>NC_000002.12:137489618-147489618 GCF_000001405.40 Homo sapiens | reverse complement strand
AAAAAATTGTTGTTTTTTTCAAGCCATGAATCAAACTCTGAAATTAGGTGAGTCTCTTCTACCAATTTGGAAACAGGCCAATTTCATTATGTGAACTCTCATCCTCTCTTTAAATACATTTACTACAAAGTTCCTAGCAATGTCTTGTCCAGGTCCAGGTGAAAAACAATTTCACTAACAATAACAACAAAAATTCAAGAAGCAATTTTCATTGTCATTTCTCTCACGTATCACACCACTTTCTAAACCATGTTTCACTTCTGAAATGCTCTCAGTTTGGACTAGTCTATAATATAAACATTCTATTTTCTATTCAGTTTTGTAACAGCTGTAATGAGGTATAATTTACATGCTATAAAATTCACTAGTATAATTCAGTGATTTTTAGTAAATTCACAGACCTGTGCAGCCATCAGCACAATTGAATTTTAAAACTCTATTTATGCTTACATTGTTTTAATGATTTTTTTTTGTATGTTCATTACCTGCCATGGATGAGATAAGAAGAGTTTTTATAACTGGATAAAGGAATAGAGGGAAAATATTATAGGCAAAAAAGTTAGTATTCATTTATTCATTCATTTGTTCATCCATCCATCCATCCATCCATCCATTCATCCATCCATTCATTGATTTAACAGATACTGTGTTCTTAGCAGAGGCCAGGTCTGGGGCTTAGTGCTTTTAATAGAAAGATTTTTCAGACATAATCTGGTGGGTGGACAAAAAATTTAGCCTTATTACTACTATGAACATGACAGTGCTATCATAGGGTATTCACAGGGCAAGGTGGAATGCACAGGAGGTTAGAGCCGGCTCCCTGGAAGAAGGGCTTTTGAAGAGTGGGTGAGCAGTAGCCAGTCAAAAAGAGCAAGGCTGCGTCAGTGCTTATGGTCTCACCACCCTGCGCCTGTCTCTAAGCAGGTTTGACCTGGGGCATTCAGCAGGCATAGCAGAGCCTGGAATCCCAGCCTGGGGAGGTGAAGGGAGTGGTGAGGCTGGAGGAGAAAACAGGGACCAGACCTGATGGACCCTGAGCAGGCTCTCAAGAAGTCTTTGTTCACATGCAAGGCAATTCAAATTACTTATTAGATTTTCCTGGTCTTGAGGATTTGAGAAATTGTACCCTGTAAGATTTAGCCTCCTTCACGTTCATTGTATGAAAATATCTGAATGTAACTGCGATTTTATGTGAGAAAATAGGGTTCTCCTTTTATCTTTCAAGATCAACACATGATTATCTATTAACCCGGCTTCCATATCATTTACATGTATAATAGTTCAAAGTCTTTGATTCCAAAAGAGAGAGGAAAATATTAATAGAGAGAAAGATTGAGAAAGAGAGAAAGGAGAGAAACGCTGACGGTGTATGCTAATAAATTTAATATAGAGAGAATTTCTGGCAATGATTTTCAGTTTCAGTATTTAAGTTGATCCTAGTCATGATTCATTATTCCAGGATTCACTTCCAAAGTCAAGGGTCTGAGGAAGCTGAGGAAGCTTTTCTCAGTGTGGATTCTAGGGCTACTAGACTAACACTTTGCTTACTGTGGGACTAAATGTTCTTTGGATATTGACATTGTAGAACTAATATCTGCTTGGACACATTATGTGCTTCCCTGCATCTCTCATGGCCAAGAAGCCCACAGAAAAAGCCCCAGCATGTATGTCTTCAGCTGGCTGTGGATAATTAGGGAGTCTGCTTCGTGTGTTGCCTCCCTGGGAAGAGAGCTAGCTCAATCCATTGGTATGGATTGTTCTGCCAGTGTAACATGATCGTCAATTACTGCCCAGCCTGTTAAGCAGACTGTCCTCTCAAGATAACTGAAACACAACTGGAGTCCCTGACTAGTCCATCCTCTACAAGAAATGTGAATGTCATCCCAGCCAGGTAAAACTCTTTAATCAGAAAATATATTTTGTTCCTTGCAGTTGGCTAACCTCCTGGTCAAATAAAATGAATATTTTCAATTAAGGTCCAAGAATGGTTTCAACAATAATTTTTCTTTTCAGAGAGAGCAAATTCTAGAAGTGGTTGGTTTTTTTTCATTCTCTGAATCTACATACCAGGAAACCCTGTGGATGAAGGTGGAAAGGCTGATCCCTCTTATCTAGTCTGACACTAATAAAGCTGTTAACAAGGTTCAACTGAAGCAACAATGGATAAGAAGAGCAGAGCCGAATTCCTTAGATCAGCCCTATTAAGTTAGACAGATGTCAAGTTTAATCAATCTGGTGACCTTAAGGACTTTGGGAAATGCCCTTTTTTATATCTTAATGCTGTTTTTAGCTGTTGCATTAACCTGTTTTGCATAGATGTAATTACCCTTCATAGATATTATGTAATCAGGGCAGTTTAAACTTATCTATCAGTTTTATTTATCTGTACCTTATAATAGAAAAGCTTCCTAGCATATTACTTACTTTAAATTTAAGGGATTTAAAGAAATTAATTTCAGGGCAGTTTTTATTTATTTGTTTTAGCTGTACTTAATAATAGAAAAGCTTCTTGGTGTGTCAATTTCCTTAAATTTAAGAATGAACATACAGGCTAGGCACAGTGGCTTATGCCTTTAATCTCAGCATTTCAGGAGGCCGAGGCAGGTGGATCACTTGAGCCCAGGAGTTCAAGACCAGCCTGAGCAACATAGCAAGTCCCTATTTCTACAAAATATTTTTTAAAGTAGCCAGGTGTGGTGGCTTGTGTGTGTCTGTAGCCCCAGCTACTTGGAAGGCTGAGATGGGAGGATCACTTGAAACTGGGAGATTGAGGTTGCAGTGAGTGGAGATCGCACCACTGTACTCCAGCCTGGGTGGCAGAGTGAGACCTTGCCTCAAAAAGAACAAAAGAAGAAAAAAAAAGAGAGACAGAATGAACATACACACAAGAATAAAAAAATAGAGCCTATAAAAATGCATATTTAAGATACCCAAGTATAGTTGGATACTATATGTATTTATGGTTTGGGGAGAGTGACTTAAGGTATGCATGTGATTATAAATAGGCCTGTTTATGCATTTTGTTAATGAACTAGTACACTTCTTTCAACTATCATTTAAAGAATTCATTGACAGCTGACTCGAGTTGTTGTTTTCTCTAGTGGCCGATACCTAGAAATGCAACGTTTCACAGTTAGGGAGTTGTTTCTTTGAAATGAGACTTTCCAGCACAAGTGATAATGACCTCAAAAAATTTACATATGAACAGTTGGATGTTTAATATAGCGTTTTTAAAAAGTAAATTATTACGGGTGGAAGAGAGGGCATGCGGGATAATAGTAAGAGTTGAGGTGGTGGAGTAGAAATGATAGGAAAAGATGGGCAAAGAAAGTGGAGTGGGGAACCTGGGGGCTTTGAAAACTGACTTTACAATCTTTCCTGGGTTTTGAGCAGATCATTAATTCTATCAGTGAATATTCATTAAACACCTGCTCTGTACTCAGTAGTGTGTTGAAAATTATCTGTCATTTGCCTTTTGGTTGGACTTTGTAGATTGTGGAGTAAAAGGAATTCAATGAAGAAGAATAATCTATAACAACTATTCTGCCTTTAGCTCCCTGGAGTGGGCCTTATAGTGGTAGATTTCTATCTTGTCTTTATAGAAATGAGAAGATAAACACTTTATTGTCACTTCTAGTTAAAAGCTAACTATATTCAAACTGAAGTTGGATACATGTAGGTTGTATTTCAGATCCTAGAGCACAAATGACATCCAAACTTTAGGCAGGGGGATTAAGCGTCATTTCCTCATCTGCTTACTGCGGGGCTAAATATTCTTTGGATATTGACATTGCAGAGCTAATATCTGCTTGGACACATTGTGCACTCCTCTGCATCTCTCATGGCCAAGAAACTCACAGAAAAAGCCCCAGTATGTATGGTTTCAGCTGGCTGTGGATAATTAGGGTGTCTGCTTCATGTGCTGGCCCCCTGGGAGGACAGCTAGCTCAATCTATTGGTATGGATTGTTCTGCTAGATGACTGTAATACCTTCCTCATGGGTGGTTGTGAGAATGACAAAAATATATTTAACATACTTGGAATGTATTTAAAGTGCCTTACAAAAATTAATTAAAGGCACAGTGCCTGGGACAAATGAGGAAGTCCCTGTCAATTGTAGGAGGAGAAACACAATGAGAGGAGATCCATCAGGAAGTGAGCACCTGATCTAGCCAAGGGGTGAAGAGGTCCTAGTTATAGTGAAAGCTGTGGAAATAGGATTAAGTTACTTTTTACAAGAATTACTTATTGTACAAGCAATATTACAGCAACAATATGAGAAATCAAAGTCAAACAAAAATTACTCCAATACAAACATTTCTCAGATTCTAACAGTCCTTTAAAATTTGCTCATGTTCTTATCTACTCCTTGTTTACATGCACACATGTGATGCAACTATAATACAGGCACAATTTTACATTCTCTGCTTTTTTTCCCTTATGTAATTAAATTACTTGTTTACCTGATATTGGACACTAAGTTGTTTCTGGATCTTTTCACTATAATGAATCTTGTAGCAACAAAAATCTTTGTGCTAGTACTTTTGCTCATCTTTCAGGCTATTTCCTTAGAAGACATTTCTTGGGTGGGAATAACTGGTGAGAGGTCATGAACATTTTATGTCTTTAAGAGTATTGCCAAATGGGTTTCCAAAAAGGTTGTTCTGGTTTGTACCAGCCTTGTTAGTGAATGGATAGATGCGCAGTCCACCTGACAACCTCATCAACAATGGTGAGGCCGTGTCATTATTTTTAATTTGTCCTGTAAAATAATAGATGTAAGGTGTCTTACAATCTGCATTTCTTGGATAGCAAGGAAGGTTGAATATTTCCTCATATTTCTTTCCTAATTGTATTCCCTCCAACATAACATTGTTTGTTCTGGCCTTTCCCCATTTTGGTGTTGGAGTACTTGAGGAGCAAAGAAGAGAAGAGAGCTCAGACCCTGCTCTTGGCACTTTAAATGCATCTTCTCACTTAATCTACATAGAACCTCAGACAGGTGGGTACTCCCACCTGCATCTTATAGATGAGGAGACTGGGTCTTGAAGAAATTAAATTTCATACCCAAAGTTGAATTGCTGATAAGTGGCAGTAGTTAGACATTTTTCTTATCATTTTGTATGAGTTTTTATGTAATATAAATATTAACTCTTTGGGGAAAATATTTTCAGCAAATATGGATGACAATCTGTTGTTTGCTTTTTTCTGAAATTATGCTATTTTTGCTCTGCAGAAGCTTAAAATTTTCCCCTGAAATGATGGATTCTAGAGATACTGGAGTGGTGGATTGGGCCTCAGCTTCTGCCTTATTTCGGTACCAAGACCAGCTTAGGGAGGATCAGAAGAAGGCAAGAGACAGAGCTGTGTGTGATCATTTGCTAATGATTCTGCAATTGAAAGCGTCTCCCAGCTTTCATGACGTCTCTCATGACTTCACATGGGATGGGAAAGTGTACCAGGAGCCTGTTAGAGGCTCTCTGTGGATGAGCTGTGCTCCTAAGCTACTTGCTGGGTGGTCTCCAAGTGGTTCCTGTGTGGTCACTATATTACTACTTTATCCACTCCTGCCAAAGAATATAAAGAGCCCCATGACAGGCCATATATAAGACTGCTGGCCCTCCCAGTAGGACCATCAAGTATACATGGCTGGTATCCAGTAAAGACAAAGTCATAAGCTATTGAGTTTAGTGCTAGTTTTATTTAGAAGAAGGACAGAATCTCATTGAAATGGGTCTCCATTGTAGCTATGTTGTTAGGAGCATGAGTTGGAAGTTTCTCAATGGCCTAGCCTATAATGAATGGTTTGGATCAGAATAGGGATGGCAGTGCCAGAGGAAGCGTTTTGGAGCACAGGAATTGTAAAGGTCTCCTCTTATGGCAGAAGGGCTATGATATGTTACATGGCTATTTGAAATACCTTAACACATCACCCAAGCTGGTCTGCCCTGTCATGCAGCTGACTCTAACCCAGCTGTAGGTGGCACAATAACATCCCCCAGGTGTGAGCCTGCTGGGATGGGAAGATCCAGCAAACTCCCTGTCTATGAGGCTCAATCCAAAAATAATTAAGAGAAGCCTTTTCAACAGGGGAAAAGTGAACTCTGGAAAGTCAGGCCAGCAGCCAAGTTTGCCTAGGCTGTTAAATTCTGCCCAGCTCAGCTTTGCAGACACTGTGACAAAGTCTGAAAAAGCACTTTTGGTTTTTGCCATCATCACAACACAAGATATTATTCACATCCTGTAAGAAATGGTGGCCGTTCTTTCTCTCTCCCTGAAAAAGTGATGACTGTTCTCTTATCTGGAGCACAGAATTCCCAGAGTCCCAAACATTCCGTTTCTCAGGTACTTCAAGGACCAGGGGCTTTTGAACAAATGGCGTCTGAGGATGAATACATTTTAGAAATGTTCCTCTCCCTTGTGTTTATATTAACTCTGATTGTACTGTCAGGCTGGGCTCTGATCACAGAAAACCACAAAAGTACAGGGATATAAAAGTACAAGGACCTCATAAGAAGTGTATGGGTGGTGGCTGATGATATCTTTCTACATTTGAGAATACACTAAGCTAATTGAAATAGTGACTACATATTATAGGCAAATGATGGAGACCATTTGTAAAATATTTTTGTTAGTATTTTAAGGTGGAAACCTTGAGCTTGTAGATGAGGAAATTAGTAGGAAACTGAATCAGCTGGAAGAGAATTCAGGAGGGATATTTGGGACACCCAGAAATCTGACACAGTTCCTGATATAAGCTGGTCTGTAAATCCTTGTGGTTAATTGGTGGGTGGCTGTCGGTTATGACACTCCCTGGGCTCCCTGAAGGGATGAGAGCCTCCCCCAACAACACTGCTTAATCATGTACCAATTATAACTTTGTCTTCACTTTCTGTCTCACAGAATGAATGGTCTCTATCATTTGCCTGTAATATGTAGTCATTATTTCAATTAGCTCAGTGTATTCTCAACTGCCTCTTTTTTTATGTGCATGTCAAAGTTTGTGTTTTCTCTCTGAGATTCTTAGCTTCTTTGCAATATAAGCCTCATTTGCTTAGAGACTTTATTTAGTGCCCTACCATGCAACTTATACTTGGGGGCTCTCTTAACTACTTTTGATGATGGCAATAGTGACCACTGTTCAGCTGTCCCACTACCAAAAACCAGAACCCTCCATTCTTTGTGAGGCGAACATCTCAAGGGCTGTACGTCACACCATGGGCTGATTGTAATCTTGGGGCTAGTTAATCCCAAACACTGTTCACTGCAAACTGATGTCCCTTTCATCTTACGACTTCCTTGCTTCCTGCATTCCTGTTATTTATAGTATCCCAGGAACAAACCACTCCCAAATTTCTCAAGAGGATTTACAGTTGCTACTTGCAATTCCTCACCCAGCTCACATCTCCATCCCTTGCAGCCTGTGTTCTGCTATAAACCCTCTGCTGCTCTCCCGGAGGTGGATAGTGATACCTTTGCCCAGTCCGAGGGCCTATTTCTCAGTCCTTGGTTTTTTGACCAACATATTTCTGTTGCCCACATTTAACCTGACTCTGGGCTTCTGGAACAGTGCATTTTCCCTACCTCCTTCTCTGACTGCTCCTTCATGGCTGTCTCTCTTTTTGTGCCACCAGAATATGGGTGATCCTCAAGCACTTGCTTCTCTCTAAGCATGCTCTCTCTTGGCAACCTGATGCAGAGGGATGGCTATGATTATCACCTCCCTTTGGACAATGGCCACACCTGTACCTCTAGCCCCAAATCCTTCAAGCTTCAGACTCACAAGCTCAACCTTTTGTTTGCTTTTTATCTGCATAATATGTTTAACACTTCAGACTCTACATGCGTATCCCTGAACTCCCCTTTTCCCCTGCCTGTGCTCCTCCTGACATTACCATTTCTGTTGATTCTGCACTAGCTCCCAGATATTTCAGAGGGGAAGTGTAAGGCAAGTCCTGTTTGAGCAAAGACTCTTCAACTCTCATTTTTATTCCCATCATTATCACCATATTTTACCTCCTTTTTACATCTTGCCTGAGTTTTTGCAACAGCTTTCTTCTTAGGCTTTTTCAACTTTTATTTTTTACCCCAATACTCTTGAGGCACACAACACACTGTAACAATGGCTTGCAAAGGGAATTATTCCCAATTACCAGTAATGAATGATGTGGGAGGGGCATTTCCAATAGAAGCCATATCAAAATCTTTGGGATCAGGCTGTGCAGTTTGAAAAAGCCCTACACGTGATTTGTATATGCCCCAAAGAAGACACATACACCTCTCCCTCCTTGCTTCTGCTACCTTGAACATTTTTCTAAAGGTTATGTGGTCACTTTTCACTCTTTCCTATTTGCTGCTGGCAGATTAATTTTCTTGATTCTCAATAAAGATTAAGATATAATTCTTTCTTTCTCTAAAGCCTTCCATGGTTCTCTACTGCCTGCTAAAAATCCCAAACTTCTTAACCTCACTTCCTTGATGAATCTTATCATTGTGACCTCTCAACTGTCTTCTATGCCTACTCTATATTATAGCCAAACAGGGATTTCTCTGTACACCCCAGGCTACTTCACCTTACCACACCACTCTCAGTTTGAAATGTTCCTGCCCTTCACCTCTGCCTAGTGAAATCCCTTGTAGGTCCAGTATCATTTCTACCAGGATATCTTCCTATTCCTGGGGTTTGAAGGACCCCTCTCTTGTGAACTCCCACAGGACATTGTTTGCAGCTCTTGTTCAGCACTTTTTTTATAGTTATTTGTAAAGTTGTCGTTTCTCCCATATCAGAGTGTAAATTTCTGAAGAGCAGAGATTCATTGCCAATTTCCAGTACCAGGACTTTAATAAATGATATATAGGCTACTTATAATATAGAGTCCTTGAATTTTGTTTCATTCTTTATTTATAATGTACTCTTCTATTCAAATAAAATATTTTGAAGTAGGTTGCCATACTGAACATAAACAAACCAACACATTAAAGTAAAGATTAAAAACCGGTATTAGAGATCATCTAGATGAGGGGTCAGTAAACTACATCCTGTGACCCAGTTCAATCCACAACATGTTTTTACAAATAAAGGTTTATTGGAAAAAGGTTATATTCATTTGTTCACATATTGTCTATGGTTGCTTCCATGCTACTGTGGTCAAGTTTAATAGCTGTGACAGAGACCTTAAGACTTGCAAAGCCTAAAATATTTATTATCTTGCTCTTTACAGAAGTTTACCAACCCCTGATTTAGATCAATGATTCTGAACTCAAGTGAGGTGAGAAAGGGGACAAAGGAATGAATGGAATACGGGTGCTCAGGATAATCTAGGGTAAGAACCCAGCTTTGAATCCTCACTTTCAAATTGAACCAGTTACTGATGAGAATCTATCCTCTATTCTCTCAAGGCGACATCTTTGCTCAACACTAGGACCTTTTCTGGGGGGCCTTTTAGTCACTTCTTGGTCAGTGCCCTATGGTTATAGTGAATCAGTATTACTGATGAACCTGTACTGTATCCTACTACTGTGGTAGGGAAGAGAAGTTGGAAAAATTGATTTAGAAAGAAGGGGAGCATAATTATGCCAGGAGCTCTCAGTGAGCTAGTCATGGGAATTAAATAGTAAATTTAGTTCTTTGACTCCTAACTGCTAAAGAAAAAACAAACATAACAAGTTATTAATATATAGCTCTCCTTGGCTAATATAAAAGTATATCCATTTGCTTAAAAAGGGCAAACTTCTGAATGCTTACATCAATGAGAAATTTGTTAAATTGTCTCTGAGAAACATAGTAGACAATATATCAGCTACAGTTTTGCAAACAATCTAGCCCATATATTGAAATGGCAAATTCCCATGATATTAAATTGCAATTCAGTAAGTAGGTTAGTATAGTTCAGGGACATTGGATTTTGATACCCTAACTTGCCATGGGAATAGAGCCTAGAAAACCCAGAGAATTGGGTAGTTAATGTGTTCCTCCATTGGATCATTAATTGGCAGGCTTTGGCAGGCCCTGAATATGGGTCACTTAGGGGTAGAGATCCAATGGGTGATGGACGTGCAGGTTTTCTGGGTTGATGATTTATCCATAAGCAGGAGGCAGGCAGCAAAGCTGACATTTTGGTGTAACAACAGAGAAGCCTCGTGCATTTTTGCTCGGCTGGCTGACCAGCTCGGCTCTGCTTGCTGATGGGTGGTAGAGATGGGTGGCACAGAGCAGGTTTATATAACCCTGTGGGGGCAGTAAAATAACTGAATGAAGAGTAATGATGGCAGTAAATAGATCATGAACCATCACATGAGTTTATATGGTTATTACAAGCTACAAAAGTCATCATTAAGAAGTTATTTTGGAGCTTAGAAAACTATGAATGATGTCACCGTAACTACCCACTCGTTGTGCAAATTTAATGAGATTATAGGTAGGTTTGATTTTAGAGAATTAACTTTTGGTACCTTTCTGCTAGGCCAGCAGAAAATAATGCAAATTATAATTATGCATGTGTATTATTTTTCTATGTAAATAATTTTGAAGATAAGAATGTCAAAGCTTATATTACACAGAAAATACATATTTTGAAGTGGCAAGTATTTCCAGTGCTTTATGGAAGGTTTTTTGAAATGAATATTAAATTTGTATTTCCTTTTCTTCTTTATACCTAGTGTACTCCAAGGCAGCAAAAATATTTGTTGGGTATTGTATAAAATAATAATTCTATTTTTAATTTTTTAATCTTTCAAAAAATTCTGAAAAATGTGATGCTGGTAATTTAGTATCATTTTGGATCATTGCGTGAAATGCTGGAGTTACAGTCAGTAAAAGGATTTATTAATAAAATAATTTTAGGAGTGATATTCATTTTAAAATATGATTAAGACATAATTTCTCAGCTGGGTGCGGTGGCTCATACCTGTAATCCTAGCACTTTAGGAGGCCGAGGTTGGCAGATCATTTGAGGTCAGGAGTTCGAGACCAGCTTGACCTACAGAGTGAAACCCTATCTCTACTAAAATACAAAAATTAGCTGGGTGTGGTGATGGGCACCTGTAATCCCAGCTACTTGGGAAGCTGAGGCAGGAGAATCGCTTGAACCCAGGAGGCGGAGGTTGCAGTGAGCTGAGATCGCACCACTGTACTCCAGCACTCCAACCTGGGCGACAGAGCAAGACTCCCTCTCAAAAACAACAACAACAACAACAACAACAACAAAACATAATTTCTCAGTCTAGCAGACCTATGTTGATCTTATTCGCTGATATTTATTCTCCCAAGCATGCTGAAGGCAGGGCTATCTCAGATTGCTTCTCTCTGGGATTTGCATGTTGTAACCTTTGGGACAAATTGACACACAGTGATAGCCAAAGACCAGGGTAGTTCTCTGCCCATGGTACAGCTGTCCGTGGACATGAGGAAGAGGTGTTGCTGGTAAAGATGCTAGATTAGAGAGGATCTCAGGTCCTTCAGAAAGTATTCCAGAAGAAGGCATTGAAATCATGGGACATGAGAGCTCCATGCATGTTATTGCCGCTGAAGACCTTCCAGTGGGACAAGATGCAGAGGTGGAAGACAGTAATATTGATAATCTTGACCCTGTGTAGGCCTAGCTTAATGTGTGTGTTTGTCTTAGTTTTTAACAACAAAGTTTAAAAGGTGAAAAAAAAAATAATAGAAAAAAGCCTATAGGATAAAGATCTAAAAAAAGAAAATATTTTTGTACAACTGTACAATGTTCTTGTGTTTTAAGCTAGGGATTATCCCAAAAGAGTTTTAAAAATTTAAAGTTTATAACAGCTTAAAGTTTATAAAAAGTTATAGTGGGCTAAGGTTAATTTATTACTGAAGAAAGAAAAAATTTCAAAGATAAATTTAGTACGGCATAATTATACAGTGTTTATAAAGTCTACTGTAGTGTACAGTAATGTCCTAGACCTTCACATTCACTCACCACTCACTCACTGACCCACCCAGAGCAACTTCCAGCCCTGCAAGCTCCATATATGTTAAGTGCACCGTATAGGAGTACCATTTTTCAAATCTTTTATACCATAGTTTTACTGTACCTTTTCTTTGTTTTGATATGCTTAGATACACAAGTACTAACCTTTGTATTACAGTTGCCTACAGTATTCAGTACAGTAACTTGCTGTATAGGTTTGTAGCCTAGGAACAATAGGCTATACCATATAGTCTATGTTTGTACTAGGCCTTACCATCTAAGTTTGTGTAAGTACACTCTGTGATATTTGTGCAATGATGAAATCACCTAATGCACATTTCTTAGAACATATTCCCATCATTAAGTGACACATGACTGTATAATTTGTGTGTAATGATGTAAGAGTTGAATGACACTGTAGTCGACTAATACACATTATTGTGTTTTGTAGAAAGGTAATTGAGCACAGTTCTCAATTACATGTATAATAAGAATAGTATTAATTACTATTCTTCTTAGTATAATAATACTATAAGTATTAATTACTATTCTTATTATAATACTTTTGAATCAATCATTTTTCTTCCAGGACTTCAACATTTTCTTAAATCTTTAGAAAGCAGCTGGAACTCAGGTATCCCACCTATAATGTTAACTATATTTTAAGGGAAAAATCCATGGGAAAATCAGCCTTGGTACATTTGTTGGTTCAGCAAATTCTTATGCAACACCGTCTGGTGTTCTGTACTGGCAGTGAAGATACAGTGATGAGCACAGTGCAATTTCTGCCCATACAGAACAAAGAAGCAAGGGAAGAGAGACATAAATGAACATTTGCGCTAACACATGGTGGCAAACAGCGGTGCATGCTATGGAGGAGATGTGAAGGGTACAACAGAAAAATATAATGGGTATTTTAATTTAGATTGTGGGCAGGCTCAGTGACGCCTTCCCTATAGATGTGAATTTTGACTTGCAGCTTAAAGGATGAGTGGGAGTGAGCTGGATGAAATGCGTGTCAGGATTTAGAACACACATATGAATGTCCTGGATGGACAAGGGAAAGAAGATTAGAGTAATAGAGGATGAGAATGGCTTAAGATGAGGACAAAGAGGTAGGAATTACCAGAGTATATAGAACTTACTGGTGTGTGAAGGTTTTATTCTGAGTGCAATTAAGCATGATCAGAGGAACGTTTAAAAGCATACATCCCCTGACTGGCACAATGGCAAGCACCTGTAGTCCCAGTTACTCAGGAGGCAAAGGCAAGAGGATCGCTTCAGCACAGGAGTTTGAGGCTGGAGTGCACTATGATTGCGCCTGTGAATAGCCACTGCACTCCAGCCTAGGCGACATAATGAGACACCATCTCTAAAACAAGTTTTTTGTTTGTTTGTTTGTTCTAAAAAGCATGCATCCTCATGTATAGAAAGGATTGGAGATGAAAGTAAGAGATCAGTTAGGATGTCATTATAGCTGGCCAGGTAAAGGATGCTAATAACTTAAACTTGATTGTTAGCAGTTGTTGAGAGAAATGAGCTATATTCTGGAGACATAGTCCACAGACTAGATGTGGGATCTCTCGAGTTAAGGTCAACTCTGAGGACACTGGCATGGACAATAGGTTATATATGATATAACTTAAATGCTAAGATGGTGATATGGTTTGGCTCTGTGTCCTCACCCAAATCTCATCTTGAATTGTAGCTCCTACAATTCCCACATGTTATGGGGGGAACCTGGTGGGAGGTAATTGAATCATGGGGGTGGGTCTTTCCTGTGTTTTTCTCATGATAGAGAATAAGTCTCAAACTCTCATGATAGTGAATACGTCTCAAACTCTTTTTGCCCGCCACCATGTAAGACATCTCTTTGCTCTTCCTTCATCTTCTGCCATGAATGTGAGGTCTCCCCAGCCATGTGGAACTGTGAGTCCATTAAACCTCTTTCCTTTATAAATTACCCAGTCTTGGGTATGTCTTTACCAGCAGGGTGAAACGGACTAATACAGATGGGGTCTGTTGAAAGACTGGCCAATACAAGGTTGGAGTGGATAGCAGAAGTTGACTTTGGACTATTTTAAGATACCTGTAGAAAATCAAGGGGAAACTTCAAGTATTAGTTGGGTATACAGTTCTGAAACCTTGAAGAAGAGGCTGGGCTGAACATAGAAATTTGGGAACCATTTTGTGTATTTGGAATTTAAAGCAACAGGAGTAAGTAAAAATGCCAAAACTGGGGGCAGTGGCGGGGAGGTGCAGGGTACACTGCTAAGGAAGCCAAGATAAAGAAAGAAGCAAATGGTCACATGTGTTGGATGCTGCTGAAACACTTGAGAATAGCAAAGAATGAAAAAAGTCCCATTCAATCAAATAATGTGAATGATTTTTATCAAGAGGATGGTTTTTAGTGTGGGCAGATGCCTGATTGGAGATAATTGCAGAGGGCATGAAGGGTCAAGTTGAGGCCAAATGTCTAATTTTTGAGATTCTTGGCTATACAGGATCCTTGAGGGAAAGGACAATAGCTGAAGGATGACATGGGGTCCATATTTTCCCCAGACTCCCATGTGAGAGATACTTAGTTAAGCATATTTGAGTGATGGTGGAGAGGAACTTGAAGATTGATGATGCTGGAGAAAGATGGGCTTATTGACAGGGTTTCTGCAGGGTTGGATAATTTAGGATCCTGGGTCTATGTGTAAGTTTTAGCCTTTGAAAGAAAAAGAGACATTTCTTCATTGTAATTAGAGAGAAGAGGGCAAATGGCTACAGATATAGACTTTGGTGTTTGGAGGATGTATTTAAATGCATGCTGTGCAATATTTATAAATAAATGCTCATGTTGTGATCAAGATTCATAAACCCCAATGAAAAACAGGAAGACTCATGATGTGTAAATTAGAAGTAATTCTATGTAAACATCAGTTTGGATGTTCCCATTTTTGCATCTCCTTCAAACAGAAATGTCTTTAAATTAAAATAAATGCATCTTTTCTTGCATTTGTACTCCTGTTGAGTGGTTATTATATTGTTGCTGGTTCCACTTTTCTCTTTTGGCTCTAATCTGCAATGCATCAGTTTTCTATAATCCTACCAAATGGGAGAAAAATTATTCTCTGTACACAGACTTTCAGTGCTCATAAATATACTCATTTGTAATATTAGAGCTGTCACATGCCTTCCCCTTCATCTAGCCATGCAATTTACCTCTACCTGTAGTTGTAAAAAGGAACAAACTTAATTTTACTCCCCACTTTTCTGACAGTTTTAAAGTTATATAAATGTAACTTTGCCTCCTCTGGCAGTTCCAAAATATTGTCAGGCAGCCAATCTATCAAGAGTAATGAGATTGTCTTTGGAGTCAGTGATTTTGTTTCATTCATTTCTGTAACAGCAAAGCAGCTGCAAAGTATATCCTACATTTCAGATCCTACTGGGTACAGTCTTTTAAGGTACTTCTTGCTCCTCCTTCTCCTGCGCAGGTAGAGTGGATCAGAGCAAAGTTACATTCTGGCATCCCGTTTCCTGCCTCACCAGCATTCCACATACGGCTGGATTATTTTCTGTGCCTAAGCCTGTATTTTGCTTGTCTCCAGTTGTCTTATATATCATAATAATGATAATTACTAAGATTTATTTGAATAGCATTTTATAGGTTTAGTTTTCAAGACCCTTTCTCATATGTTGCTCTTAACAGTCTTATGAGGGAGAACAACTAGTAATTACCAGTTATCCGTGTTTTCTGGGTGAAGCCACCAAGGCACAGAGAAATTAAAATGGTTTACCCAAAGCTATAGACCTGTAACTGCTAGAGCTGTGACTTGCATCCAAATATTCTGACTCTGGGTCCCCTGTTTTTCTAGTTAGCATGACAGAAAGCACAGAAGCTTTGAAGTCAAATAGATCTAGGTTGAAATTCTGACTTGTACTATCTGAGCCTCAGTTTTTCTGACCACAAAGCAAAAAAATAATACTGATTTACATGATTTTTCCCAAGGAACAAGTGAGATAATGTACATAATGTCCCTGGTAAGATGCAGGCATATATAGTAAGGCAACAGAATCTTTTATTGTCATTATTAATAATAATCAAATTTAGATCACTCAGGGCCTAAGAAATCAACACAGGCCTGTAAGCATTTGCATCCCAGTATATCTCCTGGGAGAATTCTGATTCTAACCTCCCTTTGTTTATAGGCAGCATTCTGAGTCAGTTTCCCTGTGTGAAAATCAGGAGTAATTGGCAGTAATTATATGTATGCTTTGGCATTTCATCAGAGATGAAGTGATTCTGACCATTTTAAGCAAATGGTGGATCTCATTCCAAGGCAGCCTAACCTCCCTGCTTCTCTCATCCCTTCATTCCCTCACTCTGTCCCTACTCTATGCTATCATTCCAAGGAGAAATGGAATTGAAGAATTGACATTTTGCTCTGATGTCAGTAGAGATGATTGATGCAGTAGACATTTGAGATTTTGACTTCCTATCATTCTCCCTTCATGATAGCACACAATTTCTTTTGGGATGATTAATCTCCTCCATGAGTGATATTGGTGGAAATGTTATTTCTGGTACCTGCTTTCTACCACAGAAGCTGAAGGGTCTGGACTTTTTCTCTCCCTATCTTCTAGGTACCTAGACTTGACCAATCTGTCACTTTCTGGGTAGATGGGGGTCTTTGAATGCTGAACATGTGGCACTAGGACTGTTCACCATAGCAGGGCTGGGCTGCTCAGACTTGCTCTATGCTGAAGCCTGCAGAGTCCACCTCCCAGCCCTATGGAGTGTCTGTGCTTTCCTTCCATTCTCAAGCCCCCCATCATTTCTGCCAGCCCTATTCTACCTTTCTAAATGGTTTCCTTTTGCTAAAGCTATCCAGAGCTTATTTCTCTTATTTGTAACTGAGGATCATAATTATGCTTTTCATAATCGGTAGAGGTCATCTGATCACTTTATAGCAGTGTTGTGGTTTAATAAAAAGAAAAGAAAAGAAAAGAAAAAAGTGTTAGAAGGAGTGGAAACTTATAGTCCTAATGGCTAGGATGTGGTAATAGTCAGACAAGTTATTGGAATTGATTCTTTGATCCAGTCAGCATGATGTCTTGGAAAGAGTCAGGAGACTTGTACTTGAGTTCTTTTTATGCAATTAAGTAGCTGTGTAGCCCTGAGCAAAGCCCTTCGCATCCAAAGATCTTGATTTTCTTACCCACGAAATGAGAGACCAGGACTGGAAAAGCTCTAACTTTTCTTTTATTTACAAGGCCTATGATTGTAAGCATTGCCTGAAGATAAACTCTGTACTGTGTGTGCAAGGCCACTGAGTTGGCTACTGAAGTCTTAAGGCCCCTGGGAACTTACAGTTTTAGTGTGAAGATATCATATAAATTATATAAAGCTGGTACATGATATTTCAAGATGGAATATAAAAATATGTATTAGGCTTGTCCCAAGGTGGGGAGTTACCTCAATTGATTTTTCACAGTCAGTTATGGATCAAATTCCTTGTTCGACTTTCTCCCCTTCTCACTACTGCACTTGACTAGTCTTAAAAAAATATCAGACTGTGTAGTGCTGGATGCGTGCACTGTAGACATTCTGAGCTGGAATCATTGAGAAGGTCCTGAGAGGAGAAGGTGGTCTTTGAATTATGACCAGAGGGACAAGTCATATATATGGCTGATGTAAAGGAATATAGCATCCCAATCTTGGAGGTATGTGGCTGTGAATCAAGAATGTTTCATGCCGGGATCAGCTCATTTTACTTTATTTTATTTTTTTGCCTTAGTGGTGATAATGTTGGGGCCATATTGTGAAGTTCTTGATGACAGAATGAGAAATTTGAGCTTTTTCTTATAGCCAGTAGGGAGCCAATGGCTTCCTCTTCTAAAGCCAGAAAACAGCATGGATGGGTTTGTATTTTTGGAAGATCAATTTAGCACTTCTACTAAATGAATTGGATCTTGGAGAAACTAGGGGCAGAGATACCAGCTGGAAGTATGTTGTGATGGCCCATGTACAAGGAAATGTAGCTCTAGGATGGGGCCAAAAACAAAAAGATGGCCATGTGAAGAAGAATCAATGGAATTTGTGAGCTGAAGATAAAGGATAAACATAGAAGACAATTAGAATAAATTCCTATTGATTGGAACATCCCCTTAAAATATAAACAATCAGGTCACTCCTCTACTCAATACATCAATAGCTTCCCATAATATTAGAATTAAACCCAACTTCACAGTGGCCCATAAGAAGCAACATGGGGCTCCTGGCTGCCTCTCTGACCTTGTTTCTAGCACCCAAGATCCCTGTGGCTCAGTTACATAGGTAACATGGGAGCCTTCTTATCCAAGGACCTTTGCCCTTGCTTCCTGTGTGTTCCCTTTGCCTGAATTGCTCTTCTCCAGTTGTTCATGTGCCATTGCTGTTTCACACACGCAGGCCTTACTTAGAAGTCATTTCTTCAGAGAGGAATTCCCTGATCAATCTCTGTTAACTGACAGCATCTGTCCCTGTCTATCCCCCTAGCCTGCTTGACATATGTATTCACAGCTGTACCTATGACAATGCAGCCCATATACATTAGCTTATTATCTCTTAAGCCAGTTCAGTGAGGAAGGCTTTGCTTATTTTCCAATACAGTCAGGTACTTTGTAGGTGCTCAGTAAATATGTGGGAATGAATTACTGATTTCTTAATTGCTAGGTGCCAATTAAGTTATCCAAGAAAACAAGAAAATTTGAGGACAGAAAATCCTGATGTTGGTTTTGGTCTTGTGACTGTGAAATGCGATTTTGTGCCCAGCAGTATAAAGATTTTTCTCTTATTTTGAAAAGGACACTCTTCAACAAATTAACTCCCCACCTCAATAAATAATAAATAAATAAATCCCTTTAAACATATTTTGATGCTTACAGTAAAAAAAAGTACAATTATTTGATTCTAATCAGAATTAAGAACTTTCAAATAATTTGTTAAATTTATTTTTAGTGGTGCTCAGAGCTTTTAAACAGAGGGTTAATTTGAACCAAAGGAGATAAAGGTGAGGCATGTTAATTGAATGTCATATCTGTCCATTTTAATAGAAAAACCAATGTCTAAAGTATAGTTATAAAGAATGTGATTTGCCTAAATTACAGGCCAGACTGTGTTCCCCCATGCTGACACCACCTCCACCCCTTCAGTTTCTTGGCAGCCTTGTTCTCTGAAAAGGCCAATTCACTCATCTTTCTGGAGACATTTATGTCATCAAAACTCCCTCACTGTCATGGCAGCAAACAGCACATATATTTCCTTATCACTTAAAATACAAACATATAGAACATCCTCCTGTCAATTTGCAGCATTTAAGTAACAGTCATAGGTACTTGGCATCCCAAGAAGTAAGAGTGGATCTCTTGCTATGTTAGTCCAACATAATCAAGTAAAAACAACCTGGCAATGGGTAAAACTCATGAAATTGTGTTGGGAAAGACAAGTTAGAGCAAAGCCCCTCAGGGTGAACAAGATGGTCTCCAGTCACTGCAAGTTGTTTTAATCCCTCAGGCCAATGTTGGGCCTGGTGGAACCAGAGACGTGGCTTCTGTGTTTCCTTCACTATCTTGAAGCTGCCAAACACTCCATTTAGGAAAATTGGAAGTGAGGGCTGAGGTGGCATGGAAGAGTTATGTGTTTGGAGTTTGGTGGGAATTAGAAACCCTAGTCATGTGTCAGGAAGATTCTCAATGAATCAGATGGATTGCCTGTTTAGATCCTGTTCAGAATCCCACAGATGCATAAACTGGGCTGAAAAAATGTAACTCTAGTCCAGGGGTAATATGAAAATAGAGCTGAGAGTCAAGTCCTTAATTTGGAGGGTTTCTATTTTCATTTGAAAAACTGAAGTTCATTATTTTAACATATTCTTAACATCTTCCAAATTAGCCTTCAATGTACTCTGCCTGGTCTCAATGGAAAAGCTTTGCTGGAGCTTGAGAGAATGCATTCTCTGTGGGGTGCTGGGCAATTACATTCCAAATAACAGCAGGGTTCTTAGTAGGGAAGGCGATCCTATTATTGCTGCTGGAGGATGTGGCCAATCATGGCAGCAGGGGAGGAGGCAGTGGGGGAGAGATGGAGGGAGGAAAGAGAAGTCACTTTTACATCCCATCGAAATATAATGCCATGGGAGTATTTGAAAGATGAATTTCTTTTGAAGTATAAACAAATGCTTGTTAGGCTGTAAGCATTTACCTTTAAATATATGACCCTAAAGTGGCACTATTGGAGGTATCAGACTTCAATGTGGAGTGGTAGGGAGATGTTTGCTTCTTCTAGACATTGATTTTATTCTGCAGTTGTTTATGGGCCACATTCATGTTGTCAGGTCCAGAGTTTATTAAAATTTTGTTATAGGAGATGGAGCTTCAGGCTGGGAGGCCATGGGTTCTTGTTCCAGAATTTCCATAAACAACTGCATGGCATTGTGTAGCTGTCTTGACATCTCTGAGCCGTAGTTTGCCCATTTGCATTAAGCCGGCGCTGGCGGGGAGGGGAGATTTTCAACCTTTTTTGAGTGTTGGATCCTAATAAGAATGTGATAAATTGTGGATTCCTCTTCCTAATGTGTATGTTCATACGAGCATAGGCAGACAGGTGAAAGGTGGTTCACAGGTCCCTAAAGCCTAGTAAGACCCTGAGGATCACTCTGCTCCCTTCCAAAATTACTGTGGCATCAAAAACAAATGACATAGTTGAACCCAAAACAGTTTTATTAATTGTTTATTTGTAACCTGCTGTCTTACAATTGCACTCCCTACTAGATCTTCTTTTTATTATTAGTGAAACTGATTATTTGGTGAATCAGGCAGAAAGGAACGATTCTCAATTACCTGAGGGTCCCAGGGGGCTGATTTCTATGGAAGTTCATTACATATACAATAGGTATGTTACAAAAATAATTAAATGAAGGGCGGCATGCTGGTCTTTTGAGCTACAGTGTTGTGCTCTCTTCGACCTAACTATTGGCTAATATCTGCCTTAGCTGGAATTGTCTTGTTTACACATTTTCCAACAAGTTAATTGTTTAGCAAAGTGTTTACACATTGATTATAGATTGATTAATGGCCATTGACAAACACATTGCTCTTGAATTTCACTCAATCAGCATTTTCATAGGCTTTACCCCCTGTGGTGAAAGGATGATGATTTACGTAAAAAACTAACCATTAACCCTAGAATTGGAACACAAACAAAAGATAATTGGAAATCTTGCCAATTTAACTCTTAGTATAAGAAATAAGATCCAGGGGTTAGGAGTCATGTGGATTTGAGTTCAAGTCTCAGCTCTGCCTCTTTCCAGATCTGTGACCTTGGGTAACTCTCTAAGCCTGCTTTCTTCATCTGTAGAGTGAGATAACAACAGTGTACAACTCAGAGCATTGTGGTGAGGATTAAATGAGATAATGCATCAAAGGGCTTATCATAGTGCTTGTCAAATGCTAGTTACTGTTACCTTTATTATTTTTATTATTATATCTGCAATAATAAAAAAAACACATTGACACATCAAAATTATTCAGCAAACAATTACTCACTACCTGCTACAGGTTATGCTCCAAAGACACTGTAGATATTACACTATTTCTGCCCTTAAGGACACATACTGAACTGAAATGATTTGCTTGTATATGATCTCCTCTGCATGACAATGAGGCCCTTGAGGGCAGGCACTGTGTCTTATTTAGTTTTCACTTTTAGTTTAATGAGCAACTCTGAAACAAAGGGCTGCTCTTGCCAGTCACTGTTAAGCTGCCTACAGAGTAATGTCCAAGCTTCCACCCAGCCCTTCATGAGTGGTCTCTGCCTATCTCTCTGCCATCTCTGTTCTCCTTTGTATATTAAGCTCCCTCCAAACTACTCAGTTATAGACTCCTGAATCCAATAATCTGTTCCATATCTCCATGACTTGGTTCCTGTGGTTTCCTTGGTTTGTAATGTCAATAACTTTTCTCCCTTTATTAGTCAGTGAGTGGTTGAGTGGTCTGATATTTATTGTGCAACTACTGTGTGTTATGGGTTGAATTATGTCCACCAGAAAGATATGTTGAAGGGCTAACTTCTGGCACCTAAGAATGTAACCTCATTTGAAAATAGGGTCTTGACAGAGGTAATCAACTTAAAATGAGGTCATTAGAGTGACGTCTAATCCACCATGACTGATGTCTTTATGAAAGGGGAAATTTGGACACAGAGACAGGAAGGCAGAGAGAGAAGATGATGTAAAGATTCAGGGAGAATGCCAGTGAAGATGAAGGTTTGGAGTGATGCTTCTACCAGCTGAGGAAAACCTGAGGCACCCAGCAGCTGGGACAATACAAGGAATGATTCTCCAATAGGCTGGAGTCAGCATGACCCTGTCAGCACCTTGATTTTGAGCTTCTAGCCCCTAGAACTGTGAGACAATCAATTTCTTTCTTTTTTTCTCTCTCTCTTTCTTCCGCTTTCTTTCTTTCTTTTTCTTTCCTTTTCTTTCTTTTTTTATTTCTTTTTTTTCTTTCTTTTTTTATTTCTTTTTTTAACACATGGTCTCACTCTTTTGCCCAGGCTGGAGTACAGTGGCATGATCTCAGCTCACTGCAACCTCTGCCCCCTGGGCTCAAGTGATCCTCTCACCTCAGTCTCCTGACTAGCTGAGACTATAGGTGCTTGCCAGCACACCCAGCTGATTTTTGTATTTTTTTTGTAGAGACAGGGTTTTGCTATGTTGCCCAGGCTGGTCTTGAACTCCTGAGCTCAAGTGATCCACCTCCCTTTGGCCTCCAAACTACGGGGATTACAGACATGAGCCACCATGCCCGGCCAATTTCTGTTGTTTTAAGCAACTCAGTTTGTCATACTTTGTTATGGAAGCCCTAGGAAACTATTATATGCCATATACTAGAACCGGGTAAAAATGCAGAACCATATGCTTAAAATTATCCTCTAGATTTGTATTAGGTTGGTGCAAAAGTAATTGCAGTTTTTGCTATTACTTTTAATGGGAAAAAGCGCAATGACTTTTGCACCAACCCAATACCTCTCTTCTCTTATGTGTGAATTAGGGATGATGGCATACAACTTCTTTGCTTCTGTCAAGGGGCTGGTGCATATATTGGGCACACAGCACATGCTAATGTATGGAGAAGCAACATTGGGCTGTGAAACAAGCTCTGATTAGAAGCTACTAGTAGCTAAAAAGCTGAGTATTTCTAGTTCCCAGTTTTTAATCCGTCAAAAAAAATGGCTGGGCCATATGGTTTCTTCCAGATCCCTTTTGAATAAAACATTCTATGATCCCATGTTCTGGGTCAAGCATTTTGAAGTAGTGTAGTTTTCTTTTTAACATTTTATGTTGAAGTAATTCTATATTCACATGCAGTTGTAAGAAATGATACACAGAGATCCTGTGATCCCTTTACCCAGTTTCTGTAAATAATAACATCTTTCAGAGTTGTAGTAATTGTGCAGTTTTTAATATAAGCTGTACTTCTTGGAATGAAATGCTGAAGACATTTTTGATAGGCAGTTATGTTTACCTATGAGGCTTAAACAAGATATTCAAATCTGGCCTCTGATCATCTCTATGATAAAATCCTTGGCCTGTTTGCTTTTTATTGACCATTTCACCCACTGGCCTTTGTTCCACTTAATTTTGCTTAGATCAGGGTGACTTTAAGAAGGAAGGTATTTGTCACTTTTTTGCCACTTTCTAGAAAAATGTGCCTGACAACCAAGGTACGTATTCTCATGATGGTCTGCTGCCTTTATAATAATAACATAATGATAATATTAACAGAAAAAAATTTAGGATTTTTTTGAATTCATAGTATATGTCAGGCTAGCTTTGGGCTAAGTGCTTGAGAATCATTATCCTATTAATCCTTAAGCTGGACACATGGCTCATGCCTATAGTCCCAGAACTTTGGGAGGTGGAGGCAGGAGGATTGCTTGAGCCCAGAGGCCTGAGGCTGCGCAGTGAGGCATGTTCACACCACTACACTCCAACCTGGGTGACACAGTGAGACCATGTCTCAAAAAAAAAAAAAAAAAATCAGTCTTATAAGGGAAATACTATTATTATATCAATTTTACAGATGTGAAAACTGAAGCCCAGGGTTCTAATGAATGACTATAACTTGGATTAGAACATGGATCTATCTGACTCCAGAATGTGACTTAAACTGCCATGCCACAGTGACAATGGGTAAAAGCTAACTCATTCACAATCATTATCATTTAATTAAGTTTTCAAGCTGAGTCCAAGACATTTCATTAAGTTCTGCCCTTTATAGACAACTTTTGCATTGTGATTGCACAGGCACAGTGGTACTTCTTTCCTGCCAATGTCCTCAGTGAGGAGCAGACAAAAGCCCCTCCTGGTTAGATACAAGACTTTGAACTCTGCAGTTAATCCTGGTGGTGAGGGAAGGGGAGAAGGGAAGGGGTGAGTAAATAGTATTGGCAACCTCCTTCCTCTCTTCACCTTGAACTTGGATCTGATCCACAGTGTTACTTCCATTTTCAGAATGGGAAGAAAGTTTCCATCTGACTTCACCCTCACTGGTATTCTATCATGCCAAGCAAGGGGCCGTTTCCTTCAGAGGTCATACAAAGGAACCCCAAAACGTGTGCAGTAGGCTTGTGTCTAAATTATTTATTTGGTTTGTGCTATCTAGTGTTAATGACCTTGCTTGTTGAAAACACCATAAAATGACTCATAGGGTGGTGAGCTGTTAAGGCTCGACTTATGCTAATTAGTTACTTTTATTTTATTTATCAGCATAGTTCAGAACTGGGGCAAAAGTCAACCCACTTTAAAATGGTTGTGTTTTTTTTCCTCTTGACATTTACATTTTTAAACCTTTATTCATTTGCTCCAGGGTAATTCACAGACCTGTCCCTCTTCTTTGACCTTCTTGATAACTTTTATTTGGTCTTTTGTAATAATTTCTTATTATTTAGCCCGGTGATATTTATATACATTAGATACGTAACATTTCTGTGTATCTTATCCTCATGGCTCTAAAAGAAACTATAATGACCAGGTTCTGTTCCACAGTCCATGTCCAACATAGCTTTAATTTAAAACACAAATGATGAGATGTCAGAATGTGTCATCTGGGTCAACGTAGCATTACCAGTACCCTCTGTGGACTCTTTGGGGAGATCTCTACCATGTCTTTTCCAGTGTTCCTCATTTCCATGGATGAAAGGAACCCCAAGATGGAAGAAGGTTATCTCTGACGTCTATGCATGAAGAATCAGCAGCCACTAACTCTGCAGTATAAACTGATTAATGATTAACTAGCATGGCCTAGCTGCCTTGGAGGAAGTGAGACACAGGGGAGGTACGGCTTGGAGAAACAGAGAGAAAGGGAGTCAAAGGCCTCCCATCTCACCTGTCCATCCTGCCAAGAGTGGGTGCTAGTCCCAACAGCCCAACGTGAACATCTCAGCTACCTCTCAGCTTAATTTTTTCATCCTAAGTGACTCCATTACTATAATATTCTTGGAATTTGACACCTTGCTTCACAACGCATCTATGGGAAAAAAAAATCTGTGTTAACAAAGGCGTATCCACTGCTTGGATAGCTGAGACTGGGCCTGGAATTATTCAGAGCCAATCAGTTCCTTATTCAACTGCAGAGTAAAGGCAAGCCCGCCCTAGAAGTCTTGTGTTGTTTTGTACCTGCACCAGGTAAACAGGATCGTTGGTTTGAACTATATTTCTAAAGGTACAGAGGACTGTATTCGAAAACTCAGGTATCTCCTTAGGACTGTGCTGTAAGCATTCATTACAATTAACTCTTCTGTCAAACATATCAAATACTCATATTGCCTATGGAAAACATAAAATTCCTATAATTTGTTAAAGTGTTAAAGTAAGACAGATGCTCCATTTGTAAATATTAAAGAAAAACCCCAGATCAGGTTTGGAGTTGAATCTAGTTCTATGTGATAACCTACAGCTCTTATCTGGAGAAAAGATTCAGCAAAGAAATAATTAGAAGAGACCTTTCCCCCAAAATATCAGTACTACTTTCTCGATTATGACAGACACAAGATAATTTACACAGTGCAATGCATAAAGCTTACTAATGGTTATTTACTTAGATGTGCAAAATACAAAAGGCTCAGGTTAAAGCAATGGTGATGAATCATTTATGAGATATTATCTACTGAGATGGATTGGGTCCATCTGTCATAGCTGGAAAGTTTTTTGTTGTTGTTTATATGTAACTTCATTTAATTTTGTTTACAGTGTTCAAAATGAAAGAAGAATTAGGGCAGATAAGCAAGGGATTTTTTAACCCACAGATAACTCACAGATAAGGAATTAGCAGTTTCCATATAAAAGTCAAGTGCTATCCATGCATCCTGGAGAAAGCATAAAGTCATAAAGCTCTAAAGAGCAGTATCACACCGTGCAAGTCCTGTTGTGGTCCATTGATGTTCCAAGGGATGCAAAGTCTGTCTTCTTTCATTTTTCCATTCATCCCATCTGGGAGTTGTTATTTTCTTCCCTTAGAGGAGACCCAGGGCTGTTGCATGGGGTGCACTGTGGGAACTGGAAATTCTGAGAATCATGGAAGTAAAAAGTATTCCTGTGTCCAACGTTAAATCCACGAAATTAGACTACTGTTAGGGCTGCCCACCATCAGGTTCAAACTGACTTTTGGATTGAGGCTCAGAGCATCTGCTTAGAGAGCAAGCTGTTTACTGCAGGATATCCCTCTGATTTTCAGTGCAAGAGGGAATGTGCCTGAGAGAGTGGGAACCTGCTGGCACACATGGACTGGTACAGGTTGGTACTAGAGTCTGAAGGTACAAAAGGTTGAAGCATCGTATATTCTCATTTGAATCCCCTTAAACTTTCAGTATCTCTTCAAATAATTTATCATTATTAAAGTCAGAGGCCTTCTCATATTTCTCTTTATTCTCTGTAGGTTTGGTTGGATATATAATAAATTCTCCATCAATATTAGCCAGTTCTGTTTTTTAAAGTGGCAATTTAAATTAGCTTTTTCCTAAAAATTTCATTGTAGAATGTCTGGAAGAAGTTATTCATTGGGTAGTTGATTAGCAAACAGTGGGGCCGAGGCATATCCAGTCTTCTCTCTGTATCTTGTCCACGGCTATTGCTGATTATATGGATGTGAAAGAGGGAGTATGACTAGCTTATAGCAAATGTATCTTGCAACTGGAAAAATAGCCTTCAGTGCACGTTGAACTATTTCTTCTTCACATTTAGGAGATTAAACAATGGGTACCTGGTATGTGGATAGCCCTTAGGAACCATGTAGGGAGTGACGAAGAGATCAGAAGATATGGGCACCACCTTTTACAGAAGGAAAACACAACAGACCGCTGTGTGTTTCAGATTAATACAGAGGCACATGCAATTTTCCATCAGCAACTGAGGAGAAACACACGTGTCCTGAGGAATTGGGGAATGATAAGAGCTCAAGCCAGGGGTTCAAAAGGAATGACTGCCTCACAGGGGTCTGAGTGCTAGTGCTGCTGGAGCCAAATGAGAGCAGTGAGAATGCTCTCGATCTCTGTCAAGAGGTAGGGATGTGATTTCATGATATTCCAGGTGGGAGGAAAGGCATATAGTAAAGGTGACAAGAAAGTAGGGGAGATATGTGACAGAGGATAAGAAGTTTGAGTCTGCAGGAGCAGAAATGAGGAAGAAAAGTGTATGGAGTCAGGGGATAAGTTTAATGAGGAGATGGGGCGATGAGACAGCTGGTTTAATGTGCAAAGGTCAGATGGCTTTATCATAACTCCAAAATTGCAGATTAGCAAAGGAATCTAAATCCGAAACCACCTCGCAACTCCTTTTGTTTTTGGAATGGGATTGTAAAACTTGAGCCCTTGAACAGTTGTATCTGTGTTTTAAATTTTTTAAGTAAGAGAGAAATTTGACCTCAATATCAGTCCTAGGAATGATGAATATTTAAAACTTTGTCTCTCCATTTTCTGCTGGGCAGGCTGCACTCAGGGGTCTTGCCACATTCCCCTCCGTGGTAGATATACATGAGGATGTAGGGGAGAAAATGATGCCTTGTGACGTTAAATAAAAAGTAAAAGGCTTTTTTTCTGAGTATTGATGGGTCTAAGCAGATTGAAAACACACAGTCTTTACTACAAAAATCTTGTCCTGAGAAATACACAGGCATCACTATAATTAGTGGTAGAAAGTGATCCACGTTCCATGAAAAGTAGTGAGGGAATCCTGAAGTCGGGCAAATACCTTGTAAGAAAATGGACCTGAAAAATGTATTTCTAAAACCAAGGTTCAAGTCCCCACTCGGATAGTTGAAAATTACTGTTTTGGGAGACCACTGGGAGAAATTTGGAATGGGCACTTCACAATATTCTGAAACTCTCTATTCTTACAAGATCAACCACTTGGTAAGAAGATGGGTTTTATATGAGCCTCTCATGAAGGGAGACATCTATTATGGAAAGGGAGATTTCCAGTTTGGGCCACTTAAAAACTCAACAAAGAGTGAGGCATATTAATAAGAAATAATGAGGCATTTTGGGTTCTTTGGAACTGTGAGTTTTTGAGGAATGAGTTATTTGTCTTTTGATGGTGGTGGTGTGGGCAGTGAGGTGTATTCCATCCAGCTTTTACGTAGGACTTGTTTGGGGGAATAAGGATTTAGATATTTATTTTGGGGAAAATAGCATATGTATATCCTGTGAAGGTTAAAGAAGAAGGCTTTTTTTTTTGGCTGCTGTGATATTAATTATTTTGATGATAATTCTCTGTAGCGGGGGTGTGTCTCCTTTTCCACCTTTTAAAAAGCCCTCAGCTGTGCTGACAGAAAGATGTACAGGGCCACCTGTGGTGGCCATTTAGGTGACGTCTTTACTCAAAAAATCCTTCCTCTGCCATAGTGCACCTGGGACCCACCATTAATGCCTTAGTCAGTCTTTTGGATTGAGGCCTTGAAACCTATGTCAAATTACATGTGTTACCTGAAAGACTACATTAGTTAGGATGTATCCAGCTATAAGAATTAAAACCTATCTAACTATGGCTTCAAGCAAACAATATTTATTGTTTATAAAGACTTGGAAGTTAGGTGACTTGATTCATGGTTCACCTGTTCCGAGTATCTATAAGGGCTTTCCTGGTGTTTCTGAATTATCATCCTCATGATATTGGCTTTTATCTTTATAACAGTCATCTCATGATTGCAAAATAGTGGTCATGGCTTCAAGCCTTATGTCTTCATATCATGTCAAAGCCAGGAAATCAAGCAGTGAGAGCCAAAGGGATTTCCTCTTGGGGGTGGAATTAGTCACACACAAGGGAGACTGGGAAGTTGAGTATATGAAAAAAGAAAATGACCCAGTACAATAACAATTCATTCCCCAAACTGGAATCCTGTCATCAGGAAGAAGGGAGAATGGCTGTTGGATACATCTCTATGAGAAGGATGTGTTCTCCTCTGTCATTCATGGGCAGAATTAGGAAATGGATAGGTGAGAATTATGAAATTCTGCCGATGTTTCTGAAGGACCTGGGACATCATGCTACAGGAATGAGAGGACATTTGGACGGGGAAGAGAGAGAAGCAGGAACTGAGATTGAAGAGGTTGAATTCAGTGTTTTTAAAGGTCCCTTCTTGTTCTCACACTGTGGTTTGAAAAAGTGGAGAGGCACCAAATATTTATTTTCTACTTTCTCATTTAGTCAGTGCCTTGTTGTGGATATTAATCTGTGATCTCTACAGTTATTTAGGAATAATTGGTAGAGGTTCCTTCTTGACAGCTCATTTTGGGCCCCTGTTTCCAGGAGCCGTGAGGGTATATCCTGAGAAGAACATATTCCTCGTATTTTATTGATATCTTGGCAGTCATGAAAGCTAGAAAGTATAGTTTCAGGCTGTCTATAGTAAAACATGGGGCTTCAGGTTTCACTGGGTCAGGGAGTCTAAGTTCCAGCCAGCAGCTATGCCCTGAAGACCTTCCCCTGTGGTAGGGAGACAGTCCGACTTCGGGGTGCCCATCCATTCTGCCTAATTTCTATTTACAACAACCAAATCTCATGCAAAGAAATGTAGGTCAAGGGCAGGTCATCTTCTCTGTTTGTTTCTTTATGTATTCAGTGGGAAATCTTGCTGTAATTACTTCAAAAGGTTGTTGTGAGAAGAAAATGAGATAATGTATGAGACGGTTCCTTTGAGAAGCTGTATGGATGTGGATGGCATAATTATCATCTCGCTGCTGCTGACTCAGAGTCCACAGAACTGGACAGCGATGGGTCTGAGGTGCCACTGTCTACTAGCATAATTTAAATGCTCACCTCTGTTTTGTTTACTCTTAGCTTTCATTTCTTTTTTCCATTTTGGCCTCAAATGTTTCCCTCTGCCTCCAGGTTTTATGGGCACTGGAAAAAATTTGGACAATCTAGATTCATTTCTGATTCTTTTCAAAAGGACACTTTTTGTTGGCATCTATTAGCAGTTTCATCTACAGCCATGAGAAAGAATCATTGATATTATCTTATGGGAAAGCATGGTCAGGAAGTTTAAATAATTATAAGATGTCAAAGAGTATGATCTTGCAGGTGAAGGAGTAATATCCTAGCAAAGATAATTTTTTTAAATAAAACATATGTAAATTTTAAAAATTGCCCCCTAGCAAAGCTAGCAGAGAGCTGGAAAGGAAATAAGCGTATGTGTGATGGTATGTGTGAATGTATGCATTGGAAAGGCCATTGGAAAAGGGCATGCCAAGTGTTCAATAATATGAGAGAAATCAAGCAAATTGTACCACATCCACTTAATAGAATATTATGCAACTTTTAAACGTGATATTTATAAAGATTATTTAGCAAAATGGAAAATGCTTATTTTGTAATGTTAAATGAAAAAAGTAAGATGTGAAATTTTATAAATGCTTTAATCACAACTATGTTAAGTATGCATCAGAAATACTGCAAAGCAATATATCAACATTCTAATAGTGTGATTGTATTATGGATACTTTTGGTTTCCTTTTTCACAGCATAGTTTTATTACATTTATCATAAATGGTTTTTAGTTAATTTTACAGATTTTTTTAAAAAGAAAAGACAATGCTACTAAACAGCAGGTGTTTCATTCAGGGTTCCAGCAGAAAACAGATGGCATACTAAAACTGAGATCATTTGAGGAGGGTTTAATGAAGAAACTATGTTCAGGGTAGAAGCAAGTTAGTGATGTGAGCTGGGGCTGGAAACATGGGGGTCTGGAACTCTACAGGACAGCCCCTGGAGAATGCTGTCATGAGAGAAATTATGATACTTGGTTAAGGAATGAAGGTGGCAGAGAGAGGTGACACCACAAGGAGGAGCCAAGGGGATAAATATTCCAACCTCTTTGTCTTCTGTCTCTCTGTTGTCCTACCAGGTGTCTCATTAGCGAAACCCAGTCAGCTAGAGGGTGGTCATGATGCTGTCCATGCAGGTCTCCCAGGACAGAGAGCTGGGTGGAGAAAGATGGAGTCTGTTTTAGGACAAGTAAAGTGAAGCTATCTAGAATAGTAGGACGCACAGGAGAATGGCTTGTCCTACTAGCCTGCTAACTGGTCATAGGGCTGGCCTCAAAATTCATTTGCTGACCCCATTCCCCTCAAACAGGTGACCATAAGAGCCTTCTGGGCTAGAATCTCTGGACTGGTATCCCATAGACAGAGCCATTTGTGGACCAGTTCTGGGACCTCTGATATCTATGAGCATACTCAAGAATTGGACACATAAAGTAAGTGTGGCTTGGTTCCATTAGTAAAACAGGACAATTGCCTCCTAGAAGGCAGGAAAAGAAGTGGAATGGAATACTGTAAAACCCAAGGGAAAAGGAAGTTTTGGGGAGGTGGATGTTCGATGGTCAGGAATGTTAAATATGGTAAGGGCCAAGTGGGATGAGGGCTGAAAATAAGTCGCATATGACAATCTCCCCATCTGTTTTTAAACAGAGGATGCAGGGTGAATAGGTCTAATATACTTTTTGTGTAGATTTGCTTTTTGTTTTTATCCTGAGCCTAGAATTTGAACTCCACAGATGCTAATTAAAATTTTATTATTTTTATTTTGGATATAGTCTTGAATTTCGATCACAACCTTGTTTTCTTTCAGCCTCCTTTGGCATTTTTGCCTTGAAAGGGTTGTCTTTGATTGAGCTTGATAAGTTACATGTTGGCTTTGTGAATGTGTCTATTGTTTAAGGTTACATATTTTGGTTTTGGTGTTTATAAGGGAATGAGACCCAAGCTGCTGAGAATCATTCCATTCACATATGTAGACAGGAAACAGCATGTATATTAACAAACTGATTGGAATAGGAGTTATATCTCATACTCTGAAACATTTTACTTGGGAGTTATCAGGCATTAAGCTGTTACCATATTAGAGAACAGTAAAAAGGCAAATTTAGGAAATTCCTAAAAAGATGATTTCTTCTGTGATCTGATGATGGTACAGTAAATTCTTAGTTTCAGAGTATAGATGCCATTTCAAGTTAAGTATATGCAATTTAAATTAAAGATGCTCAGATGTTAGCTGGCTGCCACAGCATATTGGCAACAGCATGTGTTTGAACTAGAGCAGATAATTCAAATGGCTCGTTATCCACTTACATTCTAATCATCTGTGAGGTGGCTTCTCTCTGGGCAGGCTCAGCATGCTCTCAGGGGAGATTTTACAGCTTCTGAACTTCTGACTGCTGTGACTCAGCCCATCCTACCCAGTTTCTGGAGTGCTGTAGCTATCTCTCTTTATGGGCAAAGCCCAACTTTTCTTTGGGTTTTAATTCTCATGTTTGCAGGCAGTGGCTCCTGAGCCCGTTTCCTGGCTGTTTCAGTTACTAGTGCTGCATAACAAATCATCCCAAAATTTAATGACCTAAGACAATAACAAGCATTTTATTGTCTGTCATTGTTCTGAGGGTTGATTGGATCCATTTAGATGGTTCTCTCTTACAGTGTCTCATATAATTGGAGTCAGAATGTGGCTGGAACTGGAGTTATCCTGAAGGCTTCCTTGTTTGTATGGCTGGTAGTTGAAGCTAGCTGTCAGCTGAGACCTTGGCTAAGGATATGGGCCAGAACACCTATATGTGGCATCTCTGTTTCCCTGCTTGGCTTCCTCAGCCTGGTTTCAAGTGTAAATGTCCTAGATACACCAGACAGAAGTAGTATCACCCTTATGACCTAGCCTTGGGAGTTACACAGTTTCACTTTTATTGTAGTCTCAGGCCTGCCTAGATTTAAGGGGAGGAAACACAGGCTCACTTTTTGATGGGAAGAGCATCAGTGTCATATTATGAGAAGAACATGTGGAATGGGAGATCATGTTGTACCATCTTGGAAAATACAATCTGCCTTACTGGAGATTTTTCTATAGACATATCCCTAGGGGAGTCTGTGAAGCTGCAAAGCCACTTTTCCATTTTAGATGCCTCTTTGCTTTTAGCAAGCTTTTCCTCTTAACTTGTAGGTTTCCCTAGGGAGCCAAGATTTCATCTTGCCCTGGGCCTGCAACTTGGTACACTTAAGCAATGATCTGTGATCAAGACCTTTCCTCTGGGTATTGCCTCACCAAAACTTGCCTTTTCTTGGCATTCAGGGCCCAAGATCCACTCTCTCTTCCTTATAAATGGCCGAAATGTGGCTACCTATCCAAAGGAGCTATGAGGGCTTATATTAGGTGGGCCAGCTAGCCTTGTGTAGAGCATCCTGACCTATTTTTATAATCCAATAAACTTACATTATCATTGAGTTCTATTCCAAGCACTCTGCTGGGTGCTGGAAATACATATATGATCAAGATACAGATTTTACTCCAAAGGTGCTCACATGGAAATCAGTGGCCAGAATGCCCATAGTAACTACTGCTTTGAGTTAAACATTAACAGCAGGTGGTTAAGTGGAAACCAATGATATTTAGGAACTAACATGCTAAACCGTTTTTAATTTGTTGACTTCTTGGTGTGAACCTGCTTATTCTATAAACCAGTAAACATCAAGACCCTGAGGAAATGGAATGTCACATGTATAAGTTTGACAGAATAAAAGGGAGGTAAGAAAATGTCCTAACTTGGTGGAGGGAAAAATTAAATGAGCTTCTGGGAGAGCCACTGATACACTTTCTCTACCATCTAGCTTTTTGGTACAGTTGAAAGACCACAGACCTTAGTGGTTAACTTCGTGGACTCTGGGGCCAGACTGCCTTGATTCGCATCTTTGCTCTGCTGCTTACTAATTATATACTCTTTGGTAAGTTTCTTATTTTTTTTATATGCCTCATTTTCATCATTTGTAAAGTGGGGATAATAAGAGTAAGTATCTCATAGATTTTCTCTGAGCATTAGTCAAACGAAATACTGGCCAAGTGCTTAGCCCAGTGCCCAGCACACAGAAGACTGTCTTCTATGCTTGTTAAATAAGCAAGTGGATTACTTTGTCTTAAATATTTTGTATTCTGTTGTCACTTGTAACTAGAGAATTGATATATCCCTGGATTGGTGATGTTAGAAAGTGTTTGTTTTTTGTTTTGTTTTGTTTGTTTGTTTTTTGTAGGATCACTTCCCTTCTCTCATCTGTTTACAGTACATCTCGGTATACCTCTTTATCACCTTGTGGTCATACATTTGGGGAATCTGATTCTTTTGTTTCTAGATTTCTCTTCTTGAATTTTCTTTAATATGATTGGGAAATAGTGAGGGGTGCAATAGGCTTTCTGTTCTGGGAACTTATCAATTTAATGTGATTCTTTTTGACAGTTTTATATTCTTCTATTCTTCTACTCTCTACCAGTTAACCTATCTGCAAGGTGAAATTCTTGAACAAATTGTCTACCCAAAGCACTGCTCTGTAAAATAGATGATGTACCTGAAGTGGATGTGAACTATTGAGTCATATGAATGGTCAAGGTTGGAGAGGGCATTGGGTGTACCTATTTAAAAGGATAATATGAAAGAAAACTGGACAAAATGTTTAGGTGATCTTCTTTGTAGTGATATCTCAGAATTGTTTAGAACACTTGTGCTGTGCCTTCCCTTGGAAGTGTGGATGATAATTTTGCCATGAGAACTTAACCCTGCCCCCACTTGGAACCTTGGAAAGATGGGAAGTCCATTTGCTTCTCATATTGTAGAAGATCTACTTCCTTGAGGCCAGAGGAGACCTGTGATTCTTAGCCTGTATAGGGCATCAGAATCACTTAGTGGGGCTTTCAAATATTTCACAGTGCTCACTAGTCCCTGAAATTCTGATGCATTAGGACTGGGGTTGGTCTAGGGCTTCTTATTCATGTATTTTTCTTCAAATACTTATCTGGATGTTCAAAATCAGTGGAGTAGACACGTAAGGTAAAGAGCAATAATTAATCTATATTATATCATATCAGTACAAACACTGGCATCTTGCACATATCTGATTACATGATTATCATGCTGTAGATTTTGCAAGCTCTTTGAAAACATGCCTTTAGATCTGGGGTTATTGCCATTTTCAGGCTGGAGTTTATGAGGCTGGAGACCTTGGAGATGACCAACGGAGGGTCATCTCTTCAGTTGCTAAATCATTATGACTTAGATTAAGAATGATAGAAATATTTTTTAGCATCATTACTGACTTGCAAGTGGACTGAAAGAATTAAAGATGCACAGAAAAACATCTTTACCCCTTAATTAAAAAGAAGCCCTTTTGGATCCAAGGAAATAGGAAAATAAAACTAACATCCTGGAAAGTATAATGGGAGAATGTTAAATGATGTCTGCCAAAATTTCTCCTTGTGTTACCCCACTTGTAATGCCAAAGGCCAATTACAACTTGTTTTGTGGTAAGGGATGTGTCTGATTTAAACAATAGAAGATTATAGTAGAATGCTGAGAATTTTCACAATTAAAAAAAGCAATGTTTCCAGGTATTTGCAATGCAACAGAATTCTTCTCTCCAAAGGTTTAAACTTGTACACTTTATACAATGCCGTCTTTGTTTCTTTTCTTCTTCTCCTTTTCTCTCTGTGTCTTTCTCCTTGCCTCTCTATCTCTGTCTCTCTCTCTTTTTAGTTCCCTGATTGGTTGCTAAATTCCTTTAAAGTTCTAAGCTATGTATCATTAAGGACTGATAGTAAAAAACAACATTGAAAATGGTTTTGATTCTGGTTAGAAAAATACCCCTGGAGAAGATATTTTACCAAATAATATTGCTGTTTTGCAGAAGATTCAGTTTTGTCTTTTGTCTGCTCAAGTTCTTGTGCACCTTTCCCAATGCAAAAGGAAATAAATACACTTCTCTTAAGTATCACTCCTCCAAGGAGAATATGTTGGTTTAAATGGAGGAGGCAACTGTGGCTGAATAATATTTCTCAGCATCATTTGTGTGATACAAGGATGTTCCCTCCCATGTAGAGGATGTAAAGGAAGTGGCAGACTGTGTTTCCCTCTAGATCAGGCCAGCCAGGCTCTTACTGTATCCATGATAGTCTCCTTTCATGACTATACTAGGAATACCCCTTTCTTAGGATCCTATACTAATCCCTGTGGCCTACTAAGATAAGAACATACCAAGTTGTCAAATCTCCCCAATTCTCTGGTTACTTCTTCTCCTATGTTCATTTCTGGGATTGAAGTTGGAATAGGGCTAAGAGTTATGTTTCTTATCTTTATCTAAATGGCTCTTGAATGGTAGCCTGATTTTTCTCCCTAAATCACAAAATGAAATTACTTCTTAGTTGCTTTCTTCTTGTCTGGGGAACATAGTTCTAATGAAGTTCTCCAATAAACAATCAACAAAGAAGATTATAGTAGAATATAGTGTATATAGTGACCTCCTTCAAATGAATTACCCTCATTCTTCTTGCTCTTTATATTTCTCCAATATTATCATCTCCTTGAGAACTGGGAATGTGTCTTGCTCATTTTTGTATAATATTCTATATAATGTTCAATAATATTTATTGTAATGGAAGTTTCACAAGGTTCCACAAGGTCAGTTGCTTTTGGAATCCTGCTAATTCTGCCTTTCCTTCCTTCCTTCCTTCCTTCCTTCCTTCCTTCCTTCCTTCCTTCCTTCCTTCCTTCCTTCCTCTAAAGGTTTAACTGGCAGTTTACCTGGACCAATGTAGTTTAGATTCACCTTGAGAGCAGATCACCATCTGTGCCCTCTGAGCAAAAATTAGACCCAGATGAGGAAAGAGTTGATTAAAGTTGTTACTGGACAGGTAAAGCTTCAAATCACTTGCTGTCATTTCACAGCACATGAAAAATGTTTGCAGTTTTCTTTTCAACCTCCAGCCTGACACATGAGCCCACTTAAAGTCATTAGTGTATCACTGACACACTCTTTTTCAAGCACTTTAAACTGTGATAATGTTCCAGTGGCTGAAGTGGGAATTTGACTCATGGCTCATTAGTTGTCTTATTACAACATGCATGTTATCATAATCTGCTTTTGCCAAGTGTGTTGTTTGACGTTTTGTCCCAGAATTCCTCTCATGTCCCACCATGTCACCAGTGGGATATGACAACTCTGCTGAATTTTGCTAAGAGGGTAAACAAACTTGCTCTCCCTACAGATGGGTCACAGGTTGGTACACAGGGTGCACAAAGCAGCCTAAGGTAGCTGAAGGATTTAGAAGAGGACATAATTGAAAACAAAAACAACGGGCTTTTAGTATTGTCTTGCTACTTTACTAATTACTTAACTGTTATAACTCCTCCGTGACTTTTTTTCCACATCTTTACTTCTCACAGAAAAGACAACCAGAAAACTTTTTTTTTTAAAAGATGGACTGTTACATGTAGCACTGGAATTGTTGAGAGTAGCATTTCCGCCTAGATTTCTTGAATGTAAACTTCTTTTTACACTGATTGAAGAACTGTTGATTTTTTCTGCTGTGGGATGTAAGCAAGGAGCATATTGCCCTGAAGGGAGACTTAGGTGATGAGCTAACTCGTTTCCCAGAATTCCGTAGACTATATCATCATATCCCACTCTCAAATTCTCTCATCGTCTTCTTCAGAGGGAGAGGCTGGGGAGAGATGACTCTAGCCTAGGATGTGGATTGAGTCCCTGAGATTTATAGTAATCAAAATATTAATGAAGTAGTCGATACAAATGCTGTTTGTGTAGAATGCCTAAGTAACTGGTTGTGTAATATATCAGGAAGAGATCCAGATATGAGCAGAGGCAGAGCATAATAAATCAGGTCATTTGTTTTGCAATAATGGAATGATAATTGTGATAATTTCAGAAGTCACTATCATCCTGCAGCGTGAAAGAATCTTTTTGCTGGCTTCCCATTGTTTAAATATTCATGTGATGTCTGTGAGTGACTTCCTGCTGAGAAAAATCTTTGCATATCTCCGGCTGGCACAAGAACTAGAAATTGTGCTTTGCTTTAGCCTGGGAAGGTTTTGCAGGAACCTGAGTGCTCTCATGGTTTAGGGGGAATGTTCCTCAAAGAACAATTCCTTCAGTGAAATAAAGGCCCATGTTACTGAATTATTTTCCAAATGCCTTCTCCTAGCCAGCAGCTGTGTGAATTTATAGGCACTCACCTCTGCCCTTTTGCACTGAATGATGAGGCAGAGGCAAAAATAGCCATGCTAGCTTGTAACACAGTTATGCTATAGAAATATAAACATAGCTAATGACCCCAGAGAAGAAAATCCACAGTTGCTGTCACCTGCGCTTGCTTTCCCTCCTTCCCTCCCCCAGCTTCTCCGCATTCTGTTCTTGGTATGGATGAATGGGGCTGTTTTAATTGAGCTATCTAAATTTGGCAGGCCATACATCCCACTGTCTCATATCCCAGGACTTAGGTCCACCTGTTGCCATTATCCCCCCAACTCACACAGTGGGAGGTAGACAACACATGCTTGCAAATTCCTTTTCAGTATAAAACCCCAAAAGAATGGCAGTGAAGCTTTTAGAATTACTTGAGTACTGCAATGAATATGGATGTGGGTTTTTGCAATGGGGGTCATTTTAGAATGAATAATACTGTATAATTGCTTTCAGTAAATTGTATCATCAGTATGTATATTAGTTTGTATATAGATAGTGTATATTAGAATGTACTAGGATTGGTATTCTGAAGGTGTTTGGAGTTTTCACATTAGGCAAAATTCTGAAGTGACTGACTGAGGGGAAAATAGTAACGATAAAGAGGCAACAGTCCTTTTCTAAGAACTCAAGTGCTATGTGTTCATTGTTTTGTTGATCCTCCTAATTCTTATCTAGCATTAGGAAAGAATCACAATTCTCTTTTAAGGAGAAAAAAAAAAACAGGGGCAGATGGAAGAAAAGTGCAAGCCCAGGATTTTACAAGAATTAAAGGTAGAGCCAGCATCTCTTTATCTCTGATAGAATTCTGACTGCCAACTGAGTTTCCTTCCTTTAAGAGTTAATGGCCTCTAATGGCAGTTTGATTTGGAGGTGATTATGCATCTAAACTACCTGATTAAAAAATACATTTCCAAATGTGGCTGATTACCTATTTACATATTGCTAGGGTTTAGGTGAAATTGTGAAGTTTAGTAGGGTGGTGATTTTCTGAGAAACTCTGCTATGTGCTGAAGTGAATTCTGTTTTTAGCTTCGTGGTTAGATTGGGCATCAGTTAATGTTTAAATTGATAGTCATTTTTCCACTAAGTTAAAGGAACCAGTCCTGCATATATTCTTTCAATCAAGATAAAAGCAATGACAGCATTTTCTGGGTTGGGCGGAGGCTGGTTGGTTGGGGCTGCGTAGGGGGAGGGCTCTGGTAAAATCATCAAGACCAAGGTGAAATCCACAGCGTTTGTTTAGCACAGATCTGTAGATTACAGTGAGCTGTACAATGACATTTGGATCCACTTAATAGACTGCCCTCCGGTATTTTAGAGACTAATGCCAGCCAATCACACCAGGGTGATCCTAGAGAGGATCAAGACACTTAAAATGGCAAATAAATTGAATAACAATGCAGGAATGAAGTAACCTTACATATACAAAGAAGGGTTGCTAGGTAACAAGTGAGGGGGTGTCATGGCTTCAGATCAGAGAGGGCTGGTTAGAAAATAAAATGACATCCTCTCTTCTAATTAGTCCTCCTTCCCAATCACATGCATCAAGATAATCTTGTGGTTTGGGGCCTTAGCCTAGTTTGCAAAGCCCAGTGCTTTATTCTCTTTCTTTCACAGCGCCGTTTTCCTTTCTGTGCTTTAGGCTTGGTTCATTGGCTGCTGTTTCATCCTGGCTGACTATAGCAAAGCCAGTTAGCTACAAGGCACCGTGTTTGGTAGTGTCAACTCACCAGACCCAGTTCTCTAAGCAAATGTTTGCAATTTGATGAAAGACAAAGAAGGCATATTTGTCTGTATAGATAGAGAAGCAGAGCTAGCCATGCAGTTAAGTCCTTACAAAGAACTAGATGGATCAATTCTCTAAATTAGAGTTTTTTTAGCTGCACCATAATTTTTAGATGAAAAAAGAAGATAATTCAATATGCAAATGTTAGTAAAAACAAACACTTCTATGTTATATTAAAAGAATTCTTAAAGCAATGGACCTGGGAATCACCAGAGGAATTTTTCCAGACCATAAATATTCCAGAATCTTAGGTGGGGATGAACATTGTAGTTTGAAACAAACACCACCACCACCAACAGCAAAACAAAACCAACAACTCTTCTGAGTGATTTTTATACATTTACCCCTAAATGGTTTGAGATCCACCACCCTAAATTTTTGCTATATCTCTATCACTTACATTGTTATGGAATGTTCTATCTTGAATCCCTGAAAGTCCTGGTATTTTAAAAGGAAGAACTAATTATGTAAATAACATGTACTGACTACAAGAGAAAAAATATTCGCCTTACAAAATTTATTATAAAAATAAAAACAAAATATGAGAGCATTGCTTCATAATAAAGCATAGAACAAGATTTGATTCTATTTAAATTAATCAGAAAAAGTGAATTAACTAGCTTTAAATAAGAATACATTTTGGTCTTCTGATCAGTTGAGAATTGATTATTTAAGGTTGAAAAAAAGCAAACATATACTAACTTCCAGTTATCTTATTCGTTTATAAGCTACGTATTCAGTGCATTTGTTTTAGAATTTTGCAACCAGAAAGACTATGAAGGCACTGTTTAGTGCACATTTTGATAACTTCAAAAAAACCTAATATATGTATAAAAAGTGGGACTCAGAAACATTTAAAAAACCATTTCTCTATAGGAAAAAATTGAAAAATAGTAAACAATGTTTGATGTAGTTCAAGGCTAGACAATTTCTTTTCTCTGGTTTATGGGCCTATGCATTTTTTATTTTTAAATTAAATGAGATTATTATATATTGATTTTATGTTTGTTCCTCATAACTAACATTACTATATATGCCTGTTCACTACAGATATTTTGGGTCAAGTCATGATTATGATGGAGTAAAGAAGAATTTTATGGGGACAGCTGCTTTTCATGACAAATGATTTATAGACATAAAAACAAGAGTAGAAAAAGAGAAACTAAAAAAGAGTCCCTTGACTATTCCAAATAAAGGAAAAATGATGTGTTATAAAACAGTGTACATATGTTTTATTTTATACCAGAATTAATGTGCCACTATTTTATACTGAAATTAATGTTTATTTTATACTGGAATTGATGTGTGACAATAAGAAGTTGTCTTAGCTTCTAAGCCTGTTCAAAGTATGATGTTCATATGTTCACTCACGTAACTTGACATGGATAAATAGTGAAGACATTAACCCAGTGCTCCCTTCTCTGTTCAGATCTATCCTTGTCAAGTTCCTTTGATTTTCACAGAAATGTTTTGGAGATAACCTAGCAGCCTCTTTCTAATTGAGGTTCCCTGTTGTCTATTCATCTGGATTGAAGAAAGACAGAATTTCTTTTCTTGGGTTTTCTTCTATTGGCCAGAACTTCACATTTAGGAGAAGATTTTTGCCAGATTAAAGAATGACAATTGTTAAACTTCTGCCAGAATGTTTTCAGAACATAGAGATTGGGTGGAGGTTGAATTAGTGATTCTTATTGCATTAAAGATGCCAACAGCTAGATGAGGCTTTGTTCAGGAAAAATTAAATAACTTTTATTTATATCTACATTCTCCAATATGTAATTATTTTCTCCAGCGAAAAATGCTCATCTAAAAATACTTTCAGGTCAGTCTGTTATTTCTATAGATTCAACTTCACGGGATTATTACTTTATAAGCCTGCTTTGAACTGGCTGAATTTTATCTGGTGTTAGAAATCATTGAGAGTTTAGCTGCAGGGTATTGGAGATGATAAAATAATCATGGAAACAATAATTTTAGTTTGTTAGTATCTATTTCTGGCAAGTTTTCAGCTGTTCTATACTCATACAAATTATTCACTAATAGAAATCCCTGAAATATGTCTGTGATGAAGGCAAAAGTGTTCTTGATTTTTTTCCAATCAACATTTTCTCTCAGAACCAGTATCCTATAAATATACAGAAAATTCTGTTTAGATGAAACTGCCACTGGTGAACTCCATAACCAGCAGACAATCACAAAAACTCTTTGTGGACAGCACTCTTTGAAAAACTTATTTATTTAAATGTTAGAAATTTTGTGTTTTACCAAACTGCACTATATGCAACAGTATCTGACAGCCTTAAACTAACCATAATTGATAATATTAATAACAACAATGTGACAGTCAGGATAGGCTAGGTTATGCTGCAATAAGAAGAACCCCCTCCCACACACACACCAAGTCTTAGTGGCTCAAAACAACAAAGTTTTATTTCTTGCTCACAACACATGTCCACTATCATCAGCTGGGGGCTCTGCTCTGGGTTTTCTTAATCTGGAGCCAAGCTGATGGACTCTCCATTGTCTGAAGATTTGCTGATCACGATGGTAGGGAGAAGAAAGCCTCCAAAGCAATACACATTATTTTTGGACACATTCCATTTAAGGCAGGAGAATAGGGTCTGGAGGCAGAAAACCTAAGGTGGATTCATGCTGACTTCCTAGAACTAAATAGAAAGGAAAACCCCAACTTTCCACACCCAAGTAACAAGAGGAACAGAGGCTACTCCCTTTGCAAATCACCCCCCACCATACGTTTGCATAAAAGTGTAACCTTTGTAACTTCACTTCAGCCTCTGATTGGTTGCTTTCCACAACCAATTAGACTGATCGTGGACCACCACTTCATTTGCATGGGGTGAAAACCAAGCAGCCAGTGGGAGACCTCTACGGGGTATTTGGACCCTAGTAGATTCTGTAACCCGGCTCTTGAGCCCCTATGCTCAGCTGGCTCCCACCCTGTGAGGAGTGTACTTTTCGTTTTCAATAAATTTGTGCTTTTGTTGCTTCATTCTTTCCTTGCTTTGTTTGCGTATTTTGTCCAGTTCTTTGTTTAAAACACCAAGAACTTGGACACCCTCCACTGGTAACACAAAATCGCATGCCTCTGCCCAATTTCAAGGGGCAAGGAAATGCAGTCTCACTCTGGGCCTAATAGAAAATCTTGACTATTGGTGAACACAGTCAATATGAATATTCAAAAAACAATAACAAAAAAGTCAAAACATCATTTACTATTCTCTCACTAGGGGAATGAGAAAGGATATAGAGCAGAGCATATAGAGCAGAGGATATGAATGGAAAAATGAAAAAGTCTAAAAGTAAAAAGAGAATGTAACGGATAGACATATAAGAAAGCACTTCCTGGCTGGGCGCAGTGGCTCACGCCTGTAATCCCAACACTTTGGGAGGCCGAGGCAGGCGGATCACTTGAGGCGGGCAGATCAGGAACAGGAGTTCGTGACCAGCCTGGCCAACATGGTGAAACCTCGTCTCTACTAAAAATAAAAAATTAGCTGGGTGTGGTGGTGGGTGCCTGTAATCCCAGTTACTCAGGAGGCTGAGGCAGGAGAATCGCTTGAACCTAGGAGGCGGAGGTTGCCTTGAGCCAAGATCGTGCCATTGCACTCCAGGCTGAATGACAAGAGCTAAACTCCATCTCAAAAAAAAAAAAAAGCCCTTCCTTTATCTTTCTCCTGTAAACAGCAAAAGGACCAAATGTTCTCTCTTTCTCTCTGTTTCTCTTTTCTCTTGTGAATCTTCATGATCCTCTGCCTTGGGAAGGGTTCAGTGCTAATTATTTTCAGCTGAAGATGTTGCAGCTTCAGGCATTTAGTCTTGTCCAGGTTCTAGCAGTCTGTCCAGGTATTCTCAGATACACAGACGGCAGGAGAAAAATTATATCACAAATCCATCAGCGCTTTGGGAAGAGCATCCAAATGTGCATTTTAGAAGCATTTGTAAGTAATTCCATCTTTCCATAGAAAGGAGAGTGTAGGAGCAGATTGTTTGGAGAAAAGGCATACAAATTTATTTAATGTGTATACCCTGGAGCCTTTAGACTGAAGATCCAAAGGTATAGGAGGAATTGTCCATTTTAATGCTTAGGCTCAACAAGCTATGGACAGGGTTGTGTAAAAATATGATTGGACAAAAACGGTGTGATCCAATGCTAATAGACTGAGTAGAAAACCCAGCAAGGCTTGTCTGTCTAGATTCTTCTTGGCCTCTCTGAGCATATATTCCTTTCTTCTGGGCCCTTTCTGGAATGGGGGTCTTTTGGCCTTCAGTCAAACAAGATAGGTCAGATAATTTCTTTATGGCCAGTTTTTACACAGAAAGGCAGAGGGAAAATTAGAGTGATATATTTAGGTTTTATGTCTGGCTTTGGGGAAGCCAGACTGACCCACCTTGGGGAAGAGAGATTCTAGTTTCTATGGCTAGCCTTGAGGAAGAGTGGGACTGAGACAGGAGGGCAGGAGAAGATCAAAGAAAAACTTGCTTCTTTGACTGCTTCTGAGTCCATTATTTGGGGGTATTGCTTTCCGAGTCCTGATAAGAGCCAATTCTATTGATTGAGGATCTCTAGAAAACATAACTGGGCTCCTCAGTTGAAGTTACTAAGCTCCTACTATATAGTAGGAGTTTAGAATCCCATTTCCTTGGGAATCATTCTCCTCCCTTGGTACAAATTATAAAAAAGATTGATGAAGAAAAGCATGATATCCTGGAAGTTTCTCAGTAACTATGGCACTGCATGGAGTCTCACCTCCCTCTCTGTTTCCTCTTGTCTTCCTAGCTACACCATCTGTGTGTCCTTGGTAAAGAATCATAGAGGAAAACGGATGAAGGAGAGGGGAGATACTAGCTCTGATCTTTAGTTTAAAGAATGAGGACTCTGAATCTCAGGAAGATTATGTGTCTTGCCCACTTTGCATAGAGTAACCAGGCCTCAAACTCAAGTCTTGCAGCAACAAGTTGGCTGTCTTTTTCCACCACACTGATATAGTAGATGCCTAGGGACCTTAGTGTTCAGGTCATCCAAATAAATTTAAGCAAAAGGTGACTGTTGAGAAATCAAGGTGTGGACAATCTTCCCAAAGCAAATCGGCTTATTTTGTGATATCAGGTGGATGTGGGTGTTTCCAAGGAAGAACACGCTACTTTGGGTCTCTTGATTTGGAAAAAAATCACAAAGTTGAAGTTACCTCCGAATTACCAAGCAAAATGAACTTGGTGTTGGGAGAGCTTAATGCTGGAAGGTCCTAATAGGGACTTTAAGGGAGAAATGGTAGCACCCAGAATACTCATTTTCTCAAATTGGGAAAACTAATTTTACATGTTTATTCTGATTTAAAAACCCTGCACTTTTGATACTTTCTACTGAAACTAGATTATTTTCTGAAACCATTGATGAAAAGAAAGGAAGAGATGATTGAAAAGTGAGTCTGAAACACTAGCAATTAACCATTGGTCACTCTTTGAAAACAGTCTCAAATTAAATGGCACTTAGCTATACACTTTCACTAACAATACATGCAAATGTTGATTTTTCTTTAATGATGAAAGCCAAACCCTTTAAGAACTTCTTCTCTTTTTTCTCTTAATAATTTCTTTTTTGGCAGCTTTTTTATTCTTTGTGGGAAACAAAGGAGCCTCAGTGACAGTATCTTCCTTTCTGTAAAATGTGGGCAGGCTAAAAACCCTGGCAGCAAATGCCATTGCCGTGAATACCCTACCCTCTTGTATCAAAATGTGAATATCAACGTGTTCAATAGATGAATTCCAGGTGAACCAAGGAGTCAGTTAATCCACAAGTCTTTATTGAATGCTTTTTGTAACTTGGTATTTCCCGAAATAAGTAAGCCATTGCCCAGAGGTGGGCACCATGTTACCTAGAGTTAATATTGTGTTGTCAATGTTGGTGTTAATGGTGTTGTCATAACTGCTTTTGGCTTGTAAAATGTTTCCTGTAGGCAGTGTACATATAGACTTGTTGATGATAGTACTTGAGTATCCTTGCCAAGGAGAGCAGAGGGCAGAGCAAAGCCATTCCTCTTTGGTATGCCTGGTGTTCCATCAGCCAGAGCCCCCCAGGAAAAAATCCCGTGTACAATGGCAGGGCATCCTAGTTTCCTAGGCGGCAATAAATATGACAACTGTTGTTTTCCTGACAGGCACAGAAGCAATCCCTCTCTCAACACCAGTCAGTGATAGTGTTAAAATGGATACTCCACAGTGTTTTGAGCCTGGAAGCTGCATTAGGCAGCTGCTTGAGGTAATTAGGAACTGGAAGGCAACTTTCTAAAGGCATCCAACAAGAGAATGGAACATTCATAGGAGTGAATGGCTCTCAGGGATGACAGAAGAGTTGGCTGAAAGCAAGGCTAGGGTTCCCAAGGGAATTGCTGCTGGTGTGTAAAAATAGACACTTGTAGCTTATATCTAACTGCCTATAGTTGGGTTACAAGTTGTCGGATGATTTTAACATCCGCACCAGACTCCAGTGCATTGACAAGAGTTAGAAACACTGTGGCTAATGTCTAGGTCGCATTCTGAGGAAGCATTTCCCCAACTTGTTCTTTCCCTCAGCCCTTGCTAATTTAGCACCTGAGCTCTCTAAGTTATGCATTTCTTCTGTATTTGGTTTTTAAATATGTGCCAACACTCTGGATTCTGAAAAGTGCCTGAAGGAGCATTGAATATTCTTTTGACTACTGTATTATTCCTTCCTGACAATCCTGATAAGATTATATTGAATGCAGGGCAAAACAAAAGAAGTTATATTTTTCTTGTACAATCTGTAATTTAAAATGCTGGGGTGGTCTGTACATGGCTCAAGAATCATTTTTCACTGCCCTTCAATTGACACTTTGCAGTCATTAGGATGGTAAGATATGGAGAGGATTTTTGTGAGAGCCCCTTCCCTTGTGGGTAAAGGTGGGGGTCTTCTGTCACAGTGAAATGAAGCAGGAGCTGGGTTCAAGGCCTTTGCTGCTCAGGCAGTCGACATGAGGCTTCCATGGAAAGTCTGTTAATATGGCTATCTCCTGATCTGGAACACCCTTGCTGTTCAAGTCTCAGGCTCCCCTTGTGTGGAGACTGTCAGTGGTAATAAATCCAGCTCTACTGTATAACATGAATAAATTCCCAGCAGAGACTCTAATTTCCCCATGCCCCAAATCTGATGGGCACCACGTCTCTAGAGGGAAGGTGCTAGATGATTAATTCATCTCTAGATGAATTAATTGAGCTGCCTCAACCCAAGTACAGTTAAAGCTGATCCATCTCACACATGTATTCAAACAAACCCACACTCCTAGAAAAAAATTACCAATTGTATATTACTGGGGGAAACACTTTCCTGGAAGGATACTTGGCCTCAAAAATCAGGGATTTCTGGGAAATGTGAGAAACATGTGCACCTTGAATTAACATTTATGTCAAGTGCTGGGCTATCAACCTCTGCAGGTGCTGTTCCATTTTCATTCTCACAATAGCCCCTGGGAGGTAGGTGCTACTGACATTGGCCTTCAGAGCTGAGGACCCCCAGGCTCTGTTGAAGCTGCCAGTGGCTTGCCTCAGGTTATTCAAATTGGTGGCTGAACTAGGTTTTGAACCAAGGTTCATCCTGATTTTGGTGCAGTCTGTTTTGACACTGCTCTGCACAGCCTCCCTTTATTTTTAGTATAGAAACAAGACAGAAGTTGGAGTGCCTGGATTCCTTCCTGCCTGGATAAAACAATTAGCCCATAATCATTGGTCCATCTTCTCCCTCCCTTGCACCCAGATGGGAATCTCCTTGCGGAAGGGACTAATCTCATTTATCTTGTCTCTCTAACACCTAACTCAGAGCCTGGTGGTTAAAACACACTCAGTAAGTAAATATTTGAGGAAATGAATGGGAGTTAAACATCTGAGCAGAACGCTTAGTAGGAGGAAAGAGGAAGAGGGAAGGGCTGAACATAATTCACCACCCTCCTGTGTAAATGGGAATGACCAATTAAAACAGCCTGTGTGAGCTAGCTTAGTCTGTGGACAAATGACATGAGACTTGCTGTGAGGAACGGGCCACTCATGGTGGTAAAAGAATCACAGTAATAACAGCTCTGGGACCTTGAGGGAAGGAGAGGCAAAGGGAGACATCCATAGGTATCAATAGATATGTGTTGTGGCTGCTGCTGTAGAAGTACTCTCTGTTAGTCTCCAGAGTAAGATTATAGAGGGCAGCCATCTTGTCATTATCAAAAGCAAGTGAAACTGGAGCTTAATGACATGAGTGTTCAAAGGGCAGTGGGAGAGGGAACAATGTCATTAGAACAGGTAAGAAGGGGGCCTGTGAAAGGGGTGCTTTTAAAAGCTGATGGTGTAGTGAGACTAATAGATTTAATGGGCATGGTAAATAGGGTGAGACAAGGCCTATTGTGCAGTGCTCAGCCAACAGTGTCTCACAAAGAATGATGGATTAAGAAGAGCGGGGGAAAGAATGAAATTGGAGACCCAGGAAAACAAAGAGGATATGAGAAGCAGTGGTAAGGAAGAAGTGCAGCTGAAATTGCACAGAGAGTTCTTTAGTCAAGTCTATGAAGAAAGGGATTGACTAACCAGTGCAAGAATAATTCATGATGACAATAATCATTGATGAGTTGGGGGTGGAATGTGTCCTTAGGATATAGCATATCACAAACTAACAGGACTGGAGAACAGTTTGTCTATCCCTGCTGCAGGGCTGTGTTTAAGTATTGCCCCTTCCATTTTACATGTATGCAGCATATCTATCTATCTATCTATCTATCTATCTATCTATCTATCTATCTATCTATCTATCTATATCATCATCTATTCCCACCTATCTCTATGTATGTATATGTATACATACGCATAGATATATGTATATATGTATGTGTGGGTGGGTGTGTGTGTGTGTGTATCTCCATTTTATATTCATAGGTTTGATAAGAAAAAAAACACAAAAAGTCTCTAGGGAAGGTTTTTATAATGTCTTTCCATGGCATGTTTTTATTCTTTTATTCCCACAAACTGTACTGTAGGGAATTTTGTTCCCAGATATAATCCTGTAGCCTATCAGTAGTGGAAGAGAACATCTGCTCATGACAATCATCCAGCCACCCTGATGAATGGAGGCTGTTACTGTCAGTCTCTGCTTTTCTCTGATTTTTATTGAGCAGCTCTATGAAGCTCCTGTTCTTCACTCTCTATGGCTGTGTCCACTCAGGCAAGTTTCTCTTTCCAATGCTCAACACAATCAAAGAGACACACCTAGTGGCTCATGGCCAGCTCATCTATCTCTACTCCAATCTTTCCAGATGTGGCCAGTACTATGAAAGCTTGATGGAAGCCAGTTGAGGATGACGCTTTATGTTTTTATATAGAATGAGAGAAGGCACATTTCGGCGAAGACATTGCTTTTCAGAGGATGCATCAATTCTGGAGCAGTTTTTCTAGGATAGCAACAACGTTTGAAGTTCTACTGCACCATTTTGGGGACATTTCTAGGCAGATTTAGAATGAGCAAATTGGTGGGGGCTACTAGCTAGACAAGGTTGGTGGAGTGAGTATGGGAAGGAACAGCACATATCTGGAAGACAGGATCAGAGAATTTCTCCTAGTTCCCCAGTTCCTCCACTTTCACTATACTGCTTTGTTGTTTCTCCTCCTCCCTTCCGTCATATGCCTTTGGTAGGAATCATAGAATCAAGAAAGTTGGACTATCTGTGTTATCTTGGATTCCCTAGACTTAACCAAGACACAGATAATCAGCTTCAGATAACAGAAGACCCAACCCAAAATGGTTTAAGCAATGAGTAAATTAATTAGTTTACTACCAAGAAGTCTAGAGGGTTTCTTGTTAGGACATATTCAGGGTTATTATTACCTTTAGTGGCTCATGAAGAAGTCATGCTCTCACCATCCTTTTGCTCAGCATATTGATTTATTCTTTTTTTTTCTTTTTTGACCAGGCTTTGCTATGTTTCCCAGGTTGGAATGTAGTGGCCTGACCTGATCATGCAGCTTTGACCTTCTGGGTTCAGGTGATCCTCCCACCTCAGCCTCCAGGGTAGCTGGGACTACAGGCGCACACCACCACGCCTGATTAATTTTTTGTAGTTTCCGTAGAGACGAGGTTTTGCCACGTTGCCCAGGCTGATCTTGAACTCCTGGACTCAAACCATGTACCTGCCTCAGCCTCTCCAAGTGTTGGAATTACAGGTGTGAGCCACTGCGCCCGGCTGATTTATCTTCTTACAGTGGTTATCTTTATGGTCTCAAGCTAGCCACTTGAGATAATTCCAAGTTCCACGTTTCTCTTTGAATGTTTATGTTTGAGAGGGAAATATACTTTTCCAAAGTCCTCCATTGACTTCCTATCTAGCTTCTTATCACAAGTCCATTGTTAAATCAATCACTGGCCAGGAGAAAGGGAATACCAGCACTAGCTTAGATCAATCATGATTTACTACCTAGGGTTAGTGGGGGGCTCCTCATCTCTTTGGGGCCTGTGGCTGTGGATACCAAGAATAAAATTTGGGATCTGTAAGTAAGGAAAAATAAAAGGAGGAGGCACAGAGTGTAGGGGTTTGGTAAATCCTGTTGAGTAGGCAACAATAATGTCTTTTGCAGAAAATTTGGTTCAATAACCAGCCAGTTCACATATGTGATTAGGCTTATGCTTTTGGTGAGTGATGTGATGTTTCAGGATCAGTGTAAGTCACTATTCTGGGTTATTTAGATTATAAGGTTGAGGCCAAGGTTCACTTAGCACTCATTTAATCTTTTATATGTTTTTGTGTATATGTGTGTGTGTTTATAGTTGCTGACTAAACCAAGCCCTGATTGGTTATCTTTTAAGCACTTGATAGTCTCAAAATACATAGGTAAAAGAAGTTAAATGGTAATTGTGATTCTCCTAATTAATGAAAAGCTAGTACTTATTCTTAATGATGGAAATGTAGCTATATGACTTAAAAAGTTGTCACTTTATTAGTAAAGTCTTAGAGATTATAAGAACAACAATCTATCAAATATAGTAATAGCTACTATTTAATGATTACCTTCTATGGGCCAGGAACTACATGAAACATTTTACATGTATTATCTCAGTTAGTTTTGTCCTGAATTTTTCAAGATAGATAGCATGTTTTTCATATTATTGATGAAGTAACTGAAGTCCAAAGAAGCTAAGTTGCCCAGAGTGTAAATCCAGGAAAGAAGAGTCTATTAATCCATTTCACACTGGTATAAAGAACTACCAGAGACTGGGTAATTTATAAAGGAAAGAGGTTTAATTGACTTACAGTTCCACACGGTTGGGAAGGCCTCAGGAAATGTACAATATGGTAGATGGCAAAGGGGAAGCAAGGCATGTCTTACATGGTGGCAGGAGAACACTAAGGGAGAGGTGTTACACCCACTTAATCGATCAGATATCATGAGAACTTACGCACTATCATGAGAACAGCAAGCGTAAAATCCACCTGCATGATCCAATCACCTCTCACCAGACCCCTCCTCCAATCTCCATGAGATTTGGGTGGGGACACAAATCCAAACCATATCAAAAAGGTAATATGGCTTAAGGGTTAAGAGGTATTACACAGATATAGAAGCAAATCCTGCCTGGCACTTACTGTGACCTTGGCCAAGTTACTAAACTCTCTGTGTCAGTTTTCTCCTCTATAAAATGACTTAACTCAATAATTATTAACTATTAATGATTACAACTAAGTGACAGAGCCAGGATTTGAATGCAGGGCTTGCCAGCTGCAGATCCTGCATCCTTTCCCTGTGACATGCTACCTCCAGGGCCTAGCAATGCAAACAGTAAGCTAAATTGCTAACGTTAAGCTTTGTGTCATTGAATGACAGAAAGGCACACTTTTCCAAGAAACATTTTGGTTTAGCAGTAAGAAGAAACATGGAAACATTCCACACCCAGAAACTCTTTCATTATTTTTGTTGCTTTTCATCCCTCCACTTATACTATTGTGAGAAATTACACAACCCAGAGACAATTAGTTATTGTTAAATAAAAATGAATCACTCAAACATGCTGAGGAAGGGCTAATCTTTGAGCTGATTGAGACTCATGAGGACAGAGCTATCACAATTCCTAGGCATCGTATTTTAGTTTTACAATTCATTGCCCTGTTATTGCTAAATCTTTCTTCAAGATCTGACTATGAAAGTAGATATTTCTTTTTTTGTCAATAAATACTATTTTAATATAGGATTCAAGTTTTACTCTTATTTCATTTTGAACATTTCTTCCTGAGAAGCAACCAGTGAAGACTATACACATGATTATCTGGTACTGTTGTCCCTCCAGAGCAGGATCACTGAGAGCTGACGGTGTTATTGTGTCTAACTCCCAGGCCACCGAGGGGAGTTCTGGGGGGCACAGGCTGCTACATGATTTATTGCCAAATCTCATTCCTGGCTTGGTGTCCAATTCCTGCACCCATTTTTCCCCTTGGAAAGTAGGAGATGTCTCTATCATATGGGAAACAAATGCAGATGAAAGGAAGCTTTTATGGGGCCCTTGTCTGACACTGTGTGCCTGTCCGGAAAAGAGTGTATCTCTTCATTCTCAGTGCCACACAATTTACATCTTTCTCACCCTTGTTTAACCTCTCTGAGTTCCCTAGATAACATCTCTTAGATAACATCCCATTGCCACCTCCATGTATGCCCTTCTTCATCTTCTTTTCTTAGTTGTCTATTTTACTCTGCCCACATTTCCAGCCCCCACATCTATGGCATCTTATTACAAGGCCCTGTTGTACTTCTTTGGGGTAAGTAGCCATGTTCTTCCTCACTGCTCTGCTCATAGGCCTCTATTTGATTCTGCTCGAGTTTGCCAGTGACATTCCTGGGATCCATCTAAGGGTCTCATGCATACTTGCCTTTCAACTGGGATATAACCCTTAAGGTGAGGTTCAATTACAACACTGGGCATCATGTTCCAATTGTCTTTTTATTCCAGTGCCTACCACGTAGTTGCAGTAGGTGTTCAACTCGTGTTTTATAATTCAGATTCTTCTGCTTTCTTCCTCCTTTCTTATTGAAATGAAGGTGGACCATAAACCTGCCCTAAATAATGAAATATAATCAAATGTGGAAAAGGATTCAGATTCCGTCAAAGGAAAAAAGGGCCTCATAGTTCATTGTAATTTACCACAATACCCTTCTCTGAACTCCATAATTATTTATGGCTTCACTAGCTTCACTGGTGCTTTGGTTATGCTAGGGTTGTAATTATTTAGCCTTTTGTGTACGTGCCTTGGCTCTCTTATCAGATGGTCAACCACTGGAGGGAGGTCTCCAACAGAGTGTCCAACTCAGTTCCCAGCACATTCTGTGTGGTGAATGGTTGTGCTGATGATGAGCTGAGGGGATACCAGAGAAGGAAGGTGAGTTGAAGCTTGGTGGGAAATGGAACTCCTGTGTGAGGACCATTGAACCCCTCTAGGCCACACCTGTGTTCTCAATGGGCATCTGCCTTCCAGTAGGAGCTCATTCCCTCATGGGTTGGGGATGCGTATCATGGATCTTTGAACTAAATTACCTGCTCACTAACTCATCCCATACCATGAGTAGTGGTAGGAGTGGTGCTGCTTAGATCCCCAGGTCACTGTGGGGCTGGCCCCAGTTCTCAGTTCCCACCGACTTCAAAGTGAATTCCCTCTAATCAGGTATGGAGAGAAACACCCACTTGTGCGATTTCAGCAGGGCCTTCAGGTGGCCGATTTGGCTTCTGATTACATTATTTAAACACTATTTCACAAAGGAGGTGATTTGATGTCACACTAATGCAAGCTCGAATTCACTGCCCATGATTTGAGTTTGCCAGTGTAAAGTAATTCTGCAGTAATGGTCTTTACCACATCAGCCTTTTTATGTTTAAATTTGATGTTAAATTTTTAAAATCTCAGGAGAAGAAAAAAGAAGAGAGCCTAACACATTTTAAGAAACCACAAAAACACCTTGTGAAAAGTCAACTTGTAAAATCCCAGCTGTTAAAGTGGTAAATTTAGCTCTTTATACCTGCAGTAGGTATGGATGCATGGGCATGTGTGTGTACACACACATGTTTTGGACTTATTTCAGTAGGGAAAATAATGTCCAGGGACAATACATCAAGGTCTGTATATATCACTTTTTCTTTTTGTGACCATCCCATGGTGATTGGATATTCTGGGAAAGCTGTTTCACTTTTTTTTCAAGTCTTAGTCTCTCATATCTAAAATATGAGGCTGTGACTATATGCCTCCTAAGGCTCTTTCTAGCTCTCTCTTTATAATTAATTATCAGTAATATAGAAAAATTACAAAAAGCTTATTTTCAGAAGGTGTTGCCTGGACCAAAAAAAAGGAGTGATGACCAGTGGCTAAATTTTGACCTGATGGAGTAGCAGAGGAGTGGATGCCAACTTATTGTTATGGACTGAATGTCTGTGTCCCCAAAATTCGTATGTTAGTACCTAATTCTTAATGTGATGTTATTAGAATGTAGTGCCTTTGAGGGAGATGACTGAGTCTTGAGGCCTCCACCCTCATAAATGGGATTAGTGCTCTTATAAATGAGACCCCAGAGAGCTCTCTTATCCCTTCCACAACATGAGGACACAGCAAGAAGATGGCTGTCTACAAACCAGGAAGCAGGCCCTTACCAGACACCAATTCTGCCACTGCCTTGATCGTGGGCTTCCCAGCCTCCAGAACTGTGAGAAATAAATGTTGGTTATTTATAAGCCAACCGAGGCTGTGGCATTCTGTTACAGCAGCCTGAATGGACTAAGAAACTTAGTGACAGTGCTCTCTCATCTCTCATTCTGCCTCTGCAAATTGCTCCACAAATATAGTTATTGTCCTCCCTCTTCCATTCTGAATTTCTCTCTCTCCATGTCTTATTTATGCACTCATCCATTTGCAAATATTTTCAGCCATAACCTGCAAAAGAGACTTCCCTCTGCCCACTCTCAGTTTCCTTGCGTGAAAAATGATGAATTTGGTCTAGGTGGAGTCTCAGGTTTCTGGCAGCACTAACGTTCTTTAACTCCATGGAGATCTTCCCTCCATAAGCCTGTCAGGATGAAGAGCCGATCCAATCCTTCACCCTCTGTGCATTTGTTCTGCCTACAGGTGCACTGTTTTTCCTGGTATGCTTTCTCAGATGGCAGCAGAGCAAAGAATGAGGTAACTGCTGAGGATTGGCTGCCAAAACCTTCTGTGGGAAAACAGAGTTTTCCAGAATTGATATTTCTAGGAATGATTAAAGAAAAAAAAAATAGATGAAGCTCAACTTGGCAAGGGTAACGGAATAGGCAGCAGGCTCTTGGGCTCAGCTGCCAGTGTGACCTCAAATAAACCAGCTTTGCCTGACAGGACACCTGGCAGGAATGCAGGCTGCAGAGTGGCCCACAGGCTGCAGGGATGACATGGAGACAATGGAGAGCTGGAGAACTGTTGCTAGAAGATGCGAGGGATGTTTTTAGTGGACTCCAAGTCAGTACTAGCCAGAGATGACCACTAATGACAACAGAGATGAGGAAATGTGTCAGGACAGCTCCTCTGAGCACTGGGAGAGTATGGTAAATTGTTGACTCTTAGCTCTCAAATCTCATTTTAAGTGTCTTCAAGAAGAGTTCCTCTTCCTCTTGGTTTCTCTGGAGATTGATGTGCAATGGACTGAGCCACCTATCTGGGGAATTCTTCATCTTTGAGTATCTTGTTAATATTTTCTTTGCTATCATGTACTTTCTGACTTTTAGCTGTGACATCTTAGTTGTAGTTTATACAAATGGATTAGGTGGAGAATAGCAATGCAAGGAACCTGGTCCTTTTTTAACTCTAGTTGACCTCTGCTTGCTAAGCAAGTTCTCATCTAATGAGAACTCATTCAAAGGCCTGAGAACTAGAGAGATATTATTAGATCTGGAAAGAACTTCAAGGATAACCTAACTTGGACCATCTCTTCATGGATGAGGGCAACACCCTGTGTCTGCTGAAGAGAGCCAGTACCAGAAGCCACAGCTTCTGAACTCCAGGTCACTTTTACCTCACCATCTTTATCCTTTCAATAAAAAAAAGTAAACATGCTATTTTTGAGTGTGTAGAATAATTAGATGGCCTTTTGGAGATGTGAGGAAGAAGCAGGCTGAGTGAATCAGGATGTATGTCAGAGAAGAGTTCCCCAAAGTGAAGTTGGAACTGGGTTTAGAAGAAGTTGAATTTTAAAAACTGCTTTGGGGTACATATAATCAACACTAAAAGAGGCCTTACCAACCTTCCTTTTACAATTGGGGAAACTAAGGATCAAACAGATGAGATGATTTTTGTACTCCCTGGAGAGGTAGCTTCATATATACAATATTTTAAATTCTTTCCCGATTTTTATGATTTGGCTTTTGAACCACACTTTCCCTTTCCCTGTATTGACTGAGACTTGACAATCCTTTTATTTATTTACTTATTTATTTATGTCGGAAGGGGACTCCTATCACCTTTGCTTATTTATCATTTACTGAATTTCTTCTACTTCTTTTTCTGCTTTTCTTGTCCCTTTTTAAAAGATGCAAACCCAACTATTGCACCTTAATCCAGATCCCATGGATCCTTCATAGAGAAAGCAAATGAAGTCCTTGCGTGTCTGTTGGACCCACATGGCTTGCAGCAAGAGCATTTTGGTGCTCTGCCATGCACACTTTCCTGTCCCATTGGCTACCCTTTCCTGCCTTCCTAGCAAAAGTGTATTTTCAGACCTTTTATCACTTTGCAATTTTTATTCCCCAGGTGTACTTGCCTGAACTATTTTTTCGTGCCAAACTTCAGTGGATTTCCTCCCCTTGTTTTCAAGGCCCTTTGCCCTCCAGCTGTTGGAGACAAACACTATTGTGATCCCAATAGCAGGACTGATTTAACTGATAATTCACAAAACAATCTGGAGCCATCATCACCTTTCACTCATGACTTCTCTATTCAACATTTTCTCCTCAGAGGCCATAGATTTGGCCAAAGTTTTCTTGTCCCAAAGTCTGTCGATATCTGGCTCCCAAGCCAGCACTGTGTGTATAATTATCTAAAGGCATTTCTGGGCCTTCACATTGTTTACCACTCTTCTGCTTTCACTTAAATATTGCTTCTCTTCTTAGACGTTCCCCTTGCCTCTCCTACTGGGTTGACGATGTGTGCCCCAGTTTGCTAGTATTTGAGATGCAAAAAGCTAACATGGTTTTAAGAGCAACAGAAAAGTCTATTCTACATATCTACCTGCAATACTGTTTGGGTGGGGGAACCTAACTGATGCAAGGAGGAATTACTCTAAATTTCAATGGCTTATGATGAGTATAGGTGGAGATTAAAATAACCCAGGCAGCTCCTTTCTCAGCACAGCTTCCTTGGGTTTAGGCACACTGGTCCTGTGAAATCCTCCATACCTCTTCCACCTACCCACAGCCAAACCGGCAGAACCCTTTGCATTTCTCCCACCTGTGCCAGCTCTGTGGGATCTTCTGCCCCTTTCCCATCCCTGGCTCCACTCAGCTGCCTGGGTATGTAGATGGCCTGAAGTGCCTATGTGGAGCAATGTGCATTTTTGTTTATTTATTTTAATTTATGAATTGCTTTTAAGTATGAATTTCTCTCTCTCTGTTCCAAACTACAAAAGAACCTAGATCAGATAAAGTAGTATCAGTCATCACCATTTTGCTCCATACAGAGGTATTATGAAGTCTCTAAATCCTTCCATTTCTTTTCTTTTTTTGAAGTTAGATGACAGAGGACAAAGCACATCAGTAACATTTTTGTTCCATGGAAGTCACTCTTATCTATTTCGAGTTATCCTTGAAACACAAATTATATTCGCAATAAGGTTCTCTGTTTACCAAAGGACTTATCTCAATGACTCTGCTTACAGGTCCTTCGTTTTTTTCCATAGTTAAGGATTTCATCCTGGGCTGAGTCATCAGGGGTTCTTATTGGAGAGGTTCTCCCTAGTTTGCCCAGGGCCATTGGTCCAATGAAAATGCTTTTCTAAAATTTATTGTCAAGACAAGCTATGAAACACCTGAGCTCTGTCTACAAATTAATACTTATATTAAACTCACAGATATTAATATCAAAGTGCTATCACATTTGTCTTCCCAAGTATACTATTCTTCCCATGAACAAAAAAACTCATTTCTTTTCATTTTTTTACTTATGACATGATTTTCAAGACCCATTGCTAACCTGGTTTCTCTTCACTATGACACAATGTATGTTGTCTACATCCTCTCCAAGCATCCCCATAAGTCATATTTAGTTTTACTTTTCCTCAAAAAGGAAAGCCATCAGGTAACAATATTATTTTAACTTCAACAAGAAATCAAATATTTCTCAACATTTTCATTTATTGTTGCCTGGAGAGAACTCTTCTAAGATGCATTTTTAAAAATTCCTAGAAGATAAATTGGGCCCAAATGTCCATCTGATCTGATCTTGATAGAACTTGAAATTCTTGCATAAGAAGAGAGGAAGCTAGAAGATAGAAGAGGATGAGAGAAATTTTGAGACCATTGACTTCCTGTCTGCCTGGCGCTAGTACATTAGCCCTTATCAAAGTTAGAAGAGCTGGTACAACACAGCCATTGTAGGTATTGGATCAATACCTGGCAAGCAGCCTGAAGGTCAGATAAAGTACTTAGGCAGGCAGTTTGCCAGGCTAAAGAGATGTCAAGAAAATCAATTAGACTCTAAAGAAAGAGTAGCAAGCTAACTAAAAAATCCCATCTTGAAAGGCTCGCTGTATTTCAAAGGTAGTTTATATGCATTCACAATATCTTTATCTTGTTCGTAAAAGTACATTTGCTAAGCAATTAAAACTATCCTTGGGTCACCTGAGGTCAACTCACAAAAGATTGTAAACACCTGCAGGATCCTAGATTAGAAATCGCTACAAAGGATGGAGATTTAATCAAGTTCTTTTCAGGGTATAAGATTACATAACTTTCAATTAATTTGTTCTTTTTCTATATTGATTACTTTATGTGCATTTGCAATGCCAAAGATGCCCTTGCTTTTTGAGTGGTGAGAGACACCATGGACTTTGAGTACTACAGTGATGCCAGGTAGTTTACTTGGTAAGTTTCAGCCATCTCAAATCAAAAAATAGAAGGGGAAAAACAGGACTGATTGCTTTGGTAAATTTTTTTCATCAGCAAGCAAAAGAAAGAAGCATAATGTTTACTGTGTGAAAGGCAGAAGTATTCTTGCTATTTGTTTACCAGCGAAATCTTTTTGTTATTTATATAGTCCCTTCTCTGTCCCAGGGACCTTGTGGGCATATTTTGGTATAAATAACGTGATGACACTCTATTTATCCCAGGCCTTATGATTTTCTTGGTATTGTTACATAAGACTGACAGATAATTTGTAGTACATATTTCTTGACTTCAGGGAAATTTTGTTCAGTCTGGTGGGAGAAATAATATTTAGACCATTTCAATGCTCTGCCAATATAAATTTATTCATAAAGGATAATTATCAAGGGCAAATGTATTGAGCCAAGTACTGTGCTAAATGCTGGGTGGAGTTACTGCAGTGAACCAAGCAGATGGATCTCTGCTGTCATGGAGCTTACAGTCTAGTGAGGGACACAGGCAAGAATCAAGCAATCTAAAACAAGCAAAGAAACAGCTAAAACATTGTGATGTGTGCCCAAGGGAAAAAAAAAATAAAATAAAATGTGGAAGATTTAAGCTTATTGTAAAAATTATAAAGATGGGGGCAGCAGTGAGCATTTTGAGGAAAGAAGACAGCCGGCACAAAGGGTCTCAGGATGTGGGGAAGTTAGGGGGTGGATCACACAGGCTCTGGTAGGCCATACAACTCATCACCACACAAGACCACAAAGTTTCCTTTCTTTTTAAAAATCTTTGTATTTCTTATCCTTGGTTGATAAAGAACCACAGATGACTAATTACAAGAATAATAAATAGCAATATTTGTTATTTTGGATTTTGAAGAACTGAAGATTTATGTATTTTAAGGGTCTTTCTGGGTGCCTGTCTCTATAGATCTTTAACTCCACTAGGTGAACTTAACTGACCTAGACTTTTACCCCTGGGTGTGATGCAGACACAAGGCCGAAGAGCTATCCTTACTCACCCTGCTCAGCACTGAGTCAGTCCTGCTGTTCACTCAGGGAAGACATGGGGGATCTCAAATTTCTAGGGCTTAGTCCCTCCACCAGGCACCCTGATGTTTTAGCTACAGGTCCCAATACCAGTTGCTTGCCCATTTGGTTGCCTACCAATTGTTCCCTGCCTGATTCTCCACCTGTTCATACCTTGAGTCCCAGCTCACACCTTGGACTTCTTTGACCTTGATTAATTGGATGCAAATCTAGTGTATCCTTTTGCCTTGGAACAATTACCCTGCCTGGGTTCTGCGTTGCATCCTGACACACCTGTAGAATCTTGCATTGGTGGCATCTTCTAGAGTCTAGATGCTTTACTCCAAGTTGCAACAGTCTCAGTTGCTAAGTCTTTTTCTTGCAAGACTAATAAGATCAGTGAAAATCACTTAAAAACCCTTTTTTTTTGTGGGGGGGGAGGTATAAGTTTAATCTATTTACTTGTCCTGATCAGGTAGTTTATGATTGACTGATAATATTAACATGATCATTAAAAGCATGAGCTTTGTAGCCATATGGCTGGGCTCCACTGCTTACTTGCTGTGTGTAAATCTGGATGTTACGTAATCACTCTGGGCCTCTGTTTCCTTCTCTGTAGAAGGGGAGAAAAATAGGACCTACCTCATGGAGTTGTTGTGAGGATTAAATAAATGAATACATGTGAAACACCTGGAATGTTGCCTGGCACTTTGTAAATTCTTCTTAAATGCTCATGAGTAAGTGGTGGAATTAGGATTTAAACTCAGACTAAGTCTAGAGCCTGTGTTTTGTTACATATTTCTCCCCAGCCTCTTGAGACAGGGATCTTTAAATGGTCTATAAACTACCAACATTGGGCCAAATCCAATCAAGGAGTTAAGAACAGTTTTTACATTTTTAAAGGGTTGTAAAAACCAGCCTACAAACCACCAAAGAAATAAAGACAAATATGTGACAGAGACCTTGTGTGACTCACAAAGCCTAAATTATTTATTGAATCTTTACGTAAAATTTGCTGATACTTGGCTTACATGTGTGATTTGGGGCAATATGCGTAAACTCCAAGGCTCTATTTTCTCATCTGCAAAAGGGAGATTATAATATCCTTGCTATAAGTTTGTATAAGGCTTAAACAAGATCTCATACGGCAAAGTACTGAACATAATGTTCTGCCCATAGTAGGTGCTTGCTAAATGTTAGATTCCTTCTCTTCTTTCCCATGTGAAGTTATGTTGGCTTCTCTTAACATACATTTAAACTATTTTTAATATTGTAAAAGTGTCCTCATATCACTCTAGATAAGCAGCTTGCTGAAGGGCTTCTGAATGATTTACCAAAGAGGACTGGAAATGTGGAAGGGGCTGGTGACATGAGGCAGGTGTAATTTGGCTACTTTGGAGGCCCAGGAAGGTCAATTCTGTAAATGAGCTGTGAAGGGGAGGTGACCTTACTGGGAAATGGTGAAAAAAAAAAAACAATGTATTATCTGCCATCTAAGTCAAGTGAGCCTTTGGGTGAATTTAGTACAATATGTGAAACAGCTTAGCTTCCCCACTCTTAATTGCCACAGTAAGATATGAGTTAGGCAAACTAAAGACGTCAAAGAGAGAAAGGCCATTGTGGGGATGATTCCTCAGAATGCCCTGGAAAGAAAGGGTGATTGCATGACCAGGGCAGGACATTTAGAGCCAGAAGAATAATATTTGGAGACTGGTGCCTTGGTTTCTCGAAGCTTACAGGCCAGGGAATGTCCTTCAAGTGTGGGGTAGTCTCTGAGCAGAAGTGGAACATTACTTATGTTCAGAGGAAGTAAATAAGGAGGTACAGCCAGAAAAAAGACTAAGGGCAACATATAGGGAGGCATGAAAATGTCTTGAGTTCTGAAATCCCTGTCAATCTTGAAATAGACATTTATGTTCATACTGTTTGGAATGTAGAGCCTTGCTTAAAATTTTTCTCTCCCACATGTGACATTATATACTCTCAAAATTAGCTAACATTTCAAGTCTTTAGGGGCTTTAAAAACTTTTATTGAAGAATAATATATGTATAGAAAAGTAAGTCAATTAATTTTCACAAAAGTGCATGCATTTGATTAACCAACATCCCAATTAATAATGCATCTTAGATTAACTAGCATCTTAGAAGCTCTCTTTGTAACTCCTTCCTGTTTCTACTCCTCTTTAAGGGTAACAATTTTCCAGACTTCCCAAAGAAAAAAATAATTTTGCCTCTTTTTGTTCTTTACATAAATAGATTCACACGATATGTACTCTTTTGTATCTAGCTTCTTTCACTCATCAGTAGGTTTGTGAGATCCATCCCTATTGTTACATATAGTTATTCATTGCCATTGCAATAAAGTATTCCACTGTGTGATTACAGCACAACTTAGTCATTCTACTGTAGTTGGACATTTGGATAGTATCCACTTTTGTACATTACAAATAACACTACTATAAACATTCTGGTGCATCTCTTTGGGTGAACATATGTAGGCATTTCTGTTGCTGGGTTATAGGGCATGTATAAGTTAAGCTTTAGTAAATATTATTTTTTCTAATGTGGTTATACCAAATTAAATTTCATATTGGTATATTTTGAGGAGGGTAAAGTGTGTTTCTAGGACTCTATTAGAATAGAATATTATCTATTAAGGCAATTCTAGGAGCCAGATATGCTTATGCTACTAGTAATGGGATCAGCCTTGGAGCCAAAGGAAATCAGAGAAACAAGCAGATGGAGAACCAATGCCCTGTCAAGTATAGAATTGGGATAAGCTATTGCTGTTGGTGCACTTTCACTCTGAGGACCTTTCAGAGTGACCTATTAGTATTGCAGGAACTAGCTTAAACATTGTGTTTGTTGGATGAATGACAGTAACAGGAATTGAACATAAAATTTCAGACATCATTTATTAATTATATGTACTACATTGATTTCCTGGATTGTTTCCTTTTCCTATTTAAATACATATTAAATATTAGCTACCTGCTTTTGACAGGAAACTATGATCACTGAACCATCTAAATAGATACTCAAGCTACTGCTAAAATTCTTGAGTGCTTTGCACTGTTATTAATTGTAGAATATTCTCCGCAAACGTAAAAAAAAAAAGTCCCTGAGATGGGAAAATATGATGCATTTAAAAAAACTGGAACAAATATTGGCCCTTAAAATTATGGATGGATTATTATATTTTTGAAACCTGGAAACAAAACCAGCAAGTCATCAGATAGTTGACTTCCTGAATTCAGAGTATCAGGAAGTTACCAGAATAGTTTGGGATGAGCTTGTATGAAGTCAGTTTGATGTCACGATTTGACTGAATGCCATGTAAAGAGGAAGCAGTAGACACTATCTGGACTTCTGAAATTTTAGATTTCTTCCTATGCGACATTTGTGTTAGTAAATCAGAAACATGGGGGAATGTTTGAAAAGCAGCATCTTCTGATGCACGGACTTTGGAGTCATATAGACCTGGACTGGAAATCCAGTTCTGTTACTTATTAGCTGGAGGTATGTGACCTCAGATAAGTTGCCTACCCTATTAAATTGCTGTTTCCTGATCTAGAAAGTTGGAATAATAACACTTGCCCTACAGGGTTGCCATGAGAATTAAAGGAGCTAATTTACATATTTGTACAATTTCTCAGACTTTTAGACTTTCCCTCTTATGTACCCTTCTCTTTGGAGGTCAGGTGGCACTGCAACATGGAGCCACAGCATCTAGCTCCATAAGTCTCTCTGTGCCCAGTCCCCCTTTGTCTGGTTGCTGTCTGCCTCTCCTATCATAGAACCTCTCATATAGGGTTTGTTTACTATTTATTGATATCTGTCTCTGATAGACTGTGATCTATCAGGAAGCAGGAACTAGGTCTATTTCACCCTAAACAGCTAGCAGAGAGCCTCCCAAATAATTGAAAAAAAAAAAAATTATCGAACTTTCCCCAACTCCCCTTATGCTTGATTATTTGAAAGTTAGAAAACAAAGTCCTCATTTTGGCAGTGTTATTGATACAGGGAAACCTGAAAAACAATTCAATAAACTTAAAAATTTAGAGTGGCCAAGCTAAACAGGTTGAGATTACGGATAAAAACCAACCAAGCTGACACAAGACAGGGAATAATTATGTACATACAAAGGAAGTAGACATGACTGAATGTGAGTCAGCAGCCTAGTGCTGTTATTAAAAGTGCAAACATGATTCTAGGATGTATTAATAGATGTAAGACATGCAGAAGCCATGGGGTAATCTGCCTATTTTGACTTGGCATTGCTTGAGATCTTGTTGAAGAGCTGTGTATTTTTTGGTGCTCCATATTTATTAGAAGTTACTAAGAAATTGAGGAGGGTCTGGCTGGTGGATACAAAAATGGTTAAAGACATCAAATATATCTGCTATGAGGAGAGTTTAAACCTGTTGTGATATTTTCGCTCTGGAGAAGAAACTTGAGAGTATTAAATAAGCATAGAGTTTATAGTGCTTTTCAGCACACTGTGTAAGTATATGATGAATATAAGATAATGCCATTAACTCATAGAACTGAAGTACTCTTGAGAAGGTATATGATGCATGTGCCTTCCTGCAGGAAGCTGAGTGCTTAAGGCTTTCAAAATAGACAGTTTTCAATCCCTCTTGGAAAGTTGCATAACCTTGCTAAGTAATCATTCAGAGTTTTATCACTCAAGAAGTCAAACGACTCTTTTTCCTAAACCCAAATCTCTTCCTCTTTGATTTTGACAATATTCTCTGATTTTGGTCTATCACTGACGGGGAGAACTTGAATATCCTTTATATTAACTTCTTAGTATATCTCAAATCACTAGTCATCTCCTTGCTGTGATTTTGACATCTCTTTCCTAGCCTAAAATTCTCTAACTTCCCCTTCCTTAGGTACTCTTTGTAATTCTTTTCTGAAATTTCTCCCTGATATCCATACTCTGTGAGAGTGAGATTGATGACTTAAATGGGATATAATAATCTAAAGGTGTCTGACTTGTTAAAAAAAAAAAAGAAAACCCAAAATAAAAAAAAATTCGTATACAACTTTGGTTAACTATACTTCTCATTTTTTCCTTTAAAAATTCCTTTTCACCTTTTTTTTTTCCTTAAGAAGCTGCCTATCATTTATACAGTAACATTTAATTTCCATTTTGTAGGAATAGTTTTCATCTAGTAAAGAAAATTTTGAATCTGATTTTCCCGTCATAGTATTAGCATACATTTTGTGAATAGAGCATTGCTGCCCTTGTTCAGGTGTGGGTTAGACAACCTACTAGGAAGAGTACCAGCGCTGAGTCTTAGGGAGCTTACTAAAGGCAGCACTCCAGACTGGTGCAGAGGCAGCAATAACTATTCTTCAATATAGTCTTCAAACCAGGCGTCCCTTCACTCAATAGTGATAAGGTAAATTGCAAGATGAATGGGATAGAGTGAAAATTTTTTTTCATCATCACACTAAACCATCTTTTATTTTTTTCTTGTCTATGTGGGCTACTAACTAACCTAGTTGCCAACCTAAAATTGAGTACTTAGTAACACTATCTTACAACTGTTTCTCAACAATAAAGGGAAATAGAAACATTTTTGTATTTAAAAAATGGCAGGGTTTCAGCAATGTAATTAAATGATTGCGCCAATAAAAAGAAAGAACTGGTGGGCGGTAATGGGTAAACATGTATCAATAAAGTCTCATAAAATAATCATAATAATAGCAACTGATTTGTAGAATAAAAGAAAAAAACATTTTACTTTTAAAATACTGGACAACAATAATATGTGGATTAGGAGTCTTTAAAATGGGTTTAAAGTCCTTGTATTGTTCAGGAAAAGGATTAAGATATTAATTTATGTTGGAGTTTATTAAGCATACACAATAAAATTTCAAAGGTGAAAAATAAAATAACAAGAACAGAGTACATAATTTTTAAACTGGTAGTGGGAGCCAGGCATGATGGCTCATACTTGTAATCTCAGCACTTTAGGAGGCTGAGGCGGGCAGATCACCTGAGGTCAGGAGTTTGAGACCAGCCTGGCCAACATGGCAAAACCCTGTCTCTACTACAAACACAAAAATTAGCTGAGTGTGGTGGCGGGCACCTGTAATCCCAGCTACTCCAGAGACTGAGGCAGGAGAATTGCTTGAACCCCGGGGGCAGGGGTTGCAGTGAGCCAAGATCACACCACTGCATTCCAGCCTGTGAAACAAGAGCGAGATTCCATCTCAATAAAATAAAAATAAAAATAAATAAAATAAATAAAAATAAACTAGGAATGGGAAAAACATTAAATTATAAACAAAAGGCCACAGATAATAGTAACAATAATCATAAAGGTAAGAGTAATGCCATTTTTTCCTTTAAAAATTCGTTTTCACCTTTTTTTCCTCCTTAAGAAGCTGCCTATCATTTATACACTTAACATCTAATTTCCATTTTTGTAGGAATAGTTTTCATCTAGTAAAGAAAATTTACTAGATGAAAATCAGGCATACGAGTCTATGAGAATTGAGGAGCTTTCACAGAGGAGGTGGTGTTTAAGCTGAATTTTGAAACAAATGAAGATAGGGCTGGGGAAAGTGCATTTTATGCAGAATGTACAAAAAAAGAGCGAAAGTATAGACAGCAATAAGACTTTATGGGATTTGGGGAGCTGCAAGAAGTTCAGTGTGGCTGGAATTAGGTTTCAGTAGCCTAGTCTGGAAAACTAGGTGGAAACTAGACCATAAAGTAAGAGCCATGCAGGCCATGGTTGGGACCTGGGACTTTATCCCATGGGTTCCTGAGAGAGCCTCTGGAAGAATCTAGACCCTTGTTACCTTTTTACTTGGACTGAAATAACAGCAATGGGGCTAGAGCAAAGGACAATTATATGTGGCATGTTATGGAGGTGAAATCAATGGGAGTACATGATGTGCAGATGAGAAGGAAGGGAAACTGACCAGGGAACAAGGTTTACAGCTTGGAAGATTGCATGTGGTTATGCCATTTATTGAAAGAGATGCTATAGTAGATCTTAGTTTGAGGAAAACGATTGTGAGAATAGTTTTAAAAGTTTGCATTTTATAAGGACACCCAGATAGAAGTGTCTAGTTGGAAATATAGCTGTATTTAACAGTAAAATTAAAATAGATGGTTGTCTGCCATGAAATGTTGCGTCTACACAGATCTACACTCAAGGGCAATGGCTCCTTAAATATTAGAGAAATCAAGGTTTTAATACCTAAATATTCCTAAAGAGGAGCATGAGCTTGAAAAACAGTTGTTTAATAAAAACCGGCCTAACATAGAGGGCTTTCTCCAAATTTGTTTTACAGGTGCCTCTGGATGGATTCTACCAATATGTACTGCATGAATATTTTTCATATCTCACATTGGCTAAAAGTTGAGCACTATTCTATTTCCTCGCATTTTCCTAAGATTTCACACCAGGCTGTATTCATGGTACCATGTTCTTTGCATGCCTATATTTTATTTTTGTTAAAGGGAGAATAAATAGATAACAGGTCTTTTGAGGTCATAGAAAATTCAGACATTTTTTGAGTTTGTTTTGGAAGGCAAAAAGTTGGCAATCACACACATCACACAAACACATACAGATGCACACACACACACACACACACATGCACACACATCTTGTGCCTTCTGTTCTGACAATGTATCTTGCCCAGCTCCATCCCACTGCCAGCAGCCTGGAACTTAGTGAGCTGGTGAGTGGAGTCAAGGACACTGTCTTTTAAGCAAGTCTGCAACTTGGCTTCCTCAAATCTTTTTTTTTTTTTTTTTTTTTTAACTTTTACCTACCCACCAGATTGTTGTAAGGATCAAAGGATATAATGTTTGTGAAAGTTTAAAAAAAAATGGTAAAGGACTATACAAATGTAAGAAGGTAAAGAAACATAGAGAACTATTCATTTCCGTTTGCAATACAGAAATGTACCTGTTTGTACTTTTCTTTGTGCTGAAGATGTTTAGTCATAAGTGGGGCTGTGGGAAGACTTTTGATCATGCATAATTTCTCAGGCACACACTGCTTAAAGATACATTTATCTTTCTCTGACCTAATCCCTCTGTGTATTTCAATTCAATTGAAGTTTCTTGCAGGCTTGTGCTGTTTTCACTCATTTTTACCATCATACACTTTATAGTCATTCCTACAGACTGCAATAATGTATCAGATAATTCCGGGACAAAAAAGCCCTGGGACTCTGCTTCAGGGAGAACTGTTTTTCACGAATAGGTTCTAATCCCATTTCTCCAAGTATATTTATCTTATTGTTTACTTTCATGGTTTGTTTTGATCAGCTCTCTATCAGATTGCTTTGTAAAATCCCAGAACTCTAGGACTGTGACGTTACACACCATGCAGTCTCCAGTTGATGTTTGTGGGGAAGCCGCCAAGTGGCCACGAGCGTGTGTTCGCAGCCTCCCTTATGAGAGTGCCTGGCCAAACTGCGGTCAGAAAAGCTTACCTAGGAGCTACCAACTCCTAGATATCTGGCTGCCTACCCAGAAGAGATGGTGGCATGCACTGGCTGGTTTTTAGCCCTGGTGACTTTGAGAGAGAAACTGAGTGAGATACACAGATCCTAATAAATAGGCATCAAAGTGGTTATACCTGTTGAGCCTACTTAACAGAGCAGGGCAGATTGTAAATATTCTAAAATTAAATTCATGATGACAAACAACTCTTTAACTTACAACTACTGTTAAGGTTGCTATACCTCATGCTTGTGTTTCTTCTCAATTAGATAATGATATGGTTTGGCTGTGTCTGCACCCAAATCTTATCTTGAATTGTAGCTCCCATAATTTCCATGTGTTGTGGGAGGGCCTTGGTGGGAGATAATTGAATCATGGGGGCGGTTTCCCCCATACTGTTCTGGTAGTAGTGAATAAGTCTCACGAGAGCTGATGGTTTTATAAGGGGAAATCCCTTTCACTTGATTCTCATTCTTTCTTGTCTGCAGCTATGTAAGATGTGCCTTTTGTCTTCTGCCATGATTGTGAGGCCTCCCCAACCAAGTGGATCTATGAGTCCATTAAACTTCTTTTTCTTTATAAATTACCCAGTTTTGGGTATGTCTTTATTGGCAGTGTGAAGACTGAGTAATACAGCTAATGAATGTAGGTGCCATTGACCTTGAACCTGACTCCAATGGTCTAAGGAAATATCCATGCTGGTCTAGAGAAGAAGTCTTATTATGCCATCCCAACTAAAGTAATTATTGTAAGAAAGCAGAGAGATGCAATGGCTTTGAATTACCATGAGAAAATATGTATCTGTATAACAATATCACTGGGCTGTACTTAGGTTTTATAGAAAAGGGGAAAGATACAGAATGTTACATCAAACAGTGATATATCCTTTTTTGTGTATTTGTAGTGACCAGAGAATTGACACATAATGTGTTCATATATATGAGAATTACATTAACTCACTTTAATTTTTTTAAAGTCAGCAGGTCAATTTTGTGACTCCATTTCTGTGAGTCAGAGAATAATTCTGATAGACTCAATGCAACAAACACAGAAATTTGAAAATTAATTTAGCTTATAAAATTACTTCTTAACAAGATAGAAATAGTTCATAGGGAAAAATCAGTGGTGGAAGCACCCTTCAGTATGTTTAGATTATCAAAATGTTCCTAAATGGCTCAAAATATGGTTCTTATATATGATAAATATTTTCTATACTGAAACTATATGTTGACAAATGAACAACATGTACTGTTGGTGAAGAGGCTGTAAGTGTCAAATACTAATTACCATGATTATGATTTGAACTTGTCAGAACTAACATCTTGAAATCTTGAAGAGGGTTTGCAGAAGGATGGGAACAGAGCATATTGCAAGTTCTTTTTTTATTTGGTTATTGAGAATATACAAGTAATGTACACAAGTAATGTACATAAAAGATGGTGCTGTGATGTAATTACATCCTTCTTAAAGACCATTCAACATAATACCATGTTGTATGTCATTACACATGAAATACTGGTCCACATTGTTCTTCTTCTGCACTTGCCTTCATAATTTTTTCACAGCTTTTTCTAGATTTCTTACATGTTTTAATTTAAAGAGAAATGTAATATATCACCAAGTAGGAGGATTTTAATCATCTTTCCTTCTACTCAAATGAGACTGGTTTATCTTTAGGAAATTTATGGGAAGGTAAGTACACACTAATACAGGGGATAGGATTAAGATATCTTTCCAGGTCTAAGGTAAGGTAATTTGATTAGGCTTTTAATACTTACCCAGAAGAAAGTTGCATCTTTTTTCCCCCAGGCTTTCTCCCTTCTGATTAATTGCCTACCTTAATTTGTACAATCTTTCTAAAATTTAGAGCCCACTATTTTAATCTCCATCTCAAAAGTCCTTGACTCCTGTCCTCCTCCATAAGATCTTTCTGGAAGTTCCTCTCTACACTATAGGATTCTTACTCCTTCATCATGTTGCCCTCAGGTGGCTGCTATGACACTCATAACACATTATGGCACTCATTGGTCTTCACATTTGCATATCCTGTGCTCTGCTGTATATTTCCTGAGCACACGGACTGGGGATGTCATTTCTACATTCCCAGCACTGAGCACAGAGTTTGGCCAAAAGGAGTTCCTTAACAAATATTTCATGGCTGCACAAAACAGTATCACCTTTCGTTGCATTCAAGACCCCTCAAAAATCTGGCTTACTCTTTTTTTCCAGCCTCTTCTCCTTTTCCTTGTACTTAGCTTCCAGATGGCAGCCACTCAGGATCATTTAAACACTCAAGTTTTTGCCCTGTGCCCATGCTGGTCTCCATGTCTCTTCTTGTTGAGATCTTATTTACTTCTTTCAGCCTAATTTAAATACTCATGTGTATATCTGAATGTATGTGTACGTGAGAAAATGTTGACCCTTCTCTAACCCCAGCTAGAATTAATTTTGTCTCCTGTGTGTGCTACTCCATAATCTGTTTAATCCCAGTTGGCTTGCATTATAGCTAGCTGTGCATATAATGATTTCCCTTACTGGCTGGTGAGTTCCTTGAAGACAGGAGCTGTGTTGATATGTTAATTCATTCAAAATATGTATTGGACACTTTCTATGTTCCAGGTATTGTCGTATGTTCTGAGCACAATGTGGTAATGATAATAAACAAAATCCTTGTGCTCAAAAATCTAACATTCCATTCAGGAGAGAAAGATAATAAAAATATAAACAATGCAAAATATGTCTGATGGTGATAAGTACTCTAGTGAGACATAAAGCCAGAAAAGAGGGATACATGCTGATCACCAAAAGCCTCTTTGAGGAGATGACCTTTGTGTAGAGATCTGAAGGAAGGAGCATCTTTGTAGAGGAGCATTTTATGCAGAGGTACTAGCAAGTCCAAGGACCCCAAAGCAGGAGTGAGCTTGCAGTGATTAAGGAAGAGCAAGGAGGCCGGGGTGTGTGCGCCGGAGTGAGTTGGTGGAAAGCAGAGTGAAAGGCAGAGCTCTGGGAGTCCAGATCAGTAAGGCCTGATATGCCCTGGCAAACACTTGAGATCTTACTCTAAAGACATGGGGAGTCTTTGATGGGTTTTCGGTAGAGGAGTGACATGAGCAGACTTATGTCTTAGAGGCATCACCCTGGTTACTGTGTCTGTGGAATTGTCTGTAGTGGGGAAGGTATAGAACTAATGAGATCAGCTAGGATCCTGATGCAACTGTTTAAGCAAGAGATGGTTGTGCTTGGATGAAGTTTGTGGAAGCATTGAGAAGTGGTTGGATTTTGGACCTATGCAAAGCACTGACACATTTACTGAAGGATTTGTTAAGAAAAGAGGGAAACCAAAGATGACTTCAAGGACTTTGGGCTTAGTTAACAGCAGAATGGATGTGCTGATTACTAAAATAAGTTAGACTACAGAATGGATAGGCTGGGAAGGGGAAATAAGTTTGAGATATGATAAGTTTGAGATGCTTATTTGATATTTGGTGGAGATGTTAAGTAGGTAAGTTTGTATTTAAATCAAGAGCTTAGAGCTATACAAAATTTGAAAAATTTTTATCCTATGAACAGACAATACTGAAAACTCTGGGACTGAATAAGTATCAAATGAAGTTAATTATAGATTATAAAGAAATTTTTAAGAACTGAAACCTCCTCCGTTTAGAGATCAAACAAATGAGGGGAACCAGCTAAAGAGACTAAGATGAAGCACCTTCGGAGGTACTTGGGAGGGTTAGTCACTCAGTAAGGATTCTCTGAGTGATTTGCTGTTTCTGGTGTAGGGGCAATTCCTTCCATTTGCTTTTGATGGTTCTTGCGACTAGGGAGCACTAAAGGAGAAGGGAGTGCTTCTACCATTTGACCCTAAAGACAGAGTTTTTCCTGCAGTTATCAGCCTGGAAGTGTAGTTCTATCCCTGCCATCTGTGCTCTCCCTGGATTTCCACTTCATCCTCAAGGCAAGGGAGTAATCCTCTTCTCCTTTGTGTATACCTCTACTTAGAAGGTAGAATTTTGTGGTTTATCACCTTCTCAAGATTGCTCTTGATATTTATTTTAATTGATTTCATCTCTATTGGGAACATGTCATGATTTGGCCAGGGGGCAATTGTATGATGACATGGTTGGTTCAGGGGCTGCCTCATGACACTGAGGTACTTTTAGTGCACAAGCCCTACTTGATCACCTTCATCGCTTGAAGCAACATCTTTAGTAAATCCTCAGTCACTTAGTTTCCACACTCGGGGTGTGTTACTGTCAAATATTCCAAACTGCAAATATTTTTGAGAATGTAAATGAAGCCTGACTCATTGTAAACCTGTGAACTCACCCTAGTCACTAGAGCAGATGGAATGTGAACAAAGGTCAAAATAGATTCATCTCAGTAGTATGTCTGCTGACACTGTAATAGGTACTTAACTTTCTCCGTTCCTTACCTTACCCCATGACAAACTATGAAAACAACAATGTGGTTGTGAGCATGTTTAAAGCAACATTTCACCCCATACCCAGTGGCGTTTCTTAGCTTTAAAGTGGGGGCTGCCATCTTTCTAAAATAGTGATCAATTAAGACTGGCAACATGAAAGCCTGATAGAGAAAAATAGAATTTTATTTCCCATAAACTATCAACTTACTGCTTTAATGGAGATTGACAGAGAAAAAATATACATAAAAAGGATAAAATCCATGTAAATTTTGGTGCCTTTGGAGCATATTTTATGATTTTCTATAATATAGTTGTCTTTTGGGTGTGTATTACCTCCTATAATAATAAACTTTGTTTCCCTATTTTTAGTACCTAGCTAAAGTTAGGTGGTAGGTGAAAATATGTTAAGAAATTTGTTGTCAATAATTTATAAAGTACTCAACACATGAGTGTGTATAATTGTGCATAATATACTTTTAGTAGTTAATAATAAAAAGGGAGAAGCCCCTATGATGCTTAATCTATCTACCCATCCACACATATATACATGTATATACATACACACATACATGTAGGCTAGAGATATATATGTGGCTAGATTAAGCATAATAGATGCATATATATGGCATATATATGTATATCCAGCCTACAGTAGGTATTTTCAGCTAACTCCTGTTATGGAAGTCATTAGAAATTGGTTAAAAAAATTTACTGGAGGAATCCAGGCAGCCCAAACGAGTGGGCTTCCACCCAGTGAAGCACACCCTCTCCACCAAGGGACAGTCAAAGTGCTTCATTGAATGGGTCCTGCTCCCTGTGCCACCCAACTGGGTGAGACCCTCCAACAGGGGTTGTCAGACACCCTATACAGAAGCATTCCTACTGGCATCAGGTCAGTGCACCTTGACGTAAGAGATCCCAGAGGAAAGGGCAGGCACCCATCTTTGTTGTTCTCCAGCCTCCTCAAGTGACATCTCCAGGCAAACAAGATGAATAGGGCCTGAAGTGAACCCCCAGCAAACCACAGCAGCCCTACAAAAGAGGAATCTGACCATTGAAAGAAAAACAAACAAACAAACAAACAAACAGAAAGCAACAATAACAGCATCAACAAAAAGAGTTCCCACAAAAAACCCCATCCAAGGGTCACCAGCCTCAAAGATCAAAACTAGACAAACTCACAGAGATGAGAAAGAATCAATGAAAAAACTCTGAAAGCCCAAAAGACCATATTGCCTCTTCTCCAAATGATCACAACACCTCTCCAGCAAGGACACAGAACTAGATAGAGGATTAGATGGACGAATTGACAGAAGTAGGCTTCAGGAAGTGAGTAATAACAAACTGTGCTGAGCTAAAGGAGCATGTTCTAACCCAATGCAAAGAAGCTAAGAACCTAGATGAAAGATTACAGGAGCTGCTAACTAGAATAACCAGTTTAGAGAGGACCATAAATGACCTGGTGGAGCTGGAAAACACAGCATGAGAACTTCATGAAGCATACACAAGTATCAATAGCCAAATTGACCAAGTGGAAGAAAGGATAGCAGAGTTTGAAGATCATCTTGCTGAAATAAGGCATGCAGACAAGATTGGAGAAAAAAAAAAGAATGAACAAAAGCTCTTAGAAATATGAGACTATGTCAAAAGACCAAACTTACAATTGATTGGAGTACCTGAAAAAGACGGGAAGAATGCAACCAAGTTGGAAAACACACTTCAGGATATTATCCAGGAGAACTTCCCTGACCTAGTAAGACAGACTGACATTCAAATTCAGGAAATATGGAGAACACCACTAAGATACTATGAGAAGATCAACCCTAAACACATAATCATCAGTTTCCCCAAGGTTGAAAGAAGGAAAAAATGTTAAGGACAGCCAGAGAGAAAGGTCAGGTCACCTAAAAAGGGAAGCCCATCATACTCAAAGTGGACATCTCAGCAGAAACCCTATAAGCCAGAAGAGAGTGGGGGCCAATATTCAGATTTTTAAAGGAAAGAGTTTTCAACCCAGAATTTCATATCCAAACAAACTAAGCTTTATAAGCAAAAGAGAAATAAAATCCTTTCCAGACAAACAAATGCTGAGGGATTTTGTCACCACCAGGCCTGCCTTGCAAGAGCTCCTGAAAGAAGCACTAAATATGGAAAGGAAAAATCAGTACCAGCCACTGCAAAAACACACCAAAATATAAAGGCCAATGACACTATGAAGAAACTGAATCAACTAGTGTGCAAAAATAACCAGCTAGCATCATTATAACAGGATCAAATTCACACATAACAATATTAACCTTAAATGTAAATGGGCTAAATGCCCCAATGAAGAGACACAGACTGGCAAATTGGATAAAGAGTCAAGACCTATCTGTGTGCTGTATTCAGGAGACTTATCTCAGGTGCAAAGACACACATAGGCTCAAAATAAAGGGATGGAGGAAAATTTACCAAGCAAATGGAAAGCAAACAAACAAACAAACAAACAAAAAAACAAGAGTTGCAATCTTAGTCTCTGACAAAACAGACTTTAAACCAACGAAGGTTAAAAACAATGACAGGCATTACATAATGGTAAAGGGATCAATTCAACAAGAAGAGCTAACTATCCTAAATATACATGTACCAAACACAGAAGCACCAAAATTCATAAAACAAGTTCTTAGAGACACACAAAGAGACTTAGACTACCACACAATAATAGTGGGAGACTTTAACACCCCACTGTCAATATTAGACAGATCAACCAGACAGAAAAGTAACAAGGATATTCAGGACTTGAACTCAGCTCTGAATCAAGTGGACCAAATAGACATCTGTAGAACTCTCCATCCCAAATCAACAGAATATACATTCTTCTCACTGCCACATGGCACTTATTCTAAAATTGACACATAATTGGAAGTAAAACACTCGTCAGCAAATGCAAAAGAACTGAAATAATAACCAGCAATTTCTCAGACCACAGTGCAATCAAATTAGAACCCAGGATTAAGAAACTCACACAAGACCACACAACTACATGGACATTGAACACCCTGCTCCTGAGTGACTCATGGGTAAATAATGAAATTAATGCAGAAATCAAGAAGTTATTTGAACCCAATGAGAACAAAGAGACAATGTACTAGAATCTCTGGGACACAGCTAAAGCAGTGGTAAGAAGGAAATGTATAGCAGTAAATGCCCACATCAGAAAGGTAGAAAGATCTCAAATTGACACCCTAACATTGCAATTAAAAGAGCTAGAGAAGCAAGAGCAAGCAAATCCAAAAGCTAGCAGAAGACAAGAAATAACTAAGATCAGAGCAGAAATGAAGGAGAGAGAGACACGAAAACCCTTCAAAAAATCAATGAATCTAGCAGCTGGTTTTTTGAAAAAATTAACAACATAGACTGCTAGCTAGACAAATAAAGAAGAAAAGAGAGAATAATCAAATAGACACAATAAAAAATGATAAAAGGATGTCACCACCAATCTCACAGAAATACAGACTACCATCAGAGAATACTATAAACACCTCTATGCAAATAAACTAGAAAATTTAGAAGAAATGGACAAATATCTGGACACATACACCTTCTCATGATTAAACCAGAAGAATTTACGTCTCTAAATAGACCAATAACAAGTTCTAAAATTTAGGCAGTAGTAGCCTACTAACCAAAGAAATCCCAGGACCAGATGGATTCACAGCCAAATTCTATCAGAGGTACAAAGAGGAGCAGGTACCATTCCTTCTGAAACTATTCAAACAGTCGAAAAGGAGGGACTCCTCCTTAACTTATTTTATGAGGCCAGCACCATCCTGATACCAAAACCTGGCAGAGGCACAACAAAAAAGGCCAATATCCCTGATGATCATCAAAGCAGAAATCCTCAATAAAATACTGGCAAACTGAATCTAGCGGCACATCAAAAAGCTTATCCACCACGATCAAGTCGGCTTCATCCCTGGGATGCAAGGCTGGTTCAATATATGCAAATCAATAAATATAATCCATCACATAAACAGAACCAGTGACAAAAACACCGGATTAACTCAATAGATGGAGAAAAGAACTTTGATAAAATTCAACATCCCTTCATGTTAAAAACTCTCAATAAACTAGGTATTGATGGAACATATCTCAAAATAATAAGAGCTGTTTATGACAAACCCACAGCCAATATCATACTGAATGGGCAAAAGCTGGAAGCATTCCCTTGGAAAACTGGCACAAGACAAGGAAGCCCTCTTTCATTACTCCTATTCAACATAGTATTGGAAGTTCTGGCCAAGGCAATCAGCCAAGAGAAAGAAATAAAGGGTATTCAGGTAGGAAGAGAAGAAGACAAATTGTCTCTGTTTGCAGATGACATGATTCTAAAACCCCATCATCTCAGCTCCCAAAACTCCTTAAGCTGATAAGCAACTTCAGCAAAGTCTCAGGATTCAAAATCAATGTGCAAAAATCACAGGCATTCCTATACACCAAAAATAGACAAGCAGAGAGCCAAATCATCAATGAACTCTGATTCAAAATTGCTACAAAAAGAATAGCAATAGCAACAGCTAACAAAGGAAGTGAAGGACCTCTTCAAGGAAAACTACAAACCACTGCTCAAGGAAATAAGAGAGGAAACAAATGGAAAAACATTCCATCCTCATGGATAGAAAGAATCAATATTGTGAAAATGGCCATACTGCCTAAAATAATTGATAGATTTAATGCTATTCTCATCAAACTACCACTGACATTCTTCACAGAGTTAGAAAAAATTACTTTAAATTTCACATGGAACCAAAAAGAGCCTGTATAGCCAAGATAATCCTAAGCAAAAAGAACAAAGCTAGAGTCATCACACTACCTCACTTCAAACTATATTACAAGGCTACAGTAACCAAAACAGCATGGTACTGGTACTAAAACAGACATATAGACCAATGAAACAACAGAAATAACACCACATATCTACTGCCATCTAGTCTTAGACAAACCTCACAAAAATAAGCAGTGAAGAAAGGATTTCCTATTTAATAAATGGTGCTGGGAAAACTGGCTAGACATATGCCGAAAACTGAAACTGGACCTCTTCCTTACACCTTATACAAAAATTAACTCAAGATGGATTAAAGACTTAAATGTAAAACCAAAAAGCATAAAAACCCTAGAAGAAAACCTAGACAATACCATTCAGGACGTAGGCCTCGGCAAAGACTTCATGACAAAAATGCCAAAAGCAATGGCAACAAAAGCCAAAATTGACAAATAGGATCTAATTAAACTAAAAAACTTTTACACAGCAAAAGAAGGTATCATCAGAGTGAACAGGGATCCTATAGAATGGGAGAAAATTTTTGCAATCTACCCATCTGACAAAGATCTAATATCTAGATCCACAAGAAACTTAAACAAATTTATAAGAAGGAAACAAACAATCCCATCAAAAAGTAGGCAAAGAATATGAACAGACACTTCTCAAAAGAAGACATTTATGCAGCCAACAAACATATGAAGAAAAGCTCAACATCACTGATCATTAGAGAAATGCAAATCAAAACCACATTGAGATACAATCTCACACCAGTCAGAATGGTGATTATTAAAAGGCCAGGAAACAATAGACACTGGCAAGGCTGCACAGAAATAGGAATGTTTTTACACTGTTGGTGGGAATGTAAATTAGTTCAAACATTGTGGAAGACAGTGTGGTGACTCCTCAAGGATCTAGAACCAGAAATACCATTTCACCCAGCAATCCCATTGCTGGGTATACACCCAAAGGAATACAAATCATTCTACTATAAAGACACATGCACAGGTATGTTTATTGCAGCACTATTTACAATATCAAAGACATGGAACCAACCCAAATGCCCATCAATGATAGACTTGATAAAGAAAATGTGGTACATGTACACCATGGAATACTATGCAGCCATAAAAAGGAATGAGATCATGTCCTTTGCAGGGACGTGGTTGAAGCTGGAAGCCATCATTCTCAACAAACTAATACAGGAATGGAAAACTAAACACTGCATGTTCTCACTTATAAGTGCGGCTTGAACAATGAGAACACATAGACACAGGGAGGGAAACAGCACACACTGGGGCCAGTCAGGGGTTGAGGGAAGAAGGAAGTGAGAGCATTAGGACAAATAGCTAATGCATGCAGGGCTTAAAACCTAGATGATGGGTTGATAGGTGCAGCACACCACCATGGCACGTGTATACCTATGTAACAAACATACACATTCTGCACTTGTATCCCAAAACTTACAGTTAAAAAAAAAGTGCTTTACCAACCACATACTCGCAATGTCATAAGTGACCTTTCAAAAATGGAAATGGTCGCCTCCAGTCTAGGATTTAGAAAGGTCAATGGGCAATTTAAAATAAAAAAAAACGAGTATATTTTTACAACTTGTCCATGGAGACAAACTTTTTTTACTCTGCTATGTAAGCTCCCATTGGACTCTTTTAGACACAACAGAATAGTATTTTTTAGTGATAATAGATCACATAGAATCAAAATAGTTGGGAAAAACTTTAATTAACAATGATGAACAATTATATAGCACATTTAATTAATGCCATTTATTCATCATTGTAACCCATGAGGCAACCACTTTTATACAATGAAGATGATAAAGTAGTCAGTGAGTTAACTCCTAGTGATTCTACTACTGGCCATAAATTTGTCTTGGAAATGATGCAGTGAAAGCTCTCTCAGATATTTATTTTAACAGAGGAATTTTAGATAGAGAAAATCCTGGAAGGAGGAAATGGGCAGCTGCAAACTTTAAGGAAGGCATAGAATAAAAAAAGAAAAGGGCCTTTCAAGAAACTTGCATTGTGAAGTGTGAAGGTGTGTGCATGCGTCTGTGTGTATGTTATTGATGGTGGTGGTGATGGTGGTGGTGATGGTGGGACTCTATTGGACAACATTGCTACCTGCCTCTAGGCCACACTCTAGGGATGAACTCCCTGGAGCTTCAGGCCACTCTTCTGGCTGCCAGCCCCCAGACTCTCTTTTCCTATCCAAATCTTATCAGCGATTATAACATTTTGTTTTATAGTACAGTTTTTACGAAGTCAAGTTCTCCTTTACATACTCACATCAAGTATTTGATAAAAACTGTTCAACTTGAGCACATTTTTCTTATTAAAAATAGTATTAAGATTATTTTTGCATGAATATGAGATGTTACTTGCTGAAAGAGATTATTACTCCTCAATCAGCATTTTAATAATAAGGTGCTAGCTGAAAGACAAAGCAGACATTTTGTAAGAAACTGTTCTTTTTCTATATTTCTTTTAAAAATAATGTTTAATATTTCTGATTAAAATATTAAAAAGTATGAAGAATAAAATGAAATATTACCTCTGATTCTGGCCTCCAGAGATAACTACTATTAATATTTTGGTGTATTTCTTTGTCTGGGTGTGAGTATATGTGTATGTTGACCTGCCCTATACTATATGTATAATTTTATATCCCACTTTCTTAATCCAGCAATATATGAATTTTTCAGGAATTCAATGCTATTTTAAAACGCTATTAATTCATTTTATATTTATTGCTTAAATATATCTCTGCCTAGAGATATGCATTTATCTGTTGTTTGTTTTATACTATAAATAAAGCTATGATAAAAAGTCTTTGAATATAAACTCTAGTCAGCAAAAACTGTGGCTATTTTGGTCTGTTTTTGAATCTCATAAAAATGCTTCCAGTGCTGTATTTTCTCTTTTTTAAAAAAAATACCCTTTCTTCTTTTTTCATTAAAAAAAATATGGAATGTTTCACAAATTTGTATATCAACCTTGCACAGGGGACATGCGAATCTTCTCTGTATCATTCTAATTTTAGTATATATGCTGTCAAAACGAGCACAAGTGCCTTATTTTCTTCAATTTGTGCTATAGAATACAATTTCATTGGTCAATAGGTGTTTCACTATTTAAAAGATGAAATTGTGAAATAAGTTTGTGAAATGTTGAATTCAACAAAGATACAAATTTTTTTCTACAGGACTTCTCAGAGCCTTTAATATGCAAATGTGTGCTGAAAATGATTAAAGGAGAGATCAGGTATGCAGGGCACCATTTTTCCAAAGATCTCAGAGCAATCATTCTATGGAATTTTGGTTTGGAAAATATTAAATGTGATTCTGTCTTTTGATTCAGAAGAGTTGTATCAGTTATATTAGTTGCAGGTAACACAAGGCTATGCTGCAATAACAAAAGCACTGTGAAATCTCTATGGTTTAATACAACGAAGGTTTATCCCTTGCTCATGTCATAGTATGTAATAGTTTCTTCCCAAACAGTGTCCCAGGGGCCCAGCCTGCTTCCAAATTCTAACTCCACCAGCTCTTTTTTTCTTTCAACCACCTGCATGAGATTGCATGTGGAGAGAGCACACCTGTTCTTCTTTCTTCCAGTGTTTAATTGGTAAGAATTAGTCATATCCCTAGACCACTTAGATTCAAGGGACTGAGAAAGATTGTGGAGCAAATAAATGTTTGATGAATAGTAACAGTCTCTGCCATACCTTTTTTTTTTTTTTAAATAAGTAATAGATGTTAGATTTTGTTGAATGCCTATTTGGAAACTGCTGGGATAATAACATTTTAAAGCTTATTAATATTATGATCCTGCTTACTACATATCCTAATATCAAACTCTTCATAGTCATAAAAGAAATCCTTTGCTAAGATGAGAAAGAATTACTTTAATGTTCTTTTGAATTAGATTTGATGGTATTTTAACCTAGGATTGTATTTATATTCATGAATGAATTTTCTTATTCATTGCTTTTTGTTAGAGATTGTTATCAGGGTTTATTATGGAAAGTTTTACATATATGTATTTTTTAAGTAAACTTTTTATTTTGAAATACTTGTACATTTACGTGCAATGAATCCATGCACTCATTTTTCAGTTTCTCTAACGTTAACATTTTGCAAAACTATACTGCAATATAAAAACCAGTATATTGACATTGTTACAGCCAAGGTAAAGAACATCTCCAGTACCACAAAGATCCCTTGTGTTGCACTTTTGTGGCCATACCCACTTCCCACCTGTCCCCACTTCCCTCTTGCCCCCACTTCCTTCTTAATCCCTAATAACAACTAATCCATTCTCCATTTCTATAACTTTGTCATTTTAAGAATGTTTTATAACTGGCATCATAGAGTATATAAACTTTTGATATTGACTTTTTCTTTTTAAAATTATTTTAAAATACCCATTTTATTTCTTTTTTTGTGTGTTGTTACATGGATGTATTAATTTGTTCACACACTACTATAAAGAACTGCCCAAGACTGGGTAATTTATAAAGGAAAGAGGTTTAATTGCATCACAGTTCCACATGGCTGGGGAGGCCTCAGGAAAGTTACAATCATGGTGGAAGGCAAAAGGAGAGTAAGGATCTTCTTCACATGGCTGCAGGAGAGAGAAGAGTGAGGAGTGAAGGGGGAAGAGCACCTTATAAAACTGCCAGATCTCGTAAGAACTCACTATCATGAGAATAGCATGGGGAAAAACCACCCTCATGATCCAATCACTTCCCACCAGGTCTCTCCCTAGGCACATGGGGATTATGGGGATTACAATTGAATATGAGATTTGGTGGGGACACAGCCAAATCATATCAATGGGTATATTGCATACTGGTGGAGATTGGGCTTCTAGTATACCTATCACCCCAATACTGAACATTGTACCCAAAAGATAATTTTTCAACCTTTATCCCCTTCCCACCATCTCCCATTTTGGAAGCCCCGGTGTCTATTATTTTTATCTTTATGTTCATGCGCACCCATTGTTCAGCTCCCACTTATAAGTGAGAACATGTGATATTTGATTTTATGTTTCTAAATTAGTTCACTTAGGATTATGGCCTCCAGCTCCATCTGTGTTGCTGCAAAGACATGGTTTCGTTCTTTTTAATGTCTGCATAGTATTCCATGGTGTAAATGTACCACATTGTCTATGTCTAGGATTGGCTTTTTTACTCAGGATAATTTTCCGGAGATTCCTACAGGTTACTGTGTTTATCAATAATTTGTTCCTTTTTATTGCTTAATAGCAGTGTATGATAGGTGTGCATCAGTTCTTTTAATTATTATGCACCCAGTGAAAGGACATCTGAGTTGTTTCCAAGTTTTGGCTATTACAAACAAGCTACTATGAACAGTTGTATAAAGGTTTTGCATGAACATAAGTTTTCATTTCTCTGTTATAAATGCAAGTGGCTGAAATTCCTGGGTTGTATAACAGTTGCATGTTTAGTTTTTTTAAAGAAACTGCCAAATTGTTTTGTAGAGTGACTACACCGTTTCATAACTCCACCAGCAGCATGTGAGTGATCAAGTATCTTGTTATCCTTGCCAGTATTTACTGCTATCACTTTCTGTTTCAATGTCAGCCACTCTGATAGGCATGTAATAATGTCTTGTTGTTTTAATTTGCATGTTCCCTATAGCTAATTATATTGGACATAATTTCATATGCTTATTTGCTATCTATTTACTTTCTTTGGTGAACTATTTGTTCACTCATTTGTGCCTATTTTCTAGTTGTATTGTTTGATTTCAGCTTTTTTTACTATTGAGTTTTGATAGTTCTTTATATATATACTATTATAGATACTAGTTCTTTGTCTGATATGTGGTTTACAAATACCTACTTCCTGTGTGTAGTTTGTCTTTTCACTCTCTTAATATAGTTTTTTCTCAGAGCAAAAGTTTTTAACTTTCATGGTCTAATTTATTAATATTTCTCTTTATATATATGCTTTGTTGTCAAGTCTAAAAACACTTTGCCAAGACCTGGAGCCCAAATATTTTCTCCTGTAATTTTTTCCCCCAAATTTTATACTTGTACAATTTACCTTTAAGTCTGTGATGCATTTTGAGTTAATCTGTGTAAGGTGCAAGGTTACGCAAATTTGTATAAGTGTGAGGTGTAAGGTTTATGACAAGATTACTATTATTTTTGCCTATGAATGTCCAGTTGTTCTGGCACCTTTTGTTGAAAAGACTCCATTGGTTGTTGCTTCTTTGTCAAAATTCAATTGGACATATTTGTGTTGATCTCTTTATGGTTTCTCTCTTCTGTTCTATTGATCTGTGTGTAGATTGCTCCATTAGTATCACACAGTCTTGACTACTGCAGCCAGACAAAAAGTCTTAAAATCAGGTAGACTCTTTACTCTTCCATTATTTTTCTTTTGCAATTTGTTTTTAACTATTCCACTTCTTTAGCCTTTTCATATTATTTTTTGAATAATCTTGTCTATATCTATGAAAAATGAGCAAGGATTTTAATAGGAATTGCATTACACTTGCATATAAATTTGTGGAAAACTAATATTTTTACTATGTAAAGTCTTTTTATCCTTAAACACAGTATATCTCTCCTGTTCTTTAGATCATTGATTTCTTCCATCAGCATTGTTTTAAATATTTCATTGACATACATTTAGAACCATATCAGACAGTGTTATAATTTTGGTTCAATTGTCAAACATGATTTGGGAAAATTTTAAAAAGGAAAGTATATTGCATTTATCCATATTTTTATTTACAAAGTTCTTCCTTCTTGTTTCGAGGATTCTACTTTTATCATTTATTTTCTGTTAAGAGAATTTTCTTTAGCCATTCTTTTAGGACAGGTCTGCTGAAGACAAATTCTCTTAGTTTTACTTCATCTGAGAATGTCTTGAGTTCCCCTTATTGCTGAAGGATATTTTCTCTGCATACATTATTCTTGGTTGATAGTTGTTTTCTTTCAGTATTCGAAAAACTGTGCCACTTCCTTCTGGCTTTCATAGTTTTTGATAAGAAATCCATTGTCTCTGATTTATTATTTTTTAATATAGGTAAGCTTTTGTCTCTATCTCATTACTTTTAGGATTTCTTTGTCTTTGTTTATAGAATTTTGACTATGATGTTTTGTAGTGTGATTTCATAGTATTTCTCCTGCTTTGGGTTTGCTTAGCTTCTTAAATCTGTAGGCTATGTCTCTTGCAAAATTTGGGAAATTTTCAGCTATTACTTCTTTGAGGTTGTCAGTTTCTTAGGTCCAACTCTGGAATATATGAGGCATAAAGAAAACCCAGGGAACTTATCACCATGTTGTTTCTTGAGTCCTGAAGGTCCTATTCAGTGTGTCTTCTTCTTTCCATTTTTTAGTTCACTAATGTTTGTCTTACAGTCCAGAACTTTTAGTTGTACTTAGTGAGAGGAATAAGAAAATGCATCTTTATTCCATATTATCAGAATCTATATAAGTTTTCTAGTTGTATCTCTTGAATATTTATTGCACATAGGACTACCTGTTCCTTAATACTTTGCAAGAGTTTTCTAATGAAATTAGTTGGCTGATTAACAAAAAATAAATCCGAAAGAATTTATTTCTCAAAATGTTAAAGATAATTTATAATGAAGATTATATCTGAATTGGTCTTGAAAAACTGAAATTCACAGGATAAAAACTGGTTAAATCCTTTCAGGTGTAAAGAACAGTAGGAGTCATCATACTAAAGAGCATCTTATAAAAGTTAAGGTAAGACAAGAGTAGATTGAAAATAAGATTTTAAATTCCCAAATCTTAAATGCTTGTACACCGTTGGTGGGAATAGACATTAGGTCAGCCACTGTGGAAAGCAAGTTGGAGATCTCTCAAATAACTTAAAACAGAACTACCATTCAATCTAGCAACCTCATTACTTAGTATATACCCAAAGGAAAATAAATTGTTCTACCAAAAAGACACATACAGTTGTATGTTCATCACAGCACTATTCACAATAGCAAATATATGGAGTCAATCTAGATGCCCATAAGTGAAGGACTGGATAAAGGAAATGTGGTACATACATATCATGGAATACTGTGCAGCCATAAAACATGAAATTATGTCCTTTGCAGTAACAGGATGCACCTGGAGGCCATTATCCTAAGCAAATTCACACAGAAATAGAAACCCAAATACTGCCTAGTCTCACTTATAAGCAGGAGCCAAACACTGGGTACACATTGATATAAAGATAGGGACAATAAGTACTGGGGACTACCAGAACAGAGAGGGAGGGAGAAGAGTGAGGGCTGAAAAACTACCTAGTGGGTACTATGCTTAGTACCTGGTGACAGGACCAGTTGTACCCCAAGCCTCAGTGTTATAGAATATACCCATGTAACAAATCTGCAATCTAAAACAAAAGCTTAAATTATCTTTAAAAATTCCAAATAATGTTATAAAAATAAACAAATCTTTATAATGAGAGAAGAATAGAGGTTTTTTTTTTTCTGGCAGTATAGTAGATGAGCAATTTTCAGATGTTTTGTAGTGGGATAATTTTTTTACATAGCCATATCTAAAATTGACAAAGAAAGAAGCAAAGATTTTTTTTTCCATTTCCCCCCTTTTTCATCAAGAAGGAAAATATTTTCCAGAAACGCTCCCTCTCAGCAGATTTTTATTTGTATTCTGTTGGTCAAAATTGGGTCAAAGGGCCATGTCCTTAAACCTATCACTGACAAAGACAATGCACTGACCATTTTATTAACTGTCTTCCCCTCCCCCAAGTTTTCTTTTTTTCTAATTTCTTTTTACTTAAAAATTTTATTTTACTTAAATTGCATAGAGAAAGGGTCTCACTATGTTGATCAGGCTGGTCTGTAACTCCTGGGCTCAAGCAATCCTCTTATCTCAGCCTCCCAAAGTGCTGGGATTACAGGTATGCACTACTGTGCTTAGTCCCCAATTTTCACTGTATATTCTTCTATAGAAAAATATGTAATTCTTCAATTATAAAAATATTACATATTTTTATAGACTATTTGGTAAATATAAAAGAACATGGGAAAAAATAAAAATCAGCCATAATGCCATAACTAATAGATATTTCTGATAATTTTTAGCTAACTTCAAATTGGATTTTATTTATTCGCCTTTAATGTGTTATGTTTTCAATACTTCTGTAGGCACATGCATATTTCACTGATCTCAGTCCTCACCACTGGTAATTTTACAGCACGTTGTTTTCATTTCTGAGCTCTTAATTTGATTGATATTTTGAGTGGCTGAAATGTGCACCCATATACACACATACTCTTAAAGAATGGCATATGGGTAATGTATTTTCCAAGCTCTTGAATGTTTAAGAATATTTGTGTGTTTCATTCATTAATATGTTCATTCCTGTAACAATTATTTATTGAACATCCTCTATGTACCTGGCACAATGTTAAATATTAGACTTATAAGGGTTAATAGGACAGATATGGCCCATGCCCTCTTGGAGCTTATAATTTACTAGGTAGCAGATATTTAAAACGTAAAGGATATGAAGACAAAAAGGAGAGATAAGGGTGATTATATTGGTATGTAATTCAGAAGGAACAACACAACAACCTAGTTTGAGGATCAGCGAACGTTTTTACTTTAAAAAAATTGCATTAGACTGAGACCTGAAATTTTAGCAGAAATGCAGAGTAGGAGGAAGAATATTCTGAGTAACAGAAACTCCATGAATGACGCATTGAGGTAGGAGCAGATGGCAAATTTGAGAGGCTGAAAGAGGACCAGTATACTTAAAACACTGAAAGTGAAGAGGAGTGGGACATATAAATCCTATAAAGAGTGGGTAAAAACTCAGTTGTGGATGGTGGATGGCCATGTGAATTACTGTTGGAATTTGGTACATTGTTATAAGGGCAATGAAAATCCTTGAGAAGTTTTAATATGGAGATACGATTATGCATTTCAAATAGATTACTCTAGATATTAAATTTACTTTCAAAATTCTGTATGCATCTTCCTTGTCTTCTGCAATTTAATTTACAAAGTAGAAGTCTGAGGCTAACTTTAATTTTGTTCCTTTAAGTGTAGAATACATTTTTTCTAAATGTTTATAAGAAACTTATTTATTCTTGAAAAACACTGTCCAAGGATTCCTCTAGATATAGATTTTTTTTACTTATTTTTTTTCTGGAACATATTGAATTATTTATATGCATGTATTTAGGACATTTTTAAAAGCCTGGAATGTTTTCTTTAGTTATATCTTTACTTATTGCTCCAATTCTTTTTATTCTTTTTTTTCCCCTTGGGATCCTCTGTAAATTTTGAGACTAAATTTCTACTTTTTTTCCCTATGCCTACCTTCATTTTCATTTGACACACATATACACACACAAAATCTCTGACAAACACACAGATACTCATGGACATGCACATACATTTATGTACATATTGATATAGAAACACACATATAGACACTTAGCAATTTTCATGAAAATTTAGGAGAGGTTCTGTCACGTGTGTTAGCCATTTTAGTCTGAAATTGCCATTCTCGTTTTGGAAACTTCCACCTGAAATCTACAGTGAAGATACAATCCGTGCAGGAAAGGGGAAGATGGTACATAAAGAGGTTTGGAATTTGTTTAGTGGCATTGTGAATATTCCAAAAGCTATCCTGAGTGAGTGAAAAAACAGTGTGACTTTGTTATCTGCTGAATTAAGTTCTTACCCTATTCCAAAGACAGAATTGCCTTCATGAAATGATAGAGACCATTAGTCTCTTTTTAGGAATTCACCAAGCATTCTAGTTCTGTAGCATTCTACTGTATTAAAAACCAACATCAGACAAAACAAAATACAAACATAACTTCTAGAAGAACAATTTTTATAAACCTTTTTGGGAACCCATTTTGGCAGACAGAAAGCTCTTCTAAAGTCTCACCCAACCTGAACAGACTTTTTAAGAAACGTATTTCCCTTTCCTCTCTCCGGGAAACAGAGAGTTTCCCGGGAAAAGACTATTGTCTTTTTGAAAAATGTCCAAATTTCTTGATATATTGAGGAGATGAGCTTCCTCAATTGATTTTCAGTCTTGTGCACCAGGTGTATATGTGCATTAAAAATTTTCTGACTTAGCGGGACTTCTAAGTCCAGTCTCCTTCCATAGGCTCCTTTTTGGTGAAATATTATATAAATGCCCTTTAATATGAAGGAATTATTAATATCTATAAAATTTTGCTTTTAAGTCATATATGATTTTTTCTTGCATGTTATACTTAGTTTGAAAGAAGTATAGTGTCCATGTGAAGAACATGAACTGTAGAATTAGAAGCATGGGCTGGGATCTTGACCACTGCTTACTAGCTGGGTGAGCTTGGACAAGTGACAGGGTTTCTGTGCTTCAGGTTTTCCATCTGAAAAAAAGGACCCCTTCATTTAAAGAGCTAATGTATTCAAGAACATGAAAGAGTACCTGAAACATATTGCTTTATATATGTACTTCTTATTGTTATTTTTAAGGTAATCAGCAATACAAGTGTGTTCTTTCAAGGTGATTTGACAATGCCTCCTGAAGAAAAGAATTAAGTTCTTGATAAACATCAAGACTCAATAATAAAATTTAAAACTTCACAAGTTATAAAGATTATTATTAAAAGAGACTAACTACTTTATTACTTTAAAACATTGATTAGCTTTTTTGAACTTATTTTATGTCTAAATACTCCTTATAAATCTTATATTGAGTAGAAATATGTCTTGAGTGGTCATCATCAATAAAGATGATAACTTCTTGTAGAAATTTAACCTTGGTACCCTTGGAAATTAAACTTCTTCTTTAATTAATTACATTCCCAGGGATATTTGGGTCTCGTTTGTTTGTTTGTATTGTTTTGTTTTTCTAGTAAATGGCTTCTTAAGCTATTATTATCCCATCCAGCGTCCATTGATTCAGAGAAAATAACAACAAGTGGAATTTATTGCTCTGATTTTGAACTGAATCTTGTGGCTGTTTTTATTGTAATTCAAGGCACTGTTTAATCCCTTTGCTTAGAAGCCATTGGAGTGAAAATGTTCATGTTGCAGATTTACTTTGTGACAATGATGTATGGGAAGATTATTCTGCAAGAACCAGAAAATATGATACTTGTTGGAAGAAATTCAATGTCGCAACCAGTTGAAATAAAGAACATCCAATCCCATGTGCTAACAAAGTGGGGATTCCTTTCCAAAGCTTTGTACTATGCAAAGGATACTTTTCTGGTGTGCCGAGAAGTTATCTCTGGGACTGTCACACTTGGAATTCCAGCAGATTACCCTATCATCAAGTCATCAGTATGCTGCTATTTGAATAAACACAGCTGTTGTTTTCCAAGAAATATGGCTAGGAGCAGCAAGGAAAAAAAGGGCAATTAGTGTTATTGAAATGAAGGGGTACTCAGGATGGCATATATATATTTATGAGCATTTTCGTTTCCGAATAGCCTATTTACCATGCTGTGACTTAACAGTGGGGGAGTAATGATCCCCTCTCCAAATCCTTGGTACTTTACTGCATTTTGCTATTTGCCTAATATTAATTACAAATAATTTTCATAATTAAAATAAATATATATATTTTAATTTCACATGACCTTGTGCTATCTTCTATCCACAAATCCTTGAAGTTTTGATGGCAGCGTGCTCCAAAGACCTATATATAAGGATAGATGAATAGGATAACCTATTTTAAAATTTATACTAATGATTTCAATACGTGGAGCAAAGATGTTATTGTCCTGGATCGAGAATAAGGCTTGCTTTTAGAGGGTCAAGGAGAACCTTCAGCATGGTGTAATGCAGAGTGGTGTACCAGAAAGATGAGACCATTAACCAGCAGTGTGGCCACAGGCAAGGCATTCCCTCCCCTGGATCTCAGCTTCTTTATCTGTAAACTGTTGAGATTGGATGATATGACCTTTAATGTCTCTTCAAATTCCATGATGCTTTGAACTTAGGCCTTTATTATTCAGGTCTGACACTCAATGCTGAGCAACACATTTGTTACAGAGACCCACTGGAACCAGTGGTTGTCATCTTTATAAATAAACAAATATTCTGGCTGTTTTTGTGCTTTCAGCATAAATGAAGACAAATAATGGGATGAGTTGTTAATATCTCAGTGCTTTATTCACCTAAAGTAGTTTGTTTTGAATTTGTGTATTTTTTTTTTTTTTTGAGGTGGAGTCACTCTGTCGCCCGGGCTGGAATGCAGTGGCGTGATCTCAGCTCACTGCAAGCTCCGTCTCCCGGGTTCATGCCATTCTGCTGCCTCAGCCTCCCGAGTAGCTGGGACTACAGGTACCCGCCACCACACCCAGCTAATTTTTTGTATTTTTAGTAGAAACGGGGTTTCACCATGTTAGCCAGGATAGTCTCGATCTCCTGACCTCATGATCTGCCCGCCTTGGCCTCCCATTGAATTTGTATATTCTTAAATCTTTAGTCTATGGTTAAGAACTCTGGTTCAAGGATATTGGTTTGGCAAGTGTGAGGGGGACTGGGGGGAAGATTGGAGAAGTATGTTAAGGTTCTGTTATTTCTGGGGTAAAAAATAAGAAGATGCCAGGAAAAGGAAACTGAAGTTAGAGGCAGTGCCTTTTGTTTAGAAGGTCAATGTTGTGGTGCATTTTAAAACCATCTCATTTAAAAAGTACAGAGAGTACACCAGTACCCACTAGCTTGGTGGCTGTGGCTGCTTTAGCATCTTGTCCAACAGCCACGATGACCAAGCTATGTATCTTCCTTTTATTTCCTCTCAAGAGGGAGTTGACCTCCAACTTGCACGTTAGTCTTCGAAATTTAGTTCAATGAAGCCCAAGGATTTTAAAGACATCTCATACACAAAATGACACACGTCAAGGGTACGGGTATGTTGTTTTCCAGTGTTTCTAAGTAGATGTGAAAGAAAACCTCATTTAAACTCTACTCAGAAATCAACAAAAGCCTTAAAATAAGAATAATGAAGCAGGATGAGTAATGTTCAGGGTCTATACTGAGACAAGGATGATGAGGGCATTGGTTCTTCAGTCAGAACAGCAACTGTCTATGCAATGTCTGAGGTCTGACTGTGCGACCTTGGGCCCAGCCATGAAATACTGTCACCCAAACCCAACCCCTCCTCATTAACAGTAACAACACACAGCGATTTAGTGCTTTATGGTTTCAGAGCTCTTTTGCATGTATTATCTCATCTCTGGTCCAATTTTAGGATGGTGTTAGCCTTACCTCATGCCCCAGCATTTCATCATGTCTTTGGGAACATTGCAGCTTAGCTGATAGGTCTGATTTTTCTCCTCATGCTTTGGGCAACCTCTGGAAGGGGTAAAGGTGATGTTTCGGCTTGCTGTTTAAACAAATAACAAAGTTGGACTGAAATGGAAAGTTTCTAGGGAGATCAAAGAATATGACATAAGGGATGAAATTAAGCAGGGTTTATGCAGTGGTGGCTTCTCTCACTAGGGCTCTATGTCAGACAAACCGGTCCCACTCATTTTCCCACTTGACCCTCCTGGGAAGCCCCTGGAGGTAGGAGCATTTATTATTATTCCTAGTGTACAGATGAGGAAACAAACACTTGGCCGTTTACATAGTTTATAGAAGTCATAGGGCCAATGGCAGAGCCTAGTTCTTTTGCCTCTTAGGCCAATGCTCTTTCTTCCATACTCCAGTGCCTCCCTAGGCATGAGATAACTTCTCAAGTTTGGACATTTTTCTTTTGTACATCACTTTCCTCTCCAGAATTAACACTGAGAGGTAATAAATTTCAGAGGAGAGCTGGGACTAAAGCAGTCTTCACTCTGTCACTGGGTTCTCTTTCTTTTCCCATAAAGTGAAGAGAATTCCTGTTTCTTTTGTACATTGAGGTCCATGCTACTTTTTGAGTCCTATAGACAGAGGAGTATTAGACACTCATAGAACTGTTTTTGCTATTGCTTCTTATTGTGTTGTTGAGGTTAATGTCTTGATGTTCAGTATTATGAAACACACTGTCTTGAAACTTGTCCACTCAAAAGCCATCACCTACTGCTTCTTTGGTTGTGGGCTCCATGGATTTTACAAGATCATTGAATGATGGAAGCAAGAAAGTTGGAGAATGAAGAGGTCTGTTAGGCAGTTTCTACCTTCCACTTGCCTGTGGAGACGTTGGGTGAGTAATGTAAGAGAACAGGTGAATGGCACATGCAGCATGGGGGACCCTCCTCTTGGGGTGTCATTGTTACTTTTGTCTGTTTTCAACTTTGTTTTTTCTTTCATTCTTGAAAAGTAGGTCCAGTGTGCCAGGTGGGGCATGGCAACAGGAGTCTAGAATTCAGGAGAATGGAGAGGCTATGGTTGGGCCCAGTTAGTCTTTTCAAGATTGTGTCTTGACCACTGTCTGAAGTTAGTGGAATTGGGTCTGGACAGAATATCAAAATCCCAGCCAAGAGGCTCAGGTATTACTCGAAAAATCTGTGCATTTGCCTAAGGCTAGAAAATTTTTCCATTCCTCATTGGCAGGCCAACTGATCTTCTTGGTATACTTTAATCCAGTCTCAGGAACAAGCATCAGTGACTCTGGCTAAAAGCTCTAGGTAAGCAATAGATAAACTTTTGGCTGTAATGTCATTATTGGTATTTGAGTCAGCTGTTAGTAGCATTTATTATTCTCAGCCCCAAATCCTTCATTTAGCTTTTGTATATTTTTTAAGTTTTACTTCCCTGGATTCTTTTCTTCTTTTCAATTGTCATAAATCAATAACAGTTGAACTACACTGTCAAAATACAGTATTTTTTTTAAATGAATGAAGCTATTTGTTAAGGAATGGTTCTTTCTCTAATGCAAATAATTACTTTCTAATTGTTCTGTAAGATTATACTTTATTGCATATATTTTTAAAGCAAACAGCATCTGCAAAGTAATCATCTTATTTACCATTTTTAAAATTAGGTAGCAAGTCTATAGGACAATTCCAATTAAATTTAAAAAATTCAATAATGGAAATAGAGTAAGGAAAATGGGGAACATATATTACACAAAGCAAAACTATTTTGAAACAGAACATTTCATGTGGCCTCCCTTAGATTTTAGTGGCTTTTTGAAAAGATGGCTCCACACCTTGATTTACTACTCATCCCAAAATTTAAATCCAAGGTTGTTCTTGTAACGATGCCTCTTCAAAGCATTCTTATTAGGAGCTGAGTGCACCCAAAGAGAGTGGTGAACATTTAAAGCATACAGCATATAAAGTAGCTGCACTAATATGAAACAATTGTTCTGTATTAGACTCCAGAGATTGAATTATACAATTCATATCTAAGAGAAAGATGAGCGCCATATTAAGCATATTTCCTTGTCTCTGAAAGCATGCAGAAAACTTACAAATGCATCTCAACAATCTTCTCCAAAGAGCGTTATTACTGGTCTGCAGCTATGGAGCACTCTGTTCTCTCTTGAATATACTTGATTATCAATTCTTAAGCAGTTGAAAGGAGGCCTTGAATCTGAACCTATCCCACAATGCCCTTTATGTAGTGTGACTCTCAGAGGCCCGGGCTGCCCACACTTTGGCAAAGACTCATTTAACTTGATAGGCTTATGTATTCTACTCTTCTTTTCAACAGGAGTGGCTGGGGCAGAGTAGAGGTAGAAGATTCTGGGTAATGGATCCAATTACAAAGACTTTTGGAGGAGTGCTGAGAAGAGGTTATATTTGGTGGGAGGAATAATCCTTTAGAATGTGGTATGGCCTGATATCTGTCCCAGAAATAATCCTATCTATAGGAGACACTTCTAATTCATTTAGAATTCAAAGGGATGGAATATGCATAAAAAATTTTACAATGAAAATTTAATCCCAGCCTGGGGCTTGAAGAGCTAATTTCATCCCAGGTCTCTTTGCTCTACCATTACTGCTTTCTCCTGCTTTATCAGGAAAATTTTATAATCCCTTTGTGCAAATAAAAGGCATTGAGTGGCAATTATTGGCTCATTTTACATACCAACTTCATGGCCAGAGATTCTTTGGTTTTAATACCTAGCAAGTTTTATATGAGGCCACAGAATAAACTCTTAACTCATTCAGTGGTAATAGTTCAGTACTATCTTGGTGGTGTGTATTATTTGTAGAGATCAAATTTTATTACTTGGGACTTGAGCAGGGCTTAGAAAAGTTGGTGGGGTTTCTGAGTAGTCAATAGTCCCAAGAATTGACAGACACATGGGGAAAGGAAAAGAAGTTGTGGAAGACAATCATAGAAAGGAAGAAAAGACAGAAAAAACAGGGAACAAGAAAGGAGTGAATGGTGGGAGTGGTGGATGCCCCTAAATCATCTCGTACTGCTGTGCTGGAGCCAGTTAAGGATCACCAAAGCTGATTATAGTTTTCTTTTGAACTCTGTTCTGTGATTTTGTTTTTGGTAGCTTTGAATTGGCACAGTGGGAGCATTTACACCATAGATATTGGTGAATACTACAAATCAGGGCTTTTTTTTTTCCCCTCCAGGGAGCTCGTTGTTCAATATTTACCAGCACACTACGACCTTAGATATTTCTTTGTGATACGAGAGGCCTAAATTATCAAATGTGTCACAGCAGGAGAGAGTTTGGGAGACACTAGATTAGTTTGACAGGGGTGAGTTCCAGGACTAGAAATAACAAACTGGAGTTCTTATTCCCATAGTTGCCTGAAATGAGAAGCGGGTCAAGGTATGGAGAGAAGAGGTCAAACCAGTTGAGAAAGATGTATTCTAGGCATTTTGCCGAAAGCAGGAGCAGTCCTACCTAACACTCAACAACAGATGAGTAAATGGTGGTTGAGAGAGGTTAAATCTGCATATCACACAAGTTAGAACCAATTAGAATTTATTTTACCCAAAGTCCTAATTTCTAACCCCTACACTATAGGGGTCCTCTGTAGACCTCTGCATTCAATGAGGCAGGTGGTGCTCCCCCCAACTATTGGGCTTAGCATCAACATTGTAATCTACATTGAGCTTTCTAATGAAACCCTGTACACAGCTCTGCATGGCAGCCCTGCCTGCAGGTCACCTCCCTCTGACTCTACACATATGAAGAACATTCTCAGTCAAAACATCCCTGCTCCACTCCAGAGCAAAAATCAGTTTCCACTCCTCTTCTAAGTTTATAACTTTTTCTTTATTTCTACTGCCTTCTCATTCATTCATTTAGTCATTCAATAAGCATTTGTTAAAAGCCTGTGTGCATTGTGAAAGAAAGAGGGAATTCAACCTAGAGGGGCCTACTGGAGGGAACACATGTGTGTGTCTAATTTGGAAGCTGCAGAAGTTGAAGGAGTAAAGATGTGGGTTCGAGGACCACAGATGGGGGGCTAGACTTTCTAGGTCATCATGGAGACTCCATCTGTTTTGACTATTTCTCTTCAATATGAGCAAAACCTTAGCCCGGCAGCTTCCTCTATTCTTATAATTTTCTTTCATCTTTTATCTCTGGCCCTTATCCAGGACCAGGTGGATATTACTGACTTAGATATTCTCCCTTCGGAGATCCTGGTGCCTTCTCTGCCCCTACCCCGAAGGTGAAATCACTTTAGATACAATAATGCTATACGATATTTTTGCTTATCTGAAAAGGCATAATTTAATTCTATTTATTGAAGTGGACTGATTTGTATTAAATATACATAGTAAATCATTTTGAGTTATTGATTTGGTAAAAAGGCCTATGGTTTGAAACAATTTTACATTTTGATCATGTGACATTATCCACTGAATCGCTTCTGATTTACATTTATTTATTTTTAGTTGTACATTTGTTAATGATAAATGGAATTCAACTATAAACGACTATGGTATTAAGTATTTTACCAGGGGATGAATTACCTAGAATTTCATGAAATATTTTAAGGAGGTGTTAGAGTTAGGAACGTGTGGGTGGGGAGCCATATATGAATAAAGATCGTTTCAGTCAGATGTGAGAATCACACTGTGAGAAAGTGTGGTCTCTGGACCAGAAACATCAATATTACCCAGGAATTTATTTCAAATGCACATTTTTGAGCCCCACCCCAGGCCCAAATCAGAAATTCTGCAAGTGGGGCCCAGCAGTAATCTGTATTTTGACAAGCCCTGCAGGCAACTCTGGTGTTAGCTAAAGTACAAGAATCACAGATTAAAGTAATACTAACAAATAAAGTTAGCAACAATTAAAGGAAATCTTAAATGAAGAAGTACAGTTATGTCATTAACTCACTGTGGTCAGACCAATACTTATTTGGATCCTTAGGCATATTTTCTACTTACTGTGTCCTTAAAAACCAAAAGTGTTTCAGCATTTTCACTTCTTTTGCAAATAACCATTAGACAGATTTGTAAAAAGATTGATTGTACACTTTCATTTCCTCAAGCAGTCATTTATTCTTTCAGATAATACTCATTCTCCGGGCAGCAGACAAAAGACTTGGAGACATACACAGCTGAAGGAAATGAAAAGGCAACAAGGCTAAGAGAACAAAGATGAGCATTGCCACGGTCCGGAGGATGGTGGTGGAGGAAGCCTTCTCTACGCTGGTGCCTCTATTGGAACTTTCAGGAAATGAACATGTGTGTTTTGTGTTTTTCCCTTTACACCTCAAGAAACTTGGAACAATGATTTTCTTTTATGGAGAAGCTTACATTTAAGCAGATTAAAAATTAGCCCCAAGAATAGAAATACAGAATCAAAGTCCACAAATTTAATTATTGTTTCCCCTGGTTAGCTGATCTTCAATTCTGATATCTTCCTCTCTCTGGTGTAGGGGAGTAAGGGTTATACCCATTTTGAAATTCGTTGTTGTATTACGACTACTAATACACAGGGAAAGTTTCTATGCATTCATTTATTCATCAATAGATATTTATTAGGACTCACTGTTTATGGAACTGCCCAAGATATTGTGGGAGATACAAGGGAGAAGAAAACATCAACCCTGTTCTCAGAGTGTTTAAAGTCTACCAGGACTTCAAACGTGTCCATTGCACACGTAAGCATAATAAAAGTTAAAAGGAGGTATGCTATAAAATGGATCAAAATCAAAGGCTTTAAGAAGAGGAAAGGCATTCCTTCTAGCTTTGGTCAGATTTGGTCCACAATCAAATCAAATTCTTATTAAGTTCATATTCTCTTACTGACAAACTAAACTGCTGCAAAAAATAATCCTCCCCCATGGGAGATCTTACAGACATACCCTAATTGCCCTAGCTAAGTTTAGAATGTAGCTCTGAAAAGAATGACAAAAGACCTTGAAGAGGCAAGCAAGAGATTTTGAAATATCTGGTCTATAAGGGTAAAAGACTGTATGATACCAAAGCCTCAGGGTACCCAGCTGGGGTCAATCTATATTAATTGCTAACACCTAGAGGTAATTAGCAGTAATTACCCAAAGGAGTGATGGGATGGCCAGACGGACTTAAAGGCAGCAATTCCAGGAGCTCCTACCATGTTGGGAACCTAACAGCTTCTAGGTAACAAGAAATAAATTAGGTTTCCCCAGCAATTTATGTAGATAGTTTTAAGATTGTATTACAAAGGACCCCGTGGGGCAAGCTTTTATAAATATATTACTAAAACTCGTAGCCCTTGCTACCCAGAGGTGAAGTTTATTTTCTCACCCTTTGAGTCTGAGCTGATCTTACCACTTGCTTTAACCGATGAATATGGGGAAAGAGAAATTGTGCAACTTTTGCTAGTAAGTCTTACAAGACCTGCAGCTTCCAGCTTCACCTTCTAGGAACATTGCCCTGAGATCATCTTGTGAGGCAGCTGGTCTAGCCTCCTGGAGGAGAAGCAGTTTTGTGGAGAAGATTCCAGGCATCCCTGCCAACAAGCACCAACTCCAGATATATGAGTGAGTGCATCTTAGATTCTCTACCTAATAGTGTACTCAAGTTTTGGACACTCAGAGTAGATCATTTTAACACCACCTTTTTCCCTATGGCAAAATTATATTCAACTATAAAAAATTATAATTTTCTTAATGTTTCTTAGTTTTAAAGCAAACAGTTGGCAAGTAAGATAACGAATAAATGTCAATTTCAAAGATATTCATATTGAGCAAAATATTTCATAGATGAAATAAAAATTTATTCAACAAAAAATATACTTCAGTTTTCACCTTGCCTCAGTTTAAAAAAATTTTTTGCACAGAAATTCCGAAGAGTAAGAATGATTGTAAAGACGAGGAAACACAATTTGAGTTCCTTCTATTCTGTGATTTTATCACTGCTAATTTCAAATCTACTGATTAAACACAAGAATATGTAGTACCACAGAAATAGGGATGTAAACTGCTCACAAAGAAAGCTTGAACAATTCCTAGTCACTATGAAACTATTCTTAAACATATGTAACAGACACTGTGGGGGCTGGGGGTTGGGGGGCGACTGTGTAACTGTGAGTTCTCCAAATTAACTTCTATGTAGAATACAATGTTTATTAAAAGATAAGTAATAAAATGGGCTATTTTGAAGCTTCTGTAAATGTTATTAAAACTCAAGAGCTCCAATATTTGTATAGAAATTAGACCAACACATTTTTTTTCTTTTTTTCCAGGGAAGAGTAGTTTACAACTGACACTGTTTGGAATTGCTGGCACATGGTGATAATCAAAGGTAGGCTGACTTCTTGTCATTTAAATCGTTGCTTTAAAATTTACAGATGATGCACCCTATTTTTGCCTGTGCCTTATGTGGACTGCTCCTGCTGACCCATGCTGGATATGCCTCTGCTTTTGTTAGCAGAGGAAGTTATCCGCATGGGTCTGCAGCAACTTCAATTCTTGCCTCCTCAGAAAAAAGAATTTGACTGAGGGGCATAAGGCAGAAGGAGAGACCGGGGCAGTTTTGGAGCAGGAGTGAAAGTTTATTAAGAAGCTTTAGAGCAGTAATGAAAGGAAGAAAATTACACTTGGAAGAGGGCCGAGTGGGTGACGTGAGAGGCCAAGTGCAAGGCTTGGCCTCTTGACTTGGGGTTTTATATGTTGGCATGCTTCTGGAGTCTTGCGTTACTTCTCCCCACTCCTGAGATCTTATTGGGAAGCTGCTGATTACCAGTCTCAGGTATTTTCTATTAGAGACTGCCTTTCCCTGGCACCAGCTGTGACAAATTGTTACTTTAGAGAGACAGTTAGCAACTGCCTCATGGTCGCCCAATGCTCCTGGTGTGTGTGTCAGGGAGCCCTCTCCTGCCCTGCTCATATCTAACTAGCTACCTACTGTACCACTTTTAGCATTTCACATCCCATCTGACTGTGACTAGGTGAGACCAGCAGGAACTGCTCAGTTGACTCAAAGAATCACCAGAAATAATAAATGGTTATTTCATGCCACCAAGTTTCAGGATAATTATGTAGCCATAGATAAGTGGCGCAGGAAATGATCACTTAGAGTAATTGAGCTAGATTTTTCTTCCTGAAGCTGTGACAATTATAAGAGCTCTAAATATGTACTGGGTAGAAGGTAAAGATTTGGGGACTATTGTTGATGGTACGGGTTATTAAAGGAGGTGAAGTCATTTGAAATAAGGTGGGAGAGGTGATGCAAGAAGGAAATGGGGAGAGAAAAATGTTTCTGTGAAGATTGGAGATTTAAAATTATCACGAATAGATTGGTGAGGGGGAGTGTTTTAAATAAAACAGTGTTTTAATTCCTGAAGCTAAATCATTTGTTGCATCTTGAGTATGAAACCAGACCTTTGGGAGTGGGATCTAAATGTCCCTGAAACAATGAGGTATGCTTCTATGTACCAGCAAAGACATAAAGTTCTGTCCCAAAAACCAGGATGAAGGACACATTGTGGGGGTTGTGTTTTCATGGTACAGAGCTTTAACATACTTAGTTGGTAGGTAATTTCTGAAACAGTAGCAAGGATACAATGGTAAAAAATTGGCAAAACTCCATCCCACTAATTACTAATAACTTTAAATTTATGTGGTAAATTACATAGCCATAGATAAATGCCATTTCCATATCCGGTTCCTGAAATGACTACAAATATGAAACTGAGTCACAGAAAACTGGAGTGTTATTTTAAACATTTCAATCAGTTCAGATTTTGCTTTTTATGACTTTGATTTTCATGCTATCTCAAACATTTCTTTCTTGAAGAATGGATTTTTTTGGACCATGATTTGGCAAAGATGATGTGCGTACTATGAAAATTGGAGACTGTGGTTGTCAGAAGAGGTGATGTTCTGTTCAGTAAAATTATACTGAAACTTGTAGGGAGGAGAAATAAATTCCTGGAATAATGAAGAGCTGTATGTTCGAACTATTATGGAATACAACAGATGTCTGTAGGTAGAAGAACAATGACAGTGAATGTGCAAGTGATTAGGAAGATAGGGTTGAAAATTATGACCTCAGTTGGCCAATGACAAACAAATTGAAAATTTAATTTGGAGCAAACTTTCTTGTAATATTGAGACTTAATTGGTAGAAATTTAGGAATGTAATATAACAGTGGGAAGTATATCTGTCTTATTCAACATGTTATACTCCATAACAACATGGAATGTAAGGGCATAGTAAGAAATCTATTTTTTAATACATTAAAGGTGTGATAAATGGTGGACAGATTTCTGGAAGGATATAAAGAGGGAGGAATAGACCTGGCATTATTGTGGAATGGATTACAGCATGCCTGGTCAGATGCAGAATATGAATGAAGTTTTCATGATGCAGATTACAAAACTAGTAAACAGGCAAGACACGGATACAAAAAGGTGGCAGATTTTTTATTTTTTTAACTTTTGGACATTACTAGAAGTCTCCTATTAAAAACAGAGGTGTTGGTATGTGGTTAATTTTCCTGGCTGACAATGAATTATAAGAAAACATTTATAAGAAAACATTTTGAGAAACTGCTGGTCTGGATTTATTTAAACCAAAAAGAAAGACCTGTTGATAAAAGAACAGTGTTAGGGAATTTGGGACAAAGATGATCATGATATAATAGAAGTTTGTTATAGGTACAAAGGGAAAGGTGACTTGGTCAGACCTGATACCAGACTTCTCAAAAGAATACTTCAAAAAATTCAGAGAAAATCAAGTTGAAATTCCATGGCCAAGACTCAAAATAAACCAAACCTAAAATGAGGTAGAAATTCTTAACAGCAGTAGCAGTGATAATTGAATTTTTACTATAAGCTAATTGCTCTGCAAGACACTTTGAATACATTACTTTTAGAAAAACAGTTTTTTTCTCCTCTTGGGGTCACTCACCACTGACACCAAAAGGAGAAAAAGTGTATGTGTGGTGGGGTGTCAGAGGGACAATATGATGGCTTACAGGTCTCCTCAGATATTTTTAAAGGTTGCATGTCAAAAATTAGTGAGGACATCCTAAATAAAAGGTAAACATAAAATTGTAGCAGAAAATTGTAGGAAAATTGTTATGAATATAGTGAGCTCAAAATATGCTGAGGCTTGGGAATGATGGCCACTTAGAACAGTTCTCAAAGGATGGACTTAAGGGCTGCTGTGGCACACCTGGTATAGCAGTGACAGCCTTGCTCAGTGTTCTTGTCTGCCTAAAAAGAAGAAGCTTCTAACTGGAAAGGAAGAAGCTTCTAACTGGAAAGACAACAAATAGAGCTACACAGTGAAATGTATAATAGAAGAGTAAATGGCAAAGAGGCTCTTGCTGTTTTAAATGTTGTTATCTCTGGATCTTGGCTCTTGGAAGGACTTTTCAAGAGCCATCCTGGGAATGCTGTTGTGATATTGTACACTCACAGAGGGTGGGTGAATAAGACAACGACAAATGCTCTAATTTAGAAAAGAATAAAAAGTCAGCTGTGGAAGCTAATAGAATTTTTTAGTTCCTTCAGGGTTTGTTTCCTCATCTGTGATCCCACTGAAATGACCTCATTATGACCTCATCATGACATCACAGCAGCTTATGCATTTTGTCATAACTACTTGCATATAAACTTTTATCGTATCTGGATTGGGAGCTCCTTAAAGGCAGGGACCGTCTTATGTTCATCTTTGTTTCCTCAGAGGCTGTTGAACTGCATGGAATCACAGGAAGGACTTTTGCTTATTGTCAGTCTCTTGCTCTTTCTCACTCCTGCCCTCCTGTCCTCTCCCTTCCTTGTCTTCTTCCCATTCAGCACATTATGTTGAGCTTTAATGCAATAAAAGCAAACATCTTCCATAGTTTATGAAACTTTGGTTGTCTTTTGACCTCTTTGAAAAAGAAATTTTTTTTTCTTCTTTTGAGACAGAGTCTTGCTATATTGTTCAGGCTGGTCTCAATCACCCAGGCTCAAGCAATCCTCCTGTCTCAGCCTCCCAAGTAGCTGAGATTACAGGTGTGTGCCACCATGCCCAACCTGAAACTGTAATCATTTATCTACTGTTTTCATGTAGGAATTTCTTCCAGGCATTTGTTGGAAAATTAATGTATTTTCCCCAATCTTGAATTTTGGGAAAAATTAGTTGAGAAAATGAGAAAAAGCATTATAATTCTCTTGCAAGAATTAAAGCTTAGCAGTCAACGTAGGGAATCCACTGATGCCAAATTGAAACCATGAGCAGGAAGTGCTGATGTGCAAAGTTGAAAACTTGAAGGTTAAGGTCAACAAGTTCCAGAGCTGGGACAGGAGCAGGTCTGAGGGAAGCAGTCACAATCAGGAATCACATTTCCAGCTGTTGTTTGTCAGCAGCCCTGTCTGCTGCAAACTGTCATTTCTGAAAGTAAATATTAATAAGCTTATATGCATACTATATAGTATACAATCTTATGAAAGGTGTTCTAAGAAATGAGTTTAGAAACAAATCCTAAAAATGGCATTTCAATAAGTAATTCTGGGTAGTGCTGGTGACCTTTCCAGGAGATCAACTATTACGTTATTTCAATATTACCTAATAATGTTTGCTGGCATTTTTCAGTGTTTGAATATTTACTACAGGCTAGGTTTCTTGTAATTACTATTAAACATGTTTTTTATTTATTAAACAATGCTTTAAATATCTATGTCTTAGGGTTCTCCAGTAAAATAATATCCTATATATATATAAAAATATATATATATAAAATCACATACATATATGATTGAAATTAGCTAATGGGATTATGGAGGCTGAGAAGTTCCAAGACCTGCCCTCTGTAAGTTGGAGAACCAGGAAAGCCAGTGGTGTGATTCAGTTTGAATCTAAAGATCTAAGAACAAGGAACATTGATTTTTCCCAGTAGGAGGAGATGGATACCCCAGTTGAAAGAGTATATTTGCCATTCCTGCGCCTTTTTGTTCTCTTTGGGCCCTCTGTGATTTGGATGCCTGTCCATACTGGTAAAGGCAATCTTCTTTCTACTGATTCAGTTGCTATTCTCTTCCAAAAAAATCCTCACAGACACACTCAGAAATAATGTTTTACTAGTTATCTGGGCTTCTTTAACCCAGTCAAACTGACACAGAAAATTAGACATCACGCCATAATAATGAGTAAAGAGTGTGAAAAATGTTGGAAGTATTTTAAGAATAACACAATTTCAGAAATTCTGAGAATTCTAACTTTTTCCTAGAAGATACCTGAAGATTAGTATCTGTCAGCAATTTATAAATACTAACTGAATCATCCTGTGCTCAAATAAATTATGACAAATTGACTTTACTTTTGCTAGCGTGAGTAGAATATTTGTTCACTGGACTGTCTGAGATTTACTGCAACTGGATTTCAGTAAAACATTTCACAGCCTCTTGTTATATCTTAATGGAGAAGATGGAAACATCTGAGTTGAATAATAGGACATTAAGTTAATTTGTAGCTTGTTAAACAACCATATCTAAAGTGTGATGATTAGTGAATCAATATTATCTTGAAGTTACCTTACTAGAAGTCAGCCCTATGACTATGTTCTTGGACACATTCTCACCAATGACTTGAAAAAAGCTAAAAAAAATAAAAGTCACTTTTCTTGCATGCACATGATTATTAAACACACAGACACAATGTGTTGATAATATTTTGACTAATAAAAATAAATACTTAGAAGTTTCCAGCAAGTAGGAAAGAGTTGCTAAGAACAACCAGTTGAAATTTAAGGCTGACAATTATGGTTAAAAAAAAAAAAAAAACAAAAGTATATAATGCGTGAGTCTTAGATTAATGATAGTTTACATAGAAAAATAATCCCAGAAGTTTTAATGGCGTGCGAGTCTAATATAAACCTATAATGAAACAGGGTTGCCAAGAAATCTAATGGAAACTTTGGTTTCACTAACATAAGTAACATATCTAGAACATGCAAGGTATTAGTCTCCTTGAATTCTATATCAATCAGACTATATCTAGAGTATTATATTCAGGTTTAGAATAGTATCAATAAATATCAATAAATGGGCATAAATCCGGAGGAGGATGCCCAGAATAGAAAATTATTTTTTTTTCTAGAAATCATACTATGGAAGAACTAGAGATGTTTCACTGACTAGGAGGATGTTAATGGGGAAAGGACCATTGTTATCAAATATTTGAAGAACCCTGTTTTGCCTATGCATATGAACTAGAGGTTATACTTATTGAGATTCACTCTGGGTAACTAGGGCCAATTAATTTAGATTATAGGTAGGTAGAGTCCAATTCAAATTACAAAAAAGTAATGGGACAGGCTGTAAACTCCCCATCAGTGAAGATGTTTAAATAGAGGTTAGAGTATTTGGCACTTAACAAATCTGCCTAGTTCATTTTCCTGCATTTCTGGGAGATGGTAATAGGTGACATTTAATGTTCTTTCATCGGGAATGTTGTATATGGTTCTATGCAATAATCAATAACCAGATGTCAAAATGAGAAAATGAGCACACCTGCCATATTATTGACTCTCATGTTTTATGGTCTACTTAGTCTGACCAACCATCCTGGTTTACCTGGGACTGTCCTGGTTTTAGTATTGCAAATTCCATGTTCCAGAAACTCTTTCAGTCTTAGATAAACAAGAAAAGTTGGTCACTGCAGTCAGACTCAGTCAATCACTTAAGGAACACATCTCAGCTCTTGAGTTGTGCTTGGAGTTGATGCACAGAATGGGATTTGCACAAGGTTGGTTGATCTGTTTCTTCCATGGATATGATCAGTGAGAGGGAGGAAGCCCAAAAGTACTAATGCTTCTGAGCCTGGGTCGGGATCTTATTATCCAGGAACTCCTTCAAGGATATGGGGGCAAAGAGTTCATTTGTGTCATGATCTTGGGAAGTCTAGCTACGGGAGTTGGAGAACTGAAATGGGAGAGGGAAGAAGGCCCATATGTTGTACTTTGAAGAACATGTTATCACTGTGAGAAACTGGTGCTTAATCCTAGGGAGGGCTTCTGGGAAACTTTGTGAAACACATCTCAGTGTTGTACCTGTCAAAAGCTCTATCTAGTGGTGTTAACTTTCTAGTATGTCTGGCCCATCCTGCTCACTCCTCCATCCAAAGAAAGCCCTCAAGTCTTTGATCAAAGGGGAATGGATTGGGGTTATGTTAGGACACCAACAGAGGCTGCCACCTGCCTCTGATTTAGACTTTTGTTGTTACCTTTATCTCTAAATTACTCTATACATATGGTCACAGAAACACAGTAAATTGAAAGCAGCAGCATGCATTTGTGGCAGATTAAACAAATAGACTCACTACTTCCCTCTTTCCTGTATCACTGCCTTTCATAGTGACTCTTCAGTTCCTCCCATTAAAGAGAGTGAGCTTTCCTGCCCTCTGACTTTGGATCTGACCATGTATCTGTTTTGGTTAATGGAACATGGACAGAAGTGAGAAGGTTGCCAGGACAAGCCTGAGGCCTGAAGAGTGTTGTGTGTGTCAGCAGGTGCTCTGGGCCTCTGCCGTCACCATGAGAAAAGCATGCCCGAGCTAGCCCATGAGTCCACGGAGGGTGAGAGATACCTGGAACAGCTCCAGATCCAACTGCAGCTTGGAAGTGCCCAGCCTAGTCCTGCTGAGATTGGCAGAACCACCCTAGCTGACCTGTAGAAATACAACAAATACAGGCTGTTGTACAGCCTAGACTGCACTATCTGTAGTATACTATGAATAATTTTATAATTCTTAAAATTGCTTTTTAGCAATCATAACTGTACTATATTGTTTTATTGCATAAAAGGACTAATCTATTAAATGTAAACATGACAGTATCACATTTGTTTGTGTGTCTCAGCCACCCCTTTATGTCTGGACCTATAAATCTTGCTCTCTCATGCTTTCTCTTGCTCTCTCTTTTTATTTTTTTAACAAATATAGATTTCTTTTTTCAAGCAGTTTTATGTTCACAACAAAACTGAGCAGAAAGTACAGAGAGTTCCCATATGCCCACTCCCTCCACATACAGCCTCCCCAATTATCAACATCCCACACCAGAGTGGTACATTTGTTACAACCAATGAGCCAACACTGACACTTTGTTATCACCCAAAGTCTGTAGTTTACATTAGGATTCACTCCTGGTGTCGTATTTTCTATGGGTTTTGACTATCACAACGATTGTCACACAATTTTTCTGTCTCTATCACCCAATTTTTCTAACTCTAATACAATTTTAGATTTTAAAAAATATACTAGGAATCTCACCAAATGCTATGGGCCTAAGAGTCTTGACCCCTAAAAGAGTCTACTCTTGAAGGAGTTAACTTCTCCAAATCTCATTAGCAAAATGTAAGATAATAACACTTACCTTGGACGGCTGCTTTGAGGATTAGAGGTATTGTATAACAAATAACACTGTAATAGTGGAATTGCTATAGTGAGATTGCTGTGGAGGACCCAGTGGGATGGGAAGTAATTGATTTACAAAAAGAGAAGAAAACAGGGTAAAGCAAAGGATAAAATGGTATTGTCAGCAAAGCTGCCTTCTTCCCTTAGAGGGAACAGAGTGGGTTCCTATGGCACTTTTGCTTCGTTTGGAAATGGTGTAAGGGAAGAGACTCCATCTGCAGTAGCTATTCTCAAGCCTTGTCCATGGGAAGTAGGATGCTAAGAGATCACAGACTGACATGTTCCTAAATATAGTCAGTAATGAAAGGTTGGACTTCGAGATAATTTTGGCTCAACAGGACTCTCTGTTGAAGGCCTAGGAAGGGCTGTGTGGAAGAATATAAAAGCAAGTGTACCCATGCATGCATTGGATGATGTCAGTGTTTTTCAGCAGGATGGATGTTTGGCGTGCTCACATCTCCCATGGAGCCTCAGTGTCTATTGCAATCTTCACATTGCTATTTCTTGCACATTATACAATATGCTTTATTACTTGCATGTTGTGTCAGAAGATATTTTTGTTTGCTTCTCCAAACCCCCTTTCTCTCCTTCTTCACACTGCCCTCTGTCCTGGAAATCTGGTCTGTATGGACTACATCAGTAGGCCTCATTCATGGCCAGATATCTTTTCATAACTCTGTGTCAAGTTCTACATTTAAGATACTTCCTGAAGTTCTGAGAAAGGTAGATAGTGAAATGTTTTATGTAGCAACTATCCCTAAAAATTCATAGATTGTGGGAAGTGATAAAAGACGATGTGAATTGTGCTACTATATGTACGAAACCTCAAACAAGGTCTGTTACGTCAAATAGATGCTTAAATGATAGATACAGGGATTATCACATGTTCTATTCTGAAAATAGGGCTAAGAGCATTTTGATTTTCTTCAAAGAAGCATAAATTTTGCAAAACTGTACAAACTGGTTCGAGTTTCAGAAAAGGGGCAGCTGAACTAGGACAATCACCATTTTTACTCCTTTCTTTTTACTTTCCTTTCTTTTTCCACCCTTTCTTTCTTTTCTCCTTACCACTGCTTGAATAATGTAAGATGAGCACTGGTATAAAAGGTGGGTATCTGGAAGGCATAGATTTATCAGAAGAGACTGCCACCTAAGCAAAATGTGACACTAGCACTTGGAGTCTTCCTTCCATTTTAATCATCTTCAGAACATAATCTTTAGATAACTACAGATAGATAAATAGAAACAGCAGTAATAATCAAAACCCTGAATAGGTGAATTACATTTTATTGCTAAGCTCACATTTACAACATATGATATATGTGTGATATTTTACCAGGTTGGAAGTAACTTTTTTCTGATTTCTTCTCCATTATTCATGTTATTAATTTATTGTTATAATTAAGACATCACAGGCTAGACACTGTGGCAAAAAGTTTCCCCCAAAATCCCACATCTATATTACTTGGTATCTAGAGAACAAGGGATGATTCGCTCCAAGGAATCATTGAAATGTTTACATTCATTTCAGTTATCATTAATAGCAATTTTTAAGTAAAATATTTTACAAAATGCAAGGTAGGTAATAATATAGCTTTGTAAAATCTCTTATTTGGCTTATTGCAATTTATACTTTTCTATAATTTTTATCACTTCTCTGCATGCCATAGCACAGCATGTTTTGTCTATTATGCTCATTTCTAAAAACATTTTGATGAATTATTAATGACTGAAAGGATTCCCATGTAAACAGCTGTGCATCTGTCCATCTATCCACCCATCCTCTTTTCATCTACTCATTTATGTACTAGGAAATGTGCTAACATGTAGAAAAAGCTAGAAAAGCCTCAAAATGATTATTCTCATTGACTCACGAAACTAATGAAAGACATAGGCAAAAAAGTAAACAATTAGCTTGATGTGGTAAGGCTGCTAATTTAGTCTAGGTTTTGTGAAGATGAAGTGGTAGAAGTGTTAATAGAAAGGAGACATTGGGGGATAGTAAGTTGCAGCTGAGCTGTGTTTTGAAGTATAATTAGGAGTTATCAAAGTGAAAGGCAGATAGGAGGATAGAAGCTGAAGCTTATATAAAAGCACAAAGTTCTGAGAGAGCACGTGATATGTGGGGAGGTGTAATGTACATCATTTAATATATCTGGAACATAGTGTATAGGCGAGAGCTGTTAAATATGAGAGATACAAGCAGGCAGCAGATCATGAAAGCTCTCATGAGCTCAGAGTGTTTACACTTTTCACAAAACTTGTTGGAAAACCACTAATGGGTTTTGAGCAGAGTAGAGTGATCAAATATGTATTCTAGAAGGACTTCTCTCAGGGTTGTGGAGAATGGATATATAGAGAAAACAAAACCTGCAGTGGAGACATTAGACTGTGACTGAATGAGAGCAGGGTGTGTTCAAGGTCTTGGAGATACCTTAAACAGTGTCTGGCACATGGTAATTCCTCAATATGTATTTGTTGAATAGAGGAATAAATGCACAGATCATGCAATACATTTTTTAGGTAATTTCAGTAAGAAATGATGAAGGCCTGAACTAAGGTATTGGTAATGGAGAAGGATAAAAAGCAGATCATTTAGATCAGTGCTTTCTAAACTTTTCTAATCATGACCTATCTTAAGAAATAGACATACATGACTCCATATACAGAGCCCCCATCAGAAACTAATGTTTTTACTGAACAATATTTACTTCCACTACCTGTGATGTACTCTAATTTCTATCCTGTATTATGCTATGCCATGCTACACTATTTGTATTAGTTTGCTAGAGCTGCTGAAACAAATACAGTAGACCTGGTGGCTTAAACAGAGTACATTTGTTTTCTCACAGTTCTGGAGATAGAAGTCCAAGATCGAGGTGCTGGCAGGATTGGTGTCTTCTGTGGGCCATGAGAGAAGGATCTGTTCCAGGCCATTCTCCTTGTCTTATGATCATCTTTTCCTTGTATCTTATGATGATTTTTTCCTGTGTATGTCTGTATTCCTAATTTCCTCTTCTTATCAGGGCACCAGTCATAATAGGATTAGGACCTACCCATATGACTCATTTTCTCTTAATTACCTCTTTAAAGACCCTATCTTCAAATATAGCTACATTCTGAGGTACTGGGGGTTAGGAAGTCAATATATGAATTCTGTGATGACTCAATTCAGCCCATGATACACAATTTTTTTTTTTTGACACAGGGTCTTGCTCTGTTGCCCAGGCTGGAGTGCAGTGGCATGATCATAGCTCACTACAACCTTGAACTTCTGGGTTCAAGTAATCCTTTTACCTCGGTCTCCTGAGTAACTGGGACTATAAGTGTAAGCCACCATGCCCAGCTCCTATTTTACATATATATATATATATATATATATATATATATATATATATATATATATATATATATGTATTTTTTTTTTTTTGAGATGGAGTCTTGCTCTGTCGCCCAGGCTGGAGTGCAGTGGCATGAACTCGGCTCACTGCAAGCTCCGCCTCTTGGGTTCACCCCATTCTCCTGCCTCAGCCTCCCGAGTAGCTGGGACTACAGGCACCCGCCATCATGCCCAGCTAATTTTTTTTTTTTTTTTTTGTATTTTTAGTAGAGACAGGGTTTCACCGTGTTAGCCAGGATGGTCTCGATCTCCTGACTTCATGATCCGCCTGCCTCGGCCTCTCAAAGTGCTGGGATTACAGGCATGAGCCACCGCGCCTGGCCGCCCAGCTTCTATTATATATTTTTTTAACCAACCAAAGTTTGTAATGTACGTTGGGGTTCACTCTTTGTGGTGTACATTCTATAGGTTTTTAAAAAGTGGATAATTATATATACCTACTTTTATAGCATTATACAGAATGGTTTCACTGGTGTAAAAATCCCCTGTGTACTATTTATTCCTCCATCTCTCCAAACCACTGGCAACCACTGATCTTTTTACTGTCTCCATAGTTTTGCCTTTTCCAGAAGGCCATATAGTTGGAATCACATAGTATGCAGCCTTTTCAGATTAGCTTCATTCACTTAGTAATATTTTCTTTTTAAAATGCTGTTCCTATCCTGTTAAATTGCTTTCATGACAAACTAAAGATTGCTGTCTTCTATTTGGGAAAACTTGGTTTAATGGGATAGGAAAGAGGTAGAACTGGAAGCTCTTGGTGACTGTTAAACTATGGGGAGGAAGAGAAGAGGGGTCTGGAACTCAGAAGACAGTCTGTGATGAGCATTTGGCTGGCACACAGGTGATAATTGATGTCTGAGGTGTAGTTGAGTCCACCCAGAAAGTGAAGAGAAGGTGAAAATTGAAGAGTTGAGGAACCTAGAGAAAGTCAATCCCATAGGTGTCAAACTTTGTCTTAGGTTTAATTTTGAGTTGAACACCTTTAGCTATGTTAGTTTGCAAATATTTTGTTTTTCTTGTGAACCATTTATATCTTGTGTAAACGTTTCTATTGGTTTGTTGATCTTCTCATCAATTTGTGAGAAACCTTGATGTCTTAAAGAAAATATCTCATTGACAGATGTTTTCAAGTATTTCTTCCTTGTGTTTTGACTTTGTTTATGATATTAATTGCTATGAAGAATGTTTAATTTTATATGCAGTTTTATGTCTTTCAAATTTTATGATATGCATAGCAAAACCTTCTCCACTTTAATATTATATAAAGAGCAATCTGGTTTTTATTGTACTTTTATTCATTTATTTGTTTAAGCTTTATATTTAGAAATTTGATTATTTTGAAATGTTTGCAGGTGGGGTAAGATAGGGATGCAATTTTCTTTCTGTGTGTATCACCTGGCAATTGTGCTAGCATTCTTTATTAAGTAACTTCTTTTTTATTCTCTGAGTTTTCAATGATATATTTATCACATACCTGTAGTAATACATGATATATATTATCTTCATCATTATTATCCCTCATCCATATGCATTTTTATAGACATCTTGACTAATTTATTTTCTTTGAAAAATGCATTAGTGAATGATCTTTAAAATAAATTTTCAGATACAATCTGCTATTTAAAAACCCACACCCTAAATGAATAAGTCCCCAAATGAATACCTCAGAAATTTGATTGGGACCATGATAAAATTAGAAATTAACTTAGAAAAGTTGCCTTCTTTAAACTACTGAGTCACCATATTCAAGATAAATTTATTGGCCATCCATGTAGTTTAGGGCCATGGTGGTGGCTGAGCTAACGTCTGCAAAAATCTCCTTCCTCAACCATAAGAAAAACATAAGCAAATTCTATGCAAGACCATGTCTTTAGCATAACTTGAAGACAGAGTATGAGAAAACTGCAGAATAACCAGTGTGAATAGCAAAAAATGAATGAATTTTCAAATACACACACACACACACACACACACATGCACACACACTTTACCTCATCCTATAACAGAAGTTTAATACAAATTGAAATAATTGCTGAGGGCCTTTGGGATCAAAGGCTATTGGCATCAGGTACAAGATTTCCATTGACACTAATGGAACTTTAGTGGGATTATCTCAGGAAATGAATCTGAAGGATGGCAAACTTTAAGTTTTTCAAAATTAATTTTGCTTGACAAAATTAAATTTTCTTCACATGGGAGAGGGACAGATTTATATAAATGTATGAGAGAGGCAAATGGTAAAGTTCTGAGCTTTAGTGTAGGATGCATCTTGATCATTCTCTTCCTCTCAAATTCATATTTTATTAAATTTATTTACACACTCATTCAAACTGAACTTGTGGCAATTAGTCACTTCTTAGGTAATGATTAAGCACATATAATCTTTTTTTCATCTAATCATCCTATTTGGACAAGAAGGAGACTGGGAACAGAGAGGGGACATATATAATGAAGTTATTAGCCATTGTTTTAGAGGTGAGAAATGCTTTTGAAAAAAAAGAAAAGTAGATATAGGTCTAGCTAATACATTTTGTTTTGAAAATCAAATATTCTGTTATTGCCAGATAATTTTCTGCCTCTGGTGTAGGTGTGTAATTTCCCATTTTTGAGGTTCGTAAACATGCCATGAAGCGATATCTTTAACAAATGCCCACATTAATACTTATGTTTATTTTTGAATTGAGCATGGTTTATTACCATGCAGAGTTCATTTTGCATTTTTGTTAGGAATGTTATTAAACATTTCATGTGCTATAAATTATTTATAATGCTACAGTCAGCAGCATCTTGAACTACTTGCTGATATATCTAGAAAGTCCATCTCTGATCATAGTCTGCATATTCAAGAAGGGAAAAAACCTAATTGTGGTCTTTAAAAAAAACATATAAAGAACTGAATTTGTGAAACAGAGGAATGATATCCTAATACATGTGATTGATAGTCATGAAATCTAGAGAGACATTGTAACTTAAAGTGATGACAAATTCAAATGCAGAAGAAACACAGCAAAGTTACCCTGTTGTGAAACCCATTGGAAAACAGTCTTGCCAGAGATTAGCCTTTGGTTGTTAACAAAGCCACGAGGAGAAAATATTTGGCACCTTGTGGTTTTAACAGAAGAAAAACATTGAACCAAGAGTGGAAATATTAAATATCTTTTATTATTAATATTTAAACATTATAAAGGACATTGAATAATAAAATAATCTTTCATTATTTAGCTTCTTTGTCTTTGGGTTTATTGACATTTTTGTATTTGCCACAACTTTCTTAAGCAAATTGCCAAGCACTTTCTTTAGCTGGACTAACTTGGTTTTAATTGATCCATTTTCTGGTTTTCCCAATTTATAATTAATAGCATGAAAAGAAAAACCCATTTGTACTGCCCATCCCTGAGTAGCCATGGCTATATAATGCAGAATAGTGGATAAATATATCTTTACATTTCCATCCAACAGTCCAGCAATAATGACTCAAATCTGCTGTCTGGCAGAACTCCCAAGTACTTATAAAGAGACCAAGATCTCTGAAAATGATAGGTCCTTTCCAACACACTGTGCTGAAAATCTTGTCAATTGTAAAATAATTGTTGGCCATTGTGGGGTTTGAGGCAACAGGGATTTACATGACTATAGAGGATCATTTTTTTTTGTAACTGTGTAGGGTCTAGCCAACAGTTCTTGGCAGCATTTTAAAAAGCATTAAGTTTCCTGGCAATGCCAGGGATCAGATCCAGGGAAGCTGACTTTGTCACTGTAATTATTTCCAAGCTTATTCTGTTCCCAAACAAAGCAACTTGAGGACAGGTCCATTGTAAATTTTCTGAGTGCTTCACATGCAAGGCCCTTGAGTGTCTCTTCCAGATACATGTGTTTGGACCAATTCAGATATAGTTTCTTTGATACTTGCTAATTAGCACTTTTGGTCAAACTCTGGAATTTTAGATTTCATAGTCATAAGGAAACCATGACCTCAAATTTCCTGTTGCATTGTATGAGAGATGTTAATATGCGAGCCTGTCCAAAGAATGGTTAGCAACATCAGGGACAAGAATTGCTTCACACTGGCCCCAAATAGTTGCAAATGGTTTAATTTTTATGTGGGTTCAGGGGTGGAATGGGGGGAGTTTAGTCTTTACTGATCTTAACTTGTATGGGAAGAGTAACTATTCAATGCACTTTTACAATATGCTTAACAACTTAATGAGTTTTGGAATGAAAGGGAGTATATAAATCATTGTCAGTTCAATGTTTAAGCTCAGGGTTCTTATCAGTTGAAACTGCCCTGACCCTGAAACATCTCATTTTTTAGCAACGTGAACTGTAAACCAATCACATATATCCAGTACGCTACCTCTGCATCCACTCTATGCCAAACAGGGATTTGAAAAAGGACTCAGAAGTTTGACAATACATGGTGAAGACCTGTTCTCAAAACATATCTCAAGAGATTTTCAAGTTTTACACAAAAATGGATGTGACTCAGCTTTAATATGCCAGCCCAGGCCAAATTTATGCTTGTGTATTATACAATACCTCAGTTTGGTTTGTAAAGTCTGATTTAGGCATAAGTCTTAAAAGGACTAGGAAAGCATTCATTGGAGACCAACTGCATCAGGGCTGGAAGCAACTTTTGATATCACTTGGCCAATCTCTTTCTTTTTATAGGTAAATAAACCAAGGTGCAGAGAAATTGTATGACTTGATTGGGTCATGGATTTGGTCAGAGTTGGACCTAATACACAGATCTTCTAACTCTTGATGATGTTTCACTAGATTCAGTAGATGTTTTCACTAGAAAGTAAACAGGGTTAGAAGTAGCATGAAAATAAAGATCCATGTTCTTGTACATAGGACATCTTTATAGAGTGCTTTCTGCCTCTCAAGGTCATGGCAGAGGTCATCTTTTTATAGTTCTTCAACATTAGTTCCCTGTTAAGTCTCTGTCTCAGTAATTTGGGAAACATACAATATTTTCAGTGAACTATATTTTTCACATTGATGGTTTCACTTTGTTTCTTTTTAGTACTTGATTATGGGAGGTCATCTTTTAAAACTTTTTTAACACTAGTAGAAATAACTTTTATGATGTAGCTGACTTAGTCTCTGAGACTTATTATTTTATTTCAAAGAGGTTGGTTCAGAATAGAATTTATACTGTCTCATGTACAGAAAATATTTGATCTATTTTGTTTTCTAAAAGTTCAAGGACTTTTTGTATCTTTCTGTTAGCTGTATGTGCCTATTTAAATTAAAATCAATTAAATCTAAATGAATATTTAAAAATTCATTTCCTCAGTCACACAGGCCACATTTTAAGTGCTTAGTAGTCACATGAGGCTAGTGGCTACTATACTAGGCATCACAATCACAGAAAGTTTTATTGGACCTCTCTATTCTGGAAGAGTTAATGTCCTCTCTCAAGATCCTTGCATTCAAAATGCCTACTATATCTGAAGAATCATGCATCAATTAGCAAATATAGCAAACACATGATTTTCTTCTTAAATATTTCTAAGAATCAGAAATAACGTTAACATTTTTGTGCGATTTTGTTGAGCTTTTCCCTTTCTAGCTGTGCAAATCTTGAGAGATTTCTCCTTTTGTTTCAATTTCTACCTTTTAAAATAAAGATGATAATACTTGATAGGATTAATGTAAGAATAAAATGATAGAATTCTGGTAAAGTGCTCAGCACACTACCTGGAAGACATTAGGTACCTAATAACCAGAAGGTCCCCAATTTAGTGTCCCCCTTGCCCCTAATACATACAAACACTTAGTAATTTGTTAATAAAAATATTTATATTATAAAACCTTTCCTAAGAAAATTCAGAAGTTAAAGAAATGAGAGATTCACAATAACAGATAATGGTTAAAATCTACATATTAAGCATTCATCATCCCTATAGGACTTTAGAAATAGCTTGAAAGTTTGTTTCTGTGCTTGTATATTGTTTGGTTTTTGGACCTAATTATAGCTTATATTTGGGGAGTAGAGTGTATGTATGTGTGCAGGGAGTAAAAAATCAACTTTAATGTAGATTGAGGTGTCTAAAAGTGATACATACAAACTAATTCCATGACAAGAGGGTAGGATTTTTGATGATTCATTCACATGTTCTTTCTCGAATAGCTCCTTTTTTCTCCTCAAGATACCTCTTTTTGAGAAGTCTGGTCCATACTAAGGTTTCAGTCTGCTATTCTGTAGAAGAACAAAGCTTGCCTGACAGATATTGAACTCACAACTTTCTTCTACCATCACATTTTTTCTGAATGAAGATTTAAAAAGTCAGCATCTAGTTACTTTTTATTCCTTGTATTTTCCTATAGTGCTTTGACATTCATTAAAATGATTTACATTCTGCATTTATTTGCCTTTATTCTGACATAGAATTTTAGCTTGTCAGTTAATTTTTTCCAGCTCTTTAAATTTGTCTTCCTATATTTGTGTCTAGTTGTTTTTATTGAAAGGTAATCTATCAGTCTAATTTTTGCTCCTTGGAAAGTAGTGTTTTCCCCACATGCCCCTCAACTTGACTGCTTTAAAGATTTTCTCTGTCTTTGGTTTATAGCAGTCTGACTATATTGTACCTAGGTGCAGTTGTCAGTGTGCTTGGTAGGTTCTGAGCTTCTTGAATTTGTGACTTACTGGCCTTGGTCAGTTTTGGAAAATTTGGCCATTGTCTCATTAACTAATATTTTTGTTTTATCCTCTTTCTCCTTTCCTTCCTTTCTGGGATTCCAAATACATATTTTTTTAATTTAAATTTTTAAATTTTTAATTATGGATACATAATAGTTGTACATATTTATGGAGTACATGTGATATTTCAATACAAACCTACAATGTCTGATAATCAAACCAGGGTGATTGGGGTGTTCATCACTTCAAGCATTTATCATTTCTTTGTGTGAGAAACATTTCAATTCCATTCTTTTAGTTATTTTGAAATATACAATAAATTATTGTTAGCTATGGTCTCCCTATTGTGCTACTGAACACTAGATCTTATTCCTTCTATCGGACTGTATTTTTGTATGCATTGATCATTCCCTCTTTATCTCTCCTACCCTTCCCAGCCTCTGCTAATCAGCATTCCAGGCTCTGTCTCCATGAGTTCTATTTTTCTTTTTTTGTTCTTTTTTAGCTGCTGCATATGAGGACATGCAATATTTGTCTTTCTGTGCCTGGCATATTTAACTTAATATAATGTCCTCCAGATCCATCCATGTTGTTGAAAATGATAGGATTTCATTCCTTTTTATGGCTGAGTGATATTCCATTGTGTATATGTGCTACATTTTCTTTAGCCATTCTTCTGTTGATGGACACTTAGGTTGATTCCATACTTTGGCTATTGTGAATAGTGCTGCAGTAAACATGGGAGTGCACATATTTCTTTCATACACTGCTTTTCTTTCTTTTGGATATATACCCAGCAGTGGGATTGCTGGATTATAGTTCTATTTTTCGTTTGTGAGAAACCTCCATATTGTTCTCCATAGTGGCTGTACTGATATACATTCCACCAACAAGTATGAGGGATCCCCTTTCTCTGCATCCTTGCCAGTATTTGTTATTTCTTATCATTTAGATAAAAGCCATTTTAATTAAAGTGAGGTGATATCTCATTGTAGTTTTAAATTGCATTTCTGTGATGATCAGTAATGTTGAACATTTTTTCATATACCTGTTGCCCATTTGTATGTCTTCTTTTGAGAAATGCCTATTCAGATCTTTGCCCATTTTTTAATTGAGTTATTTGTTTTCTCCTATTAAATTGTTTGAGCTCCTTATATAGTCTGGTTGTTAATCCCTTGCCAAATGGGTAGTTTGAAAATATTCTTTCCCATTCTGTGGGTTTTCTTTTCACTTTGTTGATTGTTTCTTTTTCTGTGCAGCAGTTTTTTAGCTTGACATGATCCAATTTTTGCTTTGGTTGTCTGTGATTTTTGAAGTCTGATTCAAGAAATCTTTGCCCATACCAATGTCCTGGAGTATTTCCCCAATATTTTCTTCTAGTAGTTTCATAGTTTCAAGTTTCAAGGTCTTTAATGCATTTTCATTTGACTTTTTTATATGGCAAGTGGTAGGAGTACCATTTTATTATTCTACCATATTTATTTTTCCAATCCATGAACATGGGATTTTTTTTCATTTTTCATTTCCTCTGCACTTTCTTTCATCAGTGCTTTATAGTTTCATTGTAAAAATCTTTGGCTTACTGAGTTTAGTCCTAGGCTTTTAATCTTATTTGTACCTATTGTAAATGAAATTACTTTCTCGGTTTCTTCTCTTTTTTTCTTTTTTTTTTTTTTTTTTTGAGACGGAGTTTCACTGTGTCGCCCAGGCTGGAGTGCAGCGGCGCGATCTCGGCTCACGGCAAGCTCCGCCTCCTGGGTTCATGCCGTTCTCCTGCCTCAGCCTCCCGAGTAGCTGGGACTACAGGCACCCGCCACCACGCCCGGCTAACTTTTGTATTTTTAGTAGAGACGGGGTTTCACCGTGTTAGCCAGGATGGTCTCTATCTCCTGCCCTCGTGATCCGCCCGCCTCGGCCTCCCAAAGTGCTGGGATTACAGGCGTGAGCCACCGAGCCCAGCCTCTTGGTTTCGGTTTTAGGTTGTTCGCTGCTGGCATTCAAATACATTTTTTAGATGTGATGTATATTCTTTTCTGTATTTTCTTCTTTAATTTTCTTACCTGCTATAATCTGGATATTTTTAATAATTTTTATTTTAGTTTATTAATTCTCTTTCTTTGACCACTCTTCTATTAAACCTTCTTATTGAATTTTAAATTAATATCGTTTATTAATTTAATTAAATTAATTTCAGTTATTATATTTTTCCATTCCAGAATTTCCATTTGACTTAAGTGCTATTTCTCCTGTGAAATTCTCTATATTTTTATTATTTTCTTGGCTATATTAGTTATAGTTATTTAAGAACTCTATCCGATAATTGCAATAGTGAAATGTTCAATAAATTGATCTGATTATTTTTCTTGTTTTTTGATCATTTTGACCTGTTTTTGACATATTTAGTAATTTTGCATTGAATGTTAAACATTGTATATAAAATATTATAGAAGCCCTGGGTGATGATATCTACTTCTTACACAACATCTTTTCTGGCAGGTAGATAAATTATAAACAGATCATCATCTTTTCAGTCAATACTGGGCTTCAGGGTTTGATCTATTTTTGGTTTGTCCTTACTCGTAGGACTTTTTTTTTTTTTTTCCTAGGGCATAACCTTTCTGGGTTCTCATTGGAGATACTGGAGTGTTTACATGAACTCCTACCTACATCTCCATGTGACAGCTGAAATCTTTGCTCAGCCTTTTGGTCTCTTAGCTGTTGCCTTCCATTTGATTTCTTGGTGTCTCAATCTGAGCCATCCACAGTTTAGGATTTGGCAAATGTCTTAAGGAGAAATTGCACACAGAATTTTGGGCTTACCGCTTATGGATTTTGGTCCCTCAGTCTCCGTTGACTTGGAAGCCCTGAATTCCAACCTCTGTTTATGCAGCCCATTGAAATGGTTGCAAGCTTTAGGCCACTGCTTTCCACTCAGCCTCCTTCTGTTATCCATGTAATTAGCAAATTCCCTGAGTAAAGTGCAGAGACAAATATGTAGCTCACATCAGTATTTTCCCTCTCTCTGGAAACTTGGCCCCTCAAGTCCTGGCTGCCTTCATTGTTCACTAATGCCTTCAAAGAGTTATATTTTGCATTTTATTCAGATTGTGTAATTGTTCCCAATGAAATAGTTGTTCTGATACATGCTATTGCATCATGGCCAGAAGTCCAGGATCCTACATTTCATTTTATCTTCAACAAATTTGTGGAGTAAGCCTGACATGATATTGAGTCTTAGGAAAGTTAGTTAACTTGCCATGGCACAAGCCAAGTAAGATAAATAGGTGGTCTTAGAGTTCAGGTCAGATATTTCAATTCTCTTCTTATCATCAGTCAAAGCCTGAAATGTGTTTCATATTCAGCTTTGGGTTCTGATAGTCATTGCATGATTTCTTTTTAATTCTATTGGCTTAAACATGTGCTTCCTTTTCTTATTAATATTTTCTGGTAAAGGAAAATTCCGAGCACATCAAGATGATGTAATAACAAACTTATACTTTTTAAACGGACACAGATTTGCATACATCCTGTACCTGTTTCCATTTTATGTTGGTTGGATAACATAGGAGCCTGCTGACTCATTATCTATAGAAATATTAGACATGGGCTCCCTTCATAAATGAATGCTCAACCGTCATTAATCTAGAAGGCCAGACCCTACCCTGAGTCACACTCCTTCTGTCATCTGTAAACTTTTATAGTCACAATGCTGCAGATAGGAAGATTTTCAACCTATACATTTCTAAAGTGTTCTATGCTTCTAAAATCTTAAAGTCATCTTCCAGGAAGTCATTTTTAAAGATGCATAGAAGGAGAATGTGTGTAAGGCGGGAGGCTCAGGTAAATTGCATACTCTCTTTGAATATGTATTAAATTTCAATATGAAGGCAGAAAGAGGCAGAGGAGTTCAACTGTGAGAATTCCACACAATGAACTGCATGGGTTAGCATGATGATGTAGAACCATGGTGTCCAGTGGGTGAGTTGATGATAATTCCACATTGCCAAACTTTTAAAGATCATTTCTACTGGATGATTTTATTCGCATACTCTTTCTTAGATAATATTTGCTGATCCCTTAAATGTTTTCACAATGCTTTCACATTCATCCCTCTGGATCCCCACAAATACTCCTCCAAGTAAGCTTAACAAGTTTTATTCTCTATCATTTTGAGGCTGAGGCCAGATACATTATTACTTGTCCAAAACAACACTGCCAGGAACTGGGTAGAACTGGGAGTTGAACCCAGGTCTTCTGGCTTTCTACTCCCCAGATTTCTGTTAGACACAGTCTCTAGGGATAAGAAAGGGAATTGATCAAGGGTTCTTTGCAGGCGGCACTGTTGTCTAACTACTGAAGGACCAGCAGGAGAGATGATTTTGGCCATGGGGGCTTTTCCATGCCACTCAAATGGGAGCACACACCTGATAGTTTTCTGTTTCACTCTAGTTCCATTTTCTATTTCATTAATGGGAGCTCCTAGAAAAATTCCTGTGTGGTCAATGTGATAGGAAGTCTCTCAAAAACTTTTTATGTCAACAAGGTCTTTCCCTGAGAGAAATTCAGAATAATCATCTGCCCTCTCGGGGCAAGTAGCAGTAAGATTCTTAAAAATTTTAGTTTTCCATGTGGCATATATACAGCATGGAATACTATGCAGCCATAAAAAATGATGAGTTCATGTCCTTTGTAGGGACATGGATGAAGCTGGAAACCATCATTCTCAGCAAACTATCACAAGGACAAAAAACCAAACACTGCATGTTCTCACTCATAGGTGGGAATTGAACAATGAGAACACATGGACACAGGAAGGGGAACATCACACACCAGGGCCTGTTGTGGGGTGGGGGAAGGGGGGAGAGGGGAGGGATAGCATTAGGAGATATACCTAATGTTAAATGACGAGTTAATGGGTGCAGCACACCAACTTGGCACATGTATACATATGTAACTAACCTGCACGTTGTGCACATGCACCCTAAAACTTAAAGTATAATAAAAAAAAATTTTAGTTTTCCTCAGGGAGGAGGCCTTGCAACTACCTTAAAGAAACGCAGTGTTCTGTGGGAGAATAATATTGAACAGGGTGAAGGAAGTGCAGCTTGTGAGTCATAAATATTTACATTTCGTGGAGGCTTTGGGTGAGATTAAGAGGGCTGAACAGCATGATTTTATGTGAGGAGGCGGAGGCATAGTCTCTAAAATAGCCAAGGTGATACTGCCCGGGCCTCCAGCAATAATATAAATAAAGCCTCTGGAAGGTATGTTCTCAGTTGTCCAGGCTCCATGGATCCATTTAAACGTCTACTTTTTCTCCTTTGATTCTGCTTTTGTCACTTAAGGGCCAAGATTCAACCTACTCCCATCATTTGGGGAAGTTTTATCAAAGAATGCGTAGCATCAAATGCATGAAAATTAGAAATATCAAGCAGAACATTCATCGTCTATTTTTGTTCAGCTCAACTGCTTAACTGCTTAAAAAATGACAACAAACACAAATCAGGGATGTACTGGAATTTGGTATCATTTAAGAATGCTTTTTGGGGGCTACTTTGTTTGATTAGGGTTCCATTAGAATTTTAATTTATCTTTGTTTTATTTGCATAACAAGGTTATGAATGATGAGGCAGCTAGTGCCAGACGTGTTGGCTCCAAGGTTTGCAATTTAAGTAGGGAGTATTTTGCAAGAGAGGGAGGGAGGGAGAATTCACTCTTCTTATAATATGCATAGCTTGCTGAAACCTGAGTTTCCCAGATTGTCTTCCTTGAGCTCCCATATCTGTAAGAATAAAGGAAAAGCAGGAGGCGGCACAGCAGACTTGGAGAGCAGATTAGCTTTCTTAAGTGCGATGAATACATCCCCAAAGCAGGAACATTCCCATGATGCCCAGCTGCTGGCGGTGTTTGCAGGCACTGCATGCTCCCTGCAGGAAAGAGACAGACTGACAAAAAGCAATACTGTAGGCTAATAGTTTCTAACACCTTATTCATTCACAAATGGATAATTGTTGGAAATTGAGCTCTTTTACCATGACTGTCACCTCAAAGATATAGACAAGTTTGTATAAAATAGGGAGGAGTTCTCCTAAGAATGCCTCTATTCCCCTTTGTCCCCACCTGCGTTCTAACAAGAGGTCTCTTGCATTTTCAACCCTATCATGGTACCCTCCTGGCTGTCTTCCCAGACCTCTGACTTCCCAGAGTCAGAATATCTGGGACTTTGGAGAATCGAAATATATATTTTGAAAAGACTTTTAAGTGATTTTGACATGTTCCTTTGCCTAAATTGACCCAAAACCCTAGATCTGAGTGACTAAATGTGTAATCCCAACATTTAACTTGTGTCTGGCTGCTGCTGAGAGCTGCATCTGCCTTAGTGGGTTGGATTCACATTTGCTCTTTAATAGTGACCTTCGTAACTTTGTTTCCAAAGAAATAGCCAGGAGTTTCAAGAACATAGGCAAACCACGAAGGGAGATATAATTGGGGTCATGGAGGCATTCTAAACATCACATATAGGTGACATTCTAAACATCACATATAGGTGATCACCTGTTCTAACTAAGCATAAGATCATGCACATAAACCTTGTAAAGCCTAGTGTATTGATAAAATTATTGAAAGAGCAGATGGAAATGTGATTGCCTTGGTTTAATCCAGCCCGAGGCAAGGAAATTGCCATTTGGCTTTCCAATCCATTTAAGGGCCTTTGAGATTTGCCCTTTGCTGCCAGTTTCACTTTCAATTTCACCTTGACACTTCCGTTAATTTTGTTTAGGAAACCCAGTTACCATGCTGCAGATGAGATGGAATTAGAAGTAGATATGTTCAAGCTATACTGAACCTTAGAAAACGAAAAGCCATTGTTCACCAGGGACTCTCTGGGGAGAGACTAATCTGAGTTTTTCTGCCATTTCCTGATTGGCAACCACAGTGAGGAGTCCAGGTGGTTCTGAATTCTGCTCTCAGCATTGCCTCTTTCCCCTGTGCCTGAGGCAGGCCTCTTATAAAGCATCTCAGATACCAATCCGTGATAGCTCAGGTATCAGTAGAAAAGGGAAAAGGGAACAATTCCTCTGGGCTATCAAAATACTGTTTTCTTTTTCACCTTGGTGAGGAGCATCTGAAAGACATGCCTAAGCTTTTGCTCTTGGGAAAAGCAATCCTCTCTGCTGATCTCACTTGAGATAAGGGAAGACGCTCTCCCTACCCACCTGTGCCCTCTTGTTTTCTGGAAATAGTTTTAGGGAAATAAGCATGGACTAAGATCCATGTTTACTAAAGTGTGGTACGGAAGCAACTGGTGACATGCAAAATGGATTAAGGCAGCACAAAAACAAATTTATGCATTATCTTAAAAATATTCATTTCTATAGAAATCTCAAATTTCTGGCAAATAAAACTGATTTGTCAGCTTTTAATTATAATAGAAAATTCCCTTTTAAAATTAAGTTTAAAAAGATAATCACTTTAAAGATAAGTATTAGAGGAATTATTAATAGTACAGCTGGTATGTTAGGAGTACAACATCCATGAGGCTTGGTTTGTGAATGACATTTAGGAAGCATTGACTCATAAGGGCCATGGCAGAGTGGACCTAGAGAAAAAATAATTGTGAACTTCTTAATTTTAAAATTTTGTTGTGAATCTATAGGCAACAGATATTATGTGGAGATTATCAATTTGACTCAACATGGTCCCTGACAACTTGAGCTCCTAAAAAATGTAATTATTAGAAGTAATGTTATCAACTTAAAGCCCACAATATGAATTTCAAAAAGAGCAAGAGGTCATAACTGACTATGGGCTTTTAATGTTGGTTCTTGATTTGTCTGTTGAGTACTTGAAACTAATTCTAAAATATTGAGCTGTGAGAGCTCATTTGGTTTCCTGATTTACTGCCTCTAAATCCATTCATCTCTATGCCTAAAGCTAATATTGTTTTCCTACCCCAAATTCAACTGTGTAATTCCCCGAGCATCTTTCTGAAGTCACAAATAATAAAGTGCAAGTACTACTATTTATTAATTAGAAGAGAAGATTTATAGAGAAGAAAGTAGTAATGCAAGCTTTGCATTTCTTTATTCACTTAAATAGTTTTAAAATATTTTTATTTTGGGAGAGATACTCATATTGAACAAACATTAAAGATGATGCAGTGTAGTCACCACTTCCACTGTGGAGAGTATGTTATTAACAGGATATCAAATACATTGTTACGGTTGGCTGGAAAAAGCATGGACTTTGGAGTTGAAAAAATGTGGGTGTAATCCTTAGTGTTTCCTACTTCTTTTTTTTTTTTTCTCCTTTTTTTAGATGGAGTCTTGCTCTGTCGCCAGGCTGGAGTGCTGTGGCGCAATCTCGGCTCACTGCAACCTCAGACTCCCTGGTTCAAGTGATTCTCCTGCCTCAGCCTCCCTAGTAGCTGGGATTACAGGCATGCGCCATCACTCCCAGCTAATTTTTGTATTTTTAGTAGAGACGAGGTTTCACCATGCTGGCCATGATAGTCTCGATCTCCTGACCTCGTGATCCACCCGCCTCAGCCTCCCAAAGTGCTGGGATTACAGGCGTGAGCCACCTTGCCTGGCCAGTGTTTCCTACTTCTAACTGTGTGATCATGTGTATATCACCTCTAAGTCACAATGGGAAAAATAACACTTGTTTTAAAAGGCTGTTGTAGGATCAACTTAGAAAAGGTAGCAAAAGTGGTTGGGATGTAAGTTGCGTGCTTTTCCCTTTTCCTTTTCCTAGATGTGGAATCACTCAATTTGGCAATTAATTTTATGCTCATCTATTATTTTCTTTTCTTTAATTGCTTCTCAGTTCTGCCTCTATAAATTCATTATGATGAGGATAATATCTTACTGTTCACATTATCTGCAGTGTTGGGCTCAGAATCAGTGCTCATTATCCACAGGTTGATGAGAGGAGGATAAGGTGGCCATGTTAGAAAGCAGTTTTCTCATAGTTTTGTGGACTAGAAGGGGCTTTCTGAAATCTCTCAGAGCAGTTCTCTACTTCTGGCTACTTTTGGCATGCATCATGGCAGCTTGCAGTGAAACATTCTTAGGGAGATATCCTTGTAAGGCAAAGAAATTCACCAATATTTATTGGTACAGTGGCGAAGAGTTTGGCTCATCTATGGAGGAGAGGTCAACTACATATTTTTGGTAATGGCTGGAATAAAATCAGCATTCAAAACCATTCATCTTTTAACCATCACTTTGGTGGGGGAAAGGCAAGGTGACTGGGCTGTAGAAAGAGTTGATCTCTATTGTAATCTGAAGTTCTAAAGTCACCTGGTAGTTAAACTTCAATTCACTAGGATTTTAAGAATAAGAAACACTTACTGAAATGACTTCAGAAGAGATTGTCTAGATTTACTAACTTCATGTGAACTTAAAGTCAGTTACAGGGTCTAATGGTTCAGAATAGTCATGTAACTTGTTCCAGACTTACCACATTCTATTCTGTATTCATTTAGACAAATCATTTTATCCTGTTCATAGTGGTTCATCTACCAAATATATCTGCAACAAATAGAGCTGTTATAATTTCACAAATGAATGACATAAGAACTTTTCTCGCATCTTGCAGGTTGGTATGAACACTAAAATAAATGTTTATAAAAAATTACAAAATAAAATTCTATTGCCAAAGAATTATGTGTCATAGTGTTTCCTAGTAGACCATTTCTCCATAAGGGTAGGAACTACATCTACTGTTTTAACTTTAGTGCCTTAACAATGCCCAGCACTTAGTAGGCACTGACTACTGTCAGGTGAATAAATAAAGGAATGAAGTAACAGATGCTGAAGCACCTGAAGTGAGTGGCTCTTGGTAGATATTTTCCTCTGAGAATTTGTTGGTTAGTATGTATTCAGAATTTGGAGCTGCTTATGTCTCAGGGATACAAGTTCATTTTGGGCCAGAGTGGTCAAATCAGAAGTACCCAAAACTTAAGATTAATCAATTGTTTTCCATCTGGCAAATTTTCATGAATGAGTAGGACCTTTGGGAGGGATTAAGGAATTGACTGGACCATTTAAATCAGCAGATCCAATAATGCATACTGTGTATCGAACAGTGCCCCAGATATTAGCTGGCTAATAGATATGGACTGACTGGGGCACCCTAGTCCTAGATAGTTTGAAGGTACAGAGGAATGTACTTCCGGGGCCCAGCTATTCTAACATAGCTTAGTAGGAAAGATCTGGTTCAAATGGATCATGCCTCATATGGCATATTTAGATGCCACCTGGAAAAACTCCAACCACCTGAATTCAAATTCTGGTTTTACTACTTTCTAGCTATGTGATCTTGGAAAATTTGCTATACTTTTGTGCCTCATGTCCCTTAGCTGAAAAGTTGTGACAAATTTTAATTTTTCTGCCTCCCTCATAGTTTTTATAAAGATAAAATGAAATAATCTATGTAAAACATTTATTAGTCTGCCTGGTATATAATTATAGCTCAGTAAGTGTTAGAAGCTATTATTATTATTAATATTAGTACTGCCTCATTGAGGTATAAAACCAAGTTGTTAAGGTATTTGGTGAGTATAAAATGAGTTTCAACTCTTTTTGGAAACCAAGGTATGTCATGTGGCTCCATAATCAATGGGTTTCTGGTTAGTCTCTTTCATTACAGTATAGGTTCCTTACAAACTCACCTGCCAGATTTTAATTGCCTTTGACTTCCACTCATCCAGTATAGTGATTGTCACATGGTAGGTTTTCAATAAATATTTGGTGAATGAGAATGAGTGAAACTTACACAAAGCTGCAGAGTGTTTATGTACCATAAAAAATGCCCACGGTCATATTTAGTGTTGGGTTTTGTTCTATGATAAGATTTCAGAAGTCTTTAGAAATTTTCTTTAAAATGTTTTTGTTTAAAAGTAAGATAAATTAAAATAAATCTCCCTAAAATATAATTGGCCATGTTTATTTTTAGAAAAGAAACTACTACTGTGTTTGGATAGGAACAATCTGTACTTCTCCATAAATATGTCACATTTTTGAACTACCAAGAAAAAAAACAATAGAAAGAAAAATTCAATCTCCTGTTGTTTCAAATTCCATCCAATTTAGAGATTTTGTTTTTGTTTTTTTTTTTGTTTTTACCACTCCTGGTGTCAGCTGGGATGCAGTGCTGGGTGATACACATGGATGAGGCCAGGTCTGGGTGTGAACCAATCTGCAGTTAGTGTATAATATCAAAATGCATTTACTCTTCATCCTCGCCCACTCTATCTGTGCCTGGTGGGTTAAATGTAAAAAACTGTGGAACCCAACATAGGCCAATTCTTCTGGGTTACCTGCTGTTATTAGCTAGTTTATATGTACTTGCACATATTTTCTCTGAATCCTCGGAGATAATAATTTCAGACACTCCCTTAGTGTGCCTGTCTTAGATTTCCTTCACATTCTGTCACAGGAGGAGCCACCTGATTCTGAACCTTTTTTCAGGGTTTGGATAAGTTTGATGCCTCCCACTGTTCTTGCTGCTGCTCAGATGACTCCTTTCCTAATCTGTGTTCCCACAGCTGCCATCTTTTTGGGTTGCTTTCTTGGCTTTCACTCTTGCTCGGACCTTGACTTCAGGGTTGAGGAAGTTGTCACAGTGCAATCCTCAGACTCCTCTGACTGGCATGTGAGATCACCTTTCAACCTTTGTAATCCAATAGGAAAATCACAAAGAACAGTTCCGTAAGCTGATAAAAGTCAAAACGAGTATAGGAAAAATGGTACATTACATGCAAATAAACAGAAATCAAAAGAAAGAACAAGAGAAAAGAAGAGGAAAATTTCATGGTTTTTGCTTCTCCTGAGTCTATAACAGACTGCCCAGGTGTTACCATTTGTGGATCTAAAGACATTTGAGTGAAAGCTTTCATTCATCAAAGGAACATCAGGAATTGTGTGCCTACATACAGTTTAGGTAATATTAGCTCTCATATTAGCATTAGGGAAACACTAATGTTAGGCTCAACTCCAAGGTTTCAGTGGCTAGCCCAATAGCAGTTTATTTCTTGTTCATTAATCAGTCCAATGTAGGTGTTACTAGTCCATGGGACTTGAAGGCTAGGGGTCTACTGAAAATGTCAATCATCAAACCAGACTGACAGGTGCTGCCATCTTCCCCATAGGGTTTCCAGTAATTAGAGTACAGAGGAAGATATATGAAAGGTTTTTCTGGATCAAGTTTGAAAGTGGTGATCATCAGTCACTTTTACTCACATTCTCTTATGTGAAACTCACGTAAGCTAAAACATCAGCTAAAACGGAAAGTGAGATGTTTAGGAAAAAGAAGAAACAATGAGCTATTTGCTTCCAGGTAAGTTCCAGGTGCCAGTAACCACTCCCAAAGTTCTTAGACAAAAATCTCAAATCTGATTTATTTCTTTATCACTTTAAGGTAAGCTAAGAAATAGAGGGAAGAGAGGAAACACATTTTGATAAACAGCTAGCAGTTAGATTCTTTTTTTTTTTCTGTTCACGGGTCATACTCAGTCCTTCCCCAAAGAAGAAAATTAATAAAATTAATAAAAAATTCAGTTATTGTCTCCAGGTCAAAGTATGTAATTTCTGAGTGATGAGCAATTTCCTCCATCAAGTACAGATAGGGTGGCATGGGTTCCAGCTACCTCTAACTAAAAAACAACAATAACAACACACACACACACAAAATCACACCCTTTCCCCCCACCAGCAGGTATACAATACCAGATCAAGCACAGGATAACAGAGAGACAAATTCCCCTTAGAAAACAAACGGATAGGAGACCCAGTGTTTGCTGGTCCATTTCAAGGATGGAGTCTTGCTGCGTGCATACTGTAAGGCCACCCCTGCTCTTCAGGGAAGGAAGGTTTTGTGTAGATCCTGGATTTACTATCAGAACAAACTCCTTCTTTCATTGTTTTCTGCAGCATCTGATCTGCCCTCAAAGTGTTCTTTTTTGACAAGAGGTTCTTACTTTTCCTGTTCATATAAAGTGAGCCATTGGTAAATTTGCCCTCCTTGGGGACCATATAGCTTTTGCAATCTGCTCCTTGCTAGCACAAGTTTGGGTGCCAAGTCTTCTTCCTTAGTCATGGGCTATTTTTTTTCTTTTATTCTTTTTTTAAAGCAAGTTCTGCTAATACAACTTCTTAAAAAGCTCACTTGGCTTCTGAACTATGTGCTTCTGAGCTAGCTTCATGTGCTAGTAACGACCCCCTGAACTTCTTTCTCAGATATAATTCTGAACTCTGATTTATTTCATTGCTTTCTCATCTTAATGCCTCCTTCTCTCAACTTAATGGAGGCTGTTTTGACGTCAATTAAAGCCATTTGAATTCTTTGTTTAATTGCTAAGAATTAATGGGGCTTTTCCACTCAAAGCCTTTTTCCAGTTTATTTCATACTTTTTTGGAATTCAGAAGCTGTTGGGTTTTCCAACCCTATGAGACTTCAGATTTTCGGACTCTTCCTTTAATCCTGGAATTTTACTCAAAACGTGTTAATTCTTGCCTGAACTGCAATCTTCCTTACAGTAACTTGCTTTAAGCAGCATGGAGGAACTGACAAATATGAACATCTCTCTTCAACTACTTCCCCTAGAGCTCATCTCAGAAGACACCTGGTCTGCCTTCCAGATTGCTACAGGCAACCCTTTTCATGAACTATTTTGCCAAAACAAAACAGGACTCTTCAACCTTCTAGCCACTGATCACCTGAGTACTAACCCAATGCCAAGTACTTGGGGTTTTGTTCCGGCAGTATCTGGGTTCAAATAGGATAATGTTAAGATTCAGGGCAATGTAAGCTATTGTAAAACATTAGTCTAGAAATTTCATTGACTTATTGCATTAAGAGCTTATTTCTCTTTTATATAAAACTCCAGGGTGGGTCACTCAGGGATCCGTGCTGATGGAGGCTTTGCTGTCACTTGTCTTCAGTGAGTGTTTTCCAAGTTTGCTTTGGATATCAACTGCCAGCTAGCAGGAGGAGGAAGAGCATGAAGTTTTTCACAGAGAAAATTTAGGTGGTCAGTTCTGGAAGTAGGGCTTGTCCCTTTCATTATACTTTAATCCATGACCACATTTAACTGTAAAGGAGGCTGGGGAAAGTCACCTGGCTGTGTGTTCAGGAGGAAGAGAAAATGGCTTTCCATAAAAACACTAGCAGTCTCTGCTACCGTGCCTTAAGCAGATGGGTCAGGTTTTTTTCTCATGTGACAAGAAGTCACAAAGGTAGGTTGTCCAAAGCTGGTGCACTAACTCTGTGATGACAATGAGGGGATAGTGTTTTTCTCCCCACACTCCACCCCTGCTTTGCCCAGGAAAACAGCACCCTCTCCTGAGATTTCTGACAACTTATTGGCCAGAATTGAGTTAAGTGACCATTGTTAGTGGTCAGGGAAGCTGAGAAATTGGCATTTTAACTAGGCACATTTCCCCTCTGTTAAAATCAATTCAATTAATAAGGAAGAAGGGGAGAGTGGATATGGGATAGCTAATTAGCTGTGTCTGCCTCAAAAATGTCTATATTCTAAGAGGAACGTCTTTCCGGATGCAGATCTCTTTTTCTTTTGGAAAGTTGCATATAAAACTTTTTCTGTCTTCTAGAGACATTCAGAAATATTTATTCTAAGTAAGTCTTTCAGCAACTGGTACCATGCCTAGAACATAGTAGGTACTAATAATTTTTTATTGAAATAGATTAATTAGCAAAGATATATGCCTATATGAATGGAACAGTCAAAAGGAGATGTCCTTCTGAGGACTCTAACATATGTTTGAGTAGATTGAGAGAGTTATCATCCAATATACAAATAATTTTTCCTAGATATTTGTTACTCGTGAAGTAGTTTATGCCTTCCAAGGCCTCAAATATTTGCATTCCTAGAGAAAAATTAAGAAAAAAACAACAAACCCAAAAGAAAATCATAAAAAGTGTTCCCCAAAGAAGTGAAGGAAAATATCTTATAAAAGACTCAACTTCTAGAAGGTAGGAGACTATTTTTTTTTTTTTGGTATTGATTTGGAAACCAGAAAAATGAAAAGCTAACTGATTTTTGACTGAAATAAATTGATTATGCAAACATCTATTATTAATATGTCTGGAAAAATAATCTGGTCAAAAATAGCAAATGCCTTGACTATACATGTCCATGAGTCTCTCTTTTTAACTTGCTTTGTCTGGTGGTTAGAATAGGGAGGGACAGACACGTGGGAGATACATGTTATGTGTCAGTCACTGCTGCTGGTGCTGCCACGGTTGCAAATGATGAGGCCAAAGCCACTTCACAGTTCTGCTTCGGAAGCCAAAAAAGACTTCCTGTGATGTCAGGCAGCCTGCAGTAACCCAAATGGTGGCCCCAAAATGCACATCTCTGACATAAGCTGCCATTAACAAGCAATAATTATTTCTTCTTTTGAGGAGTCAGCTTGCCAATCACGCTGACATGCTTTCAGTTTATTTCAATGGTACACGTTTTCCTTTTGCATTTCTACGAAAAGAGTCTTTGACAGACAAAGTTACTTTCAGTGCCAGTCACTGCCTTGCTGAAAGTCTGTCTGGATGTCCCTTACTGCAAAAGTAAGTCCCTGCTGCGTCAAAGCGGGAGTAAAAACATCTTGACAAGCTCATCTCTCTTGAGTCCCTCGGACAATGGACACTGGTATGCTCTGAATCCAGAATTGTGCTGGGACAGCAGCAAGCTCATAGCTGTGGAATGTGCCCTTGGACATGGGATCACCTGGAGGTGGGGAATTTCAGTCAGGTGCTGGCATCAAAAGAGGTCTAAGCACATTCTTCTTGGATTTGTGCACAGAGATATGTTTTTCCTAAAATTAAAAACTCACATTGTGAAAATTCTTTTTTTTTTTTTTGAGTCTCACTCTGTCGCCTAGGCTGGAGTGCAGTGGCGCGATCTTGGCTCACTGCAAGCTCCGCCTCTGGGGTTCAGGCCATTCTCCTGCCTCAGCCTCCTGAGTAGCTGGGACTACAGGCGCCTGCCACCATGCCCGGCTAATTTTTTGTATTTTTTAGTAGAGACGGGGTTTCACCGTGTTAGCCAGGATGGTCTCGATCTCCTGAGCTCGTGATCTGCCCGCCTCGGCCTCCCAAAGTGCTGGGATTACAGGCGTGAGCCACTGCGCCCGGCCACATTGTGAAAATTATTGTAAGAAAACAGGAAAACATTTTGACTCGCCTTGTCAGAAAATATACAACTTATTCCAGGTTATTTCTTGTTGAAGACTCATATTAAAAAAAAACATACAACAGGAACCAAATTAAGACTGATTTTGCCACTTGTTGAATAGAAGAATGGAAACATGGTTTTGAGGATTCACCTCACTGGGGGTTCTATGTTTCTCCTGTATTCACAGCCCTGGCTCCACAATCTATCCCAGAAATAGATTCTGAAATATATATATATATATGTTTGAATATGTATGTGTGTGTATATATGTTCAAAAGTTTGTTAGACTAAAATAGAAACTCGCATTTCTCTGTTACACTTTGTGATTTTGGGGTGACCTATGTATCCTCCATGGAAATAACTTTTAATTCTCTGGCTCCTTTTTAGAATCACTATTAGAGTTGACACGGCCTGCCTTTGTTTTCCAGGGGATCTATAGGTCTCATATTTCCTTTCTTTTGCCCAAGACTGCTGAGTTTTTGAAGAAAATACAATAATATGGTTGGTGATACATAGTTCAGTATATTTCTGATTGTCTAGAACTTTGTTCAAAAGATCTACATTTTCCTGCTTTGTATGTGGGGGATTGCCATGGACCCACTACTTTGAACTTTCCCTCTAGCTTCCTGGGAAAATTACCTGTATGAAAAAAATGGTGACTCCATGCATACCATAGACAACAATTGACAACTGGAAGGGACACTTCCCTCTCCTTCACTCTCAAAATACACTCAATTGTTAAGGCCTGTGCATTTTTACTTCCCAAATATCGTTTTTTTCCCCCAATCTTGCCCCTATATTCTTGGTCCAGTCTCTCACCTCAACTACTGCAATAACCTCCTGCCTACCGACCCATGTTTGCACTGGCTTCCCCAGTGCATTCTGTGCTTTCCAGCCAGAGTGGTCTTCTCTAAATGTAAATTGAGGATGTCATTTCCATACCTAAAACCTCTCAATGACTTTGTCTAAAGACATGAAAATTCTTAACAAAGTCTAAGAGTCCTGCATGACCTTATCTTCTTCTTCTTCTGATTTTGTGTCTTTCTTGAAAACACTCTGCTCCTCCATGTCTCAGGACCTTCTTCCTTGCTATTTCATTTTTCTGGGTCTATCTTTTCCCTCTCATTTCCTGAGCTGATTCTTATACATGCTTTAGAACACTGCTCATATCACTTCGTTAAGGAATTCTTCCCTGACTCACTTAACCAAGTCAAGTCCTCTGTTTTCTGTCCTCATAGTACCCACTATTCACATCATTCCCCCCCTTTTTTTTCTTTTTTGCCTTTAGCCCTCACCACAACTGTAATTAGATAACTCATTTATCTTCATTTGATTAATGTCTGTATCAAGTGAATGTAAATTCTCTAAGTTCAGGGCTTTTTTCAACTTTTAAGTTCAGGAGTATATGCGCAGGTTTGTTACATAAACTTGTGTCACAGAGGTTTATTGTACAGATTATTTCATCTCCCAGGTATTGAGCCCATTAGTTATTTTTCCTGATCCTCATCCTCCTCTTACCCTCCACCCGCTGATAAGCCTCAGTGTGTGTTGTTCTCCTCTATGTTTGCATGTCTTCTCATCATTTAGCTCCCACTTATAAGTGAGAATGTGCATTATTTGGTTGTCTGTTCCTGCATTACTTTGGTAGAGATAATGGCCTTCAGCTACATCCATGTCCCTACAAAGAACATGATCTCATTTTTTAATGGCTGCATAGTATTCCAAGGTGTATATGTACCACATATTCTTTATCTAGTCTATCACACTGATGGACATTTAGGTTGATTCCCTGTCTTTGCTATTGTGAATAGTGCCGCAAGGTTTGTCTTCATCTTTCTCACCTTTGTATCCCTGATGCTGAGCATCCTACCTTGTGTATGCTTTACCCAATCAATCTTTGCTGAAGAAATAAACTTTGAGGAAAGTTATAGAAGGATGAATAGCTGACTGACTAAATCACCCACTGATAATCAGAATGGGTTTTGGAACATACAAACTTTCACCCAGAAGTATTGAGGAAGAGGATCTGATAAGGATTAGACTACTGGAAATCAAGCAGATGGGAACTGGAGACATTGTAACATTGACTTTAAGAAATTAATGTGATTCATACAATGGTTGTAGAGTTGTTGGCCTCTGGGTCTCTGGGTTTTAAATATCTCAAGGTCATTTGCTTTTCTTCTGCAGGGTTCCCTGCAACAAACTGGCAGGGCAGTCCTTAGGATGATGAGTCAACAGAAGTTGCTTTGATGTCTTTCCTTAAATCTCACATGTTGTGCAAACCCTATCTCCCTTGGCCTAAGAAACTGGAGCTTGTTACTCCAGCTGATGATTTGTAATTGGAACAATCCAGCAAATGAGTCTCTGGAAGTGTCAGTTTGGGGACTGTGTAACGTGTCTGCTGGAGCTGAGTTTGTTTACACTTTGCCAGTGTCATCATTTACAAACTTCAAAAAACACATTGACAAATTCCCTAGCTGTTTTGGCAGCGCTTCCATCAATCACCCAACTAATAGCACCAACATTTCTCCTGGGCTATTATAGTCACTTCAATCGCTGCTGCTGCAGCTTTGGGAGAAGATAAATCAGAAGGGGTTCTTTTAGATGGTCTCAAGTACAACACCATTTTTTATTAAGCAGTGCTTCCTTCCTCATTCTTCTCTCTCTGCCCTTCCTCCCACCTCCTATAAACAATTCTTCTGCTTTGTACTGTCTTAGATAAAGTAATCTGGATCTATGGCTTTCCTGTGGCAGCCCCTTTGCAACGTCATTGGGTAATGGGCCCATTTATTACTTTGGATTTTTGTGTGTCCTCTTTAGTTACTTCATGCAGCCCTCTCAAATCAATAAGTGTATTGTGTTTCTGTGGGCAACAGGTGCCTAGCTTCCCAGGCCCAACACACCCTCTGAGAGCGGCTCACATGTCTAATGACCACAGCATGCAAACCTGAAACCATTTTGCCTTTCAGGCAGGTTCTTTGTGCTGCAGCGTCAGGCAGCAGCTGCATCTCTAAGACTGGGCAGCTAGAGTATCCCTGCTCTTGCACTTTCATGATTTCCTTCTATTGCTAATGCCTCACACCCCTTTTCACAAGGAATAAATATTGCAAATACTCAGCCGCTTTGCCACTTATGCAGATTCGTTTTTCTTGTGGCAGCAATCCTTCCTTAATTTTTTTTTAATTCAAAGCTTGTCTTTCTTTTTTCCTCACAAACTGACCTATTTTAAATAAGAGTGTATTAAAAATGACAACAACCCTTTTCAACTTCGTCACTGTCAAGACCACGTCTTCTCCATTAACAACACATGCATTCAAAATCTGGACGAAGAAAGGGGAGCTCCTGCCCAAGTTGGCAGGTCAGGTGAGTAGAGCTAGCCAGGCTCTGCTGCCCAGCTGGAGTGTCACTGGCCACGGTGCCAACCAGAGGGCCAAACAAACCCCAGACTGCATTTCAAGTTGCTGCCTGAGTGGTGCCGTTAACTCCATCACTGAGGGCTCTATTCATCCTAAATGATTCATGGTCCTGGACAAAGCACCAACTGCAGCCCCTTGTACATCTTGGCTCTGTACCTGACTGATCTATTAATCAGAATTTTAACTGGGCCTTCAAAGCATTTTTCTTTCATGTAAGTCAGAGAGCAGATCGCAGTGGAGACTTCATGTAAATGATGCCATCAACTTGATGCGTGGAGCCATCCATGTCTGAATCTGTGGCCACAGGAAGTTGTTATTTACCCTAAAAAAAGTACCCCTTCTCCTAGATGTCTTCACTCCTTGAGGCTGTCTTCACTATTAGCAGTATGATTGCCAGTTCTATCTTGGTGCTGAGATGACCAAATGGCAGTCATCATTTTTATGTTTGAAGGGAATTTTTTTTAGATAAAAGAGGAATACTCTTGATTTACACATCTTTTAAAAACAACTTTTTTAAGGTGAATGTTTGTTTAAATTCTAAATGATAGCCTCAAAGCTGTTTTTAGTTGACTGATAGTAATTAACTACTTGTATAATTGAAAGCATTCATAAAGACAACTGGCTGATTAGAATTCACTGACCTCATAAGAAAGGAATATTTTTGAACTCTGTTTTAGCCTCAGTAATATGAGAAATCCTTAGGCCAGAGAAAGAATCAGCATTTGTTCCTTGTGTATATTGATGATTTTATTTTTATGAGACCTAAATTGGAAATAATGAATGTAAATATTCCAATGATCTTATGGAAGGCTGTTTTGAATTGATATTTTAAATAGTACAATGTTTGAGAAACTTGAGTACTGCATAAGTTCCGTTTAAAGGATGTAATTCTTGTGACTCTCCAATGTTGACTTAAATTTATTAAACTAGCAATAACCTTCTTATACATACAACTTATTCTACCACTGTAAAACCTAACAAAGAATTCAATCAAAAACAAAATCACAAAATCAATAAAGTGTATATTGACATTACTTAAATGTGAAAGAAAATGTTGATTATGGAACTAAGTGGGCCACTCACAGTGGAATCATGGTATTTACCTAGGCACTAATTTTGTAGAGTGTGGCATGCTGGTGTTAATGTGTTATGTGATCACTAGAGCACTGCAATGCTGTTTGGTCTCACTGGTGTGAATACATCATTTATTTTGTCTGCTTCTCTGTTTCTCATTGGCTCAGGACATAAGGGACTGGTTGGCCTCACCTTGATCATGAGACACGCAAAACTGATTCTCAAATCATGAGCAAAAATTGGTTATAAGGCAATCTTCTTAACATTCCAGATAACTCAGAATGTGTTTATGTTAATTTTTTTAGATCATTGCCAAAATGAAGACAAAACATTTTAAAATTCTCATAAAGAACTTTTTAATTTGGAATTAAAAAGTTTTAATTCCAAATTAAAAAGTTCTAGAAGTTCTTTATGAGAATTTAAAAATGCTTTGTCTTCATTACACCAACATGGCACATGTATACATATGTAACAAACCTGCACGATGTGCACATGTACCCTAAAACTTAAAGTATAATTAAAAAAAAAGAACTTTTTAATTCTAAAAAGATATCCTTTGATTATAGTTTAGTAATCACTGATTTAACAGCAAGCATGTCTGAGAGTATTCCATTTCTAGTCTTTACTCTTTGACTAACCCACTAAGCAAAAGCCACTGAACTGTTCACTTAGTCTTCTCAGACTTTGTCACTTTTTCTAGCATAAGACTAATAAAAAATAACACAATTCAGTTTGACCCTATGTATTAGGTGCGTACTGTGTGCCAGTCACTGGGTGAAAAATAGAATAGATCGGAGCAGGGAGAATGAAAATCTTGATAGAAGAATATGGCAATTCCAGTATTAGCCATAAAAATACTCTCTGGAATTTGTGTGTGTGTGTGTGTGTGTGTGTGTGTGTGTGTGTGATGGAGTCTGGCTCTGTTGCCCAGGCTGGAGTATAATGGCCCAGTCTCGGCTCAGTGCAACCTCTGCCTCCCGGGTTCAAATGATTCTCCTGCCTCAGCCTCCCAAGTAGCTGGGACTACAGGCATGCATCACCATGCTGGGCTAATTTTTGTGTTTTTAGTAGAGATGGGGTTTCACCATATTGGCCAGACTGGTCTTGAACTCCTGACCTCAGATGAGCCACCCACCTTGGCCTCCTACAGTGCTAGGATTACAGGTGTGAGCCACCACACCCGGCCCTTCCTGGAAATTTTGATAATTAATATTAAACTTGGTTAATCTTTGTCCTACATAAACTGATTTTTAGAACTTTACAGTTTTAATTTATATGAATATGACACTAATGATTTTAGCAAATAACTTCCCAGATGCTTCCTTTGAAATAATTTGAAAAAAACCCATATGTTTTTAAAAGCAATGCATTTTTTTTTTTTTTTTGCTAAAAGTGGATAGTAATTTCAAATTTTCATGTTAAAATGCATCTCCCCTAATTGGTCCTAATTATAGAAGTTTGACTTACATCTTTTTTTGGATTCAGTGCCCTGTTCTTTCTTTTGTTCAATGTAACAGGCATGGTCAGACTGCATATAAATATGCATGTATTATGGCTTTTATTAGCAATGCACTTAAAACTGTAAACTGAATGACTAGTAGTTTACATGCTGGCTTCCAGGAACACAGTCAAATTAGCTAATATGGAAAGGCTTTCTTCTCACTGTAAAGTTATAGAGATGCTAATAACCAGCAGAATTTTTAGACATATTGAACATAAAGTAAATATCAGGATTCTTCCATAATCTGAGAAAGAAAGGGCTCTCATGAAGGAGTAAACCATGCGAAGGCAAATTAATTTAGTCGGCATAGGACAGCTTAAGCTGGCTCACACCACATGTCCAGCTGCCGCTGCCAGAGGCCTCTGTCACTGTTGTCACACAGAAACTCATGCTGATTCTGGCTCCAACTTGATCCACATAATGGTCAAGGCAGGAAACAAGGGGGTATGATGAATAAAATTCCGGTTTGTAAAACTTCTACAAGTAAATGTCACAAGTTAATTATCTTCACATTTTGCTGTTTAAAGAGGTTATCTGAGCACACCTAACTTCAGTGGGCACAGGGAAATATAATCATTATACCAGAAAGAGAACAGAACTGGAATAATTGTGGACAGCCCAATTAAACTCAGGCTTAAAAAATTATAATCCACACAGAAGAATTAAATTTTGGCAAGAGTGATTCATCAGATACGAAACAAACAACAAACAAACAAACAAAAACTCCCAGGAAAATGAGTATTTTAGTCACAATCCAAAATGTGTAAATATGTAGGCAAAAATATAGGATAAGTATGCTTACAATCATTAAAGAGAGAAAGAGGAAACTGAAACCATAATGAGAGAACAAGAAAATATAAAGCAAAAAGACAGATTTGAGCAAAGAACCAAATCAAACTGGAAGATAGATCCGAGGAATCATCCAGAATGTATTATAGAGTGATAAACAGATGGAAGATAGGAGATAAACAGATGGGAGATATCAAGAGAGGTAAAAAAAAATTATGGAAGCTCTAATGAAATGGTCCAACAGAAGTTTAACAGGAATTTAAAAAAAAAAGTAAGAATAGAGAGAATCAGGGACAGGCAATATTGGAAGAGATAATGACTGAAAATTCTAATAGTTGAAAGACACAAGTCCTTTGGTTAAAAAAAAAAAAAAAGCAAAACCAAGAATACATGAGCAGGATAAATAGAACAAATCCTCATCTAATACTGTCATAGAATTAACTGTAGAATAGAGAAAATAGGAGAAACAAATAACAAGAGGACAGTAGAATGACAACAGAGATTCTGTCGGCTCTAGTGGATATCCCAAGTGTAATCTCAGCCTCCAAAAACTCCTCTTATGGGCCAGCATCAAAATACTGCAATAAATTCACATGCAAGAATTGTGGACCCTTGGAAATTATGTCAATAGAAGCGCAAACAAGTATTTCTGGGAAACACCTTGTTTTTAAGTGAGAAAAGTTATGTCACAAAAACGTAGTCTTGTATATTTTCAAGACACTGATAATTTAAAAAATTGCTTTTATATAAATCTTTGACACCATAGTCATAGTAATTGCCTTCCACAGGCAAGGCAATAATTATAGTTCCACTTTATTTATTTATTTTTAGAGACAGAGTCTTTCTCTGTTCCCCAGGTTGGAATGCCATGGCGTGATCATAGCTCACTGCAGCCTCTAACTTCTGGACTCAACCAATCTTCCTGTCTCAGCCTCCCCAAGTAGTTGAGACTACAGGTGTGTACCATCATGCCTGGCTTTTTTTTTTTTTTTTTTAAAGTAGAGATGAGGTCTTGCTATGTTGCCCAAGCTATTTTCAAACTCCTGGCCTCAAGCGATTCTCTCACCATGGCCTTTCAAAGTGCTGAGATTACAGTTGTAAACCACTTTGCCCAGCCTATAGTCCATTTTAAAGATGGCAACACTGACAGACTTACAGGTTAAACATTTATAAGTCATAAAGCTGATAGGTGTAAGAGGATGGTTGAGAAACTCAGGTGCTATGGTCCTTGATTCATGTTTTAAATCAGGGCTTACATAAAGCAAATATTTGGTTTTTGTATTTGCAAATTATGCCATACTTAAGTGGGGGCATTATTAAGACAGATTATTTGTCAGTTCCAAACACAGTTGCTTCAGAGAGTAACACTACAATTGCTACATTTAGTCTTTTCACAACAATCATATTTGGGTACAGATATTCTTTTAAGAATGCAATATGTTTCTCTAAATATTGTGCAGATACTGATTTTTTAAAAATGTTTTTGCAAAGAATATTTTTGATCCAGACTTGCTCACATTAATGAGGACTCTGAAGATGTTAAGTTCTAGAGTTAACTTAGGATAGAAGCATGCACATTGTTTGGATTATTTTGTGAATAATCATATCTAAGCCAAGACAGTGATCAGATTGCATTGGAGGTCCTTGCCACAGATGATATGATTGTTTACACAGAAAACTGAAAGTAACTGATAGACAAATTATTAGAAATTAAAATAATTTCTGAAGGTTTTCTGATATAATACATTCAGTAAAAGCTGTTTTATTTCCATCATTTTTAAAGGATCAATTTTATCAATTTTAAAGAATCAAAAAAATTTAACAGCGTTAGTTTCCAAGTGTGGTCACCATCAATATGCACGCTACTCCTCACTTTAAAAACTGAAATCTATTTCCCATTCCTTTGAGTCTTGCCTGTCCTTGCAATAGAATGTGGTAGCAGTGATGGTGTGTGGATTCCAGACCTGGCATTTAAGAGGACCGGCAGCTCGTTCTTTTTCACTCTTAGAAGCTGGCCACCATGTAAAAAGTCAAACGACTGTGACGACATCATGCTATGAGGAAGCACAATCTACCCACATGGCGAGGGAGAGAGAGAGAGGATGCCTAGTGACATCCCCACTATTCCATCCATCCCTGCTGAGGCACAAGCTAAGGGAAGCAGCCATCTTGGACATTTGCTCTGGAAGATAACTTATAAGGTGGAGGAACTGTCTAGCTGAGCCAAATCCAAATTAGAGAATCATTAAAAAATTATATATCTGTGTTTTAAGCCACTACATTTTGGGGTAGTATGTTACGCAACAATAGATAACTGTAATGGAATGCAGTACCTACATGTAGGGTGTGGCCGTAACAGAAACCTAAAATGTGATACTGGCTTTGTTACTGAGCAGTGAGTGGAAGAAAGCATAAAAGGCAGTGAGGAAATTGTTACTGGAGGCTGGTGAAAAAGACTATCCATGTTAACATAGTGGTGGAATGCTGGCAGCACCATTGCCTACAACTACATGGAAGAAAGAAAGTGAATCTAATGGACTGTGGGTTTGTCTAAGATTTCTAGCAGAATGTTGGAAGCTGTCTATGATAGATACATGAAGAGAGACAAAATAGTAAAGAAGCTGCTCAGTTTATACCAGATGTTAGGGAAAAAAATCTAATCTTCTTAGATTAGATTTGCTAGTTTTAAAAATTAAACTGTTTCTCATTACCAGCTTCTTCAGCTGACAAAATGCCCCCAGAGTAAGAAATGGCCTCAAGGGAAAGAACAAGTGCAGGGAATTGTCAGTAAAATATTTACCTTAGTGTTAAAATCAAATCAGTTGCATAGCTATGAGATCCTTTCTGAAAACATTTCGAAGATTGGAGTAAGTGCCTCAAACACCTTCTAAGTCAGACAAAAAGGCTTCTAAGAACTTTAAGTGTGTTGCCCCACAGCACTCTGACCTGAAGGGAGCATTTTGCCTAGACAGTATCTGTGGGTGAAACTTTTCTCTAATGGAGCCAACTGAAATAAAATTCATAGGAAATCCACCAAGCTTTTAAGAAAATTGTATTGAGGACAGCATTGCAAAATAGAATAAAAAGAGAGAGATGATACTAAAATGAAAAGCAGTTTTATGGCTCCCAACCTTATGTAAGCAGTAGGCAGAGTGACAAATCTATTCAGCAGCAAACATGGAATATTTGCATGGGAAAGGAAGGATGACTCAGAGGGCAGAGCCCCAAGCCATAAATATCTCAAGAGAGCAGAACCAGGGCCAAGTCCAGAAACATTTCTTGTTCTTGGAGCAGAGAGAACTGGGAGTATATGATTGGTTATGTTTCAGAATTGTTCTGAAACAGTAAAATTGCTATATGTGTTTCTTTTTTTACTTTATGCGCAGAAAGGTCTAATGTTTTTATTCTGTTTTTGCCTCACCATTATTTGTTGGGTGTTTAGGGGGCAGATAATATATATTTTTAGTTCACAGTTCTCTACTCCTGAAGACCTGTAGAATCATCTCCTCCCCCAAATAGTCCATGTTTAGGTGACAACATATCGGATTTCAAATCTGCATCTGATACCATAGGGAGATAAAATATGGGGGTCCCAAATGAGGGTGAGTCTAGTTAGCAGTTGGCAGTAATGTGAGTTGTTGTGGCCCAAGGCCGTCATCAATTCCTTCTCTTCTTATTTGTGTATGTCACTCCTCCCATCAAGAAGTAGAGTCTATTTCTCTTTCCCTTGAAACTGGGATGTACTTATGACTGAATTTGTCCAACATATCAGGGCAATAGTTATGCTGTGCCAATTCCAGGATCCTTTAAGGGACTAGGGGGCTTCTACTTCCTTTCTCTTGGAAGCAGTCACCAAGTAAGAGGTCCAGCTATGCTGAGGCCATCATGCTGTGTGCAAACACAAGCATGCGACATGGGAAAGCTGCATAAGAGGGGGACACACTTATCCATCTCCCAGTTGTTGCTTCCGTTCCTGCAGAGACAACAGTCATATGGGTGAAGAAGATGTCTTGTACCGTCTAGTCCTAGCAGATACCCTGTGTCTTTGTCAGTTTCTAGCAAAGAAACCACCCAGCCCAGATGCTAGAATCAAGAGGAATAAAACATTGTTGTTTCTAAGCTACTGAGTTTTGACATGGGTTGTTTCTCAAAAATAGGTCATCAATATATTAATTTAAAAGCATATTATTTACATTAGTAAAATAACAAAAAGTAAGGTTTAAAATGACTTTTATGGGCAAGGTGTGGTGGCTCAGGCCTGTAATCCCAGTACTTTGGGAGGCTGAGATGGGCAGATTACTTGAAGACAGGAGTTCAAGACCAGCCTGGAAAATATAGCAAAACCCTGTCTCTACCAAAAATACCAAAAATTATCTGGGTGTAGTGGCACGTGTCTGTGGTCCCAGCTACTTGGGAGGCTGAGGTAGGAGGATCCCTTGAACCCAGGAGGCAGAGGTTGTAGTGAGCTGAGATGATGCTCCTATACTCCAGCTTGGGCAACAGAATGAGACCCTGTCTCAAAAAAATAAAGTAAAATAAAATAAAATGACTTTTATGTAGAAAGTAATAAGATTAATTGTTACTGAAAGTCATTAAAGAAGACCTGAGTAAAAATGACCTCAAGTAACAAAGTCATTCCTGAAGAAAAAGAATCTGGGGAGGAGTTGGTCTTTTACATATCGACTTATAATACAAATATAGTAATGAAGACAATAAGTATCTGTGCAATGATATATAAATTGAATGGCAAAAATAGTGAACTTTGAAACAGGATCACAAATACATGGTGGCTGTGTTAGTGTCTTTTGACACTGCTATAAAGATACTATCTGAGACTGGGTAACTTATAAAGGAAAGAGGTTTAATTGACTCATAATTTCACATGATGGGGGACGCCTCAGGAAACTTACAATCATGGCGAAGGTGAAGGGGAAGACAGCTTGGACCTTCTCACATGGTGGCAGGAGAGAGTAGTGTGTGAGGGTGCAGGGAAAACTTCCATCTATGAAACCATCAGATCTCCTGATAATTCACTCACTATCATGAGAACAGCATGGGGGAAACAACTCCCATAAACCTTTCTCTTCCCAGTAGGTCTCTCCCTCAACACTTGGGGATTACAGTTCAAGATGAGATTTGGGTGGGGACACAAAGCCCAACCATGTCAATGGCTTCATTTATGACACAGCTAGCACTGGAGACCCATAGGGAAAGCATGAAGAATTCAGTCAACACTGCCAGGAAAATTGATTATTCATTTTGAAAAAAATATTTAAATGGATCTGTAGCTCATCTCTCTCTCTCTCTCTCTCTCTCTCTCTCTCTCTCTGTCACACACACACACACACACACACACACAATTCCAGATGAACTGAACTTTAATGTCAATGACAAAGCTTTACAACTTTTAATTGATAAGAGAATATCTTCATGACCTTGGATAGTGAAGGATTTCTTAAATAAGTCTCAAAAAGTATAATTGTATAGGGAAAATTAATTAATTCATCTAGATTAAAATGAAGAATTTATGTTTATCAAAGACATCATAAAATAGTGACCAGGCAATTCATAAAGAAGACATGTAAGTATATTAAACTAACACAAAGTTAGTGCCCTGAATATATACAGATCAGCTATCAATCAGTAAGAAAAATAGTCCCTTTTAAAATACCTTTTAAAAAATGAGTAAAAGACCTGAATGACCATTTTACACAGGGACAAAATGATGGTCAACAGACACGAAAATATTCTTAAGCTTACACAATATAAAGGAAACACAATTGAAAACCACAGTGAGATACTTCATTTCATACTCCCTGTAATGGTAACAATTAAAGTGCTTGATAGTGTCACTTGCTACCAAGAATGTGGAGCAATGGGGGCACTCACATATTGTTACTGGGTTTAAAAATTGGAACAATACTTTTGGGAACATAGTGCATTTATCTTATAAAGATGACCATGACTATACCCCTTTGATTATCAAAATAACTCATAACTATGCATATTATGCACACCGGAGAAACTTTTATACAGTAACCACTACCAGGAGATTTGCATATGTACAAGAATATCCAGACCCAGTTAAATGATTACACAATTTGTGCTGTCTTCCTACAGTAGCATTCTCTACTGCAGTGGAAATTAATGAACTGCAGCTGCACACATCAATCTGGATGAATCTCTAAAGCATGATTTTGAGAAAGGAATCTTAAAATGATACATATGGAATGATTGCATTATATGAATCCTAAAACAGCCAAAATCAAATAGTGGATTAAGAAAGCATATTTATGTGTCAGTGTGCTTGCACACTTACATATGTGTATATGATAAAACTATAAAGAAAGGTAAGGAATGAAATCGAGTGGGGGCATATACTGGGTGGGTAATACAATAATATTTTGATAAAGATGTCCTGGCATGAAAATTCCAGAGGAGTTAACTAAAACACTAGTGGGAAATGGGTGAAAAGGGAAGAAATATTTCACTTTTCAAATTACCAAGTGTCAAAGAAAAAGTACTTTTCTGGATCAAAACAAACAGACAACAAAATAAAATGAAACAACAATGACAACACACACCTAATGTTTAAAAATACAAGCTACAAATATGAAATAACAAGTAAATCCAAAATTATGTCAGAATAACAATGTCAATTCAACTATAAAGAAAATAAAGTTAGGCCAGGTGCCGTGGCTCATGCCTGTAATCCCAGCACTTTGGGAGGCTGAGGTGGGTGGATCAGCTGAGGTCGAGTTCGAGACCAGCCTGGCCAACACGGCAAAACCGCATCTCTACTAAAAATACAAATTTAGGCGGGCATGGTGGCGGGTGCCTATAATTCCAGCTACTTGAGAGGCTGAGGCAGAATTGCTTGAACTCGGGAGGCGGAGGTTGCAATGAGCTGAGATTGCACCACTGCACTCCAGCAAGACTCTGTCTCTAAATAAATAAATAAATAAAGTTGCCTAATTTAAGAAACAACAGGAAGAAAGCAGACGACTAGATTTGTTAAAAACAAAACAAAGAAAAAAAGTGAAACCCATCTCTACACAGAATGTAAGAGACCTACTTTTAAAAGCCACTTAGAAAGATGAAGGAAAAGGTGAGAATGTATGTTCAAGTCCAATGAAATCAAAATTTCAGGGTTAGGAAAGATTATTTCATATAAATAAATGCAAAGCAAACAATGTTACATGCAAAAGAGGATGTTTAAGGAAATTGCCCACAATAGAGATATAACGATCCTGATCTTTTAGTATAAACAACAGGATAATATAACATTTTTCTGTATGGATATTGGAAAATCATCATACTAATGCAGCTTCTCAATTATGGCATCTCAAAAAATTATCAAAGGAGTTAACTTGTAGAATTACCTTATTGGCAGGCTTTATATTAGAGTGGTTTTTTCTGGATCAGCCAACCTTAAGATTTATGATCTTAAAAAATAAAAATACTTTACTTTGTAACCTGGAAAATAAGGGACCAAATTTCAAATTAAATGCAGCCACATCTGCTGCTATTTTGATCATTTTCATAACCAATCATTTTATTTTTTTTGGTGGGGGTGGCTCAGACTAGTTTTCACTGGGTTTCTATCACTTGCAATAAAAGGAATCCTAAGAAACGCATATAGCAGCTGGATATGGATATCTTGTAAATCAACTGGATATGCACTCGCCTGGTAAAATACCCTAAGACATTGCAATATCTACAACAGTTCTTAACAAAGGCTCAATATCTGAAATATAATCTAGTAAGTAAATTCAGGCAGTAATATATCAATTATTGGTAAAGGTATATTTTCAATATAGTATTTGTGTACAAGTTATTTGTTTGTTTTTGTCAGAGTGGTTGAGGCTAATCATAGTGATTACCCAGTTAATACTCCAGGAACTGGCTTGTGAATCATTTTATTTCCAAACAGGTCCCTTGTTTGAATAGAAGACAAGACAAACAGTTCAAGGAAAGCAAAGTGCTTTTCAGAAAGAACTTAAAATGGTTCTTGGGATTTATACTATTAGAATAGCCAGTTAACAGAAATGTATAAAATGTTATTAAAATGTTCACCAAAGAAACAGAAGCATATGAAGGAGAGATAATATAATTGCAATTGGATTCGGTGATTTCAAAATCAACTAGGAATTTTTAAAATTTTGGTGGGCAGTGGATGAAGATGTTCTAAGATATTTAACGAAGTGAGGTGTTTTTCATCCAGCCACTATACACAAATAGTATAGTCCATATACTATTTGTGCAGAAACTCACCTTTAATGGTAGGATAAGACATCACACAATGTGTTTGAAACACTTCTGCTGAATCTATGGTAGGAATTTACAGTCAGTTCTCATCTCACAGCTTGTAAAACTTGACTTTGCTTATCATAATATCTTATTACCCATAAATCCCGATGAGGCACAGGCCATCATCATTCACTGAAGAACATTTTTAGTTAAGTGCCTTCATTCAGAATGGCAGTTACTACCTGTTCCAGCCTTGCACAGGTTATGATTATTAAGTTCTTCTATCTGCAGACATAACTCGGTGCATTCCCTCAGCTGACCTTAGCCACACATTGCAACCCGTTAGGTGTCAGTGTAGGGTTTGCATTTAGTTTTGCTGCCCTGAAACTATCATCCAGTCACTCCTGATCATCAGTATATTTAGTAAGCCAAATCCTTTTCTTACTAGCCCTATAATTTACCTACTTTCTATAGCTAGGCATCTGCAGGACTCTTCAGAATCCTTTGGCTGGGGCCCGGCCTGTCTCCCTAGACCTTTTTCTCTGTGAGAGGAGACCAGGTCTTTATGGCTCCAACTAATTTTGGGTTACTATTTCAATTCAAATCAACTGACTCCCTTACTCTGGCAACAAGATAGTCATTCCTACCTGAGTTTGCATTACTTTGTCAGAGTCTATTGTCATGTGCCAACCCATTAGCTTATACCCTTTACACATTTATACCCATCAAAATCAGAGCTGAAAGGGCCAGGTTGTTTGTGAATTGGGAAGCTGGATACTTACAGCCATTAGTTTGAAACCTAGCCTCAGCCTTTTCTTCCTACTGTTCTCCATTGAACTGTTGTTGAAATCTAGACATGCTTTGAGGCCAATTATGACATCTGATTCCACTGCTTTTGATGCCAAGTCTATGGCCTATATCTGTGATATTCTGACTATGAAATTAGCAGAAGGCAAATGGGGAAATACTTCAGAAATTTGATGTTCTTTTGACACATTAATACTTTATTTAGAAAAATCAAAGCAAAATTAGAATTTGCAATGTTATTTTTTAAAGATTGAATCGAATCAAAGAAGCTAGCTGCTAGCTTCCCTAAGATATAATTCATGTAATCTGTAATATACATTTATTAAAAATAGATTAAGCATTCTGGAAATATGCAATCTTTATCATGTTTTGGCTTTACAAATGGCAAGTGATATTAATTCATTTTACTGCCTCTTGAAGAAAAATTCTTCCCTGGATTTGGAAGTTAAACAGTGCTTGCCTTTGACCTTAGAAAAGTTTTCAGAGCTTTCAAAGCCTACGTTCCAATTTGTAGTGAACATGGACCACTGTATCTTACTGCTGCTTGTTCTCTCAACTTTTTTGATTTGGCTTTGGTACAATTAACCAAAAAGCCTCTGATTTCTTATTACTTACCAGTAATTTATTATGGGGGGATAACCGATCATCAGGTACAAACTGATTAAGGAATTGGGTGCTATTAGAGGACTCAAAAATTCTGTAGTTTAACATTTACATTTTATACTAATCACAAGCTGCTTTTGACATTGTAAAAATTAACCTCTACTTTTTATTATGACTCCAAATACTGCAGCACTAAAGTTCTTTGCTCAATATTTATTAAATTCTTATCCACAAGGCTAGAAGAGTTATTTAAAGCTTGGGACTCATTTCTTATACATTTTGGTATCATTTCTACCTGAAATTTTTGATATTGAAAGAGTTCCTTGATTTACTGCTTCATGATGAGCAAGTTTTACTATTAAAACAATGGAGATCAATATTATCTAAGATCCTAAATTGGCTGTTGTGCCCATTAGAAATTCATTCTGCTCTAAGTAACCACCCAGCTTATAGTGTCTTAAAAGAATTGCGTCTTATATTTGTTACATAACAAGAAGCCAGGAAGTAGATGACTACTCTCTTTGATTTAGTGCCTTGATGGTGGAAGGGCGAGAATCTTTTTACTTTTTCTTTATATTTGTTACTTTTTGGTCCCAAAAAATGTCTTTCAGTCCAAACACCACGTATGTATTCAAGATAGAAAGAAGGTAGAAGGGGAATATGTTAGAGCCTTCTTCTTTTTTTTTTTTTTTTAGGAAAGGAAACATTTCCCAGCCACATCTCCATAAGTCTCATTTGCCAGAGATAGGTCACATGCCCAAGACTAATTTCAAGGAAAACTGATAAATTGTTGACCAGATGGCTGTGATTGGCTTAGTCCAATCAGGATCTATCACCTTGAGCAGGTAGTAAGAAAAAAGAGGAGGAGGATATTGCAGAGGGTGGGCTAATGACTAACACAATTGAGAAACTATCTGAGGAATTTCATCTGCTGATGACTGAACCAAAAATTATACCCTTTATAAGATAATCATTGAACAGTCATCAGTAGAAGGGGTGATCACCATTATCTAATCTAATCTTAGCTTTACTACATGTCATATATTTTAAAAATCTTGATTTTTCAAATCTTTTTTTTCAAATACATGACATGAAGTAAAGCTAAATGTATATCAGCTTGAAACGGTTTGATAGAAAAATAAATGGTACAGCTAAAAAATAAAGCATTATTTCTCAAACGAATCCATTTCCCTGGGAGAAGAGACCAAAACTATCTTGGTTGATAATGCATATTTACTTTGCAAGATAATTTCAGGGACTACATCTCAAAATGTCTCAAGTACTCTTAGTTGAGATATTCTGTTTCAAACATCTGCTGCTACATTTGCAATTCTGTTACACTTGCAACACAGACTTTGCTATTCACTATAAATTCTGATCGTGTGCCTTCCTCTCATTTCAGTTTAATGAATTTGTGAAAAGAAAGTATTTTTGCCTCCACAGATAGACACAGTCTTCCCTTCCTTACCTTTTGTACACCTTATCAGTATAATAGCTAATATTTATCCAACACTTATATGTTTGAAATGATATTAACTAATTTCTTGTTCACAACAAATCCATGTGGTAGACCGTTTTGATGCCTACTTTATCATTGATGTAACTGAGGCACAGAGACATTAGGTAACTTTCCTGATTTATAGATTTACGCAGGTGATAAAAGATGGAGCTGGAATTCAAACCTGGCACTCTGGCTCTAAAGCCCAATTTTTTTAACCACCAGCTAAGAGATACTTTTAATCATATGTTATTTTGTTTTATTCTGTTTCCTAGTCTGTTAACTCCTTGAAGGTTATATACATTGTTTATGTAATGTTAGGGCCACTATTTTTAATGATTCCAATAGTCAACTTGCACCTAACTTTTAAAAGTGACTGACTTATACTTGGCAGGTTTCTTTTATTTATTTGTTCTAAAACTTTCTTATTTGATATTATTTCAGACTTTGAAAAGGTTAGAAAAGCAGTACAAAGAATTCCCATATGCTCTTCATTCAAATTTCCAAATGTTAACATTTTACTGCAATTGCTTTATCATTTTAGCATCTGTTTATCTATCTAATCTATCTGTCTGTTTCTGTCTGTCTCTCTGTCTGTCTATCCATCCATCCATCCATCCAATCATCCATCCCATTGGCTAGAACTTAGCCACATGGTTAAACCAGGGAGATTAGAAAATCCAGCTCTTTTCTGGATGACCATGTGCTCTGCTAAATTTTGGGTGTTCTATTACTAAAGGAGAGGAAGAAGGGGAGAATGACTATTTGGAATTCTCTGCCACAATAATATCCCTTATACAATAGGTTTGTCTTTTGGATTAAGCAGGTGATATGTTCCAGGCAGTGTGGAATTACATACACTGCACTTTTTACTTATTATGTGTCTAGTACCTGTTAGCTTTTATTATTTTCTTAATAAAGTACTGGTTTATTGCAGGCTTTCTTGTTCTGCTTTGTCTTATTAGTGACCTCCACCTATCATTCTGGAGCATGATATTGATGTTTGAGGGCCACGGAAATGAAAGTTTCTATACCAGGATATCCATTACTACATTCACATGGACCATAATTGAAAATACTTAAGAGTTTTGCATGTCTCTGAAGTTCAACAAGAGGCAGTTTTTAAAGCCTGTCAGAACAATGTGATCTTAAGTAAATGTTACAAATTCCTTGTCCATTTTTATTCATGTATTAGATCATACTTTGCGGAGGAGGAGAGACCTTTATTTAACTTGTACATTTTCATTCATAATGCAAATTGGCTTGAAGTATCCCTTTTCCTCCAAACCTAGGACTTCTAGTTTTTGCAGTAGAGTTGGAGTACTGACCCTCAAATATGAAAGAGTGGCATGAGAAATTTTAAAAATTTGATGAACTGATAGATGCTACAATTTTGACCTTTTAAGGTTTATTATTATGGTAGTCAGCTCCACGTGGGGAGATAAAAAATAAAGAAGGTCAAGATATATGACTACTTGAAAGAAAGGACTCACGGTGTATAAATATGAAAAATTCATTCATGAGTCTTCTGCGATACCTGTTGACATACAGTCTCCAAATTTCAACTAAACAGATTCTATCAGCTCATTTCTAATAAAATATTTCCAATTGCATGTGTCCTCTGGTGTTTTTACAGATGTAAGTTATGAAACTGTGAAGCAAGTTATTCATACACATATACACACAAAAACATATATATAATTTCTAATTTTAAATATTAGAAACAGTGACTAAAATGTAAGTGTGTTTCATCTAATTAAGGACATGAATTCCTAGGGAATGTGAAACACTTTGGAGGGCTTTTGATGTGCTGAGAGTCTTTTACTGATAATTGCCTAAGGACATGGTTGCTTTATGAACATAGAAGAGATGAGGTGCTCTAGTTAAAAAAGAAATGGTGACTTTTATCATTAAATGCATATATCTATTAAATGGCTGGGTTTTTTTCCCCCTTGTAAATTTGAGAGAAGGTACAATGGTTATAGGAAGGTGCGTTTTCTAAAGAACTGGGGAGAAAGCAGTGATGGAGAAGAAAATGTATAGACTTTGACCTTAAGTTGACTAAGACTTGAGCTAGTGTGTGTGTGTGTGTGTGTGTAACTCAGTTATTTACAAACTATAAGGCCTTGGGCAGTTTTTCTTACTTTCTCAGGGCCTCAGTTTTCTACTCTTTCTATAAAAGGTTGATGCGAGACCATTCCTTGATAGCTTGTTTTGAAGCTATCAAACAAATATATATATGTATATATATTCATATATGTTATGTATATATTATGTATAAATATATATGTTATATACTATGTTTTGAGGGGGAAACACACACATATCTGTTTTTGCTGTCTATTTTTATGTAAGAAACCATTCCAAAACTTAGTTGCTTAAAGAAACAGCAAAATTTACTTTGCTCATGAATTTGCAATTTGGGAAAGACTCAGTGAAGACAGCTTTCCTCTACTCCCCTCAGCATCAAAGGGTGGGCTAGAATCATCTGCATGCTCACTCATTCATGTGTCTGGAGGTGGATGCTGTCTGTCAGCTGGGTCCTCAGCTATGGCTGTGGTTGGAACACCTATTTGGCCTCTCCATGTGTTCTGAGTCAGATGTGTACTTGACTATAAACTCTGTGTATAGAATTTGTTCTCAACACAATGCCTTTATTTCAATGAGGAGAATTGCAAGAAAACTATCCATGTTCTTGTGTGTGCCCACATACTCTCACACACACAGACACAGACACTTCGGGGATGGGGGGATGGGAAGGCATAAGCTGTGTTGTGTTGCACAATATAGCTTGGAAAGACACATTCTATTTGTTAGAAGAAGGTCACTAAGACCCACCCATTTTCTTTATTTATATATATATATATATATATATCTTTTTTTTTATTATACTTTAAGTTCTAGGGTACATGCGCATAACGTGCAGGTTTGTTACATATGTATACATGCACCATGTTGGTGTGCTGCACTCATTAACTCGTCATTTACATTAGGTATAGCTCCTAATGCTATCCCTCCCCCCTCCCCCTCCCCCCACCCCACAACAGGCCCTGGTGTGTGATGTTCCCCTTCCTGTGTCCAAGTGTTCTCATTGTTCAGTTCTCACCTATGAGTGATAACATGCAGTGTTTGGTTTTTTGTCCTTGCGATAGTTTGCTGAGAATGATGGTTTCCAGCTTCATCCATGTCCCTACAAAGGACATGAACTCATCATTTTTTATGGCTGCATAGTATTCCATGGTGTATAAATGTCCAACAATGATAGACTGGATTAAGACCCACCCATTTTCAAGGAGACAGGGAAGAGACTTTGTTTACCCGTTGATTGGAGGAGTGTCAGAAACTTGTTGACATGTTTTAAAACAGCCACATGGCGCATCGCAAATGCTCATAGCTCCTTTCTTTCCCTTCAAATCTTCTTGCCAATCTGTTTTTGCTTAGGATAACTCATTCAACCTATTACATAGTTTGAACCGCGAAGTACTGGGTATTTATTGGTGAACGAGATAGACAAATTCTATATTCGTTGAGTTTATAGTCAAGTACACATATGAATAAAACTATGTGCATTTATTCGGGTATTTCTAAACATTTCCTAAGCACCTACATTGGGAAAAGCCCTCTGGTGTGCACTTTGAAAGATGTTGCTGTGAGGCGCATGTCCTCAACTTTCCTCCAATCTAGCAGGGGGAATGAAACATGCATAGTAACAATTGAAGTAATGTAGATTGTGATAGATATTGTAAATGAAGATTAGCTAGGGGAGATCAGAGATGAAGAAATTATTAGGAATTGGGTGGTTCAGGGAAGACTTCATGGAAGAGGTAGCATGAGAGCTGTGATGAGAAAGATTTGAATGTGCACCATATGCGAAAAAGCTCTTCCAAACTTAGAGTTCTTTAACATTTGTAAATAGTTTTACAGTTCACGAAAAGCTTGTGTATAATTTATCTTACTTGATTTTCCAAGTAATCATGTAATGTTGCATGCTATCATTTTATTATCAGCAGCATTTTAGGTATTATATATATTATATATATGGAATTATGTATATTATATATATATGTAAAATCAATGGATGATGAAATTGAGACTCATGGTACTAAAATTACTTTCTCAAGGATGCACAGTTAATAAATGAAACATGATGGGAAATAGGAATTTACTTGATGTTTTGGTTTGGGCTAAATCATAAACAGCCTTGAATGCCAAGACAAAGGTGCTCAGGTATTATTTAGTAACCAAAGCATGTTTATTGGGCAGCAGAGAGACATAAACAAGACTGTGTGTTGGGAAGCATATTCTGCAACTAGTGTCAAAAGTAGATTAGAATGAGAATTCTTAAGAGGAATGAAGTGATGTTATAATAGCAATTTATGTCAGTGGTAATGAGCCGCTGATGTGGTGGGGTTTTCATGAGGCTAGAAAAAAGAGGTGCATTTAGAAATATCATGGGGGAGGAATTGATCACATTTCAGCAAGCAATGATAAATGTCAAAGCTGAAGACAAGATTTTAAGTCTAAATGATTATGACATTGACATTGATATTTGAGAAGGTTATAGCACACACAGCCTAAAAGAAGAGAAGGAGGTTTGTGTTGTGTGTGTGCATGTGTAAACGTATAACCAGGGTGATGTAGTAGGTTTATTTTTATATATTGCATTCTAAATTTTCAGAAAGATTAGCACATAAATGAGGAAATCTCCATATGTTGGGGGTTGGAGGATGAAACCATGAGTGAGAAGTGCATCTCAATATATGGGCGGAGAGAAAAATATTTCCACTGTCGATCTAAAAGGGTACAAGAAATTATCTGTGATGCTGGGGAGAACAGCCTCAGATTTATATGTTTTGGAAAATTTGAGAGTGTTGTGTGTAAATTCATTAAGTTGACTGGCCCATCTCTTGGTTTAGAGGCACCATTGCATTATGAGAAAAGCATGGAGTCAAGATTTGAAGTCAAGATTTGAATTTAAATTCTAGCTCTGTTCTGTTTGAACTAAATTAATTTAGACAAGTTGCCTGAACTCTGAGCTTCAGGTTTCTCATCTACAATATGAGGTTACTGATGCCTACTGTGTCAGAATAAGAGAAAGAAATAAGAATACATGCAGAGTACAAACTAAAGTGTTAGCAACAGTAAATGCTTAATAAGTTTTAATTCTAATGATTACATTGATAAGGCAAATATAAACTGAAAAAGTTTTTTATAATTATCTTGTCTCAGAGGCTAAGAATTAGAAGACCCAAGCTCTAGAGGGCGCTGTGGAATTGAGCTTACTCCTTAAAGGACCCTAACACCTGGAAACCCAGGAAACATAAAAACTGCTACTTTATTTGGTGATTGAGTACTGGCAAGCACCGAGAAACTCGGCAAGAATGAAAATAGTTATTGTATTTTGTCATTGCCATTATTGTAGTAGTGTTGCTTAACAATTGTTTTCATTTTCTCTTTTTAATTACATACTTATATATAGGTTCGTGTGTGTGTGTATTCAGGAAATCAGGTAGGCTATAGCAAAAGCACCAGATTTGAAAAACAAAATGCTGACATTCACATCCTGGCTCTTCTACTTACTAACTGCATTACTTTACCTCTGAACTTTCTCATTTGTTCAATGAAACTAAAACCCATCCTTACTGTATTTATGAACCTTGATTTAAGGTATCTGAAAGCCCTTTATAAACTGTAAGCTATAGATGAAATAGTGTGGTTTATTCAATTATAAAATAATTTGCATTTATGTCATGTCCGGCAGGATTTTACCTAGAGTGCCAATAACACATAGCCTGGAATTCTGCTTAGAGAATTCAAAGGCTGTCTGTATTTAGTAAAAAAAAAAAAAAAAAAAAAAAAGTAACATGATTGCTTAGCAATGCTTAATGTGGTGTGGGAGGAAGAAATATCACATATTTTCTAGTCTTAATTTGTAAGTTGGTGTTCTTGCTTTTTGCTTCTTTTGATTCCTATCAACTAAAATATGAGGACCCAGAGTGTTTTATACACTTTTCTTAGCAGAGTAAGGAGATACATGAGTCACATATTGAAGCTCCATCCTGCTGGTAGGACTCATCTGAGGCAGGCAAGGGGATGGTCATAGGAACAGCTCTTTGAGGAAAAAGCCTAAGACATTTTACCAGACTGAGATAACTAGATTTTTGGCCATGAACTGCTCCTCATCTGTGCCTTATGTATCCATGGTGTTGGAGAATATGCTAAAACAAAGCCTCGTCTCTTCTCATCCATTAACTGGTTATCAGTTACGAACTTTGATCTGCAAAACATCACTGAAAAAAATCATTGTTGATGAGTCCATTTTGACCAAAATTTAATTTCAGTTTGATCCCTAAGATCATTAGGACCACTGTGAACTTAACCACATCTAAAGCCTCCACTCCATATCGCACTCTACCCGTCCACTCTCCTCCCCTCCCTTTTTTGTCCCATGCCTCCCATCCCCTCTTTACCCTACCCTACCCCACCCCTCCTTTCTTCTTCTTACCTCACCTCACCCTACCCCTCCCCTTCCCTTCCCCTCCCCTCCCCTCTTCATCTTCACATCTGTAACATTAGTGAACTCTGTCCATGCATTGCTCTAAATTCTCCATTGGATGGCTTCTGATCCAGTTCCTTACTTTATATGCCCCTTGGCATTCCCCTTATATCCTTTTTATTTTCAACCTCTTTAAATGTCAAATAAGCCATGGCATGAAAACCAGTGAATGATGATATAGGTCATCTTGATAGCCTTTTAAAAAATGTATATAAATCCCACCAAAACCTTATATCTTTTAATGCACATCTGTTAATTCAAAGATTATAATGATATCAATAGTGTCTCTTTTGGTTGTTTAAAGGAGCTTCTCATATTATTCAATATTTTGCCATGAATCAAACCTTTAGAGATGCTTAAGTATAATATGATTTAATTTTAGTAAGGTTAGACTTAGGTTAAGACTGGTTTAATATTTATAGTTAAATTATTGCAAGAAGAGATAGAACAACTTCCTTTTTTCATTCATTGTCTTAATTTGAACCTGAACTCAATTAACTGAAATACATTGAACATCTGGCCTTTCAGACATGGAGTGGAAGTAAATTTTTCTCGGATGAATACATATTCAATGAGTTAAAAATTTTTTAAAAAGTGTAATAGATCAAGTTGATGAACGAAATGAGCGTGTCTTCCTCTACACCAATTTCACTGAAATCACTAAAAGATACGTATAGGCCTATAAAACAATTTGTATATCTATCTATTATTCTAAATTATGATGGAAATCAAGGAAAGATATAATCATTTGGTATAATTAGAGATTTTGATGAGTTGCCTAGAAGAGAGAAAGCAGATGGGATCGATCAGATTAATAGAAAATGCATCTCAAGTCAGGCAGGAGTAAAGTCCTACACAAGTAAAAGTATTTCCAGTGATGCTCCAAGGTCAGAGATAATAAACTAAAACACAGATTGTGTTGTCAGCAGGGCTGCGTTTAGCCCTACACAGGTACAGCCATACTAGTACTTTCATAATTAAAATGTATTACGTGAATTGATAAATAGCCACTACCATGAACCCCAGGGAAAAAGGACCCTGGAACCTCCCTATAACTTAGCATCCAAGGAGTTAACACTCAGCACACAAGTGGCCTTCAGGACCTCTCTGTCCTGAGTATTAAGTGACCAGTTGCCTACATTAAATATCACACCCGGTGTGGCAGAATGTCCAGGGACATTAAAAGAAGGCATTTGGGATGGCTGTCCTCCTCTTTTCTCTGGCCCACATCTTCAGGAAATGTCCTGAAGAACTTCCTTCTTCAGAGAGTGAATGGCCTGCCTGTGGACAGCTACTGACTTGGATATTGAGCCTGAGAAAGAAGCAGAGTAGAGCTTGAAGTAGCTCTGGAGTCTTCTCAGAAGATATTGAAGAAGACAGATGAAAGTGAGGTTTCTCCGGAGGATAGAACAATACTTAGCACTTTCTGAATATTTACTGTGTCCCAGACTCTGTTCTATAAGATTTTATATGTAAACTTATTCATTCCTTTCAACAACTCTATGAGGAAGGTTCCTATTAGTACCCTCATTGCACAAATAAGGAAACTAAGGCTCAGGGAGGTATAGATTCTTAGCAGAGGTCACAGAGCTAGTCAGTGGCAAAGCTGGGCTTCCAGTCCCACTCTAATCTGCTGCACAATCCTGCCTCTCAAGTTCATTGATGGGCTCCCTCCTGGATGAAGACATCCATACTTCAACAATGAGGAGGCCTAACTCCCTTGCTTCCTGATGACCACTAATATCTTTTCAACAGATTCCCTATTGGTGAAAGTAGACAGACTTGGTTTATGTTGCCTTTTACTTTTAATTGCATTTGTTATATAATAAAAAAATAAAATAAGTGAACTAAAATAATAATAATCTAGGGTAAGTAATGAACCTGGATAAAACAAGCAAACAGAAAAAAGAAATTAGGCAGTAATTAATAAAATAAGACTTCTAAATAACAAAATTATCAAGAATTAGTAAGCAGGAATTAATGCAATAAAAGCACTCAAGAGTAGATTTGATCAATAAAAGCAAAAGATGGTTCTCTCAATGGACCACCAACAACAAAAAGGTCTAACTAAAAATAAGTAACTACCTAGTATCAGAAACAAGTGAGAAAACATAATTATTGCTATGGAGAAGATTTTGAAGATGTAAAAAAAAAGTACTTTGGATGGCTGTAGAAGAAACTATTTTACTGACTATGTATATTATTTATTTTATGGAATATATAAATGGTCAAAACTGACTAAAGAAGAGATGAAAAGCTGAATATATAAATAAACAGGAAAAAATGGAAAAGGCGGTCAATGACTTACTTTTAAAACAGTTTTAGGTACAAATTATTGTAGCTGATTTTGACAAACTTATCAGAGAAAAAGAATACTTAAGTAATATTGTCTCAGTATTGAAATAGAAAGCATCTCAACTCATTCATAAATCTAGCATATCTGTTAGTAAATCAGTCAAGAATAATAAAAAACGATTAATTTTATTTATGAGTAAACAAAAAGCTACATAAAATATAACCCAATCAAATTCAGTAGCATCTTAAAAGAATCATACATCATGCTGCAGTTTTATTGAGCACGTATATGACTAGTAAAATACTCAGTAAATACTGGCTAGAAATGCCAGCATCACTCAACACTAGAAAATCCATGATGAAACTTATTAAAGATTTTAAGGTCATTCTCACAGTTAACACTTACTTGGTAAAATTTAATACTCTTTTCTGACAAAAACTCTTAATGAAATAGAAATAAAAGAAAATATTCATTATTAATAAAAGGTATATCTGTCAGGACTCTGTTGAGGAAACAAAAGCTAATCTAAGTATTTTAAACAAGAATTTAATATAGGAAGTTGGTTACTTTCAAAACTGAAGTACACTTGGCCGTATCTAATCTCAATAGAAGTTTCAGAAACACGTTAGTTGGCAGGACAAGAGAAGTGAAGGCCTTGGAAAGTCTACGATTAGATTTTAGGTTTTCCAAAGTTTTCAGGAAATTAGGAAGTTGCCACTAACACCCTGGTTAGGAACTGCAGGAAATCGCAGCTTCTGGTAACAGCTGGCCGCTGTACTGAGTTGGTTGACTCAGGAGGAGATGACAGGGATTGCCACAAAACCTCACTTCTGCTAAAGTTCGAAAATCTGCCCACTACTGCTGGAGGAGAAATGATGATTTATTTTTCCCTCCTGCCTTCCAGATCTCAAACAAGTACATCTTAATGGTGGAATCTAAAACAGAAACTTGAGGGCAAAGGATTTAAGAAAATGTTACCCTCAGGCTTCCAGCCCCTGTCGTGCAGGGACAGCATCAAAGGAAACTGGAATTCTAATAGTTTAATATAAACTGAAAACCTGTCACAATGAGGATTTGCAGACTTCTAGATAAATCTTAACAATCAATGATTGATAATTTTTTAAATTTATTTTTTAAAATAAATTTTATTGTGTATATTTGAAGTTTACCACATGATGTTATGGGATGCAACTAGATACCTATCAATTGTACGATGATTGCTATAGTGAAACAGATCAACCTTTCTTTCATCTCAGATAGTTACTTCTTTTTGTAACAAGAATAGCTAAAATATACTTATTTAACAAAAGTCCCTAATACAATACAGTTTTACTAACTTTAGGCCTCATAGTGTACATTAAATCTCTAGGTTTTTTCATCCCTCACATCTGCTATTTTGTATTCTTTGACCTACATCTCTCCATTTCCTCCCCCTCCTCACTCATGGTAACCACTGTTTCATTTTCTGTCTTTGTGTATTTGACTCTTTAAAATAAAGTTCCACATACAGGTAAAATTATGCAACACTTTTCTTTCTGTGTCTGGCTTATTATATTTAGCACAATATCCTCCAACTTCATTAATGTTGTGGCAAATGGCAGCATCTCTTTCTAAGGATATATATACACGTGTATATATATATACACGTATATGTATATATACGTGTATATATATATGTAGTTGACTATTCAACAATGTGAGGGTTAGGGGTACGAACCCTGCACAATCGAAAATTTGCATATAACTTTTGACTCCCCTACAACTTAACTAATAATAGCCTATTATTGACCAGAGCCTTACTGGTGATAACATTTGATGAACACATATTTTGTATTTATACTGTATTCTTATAATAAAGTAAGCTGGAGAAAATAATGTTATTAAAAATCATTAAAAAGAGAAAATATATTTACTATTCATTATGTGGAAGTGGATCACAGGAAGGTCTTCATTCTCATCATCTTCATGTTGAGTAGGCTGAGGAGGAGGAAGAGGAGGGGCTGGTCTTGCTGTTTCAGGGATAGCAGAGGCAGAAGAGGTGGAGGAAGTGAAATAGGAGGCAGGAGACAAAGGCACATTCTATGTAACATTATGGAAATAACATCATAATTTCTCTCTGACTTTTTTGCTTTTTCATGTCTTAAAAATGTTTTTATATGGTATCAATTCTTCTTCTACTATTTGCTTTAGTTTCAGTGCCTTTGTCCTAGAAGGGTCTCTGTTGTGAAAGAACACAAAAGCAATCTTGAATAATTGGAGCCTTTTTGCCAGATTGTCTAATGTCAATTTGTTTTATGGCACTGCTTCCCTATCTCCTCTTTGTCTGGCACTGCTTTGGAAGCATTCATCTCCATCACATCTTCTACTGTTAATGCCTCTGGTGTGATGTCTGTTAGATCTTGAATTTCTCCAGCGTTCATATCTTGAAACCTTTCACCCCAATTTTATTGCCAAATCTCCAATCTCTTTTATGTCCTTTATTGGCTCTGTTGTAAACCTTGTGAAGTCATGTACAACATCTGGACACAGATTTCTCTGGCAGGAATTTATTGTTTCAGGCTTGATGGCTTTCACTGCTTTTTCTATAACAATGATGGCATCTTTTATGGTGCCATCCTTCCAGACATTCATCATATTCTCTATAGAGAGTATCTTCCATAGCATTGACAATCCTTTGGTTAGAGTACCACATATAATGAGACTTACAGGCCCTTATGACCCCCTGATCTAGAGGCTGAATTAAAGGCTTGTTGAAGGCAAGTAGACCACTTCAGTGCCTTTGGTGTTGAACTCATGGGGTTTTGAGTGGCCTGAGGCATTGTCCAATGTCAAAAAATCTTTAAAAGGCAGTTCATTACTGGCAAGGTGCTTCCTGACTTCAGGGACAAGGCATCAATGAAACTAATTCAGAAAAAGGGTTGTCCTCGTCCAGGCCTTTGTGTTGTACAACCAAAAGATTGTCAGCTGGTGTTAATTTTTTTCCTTCAAGGCTCAGGAGTTAGCAGCTTTATAGATAAGGGCAGTCTTGATCATTAAACCCAACCACATTTGCACAAAATGGTAGAGTTAGCCTATCCCTTTCTGCCTTAAGTCCTGGTGCTTACGTCTCTTTTTTACTAATACGTGTCCTTTCTGGCATTTTTTCTTTCTAGAACAGGGCACTTTCATCTGCATTAGAAACGTGTTAGGCAGATACTCTTTTTCCTCGATGATTTTTTTTTTTAAATGACATCTTGGAACTCATCTGGTGACTCTTGGTCAGCAGAAACTACTTCTCCTGTTATGCTGACATTTTAATAAGCCAAAGCTCTTTATGAAATTATCAAACCATTCTTTGCTGGCATTAAATTATCCAGGTTTAGATCCTTCCCTTTCCTTTTGCTTTAAGTTGTCATATAATGACTTCACTTTTTCTTGAATCATTTTAGAGTCTATAAGAATGCCTTTCTTATATCAATCCTATACCCACATAAAAGCTGGGTTTTCAATATGAGATAAAAATATATTGCACAAAAAGTGCAAAGTTTTCATGTTTGCTTGCACAGTGGCACAAAAACCTCATAAATTTTATTTTTCTTTTCTTTTTTTCACAATGGTTCTTATGCTGAATTCTTTTATCTTGAAATGCTGGACAACTGCAGCTGTAGACCTCAAACTATAGTATCTATGAAGTAATTCAACTTTTTCTTGTAATGCCATGGCTTTTCTCTCCTTGGGAGCACGTCCAGCATCACTAGTGGCACTTTGTAGGGGGTCACATGGTGTTATTCAAAGTTTACTACATTGCACTAAACATGATGAGAAATACACAATAACCCAAGGTATCACTTTTTACTGTGATACGAAATTTACTGGAGACAAAATCCTCATCAGAAATGATTTGTGTCACATGGCTTTAAGTGGATACTCACAATACTTGGAATCACCACAGTAGTAACAGGAGGTGGCTACAAAGTTATTACAGTGGTACAATATGCACTTAATTTTATGCAGTTATGATTTAATACTGCATTTTTACGTTTGTTTACATTTCTCTTGACAGCAAACGGCTTCATATATGGTCTGTGCTTGTGTGCGTAAGTTTGGATAAATGTTGGTTTTTTTCTAATAGGTTTGTGTATATTTTATCATTGCAATTGATAAAACAGTGTCTCCATATATTTTATGCATTCATAACACATCTACCTTTTTCTTATTTTTTTAATATTTCTAGGTTATGTGGTTTGTCTGCAAGTTTTTTTTCAAATATTTGCAAATCTCCACACAATTTTCAACATATTTGTTGAAAAAATTCTTACGTTAGAGGATCTGTGCGGTTCAAACTGTGTTGTTCAAGGCCCAACTTTATGAATATGTAGATATACCACATTTTCTTTATCCATTTGTACACCAATGGGCATTAAGTTGTTTTCATTTTTCATATCTTGGCTATTGTGAATAATGCTGCAATGAACATGGAAGTGCAGATATCTTTATGAGGTGGTGATTTCTTCTCCTTTGGGTGTATACCAGAAAAAGAATTGCTGGATTGTAGAGTAGTTCTTTTTGTTTTTTTTTTCAGGTCAGATGGGTAATGTGCCAAGATCATAAAAAGGTTCAGAGGGTGGCACATCTCACACATTCTTGTGAAAACCCAATCATCGTGCTCATGAACTACAAAAAGATGAGTAGTTCTATTTTTAATTTCTTTAGAAACCTCCATACTGTCTTTCATAATGGCTGTACCATTCTAGAGTCCCACCAACCGAGTAGTAGGATTATCTTTTCTCCATACCCTTGTCAACATTTGTTATCACTTGTCTTTTTGATAGTAGCCATTCCTCCAGGTGTGAGGTGATCCCTATGATTTTAATTTTTACTTCCCTGATGATTAGTAGTGTTGGATACCTTTTCATATACTAGTTGTCCATTTTTATGTCTTCTTTGAGGAAATATGTGTTTAGGTCCTTTATCTAGTTTTTAATCAGGTTATTTATTTTTCTGCTATTGAGTTGAAAGAGTTCTTTATAAATTTTGGATACTAACCCCCTATCAGAAATGTGGTTTGCAATAATTTTTTCCTAGTCCATAGGCTGCTTATTCATTTGTTGATTATTTCCTTTGTTGTACAAAAGCTTTTTAGCTTGATATAGTTCCATTTGCTTATTTTTATTTTTGTAACCTGAGCTTTGAGTGTGATATTCGAAACGTCATTGCCAAGGGCAATTCAAGGAGATTTTCTCCTATGCTTCTCGGAATTTATGACTTCAGGTCTTACACATAGGTTTTTAAAAAATCTATTTTGAGTAGACTTTTGTATATGGTGTAAGATAAGGGCCTAATTTCGTTCTTTTGCATGTGAAAATCCAGTTTTCCCAGCACCATTTATTGAAGAGACTGTTCTTTCTCCATTGTGTCTCAATGATGAAAATTAAAAATATACCTATTGAAGTTAGCAATAAAAGGAAGATGTCCACTGATATTGCTGCTTTCAAAATAAATTCCTAGGAAATAAAACTAGATAAGAAAAAGGATTAGAAGTGTTATACTTCTAATATAACACTTATTAGGTGTTATAATACCTAATTAATTATATTGTATATAATATTTGAAATATATGCAATATTATCTGTTATATATGTAATATAATATAATTAATTTAATTAATTAGCAAAGAGAACAGTAAGTAGTCATACTTTATGGGAAATGGAAGAAGTCAGCTGAAAAATCCAAGAATTAGTAGTAAAAATATTTTAAGAATTTCTTCTAATTGATAAGAAAATAAAGCCTAAACAAGAAAATATAAAATATGAATTAGTAATTTATAGGAGAAATAAAAAGAATGAATGCAAATGTTGGTTATAACAGAGTTAAAACTTTAAACAGAAATGATTCTAATCTTTGCCCTTAAAAGTGACAAATATTAAATACATTGACCTTTGCCCAGGATTTATTATATGTAAAAAAACACATATGCTTACACATTGTGATAGTTTTATAAGTAAGCCTGGTCTTTTCTGAGAGTAATTTGACTCTGTCTATAAAAATGTATGTATATACTCAGCAATTCTAGCTCTAACCTAATGGAAATTCATTCATGCAAAAATATGCACATAAGAAAATGATAATTGAAGCGGTGTTCTTAAGCATAAGACTGGGTAATTTATGAAGAAAAGAGGTTTAATGGACTTCACGGTTCCTCAGGCTGTTCAGGAAGCATGGCTAGGCCTCAGGAAACTTACAATTATGGCAGAAGGCGAAGGGGAAGCAAGCACGTCTTACCATGGCAGAGCAGGAGGTTGGAGAAGTGCCACACACTTTTAAATGATCAGATCTCATGAGAACTCACTTACTATCACAAGAATAACAAGGAGGAGATCTGTCCCCATGATGCAGTCACCTCCTATCAGGTCCCTCCTCCAATTTGACATGAAATTCAGGCAGAGACACAAACATAAACTATATCATTCCACCCCTGGCCCCTCCCAAATCTCATGTCCTTCTCACATTGCAAAATACAATGATCCCTTCTCGACAATCTCCCAGTCTTAACTCATTTCAGCATTAACTCAAAAGTCTACAGTACAAAATCTTATCTGAGACAAGGTAAGTCCCTTTTGCCTCTGAGCCTGTAAAATCAAAAACAAGTTAGTTACTTCCAAGATAAAATAAGGGTACAGGCATTGGGTAAATGCTTCAATTACAAGTTGGAGAAATGGCCAAAACAAAGGGGCTACATGCCCCATGCAAGTTGAGAACCCAGCAGGGCAGTCATTAAATCTTAAAGCTCTGAAATAGTTTCCTTTGACTCCATGTCTCACACCCAGGGCATGCTGATGCAAGAGGTGGGCTCCCACAACCTTGGGCAGCTCTGCCTCTGCGGCTCTGCAGGGTACAGCACCCACAGCTGCTTTAACAGGCTGGCACTGAGTGCCTGTGGCTTTTCCAGGTGCATGATGCAAGCTGCTGTTATAGCTACCATTCTGGAGTCTGGAGGATGGTGGCCCTTTTCTCACAGCTCCATTAGGCAGTGCCCCTGTGGGGACTCTTTCTGGGGGTTCCAACCCTACATTTCCCTTCCACACTGCCCTAGTGGAGGTTCTCCATGAGGGCTCCACCCCAATGCAGACTTTTGTCTGGACATCCAGGTGTTTCCGTATGTCCTCTGAGATCTAGGTGGAGGTTTCCAAACCTTGGTTCTTGCCTCTGCACACCTGCAGGCCTGACACCACATGGAAGCTGCCAAGGTTTGGGGCTTGCCCCCTCTGAAGGTATGGCCTAAGCTATACATTGGGCCCTTTTAGCCATGGATGGAATTGGAGTGGCTGGGACACAGGGTGCCATGTCCTGAGGATGCATAGAGCAGCAGAGCCCTGGGCCTGGCCCATGAAGCCATTTTTCCCTCCTAGGCCTTCAGGCCTGTGATGGGAGGGGCTGCCATGAAGATCTCTGAAATGCCCTGGAGACATTTTCCCCATTGTCTTGGCTATTAACATTTGTCTTCTCATTACGTATACAAATTTCTGCAGCCGGCTTGAATTTCTCCCCAGAAAATCAGTTTTTCTTTTCTACCATATGGTCAGGCTGCAAATTTTCCAAACTTTTAGGCTCTGCTTTCCTTTTAAATATAAGTTCCAATTTCAGACCATCTATTTCTTCATGCATATGAACATACACTTTTAGAAATAGCCAGGTCACTTCTTGAATGCTTTGAGCTTAGAAACTTTTTCTACCAGATACCCTAAATCATATCTCTCAAGTTCAAAGATCCACAGATTTCTAGTGCGGGGGCAAAATGCCACCAGTCTCTTTGCTAAAGCATAGCAAGAGTGACCTTTACGCCATTTCCCAATAAGTTCCTCATCTCCATCTGAGGCTCCCTCAGCCTGGACTTTACTGTCCATATCATTATCAACATTTTGGTCAAAACCATTCAGCAAGTCTCTAGAAGTTTCCAAACTTTCCTGCATCTTCCTATCTTCTTCTGAGACCTTCAAACTGTTCCAACCTCTACCCATTACCCAGTTCCAAAGTTGCTTCCACATTTCAGGTACCTTTATAGCAGTGTGCCACTCTCCTGGTACCAATTTTCTGTATTAGTCTGTTTTCACACAGCTATAAAGAACTACCTGAGACTGGGTAATTTATGAAAAAAGGTTTAATTGATTCACAGTTCTGCAGGCTTAACAGGAAGCATGACTGGGAGGCCTCAGGAAAGTTACAATCATGATGGAGGGCAAAGGGGAAGCAAGCATGTCTCACCATGGCAGAGCAGGAGAAAGAGAGAGAGAGAAGGGGGAAGTGCCACATACTTTCAAACAACCAGCTCTCATGAGAACTCATAATCACAAGACCAAGAAGGGGCATGTCTGCTCTGATGATTCAATCACCTCCCACCAGGGCCCTCCCCTGACACATGGAGATTAAAGTTTGAGATGAAATTTGGGTGAGGACAGAGAGCCAAACCATATCTCACACCAAACAGAAATTCTCTAAATTTCTATTGTTAAGGTAATGTTTAAATTAATAGAGACTTTGTACATTGTAAATGTACGTTGTGATAGATCCTAGGCCAAGATGGCTGATTAGAAGCAGCTGAGGTTCACAGCTCTCACAGAGAAGAAAGAAAACAGCAAGTGAATCCTACATCTTCAGCTGAGGTATCCAGGTTCTCACATTGGGACTGACTAGACAATAAACGTGACCCTAAGAGCAAGGAAAAACAGGGTAGGGCATGAAACCAGGAAAACTCCTATCTCCAGCCAAGTGGGGCAGGGTCACACAATTACTCATTGCTTTTCCTTGATTTTCTCACGGATCTTTGCAACCCATGGAGCAGATCTCCTCATGAACCCATGCCAGCAGGGCCTTGGGTCTGAAGCACAGAGGTGTGTGGTCTCTCAGTGGCCACTCAGAGATGCCACTCAGGGAGACATGGGGGTTTTTGCATACTCTGGTCCCGGGAATTCTGGTGAGACAGAAGATCCTCCTTGCACTCCCCTGGAAAGGGAACAGAAGTTAGAGAGCCAAGTGGCATCACTCTGTGGACTCCACTCCCACAGCACCTCACAAGTTAAGACCCATTGGCTTGGAAACCCAGCTGCCAGCCTGTGGCAGCAAGCTGGAAACTGCCTGAAATGACTGGGATCCCGGGGCGAGGGGTGACTGCCATTTCTGCAGCTAGAACCCGCCATTTTGGCCTGCTGGATCCAGGGAGTCTGGGCAGTCTGGACTGGGAGGAATTCCCCACAGCACAGCACAGCTGCTCTGGCAGATTGTAGCCAGACTGCTTCTTTAAGTGGGACCCTGATCCATCCGTCTGTGTCCAGAATTGGTTCCTTCCAGTGGGTTCTTGGTCTCGCTGACTTCAAGAATGAAGCCACGGACCCTCATGGTGAGTGTTACAGTTCTTAAAGATAGCATGTCTGGAGTTTGTTCCTTCAGATGTTCAGATGTGTCCAGAGTTTCTTCCTTCCAGTGGGTTCGTGGTCTTGCTGACTTCAGGAGTGGAGCCACAGACCTTCGCAGTGAGTGTTACAGCTCTTAAAGGTGGTGCATCCAGAGTTGTTTGTTCCTCCTGGTGGGTTTGTGGTCTCACTGACTTGAGGAGTGAAGCCGCAGACCCTCACAGTGAGTGTTACAGCTCATAAAGGTAGTGCAGACCCAAAGAATGAGCAGCAGCAAGATTTATTGTGAAAAGCAGAAGAACAAAGCTTCCACAGTGTGGAAGGGGACTGGGACCCAGGCAGGTTGCCACTGCTGGCTCGGTGGCCAGCTTTTATTCCCTTATTTGGCCGCGCCACGTTCTGCTGATTAGTCCATTTTACAGAGCACTGATTGGTGCATTTTTACAGAGTGCTGATTGGTGCGTTTACAAACTTTAGCTAGACAGAAAAGTTCTCCAAGTCCCCACTCGACCCAGGAAGTCCAGCTGGCTTCACCTCTCAATCCCCCATCTAAACAGGACACCCCAACTGCTGTTGGGAATTGGGCGATGACCACTCTAGCTACTTCCTGCTGGATAGGGGTGAAGAAGGGGCCCTGCAGTTGTAGTGTCCTCCAGAGGGGAACTCTTTAGGCCAGTGAAAGGGCCAGCGGGTCACTCCAGGGGTCCTCGGTAGAAGTTGTTAGCTGAGCTTATTTGGGGTTCCATTTGTAAGATCATCTGTAGCTTGATGGCCTTGATCCTAGAGGAAACAAATTTGACAAGAGGGTTAAAAATACAGGGCCCAAAGGCGAATGATAGCAAGATGGCTGCCACAGGACCTAGAAAGGGGAGAAGCCATGTTGCCCAACTCCAGTGGTTGGTATAAGAGTTTGAAAGGCATTGTCTGATTTCAGAAGCCTTTTCCTGTAAATGCCGGGCAGCATCTCTTACTATCCCTGACTGGTTAGTATAAAAACAACACTCTTCCCCTAAGAAGGTGCAGAGTCCTCCTTTCTCAGCAGTGAGGAGGTCTAAGCCTTGGCAGTTTTGGAGAGTCACTGCTGCCAAACAGTCTATTTGGGATTGTAGAGTAAGGATAGATTTTGTTATTTCTTGCAAACTGAGAAATCCTTTGAGAGTGTGTGGTAGTAGGATACTGAAGTAGATAAACTGGCTATTCCAGTTCCTGTAGCAGTAGCCATTCCTAGCCCTATAAATAGGGGTATCAGTTGTATGGCTCTGCACTGATGGACTTGAGCTTTGAGGGGTACCAATTGGGTCTGATTTTCTGGGGCAATTTTAATGTTGGGACTTAGAGAGACTAAGATGCAGGTGCCTGTCCAGTTAGTGGGGAGGCAGATATAGGTTGACATTCCACATAAGGATATACCTTGGCTGGGTAGACAGAACTGGTTGTATATGTTAAAAAGGTGTGTAAGTTTGTTGTTTTCATTTTCCCATACTCCTAGAATACTTGCTAAGGTAGCTCCGGTGAGTGGCTGGAAAGGGGTGTTTGGAGCAAACTGAGTGGCTCCCTGTGTTCTATTTTCCCATTGGAGAAAAAATCATTTCATATCTACTAGGAACCATTCGAGAGAGTGATTGAAAGAGGGGATGAGAAGGCATTCACTAGTGGTGGGGGTGCTGCTGCAGAGGGTCCAGGGGTGAATGGTCATCCAGGGAGTATGTTTGCCATTACAAAACCTGGACTGTTTGTTAAACAGGGAGGAGGCAATGATTTTTGGAGGCCCTGAGAGGCGGACAAGCCATCTGAATGGAGCTGTTTGAGTGACTCAGAAGTTACTATGATTAGTTGGGGCTTGAAGTTATAGGGTGTAATTACACTGATGGAATAGTAAGTGCCCCAGGGGCAGGCCTGATAGCAGGTTGCATTGGATGCATAAAGGGGCTTGGAAAGTTAAGATGGTATTCATAGTTACAGGACCGTGTATGGGCTTTTCATTACTTGTGTAATAGGTGAGGTTGGAAAGGTAAGAACATAAAAGTTGGATTGCACGTCCTGTTAGACGTCCTATCAGAGATGGGGAAGTCGGCTAATGATTGCATATTCAGAAGTCAGAAAGGGTCTTTTCCTTCATAATGAGGGTGGTAGGTTAAGTTGCTAAAGACCCAATTTTTTTGCGGGAATGGGAGTGGCAACATAAGAGAGATACAAAGCCAACTGTCATTTGCCAGGGAAGGATTGGTTTTAAGTATTTTCCACTGGCTGCCTTCAGGTATAAATACCTTTCCTTCTTCCGTTGTTAACCACCCTGAAGGGAGAAAACTATGTCTCTGTGAAAGTCCCCATTCCATTTCAGTAGGGGAATACTGGGGCTTAATCTCTTGGAGGGGGTTGTTCCATACCAAGGGTCCTTCTGTAGGTATTTCTAATGGGAGGTTCTGCCTGGCAACAATTTTGGCCTCAGCATCTGCCCGACGGTTTCCTTCTGCCTTTTCTCTTTCACCTTCTGATGGCTTTGGCAGTGTAAGACTGCCACCTCTTTGGGTTTTTGCACTGTGTGCAATAACTCCATAATTTCCTTGTGGTATTTAATGGGGGTGCCCCCAGAGGTTAGGAACTCCCTTTCTTTCCATATTGCAGCATGGGCATGTAGGATTAGATAAGCATACTTGCTATCTGTATACACATTTATTCTTTTTCCTTTTCCCAGTTCTAAGGCTCGGGTAAGTGCCACTAGTTCTGCTAACTGGGTGCTAGTCCCTGGGGAAAGAGGCTTACTTCCAAGTACAGTTACATCACTAACTATGGCATAACCTGCCCTTTGTATCCCATTCTCTACAAATGAACTTCCACTGTTATATAGGTTAAAGTCAGGATTAGCTAAGGGGACTTCTAAGAGATCATCTTGGGTGGCATAAGTCTGGACTATAATTTGCTGGCAGTCATGCTTGATTGGTTCCCCATCTTCTGGGAGAAAAGTGGCAGGGTTGATGGCTATGCACATATGTATTTGAAGCACTGGTTCCTCAAGGAGTAGTGCCTGGTATCTAAGTAGGCAGTTGTCTGATGGCCATAAACTGCCTTTGGCACCTAGTATGCCATTCACATCATGAGTAGTCCAGACAGTGAAATCCTTTCCTTGTATTATTTTGATAGCCTCTGACACTAAGACAGCCACTGCCACAACTGTCCTTAAACAGTGAGGCCAGCCTTTTGCTACTACATCAATTTCCTTACTTAGGTATGCCACTGGTTGTGGGGTTGTCCTGTGAGTCTGAGTAAGGACTCCAAGAGCTATCCCTGCTCTCTCTATGACATATAAAGCGAAGTTTTGTCCTGTGGGAAGGCTTAAAGCTGGAGCTTGTACTAGGGCCTGCTTTAAGGTTTCGAAGGCTGTTTCTGCCTCTGGTTCCCATTCTACTAGGTGAGTATTTGCCCTCTCCATCTCCTTGATTAGAGTATAGAGGGTCTTGGCTATCTCGCTGTATCTGGGGATCCATAGTTGGCAAAAGCCAGTGATTCCAAGGAACTCTGGGAAATTTTTTAATGTCTTAGGGCAAGGATAAGCCACTATAGGCTGTATTCGTTCCTTGCTGAGGGCCCTAGTCCTTCTGGCTAAGATTAGGCCTAGATATTTGACCTGCTGTAGGCAAAGCTGGGCCTTCGACCTAGAGGCCTCGTACCCTTGATTAGCTGGAAAGTTCAAGAGATCTAGAGTAGCCTGCTGGCATGAAATTCTGAACTGGCAGCCAAAAGTAAATCGTCCACATACTGAAGGACCAGAGTGCCTGGACTTGAGAAGTGGCCTAGATCTTGGGCCTGTGCCTGACCAAACAGATGAGGGCTATCTCTAAACCTTTGGGGCAAGACCATCCACATAAGTTGGGATGTGTGGTCTGTGGGATCCTCAAAGGCAAAAAGAAACTGGGAGTCAGAGTGCAGGGGAATACAGAAGAAGGCATCCTTGAGGTCCAGAACAGTGAACCATTCTGCTTCCTCTGGTACTTGAGAGAGAAGGGTATAGGGGTTGCGTACAACTGGATATAGAGGAATTACTGCCTCATTGATGAGTCTAAGATCTTGCACTAGTCTCCACTGACTGTTCAGTTTTTGTACTCCTAGAATTGGGGTGTTGCAGGGACTGCTGCATTTTCTTACTGAGTCTTGAGCTTTTAAATGTTTAACAATATCCTGTAATCCTTTATGAGCTTCAGGCCTTAAGGGATATTGCCTTTGATAAGGAAAACTGATGGGGTCTTTTAGCCTGATTTGGAGTGGATGGGCATTTTTTGCCCTTCCAAATTGTCCTTCCAATGCCCAGACTTCAGGGTTGATTCCCTCAAGTAGGGGACAACAAATGGGTAACTTGTTCCCTGTCTTCATGGAGATAATAGCTCCAGCTTTGGCTAATATATCCCTCCCTAATAAGGGTGTGGGACTTTCAGGCATAACAAGAAAGGCATGTGAAAAGAGCAAAGTCTCCCAATTACAACTGAGGAGGTGGGAGAAATACCTGGTTACAGGCTGTCCCAGGATTCCTTGGATGGTAACGGACCTTGAGGACAGTCGTCCAAGACAGGGGATTAACACTGAGAAGGTCGTGCCAGTGTCCAGGAGGAAGTCAATTTCCTGGCCCTCAATGATTAAACATACCCAGGGCTCAGTGAGGGGGTGATGACATGAACGGGTGCTTGCCGCAGTCATCCTCAGTCCTGTCATTGGATCATCTGGTTGGGGGCTTCTGGCCCAGAGAAGCTTTGCCCTCTGGGGTAGTGTGACTTCCAGTGATTGCCTCCGTATAGTGGACATGGACGATGGGGCGGCTTGTTTCTCGTTGGACAATCTTTTTTAAGGTGTCCTTGCAAACCACACTGGTAACAAGCCCCACCAGGTGATTGGCCTGCTCCATTTTCTGTCCTCTTTGAACCACCAAGGTTTGTCTGAGGGCCATGACTAAGGCTATGGCCTTTCTCTGATCTCGCTTTTCCTTTTGGGCCTGTTCCTCTTGGTCCCTACTATAGAATACCAAGGTTGCCAGGCTTAGTAATGCCTCCAGATTTTGTTCAGGGCCCAGGGCTCACTTTTGGAGCTTTCTTCTGATATCTGTGGTTGATTGGGTAATAAACTTATCTTTTAGGATCAATTGACCCACTAGTGAGTTGGGTGACAGAGGAGTATATTTTCTTAAGGCCTCCTGTAGCTGCTCAAGGAAGGCAGAAGGATTTTCTTCCTTTCCCTGAGTTATGGTGGACATCATTGAATAATTCATGGGCTTTTTCCTAATTCTCCTTAGTCCTTCTAGAACACAGGTCAACAGATGTTTACGACTCCAGTCCCCATGATCTGAGTCGAGGTCCCAGTGGGCATCCATACTGGGGACAGCTTGCTGACTGGTAGGGAATTTGTCCCTTTCTTCAGCTGTCATTCTTTAATTTACTTGATGAAGATACCAGGTATCTCCAAACTCTTGGGCTGCAGCTAAAGCTGCATTCTTTTCATTAAAGGCCAGGGTTTGATCTAACAATAGCAGGACATCTCTCCAAGTGAGATTGAAGGTTTGCCCTAGACCCTGTAGGACACCTATGTACCTATCAGGGTCATCTGAAAACTTCCCCAGGTCTGCCTTGATCTGCTTTAAATCAGAGAGGGAGAAGGGGACATGTACCTGGGTTGGGCCAAATTCCTGTCCCCCTACAGCTTGCAGGGGATATAACCAATAGCCTGGGAGTTTTTGTTGTCCCTTAAAGATTTCTTTGCTTGTTTCCTTCTGGGCAGGGGATATTAGAGGAGGCTTATCATTAATAGGAAGGGGAGCTATAGGGTGGCTAGGATATGGAGGTAAGCTGAGAGGTCCTCCTGTGGGATGTAAATTGCAAGCTTTGCATAGTTGTGGATTCTCCTTCAATGAAAAGAAAGCTTGGACATAAGGTATTTCATTCCATTTGCCTTCCCTTTTACAGAAAAAGTCAAGCTGCAGGATAGTATTGTAATTTATACTTCCCTCAGGTGGCCATTTTTCCCCATCAGAGAAAGAATATTGAGGCCAGGCCATAGTGCAGAAAAAAATGAGCCACCTCTTTTTCAGGGTTTGCAGGTCAAATTGGCCCCAATGGCTTGGGATGCATTTCAAGGGTGAGCCTGTTGATGCCTGAGTGTTTCCCATCTGAAAGACAAAACCACCCATGGTTTTGGTTTGTTTGTTTCTCCCCCTGCCCAAGAACCCTCAACAGTCCCTGGACCTTGCTGATTGGAATAGTTGTGCTCACTGACACAGCAGTAGAAACACCTCTTGCCCAAGAACCCGCAACAGTCCCTGGACACTGCTGATTGGAATAGTTGTGCTCACCAATGCAGCAGCAGAAACACTAGTTTTCCTCCTAGACCACAAGGAGGACCAAGGAAGGTCAGATTTAGTGTCCCTTACTGACACATTCTCGAAAACCTGTTAGGGTCCTAAGCATTCTCCTGTTAGTATTGGGACCTTAGCACTGTCCTATAAAGATGTTATGCCCCAAAAGTGAAGTGGAGGGCCATACCCTAAGGGAGGGTAGGGATCTCCAGAGTTGGAAGAGTGATGCCTTTTGTCCTCACTTAAATGAACAGGAAAGATACCATTTCTGAAGTGCCGCATATCCTGGCTTGAGGAATAGCTTTTGTTAGGCCTGCTAGTCTGAGGAGGGATCCTAAAATTCCAGATAGTCCCCCCACCGCCGATGGGGCTTTGGGCAAAAATTATGTCTTTCTGATTGGTGAGCCCGGGTGCCTAAAGAAGGGAATAGAGTCCTGGAGTTTATACTAGAAATCATTCTTATAGGAGAAACTAGAAAAGCACCAGAGACAGGGAGTGGTTTTTAGAAGCAGGACTAGCCTTGGAGAAGAGAGGCGAGAGGACGTTTGTCTGACAGGCATTAGGACCCAGGAGGCTAGGTTCAAGATAGATAGGATAGATGGGCAAGTCTCGCTTGGGCGACATGACTTTGAGAGCTCTGCTCATGGCCGCAGGGTCAACCAACTTGTTGTCGGGACCCCGGAGCTGAATGGCTTTCCTCTCTGTCAACCCTCGGCTCAGTCCAGAAGTACAGGAAAAGCGGAAGCTGGTTCCAGGCAAACCAACATTCCCAACTTCGAGGGGTCAGGGGTTGTAAGAGAGCTCTTTCCCAGAAAGCCTGGCACCCATGTCTTTAGTCTGGTGGCTGCATTAGTCACTTTTAACTGGCTGGCAGGTGCCTGGTATTTAGCCCCCAAATTCTAAGGAAAGATAGGACAGAATAGCTAGTGAAAGGGGTCCGATGGTACTCACCGCTTGGTGATTGTCCCTTCGTGGTCGCCAAAATGTGTCCAGAATTGGTTCCTTCCAGTGGGTTCTTGGTCTTGCTGACTCCAAGAATGAAGCCATGGACCCTTGCGGTGAGTGTTACATTTCTTAAAGATAGTGTGTCCAGAGTTTGTTCCTTCAGATGTTCAGATGTGTCTGGAGTTTCTTCTTTCCAGTGGGTTCATGGTCTTGCTGACTTTAGGAGTGAAGTCACAGACCTTTGCAGTGAGTGTTACAGCTCTTAAAGGTGGCGTGTCCAGAGTTGTTTGTTCCTCCCAGTGGGTTCATGGTCTTGCTGACTTCAAGAGTGAAGCCGCAGACCCTCGTGGTGAGTGTTAAAGCTCATAAAGGTAGTGCAGACCCAAAGAGTGAGCAGCAGCAAGATTTATTGTGAAGAGCGAAAGAACAAAACTTCCACAGCGTGGAAGGGGACCTGAGCGGGTTGCCACTGCTGGCTCGGGTGGCCAGCTTTTATTCCCTTATTTGGCCCCACCACATCCTGCAGATTGGTCCATTTTACAGAGCACTGATTGGGGCGTTTTTACAGAGTGCTGATTGGTGCATTTACAAACCTTTAGCTAGACAGAAAAATTCTCCAAGTCCCCACTCGACCCAGGAAGTCCAGCTGGCTTCACCTCTCACCTTCTCACTGTGTGGGGCCTCCCTCTGGGAATTTCAACAACTCTAGCCAGAGTTTTACAACAGACTCTGATCTCTCTCTGGGGTGGAGCCACCAGTGGGAGGGGTGGCCACTGTATCTGCAGCTTAGCTGACAGCCGTTCCTGCCTGCTGGCTCTGGAAAGTCTGGGTGGTCTGGATATGGGGGATTGCCCCCAAGTGCAGCATACTCACTCTGCCAGGAGGCAGCCTGACACTTCTTTAAGCAGGACTCTAATCCCATTCCTTCTGATTGGGTGAGACCTCTAATAGGGATTTCCAGACACCTCCTACAGAAGAGTTCTGACTGGCATCAAGTTGGTACCCCCCAGGATGGAACTCCCAGAGGAAGGAGCAGGCTGCCATATTTGCTGTTTTGCAGTGTATAGGGGTGGGGGATAGAATGGGACTTTCATTTCTTACTGCCCATATTTTCGATTTGTTTGAAGTTTCATAAGTGAGAATGTAATACTCATGCAGTCATTCAAAATAGAAAAAGACAAATTAGATTTTCTCCACTGTATTTACTTTCTGCCTATAGCTTTTTAACAACCTTTTGTTTTTATTTTATAAAAATTATTTATGTTTCTGTTGGACAATGTAATGTACATTGTGAAATTGTTACTACAGTCAAGTTAATTGAAATACCCATCACTTCACATAGTTACCTTTTCTATGTGTGTGTGATGAGACTATTCAAGATCTAAAAGTTTTAGTTATGTAGAATGACTAAGTTCTAGAGACCTCATGTATGATGACTGTAGTGAATAATACTGTACTATATGCTTGTGGATTGATGAGTGATAATGCCTATCTCACAGCACCAAAACCTGCAGCATAAAAGCCAGAGGCAGAAGACTTTTTCTCCGTCTGCTGCAACTGCTCTTGCCTACCAGGATCCATCTTGGGTTTCTTATGCTCAAGTCCAGAACTTTTGGTTCTAGCACTCTATGAAGACTCTTCTCATTGCAATTTTGGACTCAGTTTCCCATTCTCTCTAAGATTTTGTTGAGATAAAGCAGTTATTTCATTGTAATGTCTATGCTTTTATTTGCCATATAATATAATTATCAATCTTTTAAATTTGACCTGTCATCATCATAGAATCTCTTTACAGAGAAAGAAACTGGGTCTCAGTGAGCTTGACTGACAAATGCATATGGCCCTATATGGCCTGCGTGATCTTGGAGCCTCTGTTTTCTCATCTATGAAATGAATAATTTGTAATTAATGATGTACATGATCTTTTTCAACTTAATCCATTCATTGTACTTAACATAGATAAAAATCTATTACTTTCTATGGCATACATACCCTAGATATAGGTAGATATGTTTTATTGTTTATTTTTTGCCATGTGTTATTAGTCACATAACAATTACCATCACAGCTTGTGCTGGGTTATGGCAACATGAAGACCCAATTAAGCAAACCTCTGAAGCCTCAAGACAGAAATAAATATTTTCCCAGATAAAGCATGAATAAACACACACATGCACACACACATGCATTATGTTGCTTAATAGACCAAACCAAAATGCTTTGTATTTGATTGCATTATAAAATAATTTCATATTAACATTTAATGATTTCTTAATATATAATTATGAAAACATGTTTGCACTGAAAGACCAATACAATTGGTAAAATCTAAATTATGTAACCTTGAGGATCATGTTCATCTTACTTCACAAATTAGAATATATTTCTTATGGATTTTGTAGAGCAAAATCAATGATTATATTCTCAAATGATAAACTATGCATTAGCTGAATGAACATCTTAGATACAGAATGTTGACAAGCTAAATATGTGAGAAAGAAGGAAGGAACATACCAAGAAAAGCAAAGAAAGCCAAAAGCTAGTGAGTATTTTAGGCTACTGGCCTTTAAAGAAGTATTTTTCCCATTAACATTATTATCTTCCTTGAAATACAGGATTTATACTAGAAAAGATTTTTTAGGACAGATCCCTAAGTTTCAAATCCAAGTTTCTACCATGGAGCTTAAAAATTTGACCCAGCAATCTCATTGCTGCGTATACACCCAAAGGATTATAAATCATTCTACTGTAAAGACACATGCACACGTATGTTTATTGCAGTACTATTCACAATAGCAAAGATTTGGAACCAACCCAAATGCCCATCAATAACAGACTGGATAAAGAAAATGTGGCCCATATACACCATGGAATACTATGCAGCCATATAAAGGATGAGTTCATATCCTTTGCAGGGACATGGATGAAGCTGGAAAGCATCACTATCAGTGAACTAACACAGGAACAGAAAACCAAATGCTGCATGTTCTCACTTGTAAGTGGGAGTTGAACAATGAGAATACATGCACACAGGGAGGGGAACATCACATACCAGGGCCTGTCAGGGGGTGGGGGGCTGGGGGAGAAATAGCATTAGGAGAAACACCTAATGTAGATGACAGGTTGATGGGTGCAGCAAACCACCATGGCACGTGTATACCTATGTAACAAACCTGCATGTTCTACACATGTATCCCAGAACTTAAAATATAGTTTAAAAAATGACTATCCAGTTTTGATTTATTTGGAAGTTCTTTACCAGATCAGGTCAAACTAAATATGCTGTGACTTTACCAGTTCGGGAACAAAGCCATCAAAGACAGTACCTTTTTTATTTCTATCAGGCTGATAAACATTTGTATTATCTAGCCATCTAAGTTATTCATAAATTTAATACAAATCCAAATATAACTTTGAGTGTGTGTGTCTATATATATATGTGTATCAATACGGAGGATTAATAATAATTCTCATATTTATGTGAAAAACTGGGAAGAAAAAATACCTGGAGATTTTTAAGAAGAAGAGTGAGGAGTGGGAACTTATACTGCCAGATTCTGAAGCCAATTATAAAGTTAAAATAGTTGTAGTAGAACTGTAGTAGCTCCAAAATAGATGGAAAATTTTAAATGAACAGAAGTGAAAGCCAAGAAAGAGACCTAATACATAATAAGTTGTGTATGTTGTGTAAAATCAGTGGTAAAAGATGAAATAGTTGGTTAATGGGTGTAAAAATAGTAAGATATTTTAAAAGTTATTAAAAATAAGCTTCAGAAGAACTAAAACTGTTAAGAATAAAACATTAATTTAGAGAAACTAGGTAAATGTCTTTATGATGCTAGACTATAAAAGGGCTTTGTAACATGAGATCAAAAGGAAAACCATAACTAAGAGAGAAAAAAAGTTTGACTTCTTACAGGATGTAAAAGACTTCTGTATAGCAAAATGCAGCATAAACATTTAAAAGACAAGTAGCAAATTGAAAAATGTATTTACATCATATGCATTAGCCTTAATAAAATAATAGTTATTTATTGTTAGTTAAAACAACCAACAAACAAACATAACCAACCACTCCATAGATATTAGGCAAAGGAAAAGAATAGTAAAATCTTAATGAAAAGGTAAAAGTAGCTAATAAATATTAAAAACTTTTATCTGTTGATTTTTAAAGATTAAAGAAAATGACATAGAAAATGTTTTATTTACTTATGTATATTTTGCATTGCCCTAAGAAGTATTAAGATATTTACAGAAATGTTTCAATATAAAAAATAGACATAAAAAGCTGAAAAGTTTGGCAAATGCAAAAGCAAATAAAAAACAGCAGCAGCAGCAACAACAAAATATATAAGAATAGACAATGAAGTCAGAGACAAGATTACTATCTGTATTAGTCTGGGTTCTCCAGAGACACAGAACCAATAGAAAACATATGTATTTTATTGGAAATATGACAAGAAAAATATATGTATGACTTTCTATTTGCTCTGAAAAAATGGAAGGTCCATGGTCATATTGAGTGACTTATAGTTAGGAACTTACACAACTGGGCAGTATGATGATTAACTTTATGTGTCAACTTGAATGGGCTAGGAGGTTCCCAGATATTTGATTAAACATGATTTCTGGGTATGTCTGTGAGGGTGTTTCAGGATGAAGTTAACATTTGGATTGGTAGAATAAGTAAAGCAAATTGTCCTCCCCAGTGTGGATAGGCCTCATCCAATCTGTTGAAGGCCAGAATAGAATAAAAGGTGGAGTAAGAAAGAATTGTTTTTCATGCCTGACTGTCTTTAAACTGGGCCATTGATCTTCTCCTGCCTTTGGATTTGAACTGGAATTTACCATCAGCTCACCTGGTTCTCAGGCCTTTGGCCTTGGACTAGAACTATACCATTGGCTCAACTGCAGATCTTGGACTTCTTATAATCATGTGAGCCAATTCCTTATAGTAATCATATATATATATATATATATATATATATATACACACATACACACACACACACACACACACATATATACACACGTGTATATATATGTGTGGGTATATGTGTATATATAATTTTCATATAATATTTTAAAAATGTAAAAATAACCTAAGTTTACAAGAGTCATGTAAGGAAGAAGTCATGTGTGGCTACCTGTTACTGTGTATTGTTACATTGATCCTTAAAAGTAAGTTCAGGAAATAAAAAAGTAAATTCTAGAAGCTTTATGAGTTCATCTGTAACATTTTCTATGAAAATTATTCATAAAACTAAGATATCGATTTCTTGGCTTTGGAAGATGAAGTACTTCTTCAGCTTATATTTGCCTTCGACTTATATAGTGAAGGCAATGCTGTGTGAACACTTGGTGCTTAAAAATTATTTTTGATGGTTATTTGCTTAATGCTTAAAACTTGTTTATGTTCTTCCTTTTACAAACCTGAATTCATTTTAAGATGTTGATTGTTCTAGTTTTGACACCATTTAGGGTATATATTAATGTTTATTTTTTTATATAATGTCTGCATTTAGACAAATATTGTAAGAAATTGCTTCTGGAAAAAAGTGCAAGAAAGTTAAATGTGTAGTTTTATAACTGTGAAATGATGATTAATCTTAGCAATTTAAAATTAAGCTCCTCCATTCCTGTCACAACTGGTGTTACTCCTCCCTCTGCCTCCTCATGATGATCCAGAGATATTTAATGCCTTTAGTTGTGCTTGAATCTTTCTGTCACCCTCCTTGTCTTAAAGAATGAATAGGTTTTGATGTATGGGTCACAGAACAGAGATAGGACTGTCAGGGACTTTGTGTGCTGCGTTGTTAATTTAGAGAATCCACTTTGTACCTAAGTATTAGGAGCACTGACAATGACTTGGTCCATGAAATCACTGTTAGAAAGCATTTGGGGCCCTGAATTACCAGGTCAGTTATTCACATATGTTGTTCCTAATGATTGAGCCACATTTACATTATTATGAGCCATTATTATTTTCTATCAGTCTTCTTAGTCCAGAAAACAGCTATAGTATACATAGAATTCCTAGGCTGATCCAAAACTTGACTGGCTTTTTAGAGCATAGGTAAAAGAGTCACCATCATAGGCAGTGTTAAAAATTGTATTAGTGTTTTAACAATATACAGGGTCTGATTTCCCCAAACTTACCTTTAAAATGTTTGCTTTGTTGATAGCTGGCCATTCTCTCAGTCATCTGAGCTCTCTTTTGGAAATCTTACTCTTGCTTTGTTATAGATGTCCCCAGGCTGAGTCCTGATAACTTCTTGTAATTCCACAAATAACAGCACATTAGTCAACCTGTGCTGGTGAACTCACTGTCTGGGGAAAAAAAGGCCTGATTTGTAGAGTTTGCTGATTTCTGTGGTGTAAATATTTCCCACCATGGCCAATTTCAGCTACAAACAGTGTATCAATCAGTTTACAATTTCCGGAATAACAATCAGCTCTCTGTAAGCACATATTAGCTTGAGCACAACACTGTGTGTGTGTGTGTGTGTGTGTGTGTGTAAATGACAGTCCATTTGGAAAAAGGGTTGAATCTATTTAGGATTCTGAGAGCTGAAAAGAAAAGATAAAGAGAGGCTCAGAATTACCCGGGGACTTGTTGCAAATTTACTTGCAGGTTGTTAAAATTTATCCCTAATAATTACTCAGATTTTTAATGGAAAATTTAAAAGCTTTCCCATGAAGCTTTGGCTGTGAAAATTCCATTTACATCCTTTTGGCCTCTGGAATACTTCTGCATTTAAATGTATCACTGGCTGCTCCTAGCTTTCCTTATATAAGAGTGTCTGTAAATAGTGTTGTCTTGATGCAAGTTCAGCTTGAATGATGGGTGACTTGACATAAATATCTTTCATAGCTCTAGCTGCAGATGAGCTGGGAGAAGAGAGGATAGGACTTTTTTTTCATTTTTTTCTTTTTTTCCTTGCTGCTTGAGGGTTGTTCCGTGCTTGGATAACAGAGGTTAGTGTAATGGATAGGAAGCCAGGTTGTTAACTGTCATTGAGCTTTCATAATGTAGAAAAGCTGAGGTGAGGGTGTAAGGATGGATACAAAGAGACAGAGTTTTACACACAAGGAAATTATAATATTGTTGGTCTGCAAGATAGATGCACATGTTTCTGGTTGCTAACTGTTAGTTGAAGTTTCCAACGTTAGGGCTAAATGGTGGGATTTGGTGGAAATAAGGTTAGAACAAATGTTGACTGGTGTTTATTCTTCACCTCCATGAACCAATAGGGGCATTTTAAATTTATGTATCAGACTGGCTTGAAGCGTTAGAGATAGAGTAGACCCCAGTAAATACTTTTATTTACTGACATCTGTCACTTTTCAGTAATATCCAAGAACAGTGACTAACACTTAATGAGTACTCACCGTGTCAGGCATGCTGTTAAACACTAAACAGCATTATTTCATATAATTCTCACAACAACTCCATGAAAGAGATATACTAGTATTGTTTTATAATTAGGAAAATGAGGGCTTATAGAAGTTGAATATTTGATTCAACTTAAAACTATGTATTTCTAAACCTATTTATCAATGTGTAAATTTGTGTGTATTTTATTTGCAAGTTATGGAAAGAAAGTGATAAGGAAATTAACAATATTTAGCAGATATGTGTCCTAAGTTTAGAATGGCATGATTTAAACTGCCTGCCAGATTTTATGTGCATGAGGGGTTCCTTCATTAATTTGAGAGTACTGCCTGGTGGTCAGGTCGACAGCATGTGGCATTACCCTCGTCATAATGCACAGTGACTGCTTGGCCAGCACTCACAAAATCCTTTTAAGTTACTATGTATACCCTTCAAGTATCCTGAGATTATGCCTTATGGAGTCCTGTGTCCATCTCAAGTAAAAATCGTGACTAAAAAATACAATGTGAGCCAGAAGGCCCACAGAAAAAGAAATAGAAAAAGGCTGACACCAGTGGAGTAAAAATCTAGGCTCTCAGATGCATTAAAAAAGGTGAATTAATGAGCATTATGGGTTTTATCTTTCACCTTGGTGTGCAACACTTTGTATGCGGTAATTCCCAATGGTTTCATGCCTTATGTTATTGTAGATCTATTGGACAGTCTCAGGGACTCTGTTTCTGTTCATGAATAAACATTTTTAATATGTTCACATGTTTACATAAAATGTTTATTTGCAGTTCATATTGATGTGATACGGAAAAAAAAGGGGAGCATAAACTGTTTTTTTTTAACCTACCAAAATATATCTCCTTTTTTATTATGTCAAATTTAAGTTTGATTTAAGTGTTTTTGAATCACTTGCCACTTTCCAAGAAACTAACCAACATGTAAATTGAGAGATGTTAATATATATGTCACTGAACTGTTTTTAAAGAATCAAAGCCCCACAAAAGAAAAAAGAAACATACAAAATAGGAGGTATTACCACTCAGAATCCAGAGAATCTAGGGCAACAAGTAAAATGTAGTTAGATAATTCTTATTACTCTTGGAAAGTAGTGTTCTGATTTTTGAGAAAAGGTGACATTTTCTCGGTTAATTCATATCACAACTGACCTTATAAAAGGAACATTGAACAACATAGTGTTTTTTATCTATAGCTGTACCTCAAACAGATAGGTGGTTTTCAAATGAATTTTTTTTTTATGTCTACCCTCAATAACAATCCCAGGACATAAATAAGTGAAGGTAATTCTGTTGGGAGTAGGTTGACCTAATGAGCATAAAAATGATAAAGTATTTGGCAATGCTGAAAATTCTGTGAGGTGGTGAACAATGAATTGTGGTTGGGCAGTTAATGAAAACTTAATAGAGGAGAAGGCATGAAAATACCGATGATAGTGATGGTGGTGACAATGGTTATGCTGGTTACTAAATGTGAGCCAACAAAAAGCCTATGAAATAGATGCTATTACTATCTGCAACTGATTCACAGAAGATGAATAGTTTGGCAACAATCACAAAGCTAATAAAAAGTGAAATTGAGGTTTAGACTCCCATGTATCCCATTTCAAAGATTACAATCTAATTCTAAAAATAAGACATATATTTGAAATAAATGGGTAACAATACCAGACAGTACATAGGAACAAATGAGGGCTCTGAACCATGAGTATAAGAGAAGATCTAAAGGAGATAGAGTTTCTGCTGTGGAGGTTAGGGCAGGCTTCCCGGAGAGACAGCAAAGCAGTGTGCCTCCTATTCTTTACTCAGCCATAACCTCACATTGTGTGAGCTTTCCACAATTGTATGACCAACCTGAAGATCTCAGGGAATGCTCTCAACCAGCTCACAAGGGAAAGAGGCATTTTCTCTATAAATAAATTGTCTGCCATGTTGGGTCAAATATTTCCACTCACTTATATGAAAACAAAACATCTCTATTAAGAGCAAGTTATATCCTGCATGCTGTGATTTCCTACACAATCCTCTTCTTAAGAAAGATTAGGTTATTATTGAATCATCTCTAGTCTGGGGTACTATAGTGCACACTCACTGGAATGGATCATTTATTTTAGGAGTGGGAATGTAGAAACCAAAGGTCATAGGTATTTGGCTTCATTTATTTTCTGGACTTAAAATCTATTAATGACATACTCTAAATTCAAACAACTGCAGGAAAGAAATGCTTTCCACTTTCAGATTTTTAAAATGTGTTTTAGTAGATTATCTCATTTTCTGTTGTGGGAATAACATGTGTTTCGGAGTTGTAATTATGTATAATTTTGTCAATTTCCATGTTTTATGCAGTATTGTGCCCTAAATATCTAATACAAGTGTAATATGAATGATTAATTCATTAATGTTTCATACTAGCACAAGACAGCACTTTGCCGACGTCTTTGCCATGACAGTAGGTGAACCTTTATTGTAGATTTTAACAGGGGTCAAAACTACACCCTGCAGGCCTGATTGGGTCCACTGTCTGATTTTTCTAAAGTTTCCCAAGTTTTATTGGAACACAGCCATGCTTATTCCATCACATATTTTCTGTGGCTGCTTTCACAGAATAATGGCAGATTTGAGTAGACCATATGGTCCACAAAGCCTAAAATATTTACTATCTGGTCCTCTACAGCAAAAGTTTGCCAAGCCCTAGATTATAACATCGTGACTCAGGAAATGCTGTATTTTAATCTTTCTTTGCCTATTCCCAAACCCAGGAAGGACTTGAAGTTTTCATAAGTAGAGTTGATAAAACTCTAGCAGTTGGTGCAAAGTGATGAGAAAAGCACAGCCAGTGAAGACAGAAAGGCTTGTCTTGAGTCTTGGTTTAACTCTTCTTTACCTATGCTGCCTTACACAAACTATTCATTCTTGCTAAGCCTCAGCTTTCTTATTGGTGACACATATATATATATGTCATCAATATATATGTATGAATATATATATATGCCATATATGTCACCATATATGTGAATATATATTCACAAATAAGAGAGATTATTTTCAATAACATATTTAAAGTCAATACTATTATTTTTGTAGCTAAAACATTTCTTATTTCTATTCTAAGACATAATAGCTTATTTTAGAGTTGCCTTGGTTCAGATTAGTGACTGATTTTTCAATCATGTTTTGGTGACATCTTAAGTAATCTCTGGGAATCTCAAAGCTGGCTGTATAGTTTTCTTTCCTAAGTAATTACAATTCAATTTGATAGTATCCTATGTTACTATATGATCAGTTAAAAAAAGTATTTCCGGCCGAGTGGGCGGATGACGAGGTCAGGAGATTGAGACCATCCTGGCTAACATGGTGAAACCCCGTCTCTACTAAAAATACAAAAAATTAGCCGGGTGTGGTGGCAGGAGCCTGTAGTCCCAGCTACTCGGGAGGCTGAGGCAGGAGAATGGCGTGAACCCGGGAGGCGGAGCTTGCAGTGAGCCGAGATCTCACCACTGCATTCCAGCCTGGGCAACAGAGCGCGACTCTGTCTCAAAAAAAAAAAAAAAAAAGTATTTCCAAGAACACATTGAAAACAATAAAAATTTGTGGAAAGCATTATGTTAGACCCTGAGCATATAAAGATAAGTAAGACTTTGATGTAAAGAAGTTCTAAACTGGGACGCAGAAGCTGAAACAGGGACATATGATTAACACACAAGGAATTGGACAGTGGTACAAGGAAGACACTAATGAAATTCTTAGAGTAGAATGTACTGACAATATGGTAGGTATCAGATGTAATATGAAAAATCAAACAAAGACTTTATGGAAGTAAAGAAATTCGAGATGCGCTAAGAGAAGGGAAAGCAGAACATTCCATGGGAAGGGGATACTAGGGAAGAAACCGAGAAATAGGGAGGAAGCATAGGGGTGTTCTGATAACAGGGAGGGATGTTTTGACTGTGGCATCCATACGTGTATAATACTGGAAGAGAACACTAGGGCCAATGCACTTGAGAGCCATTAAGCCAGAACATATTGCAATTATCAGTGTGAGTTCCAATAAAGGCTTAATTTGTGTGATGACACTGGAAATGAGAAAAATCATTTTAAGAGTTGATGCAACTTTTTCTGAGTGCCTACAGATGTTTGTATATTCTCTCTTTCATCTGGTCCTCATAACCTTCCTGCAGTAAGTAGTAAATTATAATTCTATAATTTAGAATTATAAAGAAAAACTGGCTTAAGAGGAGAAGAGGATATATTTGACTTAGATCTTGTGGCATTTGAAGGCATGATGAGTGATCCAGTGGACCGTGCTTAGAAGAAAGTTGGAAATTCATCTGCAGGGTCAGATGGCCCATGCAGAAACCCTTCTTCTTCTCTACAAGACTAGTAAGCTTTATTGGCGTCCCTGTGCTGCCCCCTTTCTTCCCATGTCCTTCTGGGCTGTTTCAATTGCTTGATTGTCCTTCCACTGACTGAGGGGCCACAGAGCTTTAGAAAAAAGAGAAATAAGGAACAGAATGGTAATGGCATCTTCTAGGGCCATGAGCTTCTATCTTCATCTCCCTTTTGGAGTTCGGGGAGAGTGTTTTGGATTTTATGTGAACCTGACTGTACTTTCCTTGGACAGCCTTGGACTTGGGATTGATGGGCAGGAGCCAAGTTCTGAATCCTGCTGTCTTGATGTTATCAGGGGTTTGTTATTTTTTTGGTTTCAAGACATACCAGAAGAACCTGGGGGTACCTGTGAAAATACTTGGGGAAGTAGAATTTAAGCACTGGACATATGGTAAGTAAATATAGACAATTTTTCTTAAAAATAAAATAAATGAATTGATCACACAGTGGAAAGCTTCCTGATTTATTCTACAATGTAAGGGTGGACACCTAATAGCTTAGCAGTCCTTTGAATATTTTGCTGTGCAAATCTTCTTGGACGAAGTATTTATTCCATGGAGAAGAACATTTGATCAAGAGCTGAGAGATACAGGTTTCTTTTCTAACCTGGCTCTAAGGCAAACTAGATGAGTAATTATTCATAAGTTCATTTTCTGTAAAATGTGACCAAGTACCCTGAGTTGCTAAAAAAAAAAAAAAAAAAAAAGCAAATGTTATAATAAACACTAAAGTACACTCTGAAGAAGCTCTACAGAGGAGGAGCTTGTCTTCCCTTTGTTTTGACATCTCCTTACATTCTTTTACTCTCCTAATCTCTTTCATTTCTGTTTCCCTTTTTTGGTCTCTCAAACCTCTGCCAGTTCTTCCAATCATGAGCCAAGAAGTAAACTTAGCAAAATATATTCTTCCATCATCACTGCCTCTCAACTGCCTGAAAGGGTCAAAAGTGATATGACAACAATGTGCTTTTGAACCTGCAAAGTTCTTTAAATAAAAGGCAAAATCCTAATATAATCCTACAGCATTGACATAGGAGAAAATTACTATAATTATGCAAATTAAAATAAGTCAACAAGTTTCAGAACACAATGCACGATAAGTAATGTTTTTAAAAATAACAGTAACTGAGCCTGGTCATTTGCACTTAATAATAGGCTCAGGAGGGAGCCTAGTGTCTGAGAAGAAACAGCCGTGGTAATAGATATATTGTGGTTTTGATAGGTTCTCTCCTGTAGTTTTATTTCTGTATTTGCTTTAGATTATAGAAAGCTCCCAGAGTGCCCTGCTATTGAAATTCCCATCATTCCCAGGGCTTTAATTAAGTCATTGGATTTGACAGAACTTGAATTGAGGAGGCCTACCACTATGTCAGTTTATGCCAGGGTGATATTATCAGGGCCCTGGCAACTATGTGCTCAGGCTTTAACTTACGTATGGAGCTGTCTCGCTGTGAAACATAAGGCACACATGCCTCCATGTGATTTTAAAAGGCATTGAATATGGTCTACTATGGCAGTAAGGTCTTCAAAAAATCCAGAAGACAGGATGATACAAAGTGGATATTTTGGCATCATGGAGCAATGAGCTTTGAAATCAGAAGCACCCAGCCTTAAATCTCATACCTACCATTCATTAGTGGGGTCATCTCAGGAAGTGATCCAAATTTTCAGAGCCATGAATTTCTGTTTTGAAAAATGAGAATAATCCCAGCTATCATGGGAGTAATGTGAAAGTTAAATGTTAAAAGGTCAATAAGCCCTGAGCCTAGCAGGTATGTGGTAGGAGTTTAATAAATATTATTTCCTTTTTATTCACCTAATTTGAAATTAATCATTGCTTGTAGGAGTAGTCTTCCATTTCTTTCCACCTGTGAATCTTTGAGATATAGGTGTTATTTCTTGGTTTTAGAACAAATTTGGCCCTGAGAGCCCAAGGTCAAGGTTGGCTAGGGTTGTAACCATTTTCATTTAATTTTAGAAACAAATAAAATGCCATTTGCAGCATGTTGGCATTGTGGCTTCCCTCTCATGGCTCCATCCATCCCACATATACCTCGCTGAATAACAGGTGTCAGTGTTTTACCCCAGCAAAGCTGGAAGCAGCTGTAGCAACGTGCTAGTAGAATGGCAAATGTTGATCATGTATAGTGATTTGCGGTTTTTCTCTTTCTTTATGAAGCCTCTTGATGCAAACCAGCACCCATTTCCAGAGAAACAGGAAACACACCCATTTCACAATGAGTAATAGAACTTACTTTAGTCCAAACCAAATCTAAGACTAAAGTTTGGGTATACAGAAAGTGTTTGATTTAGCACATGTTGTTCACAGCACAAGCACTTTAAGATCAAAAGTTTCATTTCTTTCATATGTGTTACTTTTTTCTATGCAAGCACAAGACTTTTCCATGTGTTTCATTATTGTTCGGGGAAAAAAAATTAACATGCTGGATCAATGGAAACATTTGTCTACTAATAAGAAAATTAGAAAAGGAGTGAATAGGTCAGGCCTAGTTGGGCTATACACCCTCTACAAAGCCAGCAGACAAAGTTGCTCCCTTTCAGCCCCTAAGAAGAGTATCCAACCTTGTTGAACATTAAGCTTCTTCCTAGTATTTATTCATCTGGATAGAGGTACAATATCCTGACAGGTTAGAGCCAGTCCTGGCCAAAATTGGGATATAGAAAAGCTTGATCCTCTCAGGGTACTTTTCTCACATTGTGGCTTTCCTTTCTTTTTCCTGGCTACCCGGTCATGGAATTCTCTCCTTAGCAGGACCTGGACTCCTATTTTTCCTCTATCTTCCTCCTCTTATAAAAGTCTGATATCCGTCGTCATCAATGTTAATGACTGCCAAACTTCTTCTAGAGATATTTATATATGAACAGAGATAATTCTTTGAACATATTTCCTAAAGTTGGATCTTAAGTAACAAATATATGTGAATAAAATGTTTTTGGGCAGAGACCCACCCTTTCTCCATTATTCAAATTATATCACATGAAATAATAAGATGCCACAGAAAAATGGGGACAGGAGCTAGTTCTTTTATGAACTTGCACTTAAATTGCGTCATGTTAAACTATGATGTATGTTCAGTTAAAAGATCATTAAAGTAGATCCTAAAGTGCATGATGTATTAGCTTATGGTAGAACAACACTCCCACTGAGAACAATAGAAAAATGGGACAAAATATAAAAAGGATGTATTTGAAGAATTTGGTGAACAGTTGAGGTAACTTAGGGGCCAAGTTACTAGAAAAGAAGGTAATTATTGAGAGATGAGTTGATATTTTGTGAGCTGCTTTCCTTCCAGAGATATTTATCATTCTTGGCCAGTGGAGAGAGTCTAAAAATCCTAGAGGGGTTTGCAGCTAAGAGGCAGAGAAGCCAGCAGAACTTCTGATAAATCCACAATGCAAAGAAAACAATTAAAGCTCAGGGTTATGAAGGCTCCTAGGACTTGAGAGACCAAGATGCTGGAGAGAGGGGAGATGCTCGAGGGGCCAAGATGCTAGAGATACCCAACCTTTACAGATCTTCCCTTGAGTTTTTGTGGAATTCTTAAGTTGGGCAGAGGAGGAAGTTAAGAAGCAAACCAGAAAGTCACACTCTGACAAGCGAGTGGGGCATCTTTGGGCACTCTCATGGAGATAAAGAGACAAATAATTGGAGTCATGACCTATTAAGCAGAAAGAGCTTACCAGTCTCTCAGTAAGGACTCCTGGAGGGTTCACATCGGAGGGGTGATCCAGAGTTGGATGAAGGTTTACCAAAATGTAGCCTAGCCATGATCTACTTAAGTCTCTACTGGATTGTGGTGATCTGTCCCCAGCTCCTAATGGGAATTTCAAAATGCATACAATCGTTTCTTTATGGAAAAAAATTTACCAGTTGCTTTTGATTTTTAGTAAAACAAGAACGTTTGGCTTAAATGGTAAGAGAAATTATTTTTATTGGCATAAAGATGAATCTTTATATTTACAGGGTCTTAAAGCTTAACCTACACCCTTCAAGAGCCTTTTAGTGTTGGGGAATGATGACGTGCTGGTCTGAGCTGGTCTGAAGGCAGTAGGATAAACTTGTTCATCTTTGAGTATCTAGAGTTTCATGACTTAATATAAATTATTACCTATAGCTAGGTAACCATATTCTCTCCTCCCAACCCTATTCTCAGTGCAATGTGAAAAGACATTTTAGATGTGGAGTCTGGAGATCACAAGGATTAACATCAACTTATTTGTGTTTCAGTTTCTCCTTCTGTACTTTGGGTCTCATTCTCACCACAGGTAGGGGATAACTGCAAAACATATGAGATAATACAGAGAGGGCTTTATGATACTTGGAAAATGCCAGGAACTTAGTAAAGATCAAGAGTCCCTATCATTGTATTAGAAAGTAGAGCAAATTCTGACTTGTTTTGTACACAACTTATACACCACAGTGGATAGGCAAGGATCTCATTTGGGTGACTGAGCCAGAGATTTAATGTGTACCAAAAAGAAAAAAGCGCTGTAATTGTGGCCATTTGGTTAACTATATAAAACTAGAAACCTACCGCTCAAGAGATATGGTCTAAGTAGAGCAGTGATACCTATGGGCATCAGGTAGATGCAAAATCTGGATGGAACAATTGTGTAGCTTATCTAGGCAATAAGATTGTCTTGTATTTTTAACACATGGGACAGTAATTTCTAAAATAAAATTAAAAACCAATTTTCAGTTAAAAATATTTAATGTACAATGTAGAAATCAGCTCTAAGCAAGACATTGGCTGTGGAATTTTCTTGAGAAGTCCAGAATTCAATGCATGAATCTGCAGTATAATAGTCATCCCATAATTCTTCAGGGGCAGTTCAGTCTGAGACAGGTGTGTTTATCTGTATATTGTCCAGGCATATGGATAGGTTCCTTCCAAATAATAAAGTTTGAAGATGAGATAAGTCATTGTGCATTAGCATGGGACACTTTAACAGGCATTAAGGTGAAAGCTCCTCCCACCACTCATTCACTACTATGAAGAGAATGTTGCAGTAAGAACAAAAAATCATGGGGCATACAATAACATTCTACCCAGGCCTCAAGATACACTGTTTGTTCCAAACTCTTTTAATTTAGTTCCTGCACATTATGTAAATGATGTAAGCAAGTGTTAATGATATTTTTAATAGAATTGATTCAGAAGGATTATAAGCCAAATGGGATACTTTAGAAATGAGTCATGGCAATTTAATAGGTTCAGGTACGGGTCATTTATTTTCCAGAACTGTGTTGCTCATTCCAATGGGAATAGTATCAGAGAATAACAGTATATAAATCGTTTTACTTATTATCTTCCTCCTCCTAATTTTTTTTTGTGTGTGTGTGTGAATGTTGTGAAGAGTAACAACTGTGACTTTAGAAATGAGCTCTTCTTGAAGACAGTCTTGTTTGTTTCAATACATAGGGCTCATCAGAAGGGTTTTGGCTGTATTATTATCCTGTGTCTGGGATGGTGTCTGGCACAGAGTTGATACTCACTGAGTATTTCCCTATCTTTTATTGACTGACCAAATAAAAAATGGAAAGACTGGCTGAATACCAAGGACTTAGTCAAGGTAGCTAGGGCAAAACAGGGAGTGAAACAAGCTTCCAGATGGCAGGCCAAGAAGACAAGGATGCAAAATCCCAACACCTATAAGATGGCTTAGAGAAATTTTAAAATAGAAAATAGAGTTCCTTATATTCTCCCTGCCAAAGGGCAAAAGCAGTCTATGTTAAGGGAGATACTGAATGTAGTAATTGCGAGAATTAGGGACCTCACTGAGAGTGAGAGCAAGTGGAATGAAGGAGAGAGAAATGCCACCAAATAAAGCTGTGTTGTGGTTTATAAGGTACTCCTACGTGAAAATTCAACCTAGACAGGGTTTTCCTGTTATAATTTTTTAAAGTTTTGAATCACTCTCCATCTAACAGAAAACTGCAAGTACAAAATGAATAACAAATTTTTCTGCACCATTTGAGGGTAAGTTGCTGATCTCATGTCCCATCAACTCTGAATACTTTAGCGTGTATTTCCTACCATCATGACATTTCCCCACATAACCACAACACAATCATCAAAATCAGGAAATTGACATTGATACTTAACTACCGTATAATTCTCAGACCCTATTTAAATCTTACAATTTTCTCAGTAATGTCTCTTTAGAGCAAAAATATCTTGTTCAGAATCATATCTTTCATTTTGTTGTTGCATTTTTTTGTCTCCTTCAATCTGAAACAGTTACTTCATCTTTCTTTGACTTTCATGAACTTGATACTTTTGAAAATTATAGGCTAGTTATTTTGTAGGTTGTCCCTCTATTTGGGTTGGTCTGATGTTTCTTAATCAGTAGAGTCAAGTCATGCATCTTTAGCGTAAATATCCCAGAAGCAACATTGTGCTCTCACTGTTTCCTATCAGGTGCATACAATTGTTATTTGTCGTGTTACAGATGCTATTGCTTTGATTACTTGATAAATATGGTGTCTGCCAGTCTTCACCACTGAAATGTTACTCTTTTTCCCTTTGTAATTTGTAAGTATGATGGGAGGATATTTTGATACTATATAAATATCCTTTTCCTCATAAAACTGGTGTCATTGATTCATTCTTTTCCCCATCAAGCTTTCAACTTATTCATTTATTTGTATCAGTAAGGATTTATGGTTTCCTAGTCAAGTGATTATAATTTATAATTTTCATTATGTTTGAATTATCCCCAATTTGTTCAGATTTTCTCCTTCAAGCCAGTTTCTGTATCTTTTAGATGTGTCACTATTATTTTTTGAGCACTCCTTTGCTTTCTGATATTAAAAAGGCATTCCAGACTGATTGTACACTTTTTTGCCTTAGTCCTGAGATGAATCATGTCTCCAAGGGGCCTGGCTCCATTTAGTGGTACCTGGTACTTAGAAAATAGTTTCTGTGTGCTCATGGCTGTTGAGGTGTCACTGTTCCCAGGCCCTCTCATTTTCACTCATTTCTCTCTGTACATTTACATGTTTATATCTCTATATTCTATTTATTTATATCTCTGCCCCTGTCTATCTATATTTAAAAAATCATGAGGTCAGACCAGGCGTGGTGGCTCATGCCTCTAATCCCAGCATTTTGGGAGGCCAAGATGGGCGGATCATGATTTCAGGAGATCGAGACCATTCTGGCCAACATGGTAAAACCCCGTCTCTACTAAAAATACAAAAATTAGCTGGGCATGCTGGCACTTACCTGTAATTCCAGCTACTCGGGAGACTGAGGTAGGAGAATTGCTTGAATCAGGGAGTTGGAGGTTGCAGTGAGCCCAGATCGCGCCACCACACTCCAGTCTGGCGACAGAATGAGACTCCGTCAAAAAAAAAAAAAATCGTGAGCTCATACCAACACCCCGAATTTCTCTTCGGCTCTATACAGGGTTAATTCTAGCTTTCTCCCTTTCCATGTTTAGAGTTTCCTTCTTTAACAGTGAGATGCCTGGTTCCCATTATCCTTGATATGTTTACTTATTTAACCAATCTGCATCTTTGTAATCAATTTCCAAGTGATACCAACCCCCCAGTCCTCACAAATGTCTCCTCACTCTGCCTGGGCTTTGACACCCTTTTCTGCCACCCCACACATAGATAAACTTCTCATCCTACCCATCTCTGGTTCATAATTTCAAACCACTGCTGCCAGTGGTTTGGGGTGTGGAGGTGGCAGGGCTGGTGGGAGGGCTTCTGACCCCACTCAGGAGTTTACACTATGTTGTGGGCCATTATCCTCCACTCCGGTGAGGACATTTACCTTACCTAATCCTCATCAGTGGTTTTAGAACTGAATTGTCCTAGAAGGGAATGAAAGAAAAGAGAAAAGGAAAAGGAAGAAAAGCTTTTTAAAAGTCCTAAAAATAAAAATGTCAGCTTTCCCATTATTGAAACATCCGATGTATTTGATATTTTTGAACCAATATATATTTAAAAAACATATAGACCCTCCATGTTTCTAGGATTTGAGGGATGAGCATCTATTTGGGTCTTCACTTTGTAGATTTGGGGGCTTGGGTTTTGTTGATCATTTCTGTGTTTGAGTGAGGTCATGGTTTTCAAACTCTTCTCCACAGTCCCACATTCTATGGACATCTCTCAAGGCTGCACTGAGAAAGTGTGGGGTGTGGGGATATTGCAGAGTCGTAGTAACTTGCCTTTGTTTCTCGCCCTGCTCCTACCAGAAAATTCTGTTTCTGTTTTATATATCAGATTTCCATATGAGATGTCAGCTGAAAATAAAAGGTTTCAAATGCTTAAAGTGTTTGAAAACCAGAGTTAAATGAGCTCTCTGAGAGCGCCAGCTGGGAGTTTTAAGAATTAAGCTTTGAAATCCCTACTTAAGTGCACAATTTTTCTTCATGAATATGAGCAATGATAATTTTCTGTCATTTAAAAATGTTTTTGGCATCCCCATATGATTATATACATAATTATTTTAGATTATTTTCAAAATATGGAAGAATGGAAAGCAATTACCTGTCCCCTTATTACACTGCCCCTGACACATCTGACAAAACCACCCTCAAGATATCAAAGTGTTTTCTTCCAGTACTTTTATTGTGCTTTATTATTTTCATAATAATTGTAAGCATAACTTATATATAATTACCCTCAACTATCAGCTTTCTAAATATATGTTTTCTGGGATCTCAATTTCAACAAAGTATGAAGCAGTAGTTTTCATTTATTAATTATTTTTTTTCACTAAAATATGAAGCTCCTAGCTTGTCCTCATTGAAATGAATTCCGGTGGGAGAAGGGACTAATCTCAAGTGTCAGAAGCATTCAAGATGCAGAGTTCTGTGGGAGCATGTGATGGGCAGACTTTACTTATTCTGGGGCAGGGGCAGGAGTAGGCAAGAATCAGTGAAGACTTTTTGGCGAAAAAACATTTAAGGGGAGACATAAAGGTCAGTTAGCTGGTGAAAGGTGAGGAGTTGGGAAGGAGAAATGATTTCCAAACACAGAATGCAGCCTTTGCAACATTCATATGGTAGGAAGGAGTAGGATTTGGTCAAGGAGCCAAAAGAAATCCAGCATGGTGGAAACATGGAAAACTAAGTGGTATAAGATGATATGAGAGAGGTGGTCAGGGTGCAACTCAGCTATTCTAAAGATTTGGTCTTTATTGTAAGTGGAATGGGAATCACTAAAAGGATTGAAACAAGGAAGTCACATGATCAAATTTGAGTTTTATGAACAAATCTCTGGATGTTTTATAACGGATGAATGTGGGTTGATGAGAGAGGATGCATCTCAACTAGTTAGGAGCCTACTGACTAATCTATGTGATAGATGCCAATGATTTGGACTAGAGTACGGTCATTTGGGTAAGGGAGTAAGGAACAAATGTCTAAGACATAGACAATTCAGAATTGGGTAACTGATTTAATGTGGGAGTGAAGGCAAGTGGAATGTGCCAACTTCCCCAATAGGCCTTCACACAGGAGAATCTGCCGCCTAATGTTGACCACTTGCCCCTTGTGGATAGGAGGTTGGAGTCACTCTGGGATACTGGGGTTGAGGGAATCAGCACATCTCTTTCACCCCTATGGCCACAGTGATTACTACACAGATAGGCACACCTCTCTTTGGCCCATCACACCCAACAAGTTTCAATTCTGGGACTTTTGTTTATCCTATCAAGGAAGTGGACACATTCTTTTTCATGACTTTCAAAGTTCAGAGGACTTAGGGACTAGAATTGTTGTCCAGACTTGTCACTTTTTGGTTGATACCAAAGGTAACAACTGAAATGAGATATACTGAATCTATGACATTATTTGAAACCTGAATCAAGCTATGTCCTTCCTCCACACATTTTATATGTAAAACTCAAAAATACTGTTTCTTATAAGACCACTTTGGGATGAGTTTCCTGTAATTTGCAACTGAAAGTATCCTCCCTGATATGCAACTGAAAGTATCCTCCCTGATATGCAACTGAAAGTATCCTCCCTGATATGCAACTGAAATGGAATCCTCCATTTAATGTAAACTCATATTAACAATTTAATTTTATTATAAGACTTTCTTCCGAAGATATATCTAAACAAAGTTGATATCATATTCCTATGTTGATTTGATACTCTATACTGCTTCCTTTGGGTCTTGGTTTGTATTCTTCCAGAAATAAACCATAAGACAAGGATATAATTGCAAATAATTTATTTGAAAAGTTGTCCCAAGAAACACCAGCAAGGAATTAAGATAAAGAAGAGAAGGAGGTCAATAAAATGTGTGTTGTAAGAAAGCTACCATTTTAGGTACCTGGAATTTAATTCAGCTGGGAAGTGTCTGGGAGACAGTGTAGAACATACCTCGGTGTCATCATAATGTAGGGGAGAAGAAGTTAATGAGTTTATCCATAATTTCTCTGCCAATCATAGGTTGAAAATTGCTTGGAGGGAATTAACTCTTTGATATGTTCAGTTTGCTGCACCTATAGGCCAACATGGTTCATGTGTCAAAAAAAAAAAATAGTGCTGGGGCAGTTGTAGGTATATCCAGTAATCAGCCTTTAGTAAGTGGAGATAAGTGCAAAAGGAAGTGGGTGGAGTAACTAATAACATCTGTTATCCACTCCTCAGCCCCTAATAGACTCAGATATTTTATCATTCAGTTCTTATTTTCTGTACCTTACATATTGTACTTTTCCTTTATAACCATACTTCTGATTATTTCTTACCAGCACGCAAATTTTCAGAAATCTCCCACCTAAAAGAAAGTTTGTATATTTCACTCCAGTTACTTTGTTATTTACCATCACTGTTTCACATCAAAACTTTTTGAAAGAGTTGTATATAGTTGCAGTGTCTACTTCCTGACACCTGTTTTCTCATTAACCCAATCTAATAGGATTTCGATCCTTATCACCACACTGAAACTGCTCTTACGAAACTCACTGGTAATCTTCATGATCCCAAAATAAATGATTATTTCCTACGTTCATCTTACTCGACCTTTCAGCATAATTCAAGAAAGATGTGACTCTTTCCTAAATAATGTTTCCTTGTTTTGATTTAGTAACCATATATTTTCCTACCTAATTGAAAGAAAACTTCTTAGTTTCCTTTAATAGCTCACTTTCTTGTGCCACCTGTGATTGTGCCAAAGTTCCATCCACCTATATATGTCCCCCAACTTAACTCATTCAATACTCTTGGCCACTTTACTGAGCTCTGGACAACATAGACAACCATTTGCTCTACTTGGCACTTGGCATATCTAGCAGGTATCTTAACATATCCACAACAAAACTCTTATTTTTCATAAAAACCTCTTAATTCACTAATCTTTTCCATTTCAGAAAATGTCTGTTACTTGCCTAGCTGCCCAAACAAAAATTTTTGAGCCATTCCTGATTTCATTTTTCTTTGCCTCCCACATCTGACTCCATGAGCAAGTTCTTGTTCTCAAAAGTAAGTCCTGAATGTGCCAGTTACCCCATGTCCATCTCTACCATCCTAATACAAAGCATTATTATCTTTTCCCAACCTACTTGCAATAGCTTCCTAACTGGTCTATCTGTCCACTCCTATATCCTTATAATCCACTCTTTACACAGCAAGCCAAGTGATATTTTAAAAGTCATACATTATGTTACTTCCTTCTTAGAATCTTCTAATGGTTAAAAATCATACATTATGTTACTTCCTTCTTAGAATCTTCTAATGGTTTCCCATAATACTTAACAATAACAACAGCAGCAGCAACACAGTCTGGCTCCTCCCTACCACCCTGATTCATTCATTTCCTACTGCTTTCTTCTCTGCCCTCTGTTGACTAGCCACACTTGTCTTCCTATTTTAGTGGTTCTTAACAGGGGCAATACCACACCCTGGAGGTGTTTTTGTAGTTTGTGGGTACATCTTTGCATGCTATGACATTTGGTAGGATTACTGACAGTGTGTGGGTCAGTAATTCCACATTTCCTGCCATGTGTAGGGCAGACCCATGAGAAGAAGCACAGTTCTGTATCCTGCATGGCTTTAAAATATCCTGACAGGCATTCATGCAGGTAAAAAATTTACTCATAATTATTTGGACCTAAAACCTAATTCCACTTTACATACAAACAAAAAGTATTTTTGCATAATTTTAATATACACCAACATTTCTAGGAATGCAAGTACATTGTAAATTGAGGGAAGAGTGTAATTTGTTTTGTTAGAAACTCTATCAAGAGTTGCTCACCATTTCAGAAAATCACATCACCAATGGCAACGCCATTTGCAGTATTTGAGTTGCCAATGCAACACACCTGTACCCGACTCCATTTGTAGTTGTCACATTCATGCTGATTCTAAGTATAGACACAAACATCTGACTATTTCATATGGCTTCTTGTTATAATACCTGAACATTTTCATATAGAAATAGGTATCATTTTATTATAAATTATCTTCCTATTCTCTTTACTTTATAATGATGACATTATGTTAATATTTTTGGAAATTATTTGTGTAAATATATTTGAATTTAATTTCAGGGCAATAAAGGGGATCTTACAAACTGTCATTAAAAGAGGGTTCTGGGTCTTACAGGTTTAGCCTGCTGCTGTAACATTTTAAGCTTGATAGACCCAAAGTGGTCCAGGTGCCGGTTACAGTCACCATAGTCCTGAACAATGGAAAAATTCCTTACATAGATATATAGCAGGAAGGTAGGATGATGTGCCAGTTTCTGAGAAAATTCTTTTATCTGTATGGAATTAATCTAGTACTGTACTGTCAGAGGCAGAGACTGTCAGCTGTTTAATAAAACATTTTTACTCTTTGTCATCAGCTAGACTGTATTCTCCAGCATCCTTTACCACCAGATGTGGCCAAATGACTGGGGAAATAGAAAAATTTTATTTGCAGCATATACTATTTTCAGAGTTCTTTTTGTCTGTGTGTAACTCTTTACTTCTGGGGATCAGAATTTCAAAGGTACGATGTGCATTGACATTTTCGCCCTCCTTTCTTCCCAATTATTTCCTGTGAGTTGCTTTCATGGAAAGGATTTAGAAAGATTGTAGGGTACAAGGGTATGTTACAAAAACAGCACTCTGATTACCCAAGAAAGGGGTGTAATAAAGAAGTGGTGGCACCCTTTTTTATTTTATTGCTTTATCTTTAGGTCTTACTTTTACTGGGTCAAATGCAGAGAGTGGTGGCATTGGAAGTTAATGGTGTAGAACAATTTTAAGTCAAGATCAACTGTATTTCTTTAACATACCAGATAATAGCCTGTGCAGTCATCTCAGGCTTATGTTGATCCATAGAGAAATGCTAATGGATAGAAGAATGTAAGTCCTGTATTTTATGTTAAGGCTATAATGTATGAAGCATTTAGAGGGGATGAAAAGCCATACTGCCCTTTGTTGGAGGAAGTTTCAATGGACTTCAGGTTTCCACAATGATGACCCACTGCCAATGAAATCACTTGGCTGGAGTGAGAATATGAGCAAGTATTTTGGGAACTTCTCTTTGCCATTCTCACTGGGATTTTCTTTCTGTCTGCCTATTCTCGACTGCTCAGGACACTTGGAGTATTTGCATGCCTTCCAAATGCAGGCAACTTTTCAGGATATCTGTGAAATCGTATTGAGAGGGTAAAAAAGCCAATTCCCTGATGTCAATTTCTCAGGGGCAGCCTTCCTTCTAGAAGGCTCAGAGTTTAGAGTTACACAGTCTATTCTTAGGAAGTAAAACACTTTATTGTTCTGCAATGTTGTTATCAATCTTCAAGCTCAATTACCATGGTTATGTATTGAGTATTGGGGTTATGACTGATTCTCTGTTCCAGTAGTACTAACTAGTACTATAACTATTTGCCAAGAAGATTTAGGGCAATACCATAATGACAGCTGAGAGACTATTGGCTAGACCTTCATAAAACTTATTTTCAGAGGAGCCACCTATTAGAAAACATCATTGTCATGCTGGACACCATCAGATAGTACTCTAAGATCCAACTTGATTAACTTTATGTAGAAGTCAAGAAGCTATTTACAACAAAGCATTAATTAGAACAGTTTATTCAAACGATAATACCTAGAGGTTGAGTATTCATTAGGAAAAGTTGGGTTTTAAAATGTGCTTCACAACAGGCTAGTCAAATTAAGTAACATTTCTTATTGCTTATGGGGGGCTTACTTCAAAGAAAATGTAGAATTAAATATACTGTCAATAAGCAAACACAATGCTAAAGAATATGGGAGCTACACATTCACAAGATCCTATTTTAATCACAAATTATATTTTAGGGCCAAATTAACACAGGACTAAATCAAATATTTGTTCTTCTGTGAAATTTTTATCCATCTACTTTGGTAGGTCCAGTCAATCCTTCCTCCAAAAGTAATTTGTTCATACTTTATAGCACTGATATTCAATTATTATTATTATTATTAATAGTAATAGCAGCAGTTAGTTGGCAGGTCCTATCCTTTATTACCCTATATATCCTCATGGTTCAGTTCAATGCTAAGCATATGGTAATTTCTCTTCAAATATTTGTTGTAATGAATTCCTGCATGCATCCATGTATTCATAAATCAATGAATGCCCCAGTTCCAGTGAAGACTGAATATGGTTTCTCCCACATCATGAGTGGAGTAGATCACTAGTCCTATTGAAATGGGAGAATCATGACCTTCCCATGACAATGATTTTAGATTTTATTGGTGAAAGGAATGTAGCCTGATGTTATTTCATAGTATCCAGCTTTCTGAAAGAGGGATACAAACTAAAGATTAAATTTTAAAGTATCAGGAAAAAAGTGTTAAGGTAAGAAATTATAAAGTAGCATAAAATGTTAAATGGACATAAGCACAAAAATTTGATCTTCTTTTAGATGTAATTATTTAATTTAAAAAGCACAGCAAATTGAAGATTTTTTTCTTTTTCTCCCTCGGGTCTGTTGCTTTCTATGGGCAAAAGTCAGCTGTTGCATGGGAAATCCAAACTCTAAAGATCATCCAGTGCAGGGTCAGGATGTGTATTTACTTACCCTTACATTGCCAGTACTCAACACAGAAGTAAGAGTATATTAGGCTCTTAATAATATTTGTTGAATGAATGGATAAGTAAATGAAACATGTTAATTTGACTGTAGTTTTCTTATCAGCAGATTTATAAGCACAGAGCCAGTCTCTACTGAAAGTTAGTTACAATAACTTTCATAGTTTCACGCAGAACCTTGGTTTTCCAATCTTATGTTTTCCTTAAAGACTTATTATGTAGAAATGTGAATTCTCTTGGCAAAGGTTTCTACCACAAGAAATTGTTCTTGACTCCAGCTGCCTGGTGCTTAAGCTTAAAAGTTTTTTCAAATGGTTCCCTAGCACTTTGTCCACAGCACTACTGTAGCACTTTTCACACATAATTGCATTTATAAAAAGCCCTTGCCAAATTCAATTTCTCTTTCATGAAATTGTACATCTGTGAATTTACTTTTGTACACTTTTCCACAATCAGGAAAATCTTACTTTGATTAGATGCACACCTGTTGGGGATAATTTGAAAAAGAGGGAGTAAGGACTTGCGAATTTGAAAAGGCAAAAAAGAAGTAAAGCAGGTGGCAGAGCAGGAGAATGGTTTTTAAAATGCAGCTTTGGGAGAAATTAAGGTGGCTGAAGCAAAGTTAGAATTGCATCATATTGGCTGGAGGAAGGAGAGGTGAATGTGTTCTAGCCCCATAAGCAGAGCTAAAGTTCTGTGAGTGAGTATAAGGAAGCCCTAAGAGGTAACTTTTTGATATGCGTAGTAACTGAAATAAAAGTTGCCTAAGGCTTTTTCCAGCCAAGTTACTGTACTTCTTTAGGGTCACTGTGTGATTCAGGAGACAGGAGTCAAGGAGTCATTCACCTACCCAGAAAGCCTTGTAACTTATGTGGAGTATAATATGTATAGGGCAGGGCCGAGGCATATTGTCTACCATAAGGCATAATAAATACACAGGTATGTTGTTGAAAATGCTGGGGAGATGTTTTATTATGCTATTCTTTATTGTTTGGCTTTCAATAAAGAAAAAAACTATACTTATAAAAACTTTCATAGGTTAATCCACAACCTTGATGGGCCAGTCTTAACTTTCTCTTAAAAGCTTATTTATTTATACTTATTTTTGGAAATGTGAATTCTCCTGACACAGGGATTTTTGGAGCTGAACCCTTTTATTGGAGAGAAAATGTATGTTATGTAGCAGTGTACAAACTGCGTGAGTCACAGAGATGCCAAAATATTACTTTCTTTATGTTTCTGTAACTAGACAAATTTTTTTTATTTTACATTAAATTATAGGATGCATGTATACAATGTGCTTGTTTGTTACCTAGGTATACATGTGCCAGGGTAGTTTGCTGCACCTATCAACCCATCATCAAAGTTTTAAGCCCTGCATGCATTAGGTATTTGTCCTAAAGCTTTCCCTTCCCTTGCCCCCAACCCCGCAACAGGCCCTGGTGTGTGTTGTTCCCCTCCTTGTGTCCATGTGTTCTCATTGTTCAACTCCCAGTTATGACTGAGAACATGCAGTGTTTGGTTTTTTTGTTCCTGTGTTAGTATGCTGAAGATGATGTCTTCAAGCTTCATTGATGTCCCTTCTAAAAACGTAATTTCATTCTTTTTCATGGCTGCCTAGTATTCCATGGTGTATATGTACCACATTTTCTTTATCTAGTCTATCACTGATGGGCATTTGGGTTGGTTCCATGTCTTCGCTATTGTAAATAGTGTTGCAGTAAACATATGTGTGCATGTGTCTTTATAGTAGAAGGATTTATATTCCTTTGGTTGTATACCCAGTAATGGGATTGCTGGGTCAAATGGTATTTCTGGATCCAGATCCTTGAGGAATCACCACCTTGTCTTCCACAATGGTTCAACTGATTTACATTCCCACCAACAGTGTAAAAGCATTCCTATTTCTCCACAGCCTCACCAGCATCTATTGTTTCCTGACTTTTTAATAAATGCCATTCTGATTGGTGTGGGATGGTATTTCATTGCAGTTTTGATTTTCATTTTTCTAATGATCAGTGATGATGAACTTTTTTCATGTATTTGTTGGCCACATAAATGCCTTCTTTTGAGAAGTGTCTGTTCATGTACTTTGCCCACTTTTTGATGGGGTTCATTCTTTCTTGTAAATTTGTTTAAGTTCCTTGTAGATTCTGGATATTAGACCTTTGTCAGATGGGTAGATTGCAAAAATTTTCTCCCATTCTGTAGGGTGCCTGTTCATTCTGATGCTAGTTTATTTTGCTGTGCAGAAGCTCTTTAGTTGAATTAGATCTCACCTGGCAATTTTGGCTTTTGTTGCAATTCCTTTTTGTGTTTTCATCATGAAGTCTTTGCCCATGTCTATGTCCTGAGTGGTATTCCTTAGGTTTTCTTCTGGGGTTTTTAATAGTTTTGGGCTTGACATTTAAGTCTTTAATCCATCTTGAATTAATTTTTGTATAAGGTGTAAGAAAGGGGCCCAGTTTCAGTTTTCCACATATGGCTAGCCAGTTTCCCCAGCACCATTTATTAAATAGGGAATCCATTCCCCTTTGCTTGTTTTTGTCAGGTTTGTCCAAGATCAGATGGTTGTAGATGTGTGGTGTTATTTCTGAGGTCTCTGTTCTGTTCCATTGGTCTATATGCCTCTTTTAGTACCAGTAACATGCTGTTTTGGTTACTGTAGCCTTGTAGTATAGTTTGAAATCAGGTAGCGTGATGCCTCCAGCTTTGCTCTTTCTGCTTAGGATTGTCTTGGCTATATGGGCTCTTTTTCGGTTCCATATGAAATTTAAAGTAGTTTCTTTCTAATTCTGTGAAGAAAGTCAATGGTAGTTTGATGGAATAGCACTGAATCTATAAATTATGTTGGGTGTATGGCCATTTTCATGATGTTGATTCTTCCTATCCATGAGCATGGAATATTTTTCCATTTGTTTGTGTCCTCTCTTATTTCCTTGGGCAGTGGTTTGTAGTTCTTGAAGAGGTCCTTCATGTCTCTTGTAAGCTGTATTCCTAGGTATTTTATTTTCTTTGTGGCAGTTGTGAATGAGGGTTCATTCATGATTTGCCTCTCTGCTTGTCTAGTGTTGGTGTATAGGAATGCTTGTGATTTTTGCACATTGATTTTGTATCCTGAGTTTCCTGAAGTTGCTTATCAGCTTAAGGAGTTTTGGGCTGAGATGATAGGGTTTTCTAAATATACAATCGTGTCTTCTGCAAACAAAGACAATTTGACTTCCTCTCTTCCTATTTGAATGCATTTATTTCTTTCTCCTGCCTGATTGCCCTGGCCAGAACTTCCAATACTATGTTGAATAGGAGTGGTGAGAGAGGTTATCCTTGTCTTGTGCCAGTTTTCAAAGGGACTATTTCCACTTTTTGCCCATTCAGTATGATTTCGGCTATGGGTTTGTCATAAATAGCTCTTATTACTTTGAGATATGTTCCATAAATACCTAGTTTATTGAGAGTTTTTAACATGAAGCGATGTTGAATTTTTTTGAAGGCCTTTTCTGCATCATTTGTCAATAGATGCATCATGTAGTTTTTGTCATTGGTTCTGTTTATGTGATGGATTACGTTTATTGATTTGTGTATGTTGAACCAGCCTGGCATCCCAGGGATGAAGCCGACTTGATCGTGGTGGATAAGCTTTTTAATGTGCTGCTGGATTTGGCTTGCCAGTATTTTATTGAGAATTTTTTTTTCTTTTATTATTATACTTTAAGTTTTAGGGTACGTGTGCACATTGTGCAGGTTAGTTACATATGTATACATGTGCCATGCTGGTGTGCTGCAGAGAATTTTTGCATCATTGTTTATCAGGGATATTGGCCTGAAGTGTTCTTTTTTTTTGTTACGTCTCTTCCAGGTTGTGGTATCAGGATGATGCTGGCCTCCAAGAATGAGTTAGGGAGGAGTCTCTCCTTTTCAATTGTTTGGAATAGTTTCAGAAAAAAATGGCAACAGCTCCTCTTTGTACCTCTGGTAGAATTCAGCTGTTAACTAGACAATTTTCATCTTGAGCCCCCTTTTCAGTCTGAAGCAGAAAACTTCATTTAGCTACTTACAGTTTTAGTGGTTTCTCAGTGATGTTGATTTTAAATACAGTCAAATTGAAGACTTCTTCCCCTCTGATTTCTCTTGGGGCTAATGTAAATCATAAACATACGCCAAGATGTAGTGTTTTTGGAGATGGCATTCACTCCCCCATATTGATCTACCCTACGCTGACTCTGAGATCATAATCCTGTCAAACGCTTTTGTTGTCTGCATGTCTGGCATTTAAGAACACTCTAAACTGATTTTTTACAGAAGGAGCCCCATCTCCTTTTCAGACTGAAATTTTATAATTTATACTGTAGCAACTTACTCTCCCTATGACCCACCAGAAACCTCCTTTCCTGTTGGCTTTGTATTATAACTACAAAATTCTTTGCCATATGAGAAAATATTGGATAGCCCCCGATTCTGACTGGATCCTTCTGTGATTCTGCAGATAAAACCATTATGAATTCATACATCCACCCATCCATCCATCCATTCATTCATCCATCCACCCGCCCATCCATCCATCAATCCATCCAGTGGGGCAGCTGACAAACATTTATTGAGTACCAGGTGCTTACTAGGCACTTGTAGTAGAAGGTTCCTTCCTGAAGGATTTCACTTTCTGGTAGTATATAAGAACCAAAATCAGTGGCCTGATGCTCCACAAAGCTTAGACACTGAAAACTAAGACCATTTACTCCTCATAACTTACTGTCTGCATTAACATAACTTACTTTTTCTATGAAACTCTTGCCCAGGCTATTGGGTTTAACTTTTCATGGAAAACATCAACATACAGTTTGCATCCTCAAATTCTTTGAATTCTTAATCTCAAAAATCCTTGCCTTGCTGTTTCATGATCTTCACCAAATCCTAACCAACCCCATCTTGCTTGTACTACTGTCCACAACCTCCAAATTGAAAGACCTACCTTAACCCAAACTTCCAATTCCCAATAAATTGGGACACTGCCAAGGCACTTTTGTAGGGGAGGGGCATCCTGCCTTATGTTGTAAGCAATGAACTCAGCTTTGCCTAATCAACAGTTGTGTGGTAGTATTTGGAAAGCCAGAACTCAACAGTGGTGTCATAATTCAGTTGCAAGCCCTGCTTTTCAGAGGAAGATTAGTTAGTACATATAATTAGCCTCATTAGCTGTGAAAGATTATTTTAAATATATGTTTATGCATGATCAAAAGTCAAGCCTTTCATTGCTAATTCATGATATGGTTTGGATACCCAACAGAGATTTCTTCTCAATGGATATTTAAAATGTGATCTTTTATGGCCGGGTGCGGTGGCTCACGCCTGTAATCCCAGCACTTTGGGAGGCCAAGGCAGGCAGATTGCCCGAGGTCAGGAGTTCGAGACCAGCCTGGCCAACATGGTGAAACCCTGCCTCTACTAAAAATACAAAAATTACCCGGGTGTGGTGGCACACACCTGTAATCCCAGCTACTCAGGAGGCTGAGGCAGGAGAATTGCTTGAGCCTGGGAGACAGAGGTTGCAGTGAGCCGAGATCATGCCACTACACTCTAGCCTGGCCAACAGAGCGAGACTCTGTCTCTAAATAAATAAAATAAATAAAATGTGATTTTTCTTTCTTTCATTTTTTTCCTGAGACAGGGTGTTGCTCTGTTGCCCAGGCTGGAGTGCAGTGGTGTGATGTTGGCTCACTGCAACCTCCGCCTCCCGGGTTTAAGTGATTCTTCTTGTGCCTCAGCATCAAGTAGCTGGGATTACTGGTGAGCACCACCATGTCCATCTAATTTTTTTTTTCGTATTTTTTAGTAGAGACAGTGTTTCACCATGTTGGTCAGGCTGGTCTCAAACTCCTAGCTAGGCTCAGGTGATCTACCCGCCTCAGCCTCCCAAAGTGCTGGGATTAGAGTCATTAGTCACCGTGCCCAGCCTAAAATGTGATCTTTTTAATCACTATATTAAGCTTTACATAATGCAGATGTTAGTCATGCCTCAGGAATTGAGGTTAGGTCCTCTGGACAATGCTAGATGCTGAGAATTCTTCACCTGTGCTGCAGTCAGACTCCAGTCACCTGCTACTGTGATTGGGTTCCTAAAATATATGACGCAGGAGACACTATTTAAATATACTCTTTATTTTTGACTAAGGCTTTAGCTAAGTCTTGTCCCTTTTGTCTGCTGGCCTTTCAAGGTGAAGTGGGCTCAACAATAAAAATAATCTCTAAGACCTCTTTGCTAAGTATATGTATGAGAAACATTGGCCAGGTTCTTAGTTGTAGGCAACAGAATCTGACCTAACAAGTTTAGTTGGAAAGGGATTTATGATAGTTCACAAAATTATTGGGAAAGTTAAAAGTACAGACTCTAGGCTGAGCTTCTGGGAACGATGCCCAGAACCACACTGAAAAACTGGCTTGCTAAGGAAGCTGCTGCTGCCATTGGCCTCAGAACCCCAGTGCTTCTGCCACAATCAGAAGGATGTTGCATTGGGCAAGTGTTGTCACTGCTATTGGCCTCAGAAGAACCAAACACCCCTGCCACGATGCTGTTTGAGAGCAGTTTTCAAAGTGTGGTCCCTGAACTAGCAGTATCAGCATCACCTGGTAACTTGTTAGAAATGCAAATTCTCTTACCGTGCTCCAGACCTATGTAATCAGATACTCTGGGCATGAGGCCTAATGATGTGTGTTTCTGATACAGGCTAAAGTTTGAAAACTACTGCTATGTGAAATTGTTCAGTTTATTTCTCCAAGTCTTGCACACATGCAGGTGTATCTGCTTGGCAGAACATAGGTCGTGCAACAAACTCTATGACAGGATACTGGGAAAAGAAGTCTGTAGCAGTACTTCTCAAAATTTAGTATGTATCTAAATCACCTGGGGATCATGTTATACTGCAGATTCTGATTATTAGGTCTGTAGAACAATGCCAACAAGATCACAGGTGATAACAATACTCTTGATATGTGGACCACAATTTGTATATAGAGAGCCTGTAGAATAGAAACAATGCTGAAAGAGAGGTTGGGGGATTGCAACTCATCCAATATGCAATATCTTCTACCCAACTTGTCTTTTAATAAAAAACCTATAACCTCCAAAATTTGCAAGAGGAAGAGATCCTCCACATGGGTAGGGGCCTGATGAATTGAATCGTCACATATTTCCCTGCCTTTACTTGAATTAGGAATCCATTATCCCCTTTCTTGGAAAACTTTGAGGTATCTGGGTACTGTATTTTAGAAGAGAGGTTGGATATTTTTAAAGCCTAAATTAAGCCAGACTTGGCGCATAGTTCTCGACCTTTTTCTCTGAATCTCTTTGGTCTTAGAAGACTGCATCTTAATCAGAAAATAAGCCTTATACACTCAACAACATGGTCTTGCCCAGGCTCCTGTTGTGACTGCCACTGTTGAGTTCCCACCTGCCAAGAGAGCCTAAAGTCAAGTATTGATATGGGAGCAATTCCTGGAGGCTTCATCTGTCTACCTGGTAGCCAGTTGATTACATTTGATCTCTTCCTTCATGGCTAAAGGAGTGCTTTATTTTCTTAGGAATATTCTCAAATTTCAGGAACAGGTTTTTCTTTCTTGCCTGGAGGACTTCAGAGAGCATTACCACTTTTTGACTTACATTTATGCCTTATCATGATATCCCACCTAACATTACCTCCAACCAGAGAACCTTTTACAGAAAAGAAGTGTAACTGGTCTTATGATATGCCCATTATCTGAAACTGTGGCTGTGCTCTAGAAAGGAATGTCAAGGAGGGCAAAGAGAACTATACTTGGAGCCCAGAAAATTCACTAGGTCATCTCTAAGTATTTTCTTGCTCAATTATCCTGGTCAATGGAAAACCATGAAAACCCAATAAAGATCACGAAGGACTCATATTCCCCAGTAATGATGATTTGGGTCATCTCACTATCTAAAGAGCCCTATATAATTGAGGTGCTTACATAGGATAAGGGAATAGAGAATAGTTAGTGGCAACTATGATTACTAGCACAGATCTTGTGACTGGCTGTAGAAGCAGCAACTGTAGCAATTCTGTTTTATGTTAGTGATATAGTTTGGCTCTGTGTCCCCACCCAAATCTCATGTCAAATTGTAATCCCCATGTGTCAGGGAAGGTGCCTAGCTGGGTGTGATTGAAAAATGGGGGTGGGCTTCCTCCTTGCTGTTCTTGTGATGGAGTTCTCATGAGATGTGGTTGTTTGAAAGGTTGTAGTATTTCCCCCTTTACTGTTGCTCTTGCTCTCTCTCTCTCTCTTTCACTCTCCTGCTCTGCCATGTTAAGATGTGCTTACTTTCCCTTTGACTTCTGCCATTATTGTAAATTTCTTGAGGTCTCCCAGCCATGCTTCATGTGCACCCTGTGGAACTATCAGCCAATTAAACCTTTTTTCTTCATAAATTATCCGTTCTCAGGTAATTCTTCACAGCAGTGTGAGAACAGACTAACACAGTTAATTGCTTCTTTCTCCCTTTCTTTACTACCTCCCCAACTACCTTCTGTGGAAAAAAAGAACTGATAATGGCTTATAATTTAGGTTTCAGGTAGTAACATGGTCATGATAAGTAGCTCATGGGACTTTGTTGGGGAGACCAACTTCTTGTCTGAATAAAGAATCAAAGTGGATGTAGGAGTGAACTAATTGCCTTTCCTGGGAATCTTTTCATTGCTTCTCCAGATGAACTCTCCTCACTTCTCCTTTCACCTCTGTACCTAAGAAGACTGGCCAGAAAGAATTATGTCATCTTTCTTCTCTTCTAGTTTCTCATTCTGTTCATACAACGGGGAGCACTAGCATGAGTTCTAAAGAAAAGTAAAGTTGGGAGACTTATTTTCATGGTTCCGCATGGGTTTTCTGGGTAGTAGCTACTACCTAAGCCATAAGCATACTTTCATAAGCTACTTCCATAAGCCTGTCAGATGGCCACCCCACACCACTCTCTTGCCCCCGCAGGCCTGATGGGTAATGACACCCACTGCCCCTAGCTCGGGAATACTGCATGCTCCTTTATGTTTTCTTATACCTTTCCTACTCCAGGTGTAACTAACTCCTTTATTAAACTCTCCTTAAATCACCCATTTCAAGAGTGGCATCTGCGTACTGCCAGGACCCTTTCTAATTCTGGGGTGAGGTTTGATCCCCGCTAAAATGACCAAGATTTGAATTCTACTGTCTCCTTTTGTGGCTGTAGAATAATTAAATTTTACTTTCAAGTTATTCCAGATAACATTTAGTCATGTAGAATATATTGTTTCAAATATTCTACCATTTTGGCATGAATAGGAGTTCTATGGAGCTAGTTTTCAGTTGATTAAAACAAGTGACAATCTCTAACACAAATAGTACATACATTTGTGTTACATACAGCATATGCTGTATGTGATACATACAGCATGTGCTATCACCATCCAGTGTGCATTGAGTGACTTTACGTGCTCACTAACCAGTGGTTTCTAGCTTTATGTCAACATAGTCCATTTTCAGATTTCAATTGTAAGGGGAGAGAATATGTTTTCTATGTATTTTCTTATTGGATCATATTTTCTTTCTTTCATGTTCTTAATTCCAAAATTTTAATTTGGTTGGACATTAAGTTGTAATAATGTGTATATTTGTGTGACTTGCTGCAAAACTATACTGAGTTTCCTGACAGGATAGAAACCACATCTATTTTGCTTATTCTTAAATATCCACATAGAAGACACAATAAATCTTTGTTTGGCAAATCAATCAAACCCATTTTTGCATAGAAAAAAAGATACAGAGGCTCTAATTTGGTTTATATTACTGAGAGAGTCTGTATCAATGATTTGGTTGTTTTTCAGACAACCTATGTTATTTTCACCACAAAACCAACATTTTCAGTAATATTATATATGCTTTTCTCTTGGTGTCACAATTGAAATTATACAAATTTATTTTTTAATTGGGAGTAAAATGGCTCCTAAAACAGTCATTTGCATGGACCTGCTTGAAAGTAAATGAACAATGAATAAAACAGCATATGAAAATGAATAAACAGATATTGGCCCTAAGATGAAAACACATAAGAGAGACAAGTTGCAGCAGTATTGTGGCCTGGGAAGTGTGGGGGAATGAAGGCATCAAATTCATCAGTCACAATCTTTTAAGGTAAAGCATACAGAGGATGTTTCATTCATTTCACTTATCTACTCACTTTTATTTGTTGCTATCATTAATAAATATTGTATATGAGGTCCTATGTGCCAGACATTTTTTAGGTACTGGGGATATATCAGATAGTGGAACAGGACACGGCCCTCCTTTCTTTTAGTGTCCAGTCAGAAGATATTCTTTAGACTTAAAACAGTACTTCCTGTGCTACCCTTGTTTTGTCTGAACTTCAGATTGATTGATAATGGCTTCTGCTAAGACTTATAGAAGCAGGGCCTAGCAATTCTTTTGTTGGCATGAGAGAAAAAAGGAAAATAGGAGTTTGTGGGGAGGAGCTGGATCCTAAAGAGCAATTCTATACAACTGATTGAAAAGCATTGGTGAACTAAGGAAAAAAAACTGAGCCCCTGAGCCAGCTGAGATGCTCTTGGCTTCCTGATGGGCAGGGTGTCATTATTTCTTGGTAAATGAAAGCAATGAGATTCTTTTGGTTAGATTGATACAGAATTTTTGAAGAGGAATTATAGTAATTACCCTTTATCTGTGGGGTATACATCTCAATACCCCCAGTGGGTGTCTGAAACTGCAGATAGCACTGAACCAAATATATGCTATGTATTTTTCTCTTTGATAACTGAGATGGCTGTTAAGAGTCTAACAGGCAATTCAAGAGGCAGAGCCTAATCTCCCTCTCCATGAGTGTGAATGGATTTAAGGCCCCACATCTAATAAGTTAAATAAAGTAGAAGTGATAGTATACAACTTCTGACTAGGGCACAAAAAGCACTGGGACTTTCTTATTACTTTTTTCTTTTTCTTGGATCTTCTGCTCTGAGGGAAGCTGGTTGCCATGTGGTGAGGACATTTTTGCAGGCTTATGAATGGTTCATGGAGGGAGTTGCCAAGGCCTGTTGTCAACCTGCAATAAACTAAGGCTCCACTCAATAGTTATGCCATTGAGGCTTCTTGAAAATGAAGCCGTTAGCCCAGGCAAGTCCTCAGATGACTGCACCCCCAACTGCCATCTTGACTACCACCTCAGGAGAGCCCCTGACAGCTAAGATGCTCTTAGCATGATGATAGTATAAATCATCATGTAGTCATTCCCTGGATTTCAATGATCATCTCTCCCCAGGTCACTTTCATGTACCTTTTTCTCCAATCACCTGACTGCTTACTGAAATGATTCAGTCTTACCAAGTGGCCAGAGAATCCTGAGTGTCTAGTTGGTACCTTAAATTCAACAAATACTAAATTAGTATAATATTTTCTTCTCAAACTAAGTATGTTATTCACCAGTTACTCAGGTTAAAGCCTTGGTATTATCTGTGAATCGACTTTCCTCCTAGGTACATTGACTGATGGAATTCATTTCTGTAAGATGGAGTCCCCTACTACAACTCAGCCTCTCATTATTTTTACCTAGAGAGTTGGATTAAATGATTTCCCTACCTTCAGCCACTCCTTATGTTAACCCAATTTAACACAAGTGTCAGACCAATCTATTTTATTTTAAAGCACTTCAGTTTATTTTAAAGCACAGCTTAACCTTGGTGACTCCTTATTACCTGTGGAATAGTTTACATTCCTTAGCATGGTATTCAAGACCAACTTATCCCTCTAAATTCCTAAACTTCTGCAAGCAGAACTAACTGCTTTCAAAAGTACATATTGTAGTATTCTTATCTGCATGTCTTATGTTCCATTTCCCTGGAATGCCCCATTTCCCAATTTCAAAGTGTTGTAGTTTTTTATCTATTGTTTGCCCTTTACAATTGCTACCTCTTTGAAGACATCTCCTTTGATATACCATTTTAAAACTAATCCCTCTGCCTCCCATAATACCTTTTATTTCCCTTCTGTTATCTTAGATAAATGTGTTTATTATATCATCTGGTAGATTATAAGTAGTTTAGTTAAATATTTAAATTACATTTTGTTATTACAATATATTTTTAGAAATCATCTCGATACGGTGTTTTCAGTTTTATTTTGATATATAGGATTTGGGAGTCTGATCCTACCTCTACCACTGTTTTGCTTTGCATTATTTATCTTCAGTTTCCTCATCTGTAGAAAGGAGGTAGCAATAGTGCACATTCCATAGTTTTGTTTTCGTGAGATTCAGATGAGACTCTGATCAAACTCTTAGAGAGTGCCTCATCTACCAAAAGCTCAACAAATGTTGGCTATTATTATACAATGACTGACATAAAGGGAGATTAATAATTAAATATTTTGTACCCCAAACACATTTATGTCCTAGTCTACAGCCTTAATTACCTGGGATTCCTAAATAATCCTAATGAGGTAGTTGTTGCCTATGAGCAACTACCTCATCAGGATTATAATCCAAGAAAGGCCAAGCAAACACAAATATGACTCCTCCTTGTACACAAAGTGTTTCCTCTCCTCCATGCCTTTCTGTGAATTACCTCACAGGATTCATTCACTTCCCAAAGATAACTCAGATATGATCCTGTCCTTTGAAGGTTTATAATCTAGTTGGAAGAGATAGTTCTATATACACCTAACTGTCATACAAAGTAGACTGTAATTTCAAAGAGAAATGGCCTTAAAGGATGAGGATGATTTCAGTGAAGTAGAAGACATTGGAGAGGGTCATCTGTAATAAAAACTCTTAAGAACACAGCAAAGGCAGAGTGGTGGAAAAGTATACCCTGTCTTTGGAGATTATTGTTTGAATATTTTATTCCTCTTTACTTACCTCTCAGATAAACTTAAAACTTCTAAGGTGGAGAAAATGAAGGAGTAAGCTATCCAGGAAGAAAACCACTCAAAGGAACTCTATATATAGTCAGAGTTCCACTTCTGTAATAGAAGAACCCAGTGAGGCAGCATCCTCCAATCATGTTCTCTAAATTCTGCTGTATGAAGTAGTTATGATGATGGCAAACTTGGATAGTACAAATAGAGAAAGGGCAATACTATGTGTTTATTATCAATAACATATGTTACTTACCATTCATGAAAAGAAAATGAGTCAATCACAGCAAGTATCAATATCTTCTCCAATAATTGGAAAAATGCATTATAAACAACCAATAATAAAGTTTCAGGTAAGGTTTAGGTATCTTTCTTTCAAATATATGTATTGCAAGTCCGTGCATTTACTGTAACCAATTGTGGATGTAATAAAATGATCATGACATTAATTTGTAAGCTATGTTCCCTTTCCTCTTAGAGTGCTTATAATATTTCATTCTCCTTCATTGACCCAATTTCTTAGAGAGAAGGGTCTAAAGAGGCCTTTTTTATAAAGCTTATAGAGAAAGTGGGCACTTTTCTTTTTAAAAATCATATTAAAAATAGGACAAAGTACTTTGCCAGCATGGGATATTAACATAAAACACGTGGAAAGTGCTGCTGTCACAAAATAGCTTAGACTTTTTTCCATGAATCCAATTTGTCATGGTGTTCTGAATTTTAGCATAACTTTTTCAGTAAAAATGACTCTTCACTCATCTATGTGAACAAATGGGACTTTAAGCATAGCATCACAAGAGGATTTCCTATGCTATGTTAAGACCCCAATATAGGGACATTCCATTGTGAATATAAATAACTCCAGTCCCTCTAAACATGCCTCTCCATATGCTTTTGCTTAACAATGCAGCAGATGCCATGGATGGAAACCACCTCTTTAGCTATAGGCAGGCCAGCAAGCTTCTGTCACTGTGTTCTCACTGGTAGGTCATTGGATGTGAATGCCAGTGGGGCAAGTCTCTTGGCAGTCAAACTTGCAGGTGGCTTGCAGGCTTGGGGATATTTTAGGGCTGCTCTACCTTGAAAGCCTGACAGGTTTGTTTTTTTGTCCTGTGAGGCCATGTCAATTTCTTTTCCAGGTCTGATGCTTCAGAGAAACCTCTTGAAACTGAAAAGGAAGAAAGACCTAGATGAGGACATAAATACAACTTTGGCATTAATTTTTTCCACTATATTTCATAAACTGAGCATTGAGAATCTCTGAATTTTCTATGAATGTTCCCCAATTAACCCCACTCATCATATGTTCCTAGAGGCTATAGAAATTGTTTCCTAGATGTTGAAAATTTATTATAAAAATTCTTAAGAGGCTGAGAGATTTCTGGATTTAAACAACCCCTAAAATTTAAACTCTTTTGGGAAAAACCCCTGATGCCAGGAGCTAACTCTTAATGAGGTATTAGTGATGTTTGTTTACCATAACCTAGGCTATGAAGAGAGAGGATGCTGCCTTCTTCCTCAGCCTGTCTCTTTTACTTAAGGCTCTTAATGTAGACATCTATTTCTGTTGATCCTTTTTGATGATTGCTTCCTGCTTCTTAACATGCTGCCAAATCTTCTCTCCCTACACTCTAATAAAGACTTAAGAGCATGGATTTTAATATGCTTGTTTACTTGTTTTACTAAAAATAGAATTCCTGGTATTCAAAATCCTATTGTTTTACTTATGTAACTGTGTCTTCTATTATCTTTTGTTTATTAGTTCTTGGGATTAGTTTAGATTATATGTATACCTCTTTAAAAATTAAACAGAAATTGTGCAGAAATTAAAACTAAAATTAACCACCTTAAACTTCTGGTTTTAAAATGGCAGCATAGAAGCAAGCTGGCTTTACTTCTGCTCCCCACACAAAACCAAAAGCAAGTATACAGTGCCAAGATTTCATTGATAACAATGCAGAGCTCAAATGTGGCCTCAGGGATAGAACCTGGGGCCACAGAGAAGTGAAAAAGTTCAGAGTAGACAGTAGAAGAATTGGACTTCACATCTTCAATATCCCCCTGATATGGTTTGGCTGTGTCCCCACCCAAATCTCATCTTGAATTGTAACTCCCACAATTGCCACATATCATGGGAGGAACCTGGTTGGAGGTGATTGAATTATGGGGGTGGGTCTTTCCTGTGCTGTTCTCATCATACTGAATGAATGTTATGAGATCTGATGGTTGTAAAAACCAACTTTTTAAAACACAAACTTCCTCTTTGCCTGCTGCCATCCATGTAAGACATGACTTGCTCCTCCTTGCCTTTGCCTTTCACCTTTTTCCATGTTTGTGAGGCCTCCCCAGCCACATGGAACTGTAAGTCCAATAAACTTCTTTCTTTTGTAAATTTCCCAGTCTTGGGTATGTCTTTGTCAGCAGCATGAAGACGGACTAGTACAGTAAATTGGTACAAGGAGTGGGGTGTTGCTGAAAAGATACTCGAAAATGTGGAAGCCACTTTGGAACTGGGTAACAGGCAGAGTTAGAACAGTTTGGAGGGCCCAGAAAAAGACAGGAAAATGTGGAAAAGTTTGGAACTATCTAGAGACTTGAATGTCTTTGACAAAAATGCTGATAGTGATATGAACAACAAGCTCCAGGCTGAGGTGGTCTCAGATGGAAATAAGGAACTTGTTGGGAACTGGAGCAAAGGTGACTCTTGTTATGTTTTAGCAAAAGATTGGTGGCATTTTGGCTCAGTTCTAGAGATTTGGGGAACTTTGAACTTGAGAGAGATGATTTAGGGTATCTGGTGGAAAAAATTTCTAAGCAGCAAAGCATTCAGTAGAAGACATTCAGTTTTATAAGGGAAGCAGAGCAAAAAAAAATTGGAAAATTTGCAGCCTGACAATGTGATAGAAAAGAAAATCCTATTTTTCTGAGGAGAAATTCAAGCCAGTTGTAGAAATTTGCATAAATAATGAGGAGCTGGATGTTAATCCCCAAGACAATGGGGAAAATGTCTCCAGAGCAGGTCAGAGGTCTTCACAGCAGCCCCTCCCATCACAGGCCCAGAGTCCTAGGAGGAAAAAAATGGTTTCATGGACCAGGCCCAGGGTCCCCGTGCTGTGTGCAGTCTAGGGGCTTGATGCCTTGCATTCCAGCTACCCTAGGCATGACTAAAAGGGGCCAAGGTACAGCTTGGACGATGGCTTCAGAGGGTGCAATCCCCAGGCCTTGGCAGCTTCCATGTGTGGTGTTGAGCCTGCGGGTGCACAGAAGTCAAGAATTGAGGTTTGGGTACCACTGCCTAGATTTCAGAGGATGTGTGGAAACACCTGGATGTTCAGGCAGAAGTTTGCTGCAGGGGTGGGGCTTTTATGGAGAACCTGTGCTAGGGCAGTACGGAAGGAAAATGTGGGGTCAGAGCCCCCACACAGAGTCCCTAATAGGGCACCACCTAGTGGACCTGTGAGAAGAAAGGCACCATCCTCAAGACTCCAGAATGGTAGATTCACTGACAGCTTGCACTGTGTGCCTGGAAAAGCCACAGACACTCAACACCAGCCTGTGAAAGCAGCTGGGAGGAAGCCTGTACCCTGCAAAGCCACAGGGGTGGAGCTGCCCAAGACCATGGGAACCCACCTCTTGCATCAGCATGACCCAGATGTGAGACATGGAGTCAAAGAAGATCATTTTGGAGCTTTAAGATTTGAATGCCCTGCTGGATTTCGGACTTCCATGGGGACTGTAGGCCCTTTGTTTTGGCCAATTTTTCCCATTTGAAATGGCCGTGTTTAACCAATGCCTGTACCCTCATTGTATCTAGGAGGTAATTAACTTGCTTTTGATTTTGCAGGCTAATAGGCAGAAGGGACTTGCCTTGTCTCAGATGAAATGTTGGACTATGGACTTTTGAGTTAATGCAGAAATGAGTTGAGACTTTGGGGGACTGTTAGGAAGGCATGATTGGTTATGAAATGTGAGGACATGAGATTTGGGAGGGGCCTGAGGGGTAATGATATGGTTTGGCTCTGTCCCTACCTAAATTTCTACCTTATCTTGAATTATAACTCCCATAATTCCCACATGTCTTGGAAGGAACTTGGTTGGAGGTGATTGAATCATGGGGGTGGGTCTTTCCTTCGTTCTCAAGATAGTGAATGAGTCTCACAAGATCTGATGGTTTTAAAAATGGGAGTTTCCTTGCACAAACTTTCTCTCTGTCTGCCACCATCCATGTAAGATGTGACTTGCTCCTCCTTGACTTTTACCTTCCGCCATGATTGTGAGGCCTCCCATGCCACGTGGAACTGTTAAGTCCAATAAACCTCTTTTCTTTGTAAATTGCCCAGTCTCTGGTAGGTCTTTATCAGCAGTGTGAAAATGGACTAATATACCCGCCTTCCATTCTTCCTGGCAAGAAGCATGTAGAAAATCTTTCCCCAAATTATGGTTTCTATAGTAAAAATAGTGAGATTGAGGTGGTCAATCAATTTTCCCATAATGTTGAGTTCCCTGGCAGGAGATCTGTTCTTTCCTTAACCCAAAGGAAATATAATGACTGCCTGAAGGGAGAAATATCCCTGAGGACAGCTAGAGACAAGGGGAGGTTGGGCTACCATCCCTAGTCCTATAAACTCTTTTTTGTAACTTGACCAAAGGTGACACCAAATCAAAGTGGCTATTCAGCAGCACCACACTGTAGGAGGTATATTTCATAGATCCCTCAGCAAGAACTCCTAGCCAGCTTTCCCACACTGCTGGGATAATTCTTTTGAGATTGCTGCCTTTTGGGAGAGTGGAACTCCAATCATTTACTGAAGTCAAGGTGAAACTGGGCTTAAGGTACCACATATAGCCAAAAATGAGGCAGCTACCTAACAGTAAAGATTTGCTAGGCAAACATAGCCAATAAAAAACAAAATAAGCCAGGGAAATAAAATGGAAATAAATAAATAACCCTTCAGTACAAATACACACAAGCAACAATAGCAAACAGGGAACTACGATTTCCCCAAAAGGAAAAAGCAAGTTTCCAACGACTGACCTTAGTGAGACAACAATTTATGAACTCTCTGACCAAGAATCCAAAATAGCAGTTTTAAGGAAACTCAGTGATATCCAAGATAATACAGAAAGCAATTCAGAAATTTATTAGAGAAAATTAAGAGATTGAAATAATTTAAAAATCAAACAAAAATTTTATAACTGAGAAATACATTTGCTGACATCAAGAACCTATTAGAGGCTTTCACCAGCAGAATGGACCAAGCAGAAGAAAAAAATTAGTGAGCTTGAAGACCATATATTTATAAACACACATTCAGTGGCAAAAAAAAGGATGAAAATAAATGAAGACCACCTATGAGATATAGAAATTACCCCGAAAGACAAAATCTAAGAATTATTGTTTTTCAAGAGGGAGCTTGGTGACAGCAAGGGTTAGAAACCTTACTCAAAGAAGTAATAGCAGAAAACTTTCCAAAACTTGAGAAAGATGTAAATATTCAGGTACAGAAACATCTGAGAACACCAAACAGATCCAACCCAAATTCTATCCAACACATATAATAATAAAACTCTCAAAAGTCAAGGACAAAGAGAGGATACTAAAAGCAGCAAGGGAAAATAAGCAAATCACATGTAGAGGATCTCCAATTTGTCTGGCAACAAAGTTCTCAACAGAAACTGTACAGTCCAGGAAGGAGTGGAATGACATTTTCAAAGTACTCAAGGAAAAAAACTGCCATTTGAGAATACTGTAACCAGCAAAATTATCCTTCAAAAATGAAGGAGAAATGAAGTCTTTCCCAGAAAAACAAAATTGAGAGAATTTACCACCACTAGACCCATCTTACAAGAAATGCTAAAAAGAGTTCTTCAATCTGAAAGAAAAGAAACCACTAACATGCAAAAAGAAAACTTTTCAAGGTATGAAACCCAATGGTAAACTTAAGTATATGAATAAAGCCAGAATACTCTATTACTGTAACTGTGGTTTGCAATCTGCTTATAACTCTGGTATGAAGCCCAAAAGACAAATCTATCAGAAACAATAATAGCTACAACAACTAAGAGATAGGTAATATAAAAATATGTATATTGAGACAACTCAACATCGAAATGTGGGGGGAGATGGAGTTAAACTGTGCATTTTTTGTTGTTGTTGCTTTTGTTTCTATTCTTTTCTTTGTGATCCAAGTTGTCATCTCTTTAGAATAACTTGTTATATCTATAAGATGTTTTTTGTAAGCTTCGTGGTAACCACAGCACAAAAACCTATAATAGATTCACTAAAAATAAAAAGCAACAAATTAAAACATACTACGAGAGAAAATCACTTAACCACAAAGGAATACAGTAAGAAAGGAAGAGAGGAGTCTCAGAGCAACCAGAAAACAGGCAACAAAATGGCTGTAGTGTGTCCTTACCTATCAAAAACAACACTGAATGTAAATGGTCTCAATTTGCTAATTAAAGATCACAGAATGGCCAAATGAATAAAGAAACAGAAACTTCAAGAAACCCACTTCACCTATAAAAACACACATAAACTAAAAGTGAAGGGGTTTTGAAAATGATATTGCATACAACTGGAAGCCAAAGGAGTAGCTATACTTATATCAGGCAAAACAGATTACAAATCTAAGATTGTAAAAAGAGATAAAGAAGGTCAGTATATAATGATAGAAGAGTCAATTCAGCAAGAGAATATAACAATTATAAATAGCTATGCACCCAACACTGGAGCTCCCAAGTATATAAGGCAAACATAAATAGATCTAAAGGGAGGATAGACTGGAGTACAATAATAGTTGGGGACTTTAACACCCCACTGTTAGTAATAGACAGATAACCTGGACAGAAAATCAACAAAGGAACAGTGGAGTTAAACTACACACGAGATTAAATAGTCCTAAGTGACATTTACAGAATATTTCAACCAACTGCTACAGTCAACATATGTTGCTCAGAGGTTGGGTTATACTCCGAGGTCGCCCCAACCGAAATTTTTAATGCAGGTCTGGTAGTTTAGAGCCTGTGGGTCTATTTGGTCTTATACACATTTTTTTCATCAGCACATGAAACATTCTGAAGAATGTTCTATATCTTAGGCTACAAAATAAGTCTGAATAAAATTTTAAAAAATCATATCAAGTATCTTTTCTAACCACAATAAAATAAAACTAGAAATCAATAACAATAGTAACCTTGAAAAAAATACATAAACATATGGAAATTAAACCACATGCCCTTGAATGCCCAACAGGTTAATGTACAAATCAAAAAGAAAATTAATACATTTCTTGAAACAAATGAAAATGAAAATACAACATATCAAAATCAATCGGATATGGCAAAAGCAGTACTAAGAGGGAAGTTTACAACAATAAATGTCTATATCAAAAAAGTAGAAAGACTTCAAGTAAACAACCTAACAATTTACCTTAAGGAACTAGAAGATTAAGAACAAGACAAACTCAGAATTTGTGGAAAGAAAGAAATAATAAAGATCACAGTAGAAATAAATAGAATTGAGAGTAAAAAAATACAGAGGATCAATGAAACAGAAAGTTACTCTATTAAAAAGATAAACAAAATAAATAAAGCTTTAGCTAGATTAACTGAGAGTAAAGAGAGAAGACCCAAATAAACAAAATCGTATATGACAAAGGAGGCATAACAGCTGAGACCTCAGAGATACAAAGGATCATTAGAGACAATTACAAAAACTGTACATCAATAAATTGGAAAACATAGAGGAAATGGATAAATTCTGGAATACCTAAAACCCACGAAGATTAAATCATGCCGAAATTAAAAAAAAGAAAAAAAGAAAAAAAATCCTCAACAAAACAAAAAAATCAACCAAGATCAAAGGCTTAATAAAAAATCTCCCATCAAAAAAAGCCCAGGACCTGATTGCTTCACTGTAGAATTCTGCCAAACTTTTAAAGAATTAATATCAATCCTACTCAAACACTTCAAAATATTTTAAGAGGAGGAAATACTTGCAAACTTATTCTCTGAGGCCAGCATTATTCTGATATCAAAACCAGACAAAAACACAACAACAATAAAAAAAGAAAACTACAAGCCAATATCTCTGATGAGCATAGATGCAAAAATCCTCAACACAATATTAGCAAGCTGAATTCAACAACACATTAAAAAGATCATACACATGATCAAGTGGAATTCATTCAGGAATTCAAAGATGGTTCAACATATAACAAATCAATAAACAGAATCCACCACATTAACAGATTCAAGAACATAAACATTATTCCAATAGATACTGAAAATGCATTTGACAAAATTCAATATCACTTTTTAATAAAACCCCTTATCAAAATGGGTATAGACCCAGGTAACCAACCTGCACATATACCTCCTCTATCTAAATAAAAGTTGAAATAAAAAATGGATATAGAGGTAGCATACCTCAAAATAATAAATGCTATATGTGACAAAGCCACAACTAACATCATAGTGAACAGGGAAAAATTGAAAGCCTTTCCTCTAAGGACTGGAACAAGACAAGCATGGCCCACTTACACTGCTTTTATTTAACACTGAAAGTCCTGGACAGGGTAATTAATTAGGCAAGAAAATAAAAAGGGCATCCAAATTGAAAAGGAAGAAGTCAAATTAGCCTTGTTTACAGATGACATAATCTCATACCTAGAAAAACATAAAGGCTCCACCAAAAAACTCTTAGAACTGAACAAATTAGAACAAATTGAGTAAAGTTGCAGAATACAAAATTAGTAACATTTATATTTGCCAACAGCAAACAATCTGAAAAAGAAATCAAGAAAGCAATCTCATTTATAATAGCTACAAAAAATAGAAAATACCTAAGAATCAATCTGACAAAAGTAGTCAAAGATCTATACAAACTATAAAACTCAGATGAAAGAAATTGAAGAGGACACAATAAAATAGAAAGATATTCCATGCTCATGGATTAGTGAATCAATATTATTAAAATGGCAATATTGCCCAAAGTAATTTACAGATTCAATGCAATTCCTATCAAAATACCAATGACAGTCTTCACAGTAATAGAAAATACAATTCTCAAACTTATATGAAACCATAAAAGACTCCAAATAGCTCATGCAGTCCTGAGTGAAAAAAGAATAAAGCTAGAGGCATGACACTACCTGTCTTTAAAATTTACTACAAAGCTACAGTAACCCAAACAGCATGGTACTGGTGTAAAAACAGACACATAAAACAATGGAACAGAATAGAGAATCCGGATATAAACCCCCATGTTTACAGCAAACTCATCTTTGACAAAGGTGCCAAGAACATACATGGGGGAAAGGACAATCCTTTCCATAATTGGTGCTGGGAAAACTGGATAACTTTATGAAGAAGAATGAAACTATATTCTTCACACTATATACAAGAATCAAGTGAGAATGGATGAAAGACTTAGATCTAAGACCTGAAGCAATGAAAACACCAGAAGAAACCATTGCAGTAACACTCCAGGACAGTGGTCTGAACAAAGATTTTTGTGTGTATGACCCCAAGAGTACAGGCAACAAAAGCAAAAATAGACAAGTGGGATTATATGAAGCTAAAAAGCTACTGCACAGCAAAGGAAACAATCAGCAAAGCAAAGCGACAACACCCAGAATGGAAGAAAATATTTGTAAACCACTCATCTGACAAAGGATTAATAACAAGAATATGTAGGGAACTCAAATAACTCAACAGTAAAAAAAAATAATAATAATCCCATTAAAAAGTGGGCAAATGATCTAAATAGACATTTCTCAAAAAAAAAAAAATACACACCAGAGACCACCAACCTACACTCTATTTTCATGAGATCCACTTTTTTGGAGTGGGGAGGGAGAAGATGAAGGAAGAACCAAAAGAATATAAATGTATTTATTGCTACTGAAGTGTACACTTAAAATGGTAAAGATGGTAAATTTTATATGCATCTTTTACATCAATAAAAAAGTAAATATTAGCCATCTTTCATGTTTTTGATGATTCTTTATAACTCAATACTATTTGTAAGTTTGAGTTTCTTATTTGTCCCTAATTAAACTTATGATAAATGTTGCAATATGTTACCAGTGCCCTATAGATGAGGAGGCTAAACTGAGAAAAATTAAGTGATATGTCCAAGGTCACAAATCTGTAAAAAGTAAACAGGACATGAACACAGAGCTTCTGGCTCTTAGACAAGAATTATCAAACTTTTATGTGAATCAGGATCACCTGCAAGACTTCTTAAAACACAGATTGTTAGGCTCTACTCCCAAGTTTCTGGGATTTAGTAGCTCTGAGATGAGACTTGAGAATTTGCATTTCTAACAGATTTTCAGGGACTACCCTTTGAAAATTCCTATCCTAGACTAGTACCTTTCCAATTTGTATTTTTAATGTCCTTTTTTATCTCTATGTGTCTCTGTTGCATTAGTAAGTTTCATGGGATGTATATTTGGAAACATCTTGCATTATAAGCTTTAGATAGATTTACTAACAGCTAGGATACTGTCAATGAGTGAGGGAGAAGTTGGCTACTTAGTGTGAATAATGAGTTGTTTTAGTCTGCTTGTGCTGCTATAGAGGAATACCTGAGGTTGGATAATTTACAAATAAAAGAGGTTTATTTGGCTTACTGTTCTGCAGGCTGCATGAGAAACATGGTGCCAGCATTTGGGTCTGGTGAGGGCCTCAGGAAATTTCTACTCATGGCAGAAATTGAATGGAAGCAGAAGGGGAGCTGGCATGCAGAGATCACATAGCAAGAGTGCAGGAGCAAGAGGAAGGGGAGGGAGGTGCCAGGCTCTTTTTAACAGTTAGTTTTTGCAAGAACTAATAGAGTGAGAACTCACTTATTACTGCATTCATGAAGGATCCACCTCCACAACTCAAACACCTCCTACCAGGCCCCACCTCCAAGATTGGAGATCAAATTTCAACATGAGACTTGGCAGGGTCAAACAAACCGTATCCAAACCATAGTATGGGTTAAAATCATAAAAATGTTGTATTCAGTTGAGGTAAAAATGATCAAGAAAGTTAGTCTGCCATCTAAAGTGCATTTGCTACCTTTTTTTTTTCCTAATCCCTGACTTTTTTGGGGGTGGCGGGGGGAGGAGAGGGGGACTGAGTCTCGCTCTGTCACCCAGGCTGGAGTGCAGTGGCACAGTCTCAGCTCACTGCAACCTCCACCTCCCAGGTTCAAGTGATTCTCCTGCCTCAGACTCCTGAGTAGCTGGGACTATAAGTGTGCGCCACCACTGCCAGCTAATGTTTTTGTATTTTAGTAGAGGCCAGGTTTCACCATGTTGGCCAGGATAGTCTCGATCTCCTGACCTCGTGATCCACCCGCCTCAGCCTCCCAAAGTGCTTGGATTACAGGCATGAGCCACCGTGCTCGGCCTATTATATTTGCTATTACAATTACATAGTTTATAGGCATATATTGTATATTTGAACAGCTATCTGATAATATCTGATAACAATTCATAGGCTATAAGTCTCCTTCTGCATGTTACATTCTTCTCTCACCTTAGAGCAGTCTTTCCCTAAATATGCTCCAATGAAAAACTATTTCTGCTGAAATTACTTAGGAATGGATTGTGTGGTCATACTTGGGGAGGTCCTATGACATTGAATGGGGTACTTTATCTTCAGGACTTCTCAAAACTCTCAATATGTTAATGTACATTATGACTCTGTAAGAGAGGGAAAGTGATTTTTCTGTTTCCAACTTTATATGGCCTTAGTACTTTCTTTTAAATGAAGGTTATTGAATGACTAGTATTGCACAATATAGCACTGGGGAAACACTTGCATAAAATTTAAAAAATCCTTTCAGAGAATTAGTAGTTCTTTTAAATGTCTTTCTTCATCTGTAAGTCAATTCCCATATTTAGTGAGAATATTATTCTCTGATTACTCTTAGTCAGACTAAAATATTTGAGTTAAAAATATTTTCTATGTATTTCCCTTACATAAATGGAGCTGATCCCAAGAATAGGAATTTATAGAAATACTTTTTTATAACTCAATTTTCCCATTATTTACCCCCATTTAATTGCCCCATTTAATGTCATAGGACTTCCCAATGTAGGACTACTCTCTTCTTCATTAAAAAAGTCTTTTCCTTCAAAGGGATATATTTAATAGATGATGGCTTTGTAAGATAGCATGGCTCTAGCTTCTTGTTTGCCTTTACCTAGCAAGTTATATCAAACACAGAAATGCAGAAACACTAATGGGTTTATCCAGTGAGTTTCTTAGAATATATTTTTGCAAAGCCTGTGGTTCTAGTAGGAAAAAATACCCCACAACAATTTAAGAAAAACTTTATTGATGATTTAAATATTATTATCTATATTGTCCTGTTTCATTTAGAAAAAGTTAAAGTGATTTCTCACATCTGAAGATGAATCTACCTGGTTCCACTTATTTTGTTTACCATATTTAACTCTAAAATCCAAGATTTGGACTCGTGATTCTTGGTCCTGGAGTCTATATACTTTATTTCACTAGACATCCCCTGAGTTGTGAAGAAACCAAGGGAAACAGCAGTCACATTCTGCTGAAAGTATCTTGTTTCGAGTGGAAAACCTATGACATTTAGCTTAACTGCTACTATTTTGTCTTATTTAAATTGTCCGAAATATTTACCAGTTCTTGACAAAAATGATTAGTTTCTGCATACTTTAGCATCTTTAATAATATTGAGTGTCTTCTATGTGTCTGAATTGTGCTAGGTGTTTTACGTTTACCATCTTTAATTTTTGCTACAAACTGAAAGATACACAACGAAATCTGAGATCCAGTGAGTTCACCTAACTTGAGCTGAATCCTAGAAAACAGCTAAATTGGGTTGAGAATATAGTTTCCTTTTTCTCTATAGTTCAAATCCTTTTCACTATACCTTGCTTTCTCTAAGCTGTTCATCTGTAGACTACATATGAGACTGTTTTACTATCTAGCTTTCTCTATTGGGTTTTATATTTTTTGGAAATGGAGAGTACTTTTTCTGTATAGAAGGCCTATGCCTAGTTTACTCTTACACTGTCAATGGCTAATAATTTATTGACTCTGGAATTAATAAAACATATTGTCTCACACCTACATTAACTTCAAGCCTTTCATATCAACCAGAAGGGTTCACTTTTCTGTGAACATGGGGAACCATGTTCACAGAATTGAGTTTCTGTCCTGATCTCCATTCCCAGGAATTTGGATGATGTTAGAAATACCAAAAGTCTAACTTGAACACTTGGACAAGACCCCTTACTATCCTATGAGGGTTCCCCAAGGAAGATCATGAAACAGAACTAAGGGATCAATGTATTATTAGGTGCAGCTTTGACATAATTCAGAAAACTGAGCTGGACTTTCAAGAGAATTCTTTTTACAGATTAAAAGCCTGAAGTGTGTGTTGCCCTGTACTCAACCCAGAATCTCTAGACTTACATGTTTATTAGACAAACAAAGGCTCAAATATTTTGATATCAACTAGCCAAATAGAATGTTGACTCTCTAGGCATTTCCAAGGTTTAAAGTGAACTGAAAATTTTATGCTTCTGAGAGAAATGACATGCAAGAAGAGGCAAAGTAACCTGCTCATGTGCCTTTTGATATATTCTAAGTTTTATTCTTCATTGCGCTTTTACCAGCAAGTTTATATAAAATTTTTAATTTTCTATTAGGCAAAAGGTTTGATGCTTAATATGATTTGTTTCATATTATGTTCATATATATGTTCAGACTTTGAACATATATATCCCCAACACCTAAGTCTTGCATTCACTTAGTATAGTATATGGACATAAAACCATGAGTTAGGTTTAATTGTTATGTCCTCTGTTTTATTCAGCCTCAATATAAGAAGAGGTAATGTAAAGAATATTTGTTTCTTAATTCTTTGTAAAATAATCATCAAAATTTTATCTATTGCCTTTTGATTTTACCTTAATTTGGTTTGAGAAAAAAGCTATATCTCTTTAAGAAGTAATGTTTTCTATGATAAATAGAAGTATGTAGTTTTTTTGTCATTTTTTTTTCTTTGCTTCCAGGAAACTCAAGACTCAAAACTAAAATTTAAAGCTTAAGCATGGAAATTGTTTTAAGGGGTTGATATTTTTTCTTCTTTATAACGGAAAAATTTCTTTTTATATTGATAGTTTTCTATTATAAGTCTAAAATCCACATTAAGGGAGGATTAAATTATAAACAACTAATAGAGATCCAAAATCAAAGCCTATATTTTTAATTGAGACTTTTCAAATCTATTTACCTATCTATTTACAAATCTATTTTCTATCTATTTACCTATCTATGTTGTTCTTACCCCCATATTGTTTTTGTTTCAAATTTTGAAAGCTGAATTTATTGTTATAGCAAAAGTCTTAAGCATTACTCTTTCAAAGCTTGAATTGAATATTTATTTAAGGAAAAGCTTGCAACATTCTTTTAAAGGACAGAACTTACTAATTAGATTTTGGTTTAAAAATGATGAAATGCCAAGTCTTAGTTCACAGTTTATTTTAAATTTTATGAGAGTTTGCACTTGCCTTCTTTTCTCCTCCTGTCCTTCCCTGAAACATTCCAGTCATTATCACATCATATTTATAGCAATCTTTCCTCTGAAAATGTGTTCATGGAACACTGACCATGTTTCATATATAAAAATGAATCCAAAGTAAATTGATTGAAAATATGCATATTGTGTTTGAGTTAAGATGATGTCAAAGCAACTGGGTGACTTGGTTACCTTGGCACTTTAGATGTTCAACAAATAACATTATTTGGCCAAGTCTGTGCTAAAATGAGTCCAGGTAGTTACTTGGCATTTTGGAAAACACAAAAATTGACTAAAATTTGCATTTTTCAACTAGTTCTGTTGGTGCCCCCTAGGATAATTAGCTTCAGGTGTTTTCAACAGCATGGTCTTTTGGCTTGACACAATTTGCTTTTCTGATTACATAGGGAAAAGGGTATCTTATGCCCTAAATCCGAAAGATATGAACCAAACATTGATAACTTTTACAGTTGTGCTCTTTTAATTAACCTGCATGCATTTACTAATATGCACATCTACCCTCTAATACTTGCACATACTTTGTGTATTTAATTGACTATACACATGAATACAATTTACTTATACTGACTTCATTTCCTTTTTGAGTTTCAGAAGACATTTTTCTGCATTATCAGGGGTCTTAGAATAGATGCAGGAGAAAATGTTATTAAGCCTGTAACAAGATAACCTAATTTGTCAAATCTGAGACAATTGGAGCTAACAGATTGAATGTTAACTTTCAGGACAAATGTTGAAAATAGTCCTGGAACAAAATCTTTGGAGAGAAGCTGTTAATAAATTGCCAAATTACTTGAATTATGATAAAACGGGAAGAAATATCATTTCTTCCTATTTATGATTAAATAGCTCATAGACTTGAAAAAGAACAAAGAATAATTTATGTATTCTAATTAAAGCTGAGTTCCAGGTTTGGTGATGCTTGTTCTGGATTTCACTTTTCCCAAGTGTATTGTGAGTAGCTGGACCAAGATGATTCCCTAATATATATAACTCCTATGACTAAACGACTATATCTTTAGTATTCTGATGCTTAAAAGTGGCAGTATAAAATAAATATGTTCAGAATTGTGAAGTTTACTGGCTATGCCACCACTGCTATATTTATTAGCAGGTTATATTTATTAGCATAGATTATAAAGTGAAATGCGCGTTTGGCAATTTTATGGTCTATTGATCAAGGTAGGCTGCATAGAAAGATAATTTAGGACATAAAGTGAACTGGTTAGCTGGACTGTAAGTATTGATCAAATATTCAGATAATTAAGAGCTCACACTTCACCTTCTTGCTGTCTACATAATCCCTGAATATATGACCAAGACAGATAAAATACTTACCCATCACTGGGATGTTATTTTATATGACACAAACCAATTTGACACAGGTCCTTCCTTCCCCCCTTTTTATATCTGAATTACGGGGCAGGATGAAAAGTTTTCCACTCTGCCTCCATGGTGCCTCTAATGGCATCTTTAGCTGTGGACTCCCCTGAACTTCAGGAGTGAGGATGCCCCTTTGACCAGCTGCAGGGTGGCCTGCTCAGCTGAGTTCTGTATTGAGGGCAAGGAATCTCTTTTGTTTCACACTCTTGAAGGCTTTTCCTGGCCGGTGTTAATTTGGCAGGAGTGCACACTTAGGCTCTTGGGCTGCTGCCAGTCACTTGGTCCTGAAACTGGAGTTAGTAGTATCTTGCCAAAGATTAGACTGAGAAATCTGGATGCAGGCTGGCAATCCAAGCAAGCAGCCCCAGCCAAATTGGCACAGTTGGGAAAACCTTGGAGAATCACAATTATTTTAGACAAAATACAAAGTTTGTGAGCTTTCTAAACATTATGTAAATGAGTCTTGATTCCTAATTCACAGAAGCACAAAAGTCCATCACTTTTGGTGTATATGTAAATGCATTAGTGCCCTGATTCATGTCAAATTGAACTTTGCTTTGCAAAGAGAAAATTAAGTTGTGCTGCTCTAAAGATGTTTCAATACCTGCAGCAGCAGACAGAAAACTTTGGTGCCTCAAAGCATTCCTCAGAATTCTGGTTCTCATCTCCCTTATGCAGCAGGGGCTGCCCATTTGTGAGTGTGCATTTGTATTAAGGACCCTGATATGGAATATTAATAGTACCATTGATGGAGAACCTACTCTTCACGCCTCATATACTGTCTCATTAAGTTAATCCTCAACAATGGTCTTGTGAAGCGAGCACTGTTATTGTTCCTGTTCATCTCAGAGAGCTGCAATTCAAACCTGGTTTCCCAAGTGCCAAAGGTTGTGATTTTATCCTAATGGGTTTTCTGTAGTACTTTTCAGAGTTTGGGGTACCTAGAAATCCCCAGGGGAGATTTAAAAATGCTGATTCCTAGGTCCTGAGCATAGCAATTCTGATTTCATAGGTCAGGTCTGGGGTGGGACCCTAGATGTCCTACGTAACAAGTGGCACAGGTGATTCTGAGTCAGATAGTGGAAGGGCCAACCTTTGAGAAACACTGCTCTATAATCTCTTCATTGCACCCAGGTGTGTAAACTGGTGTTGAAGTAAGATTTTTGTGTGTGTGTGTGTGTGACGGAGTCTTGCTCTGTCACCGGACTGGAGTGCAGTGGCATGAGTTCGGCTCACTGCAACCTCCGCCTCCTGGGTTCAAGCAATTGTGCTGCCTCAGCCTCCTGAGTAGCTGGGACTACAGGCATGTGCCATCATGCCAAGCTAATTTTTTGTTTTAGTAGAGACGGGTTTTCACCACGTTGGCCAGGATGGTGTCGATCTCCTGACCTTGTGATCCACCCGCCTTGGCCTCCCGAAGTTCTGGGATTTCAGGCGTGAGCCGCACCGCGCCTGGCCTGGATATCTTTTTCTCCCCATATTACTTATAATGTGACACTCAGAATCCCCAGCTGCAATCCATTCTGTGGTGTTGCACTGACTTTACTTAGCAATACCCCAAACCCTTCTTTTTACTCTTCTACAGGCCCCTTCCTCCCTGTTTACCCCAGAGTGCTTAGGTTGCTGCATTCAGAGTATCACTGAAACACATCTACTTAGAAACCTCCAAAGTAATCTGAAGCATAAAAGTTTTATTTACATACAAACTTTATATACCAGACATGCTTACAAGTCCTGTTGCAAAACAAATAAATTCACTTCCTCCAATTACTTGTTTCAAAATTCTGGGTTCATAATGCTTTCCCTCTCTCAGAAGAAAATACTTCTCTTACTGCACCATACACAGTCTTTTGAGATCTTAAAAAAATTATAATTGCTTACATATCTTAATCTACAGCTCTGAAAAATAGGAGCAATTTTTTTTGACAAATAATCAGGAAATCTGCAGAGTCCTTAATATATTATAAAGCACACTTGTGTCTTTATTTCATTGAACACATTTTGTTTCTTGTTTAGCAGAAAAAATGCCTTAGTAAAGTACAGGACTCTTGCTTCAAAGCTGGGACAGAATTTGGTTGGAAATGTGAGAGTTTTAAAAATATAAACAGAAAATAAACAAATAAAAAGAAACATTTAATGAGCTTCAAGAATAGTTTCCTTAAGGCAAAAAGAAAATTTCCATATTTATTCTGTATGTCGCCCAAATACAGATTTATAGTAATATAAAGTTATACTCAAAAAGATAATTCAATTTTTAGAATTTCATTCCTTATAAAAACAATTTAATGCTATGATGTCAATTTATGACTTTAAGATAAAAATTATTTCTTTTGAACCAGAGTCTCTTATTTTATAAGCAAAAATTTCCTATAAAAATTGGATGTACTTAAATTAATCAATGTAACTTATGGGTTTTCCATTTACATTTACTCTGAAATTGATTTCAGAGGATTTTAAATTTTATTTGATTTAGCATCTAGCCTGAGTGGCTGTATTTCTTTAGTGAGTAGCTAGACAAAATATTTGTCACAATTCTGATGATGACTTATGATTTGAAGAATAGGGAGATCTAAATGTCATCACTTGATGATTTTAATTGTGCTTGAGTGCTATTTTGCAAATTTTTTTTCTTAAGGTCTTTTCTACAAGCCCTGTTGTGGGATGATATTCCTAGAGTTTCAAGGTACAAGAAACAGGAAAACAGTGTTTTAGCACCTCTGTGATACTTTAGGTTTATGGCTTTTTAATTTGTAATTTGATTAAATTAACTAATATTACCGAGCAATATGTCGGTGCAGAGAGAAAATATACTTTTGCTGAGTCGCTATTGTTTACGGATGAGGGAATAAATGCATCCTAGCTCACCTTCACATCACATAAAATGTAGCATAGATCACACATACATGAAGGATGTGACTGAATTTGTGGCTTCACTGAACTTGTGGCATTACTGAATAAAGGCAAGTTGTAAATGGAGCTTTATCGTGCTTATTCAAGCAACTTCTTTTTATACAATAATGTTAATAATGCTTCTTATAAAGTCAGAGGGCAGAGGTGATTATTTGGTAGTTTTAGATGGTGGCTTGTTATTTCTGAAGAGAGCAAAAGAAACAAGAATATTTGGAAGGTCTTGGGGGAAAGTGACAAGAGAAGTTGAGTAGTTGGAGAAATAATGACACAAGACAAAAGTAAAGGAAGAGGTGAAGGACTGGATGAGTGGAATAGAGGAGAATAGAGAGCTTATTTCAACTGGGAAGACTAACACAAATGATGAGGTGGGAATCAACAAGTTATGTGCAGTATCAGAAAGGTGTATTTGAAAAAGCCAGAACTCTATACTGAAGAGTAAAAATAAGTGAGGTTGGAGAATATGAGAGAGTCATTTGGTGGAGGGCTTGGAATTCTAGATTTTGGAATTCAGATTTTTTAATAGGTAATGTGGTTACCTGAAGTTGCTATTAAAGAATCTGGGACTTGAATATATAACTATGCAGAAAATAGTAAAACAAAGCCAAAGGCAACAAAAACCCACGTTGCCTCATGAAAACAAATGGTCAGAGCTAAATAGCATCTGCCCCCATGAACTAGCTGGGCCCCCACCTAAAACTCCTTTTATCACTTATATTACCTACCTGACTCCTGTGGATATCTGAGTTTGCAACCCAGGTCTGAGGAGTTGTAGGGAAAAAAGGTAGAATTTGGGACTCACATCACTTATTTTTGCAGATGACAGGTGACCCCCAAATGCTGTTAGTCCTCCCAACAGGTAGTAAAACCAGGTGGCTCAGTCATAATACATCTCTGTCAATGGGCCACAAATCACCCACTGACATAAGAAAATGTCAGTTAGTAAACTGCAGCGTTGCTTTGAATGATACACAACAACCACATAAAGTTTCCATGTTATTGACTGAACTTGATATTCATTGTGTTGGCCTGCCAGAGAAATAGCCTGATGCAGAAATATAATTCAAATCAGAACTTGGGCTCACTGGATGGAAGAAGTTTCTCTGTGACTCCAGGCTTATGGAGCTTTTCAAGATAGTCATCAGAGTAGAAACATTGTCCTATAGTTAAAAGATCTGAACTGTATTTCTGCCTGAGCACCACCTTTGGAGATTTTGGTTTAATTGGTCCAGCATGGGGGCTAGGTATCAATATTTTCTGAAATCTCTCCATGTGATTGTGTAGTGAGGTTTGAAAACTGTTGATCTAAGTCATTGACTTATTGTACGTTCCTTGATCATGTGTCTGATGTGAACAAAGTCAGATAGTTGCCCAAACATGTGATACTAGGGTAGAAGTTTCTTGGAACAGAGGCAGGAAAAGGAAACAAGTGTCTTAAAATGGCAAACTGCATTTAGATAATAAAAATCTATAATTCCTATTAAGAAAAACCAATCACGTAGCTAGGAAAAGCATCAAAATATGAAGTCTAAAAATTGATTTGTGGCAAAAAGGAAAGAAAGGAGTAAGCTGAGTAGCTAAGAGTGAGGCCAATGTATATTTGGGTATGAATAATATCTCTAAATGCACCACTTGGGGCTGAGTTCAGCCCTCAACTGTGAGTGGAGTCTCTTTCCCAGTGTTTCTCCTGCCTGTTGTGCAGACAACAAAGTTACAGCAGGTCAAATGCCACTAGAAATAGCTCCAACTTCAGAAGTCTGAAAGATCATCATGTTACTGCAGAGAGTATATAGAGCAAGAAATGCAGTTAAACTCATTGCACTTAGGCATTTTAGAGCACCTTTATCCCCTCTCCTCCACCAAAACAAAAGATTCATATAGAATGCCAGAAATCAGTGTACCTATTTCATGAATAATCTGTTCTCACTCCTTCTCTTTTACCCTACCTCTTCCCCTTTCCTCCTCTCCCTCCTCTACCCATTTGCTTCTCCCTCTCCCCTTTAAGTCCCTTATCCTAAAACAATATTTAAACAACTGTTTTCTTTCAGTTCATGTTAGGTTTGACTTTTAATTTGATACTTTAAAAACCTCTAGTTCTGCTAAGCCATCCTTTGTCCTTCTGGGGGATCAGCTGTAGTTTTGGAATCAGTCAAACTGAGTTGAAATCCTAGTCTCACTACTCATCAATTGTATGACCTTGCTCAGGTTACTTAACCTCTCCAACCTTTGATGTTCTTATCTTTAAAATAGAGATATATCATCTGTCTCTTATGGTTCTTGTGATGATTGAAGGAAGTACCTCATTCTATGCTTATATATAGCAGTTACTCAAAAACACTCACCTTTGCTTTGGTTTGCTGGAGAGAGAAGATAAATACAAATGCCCAGTGCTGCATGGGGACCTAAATCAAAGGGGAAAGAACTAATTCCTCTAGGAGATACGCATCAATAGCAGTCACTTTTGATTTAAGTATTTTCCTGTAAATCTTTACCTAGTTTCTGTGCTCTAGAGACTGAGTGGTTAAAGTTGGCATGGGGTGTGAGTCTGATGGATTACGCCCAATTTTGTTTCACAATTTTTACATCCACCAGTTGTGAGATGTAGATAGCATTTTACTCAGAGGAATGTAAAACTATGGGAAAATCACAGCCTTGACACTTTGCATGAACATAGACATTATTTCTTACTTTCATTTAAAATACCAATGTTTTTTTTTTACCTGAGGTTTTGAAATAGCTTAAAAATTTTCAAAAGGTATTAAATCAATTTTGGTTTTGAGGCAGAATAATGTAAAAACTTTCCCCCCTCCACTTTTGATTAATGAAATTGGCTGCTGTTGACAGAGTGTCAGAGTTGCTATGTTTTTAAAAGTGTTTCTATGGTTACTTTAATACATTTGTTTATGTTGAAAGTGTCCTTTTCATATTCGAAGATGCTGATGATGTTATATTCTTTATCTAGCCTAGGGTTCAGAATAGAGTAGAAACAATTTATTTTTCATTATTCATTTATACATCCAACAGATATTTATTGAAACTTTTTTTGTGAGGAGGACAGGCTTTGTGCTTCTACGTGATGTAGGTCCTGAGCATAAAGACCCAGATACTTCTTTTAAGGGCTATGGGTCTAAAAAACAAACACCAATACCAAGCAAAACAATATTTATATAGAAGCAGCAATGTATACTAAAACGAACATGGCTTTAATGTCAAACAAATCTGGCTTAAATATTGTCTCTGCCATGTACCAGTTGTATGCTCTTGAGCAAAGAATAATCCTCCATAGTTAAAAATACCTCCCTTGCAGGGTGCAAATGAGGATGATCAGTAATGCATGTAAAGGGCTTCGCAAGAGCCTGACACATAGTGGGTACAGGCATAAGAAACTCACTATTACACTTAATACAGTAATGTTATTGGTTAGTCACAACAGGCAATATTATGATTATTCACATTTTAAATGTAGTTGCCAAGATTCAAGATAGTTAAAAAAAAAAAAAAAACTTGTCTAAAGCTGCATAGTTTCCAAACAGCAGTGCCTAGATTCAAAGAAAGCCCTGTCTTCAGACTCAAAACCTGAACTTCATCCACTTTGACTCATCCCACATACTATGCCACTGGTTGTACTTTAAATGTTTTCTATTAGTGGCTTATATCAGTACATGTGATTTGGAGGACATGATAGAAAATATTTCAGGAATATTGAATATCTACTATCCCAAATTTTTCCACAAAGTAAAAGAAATACAACATAATGTAAGAAGGAGGGCCCTATACTTGATTTGAGATGATAATAAACATTTATGGCTAAGTTTCATGAATAACTACCTGATACATTATTGACAATCGATGATTGATGTATATTTATTGAATTAAATGGCAAGAATGACCACTAGAAGTCTATTTGGATGACCTCTGAATAGCTTCTCCAGAAAACTCATTCTGAAAATAAAGAGATCTCTGGACTGAAATTGATTTGCAAAGAAAGACTTAGCTGTCTGGAATTGGGGAATTATCAATACACAGAGACTGTGAGACCTGATAGAGTAGAATGAATGCTCAGCATAAATTTCATTGTTTGTGAGCATATGTTGTACAACTCCTGTGTATTCAGGGGAATATTTGATGGGAAGACTTTGAAGGAGGGAGCTCAACTTGTGGGGAAAGAAATCAGTAAACTTGGGAATTACAAAAAATGTAACTCCATGTGAATTTCCAGGTTATGTTGTCTGGGAATATTTGTATGATAGACATTGTTACAAAAAAATAGTCCATCTGGGCATATTGCCCATGCCATAGTGTTTTGGGGCCTGATTGCGGTAGATTCAGTGCAGCAACTTATCTTGGACAGCAACTGAGCTACATTGTTGTTGATAACCACTCATTGTTTCCTCTGCTTGCAAGTTCTCGGACTCTAATATCTTCTCATGCCCCAGTAGTCACCTGTCCAAACCTTGTTCATTCCTCAAGGCCCAGAAGTAGATGCATTCTTTGCCATGACATTTTGATAATGTCCCAATCTGGAAAAGACAGCATGGTAGAGTGGAAAGAAAAGCCATGTTGGAGTCATTAAATCAGGATAGGGTTTGCATTTTAGTCATTACTTAAAAGTCCCTTTATCTCTCCAGTGTTTGTTTTTCTTTCTGAAAAGTAGAATGAGAAGGCCATCCTTCTTCACAGTGTTTTTATGAAAGTCAAATGAGATGGTTTTTGAGAAAGTGTTTATGGTTTTAAAATTACAGCATTATGGAAGCTTGACAGCTGATGGAAAGAGTATGAGATTTTGATGTCAGACAAAGACAGAATAGTTACAGGTTTTTAATTTACTTGTGATCTTAATTGACTTAACTATTTTTTATGAGTGGGAAGGGGGTGGGTCAACATTTTTGAATCTAAGTTTTTATGTAAAATAAAGAAAACATGCTACCTACTTTTTAGAGTGGAGGCAGATTATAAATTAGATAATATATTTAAAATATGTGCTTCATAGGGGATACTCAGTAAATGTTACTTTTGTCCTTTTTGGAAGGAATCTGTTTCTCTTTTTAATATCCTGCCTTTTAATCTCTTTTATGCCTTCTATTTTAATTATTCATGTATTTTTCTCACAACCTCTACAAGAAGACTAAGATGTTTAAGAACAAGGAGTATGACTTATTTATGTTTGCAGCCCCAGCATCCTAGACATGATTCTGAGCTTAATAAAACTCAATACGTTTTTATTGAGTAACTAAATGAAATAATTAGTAGGAAAGTCATATTCCTTGCCTGAGATATCTTAAAAGAAGTGATCGCCATTAGAGTAGTTAGTTGAAGAGTTGGCATAAGAGGAGATAATAGCACTTAAAGTATGGAAGCACTGAAGTGAAAACCACATGCTAACTGTGAGACTCACACAGCTGCTTGAAGGAGCACATGCAGCACACAGAAAGGCCAAAGGCAAGGTATATCTTACACTTTGTGATTCAAAGATGGATTGCATGAGTACAGTCATGTAAAAAACTTTGGGCTTTTTAGGGACTAAAATGTGTACATAACAGGAAAAAAAAACCTTCAAATAACCTAAATGTCAGTTTGCTTCCCCTTATGGCCCACTTAAGTATATTTGAGAAAGAAGAGATCTACTGGACATGCACAGCTAACTTGTTCATGAGGGAATTTATCCTCAACATCATGTGCTTCTGCATGCTACTCCAGGTCTGGGTTGGACCAGCAGGTTAATCACCCAAAACATCTGGGCACAGTTCCCTCTGTGGAAAACTGGGTCTTAAGAATTGGCCATGTCCTTGCCATAGTTTGCTCAGAATGATGGTTTCCAGCTTCATCCATGTCCCTACAAAGGACATGATGTATTCTATGGTGTATATGTGCCACATTTTCTTAATCCAGTCTATCACTGATGGGCATTTGGGTTGGTTCCAAGTCTTTGCTATTGTGAATGGTGACGCAGTAAACATACATGTGCATGTGTCTTTATAGCAGCATGATTTATAATCCTTTGGGTATATACCCAGTAATAGGATGGCTGGGTCAAATGGTATTTCTAGATCTAGATCCTTGAGGAATCGCCACACTGTTCTCACTCACAGGTGGGAATTGAACAATGAGAACACTTGGACACAGGGTGGGGAACACCACACACCAGGATGTGGGGTTGGGGGAGGGGGGACGGATAGCATTAGGAGATATACCTAATGTAAATGATGAGTTAATGGGTGCAGCACACCAACATGGCACATGTATACATATGTAACAAACCTGCACATTGTGCACATGTACCCTAGAACTTAAAATATATTAAAAAAAAAAAAATTGGCCTCAGCAGAGGAGCAAGTGTGGGGCCAAATCCTCCTCTCTGTATAGACCTGCTCCCTTTATTTTCTACAATACCACCACCTGCCCCTCTCCAGGCTGCATGTACTTAGCTTATTGGCAATTACTAAAAGTTGGGATAATCAGAAAAATTTCTACTTAGAAAACAAAACTGATAGAAATATGTTCAGTATAACTTTTCCCCATAATTCAGAGAAAAGAAAACTAAAAAATTAAATCTCCACAGGATATACTCAGTTTCTAACCTTGATCCTCTTTCTTCACATTTAGACCTTTCTGAAATTCCCTCCTAATCTGTGCTATTCAGGATATCTATTACTGTGTATCAAACTACCCCAAAATGTAGTGACTTAAAATAATATTTACTTTGTTCACAATTTTGCAGGTCAGGAATTTAGGAAGGACTCAACTGGGAGGTTTGTCTCTGATCCATGCAGCATCAGCTGAGGATGGAGACCTCACTTCCAAGCTGAGTTCTTCACTCAACATCTGTAATCTTTATTTTCTCTCTCTCTCCAGATGCATCTCATTTTCCAGGACCTGTCCACATGGCTTCCCTGGGCTTTCTTCATAGCACAACAGTCTCAGGGAAGTCAGCTTCTTTCCCCAGAACTAGTGTTCTAGGGGACAGGAATAAGAAGCTGCTAGCTCTTAAGATCTGGACTCAGAAACCTGTGTGCCATCACTTCTGCCATAACCTGCTAGTTATGTAAATCATAGAGGTATTCCAGAGCCAAGTCTTTGCTTAGACCCCATCACTAGATGAAAGGAGGGTCAAAGAGTTGAGAGCCTTTTAAATCCACACATTTGCAGTTTTATCTTCTGGAAGTCCTAAACTGTTCCCACAAAGTACCTAGGAGTCACATCTCCTTCCCTGCTTTCCTGGTCGTACATTTAGCAAAGTCTGAGTTATTCATTCAAGTCAGATCGTGAGTTATAAACTTGCCTTTTTATTCTCCTCATTATCCTGCAGGTAAATATTGATATGGACATAGAGGTATGCCTTTCCAAGGCATACACTAATTCTCTAAAACAGTGCAATTTCAATCTATAAAAAGGAAGAAATATTTTCCTAAACTCCTCCCTCATTTACAAGGCTATTTTTTCATCATGGAATTACTATTTCCCATTTTCATATTAAACAATCTTCATTACTTTTCTTAATCCTGTCTTCATTCTTTATCCCCAATTCACCTGTACTTTCATATTATAATATCTCAGTCTGGGAATAAAAAATCAGACCTTTGATAAATCAAATATATCTTAATATCCAAGCCTTTAGAAAAAAAATAACAAAACGTAATGGACCAAATAAAGCCTTTGAAACTGCTGTTAAAAAGGTTTAATTAGATGAAGAGATAAAGACATCTTGTGCCTGAATTTTGGGAGGAAAGGGCATGATTGGTCCTTTTAGTTATATAAAGCATATTTTTATGTTACTAACATCTTGTGTCTGTAAAAGTGAAGTAATACATGCATCAGAACTCAAAAAGACCTTGGGAATATCTGGCTCAGTGTTTTTCAAACTTTTTTAAAATCAGCATAATTGTTCTTCCCAAATGTGTATTTAAATGAAATAAGATTGGTTCCAAATGTGTAAAATATATAAAGGAAGGGCTACTACAGTTTAAGTTGAATATAGTTGAGGTGCTGGTGGGCCGGGCACGGTGGCTCACGCCTGTAATCCCAGCACTTTGGGAGGCTGAGGCAGGCGGATCATGAGGTCAGGAGATCGAGACCATCCTGGCTAACATGGTGAAACCCTGTCTCTACTAAAAATACAAAAAATTAGCCGGGCGTGGTGGCAGACGCCTGTAGTCCCAGCTACTCGGGAGGCTGAGGCAGGAGAATGACGTGAACCCGGGAGGGGGAGCTTGCAGTGAGCCGAGACTGGGCCATTGTATTCCAGCCTGGGTGACAGAGCGAGACTCTGTCTAAAAAAAAAAAAAAAAAACTTGAGGTGCTGGTACCCTAGCCATCATTCTACTTTTTCACCTTCCTTTTCTCCTCCAAGGTTGCCTCTGGGTAGTTTTTAAGAAAACTTAAAATTCAGTGTAACATAACATAACCCAGTCCCTCATAATATGGAAGAATCAGAGGTCCATTTTGACTAGATGATTGGCCCATGGCTAGTTAATAGTAATAATAATAATAAGTACTCATGGCTAACATATATCAAGGAATGACCCAGGCCTAGGTGCTATTCTAAGCATTTGTAATGGTTCAAAGCATCTAACCTCCACATCAACTCTGTGGTGTGGACCCTCTAATTATCCTCATTTTATAGAAGAGGAAACTGAAGTCAGTGAGCTGAGGTAATTTGAAGCAAATCTCAGACTAGACCTGAGTCTCCTTAACCTCCAGGACACTGTTCTTGTCACCTACATTTCTGCCTCTCACAGCAGACACCTTCAGAACCACTCTATAATGAAAACTGAATTTTAGCATTAACAGAAGCATACAATGCATTATTAGTCCTCTGTTTTCTTAGGTTCTTTCCAGGGATTTAACAAATCATTTAGAGGCCAGAGACGCTTACATCTTTGGCATTCCCACAAGCCCTCAGGACCTAACACAACCTTCAGTCTGCTGTAGGTCACATACATCAGTACCTGAGAGGTTGCCTCAAACGTGGCCATTACTGGGAACCTGGGGATGTGAAAATCACCAAGATATGGAGGAAACAATGGTGAAGAGAAGAACTGGAATAGCCTTTCCAGTATCCATGTGCAGAATTAGATTTGTGTACCACCTGTGACAATTGGAAAAAATCTCATCTTTTCCTTTTTCTATTTCTCTACGGTAGAGAGACTCTGTCTACAAATATATCTTGAGGTTCCCCTTGTGAATGTGAGGACTTGCATACATATTTGTTGAACTAGTGGACAAATTGGCAGCATTATCTCTTTCTCTAATTAACCAAGTGACTGAGGCCAAACAGCTCTCCCCGTTCCTCCCTCCCCAGCCTGCTTTGCTTTTAATGACACAAGGGCCAGCTGCAGAGTGATGGGGAGAATCATCTGCAAATTAGCAGTTGAGGGATAGAGGAGAGGCCCAGGATGTCTGAGTGACCTATCAATTGGATAATCCACTTGTGGTTAATTGAGAATGAGATTCAATTAACACATTTTGTACACTGTTCATCTGAAAATTTTAATAAATTTAAAATCATGAATAAATTATGCAGTTCTGATGCATGGTACATGAATATGTGTCTAAGTGAGTGAATTTGTTTAATTTGGGTTAACATAAGTAAGAGGTATTAACTTTCTTATCTGAGATCCGATGGGTGGCTGGGAAGAAGATGATAATTGAAAGGCTAAGCTCAGTGAAGCCATGAAGAATACTCTAATTTAATTTAGAACAGAAGGTTCAGATCTTGTGAATTCTGACACATGCATGTATGGAAAGAAGGAAACACACTTTTAAAATACTACTATTTTAGGTGGCATGAAGTCTTTAGCTCAAACTTTTAGACCCAATTTAGTTAGATGTATAAATGATGATTCTATCTCCTAGGATGGCCTATAAAAGTGAATATTTGTTCAACATTTTAAGATCGTCAAATTGAAAGTGCTGTGTAAATACTGGGCCAGATTAGCTCGCCATGTGTCTCCCTGTGTGCACAGAACTTTCACTGACTTCAACGGGTGGAATGTGGTGGGAGAATCTGGCTCATTATTAGTTTTCATATTTTGATTTGATCAACTGTTGTCAATTGCAGACATTGGTAATTACCCACAGGAAAGGAGAGGAGGGGGAGAAAAACTTGCTATCATAATATTTATCTTATCAGTTATGGTATTTTCCTATATCGAAAAAAATATTGTGGTGAATTGTGTAACACAGCAAGCGCTGATTTTACAGCACCCTTGACTTGAGTGTATTTTTATACAGATTTTTTAAATTTCTCAAATAAAATCCACATGCTTATGAAGTAGTGCTGCTTCACTTATCACTGTGCCCTGTTAATCTTCCTTTAACCCTTCTCCCAATTCAGATATGCCCCTCAGATTCTATCCCCCATTAATACCATAGTCTAGGCAATTGCTGTCTGAACAGTTTCTGTGATGAAGAAAATGTTTTATATCTGCACTGTCCAATGCAGTATACAATAGCCACATGTGGCTGTTGAGCACTTGGAATATGGTGAGTATGACTATGAAACTGAATTCCTAATTTTATTTTAATAAATTTAAAATTAAATACTCACATGTAGCTGTTGGCTGTCATATTTCCAGGCAGTCCAAACTCATGCCTTAATTATTGTGACATCCTATTGACTACTCTTTTTACTGCAGGACATTTGTCTTCAATTTCTCTTATATACCACCAAATTAATGATCTTTAAATTCTGCTTACATCATGAAATTCCCTACTTAGAAACCTATGGTGATTTCACATAGTCTGTCTACTACAGTAACTTACAGAGCACAATGTGCCCCAAATCTGGCTGCCCATTAGAATCACTTGGGGACACAATGTAGAGTACCTGATTCATTAGGTTCCTGATGGAGCCTGGGAAGCTGATTCTCAGCCAACTTTAAGAATATCACTCTAGTATCTCCACTTTTCTACATATTCATTGTTGCCACTCTAGTTAAATTAATAATGATGCCTTACCTGGAATCCTGTAATGTTCTTCTAACTTTTATCCCAATCTCCTTTCTTGCCATTCCTTCCTGCTCTCACCCACAATCATTCTCCAAGTAACAGCTTAAGTGATCTGCCTAGTAGTTCAAATAGAATATATTATTCTGACAGTTCAAACGCTCTAAAGGCTTCTCATTACCTATAGAATAAAATGCATTTTCCCCCAATACTCATGGTCTACAACAGCCTACATAGTATTCTTTCCACCTGCCACTTAAACCTCATTATTTTTTTAAACTTGCTTTCTCTTGCTTACTGTTGGTATATATTCCTTCTTTGAATACATCAAGATTCTTGCCATCTCAGTGTCTTTGACTTGCTGTTTTCTCTTCTTGGACCATCCTTCCTTGGGAACTTCAAAAGTTTAACACCTTCTTATTATTAACATCTCAGCTCTGATAACACTCCAGAAAAATGATTCCTTTTCCACACTATCTGTTGTCTCTGTCCATCTCAGTTACCCCCTATACACACTCTTTTTATGTCCATAAGTACTTATTAATTTTCAGTTATCAAAAATTATGTTTTATTAGTTTACATGTCTATTACCTCCTATAATTAGGAGATAGGTTCTACAAGAGCAAGGATTTTACCTCTCTTGTCTTAATGCTGTTTTCTAAATCACAGTCATCTTCTTAGTTTATATTGGCCTTAACCCTTCCTTCAAACACAGTAGTTTACAAAATGAAGTTTTAAGACCAGCAACATTAGCATTACATGGAAATATATCAAAATGCAGTTCTGTAGCTCTACCCCAGACTTTGTGAATCAGAAACTCTGGGGATGGGGCCTAGCAATCTGTACATTAGCAGGCTCCTTGAATGCTTTTGATGCGTGTTGAAGTTTGTGAATGGCTGCTTAAACACATACCATCCACTACTTTTTTCTTTCTTTTTTGAGACAGGGTCTCGCTTTGTCACCCAGGCCTTTTTCTGTAACTCAATATAATAAGAAAATAAATGTAAGAGTTTATGATCCGTTTCTCTGAACCTTCCCCTCATACTTCCTTTATCTTTCTATGTGTTACATTCTGGGAATATAGCACAACTATAAATCTTTCTCTTCTGTTGTGCCTCTTCTGTCATTCTGTGGATGTGTCTTCATCTATGGAGTCCTGATGAATGAAAAGTCCTGATCATTATTTCAAAACATTTGAATCTAGTGGTTAAGCCTACATAAACTCAGCAAAACCTAGATTCAGAGTCAGCTCAACTACAGATTAGGTTGACACAACTCTCATTACTAATGCCTGACAGAAGAAGGGTATGCTCTTTACTGGAAGTAAATCTTATTTCTTTAATCTCTACTTGGCTTTATTTTTTAATCACAAAATGCCTGTATACAATGAAAAGTTATGAGACACACAAAGAAGCAGGAAAGTGTGACCCATGGAAAAGAGAAAATAGTTAATAGCAGCATGTCCAGAGATGGACCAGATAGTGTAATTAACTATCAGATGGAAATGTTAATTAACTAATTAACTAATTAACAGATGGAAACATTAAGAAACTATGAGTATATGCATTAAGATCTAGTGAAGAAGTTAGACATCATATCAAAAGAAATGGGTAATTTCATGAGAGAAATAAAAATGTAAAAATTGAAATACATACACACATCAGAAATGAGTCACACCTTGATGGTCTTAACAGCAGACTGGGCACAATAGAGGAAAGAATTAGTGAATTTGAAGATAAGTCGCTACAAAATTTTAAATAAATGTAAAATAGAAAAAAATAAAAGGAATAAAGCATCCAAAATTTGTACCTGGAGTTTTAAAAGAGGAGAAGTTCAACAATAGGAGAAGAAATATTTTAAGATATAACAGCTGAGATTTTTTCCATAATTAATAAAGATCAACCCACAGATTCAAGAAGTTTAATAAATCCCAAACATGAGAAATACAAAGGAAGTCATACATAGGCCCATTATAGTCAAACTCCTAAAAACCAAACATAAAAGGAAAAATTAAAGAGCAACTAGAGAAGAAAAAGCAAAATGATACCAGTGACAGCTGGCTTCTTATCACAAGCAATGGAGACCAGAAGAAAATGAAATAGAATCTTTAAAGTGTTAAAAAATAATTGTCAGCACAAAATTCTAGATTCAGTAAAAATATCCTTCAAAAATGAAGATGGGATAAGTAGATTTTTCAGACAGACAGAAGCTGAAAGAAAATTTTCAACAGATTTTCTCCACATGAAATGGTAAAGAAAGTTTTTCTAGCTGCAGGGAAATGATGTAAGATGGAAGACTACACTTGCGGGAAGAAATAAAAAGCATAGAAATGGTAAATATGTGGTTATATGTAAAATATCTTTTAATTGCTATTATTTTTTATGTCTGCATACTTTTAATTTACTTAAATTATTTACTAATTAAGGCAAAAAATAATGTGTCTTAGAGACTATAGCATTGGTAAAACATATGACAAAACAAACAAATTTGGGAGGAAAAATCAGTTATAATGCTATAATGTTTTTATATTTTCTTAAGAATTATATTACTTGAAGGAAGAATGTAAAAAGATAAAGTATATATCGTAATCTCTAAAAGAACACTGAAAAAGTAAAACAGAGTATTACAGCTTTAAAGTCAATTGAGGACATAAAATGGAATGTTAAAAATGCTGATCTGCCTATAATAAGGGGAGAAAAGAAGAACGACAGAATAAATACCAGATAAGACAAATAGAAAGCACATATAATAATGAAAGGCATTAAGTTAGCAGTATTATGTTAAGTATATGAGAATTAAACACCGCATGTAAATAAAACTGTTGAATTTTTGAAAACAAGAGCAACTCTATGCTATGAATAAAAAATAATCTTTATATATAAAGATACCTCCACGTTAGAAGTAGAGGATTTGAAAAGTTATGCTATATACTCCTTACAAATAAGGAAGCTTAAACAAAAGTAATCTTAAGATGAAGAAGCTTAGAAGTAAAGATTAGAATTTCATTAAAAGGTCAAATTATTAAGCAGACGTAACCATCTTAAATGTGTATGTACCTAGTAGTAACAGAGCTTTAACATTCAGGTAGCAGAACTCGATAAAACTCAAGGTACAGATAGAAAAAATCCACAAAAATAATTAGATATTTAGCACTGTCTATTAGTAATTATAGAAATAAGTAGTTACAAAAAAGTTAGCTTATACTGTATAAACTATTTCAATTGACTTGACTTAGTTGCTATTTTATAGAACACAGTACCCCCAAATTTCAGAGTACTTATTCATCAGTATGGCATATGCAACATTCACTAAGATAGAATATATGCTGAGCAATAAAATGAGTTACAATATGTATCAAAGTATTAAAATCATATGTAGTTATTCCTTGACCAGTATGAAATTAAGCTAGCAATCAATAAATGGTGAGTTATCTGGAAACTCCAAATATTTTCAATTTAGCAAAGATACATTCAAATAATCCACAGATTAAAGAAGAAATTATAAGGAAAATAAAAAATATTTAAAAATATTTCAAAATAAATTATAATGAAAAACAACACATAAAACTGTGTGGAGGCTGCTACTGTTAAACCATTACTTAGAGAAATATTTATAGGTTTTGCATTTATAGGTTTAAATATGCATATTCTAAATGAAGAAAAGTCTAAAATTAACAACATAAATGTCGACCTAGGGCTCTAGAAAATAAGAGGAAATTAAACCCAAAGTAAGTAGAAAAAAGAAAATATCAAAAATAAAAGCAGAACTGCATGAAACATAAATGGATGAGCACACTTCACTACTTCTATTTAACAATGAATTAGAAATCCTAGCCATTACTTGTCTTGTTCTTTATAGACATTAGTAAAATTGATAAATCTGTGGCAAGAATGACCAGAACAAAACAGAAAATACCCATATGAGAAAAAAGAGAGACATCACTACAGGCTCTACAACTTATTACAACTGAATCAAGAAGAAGTAGAAAATCTAAAGAGTTTAATAAGTATTAAAGAAATTGAATTAGTAACTCAAAATCTTCCTACACAGAAAACCCCAGGACCAGATATGTTTATGTTTTAATTCTATCAGATATTTAGGAAATATATAACCTAGGCTTTACACAAATTTTGTCAGAAAATAGACTAGGCAGCAGTACTTCCCACCTTAATTTATGAGGTTAGCACTACTGTAATACTAGAACCTGACAAAGCTATTATGAAAAAAGAAAATTTAAGTCTATTATCTCTCATGATTATAGATGCAAAAATGCTTAACAAAATATTGGCAAACTGAATCCAGCAATATATAAATGGATGATACATTATGCCCAAGTAAGTGTTACTTGGAGAATGCAAAGGTGGTTTAACATTTTTGAAAAAGTCAGTCAATGTAATTTGCCACATTATTGGAATAAATCAGGAGCATTGTTTGATTATCTCAATAGATACAGAAAGAATTTGACCAAATTCAACACTGTTTCATAACATTAAGACTCAGCAAATGAAAAATAGAAGGAAACATCGTAAATTTGATAAAGAACATCTATTAAAAAACTTTCACATGGTTTTATTTTTAATAATGAAACAGTAAATTTTGTCCCCTAAATTGGGATCAAGACAAGAATATATGCTTTCACTGCTCCTGTTTAACATTAAATTAAAAAGTTCTAGCCACAACAACAAGGCAAGAAGAAGAAATAAAATGCCCCAAAATTAGAAAGAAGGAAGTAAACTGCTGTTATTTATAGACAACATGATTGTTTACATAGAAAATCCAAAAGAACTAACCAAAAAAGTACTATTACTAATAACTGAATCTAACATGATTGCAATATAGAAGTTAATATAAGAAAAGTTTCTTCCTATATACAAGCAATGAAAAATTGGTAAGTTAAACTAAAATAACATTTACAATAGCAGCACAACACATTGAATACAGAGTGATAGGTAGAGTGAAAGGTGTGGGGATTGGAAATTATGAAACATTGAATGGAGACATTAAAGAAAACAACAAATAAGTAGAGATATATGCCATGTTTGTGGATTCAAAGATTTAATATTACTAAGATATCCATTCTGTCCAAATTAAGCTTGAGATTCAAAGCAAGCTTACTTAAAATCCCGATAGGTTTTTCTCCCTAGAAACTAGCAATTAATTTTCAAATGTATACGGAAATGTAGAGAATCTAGACTACACAAAACAATCTTGGAAAAAAGATTACAATAGCAAACTTTACATTAACTGTTTTCTAGATTTACTCTATTTACTATAAAGCCACAGTCATAAAGATTGTGATATTGCCTACTTGGATAAACAGGTAGAGTCCAGAAATGGACTTATGCACAGTTGACTGATTGTTGACCAAGGTACAAGGGCTCGTGTCTAGAATATACAAAAGATCTCCAAAAATTGACAATAAAAAGACAAACAATGCAATTAGTAAATGGAAATTACACTTGGACATTTTACAAAAGAAGATATAAGAATCTCTGATAAGCTTATGAAAATGTGCTCAACACCATCGCTCATCATATAAATGCAAATTTAAGCCACATGATACCCACTAGAATGGTTAAAATAAAAATGACTGACAACACCAAATGTTCGTTAGGAAGTAGGGCAAACAGAAATCTAATACATTGCTTGCTGGAGTGTCAAATGGTACAAACACTTTTGAGAACTGTTTGGCATTTTTTTACAGGGTTAAACTTTCATCTACCCTCTGTGATAGCAATTCCATTCTTACCCAAAAATACTTGTACAAGAATGTTTATAGGTGCTCTATTCATAATAGGCTTGAACTGACAATAAGCCAAACATTCTTCAACAGGAGAATGGGTCAATAATATGTTTTATAATTATGTGACGGAATACTATTTGTTAACTAAAAATGCACAAGCTAATTATGTATACAACATAGACACAAATGTACTAGGTTGATTTAAAGAATATATACTTTATTATTTCATTTATATGAAATGAAGAACAGACGAAATTATTCTGTGGTGACTGAGATCAGAAACTTGTTGCCTATGATAGAGAAATCGAGTGAACGGGCAAGAGAGAACTTTCTGGAGTGATGTAAATGTTTTAAATTTTGTTTTGGAGTGTTAGTCACACAAATGTACACAATTATCGACATTTATCAAACTAAACTGTTAATACCTAGACATTTATTTATGTAAGTTATACTTCAATTTAAAAAATATTATTTTGGGATCTCCTGTTTGCTCTGTTGTTTCCTCAGTTAATTGTTCTCATTCTTAGTTCAGCCCTTTTATTTCATGGAGTTGGTTTTCTTAAAATGTTTCACAATTCTTGATCAGATGTCATCTTTGAATCAGTAAGTCCCAATGCATCTGTCTGTAGATGTGATTCCATTTACTGTAGACTACATAATTGTAGGACAATGGTAAACATGCTATTGGTGGATTATACTAGTTTATTTCCTAGACATTGACACTCCCTTTTCCTCATGACACTGGACATTCTGCACAGCCTCTTTGGGCCATATTCACATGCACAATGCTGCAGCATTCCAAAGATTTCTATTGTTGCTTCTGTGCATATGTGTGCCTGTGTGTGTGTGTGTGTGTGTGTGTGTGTGTGTGTATGTCGTGTTGGGGGCAGGGAGCAATTGATTAATCTGCTAAATTTCTTCAAATGTTTCTAACATAACAGATCACTCTGATCGTTGCCTCAGCTTTCTGAGTGTGGAACAACTTTGAAGCCCCTTCTACCTTTTGTGGCAGTTCTTTTTCTGTGCATATTTATTCCAATTGCTTTCTATTTGGGAGAGATTTCTTAAAATTTTTGGCATAAATTTAACTCTCTGATGGTTTCCAGTGCTATAATAAATTTATAATTTAGGAAAAGGGGCATGTTTTCTTCATTTGTGGACATTTGAGTTGGGACTTAGAGATAAATACATGAGCTATATTTGCTATCTTAATCCAATTTCCCAAGTCAGTTTTAATTAGCAGCTGTGCTTACTGCTTTACATACTGATGCATGTGGTAACTCTCATTATCACTTTCATGTGCCCCGTATAATAGTATATGGACCTGGCAGTGGCTTGGACTCTTGCTATTTGTAAAATAAATATTCACAAGTTCACAAAAGTAAATATGAATTGATCTGTAACGTACAAGCAGTTTTGAAGAAGGAGAATATTCCTTCAACATGCTTGGGTTAGCAAGAAATGAGATTGATACTTTAGAATCTCCACCTAAAGATTCAACTCTATAGGACAGGGAGCCCCAAACTGAGACTGTAGGAGAGCCCTACTCAACATTGCCTAAAATCTCCCTAAGCACCTAGCCCCTGACTGTTTATCATTGTAATGTTGACCTAACACTTTAGGAGGCTGTGTCTATAAATGATGTGTTTGTGCACTAAAGTCAACTGCTATTTGCTGAGGATAGTGTGACTTCCATTTGACTTTCTTTCTGGTAAAAGCAGATGGAAAAGGTTTTCTTTCGTTGTTTGCTTTCACATTAAAAACAAATACTTACTGCCAAAAACAAGGATTGAAGTACTGCAGTTCCCCCTCACAGCTGTTATTTAGAGGTGGTCCAAAACTCTTCAAAGAACATTAGGTAGTACAAATCCATAGGAGGCCAGTAGTGAAAATAGCATTTGCTGGCTCTTATTTTTTTGCCCACTGTTATAGGTCATTTGTAACACCTAGGGCAGATATGATATAGAATTTACAAATGCATGAAGAGGAGAATTTTATTGACAAATTTTCCATGTTACAAAGCAGGAAACTCAGTGAAGCACAGAGTAATTAGTCAACTTAGATTTATTTTGAAAAGAATGTAGAAAAGATTTTATGAAAATATGAGGTCTTTACAATGTTGTTTGAAGGAAGACTACACTTTTGTTATTATAATAAATTGGCAATAAATCCATCCTTTTTACCAAATGGAATTTTGGTGCTGTAGTTACAATTTGCAAGAAGTACTTTAACCAAACAGACATGTCTGACATTATTATTAAAATAAATATTTATTGTAAAACAATTTAAAAATCCCTATTTCTAGAATTCAGAGGCCAAAATCGTAAATATTTTAGAGTTTTCCTGTTTAGATTTACTGCTATATTATAAAAATCATATACTTTTATTTTTACTTAACAGTCTATCTTTAAAAATAGTTTTAATAGATAAGATGTGTATTAATATGGGTGGAAGTTTATTCCATCTACTGGACAATTTTATTTTTTCTTTCTAATTATAAATTACAGTGTAATCAATACCTTTGCAAATAAATCTATGGGTGAATAATCTGGTTATTTCCTAGGAGTTGGTTCTGAGGAGAATGAACTGAATCAAAAAGAGGTTGTATCCATAATCAAGCTGTAGCTTCCATCTCCCAAATTATTTCTAGTATTCTGCTGATCTGAGGAGCTGAGTCAATATTTCCTTATTCTCTCATTAATCTTAATAGCATTCCCCAGGAAGTTGAAGACGATGACCATTCTTCCATGAGAAATATATGAATAGTTGTGCTTCCTTACCAAAAATCTCTAAATAAACTCCTAAAATCTGTTGTGTGATTTGAATATTTTTTAAAGCTCCTAATAACTGTAATCAAGTTGTTTCTAGAAATCTGGCTCTAACTTATACTGCCACCAAAGTTATTGTAACCATTATTGAATATTATTTTTTCTTTAGAAATTCTGGCCATTTGACATCAAAAAATGGCATTTGAATTCTCATTTTCACTTGCATATATTTGTTTATAAAAAATTACCAGCCATTTGTATTTCCTCTTTTGTAAGATATACATCTGTGTGCTTTATCCATGTAGGCTTTAAATGGTTAATCTTTTATTTATATAGATAAATTAAAAGCATGTACAAATTGACATTAACACCATCACCATGTTTATTTAAAATGTTATATTTGATGTATTTTACAATTTTGTTGGATATTGTTTTGTAAAATACAAATATTTATATATATATTTATGATGTATATTAATCTTTTTTCTTTTTGATTCTTTCAAATCTTATACAGCATTTTGAATTATTATTATTATTATTTTATTATACTTTAAGTTCTAGGGTACATGTTCACAACATGCAGGTTTGTTACTTATGTATACATGTGCCATGTTGGTGTGCTGCACCCATTAACTCGTCATTTACGTTAGGTATATCTCCTAATGCTATCCCTCCCACTTCCCCCCACCCCACAACAGGCCCCAGTGTGTGATGTTCCCCTTCCTGTGTCCAAGTTTTCTCATTGTTCAATTCCCACCTATGAGTGAGAACATGCAGTGTTTAGCATTTTGAATGATTCAACTTTAAATCTATTCTTTTGTATTCTATAGATATGGCTGATGTCAGTTAAAGTTTTGTATTTTAGTAGACCAAATACATTCAGATGCACAGATTTAATTTTGATTAAATTAATCAAAATTTTGATTAATTTAATTTTGATTAAATTAATCAAAATTTTGATTAATTTAATTTTGATTTCTAGCTGCTTCCTTCAAAGAGTGTCCCATTATATATTCTCTGTTATTTACAATTAACTATCTTCAAGTAAAATGGTAAAATATGCAATTATCATTAGGTAGTTATTAATGATCTACACGCAACTGTTAAAGGCTTGTTAAGACTCTTTTTTCTTCCTCTAGTTTCAGCCCCAGAATTTTGTAACGTCCAAAGATAGGCCAACCCTAGATCACTTTTATCTTAGGACTCTTAAAACGTTAAGTTACTTGATTTGAAGTTACCAAGCTAAGTTCAGCAAACAGGTTTGAAGGACAGGTTCTGATGACTTGGCATTCTTGGTGCTGAGTTGGTTTTTTCCCAGAGTCAGTGCAATGCTATCCATTCTGCATTTCAAGTAAACGGTAGTCCAGTTGTGCTCATGGATCTGTCATCAAACGCAGCTCAGATTTCAACTTTAACTTATCTAAATATAGTCTTACTCTGAGTGACAAGATCCTGGTAAGTGGCATTCTCTGCCATCCTCTTTGATATTGTTTCTAGTAGGATGACTCATGGCTCTGCTTTGCCCTAGAAAATGTTTAATTACGCTAGGGGCTTTTCATTGAGTAAAAACATCATTGACAGATCAGCTGCCACCCTGACAAGTTGGATTGTTATTCTGCTGCCTGAAGGTCACACAACATTTACTTTTGTAATACTGACCATCTGAAGGGAATTTCAGCTAGATTTCTAGACAGTCTGATGCTGTCAGGTGGAAAGACAGTAGAAAGTTCAGAAATATAGACACATTTGGGTGTCTTAGTGAGATTCCATAAAGCTTTGAATGTTAAAAAGCTTAGATATTTGTTGTGTTATAAACCTTTCAGAGGGAATAAAAAATAATTCTATATACTTTATTCTAACAAAAGCACACACATATATAGTTTTGATAAGAAACTTACTTGATGATATATTTGGCAATTTAATTACAACACTTTCAAACATAGGACTTATTAAAGAAACAATTTCCTTTGGTTTCAGTGATGACTATTCCTTGAATGACACATGCCACCAAACCACTAAATTTGGGTACTTGGGGTCCCCATTCAAAAGGCTACCGGCAGCTAAAAATGGTCGTGAAATCTCCATTCTAGCCTTGGTGCAGGTGTCTGTGGTAAAGTGATCTTCCTTTGGCTTGAGTGACTGTCACATCCTCATTTCTTACATGGAGCTCTGTGCATTCTGAGTGCACACTGGGCTGAAAAGTGATTCTGGTGAGGAGGATTATATTGGTCCTTAGTATGTTTCCAGAGCAGTCAGAATGCTTTCTTCCCCACACATGGAGAACACAGAAGGCTTCTTGGTGATAGGCTTTTATTGATAGCCTTATGATCAATAAGGCTAATGCTGCCTCATTTGCTCCCTTTTATATTTTCGTTGATGGGAAACAGGTTCAGGGAACCAATTTAAAAAAAAAATGTAAATCTTTCAGCAACAAAACTTTCTTCTCCTTTAATCTTTCTTCATTGTTACTTCCCTATCTCACCTTCTGACCCATAATTCTTAGAAAATAACTGCTGTCACTTTTAAAAACCAGAGATGTGGGAGAAATCAAGTTCTAGGTTTTACTATTACCTTTGACTCTTAGAAATCATTTCAAGTGGGTAGAGAGACTTGTGAAGACCAGCATTTGGTCTGTAAACAAGACTAGTGGTTGGTGATTACACAGGCCTGTGTCTTGTCAGATTCATGAATTTAAATTGTTGTGCTCAGATATCCCTGAGGATATCTAGAATATAGATCAAAGCCTTTGCTTCCTCAAGTACCGAATGGTTGGTGGTTTTGTACCACTCTATCTGTAGCCAATTCCAAGGTTGAAAAGGTGGAATTGAGAGTTTGCATACAAAAAGCTAGGATCCAGTGTGCTGGGGTGAGCCCCATGTTTCCTCATGGTCACTGAACCCCAGCCTTTTCTCTCTAACCTCTTCCTGGGCCACAAAGGACTTTTTTGGATCCTATACATTTTTGCCTTTATGTGCTCCTTCTTTCATAAAAAATATTGAAAATTTTTCTTACAACTATATTTGTATAAAGACAAATACAATTCAGACTGGATTCCTTATGACATATTCATTACTTTTATATGCATTTTTCATTCTAATTTAAAAAATAAAAATAAAAAATTTATGGACTCCTAAAAGTATCATAGGTCCTAGGCACCATTTGTAATAGATAAGTAGGGCCTGCCCTCATATGTGCGACCAAGTACATTGTTCTTTGTTCTGTCACTTAGATCATAGGCCTTCCCTAGTTTAAGGCCCAGACCCTGCTCAAATCTTGCAAACCATTCCATGTAGGATGCTCCCATAACAATCAGCTGGCAAATGGTGATATATTTTAACTGGGAAAGACTACCTATTACCATGGTTCCATTACCTAACTCCAAATATTGCTGTTTGCTGAGAACCACCAATGCCTCACTCAACCTTTAAATTCAATCCTCTTGGATACTTACACAGGGCTGGAGTACACTTGGGTTATGGCAGCTCTGCTATTTGCACCACTAAGTTATTTGCCAAAGAGCCCAGTCCTACAGACTGCCTGACTTCCTTTCCTCTATCATTCATTAGCATTGCAATATGTCTTATGCAGTCTAATAGTTACTCACTGACTACTGGCAAGGCAATGGCAAGCAAAACAAGTACCCTATTATAAGCAAATTTTGTAACTTAAAAACAATTTTCTTCTTTGTGGCAACTTAGTTCCGAGTTAGAGTTCTTGGTCCCATTAGGCCTTTCATCCGACTTTTCCTTCACTATTCAGCTTCTCAAAGAGTTGTTTACTTCATCTGTGGCTACTTTTGTTCCTGAGATGAATTCAGCAAACACCTGTTGAAGCCCTCTGTTGTGCTAGGAGCTCTGCCATGTATGCCCGTATGGCCCACAGACTCTAATAAGAGAATAGGCATCCTGAAATCATGGGATTGAAATGGCAGTTCAAGACCTTTTGTTGTTGTTGGTTTTGGTTTTTGGTTTTAATTATGAAAATAATAATGCCTTTGGGCAAAAAAAGTATCCACTTAGTTAAGTATATGGATGCAAAGAATGAGCATTTAGTATTATCTCCCTAATTCTAAAACTTACAATTCTCCAAAGATGATGGCGTTTAATTTTTTTGGTCTTTTATTTTTTCCTCTGTTGCTTTGAAAAGGTTGTATTTCTTCACTCTGACCCACCTTTCCTTCATCTTTTGTGATACTACTGTAACTGCCCAATGGGATCACTCGCTACTGTTTAGACAGAGCTGATTTATCGAGACAGGGGAATTGCAATGGAGAAAGAGTAATTCATGCAGAGCTGGCTGTGCAGGAGACTGGAGTTTATTATTACACAAATCAGTCTCCCGGAGCATTCAGGGATCAGAGTTTTTAAAGATAATTTGGCAGGTAGTGGCTTAGGAAGTGGAGAGTGCTGATTTGTCAGGTTGGAGATGGGATCATAAGGGGTCAAAGTGAGGTTTTCTTACTCTCTTCCATCCCTGGGTGGGATGGCAGAACTGGTTGAGCCAGATTACTACTCTGGGTGGTGTCAGCTGATCCATCCATTGCAGGGTCCGCAAGTTATCTCCAGCACTGAACTTAGTTTTACAGTAGTTATGTTATCCCTAGGAACAATCTGGGGAGCTTCAGACTCCTGCAGCCAGAGGTGAAATGACCCCTAAACTGTAATTTTTAATCTTGTAGCTAATTTGTTAGTCCCACAAAGGCAGACTGGTCCCCAGGCAAGAAGGGTGTCTTTTTGAGAAAGGGTTATTACCAATTTTGTTTCAGAGTCAAACGATAAACTGAATTCCTTCTCAAGGATAGTTCAGCCTATGCCCAGGAATGAACAAGGACAGCTTAAAGGTCAGAAGCAAGATGGAGTCCACTAGGTGTGATCTCTTTCAGTTTTATAATTTCCTCAGTTACAATGTTTGCAAAGATGGTTTCAGGATGGGCTGCGTGCTACGAGCTGCGGCCTTTGACAGAGGGATAGGGCCAACCTACAGCACACAGATAGAGAGGGTGCTGGGGAATAGATACACCAAGTTCACATTCCTCCTCTCCAATCTCCTGGGTCTCCCTATTGGACAAACCCAACCAGAAGCTAGTAGACAAGAGAGTTCTATGCTGTAGTCCATGTGGATTAGCCTCTGGAGCAAGGACAGGATAGAGAAGGATGAAGGAAGGGTGCATCTACAGGGGCAAATGAAAGACACTAGCACCTATTCTATGTACAATGGAATGATTTCCCAAGTGCCAAATGAAAATTTCTCTGGAAATTCCATGGTACAGAGATGTAAAATATATGAGGTATTTGAATACAAATTGATAAACACATATTTTAAAATGCACAGATATACCACAAGGGTCATGGAGACCTTAGATTTAGAAAATGGAGACATATGCAAATGAATAAAAAGAAGTTCTTTCCAAGATATCAGAGGTAGCATATTTATAAGTGTTCCCTCCATGTCCTTAAACTGAAAGACACAAAAGGAAGCAAATCGGAAGAGAAAAACCACAAAGAGAAATCTCAAAGAGAAAATTTTAGGGTCAGAACAATGAATAGGAAAAACTCTTAGCCAGGAAAGTAGACAATCAAGAAAATGTGAAAGTAGTGAAACTGCCTTTGCAAAAATTATAACTGAGGAAATTATAAAAGTGAAAGAGATCAGACCTAATGGCCTCCATCTTGCTTCTGACCTTTAAGCTGTCCTTGTTCATTCCTGGGAATAGGCTGAACTAACCTTGAGAAGGAATTCAGTTTATGGTTTGACTCTGAAACAAAATTGATTGACTTTTCCTAAAAAGACAGCCTTCTTGCCTGGGGACCAGTCTGCCTTTCTAGGACTAACAAATTAACTACAAGATTAAAAATTACAGTTGAGGGGTCATTTCGCCTCTGGCTACAAGAGTCTGAAGCTCCCCAAATTGCTCCTGGGGATAACATCACTCTTGTAAAACCTAAGATCAGTGCTTGAGATATTTTGCAGACCCTGCAATGGATGGATCAGCTGACACCACCCAGAGTAGTAACCTGGCTCAACCAGTTCTGCCATCCCACCCAGGAACAGAAGAGAGTAAGAAAACCTCACTTCGACCCCTATGATTTCACCAATCAACACTCTCCACTTCCCAAATTCCTGCCCACCAAATTATCTTTAAGAATTCTGATTTCTGAATCCTCGGGGAGACTGATTTGAGTAATAATAAAACTCCAGTCTCCTGCCCAGCTGGCTCTGCATGAATTACTGTTTCTCCATTGCAATTCCTCTGTCTGGATAAATCGGCTCTGTCTAGGCAGCGGGCAAAGTGAACCCACTGGGTGGTTACAACACCTTGAAATTCTTTCTCCAAGTTCTAGTAATTGATTCCTACCATGCTGCCTCTGGCCTGGAGTTTGTGAGAGTGGATGTGAACCCTGAGATATTTCACTTCCCTTCTGGCTTTTTCTAACCTCTTTCTATGTTGTAATAAATAGCCCCTTTATTAAAATTTCCTCAATTATCTCATTTGAGTGTGCCATTTTTCTTCCTTTCTAGGCCTTAATCAATACACCTAAAATTTATTCAAAGTATTTGGGGGATATTCCTTAGGTTCTCTTTTCTCTAACAACATAGATTTTGCTTGGTCTTTGCTTGTTTGTTTTAAATTCTCTGTAATTGCTATCAGGGTCTTGCAGCTGAATCTGCCATAAATAGCATTTGATGGACTATGGTAATGGTGGTGGTGATGGTGACAAGAAGATTTCATTGTCTGTTTACTTCAGAACATTTTTTCCTTGCTGAAATCTGAGATTAAAATGGCTTTTCCATTACAAAACTCCAAAACATTTTCTGTATATTAGTTAGGATCCTCCAGAGAAACAGAACCAATATATATTATGTTTAATATGTTTATATGTAATATGTATTATGTTTTATATTATGAAATATAATATAATACCCAGGATGTAACTGTTTAACTTCCTCACATCTAGGACAGACAGTTAAAACAACATCTCAACTAGGGAAGCCTACTGTGTCATGGGTGCTAAACATCTGCTCCCTGTTCACTTACTGTAATAAAAGCAATGTTCTCTTTCTCTCTTTCTTTTTTTTTCCATATTATCTCCCCTCATTTAAGAGAAAAAATATGTTACATTTTGGATTTGTTACTTAACAGCGGAGACAACTTCCCACATTAAAGTTTTCTAGCAAAAACTCTTTAATTTGTACAACATTGAAATTCTTCTTGATTTTTAAAGTCACTTTTAGTTTTTTTGCATTTTAAATCAGATTCAATTATAAAAACACCTTTTCATTCTGTGAATATCAGAAACTTCTGCTAACTATTGTTTGAAGAGAAATTTGAAAGATTCTATTTATATTATGTTTATATATTTTATATATTTATATTATATATTTACATAGAATACGTTCTTAACATAGCCTTTTTATCCTTTTTAGTTATTGAGTCTTCAAAGTGTGTGTATTACTAGAATGTTCCACAATTAGGTTTCTAGACGGAAGATTTGTGGCTGATAAAATTGTTCTTCTTATGTTCAGGAGACTTCCACATGTCCTTGCATCCCAAATAATGACTTCATGCTTAAGTCAGATAACCTTTAGTTGATTAAAATATTTCATTAGTCAGAAAATATCTCTCCTTGGCCCTGTCAAATAATTGAGGTATTAATTTCCTTCCTTAGATCCTTCAATCACGGACAAGGGGATAGTCAATAAATTCTGTGATTTGGAGGAATGCAGTGAAAGGAATTGTTAATGCTTTCTGGCACACAAAGCAGTGTTGTTTTTTCTAATTGCCATGGCCTTTTATCCCTATGACATTTAGCACTGAGCGTTAGGCAAAATAGAATATTGATATTTAGTGAGATGTAGTTCAAATCGGTGTTAATTCTTTAGATCAGTGGATAGTAAACTATGGCCTATGGGCCCAAATCCTGTCTGTTTTTGTATAACCTATAGCTAAGAATGATTTTTACGTTAAACAAAGAAAAATAATACTTTATGACCTGGAAAATTATATAAAATTCAAATGCTAGTGTTCATCGGTATAGTTTTATTAGAACACAAGCACATTCATCCGTTACATGTATATAGGTGCTTTCACAATACAACGGCAAATTGACTAGTTGCCACAGAGACTGTAAAGTCTAAAAAAATCTGGCTCTTACAGAAAAGTTTGCTCACCCCTGCTTTAAATAATCCAGTTAGTTTTTTCTTTACTTAAAATAATAACCTAACTGAAAAACTTAACTTTCTTGGTAGCTACTAAAACAATAATGATTGACTACTAGTTTTATAAGAGAATAATAGGCATTCTAGTATTATTCCCAGAGACAAGGCCATTGCTGAGGAGATAATGGAATTATATAAAATTGTTTAGAATTTATCTCTTGTTATCAGATATGGGAATATGGTGTCAACTCATATTTGCCAGTGCTTCTGAATATCTTTAAAACCTTATTTAGGACCTTTTACTCTCTCAATATATAGCAAGAGCAAGAAAGGGAGCCCAAATCATTGTTGGCTTCAGATTAAATCAGTCTCACCATGTGTCTCATAAAATAATGTCTACTGAAGGCTGGGTGCGGTGGCTCATGCCTATAATCCCAGCACTTTGGGAGGCCAAGGCGAGCGGATCACCTGAGGTCAGGAGTTCAAGACCAACCTGGCCAACATGGTGAAACCCCATCTCTACTAAAAATACAAACATTAACTGGGTGTGGTGGCACGTGCCTGTAAGCTCAGCTACTTGGGAGGCTGAGGCAGGAGAATCATTTGAATCCTGGAGGCGGAGGTTGCAGTGAGCCGAGATTGTGCCACTGCACTCCAGCCTGGGTGACAGAGTGAGACTCCATCTCAAAAAAAGAGATGAAGAAAAAAAAAAAAAGACTACTGTAATAGACACCCTGCTTTCACTGATGCCCACTATAAAAGACAATAAAAAAAATCTATGGATAATTTAGCACAAAACAAAACAACTGTTATTCTATACCTATATTTCTGACACAAAATATATGGGTCTTTTTCCCACACCATTCAATTCTCTAACTCTCTGGACACTAACAGTGTGTCTTATAATTTGATTCTGTCACTAACTACTCAAAGCTAGTGTAGACCCCCCAGGTAAAGGGCATAGTGCCACAAGACTGCTCCCCACTTCAAATGCCAATCACAGGTCCCAGTTTGTCACCTGTACTTCTGACTTACTGGCTGCAAATTAAGAGTTCCCACAACTCCCAACTTGAGTTCAATAATTTGCTATAACAGCTCTCAAAACTTAGGGAAACATTTACTTATGTGTATTAGTTTATTACAAGGGATATTACAAAGGATGCAGGTGAACAGTGAACAGGTACATAGATGAAGTCTGAAAACATCCTTAACACCGGAGCTCTGTCTTTGTGGAGCTGAGGGTGTGCCACCCTCCTGGCACATATATGTGTTCACTAACCCAGGAGCTCTTTAAACCCTGTGCTTAGAGTTTTTGTGGAGGCTTCATTACATAGGCATGATTGATTAAATCATTGGATATTGATAATTAAGTCAATCTCTAGCTGCTCTTCTCTCCCCCGAAGTCAGAGGGGCTGAACATTCCAATCCTTTAGTCATGCCTTGCGCTATCTGGTGACTAGCCCCATCCTAATGGTATCTAGGAAATACAGCCACCAGTCATCTCATTAGCATGCAAAAAGACACATCACTACAGAGATTTGAAGGTTCTTAGAAGCTCTTGTGCCAGGAACCAGGACTAAGACCAAATATTATAACAAAAGATATTACAGTCAGGAAATTACAGGGATTTTAGAAGCTCTGTATCAGAAATGAGGGCAGAGACCAAATATATATTTCTTATTCTGTCACAGATATAGTATGGATGTATTTTCTTCATCTTTGTACTCAAAATGGGCCCCAGCAAATATAAGAACAGGTGTTTCAATTATGGTCTCATCCATGACTCTTGATTCTTGATGAACAATTGCACATAATATCTTTGTTTTTTTTCCCCCTTGCAATCTAGTTCTCAGCAGGAAATTTACTGAGCTGCCAACTTGTGATCATCTAATTGACTCAGAAAGAATCTGAATGAGTTTCTAAATATCCAACTGAAATCAATTGTGACTCTCTTTATTTTAGGCCCCAGGCAGATTGAAATTGAGACAATAAATGGAAGCACCTCATTCTGAAAGAATGAGAGTTGGCAGCTTTGCAGCAAACATCACATACATAAACCCTCACACTCACAGACACGTATACACATACAGCACACTCACATGCACACTCATTTACAAAGTTTTATATTTGGAAAGAATACGTAATTGGATATATGTTTGGCATCTTAAAAGTCCTAGCTTCCTACAATCCATGATTTCAGCAATCTAGAAAAACATTTCATCTAATAAAATAAAATATTAGGACCATATTAGTCCATTTTGTGTTGCTTATAACAATACCTGAAACTGGGTAGTTTATAAAGAAATGAAATTTATTTCTGACAGTTATGAAGGCTGAGAAATCCTAGGTTAAGAGGCTGCATCTGGTGAGAGCCTTCTTGCTGGTGGTGACTGTGAAGTCTTGAGTCATTATGGGACATCACCTGGTGAGGGGGCTGAGTGTGCTAGCTCAGGTTTCCCTCCCTCTACTTCTGAAGCCACCAGTCTCACTCTCACAGTAACTCATTAATCCAATAACTCATTAGTCCCTTAATTCATGAATGGATTAATCAATTCACCTCTTAAAGCCCTACCTCTCATTACTGCCAAAATGGGTTTTAAGTTTCAACATAGATTTTATAGGGGACAAACACTCAAACCATAGCAAAGACTATTGCTGGTAGTGGAGAGCCACAACTAACACATTGCTTAATTACTTAAAAATGTCTGTAACCTTAGTTTCTCCCAAAGGTCTTGAGACTCTTTCTTTTCACCATATTTTTCATTTTCCTCATGGAAAAGTTTTTCCCAAGGTTCTTCTATTTGTACACATTTTATATTTAAATGTTTTCATTAAATTCCAATTTGTGTGAAATGGAAACAAGAATTTCAAACAGTATTGTTATGGGTTTAGTAGCCCATCTGCTGTTCTATCTTCTTTTTCTAACAGTTAGAGAAGGAACAACTGTGAGAATAAACAAAGTATTTAACACCATGCCTGTATGTTAGAATTCTAAGTATCTGAACCTTCAGAAAGGAGGAACTGACTCTTCAATTTTCATTGTGGTATGCAATCATGATGAGCACTATTAGGAACTGTGATTAGAGGTGAAGCATTTGTAGCATTCTAGTGAGCATGAAGTGATTAAACAAACACACATCCTGAACTATTGTTTTCAGGAGAATGTTTAATGGTGGGACTGCAAAGTGATCTGGCTGCAATGCAGTGAGAGAACTGTTTCAGTTCAGATCCTTACAAAGGAGGCTTTTTCCGACAATGGAGTTCCCCAAACCCTATTCCTATCCCTCCCAAAAGAAAAGAGCATGTGGTGGAGCCACAAGAACAACACAACAAACCAGTTGTACACAGACGAAGGCCATTTCTGACCTGGCTAGGAGAGCAGAAGCAAGCACTTTGCAACCACATTGGAGGAAGGAACATTGGTAAGTAACAGTTCAAGACACAGCTTGGAAAAAACTTTGTTCCCAAGCCCAGTTTATGGCCTTAGACAGATAAAAGCCCAATAGAGTGTAGAACTGAAGTGGCATCGTTGTCTGGGTTAACACCTGAGGTTTGGTGCCACATACCAAGGAAATCAAGGACATGGACATTCACAAGGGGTGAGTTTGAGAGCAGAGGTTCAATAGGCAAAAGAAAGAGAAAAGAGAATAGTTCTCTCTCCTGTGGAGAGGGTGTCCTGAGTGGGTCTTCTGGCCCGCGGCAGAATGCATGGGTTTTATAGACTGGCTTGAGTTGGTGGTGTCTGATTTACATAGGGCCCAAAGATTGGTTGGACCAGCTATGCCATTTACAAATTGCACAAAGAGGCCTGCCACCCCAAACTAATCTTTTATTATGTAGATGGGGTCTCTTTCTGGCCTGGGCCATGTTGTCTGTTCTTGCCATAAATGTGGTTGACAAAGAAAAGGGAAGAAGAAGCCTCCATGTTGAACATTCCTGGCCCCCAGGTAGCCTTTTCCTATTGGCAAAGCGGCTAGCATTCACCTGTGCAAGCTTCCAGCTTGCTTATCTATGTCAGCAGCTCAATTTTACAGGTTGCTCTTTCTTAAAAAAATGATTTGGGGGCTGCTTTTCATTAAAAGGAAAACCTTACTGAGGACATCCTTACCCTATCTGCCTAAATAACTTTTTTTAATGCCTGTATGGGCTCCACCAAAGAGAATTAACAAAATTTGGACAATGCACTGGAAAAGGGATGTGTTTGTCAGAGGCATTTGAACCAGAGTGACACCATCTTGAATAGGAACTGGGTAAAATAAGGCTGAGACCTACTGGGCTGCATTCCCAGACTGTTAGGCATTCTAAGTCACAGATTGACATAGGAGGTTGGCATAAGATACAGGTCACAAAAACCTTGCTGATAAAACAGATTGCAGTAAAGAAGCCAGCCAAAACCCACCAAAACCAAGATGGCGACAAGAGTGATCTCTGATTGTCCTCACTGTTACACTCCCACCAGTGCCATGACAGTTTACAAATGCCATGGCAACATCAGGAAGTTACCCTATATGGTCTAAAAGAAATGGCATGAATGATACACCCCTTGTTTAGCACATATTCAAGAAATAACCATAAAAATTGACAACTAGTAGCCCTCAGGGCTTCTGTGTCTATGGAATAGCCATTCTTTTATTCTTTTACTTTTTTAATAAACTTGCTTTCACTTTACTCTATGAACTTGCCCTGAATTATTTCTTGCGTGAGATCCAAGGACCCCTCTTGGGGTCTGGATCAGAATCCCTTTCTGGTAACATCTTTCTGGCAACCGTGGGAGGGACAATAGTGAGGAAACCCCCGACCCAAAGACTAACTTTGGGTAAGTGGTGGGATCTGATAACATCTTTCTGGTGAACCACAGAAGGGACAATACTGGAGACCCCCTGACCCAGAGGAAAATCATCTGCATGCACCAATTGGCTGACTTGGGTAAGTGGGGTGCATATACCCAGGTAAAGGATGAGGTTGGGTTAGAGACCCAACTTAGGGAAGTTAAGTCTCTCCTACAACAGAGTGGGTTAAAGGCCCCTCTTAATAAAAGGCAAGAGCGCTTGACTGAATTTGGGTTCGAGGCCCAACTTAGGAAGGTTAGAGTCCTTCCTAAGATTTAGGGGGTTAGCGGCCCTTCTGGGTAAAGACCCTCTCAGCTAAGAATGGATTTCGCATTATGAGATGTTAACTGCTATTCTTTTTGGATTAATCTACCTTGCACTCTCTGCTGATGGCTGTGGGTGACAGAATTAGGCATGTATGGGATTATGGGACATGGGGAACTTTTTTCTCTCCTTAAAGATGGAAACCCAACAGCTGATGGGACTGCTGTAAAAGATCCCTTCACAACTGACAAATGACCTCCTGGACTTTTCAGTGTCACTGCAATGGGTGGATTTTTCTCTGGCCTCCCTGAGCTGCTCACCTTCTCCATCCTGCCGTAGGCAATGCTTTTCTCTCTCTGCTTTTCGTTTCCTATCTTTTCTATTACTCAGAGCTGCCATCTTGCCCAGAGACCACATGTTGAAACTCCTGGTGGGAGGTTGGATTAATGATGATGGGGCCCAACAGGGGCATGTTTGAGCCTTGCCAGTTTGGTGGTGGGTGCTAAGCAGAGGGACTAAACTCTATGTTTTGTCACACGTATTTTTACTCTGGCCAGAACAGAAAAAGGTAATTTTCCTTTTTGTTGTGGCTTGGCCCCAGGGCTGTGGTGCAGGCAACTGGGTCACTAGGGCCGCTCAGGGGGAGGGAACCCAGAATCCTGGCATACTGGCAAAAGAGTAAGAATTGTTTTTTTCTTTTTTTTTTTTTTTTTTTTTTTTTTTGAGACGGAGTCTTGCTCTGTCGCCCAGGCTGGAGTGCAGTGGCGCAATCTCGGCACACTGCAAGCTCCGCCTCCTGGGTTCACGCCATTCTCCTGCCTCAGCCTCCCAAGTAGCGGGGACTACAGGCACACGCCACCATGCCTGGCTAATTTTTTTGTAATTTTTAGTAGAGACGGGGTTTCACTTTAGTAGAGACGGGGATGGTATCGATCTCCTGACCTCATGATCCACCTGTCTTGGCCTCCCAAAGTGCTGGGATTACAGGCGTGAGCCACCATGCCAGGCCAAGAGTAAGAATTTTTTTTACCAGTCAGACTACTGCTCTGTTTCTCTCTGTCTGTGCAAACCATTTGAATGAATGGTAAAAATCACTGTTTATCTCCTCTGTAAAGTTGTTATTAATGGGGAAAAGTATTTGTGAGGCTAGTCTTCAACTGTAGTGAATTTAGTTTGCTTTGTGTGTCTTTCTGTATTGTTTTGTCACAAAGAGGGGTACCTTAGGATAGAATGAGGGCCTAGGACCCTATTAGCCTGCAGTTCAAGATGGTCCAGCAAACTGGTCAGTTACAAACTTTTCTGCAGGCCCCTGAAAAAAACAACTGGATAAAGTTCCTTCTAATCTTGTTTCATGTCCTTGGGAGCTTGACTTTTTAACCATGTGGCAGTACATTCTCTTGGTTTCTGCCATCACAGTGGTGGCCTGGGTTCAGAGTTCAATTCCTGGCTGGTTTATCTTCTGTTTATTTATATGTATTATGGGTGTGATGCTTATATATGACAGAACTTTAATTAATTGGTTTAATAATAATAAGAGCCTAAATTTTATCAGAAAAGTAAAAAGTGTAATGCCTCTTAGTTTACGTGACTTTAGTAACCTTTAGGAAATAAAAAACAGTTTTACATGCAAGGTATATAAGAAAAGCGAAATGTGTTTTAGTAAAAGATTATAAGAAGTCATGGGAATGTGGATTTTTCTTCCTAAAGTGTCAAAGGATTGTTTTAAGTTAGATAGGGTAAAGCTGAAGGTTTGAGCAACTTGTGGAAGGTCTATAAAAAATTAATCATATAAAAAATTATGTGTGAACATATTAGCTAAAGTTAAATGGGTATCCAGTTTTTCCATAAATTGAACATTGGAATAAAAGCACAACAGAGCTTAGAGCACTGATTTGCTCTTTAACAAAAAATTGTAAAGGGTTATAAAAGGTATGAAAATCTTACCTTATGATCATGCTAATTAAATTGGATAGATTTGCCTATAAGATTTTATTAAGAATTGGGTTTAACATTAATAGTACACTAATACAAAGGTGAAATTTGCCTTCTTTGGTATAAAAATCATACAGGAAGCATTGTCAAATATGAAATGGTGTTTGGCTTTCTTTGAGCTGTGTTTCTATAAATTTGTTATTGGTATATGTTTCAAAATTATGGGAAACTCCTATAATCGTAATATGACTTAGTATATCTTTTTAATATTTATAATTGTTAAGTAAAATATTTTTGAGTTATTACTTAAAATGTTTCTGATTCTTTGTTTTGTTTTTCAGAGTCAAGGAAACTTTTCTTGAGAGCTATTTACAGCTTTTAACAATTGAGTAAAGTATACTCCTGTGAACAAAATTTGGAGCATATTTGTTTCTCTCTACCTGATTTCTCCAAAATTTGGAAATTACTTATGAACATTCTTAACTTATGCAATATAGTTATTTGCATAAGTGATATAAGAATCTGTTTACTTTTGCAACAAAACACAATTGGAGAAACTGGTTATTTTAGTTAGGCTTTGACTTGAATGGCATGCTTTCCTTTAAGGAATCAAACTTGACTTATAGAGCCAATAAAAGCCCCTTAGAAAACTGGCCTCATACCTTGTCTACACAGTCCCTGTGTACAGTTCCTGACCTGTGGTAAGTAAAGAATGTCACTTTGTGACAGTCCCATAAGCCCCAAGTTATCCTGGGACCTTAAGAGGAGAGACATTTACCCAAATCATAGGAATCTGAGAGTACAAACCCATGGCAGGGCTCAGCCCTAAAAGTCTTATCTGAGATTCTCTCTATGGAACAGAGTTCCATCAAAGCCAATTTAATAAGAGCATATGTGAAACATAATTATTCTTGCTACACTTTATGCAAATAATCAAGCCAAGTATAATAAAGCAAATCAGTCTTACCATGATTTGTTTTTAGTAAAAATGGGAAACTGTAGAGAGAAAAAAAAGAAAAATTATGTTTTAAGAACTATGGTACCCCTGTTATTCTAGTCTCAGTTGTTTTTCAGTTTTATTTTTCCTGCAATTTAGACTAACCCTGCTTATTTCTGTGAACCTACCAGTGATCTCTGACTACAGCTCAGAAGAAACAAGAAGGATGAGTAATGTCAAAACCTGGGTCAATATTCTAATTCTGGACGTATTGGAATCAGCTAGCAACCCTGTATCAGCTTGGTTCCAACAGTTGCCAATTCATGGAAAACTTTCTAATTTAGTATACTTGGGACAATTTTGCTTATTTTGCTTTAGTATTATGGAATATATTGCTATTACACTCTTTGTGTAGGAATGCAGGATAACCTTACTGAATGTTTTCTTAAACTGAACAGTTATTAATCTTCCAGATATCACCTTTTGTCAGAACTCAGAGTTTTGAATAGGCCTTGACATACTGACTCTTTCTGAGTTCCTCTCTACCCCAAATACAAGAGATCCTAATAGTTAGGCAGGAATATCATCACCCTTATTCAGCATGAAGAAGTTACAGAAGATAGATCTTTGTCCCTCTGCAACTCTTAGGATTAAGGGTTCTATTGTAAAAGGGAGGGCAGATATGTTGGAGATATTTGAACCAAAGTAACACCATCTTGAATAGGGGCTGGGCAAAATAAGGCTGAGACCTACTGGGCTGCATTCTCAGACTGTTAGGCATTCTAAGTCACAGGTTGAGATAGGAGGTCGGCACAAGATACAGGTCACAAAGACATTGCTGATAAAACACCTTGTAGTAAAGAAGCCAGCTAAAACCCACCAAAACCAAGATGGCGACAAGAGTGACCTCTGGTTGTCCTCATTGTTACACTCCCACCAGCACCATGACAGTTTACAAATGCCATGGCAACATCAGGAAGTTACCCTATGTGTTCTAAAAGAAATAGCATAAATAATACACCCCTTGTTTAGCATATAATCAAGAAATAACCATAAAAATGGGCAACCAGCAGCCCTTGGGGCTGCTATGTCTATGAAGTAGCCATTCTTTTATTCCTTTACTTAATAAACTTGCTTTCACTTTATAGGCTCACCCTGAATTATTTCTTGCATGAGATCCAAGAACCATCTCTTGAGGTCTGGATCAGGACCTCTTTTTGATAACATGTTCATACATAGGAGAGAACACACTGTTTAAGGTTAATTTCCAGTTGCTCATCACTGGATGTTGATAGCATAGTATTTATAGCTGTGTATAATTATGCTCAGGAAAAATCCTCAAAACTAAGAATTATTCTTTTTAAGAATATAGGGAGGTTATTAAGTATCAATAATAATAATAACAAGAATTAAAAACATTGTCAATGTTAGAATTGTCAATGTTTGTTCTTAGAACAAGTATTAAAAACATTATCTCATCTTCAGAATATGAGAATATTCTCAATAGTCCTTCCCATTGTCTTTGCACTAAGGAATCTGCCCCCAGTCCCATACTAGATATTTTAGGTGGTAAACAAAACACAACAAAACAAAAACACAAATATTTAAAGGAGGGTACTGGTAATCTAAATATCTCTTGTTATGTAAGCAGTACCCCATGAGAAGGCCACATTGTCAGCAGGGGGATAGCTGTCTCCTGTAGTCAGACAGAGCTGGGTTCCAAAGCTTGATCTTTCATTATCCATGCAAGGCACTTAGCCTCTCTAGATATCATTTTCCTATTTGTTTCAGGGATATGTTGACTACCTATGGCTGCTGTAACAAAGTACCACAAACTGAGCGGCTGAGAAAAACAGACACTTATTTTCCCACAGTTCTAGAAGCTAGATGTCTGAAATCAAGGTGTCAACGGAGGTGGTTCCTTTTAAGGAGTCTAAGGGAACCCAGGCCACTTTCCTCACTTCTGATGACTGCTGACATTCCTGGGTAATCCTTGGTTTGTAGATAAATCACTCCAATCTCTGCCTCTGTCTTCTCATAGCATTCATCCTGTGTGTGTCCAAATTCCCTCTTTTTATAAGGGCACTGATCATACTACATTAAGATATGGCTTCTCTTAACTTGAATACATATTTGCAAATACCCTGTTTGCAAATATGATCACATTCACTGGTGGCAGGGATTAGGACTTCTACGTATGTTTTTGGAGAACACAATTCAACCACTAACAGGGATAATAATCAAATGCCTTCTTCAGAGCACTGCAAGAGGGATTAATTAACTCAATAATGCAATTCGCTGAGAGTAGGTTTGTGCCCATGGCAAAACATTTTTTGGCTTCCCCAATATGCAGTATGTGTGGCTTTGTAATATAGGCAAGCTCTGTGTCTGCTCCACACCACTGGCTCTACTACCATCTACTCCACTTGTTATCTTGGCAAATTATTATTATCATTATCACAAATATTACTGTAATGTTGCCCTCACATTGCTGCTTCTCTGTGAGTGTGCTAAATCCTGTGCAAAGCTTGATGCTGTCCATGAACTTGCTCTCTGTTCTAACTGTTCCAAGTTCTGCTTGGAAGTGGCATCGAGCTGGTATGAACTGGAAATCTGAATGGCTGTATGAACACAAAGACAGATGGCAGGATCCCCATTGGAATGTGTGGCCAGCACATGGCTGCTATTTGTTTTCACTCTCGAGTAGTCAGCAGACACACTGTGACTGTACTGCAGCTGCAGTGAGATTTACTTCCAGAACTTTTCAGGACTGTGGGGCAGTGCATGGCAGGGGTTACTTGGACAGGTGAAGTCCTAAGAAGGAAGCAAAGAATGTTTTCATTCTTTGGGAACTCATAGGAGGCAAGTTTCCTAGTAAATGAGTAGACGTATTCTATTTTCAAGAGGGGCTTGGAAGCCAAATTTCTGCTTCCTATGTAATTCTAGCTTTAACCAGAAGTTAACCAGGCTAATAATCAAGTTTCTTTGCATCCCTTGCAATGTAGTTCAAAATTGCTCCCTAAGCGTTTTCAGATACGTCTTGCTATTTCTTGACTCTCATGTTACCAAATTTCTTGCACTCCTGACACATGCACAATTTTCCTGGAATGAGATTTCAGTTTACTTCACCTGGATAATTTCCACCTTCTTAAAACTTCAGCTCAGGCTTCTAGCTTTCCCAGGGAGCCTCTTTCATACCCTGCCTCTTCCCTGCTTCCTGGGATCCTGGGCATCTATCTAAGTATTTACCAAGTTAAATTAAACTTTTTCAATTTTAGTCTGGACAATATTTTTTTCATTTTGAGTCTTAGGGTTGATGAAGTAGTTAGTGTTCAATAACTGTTAGTTGGATTAAATTAGACCGAATTTCTGAAGAATGATTTTAAAAATACCTCTCTCTGTCAGTCTGTCTGTCTCTCTCTGTTTCTCGGTTTCTCTACCTCTTTCTCTCTTGGGAGAAAAACAACCAAAGATGTGAAATCCTATTTAGTCCTCTTTCAAGGAGTGAATATTTTTCTTTAAGTAGGGTGGACATAAAAAATTTCTAGAGAGCAAGGGGTAGACTAAACTATATCTAAAAGGCATTCATTCATTCAACAAATATTTACTCAGTATCTTCCACTGTATCTTCAATGTAGGCATTGTAGGCATTGAAGATACAAGATGTAAAGCTTTGTTCCTAATCGTAAGAAGCTGTTAATCAAAGAGTGAAACATGTAAAGAGATAATTTTGGTATGGTAGATGAGAAAACCAAGAAGTTACCCCTATGATGACATAATCAAAGGTTCAAAGGGTTCCAAAACATAGGAAGGAAGTCTTCTTCTAATAGCACCTAAATAAATTTGTTTCTAATTTCTCACCATCCATACACTTTATAACTATGTATAATTTTGTTTACACCCCTACTATTTCACTTAAATGGCTTTGTTAAAGTCAATAATGACCTCCATGTTGTAAAATCCATTGATATTTTTCATTTTATATTATTTAACTTATTAGCAAAATTTAACATAGTTTCTCATGCCCTTTTATAAATACCCCCTTCTCCTGGGTTTCTAAGATACCCTGCTTTCTGGATTTTTCTTCAATGCCGCTGATGACTCTCTTCCCCATTCTCCTTTATAGATTCCTGACCCAGAGGCAGGTTGGCTGTGAAGTTGATAAAAGCATAAGGTTTAGGACCCCTCCATTGCATGGACCTCTTCCAAAACCCCAAGAAAGGGCTAACATGGTCATATGTTTCAGCAAAATTTGCAAAAGTAGGATATTTTAACCACAACGGTTAAAGCAACAGTCATTTTTTCACTCCAACTTCCCCATCCCTCTTGCCACAATGTTCAGTGGTATTAGATTGTCTGTAGGCATTTTGGGAATCCAGTTACAGGGAGTTTGGGTGGAGGTTATGTTTCCTTTGGATTTAGTGGATTACATGTATGTGATACATACAATCATGTCATGTTAATGAGGCTTTTGCCAAACATCCCATTGGCCAACTCACCTGCTGCTAGGACATGAGGGTACAGGGCCAAAGGTAGCACCATGACATGAATGTGTCTATGGCCCCAACACTGGGTAAATATTGGTAGTATAGAGGAGAAAAATGCTAGCAGAAAGACCAGATTACCTTTCTGTTCTCCTAGTGGAAAATAATATTATAAAATCTTTGTTGAATGAAAAATAATTGGAATATGCAGGAAAAAATAGGGGGAAAACCATTTGAAAGTGGATCAGGCAGTTAAGACTTACAAATATTAATCAATTTTCCTGCATTATGTGATGTTTGTAGTATTTATCCTCATTTTTACACCTGTAATTTATTGCAATTAATTTATCATTTTAATGTATCCAGTTTTGCATTATAAATTTTTATTATTTTCCTTGAAGAAGGCCCTCTAAATTACATAAGCCCATAAAATCTAAGTTCATTACTGAGTTGCCCATACCTGCCCTCTTAGCCCACTAATGCTTACATCCTTTCCTAGGCAATATTGTTCCCATGGTTTTAAAAGCCATTTATTTGCATATGCGTCTTTGTTGGTTGATTTGGATCTGGCTTTGATCACAAAAGAACTGGAACCTGAAATTTTTTAAATACCTTCTTTATTTTTATTAAAATTTTCAAAATTGAAAGACTAACAAAACAGGCTATGAACTCTGGTTCCAACTCAGTATGACCCTTGGAAAATGGGCCAACCTCTTTAATTCCCCTCATGTCCTCTTCTGCAAAATTTTATATCACACAGGCAGATCCGGAAGAACCCAATTAAATACTTTGTTTCAGGGCTTATGATGATTGATAAATAAACAGTTCTTTTGTTTTTATATGTTGAACTAAATTAAATTAGTACAACCTGCCAACCACTTTAGCATTTGAATTTCAAGGAAAGGAAGCAATTCTAGGGGAAAGAGTGTTTTCAAAAGAGAAACACTCTTGTAGAGACATGGAAGTGGGCTGGGATTGACTGAAAGAAGACAGATTTATTGGCAGGTTTGTGAGAGTCTGGGAATGCTTGGAAGAGGTTACTGATATTCTTGAGATAGAAGAGGGAGTCCAATTAGTAACATAGATACACTTTGAATTCATTCCAGTGGGTTATTATACTGATTCTGAATCATCAAGTACTTTATTATGTATCTATGTATTATTTATTGCAGTTAACTGTGGTATCAATTCTTTTAGAACTGTGGTTCTTGTACACACCCTACCTTTGGAGCATTTTCTCCCTTATCTGTTAAAGCCCAGAGAACAGCAATAATTTTAGGTCAGTACTCAGACTTTCCTAGTCATTGTGCTGTCCACAACTGGACTGGTACCCTCCATAGGTACTGAACTGGCCTCCTTTATAGATAGGAGGAATGCATGAAAAGGAAGTTTGAGAAGGCTATATTATGAATGGGATATGGTTGGATTCACTCCAGGATAAAATCCTAATAAATAAGAAGCAAAAGTGAGAAGAAATCAGAGTATGTGACCAGATAATTGATATTTTGCAGAGTAAAAGGAGGGCTGCTGCAAAAGTGTGCATCACTGCCCCTCTGAATATGTTCTGCCTCTTGCATGCTCATGTGTTTGTGTCTTCCTGTCTATGAATCATTATGTGTCTCTGGTGTTTTTACATACCTATATGAAGAATAAGTGGGTCAATCTGAGTGAGCTCTGAGGCCTCTATTGTGTCTGGAATTCTATAACTCTGTCATTTTGTGTTTTTATCAGTGTTCACCTATATATTATTGTATATGCTGTCATAAATGTATCCTGGGTATTTTTTGCTCTGTACCTGCATAGTTATAATGGAAGTTAGTGGGAGGAAGTCTTTCCTCCAACCTTATGACTTAATTAGATAGATGAATGGAAAAACTTCTCCCTTGTTTTCTCGCTTCCTGGCCAGTCTTGGAACTGCCAAAACTTTGGAATTTTTACAGAATGAATCAAAGGTGATTTCACTTGTGATTGTTAATTTTGTATCAACTTGACTGAGCTATAAGGTGCCCAGATATTTTGTCAAGCATTATTTTGGGTGTGTCTGTGAGGATGATTTTTGGGTAAAATTAACCCTGGAATCATCAGTTTCAGTAAAGGAGATTACCCTCCCTGATGTGGATTGGCCTCATGCAATCAGTTGAAAGCCTGAATAGAATAAAAAGGCTGAACCTTCTGTGAGTAAAAGGGAACTTTTCCTGACTTACTGCCTTGAGCTGGACTATCAGTCTTTCCTTTCCTTCAGGCTCAAATGGAAACATTGGCTCTTCTTAGGGCTTGATTTCGCCAACTTTTGAACTGAAACTTACACCACCAGCTCTTCTGGGTCTCCAATCTGTTGGTTGCACATCTTGGGATTTCTCAGGCTCCATAATCACATTAGTCAATTCCTTATAATAAATATCTTTACACACACAGACACACACACACACACACACACACACTCACACACATGTCCTCTTGTTGGTTTTGTTTGCCTGGAGAACCCTGACTAATATAACACCTAAGAAATCTGTGAGAATGAATGGGGTGGGTTTTTGAAGGCCTGCTTAGAAATGGGGCTTTGGGAATGACTCTGAGGAATTATAGACAGAGAAAGAGAGGGCCTAAGTGATTCACAGTTGCCTCCCACCTGGCTTAATTTCAAGGAGGGAGGTGATTCTAATCATGATTATAGTAGTTTAGATTTTGCCTGAAATACGTCCGTGGGAAATTTCAAAACCTATGTGAGGAGACTGCCCCTAAATTTTGTGTAGCTAAACGTGGCCCATACAGGAATGAAATTCTAAACCCTTGAAATTTAACTTCAGATTTCCTTCCTTATTTTTTGGTGAGAGCTAAATTAGTAGAGTGTAGTGGAAAATTTGCTAGACTGAAATGTAGACCGTGTGCTCCAGCTCTGCCTGTTTCAGCCAAGTGGAGGCTGTTTTGGCTCTTTGGGATTCACTCAGTTCTCTCATCTTTGATGTTGAGTTAACACATGCAGGTCACAGTGTTGCTGTGCAAATTGAGCAGACTAAGGAATTAGAAGCTGATTTCTGAACTGGGATGGACTGTTGATGTGAACATTCACACCCAAGGATTCTTCAGGAATAGTAAGCAGGTGTTATCATGGAGTTGAAGAAGTCCTGGCAAAGTGAAATCTGAAGTGTTGGTGCTGCCTTATCATAAATCGGAATCTGATATGCAACCTTTTAAATCTATATCAGGGATAAGTACAGGGTCAGTGACTTGTTTCAACTTCCTTAACCTCTTTAAATCTCAGTGCCTTCTGTATAATGACCATGGTGATGTCTCCCAGCCTGCTTCTGGGATTCACAAAAGGACTGATAGAAATGTTGGGGGTCAAAGTTGGTGAAAGTGTGAGTTAAAAGATGATAGATAACATAGTATTAAATATACGTAAACTCTTTGATCCAGCAATTTCCTCAGATCTATCATTCAGAAATATTCAACACATACCTTCAAATATATACACACACATATGTTCATTACAGCATTCTTTACTAGAGCAGAGAAACATCCTAAGCAGTCATCAATCATAACTGTTTAAGTTAATAACGGTTTATAAGTCAAAAGAAAATATAGTGAAACTTTAAGAACAACAGAGTAGATCTATGTGTACTGACATGAAAACATATCAAATAATATATATATTTATTCAGATACAAACACACACGTATCTGCCTGGAGAGAGAGTGTGTGAGAGAGAGAAAGGACCAAAAGAAAATCACAAAACTAACATATAGCATAATCCTCTTTATTATTTTAAAAGTTCTTGTGTAAGTATATGGACACATAAGAAAGGAAATGCATAGAAAGTCTAGAAGGATACATCAAGCTCTTAATGATGGTTACTTCTCTGGGTGGGTATTGGGATTTGGACAGAAATATAGAAAAGATTTTTCACTTTACCCCTATATTCTTCAGTATAATTATATATCCATGTAAGCAAAATGTAAAGAAAAAATATATATAATATTATTGTTGTTTAAAATAGATAACATATATGCAAGTGTAAGGTACCAATAACACTTGCATAAAACTATAAGAGTGAAGATTACAACCTATTTCCTTTTCACATCACCTAAATGAATATATTTCCAATGATTTATTCCAGTAATCTCACTTGTGTTTTAGCTTTTATCTGTTTTAAAAATAAGAATAGACTACAGTGAAAATACCTCTTTATTGAGTTTGTGCATTTTTTCCTTTCTCTGTCTTATTCTCCTCTCATGTACCCTTACACAGTGCTTCTCCAACTTCCATGCATAAAAATCAACTGGAGGGCTTGTTAAAGCACACATCAGGCCCCCAACAACAAAGACTCTGATACATTAGGTCTGAGTGAGCTCTGAGAACTTACATCCTTAACAAAGTCCCAGGTGATGAGGATGCTGTTGGTCTGAGGATTCCACTGTGAATAGATCTGCCCTAAAACCCCACCCAGAAAGCTCATATTAATATCTTACTTTATTCTGCTAACATTTATTAAGCACTAAAGTGTGGTAGGCTCAGTGCTAGGTTCTGAAAATCTAAAGTTGAAATAAAATCTCTATCACCAAGTATTTGGTTGGTGTAAAAGTAATGGTGCAAAATTGTAATTGCTGTTTCCCCCATTGAAAGTAATGGCAAAAACCATAATTACTTTTGCACCGACCTGATAGTACACAGCTTCATGGAGGATAGGGGAGGCAGACAAGTAAGAGGATAATTCTATTACAGTATAAGTGCTACATTAAACATGTGATGAGATCACAGAGCATGGACCTTTCATGGAGGTACAGTTGGTAAGAAGTAGAGGATGGAGTTGGGGGAAGAGATGCTGACATGGTTTTATACCACAGGACACCTGATAACAATGCCTGCTAGACAGCTGAGTACATACCTGGCTAACATGAGACAAAATCAGGAAATAAGCATAACATAATATTGCTTTAAATAAATCTCTAGGCTTCCGTCTTTTTGCTTGTAAAATGAAGGATGAACAAGTGCTCTTGCCATAGCACTCTATGCATGTGAGATTTTCTGTCTTTTCTCTTTCCATCAACCAACCCTCATTTTGCTAAGTTCTAACCATCTGAGGTGCAGTGCTCCCATGCAGCCAAGGCCAAGCCGACCCAGCATCACCTAAATGCTAGTCCATCCCTACTGTGGTGCCACATTCCTACCGTTGCTTACTCCTGTGCTCATCATCTTTCTACATTCCTCCATCTAGCCCAATGCTCCCACTATGCTAAATAATTTGAAGTTCCCAGAATGGTCATGCTCTCTCTTATATAGGATTTGCACATTTTGCTCACCTTGCCTGGAAGGACTCTATCCCCATCATCTCTTCTGGCTGACTCCTACTAATCCCTGATGACTCAGTTTTGTGTTCATGTGTCCTAGGCCCTGTCCTCTAAAACAGTATCTTTCTCCATCTGGGCTAGAGGCTGCTTCAGCATGTTCCCAGAGCACCCTGTTCTTTTACCTACTAGATTGTGCTTACATGCCTGTCTTCCACAGTGATAGCAAGTACCTCGAACACCGTGGACTGGATCTAATTCATATTTGGGCCTGGATCTGAATAAGTACCCAATAAATGTTTATTCAAGGAATAAGTCCTTGAGCCTCCTTGAGGCTTGCCTCTTACTAAGAAACTGCAATTTGTCTTATATTGCATTTATCTTAAGGTCTTGCCCTCCTCTAGGAATTGCTAACTAATAATCTGGCAGAGTATTAATGTCTGCTGGTACATTGTTTCCTCCAGAAAAGATATATAAATATATGTAATTTTAGAGCTGTAAGTATCTACAAATCACCTAGTTTAATCTCATTTTATGACATGGTTAGGCTGTGTCCCCACCCATATCTCATCTTGAATTCCCACGTGTTGTGGGAGGTACTGGTGGGAGGTAGTTGAATCATGGGGCAAGTCTTTTTGAGCTGTTCTTATGATAGTGAATAAGTCTCATAAGATCTTATGGTTTTAAAAAGAGGAGTTTCCCTGCACAAGCTCTTTTTGCCTGCTGCCATGTAAGATATGACTTGCTCTTCCTTGCCTTTTGCCATGATTGTGAGGCTTCTCTAGTCACATGGTACTGTAAGTCCAATAAATATCTTTCTTTTGTAAATTGCCCAGTCTCAGGTATGTCTTTTTCAGCAGCATGAAAATGGACTAATACAGTAAATTGGTACCAGTAGAGGTGGGTGTTGCTGAAAAGATACCCAAAAACATGGAAGAAACTTTGGAACTGGGTAACAGGCAGAGGTTGCAACAGTTTGGAGGGTTCAGAAGAAGATAGAAAACTATGGGAAAGTTTGGAACTTCCTAGAGACTTGTTGAATGGGTTTGACAAAAATGCTGATAATGATATGAACAACAAGGTCCAGGCTGAGGTGGTCTCAGGTGGAGATGAGGAACTTTTTGGGAACTGGAGCAAAGGTAACTCTTGTTATGTTTTAGCAAAGAGACTGGAGGCATTTTGTCCCTGCCCTAGAGATTTGTGGAACTTTGAACTTGAGAGAAATGATTTAGGGTATCTGGTGGAAGAAATTTCTGAGCAGCAAAGCATTCAAGAGGTGACTTGGGTGCTGTTAAAGGCATTCAGTTTTATAAGAAAAGCAAAGCATAAAAGTTTGGAAAATTTGCAGCCTGAAAATGTGATAGAAAAGAAAATCCCATTTTCTGAGGAGAAATTTAGGCTGGCTGCAGAAATTTGCATAAGTAACAAGGAGCCAAATGTTAATCCCCAAGACAACGGGGAAAATGTCTCCAGGACATATCAAAGGTCTTCACAGCAGCCCTTCCCATCACAAGCCCAGAAGCCTGGGAAAAAAAATGGTTTCATGGGTTGGGCCCAGGGTCCTTGTGCTGTGTGTAACCTACAGACTTGGTGCTCTGTGTCCCAGCCACTCCAGCCATGGCTAAAATGGGCCAAGGTACAGCTTAGGCTATTGCTTCAGAGAGTGGAAGTCCCAAGCCTTGGCAGCTTCCATGTGGTGTTGTGCCTATGGGTGCACAGAAGTCAAGAATTGAGATTTGGGAACCTCCATCTAGATTTCAGAGGATGTATGGAAATACCTGGATGTCTGGGCAGATGTTTGCTGCAGGGAGGGCTTCTCATGGAGATCCTCTGATAGGGCAGTGCAGAAGGAAAATGTCAGGTCAGAGTCCACAAACAGAATCCCTACTGGGGCACTGCTTGGTGGAGCTGTGAGAAGAGGTCCACCGTCCTCCAGACCCCAGAATGGTAGATCCACTGACAGCTTGCACTGGAAAAGCTGCAGACACTCAACACCAGCCCACGAAAATAGCTGGGAGGAAGGCCGTACTCTGCAAAGCCACAGACGTGGAGCTGCTCAAGACCATTGGAACCCACCTCTTACATCAGTGTGACCTGGTGTGAGACACAGAGTCAAAGGAGAACGTTTTGGAGCTCTAAGACTTGACTGCCACCACTGGATTTCAGACTTGTATGGGGACTGTAGCCTCTTTGTTTGGGCCAATTTCTCCCATTTGGAATGGCTGTATTTACCCAATGCCTGTACTCCACCCCCCTCCCACTGTATCTAGGAAGTAACTAAACTGCTTTTGATTTTTAGGCTCATAAGTGAAAGGGACTTGCTTTGTCTCAGGTGAGACTTTGGATTGTGGACTTTTGAGTTAATGCTGAACTGAGTTAAGACTTTGGGGGACTGATGGGAAGGGATGATTGGTTTTTAAATGTGAGGATGTGAGATTTGGGAGGGCCAGTGGTGGAATGATATGGTTGGCGGTGTCCTCACCCGTATCTCATCTTGAATTCCCATTTGTTGTCAGAGGTACCCAGTGGGAGGTAATTGACTCATGGGAGCAAGTTTTTCCCATGCTGTTCTTGTGATAGTGAATAAGTCTCAGGAAATCTGATGGTTTTAAGCAGAGTTCCCCTGCACAAGCTCTCTCTCTCTGCCTGCTGCCATCCATGTAAGACATGACTTGCTCTTCCTTGCCTTCCACCATGATTGTGAGGCTTCTCCTGTCATGTGGAACTGTAAGTCCAATTAAATCTCTTTCTTTTGTAAACTGCCCAGTCTTGGGTATGCCTTTATCTGCAGCATGAAAACAGACCAATACACTTTAGAAACGAGAAACAGACCCAGAGAGATTATATAACATATCCAAGGTCACAGAGTTTCAGACAAATTAAAATGAGTACACATTAGTTAAGGTTTTATCCCCCAACTTCTTTTGAAAGAAGCCTTCTGCATACTTTACTTTAACCAATCAGCGTGACAGTATTCACAGCATTTTTCATTACTGCAGTTCTTGTGAAAGTTAATTTAGTGTTCAGGGCTTTTTTATGCCTTTCAAAACATACCATAAAGCAGAATTTTTATTTTAGTTATATGTTGGGCTACCATACTAGTAAATGCTTCCCTGTTAAATGAATCCTTTTATAATATTTTCACAAAATTTATTACTTTTATCAGTTCTATCTTCTCCTATTCAGGAACCATGTCCTCGTCCCTGTCTTTCAACATTTTTTAATTTAGAAAATTATTTCTTCTGGATAGTCTCTTCTCTTTCTATTTACTCCCACCTTCACCCTGAAACTTAATTGTGTGTTAAATCTCTCGTAGCCTTGACATTCCTAAATAATTTAAATGTAAAATCATTGGAAATGGGAATAAATTAAGTTATTTTTTCAAAGCTCTTATAGAAAGTATTTTTTGGGGGGTCAATTTCTAATGCACCTTTGACTTGGACATGTTCCAGGGTAGATTTTTCAATTTCATAAGATAGTATTGGGAAAAAAATTAAATGTTATGTTCCAGTCTTTCTACCTTCTCCCCTACAATATAGTATTCTGATGTTCCAACTGCACAGAAGAATCTGAAACTAAAAGTTATGACCCAATTTTCAAGGAAACTTAATCCCCTACCAGGGCTCAGTGACACATTTCTAGACTATTTTGTGGCCAGGGATTCTTTGGCATTGTAAGAAACCACATAGCACTTGTAGAAAAGAACCTGGAATCTGACTACAGAAGGTGGTTAAACTTCATTCAACTCTCAACACTTTTAAGCTTGAGATAGAATTCCTTGGAAGCCCCTTGTTTGGCCACATGGCCTAGATCTAGACCAGCATGCATTCTTCAAGGATGCCTTTCTCATTTAAAAATGATCCCTTGGCCTCCAGACAGGAGACAGGATCTTCTAATGCCCTGAATATTTTATAGGTTTATATTTGTTGGTTTAAATTTTTCATGCCTTATTTTAAAAAGGCTTCTCCACCCCTGCACTACTCTCTGGACTTCATCCACCAGATATGTGTTGTTGAAAACAGATAGATCCCTGTGTACTGTACTAGATGTAAATAGAGGGTCCATAAAATCAAATGCCAAACAGGATCCGGTACATAATGTAAATGGGTGTGGCAGCTGTGATGATGACTGAAGTGAGCTGTAGAGCCCATGTTCTGTCAAAAGAGAGGAGGGAAAACATGAATGTCTGTGTGAAATGTCCCAATTCAAAATGGAGTTTGCTAAATCCAACTACTTTTAAGAAATGTGAACCAAATCTTATAAACTGGATTTGGCTTATGGTCCTCTAGTGTGTGACTTATGTTTACAGATTAGCTTTTCTTTTATAGGTTATATAAAGTGAGTGAAACAGTGATGACAATTATGTGAATGTACAGTACTAGAAATTACTATTAAAGGAATGCACTGTTTTTCTCAAAATAATTTTTCTTTACTTTCCTTTGCTTTCTTTTCTTCTATCTCACTTTATTCTTGCTTTCCTAAAATAATACATACGACTTTCTCTAATGCCAGTCAGCCATGTATATGTATATATGTATACCTACATGATCATGTATTATACAATATTATATATGTTAAATGAATATGAAATGCATATACATGTGTATATAATGTCATATTACATTTGCGTATATCATATAAGAACTATCATATATAATAATCATACATTCATGAATGATTTGAAATATACTATTATTTGCACTCACACATCTTCCATCTTTTATTTGGAAATAAGATATTTGGCAATGCAAGCATTTAGAATACAATTGTAAACTTAGAAATAAATGTTAAAAAATCTTCATAAAACCTCTGTACTTTCTTTGCAAAGGAAGATGATGGTTTTTCTTCTAGACAATCATGTATAACATAAGGCAGCAAATTGGAAGCAGCACGTTGGACAGGTGTGGTGACGAAGATGACTCCTTAGCAGCCTGCGCATCCCACTTTCCAAAAGGAGGTGGGCATGCTTTCAAGCAGAGTCTTAAACTGTCGGCTTGCAGGCCCAGTTACAATGCTCTTAAATGATTTGAATGTAATGCCTTTCCAGTTTCATGGCCCTCACCGCTCCAATAGGAGGCCCAGCTTTCCTTATGGACATTACATGCCTAGTCTTTGAAGTCATTTGCATTTGCAACCCTTGTGTTAAGAGCGTTACAAAAGACACAGCAAAGGTCATGTGTCATCAGAAAAATGGAAGAGGCTTTGAAAAAGCCACCTCTGCAGTGCTGAGTCCAAGAAGTATTTTGCAGAAGGAATAAATATCAACTTACATTTTCATTTGCAGAAATCTTTGGCACCTCTTGTTGAGCACCAACATTTCAGGGTTAGATAAGAGCATGTCTCATTATGTTTCTTTCTTTCTTTCCATATGAATCTTTCCTTTCTTTTCTATGGCAGTGGCCCCTAACCCCTTTTCTTTCAGCTACTTTCACTCACTTCAAGCCTGGGTGAGGAGTAATAGTCTTTTGACTGAGCTTGTCCTGCTGTTCCTCTGAATGCAGGTATTCTCATTTTTTAGACGTGGTGTGTGTGTGCGCGTGTGTGTGTGTGTACATGCACACGTACACTCATTTCTAATTCCTAAGACAAAGCTTAAGAGGGATAATGACAAAAATAGCCAAAATAGAAGTTATACTACTTGAACAAATTAAAATTTTATTTTAATTCTAGCCAGCCTTTTCAGAATGCCCTTCCTACATAGTACTGAAAACTTTTAATAACATAGCTAGAATTTTATTTTAGATGTGCTAGCATAAGCTACCTAGACTTTAACTCAAAGTAGAATCAGAATAGAACTGCTACTAAGCCCAGTGAAATACTCTATCCCTAATAAAAACCCATTTACTTACCTTGCTCCTGAGCTTGAGCCCTTGTGGTTGTTCCCTCAAGGCTCTTGAAGTGCAGAAATCACTTTCTACCTGCCTGTGTGCTGAAGGCTTGTGCCTGAGGGTTCAAAGCTATTCCATAATCATTTCTTAGACATCCCTTCCAACCCTCAGTGAACGCTCAGGGTAAAAAGACTGTTTTCTCTCTGGTCTAAAGATTCCTCCTCTGGACTTCTGACTACCCTATGGTCACATTTTTGGAAACTCAACTAGTGATCTCCCTTGGAAGTCATGGGGTCTCCAGGTCATGCTGTGTCTCACAATGACTAGAGTGTTTCATTAAATGTGTCAATTACTACTTTTAGAACCCAGTTCTCTGATGAACCATGCCTGATGTTTCTAGTTCTACTCCAAAGGAATAGTGGTCTATTTAACCTAGACAAATATAGCTGGACATCAATGATTTAACCCAGCATTTTCTAAGACATGTTTTGTAAAACCCTACTAATATTCCACAGTAAAATACATTTAGGAAACCTTGAATACTATCACCCTTTTGGGAAAGTCAGCATTTGCATAACATATTAAGGCCTCTGAAATCTTCTTTAGTAAAGATACGTGATCAGTTTTTGATGCCAAGTATGTTCCAACTTAATTGGCCATGGAAGCATCCCCCGCCCACCCCCGGCTTCCCGCCCATAGAGTGACTTTTTAACATCACTTAATATCTTAAAGACCACTGGTGCAGAAATGTAGACACTTTCTGGTGCCATCTTGCAATATTACTTTTTTTTCCAATCAATGCCTTCTTTCACTTTCCTAGGTGACTATTTCACCCCATCATCTCTCTCCTCAACTTCCAATAGCCCTTCCACTCTCTTCATTCTGGACCGATGACTTGATTCTCACTTCAGTCACTGAGAAAATAGAAGCAATCGGAAGAAAACTTCTCTATCCACTCATTACCAAATTTTGCGCATTATTTGCACCTGTGCTATAGATTCAGCCTCCTCTTCTGTTATAGTGAATCAATTGCCTGCGCCCCAATGCAAGGTTAGCACTGCAGGTGTCATGATGAAGCTCATTCCTTTTTAGCTACTTGAGAACTTTGCTCCTCCAGGGATGCCATTTGTCTCCTTCATCATTAAATTCCTCCCCCACTACATTATTTCCCAACATGCAAACATATTATACTGTCTCTTATATTAAAACAAAACAACAATACAAAACCCCTCTCTTGATTCCCATATACCTTTCCAGTGAGTACCCATTTCCTCTGCTCTGGTTTACAGGAAAATTCTTGAAGGAATTTGCTATACTCAGTATCTCTCTTATCTCTTTTTATCTTCTCTGTAATTTTGCCCTCAGGAACAGTTCTTATTTGGCATGACCCTCGATATTGATAAATCAAACAGCCAATTCTCAGTCCTCATACTCAGGCTTTGAACCAGTCAATCATTCCCTCCTTTTTGAAATTCCTTTTTTCCCATGAGTTGAAATAGATCTAGATGGTTTATTATTTCTGGCACAGCAGGCAGCATGACTTTCTTTTTTGCATTGGTTCCTCTGTCTCCCAAGTTCCATGAAGTTGTTGCAAAGGCAGCCTAAGTAGATGCTGTACACACCTTTCTGGTGTTCCAGCTTTTGAGCTTTGAGTTTAGAAAACTCTAATCTTTTAAAGTCGCTGACAACAATCCTGCCTGACCTTTGACCCTCAGAAAGAAATGATCATTTATTACCTTGGTCAAGAAACAAATCTGCCCTTTAACCCAGAGAGAGATACTATTTTAGCTTTCAAAGCTGTTTAGTATACAAACATCTTTAAAAAGGTCCTTCCCAACAAAGTTCTCACATGTAGAAACATCACAGAGAATTGTTTCCCAACCAAAACTCCTGCCTGGAGTTATCCTCTCATATTTATATGAATTTCTCCTCCCTCTTTTCATTCAGATCACTTTCAACTGTCACAAGCTTTCTTTGACCACCTCCCCTTTTCTTCTTTGTTTTTCTTTGTAGCACTCAGCTCTATCTGAAATGGTATTGCATATGAATTTAATGCTAGGTTGGCTATCTATCCTATTCAAATGCAAATTCCAGGTGCCTAGAACTTTGTTTTGTTCACTGTTGAATCCTAGCTCCTGGAAGAGTATTTGACAGGGTAGGTGATCACTAAATTGTTGTTAAACGAATATATGGATAATTCTGTTCAGTAACCCTGTCTACCTCCTCAGATTTTTAGAATGAATCACTCAGATGTCCCGTCCGCATGCAAAGAAGTAAGACTTATAAAATTATATTCTTTCAATATAAAAAAGTAGCTTAACCACAAAGGGAACATTATTGCACACAATTTGCACAAAAGGAAGAAGAGAATAATTTGTTAATGTATCCCTCTGTGAACCTTGAGTGTTCTCTGAACCTTGATTAACAATAAAGAGACGTGTATATTTTAAAATTATTTCCAAGGAAAGTGGTTAAATATTTTAGAAAACCTTAAATCTTTAAGAGAAAGGCTTCAGTTATCAGGAAAATTTACTAACATGGAATATGTGTGATTATCTTAATTAATGAACTATGCTGTATTGCATTATCTGGTTCAGTCATTGACAGAATATACTAAGAATAAACAGAATGCCTTTGCTGTAATCTAGCCTTGTAGTTAGATTAAAAACAACAACAATGACAACAACGCACAGTTGATTCACGTAATTTTCACTGAATCTTGTCATATATGACAGCCATGTGTCCCACCCACACAAGCCTTAGCAAGTATTTTTTTTTATTTTTTAAAGTGTGTGTTCTTTTGCCTGATTTATTTTAAGATCCAGGTTCTAATTGTATTCAGATACTTAGCCAGGTGACCTCTGTTGGTTTATCTGATTTCTCCGTCCATTGGGCAGTCACTTTAGTCTTGAGTACAGATCAGAAGAAAACTTCTCTTCTTTCAGTTCTCGAGCCTATTAAGGTTTTGTTGTTGTTGTTGTTCCAGTAGCGTTAGCGAGGTGTGAAGTTGATGAGCTCCCACCCTCTGTATGCTAGTTCTTCAATGGATTAGAAGCTCAAGAATAGGAAGATAACATTTCAGTGGCAGCAAACCCAGGAAGCAGAGCATCGTGGTCTCCGCCTGAATCACTGATTGAATCATCTGTGTGCCTGGGACAGTAGGCAGGCCGATTTCAGGCCACCATATGTGTGTGAGGCCTGGCTGTGTTCTTCTCCTGGACTTTGCTCTGGGTGCTAATTGCTTTAGTGAGAGAAACTGTGCAAAGCAATTAAACAGCCCCCTTCCCTCACAGTCCTAGCTCTCAAAAGCTAGGGGCTGGGACAGGGCTCCTGCTCTCCCAGTGGGTTGCAAATTGCTCAGAATGAATAAATACATTTGTTCACTTTTCAAACTGTGACCAGCCACCTGGTCTCTTGTGTTGCTCTCAGAGCAGAGAAGGCAGATGACGGGCTCCTCATTGCTGAACTCCAGCCCATAAAAATGCTTCACCGCACTCTGAGCTATTTTTGCAAGGACATCTGTTGCCAAAAAAGAATTTTAATTAAGCAAAAACACATCTCTGTTTTGTCCGTGGCAAGGAGGCTTGTGAAAGCTTTCTTGTCTCAGATGCATGCTAAATCTGGAGAAATGGAAGCTTTAAGGTATTTTGTGAGGGACATTTTGCTGCTCAATTTGAGGGACACAACAGATTTTCCATGGGAAGGAAATTATTGGAAGTGCATGTTTGCGCTTTTCAAAATAAGGCCCAGACTGCATTAATAATTAATTGTACGTAATATAATCTGACATGTTACCCCATGGTTTGATAAAGTCGAAAGCTATTTCCACAAGGCAACTTGCCGGTTCTTTTGTTCTCATCCAATCTTCTTCCCAGGTGATATTCATCATTTTAACATCAAGCTTCCAGAACACCACATTAACACATAAATTAGAGGACCTGGTGCTGCACTGGCGGTTATAACTAGTCTAGATGTAATTGTCCAATCAGAAAGGAAAAAAAAAAAAAGGAAAGTGATAAAAGAAGTCAGAAAGCAGGTTGTAGACATTAATACTGCATAAATTGCTTAAGATTGGGTTGGAGAGTGGGGAGGCAGCCTATCTCTAGTTTTCATAAATGCAAGTATATTGAGTGCTTTTTTCACTCTTCAAACACTGACATAATAGCAGATACAAATTCTTCATATATGAAACTGATTCTGTAACCATATACCCTTCAATTCCCTTAAGTGCCTTTCGGGGCACCCTCTTTGGCAGCACAAGCATATCAGACAAGCTGACTACAAGAGGGGCACTTTCAAGTAGCAGGCCCCGAGGGGCATTGCTGGGCAGCATGGCAGGATGAATTACCTGATAATATTAAGGTTGTTTCTGACCACTTCTATTAGGGGTTGGCGTCACTCATTTGCCCTCTCAGAGGGTGGACAGAGAAGATCATCTAGGCTGAAGCTGAAGGAGCTCGTATTTCTACAGGATAGGATCTTTGTAGACAGGAATCTAGCTGTTACATCAAGGACTGGAATACAGAATCTCGTATTATACTTGAAACTTACAGTGTTTCTTTCGACTCTGAAATCTTTCTGACAATTCAATGCCCTCTTTTTGAGGTTTACTCATCATTAGGAGTAGCAGGGGGAAACAAAGTGGTTTTTTTTGTTTTTTTGTTTTTATTTTATTTATTTATTTTTTAGTTTTTCCTTTCTAAGGATGGTGGCCATTTTGTTAGTGATTGCCAAGATACTCACTATCCCCCGTCCCCACCAATTCTTAACAAGATTAGTTTTGTTCTACCTAATGCATAATATAAAGAGCATGAATCTCCCAGGTCTCAGTCCCCTCACCTAAATAAATATTTATGGAATTAAAGTGCATATCACTAATCCTTTCAACACTTACCAGTTTAATAATGGTTCTTCTGAGGGCAGTGATGATAACTGCTTGTGCAAATTTAATTTAAAGTTTGCTTTCAACTTTGTTTTCTTTAGACTTGCTATTTGCAAGTTAAGAAGAAAAGAAAAATATATTAGCTAACAAAACTGCCAAGTCCCAGGTTAAAAGCTTCAGAAACCACTAAATCCAAGGCCTCAATCAATGTCATCAGAACTCAGCCTGTTCTTCTATATGCTTTCCTCTATGATGACATTTTCTCAGGCAGGCCTTTCTACTTGATGGTGTCAAGCAGCTCCTGCCTCAACTTATCCTTGCAGCACTTCCTTTCTGTTGATTCTAGCAAGGAACTAGACTCTAAGTACCCTGGTGAGAGCATAGACTGGTGTGGACTGCCTGGGTCTGCATTCTGACTCTACCATTCACTAGCTATTTGATCTCTTCCAGGAAATTTATACTCTGTGTCTCAGTTTCCTTATCTGCATATTAAAGATAATAGTAATTCCTACTTTGTAGGCTTGTTGGAAGTATTAAATAAGTTTAATGCATGTGCCAAGCATATAAAATTTACTGTTGTTATATACCATCCATGAAAATTAATACTGTGGCTGGGGTATAGAATGCATTGATTGGACAAACCTGAATCAAGTATCTTCTCTGGAAACTGGGATGTCATCTTCTCACACTTAAATCACAAGGGTGAAGAATAAAAAGGGAGTCATTCCCTAAAATAAACCTGGGAATCTCTTATAAGGCCAGATAACTGATGCCAACAACCTTAGTAATTTATTACAACTAGCCAAGGGATTCTACAGTATTGGCATTTCTTAGAATCTAATCAAACAAAATAGTGGAGGTGAAAATGTGTTTTAAATAACAAAACACAGTAAGATCTCAATGTGATTGGGTCATTGACTTGCTCTAGACACTCAGTAAAAGCACAACACTGTTCTAAATCCTAAAAGTGGATACACAGCAGATCTGGCCTTTCTTATCACGGACTTCACCATATTATTGAGAACACAGACACTGAGGCACAGCAAATAACTGACTTGTGTTCAACAAGAAACAAGGGCAAAAGAGTCTTATATAAATAAACAATGGTGAGGTCGACAATTATGAAGACATCAGAGTAGCTAGTTCTAATCATAAAAGATTTATTAAAGGAAATCATTTGCTAATGGAAATTTGAAACCACAGAATAAGGCAATATTGAATTATTAACCCCCCAAAATAACTTTTCCACACCCCCATAATATTGAACTTGAGAGATCTGTTGCATTGAATCTAGATTAAAGGAACAATTCAACCACTTCCCCAGTCGTCAAAACCTTTTACCTGGCTTAGGCACTGTGGGCACTTTTCTCAGCTAAGTGGTGGAATATAGTCACATTATTATCTTAGGATTAATCATAAAGCCATACTGATTCCTTGGTGGATCATCGGAATCTTTTGGAATAATGGAAAAAGGCATAAAAAAAGCCTTTGTATCTAACTTCAGCGTTAGTTATCACTCCCTTATCTTGCTTAATGTTTTTTCATGTATGACAAGTGACCCACTCTTTCATTTGCTGCATAATAGGCAAAAGGAAAAGTTAATTTTTTTAACTGATTGACCATGATTACTCATGTAGGTCCTTTGTAAGGCAGACTGCTCAGCTAATTAACATAGTAACATCAATCAATATGATATTTAGGAAACTATGTGCTAAGACATCTGTCTACTGACTTGTAAAGGTAAGTTAACACATAAGAGGTGGGTCGTGGGAAAATTGGTTTTTCTCAGAAGCAATCTACATAAAAAGCACAACATGGTCTTCAGTTAGCCCCTGCCCTTTGTAACAGAGAATGTTTAGTCTGAGATGTCACACTTAGTGGGAGCCGCTAAAGTAATTACATAATTATAGTCTCCAGCTACACTTCATTTTGTGTAGTTTAATAATTTTAAAATAGCATATGCTCCCTCCTTCTTCCTTAGAGTAATAAGGTAAGGAAAGGGGAAGCAGCTGCTGTGCTTAAGGGTTAGGGATCCTCAATGGCCCTCATACAAAGACTGTCAATAAACTGGCATTCTCAATAAAACCGTGCATTTGCAAAGCAAATAAAGTCTCTAGTCAAAGCTCCTCCCCAAGTCACCACAAATAGACATGCAATCTAAATAAATAGCATTGTCTTACCTATGAAAACATGATTTCAAGGCAGATTCCATAGTTCTCCAGATCCAACCAGTAACTTCTCTACTGCCCCTCTAAATAGAAATTGTGGGTCTGCTATTGGAAAGAAGCAAATATCACAATAATCATTTTACCATTGAGGAATCCGAGACTGACTTGTGCAAACTCAAATAGATCTTCCCTGTTCTATCTATTCAACTGTGCTACACGTGTCAGTGCTTAGAACAGTATACTGTAGTTTTAATTTAAGGAATACCATCAAAAACAGGATATATAGGGCATTACTTAGCTACTTGTGGAATTAAGCTATGAATGGGATTTTTGAGCCAAATTACCAAAGGGTGTGATCTTTTAAGATTCAAGTTGGGGAGGTCAGACATCTAGAATGGTGAGGTAAACACCTCCAAACATTTACTTCTTTATAAAAGCAAAAAGAACATGGCAAAATTGTCAAAATCAACATTTTTGTAGCTTTTGAAATTAATCAAAGGCTTAAGACAATCTACAGAGAGTTTATTCGAGAAAACTAGATAAATCTTGATAAAAACATTGAGTTTGGTAGAGATTTATTTAGTTATTTACTAAATTGTGGTTAAAAACACATAAAATAAAATTTACTGTTTTAGCTATGTACAGTACAGTAGTGCTAACTTTGTTACATTATTGTGGAATAAATCTGCAAAACTGAAAATCTGTACCCATTAAACAACTACTTCCTCTCTCTCCTGACCCTGACAACTGCCATTCTACTTTCTGTCTTTATAAAATTAACTACTTTAGATATCTCATTTAAGTCAATCATATAGTTTTTGAATTTTATGACTGGTTTATTTCATTTTGCATAGTGTCCTCAAGGTTTATCCATGTTGTATAATGTGGCAATATTAACTTCTTTTTTATATACCACGTTAGGTATATAAAACTTCTTCTTTATCCATTCATTCATGGACATCTGGGTTGTTTTTACGTCTTAGCTATTGTGAATAGTGCTGTAAATACCTCTTCAGGATCCTACTTTCAATTCTTTTGGTTATATACCTAGAAGTGGGATTGCTGTTTCATATGGTAACTTGTTTTTAAATTTTTGAGAATCTGCTATATTGTTTCTTATTGTGGGTATACTATTCCCACCAACAGTTCACAAATTATCCATTTTTTCCATATTATTACCAAAGTTTTTTTGTGTGTTTACAAAATAGTTGTTCTTTTCCTTTGTTTTTGTTTATTTGATAGTGCCATCCTTATGTGTATGAAGTGATATTTCACATAGTTTTGATTTCCATTTTTTTAATGATTAGTGATGTTGAGCATCTTTTCATATGTTCATTGGGCATTTGTATATCTTCTTTGAAGACATGTGCATTCAGGTTCTTTGCCCATTTTAAAATCACGTTTTTGTTGTTGTTGTTGTTGAGTTGTGGAAGTTTTTATGTATTCTAGATATTAACTTCTTATGAGATGCATGTTCAGAAACATTTTCTCCCACTCCATAGGCTGCCTTTTTATTCCATTGATTGTTGCCTCTGATGCACAAATGTTTTTAAATTTAATGTAGTCCCATTTGTCTGAATTTGCTTTTATTCCCTGTGATTTTGGTGTCATATTCAAACAAAATCATTCCAAATCCAATGTCATGAAGTTTTTCCCTTGGAGTTTTTATAAGACTTTTATAGTTTTAGGTCTTTGTTTAGGCTTTTAATTCATCTTGAGTTAATTTTTATGTATAGTGCAAGATAAGGGTCCAACTTTATTCTTTTGCATGCAGATACTCAGTTTTTTCAGCATCATTTGTTAAAGAGACTGTCCTTCGCCCATTGTATCATCTTTGTAGTCTTTCAAAGTTCATTTAACCGTATGCATGGGAGTTTATTTCTGGACTCTCTATTTTGTTTCATTGGTCTGTATGTCTGCCTTTATGCCAGGACCATGCTACTTCAATTACTGCAGCTTCATAATAAGTTTTGAAATTAGAGAGTGTGAAGCCTCCAATTTTATTCTTTGGAAGATTGTTTTGTCTATTTAGGGTTCCTTTAGATTCCATACGAATTTTAGTATTTCTTATTTTTTTCTGCAAAAAACACATTGCAATTTTGATAGGCATTGCATTGGATCTGTAAATCACTTTGAGTTGAATAAGTAGTTTAACAATATTAATTATTCCACTTCATAAGCACAGATGTCTTTCTATTTATTTGTGTCTTCTTTAATTTATTTCAGGGATATTTTGTAGTTTTCAATGTACAATCTTTTGTCTCCCTGGTTAAGGTTATTTCCTAAGTATTTTATTATTTTTGATGCTGTTGTAAATGGGTTGCTTTCTTAATTTTCCTTTCAGATTGTTCATTGTTAATGCATTAAAAAGCAGCTGAATTTTGCATGTCAATTTTGTAGCCTGCAACTTTATTGAATTTAATTATTAATTCTAACAGTCTTTTTGTAGAATCTTTCAGGTTTTTTATAAGAAGTTATGTCATTGGAGAACACATCATTTTATTCCCTTCTTTCCAATTTTTGGATGATTTTTATTTTGTTTTCTTACCTAATTGCTTGTGAGTAGGACTTCCAGTGTTACGATAAATAGAAATGATGACAATGGGCATCATTACGTTGTTTCTGATCTTAGAGAAAAAGCTTTCAGTTTTTTACTATTGAGTATGATGTTAGCTGTAGGGTTTTAATATATGGCCTTCATTATATTGAGGTGATTTCCTTCTACTCCTAGTTTGTTGGGTATTTTATAATAAAAGATTATTGAATTTTGTCAAATGCATTTTTTCTATATAAATTGTGATAATCTCGTGATTTTGTTTTCCTTTCATTCTGTTGATTTTCATCTGTCAAACTATCTTTGCATTCCAGGAATAAATCCTACTTGGTCATGATATATAATCCTACTTGGTCATAATATACAATCATTTTAATTTGTAATTTGGTTTGCTGGTATTTTGTTGAGGATTTTCACATCAATATTCATCAGAAATATTGGTGTGCAGTTTTCTTTTCTTGTAGTATTGTTTGTGGCTTTAGTAACAGGATGATGCTGATTTTACAAAATGAGCTTGTAAGTGTTCCTTCCTGCTCAATTTTTGTTTGAAGAGCTTGAGAAAGATTATGTTTAATTCTTCCTTAAGTGTGTGGAAGAATTCCTCAGTGAAATCATCTGGCCTGGGCTTTTTTGTCATTTGTGGGAGGTTTTTGATTACTGACTCAATCTCCTACTGATAATTGGTTGATTCCGATTTTCTATTTCTTCATGATTCAGTCTTGGTAGATTATGTGTTTCTAATTTGTTGGCATATAATTGTTCATAGCAATATCTTATAATCCTCTTTATTTCTTTGGTACCAGTTGTAATGTCTCCTTTTTTTATTTCTGATTATAGTTATTTGAGTATTCTTTCTTCTTAGTTAATCTAGGTAAAGATTCTTCAACTTTGTTCATCTTCTCAAGAAACCAATTCTTAGTTTCATTGACTTTTTATTTTTATTTTTTGAAATTCTTAATTTCAATTGTTTCTGCTCAAGTCATTTTTATTTCCTTCCTTCTGCTCACTTTGGGATTCATTTTTTTCTTTTTCTATTTTCTTGAGCTGTAAAGTTAGGTTGTTTATTTGATATATTTCTTCTTTTCTTAATATAAATATTTGTTGCTATAAACCTTTCTCTTACTACTGTTTTTGCTACGTCTTACAAGTTTTGATATGTTTTATTTTTGTTTTCATTTGCCTCAGGATACTTTCTAATTTTTCTTGTGATTTCTTCTTTGACTCATTGGTTGTTCAAAAGTGTGTTAAGTCCTACATATTTGTAAATTTTCTAGATTTCCTTCTGCTATGATTTCTATTTCCATTCCATTGTGGTAAGAAAGAATACTTGGTGTAATTTCAGTCTTCTTAAGTTTGTTAAGTCTTCTACTCTGGCGTAACATGGTATTTCTAGAACAGTTTCACATGTCTCTGAGAAGAATGTATTCTGCTGTTGTTGGATGGAATGTTTGGTATATGTCTGTAAGCTCCAACTGGCCTATAGTGTTGTTCAAGTTCTGTGTGTCCCAACTAAGCTTCTGCTTGTTGTTCTATCCACTATTGAAAGTGTCTGTTGAAGTCTCCTGTTATTATTGTATTACTGTCCATTTCTCTCTTCAGTTCTGTCAAGGTTTGCTTCATATGTTTGGGAATTCTGATGTTAGGGGCATATATGTTTATAATTGTTATATCTTCCTAATGAGCTGACCCTTTTATCATTATATATATATAATGATATATTATTATATATTATATATTATTATATATATCATTATATATGTAATGACATATTATTATATATTATATATTATTATTATATATATCATTATATATGTCATTTTTTTCTCTTTTTACAGTTTTTGACTTAAAGCCTATTGTGTCTGATACAAGTGTGTCCACTCCTGCTACCTTTTGGTTAAGATTTGCATGAGATACCTTTTTCTTTTTACTTTCAGCCTAGGTGTGTCCTTAGATTTAAGTTGTCTTGCATACAACATATAGATGAATCTTGTTTTTAAATCCTTTAGCTAATCTATGTCTTTTCATGGAGGCATTTCTTCATTTATATTTAAAGTAATTACTGATAGGGAAGAATTTATTATGGTCATTTGTTAATTGAATTATGTGTGTATTGTTTGTATTTTGGCTATTTTTTTCCTCTTCTGCTATCTTTTTTCATGTTTTGTTGATTTTTTACTGTTTTGTAGTGACATGCATTGACTTCTTTCTCATTTCCTTCTGTTTATCTTTTACAGGTATTTTCTGTGTGGTTATTATGGGGATTACATTAAAAAAATCTTAAACATACAACAATCTATTTTAAACTAGTATTGACTTAACTTGAATTGCATGTAAACACTCTATTTGTTTACATCTCTGTCCCCCAGACATTTTATGTTATTGATTTTGCAAATTATATCTTGTTATTCTGTGTATCCATTGAAATAAATTTGTAGTTTTAATTTCTCTTTTAAATACTATACCAGAATTAGAAGTAATTTATGCATCAACATTACAAAACTACAGGATTCTGTTTGTCCATCTTACACATGTACCAGAGCACTTTGTATTTTCATATGCTTTTATGTGGCTATCTAGTATCCTTTTCTTTCAACTTGAGGAGCTTTCATTAGCATTTTTTTGGAGTGCAGGTCCAGTGGTAATGAACTCCCAAGGCTTCTGTTTATCTGGGAAAGTCTAAATTTCTCTGTCATTTTTGAAGGAGTTTTGTCTGATATAGCATTTCTTGTTGGCTTTTTTTTTCTTTCAGCATTTTGAATATATCATCTCACTCTATTCTGGACTGTAATGTTTCTGCTAAGAAACCTGCTGATAATCATATGGGATTATCATGAAATACGACAAGTTGCTTTTCTGTTGCTGCTTTCAAGGTTTGTTTTTTTGTGATTTTGACAGCTTGATTACAATGTGTCTTAATATAAGCTTCTTTGGGTTTAATTAGTTTGAGTTCATTAAGCTTCTTAAATGTGAAGGTTCATTTTATTCACCAAATTTGGGAAGTATTTGGCCATTATTTCTTTACTGGCCTTTTTGTCCTTTTAGCTCTTGCTTGTCCTTCTGAAATTTTCATAATGCATATGTTGGTGTGCTTAATTGTATCCCACAAATCCCTTAGGCTTTCTTCACTTTTGTTCATTTTTTTTTTCTATTTGCTCCTCTGCCTCAATTATTTCAAATGATCTGTCTTCCAGTTCGCTGTTTCCTTTTTCTGCTTGATCAAATCTGCTGTTGAACCCCTCTATTAAAATTTTCAATTCACCTGTAATCTTAAGCTCTAGAATTTCTGTTTTTTAAAATACTTTCTTTTTGTTATTTTCATTTTGTTCTTGCAGCACTTTTCTGATTTCGTTTAGTTTTGTGTGTTCTCATTTTGCTCACTGAACATCTTTATGACAGTTATTTAAGATTTTTCTTTTAGGAAGCATGTAGATCTCCATTTCTTTGGGTTTTGTTTCTGTAGTTTTATTTTGTTCCTTTAATTGAACCATGTTTCTCTGTTTCTGTGTATAGTTTAAAATCATTTGTTAAAATTTGGACATTTGAAAAAAGTCACCTCTCCCAGTCTTTACTATCTTTTTACAGGGGAAGACCATTGCCAATCAGCCTAGCTGGATATGCTGGGGTCATCTTTTCTGGGGATGTATCTTTTCTGGGCTTGAGCATGTAATTCCCAACTAAAAGGTTTTGTTCCTATTTATTTTTAAGAAATATAAAATCTCGTGCTCCTTTTGTTGTCTTTGTGTAGTAACATAGTCTCTCTAAGGCTGCAACAAGTTCCTGCACTGGCCATTATTCTCAGTAGCCTCCAGACATTCAAACTATGCTGGTTCCTGTCAGTGCTCTCAGTCAGGCGAGACAGAAACTATTCCTTTGTCCATCCCCTGAAAACTAAAGTTTTTGGTTCACAATTTTTTCTTCTCTTTCCTTCCCAAGGTAGAAGCCGTGAGTTGGGAGTTTTCTCCTAATAGTGGTATGCTCCACTTGCTAGGGATGGGGCTATAACAAGTAAATGTAATGAACATTTTACTTTTCTTTTTATATGCTCCTTTTTTTATTATTATATTTTAAGTTCTGGGATACACATGCCAAACGTGCATGTTTGTTACATGGTATACATGTGTCATGGTAGTTTGCTGCATCCATCAAACCGTCATCTACATTAGGTATTTCTCCTAATGCTATCCCTCCCCTCGCCCCGTACCCCGCGACAGGCCCCAGTGTGTGATATTCCCCTCCCTGTGCCGATATGTTCTCATTGTTCAACTCCCACTATTGAGAGAGAACATGCGGTGTTTGGTTTTCTGTTCTTGTGTTAGTTTGCTGAGAGTGATGGCTTTCAGCATCATCCGTGTCCCTGCAAAGGACATGAACTCATCTTTTTTTATGGTTGTATAGTGTTCCATGGTATATATGTGCCACATTTTCTTTACTCAGTCTATCATTGATAGGCATTTGGGTTGGTTCCAAGTCTTTGCTATTGTGAACAGTGCTGCAATAAACATACGTGTGCATGTGTCTTTATAGTAGAATGATTTATAAGCCTTTGGGTATATACCCAGTAATGAGATTGGTGGGTCAAATGGTATTGCTAGCTCTAGATCCTTGAGGCATTGCCACACTGTCTTCCACAAGAGTTGAACTGATTTACGCTCCCACCAACAGTGTAAAAGCGTTCCTATTTCTCCACATCTGATCCAGCATCTGTTGTTTCCTGACTTTTTAATGATCGCCATTCTAACTGGCATGAGATGGTATCTCATGGTGGTTTTGATTTGCATTTCTCTAATGACCAGTGATGATGAGCTTTTTTTAATATGTTTCTTGGGCACATAAATGTCTTCTTTTGAGAAGTGTCTGTTCATATACTTTGCCCACTTTTTGATGGTTTTTTTTTTTTCTTATAAATTTGTTAAGTTCCTTGTAGATTCTGGGTAGTAGACCTTGGTCAGATGGATAGATTGCAAAAATTTTCTCCCATTCTGTAGATTGCCTGTTCACTCTGATGATAATTTCTTTTGCTGTGCAGAGGCTCTTTAGTATAATTAGATCCCATTTGTCAACTGTGGCTTTTGTTGCCATTGCTTTTGGTGTTTTAGTCATGAAGTCTTTGCTCATGCCTATGTCCTGAATGGTATTGCCTAGGTTTTCTTCTAGAGTTTTTATGGTTTTAGGTCTTACATTTAAATCTTTAATCCATCTTGAGTTAATTTTTGTGTAGGTTGTATGGAAGGGGTCCAGTTTCAGTTTTCTGCATATGGCTAGCCAGTTTTCCCAACACCATTTATTAAATAGGGAATCCTTTCCCCATTGCTTGTTTTTGTCAGGTTTGTCAAAGATCAAATGGTTTTAGATGTGTGGTATTATTTCTGAGGACTCTGTTCTGTTCCATTGGTCTAGATATCTGTTTTGGTACCAGTATCATGCTGTTTTGGTTACTGCAGCCTTGTAGTATAGTATGAAGTCAGAAAGCGTGATGCCTCCAGCTTTGTTCTTTTTGCTTAGGATTGCCTTGGCTATACAGGCTGTTTTTTGGTTACACATGAAATTTAAAGTAGTTTTTTCTAATTCTGTGAAGAAAGTCAATGGTAGCTTGATGGCAATAGCACCGAATCTATAAATTACTTTGGGCAGTATGGCCATTTTCACAATACTGATTCTTCCTATCCATGAGCATGGAAAGTTTTTCTGTTTGTTTGTGTCCTCTCTTATTTGTTTGAGCAGTGGTTTGTAGTTCTCCTTGAAGAGATCCTTCACATCCCTTGTAAGTTGCATTCCTATGTATTTTATTCACTTTGTAGCAATTGTGAATGGGAGTTTACTCATGATTTGGCTCTCTGTTATTGGTGTATAGGAATGCTTGTAACTTTTGCACATTGATTTTGTATCCTGAGACTTTGCTGAAGTTGCTTATCAGCTTAAGGAGTTTTGGGGCTGAGATGATGGGGGTTTCTAAATATACAATCGTATCATGTGCAAACAGAGACAATTTGACTTCCTCTCTTTCTATGTGAATGCCTTTTGTTTCTTTCTCTTGCCTGATTGCCCTGGCCTGAACTTCCAATACTATGTTGAATAGGAGTGGTGAGAGAGGGCATCCTTTTCTTGTGCCAGTTTTCAAAGGGAATGCTTCCAGCTTTTGCCCATTCAGTGTGATATTGGCTGTGGGTTTGTCGTAAATAGTTTTTATTTTTCGAGATACATTCCATCAATACATAGTTTATTGAGTGTTTTTAGTATGAAGGGGTGTTGAATTTTATCGAAGGCCTTTTCTGCATCTATTGAGATAATCAGGTGGTTTTTGTCATTGGTTCTGTTTGTGTGATAGATTACGTTTGTTGATTTGCATATGCTGAACCAGCCTTGCATCCCAGGGGTGAAGCTGACTTGATCGTGGTCGATAAGCTTTTTAATGTGCTACTGGATTCGGTTTGCCAGTATTTTATTGAGGATTTTTGCATCGATGTTCATCAGGGATATTGACCTGAAATTTTCTTTCTTTGTTGTGTCTCTGTAGGTTGTGGTATCAGGATGATACTGGCCTTATAAAGTGAGTTAGGGAGGAGTCCTTCATTTTCTATTGTTTGGAATAGTTTTAGAAGGAATGGTACCATCTCCTCTTTGTACCTCTGGTAGAATTCAGCTATAAATCCATCTGGTCCTGGGCTTTTTTTTGGTTGGTAGGCTATTAATTAATGCCTCAATTTCAGAACTTGTTATTGGTCTATTCAGGGATTTGACTTCTTCCTGGTTTAGTCTTGGGAGGGTGTATGTGTCCAGGGATTTATCTGTTTCTTCTAAATTTTCTGGTTTATTTGCTTAGAGGTGTTTGTAGTATTCTCTGATGGTAGTTCGTATTTCTGTGGGATCAGCGGTGATATCCCCTTTATCATTTTTTATTATGTCTATTTGATTCTTCTCTCTTTTATTCTTTATTAATCTGGCTAGTGGTCTATCTATTTTGTTAATCTTTTCAAAAACCAACTGCTGGATTCATTGATTTTTTTTAAGGGTTTTTTGTGTCTCTATCTCCTACAGTTTTGCTCTGATCTTATTTATTCTTCTGCTAGCTTTTGAATTTGTTTGCTTTTGCTTCTCTAGTTCTTTTAATTGTGTTTTTAGGGTGTCAATTTTAGATCTTTCCCACTTTCTCCTGTGGGCATTTACTGCTATAAATTTTCCTCTGAACACTGCTTTAGCTGTGTCACAGAGATTCTGGTACATTGTGTCTTTGTTCTCATTGGTTTCAAAGAGCTTTATTTCTGCCTTCATTTCGTTATATACCTAGTAATCAGAGAGATCCTCTGTTACCTAGGTTGTTCAGTTTCCAAGTGGTTGTGCGGTTTTGAGTGAGTTTCTTAATCCTGAGTTCTAATTTGATTGCACTGTGGTCTGTGAGACTGTTTGTTATAATTTCCATTCTTTTCCATTTGCTGAGTAGTGTTTTACTTCCAATTATATGGTCAATTTTAGGATAAGTGCTATGTGGTGCTGAGAAGAACATATATTCTCTTGATTTGGGGTGCAGAGTTCTGAAAATGTCTATTAGGTCCACTTGGTCCAGAATTGAGTTCAAGTCCTGAATATCATTGTTAAATTTCTGTTTCGTTGATCTGTCTAATATTGACAGTGGGATGTTAAAGTCCCTCACTATTATTGTGTGGGAGTCTAAGTCTCTTTGTGCGTTTCTAAGAACTTGCTTTATGAATCTGGGTGCTCCTGTATTGGGTGTATATATATTTAGGATAGTTAGCTCTTCTTCTTGATCCCTTTACCACTATGTAATGCCCTTCTTTATCTTTTTTGATGTTTGTTGGTTTAAAGTCTGTTTTATCAGAGACTAGGATTGCAACCCCTGCTTTTTTTGCTTTCCATTTGCTTGTTAAATTTTCCTCCATCCCTTTATTTTGAGCCTATGTATGTCTTTGCATGTAAGATGGGTCTCCTGAATACAGCACACTGATGGGTCTTGACTCTATCCAATTTGCCAATCTGTGTCTTTTAATTGGGGCATTTAGCCCATTTACATTTAAGGTTAATATTGTCATGTGTGAGTTTGATCCTGTCATTATGATGCTATCTGGTTATTTTGCCCATTAGTTGATGCAGTTTCTTCATAGTGTCGTTGGTCTTTACATTTTGGTATGTTTTTGCAGTGGCTAATACCAGTTTTTCCTTTCCATATTTAGTACTTTCTTCAGGAGTTCTTGTAAGGCAGGCCTGGTGGTGACCAAATCTCTTAGCATTTGCTTGTCTGTAAGGGATTTTATTTCTCCTTTGCTTAGTTTGGCTGGATATGAAATTCTGGGTTGAAAATTCTTTTCTTTAACAACATTGAATATTGGCCCCTACTGTCTTCTGGCTTGTAGGGTTTCTGCAGAGAGATCCTCTGTTAGTCTGATGGGCTTTCCTTTGTGGATAACCTGGGCTTTCTCTCTGGCTGCCCTTAACATTTTTTCCTTCATTTGAACCTTGGTGAATCTGATGGTTATGTGCTTGGTATTGCTCCTCTTGAGGAGCAGCTTTGTGGTGTTCTCTGTATTTCTTGAATTTGAATGTTGGCCTGTCTTGCTGGGCTGGGGAAGTTCTCCTGGATAATATCCTGAAGCGTATTTTCCACCTTGGTTCCATTCTCCCCATCACTTTCAGGTATACCAATCAAACATAAGTTTGGTCTTTTCACATAGTTCCAAATTTCTTGATAGCTTTGTTCATTCCTTTTCATTCTATTTTCTCTAATGTTGTCTTCACCCTTTATTTCCTTAAGTTGATCTTCAATCTCTGATAGCCTTTCTTCCGCTTGACTGATTCCGGCTATTGATACTTGTGTATGCTTCACGAGGTTCTCTTGCTGTGTTTTTCAGTTCCATCAGGTCATTTATGTTCTTCTCTGAGCTGGTTATTCTAGTTAGTTCCTGTAACCTTTTATCAAGGTTCTTAGCTTCCTTGCCTTGGGTTAGAACGTGGTCCTTTAGCTTGGAGGAGTTTGTTATTACGCACCTTCTGAAGCTACTTCTGTCAATTCATCAAACTCATTCTCCTTCCAGTTTTGTTCCCTTGCTGGCAAGGAGTTGTGATCCTTTGGAGGAGAAGAGGCATTCTGGTTTTGGGAATTTTCAGCCTTTTTGCTCTGTTTTTTCCTCATCTTCATGGATTTCTCTACCTTTGGTCTTTGCTATTGGTGACCTTCGGATGGGGTTTTTGTGTGGTCATCCTTTTTTTTGATATTGATGCTATTGGTTTCTGTTTGTTAGTTTTCCTTCTAACAGTCAGGCCCCTCTTCTGTAGGTCTGCTGGAGTTTGCTGGAGGTCCACTCCAGACCTTGTTTGCCTGGGTATCACTAGCAGAGGCTAAAGAACAGAAAAGATTGCTGCCTGCTCCTTCCTCTGGAAGCTTCATCCCAGAGGGGCACCCACCAGATGCCAGCCAGAGCTCTCCTGCATGAGGTGTCTGTTAACTCAGAGCTGGCAGGCAGAACTGTTTAAGTCTGCAGAAGCTGCCCCCAGAGCTACCCCTTCCCCCAGGTGCTCTGTCCCAGGGAGATGGGAGTTTTATCTATAAGCCCCTGACTGGGGCTGCTGCCTTTCTTTCAAAGATGCCCTGCCCAGAGAGGAGGAATCTAGAGAGGCAGTCTGGCTACAGTGGCTTTGCAACACTGTGGTGGGTTCTGCCTGGTCCAAACTTCCCAGCAGCTTTGTTTACACTGTGAAGGGAAAACTGCCTACTCAAGCCTCAGTAATGGTGAACACCCTTCCCCCGACCAAGCTCAGGCATCCCAGGTTGGCTTCAGACTGCTGAACTGGCAGTGAGAATTTCAATACGGTGGATCTTAACTTGTTGGGCTCCATTGGGGTGGGATCAGCTGAGCAAGACCACTTGGCTCCCTGGCTTCAGCCCTCTTTCCAGGGGAGTGAATGGTTCTGTCTTGCTCGCATTCCAGGCCCCACTGGGGTGCAAAAAAAAAATTTCTGCAACTAGCTCACTGTCTGCTCAAATGGCCACCCTGTTTTGTGCCTGAAACCCAGGGCCCTGGTGGTGTAGGCACCTGAGGGAATTTCCTGGTCTGTGGGTTGCAAAAAAAAGCATAGTATCTGGGCCAGAGTGCACCATTCATCATGGCACAGTTCCTCACGGCTTCCCTTGGCTAGGGGAGGGAGTTCCCCAACCTCTTGCACTTCCTGGGTGAGGCAATGACTCACCCTGCTTCTGCTTGCCCTCTGTGGGCTGCACCCACTGTCTAACCAGTCCCAATGAGATGAACCGGGTACCTAGGTTGGAAATGCAGAAATCACCCGCCTTTTGCATTGGTCTTGCTGGGAGCTGCAGACCAGAGCTCTTCCTGTTTGGCCATCTTGCCTGGGAATCCTTTTTACCTGTTTTAATGCAGTTCTATTGGCTTAGTGCTAGCCTGGACTGCCACAACCTCTTACCTGGTTTCTTGTTTTCTCACAAAGGCAATTTGGTCTACTGACAACAATATACTTATTATTGTTAAGTCAGTGTTTTCAGGGGGAAAGGGGGCCGAGGGCCTCCTATTCTTCTATCTTGTTGACATTGGTTTTCCTAAGTTTTGTGGTTTTAATCTTCCCTAGTCCATTAGCTCTCTCCTCAGTATCATGGTAATCTTAAAAACCAACAGCCTTGCAATCACTATAGTCATGAAAAACAGCAACCTAATAGTCATGGGAAAGGACAGAATGAGTCTGGGCTACCCAAAGTTTTCATTCCCAGATAATTTTCATTATTTGACATGTAGGGGAGTTCCCTGGAAACCACCACTTGCAGAATTTGTCTTTATTTGCATTGCTTCAGGGCTTACTCAATCAGACAGCTTTTCCTCAGGAGCATTTTATCAATAAAATCAATGTCAATTGTTTAACATGTAAGCTGCAGAAGGTGGCAATAATAGTTGGGACAAACAGGAAGCAGATCAAAAAACATAAAAGAAAAGGCTGGGGAATGAGATGCCCATAGGAGGCTTTGAGAAACTAGAACACGTTTCTGAGAACTTAGAAGGAAACATACAGGTGTAGGCTTGTGCACATGTCCAGGAAAGCCCCTATTCTCTTACATCTGGTTGATGTTGAGGCTTTGTATAAATAGGAAGTGAAGACTAAGGAAGATGTATAAACTATCTGCTGGAACACTGAAGTTGCCTCAACACAAACACGAAGAGCTCTTCAGTAAAGATTGGGAGACTTACTGGTTTAAGTCATTTAAGAATCTTTCTATTCAATCACAGCAGATCATTAAGCTATGAAAGAGACTTCAGTGGCCACATACAATAAAGGTTATAGACTTTAAGTAATTAGTTCAATAATGTCATTTAGCAAACAAACATCAGCAACAGCAGCATAAAAAACAATAATTGCAGCAACAACAAACTGTATCAATACAAAAATCCTGGATGACTTGGCTGAATTTCCAGAGCTGGTATGTTATTACTGAGATAGCCAAATATAAAGGGGTCCCCGGAGACCCTCCAACCAGCCTGTGCTCTGGGAGGAGTGCAGACTGGGGTGGAGTCTCAGCAAGTTTGCACCATTTGCAGGGTGGAGAAGCCTAGCCCCTCCTGTTTCTCGATGGTAACATGGGATTCAATCTGTGAGATGGGGACCTGGTAACAGGACCCTCTCTCACTTTGCTGACTTTTTTTTTCCTTTCTGCCCAATAAGTTCCATTTTTCTCACCCTTTTATGTGTCTATGAGCCTGGTCATGTGACAAGGAACCCGTTTTTAGCTGAACTAAGGAGAAAGTTCTACAACATTACTATTTATAATGTCCAATTTTCAAAAAAAAAAAAAATCTGAAGCATATAAGGAAGAGGAAAGCATGGCCCATAAACAGAAAAAACAGTCAATAGAAAATTCCCCTGAGGAAGCTTAAACATTGGACTAAGTAGAAAAATAATTTAAAGTAACTATTTAAATATGTTCAAAGAACTAAAGAAAACCATTGCTAAATAGCTAAAGGAAAGTATAAGATAGTGTCTTATCAAATAGAGAATATCATTTAAAAAGTAGAAATTATTTTAAAAACAGCAATTCTGAGTAAAATAGTAATACGATAAGTGAAAGAAAAGTAGAGCCATTGGAAGGGCTCAACAGTGATTAGAACTGGAAAATTTCCAAAATTTGATGAAAAAAACAATCTACACATCCAAGGAGCTCAACAAACTCTAAGTAGGATAATTCAAAGACTCTTCACTAAGACACATTGTAATCAAACTGCCAAAAGACAGAGACAAACAGGGACTCCTGAAAGCAGCAAGAGAGAAGTGGCTTATCGCATACAAGGGACTCTCAATGATGACGGAGAATTTCTCATGAGAAATTGTAAAAACCAGGAGGCAGTAGAATGATATATCTAGGATGCTAAAAGAAAAAAGAGTGGTGGGCAGCAAAACTATCCAGCAAATTTAGAAGTTAAAAAACTATAAAAAAAAATTTGACTAGGCGTGGTAGCTCATGCCTGTAATTAATCCCAGCACTTTGGGAGGCCTAGGCAGGCAGATCATGAGGTCAGGAGATCGAGACCATCCTGGCTAACATGGTGAAACACCATCTCTATTAAAAATATAAAAAATTAGCTGGGTGTGGTGGCACACACCTGTAGTCCCAGCTACTCAGGAGACTGAGGCAGGAAAAATCATTTGAACCCGGGAGGCAGAGGTTGCAGTGAGCCAAGATCATACCACTGCATTCCAGCCTGGGTGACAGAGCGAGACTCTGTCTCAAAAAAAAAAAAAAAAAAAAAATTAACATCTTCCAGATAAACAAAAACTAAAGGAATTACTCCCTTGCAGACCTGACCTATAAGAAATACTAAGGGAAATCTTTTAGGCTAAAATGAAAGGATATAAGGCAGTAGCTCAAATTCACATGAAGAAACAAAGAACACTGGTCAAAGTACATATGGTACATATAAAAGACAATATAAATGTATTTTTGTTTATAATCTTTTTCTCCAACCTAATTTAAAAAAAAAGACTATTACAAAAAGCAATAAAGTTCTGTTGATGAGCTCATAATGAACACAGATTGAATATGTATAATAATAGCACAAAGAAGGAGGGAAATTGAAGCTATATAGTCATAAAGATTTTACATTTGAAATTATATTTTATATATTTTAGTTATATATATGTTATTTGAAATTAAGTTGGTATTAATCTGAACTAGGTTGTTATAAATTAAGATGTTAGTGATAATCCTCAGGGCAACCACTAGGAAAATAACTCAAAAATACAGTAAAAGAAGTGACATAAAAGTTAAACTTGTACACTAGAAAACACCTATTTAGCATAAAAGAAGGCAATAATAGAGAAATGAAATAAAAAAGGTAAAACAGAAAACACAGAAAAATGATAAGTGCCAATCCTAGCTTATTAGCAATTATATTAAATGTAAATGAAATTTAAACAGTGCAATCAGAAGTCAAAGATTAGTAGAAGCAATAAAAACACATTGTCTAACTAAATACTGTCTATAAGAGATACACTTTAAAGATACGAATAGGTTGAATGTAAAAGGATGGAAAAAAGTTATACCATGCAAAGATGTGGAGTGGCTTACCAATATCAGACAAAATAAAATTTATGACAAAAAGTTACTTGAGATAAGAAAGGACATTTAAAAGTGTCAATTCACTTGAAAAAAATAGCAATTACAAACATCTATGCACCTAAGAAGAGAGCCTCAAAATACATGAAGGAAAACCTGACAGAATAGGAGGAAGAAAAAAGATCACTCTACAATAATTGCTGGAGACTTTTATTTTTAAATGTCACTTTCAGTAATGGCAAAAACAACTAGACAGAAAATCAAGTGAAATGATGGTCAATATCATTAGTCATACAAGAGATGCAAATCAAAATCACATTGAGATACCAATGTATACCTACTAGGATGGCTAAAATTAAGAAGACAGATAACCACTAGTATTGGTGAAGATATGGAGTAATTGGAACCTGCATACATTATTGATAGAATTATAAAATGGCGCAATCACATTTTAAAATACTTTGGCAGTCCCTTGAAATGTTAAACTTAGTTCTGGTTATCAGATCAAGAAAATTGAAAACATATGTCCATATAAAACCTTTGCATGAATGTTAATAGCAGCGTTATTCATAACAGCAAAACAATAAAAACAATTCAAATGTTCATCAACTGATAAAAGAATAAACAAAATGTGGTATATCTATACAATGGAATATTACTCAGCCAAAAATTGGATGAATTACTAATATATGGCAAGGATACACCTTGAAAGCATTTTGCTATGTGAAATAAGCTAGGCATAGAAGTCCATATATTGTACAATTCCATGTATATCAAATGTCTGGAATAAGAAAAATAGATAATAGATTAATGGTTGTAATGGGATTGGGGGAAGAGGCATGGAGACTCTTTGTAGCGATGAGATAGTCTAAATCACTTAGTGGCGATGGTTGCACTACTCTGAATATACTAAAAGTGCTTAATTTTACACTCTAAAGGTGTGAATTTTATGGTATGTGATTTACGCCTCAAAAAACCTGTTACTTAGAAAAGTTTTACATGGGACTGAGAATTTCACTGTTAGCTTGTGTACAAGAAAACTTTGGTTGATCAAGCAAGCAAATGATTCTAGTGACTCAGTAAATAGTGGTATTTATTTTCTACTAGGGAAATGGCTATAATTACAATGACTACAATTTGAATAGATTATTTACATAAGTATTACAATAGTTTCTCTCTTTTGCCCCTAGATGTGTTTCACTCTTATTGACTCTTATTGCTTAAGTGGGTAGATTTACATAAATTACACAATGTAAACCCTTTCAACCACATTTGGAACAAGGCTTGTCAAGGGCAGAAATGAGGGCATAGGCTTATCTTGGTGGATCACAGAAATGAGCTAGCTACACCTCCTGTTTGATAACTATTTCTTACACACCCATTTCTCAATAGGCATTCTCAAAGAGTTGAGAGATATAATTCTATGAGTCAGACCCAATAAGGAGAACCAGGCCAAGTTCATGTTGCCCAGAGGAAGTATCTTAAATTTTCTTTCTTTTTTTCTGGCACCTTCGTTTGATTCCTATCTTGGGAGTATAAAGCTGTGTGTGCCAACTTTTAACAACTTTTATGTTCTTGAGAACTTAAAAAAAGGTCTTGGCAAGAAAATCTGCAAGTATAATGATGGACCCTGAAAGAAGCTAGGGTGGGGTTCAGTGAGGGAAAGGAAAATCAAGAACTAAATGTAAGACTCCTTGCCACAAAACTGTAAGTGGAACACATACTTTTCTAGCTTTTTGCCTTGATGATACTCTACTTCCCAGAAGAGTCAGCATGCACTTCAGCAGCATGAATATACAAGATGGTTTGAAAGCTGGGCACTATTTTGATGTTGTGGTTTTGTTACATATGTATGTCTGTTATTCAAGTTTCTAAATTTTTTCTTAAACATTTCTGAGTCTACTGTTCAGATAAAAAGTTGAATTCATGTTGAAGTTTTGTAGATTTTTGTTATTAATTTGTTTTTAAGACTGCTATTAATATGTCATTTTTAGATAGTTTAATATAGATATATATCAACAATATATGAATATATAAATAATATATAAGATAATACTTAAGTATATTATATGCAATAAATACTACATACATGTATAAATTATGTAAACTATATACATATAAATATATACATTACATATGTAAATTATATATACACACATACATATACACACATTTGTGTGTATATACATTTGTGTGTACATGTACTTATGTGTATGTGTGTATATGTGTGTGTATGTATATACACACATTATTTGTGTGTAGGTATACATGTTACTCAAGAGATGACTATCAATTCAAAAATTATTATTGTGGTCAGTAGGATTAAAAAAGAGTTTGTGTTTTTGATATGGAAATGAGCTAAAGACACAGCAAAAGTATCTTTAAAAATATGAAATTGGCATTCAAGTTCAGAGGGCTGATTAGATTCCCATTACTCTGGAGGTTGAATGTACTGATTCACCACTGTGATCAAATTTCTCCTTTCTCATTGGTTTTCCTGTGAGATTATCAGCAACTTCTAGCGAGCCCACATAAGGAACTAGAACCTAGGGAAATAATTATAGCCAGAGTTGAAAAAACTTAAGCAATAGACTTTCACTTTCAGAGTTACTATTACTGGGGATCCTGAAGGTCTTGAAGACTAACATCAGCAGGCTAACAGGAGCAAGTAAGGAGGCAGTCAGAACACAAGCACAGGTGAATGGATGTTGGTAAGGAAGGTGTCAGAGGCGGAAGGACTGAAATGGAATCAGAGATGATTTAGGTTAAGGTCAGGGATCCAGGAAAAGAAAGGGCTTGGGATAGAACTCTGAATCAACTAATAGAAATCCAGAATGAACCCTATGCAGTGCTGGTGGGGAATAGGATTAAGGCTGAGAAATTGAGGTGATGAAGCAAAGTATAATCAGGATTTAGCTTTTGTTCAAGGCTAGATTAGAATCTAGGAGTGGATGTTATGGGTTAGCAAAATCTGGAATTAGACCCTGAGAAGGTGGATAGAATTCATAAAATGGAAGGGGAATAGCTACTGATATTTATCTCTGCTTTTCTGGGGATCTTGGAGAACTATGAGATTGTGTGTGAAAAGGTTATCATCACCATCATCATCATCATCATCATAACCTCAACCATTTAATTAATATCTTATTCATGTTCCAGAAGCCAAAAACTTACAAAAAATGTTTAATTTAATCCTGTATTTTAAATTTTATCTCAATTTTATATTTAAAAAACCCAGATATCACTGATGGTTTGAGGAGTTAGAGAATTTGTTCACAGGCATGTAGGCAGTAAATAATAAAGCCAAAACTCAAACCTAACTATATTATCTGTGTTCTTAATAATGAGACACTCTGATTCAATAGCATCTCTCCTCCATTAGTATGCAAGAGGATAAAATGCAGTGGAAGCTGCATGAAACTTAAGATAAGCTTAGCTTACCACTTGTCTCAGGTAGTCACTGTAGTTTAAAGATGAGAGGGTAGGAAGATGTGAGAAAGGGATTGATGCGCTATAGAGAAAACACAAGCAGAGCTTGTCCTGCTCATTAGATATTATACCCATTTTAAAATGCTACCTATATACCTGTATCCTGATTTTGTGTATGTGGGGATAAGAAAGCATAACGTATGTCACATGTCTTTGTCTCATAAGCTCAAAGGCAGAGCTGGAAGGGTTCTCTCAGATTCTGCAATCCAACTGTCTTACTCTATTAGATGACTTCCAAACTCAAGCTGAACAGAAACCTCCTCTATTAAACCCTTCCCAACTCCAAGGCCCCAGAGCAGAAGTAGTTTTCTCTTCCTTTGGGGCTCCACATTTTTGCCTTTGGCTGTGAGAGTACTGGCTGTGAGAGTATTTTGTTACGCTTTGTTGTTCACATTGCTGCCCCATTGTTATTGAGATTGCAAACTATTTAAAGGCAGAAATTCTGTCCTAATCTTTTTCCTCACAGTACCTATTACCTAACACAGAGGGACATGTAGTTATCAAAATGTACTGAACTGAATTTTATGACCAATCTAAGTGCCAAGATGTTAAGCAATTTGCTCAAGTCACATGTAGATATATAGCCAATACCAGGAAAGATTTCTCCTACTGGTAGTTTATGTCGGGTGTGTATTTGTCTCTGTCTCTTTGTATCAAGTATGTGAGGGTGGGGAGGGGCTGCAAGTGTTACTTTCTAGTCATATTCCTTTGAGCATAGCGCTATCACTCCCAGGTTATTGCTCAGTACTATTTTTTTTTAAATTTATTATTATTATTTTTTGCTGTGTTGGCATCTATAGGACAAGGATAGAGTTTTTAAAATTTACTTAGCATAGTACCAAGGACAAGGCTACTTTATTGCCTCTTGTCTTTGATAAAAAGTTGGGAACCCTAATTTAGGAAGGGCTAAATTTATTTCTGTGCAATCTCATGGGGAACTAGTGACAATTTGGAATTAGAATCTAGTTTTTTTTGAGCCCTCACAGCATCAAACCATTCCTGAATAGCCTCAGAAAGCACTCTGAACAAATACATTACAACTATAAATGCTTAGAAAAAAAGTGTCCACAAACAAACCAAAAAAGACCTTATATGTTTGTATATAACTGTGTATGCATATGTTTTTATGAGTTTGGAGAAAGGTGCAGAGGTCACTCTATATTGGCTTTTTTGAGGGAAAGTGGTGGTAATCAGAGGAAATTTCATTTGGAGGTTATTGACTTTTAAAATTCATATTTGTGTGGTTTCACAGAAAAATTAATACATTTTTGCCTTAAATTCTGACTGACTGAATTTGACATCTAGACATGTTCTTTTCATTTAGGCCTACCTAGTAAGCTCCTTCATTATAAGGAGCAGAGACAACTCAGGCTAGCACAAGTAAAGGATACTTGCTGAGACTAATGATGAGGGAGCCACATGACTTCATTAGGACCCAGAGGTAGGACCAGCGGGACAACCTGGCTTCACAGAAACTGAAACCTGGGGGTGAGTCTCTGGGTTCAAGAACAATTTCAGGATTTCAGAAAAACCATGCAGGACTCATTCTTGCTCTTGGTATTAATAGCTATACTCTCTTGCGGTGGTTTCCATTCCTGCCCCACTACCAAGTAACAAATTATTCTCAGTTTCTCAGTTAAATTTCCTAACAGGGACAGAGTATTGGCTTAGCTTATATAATATCTTGAGGGGGAGGGTTGTCATACCTTCTAAAATATTATTTTCTTTTCTAACCTAAGTATGGGCTACAAAGTTGTCTTTCTGTCAAGTGCACCCCTTGGTACAACCTGTTGTCTGGGAAGTGGACTCATGTGTTGTAAATCTCATGGGTGTCAGAAGAGAGAGGAAGGCTGAGTAGCTCTTGCATTTGGCAAACCCACCCAGTGTTTATATTTCTTGTGTGCTTTAGCCCCTAGAGAAGGGAATAATCTATACATGTGTCTCACTTGTTATTTCTGGGTCCACAGTTATTTGTTGGCTGTAGTTTTCTTTGCTTAACTCTCATTGCATTCTGGTGAGGTTGCCTCTATATAAGTTTGCTACCATCACTAGACTGCAAGCTCTCTAAGAAACAGGAATGTGATTGCTTAATGTGGTACCCCAGGCATGTAGTATTGGGCCCAGCTCATGGAGATCTTCAGCAAATATTTGTTGAATGAGTGGATGGCCTGTGGGACAACTGTGATAATTCCTATTTGTTGAAACACAATGTTGTTCAATTTCCAAGAGCCTGAGTTCCTTCTTCTGTTAACCTGTAACTGATATTTGTCCTTCATTAATGATTCTTCAAAGCAATGTCGGGTCTGTCAGGTCTTCAGGGTATTGACAGGATTATGAGTATCTTGGAAAATGGTTATGGAAAGATGGCAGTGGCCAGCAAGGCAGGGCTGGGCAGGCCTGCATGAGGTGGGAGGCTGAGTAACTTGTTGGGATTGGTTGTGTAACGTGAAAGGCAATCCACCCATTTGGAAATGTAATGCGAAAAGGAGGCTATGAAGATAATATCTCTTTCTATCTCTGATTTAGAAAGCTCAGAAACAGCTGTCAAACTCTGCTTGGGACACATTCACATCCTGCCCGTGATATGAATCTTAAGGGGGTGATAGCCACACAATCACGGCATTATCCCAAGCTGCACAATAAGCTTGTCATAGCCTTGGGCTCTCACACATGTTCTGACGGCTACATGGAGACACCAGAACAGTCTGAGAGGCCATTTTCTCTCTACAGAGTTTTCAGGACATTTCTCAATGCCACCTATCAAAGCTTAGTTTCTTCCCACGGTACCTTGCCTGGGAAAATGTTATTCGGGGTGCACTTGGGTGGCAGTCATGACGTCAGTATAAAGTCACAGACTGCCTAAAGGTCAAAGACTTCCCTTTGCCCCAAGCTGTAGTTATGCTAGACCAGTCAATCTGCCTGTTCTCTAGCCTCTTAGAAAACATGTCAATGGCATGAAAGAACACAGAGCCTACATCTGTTTTAGCCAGGGTCGCATAAAGGCAGCTCACAGTAGCTTAAGTCAATGACATTTCAGGAAGCATTTTTAATTCTGCAAATCCTTCTCAGGGTCTGCCTACCCTACATGGCATATATTACAGATGGGAGAGTAAAGGGAATGGAATGGAGATTAAAAGAATTGATTATTTTTAAAGATTGTACACAGCTACTGCCAAGTGGTCGTGAAAGGAGACAATGATATGGATATTGTAAAAGAGAAATTCTTGACCTCCTTTGCCTCAGCATTGTAGACAAATAAGGCAAAAGAATTGTACATAATTATCAATGGTTATTTATTTCTCAATAGCTTTGTGGTTAAGAGCATAAGCTTCACTGTCATAAAAACTGGGTTTGGATCCAAACTTCAACACTTACTAACTGTGGAGTCTTGGCTGAGTAAGTCCCTTAAGAGCCTGAATTTCCTCACATGTAATAGGGATAATCAAATCTCCCTTGCATGTTTCTCGTAGGATTAAATACATTGAAGTAAAGCACCGAGGACAGTAGATAGTATGGTGATTGCTCAGTAAGTAGAAGTTTGTGATATAATTTCACTTGAGGAGTACTGTCTTATCTCGGGCTTGCCTGCCTTTTTTCTTACCATTACCCAGGTTTCTATAGTGCTTTTGATTGATAGGAACTTTCGGAGAAACACTGAGCCAGGGCTTGGTCCCCAGTGAATATTAGACACCACCATTGGCAAACGATCTAGGGAAAGAGCAAAGCCTTATTGATGCATTGCTTTTGAATCCCATAATGGCTGATGCCAGTGCCTCCTTGTAAAATGTGGATTTACCCACTCTCTTTACCTCAATTTGGTTTGAAAGATTTAACAGATATACCCACAGATGTCTGTCACACTTGGACCTACATGTTACCGTATGCCCTGTGTACCACAATAAAGAATTTTCTTGCCATTTGAATTTGTCATAAGTTGCTTTAAGTGTTTATTGATACTGATATCATTACTTTACTCATCAGCTTTGTGAAGTTCTGGCTACTGATTTTTAGTGTCCCAACTATGAAATGTAATTATTCAGTTTTGAGCATCAATTCTAGCCATTTCAAACCCTCAGTTAATTAATTGGCTCTCAATCCATAAATTTCTTGACATATAAGACCAAATACTTTAGTTGTCAAATGATGTATTTTACTAACTACCTTATTTTTATGAGGCTATGTATGGCACAGTATAGTAGTTAAGAGCACAGATGCTAAGGTGGATCTTTCGGGTTCTAATTCTAGAAACATCACTCTTTACTATATATGTAAATGTATATATTTACATATATATACCTAAGAAATGTACTTAACCCCTCTGGACCTCAATTTCCTCATCTCCATAGAGTGCTCATTTATATGGATTAAATACTCATTTAATATAAATATAAATATTTAATATAAATATATTTAATTTAATATAAATATACATACTCATTTATATGGATTAAATGAGTTCATATATGTAAAGCACCAAAACATAGTAAGTGCTAAGGAAGTGTTAGTTATTATTATTATTGTTATGCATATAAAACAGGCTGGCCACTCCTCTTCTGGGTAAGAGCACTAATCAAATTGTAATCACTGTCTTGGTAGTATTTAGTTCTAGAACCCCAAAGGGAACTGTCTGATGAATGCCCCTGGTGACAAGTAGGACTAGGGTTTAGACTGGTATCTGCAGAGCTGAGGTTGGGAAAGAAACTTCTTATACCCAGAGCTGTAGGTTTGCTGGATACAAGACAATGTGACATGCAGAAAGTCATTGGGGTATTCGAGAAGAGGAATCACACAAGTCACAAAAACAAATTTGGGGCATAATATATAAAACTGGTGTAGAGAAGGGGATGAGGGTGAAGAAAGAGTCATGGACATTGCAAGAGAGGGTCACGGGCTGACTGCAGGAGCTAGTCTCAGGATAATTCTTACTGTTGCATGGGTGGGTTGACTACATTCAAAAGAGAAAGAGCAGCCGTGATTATCCAACAGTTATTTTCCCTATTAGGTTAGGTTTGACATTTTCCTTAATTCCCTTAATTCATGGAAATCCATGGCGTGTTGTAATGTATTCTTGAGATGAAAAAAAAGTTTCTCTTGGCAATTCCTGTGGTCCAGTAAATCAGGTTCTAAGCTGCTTACGGTGCCCCACAGGAGACCAGGGTTTCTTCAGTAACTTAGTGGTTGTGAATATAGAGAACTTTGAATCATATTCTTTGTCTTTGTTTGTTTCGGCTGCTATAACAAAGTACCATAAATTGGGTAGCTTATAAACAATAGAAATTTATTTCTGAAAGTTTTGGAGACTGGAAAGTCCAAGATCAAGTCACTGGCATATTTGGTATTTGGTGATGGCTCACTTACTGGTTCAAAGCAGGAAACTTCTTGCTGTGTTCTCACATGGCAGAAGGGAATAGCTAGCCCTTTGGGGTTTCTTTTATAAGGACACTCATCCCAATCACAATGGCTCCACCCTCATGCTTTAATCACATCCCAAAGGCCCCGTCTCCTAATATGGTCACCTTGATGGTTAGAGTTTCAACGTATATATATATATATATATATATATATATGGGGGGATAAATGTTAAGACAATAGCATTCTCCAATATCTGGAAAATAACAGATAGCTTCTAATTCATAGAGACAACAAGTTACATAAATGACATAAAAATTAATCTCCTACAAGTGCTACTATAATTAAGTATATACTATGTGCTAAGTGTGATCATTTTTTTATCATCTCATTGATTCCTTAGATAAACTCAATGAGTCGGATATTATTAAATTCATTTTTATATAACTGATATGCTCCTCAGATATATTATTTGCTTCAAGATACCAAGAACTGATTTAGGTGAAGAAGGATCACTCTGGGGTAAGCTGGGGGCAAGAACAAAATCAGCAAGGCCAATTAGATGACTACAGCAGCAGCCTACATGTGAAATGGTGATGATGGAGACCTAGGGGGAAACAGTGGAGATGGTAAGAAATTGTCAGATACTGGGCCGGGCGTGGTTGCTCATGCCTGTAATCCTAGTGCTTTGGGAGGCCGAGGCAGGTGGATCACAAGGTCAGGAGATCGAGACCATCCTGGCTAACATGGTGAAACCCCGCCTCTACTAAAAATACCAAAACAAAATTAGCCAGGCGTGGTGGTGGGTGCCTGTAGTCCTAGCTACTCGGGAGGCTGAGGCAGGAGAATGGTGTGAACCTGGGAGGCAGAGCTTGCAGTGAGCCGAGATCGTGCCACTGCACTCCAGCCTGGGCGACAGAGCAAGACTATCTCAAAAAAAGAAAAAAAAAGAAAAGAAATTGTCAGATACTGGATACACTTTGAAGGTAGAACTAGCAGGAATTCCTGACAGAATAAATGTGGATAAGGAGAGAAAGTAAGGAATCAAGATGACTTTAAGTCTTTAAGTTTGTTGGCCTGAGTAAGTAAAATAACAAAATTACCACACCTGAAATGAGAAAGGCTTAGGGGAAGCAGATTTAGAGGAGAAGGACAGGAATTCCTCTTGGGGCTTATTAAGTTTGAGATATATATCAAACACCCAAGTACACATGTCAAATAGGCAATCTGAAATTCAGGAGAGAAATTTTGAATGAAGATAAAAAATTAGGACTCTTTGGAACATAGATACTCTTAAAAGCACAAGACCCTGGGTAGAAAAATCACCCTAGGAGTATACATAGAAAAGAGAAAAGAACCAAAGCAGATCCTTGGGCCACATCTCTTAGAAACTGGGGGAAAAGGGAGGAGACAGCAAAAGAGAATAGGAAGGAATAGCTACTGGAATAAGATGGGGGAAAAAAAAAAGATTCTGGCAGCCTGGAAGCCAAATGCAAAAAGTATATTAAAGAGATGAGTGGGATCAACTGGGTTAAAATACTGCTACTGATCTATATGAAGACTGAGAGTTGACCATTAGACTTCACAACATAGAGTTCATTGGCGATCTTGAAAGGAAATGTCTGATAACATGGGTGGATGTGGAAATCTTTGAAAGAACAAAGAGCTGGTTGGAGTAGATTTAAGAGAGAATGAGAGAAGATTTGGAGGTATCATTGGGGGGGTGACACAGATTTAATTACTGATGTATAAAGTTGTATACATCCACAGAAACTGGGGAAGATGTATTTGAGAGCAGGATTTTGACCTTGATCTCTTGTCCAGTTCATTATGGCACATTTTTGAAGAAACTTTTGTGAATTAGACCTATATATTTAGTTTTTTCACCCTTCTAACCGCCACCAAGGAAGTCACATTTTAATTGTGCATTCTGTCATAATTTCACTCTAAGTGGAGATATTGTGTTGGGAGTTGGCCATATTATGGTGATGGGTGTGCGTGTGTGTGACTGTAGACCCTGCTCTGACAGAAAGGCAACACACAGTCCACTCTCAGGTTTCCGCTGGTTGGCTTGCGGAGTGAAAATAAATTTTCCAAGAAATAGAGTCTAAAGTGGTCATCAAAATAAGGTTGAGGGTTGTTCTGTAGCCTATGAGACTAATATCAGAAGCAGGAGTTTCCAGTCAGGAAATTGAAGAATCAAGAGAATAAGGGTTTGGCATAGCTTTCTTTTGAGTCTGTTTGTGAAAGGAAAATCTGAGAAAAAAAATAGGCATCCAAGGCTGTTACTTATGACTGTGCTTCCAAAAGTAATGAGTAAAGCGCTATGTGTACAGATGCTTCTCAGCTTACAATGGAGTTATGCCCTGAATAAATCCATCGTAAATTGAAAATATCATAATTCAAAAATGCATTTAATACACCTAACCTGCCAAACATCATAGTTTTGCCTCACCTACCTTACACATGCTCAGAACCCTTATATCAGCCTACAGTTGGGCAAAATTATCTAACATAGAGTTTATTTTATAATAAAGTATTAAATATCTCATATCACTTATTGGATACTATACTGAAGGTGAAAAATAGGATAGCTGTATCAGTACTCAAAAATAGTTTTTACTGAATGTGTTTTGTTTTTTCACTGTTATAAAGTTGAAATATTGTAAGTTGAACTGCCATAAGTTGGGGACCATCTGTATATGCTAAAGGATGAGTAGACATAGTCTAGGAAGACCCTTGTTATTGGGTTTGGGAACTTGACTATATTGTCATCAATATGGTAAGTGATTCTTACAAACAATTGATGGACCAGTTCACTAATTTCAGCATTACAATCACTCTTTGCTTACTAAACTGATTTAAATGTAGGGAAGAGGCTGCCTTATATATTTATAGGGTCTCTATCAGATTATAAATCAATTAGGACAAACAACAGAGTTCTTTATCAGTTTCACATTCACCACAATTCTGAATTTATTGTGCTTCCAGTCAACATTTTTAATAAGCCCTCTTAATAAGTGAGGAACAATAGGAGATGGGGCAGGTGGATAAAAGTCTGTGGCAACTGGGCTGGTAATTGGGAGTGGTTGGGCAAAAATCTTTCTCTGGCTGTTGTCTTAACAACTGTCAGAGAGTGCTGTAGGTAATTCTTAAGATTTCATTTTATTTTTTAAAATTTCCTCTTGAAGATTAATCATTGTTTGCCAAGTTTTTACCTGAAGAAATTAGTTTCTCATAGAACCTTAAAGAAAAATCCTGTGTCTTATGTATGCTACTTTGTGGTCAAGTTCATATCCTTACACCTGCTTATCAAATTAGCATTTATGAACCAACTAGGGTTCACAGTATTTATTCTAAAGCCTCACACCAACTATTACATAAGTAATAAACTAATAAAGTACTACATTTGTTTAAAAGCTGTGGTTTTCACCTTCCATTTCCTGGATTTTATTAAGTAATCAACAAACATTGAAATATAGAAAGAAATGCACAAACTCTTAATAGTTTTCTACATTTTACATAGTATGAATGTATCATTCTTTGTATTTTAAAGTATTATTTTCTAGTAATAAACATTTAGGTTGTTTCCAGCTTTTACTACCACAATGCTATAATGATTAACACTGTTAATGTATCTTTTAAATTTGTAGGTATTCTTTATGTTTTATTGCTGTTAATCCTTTGTTATATATCTTACAAATATTTTCTTTTAGACTTTTTTCCTCATTCTTACCTTTGCTTGTCTTGTTAGATCTTGTTGATAGCATAGACCAATCTCTGATACAAACAGCATTATAACTATTCATGGAGGGACTAACACTAAATGGCCAGCTAGCTAAGTAATACACATTCAGAACTAATGATCAATTAATGCATAGCTCTACCTCTTTGTCTTTATACTAGGTGTCTTGCCTAACATTGTTTATTACTTAATGGCATAATCGAGGGTCTCATCTAATTTGTATAAAATAACTTTAGGAAAAGCCCAGAGTCTATTAATCTTGGGAGACCATGGCTATGTCTCAGAGATGGTGTGGTGTGAAAAAATATTTATAACACAATGAGAGTTTTAAGCTCTTGGAAAATAATGTTTTTAGAAACAATAATGGTTGATATTGATTTCCATTTTAAATCTCAGAAGACTAAAGGCTGCTGGACTGAAAACCTGTCAGAGGTGGTCATTAGTATTGTAAATTACACTCTTATCTTCCCATCATTATGCAATGGCTTCATTTCTCTATATATGAACTTCAGAGATGTCATCAGGATGGCTGACTCAACGAGTCTAGCACTTCTCTTCTCAATAAAGAAAGAGCAAAACAGAAAGTAGATTACCACACACAGAATAAAGCATCAAGGGAAAATGCTGGAATCCAAAGCAGAGTAGTGACAGGGACTCTCTAAGGCATGAACACTTGATTTGATTTGACTTTTTTCTATTCTTCTCTACTGTTTTTATCTTGTTTCCAGTAGAGCTGAAAGTCATGGACACTAGAGATGGCAGCATAGAGAGTGAAGTGACACAGCTGGCAGGATAGGCTCAGAACCAGCAGGGACTAAAGACTCCCTACTGCAGGGAATAAGTAAGTAAGAGATGCCCAGAAATCTATATTCTCATCATGGACATCTGCATTCCTAACTACAGGAAATCTCCTCTGCCCTCATAGACCCTTAGCCTATTGTGGGGAGCTGCCTGGAGTCTGTGAGACTGCATTGTTCCAGAGAGGGAATTCATGCTGGGTCCATCCCATAGAACCCAAGCTGCTGACGCACAGAACCATTTTCAGAGTGGAACCAACGCTGTACTACATCCTACCCGACAGTTCATTATCTTCTGTATCCCCATATCCCAGGGCCCCATCAAAGTCTCCCACATTCACCCAGAGGACTGCAGCATTGTGGGTCCTGCTGGATCTGAGGATGTGGCTATGCTGCTGGCACCCAAGCCCATGCAGTGCCTTATACACTGGGAATCAGAGAGTCCATCACATCAGGGAGGCGGCCTCCACAACATAGGAAAACAAAGTATGAACTTACCAGCGCCTAAAAGCAGCATGCCTGGGGCCACCACCACACACATTGACTCTGCTCCCCTCCAGCAACTGGGACATCATGCATTCCTATGCCTCACCCACCTTGGAGCTGGCCTGTTCACCTTGTATAAACAACACCAGCACCCAATTATCCCACCCCCCCAACCCCCTCCATGGACACTGCCAACATATGTGCACCACCCAGGGGCCCAGGGAATGGTCTCACTAGCCTGTTGCTGATATTGCTGGTGCCCACATGCCTGCCTAGATGTTCGAGGACCGACTCACCATCTTCACTGCTAATGTCCAGTGTCCCACCTGGGGACCCAAGGAGCAGACCACCCGGCCCACCAGTGCCTATGCACCCCACCTGGAAACCTAAGGGCCAGCTGGCCTGGAGCCCAATGTTGCCATTGCTGACACTCACATGTGCCATCTGGAAACCTGAGGGCCTATCCAACCAGCCCACCACCCCCACTGCTGGGTTCTTTGCGTCCTGCCTGGGATAGACCACAATAAAATAATGGTCAAGAATTTCAGCACCCCACTTTCAGCATTAGACAGATTATCTAGATAGGAAATTAACAAAGAAACATTGGACTTAAACTGCATTATAGACCAAATGGACTTAAAAGACACAAAACATTTTATCCAACAGCTGCAGAACGTACATTCTTCTCATCAGCCTGTGAAACATTCACCAGGAAAGACCACATGTAAGGCCACAAAACAAGTTTCCAAAAAATATCTAAGAATCAAAATAATATCAAGTATCTTCTCAGACCACAGGGATAAAACTAGAAATCAATAACAAGAGGAACTTTGGAAAATCATACAAATACATGGAAATTAAACAACGCTCTCCTGAACAACCATAGGTCAATGAAGAAATTAAGATGAAAATAAAGGGATGTCTTGAAATCAAAGAAAATGAAAACACAGCATACCAAAATCTCTAATATACTAGAAAACCAATATTAAGAGAGACGTGTATAGCCTTCTTATAGACATTATAAATGCCTGTATCACAAAAGTAGAAATACTTCAAATAAACAACCTAATGACGCATCTCAGGGAACTAGAGAAGCAAGAACAAACAACAGCGAAAATTAGTAGAAGAAAAAATTAATAAAGATGAGAGCAGAACTAAGTGAAAGAGTGACCAAATAAATACAAAAGATCAGCAAAATGAAAACTTAACTGTTTGAAAGGATAAAGAAAACTGACAAACTGTTAGCTAGACTACTCAAAAAAAAGAAAAAAGATACAACTTAATAAAATAAAAAACTAAAAAGAAGACATTACAACTGATGCCACAGATATACAAAGAATCATCAGAGACTGTTATGAAAAACTATATGCCAACAATTTGAAAAACTTGGAGAAAATGGACACAGTCCTGGACATATGTACTCTGTCAAGATCGAACCAGAATTTTTTTTTAAATGAACAGACCAATGATTAGTAATAAAATTAAATCAGCAATAAAAATCTCCAAATAAAGAAAAGCCTAGAGCTAGGTGGCTTTATGAATGAATTCTACCAAACATTTAAAGAACTAACATCATTTTTTTCTAATTATTTCAAAAAATTGATTAGGAGGAAATTGTTCTTAACTCATTCTATGAGGCAGGCATTATTCTGATACCAAAACCAGACAAGGGTGCAACAAAAATGAAAACTACAGGCCGATATTCCTGATGAGCATAAATGCAAAAATCTTCAATAAAATACTAGCAAGCCAAATTCCACAATACACCAAAAAGAAAATACACCAGAATCAAGTGGGATTTGGGTCATAACCCCAATAGGCATAATACTTAATACCATAATACTGAGTGTTAAAATCCCAAAAGATCAAAATCCCAAAAATATAATTCTGCAAGAAATAATTTACAAAATTATTTCTAAAACATTTATTTACATTTTTATATAGGAATATATTTGAAAAACATAATAACACAACAGAACACTTCATAGGTCACTTTACCCAATAAAATAAGGAATAACATACATATTTTATCAAACATAAACACTCAGGTATAGTAATGACAGTTGCACAGGTTTAACAGTTATGAGCAGGTGAACTCTATTCATAAATAGATCAAAAGAAAAAATGTATAAATATATATAATGATGGTAGTAATTGTGCGCACTCAGTTTTGTAAAACTATGATGGACACCCTAAGTCTTTTGATACAATCAGTGAAAAACCGAGATGAGTAACCACCACATATGCAGTTGCCCTAAGAGCCAAGATCTTGAGAAATTTTGTCTTTTACAAATGCAGATGTACAAAGAAGACATCTCTTCATTTATTGAGAAAGTTTCAACATTTTTATGTACACACAATGCTTACAAAGTCAACGTTGTGATAATGTACCTTTGTGGAGCCAAATTTGCAGAAAATGCACAAACAAATTAGAACCTTCTAAAATTCCTCATGCAATTTACACTTCCAGTATTGAAAATGATGTAAAAATGAAATACATAGCATAGCAGATTGTAAAATATAATGCTGACAATTTAAGATAGTGGGGAAAAACTAAAATAACAAAAATCACCATCCCCCCAAAAAAATGTAAAAGAAAATTCAAGGACAAATTATGGGAAATTGCACAGAAATAGTCGATAATTGCTGGTGGACATTCATGATCACTAACCATTTTTGAGGTCTTGCATTTAAATAAATAGCTACTTTTTTTCTTTTATGGTATGGCTCTCCTTGGTTGGTGAATATGTTCACATTGATTTTTAATGTGACACAGCCCTTTCTGAAAATTTTCTATGATTTGAGGTCAACTGATTGAGGATCCTGTATTAAATTTTCCCATATTCTGTGCTTGCTGTGCATCTATGTTGTTTTGAGTATTCAGAAATCCATTCCACATGCATTCATATAGAGACCACAGATTTGGTGGAAATAATACCAATGATCTAATGGCAATGCTGTTGCTTAAGTGTCTTCTTATTTTCCTGTGCACATAATTGTTTTCAAGCCAGTTAGTAACTTCACTGCCTTATTCAGGCAAATGAAGCTTTAATTCATTAAAATCTGGAATTTTATCAGCTGAAAGGCATGTCAATGTAGACAAATGATGTATTTTTTAACTGGAGTTTTTGTTATGTTCATATCACAATGCCAATCCACTCACATGAAATTTCTACCAGATGCAAATAAAGACAGTAAGAGTAATATTTCCACTTAACATGATGCAACTAACATGATGCAACTATCCTGTATACAACCAAAAAACACACTAATCATCTCCTAAGAATCTGGCTTTAGGGTTTTTAAAATTCAGGATTTAACACTGGGATTGTGATTTTCTGGATTTTAGGTGTTACAGATTTGAGACTTTCAGGGTTTCAACATTTAGGGATTTTTATCTTTTTGAATTTCAACATTTAGAATTATGGTAGGTGGGATTGTGTCTTTCAAGATTATGATTGGCACTGGATCAAGTGGGATTTATCCTAGGAATACAAGGATAGTTCAACATATACAAATCAAAAAGTGTTATATACCACATCAACAAACTGAAGGACAAAAACCATATGATCACCTCATGAGATACAGAAAAAGCATTTGATAAAATCCAACATTCCATCATGATAAATACTGAAGAAACTGGATATAGAGGAAACATATTTTAAAACAATAAATACTATACATGAAAAAGCCCATGACTAACATCACTCTGAAGAGTAAAAAATTAAAAGCTTTCTTTCGAAGTTCTGGAACAAGATAAATATTCTCATTTTTACCACTTTCGTTAACATAATACTGGAAATTTTAACCAGAGTAATTAGGCAAGAGGAAGAAATAAAGGGAATCCAAATGGGAAAGGAAAAAAAAAAGTCCTTGTTTGCACATGCCATGTTCTTGTATTTAGAAAAACCCAAAGACTACACCAACAAACAAAAATACAAACAAATAAAGTTAGACCTGATAAACAAATTCACTATAGTGGCAGATTAGAAAATCGACATACAAATATCAGTAGCATTGCTGTATGCCAACAGAAACAATCTGAAAAAGAAATCAAGAAATCAATTCCATTTACAATAGTTACAAAAAAATAACTAGGAATACATTTAACCAAAGAAGTGAAGTAACTCTACAATATAAACTTTAGGACAGTTATGAATGAAATTGAAGAGAACACAAAAAAATGGAAAGAAATCTTACGTTCATGGATTGTAATAATTAATATTGTTAAAATGTACCCAAAGTAGTCTACAAATTTAATGACATTCCTATCAAAATACCAATGACATTCCTCATAGAAATAGAAAAAACAATCCTAAAATTTGTGTGAAGGCACAAAAGACTCTGAAGAGCCAAAGCAATTCTGATCAAAAAGAACAAAGCTGGAGGCTTCATACTCTTTACTTCAAATATACTACATAGCCGTAGGAACCAAAGTTACATGATACTGGCCTACAAACAGATACATTAACCAATGGAACAGAATAATGAACCCAGAAAATAAATCCCCGCAATTAGTGCCAAATCTTTTTTTTTTTTTTTTTTTTGCCAAAAGTACCAAGAGTATATTTTAGGGAAAGAACAGTCTCTTTAATAAATGATGCTGGGAAAACTGGATATCCATATGCAGAACAATGAAATTAGACCCATATCTCTCACCATATAAAAAATAATGCAAAATAGGTTAAATACTTATATGTAAGATCTGAAACTATGAAACTACCCGAAAAAGTACTGGAGAAATTCAGGACATTTGTCTGGACAAAGATGTTTTGTGGTAACACCTCAGAAGCACAGGCAATAAAAGTAAAATTAGACAAATGAGATCACATAAAGCAAAAAGCTTCTGCACAGCAAAGGAGACAATCAACAGAGTCAAGAAAACCCATAAAATGAGAGAAAATATTTGCAAACAGTCCATCTGACAAGGGATTAATAACCAGAATATGTAAAGAAACCAAACAACAGGAAAAATATAAAATAATAAAAGTGAGCAAATGATCTAAATAGATGTTTTTCAAAAAAAAGACATATAAATGGCCAATAAGTATATGAAAAAAAGCTCAACAACACCAATCAACAGGGAAGTGCAAATCAAAACCACTATAAGAGATTACCTTACCCCAGTTAAAATGGCTATTATCAAGAAAACAAAAAATTAACAGATGCTGGTGAGGATGTGGAGAAAGGGGAACTCTTGTACACTGTTGATGGGAATGTAAATTAGTACAGCCAGCATGCAGAACAGTATGAAAGTTCCTCATAAAATTAAAAATAGAATTACCAATTTCACTACTGTGTATATATCCAAAACAAAGGAAATCAATGTATCTGCACTTCCATGTTTATTGTAGCACTATTTGCAATAACCAAAATATGGAGTCAACCTAAGTTGATTCCATCCATTCAACAGATGAATGGATGAAAAAAATGCAGTATATATGCATAATGAAATATTAGCCATAAAAATAATGATAATCCTTCGTTTGTAGCTACATGGATGAGACTAAAGGACATTATGTTAAATTAAGTAAGACACACAGAAAAAGACAAATATCTCAAGTACTGTCTCATATGTGGGAGCTAAAAGAATGGATCTCAAGGAGGTAGAGAGTAAAATGATTGCCAGAGGCCAGGAAAGATAGGTGAAAAGGAGGATGAGGAGAGCTACACATATACAGTTATATAGAAGGAGTGAGTTCTAGGGTTCAACAGCACAGTAGGGTGACCATTGTTATCAATAACTTATAAATTCCAAAATAGCTAGCAGAGAGGATTTAGAATGTTCTCAACACAAAGAAATTCTAAATATTTGAGATGATGGGTATCTTAATTACCCTGATTTGGTCACTAAACATTGTATGCATGTATAAATATATTATACATGCAGTTATTATGTATCAATAAAAATGTTTAAAATTTAAAAAGAAATACAATATAAACAGGTAGTAAAAAATCCAAGAAAACCCTTGGTAAAACAGAAAAATAAATATATGAACTTCAATAGGATCAGATATTAATCAAATTCTGTCAGAAGGCAGGATATGTGTCAGTAATTTGGTCTGTGCTGCTCATACAGAGAATCCTTGGGTTACTGAATGATGAGTTAAGAGGAGCAGAATCCTTGCAGGGTTAACATCAAACATCCTATCTTTTCTTTTTACTTAATCCCAAAACCATTAAAGCCAGGAACAGGATTTGAGTTGTTGTAGGAAACATGCTTCCCAGAATGAAACTTAACTGGGGGCTGAGAAAGAGATCAGGGACAATTGGAGGATGACTATTCCTCCTCCTTCTCCCAAGAGGGTGCAACCCCAGGGACTTCTAAATTTGGTTCAAGAATTAAGAGAGCCTCACATCTACAAACCTCTTAACTGGAAGCATAGATTATGTAAATTCTTCTTCAATAGGGATATAAGCCCAAATATAAAAGGACTATGGTAAAGCACAAAATTAAGCCTTTCCACATCCTGAACAGACAGTCTCACTGCCACCACGTCCCTTCTGTTAGGCCCAGTGATATCCATCAAAGGATGCTGCACTGATATTCCTCATCTTTTCTTGCTCTTTGGTCTCCTCATTTGCACCAAATATTGGAACCTTTGCTAATTAAATCAAGAGTCTACTGTATGAATGATCTCCCTTTTTTTGGAAGCCAAAACACACCTGAAATGCTGAGTTGATGCTTAAGTAAAGTTGCTTTGCTCCACCTAAGACCAGTTATGAACCTGATTTTTTAAAGCCTTTGGATCAGGTACTGTAGTAGTGACTTTAATCCTTACTAAGCAAACCATAATGTATCTTGGTATGCCAATGAAGCCTTTTAGACTAAGCCTCCCAGCCCACCTTGTAGGAAGGGGTCGCTATATAACAAAGACTGACCGTTACAATTAAAAAGGAAAATTATTTGGTAGGCTTCCAGGAAGTAAAAAGGGGGCAGAAAACAAGGGCAAGCTTTTGCATACATACCAGCTGCAACTGATTCCTGTAACCTAGAAGTGGCTATGACGAATGTAGCTTCAACAACTATCCTAGACTGCAATGAGATTGGAAGTCACATAGTGAAGATGGTTGGACAGAAGAATAGAGGGGCCTGTGTCTCTGTGGACCACAGAACTGTTAATTAGTCTTGGACTGTCTAGCTCTAGAGTTCTTTTGAGGAAGAGCTAAACCAACGTCTTGTGTAAGCTATTTTTAGGTTTTCTTTTACGTGCAACTTTTGTTTTTTGATTGCAAAAGAGAAACACAGTAGCCAAAAGATGGAAATGTGTATTCATTTAGTCCAGGAGATGCAGCAGTTTTCCCTTTAACTGTTCATATATAAAACATTCTCAGTTGAATATACTTGCTGTTGCCATACTAAGACAACTAATTTGATGCTGTAACACCAAATATGAAAGAAAGGCAGTTTTTGATTTGAGGTTGTGACTGTACTTTTTTGGATTCCTGGCCATGTTACATTTTGATTACCTTTAGAATATCTAGGACAACCAAGAACAAAAATTACTTTCTACATTAATCTTCTCCCACTTCTCTTATCTAATTTCCATGGGCAGTGCTGTCCAAAAGTACATCTGCAGCCAGTAATTGGCTTGTTATTCAGTTTTGATACTGTCCAGGTCACCAGCCATTAATCAACTTAATAATCCCCCACCTCCTAGAAATTATAAAAACACAGCCACACGAAAACTTTGGGGTTGTCTGGTTGTATTGCTGGGGACAGTGGCATATGCCCACCCAGCCATCAGAGGCACAGCATCCTCTGCATCCTTTGGCTGTGTTGCATTGAGAGGTGCATAAGCAAGCATGCGCAGGGTCTGGGGATTGGCCACTGCACACAGCCAGGCACTCTTGACTGCTGCAGCAGTGGGGACAGCTCCAGGCATCAGCACAAGCACTGCCTCCATGCAAGCCCATGTCTAGATCAGGTGCAGTGCAAGCAGCTTCTGCTCTGGGCAACCACATCTGGATGAGGGGAACGCAGTAGTTCTCAGAAGCTTGGGGACATCAGAAACCACAGAGCCCCAAAGAGGGTGTCACAGCCCTGGCTCGTGAGCCTCTAGGTCTGGGTTCCCCAAAGGACCACAGCTCTTTCTCCTCCTCATCACCTGCAACATGGTGGGGGGTGGGGCATGTTTCAGCCCTCTTTGTGTTACAGCTCTTTATTTTATTTTATTTTATTTTATTATTATTATACTTTAAGTTTTAGGGTACATGTGCACAATGTGCAGGTTTGTTACATATGTATACATGTGCCATGTTGGTGTGCTGCACCCATTAACTCGTCTTTTAGCATTAGGTATATCTCCTAATGCTATCTCTCCTCCCTCCCCGCACCCCACAACAGTCCCCAGAGTGTGATGTTCCCCTTCCTGTGTCCATGTGTTCTCATTGTTCAGTTCCCACCTATGAGTGAGAACATGCAGTGTTTGGTTTTTTGTCCTTGCGATAGTTTGCTGAGAATGATGGTTTCCAGTTTCATCCATGTCCATACAAAGGACATGAACTCATCATTTTTAATGGCTGCATCGTATTCCATGGTATATATGTGCCACATTTTCTTAATCCAGTCTATCGTTGTTGGACATTTGGGTTGGTTCCAAGTCTTTGCTATTGTGAATAGTGCCACAATAACCATACGTGTGCATGTGTCTTTATAGCAGCATGATTTATAATCCTTTGGGTATATACCCAGTAATGGGATGGCTGGGTCAAATGGCATTTCTTGTTCTAGATCCCTGAGGAATCGCCACACTGACTTCCACAATGGTTGAACTAGTTTACAGTCCCACCAACAGTGTAAAAGTGTTCCTATTTCTCCACGTCCTCTCCAGCACCTGTTGTTTCCTGACTTTTTAATGATCGCCATTCTAACTAGTGTGAGATGGCATCTCATTGTGGTTTTGATTTGCATTTCTCTAATGGCCAGTGATGATGAGTATTTTTTCATGTGTTTTTTGGCTGCATGAATGTCTTCTTTGAGAAGTGTCTGTTCATATCCTTCGCCCACTTTTTGATGGGGTTGTTTGTTTTTTTCTTGTAAATTTGTTTGAGTTCATTGTAGATTCTGGATAGTAGTCCTTTGTCAGATGAGTAGGTTGCGAAAATTTTCTCCCATTTTGTAGGTTGCCTGTTCACTCTGATGGTAGTTTCTTTTGCTGTGCAGAAGCTCTTTAGTTTAATTAGATCCCATTTGTCAATTTTGGCTTTTGTTGTCATTGCTTTTGGTGTTTTACATATGAAGTCCTTGCCTATGCCTATGTCCTGAATGGTATTGCCTAGGTTTTCTTCTAGGGTTTTTATGGTTTTAGATCTAACATTTAAGTCTTTAATCCATCTTGAATTAATTTTTGTATAAGGTGTAAGGAAGGGATCCAGTTTCAGCTTTCTACATATGGCTAGCCAGTTTTCCCAGCACCATTTATGAAATAGGGAATTGTTTCCCCATTTCTTGTTTTTGTCAGGTTTGTCAAAGATCAGATGGTTGTAGATATGCGGCATTATTTCTGAGGGCTTTGTTCTGTTCCATTGATCTATATCTCTGTTTTAGTACCAGTACCAGGCTGTTTTGGTTACTGTAGCCTTATAGTATAGTTTGGAGTCAGGTAGTGTGATGCCTCCAGCTTTGTTCTTTTGGCTTAGGATTGACTTGGCAATGCAGGCTCTTTTTTGGTTCCATATGAACTTTAAAGTAGTTTTTTCCAATTCTGTGAAGAAAGTCATTGGTAGCTTGATGGGGATGGCATTGAATCTATAAATTACCTTGGGCAGTATGGCCATTTTCACGATATTGATTCTTCCTACCCATGAGCATGGAATGTTCTTCCATTTGTTTGTATCCTCTTTTATTTCCTTGAGCAGTGGTTTGTAGTTCTCCTTGAAGAGGTCCTTCACATCCCTTGTAAGTTGGATTCCTAGGTATTTTATTCTCTTTGAAGCAATTGTGAATGGGAGTTCACTCATGATTTGGCTCTCTGTTTGTCTGTTATTGGTGTATAAGAATGCTTGTGATTTTTGTACATTGATTTTGTATCCTGAGACTTTGCTGAAGTTGCTTATCAGCTTAAGGAGATTTTGGGCCGAGACAATGGGGTTTTCTAGATACACAATCATGTCATCTGCAAACAGGGACAATTTGACTTCCTCTTTTCCTAATTGAATACCCTTTATTTCCTTCTCCTGCCTAATTTCCCTGGCCAGAACTTCCAACACTATGTTGAATAGGAGTGGTGAGAGAGGGCATCCCTGTCTTGTGCCAGTTTTCAAAGGGAATGCTTCCAGTTTTTGCCCATTCAATATGATATTGGCTGTGGGTCTGTCATAGATAGCTCTTATTATTTTGAGATGCATCCCATCAATACCTAATTTATTGAGAGTTTTTAGCATGAAGTGTTGTTGAATTTTGTCAAAGGCCTTTTCTGCATCTATTGAGATAATCATGTGGTTTTTGTCTTTGGTTCTGTTTATATGCTGGATTGCATTTATTGATTTGCGTGTGTTGAATCAGCCTTGCATCCCAGGAATGAAGCCCACTTGATCATGGTGGATAAGCTTTTTGATGTGCTGCTGGATTCGGTTTGCCAGTATTTTATTGAGGATTTTTGCGTCAATGTTCATCAAGGATATTGGTCTAAAATTCTCTTTTTTTGTTGTGTCTCTGCCAGGCTTTTTTTATCAGGATGATGCTGGCCTCATAAAATGAGTTAGGGAGGATTCCCTCTCTTTCTGTTGATTGGAATAGTTTCAGAAGGAATGGTACCAGTTCCTCCTAGTACCTCTGATAGAATTCGGCTGTGAATCCATCTGGTCCTGGACTTTTTTTGGTTGGTAAGCTATTGATTATTGCCACAATTTCAGAGCCTGTTATTGGTCTATTCAGAGATTCAACTTCTTCCTGGTTTAGTCTTGGGAGGGTGTATGTATTGAGGAATTTATCCATTTCTTCTAGATTTTCTAGTTTATTTGCGTAGAGGTGTTTGTAGTAGTTTGTAGAAATACAAACTACTGATGGTAGTTTGTATTTCTGTGGGATCGGTGGTGATAACCCCTTTATCATTTTTTATTGCGTCTGTTTGATTCTTCTCTCTTTTCTTCTGTATTAGTCTTGCTAGCAGTCTATCAGTTTTGTTGATCTTTTCAAAAAACCAGCTCCTGGATTCATTAATTTTTTTTGAAGGGTTTTTTTGTGTCTCTATTTCGTTCAGTTCTGCTCTGATTTTAGTTGTTTCTTGCCTTCTGCTAGCTTTTGAATGTGTTTGCTCTTGCTTTTCTAGTTCTTTTAATTGTGATGTTAGGGTGTCAATTTTGGATCTTTCCTGCCTTCTCTTGTGGGCATTTAATGCTATAAATTTCCCTCTACACGCTGCTTTGAATGTGTCCCAGAGATTCTGGTATGTTGTGTCTTTGTTCTCGTTGGTTTTAAAGAACATCTTTATTTCTGCCTTCATTTCGTTATGTACCCAGTAGTCATTCAGGAGCAGGTTGTTCAGTTTCCATGTAGTTGAGCGGTTTTGAGTGAGATTCTTAATCCTGAGTTCTAGTTTGATTGCACTATGGTCTGACAGACAGTTTGTTATAATTTCTGTTCTTTTACATTTGCTGAGGAGAGCTTTACTTCCAAGTATGTGGTCAATTTTGGAATAGGTGTGGTGTGGTGCTGAAAAAAATGTATATTCTGTTGATTTGTGGTGGAGAGTTCTGTAGATGTCTATTAGGTCCACTTGGTGCAGAGCTGAGTTCAATTCCTGGGTATCCTTGTTAATTTTCTGTCTCATTGATCTGTCTAATGTTGACAGTGGGGTGTTAAAGTCTCCCATTATTATTGTGTGGGAATCTAAGTCTCTTTGTAGGTCTGTAAGGACTTGCTTTATGAATCTGGGTGCTCCTGTATTGGGTGCATATATATTTAGGATAGTTAGCTCTTCTTGTTGAATTGATCCCTTTACCATTATGTAATGGCCTTCTTTGTCTCTTTTGATCTTTGTTGGTTTAAAGTCTGTTTTATCAGAGACTAGGATTGCAACCCCTGCCTTTTTTTGTTTTCCATTTGCTTGGTAGATCTTCCTCCATCCCTTTATTTTGAGCCTATGTGTGTCTCTGCACATGAGATGGGTTTCCTGAATACAGCACACTGATGGGTCTTGACTCTTTATCCAATTTGCCAGTCTCTGTCTTTTAATTGGAGCATTTAGCCCATTTACATTTAAAGGTAATATTGTTATGTGTGAATTTGTCCTGTCATTATGATGTTAGCTGGTTATTTTGCTCATTAGTTGATGCAGTTTCTTCCTAGCCTTGGTGGTCTTTACATTTTGGCATGTTTTTGCAGTGGCTGGTACCAGTTGTTCCTTTCCGTGTTTAGTGCTTCCTTCAGGAACTCTTTTAGGGCAGGCCTGGTGGTGACAAAATCTCTCAGCATTTGCTTATCTGTAAAGTATTTTATTTCTCCTTCACTTATGAAGCTTAGTTTGGCTGGATATGAAATTCTGGGTTGAAAATTCTTTTCTTTAAGAATGTTGAATATTGGCCCCCACTCTCTTCTGGCTTGTAGAGTTTCTGCTCAGAGATCTGCTGTTAGTCTGATGGGCTTCCCTTTGTGGGTAACCCGACCTTTCTCTCTGGCTGCCTTTAACATTTTTTCCTTCATTTCAACTTTGGTGAATCTGACAATTATGTGTCTTGGAGTTGCTCTTCTCGAGGATTATCTTTGTGGCGTTCTCTGTATTTCCTGAATCTGAATGTTGGCCTGCCTTGCTAGATTGGGGAAGTTCTCCTGGATAATATCCTGCAGAGTGTTTTCCAACCTGGTTCCATTATCCCCGTCACTTTCAGGTACACCAATCAGATATAGATTTTGTCTTTTCACATAGTCCCATATTTCTTGGAGGCTTTGTTCGTTTCTTTTTATTCTTTTTTCTCTAAACTTCCCTTCTTCATTTCATTCATTTCATCTTCCATCACTGATACCCTTTCTTCCAGTTGATGTCATTGCCTCCTGAGGCTTCTGCATTCTTCATGTAGTTCTCAAGCCTTGGCTTTCAGCTCCATCAGCTCCTTTAAGGACTTTTCTGCATTGGTTATTCTAGGTATCCATTCGTCTAATTTTTTTTTCAAAGTTTTTAACTTCTTTGCCATTGGTTTGAATTTCCTCCTGTAGCTTGGAGGATTGTCTGAAGCCTTCTTCTCTTAACTCGTCAAAGACATTCTCCATACAGCTTTGTTCCGTTGCTGGTGAGGAGGTGCGTTCCTTTGGAGGAGGAGAGGCACTCTGCTTTTTAGAGTTTCTGGTTTTTCTGCTCTGTTTTTTCCCCATCTTTGTGGTTTTATCTACTTTTGGTCTTTGATGATGGTGATGTACAGATGGGTTTTTGGTGTGGATGTCCTTTCTGTTTGTTAGTTTTCCTTCTAACAGACAGGACCCTCAGCTGCAGGTCCATTGGAGTTTGCTAGAGGTCCACTCCAGACCCTGTTTTCCTGGGTATCAGCAGCGGTGGCTGCAGAACAGTGGTGGCTGTAGAACAGCGGATATTGGTGATCCGCAAATGCTGCTGTCTGATCGTTCCTCTGGAAGTTTTGTCTCAGAGGATTACCCAGCCATGTGCAGTGTCAGTCTGCCCCTACTGGGGGGTGCCTCCCAGTTAGGTTGCTCGGGGGTCAGGGACCCACTTGAGGAGGCAGTCTGCCCATTCTTAGATCTCCAGCTGCGTGTTGGGAGAACCACTGCTCTCTTCAAAGCTGTCAGACAGGGACATTTAAGTCTGCAGAGGTTACTGCTGTCTTTTTGTTTGTCTGTGCCCTGCCCCCAGTGGTGGAGCCTACAGAGGCAGACAGGCCTCCTTGAGCTGTGGTGGGCTCCACCCAGTTGGAGCTTCCTGGCTGCTTTGTTTACCTAATCAAGCCTGGGCAATGGCAGGCACCCCTCCCCCAGCCTCGCTGCCATCTTGCAGTTTGATCTCAGACTGCTGTGCTAGCAATCAGCGAGATGCTGTGGGCGTACGACCCTCTGAGCCAGGTGCAGGATGTAATATCCTGGTGTGCCGTTTTTTAAGCCTGTTGGAAAAGCACAGTATTAGGGTGGGAGTGACCCGATTTTCCAGGTGCCGTCTGTCACCCCTTTCTTTGACTAGGAAAGGGAACTCCCTGACCCCTTGTGTTTCCCGAGTGAGGCAATGCCTCACCCTGCTTCGGCTTGCGTCCTGTGCGCTGCACCCACTGTCCTGCACCCACTGTCTGGCACTCCCTAGTGAGATGAACCCGGTACCTCAGATGGAAATGCAGAAATCACCCATCTTCTCTGTTGCTCACGCTGGGAGCTGTAGACAGGAGCTTTTCCTATTTGGCCATCTTGGCTCCACCCACGTGTTACAGCTCTTTCAGTCCTACTATTTGGTGGGTCCCCAGTTCCCTTCCTGTGTCCAGGAAGAATGAGGTATCCAGGCAACTGGAGGGTGAGCAAGGCAGAAAGGAGCTTCATTAAGCAACAGAACAGCTTTCAGGAGACCCAAATTGGGTAGCTCTGTTCCTTAGGCAGGGGTGCTGAAGAGTGTCCACCTCTCAGCAGAGAGGAGATCTGCAGTCAATAGCTCCTTCCCGCAACTGGTAGTCCTGACATCTGAGTCTGGCTGGATCTGGGGGTTTTATGGGCTCAGAAGGGAGGAAGTGCATGCTGATTGGTCCATGGACAGCCATGGGCAGGCCCGGAAAAAGCACTGTGAGTTCTCCCTCCAGACTGCAGACTCCATTTGGAACAGGCAGCCTGGCTTGAAGGTGAGGTTTCGCCTGGGACCCACCCCTTTCTGTCCAGGAGTCTGTCTGCCAACTGCTGCCATCAATGTGCTGTCCATGGCACTCAGGCTGTTCGTGCCAAGGGGTGCCTGCAGGCCTATGCCAGACCACCCTCAGACCCCCATTGGCCTCCCTCCCATGCTTGTCAGTGCCCAGTGTCTGGAAGGGGCTGGAGCAGCAGGGCGCTCGTATGTCAGCACTGCCCTGAGCACACACACGCAACTGGGTTACGACAGTGCCTGACACACCCAGCTCAGCCACAACTTTCTTCCACCCCGGAGTGAGTGCCAGGAGTGGGGAGAGGCCAGGCAGCAGGGGCAGGCACTTCTGAGCCTGTCGGGGATGGGGGGCTTCCTGGGCCCCCAAGAGCGCAGGGATGCCTGGTCGCCAGCTATGGCTAGGTGGCTTAAGTTGAGTGGGGGAGCATGGGGCTCCTGCTCCCTGACTCGGTGGGGAACGGGGCTCCTGCCTGTTCCTGGCCCCCACCAGCTCTGCAGAACAACACATTCCAGGCTGCTCCTCCCCGCTGCAGCTGGCATTTTTGCTGCGGCTGCTACAGACAGGGCGTGGCTGTCATCATTACCAGTTGATGCTACGTGGGGGGTTGGATGAATCACTGTTGGATGCACAATGAACATCTGGAAATACCACAGGGCAATTACCTCAGCAATTCCTTATCTCTATTAGTGTGTTATTTTAGTTAATTTAAACAAATTCTGCTACTTTTTGCGTTTTCTTTCACGTTGGCAACATGAAATTTAAAAATGTTTCCTAGTGTTTAGCATGGAAAATAAAAGTAAAACAAAAAGTAGTACTGAACTTTCTTGTACCTCTGAATTGGGGGAAGAAAAATTGACCTTCTCCTGGAAATGACTGGTAGGCTGTTAAATTACTCTGTGTAGATGGCATGTATGCACATGCATGTGCGAGTGTGAGTGTGTGTATGAGTGTTCATTTTATCGTTGAATTTCCATTTATACCTGAAGGTGTCTTTTTCAGTGTTATCTTCTGTGTATGCGTTGCTTTTTTCTATTTTTCTCTCTAGCTATCTTTCTCCTTGTGAGTTTTAGAGTTTCTTAATATTTATGAATTATTATTTCTAAGTTCTTTCCTCTAAATCCCATTCTCCTCCCTTGTGTTAACAATAGTTCTCTAATTTTGCGCTATCTTTCCCTATCCCTCTGCCATAATCTTTTTGTTCTATCTTCTGAATGTAAGGTTATGATAGTGAAGTACAAAATATGTTGTATTTTCTCTATTAAAAAAGATGTACTGTTTGAAGTAGCTGTCTTAACACATTAGCTCTTGTCTCTCTCCAAATTTTAAGCAATGACACGTATAAATATAAAATAATATTCTTATAACATCATGTAAAAGCAGATGGGATATCCTTATACCAAAAAAATTGAGTCATTCCTGTAATATACCAGCAAATGAAATCAGCTCCAAAGTATATGAACTTTAAGTCTTTAGTTGAGTAGAATTTTAAAGTAATCTAAGGTGAGAGAATGTGGAGGCTGGAAAAAGGAAAAGGCCATAGAGAGTTGGACAGTAGAATAGTTCTATTAGTACCTTCCTCTTGCATTAGCTGGCTCCACCATTTGTTGGGTGTTAACTGGGGTACCAGATACCTTTGACAATTCTGATGCAAGAGATTCCTGGAATGGGTACTTTGGGCTATCAAACCAGGGTAGTTCTCTATCCCACTTATACCAGCTAAGAGGAAAGAGAAACTGATACCTATATGACAAATGACCAATACTTGATAAGAAAATCTGCTAAATTTATGTACTCCCTTTTACCTTCCAGATATTTGCATAGCCCAGGTTCTTGCAATCAGAACCTTCATTTACTGCTAATGAAAGAAATATTTTTCACTTGGACTTAGGACATATATAGCATTTTCTAGGATAAGTGAATCTAGGCCTTCATTGTAACCTTGATTATGAATCAATCAAACAAAATCAGGCAACAACAAAAAGGAAATAAAAATATTAATATTAATATAAAAATATTAAGGAAAACTATTGATAATGGGAACAAATAGTTAAAATAACATAAATATAATTATTACTGCTAAATAAATTTTTGGAGACATGAGGAAATATATTAAGCTTACTAAAAAACCAACAAGAAAACTAATAACAATAACAACAAATTGCTCTAATAAGGAAGCTCTCAAAATTCATGAAACAATCTTAAAGATACAATAATTGATTTAAGACAACATGTAGAAGGTAAGCTGAATACCAGAATGAACAGAGCCAAAGTATGAATTCATGAAATGAAAACAGAATGAAGGAATTCTTCTAGAATGCCACGAAAAGGTCAAAGAGATAAAAGATACAAAGGAAACATTAGGATATATAAAAATAGATATGTTGGTTTCATAATCGGTGTAAAGAGAGTTTCAGAAGAGACAGAGGAGAAGCAATACTTAAAACATAATGGAAGAACACATTCCTTAGCTGGGAAAACTGGCTAGCCATATGCAGAAAACTGAAACTGGACCCCTTCCTTAAACCTTATACAAAAATTAATTCAAGATGGATTAAAGACTTAAATATAAGACCTAAAACCATAAAAACCCTAGAAGAAAACCTAGGCAACACTATTCAGGACATAGGCATGGACAAAGACTTCATGACTAAAACACCAAAAGCAATGGCAACAAAAGCCAAAATTGACAAATGAGATCTAATTAAACTAAAGAGCTTCTGCACAGCAAAAGAAACTATCATCAGAGCGAAAAGGCAACCTACAGAATGGGAGAAATTTTTTGCAATCTATTCATCTGACAAAGGGCTAATATCCAGAATCCACAAGGAACTTAAACAAATTTACAAGAAAAAAGCAACCCCATCAAAAAGTGGGCAAAGGATATGGACAGACACTTCTCAAAAGAAGACATTTAGGCGGCCAACAATCACATGAAAAAAGCTCATCATCACTGATCATTAGAGAAATGCAAATCAAAACCACAATGAGATACCATCTTACGCCAGTTAGAATGGTGATCATCAAAAAGTCAGGAAACAACAGATGCTGGAGAGGATGTGGAGAAATAGGAAAGCTTTTACACTGTTGGTGGGAGTGTAAATTAGTTCAACCATTGTGGAAGACAGTGTGGCAATTCCTCAAGGATCTAGAACTAGAAATACCATCTGACCCACCAATCTCCTTACTGGGTATATACCCAAAGGATTGTAAATCATTCTACTATGAAGACACATGACACACGTATGTTTATTGCAGCACTGTTCACAATAGCAGACTTGGAACCAACCCAAATGCCCATCAATGATAGACTGCGTAAAGAAAATGTGGTGCATATACACCATGGAACACTATGCAGCCATAAAAAGATGAGTTCATGTCCTTTGCAGGGACTTGGATGAAGCTGGAAACCATCATTCTCAGCAAACTAACACAAGAACAGAAAACTAAACACTGCATGTTCTCACTTATAAGTGGGAGTTGAACAGTGGGAACACATGGTCACAGGGAGGGGAACATTACACACTGGTGCCTGTAGGGGGTTGGGGGGCCAGAAGAAGGATAGCATTAAGAGAAATATCTAATGTAGATGGCGCGTTGATGGGTGCAGCAAACCACCATGGCATGTGTATACCTGTGTAACACACCTGCACCTTCTGCACATGTATCCCAGAATTTATAATAATAAAAAAAAGATAAAAAAACAATTTGGAGGGATATCTGAGTGTCAACAAGGAAAACAAAACTCAATTTCAGAAGGTCTATGATAGAAAATCCTAAACCTTCAGAGAAGAAAATTCTAGTTTGCCATATAGAATAATCCTCAGACTGGCATCAGACTTCTCATCTGCAGCACAGGCATTAGAAAGGAAAAGAAGGCCAGGTGCTGTGGCTCACACCTGTAATCCCAGCACTTTGGGAGGCCGAGGCAGACGGATCATGAGGTCAGGAGATCAAGACCATCCTGGCTAACACGGTAAAACCCCGTCTCTACTAAAAATACAAAAAAAAAAAAATTAGCCAGGCGTGGTGGTGGTCGCCTGTAGTCCCAGCTACTTGGGAGGCTGAGGCAGGAGAATGGCGTGAACCCGGGAGGCGGAGCTTGCAGTGAGTCGAGATCATGCCATTGCACTCCAGCCTGGGCGACAGAGTGAGACTCCGTCCTAAAAAAAAAAAAAAAAAAAAAAAAAGAAAAGAAAAATATTTTCTTCAAAGCACTTGGGAAACATAATTTAGAATGTAGATTTTTTTCATATTGTTAAAATACCATGTAAGAATAGAGGCCAAGCAAAAGATGCTCAACCATATAAGATTTCAGAGATCACCAACAAAACAATTTTAAATGAATTACTGAGCATATACTCTAGCCACATTTGGAAATAAAGTTCCAAATCTTTTTCTAAATAAAGATGTTGGATTGGTGAACATGAGAAATTAAAGCATGCTGAAAATTTTATTTTGTTTAAGATGAAGATTAAATAGTATTAATAATAATTGGAAATACACTATGCTTTAATGGTGAAAATCATAGTAACCAAAGGAAATAAATTAGTTCTACAATTCATTGGTATGAAAAAGAAAAAAGAACAATACAAAACAGTCAATTGTACCAAGTCAATCCACAGTAAAGTCAGGGATAAGACAATAATGCCTATCAGTGTTATTGTTCCAATTTGTTCTATAGAACCTAATAAATATGAGTTTACAGAACATGAATATTAGAAGAAAGAAAACAAAACTGTCAATATTTGCTATGTTATGATTGTTTACATAGAAAATCCTGAAAAAATAATTTAAAAACCTTAAGACTATAATAAAGAAGTTCAGCAAAATTCCCACTTACTGGTTCCATAAAAAACAAAAAATAGCTTGACTATAAATGAGCAATTACCAATTAGAAACTGATAGAAAAATACGATTTTAATGAGTAATAAAATTATAAGATATATAAGAAGGAACTTAATAAAAATTGTATATTAAAGGTATTAATAAAAGTTGATTAAAAGATAAAACAGAAACCTGAGTAAATGGACAAAAACATGATATCTGGATGTAAGATTGACTGTCATAAAACTATCAGTTTTCAAATTAATCTGTAGTTTTAACTTAGCTTCAATCAACATCCTTCTGGCAGTGTTTTCTTTTTTAGTTTAATTGAGATCATTTCAAGTTTATAGAAGTGTTTACAAAAAATAGTACAAAATCCCCATATACCTTTCAGTCAACTTCTTTTTAATATCTTACAGAACCTTAGAACATTTATCAAAACTGAGAAATTAACCTTGGTAAATACTTTAAGTAAAGAACTTCTTAAGTTTCACTGATTTTTCTCTTTTAGAATTCAATCCAGAATATCACACTGTGTTGTATCTCCTTAGTCTCTTTCAGTTGGTGAGTGACCCTCATTCTTCTCTTGTCTTCAATACTTTGGCACTTTTGAGGAGTACTGATCATATTTTGCACACTGTCCCTCAGTCTGGGTCTGTCTGAAGTTTTCTTTGCATTAGATGGCAGGTTATGCATTATTGGGACAGATCCCACAGAGGTGATATGCTGGAGTGCATCATCTTAGGCTATGCATGAGGTTGGTTTGTTAAACATGATCACTTGATTAAAGTGGTATCTGCCAGGATTCTGCACTCTAAGATAACTGTTTACTCCTTTGTAATTAGAAATACAATATCAAAACAGTGTTTGAGTGTTTTTTTCTTAAGCTTTACAGTGTCCACTAAAAACAGTGTTTTTAAAAATTATCTAATAAGCTCCTTAAAAGTATTAAATTATGATCATATGATTCATTTGTTTCACCCTCAAAACATTTAGTTTGTTTCTGCTTAAACTTTTAACCACTAATTTTAGTAGCCATTGGTACATGTTGCTGGCAGTGATTCTTCCTGTTTTGTTCTAGCAGTGATTTTCTGTTTCCTTCATTGTTTTTACATTTATTAATTGGTATTCTTCTGTAAGAAATAATTGCCACATTATTTATTTGTTTATTCTCATTTATATCTGTATAGTATAGAGTCATGGATATTTGTATTCTCTGGATTATAATACAATATTACTATTATTTATTTTGTTGCTAAAAGTGCATCATTGACCATTAGGAGCTTTCAGGTTGACTTCTATAATTTTTTTATAAGTTTCTATCCTTTTTTTTAATAATTTTTTTATAAGTTTATATCCCTTTTTTTTGACCACATCTTATTTCTTCATTTTAAAAACATTTTTATTTTTAATTTGTGGGTACATGGTGTTTGTATTTATGGGGTACATGCGATGTTTTGATACATGCATACAATGCATAATAACCACATCATGGAAGATGGCGTATCCGTACACTCAAACATTTATCCTTTGTGTTATAAACAATCCAATTACACTCTTTTGGTTATTTTTAAATGTACAATTAAGTTATCATTGACTATAGTCACCCTGTTTGCTATAAAATGCTAGGTCTTATTTATTCTTTGTAAGGGGCACTTCCATACTTTCTGGCACCGCAAGATGCTTCAGGTTCACCTTGTATTTTATGTGCCTTGGCTTTTAAATAAACCAGTTCTCCAGTGGGCCCTGGTGCTCTTTCTTAGAGAATAGTGTTTAGAAACCACGATCTGGGTATTAGGTATGCTAATTGCCACTGAGGTGTCACTGCTTTGAGTTCCTGTCTCTAGATAGAGATAGAACACATACACACAAACACACTGGTGTATATAGCCTTATTTATGCTTATTTTTCTATCTATCTATCATCTGTCTACCTGTCTTTTGCAACCACATGTCTGTATTGATACCTCTGCGATTTTTCTAGCCCCACAGGATTCATTCTAGTCTTCTTCATTTCCATAATTGTAGCTACTTGCTCTAGGTCTCCTTAGGCACAGCCCATTTACTTATTTGTTCAAGTCAAGTATAAAAACAAAGTAGAATCAAAATTTCTACCCTATATCCCTGTGAGAAACAGTTTCCCAACTACAGCATAGTGTTTGAGTATGGACTTTCCATCTTTAGCTTTATGGTATCCAAAGTACTGTTCCAAAGTTGCTTAATCATCTTGTTTCTTCCCATTCTCTTTAATATGATAATGTGATTTATTTATAATATAGATTCATTTGTCATAATTCACATTTTATCTTTCTTCCTCCCACACATACATGTTGGCTGATTTAACTTTTTAAAAATTCATATGCATTAAAGAAGACACAAATAAATGGAAAGGTATTTAATGTTTACAGACCAGAAGACTTAATATTCTTAAAATGTCTATGCTGCTCAAAGCAATATACAGATTTAACATAATCCCTATCAAAATTTCAATGGCATTCTTCACAGAAGTAGAAAAAAGAATTCTAAAGTTTGTAGGGAACCACATACAACTCTGAATCACAAAAGCAATACTGAGAAAGAAAAACAAAGTTGGAAGCATTATACTTCCTAATGTAAAATTTTATTACAAAAGTATATTAATCAAAGCAGTATAGTACTGTTATAAAAACAGAAACATAGACCAGTGGAACAGAATAGAGAGCCAAGAAATAAATTTATACACATGTAGTCAACAAATTTTTGACAAGGGCACTAAGAAGACACAATGGGGAAAGGATAGTCTCTTCAATAAATGGTACTGGGAAAACTAGGTTTCCACATGCAAAAGAATGAAACCAAATCCTTATCTTGTACCAGACCAAAAAAAAAAAAAAAAAAAAAAAAAAGTCAACTGAAAATAGATAAAAAATCTAAATATAAGACCTGAAATCAACTCCTAGAAGAGAACACAGAGGAAATGCTTCTTGAAACTGGATGTTGGTATTAATTTTGTGAATATCACACCAAATAGCCAGGCTACAAAAGCAGAAATTAATAAATGGGATCACTCCAAACCAAAAAGCTCCTGTACAACAAAAGAAACAATCAACAAAATGAAAAGGCAACCTATGAACTGGGAAAACATATTTGCAAACCACATATCTGATAAGGGTTTTATGCTCAAAAGTTATAAAGAACTCTTACAATTTAATAGCAGAAAACAACCCAATTGAAAAATGGGCAAGAAACCCAAACAAACATTTCTTCAAAGAAAACATTAAAAGGGCCAATACGTATATGAAAAGTGTAAAATATTACTAATTATCTAGAAAATGCAGATTGAAACGACTATGAGATATCACCCATTAGGATGGCTACTATCAAAAGACAAGATACAATAAATGTCGGCAAAGGTATGGAGAAAAGGGAACCCAGTACACTGCTGGTAGGAATGTAGATTGCAACAGCCATTATGGAAAACAATATGCGGGTTCCTAAAGAAATTAAAAGTAGAACTACCATATGATCCACCAGTCTCTCTCCTGAGCATATACCCTAAGGAGATAAAATCATTACCTTGTAAAGCTATCTGCATTTCTCTGTTCATTGCAGTATTATTCACAATAGCCAAGTTATAAAAACAACCTAAGTGTCCATAGATGGATGAACGGAAAAAGAAAAGGTGTATATATACATATTCCATTATATAATGGAATATATATATATTAATATATAATGGAATGTATATATACACATTTTTAAATTTATATATAATGGAATATGTACATACATAATATTCATATATATGAATATATAGGAATATAATGGAATTATATATATATATGAATATACAGGAATATAGAAATATAATGGAATATTATTCATGCTTGAAAAAGGAATGAGATCCTGCCATTTGCCACAATATGGTTGGACCTGGAAGACATTATGCAAAATGAAATAAGCCAGACACAGAAAAAAAATTGTGTAATCTTGCTTATAAATGGAAGCTTTGAAAAAAGGTCAAATGTGCAGAGATAGAGAATAAAACAGTGGTTACCAGGGGCCAGGGAGGAGAGGAAATGGGGAGATGTAGGTCAAAGGATATGAAGTAGCAGATAGGTAGGATGAACAAGTCTAGAGATCTAATGTACATCCTCTAATAAGAACTATCATTAATAACATTATACTGGGGATTTTTGTTAAAATCCCCAAATTTTGTTATAAATTTTGTTAAAATATCTGTTATTTTGTAAATAAGATTCTAGCTTTTTTGGTCACACACAAAAAGTAACTATGTGAGATGATGCATATGTTAATTTGCATCACTATAGTAACCATTTTACTATCCATATGTATCCCATAATACGTTGTAAACCTCAAATATACACAAAAAATTTATTTAAACAATTTTATGTGCAATATGTTTCACCCTTTGTGTGGTATATAGTTTCATAGGTTTTAGGAAATGTCAGATTCTACCACCATACTTACCCTTAAATTCCCTTATGTAGACAACATCTCTTCCAAACCCCTGAGGCTGGCAAGCAACTGATTCGTTTTCTATCCCTTATACTTTTGCCTTTTCTGGCATGTCATATAAATGGAATCATGCACTATGTGACTTTTGGGTCAGACTTCTTTCACTTAGTAAAATGTATTTATGATTCATGCATGTTGTGTGAATCAATGGTTTGTTATTTTTTATTGCTAAATTATATTCCATTGTATGGCTATTTCATAGTTTTTGTATTCACTAGTTGAAAGAGGTCTATTTTTTCCCAATTTTTCGTGTTTATGAATAAAGTTTCTGTAAACATTTGTGTATAGTTTTTTGGATCTGTGGGTTAGATGCATATTTAATTTCATAAGAAATTGCCATACTTCTGTTTTCAAAGTGGCTGTAGCATTTGGAATTCTCACCAGCAACTAACGAAAATTCTAGTTCCTCCATGTTCTTGTCAGTGCTTAATAATGCCAGTTTTATTTTTGGAGGTGTGGAGGCATTCTAATAAGTGTGTTGTGGTATCATCTTGTGGTTTTAATTTGTACTCCCCTAGTTATTAATGATGTTGAATAACTTTTTAGAAACTTTTTTTTTTACTTTTAAGTTCAGGAGTACATGTGCAGGTTTGTTATGTAAGTAAACTTCTGTCATGGGGGTTTGTCGTACAGATTATTTCATCACCCAGTTATTAAGCAGAATACCCATTAGTTATTTTTCCTGATTCTCTCCCTCATCCCACCGTCTGCCCTTCAATAAGCCCCAGTGTGTGTTGTTCCCCTCTGTGTTCATGTGCTCTCATCATTTAGCTTCCACTTATGAATGAAAACATGCAGTATTTGGTTTTCTGTTTCATTGTTAGTTTGCTAAGATAATGGCCTTTAGCCATTATCCATCCTTGTCCCTGCAAAGGACATTATCTCATTCTTTTTATGGCTGCATAGTATTTTGTGGTGTATATGTACATTTTCTTTATCCAGTCTATCATTGATGGGCGTTTAGGTTGATTCCATGTCTTTGCTATTGTGAGTGGTGCTTCATTAAACACATGCATGCATGTGTCTTTATAATAGAATGATTTATATTCCTTTGGATAGATACCCTGTAATGAGATTGCTGGCTTGAATGGTACTTCTGTCTTTAGTCTTTGAGAATTGCCACACTGTCTTCCACAATGGTTGAACTGATTTACACTCCCACCAACAGTGTATAAGGGTTCCCTTTTCTTCACAACCTCGCCAACATCTGTTATTTTTTGAATTTTTAGTAATGGTCATTCTGATTGGTATGAGATGGTATCTCATTGTGGCTCTTAGTTGTCATCTAGTAATCTTTACTGAATTGTTTTTTCAGATATTCTGCCCTTTCTTTATTAGAATGTTCCAGCTTTTATTATTGTACTTTTAGAGATTTTATATATTCTGGACATTAAGTCTTTTCTGAGAAATGTAATTTGCATATGTATATATATTCTTAGCCCATGGCTTGTCATTTCATTCTTTTTACAAGATCCTTCAGGTATAAAAGATTTTTCATTTTTAGAAAGTCCACATTTATCATTTATTTTCTTTTGTGAATTATATTTTTGGTCTCATATCAAAAAACTCTGCCTAACCCAGTGCCATGTGGGTTTTTTCCTATGGTTTTTAATGAAGGCTTGTGTTCCTCAGTGGAGACAGGGGAGTGGATCAGGGAGTGTTTCTTGCTCCTCTTGCACAGCTGTTATCCCCACACTTCCTCAGCTCTTTCCAATCATTTCTGTCAGTGCACCACGTGGGGTTCATGAAGCGATAGCCTGCAAGACCTGTGGCCCTCAATGGGTTTCATTTTGCTCTGCCAGCCCACACTCAGCTTTTACTATTTTTTTCAGCTATTCTAGCTTAACTTTTCCCACCATGTTTGCTGTCTACTCCAAGTGAGTGAATGCTCGCATCTCCTTTCTTTCTGCAAATCTCATCTTTCCTGAGATGTTTGGGACTATTTGTTGTGTCTCACGTCCCTAATGGGTTCAAGAAAAAGCATAAATATGAAGTCTGGCTCTTTTTCATTGCAAGGGTAAAAGTGATCTCCTTTTCTATGGTTCTGGGAAGAAGCTAGAATTATATCTTTGGGATTTTTAAGAAACTAGAATAGCTGATTTCTAGTAAATGGAGAAGAGTAGCCAAGAAATGTTTAAAAAGAAAAATAAAGGAAGATTTGTATTTCAAACATTGTATTACAAAGTTACCTTATTATATTTTCAATAATATCATTTTATGTGATACAGCTACCTTAATTGAAACAGTATGATTTTGGTACAGAAATAAGCACAACAGATCAATAGAACAGGATTGATTTTTCAGAAACAGGCCCTATAAATATGATAATGTGATATATGATAAATGAGATAATTCAAATCACAAGAGACACAAATTATTTACTAAAAGATTTAGAAACAATTGACTATCCGTTAAAATATATCATATTTTCTATATTATAATATTCACAATATATTCCAAATATACTAAAGATCTAATTATAAGGAAAACTAAGAATAAAGGTATTATATGTATGAAATTATAAGACAATGCTTATGTAATTTTGGCATAGGGACAACCTTTCTAAAGAAGGAACAAAACCCAGACACTACAAAGAAAAGGACTGAGCATTTGAACCAACTAATAATCCAAATTTTAAAACCTCTATATAACACAAAACACCATAAATAGAGTTTTAAAACAGTGACAGGACAAGAGAAAATATTTGCCTTGTCTGTATGACTCCACAAGTTAATACAAACATTACTAAATAGCCAAATAAAATTATTGACCAAAGATGTAAATTAGCAGTTTACAAAAGAACTGAAATGACCAATAGACAGAGGAAAAGATACCCAGCCTCCTACTAATCAGAAAAAATAAAATAAAAAACTGATGAGATTTTGGTTTTTACTCATAAGGAGTCCAATTTTTAAGCAAATTTATAAATAATTGTTACTGATGACAGTATGAGAAACTGAGCACTTTTATATACTGTTGATGAGAAAGCATGTTTAAAGCTTTTAACTCCTTAAAAGTATGTTTGTTTTTTCAGGAGTTCAATTGAATAGTATTAATCACAGTTTAACTTATTCACTCCCTGGATTCCTTTGGTCATAAGAAAAACATCCTATGTGAGTTTGCTTATGCAATTCAAGCAAATTATCGACTGAACCGAAAAATTCAATTGAAAGAAATTCAGCAAAGACACATTAGCTTCAAGTGAGTCTTGATAAGCAAGCACCCAGTTTCCTGCTGATTCTCTGTTCTCCCTTTTATCCTATGCTTGCCTCCACCTGTGATCTGCAGACGATGCTATGAGCTGAGTTATGTCCCATCAAAAGTCATATATTGCAGTCCTAACACCTAGGACCTCAGAACATAACTGTATTTGGAGATAGGGTCTTTAAAGAGGACATTAAATTAAAATGAGGTCCTTAAGGTGGGACTTAATCCAATATGAATGGTTACCTTATAAGGATAATTAATAAATGCGGAAATTCAGACACAGATACACACGGAGGGAAGCACACACAGGGATACACACAGAGGGAAGACGATGTGAAGACACAGGGAGAACATAGTCATCTTTAAGATAAGGAATGAGGCCTGGCACAGGTCCTCCCCTCATGCCCCTTAGATGAAACTAACTCTGCTGACACCTTGGTTTCTAGCCTCTGGAACTGTGAGAAAATAAATTTATGTTGCTTAAGCCACCCAGTTTGTGGTTCTTTGTTAATGGCAGCCCTAGCAAACCGATACAGATGGTATTTGACATCTCCCAGGGCTACGTTTTTCCTATATATGTGCAAAAAAGAGTAAGTATCTCGGAATTCTCATCAAAATTCCTGAGTTTCATTTGATTAGAACAGTTTTAAGGTGTGCACCACCTTCTAAATCCATCAGTCTTATCAGAGATAGTAAATGGGCTCATTGCCTTAATTCACAAGCTCTACTTCTATTAGAATCTGATTCCCAGATGAAAAGAAGTTGAGTGGAATATGAGGGTTATTGCAAATGGGAAGCAAAGAAGGGATGCCAGGTGAATGTCTTCTCTGTTCTTTGACCTGCAACCACTCTTCTCACTAACTGAAGGAAATGCCGACATATGTGTCCAAAGGGCCCATGTGAGCTTTTTATTACGCTATTCTTTGTTACTGTGTGAAACTGGAATCAACCTCAATGACTGCCAGTAAAATAATGACTGGCTAATCTATGAGAAAACCACAGAGTGGATTAGCATGCCTTCTATGCAAATGTTAAAAATAATAAATTATATTAACATGGTTTGAAATGGAAAGATCTGCATGACCAAAATGAAAAATCTGAGTTCTACACAATATCTACATTATGGTGATAATTACAAAAAGCAAACTTACTGTGTTTTTGCATGTGCATGTAAGTATTTATGTGCATTTTTTTTTTTTTTTTTTTTTTTTAGACGGAGTCTCGCTCTGTCGCCCAGGCTGGAGTGCAGTGGCGGGATCTCGGCTCACTGCAAGCTGCGCCTCCCGGGTTCACGCCATTCTCCTGCCTCAGCCTCCCAAGTAGCTGGGACTACAGGCGCCCGCCACTACGCCCGGCTAATTTTTTGTATTTTTAGTAGAGACGGGGTTTCACCGTTTTAGCCGGGATGGTCTCGATCTCCTGACCTCGTGATCCGCCCGCCTCGGCCTCCCAAAGTGCTGGGATTACAGGCGAGAGCCACCGCGCCCGGCCTATGTGCATTTAAACATGTCTAGAAGGATATCCACCTAACTGACAACAATGGTCATGTCAGAGGAGAATTACGATAATTGATTATGGGAGCTTTTGCTTTATTTTTGGTTTTTAGCTAGTTATGAAATTCACTTGGGTAATTATTGTTTGTGAAACTAAAAAATAATAAAGTGCTTAGTACTGTGTCTGTAATATAATGAGTACTTACTAACTTTTAGCTATTATTATTAAGGATAGGTAGGCATGTCCCAAATCACATTTCTGCCAATGTATATATATTAGAGAAGGGAAAACGGTGCCCGGCAACTAGATTACATATGTGTGATATGTTTACGTGTGGGTGTAAATGCACAGTATAGATATAGAAAGTCCCTCATCAAGTTGGTAACCGGATTGTCATTGTGTGGGAGCATACAGAGTAGGGAGGGGAGAAAGGTGGCCTCTGTTTTTGTTCCGCCTGTTGTATTTTAACTTTTCACAAATATGCATTGTTTTGGTACCATTTGAGATACTCAAACCTACTTATGTAATCCTTGGTTTGCTTCTATAATCTATATTCTCATTTACTTAAAAAAGAATTTCAGCAAGGAAGAGCAATGTGCAAAAGCATTAATTTGAGCTCTGTTTGTGTTCCTGTATTTCAGTCTATTAAAGGAGAATGAGGATTGTTTGTCAAAGCAGGACCAGCTGGGATTCGTTGGCTGACTCCCAGATGCGACTGTGAAGAAGCGGATATTGGGTGCTCTCCCACCTCGTCAGGAGCAGCGTTCTCCTGCCTGCTCTTGGCACCCCCTAGCATCCTGTGCCCTGCTAAGGTGTTAACTGACAACTGACAGATTTTACTAAGAGCCTACTCTTCCCAGTAGTATTTTCACTTCAAAAGTTGACTTAAAAACTTAAAAAAAAAAAGTCCTCTGAGAGTCAAGGCATAAAGTTTTTCCACTACAGCTCATAAATAGGATCACAGCTCTACCATCTTCAAGGCAAATAAACAAATGCTCCCTCGACCCTGGAGATTCCATTAGCTACCATCCCATGTTTATCAATTTTCAAGCAAAATTTTCAATAGGAAATTTCATTGTCTCTTCTACTAACTGTCCAATCATTACAACGCTAATGAAATCAAGCTTTCATCTTCTCCCCTCAAATTGCGCTCTTTAAGATCACCATTGTTAAGATCTAATTGCCAATCTGAGGGACTTTTCTTCAATGTAATTCAGTACTCTTTGGGAGAGTTGTGTTGCAGCATTATAGTTTTAAATTTGTCTGTCTGTCTCTCTCCCTATCTTGGAGGTGTAGTTCTTTATGTCTGAGTCTCTGCCTCAACCGTCTTCATAATACTGTTGTCTTACATAATGCTTAGCCCATGTTATTGCTTACAATATATTTGCTATCTGATATCTGTTGAAAGACTAAATGATTTGGGAGGACCAGTGCTGGTCACATAGTTGAATTGAATAAAATTTGTGCAAAGGCCTGACAGGCGGTGGAAATGTTAGACTGAGGAAGGGATTTTTGAGCAGGTTAATTCATCTATCAGCCCTTCAAAAATTCTACCCACCCACTCTTAAGATTGGCTCTGATTGCACAAATTAGGAAAATACAAAGGTTTACCCTGGCTGGAGCAGGAACCAGAATTCATTGAGGTTTGATTGAAAGAAAAGAGTGGCATCTACAGTATAACACTGAGTAAAGCATGGAGGTCAGAGAGGAGGAGAGAGTTATTCTGACAGCAGAGCAAGAAAGTGATTCTAATGCCCAAGGTTTTAATCAGACATTATATTAGGTAGGTACGAAAGTAATTGCGTTTTTTGCCATTCCTTTTAAGATGGCAAAAACCGCAATTACATTTGTACCTACCTAATACTCATTCCTACGTTCCTTTTAATGGCAGAAACCGCAATACATTCCTAGCTAATACATTCCTTTTAATGGCAAAAACCGCAATTACTTTTGCACCAACCTAATATTTCTACACCCCAAAGACACAGGACAAACCTTTTCAATAATGTAAATATGCATAAATTTCTAAAGCAGTGGAAGTGAAGATGGCCTTTAATCACTTTTAACGGCATCTCTAAGCAAGTCCTGAGTCCTGCTGAAGAGATAGGTATAGCATCTCAGCTTTGCACATCCTGAGCTCTGCTGAAGAGATAGGTACAGGATTTCAACTTTACACATCAGTTTTCAAAACACTGTAGTAAAAAATCCTGCTTCTGAACATTCCCCCACCTCTCATACATCCCCTCTACTTTTTGACCCAGGGACTTCTTGTTTTTGTCTTACTATAGTTCAAATCCTGTTTTGGGGGTGCTGGGAAGGGATAGTGCATAGGGGAGAAGGGGGCACACCACCCAAGGGATAAATTTGCTAAGCTGAACTACAAGTAACTTTCCTTCCATTGAACACCTCCAAAATTAGACAGCATAATTTTACATAGAGCCTGCCCTGAGTGTAACAGAAATAGAGTCATTGTAATAGAAACGTGTCATAAGATCAATGTCTCCCACTTCTAAAACAAACATCTTGGCTGTGCCTCTGTGTTTGTTTTGGCTTCAGAAGCTGAGTCCTTTATCAAACAGTAGGAGACTATTATCTGGTGATAATGTATTTTGATTCTATTGTTATCTTAAAACTGGTTTCTTCTGGGCCCATCCTTCTGGTATGTTTGTTTAATGACATGTTTAAAAATCTTTGTAAGAGCTGTATTAAAATGACAGATATTTTGTGTTGCCAACATAAACCACAATCTCCAAGGCTGGTGATAAACTCCACTCCTGGCCTCAGCTACTGTAGGCTTTGAAGCTCTTAGCTGCTTTTCAAATGTTGGCATCGTTGTCAATCATTCTGTATCAACCTTATAGTTTGTGTGAGGAAGCCATTTGTTAAATTGCAGCCTCCTAGACTCAAAGAACATTTACCAAATGCTTTCAGATAAAATGCCATCTTATTCTGTAAAATACTGGGAAGCTCGCAAAGGGAAGAAATACTTGAGGGAAATAGCAAATTGCAGGAGAGAAAAGTGACATAACGCATTACTCTATTCTCCATTGCACTTTTGATAAGAACTGAGAACAGCACTTAATTCCCCTCTCTTCTGTGTGTGTTTGTGTTATTCATTTGACTAGATAAAGCTCTTTGGGGCAGGGTACACATACCATACTGGTGGTCTCAAAATTATAAAGGAATGGCCACCCCACCATGGTAACTCCGTGTGGTGACTCCTGAGCCAAAGGAGCATCTCTCTGGATTTTCCTCATATTCTATAATCCTTTCCTCTGCTTTTGAGTGACCCTACTCTTCTCTAAGACTAGAAGGTCTTCTAAATTATGGGAAAATGTATGGCAGAGATGGTGAAAGGTCAGTGAATATTCCTTTTTTTCCCCCCAACACTATCACCAGTCTCCTGCTCCAAGGTTGCCTAGTAGCTGGTCCCATAGTCCCATTATATTTTCATAAATCCTTTTTGTATTTACCCCTCTCATCCTGTTATTTTAGTCAAATATGCAAAAGATGCAGATTGAGGATTCCCTCTGAAGTGCCAACTCAAATGTCTACCATTGTCACCTGCATTTTAACTTACAGGATCTAAGCTAGTGGTTCTCAACCAGGGAATAGCACAAGTGCACAAAGTGGCAAGTGAAACCTGAGTAATACATCTGTCAATACACAGTGCATTATGTTTGTTTACACATAATATGATATAAAATTATTTCTGCATATATCCTTTTCAAATGTATGTTTGCAGTAGGTGAAACAATATATTACCAGTTAATCACTTCTATACACAGAAATGGAAATTGCAAATCATCTTGCAGCAGAGTTCTCTCATTATAGGAAGATTTACTTGAGTAATTCTTCTTAGTTAAGCAGTTGCTGGGCAAGAAAGTGCCATTGTGCTGGGGGAATCTTTTTTTTTAATTTTATTATTATACTTTAAGGTTTAGGGTACATGTGCACAATGTGCAGGTTTGTTACATATGTATACATGTGCCATGTTGGTGTGCTGCACCCATTAACTCGTCATTTAGGGGAATCTTATAATAGAAACAATTTTGGTCCCTGGCCTCTTGGTTTTCAGAGTTAGTGTTTGGGGAGAAGGATGAAGAAAAGCCACGAAATTGTTTATGAAGGATGGGGTTAAGATTCTAACCTCTTATCTCTGAGATTAGGAGTAAGGGAAACCTACCTGGGTGGACAAAGCTAGTTGGTGCTAAAGGATGCCAGAAGTCCTAGAGAGGCTCTGACTATAAGTTAAATGGCTGGCAACCTCATCTCAGTATAGATTCTGGTGCTTTTATAGGAGATTAGAGCTAGTGTGGCATGTGTCTGAGCCAAGATGTACCTGCAGGTCCTGCCACCCTTTGGAGAAGAATGACTGAAGGTACTAGGAGTCTTGTTTGAGGAACTATGGAGGTGCTGACAGGAAACAGAATGACAAAGGCGTCACTGCACACTACATTCATGTTCCTTGTGCCACAGGGTATTATTGTTCAGTAGCAATCATTCAACGCCAATATGGCAGTGGTCATGAACCGGTGGGATTTTACAGTTCTTTCTCCACTTGGTGTTTAGAAGGACATGGTATATTTTTTCCAAGTAAGCCCAAATATTATCTAATAGGATTCATGGAAATTTTGCTAATAGAAGCCTATGGAAATTTGATGATAAATTGAAAAAGAGTTATTACTATATTTGTATCCCAAGCTTATAAAGTGGGTAACACTACTTGAATATGCATACTACCATGATTTGAAATATTCAACATTATTTAAGCACACTATTGAATACATAATAGTCTTTTGGAATTTTGTATTTTATTAATCAGCAGATACCCTATGGGAATTTGAAAGTTTATCAGTATAAATAAGGGATTCCCATTATCAGAAGGAATTACTGAATTAAGAGGAGTAGCAAGCAAACAACCTTAAACTTCATATGAGTTTTCCATATTGTTTCTACTGCTCAAAACTCTTAATAAACACATTTTTAAAAGGCTGTACCTGATCCAGGGGCATCCTTAAGGAAAGATCTGGGCTGCATTTTGCTTCTGGGGGAAGGGAGAAATTCTATTTGAAACAACCAGTGGGAACTTGTTAGTCTTTAGAGCCCTTAGAAGAAAAGCAAGAGGTGACAGGTAGCCAGATGTATTAGTTTGCTAGGACTGCCATAGCAAAAACACCACAGATTGGGAGGCTTAAACAACATAAATTTATTTTCTTTAAATTCTGGAAGCTAGAAGTTCCAGATCAAGACGTTGGCAGGTTTGGTTTCTCCTGAAGCCTCTTTTCTTCACTTGAAGATGGATCCCTTCTTTCTGTGTCCTCATATGATGGTCCCTTGGTCTGTACGTGTCTCTGTCCTCATTCCTCTTCTTACAGAGATACCAGTCTCCTCTGTAAGGAGGCCCCACCCATATGACCTCCTTTTGCCTTAATTATCTCACTAAAGACCCTATCTCCAAATCTAATCACATTCTGAGGTACTAGGGATTAGGACTTCAACATAAGAATTTTGGGGAGGGACATGACTCAGCCCATATCACCAAGTGAGACTTTTAAGACAGGCCCCCAAGTATGACAACAGCAAGGTTCCAGGATCCATAGTTTTTCCTCCTTGGGACTTGATGCCATGTTCTGAGCTCCCAATAGCCCTCAAGTCTCTGAAATCTCAGCCTTTGCTGTGTTGAGGCAGGGCTGTTCAGCTCCTGTTGGAAGGTGAAGGAAGAAGGAGACATAAGGAAGACACTGGCTCAGGCATACCGACTTGGAACTGGAAACCAGTTTTAATGTGGAAACACTTTTCTATGTCATGATCAGTTTCTTTTAGATTATCAATTTTCTTTTCAGATATGTAATTGGATAAAATGACTTTCTAGAGTTGGCTGATTGTTTGCCACAATAACATTGTATATATGCTTGCTAACTCACAAAAGGTCAAACAACTATTATTGATAACCTAGTCACAGATGGAGTCTGCCTGTACATCCTTTACTTTTCCCTTCGAGGTCGATTATAATGCTTCTTAAATATGTTTTGATTGATTACTTTTTGGCTCACAGACTTTTTGTAAAACATCTTCAGGCTGCCTCAGGCTGTGAGCAATTGTGGAGGATGGTCAAGTTATACAAGAGGGAGAACTGACTCTACATATTTTTTAAAAATTCTGGTAGTCATGACTCTGGTCAACTAGATTGAGCAGAGACAAAATCAACATCAGATTCATGAATTCATGCAAGAATCCTTACAAGAAAAATGATTACACTTTTTCTCTTAACAGAAACAGCTGGTGTCAGTGATATGGATGGCTGAAGTTTTATTTGTATGACAGCGGTTGGTATAATAGCCCTTCTGCTTCTTACATTTAAAATACCCCATAGAGAAGCTTGCTACTGAGAGAATGGCAAGACAGGGGCCTTAAACTCCAGAAGAGGCAGAAATCCTGGGAAAGCTCCTCTTCTTGTATTGAACTAGGGAAGGCTGTTTTTTTTTTTCCACCCCTTAACGGAATCCTCCCATGACTTAACCATTTCGAAGAGGACCTGTAAGATTTTCATAAATATAATTGCTTTTCATTTTTCCTGAAGAAATAATAAGAGAAAATGGGCAAAAAAAAACTGAAGTGAAGGTTGCATTAGTCTTAGTGAAGACTAAGATATTGAATGCTTTTAATTTGGTTGTAGTTGAAAAAGTTTTCTTCTGAAGTTTCTTGGGGAAATTTACTTTTAGAAGGGATTAAGTAATTCTACGGCTGAAATAAGAATTTAGGGTATTAAAAAATAAAGCACCTTGCCTTATGGATCCTTTATGGCCCTCTCCATAAAGAAGAATTAATAATGATGATACAATTAGTGGCTATTTGCAATCTGCTAGGTATTGGACATACATTATTTAACTTAATTCTTATAATTTTCTACAAGGCCTATTCTTAGCTCTCTTTTTATATTAAGAAAACAAAGGATCCAGGAGGTTAAATAACTTCCCCATGGTCACAGAGTTAATGTGGTAGAACCTGAATTTGAACCCCGAATATCTGGCTCTAAAGCTGGCGCTTTTAATTATGCCCTTAACTATTGCACTATCATGTCATAGCTTGCCCCTAAATGTTGCCTTCTCTCTTTTGATCTAACTCTTCTCAGCCTTGGCTACTTAAGAAATAGAAAATAATGTAAATTTACCCTCCTCTGCCTACCTTTTTTCACATTGTTTGGCTCCATATTCTATATAACTCACTAGTTCTTGCTTCAAAACTTACAATTTTGAGGAAACCAAGCAAAGAAATAAGGCTTTTTAATACCTGTTCAAAATCCAGTGTGTTTCATCATTCATTCACATCTTCATTTGATATATATGACCACTCATCGGTCACATTTAGAGCAGCTAATTTGCATAGTTTTAAAGTACAAATATTGATTCTTTTAAGTAGCTGTTCCCTTCTTATATTTTTAAATTACGTTATCTCTTCAAGTAGATATTTCACAGAAGAAAAAGTAAATATATCCACATCTATCTTCATTTGAAATGTGACAAATGGATGTATCCTGGAAGCTCCTCTATTTTGTCAGTTAGTTTTCTTGATGGTGTGACTGGAAATAGCACTAGATTACAATTGGATTACAAGAGAGGAAGATTAGAATTTAGCAACTGGTTTTCAATTCTTTTGCTACTTTGGATGTATAAGAAAAAAGAAAAGGCCATGAAAACTTCTGACTCAAAGATAGAGGCTGTACATTCAATATTATTTACAAATAGTAACATTTTAATGAACTAGACGACTTGAGGGATGGAGAAAGTGCTTGTTAATGGACTCTCCTGGCAACTTCAAGATTACCCATTATGCTCTTTATTTCATTCTTATGATGTTACCATGAAACTTTTTGACTATTCTCTTTTATGATTGATATCTTGGAGTATACCAGACTCATTGTCTGAATAGCAAAGAGAATATAGAATTTAACAATGTAAATAATATCAATCCCCAACAGAATCATACAAAATGGAACTTGCACAGTGCAACTGCACTTTAAATTTATCCCTTTCCTGCAAGTGTCTGCTCCATTCAGTTGAAACGAGTAGTCAGTGGCCAAAGAAGTAAGGTGGTTGTAGCAGTACAATATCTGGTTGTGGTATTCATAGTACTTCATGTTAGCTTTGAGTGACGGTATTTATGGAGTTATCCTTTTTTAGCATATGTATGTTTTTAATTGAAGCTTGACCCTAGAAAGAAAAGCTATCCCCAGAATCTTTAAAATTGCAGCAGCAACTATATAATATACTATCTACATTCAGCCTGCCATGACTTATTTCTACCATCACACGTGAAATGCTATCTTTTGATGAAGAAATGGGAGAAAAGAGTAACATCCTTTAATTTTATGCAATAATGAGTGCTATGACAAACTGTAAATTGCTAATATTTTTTGTAGCTATTGTAAAAGGGATTGAATTCTTGATTTTATTCTCAGCTTGGTCGTTGTTGGTGTTTAGCACTGCTATTGATTTGTGTACATTGATTTTGTATCCCGAGACTTTACTAAATTTATTTGTCAGATCTAGGAACTATTTGGATGTGTCTTTAGGGTTTTCTAGGTAGATGATCATATCATTGGTGAACAGCAACAGTTTGACTTTCTCTTGTCCAATTTGGTTGTTCTTTATTTCTTTCTGTTATCTTATTGCTCTAGCTAGGACTTCCAGTACTATGTTGAATAGAAGTGGCAAAAGTGGGCATCTTTATCTTTTTCTGCTTGTCAGGGGGAATGCTTTAAACATATCCCAATTCAATATAATGTTGGCTTTGGGCTTGTCACATATGGCCTTTATTACTTTGAGATAAGTGTCTTCTATGCTTATTTTGTTGAGGGTTTTTTTCATCATAAAGGGATGCTGGGTTTTATAAAATGTTTTTCAGTGCCTATCTTTTTTACAATATCTGCAAAAAATATAAAATAGTTAGGAATATGTTTAACCAAAGAGATGAAAGATCTCTGCAAGGAAAACTACAAAACACTGCTGAACAAAATCGTAGATGATACAAACGAAAACACATCCCATGCTCATGGATGGGGCAAATCAATATTGTGAAAAAGACCACACTGTCTAAAGCAATCTACAGATTTAATGGAATTCTTATCAAAATACCATCATCATTCTTCACAGAATGAGATAAAAACAATTCCAAAATTCATATGGAACCAAAAAGGAGCCCACATATCAAAAGCAATACTAAGCAAAAATAACAAATCTGGAGACATCACATTACTTGACTTCAAATTATATTACAAGGCTATAGTTACCAAAATAGCATGGTACTGGTATAAAAATAGGCATGTAGACCAATGGAACAGAATCCATAACCCGGAAATAAAGCCAAATACTTACAGCAGACTGATCTTTGATAAAGCATATGAAACATAAATTGGGGAAAGGATACCCTATTTAATAAATGGTGCTGGGAGAACTGGCAAGTCACAAGTAGAATGAAACTGGATCTCTATTTCTCACTTTATATAAAAATCAACTCAAGATGGATCAAACACTTTAAATCTAAGACCTGAAACCATAAAAATTCTAGGAGACAATATTGGAAAATCTCTTCTGGACATTGGCTTAGCTAAAGAAATGAATAACTAAGACCCTGCATTAGATCATTCTCACACTGCTATAAAGAACTACCTGCAACTAGGTAATTTATAAAGAAAATAGGTTTAATTGACTCACAGTTATACAGGCTGTACAGGAGGCATGTCTGGGGAGGCCTCAGGGAACTTACAATCATGGCAGAAAGACTAATGAGAAGCAAGTACTTCTTCACATGGCAGCAGGAGAGAGAGCAAAGGGGGAAGTGCTACACACCTTTAAACAACCAGATCTCATAAGCACTTACTAGAAGAGAAAGGGGGAAATATTGCCCTATGATCCAGTCACCTCCCACCAGGTGCCTTCCCCAACATGAGGAATTACAATTCAGCATGAGATTTTGGTGGGGACACATAGCCAAAACATATCATTCTGCCCCGTCCCCTCCCAAATCTCATGTTTTTCACATTCAAAACACAATCATGCCTTCCCAACAGTCTGCCAAAGTCTTAACTCATTCCAGCATTAACTCAAAAGTTCAAGTCCAAAGTCTCATCTGAGACAAGGCAAGTTCCTTCCAGCTATGAGTCTGTAAAATCAAAAACAAGTTAGATACTTCCAAGATACAATGGAGGTACAGACATTAGGTAAACAGAAGTGTTCCAAGAGGGAGAAATCAGCCAAAACACAGGGGCTACAGGCCCCATGCGTGTGCAAAACCCATCAGGGCAATCATTAAGTCTTAAATTTCCAAAATAACCTCTTTGACTCCATGTATCACATTCAGGTCACACTGTTGCAAGGCGTGGGCTCCCAAGGCCTTGGGCAGCTCCACCCTGGTGACTCTGCAGGATATAGTCCTCACCACTGCTTTTACAGGCTGGAATCAAGTGCCTACAGTTTTTCCAGGCTCACGGTACAAGGAGTCGGTGGTTCTACCACTCTGGGGTCTGGAGGATGGTGGCCTCTTCTTACAGCTGCACTAGGCAGTGTCCCAGTGGGGACTCTGTGTGGGGGCTCCAACCACACATTTCCCCTCCACACTGCCCTAGTAGAGGTTTTCCATGAGAGCTATGCCCTGTCAGCAAACTTCTGCCTGGACACCCGGGCATTCCCATGCATCCTCTGAAATCTAGGTGGAGACTCCCAAGCCTTAACTCTTGTCTTCTGCATACCCACAGGCCCAACACCATATGGAAGCTGCCAAGGCTTGGGGTTTACACCCTATGAAGCAACGGCCCAAGCTGTACCTTGGCCCCTTTTAGCCATGGCTGGAGCTGAAGGCACTGTGACACAGAGCGCCATGTTCTGAGGCTACACAGAGCAGCAGGGCCCTAGGCCTGGCCCACAGAACCATTTTTTTCCCTCCTAGATCTCTGGGCCTGTCATGGTAGGGGCTGTTGGAAAGGTCTCTGAAATGCCCTGGAGGCATTTTTCCCATTGTCTTGGCTATTAACATTAGGCTCCTCTTTACTTATGCAAATTCCTGCAGCCCTGAATTCCTCCTCAGAAAATGGGTTTTTCTTTTTTTAACACATTGGTTGAGCTGCAAATTTTCCACACCTTTATGCTCTGCATCCCATTTAAATATAAGCTCCAGTTTCTGGTCATTTCTTTGTTTGGGCAAATGAATATAGGCTTTTAGAAGCATCCAGGTCACTTCTTGAATGCTTTGCTGCTTAGAAATTTCTTCTGCCAGATACCCTGAATCATCTCTCTCAAGTTCAAAGTTTCATATATCTCTAGAGCAGAGGCACAATGCCCCCATTCTCTTTGCTAAAGCGTAGCAAGAGTGACCTTTGCTCCAGTTCCCAATAAGTTCCTCATCTCCATTTGAGACTACCTCAGCCTGGACTTCACTGTCCATATCACTATCAGCATTTTTGTCACAACCATTCAACAAGTCTCTAGGAAGTTCCAAACATTTCCTCATCTTCCTATCTTCTTCTGATTCTTACAAACTATTCCAACCTCTGGCCATTACCCAGTTCCAAAGTCACTTCCACATTTTTAGGTATCTTTATAGCAATGCCCTACTTCTCTGGTACCAATTTTTGCATTAGTCTGTTCTCATACTGCTATAAAGAACTACCTGAGACTGGGGAAGTTATAAACAAAAGAAAAGAGGTTTAATTTGTTCACAGTTCCATAGGCTGTACAGGTGACATGGCTGGAGAAGCATCAGGAAACTTATAATCATGGCAGAAGGACAAACAGGAAGCAAGCACATCATAACATGGCAGCAGGAGAGAGAGAGCAAAGGGGGAAGGTATTCACTTTTAAACAAGATATCATGAGAACTCACTATCAAAAGAACAGCAAGAGAAAAATCTGCCCCTATGATCCAATTACCTCCTACCAAGTTTCTCCCCCAATATTGGAATTTACAATTCAACATGAGATTTGCGTGGTGATATGGTTTGGCTCCAAATCCCCACCCAAATCTCATCTTGAATTGTAATGCCCACATGTTGAGGGAGGGACCTAGTGGGAGGTCATTGGATCATGGGTGTGGATTCCCCCATGCTGTTCTATGATAGTGAGTGAATTCTCATGAGGTATGATGTTTTAAAAGTGTGACACTTCCCCCATTTCTCTCCTTCTCTACTCCCGCCACCACATAAGACTTGCCTTGCTTCCCCTTCACCTTCTGCTATGATTGTAAGTTTCCTCAGGCCTCCCCAGCCATGCAGAACTGTGAGTCAATTAAACCTCTTTTCTTTATAAATTACCCAGTCTCAGGTAGTTATGTATAGCAGTGTGAGAACAGACTAATACAGGTAGGGACAGAGCCAAACCATATCTGACCCCAAAAGCAAATGCAATAGAAACAAAAATAAAATAAATGGGACCTGATTAAACTAAAAAGCTTCCACACAGCAAAAGAAATAATCAGCAGAGTAAACAGACAGCCCACAAAGTGGGAGAAAATATTTGCAAACCATGCATCTGACAAGGGACTAGAGTCCAGAATCTACAAGGAACCCAAACATAAGCAAGAAAAAAAAAAAAAAAGCCCATCAAAAAGTGGGAAAAAGACATGAATGGACATTTCCGAAAAGGAGATATACAAGCAGCTAACAAACCTATGAAAAAAATACTCAGCATCACTAATCATCAGGGAAATGCAAATCAAAGCCACAGCAAGATACCACCTAACTCCTGCAAGAATGGCCATAGTTAAAAAGTCTAAAAGCAATACATATTGGCAGGGATGTAGTAAAAAGGGAATATTGCAGATACTGGCATGATCCTTTGTGCTGATCTCCATATTAAGGCTTTTTCAGTAGGACTGAGCTGTGGCTAAGGCTTTTGATTATCCTCCTTCAGGAACAGTTCATCAATGAAGTCTGACAGTATATTATGTGACTTTATTATTTAGCTTAAATAAACCAATTATTCAAGTTGTCATTATATCTCTAAATCCAGGAATCCATTTCTGCTTTTACATAACTTTGCCTATTTTTACTCTAAATTAATTTCAAAATTTAGTCTTCTTAAATTATCTGACTTCTCTTTTCTCTGAATTCTTGGTTTCATTTATGACGATACCTACCCCACACGTAATTATGAAAGCTAATTTATTATGAAGGCAACTGAAAGCATATAGTACAGCTCCCAGCACCTTTCAGACATTCAATAAATTATGTTTGTGCTTTGAATATGAGTATCTTCTTTGAAGTACTTTACCATTTTATTTTATATTTTTGATGGTTATAGGTACCATAGCATACTCGATTTTCTGGATAATTTCATCCCAATTTCAAACAATTGTTCTCATTTTCAAATACTCATTTGCATTTTCTTCTAAGCCAACAGACTATCCTAAAAATGCAATTTTTCAGCATCTAAACTACATCTCCCAGATGCTTTTACATCTCTGAGACAAAAAGCATTTTTCAGACTATGGTATCTGATTTCTAGTTACAGAAAATATCCATTAGGACTTAAAGTATGTACAAAACAACTCTTTATTGTAAAATTGGAAGGGATGTTTGTCATAATGTTACATTATAAGTTGTATTACAGTGAGATATAGTTACTTTAAGTATTGCAGGTGGCGCCCACTACTTTTCTTTTTGTATTACAGTTACTTGTCAATGTAGATATTATATTTTTCATATTAGCTTCTCAGTTCCCTATGAAAATGGGCAATGTCTTACTCATCTTTGTATTCCCTAGGTACTTGGTAAATATGCATAGAAAAATAGAAAAATACCTAAGGAAGTAGTCAGGTTCTAACACGAAGAGGATGAACTTGATTTCAGAATGCTTCTTTTTTTCATCATCAATTGAAAAAAAAAAGTCACATCAATCCAGGTATTAGCATAAAAGATGCACTGTTATTCCAGAAATGTGTTCAGTAGGAGCATCCTTCTCCCAGCTATTTCTTGGCTATATTTCTGATAGAGATGTATGTTAGTGGATTAGTAAAGCAAGCTATCCAAAATCACTGAAACATCTGTCATTGTTTGTCTCTTTTCTCAGTTGGTTATGTTAATTCTGGTAGTTTCTATGACAGTGGATAAAAGTTCTTCTTATGTCATCTTGTAACTGACTTAATTAGGGTCCTATATGGGCTTCAGAGAAGACAGTGGGATCTCCTAGGTGCTGTAGAATTCTAGTCAGACATACTTTGAGGACAATCTACATAGACTAAATCACAGACATTTTGTTGGAAACCTTTATAATTCCATAATTGTTTCCTTTATCCTTATGTAACCATATTATCACTGAAGCTCTGAGTTATAAATAATGTTTTGCTAATGAATGAACCTCTGTAGGTAATTTTATCTGTATTTTGCATGAACACTTTTAATGATAGAAAACCTGCTCCAACAAAAAGCAGCTTTATGGAGCCCAGATTTGTCTCTCTCTAATCTCCACACCTTGGTTTCCTCTCTGTAGTCATGCAAGTGTAACATACATTTTCTTACTTCCTTCTGAAAATGTCTTAAAATATTATGTGACTTGCTACAGTAAGGATGGCAGTGAACCAAGCGATAACCCTTTTCCTGGTCTCTGAAATTTCATGAAATATCATCACCCTGTTTGGATCTTCTTTATATACAGCAATATGAAATGACATTTTCTTGTGTTTTCACATTTTTAGGTCAGTGACATTCCATCTCTTAATTAGTGTTCTGTTGCAGTTGTATGAATATAGATGTGCTCCCTTGGCATTTTATTGAAGATTAACTAAGAAGTTCTTCCTGAGACTATTAAAACATTCCAGTTTTCTTCTTCATCTTCTTGTTTTTTAATTTTATTAAAATTTACAAAATTTAAAAATGTAACATTACTAAAAATATGATATATCCACATAGTCATTAAGGAGAAAGGGACTGCAGAAGTTTCAAAACACATCTGCAAATTCTTTCATGCCATTCCGATCAGTGGCAGAGTCTAATTCCTTTACCTTTGAATGAAAATGGAATGCAGTAGAAGTGCTGCTCTGTGAATTCTGAGATGAGGGTCTGAAAAGTAGTAGCTCAACCTGACTCCCTGTTGGGACACTTGCTCCCTCTTGGGACACCATACTTCAAAGACAAAATCTTTGAACACATGAAGAGGAGTCAGGTAGATGTTCTAAGATACAGCTGCTAGCTGAAGTCCCAGGCAGCAACCAGCATTAACCACCAGGCATGTGAGGAAGCCTTTGAGATAGCTTCTGCCCCAGACACTATGTGACTGCAACCTATGAGAGACCCCTGTGAGAAATAACTAGCTGAGACCAGGCACCCCTCAGAACCCTAAAAGATAACACCAATAGATGACTGTTGCTCACATAGGAGGCTAAGTTTGGAGTAGATTGCTATGCCACTATAGATAACCAGAAAATATTTTAGTGCCACATAGGAAAATGCCATAACTAGACCAAAAACATGGGGTATTAACTTTGGAAATAAGACATAAGCAATAGTTGGAAGAGGCTAAAGTTTGTTGGTATAGTTTAAAGGGTCTTGAGGAATTTGTCAGTGAGAATTTAAATACAAGCGAGTAAACAGTTATTAGTAGCTGGAGGAAAGTCTAAGTCCTTTTCCTTTGAATAGTAATAAAATGCGGTGGAAGTGATGCTCCATAAATTCTGAGATGAAGTCCTAAATGGCAGTGCTGCTTCAGCCTGGCTCTCTCTCCACATACTTACTCTTGGAACCCTTGTTCCAAGATGGAAAAGAGACCCTTGTTATGTAGTGGTGGGAAGTTTAGCAACACTGTCACCCATTATAATTTGGAAAATAAATGTAGTTAATGAACTGGATGATCTGTTTAAGCAGATTTCTAGGCATGGTGTTGAAGATTCTCCTGATTTCTTCTAGCTGCCTATAATAAAATGAGTAAAGAACCAAAGAAATAAGAGCTTAAAAATAAACTGTTAAATATAAAGAAGCCAGGACTTGGGTTTTGAAATAAAACAGTTTCTCATTCCCAACCTCTCCAGATGGTAAACTATTCTCAAATTAGGAAATAGCTTTCAGGCAAAGATCAAATCCAGGGCACTGTCAGGAAAACACGATCTAAAAATGACTTTAAAACACTTTCTAAGACTTCAGAAAGATTTAAGGTGGTGCCTCATACACCTTTTCAGACAGATAAAAAGGCTATCTAAGAATTTTAAGACCATGCACTACAGTATCTTTCTTTTCATTAAAAATTAGGGCTTGTAATAATTTTAGGGCACTGTCCCCTAAAAACGTTACCAGGAGCTCAAAGTAGAGAAAAGTTACATCAAAACTATTTGTACAAATGGTTTTTGCTAAATGGAGTGAACCCTAAAAGGGATTCATAGAAAATCCATAAAAATTTTAAGATAATAGTACTAACAGAAACACTGCCAGCATGGACTAAAAGGAAAAGTAACAATGAGAAATGAAAAGAGAACTCGGTGCCCCCAAACTTCTTGGGAGGGAAACAAGTGAAGAAAATATTCAGCTGTAATAATAAGTTATGTTTTAGGTGAAAGGGAGACAATTCAAAGGGTGGAACCAAGACCCAGAAGATGGAACAAGGAGCCGTGGAGAATCATTACAAGGCACTAGGAATAAGCCCTGGTCAAGGGAGCTGGGAATATGTGCTTGGCTGGATTTCAAAATTACAATTGATCGTGACTATTATGCATTTCCCATTTTCCTTTTTCTTTCTTTTTTTTCTTTTTCTTTTGTTTTCCTTTCTTTTCTTTTCTTTTTTTTTTTTTTTTTTTTTTTTTTTTTTTTTGATACAGGAGCATATATCTTATGTCTCTCCCACCACTGTATTTTTGGTGTGTGAGAGGTACACAGTTTATTTCTTAGTTCACATGTATTCAGATCCAGCACCTGAGAAAACATACTTAAGGTCACTTGAATCCAGTTTAGGTAACATCCTAGATATTACTCTTGAGACTGAAGGTCTGATAGATTAGATTTTACAAGAAGCAAGTGAATTTTGCATGTGGGATAATGTAAATAATCTTGGTCCAGAAGGTGGACCTAATTTTCTTTTCCTTAAAAATGGCCAGGCTTAATGACTCATTTCTAACAAATAGAAAGTTGCAGGGTGAGTTGCAAGATTTTCAAGGCTAGGTCACTCCTTTGTTCGAAGTCTCTCTTGAGATACTTGCTCTTGGAATCCAACTCGTGCCATGTTGTAAGGAAATTCAGGCCATTCAGAGAAGTCATTTGTAGATATTCTAGCTGATCACTCCAGCTTAACTCTCAGTTAACAACTAATATGGCCCACCAGGCAAGTGAGTAAGAAAACATTCAGGATGACTCTAGTCATAGTTACCATCTGAGAGAGACATAAGAGGCCTCAAGAAAGAACCATCTAGTTGAGTCCTGTCAATCTCTGGAACTGAAAGAGATAAAAATAATAAGTGATGTTCTTTGATGCCATTAAGTCAGGGATAACTTTTTTTACAGCTGTAGGTAACTAACAGGGGCTGATATACATGAACTGGTCCAGAGCAGTCTTCAACATATAGTATTAAAAGAAGGCACAGAGGTGAGTGCATAGTATGCAACTGTTATTATTTTGTTGTGTTTTTTAAGTATGTCACTTGAAACTTCTCTTCTTGCCTCAAAATTTGTAACTAGGATGTAAAGCTGAGAATGAAGGGGCTTTAATTATTCCACATTCAGAATAGAGCTGAAAACAATTTGGATTATATCCTTCTGAGGGCTTATCTACTAAAAGCTAAATGACTCTGCTATGCTAGCCAACTTCCCCTTATATGGCAATGATTGGGAGGGTTTGGGCAGGCATAAAAAAAATTGACAGCCTTGAGTCATAAAGTTAGAAGTAAAATATTGGACATTTTTTCTTCTTTCCTATGGGAGAAAGAAGAGGATCGCTTCTTAAATCCCAAATCCCTTTCCCATTCCAAATGAGAAGGACTCAAAAAGATTTGCTTTTAAACATTGAGTGGCAAGCAAGAAGGATGATTGGCATGTTTTCTTGAACTGGGCAATCTGCTTATGCAAAGGAGTTTCTGACCTGCCCTCTGTACCCATGTAAGTGAGAGCAGAAGAGTTTTGGAGAGAGGCAGACAACTGGGGAGAGAGAATGGCAGTGAGATAGTTCTCTAGTGTTTATCCTGGAAAGGTTGGGTAACATGGACATGTGGAATGTTGAACTATCTTGCTGGTGCACCATCACTGAAAAAGAGGACTCCAACAGTAGGATAATATGAGATATATTGTGGGATGTTGGTAAAGGAGATGTGGAAGAATTCTGATTGAGGCCATATCCACACTGAAAGAAGGGAAGAGATACTGCCACTTCTTGCTATAAAACCTGGAACTCCCTACCACATGCACACACAAATAAAAAATGTACCCCTTAAAAATATCACTGGTAGATGCATTTGCTATACCCAGAAACTTAGCCAGCCAGTGAAGCTAGAGAAACAGAAACAGCTAAAAATATTTACTATCTGGCTCTTTGTAGAAAGTCATTGTCAATCTCTGGTTGGAAAAAATTGACATGGCATACTAATGAAAAGAAAATTGGAATATCTATATTAATATCAGACAAAATATGTCTCAAGGCAAAAAATATTTCCAGGAACAAGATAAGTCATTTAATAATTATAAATGGGTCAACTTATCAAGAGGACAAATTCTAATATTTTGTATATCTAATAATAACACAGTTACAAAACATTTAGTAGAATATTTGGTAGAACTGCAAAGAGAAATAAACATATCTACAGTTATAGTTGGAAAGTTTCAAACCCTCTTAATAATTGTTAAAATGCAAGTAGACAGAAAATTAGTAAAGATATTGAGAACACAAACAGCATTATCAACCAACTTGACCTAATTGACATTTATAGACCATTCTACCCAATAGCAGCAGAATATACATCTTTTCCAAATGCATACAAAACTTTTTTCAAGATATATCACATTCTGGACCATTAAGACATGACTCAGTAAATTTAAAAAAAAAAACAACCTTTTAAGTAGTACAAAGTATAGTCTCTAATCACAATGGAATTAAGTTATAAATCCAGAAGAGTATGATATCAGAAAAATTCCCCAAGTATTTATTTGTAAAATAAACAACACACTTCTAAATACCTACAGAATTAAGAACAAAACGAAAGGAAAATTAGAACCTATTTTTAACTGAACAGAAATGATAGTGTGATATATGAAAATTTGTGAGATGCAGCTAAAACTTAGAGAAAACTTTTCTAGCATTATATGCCTATGTTACAAAAGAAGAAAGGTCTTAATCTGAAGATCTAAGCTTGTTCCACAAGAAACTAGGAAAAAAGAACAAATTAAACCCAAAGTAAGCACAAAAAAGGAAATTAGAAAAAAGAGCATAAATCAACAAACTAGAAAACAAACAGAAGACAGACAAAAACAATGATATCCCAAGTTACTCTTTATAGGATCAATAAGATTGATAAACCCTCTAGCCAGAATGATCAGGAAAGAAAAAAAAAGATAAAAATTGCCAAGATCAAAAATGAAAACATGGTAGTCTCTACACACCTTATAGAAATCAAAAGACCATAAAGAAATACCACGCAAACTTTATGTTCGTACATTTAATAACTTAGAAGAAGCAAACACATATCTTGAAGGGCCCATATTAACCAAAGCTCACTCAGAAAAGAAGTAGGTAACCTGAATATTCCTAAATCCATTAAAGAAGGTGAATTTTTAAGTAAAAATATGCACACAAATAACGCTCCAAGTCTTTATGGTTTCAGTAGTGAATTATACAGAATAATTAATAATGGAATATTACTAAATCCACAAACTCTTTCAAGAAACTGGAGGGGTAAAAAGCTTTCCCAATTTACTTTATGAAGCTAGCACTATCTTGATAAAAACAAACAAAAGACAGAAAAAGACATAACAAAGAAAGAATTACAGACCAATATCTCTCATAGACACAGATGATTGCATTCTTAACAAACTTTTACTATATCAAATTCAACAATACATAAAATAATAATACATCATGACCAAATACTATTTATTCTAGGGATGCAAGTTTGGCTAAACATTTGAAAATCAATCTGTGTAATTCATCATAGTAATAGACTAAAAAAGAAATGCTGTATGGTCATCTAAATAGGTGTAGAAAGGCATTCCACAATATACAATCATTTTTTTAATTCTGAAAAGTGCAAATAGAAATTCTCTCAAGCTGATGAAAAGCCTCTATGAAAAACCCAATAGTCGATATCATTTTAGTGGTGGAAAACTGAATGTTTCCCCCTAAGACTAGGACCGAAGCAAGGATGTCCACTCCCATAATTTCTATTCAACACTGTACAGGAGGGTCTAACAAGTATAATAAGGCAATAAAAAGAATTTAAAGGCATCCTGATTGAAAAAGAAAAAGAAAAGCATTATTTACTTGTAATGGCGTAATTGTGTATAAGGAAAATCTTATGGAATGAATTGGAAATGCAACTAGAATGAATAGAGTTCGCAGAATCACAGGATACTAGGCCATTATAGAAAATATATTATTTTTCTGTATACTGGTAACAAGCAATCAGGTATTTAAATTTTGAAAATACCATTGATAGTAGCATCAAAAATAGGAAGTTCTAGGTTTAAATCTGGCAAAAATGTGAATGAACTCTACACTAAGAAGTACAAAATACTGCTGAGAGAATTAAGGATGAGCTAACTGAATTAGTTAAAGATATGTACCTTGTTAATCAATGAGTAGACTCAATAATGTTAACATGGCAACTTTATCCGTATTCATCTGTAGCTTTAATATGATCCCAGTCAAAACTATTCAAGCTATTTTTTTGTAGAAATCACAAAATGATTTTAAAATTTATGTAAAATTACAAAAGACCTAGAATAGCCAAAACAACTTTGAAAAAGAAGAATAAAGTTGAATAACTTAAACACTATTTGATTTCAAGACTTGTTAGAAAGCTAAAGTATGCAAGTATGGATCATTAGAACTGGATAAAATACTCAAAATAGGATCACACATACAGTCAATTGACTTTTTACAAAGGAACAAAAGCAATTTAATTGGGGGGAAATTAGCATTCTCTTCAACAATTAGAACAACCTGACAGATGTAGAAAACAAAAAACAAAAATAACCCTCCCCTACAAAACCACCTTGGACCTTACTTCACACCACATACCATACCATAATTAACTTGAATTGGATCATATACCAAAATGTAAGAGCTTACATATACAATTACTGGAATGAAACATTGGAAAATATCTTAAAGATCTTGGGTTTGGCAAAAATTTCTTAAATATAATGCAAAGAGCATGAACTATTAAATAATAAAATCAATAAATTTATCTTAAGCAAGTTTAAAACTTTTGTTATTTTAAAACCCCTGTTATGAAAAATGAAACAGCAGGCAACAGACTGGGACAAAATACTAGCAAATCATATATCTGACAAAGGACTTGTTTCTAGAATATGCAAAGAACTCAGAAGTTGATAATAAAAACACAGATAACTCATTTAAAAATGGACAACATATTTAAACAGACCCTTCACCAAATATACAGATGGCAAATAAGAACATGAATATGTGCTCAACATCAATTGTCATTAGAAAATGCAAATTAAGTCCTACTGAGATATTCCTTCATACTCATTAGAAAGGCTAAAACTGTGAAAAGATTGACCATATTGTATGTTGGCATGGCTGTGGAGCAACTGGAACTTGTATACACCAGTTCTAGGAATATGAAATGGCATAACTACTTTGGAAAACAGGTTGCCTTTTTTCTAAAGTTAAAATATGCCATATAACCCAGCCATTCTATTCCTAGATGTTAACCATCATGAATGAGAACATATGTCCACAAAGACTTGTTCATGAATGTTCATAGTCAGAAACTGAAAACAACCTAAATGTCCATCAACAGGTGAATGATTAAACAAATGGTAGTGTATGCATAATGTGGAATACTACTCAGCCATAATAGCAAAAGAACAATTTTTACATGCATTAACATGGTTGAATCTCAAAGTAATTGTGATAGGTGACAGAAGCCAAACATAAAGGAGTACACACTCTACTGTTCCATTTATATAATCTAGAAAATATAAACTATTGTGAGAGGAAGCACATCAGTATTTGCCTGTGGATGTGGGTTACAGGAGGGAAGGATGGTTTTACAAAGAACTACCAGGAAACTTTTGGGAGTGATGGATGGGTTTATTATTTTGATTGTACTTATGGCTTCATTAGTGTTAAAATATATCAAAGTTTATCAAATTGTACATTTTTTATGTGCAGATTATTGTACCTCAATAAGTGTTATTTGCAATGACTAAGTTTTGTTTATCAAAGGACAAAATTCAGTTAAAAGGTAAGCTACAGACTGGATGAAGGTGTTTGCTACACATATACTTTACCATGGGCTTATAAGTAGAATATATAATGTGTTCCTATAAATAAATAAGAAAAAATACAGGGGACCCCTTTTTTGGTTGGACAAATATATATATATTTTTAATTATTATTATACTTTAAGTTTTAGGGTACATGTGCACAATGTGCAGGTTATTACGTATGTAAACATGTGCCATGCTGGTGCGCTGCACCCACTAACTCGTCATCTAGCATTAGGTATATCTCCCAATGCTATCCCTCCCCCCTCCCCCCACCCCACAACAGGCCCCAGAGTGTGATGTTCCCCTTCCTGTGTCCATGTGTTCTCATTGTTCAATTGCCACCTATGAGTGAGAATATGCGGTGTTTGGTTTTTTGTTCTTGCGATAGTTTACTGAGAATGATGATTTCCAATTTCATCCATGTCCCTACAAAGGACATGAACTCATCATTTTTTATGGCTGCATAGTATTCCATGGTGTATATGTGCCACATTTTCTTAATCCAGTCTATCATTGTTAGACATTTGGGTTGGTTCCAAGTCTTTGCTATTGTGAATAGTGCCGCAATAAACATACGTGTACATGTGTCTTTATAGCAGCATGATTTATAATCCTTAGGTATACACCCAGTAATGGGATGTCTGGGTCAAATGGTATTTCTAGTTCTAGATCCCTGAGGAATCGCCACACTGACTTCCACAATGGTTGAACTAGTTTACAGTCCCACCAACAGTGTAAAAGTGTTCCTATTTCTCCACATCCTCTCCAGCACCTGTTGTTTCCTGACTTTTTAATGATTGCCATTCTAACTGGTGTGAGATGGTATCTCATTGTGGTTTTGACTTGCATTTCTCTGATGGCCAGTGATGGTGAGCATTTTTTCCTGTGTTTTTTGGCTGCATAAATGTCTTCTTTTGAGAAGTATCTGTTCATGTCCTTCGCCCACTTTTTGATGGGGTTGTTTGTTTTTTTCTTGTAAATTTGTTTGAGTTCATTGTAGATTCTGGATATTAGCCCTTTGGATTGGACAAATATTTATATAGGTACTCCACAAAAGAAGATACTCAAATATTTAATCAATGTAAAAAGTTGCTCAGCACTATTTATTATCAGGGAAATACAAATTAAAACTACAAAGAGATACCCATCAAGACAGCTAAAATTAAAAGAACTAACAACACCAAGTCTTGGCAAGGATGTGGGACAATTGGAGCCTTTATCTAGTGCTGGTTTGATGTTTATTGTTATAATCACTTTGGAAAATTGTTTGGCAATATCTACTAAGTTGAACATACATATACCTCACAACCTGTAATTTCAGTTCTGGGTATTAACCAATAGAAATGATTGTTGATGTCTACCCAGAGACTTGTAAATAATGTCTATAGTAGTTTTATTCATCACAGCAGTAGTCTATAAATAATCAAAAGCTCAACTGATTTTAGGATAAACATGTAATAAAAATTTACACGCTAACAGAAAATACACCACTGTTCACACAAGGGCATGAATAAATTTTATAGACATGTTGAATAAAAAAAGAGATAAAAATGTGCATCCTAGGTTATGCTACTGTGTCAGTCCATTCTTGCATTGTTATAAATACCTGAAACTAGGTAATTTATAAGAAAAGAGGTTTAATTGGCCTATGATTCTGCAGATTGTATAGGAAGCCTAGCACCAGCATCTTCTCAGCTTCTGGTAAGGGTCTCAGGAGGCTTACAATCATGGTGGAAGGCAAAGGGGGAGCAGGCATCTCACATGGCAGGAGCGGGAGCAAGAGAGAGAGAGCAGGGGTGAGAGTCAGGTGGCAAACTTTACAACAACCAGATTTCAGGAGAACGCACTGACTTTTGTGAGTTTAGCACCAAGCCATGAGGGATCCACCCCCATGACCCCAGCACCTCCTACAAGGCCCCACCTCCAACACTGGAAATTACAATTTAACATGAGATTTGGCAGGGACATTTGTTCAAACAATGTCAGCCATTCATATGGAGTTTTTTGAGAACTATTGATCAAAAGAGGCAAAAGGAAACTTTATGGGACCTGGAAATAATCTAGTTACATGACTGTATATTATATAAAACATCATCAAATGGTACTTTTGAGGTTTTTTAATGCTTTTTATTTTATGTAAGTTATTTCATTTAAAAAAGAACTAATATGTATAAATCCCAACAGGTGTCAACTCCTCAAAAAACTGAATTTAAATAAATATATACACACATACATACGTATAGGCACACATAAACTTACAGATAAAAAAGCAGATACTTGCAGGTGTGCAAATAGAATATTTCTGAAAGGATACACAAACCATTGATCACAGTAAAAATGGAAACTGTTCTTGCTTTTCAAGTCATACCCTTTTGCATCTTTTGAAATTTCTATCCTGCACATGTATTTTCTGTTCTAAACAAGAAATAAAGGGGAGCAGCAGTAAGAAAATATTCACAAAATAGTACATCTATCCCCTAGTGTCTGCTTACCTTGTATTAATCTCTTGCTTCTATAATCTAGTGATTGACATAATGTAGAAAATGTTTAAATGACCTAATTTTACATGTAGAAATTTTATAGAATTTTATAGAAATTTATAGAATTTTCTGATGTGTGGAATAGATTTTTACCATAAATGCTTATAAATATAAGAACACAATCAAGGTTTGCTGATAGAATTGTTTCCCAGTACGTTCATAATACCATTGAGAGTCCCTTCTTCTTCATCCTAAAATGTCAAGTAAGGGAAAAGAAGACTTCGGAATATTGGTCTCATTATTCAAGGAAATGCTGCAGCGTGCTTCTCCTCTCATTATTAGGAGGCTGAGTTTTGCAGTGCATGTCAGATGAGCTTTTCTGTTTTCTCTACCAATTCTTTGAGTCTTCTTCACTTTTTGCGGAGGCATAATTTGGGACTTCATTTGGCCAAAAACTTAATTAGTAGTAAGAATTCCAAGGCTCAAGATGCCCTAAATATCTGTTAAAGGCAAATTCAAAGAATCAAAATCATTGATGGATGTTGGGAAATTGCTGTACATTGACCTTAGATGTATTCTCCAGATAAGTTTAGATCAAATTGAAGAAAAGCATGTGAGTTTCCTTGCACTGGCTCCAGCTAAGAGAATCGTATGCCCTTATGGCCTTTCCAGGGATGTTAGGAGCCAATGTTGAAACTGTACTTTAAAGAGCACCAAAGTTAAAATTCACAAGCTAGGGAACAACTTGTTTTCACAGCAATGAGAGCTGGCATTGCAAACACTTCTCTGTGGTGACTTACATACTTATTCAGTGATTTAGACTGCTTCTCTGGCACGGGTCAAATGGCATATTAACATGGGATATAATCCTTTCTCACTCTGTAGGCAATGGCTCAGTGTGATATTGGCACCATATTAAGCTTCATTAACCCTACAACACGTTGCCTTCTTACTCTTGGCACTCTCCTGCAGGCTGCAGGCAGTAACCCATGAGTAATCTGATTACCTACAACCGACTGTAGCCTCATGGAATGGAAGCTGACTACAGAGTGGAACACAATTATAGTCTTTTGAGATTCAATTAGAAAGCTGTTGGTAAAGCTTCGTTCAGAATTCTGAAACTGGCTCCAATAAGCCCTCGTGAACTGCACGTTTCTTTAAGAGCCCATAGTAAATAATGAACCTAAAAAGCTTTACCTGTTCCTCATGTCTTTTAGCATTTGTCCTCCCCCAGTATGTAATAAACCAGGTTTGCAGTTAGAAATAACAAGAACGGTTTCCACAGATTCTACCTGGGCTATTTCTTGCCTTCTCCAAAAGGAGAAATGTTATTTATCTCCTCCACAGAGTTATTCTGCTCTTAGGCTTCTTTATGAATGGACATTGAAAAGAAATGCTACTTAGCATGGAGCAGAACATTATCAAAGGATAATTATCCTTTAAATAAAACCTGAGGTTAAGAAAGATTAAGCTTCACATTTAAAAAACCAAAATCAAGACAAAGATGTTCTAGACTGGATTATGTCATTCTGTGATATATCATAAGCATCAATTGTGCTAGATATCATATCCATAAGATGTCATTCTTTGCTTGCTGGTGGTCTGAATATCTAATTGTGCATTTAAAATGAAGTAGTTAAAAATGCATATTGGAAGAAGCAGCACTTAGTAAAAAGATGTTTCAAGTAAATTAAAATGTATTTAATAATAAAGTGTTTGTTTACTGTATTATTTTTGTCCCCAAACTTGATTCATCTTGTTTATTCAATGTGAGATTTGCTTTTTTCTTCTTCTGGGAATTATACAATGAATATGAGTTTTGGAGACAGATTTGAGCTTGAATCCTGGCTTTGCCACAGTCTAATAATTAACTCCTTGGGAGTTATTTAATTTTTTTGAACCTCAGCTTTTTCTCTTCTGAAAAAGGGAATAAAAATACCTTCTGGCAGTGTTGTAACAATTAACCAATAGCACATGATGAGGGGGATGGCACAGGGTAGGAGACGGAGTAAGCACTCAACACAGTGCTTTTCTTTTTCACGAATTTTTCTAGATCCCACTGGAAGCTTCACAGGCTTGCTCTGAATTCATATCTCTGTTTTTGTCACTATGTATCCAATATCAGGCATTATTACATAAATATCCATTTTATGTCATGAAACTGGAGGAATCATCACTAATTATTGAAGTGCATTGCTTTAAGGCATTTACTTGAGTTCCTGAATTTCAGTATGTGGTATCTGACTTTGAGTGAATGTGAGATTTTTTTTTTATGCTCACTTTCCTTTCTTCATAGGAAATGTGAATATACAATCAGTAAATTAAATTCAATCAAGTTCCAAAAAACTCAAGCTAACATTTCTGAGTAATGCCAGTTCCTTGGCCTCTGTGAGGTGAATTCATAAAAAGTCTGAGAAATGTAGACATTTCAAATCTGAAAGTTGAATACTTACAAATGCTCAGAATATATGAAAATCTCTCCACTTGACTCTGCAAGTGTACAGCTAGAAAACTGCTGAATGCTAAATGCATTCCTGAGAATATTGAAAGGCATGACTAAGGAACTCCTTTCCTCCCTTGACTGCACATTACCCTGTTTCTGGTGAATCCCCACTGGTACTGGCTCCAATAGCAGAACTAGTAAACATTTGATAACTAGCGATGTTGGATACCATGTCACCCATTAGTGTCCATGAGTCAGATGGCTTAGTTAGGTCCAGCTATCACTTACAATAATTTAATTAGACTTGCATTTATCATTTTGTGTTCCAATGTGATACATTTCATTTTATCATTATCCACAGTGAGTCACTCTGTGTCAAAGGAACTGGCCAAGCACAGCATTCATTATTAATCGCCAAGGTTTTAGAGACAATTTTCCAAAGTTTGCCAACACATTTTGCTAGATTTCTATTAACATAATTAACTACAGCTGGGTTATTAATACAGGAAAGCCAAATGGAGCCCTGAGGTTCCAAAGTGTCTTAAATTGACCTGCTTTTCCAAGAATAATCCTAAAAACAGCACTGGATACACCCCCAGGCATGGGCATAGTTGGAAGAGGAGGAAGCTGGTGTGCATTATTTTTAGTTCTTGTTTTTCACTTGACCCTTAGGCACCTTCACATCACCAGTGGGAAATCTAGATCAATAACAGTTCAAAGGAGGGGAATGGGAGGTCTTACGGGGTTGGTTTAAACTTTTCAACCATCTGATAAAATAGGCTCTTAAAGAAAGTACAGAAACTCAGTTTGTAGATTGTTTGGTCAATACTGTTCATGACTCTCATGAAAGTATTGTTATTCTTTTCTTTTTTTCTTTATTTTTATTTTTTTGTCTCTATTTCTGCAGTAATGTAATCAGCAGGACAAAACTTGGCAACAAATTGGTATTCTCACTTGCTTTCACATTATTTTTTTCCCATTTTTATCTCTTCTTTCCTCTGTAGCTAAGACCCCATTGCCACCACCTGGACTAACAGATTTAAGACTCCTCTGTGCCTCCACAGATACGGCCTTTGTAGCCAACTGGATTACTCCTGTCAATGCATTTGTCTCCTTCTCATGTAGATCTCCTTTAAAACACCACCAGCAGCCTCCAGGAGTCTGTTCTTATTCTTGGGTCAGTTTCAGTGCATTCTTGTGTTTCCATTACAACATAACCTGCCTCTTAAAATATTGATAAATAAGAATGATTTAACTGAAGCTTTGTTTCATGAAGATAGTGTCAAGTTCTATTGGATCCACATAGTTAAACTGCCTCCACAAGCGCTTGAAGCATCTCCGCTCTTCTCCCAAAATTCCTCTTCCAACGCACTGCTTCATCCTTTCTTATTCTTATTTAGAGAACTTTCTTGTCTTTTCTCCATTGTATTCTCACTTCATTTTCTAGTTCAGCAAAACAGAGCATCTGCCTCAGCATCCATGCTAGGTGGGGATGGGCGGTAGGAATGGTGGTACAAACAACAAATCATTTTATTGTGAGTCACATGTACATTATTTCTTTTTAACCTTCTCAACACTCCAATAAGCAAATGAAGTCTTGGAGAGGTTTAGTAACCAAGGTCAAAATTACAGGGCAGAGCTGGGATAGAAACCAGGTGAGCCTTGCTCTGAAGTCCTTCTGCTTCCCAGTAAACTAGTATGTGAGATTATTTCAGGTGATGGTTAAGCTGACTTTCAAAAATTTTAGTAATTATGTATTTATTGTAATACATATTTTAAAATATAGTACGGCAAATGCGATTTTATAGACACTATTTCTTAATTTAACAAAATAAGTGAGTTGATTCAAAGTTGTTTTCAAATACCCTGTTATTGAAATGGTAGTACAGGTGGCCCATGGATATGAAAGAATATTTTGAGGATGCATTCAAATATAGTTGAGGAAATGCCATCTTTGAGCACACCGGATTATAGTTCTGCCAACTGCTCTCTGAGTCTCCATACTATATTTAATTGAACAGTCTTTGTGCTTCTGTGCTACCTTTTCCATCCAAACTGTTCACCTTGCTCCATTTCTTGCTGAAATCCTGTTTAGTGGTACCCCCTTCCTAAAACCTTTCCCAGTTGGCCCTCTTCTTAATATCTTCATTCATACACTGATATGGCACTGAATAGTTACTCTTTTAGAGGATATTCATTGATGTATATTTTCCCTTCTATTCACCTTGTGATCAAACACTTCCTCATTTACATTTCTTTAGCTTCCTTTCTCATAGTACTTTCCGTTAGGTAGAAAGGGACCTAGTAGAAAGGTGATACAGGAAAGTGTGATGGTTAATTTTATGTGTCAACTTTACTGGTCTAAGGGACGCTCCGATAGTATAATCATGGGTGTGTCTGTGGGGGTGTTTCTGGAAGAGATTAGCATTTGAATCAGTATACTTAGTACAGATGGCTCTCCCCAATGTGGGGCATTATCTAATCTGTTGAGAACCTCCATAGAACAGAAAGGCAGAGAAAGGGCGAATTTGCTCTCTTTGAGCTGGGAAATCCAACTTCTGTTCTCTTCTGCCTTCAGACATTGGCACTTCTGATTCTTGGGCCTTTGTACTGGGGCTTACATCATTGGCTCTCCTGGTTCTCAGGTCTTTGAGTCTGGACAGGAACTACACCACTGGCTTTCCTGGGCCTCCAGCTTGTGTAAGGCATATTGTGGAATTTCTCAGGCTCCATAATTGCATGAGCAAATTCCTCATAATAAATCTTTTTCTGTATATCTACACATATTCTATTGGATCGGTTTCTGTGGAGAACCCTGACTAGTACAGGAAGGAAGTCAGGGATACTTGGGTTTAAATGCCAACCCCTTCAACTTATTAATTAGCTGTGGGACCCTGGACAAACAGAATTTGAGTCTCTGTGAGGATTAGGTAGCTTAATATATGAATATAACATGAACATTACATCTTATCAGAAAGTCAATACATAGTAGTACGTTTTGGTTTCACTATCAATAAATGTCTTCTGAATAAATAAAAAATGTACAAAAAAGATTGACATAAAAATTATATTAATTTATTGAAACTGCACTCTTAATTGTTACATGCCCTTGCATATAATTTGGGTATTACTCAGATAAACAATATTTAATAAAAGTATCCATTTGCCCAAATGCTTATAAATGTATATTAGTGAGAACTTTTTTGGATGCACATGACTGAACACCAACTCAAACTCATATTAAAAAATTTTTAAAAAGAGAGAGAAAGGGAGATTTCATTTAGACATAGCTAGATCTAGGATCACAGGTAATGTCTCCAGGGCTCCGCCTCTGTCTCTCTCTCTCTCTCTCTCTCTCTCTCTCTCTCTCTCTCTCTGTCTCTCTCTCTCTCTCTCTCTCTCCCTTCTTGCCCTCTATGGTGGTTTTATTTGTAGGTAGTTTGTCTCTAAGTGCAGACAGTAAGGCCATCAGCAGCACTGGGCTTACCTAACCCTTTCAACTAATATTCTCAGGTGGAAGCCTCTCTACCAGCATAGGCATCAGTTCTATTCAAGGTTCATTTCCTTTAACTGTAGCCTTAGTAATCTCATTAATCCAAGTGTCTTTCAATATCATCTCTCTTTGGTGACTCCCCAATTAGCTCTTCACTCCAGAGCTTTCTCATGAGCTGCAGACTGAATTTATACAACTGCTTAATACAAAATCTCCATTTGGATGTCTAATAGACAGCTCCAACTTAATGACCCACAAATTACCATTCTTCCCCATGAAACTTGTTCTACCTTTATCATCTCAGTCGATAGCAACTCATCTTGTGCTCAGTCCAAAAACCTTGGAATCATTCTTACATTTTCTTTCCTCTTATAACCACACATTCAATCCAATGTGAAATCCTCTTGGCTGTATACCCAATATGTATACAGACCAATTCTTACCATTTTCATTGCTACCATCCAGGCCCAAGCCATCATCACCCACCTGGATATTGCATTAGCCTTCTACTGGTTTTCAGTTTTTACCCTTGTACACTAAGACTACTGATACTCTTTTTATAACCTGGCAAGCAATGTTACTCTCTTGTTCAAAACCTTGCAATGGCCCCTCCATTTCTTTTAAAGTAAAAATCAAAGATTTGGAGTTGCCTACAAGGCCCACATAATTTAGCCCTTGGCCTTCTATCCCTCTCCTTCTGCTCTTCCCTTGACTAGCCTGCTTCAGATCACAGTCTCTGGATCTTCCTAGAGCCTGACCAGCCTGACCAGCATTCTGGTCTAGTTTAAGACATTCACACATACTATTTGTTCTGCCTGTCATGTTCTTACTCCAGGGATTTGTTTCACTCAGTTTCTTAGCTCCTGCAGTTCTTCATTCAAGTACCACTTTCTCAACAAGGCCCTGAGCACCTATTTAACCCATGGCGATCTGCATCATGCCAACCAAAATGGCATTCTGATTTCCTCTTTTTGACATTTTTCAAACTTCCTCTACATTTTAGTTTTCCCTGCATTTCCACTTATCTATATTGCTCTTGAAGTTTCCTTCTTTCATAGCACTCATCAACTTCTAACATACTATATCATGTATAGTAGGCCCTTCATATCTGTGGGTTCTGCATACTTGGATTCAAATAACTGGGAAAAAAATTGCACCTGTACTAACATGTACAGACTTTTTTCTTGTTGTTATCCCTCAACAATACATATCATAACTATGTACATTACATATACATTATATTAGGTATTATAAGTAATCTAGATATGATTTAACATATACAGGAGCATTTGCATAGGTTGTATGCAAATACTCCACCACTTTATATAAAGGACTTGAGCATCACAGATTTTAGTGTCTTCAGGAGGTCCTAAAATCAATCCCTCATGTTTGCTGAGGGACAGTTTTACTTTTTCTTTTTTGAGGTGGGGTCTCACTCTGTCACCCAAGCTGGAGTGCAGTGGTGCAATCACAGCTCACTGCAGCCTTGACCTCTTGGGCCCAAGCTGTTCTCCCATGTCAGCCTCACAAGTAGCTGGGACTACAGGCACATGCCATTCGCCTGGCTAACTTTTTGGTTTTTTGTAGAGATGGGGTCTCACTTTGTTTTCCAGGCTGGTCTCAAACTCTTGGGCTTAAGCAATCTTCCTGCCTTAGCCTCCCAAAGTGTAGAATTACAGGTGTGAGTCAGCACATCCAGCCTATAATTTTTAACACAATTATTGTTCACTATCCATCTTTACTTGATGGAATATAAGCTATATGCAGTTAGAGATCTCTCTCCATTTTATTCCCTGATGCCCCCTATGTTAGTTCTCTATTGCTGAATAGCAAATTATCAACAAATTTAGTAGCTTAAAACAGCACACACTTATTGGTTCACAGTTCTCCATGGGTCAGAAGTCAGACATGGTTCAGTGGGGGTTTCTGCATAGGTTCTGACAAGGTTGACATCAAGGTTTTAGCTAGGCTGGGCTCTTATTTGAAGACCCTAGGGAAGAATCCACTTCTAAGCTCATCACATGTTGATAGAATTCAGTTCCTCCCTCCTTGCAGTTGTAGGGCTGAGGTCTCTGTTCCTTGCTGGCTGTCAGACAGAATCCTCTCTCTCAGCTCTCCAAAGGCTCCTGCATTCCTTCTCACAAGGGGCTCCTCCATCTTCTAGACTGCAATGCTACACTGAATCCTTCTTAAACTTTGAGACCTTTCAACTTCCAATTCTTCCCCAACTTCTGTTTTTCAGGGCTCATGTGATTACATTGAGTCCACCTGAATAATATAAAATAATCTCCCTGTTTTAAGGTCAATTGACTAGTGACCTTAATTGCATCTGCAAAGTCCCTTTTGCCATGTCATATAACATGTGCACAGGAGTAACATCAGGAAGAGCAGGTCATGGCCCCACATTCTTTCTACAAAACTTTCCAAGCACCAAGAACAATTCCTTCCTGGCACATAGTAGAGATAAGTGAACATGCAACAGTGAACACCTGAGCTAGAAGTTTTACTTGAAGATACTTGGATGTTTGCTTGTTGCATTTGGAAGAAAAGTTTCTGAATCCTTTCAATTTGGTTATACGGTAATATAAAGAAGTGCTTGTGATTCATTTTCATCTTTGAAGGGGAAAGAATCAGGAAGTAAGAGAGAAAGGAGACAAGAAAAGAGGGAGAGCCGGGGAGGGATCATGATTTGGCGAGAGTAAGAGAATGCCCAAAGCCATCTGCATGGGAGCCTCTGACTTTTTCTTTCACGAAAACTGAAAATAGAAATTTTTCCACCTTTGTTACTATTGCCAGTACCAAGACTCTTACACTTGGGTGCCAGATGTGGTTTTCCAGGTTCTTGGAGCTGTCGTTGCTTAACAAACCAGATACCCTCAGAGGTTTGCTCGTATCTACAGTCACATATTTGTGCCTGTGATAGGACTTCTAGTAGATGTGGCATGTTCACAGGGGCAGCTGGGAACAATGAGGCTTGGGATGGAATCCATGGATTTTTTTCTTTCTTAGCAATAACATTATCATTTTATCTTTATTACATTTAAACACAAGATATTTAAACTTAAATATGAGAAATTACTTCATTTCCTACATGAATGCCTAAACTCCATAGGGAAATTGATTTGGTAATTATGATAATGTTTGACTATGAGAAAACTTTAGATTAATTGAAAATGATAAATTAGTCTTTTTTCAGCCTCGTGTTTGGCTTCACTCAACCATGGATATGTTGCCAGTGTAGAACTTTTCTCTTCTTCTCCAGAGTGAACTTTCAGAGTTCACATTCAAAGTACAGGGGTCCAGCTGGCCAAACGTCTATCCTTGTCTGGCTGTTTCTCTTGGTTGAACATAAAAACCTTTTCCCTGACTGAGTCAACAGCTTTGGGTGCCCTCCAGAATTATTGTTCTGCATGGCCTTTTCACCTTCTGATGAAATTATGCAGAAAAAAAGAACTTGACATTGGGAATCCATAGGATTACTTAAGAAAAAAATCATGAATTTTTTCTCTCTCTTCTCTTTCTAATTTTGTTACTTCTTCCACTGGTTCTTATTCATCAAGTCATTTAACAAACCTGGGTTGAATGTTTTCCTAGATGACAGACATGAGCTATACATTTGAGAGACAGATTTGGGAATAGGTTTGGTATGGTTTGGGTGATTTGAACTCCAAATCTCATGTTAAAATGTGACCTCCAATGTTGGAGGTGGGCCTGATGGGAGGTGTTTGGGTCATGGGGGCAGATCCCTCATGAATGGCTTCGTGCTGTCCTCACTGTCATGAGTGAGTTCTCACTCTGTAAGATTATATGAGATCTGGTTGTTTAAAAGAGCCTGGCACCACCTTCCTCTCTTTCTTACTCCCTGTTACCATGTCATATACTAGTTTCCCTTTGTCTTCCGTCATGACTGTAAGCTTCCTGAGACTTCACCAGAAGCCTACAGATGCTGGTGCCATGCTTGTACAGCCTGTAGAACCATGAGCCAAATAAAACTCTTTTATTTATAGATTACCTAGCCCCACGTATTCCTTTATAGCAATGCAAATGGACTAACACAAGGTTCAAATAGTTTCAATTTGTTGACTGAAATATGGTGAAGAGAGTTGGCTAGGCATGAGGGAAGAGAAAATGGTTTTGGGAGACAGGGGGAGAACTCTTGGACCTATAGCAGGAGTGGCCAACCTATAGTCTCTATATGACTCGCAAGTTAAGAATGTTTTGCATTTTTAAATAATTAGAAAAAATAATAATAAAAATTTTGTGACACGTGAAAATTTTATGAAATTCAAATTTTGGTGTCCATATATAAGGTTGTTTCAGAACACAATAATGCTCATTTATTGTATTGTCTCTGTCCACATTGGTAGAGTTGAGTAGTAGTGACACAGGTAGTTGGGGCCAGCAAAGTATAACATATTTATTATCTTGCCCTTTACAGAAAAAGTTATCCAACCCCTGGCCTCTGAAAAAGGATTAAGAAAGAGGATTGAACTCCACATTCATCCTTTAAAAACTGAAACAAAATAGCAACTGTAGAGCAGCAGCCTGTAGTGGATGACAGAGAGCTAAGGCTCACAGGTTTGTAGATTGGATTCACACTGGTCAGAAGAAAGGAAAGGGAAATGACACATCTGGCCATGAAAGGAGAGGGTTGAAGCATTCTGGGGCTCAGTCCTGGCAATGCATGGATGCTACTTCCTCAAGTGACAAGCAGTCTGTGTTTTATGCTAAAATGGTAATAGAAGGTATTGGAATTCTTTAGTGACAAGTGATGGAAATCCTACTCTAAACCACAAAAAAATGAATTGTCTCATATGTCAGATTTCAGGGGCTAGAGCTCATTCTCCAGGCCTTGCTGGTCTGTGTAACTTCATTTTGCAAGCATGCTGTTTCCATGTGGCAGGTAAGATGGTTGCCAGCCTCAGGCTCATAGCTGTTTTGTTTAGAATAGTCTTAGTGAGGGCTTGGCATGGTTCACATACTCATTCCTGAATCACTTCTTGAGGATGAAATGAGAATAGAGAATTCTGTTTAGCAAATCTAGGTGGCCACAGGGAGTGGATTCTGAGCTGGAAAAAGGGTTTCTGTTACCAGAAGAGTGGCTAAGGTTCTGGACAAAGACAATAGATATCTGCTTCAGTGAGATGGTGGTGGAGAAGTAGCACTGGTGCTGCTAGCAGAAGGATGGATGTGGCATCTTGGGCAGCGTCACCAGCACTAAAAATGCAACATCATTTGGCGTGGTTGGGCAGTACCTCAGTAGGTGGGTGGGCCAAGAACTCAAATATAAAATAGAGACTGGCTGCATGTCATGAGCTGTTTTTGAGATCACGCACATACACTAAAACTAGGAAAGGGGCCTTGGATAAAGCCTGAAGTCACAGGGAAGTCTAGCAACAATTTCAGATATGTGATTATGAAATCCTTTCATATAGCCTCAGGCTAAAGTAGTTTGGAGAAATACCTGTGACACAGAGATGAATGTGGCTGGGGCTCTCACAAAGTGCAATCTGTTTCGCTTAGTCTAATGGGTAGAAACACAGATAAACAGCTATAATTCAATCAAGTTTAAGTGCCATAATGGAGTTATATGGTGAGATCTTAGAAGGTATAACAGAGAAGATAGTGTTTGGGTTGGGTCTTCTGGAACAGTTACCTAGAAGGTCAATCAGGAAAAGTCATTAGGCAGATAAAACAGTATGTGCAAAGCGATGTGAATTTCAGAGAGCAAGTAACAAGTAGCTCAGTGTGGCTAAAGAGGAAAAGGTTGAACTATTCCGCAATTACTTTTGCAGCAACGTAATAACATTTATTGAAATACACACTGTCCAGGCACTACTCTAGGTGCTTTAAGTCTCTGTCTTGTTTTATATATACCATAACCCTGGCTATGGTAAAGCCAGAAGTTGAGGTTAGATATTCAAAAGAGGGGTGCAGGATGATTAAGGCTTCTTGTTGGGGAAAGTGGTTGGAGAGTAATATTTTTAATGGGAGCAGAGATTAAAAGAATAGGCATCTGATTATTAGGGAAGGTAGTAAGTTCAGATTTGCAAAATTTTAGTTTGTGATGCCTCTGTGATAATCAAGTGGCAGTGTTTAATTGGCAGCTAGAAATATGGATCCAGCTCTTAGAGAAGTATTTCAGAAACTTTCCATCCACTTTTCTTTTGCTTATCCCTGGGAGCTCAAAAAAACCACTGTAATTGCTCATTATAAAGCTTGAGAATTTCTCTAGACCTATTTCCTCTGACTATTTACAGCATACATTTTTTATTCATTAGCCGTCCTGACTACTCCTGCTCCTTTAATTTAGTATGGAAATATCTGTATGATAATCTCTCATCCTGGATCTGAACAACAGCTTTTGCATTAGCCACTCAGTGTTATGTTGCAATTCTTTGCTTATTCCTTGGATTTAGCAACCTAGCCTTTTTCTTGTCTCCTGGATTGGACTTTGGTCTTCTGTAGATTCTATTTTTAAAATCTGATCAATGGCCAAAATCATCACAAAGGTGACTATTATTCTACCTTTTTTACCATCCATTATTTTTCCTAGGCTTCCATGGGTAAGGGAACAATAGCTAATATTATATATTGAGAATAATAATTGAAGTCCCATGAGTGTTTCTAGTATGATACATGGGTCACCTACTGCATCAGAACCAACAGGAGAGCTTGTTAAGAAAGAAAGAAAGAAAGAAGGAAGTAAGGAAGGAAGGAAGGAAAGAGAGAAGGAAGGGGAGGGGAGGGGAGGGAAGGAGGGAAGGAGGGAGGGAGGGAGGGAGCGAGGGAGAGTGGAAAAGAAAGAAAGAAGGGAAGAAAGAGAAAGAAAGAAAGAAAGAAAGAAAGAAAGAAAGAAAGATCTAAAGAATATGAAATCTCTGGGGGCCGAAGTCCAGAGTCTGCTGTTTTATTTTTTTCCTAGCACCATGATGATTCTAATGCACAATCTTAAATTTGTGAACAGATTTAAAGCAAGAAGAAAATAAACCTAGAGTGGAAACTGGACTATTTAAAAAATGAGAGGTTGAGAAAGTTAAAAATGATATTTTCTTTATAACATGTTTTGCTGAAAAAAAGATTAATGCAGATTGATTAGACAACACTTCAAAATAATGAAAGATTTATAAATATAAAATCAAGGCCACTCATAATTCCACATATAAAGAGACTGTTAAAATTAACATTTTGGTAAACGTTCTTTTAATTTTTTTTCTAGAGTTTCTCTATTATGTACATATATATAGATAATGGACTTGAACTTCATCTCTAGTTTGTAGTGTTTTCTCACTCAACATGTCACATGTATTTTTTAATTTGATTTAAATTCCTCAAAAGTATTTTTGAATATGTATATATATATATGCACAACTTCTATCTTACAGACATATTCTTCTAATATTGACTACTATTTGTGTTTGTGTCTAGGCCATTTTGCTAATCCTCTTAGTCCAGCCTGAGAAATGGGCTTCTTGCCTTCTCCAGCTTTGTGTTTCTGAGGATGAAGCAGGCCTGAGATTCTACTTGAGTTTAAACAAGTGATGACATCATCAAGAACAATTTTAGCAACACTATAATGGGAACAGAAACTGGATTTAAAAAAGAAAAATGGTAGAGGTGATGGATATTCCAAATGCCCTGATTTGATCATTATATATTGCATACAGGTATCAAAATATCACATATACCCCCCCAATATGTACAACTATTGTATATGAATACAAAATAAATAGAAATAAAACTCAGATTGGGAAAAAAAGTAACCAGGTTGAGAAATGAATGAAAACTAATGAAGCTGTGGCTGAGAATATAAATTATTTTTTCAAACAATACAGGTAAAGGAAAATAAGAAAAAACTGTGACAGCTCAAAGGGAAACAAGAAATGAAGACATTGTTTTGGAGGTCGGAGATACTTGAATATGTTTGTTGGTTGGAAAGAATGAGTGGTTAAAGAGAGAAAGATTCAAACTACAAAAAGAAGTTCTTGAAAATCAAGTTTTTAGACCATAGAGAAGGATAGAAAGCTTGAGTGTAGATGGAAGCGTCAGCCTTGGAAAGCAGAAGAGACAAGGCTTCGCCTGAGCTGGAAGAGATAAATATATGGGCAAATGCAGTGGGGTGAACAGGAGGGACTTTGATGTATTCTTGCATAACAATACAACCTTGGCATCAGAAGCAAGGCTTCTGCCAAGCATGAGGAGGTGAGACTGTGGAAGGGAAGGGAGATTGCCAGGAGTGGTGATGGGCATGCAATGTGGTAATGGGAAAGTGAGGGACTAAGTGAAAGGAAAGGGGCCATAGAGGATGAGAAGCATATGATTTTACTATTCCAAACAGGATAACCTTGTCATTTTCTTCAGAGATGCCAGGCAGGCAAAAGAAAAAAAAAGGAAGGGGGTTTCAAAAAGCAGATTGATATAGGGTTAATTGGGTGGAGGCACTGAAAGATGGCACTATTCTTTTTCCCTCTCACCTAGATTATTCTAGTGACAGAATCTAACTCATGGGCCATGACCCTGTCTTTCCAATTGCACAGTTCTCTTACACCAGTTTAGTTATTCAATCATCTACACACCCACTCATAGATAGCCAGGCACTGACTCTCCTCACAGTTGTGAAACTCTTGTGTTGTTTTTTAACTCTACCCCCACCCCTACAATGCACATTCACTCACAACTGAGGATGTATGTGTGGCCTATGATCTTGGTATGCCTCATGCTGTACCATTTCTTACTTTCTTCTTCTTATCTTCTGATGCTTCTATTGAAACCAACCTGTTTATAAAATAGTACTGGGTTGAGGAGCCAGTTACTCTGAAAAAAAAAGGAGAGGACATGAGGAAGAGTTTAGAGAATAGGGTTGCCTAAGAAATATACAATGAGACTAGAACCTATGGAAGGACAAGATCAGGAAGAATTTCCTCATGTAAAATCAGAACAGTGATGTTATATGTTGAGTTGTTTAGCTTTCTGTGCTATAAAATGATTCATATAATCATCAGTACTAGTTATTAGACACACACACAAAGAATGAGTGGAAGATGGGAGGATGATTACAGTTTTTTCATTTATTAACTGGTTGCTTTACTTGGGCACATTAGATTCTGTTTCAGCTTCCACATTTGTGAATAGGTATAATAACATTTACCTTGTAAGGCTGTTGTAGGCCCCTCAAAAGATATTATTAGTCTTGCTCCCAAGGTCTTGGCATGTGATAGATGAACTGTGATGGATAAACTAAACTGTAAGCAGGTATTGGCAAATGTATTCATGGTAATGATTATTTATATCAATTTACCTGCTGGGAAATCTTTTCAACTTTATTAGGGGTCTTGAGTGTTTGAGTTTGAAGAACTTCTTACCTATTATGAGACAGGTTTTTTTGTTTTGTCTGTTTTTGTTTTGCAGTGCATGTCATATCTTGTAGGCAGGGCCTGGCTAACCGGTAAGGTGGAAGGAGAAACTGCAGGGTCTAAGACCTGAAACTTGACTTACCTGAAGGAGTGAAGCAGGTTATGGGAATAAACTTACTTTTAGGTATGGGGATAGAATCCAGTCTAGAAGGTAGAACAATATTTGAGGTGTGCAGCAAAAGACTCTTGGTCTGCAGCCCGGGTCATGGAGGCCCAATAGGAACTGCAACATTGCCTTGGTGGATGGAGCATGGTAGTGATCTGTAGCAGAAATCCCAGAGGGCAGTGTTTAGCATTTAATCAGATGGCTCAGTGGCTATTTTCAGGATAGTTTATCAGCAGAAGACAAGCTTTTGGATCCAAGTGGCTGATAAGCCTTAAGAAAGAACTCAAAATTCTTATAAGTTCTAAGGTGCAAACTCTACGAAGTCAGGATAAAAACTTTTCTATGAGAAATCAGATTAGGGAGAGAGGGCGATAGGATCTTATCACAAGATACAGTTGAAGCTGAGGGTCAGAGCTATTTTGTAACAACAATGACAAGATGCTGGAATTGTATTGGAGCTCTTGAAAGCCCATCCTCCTTCCCACATTCCCTTGATTCCAAACATGAATACAAACCTAAGGTCATTACTGGTACTAGCATATTTGCTCTTAGCACATGGGAACCCTGCAAATAGAAGGCAGGTAATTGAATGCAGAGGCAAGAAAGCTCCAGAGGTTGGGAGTCACGCTAGGTCTAAAATACTTCTACCTTCCACATGTGGCAATGGGAAGCCAGACCTGGGAATGAGCCATTAACAGTACCAAATCTGTAGATGCCTGCTCCATGCAATCAACAGACATTTATGCTGTCACCTGTCCCTTTGTATCCAAATTCCTCAGCATGACATGAAAAGTCCTTCACAGCTCAACCTTTCCATTCCCATCTCCTGTCTCTTTCCTCTCTGCTGTCTGGGAAATGCCTATTCATCCTTCAAGACCCAGCTAAAATGTCACCTTCTCTGTGGAACTCACCTAACTCCCCCAGGCAGCATGAATCGCTCCTCCTCCATGTTCAGCAATTGGAGTTCATAGTGCCCCTTATAATCCATCACACTATATCATCTTCATCTCTTTACACCTCCATCTCTCCCACTAAACACTGAACTCCTCCAGGGCAAAGACTGCTTTATTCATTCTTGCTTCCCAGCACCCCATTTTATTCTTGCTGCAATTTTATGTGGCTGCTCAATTAGTATACTTTATCCCAGAGTGTGAAAATGCCCAAAGATATCCAGCTAGTTTGGAGCAGAGCTGAGATTAGAAATCCAGGTCACCTGGTTTCTAATTCAATACTTTTCCTACCACATTGTTCTACCTCCCCTCTAATGATCATAGTGATCTTCTAAATTTCATAGCACCTTTAGAAACATTTAGACATTGATTCACTTATTTGATGTTTACACCATTAATCTGAAGTTCATAGAGGTGACCCCATTGCCTCCTTTTAAAGATTCCTGAATTGAGGTGGTTAAGTGAATTTTTCAAAGTCTCAAAGCCAATCATTGAAAGATGCTCTAACTTATGCTTATGCTTTTACTACCAGACCACCCTGTCATTCAGTAGACACTGTGAGCTATTTGACATGGTTATCAAAACAACAGGCAAAAACCTGTAAGAGTATGCTGATCACTGCTTGAATTGTTATTTACTCTTTCCGCAGTTGTAGAAAAAAGTTAGAGCTCTCCCTAGAGGGATTCTACTAATGTGGGTGACTTATCAATGTTCTTTTTCTCGCATAAATGTCGTAGGAGTTAAAAGTCAGGAAGCTGAAAACGGGACCACCTAAGGCATTGTGAATTCTTTCTCAATAGGAGTCTTTGTCTGACTGGCATAGCTATTTGCTTGACATAAGAAAGCTTTTTACTATAGTATATTTTAAAGAAAGGCATTTTCTGTTAGCACTCATTTCCCTAAAGGAACTTTTTATTGGGAATCTGGGATGAAACACTATTCTTAAGGTATATACCCAGTGTGGATAAGTCACATTTCATTCTTGTTTACAAGGACAGGGTTCTGCATAAGCCCATATGGCACCATGTGGACACGTTAAAGGCAACATTTGTTTCATAAGTTACTCTTTAATGTACTAAATAAGAGCCCCAGTGACTTGAAAGTTCATGTCTTTCTCAATTTCAGTATAAGTGGTATACTCTATTCTTAGTCCCTGTAAAAGGTTTTCTTCTTTAGGGAGGACATGTTTGCTAGCAACAAAAGATGCTCTCTCAAAACCATCTAGATCTCAAATATTTATATAGTTAAGAAAATATCTGGAATGAAATATTTCCAGCCATTGTCTTGATGTACTGCATTAAAAATATCATGCTAAGTCTAATTAGTTACACATGTAGAAATAAATGTGGGACTCAGTAATTTAAGATTTTTGTGCACTTTTTATAATGAGAATAGGGAATAGAATTTCTCAATAGGGAACAGGAGTAGGGGTCTGTAAGCCTGCAATTATATAGAATAGCCCTGGAGTTTATGAGCAGATGCAGTTATATGGTTAGTCCCAAGACTCACTGAAAGTCAAGACAGACTTAGGTATTACTACCTTTAGTTAGAGGAGGATGTATATATACATATCTTATAGAAACAATGTTTTTATTTCCCCTCCATGAAGATTTTGTTGCTATTAGCTTCAAAAACAAATGAACAAGACACAGACATGTAGTGGTAAGTAAGATGCAAAAATCTTACTTGGTCGAACTTCATGAGGTTTTGAAATTTATTTATGTTAGGAAAAGAGAAAATTAGGCTAGCATTGTGTACCAAACATGACCCACTGGCAAATGTATGGCATTTTTTTCTTTAGTCATGATGAATTATTTGTTTAAATTAAATATTTTTTTTACCTCATTTGATGTAGTAAAGGAAAATGTGTTTGAATTGCTTCAAGAATGTCAGGAGATTGGTATGGCAGATTGACTGCAAAAAATGATTACAATTATTCCCCGCACTCCCATATATTCACCTCTTGCAAAGTGACTTTGCATTTCCTCTCATCAGAACATGATTTCTTTCTTCACCCTTAAACTGAGATGGCCTCATGGTTTGCTTTGGCCAACAGGATATGGCAGAAATGATGATGTGCTGATTCTGACCTTAAACCTCAAGAATCTTTGTGTGCCTCTGCTGTTCTTGGACATTTATATCCACCATGAGAATAAGCCAGGCCTGTCTGCTGGAGGGCAAGAGACCAAATGGAACAGAGTTAGTCAGCCCAACTGAGGCCTTCCTTAACTGGCCAACTCCTAGCCAACCTGTACCTGATCACAGACACATGCGTAAGCTCAGTCCACATCAGCCAATTTAGAACCACCCAGCCAGCCCACAGACTCCTGAACAAAACTGAATGGTGTGGGTGTCCCTGAGGTTTGTGTTTGCTTATTACATAACATTGTTGTGGCAAAGATAAATGATAAAGTAAATATTTTCATGTGTTGACACTTTCAATCATGATACAGAAGCCCCTCTTGTTATGAAACTTTCACTTAAAAATGTACATAGATAAATGAAATGCTACATTCCAAAGAAAAAATGTGTCAACTTTGCTTTCCACCAACATAGTGTACTATGCCCTGCGTATAGTAGCTTATTGAACCTACCAACACATAAACTTATAGGTAGCCTTTCAGAAGACAATCTGTTTGTGTGGTCCCTCTTAAGTTAGCCAAGATTTCCTCTTTTCTTTTTTTTGAGACGGAGTCTTGCCCTGTCTCCAGGCTCGAGAGCAGTGGCGTCATCTTGGCTCACTGCAACCTCCACCTCCTGTGTTCAAGTGATTCTCCTGCCTCAGCCTCCCAAGTGAGTAGCTGGGACTACAGGCACCCGCCACCATGCCCAGCTAATTTTTGTATTTTTAGTACAGACGGGGTTTCACCATGTTGGCCAGGATGGTCTCGATCTCTTGACCTTGTGATCCACCTGCCTTGGCCTCCCAAAGTGCTGGGATTACAGGCCTGAGCCACCACACCCGGCCATAGATTTCCTTTCTATGTAATATAAACTGCAAAAAATGAAATATAAACCCAAATTATTTTATAAATTAGCTAATATTTCTTTCCTACTAAGACATGAACCTCTCTCCAGGTTTTTTGATACTCATTGTTCTTTCCTCTCTTCCTACTGCTGAAATCATGATAAAATGTTGCTCTAAGGAAGAATTTATCCTTTGGAAGGAGGTATTTTATACATCTGATAAACCATAAGGTTCCTTCTAGTGCAAAGCCAGACAAGCAAGTAAGCCATTTTTACAGGAGAATTTACTTTTTAGAGCAGAATGTGGGCTGATTTAACAGTCTAGAAGACAAAAAAATGAAACTAGCTGAACAGGTTAAACAATGGTTTAGCTGGATAAAGTAGAAGCCAAGGGAATCTGGAGGAGTATCTGAAACCCAGAAGACATTCAAAAACTATGAATTCATAATGAGGAAGTGGCTTCTCCAGTTTTCTTACTAATTTTTTATGAAGAACGTTAGAACTCATAATTCAGTGATTTTGTCTTTTATTTTAAAAAGATGCTAAAACAATGATTGATCCAATTACATTAATTGACAATAATTAGTAATAAAAAGTGTGATCTCTATTTCTGTGCATTTTGTGGGTTCAGTTGGAAAGATGGAAAACACTGGCATAGGGCAAAGTAAGGAACTTTACCAAATAATTCAGCAACACAAGCAAGTAAGTACTGGAAAAATCAAATCCATGGCATTCCAAAATAAAGGAGTTAACAGGCAGGTATGGGATTGTACACGAAGTGTAACTTAGCTAGAAAAGCTAAGCTCTAGTGTGTGTATTTGCAGGGGGAGGAAGAGGAGGCTTAAGAAAGTGAATGTCAGTCTTTTTCAGTAGGTAGAAGTACATCAAATCCCTCGAATTATACTTAGTAAGTGAAAGAAGCACTTTGCAATTTACACTCAGTCTCTTAGCCTCTGGAAGGAGTTTATGCAGCTTTCAAAGGTAAATAATTTAGACCCAAGGGAAAGCTTACACATTGAGAGGATCTGCTCCAATGTTTGAGATGCTTCTGGGAACATCACTTTCTTAGACAGTAGAATACTAACAAGCCAGTAGTGGGAAAGTGAAAATTAACTTACAGGCGACACTAGAATTGCCAACTACTTTGCCTCTTTTAATTTTTTTTTTGTCTTCCTGAAAAAGATGAATTTGGTACATGGTAATTAGCCACTCTGCTTTGCTTCCTCTTTGCAACCTGATGGGCCCTACCTTATGGAACAATTGATGTTCTGCACTGTAGACATTTCTTGACAAATGGTGAAAGCGTGTGCTCACCCAGATGGATAAAAACACCACCAGTAATGACAGGAAGCAATGTTAGAGGGCAGGATTGCTGTGTATGTGCTGTTCCGCCAGTTAAGGTGTTGGGAGGCTTATTCTTTCTTTTTCAAATCTTTTGGGAAGGTGGATACAGCAGCTCAGGAAAAGAGATGCCACGATTCTGACAAGTTAATTTAGCTTTCACTTCTGAGTATTATATGTATAGCGAAGAAGAAAAACCTTAATTTTCTTTGTACTGTCTGACAAAAAAGAAACACAAGATAAATGCAGGCAGATTCTTTCAAAGGTGTCCTTATTACTGATTCCGAGGTTGCAGAACAGAGGTTTTATAAGCCTAAATCAGAACAAATGAAAAGTCTCAGCATCTTTTATCTTTCTGTAATTTACATATGTATGTACGTATATCAATAGATATAAGAATGTTATTTACCAAAATGAAAGCTGAAAAACTCACATTTGGGTTCCTCCCTATGATAGGCTTCCTCTATTTCTACTTGATTTCACCAGTGTGAAAAATAAGATTTATCCACTGTGGGGGGCAGAATTTTGGCCCCCATGGTCTTCACTCCTTGGTGTTATACCTGTGGTCATGTAACATGGCAAGTTTGCAAGTTTGCAGATGTAATTATGCTTACTAAAGAGTGAATCTTAAAACAGGGAGTATCCTGGATTATGCCTGTGGACCGAATATAATCACATGAACCTCAAAAACAGAGAAGGAAGTCACAGAGATTCAATGTATAGAAAAGATTCAATGTCCATTTAAGATTAGTTTCAATATTAGTTTCAAGATGAGGGGGGCCATATGTCAGGAAAATGAGGACCTTGGTCCTACAACCACAAGGAACTAAATTCTGTCGATAACCAATGGACTTGGAAGAGGATCCTAAGCTCTGGATAAAACCCACAGCCGCTGATACCTTAATTGTATGTCAGTGAGATTCTAAATGAGAATCCAGCTATACAGGCTAGAATTCTGACCTGTGATCTAATAAGCGGGTGTTGTTTTAAGCTGCTAATATTGTGATTTGTTATGGCAACGACAAAAACTGATACATCCAGATTTTATATAAATTATTATCTTACATTTAAAGTGGCCTTGTTATAATTTATTGTCCTTTAGTTGTAGAAGCTATATACTACTGTTTTGATAAACCCATTGTGATGGTTAATATTAGATGTCAACTTGATTGAATTGAAGGATACCTAGATAGCTGGTAAAGTATTGTTGCTGAGTGTGTCTGTGAGGGTGTTGTTATAGGAGATTAACATTTGAGTTAGTGAACTGGGAGAGGAAGACACACTCTCAATGTGGATGGGCACCATCTAATCGGCTGTCAGTGCAACTAGAACAAAGCAGGTGGAAGAAGGTGGGATCAGCCGGCTTGCTGGGTCTTCTGGCTCTCATTTTTCTCCCATGCTGGATGATTTCTTCTATTCCTCCTGCCTTTGGACATCAGACCCCAGGTTCCTCAGCTTCTGGACTCTTGGATTTACACCAGTGGTTTGCAGGGGGCTCCTGGGCCTTCCACCACAGACTGAAGGCTGCACTGTGGGCTTCCCTACTTTTGAGGCTTTGGAACTCAAACTGAGCCACTACTGGCTTCTTTCTTCCTCAGCTTGCAGACAGCCTGTGGTGGACTTTCACCTTGTGATCACGTGAGCCAATTCTCTTTAATAAACTCCCTTTCATATGTACATATATCCTATTCGTTCTGTCCCTGTAGAAAACCCTCAGTAATACACCCACCTAATTATAGATACTGTGTATATAGATAGATAGATATAGATATATGCATATATGCATATGTATGTATGTGTGTGTGTGTATATATATACACACATATGCATATGTAGACAAACAAGTTTCCAAAAGAATTCATCCCCCCTGCCCGTTCAAGTGGGCCTTCAAGTGAGTTCTGAGTTATTTCTTAATTAAATCGATTCAGGTGAATCAAGAGGCTAACTGAATTTAAGGCTTCTTGAAATGGGATTCTAGCTGGATAACTGGGGTCAAGGATTGGGGATCTAGAAAGAGACTCTACAATGGACATCCTTGGCTTGCTGCCCAACACTGTCTCTCCTTCTTCCTAATACAGAATTTTTATTTGTTTTAGCAACACCTACCTTCTACAGACCCCATGTACAGATTTTACCCTTAGTCATATGGTTTGGGTGGGACTGAATCCACCCCTACTTCCAGGGATGGACCTTGATTGTATTAGGCCAATCTGAAAACTACTTACTTATGACCACAGTGAATGGTTTAGGAGTGGTCCATAACTCAGTCCCCTGTCAATCAGCTCATCATATTACACTGCCCTGAATTGGTCCAAGGTTATTGGTCCATGTTCTAAGTCAGTCCAGTTAGAGGAACCTAGAGGATTTTGCTGACAGTGTTGGAGTATAGACTCCTCTGTTACCTACTTATGACCACAGTGAATGGTTTCAGAGTGGGTCCATAACTCAGGCCCCTGTCAATCAGCTCATCATATTACATTGTCCTGAATTGGTCCAAGGATATTTGTCCATGATCTAAATTAGTCAAGCTGGAGTGAACCTAGAGGATTTTGCTGAGATTCTGGAACATAGACTCCTCTCTTCTTTGCAAATAGAAACAAAGAAGCATGCAGTCCCATTGTTGCCAGCAGTCATTTTAGGACCACAGAGTGAGAACCTGCTTGCGATTAGGGCCAGCATCAAGCATCAAGGATGTGGAGTGGAGACAACAAAAATGCAGAAATAGCATCCTGAGCACTGTTTGGCCTCCGAGTGAAGTCTGTTGTGCCCCTGGACTCCAGTAAATGAATCAGTAAGTTTTTTATTCTTTGTAAAATTAAATTCGTCTGGGTTGGGTTTTCTGTTGCTTGCAACTAACATCTCTAAATTGCAGAAGGCCAAGGGAAAGATCAGAGTAGAAAATACACATCTCTTACTGCTCCATGTTGCCCAGGACTAGCTAGGACTGTATGCCCCTTTTAACATTTTGCTTCATCTAGTATCAGAATCCAAGTTGTAATTCCCTCCCGAGAGCAACTTTTCTCTGAGTAAACAATGCTGTGAGATAGAATCTCACATATTTATTTGGCTCATTCTTTTTAGTACTTGCTTTCTTCTTTGATCATGAATTTTGTTTGTAAGTGACATACTTTTTTCTTTACACAATGATTCCCAAGTGATTATTCAGAGAAAGTTGTTGAGAAATGAAGATGAACTACTGAGGAGAATAAACTCTTTGGCAGACTTCTCATTTGAGGGGCTGCATTTCTAGCTGGTCTTTTTCTCTTTTTTGAGACAGGGCCTCACTCTGTCATGGCTCACTGCAGCCTCAACCTTCTGGGCTCAGGTGATCCTCCCACCTCGGCCTCCCAAATACCTAGGACTACAGGCGTGTGCCAACGCGCTCAGCTAATTTTTGTATTTATTGTAGAGATGGAGTCTTGCCATGTTGCCCAGGCTGGTCTCGAGCTCCTGGGCTCAAGAAATCCTCCCTCCTAGCCCTCCCAAAGTGCTGGGATTACAGGCATGAATTGCCATGCCCACCTTCTATGTGGGCTTTTATGTTTTGAGCTATTCAATTCATCCTGTGTCCTTGCATTTGTCCTGCATCCATCTTTCTACCTGATATATTTCTCCTCACTTCCACAGCAGATTTTGCAAAATGGTGAATGAAAAATCTCAAATGTGCTAGTACTAGCTGAAAATAAAAACAAAAGATAATCGATAATCTTGATCTCCTGTTGCACATCCACCCGACAATTTGCCCTGAAGTAATCCAGAGAGGTGAATTGAGAAATCTGTGTCACTCATACACATATTTGAACAAGCTGCCAAAGCTTGTCTAGGCAAGTTTTCTCACTAGGTAAAAATCTATTTATGACAACCTTGTTCATTTACTGTCAATGTCACTTCATGAGAGTATGCACCTTTACACATATGAACTGTACACATTCCATACAAAAATTTCTTATTTATGGCATAAGTCCATTTCTTTTAAATTATGAACTATAAGAAATAAGATATGACTTAACTTTATATTAAAAGGAAATTATAAAATAAAAATAAATTAGATTGATAGTAGACCCATATGTGTTCTTTCTACTTCAAAACACTTCTTTATGAGGGAGAGAAATATTTAGTTTACAATAACTGATAAAATACTTAAAGTACACATACCTATGAAGAAGGTAACACAAACACAGACGTCTTTAAAGTAAGATTTAATGGCAGTTAAAATTCCTTTCCTTTAAAGAAAGCTTAGTAATGGGTGTGATGATGAAGACCCACAGAAATAAGTACAAAAATATGGAAAAGGGAGTCTTCCAGAAGTTTGAAACAAATTTCAGTTCTGATAGTAAAATTATTTTTTATACTTTATCTTATGACAACAAATTGAACTGTGACTATTTTTTTCCAACGGAAATCATTTGTCAAGGACTCAGAGGATAGTCAAATCCATTTCCCGTATTTTGTGGTGGTTGCTATATGCTCTCCTAAGTATTGCCTAATGCAGGATTAGAACTGATGGAGGGAAAGTAGATTTGTCCTTAGAACCTACTTACAATTTTTAAATTGAAAACTATTCTTTAGATAATTAACTTTTAACATTTTAACCTTGTCAACTTCCTCCTTAATGCCTCAAGCCAGTGTTACTCAGATATCATGTTGGATATTAGTTGGCCAATTCAGTCTGGAGGCATTCCGTTAACCAGGGTTCTTTGCAGTAGCTTTTCTCAGGATCTTTACTATGTGAATGTACATTGTGAATCTCAGAATCTCATAGAGGGATATGGTGTATCCAGAGATTTCTAAACCCATAGATAATCTTTTTATTTCTTCCAGAATACCCAGTTATAACATGTATGACATAAGTGTTTCTCAAAAAATAATTGGAGATATTTTCTTTAATAGCAAAAGGAAAACTGTGCTATTGTCACTACTTTGCTCTTCTCCAAAAAGTTGAGCTTCTGTCTGGCTCTTTTCCACCTTTTCACCACAGTTCACAAATGAGATCAGAGGTGATGGTGCTTCCTAGCAGTCCAAACCTATCTCCAGTACTAAGCAAGACAATTCATAGCAAAACCCAAACCCAAATGGGGTTGGTAACAATACCTTTCTTATCCAAGAGATTTCCTTCCACCAACCAAGAAAAAGATTAGTTTTTCTCCCAAATTTCTCCCTCCACAATTAGTTTTTCAACCCAGAACGAAAAAAGAGCAGAATCTACCAAATAATTTAGAATGAGAGATAAAGAGCAATACCTGGTTTTGTTGATCCAATCAAATCCATTTTTTTTTCAGATTTAAACAGAAAATAATAACAAATTGACTAAATGTGAAAATTAGATTGCTTGGTTCCCATAACAAAGTAATCGTTTATTTTCAAACTTTGCGTTACTTATGTTGATACTCCTGCCTTTTTGCTTCTTGCTCATTTCCTTGGAAATCAGTATTTTTATTTTTTGATATATTGTTTTGTTTTGTTGGATTGGTGTGAGTGCTGTTGTCATATCAAGTTCGCAGCTTTTATTACCTAGAAGTGAACACATGCTATTCAGATAGTATGTGGTCAAAAGTATTCAATCACAATGATCAAGTATTGTTAAAATAAAAAATCAAAAGCTCAAAGAATTTTAGAAAGATGAGCCCGGAATATCCATGCTGTGCAAGAGAAGTGAGTTCTCAGTATAGCGGTGTGTGTGTGTGTGTGTGTGTGTGTGTGTGTGTGTGTGCGCGCGCATGCGCACGTGCACATGTACTCACATGCTATGAATTTGAAGGAAGGATAATGGAAACAAAATTGCTGATAGCTTCCTAAAGGACAGAAAAGCCACCATGCTGTGTACCTGTTCTTCAGCTGTATATTAGACTGTAAACAGAATCAATAAAAGAAGCCTTCAGTGAGACTAATTTTAATGCAATGTAAGTAAGAATAAGAACTGAACCTAGATCTCCTGATGCCCTGTTCAGTGCTCAGGAAGAATGTTAATAGTCTTCTTTCTCCTAGTCTTATTTCTTTAATGTTATATTTTCAGTTCCTTTAAACTGATAGGCTATGTTAATTGTGCTCAGTGAAATCTGCTTTTGTCATTGTCGTAAGAGAGTTCTAATATCCGCAGGCTTACACAAATTAAAGTTATGTTATAACTTTCTCATGGAGTTTGCTCCTTCTGTTTTTACAATTCCAGTGAGCCACCTCTCAGCTAAGTTTGCAGTCCCCTTATTTCTAATTGTTCTGTATCCAAGACATGCTCTGGAACAATGACTCATTGTTCACTGCACTATTTTTTCATGATATTTTACCTTGAGTCCTTAATTCACCTTAGAATAACTTCATTTCTTTTGAAAGGGGACTGCCTAGTGTATAAACAAGAACTTCATATTCTTTATCACTGATAAGCTACCTTAAAAGAAATGGAAATGACTCAGAGTTAAATGTAGCCCCTCTGCCTCCATTTTTTTTCTTATAATTTCCTTTTGTTTCCTGTGCTCAGTTCTCCATGAAGAGATGGTTGAAGCAGTCTAGTTTTTAGCACTGTCACCAGGGCTGTATGTTAAGTTCAAGTTGTGGCTTTCCAAGAAGGGCCTGACTTTGAAGCATTAACATTTAGACTACTGTATAGAAAAGAATAATAGAAATGGCCACTTAGGAAAGCAATTGGGTTAATTACTGACATTAGACAATATGGGCAATTTATAAATATCATGCACTTCTACTATCAGCTCAACAGAATTTAGTTCAAATGTGCTGAGCTCTGTGCTCTGGTAGCAAATTTTCTTCCTGTTTATGTAAAACATTGACTTGCATTTTGGCCAGTGCATGAAGTCTTGTGGGACTCCCAAGTCTTTCAACACATGCAAAGTGAAGAATTAATAATATCCAAGCCAGGTCAACACACGTCTTAATGGTTCTGTCTCAAATTCGTTCTCCACGTATGGACCAAAACCAAATGCAGGGCTCTCTTGATTTTTTTTTTAAGTTCCAATGAAATTAATGTGGGACACTTTCCCCTAGAATCTAAAACAACAACAACAATGCCAAAAGCCCTTCAAACCCTGAAGCCGTGAAAAACACAAATGAGTGTGTGTAATGGTCAGAATGGTTGGCACCTGAATTAAGAGAAGAACATAGATATGACTAGATTTGGATGTATTCAAGATATTGAAAACTGTTTTCCATCTTAAATTATCAAAAGGATAAAGTGTTAGTGGGAGTAAAAAGCCTCAGAAGGCAGTTGGACAAAAATGACTAGTAATGGACTGACAGCAAACTGGTAAGTATAGAAAACTGGAAAGTTTTAAGAAATATTTGGTTCGTATATCCTGAGCGTTAGCTTTGAATCTGGCTCACTGTTGCATAAGTGTCCTCCCCCAATATCTTTTGCAATACTTGGTCTAACTATTTATTTTTCTCAAGTTTGGAAAGGAATAGGGTAATAAACCACAAAACAGTAGAATTCAGTTATGAAAGAAATAGTCTCCTTATTAGTACATTTAGGAAAAATGGTTCATAAGTTATAAAATAACTCCTCCCTGGAAATACTTTAAATTAGATTCCTTCTACAAAGATGTGCATGGTGGAGCTGAAATTGCTGGTGTTTACACCATAGTTGACATGCAGAACTCTCTGAAGGTCTTGTTTGTTTGGTACCTCAAAAATCTTCTGCGCCATCTAATGGAAACAATGCAAACTGCAGCTTGCTTTGGAGGACAAGAGCTTCAAATTCTTCAGCACAGATCAATGCAGAATAGATGAAAGCTATAGAATGCAGTAGATCAGATACCAGCCTCTAAATGTAATGGCTTGGGGGAATTGGCTCTCAGTTGTATAGTGTACACAATTCAAACATGCCTAGGGTATTATGATTTCACCATGCAAATGTATTAAAATACAATGTATCCATTCATAGTGCATTTAGTAACAGACAATGGAGTGAACTCATATGATTTGCCAAACCAAGATCCAGAATACTCCAGGTTTTTTTTTTTAAAGTAAGTATTCATTTCCAAGTTTCTGCTGTATTTCTTTGTCACGTCTATGCTACAGGTACAATGTAATTTAATTTTCAACGTGTTTACCACATTCAAAAACTGTAAATGTCATGAATTTTATGTCAGAATCTACACCTTGAATTGTAGGCTCAAATGCAAACATGGGTACGGAGGTAATTTAAGTTAAAAGGGAAGACAATGTGGTGGAGTAAGTAGGCTGTCTTGGCAAAGTGGAAATCATACTCCCTGGGTTCAATGAGTGATAATCAGCAACAGCTGGTTGTTGTCGAGCAATAATGCCCAACGAAAGTCCAAAATCTGTACTCTTCTGTACATTTCCTTATTTTGTAAGTGTTTGTTCACACCCATAAATACATCCATGGTCCAGATATGACCTAGCTCTAAGAGCCACCATTTGTGATTGTAGGTTTCTCATAATCCAAGGCAACACAATGAGAATACAGCAGTAAATCCCACAGTCACTGGAATCATTTGGAACACAAATCCTTTGAGAAATAAGTGCTCTCATACTTTAATTAATATGCATAGATTGTTTTAGCTGTACATGGCAATGGAGTGTATTAAATCACAGATATTGTCCAATCTTTCTATTATTTCTGGCAAAGTAGTTCTAAGGCTAAAATTCACTGAATCCATAGCCAAATCATTGCCTGTACAGCCCTGAGATAAAGGCAGCTGTCCAATTTTGTCAAACCGCAGTTTCTAATATTCCAAGCCCTCGAGTTGGAGACAAGCTCACACCAGTGACAAGTGGCTTCAGAGGGACAGTGTTTGAAAGGTGTTTTCACGTGATTATCAAGACACGTTTATGTTTCTTGGGCAAATAAAGAAAAGGAACAGCTAGCACTTTGTTAGAATTCAAACCTGAGGAAAACATAAGGAATAATGAAAGACATAAGAGATGTTGGCTATGCATGAACCCAATTAAAATGTGTTTTTTTCCTCCTAAGGACATTTTAGATTTGAAGTTGTTGTTTTCATACTTTTCCTCTACTCGTCAGAGTCTGTTGCTCTCTACCCCGCTATTTTGAATGATTTCTATAGATGTAGTTCATCTAAGTAATATGGGTTTGCCAGTTTGCCCCCCCACTTTTTTTTTTTTTTTTTTGAGTCGGAGTCTCATTCTGTCACCTAGGCTGGAGTGCAGTGGTGCAATCTCGGCTCACTGCAACCTCTGCCTCCCAGGTTCAAGTGATTCTCCTGCCTCAGGCTCCTGAGTAGCTGGGATTACAGGTGTCCGCCACCACACCTGGTTAATTTTGTGTTTTTAGTAGAGACAGGGTTTCATCATGTTGGCCAGGCTGGTCTTGAACTCCTGACCTACCTCAGGTGATCTGCCTGCCTCCGCCTCCCAAAGTGCTCGGATTACAGGCATGAGCCCCTGTGCCTGGTTTGCCCCTTTCATAGGCTCACAGAGCCTGGGAGAACACCATTCCCTAGCCTTGAGGCAGATGAGTGCCTGACCCAGACACTTTCTAACGATGCCTTTCATGACTTATTAGCATCTTGCGGATCAAAATGTCCCATCTTAATAGCCAATGTTGACTTATCCTTTAGTCAATGTTTCTTTCACAGAACTGGATCCTCAGTTCAGGAAACACTTACTTGTCCAAAGCCCAATACATATTGAGAACTTAGTACAGTATTGGGCATGTGGTGTCTTCAGTAAATATAGGTAATTATTATTCTCATTTAAGGACTGCCAAAAGAGCAACTCTTCTGCATTTATAAGAAGCAGTTTGGGACTCTACAGTGCCGCAGGAGCTAGCAAGTTCAGATCTACCTCCTTATACGTGGTGTCCCTGGTGTTTTGTGGGGGTGGACACCCATGCTTCATCAGGCATTGAAGAAGGAGAAAACAATAGTGTTGAGCCATTTTAGCTAAAGGGACTGCTCTAACCATTATTATTATCATTATTAAAATATTTCAGCCAGGCACGGTGGCTCTCACCTGCAATCCCAGCACTTTGAGAGGCTGAGATGGATGGATCACTTGAGCCCAGGAGTTCAAGACCAGCCTGGGCTACATAGCCCTTCCCTACAAAAAATACAAAAATTAGCTAAGCATGGTGGCACATGCCTGTATTCTCAGCTACTTGGGAGGCAGAGGTGAGAGAATCACTTGAGCCCAGGAGGTCAAGGCTGCAGTGAGCCATGATCACACCACTGTGCTCCAGCCTGGGTGACAGAGTGAGACCCTGTCTCAAATATGTACGTAGTTACATCTATATATTTTATATTCATTTCTTGCCCATTAAATGTGATCTTAAAGGCAAGAACTATGTCTTTTTCCTTTACAATGTTCTGCTGTATCCCATGTCAAGTTATATATGTAAAAGGTTTTCAGAAAATGAGTGGCAAATGAATAAATGAATATGATGCCACTTATTTCAGTTTTATTATAAATGTTAGCTTTGGCACCTCAGATGATTAGTACAGGTATTGCACATCATATTCTATTTGTTGTAAATTGATATCCTTCTATATAGAGGTTAGGGTTCACTGATGGCAAAGCATTACAATCTTAGTAAAATATAGAAATCAATGAGCTAATGTTTATCAAATAAATGAATTCTGTGCTTGTGTTGACCATTATATGAGATTTAGTATCGCTTACTTAGTACCATATTGAAATAGTTAGCAAGTAGCCTAGCTAAGGTTAAATTATTAATCTTTTTCTTTAAAACTTAAATGGGACAATTGGGTACTTTTTTTGTTTGGTTTTGCTATGGGGTCTTGCTCTGTCACTCAGGCTGGAGTGCAGTGGCACGATCTTGGCTCACTGCAACCTCCATCTCCTGGGTTCAAGTGATTCTCCTGCCTCAGCCTCCTACGTAGCTGGGATTACAGGTGCCCACCACCATGCCTGACCAATTTTCGTATTTTTGGTAGAGATGGGGTTTCGCCATGCTGGCCAGGCAGGTTTTGAACTCTTGACCTCAAAGAGGTGATCCACCCGCCTCAGACTCCCAAAGTGCTGAGATTACAGGTGTGAGCCACTGCACCTGGCCCAATTGGGTAGATTTTAAAGCATATTCACTTGACCCTTGAAAAACATGGGTTTGAACTGCAGAGGTCCACTTATATGCAGATATTTTTCAGTACAAGTTAGACCAAGTGTGCCTGCCTCTCTTGCTGCCCCTTCCATCTTCTCCACCTCTGTCACCTCTGCCAACTCTGAGACAGCAAGACCAACCCCTCCTCTTCTGCCTCCTCCTCAGCCTTCTCAATGTGACGACAACGAGGATGAAGACCTTTGTGATGATGCATTTTCACTTAGTGAATTATAAATATATTTTCTCTTCTCTATGATTTCCTTAATAATATTTCCTTTTCTCTAGCTTACTTTATTGTGAGAATACAATATATAGTACAGATAACATACAAAACATTGGTTAACCCACAGTATATGTTATTGATGACTTTGGTCAACAGTAAATAGTTAAGTAGTTAAAAGTTGACTACTAATAGTAGTCAAAAGTTACACATGGACTTTTCACCGCACAGGGATTTGGTCCCCCTAACCCGCACATTGCCCAAGTGTCAACTATAATTAGAAATGAGTATCTTCAAGGTCTAAGCTAGTCAGGAATTTTTTTAGTACTTGTCTTTCAGATTTATGCATTTATTTTTATTGATGTATAATAGTTGTACATATATTGGGGGAACATGTGATATTTTGATACCTGTATACAATGTGTTATGATTATGATCAAATTAAGGTAACTGGAATATCAATCACCTGACATGGTTATTATTTCCTTGTTTTGGGAACATTACAATTCTTCTAGTTACTTTGAAATATATAATAAATTATTAACTATACTTTGCCTACTATACTATCAAATACTAGAACTTTTTCCTTTTATCTAACTGTATTTTTATACCCCTTAACCAACTTCATTTTCCCTCTCCACTTCTTTTCTCTGCCTTTGGTAACCAACATTCTACTGTCTACATCCATGAAATTCACTTTTTCAGCTCTCACATGTGAGTGGAGACATACAATATTTGTCTTTCTTTCCTGGCTTATTTCCTTAACATAATAACCTCCAGTTCCATCCATGTTGCTGCAAATGACAAGATTTTGTTCTGTTTTATGGCTGAGTAATATTCCATTGTGTATATATACCGTATTTTCGTTATCCATTCATCTGTTGATGGACATTTAGATTGATTCCAAATATTTGTTATTGTACATAATGCTGTAATAAACATGAGAGTGTAGATATCTCTTCTATATACTGATTTCCTTTATTCTGGCTATTTACCCAGTAATTGGATTGCTGGATCAAATGGTAGTTCTATTTTTAGGTTTTTGAGGAACTTCCATACTGTTTTCCCTAATTGCTGTTCTACTTTACATTCCCACCAACAGTGTAAGATCATCCTTGCCAACATTTGTTAGTTTTTTTCTTTTTGATAATAACCATATTAACTGAGGTGAGATGATATCTCACTGTGGTTTTGATTTGCATTTCTCCAGTGATTGATGATGTTGAACATTTTTTATACACCTGTTGGCCATTTCTTTGTCTTCTTCTGAGAAATGTCCATTTAGGTCTTTTGCCCATTTTTAAATCAGATTTTTATTTTTTTTCTATTGAATTGTTTGAGTTCCTTATATATACTGATTATTAATTCCTTGTGAGTTGAATAGTTTGAAAATATTTTCTCCCATTCTCTAGGTTATCTCTTCACTCTGTTGATTGTTTCCTTTGCCATACAGAAACTTTTCAGCTTGATGTAATCCCATTTGTCTACTTTTGCTTTTGTTGCCTGTGCTTTTGAGGTCTTACCCAAAAAGTCTTTGCCCACATCAATATCCTGTAGCATTTCTTCAGTGTTTTCTTTTACTGGTTTTATAGTTTCAAGTCTTACATTTAAGTCATTAATCCATTTTTGAGTTGATTTTTGTGTATGGTTGTAGATCGGCGTGTAGTATTCTTCTTCTGCATATGGCTATCCAGTTTTCCAAGCACCATTTATTAAAGAGACTGTCCTTTTCCCAATGTATGTCCATGATGCCGTTGTTGAAAATGAGCTGGCTGTAAGGGTATGGATGTATTTCTGTGTTCTCTAGTTTGTTCCATTGGTCTTTGTGTCTGTTTTCATGCCATTATCATTCTTTTTGATTATTGTACTCAGGATTTTCTAAATGGTTCATGTAGTACACCTTGCACCACTCTGACCCTTTAATCTTTTCTGACTTCTCATTTTTGGTATCTCATAAATGAGGCCCAACACGCCAGATGTTATTTCGAATTATGACTGAGTAATGACTCTTCACTAGCACTGTTCCCTGTAGGAAATATTTTTGCATTAATGTCAACTTCACCTTGTTCTGGACTCTTGGATATACTATCCTTCAAGTCAGGTTTGATCTTTGGTCTTTTCTGGCACTGATATTAAGTTCTCCGATATTTGAATCTGAAATATTAGTTTTCTCCACACAAAACTCAGGCATAGGTTCTTCCATTCTGTTCTAACTGTTCCCAGTTTTTAAAGACATATTCTAACATCCTCACAACCTTCAACCTTGTGCAAACCCAGTTCCCATTCCAGATCTAAGAAAGAGTCACACAAAAACAGCTTCTCTGTTCTAACCTTGTTAATAGAATGAAAACGTATTTTATGAGGTTTGAAAAACTGTCATCTGACTTTTTGCAAGGTACCCTAGGAAGTTCACTGTTGGGAGTTCAGTAAATTTGAGATTTACAAAATCCATTCATTCAAAATATGTCTTATGCCACAATATTATGAGAAGATGGTTCCCAAGAGTGATTGATCTGATTTAAAGACTCAAGTGGCGAAGGTTGCTGGGAAGAGAGTAGGGAAAGGCCATTTCTCTCAGCTGAATCATGGGCACTAGGGATTGGCTGAGAACATTTGAGTGGAGTGAGGCAATTCCTATGGAATGAGCCTTGGCCAGAAAACACACTGGTGTTGGACAGAGGGAGTGCAATATCCGTGCCTTCAACTTTGTTGGAGCAAAATCTTAATTAGCCTGATTCTCTCTCTTTGGTTTCACTGTCTTCTAGATTTGCAAGGAAAGGCATTATAATATGAACACCTGAAAGCCACCTTTCTCCTTAGGGTTGAGGGCACCTTCTGTTGTACAGCAGAAACTATTAATTCACATTTATTCTCATAAAAGCATTGTATTTTTCTAGTTGAAAATATAATACATAATCATTCTAGAAGTTGAGAACTTCAAAACTATAAAGAAGAAAATTACAATACCCAAAGTCGATAAAATAACTATTAAATCTTTGGTATATTTCTTTTCGATCATCTCTTTATATATCTTTTCACCTATTTATAATCATGCTATTCTGCTTTTTATTACTTAAAATGCAATACAAATGTTTTTGATTCATTTTTAAATGCTTTTAAAGTATATTTTGGATATATTGCATGTCTTTATTATTTTGCTTATGTAAATAAACTACAATTTACTTAATCATCTCCCTGTGTTACCCACAGTGGTTGTGATTGTTTGCAATTTTGTTTTATTTTGTCTCCCTTATATAATAGAAACTAAGTGTGACTTCAGAAACTAAAGGTAGATTCTCCCATCCTGTGAGGTCATTAACTTGGAGTGAAAATTATACAGGAAGGACTGAGACAACAAAAGTTTGCCTGTCCATGATAAAGTTCAAAGTTGGGCAATAATCTTCTTAGCTATTAAATCAAGCATCTGTTGTCAAGCTCAATTGTAAACAAATCACATAGAAAATTATCTTTCTTTAAATGTTTTGCCAAGAGGATGTTTGGAAATTGGAGTGGTTTAGTATCTGAAGGTAACTCTAATTTTCATTTTTAGTCTCTATGTTGAATGCTGTGTAATGTTTCTTACGAAATTTCATTAGATGGGAACTCTGATACTTTTCATTTATGCATATTCATGTTTTTATTTAAAATACTCTTAACAAATGATTCTTTTATGTTTATGATATAAATCCAATCCAATATTTATAGGGTAAAAAAAATGGGCATTTGTGTATTTTGTGTTCAACGTATTGTTCATATTGAATTCTCCATAGACAGCAATAAGAAAACAATTCCAACCCATCAATATTAAATACTGAATCTTAATCACAAATGAGTTGTAATTGTATTCAGTTGCAAATGGGTTTTTTTCCTCACAGCACAATTAAAACTTACAGATTTTTTCATTAGAAAATAAATTCAGCTGCTTAGTTCTAAAAATGTATGATGACAAGAGCAAGGACATTTTTTTTCTGCTAGTTTTGCTTATTGGAGGCCATAATACTCTGGCTTTCAGTACTCAATGCAAGATATCATAAAAGAACAGCATTATAAACTACTTTAGACATTAGTTGCCAAAGAACCCAAGGTGTCTTCACTTTGAATATTTCCTGGACCCATAAACATTGAGATTAAATCTAGAACAGATTTTTGTGGTAGTTCATGCTGGCCTCAGCCCACTCTTCCCACTGGGCTTCTTGTTTTGCCGGGGACAGGAAATATTAAACCAATTTACTGCCTTTATATTCACTCTCACAAAACAAAACAGAAAAACAAACAAGACTTCAAAATCAAACTGGAATCCACTTCTCAAACATTCTGATTGAAGCCTAACTTGAAAGACATACAGCAGGGAGAGAGACTAGAGTTTGGCAAAGGTGAGACAGAAATTTCTCTGCTTCTGGTAAGAAAAAGCCTCATTTCAGTCTCTGGAGAGGTCTTGTCTAGACACTGATAATACTGTCCTGATTGATGAACTAGTTAGAAATATTTCTGGGAGACATTTTGCCACGTCTTGGATGACCAAGATACTTGGCTAAGCTAAGGGACTAAAATTAAGGCTACCATTTTCATTCAAAGCACTATAGTTACATGTATATCTCTAGGCTAGTGTTTATTAATTTAGCTTTCTGTAGTTTTGTGTCTCCTTTCTTGTCCTTTAAATTCTGTCTTCTAATTGGTACCAATCTTACTGAAACTGTTCCAGAAAATTAAGGAGGAGAGAATCCTCCCTTACTCACTCTATGAAGCCAGTATCACCCTGATACCAAAGCTAGGCAAAGACATAACAAAAAAAGAAAACTACAGGCCAATATCCTGGATAAACATAGATGCAGAAATCCTCAAAAAAAAAAAATACTACCAGACTGAATTCAACAGCACATCAAAAAGATAATATACCATGATAAAGTGGATTTTATTCCAGGGATGCAAGAATGGTTCACCATATGCAAGTCAATAAATGTTATTCATCACATAAGCAGAATTAAACACAAAATCCATATGGTCATTTTAAAAGACACACAAAAAAGCATTAAATAAAATTCAGCATTCCTTTATGATAAAATCCCTCAACAAACTGAGCATACAAAGAACATGCTTCAACATAATAAAAGTCATATATGACAGGCCCACAGCAAACATTATACTGAATGGAGAAGAGTTCAAAGCATTCCCTTTAAGAATTGGAACAAAATGAAGATATTCATTTTCACCACTCCTATTCAACATAGTACTGGAAGTCCTACTTAGAGCACTCAGGCAAGAGAAAGAAATAAAAGGCCTCCACACAGGAAAAGAGTAAGTCAAATTATCTCTGTTCACTAGTGATATGATCTTATACATGGATAAGCCCTAAAGTGTCCTAGATTTGATAAATGACTTCAGTAAAATTTCAGAATACAAAATCAATGTACAAAAATTGATAGCATTTCTATATACTAATAACAATCAAGCAAGACCCAAATCAAGAACTCAATCCCATTTACAATAGCTACAAATATAAAATAAAATAACTAGTAACACATTTAACTAAGGCGGTGAAAGATCTCTACAAGGAAAACTACAAAACTGCTGAAAGAAATCATAGATGATGAACACAAATGAAAAAACATCCCATGCTAATGAATTGAAGAATGAATATTGTTAAAATGACCATACTGCCAAAGCAATCTAGAGATTCAATGAAAGTCCTATCAAATTACCAATGTCAGTCTCCACAGAATTAGAAAAAAAAACAATTCTAATGTTCATATGGAACCAAAAAAGAGCTCAAATAGCCAAAGTAATTCTAAGCAAAAAGAAAAAGCTAGAGGCATCACATTACCTGACTTCATATTATACTACAAGGCTACAGTAACCAAAACAGCATGGTACTGGTGTGAAAACTGACACACAGATCAATGAACACAATAGAGAACCCACAAATAAAGCCACATATCTACAGCCAAGTGATCTTTAATAAAGTTAACAAAAACATACACTGGAGAAAGGACACCCTCTTTAGTAAATGGTGTGGGAAAATTGGATAGCCATAGGCAGAAGAATTAAACTGGACCCCTATCTCTCACTATATACAAAAGTTAACTAAAGGTTAATTAAAAACTTAAAGGGAAGACCTGAAATTTAAAAAAAGCCTAGAAGAAAACCTAGAAAAAACTCTTCTGGGTGTTGGTCTAGGCAAAGAATTTATGACTAATTCTCAAAAACAATTACAACAAAAACAAAAATAGATAAATAGGATTTAATTAAAAAGATTCTGCACAGCAAAATAAACAATCAACAGAGTAAATAGAAAACCTACAGAATGGGAGAAAATATTTGTGAACTATGCATCTGACAAGAGCTAATATCCAGAACTTATAAGAAACTCAATTAGCTTAACAATAACAACAACCAAATAATCCAATTAAAAAGTGGACAAAAAAACATGAATAGACATTTTTCAAAAGAAGGCATATAAGCGGCCAACAAAAATATGAAAACATGCTCAAAATCAGAGAAATGCAAATTAAAACTACAATGAGGTACCATCTTACACCAGTCAGAATGTCTGTTACAAAAAAGTCAAAAAACAACAGATGTTAGCAAGGATGTGGAGAGAAGGGAATGCTTATATGTTGTTGGTGGGAATGTAAATTAGTACAACCTCTATGGAAAACAGTATGGAGATTTCTCAAACAACTAAAAATAGAATCACTATTTGATCCAGCAATCCCACTACTGGTATTCTTTTGGATCCCAAAAAGAAATCATTATGTTGGCGAGGCACGGTGGCTCATGCCTGTAATCCCAGCACTTTGGGAGGCCGTGGCAGGCAAATTACTTGATGTCAGGAGTTCAAGATCAGCCTGGTCAACATGATGAAACCCTATCTGTACTAAAAATACAAAAATTTGCCAGGTATGGTGGCAGGAGCCTGTAATTCCAGCTACTCAGGAGGCTGAGGCAGGATAATCGCTTGAACCTGGAAGGCGGAGGTTGCAGTCAGCCGAGATCATGCCACTGAACTCCAGCCTGGGTGACATCTCAAAAAAAAAAAAAATGAAAAGAAAAAAAAAGAAATCATTATATAGAAAAGTACCTGCACTTTTATGTTTATCACAGCACTATTCACAATAGCAAAGTCATATTTATATATATACACTCAGCCATAGAAAAGAATATATATACATATATATAAGTATACTTATATATACTTATATATGTGTGTATATATATATATATATATACACACTATCTATCTATCTGTCTGTCTGTCTGTCTATCTATCTATCTATCTATCTATCTATCTATCTATCTATCTATAGCACTCCACCATAGAAAAGGATAAAATCATGTCCTTTACAGCAACAGAACTGGAGGCGATTATTTTAGGTGAAATAACCCAGAAACAGACAGCCAAATAATGTATGTTGTCACTTATAAGTAGGAGCTAAATAATGGGTGCACATGAACATACAAGGGGGAAAAATTAGACACTGAAGACTCCAAAAGGTGGGAAGATGAGAGGGAGACAAGAATTAAAAAAATACATCTTGGGTACAGTGTTTGCTGTTAAGAGGATGGATACACTAAAAGCCCAGACTTCACCACTAAACAATATACCTGTGTAAGAAAATTGCACTTGTACTCCCTAAATCTATTTTTTTTTTAAAAAAAAAAAAAGCATTCTTATGTTCTCCTCAGTAGAATTCAAACACTGAGAAGAGATACCTCTTGAGCTATGTAAAATGTTAAATAAATTTCCTTAGACCATGAGCGTCAGGGACTCAAAAGGAAAATGTTTGTGTGTGTGTGTGTACATGTGTACACCCATGTGTGGATTCTCTGCCTGATTCCTTTTTAAGGAAGAATGAAAATGACAAAAGGGGGAACTCTGCCGCTGTTTCAACTATTTTTTTCCCACTATTTTAACTGTAAAATCAGCATGCATTTTATTAAATCTTGCTTAAATGGAAATGGTGAGATTCTAATATTGAATGTGAAATGAGATGAAGATCTGCTCTGGGAGTTGAGTATTATAAAAAGTAAATTTTCAGGACTCTAGGCCAAGTTTTTATTCTGCTTTTAAAAAAATAATCTTCAAATAAAAAACTTTTCTTAGTTTTAAAAATAGCATTATGATATTTAAGAATACTTAGTTCTTCAGTGGTGTGTTTGAAGCAAGGTCTCAAAAGCTTTAGAAGAAACTGGTGGATATCTTATTGAACTCTGAAAAGAGGAAATATTATAATCTTTTAAAAAGAGAATTTTTTTAATCCTTTACCAAAGAAAGATGACATTCTCAGTTGTAAATGAGTATAGATTTTATTTCTAAGTAGAATACTCCTCTCCTCCCATTCCTTTCTTTTCCCCTTGCCTTTCCCAGGTCTACCTTCCAACTGAACCCATTAATGAAAGAAAGGCCAGGCTTGGGGTTGTCTAAAAAAAAATTATCAGGGACATCATTCATTCACTCTCAGTACTCTGTTACAAGTCTTGAAACTCCTGTGCCTGGTTACCAGCAAAAATCCCATTCCAACTGGAGAGAAATCTGTCCTGTCGCATCTATGAGAGCAGTGTTTTTGAGACCAAGTTTGAATGCATTCTAATTAAGTGATTTTTAGTAACTGTGGACTTTAAAATAAAAGTGACCATTGACATTATACTTGGTGGTCAAGTCATATGGTTTCCTGTAGCTGGAGAAAATCTAATTCTGTGCACTAAATACATCTACAACTCTTCTGCACATAGAACTGTCATTGGCTTACCATCTCTAGGGAAAGGATTTAGGGATTTTATATTTTCAAGCAAAGAATTAATTTATACTGATTTCAGCCCAGTTTTGGTTGGTTCTCCTTGGCCAGCAACTGTTGGTATACAGTTTGTGATCGTAGGTTAGAGACCCAAAAGCAGTTTTTTGCTATGGAACTTAAGGAAATATCATAGCTGGTTTAGATGATGAACAGCTTAGCAAGACACAATGTATCATATTGGTATAGGTGAGATCTGGTTAAAGTTCATAACGCAGCTAGACAAGAGGAGATTCTAGCTCTGGCTGACCCACATTGCTTTGATTATTGCTGAAGAGACAGACTAGAAAATTTGGGGTCTGATGTTAATGATACTTGATTTAGATCTGTAATAGGTGCCAGTTTCAAAAATGGACACATCCAATAACTTTCTTTGTCTCTTGGTCCATCCAAAATGGATGAATGTAATAATAAAATCATTGTAGGGGAGAAAAACTAAGTGATTAAAATAATCTAAGGAGAATCAATAAAATAATTTACATTAATCCCAATTTAAATTGCATTAATCTTCCTCTTAGCCATTCCATCTTTTGGTAAGAAGACACTACCTTTTGAAAAAGGACATGAGCTAATGAGCTGGAATGGCCCCTTGGTGAATACATCTACTGAAACTTATTCTTTACACTCATCTGCCACATGGTATCTGTTGCTACACTGGCAATAAATCCCCGGGGCTAGAGGATGAAAAACTCAGGGGGGTCTGGCAAAGTCTGGAATCAGAAATAGACCATCTGCCTCATGGAGAAATTGACAGGAATCTCAGAACAGATGCATGCACCTCTTCACCATGAGGCAGATGGATAAGGAGAGCAAATAGGACCCAAAGCTGATTCTGGGAGACAAATAAGTAAAAGGCATGGGAGAAGCCTGGTTCTGAGGATCAAGTACAAATTCATCAGTCCAAGCTTCAAAGACTTTCATAGGATGGCTCCACTCTGGCTTTTTACTCCTATCCTTCACTACTCTCCCCAAACATCATTCCAGCCAGAATTACTGATTTAGCATCATCCAGACATGACTTTTATATCCATGACATCTCTGCCTCTTTTTTGGCAATGCATATCCTACCCGTCCTTAAAGGCTCTTTTCTCTGTGAAATCTTCCCTTACACAGCTCATATGGTCTCTTTCCTTCATTAATGTTCAGCATATATTGTGTATGCCTCTCATTTTACAACGACATTGAATTGTGCTTGGGATAAAAGTTTAGTTTTTTTTTTTTTAACTGGTGAACTGTAAGATGTTATCTAACTAAACCCTATTTCTCTAATTCATCCTGAGTAAAACCGCATGGCCATACACCAGCTACATTTAGTTTCTAGAGGTATGGAACATGTTATGTTTCTTTCCACCTCATAACTTTGGCACAAGACTCTACTTGAGTATCAAGGAGAGAAAAGATCATTAGAATAATGTGATGGAGGAAACACAAAGAGGTCAGGGAAGGCTGCATCTCAGGCAAAGCTGATAGCAAGAGTGACTTAGGGATAAAGAAGATGTGGGAAGAGTACTTTTGGGGGCAATGAGCAGAAGAACATGGTGGAGAGCCAAGAGTTTCCAGGTGCTAAAGGGAGAGCAGTTAATTAAGGTTTTGCTAATTGATAATTGACTTCCTTAATAATCCTGATGATCAGACATAGCATTTGCTTGAAGACAAACAGCTGGAAGCAACAAGGTAGAAAGGGAGAGGGAACCATATTGATTGTGATGGGCCTGGGATACGTTTTGTTTCCTGGTATTCAAAATGAAGGTGCGCAAGTTTCCTTCAGTGTCTATTTTCTCGAGTTATTGTATTCTATAGCTGAAGAATATACCCAGTATAAGTGGAAAAACACAATCATACCCAAGAAAGGTTAAGAAAGCCAGAATTAAAACCTGGGGCTTTCCCAGCTTTGGCCACATAATGAAATCCTGTCTCTACCAAAAAAAAAAAAAAAATCAGCTGGGTATGGTGGGGCAAGCCTATAGTCCCAGCTACTTGGGAGGCTGAAGTGGGAGTATTGCTTGAGCCCTGGAGTTCGAGGCTGCAGTGAGCCATGATCATGCCACTGCACTCCAACCTGGACAACAGGTCAAGACTCTGTCTCTAAAAAGAAAATAAATTAATTAATTAAATAAAATAATAATAAAAAAACTGAGGTATTCTATATGTTTTATTCAGAGACTCAATATCATTCAGTAGAAGCTCAACTAGAAACAAGATTAGTATATGCCAAGTGGTTAGACCCTAGTCTCTCGTTTTAAAATGAGTATCTCCTAGAATTGACACACACACACATACACAGACACACACACACACACACACACACATATATTTTGAACACGTTAATTATTAACTTCTCAAGTAATATTTGTTGACTCTATGTATAACCATATGCTATCAGGTTTCACCAGCCTGTGGATAGGAATAAGATTGCATTGGGATTTATACTACCTTGCATTGGAATTTCAGTCAGTGTCTCAACATTCTTCTATTGCTTCTGTGAGATCTTGGCACTCTCCACATTTCCCCAACTCCACAAGTTTCTGTGGTCCCAGAGGTGTTTCACTTATGTTTCTATATGAGGAAAAGCCTGCTGGGCATGGCTGCTCTAGTCAGATGTGAGCTGAACCCCTCTGACACCTGCTGTCATGTTCTCTAGAGTTCTGTGTCTTTGGTTTGCAAAAATAACCTGGAGAAATTATAAAAGAACATGAAGAAATAGAAGCCTAAGGTGTCCTCAAGTCAGCTGCCTAATCTCAGGTTAACCTTAATTCATACTCCTGTTCTATATGTTTACCATTAGATTTCAAAGAAATAAAAAATTTGAATAGAGAACAAAACTTTCTTGGAACACCCAATTTGAAATTTTTTTTTTGTGACACACCTCAGAAAGTATGTCCACCACCTTTGCAGCTCAGTTATGAGCATTTCTAGTCATCCAAAGCCTCCATTAATAGGACATATGTTCCATGAAATTATATGTAAACTTCAGAACAACAGAATTATGGGGTCCATCCCATTCTTCACCAGTGATTTTGTAACATTACTGTTACAAAGATTACATCATATGTTAATAACATCTTAAAATATGAACAAAATAACAGTAATAGTAATCTAAACAATAGAGTATCTGACTCTATTATTTCTGATCAAGTGATCTGTAAGAGTAAGGATATTTCTGTCACTTCTGTCAATGAAAAGAGAAAGCTTTTGGTTATGTGCCATACTCTTGCATCATCTCGATTCCCCAGAATGGACTAAATCAATTGAAAGATAAACTCACTGTAGTCAGGCATATGCTGACATGTTGGCCCCTTCACAAAAGCTCATGGACAGATTTCCTCTAGACCCAAACAAACTATGTAAAGAGTCTGTTTTGATTCTTGTTAGCTTTGCACTCTCTCAGCAAGCTGCTAAGAAAATTCAAATATGGCTACTCTTTTGGAAAGAAATGGCATTCCAGGATCTTTCAGGGCTTTTTTTTTTTTTTAATATAAGACAAAGTTATTTTTACAGAACAGTGCTACTCTACAAAGCATTCTTGGAGCAGCATAACAGTTCTAGTATATCAGTTAACTTGGAATTTGGGTTTAATGTATAGTTTGAGAGGCTTACATGAATGAAAGATTTATGTATACCTTGTGCCTTGCTGTCATGATGATGCTTGGCTCACTCTGTTTCTGAGGAGCCATATCCAATCACCAATAATGTCGCCCATGTGGCTTGAGCCTCACAATATTCCCAAAACCTAAAATTCTCCCCGGCAATTAAAAATTAGAAATGCGCTGTTAATGCATATTTGTTCAATGAAATAATTAAACAAAATATGCGTGTTTTGAAAAGCTAAAGGACCAATTAAATAATTTCAAGCCTCCCATTGTTCATTTGAAAACATTTACATATTCCAGCCTTGGCAAAGGGAACTATCTGATAGAACTGCATATGACTATTTTATGAAATACTTTAAAAAAATTTTTTTTTAAATTTAATCTCAGTAAACCTTACATAGGTTTAATGAGATAATGTAATACCTACATATGTAGGTATTAGCTTCCCCATCAGTACAACTGGGACAATAAGACTTAGGGTAAATAATGTTTTAAAAAATATATGGTAGTTAAGCTGCAGAACAAAGAATCAGCATGAGTTTCCTATATTTGAGTTTGCTTCCCCAAAATTCTATAACTTTTTCTAGATGAAGGCACTGAGGTTAAGGAAAGTGGAAGGCTATATACTCTGGGCCCTCATATAAGGGTTTAGACATATACTCTGCTCTACTTTAGCGAAAGTGTTGGCTACAGATACTCTTGCCTTAATGAGCCTGTAAGGTCAGAACATAGCCATTGGCAGAAGACTTTGTGCCAGGCACAATAATGTAAAAAATCAAGGCCTGAATTTTGTCTGGACCCATTTTACATTTCAAGTTGTGAAGCTGTGAAATAATCCAGGATCTTTAGAGAGCGTGCAGAAACATCATTCATTATTACTCTCACTCTCTGGGGGCTTTTACTTAACAAACATGTTTCAAAGTGACTTTTTTTAACTTTAAGAAGTAGGAAAAAAGAAATACCCAACAACAACCTTGCACTTATTATGATACCTGCTTAGAAAGATCTCAGTTTTAGAACAAATTAATAAACTTGTATACTATCTTAGTCTTCCCATCATGATTCCAGCATTGAAAAATAATGCAATAGCAGAGAAACTCCAATTGTAGAATATACGTAAATCTGAGGACTATAAATTATTCTAGTACTGACTAGAACAAATGTATTTCTGGAAAAGAGTGGTGGTTTTCTTAAAACAGACAGACAAACAAAAGAAAAAAAAAACACCAAAAAAGATGGAGATAATTTTTCTGAGGCTGAGCAGCAAACTACCTATAGAACTGTTGAGTTCTGAGTACTGGACTTTGACTTCCTCAGTGGGCAATATTCCCTTGATGATCATCCTGAAAGATATTATGGTTGATATGTGGAGTACTTTTGGAATAAAATGTTCTATTTCTTCTTCAAGATACTTTTTAAAAAAAATAATAGAGGCAGGGTCTCACTGTGTTGCCCAGTGTGGTCTCCAACTCCAAGGTAAAGCAGTCCCCCAACCTCTGCCTCCCAAAGTGCTGAGATTACAGGCATGAGGCACAGTGCCTGGTCTCCACGATACTTTTTAATTGTAGTAGTCTGTTCTCACAATGCTATAAAGAACTGCCTGAGACTGGATAATTTATAAAGGAAAGAGGTTTAATTGACTCACAGTTCCACAGGGCTTGGGAGGCCTCAGGAAACTTACAATCATGGCAAAGGGGAAGCAAACATGTCCTTCTTCACGTGAAAGCAGGAGAGAGAAGTGCCAAGCAAAGGGGGAAAAGCCCCTTATGAAACCATCAGATCTTGTGAGAACTCACTCACTATCATGACAGCAGCATGTGGGTAACCACACCCATGATTCAATTACCTCCCACCAAGTCTCTCCCACGACACATGGGGATTATGGGAACTACAATTCAAGATGAGATTTGGGTGGGGACACAGCCAAACCACATGATTCCACCCTGGGCCCTCCCAAATCTCACATCCTCACATTTCAAAATACAATCTTGCCTTTCCAACAGTTCCCAAAAGTCTTGGCTCATTCCAGCATTAACCCAAAAGTCCAAGTTCAAAGTCCCATCTGAGACAAGGCAAGTCCCTTCCACCTGTGAGCCTGTAAATCAAAAGCAAGTTAGTTACTTCCTGAATACAATGGGGGCACAGGCATTGGGTAAATATACTCATTCCAAATGTGAGAAATTGGTGGAAACAAAGGGGCTACAGGCTCCATGAAAGGCCGAAATCCAATAGGGCAGTCATTAAACCTTAAAGTTTCAAAATAATCTCCTTTGACTCCATGTCTCAAATGCAGGTCATGCTGATGCAAAAGATGGGCTCCTATGGCCTTGGGCAGCTCCACTCCTGTGGCTTTGCAGGGTATAGCCCTCACCTCCTGGCTACTTTCACAGGCTGGCATTGCATGTCTGTGGCTTTATCAGGTTCATGGTGCAAGCTGCCGGTGGATCTACCATTCTGGGGTCTGGAGAATGGTGACCCTCTTCTCACAGCTCCACTAGGCTCTGTGTGGGGGCTTCAAACACATGTCTTCCCTCCTCACTGCCCTAGCAGAGGTTCTCCATGAGGACCCTACCCCTGCAGCAAACTTCTGCCTGAACTTCCAGGCATTTCCATACATCCTCTGAAATCTAGGCGGAGGTTCCCAAACTTCAATTCTTGTCTTCTGCACACCTGCAGGAGCAACACCACATGAAAGCTGCCAAGGCTGTGGGCTTGCACCTTCTGAAGCAATGGTCTAAACTGTACCTTGGCCCATTTTAGTCATGGCTGGGGTGGCTGGGGTGCAAGGCACCAAGTCCTGAGGTTGCACACAGCAGGGGTTTCCTGGGCCGGGCCCACTAAAGCATTTTTCCCTTCTAGGCCTCCATGCCTGTGATGGGAGGGGCTGCTGTGAAAGTCTCTGACACGTCCTGGAGACATGTTCCTCCTTGTCTTGGTGATTAATATTTGGCTCCTCATTACTTATGCAAATTCCTGCAGCCGCTTGAATTTCTTTCCAGAAAATGGGTTTTTCTTTTCCATTGTATTGTCAGTCTGCAAATTTTTCAAACTCCTATGCTCTGCTTCCTCTTGAACACTTTGACACTTAGAAATTTCTTCTGCCAGATACCCTAAGTCATCTCCCTCAAGTTCAAACTTCCACAGATCTTTCAGGCAGGGACAAAATGCTGCCAGGGTCTTTGCTAAAGCATTGCAAGAGTCACCTTTATTCCAGTTACCAATAAGTTTCTTATCTCCATCTGCACTCACCTCAACCTGGACTTCATTGTCCATATCACTATCAGCCTCTTTGTCAAAACCATTCATCAAGTCTCTAGGAAGTTCCAAACTTTCCCACATCTTCCTGTCTTCTGAGCACTCCAAGTTTCTAGGAAGTTCCAAACTTTCCCACATTGACTGTCTTCTTCTGAGCCCTCCAAACTGTTCCAACCTCTGCCTGTTATCCAGTTCCAAAGTTGCTTCTAATTTTTGGGTATCTTTATAGTAGCGCCCCACACCATTGATACAAAATCACTGTATTAGTTCGTTCTCACACTGCTATAAGGAATTCCCTGAGATTGGGTAATTTATAAAGGAAAGAGGTTTAATTGATTGACAGTTCTGCAGGGCTGGGGGAGGGGGAGTGGCTCAAAAAAATTACAATTATGGTGGAAAGGGAAGCAAACATGTCCTTTTTCACGTGGTGGCAGGAGAGGGAAGTGCCAAGCAAAGAGGGAAAAGCCCCTTATAAAACCATTAGGTCTCATGAAAACTCACTCACTATCATAAGAACAGCATGGAGGTAGCCACCCCAGATTCAATTACCTCCAACCGAATCCCTCCCATGACATGTTGGGATTATGGGAACTACAATTCAGGATGATATTTGTGAGGGGACACAGCCAAACCATATCATCAATCATATAGATGACTGTCATTACATGCACTAATGGAGGAAATTCAAAGAATAGAATGGATAATTTAAGGCTGTCAATAATTTAGATGTAACTTCGCCTTAGCATTGGAGTCTAAATTAACACTTTTAATTTGAATCATGGAATTTATAATATTTCAAGCAAAATTCTAAAGCTTTATAAGTACCAGTGTTGGTAACTTTCCAATTACGGCATACTACCCAAAACTGTTTGGAAATCAACTTCCCAGAAAATAAATCTCTGTTCCTTATTCCTTCTTATATCAGTTCAACAAGGATGTGCTGGATGTCCACTCGACACTATCATCTCTCCCACACACTGGGAGAATTTTATGACCATAACAAGCTTTAATTTCAAGGGGTCAAATGTTAGCTCATAATTAAAGCACCCTGATTTAATACACATCTTTTTTCCTCTCCATCCTGAATAATCTTGCTTTACAAACCGGATTTGAGGCTAAACTTTCTCATCCAGTATTCTCTGCTTCAAATTTATCCTTCTAGTGAGGAAGTCTGCCTGGCACTCTCTTCTTACCTTTACCCAGCTAACTCCTAATTATCCTATAGCTCTCCAACTAACTTCTAATTATCCTATAGCTCTTCAGCTAACTCTTAATTATACTACAGCTCTTGGTTTAGTATAAGGCTTCCTTCTTCCAGAAGCCTTTCTTGATGCCCCAAGGCAGGGTTAGGAACACCTCTTAGGGGTTTACATAATTGCCTTTTTACTGGATATAACTTCTTTTAGATTATTTTGCCTCCAGAGTCCAAATCATGTTGATTTTTATGCTTCCATTGTGCCTAAAGATGTTTAATAAGTGTTTGCTAAATGAAAGGATAAATAATTAATGGACACCCAATTATTAAGTAAAATAGCACAGTCAGCAATACAAATCTCTAAGGGGAAAAGGATCCTATGAAATAGTAACTCGGTCAAATAGTTTCCATGAAGAAGAAAACAGGGAGAAAATATATCTTGCTCCATAGTTAGAAGGACACTGTGCTTGACTTCAATGTTTGCTCTATGGGATGTCAATCCAGGCCACCTGGAATGTGTAGCATTTTCTGGTTTTATTCCTGCCTTCGAGATGGCAATTATTACACAATTGATTTTTAAAAATATTTATGGATTGTATTCCAGGAGTCTAGGAGGTATCTTTGCAGCATTCTAGAGTTTCAAGGCAAACTATAGATATGATTACTTGAGATGCTATGAACATTTTTCCAAATCATTTTGTCTTGAATAAAATTAATCTTTTGCTCAACAGTCAATTAGAGAAAATCAAAGACTCAAAAAAAATCTCAATCTTGGTGTGAGGGCTTCCTCACCTGTTTCTCTCCTCTCACAACCCCAGAAGAGACATCATCTTCAGCTTTGTTTTTAAAGGTTTATGTGCATGAAAATAGGATGGGGACAAATGCATCATCACCTGATGTTTCTTCACTCCCATAAGGTAGTTAGGCATCTGCCTGCTTGGCTCCTTTTCTTCCGCTACTCTCCCAAGAGAGGTTTTTCTTTTTCAGCCTTGTACCTAATCTTAGAATATGGAATCAAACAAACATAAAGAGAAAAACAAGGCTGAACAGATTGAAGGAAAAAAAGGATTCTTGAGAGCTAAGTCAACATTGCTGGGCTCTCCTTTGTTGTGGAGAATCCAGGTGAAATGTCAAGTCCAGAAGAGTGTGAATAATAAGCCAGAGAAAGTTCCTGCTGTGTGAGAAGGGTGAGGTTAGGGTGAAAGAAGCAGGAAAGCTGGGGAGGCTGGATGCCAGGAAGATTTTTGGAGGACTCCAATGAGAGATTGTAGGTATGAAAGAGATATTGGAGGATAAATGTCAAAGGGGATTATAAATGGGGATACCCTAAAGTTATGTACACATGTGCCTTTTTCTAGGGAGAATATCTGTATCTTTCATAACCTTTTTAAAAGGCTCTAATGATCCAAAAAATATAAAAAGGTATTGACGTATATTGAGTCATATGAATAAATATTCTGGTCTCAAAGAACTATCAATAGGAGCTATAGCCTGTCCCTAGAAACATTGCAACGAATGGAGAAATGTTCAGCATATATATGTACATAAAAACACCCATTTGAATAATATAGGATTTGTACGTCTGAGCTGTATCATTCACTCTTTTGACCTTCCTTGTAGTAGGGAAGTGGGACAAATTAGAAAACCAGATTAGTGATTACCTACCATGTAATAAGCCTTAAAGAAAGTATGTATAAATAAGGCCACATTTACATGTATGTTGAAATAATGATGGTCCAAAATCCTCATCTGCTTTACAAATTTGATCTCCAGTTCTTTCTGGAAGTTTTCTCCTCCAATTTTTTCAAAACCTCCAGGGCTTGAGATTGGTGCCTACATAATAATTCTCTGCATTTTCTCTACAGCCAAAGTAGAAGCTGAACTGTAGTCAAAGACTGAGCTGCAACAACACTGACCTTTCTGAAAGCCACATGGAGGTGCCAGAACCTTAAGTGGCCAAAACTTGTTAACCCTGGTTGTAGCATCAAAATCCTCTCTTCTTCTGCTGGCAAGAGCCAATGCTGCCTTTTACTGACAGCTCTGTGGAGTGGTTCTTGCGTCTTGGGTTATTTCCTGCCATTGCCATTGCAATGCAAATTTTATAAGAGATATTCCAATACTTTGCTCATTCAGTTTTGACAAAATAAAAGGCTGTTTGTTACTTCTGTCTGTTTATTAAGTTGTGTCCCACAGTGAACCTGTCTAGAGTGCAGACAGCTATAGTTTTTTAGTGACACTGCTCTCCAGATCATGCGTGTGTGCACACACACACGCACACACACCTTTTTTTCCAAAGGCACATCTGATACTCCAGGGTGACAGAATTATGGGGTTCTCTTTAAGCCACATGGTAGGCTCAGAGCCTATACTCCTCTACCTTCCTCATCCTGGAGGGCTATTTTTAATTCATTGGTCCCTACTCCTTACCCCGTAATGTGTGCTCCTTCTTAGGAGTCCATTACTATTTTCCTGAAATCTCACTTCCATCCAACAACTATTCCACTGGACATGTATTTCTACACATGTATATCTCCATGGAGTCCTTGAGCCATGGCCTGACTCCTGGAGGAATGAAAGGAGAGTATTAAAAATAGCTTCACTTCCAGGTCTCCTGTGTAAATCAGTGGTTGAAAATCAATATTTAACAGAATTAGCTAAAGATCTAAGCTACGATACAAATGGATGTTAGGGAGGGGAGCAGTCTAACTTTACTGTCCAACAGTACTGAAGCCTCAGGCTCTTGATTAAGCAATTTTACAAAAGAAAACCTTCCAAATATGATACCATTTGTTCTTTTGCATTAACAAAAGTATTAGATGTAATTTCATTTTTGGCTTCTCAGTCTGTTTGACTAATTGTCTTTATACTGTTATCATTCATTTTTATATTTGGCAAATATACCCTTCTCATAATTTTATCTGGATTAATTAAAAATTAATTGAAAATACATTGTTAAATATAATTCTTATTGCCTAATAATTTCAACCAAGGTCTAAATTATTTTTTCTTTAAATAAATTATTTCTATTTTTAGGGAAAAACCTTCAAAACCTTTATTCCTTTTAATACAGAGGACAAAGGGAAAATATAAACAAATCTGTAAGAATTACAAGGTGGTCTAATATCTAATATTTTAATAAACTACTACCAGAAACCTCTATCTCAGAAAAGCTATCTTACTAACATGCAAAAAACATTATAATGAATGTCTATTATGCGTTGCTTAGAGGGAGGATGCATTTGAATACTTAAAATATTCAGTGGACTCAGAGTAACTGATGTTTTAGGGTTCCACTAAGTGAGTCTGAAATGTTTCAGAGCTCAGTGAAAGTAGCTTTACCTCTCAGGTTTCAGCTTTGTAAAGAATAAGGACTTGTGTAGGCTCCATACATCATTGTTTTGTAGAGGGTGAATTGTGTCCTGGTAGAATTTTCTGAGGCTAATGCATGTGAATCAGCTTCATCTGATCTTCCACGGTAGTTTCAGGGTCTGTGGAGGGTTCACATGATGGATGGACCACTCCATACCTTTAGGAAACCATCCTTACAGGGTTGACAAGAATTGCATGCCAGATACTGATCAGAAATATAGTTATAATTAAAGATTAATTAGGCTGCACTTTGGCCCACTTCCTTGTTGCTAAAAGTCAGGCAGCACTAGATACTGACCATTTGCATCTCCATTATTTCTATTGATAGGATTTCTGACATTAGGATTTTAAGGCTGTTTAAGAATTGATTTGCATTCCCATGGTTCCTATAGACAGGATCTGTGACAGTTTGTTTAAGAGTTGCATGAGATGTTTTTCAGATCCTGAATTCCAACAACCAGTTTGAAGACCCTCACAGAGGAACAGGATCAGCATGAAAATACAGCTTCTTCATTTTCCTGTCTTCAGGAAAGTGACTTCACCTTGCGCTCTGTGACCAATCAAGGGTCTCCACACTTTAGTCCACTCCAAAACCCTTAAAAACCCTACCCCTAAACTCCTCAGGGACATGGATTTGAGGTTTTCTCTTATCTCCTCTTTCAGTGACCCTACGATTAAACATTTTTCTCTGCTGCAACCTGGTGTCTCGGCTTTGTGACTTGCTGTGTGCATCAGGCAACGAACCTAATATGCTTACATTTATTCAACTAATATAAGGAAGGCGGCATGGGGAAAATGTTTGTTGGCTTGGTCATCTGCCTTTGTTATTATCTGCATCAGAATTAAGAGACATAGTTTTATGGGAGGCAGTGAGTTCTGAAACCGGTTGGGCCCTAGCATCTCTGTTGCTGTTTCTGGGCATGAAACTGAGCCTGGGCTCTGGGAACTCTTAGGGAAGGAAATGGAGGGTGAAGAAGCCCCTTGTGATCCAGGAAGTTGCGAACAGCACATGCTTGTCTTCTAATTTCTTCCTTTCCCTTTTACCCTTTAAGCATTTTTAAAACCTTTGCTTTGTTGTTGTCATTGTTACTGACTAATCAGATATTGAAAAGAGTATTAGCATAAAAATCATTGATGCAATGTGTTATCCTTCCAGAGGCATATGCATTTTAAAAGAAAGTTGGCAGAGAAAGAAAACATGCTTAACACAAAGCAGTGCCTTTCAGTCCTCAGTCAGAGAGATATTTTAGTCAGTGGAAAATACTAATGCCCTGCCTACCAAAATAATGCCCTAGACTTGCTTTAAAAAGACAATATTCATAATATACAGATTACAAAGAAACAAACATCCTCTAACAATATCACTAAGCTCTTATGGTAAATTTCTTTCCTTGAGCTGCCATTTACTAGCTGTGTGTTGTTGAAGAAGACACTTAGTCACCCTGAGCCCCAGTTTCCTGATCTTCAAATGAGAATCATTTTTACCCTACAGAGTTATTCTGAGGGTCAAATGAAATTCTGGCTTACAAAGTTTTACATTGCCAAGCAAGGCTTGGTTGTGAGGAATACAAGCATTCGGCAAATGGAAAGGTTGCTATAGGGATTGAGCCATGGAAATTAACATTCTGGGAACAGCAGGACTACTGTACTCTATATTGAGTTTATAACTTATCATTCACAAACTGCCACAATGTGAATTAATTATAGAATTCAGTTGTGTGTTCTTATTTTGGAGATCTGAGTTATGGATTTCTACAGAGTCAATGTGACTATGGTAATTTCCCAAGACGGTCTTCACTGGAGCATGGCATGAATGGTGCTGAGAAAGTAGCAGGATTAACCTTGGGCCTGTATCAGTCTCCATCTCTTTAGATCTGTGTAGATTTCAATCATACAGGGGAGCTTGGGACTATCCCCATACACAGATACAATATGGAAGAGTCTGGTAAGGCATTGACTGAGCTACCAGTGATGAGCCTAAATGAGTCACTGGGCCACCGAGGGAAGGGGTGCCTGTGCTTCCCACATCAATATCATTGGTATAGACTTCTTGGATACATATGTTAGATAGTCTCTATTTCCTTAGTTTCAGTGGGACGTTTGGCAGGGCTCTAAAGTGCCCACTTCCTTTCCACCATGTAGGGCCTGGATGACCTTTGTTCAAATAGTACTTTGGGACACATGATTCAGTCTTCACCCATTACCCCAAATATTTCTCAGTGAAAGTTTTATTTTTATATCTCCCCAGCATCATTTTTGCCACGGATGTCCATTCTGGTATATAATAATCATGGTTTTTGTTGCAAGCAACAGAAACCAATTTTGGCTAAGGGATTTTTTTGGAAGGATGTCAGTGGGAAGGGTATAGGGCCAGGACTGCCTGGACCCAAAAGTGGCAGATACAGGCAAACACCTGCCACAAAACTGGTCTATTTGAGGATGCCACTGGGAGTTTTATTTCCCTTGGAAAATGAATTAATTTGAAACCATTGTGAGTAATCTCTAATCCCATCCATTTTTGTCTGTCTTTGAAGATGTGAAGTCCTGGCAGGGCATCCGACTGGCTGCACAAAGGCCATATGCTATATCCTAGCAGGACAAGGAAGGGCAGGGGTTTTGGGGTCAGATGAACTAACCTTCACAATCTGGTCTCACCACTTCCAAGCTTTGTGACATTGAGCAAGCCCTTAATCTCACAAAATCTCAGTTCCCAATCCCATTCAATTATTGTCAGAATTTAATGAGAAAAATCAATTAAAGCTCCTAGTACAAAGCCTAACACATAGTAGGCACTCCATATGTGGATATATCACTGTTGAAAAAAGTGAGGTATTTTCCAGAGACCCACAAGAGTTCCCAAATCCTCATATCAAGAATATTCCCACAGAAACTTGTTTTTCTCCAAATTTTTCTATTAATACCTATCATTAAAATTTTATCTCTTATTGGATGATTGCTTCTCATAATAAAATTAATTACTCTGATCAAAATGGTGAAAAGAAAGCAATGTTGACTTAAAGAGATTTGGCTGGTTATGCAGCATTCACTCACTTGGGCCCATAGACCTTGTGTTTGAAACACAAAGGCCACAGCCAAATTCCTAATTATTTTACATTAATTACCTTTGGCTTGGAATAAATTATTAATAACCATGTCACTTAAATATGTAAGTCCCGTGAGTATAGCCTGCATTGGGTATAGAAATATATAAGACAATTTCAAACACTCTAACCTACAGCTACACTGGACAATGACTCGTCACTTTAAACTTCTTTTAAACTCTGGACTCAGAATTTTTTATGGCTTACCCCTGAATATGTTTGAATGTTTCTAAATCAAGCTGAATATTCCAAAATATCATGGCAAAAATATGCTATTCTTTTTTATTTGATATATGTATATATTGTAAAATTATTACCACAATCAAGTTAGTTAACATACCCATCACCTCACATAGTTAACTTTTGTGTGTGTGTTTGTGGTAAGAATATTCAAGATCTACTCTGTTAGCAAATTTCAAGTAGACAATACAGTGTCGTTTGCTACTACTGTACCTTAGATCCCCAGAACAGAAATAAGCTATTCTGCTTATACATACATATATATATATATATACACATGCATACACACAGACATACACACACATATATATATGCAATATATATATATATATTTTTTTTAACCAACAAAGTATAGCTAGTTTGACTGAGTGCTGGAATATTGGATTTCTCAGTAATTCTAAGATAAGAAAATCAAAGCCCATGGGATCAAGGAAAACACATTCTGAGGCTCACAGTTGATACCATTGCTCATCAAATTGGACTTTTTCATTAGTTTTATCCATGACACTTTACAATCCCATGAAATGTCCGTCTACTGACATAGCCCTCACTTTTGATGACAAATTTTCTCTTTCCTGGACACTCGTATGAATGGATGATACCAAAAACTGAATTGGGGGTAAATGAGGTAGTATTAAGGTAGACTTTAAGAGTGTACCATAGTATATAACAGTAGTTTCATCTGCTTTGTTTAACCATTACCTGACTAATCGCTCAAAAATAATTTATAGATTATTTACTTTGGGTCAGACAGTGCTTGTTCCACGTAGTAGAAAAAGGTTGTAATATACAAAGGTTTTGGTCGTGCACCTCTATCAGTAAAAATGATTTTTGCCTTCACCCCTAATATACGCTATTTATTTATATATTATAAAAAGTACTATAGTAGCATTTTATATATATATATATATATATATATTTCAGTATTTGCAAAAGTTGACAATAAAAAGTAAGATAAAAATAGACGTTAATGTCAGTTGTTATATTTCTTTTTACATCTGGCCCAATAGGTCATCTTGGCCATCCACTGTGATGCTTGCACTTTATTTTGAAGACCACTGGTCCAAAGAGATTGGATGGCTCTTGACAGGTAATAAAGGTAGACTTTTGGATAATAGCCAGTTTTTCCAGGGGAGGTAATGATCTCAAACAAGGAACAGTCTTAATCTGTGAATGTCTAAACCACATCTGGGTAAGTTTAAAGCAAAGCCAGTTTTCCACCCCCAGACTCTCACCAAGTGTTTACACACTGGCTCCACATTGTGCTGAGTGTGAAAGATAGTAGAGTGAGGAGGGGTTTGGTGTAAACGTGGACATGAATACAGGGGTATTAAGGGGAGTTTGGAAGGTAGAACTCAATTTCAAACAAATAAATGGCCACTCTGGTTCAATATTACAACAGGTAGGAGTCATGCTACAAGAGTGCAAAAGGGCAGAATCCATCATAAATGTTAAAGTCTCTCATGCAATTCAGAGCAAGGAGGATTGGACTCATGGGTAGGATGTTGAGAAAGGGCCATTGAAATAGGAGAGTTCCCTGGTTGTCCTTGTAGTATGTGCAACAGGGTTGTGGCTTGCCTATTCGGTTGCTGCCACTGCTCAAAGCCCTGATGGGAGGGGGAGCATGCAGGTGGGCAGGTGCAGGAGCCAGGGCAAGCACTTTTGGGCTCCGGCCCCACAGCAGCATCTAGGGGTGGGTGTCTGCAACTCCCAAAGCCCAAGTGGGCGCATGTTACAGTGTGCTCTTTTAGCCTTGCTGTTGCAGATGGCTTAAGTGTTAACCAGCTCAATGGACTCTCTGCCTTTTCACAAGGGCAGAGGGCCAGTATGGCAGCTTTCTGTATCCCAAGCTCTTACCCCGTGTCCAAGAAGAATCAGGTCACACAGGGACTTGAAGGATGAATGCAGGGTTTTAGTGAGTGGTGGAGGTGGCTCTCAGCAGGACGAATGGGGAGCTGGAAGTGGGATGGAGTGGAAAGATGATCTTCTTCTGGAGTTTTGGCTGTCCAGTGCCTGAACTCCTCTCTGACTGCCCCCAGCCTGACTCCTCTTGGCGTTCAGACGTTCCTCCTCTTGTCTCTTTCTCTGCTGTGCCATTCTGCCATTTGTCTCCTTGTCTGCTCATCTGCTTTTGTCTCCTTCTGGAGCCTGGTGTTCAGGGTTTATATGGGTACAGGATAGGGGATGTGGCAGGCCAAAAGGCAACTTTCGGGGTGCAAAAACAGGAATGCCTATTCTCACTTAGGACCGTGGGTATCCACGCTTGAGGGTGGGGTCTTTGCCAGGGAACCACCCGCTTCCATCGGGTATTTCCCTGTCTCCCGTCTGTATTACCATGGAGGAAAGCAGGTCTCAGATGCATGTCTGGAGAGGAAGACAGGGCTCCCCTCAATTCCACATGTTAAAGTATCAGGCACAGATGTGGCCACAAGAGGTTCCAAGTTTGAACTGGTTATAAGAGAAGAGATGTATGACAGATTCCCTCCTTCCCCTATCCAAGCTCCGGTCCCCTGACTTCACCATCCAAGTGTTTCATTAAGAGGCCATAGCTATTTTTGCCTTCAACACAGGGGAGGAGCTGATCTATAAAGTTCCTGACGGTTTCTTGAGTCGTTCCTGGAGGAATATTTCTGTATTTGGGGTTGGGGATATGCCTGTAAATGACCAGATGATGTTTATTGGAAATAGGTGCCATGACATTTGGAAAAGAGGCAAGGATGGACACAGAGTTCTGGGGACTGATCAGCATCTTGCTCCCAGGAAGAAAAAAAGTGAGAAAAGTACCACTTTCATTTTGTTTGCCTTATTCTTTTGGTGCATGTTTTCTGTTTCTGATCTACATGTGGACCTCTGTTTTATTATCTACATGACCCCTCCATTTTGATTAATTCAGAGGTCACTGCAGACTGCTTTACTGTATTCATCTCCCCAAACAGGATTCCATTTGATCAAATTCCAAAACTAAAAGTTGTCCAAAATGATGTTAATCTTTCATTGATATTTGAACTGCCAGATCATAGTACCAATTGGTAGAGTCACATTTAAGTTAAAAGAGTAAAATATGTCAAAAAATACCCCTGTAGTAATCCTGTTTGTTAGAAAAACTGAATCACCATAGCTAATAGATTAATCATATTAAAACATAGGGTATTTGTTTTACCTGGAAAAAAGAGGGACATAATTAGATATTACATATAATTAAACTATATAATAAATATCAAGGCATTAGTGGCCAAATGACATATTGAAAGACGATAGGAGAGAAAGTCAAGAGACCCAAATTTCTGATCTTGCTCTTTATTAAGCTATAAAATGTTTAGTCATTTATAATACAGTTTTCTTGCCTATAAAATCAGATACATGAACTAGAGTATGAGAAGCTTTTTCAAGCATTAGTATTCTATAATTCTATATTGTAATGGTGTGGCTTATATAGTCTTGATATAAAATATTGTAATTCCCAATTTTCCAGGGGGAGGAAAAACAAATGAGCTGTGGTTCAGCTGAATATTAGTATTCACAAAAGCAGAAATATCTGAAGGCAAGCTCCAATAGTTCCCCCACCACCCCACCCCTGGAATAATAGCAGCTTTCTTTTCCTTGCATCTAGTCTGCTAAACCACCAATTCTATAGTAAGGATAATTAGAAGGAGATATGTTTGCAAGAGAGTGCTGGGAAACGTCCAGAATATGTTTATTCCAAGGAAAAACAGAAACTTATGCAAATTAACAAGACTGTTGACTTTGAAAATAGCATATTATTAATTCAGAGAGTACGTACTTAGCCTATAATAACTTAATAGTGTCAGAAAAGGGAAGGATGTTGCTTGCTAAGATATATCATTAGTTTGGGAGGTATGTTTTCAGAAATGCTCACAAGAAGGACGAGTTGAAACGAGTTTACCCATTTGTTTCAGCCCAGAGGGCTGTTTGGATAAATTCAGAATTCAACAAGTTTTTACATGTTAGCTCAAAAACATTTGTTTGGGTAGGTTTGAAATAACTCTTAAAAGGCCACAGTTTGGGCACCCTATTTTTTTTCTCTCCAGTTAAAGTCAATTGCAGAAGTTCTCTTTTACTCCATTCTCTTGTCCTTTGGTTTTTAGACTGCACTTCAAATGGTTATTGGCTCTATGAAAAACCATTAAATTTTTGGCTTATTCTCAAACATATGAGCCCCAGGTTGGAAATAACTCCCTTGTTTCAGAAAAGTAGATGCTATTGTTTCTAAATGATCCTTTCTCACTAAAGAACAGACTATAAAGAATGTCTTTCTTTTTCCACTGGTAAGTTATATGGAAATACAATCCTAAATTCAGCATTTTAAAATATGATTTTCAAAGAATTACACATGACATTTTAAGGCCAGCAACAAGTTTAACCTTTAGAACAAATAAAACAACATGAACCATAAGCATGTAATTTCAGAATGGAACACATTGCTTTCTGGCAGCCCTGCTAACAATTGGCTACTGTAGGTTGTGCAATCCTTCCAGTAATATGATTTCTATATATGTTGGGTCTGTTACAGTTAAAGGCTATAATCCAGGAATGTTAGACATTTCTGGTAATTTTTCACTATTATCCATCTTTTTTGGTAACAAAATAATTACTTTAAAAATGTGTATCAGTATTTTACAAGTAATCTAGTAGCCTATACCAATTGATTAATATATTTGGAATGATTCAAAAAGAAATAGACAATTTCTTAGAAAAAGTAAGTTAAGAAAAGTAATTTCCTAAGTCATTAACCTTTAAAGAGGAACTAGAATGTGGCACAGGAGGGAGATTGGGAAATCCACAGGTTAACTTATTTTGGAAATTGTATGCAGACTCCTTAGAGAATGTGTAGGTGGCACTTTGAGAGGCCAAGGCGGGCAGATTGCTTGAACCCAGGAGTTTAAGACCAGCCTGGGCAAAATGGCGAAACTCCATCTCTACTAAAAATACAAAAAATTAGCTAGGTATGGTAACGTGCACCTGTAGTCCCAGCTACCTGGGGTGTGGGTTGGGGTTGGTACTGAGGCAGGAAGATTTCTTGAGGCAGGGAGTTCGAGACTGCAGTGAACTCTGATTATGCCACTACATTCCAACCTGGGTGATGAAGGGAGACCCTGTCTCAAAAAAATAAACAAATAAATAAAAATTTCACTTTTGGTGAATTTTCTTTTCACAATTTGAATACACAGGACCAAGGATAAAATATATTGACATTTTACATTGTAGTGAAAGAAACACCTGATCTGATCCAAGGCTGAAACAAATCTAAGGTATTACAATGTTCTTTATACATTACAAGTTAATAATACAAAAATTAAATACTTATTATAGGCTATGAACTGATTACCTTATTTACATATTAACATATTTAATACAATACATCCATAAGGTGAGTACTAGTAGTACCATATATTAAAGACACTGGACATGGAGGGGAAATGACTTGCCCAGGGTTACACAGCTGGACGTGGTACTTTTGGATTTGAGCCTAGGCAGGGCTGAGCTCAGGGTCCCAGTACTCAACACAGCCTCTCTTGAGTCAAAGAACCTGAAAGGCAAATTAAAACTCATCAAGTCCAGCCGTCTACTTTTCTAGATAAAGAAACCGAGGCTCAGAGAGCTGAAAAAATGTCAATAAACCATAGCAAGTTAGCCCCAAGCCAGGAAGTAAATCTTGATTTCAAGGATCCCACTTGAGAACTCTCAACTTTGTTTATTTTCTTGGAAAAGCAAAGAAGCTTATAAGGCCTTTAAACATTTATAATTACATCATTCCTTCTCTTCTTCTGTCTAAACAGTCAGTTGAAGAAAAACTAACTGGAATTGTCATTGCCCACTTAGAGAGAGACGGGGTATGTGCCATTAGCCAACTGACCCAGGAAGCAGCTGAAGCTCGGCCAAAAAGAAAACTCACACATTTCAAGCAAAGCTCTCCTTTTCTCTAAATTCATTTTCCTTCTAGACTACATTTCCTTTAAGAAGTTTGCCTTCAACTATTTGTTTTGGAATAAACAGCACAACTTTGTTTTATCCTTTCTCTGTCTGTGTTGCTTTGGGAAAATGGAAAAGGACCAGATTACTGAGCTCCTGGAATAGTGTCTTCCTCATGGTGCTGTCATAACCTTTTTTTTCTTGCTTGAGGAAATCATTTCCATCAAGAGGGGGCAAAGGTAGGAAGAAAAAGTAAAACATCTTTTATGCTTTCATGAAAGCCTTGAAATAGAATGTTAAAACTACTGGGTGACAGCAAAGTACTAGCATGCTTCATGCTTTTGGATTCTGTGATAAGAGGGAAGGCTGATGTTCATGTGCACAGTATACTCCCCTGAAATTCACAAGTATTTTATGGAAAATTGAAATATCATGAATAAATTGCAATCACCACAAGTATGAGAAGTTGTTTATTACAGGCTACAGCACAGATAAAATAAGCTTTGATACTGTGTGTGCCCCATTTCTGTAGATGTAACCTCCTTGCTTCCCTCCCACTGAAGTGAACATATTGAAATGCAAACGCTTGAGAGTCATGTTATTATAGAGTGACCATGCTGACATGCTGACCTCAAACTTCCAGCCTCCAGAGCTGACAGAAAGGAGTAGTTCTCATTTAAGCTACCCAGCCCTACAGTAATTTTTATAGCAGCCTGAACTAATACAGAGATACCAGCATTGAAGGAATTGTTAATGGACAAGGGGGTTAATTAAGAGCCTAGCCCTCTTGCCTCAAGTTGGGGAAGTATTAAAGGTCTGTCTAGTTCCAGAACTCAATTTAGAATCATCTGGAGTTTTATTGTGCAGCTCCACTGTTCTCTGCCCAATGGTACTGTCTTAACCTCCCTACAGGTATTTATTCTAAGGGTACTTCCCAACAAACTTTATTGGGGTTCAGAACACAATACCCCAAAGTACAGCACTTGCCTGCTGAGTACTTTGGACTGAAGGAGGCTGGAAGGGCTTCAGAAAAAAAGTTCTCCCTGACTTTCTCCCACTCTCCTTTCTCCTTTTCCCGTTTCTCCCCCACAGCAGGTTGTAGAAACCAGAACTCCTCTCCCCGCAAGCAAGCCATAAAACATAGAAAGGACTCTAAGCCAAGAGATCGTTCTATCTATGATTTGTCTAACAACCATGTTGTATATCACAGTGAGAATTCTAAAATAGATTCCTTCCCTTAGTTATTTGACTCTATTACTCATTCATTACAGATTACATCAAATCACAGTTTGTCATTTCCATACCCATGGATGTACTCAGTAGAATCATTTTCATAGTTGATATAGAGATACTATATGTTGCGTACAAAAAAGCACCATTAATGTTCTTTCTGAGAGAATAGCTTAAAGGAGCTCAGAGGCACCCACTTTGAAATAAATGCTGGGTAAGATTGGAATATTTTACGGAATACTGCCAGTCCTCATTTCATAGCTTTTTATTTAGATTGATAGAATGTGGCCAAAGTGGCCTCCAGCATAGGAGATTCATAAGCAAGACATCTCCATAGCAGGTCTTACAAACTGGACACCATTATGCTCCACAAAGCCTCCTCTCAGTCCTTGACATAATACCTTTGAGATTGCAGTTTAAGTAGCTAATATCACACACATGCAAATCATATTAGACATTTGGCATATTTGAGGGGAAATGAATACTTAAAATATTAATTTTGGCACAACTGTGGTCCCTGGAAGATAATGTTCCCGAGTTTTTAGGTGCCTGGAGTTCTCCTGGAATCCTCCTAACTGTCTTGTTTTTGCCACCTGTTTTCTACATCAAATTTGATGTTCTTGTGTAAAAGACATGGGTTACTTCTGGTAGGAATAAAGTGACATAAATATTTTTCAAAACTACCATGTAAATTCTATATCCTACCTCCTATATTGTTGATTACACTGTCATCAAACACACCCACTTTACCAGAGAAAGAATTCACAGGGCAAAAAAGGGGAGATGGTCTTTTCAGTACAGAAAATCCAGAAATTTCAGTTAATTCAAAGCTTTACAAACACATTATTGGATTGTAAAATAGTCTATCTTTGGCTCTTGCTCTTGAAAATAAAGGTTCCTTTGAAATACTGTAGAAATGAGAATCCTGTCCAGCTTCAGTTACCTTCAGGTTTTATATTTCCAACCTGTAAATAATTTTTGGATGACATCTGTGGCCATTGGCTGGATGTGTCTCTTCATGAGTTCACATGAATAAGCCTAATAACTGAGAGCTAGATGTTTAACTTCTGTATACATCAGTTTCCCTGATTGTAAAAGATTTAAGCTAATATGTAATAATATATGTGAAAATACTTTGGAAAGTGTATACAGCGGTCCACAAAGGTAAATGATTCTATTATGTGTTCAATTAAATTGTCCCTGATATTCTCAAAGAAAAGTATCAATGACATGGTGCTCCTTGGGCTTATTTTAGTAAAGCTGAAGGGGGTGGAGTGAGGAAAAAAGATGTTTCTGTTTGGTTCTTAACAAAGCCATTAATGCATGGGTGTAGCTTTTTAATGGATTTTGATCTTGAATTTGGGGTCCATTTCTTTACCTTTGCTTGTTCTATTAGGGCTGTAATAATTTACTGAGTTTTTTGGGGGTCCTACTACTTCATGTAGAAACAATTTTTTGGACACTAGTGAAAACAAAGACAAGAAAATGGAACCCTTCATTTAATATATAAAACAAATGTCATTTGAGTTCAAAGTACTGTTGTGGATATGGGAAGAAGTCTTCAGATGAAAGCATTCGATCAGAAAGACAGTGTCCTATTTTTGTTCAAAGCACCTCAGGCGGTCTTACCTGTCAAAATGATAAACTTATTTACTGCCTTCTAAGGACACAAATTTGAGTAAGCTCAAATTGTTCCTTCAAGTACTCCTATTACAGTTGTAGTTTTGTTAGTAATATTAAATTCAGCCAGAAGTTTCTTTTCCCCCCCACAGGGGAATACATACTTATTTGAGCTTTTAAAAGTTACCTTTTTTTGTTCTTGACTGAGGAACATGCTAGAAGGGTTAAATACTTTTTATTTCCAAAGTGCTATGTGACCATTATCCTGGACTCATAATACCTATACAGACAGGCTTGCATTTCTTGTCAGCAGCACCTTTAGGTCTCAAAGGACCAAAAGGGGTTAAGTGATTGTAAAGTGAGTTGCAGAGTCGCCTATCATCCTGCATTTAACCCAATGCTCCATGGTCGATTTTGCCTTTTTTCATGCAGACACACCTGCCCGTTTGCTTCAGAGACATTCCAGGGGCTTCACTTCTCTAGGCAGGCAGGCTCGTGACCTGGTTCAAATGAACACATTACTATTACTGGTTGGGAGAGGGCTTAGCATTCCATTTACTCTGAAATCATTTGAAAAGTTAGCCTTTCATATGTCAGGTGATAAATCTTGCATAATTAACACATTTAAGAACCATTTAGAGAGGACTTTAAGCATAATTGTAAGAAGAGTCATTTTGTGAAATGAAAATTGTCACCAATCTGAACAGCAATTATAAATACTTAAAATATGTCACAGGAACAATAGAGGGAAAGAGGGTATGATGACCATTTTTCCAATAAGCCCCATGAAAAGACTGTGCTTTGATTTTTGTTTGGTTTGTTAGGGAATATAGCAAAGGATAAAAAACTATGGCCAGCATTTATTAAGCGCCTATACCATTCAGGGCATTTTACAAAGTGCTTTATGTAAGTTAATTATATAAATTATTCTTTATAAGTCTTTGACATTTTGATTAGTTTTAAGATAGGGTAACTGACTCGGAGAGGTTATGCAACAGTGAGAATTGCTTTGCAATTCGATATACTTTGATTTGAATCCTATCTCTGGGCCCCCAATCTAGAGGCAACGTTGCCTTTGGAATCAATAGGCAGAAAGGGCAAGGGAGAGAAAGAGAGCTAAATTCTGTCCAAGGATGAAGAGTAAAATAGGAATATTCTAAATCTATGTAATGCAAGCCTATGGTCCTAGTGCAAGCCTAGTTTCCAAACAAAATTGTAGGTGCCAGAAAAAGGGTTAAAATTAAGCCAAGTTCAAAATCTAGCCCAAAGCTGATAAGCAGGAGGATTTGATTTGTGAGTGTGGCTGGGTAAGACTGGGCATGGCTGTCGTCTCTACATTAGGTCTCTGATCCACTATATATGTGTAAATTATACGATCTACTCTTGTACTGGGGATTACATGGTTCCTTGGGCACATAGATAAGAGCATAAAAGGTAAGGACAGGAGTTTTGTGTTTCAGCATAGAAGGCATCCTTTATAGCTCTGTTTATCAGCATTTTAGATGGGACCCCTCAGCTCCTGACATTTGAACCAATGAAGATCATTGGGTTTCTTGTTCTGGATTCCACCCCTTAGAGCAATCTTTTGGAGTTGTTTGTTTCTTTAGATGCTTATTTCTCTCTTGGTACCTAAACCTGCCACAGAACTCAGCTTTGGCCTGTGCCTCCATGACTGCTTTCAGCTCTCAGCTTCTGGAGTGATGTCTTTCCTCATTGGTTCCCTTTTATTGGCTGTGTTTGGACTCACCTCCATTCGGTGTTTTCCCTGACTTATGCTGTATCACATCCGCCTCTGCTTGGCTCCACTACCTTCCTTTTTCCAGTCCAAAGGCCCCTGGAGTGGGCCTTTGTGTTTTGTTTTGTTTTCATGAGCAGCTCCTTGCTGCCCCCTCCTGGCTCAAATTGCAATCAAGCCTTCATTTTGCAAACCAAAGTTGAGACCCAAACCTTGCTATTAGATAAACTGAACTCTGTTTCAGTCCCATAGTTTTGCTACTTGGGGGAGAGAAAAGATAATTATTCTCCCTCTCTCTCTGTCTCTCTCTCTTTGTTATACACTTTCTTCTTAGATCCATAACAATAAGAGCTTTTTCTCTGGCTTATCTTTTTAACATAAAACCTGTTATCTTTATTAATATAGTATACAAGCCTAATATTGAAAATTTGGAAAACACTGAAAGGCATAGAGAGAGCAAACATCATCTGTAATTCAGCTGTAACAGATAATCACCATTTACATGATGACCTTTCCTGTCTATTTTTTGTGTTTTTTGTTTGTTTGTTTGTTTGTTTTTGGTGGAGTCTTGCTCTGTTGTCCAGGCTGGAGTGCAGTGGTGCAATCTCGGCTCACTGCAACCTCCACCTCCCGGGTTCAAGCGATTCTCTTGCCTCAGCCTCCAGAGTAGCTGGAATTACAGGTGCCCACCATCATGCCTGGTTAATTTTTGTATTTTTAGTAGAGACGGGGTTTCACCATGTTGGCCAGGATAATCTCAGTCTCTTGACCTCGTGACCCGCCCGCCTTGGCCTCCCAAAGTGCTGGCATTACAGGCGTGAGCCACCGTGCCCGGTCCTGTATATATTTTTTATGTGACTCTTTATGCATGGTTTCGTAGTCTGCTCTTCCTCTTAGCAATATGTCATTAGCTATTTTAGTCCTTTTAAATACTCAGAGCCTCTTTTTGCAGGCATTCATACTTATCACTTTTTGGGGGGCTCAGATTACATTACATAAGATTATATAAACTTTTATTCAATTATTTAAGACTTAAGCTTCTGCAAGCTAGATTTTGGACCTATGAACAGAAGATTCTTCTGTATTTTCCCCATACTATGCAATATTGGGCTCTTATGCTGTGACGCTCAATAAATGTGGCTGACTGGCTGTTCCAAGTTCATGATGTGTTTTCCAAAATGGCGATAAAAATGGTAATGAAATGTTAAGTTATTCTCAGCTACTAAATTCCTAGTACCAGGGACATCATAAATTATCATTTTGATGATCAAAACTATTTAACCATAAATTTCAACTAAGTCACAATAAGGTATGAATCTCTCTCCAGCCCCCTTTTCCCCATATGTTTCCAAATTATATGCATCATGATTGAATTACCTCACAACTAATTAGAGCTTAAGAGAAAAATACAATATATGTGAAGGGAGTTTGGGGAAGTAACTAAATATAGAAGAATTATTCTAATATGAAGGGCATTTGGGGGAGCATTTACCCTCTGATACCCTTATTGCCAATAATTTGTCTGTCCATCTTGCTTGCTCTCTGGTCATAGTGAACATAATTTATAGGTATACTTTTCTGTGAGCTAGAAAGCCTTAAATAGGTTCAAAATCAATGCCGCATACCAAAGGAATGCTCAAAATTACCAGCCCTGATGCTATGTATATTTCTTGCTAATGCTTCTAATTTATAGAAGCTGATGAGGTCCAATAATCCCTCAAAGCTTGAAGGAGAATCTTTGGACAGTTCTATTCTCAGCTAATGCAGGGCTCTGGCTTGATGTGATAGGGGCCTCTCTATCTCCTCTTGGTTAAATACAAGAAACAAAATGTTAAATCAGTGATGACCGACTGAAGAAAACACTGAATTTATGTTAACTTTTTTATATTTAAATACTTAAATGAACTTGTTCACATTTAAAAAGCAGAGTACATAAACATGCTTTTTTTTCTAATCAGCAAACTTTATTGTTTAAAGCAGTTTTAGGTTTGCGGCAAAATTGAGTGGAAAGTACATATTTCTGACATACTCCCCATCCCCACACATATAGAACCTCCCTTGCTATCAATATTCTGCACCAAAAGTAATACACTTAGTGCAATCCATGAACCTACATTGGCACATCATCACCTGGAGTCCGTAGTTTACATTAAAGTTTGCTCTTGGTGTTGTACATTCTATGGGTTTTGATGAATATATAATGACACATATCCATCCTGCAATATCATACAGAATAGTTTCACTGCCCTAAAATCCTCTGTGCACTGCCTGTTTATCCCTCCCTCCCCGTAATCTCAGGCAACCATTAATCTTTTTGCTGTTTCCACAGGTTTGCCTTTTCCAGGTGTCATATAGTGCAATCATACAGTGTGTAGCCGTTTTAGACTCACTTCTTTCACTTAGCTATATGCATTTAAGATTCTTCCATGTCTTTTCATGGCATGCTAGTTCATTTCTTTTTAGCACAGATTAATATTCTATTGTCTGGATGTACCATGGCTTATTTATTCACTACTACCGAAGGACATCTTGGTTGCTTCCAAGTTTTGGCTATTATAAATAAAACATTTGGCTATAAACATGTTTGCATGTTTTTGTATGGACATAAGTTTTCAATTAATTTGTGTAAAAACCAAGGAGTACAATAGTTAGATCACGTGGTAAGAGTAGGTTTAGTTTTGTAAAAACTGCCAAATTGTCTTCCAAAGTGGTTGTACCATTTTGCATATCCACCAGAAATGAATGAGCATTCCTATTTCTCCACATCCTCAGCAGCATATGGTGTTTTAGATCTTGGCCATTCTAATGTGTCATGCTATCTCCTTGTTGTTTTAACTTAAAATTCCCCAGTGACATCTGACCTTGAACATCTCATATGCTTACTGGCTATCTGTATATCTTTTTGGTGAGGTACCTCTTTAGGGTTTTCGGTCCATTTAAAAAATTGGGTTGTTCATTTTCTTATTGTTGAGTTTGTTTCCATATTTTCAGTTGTTTTTATATTTTGTACGACAGTCCTTAGTCAGATGTGTCTTTGGCAAATATTTTCTCCTGGTCTGTGGCTTGTCTTCTCATTTTCTTGAAGAGCATGCTTTTAAAATACAGTTTTCTTTTAACTTTTTGCCCTACAGATGACCAATGCAGAAAGTTCCTCTTAACATAGTTAGAAAATAGCTGTTTAATCAGAGAAATGGAATAAATTACATTTTCCTAACTATTCATGCTTCTAAATCAAGAAATTTAAAATGCACTATGGTCTATGGACACGTAATATCTAGCTGTGCCTTCCTTAAATGTTAAGTGGCTGTGACCTTGCAAGAAAGAATACAGCAAAGAGACTTCTGTTTCTCTAACCTTATGCCTTATACCTCTGAATGCACTGCTTTTCTGAGCACTATTTCCTGTTCAGGAATATTCCTGTCCAAGAAGACAAAGGGCTTTTTTTTTGTTTAATCCTAAAGAGGACTACCATGACACAGCCTAAGAAACTGAGATTAAAGATGAAAAAATATGGTATTATATTTCCATTCTCTATCCAACATTCTCAAATATCTTACAAATGTTGGTAAAAATAATTTTGTGTGATATTCTCTATAGGGCAAAACATTAAAAAAGAAATGTTCACTCTGTTCATTCTCTCTACCATGTAAAATAGTCTCAAAAAAGAAATAGCTTCACAAATTTCTTTAAAAGTGCTGTTTGTGTCATTTTTCTTTTTCTCCTTTTCACATTTTCTTAGGTATTTTTTGAGTGTAGCTGAAAGTTATGTTCAGCGTTTGAATTCCATGTAATTCTTTGTGTCTTCTCTGCCTGGTCATGATAGAGAATAGAGAGGATAATAAGATTCAAATTTTATAAAAGCTGTATGTGAAAGTTAATTATAGATATCGAGTGCATTGTGCTGTTATGTAATTTCCCCTTTCTACTGTATTTTGTATAGGTATACTCATAATTTCAGAAGTATTCAGGCAATTTTAGATGAAATCAATTGGGTATTTAGGCAATCAGATCATTCCAGTAATAAGTACACACACACATGGGCACACATACAATATCCTTTTTGATTACTCAGTGCTATAGAAGTGTTTTATTATTATGCACATAGGCGTAGTCTCTGTCTCTTCCCACCCCCTTCCTTCTCTTCTCCTGATATCCCTGTCCCTTGAAATGCAAAGGAAGACACAGAACTCTATTATAAAAAATTTTAGAGAACTATGACCTTTCTTGGCAAACACAACTCTCCACAAGAGAGTTGTCTCTTTTTTCCATTTCATCTTTCTTCATGATAAACATAACAATCTTTACTCTCTCAGTAGAGAGAGATATTATAGGAGTTAACAAGCTCATAATGGAAGTGGACTTTGTGCTTCTCCTAAGGGAAAGATTAGATAGGTTCAGAACCCTGCATGATTACAATAATTTGAGAAGAGCTGTTCTTGTTAACTACTTTATTTAAGGGTGTGTTAGAACTAGAACTCCAAGCTCCTCAACCTGTCAATAATTAGATGTGCTAGAAAATACCTCTATACTCCTAGTGCCTTCAGTATGTTTAAATTGGATGAAGTCACAGTTATTAACATGATAGGCAGTGACATCATTGGCTCCTTAGGCTACATTTCTCCCTAAACATGGCTGCACAGGAGAATGATTTTGGATAGTTGCATCAGATATTGCTGCATTTTGTGGATCTGGATAACATAGAAGCTTCCTCTTCCTCTTCTTTATTGAGCTTGGTGTCTCAGCCCTGAAATAAATTCTCAGAAATCATTAATAAAGTAATTAAAAAATGTTCTTGCCATTTCTGTGATCTCAGATTACAGCAGTTATGGTAATTGCTGTTAGTGACATGCACTCTACCCAGAGCCTATTAAGGAGACTTTTATGGGCCTCTTTTTTTTTTTTTTTTTTTTTGCCATCTTTGCACCTAAAAGCCTGTAAAGGAAAGAGGGTGCTAAGGATATTAAGCCTCAGCACTTGCTATCACCTTGCTTTTTATGGCGTTTATAAGAATGCTTAGAAACTTTAGTCTTAGCTCATTTACACAGCTCCCTCCCAGGTCACTGAGGCAATTGCCACCTATAGGCAGTTTGTGTGTTCTAATTAGGCTTCCCTTAAAATTTACTTAGAGAGCAAACTACTATTACTACAGTGGGTAGGAAAATTTTAAGGACTCATCATTTGCCTTCTGTGCTGGCTGACAATAGGCCAGTTGAAAATTATCTTTTTGGGATATCCATAGCCATTATACCTGAGTTTCTTAGGGGCTCTTTCCCATAAGGCCCCTCTATGGAAGTAGTATCTGGCTCTGGTCTTTCTGCTTCCTATTTGAATGAAGCCAAGAAGCAGGATTATCTCTCGCAGAGAACTTTATGCATAAGGATCCAGTTTGGGCTCCCTAAAGAGCCTGAGGCTGGCTCTAAAAACAGGTTGGATTTTTTTATTTCAATTTACTGTGTAGTTAGCCATTTTTTCACACTGTCTTGGTAGGTGTACATTTTCTTTTTTTCCCTTCTTTCCTTTCTTCTTCTATTATATGTATTTATGTGTAGTTCTTTTCTGACCAGGAGCCTAGCTTGGCTTATAGGCTGGAGTGCAGTGGCACGATCTCGGCTCACTGCAACCTCTGCCTCCCGGGTTCAAGTGATTCTCCTGCCTCAGTCTCTGGAGTAGCTGGGAATACAGGTGCATGCCACCAAGCCCGGCTAATTTTTGTACTTTTAGTAGACACCGGGTACCATGTTGACCAGGCTGGTCTTGAACTCCTGACCTCAGGTAATCCGCCTGCCTTGGCCTCCCAAAGTGCTGGGATTCAAGCATGAGCCACCACGCCCAGTCATTTTTTAAATCGTGTACGGCCTCACTGTCTTTTTGAAGGTGGACATTGTTTCAGTGATGACTAAACCTTCCGTGGGTCCTTTAGACATCAACATAGAGAGATCACTGGAGTCTTAAGAAAGCAGAGTCTGAAATGAACACTATAAAAAACAGGCTTACAATTAAGTTTTAATTACACAAGGAAAGGCTAGGTTCTTTCTTCAGTAGATAGAAGCTTGGATTTTTGGAATTAGTGTCAAGGCCAGGGTAGGAATGGTATTTGTTGGAACACAAGGAGAAGGAAAGAGTAAATAGTCTTCTTTTCAAGTCAGTTTGTGGTCTCTTTGCTTATAGAGAAGCAAATGGAAGAGACAGCTGAGAGATGATCTCAATTAGTTTGGAAATCTATGAACAAACAAGTTGAATTATTTTCATCTCATAGACATCTTTAGCAGTGTCAGAGTAGTATTAAACAAAAGGGGAAAATGTTGCCTTTTTTGAATTGTTAAAGTTACCTAGAATTCCCTTTAGAATAAAATTTTTCCATGTATGAGAGAGGGTACATCTAGTGATTAAGAGCTTGGCTTAGAAGCTAGATTATGTAGATTCAAATTTTGCCTTTGCCTAATGACCTTGGGCAAGCTTCTTTATCTATAGTTCAATTTCCTAATATTATAATGGGGTTAAAAATACCATCCACCTCATAAGGTTGTTATGTGAATTAAAAAAGCAAATATTTGTAAAACAACTAGAATGCTGCCTGCCATATACCAAGCACCTTAAAAATGTTTTCTTAGTGAATGAAATGTTCAACCCTCTCTAATAAGATGGAAATTTTAATCTTAGCAGGAAAAGGAGGAGTGGCAGTGAAAGTAGCTTATACAGCATTATGCCAATGTAAGATGACATTGCTTATGATTTACATTGCATGAAAAGAGTTTAGATATACGTTTTGTGGGTGGTCTGTAAATTTTATTGAATGATTAAGCACTCTGCTTAGTATTTGGTCCGCATTGCTATTTTTCATATAGATTCTATTTTACTAAACCTTTTTATTAGATTTGAACAAATTATGGTCACAGTGGCTCCCAGGATCTTTTACCATAGAGTCTTGCTATAGGAAGCACTTAGATACAGGCATTAAATTGTCATTTATTGATAAGAAGCTAATCTTGGTGAATTAATTTTTTATTTATACATTAACCTTTAATAGTCATTTAACTTCAGAAATAATCATAGGCCTATGGTCTTTCAATCTTCCAGTTAAGGTATTCTAAAATCAATCTTTTCATTTCCAGAAATAAATCCAGTGTGATCACGTCATTTCCCTGTTTAGAGCTATTTAGGATCTCTCCATCCACACAAAATAAAATAAAGTGTATTAGTTGGCACACAAGGCCTTTAATGATGAGGTCCTATCCTTTTTGGCCTAATCTTTTAGCATTTTTCCCCTGTCTCTTCACTTTAGTTCTAGAAATACCAAACTTACCAGGAGTTTATACTTTCATCTTTGCATCTGACAAAAGCTGTTCTCAGTACCTGTAATGTTTTTTCCAACTCCTCACTCTCTTCTTTCTACCTCTCCTCTTAGCCCATGTGTCACATCTTTACACTTTAGCTCTCTTTAACAAAACTCCTAGGGATACTTAAGCTCCTCATCCGTGTTACCGTTTTAATAAAAATAAGCTAACCTTCTACAGTGCCTGCTATGTACGAGGCTGTATTCCCATTGGTTTACATATATTAATTCATTTAATCTTCATAATAATCTTGTGAGGTTGATATTTACCCATTTCACAGACAAGGAAACTGAATCGCCATATGGTTAAGTAAATTGCTCAATGTCTTCCTGCTGGTTGGTTACAGAACCCAAATTTGAGGTGTACTGCACTACACTAAAATGGATACATTTTTATATTTTTCTACTTATCACATATTTGTGTGTGTGTATATATATATATACACACATACACTCTTTGTTCTAATAAATGCCTTCACAACCTACCAACATTCTCAATATTAGAGATACTCAGTGTTGGTAAGATGATTGTTCATTCATTAAAAATATTTAAAAATTAGTAAGTGCATTAAATCCAAAGAAACTCATGTGCTTTCTCAAATCTCCATTTTTCTTTTTCATCTTCTATGATTTTAGATTAATAAAAAACCTAGCAATTATCTTGCTCACTGTTTTCTTTTCAATATATGTGAAACTTTGCAGTTGAACTAGAGACTGGGCCTCCTGTATCCTCTTTTAACTTGACATTATCAACCACTCCCTTCTTTAGACATCTTTTTATTCTGACCACAATAGTCTCAACCACTACTGAGCTTGCATGTGATTATAAACACGTATTTCCTCTACCTTGAAGACATAACTAGCTCTGCTTTTTAAGCTTCTAGCCAAAGGGGGAAGAATTGAGATCAGAATGAAACCTAGGGCCGGGCATGGTAGCTCATGCCTGTAATCCCAGCCCTTTGGGAGGCCGAGGCAGGTGGATTGCCTCAGCTCAGGAGTTCCAGACCAGCCTGGGCAACATGGTGAAACCTCGCCTCTACTAAGATAAAAAAAGTTGGCCAGGTGTGGCGGTGTGTGCCTGTAGTCCCAGCTACTCGGGCGGCTGAGGCAGGAGAATTGCTTGAACCCGGGAGGTGGAGGTTGCAGTGAGCCGAGATTGCACCACTGCACTCCAGCCTGGGCAATGGAGTGAGACTCTGTCTCAATTAAAAAAAAAAAAAGAGAGAGAGAGAGAAAAAATGAAACCTAGAATTTTGCTACTCTCAAAAAAGTCTTTCAGTAACATAGTACTATGATGTTTTAATTTTGAAGTAACATTTTCCAGTAGAGAAAGTCATGTATAAGATGACAGTAAACATCAGCACGATGTAGGTGACTTGATTACTTTGCTCTATTATTAATTCCCATGTTCCTATATATATTGCATTTTCCTTTATATCTGATTGATTTTCTTTCAGGTGTTAAATAGTGATATGGTTAGGCTCTGTATGTATGATTGTATGATTACATATGTAATTGTATGATTACAATTGTATGATTGTATGATTGTACAATTGTATGATTGTATGATTACAATTCTCATCTTGATTGTAATCCCCAGGTGCTGGGGATTACATGATTGTATGATTGTACAATTGTATGATTGTATGATTACAATTCTCATCTTGAATTATAATCCCCAGGTGCTGAGGAAGAGACCTAGTGGGAGATGATTGGATCATGGGGGCAGTTTCCCTGTGCTGTTTTTGTGATAGTGAGTTCTCATGGGCTCTGATGGTTTTATAAGTGCCTGGCATTTCTCCTGCTTGCACTTCTTTCTCTCTTGCTGCCTTGTGAAGAAGGTGCCTGCTTCCCCTTCCACCATGATTGTAAGTTTCCTGAGCCCTCCCCAGCCATGCAGAACCGTGAGCACCTCTTTTCTTTATAAATTGCCCAGTCTTGGGTAGTATCTTTATAGCAGTGTGAAAACAAACTAATACAAATTGTTTACTCCATGCTCCTTTGCATGGCAGTAGAAATGCCATAAGCCTTACCTTAACCACATCATCTTTAATACTTTAACACTCTAGATGGGATCACATGGAAAACATGAGTGTACTTTTGTCGCTATAAAAAATATCAATGGCCATCTCCATATTGTCAGAAAATTGAGTCAACTCACTTTAAATGTGAATCAAACTCATTGGTTACTGACAAGAGACCATTTAAATTCATTTATTTACTGTATTTTTTACAGTAAATAAATAAACAACAACAGCTGTTTTGCTCACAAGGAGATACAACTTTGGGGCAACTGGATGAACTGGACATGGCCAAATTTCAGTATGTTTCAAGTGTTTCTATTCTCTCTGTGATAGACATAAAAAACAAAACAAAACGAAGAAGCAAACAAAAAAAAAAAACTCAAGAATTCACCCTGAGAGTCTGAGTTAGATTCTTTCTTTCTTTCTTTCTTTCTCTTTCTTTCTTTCTTTCTTTCTTTCTTTCTTTCTTTCTTTCTTTCTTTCTTTCTTTCTTTCTTTCTTCCTTTCTTTCTTTCTTTCTTTCTTTTTCTTTTTTCTTTTCTTTTCTTTCCTTCCTTCCTTCCTTTCTTTCTCTTTCTTTCTTTCCTTCTTTTCTTCCTTCCTTCCTTCGTTCCTTCCTTCCTTCCTTTTTTTTTTGAGATGGAGTTTTGTTCTTGTCACCCAGGCTGGAGTGCAGTGACAAGATCTCGGCTCACTGCAACCTCCACCTCTTGGATTCAAGCGATTCTCCTGCCTCAGCCTCCCGAGTAGCTGGGATTACAAGCACCCGCCACCACACCTGGCTAATTTTTTGTATTTTTAGTAGAGACATGGTTTTACCGTGTTGGGCAGGCTGGTCTCGAACTCCTGACCTCAGGCAATCTGCCTGGCTTGGCCTCCAAAAGTGCTGGGATTACAGGGGTGAGCCACCACGCCCGGCCAAGAGTCTGAGTTTCTTAAATGACAATGGGAGAATCTTTTTTTCTTACTGAACTTGACTATATGTGCTACATGTGTGGGTGCAGAATGTATTGCTAGAATGACCTTGTGTTTTTCCTCATCAGTCTGGAGTTTGGTATCCATCCCCCTACCCCCAATCTGCTTCTCTAGAAAGCCTTTCTATATAATTTCCTATTATATCAATGCAAATTTTCCCATTCTAAGTTCAGCTGATTCTCACAGATCTAGCTCTGAAGAAATAAAACTTCATATTTCTTATAAAACAGTATTTTCTGTCATATTTATTATTCTTTGCTCTCCCTAGAATAAAATATGGAAAACTGAGAATGTCTCTAATAGGCAAATGCAAATCTATAAAACAAGACTATGAGCTTAAAAAAATGCCACTTTTGTTTATAATTCCTGTCAGCTGAATCAACCTGTAAATTTTATCTAAATGGCAACCAGTAGGAAACAGAATAAGGTAGCCAATATCCTGTGAATACAAGCAAAGTAAATCATATTGTTCATTTTGTCACATTTTCTTCAGTGTGCTGCTTAGTGTGGTAGAATTATTTTGGAAATCATTTTCTTCAGTGTGCTGCTTAGTGTGGTAGAATTCTTTTGGAAATTTTGAGGATGATAAAATAAGTATCATAATATCCATTTCCAGCATGGTCAGAGTGAATTCCAATTGATAGGCTCAATTTTCATCTGCATGTTGTAAACTAGGTTCCTGAACACTAACAAGTTCTCTCCATTCCCTTCTAAACTTACTTCCCATCAAAACCCAAACAGTGTTAATTTGCTATTTTGAACTTTTGTTTGTTCTTTTCTTAGGTGCCTACCTGTGTATTACAACCCTGCACCTAAGAAATACCCTGATTTGGTTGATTTTGTTGATTTGTCTCTGAACACACCTGAGTGGGTTATTTCTTTCTTCTCCTCTTCCAACTGCAGCTCTCCCTTCCTGCCTTTGAGACCTGGATGAACTGTATGTCAAATGAGAGACTCATGAAGATCTTAGATGATTGTTGTCTATCCATCCTACTAAAAAAAACTTAAAATACATTTTTCTGCAGTTATATTAGCATTCATAAAAACAATATCTTGTTTTCACATGTATGTACATGCTTATGTTCAAATAGTGTTTGATGCTACCTTACATTCATTTTTCTCTTTGGGTAATCACAGTATCCCCATATATTCTGAAGAACAATGTGATTCCTATAATTCTACAAACTTAAATGTTGTGATTTGCCTAGTCATCTCTCAGTCCACATGTTGGGAGAGTAAGAGAAGAATAAAAATATCTTAAGCTGCTTCATCCTTAATATTTTCATTTTTCTCATAGTAAGGTGATGATTTAAGCAAATAGTTGGCTTCTTAATGGAAGAGATTCTGGTTAGGCATGACCTCTGATACCAAATATCCTTCTCCCTTCTGTCAATGGGTAGGGCTGGTAGAGAGAGCGAGGTCTCAGGGCCATGAGATACACCAAGTTCATTGGATATTTTTCAGCAACTTTGCCCAGGGTGGCCCTTGCCCTACACAGTCTAATCTTCTTTCCCTTGGGGCACAACTTGAATCAAAATTCCTTACATGTTGAAGACTCCAAGAAGTTATGTGAACACTTAATCTTTTTATAGATCAAAACGTGTGAAGTTTTTATTTGCATACTTCTAAAACCCAGAAATTATTTCCTGGTTTATGGCAATTTTATATTAGATAGGTGGCCCTAGCTTGATATATTAAGTATGTTAAATTGATTTTCCTAAGGTCCTCAATGCAAGTAAGAAAATCTAGAAGAGCTACAGAAGCTTCCTATGGAACTATAAAACCATTGTGATGATTCATCAACAGAAAATGTGGGCAAAAGTTCAGACAGATTATGTTGTAGGAATCTTGAATCCCAGGCCTTGGGAAGGACCCCAAGATGTATTCGTTGATTTTGATGACTGATTTAGAAATAGGGCTAAAGGATTTTTGAAGAAATGTCAGAATGGCAGTGGTGAATGAGACCACTGGACTTGTTTGAAGAAAATTATTAAACAGGCCCAGAAGCTGTGCTAAGAAAGAAAGTCATTAATTAGATATACAGAGAAAGAAACAGTGCAAAGCCCTTTATCAGCAGTAACAGCGTGAAGAATTAAGAGGATGCATATAGGAAACTCCTGTTTGAATGAAAAGGCAACATGGGGAACTTAAATGATTAACAAATTAAGGAGGTGATGAAAAATCCCACAAACATTTAGCATTAAGAAAACCTTCTAAGAGAGGCAAGGTACTAAGGAAAATTATGTTAGTAGACAGACGAGAAGGTATTCAACCACATGCTGTGTCTGGCCAGCACTTTCAACTAGAATGATTCCAATCCAAATTATGTAATGATTATGTATTTATGTAGCAATTGGACCTAATTTGAACTTTACAAAAATCAGTAGAATCAGACAAAAGATGAGCTGCTAAGCTCAGGTCAGTATGAAGATGAAGACAAGATATTGAACACAGTATTACTACTCTGGAATGAGGAAGAGCTAAGCATTTGTATTATTTGAGGAGCACATTGAACTCTATTCACCACGAGGAGACCAGATAGCATATCCAATAATGCAGCCCAATACAACATGTTCTTTTAGTAACTGAGAGGAGTTTAATTTATCCAGTGCCCGGGTAAACTATATTTTTAACTATTTGATCTAGTCTTTAAGTTATAGTCACAATTTTCTGATGCACTACAAAGATACTTCTCTGCACCCAAAAGTGGTCTGGGATGGCAAGGATTTCAAAGACCTTGCTCAGCAGGCAGCAGTAGATCTAGGATGGGGGACTATGCCAAGGATGGGCAAATGTGACTTTCTGTGTTCAATTTTAAGTTCCTGTAGACAGAGGCAGCCATGAAGGATTCACAGTCACTTCCTGGGGCAGAAAGTTGTGCCATGTAAGTGGAATGAACTTTCTTAATTTCAGATAACTTTGTTTACCCATGCTGCGATAACATAATGTTAGGTACTTCCTTGCTAACCCTGTTATCAGGGTTGCTCGTTAGAGCAGTTATTTGTTGTTTGTTCATTCATTCAAGAAATATGCTTGGAGTACTTTGACCCATTCAAGTTAATCCACGTTAATAAATTATTTCCCTAGAATGTGTCTGGTTACCACAAATATAAACTGTTTGGGGCATAGATAAACTTATAATTTTTTTTATATTCCCCCACTTTCCCAAATCAGTTCCTGACTTGTAGCAAGCAATTAATGCCTACCTAATTAATTTAGTTTAATGGAAATAACATTCAGAAGATGTATGGCTTTCAACTGGATAAATGCAGGTATTGGAATGACTCATTTCTACAATAACTTGTCAAAGACTAGGATTCTGAATAAGTGAGACCAGGGATATGAAAGATTTAATTCCAAAGGAAGGAACAGAGAGACATCAACAGTTGCTACATCAATATTATGCTTGCAAGAAATGGTTTATTTTGAGAAGCAGAGCTTGGCTACAAAGGGAAGCTCAGAAGTCTTTCTTGGGTGTTCTTAAAACAATAATCCAGGGAAGAAGCTAAAGCTGACTAATAAAGAACTCAGTTAAGTGTCAGGTTTCAGGAACCTGAGTTCACTCTCAGGGCAATTGTAAAACTTTGACAACCTTCCTAGGTTGGCTCTTTCAGTACACTGCCCATGTTTAATTACATGTGGCAAATTTTACCCAAATACAGTTGTATGTTTCCCAGATGACCTGGGATCTCTGAGTACTTTACAGTTAGGTTAGAGAAGTAGTAGTGCTATGTCAGGCTCAGAGAAGTTGGGATGGTGGTAAAAATTGTTAGAAAAGCAGAATTGACTGACTTTGCTGAGGGCCAGCCCTGCCTTTGTGCATCTGAGCCTGGTATTTAGAAACAACGTGAGCACTTCATTTGTGATATCATCTCTCAGAGGTGTGTGTTCTCCGCTACACGACTTGAGTTCCTGCCAATAAGGAGATAAGGTCCTTGCTACTGTTATGACATATTTGTAGTACTCGGATGAAATTGAAGGCTTTGAAACAGGGAATCCCCACGTCAACCTGCCACCTTCTACAACATTTCTTTATCTTTTTGTATGAATTTGACATTAGTTATAGAAAGCAGCTCTTGCTCGTGTTTCTGGATGAAGGAACCATAGAAAAGGAAGCTTTCCTCAGTTGCTTTAGTGTGCAGCCTTCTTATTTATCAAGACACAGTTATCCATTTGCCTCTTCAGTATGTGAATTACCTCACTCCTCCCTGAAACTCCCAAAGAACCTTTTCACTATAATCTGCATCTGTTAGCAGCTCTTCTTAGAGAAATGTTGGCATGGGTTTTCCCCTCTTAAAGGATAAACTCTTTCACCTCCAACAGATATTTGCTAGGCATCAACAATTGATTATTATTTTTTCTTACTTATGTAATGTTCTGATCCATGACACAGGACGTTTTCTTCACAATCCCCTTTTTAGAATTTAACTTTTTTAGTATTTAAATTTTAAAATGCATTCAACTAGATGTAATCAGGTTAAAATTAAAGATCTAGGGCTAACCCAAAGAAAAAATATTATAAGCTTTTAAAAGGTCATCCAAAAAGATGTGCAGTGAAGACAAACCATTTAGTCTTGGTGTTGGCAAGGAAGTATATGGATTGATTCTTGCACAATTTCAAATTTTATGAATAGGCTTTATAGCTTGTATTCTAAAACTGTTTGTCTGGAATTTGGAAAGTGTTCTTTCCTAGAGACAGTGTATTGACTGGGCATTAGGGTGTCAGGCTAACCAACAAAAGCTTACTCAATTCGTGAAGTAGAACTGCAGTGTGTGCTGTCAGACCACCTGGGAATAGGAGTCAAGCAGCCTTGAGAGTTAAATGGGAGAATGGGTTTTCCGGTTTCCTAGAGATGGCCTTAAGCAAAAATGTAAAATCTGTGAGATTGGCAGCTGGGTATCCTTCTGCAACTCTCCCTGCTTTCTCTTCCTTCACTCCGTGACTCTCCCCACGCCAACACACATTATCCTTCCCTAAGGCATTCATCCCCAGGCACGTCATCCACCGTGCTATTTTTAAGGATCTATGCTCTTTCATCCCTCAATTTTCAATTTTCTCAGAACATTTGCTAAGAACAAATCAATCAGAACCAAATAAATCTCACTATGGTGTAGAAAACCAACAATTTCTTCATAACTACTTTTTTTACTAAAAAGGGGACTTGTTGACCCAAGTGTATAAGTTTAGGTAAATGATGCAATGATGGCAGCTGGAGGTGTTGGTATGTGGAAGTGTGCACAGCACCAGAGAAGCAGGTCAACTTCCAATTCCCACCATATAGCTTGTGGAGCCTCACATCCTGAACTTTCTGAATTTACGCTGCAGATTCGTATGCTTCAGCACTTGGCTCTGGCTCCAACAGCTCCAGAAAACATGTCATTAATTTTCAAAGCATTTTGTTTTAAAGTAATTAACATTACCTACTGAAACAAACAATGCTAAAATCTCAGTGGAAGTACAAGATACAAGTTTATTTCTGTTCACACAAGGTCCTGTGAAAGTTGGGCAGCTCTTCTCCAACAGGGGAAACAGTTTGCACTGTCATCTCAGAGTCCTCCAATTCCAGCTGTTAAAGAAATACCACAGAAGAGGGACAGACTGGACATGTGACATAGCACTTATCAGCCTATTTTACAGAGGCCAGAGCTCCGTTACAGGTCTGAACCAACTGCAAGGACATCCAGACGTGTAGAGGAGCACATGAATAGCGTGAATATTAATACTTTCTGCCCCACTGTTACTACTGGGCATTTGTTCCTGGGCTAAGCTCTTCATCTTTTTAATGTTTTTTTCCCCACCTGAAACCAGAACTTATTTGAAGTTCCAAAGTTTCTTCTCTTCAGCCCCAATTCAGTGGCATCTATGATGTGTGTGTGTGTGTGTGTGTGTGTGTGTGTGTGTGTGTGTGTGTGTTTACATGCATGCACTTTAACCTGGTTAATGTGTGATGTAATTTATGGCAGTGAAATGACAAGGAAGGAAGGTGGAAGAGACTAGTGGGGTATTTTGAAAGTGGAAATGAGCAATACAGGTAGAAGCAGGAAAAGCCTGGCGGGGTTGTGTGTCTTAGTTCATAAGTCAGGGCTTCTCTCTAGTCCTCATCTGTCTGTTTTAATAGCAGCTTGTTAAAATCACTTATTTTTTTCTCGCTAGATACTTCTTCATCTGATTGTTCAAATACAAATAGTAAGACTAAAAGTTCAGAGTTCAAGATGATTATCTCCAACCCTTTAAATTTTAGGGTGACTATACTGACCAACCCCAAATATTCAGACAACTGTTCACACAGCACAAGATATGTACATCCTTAAGAATTATGAAGAAGGAAGCCACTCCACTTAACTTCCCTTATGTGCTGGTGTAGACTTCCTGGAAGTTTCTATGAATGTCATTTACTTGAGAAATGGAAAGTGAATAGTATCTGATACATTAATGGGTTTACACAGTAGGTTCTGAGTTTAGTTTTACAAATCAGGAAACACTAAGATTTCTGCTTGGAATCTTTAGGATTTCATGACTGCCCTGCTGGGTTTCAGACTTACATGGGGCCTTTTAGCCTCTTAGTTTTGGCCAATTTCTCCCTTTTGGAATGGGAGCATTTACCCAATGCCTGTATCCCCATTGTATCTTTGAAGTAACTAACTTGTTTTTGATTTGATAGTCTGATAGACGGAAGGGATTTGCCTTGTCTCATTTAAGACCATACTTGGATTTTTGAGTTAATGCTGGAAGGAGTTAAGGCTTTGGGAGGCTGTTGGGAAGGCATGATTGTGTTCTGAAATGTGAGATGGACATGAGATTTGAGAGGGGCCAGGGGCAGAATAATATAGTTTGGCTCTGTGTCCCCACTCAAATCTCATGTCAAACTGTAATCCCCAGGTGTTGGAGGAAGCGCTTGGTGGGAGGTGTTTGAATCAAGGGGGCAGACTTCCCCCTTGCTGTTCTCATGATAGTGAGTTGAGTTCTCATGAGATCTGGTTGTTTAAAAGCACATAGCACTTCCCCCTTTTCTCTCTCTCCTGCTGCCATGTGAAGATGCACTTGGTTTCCCTTTGCCTTTCTGCCATGATTGTAAGTTTCCTGAGGCTTCCCAGCCATGCTTCCTGTACAGCCTGCAGCCTGCAGAACTGTGAGCCAATTGAACCTCATTTCTTCATGAATTACCCAGTCTCTGGTAGTCTCAAGTATGCTAATACACTGAGCATTCCTCTAAACTATTTATTATGTCTTCAGTGTGGATTTATGTAGCCCCAATGTTCTTTGAATGTTGAGGCTGCAATTCCTCAAATTGTTTTAAAACTTCTAGATTCACTTTTAAAGCTTGAACATGCTATGCCTTTTGTTTATTTTATCTTCTTTTTCATTGCAATTGTGTTTATTTTTGGGTTTCCAACGATATTTTCCATATAAGCAAAAACAGCTGCATGGTACAAAGAAAATGAAGACAGCAGAGCTGATATTAGAACACAGCAATTGGCCTGGCTTGGGAAAGGAGAGAAAACTACATGTGCATGGGGAAACATTAGCATGGCTTTTTTTTTTTCTGTAGATAATAGGAAAATCTCTCAGCTTCTAGACAAGTCTTAATCAGAGATGTATTAACACTCAGCTTATAAAGTATATGTAACAAGACTTCACTGCCAACATTACATAGACATACTAAACCTGGAAAGATAGAATTTTTATTATGCATTGCAGGTATGCTTCAGTTTAGAATTTTTAGGATACATTCATTTACTTTATTTCACTTGTTCTTTACAACAGTTCATTAGCAGGGAGGGCATGAATTTTTATGCCCATTTAATATTTAAAGCAAATAAAACCAGTGGGCTTAGGCATCTTGCTGGCATCACACTCTCCTTAAATGGTTGAATCAGAAATGGAATCCACTTCTTCTGACACTTAGTCTAATTTTCCTTGTTTTGTAACAGCCTGGAGTTTCCTTCTCACCAAGCTAATAACTCACTACCAGGAAAACCACTCACTTACTGTTTTTTTTGTAGAGATAAAAGTTTGCTCATCGCTAGGGAAAGGCTTTCTCTCGTATCTCATTCCCTTTTCCTGGAAGGGAAAATACTAACTTTTACTCCTCATTGGTGAGTAACTATCATGGAGGGTACACCATAATAGTGAAAGAGGATCCTTGTCATCCTTGACTCACATCTTACATGCAATCCTTAAGCAAATCTCATGGCCATATATCCACAGTCTATTCTAAATGCAACCATTTATCACCACTCCTGCCACTGTACCACTCTGCTTTACATTCTTGTGGTCCCCTGACTGATCTTCCAGAGTCCTTTATTGCTGTAACCTCTCCCAAGTCTGAACTCTCCACAGCCAGCAGACCATGCCCCTCCCCTACTCAAAGCCTTCACAGGCTCTGACCTTCCTCAAAATAAAATGTTCCACAATGTCCTACAAAATATGCCCCTAAGAGCCTTTTTAGTACTTTTTTTTTAACATTCCTTCCTTAGCTTATGTCTTCAGCCCCAGTTGCCTCCTTTCAATCCTTTTAATGTGACTATATTTCCTTGCAAGAAATTTTCTACAGCCTGGGATTCTTTCCTTGCAAATGTGCCTGGCTGCTTTCCTACCTTCAGTTGGTCCAGTCTCATTGCAAAGACACCTCTGCAAAGAGGCATTTGGGACCATTCTATCTCACTAAGAAGCATTCCAACACACATAATCACTTTTTATCCCTCATCATTGCTTATTACATTATAAATATTTCAGTCACTCATTTTCTTTTTCACCAGAATGTAAGCTCTGTGAGTATAGAAACTTTGACAGTCATCATGTTCCCAATGCCTAGAACAGTGTCTGGCATATAATAAGGGTTTAATAAATATTTACTCAGTGGGAAAAATGTTTTAAAAAATGAATGACTCATGGGGTAAGACCACTTGGATCTTAATATAGCTTGACTATTTCTTAGTTAAATAACATTGGGTCCCCTATTTAGGTACTCTTGGCTTCAGTTTTCACATCTGTAAAATGACAATTATAGTGGTCTTTGCCTCATTATTAGTTTACTATGAACATTAAGTATGATTATTCACATACATTGCTTCATAGATGCCTGACTTATAATGGGCTCTCAAAACATCTTGAGAACTGTTGACTCTGCTACCCATGGATAAAATGCATAGTTACAACACAGTTGTGCTCTTCTCAATGGAAATGTGCCCATCCATTTAAGACATGCAATCAATGAAACAAGTGACTCAGCTCTTCATTAAATCTGTCCAGAATCTTGTATTTCAGTTTTTAGACATTGCACAATTGCCCTTCAATAGGAAATGTGACAAAAACATGTTCGGGTTTTATAGACTGCCTTTGCTTTCACTGCCATTGCCAGTAATGTGGTTTTCTTTTTGGAGATCTGGCTAGAGGCTGCTGAAACTTTCATTTCACCTAATTTAATAGTTGGTGCCAGAAGGGCCATGTGTGAGATATTTTGGGAAGAGGTTTTGTGGAAGTGAAATTACACCCATTTGCTTGAGAGGAGGGCTGATCCTGGGCATTAAGCTAGGCATTCTGGGAACAATAGTCCAATGTGCTTCCCTAAGCTCCTGGCTTTATGGGCTTTCTTAGAAAAGTCCAGGATCTCCCCACACTTCTATAGCCTAGTTGTGGCCCTGGGCTGCCCTCTGCTCACTCTGGTGATCCTGCAGACTCATTCTGAGGCTGGGGCTGGATGGCACCTAACCTTTCTTTGCCTAGGCTTTCCCTCTGCTGGAAACACTCACACCATGGGAGTCTCATGTATTTAAGGGGCTGGGGCTGCGCCTAGGGAAATTCTCTAAGTGCAAGCTTCATGGTAGAGAGAGTTAACAGAGGATATCCTTCCTCAGAAACCTCATCACAACAATGTTTGTGGGGAATCAACACAAATGTGTGAGAGAGGACCAGAGCTTGAGGGGTTTATAATCCATTGAGGAAATAGAGTATGACTTTTAAAAGATAATCTACAGATCAAGGTAAAAAATTAGAAGAATCTGATAAATGATATGATAGAAATCTTGCTTCAGGAGACCCAAGGATAGAGGATTCCTGAAGGAAAGGTCTAAGCCACAAGGGGTCCTGTTTGACTTACTTCCACTTAAAGCTAGTGTTTTTTACAGCTGTGGATCAATGATGAGGACAATTCTTGTCAAGATCTCCGAGTTCATCAAAACCCCTTCAGAGGCTTGCAAAACAGACAGATTCCAAGTCCCCACCCTCAGAATTTCTCATTTATAAGATCTGCCATGCAGGACAAACAACTACTATAACCTTCTTCCTCTTCCTCCTCCTCTCCCTCTTCCTCCTTCTCCTTTACATATTGTATTGACATATAATTAACATATATAATATGTACATGTTTTTGGGATTTAGTTCATTGAGTTTTAACAATTTCATGCATACAAAACAAGATATAGAATATTTCCATTACTACAGGTAGTTCCCTTGTCCCTCTTTCAAAAAAATTTTATTTCCTCTAACCTCTACTGCCCTTCCCCTTCAATTTCTGACTTCCAGCCACAGTCTCTTCTTGGATTTTATATAAATGGAGTTATACACTGTATACAGTTTTGCATTTCTGACTTTTGTTCAACATAATATATTTTTTCGTATTTATCCATATTGTTGTGTACTTTAGTAATTCTCTTTTTAATGCTGTCTAATATCTCACTGTTTGGACAAACCACACATTGTTTGTTATTTTCATTTTAATGGGCATTTGGACTGTGATATGGTTTGGCTGTGTCCCCAGCCATATCTCATCTTGAATTGTAATCCTTTATTCCCCATGAGTCGATGGAAGGAAATGTGGGGTTGGAGTCCCCACATAGAGTCCCTACTGGGATACTGCCTAGTGGAGCTGTGAGAAGAGGGCCACCCTCCTCCAGACCTCAGAATGGGAGATACACTGACAGCTTGCACTGTACACCTGGAAAAGCTTCAGGCACTAAACACCTGCCTGTGAAGAAGCTACCCAAGGCTGTGGGAGCCCACTCCTTGCATCAGCATGTCCCAGATGTGAGATGTAGAGTCAAAGGGAATCATTTTGGAGCTTTAAAGTTTAATGACTGCCCTGCTGGATTTCACAGTTGCATGGGGCCTGTAACCCCTTTGTTTCAGCCAATTTCTCCCTTTTGGAATGGGAGCACTTATCCAATGCCTGTATCCCCATTGTATCTTGGAAGTAACTAACTTGCTTTTGATTTTACTGGCTCATAGGCAGGAGGGACCTGTCTTGTCTCTGATGAGACTTTGTACTTGGACTTATGCGTTAATGCTGGAATTGTTGCAGGAAGTCAAGGACCCCAAATGGAGGGACCAGCTGGAGCCGTGGCAAAGGAACATAAATTGTGAAGATTTCATTTTAATGTGGACATTTATCAGTTCCCAAGTAATACTCTTATAATTTCTTATGCCTATCTTACTTTAATGTCTTAATCCTGTTATCTTTTTAAGCTGAGGATGTACGTCACCTCATGACCACTATGATATTTGTGTTAACTGTACAAATTGATTGTAAAACATGTGTGTTTGCACAATATGAAATCAGTGCACCTTGAAAAAGAACAGAATAACAGTGATTTTCAGGGAACAACAGAAGACAACCATAAGGTCTGACTGCCTGCAGGGTCAGGCAAAATAGAGCCATATTTTTCTTCTTGCAGAGAGCCTATAAATGGACGTGCAAGTAAGGAAGATATCACTAAATTCTTTTCCCAGCAAGGAATATTAATAATTAATACCCTAGGGAACAAATGCATTCCTGGGGGGAGGTCTATAAATGGCCGCTCTGGGAGTGTCTGTCTTATGCAGTTGAGATAAGGACTGAAATATGCCTTGGTCTCCTGCAGTATCCTCAGGCTTACTAGGATTGGGAAACTCCACCCTCAAATTGGTAAATTTGAGGTCAGACCGGTTCTCTGCTCTTGAACCCTGTTTTCTGTTGTTTAAGATGTTTATCAAGACATACGTGCACCGCTGAACATAGACCCTTATCAGTAATTCTGCTTTTGCCCTTTGCCTTGTGATCTTTGTTGGACCCTTATCAGGAGTTTGTGATTTTGCTCTTGTCCTGTTTCCTCAGAAGCATGTGATCTTTGTTCTCCTTTTTGCCCTTTGAAGCATGTGACCTTGTGACCTACTACCTGTTCTTGTACCCCCTCCCCTTTTGAAATCCTTAATAAAACTTGCTGATTTTGCAGCTCAGGTGGGCATCATGGTCATGTCACCCCTGGAGGCCCAGCTGTAAAATTCCTCTTTGTACTCTTTCTCTTTATTTCTCAGCCAGCCGACACTTATGGAATATAGAAAGAACCTATGTTGAATATTGGGGGTGGGTTCCCCCAATATGGAATGAGTTAAGACTTTGGGGGACTGTTAGGAAGGCATGATTTTGTTTTGAAATATGAGGACATGAAATTTGTGAGAGGCCAGTGTTGGAATGATGTGATTTGGCAGTACCCCCACCCAAATCTCATTTCAAATTGTAATCCTCGTGTGTTGAGGGAGGGACCTCATGGGAGGTGATTGGATGGAGTTCCCCCATGCTGTTCTCTTTCCTGACGCCATGTGAAGATGGATGTGTTTGCTTCCCCCTCCACCATGATTGTAAGTTTCCTGAGGCCTCCCCATCCCTGTGGAACTGTCAGTCAAGTAAACCTCTTTCCTTTATAAATTACCCAGTCTCAGGTATGTCTTTGTAGCAGTGTGAAAATGGACTAAAGTAGATTGTTTTCCGTTTTTGACTATTGTATATAATTCTGCTATAAACATTCTTATACATTTCTTTTTGTGAACATAAGTTTTTGTTTCTCTTGGGTAAATATCTGGGAGAGAAATTGCTAGCTCGAAAGATAGATGTATGTTTAACTTTTTAAGAAACCACCAAACATTTCTCCAAAATGGGTGCATTTTACCCTCTCAATAGCAATGCAGGAGAATTGCTTTTCCATGTCCTCACAAACTTTGGTGTTGTTAAATTTAAAAAAATAATAATTAAAAATGTGGAGCTCCTTTTTATGTATCTATTGATGATTTGTAATGTTTTCTTTAATGATAGGTCTATTCAGATTATTTGAATATTTAAAAATTTTTTTTGCCTTTTTATCATTCACTTGTATGAGTCCTTTGCATTTTTTGAATACACATTTTTGCCAGATATATGTGTTCAGAATATTTTTCCCAGCCTGTAGCTTGTCATTTAAAAAATTATTTGTGTTTTCATTCAAGCAGAACATTTTAATTTTAATTAAGTTTAATTTATTAATATTTTCTTTTATGGTTGGTGCTTGTTTGGTCTGTTTCAATCTTTCCTTCCACAAAATTGCAAAGATATTCTCCTATATTATTTTCTAGAAGCTTTATAGTTCTGGCATTTATGTTTAGGTATCTTATCAATTTGAGTGTGTACGTGTATTTATGTGTGTATAATGAGGCAGGGAGTTGAGATTCATTTTTGTTTTATACAGATATTTAGTTGTTCTAGTAGCACTTAAGACTTGAATTAACCTAACACCTTGGTTTTATGCATTTTTAATAAGCGCTTTATATGATTCTGATGCAGAGCATTCAAGGATTATTTACTATGTACTGCTGTGGAGGAAAGATGAGTGGGTGTTTATTTTGATTTCCAATCGGAGAAAAGTACTAGCAGTTGAGTAATAATATTATCAATAATTACTAGGAAAAACTAAACTTTATTGAGCTTTTGCTGCTTCATCTTGATTATAATAAATACTTTGTATCAAATTTAATATTTACCCAAATCCTATGGATAGATATTATTTTCTGTATATAAGGACACAGAGGCTCAGAGAGCTTAATTCATTGTCCAAAGACTCTCTTTAGCATATATAGAAGCCAAAATCCAAACTTTGGTTTTCTGACACCAGAGACACTCTGGTAACTACCAGGTTCTCTGCCTTCTTCAATGGGGTACTGATTTTTTTTTTCACTGCTCACAACTGAATGTAATGATTCTTTAATGCAATTGTTCTCAGACATTTGTCTCAGGTAAGCTTTATGCCCTTACAATTATTGAAGACCTCAAAGAGAGTTTCTGTTATTAGGTTGGTGCAAAAGAAGTTGCGGCTTTTACCATTGAACATAATGGCAAAAACTGCAATTACCTTTGTACCAATCTAATATATAGGTAATATCTAGTTGTATTGTATTCAAAATTAAAACAGAAACTTTTGAAAAATGTATCATCTTATTTTTTAAAATAACAGTAATGACTCCATTGCATGTTAACATAAATAATATATTTTAGTAAAAAATAACTATTTTTCAGAAAAATAGAGTAGTGACATTGTTTTACATTTTTGTAACTCTCTTTATTATCTGGCTTAATATAAGATACCTGTATGCTCATTCTGCTCTTATTCAATCTGTTGGGACATGGTCTTTTTGTTGAAATACAGTATATGAAGAAAATCTGGCCTCACACATATGTATAGTTTTAAAAGAAGGAGTATTTTAATAGCCTTTTCAAATGACTATGGCTATCTTTGATACTACATCAAAGCCAACAACTGGTGGTTTCTTAAATACTACTTAAATATTAGTGTCAATGTGGAATCAGAAACCACAGTTAATATGAATAACTTTGAAAAACTCAGTTTTAGTGAATATTTTATTCATGCATGACTGTATAACAATATGCATTGCTCCTTTGGAAAATATAGTCTGAGTTATACAGATTGTGGTGGGTAAGAAAATGCACTATTTAGATCTTCTCTGCAGGGAATATGATTGACTGACAGCACCTGCAACTGTCCTTCTAGAACCACCATCATGTTTGTACGGAGGTCACGCTTCCCATGGCTGCTCCCAGCCAGGGGCTGCACATAACAGAAGTACTAAGGCAATCCAACCCCAGTGAGATGCAGACCTCCTTAAACTGGTGAGTTTGACTCCAGAAGTTGGCATTGGTCTAGTTGAAACATGCCAGGGACTGCTGCAGTCTAGAACTCTTCTTACCCCATGCACTTTCCTTCTTCCCTCCTTCTTCGGTGTCAGACCTGCATTGTGGTTCAAAGGCTGTCTCTGCCTTCTCTGGCTCTCTCCCTTTATCCTTCACAGGTATTCCCATCAGCAGCTTTCTTGAATGTCTACTCTGATCTTAGCACCTACTTTTCAGAGGACTAGAACAAATACACAGATCTCCAAAGGTTGACACATTTCATTGTAAAATACTAAAAGCTCACTTTTGTAAATATCACCACTGATCCCATTGGAGAAGTTGTAAGTATTGTGAAGTTGTCAGGCAAAAAGTAGAGGATATACATTTTCCAAAATTCTAATTTTCATTCAAAAACTTAAATTGCATCATTAGCAACATAATTGCCAGTTGTTTTTCTTGAAATGGCAGGCTTACTCCATTCAATGATGTAAAAATCTCTACCAAACTGCCAGTCTGAATAACCATAGCTTAACAGTCAGTGGCTCTTTCAAGTAAAAGTAGCACTCTAAACAAATAGCAGCTAGTTCAGCTCGCAACTCAGGTAATCAGACAAGGAATTTTTCTTGAGAAACTCATTGTACTGCAGAATGCAGCAGAAGTGCCTTTCATCCATCTGGTCCATTTCATCATGCAGCATATTTAAAAGACTTGTACTCAATGGTTAAGATCTAAAAAACTCATATGTTTTTACTGCTTCATAAAGGACATTTGTAAGTGGAATGGGCGCTATGTTTTCTGCAAGTGCGTGGCAGTGAAAAATACAATGACTGCTAGTGGTGTTTATTGCCATTGGCGTGATTCATGATCTGACCCCAGTCATTTCACCCACCATTGGTTTTGCTCCATCAGTGCAAAAGCCAACACAGTGGGAAAACCAAATGACTCCCTAATATTAATATAAAACTAGTTTTGGCCTCACAGACCCTCTGAAAATTCTTAGGAACACCCAGGGGTTCATGTGCCATATTTTGAGAACTATTTCATGAAGAAATCAAACATTGATTGAACGCTCCATAAGTACAGTACATCTTTGTAGGCCCTGAGGATGACTATCACAAAGTGCCTACCCTTGAAGAGCCCTGGCTTTTCTAAAGGAGACACAGGTTATTAAATAGTTGGATTAGAGTTAGTGGACTGTGCTACGGGGGCAGAGAAAGGACATCATGGTTCTGTCTGTAAGGCTCAGAGGTGACCACAGCAGGGAGGTGATTCTTGAGGCAAGATTTGAAGACTGAAAAAGTGCTTGACCCCAAATAGAGGAGGTAGATATTCCTGGAGTAAGGAACAAATAACTATAAAAATATGGCAGTGCGTGGTGTGCTTATATTACTATCCATCTAAAAAACAGTAAAAAATATCATGTAACTCTGCCAAAGTTTCCAAAAGGTTTTGGTTATTCTTTTTAGAAGTTTGATGTCCACGCTATTACCCAACGTAAGGAGACCATTGGATGGCACCGCACCTCCGTGTCAGCTGCACCACAGACACAGCCTTTCACTGTGGCCTGTACATTTTTCCTCCTGGTGGCCACATCTTTATCATTTCTTGGAACATCATTTTTGTTTTATTTCAGTGTTTTTGTTTCAGTGTTTTCATAGGACCAAAAAATAAGACAAGTCTGAATGTTTCCCTGGGTATAACAGAACTGTGGATGATGTCATCATCAATTGAGAATTATATTGCCTTTACATTTATGAAGCTCAAATGCCCTCATTCTTTTGAAACTCAGACCTGGTGTATTTAATATGTGTAAAACCATGAGTCTTGACATCCAGGCGGTTGTATTTCCAAACATGCTTATGATTTGCTAAGCCATAAAGAAACTGGATACTGCAGATCAGAAGCCTGCAGTGCAAATAAATGTATTGGTGTGGCATATATTGAATATTTATTTATGTAAACCCGAGATGGCTAGGGAGAGGCACTCTCTTAGTTCATCCAACAAATCACTATGATTCAGATGTTTCCTAACAACCACCTGGGGGAGGAGCGCAATCTTCTCATTTAATCTTAATCACTGGCAATCAGAGACATTTCACAACTGGGAAATATCACACAAATTATTAGAAGAGCAATCAGAAAATATAATAAAGGATAGAAAGAAACATAGTCTTTCCTGTGTCAGGGATTTACGCACACTCAGAGTGTTTAAAGATGTTTTTGTGTCACCCTCCCAGGCCATCAAGTTTAAATCCGAATTCTTTTTAGCTAAAGGCTGTATGGAACCATAGGCTCTTATAGTCCAAGTTTTTACACAAACAAAATGAACGGATTTTAACTCTGGGCTCAGGTTCATTTTGTACATCTCTTCAATATTTGCTGCCTAGGTGGAAGTTTTAGCATTGCGTATTCTCTTTATAAACCTGTATGTATTTATAGGCCAAAGAGTTCCCAAGTGTTGTGTCACCCTAGCTTTTTTGTAAGAGCAGATCAGATATGATAACTAGAAGGATTTATTTCTTGAGCTCTCATCCTTGAATTTCTGGGGCCTAGGATGTTCTCTTTGTTCATTGCCATGGTATAAGTATTTTTATACAAATTATATTAAGATCAACAACAACCATAGGCAATACATGGGGAAGATAAATGAAGGCACTCTAAGAGTATAGGAAAAAGTGTATGAAAAGGAGAAAAAGTATAGAGAAACACAGTGCTGTAACAAGAGCTCCCCAAATCTCAGTGGTTTAATGCTATGGTCAGAATATTTGTGTTCCCCAAAATTCAAGCATCGAAACCTAATCAGCAATGTGATTTTATTAGGATGTGGGGCATTTGAGAGGTGATTAGATCAGGTGATGGGATTAGTGCTCTTATAAAAGAGGCCCCAGAGTGGTGCCTTGCCCCTTCCACCATGTGGGGACACAGCTAGAAGGTGTGATCTGTGAACCAGAAAGCAGCCTTTGCCAGACACAAAATCTGCTTGATACTGGCCTTCCCAGTGTCCAGAACTGTGAGAAATAAATATCTGTTGCTTATGAGTTGCTTGATTTATGGTATTCTGTTACTGTAGTCCACATGGACTAAAACACTTAATAAATTAAAAGTATGTTTCCCTCACATGCCGTTGTGAGTTGGTGGCAATGATGGTGGTGGTGGTAGTGGTGGTGTCCTGTTCCATGTACTCAGGGACCCACAATCCCTCTACCAAGTGGTTTCACCATATCCCAGGGCTCTGGAATCTACCACTGGATTCTGTGGCTCCAGAAGTCAAGAGAAGGAAGAGTTGGAGAATTGCTTGCAAGGTTTGGGGGTCCAGGCCTTGATATGGTATAGCTCATTTTGTTCATATTCTATTGGGCAGATCTAGGTTGCATGAACCACAAGTAACTGCAGGAAAGGTTAGGAAATATGGTCTGGTTGTAAGCCCTGGGGGAAACAGAACCAGAATTTGGTGAACACATTGCATTTTCCTGGCCATCTACATCAATTTGTTCTTAGTGATAGTTGTCAGCATTATGGGTACTTTGAATGTAGACAAAACTGAAATCTGTCCTAGTAGGCATGTATTTATCATTTTGTTTATTCACTCAACAAATATTATTGAACCTCCACTATGAGCAGGACTTTGGGCAAGGCACTCAGTATATAACACTGAGCAGAGAATAGAACACAGAAATAACACAGTTCCTGCCTTCAGGAGCTTACAGTGTCCTGCTAACTGACACATCTATTGTCTTTCTCACCAGCTTTCTTAATTCATCCCTAAGCTGCTGACAGTATGGGAATAAGAAAGGAGAGAAAGGCAAGCAATTATCCTAATTTACTATCCCAGAGGTGGCTGCAGCAATAAGCATGTATATCAATTTATCCACTATAGCAGTCTTAGAGACAAAAACCGAGGAATATGTAATTTATATCCTATAGTGCTTTACATTTTTAAAAGTTCTTACCCATACTGGTGAAGAGGAGTTAAAATTTGCTTTGTGACTTTGAGCAAATGACTTGAACACTCAAGGTTAATTCCTGATCTACAAAATGGAAATAATGCCAGAATCTACCTCTTAGAGTGATTGCAAGGATCAAATAAAATTAAATGAATAAACTGCTGAGCAGAATGCTTAATTTACAATAATTTTAAAAAGTGCTATTAACTAATGCTGTCATTATTATTTGACTTTAAAAATGAAAGGTAGCAGAATACACCACCCCAAAATATAACCTACCTTGTCATAAGGGTTATTTTGAGTTGAAGGCAATTGAGAAGAAGCAGATATCAGAAAAGTTCTTTGCCCTTTTCCTATTTGCATAAAAACAGGACATAAATTTGCAAAGTTGTTCGTCCAAACCAGCTCCATCAGAAAGGACAAAGTTTATTCATTATCAGTGATAACTTTAGACCCTGATCAGCCTAGAGACTGCACCAGAGGAATCTACATCACAAAGTTTTCTAACTGGCCTTTATCTAGTAATAGTTTCCCATATACTGTAGACCCTTAAACAATGTGGGGGTCAGGGGCACTGCCCCCCTCCTTCCACTCCAGTTGAAAATCCATGTGTAACTTTTTCTTTCTCTCTTTCCTTTCTTTCTTTCTCCACTCCCTCCCTCCTTCCCTCCCTTCCTCCCTGCCTCCCTCCCTCCCTTCTTTTCTTTTCTTTTCTTTCTTTCTTTTCTTCCTTTCTTTTTGTGGAGACAGGGTTTCTCTCTGTTGCCCAGGCTGGAGTGCAGTGTTGTGAAAATGGCTCACTGCAGCTTCAACCTCCTGGGCTCAAGTGATCCTCCCACCTCAGCCTTTCCAGTAGCTGGAACTATATGTGCACACCACCACACCCAGCTAATTTCCGTATTTTTTTTTTTTCAGAGATGGGGTTTTGTCATGTTATATAGACTGATCTTAAACTCCTGGGCTCAAGTGATCCACCCACCTTGGCTTCCCAAAGTGCTGGGATTACAGGTGTAAGCCACTGCACCTGGCCTTTGTATAACTTGACTCTCCAAAAACTTAACTACTATTAACCTACTGTTGAAAGCCCTACCAATAACACAGTCAATTAACACATATTCTGTATGTAATATGTATTATATACTGTATTTTTACAATAAGTAAGCTAAAGATATAAAATATTAAGAAAATCATAAGGAAGAGAAAATATATTTACTATTATTAATTGGAAGTAGATCATCATAAAGGTTTTCATTCTCATCATCTTCACATTGAGCAGGTTGAGGAGGAGGAGGAAGAGGTGGGGTTGGTCTTCCTTTCTCAGGGGTGGCAGACACAGAAGAAAATCCATGTATAAGTAGACCCACAAAATTCAGACTGTGTTGTTCAAGGGTCAACTGTATTCACTTTCCTACATTTCCTGCCCCTAGAGATTCAAGGTCCTTTTCCTTTGTCTTGTCACTTCTCAAAAAATGTGTTGATTTTTGGTGAAGATGGCATGTAAGCTGGAATTCTAAGCTACCTCTCTGAGAAATATTTTTTATCTGAGTATTCTCCCCCATATATATAAAACTCACATGTTAGTAAACATGTTTGGTTTTTTTTCTTGTTAATATGTTCTGTGTTATAGAGATCTAAGCTAGGAACTCAGAGGTTACAGGGAAAATTATTTTTTCCTCCCCCACATAAACAATCCTGTGACATAGGTTTCTATTTTACTGTATTAACTATTTAGAATGTTACTATCCAGGCTTTTTTTTTTTTTTCTTCGCCAATGAGAAAAACTATAGTTCAGAGAATGAAGTTTCTAGGAAGAAGCTGTACAGCTTAGAAATGACAGTGTCAGGGTTGGTTACTGTGGTTGTGTCCTTCCATTGCAGGGCCTACAAGGTATAGAATACTTTTGAGAACCATTTGTTTTCTTCTATTAAAAATAAACTGGGCTAATGAAATGGAAAGACAAGTAGCACTTCCTCTGGGTAACCAGCCATGACAGTTTTTACAAGCATGACATTTTTCAGTTCAGGCAGCACATAAAGCATCTACACATTGCTGTCTTTCCACAGAGGTTGCTATAGTTTGTGGATGGTGTGGGAAGAGAAGAGTGGGTGTAAGATTTGGGGTGCCTGAGTTCTAATATTTGTTCTACAGGTGGTCAGCTGTATGACTTGAAATATATCACTTCACCTTTCAGAACTTAGTTTTTTTTTTAATCTAGAAAATAGATATCTGGAACATTGTGTAATTACTAAGCACTCCATCAATGTAGCATAAGCAGAGTAGCTGATGAGTAAGAAGACATAGAAAACAGCTTTTGGAAATTAGAAGTGAAATGTAAGTCATCTTTAGATCTAGTCTTCTGAGCCTAAGTCCTCTGATCCTAAGACACTCTGCTGTTTGAGGAGTTTAAAGCCTTCAGTGTCCCTAGAAAGTAAGTAGAGTCTAAATAGTCTCTGTTGCCATGGTAGAGAAAATTCTGAAGATAAAAATTGTGTCTATATTGAGGGCTAATTATGAACAAAGATTCATATTCTACAGTGTTCTCTGTGCTGCCACAGAAACAGACATGGTGTTAGCAAGTCCTTGAATAAACTTTTATAACCAATTAATTTGTTATTCTCTAACAATGTCTCTGTGATCATCATAAAGGATTTTACTTGATTTAGTATAAAGACCAGGGAATAGCAATTTTTTAAAATTCCCAAACCTTTATTAATGTGTATGTTCATACATATACATTCTGAGACAGGATCTTGCTCTGTCACCTAGGCTGGAGTGCAGTGCTGCGATCATGGCTCACTACAGCCTCAACCTCCTGGGCTCAAGCTATCCTCTCATCTCAGCTTCCAAAGTAGCTAGGACCACAGGGATGCACCACTATGCCTGGCTAATTTTTTAAATTTTTTGTAGAGACAGGATATCTCTGTGTTGCCTAGGCTAGCCTTGAATTCCTGGCCTCAAGTGATCCTCCCACTTCGGCCCCCAAAGTTCTGGAATTATAGGAGTGAGCCACCATGCCCGACCTATTAATGTATATTTTTAAAAGAAAGAATATTACTGATTCTAAGAATATAGTGGAAATTCCATGTTGTCTTATTGAAATGATATAGTTGCATTTTAGTTAGAATGCTACAATTCAATTCGAGTTTATAGTATCTTTTATTCTGCAAAATCAAGTTGGCAAAAAAATTGCTGATTAGAGACCTTAAGTATAAAAGTAATTGATAACAAATCAACTGTTAGATTTGTCTAGAAAATTAAAAAGTCAGATGTTTATCTCATTATTAATCTTTCAACCAGTTTATTTTTACCTGTGAAGAAACATAGGCATAGCCACGTCTATGACTAATTGATCACAGGGAGGAGGGCAAAGGACTAGGTTGGCCTCATACCTGAACTACACTCTTTCCACCAACTGCATTTGGTACATTCATCTTGATTTTGCTTTGGTTTGAAAAAACTTCTATGAAGGATTTTATTGTCAGAGTATCAACAGAAAGACAGTGAATGTTACTGGGATAAATATAAACTAATATCAGCTACATAACCGACTTCATCTCTGAATCTCAGTTTCCTATTTTTTTAAATATCTAAGACAGAAATCCTTACCTTTCGGAGAGTCATGGGACTTAAATGAGACAGGAGCCATGAAGTGCTTGGGATTTAGTTGGCTTCAATAATCATCAGTTCCTTTCCTCCCTAATGATATTAGCTTCCATTAGTTGTACACATTCTGTGTCATAATCTGTGCTTAAACTCTTAACATGGATCATCTCATTAATTGCTCAAAACACGAGGAAGCTGAAGCTCTGGGAAATTAAATTAAGTTCCAGGTCACCAGGTTGGTAAGTGTCAGAGAGAGTTTTCTAATTTAGATGTCCCTGACACTGAAGACCATGTTCTTGATCATCATGTGTATTTACTTTCTGTTGTGTCTTTAACAAATTACCATAGACTTAGTGGCTTCAATGGCACAAATGTATTCTCTCATGGTTTTGGAGGTCAGCAACCCAAAATAAGTTTCAGTGAGTTAAAATCAAGGTGTTGGCAGAGATGATTCCTTCTGGAGGCTGCAGGATAGACTCCATTTCTTGCCTCATCCTGCTTTTGGAGGCCACCTGCATCCTTCTCTCCTGGCCCTCTCCTCCATCTTCAGACAGTGGTGCACCTTGCTTCCATTGTCACATTGCCTTCTTCTTCTGTGATCAAATCTTCTGCCTCCCTCTTTCAGCACACTTGTGACTATATTTGCTATATCAATTCTTATATTGTTACCACCATTGTTACTACCTGTATGCTACTGCTCTCAGCTATTTACAGACTATATATGACCATATTTCTCTAGGTAACTTCCTAGGAGTAAAATCTTGAACTTACTCTTGTCCAACTCTTTGTAGAAGCTCAGCTACAAAAGGAGTATTTTTGAAAAAATTTCAGAAAGATATTCAATTCCTACATTTCTCAAGTTACTTTAAAATCAATCCCCAGATTAAGCAGATGAGCAGAAGGGGTTGCATAAATGGACTTGATCCTTTGCCCACCTGAAGAATTGCTTAACTGTATTGTGTTTCGATATTACATCATTGGCCTACATTGAAGGACAGTGTAAGAAACAGCCCAGGTAACGTAGCCTAGGCCAAGTGTTGGTTATCAGAATTTAGTTGATAACCAACTCTTTCTTTGTACTTAGGGCATAAACTCTTTCTTTGTACTTAGGGCTTAGGGTTAATTAGGGACCTGGATTCATGTTTTTCCCTACTTTGAGGACTCAGCTCTCTACTTTGTAGGTACTGCCTTTCAAGAGCCTCTATTTGCCATGGAATGACAAAATCCTACTTTTCCTCCCCAGAACAGAGCAGCATGTGTTCTTACAGGTGGCCACAGCATATTCATCACATTTGCAATCTTCACATCGGCTCTCTGTTATGTTGCCAGGATTGATTCTTGAATTCCTTTTTCTGATTTCTTTAAGGCTCTTGGCATCATCTTGGTCCATTTGGCTTAGCTGGTTTTGCCCCCACCACATCTGCTGGTGTGATCACATTCATTCGCTTAGCATCAAATAGGCTCAGTACCTGGAGATCATGCTCAATTGCATTTATAATTTTGTATCATTTGATTCAAGAGGCTGTTGGCATTTTCTGGAACTTAAATTTTTTCATCAATATTTCTTTTTTTCCTGAGAGTGTGTGTTGTTTCTTTGAGGAGGAAAAAAAATGCCTGTGAATCAGAGTGTGGAGATTCAATCTGTAGCTTACTGATTTTTAAGGGTGATTCTGGGAATCTCCTTATCTTCCTATTGTTTCTTACCTGTGTAACTAACTCATGGCTGTTACGAGGACTTGTGCTTGTGTAGTATTTTCTAGATTTCAGGGCTTTGGAACGGAGGCATGATATTAATAGTGACATAAATATTTGTATAGAGATGGTAAGTTGACCTATCAAAAAAAAGCTACAAAGTCTGAAGTAGTTTTGGCTGGAAAAAACATTCATGAGAGATGCCCAGGGGTTGAGGATTACCCATTTCTGAGAATAGTTACACATTATGGCCCAACTCCCTTGAGAAGAAGACAAGATGGAAGTGATCCAGGGACAGATTGCATCCAACTAAGTTGTCTGAGTCCCAAGTTATGTTTGAGAGAGGTCATTTTGAATCTATATATTTATAATAGGCTTGATTCCTATCAGTCTAGGAGCAATAGATGCATCTGAAGAACAGAGAATGTTCTGTGTTGATTCCCAAATCTATCAAGTTCTATGCTCTTACTACATTTATGATAGAAATATATTTCAGCTTGATGTTTTTAAAGCTATGAATAATAATGGCATGATTATGTGATAAGGGATACTCTTTGAATCCCTTGAGGTATGTTTGTTTGAACAAAGTTCATTCACATTCAGTATCATGACGCTGAAATAATGACAGAATAAAGAACATTCACCTAGCTGTGCATTTAGATTTAATGGCAGTTTTAGTGTAGCTACATTTTCCAGGAGGCATTTCTCATCTTTTGTTCAATTTCTTAATGAGCTGTGAAACATTTGAGCTTTTGTCTCCTTTTGGGGTAAAAAAAGGCAGTGGAAAGATGAGCTAGAAAAAAAGGAAATGTCTGAATAATATGGATCAACAAGATGCTGGTTTACAATCTTTTACTCCAATAAAACTATTAACTACTTTATAAAAATTATTCTTTTATTTTTACTAAAAAAAAAATCTGAAGGTTTCTGTCAATAGTGGCCAACAACTTAGATATATAGTTTTAGAAGATGATCTTAAAAAGAAGCAAATTTGGCTGGGCGAGGTGGCTCACACCTGTAATCCCAGCACTTCGGGAGGCCGAGGCAGGCAGATCAGGAGTTTGAGACCAGCCTGGCCAATGTGGTGAAACCCATCTCTATTAAAAATACAAAAATTATTCGGGCATGGTGGTGTGCACCTGTAAATCCCAGCTACTCAGGAGGCCGAGGCAGAAGAATTGCTTGAACCCAGGAGCCGGAGGTTGCAGTGAGTTGAGATTGTGCCACTACATTCCAGCCTAGGCACCAGAGGGAGACTCTGTCTCAAAAAAAACAAAAACAAAAACAAAAAAACAAGTGAACTTGAGGAAAACAAATCATTAAAAACGTTAAAGGGACTGGGGTAAGTTTGTTTGGTGAAGACCAGCTTGAAAGAGCTGCTATTAGAAGAGAAAAATGTTTTGGAGTATTGAAGAAGGAGGATTTAGGAGGAGGGAGTAGGAGTATGTGCAGTATGATTGATAAAGGGTTCAAGAATAACTAAAAGACCTTAACTTATCCTGAGAGGGAGGGGTTCCTTAAAAGGGTGAAGTGTAATTATTGAAGTAATGACTGATTTTTTTTCCCCTTATTGAATATGTTCCAACACAGTCTTGATTTCCCAACTGTCCGCTAATAAACTGTGATCCAGCTGTAGGCCATGAAATGGTCAAGGTGGTACTTCTTAATTTCAAGACAATGGTAATCAGAAACAGAACCTTAGGGGTTAGACAGCCCTGCTTCTTCCATTTACCTTAGACAATTTACTTAAGCTCTCTGAAACAGTTTCTTCATCTGTAGCATCAATTTAATAATACCCGTCTCACAGTGTGTGTTAAAGGAAAGTTCTCAAGATTAAGTGACAAAAGGTGTGTAAGTTGCCTAATATATAATAAGTACTCAAATTATTGTAATTCCTACTGTGTTTATTACTGTTGTTTCTAAGCATCTAAGTAAAATCATTGTTCTGTAGAATATCTTAGTGGTATGTGGTGAGATGAAATATTGAAGGTATTAAATAAATGTTAAATAATGATTAAAAGTGCAGTGTATGAACAAAAGGTCCATAGGAAAAGGGTGACTCAAAGGCAAACCTTTCAAGAATGCTGACCGGACACAAGCACATTTTTGGCTGCAGCAAGCAGAGCAAATATGCCCCAAGATCAGAGCCCATCACTGGGTTCTTGGAGCCAAAGTTCTGGAAACCAACCACCTCCAGCCCAGGTCAGCTAAATCATCCCAGATTTGTGAGGTGCCAGCAGTGAGGGCAGGTGCTCTCCAAGTCAGGAAATGTGAGTCAGAAAAACGATGTGATCCTGGCAGGGAACACACTCATTCTGATGATCACTGGTAGTGTTTATTTTGAACAAGAATAATCCTGGTACCTTTTCATACATGATAATACACAACCTGATGCTATGAGAAAATAGTTCTGGACAGGTAGGCAGGAGCCCCATCTAGCTTAATTTTGCTCCTGATGCGCTAGAAAAGTATGGCAAGATAAACACACTCATAAACTCTTGGAGCCTCAGTTCCTTCTACTAAGAAAAAGGATTGAACCAGAGGACGTTGAGGTTTCTTCGGCTTATTATTTTTCTCTGTGACAGCACATTTGTGATTCATGCATTTTTATTAGAGATTTATACCTTATTAATGATTTTAAAAAGCATAATTCATTTTTCTCCTTTTTCATTGGTTGACCCAGATGAGCATCAAAGGTATGAATAGGAGATTCACCATACAGGTTTCCAAATTAAGTGAATATTGGCTAGTGAGTAAATAGAGTTCAAAAAATGAGTATGTGGGATTCAAATTTATAATTTCATTCACATTTATATAGGGAATATTTTCCAAAAAGTAGACATATATGGTTAGTGAATATGGTCAGGCTGAGTGAAAATATCTACATATGGCTAGCTTGGAAAAGCTGAGGAAAACTACAAATTTTAAAAACCAGAGGTGACAATGATATATTAATTTGTCCCAGGTTGTTTACTGAGGATATAAGATCTTTTCTCTTTAATAGAGAAAAGTTTTTTATTTTTATTTTCATTAAAAACTGAGTAAATATTTCAGGTGAAAATTCGAGCGTACTGTCAGATGACTTGATCTCAAACAAAATATAGGATGAAAAGCAGGCATTGATATTGTTTAGGGGGGTGTCCCAAGGTTGATCTTAGCTGCATTTTCCCTCCCCCACAGATGGAATTGCTAAACAATATCAAGGAATACTTTACATTTCTGCAATGCCTTTCGCTAGCTTTGGAGAATGTCTCAAAGGGAAATATGTTCAGTACTTTATATTTCGTTTATTTCTTCTTGTAAGAATCACAGGTTTCTGAGAACTTGTGAGAGTTGCCTTCCATATATTCCTCAGCATTGCATGTAATACTTGACGTTTCTCTTATTTTCAAATGGGGGATATGATGCTTACATGCACACTATTTTGGGTCATTAAAGTAGCATAATGGTAACCAAAGCTCCTTCTAGATTAGTATGAAGCATTGAGGCAGAAAAAGATATTGTTTTTTACATATCTCATAGATAATTCACTCTATCTTAAGAAATAGAACACAATGATTGGGCTAATCTCTTGTTTAGATTTTCTTTGGTCATGTATTATCTAGAATTAAGAGAATAAAGACCTATGCTCACCACCCCCTTATCTCCCCAACAACCCCAGACTGTGGAATGTTGGGATTCATACTGTGAATGCTCTGAAAATCAATTATTGTCAGATTTTGTTTTCAGGGCTGCCAGACAATATTTTGGCTCAACTTCAGTCCATTTGGAACACAGCTGTTAAGTTGTTGACAAAAACTAAGGAAATATGAACATGTTCCACCCTTTCAAAAAAATTGCATTTGTTGGCAACGAACTCAGATGGATTTGAAATTTTCTTATTGGAGAGCAAGTCAGTATCACTCTCTGGCATCCTCTTGGGCTGATCTGGTCATTCTTGTGTTCCAACACATATGGCACCCTTCACTCACCACTTGGGATTTCAGAGTTTACTTTTGATCATGAACTTGGGCTTTAAGTTACTGTGTTAATAACTGTCCAAAACTTTAAGTTTCCCTGGGATTTAGTCTCTCGTTGATTTCTCCACATCTCCAAGTTCATTTTTTAAAAAGGCTTTAATGGTGAGTCAGCACAGATTTATTTCTAAAGAATTAGTGGTTATATTATACTGCATTTTTTTCTTTGCAAGTAATAGAAAAATACTATTCAATTAAATAATAAATAGTATGCTGCCCTTTATCTAAGAAAATTGGGAATTATATATATGTATGTAAGTATATATATATATTTGTTCACATTAAGAATGAAACCAATAGAAAGATAAAGCACAGAAATATTAAAACTTGATCTATCGTGGGAAGGAGAGAACAGGGTAGAGGGAACAGTAATAGAAACTAGACTTCTTTGAGTATATATTGTTTCTTGATTTGTCTTTGGAATTATGTAGGTTTTCACCTAATAACAAAACAGAATAAAATACATACAAAAAGAATTTCTAAAAATGTTTTAAAAGGAAAGAAAATAAACTTAACGATGTACCCAATAGAACTTTATGTGATGGTGAAAATGTTCTGTATCTCCACCATTTAATAGTAGCCTCTAGCTACATATGGCTAGTGGACACTTACAATGCAGCTGGTATGCTGAGAAACTTAATTTTAAGTTATAGTTAAGTCATTTAAATTATATTTTTACTAGCCATATGTGGCTAATGGCTACCATACTAGACAGCACAGAAACAGAATAGTCACATAGGAAGGAACTACTCCAGGTGATTTTAAAATTCAGGAATTTGATTGTATATCCCTCGGACAAAAATAACAAAATGACAAAAAGAACTTAAAAATAATATTAAATGATTTTAAGTTATAATACTTTTGAAAGTAATATTGTTACTCTGAGTCTGTTAGGTCTATACTGTGAGATATTTAATAAATCAAATGAGTAATTATGTCCATGTCCTTGAGAACTCAGATTTTTGGCATGATTGGAAGAAGATACAGATTGAAGGTTGATAAGGCTAATTTTTTTTTGTTTTTTGTAGACTGTGTTGCCCAGGTTTGTCTCAAACCCCTGGACTCAAGCAACCTTCCCACTTCAGCCTCCCAAAGTTCTGAAATTACAGGCCTGAGCCACTCTACCTGGCCAAAAATTTTTGAGGCTTCTGTATGAATTTGTTATATAGGTATCCTTAAGAAAATAATTTCCAATTCTGTTCAATGAATAGCCCTAGAAACAATGACTAACCCATTAGCAAGTACAACCCTAATGCTCAGATTATGGTCTCTAAATGCCTTTTGTCAGTAAAAGGAACCAGGACTCATTGGAGAAATGGATAATTCAGCATCTGGGGCAGATAATTTATAAGATAAATCTGAAACATCTTGCCATAATTTAAAATAGGGATGCTTTCAAAGACTAGTAGGATTGTGCCAAAAAGAATAAGACACAATTTGGAAAAACTTCTACTGAACAAAGATGGAAAAAATGTGTGTGCCATATGAATAACAAGGACAATTGATTGAAAAACTTCAAATACTTTATATCATAGGTTTATACTGATCCTTTAAAAGTTTAGATATCTTTTAAGGATGCTAGAGAACAAATTCATTATGATAAGCTAAATCATCAAGCAATTATTCTGTCTTTCCTGTATGAACTGTACCGCAGGGTGACCAAAGATAATTTCTCTTTGTAACACTGTTCTATCTAATAAATAAAGAAGTAATAATGAAATAAGAATATTACTATCTTCTAGCTCTTGAGATATTATTAATAGATCTGGGCAATGATCATTAATGAATAATGAATAATATTAATGAATAAATACATCTCAAAATGTGACAGAAGTACCCTATGATGAATATGCACTGCTTCTTTGTTTCCTTTTATTTTGTTTTGTTTGCTGTAATAACCCCCAATGAAAATTTTATATATTTATATATATATAAAATACACACACATTTTTTCATATATTTTTATTTCATGAGACAACTTATATACATACACGTATACATATATACATATTTTATGTATACAAAATATGTATATATGTATACGTGTATGTATATAAGTATGTAATATACTTATATACATATGTAATAAGTATGTATTATACTTATATATGTATAAGTATGTATGTATTATACTTATATATGTATAAGTATGTATGTATTATACTTATATGTATAAGTATGTATGTATTATACTTATATATGTATAAGTATGTATGTATTATACTTATATATGTATAAGTATGTATGTATTATACTTATATATGTATAAGTATGTATGTATTATACTTATATATTTATAAGTATGTATGTATTATACTTATATATTTATAAGTATGTATGTATAAGTATGTAATATACATACTTATACATACATATGTAAATGTATATACATATGTAAAATATGTAATAATATACATATTTTATGTATACAAAATATGTATATATGTATACATGTATGTATGTAAGTTGTCTCATAAAATAAAAATATACGAACAAGAAAACAAAATCAAACCTACATCTAATGAAGCCTTTAGATTTAACTACCAATTTACAGAAACTAGAAGGAACAGAAGACCTGATAAAGGATTCCATAGGTGGATAATTAATGAAATCTGACTGTGGCATTCCATAGGAAGGATCAGCAACTATGACCTGTGGGCCAGATTCGGTTCCTCACCTATTTTTGTTAATGCTGTTTTATTGCAATACAGCCTTGCTCATTTGTTTACATATTGTTTATGCTGTTTTATGATTGAACAGCAAAGTTCAATAGTTGAAACAGAGCTCATATGACTCTCAAAACATAATATATTTACTATCTGGCCCTGTATAGAAAAAGTTTGCTAACCTCTACTTAACATGACAAAATTACCTGATTTTATCAATAATAATAACAACAAAATACTTCAAGAAAAAAAGCTGGAGAAATATGTACAGAATGATGATGGGGAAACCTATAGACCTAGTGCCACTTAAAGAGTCTTGCCAACCAATCACAATATATGGACATTATTTGGATCTTGATTTAAACAAATATATTTTAAAGCAACTTTTAAGAAAATCAGAAAAATCTAAATATTGCTTGGGCATTGAAGACTTTAAGAAATTATAAGTGTTTTTTAAAGCTATGATATTAAAGTTACATTTTTAAGAGCTCTTATCTCTTAGGTGTTTATTCTGAAATGTTTACAGAAGAAATGATATGATTGATGTTCAGGATTTGCTTTAAAATAGTCCAGGGTATGGGGAGTGGGTAGAAATAGAGACGAAACAAGAATGACCATATATTGGTATTTTTGAAAGTAGTAACAGATAAATTGGATTAATTATACTGTTTATCTACTTTCACATATGTTTGAATATTTCCATAGTAAGAAAAGAATTTAAATGTCTTTTTGCATGGAACTTACGTTTTAATAGAAGAGAATGAAGTAATAAAGTAACTAAATGTAGAATTTACAGAGTTTGAGGAAAAAAGGATACCAGGTGTTGACAGGAGATGTTGAAACTTTTGAGTGACATGGACTGTGTGGTATCTAAGCCATACACAGTACCTCTAGGTCTGGAGATGAAGCCGGCTTCCTGAAGAGCACATGGGAAAACTGAGCAGCCTGCACTCAAGAGCCTGACTTCCTGGGTCAAAATCCTAACTCTGCCACTTATTAGTTGTATTACTCAGGTTAGTTACTTAGCCTGTCTATGCTTCAGTTTCCTCATGGTGTATAAGCGTTTGATAAATACTAAAAAAAAAATATATATATATATATGTCAATATGGGGATTGATGCTGAAAGTCTTTTAAAAATTAACAGCTTTCTTATCAGTACAGTGAGTTTTCAATATTCTAAAACAGTGGTTCTTAAATTTTAATGCACATCAGAATCACTTAGCAGACTTGTTACAATACATGTTTCTGGGCCCTACCTGACTCTTCAACCTAGATTTCTTAATTCAGTAGGTCTAGTGTAGAGCCTGACTTTGTCTACAAAACATTCCCATGTGATGATGATAATGCTGGTGTGGGGACCTGTAACTGTTTCATAAATAATTCCCTTATTCTGTTGCTGTCCATTTCAAAGGAAAAATAAATGCACTTGACTGTTTTTTGTTTTTTAAAGAAATCATTTGCTAATCCAATATTCATACCACAGAGGAAATGACTTTCTTAGGTTTGTCCCAAATTGAGAGAGTTTGCGTTTTCTCTTCTTGCCTTTTATGACTGAATGGAAAGAAAACTGTGCTTATGAGGTAAAAACGACATACCAGCTGCAGATTATTTTTCCCATTCTTTTTTTAATTAAAAGAATTCAACATAGCCAGACAATTTCTCACCTACTCATCTCCATCTAAAACAAGACACCATCTGTTATGTATCCACTTAATCAGAACCATGACAAATTGGAGCACACTCAGGTCTCTGATACCATATACCACTCCCCAGGAGTTTTTGACTAGACCTTTGAAAGGTCCTGATCAGAGGCTGAGGGGACAGCTGGCCATTAGACTGCAGCTGGATTCAATCAGAGAAGATGCCCCCAAGGACTCCCACCAAATAAGCAGGGTCAAACAGCCTGGCCAGGATGAAGTTGGAAAATGAGTTACCTGGTGTCTGGGAGGATTCTGAGTTTGATTTACTTTTCAAGAAGGTTAAGTTGCCTTTCAAAGCCAGTCTTTTTTCTCTTTGTGTCCATCAAATATGAAGCAGGGATGTTGAAAGTTTTCAGCATGTCCCCAATCTGTGCCTGGGCTATCACTGGGGAGCTGCCTTGCAGATAAAATGCCTCCATACATGGAATGGAGGGTCTAATTTCTTTTCCTGCCAGTCTGAGGTGACCTGTAGACTGGAGCCAGGTGATCCACACCACTTCAGAACTTCTCTCCAGCAGCTAGAAAGGTCTCTCATCTCTTTGCTGCTAACAATCCATTCGAGTTCAAGAGCCGAGAAAGCAGGTGGTCATTTGAAAGGAGAAGAAAAAAAAAATCAGAGAAAAGGAAACAGATAAAAAGCAATGTTGTAAGAAAAAGTGTAGTTGGAATTTGGAGACTGCAGTCAGGGGTAATGGGGTTAGTAACTGAAGTTTTAAGAAATATTTTAGGTGATTTTTTTAATGTAGGGTAGAGGGAATGAAGAATGAATATAAAGATACAGAAAAGAAAAGCTATGCAGATAATAACTGAAGCCTTAAAAGGAATTTTCAGGGTTAATGATCTGCTTCATGTCTCCACATACTTATCCATTAAAAAGTAAAAATTGTGTATATACTTTGAAACAGCTACATGAAAGGGGTTTCCACATTTTTCTTAGTAATCCATAAGTAATGCTGGGAAAAGAGGAATGTATGCTTAGTTTTGTAATGAATACAGTACATAGAACAAAATAAGCCTATAGGAATATATTTCTAGAATTCCAAAGAGAAATTGTTTATTTAAGGAGTAAGTAGGAGATAAGAAGTATTCAAAATGTTCTTAGCTCTTTACTTTTTTCTTTCTTTTATTCATTCATTTGGCAATTATTTATAAGAACCTGCTGTGTGCCAGGCACTTCAAAAAACCAGACATTTAGCAATGAATAGGAGAGAAATATTCTTCCTATCAACTTTTAGTAAGCCAAAGAATACCTAAAAATTTTTGTTGAAATGTAGATTTCTGGGCCCAAACCCAAGATTCTGACCCAGTATATTTGTGAAAAGGCCCGGAAATATGTACTTTTAAATATTAACTTTGGTGATTCTGATACAGGGAAATAGTCCTTGTAGGTGATCTCATGAAGTCTTTTAATGAAAAGAAAGTTTGTACATATGGCACTTCACTCCATTTGCCTTCTTCTCTACAAAAGAGGTCTAGCTGTAAGATGGTGTTATTAATTTATACTTCCCTCAGGAAGCCAGGTTTCTCCCCCTTGAAGAGGACATCGTAGCCAGACGGTACTGCCGAAGAATATAAGTCATTTCTTTCTTAGCGTCTGAGGGTCAAATTGCTCCCAGTTCTCCAGAATACATCTTAGGGGCGTTTTTGCCTTGGGGGAACGTTTCCCATCTGAAAAAAGACCATAGGGATGCCAGCACTCCTAGTTATTTTCCGATGAACATTAGTCCTAGAGCATCCTCTATGGTCCTAATGCTTATTCCTTTCCAGAGTGCGTAACCACCCATGGACCTCTGCTTATCGGATTAGTAACGCTCACCGATGTAGCAGTCCTGCACCCCTTTTCCTGCCTTTCTTGACCACAAAGAAAGGGATCCGGGCTACTGGATTTTAGTAGTCCTTTACCAGCATGCCCAACATTGCCTTTGTGCTCAGGGGTGAGTCCTAGAGCTGGGCTGGGTTCCTGAGTATTTCATAACAACCCAGCTGCCCCATCAAGATGCATTCCCATGAACAATAGTTCTTATGCAAATTCATTTAGAGAGGGTGTAGGTAAACTTTTGAGTCAGGATTGAGATCGTCTTTTTGATTCTGTAAGTACTTTAAGGCTTGGCTGAGTGCAAACAGTTAGAATGTTTGAGTAGACCAATTATTAGGCAATTCTCCTAACTCTGCTTCCACAAGAGTCTCCCTGTCAATTACTGAATGCCCATTGTGGTTTTTTTTTTTTTTTCTTCTCAATCACCTAGGAGGAACCATCTATCATCCTGTCCTGAAGGGAGTTCTTCTTAGGTCTGGTCCGGACCTTTGTATGGTAATTAAGATTTAAATCCCCTGTTAGGAAATCTGCTGGGTTAAGGGAATTATCAGTGGTTAGTGTTAAATTACCTTTTTCCAGCAGAATAGCCCCATACTTTAAGATTTTTGCTTTAGTAAGCTACTTTTTTGCTTTTCTGACTTAGAATAATTCTGAACTGGTGAGGTGTGCTCACAATGAGGTTTCCTCTAAAAATTACTTTTCTACTTTCTTCTGTTATCAAAGCAGTTGCCGCTACAGATTGAATGCATTTGGGCCATCCGTGGGTCACTGGGTTAAGGATTTTTGATAGGAAGGCTACGGGTTGTCAGGGGTCTCAGTGTTTTCAGACGCTCTTGTTTACACTGACAACAAGGTAGTATTGGAGTATTATAGGGTCACAGAGAAGAGCTTCAATTATCAATTATAGGTTTTAAATTTATCCTGGCTTTTAAAGGGATAGGGCGCACTCGTTGTTTTTGTTTTGTTTTCTTTTGTTTTTTGTTTTGTTTTGTTTTGTTTTTACTATTTCTTTCTTTCTCTCTTTGACTCCCTCTTTGGCTCTCTGCCTCTTTCTCCTCTCTGTCTCTCTCCTCTCTGTCTCTCTCCTCCTTGTCTCTCTGTCTGTCTCGCTCTCTGTCTCTATCTCTCTTAGCCATTTACAAACTTAGGGCCTTGGCAAGGGTGATGGGGAACGGGTCCCACATAACTGGCCATGTCGAGAGCTATATACCTAAGTCGGTAGGGACACCAGGGACGAGACTCCCTGGGTTTATATCTAGATGCCTAAGGATGCAGCACAGAGCTTCCTTAGATCCCTTTGGAGATACAACTTGCTAGAGGAAATGAAAGTCTGAACCATTACTACCTAGGAGGCAAGGATCAGAGGAAGTAGATTCAGAGGTAAGGAGAATTTCGGGGCTACACTTTCAAGAAAGTCGTGGTCAGGACCCAGGTGGTATGGGTCAGAAGGAAAGGTAGGGTGCGTGCATGGGCGACTGTTGAATAGAGACTTCTGGCTGCACAATGATCTCAACCGACTAATGCTGGGAGTTTGGGATGACAGCTTTCTGCCTCTAGTAGGCCCTTGGCTTCCCCAGGAAAATTGAAAGTGGAAGCTGGTTCTAGGCAGACAAATGCTCCCAACCCAGAAGGGTTGTTAGAAAGCCTTTCCCCAGGCAGCCTCACACCTGAGTCTTAAGTCCGGCGGCCATGCTAATCGTTTTTAACTGGCCGACAGGTGCCTGGTATTTTACTCCAATTCTAAGGAAGGATAAGACAGAATAGCAAGCGAAAGTGGTCCAATATTACTTACTGCTTTGGAGTTCCCATCTGGGTCACCAAAATGTTACCAGGGGTCCTTGCTCCCACAGCTCCCAAAGATGGTGGTGGGCCACTTCCAAGATTGTGGCAAGCTTCGTGTTCTCTGACCTGGGGTTCTTGGCCTCACAGATCCCAAGGAATGGAATCTTGGGCCATGTGGTGAGTGTTATAGCTCTATTAGAAGCCATGGGTCATGGAAGAGAACCATGGAACCCATTGACTAGTGTTCAGCTTGATTAGGACAAACCCGGGCACTTATCTGTGCAGGAACAATGGCAAGCCTTTAGCCCGATTGGGAGCAGCAATGGGCGCCTCGCTGGATCAGGAGCACAGTGGACACCCTGCCGGATCCGGAGGGATAGAAGTCAAGAGGTGTAACTGAAAGTTTTCTGACATATGGATTTTTTGTATTCCATATTTTGCTCTAAAAGCTATTTTTATTTGTCTTGTCATACTAAATCTGAATCAAAAGTAAAACATGGTACTCCCTTTAGCTAATGACAGTCTGTACCTCTACCTTTAACAATTAAGGCCCATCTTGAGTTCTCTAGGAAATCTTTGGTCAAAGCATGGTAGATCTTAGATTTTTGGTTCTTGGCCAGCAAAAACTCTTGAAGCACCACAGCTTCCTCCTTGCATATAAATTTTGATTTACAGTGGTTTCAGGTGTTCTTTGTATCCAAGGAAAGAAATTTATTACAAGCCATATTTTGTAATAGTAGAGCAATGACTCAGATTTATTAATCTTATCTAAACTATTTTCACAACATCTGGATTAGATGACTGTTTCCTTTTATAGATGAAGGATTAGAGGAACAGAGACTCCAAGTGCCCGAGTGGGTCGAATATTGCTCTTCATATTTCAGATATTATTGTTTAATCCTTATTGAGCCTCATTATAAATGTCAGGTCCTGTGACTAGCTCAAGGAATGCAGGGTTGAATCCACCACTGATCTTGTTCACAAAGTGGTGGAGAGACAGTAATATGTTGTTAATTTGTTGCCATGATTTATTTTTTAAACAAGAGGGTCATTGCTTATTCAGCATCCTGATGTACTTGGAACTGTTCTTCAATAGGTAGAGATAGGTTCATATTTTTCCATCTGCATTCAACCAAGCTTCCATGAGACAAATGTGGGCTATTTGGCAGATGATAACACCTCTTGTATTTCTGAAGCCCTTTATATTTACAGTGCTCTTTGCCATGCATAATTATACTTATTTGATGCCTGGCAGTTTTATGAGAATAGAGTGGAATTTACTGGCCAGTAAATGCTAGCACACTCTTTTGTGTGCCCTTGTAAGGATCACTTTCTAACAAACTTGGTGAATGACACCCTGATACTCTCTGATCAAACAGATTTCCAGAACAGTGTATGGAAAAATATTTAAAAGAGAAAAAAGTGTAGATGATTTTTCTGTGCTCCCCTCCTAATACACACTACTTTGTTGTGCCTGAAAGATAATAATGAGAAAAACAAAGCTTTACCTTCAGGTAAAAATGTCTTTGAATGAATCTTTTAGTGATTCCAGATGCTTAAATGCACATTTAGAACAGTAGTTTAAAAAATGTTTTCAGATAGAACTGTTTGCCTCTGATTTATTCCTCAAAATAATTGTCACGCTAAAAAAAATAAATCGTGACAATTACCCGAATAACAAGAGAAATGTGCCTGTGGTTAATTGTCAGTTGAAAGAAATATAATGGTGTAAATAGCACTTTTAAAAGATATTTGTCTTTTCTGTACCTTAAGGTTCAAAATTATGTCTCCTGATTTTTGAAGCACCAATCTTGAGTTGTTTAAATTCAAGGACCTCATCCGTACAGAGCTGGGAATTGCCAAGATATTAATACCTGCATTTTATGACACATTCTAAAGTCAATAGGAAAGAGGTTTCTGAATAAAAGCCTTAAAATTACCTTATGAATTATTAATTACAGGGCATATTACCTTTGAATTATAAAAGCCCAGAAAAATGGAGAGGAGAATTGAAAAACATCAATCTTGGGTTCTTTAAAAATGTAATACCAATCATTTGAGCAGTGTACAAATCTTTTATTAAAGATAAAAAAGAGGTGATACGTTTTTTATTAACTGGAGGATATGTTCAATCCACATGATTAAAAATCTCATTACTAACTCAAGTCAGGAAAGTGATTTATTACTGAAACAGAATGGGAGGCATTCGGTTGTCCACAGCAGCGTTTATCAGAAGTAGAACTATCAGTTTGTATCTATTTTAGCATGCTTAATATTTTTTAAAGGTGGCCTTGCCATCTGTTTGAAGAATTGAAGATATTTTTCTAAAGTTGGCAAACTACCTTACAGCAAAAACATTAGCTGTTTTTCATTTAGCTTAAAGTTTTAAGTTTTACAAATAAAGATTATGTCTGTGCTCTAATGAAGGTAAGGGTTTCCACTGTAAAGGAAAAAAAAAAAAAAAAAGAAATAAAGGCTGGAGTTCCTGTCCTCAATATATAAGTTCCTGTCCTCAATGTATTTTTTAAAAAAGGTTCTATTCATAAACATTTTTTATCAGAAGACAACTCTTTTTTTTTTTTTTTTTTTTTTTGAGACAGAGTCTCGCTCTGTCACCCAGGCTGGAGTGCAGTGGCACGATCTCGGCTCACTGCAAGCTCCACCTCCCGGGTTCACACCATTCTCCTGCCTCAGCCTCCCGAGTAGCTGGGACTACAGGTGCCCGCCACCACGCACAGCTAATTTTTTTTGTATTTTTAGTAGAGATGGGGTTTCACCGTGTTATCCAGGATGGTCTCGATCTCTTGACCTCGTGATGCGCCCGCCTCGGCCTCCCAAAGTACTGGGATTACAGGGGTGAGCCACCGCACCTGGCCAACAACTCTTTTTTTTTGTAAAAGGAGAGAAAATGTCATGTATATTTGAAATGGCAGGCAGAGAGATTATTATTATCTTTTAGATACATTGGTTCCTGTGATTGTTGCCATTTTGTTTTTAAGAGTAATTGTTATCTTTACTTTCTGAATGATTTCAGACTCTTAGGTCTTAATTGACTATCTAAGGTACTATATTTAGTAAAAAGTTCCTTATTAGTAACTAATTTTTTAGTATTAATGCTTATTTGTTCTTATCTTTAGTAAAATAATCTCCCAGATGTTAGAGAAATCAGTGAAGGCTGTTGATGTCAGGCTATCCCTCATGGACCTTAAGGGGAATTTGGAAGCTGAGTATGATTTGGCTGGATGGAAGGTGAACGACATTTAGTATAAAGAAACTGGTGCTGTCTTCTTAACATCCTCAGCTAAGGTTGAGCTTGGTGTGTTGGGAAGGTAGATAGAAAGTGGCTTGGGGAAAAATGGGGAGGAAACATCCTTGGTTGTTCATCAAAAGCTTAAAGAGAAAATTTTGGATTAGCTAAGACCGAGCCCAGTTATAGAAGATTTAGTACATGAGAATGAAGTTATAGGAAGCCAATCAAAGTTTTTAGAACAAAAGAGTGGTGGGAAGAGAAAATGAGCCATTCAGTTGACTGGGGAGGGAAACATTTAAGCCAGGGAGAGCAGTTAGAATGCCGTCATAATGATTCCATGGGCAGTAGGTTATGGAACTAAGCAAAAAAGTGATATTGGTCAAAAACATCTTGAGAGAAGAATTTACTAGATAAGAAGGCAAGAATTTACAAGATAAAGTTCTTTGTCACTGCTAAAAGGATATTCCTGGGATTTCAGGTGGTTATGCCAGTGCCACAGATCTTAGGAAGCACTTAAGAGGTTTTTCTAGAGCCTTTCTCTTCATGTATTTCTTCATGCATGAAGAGAATCAGACACCAAACTCTTTTAAGAACTCTGTTCTCCCAATAGAGATCATTTGACTCTTCCCATTCAGACTGGAGACAGCTGAAATTGCATCTGTGTGTTAATTTACAAATGGTGTCTTCAGGGATTGCTTATTTTAACTATCACTAGGAGCACCATGCTTCTAAGACTGCTTTGGAATTTGGGCTTCTAACTAAATATTAAGCAATAACCACCATGTTATAGGTGGCTGGTATCACAATGGATGTGAAAGATTGAAAACTTAGAAACATTTTCCTCTCTCATTTTAAAAAATAAAATTTAACTTAAGAATGGTTGCCATGGATATGGTCACATTGTCTAGTTTTTTTGGCACAGTTATGTGTGTATATTTTCTCTGACTTATATAGTGCATTCTGAAAAAGAAAGGCCTGTAGAGTCTCATGTCCATCTACCTATATTTATATATGTTTGAATGTGTATATGTACTTAAAAAACAACTGTGCTTCAAATGCAAAATGCCTGTAACAAAGCATCACATTTCTTCAAGCTGTTTTCTCCCCTTTGAGTATTTGAGTTTAGACAAATGCCTTTTCCCTGTTCCTTTTTTTTTTTTAAGCTGGCACATTCTTGTTCAATGAAAACAAGGGAGCAAGGGATTATTCTAGCCATTGAAATAGAAATGGTGTGTGAATCTGACAGCTGGAGCTTGGGTGTGAGATATTGCAATTTTTGCTGTAGGGAAAGGAGATAAAATGAGGGTTTGAATTTCATAGCATAAGGGGCTACCTAAATAGCAGCTGTTAGATATGAAATCCCTGCCGAAGATTAGAAAATGGTGGGGGTTAGGTCTTCCTAAGCCCAAAGAGTTGGAGGTGGGAGTGGAGGAGTCACGTTGCTTTATTTGAAGTGGATTTTTTTTTCCTTTTCTAACTCATGGCAATTGCTTTCTGGGTATAGAACTGCACATTCATAAATTCTCTTCACTTGCCTAGATTAAAAAAAAATACCTGTAGCCTTAGAGTTTTCATTTTGAAGGAGATGAATAATATCCATAGATTACATGAGCGAGTGCATGTTTTGAAACTGTTAAGATTGTTAATAACATTTCAGTGGGCTTGGTTTTGCATTTCAAGAGGGAATGTTGTAGTGAGTTTGATTTCCAGATGACAATAAAGTGATTCCTCTCTGAGTAGCACTTAGTTGATCACTTTTTAATGCAATTGTTATTCCCTTGTATTACAGATATTAGAATAATAGTATCCTATCTGTCCTACAAGATAGATACTTTCAGCACACCCATTTCCTCTCTCCCACCATCACACACCCTTCTGATGCTCCATTCACAATGTATTCTGTTCAGTTTCTCAAACACAACTTGTTATGTTTCATTCCTGGGACTTCAGAGCCATACAAAAATGTAGAAAATGACTAAGCTCCTATTCCTACTACCTCTCTGTCTTTCCTCCAAAGGAACCATTGCAAACAGTTGCTGGTGTGATGTGGAGTAATAGGTATTGTGGTGGACTCCCAAACATATCTCCCAAATTATTAGTCTAAATCAGTGGTTCTCAAACCTTTTGGTAAGGGAAACCTCTTTAAAATTATTGAAAACTCTTAAAGAGCTTTTATTTATTTGATTATATCAATCAATATTTACCATAGTAAAAATTAAAACTGAAAATAATTTTATGTTTAAATATTCATTTAAAACTAATAGTAATATTTCCATTACATATCAACATTAATAACATATATTATGGTAAGTAAATATTCTAAGGCAAAAAATTTTGCCTCAATTTGTAATTCTTCATCTCAACTGGTAATTCTTCAGATTTCCTCCTCTTATTATAAATTATATGATTCTAATCCTTTTAATTTGTTTGAGGCTTGTTTTATGGCCTGGCATATGGTTTATATTGGAGAATGTTCCGTGTACACTTCAAAGAATATGTACTCTGTTGCTGTTGGGTAAAATGTCTCTATTATGCTATAGGTATCTATTAGGTCTAGCTGGTTTATAGTGTTGTTGGAGACTTATTTTCTTGTAGATTTTCTCCTATAGTTTATATTCATTATTAAAAGTAGGGTAATGAACCTTGTTAAACTGTCTATTTTTCCCTTCAGTATAGTCCACTTTGCTTCATGTATTTTGGAGCTCTGTTTTTAGGTGCATATATTTTAAAAATTGTTCTGCCTTCCTGATGGATTGATCCTTTTATTGTTATAAAATGACCTTCTCTTTCTCTAGTAACTTTTTTTCTTGAAGTCTATTTCATATGATATTAGTATAACTACTCCAGCTGTCTTTCGAGTACTATTTGCATGGTATACTGTTTTATAACTTTTTACTTTCGATATATTTTTGTCTTGAATCTAAAGCATATCTGTTGTAGACAGCCTGGAATTATCTTTCCTCAGGTAGCCTGTGACCTATTCCCTCAGGTCATTAGGACCTCTTGGCAAATGTCATTTCCTCATCCATGCCATATTTCTGGTGCCTGGGACAGTGACTAATGCAACTCAGTGACTCAATATGTATTTGTTGAATGAATAAAATTTAATGTGATCTATCTAGAAAAAAATAAATTTTATGATTTAATGTTAAACAGAGTACAAAAAAATCTACTACTACAGTTTCAGAAATTACATGCAACTAATTATTAACAACCTACCACTTGTCAAGTTTTAGTGAGTTTTAAGGAAGCGCTGACCCAAAAGCAATTTCCAGAATTGCAAAATATAGACTTCCATCAAACTATTATTTTATAAAAGCAATGAGAACACTAGCACAAGTTGTCAAAATCAACTTTTTTTCAGAACTCTGAAAGTTAACCAAAACCATGCAACAATCTAAGGATGATTCACTCAATAAAAATGGCTGAATCTTGGTAAGGGCAGAGAACTTTATGATGTTTCAACTTGACTTATTCCAATTTCCCTCTCCCCAGGTCCACAGTAGCATTGAAAACCAAAGGAAAGGCCCTGCGTGGCCTGTTTAGAGCACAGCAAGAAAGCTTGCATTAAGGGAGTGAAGTAAGTGAGAGGAAGATACCAATGAGACTAGAGTTGATGCTAGAAGCCAATTTGTATAGAATCTGTGGGTCCTGGTAAATTTAGATTCTATTCTAAGGGTGATGAGAAGCTATTAGAAGCTGTTGAGTAAAGAAGTACCATGATCTGACTCATGTGTTAATGGTGTTAATGGAATTACTTTAATCTGTGCTCCTTTTTGAGTGGTTCACAATCTTCAGCTTTATCATGTCCTCGTCTCCCCAGCAAACCAGAAAGTTTCTTTGGTATGTTAAGATGCTAAGATGCTAAGAGCTGCCAGCTATTAATCTAACCTAAGTAGCTAGGAACCCTATACCCATATAGTAGACGAAAGAGTTTTAGGTTAAGACTTTGCTGTGTTTTTGTTTTTCATATTCATTTATGAAATCCTCTTTTAAAAACATTTGTAAAGCAAGCCATAGTAAGACTATCTTACAGCACAGAAATAATTATTTACCAAATACATTATTTATAGAGGAGAGGAAAGAGAAGATTAATTTTCTCCCCTTTTGTGTTTCCATTTATAATAAAAGGAAAGAACCAATCCTGAAACATTTTATTGGCAATCAGAAAGTAAACTTCATGCCATGGCTTTTTTTGCTATAACAGTAACAGTAACAGCAACGACAATTACCTATTTTTTTGTTAAAATGCAAATTAGAAAAATTATTTCTTTTTTAAAGTATTCTATGCTAGAGCAAACACACTTGAAGAACTAGAGTAAACACGGCTATGCAGAACTTGGCAAACTAGCTCCCTAATATTAATTCTTAATGAGTTGTATCAAGTATTCCATCTACTTATTCCAATCTGGGATTATTTTATTAGCAGTTTTTTGACTGTTTCTAATCAATTTCTGGAAATATCCAACTTTTATCTAATCTATAACTATTATCTATTTTTAGTACAGAGTTTTGGAGTGATGCCATTGCTATCTCTCCTAAGCCTATCTCTTGTGGTAGCCCTGGATGTCATATTTGAATATAATAATATTAGAGAACACAGATTAATTTGTTTTACATATTCAGAGATAGGTTTTTGGGGAAAGTGTTATGCAAATTTATGTAAATTGGAATGCATGTTTATGTAAAACAACATGTGATTATGCATCCCTAAATTTACGAGAAAAATTCTGCTAGTCTTCTCTTAAAGTAGGGAAAATACAAATATACTCACAATCCCAGTTTGGACTAGAAATCTTGCTAGAATGGTTTGTCTGGCATGTGGAAAGGCTCTCGTGTGCCATGGCATTGGTTGAGGATTCTGTGTTTCCTTTGCTGAAACATGGTTTTCAGCTTGAATTTCAGAGAATGTTGCCAATTTTATCTCTCCTTCTCTGCTTTCTTTTATTTCCGTGATGAAAGATCTTGATTTCCACTAAGTAATTCAAAATGGATTTGTGAGTTCTTACTCAATTTTATAAATAAACATACATTGGTTGAGGTCACTGCATTTGCCTTTTTGTAATGAACTGTCAAAAAGATAATGGCATGTCCCCAGCTTTCTGACACACTTCCCGTGTTTTTTTTTTCTTTTTGAAATGCATAGAAATAACATTGCTTCATCCTCTATGGCTAGGGCGACCACAGATGTATTTTGTCCAAACAAGTATTCCTTTGAAAGTGACTAGGATTATATCACTTTTAAGGGTTAAACCAGGACAGTTCCAGCAAAATTGACATGTGATTGCCCTAACTATGTTTAATTCTCAGTCTTTTTTTCCCCTTCGGCAAGTTTATGTGACTGGTCCATTTCATGATTCATTCTAATTTTTTTTTAAATCTCAAAGCCCCACAATTTTTATCAATCAGATGTTCTCTAGAATTCTCATTACAAGAATGTTACTTTCATGTATCATGTTTTAACTGTTAGTTGTCAAATTCCTTTTCCTCAGTCATACTTTTATACTGTTGTTGGACTTAAGATATTAAGAAACAGAAATTTTTTTATTTGGTTTTATGTTTCTGCTTCTTGTGGCAGCAGGGAGAGAGAGATGAGGAGAGAGAGAGAGAGAAAGAGAGAGAAATTAAGATATGTTTTCCCATCCTGAAGCAACCTCAGGCATCATCTCTTTTCCTCACAAATTCTGTCAGTTGCTTTCTTTTCTCATGTCTGCATATTGCCAATCTGAGAAAAATCTTACCTTCCAGGAAGGGCTTAAGGCTGTGATAAGCAAAAAGCACTGCATGTTGTAATAACTAAATGGTGAGCTATTTTACTTGCTGGAGATGATTCTATTCTCCCAACCAAGTCTAATGGCAGTTGAATGAGACATCTTGAAAAGAGAGGAGATCGTGTGAAATTTATGAGAAGGTTCTTGGAAGGGGGCAGTGTCCTAGCAACCTGGGGGTTTAGGTGACAGAAAATTGAACACATTTCTGGTGTCTTTTATTCAATGATCTTAAACTCTTTTCCACTGTTGATCAAATATAATAGGATTTTTTTTTTTTAAATAGATCTCACATAGGAGAGAGAGCAGAGTTGACGCAGTTCCTATACCTTTGAGAGCACAGGACAGGGCAATGAAAAGAAAGCTAGATTGGCAGTCAGGAGAGTGTGATTCTACAATTTACTGTATTTTTGAGGCTTGTTTTTACTAATATTAAAAGGTGTGTGTGTGTGTGTGATAATTTTCTACAAATGACCTACTCAAAGTTTGGAGGAGCAAATAAGACATTAATCATTGAAATACATCAGGCATCATATCAATGTAAGTAACACCACTATAAAGCGAGGTGTCTACATAGCAGGAATGAAATAGAAGTTAATTAAATTATTACTGAATGATCAAGTGAGAGTATTAATGTGAACTTCCAATTTCTTTACCCTATTCTAGCAGATAAACTTTCAAAAAATCCCTGATCTTCTAAAACATACTTAAAAAAAGAGAGAGAGAAAGGCAAATTAATTAATCTCAGGACAAGCAACTTCCTCTCAGATGGTTAGTCATGATATTCTGTTGCCTCATATCCTTTTAGGAATAAGGCAAAGTATGAATATATGAATATATAAAAATTCATGTGTCTTGAAGTGTGTGTGTGTGTGTGTGTGTGTGTGTGTGTGTGTAAAAAACCAACAACCCTAACTTTCTATTTCTTTAAATTTCTTTTTTTTTTTTGAGATGGGGTCTCACTATTTTGCCCAGGCTGGTCTCCAACTTTTGGGCTCAAGCGAGCCTCCTACTTCAGCCTCCCAAAGTGCTGGGATTATAGACGTGAGCTACTGCACCCACCCACTCGCATTCTATCTGCTGTGAACTTCAACTTTAATCTGTATTATCACATTTTGGAGAACTTACTAAGATATCCTTATCCTTGTTAAGAGATCAAGGTGAACTTTATTCTAACCCTACTATTTATCCCTTCAATATAAGTAATACTACTATAAAGCCATGTATCTACATAGCAGGAATAACATAAGAGTTAATTGAATTTTTTATTAAATGATCAAGTGAAAGTATTGATATGAAATTCTAGTTTCTTTTCCCAGGATATTGTATAAAGGAAATGCATGATTAAAGGGCAATAGTTACATGGAAAACACATTACTGCTTCAGTAATGGCTAAGGAAGCATGTTACACACACTGCTTACCCTAACCCTCCCTTTCCTCACCTCCCCCTCCATCTGGTCTGAGGGCAAAGCTTTCTGGTAGATATATAGGAGTATAGCTTGGGTTTGGAATCCAACTGGAGACTCTTTCTTTCCCCAAATTTTGAAACTCTTATATTTGAGAACACTGAGAGAGAGAGAGAGAGGAGAGAGAGGAGAGAGACCTGTTACTGGGCCCTCTTAAGTGCATTTACTCACCAGCTGCATGATGGACAGGAGAGAAGAAAACAATTTTCCTGCTCCTATGACTGCCAACCTGTTTGTGGCTATGAGACAGACAACAGGAAGAGCGTGGTTTATTGCCACTAGGCCACAATAGTCTTACGCACTAGTAAAATATAGCCCAATTAATACCTCTGGTGACTACCATTCAGAATATCAGGTCATCCTTTTTGGAGAAGGAGCTGCTGATAGATGTGGGCAGTAAGACAGAAGATCTCTCACCTTCCATAGAGAAAAGGAGATGTTAGCTCTCTCTGCTTTACTTATCATTTGTCTTGCAATAATTACAGGTTTCAGGAATAATCTTGGTCTGTGATTTCTTGTTCTTCAAGATAACTAAGAGTCTTTGAAAATTCTAATGTAATGTATAAGCAGTGTTAGATGTGGGCTCTTTCCAGTGTGATGAGCTTAAATTCTACATCCTACAAGCAAAATAGTCAATAAAATCCACCCCTCTATTTACAGTCTCAAAAGAAGATATGTCCAGGGAAGAGCAGCTGCTCTGTTTTCTCACTTCCCTTGGCTAATCACTGTCTCCCCACCAATCTCGTTTGTATCTTCTTTTAGTACAAGGAACCAACTAAATGGTATATATTGAGTCATTAAATATATTAGGCATTTAAGCCATTGCTAATTGTCAAACATATTGCAGAATTGTAGCAACACATCAAATCTTAATGATGAGCGTGCTTCTTTATATGCCTCCCTTGATTTTATCTCCTGAGCACATGTGTGCACACAAACACACACATGAAAGCTTCCATGCACACATACACATGTTCACATAGCAAAGAAAATGCTTTCTGTACAGGGCTGTTTTTCTTTTATGTAGAATGAATTGCATATGCCAGAGATACAGTCCTATCTCTGGCATTGTCCAAGCTCATAAAAATTCGCTATCTGCTTCCCAATAAACACGGCCAAGAAGAAAGTTAGTAACTACACTAAACTAGAGAGCTAATAGAGATTGATATTGGATAACTATCCCAGGTTGTTCTGTATATTTTTATTGTTAACGTATTACCTAATTTAACATATCGAAAGTCTGAAACCAAGTAGAGTTATAATCTTGATTGAGCCATTGTTAAAGCTAACATTTGAGTACTTACTAGTTTTCAGTTCCTTGCTAAACATTTTGAAAGCCCTACTTCATTGAATTCTCACTCTAGCCCTCAGATGAAGCTCCTAGTACATCCCCATTTTATATCTAAAAAGAGTAAAGAAGTTAAAGTCTTATTTGTGCATGACAGAATTACCTGTAAATCCAAAGCCTAGACTCTTAGCAATTTATTATTCTGTTTCTTTTTCATCATTTTTTGTCTTCTTATATTGCTTTTGTTGTGTACACTCATCACAGCAGATATAAACCTGGTTATTCCGATGCATGGTTATCTATTTATGGGTTGGACAGGTGATTGGATCTAAAAAGTGGCATTCATTTGTTTTATATGCCTATGAATATGTGTGTGTGTACAAATATATATATACACATACACACATACATTTATGTTCTTAATATACTTACACAATTTCTTAAGATTTGTTTTTAAGAGACAATGCAGAGTACTGAATGAAACAAAGATTGCATTGTTAGATTCCAAGAAAGAACATAATGTTTAACAGTTGCTAGGCACAATGGGACAGTCTTATTCCCTCCCAGTTTATTAAAGTAATGCCATTTATTGTTTAACTCTGCCAACTATTTCAGATGGCTTTGAATACTGACTCAGTAAATGCTTTACTGAAACAGTCATTAAGTTCTCCCACTCCTGGGGCAACCAAATTTTTATCTCTCAAGATGAAATAAAAGTGATCTGAATGTTGCCCAAATCAGCATCTGAGAGGGAGGAGAAAGGTCACTCATGAATGGAATCATGTTCTGACTACTTTGCGAAAAAGGAAGCAAGTCAAATTGTAAGTCATGCACTGCTGATTTAACGTGTGGGAACAAGAAAGACAGGAAGACGCTTAGAATGCTGGAGAAAGTTATGTGCCTGCCAGTGTCATAAAATTCTCTTTGTAATCCAAGAAAAAAATGTTATACTGTTGGAAATGATCCGAATTTGGCTGCAATCATTTCCTATTCGTATATCTTAGACGGTTATCTGTGGCTCTTTTGTGATGTGAATGATTTTGTAGCAACAATTTTCCATTAGGAATTATAAATTAATCACCACCTGAACCAGTGCAATTAGCCTAACTCTTCAGTCTGGGACTCTTCAGCTTTCCAGGGAGGGCAGCTAGAGTGTGAGGGTGATCTGGCCTGGAAGGAAGAAGCAAGGATGTTGCCAAGGCAGTTGTCCTTGGAGCTTCCCCCTCCTATTTCCTTAGTCACAAAAGCAATACCCTGTCACTTACCCCTTGATACTTGAGACATCACCTTTCTCTGCTTCGTTCCTCTTTTGCTGTCCAGTGCTAAACTGATTTTTAAATTGATTTCACAAATGCATGATGATAAAGGTAGATCAAAATCCCCACAGAGGTGAGAGCTTCTTACTGTCCTTACACAAGGCCTTGGTATCAGACAATTGTTCTCATAAAATAACGCTTGAAATAGACAAAGTACCTGTCATGAGAGTATAAATTTGGGTCCTCCTAAGGAATTGATGTGTGATACCCATAACCATGATGAGCACTCACTCTAATTCCACAGCCTCATCCCTTGCTTTGTGCCTATTAGTTCTGTGACTCTGAATAACCCAAGACTAAGTTCTTGATTTGTTCAAACTGTGACTTCTCTTGGCAGCTAAGTGTTTCACTCTAGCCACGACCCCTCACCCACTTACTCTAGAAACTAGTACTGTTAACCTGTTCTTAGCCTTCAACAGTTTGATCCCTATTCTATCCCTATTTTGGGTTTCTTAGTTATCTTTTAGTGCAGAAAGCTTCTGCCTGTGCTATCTCATCACACAGCTATGATACAGCATGATTATACTTCTAGAACCCCTACAGAATAGTTTGTACCTTAATTTTTTTGATAGATTAAAATGGAAGGCTTTAAAAATGAAGAATAACTGAGTGCTTATTTTAAATTTAGGTAATACTGAAAGGATTTTGTTTCCTTTTTAAATTTTGTCATGCAGCAACTGTTAAGCAGAAAGAAATGTGCTTTTGTTCATTCTGTTTATTCAGACATACCTTTATTGATCATCTACTATATTTATGTTTCAGGCACTATGTTTAAATGTTATTTTTAATGTTTGTTTTAAATAAGAAATAATTTCATGACTTTCAATGTGATGAAACAAGAATTGAAGAGAAGAAATAGTGTCTAAATTATGGGAACTTTCAAGAAAAGATGGTGAACAAGAAACAAATTAGAAGACTAGTTCAATATATTTTGGCACAACTATATTTTGGAATGTAATGTATTCTCATTACATTCAAAGAGCAGGATTCCACAGGGATTAAGAGAAAGCAGCTTTGTCCCTTTCCTCTGGATAAGATATTAGGTTGGTACAAAAGTAATTGCAGTTTTTTACCATTACTTTTAATGCCATTACTTTTAATGGCAAAAACTGTGGCTACTTTTGCATCAACCTAACAGTTTTCTCCCATTCCTTGGATGAAGTCCAGGGGAGGTCCATGAGTTTTCTGGTCATATTTTGATAATAAAAAGGCCCATAATTACTTTTAGCTGCCATCTAATTTTAATAATTAAAATGACCATTTCCACAGTGAAAATTCTGAACTACATGTAGAATTGAAGATATTTATTTTCCTCTGCTGAGTCTAGAGACTTCTGATGAGAACCAGGGGTGGTCAGCCTTCTCCTTCCCTGGCATTCTCTTTCTCTTCTCCTCCCACCTCCTTTGCCAAGACTTCTTAAACCCTCTTAATAAGGCTGGAAAAGGAGAAGTGAAAGGCAGGGAAGTTGTTACTTTACAGACATTTTTATAACTTGGCATTGGCAAACTTTGGTATCTAAATAGGTGGGTATCTAGAATAGTCCCTTCCTGGAAACTGTTGATGTTCTCTGGATGTTCACTACGGGGTCGTTTAGGTGGTATAGGTCTCTAACATGGCACAGCACTGTCCCCCTAGCTCCTGCCCCTGATGGTACATCCCACAGCCGCTTATTGCTGAGATGCCTTCAAGGCATCTCCATCCCAGTTTCCTCTAGTAGGATCCACTTGGGCCTCAGGGGAGTTCATGTGCTCTTGCCATACGAAACAGAGGAGTAGTTCCCACTGTCATCCTCATTTTCTCCTGTCACAGACTTGCATTTAGTCATCTCAATTCTTGGTGAATTTCAAGCACCAGTCCCTGTGTGCTCTCACATCTCAGAAAACACATATCAAATACCACCAGGTCCTTTTAAAGCCTTCTCACTTCTTGAGATAGAAGGGAAGTACTTCGGGCTGGGCACGGTGGCTTGTGCCTGTAATCCCAGCACTTTTGGAGATGGAGGCAGGAGGATCACCTGAGGTCAGGAGTTCGAGACCAGCCTGGCCAACATAGTGAAACGCTATCTCTACCAAAAATACAAAAAATTAGCTGGGCGTGGTGGCAGGTGCCTGTAATCCTAGCTATTCAGGAGGCTAAGGTGGAAGAATCGCTTGAACCCGGGAGGCGGAGGCCGCAGTGAGCCCAGATTATGCCTCTGTACTTCAGCCTGGGCAATGGAGCGAGACTCCTTCTCAAAAAAAAAAAAAAAAAAAAAGAAAGAAAGAAAAAAGAAAAAAAGAAAAAGAAGGGAAATACTTCTTTTCCTTTTCCCTAACAGGGTAGTAATCTGAACTCAACAACTGTTTTCAGTGAAATATTCTCTTCTGGTCCTTTTTTTGTTTTAACTTCCTTGTATAAAGTGCATACTTATCTCTGAGTGTAGAGTTTACAGATGATTTTTATTTTTACTCCCTGTGCTTTTTTATATTTTCCAAGTTTTCTGGAATGAAATGTCTATTTTTAAATATTCTCAAAATTAAGATTGATTAACATGGGTGCTGCATATTTTAAGCACTCACCTGCACAAAGGCAGAAAATAGTAGTTTCTTACTACATGACATGTAATAACATTACCTGTTTATCCAACACAATTATATGAGTTTTGCAGTGCTGTTGTTTTGAAAGTTATAACGTGATCTCAACTTGGCATTTTATTTGATCAATGACATTGTAGAGAAGTGCTAATATTAGTAGTGAGAAACAGAATGGAATTTCTCCTTCATCCATTTTATGACAGAGTGAAAAGCCTTCTAGTAGAAATATTTGCAAGAAACTGCTGTCTCCAAAGGTTAAAGCATTTGGCCTCCCTAATTCTACTTTCCTTTGGTGGAGGGAGGGAGGAACCTCATGAGTTCTGAGGATCATGTTTATGAGGTATAATATTATGATTACTGGAATTAAAAAGTATGTAAATAGCCAGGGCAACATAGCAAGACCCCATCACTACAAAAATTTTTTAAAACTAGCTGGACATGTGGTACACTGTGCCTGTAGTCCTCACTACTCAGGAGGCTGAAGTGAGGATTGCGTGAGCTTGGGAGGATCACTTGTGCTCAGAAGATTGAGGCTTCAGTTGAGTCATGATTGCACCACTGCACTCCAGCCTGGGCAACAGGGCAAGACTTTGTCTCAAGACCTTGTCTCAAAAAAAAAAAATTATGTTTAAAACATCAAGAAGGAATTCAAGTGATAATTAAAATAACCGTGGTGTACAATTGTCTGTGGTGTACAATTTCAGAGTGGGGATGGGGTGTGCAAAGATGAGTAACTGATTGCCCAATTGCCCTCAGTCTCTTTCCCTTTTAGGGGCCTGTGTTATCTTAAGAGTATTATAGCTGACAGCTAGGATGAAAACAGGGCATCATTTCCAAATGATTTCACAATCACCCATGTAACCAGAATTCTTTATAAAGAAAAAAAAAGAGCTTATGTTGGCAAATTCAAATAGAACACAAGGAGAAATTTGAAAATAAATTAATCACCTTATAGAGGGTACCTTAAAGAACAATATGAAGAAGTATCCAGTGATTTTCCTGTGAACTTGTGTACACAGAGTTAAGATTATCCAAACAAAAATAATCTAATTTCAGTTAACAATACAAACTTAAATGTAATATGTGGTTTATGTTAGTAAGTTACTAAGCTATGCAAAGCTTATCATGGTTGATATTGGAATTTGAAAATACCAAGTATAATACCACTAAATTCTTCACTCTTAACCCTTTTTGCTTATGTAGTCAACCAGTTGTTCTCAAACTATGGACCTAGGGCCAGCAGCATCATTACCTGGGAACTTGTTAGAATTGTAAATTATAGGGACCCACCCCAGACCTACTGAATTAAAATCTCTAGGAATAGGACCCAGCAATCTGTGTTTTAATAAGCTTTCCAGGTGATTCTGATGCACACTAAACTTGAGAACCATTGAACTAGAAGAAACAATTTAACATTCCTACAGTAATTCAGTCTGATCTAATTAAAAGGCTATGCCTGATGATTAGTGAATTGTGTTTTAATTGTATTTTGGTGAATTAACTCAGGAAGTAAATATTCTTGCCATGGAGATAAAAGAATTTTATGACAGATATGCATCAGAACAGGGATTAGTAGATTCTTACATTATTTAATCCAGAGTTCTAAGAAAATGCCTGAACTACAACTGTCTCCAGTATCCATCTATCATAATGGACACTGACATCCACTTCAAAGAGAAACTTCTGTGAGGGATTTCTTTGATGGAGATAGGTATATTTTCATTGCATTATGCTATTTGTGGGTGAGTTTTTTCTTTTTGTTTTTTGTTTTGTTTTGTTTCTTTTTTACAGATGGAGTCTCGCTCTGTCACCCAGGCTGGAGTGCAGTGGTGCTATCTTGGCTCACTGCAAGCTCCGCCTTCCGGGCTCACACCATTCTCCTGCCTCAGCCTCCCGAGTAGCTGGGACCACAGGTGCCCACCACCACGTCTGGCTCATTCCTTGTATTTTTAGTAGAGACGGGGTTTCACCGTGTCAGCCAGGATGGTCTCGATCTCCTGACCTCGTGATCTGCTGGCCTTGGCCTCCCAAAGTGCTGGGATTACAGGCTTGAGCCACCACGCCCGGCCTGAGAATATGTTTTAGCAAATGAGTTGATACACCGAGCTGGTGATTACAACGTGAGAACAGGACATCGTTATAGGTAACTATTAAGAGGAGCAGAAGGAAAAGTCTAGAACTTGTCTGCTGCAGGTCCTCTTTCTATTCCTAGAAAGAGACATCAATCTGGCCCATGGGTGGCTTAGTTCTGAGGCAGAGAGAGACACAAAGAGAAAGATTATTCCATAATACATGATCCTTACTTTATAATGTGTCTCATAACATAAGTTCAAAGCATAGCATTAAACATCAGGAAAGGGGGAAAAGGGGAACTGAAATGACATCAAATAGAAAATGTAAAAGAAAACAAAGTTCGTTATGTAAAGTGTGAAATATTCTAGTTGTTCTGTAGCAATACAGAAATCATGGAGAAATCCCACCAGGACAGGCCATATTTCTCTATCATAATTTCTCTACCGTAATTTTTTTTTACCCTGCCCCATGACTTCTGGTGTTCTGATGTTCAAAATTGTGTCAATGTGAAATGTGTAGCTCCTGATGGAGGCATGTAGCACATTACCTACAGCTTGAGATGTAGGTTGAGCTGCTTGAGAGGATGGAGGTGCTTGAGGTCCCTGGGCAGAAACGAGGTTATCTCTGGGTCTTTGGCCCCTTCTAGGAGATATATGTTTCAAGACTGCTCTGTTGAGCTCTTTCCACCTTCCTATGGCACTTAGTGGGGCTATTTGGCAGGGTAGAATAGTGCAAAATGGTTTGATTCATTCAAATTGGAATGGGTTTCTTAATGGCTTCCCCAATTCTCCAGTGATACTGTATTTGTTCATTCTCACACTGCTAATAAAGATATACCTGAGACTGGGTAATTTATAAAGGAAGGAGGTTTAATTGACTCACAGTACCAAATGGCTGGAGAGGCCTCAGGAAACTTACAATCATGGCAGAAGGGGAAGCAAACACTTCCTTCTTCACATGGCAGCAAGAGAGAGAAAACTAAGTGCTCAGCAAAGGAGGAAGCCCCTTATAAAACCATCAGATCTCATGAGAACTAACTCACTATCATGAGAATAGGATGGGGGAAATCACCCCCATGATTTAATTATCTCCACCTGGTCCCTCCCATGACACATGGGGATTACAGGAACTACAATTCAAGATGAGATTTGAGTGGGGACACAGCCAAACCATATCAGATACCAATGGTGAAAGAGCACACATAGGACAGGAAATACTGAGAATTTTGAAGGATTCTCAATGGTTAGGGTTGTGCTTGGGAAAAATAGTTCTTGTCCACAGGGCTGTGCCACCATTTGTCAGACCTTCTCCAGTTGATTTGTTCAATTGTAGAAGTTCTTGGCCTGCAGAGGACACCATATTGTTGGCAGTGAAAAAGGAAGCAACAAGAATGCTGTATACAAGATGATTTGGAGCATGCAGGGACACTATAAAGTTTATTTGCAAGCAGTAGATTCAGGGAAAGATGTCAGAAGCAGCATTGGAGAGTTTAATGAGGACTGATACCTCTTAGTCCACAGGAAAATGGCAGAATCTTGGCAAGAAAATAATAATTTTTTAAAATGTAGAGTGAGCCAAATTCAGGAATTTGTCCCTATATAACTTGGTGAATTTTGCCACCTGTACAAGTAGTGGATTTTCCTCAATGTGTTCTAAAATTGCTGCTTGGCACAGTTATTCTGCGGAGCCAAGGGGAAAAAAAAACAACAGAAAACAAAAAACAAAACTCTTTTCTTCTTATTATTTTTCCTTTCCCACATAGAATCAACTTGTGGATTGCATAAACCACAGGATATAATTCCACTATTTCAGCCCAAAACTTTCCCATCTGACCAAAGACAATTGCAAATATGCTAAACTTGCTTTAATGAAAAGTCATTCTTTACATAGCTTACATCTACATAAGATGACAAGTCACTCAACAGATAAAGGATTCTTTGTCTGAATCAAACAATAAGCCAGCTTTTCCACCAAAAAAAAAAAAAAAAAAAAATGCCATTCTATTCTGAACTGAATGCACTTTCAACTAATGCTGTCTTCAGGACCAAAACCAAAGGAGGCCCATCTGCTAGGAAGGCCAAAAGCCCATTGTGTGGCACATCAGTCCTGTCTGTTATGGAAATGGTCACTCTAAAACTGTTTACAATTTAAAACTGCATACTGAGAATTATGTTAACCTCCATTGACTGACTTCTGTTAAATGTGCTATTAAGAATCCAGTTTACCCTGGTTTTCTCTAAAATGTGCTCAGGTCAGTCAGATAGGTACATTATGAATGTCAATTGTCATAGGGTAAAAGTTGGTACCTCATTAGCTCAAACACACGAAGCATTTGTTTCCGGTTTTAACAGGGGCTCCCTTGCCCCGGGATTATGGGAGCACTGATGGAATATAGCCTTATGTGATGATGATTTGAGCTCCAGGGATAAATGCTGATTGAACAAGGCTGAAAGGCCATAAAGGGTGAACTATGACATCACTCTGCAAATCTGGCTGTGCATCTTCTGCTGAGCGTGAATACTTACAGATGTTATAACCTGAGTATCAAGTCAAAATGAGATGATGAATTAGATCAGTTACTACATGGTAGACATGCCAGTCATGCTAATGCTTAGTAAATATAGTATACTTTTAATGATGATTACCAACACTCACATTTATTTTCTTTTGTCATTTAAATTATCAAGATTGTTAATACATTTATCCATTCACCGGTAAACTGCAATTTAATTTTCTTTCTTTATAAATGTTTCTTTAACATATTACTGAAAAATAACCTAAAAGCACCTTTGTCTGATATTTTCATGTCCTTTCTCTAACGTTGTCTTTTAAATGATTACAGCAATAAAATGAAATTGCACCTCTTAATATTGTTCATCAGGCCAATTCACTTGAAAAAAAAGTGACATACACACACACAAATTATTTCAGTGTATAGGTCTACATCAGCCAAAATAGGTTATGGTAACTTACCACTTTCTGTGAATTCAAATTTTCAGTCGAACTACTGAATTCAACCTGAAGTGAAAATCAGATCCATCTTCCTCGTGAGTAGCTAAAACCACTGCTAAAACTCTTGTCCCAATTTTCTTGCTTTTTATCCAAACCAAAATTGGAAAAAGGTTGATCATAACCTTGGGCTAACCTTCCTGTACTTGAGTACTTAGAGGAAATTGTAATTTACTTTGCATTTTCTAAAATACCCTATTTTGCAAATATTTTGACTTTTTGACTTCTTTATTAGGTATCATACTAATTTGAGAGCTAACAAGGGTCTTACAAAAAGTACTAATTTTAAAATACACAACTTTGGTTGGAATTTCAACTCTTACTCTTATTAGCTTTGTCACATTAGCTGTGTCTCTAGCTTACTTTTGGAAAAATAATAGTGTTGTTTCAATGTGAAAATACCTTGTACCTAATAACGAACGATACAATTAGTGGTTACCGAGCACTCAATATTTGGCAAAACCTGGAGCAAGGCCAGCAAATAAACCTAATGGGAAGGCCTATAGCCATGCAAATATGGAGGCTGAACTCTGTCATGGCAATGCACACTAGGTGGCTTAGCCTTCTGCAAGAACATTAATCGGCAAAGTCCTAACTAAGCAAAAAGGAGAAAGAAAATCTCTGGAAAAAAAAAAAGTACTTTATGAATTTCTTTTTTTTTTTTTTCTTTGAGGCAGAGCCTTGCTCTGTTGACCAGGCTGGAGTGTAGTGGCGTGATCTCGGCTCACTGCAACCTCTGCCTCCTGGGTTCAAGTGATTCCCCTGTCACAGCCTCCTGAATAGCTGGGATTATAGGCACACACCACCACGTCTGGTTATTTTTTTGTATTTTTAGTAGAGACGGGATTTCACCATGCTGGCCAGGCTGGTCTTGAACTCCTGACCTCAGGTGATCCGCCTGCTTTGACCTCCCAAAGTGCTGGGATTACAGGCATGAGCCACTGCACCCGGGCTATATATTTAATTTTTACACAGATTATAAAATAATTCCAGGCCAGGTGTGGTGGCTCACACCTGTAATCCCAGCACTTTGGGAGGCCAAAGGGGGCGGGGGGGGCAGATCATGAGGTCAGGAGTTCGAGACCGGCCTGGCCAGCTTGGTGAAACCCCATCTGCACTAAAAATACAAAAAATTATCCGGGCATGGTGGCGCAAGCCTGTAATCCCAGCTACTCGGGAAGCTGAGGCAGGAGAATTGCTTGAACCCAGAAGGCGGAGGTTGCAGTGAGCCAAGATCATGCCACTGCACTCCAGCCTGGGTGACAGAGGGAGACTCCATCTCAAATAATAATAATAATAATAATAATAATTCCTGGTTTTGGTGTTAAAGCATAGCAGGGTAAAATCTGATTAGGTTAGGAAAACAAATATACCAGGTTTCAATTTATTGTCTCTGTGTCCCAAATCTACCCTTCTTTGCCTGCTATGTGATAATGGAAGTAGACTTTATAAATATTTCTCTTTTGCCAGCTAGAATGATAGTCTTGCCTATTGAAAAGGCCAGGGGGACACTGGAGGAGAAAGGGGTGTATTTCTTCTTGGTTCTATTGTTCCTTTAGATCAGCTTCCTGCAGCATGCAGCTTTATCCATCATTTGGCTCCTACAGAGTGTAGTTTCTCTAGTGCTAGGGTCCGGCCCACCAGTTTCTCTGGGTTCTCCAGCATATATGCCATGCAAAGCACTGCTTCTACAGATCTTGGTTCCTGCAACAGGAACCAGTGGCCAGCAGCTTTCCCCAGTACCTCTTTCAGTGCCTTCATGACAGAGTATTGCTGATGAGGTACCTCCCTTTGAATGACCTCTCTTGGCATTTCTTACGTGACTTTCACAGAAAGTTCTGAGGGGCAGTACCTTCCTGAGGATAGATTCCCCTGCAGAGGAAAATCTGCAGAGGGCAGATTTTCAGCAGGTTCCACCAGCAGGGCTCCTCAGCCATTTATCCATCTTCAAGAGAGGTCTAGCTGTGCCCTTTCCAAGGAAGTCTCAATCTTAGTCTGGTTGGGCAGAAGTGTCATGGTTGACTCTTCCTTGGGCACTCTATCTCAGCTGTAGTGTAGTGGCCATCTCCTCTTCCTACTATTCCTCTAATGCTTATACTTCTCTTTAACTCTTCCTAGCCAATTTTTTATTACTCTGATCTTCTGTTGATAATTCTTGATATTAAATTTTCCCTATTCAAAATACTGTGTGATTTCTAGAAGCTAATTGGACATGGACTGATATGATCAAATTTCTACTTTTCCTTATCTTTTATTGAAACCATTGCTGAGCATCAGTAGGCCTCTTGAAATCTTAAGAGGATAGTGAAATATGAGTAAGAATTCCATCAGATTTTAAGTATTTGTTTACTTATTGATAATTATTAAAAGAATTGAGAACTAATTTGGGTACCCTTTCAGAAAAGTCATCCAAATCTTAAAAGGTAATGTAACCATTAAGGTTGTTATTTTCCAGAGCTTTTACATTGCTGTACAGACCCTCTTTGAATATGGTTAATGCCATTAAATAAGTGAATCTGTTATTATTTTATGGGTCAAAGTTTATATACAACCTTAAATCACTATTAAAATTGAAGAAAGGACCGGGCACAGTGGCTCACACCTGTAATTCCAGCACTTTAGGAGGCTGAGGCGGGTGGATCACAAGGTCAGGAGATTGAAACCATCCTGGCTAACATGGTGAAACCCTGTCTCTACTAAAAATACAAAAAATTAGCTGGGCGTGGTGGTGGGCGCCTATAGTCCCAGCTACTCGGGAGCCTGTACCTAAAAACCACCTGTATCTAAAAAACTATTGAAAAAAGAAGTCTTCATTTATGCACATATTAGCATTGTCAATTAAAACTTACAAATCACAATAAATAAAACAATATGCTTAACATACAAAAAAAAAGTCCTGGAAAGAGGACCTGGATTAATCATTAAAAAGCATATTTACTATTGTATTTTAATCAATAGCAGCTGTAATGTATGCATCAATTTCTTATGATTTTAGATAGCATGAATCAGTTCCCAAAATTTGACCAACTCTAGGTATGTTCACCAAATTTTGTTTCTGGCCTGTGAAACTTACACCCAAGTCCAAGGCAGGAGAATGGCGTGAACCCAGGAGGCAGATTGCAGCTTGCAGTGGGCCGAGATCGCGCCACTGCACTCCAGCCTGTGCGGCAGAGTGAGACTCCATCTCAAAAAAATAAAATAAAATAAAAAATAAAATAAAAATTTAAAAATGGTTATATGGATTCAAAAATTTGTGTTTTGTCTTATGTGAGCTCCAAAGTATGAGGTGTGTTTAGTAAATAAAATGCGTCATAAAATGCCTCTGACTAAATATATAAAATATTTCTCCTCCTATTTTTCAAAAGTCCATGTTTAATCCACATTTTTAACAAAGTAATTTTAGTTTATCATTGCGTAGCTCTATAAATATTCTGGTTATATTCAATCACTTTTTTTTAACTTTTTTTTTTTTTTTGAGATAGGGTTTTGCTATGTCGCCCAGGCTGGCCTTGAACTCCTGGGCTACAGTGATCCTTCTGCCTCAACCTCCCAAGTAGCTGTGATTGTAGGCATGAGACTGCACCAAGATGAATTTAATCACTTTAAGATTTGTCTTCTAATTCATCTTTGCTATTTGTGTATTTACTATTTACTTTTTGGTTAGGGGCAATCTCTTTGACTTAATTATACTTCAGTTTGTCTCTCTTTGAAATATGAGTAACAGTTTGACAAATTGAAAGCATATGGTGATCTTGTGAAGAATATTTGAGAGTGAATATAAAAAACCTTTAAATGACAATGAAAAGAAGTAAATATTGATCTGAGATTATATAAATAGTAACACAATCCTTTTTGGAGTTCAATAACCTCCAACTTAATAATTGATGAATACAATGAAGTTACTGAACTAGTGAAAGTTTTGACAATTTGACTTTTTTCAATATAGGTTTAGTGTTTGCATTTATTTCAATTATTTCATCACTAAAGATGAGCAAATATAGTATATATAGTGTGTACTAGACATTTGTTAAAACGTTATTTTTTCTCACCCACTATCTTCCATAGCATTTTATTCTGTAAACAACTAACTTGATCTTGTGCAATAAATAAGATATTTTAAAATAAATCTTTGGTCTTTTAAAATAGCTCTCGTTTTATTATCTTGTGATATAAAAAATAAAAAGGAAATGGTAGAACTACATTTTCTGCTTAAACAGCTAAATAGAATTTCTGTTACAGCACAAATGAACATACCAGCTAAAACAATATAAAACTTAGGTCTCTGGCTATCTTATCTCTACTATCTTCCTATACAAGATTTTTCATTAACATAAAAGTGAGAGACAAATGTGAATATCCCTACAGTTTTTGAGGGGGAAAAGCCCTTGGCCATTAACATAGTAAGACAATGAGGCTTTCCTCTCACTGCTACATTCTTCCTAATGTCACTCACTGTGCTATAAGACTTTTATCTACTTTTTCTAATAAAGATTTTGGGTGACATATCACACAGAAACACTTTGTCCAAGCTGTTGGAAAGTTTGGGCTTTATTATTTTTCTGCTCCATTTTCTCTCTCTCTGTTTTTTAAGATTCCAATGACCTTTATGTCAAGCCCTTGAAGTTGTCCCATAGATTCTTGGGTTCTATTCATTAAAATAATTTTTTTGTTGTTGTTCTTCAGGTCAGTTATCTACTAATGTGCATTCAAGTTAACTCTTCATTATTTCCAATATATACTTAAGTCTGTTTACTGCATTTCAAAATTTCAGATATTATAGTTTTCATCTCTAAATTTTTCATTTATATTTTTTATATTTTATAGCTCTTTGATGAGATATCTTATGTTTTTGATCATTACAAGCATGTTTTTCTTTACCACATTGTGCACTTATTATAGTTTCTTTAAAGTCTTTTTGGAATAATTTCAACACATGGGTCATCTTAGAGTTAACTCAGCTGTTCTGTTCTTTAGGGAGCCTTTCTTAAGCTTCCTGGTTAGGTTCTTCTCTGGACTCTAAGAGTTCAGGTTATACCTCTTTCTCATTACCTATTAGATTAAATTAAAATAATCTGTTTATTTTACTGTGTTCTCAACTAGATTGAAATGCAAACTTCTCAAAGGAAAGAACCATGTCTTTTTAAAAAATCTGTGTTGCTTCCTGTACCCAGCATACTAACTGGAAAATATATTCAATAGATGTTTGATTACTTAACCAAACTCAGAGAGATAGGCTTGTTCATCTTTCAGGTAAGATTATGCTTACTGGAAAGCAAGATTTGGACTTGGGTGTAAGTTTCACAGGCCAGAAACAAAATTTGGTGAATATACCTAGAGTTGGTCAAATTTTGGGAACTGATTCATGCTGTCTAAAATCATAAGAAATTGATGCATACATTACAGTTGCTATTGATTAAAATACAATAGTAAATATGCTTTTTAATGATTAATCCAGGTCCTCTTTTCAGGACTTTTTTTAATATGTTAAGCATATTGTTTTATTTATTGTGATTTGTAGGTTTTAATTGACAATGCTAATATGTGCATAAACAAAGACTTCTTTTTTCAATAGTTTTTTAGATACAGGTGGTTTTTGGCTACATAGATAAGTTCTTTAGTGGTGGTTTCTAAAATTTTAGTGTACCCATCACCCGAGCATTATACACTGTACACAATATGTAGTCTTTCATCCCACAGCCCCCTCCCAACCTTTCCCCAACTGAATCCTCAAAGTCCATTATATCATTCTTATGCATTTGTGTTAGGACATACTATTTCTGGTGCTGTGGGTTTGGGGAAGGAAATAAACTTAGTAATCAAAATATTGTTTAGTACAGTAAAATAAAAGTGGCTATATTAAAGGATAATTCATGTAAGCTGCAAAGGCTTATAAACCATTTCTGTTCCTTGATAAGGTATGATCAGAACACAAGTCTTCTCTCTACACGCTCTCCTTTGAAGAGTGCTGGACAAGTGCAGATATCCTTCTGATAAGGTTTGGATTTGTGTCCCTGCCCAAATCTCATGTTGAATTATAATCTCCAGTGTTGGAGGAGGGATGTAGTGGGAGGTGATTGAATCATGGGGGCAGATTTTCCTCCTTGCTGTTCTTGTGATCATGAGTGAGCTCTCACAAGTCTGGTTGTTAGAAAGATCTGGTTGCAGATTTTCCCCTTGCTGTTCTTGTGATAGTGAGCTAGCTCTCACAAGATCTGGTTGTTAGAAAGTGGGTAGCACACAGTAACCGAAACAGCATGGTACTGGTACCAAAACAGACATAGACCAGTGGAACAGAACAGAGGCCTCAGAAATAACACCACACATTTACAACCATCTGATCTTTGAAAGACCTGACAAAAACAAGTGATGGGGAAAGGATCTCCTGTTCAATAAATGGTGCTGGGAAAACTGGCTAGCCATATGCAGAAAACTGAAACTGGACTCCTTCCTTGCACCTTATACAAAAATTAACTAAAGATGGACTAAAGACTTAAAAGTAAAACCAAACCGTAAAAACTCTAGAAGAAAACCTAAGCAATACCATTCAGGCCATAGGCATGGGCAAGGACTTCATGATGAAAATGCCAAAAGCAATAGCAACAAAAGCCAAAATTGACAAATGGGATCTAATGAGACTAAAGAGCTTCTGCACAACAGAAAAAAATTATCATCAGAGTGAACAGGCAACCTACAGAATGGGAGGATATTTTTGCAATCTACCCATCTGACAAATGTCTAATATCCAGAATCTGCAAAGAACTTAAACAAATTTACAAGACAAAACAAACAACCCCATCAAAAAGTGGGCAAAGGACATGGACAGACAATTCTCAAAAGAAGACATTTACACGGCCAACAGACATATGAAAATAAGCTCAACATCACTGATCATTAGAGAAATGCAAATCAAAACCACAATGAGATACCATCTCATGCCAGTCAGAATAGCGATTATTAGAAAGTTAAGAAACAATAGATGCTGGCGGGGTTGTGGAGTGATAGGAATGCTCTTACACTGTTGTTGGGAATGTAAATTAGTTCAACCATTGTAGAAGACAGTATGACGTTTCCTCAAAGATCTAGAACCAGAAATACCATCTGACCCAGCAATTCCATTACTGGGTATATACCCAAAAGAATGTAAGTCATTCTACAGTAAAGACACATGCACACATATGTTTATTACAGCACTATTTACAATAGCAAAGACATGGAATCAACCCAAATGCCCATCAATGATAGACTGGATAAAAAAAAAATGTGGGACATATACACCATGGAATACTATGCAGCCATAAAAAGGAATGGGATTATGTCCTTTTCAGGGACATGGATGAAGCTGGAAGCCATCATCCTCAGCAAACTAACACAGGAACAGAAAACAAAACACCTCATGTTATCACTCATAATTGGGAGTTGAACAATGAGAACACATGGACACAGGGAGGGGAAGAACACACACTAGGGTCTATTGGGTGGTAGTGGGTGAGGGGAGGGAACTTAGAGGACAGATCAATAGGTGCAGCAAACTACCATGGCACACATAACAAACCTGCATGTTCTGCACATGTATCCCAGAACTAAAGTAAAATAATAATAGTAATAAAAGAAAAGTGTAGCACTTCCCTCTTCACCCTCTTCCTCCTGTTCTGGCCATGTAAAATGTGCCTGCTTCCCCACCGTCTTCCACTGTTGTGGGAAGTCAGGGACCCCGAATGGAGGGACTGGCTGAAACTGCAGCAGAAGAACATAAATTGTGAAAATCTCATGGACATTTATTCATTCCCCAAATTAACACTTTTATAATTTCTTACGCCTGTCTTTACTGCAGTCTCGGAACATAAATTGTGAAGATTTCATGGACATTTATCACTTCCCCAATCAATACTCTTATAATTTCCTATGCCTGTCTTTAATCTCTTAATCCCATCATCCTCGTAAACTGGGGATGTATGTCGCCTCAGGACCCTGTGATGATTGTGTTATCTGTACAAATTGTTTGTAAAACATGTGTGTTTGAACAATATGAAATCTAGGCACCCTGAAAAAGAACAGGATAACAGCAATTTTCAGGGAACAAGAGAGATAACCATAAGGTCTGACTGCCTGCAGAGCCGGGCAGAAGAGAGTCATATTTTTTTTCTTGGAGAAAGCAAATAGGAGAAGTATCACTGAATTCTTTTCCCAGCAAGGAATAACCCTGGGAAAGGAATGCATTCCCAGGGGTAGGCCTATGGACAGCCGCTCTGGGAGTGTCTGTATTATGAGGTTGAAGATAAGGGATGAAATACACCCTGGTCTCCTGCAGTATCCTCAGGCTTACCAGGATTGGTAAATTCCAGCATGGTGAATTCCAGTCAGACCAGCTGTCTGCTCTCAAACCCTGTTTCCTGTGAAGATGTTTATCAAGACAATGTGTGCCCAGCGGGACATGGAACCTCATCAGTAATTCTAATTTTGCCCTGGCCTTGTGATCTTGCTCTGCCCTTCTGCCCTTGTGATCTTTTATTGCCCTTTGAAGCATGTGATCTTTGTGACTTACTCCCTGTTCGTACCCCCCTCCCCTTTTGAAATCCCTAATAAAAACTTGCTGGTTTTGTGGCTCAAGGGGCATCACGGAACCTACGAATATGTGATGTCACCCCCAGAGTCCCAGCTGTAAAATTTCTCTCTTTGTCCTCTTTCTCTTTATTTCTCAGACCGGCCGACACTTAGGGAAAATAGAAAAGAACCTACATTGAAATATTGGGGGCTGGTTCCCCCAATATTCCGCCATGATTGAAATTTTCCTGAGGCCTCCCGAGTCATGCTTCCTGTACATTCTGTGGAATTATGAGTCAATTAAACCTCTTTTCTTTATAAATGACCCGGTCTCAGGTAGTTCTTTGTAGCAATTTGAGAATAGACTAATATACCTTCTTTTAAATTCATTCATTTTATTTTCTTCTAAAATGTTTGGCAACCATTTTTTTAAACTTAGATTATTTTTTCTCTCAGATAGTTTACAGGTTCAAAAAAAATCTACATTGCGTTCATGATGTCTCTCTGTGTTTATACCCTAGTCATTTTGTTATACAGCGTTCCCTTTCCCTAAGTTAATTTGAAGACAGTTACCCTCATTTATATTTAATTAATTGTAAGTAGTTTAAACCTAAAGCTGACACTATCTCATAGTTCTGGGAACATTTTTTTCTTTACCCTTAAATAACTACATATAGGTTCTTAGCTAAGTGATAACCGACTTAATGGTATGTATTCATCCATCCATTCATCCATCCATCTGTCCGTGTCCGAAATAATGATTTACTGAGAGCCAGGCAATTTTCAAGGCGAATGGAGAGGTACAGCCCCTACTATCATAGCACTTACAGTCTACTAGAGAAAGCTGTTATTAAATAAATAGTAAAGCAGAAGTCTCATGGTGTTATTACAGAAAAGGTCAGAGAGCTTTGAAAACACGTAGTAGACAAAGGGAAATTTGAAAACATATAGTGGACAGATTTCTGATTTCTAAACCAGAAATCATGGAAGGTATCTCTGAGAAAGTGGTGTTAAGTTGAAAGCTGGAGGATAAGTTGTGGTTAGCTGAAAAAGGGATTGGTGGGAGGAGATAGAGGCATATTTTAGGAACTAAAAGGAGTTCAATTTTGTTGGAGCAGAATACAAGAAAGAGAGTGGTGAGAGATGAAATCAGAGAACACCAAATAGAGGCCTCTCTTTGGAAGATTTCTAAATATTTGTTAGAACTTTATCCTCATTGCGTTTAAATAGTAGTTATTAATTTTTAATGCAGATAATTTTAAAAGCAAATAAAGGGATATAATCCAACTATCCAAATAACTTCTGTTGATATTAAAACAAATGAACAAAGCTACATGTGAAAAATAAAAATTTTCACATAAGGCAGAAAAGAATAAAGTAAAAATGAAAGCTTCTATCTGTCAGCCTAATCAAACTCCCTATATTTAACTGTCATTTAAAGTTTTGTTGAGTTCCTTCCAAGGTGGGATATAGGAATATTTATCAATCTAATTAATTATCTACCTATCTATCAATCTTTATTTCTGTGTATTATTCTGCTCTATTTCTATACATCATGGTATATTTTGAATATTATTTATATGAACACACAGCATTATCTAATTTTCTAACAGCTATGTATTACTCAATTATGTGGATATGCCAGTAATTAAGTTATTTTTTCTTGGTTTCAAACCTAGTCTTCTAAAACTCCTTATGATGCGGTAGCTAGAACTCTGTAAACTACGTTTTCCTTCCCATGTGCTGCCTACCACTTTTCCTCTTTATTAATCTCTGCCAGTAAAGGGCAGTAGAAGAATGAGAGGCTGGAGGATGGAGAATGTCCTGTTTTCTGTCTATTTCCTTCTGTCTTTATTCCTATTTGATGTCTGTCCTGTCTATCATCGCAGTATCACTTTTTTTCTCCCGAAAGTATCGGTTAATTCAGCAGCAGCAGCTGATTGAAATACCCAGAATGCACTCCTTTGCATCCTCTCAGAGACATGAGGACTGACCATGGAAGCCACTCCTCAGAAGGCTGTGCAGGGCCACATTATGACTTTCACAGGCCTTTGGCACTTGTGCTTTTGTGGGCTCCATCTTTCACAAAAAACATTAAAATCTATATTTTACAACTCCATTAACACAAAACAAGTACATAAGTGTTACATCTCAAAATAATTTCTTTGACTTAAAAGTTCATTTTTCTTCTGATTTTAAAACAAGTCACAACATTCTCATGGGCTCCCAAAAGTATTTTGGGCTTCACCACCGTGCCTACATTGCCTTATGGATAAGTTGGACCTAGGTCTCAGACTCAGACCCATTGGCTTTTCATCCTAGCTCAGAAGGACCAGTATCAGCCAAGAAGTGCCTCCTTCCCAAAGCTCTGAGACCCACCTCCATGGGTGCCCTTCCTCTAATTTGTTTTAATAATCCCAGTTTTTGTTGGCAGGTTTGATTTCTTCTGTGGCCTCTGTCCTGGGCTTGCAGATCACCACATTCTTGCAGTGTCCTACATGGTCATCCTGCTGTTTGTGTTGTCTGTGTCCAGTCATATTGGATTGGGGTCCACTCTAAAGACCCCATTTTAACTTAATCACCTCTTTAAAGATTCTGTCTCCAAATAGAGTTATATTCTGTGATACTGGTGGGTTAGAGCCTCAACATGTGAATTGTGGGTGAACATGGGGAGATACAATTCCACAATTCAGCCCATAAAAAGAAGTAGATTTGCCAATGCTTATTTAACCAGAATCATATGAGTGGGCATTATTTTCAGCTTGAGCTATTACAAACATGTACTAAGAGACATCTTGAATATATGTCTCAATTCATATATTCAAATGCAGGTATTTATAGCACTAATTTCTTAGGAGGAGACTGCAGAGTACCTTCATTTTAGTTAATACTTTTCATTAGTATTGCCTTTTTGCACCCCTGAAATCATCATATTCTCCCTCAAAATATATGAGCATGGTGGCATTATCATCAAACTATTATATTTTGCCGACATGAAGAGTGAAATATATCCCTGTTTTGCTTTGTATTTCTTAAATTATGAGTCAGGATAAGCATTTCATTTATATGTTTATTGTCTACGTTTCTTTTTGGCTATATATTTTACTAGCTTTTTGTTGAATGGTTGCTGTTTCTAATTGATTTTTATGTGGCAGCCATCACCTCTGCTTTCTTTAAGTGTCCTTATATTTTCACATTAACTAGTTAACTTGTCATTATCTTCAGGTCTTGCTTTCGAAATGACCTCCAACATTCTAGAATCTTTTCCACCAAAAGATAGGATTAGGAGTATCTCCTAGATATTGGGCTTATTTTGTTCACATCTAACACCATATCTCATCATAAAGAATTAACATTGCTTTCTACCTTCTTGTCTTCCCTACTAGATTATAATCTTGAGAGCAAGGTTCTTGGTTTGTTTCTTGAAGAAGCCCAGGAAATTAAGAGTGCCTGACTTTATAAGATTTTCTCTCTCTCTCTCCACATACATATGTGTGTATATATATGTGTGTGTGTGTGTGTGTGTGTGTGTGTGTGTGTATAATATAGAGAGAATAACACTATATAGTTATTCAAAATAAATACTAGTTACTGGATTTCAACCACAGCGTCAACACAATGTTTTTGTATTAATGGAGTTGTAAAACATAGCTTTTAATATGTAGTGGGACTGTCACTCACTCCATAAATATTCCTAGCTAAAACAAGTGTATGATTTCTTCTGTCTTGTAGGATGCCCCGATATTCATTTTAATATTTTTATTTAAAATAATTAAATAATTAAAATAATATATAGGCTGGCTAATGGATAAAAAGAGTAAAGGCTTATATTGAGCCGTATCTCTCAGGGTTTTGAGTTTGAAAATCATTGATTCAAAAGTATTTGAAGATGTAGTCAGTCAGCATCCTTCATTTGTATATCTCCAAGTCCTGAATTTAGCCAACAAAGTAAATATACTGGTTGTGAACAGCATGTGGTACTTTCCATAAGAGCAGAGAGAGTTTTATTTTCAGTTTTAAAAAATGTTTCAATTATATATAGGTGGAGGCCATCTATGTTGCTCAGGGGTAGTTCATAATAGAGACTTGTCTTTTTTTAGTAGAGGCAATCTGTGTAGCAGTTCAGGACTTGGGCTCGGGAGCTCTCAAGTTTGAATCTTAGCTCCACCACTTCTAGTTTTGTCACTTTCTCCATGCCACTTAAATGGTCTGATCTCTAGTCTCACCACCTGTAAAATAAAGATGATGATAATATTATCTACCACAAAGAATTGTTGGGAGGATTATAAGAGATCAGGTCTATTAAACATTTAGCACAGTGCAATTAGAACACTAAGCTACCATCGTATTTAATATCATCTTCTTTCCTAGGTGGTTGGAGCTTCTTTCGAGTGTGGTGAGTTGGGAAGATTTCCACTGACCTCTGACTTTTCAAGGATGAGGAGGTGATATATTAGTTATTAGATTGCTATGGAAATTAAGCTCACATTGACTACAATAGGCAGTCATTGCATGAAAAAGAGACCAGTCTGTCAGCCTGTAATGAAACAGCATTTAAACTGCATATGTATGTGTGTATGTTTTTCTGTACTTTTATATCTGCATGTATTCTTACATGTGTACATGCTACACTCAGCCTATAAACCTTCTCATTAGGAAACTATGGCAATGGGACTATCACTGACTCCATAAATATTCCTAACTACTTTAAAACAAATGTGTGATTTCTTCTGCCTTGTAGGGTGTCCCTGTTACTCATTTTAATATTCTTTAATTATAAAAAAAGATTTGTGAAGTGGGATATACATGGAACTGTGCCTTGGGCCTCCGTGGGGTTGATTCTGGCCAAGGATAAAAATGAAAGTAGAATTCTTAATTGGTTTTCATGGTGCCTAATTATTCTGGGGCCTGTCTGAAATGGAATGCATTTTGTTTTGTGGTAAGTTTTGTGGCTGAAAAAAGAGGCAGCTGCCTGAATGGTGAGATTTCAGAAGGTCTCCAAAGTACCCTGGTTTTCATTATCTCCTCATCATACCTGAAATTAGAGGAACATTTCAACTGAAAAAAATCTTTGCATTTTTCACAAGTGACTTCAGGAAATTCAAACACTGTGGAAAGAAAAAGCCATTCTTATTTGTTACCTTTTTGAGGGACTTGTTTCCTGATTATTTTCTAACATAAAGGCTAATAAAGATGAACCTGTCAAACAAATAGGTAAAGACCAGGGACTTTTCAGAAGCCTATGTTTGATATTATTGTGGAAAAACTGAAGAAACTGGTTTTAAAATATATATACACACACATTTTTTGATCCCTAAACATATATACTTGTATGTGTATTTATATATACATGTATATTTGTATGTATGTATAAATATTCACACATGTATTTGTATGTATGTATGTACATATGTATATATTTGAATGTCTGATAAAAGATTAATTTAACCTAATGCTTTGATTTTGAACAAACTAATTATACTGCTCCTACCTTGAAAGCAAAGCATCTCTCACAGTGTGTATCAATGCCTACTTTTTCAAGTCTAAAATGTATTTTATTTCATTTATGTCTGTTAATGTAGTTATCTCTGGGTCATATAATTATGATTTTAATTTTTTATTATACTTTATAAATTAAAAAAAAAAAACTATGTGTTTGTTTAACTAGAAGTAAGAAAAATAAGAAAATGTCCATTAGGTTTCTACCCACTCAAGGAATTGACTTGTAGCTACCTAATCCCCTTGATCAATCATGAAGCAACCTGTGCCTTAGAGAAATTGGAATGGAACACTATATAGTTATTCAAAGTCAATACTAGTGACTGGATTTCAACCGCAGCATCAATACAATCAGAAGGAGAATTGATAAAATGCAAAGTTGATGTTACTTCTGATGGATTTTAGTTTAGCAAAATAAACCCTAAAAAAATCAAATCATTTTCTAAACTTCAATTTTGAGGAGAGGAAAATCAAAAGCTTTTACCAAACTTTATACAGAAATGAGTCAGAAAGCTTCAATTCAGTTCAGTAAACACTTATTCAGTGTCTACTGTGTGCCTACCAGATACCACAACATGCTCAAGATATGTACAAGAAATCAACGATTATGGAGAAAGTGTTTTAAATAAACAAGGAAAATGTCTGGAAGGATGTAAGACAAAATTACCAGAGGCTTATTCTGCATAGTAAGATTTTGGATGATGATTCTTCTCATTTTGCTTCTTTGCCTATACTTAAGTTTATACTCATCTCTCTCTCTCTCTCTCTTTTTCTCTCTCTCTCTGTGTGTGTGTGTGTGTGTGTGTGTGTGTGTGTGTATGCACATATGTCTACCTCCTATGACTTTACTATCTGCATTTGATATGGATGCTCCTTTGTGATTTTTATTTCTGCTTCCTCAATCCACAATTCTGCCCTACTGGGTAATAACATATTAGTGGAAAGAGAGTACTTTATACAGCAAGTTTTTAACTCACCTTTCTGTACTTACCTGGATGCCATGCTATTGTCACTCTAAATGCCACCTACTTCAAGAATTACCACCTCCTCTGTGACACTTTCTCTGACCATAAATTTTAAACACTTGTCTCTTTCAGTGATGAACATTTGGTGATAAGATACCTTGTACTGCTATTTATCTTAATACCTTACCCTACATAGTATGCATATTTTAAATTTCAGAGCAATTTCATGTAAATTATCTCCTTTTTATTCTGTGAGATAGTCAGGGCGGATATAATCTCTATTTTTGTTATGTGGGAAGACAAAGGATTAAGTAATTTGCCTAAATTTCTAAAGAGCCAAGACCAATAGCATAGACTTTCTGACTCTTTATATGATTTTATTTTCAGCATATGAGGCTACACTTAGTTTATTTTTATTTGGAAACCATTTTTTCTCTCTGACTACACTGTAAATCAACTCTGTGAGCTCAGGGACCCACTAGCACTTAAGACTATAGTATATAAAATAGGCCCCCTATAAAATTGTTCACTGTTTAATATTTTGACAATGTCTTTGAGGCAAATTAACTTATAAATCAAAGCAAATTTTCCAAGCTCATCTTTAAAGGATAAACCTCACAATACTAATTCTGCAGCTTTATCCTTCTTCAAGCTTTTATTTTAATATTTCATTTTAAGGTATACTTGCTTGTTTATTTTAAGATGTAAGCAGGAAATTTAGAAAAAAAAAACAATTCCACATTTAGAAAGAGAAGACACTTTCTTTCAACTGAAAGGGAAAATTAAGAGAGGAATGACTTATTGAGGAGAGATGAGTGTAACTGACAAAAGCTCTCACTGGAGTAGGAGAAAAGAACATCATAGGGGGAAGAGAGAAGCATAATGAAATGTAATGTAGGGGTTCTTTCCAGATTGTATATATTGCTGACAAGAGTGGGGATAGGAGGCTCTCACAGGTATAAGGCAAGATTCAACAAGGTTTGCAGTATACTGATGAGCTGAGATTTTCAACCACCAGTGGTGTCCAAAGTAGATAAACTCCTAGCAAGTCAATCTAGCTAGAATGGCAAAATTTTATGGTAAGCATTGATGCTTCTGGATGAGTTGGTTGGATTAAGGAGCAAGGTAAATCACTCAAAAGCCAAAGGTAGGAAATGAATACCTAAGGGAGAGTATAATTTTTCTATTTATAGCAAAAGTAAAATCTAGTTAGGCAAACAATGATACCAACGAACTGGGGTACTGATACATACTCTATAGTTCTTTCAGTCTTTGTATATATCATACAAACTTAAAATAATGTTTATATTATAGTGATTAATGAAATCACTATAATATATGTTTTGTACAAAAATAATGGTGGGTAGAAGCATGTGCTTGTCTCTCTCCTTTCTTGGATAATTTCTGTGGAAGTTACTTTCACTCATTCAACACTTATTTTATCAATCACCATATAAGGTAGGCCCAATAGTAGGCACTGGGGTTATAATGGTGATGTAAGCAGACCTGAGCTCTGGCTTCACAAAGTTTTCAGTCTGGTTGGGGGATGGAGATTCACAAATAAATGTAAAATTAAAAACTGTGGTAGAAGCTTTAAAGGAAAATCTTGGGTTGCTATGGAAACATATGGCAGAAAGATGAGACAAAGTCTGGATGATACAGAATTCTCACTTGAGGAAGGGACATTTGACCTGAGGTTAGAAAGAATTAACTGCATCATTGTAGGTTGGGGAAATGGTGTACAAAAATGAGTATACAAGGCAGAGAGACCACAGGGACTTTAGCGTTCAGGCTAGGAATATCATGGCTGTGGAAGAGCCAGTGTAGAACTGTACATACTGTAACATCTATGTGGGGACCTGCCCAAACAGCAGGGCTAGTGTCCAGGGAGATCTTGTCACCCAGAGAACATCCTCTGCAGAGTCAGTGTTGTATGATGACACACAAGTTTTTCTAATAAAGATTTTAAGAAGAGGCATAATAATGTAACAGTAATTATTTAAAAAATGATGAATATGGTAATTTAGTAAATACCTATTTTGATGGTCATGCACTTGCAGGCTGTTGTTTGACTCACTGCTATCATCTGAATTGTGTCCCCTTCTCCACCCTCCACCATCAAATTCTTGGGGAGGAATTAGGTTTAGATGAGTTTATAAGGATGGAGCCCCCATGGTGGATTAGTGCCTTTATAATAAAAGGCACCAGGGAACTTGCTGTCTCTGTCTCTCTGCAATGTGAGGACACAGCAAGAAGGTGGCTGTCTGCAAACTAGGAAGAGAGCCCTCACCAGAATCCATGATCTCAGATTTCCAGATTGTGAGAAATGAATACCTAAGTAATTTTGTTGTGAAAGTCTGAGCTGACTAACACACTCACAAATTGTTGTTTAATTTTTTTTAATTGTCAACATTTAAAAATGGGCAATGGCAGGGTGTGGTGGCTCATGCCTGTAATCTCAGCACTTTAGGAGGCCGAGGCAGGCAGATCACTTGAGGTCAGGAGTTTGAGACCAGCCTGGCCAACATGGTGAAAGCTCATCTCTACTAAAAATACAAAAAAAAAAAAAAATTAGCCAGGCATTGTGGTGCATGCCTGTAGTCCCAGCTACTTGGGAGGCTAAGGCACAAGAATTGCTTGAACCTGGGAGGCAGAGGTTATAGTGATCAGAGATCCTGCCATTGTATTCCAACCTGAGCGACAGAGCAAGATCTGGTGCAGTATACCCACTTTCCCACAGGATATCAATCTGGCAGGAACTGGGTAGTGTTTGCTCCCTTTAAACAAAATTCATGTCCCAGTTCACAATCCCCATTTCACTTTTTAAAATCTTATCCATTATCTGGCTTTTAGCTTTTACTGGTGTGGTTCCTTTGGGCATTCAGATTTGTGACCTTTCACTAAATTAATCAGATCTAGAAAAATAGTGATGGAAATTTAAACTAGAAAATAAAATATACTATATTTAGAAGATAATTTTTTTTTTTTGAGATAGAGTCTCACTCTGTTGCCCAGGCTGGAGTGCAGTGGCACGATCTCAGCTCACTGCAACCTCCACCTCCTGAGTTCAAGCAATTCTCCTGCCTCAGCCCCACAAGTAGCTGGGATTACAGGCACCCACCACCATGCCCAGCTAATTTTGTATTTTTAGTAGAGATGGAGTTTTACCATGTTGGCCAGGCTGGTCTTGAACTCCTGACCTCAGGTCATCCGCCCACCTCAGCCTCCTAAAGTGCTGGGATTACAGGCGTGAACTGCTGTGCCAGACAGTAAATGATTTTTTAAATCTCATATCAAAACTGTAATAAAAGGTAGGAAGCAGAAAGCTTCAGAAATCCTTGAATGTGGCAGGTAAATAAGTTATAACATCAGTTGTTAGTTTGACAAATCCTTTACTAACTACCTCTTTACTTTCTCTTATTCTAGTAATTATCCCCACCCCTGCATCACCACACAGAAAATAGACTCTTTGATAAAGAAAATGATGACATGACAGAGTTGGTTAAAAAAATAATTGTAATTAAAAGAGAAGAGAAAAATCATATTTTCATATATCAAAATTACTGTGATTTTCAAAAATCATTAAACTCTTGGTTGAATTATCTCAAGAGTCCTTTCCTAGTCTCATAGACTTGTTAGTCTCATTTATCTTATTCACAGAATAAGAAAGAAGAATTTGCTATTTGTTCAATGAAAACACATACATATCTTAGGGGACAGAAAGAAATCTTAGAAATTAGTCTTTGATTATAGTCCAGAAAGGATCTTGAGAAAATCAGCCAAATAGATGGAAAGAAAGAGTAATATAGCACTCTAGGTTATTTTCTCTATTTCTTTTTTTACTGAGAGTTTATGTGTGTGGGTTTAGTATCTCCCCCAGCCCCCACCCCATCTTGGTTTTCCTTGATTTTCTGCCCACCGTTTTTTTTGTTTTGTTTTGTTTTGTTTCTGCTGGGAGTGGGGGCAGAGTCTCGCTCTGTTACCCAGGCTGGAGTGCAGTGGCACAGTCTTGACTTACTGCAGCCTCAACCTCGTGGTCTCAAGCAATACTTCCACTTCAGCTTTCCAAGTAGCTAGGACTATAGGAGGCACATGCCACCAGGCCTAGTTAATTTGATTTTTTTGTAGAGATGAAGAGATGAGGTCTCACTATGTTGCACAGGCTGGTCTTGAACTCCTCGACTTAGGTGATCCTCCTGCCTTGGCCTTGCAAAGTGCTGGGATTACCGGCACCACCCACCATGTCCAGCCCTTCCCACTAATTTTTATTTTTCTGTTGTACTCTTTTCATTTCAGCAAATGGCCCAGTATTGTTCAGGTTTCCCAAGATGGAGATTTGTGTGAAGACATTTTATTGGGCTGTGCTTTTGAGTACAAGAGTACAACACCTGTAAAGGAATGAACAGTCAGAAAGCAGGAGTAGGCAGAGGGAAAAGTACAGTGCAGTTGCAAGAGAAGTCTCTGCTTATTTTATAGTTTTTATAATTATTGTTTGCCAGAACCTCTCAAAATATTTTACTAACCAGTCTATTCCCTTGCACCAGTATTCCATAAGTTCACACACTGTGAAGGTTTTAATAATTGCACTGCTACAGTATGACAGAAACTAGCAGTGTTCCTTATACCATCAGGGGTAGGGTTCTCATGATATTGGGCCCTTTCTACCAATGCATTCTGTATCACTTTGATAATAGGATATTCCTGTAGGCTCTATCACAGAATAAAGTCAGCGGAGGTTGTCCCTGTATGTAGTATGTCCACTCAAGCATACTACTTCCCCAAGTCTTTGAGTTCCTTCTTCCACCATCTTACGTGGCAGTTCTAGCATTTCACTCCATGTGAATGATTACTTTTTCTAACTTTCCCAGCTTCTAATCCAGGGTGTTGGTGGTGCCTTTTGTTTGCTTGTTTGTTTGTTTATAACGAACAGCTTTAATGAGATATAATTCATATACCACACATTTTACCCACTAAAGGTGTTCAATTTAATGGTTTTTGGAATACTCACAGAATTGTTCAACCATCACCAAAACTAATTTTGGAGCATTTTTATCACCTTAGAAAGAAACCCAGTACTCTTTAGATATCACTCCCCATTCTCCCTTTCTGAGCAACCACTAATCTGCTTTTTGTCCTGTAGATTTGCCTGCTATATTTTTTAGATACTTTATATATATTGAGTCATATAACATGCGGCCTTTTATGAATGACTTCTTTTACTTAGTATAATGTTTGCAAGGTTCATATATGTCATAGCACATATTCTACAACGTTCTTTTTTTGTTGCTGTTTATATTTCATTGTATGTATATACCTCATTTTGTTTATCTACTTATCTGTTGGACTTTTTTGTTTTCAGTTTTTACTATTATGAATATTGCTTCTCTGAACATTCATATACAGGCTTTTATATGGACATATGTTTTCAATTAGTCTGCATATACACCTAGGAGTAGAATTTCTGGATCCTATAGAAATTCTATATTTAACCTTTTGAGAAATTGCCAGTCTGTTTTCCAAAGTAGTTGTCCTATTTTACACTCCTACCAGCAGTGTATGAGGGTTTCAATTTCTCCATATCCTCTTTAAAACCTGTTATTTATTTGTTTTTATTATAGTCATCCTAGTGGGATGTGAGGTGGTTTCACATCGTGGTTCTTATTTGCATTTCACTCATGACTAATGATGTTGAGAATGTCTTCATGTGCCTATTGACACATAAAATAACACTGGAGAAGTGCCTATTTTAATTTAGTTTTAAATTGAGCTTTTTTTTTTTTTTGAGACAGAGTCTCGCTCTGTCACCCAGGCTGGAGTGCAGTGGCGCCATCTCGGCTCACTGCAAGCTCCACCTCCCGGGTTCACGCCATTCTCCTGCCTGAGCCTCCCGAGTAGCTGGGACTACAGGTGCCCGCCACCACGCCCAGCTAATTTTTTGTATTTTTATTAGAGATGGGGTTTCACCGTGTTAGCCAGGATGGTCTTGATCTCCTAACCTCGTGATCCACCCGCCTCAGTCTCCCAGAGTGCTGGGATTACAGGCGTGAGCCACCGTGCCTGGCCGAGCTATTTGTTTTTTAAGTTTTAAGAGATATTTATATATTCCTGATATAAGTTCCTTATGAGATATGTGATTTGCACATTTTTTCACTCATTCTGTAGGTTGTCTTTTAATTTTTTGATGATGTCATTTGAAGTATAATAGTTATTAATTTTAATGAAGTCAAATTTAACTAATTTTTTACTTTGTTTTTTTGTGCTGTTTGTGTAATATCCAAGAAAACATGGGCTATGGCTTTTTCAGTGTGTCAACTTGGCTATGCTAAAGTCTCCAGTTTTTTTTGTTTTTTGTTTTTTTTTATGAGACAGAGTCTCTCTCTGTCACCCATGCTAGAGTGCAGTGGTGCAATCTCGGCTTACTGCAAACTCCGCCTCCTGGGTTCACGCCATTCTCCTGCCTCAGCCTCCCTAGTAGCTGGGACTACAGGTGCCTGCCACCACGCCCTGCTAATTTTTTGTATTTTTAGTAGAGATGGGGTTTCACTGTGTTAGCCAGGATGGTCTCGATCTCCTGACCTCATGATCCACCCGCCCTGGCCTCCCAAAGAGCTGCAGTTTTTTAATCAATACTAATTTAGGTGTTACTGTGAAGGGATTTTGCTGATATAATTAAAGTTCTTAATCAGTTGATTTTATATAAGAGGCACTATCCATCTGGGAAACCCTAAGTGCAGCGGTGAGGCTTCTCTGAAAGACAGAAATAATTGTGGATTACAACTTTGGTCTGTGTTTGTGAATTGTCATCTCGCTCTTGATCTTCCCTTATTGAATGCCTTCTCCATGAATTAGAACACACTTAGCCAGCCCCAATAAGTGTGTAAGCCAATTTCTTTGTAAAAAAATTGTGTGTATACATGTACATATATATGTTTATACGTGTGTATGCATGGTATACACACAGGCACAATTTCCTGTTGGTTCTGCTTCTTTGGGTGAGCTCTGAGTTCAGTGATATAGTGTTAAATCTAGTGTTGTCAAAGGATGGTGTTTCCCTATCAATAAATTTATCTCAATAAATACATTAACGTGATTTTTAAAAATAAATGATCCCTTTTCCAGCTTTGTATTCTGCCCTCCTCCTCTTGACCCATAGTCTCAGAATCCAAGTCCATGCTTACCTCTCAACCTCTGTTGGAAAATGCTGGATGCATCCTGAAGCTCCTTTAGTGTATATTACCTTGTGTTTCTCAACAGACCGAACAGTCTTGCAGCTGGATTATGTCATATTCTTATAATTATTGCTCTAGAGCCCATTTAGGAAGGTAGGGAGAAATGTTCTCCTGCAAGGCAGATGCCTCGATATGGTCATTAGACAATAGTGGAGCACACCTACACCTTTCACCAGGAGGACAGGCCACTTCTTCAGGGAAGTCAGTTCAGGGAAACCTAGTGACTCAACTTTTTTTGTTGTTCATCCACTCAAATAGGCCCCTCCTACCTCTGAGGATCTCACTTCTTCTCAATCAGAACCTCGACCATAGTTATCAGATGTTCTGGTGGTTGGGAATTTGATCTTCTCTGGGCTCTGCTAATCTTCTACCTTAGTTCTGAGTTTAATAAACACCTTGTGTGCACTGCAGCTATGGTAGGTGAATATATCTTTACATTCTGCCAAAAACATCCACTGCTTTTTTTGTTTTATTTTTTTCAAGTTGGTGATCATTCAACCTCAGACTGTCATTAACTTGTTCTGTTCATTGACAGTTTCCAGAAAGCCACGCAAAGCCATAGTCTTGAACCTCTCAATCACATGACCTAATACACTAACCAGTGCTTCCCTTTCTATCAGTATTTCATTCCATTTCATTAATTGTGACAGTTGTAACAATGGACCCATTATAGCATGCTACAATACTATCAATGTCTATCAGGGAAGGGGTCCTCATGGCTGGCCTGCCAGCAGGTGACGATCTAGTTCCAACATCACATTTTTAGATTCTGCTTGTAGAGCCTCAACTAACACAAATCCCCTTAGGTTGGATACCCTGGAAACAGATTCTGAAGCAGAGATCTGCGTAAAGGAAATGATTGGGAGGGTTTTCTGGAACCACACCATCTGAGGGAGTGGGAATCAAGACTGGACAGAGAAAGAAGCAGAACTGCATTCCACAACAAAGGCCTCAAATGCACCTATGGAAATCTCTGAGCTGGGGTGGCACTTTAGAATTGTTCTGGATTTTGCCCCACATTTTAATGGGCCAAGACTTTTTAGCCCATTTTCTACCAGTCTTTCTCTAGAGGCTGTCTCTGGGAAGGATGTTCAACTTTGGGCAAGGCAGCAACTTTCAGCTGAGAGCAGTTTCCAGGGAGGGACTTGGCTATGAGCAGTCAGCAGTCAACACTCCCAGAGGCTGGGGAATGAGTGCCTTTTTCCTGAACGTGGGAAGGAAGGATTTGGGCAGCACACCACAGCATCTGCTACATCACACCACCATCCCACAACTGCTCCGGCTCAAAACCTGGATCCTTCTTCTTCTCACGTCCCACATCCAAGCCATCAGAGTCCGCTTGATGAGACCTCCCAAATATCGCCTGAATTTGTTCACCTGTCACCATTTCTACTGCAAAAGTTCATATCCAAACAACTGTTTTCCTTTACCTGGATGACAGTCTCCCAATGATTTTCCCTGCATTAGCCTATTAGCATTCATCCATTTTCTTCACAACAGAATAATCTTCTGAAACCATAAAGTGTATTTCATATTTTAGAACCTTCTAATTGTTTCTTATGGCAGGTAGCGTAAAATTGATGTTCATTATCATGGTCTACTCTCATCATAACAGTTGCCCTTTTTGAGTCCAGAACCTGCTAAGTACATTGCGTTCATTATTTCATATAATCCTCACAGTAGCCCTTTCAAGATGCTATTCATGTCACTATTTTACAGATAAAGAAACTGTGTCTTAGTGAGGTTAAGTATCCAGCATGACTACAGCTGCAAAGCAGTGGAGCCTGGCTTTGAACTTAGTCCTGTCTGATCCCAACGCCTTACACAATTCTACCATCCCTGTTGTTAATATGTGTACGTATATTCAAATTCCAAACTTTTGCCCTCGTTTTAGACAAACATTGTTTTGGCTTCTCAGACAACCTCTCACCTATGAAATCATCACCACTATTAGCAACTCATATTTTTTTCCAAGAACATAAAGTATTTAATAAATATAATTTAATTTTGTATTTTGTCTTCACGAATATTCAGAAAATGATGGAGTCAAGAAATAATTTCAGATGGGGAAAGTAAGCCGTAAGGAGGTCAAGAGAACTGTCAAGGTAACCAAGTTAGCTGATTCTGGAAAGAGGAATAGAAATACATCACCAGCCTCTGAGCAATGCCTTTTCCTACCATGGCCTCCTGTCAGCCTGTGGGAGTTTCTTCATGACAATACTACCTCTATTTCTTTCTTTCTTTTTTTTTTTTTTTTTTTTTTTGAGACAGAATCTTGCTGTTGTCACCCAGGCTGGAGTGCAATGGCGCGATCTTGGCTCACCGCAACCTCCGCCTCCCGGGTTCCAGCAATTCTGCTGCCTCAGCCTCCTGAGTAGCTGAGATTACAGGTGCCCACCACCACGCCTGGCTAATTTTTGTACTTTTAGTAGAGACGGGGTTTCACCATGTTGGCCAGGCTGGTCTTGAGCTCCTGACCTCAGTTGATCCACCGCTTCAGCCTCCCAAAGTGCTGGGATTACAGACATGAGCCTTTGTGCCTGTCCACTACCTGTATTTCTTAAGCTGCACACCACTACCACTCGATATCCGTGTTTTCAGACAAGAATGGAGACTCGCACTCTAGGAGAAGCAGTCTGGGGTCGTCATTGACTAATCAGAAGGATGGCCAACAGGCTGGAGGGCTTGTGATTTCTTAAGCCTCATGCAGCTTGAAAGGCCGGCAGTCTTCATGCACTTGAGAACATTAAAACCTGATGCCTCCTTGTGAAGGTTTCTTCTGGGAGTGACAATTCATCCACATCTTTTGAAGCTTCAGGTTTAAACCTGGGTCACTGCAGTTGCTCCAAGAATTGAGAGGGAGGAATTGATATCTTTTAGTGTTTTTTTGTTTCTTTTTTTTTTTTTTGTTCAGCAAAATTATCTCAACATTGCATGCAAATAATTAAAAATAAAACAAAAAGTCAGAAGAGCTGCTAGTTACTATTTAATAACCAGCTCCGTGGCAGCAGTGCACATTCCAAAGATTTCCCAACAGGTTGTGTTTATACTGCTAAACCTCCAGCGGGTCCAGCGTTTTCCCCCAGCCTAGAGCACACTCCAAGAGCTAATATTTTCCCTACCTGAGAACTTTAAAAATGACCTAAAAAAAATAGCCAGGAATGTAGTGGCTCATTGTTGATGTTGTTGTTAGCCTAGAGAAGTTAGCAGCAAAAACTATCTTCTTGTTTATTACTGAATAGATGATGAGAATACTCGTTCTTTGTCAACTTCATCAGAGAAATTACCATACATTAAGAGAAGGCAAGTCATTTCAAAACTTGGTATGCAACCTATTTGTTTCTGGAAAATCAGGATATAAACTTGAGCTTAAAAGCAATGAGAAAGCTCAAAAGGAAAGATTTGTAAATTGTAACATTCTGACTTAATATTTCTGTTAAAAATACAGATACTGAGATCTGTTAAATAAATAATAACCAATATTTTTGTAGGCCTGTGTGTAAAGACTACTTTGCACATGCTATTGCATTTGGCTGTGTTAAGTTTTTCAGGATTCATGAAATATTATAGTAACAAGAAGTACCACTCTGAGTATGTCAGGAAGTGTGAAGTGTTGGTGCTTGTAGCAATAAAACCACTGAATCTTTTCCTAAGGAATTTCTTGGTATTGCGTTTTATAACAGCTGAGTTGGCTAAAGGATCCTTCCTTTTAGCTTTATTGAATAGTTCTTGGTCAGAGTTATCTATTTCTAAATGAATATACTATCTGCACACAAAACTTGCAGTGTATAGATCAAACCTTTAATTAGTAGTTAGCATATGGAAATCTATAAGAAAATGATGTGGTTTATGGGAAAAAATATAGGGTCACAAATCAAGAGATGAGAATGCTGTTGAGAATAACAATAATAGCAGCCAATATTTATTTAGTTTTTAGTTTGTGCCCAAAACTGTTTTAAGCTTTTTCTCTATAGCTCATTTAATCCATGTAACTATTCTGTGGATTAGATCTTGTTGCTATTTCTGACATACAGATGAGGACACTGATGGTTAGAGGAGTTAAGAAACTTACTGAAGGGCCCTGAATTTTTAGGTGGAAGAGCTGGGATTCAAAACCTAGAAATGTTAGCTGTAGAGCCCATGCTATTAATGGCTTTACTGAATTGGCTTCTGATTAGTAGCTCTTCCCTTGTTAAATGAACATGGCCAATGTCCTTTCATTTTTATTCAATCTATTGCAATGATCTGATACCTACCATCCCTATTCCCATGAAGTTGTTTCCAGGATTAACTGAAATAATATTTTTAAAAGCACTTTAAAAGATAATGTGCTCTTCAAATGCAAGGTGATATTATTACATTGTATACAATGGTTAGTTACTCAGAGCAATGGTCCATTAAATGGTCAGCAATGAGTGTATTTGGTATTCTAATAAATGGAACCACAGTAACAGGCTTCTACTACATGTACACTCATTAGTTCTTCCTAGAATTCATGAGCAAGTCAAGGCTCAAACTGCCTCTAAACACAGTTATTTGGAGATACATAGGCATATTTCCGGAAACAGGGAGGAACTGCTGTTAATTGTTTGCACATGCAGACATTGTCTCAAATATGATTTTGCTATTTCAGAGATTCCCTTGTCATAACTATCAAAATGACACAAGCGGTACTTTTTTGTAATCTCCGTATTTGACGCATGAAAGAAGACTTAATTCCTGTTTGAATAAACAACATAATAAGGTTATTGAGATTAGAGACCATTACTATATAAAATTATGTCTAAGTGGCAGATATAATTAACATTGGATTGTAATTACACTAATTACAAGTCACATTAAGACACTCCAGTAATGACAAAGTGAGAACCCTATAATTGAATGGAATAAGTAGGGAAACATGCTGCTCACACTAATTACCTAAATGAGCTAATATGTCTTCAGAGTGACAGTCATGCTCAATGTTATTACGCAGACAAAGCAGTTGAATGAGGTATTTTTAAATTTATTTTTATTTATTTATTTTGCTAATTTTCTTTCTTTATTCTCTCCAGGACCTATTTCAAGTCATCACCTGCTTCAGAATTTCACTCTTGAGCCAAAGAAAACAAAAACTGCAATTAGAGATTTCTCTAACCTTGTTAAAGGAGACTATGCACAGCAATCCATAAACTCAGGTAAGATTCCAATCTTAGTGTGTGTGGAATGTACTGAACACCAGTTGGTTTCTCAGACTGGCAATGCTCTGAAATTTCTCCTCTGTTCGGCCTTCCAAATCAAGCAGCTCCAGCTCACTGTGTAGTCTGCAGCATAACAATCATCATATTGTGGGTGCTGAAGAAACAAATATGGCTTCCAGCAACCCCACTTCAGAGAGGCCCTGGAAAGTGGTAAAACCTGAATTATTCAGGACAATTAGTGCAAACATTGCACTGGAACTCATATTTCAGCCTAAGCTGTTATGTGAGACTGTAAACTAATAGTGGAATATGAATTCACGGCACTGTGAATATTGTTTTTTTTTGAGTTGTTATTTCTTTCCCCGCTTCATATTACTTTTCATTTATATGCCCCCAATTGTCTGGGTCACTGCTTGGGTGAGAAAAGAAAATAAAGGGAACAGACTGAAGCTATTTAAAACCTTTCTTCCAAAAAAAGAGATTTTTTGTTTTTAAGGCAGGGAAATCACAATATGTGGAAAACAGAATTGATGCACTTAAATTGATAAACAATGCTGAGCATTGCTTTTCTTTCTCTTGTGTTGGTGAAGAAAGAAAATTGTGTCAGGCATGCTTTTGTTAGCAGAGCTTTGGAGCGGTTTCTGTGCGTTCCACTTTTTACTGTAGCCATGTAAATGGGTTTTTCTTATCTTCATCCAGAAACTGCAATTTTGCCTCTAAGAAACCAGGCCTATGGGTTTCTAATACAAAGCAGTAAACCAAATATACAAGGTTTATTTTATTTATTTATTTTCGAGATGGAGTTTTGCTCTTGTTGCCCAGGCTGGAGTGCAATGGCGTGATCTTGGCTCACCGCAACCTCCGCCTCCCAGGTTCAAGTGATTCTCCTGCCTCAGCTTCCCGAGTAGCTGGGATTACAGGGATGCGCCACAATGCCCGGCTAATTTTGTATTTTTAGTAGAGACGGGGTTTCTCCATGTTGGTCAGGCTGGTCTCGAACTCCCAATCTCAAGTGATCTGCCTGCCTCAGCCTCCCAAAGTTCTGGGATTATAGGCATGAGCCACCACACCTGGCCCTACAAGGTTTACTAATAAGTGGGTGCTATATTAGTTCAAAGGTGACAATTTTACCCTCCCACCCTATTCATATTTGGCATGTAGCTAAGAAATAATGACCTTGTTCTTTTGAAGTACTCCACTTCCAGGGTTATGTATTTCCTGCAATCAATTATATTTTAGTTCAAAATTGACTTAATTTTGAATTTGAATTAGGGTTATACTCCATTAATTCTGTAGTTGTACGAATTCATATAATCAAGCATTAGGATTTTACATAAGAAGATGTTTATTGAAATAAATAGTAATGCATAAGAAGATGTTTATTGAAATAAATAGTACTGGAGGCCAGGCTTCCACTAATGACCACGCAAATCAGAGGCAAATGGAGCTTGGCATGTTTAATCTGAGATAAGGAGTGGGGTGACTTAGATTGTATCCTTAGCACTATCCTGTTCTCACTGATGATTTTGCAAGTTATTCATTATTTCTGTTTTGATATGATGGCGATTTCACTGGTTACTTGCAACTTATTTAGTCCTTGAGGCTTAAAGCAGCTCAGAAACTTATTTCATTTTATGTCACTACCTCCTGGTAAATGAGTTAGCCAAGTTGGCAGAGCAGTAAGATATCCCAGACCAGGGTTGGCAAACTTTTTCTGTAAAGAGCCAGATAGTAAATACTTAAGTTTTTCCGGATCACATATGGTCTCTGTCACATATATTTTTTTCACAACCCTTAAAAAATGTAAAAACCATTCTTAGATTGCTGTATACTAACTGTGTATATTGTGTGTATATTATCTATGTACAATTAGTATACAGGGCTGTATACTATTAGGCCATAGGCAGAATTTGGCCCACAATCTGCTTGCCAGCCCCTGTATTAGACAAATACAGGGTGTCACAGGGAAGATTGTTCTTTATTAGAAACTGAATAGAAAACTACTCAAATCAACTTTTCCTAAATACTGAAAAATGAAATGTAGACCATAGATACTCAAAGATATGGACATTTTAATTCTATTTATACTTGAATAAATTACTATACTTGGACTATCTGAGTTGGAGATGGGATGGGGGCTTCCACACAGGCCATGGGGAGCAACCTGGCCTGGGGCTGGGGGTCAGAGCCTAGGTGAAGTGAGGAGGACATCTATGCAAAGCTGGAGATGGACTGGTGACATAACAGGGTGATAGGGTTTGCCTGTGTCCCCACCCAAATCTCACCTCGAATTGTAGCTCTCATAATCCCCACATGTCATGGGAGGGACCCTATGGAAGGTAGTTGAATCATGGGGTGGGGGGGTTTCCCATGCTGTTCTCATGATAGTAAATAAGTCTCATGAGATCTGATGGTTTTATAAAGCACAGTTCCCCTGCACGTGCTCTCTTATCTGCTGCCATGTAAGACATCCCTTTGCTCTTCCTTTGCCTTCCACCATGATTGTGAGGCCTCCCCAGCCGTGTGGAACTGTGAGTCTATTAAACCTCTTTTTTTTTAAATAAATTACCCAGTCTTGGGTATGTCTTTGTTAGCAGCATGAGAACAGACTAATACACAGGGGTTTGATCAAATAAGTAATTCTGCTAAAGGTATGGTGATCCAGGTATCAGAAGAGAGTTACAAGTATGGAAATGAATAAAACTAGAATGATTTCTGAAGTTTTCAATACATGTGGATTCATAAATAAATATAGATGTAAGTTGTGGTATACATACACACACTCATATATAGTCATGTACTGCTTAGTGATATTTTGGTCAAGGACAGACTCCATAAATGACAGTGGTCTCTTAAGATTATAATACTGTATCTTTACTGTACATTTTCTATGTTTGGATATGCAAATACTTACTGTTGTGTTACAGTTGCCTACAGTGTTCAATACAGTAACAAGCTGTACAGGTTTGTAGCTTAGGAGCAATAGGCTGTGCAATATAACCTAGGTGAGTAGTAAGCCATACCATCTAGGTTTGTGTAAGTACACTCTATGATGTCCCTGTGATGACAAAATTGTATAATGATGCATTTCTCAGAATGTATCCCCACTGTTAAGTGATGCATGACTATATACCTTTCCTACCTCTGTCTACTGCAAGGGTCTGGGAGCAGCAAAATCTTAAAAAGAATGAACAGTCTTAGTGCCCAGATCATGAGTTCTCAATATCATTCTCCATTAAATGCAACCAGGGCTCCTCAGAGAAATGATTGATTCCAGAACTAAGGCAGGAAACGTATGAGTCTAGAACTTTTTTTTTTCTGTCCTGGAAACAAACAAAAAGATCACAGAGTAACTGGGTTGTGTCAAAAAATCCAGAAATCAGTTTGAAGGGCCCCTCATCAGGAGAGTCAGGAACAATTTCAGGAGGGCTGACTTGGGTAGGCTGCTGTATCAAAGGGCTTGGATAACCATAATCCCTCATGGGAAAAGGAGTAGCAGACAAGAAGGTGTTGGTGGAACAACGATATGGAGGGGAAACATTCTCATTGTCAAAGGTGGTTTAATACCTGGGAAAGAATCCTTGATATTGCCATTTTGCTTCCATGAACACTGTAGAAAAACACTTGGTTCCACTCCTGGTCCTCCAGGCCCCATTCCAGCACACTCAGATGTGTAATTCTTGCACCCCCTGTCAAGCACACCCACTTCCTTATCCCTAGTAACTGGCTCTATCTTTAGAGTACTGTATATATAAAAAAAACAAATCAATACTAAAGCCCATTGAGTATCTTGGTGCCACCATGATAGGTCAGTTCAGTATTCTCCCTATCACTGCTCTAACAAATTTTCTGCTATAATTCTAATATCTACATTCTCAAACCTTAAGACATATTTCTGTGCCTGAGAACTTCTTATCTAGACTAGAAACTAACACTGATTGTCTGACATTCCTTTTTTTAATTAATCACTTTTATTTTAGGTTTGGGGGTACATGTGAAAGTTTGTTACATAGGTGAACTCATGTCATGGGGTTTGTTGTGCAGATTATTTCATCACCCAGGTATTAAGCCCAGTACCCAATAGTTAACTTTTCTCCTCCTCTCCCTCCTCCTTCTCTCCACCCTCCAGCAGACCACAGTGTGTGTTGTTTCCTTCTTTGTGTTCCTGAGTTCTTCTCGTTTAGCTCCCACTTATATGTGAGAATATGCAGTATTTGGTTTTCTGTTCCTGTGTGTTTGCTAAGGATAATGGCCTCCAGCTCTATCCATGTTCCCACAAAAGACATGATCTCATTCTTTTTTATAGCCGAATAGTATTCTATGGTGTACACGTACCACATTTTCTTTATCCAATCTGTCATTGATAGGCATTTAGATTGATTCCATGTCTTTGCTATTGTGAATAATGTTGTGATGAACATTCACTTGCATCACATTCCTTTCTTAACCTCTGGGGTTCAGTATGTTATGCTGTAAAAAATGGACCTTCAGCTAATATTATTATCTTAGGCTGTAACAGACCTTCCCAGATACTATCTGTCTACTCAGTACTAGATCAATTGTGACTGTAGAGTTCACGTCCCTGTTTGAAAGTTCATTTGTAGGTATCTCCACCTATGCTGAATAAACAGAGGTCCAATTTAGGCCCCATTTTCCCTACGTTTATTTTTTGCAACACTTCTGGATGTACTCAGTGATGTTTTCAGATGTAAATGCAATCTCCTGCCTAAAGCAACCTTGGCTAAGTCAGAAAATATACCAAATGCCTTAGTCCCTCCATCTGATGGGGCTTAGAACTAAAGCCCCCCAGAGAAACAGCTAATCTGGTCATGACTGCTGGGCTCTTTGTTGCTCCCCCAATGCCTTTGCTACCAAGAAACCTATGTATGGCCAAAGCCCCAGGAGTGTTCTTTCCCTGCGAGGCTGTGCGCCTTTGCTTTCCTTTTCTTCTCTTTCCTGTCTGCACTGTGGCTCTGTTCAAAGGCTTGAATTTTTGCCATGGTTCCTGCTCCTTAGTTCTGCCTGAACCACGATCTCATGGTTTCAGCACTGTCATTTTCTCTTTAGTGTCAGTCCTTTTCACCTAAGAAAAGATTCCCGACCTGTATATAATCCAGTTTGGTAGCTAGGGCACTGCAACATCTGGACAAATCTTTTCAATTAAAATTTCTTCCCCATCATAATATGTAAAATATGTTTAAAATGTGGTCTGAATTAGGTTCCCTCACTGGTATTTGGTGCATATGTGTACTCCTTTGAGACCCCCTGTAGTAGTCTCCTCTTACCATCCCTTAATCCACTGGGTTTCACCTTCCTCACCCTTCTTGCTTTCCTGCCATCCCTTGAGCTCAGTCTTGCTTGAGTGAAGGCAGTTGTAGGCAAATCAGTACTCTCAGTGTCACTCAGGCATGGTTCTTGATTTTAAGGCACATCCTGGCACCACATAATATTCCGTCTGCCACGTGCTACTTTGAATGGATAGCCTTGAACCTGAGATGCAACCTAATGAAATTGACTGACGTGCTATTCTACATTTATATTTTTCATAGTGCTCTAACCATAGTTAAGAGCAGAGTTTTGGAGTTGAAGCCTCACCTTGACTCTAATTCTGGGCAAGTTATTTAACCTTTCTGGGCATGGTGGCACACCATGAGGATAATGTATAAATAAAATGTGGATAACAATTCATAATTAATCATGAGGTCATTAAGAAATGATAACAATAGCTATTTATCCAGAGATATGTGAGAGGGTGCTGTGCTAAGTGCTTTACATATATTATTTCTAATTCTTAGAATTACATTACATAGAGTATTGTATTCTCATTTTATAGAGGAGGAAATTGAGGTTTAATGTGATTCAGTAATTTACTGAGCTCACCACAGTAAGCAAGATGCAGAACTAGAATCCAATTCCAAGGTTTGGCTAACTCTTAAACTCTAGCATATTTCACTTTGTTCTGCTGGACGCCACTAATGGGAAGGTTTTTCTCCAAAAAAACAAAGAGACACATTTCTCTGTGGCATTTCCTGTTTTCCTTTTTCAAACATCTTTTTAGTTGCAGAAGAGTTGCCAGAATCAAAGACATAATTCATGTGTTGAACTGCTGCAGGCTGGGAAGAAAAATGCATTTTTAATCGTTTAACTCGTTCACTGCGGGTATTTAAGTGCTTCAGGTGAGGTAGAAATAGACATATTTTAATGAGAAGTTGCATTGACTGGACGTTGGTGGGGATGAAGGACATGTGAGACAGGAATGGCAAGATTCTAAGGATCCTAGCCTGCAACATACTAGGTGCTTTTGAAAATGGTAAGAAGGTGAATTTAATTCTTTGGGATCCTGGGGAAAGCGAGTCTCCACAATGGGCTGGAGATTTCCTCAGGGTAGTGTTTCCTGATCTCTTTAAAGTTGGTCCCCTAAGTATTCTTTAAGCCAGCGAACTGTTTGATTCCTCAATCACATTTTTTATATTTGTATTTATTATATTTGTCTGTTTTCCTTATTTTTTCCCTGGAATGTAGTCTTTAAAGACCAGGCAAATGAAATAGTGATTGACACATAGTAAGTGCCCAATAAATACTTGTTGAATAAATATGACAAAAGTCCAAAGAAGATCCCCTACCTATGTGTGGAGATTGAGTTCAGGAACTGCCATACTAAAATCTACATACCTGTTCAGGGATAGCCAGGCAAGATAATAACATGTATAAATGCATTTTCATTAATATTTCCTCTGTACAGTTTTAATTCTAGAAACAGGCTTAGAAATAAGATATGGTATCTCTTACCCACAAATACATGCAGGGAGGAAAGCAGGATTAGATGGGATTGAAGAAATGGGGCTGTGGAAGTTGATGCTCTGACACAGATGGCCAGACAGTCTAAGAGGCAGTGCAAAGATGTGGACAATTTCAGCAAATGTTTTTTTTTTTCCAGTAGGTGCAATTTCATAGGTCTGAAGGAGGTGTAGGATGCATGACACCCAAAGTAAGATACACAGTGGTGTCATCGTGGTGGCTCAACCCAGCAAAGAGCCAAGAGTGTTCCAGTGTTCAAAGGAGAAGACAGGTAAGAAATAGACAACATCAGTTTGCCTTTGAGTTCCTATGGGTCAATAGCACCCTTAGATGGCATATCATACACTAGACTTAACTTTGTAGCCTTTAAATCATGTTATAGAATTTGAGGGACTAGAAAAATATTCGCAAGAATTCACTGAATGATATAAGGCTTATACAAGCATATGTACCTTTTGAGGCAAAACATCCCTCTATATTTTTATCTACAACTATATATGCAGAGAAAAAAAACAGATTGGGAGGAAATATATGAAAATGTTATTAGTGATTATCTCCAGGTGGTTAAATCTCAGGTGGTATATGGTTTCATCTGCATGTTTTCCAAGTCTTCTCTTGTTAACGTGAATTACTTACAGAATAGAAAAAGCAAATATTAGAAAAAAAAAACAGAGGAAGACTCTACTAGGCAAGATAAATCAAAATACATCAGACCGTGCTGGTAATTCTTCTTATGTCTTTTTTTCTTGTCCACTGGATGAACTTTTTTGCTCTCTCTCTGAACTACAGACTGTAGTACATCCTGGGTTGGTTCTTGGCATCTTCCAATAAACCCCTGCTCAGTCAAGATCCTGCTTTGACAAGGTCTAACCTCTTGCTGTTCACAACATGTGACATTTAGTTGTGATGGACATAGAGACCTGGACTTCATTAGAAGAATTTCAGGCAGGAAAATTGAGGCAAATATCACATTTGGAGATATCCTGATATGTTACCAGATATCTCTGATACACCAGTTATCAGAGATCTTAAAGTAGAAATCTTTTACCTAACATCCTTAATGACAACTCCACAGACTTCTACATGTGTGATAAAGAAGATGCTGAGATATGGTAAAAATGTGAGAAACAAAATACTGAATGTATTGGTTTATTTCTAAGATTATAATGGCTGCTTTAGAATTATGGATGAGATTAGAGCTGAAGTTTTTTGTGGAGCTGGAAAAGACAAAGACAGAGTAACCCATATCTAATTCTTCCCATTGTCGGCCTCTGGTTGTCCTTCACTCTTATTTTCCCAATTATATCTACCCTTTCTACCTCACAAGAAAGCCTATTTGTCACATTTTCCCTTCAATCATAATATACAAGTTCTTTATTTTATTCTTTGCCAGGTAACTGATTAGGCTCTTTTTTTTACATGAATCCAAGTTGAGGTGTTGATAGCTGATAACGACTAGATGTGTGAGATGTGTTAAAATGTGTGCTGATAACATTGACATTTGTTCAGTGACCTTCAGAATCTTAAGTCTAGTGGGAATTTAAGACACCATGAGGTGCTGTAAGATAAAAAGTGTAAGAGCAAAAGGGTCTTTCATAACCCCAGATAATATAGACAGCTGTCTAATTGAGCTTAACATTTGGCCAATTCTTATTTTCAGAGCAAATTGTCTGGAATCAATCATGTTTACCTCTGATTTCTGTGCAATACCTAATATTTAAAACTTAAATTTAAAAAATTGTAACTACTTATTTCAGAAAACTTTTGATGTTGGATTTCAAAGATAGTCTGATCTTTTTTTATATAGTTCCATTAAGATGATTGTTATGTACTCTCTCCATCAAAAGAATTGAACATCAATGGTAGCCGTAACATGGTATATTTGTATATTCAATTCTGTATCCTTTTGCAAGTTAGTCAAGGATAGAGAAGTTAAGTTGCTTGAAAAAAAATACTATAAAACTCTGTGACAAAAACACTGATTATTTCTAAAAGGTCAATTGAAATGGACTGATTATGCTTTGTCATTAAGTGGCCCTTAACCTATACTGTGCTGCTCTTAATTTCCTTGGTGTGGCCTTGTGTTTGTGAAATTCACATTTAGAGTTCTGATTAGATTTTTTTTTTTGCATTAAGAAGAGAGAAAGACAACCACTTTTTCCTTCCAATCATTTGTGCATTTTTTTCTTTTTTTCCTGCTTTGCCTTTAGTTGAACTGTTTGCCTATATCATTTTATTTTAATGCATATATCAACTTTTGCTTTATTGTCCTCTTAAGACACATGGCAAGTAGGAGATTTTTTTTATTTGGCTATCTGATTGTAATTCAGAGGTGTGTGTGTGTGTGTGTGTGTGTGTGTGTGTGTGTGTGTGTTTGAAGTTTAAGAAAGTTTAAAAACAACTTCCACCATGAGATCAGTTGTAAGACATTGTGGAAAATCACTTAATTTCTGTATCTGCCTTCTCATCTAAAAATTAAGAATAACAGTGTGTTTTTGTATTTTGAAAAGTGATTGTAAAGTTCACAATGAAATAGTTAAAAGAGGTTTTAAAAGTATAAAGTACTGCTTAAATATAAGAAAAATGCTACTTATATTGCTTTGATTTTTTTGTATTTCTGCTTTATAAATTGCATATTTTAAAGATAAGTATGTTACTCAAATTTCCTGTTTTTCTTTATTTTTATTGAGATAATATCTAAAGATAAAATATCTACATAAAAATATCATAATGATATACATAGACATACAAATATTTTTCCTTTTTTTTAATTTAGTGTAAGATTTCCATTTTGATTCTCAGTGAGTAATAATCTTAAATTTGGCAATTTGATTAACATACATACACTTTGTATTTATAAAATTATGGTGAAGAACTTAAGGTTTGCTCATTAACGTGAAATAATACAAGCTATGATTAGACAGTGACAATTCTGTTTTGCCATATGGTTAGGAGACAACAGAACTTAAACTTTGAGGAGCTAAATAAGTAAAACAGATTGTTCTGCCATTGGACAAAAGTCTCTACAAAAATTTGACAATTGTGCAAACTGAAAAAAATATTCATCATGATTTTACAGTCAACAATTTTAAGATTTTTTTTCTTGTGATGCTATGCTTCAATTCGTATATTATGCTGATCAGGTTAGCATCAATCTTTTTAAGTAAGACATTCTGTGCTGGATAATCCCTGTACAGTTTTTGAGGCCATTTAAAATGAGTAAATAAGTAAAGAATTTGTGGTCTATGGGATTGTAGAAACAATTTTGAGCAATTTTGTGCTACAAATATTAGAAGAATATATATTGGTAAATACTATATTAATGGAAAAAAGAACTCACATTTTGCAAGAGACTTAAAATAATTAAACGAGCTCTTTGACTAATGCTAACCCCTGTAATAAATCTGTCATTTTTTTCCCGGAACCTTGCAGTTGCATGGAATTTCTACAGTCTCTGCAAATGCGACCTTATTTGGGCAGATATTTTTAAATGTTTGCCAGAAAGTAAACAGGAAGCAAATCTGAAAGTAATTTGGAAAAGTCAGGAAGATACTCTCCTTCCAAGAATCTAACTCAGTTACCACTGCTCTCCTTGCTTCTATTTAATACTCAGATAGCTTTTTGTTTAAAGAACCAGGTGACAACTGTAAGTTAAGTGGATTTCAGCACCTTCCGGACACCTCAAAATAAATCACCCAGATTCTTCTCTCCCTCCTGCAGCACCACCCCCCCCCCATTTAATGAAGAGTTGTATATGCTGCAAGAGACTATTTGATCATTGAAGAGAGACAAAATGTTCTGCTTTTCAGCACATTTTAATCCACAGCTGGTGCACAGATTGGCAGAGAGTATATGTTAGTTTTAGCTGTGAATTTTTTCAAGTTGAGGTTGCCTATATTTAGATCGCTGGAGTTTTAGGATTGCTGAAAGTAAATGTTTGAATGAGAAAAATATTGACTGGAGGAAAATACTGTTTAATAGAGGTGTTGATTTTGACCAGCCTAAAATATGCTCATGTTGGATGAACATTTGTAATAGGAGAAATAAAATTGTGGGTATTACTGGGAAGGCACATTTATTCAATTACCATGCACTAAAGATAAACTAAGGTGTTTAATTTGGTGTCTAAAGGGTACTTGACTCCTTTGGAGAAAAAAAATGCTTTTGTAGGTTCATTTCAGAAAGCAAAGTATTGAACTTTAGAGATAGAGAAGCCAACACACAACCTAATTCACACTTTTAAAGTTAATTTTTCAAATCATCAAAATCCTAAAGTAATTACTATTGATTCTTGGACTACCTTGCAAAACAGGCAGTTCATCCACAGGAGATAATGCAATGTTGATATGTTATTTCTTCCTGAACTGACTGAATTCATTCAACAAATATTTATTAAGCACCTGTGAAGTGCCAGGCAATGTGCCAAGCACCGAGGATGTTTTAATTTAACTTTGATTGTTACTGCTCTGTGAGATGTAAATAAACACAATAGATTGTTTTAAACCCTGATTCTATTCTATTATATGCTTTTTAAAATAACATGGGTGAATTTATTTCTTAAGATTTGAGTGCTTTTTTAGCCAGAATGTTATTTCATTAGTTTTAATGGTAGATTTACCTAGTAGCTCAAATAATTCAGAATGTGTAGGTTTTACTCAAACCTTACCTTTGTTCAGTATGAGATGCATAGAATATGGACTCAAAGTAACAGAAACTATAGCATTATATGACTTTTTCTTTCCAAATCTCTCTCACACATAAAGTAAGCTGAAGAAAGTTAGTTCTAGTATAAAAAAGGATAACTGTTTTAAATAAGAATTATTGTTTCAAAATGAGTGTAGAGGAATGAATTGGGTTGTTGGGTGTTGGAGACCTCTACTTTAATTTAAACAAGATAAATCATTTTTAGTTCATTTATTTGTATTTTATCACCAGGTCAGGAATTATACTCTAAGTTAAACTGCATAGAGAGGGGGAAATTGGAAGTATATATTCAAAATATTTACCATGTACATTATCTGTGAATTAAAAAAACACCTCAACTATGACTTTGTCTTAGGGAAGTGATTGAAGATATAACACTATATGTACAAGGAGAGTCATAATTATGTCATTTGTAATACTGAAAAATGGATATAAACTAAATATATATTATAAAATATTTCTTAAATAAATTACAGTACAACATAGAGGCCGGGTGTGGTGGCTCATACCTGTAATCCCAGCACTTTGGAAGGCTGAGGCAGGTGGATCATGAGGTCAAGAGAGCAAGACCATCCTGGCCAACATGGTGAGACCTCATCTCTACTAAAAATATAAAAATTAGCTGGGCATGGTGATGCGCCCCTGTAGTCCCAGCTACTTGGGAGGCTGAGGCAGGAGAATTGCTTGAACTCAGGAGGCAGAGGTTGCAGTGAGCCAAGATTGCACCACTGCACTCCAGCCTGGAGACAGAGCGAGACTCCATCTCAAAAAGAAATAAATAAAATAAAATAAATTATAGTACAACATAGACTGAACATGATGGCATGCTAAGTGACCATAAAAATGGTTTTCTTAATAATGTATCATGGCTGGGCACGGTGGCTCACACCTGTAATCCCAGCACTTTGGGAGGCTGAGGCGGGCAGATCACGAGGTTAGGAGATCGAGACCATCCTGGCTAACACGGTGAAACCCTGTCTCTACTAAAAATACAAAAAATGAGCCGTGCATGGTGGCAGGCAACTGTAGTCCCAGCTACTCAGGAGGCTGAGGCAGGAGAATGGCATGAACCGGGGAGGCGGAGGTTACAGTGAGCGGAGATTGTGCCACTGCACTCCAGCCTGGGTGACAGAGCAAGACTCCGTCTCAAAAAAGAAAAAATAAATAAATACAAATAAATAATGTATCATGAATATGCTTCTATTGAGTTCCACTGAAACTGCTTTTATTAAGATCACCAGAAAGCTTCACAGAGCAAACTGGAGGGGCCTTCCTTTGCTGCACTCATCTCACTTGACTTTTCTGTAGGAATCTTGTATCTAGCTGACCACACTGTCCCCTTTGAAACACCTTGTTGAACTTGTGACAACACACTTTCTTAGTTCTTTCTCCTCTGCGCTAAATGCTCCAGGGATCTCCATTTTTCATCCACACTTTTTACCTAAGTAACTGCATACATCTAATAATGCTACATACTAGTTATAGATCAGCGCTTCACACGTATGTATTCACAAACTTGACTTTTGCCTAATACTTCACAAATATATTCAACAACCAGTAGATAGCTCTATGTAGATATCTGAAAGAAATTTAAAACACAACTCTGCTAAACTAAAACCTTGATTTTTTTTACCTCTCCAACTCTATTGTCTCCAATTTCTAAAAGTTAGTATATTCCATTATTATTCACTAATTTTTTCAAGTAAAAAACTAAAAATTATCTTTGACTTTTTTCTTTCTATCCAATCCCTCATCACACCCATTCCATCAGCAGGCTTGCTTACCTAATACTATATAATATCACAAACAGAGAATAGACAGTCTAGCCGGGCGCGGTGGCTCACGCCTGTAATCTCAACGCTTTGGGAGGCCAAGGCGGGCGGATTGCCTGAGGTCAGGAGTTTGAGACCCACATGGCCAACATGGCGAAACCCTGTCTCTAGTAAAAATACAAAAATTAGCCTGGTGTGGTGGTGCACACCTGTAATCCCAGCTTCTCTGGAGGCTGAGGCAGGAGAATCACTTGAACCTGGGAGGTGGAGGTTGCAGTGGGACAAGGTTGTGCCACTGCACTCCAGCTTAGGCAACAGAGTGAAACTGTGTCTCAAAAAAAAAAAAAAAAGTCTGCACATCCATCCATCCATCCATCCATCCATCCATCCATCCATCCATCCATCCATTCAGCCAGCCAGCCAGCATGTGTTTTCAGGACCTTGATAAAATCTACACTATCTCTATTCTCTTTTCTAGTCCTTCTTAACTGATTCTTTTAAATGCAATAAAATTAAAAATGCCAAGAGACAAATATCAGTAGGTTTTTTTTTTTTTTTTACCATCATCTTATTCTCTTCACACTGCACTAATGAATGTATTTGTATCTTGCTTATAATACAGTGGTTTTCGGTTCTTTGCTAGTGAGTTGTCTTTTCCCAAAATATTCCAGTATTCTGAATTTTTCAAGATAAAATGTGAAAAATAAAGCCATCTAATTCTTATTGAAGACACCTTGGTTGGGGGAGACATTTTCCTTTCATTTTCTAATAGATGCATTTAGAAAATAAGCATATTTTTTAGATACAGGTGTTTTCATAAGAATTTTGTGAACTAATTACATCCTGGTCCTCTCTCTCTTTCTCTCTCTCTCTCTCTCTCTCTCTCTCTCTATATATATATATATATATATATATATATATATATATATGGTTGTTGGGGGACACTTTAGACATAAAGGGTGATAAATGGAGAGCACTATGGCTTACGTCCCCACTTTTCTCAAAGGTCTGTATTTAATACCCTAAAAAAGAGGAAGAACAATTCGAAGCCAACTGGGCTTATTGGATCAAGGGTACTCTGAGTCTAGAGGGACATATGGAACTCTTTTGGGGCCACAAAACAATGTCCTGGCAGAGATGAGCCATTGACAATTTTCTTTACCTCAGATCAGTGGGCACTTCTGATAAACTGAAGGCTCAAGAAAGCCACTAGTGGAAGATTTCAGTGACTGGCAGAGTGACAGAGTATGCTATAGCAAAAGAAAGCAGAATGGAAGAATACAAACAAACTTGGCTTAAATGCATGTGAAACAATCCTAGAAATCACTGAAGAAAATTTGAAGACTAGATCTTTTGCATGGAGAAGACAAGTGTCATCAAAATTCAAATATTGACCATATAACTACAATTGTGCCTGAATGGTTTTTGCATGGAAAACCGTGGGTAACCATCATTTTAGATATTTCTGCATTTTCCAAGTTTTTTATAGATTTTATGATTAGATTTAAGATTTTTGATTGTGTTTTCTGTGAAATCATCTGGTCTTGGTTACAATCCCAATTCCATTTTGGGCGATTTATTTAACATCTTTATTCTTCCTTTAAACATCACCCAAACTGGGACAACAGTGAAGTGTAAAAGAATTAAGTACCTATAAAGCACTTAGGACAGTGTCTGACATCTAGTTAGTGCTACATAGATAATTACCATTATTATATTAATACTTATTCCAGCTCATAATCTTTACATTGAAAAACAAGCAATGAAACACCGAGGAGAGACTATGGGTCAAATATTTTCTAACAAATCTTTGTAAATGACTTTTTTTTTCAATTTATAGGTGGCATTCTTTGTTTCCCTAAGACAATTATATTTCAACTACAAATAATAGCAATTCCTCCTTTTATTTCTTCTTCAGTCATCAGAAGTCCTAGAAAAATGTAATCATGTTAATGGTAGATGTACTTAACTTTAATGAAATGCTTTTCATGTTTGTTCATTAGGTATAAAATTTGCTTTTGACTTCATGTATGTCTTTTATCATTTCAATGATGTATATTTTTATCTATTTACTTAATTTTTTATGAAACAGTTTTCTAGACCCAGGGCATTAGGCAATGCAGAGCAGTGACTCTGAAAAAAAATGAGTTGAAACCCATAATTGTCCCAGCTTACTTCTTTGAAAGAGTCTCTAAGCAGTGGTGGTGTGAGGAGGAACCTAAGAGGAGCTTATCAAACTCCTGGAGTTGAGGAATTGCACAGTGAAGTATTTCAAAAGAGAGATATGCTCAGATAAAGAACCCAGTGATCTGTAGAATGTCCCTCTTGATTATTCAGCAGAATACATTTTAATGCACTGATGTGAAAAAATTCCCCAAGGTCAGGAAAAGAACCACCAAAAAGAATTAGAGGTAACAATGGCCAGTGCTTACAGAGGCCAAGAAGGGTCTTGTTACTCACAGGCTGGTCTGGAAAACCTTACAACTAATAGGCATTGGTGAGAGTATATAGTAAACAAGTCTTGCTTCACTCGTGGAAATAATTAGCCCCAGGATGAACCCCTCCCTGGTCTTGCCTATCAAATCTTATAAAGTAAGATCCAAAAGAATCAAAATGATTTTAAGTAACCTAAATATGTCTCAGAACAAAGTTCAAGGATATTTTTAGGAATACAAAATGCCCAGTACCCAATAAGATGTGTACCAGGAACACAAAGCTACAGAAATATAAGACCCCCTAATAAGGAGAATAAAAACATCCAAATGAATCCAGAAATGATGCAGATATTACAATAGCCAGACAAAGACACTAAACATTTGTTTTAATTGTACTCCATATGTTAAAAATGTTAGTTAGAAATATAGAATGCATGAAAAAAGATTTAAATCACACATATAGAAATGAAAAAATACCATGTGTGAGATGAAAAATACACTGGATGGGATTAAAACAGATGATTAGACATTGTGGAAGAAAAGATGAGAGGACTTGAAGTCATAGCAATAGAAACTATCCTCAAATGAACACATAGACAAAAGAGTACAACAGCAAATACATGAGGGAGCATCGGTGAACTGTAGACAATGCCAGTGGACTAATATACATGTAATCAGACTATGAAGGAGGCAGAAAAAATATCTGAACATGTAATGGCTGTTTTAAAATCTAGTTTGATGAAAACTATAAATCTACACATCCTAGAAGCTCAATAACTTCAAAGGCAAGGGGTACTTAAATTAAGCTTTTGTAATATTTAATATTAATACATATGGTTTTTAATTGTTGAATTATAGTCTGATTTTTCACCACTTCTGCCAGTCATATATTTCACATTTTTTCACGTGCACTAAGTCTAATTCAAATGGATACCTTTTGTAGTCTCATTATTTTTTAAAATATGTAATTGACAAATAAATATTGAATATATTCAAAGTATACAGTGTAATAATATATGTATACATTGTGTAATATTTACCAAAATCAGATTAACGCACCCATTACCACCCATGCTGTACATTAGATACAAAGAACTTGTTAATCTTATGACTGAAAACAGCGTACCTTTTGACCAACAACTCCCCATTCTCCTACCCACCAGCCCCTGCCAACCACCATTTTCTCTGCTTCTATGAGTTTGACCTTTTTAGATTCCACATATAAGTGAGATCATAACGTATCTGTCTTTCTGTGTCTGGTTTATTACACTCAGCCTAAGATCCTCCAGGATCATCCATGCTGTCACAAAAGTCAGGATTTCCCAATTTTTTTAAGCTGATAATATTTCATTGTATATATGTACAGCATTTTTAAATTCATTCTTCTGTTGTTAGATACTTAGGTTGTTTCCATAGCTCGGCTTTTGTGAATAATGCTTCAGTGAACATGGGGGTGCAGATATCTTTTTGGAGATATTGATTTAATATCCTTTGGATATATACCTAGAGGTAAGATTACTGGATTTTATGGGAGGCTCTATTTTTAATTGCGGGAGGAACTTTCCTACTGTTTTTCATAATAACTGTACCAATTTACATTCCTACCAACAATGTACAAGGGTTTCCTTTTCTCCACACTCTTGCCAACACTTGTTATCTCTTGTTTATTTCGTACTAGCTATCTTAACAGGTATGAAGTGATATTTCATTGTGATTTTGATTTGCTTTTCTTTGATGACTAGTGATGTTGAGAATCTTTTCATTTGCCTCTTGGCCATTTACATGTATCCTTTGGAAAAAATGTCTATTCAGGTCCTTTGCTCATTTTAAAATCAGGTTTTTGTTTTTATTTTTGCTATTGACTTACATTAGTTTCTTATATATTGTAGATGTTAACCCCTTATCAAATATATGGTTTGCAAATATTTCCTCCCATTCCATGTGTTGCCTTTTCATTTTGTTGATTGTTCCTTTGCTAGGAAGAAGCTTTTTAGTTTGATGTAGTCTTACTTATTTTTTTCTTTAGTCACCTGTTCTTTTGGTGTTATATCAAAAAATAATTGCTAAGGCCAGTGTCTAAAAGCTTCTTCCCTATGTTTTCTTCTGGAAGTTTTATGATTTCAGAATTTACATGTAAATTTTTAATTCATTTTGAGTTAATTTTTGTGTGTGGTGTAAGACAAGGGTCCAATATTATACTTTGGTGTGTAGATATTCAGTTTTTCTAACACCATTGTGTATTCTTGGTATCCTTATCAAAGATTAGATGGTTGTATTATTTCTGGTCTCTCTAATTTGTTCCTTTGATCTATGTGAGTGTTTCTATGTCATTACATACTGCTTTGATTACTACAGTTTTGTAATATAGTTTGAAATTAAGAGTGTGCTGCCTCTAGCTTTGTTCTTCTTTCTCAAAGTTGCTTTTATTGTTTCATGTTTATAAACATAACGGATGACTCATAAGTATGTCCTCATGAAGACTACACACTTAGCCCGTTGGTTACTGGATAACGGAAAGTCATGCAGATATATATATATATATATATATATATATATATATATATATATATTCCTCCTTACGCCTCTTACTAGCTAGAAAATATAAATTTAGCCTAACCATATAAAAGTTAAAAAGTAAAAGTTAAAAAGTAAAGTTAAAAAGTAAAAAGTTAAAAAGTAAATAGAAAGTTAAAAGTTAAAAAGTAAGTAGAAAGTTAAAAAGTTAAAAGTAAAAAGTTAAAAAGTAAAAAGTAAAAGTTAAAAAGCTAAAAGTTAAAAAGTAGCTTAGCATCTTCTATATAATAGGATGTAAATAAAAGTTGAATTTAAAAAATCCACCTAATAACAAATACTATTTTAAATTATAAAAAGTAGAACCTCTACCTTTTTCAGTATGGTAATCTCCACTGCCATCAGCTTATTGTGAACAGGTACTTTGTAATGAACACATCAAAAAGATTGATTATGGGAAGTCATGTTTAAGATTTCTGAAATTGATAAATCTGTTTTTTAAACTATTTTTTAAACTCTGGCTCTTTCACTAGAGAAACTCCAACATTGTTGCCATTGTTATTTAAACTCTGTGTCTTATTGGAAACATTATTAATTTTTAAAAACAATGTGACTGTATTTTGAATAGAATTAAAAAATCACTAAAAGTAATTGGTGACTAATTTATGGACTACTTTAAATAAAGCTTTTGTAATATTTAATATTAATATACATGGTCTTCAATTGTTGAATTATAGTTTGATTTTTCACCCCTTCTGCCAGTCGTATATTTCACATTTTATTCAAATGGATACCTTTGGTAGTTCATTATTTTTTAAAAATATTTAATAGCTTTTTGTGGTTCTTGTATATTATTATTCTTTAAAAATCAAACCAAAACTCATATCCTTATCACCCAAAAAGTATATGTGAGGGAGCTTCAAGCGAAGACTGAAACTCAAATTGGTATTTTTCTAGATTCCTGGGGGAAAACAACAACAGTATATAAAGACCTATGGTTGCTAGGTTATGCAACTTTATGATTCACTTTTCTCTTTTGACTCTCAAACTTTTATAACTATATTTATATATTCTTATTCAGGCTTTAATTCACCTGGTGAATCTTTTTTTTTATTTTTTGGGACGGGGTTTTGCTCTGTCGCCCAACCTGGGGTGCAGTGGTACTGAAACGGAAAAGTTCCCTTATCCCCCTTGCAGGGCATGTGATGTGGGTGTGGCTTGTTTCTTCAGTGCTCTGCTGCTCAAACCTCTAGGGGAAGCACACAGATAACCAGGCTGTGGAGCCCTAACCCCGTGACAGTGTCTAGGGGTGAATGTTTACAGCTCCTGAAGCCCCAGTGGGCATGTGTTACAGGGTGCTCTTTTAGTTTTGTCGTGTATAGGTGGCTTGTCTTAACCAGTTCAATTAGACCCTCCACCTTATCAAAAGGACAGAGGGCTTTCTGTATTCCAGGTTCTTGCCTTGATGTACCAGAGGAATCAAATCACATTTGGGCTTGGAGAATGAGTGCAAGGTTTCATCGAGTGGAGGTAGCTCTCAGCAGATGGGGGAAGTCAGAAGGAGATGGAGTGGGAAGGTTTCCCTCTGGAGTTGAGCCTCCCAGCAGCCTGGGCTCTCCTCCGACTGCCTCAGCCAAACTCCACATTCTTCTGCTTCTGATGGTTGGTGGCCTGCCAGTGTGCTGGTGCCTGTCGGTTAGTTCCTCTCCATGTCCAGCCACCTGAGTGTTGTGCTCCTCTCCATGTCCAGCTGCCTGTGTGTCTGCCTGCTAGGGTCTTGGGTGTTTTTATGGGCAAAGGATAGGGGCGTAGCAGGCCAGAATGGTCTTGGGAAATGCAACATTTGGATAGGAAATGCCTGTCCTCACCTAGGTCCGTGGGGGTGGAGCCCTAGCCAGGGACCACACCCTCCTCTACCCAGCATTTCCCTTCCCCAGCTCTGTATCATTTAAAGGGACCATGCTCTTCCCTTCCAAGCACTTCTCTTCTGTATCAGTACCCTCACAGATGACTGCAGCCTCGACCTCCCAGGACAAAGTGATCCTCTAACCTCAGTCTCCCAAGTACCTGGGACCATAGGCACACGCTATGATGCCTGGCTAATTAAAAAAAATAAAAATGTAGAAATGAGGTCTCCTTATGTTGCCCAGGCTGGTTTTGAACTCCTGGGTTCAAGCAATTATCCCACCTTGGCCTCCCAATGTGCTGGGATTATGGGCATGAACCACTGCACCCAGCCTACCTGGTGAATCTTGATTCTTTTTTCAAGACTCAAAATTAGCTCCTCAGTGAAGATTATCCTTTAAACTCAGAGTTAAGAGATACCTCTTGTGTATTGCACAGCACTGTGTACTCTGCAGCTTCCATTATGATTCCTATGTGTTATGCTAAACTATGATGTCTTTGAGGGAGGGTCATAGCTGGGTATCTTATACGATAATTGATACAGTCCCTAGCATAAGGGTAAATACTTTGTAAATGCTTTTTGAATAGTCATTTTTAAAGAAATTGACATGGAAAGATCTAAACATTTATTATCATGTAGTTTTAAAAGAAGCTAAATATGTTATTTTGGTTAATTCTTTACTCAATTGCTATCATTGTTTTCAATATTACAATGATGGTGCAGGAAAGCAGACAACGTGTTTCTTTCTAAAGCTGTTTTATAAATAGACTAAAAGTATTAGATATTTACTAGTACTTTTTACACTGGTTGAAATGACCCAATTTTTTTCATCTTTCCTCAAAATACATATATTTTCACTATTCAAATAATATTTGTAGATACAAATTAATTTCTATATTGTAAATAAAGTGTTTTAAATCATAGAATGCTATGCAGAGATGAGACAGTAATAGGAATACTTCAAATATAATTTTCATTCTTTACATAATTTTTAAATATGAGTTCTGCGTGGTAAATTTTATAAACATGATATCATATTTGGCTTCCATATACCAGTTTTTAAAAGGCTTGCTGCCAAAAAAAGAAAAACAACTGAATATCATTAGAAGGTTATCAGAAATAGGAAAGAGTAACAAAAAAACACGATCCTCTGAATAAAGATATACAAAGATGGAGAAGACATATATGGTCCATGATGGATTTTAATAAATTCTAGGAAAGAGGTATGAATGGTTCAGTGAGAAATTCAAAGAACTTGGAGTCAGGAAAACGTATCCTCTGGGTCTCACTTCAAACAAGCATCGAATAAGACACCAAAAACATAAAAGCACCAGGACCAAAGGAATAGTAATTTTCACATCAAGTGTTTTTTAATTAGATATTTCTTTTTCAGATTATACCATATACCCCCCCCTTTTTTTTTTTTTTGCTAAAATACAGTTACTTTGCAACAAACTTACTCTGAATGAGTTTTCAAATAGTCTTTCAAGTGTGTTAAATTATAATTACAGTTTGTATGGCCTGCCCAGTCATTCTTGCATGTAATTTGCTCATGTACTCTGGGAGTAGGAAATGATTGAGGGTATGAAATACTAACAGGCCTTATTATGAGAGGGGAGCATTTATGTTTGGATTTCTTAAAACTGCAGTGTGGAAGTCCTCTATTGTTTATTTATTCTTATGTTTAGCATTTCAATTTTGCCACTAACTTTAGGAAACTCATGTATGTGTTAGTCATCAACCAGCAAGAATAATTGTCAATTTGTAAGTCTTAATTCTATTTCTATCATAAATGATATGCTTTTGTAGCCTGAATTGTGAACTTAAACTCTAACATAGTTGCAGTGTGAAGAGCTTATTTCTGTTTTATAGTGTCATGAGGTTGTTAGGAAGATTGAGGAAGATACGGCATGTGAAAGTGCTTTGCAATTTTTAGGAAATGATCCAAATGTAAAATATTAATTTTATTTATTAGAGTACCTAGTGTGTGTTGGGCACTGATAAACCTTATAGTCAGCATGATTTAAATTGACACTAGGAATTTCCAAATGGCATTATAGGTTTTTTATTTTAACCATTCAACCCTGATTACACACTTTAGGAATGGAAAATCTGTTTTTATTCACTGATGGAAATTTATTAATTTAGTGAAGGAAAAGCAATTTAAATCCATATTTTATTATTTTCTGTTACCCAATTGAGGTATTAGTCTCTCTTTGGTCTTTAGCCACAGTGTATTTTCAATGTTATGTTTCATCTAGCTCATGTGGATTGTGGAAATAAGTAATAATAATAAAATTTTGTATTGATAAATAGATTATGAGTCATTTTACTATCAATAGTGAATGTGTATACTTTATTTTTATGGCCTGGCTCCATGTCATTACACAGAGATTCACACAAATACATTTCTCTGTTGGTAACTTTCTTTGTTACTGTCTTTTTGTTGTTGTTTGTTTGTTTGTTTTTGCTACTACCTCCCTTTGTTATCACCTTTCTTTGTTAGTCCTTCCTTTGGCAAGTTCTGGATAATTATGTGATAGTGTCAATATGCCACATGTTAGAGAGAGTTGATTGAGTACTTTCTAACCAAAAGATAGTGTACCATTCATGGTTCTACTTGCCTGGTTTCCAAAATGGATTTATTCTCTGATTCCAGTAGCCAAAACTATCTTCAACCATGTACTGCGATTTTTATATCTAAAGAAACAGCACAATAGAAAGCAGTGAGGAATTTGGTTAATCTGAGTTCTCTCTCGTGCATGTTCTATCCCTTCCTCTCTCTCTTTTCAAATGCCAGTCAGTTAGAAATTGTCTTTTCACACAACCCCAAATAGCCTCACTCCAGTGCAATATTTGCCGATAGAGGCAACTACATAGACCGAGAGGAGGGAAATTGTTTGTGTAAGTGCTTTTGTTCCCAGGAATCTCTGATATTAAAAGAGAAATTTTTTCCATGTGAATTTTTATAGACGTGAATTTGAGGGGCAGGTCCTAATTAAAGCAGGTCCTACTGGAGTTGATGGTTTTGCAACCCTGGTACTGTCCTTTTGGCTCAGACAATGCTCCCAGGACCAATGCCTGGGAGCTGAGCCCTTTCAGCTCACAGTGATGCTGACTGCTTTCAAGTCGGCCTGTGTCTCCCCCTTCTGGCTCTGGACTGGGTGGTCATTTCACAGTCTTTGCCCAGAGTCACCTTGTCAACTCTGTAAATAACTTCCTTGATTACTTACAAATCTTTAAGCCAGGATTTGTGTTCTGTCTATGTCACATAGGAACTGGGGGCAGCTGGGAAGAGCCACACTTCAGGAGCTTCCTGGTCTCATTGTGCTGTCCAGCACATAATGATGTATCTGTGCTCAGGTTGTTATAGAACAGCCCGACTTCCCAGAGGAAGAAGGGAGAACTGGATGGAGTAAGAGCCTCCACTGTCCTTGATATTAACCTTACTTATGTAACTCATCTCCTTTGCTCTAGACCAAAGCCTGAAATGGGGAATATTAACATAAGAGCACAATCCTTTTGAGCTCCTTTTCAAGCTCTTGATTTCCTTTTCTTGATTGGAGACTGTGGCTTTTTATTTTTCCCATCCTTCATTATTATGCCTTTCTTCTTCCTGACTCCATCAAAACCTTAATGACAGAAAGAAATAACTTCTATTATTTCAGGTGAACTCTATCAACTTATTTCTCCAAGCTAAATTGTTAAATTGCTGAAGGGTTGGAGAGCTTGCAGTAGGAATTTAAAAACAAAACAGAACAAAACAAAAACATGAAATGACACTCAAGACAACCAGTAGAGCTTGAAGGTATATTTATTTGGGGGTGTGGAGGGTAAACCAGCAGGGGTCTCATATTCAAAAAAGCAAAAGAGAAAATAAAAATAATCTTAAAATTAATTTTGAAGGTATTGTTTTTATCCCCTGCTGGAATGTTATATGAAAATATCATAATAGCGAAGTTTTTTATAGTGGCTGCTCATAAAAAATGCTCAGAAAGTATTTATTTTGTGAATGAATGATATGTAATACATATTAAAATGTTAACATCACTATTAATTTTTAGATTTATTACACTGTGTTAAGAGAACATGAACTGTATTATTCCTCTTTTTAAAATATTTGGATGTCTTCTTTATGCTTAAGTATAAGAAAATACTTATGATTATTCCATGATGCTAGCAAAAAGACACATTCTCTGTTAAGTCTCTCATCATTCAACCTTATTAATTATATTATTTCTTTTTTTCTTTTTTCTGTTATTTATCTCTTTCTGCCTGTTTGGGTGAAGATTGAAATATATTAGACTCCCATTATTACAGTATTTTTTCTACTGCTTTTAATTCTTCCTCTGCTTTTCTTTTTCCTTCTTTCTTCTCCTCTTTCTTTTCCTTCTTTCCCCCTTTTTTCCTTTTTATTTCCTCTATCTTCCTTGTTCTTCTCTTTGTTTTCCTTTTTATTCTATTTACCCCTTTTATCATTATTATTTTGTATGCTATCACAGTCTGTTCTGTGGTATTTGGTACATGGTATTTGATTTTGATTATAAACTTTATTAACAAAACAATCATATTTATATATTATTTGTTCTAATTGAATTGTAATTTTACAGGGTAACATTTTTTCCTTTTTATTGCATGTGCATTATATATATTATATATATATATTTGACTTCTTGAAATAATGTGAACTATTTACTTCTAGATGTATCACATGTAGATAGACTTTAGTTGCATTTTTAAAAGTCAATGTGAATCTTTGTCTTTTATTGAGGGAAATGAACGCACTTATAATTACCATCCATATCAGACACATATTTTATTTGTTTTCTTGGCTTATTCTTTCTTTTTTTAATGACAAATAAAAAACTGTATATATTTATGGTGTACATTATGTTTTCATATATGTAAACATTGTGGAATGGCTAAATCAAGCTAATCAACATATGCATTACCTCATTTATTATTGTGGTAAGAATATTTAAAATCTAATCTCTTGGCAATTTTTGATTATACAATATATTGTTATTAGCTATAGCCACTGCAATGTACAATAGATCTATTGGATGTATTTCTCTTGTATAGCTGAAATTTTGTATTCTTTGACAGACATCTCGCTAATCCCCCAATCCCCGGCCTTTATCCTCTAGTGCCCTTCATTTTCTTCTCTGTTTCTATGAATTTCACTATTTTAGATTGAATAGATGAGATTATGTGGCATTTGCCTTTCCATTTCTAGTTCATGTCGCTTAACCTAAGTTGCATTGTTTATATACCTCCTTTAGCATTTCTTATAGTACAGGACTTCTGTAATGAATTCTTTCAGGTTTTTTATATCTTAAAGTCCTTATTTCACATTAAAAAAAATTTCTGGGTATAGAATTCACCCAGACAGGTTTCAATTTTCTTTCTGTATTAAATGTGCTGCTCCAGGTCTTCTCACTCGCATTCTTTCTGATAAATAATCTGCATCACCTTTAACTTTGTTCTGCCATATAATGTGTATTTTCTTCCTCCAACTGCTTTTAAGATGTTCTTTTTATTACCATTTTAGAGCAATGTGATTATTACATACATAGGTGTGGTATTTTCATGTATCTTATCTGTGGATTTTTGAGCTTTTTGGATTTGTGGGTTTATAATTTGTATCAAATTTAGAAATATGAGGACTGTTTTTTCAAACATTTTTTTCTGTCACCTTTGTTTCTTATCTTTGTTAAAGACTTGGATTACAGATCTATGAAGCCATCTAAACTTGTCATACAGCTCACTGATGCTCTGCTAATTTTTTTAAAAATTAATTTTTCTCTGTGTTTTGGATAGTTTGTTTTTGTCTTCTTTACATTAACTAGCTTTTCCTTCTGCAATATCATAATAGTTTCATCTACTGTATTTTTGATTCTTCATACTGTATTGTAGTTTTCATCTCTAAAAGTTCCTTTTTGGCATATATATACATCTTCTAGGTCTCTACTTAACTTTTTTGAACAAATGGAATGTGGTTATAACTTTAAAAATATCCTTGTTTGCTAATTTGAACACCTGTGTCATTTCTGGTTTATTCTCGATTGATTTTTGTTTTTCATTATAAGCTGTATTTTCTTGCTTGCTTTCATGACAAAATCTTTTGTTTGGGTAGTAGACATGTGAATTTCACCTTGTTGGGTAGCTCATATTTTTGTATTCCTGTAAATGTTCTTGAGCTCTGTTCTTAAGCACAGTTAAATTACCTAAAAAGATTTTAATCTTCTTAGATCTTGCTTTTAATCTTTTTTAGGTAGGACCAGAGCAATGTTATCCTAGGGCTAATCCTCACCTCTGAGACCTTTCTAAGTATACTATCAAATATCCTGTAAATCTGAACTTTTCCTGATTGACTGGTAAGAGACTGAATTCCTGGCCAGTTACTGTTTCCTCTAATTATTTCAGGTAGTTCATCTCCAGTCTGCTTTTTTTTTTTTTTTTCACTTGTTTATGCTGATCAGTGCCCAGTTCAGTACTTGAGAGGAACACATCACAGGATCCCAGAGTAGTCTCCATGTGTGGAGTTCCCTTTTTCAGTACTTTTATCTTGTGACCTTGACCTGCTTTGGTTTCCTGGGACTCTCAGTTCTGTCTCCCCATTGTAGGGAATCTGCTGGGCTCTGCTTAGGTTCCCCCTTGTTGGGCTGTAGTCTGAGAACTTTCTTAGGACACTAAGCTGAGTGATGGTAGTACTCATCTTTCCCTGAGAGCGCCCCATCTTTCAGAGATCACTCCCCTTCATTCCTAATGTAATGGGGCTTGCAAACCATTGTGTATGTACTGTTTGGCTTTTTATTATTGTTGTAATTTCACGTGAAAATGTAAATTGGGTTCCTTTTGCTTCATCTTAGCCAGAAGCCTCCTTCATTTTTCTTATTTTTTGTTTAAATTTGGGCTTTATATTGTCTTTGCATTTTGTAAAATTAAATTTGATTGCATATAGTTCTGTTACAATTTTATGTATGCTTCTGCTTGATTTTAGTGTTTGAAATTCTATTTTAAATATTAGTTTCCCTTTTCATTTACTTAGATTTTAAAATTAATTTTATATTTCAGTTTTCCTATGTTCTGCTGTTCAGTTACTTCTTTATCAATATACTTGTATATTGGCTTCACTAGTTGCGTCATATAATCTGTACATTCTCAAAAATTTTCAAGACCACAATTCAGTTTTGAAATTAGTCTATTCAAGACTTCTAATATTTATAACACATCATTTCTGTGTGGGGGCAAATGGTGAAGTTTACTTTTTTTTTTTTGGTTTACCTCTATTTTCCAAATTTTTTTTCACTGAATTTACACTTTTATTACATAAAAGTTTATTTTGCAGGAAAAATGCTTTTCTGTTCTGTCTGGATTATTCATTTTTAAAGAAGACCTTATTGCTATGCTGCTGTATTTCTGTTTACTTCTCCTTGTCCTTGAAAGGCGAGAGATTTATTGAAGCCAAATATACCCTCCCTTCAAATGAGAGGTGTGCAATGTTCTTGGAACCTCCCACTCCCCTTCTATGGGGTATTCTAAAACAAAAATCTTCCTTTTTTATGTTAAACTGGAGGGCTTTTTGGTATAAATTTGTGTTATCATTAAAAAATCAAAAAGCCTTGGATCCACAAGAGAGGAGCAAGGTCCTGTTGGAGGAACTTTATTCCTTCATCCCACAATGTGTGTGTGGAGATACCTTTTCTCCTAGGGATCAGGTTTCTAAATCCAGTCGTCTTGCTCTCACCTCAGTTTGCTTGCATGAACAGCTCTTTTGATACTGTGGCCCAACAGCCTCAGTGCAACCTCTACCGCACCAGGGAGAAGTCCCCTGGCACTGCCATCTTTCCACTTAGTACACATATATTTTTAAATGCTTCAGTAAACATCTTTATCTTTCCCTTTGTATTGATTCCCAGGAGCATTATTACTTCCTGAGAGTGGTGGGCACATTTAACAAATATTTTCAAATTGGCCAGGTGTGGTGGCTCACGCCTGTAATCCCAGCACTTCCTGAGGCCGAGGCGGGTGTATCACCTGAGGTCAGGGTTCGAGACAGCCTGGCCAACATGGGGAAACCCTGTTTTTACTGAAATTACAAAGTTAGTCAGGCGTGGTGGCGCGCGCTTGTAATCCCAGCTACTCCGGAGGCTGAGGCGCAAGAATCTCTTAGAACCTGGGAGGCGGAGCTTGCAGTGAGCCGAGATCGCGCCACTGGACTCCAGCCTGGGTGACACAGAGCGAGACTCTGTCTCAAAAAAAAAAAAATGCCGGGCGCGGTGGCCCAAGTCTGTAATCCCAGCACTTTGGGAGGCCGAGGCGGGCGGATCACGAGGTAAGGAGATCGAGACCATCCTGGCTAACATGGCGAAACCCCGTCTCTACTAAAAATACAAAAAAATTAGCCGGGCGTGGTGATGGGTGCCTCTAGTCCCAGCTACTCGGGAGGCTGAGGCAGGAGAATGGCGTGAACCCGGGAGGCGGAGCTTGCAGTGAGCCGAGATCGCGCCACTGCCTTCCAGCCTGGGTGACAGAGCGAGACTCAGTCTCAAAAAAAAAAAAAAAAAAAAAAAAAAAGGAAAAAGAAATGTTTTCAAATTACTTGCTTTCTAGAAAAAAAAAATACTGGGCTCCTTTTGCTCTTTGCTCTTGCCATTTTAGTGTGGGGAAAAGCTATGCTATCACTATACCAGTTTCTTGGGTAAACATTTTTCTTATTACTTTAATTTGCCTTATTTTGTTTACTAGTAAGGATAAATTTTCTTCGTGTGTGTGCGTGCTTGTGCCATTTGGAGTAAATTACATATTCAGATCCTTCAGCCATTTTTCTCTAGGGTTTTTAATTATTCTGTGAAAATTTCTGTGTTGCCCCTTATACATTAAGGTTATTAACCTTTTTATATACTTTACAGACTTCTTTATTGTTTACAAGTACACTGTTTTATTTTTTCTCTCTTATTACACACACGCACACACACACACACAGACCATTATACTATAACATTTTTAATTTAATCAAATTAATAAATATTTCACTTTTTAATTTCTTCCTTTTATTGGAAAACTCTTCTTCATGGAGAAATGGGATAACTAAATATAAATAAATCCATCTTCTTGCTTCTCTTAGTTGAATATTTGTTAACTGAATGAACAGATAAGTACAGATAAAATTATAGTTTCCCTCCTCCCATCCACCCACCCTGCGTTGCTTTAACCACTTCCAAGATCTCATGTTGTTGACATTATTAATATTTTATACCTCAAGAAGCAATGCTCACTCTTTTTAACAGCCAACATTACACCATTTTGTAGATCTGTTCAACTCCATTTCTGCTATCTCTGTAGATAGAGAAGGATTAGTAAGACTGATTGACCAGGAGAAAGTGAAATGTAAGGTTACCCAAACTGAGGTAGGCAATACATTATCTCAAAACTTAGTGATGTGAACCATCCATTTATTATGCCTTTTGATTCTGTGGGTGAGGAATATTGACAGGACACAACAGGGAAGCTATGCCTTTGTTCTGCCATGTTTGGAGCCCAGCTGGACTCAAAGCCTAGGGTTATAGTTATCTGAAGGTATGCCCACACACATGGCTGGTGATTGAGGCTGATTGTCAGCTGAGTCCTAAACTGAAGATGTCAGCTGGAACACTTATCTGCTGGCTCTTCTTGTTGCCTGGGCTTCCACTTGCTATCATGGTGGGATCGAATAATAAATGTCCTGAAAGAAAACTGCATTTCTTGTCATGAGCTACCCTTGAGAGACACATATCATCATTTCTGCCATATTCTATTTGTTAAAAATTAGTCATTAAATTTGGCTCATATCCAAAGAGAGGGAACAAAGACCTATGCTTCTCAGTGGAAGAATGTCAATGTCACTGAAAATCTATTTCCAGTTTATTTTCCTGTTAAACTTTCTGTCTCACTTGCTTCTCACTTTCAGTGGCTCCTCTTTTCTTCATGCCAATGAAGATGTAAAATGTTGATCCTTTTCTTTGATTTTCCTAAAAGAAACTCCCACAAGATATTTATATATGTAGCAGATTTTCCTGGGGGTTTGGTGTCTGTGTAGAAGGGGACATGGTTGGTAGTTGTAGAGGGAATAACATGATAGCCACTATGAAGAAAATCATTAAAATTTGAATATAAACAACTCTGCTATTAAAGACCCCTTGGAATATTCCTGTCACCAAGAACGTCTGACTGATCTATATTTCTTTATTGGCATTCACCTCTATCATGTGACATGATTTTCCTCTACTCTATCACTTCTCCTCCTCTCTTTTTCTGCTTTTTTACATGCCCATTTTCTACTGGTGTCATTACTATCGATATTTAGTTATTTTATTTCATCACCAGCTTCCAGCAAGGTGAAGCGTATGTGGCACCTGAGCTCCAGGTCAATTATGGGCAATCCTACAAGGGCAGAAGCTGCATTCATTTGTAATTTTAAAAACAAATTTGCCTCACCAAAAAAGCTATCACATGAGTAAACAAATGAGTAAGCATATAATTTTTTTCAAACATGTTGATAATATTCTTTTTAGCATCAAAAATACCCTTTATTGCAAAGACACTACATTTGTGATAGTTTGAGGCTGGGTGCAGAGGCCCAGGCCTGTAATCCCAGCACTTTGGAAGGCCAAGGCGGGCGGATCACTTAAGGTCAGGAGTTTGAGACCAGCCTGGCCAACATAGCAAAACCCCATTTCTACTAAAAATACAAAAAAAAAAAAAAAAAAATTGGCTGGGCATGGTGACACGTGCCTATAGTCCCAGCTACTCAGGAGGCTGAGGCAGGAGAATCACTTGAACTCAGGAGGCGGAGGTTGCAGTGAGCAGAGACCATACCACTGCACTCCAGCATGGGTGACAGAGCAAGACTCTGTCGCAAAAAATAAAATAAAATAAAATATCTGATAGTTTGGGAGAAGAGCTTGATCTTGACTTTCTTGTTATTTTTCTCCTTTCTTCTTCTGGGTCTTGACAATTTTCCCCTAAAAATGTGTCAACCCAAGATGAGTGCTTAAGATTTGTGAAAGTTTTACATTTTCACATGAAGTGTGAATTAATTGTTTTATGTGTAAAGGGGATTCATAAGAGTTGAGATTGAATGTTTAAAACAGCTGTTCTCAAAGTGATATACTCCAAAGGAAATATTTATTTAGCATTCAGGGCACCTCAATTCATTCTAGAACAATAAGGGAAAACATGATTGAGTCCTTTCTAAATTTTCAGTGTTCTGTGACTTGAATCCAGGATAACATTTTGCATTTTTAGTCTTCATAGACATGAGAAGTTGTAATGCGCCTGAAAGGTATTGAGTTGGGAAGATTATATTTAACATAAAATATTCTACACCATCAACACACAAGAAGTTTTCTTTTAGTTGAGAAATTAGTTTTAAAAACCATCGACTTGGTAGTAAAGGCCACCTTTGTAAGAGTGGGGTATAATAAGAAAAGTCATGCCTTCAATTTCTTCTCACTGGGAAGACAGTGCTTGAATCAGTGGTGAACAATCTAAGGCAATTTCCAATGCTTATAAATGGTAAATTGTGTGGTACACATTATAAGTACTATGGGTTTTGAGAAGAGGAAGTCAATGAAAAATAATGAGTAAGGCTAAGCTTCATGGAACACATAGGAGAATCCTATAGGTAGAATTTGGATGGAATCTTTCTCACTAACTAATAATATGTCATAACGGTTTCTAGTCATTTAGGAGTAGCAGTAGATATACTGTTAAGCAAAGGAGGTGAAAACATCAGGGCTTCACTTGTGTTGGTCCTCTGAGTGCAATAATTTATACAGTATTCCAGGTGGGGAGGAGAAGCAAGGTAAGCATGACAAAAGCTTATCTATATAAGTGCTTCTGGTAGGTTACCTAAAGAGATATAAAAAGCCTCCAGTAGTTTACTATGATTTCTTTTTTCATTCAGAGTAAATATTCATTTTCATATCTATTTCTGTATCTGTTATTTTATGCTCTTTTCCTTAAAAGCATCCTCAATTTATATAACTCAGACACCATAAAACCTAGGTCCACCCCTGTTTGAAGATAATCATGGAATCTGCAAGCTAGAGGTTAATTTAGTGCAGTTCTCTTTGATCACAAAAAGGCAGCTGATTCATAGCTTGTTAGTAGCAGAACTAAGAACGAAACTGGGAAGCTCTGTCCTTTACACAGCAGGTCTAGTATAGGAATCACCTTTAATGACTCTTCATTTGGCTTCCCAAAGTTATCCAGATCTGATCTAATAAAATATGACAACGAATTATGTCACTGATGAAGTTAAATTCTTAAAATCTGCTGTATAAAATGGCTCTGGCAGCATCTACCTTTCTTCTGTAGATATTATAGTTTCTTAATTACTACACAGCTGAAATGCCTAGTGTTTAGAAATTGGAATGAGTTCATATAAGCACTTACATTATCAGGGAATATAAATAGCTCATTTATTCATGGTAGCATTACTGTGTTCCTAATATAGTTTTTATTGATGGACACTTGAACTGTATCAATCCACTTAAAATTCAGAATGGTTCTTTTGTGCATGGCTTTATGGCAAAAGCAGTATAATTTAATTTAATATAATCTTTTAAAAACAATGATGTTTGTTTCATAAATGAATATTTTATATGTTGTGTTTAATTAAAATAAAACTATGCTACTGATCTAGAAAACACAAAACAGACTTGAGTTCATATTTATGAAGTGTAGCAATATTGGCAAGGCACAACTTATCTTGTTTATGAGACATGCTTGCTATTACTTGTACAGATTGCAGTCATTTTATTGCTGAGCTTTACATGGTTTACAACCCAACAAATGCAATGAAACTATCATGAGGAAAATAAGCCTATAAAAATTTTTTTAAAAAGAAGGTGGCACTCACAGATTCAAATGCAGTTTTTGCTGAAACACTGGTAGGTTTTGAACTGTTACATCCTTTAAGGCAGTGGGTTTCTGGGTGTATCTCTAAATGAAAGGGAAAAGGCTGAGATGAGACACTAGGCTATTTTTAGTGCCTCTGCTTTGAGCATAATTCCCTGGAGACCTTCTTGCTTTTGCTTTTACTCTATTGATAGGTTCCAGAATTCCAGGTAGACATAGAAATGTTTTTGACAAAGAAACTATTTGAAAACGAGGAAATGGCTTTACATGAGAAAGGAAAGGGATGTGGATGAAAACATTTCTGTCTCCTAATTTAAAGTGAGCAAAGTACATATTGACTTGGTTTATATTTCTGTAAATTGTTGACATGGAGCAGGAGTGAGAAATTGTTGTAAGGTATCTGCAGGCTGTGGTGGTCTAGGTATAGCTCACATCCCATCTGTTATCATGTACAGACTCATTTCATGGGTTTTTGTCTCCTCTAATCCCCTTTGCCAGGGATTATGGATGCCGCCTACCTCTGGACTCAGGCCCACTGCGATTTTTCCTGTTTTTCTGGTTGCTTATTGCTCAACCAACCAATACTTAAAATGTTCTTTCTTTGTGAGATAATCACAGTAGGAAGCCAGCAATGCGGTCTCACTGCCATTAAAAGTCATGCCTCGTGAACCTGGGTGTCTACATAGCAGGACCTACCCGCTTCAACAAGCCTCGGTACCCCAGCACCCTGTTAGGTTAATGCCAGGCCAGGATGTCACGGTGCTTGACTCTGGGACTCTACCATACTGCCTTGCTACTTAAAAAACTGGCCCTTTTCTTATTACTGTTTCATTCCCATACCTGTTCTACTTCCCCAACTCATTCACTGCCTGCTAGAGGCTGGTGTCTTGCCTTGAATGGATGATTTTTTCCTGGACTGTGCTAATAACTATCACCTTCTAGACTTTAAATATCTCCTATTTCAGTGTCCCATCTATTAGATTTTTTTTGGTCCCTCCTTTCCCACTTCATCCCTGACTTCCATATAGAGTCAATGATACATTAAGCTATACTTAATTGTATAGTGTACATGCTGGAAATTGACCATTACACCACCAAGCTTTGCTCAGAGGGGTAAGCCCTATGCCTAGATTTGTTTCTCCATACCCATAACCAATAGTCAACTTCAGCCACACATCTGCAGCGTTTGTAAGTTTGAGGCCTCAGCAGTTCTCTTATTAAAATGGCCTGAATTGAAATTGATCATGACTTCACCTGATGGTTTTCTTTTCCTGTGTACACTAAAAAAAGTCCACATAGGCACTCTGCAGGCAAAATACAATTTTAGTTATTTTGTTAATGGATAATACATGTATGCAGTACAACATTCAAAATGTCCACAATAGAAATTAGTGGCTTTTATCTGTGACACCTCCCACCTCACTTCCACTCACTCAGTTTACTCACTAGATATAACCATGGCTAATAGTACTTTACCCTCCTTTCTGAGATAACATATGCATATGTAGTATATACAAACATATGTGCATATGGTGAGTGTATGTGTCTATTTATATGTGTATTATATATATAAAATTACATACACATGCACACATATTTTACTCAAATGGAAGCATACTAGTAGACTCTTCTATACTTCTCTTTTTTTAACATTACACCTTGAAAGTCATTCTATGTTATATATAAAGAGCTGTCTCATTCTTTTAATAGCTTCACAATATTCCATTGTAGGGCTGTTTTCTATTGATAGATATTTAGAATTTTTCCAGTATTTTATAATACAACCAAAGCTACAAAGAGTATTTGTCATTTTGGAATATGCTGGGATATATGTATTAATATGAAAATTATGTGAAAGTGCTGGGTTGATGGTTCTATGTACTTATAATTTTGATAGATATTGCTAATTTCCCTCAATTGAAGTTGTACCATTTTACAGCTAGAAATTCTGGAGAATGTCAGTGTATCCTAAGGAGCATGGCAGAAAACAGATGCATTAATTGGTAATATGAAGAAGACTAAGTAAAGGAATTATTTACAAAGTATGGGCAGGATACAGAAACCCCAGGGCTTTCCGTGGAATATATATTGAGATGGGGGTGAGGGGCTGAGGTTACCACTATGGGACCTGAGGGTGCAAGAGGAGGAAACACTCACTGAAGCCTGAAGGCAGAGAGGGTTGTGTTCAGAGGGCCACCTGAAAGGGGCTGTGAATTGGTGACATGGAGGCAGCCAGCCAGAAGCAAATCCTCAGAAAGGAAGCCTAGGGAGTAAATAATTTCGACCACACTCTCCTTCCTCCTTCTGATGCCTTGCTGATACCATCCATTGCCCAAACTTGACAGATGGCCAGAGATTAAACCAGACCCTTAATGTAATCCCCACAGGTCAGCCGCCTGAAGTACAGAGCAGGGTGGAGAAATGGGACTAGAAGTACAAGCAGGACATCTCCAGCTCAGTTGACCTCTTCATACCATCACTGACACACTGGTCTACACTATTATTTATACTATGTATCTGAGAGGTGAGATATTATGTATACATTTCTCTTAATATGAGTGGGCAGTGAATCTCGTGAAATAAGTAAGAGATAATTTCATATCTTTTTTCTTTTTCTGGGTAGTATCTATTTCTAACCTTCCTCTTTTACATATATATGTATTTTACTTTTTATTTTTGAAATGATTTTAAATTTCAGAAGTTACAAAACCAGTATGAAAAATAGTCAGAGTTCCTGTGTAGCTTTCATCCGTATATGCAAATTGTTAACATTTTAGCATACTCGCCTTATCATTTCCATTTTCTTTCTCTCTCTCTCTCTCTCCTTATATATGTGTAATTATATGTCAATTCATCAATCTAGTATATGTGTACATATATACAAACATACATATCACTATATGTGGTGAACCGCTTAAGAATGGTTGCAAACATGATACCTTTTAAGTGAGTATTTTCTGAAACAAGGCATTTTTTCCCACTTAGCTGTGAGTGCAAAAATCAGGAAATCAATATTGTTCCATCATTACCATCTATTAAAAATTTGTCCTGTTGTCCACATAGAGTCATTCTTGTGTTTGAATGTGGTTTCTCTTTAGTGTCCTTCAATCTAGTATAGTTCTTCAGTCTTTTCTTGTCTTTCATGATTGTATTAGTCAGGGTTCTCTAGAGAAACAGAACCAGTAGGGTACTTATAGAGGTGTTTCTCTGACATTGCAAGTTTGGTTCCAGACCACCACAATAAAGTAAATATTGCAATAAAGTGAATCACACTTTTTTTTTTCAGTGCACATAAAAGTTATATTTACACTATGCTGTGGTGTATTAAGTGTATAATAGCATTAGGTCTACAAAAACAATGTGCATACCTTGATTAAAACATGCTTTATTACTAAAAAATGTCAGCAATAATCAAGCCTTCAGTCAGTTGTAATCTTTTGCTTGTGGAGGGTCTTGCCTCAATGCTGATGACTGCTGAGTGATCAGAGTGGTTGTTGCTGAAGGTTAGACAGTTGCGGTAATTTCTTAAAATAAGACAACAATGAGTTTGTAGCACCAATTGACTCTTTCTTACATGAGAGACTTCTCTGTAGCATGTATTACTCTTTGATAGCATTTTACCCACAGTAAAACTTTCAAAATAGGAGCCAGTCCTCTCAAACCCTGCTGCTGCTTTGTCAAGTAAGTTTATGTAATATTCTAAAACCTTTGTCATTTCAACAATATTCACAGCATCTTCACCAAAAGTAGATTTCATCTCAAGAAACCATTTTGTTTGCTCATCCATAAGAAATAACTCCTCACCCATTCAAGTTTTATTATGAGATTGCAGCAATTCGGTCACATCTTTAGTCTCCACTTCTAATTCTACGTCTCTTGCACTTTCCACCACAACTGTATACTACCTCTACTGAAGTCTTGAACCCCTCAAAGTCATCCATGAGCTTTGGAAGCAACTTCTCTCAAACTCCTATTAATGTCGATATTTTGACCTCCTCCAATAAATCATGAATGTTCTTACTGGCATTTAAAATGGTGACTCATTTCCAGAAGGTTTTCAACTAACTTTGCCCAGATCCATCGGAGGAATCACTACCTGAGGCAGCTATAGCCTTATGAAATGTATTTCCTAAATAATAAGACTTGAAAGTCAAAATTACTCCTTGATCTATGGGCTGCATAATGGGTATTGTGTTAACAGGTATGAAAGCAATATTAATTTCCTTGTACATCTCCATCAGAGCTCTTGGGTGACTAGGTACATTGTCAATGAGCAGTAATCTTTAGAAAGAAAGCTTAATTTCTAAGCAATAGGTCTCAATAGTGGGCTCAAAATATTCCTGTAAACCATGTGCTGTAAAACAGATGTGTTTTCATTCATGCTTTGTTGTTCCATTTATGGAGCACAAGCAGAGTATATTTAGCATCACTCTTAAGGGCCTAGGATTTTTGGAGTGGCAAATGAGAACTGGCTTTAACTTAAAGTCACCAGCTACATTAGCTTCTAACAAGAGTGTTAGCCTGCTTGTTTTTTTGTTTTTTTGTTTTTTTTGAAGCTTTGTTGCCAGGCATTGACTTCTCTAGCTATGAAAGTCCCATATAAAGGATTTCTTTCAATAGAAGGGTGTTCTATCTACGTTGAAAATCTGTTGTATATTGAAGCCTCCTTCACCAATGATCTTGGCTAGATCTTCTGGATCACTTGCTGCTGCTTTTACTTCAGCACTTGCTATTTTACCTTGCACTTTTATGTTATAAAGACAGTTTATTTCCTTAAACCTCCTGAACAAACCTTTTCTAGCTCCAGCCTTTTCTTCTGCAACTTCGTCACCTCTCTCAGCTTTCATAAAATTGATAAGAGTTAGGGCCTTTCTCTGGATCAGGCTTTGGCTTAAGAGAATGTTGTGGCTGCTTTGGTCTTCTATCTAGACCACTAAAACTTTCTCCTTATCAGCAAGCAGTAAGGCGTTTTGCTTTCTTATCACTTGAGCATTCACTGGAGAAGCACTTTTAATTTCCTTCAAGAACTTTTCCTTTGCATTCACGACTTGGCTAACCATTTGGCACAAGAGGCCTAGCTTTCTGCCTATCTCAGATTTTGACATACCTTCCTCACTGAGCTTAATTATTTTCTAGCTTTTGATTTAATGTAAGAGAAATGTGATTCTTCCTTTCACTTGAACACTTAGAGGTCATTGTAGGGTTATTACTTGGCCTTATTTCAATATTGTTGTCTTGGGAAATAGGGAGGCCTGAGGAGAGGGAGAGAGATGGAGGAAAATAACCAGTTGGTGGAGTAGTCAGAACACACACAACATTTATTGATTAAATTTGCCATATTATTATGGGCATGGTTCATGGCACCCCCCCATCCAATTACAAAAGTAACAGCAAAGATCACTGATCGCAGATCACCATAACAGGTATAATAGTAATGACAATATTTGAACTATTCCAAGAGTTGACAAAATGTGACCCAGAGACACAAAGTGAGCACATGCTGTTGGAAAAATGGCACCAATAGGCTTGCTTGATGCAATGTTGCCATAGACCTTTAATTTGTTATACACACACACACACACATGCAGACACATCTATGGAGTGTAATAAAGCAAAGTGCAATAAAACAAGATATACCTGGCTAGGCGCGGTGGCTCACACCTGTAATCCCAGCACTTTGGAAGGCCGAGGCAGCCAGATCACAAGGTCAGGAGTTCAAGACCAGCCTGGCTAATATGGTGAAACCCCATCTCTACTAAAAATACAGAAATCATCCAGGCGTGGTGGCGGGAGCCTCTAGTCCCAGCTACTCGGGAGGCTGAAGCAGAAGAATCACTTAAACCTGGGAGGCAGAGGTTGCATGAGCCAAGATCACGCCACTGCACTCCAGCCTGGGTGACAGAGGGAGACTCCGTCTCAAAAAAAAGAAAACAAACAAAAACAAAACAAACAAACAAACCAAAAAAAAGGTATACCTGAAAGGTATGCCTGCTGAAACCTTACTTTCAGCAGGTTTACCTCAAAAACGATGCTGTGTTTATTTCATTATATCACATCAGGTTGTATGCAACATTGGTAATGTTACTACTACTGGTAATGTTAAATTTTATTACTTGAGTGATACAGCTTCTGCTAGGCTTCTTCACTGTAGAGCTAATTAATAAATTGTGCTCATTAATTAATAAATAATTAAGTATCTTGTGGGAATATGCTTTGAGATTTTCCCTGAACAGTACAGTCCTTCCTTCCTTCCTTCTCTTCCTTCCTCCCTGTTTTCCTTCCTTATCCCCTTACTTTTCTTCCTCCTTTCCTTCTTTCCTCTCTTCCCTACTTCCTTGCTTTCATCCCTCCCTCCATCCTTCCTTTATCCTTCCTTCATCCTTCCTTTTGTCCTATCTTTATGTATTTGTGCCAATCAGGTTTTGTGCAGAGAAGCAAGACACTAGGAGATATATATATAAATTAAATATAAATATATATAATAAAGGATTTATTATAAGAATATGACCAAATGCCATAGTGGAAACTGGTTGCACAGTCTTGTGAGCCTTTTGTTTCTGTGTCTGGAGCTGTATTCTGAATCCTACGGGATAGACAATGAGGAAAGGCCAATGGACATAAAGTTGGGGAAGCAAGGATAAGCTAGAATCTATAGGGTTAGAATGGAGTCCCTTGGTCTTTCATCACCTCCAAGCCTCCAGTTAGATTTTGGGATGTTCTGTGGCAAAGGTCAGTGCCCTTGACCATGGGGCTAATCATGTACCTCTCCAGGTACCAGAGAGATGGAGGGAGGCCAAGGATCTCACAGGAGTTGGTGACCTGCAGACCTGGTTGCACCCTTCTGACACAAGGTGAGCCAGTAATGTGAGTGAGCTGTAACAGCATCTTGTTCCTTGCACCAACCTTCTAAGCATAAAGGAATACTTCTGTTCGTATACCTTTGTATTCCAAATCTTATGCAAATGATCACTTCTGGCCCATGCTAATTCAGAATTATGCAGGGAAGGGAATTCTGGGAAATGTAGTTACAGATTGACCAAGTTGACACAATACAAACCCACCATGGTATTTATAACAGTATGAATTGATGAATTCCTATTTTACTCAAAGGATTACTATCTGTTACAGCTATTATTTATTTTGATGCTCAAATCATTTCAGACTTGCCCAGTGGAAGCCTTTTATACTAACTCTCATATTCTTTTGACATTTTTTCCCATTATTATTTTAGTGTTTCTTTACTTTCTGGCACCAAAAGATGTTCCAGGCTTGTACCATTTGACCCAGCAATCCCATTACTGGGTATATACCCAGAGGATTATAAATCATTCTACTATGAAGACACATGCACATGTATGTTTATTGCAGCACTGTTCACAATAGTAAAGACTTGGAACCAACCCAAATGCCCATCAATGATAGACTGGATAAAGAAAATGTGGCACATATACCCCATGGAATACTATGCAGCCATAAAAAAGGATGAGTTCATGTCCTTTGCTGGGACATGGTTGAAGCTGGAAACCATCATTCTCAGCAAACTAACCCAGGAAAAGAAAACCAAACACTGCCTGTTCTTATTTATAAGTGGGAGTTGAACAATGAGAACACATAGACACAGGGAGGGGAACATCACATACTGGGGCCTGTTGGGGGCTGGGGGACTAGGGGAGGGATAACATTAGGAGAAATACCTAACGTAGATGACAGTTGATGGGTGCAGCAAACCACCATGGCATGTATATACCTATGTAACAAACCTGCATGTTCTGTACATGTATCCCAGAACTTAAAGTATAATAAATAAATATGTATATATATATTTCATTCTAGTGATTATATAGAAAGCACATGACATCTGAAAGTGATTAAAGGAGGGAATCTAATATATCAAATATATCATAAGTATATTTTTTCATGTAAACTTTATATATTTATGTTTATGTATCTCATATATATAAACTTTATATTAAAATATTTTAATATAAGTTTTTTGGCTTTTGTACCTCAGAATTTAGGGTGGAAAAAGGAGAGAGTGAATATCATATTTGAGAATAGTTTGAAAACTAAAATCAGAAGCTACAGAAAGTTACATGTGGAGTATGTAGGAGCTGCTTTGAGCCCAGTTCTTCATTCTGTTATAGTTCTCCTAATATTTCCTCCCAGGGCTTCCTCTGTATCATAAGACTGGGAACTACTCCCCTGTTGAGACTCGAAGCCTCTCCTTCTGGAGGAAGGCTGTGTAAATCCTATCACTAGCCAATTATGAATAATAATTCTCTCCATTATGCTCAGCTCTGCCTTGTATTTCTATAATATCATCTCTGTAAGAATATATTTCATTTATGAGTTTTCATGTCATAGCCTCTACAAGACTAATTTACCATAGGACAGGGATTATATCTTATTTCTCTTTGTGTTTCCAGTGTCAAGTTCAGGGCCTGGCAAATGGTAAGTGCTCAATAAATGTTTGTAAGATGAATGAATGAAAGAATTTGCTGGTTTCCCTTCAATATTATTGGCTTTTGGATAGTGAAAAGGGAGCACGTTTCCAGTCTAACCATTTAATCTATATTAATCTCCTCATCCCAACTATTAATGCAGTGGTAAACCTGACCATCTTGGTTTTGTTTATCTAGTTCATTTTTTGGCATGGAAAGGATGGAGAGATGAGTTTCAGATGCTGGTTCTATGCCATTCGTCAGACATCTCCTGTCCCATGCCATGTACAGACACATTCTGTTCACCAGCTGCTGATTTCTGTTCGTTCTCAGCACATTGTTTCCTGGGCCAATGGTGGCGGTGCTGCTGCTGCTGCTACTGGCCTCTTTTCTGCTACAGTGTCCCCTAATCACATCACACAGATATAAAATGTGTTATCTATCATCCCTTCTGTCCTCCACCTTTTTTTCCCCCTCTGAGAAATAATAGGGAAAAAGGAATATGCCTGCCAGTGTATGTTTTATAAACTTCCCCTGTCCTCGTGATTTAACCCCTAGTTTCTCTGTGAAGAGGATTAGGCACTCCTTAGAGACACCACCAGAATTTGGAATTGGAGCTAGTGCTTGGAGCAGATTTTTAAAATCACTCCGGGGATTTAAATTTGCATAAATTTAAATATTGGGGTCACAGGGTTTTAGCACTAAGCCTGTAAGGGTGAATGCACTACAATTAATTAATTATTGCAGCTACAATGTTCACATTATAATTTGCTGATAAGGAAAGGAAAAAATGGTATAAAACTTACAAATTTAATCTGTCATCTTTGTCACAACCTGGCTTATGAGGGGCGGCCTCATGAGATTCTCTTAATATTACTTTTCTCCCCTTGAGCTATTAAGATGCTTGCCTCCCAAAATCTACCTGTAATTTCTAGCACTTCAACCAGTATAACCTTTGAGTAGACATGGCCTCTCCCAGCATCTTAAGTCCTCCCTACCTTCCAGGCAGTGAAGAAAGGATACCTTTGGGAATTCTTCATTCAAATACTTTTATAGTCTTGAGGGGTAGAGTGGGGAGGAAGACACTTAGATTTCATGTCTACTTCTTGCCTCTATTTTTAAGGCCAAAGCATGGTTGGCATATGCTCTCTGACCATCATTAATTCATTTTTTAAAAGTTTATTACTGTTATTAAGAACTTAGCAGTCAGTAGGCACTGAGGCTATGCAGAGACAAGGCATGGTGCCTGCCTGTCCTGAATTGCTGCAGTCTCGAGGGAAAGGTGTATATGCAAACCAGTTTTTGATTGCCCTCCACAAAGATCAAATTTTAATGTGCCCTCTACAGAGCAAGCACTGCAGGAACAATGGGCAGCTTCTTTCACTGTAAAGTCTTTCTTAAGGGAATAGGTCATAGGCTAAGTGTCAAAATGAGTTAGTAAGGCAGAGAACAGATAAATGTTTAGATATATGTATGGTGTTCAGATATGGATTGTTCAACAATTGTAGATCTTGTATGTCTATTGGGTAGGGGTCATAGCAATACCTGAGATTTATTAAATACTTAATAGTAGATCCTTTATTATGTTATCTTTACTTCTCTTCCAAAACATTGATGGCAGGTATTTTTTATCATATTCTACCCATTTTAAAACATAAGGAAATTGATTTCAGAGTGGTTCAGCAACTTGACAAAAGCTAAGTATATAGAAGAATGAGGATTTGAATCTAGAGCTTTCTTTTTAACCATTAATGTTTTAATATTACAAATATATTTTAGGGAGAAGAATTTAAGAGGGGGTTGGAGATGTAGAGAGATGAAGTAAAAGAAGAAGGAAGTAGCATGTCATGAAGTGTTTTGTGGGCCAAATTAGGAATCTTGGCTTCTATACTGAGAGTAACAAAGTGCCTCTAGAGAGCTTTCAGCTAGTCAGTGTCATGATCTGAATTTGGAAAGGTATCTCTGGCTACAGGTTTAGGAGGGCCAAGATCATAGGCAAGGAGACCTGTTATTGAATTGATTCAGTTGAGGTATGACAGATGAGTTTGCACAGCTCATTAGTAGCAGATAAGCCACACCAAAAAGTCATCTGCTTTTATAATCATCTTGATCTTACTTCTTAGTCAGGTCTTTGGTATCAGCTGGTTCCTCTCATTCCACTCCAAGCCGTTCCTTCCAGTTTTTAATTGATTTCCTCCCAACCTGCTGAAGAGCTCTTTCTTCTGGAGCCTTGCATTGGACTGCCTGTTAATTTGGCATTGCCAAACCAGCAGTTGTCATTGTGATAATTTAATATTTACCTCACTGAAGTAACCTGAGATTTGTGATCTAACTTGAATTTATTACTTTTAATTTAAATGCATATCAATCATAGATATGAAAAGTGTGCTTGCATAATTCTTTTTACCTTGTAAAAATATATAATGCTTATCTCTATATGCAGTTGCACCTACTGCCTGTGCAGCACAAAGAATGTTAAGACTCTAACAGCTCAATTTTTTTCAAGAGAATGACAGTAAGCTACCATTTTGAACATAGGAAAAAGGAAGCTGTTATGTAGTATAGCTGGCCAAGAATAAGATCTAGAAATCTAAGTGGTAGGAGCATGGCAGTAGGTGGTAAGTCAGGCTGGATCCAAAGTTCGGGGTCTGCGAAGGACTTGGTGGCTGTGGGTGATAAGGCAAGCCATAAATTCAACCCAAGAATTACGTGAAGGTTGGAAGGTTCAGAAAGACTTTGGGAGATCAAAGCATCAGTTAGGGAAGCTGTTAGAAGTAGATCTAGAGCTTTAAATGTGGGGAGGATGGTTTACTTTGTTTCCTTTTCTGTGTTGGCTTTTAGGTATGAGCTGCTCAGAGTCCACAGCTGTGGCTGTGGTCAGAGGACAAGTTAGTGTTCTCAGTGTATAGCTTGATCCTCATGGAGTGAGACCAGAGCTCTTGGGTGGCTGGTCAGGAGCCTCTCACTAAGACAACTGAACTTCTCACAGCAGTGCCAAGATGATTGGTCTATTCCGAAAATGCAAGTCACAACCGGACAGCCCAAATAAGTGTATGACAAGTCCTAAAGATCTTTATATAGAGCTCTGCAGCTTATAAAACTCTTTTCATAGACAGTATGTCATTTGATCCTTATATCACATCCGTGAAAATGTGTCTTTAATAGTAATGCCATTATATTAATAGAAGGGCTTCGACCAGATCCTCTAACAACAAATCCTGTCTCTCATTGAAAGACTGGTGGGAGGGATAGTGTGGGAATGCTGATTGGTTTTCCTGGAGCATTGGAATTATTATTCGGGGATGCATACCATTTTATTCTGTTAGCTTTTACACCTTTCTGACTATCCCATATCTTACAGAAGAACTGTCTCAAGTATTAACTGCTTTATATCCCCTGGAACATTTCTAATTAGAAGTGATTGCTCTCCTCTTTGGCCTTCCATAGCAAACTTCCTTTGTATCTTTCTGTGGCAGTTATATTTTCTTGCCATGTGTCATTGATTTTGTATATGCCCATAAGCAAAGTTTATACCTTCTTCCGAAACCCAGATATAGTAACATGCTTAACACCATGAATATATACCACTTATATTCAACAAATATGTGAACATGTCAGAAAATTCCAACTGTATTTGATTCTTCTAGTGTTGAATGCTGGGATTGAAATGCCAAAAAGCGTAAAAAGAAAAGTAAAAAAAAAAACCAAGATAGAGTTAGAGATGTATTGATAAAAATGTCTACCTTGTTTTTCATTCTCATACTTGAGGAGTTTAATACATCACCTTTTAGAATTGAATATGTTTAGTTAACACTAGCACATGCAGACTCATTCACATATATGAAGATTTGACTTAAATGCTCATGGTGTTCAATAATACCATAACTTTCTTTAAGTTGGCAGAAAGGTGGCCAAAGGAGATGGAGATATAAAGGGAGACAAAGCTAGAAGTTAGTTACAGGTGGGAGAGAGGTCCTGATATAAAGAATTTTTACCAGGCTGGGCGTGGTGGCTCACGCCTGTAATCCCAACACTTTGGGAGGCCAAGGCAGGTGGATCACGAGGTCAGGAGTTCAAGACCAGCCTGACCAACATGGTGAAACCCCCATCTCTACTGAAAATGCAAAAATTAGCTGGGTGTGGTAGTGTGTGTCTGTAATCCCAGCTACTCAGTCAGGAGGCTGAGGCAGGAGAATCTCTTGAACCCGGGAGGCAGAGGTTGCAGTGAGCCAAGATTGTGCCACTGCACTCCAGCCTGGGCGACGGAGTGAGACTCCATCTCAAAAAAAAAAAAAAAGAATTTTTGCCTAAGGGATCACAGGAGAAACTAACACTGGGAAGGGGACCTGAAGGATGTGGGAGGACAGCCATGCCTAAAAAGCTCAGAAAGGCCTTTGGATGTGGTCTTCACATCTAGCAACCCTGTGCTATGTGTAGAGAATGAACCTGTGGATCAAGATTTAGTAAAAACAGCAGATTTCCAGCTCCAGGTGCAGGTCATTGAAGTCACCAGATTCACTGGGAAATCAGGGATTTTTTTGTTTTGTTTTTGTTTTTGTTTTTTTGAGATGGAGTCTCACTCTGTTGCCCAGGCTGGAGTGTAGTGGCGTGATCTTGGCTCACTGAAACCTCTGCCTCCTGGGCTCAAGCGATTCTCCTCCTTCAGCCTCCCAAGTAGCTGGGATTATAGGCACCCACCACAACGCCCAGCTAATTTTTGTATTTTTAGTAGACACGGGGTTTTGCCATGTTGGCCAGGCTAGTCTCAAACTTCTGACCTCGGGTTATCCACCTGCCTCAGCTTCCCAAAGTGCTGGGATTACAGGCATGAGTCACCCCGCCTGGCTTAGGTAGGGATTTCTATCTTCTCTCTGGTGGTTTGATAGTATTTAGCTGTAATTCTTTTAACTCTGGTTTCAGGACCAACAGCTTCAGCATCAGCTGGAACTTGTTAGCAAAGTAAATGCTCAGGTCCCACACTAGACTTACTGAATCAAAAACTTAGGCCAGGGCCCAATAAGGTGTGTTTAACAAGCCTTCATGGTGATTCTTATGCTCACTAAAGTTTGAAAGCTAGTGAACTAGAAGAGAGTTTAAAAAGTGGGTTGGGGTAAGGCTGGGGAAGGGGATAAGTGTTTAATTAGAGATTCTTAGGAAAAGAGTTTAAAGAAAATTAGACTGAATGAGTTAATTCCAAGCAGAAGGCCATGCCACTTAAACCTCTTGGTTAATTTGATGATGAGAAAATCAGAATTAGATGCTTTCATATATTGCCTATCCCTGCTTCTTTAGCCAGGAATCTTGAGGTCTCTGGGTGAAGCCAATATGGAAAGTCCAGTTAGGTTAATTTTCTAATTCTTGGTCCTTGTGTTTCATAAGACAGCATTTCATTTGGCATCCCCTCTGAGGCTCTGGCCACTCACTGATTTAATTAAAATCTAAATTTGGATGAGGCAACTTTTCCATAAAATTCTATAATACTGATACATGTAGAATGCATTCTTCTTGGTGTTGACTTCTCAGGATTGGATCTGTCCATTTACTGGATTAGGCTTTGGTAGGGGAGTGGCCTGCCCTGGGTACCAAGGAAAAGCTTGACATTAAGAAAAATCTTCTCTCTTCTCATTTGGAAATAGGACGATGACAACAAAAATGTTGAAAATATTTTTAAAATTTAGTTTGATGGAATGTCAAGCAGAGATGCATAGGTTCAGAAATATTTACATTTGAGAACCAGAAAATAATTGGAACAGAAATGCCTCTGCCCCCTCCCACCTTTTCTGTCAGCTGCTCAGTCATTTCCAAATGGTCTGAAGTTTCTGTACAGTCATCTTGCTAATGACTGTAATTCATCACAAGAGGTGTTTAGTTTTGAAAATGAAATATGACTGTATATTTTGGAGATTGATAGTGAGTGCTTATTTATTGATTATACTCCTAGTGTGAAAAAAAAACAAATATTGCAGAGAAAAATGTATTTTTCAAGGTCCATCACAATAGCTGATGTAAGTTGATGTGTGAGACTACCTGTGACTTTACTTAAAAGAAAACTGATTTTGGCTGTCGTTATGCACCCTTTTTTCAAAAACAATTTTGAGAAAACTTAAAGACATATAGGTCAAAGATTGGTAACAAGAATTAAATCAAATAAAGGAAACAAATCAATATTCTGACCATGTAGTTTCATACATTTGCTATCAATGAGCATTAGTTTGCCTCTGAGTTTCTTAATAACTGCGGCCAAATATATATATTATATATATGAGAAGTCTCAAAATTGCCAATGAAGAACTGATTTTAAAAACAAATTTATTATCTGGAATTTTATGTAGAAGGTGCAGAGTAATGAATATTGCTCTTTACAGTAGTTTTAAAATAAATGCAGAAATGACTGTCATGTGGCTTTTTTTTTAAAAAAAAGGGAGATGGGGTAAATTTAAGGTCAGAGCATTTAAGGGTATAATTCAGAGAAGGGTAATTATTACATGGGAAGTTAAATGAAATGAAGTTCAAATATGGAGGCTTCCTGTGATTCTTATGAGATATAAGATCAGAACTGAGAATACATGTATTCATTAGAACCTCTTCTCTATTGCTTCTCTCCAGAAGGCTTTAGTTAGAAGTCAAGGTGGTATCAGTTTAAAGTCATTCTAATTTCTGATATGCAGATATCATATGATACTGGCTTAATATAATTTCATATAATACAACTTCATAGACTTTTTAGACCAGAAGGACATTAGGTAGGGTTGTTATTCTGTTAATGAAATGAGAAGGTGAAGGGTATTCTTGCCCATGAGAAAAACATTCTACCATTAAGAGAGAGGAAACTATGGGGACAGCAGAAATTTTCCTCAGGAAAACATCTTCAGTTTTTTTGTTTTGTTTTTTTTTTTTTTTTTTTAAACAGCACTTGCAAAAGCACTTTATGGACTACAGCAGAGAAAAGTTTGACCAACATATTATCTTTTTTTTTTTTTTTTGAGAGGGAGTAGTCTCACTATGTCACCAAGGCTGGAGTGCAGTGCCACGATCTTGGGTCACTGCAACCTCTGCCTCCCGGGTTCAAGTGATTCTCTTGCCTCAGCCTCCCAAGTAGCTGGGATTACAGGCTCGCACCACCACGCCTGGCTCTTTTTTGTATTTTTTTAGTGGATACAGGGTTTCTCCATGTTGGCCAGGCTGGCCTCAGTTCCTCCTGACCTCAGGTGATCTGCCCACTTAGGCCTCCCAAAGTGTTGGGATTACAGGCGTGAGCCACCACACCTGACCCAACCAACATAATTCTTTAAGCAGCGCCTCTCCCTTCTCAGTAGAAAAACCAAGAGTGTATTTCCACATAAATGACACTAAGACCTTATTTAAAGTTGTCATTAATCAAAAGTTGGTTTTATTCACTTGAGATAGTGAGATAAGTTTTCATTCACACCAGGAGCGGTGGCTTACTTCTGTAATCTCAAAACCTTGGGAGGCCAAGGCAGGCAGATCACCTGAGGTCAGAAGTTCGAGACCAACCTGGCCAACATGGCGAAACCCCGTCTCTACAAAAATACAAAAAATTAGCCGGGTGTGATGGTGTGTGCCTGTATTCCCAGCAACTCAGGAGGCTGAGGCAGGAGAATATCTTGAACCTGGGAGGCGGAGGTCACAGTGAGCCGAGATCCTGCCACTGCACTCCAGCCTGGGCGACAGAAAGGAAAGAAAAAAAAATTCATTCACCTGGGACAGTGGGATAAATAAACAAATAAGAATGCATTAATGGGGGACTTTCAGAGAAATCTGAATCTTTGGTTAAACTAAGCCAGTCCAACTCTTGTTTCTCTCTTTTTTTTTTTTTTTTTGAGATGGAGTCTCGCTCTCTTGCCCAGGCTGGAGTGCAACGGCGCGATCTCTGCTCACTGCAAGCTCCGCCTCCCGGGTTCATGCCTTTCTCCTGCCTCAGCCTCCCGAATAGCTGGGACTACAGGTGCCTGCCACCATGCCCAGCTAATTTTTTGTATTTTTAGTAGAGACGGGGTTTCACCGTGTTAGCAAGGATGGTCTCGATCTTCTGACCTCGTGATCTGCCCGCCTTGGCCTCCCAAAGTGCTGGGATTACAGGCATGAGCCACCGTGCCCGGCCTTGTTTCTCTTTTTAATCCCTTAAGAATTCCACATTCTTCAAATAAAAGCAACTTCCTCCCAAGTGAATTTTCTTTTCCATATGCATTGAAAATCATCCAGTCTTAGAGAATGTTTCAGGAAATTTAAGGAATTGTCAGCAGTATGCTTAACTTACTAATTAATCGTACAAAAAAAATTCTATTTGTCCTGATGATTGGAATGTTCACATTTAATTTGCCAAACAAAAGTTTAAAAACTATATCGTTAGAAATGCTGCAGGCTTTGTAGTGTGGCTTTCCACTGGCTGAATGTTAGAGCAAAACCAAATGTTTATTAATTCTGTCACACTGCTAATAGAACTGTTCTTTTGATTCAACAAACAGAAGCCTGTTTTCTTTGGATGGTTATTTTATTTCCCATGGAGTCTGCATGCTGTTGGCTGATAATCACAATGGCTATGTATCTATTTGGCTCTACTGGAAAATAAAAAAGCATTTTTTAAAATTTGTTTTTGCAATAGTTCTGAAAATACATATTCAAAAATTCTTGAGAAAGTTTCTGGAAATTACTTTTTTTCCTGAGACACATTTTTTTTTAATTGTAGAACTGCTAAAATAAAGACCAATGATGGACAGACAGATGAAGTCTCGAGTGTTTTTCCAGCTGCATTTGAGATACCCTCTTGAATCAATCATTGTCTTCTTTAATATATTGTTTTAACTATTTTATGTATATATATATATAGAGAGAGAGAGAGACAGAGAGAGAGAGAGAGAGAGAGACAGAGAGAGAGACAGAGAGAAACATTAACCTACCTACCACCCCCCACCCATATACACACCACACTCCATGGTTACTGCCTTACTCAAGAGGATGGAAATAATAAATAATAAAGCCGCTGTGACAAGACAGGAATAGAGAGTAGTCAAGCACATAGAGTGGAGCACAACTCTAGGTTCAGATGTCCTCTCTGCCCTTCTGGCCGTGTGATTTTGGACAAATAACTTAATCTGTCCATGCATTATTATTTATTTATTTATTTTATTTATTTATTTTATCTATGAAATGAGCATAAAGATAATATAACCGTGACTCTGTAAACCCAAAGTTTTGGGATTACAGGAGTAAGCCACCGCTCCTGGTGTGAATGAAAACTTATCTCACTATCTCAAGTGAATAAAACTAACTTTTGATTAATGACAGCTTTAAATAATGTCTTAGTGTCATTTATGTGGACTCTTCTGCAAGAGTGATTGAGGATTAACAAGTTAGTTCATGGAAGAGCACCAGCAGCCGGTATTGTGATTATTGTCCTAGCCCTTGATGCCTTAATGCAATGCATTTCTGTCCTACAGTTTAACTTTGCCTGGATGCACCTTTTCCTAGGAGCATTCAAATGTAAGTGTACTAAAGTTTTTCACCTCTTAAATTCTTCTGTTTGCTTTTTTTTTTTTTTGAGACAGGGTCTCAATCTGTCACCTGGGCTGGGGTGGTATAGTGGTGCAATCTCGGCTCACGGCAACCTCTAACTCCTGGGTTCAAGCAATTCTCCCACCTCAGTCTCCCAAGTAGCTGGGACTGCAGGTACACACCACCTTGTCCAGCTAATTTTTTGTACTGTTTGGTAGAGACGAGGTTTCACCATGTTGGCCAGGCTGGTCTCAAACTCCTGATCTCAAGTGATCTACCCAGTTCGGCCTCCCAACGTGCTGGTATTACAGGCATGAGCCACCATGCCTGGCCACTTCTGTTTGCTTCTTATCATTGTTTTTGCTCTACTTTTAAACCATTAGCTTTCATTTTTTATTTCCTTTATTAGTTGCTCATCCTGCAATTTTCTGATTTTAATCTGTTGCAAACTGAGAAAACACATTATCAACCCAGTTAAAATTTGAAATAAATTGGGAGTAATTTGATTTAGAGTAAGAACTTGGAGGCTTCCCTCTGAATAAAGCAAATCCTCTTGACCGCATAAATTTTGTACTTGGTGTTATCTATTTGACTTTCTAGAAACTTTTTTGCTTTTAAATGTAAAGATGTTGCTATTGAAATGAAATACGGAAATGTTTTAAAAAGTGAAGGTGTTAGATAAGTCACTTTGGAGAAAATGAAGTGTAATATTAAAATGAATTTCCTTCTGAATTTACTTTTGTTCATAGAAAGCCTGGCTACAGAGTAAAAAATGAGCTAGAGGAGGTAGTAAGGCACAGGTAACAATATTTGCTACAGGAGTGTATGAGGAACCTAACGAATGAATTTAAATATCACCTTGACTGCATTTGAAATCCCATGTGGCAATAGGTTCACTACCTCCCACTTTGCTTCCAGAAAATAGAATTGGTCACTAGGGATCACTACAAAAATTCTCAGATTGTCTTCCCAGACCAGGAGCAGCTAAATTTTGGAAATGCAAATTTTCTGCCTCATCTTAGACCTGTTGACTCAGAAACTCAGGGTGGGTCCAGCAATCTGTATTGTAACAGTCCTTCCAGGTAATTCTGATGCAGGCTAAAGTTTAAGACTCAATGGCCAAGGCTGGCAGTGATCAAGCCTGATTACATATTAGAATCACCTGAGGAACTCACAGCCCCATTAATTCAATTAAGATAACAACCAAAGACCTCAGGTGATTTCACTGTAAACATAGTCAACGTCTCTAGACCATTCTTACAAGCACCAAGCAAAGTAAGTCACTGTTGCTTAAAAGCCATACTTTAAAAAGGCTCTGCAATAGATTGAAAGTTTTTATTTCTCAAAATTCATGTGTTGAAATCCTAACCCAAGTGATGGTAATAGGTTGGGCCTTTGGGAAGTGATTAGGTCATGAGGGTGGAGCCCTTATGAAGGGCTTAAAAAGCCCCCTTACAAAAGAAACCTCAGAAAGCTCACTAGCTTCCTTTCACCGTTTGAGGACACAGCAAAAAGACAGCTCCTATGAACCAGGAAGTGGGCATTCATCAGACACAGAACCTACCAGTGCCTTGATTTTGAACTTCTCATCCTCTGCAACTGTAAGACATAAAATTATTTTGTTTATAAGCCACTTAGTCTATGATAATCTTTGGTCCCTGCACTTTTTATACTAATATTTTACTATGTTTGCTTCAGCATGGAAGATATCTATTAAAATGCAAATGTTATCGGTGAGAGCTGATATCCAGAATTAATATACATTAATATCTTTTCTCCTACTAATCTAGCAGTTCTGTAGCAGTGTTTCCCAAATATTAGAGTGCATCAGAATCATGTGGAGGTGAGGTTAAACAAAGCTTGCTATGCCCCACCTTCGGAGTTTCTGATTTGGAAGGTCTGCAGAGAGACTCAACCATTTGCATTTCTAACAAGTTCCAGGTGAGATAGTGATGCTGGTCCTGGGAGCATAAAAACTATGGCTCCTTGTAAATTTGTTTAAGTTCCTTGTAGATTCTGGATATTAGACCTCTGTCAGATGGATGGGTAGATTGCAAAATTTTTCTCTTATTCCGTAGGTTGTCTGTTCACTCTGATGATAGTTTCTTTTGCTGTGCAGAAGCTCTTTAGTTTAATTGGGTCCCATTTTTCAATTTTTGCTTCTGTTGCAATTGCCTTTCATGTTTTTGTCATGAAATCTTTGCCCGTGCCTCTGTTCTGAATGGTATTGCCTAGATTTTCTTCTAGGGTTTTTATAGTTTTGGGTTTTACATTTAAGTCTTTAATCCACCTTGAGTTAATTTTTGTATGAAGTGTTAAGAAAGAGGTCCAGTTTCAACTTTCTGCATATGGCTAACTAGTTTTCCCAGCACCATTTATTAAATACGGAATTCTTTGCCCATTGCTTGTTTTTGGCAGGTTTGTTGAAGATCAGATGGTTGTAGATGTGTGGTCTTATTTCTGAGATCTCTATTCTGTTCCATTGGTCTATGTGTCTCTTTTGGTACTAGTACAATGCTGTTTTGGATACTGCAGCCTTCTAGTATAGTTTAAAGTCAGGAAGTATGATGCCTCCAGCTTTGTTCTTTCTCCTTAGGATTGTCTTGGCTATATGGGCTCTTATTAGGGTCCATATGAATTTGAAAGTAGTTTTTTCTAGTTCTGCAAATAATGTCAATGGTAGTTTCATGGGAATAGCACTGAATCTATAAATTACTTTGGTCAGTTTGGCCATTTTCATGATATCAGTTCTTCCTATCCATGAGCATGGAATGTTTTTCCATTTGTTTTTGTCCTCTCTGATTTACTTGAACAGTGCTTTGAAGTTGTCCTTGAAGAGGTCCTTCAAAAAGTGGGCAAGGGACATGAATAGACACTTCTCAAAAGAAGACATTTATGCAGCCAACAAACATGGAAAAAAAGCTCAACATCACTGATCATTAGAGAAATGCAAATCAAAACCACAGTGAGATAGCATTTCATGCCAGTCAGAATGGCAATTATTCAGAAGTCAAGAAACAACAGATTCTGGTGAGGCTGTGGAGAAATAGGAACGCTTTTATGCTGTGGGTGGGAATGTAAATTAGTTCAACCACTGTGGAAGACAGTGTGGCAATTCCTCAAGGTTCTAGAACCAGAAATATCATTTAACTCAGCAATCCCATTACTGGGTATATAACCAAAGGAATATAGATCATTCAGGAATATAATCATAAAGATACAGGCATGCATATGTTCATTGCAGCACTCTTCACAAGAGCAAAGACATGGAATAAACCCACATGCCCATCAATGATAGACTGGATAAAGAAAATGTGGTACATATACACCATGAAATACTGTGAACTCATAGAAAGGAATGAGATCATATCCTTTGCAAGTACATGATTGGAGAGGCAACTCATTATCCTCAGCAAACCAACACAAGGACAGAAATCAAACACTGCACGTTCTCACTTACAAGTGGGAGCTGAACACAGAACAAATGAACACAGGGAGGGGAACAACACACACTGGGGCCTGTTGGGGCCAGGGTAGGAGGGAGAGCATCAGGCTAAATAGCTCATGCATGTTGGGCTTAATACCTAGGTGATGGGTTGATAGGTGTAGCAAACCACCATGGCACACGTTTACCTATGTAACAAACCTGCACATCCTGCACATGTATCCCAGAACTTAAAATAAAATTACAAAACAACAAAAAAGCATTGCTCCTAGGAAACACAGGCTTTGACAAATGGGATTCAAAACAAGCTTTAATGAGAGGGAAAGGAAGATATGATGCTCTCCTCCAAATAGGAGACCTGGGCAACAGGGAGGTCACCCTGGTGCAAAGAAATAGAAGAGTGGCTATAAGACAGCCCACTTTAATAGAAAACCATAAAATATTGATGTACCTTATAAGTTTTCAACCATTTAGAAATTTAAAAATCATTTTTGCCCAATAACTATAAAAAATCGGTAGTGGGCCAGATTTGGTCTGGGGGATATGGTTTGCCTACTGTTGAATTAAAATATTCTGCTGGTGTTGACATTTCAACCTTTTTTTTTCTTTAATTTTTAAGTTTTGTTTTCATTTTACTTAGTTATATTACTAGTAAATCTCTAACAGGGAACCTATACTGATTCTATTCACTCAATGGATATTACCTATTTCTAAAAAGCTAATTTAAATAATATCCATTTGATATGCATGGATTTCTGAGAGGGAAAGGAAGATATCATGATGCTCTTAGGTGGATTTTAAAAAGTCTGTTTTTTTTTTTTTTTTTGGAATTATATGCTCTCATGCTTGTATTTGATAAACTTTCCTATTGTTCCTGAAAAAGAAAATTACATGATTATGATTAAAATAGTTTAGCTAATAGCACTAATTTCTGATTTCCAAATTTTTCTCCAATATTTTCCAGAATGTATAGCGTAGCAAAATGGAAATAGAAGCATGCTTAAAAATGCAGACACCTGGGCCTCAGTTTTGTAACTTTTTTTTAGTAAACCTGGGATAAAGCCCAGAAATGAGCAATCCAGGTGATGTTGCTGAAAATGGTCTTTTATTTATTTATTTTTTTGGTGGTGTTTGAAAAAAATTTTTTTTTTGCTTTATATATTTGGGTGCTCTGATGTCAGATGTATGTATTTATAATTGCTAGGTCCTCCTGGTGAGGGTGGAACTTCTTATTCAGGAGAGCTCATGGCCTTTCTTACTAAATGTCTCTGAAGTTTAGAAGTAAAATAGAAATATTCTTCTTTCTGAAAGTAGTTCAGGTATACATTTGCTTTGTTCACAGGATGATCTTTTGTGACCTCGTCAGAAAAATAAAAATTGTTTAATTTTCTACTTTAAGATCTTAAGATCAAATTCTTTTAAATTGAACTTTTTAAAAAAAGATATAATGCACAGGTTTATCTAAATTCAGGAGAGATTAGAAACTTTTTGATAGGTCCACTACTCCCAGCTGTAGAAATCAATTTAGTTGGCAGAGTACATGGGAACAGTGCACTGAGCTGCATTCTAGCGATTCTCATGACTGTTGAGCTTTCCATGTGATGATAGCTATCATATTCCTGCAATACTAATGGAAATGTCTACTGATAGTGGTGCTGTCATGCTGTTGACAGACCATTGTGATCAGAAAACATATAGCACTTCTAAAAAAAAAAAGAAAGAAAGAAAGAAAGAAAAACTATGATCAGCAGTTGTTAGCTTACTTTTAATTTTCTTGTTCCTTTTGTAAACTCCAGTTTAGGACCCAACATACATTTTTATGCCAAGGTAGTAGCAAGTTTATAATGAACCTTGAGTCTCCCTGCATAGGAACAAAGATTGCTTTCCCAGGTGTCTTCAAATAAGACTTTGGTCACTTAATTTGAAGGTTACACATGCTGAGGAGTTGGGGTGGGGGTGGTTCCCCTAAGAGACACAGCTGTCATATTTAAACAGTTAAGCAAATTAGGAAAGCTCTTGTAGAATCTACTCACTGGGAAGGAAGAAAGGAGTCCAGTTCTCAGAATCTTTTGCTTTATTAAAAACAAGTTTAGCAAATACATCTATTATGAAAGAATACTACCAGAGGAAACCCTTCTTTCTAGAAATCTATGCCCATCAACTCATAAAAGGTCTCAATTGAGGATATTTAGACAAGATTATAAAGAAATGTTTGATGTTTTAAAAATGTGTTTACCTATTAACTCAAAATTTTCACCTACATAGAATATTGTGCTTCATGAAAGCCTTTTGATATGCCTACAGAATAGCCCATCATGTTCTGGGAGATGTTCTGGGAGAGTTTCCTCCAAAAACCTCTCTTCATTCATTTGATCTGTCTGTGAATTGTACTAAAAGTTGGTGTACAACTGAAATGGGCATGTCATAGGTTGGCTGTAAGGGACGCTGTGTTGGAGTCACTTCCTTAAACTATACATCAGTTTGAACGGGCTGCCTCTTGTCTTATTTGGCTTTGGGAACATTCTTTTTTTAATAGTCATGTTTACTCGGACATTCAACCTTGTCCTCATATTTGGTTCCTGTATTCAGCATAGAGAAAGATAGAAGTAGCTGCTTATCAGAGACAGTTTGCCAAGTTCCAGGGTCCCCAGGGAAATGTCTTGAGTAGAACACTCCAGAATATTTCCTAATTTTGATGCTGTAAAACAGTTAGTATTCAGCTCAGGCTGATAGGCAATTCTTGTATTCACGCCATACTAGGTGTTATACTATAGAAGGCATAAAAACACGTTTCAAGCAGTATGTTTTCCTTCCTGGCATTTAGGAAAAACTAAACTCGAGAAGTTTTAAATGTCACTCTGGATTTGCTTGTTTTCTATAGCAGAGGGTTATTTGTTAAGATCATAAAGATACTTTTGTGAATGGTACCTTATCAAAAAAAGAATATTACTACCTCTCATTTGCCACTGTGCCTCTTTTTCAGCAATAATATACTTCTGATCTTGGTGTAAATGTCATATTGTGTGAATATGCAAACATCACATCCGCCTACATATGTTCTGTTGCTTAGTAATTCTTGGCACTGGAGCACAGTGAATTCTGTGCCTAATAAATGAGATATCCATCAGAATGAAAAATGAACTATGTTGGTCTCTTGAATAAGATATCTCTATTTCAGATTTTAGTTTCGAAAGTAGGCTGCGTCGTTGTGTATGGTGGTAAAGAAATTCAGAAGGGAATTGAATTCAAGGCTAACATTTGTTTACTTATTCATGAAAAAATGCCCACCATTTCCTAAGACATTAGCCAGTATTTCATTTAAAGACACTTAGATTTTTAGATAGATGAGGTTTTATTTGAAAAATGTAAAATTTACTTTAATCTGTAAAAGTCTTTCACAGTAAAATACTTACATAATTATTTTTGTCACCCTTTTCAACTCTAAGCCCCCATCTCTTTTTTGTAACATTCATTCATAAAGCTCTGTAATATGAGGTTTTCACTAGGGATCCATCAGCAACTTCAAATCATTGAATTAAAAAATATCTATTAACTCAATTTATTATTTCTCTGAATTGAAGAGACACTACCTCTGCCCAATTAAATATACTTTTCTCTAATTGGGACTTTGAATCTACCAAACAGGGTACCAGATTTCATATTTTAAAATGTCACCCTCTCCCCCGAGATGACTTAAACATCACTGTTTTCTCAGTCCTCACCTTGTGCTACAGACTGGTGACACAAAGGTGAAAAGATACCACCTCTCTCATTCAGAATCTCATGCTCTTGTGAAAAAGACAGATATGTACTTTGTTACAGCAGACATTTTGACCAAGCCACCAAGAAACAAGAGAGATCATACAACAAAACAGATACAGAATCATTTTAAAAAAGAAAACAAGAATCAGATGACTCATGAAGCCCTTGTTCACGTTGAGAAATGTTAAATAAGTAAATAAATAAAATATAAAAAAATAAAATATTAGAGAGGAGATTGAGGGAAAACAGTTTGGAGAGAGTTGTTAGTTAATAATACTTTAAGTCATAACCTCTCCCAAGGTGGAAGAAGTATAGGGTGTTCCGCACTTTACCACAAATCAAGAGCGGGGCCTTTAAAAGGACTAAGAATTTGAGACATGAATTCTTCAGTTTTTGGAATGGGTGCAGAGTATACTGCTGGGAAAATTGAAACAGAGGTTCACCTCAACTTCCTGAGTTTGCTAGGTCTTCAGTAGATCAGCTGTTTACCATATCATAGGATAAAGCCAACAACAACCTTAACTAAATACATATTTTATATCCCTTACCTCAAGTGAACATAGAGTAGAACTATGAATGATCTTTTATAGCCAAGTTATTTTTATTTCAGCTGAAATACTGTGCTTCTGTGCCCTGGCCTGACTTCTGAATGCTGAAAATCCTGCTCTTTCTCTTCACACATTGTCTATTGGGTACTTTACCCCTTCTCATAGTTCCAGCTACCTACTATGGGAAGATGTTTTTCAATTCTTTATCAATATACTCTTGACTCATATCTAATGATATATGTGACTGTTATAACTGGCTGTCCCATGGGTACTTCAGATTTCGGTTTATACAAGCCTGAACTAATAATTTTAAAATAATTCTTCAATTTGTTCCTCCTTTTATGTTCTATCTCACATAGATAACACAATTATCCACCCAGCTGTCACCAAATCTAGAAGAGTAAGAGCCAAATTTAATACATAGGTACTTCTTCACCTTTCAGTTCCTATAAATTACTACCTAATGTTAGGTTTCCCATTCCTTTTTCCTCTCTTATCTTCATCACAGCTAGCATAGTCTAACTCGTCATCACTTGTCTAGACTCTCACTTAACAACTTTCCTGACTCCATTCCTGTTCCACTAAAATTTATCTTTAATAATATTTCTAGAATGAGGATTGTTTTAAAAACAAAAATCTGAACATGGAATTCCCTTGATTAAAATTTATTCAGTAATTTGTTAAAATTCAGTCTTTAGAATATGATAAACATTGCTTCCTTGAGCTTGCTCCTTCTTGTACTCTAGCCAGATCTCCTATTACCCTCTGCCTTTTACTTTATGCTCATGCAACCTATACACCGTCTGTAGTTCCCACTTACATCATGCTATGTTCCTCCTGTGTTCCTGTTCTCATGCCATTTTCTTTGCCTGAAATGCCCTCTCCACTGACACTCACGTTAATGCTATGAAGCTCTCACTAAATGTCTTGTGTGCAATGGTAAAATTTACTCTGAACACTTTTATTTTTATCTTTGCACTGTCTTAATTTTTGTATTTATTTGTTTGGGTCCCTGCCAGATAGTGTTGCTTTTGAATAACCAATGCATAACTAAGAACTTGGTATATTAGAAGTGTTAGATGATTGAATGAGTTAATACATAAATGTCTACTAGTCCTGCTTGGTCTTTTATGCTGTACATGTATAATTCCTGTGGAGGTATAGAGAGGTAATATTTGAACTAGCAGGCCAAAAAGATATTCTAGATAGTTGATCAGATAGAATACACAAGCGCCATGACAGAAGTGATACTGAAAGAATTGTAATTTTGAAATTATCTGTGATATGGGTAAAAAGAAAGAAACATGAGTCAAGAACAATAGTCAGGAGATCTTGGCAGTTGTCCAAGATGAGTATATTTAAAGGGGGATTGGAAAAGAAAATAAGTGTATTTGAGATACTATCAAGAAATATTCAGCCAGAAAAATTGAATATATCAGCTATAAGTGTTAGTGAAGAAAAGTCTTCAGTGTTAAGAAGGCTTAACCATACGATTTGTGACTTCTTAAACATGGGTGAGTAATTGAGAAAAGATGTTTAATCTCCCTGGACTTGGAAAGATTCTAATTTATATAGAATTAACACTATTAAACACATTGATATTTGTAGTTTTTCTATTTCTGTCATGATGGAGTAACTGGTATTAATCCAGCCCTATTGTTGTAGATGATTAGAAAAATAGACCAAATGTAAAACAACTGATTTCAGATATTGGACAAAAGATGACATAGAACTGTTAAGCCTAAGAGAAAAGAAATAAGTGAAGTGAGCTCTATAACATCCCTTGCTTTCTTCATGGAGTCACTTTCTGAATCATAGCATGGGGGATGGAGGGATTCCGGAGAGAAAGAAATCATAATTTGGGAAATGGGGTTGGGATGAGGCAGCTTGAATTTGCAGGATGGAATACCAAAGAGCAAGAAACTAGAAGGAAAGAGCTTCTGAAATATTCACAAGAGTTGCCTTCAATCTGTCGCTGAATAATAATGTATGCATGTGCAGAGAGAAACTTTATGAAACAAACTATGATCAGTTATCAAGGAGCTGCAAGTTGAACAATTCCCAGAGCTCACACAATGCTGGGAGTTTCCATTATGCAGAACGGAAAGACCTCATTGGGTAACTGAGGCCTTAGGTAGTACCCCAGAAAGGCAGAGCCAGACTACACTTGAGTAAAGCCTACTCTAAATCAACTTTAAAAACATGTTATGAATATATCAGGCTGGTCCATGAGTAATAAAGTGAAAGATACAAAGATAAAATGGATAATACTTCAGGTGAATATTAGATGAAAATTCCCTAAAATGCAAACTGACCCAAGGGGGAAAAAAGAAAAAAAAATGAACAAAAGGCAAAAAATAGCAAAATTGGCACAAAATTATAAAAATTAAAAATCAGAGTGCAAAATTGTTTAATAAAAATTTTAATAAAATTTAAATTAAGTATTTAAAAAATTTAAAAGTAAAAAATAGCAAAAAGGAAAAGGAAAAACTGACTCAAGAAAAAAAAGCATTTAAAAATAGATGGCTTTATATCCAATAATGAAATTGAATTTGTAATTAAAAATGTTTTCACAAAAGAATTCCAGTCTTAGGTGGCAACACTGATGAATTCTATCAAAGGTAAAGAAAAAAATATAACAATTCTATAAATTCATTTTTCCAGTAATAGAATATGTGAATACTTTCCAACTCATCTAATGAGGGCAGTATCAACCTTAAACTAAAACTAGGCAAAAACATTACAAGAAAACAATATTAGAGTTTGATACCCCTATGAACTGAAATTAGATGCAAAAATCTTTAAATATTAGGAAATCAAGCCCAGCAATATATCAAAAAGATAAAAAATCATGATCAATTGGAATTTGCGCCAGAAATACAAAATTGGATTAACCATTGAAGATCTATTAATTTACCTTGTTAATAAGATAAATAAGAAAAAAGTAATAATTCTAGAACAGAGGTCAGCTTACAGGCCAGTCACCTATTTTTGTAAATAAAATTTTGCTATAACCCAGTCATACCAGTTTAAGTGTTGTTTATGGTTTTGTGTTACAATGGTAGAGTTAAATATCTGCAACAGAGAGCATATAACTTGTTAGCCTAAAATATTTACTACTGGGCCCTTTAAGAACAAATTTGCCGGCTGGCGCGGTGGCTTTCGCCTGTAATCCCAGCACTTTGGGAAGCCGAGGCGGGCGGATCACGAGGTCAGGAGATCGAGACCATCCTGGCTAACACGGTGAAACCCTGTCTCTACTAAACATATGAAAAAAAATTAGCCAGGCGTGGTAGCGGGTGCCTGTAGTCCCAGCTACTCGGGAGGCTGAGGCAGGAGAATGGCGTGAACCTGGGAGGCGGAGCTTGCAGTGAGCCGAGATCGCGCCACTGCACTCCAGCCTGGGTGACAAAGCGAGACTCTGTCTCAAAAACAACAACAACAACAACGAACAAATTTGCCAACTCCTGCAGTAAATAGTAGGACAGAAAGAGAAGAAAATATACAGAGATTGGAAAGGAAGAAGTAAATTGTCTTTATTTCAGACAACATAATTATATAATCATGTACAAAGAAAATCCTACCTATTCTATAAAAACTCTCCTAGAAATAGTCAGTGAAAGTCACAGGAAACATGGTCTAATTTTAAAACTCAGGCTCTTTTTAATATTTTAGCCACAAATGCTTTAACTTTAAACATTTAACAAATTGTATCATTTTATGATATCACTGAAAAACCCAAAAAACTTAGATATACATAACCTAACAAAATATTTACAAGACCTGTAGAGTAAAAAGAACCATACAATGTTAACAGAAATAAACAATATAAAAATAAAAATAAATAGACATACCATGCTCATGGATTGGAAGGCTCAGAACTGTTAAAGGTGGCAGTTTTTTCCAACTAATTTATGGATCCAATGCAATACCAATGAAGCCTATGAGCAAGTTTTTAAATTATTTTTATTTTTTGGTGAAAATTTATAAACTGAATCTAAATTCTAAAGAAAAGCAGAATTGGAAAACTAATACTATCTAGTTTAAAGACTTACCAAAAAATTACATTAATGGAGTGAGTAGTAGTATTTGGTGTAAAAATCAATGAAATAGAATAGAAAATGCAGAAACAGACCTTTTTTGACAGGAAGAGCTACATCCTTGGAGTTCAAGTTACAGACAGAAACTCTGCAGATATTACATTACCTGCACGATACCATAAATATTTGTCTGGCAGTGGCACACATGTTTAAGATATATGTTAAATATAACAATATGCTGGGAATTTATAGTACCCCTCCTTACTTAATTTATTTGAATTTGTTATAATTTTAACCAGACACTGAATCTATAATTTGATTACATGATAGTAGATGAACATCATTCTTTTGGGTAAATATCTAAGACTTGCCCAACCAACAATTCAGATTGTACATTCTTACAAAAAAGTATATTGTTATATTGACAATTTAAATATAGCACACAAAAATCCTGTGATTTTCATGTATATTATTTAAGTTATTTTTGAAATATGTATTCAACGTAAATGTGGAAGCCATAATTAATAAAACTTTTACAAATATTTCTGATTTTTTATATTTACTCGTAAGTTGCAAGAACAATTTACTTAACATATTACCAAATGTAAATTAAAAAAACAGATTATCTTGAAAGCAACAAGAGAACGATACTTTATATAGAGAGAAAAGGCAATTCGAATTGTGGCTGACAGCTTTTCAGAGACAATGGAGATCAGAAGACAAACTAAATGTTTAAAGTGTGAAAAGAAAATAAGTAAATCAGCATTCCATATTCAGTGAAAATATCTTGCCAAACATATAAGTTCAAGTTTTAACTTTTGACCTTGTTTCTTCTACTTGTTTAATAATCAAAAAAAGAGGTTTAAAGAGGGGTTTTTTTTTCTTTTTTCTTTTTCTTTTTAATCATCCAGGCTGGAGGTCAGTGGTATATTCTCGATTCACTGCAACCTCCACCTCCCAGGTTCAAACTATTCTCCTGCCTCAGCCTCCACAGTAGCTGGGATTACAGGCGTGTGCCATCACGCCCGGCTAATTTTTGTATTTTTAGTAGAGACGGGGTTTCACTATGTTGCCCAGGCTAGTCTCCAACTCCTGACCTCAGCTGATCCTCCTGCCTAGGCCTCCCAAAGTGCCAGGATTACAGGCGCAAGCTACCTACCATGCCCAGCCAATAATCAGTAAAAGAGTATTATTAGCAATCATGAAAATAAGTCCTGATTTTCCAGACTGGACAGGAGCCTAAAATATATACATACACTCTACAGGCTGGATCTAAGCAAGATCCCTTTAACACTGAGTTTATTTGTAAAATCAAGCATGATATATATAATTAATACTAGGCAAAAAATAGATAAATAAATAAAATGTCTGCCCACTAAGAAGAATGTGGAAATAAATAGTGTGTTAGGCTTTCAGTATCTGAACATTAAGCATCTGATACACTCAAACAACTCTGCATGCTCTGAACCCCTGCTCACAAAGCAGTTGTCAGATAATTAAGTGGTTTTCCATGTATATCTGCCAAGAAGAAAAATGTAACAGATAGGCTCACACAAATCTTACATCTCATTTAGCAGTATCAATTTTTGTTGTTGTTAATAAACTGGCATTCTACTTGATATATCAGTTTCTTAGAAGCTTGGTTAACACAAGTTGGCCTCCTTGAACATTATTATAATTGTATCCCTGAATGATCAATTTTCTGTATCTTTAAGACTTCTCTGAAACCGGGTTTCCCCATCCAAGAAATCTGTAAAGGATGAATAAAACCCTACACTCCTGAGTTTTTATTTTTTACTTTTTATTTTATATAATTTTAAACTTACAGAAGAGTTGGCAGAAGAATCCATTGGACTCTTACTATACCGTTTCCCCAAATTTAGAAATTGTACATTTTTTTTGCCATTTGTTTTATCATTTTTCTCTGTATACAACATACAGGTCTATGTACACTTACGTGCATACCAAGCATTGTTTCTAATAATGTATTAGAAATGTCGAGTTCCCTTTCTCTTAAATATTTGTGTATATTTCTTAGGAAAATGAGTATTCTTTCATATAACAGTCTGATTAGAAAAATCAGAAATTATCTATTATCCATAGTCTATGTTCAAATTGTTAATCATTACAATTATGTTCTTTATAGCCCCTTGTCCCATCCCCCTGTCCAGTGTCAATCCATTTAGTAGTAATGTCTTCTTTAATTTTTATATCTAACAGTTTTTCATTCATTTTTTTCCTTTTTAAGTTTGACATTTTTGCAGCATGCAAAATGTACAGTATAATATCTCTTAAAGATTGCTTGATCTCCTTATGCATTTTTAGGAATAAACCACAGAAGCGATGTGCCATCCTTAATCAAAAGGCATTATGATATAATGTTGTCTCAATTACAGTTACATAAATTTTGATCACTTCTTAAGGTGGTGTCTAACAGATTTCCTTTTTGTGAAGTTACTGTTTTAACCTTTGAAATTATCCAGTCACTACATCTCCAATGGCAATACGCTGTCCTTTAACATCATAGATTGGTTTTGTAGGTTTTTTGTCTTTATATCAATCATACAGTATGTATTCCCCTTGCATGCATTCTTTCATTTTACATTTTTTGTGAGATTCATCCATGTAGCTATGCCATTGCTATTTGATTATTCTTATTGCTATATAGTATTTCTTTGGTGTGATATACCATTTGTTTAATCACGTTACTATATAGATTATATTATTGTGCTATACAGGATTTCATTGTTGTGATATGTATGCATTCATGAGCAATTGGTAAATTTCCAGGCTTCATTATTAAAAATGTGCTCTGTAAACATTCTTACAGATGTCATTTGGAGAATCCATGTACACATTTCTGTTGGGTATATATATCTAGAAATGAATTGTTGAGTTGTGCAGTATCCATATATTTAGCATTGGTAGGTAATTTCAAAGAATATTCTGAAGGGCTTGCATTAAAATTACATGAGAGTTTCAGGTTGTCTGAAATAATACCATTTTTATTTCTTTTCAATTTTGTCTTTTCTTTCTTGCCTTATTGTACTTGCTAGGACCTCCAAAAAATGTTAAGTAGCACATTTATCATGAATGAGATTTGAATTTTGATTAAAGGCATTTTCTTTATCTATTGAGATGACAATATGCTTTTTCACCTTTTTTATCTTAATGCATTATATTATATGATTTGATTTTCAAGTGTTAAGCCAACCTAGAATTACTAGATTGAAACTACTAAAAATAATGAATTATCCTTTTTCTATATATCTAGATTTCATTTGTTAATATTTTATTAAAGATTTTTGTATCTTTGTTCAGGAGAGAGATTGCCTTCTAATTTTTTTCCCTATAATGTCACATTTTGGTATCAAAGTTATGCTGGTTTCATAAAAAGTTATGAAAGGGTTCTCTCTTTTTCTGTTTTCAGATGTGTATATGTCATATGAGGGAATTTTTTAAAATTTGAAAAAACTCAATGTTAAAACTATTTGGACTCTGGGTATTATATATGTTTCCAATAATTGATTCAATTTATTTGTTTGAGATAAGAATATTCAAATTTGTAATTTCACTTTCTGCAAATTTTGGTAAATTGTATTATGTAATAACATTTACAGGTCAATGAAATTATTTTTTGCATAAATTTTATTATAATATCTTTCTAAAAAATTGTCCTAGGGTCTCTAGTGATTTCTACTTTTTATTTCGGATATTGATAATTTGCGTTGTCACCCTTTTCTTCTTTATCATTCATGCTAATTGGTATTCAGTTTTATTAGTATATTCAAAGAGCCAACTTTGGTTTTTCCCTATTGCAACTTTATTTTGTACTGTTAATTTCAAATGTATTTTCTTCTTTTATATATTTTATTTGCATTTTTTAAAGATTCTATTCATTTATATTTCTTTTTGGTGCTTTCACTTAAGACTATACATTTCTCTTTGTTTAACCGTATTCACAAGGTTTAGTGTGTCATATGTAATTCTTAATTTTCATTTGATTTAAAATATATTTTAACCATTAATGTGACTTATGCATAGACAAATAGAAGTTTGGAAGCATATTGTTTAATTTCTAGTTTTAATTTCCACTTTCTGTGATTATGGAAACTTTCTATATCTGAACTGTCAACTATAGTAATTGTTACCCATTTATGGCTGCTGAACTCTTGATACATGACTGGTGCAACTGAAAAGCTGAATTTTTAATTTTCTTCTAAATTTTTAAAAATTAATTTAAATATAAATAGTTACATGTAGTTAATGGCTTCTGTATTTGTCAACATAGCTAGGGCTTTCAGCAATCTAATTTCTACACTGACATACTGAAGAGTGTGTTTACTAGATTTAGAAAAAAAAAGAAGACAAAAAACTGAGATTGCTGTTTTAAAATCTCTTGATCTGGGGGGCAATGCAAAGTATACTGTGGAGGCCAGATACAATTCTAATTTTGGAGTCAGAATGGGAATTAGGAGATCCCTGGCTAAGCCTTGACTACTCTCCTATGGAGTTGCTGATTTTGTGCTCAATAATGATATAGTAAAATAATATCCATTGTGTTAGACAGCTCTGGTTACATGAGTTATAAACCTTAAGTATGATAATTTGATAAACGGAAGAATGAGAATTAAGTCTAGTATGACCTAAGAATACACTGTCAAATACTTCAAAGCCTTCTTTCAATTTTTGTATGTATTTTGTCCCTACCTTTCAAATTCAGCATTTAGAAGAGAAATCTTATTTCTCCTTGCTTCAGGTTGTAAATTTTCCTAGAGTAATATCTAGGGAAAAAAGTGAGAGAGGAACAGAAAGGACAAAGAAGAAGGAAAGGTTGAATTCAGTAAATAACTGGTTTTGCAATTAGAAACTATGACATATGGGCTGCATATAAATTAGAATTCAATTATCTTATTGAGGAAAACATGATTACAGTCCTCCTACCTTATAATTATCATTGTACTCTTCTTTATTATTGGTTAAATATTTCAATGACTTATTATATCAGCTTCTGTAATGTCGAGTAAATAAATGATTTACACTGATGTGGACCTTTAGTAGCTGAGAAAATATTATCTTTCACTGAATTGAAGGTGATTATAATTATTTCCAAGGAAAACTCATAAAATTATTACCTTCTTGAAAAGGAACTCTAGCAAGTCCTGAGTTTCAGAGAATAAAATCAGATCTTCCAGTTATAAAAATAAAAAGAAAAAATCCTCAGGGGCCCTGTGAACAATACTTTCCAAAAATAAGGCTCTTGTCTTTTGGTAACACATCAAAATTTCACCATAGAGTTGGTAACAGCACAGAGAAAAGGATGAAATAACTTTAAGAATACTTTAGAGCTTGGGGATAAAAAGTCCTTTCAGGATAAAAGTCCTTTAGGATATTGTCACATTGGTAGAATACCAACATTACCATTCCTTTATGAAATGTCACCGTCAGAGAGATTAACTTTAGAAGTATAGGATCACAGAAATGTTTCTATTGATGTTGGCTACTTTGTTGAACTCCAAAAATGTGTCAAGAGTAACAAATCTATCTGACGTGTCCAGTCAAGGATCTGTTTTAAGCAGAAACCATGGCTTGTAGGACACTGTTACATTTTAATTTTGTTTTCCAGCCACAAAAAGGAGTCTTTGTTTGCAGTCAGGATGAACACCTGTGTAATCCTTAAACGTTTACAGACATGTCTTTAAAAGCTCTATGGTACAGTTAAGATTTAATCTATCAAAGTGGTATAAATAATGCAGACATAGCCTTGGGTGCCAGTTCTTCCCACAGTACATAGAAAAACATCACAGTAAGAACTTCTTTGCTGATTTTCCTATAGCTCAAACAACACTGCCAAGAAGGGCAGAGGAGAGCAGTGTAATTCTAGAGATATAGCCTTGACGTTACTAATAATGTGCTAAAGTCTAGAAATTGAAAATATGGTCTGCAAAGCTAAAATTATGCAGAAGAAATAAGATTCAGATGGTTTCATGCTCAAAACCTTGGATCTCATTTTGAAATGTTTATAATTGAAAAGAAGTGGTTTTAAGAACGGTCAAGTTGTTTTACGCCTAAGTACTGACCTTTCATATTCTTTTCATGTAATCTGAGGGCATTTCAATGTTTATCCAAGCTATAAAAACCCTTCTGTTTTCATGAATGTGGAGATACAACCGAAATTTCAAACCAACCATTAATTAAATATGAAATCGGATGTGCAAAGCACTGTGTTGGCTACTATAATGGATAGTGAGAAGTGTAAAATGATTATGAGAGGTGAAGCCAGCTGGACTTCCTGGGTCGGGTGGGGGCTTGGAGAACTTTTCTGTCTAGCTAGAGGACTGTAAATGCACCAATCAGCACTCTGGGTCTAGCTAAAGGATTGTAAATGCACCAATCAGCACTCTATAAAAACGCACTAATCAGTGCTCAGTGTCTAGCTAAAGGTTTGTAAATACACCAATCAGCACTCTGTAAAAACGCACCAGTCAGCACTGTGTGTCTAGCTAAAGGATTGTAAACACACCAATCAGTGCTCTGTAAAAGCGTACCACATCAGCATTCTGTGTCTAGCTAAAGGTTTGCAAACGCACCAATCAGGACTCTGTAAAAAATGGACCAATCAGCACTCTGTGTCTAGCTAAAGGTTTGTAAGTGCACCAATCAGCACTCTGTAAAAACGCACCAATCAGCACTCTGTGTCTAGCTAAAGGTTTGTAAATGCACCAGTCAGCACTCTGTAAAATGGACCAATCAGCACTCTGTAAAATGGACCAATCAGCAGGACGTGGGTGGGGCCAAATAAGGGAATAAAAGCTGGCCACGTGAGCCAGCAGCAGCAAACCGCTCTGGTCCCTTTCCAAGTTGTGGAAGCTTTTTTCTTTCGCCCTTAACAATAAATCTTGCTGCTGCTCACTGTTTGTGTCCTCACTACCTTTATGAGCTGTAACACTCACCACGGGGGTCTGTGGCTTCACTCCTGAAGTAAGCAAGAACACGAACCCACCAGAAGGAAGAAACTCCAGGCACATCTGAACACCTGGAAGGAACAAACTCAGGATACACCATCTTTAAGAGCTGTTAACACTCACTGTGAGGGTCTGCAGCTTCATTCTTGAAGTCAACGAGACCAGGAACCCACTGGAAGGAAGCAATTCTGGGCACAATTAGACTTACGCTTTAGGTTCTAATCCTAAAGATGATTAATATCTAGGAAGAAAGATAAGGAGAAAGTATTTAAACAGTAAAATTCAAGGCAGTAGATTTGAAAGGGAAAGAAAACAATTGGGTTGGGTTGTTCTAGAAAAATCTCCTTGGAGAAAGAAAACGTGAGACTTGGTAAAGACAAGGCTTGGTGCTTTTACAGTCATGTGTCTCATAATGATGTTTCAGTGAACAACAGACCACATATATGACAGTGGTCTGTCGGATTCTAATACTGTGTTTCTACTGTGCTTTTTCTGTGTTGAGATACACAAATACTTATTGTGTTAAAATTGCCTGCAGTATTCAGTACAGCAACATGTTGTACAGGTTTGTAGCTTAGAAACAATATGCTGCATCACATAGCCTAGGTGTGTAGTAGACTACACCATCTAGGTTTGTATAAGTGATGTTCATGTAGTGATGAAGTTGCTTAACAATATGCCTCAGAACATATCCCCATTGTTAAGTGATAGATTATTGTAGATGAGATGGCAGAGGCGTTCTTGACAGGAGCACTGAGGCAGAGTTGGAGAAACTGAGCAACAGAAGATAACCAATTTTAGCTAGAAGAATGGATTTATTAGAGCAATAGAGAAATCTCTTTGGAGCTAGTCCCCCCCCCCCCCCCCCCCGCCCAAAAGAATGTAGAAGGGCTGTGTAGTAAATGTAAGAAATTTAAAGGCCAGACGCGGTGACTCATGCCTGTAATCCAGCACTTTAGGAGGCCGAGGCAGGCAGATTATGAGGTCAGGAGATTGAGATCATCTTGTCTAACATGGTGAAACCCCATCTCTACTAAAAATACAAACCATTAGCCAGGCATGGTGGTACGCACCTGTAGTCCCAGCTACTCAGGAGGCTGAGACAGGTGAATTGCTTGAACCCGGGAGGCACAGGTTGCAGTGAGCCAAGGTCGTGCCACTGCACTCCAGCCTGGACAACAGAGTGACACATTGTCTCTAAATTAATTAATTAATTAAAGAAGTCTTTGAAATAATCACCTTTATATATAGAAACTAATACAATGTAGTTCAATAAATATTTATTGAATAAATGGAGAGATTATCACTGGATATTTATTATCAGTCTTATCGTAAAGGTACATATGGAAACAAAAATAGGCTAATCTATAGCAGATACATTTAGAGTAGAATTAGAGTCAAGATGAGGTGCTAAAAGAAAATGCAACTGCTCCTTCTGTGGCTACACATGCAAGAGATGGAAATAAGGTAGCAGTCCAATTATCTTCTTGTAGAATGAAAAACCCTAAGTTTTCTTGAACTTTCTCTTTTACCTAGTGCCTCCAAATTCCTGTTGCTTAGCACATGATCTTCCCTTCTGAAGAAAACCTTCTTTCTTCTCTCTGGAGGACAGATATCGATGTTGCAGGTCACCTTCTGAAAAGCCATCTCTTGATCCCTCTCAGGTAATGTTAATTACCTCCTTTTTTGCACAAACAAAGTAGGCACTGCTCTTGTTATATTGTACTTTCCAAAGTACGACTCATTCTTTCAAACGTTTATGTCTCATGCTTGAGTCTTTCTAAAAATTAATATCTCTATTCTTGGCACAATATATACTTGCCAAATATTTATTGAATTAAAAGCTTTCCAGTAACATAATGCCAATAACATAGAGGAAACTTACAAAACAAGCTATCCTTAGAAAATGAAAAATAAAAAAATGGCCAAAGGATTACTGGCCCTTTGATAATGGTTCCTTAGTATCTGCACAGAATAAAGAGGGAAGTGACAATTACAGCTTTACTTGGGAATTCTAGATTCAGCCATTTACTAAAATACTTTCATTTTATACATCTGTATTTCCTAATACATAATATATAATGTAGATATAGATCTATATTTCATATATCTATATGTATACACATGCATATATGTTCATATGTATACATTATGTGTATATATGCATGCATGCATGTGTATTATATATATAATATCAGTGATCTCTCTTTTTCTATACATATGCATTTTTAGTTGATGGGGTATCTGTAAAAATGCTGTGCTTCTGCCAGCCTAGCTTTCCAAACAGGTCTCATAGAAACAAATGAAATAATCAAAACAACTCCTGTCCCTCCTTCAGCCACACTATTAGTTACCTGTTGAGTAATTTATTTTGCTGAAGATTTCGGAATCCTAAGGTTTAGAAATGAACAATAAATAGATAATCTATAGAACAAATCATACAATAAAGTTGATAATTTAAAAGAAGAAAAGTACCCAGAATATTTCTACTTAAAGGTAAGCTTTTCATATCTTAGGGCATTTTACTTTGTTTTGTTTCACTCTGAAGATCCACAGCTAGCCTTCAAAGGTTTGTGGGCCCCATTGAAATCATATGCTACATTTTGCAATATGTACATTTTTCTTAGGAAAGGTTTCTGGCCTTTTTTATGTAAAATTAAACTTTCAAGATCTACACCCTTCAAATGTTCTATTTTGTCCATTTAATGTGTTAGACAGTAGGATAAATATTTGATAAGGATAGTAAATATAGTAATACTTTACATATAGATAATAATTTCAAATTATTCACATCTCCGTATCTTTTTGACAACTCTAAGAAGTAGAGTATTTTTAATATTCATTTTGATAATGAAGAAATTGAAATTCAGATATCAAGCATCTTGCATAAATGAGTTTTTACATGGTAGACAACGAAACCATTTCTCCCATCTTCAAATCTGCAACTCATCTCAGTAGGCTTGTTCCTTGCCCCACCAGTCTTGTGCTCTTCAGGAATTTCTCTTCCTCCATCTGTTTTCCCATACACATGAGCATGATCAGTTCTTGAACAGCTTGTCCAAATGCTCCCTGTCCCACTTCCTACCATGGTTCCAGGTCTTCTGAGCGTAGAAGAAAAAACAGATCAACAGAATTGATATTTTGAGCTGGCAATCTGGAAGTCAGAATGGTCACACTTCATTGTTGGGTCACAGTAGTGGCACAGAGGAGTGCAAACATAATTATCAGAAAGAGCTTTGTACTGGAAATTCGGAGGCAGAGGTACAAGAAAAGGAGTGAACTTAGAATAAAGCAGGCAGGAGAAAGGCAAAGAGAGATATGTCAGCTGGTGTCATGGACCTAGGCTCAAATAGAAAAGATTCCTTTTCAGCACTAGAATTGTAAAACCTTACTAATGCTGGGAGAGCCTGTTCCCAGTAGCTTTTAGTGACTCTGTCTCTATCAGTAACTACTCTTTAAATCATCCTCCCTAGACAAAAGAAATGCATCAAAGGAAGGAGTAAAGAAGTTGAGGCCAAAACAGTCCATCTGACCCAACTCCCTAGGGAAATCTAAAGCATCTTAACTCTGCAGTGCCACCTTTATACTGCATGGATTCTAGTCCATTGAATCTTTGCAAGCCAAAACCATCTTTATTATTTTTCTCACGCAAACCTGACATCCTTTATCAGACTGGGAACATAAGTGTTTCTTCCTTCCTCCTCTTCATCCTCTTCCTGGAAGCTTTCACCTACCAAAACTAACAAAAACTTTTGCAATGTAATTTAAGCCTGAGAAGAGATAATACTGTGTTATGGTTCCTGAGGACCTGAGATATATCTCATTCATTCTTACTGTTTGCATTAAGAAATTGAGGTCCAGAAATATCACATCACCTAATTGGAGGTAGATGCCTTGGGCCTTTGGATCCCTGGCTCAGACCCACCCCCTCTGTACTGTGAAATGTTCAGTACATACATTGTCAATAATATTGCTTAACTGACTGACAGGAAAGGAAGTTAGTCACTGCTACTTATTCTTGGTATTAAGTTCAATATATGTATTCTATTTATCTAGAAACATAAATAAATTCAGAACCCCTTGGTACTTATTTTTCATATCAGTGCATGCATGCAGCAGATTAACCAAGTCAATATTTATCCCTACTTCAGACCATTTAGTTTTCTGTCTTACCAAGACAAGCATTGTGATTGGGCATATCCTAGGATACAAGAAGTTTCCACAAATCTATAGATATTCCCCACCACTAAGGGAACAATACACTTTGTAAACAAATGCTGTTTGTGTCTATGAGGACATGCAAAGCACTACAATGTACCTATCAGGGTATCTCAACACTCTTCCCTGCTTAGTCTCAGAGTCCTAGACATTGGTGGTGAAGAAAGGATGGAGACAGGAGAGAGAATGGACAATGTTAAGTGATACCTGAATTGACCTGTAAAGTCAGAGCAGATTTCAAAGAAAAATTGCAAAGCTAGTGAAGTTTCTCTTTGGAATTTTTATTCATTTCCAGATGTCTATTTTAATCAATAAGAAAACTTCTTGTCTGCTGAACTACTGGGGTGCTGATCCCAAATGGGTTTCTGGCTGACCTGAACCTCACTTTCTCTGGCATGTAGCATTGAGGAGAGAGCAAAGGTTTTGCAGTCCTCTCTTTGCTCTGCTAAGATAACCGGCACTGTTCCATTTGGGAACCGTTGGGAACAGCATTTGTCCAGCGCTGGGAGAGATGGCCTTCCCAACCTCAATTTCTCAATGATAGACATGGAACATAATTTGTAACTCTAAGCCACTGAAATTTTGTATCCGTGTGTTACAAAATCCTAAGCATAAATTAGCCTTTCCTAACTAATACATTCCTCCCCGCTTTTTCCCCTCCTAGTAAAAAATTAATGGAGTTCTGTTTATGGAACAGGAGATTAGAAAGTCACTCATTGTCTTGGTCGGCTCAGGACACTATAGCAAAATACCATATCCTGGGTGGTTTAAACAACAGACATTTATTTCTCACAGTTCTGGAGACTGGAAGCCCAAGTTCAAGATACCAGCGTATCTGGTTCCTGGTGAGAGCCTTTTTCCTGGCTTATAGACAGCTGCAGGGCTGGGGTGAAGATCTTGTGTTTCTTCATTTCCTTATAGTGGCAGTAATCCCATCATGAGGGTCCCACTTTCAGGACCTAATCTAAACTCAATTACCTCCCAAGAGCCCTACTTCCAAATACTATCACGTTGGGAGATAGGGCTTCTATATATGAATTTTCTGGACACATTCAGTCCATAACACCTACATATTACAACTAGTAATACAGGCAGAATGAACAGTGGCATTCTAACACCAATTTAGTTGAAGGTAAAGCAGTGCATCCTATTAAAAGCAAACCTGGTGAAATGAGAGGGAAGAATGAGTGAGTGGTTCTTCCATTTAGAGGTGGCTGAGGGGCACAGTGCATAAGAGAAATGATGTTATGTGACATTTCCTATATTGGCATTTCATCCCAATCTCTACTAGATTAACAACCCTGAAAAATTTTCTCAACTTCCCTGAGCCTCAGTTTCCTCATCTGTTAAAAATATATATATATTTCTCATATTGTTGTTAGGGGGATTAAATGAGATAACACATATAAAATACCTAGCATAATGCTTGGAGATTAGCAGTACATTTAATAAATAGAACAATTATTTTTATATTTTTATTCTAACAGTTTTTTCATCTCATCTCAATTCCTGTCTGATTACAGCCATGCATGCTTCAGCAGTGTAAAAATAATTATTTTCATTCATTTGAATGGCTTACCACTTTTGCCTAATGATGTGTAGCACAATAGCTGTTATACATATCATTAAATATGTGTCTGATTAATCTTATTATAATTTTAATTGCAACATGAAATTCCTCTCATGCATACTCAGCCATCAAAGGCTGTTGTTCATGAAACATGGCTGGCTACTGTCAACCTGAAAGAATTACAGGGAACATTGATCACATATAGTATATATCATAGACCTAAGAACAGCCTTGCACAAAGGACAGAAAACAAATTTGGGAGTCATATACACCAAGAACTGAAAGCTTTACCCAACCACTGTAATTTATTCAACTTTCTTCTGAGAGTTTTTCTCTGAAAAATGTGGCCAGTGATACCCACCATGTAGGATCTTGTGAGGAATCGAGATATTTTATGTAAGGTGATCAACAAGGACCTTGGAACACAATAGACAGTTAATTATATTAGATATTACTACTTTCATACTTTTGGACTTTAACTTGGAAGGGACTTCCAGAAGCCCATAGTATTAACCACCTCTGCTTCAAAGGCGAGATGTTGTCACCTCCCCCACTCTCATTTTCTACAAACACAGGGTATAAGACACCAGCATGATTTGCCCAAGGTTAGGCAGCTTGCAAGTGAAGGAGGTAGAAGCTGAGCCAGCAGTGGGTGCCCCACCTCTTCCTTTACTTCCTTCTTTCACTCAGCTCATGCCCGTGGTTGGCGAAACAACCCAAAGCACACATTCTTCTGGTGCTGAGTCAGTGGCATCCTGTGCCTTCCCAAAGAGAGGAAGCACATTTGAGTCAGGAGGAAATGGAATTGCCAAGTAGGAAAAGAAATCCGAGAACAGAGGACAGCCGACCTGTTCTGTGCTATAAATGTGGCAAAAAGCCACATTAAAGTGGTTCTGTAGACTCAGTAATCTTGAGAAAATTAAAATCTGTCAGTATCTGAATCTACATTCCTCCTTCAGGAAGGAAACTAGAATGACTTCTTGTTAATAAGAACCTGTCTTCATAAGGCCTAAACCCCAAGTTTCCCAGGAGACCTGGCCCTCCCTTTGGCTGTCATCCCTGAATACTTTCTTTATCATTTAGGTCTCCTTCACCTGAGTCTGACTCAGTGTACAGATGGAGCAAGGAATCTGAGCTGTCCCAGATGCTGGCTGCACACTGTCATTGTAGTAGTGGCTGCTCATTCAAGGACCCCATCTAACACGTGCAGTCCCATCTCAGAATGGGTAGCTGCTTTCTCAGAAGGTTTAGTGCTGGTGCATAAACCTTGACTCAGAGCCCTATGAGGCTGATAGAAAAGTCAGACTTGACTACTCGATTTCTTTCCTTTCCATTATCACTGTGACCTAGTTTTCTCTCCAAAGCCATGGGGACAGTGTGTTAATGGTGGTTTGAACCTTGGCATAGTATCTCACTGGGAGGTGAGTCACTTTTCTTCTCAGGTGTTCCAATGAAACGGTCATTGCAAGGATGAAATAAAAGACTATGGCTGAATAGACTAGATATACATTAGGTATGAGGAAAATGATACTGTGCCTTTATTTGCTGCAAAATAAAAGCTAAGTTTAGAGAAAGAGCTATAATAAATATAAATATTTCTGATAATTTCAAACTGATAGGGTTAAAGATAGAGGAGAGTGCTACTTCCCCATCATGTTGAATATCTCATTTTCTATAACCATTACTTAAAATTTATGATGAATTTATGAAAAAAAATTTAAAGTTTATATGGAGAAGCAGTGAGACTTTAGAGAGTAATTAATATATATATATTAGGTATTCATTTCCATTTTAATTGAAATGACTTTTCATACATCAGGAAAACCTTTAATAAAGGAAGCAAAACTAGACGTTTGACATGACACTTTGTTGATGAATTCGGAGTATTGAAGCAATTTGAGGGTAAATATTTTTCTGGTTATGATAGAATCAAGTTGTGATTTTTCTGGTTATGAACTTGTGGTTTGGAAGATTAAGAGCTTTGTTGCCAGAGAAGTTGTTTTTCATCAGCTTGGGCAGTTTTGTTGGGTTCTTCAGTAAGGTCCTGGCAAAAGCCAGTCTCATGATTAAAGCTGAAAATCCCATGATGCTCCATGAATTTTTTAAACCTAAATATATTCATAATAATAAACACATGGTATCTCAATGTCCTTCATAACAATTTTGGAGAAGTGGGGAAGCAGTTAACTTCTTTTTGTCTGCATTAAGTGTCAATGAAGGAGAAAATGGGCTTTTATATAGGTTCTATAAGCTGGAAGTTCTGAAGCATTTTCTATAAGTCATATCATCTATACTACTAAGAGTTCAATATGTTATGTGTACAATTTGTTTATATCAATATACCCACGTATAACACCATTGATGCCACGAAGAGTTAGAAAAAGTAACACTGTGGAAATGTTAGTGTGAGCCAGTATTGCCTGTTTGTATGGCTTGATGATTTCAAGCCTATCTGGCACATAAGCCATATGGGGCTATTCCTGGAATGTGATTTCCATTTGGGCTCAGTCCTATGACTAGCTGATAAGGGCTGTGGAAATGTATATGAGAGGAAATTTGTAGCTGTTATACCCTCATCTAGATAATCAAATTGAGGCACCTATAGATGAATAGCTCCAAGTTCTGTCTACCTTGCAGACTACTGAGGAAGATGAAATGTCAGTAAGTGGACCCATACAGTTCAAACCTGTGTTGTTCAAGGGTCACCTGTATAGTACTTGCAGTTTTCTGGAAAGTGTGTTAAGTTTCATGTTGAAAAAGTATTGTTGCTGCATAACCATCCAGGTACAATTCTTACCATGTTCTCTTGTTTCTTTAAATTAAATGAAAACTTTCACAAACTCCTTCCCTTATCTCATAGCCCAATTTTCAGGAAGTCTAGAATTTTGCTCTTGTCTCATTTGCCCTCATTTTACCAATGAGGAGACAGTTTCATAGCATGAGAGGGATAACTGCTGAGTTAGGTTAACAAAAATTATTGACATAAGAGAAGGCCCTTGGGAACAGTGACAGGATTGTTACTTAGACCTTCTTTTCTTGGGTCATTATGAACTTGAAAAGGAAATCTATGTTCCATCTCTCTTGTTTGTGTTCTTAAGAGTGAAGCAAGGAGATTTAATACTTAAAAAAAATGCTGGAATAGGGCATACCTACTGTATGTCAGGCACTGAACTTGTGCTAAGGATACAGCTGTGAAAAAGACAAACATAATTTACATTCTCAAATGCCACTGTGAAAAGATAAGCGAACAAATAAGTGGTGAATACGTTGGGGACTAGTTCTTCCATTGCAAAATTACTACTATGGGAACTTACAGCAAAACAGCTAAAGTACAGTAAGGTTATCTTTTATAAAATTAACCAGAAATAACTACAGAATTTTGGAGTTGTAGGTTGGGCGCCGTGGCTCACACCTGTAATCCAAGCACTTTGGGAGGCCGAGGCAGGTGGATCACCTGAGGTCAGGAGTTCGACACCAGCCTGGCCAACATGATGAAACCCCGTCTCCACTAAAAATACAAAAATTAGCCAAGCATGGTGGTGGGCACCTGTAATCCCAGCTACTCAGGAGGCTGAGGCAGGAGAATCACTTAAACCTGGGAGACAGAGGTTTTAATGAGCCAAGATCATGCCATTGTACTCTAGCCTGTGCAACAAGAGTGAGACTCCACCTCAAAAAAAAAAAAAAAAAAAAAAAAAAAAAGGAGAAGAAGAAATTTGGAGTTGTAGACACCCTTTGTGAGAGGCTTTGGACAGATATAGAATCTCTGGCCTGTTTAGGAAAAGAAGGGACATCAGTTTCCTACTACTTAACAAATGACTACAAACTTAATGGTTTCAAACATATTATCTTAAGAGCTCTACAAGTTAGGAGTCTTATAGGACTAAAAATATCAGCAGAGCTATGTTCCCTCTGGAAAGTCTAGGGAGATTGTGTCCTTGCCTTTTCCAGCTTCTAGAGCAAGCTTGTCCAACCCGCAGGGCACACGTGGTGCAGGATGGCTTTTAATGCGGCCCAACACAAATGTGTAAACTTAAAACATTGTGAGATTTTTTTTTTGCGATTTTTTTTAAAGCTCTTCAGCTATCATTAGTGTTAATATATTTTATGTGCGGGCCCAGACAATCCTTCTAATATGGTCCAGGGAAGCCAAAAAATTGGACACCCCTGTTCTAAAGGCTTCTGACCATCCTTGGCTCACAGCCATGTCACTCAACTTCTGCACATCTTCTTTGCCTCTAACTCTCTTGCATCCCTCTTTCACCTGTAAGGACCTGTATGATTACACTGAGCCTGCCTATATAATCCAGGATACTCATCTCAGCATTCTTAACCACATCTGTAAAGTAATTCTTTGCCATGTAAAGTAATAACGACTCATACATTCTGGGGATTAGGAGGTAAATGTCTTTAGGGAGGGAATTCTGTCGCCTAGCACAGAACATAGAGTGAGAATTAAAAATGTTTCAATTTAACATCTGTTGGGGATGGAATGTTTTTGTAGCCCCCCAAATTAATATGTTGAAATCCTAACCCTCAATATAATGGTGTTAAGAGGTGGGGTTTTTGAGAGGTAATTAGGTCCTGAGGGGAGAGCCCTTATGAATGGGTTCAGCATCCTTATAAAGGGGTTCACAGAGAACTCTCTCATCCTTTTCTCACCATGTGAAGATAAATGAGAAGACAGCCACCTGCAGCTCAAAAGAGAGCCCTCACTGCAACCCATCCATGCTGGTGCTCTGGTCTTGCACTTTCAGCCTCTAGAACCGTGAACAATAAATTTCTGTTTTTTATTAGCTACCCAGTCTATGGTGCTTTGTTATAACATCTCAAGCTAAGACAATAATTAATTCAGGTCTTAATTATTTGAAATAGATAAATATAGATGGAAAGACATTTTAGGTTGAGTTGTGAGGAAATTATCTTCAAACTCATTACTGTCAGTTTTGCATGAGGCTCTTTTACAGTCTACGTCTGAAACACAGATGCTTCCTGGATCTTTAATGTTTAGACCTTGTTTTTCTTACAGAATAATCATGAGTCCTCGTGATTGCCCTTCAGATACCTTCAAAGGGCAGTTTAAACTAACTATAAGTTGGAACCACTCTTCTTTTGGAATAAATCAATAAAAATAGTGGGATCTCCTAATAATAGGTCACTAATTGCTGAAAGAATAGACCAAAAAATATTTAATATATTTCAGCCCTGTGCCAGTTACGAGAGTAAGTAAAAAGAGTATACACTCCAAAGCTATTGGCCAAAACATGAAAAAGAAAATAAATGCTTACATGGGTCTTCCAAATTAAAAGCTAATGTAAAGGTTGGATATTAGATTTTATAATGTACATTATATTGTACATACCAGAGAAAAAGAATCAATAGGTGATATATATTAGGGATACATATATACACACACATACATACACAGATATATATATATGAGATTTAGAGAGAGACTTATTTTAAGGAATTGGCTTATTCTAAGGAGTTGTGGAGGCTGACAAATCTGAAATTCTTTGGCCAGGCTAGCAGGCTGAAAATTCAAGTAAGAGTGAGGTTGCAATCTTGAATCCAAAATCAGCAGGGCAGGCCAGCAGACTTGAAATTCAGGTAGGATTCCCATGTTGCAGTCTTGTGGCAGAAATCCTTCTTTGAGAAACCTCAGTCTTTTCTCTTATGTCCTTCAACTGATTGGATGAGGCCCACCCAAATTATGGAGGATAATTTGCCTTACTTAAAGTTAACTGACTGTAAATGTTAACTTACATCCACAAATACCTTCACTGCAATATCTAGACTAGTGTTTAACCAAATAACTGAGCAGCATAGAACTGAGGCATGTTGATACATAAAATTACCATCACAATGCCCAAGGCTGAGAGCAGGATTCTTATTTCTTTGGTTGGGGCAGTGGAGATTTTTTTTGAGCAGAATAGTCTTGAGAATTAGCAGTAATTCTCACGACTACCACTTATATTACTACAGGCTGGCATTTAAATAAAATAAAAGAAGTCAAAGATTTCTTGGAACTGAAAATTGGGGAAATATGAGATTTTGTTACTTATCATTGTACATAATTTCTTAGTAATGATTATTACTAGAACTACTTTATTGCGCAGCCATCAATTCATGTAGAAGGACATGGGCATAAATCCCTGTGTTGATTAATTATTTTGGGAGCCTGGAATCACCTTGAATTAATCAGCCAGGTTACTTTAGAATATAATATATGACATTAATTTTATGATACTGTGACAACTGTGGAGAAACGAGCTGATTTGAAAATGGACCACCCATCACATTGATAAATAGAAACTGCCCAAATGCAGAGGAAATGTTGACTTAGAGAAATTTACAGATATTGGTGTTAATAAAAAAGTTCCTCAATATTAAATATAACCAGATAATTTTTAAAAACTTGAAAGGATTAGGAGCTTAAATAAGTAAACGAAGCTGAGTTTAATGCAGAGAGATGTTTTACTAGATCCCTTTTGAACTACATTTTTAACTGAAAGAAAAAGACTTTTAAAAGTCACCAACATAATTATTTTAAAGATAACAACTGATGCTCATCTTTGTACCTGTTCAGCTACTATCTACTGGCATCATGCAGGAATGCTGGGCCACAGAATCAGGATTTCTATGTAGAACCATATGCACATATATATCCTATACAAGAGGATGTTGGTGATAGAAAACATTTGATTTCAAGGTAATGAATCAAAGAGCCTGACTTTGTATTCTGTGTGGGTGTATGTGTGACAGAGAGAGAGATTTGTCTTAAGGAATTGTCTCAGTGCCTGGAGGTCTGGTAAATTCCAAATCTTCAGAGTAGACTGGCAGCCTGGAGATCCAGGGAGCAGTTGACTTTTGAGTTTAAAAGTAGTCTGCTGACAGGGAAGTCTGCATTCTCATAAGGCCTCCAACTGATTGGAAGAGGCCCATTTACTTTATGGAGGGCAGTCTGCTCCAAAGGCCACAGAGTTAAATGTTAATCTCATCCAAAAAAACACCCTCACACAAACATCTAGAAGAATGTTTGACCAAATATCTGAGAAATGTCTCCAGCCAAACTAACACATAAAATTAACCATTACAGATTCTTAACTGATTTAAGCTATGAGTTGGAATCACATGTGTAATGGGAATACAAGTAAGAATAGAAGAAATGAGTGGATAATATGAAGTTCTTCCAGACTGGATAGTCCCGTTTTATTTCCCAAGAGCTCTTTAGACCTCATAAATGCAAGTACAACTCTAATATTAACTGTAATAAAAATGACTGTTTAAAGAGAATATAATGGTGGAGTAGCAAGAAAAGGATGTCAGCTCAGGAGGAGACAAAAGGTGAGTCTTTTTAGCAAGTAAAACAGCCCTATTCATTTCCTCCCTTATGGGTGCCTCCTGTCCCTCCTCTGCACCACTGAGTGCAGCTGCTCAGTAGCATGCAATGCTCAGCTCTCAACTTCTCTGCATGCCCCTTGTGCTCCTGACAGCAAAAGGGGAGGCTCTTGGAGAGACATTGCCAGCAAGATGCATTTCTAGGTTGGGCGTAGCTCACTACAGCAGAGGCAGTGCTGAACTCACCATCTGCAACGCCTACTTGTTTTCCAGTCAGATTTGTCCACCGAGTCTTCCTCACTCCCCGCTGTGCCATCAAGCTGGCTGCAGTAAGAGATAAAGATACTTGTGTTTTTTCTACCACTGACCTATAATCAAGAACCGTAACAATGAAGCACACTAATTCTAATCAGCAAAGGCCACTTATTTACTCATTCGCCTTTTGCCTTTGTGATGTTCAACATGCATCTCCAATCAGTCAGAGAGATGGAATGTGGATTTGATTAGGAAGGACTCCAGGCTCCTGTGCATTCTGAACAGAGGCACAAGACCCCACTCCTAGGCTGTTCTATGACTATTACAACTCTAAACCTCTATAGAATGCTCCTACCACCAGCCAGTCCTAGTACCCACAGCGTACCCAGATGAAAGCAAAAATAAAAAACCTTTCAGATTATTCTTAATTACCTTCCAAAATTCAAGGAAGATTTCCATAAAGAGAAATTAAGCCATTGATTCTATCAATTTATATTTGCATCACCTTTTCCTGATGCATCTTGGAAAAGGTGGAACTAGATGTCATATGAAAGCCAATGGCATTGAAGTCCTTTATAGACCTTTTTTTTTCTCATCTGAAAAGATGATTTAGTTACATTTGAACAGGAGGATGAATTAAATGTTTTGAAATAATTTCTAGGTATAGTCCTTTAATATTCTCTCATAAGGAACTTAGGGATAAACAAACAAAAAAATACAATAAACATGCCTTCTATACTATTCAAAATTAATTAACCAATTAAAGTTCTCAATAAAAAGTAGTTAATTTAACTATCAGATTCTTAACTAATATGGCAAAGCAGTCTTGTTTAATGTGCTTACATTTATTCTTCTATTCCCTAGGCCAATAGTGTTTTTAATTTCCCTTTTATCTTGCCAAAATCTATTAATGAGTATATGTAAGTACGCAAACATTAGGTTAGGAACAATATTAACGTATATAGTAGCCATTCACAATTATCCAGCCATAGCTTAGCCTTCTTTCCATGCTTTGTATACTAAATGGGTCCTTTTATTAACTTACAGATTTTTTTCAAAGTAAGCATTAGAATTTTTTCCTAACAGGCTTTGTGTTGCTACAGGGTTTTCATTCACAAATAGTATTTGTGGGTTTGTGTGTGTATAATGTTGCTAATTTGCAGGTGGGTATTGCAGTTGAATCCCTGGGGACACCGACTCTGAAACAATGGTTGGCTGGTTTTAGCTAAATATATCCAAATTTATCAAAAATCTTAATTTTGTGTTATGTATAGGTCTTTGAAAATATTTCCCTAGATTTAATAACAAGTTTGTAGTTTCTTCTAAAATTGTAGAGTTTTTCACAAAAATTTAAGTGTTTAAACCATCTAGAATTAATTAAAAGGTTTATCATGTCCTATTGTTCTACCTGAGTAGTCAATTTCTGAATATTGAATTTAGTTTTCAAATATTTAATATTATGCATATATGTAACTTATTTCAAATTGTGAAAATTCAATATTTATCAGTGATCAGTTTGTTGCCACTCAGCCCATAAATCATACTTGAAAATCTCCTCTGTTATAATGCACTAGAATCTTCAACATTTTTTCTTTTTCTTAAAATTTATTTATTATTTATTTTTTCCATAAGTTATTGAGGTATAGGTAGTACTTAGTTACATGAGTAATTCTTTAGTGGTGATTTGTGAGATTTTGGTGCACCCATCACCCTAGCAGTATAGGCTGTACCATATTGTAGTCTTTTATCCCTTGGCCCCTCCCACTCTTCCCCCAAGTCCCAAAAGTCCATTGTATCATTCTTATACCTTTGCATCCTCATAGCTTAGCTCCCACATATCATATCAGTGAGAGCATATGATGTTTGGTTTTCCATTCCTGAGTTTCTTCACTTGGAATAATAATCTCCAATCTCATCCAGGTAACTGCAAATGCTGTTAATTCATTCCTTTTTATGGCTGCATAGTATTCCATCATATATGTATACACATACACACATATATATACACACACACACGATATGTATACACACACAGACACACACAGACACAGACACACACACACACACACACACACACACACCACAGTTTCTTTATCCACTCATTGATTGATGGGCATTTGGGTTGGTTCCACAATTTTGCTATGGTGAATTGTGCCACTATAAACATGCGTGTGCAAGTATCTTTTTTAAATAATGACTTCTTTTCCTCTCGGTAGATACCCAGTAGTGGCATTGCTGGATCAAATGGTAGTTCTACTTCTAGTTCTTTAAGGAATCTCCACACTGTTCCCCATAGTGGCTATACTAGTTTACATGTCCACCAGCAATGTAGTGGTGTTCCCTGTTCACCTCATCCATGCCAATATCTACTGTTTTTTTTTAATTTTTTTGATTATGGCCATTCTTGTAGGAGTAAGGTGGTATCGCATTGTGGTTTTGATTTGCTTTTACCTGATAATTAGTGAGTTGAGCATTTCTTCATATGTTTGTTGGCCATTTGTATATCTTCTTTTGAGAATTATCTATTCATGTCCTTAGCCCACTTTTTGATGGGATTTTTTTTTCTTACTGATTTGTTTGAGTTCATTGTAGATTCTGGATATTAGTCCTTTGTCAGATGCATAGATTGTGAAGATTTTCTCCTACTCTGTGCTGTGGATTGTCTGTTTACTCTGCTGACTGTTCATTTTGCAAAAGCTCTTTAGTTTAATTAGGTCCCAGCCATTTATCTTTGTTTTTATTGCATTTGTTTTTGGGTTCTTGGTCATGAAATCTTTGCCAAAGCCAATTTCTAGAAGAGTTTTTCCAATGTTATCTTCTAGAATTTTTATAGTTTCAGGTCTTAGGTTTAAGTCCTTAATCCTTCTTGAGTTGATTTTTATATAACGTGAGAGATGAGGATCCAGTTTCATTCTCTTAGATGTGGCTAGCCAATTATCCCAAGACTGTTTGTTGAAAAGGATGTCCTTTTCCCACTTTCTGTTTTTGTTTGCTTTGTTAAAGATCAGTTGGCTGTAAGTATTTGGGTTTATTTCTGGATTCTCTATTCTGTTCCATTGGTCTATATGCCTATTTCTATTCCAGTCAGTACCATGCTGTTTTGGTGACTATGGCTTTGTAGTATAGTTTGAAATCAGGTAGTCTGAAGCCTCCAAATTTGTCCTTTTTGCTTAGTCTTGCTTTGGCTATGCGGGCTCTTTTTTGGTTCCATATGAATTTTAGAATTGTTGTTTCTAATTCTGTGAAGAATGATGGCAGTATTTTGATGGGGATTGTGTTGAATTTCTTTCTAATGGGCACTATGTTAAGCTTTGTCAGGAGAGGGTGTCTGAGGAACATTCCAGTAAGATGGGGACTTCTCTTCTGGGTTCTGGTGTGTTTCCATCTGCCACTTCTTGCTCCTGCTGTGTGGTTGTTCAGTAATGTGGGTCACCCAGAGTGCTTAGGCTCTCAGCAACTGCTCAGCCCTGGCTTGGGCCCAGTGGCCATCTTTCCAGAACCATTTAGATGGAGGTAATGCATATGCCAGGCCTGTTCTGGCCCAGGTGACCCAGAGGCTCCTTTGACATGGGGAGGCTGCAGCCACACCTTTCAGCTCCAGCCTTTTGGGAGAAGAACTCACATTCCAAGTTTGCCCTTCCTTGGATACCCTTCCTCAGCTCCAGGGTACACTGTAGGGATCGTTTTACATTTTTATAGTCATTCTTCTATCAAAACAATAGGTATATCAAATTTCCCAGGTTTCAATTTTCGTGTATTTTCTGGTTCCTAATTGAATCCAGCCTAATGCAAACAGCACTTGGTTTCCAATGGATCTGTAATGCTATTGCTGTCATATATTCACGGTTATGGTTGTGGGGTGGGTGGTTGCTAACTTGCCTTTTTGTATTTTTTTTCCCAATGCCAAGTCTTAATTATTCAATGGCTTCTCAGTGCCATTTTTAAACCATTTAGTTACTAAAAAAACAATTAAATTTACTGTTTATATATATAAACTATATATATTTAGTATATATATATAGAAATATATATACTAAAAAATTCAATTAAATTTATTGTTTATATATAAACTACATATCTAATAAACTAAAGAGTAAACAAACATATTTAATTAAATCTAAAATGTGACATATTTATATTTAATTTAAAATATACACATATATTTTGATTATCTATATACAGATGCTTAATATGATATCCATTGTGTTTTCCTTTTATTATTATTCTTTAAACTTATCTTGATTTCTACTTGCCCATTATTCTTCACATTAATTTTAGAATCAACTTTTCAAATTCTTCAAAAAAGTTTCTGTGTCTGATCAATTGGTATTTAACTAAATTTAAATTCATTTAGGGAGAATGACCAGATTTACAATACTGACTCCTCCCATTCATGAACATAGTATTTTTCTCCAGAAACTTATTTTGTTTATCCAGATCTTGTTTGTCTTTTAATTTAAAAATTATTATTTTTCTCCAAAAACTTACTTTGTTTAATCTACTCTTAGGTAATTATACGTTTTTTGATATTCTAATGAACAGTTACCTGTTAACAATATATTTCCTGATGAATAAGAAAAGTTTTCATGTGTTTATATGTATCTTGTTCCCAGGAAACTCACTGAATTCTCTCATTAGATCTAAATTTTGTTTGGAGATTCTTTTGAATTTTCTAAGTACACCTTCATATTATCTGCTAATAGTTGCAATTTTCCCTTACTGTTTTCATTTTTTAAATTTCTCAATCTTTTTTAACTTGGTTACTTAATGTAGTCAATACAGTGTTTAATAGAAGTGGCAATAAGCATGCTTTCTCTGTTCCTGATTCAAAAGGAATAGATCTAAAATTTTAACACAGTATACTATTTACTAGAAGTTTTGGTCATATATCTAGGGAAACTCACTAGTATTACTAGTTTGCTATCAATTTTGAATCAAAATTAAGAGTTGAATTTTATAAAATGCTTTTCTCTGTGGAGATAATTATATGATCATTAAAGCAGAAGATTACATTAATAGATTTTCTAAAATTAAAACATCCTTTATTACTGACTATACTCAATCATAAAAGATGTTTCATGATTTGATTCCTTTGATTCATTTAATTAGTGCTTTTGGATGTGGTCTTATAAGTTTAATTACCCAATAATTTTGCTTTCTGATTCTGTCATTGTGTAGTTTTAATACAAAAATGTTTGTAGTATTATAAAATGAGTTGTAATTTTATATTTTCTCCATAATCTAAAACAAGTTATATAAGAAAAAATATTTATTAATTGAGGGTGCTTTTTTTATGAGCATGGATTCATGAGCATGGGAATGAAAATCAACTATAGGTTTCTTGAAACCACTGAGATTATAATTTGTTATCACAGCTTGGCCTAGTCTATTCTTACTGATTTTATAGCCAAATTCCAATTGGTCTTCTATTGTTTTTAATTTGAGACTCTGTCCTTCAATTAATGGTTTGAATATAATAAAATTTGCTATGGTTTTTGTTATACTTGGCCTTACTTCTTCAGTATTGGGCTTTCTTCATACAGTATGTTTTTCTTGCCTGTTTTTTCCACCTCTTTCCTTCTATTGAATTGTTAATGATTAATTTATTTCATTTTTTCCACAGTTTTCTTGTTTGGAGCTTATTCAATTTTCATTATATTAGTAGTTGGCCTTAAAATTTTAACATGCCCAATTGTCTTAATAATGTCTACATTTGACCAGTTTATCCCCACTTAGTCTAAAAAATTCAATAGAACTTAAATTTTTACTGCAATTAATCACTCTCAAATTGTTGTCTCGAATTTTAGTTGTAATTTTAATTCCCCTCTAAATTGGTAATTGTGATTAAAAAAAAAGTATTTAGACAATTTACCTAAAAGTTTTATTTTATCGAAAAGACAGTCTATTTAAATACCTAAGTTCATAAATTCTTCTAAAATTCTAAACAATTTTTCTAGAATTTGATGAGCAATTTCTTTCCTTATTCCTTCTTGTAGGTTTGTTTTTGATTTAATTTATTTTTTATCAAGAACATCTATTAATTGACCTTTCAATCAGAATCTGAGTGGTAAATTATCTCTGTCTCTTAAATGCCTTCATTTGTATTAATATTTGAAACTGTTTCACTGGAACTTTAGAATTTTAGGCTGTTATTTTTATCTCAGCTTTTTGAAGATATTATTTTATTGTCTTCTTACATTTTTGCCAAGAAGTAAACTGTTAACAATTTTGATTCCTTTGTAAATAACCAAGTCTTTTTACTCTTTAAAAACTTCTGATTTGTAAAACTTTTCTCTTTTTTTAGATCCTGCATTTTCTCCATAATATACGGAGGTTTGGATCTATATTTATTTATTGAGTTCATATTTATTTTGCTTATTTAATCCAAGAATTTATGCCTTTCACTAATTCTGGAAAAATTTCACCTATTATTTCTTTGATTTTTTTCTGTCCCCAATTAACTCTTTTTTCTTTTATCAACCTTTGTTGAACTTAAGTCAGATCCTTTCATTTTAGCCTAGGTGGTTGTTCCATTGTGTTGTCTACATTCATGTCTCTCTTTTGCTTCCTCAATAATGTAGCCATACCCAGCTTCCAGCTTATATATTCCTTTTGAGTCCAGCTTTATTTGATGTTAAATTGTTACAAAAAACTTAGTGGTATTAATAATCATATCTCTAATGCCTTTAAGTGTATTTGCTATTCTTGGTGTCTTTTAGCTTATAGGATTCTATTCCTTCTTTTGCACCTTAAATAATTATTTAAAAACCTATTTTTCACACACTGTAGGTTGCTTTATTTCACAAGTTTTTTTGTTACAAGTTCTTCTGTTTGTTGCATCTCCTCTCTTCATCATGGAAATATTTTTTAGGAATTTCTTTAATTTTTGTTGTTCTCTTTTCTCTGCATGTGTTCTATGAGCGCGAGATTATGAAAATGGGATTTCAGAGTAATTTTGGTTTACAACTGCCACTGCCTTCAGAGGCTTAATTGGTCTGGTATCAGTCCTTATGTAAATTTTTTTGAGATCTCTGCACAATTAGTACAGTGTAAATTTGAAATGTATATATGCAGAGGACAGTCTTGGGATTTCAGTTTCTGCAAAGAGACTTTAAAAGAAATACAGAATCCTAGTCAGACACAGAAACGTAATTATTTCTTGGGACTTTTCTGGGCCTGAAGGTACAACTTCTCTAAGTCAATTTTCACCAAGTAGGAAGATTTCCCAGGGTTCAAATCTCATTCAGGGATTCCAGTTCCAACTGTGAACTTGTCCTCTGCCCCTGCCTGTGAAATACTATCCTGATCTTGACATGTTGGGCTCATTTTAGAGGTCATATTTCCCTCGTCTTTCATTTTAGATCTCATTCTGAAGTGTTGCCTCATGTGTTTTGTTCTTCTGACTTCAAGTTCCTGAGACTTGGTCATTTTTGTCTGTCTTTCAAGGTTAGCTAAGTATTTTCTTTACTTTTGTTTAATTGTCATATCTTAGCATTTGTAAGTATTTGGAATGAGGTAGAAGTCTGCATCATTTCAGTCCACCATGTTTTGAACTTGACTTCAGTCATTTTTAAATACATGCTTTCTTATTTTAATTTTTTGCATAATTATATTTACATAGACTGTGAATTTTTACGGCCTATTTTCTATTATTAAGGTTCTTGCCAAATATGAAATAAATCTCTTTCTGAAGTATTTGTACTATCTTAGGGTTCTTGCATCATTGTCTAAATAATGTAGAGTTGTCGTTTTATCACTAGCATTTAGTATTGGGTAATATATTGATTTATATTTGCTAACTTGAGAGGTAATCTAGAACCCAGATTTACTATACCTATATCTATATATTATAGTGGCAATTTGTTAATAAACTAATGAATTGTATAATGTTTGAATTGTATTGGAAAATCAAAAGAATAGCATTTAAAAAGGTTTTGGTGTCAAATACGTCAGATACTTAGAATATTTTAAAAGCAGTGTGTAAATGAAGGTATCATAGCTCAGAGTCTGACTTTATGGCTCATAAAACCCCTCTACCTTTTTGATGTTGTAGTGTTGATCTAATTTAGGTGCTGACTCTTGCAGTCACAGCTCACAGGGGCTGGAATAGAAATTCAGAACATTAGATTGTCAACTCCCAGTGAGAGATGTGTCAGGCAGAATGAATGAATTCTCATGTTAGCCTGATCATTACATTTTCTCTATATAGATGAATATATAAACATAAAAATAATTATATAGTTGTTAGATTATTTTGGAATCAGAACAAGAAGGGGTGTTTACAACTTTTTGAATATTTGATACCATCAGGGCTCAAAACTTGATACGTGAATTCCTTTCATAGAAATGTATTCGCTCAGTGGACCTACACTCACATTCATCTGACACTAGATCTTCATTCATAGAGCTCAGATAATCATTGCTTATGTGTTCTCAATGGCTCCTCTGTATCTATGCTTCTATTGCTAAATAATCTTACTTAGGGTTGCCATCTGCCATTTTGAATCATATCCCTATTTTCAATCAGGTTTTGGCTAAGTTTTGTTAACCTTGCAGTCATTTTCTCCCCTGAAAGCAACTGGCTTTGAAATACTGCTGCTGCCTTTTTCCACCATGATTATTCCTATAATTAGCTGCTGAGATTTACCAAACTTTTCCTACGGAGGCACATGCTATACTTTTTGATACTCATTCTCTCATTTAAACCTAGAAAACAAATATGAAACAGAAAATGTTATACCTATTTTGCTGATCTATAGAGTTCTAAATGACTTGTCTAACTGTCTAGTAAGAAAGTAGCAAAGAGTCAGAATTTATATTTACTCTAAAGCACTTCTACCCACTTGCACAATAACTGACTCTTGGAACCACACTTCTTTTTGACACTAAATCTTAGTATATTAGATCAGGACTGTGGTGATTATTCTCATTTTATATGTGAAGAAACAGATCTAGAAGTCTGTATTTATCTAAGACCAAAATCCAATTAATTACTAGCCAAGCTGGTACTGGAACCATGACCTTTAGAGTATGAGTCCTGGGAATTTTCCGAAGTTATTTTCTCTTCCTTATTTTCCTTCTACAGCTGTGCTCCTTCATATGTGAACCATTTAATTTGCAAAGTTGCCTGAAGAGATGAGTCATGAAATTATTAAGTTTTATATTGACTAATGGTATTTACTTATCTATATAGACACATGTTATACACATGTGAAGAAATGACTACTTCCATCATTACTAGGACACAGATACTAAGTTTTTTGGATGTGAGGATGGGCTTGCTTTTTTTTTTTTTTGAAATGGAGTCTTGCCCTGTTGCCCAGGCTGGAGTGCGGTGGTGTGATCTCAGCTCACTGCAACCTGTGCTTCCCGGGTTCAAGAGATTCTCCTGCCTCAGACTCCCAAGTAGCTGGGGCTACAGGCACGCACCACCACAGCCGGCTAATTTTTTTTTATTTTTAGTAGAGACAGGGTTTCACCATTTTGGCCAGGATGGTCTCAATCTCCTGACCCTGTGATCCACCCACCTTGGCCTCCCAAAGTGCTGGCATTATAGGCATGAGTCACTGCGCACAGCCGAGTTTCCTTTTTTTCTTCTTTTTCTCTAAGCTGTCCATCCTTTTTAACCCAGTGAGCAAGTTTGAACATTTCGCACACAGTCTGAAAAATTAGGATTACAAATTCTGTTTCAAATAAAGCCTTAGACAGACAAACAAAGTAAGTGTAAAAACTACTAGCTAGTATTCAGCTGTCTATAACTAGCTAAGTATCTCACTAGGAGTATTCACTTTTTCTTATATCCTGAATGGAAAGTTTGTGGCTTTGCACAGCATGGATACTTTCTAGTTAAAATTCAGAAGCATTATCATTGTCCAGCTGAGCTGCTATGTGGGTCAACCATTCCAAGACTTCATCTTTTTTATTTTTAAAATGACTGAAATAGTATTGTAAAGAATTCAGTCCTTTGAGGCTAGCAATATATAGAAATTATATGACTGTAATCCCAGATGGAAGAGTTTTTTGGTTTTGTATTTAAATTTTGAGGGAACATTATGCCTGTGCAAGATGTCAGCTTGGCAGGTTTGAAGATCAAAGTTCTTTGTTCATGTACAGCATATATGCCAAAGCTAAGACATCTCTCCTACCCCATTGTGCTACTAACTCTTAATAATAGCTGCCAATTCCAGCAAGGGAGAAAACAGTTAAATGCCCATGCGCATCCCTCCTTCGTTGAGTCTGACAGGCAAGGTGACATTGTGATGATGAATTACCGATGATGGAGTCGCAAGGAATTGAACAAATGAAGCATTAGTATCCTGAGTAGCAGCCAAACAACATTTCCTCAAAAAAGTCATCTTATCAGGTCCCCTCAAAGACTGAGAACCCTGTAACTTCAAGGATAGATTTTCAAACTTTAGAATTGACTAACCAATATAAAATCTAAAATATGAGAGTAGTATTTTTTAAGAAAATGAATGAAGTCTCCCCTTTTCTTTGCTTTTCATTTTTAGGGAGGATAGGCCAGCTTTGTGATAAATCTGTTTTTTTTTTACAATACTTAAAATATAATTTTCCATTAAAATTTGATATAGTCGGCTCAGTTATTTAAAACTTAGCAGCTGACAAAGTTTGGTTTCATCATTTAAAAAACTGAGAGGTTGTTTTTCCTAACATAACAACTATTTTAAAATTTGGGCTGAAATAAAAATTATTGACAAAATATTATTGTAGAACAGTTTGGTAAAATGAGAAGGTCCATTCTTTACCAATCTCAACTTGTATAAAGAAAATTTTCACATGGCTAACTAACAAATATTTATTCAGTACTCACCCATGTGCCAGTTTCTATTAGGTATTGAGGTTATAAAAATGGTTTCTGAGGTTAGGCGCAATGGCTCATGCCTGTAATCCCAGCACTTTGGGAGGCCGAGCTGGGCAGGTCACGAGGTCAGGAGATCGAGACCATCCTGACTAACATGGTGAAACCTCACCTGTATTGAAAAAAAAATACAAACAAAATTAGCCAGACGTGGTGGCACGCACCTCTAGTCCCAGCTACTTGGAAGGCTGAGGCAGGAGAATGGCTTAAACCCGGGAGATGGAGGTTACAGTGAGCCAAGATCCCACCACTGCACTCCAGCCTGGGTGACAGAGCAAGACTCCATCTCAAAAAACAAAAACAAAAGTGGTTTCTGCTGCTTCTTATGAATTTACTGTATGGTGGGAGAGGAGAGACATATGAATAAAGAGAATAGTAACAAACCAGAGACAGTACAAGTAGAAGAGGTGACACAATGCTACCTGAAAGAGGCATCAGATAATACCATCTACCAGAGGTAACAATGGAGCTTATCTTACTGGATAAGACTGAAGTTGGCCATGCAAAAGGGAGGGGATTCCAATCCTAAAACAATCATAGTACCACAAGAGCAAGCACTACTAGAAATAATCTCATCTAAGCAAAACCATTTCACCAAACTCCCTTTTAGAACTGCAGTCTGACTCGGAAAAGTTTAGGTTTTCTACTAATTAAAAGCCCAAACTGGGGATGCTTGTTAATTTGCGTTGCAGTGATCATATTCTTTGTGTTTTCTTTGCTTTTTGGTATTGTCTTATTTGACAAGGAAGAAGCTAATTTTGTTTCATTCAACTTTTACTAGGCCCCTAGTGTGTATTATGCCTAACTCAATCATCTTTTTTTTTTCTTTGTACTGATCTGAATACGAGGATTTTTCTATTAATTTTGACAGTTCATTGAATCTTAAAAGTTTGCTTCAAGGTTGAATTAACTATATATTTAGATCTAGAATTTCCTAATGTCAAAAATAATGTTCCATTCTAATTATTGTTAAGAAAGTTGTATACATATTTCCAATGGAAGGAACTTACTTTATTGAGATTTTGCTGTCACAATGCAAATAATTATAGATAAGGTAGCTCTTGGTGACTTGTGTTTGTAAGTAAAAGGGACCATTGACTTTTTCTAGTTTTGTCAATGATTTTTCACATTTCAGTTAAACAAATACCTTCAATACAAAATGCAGTTGCCTTTATCATTTACAAAGCATAAAGTACAAAATATTCTTCCCTATTCACCAATTAGTTTGGAAAATAAGAGAAGTTGGTCAAACTTCAGGTCCTTGAAAACATTAAAACTTAAAGGGTTTCAAAGCCTCTAAATGCTAAAGCTTTGAAATTTTTCATATGCAAATTTCAATGGTGCATCACATAGAACTTTAAGAAATCAGATGGCTTTTTTTTTTTCCTTAAACACAGCAGCATTTTAGGATAATGTGTGCTAGCTTCTCTGTTTGTGTAACAGTTTCTGAAACAGATCTTTTCAAGCATAGTAACGGGTTTGAATTGTGTTTGCCTAAAGGCTGTGAAAACCAGAAACTGTGAAATGGAGTTCAAGCACAGCCCTTTCATAGCTGGCAGAAGTTCAGCTGTAGTTTTGGGTAGTTTGGTCAGCAGTTTCAACAAATACTTTGAAAACTTTATCTATATATAAGCATTCTTTTACTGAGCTGTTGTAAGCGAGTATTGAAGAGTAAATTCTTTATTTTTCCATCCATTATGCACTTTCTAAATTTGTGGGAATAGAGACCACTCATTGAATACATTTGCTGGGTTCACTGCCAATTGGAATGTATGAATAATTGATACACACTGGATTTACTATCTTTCATTGCAAATCCCTTTACACATTATACCAGGATTATGGCTTAGGAAATGAGGTGGGTGTGAACCACACTTCAGAAGTCCAATCTTATTATTCATTGCTTCAAATACCTCTGCTTTATGTATTTTTTTTTCGAAAGTTTAATTCAACTATAGAAATAAGATGAAAAAGCAAAAAAGATCTATCTAAACTGTGATCCCACGCTATGTTTCTTCTAGTCTTCTGATTTTTTGTTTTGAAATGAAAGTTCATGATCAAATCTAGTGGGCCAAAAGATGTCATAATTAAAACTATGGTAAAATCCAACTGGACGCCCTTTCATTCAACAAACCTTTATTGAAGCCCTGCTTTTGACCCAAAGCCATTAGAATGTATGAAATCACTCAAGGAAACTGTCAAGCAAGTTCTGGGGCCAAGAATTCTTCATGATCTCTTATTTGAAGGGGATTCCAAAGTTCTTCATATCCTAATGCTGTATTATAAGGTTTTAAATTTCTATTGGGATTTATGATTTGTAAGCCTTCTCACATGTAAAATATCCATTTCATAAGGAAAGAGTTATAATAAGTATGTGGATTTCAATTCTGAGCCTTCTGCTTGCTGGGAGGGTAACTGAATTGCTCCTGTTCCAACTTCAGCAGCAGCTTCAGCAGTGGCTACATGTTCTGGTGGCCTCAGCTCTCCCTGAATGGATACCTGAGGTCACCTCCACAGGATGACCCTGGCTTTGGGTTTAGCCACCTCCATGGCTAGGAAGGCTACGGGTAGTTTTCTGCTTTTGCTATTACTTGGGCTCCCTCAGATACCCCTTAGCTATTTCTGCTTTTCCATTACCTGTGTGGACATTTCTTGAGTTTAAATTCTCTCCGTTTGAAATACCTAGAGTGGTATTTGTTTTCCTGACTGATATACCTCTTTACACCTCCATTCCCCAACCCCTTGAAAATGAAGATAAAAAAACAACTTCAGAGGGCTGTTTTGAGGATTACAGTAGTGAAATACCTGAAGGATGAAGTCAGAGGGTGGAATAACAGACAAACCAGCTGTGGGGGAAGGATGTCATGGTGGGAGATCAGCTAGAAAAGGCTGATAGAAAGAAAAGAGCATTTACTCAGGGCTTCCTTTCTCCTAAGCACCCTAATTTGGTTAATAATCTTTATTTTCATTTTTAAGATGAGAAAAATGAGGCTTGTAGATTTGAAGCAGAGTACCATTTATTCTATGGAAGTAGAACCCCAATCTGTTCAGACTTTAAATTTATATATTTCTCCTGCCCACCTTGATGACTGCTTTTGAGAAGTAAATGATGTTGAATTAGGCAGGCTCCATTTTTAGGTATGGGATTTATAGTCATTGACAAAATGCAGAACAAAATTTTTTAAGTGACCTTTCCTCTTTGTTTACATGAGTTAAAAAATACTATTTAATTAGAACACACACATACTTTTTAGAAAAAGGAGAGTAGTTTTACATAGGTTTATGGGGTATTAACTATTCCCTAGCATTCTGGTCTAGAAAACCTCTTAGGTCATGTCAAATCTCCAGTTGTTTACATTTTTTAGCCCTTTGCCAAGATGATTAAGATAAGTCATGAATCAAAAATGTTTTGCTTTTAATTGCCCATATTGTCCATGTAAATGCCACCTTAAATACCACCTGTTTCCCTTTTAACTGTAAGATGTTTTATGTGCAGTGTCCAGTAACTCATTTTCTACCATCAAAAATAAGTCAGATAACAGGTTCACAAATTATTTGTGGAAAATACAAATCTCTGATTTGAAAAAAAGAATACCTTAAGTAAATATGCCAGGGTGGAAGCGAGATACAGTAGCAGGTGCAAATTCTCACCTTAATTTTTAAGTTGGTAAACCTTAGAAGTACGTGGAGGAGTGTCTATGTGATAAAATTAAGGATCATTAAAATTTGTTAAAGACATTCCTTTGAGGTTTTGGCAGTTTTACAGGCCAAACAATATAGTTTATGTAAGGAAAATTACATGGAAAAAATGATTTAATAGCATGACAGGATACATGAAGAGAACTTCAAAAGCTATTGACAGCTGTGGAGGGTGAGCTCATATTTTGTGGAATGGAGCAGAGAGGACAGGTGGGCACAGACCTCAAATTTCCCATATGTGAGATACCTGGGAGGTCTACCAACTGCTGGGAGAAGTGATGATTTAAGGGAGGGAAACCAACTAGACACACGTAAATGAGGGAACCAATATTGATAAAAAGGAATCTCAAGGAATGTGGACATTGTTTCCAAGAATTTTGTTCATGTTCACTTAATTGATTTTTACTTTGTTTCCCATTAGATGTTTTGTTTTTGCATTCATTTGCCTAGGGTCATACCACCATGGATGCTCTCCTTATGTTTATAGACCGAGCAAAGCTTAGTCAGAAGTTAGGTTGGGAGGGAAAAAAAGACCACCTAGAAGAGTTGTGCATGGTATCACTTAATGCCAAAGTTGTTGATGCAGTAAGAAAACCATGAATATAACATGGATTCTAAAGTTAGAACCTAAAAAAAAAATCTGGCATTGAGATAAAGTTAGAAAACAGTTGTATGACCTTTGATTACTGTACTTGAATTATTCTATTTAATCTTCATTTGTTGCTTATATTATAGGATACTATTTGAGGAAATTAATACATAGCATTTGATAACTACTTGATCCCCGGCACAGGGCCAAGTAGTTCACATGACTATCTCATTTAATCTCACAGTAACTCTCCGAAAGATGCACTGTAATTACTCCTGCGTTGCACATGAGGAAACTGAGGCTCAGCATCTTCAATCTATTAGTATAATTAGAGAGAGCCCAATGAGGACAAGGAGAGACAATGGATGGGATTGGTGGATAAGACTTAGCCTGTGAAACAGTGCCAAGATTTTAACATTTTTCGGAGTTTAATAACGTTTTAAAATTTTTAAAGTTAACTTTGAGGCTACAGGAGTAAGCAAATATGCTGCCACAAAGAAGCCATCTTTTGGGCAAAATGTGCCTCAAAAAACCTTTGGTACTACCTGAAGAAATAAAGAGGTTTTTTAATCATAAAGGGATAGAGACCCCAGGATTCATGCCAGTCTCCAATTTATTTAAAATTCCTCCCACAATTTCAACATCCTGCCAGCACTGACTGTGAATGAACGTGGCTAGGAGAATACATAAATTGTGGCTGCGCCATTAATCAGGTGCGATCTTTCAAAGTATCATAAATTTCAGTGATCAATGCCAAGTCTCATTGTGATGACCTGGGGACTAAACCCATGGATCAGCCTGACAGAGACAAATAAGAAGCTAAATAGGGATGTGATAGTCTGTTAGGGGTGGGAGATACTTGTTATATTTTCAGACGTGTCATTTATTAAAAAAAAAATACTGGATAATTTGAAACTCTTCATGTCTCTCATCTATGATTCCTTACGCTTATAAGTAGAATTTTGTGTCATTTCTTGCAGATTTTATTTATTTTGATTTGAAATCAAAAATATTAACATTCAAGTAGTTATTTTTCAAAGCATATATTATTTCTGGCAGAGTTTCAAATGAACTAGACTTAAAAACAGTACAAAATTTGTATTACACAGTTCTTTCTTGTGAGTTTATACTTTTACTTGAAAAGTCAATGAAAACTTTTAGGATTTGTTTAAATTATTTTTTTCTTACAATGCAATAGTATTAATGACTGCGTTTTGAAAATTTAATAACAGTAGGAACAGAAATAGATATTTGCCTTTTCATTATTATCTTACTAGTAAGTCTTCTTAAAGATAGTCAAATAAAATTTTTTAAATCTATTTTTTTGAAAACCAACAAAATGTAATCGTGGTTAATGTCGAGTAACTTCCTTGTGATATTCCTTCTTACTCAAGGTTCAGTCAGTGCTTGGTTTAAAAAAAAATAGAAGCTGCTCTACATGTCTATGGTAATACATGGAATGAGAGGCATTCACAGTTGTGGGAAACCAGTGGAGTGAAAGGTGAGAAGCAGTCACTAACTCTCAGCCTGCAGAATGGAAGTGGTAGATCTCAAGAGCTTGCTTGGGAGCTGCCACAGAACTCAAGTGCTTCTAGGAAGTTCCAAATGACTATGTAGCCAGCTGCACTGAGATGAGTGGTTCCCAAGAAGCCGTATCAGCTAAAGCTGCCTATAGCACCTAAGTAAATATTTTGCAGAAGTTCACCCTGAACTTCCTTGAAACTTCACATCTGATATGTACTCATGTGTCTGGGTGAATCTGCCTCCAGTGAATATCGTCATTTTATTCCCTTTTACTTTCCGAAGTTCACAGAAGTGACTGTCAGTGATGGAACTAACTATACAGGAAACCACACAGGGAAAAGGATTCTGGGGAATGTGCTTCTAGCCTTCTCTTCGCAATGCAGAGAAGACCACCAATGGGAGTGGCAATGATGTTAACCTGACGACAGTTAATCCAGCACAGTCCACTCATATTTCATCTCAGCATCCCTTGACACTCTTTTATCCACATTTAAACTTCTGCCTACTTCTACCACCAACAAATCAAGATTTTAATATGACACATATATACACATATCCCTCATATGACCAGAGCCATGCTCACCTTCTCTGGAACATGGGAGGCTTCAAAGGCCCATATGTCACCATTTCCATCTCTAAATCGTGTTCATTTCTTTCTTAGCCCAGTCAAATCTCTCTCTCTCTCTCATATCCTGTAACATAAAGACCAGATTAAAAGGTTAAGGTTATGAATACAATATAGAAAATAAGGTAGAAGACTTGCCTTTTTACTTCACAGTGATCAAAATGAGCTATATTTGGACTTGATAAAGCAACATCAGGCATCATGTAGAGATCTTGGACATTAAGTTTGAAACTTTGACCACTTAGGTTGTTTCCTTTGGGGAGGATGAGTGTATTTGCCTGCATTAAGAAGAGTAAACCCAATATTTGGTAGCCAAAAACCAGGTATTTTGTCATTAGAGTTTGTTATCAAATATTTCTGGTCCACTTGAACAAATGGTGGGATTGCATTCCTTCCATGCTTATAAGTAGGTGTGGCCATGTGACTTGTTTTAAACAACGGAATGTGAGTGGAGATGATGTGTGCCATATCTGCCTGTGAGCTCCAAAAACCAGTGCAAGATTTGCCATTCTTTCTCTTTCTGTCCCATGGATTCTGGCAATGCTATACATTCAAGCTGCTCTATGAACCTGGGTTTTAGAATGGGGATGATGAGTAACAGAGCCTGACTTAGGCTCTGATAAGCATACAATGTACAGAAAGAAAAACATATTTTACTATATTAGGCAACTGAGATTTGGGTGTTGCTTATGATTGCAGCTTAATATATCCCATTCTGAATAATATAGTCAATATTAACTATGAAAATAGATATATTTACCAAGTTTAAAGTCCAAAGCTTTTAAATATTTGAAGAGTAAAAGTTAGAAAATGATCTTGACATTTAATGCAGCTTAGAAAAGAGAAGGATATAGAATTGGTTTAATATATTTCTGATTGTATCAAGGTTTTATTAGATAGCATAGCTATTTTTCATAAGGTTCTATCACAGTCCAGATTATGGGTCATGAAGGGTTAAAAATCACCATGATCCTGATCTACCTATAAAGTATTTGGAAGTACTGCTTACCGGCAATTTTCTGTCCTGAGGCTCATGGCGGTGACCTGAACCAATCAATTTGTAAGCATAGACCTAGCACTGTTCCAGGTGCATGTAGACATAGAGAAGTAGAAGTCCTATTCTTCTTGTAAAATTTGTCCAAAATCAGGGTATAACGAGGATTAAGTCACCAACTTCCCTGGGAGAAGTATATCATAGCAAAATAAAAAAGGAGACAAATGAAAGGGTCAGTCTGAGTTTTTAATATGGTGTTATTTAAGTTTTGAATTCTAATTTCAGCTTATGAAGGGTGGGGATATAATGACTATAAGTTTGTTGTGAAGTTAATCAATATGTCAGACACAGTAGTTGCTCAATAAATATGTTGGATTTTTAATATTCATCTTTGTTAATTTTATTCCGAATATGCATATGGGGTGTTTGGGATCAGAGATGGATGGCTTAGTAATTACTTAATAGTAAATAACAAGTGTATAAGCCTCCTTGCCCCACTGCTTGTCCTCAGGGCAATGTAATGAGAATCAATGGGATTTTTTTCCCACCTGAGTAGCCAGAAAGTGCATATGCAATAAATGAGAAAAAAAATGACTTTTCTCTGCTTATAAAAGGAAAGGAGGAAGCTGTCTCCCTCCACTCCTAAAAGCATCTTTTCGGAAATGTAATGGGCCTCAATCCTAACTTTCATTTGATGTTGTTATTGACTGAATGCTTTAATATGTCTATAGACATTTATTTACATCAAGTATATATGTTAATTTTTCAGCAAAAAAGGGTGGTTAACTTTCCCAGTGTTTTTCAATAATGGATAGAAAGCCTTCAATCACCCAAGTCCCATGGAACAACTTTTTCCTTCTTAAAATCCTATTAACTCAACTGTTTGGCAGAATTGAAAATAAGTTTCAGCAACTGACCATGTCTAGAAGGCAGTGATGTGTGGCCATGGCAATAGGGCAGTAGCTGCAAGATGTTTTCTTCTGAATTTAACTAGAAAGTCATCGATCATGAGAAACCCTTTTATAGACAATGTGAAATTGAACAGGGAAATACACTCCAATTACTGGCCTACATAAATATCTAAAGGGAACAAAGAGCATCAGTCAGGAGGCTATTGTCTTCCTAATTATGTTTCAAATTGGAAATGGCAGCTTGTTTTCTTCCTCACATAATAGTTCTCTAAATAAATTGTCTTCTCCCTCTGTCTGCTGTTCTCTTGAGGATTTGGTTATATAGGGATAAAGAACCTGTGGTTGTGAAAAGCATGGGTTATGAGCCAGCTAGCTTCCTATGCCAAGAGAGAAAGCAGGAATGAACACTGAGGTTATGACATGTTGTAAACCTGATATGTTTAGCAATTCCATTTGTTGTGATTTGGGTGCTACAGAAGACTTTTATAAATTTTATATCTTCTCTGATGGTTAGAATATTGACATAGTGTACTGCAATGAATAGCTTTGCTTCCTGAAAATCACATATGGAATATTTGATAATACCCCTATCTTAAATTGCCTTGGTATTTCTTCAAAATAAGAATGTATCTGATGGAGATTTAAGAGAAGAATGTTCATTACTATTAGTTAATTCATACCATCAATTTGCTTTGTCTTTATCCATCATTTAAAAAAAATATTAACTTTAAAATTTGATACTGAAATATTTTTTCTGTTTTGCTTAATGACTTTCTTTAATTATGAATTTCTTCCATTTTTGTGAATATTACTTGGTTTAAGCTTTGCCAGTGAAATACCATCTCAATTATAAGGTAAAAAATTAAGATAATTGCCATCAAATATCTAGGGTTGGATTTTGCATGACTAATCTCTCCCAAGCTTGTTTGTTTATTTTTAGTATTTTAGTTCTGTATTCACAGAATTTGCTTTTATTCTTGAAAGTGGCAATCAACTGTTATTTTCTATGATTATGGTTATAATATTAATCATTATTTTGGTTGTAGCTAATTTCTGTTCAACTAAGCACCTTTCTAAATTGTTTTTAATTTCCTAGAAATGTAATTTTTAATATTTGTTGATGTATAGATATGTCCTTAGGAAGGTTTGTTTTTGTGGTCTAAATGGTCTTATAAATCTTTTATATCAAAAGCAAATGGTAGATGATCCTTGGTAGATTTTTATCTTCAAAATACCTTGTCTTTCAGTATGAATAATGACAAATGTAATGTTTTGACAAAGTGAAATTACAAAAACTAAAGACATATCATAAAATACTAAGAAGCACAAGCTTGAGACACCTTTAAATAAAAGTTACAGAAGCTTAATTCTCAAGAAAGTTGACTCTATCAATGTCATTTTCCTGAGAGGTAACTGTAACATGGAATATATTGTGATAAATGAAGTCATTGATCTAACATGGTACTGTCAAAATGGAATACAAATAGTAAGTATGTTATTAGTTGAAACTCTTTTCTAATTATTTTGATATTTTTTAAAACCTATTTTTTTTTTAAGTATAGCTAACTTTCACTCTCGATTGATGACAAGGACACTTGCCTGGGCTCCGTTCATGTTGAAACAGGCTTCGATGTAAAAGTATAAATGCGCCTAATACATCTTTATGCTGGAATATAGAAGTCTATGTGTTAGAAACACTTTTATCCTGCATGTATACAATCTGAGAAGAAGATAAAAGCTGCTACTGGTTTAGCAGTGTGATTCTTTTCAATGTCTTTGCCAGTAGTGTCTGCAGAAAGGAAATAAATTGAGAATAATAATGTTAGTCTTCAGCAATCTTGTTATCTTTCCTCATTTAAATTTTAGCCAGATTAGAGTGAAGACTTCCCAGGGAGATAGAGCATCAGCTATAGTTTTTGCACAAATAGACTACACCTACAGAGAAGAAAGGGAGCTCATCAAATGCTAGACATGAATTTGGTTTAGAATTTTGACTATAAAGAGAAAATGATCTAATCAATAACCTCAGGGTTATTAAGAATTAGCAAAATCTTTCATTTTTCCCCCCTCTTTCCCAGTTGTGGTTATATCTTAGAATCTGGACTCGCTTCCTCAAACTTAGGCATTTCTTTTCTTGATGGACCATGTCTAACATGGTGCCCATATATCTTCAAATTCAGAGTGAAGATTTGGGTTTCTGAGCAATCTGTGCACTTTTTTGAAAAACTTCTTTTTTATTATACTTTAAGTTCTGGGGTAAATGAGCAGAACGTGCAGGTTTGTAACACAGGTATACGTGTGCCATGATGGTTTGCTGCACCCATCAACCCATCATCTACATTAGGTATTTCTCCTAATGCTATCCCTCCCCCAGCCCCCCAACCCCCGACAGGCCCCGGTATGTGAGGTTCTCCTCTGTGACACTTTTTATAAGGTAAAATTCTCTAGATTCAATTAATGATTCATGAAACACATAACTTGTTAAAGATTGATGACAAGAATGACTATTGGTTTTGAATTTGACATGATAAAACTGCAACTGATCAGGTAGAAAGTAAAGGTCAGTGTGAAGGCACACCATTTTTGCTCATAGGTGTTCCTACTGTTCTAGAACAGGCCATAATACATTCACTAATGGGGTGGAATACATGAGAACACCTGATTGGTTAGTGATCGGCAGTAGAGATGAAGTTCTCTTTCCATACATTAAACCCCAGCTGGGGTAAACAGAATATTCCCTGCTCCCCAGTAAGTATGTAAGAGTATGTGATGACTACTGTAGATAAGGCATGACATTTTCATCTGAGATTTTTGATCATCTTCATAACTGGCTAAATCTTTTCAGATATCATGTCAGATTCACCTACAACAATAACAAAACAAATGACCACACTCTTTCTCTGTTAAGTCAAGTGTAATGAAACTCATTTGCCTAAGAGTTGGAATAGGGCTGTGTTAGGAACTAGAGTAATATCTAAATTTTAATGACAATGGATAAAATATAAACCGGCCTAATATCATCTCTGTTAGTTGTTGGCAACTGATTAATGCCTCTTGAATTTTCCTGTAGCCTGATCTAATTCAGATAGGCTAATATATAAATTTTCTTTTGTCTTGTATGTATAAATAAGGCCAAATAAGAAAGCAATTAGAAAACTAATGTTGGTGTTTAAATAATGCCATATAAGCCCCATAATGCCCCATAAAGGGAAATGCGCCTTGAGGGTCTCAGTAAATAACGTATTTTATACAGTTGAAATAAGTTTTTAACCTTCATAAAAAACAGATCCAGTGAATTAATGCTAGATTTAGCTCTAGTAGAGAATGTACAAATTCACAAAAATGGATCAGTGTTCAACTCTTTATTAAAATATTCTTTTGTAGCATTTGAAAACATCAAGGCAAACTCATGTGGCACATTTTTCTGGTTTTCTTTACAATGTATTAGTGTGATAGATATGAGAACTTCAGATAAAAACGCAGGAACGTAAAACTTTTTGCTCACTAACCCTGACCGTCAGTTGTCCAGTTATTCCAGAGTCACAAGCCTCGACTGTGCTGGAGATTTTCTTTCAGATGTACTTTGAGATGAATAATGTTTTGTGTGATGAATCTGCTGTTTGTATTTTGAAAATGTTTATCTGGGCAAAGGGTTTTCTGATGGAAAGCAGTGGTGATGAATCTAGATAAACTGAAAGCTGCTAAGCTTTTTTGCAACTGACAGAGTGGTTTTTGATCTTTAGCTCTGTATAAAATGGATCTTTTCCCAGAGATATTCCTTAATAAAATTAGCTAAGTATATGTATACCTGTGTGTGGATGTGAGTGTGTGTGTGCATATGAGAAAGGCAGACATGAAGAGTGTTATACTCTCAATAGTGAGTTATGGAATAAATGTCAAATTTGCTTCATGTTCAGAATATAAAAAAACACGGGAGAGATCAGACTATGGCTTACGCAGGGTCACATGTGCTACATGTTAGTGATTAACTGTTAGTCACTAACTGAGTTTGAAAACTGAAGCAATAGTTTGTGTACTTGATGTTCTGTTGGACAGATCCTTAAATTTTTATGGATGCATTCACAAGCTTCAGATGCACATTTTATTTCAGAAGAGAGCATTGCAATGGTTTTTGTCTTTTTTTTTTTTTCTTTTTTGTCAAATCAACCCAGATTTGCAAGGAGTTTGTGTAGAACATAGTCTGTAGTTTAACTGGAAAATACATTCCAATTTTTCAAATAAGTTATAAATTAATCAAGATTTGAAGACTCTCTATTAGTTTGCATTTTTATAAACTACACTGGGAAATGATATATAGTGTTTGAAGCATGTTCTGCATCAGTTGTGATATAAAACTAATAAGATGGAAAATTACTTTGAGAAGAAAGCAAGTTCCGTATTAGGTAATTGGCCCTTTTTTTTGAAAATTATTCAATAAGTGAATGACAATTGGGAAATTCAGCACTTATGATGCTGAAATAATATCTCTTTATACAGAAATTTTTAATTTAAAGAGGTTTTTTTACTATGTAAGTGGAATATATTATATGGAAGCAAAAATCGTAAACTTGTCTCAGAATTTCTTAAAGTAAGCTTTATTAGGCACCTCATACACTGAATTCACGTTTTAACTTTTATTATCATTATTTTTCTTCCTGGGTTTATGGAAAATAAGATTTTCTTCCCTTTAATTTTCTCCAACACTAATTTTATCCTGAAATGTTAACAAGTTTCAGAAAGACAGAAGTTTTGAAATGTTTAGACAAATATATTATTTTAGAAAATGTGTTCATTGATGTATTAATTTTGTACCACCCTAAAACAATTAAGTTAAATTGCTAATTTATGAATTCTACATATGTTATATGCATATCCATATGGAATTTTTATTCAACCCAATTTCTGCACAGCAAGTTGTCAATAAATTTTCATGAAGAATGGTTTGCACTAAGATTATAATAGAATCTACTACCTAGAAAATTTGGTCACAAGCATGAAAAGCCCTCTTCTCTTTTTACTTTCTTTCACTCCAATCTGGTCTTGCTGGTTAGTTGGTGACAACTTTCTGATGCTGCTGCTATTAATGTCTTCTTGCTTTTGTTAGCTGAAGTTTGTTTTTCCTGGCCAACCTACTTATGTTGTATTTCATTTCTCTCCCCAAATATCCTTAGATCTCTGCTAATTATTTTCCTTCATTTCTCTTCTATCCCACCTCTTATTCAGAATTGACCTCAGTTTAGCTTAACCTGAAATACAAATGTGTAAACCAGTATTTTCTGCCTCATTTTCTTTCATCTGAAATATATTTATCAGTCAATACATATTCCAGTTATCCAGCTCTGAGTATAAAGAACTTCCACTGTCCCTCCCAGATGCTGTGAGTATAGGAATTCACAAATACCTGTGGGTACTAGAATCCTAATAATGGTAATAATAAAACAGTTAATACATATTGAGTACTTACATGCCAAATCTGTACTAAGTGATTTATATGGATTTGCCATATGATTCTTCCAACCATATCATAAAATAACTGCTATGTTTATCTCCAATTTATAGTCTAGGAAACTGAAACTTAACATGATCCACACAGCTAAGAATTGGCAGAGGCAATGTTTGAATTAGGGTTTCTGGTCTCTAGAAACCACATACCTCTGTAGGAAGGACCCATGTCCCACAGAAAGGCAGGATATCTGACTAGTTTAAAAAATAATAAATACGGCCTTCAGACTTATTGCCTATAGGGATTCTCACTCAATGACCACATCCAAATTCATACTTTATTAAGTGAATATTTTATTATTTATTTAATAAATATGTCTTAAGTACTATTGAAGGTATTGAGGTGAGTCATGAACAAAATTGATAAAGTCATGAATATCATGCAGCTTTCATTCTAATGGACAGGACAGATGGTAATTGCAAATATAATATATGCGTTATGCCTGGCAGAAATAAGTTCTATTAATACAAATTAAGCAGGATAAAGGGAAATAGAATTGTGCAGGGGACTAACAGTCTCCCAGTTTATTCTCTGATACAGTGCCATTTGAATAGAGAACAAAATAAACTGTGGGGGATGAGCCATGAAAATGTCTAGGGGAAGAGTACTACCAGGTAGAAAGAGTGGTAGGTATAAAGACCTTGATACATAAGCACACTCTGCCTGGTGCTTAGGATAAATAAGGAGGACCTTGAAGCTGCGTTAAAATGAGCCAGAGGAAGTATAACAGAAGAGGTCAGAGGAAGAGAGGGGAGCTAGGTCATATAGAGTCTTGTGGGTCATAGCAAGCTCATTAGAATTTACCTGGAAAGAGCTGAGAAGCCCCATGAGGCTTTTGACCAGATTTATTAAGTATCTGACTGCTGTATGGAGAATCAACTCTAAGAAGGCAAGAATCTGCAGAAAGCCATTGTAATAATTCCAGTGAAAGATACATGTGGCTTAGAATAAAGTAGTGGTGGGCCAGGTGCGGTGGCTCACACTTGCATTCCCAGCACTTTGGGAGGCCAAGGCAGACGGATCATGAGGTCAAGAGATTGAGACCATCCTGGCCAACATGGTGAAACCCTGTCTCTGCTAGAAATACAAAAATTAGCTGGATGTGGTGGGCATACGCCTGTAGTCCCAGCTTCTTAGGAGGCTGAGGCCGTAGAATTGCTTGAACCTGGGAGACGGGTTGCAGTGAGCCAAAATTGTGCCACTGCACTCCAGCCTGGCGACAGAGTGAGACTCTGTCTCAAAAAAAAAAAAAAGAATAAAGTAGTGGTGCAAGTGGTTAATACATATACACAATACACACACATTTGCATACATACATAAATATAAATTTTGTGTTGAAATGAAATGCATGTATACAAAGCACACATCATAGGCATACATTTGGATGCATATTTTTTCTGCTGGGAATACTAATGTAAGTAGCTCTCACATTAAGAAGGAGAACATTATAGCCCTAGAAACTCCCACATGCTAAATTGTAGTCATTACATAGGCCACCTTTGGCAAAGATAAGCAGTGTTCTTACTTGTTACGATAAGTTCTTTGGTAAAAGGACCAGAGAGTAAATTTTTAGGCTTTACGGACCATATGTGGCTTCTGTCACAGTACTCTTTTCAGTTATTTTGATAGTTTTTCTATGTGTACAATTATATGTTAGAAATCATTTATGCCATCAGAAATTTGAGAACCTTGCTCTTCACTCTTCTACCTTCCAGAAAAATAGACAATTTTGAGCCCAAAATCTTTCATTTCCAACTTGTGAGCCCTAATTTGAGGCAGCTTTTGATCCAGAGACTTTAGATTTTTTTTCCAAAAAGAAAAGTTATCTGCCCCATTCTCCTTCCAAGACATATATGGACTCTGTGACTCAGTTTTGTCTTCATTGAATTATCCTAGCTATCAATAATGAATTGATCAAAACAGTGAATGATAAAGTCTTTACAATCCAAATGCTATTCAAATACTGCTCTTATTTTAGAGAATAAAGCAATAGCTTCACTCAGTTCAGATTGCTCAGAGTCTGCAGCAGTCACTTGGAGAATCAGATGTTGGAAATGCCAGAAGCCCGTCCAACCCCATGATAGTCTTGATCTAATCCAGAAGTATACTTTCCTCAGAATCAATATTTTAAAATATTATATTATCTGAGAAAAGCAATACCTGACTACCAAGACTGTTTTAGATCCTTAGGAACCTAGGGGTTCCCTAGGATGCTGATTACCACTTCACCAGGGATACAGTAACCATATCTAGACAATAATACACTTGCTGCAATTCCCATCAAAATACCACTGTCATTCTTCACAGAACTAGAAAAAATCCTAAAATTCATGTGGAACCAAAAAAGAGCCTGCATACCCAAAGCAAGACTAAGCAAAAAGAATAAATCTGGAAGCATTCTGTTACCTGACTTCAAACTATACTGTAAAGCCATAGTCACCACAGCAGCGTGGGACTGGTATAAAAATAGGCATATAGACCAATGGAACAGAATAGAGAACCCAGAAATAAAGCCAAATACTTACATTCAACTGATCTTCAACAAAGCAAACAAAAAAGTTGGGAAAGGACACCCTATTCAATAAACGGTGCTGGAATAATTGGCAAGCCACATGTAAAAGAATGAACCTGGATTATCATCTCTTACCTATATAAAAATCCACTCAAGATGGATCCAAGACTTAAATCTCAGACCTGAAACCATAAAAATTCTAGAAGATAACATTGAAAAAACCCTTCTAGACATTGGCTTAAGCAAAGACTTCATGACCAGGAAACTAAAAGCAAATGCAACAAAAACAAAGATAGATGGGACTTAATTAAACTAAAAAGCTTCTGCACAGCAGAATTATTACTGAGTTTCAAGAATGTGTGAGGCCAATACCCTTGTTGAAAGGGATCCCTAAGTTAACCCTCTGGTTCAATGATTTGCTAGAACTCAAAGAACTCAGAAAATCTGTTTTACTAATGGTTATGGCTGATTATAGTGAAAGAGCACAGACTAAAATCAGCAAAGGTGAAAGGCTGATAGAGCAGAACCCAGGAAAGGCTAAGTTCAAGCTTCTATTAATAGTTGTCCTCTCCTAGTAGAGTCCCACAGACATCACCTAATTCTTCCAGCAACAATCTGTAACAACACAAATGGGGTGTTGTCAACAAGGTAAGCTCATCTGAGACTTGGTGTCCAGGATTTTATTGGAGGTTGGTCAAATAGGCATGGCATGCATGCACATGAGGCTGACCTTAGTTTCTCAGCCTTCAGCCTCTCCAGAGGTCAAACTGATATCATGTGGCCCAAGGCCCCAACCATAACTTACATTGTTAGCATAAACTGCCTCACATGGCCCAAGGCTCCAGGTAAACAAAGACACTCTTATGAGGTACCATATTCTAAAGGCTTAGAGGCTCCTAGGAGCCATTCAGGGTCCCATCCTTTCTTTGGAATGGGCAAGGTTTACACTCCTCAGACCTGCTGAGTCAACCTGTCCCTGCACAAGCATATTTTATCATTCAAATTTAGGAGATGTAATCTTTATAGAAGATCTCTTTCCATAAATTTCCCAAGCAGAATAACTCCAATTTGAGGCCACATTTTTATCCCACATATGAAAGAGCTATCTTTCCCTCTTCTGGTTGAAATTCACTTATCTCCTGTCTACCTCCACCAGATTATAGCATGTTTTATTCTATGAAATGTTTTGCTATTGCTATATTATTCAACATTTGAAGGCTCTAAAGAGCTGAATCAGTCAGATATTGCTATGTAACACACAGCCACAAATATCTCTGTGGCAAACGATACTAAGCATTTCTGTCTCACCCTGGCACCTGTGAAGTGGCTATAATTATTTTGCATCTGTGAGAAGCAGCTCTGTTCCATTTGTCTCATTTAGAGTTCCCAACTGGAGGGGTAGCAGCTACCTGGGGTTTGTTTTTCTCATGGCTTTAATAGAAGCACAAGATGACAAGCATAAATGCTTAACCGTATTTCAAGCCTCTACTCATGTCACACCTGTTAATATCCCATTGGCTAAAGCTAGTCATATTGCCAATGCCAAAGTCTAGGGACAGAGAAGTACATGTCACCAACCACGTAAGGCCATGGCAAAGGAATGGATGGATAATAATTCTATAGGTAAGTGAAGAATTGATAACATTATTTTCTGTACCTCCGAGGACATAGTGCAATGGAAAAATTTAGGAGGTTTTTCAAACCCTGGTTTGGCTACTTGTTTATATACATAGATGCAGTTACTCAACATTTTCATTACTTGGTTTCCTCATCTGTAAAAAGGAAATAAAACAATTATTCAGAATTTTGTTGTGATGATTACAGGTGTTATATATGAAGTGCCTAGCTAGCACGGAGTCCAGATAATAGGTATACAATTAATGATAACGTAATTATATTGAATATGTCTCAGAGCTTCCTCCTCAGAAGCACTAATGAGGATAATAACAGCTGATATTTATAGAGTATCTACTATGTACTCACTATTATCCTAAGAACATAACAGGTAGAAACTCTTTCATATGATTTGTCTGTGTGTGTGTGTGTGTGTGTGAACAAAAGAAGGTGAGAAAAGCTAAGAAACATGCCCAAAGTTAGCTTCATTTTATCTCAAACTATCTCAAAACCAAGTGGCTTAAAATAACAATTGTTTATTTTGTTTATGATTTTATGGGCCAGCAATGAGAGCTGGACTCACCTAGGTTGCTTTTCTGGACTCATCTGGATGCAGGCCTGTATCTGCAGTCAGCTGCCTGGTTGGCTAAAGCTGCCTATTCTAGAATGGCCTCAGCTGTTATGGCTCATCAGTGTTCCAGTGACCTCTCATCATCCAGCACAATAGCCTGGGCTTATTTACCTGATAGCTGGGAAGGGTTCCAAGAGAACAAGTGGGAAAGCTTGCTTGAGGCCTGGGCTTCTGATGTGTCATCACATTTACCTCTGTATTAACCAGAACAAGTTACAAGACCAGTCCAGACAGAAGGCAATGGAGAACAGAATCCATCTCTTAATGAGAAAAGTGGCAAAGTCACATTGCAAAGAGCATGGAGGCAAGAAGGAATAAAGGATTATGAGCCAATTTTGTAATTTACCACAATCTGCCTCTGGCCACAATTTTCACCTTTCTGCCCATGTACAACATCCTTTTCCTTCTCATAAAATTCTCATGGAACTATGACATCAGGCTTGAATTCTAGAATTCAGTTATCCAGTTAAAGTTGAGAGGAAGCCTATCAAATGTAAATTTTTTTGATTCAGAGAGTCATGAAATTTAAAAAAAATATATGTCCCATAAACATCCAACCTACAATATTAACACAGGGATAGGGTAACTGATAAATACTGCCATTCTGAAAGAAAAAAAATGGGAGGTACATAGCAGTTACTGATCTGTCGGAAATTTAAAATATATGTAGAAAAATATTGTTAGGCTCTCCTACCTGGGAGTAGTAACTATTCGTTAAGGCAAGGTTATGCTTTTTGGGGGTGGTTTCCCAGTTCTTTCTTCTTCATGTTTATTGGATCTTGACTCTGCTCTCTAGAACATTCTCTCTTTTTAATTTCCTTCCTTAGCCTTTTGAAAAACGTTCTCAGTCGACTTCTGGATCATAGAAAGTTGGAGCCACAGAGACCTTTGTGCAATTTAAGTAAAATCATTCTTTCAAAATTCAGGTTGATGGCATTTTTATAAATTCAGTTTCTTCCAAATCATGGTGGACTTACTATGAGTTTAATTTATGTGCACATCATTTGTTAGAAAGCCATACCTGATTGTTTTCAAGACATGCCTTTCTGTATAGACTTATTTACTCTGGGATTGGGCTTCTGTGAGACCATACTCTTACGAAGCTGAGGAGCTGTATTTTTTAGTTTGAGAGAGAACTAGACAACATATAAATTCTTTCAGATTTCTTAACAAAGGATTACAGAGCTACGCACTTGAATTGATTTTTTTTCTTTTTGATGCCTCATTTTACTTTGAGAATTTTTACTGGATGGAAAGACAGAAGATACGAAACAATTATATTTTCCCACCCAGAAAATTCTGTCCCCTCTGTGTTCCCTCAAAATTCTCCTTGCAAGCTGGCCATGTCTTTATTTAGACCATTTCTTTCTTCTTGTACCTATATGTAGCTAGGACCAACCATCTGACATTTCAACATTCTGTGGAGGTCTCTTTAGCCAAAATCAAAAGTTCATTATATACACTGGCCATCTTTCAAGTTTCTATAGGCAACACTTTTGACAATTATTTTATTCTCAAAAATACAGATCACCATTTTTTTTCCTAACCTCCAATAACAATTTGATTTTTTTTTCTCCGCATTTGCTAAGAGTTTGTTTGCCATTTTTCCATCCTCTGCTCAGTGCTTACTGCCAATGGCACTTATTTTAGATTTTTGTTATGGCAGCACCTCAATTCTAGGAACCAATTATTTCTGCATCAGTTAGCTTTTGCCATGTTAAAAAAATCACACAACTTCGCAGCTTAAAACAACCATTTCTTTTATTTTTTAGCACATAATCCTGCTGGTCATTAATATGGACTGGGCTCAGCTGAGCTTGTGTTTGCAGTCAGCTTCCAGGTCAGCTGGGGACTACAGGTCTAGAATGGCCTCAGCTGGAGCTGCTCACCTTGGTTCTGTGTTTTCTCATCATCCTGCAGGATAGCCTGGGCTTGTTCTCATGGTGACTGGTCAGAGTTTCACGAGAATGAAGAGAGGCAAGCTAAGGTTTTTGGGGCCTAGACTTGGAACTAGCACACTGTCACTTATGCTGCATTTTATTGACCAGAACAAGTTACAAGGCCAGCCAAAACATAGGAGAATGGCAAATAGACTCTAGGTCTTACGTTGTAAAAGATATAGATATTCAGAGTATAGAAGAATTAGGGATCTTCTTCCAATATACCATACCTCTCACTATTAGTAAATTTTGTTACCATTACTGTTTTCTCAAAAACACTATTAAATTTTTATTATTTCATAGAAAAGCATGACTGTGGCTTCACCAAAACTTTTCGGCTTCCTTGAGCATAGACACTAATTTTCTGACCACACAACCTGACCATGTATGTGTTAGTATCCTACTCCAGATCCTTCTTACTGGTCTACTTGTTTCAGTAGGCAGCTCCTCAACTGACTTTTGCCTACCTACCTGCCTCCATCTTTGTACAGCTCTAACTGGTTGAATCCAGACCTGTAGACTTGCTTGTCTTTGGGTGGCTTCTGATCTTCACCCACCTTATAAGCAACAGCAGCACCAATCAGCCTGTTGTTGGAAGGAAGGCCCACCTACATAACTTCTGCATGCCCCACCTCAGTGGTGATCATGTTCCACAGTCCCCTCTTCCATTTTGCACCTTCTTCTGATCAGCTCCACTACTAAAAGTAGGAAAAATTTGTTGAAAATATGAAGTTCTTCAAAAACTAGCTATGCAGAGAAGAGAAATACAGCTTCTACCAGTTCAATGGTGTTAACTCCGTGAGTTAGGCCCAAAGACCTTTTTTTCAAGCCCAGAAATTGTTGTAAACTAGATGTGAGGCTTTGGTTACTTCTTTGACTTTCAAGTCTCCAATCTTTATTATGTCTGATTTTTGTCCTTTCATTTGTGTTTTTATGGACAGTTCTACAAAGGAAATATGAAACCTACTTGAGAACATTCAAAGAAAATGGTGAAGATACAGAATTACACCAAAAGGCCACATGTTCATTAGGATGGAGAATAAAATCACAGTGTGTCTCAAGATCTATTTAAAACTCCATTCTATATTTACATATGAATACTTGCTTTTTCTCTGATTTTTTTCTGAGAGCATAAAATAATTTTGAGATGATTCTGAATGTTTTAAGTTAAAGAATTAAGAGCACAAGAATCTTTTATAGTTCACATAAGCACACACGCACACATACACACATACTAACAGACATTTATTTCTCTTTCTAATCCACGTTTGTTGGTCAACAGTATAGATGATGAAAAGAATATCCTCCCTCATTATATCAAATAGCTCCACCAGCTTGGCTATGAATTTTACCCTGAAATAAGCAACATAGACACACACATGCACACATGCATACATCCTTCTTTCTTTAAGTAGAAAACAGCCCTAATTTTGATTCAATTCAATAAAATATACTGTTACAAAATTAAGAAATAATTGAACAGTAGTTTTGAGAGTTAATAATGCAAAATCAATATATTATACTTTTCTTACTGCCCGTGATGTAATATTTAGCAAACCAGTATTTATTATTGGACTAATGGTAACACAATTGACAACACACTGGGATATTATGGGAATTTCCTGTCATACGAGTACACCCACTTCAATTTGAGCTCTACTGGAAAAATCAATGCTTAGAAAATGCAAAAGGGAAACAATGACTACAACAATTTTTTAAATGTCTAAGATATTATTACATGGTTTTTTTTTGTAAGCAAAACTGAATAAGAATAGCTTTATTTCCTAGAAAAAGCTAGATATACTCCTAAAATAAAGTTGCATATGATTTAAAAGTAGATTCTCATTCATCTGTGTTCTCTGGCCTTTATTAACTTTAAGTAAAATATGTAATAATTTGAAAGTAAAAATTGAAGAGTTCAACTTTAAAACGAAAATACCCCGAAATAAAATCCTTTCTCCCCATGAAACGTTTGTTTTGCTTCATGCATGTTAGTTCATAGGCTTTCCCCCTTGAGTCCCCAGTGTAACATTAAAGACAATTTAAACATTTCTTTCTCAGCACGGAAGCTTATGAGCTGAATAAGATGGTAACATAAGCAGAGACTCACAAGGTAGTCCTCCCTTCCCACCTCAGACCAACTTGCAGATTGACATTCTCCTATATCAGACCTCAGGATGATATCTAGTCAAAATCTTTACTTGTCCAACAAATTTCATTATCCAAAAAATAAACATACTCTCTAATCTCTTTGCTGTAAAGTAAATGAGCTTTCAGAACAATTTTGATTATACAGAGTTAAACTGAAATGCCTTAAAGTGTATAACAAAGTTAGTTTAGAGTTAGTGCCAAAGGTTGGTATGTGAAAGTCAATATGGCTCTTGTCCTTTGGTGAAGACATGGAACACAAGGTTTCAGGAACAGAATTAACCTTCCATTTTTGGACGTATGATGGAAGCTATGTCTTATTCATGGAGGTCATAAACTCAGGAAACAAAGATCAATAATTTTTGGAATTCCCTGAGTCATGAAGCAATACACTTCTGACCAAGAAGAATCACCTGCTGTGGAGATTTGGTCTGGACCTGATATGTTTGCACTGAAGTCGTCTTTACTCAGATCAAGAAAAAAATGTTTGAATGGGGGTGATTCAATTCAGAGGGAAACACAGTGAAGCAGTTTGAGAATTCTCTCATTTTGGCCTGCTATACGTTATATATAATTTTGGGTTTTTTTATTTATTTTGTTTTATTTTTAATTTTATTATTATTACACTTTAAGTTTTAGGGTACATGTGCACAACGTGCAGGTTTGTTACATATGTATACATGTGCCATGTTGGTGTGCTGCACCCATTAACTCGTCATTTAGCATTAGGTATAGCTCCTAATGCTATCCCTCTCCCTCCCCCCACCCCACAACAGTCCCCAGTGTGCAATGTTCCCCTTCCTGTGTCCATGTGTTCTCATTGTTCAATTCCCACCTATGAGTGAGAACATGTGTTTGGGTTTTTAAGATTCTGTTTAGGAAAGATATATAGAATGTAGCATGCTATAAAAATAACTGGATTAATTGGTACATTTTGTTATTCCACTTCTTGAGAAAATGGAATCCAGATTCTAATTTTATTGACAGTTATGACATTCCAGTAAAATTTTATAGTTGATTGATATACCTACGTAGATTTATGTAACAAATATTTGCCCTAATTTTATGATATACAGTGGACTCCATGTGAGAAAAAAAAAATCTACCTTAAAACTGCTCTTTGTAGCTTACTAAGAGATCTATTTTCTCCCAAATTTACATAATCACAGAGAAAGAAACTATTCTAGTGTGACTAATTGTAACAGTAATCTGTCCTGCTTTTGGAGCATGCTTTTGTTTGTCAGATGTACCGTACAATATTACAGGTAGCCATCTCCCCCGACTCTTCACTCCCTAGAACAAGCAGCAGGTTACAAATAAATTCGACCTGAATAAGAATCCAAATATAAAAAAGGAATATTACCAATTTATTTATAAAGTGCAAGTTTATTATAATAGTGATATTTTGATAAACTTCTTGTATCAAGAAGAATTATGGGCTGGGCATGGTGGCTCATGCCTGTAATCCCAGCGCTTTGAGAGGCCAAGGAAGGTGGATTGTTTGAGCTCATGAGTTTGAGGCCAGCTTGGGCAACATGGTGAAACCCTGTTTCTACAAAAAAAATACAAAAATTAACTGGGCGTGGTGGTGTGTGCCTGTCAGCCCAGCTGCTTGCAAGATTGAGATGAGAGGATGGTTTGAGCCTGGGAGGCAGAGGTTGCAGTGAGCCCAGATTGGGCCACTGAACTGCAGCCTGGGTGACAGAGTCAGAACTTGTCTCCGAAAAAATACCAAAAAAACAAAAAACAGAAGATTTATGAACTTTACTTAGTTGTATTTCTTTCATTATTTTTAGTCTTAAACCAGGAATGTTTTATGAATAGATTTAAAACACTTGAAAATGCATTGTTTGGTATTTTAGAATGTGTCTTTACTAGTGTGTTAGTGGTTGATAAAGTGCACATAGGCAACAGTTTGTTTTTCGTGTAGCTAAACATGATTACTACAAATGAGGAACAAATCTCTCCAGTTCTTTCATTGGACTTCATGATTCATTGAGTAGCATACAATGAATAGCACCAATTTTTATTGGCAATATCTTTCTAATATCTTTATATAGTGAAACAAATAGCTCTGACAAAGAGTTTTTTTTAAAATATGTGACTATAGACATCTCTAGTTACTATTTTAATAAACTTAGAGCAGATATTTACAACTGCTCTATTATGAATGTTGGTTAATATAGAGAAATTTGCATAAAATAGTATATTCTTTAGATCTGTTAAATTTTGTTTTTTAAAATAATATACCACTTTGTCTTTATAGTAATTTGATGCTGTTGAAATAAAAACAAATCCTGTTGAAATTAAAAGGTTGGATCTGTCCACCTCAACATTAAGAAAATGCAGAGTGAATAAATCTCATAATATGTCTAACTTTTGCATGTAAATGGCTTCCAACAAGAACATATAAATTAAATAAAATATTCTTAGATTTTATAGGAAAAAAATCCTAATTTCTTACTAGAAAGGATATGTAGAGAGAGGCAAATCTGTGAACCAGAAGGAAGCAGGGCTTGTTGTCAGTCTTGATTATTGGCTTGATTCCATGTTGAAATTTATTTAATATGGCTTATTATATTTAATTATTAATGCTTAATATGTGCTTACTATGGATCAATCACTTTATAAAAATTTACCTCATAATAAACCTCAAACCTATACAATTAAAAGCGTATTAAAGTGAAACTTCCTTTACTTTCCTTTTGGCTTATTAGATAAGATTAGCACTTACCTAATATAATAGATAAGTACCCACCATTGCAAAGTGAAAGTGAAGCACCAGATGACCTTGGGAGGACAATTCAAAAAACTGACTTTGTATAAGTTTAGCAGTTCTCAAGCATCACCCACCTTTAGGCTATAGAAATGGAGGCTAAGGATTGCACCAGAGGGTTTAGACATTAAAGGCGTGAATTCTTTGAAGAGAATATTCATGACTACGCATTTCCTCCTTTTACCTCCTGGGGATATTTGTTGGGAGTTTTCACTCTGATCTGAAGCCAAGTAAAAGGGATCTTAGGGAGATTACTAAGAGTTTGACATGCATTCTTTAATTAGGAGGCTACATAATGGACCAGTGTTTTAAAATGTCAAGGCTGGCCGGGCGCGGTGGCTCACGCCTGTAATCCCAGCACTTTGGGAGGCCGAGGCGGGCGGATCACGAGGTCAGGAGATCGAGACCATCCTGGCTAACACGGTGAAACCCCGTCTCTACTAAAAATACAAAAAATTAGCCGGGCGTGGTAGCGGGCGCCTGTAGTCCCAGCTACTCGGGAGGCTGAGGCAGGAGAATGGCGTGAACCTGGGAGGCGGAGCTTGCAGTGAGCCGAGATCGCGCCACTGCACTCCAGCCTGGGCGACAGAGCGAGACTCCGTCTCAAAAAAAAAAAAAAAAAAAAAAAAAAAAGAAATGTCAAGGCTGACTGGGGCTCTCTGACTGGGTGAAGAGGATGTGAGGATGCCGCATAGCAAGCAACCACCTTTCCCTGATAGCCAGACAAAGCTTCTATGAATTCAGGGAGGCCATACGTATTAGTTTTTTATGCTGCATATGAAATTTCCACAAACATAGAGGTTTAAAACAACATCATTTATTATCTCCAAGTTCTGTAGGTCAGAAGTCTAGCTGGTTTTTGTTGCTTTTCTCCTGTGTCTTACATAGCTGAAATCAAAGTATGGGCGACAGGTTCTGATCTGCAGTTTCTGGGAAAGATCCTACTCCCAAGCTTGTCTAGGTTATTGGCAAAATTCATTTCCTTGTTTTTATAGCACTGGGGTCCCCATTTCTTGCTGGTTATCCCAGAGACCATTTTCAGCTCTTACAGGCTACTCTCAGGTCCTTACCCTGTAGGTACCCACATCTCAGCAACAGAGAACTTCTTTCATATGGAATTCCTCTCTTGCTTCAAATTTCTGACTACTGCTTCTCTTATCAGCCAGGATGAACTCTGTTTCTAAATGGCTCATGTGATTAGAATGGGTCTACCTGGAAAATCTCTCTTTTAAATAATTCAAAGTCAACTGATTAGTAATCTTAATTACATCTATAAAATCCCCCATCTATAAAATCCCCTGTTCATGCAATATAATGTACTCATGGATATAATATCTGATGATATTCATAGCCCAGAGATTAGGGGAAGAAATCTTGGGCCACTGCAGAATTCTGCCTACCATACAATGTGGGAGGAAGCTGGTCAGGGATGAGGCAACCCCAGCCAAAAGAGGCTACAGTTTTAACACTGGGTGTTGTAGATAATTAATGACTATACCTATTTGCTTGATAAAATAATATGCGTATATTCTCTAGTTCCTGGAGTTGGAATAAACAGTTGCGTATATACTGATTATTTTTGTAGATTATGCTTGAGTCATTTATATGCTTTGATATACACTGTTAAATTGCTAGTAGAAGCATGTCTTAATCAGGATAAGCTTAGTTATGCTGTGAAAACAACACCACAATCTTAGGTACTTACAACTGGAAAGGTATATTTCTTGATTTCACTGCAAGATCCTTCTCAGAGTAGCAGGGGAGGTGGACTCCTTCATGTTGTTCTCATTAAATGACCAAGATCACAGAGCAGGCACTATTGGAACATTGTCTTTCACTGAGGTGGGGAGTAGGCAAGTTGTAATAGAATATGCAGCATGTTATTTCTAACATTTTGTTGGTTAAAGTAAGTCACATGGCCATGCCCAATTTCAGTGAGGAAGGAAAGTGCAATCCATCCAGAACCATAGTCTTGCTAAAAGCTCTAATGACTGTCTCAAAGACAATTTGGAAAAATCACTCAAAAATTAAATACGTATAGCTCTTGACCTAGTGATTTCTAAATGAAATGAAATCACTAGTTCAAATTGTATTTACATTATGGTACAAGCATGTTTCTGTGTTATCTGTAATAGCAAAAAGTAAGAAAACACTTAAGTTGTAGAAAGTTACATTAGATCCATTCAGTGGGATACCTTGCAGCCTTTCAAAAGTAAGATGTATCTGGATTAATATGAAACTATTCCAAGACCATACTATTGAATAATAATCAAAGTCTATATGCGTGAGTTGGTGGTAATGATTATGGTGGGTGTGTGGTGGGGCCAGGGATAATACATACAAAGCACTTACAATAGTGCATGGCAAAAATAATAGTAGTTAACACTCATATGCAATTTACTGTGTGTAAAGTCCTCTTCTAAATGTTGTACATTCTTTAAGTCATTTGATACTCATAACAGTCATTTGAAGTGGTATTATTCTCAATTTTCAAATGAGGAAATTCACATACAGAATATATTCATGAATAATTTCTAGAATAATATTTAAGAGAATGTCTGCAAAGAAAATGTATTTCTGGGTAATGGGACTGAGAGATATAATGGGGCTATTTTATGATTTACTGTGTTGCTTTCTGTTGCTTTTAGAGTTTTTATCATGATCACATGTTACTTTCATAGTAAAACTCTGGTAGTAAAAATATAATGACAATGAGCCAATGGGAGCTGTTCCACTCTTGCTAGAGTGTATTTGTACCTTTGTGCCCTGACAAGGGCGAATTTTTTCCTGTGGAGAGAGAATATGTAAGACATAAACACTCAACACCAAATCTTCCCTTTTTCCTAATGAAGGAAAGTCTGAGTTTGTCACTCTTTAGTCCAGATTGTCTGTTTAGGTGTGATGATCCATGGTAGGTTCTGTTACTGTCCAATATCTCCCCCTCTTGTAGGGTGCTACATCACTTGTCTATGACAGCAGGCTTGGCTAAGTGCTGGCTTTGGAAGTGACGTGTACTGCTTTCAAACAGAGGCTTTAAGAGTCACTGTGAGGCTCTACTCCTGCTCTTTTCTGTTTGCCATGGGAATAGCAATATAGAGACATGGGCTACTTTTTAGCCAGGATCTTGGAGAGACAAGAACATAAGTGCAGTTGTAGGAATATGTAACACAGATGAGAAATTAGAGATGAACTTTTCTTGTAGAAAGCCACTGATGCTGAGCCATTTGCTACCATAATATAAACCAGTGAAAACTAATATAAGATCTCATAGAAATAATAGATATGCAGAAGTAGAGAAAATATACCTTCTGGACATATTCTGGAATGGGGGCTCTGGGACATTTCAGCATTTTGTGCTTTTTATTATTTTCGTATTATAGCATTTTGCTCTTGGATCTTCAATACCTGACAATCTCTATTTTATTCTTCTGAAAGAAAAATGTGTATTGTCCTACTGCTTTAATATTCGCAGGCTAGTAGTGGAAGACTTGTTACACAATTTCAATTTGATTTCTCTTTCTAATTGTGGAAGATTTACTTGTTCTACACAATTTGATTTCTCTTTCTAATTGTGGAAGATTTACTTGTTCTACACGTCCTGTTATTGAAAAAAGTGGCAATATTATAGCAGTATAAATAGTTGTAGTTATATTTCCCTTTCAGTAGTTCATTTCTCTAAGCTTCTCACTTAATTGCAAAATGTTGCAATCACTTTATCTTTTTTATTATCTAAATTAAATCATGAGGTAAAATTATCAAGGGTTTTCCCTAGACATTCTATTATTTCATTTCACACAAAATACTTTATATAAATAAGAACTTGCAAGTTTGTAGTTTAATGTTAACTCTAAAGAATGTCCTGCTTTAATGATTGAATTATAAGCTAATACCCAAAGAGTCATGTTATAAGTTAATTTTTCCACTAAGCATAATTTTCAACTAATATAAAAAAATTTCTAAGTTTTTTAGTCTTTCATTTATAAGAACAATTTTATTTTCTCTTAATGGAGTTAAATTAATTGTTTATATCTTATCAAAATAAAGCGAATAATCTATTTTATGTCTCTATCCAAAGGTCCATTTAGACACCAAATTTTTAGCTTAAAGGGATACACTGATTTCTGTTGGTTTGTTTATTTCTGTAGTTATACTATCCATTGCAGCACTATTAAAAACACTTCTGGGATGAAGAGTATTTGGGGGATTGTCCTTGTCCCTAATCATACTATACACACTTTAGTAAAACTGTTGACTGAAAAGGAGGCAACTCTGCTCCAATATTAAAAAAAAAAAAAGAAAAATTCCAAGCTATCTAGAGGAAATATCCTTTATTACAATCAATCAGTAATTAAGTCCCTACCCCACTGTACAACCAGTTAAGAAGGCTTCCCTTCTCTCTTCCACATTATATACAGGCTCTAAGCCCTTCTGTGGCAACTATTTAAAGACTAATCCTTTTATCCTGATTTCCAAATACAGTTTCAGTAGGAGGGCTGCCTGAGAATACCATGTGCTCTGGTTTGAATATGGTGTGTCCCTATCAAAATACACTTTGGAACCCTAACCCCAGTATGGCAATTTTGGGAAGCAGAGCCTTTAAGAGGTGAGGCCTGTTGGGAGGTGTTTGGGTCATAGGGTGGATCCCTTGTGAATGGCTTGGTGCTGAGTGAGTTCTCACTTTGGGAGACTGGATTAGTTCTTGCTGGAATGGATTAGCTCCTTTGTGAGTGGCTTGTTTATAAAGCCAGCCTCTCAGGTTTTGCACCTTCACACATGTCTGCTTCCCATTTGACCTTCCACCTTGTGAAGCAGCACCAGAAGCTGAACAGTTACTGGTGCAATATCCCTTGAATTTTCCAGCCTGAAGGACTGCAAGCTAAATAAATCTCTCTTCCTTATGAATTATCCGGTCTCAGATATTCTGTTATAAGAACAAAATGGACTAAGATATCATGTGATTTATGGTATGCTTTACAAAGTCTAGGAGGTATTCTAATGGCCACACATCAAACTGCATTGGAGGACCTAGGAAGCTTCAAGGATAATCCTATCTCCCCTCTTTTGCCTTCCAAAGCCAGTAATAAAGAATTCAATAGCATTCTAGGGAAGCTCTGTGGGCTCTCTAAAGGTAACAGGGAGTTAGGTGGCCTATAGGAGTGGTTTTTGTTGTTGTTGTTGTTGTTTTAACAAATAATTTGTGCCCACAACTTCAATTTCAATCTAAAGTATACGTGTCTTAGTTAATATCAAACATATATTATAGAGGAAAAATAAGATCTTTGGTGGTTAATATAAAACATGAGTTATTCCACTTTGCACATTTAAGAAATATTTTTAGCATATACATATGAAAACAGAAAAGAGTTTCTATGATGAAGATACACATTTTAAAACATTTTTAATCTCAATGACTGGAATAATTATGTTTTAAAGAATGGGGCAGTCAATTATGAATTTGTTATTGCTTAATGTGATTCTGAATGTAGTATTCCTGGATTACTTTCTGTAAATTTTATGTTAATAATTTTAATTTGTACAACACTTTGACATGAGAATCATTCAATTTATGGTCATAATTCTTAAATTTATTTGTAATATATTTAATGTCAGGTAGATTTCATGCCAAAGACACACGAACAGACTTGAATGAAATAGTATCTTGGGGGATGGCTTTAGAGTCTAAGTCCTCTGGGAAAATCTGAGTAAGAAGAGAAATGTAGTTGCTGAAAGAGCTGTAGGAATCTGTTTTCTGACATAAATTTTCTAAAAGAATGTATAAATTCAGGAAAAATAATATAGGAAAAATAAAATATTAAAATATTCTATTTGGTTGTAACATGTTCTTAACTATTTTGGGGCCTGTAGCAAGCAAATTCTCTCATGGCCTCTAATAGTTTCCAACTCCTGGTATTCTTTTTTTTTTTTTGAGATGGTGTCTCACTCTGTCACCCAGGCTGGAGTGCAGTGGTGCCATCTTGGCTCACTACAAGCTCCGCCTCCCGGGTTCACGCCATTCTCCTGCCTCAGCCTCCCAAGTAGTTGGGACTACAGGCGTCCATCACCATGCCTGGCTAATTTTTTGTATTTTTAGTAGAGAAGGAGTTTCACCATGTTAGCCAGGATGGTCTCGATCTCCTGACCTCATGATCTACCCACCTCGGCCTCCCAAAGTGCTGGGATTACAGGTGTGAGCCACCGTGCCCGGCGCTCCTAGTATTCTTACTCTTGTGTAATCCCCTCCCCTCAAGTGTGGGCTAGCTCAGTGACTTGCTTCTAACCAATAGAAAAGAGTGAGATGGGATAGAATAGAATGGGATTTCTCTTCTGTGATTAGTTTAGAAGAAACTAACTTTCATCTTGATAGCTATAGTCTATGGTTAATAGCTTGGTAGTCTATAAAAGATTCTTCTTTATCCTGGCTGTCATATTTACCAAAAAGGGTAAATATCTTGCCATGTGGCAAGAAAATGAGGCTTCTGGCCAATAGCCTCCTAGGAACTGAGGCCCTTGGTCCCAGAGCACTTGAGGAACTGAAGTTTTGCAGACTTCTTGTAAGTAAGCACAAAGTGGATATTTACCCAGTTGAGCCTTCAGATGAGCCCCAGCCCTGGCTGATACTCTGATTGCAGCCTTGTGAGAGACCTTGAAACAAAGGACCCAGGTGCTTTTTTTTTTTTTTTTTTTTTTTTTTTTGAGACAGAGTTTCGCTATTGTTGCCTAGGTTGGTGTGCAGTGGTGTGATCCTGGCTCACTGTAACCTCCACCTCCTGGGTTCAAGTGATTCTCCTGCCTCAGCCTCCCGAGTAGCTAGGATTACAGGCATGTGCCACCACATCCAGCTAATTTTGTATTTTTACTTGAGATAGGGTTTCACCATGTTGGTCAGGCAAGTCTCAAACTCCTGACCAGCTGATTTTTGCACAAATTCCTGATCCACAGAAACTGGCCAACCAGCTGATTTTTGCACAAATTCCTGATCCACAGAAACTGTGGAATAAATGTTTTAAGCTGCTAAGTTTGTGCTAATTTATTACACAAAAATAGATAACTGATATAGGTCTTTTAATTTTAATTTTATTCATTTTGTAATTAATTTCTTCAGTATGGCATGGTCCAAAAAATGCATATTGTGTACTGTATATTTAAGCAAAATTCAGTGTAGAAGAAGAGGAATTGAGATAGAGCAGTAGTTCTCAACATTTCATGTGCATCAGCATCACTTGAAAGGCTTGTTAAAAATAGTTTTCTGCTCCTTTCCTCTAGGTTTTTGATTCATCAAGTCTTGAGTAGTTCCTGGGAATTCATAGTTCTAAAAAGTTCATAGATGTATTAGTTTCCTATTGCTGCCCTGACAAATTACCCAAAATTAAGTGATTGAAACAACACAAATTTATTATCGTATGATTCTGGAGATCAGAAGTCAGAAACAGGTCTGCCTGGACCAAAATAAAGGTGTTCTCTTTCTGGGTGCTCTAGGGGAGACTTTGTCTCTGTATTAGTCCATTTTCATGCTGCTGATAAAGACATACCCAAGACTGGGCAAATTACAAAAGAAAGAGGTTTAATTGGACTTACATTTCCACATGGCTGGAGAAGCCTCACAATCATGAGTGAGGGCAAGAAAAAGCAAGTCATCTCTTACATGAATGGCAGCAGGCAAAGAAAGAGCTTATACAAGGGAACTTCTCTTTTTAAAACCATCAGATCTTATGAGACCTATGTACCATCTCAAGAACAGCATGAGAAAGACTTGCTCCCGTGATTCATTTACCTCCCACCAGGTCCCTTCTACAACACATGGGAACTCCAGAAGAGATTTGGGTGTGGACACAGCCATACCATATCAGTCTCCATGCCTCTTCCAGCTTCTAGACACTGTCTGCATTCTTTGGCTCATGCTTCCTTCCACTGTCTTCAAAGTGTCTTCATCAAAGTAGCATCTTCAAATATTAATATCTTTCTGACTCTGACCCCTGACTCTCCTGCCTTTGTCTTTCACTTATAAAGACTCTTGTGCTTACAATGGACTCATCTGGATAATTCAAGATGCTCTTTCCCTCTCAAGACCCTTAATATAATCACATCGGCAAAGTCCCGTTTGCCATGTAAGGTAACATATTCACAAGTTTCCAGGAATCAATTGTGGATATTTTTGTGGAGCCATTATTCTGCCTGCCACACGAGGCAATGTTAATGCTGTTGGCCCAGAGACCACCCTGTGCGTATCACCAATTATAGATCGCTGTAAGAACCAAGCTCTCTCTGTCTTGGATTCTGTTTGCCTCAGCATGCCTTCCCCTTAGCCTTATCATCCAAAGATTCTACAGAAGTGATTCTCTTTGTGTGGACTGGAAGTTCCTTGGTACTCATATATATCCCACAAGGAGTTTCACTTGACTATAGGAAATTTTGTGCTGTGTTGATGGCAGCTGAAATGCTAATCTATCAGACCACTTGTTATGGTTTTTAATTTTATCTATGTTTTACCACAGCAAAAATCTTTTCTTTGATTATATGATATTTTGCCTTCTTCTGAGTTAGGCAAATTCCAAAATAGGTTTTGAAGCTCTCTAAAGTGTTTCCAGGATTAAATGAGTTTCAAAGATCACACCACTTAAAGCAGGAATGATAATATGCTAGAATTATCTACTATAAACCCTTTCCTCACATTTTTATCTTTTATTTTCCTAAAAGACTTTATTTTTTCCTCTAGTGTGTACATGTGAATGTGGGTATTTATTCTGGCATTTAAATATGCCTTGACTGTAAAAATGATTGTCTCTAGGAGAGGTATAATTGTTGTTGGTCAGTTAAGCTGATTAACACTGAAGGTTTAAAAATAAATATATTATCTGCCCTGATATGTCACCTTATGTAATAGCACAGTTTTAGACTTTATGGTGTATGTGTGTCTATGTCCATATCACAACATATCCCCTATCTGAAAGGGCAGGAAATATGTTTTTAAATTTAATGTCTACCTATTTTCCCTCCTAGCATGCTCAGAGGCTATTGTGGTTTTAACCTCTATTAGGAATTCTTTCTCAATTGACTCACACATGGTATTGTTAAAAATTTCAGGGAGTTTGCCACATTTTGTCTGGGAGAATTAGGGATGTTAAGGGTTAAAAAGGACTCTAGAATCTTAATATGTGCCGTAATGTATTACTGTTTTATGATCAGCTATTACATGTAGTTATGGAGTTAAATTTCCACACTTTGTTAAGTGAGCCCTTTGGTAATCTTCTATCAGTCTTTATATTCCAGAATATTTATAATCCCTTTGGGTATAAACACTTTATTCATTTCTTCCTCTGAGTCATGCTCCCATACCAATACAGCAGCAGATGTCCGAGACAATGTGGTCTCATTTGCACCCCTGTGTTCAACACTGGTAGTGGTTGCTATCTGGGAGAAAAAAAAAAAAATTAGCCACATTTTACTCTCAACTTGTATCAGTAATTTGGGTTTTCATGAGTTTGGTGTGTTGGTTCTTTATGCATGGCATAAAAATAAAAAGTACAAGTTCTTTCTATTTTTTTCCAAACGAAAGATAAATTGGATTTAGAAGCTCATGCCTAACTAAATGCTTTTGTCCACAGACCTGCTAACAATGGAAAATACCTAAGAATAGAAGGGAAATAAAAATAAATGGACCTCATTAAAACTTCTAAGGGATACCTGTGGCTATTTGACTTCCTCCCATACAGGGGGGTAAAGTTCAAAAAGTACAGAAAGTCCCAGGCTGTTGTCAACAAAACTATCACAAGACATTTTTGGAGGATTTTAGGTTTGTCATGTCTAAATTAACTTTTGAATGAAAAATAAATTTTTGTTAACTTTATTTTAACAGAAGATTGTATAATAAACCTGCAAAACCAATCATTCACAATATAAGACTCTTCAAAGGAGAAGGGGTTATGAGTGTGTATAAAATCTGTCTTCTGATTTTTTAACAAATATTTTTGCCAAATTTAGCTTTGTTGCTCTGAATTCATTGATTCTATTGCTATTTTTCAAATGAGTCAGTATACGTAATTTTAGATTTTTTTCAATTTAAAATAAATACATTTTAGGGAAGTTTCCCAGCTTGTGAAGTTGTAGATGTTACTGTGAAATAGTTGTCATTTTCTATTGCTAAAACTAATATCAATACGTTTACTTTAAAAATCAATGCTTTTATGAAATGCCAGAATTATAGATGTGCTTATATATTGTAACACTAGTAAAAGAGACTCAGTAATGTACATTTATTACCCTCTTTCTATTACATTCAAAGCAGATATTTTCTGAATATTTTTTAGATTTAAAGACACTTGCTCCTCCTGAATTATTTTAGTCCATCTCCAGGGAGTTCTTCTGTTGCCGACTTATCGGATGTGAGACAATTTACATGCTATAAAAATAAGTGAAAGTAATGTGATGTGTCAGATTTCTAGTGGCGTATGAGTCATCATCCTGTTGGCATGGCATGAAGTTTCACAGAAAAACAATCTTTTATTATATTATTGCTGAAAATTAATTAAAATTAAAGCCTTTTTTAAAAAAGAAAAAACATGATAGATTTAATTCCTAACTAAAAATGAAAAGCTTCTTTTGTCTCTTATTATGCATTTATATGAAAATTGTTCTTCCTCTCTCTATTACTTATTAGTTAATATATATTTGTTAAGCATTTGCTATGGATAAGATTGGGCACTCGGTAATGAAATTGCAAGGAGTAATAGATAACCAATAATCTGGCCAGGCGCGGTGGCTCACGCCTGTAATCCCAGCACTTTAGGCGGGCGGATCACAAGGTCAGGAGATCGAGACCATCCTGGCTAACACGGTGAAAACCCATCTCTACTAAAAATACCAAAAAAAAAAAAAAAAAAAAAAAGAGCCAGGCGTAGTGGCAGGCGCTTTTAGTCCCACCTACTCGGGAGGCTGAGGCAGGAGAATGACGTGAACCCGGAAGGCGGAGCTTGCAGTGAGCTGAGATCGCGCCACTGCACTCTAACCTGGGCGACAGAGCGAGACTCTGTCTCAAAAAAAAAAAAAAAAAAATAGATAACCAAGAATCTATAGATTGTAACTGATCATTGACTAAAGAAATGATACACATATCAAGAGTGCTAAGAAAGTTGAAGGAAAAAGAGAAAATATCCAACTAGGGTTTAGATGGAAAGCTTAAAAAGATTCCAGCAAAGAAACCACCACTTGAATGTAATATAATAATACAAGAACAGGCAGAGAACAAAAAAATGCACAGCTAATATTTACCCTACTTCTACTATGGGCATTAAGCCACATTAGGAGACTAAAGAAAATGTTATCTATTTATATTGACACATTTTCTTCCAAAAAGTTAAAATTATCAGTAAGTCCACTTAAATAATGGATTCACATTTAATATTGTTAATGATAACCCTTTCTTTAACTGTAAATTATGCTTTTTGCTTTGAATTAATGATAATATGCAGATATTGGTAAGACAAATTTTTAAATTTAATCTTTATCTCAATTTTCCAAATGTATATTGTAGTGTGTCGTTTGAAATATTTATGTATAAAGTATGTATAGATTATAATGATGAGCATAAATACTTAGAAATAAGTAAATATGCATATATTAGCATGTGTGTGCTAAAAAATATTTTACTGATAAATGGAGAATGATCATAATAATTTGGTTCTTTTTCCAAAGCAAAAGACATGCTTCTTTTCCCAACATTAGTCAAACCTCTCTTATCATTCAGCTCTTTCAGAAAGCTCAAACTTCTTAATACCTTGCTAGATTACAAGCGAATTGATTGCTGTCTATCACCATTTCGTAGGATATATGAGGTGTTCTTAAAGCCATGGCTCCTAAAGCCCTTCTCCCTAAAATGTTCATGACCTTAATTGGCCTACAGATAATTTATATTTTATACTATATTAACTATTTATTCGTGCTGTCTTATATCCTCCAAAGGTCTGTCCACAGACCTAACAATTCAGTCTGCAAAATGTTAGAGATGAAGAGCTGAGTCACTGGAGCTTTGTGGACAGTTATAGTTAATAATGAGAATTCACAAACACATGTACATTTTAATACCGATGAAGCTCTATAGTAGTTTGTTTCCTGCACAAGTCATTGCTTTCTCTTGTACAAATGCACAACTTTTCAGTTGGGCATAATTACAGAGGGAAGGGATCAACATGTGATGCATGTGATAGAAACTACCGCGCTATCATTTCCTGAACATCTATTTTATGTAACATAGTTAATGATGACAGTGAAATGGCAAAATATCCCTTTTTACTATGTGCAAGGTTGGAACTTCGTATCCATGTATTGTGTATGTTTAAAAGGACATGTGGTTGTCTGGGCACAGTGGCTCACGCCTGTAATCCCAGCACTTTGGGAGGCCCAGGCGGATCACGAGGTCAGGAGATCGAGACCATCCTGGCTAACACGGTGAAACCCCGTCTCTATTAAAAATACAAAAAATTAGTCAGGCATGGTGGCAGGCACCTGTAGTCCCAGCTACTTGGGAGGCTGAGGCAGGAGAATGGTGTGAACCCAGGAGGTGGAGCTTGCAGTGAGCTGAGATCACACCACTGCACTCCAGCCTGGGTGACAGAGGGAGACTCTGTCTCAAAAAAATAAACAGAAACAAAAACAAAAAAAAAGGACATGTGAACAGTGTTTCCAGGAGACTGAGGCAGAAGCTGTACCAGGGTAGTAGATCCCTCAGCTTGATCTGGGAAATGTAAAAATCTCAGGCACCACACGACATTTCCTGAACCAGAACCTCAAGAAGCAGGGCCCAGGAATCTGCATTTCAACAAGCTCTCAGATGATTCTTATGTACACTAAAGTTTGGGAAGCACTTCTCGAAAAGAAATAGTGATTTAGGTTGCCACTTCAGAATAGACATGAAATTTTTCAGAATTCTCCAGGAAACTATGTCAAAGGGTTCTTATGAGCCTCCATGACTCACTGATGCATTTTAAAGCTGAAAATGAGTTATTCACATACTATTTCACAGCAGTGAAGAATGACACTGATTTCTCAAATTGGTGGCAAATAAATCCAAATCAAACTGTATTTTGTGGAAATATATTTGATGAACAAATAAAATACAAAAATGGTTAAGTGTGAACCATGAAGAGAAGCAGATTAGTCTGTATTAATTACCACAGCTATGATAAAATAATGGGCTGGATAGTGATGCTTAACTAAAGCCACTTATGCTTTTGTTTTTCTCTCAAAGAAGAAAACCATACCTCTTCTGAGAAAAGTGAGTCCAGATACCAGATTTATAGGAGGGACAAGAAGGCCTTAGTAATGAGACATCTAAAAATTAAATCAATAGGAGTTAAATATTTTCAAAACTAATTTTGTCAGTACTTTTCATAAAAATACAAGCCCAAGCTTGTTTACGTGTGAATCAGGTTTAGCTTGTTAATTGGTATTTGGCATTTCTTTGTTCTTGAAACAGTATGATGCCTAGAGGAGGCTGTATGAGAGAGAGCAAGAGACAGAGGAGAGAAACAGCAGTGCTTAACAGCTTACTAACACTGATCCTATTTATTCTGTGTCAGTTTGTCATCCTTGGTTGAACAAGGAAAATATGCCATATAGAAACTGATAGCCTCTTTGCCTGAATTAAGCATATTTGTGTACACTCATTTATATTTTCAGCAGGGAATGGCAAAATTTATGCCACTTCTTATCTATTGTATCTAATTCAGACTCTAGCAATCTAAGGGCTGTTTATAGTTTCATGAAAATAAATATTGCCCAATGTGAGAAATAAGATTACCTATCTTCTCATAGCACAGCTGCCCTAGTTGACCATTCAGCTTAATGTAGTAAATGGAAATCAGGAAACTGGTTCTACCCCTAGCTGTACCTTTAACTTCTCACTTAACCTCTCGGAGTTTTATTTTTTCCAATATTTAAAACTAAGGTATTAAATGATTGCTAAAAATGCTATGATTCTATAAACACTGACAGTGATCACTTTTGGGGTGTAATTCCAGGGAGGCCTGGCCAGGAAGGATCTAATTTGAATCTAAGTCCAAGAGAAATTCACAATCCAAAATTTAACCACTTATCAGATGAAAATTATTCAGGAACATTATGTTAAATTATGCTTTTGAAATTTCTTCTAAATCATACTCAACAGTGGAAAATTGAAAGTTTTCCTTCTTAGATCTGGAATAAGAAGAGGATGCCCACTCTTGCCACTGCTATTCAACATGGTACTGCAAGTTGAAGATACAGCAATGAGGTAAGAGAAAGAAATCAAAGGCATCCAAATTGGAAAGTAAGAAGTTAAATTTTCCCTGTTTGCAGGTAGCATAATCTTATAGGTAGAAAACTCCAAAGACTCCACTAAAATACTGTTAGAACTGATAAACAAATTCAGTAAAAGTACAGAATACAAAATCAACATACAAAAATCAGTAGCCTTTCTACAAACTAACAACGAACTATCCAAAAAGGAAATTAAGAAAACAATTCCATTTACAATAGCTACAAAACTATTAGGAATAAATCTAACCAAGGAGTTGATAGACTCATACAGTGAAAACTGTAAAATATTGATGAAGGAAAATTAAAAAGACATAAATAAATGGAACAATATCCAGTGTTCATTGATTGGAAAATTTCATATTGTCAGAATATCCATGCTACCCAAAGCACTCTACAGATTCAATGCAATCCTTGTCAGAATTTTAAAGCTGTTTATTACAGAAATAGAAAAAACAATCCCAACATTAATATGGAACCAAAAAAGACCCCAAATAACCAAACCAATCTTGAGCAAAAAGAACAAAGCTGGAGTTGTCGTACTATCTGACTTTAAAATATACTACAAAACTATTCAATTAATTTTTTACAAAGGTCCCCCAAACACAATGCAGGAAGAACAGTCTCTTCAATAAATGATGTTGGAAAAACTGGCTATTCCTATGAAAAAAAATAAAATTAGAACCTTATCTCACATTGTACACAAAAATCAACTTAAAATGGATTCAAAACTTAAATGTAAGTCCTAAACCTATAAAATTACTAGAAGAAAACATAGTAGAAAGGCTCCATGACATTGGCCTAGGCAATAACTTTTTTTAATATGTCCCCAAAAGCCCAAAATAGACACGATTGTTGCCCAAGAGGCAACAAAAGCAAAAATAGACAAATGGGATTACATCAAACTAAAAACACTTCTATACAGCAAAGAAAAGAACACAGTGAAGAGAAAACCTATAGAATGGGAGAACATATTTGCAAACCATACATCTTATCAGGGGTAAGTTAATATCCAAAATATGTAAGGAATTCAAGCAACTTAATAGCAAGAAAACAACCCAATTTAAAAATGAACAAAGGACCTGAATAGACATTTCCCAAGAGAAGACTTACAAATGGTCAGCAGATATATTTTAAAAATGCTCATTACTAGTGAAGAAATGCAAACTAAAACCACAATGAGATATCATCTCACACCTCTTAGAATGGCTAGCATCAAAAAGATAAAAGGTAAGTTTTGGCAAGGATGTGGGGAAAAGGAAATCTTTGTATACATCAGGTGAGAATATAAATTAGTACAGCCATCATGAAAAAGAGTATAGAGCCCTTCAAAAAATTATAACTACCATATGATCCAGAAATCTCGCTATTGAGTATATATCCAAAGGATATAAAATCAGTATGTCAAAGAGATGTCTGCACACTCACTTGTTCATTCCAGCATTATTCACATTAGCCAAGATATGAAATCAACCTAAGTGTTTATCAATAAATGAATGGATAACAATATTTGGTATATATCCAGCCATTAAAGAAGAAGAAAATCCTGTCCTTTGAGACAACCTGGATGATCATCGGTATCAATATGCTAAGTAAAATAAGCCAAGCACAAAAAGACAAATACCCAAAGTCTAACCTATACATGAGATCTAAAAAAGTTGAACTCATAGTAGAGAATAGAATGGTGGTTACTAGAGGCTAGTGGCAGAGATAGAAGGTTGAGGAGATGTTGGTCAAAGGATACAAAATTTTAGTTAGATAGAAGGAATAAATTCAACAAACCTGTTGTACAACAGGGTGACTCACCTTTTACTTATTTCTTAGCTATTCCTCCTCCAGGTTATCGCTCAGTCACAGAATTCTGGTGTTTGAGTTCCCAAGCCAAGTGCATCTACTGTCCATCCTGCACACTGACTGGAGAATCCCAGATTTTAGATGGGGGTGGGGGTGGAGTAGAAGAGAGCAGCAGTCCTCATGATTTTCCTGAATTTCTTTGTCTTTTGCCACCTAAGCTCAGCTATTTCCTTTCAAGGCAATTTTTCTGTTAATATAATAGTATACTTTCATTTTAATTCCCTTTGTAAACTCATCTAAATCTTAACCAGTAATACTAAACAAATTTTTTTTTTAAACGTAACTGGCATTTTATTGAAAGTCAATTAACCCTGTATATATGGGCTTATTTTTGGACTACAGTCATTCCTGTTTTATAAACCTCCAATTTTTATTTATTTTTATTTATATTTTTCTAAAAACAAACAAAAAAAGGGATAGATGTGGAGAACGTGCAGGTTTGTTACATAGGTATACGTGTGCCATGGTGGTTTGCTGCACCTATTGACCCATCCTGTAAGTTCCCTCTCCTCAACCCCACCACCCAACAGGCCCTGGCGTGTTGTTCCCCTCTCTGTGTCCATGTGTTCTCAATGTTTGACTCCCACTTATGAGTGAGAACATGAGGTGTTTGAATTTCTGTTCCTGTGTTAGTTTACTGACAATGATGCCTTCCAGCTTCATCCATGTCCCTGCAAAGGACATGATCTCATTTGTTTTTATGACTGCATAGTTTTCTATGGTGTATATGTACCAAATTTTCTTTATCCAGTCTATCATTGATGGGGATTTGGGTTGGTTCCATGTCTTTGCTATTGTAAATAGTGCTGTAATAAACATACACGTCCTTGTGTCTTCATAGTAGAATGATTTATATTCTTTGGGTATATACCCAGTAATGGAATTGCTGGGTCAAATGGCATTTCTGGCTTAGATCCTTGAGGAATTGCCATACTGTCTTCCACTATGGTTAAACTAATTTACATTCCCACCAACAGTGTAAAAGCGTTCCTATTTCTCCACAGCCTCACCAGCATCTATTGTTTACTGACTTTTTAATAATCACCATTCTGACTGTCGTGAGATGGTATCTCACTGTGGTTTTGATTTGCATTTCTCTGATGATCAGTGATGTTGAGCTTTTTTTCTATGTTTGTTGGCCATGTAAATGTCTTCCTTTTGTAGCAGGACAAGCCACAGACAAAACCCCTCAGACACGAAGTTAAAGAAGAAAGGGGTTTATTTGTCCGGGAGCATTGGCAAGACTCCTGTCTCAGGAGCTGAGCTCTCCAAGTGAGCAATTCCTGTCCCTTTTAAGGGCTCACAACTTTAAGGGGGTCTGCTTGAGAGGGTCGTGATCGATTGAGCAAGCAGGGGATACGTGACTGGGGGCTGCATGCACCGGTAATTAGAACGGAACAGAATAGGACAGGGATTTTCACATACAGTGCTTTTCTATACAATGTCTGTAATCTATAGATAACATAATGGATTAGGTCAGGGGTCGATCTTTAACTGCCAGGCCCAGGATGTGGCACCGGGCTGTCTGCTTGTGGATTTCATTTCTGCCTTTTAGTTTTTACTTCTTCTTTCTTTGGAGGCAGAAATTGGGCATAAGACAATATGAGGGGTGGTCTCCTCTCTTACTTTGAGAAATGTCTGTTCATATCCTTTGCCCACTTTTTGATGGGGTTGTTTTTTTCTTGTAAATATGTTCAGGTACCTTGTAAATTCTGGATATTAGACCTTTGTCAGATGGGTAGATTGCAAAAATTTTCTCCCATTCCATCGGTTGCTTGTTCAGTCTGATAGTTTCTTTTGCTGTGCAGACGCTCTTTAGTTTAATTAGATCCCATTTGTCGATTTTGGCTTTTTTTATTTTTTATTTGAGACAGTCTCACTGTGTCACTCAGGCTGGAGTGCAGTGGCATGATCACTGCAACCTCTGCCTCCCGGGTTCAAGCAATTCTCCTGTCTCAGCCTCCCTAGTAGCTGGGACTACTGGTGCATACAACCACGCCCAGCTAATTTTTGTATTTTTAGTAGAGACAGGGTTTCACTGTATTGGTCAGGCTGATCTCAAACTCCTGACCTCAAGTGATCCACCTACCTCGGCCTCCCAAAGTGCTGGGATTACAGGTATGAGTCACTGCACCCGACCCAATTTTGTCTTCTGTTGCAATTGCTTTTGGCGTTTTTGTCATGAAATCTTTGCCCATGCTTATACCCTGAATGGTATTGCCTAGGATTTCTTATAGGGTTTTTATGGTTTGGGGTTTCACATTTAAGTCTTTAATCTATCTCAAGTTAATTTTTGTATAAGGTGTAAGGAAGGGGTACAGTTTCAGTTTTCTGCATATGACTAGCCAGTTTTCCCAGCACCATTTACTGAATAGGAGAGCCTTTCTCCATTGCTTGTTTCTGTCAGGTTTGTCGAAGATCAGATGGTTGTAGATGTGTGGTCTTATTTCTGAGGTCACTGTTCAGCTCTATTGGTCTGTATGTCTATTTTGGTACCAATACCATGCTGTTTTGGTTACTATAGCCCTGTAGTATAGTTTGAAGTTAGGTAGCATAATGCCTCCAGCTTTGTTCTTTTGGCTTAGTATTTTCTTGGCTATGTGGGGTCTTCTTTGATTCCATATTAAATTTAAAATAGTTTTTTCTAATTCTGTGAAGAATCTCAATGGTAGTTTGATGGGAATAGCTTTGAATCTATGAATTACTTTGGACAATATGGCCATTTTCATTATACTGATTCTTCCTATCCATGAAGATAGAATGTTTTTTCATTTGTTTGTGTCCTCTCTTATTTCCTTAAGTAGTGGTTTGTAGTTCTCCTTGAAGAGGTCATTCATATCCCTTGTTAGCTGTATTCCTGGTATTTTATTCTCTTTGTAGTGATTGTGAATAGGGGTTCATTCATGATTTGGCTCTCTGCTTGCCTGTTGTTGGTGTAACGGAATGCTTGTGATTTTTGCACATTGATTTTGTATCCTGAGACTTTGCTGAAGTTGCTTATCAGTTCAAGAAGTTTTGGGGCTGAGATGATGGGTTTTTTAAAATATAAAATCATGTCATCTGCAAACAGAAACAACTTGACTTCCTCTCTTCCTATTTGAATACTCTTTATTTCTTTCTCTTGCCTGATTGCCCTGGCCAGAACTTCCAATACTATGTTGAATAAGGGGTGGTGAAAGAGGGCATCCTTGTCTTCTACTGGTTTTCAAAGGGAGTGCTTCCAGCTTTTGCCCATTCAATCTGATATTGGCTGTGGGTTTGTCATAAACAGCTCTTGTTATTTTTAGGTATGTTCCATCAATATCTAGTTTATTGAGAGTTTTTAGCATGAAGGGGTGTTGAATTTTATCAAAGGCCTTTTCTGCATTTATTGAGATAATCATGTGGTTTTTGTCTTTGGTTCTGTTTATGTGATGGATTATGTGTATTGATTTGCATATGTTGAACCAGCCTTGCATCCCAGATATGAAACCGACTTGATCATGGTGGATAAGTTTTTTGATGTGCTGCTGGATTCAGTTTGCCAGTATTTTATTGAGGATTTTTGCATCGATGTTCGTCGGGGATATTGGCCTGAAGTTTTGTTTTTTGTTGCATCTCTTCCCAGTTTTGGTATCAGGATGATGCTGGCTTCATAAAATGAGTTAGGGAGGAGTCCCTCATTTTCAATTGTTTGAAATAGTTTCAGAAGGAATGGTACCAGCTCCTCTTTTTATTTCTGGTAGAATTCAGCTGTGAATCTGTCTGGTCCTGGGCTTTTTTTAGTTGGTAGGCTATTAATTACTGCCTGAATTTCAGAGCTTGTTATTGGTCTATTCAGGGATTCAACTTCTTCCTGGTTTAGTCTTGGTAGGGTGTATGCATCCAAGAATTTATCCATTTCTTCTAGATTTTCTAGTTTATTTGCATAGAGGTGTTTATAGTATTAACTGATGGTAGTTTGTATTTTCATGAGGTCACAGTGGTGATACCCCATTTATCATTTTTTATTGTGTCTATTTGATTCTTCTGTTCTTTTTTATTAGTCTAGCTAGGGGTCTATCTATTTTGTTAATTTTTTCAAAAAACCATCTCCTGGATTCATTGATTTTTTTTTTTGGAGGGTTTTTTGTGTATCTCCTTCAATTCTTCTCTGATCTTAGTTATTTCTTGTCTTCCGCTAGCCTTTGGACAGGTTTGCTCTTGCCTCTGTAGCTCTTTCAGTTGTGATGTTAGGATATCAATTTGAGATCTTTCTAGCTTTCTGATGTAGGCATTTAGTGCTGTAAATTTCCCTCTTAACACTGCTTTAGCTGTGTCCCAGAGATTCTGGTACATTGTCTCTTTGTTCTCATTGGTTTCAGAGAACTTCTTGATTTCTGCCTTAATTTCATTATTTACCTGGGAGTCATTCAGGAGCAGGTTGTTCAATTTCCATGAAATTATATGGTTTTGAGTGAGCTGCTTAATCTTGAGTTCTAATTTGATTTCACTGTAGTCTGAGAGACTATTCGTTATGATTTCAGTAATTTTGCATTCTCTGAGGAGTGTTTTACTTTCAATGATGTGGTTGATTTTAGAATAAGTGCCATGTGGCACTGAGAAGAATGTATATTCTGTTGATTTGGGGTAGAGAGTTCTATAGATGTCTACTAGGTCCACTTGATCCAGAGCAGAGTTCAAGTCCTGAATGTGCTTGTTAATTTTCTGCCTTGTTGATCTAATACTGACAGTGGTAAGTCTCCCACTATTATTATGTGGGAGGCTAAGTCTCTTTGTAGGTCTGTAAGAACTTGTTTTATGAATCTGGTTACTCCTGTATTAGAGGTATATATATTTAGAATAGTTTGCTTTTCTTGTTCAATTCTTCCCTTAACCATTATGTAATGCCTTTCTTTGTCTTTTTTGATTTTTGTTGGTTTAAAATCTGTTTTGTCAGAGACTAGGATTGCAACCCCTGCTTTTTTTTTTTTTTTTTTTTTTGCTATACATTTGCTTGGTAAATTTTCCCCCATCCCTTTATTTTGAGCCTATGTGTGTCTTTGCATGTGAGATGGGTCCCCTGAATACAGCACACTGATGGGTCTTGACTCCTTATCCAATTTGCCAGTCTGTATCTTCTGATTGGGGCATTTAGCTCTTTTACATTTAAGGTTAGTATTGTTATGTGAAAATTTGAGCCTGTCATCATTATACTATTTGGTTATTTTGCACACTAGTTGATGCAGTTTATTTGTAGTGTCATTGGTCTTTATATTTTGGTATGTTTTTGCAGTGGCTGGTACTGGTTTTTCCTTTCCATATTTAGTGCTTCTTTCAGGATCTCTTGCAGGGCAGGCCTAGTGGTAACAAAATCTCTCAGCATTTGCTTGTCTGGAAAGGATTTTATTTCTCCACTTATGAAGCTCAGTTTGGCTGGATATGAAATTCTGGGTTGAAAATTCTTTAAGAATCTCAAATATTGACCCCCGATTTCTTCTGGCTTGTAGAGTTTCTCTGAGAGGTCTGCTGTTAGTCTGATGGGCTTCACTTTGTAGGTGACCCGGCCTTTCTCTTTGGCTGCCCTTAACAGTTTTTCCTTTATTTTGACCTTGGAGAAACTGATGATTATGTGTCTTGGGGTTGATCTTCTCGTGGAGTATCTTAACGGTGTTCTCTGTATTTCTTGAATTTGCATGTTGGCCTGTCTTGCTAGGTTGGGATAATATCCTGAAGCGTGTTTTCCAGCCTTGTTTCCATTCTCCCCATCTCCTTCTGGTACTCCAGTCAATCATAGGTTCAGTCTTTTTATGAAGTCCCATATTTCTTGGAGGCTTTGTTCATTCCTTTTCATTATTTTTTCTCTATTCTCATCTGCATGTCTTATTTCAGCAAGGTGGTCTTCAAATTCTGATATCCTTTCTTTGCTTGATCGATTCAGCTTTTGATACTTGTGTATGTTTCATGAAGTTCTCATGTTGTGTTTTTCAGCTCCATCAGGTCGTTTATGTTCCTCTCTAAACTGGTTATTCTAGTTAGCAATTCCTCTAACCTTTTATCAAGTTTCTTAGCTTCTTTGCATTGCATTGGGTTACAACATGCTCCTTTTGCTTATCATAGTATTTTATTACCCATCTTCTTAAGCCTGCTTCTGTCAATTGTCCATCTGATCCTGCATCCAATTCTGCACCCTTGATAGAGAGACGTTGTGATCATTTGGAGGAGAAGAGGCACTCTGGTCTTTTGGGTTTTCGGCATTTTTTCATTGATTCTTTCTCCTCTTCATGAGTTTCTCTAGTTTTGGTCTTCAAGGCTGCTGACACTTGGATGGGGTTTTTGTGGGGGCCTTTTTGTTGTTGTTTTTGTTGATGTTGTTGTTGTCGCTTTCTGCTTGTTTTTCTTTCACTAGTCAGGTCCCTCTTCTGTAGGGCTGCTGCAGTTTGCTGGGGGTTCACTCAGGCCCTATTCATCTGATTTGCTCCCATGCCTGGAGATGTCACTCAAGGAGGCTGGAGAGCAGCAAAGATGGGTGCCTGCTCCTTCTTCTGGGATCTCTGACCTCGAAGGGGCTAGAACCTGATGCCAGTAGGATCACTCCTGTATAGGGTGTCTGACAACCCCTGTTGAAGCGTCTCACCCAGTTGGGTGGCACAGGGAGCAGGACTCATTTAAGGGAGCACTTTGTCCCTTGGTGGAGAGGGTGTGTTTCACTGGGGGGAAACCATCTCATCTGGGCTGCCTGTATTCCTTAGAACTACCAGGAGGAGAGACTAAGTCTCTGATCTTCAGAGACTGTGGCCACCCCTCCTGCTAGGGGCTCAGGCCCAGGGAGATCCAAATTCTGTCCGTGAGCCTCTGGCTGGAGTTTTTGGACTTCCTGCAGTGAAGCACCCCCGCCCCCCCCCCGCTCCCCCCCCACCCCCCGGCCTCACGCAATGAGGAAGGATGGGTCAGGGTCATGCCTGAAGAGACACTGGCTGCAAACTACCACAGCCGGTGTGTTGGGCTGTGGAGACGAGTCTTGGGACCAAGCGGTCCAGCCTCCCTGGCTCCAGCAGGTGAAAAGCACAGCCTGGAGCTGTAGAAATGGGTGCCGCCCTTCCCCCCGCTCAGGGAGCTCAGCGTGTTAGGCAGTTGCCAGTCCCATTGCTGGCTGCTGCCTCTCCCCCAAGAAGCTCGAACAGCTTAGACAGCAGACAGCTGCAGCTGTGGTGCTCACGGTCGCCCCTCCCCTAAGGAGTTTGGTAGGCTTAAGCAGATTCCGGAGCTGAGCGTTGGGACGCTAGGCCCTGGTGGTGTGGGTTCGTGACTGGGATCTTCCGATCCGTGGGTTGCACAGTTCCATGGAAAAAGCACAGTTTCCTCAGCTGGGTAGCATGCTCACTCACCACCTCCCTTGGTATTCCCCTGCCCTGTGTGGTTCTCAGCTGGGCCGCTGCACCACACTGCTCTTCCTTCTCTCCGTGGGCCACACCAGCCTTCTAGTCAATTTTGGTGAGAGAACCTGGCTGCCCTGGTTGCTGGTGAAGGATTCATACACTTATTATGGGTTTTTTTCCATGGGAGGCTCCAAATGCCGCTGCTTCTAATCGACTGTTTTAGCCCCACCCCCCCAATTTTTTTTTTTTTTAACTTTGTAATAACATAGTTTAGGACAAAAGGCGAAGTCTTTGATGTCAGACAGACTTAAGTGTTAATAACTAATCGAGGTTATTTGGGCAAGTTTCACAATCTGTCTGAAACTCAATTTTCTCATCTGTAAATTGGGGTGGTTATTATTATTGGGTTGCTAAATATATGGCAGGCTATGACTTGGTGAAAAACATGCAAGTATTTAGCTGTGATACCACCAACATTTCCTTGATAGAGATATATAGATCCTTGACCATTTATGGCCTCTGCTATGAACTGAATGTTTGTGTCTTCTCAAAATGAATATGTTGAAGCCCCAACCCACAATGTGACTGTGTTTAGGGACAGGCTCTGTGAGAAGGTGATGAAGGCTAAATGAGGTCATAAGGGTGAGGTCCTAATTTGATAGGACTGGTGTTCTTATAAGAAAAGGATGAAACACCAGAGTGCTCTTGCCATCACGTGAGCACCAAGTGAAAAGGCAGCCATCTGCAAGCCAAGAAGAAGGCCCTCACGGGGAATTGAACCATACCTTAATCTTTAGCTCCTTAGCCTCCAGCACTGGGAGAAATCAAAGTTCTGTTGTTTAAGCCACCTGGTCTACGATATGTTGTTATAGCAGCCCAAGGTGACTTAGTTAGCCTCTCCACCAGCTTATGGTATAAGAGGCAATGCAGCCAAGTCTCTGAGCTGGTAAACTTCTCACTATGCACTGGTTGCAGCAGCTACTGAATTTTGACCATACTCCAGGAGAAGGAGGAGTCACTGAGGATAGCATCCACTCCCTTTATCTTGTGTATTTTTTTTTTTTTTTTGGCACCAATTGTTGGTTTGATAGTGGAAACACTTTAAGCCAAGTCCCAATCATCATTCTTCCCATTTTTTGAACATAAATCAGCCCTTTGTGAACTAGCCTAGTCAAATGTCTTAGAGGAGATAATTTTTCTTTGATTCAAATTTAGGTGTAGAAAAATATTGTATGACCTCTTTTTACCTAAAATCAAATGAAATACGATTCTGGGCTTCCATCACACCAGATGTTTAGGTAGTTTAGTCATTGGAATTATTGCTTCTCCCCCTCTTTCTGGCCTGGAACAGTTCCCAGGATCTTAAATAGAACATTACACTAAGGTAAGGCCTCCCAATTTCCATATGCACTAGTCACTACTAATATTTTCATTATCTGAACATGCAGGGTCCTTCAAGTTGATGATTCTGCTTTGACATCAAATGCAGTGAATGGAATCTTTGATGAGTCCTGGGAGCACAGACCAGCCTTGTAACTTGCTGTAAGCCCTGATACTCTCTTAGGGTATCCAAAGGGTATGAGGTTCAGAGTCATAATTTTTATTCCCTTTCAGCTCCCAAGAGGACTCTCCTCTTTTCTCCTGACCTCAAGGATATCCTCAGGGTACCCAACTCTTTCCCTACTCCTTTGGATATGATTTAGTGGGATCCCCATAATGTAGACCTTGAAAAGCAAAATCCAGAAAAAGAATGCAGTTGGCTTTCCATATCTTTGGGTTCAGTATCCATGGATTCAACCAATTGAAGATCAAAAATATTTGGAAAAATAATTATATCTGTACTGGACATCTATAGATTTTTTTCTTGTCATTATTCCCTAAACAGTATAGTACAGCTATTTACATAGTATTTACATTGTCATAGGAACTATAAGTAATCTAAAGATGCTTTTAAGTATAAGGATGTGCATAGGTTATATGCAAATATGCCATTTTGTATCAAGGACTTGAGCATCCTTGGATTTTGGTATCTGCAAGAGGTCCAGAACCAATCCCTCATGGATACAGAAATTTCCGGACAACTCTGCTTTGAAACTTTCTTTACAAATCCCTCCCTTGACAAAGCCTTGGCTATTACTTAGTGGAGAAAGAAGAACAGAAAAATTTAGAACAAAACACAAACATCTCCATAAACTTCCCAATATATATATATCATAGCAATTGGAATATATTACAAGCTCAGAAAATGTTATTTTCTTTCTTCCCATTCTTTATTTTTTCCCATTTTTCCCAAAAATGGTACATTGATTAGCTTGAAGGCAAAAAAAAAAAAGAGGAGGGGTGGTGTTGCTAATCTTAGCTGGCAAAAAAAAAAAAAAAAAAAAAAAAAAAAAAAGGAGGGGAGGCCTAATCTTAGTTTAACTAATGTTAATACTGACCAGGTTAAATAACACTTTAATATACTAAGGTAATATTAAAAGAAGGCTGTCTGTCTTCACTGACTCTTTTCCCATCAGATTTCCAGAACTTGCTACATGCAAAACCCAGTGGAATGAGGAGTCTGATGCCTCATTTTTGATGTTCACTGCTGTCAGCTTTTAATTTTCACTTTTCACTCTTCCCTTTGCCACTTTTCCCTCTTCCCTTTTCCACATCTAGGTGAGCTGATAAAAAAGCCTGGTGCTTCCTCCTTTGGCATCTGTGAGAGAGCCAAACCTTGTAAACCTCTGCTCACCCACAGGAACTCTCACCCGAGCCCCACCCACTAGCCACAAAACAAAACAAAACAAAACAAAACAAAACAAAAAACACAGTTTATTCTCATTCCTCTCCCTCTCAAGTCATTTTGGACATGTTTAAGAGATTTGCCCTAATCTCCCCCAGAGACCTCAAACATGTAAGTAATACAACTTTTCGTACTCTCTTGGTGTATGTGGTATCATCAGTCTTGATGTTGGAACCACATTTTGGGTGGGGGTATGTCTGCCTCTGTAGGTAACCATAACACTCACAAAGAAGATGCAACTCAGAGACGGGGTGGGAGGAGAAAGAAAGAGAATGCCAAATTATGTAATTTAAATTACAAAATAAGTTATTGAAATTTAAAGCACACAATAGTTTTGAATCCAAAACAAGCTTGATATGCTATTTGATTGTAAGAATCCAGAACCTGGCAACTTAGAAATTAAAATTTATACCTTGGCCTCTAGACTATGAAAAAGCACTAGATACTATAAAATCCTTTTTTCTACCCCAATCAAAATTCCAATCGGCAGATGGAATGAAGAATTTTAGGAATGAAAGGCACGCTACTTGTTCAGCCCCAGGGGATTTAATCCCAGGGAGTTGTGATAGAATCACCCATTGAGATTAAGGGGCTTCTGCCTCAGTTTTTGGGGTGTAGCCCAAGGAAACTGCCTCTAAGCGAAGTCTCACCTAATATGGCACTAGAAAAGCATGCACCTGCCACTGCCACCCTTGTGTAGCGTGGAGATAGCAGCTGGCAGAGAAGCAAAGATAAAAGGTCAGTAGGCAAGGAAGGGCTGGGAAATTTGAAAGGTCAGAGAGATCTGGGATGAGGCCGATTAAGATTCACTGTAAGCATTAACCCCCAAATACTGGTGACTTACAACAATAAATACTTATTTCTCACTCAAGGATCTTCAGGTCAACTGTGGTGGGACTGTTCTAGGCTGTTAGTCACGTTCAGGTTTACTTGGCATGTTTTCTCCATGCAAAGACTAGTGACATAGTTTGGATATTTAACCCTGCCCAAATCTCATGTTGAAATGTAATCCTCAATGTTGGAGGTGGAGCCTGGTGGGAGGTGTTTGGATCATGGGTGTGGATCCCTCGTGCCTTGATGCTGTCTTCATGGTAGTGAGTTCTCACAAGATCTGGTCATTTAAAAGTGTGTGGCACCTCTCCCCCGAGATCCCCCTGCCCCCACCAATTTTCTATCTCTTGCTCCTACTTTTACCATGTGATACGAACTCTTGCTTCACCTTCCACCATGAGTAAAAGCTCCCTGAGGCCCCCAGAAGCCAAGCAATATTGGTGCTATGATTCCTGTACAGCCTGCAGAACTGTGAGGCAATTTAACCTCTTTTCTTTATAAATTACCCACCCAGTCTCAGGTATTTATTTATAGCAATGCAAGAACACCCTAACATAGGCTGAAGGGACAGCTGCTAACTTGGACATGCTGTCCTTCTGATGAAGGGTGAGTGCAAGCATGATAGAAGAAACTCGCAAATCTTCTATGTGGATCTGACACATGGTCACTTCTCTCCATGTTCCATTGGACAAAAATAGAATCAAAAGGTTTCCAGAAAATCCAATCATATGATAATTAGAAAATTGGGCACATACCAGAAAAAAAATCACACAAATAATCCACTGATGATACTTAGATATATTTCCTGAGAAATTTTCTGTGCATTTGTATAGTGGTTGAGATTATATTATGCATGTAGTTTTGCTTTTTTCCTTTTGTCCTTAGTAAATATGAACTATACTTTTCCTAATTACTTGTCCATGGGGACAAGCAATTGCTTCTAATTGCTTCTAATTTTTAAATTATATCTTGCTGCATAAATATCTTTTTTTTTCTTTTTCTTTTCTTTTCTTTCTTTCTTTTTTTTTTTTTTGAGACAGGGTCTCACTCTGTCACCCAGGCTGGCTGGAGTGCAGTGGTGTGATCTCAGCTCACTGCAGCTTCAACCTCCTGGATTCAAGCCATCCTCCCACCTCAGCCTCCCAAGTAGCTGGGACTACAGATGTGTGCCATCACACCTGGCTAATTTTTGTATTTTTAGTAGAAACAGGATTTCACCACATTGCCCAGGCTGGTCTGCAACTCCTGAGCTCAAGCAATCTGCCTGCCTTGGCCTCCCAAAGTGCTGGGAATATAGGCATGAGCCACTATGCTCAGCCTTGCATAAACATCTTTATGCGTGAAGCTACAAATCATGAATCTGAAGTAAAATTAATCAGTTTCAACTTCCAAGGCATTTGACAGTCCATCTATTAGGTTGAACTGTATGAAATTACTGATACTTGACAATTGACCTTCAAAAACAGCAAGTTCATATATTTCAAGCAAAATAAATGTACCTTCTTGTGCTACATAATGACATTTCAGTCAACAATGGACTGCATATGCAACAGTGGTCCCATAAGATTATAATGGAGTGAAAAATTCCTGTTGAAATCATCCCTATTCATTTTATGAAATTAATCAGGGAAGAAAGGAAGGGTAGAAATGAAAATAAACCAAGCTGCAGCACATTCAGCATTAACCATCAGGTCAGACTGCTCTCTGACCCACTTCCTCATAGTTGTTTGCTTCCTATTGCCCCAGAGTTACGTGGACCCCGTCTCAAGATTATTGTCCCCCTTAACTGCTCTATAGATAACAACTTAAGCATTGTGAAGCATTAAGTTTTCCATTCAAGATTTTCTTTCAGGTCCTGCCTACGGGCAAAACTGATGTTAAAGAATGCAATTTCCACGTTCTATTGATTTCATCCTCCTTGTCTCAGTTAATCAATGACCCTAAATTTTCCAGCCCCTTGCTCTCCATGACCACCTTAAAAACTCCAGCCCAAAACTCCTTGAGAAGACAGGTTTGTGGGTTCCTCCCATCTCCTTGCTCAGCTGCCCTGTGACTATTAAACTTTCTCTGCTGCAAATCCTGCTGACTCAATGTATTGGGATGTTACTGTGCAGTGGGCATGCAAACCTGTGGTCCTGTAACACTATTACCTAGTACCCTGTAAACATCATAATGTGCAATGTATTACTCACATGATTGTGGTGACGCTGGTATAAAGAAACTTCCTGCACTGCTAGTCATATAAAATTATAGCACAATTATATGCAGTACATAACACTTGACAATTATAATAAATTGCTCTGTTACTGGTTTATGTATTTATTATACTTTTATTCTTATTTTAGATTCTACCCTTTCTACTTATTGAAAACAATTTACTGTATAATAGTATGCTATGTTACCCCATCAACAACCTCATTCATTTCAATGTTTACCTGGTCTCTTGACTACATCATTTTCTGTTATGTTTGGTTTAAGCATTATTATGAAGCAGTCAAAAATTTAAAAAAAAATTAAAGAGTTTATAAAGTCAAAATATTATGGTAAGCTAAGGTTAATTTATTATTGAAGAAAGATCTTTTTTGTAAATTCAGGGTAGGCTATGTGTAGTATTTATGGAAGCTACAGAAATGTAAAGTAATATACTAGGCCTTCCCATTCACGCACCACTCATTCATTGACTCACCAAGAGCAACTTCCAGTCCTGCAAGCTCCATTCATGGTAAATTCTCTATACAGTTGTATCATTTTTTATGCCTTTCATATAATATTTTTACTGTACTCTTTCTATGTTTACCTATATTTAGATACACAAATATTTACCGTTGTGCTACCATATTCAGTACAGTAACAAGCTGTACAGATTTGTAGCCTATGAACAAAAGGCTATATGATATTGCCTAGGTGTGCAGTGGGCTATACCATCTAGGTTTGTGTAAGTACACCCTAAAATGTTCAGACAACAATGAAATCACCAATGACACATTTCTCAGAACATATCCCAATTATTAAGGGATTTGTGACTATATTTTAGAATTTTCTTATGCCTTAATTTCATCTCATGATTATCTCTCTTTAAATCTGTTTTCTTAAGCATGAATATTATAAATTAAAGTCAACTAATTTGTTTGCTTTTCTGTTTCCTTTGACTTATATTTAACCACAGATTTTGTTTAATCAAGTTTTACTATACATAAAGTTAATAAATATCATCTACAGTGTTTTGCCAGGGGTTGGCAGAAGTGAGTGACCTTTGAGATATAACCAATTTGTTACATGGAGGAAAATTGACACTTAAAATATTGATAAAATGAGGCTATTTTTTGAACATTAAGATATTACAAGAGGCAAATTTGCCCACACATATTTTACTTATGGATTATTACTAGGTTTGTTGGTAACAGATAAATGTAGCTTACTCTACTGAACTAGAAGGGAATCTAAAGTAGGAAAAGTTCTCAAGGCCTTATAAATGGCAACAGGCTGGAAAAGTAGGATAAATACAAATATTGCTTACATTGACCTCTGTGGCAATATTTTTAAGGGAGACTCTTTAACAAAGGGTAAATATATAAAGAGGCTTTGAATAGTTTTGTGGTCAGACATATAATGCTGTGGTGTTCTGGCATCACCATTACCAATATTTGTGTAGTACTTTTAGCTTTAAAATAGTGCATCATTCAATTTTTTATATGATCCCAAAAATGCTGTGTTTTCCACACTCAGAGAATCAAAGTTTTAAGATAAGAAGAGGCCTCAGATATTCTTTAATCCAATAGCCTAATTTCACACCTGAGGAAATTGAGTCTGAAAACATTGACACCATTTGTCCTTATCATTGTTGAAAGACTAAATTTACTGATAAATCTCAGCTGATTTCTACAGCTTATCTTAACAATGAGACCATGCAATATAAAAACAGAAGTGCTAGCAGAGTTGCAAGACAACATACAGGACACCAGTTAAATTTGAATTTCAGATAAACAATTTTATTTAGCGTACATACTTTCTATACAATATTTGATATATACTAAAAAATTATTCTTTGCTTATCTAATTCAAAATTAACTGGGTATCCTGAGCTTTTTTCTGCTAAATCTGGTGACCCTAGAACAAGGGTTGTTGTAAAATAGCCTATATTAAATCAAAACAATAAAATGCTTTTGTTTCAAAGCTTCAGACAAAAGTCTGTTGAAATCCAGTATTCCATCCTTTAGATGAATCAGCTTCTTTTTCTCTAAGCTCATTTTTCAGAAAATAACCAGTTAATTTTGAGGTGGCACTATTGCTGTACAAAGGAATAATAAAAAGACACAATTTGATATATTTTTGATAACACATACAAACTGGCTAATTAGAAATAACATAAAAAAGAAAGCACAAAAGTGTTAATCTTTCCCATTGGTAGCTCTGATGCAATTTTGATGGGAAATTACATTTTATTCAGTGCTTACTATGTCCCAGTCACAAAATCTCTTTGAGAAAAGCATTATTATTCTAATTTCAGAGATGAGAAAGCAGAGCTGCCTGGAAATGAAATTACTTGCCATTTATTCCACTGAGGGGTGGAATTAGGTCTCCAAAATCAATCTGTTTGGAGTCAAAAGCTTACGGTCTTTCTCCTGAATTACACCATTTGATGAAAAAGGAATTTGGAAACATTATTTGTTGCCTCCTCAACATTATCCACTCACTCCTCCATATTCTCATTGTCCGATATCTTCTTTGCCAACTGAATACTGATTTTTTTCAATTCCTCAGGAAAGGCCCTTATCCTCAACTCTGGCTGTATATTCTGATAGTTTAAATCATCATAGTAATCTTTCCTTTGTTAGTGATTGGATTAGGGTAGTTAGTGGTTTGTAAACTTCAATGTATGTCAAAATTACTTGGAGAGCTTGTTAAAATACAGATTGTTGGACCCCACCGTGACCTTCTGATTCAGGAGGTGTCTTATGAGGTTGGAGATTTTGCATTCCTAACAAGTTCCTAGTGAAGGTGACAATGCTGGTAGGGACCATGATTTGAGAATCACTATTTTAGGGGTAGCTCTGTGACCAGTTGTGGCCAATGAGATGAGAGAAGTCTTCTGGGAATTGTTTCCTCATGATTCAAAGACAATACATTTTCTTATTACTTGAAATTATTTGTACCATATTCTTCTAAAGTAATCCTACTTGATGCAAGAGAATTAGAAGTTATTATCCAAGTTATTACTTGTAAGTCTTAGCTGCTCATGATATGATTGATTTGCTAATCTATATTTCATCATAGATTAGCAAATCCTGTGGCATATATGTTTACAAAATATTTAGCTTCTTTGTTAGAGGTAGCTATCGCATTAAAAGGCTATTATAAAAGTGTCTATCATAGGTAGCCAAAATAAATAGAATATATTACTTCGTCACAAAAGTCCTATTGTTAGGCTGTGCAGTATATTGGACACATGGTCTGAAATGTGCATCTCTAGACATCCAGCTTGTTTTGTGGGCTGTTAAAGGGTTTCGGCACTAGACGGTGAACATATTTTATTTAGTAGCTAAGTATTGCCGACCAAGGATTTCCAGGCAATCTGCAGGCATTTGAAAACATACATACTCAATATAGTTATTTTGAGGTTATTTTAATGAAAATATTGTAATCACATGGTTCACATGATCTATTCTTAAAATACATTAAGTATAGTAGTTGTATTTGAAACAAGAATCAAGGCAAACCTAAACTCATCCAGGAATGCTCATCATTTCAGCTGAATGAATACATGGCTTCAGATGCTGTTTAGTTTCTATGCAAGAAGTGCTGACCAGTGCTGCTCTTCCTGACTCTGCTAACACCAGTGTCAAGGTTTGCTTTGTACTTAGCTAAAATGTCACAATTTATATTTTTAATAACTAGCTATTTCATTTTAGAGTGTTCTTCACCTGTACTGAGTTGATGCAATGGAACATTTTTGTGTTATACCATTCAACCTCTAAAACAAACTCTACTCAAACTAAACTCAAAGGAGAAGTGCATGGCATCCTTTTAGGCTACTTGTAGCATGATTATTTTCTGCTCAATTAAATTTACCTCTGTTACCTTGGTAACCAAACTATTAGCTCGCTGCCAACATATTTTTATTCCTCCTTGTATTATTTTGGATATCTGCATTTTGTAGCTTCCCCATAAGGTTCTCAAGCCAAGTTTTTTATAAACTCAGGTCCTTCCTTGTCTATTGAACTTACATTATGTATCTCCTATCTTCCACTTAGAAAAGGAAACGGTAAATCTCTTTTGAATAATTTAAGCAACACTTTATTTAAAAAAATGTTTTTCATATTATTAAAATGGTCTCACTTTCCTGGTTTGTTTCCTTCATAGCTATCATTTCACAATTACTATTTGCCAGACACTATTTAAACACTTTTCAAATATTAACTAATTTAATTGTCATAACAAGCCTATGAAGTAATACTAGTATCCTTAATTTATCAATGAGGGAAATCAGAAACAAACATTATTTGAGTTGCCCAATTCAAACAGCTAGTAAGTGATAGAGGCAAGATTTGAACCCAAACATTAGTTTTAAACATCTGAGTTTATCAGTCTTACATAAATAGCAATTAGAAGTCCTCAAATAAACCAGTATTGTTAAGATAACAATTTACTGATTACATTTAGGTAGGTCTTTTGACTAATGCTAATCATAAAGGCCAATATTAGATGTGAATATAATCTGCTCCTGAAAAAGCATTGAATCTTACATTTTTTAAATGTGAAAATGTGAAAGTAATTTATTCCTAGTCCACCTCATAATCTTAAGCAATTCTCCAAATATCACTAAGATATACTTAGACACATTTATAACATCTACCAAGGATTTCTGCAGAATATAAAGCATGAAAAACACCAATTACCTAATTATATGATATTGAATGAACTCATATTTGGGCTTTGCAGTATGCAGCAATACTGAACAATAATAGATGTGAATTCTTTTTCTTCTGGAAATTCATGGAAATGAATAAAGTGTGATGTAAAACATGAATATGTTAGAGCTACATAATGAATGCAAATAACTCTTAGCAATAAAAAATAAGTAATAATGCAATTAACATTGGAACTTCCTAGTAGAAGAATTGCCTCAGTGGCATTTGGCAGCAAGAGAAAAGGCATACTTATCATAATATGGAGTAAAGATGATAACACATCCTAATATATAGTGTATTTAAACAAGACAAGCACAAGATGTGATCCTATCAGAATACCTGAGATATGACTATCTGCTACTAAACATTTTCTCCCTTGGTCTCCTGTGTGACTTAAATGTTTCCCTGGTGTATGCATAAACATTTCAATTAGAGTAGTAAATTTTGGAGATTACTTTCTTTGTAAGCCATCAAAATACATATTTGGATGATGGAATTTCAGATAAGCTTTGGATTATTTTATTAGCTTCAGCTTGTTGGAACATGAGTTATAAATGCATTCCCTGGTTTAGAAAAGAAGACACTAATTCTTGACATAAAGTTTTTGATTAATAGAGCAAATTGTTGGTACGTTGGCTTTTGAGTGATTTTCCTAGATTTTCAAATGGACAATGCCAATTCCTTTTTTTTTTGTATTTAGAAGACAAATACTTTTAAATAAAGTTAATTTGTAAATTGAAAGATAATGTGTTATTCCAGTCATAAAACTGATGTTAAATCAAGTGGAGGAATAGGGGTTTTGTGGTAGATTGGATTGATTGCATTACAAGTCCAAAATTTTTATTGGTAATGAGCCATACTTCTCAGTTTGGCTTAGATTTGTATATAGTTTCTATAAAATGTAATAGAAGTACAATGTAATAGATTCTACTTTATTTAAAGGAAATCTCTCATGACCTACCTCTGTCTTAATGTCCAGTATAAGGAATGGATTTTGCTGACTCTCCCCTACTGCCTTGGTTGAACTCCCATTTAACCATTCATGGAATTATTCCCTGAAAACAGTGAAGCTATTAGGCAGTCTTAGGAATGGGCTATAACTTCAATTATTATAAACTTAGGTTCTTTAATGTTATTGTTTAGATGAAATATAGACATTTATTATGGGTTTAGGATTAATAAATCCCTAGTATATTTTTAAATTTTATTTAAATTTAAATGTTTTTTAAAATTACCTAATTTAAATTTAGAAATTCTATAAAGTAGATATATTATTTCCATTTTACAAATAATAAAACTAGGACTGAAAGGCTTTGAAGCCCAATGTCACATAGCCAATATGTGGGTGAATCATATTGATTCAATTATCTGACTCCAAGGGATTTCAGGTGCATTTTCAAACCCTGAAATAGGTAGGGTACAGTCAATTTTACACTAAAATTTTTCTGTAGGAATCCAATGAGTTTCCTGTAGTTCAGCTGTATGTCTTAGAGAAGCAAGAACAAGTATAGTCTTAGAGGATATGTCCTAATCCACTCTTACTACACAGGTGCAATCATAAAATAAACATAGAAGAAAAATAAATCATTTAAATAGCAATGATGATGCGTGTTAGATTTCTCCAAAGAGGTAGAACGCATAGAATATAGTTGAATAGAAAGATATAGATAGATCTCTATATAAGAGGATATTTATTTGGGGAATTGGTTCACACAATTATAGAAGTCAAGATGTCCCATGGTATGCTGTTTGTAAACTGGAGAATCAAGAGACCCAGTGAGGTAATTCAGCCTGGGTCAGAAGGTCTGAGAAATACATGGGCTAATGATGTAACTTCCAGTTCAAGACCAAAGACCTGAGAACCAAGGGACCACTGATGTAAATCCTGCTGTCTAAAGGCTTGAACCAGAGGCTCCAATGTCCAATCAAAAGAAGATGGGTGTCCCAGTTCATGAAAAGTGAGAATTCAGCCTTCCTCTGAACTTTTGTTCTATTCGGGCTCTTGGCAGATTGGATGATGCTCACCCACACGGGTGAAGATGGATCTTCTTAATTCACTCTGTTAATTTAAATGTTAATCCCTTTTGAAAACAACCTCATGGATGCACCCAGAAATAATGTTTTATCAGCTATCTATGCATCTGTTAGCCCACTCAAGTTGATGCATGAAGTTAACCATGACATGGTGGTAAGAAAGAAAAAAAGGGAATTTATATATTTATATATGGAAGAGTATGATCTATAATAAAAATATTATACATAATATGTATTATCTATAGTAGAATATTTTATCTATATATAGATATAGGAGAGTGACAGCAAAAACTTATGGAATGGTAGGATGATCCTACATTTGAAATTCTTGTCTTTCGTTAGTTGCTGTGCTGCCTCCTTGACCCTCTTCTAAGATTTTAACAGCACAAGATGTGCAATGGTGAATTAAACATGCATAATCTGCTGTTTTATTAAAGTCAGGGATTTAAATGTGATTTTAAACTTTAACTGGAACAGATTCAACACAACCCTCTCAATTTCTATATGAAGAATAAAGCTCAGAATGGTGACATGATTTAATTTAGGTCACACTTATAAGTAGCTGCAAAGTAGGACTAGACTCCCAGCCTGCTAACTCTCAATCAAGTCACCTTTCCCACTGAAGAGGGCCTTTTTAAAGTCTTTTTATTCAATATACATACACTTTACTAAGGGTTCATAGAAACCTGTCACAACAGAGTCTGTACATTTTCCTTTCTTTTCTTTTTTTTAATTATACTTTAAGTTTTAGGGTACATATGCACAACGTGCAGGTTTGTTATATATGTATACATGTGCCATGTTGGTGTGCTGCACCCATTAACTCGTCATTTAGCATTAGGTATATCTCCTAATGCTATCTCCCCCCCCACCCCCACCCCACAACAGTCCCCAGTGTGTGATGTTCCCCTTCCTGTGTCCATGTGTTCTCACTGTTCAATTCCCACCTATGAGTGAGAACATGCGGTGTTTGGTTTTTTGTCCTTGCGATAGTTTGCTGAGAATGATAGTTTCCAGCTTCATCCATGTCCCTACAAAGGATATGGACTCATCCTTTTTTATGGCTGCATAGTATTCCACAGTGTATATGTGCCACATTTTCTTAATCCAGTCTATCATTGTTGGACATTTGGGTTGGTTCTAAGTGCTATTGTGACTAGTGCCGCAATAAACATATGTGTGCATGCGTCTTTATAGCAGCATGATTTATAATCCTTTGGGTATATACCCAGTAATGGCATGGCTGGGTCAAATGGTAATTCTAGTTCTAGATCCCTGAGGAATCGCCACATTGACTTCCACAAGGGTTGAACTAGTTTGCAGTCCCACCAACAGTGTAAAAGTGTTCCTATTTCTCCACATCCTCTTCAGCACCTGTTGTTTCCTGACTTTTTAATGATTGCCATTCTAACTGGTGTGAGATGGTATCTCATTGTGGTTTTGATTTGCATTTCTCTGATAGCTAGTGATGATGAGCATTTTTTCATGTGTCTTTTGGTTGCATAAATGTCTTCTTTTGAGAAGTGTCTGTTCATATCCTTTACCCACTTTTTGATGGGGTTGTTTTTTTCTTGTAAATTTGTTTGAGTTCATTGTAGATTGTGGATATTAGCCCTTTGTCAGATGAGTAGATTGCAAAAATTTTCTCCAATTCTGTAGGTTGCCTGTTCACTCTGATGGTAGTTTCTTTTGCTGTGCAGAAGCTCTTTAGTTTAGATCCCATTTGTCAATTTTGGCTTATGTTGCCATTGCTTTTGGTGTTTTAGACATGAAGTCCTTGCCCATGCCTGTGTCCTGAATGGTATTGCCTAGGTTTTCTTCTAGGGTTTTGATGGTTTTGGGTCTAATATTTAAGTCTTTAATCCATCTTGAATTAATTTTTGTATAAGGTGTAAGGAAGGGATCCAGTTTCAGCTTTCTACATAGGGCTAGCCAGTTTTCCCAGCACCATTTATTAAATAGGGAATCCTTTCCCCATTTCTTGTTTTTGTCAGGTTTGTCAAAGATCAGATAGTTGTAGATATGTGGCATTATTTCTGAGGGCTCTGTTCTGTTCCATTGGTCTGTATCTCTGTTTTGGTACAAGTACCGTGCTGTTTTGGTTACTGTAGCCTTGTAGTATAGTTTGAAGTCAGGTAGCGTGATGCCTCCAGCTTTGTTCTTTTGGCTTAGGATTGACTTGGCAATGTGGGCTCTTTTTTGGTTCCATATGAACTTTAAAGTAGTTTTTTCCAATTCTGTGAAGAAAGTCATTGGTAGCTTGATGGGGATGGCATTGACTCTATAAATTACCTTGGGCAGTATGGCCATTTTCACAATATTGATTCTTCCTACCCATGAGCATGGAATGTTCTTCCATTTGTTTGTATCCTCTTTTATTTCATTGAGCAGTGGTTTGTAGTTGTCCTTGAAGAGCTCCTTCACATCCCTTGTAAGTTGGATTCCTAGGTATTTTATTCTCTTTGAAGCAATTGTGAATGGGAGTTCACTCATGATTTGGCTCTCTGTTTGTCTGTTGCTGGTGTATAAGAATGCTTGTGATTTTTGTACATTGATTTTGTATCCTGAGACTTTGCTGAAGTTGCTTATCAGCTTAAGGAGATTTTGGGCTGAGACGATGGAGTTTTCTAAATATACAATCATGTCATCTGCAAACAGGGACAATTTGACTTCCTTTTTTCCTAATTGAATACCCTTTATTTCCTTCTCCTGCCTGATTGCCCTGGCCAGAACTTCCAACACTATGTTGAATAGGAGTAGTGAGAGAGGGTATCCCTGCCTTGTGCCTGTTTTCAAAGGGAATGCTTCCAGTTTTTGCCCATTCAGTATGATATTGGCTGTGGGTTTGTCATAGATGGCTCTTATTATTTTGATATACATCCCATCAATACTTAATTTATTGAGAGTTTTTAGCATGAAGGGGTGTTGAATTTTGTCAAAGGCCTTTTCTGCATCTATTGAGATAATCATGTGGTTTTTGTCTTTGGTTCTGTTTATATGCTGGATTACATTTATTGATTTGCGTGTGTTGAACCAGCCTTGCATCCCAGGGATGAAGCCCACTTGATCATGATGGATAAGCTTTTTGATGTGCTGCTGGATTCGGTTTGCCAGTATGTTACTGAGGATTTTTGCATCAATGTTCATCAGGGATACTGATCTAAAATTCCTTTTTTTGTTGTGTCTCTGCCAGGCTTTGGTATCAGGATGATGCTGGCCTCATAAAATGAGTTAGGGAGGATTCCCTCTTTTTCTATTGATTGGAATAGTTTCAGAAGGAATGGTACCAGCTCCTCCTTATACCTCTGGTAGAATTCGGCTGTGAATCCATCTGGTCCTGGACTTTTTTTGCTTGGTAAGCTATTAATTATTGCCTCAATTTCAGAGCCTGTTATTGGTCTATTCAGAGATTCAACTTCTCCCTGGTTTAGTCTTGGGAGAGTGTATGTGTCGAGGAATATATCCATTTCTTCTAGATTTTCTAGTTTATTTGTATAGAGGTGTTTATAGTATTCTCTGATGGTAGTTTGTATTTCTGTGGGATCGGTGGTGATATGCCCTTTATCATTTTTTTTTTTTTGCATTTATTTAATTCTTCTCTCTTTTCTTCTTTATTAGTCTTGCTAGCAGTCTATCAATTTTGTTGATCTGTTCAAAAAACCAGCTCCTGGATCCATTGATTTTTTGAAGGGTTTTTTGTGTCTCTATTTCCTTCAGTTCTGCTCTGATCTTAGTTATTTCTTGCCTTCTGCTAGCTTTTGAATGTGTTTGCTCTTGCTTCTCTAGTTCCTTTAATTGTGATGTTAGGGTGTCAATTTTAGATTTTTCCTGCTTTCTCTTGTGGGCATTTAGTGCTATAAATTTCCTTCTACACACTGCTTTGAATGTGTCCCAGAGATTCTGGTATGTTGTGTCTCTGTTCTCGTTGATTTCAAAGAATATCTTTATTTCTGCCTTCATTTCGTCATGTACCCAGTAGTCATTCAAGAGCAGGTTGTTCAGTTTCCATGCAGTTGAGCGGTTTTGAGTGAGTTTCTTAATCCCGAGTTCTAGTTTGATTGCACTGTTGTCTGAGAGACAGTTTATTATAATTTCTGTTCTTTTACATTTGCTGCGGAGTGCTTTACTTCCAGCTATGTGGTCAATTTTAGAATAGATGTGGTGTGGTGCTGAAAAAAATGTATATTCTGTTGTATATTAGGTCCGCTTGGTGCAGAGCCTGAGTTCCATTCCTGGATATCCTTGTTAACTTTCTGTCTCGTTGATATGTCTAATGTTGACAGTGGGGTGTTAAAGTCTCCCATTATTATTGTGTGGCAGTCTAAGTCTCTTTGTAGGTCTGTAAGGACTTGCTTTATGAATCTGGGTGCTCCTGTATTGGGTGCATATATATTTAGGATAGTTAGCTCTTCTTGTTGAATTGATCCCTTTACCATTATGTAATGGCCTTCTTTGTCTCTTTTGATCTTTGTTGGTTTAAAGTCTGTTTTATCCGAGACTAGGATTGCAACCCCTGTCTTTTTTTGTTTTCCATTTGCTTGGTAGATCTTCCTCCATCCTTTTATTTTGAGTCTATGTGTGTCTCTGCACTGGGATGGATTTCCTGAATACAGCACACTGATGGGTCTTGACTGTTTATCCGATTTGCCAGTGTGTGTCTTTTAATTGGAGCATTTAGCCCATTTAAATTTAAGGTTAATATTGTTATGTGTGAATTTGATCACACATTCACATGTGTGAATGTGTCATTATGATGTTAGTTGGTTATTTTGCTCATTAGTTGATGCGTTTTCTTCCTAGCCTTGATGGTCTTTACAATTTGGCATGTTTTTGCAGTGGCTGGTACTGGTTGTTCCTTTCCATGTTTAGTGCTTCCTTCTGGAGCTCTTTTAGGGCAGGCCTGGTGATGAAAAAATCTCTCAGCATTTGCTTGTCTGTAAAGTATTTTGTTTCTCCTTTACTTATGAAGCTTAGTTTGGCTGGATATGAAATTCTGGGTTGAAAATTCTTTTCTTTAAGAATGTTGAACATTGGCTCCCACTCTCTTCTGGCTTGTAGAGTTTCTGCTGAGAGATCAGCTGTTAGTCTGATGGGCTTTCACTTGTGGGTAATCCGACCTTTCTCTCTGGCTGCCCTTAACATTTTTTCCTTCATTTCAATTTTGGTGAATCTGACAATTATGTGTCTTGGAGTTACTCTTCTTGAGGAGTATCTTTGTGGCATTCTCTGTATTGCCTGAATTTGAATGTTGGCCTGCCTTGCTAGATTAGGGAAGTTCTCCTGGATAATATCCTGCAGAATGTTTTCCAACTTGGTTCCATTCTCCCCGTCACTTTCAGGTACACCAATCAGACGTAGATTTGGTCTTTTCACGTGGTCTCATATTTCTTGGAGGCTTTGTTCATTTCTTTTTATTCTTTTTTCCCTAAACTTCTCTTCTTGCTTCATTTCATGCATTTGATCTTCCATCACTGATACCCTTTCTTCCAGTTGATTGAATCAGCTACTGAGGCTTGTGCATTTGTCACATAGTTCTCCTGCCATGGTTTTCAGCTCCATCAGGTCCTTTAAGGGCTTCTCTGCATTGATTATTCTAGTTAGCTATTCATCTCATCTTTTTTCAAGATTTTTAACTTCTTTGCCATGGGTTCGAACTCCCTCCTTTAGCTCGGAGTAGTTTGATCGTCTGAAGCCTTCTTCTCTCAACTCGTCAAAGTCATTCTCCATCCAGCTTTGTTCCGTTGCTGGTGAGGAGCTACGTTCCTTTGGAGGAGGAGAGGCACTCTGATTTTTACAGTTTCCAGTTTTTCTGCTCTGTTTTTTCCCCATCTTTGTGGTTTTATCTACCTTTGGTCTTTGATGATGGTGATATACAGATGGGGTTTTGGTGTGGATGTCCTTTCTGTTTGTTAGTTTTCCTTCTAACAGTCAGGATCCTCAGCTGCAGGTCTGTAGGAGTCTTCTGGAGGTGCACTCCAGAACCTTTTTGCCTGGGTATCAGCCTCAGAGGCTGCAGAGCAGTGGATATTGGTGAACAGCAAATGTTGTTGCCTGATTGTTCCTCTGGAAGTTTTGTCTCAGAGGAGTACCCGGCCGTGTGAGGTGTCAGAATGCTCCTACTGGGGGGTGCCTCCCAGTTAGACTACTCGGGGGTCAGGGACCCACTTTAGGAGGCAGTCTGTCTGTTCTCAGATCTCAAGCTGCATGCTGGGAGAATCACTACTCTCTTCTAAGCTGTCAGACAGGGACATTTAAGTCTGTAGAGGTTTCTGCTGCCTTTTGTTTGGCTATGCCCTGCCCCCAGAGGTGGAGTCTACAAGAGGCAGGCAGGCCTTCTTGAGCTGCGGTGGGCTCCACCCAGTTGGAGCTTCCTGGCCACTTTGTTTACCTACTCAAGTCTGGGCAATGGCAGGCACCCTTCCCCCAGCCTCACTGCCGCCTTGCAGTTTGATCTCAGACTGCTGTGCTAGCAATGAGCGAGGCTCTGTGGGTGTAGGACACTCTGAGCCAGGTGCGGGATATAATCTCCTGGTGTGCCGTTTGCTAAGACCATTGGAAAAGTGCTGTGTTATGGTGGGAGTGACCCGATTTTCCAGGTGTCATCTGTCACCCCTTTCTTTGACTAGGAAAGGGAATACCCTGACCCCTTGTGCTTCCTGGGTGAGGCAATGCCTCACCCTGCTTTGGCTCATGCTTGGTGCACTGCACCCACTGTCCTACACCCACTGTCCAGCACTCCCCATTGAGATGAACCCGGTACCTCAGTTGGAAATGCAGAAATCACCCGTCTTCTGCGTTGCTCATGCTGGGAGCTGTAGACTGGAGCTGTTCCTATTCGGCCATCTTGGCTCCACCACAGCTACTCAATTCTCGTACATTTTCCTTTCAAACCACCTTTCCTCAAATGAGCCTTGACCCTTAATCCAATAAAAATCCCTTTTTACTGCTAGGTGAACACAAATACTACACAAAGACCACCACCCTTTGCAATTATTTCCGTTTTTTTTTTTTTTTTTAATTATTCTGCATTGGATTTATCCTGCAGGTTACCCTAAATTTCTATCAAGGCACTTCATTGAATTCCTTAGATTTTTTGGTACTTACTGAATATTTTTCTATATTTAAAATAAGTGACAAAAGTATATTTGGCCAAAAGAGGACAAATTTTGTCAAATTTTTCTGTGAAAATAGGCTTGCGCCTGCGATGAATGCCCATGCGCAGGCAGCTTTTTGAGGGAATCTCTCTTTGTGGAAGCTGAGGAGATTTACACATGTCGTGTGCCTTGTGAGGGCTGGTGCTCACTTAGTTTATTTATGGCATTTTATTGTATTGATCAGAGAACATGATCTAGCTGCTTTGCCCTGTGGTACTTTCCAGATTGATGTAAACTCTTTATTTTTCTTCTGATTTCTCTTGCCATCATCCATCATTTCTCACTTTTGAGGCAGGCACAGCACTTCTGTGGTTTGATCTCTTGCCCATGCTTTTTAGTTTAGACATATTACCCTGGGCTAGGAACGTTTCATCTTTTTAATGATCTTCCTTATCTTCATTAGAGTGAAAGAACATATTCTTAAATGCTTTTTTACCAGAACGCCAGAACAGCAATGTGTTCTGATGAAGAGCCTGGGAGAGTCACAGCAAAAAGGTTCTGTCTTTTGCCATCATTGATTACAATAAGTTGATTTCATGCAGTTTGTTATGAGCTGTGGTGGAAATTTAATTTGTCATGCTTTTCAGTTAAGGAGGTTCCAGAGACTTGCCATACTTTTCCTTAGAATTTACCACAAGAAGTTTTTTGCCTGCAAAAACATCAAAGAGTGTTTTGATTAAAAAAAAAATTCCTGTGGGGTTTATATGTCCGTTGCACAGGGCAATAACTATCCACTTTATTGCCATATCTATCATTGCTTCATATCTACCAGTGCTTGAAATAGAAGATTTAGAGATTCTGATGCCTTAGATGTGATTCTCTCCTTCCCTTGTCAGTTTTTCCTTTTTAATTTTTTTTTCCTTTCCTTATTTCCTCTACTTTTATTCTCACTTCGTGCCCATCCCCTCTCAGCTTTACGGTTTGAGGCTCAGCAGGTGTTAGTGAAGTTTCTTTTAAACATGTTATCCACTGAAAGTCATAATAAGCTTACACAGTAGAAAAGATTTTTAAGAGGCAGTTCAGTGACTGCTTCGAAGACAACCATTATAGGCACCTGGGATGCCATTTGTCTAAGGAGCTCTGACAAGGATTTTCTGCAAACCATTGTAGTATCATCTGCAGACCTTGGACAACTCTCAGTGCCATTCACTTGCTAATTACTTATGCAGCAGAGATGATGCCCTTTGTCTAACAGAAGTCTTCTCTGGCTAATTTAAACACATTTTTTTTTCCTTTTTAGTTTTCAGTGAAGATAGAGTACAGGTGATCAAGGACCTTGTGATAGATAATACTTCAAATATTTGTAAGAGTTAGCAAACTTTCATAGGACTTCACTGTATTCTAAATAGTCTTAAATTTCTTTCATACTTTCCTCACGGGTTTGCACTTTTTCATTTATTTTATGTCTTCCCAGTCTTATTCTGGCTATTTCCCCAGATTTCTTTGGTTTGATGATTTACAGAGCTTCTACAATAAAGGTTGAGATGGATTAGAACAAGGGCAAGTTTGCTATCTTAGTTGAGAAAGAACTTACGTTTTAAGGAGATAAAGACAAAGCATTTTATCCAGTCACATGTGGGAGTGAACAGGGAAAGGATTTGTTAGGATCAGATTCTCAGCACTAGCTTATAATTTATCAAGAGGTGTTAGTGTGAATTTTAGCATTTTGGCCTACTGTTCTCTCACAGAAGATAAAATGTTGTATTTCCCAAAGATCATGGTTTCTTAGTGACAATAAAAAAACTGTAATTCAGGAGCTAATAATCAATGAGTAGCCAGTGACTTAATAGTGAAATGGTTAGCTTTTTGTTTTCTTCCAAAAGAAAAATATAGGTTTTAACTATGCCTTTTCATATCCCACTTAAAGTAGAGAATCTATTGGAAGTTTCCTAGTGAAGAAAAAGTCACCTCTCCTCAATAAACTAATCTGGGAGAAGGATATTGGCAACAATAGCATAATATATTTCTGAACATTTGTGACTTAAGCACCAAAATTTATTGAGTTATTTGACACATTCTTTGCTTAAGAAGAACATTACTGCCTTTGATTCATATGATTTTTTTTTCCCTAAGAGGTGAGGAGAGGGAGAGAAAATACTATAAACTTGGTAGAAATAAAAATTGTATGTCTAGTCTGAACCGAAATATTTTGTTTTATAATCACAAATTACCAGGTCATTATGACTGGCAACTTTTATATTAAACCCCAGACTCATTACAACTACAAAATAAATAGAAAATTATGGATAAATTCATAAAGCTGATATAAAGCTACTAAGGATTTTATTATGACTTGAATATCAAAACAATTTTTGAGGCGAGAGCACAGGGATTCCTTAACATTCCAACCTCTCATTTCCAAGAACCGTGAAACTCCATATAGTTAAGAGGATTCTAAAAAATATATTTTCCAATCAGAGCTCTGGAATAGCCTTGAATATCAGAGGCAGCATGTGCAAAAGTAGAAGTGAGCAATGGGAAAGACTGAGGGAGAATTAAAGGGATGCAGGAAGGCTTTGTGTTTCCCTTCTTAGTTATAGCTGTGGTGATTACCATGAGTCCAGCTCAATAAATAAGAGGAATGAGATTCTGTGGAAATTGCCATCCATGCATTATAGCTGGAGAAAAGGAGTGGATACTGTTGCAAGATGTTTCTTAGGACTAGGAGCCACTAAAACTTTTACAATCAAACTTGTTTCTAAGGTCTGGACAACAGGGATTTCCATTTGGATTAAAGCAATCCAGCCCAGCTGTCAGTAATAGTCAGCCTAGACCACTGGTTCTCAGCTCTCTATGCATATTCTGATCACTTGGAAAGAATTTAAAAATATGGATGCCTGGACCTCACTTGCAGATATTCTGATTTAATTGGTTTGGAGTGAAGCCCAAGCATTGGTATTTTTAAAAAGCTTTCCAAATAACAGAGAGAGGACTGGTTGTTGTCATGGCAGAGTAACAGACTAAACCTCTTGCCAACAACAATTATTAAAGCTGGACAAATATAAAAGACAAGTATTTGAAGGCAACCAAAGTAGGAAGATATAAACTAGAAAGGATATGATCCTTAAAAGAAGGGAAACATATTAGGTGAGTTCAATGTATACCAAGATTTTTCCCTGAGGACAACCCTTAGATCCTCAGAATGCAGGTAAATCCTTCAATACGCAGCAATCTTTCTGGACTGAGAAAACAGATCAGAGTGGTAGTTTGAAAGGGAAGCTGAAAATTGAGAAGAAAAACGTCAGGGGAAGTCACCGAGAGTGTAGTCCCAACATCTGCATAAAATTCCTTTTCGGTAGTTAGCTGGCTTCCAAACTGTGCATACCCAGGGTTGTACTCTACAGAACTCAGCATAAAGAAATAGCTTGGGGGATGAAGAGCTATGCAAAGACTAGAAGCTGTCAGGAGTAGGGGGATGCAGTTTGGAGTTTTTGTCCTGACAAATCAGAGGGGCTTGGTAAAAATGTTCAACTTTCCCTTGAAATCTCAGAAGTACTATGACTTAAGGCAATGGGAACAAATAAAGTAGGCCAACCCTAATGAAGCTTAAATCTCAAACACTGTATTGTCAAAGTGATATGCTGCTACTCTTTCTTCCTGCTAAAGGAGAGTTTATATTTGGAGGAATATAACTTCATCTAGAAGCTCTACATATTTTCACCTACAAAGTCCAGCACCCAGTGAAAAAAGCAAGGAGAAAATTTGACTCTGGTCAAAATTAGAGTAAAATGGAATTGGAGTAAAGTTGGAGTAAAATGAAATGAGATTTACCTTGTCAACCAAAACAATACAAACATCTGGAAAATATATAAGAAGCAACAATATTCAGGACATTGCACATCAGTCAAAGGAGGAGGGCATTGCCTGAGAAAGAGGAAACAAAAGAGGTAAATAAACCCTTTGATGGAATCGGTTTACCATCTTAATAATGTTTCTAAGCCACGGCACAGAAAAGAAAGACCTCAGCAAAGTGAAGGGTACTTCTTAAGTTGAGGAGCCTTTGCTGTGATTCCAAAAAAGGCAAAGTAGCAAGAGTTTATAGAGAAAAATACCAGAGAGAAGAGAGCTGCAAATAGAGAACTCCAGAGATTTTTTTGATGGTTTCATATAATACGTAATAAGAGTGCTGATTGGTTCATTGTCTAGGGGTATTACTTGTGGCCAGGAAAAATACCCTAAAGAATTAGAAGGAGCAATGGCTGAAAACAGTGGGTCAGAAAGAGTGGCTGTTTCCAATAGACACATTGGGAAACTTCATAAGGCACAAAGAACTGGTTACAGCACTCAGTCCTGGGGAAAATTAGCCCAAAATTAAATGCTAGCCTGGTCCTGCCTAAGTAAGCTTAAAACAACACACACACATATCAAACAGTTTCTAAGTAACTTCATTATTTCCCAAAACGAACTCCAAAAATATTTATGACCATTAAAAAGCCCAGCACCTATAATGTAAAAATGCACAATTTCTGATATCCAATCAAAATTAGCATGCAAAGAAATAAAATATAAGCCATAGTGGAAGGACACCCTGTTCAACAAATGGTGCTGGGATAATTGTAGAGCCACATGTAGAAGAATAAAACTGAATCCTCACCTCTCACCTTATACAAAAATCAACTCAAGATGGATCAAGGACTTAAATCTACGACCTGAAACTGTAAAAACCCTAGAAGATAACATTGGAGAAACACTTCTAGGCATTGGTTTAGGTAAAGACTTCATGACGAAGAACCCAAAAGCAAATGCAACAAAAACAAATATAAATAGATGGGACTTAATTAAACTAAAAAGCTTCTACACAGCAAAAGAAACAATCCGCAGAGTAAACTGAAAACCCACAGAGTGGGAGAAAATATTCACAATCTATACATCTGATGTAGGACTAACATCCAGAATCTACAAGGAACTCAGACAAATCAGTAAGAAAAAAAACAAACAGTTCCATCAAAAAGTGAGCTAAGGAAATGAATAGACAATTCTCAAAAGAAAATATACAAATGGCCAACAAATATCCGAAATAATGCTCAACATCACTAATAATCAGGGAAATGTAAATCAAAACCCATAGTGAGAATAAAGATAGTCAATTGAAACTAACCCAGAAATGACACAAAGACTGTGTTAATAGACAAGTGTATTGAAAGATTTACTATGACTGGGTTCCACATGTTTAAGAAGATAGAGGAAAGGTTAAATATATAAAGTACGCAGGATATTTAAGAAAAGATCCAATTAAACATCTACAGATGAAAACTGCAGTGTCTGATATGAGAAATGCAGTGTATGAAATTAATAGCAGATTTTGCATCAGAAAAGATTATTGAACTTGGGAGATATAGAAATTATAAAAAATAAACATGGAGAGAAAATGACTGAAATAAATAGAGCATTAGGAAACTTTGGGGAATCTTGTGTGGCTCAGCACAATTAAGTCCTCGAAGGAGAAGAATGAGAAAATAAATATATTTAAGGAAATAATGGCAGAAATTTTTCCAAACTTGATTAAAAACATAAACCTATTACTCTTAGGTTTCTAGGGCTGCTATAACAAACGATTGAAACCTTAATGGCTTAGAAACAACAGAAATTTATTCTGTCTCATTTCTGGGAGCCAGAAGTCCTAAATCAAAGAGTTACGACTGGAAGCTCTTAAGGTGGATCCTTCCCTGCCTCTTCCGGTTTCTAGTGGCTCCAGGCACTGCTTTGCTTATGATACATAACTTCAATCTCTGCCACTGTCTTTACGTGTCCTTCTCTGTGTGTCTCCAATCTCCCTCTGAGTTTCTCTTATAAGGACACTTGCCATCAGATGTAGAGCCCACCCAGATAATCCAGGGTCATCTTGCCTTGAGATCCTTATCTTAATTGATCTGCAAAGATCCTTTATCCAGATAAAGTCACATTCACAGGTTCTGGGCGGTTGACATAACTTTTGGAGAGCCAGCATTCAACTCCCTACACCCACAGATCCAAAAAGCTCAACAAATTCCCCTGCACAAAACAGGAGGAAAACTACACCAAGGAACATCATGGTCAGATTTATTTAAATCAGCGATAAAGAGAAAATGTTATAAATATCCAGATTAAAAAAAAAAAAGCACGTGATATACATAGAAACAAAGTTGACAGCAGATTTCTTGTAAAAAAAAAAAATACAAGCCAGGAAATAGTGGAGTAACCTTTTTAAACTATAGAGGGGAAAAAATCTGTTTACCTATAATTATTTACCAGTGAAAAGATTTTTCAAAAGTGAAGATAAAGGCTTTCTTAGACTTAAAAAAAATAGTGAAAGAACTAACCACTAGCCAGCCCAAACTACAAAAAATATCGAGAAAATTTTCAAGAGGACTTTGATACCCAATGAAAACTTGAACTTTAAAGCAATAAGGAACACTGGAAATGGTAACTATGTGGGTTTATACACACACACACACGCACACACACCCCTTTATAATATGTATAATAAAGACATATATAATATACATATATAAAAATTTATTTATTTATTTATTTATTTATTTATTTATTTAAGAAACTGGTCTTGGTATATTGCCCAGGCTGGTCTCAAACTCCCAGCCATAAGCGATCCTCCCACCTTAGCCTCCCAAATAGCATGGATTACAAGAAGGAGCCACCATACCCAGATACATTATATATTTTTAATTTTTTAATTTTTTTTTAAAAAACTGCAGAGCAATTTGTGGTGTGAGTCATTCCAATGTGAATGCCATGAGTACAGGGGTGTACTAGTCAGGGTTCTCTAGAGGAACAGAACTAATAGGATAGATGTATATATGAAGAGGAGTTTATTAAGGAGTATTGACTCTCAGCGATCACAAGGTGAAGTCCCACAGTAGGCCCTGTGCAAGCTGAGGATCAAGGAAGCCAGTCCCAGTCCTAAAACCTCAAAGGTGGGTAAGCCGACAGTGCAGCCTGCAGTCTGTGGCCGAAGGCCCGAGAGCCCCTGGCAAATCACTGGTGTAAGTCCAAGAGTCCAAAAGCTGAAGAACTTGGAATCTGATGTTGGAGGGCAGCAAGCATCCAGCTTGGGAGAAAGATGAAGACCAGAAGTCTCAGTGAGTCTACTCATTCCACTTTCTACTGCCTGCTGTATTCTAGCCATGCTGACAGCTGATTAGATGGTGCCCACCCAGAATAAGTGTGGGTCTGCCTCTCCCACTCCACTGACTCAAATGTTAATCTCCTTTGGCAACACCCTCACAGACACACCTAGGAACAATACTTTGCATTCTTCAATCCAGTCAAGTTGACACTCAATATTAACTATCACATGTCCACTGCTCATCAACTTAAACCCATACACATCTCCTGAAATTATGCATAACCTACAAATAAAAACAATGATAAGGTCATAATTATGCCTAATGTGATACAGCTATCCTTCATACAACCAGAAGCACACTAAGCCTTAACTTAAATGTTATTACAAAAATTTAACAACACTTAAATGCTGATATGAAGTTAATAAATCTTATGTCACATGACAAAGGAAAAGAAAAATGAAGATACTTTCTTAGTACGAGTGTATACAGGTACAAACATATTCTTAAGAAAATAAGGTGGAAACATTTACGACAATTACAATCCTTGTTTCTGCGCCCAGTCACATGGTCATAGCTAGTATTGATGACTACCTTCTTCTATTCATTCTGTATTCCCTTTGCCTTCATCAGGCACCTCAGCAGGTTGTGTTTTTTTTACCTGGTAGAGTGACCCAAACCTTCATTCCTGAAGGGTCTGGGCCATTTGTAGTACTGCCTGGATTGGGTTGTTGTAGTTTGCCATTGACCTTAATCACAAGGCATGGTAATACTAAGAGACACCCTAAGGGATCTTCTGTATTTCACAAATACTTTTCGTTACCTCCATTGTGGAGTAGTAGTCCGATTTCATCTTGATAGTCCAGGTCAGTCACCCCAGACAACACTGTAACTCCCTTAGCCTGTTGACTCTGAGGTAGGAGAAGCTCAAAGTGGCCAGGTGGCCATCTTAACTTCCAATTTAATGAAATCATTGTGTGTATACTGGTGGCAGCATTCCTCCCTCTTGAACTAAGACCTCAAGGCCAGCAGAACATAATGTGGGAACAGGAAGCAAAAATTTTGCTAGTGTGTCACTAGGGGTAATGGTGAGTGGTGCCACTTCCACCCCTTGATTCGTGGACCCATCAATCCTGGATATGGGGGAAACAGTGGCATATACTGGATGCTGATTCAGAGCGTACATGGCCTTCTGGAGAACTTTACTCCAGCCTTGTAAAGTATTGTCACCTAACTGGCATTGGAATTGTAACTTCAAAAGGCCGTTCCACCATTTTATCAATCCAGCTGCTTCGAGATAATGGGGAACATGGTAAGACCAGTGAATTCCATGAGCATGAGCCTACTGCCTCACTTCTTTAGCCATAAAGTGAGTGCCTTGGTTAGAGGCAATGCTATGTAGAATACCATGAGGGTGGTTAAGGCATTCCATGAGTCCACGTATGGTAGTCTTGGCAGAAGGATTGTGTGCAGGATAGGTAAACCCATATCCGGAGTAAGTGTCTATTTGGGTGAGGACAAACCACTTCCCTTTCCATGATAGAAGAGGTACAATATAATCAACCTGCCACCAAGTAGCTGGCTGATCACCCTTCGGAATGGTACCATATCTAGGGCTCAGTGTTGGTCTCTGCTGCTGGCAAACTGGGCTCTCACTGGTGGCCATAGCCAGGTCAGCCTTGGAGTAGAAGTCCATGTTGCTGAGCCCATGCATAGCCTCCATCCCTGCCACCATGGCCACTTTGTTCTTGGACCCTTTGGGTGATGACAGGGGTGGCTGGGAAAAGAGGCTGAGTGGTGTCCACAGAATGAGTCATTCTATCCATTTGATTTTAAAATCCTCCTCTGCTGACATCAGTCTTGGGTGAGCATTCACATGTGATACAAATATCTTCATGGTTTTCGACCACTCAGAGAGCTCTATCCACATACCTTTTCCCCAGATTTCTTTATCACCAATTTTCCAATTATGCTGCTTCCAAGTCCCTGACCATCCAGCCAAACCATTGTCTACAGCCCATGAATCAGTATATAATCGCACATCTAGCCATTACTCCGTCTATGCAAAGTGCACAACCAGGTGCACTGCTCAAAGTTCTGCCTACTGGGAAGATTTCCCTTCACCACTGTCCTTCAGGAATGTCCTAGAAAGGGGCTGTAGTGCTGCAGCTGTCCACTTCCGGGTGGCACCTGCATATCGTGCAGAACTATCTGTAAATCAGACCTTAGTCTTCTCTTCCTTTGGCGACTGATCATAGGGAACTCCCCATGAGGCCATTGGTACAGGCTGGGGGACAGAAGGTAGGGTGGCAGGAGTGGAAACCATGGGCATTTGAGCCACTTCCTCATGCAACTTGTGCCTTCAGGACCTGCTTTAGCCTGATCACTTACATACCACTTCCATTTGATGATTGAATGCTGCTGTGCACACCCAACTTTATAGCTAGATGGGTCAGAAAGCACCCAGTTCATGATAGGCAGTTCAGGACACATGGTGACTTGATGACGCATAGTCAAATGTTCAGTTTCTACCAAAGCCCAGTAATAGGCCGAGAGCTGTCTTTCAAAAGGAGAGTAGTTATCTGCAGAAGATGGCAGGGCCTTGCTCCAAAATTCTAGAGGCCTCTGCTGTGATTCACCTATGGGTGCCTACCCGAGGCTCCAAACAACATCCCTACCTGCTACTGACACATCAAGCACCATTGGATCTGCTGGGCCATATGACCCAAGTGGCAGAGCAGCTTACACAGCAGCCTGGACCTGTTGCAGAGCCTCCTACTGTTCTGGACCCCACTCAAAACTGGCAACCTTTGGGTCACTTGAGAAACTGGCCAAAGTAACACACCTAAATGAGGAATGTGTTGCTTCCAAAATCCAAATAGGCCCACTAAGCATTGTGCCTCTTTCTTGGTTGTAGAAAGGGCCAAACACAGCAACTTATCCTGCACCTTAGAAGGGATATCTCGACAGGCCCCACACCATTGGACCTCTAGAAGTTTTATTCAGGTAAAAGCTCCCTGAATTTTAGTTGGTTTTATTTCCCATCCCATGGCATGCAAATATCTCATCAATAAGTCCGCTGTATTTGCTGCTTCTTGCTCGCTGGATCCAATCAGTATAATGTCATCAATGTAATGGGCCATTGTGATACCTTGTAGAAGAGAAAAGTGATCAAGATATCTGTGAACAAGATTAAAACACACAGCTGGAGAGTTGATATACCTCTGAGGTAGGACAGTGAAGGTATATTGCTGACCTTGCCAGCTGAAGGCAAATTGCTTCTAGTGGGCCTTGGGAATGGATAAAAAGGTATGCTCAATGACTACGTACTCGGTAGCAGATGTGTTAATTTGCTCAAGCAATGAAACCACATCTGGTACAACAACTGCAATTGGAGTCACCACTTGGTTAAGCTTACAGTAATCCACTGCCATTCTCTGAGAACCACCTGTCTTCTTCACAGGCCAAATAGGATAGTTGAACGGGGATGTGGTGGGAATCACCACCCCTGCATCTTTCCAGTCCTTGATGGTGGCGCTAATCTCTGCAATCACTCCAGGGATGTGATTTTTTTTTATATACTATTTTTCTAGGTAGAGACAGCTCTAACAGCTTGCATTTGGCCTTTCCCACCATAATAACCCTCACCCTATGAGTCAGGGAGCCAATGTGGGGATTCTGCCAGCTGCTAAGTATCTTTGTGCCAATTATACACTCTGGCACTGGGGAAATGAACACAGGGTGAGTCTGGGGATCCACTGGACCCACTGTAAGTCAGACATGAGCTAAAACTCCATTAATTACCTGACCTCCATAAGCCCCTACTTTAACCAGAGGACCACAATGATATTTTTTGGGTGCTCTAGAATCAACGTCAGCTCAGAGCCAGTGTCCAGTAGTCCCTGAAAAGTCTGATTATTCCCCTTTCCCCAAAGCACACTTACCCTGGTAAAAGGCCAGAGGTCTTCCTGGGGAAAGATGGGAGAAAGATTAACAGCATAAATTGTTGGTAGTGTAGTGGGGTTCTTCCTCAAAGGGACTCGGTGTCCCCTTCATTCAAGGGGCTTGGAGTCTGTAAACTGGTTCAAGTCTGGAAATTGATTGAGGGGCCATGGTTTTCTATTTTTATAATTCAAATTATTCATTTGTCCACAAAACCTGGAAGTTTTCTCTTACACAAATTAAGTAAGAATGCAATACGCTTCCTATCAGTTTCACTTCTAGGAACACTGTTATTAATTAACCAATGCCACAGCTCTACACGAGTTGCCTATTCTGATTGCTGCTTTGCCTCTGCCGTCCACTGCGGTAACTATGCCCACCTCAACTTTGATGGTTGAGTGCCACCAATTTGGCCCCTGCCACCTCTGGATCCAATTATTCCCATTGCATTTAAACTTTTTAATTAATGAGTAACTGTTGTTCCCACTTGTAAGATCTGGCATACAGAGAAGAGCAATCACAGAGCTCTTCAAGGTTGCAGGTGCTCCCCTCACAAATCTATTTCGCAAAGTATTGGTGAAGGGTATGTCTTCTGGACCCTCTCAGTTGGGATGAATACATCTATAGTGACTAATCCAATCTAGCATTCTCATGTCCCTTAGCCTTTGCAGCCCTTCCTCTACATTAAACCAAAGGAGATCAGGCATTTCCAGCTCACTCACAGTGGGCCATCTTTTGATCTATAGTTCAGCTAATCAAGCAAGTAAACTATTAGAACTTTTTTTTAACTCCCCGAGCTACAACATTAAATGCAGGATAACTGCTTAGTTGGCCCATATCAATAAATTCAGCCTGATCCAACTTAACGTCCCTTCCACCATTATCCCACACCCTTCATATTCCCATGCCTGTTCTCCAGATTTCTGCTTATATAAATTAGAAAACTCAAGAAGTTATTTTGGCGTGTAGCACACCTCCTTGTGCATCACACTCTGAACCTCACCTCTAGGGGCCTGCTGGGACTTAAGTCTAGTTATAGGTGTAGAAGCAAACAGGGGTGTTGGGGTTGGGTCCTGAGGAGAATCAGCATTGTCTTGCCTGGCAACTCCCTCAGGGGAGGCCATCACTGTTGCCTCAGGCAGTGCATGCGTAATCTCCTTAGACAAATGTGGAAAGGCTAATGGCAGCATGGTTGGGGGAGGGGATGTTGCCACCACTGGGGGTGAGCAGGCTGTTTCCTCTGGCCAAAAAGGCTCATCAGAGTTTACAAGCTCAGTGTCTCCAGCTTCATCAGGTTCCTCCCACAGATCCCCATTCCAAGTTGCAGGGTCCTGTTCTTCTTCAGTCAATGCCCTCACTTTAACAGTAGACACCTGGTGAGACTGAGTGTGCACCTTTCTTTGCAGGTCAGCCACTCTCATGATAAGTGCTTGTGTCTGATTTTCTGCAATTTCAGCCCTTTGTCTACAGGAGATAAGATTCTCATTCAGGGCAATCTTAGAAGACTTGAGGCTCAGTATGTGCTTCTGAAGCTGGGAGTTAGAATCCCTGTGCTCATCCTTTTCTTTTGTCACTTTGTCCAGTGAACTTAAAAGCAACCAGCCAACTTTATTTTCCTTGGTTCTCCACATATGGTCAAAGGTATTATGTATAGAGTCACTAAACTCCTTGCCGCTCACAAGTGGCGAATCAGGAGTATCAAATGCATTTATTGTACATAACTCTCTAAACAATTAATGCCAAGGACTATCAGTGTTTTCCATACTATTAGAAGTAGAGTCCTTAGCATTTTGGGGTCTAATCGTATTAAGCAGCCAACTCCAGAAACCCCAAAACCAACTAAAATCCATTCTTAAAATTCCGTTCCTCTAGAACCACTCTTGGTATCAAAATCTGTATTGGGGTTCTCTAGAGGGACAGAACTAATAGGATAGATGTATATATGAAGAGGAGTTTATTAAGGATAATTGACTCACACAATCACAAGGTGAAGTCCCACAATAGGCCTCCCACAATAGGCCGTGTGCAAGCTGAGGATCAAGGAAGCCAGTCCCAGTCTCAAAATCTCAAAGGTAGGGAAGCTGACAGTGTAGCCTCAGTCTGTGGCCCAAGTCCCCTGGCAAATCACTGGTGTAAGTCCAGGAGTTCAAAAGCTGAAGAACTTGGAGTCTGATGTTGGAGGGCAGCAAGCATCCAGCACGGAAAGAAAGATGAAGGCTGGAAGATTCAGTGACTCTGCTCATTCCTCTTTCTTCTGCCTGCTTTATTCTAGCCACGCTGGCAGCTGATTTGATGGTGCCCACCCAGAATGAGGGTGGGTCTGCCTTTTCCAGTCCACTGACTAAAATGTTAATCTCTTTTGGCAACATCCTCACAGACACACCCAGGAACAATATTTTGCATCCTTCAATCAAGTTGATGCTCAATATTAACCATCACAAAGGGGCATTCTCTCTCTGTGTTCACCACTGAATATCCAATTTCTAGAACAGTGACCAACAAAATATTCTCTCAGTAACCATGTATTAACTGCATGTTTGTGAAAACAAGAAGAAAGTGCAAAAACAATTCTATGTTCTTCTCAAGTTCCCTATCCTCTATTGTATTTGAAAACGGGGGTAGTTCATTGCCTCTAATTTCTAAATTAGATTTTTTAGCAAGATGTCCCAACATACATGTCTCACAATAAAAACTGGCATTATGGATGCAAATGTAGAAAAATGTCCCTAGAAAATAAATGTGTGCTTTCCTCTACTCAAAAGACAGAGGGCTCACAGAAAATTCTGCTGCTCCAACTTTTAGGAAAGGGCCTCTCTGTTGAAGGCATGCTTGGAATTTTCCTACCAAGAAAAAGTAAGTAACTTGCAATTGTTTTGAAGTTCTGGGGTCTCTTGGCAGCAGTCAATCTCTGCTGTCTAGAAAAAGTGGAAATAAATAGCCACTGGTGTTTAACAGTTAAAAATTTAGAAGTTGCCCAAAGAGTGCAAGCTACTAAGGAGAAAAGATATAATTAAGTTATTTATTCTTTAAATGTATGACCCTGTTATCTGCAACAAAGCTTCACTGTCCAAGAAAAATGAAAGGGAGAGATCTTTGGTACCAAAGCTCATAAAGTAATGATAGTGCAAGTTGGTGGAACAAAGTAAAGGAAAGAATCCTGGCTCTTGCTTTTAGAAAAACTGACATTCTAGGATATGTCTGAAGTCCGCAAGGCTCTGAGAAGTAGGGAGATAGCAAAGCATTAACCAAACAGGAGAACTCATCAAAGCACCTGGCTTTGGTCAGGACCATGGCACGGGGAATTCAGTTGTGCTGCAAATATGCCACCCACCAAACTTCTGGTCATTGCAGGCTTCTGAGGCTTTACCCTCTAGACCAGAAAACAATTCCACATGATAGTACCCACCATTCCTCATGGATTATACAAAAATCACACCTCTGCAATCTCCCTGGTTGCTGTGTTTGCTTGTTGAGTATTCTTTAAAATACTTGAGGCTGAACTGTGTGATGTAGTTAGTAGCATGTGAAATATCCTAATTAAGAGTCCACATTCTGGAAGTAGCTAAGGCAGAACCTGCAAATATCATTATCTGAGTCTGTGCTGGAGATATCCATAGTTAACAAAAGGAATATTTGATAAGACTTTTTGAATTATAGGATTAGTGTTGTTCAAAGTAAGGTGAGTTAACTAGATGTGGTGTACCAGCATCTAATTCTTTCTTATACAAATCTGGTTAAGTAGGGATCTTCAGACAGACGTCCAAGGTCAAAAATGTGTTCTGTCCTGTTCTGCCCACTTAATAGAAGATTCTGTCTCCTAATAGAATTTGAAGGTTAGCTTATCCTGTCTCTAGTATGTTATTAAATCATAATTGCTTTTGAGCAATTATTTTAGAAGTGTTGCTTACCGGAAACCTTAAAGAGATAGGAGGTGGGGGCTACATTTAGCTTCCATGCAAATTGAATATTTTTTGTTCCTGTAGAACACAAAAAAATGTGTACATGTATGCAAAAATTGGAACTGAGACTTGCTTTCATTCTAATATTCTGGCTGATAGTAGCTTGTGGAGAAGGGGCACCTACTCTCAGCTACCTGTAACCACTGGGGGCTGCTGCTTTTCCCCTGCACAAGGAACCCAACCAGCCAAGGAAAGCTAAATTTCACTGGTTGTTTTTAACAGTAGACGTGAGCTCCTGATTCTGGAGAGAGGCTTGACACATTGGTTTAACCTGAACAGGTGAGGAAATAGAGAAAATAACTCTACTTCCGGGCTTAAAAAAATGTTAAAAAATAGCCCAAATTGTGATTATTCATGGGTGATGAAGGGAAGAAGCAGCAGGCTAGGTTTCACTTTAGATACTTAAATAATTTTTATACAGCAAATATATTTATTTCAGAATATTTGTGTATGTGAGTGTGTGTGAGAGAGAGAGAAATAAAGAGAAAGGAGGTGAGAGAGAAAGTGATATATATATATATAGAGAGAGAGAGAGAAATATGTGTGTATGTGTATTTATATGCCTGTAAATCTATGGACAAATTCACAGCATATTAATTTTAGTTTAGTGTGATTTTTTTTTCGTTTAGTTGGGATTGAACACCGGATTTACCTACTTGATTTATTATTTGTCTTCAGGTGTGAATTATTGTTAGAAAAGAAAGAAGTCAGCTTTCCTCTGTCAACTACTGTGCTAGTGAATTCTTTTTCAAGTTTAATCTAAATCAAGCAATTCCTTTAAAGAAAAGGTGATACAAAGCCATGCATTGTACAATATCTGCCTGCTTATTTGACACTGAGTACATAGTTAATATTTTTATTTAGTTTTTCTTCTTATTAAGACCTGAATAAAGACAATTTGCATTAACAATTTAGATGTTATCTGTAGTTATAGAGAAAGTGACATTAAAATTGTTTCCTAAATCAGAAAATATTTTCTGCATGTCTAATATATGCCACATACTGTGTGCTAAGAAACGACTTGATGCTTTGCAGTACAAGCTTAACAAACAACCTTTCCTTGTGACAAAATCTGAAGATGGGCACAAAAATTGATTTTCCCCCAATAAAAGGACACACTTAGTTTAATTTATGTTGATCTTTATCTTCCCTATTAATACCTTCCTTTTAGATAGGAAGACCCACAATTTTCTGGTGCTTCAGGTTGTCTTTATTCATCTTATATTCATGACCAGGGAGAGTTCTATTGCAATAAAGGTGATGTCATTTCCCTATGTGGCCTTGGGCAAATTACCTGATTTCTTTAAGACCCTGTTATGGTTTGGCCATGTCCCCACCCAACTCTCGTCTTGAATTGTAGCTCACATAATTCCCACGTGTAGTGGGAGGGACCAGGGGAGAGGTAATTTAATCATGAGGGTGGGTCTTTCTTGTGCTGCTCTCCTGATAGTGAATCAGTCTCACAAGATCTGATGGTTTTATAAATGGGAGTTCTCCTGCACAAGCTCTCTTGCCTGCTGCCACATAAAATATGACTTTGCTTCTCCTTGCTTTCTGCCATAATTGTGAGGCCTCCCCAAGCCATGTGGAACTGTGAGTCCATTAAACTTCTTTCCTTTTTAAATTACCCAGTGTTGGATATGTCTCTATTAGCAGTGTAAGAACAGACTAATACAGACCCATTGGTCTCTGTTGGAAATAGATAACAACATCTAGTTCTTATTTTTATTCGAACATATTTGAGGAAACCATGCATATAAACCCTTAGTATAGAACATCCTACCTCTCAATAAATATTAAGTGCTTTTCCTGTTGAGATATGTGTGTGTGTGTGTGTGTGTGTGTTCATTGTCACTACCAATATCATCATCATACATCTTAACTTAAAAGAAGACATTTCATTTTTAAGGTTATTTTTGTTACTTGGACATCGCATTGAAATAATACTCATATAAAATGATGTTTGTTTGCCTATAATTGCTTTAGTTTTAAAACAGAGCCACTACATATACACAGTAAAAAGCTTTTTCAAATCAATAGGAAAATGACAAATATTCCAGAAGAAAAGCAGTTAGGACTTAACTAACAAGCACTTCACAAGACAGAGTATCCAAATGTCTGACAAACATGAAATTGGATTCAAACTGATTAGAAATTAGGAAAATACAGAATGAAACTACAATTAGATTTCAATTCATATCCTCCATAAGGACTGAAATAAAAATTACAATTCCAAGTGTTGTCAAAAGTGTGGGAAAACTGAAATTTTCGTACGTAGCCCTGGGAGTGTAAGTTGGTAAACTTACATTGGAAAACTTTAGGCATTTTCTATTCAACTTGACCATTTACGTATCTTAGGACCCTCAGTTATATACCTAGCAGAAATACATGCACTTATGCACTAAAAAATATGTATAAGAATGTTCACGGGAGCACCATTTATAATTGTCAAAACTTGGAAACTACCCAAATGTTTATCAATAAGTAGAATGAAGAAATAATTTGTGGTATGTTCTTACAATTGAATAGTATACAGCAGTGAAAATAAACACATTTTGCTACAAAGTAACATCATGGATTAATGTCACAATCATAATCACAATAATATGATGAGTAAAAGAAGCCAGATTAAAAAAGAGTATATGGAATGTGAATCTATTCTATAAATTACAAACCCAACAAAACTAATCAATGGTGATGGGAATCAGAATAGTACTTATTTTGGGAAAAGAAGTACGAAACAGGAGGGAGCATACTGGGTACTTATGGAATGCTGACAATATTCTATTTCTTGTTCTGAGCGAAAGTAATATGTATATGTTCACATTCAGAAAATTTGTAGAGTTGTATGATTATCTTGGTGTATAATTAAATGTTATTATGTATTATTTAGGTACTTTTCTGTATTTGTTATATTTTTATTTTAAAAGTATAGAAACAATGAAATAATGGATCTACCTCACACGCAGTGATGTAATTCACTTCAGCTGTGGAAAGAAATCTGTTTGTTTATGATTTTTGTTTTTGGTTTTTTTTTTTTTTCTAGATATGGGGAGGAGAGTTTGAGAGGGTGATGGACTGGAGGTGTTAGCATTAACTTGGTAAAAAGAAAATAGAGGAAATGGTAGCTATCATACAAAATATTTTTCAAGTTTCTAGACTCAATATGCATAGACTTTTCTGATGTTAACAGTCATTTGTCAGATGGAGGCTTGCCTTATGCTTGTTGGTATAACTTGAAAATTCACTTGGAGATTTTAGAAGATCAGAAGAGATCAACTCTGCCATAATCCTTATTTTTACACACTGGCTCTTGATCTCTGAGGAGGCAGACTTGTAAGCTGAGCTGTCTTCTGAGTGCTGTGTAATAAAGAGCTACCTCCCGAGGCAGATTCCTAATTGTGGATCTCTGGCCTGTGATACTCAGGTGCCCCTCTACTCCAGCATTTTCTGGATTGAACATTCTTGTGTAAAGGAGGTTAGAAAAGAGCTACCTATTATCTTCTCTGAATAAAATATGTGATGAATAATTATAATTTCTAACATTTATTCAGCCTTACCATATGTCAGGTCTTAAGATGATCCTGTTTCTCTTGACTCTTATTTCACTTAATGTGTTCTTTCTCTGTTTTGAATCATTAGCAATTCTGTGGAGTCTATCTCCAAAACATGGCCTGAGTCAGTTACCCCTCACTGCTGCTAGCACCCTGGTCTAAGGCATCTTTGTCTTGTACTTGACCTGCTGCACTAACTTTGGTGCTGGTTTCTCTGTCTCTAATCAATCCCTTATACAAAGTTCAAGTTCTCACAGCTCACCCTTGTGGCACACATGACCCAGGGTGGGAAGCTCCTGCTCTATGCGTGGAGTCTAGGGCCAGCTCTGTGCCATCCACGGACCAGTCAGGTCCTTCTGTGGACCGTATTATATCAAGTCTGATGCACCGCTGAGTCTTTGGGTGCCCTCTTTATTTCTAGCATTTTCAGATTCCTCTTAATTAGCTTGTCTGTGTATATATTTAAATCATATTTTCTCCCTTGTTTCTAAATTTAAAATAGGAAGGGGAATATCTCTATTCCTCAGTGTGACATCTTGACTGAAAGTCTCTACATATTTACATTGACAAAGGCACAAGACTAAGTCATAATTCAGTGAAAACATTCGAGGTCCCACTGCATTTTCTCATGTATTCTTATTTCGCATATATTTACATTTAATATTATAGACCATCTTAGATAATATGGTTCCTAATTTTTCCTGTAGATAATTTTTTAAGATAAAAAGATGAGCCTGAATACTTTGACTCACTTAAGATTAAATGCTTTTAAAAAAAATAGTGATTTTATTTATGCTAACATGCCCTTCACAGGAAAACCACAGCAATAGAGAAGGTAAAAGAAGATGGTAAAGAAAATCACCCAGGGCTGGGTGCGGTGACTCATGCCTGTAATCCCAGCATTTTAGGAGGCTGAGGCAGGAGGAGCACTTGAGTCCAGAGTTGGAGGCCAGCCTGGGCAACATAGGGAGACCCTGTCTTTACAAAAACAAACTAACAAAAAAAGGCTAGCTGGGCATGGTGGCACACACATGTAGACCTGACTACTCAGGAGGTTGTGGTGGGAGGGTCACTTGAAGCCTGGAAGTTTGAGGCTACGGTGAGCTATGATCCTGCTACTGCACTCCTGCTTGGGCAACTCAGTAAGACCCTGTCAGGAAAAAAAAAAAAAAAGAAAAGAAAAGAAAAGAAAAAGATTGCCCTAAATTCCAACCTTTAGAAGTAAATATTATCAATTTAGATGGATGTCATTTCAGGCTTCACTCATAGGTTAATATATTTTCACTCACACTTTACACATAGACAACAAGAGAGAGGAATAATCAAAAGACTGAGATTCTGACATTTTATTCTGCATTTTATTTTCTAAAAATAGTATTAAACTTATTTTAACATATACAATAATTAGATATTAAAATTAAGAATTACTTATTATAAAATACCTAAATTTTTCCCTAAATTAAAAAGATAAACACAGATATTAGTTTTTAAAGTAAAATACAGTTTACCTTGCATGTGGTATATTTAAACTCTCATTGTTGATAAAATGAAGGCATTTTCAGTTATACTTATTTCTATTTTCATTATACCATTTATTGATTTTGAAGTTATTTAAAATGTGTCAAGATTAAACATATTAACTTTCCAAGGCATTATTTTTATCTTTACAGCTCTAATTTTTTACAACACCTTCTCTCATTTTAAACTTTACTTTGATTCTTCTCTAAGTTGTGTGGTTTTATTTTAGAGAGTTTTTTACTTAAAGTATTCAGTAATAAATATATGACAAGGCTTTTGTGGCGATGTCTGTTGTTTTATATTTAATGGATAGTTTAGCATATTAATCAATATAGGTAGACTTCACCACAATAATAAAATGTTTTCTATTTGTCTCATCTATTCTTTGTTTTCTTTGCCTTACTTTTCTGCATCTTTTGCATTATTTTATCATGATTCCATTTTATAGCAACTTTCGGCTTTTAGGCTAATTTTTTGTTGTGATATTTAAGTGGTTATTTTAGGGTTTATAGTATAGTAGTCCTCCCTTATCCAGGGAATGTGTTTCAAGACCCCCAGTGGATGCCTGAAACCACAGATAATATCACACCCTATACACACACTGTTTTTTCTATCTGATAACCAACATGGCCACTAAGTGACCAGTGGGCGGGTAGCATCTACCACATGGATATACTGGACAAAGGGAAGATTCACATCCTGGGGGGGGTGGGAAGGAGCAGGATAGGGTGAGACTTTATCACACTACTTAGAGTGGCATGTAATTTAAAACTAATAAATTGTTAATTTCCAAAATTTTCCATGTAATATTTTTGGTTGACAATGAGTAACCAAAATTTGCATGGAAAGAGAAACAGCAAATAAAGGAAAGCTACTGTATACACATTTAATTGATCATAGCTTACTTCAAGTGATAGTATAGTATTAGACTTTAGGTATAATATTGGACATTAACAGCAGCATGTTTTAATTCCTCCACTCCAGCTTTTTCTAGTGCAATTTAAAAACATTTTGCCCTGAAATGTCTAAAAATGCATCTGAAATAGGTCTCATTAAGCTAAAATCATGCTATCAGCAGGATTGTGTTCTTTCTGGAAGGCCTAGGAGTGAATCTGTTTTGCCTTTTCCAGATTATACAGGTGACCTACATTCCTTGGCTCCTGGTGCCCTTCCATCTTCAAAGCCAGCAATGGCTGGTCAGTGTTTTTTATACTGTCTCACGCTGACATTCCCCGTCTTCCACCTCTCTCTTTCACTTACAAGGATTCTAATAATCACAATGTGTCCACCACCTGTGTAATCAAGGATAATCATGCCATTGCAAGGTCAACTGATTAAGAACCTTAATTCCATCTGCAATCTTAATTCTCCTTTCCAGTATAACCTAACATATCCACAGGTTCTGGGGATTAGAATGTGCACATCTCTGTGATGAGGGTATCTTACACTGTGTACAACATGATTTTTGTGTTAGATAATAAACTATCACTTAAAGATATTTAAATAATAAGAAAAATATATTCTTTAATTACATAATTTTCTTCATTCTTTTGTTTAGATTTAGATCCAGATTTGTACATGGTATCGTCTTCTTTCTGCCTGATGTTCTTTTTCTTCTCGTACACTTTGCTGGTGATGAATTCTTTCAGCTTTTGCATTTCTAATAATGCCTTTATTTCACTTTTGATATTGGAGGATTTTTTTTGCTCAGTAAAGAATTCTAGATTGACTGTTGTTTACTTCTGTATTTTAAAGATGGTTCTCTTCTGTCTTCCAGGTAAGATTGTTTTTGATGAGATGTCAGCTTTCATTCTTACCTTTGTTTCTCTGCACGTGTGTCTTCTTTTCTTTGGTCTGACTGTTGTTAAAATTTTTTCAAAATCGTTGGTTTAAAGGTATTTGATTATGATGTACCTTTTAAAAAAATTTAGATACAGGGAGTACATGTGCAGATTTGTTACATGGATATATTGTGTGATGATGAAGTTTGGACTTCATTGAATCCATCACCCAAATAGTAAACATAGTACCCAATAGGTTATTTTTCAACCCTCGCTGTCCTCCCTCCCTTCCCCAATTTGAAGTCTCCAGTGTCTGTTTTTCCCATCTTTATGTCATATATGCCCAGTGTTTATTTCCCACTTGTAAGCAAGAACTTGCAGTATTTGGTTTTCTGTTTCTGCCATAATTCACTTAGAATAAAGACCTCCAGCTCCATCCATGTTGCTGCGAAAGACATGCTTTTGTTCTTTTTTATGGCTGCATAGTATTCCATGGTATTATGTACCACATTTTCTTTATCCAGTCCACCATTGATGGACATCTAGGTTGATTCCGTATCTTTACTATTGTGAATAGCACTGCAATAAACATAGAAATGCAGGTGTCTTTTTGGTAGAATAATTTTTCTTTTTCTTTTTCTTTTTTTTTTTTTTTGAGACAGTCTGGCTCTGTCACCCAAAGTGGAGTACAGTGGTGCAATCTTGGCTCACTGCAACCTCCATCTTCTGGGTTCAAGCAATTCTCCCTGCCTCAGCCTCCCGAGTAGTTGGTATTACAAGGGCCCACTACCATATCTGGCTAATTTTTGTTTTCTTTTAGTAGAGATGTGGTTTCGCCATGTTGGCCAGGCTGGTCTTAAACTCCTGACCTCAGGTGATCCATTCCCCTCGGCCTCCCAAAGTGCTGGGATTACAGGTGTAAGCCACTGTGCCTGACCAGTTGAACTTTTTTGATTTGCATATTTATTATTTCCATCAAGTTTGAGACATATTTGACCATTTTTTTCTTGAAATATGTTCATATCTCTCTTCATTCTCCTGTCTTTAAGGGTCTCATCACATGCTTATTAGGCCACCTGATGGTGTCCAACAGAATTGATTTTTTTCATTTTTTTCAGTTTTTTTCTGTTTTATTTTGTATATATTTCAAGAACATGTTTTCAAGTACACAAATCTTTCTTCTGCAATGTATAATTGGCTCTCATTCTAGTGTCTTTTTCATCTCAGAAATCATAGTTTTCTCTTCTAAAATTTTGATACAGTTCATTTTTTACCGTCCACATCTATATTTATCATGACGTGATAAATCCTTCTTCTAACTTCTTGAATATATCAAATATATTTATAATGACTGCTTTAATGTCTTTGTATACTAATTCTGTCATCTGTGTCATTTCATTATTTTAATTGATACTTATTTTCTTCATTTTTGATCATAGATAACTGGTTCTTTGGCTATCTTATCATTGCTATTAGATGCTAGATAGCATCAATTTTACATTACTGAGTTCTACTGTTGCAATCCTAGAAATATTCTTGAGCTTTTTTGCAGACATAGTTAAACTACTTGGAATCAGTTTGAATCTTAAAGTATTTTTTTAAGGTGGTTACAGAATATTACTTAGTGTTAATAGTATTTAGTGTTAATTTTATCTTTCTACTAAGGCAAAGGTCTTCTGAGCATGAATTATGACGTTTTCTACTCAGCCTGGTTACCATTTGAAGGCTTGACTTAAGCTAAAATATTTACTTTCTTACTCACTTACGTTGCTGTGGGCAGGAGGCTTCCGTTCCTTGCTGACTTTTGGCCAGGGGCCTCAGTCTCAGTATATAGGAACCCTCACAAGGTTGACAGAGTGTCCTCACTTCATGGCAGATAAATTTCCTTAAGTGAAAATCTGAGAGAGAGCAATGTGAAAGCCACAAACCCTCTTTGGTCTACACTGGGAAGTCGTACTCCATCATTTCTGCCAGAGTCAATTCATTAAAAGCAAGCCACTAAGTATAATCCACACTCAAGAGGCTGGAAATTAGGCCCTAACAGAAGATAGTTCATGTACATAATTTAGAACCACCATAGTCAGCCTTCTGGCCTCCAGTTATAAACATTCTTATCACGTGCATTTTAAATGCATTTACCTACTCCAAGACCCCCATATTTTCATCCTTTACATGCTCACCTCAAAATCCAGGATCCTAGCTTCTAAACTAGGTGCAGGCATGGATGGGGCCTCATGGATATAATTGCTTAAATAAAGCATTTCAGGTATAGCTTCTTTTAGATCTGTGAATTAACAAGACCAATTACATGCCTCCAACCCACACAACAGTTAATGATGGGATAGGCACAGGACAACTGTTCAAAGAGAAGGGAATGAAGCTCCATCAAAGTCAGAAATATCCAAAAATTTGTGGACATATTTTTAAACTACTACACCCCTGAAGATAATTAACTTTTGACATTTATGATCATTTTATGTTCACTGTCTTATTTTTCTTGCAGTTATTAATGATATAAAAATGACAAGCCCTTTGGACCTCCCCTTCATCTAATGAAATGTTGTGTTTATTAGTAGATAGTTTTACTCTTGAGATTATTCTTCGGGTTCCAGAGATAATTTCCTGAGGCTTCTTTCTTACTCTTATTTTATCTCAAAATTGGGGTCAATAAGAATAATCAAGATTTCAGCAATTCATCTTCTTTTCCCACCACGGTTACTGTGAGTAGGAGTGAGCATAGTTAATTCTGCCTCACTCCACAAGCATTTATATGTTTTTTTTCCTTTTGGGCACCATCAAAGAATATGTCAGGGGGTTGTGCTTTCTTCTTTCACAGGGCTGTCAGTGAGTTTTGTCTAGATCTAACTTGATTTTTCTATTTTGTTTCATTTTGGAGGAGGGAGAGTCTGTGACATGATGTGATTTGACTTGTTGTCTTTCCTAAGGAAGGATCTCATGAATTTTAAGTGAGAGGACATGGGCCTGGATCAGGATCTGCACTTTTTTGTGTGACCCTATTTTAGTGCTCCCACTCCTGCTGACAGCATGCTCCTGAAGAATGAAATTCTTTTATTCAAGAATGTATTCATAAAATGGAAAAATCTTAGTTTCCAAAGCTGTAAAGTGCAGTATGAAACTTCACTCACTTATATATTGATTTCAGTATGCAGTATCCCAAGCTTTCTGCTTCAATGTTTATTTTAGTTGTACTTGAATGAGAATAAATTGCAGTTGCTACGTATATCATTTACTTCAAAATACTTCTAACTTTAGCTTACCTAGGAAGCATTAAGCATGTTTGGGCAGGAGTCAAAGACACACCTGAATTTTTCTCATATTTTCAACACTGAAAGCTGTTAATACAGTGCTACCTTCAGATTCTACTTTTTTGAAGTACATAGCATTCAAGCCTTTTTATTCTGAAATACAATATATTTTAATTTCTCTGTTTTAAAGATTATATAATTTGTATGTTATTCTCACATCCCTGATATAGATCGATACAGAGTGGATAAAAATTAGAATTACTATTGGAACTTTAAATTGTAGTCAACGGTGTTAAGAATCTATGTTGACTTTGTTTTTCTTTATAATATTTATAGTAGTTTTTAAAAATTCAATCTCTTATTTGACAATAACAAACAGACATTATCTTTTTTATAAATAGAGTCACTAAGATTTATAGAAGTTTTAATGTATTCAATGCCAAACTGCTCAAAGTAGTGTTAGGTCAGGATCTGAGATTTTATCACTTTTAGGATAGCTTCTCTCCAAATCTTGTCACATCCTTGATTCATTTACTTTAGTCTATATAGCTGTAGCTATAGCTATAGATATAGGTGTAGATTATAATTAGCCATTTTAATATATGCATGTTTTTCTAAGAAGCCAAGATGAACTCATAATTTTTCTTAATTATGCAGTCCTTTGGTTTTGAGAATTGGTGACATTAACTGAGAACAGAGAGGTCTGTACTTCTTGCTGTTTACTGACTTTAAAGACGTTTTGATGAGGGCTTCATATCTGTTTTTACTAATATCAGATAGAAATAGAATAGAAGACTAAAGGGGAAATATTTTTCATTCAGTGACATATCAATGACATGAATGATGGAATAATAACTTTTCCCTTATTTCAGTCAATTACCCAGAAACAATGAAAAAGCTTATATTTTTAGATAGCTTTTACCTACACTGATGCCTGAAATGCAGAAAGGATAATATGGCTTGGAAACGGAATATGGATACTAGATTTAAACACATACAAGACGTAAAAAAATTACATTTTTTTTGCATCAGGCTACCACCTGGTAATATCATGGAATCATTCTTATAATAAATAATTTTAAAAATTATACAATGATAGATGGGAATATGGCATTTTATATAAATTTGGTTTTAAAACAAAATATCTTTAAAATACTTTAAAAAGTCAGATTAAAGTTTGGCTTTGGAAGAGAGATAAAATGAAGGTAATATCTTTTTTTTTTTTTTTTTGAGATGGAGTCTTGCTTTGTTGCCCAGGCTGGAATGTAGTGGTGCGATCTTGGCTAATGCAACCTCCACCTCCTGGGTTCAAGCGATTCTCCTGCCTCAACCTCCTGAATGAGTAGCTGGGATTACAGACACGCACCACCTCACACAGCTAATTTTTGTATTTTCAGTAGAGACGGGGTTTCACCATGTTGGTCAGGCTGGTCTCAAACTCCTGACCTCAGGTGATCTGCCTCCCTCAGTCTCCCAAAGTGCTGGGATTACAGGGGTGAGCCGCCGTGCCCAGCTGGAAATATCTTTTTTAATAGAAGACATTAAAAGTATGTAATGAGAGTAATTGATACTTCTGGTTTGTTTCAAGATGAGGTAACAAATATTGGAGTTATAATGGCTTTCATATATTGAACATTAGGCAACATGGAACTGTGAATCCCAAGAGAAGGGACGTAAGATGCATAAATTCTGAGTGGAGGCAGTTTCCATGTCTCACTGAAGGGAGTCAGGGCTCAGTCAGAAATCAGCAGTCTCAAGGACTTCAAGAGAAAGTTATGGTGTCTGCAGAAGTAAAAGCTCCTAAAGAGTTATACCAACAAAACATATTTCAGAGTTTAAAACAATACCCTCCCAAAGAGTCTAAGCCTAGATGCAAAAAAAAAAAAAAAAAGTAAAAGTACAGCTGTTTTATTTGCAGATTACACAATTATCTAAAATTCTATACAAATAATCTCAGAAGACCATAAATGAGTTTAAGGTCAATATGTAAGAATCTATTGTACTTCTATAAACTAGCAATAAACAAATTGCTATTAGAAAATAGTTTGGTAGTTTCTTAAATGTTTTAAATGTTAACCTACTATGTCATCCAGAAATTAAACCATTAGTTATTTACCCAAGAGAAAATAAACATTTTACACAAGATTCGCATGTAGATGTTCATATAGTTTTATTTCTAATAGTACAAACCAGAAGAAATTCACATGTGCTAGATAAACAAATTATGGTATAGTATACAATGGTATATTATTTAGCAGTTGAAAGAATTAGCTATTGGTGCATGCTATAAAATTAATGAATCTCAAAATAATTCTGCTGAGAGGAAGAAAGCAAGATGAAATTGGAGAAGAAGAAGGAAAAGAAAAAATACTGTATTCTTCTGTTAATATAAAATTCTAGGAAATGCAAACTAACATTATGACAGAAAGCATGGAGATAGGGTAGGGAAAAAAGCAAGAAGGGGCAATAGTGAGGAATTATAAAAAGGCACAAAAAATGTTTGGGGGTAATGGATAAGTTAATTTTTATTGTAATGCAGCAGGCCAACAAAGTAAACATTAAATAAAGAATTATTAGTAGAAGAAAGGGGACATTTCATAATGAATAAGATATCATTACAATGGAATAATAGAGCAATAAAGTCATAAATGTGTATGCATTCAATAACATAGCTTTACAATCTATAAAGCAGACCTATAGAACTAAAAGGAGAAATTGACAAATGCATAATCATAGTGAGAAACATTAACTCATCTCTTTCAAAAGCTAATATAACAAGCAGACAAAACCTAAGGATGTGTTAGGTTTAGAATATCAGAAGACTACATGAGGAAAACATGTCATATACAATTGACAATGATAGAATATTGCATCTAACAATATAAGAATTTACATTGCCTTCAAATGTCCATTTAACAAAACTGACCATATGCTGTTCCAAAAAAGTAGCTTCAGCACACTTCCAAAGATATATATTATTTATTGAATATTCTCTGATCTAAAGGAATTAAACTAGAAACCAATACTGAACTGTTAAACAGAAAAAATTGAATGAACTAGAAATCAAACAATATACTTGAAAAAGTCAAAAATATAACTTAGATACATTTATAACCTGGTAACTTGTGGACTGCATCAAAAACACTACTTATACTAAAATATGTAGCCTTAAATGCATATGTGGAAAAAACAGGCTGAAAAATCACTGATACAAGCTTCTATCTTAGGAACCAAAAAGAAGTGAACAAGAACAATAACAAACAGCAAAGCAAACCTAAGGAAAGTAGAAGAAAACAAATAATACAAAGATAAGACTGCTGTTAAATAAAGTGGAAAATATTCAAGAGTTATATAAAAAGATTGATAAAAAGCATAAACTTCAACAAGAATTATCTAAAAAAAGAGAAATCATAAATTACCAGTATCAATAATTTTTAAAAAGAGATACCTACAGATCCTATTGATATCAAAAAGATAAGAGGGGATTACCAGAAAAAAAAAAAAAGTCCATTGAAAGGAATTTGGAAGAATTGGGCAAATTTCTTGGAGAGGGACTTAGCAAAACTGACACAAGAAGAAATTAAATATCCAGAGGGTCTGTTATGTGTTTAAAGAAATTGAGTCACTTCCTTAATTCAATTTCATAAAGAAAACTGCAGCTACTGAAGCCTTTACCAGTGTCTTATTTCAAAAATTTAATGAAAAAACATTCCTTGAAAATAAAGAACACTTTCTGACCCTGTATAAGGTCAGCAAAATCTGCTTCAAAAATCTGCCAAAGAAATTACAAAATAAAATTGAATAATTTGAAATAATATATTTCATAAATATTGATATAAAAATCCTTAGCGTAATGTCAAATCATCACCAAGTAGGGTTTATTTAAGGTATATAAAGATAGTTAGAATTTTGATGTTTAATAAATGGAATTTATTACTCATTAGGAAAAATAATTATTTCAACAGAAGCAGAAAAACTACAAAATTCAACACCCACTTGTGATTAGGAATAAAAAGTAACTTCATTAAATTGATAAACTGTAGTTACAAAAAAAATACAGCAATCAAACTCCATAGTGAAAATTGGAACCATTCCTTCTGCTAATGAGAATGATACAAAAAAGAAAGAAAAGAAAGTTGTAATTATTAACAAATAATATGGTTGTGTCTGTTGAAAATGAAAAATACCTTATATATGAATAACTTTAAAATGTAAATTTAGCAGTTTGCTGGACACATGTCAGTATACAAATTTAATTATATTTTTATCTACTGTCAATAGTGAATCAAATAATATTAAAAAAATACTACAAATAAAACATAAAATATCTATGGATAGATTTAATACAAAATTTACACAGGGAACCAGAAAATAATTTTGAAAGATATTTAACATGCTAGGGCATGCCACTTTTTATTATGTATGTTTTATGGATCAAAAGACTCAATATTGGAACAACATCAATTCCCACAAATTCAGTGACATACCAATCACAATTGTCAAAGTATTTTGTGAAAAATTAACAAGCTTATTATAAAATTTTTATGGAAATAAAATTTGTAAAACATTTAAGATATTGAAGAAGAAGGCAAAATTGGAAGATTTTATTAGACATCAGTGTATTTTATGAATTAGATAGTGGGGTATTGGTATAGGAAATAAAGTTCTAGAAATAGATTCACACGTGTAGTCATTAGATTGATGATAATGATTTCATTGCAGAACAATGGGGAAAGGATTGTGTTTTTAATAAATGATGCCAGATCAATTGGATGGCCATATGGAAAAAGAAAATCTTTATCTCTACCTTGTATTACACAGAGAAATAAATTCCAAATGAATTGCAGAGCTAATTATGAGAGGTAAAACAATAAAGTTCATTAGATATTGAATCTGTTGAAAACAGTACAAGATCTCACTTTAAAAAAAAATCACCTTCTCCTGTTCTTTTTATTCCTCTACCTAACACCCATAATTTATTAGCTCTTACTATGTTCCATGTACTGTTCTGAGAGCTTTACACAGATTAATTTATTTAATTATCATAATAACCCTATGAAATAAATATACGGTCCTCATTATATACCCAGATGAGGAAATGGAGACAAAGATTGATTAATGAAATTAACTAATTCATTCATTTATTTCTATTTGCTTCTCAAATGTTTTAAAATAGAATTTTCGCAAAGGAATCAGAAATCCTGAATCCCAAGCCTGGACTGACTTGTTTTTTCTCTGGGAGACCAGGTTTAAGTTGTACAATCTGTTTAAGTCATACAATCTGTTTAAGCCTCAGTGTCTTCACACACACACAAAAGTGTAATATGCAGGGCTGTTATTATCTCTTGAAATTGTGAAGATCAAATGAGACAAACTTACATGAGAGCTCTATGAACTATAAATTACCATTTAAAATGTGTTAACGATGAAAGATACCCAAGAAAGAAAGGCAATGCAGTTTAGGAAGCACCAAAGTTTAGGAGTGAAACAGATCAGCATTTGAATCTCTTCCCTGTCTAATGATATGATCGTGGCAAATTACCTGATATTTCTCAACCATTTCCTCATATATATTGGAGGTAATAGCATGCTATTAATATATGCTGGCTGTTATTATGTGCCAGGTACTCTTCTAAGTGCTTTACATGTATTAACTCATGTAATCCTCACAATAGTCCCATTGAGTAGGTACATGACTCTGATTTTCAGATGACAAACTTGAAGCACAGAGAGGTTAAGCTGTGTCCAAGGTTACATAGCTAATAAGTGGTAGAATCATTATTTGACCCATAGTTAGTTTGCTATTGTTGCGTAAGTTGATTGTGAAAATTGAACAAGGTGATATATAGAAAAATAAGTACTGTATACAACACAGTATGAACACTCAAAATGGTAATTATTATTATTTTAACAAACTAAGAATTTATACCTCAAGGATAAAAAGAACTATTGGAATAATAGAAAACAGAAACTAGAACAGAAACTTGCTTAAGTGTTTGGCAAGGAAAAGGGGATACTTTGGATGATGGAGGAAGAGGACAGAGATGTGAAAAACTGAATAAATAGCAGCAAGGATGATGTAACTCACAAATAGGAACTATCTGCCCTAGTGACAACGAAGGCATAGTGGGTGTCTAGTGGGTTGCATAAATATCACTGAGGTTGTTATAAGCTGGTAACTTGTTTCCATGGTATCTTTAAACTCTCTTAGAGTATGTCCTGATAAAAGTCCTTAAATTAGCTTATCTTTTCAGCTTTGTGTACCACATAAAAGTTATGTGATTCTAGAGAGTGCTTACAAATAAGAATCTGTACATCAGCAACCAACACAATCCTAAAATCCTCAGGTGTAGCTTCATAGATTGACTCTTTTGAATGAAACAGAGCCATCTGTCACTTGACTTTTCTATGACATTCAAGATATTGAAGTTTATAAGAAAAGATTGATTTAGACACAAGTTTAATGAAATTAAAAATGTGTGATTAATGACATCTGTTTTTTAGGCATGATATCTGAAGTAAAATTAATTAATGCCTTATATAAATTACACATTGCACTGTAATTTGCCTAAAAAGAAGGTTAAATTTGTTAAATTTCTCTTAACCTATTTGATTTTAATGCCTAGTATATATTCGATCATATAATTGCATTGGTCTTTATTTTTATCTCACTATTCCCTCCTGAATTTCACCATTGTTTAAATATTGTGATTCCATTTTTCATCACTATGAGTTATCTGAGAAGCCAGATAATATTCAATTTTATTAGTTAGCTTATTTTAAAAAGTTTAATATGAGCTTTAGCTAGTTTGGCCTCTAAGGCATTATACTATGCAATAAACTAGGGTAAATATTTTTTTCTTTATCTTTTTCATATGTTAGAATAAAAAAGAAGGGAAGGATATATTTCCCTGGTAAATGTTGTTATACCATGTACACAAAATGTATACACTTACACACTCCAGAAAACATTAAGAATCTTTTAAAACAAGCTTCATTGAAAATCTACATGAAAACTAAACCTAAAAATTTAGATATGTAACCTGAATCAATAGAAAGCTATAGCCTCATTTTATTACTGCAGTAATAAATTTCCAATTCTTGTGGCTATACATAGTTTTATGTTGTTAAGTACATTAGTATTCAGATATATTGAGAACACCTGGAACATTATAGAATTGTCTTTCTTGAATTCAGACTGAGTAGTTTGTGTGTTAATATCCATGGTCCTTTATACTGAGGATTGTAATTTGGTCATATCCCTGTAGCAACCAATAAGAAATGTCAACAAATCCCCTGGATGCTGTTTACTGCTCTAAACAGTACTTAGTAAGCCTGGGGCTATCTACAAGAGCTTATACATATAATCTGGCATGACCATTCAGAAAGGATATCTGAATTGTAGACATACACTTTCAATAAGATTAAAAATAATATCAGTCCTTTTCTATCTCAATGCACTGTACTTACATGCAGTGAATAGACAGAATTTTATGTTTTTTTTTTTTTAACAGCAGCCACTAAATTATACCAACTTTGGAATTTCTCTGTAGTAGCCAATTTAATTGAACAAATTGCTTTTGTGTGAAATTAGAGATTAAAATGAGTGAACTAAATGGTTGATTAACAATATGCTGTGGATATTACCTTAACACCAGGAATTCTTCATCTTTATGCTACACTCTCCAGTATCATTTATTATTTGTGAGTCACATAGAACAAAGCGATTGGCTAGGAGTTTCCTAATAACTAAATCAAGTAGTTTGAATTAAACATATACTCTGAGAATCGTGGCCCACAATAGAAAGTAAAGTGAAGGAAAATATTGTTTCTATTAGTTTCCAAATAGAGAGTCAAATAAATAGAAAGTAATGGCATGACAAGGAATATCTAAAAATTCCCACAACAGGAAAATCTTGAAAGTTATGACACCCATTAGTTCTCTTTTTCCTAAATGCTGGACTCAAGCTCCTGTGGCTTGTGATGAATGAAGGCATCATGGATAGAAAAGGTTTTGGTTTGATTAATTTTAGAGATAGGCTTTCAACATCTTTCTGTAACTTTGAGGCTTGTATACTCATCATCAGGATATTCTCTCAACTAGCGAGCACTTACTATATGCTATGATTTAAGATTATCCCCTTCTTATCAAAGTCAGACATCATTATGTTGTCCCTCCCACCCTTAACTCCCCCCGCAAAATAAAAAACAACATCGCTATGCTGAAATTACATATGACCTCTTTTCTGGAATGTGAATTATTTGTGAGGGAGGGAGACTTCTCTGCTCAAAAATATTTGCTGACTCTCACTATAAAAAGATAAATTTGGGCTGGGTACAGTGGCTCATGCCTATAATCCCAGCACTTTGGGAAGCTGAGGCGGGTGGATCACTTGAGGCCAGGAGTTCAAGAGCAGCCTGAGCAACATGGCGAAACACTGTCTCTACTAAAATTACAAAAATTAGCCAGGCATGATGGCGGATGCCTGTAATCCCAGCTACTTGGGGGGCTGAGGCACTAGAATTGTTTAAACCTGGGAGGCAGAGGTTTCAGTGAGCCAAGATCACACTACTGCGCTCCAGCCTGGGTGACATGGCAAGACTCTGTCTCAAAAAAAAAAAAAAAAAAAAAAAAAGATAAATTTGAAATCCTTAGATTGGCATTTGCCAACTTCTATCATTTGAACTTTTTTTCTCCCACTACTTCTCTATGCAACCTCCAAATGTCAGTCAAATTCCCCATCCTTTCAGGATCCCCTTGAGGAGTATCATAATCATAGTTTCAATGAATCATTGCCTTCCTGCATCTATACCACTTTGCAATATGGCCTTGCCTCTCCTTCCTCCCAAAGATGGAATCTCAGGAACCAGGACTGGCCTGGGAATTGCCTTGGTCATTCAGATGTGACAGAGGTGATCTGAAGCCTATATTTCAAGAGACCTTGAAGTTTCCACCTTTGCCCTCTTGGAATCCTAAGAACAGCATGCTATGAAGAAGTTGGTTTATCCTGTTAGAATATGAGGGTCATGTGGAGGAGAGCCAAAGTGTCCCAGAAAACAACCAACACTAATTTCTTCAACCTTCTGGGTCAATCAGTCCTCCATCAGAAATCAGTCTCATCTACAAGCTCAGGTAAAACCAGCAGAGGAGCTGCACAGTCAATGCACAGAATCATGAGAATGAGTAAATCATTGTTTCAAGCTTCTAAGTTTCGGGATGGTGTATTAGACAACAATAAATAACAATAATATAAAGCAATAGATGATCGTCATATGGTCCACTCTATAATAATTTCCTTTTATATCCATCAGCATTACACTTTCCCCTTAGGAAATTTGTAGCACTGTATATCCGCTAATGCTATCTTGTGCTTTTCATATTTTAAGAAACTTCTATGTTCCAATCATAATGTAAATTATTTTATTATAGAATGGCATATTTTAAAGAGAGATGGCTCCTTATTCTTTAAATGGTATTTAGTGTCCTTGAAGCCCTTTAATCATCTGTTCAGATTAAATAAACCTGATTGGTTTTGCATTTTATTACACAGATTGTTCTCAAACTTTTAGAGATAAAACATAGGAAAATGGAAGTAGGAAATACATGAGAATATTTAAGTGTAATAGGTTTTATTCAATGTAGTTATTGATAATATGCAATATGAAAGACAATAGAAGTTCTGCAATATACATAAAAGATCAAAATTTAACATCTATATTCAAAAAGTTTTTCATTTAGACAGAATTTGGTAAACTATGGCCAGCTGGCCAGCTGCCTGTTCCTATAAATAAAGTTTTACTGGCTGGGCGCAGTGGCTAATGCCTGTAATTGCAGCACTTTGGGAGGCCAAAGCAGGTGGATCACAAGGTCAGGAAATCGAGACCATCCTGGCTAACACAGTGAAACCCCATCTCTACTAAAAGTACAAAAATTAGCTGGCGTGGTGGCACAGGCCTGTAGTCCCAGCTACTCGGGAGGCTGAGGCAGGAGAATCGCTTGAACCTGGGAGGCAGAGGTTGCAGTGAGCTGAGATCACGCCACTGCACTCCAGCCTGGGTGACAGAGCGAGACTCCATCTCAAACAAATAATAATAATAATAATAAGGTTTTAAAGACACATACACACGCCCTTTCATCTGTGTATTGCCTATGGCTGCTTTTGTGTTACAACAGCAGAGCTAGTAGTTGGCTAAACTACTGTGTAATTTTCAAAGCCCAAAATATTTACTATCTGTCCCTTTAGGAAAAAGTATGCTGACCCATGTTTTAGTATAAGTAATAAATATAAGTATAATAAAAGAAAAATATAAAATTCAAATGGTGGCAGAGAGACAAAAAATAAAATATTTTACAAGTATGAAAGAGAATATGATCATTTTTGGCTAGAATATTTAGGAAAGGCTATATGAGTAAGAAATAATTTGATATGGGTAGTGAAATAAGGGTAATATTCTAGAAAGTAGTTAATTAAGGGGGATAAGTTTGAGATGAGGAAAAATAAAGAGAGAAGACACCTCAGGAGTGAAGAGGAAGAGAATAAAAGACAGTTGAGAGTTAGGGAGAGAATAGAGATGTTATTATGACTTTGGAAACCAATGGAGAAGACAGTTATAAAACAAGATGGTCCCCAGTATAGACAGCTGCAGAGGGTATTATTTTAGTTCCATAGAGCTGCTGTAACAAAGTACCAAGCACTGAATGGCTTAAAACAACAGAAATGTATTGCTTCACAGATCTGGAGGCTTGAGGTCCAAAAGCAAGTTTTCTACAGGCACATATTCTCTCTGACAACTCCAGGGAAGGATTCTTCCAAGAAATACCAGCAGTTTTTGGCATTTCTTGGCTTGTAGATGCACCACTCTAGCTATGTGGCAGTCTTTTCCCTGTATGTCTTTACATCTTCCCTCTGTGAAAGTCTGTCTCTGTATCCAAATTTATCCTTTTTTGTCTTATTAGGACTCACCCTAATGGCCTCATTTTAACTTGATCACTTCTGTCAATAATTTATTTGCAATCATGTCACATTCTGAGGTACTGAAGATTATGATTTCAACATATCTTCCTTGAAGAACACAATTCAACTCCAAAGAGGTATAGACCAGAAAAGTTAGAGGGGTCACGGGATGCACAGATTAGGTTATCACTGGTGAATTTTCAAAAATTAACTTAAATTAGATTGGTGAGTTTTGGAACCACCTGGTTACTAGAAGCTGTTATGGTAGAATAATTTGTGAATAAATTCAAAACAATGAAAATAAAGATAAAGAGCAGAGTAGTTTTAGAAAATCAGCATTAACATTCATTTTAGCAGAGTCAATACCTTCACATAGAAAAAAAAGAAATGGAAGAAATACAAGAGAATAAAACAACAGACTGAGCAAGTTTTAGATTTAAAGAAAGGAGAGAAACAATCAGTATGACAGGCAGAGGAGAAACCTTGGTAAGAAAGAAGGGTGTATTTTTCCTCAAAGACTGAATAAAGAAAAGAGAAGTCTCAAAAAGTCATGGAGATAGTTCCCATTAGATTCAAAATTTCTTTTCTTTTCTTTTTTTCTTTTTCTTCTTCTTCTTTTTTTTTTTTTTTTTTTTTTTTTGAGATGGAGTTTTGCTCTTGTTGCCCAGGCAGGAGTGCAATGGCACAATCTCGGCTCACTGCAAACTCCACCTCCTGGGTTCAAGTGATTCTCCTTCATCAGCCTCCCAAGTAGCTGGGATTACAGGCACAAGCCACCAAGCCCATATAATTTTTTTGTATTTTTAGTAGAGACTGGGTTTCACTATGTTGGCCAGGCTGGTCTCGAACTCCTGACCTCAGGCGATCCACCCACCTCGGCCTCCCAAAGTGCTGGGATTACAGGCGTGAGCCACCACACCCAGCCAGATTCAAAATTTCTAAGGAAAGTAGGATATGACATCATGTGCTTACAATAAAACAATAAAGAGTGTATATTGGGCCTAGAGTCAGTGAAAAAGTGTAGGAAAAAAGCCAGCATTATAAATTTGCTTTATTTGCTTTGGTACCAACAGAAGTTGAATTATATATACATATATATGCTGTTTAGCAGAGCACCTCAAACTGAAGTTAGGGAGCATGGATTTGTAGTAAATCTTAGCATAGTTATGTGATTTTTCTGGTAATGCTCAGCAGCCCCAGAGACAAAACAGAGGATGCAGACTGTAGGGATGATTGAGACCTGGGGACCAGTAAGGAGTATTGGAAAAAGCAATACTCTGCAGTAGAAGTGAATGCACAACATTTTTTACTTCGATGCCACAGTTTATTAAAAAGTCAGGGAAGATGATAAAATATGGGATGAAATTGCGGATGAGAAAAAGGGAAACATCTAGAGTTTGTGATGAGAACCGAGCCCAAATTTAGTAGAAGTGATTGAAAGAGGTGAGAAGGAGATTTTACAGTTTGATGTCTTAGAGACAGAGAATTGTTGAGTACTGATGAGGAGAAATGTGTGACTAGGCAGGCGGGTTGTTGCCATCAAGAGAGTTTTGGGAAAAACAGGATTTTAAAACCTACCTTGATCTAAATCGTGAACACAACTTCAAAAAATGGACAAAATGAAAACGTGGACAAAATGAACAAAAACCTAAAAGCCAAATTCCTTTTATGTGTTTTTTTGAATGTGAGAATCTGAATGAAGTGAATAAAACATTTTCACCAGAAAAAGATCATTTTTCATATGACTGTGATAGCTGATAGAAGATTTTAAGTCAATGAAAATGTACATGCATGTTAATATAAGACTTTTTTTTTTTTTGCTTTGCAAAACCAGGGTGGGTGGAGGAATTATTACAGAATGTTTAATTGTTAATGGGAAATTGTGTAGGCAGCTTGTTTTATTGCTAGGCAAATGTTAATGAATAAATGCCTGAGATTAATGGGTTTTTATAAAGGATTTAAGTTGAAGTCATCTTTTCTCTTACTTTTCATATCATAAACTGTGAAGAATTGTCTAGGGAGGATATGTTATCCTTGGCCTTGGAGACATGAGTTACATAATGTTTCTACATGGTAAGTTGGTCAGAATGAACTCAGAGCAAGTACAAGCAGGAAAACATCTTCATTTTTCTCTTCACTACACTTTTAATCAAGATCTGTCAAATCTCTCCTTCCTGCCTTAGACAGAATCTCAAATAGGTCTCATAACTTTCCTGTCTCATTTGACTGTAAAAATAGCCTTATGTCCAATTGTTAAAATGTTCAGTCTATGTTTTTTTGTTTTGTTTTGTTTTGTTTTTTGACATGGAGTTTAACTCTTGTCACTTAGGCTGGAGTGCAGTGGCGTGATCTCGGTTCATTGCAACCTCTGCCTCCTGGGTTCAAGTGATTCTCCTGCCTCAGCATCCTGAGTAGCTGAGACTACAGGCGCTCACCACCAGGACCAGCTAATTTTTGTACTTTTAGTAGAGATGGGTTTCACCATGTTGTCCAGGCTGGTCTAGAACTCCTGACCTCAGGTGATCCTCCCGCCTTGGCCTCCCAAAGTGCTGGGATTACAGACATGAGCCACAACGCTCAGCCTAGTTTTTAAATTAAAATTTCCATCCCACATACAATTAAAACATTTTCCCCCTTATTAGCTTAGGCATGATGTGTCTGACTTTTTAAAACCACCAGTAAGCAACATGGTAGGGAGTGGGTGGTCCATTTGTTCATCACTTTTTTTAACCTACTCTTCCCTTCCCACCTCCATCCTCTCTCTTCTAGGATTAGGGCACGAGGTGATGTGGAAAGATTAGAAAAGGAGGCACAATTGTTTGTACTTCATTGATGCCACCTGTGGTTTTCTGTTGGTTGACATTTTCTGTCTTTAATCACTGCGATGTGACAGGCATTTGAAAACTGAAATAAATTTGCAGAATTTGGGGAGACTCCCCTGAGGTCTTGTTATAACCCTGGTGGTACACTCTTCCCCCTGGCAGATCTTTCTGTTTGCCAGAGTTCCTTAAAACTCCTCATGTCTGCTACTTTCTGCATATACTTACTTTGCCCAATGGATTCTCATGTATCCTTGTCTCACCAAACTGAAGGAGACAGTTTTCCTAACTTCTGACTCCTTCTTTCTCCTCCTGCCATGCGGGCAGTCCAAGCCAGCTCCTGCTTTTAGACCTCTCTGTATAAATAGCAGGCACCTCTCTCTATGTTTTTGTTTTCCCCTAAAGTCAGGTTTTCTCTGGAGCTTTCTCATCTTACCTCATCTTAATGATAGGAAAAATATGGGCTCTAACAAGTCTGTGGTGGAATGAGATGCCTCTTCCCTTCTTATAAGCACCCTAATCCTGTAAGCAGTTCTTTTGGGGTGTCCATCACTTAACTTCAGTGGGGAAGGAGGGCTACATATCCCCTTCTCTCAACAAGAAGACAAGAGTTAAATCATTCTGTGTTTCTAGGAATTTTCTTGAAACACTTTACTTAAACATTTCGAGTCTTTCCTTATAAAGACTCTTAGGGATCATGATACCCTGACTGGTTTTGCTCCATTTTGGTTAATGTCACATGGATGGTTTTATTACCACTCTTTAGAACTTTAGGGGTACACCATTCCTATTGTTCTCAGCTTTCAAGTTTTAGCTGAAAATCCAAGACCTCAGAGACAGTCCCATACTTTCTCTGCAGACTAATTTTGAATGCTATTCATGTTAAGCATGGGACTGAGTTTACACATGGAGAGCTGTAACGTACAGCAAACAACATGGTAAGAAGGAGGATATGGTTAGGCTTCGTGTCCCCACCAAAGTCTCATCTTGAATTGTAATCTCCATAATCCCCATAATCCCCACATGTCAAGGGAGAGACCAGGTGGAAGTAATTGACTCATAGGGACAGTTTTTCCCATGCTGTTCTTATAATAGTGAGTGAGTTCTCACAAGATCTGATGATTTTATAAGGGATTCTTCCCTCACTTTACTCAGCACTCCTCCTTCCTGCCATCATGCGAAGAAGTTGCCTTGCTTCCCCTTTGCCTTCTGCCATGATTGTAAGTTTCCCGAAGCCTACTCAGCCATGCTGAACTGGGAGCCAATTAAATCTTTTTCCTTTATAAATTACTCAGTCTTGGGCAGTTCTTTAACGGCAGTGTGAAAACAGACTAATACAGAGGCTATCTAAGTTTGTCATCACCTTCTCCTAAGATTACTGCTGAAAATGAGAACAACTCACAACATTTACAAAAAACTTTTGGTAATGTTTTTATGGCTACAGATTGAGATTTCTATTGGTTGGTACTGACTACTTCTTTCATTCGAGTTGGTATGTGGTCATATTTATATATTTAATATTCATTAAAAACTTCAGAGCAAATGAGTGCTTACATAGTTGGCACTTAATTCATGATGAAGAAATATGATGTCTGATTTTCATAATTTTACAAGAAGAATTTAAGTTCTCCCTTTATTTGTATAATATTTAATAAACACTTAAATAGCATTTACTATGTGTCAGACACTGTTCTAAATGCTTTATAATGCATTTAATTCTCATAATGACTCTATTAGGTGGTTACTCTTATCATTTTTATTTTACCAGAATAAACTGAAGCACAGGAATCTTGAGTTTGTGCAAGGTCATACCACACAAAGTGGCGAAGCCTGGGTTTGTGCAGAGGCAGTCTGACTTCAAAATGTGTGTTCTCACCATTATGCAATGTGGCCAGTTACTTCTAAAGATATTTAAATTAGATTAAAATAAAAGACACACAAAAATACCACTAAAATAAAAATTGGAAAATCCAAAGTCACGAAATTAATGAAGGGAGAAATTACTGTACTAAAGAGCTAAGTGCTAAATTTAGCTCAGAGTTTTCTAACAGGTAAATCATAAAGGAAAATAAGATGAATTACATAGCTCTTATAGTCTCATTCTCATATCAAAGGGAACTTTAGAATTTATTTGGTTGAAGAAACTGTCTCTAGCTTTCAATAAGAAGAGGTTTATACCAGGAAGATCTTTTCATAAAAGATATCTCCCATAAACTTTTTACAAATCATATAGAAATTCTATTTCTATTGCATCTTATAACAAGAAATAAGCTGAAGATAATAATGAAAACATTAAAAATTTGTGAAGGAAGTTATAAAAGAAACTAATGTTTATTAACATACCTGGCAAGCCTCTATTCTCTTTTAATTTAATGATATACTGTAGATAGTATAGAGGAGCTATTTTTATAAATTTTGCTCATCTACTTTCTGAAAGAATTCTCAAAAATAATTTGTCCCCTTGTACATTTTAAATTGGCATCTTATTTATCTTATACTAAGTTTAAATAGTTGTAATGAATGTAATTTCTGAAATATTATAATTATGAATATTTAAAATAAAACTGTCAAATCATTCTTTTAGTGTGTCCGATAGAATCTTATTACTCTAGTAATTTGATATCTACCAAAATCAATTTTAAGATTTATGAACCAGACAAAAATTGTACATTCTGCTTCAGATGCCCATTCTATTATACATATAGAATATTTACATTTTGATTGTTGAAAGTCTTTTCTTGATCAAGTTTTCTTATGTCTCTGCAACAGCAACTTCTCTCTATATAGATATATTTATCTACATTTTAAATTTAAATTTAAATTAAACAATTTTTAAAATTTTCTGTACCATCGGAATCTAAGTTTTAAGAATTCTTTTTGGATCAACTATCATTGTGAGCATTATTTATATTATCAGAATAAATACATAACAGATTTTGATAAATATTAAATACAGAAAATAAAATTATATTGGCAATGACTCAATGACCGTTTTCAATTAATTTATAAACTTTTGGATTAATATTATTGATGGAATGTTACAAGTTTCAGTAGAAAGTAATTGCAAGAAGAACAGTTTTTGGGCCACTAAGTGCAAGACTTACAAAAATTCATTAATGATTTTTGTGAGTCTACTTTTAGAGTAGGTCCTGTGAAATACTTCTCTAAGGATACTTTCTTATAAGTACATGGTGGAGATGAAAAAATTTTCAAAATTCCATGTAAGTAAAAATAAATATAGGTTTTCAGATATCAATAAGAAGTCTATAAAAATTCATAGAAATGATTTTTATGAGCCTGAATAAGTGTTTGAGGAAATTTGCAGCACTAGCTTGCCTTCAGTATATGGTCATTTAATTCAAAGATGTAATGTTGGTCTGTTGTAAATAAATGCAGAATATATATTATTATATCTTGTTTGAAATCATGGCAAAAATATGTCACTGGTACAGACACTGGTCAGTGAGAATCCCTTCCCCAAACTCTTTCTCATTATTGAGAATGATAAAATTGTAGAGAAAGTATAGTTTGTAGCAGATTAATATTTGTATTAGTCCGTTTTCACACTGCTGATCAAGACATCCCAAGACTGGGAAGAAAAAGAGGTTTAATTGGACTTACAGTTCCACAGGGCTGGGGAGGCTTCAGAATCACGGCAGGAGGTGAAAGGCACTTCTTACATAGTGGTGGCAAGAAAAAATACGGAAGAAGCAAAAGCAGAAACCCCTGATAAACCCACCAGATCTCGTAAGACTTATTCACTATCATGGGAATAGCACGGGAAAGACCAGCCCCGCCATGATTCAATTACCTCCACCTGGGTCCCTCCCACAACACGTGGGAATTCTGGGAGATACGATTCAAGTTGAGATTTGATGGGGACACAGCCAAACTATATCAATATTTAAGACATAATATTCAAATTTTAAATTTCTAAATATCTAGGTTGTTAAATAGCTAAGCCTCACATTAGTGTCTCACTTGGATGAAATACATTTCCACTAACCTCAATGTTTTTGTTTTTACCTCATGTGATACTCCCTCAAAGCAACAGATTCCTTAATGATAGTCAAGGGATAGAACAGATTAAATTATTAAACAAAAGTTATCAGCTCTACCATATCACTATAAAATATATCTAATTCACAGCACCCAAACTACATTTGTGAGATTCAACCACGTTCATTTTTTTGGTATTGTATTCCATTCTAATGTCATTTTTCATCCGTAACAAAAATACAGAAAAGCCATAATTGCATGGTGAGTTAATTAAAGGAATATTCTCTGATAGCAATATTTGAATTCCCCTCTACCCCCATTTATTGGTGCCTTATAGATTTTGGCATTGTAAGGCATTGTGTAATTCTGAGATTTGAAATGTTTGGGGAGTATGATTGTCTTTGGTAAAGTATGAGATGGGAGAGTATGGATGAAGAGCTGAAAGCAGAAAGCCTGCATGATGTTTTTATTGCTCCTACTTTCTCAGTCAGGTCAGTTTTCAGGAGGAGTGTGTATTTCTATTGAAGATCTAGAAATTGACTTTATGAAACTTTGAGCCCCATGGAAAGTTTCTCTGTACCATTAGGGATATATACAAACCCATAGATACCTATACCATACTAGACTATTGGTCAGATTGTTTAATATAGTATGTCAGCTTGACTTTGGAAAGCTCTAGATGTTGAGGCAGAATTTCTCTGATGAATATTTAACTGTACAAATTTTGTACATTGGTTATATACCCCTCTCTTAACCACTACCTTGACTTTAACATCACAGGTGAGTTTTGTCTATTTTTTAAACTATATATACAGCATGTAGCATTTTTGTGAGTGAGGGTCGGACTTCTTTTTGTCAAATTAATTCTTGGGAAGTTCTTTCGTAGTGTATGTGACTATAGTTTATTTTACTTTGTATTGCATTTCATTTTATGAATATACCACAATTGTCCATTTTATAGTGGATGCCAACTTCAGGATGCTTCGCATTTCAAACATTTGTGAATGAGGCTACTATAAATTTTCTGAAGTTCCTTGGTCTAGTGATGATCATTATCATTACCAGCCAATGTAGAACACTTTGGTTCCTCCTCTTATCCCTCCTAGTGGTAGAGCTGGCTAAATTCCTTGTTACAGAAAGAAATGCTCATAAAGAATGCTAAGTAGACTAGAAAACATGAAGCTACTGCATCCAATTATGACTGAAGAAAACAAATTTTATTTTACCAAAGCATGCTCACCAGTTAAAGCTGTTTCTCTACAAAATTCACATTTCAAAAATGTGATCAAAATTTGCAGCCATTTATTTACCTCATTTTAGCTATGAGAATCTAGATATTTTATTGAAAAGGCAAATCATATGAAAAATTTCTAGAAATAGAATTATTGGATGAAAAAGCAGATATATTTTAAGACTTCTGATAAAGGAACAGTGACAATTTACACCCTATCACCAGTGTACTGGAATGCCAATCTCCCCTTGCTAATGCCACATGTTATTGATCATTGCCAATTTAATTGGCTGAGAATGGGATCTCTGTGTTGTTTTTATTTGCATTGCTTTGATTGCTAGTGATGTTGAACAGTATATCTAATAGTGAGACAGAACTTGAGTAAAAAGAGAAGGAGGGGGAAGAGATAATTAAGCTTGTGTGTGGTTGCTATTTTTAATGTTCACATTCTAATTTCTGTTATTTAAGTGTGTGAAAATGATTTTGGATAAAGTGCCCCCCTTCATCATCTGCTTATCGCTTCTTCAACTCTTTTTACATTGAATTATCTCCCCATTTTTCTAAATTTCAGTTTTCTAGATGAAGTTGGAGGCAAGAGACCTGGAGAGACATCTAGGAGATGTGGTTAGGTGGGACCAGATATCACATTTGCTTTTCCTCATCGTCTTTCCTCCCTAAACTTATGATTCAGGGAAACATATACTGTGATAACTATTCCACGATGCTGGAAAAATTACAACACCCCCTAAATATTAAAATACATTTGGTTCTGTTGCCTTGGGAGTAATAGAACATAAAGGAACCACCCTTGGACAACAAAAAATTAATTGAAATCATTTTTTTTCATGTTTCATCCCCTTGTATACAGTAGACCTTTTAAAAGTGTTGAATAAATATAAGTAAATGAATGAGAAAATGAATGAAGGTTCTAAGTAACATTTACTTGAGATATATGAATGCCAGCAGAAAAAAACCCATTCATAATCGAGTAGATAAATCTAAGCTGATTTAAATTTCTTCTATGTCCACTGTTTACTGAAAATCTTTGAAATTTCATTTATTAGGTAATCAGTGAGTAAAAAATTAATCTAAAAAGGAAATAATGAATTTCATAGGGTCAATTATTATGTGTCAGTTTATGTGCCAATACGGTTTGTTAAAAGTAAATCCAAGAATTTGGTGGGAAATTGCTGTTGAATATACAGTTACTCTGACTTAGCTGGTAATTAAATTAAACATTCTATGGCAAGAAAAAAACTATTCAAAATGTTATCAGTGAAAAATCCACTTTGATAAATATGCATGATTTCAGAGATTAACCAGTGTTGTTACAACTAAACAACCAACCAATCCTGAAATTTATAATAATAAATGTAGATGAAATATTAGAATCACGATCATAACAGTAATAATAGAGTATCCATTACAAAGAAGTCAGTTCACAAAATAGTAAGCATTTTGTTTCCATAAAGGATTAAGAAATGTGGAATTGAAGGGGGAAATTCAAGAAGGATAGATGGGGACAAAGAATAGAGACCCACTCAGGTTAGCTTAAGTGATTGAAAATGTTTATAAAATAGATGCAGAATATAAAAAATGAAACTAACCTCTCTTAGCAGACCTATGAAATATTGGCACACAATTTTAAACAAATTTTATGTGAGAAGTAAAATACTTCTCAAAATGCAAAGCAGCTCAGGGAACTACTTCCATTGAGCGCAGAAATGGAAGTAGTTCTCTCCTCTAATGCTCTCCATTGTGAAGACTCAAATTATTTCCATCTTCAACTTCAACAGCTCTTGCCCTTGCAAATGGATTGATTCCTCCCTTCTTTTTTTTCATGAGCCACAACATGTCTTTATGATTTCTGATTACTTATGGCTTATGTAGGCTTTGGTTGCCTCATAGGGTCTGCTTTTTGGCTTCTCTTTTTGTATGTATCCAAATTTGCTCAACATATCACCTCTTTCTATTTTGTGTGTCATAGATTCCAAATTCAGTGAGAGTATCCGATTAGATGAAAGAGTCACAAAATATGATGTATCTCTGGTGCAATTCATGTCAGGAAAACTCAAGAGCCATTTCAAAAGAATCACTAGTACTTATTTGGTATTAAGTGTTTTGGAGTTTATCTTGAGAGTCAAAATATAGGCCAAAAAAAATGCTGTCTTGGGGTCAGAATCCTTCACTAGTCCAATCATTTTGGTGGAGTTCTGAGATTATGTACCTATAATGATATTTTTAGAGAAAGGTTGTAGGTAAGACCAGTACACTGGAATTTTCCTGAAGGAGATTGTGGAACTGGTAGATACCTTCCATGCTGTTCCCTTCAACCTATGTTAATGGTGACACTAAACATGTTGAAGACTCAGCAAAGATTAAGGAGCTGAAACTTCAGTATAGTTTTCTTTTTAACAGAAAATCATTTAATAAATTGCATTGCTATTTATCATCAATTATTTTGCCAAGAAGTTGTGGTTATAATGAATAACACCTGAATCAATGGAAGATGGTCTTATTATGTTGATACGTTAATAGTTTTTACGTCGTCAGGCTATCTGAGTAAAGTGCAGTGCTAAAACAAACGTTGACTCAACCCTCAATTTCCTTAGTAGAATTACACATAAACTACATTAAAATAATAAATCAAGCAAAAGACCACAAACATCTAAAAAGGCTACTTTGTATAAAAGTTGAAATGACTTATTTAGAGGGATCCTTGCCTTTTATAGTAGAGACCCTTAGTGTAAAAATAAACTTTAAATTTGGAAGGCAAAGGAATTGGTGATTTATGGGAGATTTGACAGTAGTAATTATTTTTTAAAGTAAACATAATAGTTTACCTTGAAAATATTCAGTCACCAAAGCCATAGTATTATTCTGTTTCTAGAACTTGAGACTCTCCCTTTCTTAGTAATCAAGAAGATAAGAAGTTTTCAGAGAAGGAGAAATGTGAGTTTCTCTGTGAGTTTTCTGTGAGTTTTATTGTGTGCTCTTATGCACTGGTGAAATGTTTTCCTATTTAAGGTGATGTATTAAGTAGAGTGACATGTGGCTGCACCATTCGTACACCTCCTTGTTAATGACATACACTTCCATATACTGAATAATAAGTGAGCAATTTAAATTAAGTGTGGGTGTTAGCATTGCAGAATTTTCCACATTTTGCTCTTGGCTCTTGCAGTTAGACTTTTAACCATTGAAAAACTGAAGCTGTAGACATTTAAATTATGCCATTCCTGATTTCTTCACAATGCCAACATACAGCCAGCTTTTGCCATAAAACAAATATACAATTCAGTTTTGAGAGGAATTTCAGGATGGCGGTACCAAATCTAGGATAGGGGATTATACCCATTATTGCAAGTAAATCCCATTAATTTGATTAAATTAGGAACAAACAAAATACAAAACCCAAAACCCCTTGGCTTATGTGCAGTCTGTGTGCTACATCATTTTGTTCTTATTGATATGCTTCTTGATGCTTTCATGTGGGATTTTCTCATAAAATCTCAAACTCCTAGAGGTTGGAGACCATGTTTTATATTTCTCAACACTCCTCCTTAGTGCCAGGTACAGTGCCGTGAATGTAGTTGCTTTAATGAATAATTGTTTTCTAGGTAATTATGGCATTATGCTTAAGATAACTCATGCATGAGGTGAGTTATTAAGCCAGTGAAGTCATATATGCCTTTAGTTTACTTTTAACTCTTTCTCTGTCCATTTAAATTTGTTTGCTGATAATGTTCTTTAAGAATACCTACAAGTGCTCAGGTATTTCTGCCTTGTGCATTGTAAAAAAATAACTACTCTATCATTTTTCTGGGAAGAAACTCAAATTGAATTATGAGGTGACTCTGGAACTTGGAGATAAAGAAATTGCAAGCTTCAAATTGTCACGACTACGGACTCTCTGAGCTTTAGTAGGTGTTGGAGAAATTTATCAGCATTGAGAACTTTTACACATTTTTACATCTTATTGAGTATTTTGAACAGTTAGTACATGATACTAACCAGAAACTGTTGTTAAGTGATAAAGTAGAAGCCTTCTGAAATAAAGCCGTGATGCTGTAGAGAATCTTAGATTAGCTAATCTTAGTAGTAGTAGTGTCAAGAAAACCTGGAAAGGAGCACATGGTCACAATGAGCACATATACCCACACTGTACCTGTTAGGGAAGTATAAAGATAGCTTAAGCAATGTATCACAAACAGGCAACTTCTAGACATGTCTTACTTGACATGTGCAATACTTACTAATATTTGCAATTGTTATTGACACTTAAGCGATGGGAAATTTTACTTAAAAATTAGAAGGTCTAGCAATTTTGGTTTTGCATCTTAGGATGACTACAACTGGCAGGATTGGCTGGCCCTTTTTGTTGAGGTAGATACCTTTACAGAATGGTTATATAGAATTCTAGTCCCCACAGTACCCACTGATCTTCTTTACTCATTTATATAATCTGTCTATGACCTTTAGCTGCTGGCTTTGTAGATCATGTCTCAAGCTCACAAAGATCCCTGTCCTTAGAAATTTCCAGAACTAACCTATGGGACAGATCGAACTACATTCAGAGCTAGAATAAGATAGCTAAAATCCCTGCTGTTCAGTGTGGTAGCCACTAGATGGGCTACTTAAATTCATTAAAATTAAATAAAAATTTAATTCTGGAGTTACATTAGCTGCATATCTAGTTGCATGTCACATGCACATGGAGAACATTTTCATAATTGCAAAAAGTTGTAGTGAACAAACTTGTATAGTTAGTAAAATCTTTACAAGTGACAATTACAAAAGAAAAGTCCTAAAATGATAGACTTCAAATGGGAAATTCTAAAGCACAAACAAACAACTGGCACTCACTGGCTGAAGCACAGAAAGGATGAAGTATTTAAACAGATCATTTAAATCTTCTTAAATCAATTTAGGAGCACGGCCCAAACGAATTGCATTCCAAAGAAATGGAAGTATTTATACATGGAAGAGGAAAAACTACCACTGACAACAGTTGAGATGAGTTTCCAGAAGCAAAAACTAAAACAAAAAAGAAAAATTCAGCTGGGTGCAGTGGCTCATGCCTGTAATCCCAGCACTTTGGGAGGCCAAGGCAGGGCTTGAGGACAGCCTGGCCAACATGGTGAAACCCTGTCTCTACTAAAAATACAAAAAGTAGTTGGGAGTGGTGGTGCACCCCTGTAATCCCAGCTACTCGGGAGGCTGAGGCAGGAGAATCGCTTGAACCTGCGAGGCAGAGGTTGCAGTGAGCTGAGATTGTGCTGCTGCACTCCAGCCTGGGAGACAGAGGAGACTCCATGTCAAAAAAAAATTATTATTTTAGATTCAGAGGGTGCAGGTGCACGTTTGTTGCCTGGGTAAAATAAAAGGTGAAATTATAAGAATAAAGTAAAATAAATAATGTGCAAAAACAAAAGAAAAATTATAATAACTAGAGATGAGGACACTTACTAATCTCTGGGTAGGCATTATTATATGATGGCTCCAAAAACCAATAGCTTAGGAACACTTCAGAAAACAATTGCATAATGGGCCAGTTTATGAGAAAGCAAATAATGGCAAAATATCTATTAATTAGACCACTGTATCAAAAAATGTGATGAAGACCTTCAGGGTATGTTATTATCTGTTATCTTCCCTGTTGGAGATTTGCCTCAGTGATCTTCAAAGGCTCTTTTCTTTCTCCCTCTCTCTCTTTTTTTCTTTGAGATGGAGTCTTGCTCTGTCGCCAGGCTGGAGTGCAGTGGCGCGATCTTGGCTCACTGCAACCTTCGCCTCCTAGGCTCAAGTGATTCTCCTGCCTCAGCCTCCCGAGTAGCTGGGACTACAGGCGCGTGCCACCATACCCAGCTAATGTTTGTATTTTTAGTAGAGTCAAGGTTTCGCCATGTTGGCCAGGATGGTCTTCATCTCTTGACCTCATGATCCGCCTGCCTTGGCCTCCCCAAGTGCTGGGATTACAAGCTTGAGCCACCACGCCTGGTCATTCAAGGCCTCTTAAAGCTAAAAAATTGACATTTAGACTTTTACTGCTGAAGAGGAATAGCCTTGAATGCAACATTTAGAACAATTAGGTGGATGTATAGCTAAGTAAATAACTTTACTTAAAATATATTCACTAAATAGATGGGAAGTTACAGCATTCTATAAAATCAGATTATATGTTGAGCTATGTCATGTTCTATATTTTTCTCAATGACTTGAATGAATGAATTCATAGAAGGCAAGCTTATCAAATTATCAGGTGACACAAAGCTGGGAGAAAAAGTTAATATATGCACTGTCGAAGTTAAAATTTGAACAGATTTGATGTAAAAAAAACTAACAAGATATGAGTTAAGAGGATTTTTTTAATTTTAAAGATGATGCTTAATGGAGAATTTTCTTTAAAAAAAAAAAAGAACAAGAACTTGTATTCCTTGAAAAGTTGTGAATTGCAGACTCAAGATTCAAACTAACTTGACAGCCTAGAATTCTGGGTAGAATTGAACAAGATGATTAACAGTAATCCGTGCTATTCAGCCTGAAATAAAACCAGCTTTGATAGTACATCTCCTCCTTGAAATGTGTTCTTCACTTGCCTTCAGGAAATAGCACTCTCCTGATTTTCCTCCTGCTCTACAGACCATTTCTCAACCTCTGTTACTAGTTAGTTCACCCTCATCTCCTGTACCTCTGAAAATTGGAGAGCCTCAGTTTCTGTACCTCCGTTTTCATCTCCACTCCTTCCTTTTGTGAGTGAGTTCTGATTCATAGCATTGGTTCCTTTATGTATGGGAACTTCTCCATTTTTAAGTCTCAAGCCTACACCTGTCTCTGAACTCTGGGTTAATATATTCAGCAGCCTACTGGGATATGAATTCTCCACTTGAATTTCCACTAGATTTCTCATACTTAACCTGACTGAATTCCTAAATTTCTCTTCAAAACTTAACTAACTTTAGTTTTCTCACCTTAGTTAATGGTACTTCCATTCTTCCTGCAGTTCAGGACAAAAAAAATTGGAGTCATCCTTGATTCCTCACGTTTTCTAACACCTCAAATCTAATTAGTCAGAAAATTACCTGAAGATTTCTGATTCCTAGGTTTTCAACATCCCCAATACTGGCACTCTGATCAGCTCTACCCTCATCTCTCACCTGGATATTGCAGTAGCCTCGCAACTGTTTTCCTGTGTCCACCCTTGCAGCATTCAATGTACTTTGAATGCTATAGTTCAATAATCTATCTTACATTTAAATAGATATTACTTCTCAGCCCACAATCTTCTAATGGTGTACCTTCTCACTCAGGATGTACTCCTATCGTCTCTTTACAATATTCTTCAAGTCGCTACTACTGCATTCCATTTCTGACCTAATGTAATTTCTGCTGCCACAGTGACCCCTTCTATTCCAGGCCTGTTCCAGACCTGATCTTGCCTCAGCCATCTGCATGTTGCCTATAATGCTTTTCTCTGAGATCTCTTTGTGGCTCACTCCTTTATATCCTTCAATTTTTTATTCGGATATGACTCTCTAAGTGAAACGGTCTCAATTCCTTTATTTAAAATTTCTATTCCACCTAATGAAAACTTGCTTCCATACTTAACTTTTCTCCATGACATATATTACCCTCTGAACTAAAATATAATTTATATATTTTATTATCTTTATTTCCCCTGACATAAATTCCATAATGACAAGGACTTCTTCCTGTTTTGTTCACTGTTCTGTCCCTCACTCTGAGAATAGTGTTGGCATATAGTAGGTGTGCAGTAATTATTTCTGAATAAAAGCATCGTTATGGGAACAAATTAAAGGATGAGTAAATAAAGGTACTGTGAAACGGATGTAGAGTATAACATAACCAGGTAAAATGTTCATAATTGTGAGGCCTCTAAAAAAGAAAAACATCCAAGTTTATAGGAATGGGGTCCAGAAAAAGAAATATAAAAACCCTCTGTTTCCTGCACCAGCACAAACTTTTCATTTTGCATTCACGCCTTTGAAGAGGACACTTGAAAAACATCTGTGTATCAAGAAGATTCTGAAGAGAATGTTTAAAAGTTTTCAAAAATAATTTAGAGATCATAGATATAATAGAGTAGGAAATTGGAAAAGTTGAATTAAATTAATATACTTCACATGTTTGAGGTGTTAAAAATGAATTAATCTTATAATGAGTAGATTCAGAAAGAATAGTAACAATAGGTGAAAAATGCTGATGCAGGTTCAACATTTGAAAAGTTGTCTTCAATATTCTATACAATTAATATTTTTAACTGTATGGTCTATAATAGTAGGAAGCTTCCTTTTCCAGGGAGAGCTGAAGTAGAAGGCAGATGGTTAACTGTGTAGAAAATTATCAAATGAGATGTGCATTGGATGGGAGGTGAGGCTTGTACATCCCACTTGAAGTCTTACGTTGCATATTTGTTTTCTATTAATAGGCATATATCTATGTACAAATAAGGCTAAATGAACAGCCATATGTCTAAGTATATATATCTATATATGAGATTAGATTTATGTGTATCTACATATATATGCATGTATATGCCAGTTTTATTGATATGGACATTAAATGGACCCTGGAGACCACCTCATTGCATACAAAACTCATCTTGTAATATCAACCTTTGCCTAAGCTCAGAGTTCAGCTACTACAACCTGTTCTCTTGCCTTATTTTCTCTTTTGTAGGGAAATAAAATTTCATCCACAAAAGTCTTTGGATAATAAGCATAACTTTGGGCTTTTAAGATCAAATCTAGGTATGCTGTTAAATATTTTTACCAGACATTACTTACTGCTAAACCTAAGTTTTAAATTTTCTCGAGTATAAATCATTTTCTACAGAATATACAATTATAATTACAGTTCTATTTTACAGGACATATTTCTATTGTATAAGTTCTTAAACTTTTCCAAATTCGTGCAATTTTCTGGAAATGACAAAGCATCAAGTGTGAAGTTTACTTGTTGAAACATGGGGTTATCTTTTGTTTACTGAACTAGGTCAAAGGGAAAGTGATAACAAAAAGTCAATGAGCTGGCAAGGTGAGTAAAATTCTCTATTGTCTCAGAGAGCAGATGTTACATTTATTTTCTCCGCAAAACATGTAAGAATGTTAGGTGAGAATTTTCAGTTGTACTTTAGAAAAGATTCCCTTATGATTGAACTGCTTGCAAAAGTTGATGACATGGTTGTCAAAGAATCACCTAGTTTATTGGGTTTAAACATTCAAGTGGGTCAATGTTTACAAGAATAACAATTTTAAAATGACTTCATACCAGTGCTTCTTAAATGTTAAAACGCATGAGAATTACCTGAGGAGCAACATAAAAATGAAGATTACTGGGGCTGACCTGTAGATATTCTGATTTTGTAGGTCAGAGTAAGGCACAGAGGTATGCTTATTTAATGAGCGTGAACCTCTAATGTCTCTCTACTACTACAGTATAGGTCGTCCATGGATCACGCTTTGCCTAACACTTATAAACCTTCATGTAGATCCATATTTTTAAATCAAAGGTATCTTTTGTATGCCTGATTCATACTATATAGTTATAGAAAGAGTATTAGTCCTTTGGTGTTAAGGCTGAGACTTTTATTTTATTTATTTTTTTCCTACAGAATGTGTTTATTCTAACAAATCATTTCTTGTCTTCCAAAATGTATACGGAAAAAAATAGCAAAACAATCTTTCCTAGCGGTGGTCGGCTCACTTTACAGATAACATTTTTGGGGAGATAGCACCCTCATGTGGTAATATGATGCTACAAATATTCTGCTGTTATATTGTATGTGTTGAGCAACCACAAGCTAATAGTTGCTGGTAACTTGTACCACCAACCCGTTGCATCATATTTCTAAAGAGCTTTTAGAGCAACTTTATTAAACCTAAAGAAGACATTCATGTGCAAAAATTAATACATTCCCACTGTATATTTTCATATTCCAATAACTGTGGCTTCCTTTATTGAGTCAAGAAACCTATATCAATGTTTCTGTTAAGTTATAATAAATGACTACACCAAATTAAGCTTCTGGGGACACAGAGCTCATCAGCACACAAACACAGCATTCTATTATTAGTCTAGTGGTTTTCCTGGACCGTGGGAATAATTTCATTATGCTCCAAAGTCATAAATATCAAGAATATTCTGAGATTTAGGGAAATTTTGAATAAACACTAAGTGATTCAGAACAACAATAAAAATAATTTTTCCCATAAATGAAACTGCCCTGAACTTGAGCATGAAGTCCTATGAATGAAAAACATTTCTGTAGAAGGCAGATATCCTGCTCACTTTACTGCTGTTTGGGGAATACCAGACCTTCTAAAAAACAGAAGCAATAACTCCAGCTGAAAGAATAACAGTAACCCTACTAGACAAAAGAATGTTGGAGTTAAATATGCACTCTTGATTAAAATGTACAATAATGTAAGGGAATAATTGTGAATGCTTACAGTGAAATTGATAAATCATTTAAAATAAAATGCTATTTCAGTGTCATAATTGGCCATGACTGTTATATAAGGAGGGGAGTTCACTTAACATATACCTCCCTTCTCCCAGTGTATACAGAAGTTAATCTGATTACACAGTGACTTCTCAAAAATTGTATCCTTCTTGGAAAAGTGTTACTTTGCTGTGGTTTTAAAAGCATTTGCGTTTGTTTTTTTCTATTGGATATTTTCTTTCTTTGACAAATGTCACTTACCCCATAGTTAAAGGTTTTTTTTAATAGTTATAATATAGATTTGCTTTTTATTAATACCATTTCAATATAAGCAAGAGGCATGTGCTCATTATAAATAATATAGTAACAATTAAAGAGAGAAAAGTATGTCACCTGTTAGAACCTCTCCTTCCCACACGTCCTTGGGATAATGGACAAGTGTGTGTGTTTGGTGTGTTTGAATTCAGTATTTTCATTCATGCGAAGAATATCTTTACAAATAATTACAATGTATATAGAGAAAATATATATGAATATATATACACGTTTATACTTGTAATCATATTGTATATATATATTTATATCTTTTGACATTGTACCAGGAAAATTTTTCTGTTAATCAAATGTTCAAAACTCTAGTATATGAATATATATAACAGTTGCTGGTATCTTGTACCACCGACCCGTTGGATCAAATTTCTAAAAAGCTTATATATACTCTAAAGAGTATATATATACTCATGTATATATGTACTCATGTAAATGTATAATACAAATGAAACTCATAATAATATATACACCCTATTAATAGTATATATATATATGCTCATGTAAGGATCAACATTTCTTTGGCCATGTTTTTAAAAATTTGGAGGTGCTTTCAGTGTTTTAATAGTAATAAATAGCTTAATAGTATTTATCACATGAATTATAATATTGATTATCATTATATCATGATTATCATCATAATCAGTGCTATAAATAACAAATCAAGAAAATAAGAAAGCCTAAGAAAACTATAATAATGAAGATAGTCATACAGAAGATTCATGAAGAATTTGAATAAGATAAAAGTTTATTGAGGATTTGAATCCAACAATACAAATGATTGATATCACCATGTATGAGAAAAAAACATTGATAATGACTAAGAACAAGAAAATCTACAGTTGATGGTATAAACTGAGAATTCTTTAGCTACACAGCATGTAGTTGACCTAAGGCAAGGCAATGACATTTTCAAATATATGAGGCTCAGGAGTTATACAGTCCGGACATTCTTCTAAAATTTTTACTTGACATAACTCAGCCAAAAGCAAAAATAAATAAATAAATAAAATTATTGAATTAATCAGTTTAATATGTGAGTTTATTTTATTTATTTATTATCTTTCCATTCAGCTTGCATTTTCCTGATGGCCTAAAATTAGCATTCACAGAATTCTAAAATTAACTTATAATTTAATTTAAATAATTTTCTAAAAGTTTATTTTGTAAATATCAGAACACATAATAGAAAATGAAAGTTATATGACATAATGTACTAGAAGGAACACTAAATTTTAGCAACCAGAAGGCTCTAGCCTTAGTTTATAAGAAACTTAATTTATTCAAGTCTATAAATATTCCTAAATGCTGGTCTTTTAGACATGAACTGGTTTTTAAGATAACCTCTATTTTGCTGATTTTGCTGCTCTTTAAAATAGTTTCTTGATTACTTATTCATAACATGAGTTAATGTTATTAATCATATGTATCACTGAAGGATAATACTTCAAAGATGAATAAAGTAACACTTTTTAATATAGGCATTAGCATCTGCCTAGCTTATTACCTTTCTAATGAGAATGAGAACCAGTATATTACAAACAACAATATTATCAGTGTAGCCCAAGACTATCTGTGGACCTGTAGGAAGCCGGGATCCAGCCCCCTTATTCACCTTTCCATTGCCAATATCCCACCCAAATGCTTACTCCACTTGCTGTTTCGTAAACTATTGTGGAATTAATTAATCAATTGATTAGCTAGTTAGTTAAAAAGGAAACTTAAAAAACTTTTCTAATAGTGGAAAGGTCTTAGGATTTGCTAAAGGAAAGAAGATTTGTTGAGAAAAGCCAATTCTACTCATTAAAATTAATTATGTTAATATTATGAAACATTAACTTAGATATAAGCATATTTGAAAAATTAAAAATAATCAGATATAGCTACAATGTGGGTCTGTAGTTAGCAACTCAACTTTTTTCACAAAAAAAACAACAGTCTGGCTAGCTGTTCATCAATTTCCCTTTCTTCTCACATAAACAGGCTATAATATTCTATACCACACAGCACAATAGTTCATATTAGTATGGCTCTATATTTGCATTTGAATTTATTTATAAATTTCAAAGTTTTGAGTCATTGTGCATGCAGCTACTGAAAGAACAGCATTTAAACTATGATCTTAATCAATGGTATTTCTATGGCTCATGCTTTTACTTTCCATTTGGGATTTATATACACTGTAAGCAAGTAGAGGACAGTCACAGCATTTGCGAAACTTCTTCTTTAGCATCCTATAACATGCATATTATGTTTTTGTTCAATTTCTTTTTCCCTAGCTTTGAGCACTGAATCTAAGAGTCAGACTGTTTACTGTATTCATGAAAATTTGGAGAAAAGTAATGGGTTTTGTAAGTTATAGCAATTCTATTATATTTGGTTTTTAAAATCTGAATCTAAGTCTTCCTTTATATTACTGATAACTAAAGAAAGGGGACCCTTAATTGAATTTGTGCACAATATCTGTTTTCTACTTTCTCTGATTCACTAGCTTTTTGACTTGGACAACACTTTCCGCTCCCCGCCCACCCCCCCACAGTTTCATGACCTGTGAAAGAAGAGAATTAAATATATACCCTCAAATGTCTGTTTTGTCTCTAAAATACAAATCTGAAAAAAAGTTAAATTAAAACATAAGAAAATGCCATTTTCTAGGTCAAATTGTTGAGTATTGACATTTTATTTGATTTGATCTGGTAATTGAATATTTTGTAGGCCTAAAAATATTTGTCTTTGTTTCATGAGGTGGCATTGCTAGTAGACACCTTTGAGATTATGCCCTCTTTTTCTTTCTTTGTTAGCCTGGAATTCTGAGCTCTATTACAGCGGGGACTCTGTTTATTTATGTTTTATGCCCCAGTGCCTGGAACAGTGCCTGACAAATACTAGACTCAGAGTAAATGTTTGCTGAAGGAATAGTGTTGTGACTTAAAATGATCAAATTTTACAGAATTGTAATTATTAATAATGATGATAATCAGACATGTTAAAATACTAGAGTAGATAATACCAAAGGTGAAATTTTTGACAGCTCTGTTAATGGGAAGGTGACAAGTTAATGTTAGCTAAAATAATCAAAGGTGTGGCACGTCAGACAAAGATGTAAAAGCTGTGTCAGCTTAGTTCAGGGCTTACACGTGGTTTTATGAATATTTATTTTACAATTATATGGATTTTTATGATTACAAATATTTTTTCATATTAGAAAATATAAACATATAGACATGGTTAAAGGAAAAAATTACAGTATTATTACCCAGAGAAAATTATAAAATCAGACCCATATATATAGCTGCTCGTGCCATGGTAATTTTCCCATGTGATTAAATATTCTTTGAAACATTTTTTCATATTTTACTTGGACATTTTCACACATAAATAAAAGTAGAGAAATAATTCAATAAACCCACATATACTCATCTTCCAGATTCAGCATGTATAAAGGTTTGCTTTGCTGCATCTATCTTTTTTACCTTTTTGTTTTCATATTTTAAAAGTAAACCTAAAATTCAGTCATTGAATCTCTATATACTTTAGTATGTGTTTCTAAAAGTAATATGGCCATTTTACATAGCCACGATGCCAACAAAATTTTTAAATAAATATTTAAGGTCACCTAATACTCACTACATGATTAAATTGCTCCAGTGATCTCAAAAACATCTTTGTACAGCTAGTTTCTTTGAGTCACAAATCAAAGAAGATCTATACATTACATTTGGTGGTTAATTCTCCTTAATCTCTTAATCTTCAACAATCACCCTTTCCTTTTTTATTTTTTCCTGCTATTGACTGTTACAGAGGAGTTGATTCTTCTGTGAAATATTTGACATTCTGGATTGTCTATTTCCTTGGTGTCATTTAACTTTTTTGTTGTTGTTATACTGGTATACTCTGGAAATGAAAGTTAGCTCCAGATACTGGATTAGCTTCAGTTCAACTACTTAAGGCCGATTTTCCTATTGTAAAATTCTCCATCAACTTTTTATCTAATGTTTCAACTGCTGATAATCATTGCCTGAATTATGTTATTAGGCTTGCAAACTAATGATTTTGTAATACTATAATTTCTCCCACATGTATTAGTTAGAATTCTTTGGTTAAAATCTTTCCCCTTTCAGCTGGGCGCTGTGGCTCATGCCAGTAATCCCAGTACTTTGGGAGGCAAAGGCAGGCGGATCACTTGAGGTTAGGAATTAGAGATTAGCCTGGCCAACATGGCAAAACTCCATCTCCACTAAAAATACAAAAAATTAGCTGGGCTTGATGGCACACGCCTGTAATCCCAACTACTTGGGAGGCTGAGGTATGAGACTCACTTGAACCCTGGAGGCGAAGGTTGCAGTGAGCTGAGATCGCGCCATTGCACTCCAGCCTGGGCAACAGAGGGAGACTCTGTCACAAACAAACAAACAAACAACAACAACAACAAAACCTTTCCCTTTTCAACAAAGTGTTGTTACATTGAAATAGAGTTTGTAAAAGAAGAGTTAAATACTTAATAATTTTATTTTATTTCCCATTTTCAATCAGGTGTACTTTAGGTACCTCCAATTCTTATTTCCACTATTTTACAGTACTATAAATTAGTTTCAAATAATAATAATAGTTATAAATAGACTATTACAGATAGTTATAGGGGGCAAACTAAGATTTTTTTTTATAGCTTCATTTTTGCTTAGGACCCATGTTCCTCTAAGCATGTAAAATCAAAATTCTGTGCTATAAATTCACTTGAAATAATTCCTCTTTCTGATGCAATGAAATTCATTTATTTCCATTTGTTTCTAATTTTTAGGGTTTTTTTCCTTCACCATATATGTTTAATATAATTCTTGAGTTAGGATTAACTCTGCCATCTTTGTATTTATTTTCTCTTTTTTCCATATATTTTCCTTTATCTGTTCCCTTTGGATTAATCAACTACTTTTGATTAAGTAGCAGCATTTTTCTCTTATAATTGTTTATCTATGGCATTTTTATTATGTTTTAGTGATTACATTGGAGATTTTCAAAAGATATATTCTTGTCTACTTTAATACAGGACATTTGCCGCTTCCCAAACAGTGTAAAGCCTCTTAACAGTTAAACTCTTTTAACCACCTCTGATGCATTGTGTTATTGATATTTACTTAGTTTTACATATGTTGTAACTTCCACAGAGCTTTATTTTTACTTTTATTTTAAACAGTATTTACTTTGATTTCAAAGCAGCATTTCTTATACTCTTCATTCCTTTGTACAGTTCCATGCTTCCATGTGAGATAATTGTCTATAGCTTGAAGAACTCTTATCAGTATTTCTTAGAGTTCAAACCTACTGGTGACGTGTGTGTGTGTGTGTGTGTGTGTGTGTGTGTGTAAACATCCTCTTTGACCTTCCTTTGTAAAGAATATTTTTATTCCATATCAACCTCTAAGTTGGCAGAATATATTCTTTTCTTAATCTTTAAAATTAGTCCATTGCATTCTGACTTCTGTAGTCACTGTTGAAAAGTCATCCAACTTCTTATTGATGTTTATATTTAGATAATAACTTCTTATATTCTCTGGCTGCTTTAACATTTTCCTTTTATTTTTAATATTTAGCAGTTTAACCCTAATGAGATCAAGTGGGTTTTTTGTGTTTATTTTGCTTGGAGTTTTCTGAATTTATCTAGTTTATCTTTGGGTAGATAACTCATCAGATTTAGAAAATCATTGACCACCAATTCTCCAAATATTGCTGTGATTTCTTTTTCTCTCTTTGTTTTCCTTCCAGGACTTAAATTACATGTATGTTAGAACTTTTGACTGCATCACATATCTCTCCTAATGACCTTTCCCTGAGTTCCCAAGTCCTATACTCAGCTATTTTCAGCCTCCCATTCAACCCATTCAATGAATCCTTACATTTCAGATGTTTTTAAGTTCCAAAGTGTCCTTTGATTTTACTATAGATTCTACGTCATGTTAAATTATTCTATTCTTTCATTTTTCTATCTTTTCTTTCTTCCTTAACATACTAATTACAGCTGTTTGTCTACTTGCCAAAGATAATATGTAAATCTTCTCTGTGTCTGATTCTATTAATGTCTTATTATTTGAGGATTAGTTGCATTTTCCTATTTCTTTATATATCAGATTTTATTTCCCTGTAAGTAGAATATGGTATTTCCAGTATTTAGGCTCTCGTTCTTACAATATTCCTCAAAAGTATTGGGTTATTTTACAATGCAGTTAAATTACCCCAAACCACCTTCATTTTTAAAAATTAATAGAATTTATATTTAAAGAAGTTTTAGGTTTATAGAAAATTGAACAAATAGTACAGAGAGTTCCCATATCACTCCCTAACCTCCAGCTCAGAGATTCAGTTTTCCCTATTAACATATTTAATTAGTGTGGTAGTTTGTTAAAATTGATGAACCAATATTGATAAATTATTATTAACTGAAGCCCTATATTAGGTTTCACTCTTTCTGTTGTTACAATTCTATGAGATCTGACCAATACGTAATGACAAGCATCCAACATTACACTATCATACAGAATAATTTCACTGCCCTAAAAACCCCTGTTCTCCACCTTTTCATTCCTCCCTCATTCCCCCTGCTTAACTCCTGACAACCACTGATCATTTTACTGTCTCTGTTTGTTTGTTTGTTTTTTTGTTTGTTTGTTTGGCCTTTTCCAGAATGTCATACAGCTAATATCATGCAGTGGTTAGCCCTATCCGACTGGCTTCTTTTGCTTAGTAACATTCTTTTGCTCAAGTTTCTTCCACATAATCTTATGGCTAAACAGTTTCTTTTCTTTTCTTTTCTTTTCTTTTTTTTTTTTGAGACGGAGTCTTGCTCTGTTGCCCAGGCTGGAGTCCAGTGGCACGATCTTGGCTCACTGCAAGCTCCGCCTCCCAGGTTCACGCTATTCTCCTGCCTCAGCCTCCCGAGTAGGTGGGACTACAGGCGCCCGCCACCACGCCCGGCTAATTTTTTGTATTTTTAGTAGAGACGGGGTTTCACCATGTTAGCCAGAATGGTCTGAATCTCCTGACCTCATGATCCGCCCACCTCAGCCTCCCAAAGTGCTGGGATTACAGGCGGGAAACAGTTCATTTTTATCACTGAATAGTGTTCTCTTGAGTTTGCTTATCTATTCACCTTTTGAAGGACATACTAGTTGCTTTTAGTTTTTGGCAATTATGAATAAAGCTGCTATAAACATTGAGTGGAAGTTTTTTTGTGTGGAAATACAAGTTTTTTCCATTTGGGTGAATACTTAGAGTCATGATTACCAGATTTTTTGGTAGGACCATTTAGCTTTGTAAGAAATTGTCCATCTGTCTTCCAAAGTGACTGTACCATTTTGCATTCCCACCATAAATTAATGAGAATTCCTATTGATTCACCTCTTTACTAGTATTTGGTTTTGTCAACGTTTCGAATTAAGCATGTAAGGGTATCTCATTATGTTTTAATTGGCAATTCCCTAATGATCATGACATTGACCATCTTTTCATATGCTTTTTTTTTTTTTACCACCTGTATATCTTTTTTGTTGAGATATCTGTTTAGATTTATTGTCCATTGGTTAATTAGGTTGCTTATTTGCTATTGTTTCATTTTAAGGGTTCTTTTATTTTAGAAAAAAGCACTTTATCAGGTATATGTTTTGCATAGATTTTCTCCCAGTCTGTAGCATGTCTTTTTTAGAGCAGTGTCTTCATAGTGTCTTTCATAGAGCAGAACTTTTTAATTTTAACAAAGTCCAACTTATCAATGTTTTCTTTCATTGTTAATGCTTTTGGTGCTGTATCTAAAATGCCATTACAAAATTGAAGGTCACCTAGATTTTCTCCTGTTATCTTACAGAAGTTTTATAGTTTTGCATTTTACATTTACAACTGCTATCCAGTTAACTTTTGTGAAAGATGTATGGTATGTACTTAGATCTTTTTTTTTTTTCATGTAGATGCCAAATTGTTCTAGTAGCACTGTTGAAAAAAATCATCCCTTCACTATTACATTACCCTTGCTGCTTCTAAAAGGTCAGTTGATTATGTTCGTGTGTGTCTGTTTCTGGGCTCTCTTTTCTGTTACATTGATGTATTATATTTGTCTATTCTTTCACAAATACCATTCTTCCTTGATTACTATAGTTCTATATAAGCCTTGAAGTTTAGTATTTTCAGTTCTAGTATTTCAGTAGTTGAAGTTGTGTATTGAACTTGAATATTGATTATTCTGGGCCTTTGCTTTTCTATATGGAATTTTGAATCAATTTGTGGTTTTAATTGGGATTACGTTGAATTTATAGATCAAGTTGGGAAGAACTGATATCTTGACAACAATCAATCTTCTGATTTAAGTGCATGGAATATCTCTCAATTTATTTAGATCTCCTTTTATTTCTTTCATCACAGTTTTATAGTTTTCTTTATACTGAACTTCATGTTTTGTGGACTTATGAAGTATTTCACTATTTTTATGTGCTGCTAATGTATGTGATATTGTGTTTTAAATTTCAAATTATAATTGTTCATTCAGTATATAGGAAAACAATTGACTATTGTATATTAACCTGTTATTGTGCAACCTGGCTATAATCACTGATTAGTTCCAGCAGGTTTTTTGTTGACTCTCTAGGATTTTCTATGTAAATAATCCTGTGATTTTCAAACAAATATGGTTTTATTTCTTCCTTCCTTATCTTTACATCTTTTATTTCCTTTGCCTGTATTATTCCTTTCCTAGGACCTTTGATATGAGGTTGAGTAGGAATGGTGAGAGGCAACATTCTTCCTTTGTATGAGATTATAGGGAGGAACTATCTAGTTTCTCAACATTAAATAGGATATTAACTGTAGGTTTTCTTATAAACTTTTAAAATCAAATTCAGGAGGTTATTTCATTCCTATTTGCTGAGAGTTTTTTTTTTCATTAAGTAGTATTGGATACTTTTTCTGAATCTAGTAATATAGCCATATGATTTTTCTTCTTTAGCCTATTGATATGATGGATTAACTTAATTGATTTTTGAATGTTTAACCAGCCTTGTTTACCTGTATAATCCATTTTATGTAGGGTATAACTCTTTTCCTACATTTTTGGATTTGATTTACTAATATTTTGTTGATTGTTTTACCTTTGTTAATGGCACATATTTGTCTGTAGTTTTCTTTTCTTGTAATGTCTTTCTCATATTTTGGTATCAAGGAAATGTTGGCCTCATGCTGGCCTCATAGAATGAGCTGTGAAGTGTTTTATCTGCTTCTATTTTCTGGAAGAGATACTAAAAAATGGTATCGTTCTTTCTTAAATGTTTGATAGAATTCACTAAAATTCAGTAAAACCATCTGGTCTAGTTCTTTCTTTTTTTGGTAGATTATTAATTATTGATTCAATTTACTTTATCTAATAGATGTAGGCTTATTTAGATGATCCTTTTCTCCTTTTCTGAATTTTGGTAGATTGTGTCTTTCAATAAATTGGTTCATTTCAATTAAAGTATCAAATTTGTAGGCATAAAGTATTAATATTTCTTTATTGTGATTTTATTGTTCATGTATCAGTAGTCTTGGGCCCTCTTTTAATTCTGCTATTAGCAATTCGTGTCTTCTCTGTTTTCTTTGGTTAGTCTAGTCAGAGTTTTATCATTATATAGAAGTTTTTTTTAAAGAATCAGCTTTTGATTTCACTGATTTTCTCAATTGTTTTCCTCTTTTCAATTTCATTAATTTCTGCACTATTTATTATTTCTTTTTTTCTACTAGCTTCAGGATTATAGTGTTCTTTTTTCTCTAGTTTCCTATGGTGGAAGCTTAGATGATTAATTTTACATCTTTCTTCTTTCCTAAGATAGTCATTCAATGCTATATGTTCCCTCTAATCAATGCTTTTGCTGCATCTCACAAACTGATGTACTTTCATTTCACTCAAAATATTTTTTAGATTATCTTCAGACTTTCTTGACCAGTGTGTTATTTGGAAATGTTTGGTGTAATCCTATTTCTCCAGTGACTTCTGCTCTTGGTCAGCTGTGACTCTATATCTGCTTATCTCTTGAGTTTCGCCCTCCACCCCCTAGGGCATCAGTTTGGCCTGTGACCTTAGTTTTCTGATGGACCTAGGGAGAATTGTTGGCTTTTATCTTATTTGGATGTTTTCTTTTCTTTTCTTTCTTTCTTTCTTTTTTTTTTTTTTTTTAAGATGGAGTATCTCTCTGTTGCCCAGGCTGGAGTGCAATGGCACGATCTTGGCTCACTGCAACCTCTGCCTCCCAGGTTCAAGCGATCCTCCTGCCTCAGTCCCCCTAGTAACTGGGATTGCAGGCACATGCCACCATGCCCAGCTAACTTTTGTATTTTTAGTAGAGACTGGGTTTCGCCATGTTATCCAGGCTGGTCTCGAACTTCTGACCTGAGGTGATCCACCCACCTCAGCCTCCCAAAGTGCTGGAATTACAGGCGTGAGCCACCATGCCTGGCTTTGGCTGTTTTCTTATTGTGAGGATGGGAGTGATAGTTTCCAAGCTCTTTACATGTCAGGGATTAGATATGACTTTCATAATTTTCAGGTTTGACTTTAGCCTTAGTATAGGTGTTCTTCAAATTTGCCAACATTCTTAGGATGTGGTCTTACTTCAAGGTCTTCACCTTTGTGAGATTTCAACTGAAAGCCTGAGGTATTCTCCAAAAACTTTCTACTCTGGCAGGAATCAAATTCCAATTTCTCCTTCGGACTGTGTGTATCTGAAATCTGCTCATCTCTTCAGCCTATTATCATTGATCTGTATAACAGACTCCATTAATAATACTCTGTGAAGTGGAATTATTACATAAATAGCCATTTTGCTAACTTGGACCCTGATTTTTGTTCCCACACCCAGTGAAACTGTTACTGAAATACCAGGGGTTTGGTATAGGTCGTGCTGCTCACCACACAGAAAGCCAATCACTAAGATGGTGAGTGTTGTCAAGGAAGAAGGCTTTAATTGGCTGCTGCAGCTGGGAAGATGGGAGATCAGTCTCAAATGCACCTTCCTGACTGACTAAAACGAGGGGTTTATATAGCAGGCAAGAAATGTAGCAAGGTGTTAGAAAGCAAGAACTTGTGAGGGACAAGGAAGCAATCATGGTGAATGAGGGGTCTGGCATCTGGTGCAGTCATCTGGTTTCAGTTCTTTGACACTTTTTGTGAGAGGCCTAAAGGTTGTTCCCTGAAGAGGGAACTCAGATAAAACAAATAAAAGTTCCAAGCTTTTTAAGACCAGAAGAGTCCATTTTTATGTTTATCCAAAAACAACTGTCTGTGGGACTCTTGGGCTGGCTTCAAAACTATGACTTTCTGCATGGGCTCATCTTCCTTGCAGGATAGTGTCACAGGGTCCTTAGAGTGTTGCTTTGCCAGCTGGAAACCTCTGTGACCCATGTCCCCTTTTGCTGGAGTATAGTATTACTTGTGCCTGCTGGGCTCATTCCACCCACTTGGCCTGGCAGGTTGCACTCGGCTCACATTACCAGCCCGAATCTCATGCCTGCCAAGGGCAAGCCAGGTGCGGAGCAGTGACAGGCATGTGAGCAAGCAAGCATGGGGTGTGGCCACTGTACACAGCCTGGCACACCAGCTGCTGTGGTGGTTCAGGCAACTACAGGTGCTGGCACAGACGCCAGCTCCATGCAAAGTTGCAGCTGGACCAGACATACCTCAAGCAGCTTCCGCTGCGGGCACCAGCACCTGGATGAGGGAAACGCAGTGGCACCTGAAAACTCAGAGACACCAGGAACTACAGAGGCCCAGCAATCGTGTTACAGAATGTCACAGCCCTGGCTTGGGGAGACCTGAGGTAGGTCTGGACTCCCAGAAAGGCTGCAGCTCTTCTCTCCTTCTTGTGGCCTGCAGCATGGTGAGTAAGGGGGCAAGTTTCTTGGGGGTGTGTTTCAGTCCATTTGTGTTACAGCTCTTTCAGTCCTGCTGCCCCACTCTGGGCCATGGATCCTGGGCTGGCCCAGTCCCACTGCTGCTTTCCCTCACATGGGGTGGCCACCCACTGCTGGCAGAGGACTATAGTATTACAGCAGCTCCGGTTCAGGGTATCCCAAGGTCTGGGTCCCCATAAGGTCAACATTCTTCACTCTTGCAGTCCGGGAGTGTGTCACTGCCCACAGCTCAGCGAGCCAGAAAGAAATGTGTTACAGCTCCTCGTGCTCCTGGGTCCTGAGTTCTTGTCCCATGTCAGGGAAGAATGAGGTTACGTGGACAACTGGAGGGTGAGCAAGGCAGAGAGAAACTTTATTGAGTGACAGAACAGCTCTCAGGTGACCCAAAGTTGATCGTTCCTTTCTGCAGGCAGGTAGTCCCAGTGAGTGTCTGAGTCTAGCTGAGTCTGGGGGTTTTATGTGCTCAGAATGGAGGAAGTGTGTGCTGATTGGTCCATGGGTGACCAGGCAGGTCTGGAAAAGCACCATCTGGTTGGCCGAAAGGCATCAATGAAGTTTTTACTCCAGGTGGCAGACTTTACCTGGAGCTGGCAGCCCAGTCCCCAGGCTTCTGGCAGTCCTTGGGTTGAAGGTGGGGTTTCACCAGGGACTCAGCCCTTCCCACCTAGGAATGTATCTGCCTCCTGCTACCATCTACATGCCATCCATGGCACCCAGGCTATCTGTGCTGAGGAGTGCCTGCAGGCCCGTGCTAAGCCACTCTCAGCCCCCCATCCTCCCTCCCATGCTCGTCAGCACCCAACATCTGGAAGGAGCGAAGGTGGCAGGGGCCTGATGTGTCAATGCTGCCCCAAGTGCATGCATAGCCAGCCAGGTTGCGACAGTTTCTAGGCTTGGCTACAACTTTGCTCCACACTGGAGCAGGCACTGGGAGTGGGGAGAGGCCAGGGAGTGGGAGCAGGCACTTCTGAGCCTGGGGGGACAGGGGGCTTCCCAGGTCCCTGAGAGCACAGGGATGCCCAGGTCCAGAGACATGGCTGGGCAGCTGCAGCTGCACCCAGGAGTGCAGGCTCTCACCCCACCAACTCAGTAGGGTCTGCTGCTGGGATCACCTGTTCCTGATTCCTGCTGGCTCCAGGGAGCACACAGCCCTCACCATGCCTCCCCAGCTCCACTGTCATCCTCACAGTGGCCACTCCAGATGGGCAGACACTGCCATCAGTAGTTTCTACAAAATTTTCAGAGAGAAAACCAAGATGTCACCTCCTGTACATTTTTTTGTCCAAAGAAGGTAGCACTGTGTTGGTTCCTTTCTGATGCATGCAATCAGTTGTTTTATATATCTTGTAAAGCTTTTATTTATTTTTAATGGTGATGGTAGGCAAACAGGGGTTAAGTCCAATATCATGTACTCTGTCATGGCTAGCATTCTTACTCCTCATAATTTGCCTAAATATAGAATCTAGAAGTGATAGTTTATTCCTTTTCCACTTTGAAGCTATTACTCCAAGTACATTTAGAGTATGAAGGCTAAACTAACCACAGTTGGATTATTTATGAAACCAATGAACTAAGAATTACCATTTTAGTAACTTTTACAAGGTTTTTCTTTTTTAACTTTTTAATCTATACCATGGATATACAAACACTTGACCTTTTCACCTTCTAGGATTATTGTAAAGAAGCAATATTGGATAAATTACTTTAAAATGCATCAAAACCATTAATATCTCTACTAATATATAATACCATAATTCAAAATATTCATTTTCCTCTCTTTAAAAGCTTTCCTTTAATCTTCACATTTTTGGAAATTTAATTTAACATGATTTCACATTCTTTGTTTGGCGTTTTCAAAATTCAAAGTCATAGCAAAGGTCTTTATCTTAGCAATAGCAGTTATTTAATGAAGGCTTGCTCTGTATAAATTCAAGCAGTAATGTAATTAATTTATAAAAGTTCAATTATATCTGTGCTATAAGTTTAATTGTGTTTCCCCCAAATTTATATGCTGAAGTCCTTAATTACAGTATCTCAGAGCGTGACTATTATTGGAGATAGGGTCTTGAAAGAGGTAAGTCAGTTAAAGTGAAGTATTTGGGTGGACCCTAATATGATAAGACTGATGTCCTTATAAGAAAAGGAAATTTGGACACAGACAAGTACAGAGGAAAAGCAACGTGAAGAGATAGGGAGAAGGCAGCCATCTACAAGCCACAGAGAGAGGCTTGGAATAGATTCTTCCCTCCTAGTCTTCTGAAGGAACCCACTCTGCTTCCATCTTCCAGAATTATAAATTTCTGTTGTTTAATCACAGTGATTATGGCACTTTGTTACAGCAACCCTAGCAAACTAATGCAACCTGCTTCGTGATAACTAAAAAATTAAAATTAAAAAAAAATAAGGAGAGATATAATTTTACATAGTGGGAATGTGATAAAATCACATTTTGCATTTTAATATACAGGGTTATATATGCAGAATTATGTATATTGTGATTTATAAAAGTTTTTCTCTTTCAAAGGCAATGTTTACTATATATTATTTTTGTCCCTACAATCTGACTTATGGCTATAGGTACCAAATAAAATACAAGTTCATTTTATCATCATAATAAGCCTGTAGAGTGCATATCATCATTCCCATTTTATAAAGGAGAAAACTGAGATCCAGCGAAGTTAATTTATTGTCCACAGTCACAGAATGAGTAATTGGAAAAAACTAAAATTTGACCCAAATCTTTTCTACTCCAAGTCTAAAGCTCTTAACTGCTGCACTTCACTGAATTCTGGCTCCTTTTTATTGCTTCCATAGCCAAATTCTTTAGAAATTACCTCTTACTTTTACCTCCATTCCCACCACTATTCTCTTTATAATCTAAAAATTGTTCTCCCATCTGTTTATGGGTTTTTTTTTTTTTCATCACGATGCTCCATCCTGCTTTTTGCTGCAGTGCCTTCGCCTGCTCTGTCATTCACCACTGTCGGTTTAAATCCACATTGCTTTCAAATTCAGGACTTACTCTACAAAGAAATGTAACCCTCCAGCAGATTTTTTTTTTTTTTCTCAGTTAAGAATTCAGTCAGCCCGGGCACAGTGCCTCACGCCTGTAATCCCAGCACTTTGGGAGCCCGAGGCGGGTGGATCATGAGGTCAGGAGATCGAGACCATCCTGGCTAACATGATGAAACCCCATCTCTACTAAAAATAAAAAAAAAAAATTGGCCTGGCGTGGTGGCAGACGCCTGTAGTCCCAGCTACTCGGGAGGCTGAGGCAGGAGAATGGTGTGAACCCAGGAGGCGGAGCTTGCAGTGAGCCGAGATCGCGCCACTGCACTCCAGCCTGGGTGACAGAGCAAGACTCTGTCTCAAAAAAAGAAAAAAAAAATTCAGTCAATATCAGGAGTTATTTACCTAGAATTGTTTTAGTTGTGCATGTCTGATTTTCCAAATTAAAAGTTCTCAGAAGATACAGATTCCTTCTTGTTCTTGATTGTGGCTCCACTGCTTCAGAGCTCAGCAACTGGTTTAAGACCAATGCACGTCCTAAATTAATATCCCTGTTCACCTTCAGTTTCTCAAGTGATATGAAATACATGCATCACAGTTTTCTTATTTCAAAATAGAGGAGATAGTCTTAATATTTTCACCTTTTAAGCCACCAATAATCTTGCTGAAAATAGTTACTATTAGTCCTTAAAAGCTGCCTAACCCCTTAATGTTTAATGTTGGCTCAAGCAAGTGTCTGAAACCTCTTAAACAGTACAAAATTAATTCTTTTAATCCTAGTAATAAAAATGATGATTCCCAGTCGAATGGAGAGGGTGAAAAGGTAGGGAGTATCTGATCATGAGGATGTTATGAATACTATCTTTATTTTTGAACCCCATCTTCATGTTTCTGTTCTATGACTTTTAAAGCTTCCTCCAAAATCACATTCCTCCACCTACAATCATAGGTATAACTATATATCCTTATACAGGAATGAGAATCAAGGCCAATGAAACACTCATGGTGTTGCAAGTGTGAAGTAAAGCTCAAGTAAGCAGCTGTCTAACACCAGTCTCTGGCTTCCTCATTACGTGGCGTTCTCCTGTGTGCCTAAGTGTGTTCACCTGCTGACTTCTTATAAGAACACCAGCCATGTCTGATTAGGACTCAGCCTACTCCAGGATAACCTCATCTTAACTATGTCTTCAACAACTCTATTTTCAAATAAGATCACTTTCTGAGATACTTACTGAGGGGTTAGGACTTCAGTGTTTTTTAGATTGATTTTTTTTTGCAGGGGAGGAACACAATTCAGACGATAACACTATTTTGTTCTTTTTAGAATGATGGTTATTAATGTCTGTTTACAAAAGATTATAGTATTTCGATTTTACTTTTTTCTATTTTTCCAAGAAACTATTAAACAGGAATAAAAAAATGAGTTATGAGTTGGCATAACATTTATGGGTAGAAAACATTAGTTTTAAAAATCCATGCAAGTAAGATAGTAAGATATAAAATTGCTGATTCAGCTTTTGGAGTTACAATAAATCAAATCAAAAGCAGTTTAAAGTACAATGTGACAAATCAAAAGCAGTTTAAAGTACGACAGTGGAGAAACAGACAAATAGTATATAGTATATTTGAGCTTTCTTACTTTTATTTAAATATTAATAAGAGAATACGATATTTAAATTTTTGGACACTTTCTCACTTAATGTACCTATTTGTTTGTTTGCTTATTGATGGACAAAGCAATGCTGCTTCCTTTAACATGGAAAATAAATTGCACTTTAAAATATTCATTTAGAAAATAAACATTCTAGAAACCACTTTTATAGCTCATTTTTGTTGCAAAAAAGTTTATTTCACTAATATAACTTCCTATTGAAAACCTATGTAATAACACTTAGGAAAAAAACAAAGAATTAATAAAGTATTTGTACTATAGGATATAAATTAATTTATGTGGATTAATCTGACATCCCCAGAGACTATAACCTCCCTAAAAAAAGAGACCTTGTCATTTACATCTTTGGAAATCTACATGATACTTAGCACAACATTGAAATTGAAATATGTGCTCAGGAAAACAATAATTTGTTGTTAGTTTTTTAAATTGCCATTACAATCTCATTTAAAATATATTTGATTGGAAAAAAAGTAAAACATCTCATTTAAATGTTTATTGGTGCTTAAAACATATAACATGAGAAATGAGCTGACTACCCAGTCATGGTCTCAATCCCATATTATAATTTGTCTCTTCATCAGTTGAGAATAGAGCTGAAAACAAATAATTATGTTCATTATTGCTATCTAACTGAGTCAACACACTGTTTCTAGGTTGGCTCCATTTTAGCTTTTAGCCTTTGAAATAAATACAATGTCTTTGTCTAACCCTTTCTAAGAGGACAGTCTTATCAATATTTAATTTGACCAGCCAGAGAAAGCATTAACATAGCATAGAACAATTTATGAGATTGGCTTAGTCTTGGATTTTCTCATTAAATGTAGTTAAAATTTATCAACAAAAGCATTATGTGTACATGTTTGTTATCTTAATAATTCCAATTAACTTTTGGTAATTGCTGAGAATCTGCAACTATTTTTCATTGTTATAGTTCTCAACCAGCAGAGAAATGAGTAAAATAAGCCTATGATGAGTAAAATTTAGTGTAGGTCAACTAAGTTTTTATTCTCAGTGGAGAATATAAAATTCATCAACAAATCAAATCTGTATTTTTACGAATATTTGGAAAGAACCCAAAATATCAGTAAAGCTCTACAAAAAACATGAAAATCCTTTAGAATATTACATACACACACATCTATGCAGACACAGGTATGTGTGTTTTTTTTCAGACATATTCTTAATTATTACACACTGATACACACACAAGAATAGTAATTTTCCTGATAACAGGTCTACTCTTTCTGGTGCTTACTTTATATCACTTTCACAATGGACATAAATTGTGAAGACGAATACACTGAACTGAGCTACATAAATACCTCAGATTAATTTCAACTTCACTCAGTCTCACAGCACAATATGGTGCTACTCAGTTACCAATTGTTTATGTCACAAAACAATTAGTTTATAATAATAGTTGTAATGACAGGTTTTAAAAATAGATATTTTCTGCAGACAAAATCTATGATCTCTTTGCCACATGTAATCATATGAAATATAAATAATGAAGAAAAGAAAAATAATGAAAAAACCAGCAAGGTATTACCTGTATGATTCAACCAAAAAACCAAATATGTGGCTGACCCTAGAAAAATGAGTGATTATAAATTGTTAATTTAAGTTAGAAACACACTAAGTATTTACATATTATGTTATTTATAGATAATGGATAACTTATCAATTTGTTAAACAAAATAAATAATATATTTTGAAGAGCTACTGCCCTACATTATTCTGTAATGCAGAGAAGTAGTTTAAATTGACCAACTCTATAGCTAAAAATTGGTTCAAATTTCAAGTCTGTTATTTATTAATCAACTTCATTAACATCTTGGAGACTGTTTCCAAATCTGAAAATTGATTTTAATAAATTTTACCTGATAAGATCGTTATCATGATTAAAAAGGACATACTATGGAAAGAATTTGGGACAGGGAGTGACTAATAGATCATGGTAATGTTGGTTAGCTGTTTTTCTTCCATCCTCAAGGTTCATAACTACTAAGATATGTTTTATCATGCTTAAAGGAGGAGAGAAAACAAAATCTTGGCCTTTGAAAATTAGGGAGATTGAAAACAAACTGCTTTATAAATCTGAGGTGTTCAAAGGAAAGTATTAAATTGTAAATATTCTGGTTTCTAGGTAGAAAAAAATTAAAATCTATCCTGAATATATGTAAATATGTAACCAATAGCCTGCCCAATATGTAGGTTCTATTTACCAGATATTTATTGTATGTATTGGGTGCATGAATTTTCCAAGATAAGGTAATAATATAAAAAATGATCTCATGCTGGTGATATCTTTGGGTCATTTGACATAATTAAACACAAAACGAATATGAGAAATAACACTGCAAATACCTGTAGCATTTCAAGAGATAAACAACCCATATAAGAAAGATTTAAAAAAAAAACAAAAACTTTTAACTTCAGGGGCACACATGCAGTTTTATTATATAGGTAAACTTGTGCCATGGGTGTTCGTTGTACAGATTATTTTGTCACCCAGGTATTAAGCCTAGTACCCATTAGTTATATTTACTGATCCTCTCCCTCCTCTCACTGTCCACCCCGCAGTTTTTGTGTCCCTGTGTTCGCATCATTTAGCTCCCACTAAAAGGAGAACATGTGGTATTTGATTTTCTATTTCTGTTTTAGTTTGCTAAAGATAATGGCCTCCAGCTCCATCCATGTTTCTGCAAAGGATGTGATCTTTTTATTTTTTAAGGCTGCGTATTATTCCTTGATGTATGTGTACCACATTTTCTTTATTGATGGGCATTTAAATTGATTCAGTGTCTTTGCTATTGTAATGGTGCTGCAGTGAACATATGTGTTCATGTGTCCTTATGATAGAATGATGAATGATTTATATTCCTTTGGGGATATGCTCAGTAATGAGATTGCTAGGTTGAATGGTAGTTTTGTTTTTAGGTCTTTGAGGAAACACCACACTAATTTCCATAATGTTGTACTAATTTACACTCCAACCAACAGTGTATAAGTGTTCCCTTTTTTCCACAACCTCACCAGCATCTGTTATTTTTTGACTTTCTAATAATAGCCATTCTGACTGGTGTAAGACGGTATCTCGTTGCAGTTTTGATTTACATTTATCTAATGATTAGTGATGTTGAGCTTTTTTTCATATGCTCGTTGGCTGTTTGTATGTCTTCTTTTGAAAACAGAAAAATGAACAAGGAAAAGCTTAGAATGCAGAAAATATGAAAAACTGAGTTGTAAATAAATCTATAATACAAGTAATCACAATAAATATAGATGTATTAAAATCCTTTGTTTTAGATTCACAGAATTTCTAGTTGAATAATCAAAATTTAAGCATATGTTTAAAAAAATAAAATTTAAAATATATAACATGCAAAAACATAAATAGTCAAATATTGGATGAAATAAGGTATCACAGGAAAATGCTACTCTGGTAGCTAAATTAAAGTCTATTTTAAGGTAAAAATCATTATTAGGATTATACGACACATTAAAAAGCGTACAGGGTATAATAATGATTCATTGATTACATACACATAATAACAGCTTCTAAATACATAAAGTGAATATTGACATGTGAAACAAAACAAGAAGTTTAACATGTAGGACACAAAACAAATATAAATAAATATCCAATTTTATTTATTGTGTAGATGTCATTTTTCCAACTACAATTCAAAAAATTTATGAATAAAACACACCAAAAATATAAAGACTTGCGTGTTGAAAAATGTTAAATCATACTTTTCAATAATTTATTAATCAAAGAATATTTTAAACTTAATATCAAATATTTAGAACTGAATGGTTAAAAGATCAAAATTTTAGTTTTCATAAAGCAGTATCTTAGTTGTTACAGTATGATTCAAATACGTTTCATTAAAAATGATTGAAAATCTTGGAATCCTATCCATGGAAAAAAAAAAAAAAGCACTACACTTTTGTTTCTAATACTGTTATCCAGTGAAAGAAGCCAGAATACCTCGGAAAATGGCTGAATTGGGGGCTGGGACAGGGAATGTACAATATGAGCCTGTAGCATCTTGTAATGACAGGAAATAAGAACGTGCTTAAAACCAAAATATCTCTTGTACTCCATAAATTTATACACATACTATATACCCACAGAAATTAAAAGTAAAAAAAAAAGATAAAAAAGAAAGAAAACCAAAATAGTAAGTACATGTTAAAGAGACACATGACCCAACTGAAAAAGCTCTCAATAGTCAAAGTTGTAACAATTTAAACACAAAATAGATAAAGTATTATTAAATTACAGCCTAAAATATAAAACAAAGATCCATGTGTGCTTACAGATATAAATAAATGATTGAGTAAATAAATTAATGGGGGAATAATGAATTAGTTTCCCATATTGAAAGAGTCCATATAGCTTTGTTGATACTTCTCCTTTAGGAAAGTGGAGCATGATTTTCCAACCCTTGAATATGGGATGCACACAGTGACTTTCATCTATTCAATACAATATGAACAGGAAGAATAAAGGAGAACTTTTCAGTGGAGAAACCTGACAAACACTACCTCAGTCAGGTCATCGAGATTAATGTCATTCAGTAATAAGTCATATTGATATTATATATCCCTAATATGACATAATGAGAGTGACACCCTAGGCTAACCATGAAAAAAATGTGGGATAAGCTCAAGTATAGTAACATTCTTCCTTTATTTGATACCTCAAATATATTCATATTTGGTGAATACCTCATAAGTACTCAAAAAATGCCAGCACCATAAAGTCAAGGAGCTACAGACAGACTGTTGTTCCCCAAAATTCATTCAATGGAGCCCTAATCCCAATGTGATGGTATTTGGAGATGAAGCCTTTGGGAGGTAATTAGGTTTAGATAAGGTCAAGAGGAAAGGGCCTTTATGGGATTAGATTAATTATTTATATAAAAAGACCAGAGAACTTCTTTCTTTCTGTGTCATGTGATGAACACAGCAAGAAGATGATTATCTGCAAGCTAGGAAAAAGGATCTCACCGGAAACCAAATTGGCTTGGCTTGATCTTGGACTTCCCAGCCTTCAGAACTGTGGAAAATAAATGTCTGTTGTTTAAGCTGCCTGGTTTATGGCATTTTCTTATAGCAGCTAAATCAAACTAAGACACACAAAAACTGAGTAGTGGTCACAGAACAGAGGAGCCTAAGACATGATGACTAAATGCAACCTGATATCCTGAATGGGATATCCTGAATGTTGCAGACAACAACAACAAAAGAACATTAGGTAAAAACTAAGGACATCTAGATAAAGTATGAATTTTAGCTTATTATAATGCAGCAAAATTAATTCTTTAGTTGTGACAAATGTACCACTGTAATGTAATATATTAACAATAGGGGAATAGAGTGTTATATTTTCTGTACTATATTTAAAACTTTTCAAACATTTTAAAACTAAACTCTGAAATCTTTGTAAAGGTTTATTAAACAAACACAAAGATATTGTAAACCCAAATAAGTCTATCAGGAAATAATAAAAATTAAAAACATAAATATATAATTTTTATCATATAACAATGAAAGATATGGCATACTGAAATTTGTTTGAAAAAGCCAATAAAACAGAAATACATCTCCCAAAATGGATCTTGAAAAAAGAGAGAAAGCAAAAATAAATATAGAAGGAATTAAATGGAAGACATAATTATAGCATTTTTTGTAATCAGAATAAAATATCACACATAATATTATAGTATTTGAAATATCTAAATATTTAGGCCAAATTTTTTAAAATTTTTTTTAAACTTGAAAATTTAGACCAAAGAAAAATTTTCAAGAAAAAGTATAATTTAGTAAAACATTACTCTGAAGAAACTGAAAGTGTGAATATATATTTATCAGTTAAAGAATAAAAATTATTAGATTGTAATCTACAATCCACCACTCTCAGGCACACATTAAAACACCAGGTCTAGATAATTTAAAAGTTAAATATCATTAAGACTGCAGGAAATAGTTTTTTTTCTATGTCAACTTTCATGACAAGAGAAAAAAAGAATTTCCTTTTTTTCAAAATTTTTTCAAAATTACGAGGCTATAGTCTTAATATTATTATAGTAAATAAAGTTATAGGCTATAATGATTTCTGAATATAAAGACAAAAATAATAAAATACTAGAAAACCAAATCCAACAATGATGTAAAAATATACTATGACAAAGTTTACTTTTTTCTCAGAAAATATTTTAACATAAGAAATATCTCTGAAAATTACACACAATTAAAAATTAATGGAGAAAATATACATTATTCTAGAAATAAACGATGCAATTCAATATTTATGCATTTTTTCAAAAAAATCTTAATATTTCAGGAATAAGCAGAAAATTTTGGTATACAGGAATAAAGCTGTATACCAAAAATCTATAATATATTTTCTTTGACTAAAATGAAGCAATTATGATACAATGAAGAATAAAAATGCTTAAAATCATAGTTATGTAGTTAATATATTGGAGAGTTAATAGCTATCTGAGTAAGAGAAGAAAAAAATAACAGAATGTATGAGAATTGAAAAAGAAGAAACTGCCTAAATAGAAAATGTGCAAAACTGCTGAAAAACATTCATATATATGAGAAAGCAGCATTTCTAGATATCAGAAAAATGATTAGGATAAATCTTTTTACAAAAATAATGATTTACGTAGTTAGCCAAAATTATATAACACCAAATAATATCCCTGACAAAAAGTGTAAGATATTTGTAAATTGTAGTGTTGTATTTAAATATATGAAAATGATAAAAAATAAATGGAGAGATTAGCAATTATGGTTGGGAAGATTCACTAGCATGAAAATAGCACCATCTATAAAGCAATGAGATGATTAAATCGTAATAAAGTTTGTGTTTACAGAATTTGGCAAAATCTTAAAATTGTTATGAAAGGGAATGAGGCATAAAAAATAAGAAATATTCTTGTAAACAGGGTGTCACTTGGTCTATTTTTTATTGATCCTGGTATTGCTGCCTTTTAAGTGGAGTATTTTGTACATTAGCATTTAATACAACTTTAAATATTGCTGGTATTAGGTCTAGCATTTATTATTTGTTTCTATTTATTTCCTCTGTTTTGTTTCTCTATTTTTTTCTTCTTCATTTTTCTGCCTTCTTAAGACTAAAAAAGGTCTAAAATGTTACCCCATTTGCAAGCTAACAAATTAGCTTGCTGTAATTTCATAGATTCTGGCAGAAGACATGAGACTCCAAGTCAGAGATAGGGGCCTATTATTTACTGACAGCAATAATAGTAGCCATTGTACCAGCAATAACTTTCCTGGTTTCCTGAGACTCGATTTTCACAGGGAAGCATGAATAATGCCAGGTGACACCTGCAAACATAGTAAATTACATTATAGAAGAAACGTCCTAAGCTCAGGGGACCTGATTATTTTATAATATGCTGTAAACTTACCTGACCTTTGCTTTGGAGCCTCGAGTGTGAATATGTCTGTCCATTGCTCAGAAGGAAAACACAATATCTCTATCTCAATTTTTTAAGGAAATTGGTCCTCTGTTCCAGAGGAAGACACTATCTCTGTCTTCAGAGCTTACTTGCTCTATTAACATCCTTGCAAAGATAGTCTAGAATAAAGACAGATAGCACCTCTGCTTAAAATATGTGCAGAAATGCCAGGTACTTACTGCAAGAGAATTGTCCTTCAACAATATAAACTCCTTGTGCCTACACATGGAAATATTTTATCTTGAATACATAACAACATTGGCTGCTCTGATTAATCCTACAGAGTCTGGAACAAAATTCACTCATTTTGACTCATGTAGCATTTAATTCTACTTACTATCATGTACTATTTATTCTACTTACTATCAAGCTATAGGATGAGTCCTATTTGCAACATTGACCTTGACCATGCCCACAGAAAGCTGGACAAAGCTCTTAAACTATCCAGGTCTACAATAGAAAGCTAGATGGCTTTCTTCTTCAGTTTCTGTATTGACTTTTTCACTTAACTGAAGGCATTCGTCCAGCAGATATATTACTGATTGCATAGACTAGAACTTAGCCCATAAAGAAGAGTTCCAGTGCTATTCTAGTGCATAACAACCTTGGCCAATATATTGAGTCTCACCTGAAATACTTCCAAAGCCAAGGTTGTGCACTTGGTTCCTTAATGTCAGTGACAAATTCTGCACCACCTTTTTAAGTTGGATGACTTCCATTATAAGAATAGTTGTCCTCAGAGTGTACACCAATAATGAGTTAGTTATTCCTATGGAAATCTTTTCTGGAAGGGTAGCCTCATTCTGGAAACATCTCTACAGTCATTTGAAGATCACAAGATATACTAGGCATGTTTTCTTAAACACTTGAAAATCTCTTATGACCTCTTCTACAATGCAAATGACTTTTTTTTTTTCTTTTTGGATATAATCAACTTGAAGCCTGGCTCGCCTAGAGTAATACTGTCCTAGGTTTGCACATGGTGTTATAATGTTTGAAACCCCACCATGTATAAGCTACATGTTTTCGCTCTGTAAGGGGGCACACGATGATATTGACTCCAATATGGCTTCCCAGCCAGTTAGTAGAACTTATGGGTTCACAGTTTCTTTTCAGTGACTATGACTAACGCTTTTTCTTGGTGAGGAGGGGGACCAGGTAGGGGTACTGAGTGATAATCTAACTTGTATATTTGTTTAGAAATGATCTAGAAAGCAGCAGAATGTGTGACCAAATTTAGTTTCAAATTTAGCCAGAATCAACTGATGGGACTGGAACAGCAACATCATAACCTAACAAAATGTCAACAATGGTAAAACAACAGTAACCCTGAGAAAGTGTTAAAAATCTGATGTAGTTAGTCTATCAGAAGCAGGCAGGGGCAAAACTTCATGAAGGGTAAACATGCAATATGACTTCCCTCATTATAATACAAAATCTCAACTTTTAGTAGGAGTGACAAATTTCGCATGCAATGATAGCGTCTCTAATCCTTTTTAATGTGTACCCTATGATAGTTAGTGTGCTGCCATGTCTGATACCGTAATGGATTCTGGCAGAAAGGTAGCAATCTAGGTGAAGCAGAATCAATCAACAGTTTGATTCTGGTTTGTCTTTTTAGAGAACGAGCATCTATACAAGTGACCCAGAGAGGCTGATAGCAAATGTAATTTGTTTACACAGTTGGTGGCCTCAGTTTCTTTCTTTTTTCTTTTTTTTCTAAATTTTTTAATTTTTAAAAATTTTTGTGGGTACATGTTGTATATATTTATGGGGTACATGATATGTTTTGATACAGGCATGCAGTGTGAAATAAATACATTGTGGAGAATGGGGTATCCATCCCTCAAGCATTTATCCCTTGAGTTACAAACAATCCAATTACATTCTTTATTTTTTATACAATTAAGTTGTATACTTAGTAATAGGTTACTATAGTAACCCTATTGTGCTATCAAGTAGTAGGTCTTTTTATTCTATTTTTTTTAACTCATTAACCATCACCACTTTCCCCCAAGCCTCAACGACCCTTCCTAATCTCTGTTGGGAACTACCCTTCCCAACCATCCTTCTACCCTCTATGTCCATGAGTTCAATTGATTTGATTTTTATATCCCACAAATAAGTGAGAACACGTGAAGTTTGTCTTTCTACGCCTGGCTTATTTCACTTAACATAATGATATCCAGTTCCATTCTTGTTGCAAGTGACTGGATCTCATTTTTTTATGGCTGAATAGTCTCCACTGTATACATGTACCACATTTTCTTTATCCATTTATCTGTTGATGGAGACTTAGGTTGCTTCCACATCCTAGGTATTGTAAGCAGTGCTGCAACACACATAGGAATTCAGATATCTTTTAAATATACTGATTTCCTTTCTTTTGGGTATATACCCAGCTGTAGGATTGCTGGATCATATGATAGCTCTTGTTTTAGTTTTCTGAGGAACCTCTAAACTGTTCTCCATGGTGACTGTGCTAATTTACATTCCCATCCACAGTGTACAAGGGTTCCCTTTTCTCTACATCCTCACTAGCATTTTTTTTATGGCCTGTCTTTTGGATATAAGCTATTTTAAGTGTGATAAAATGATATTGTAGTTTTGATTTGCATTTCTCTGATGATCTGTGATGTTGAGAACTTTTTTATATGTTTGTCATCTGTATGTCTTCTTTTGAGAAATATCTATTCAAATCTCTTGTCCTTTTTTCAACTGGATTATTGGATTTTTTCCTATAGAGTTGTTTGAGGTCCTTATACATTATGGTTTTTAATCTCTTGTCAGAGGGGTAGTTTGCAAATACTTTCTCCCATTCTATGGGTTGTCTCTTCACTTTGTTGATTGTATCCTTTGCTATGCAGAAGCTTTTTAACTTGATGTGATCCCATTTGCCTTAGTTGCCTGTGCTTGTTGGGTATTGCTCAAGAAATCTTTGCCCAGAATGATGTCCTAAAGATTTTCTCCAATGTTTTCTTGTAGTAGTTTTATAGTTTGAGGTCTTAGAGTTAAGTCTTTAATCCCTTTTGATTTGATTTTTGTATATGGTGAGAGTACAGGGGTCTAGTTTCATTCTTTTGCATGTGGATATCCAGTTTTCCCAGTACCATTTGTTGAAGAGACAGTGCATGTTATTGGAACTTTTATCAAAAACCAGTTCACTCTAGGTGTGTAGATTTGTTTCTGGGTTCTCTATTCTGTTCCATTGCTCTATGTGTCTGTTTTTATGCCAGTACCATGCTATTTTGGTTACTACAGCTATATATATTGTTTGAAGTCAAGTAACGTGAATCATACAGTTTTGTTCTTTTTGCTTAGGGTCTGGGACTTTTGTGGTCCTGGGTAGTTTGTGGTTCCATATAAATTTTATGACTTTTATTTTCTATTTCTGTGAAGAGTATCATTGGTATATTGATAGGGACTGCATTGAATTTGTAAATTACTTTGGGTAATATGGACATTTTAATAATATTGATTCTTCCAATCCATGAACATGGAATATTTTTCCATTTTGTGATGTCCTCTTCAAATTCTTTCATCAATGTTTTAAAGTCTTCATTATAGAAATCTATCACTTCTTTGATTAATTTCTAGGTATCTAATTTTATGTGTGGCTATTACAAATGCGATTACTTTTTATTTCTTTTTCACATTGTTCACTGTTGGCCTATAGAAATGCTACTGATTTTTGTATGTTGATTTTGTATCCTGCAACTTTACTAAATTTTTTTTATCATTTCTAATAGTTTTCTTGTAGGGTGTTTAGAGTTTTTCTAAATATAAGATTATATCATCAGCAAACAAGGATAATTTGACTTCTTCCTTTCCAGTTTGGATGCCCTTTATATCTTTCTCTTGTCTAATTGCTCTAGCTAGGACTTCCAGTACCATGTTGAATAATAGTGGTGACAGTGGGCATCCTTTTCATGTTCCAGATCTCACTGGAAAGACTTTCAGTTTTTCCTATTCAGTATGATACCAGCTGTGCGTCTGTCATATGTGGCATTTATTATGTTGAGGTATGCTCCTTCTATATGCAGTTTTTTAAGGCTTTTTATTATGAGGAATGTTGAATTTTATCAAATGCTTTTTCAGCATTAATTGAAATAATCATATGGTTTTTATCCTTCATTCTGTTGATATGATGTATCATGTTCTTTGATTTGCATATGTTGAACCATCCTTGCATCCCAGGGATAAATCCTGCTTGGTAATGATGAATGATCTTTTTAATATACTGTTGAATTCAGTTTGCTAGTGTTTTGTTGAAGATTTTTGCATCAATATTTGTCAGAGATATTGGCCTGTAGTTTTCTTATTTTGATGTGTCTTTTTCTGGTTTTCATATCAGGGTAATTCTGGCTTCATAGAATACATTTGAAAGTATTCCTTCCTCCTTTATTTTTCATAATAGTTTGAGTAGGATTAGTACTTTTTTTTTTAAAGTTTGATAGAATTCAGTAGTGAAGTCATCAGGTCTGGGCTTTTCTTTACTGGAAGACTTTTTTTTTTTTTTTTTGAGACAAAGTCTTGCTGTGTCACCCAGGCTGGAATGCAGTGGCACAATCTCAGCTTACTGCAACCTCCATCTCTTGGGTTCAAGCAACTCTCCTGCCTCAGCCTCCTGAGTAACTGGGATTACAGGCGTTCACCACCACACCCAGCTAATTTTTGTATTTTTAGTAGAGACAGGATTTCACCATGTTGGCCAGGCTCATCTTGAACTCTTGGCCTCAAGTGATCCTCCTGTCTCGGCCTCCCGAGGTGTTGGGATTAGATTACAGGCATGAGCCATTGTGCCCAGCCAACTGGAAGACTTTTTATTATGGCTTTCATCTCAGCACTTGTGATTGGTCTGTTCAGGTTTTGGATTTCTTCCTGGTTCAATCTTGGAAGGTGTATGTGTCTAGGAATTTGTCCATTTCTTCTAGATTTTCCAACTTATTGGCATATAGTCGCTCATAGTAGCCACTAATGGTCTTTTGAATTTCTGCTGTATCAGTTGTAATGTCTCCTTTTTCATTTCTGATTTTTATTTGGATCTTTTTTTTCTCAGTATGGTTAGTCAATTTTTTTTAACCTTTCAAAAAACCAGCTTTGTGTTTCATTGATCTTTTATATTTTTTTCATTTACATTTCATTTACTCCTGTTCTAATCTTTTATTATTTATTTTGTTCTACTAATTTTGGGTTTGGTTTGCTCTTGCTTTTCTAGTTCTTTAAGGTAGATTGTTAGATTATTTGAAGTTGCTAACTTTTGATGTTTTGCTTATAGCTATACACTTCCCTTTTAGTACTGCTTTTGCTGTATCCCAGAGGTTTTGGTATGTTGTATTTCCATTATCATTTATTTCAAGAAATTTCTTAATTTTTTTCTTAATTTCTTTCATTGCCCCACTGGTCATTAAGGAGCACATTGTTTAATTTCCATGTATTTGTATAGTTTTCAAAATTCTTCTTAATTTCTAGTTTTATTCCATTGTAGTCAGAGAAGATGTTTGATATTATTTCAATTGTTTTGAATGTTTTAATATTTGTTTCGTGACATAACATATGATCTATCCTTGAGAATGATACATGTGCTGAGGAAAAGAATATGTATTCTGCAGCTCTTGCATAAAATGTTCTGTAAATATCTGTCAGATCTATTTGGTCTATTGCGCAGATTAAGTCTGATGTTTCTTTGCTGATGTTCTGTCTGGAAGATCTGTTCAATGCTGAAAGTGGGGTGTTGAAGACTCCAACTATTATTTGATTGGGGCCTATCTCTCTTTCTCGTTCTAATTATATTTGCTTTAAATATCTGGGTGCTCTTATGTTGGGTGCATATTTATTTAAAATTATTATATCCTCTTTCTGAATCGACCCCTTAATCATTACCTAGTGACTTTTGTCTCTTGTTGCCATTCTTGTCTTGAAATCTATTTTGTCTGATATAAGTATAGTGATTCTTGCTTTTTTTTTTCTTTTTTTGGTTTCCATTGGCATGGGATATCTTTTTCCATACCTTTATTACAGTCTATGTATATCTTTATAGACGAAGTGTGTTTCTTGTAGGCAACAGATAAATGGGTGTATTTCTTGTAGTCAACAGACATTCAGCCAGTCTATGTCTTTTGATTAAAGAGTTTAGTTCATTTACATTTAATGTTATTATTGATAAGTAAGAACTTACCCCTGCCATTTCATTATTTGTTTTCTGGTTGTTTTTAGTCTTCTCTTTTTTCTTTCTTTAATTCCTGTCTTCCTCTAGTAAAGATGCTTTTCTCTGATTATATGATTTTGTTTCTTGCTTTGTATTTTTTTGTGTATCCATTGTATGTTTTTTGGTTTGAGGTTACCATGAGGTTTGTAAATCCTATCTTATAACACATTACTTTAACCTGATAACAACTTAACATTATTTGCATAAACAAGCAAAAAGAAGATTAATATTCACGTTGACTTCCCCCCACTTTTAAATTTTTTGTTGTTTCTATTTATATCTTATTGTACTATGTCATGAAAAGTTGTTGTAGTTCTTTTTGATTGATTTTTTGTTTAGTCTTTCTACTTAGGATAAGAGTAGTTTACACACCATAGTTACAGTGTTATAATATTTTGGTTTTTTCTGTGTACCTACTATTACCAGTAAGTTTTATATTTTCAGGTGATTATTTATTGCTTATTAATGTCCATTTCTTTCTGATTGAAGTACTCTCTTTAGCATTTCTTGTAGAACAGATCTGATGTTGATGAAATCCCACAGCTTTTGTTTGTCTGGGAAAGTCTTTATTTATCCTTCATCTTTGAAGGCTATTTTCACCAGATATACTATTCTAGGGTAAAAATTTTGTTCCTTCAGCACTTTAAATATGTCATGCCACTCTCTCCTAGCCTGTAATATTTCCACTGAGTAGCCTGCTGCCAGGTGTATTGGAGCTCTATTGTATGCTATTTGCTTCTTTTCTCTTGCTGCTTTTAGGATCCTTTCTTTGTCCTTGACATTTGGGAATTTTATTACTAAATGCTTTGAGGTAGTCTTCTTTGGGTTAAATCTGCTTGGTGTTCTATAACTTTCTTGTACTTGGATATAGATATCTTTCTCTAGGTTTGAGAAATTCTCTGTTATTATCCCTTTGAATAAACTTTCTACCCCTTTCTCTTTGGCTTAGATTTGCCCTTCTGAGGCTATTTTCTAGATACTGTAGTCATGCTCTTTATTTTTTATTCTTTTTTTCTTTTGTCTCCCTGACTATATTTGCAAATATCCTGTCTTCAAACTCACTATTTTTTTTTCTGCTTGATGAATTCTGCTATTAAAGGACTCTGATGCATTCTCCAGTATGCCAATTTTAATTTTCAGTTCCAGAATTTCTTCTTGATTCTTCTTAATTATTTGAATCTCTTTGTTAAATTTATCTAATAGAATTCTGAATTCCTTCTCTGTGCTATCTTGAATTTCTTTGAGTTCTCTCAACACAGCTATTTTGAATTCTCTGTCTGAAAGGTCATATGTCTCTCTTTCTCTAGAATTGGTCCCTGGTGCCTTATTTAGTTCATTTGTTGAGGTCATGTCTTCCTGGATGGTGTTGATGCTAGTAGATGTTTTTCAGTGTCTGAACATTGAAGAGTTAGGTATTTATTGTAGTCTTTACTGTCTGGGCTTATTTGTAGCTGTTCTTAGGAAGACTTCCCAAGTATTTGAAAGGACTTGGGTATTGTGATCTTAGCTGTTTCTCCTGTAGGGGGCACCCCAAGTCCAGTAAGTCTGTGGATACTTGCAGACTCATAGTAGGTACCTACCAGCTTGATGGTCTTGGACAAGATCTTAGAGAATTCTCTGGATTACCAGGCAGAGACTCCTGTTCTTTTTCCTTACTTTCTCCCAAGCACACAGAGTTCTCGCTCTGTTTTGAGCCACCTGAATCTAGGGGTGGAGTGACACAAGCACCCAGGGGCCACCACTACTATGACTGCTGTGGGTTTGACCTGAAGCCAGCTTAGCACTGGGTCTTGCCCAAGACCTGCAGTACACTCCTTGGCTACTGCCTGTGTTTGTTCAAGGCTATGGGGCTCTACAATCATCAGTTGGCAAAGCTAGCCAGGCCTGTGTCCTTCCCTTCAAGACAGCGAGGTCCCCAGGCCTCAGGTGGGTCCACAAGTACCATCCAGGAGTCAAAGACTAGAGTCAAAAACCATAGAGGTCTACCTGGTATTTTATTGTATTGTCGCTGAGCTGGCAGTCAGACCACAAGATGCAGTTCTTCCCACTTTTCCTTCCCCTTTCTGAAGGCAGAGGTACCTCACCCTGTAGCCACTGCCACCCCTGACCATGAGGAATAGTCAGACTACCACCAATGTTCCCTTAAGGCCCAAGGTTTCTTAAGTTAGCTTGTGGTGAATGTTGCCTAGCCTGGGACTCACCATTCAGGGCAGCGGGCTCCCCTCTGGCCCAGGGCAAGTTCAGAACTGCCACCCAAGAATTAACCTGAAATAGGGGATCCCAAGAGCCCACTTGGTGCTCTACTCCCCTGTGGCAGTGTTGGTACCTAAGGTGCAAGACAAAGTCCCCTTTACTTTTCCCTTTGCTTTGTCAAACAGAAGGAGTTTTGCCCTGTAGCCACCCCAACTGGTAATGTGCCAAGTCTCTCCTGAAGCCAGCAAGTCTCAGTGGCTCATCAAGGTCCTTGACGTAGTACTGGGTATCATTGCTGGTTATTCAGGACCCAAGGGCTCTTCAGTTAGCAAGTGATGAATGCTGGCAGGACTAGACCCTTTCCTTCAAGGCATCTGGTTCCCTTCTGGGAGCTAGGGCCTGGAATGGGGGCCTCATGCCTCTGACTTGTGCCCTGCACTGCTGTAGCTGAGCTGGCATCCAAGATGCAAGACAAAGACCTCCACACTCGTCCTTCTCCTCTTCTCAAGTAGAAGGAAGGGGTCTCTTTTGGAACTATGAGCTATGCAGCCTGGGGTTAGGGAAGGGGTGATGCCAGCACTTTCTTGTCTTCCTCAGCCAGTGTCTCAGTAGGTCATGTGTCCCCTGGTCCACTCTCTCTGGGTCTAGTTTAGCCCTAGGACATGCCTGTGAGTTGCAGTCCTTATTGCTTAGACTGCCTTTCAAGTTTACTTAGAGATCCGAGAGCACTGTAGCTCTCGGTGGTGAGGTTTACAAGAGCACTGAAGTTTAGCTCTGTGGGATGAATGAGTCCCCTTTGGCTAGGGCTGGTTTAAAGGCCCACTCTTTGGGTGGGTGTCAGCTGAGTTTGGTTTGCTTTTCCTTTCTGCTGTAACAGAACAGCACTGAGTTCAATGCCTGACAATTGCTGTGTTCTGTGTTCTCCCGCCTCCAGTGCCCAGAGATGCTTTCTGTGCCCGTACCACACAGCTGCTGCCAGGGGTGGGGGAAGGGTGGCATCAGCAATTCAGGACTGTTTTTTCTATCTCTTCAGTGCCTCTTTCAGCAATATGAAGTTAAAACCAGGTACCACGAGTGCTCACCTGAATTTTGGTTCTTATGAAGGTGTTTTCTCTATGTAGATGGTAAGTTGGTGTCCTTCAGGAGGCATTGGAGGAGCTTTCTATTCACCATTTTGCTCTGCTTCCTCAAGGAGTTTCTTTAATCTCCCAGTTTATTATTTCCCAAGTGGCTGACCAAAAAGCTAAGGCATTGGCAACATCCCAAGAGTCGGTAAAAATGTGACTTTTTCATCAAGCGAACAGTGATATGAGAGCAGTCTTGGGTTCTGACCACTGAGAGCAATCATACCTGCTTTCTATTCTGTATAGCTGGTGATGAAGAGGTTGAATGGCTGCAGTTGCTCAGTTGACATCATAGGGTTTCAACTTAAGTAACTCACCAATGCAAATTAGTAATTAGCATTTAGGAGAACCTCATCAAATGAAGGGTACTATTGAATCAGCAACTTTGTTTCAGGTAGAATAGAGAGTAGAGCATAAAACTTCTTCCAAAGGATAGCTGCCACTTTTTCATGTAAAGCCAAGATGATGTTGGCACCCAGGCTGGTTCTGTTCTTTTTTTTTTTTTTTTTTTTTCTGGAGATGGAGTCTCACTCTGTCCCCCAGACTGGAGTGCAGTGGTGCGATCTCGACTCACTGCAACCTCTACCTCCCGGTTCAAGCAATTATCCTGCCTCAGCCTTCTGAGTAGCTGGGACAACAGGCATCTGCCACCACGCCCAGCTAATTTTTGTATTTTTAGTAGAGACAGGGTTTCACCATATTGGCCCAGGATGGTCTTGATCTCCTGAACTTGTAATCCACCCGCCTTGGCCTCCCAAAGTACTGGGATTACAGGCTTGAGCCACCATGCCTGGCAGGTTCTGTTCTTAAATATATAATTTCCATTTGACAAGCTAGACTATTTGAGCCCTTCCTATCTTGTTAGTTGTTGAGTTAAAGTTGAATATCCCGAAAAAAGGAAATCAGGCTAGAGAATCACAAAACCTCCATGGATGAAACATTCAGTTTCTACAAGAGCCTAGTAGCAAACTAATAGCTGAGTTATATCAGAGGGATAATGAATTCAAAACCAAATTGTTGCCTCTGGATCTAGACTCTCCCTCTTCTCCAGGTGTTTTAACTGACAAAATTATCAGTGGTAGAGATTTGTGGTTCAAAGAGTTTATTATGGTTGAGGTGTTCCAAAGGTACTAGCTCTAACCTACACGTGGCCCTTGCAATCTGGATAGTCCCTTCTGCCACTTAATGAGCATGTACAGTTCAGACATGTAAAATATCAATAGCATTTATATATTTAGTGGTTGAAGACACAAAGATCTCATCCACAAGTTTACATTAGCTTCTCTTCCTTACTGTGAACTCTTCCCAAGCCCCATTAGCTGATTATTGGTATCTGCTACCCTACAGACTAGATAAGATATTGACCAAATATAAGATGGGAACTTATATCCAACTGAGCTATAAAGATTTGAATCCCTTTTCTTCCTTATAGCTTCCCAATATACTCTTATATGTGTGTATGACCTTTGGTCTTCTTTGGAGGCAGAAGACCTTAGTAATACTACTGATGATTTGTCCCCTTAAAACAGCCAAGGTCAAGAGTGGAAGTGCTGCAAAGTATCAGAGGGTATGGAGGTAGAAATCAGCTCCACACCAGCATATAAGTCACATTTGCCTTTGATATTGAGTGGCCAGCTGCTCAACAGCTAGAATTGTACTATTTTCTGATGTTTTCTATTCACCGAAGCCCCTTTATCCTTATTGCTGACAGCCCCCGCCTGCCCCCCCGCCCCCCGCCACCTTTTTTCTAATTGCTCTGGGTGTTTCTAGACTGAGAAGCAGGGCTAGAACTAGAATGAAGGAATGTGGCACTCACTTGGGACACAAAATTTTTAAAGCATGCCAAAAAATTGAATAAGTAATGTTTTAAAGCAATATTTTAAAAATAAAAAATTCATGCAAAATCTCCATGATGAACAAAATATCAATATTTCAAAGATGCCATCTGAAGCTACACTTGCATGATCTCATCTCATTTGCTCTGCTCTAATCCTGACCTGTCTGATTCTGTTTTGTGGATACTATCCGAGATGATGAGAGAGGAGAAAGAAAGAAATCAGTCAGGCAGGCAGTTAAGGTGGATTCTCAGTTGAATTCTTTCAAACAAAAGAACAGCCTGAAAAATCAAGCTACAGGCATAGATAAGGGACCTTGCACAGGGGGGCTTGCCTAAGACATGCTCACAGCCACACAGAAAATAAAGGCTAAACAGGTGACTTGCCCAGACATGCCCACAATGGAAAATTTCATCCCCTGATACATGTGCAGTAAGGGGAGCAAAGCAATATGAAGTAACTCAAGCTAAGGGTCCACATGTGCATTAGGAGGATGGGGTGGAGCTACCAGAAATTCATGCATTATGCAAATGAGATGCCCAGCCCTCACTTGTTTCCTATAAATGCTTTTGGATTCAACTGTAAAAAATGGCAACCTTCTTTTGGGTCCCCTCTCCACCATGTAGAGCTTTCTTCTTTCGCTTATTAAACTTTCACTCCAACCTCACCCTTGGTGTCCATGCTCCTTAATTTTTGTTAGACAAAGAACTCCCGGTGATATCTCAAATAATGGGAGACTGCTACATTGGGGTACATTGGTGAGACTGTAACAATGAGACTCCTGGTTGTGAAGAAAAGCATTTTCCTTCTTCCCTTTCCTCCCTTCCCCTTCCCCTCTCCTTCCCCTCCCCTTCCCCTCCCCTTCCCCTCCCCTTCCCCTCCCCTTCCCCTCCCCTTCCCCTCCCCTTCCCCTCCCCTCCCCTCCCCTTCCCTTCCCTCCCCTCCCCTTCCCTCCCCTCCCCTCGCTTCTCTACTCTCTCTCTCTCTCTCTCTCTCTCTCTCTCTCTCTCAGGATCTTGCTCTGTTGCTCCATGCTGGAGTGCAGTGGCATGATCCTAGGTCACTGTAACCTTGAATTCCTAGGCTCAACTGATCCTACTGCCTTGGCCTTCCTAAGTGCTGGGATTACGGTGAGCTGCTATGCCCAGTCTTTTAAAAAATATCATGGCACAGCAAGAAGCATGAGCTTTATGTTTATGAGAGCTCATCTTCATCCTGTATTTCATGATGGCAGTGTGGAGGGGTGCAGGGACGTGCTGTATATTCAGAGGGTTTTTGTCATGCCTGAGGAACTTTGAACTTAAGGAATCTGATCTTTCAGAGTGGACAGAACATTTGTCTGAAAGAGACATGACTTTTATTATAGTGGACATGAAACAAACCTGCCCCTTGTTCCAGAGGTGGTCATTCTGTCTTCAGTGCCCGTTTGCTGTGCAAACATCCTTAAAAAGATAGGGAAAAGGCAAGCAATGCCTTTGCTTGCAAGACATATAGAAATGCAAGTAAATCATAAGGAGTTTTGTCCTAAAATATCCTCTAAAATATTCAAATTGAAGTGAATAACTTCTAAATCAGTAGGTTAAAAAGGGGGCCTAAAGGAATTGAGAATATATATTCAATCTAATAGAAGAAAAGAAAGAAGGGGGGGAAAAGCATTACAGAAAAAAATGTGACCAATAGGAAACAAAAAATTTATAGAAAGAATTCCACATATATAAATAATCACAAAAAGTGTACCTGATTAAATTTATTTGTGAAAGAGATATCTCAAATGGGTGAAATAAAACTTAGCTAAAGTTATCTTATTCCTTCCTTATGGTTTCTATTCCCTATTTTTATTTATTTAACAAACACATAGCGCTTATTATGTCCCTGGCACAGTTCAGGCTGCTTTACAAATAAACTACTTTAATTCTCATGAAAACCAACAGACATTGATTACAACCACTACTATATTACTCTAATATTATGATTCTAATATTAGAGTAATATATTACCCTAATACTACTATTACCCATTTGACTGCTGAGAAAAATGAGACATAAAGAGGATAAATAAATTTCCCAAGGCCACCTGTTACTAAGTGGTCAAGATAAGACTTGAACCCTGGTATTCTGACTAAGGGTCTGCCCTCTTACCACATCTGCTTCCTTTTTAGCTCTTTTAAGCATACTGTTTTCCCTGTCCTATCCTGTTTCTCTTTTCACCCTGCCCCAGCCATCCCTAGTTTCCCCAAAATCATCCTCTAGCTCAAAAAATGGAATTGCTACTGCCAGGAGAAAATCTAAAAATCACAGAATTGTTAGAATTATACCTGGGAGTGTTAATCACAAAGAACCTAGAGTAGCTATGTTCATAACAGATAAAATAGACTTGAGTGAACTTTACCAAAGAAAATTTAGAATAATAGTGGATGCACTGTGAAAGCTTACCTTACATAAAATTCTTCATGCCCGGGCGCTGTGGCTCATGCCTGTAATCCCAGCACTTTGGGAGGCTGAAGTGGGCGGATCACGAGGTCAGGAGATCGAGACCATCCTGGCCAATGTGGTGAAACCCTGTCTCTACTAAAATACAAAAAATTAGCCAGGTGTGCACCTGTAGTCCCAACTATGTGGGAGGCTGAGGCAGGGGAATTGCTTGAACCTGGGAGGTGGAGGTTGCAGTGAGTCGAGATCACGCCACTGCACTCCAGCCCAGCGACAGAACAAGACTCCATCTCAAAAAATATATATAATAAAAATAAAAATAAAAAATTCTTCATTTATGGGGCACTTTAGAAAAAGAAACCTCAAAATCAGAATCCCAAGTGCCTCAAAAATAAGGGAGCGTGTCTTTTATAGGCATGCAGTCTTCCAAGAGACTAAAAGATTTAGAAATAGCCTCTCCAAAAGAGTCCTTATAAAAGGCAAATAAAAACTTTAATTGATCATGAAAGAAAAAGAAAATGTACGTTGACCGACTTAACTTCAGCTGCTCAGTTCTCTACCCAAATTACTCTGAATGCAACCTTTATGCTTAGTTTTTTCTCTGCAAAAGTAAAAAAATAAAATCAACAACAACAACAAAACACTACACAAATCCCTTATAAATTTAGGCCTTCATATCAACCAGGCTTTCTTTAAACATTTTTATACCTTCGTCAAAACCTGAGCTTGGCCAGGCACTGTGGCTCATGTCTGTAATCTCAGCACTTTGGGAGGCTGAGTGAGGAGGATTACCTGAGGCCAGGCATTCAAGGCCAGCCTGGGCAACACAGTGAGACTTCATTTCTACAAAAAAAACTAAAAAAAAAATTGTCTGGGCGTGGTCATGCACAACTTTAGTCCCAGCTACTCAGGAGGCTATAGTGGGAAGATAACTTGAGGCCAAGAGTTCTAGTTTGCAGTGAGCTGTTCATGCCACTACACTCTAGCCTGGGCAACAGAGGAAAGCCCCGTCTCTAACAAAACAAAACACCTGAGCTCAGAGAAATAGTTAAAGACTTCCCTGTCCTTCCTATCCCAAAGACAAAACCCATAAATTTATTGAGGAATTTAGAATTTTCATTGCAGCATATAATCCAAGATGCTCTGATCCTTATCAGTTTATTCATATAATATTGGGACCTGGAGAAGTCCATAAATAGATGGCTGAAACCAAATGGGAGGTTCATGGGAAAGATATCAAAGATCTAACCACTCAATTTTCCAGGGATGGACCAAAAATGGCTAGAAAAATAGTGACTGTCAGACATAAAAAATGTAAGCCCGATTCATCAATCAGCTCCTCCCTAAACTCAGTAATCGAGTTGAAAAACAATGGCTGGTTTGGGAAGTTACCAATCTGTCAGAATTAGCCCCCCAAATATGCTTCCATAACATTATTCTGAGCTGGTTATTTTGAGACCCTTTGTAAGAAAAATTTACATATAAAGGAGATCTCCATGTGTAAGGGTGACTTCACTCTGTAAAAGCAAGAGAAGGAAGAGTAAAACACTAGAGAATGAAGAAGGCATTGACTCAAAACTACACCGCAAACCTTGCCTTAAGGTAATTTTCTTGGCCATCTAGTCTTAACTCGACTTTTACCCACACCTTTTTTTATTTGGGTCGATATCCTTTTTTGGCATTTAGGCCTGGTGTCTAAACTCTGTGTCTTTGAGATGTAAATTTTCTATAATTTCTCCTCTAGAATCCTAGGCTTATCTCTTTAATATGCAAATTTCAGGGACATGCCTCATCAGAAAAAAAGATATTTGACAATTGGGCAAATGAATAACCTTAAAAGTCTTTTTCACAAATATTAGTAAAAATCTTTAGCCATGTGGGAGAATAATCTTGTTTCATCAGCCAAGACCACAATTCAGATCCAGAAATATTTTTTTATAAACTAGTGCATTTTGTATTGCTGTACTTGGCACATTGCTAAAACTTTAGAATGAAAGCTATAAGATCTGTTTCTGCCTGTATATTTATGTATGTCTATATGTATGTTATGCATGTGTGATGCTTTTTCTACTTCTAAATGAGTTTGCCAAAATTAAATTTGCAAAAGAGCCCTATTTACTTGGCTTATTTTACTTGACAAAGAAAAATAAGTGCTTATATAAATTATTTCCATAACTCTCAGAAATATAGAAACTAACCCAAATGGTTTTCAAGTGCACATGATCTGGGATAATCTTTGGCAAATAAAAACCAGTTTAAGTTTGTTGGTTTAATTAAAACAGATACGTCTTCAGAGTTGCCAATATTAAATATGATGCAGACACACAACTTTATTTCTACCTGGGTTTACGAGTCAAATAAATTTATGTTATCTCAACAAGGTGGTTAAGATGATAAAGCTATGAATTCAACCTAAGAAGAAATGTGAAAATGTGGAATACATTATTTCATGTGTATTAAGCAAAGCAGCAAAACAAAACAAAAAGAACTATTTAAATTTATTAAGGTTGCTTTCTTGATGATGCTGTATCATGCGCACACTGTAAAAATAGTTAATAGGAAAATAACTTGAGACGGTGACTTTCTTTGTCTAAATCTCATAAAATTTTCATGGTTTCAACTATAATTGTTAAGAACAAGTGAATTAAACAGATGTAAGAAACAAAATTTTATACATAAACCTTTCAAACATAATTATGTTTTATATATATCTATTTAAAAATAGCTTCTCCAATCTCCTTGTTAGCCTCCACCATTGGAATTTTGCTAATTTAAGTTAAATTATGGATATTCATTGAATATATAGATTTTTAAATAAGATAAAATATCCAAATATTAATTACTGAACATAGGTTTAAACTGATCTACTTTTGCCTTTTTATTACAGAAGAACTAAAGGTATTTGAGTCTGTTAGAAAACTTGTCCTGTGCCATGGTGAAAAATTGTACTATGAGGAATCATATGCTTCCGACATTATGAAATTATGCAGTCATAGATTTGCCAGTTTACAGAATACTAATATGATAGACAGCTATTTTATAGTTTTTGCTAAAAATTAAAGGTACTAAAGTTTAAAAGTTCTAATAAATATAGGTTAATTAAAACAAGTAATAAGTGAAGCAACTTTGTATACAAAGAAAGTAAGACTTTTTTGGTAAGAAAAGCTATAAAGTATGAGATTTGTTTTTGTTTGTTCATCTGTTTTCTTAAGGGACAAATAGAGTAATTTTTGGCCTAAAGTAGAATGACTGTTCTACAATGAGAAAGAGAAAGAAATGTAAGACAAAATCTAAATAAATATAAGTAAGTTGTAGAAGTTTTGTGGCAAGGGAATCTTGGAAAAGGAATTTTATGTGTGGTTAAGATGGCTAAGATTAGAATGGGTTTATTTTTATGTGTTCTTTATAATTGAGCTTTAATAGCAAAAGTACGTTAATCCAAAACTAGAATTTAGTCTTCTCTGTTAAAATGACAAAGTGTTCTTAATATATAGGTCTGCTCTTGGTAAGAAAGTGTGAAATATTTTTCTTTACCTTTTGAGTAATTTTCTTAGAAAATGAAGATTGTGTGCCTTAAAATAATTTCCTGTGCTTCATGTAATCCTTTTCTGGTAATCAGAAAACTGAGATTTCTCATTATTAAAAGAGCTTATTTTTTTTCAATTATGTAATTTAAAATCTTTTCATTTTCATTTTGGTATTGTTTCACAGCGACCTCTGGTCATAGTTAATTGAGTCTCTAAACCATCTGATATTTTTGATAAACTTCCAAAAATAAAATTCAAAATTAAGTATTTTTTGACCTTAAACTTACTTTGGAATTTTCCAGATGGGTCCCTGAAATATCTCAAGTGAATTTGTTTTCTCTTCTTGCAGAAAGGGAGCTATTAAACTAAGTAGACTTATTTGATATGTTAAATTTGCATGGGAAGCCTTGTTAAAGAAATGATGTTTGACCTTCTTGAAGTTATATTTATATGGATATATGTTACTAATATAAATGTTACAGAATTTGTCTAAAATTCCTAGAACTCTTATGTGTCCTAATATGTTTTTAATCACAATTCTAGTTACTATGTTAGAAATGTGATATGTTACAGGAATAAAAATTTCTTGCCAATTTTATTATAATAAACATTCATCAGATCTTTAACCACGGCCACTTAAAGTCTTGTCACCCACAGGCAGCTCTTTGCAAATGGCTATAATCCTTAAATGTTTTGTCTTCAAGGGGATTCATGGAAAAGACTGATAAGTACAGGTTCTGATAACTTTATTAACATACCATCAAACAAGATAATAATTTCTACAACTGTAATGGAAAAACTTGATTCATAAAACTGGTAACCTAAGATGAAGCAGAATAAGAATTAATCACATAGGACTGAATAAACTGATTATTGCAATTTTTTTGGAGACATTGCTAAACCTTTAAAGTTTTGTTTTTCATACTTAAGGAAATATTTTCTCTTTTCTCTAAAGATACCTGTAAATTTCAGCAATTTGGTACCTTTGTAATTCCCTCAAAATTAAACCAATACAATTTAATGTAAAAATTTGTTTTCTCTTCTTCTAAAAACAGAGCTATTAAACTAAGTAGACTTATTTGATATGTTAAATTTGCATGGAAAGTCTCGTTAAAGAAATAATATTTGACTTCTTGAAGTTATATGTTACTAATATCACTTGAGATATTTCAGGGACCCATCTGGAAAATTCCAAAATAAGTTCAAGGTCAAAAAAGACTTAATTTTGAAATTGATTTTTGGAAGTTTATCAAAAATATCAAATGGTTTATAGACTCAATTAACAATGCTCATAGATCACTGTGAAACAATACCAAGATGAAATATAAAGTGTACCTTTGTAAACCAAAATTAAAACAATTTCTTTTTCTCCCTACCTGATTACTCCAGAATTTGGAAACTATCAGTGAGTATTCGTGTTCTTAACCAAATATGGTTATTTGTACAAGTTTTATAAGAATCTATTCTTGAAACAGGATACAATTGGAAACTTTGGTTATATTGCAATGACTTTGATTGATATCATATTTGAGAATGTACATAGAATTAGATATGACCAAACAGTTTTAGGGAACTAAGGTTGACTTTATGGGGCCAATAAAGCCCTCGCAGTGGGGAGTGGCAGGGGGTCCTAGACTTACAGGTTGAGAGGTTTTTTTCCTGGAAGGTCCAGGAAACTTATGAATATTTGGGGAACTTGAGAAGAGAGAAATTCACCCAAATCTGTAGTTATTGCAATTGAAGTCTGATGGCAAGTCCTTGGCTTGGTTTCCTAGCCTCAAGAGAATTGTAAATGTCTAATCTGGGATTTTTTTTTTGTTGTCGTTGTTAAAAGTTCCAGTAAAGCAGACTTAAAAAGAGCTCATGTAATCAATCACTATTCTTGCTGCACTTTTGCAAGTAATCAGGCCAAGATCAATGAGACTAGAATCTTACTGTAATTATCTTTAGTAGAAATGGGGGTGACTATATAGAGAAAAGCTCTTTTTCAGTAGAAAACTATAGTGCATCCATTATTAGATTCTAGCCCTGTTCATTGTCTTTGGAGTTTTGTTATTTATAAACAACAATCAGATGTGGATTGGACTGGATCCTGATTTTTTTTTCATTTCCTCCAATATCTGGCTAAAACTCTGCAAGCTAATGTTTGCAGGTTTCTGCCCCCCTTTTTACTTAGATTCACTAATAACAAAAGTTGCCTTTCTTCTGAAGCCCCACAAGCTGAAACTGGATAATTTCATACAAAGTTCAGAGGCCAACTTTCATGCCTGCTGCTGTGTAGGCCACTCAGGGAGTTCACTGAGATAATTGAGACATTAACATTGCAAACCAGAAATATTGTCAGATTGCAACTGCCATACTCATTCCACCATCTAAATGTGCTCCGAGCTCAAATCTAGAAATCTTCTTGACTAACTGCCCTATCAACTCAAAGACTAAATTAATATTTTGTTCTAGCCATTAACCCTTGCTTTTTTTTTTCTTTTCTTTCTTTGTTTATAGACATTCCCATCTCATTCATCATTTGATTTACTTGACTTTAGCTGGTTTGGTTTTTAGAGACCTTGGCTAAGGAGTATGTTCTAGTCTCTGTATTATCCTCCTGATAGTCATCATTGTAATCTTCCTGGTGTGCTATGTTCCCTCAAGAGTCTTAAATGCATGCTTGCATCCATCAACAGTATGCCGGATGGTCTCACTGCTATTAGAATGACAAAACAAGAACCTGACATCCTGACTTACAAGTTCCACAATGCGCAAAGGCAAACCAGGCATGATCGTGACACAGAGCAATAGTTATGCCAGAGTTTCGGTCAATCCCTCATAAATGAGAGGCCGACCCAAAGAGGGGATTATTAAAATAATTAACTTAGAGGTTATTAGACTGAGGTAGCTCTAGTGCCTTAAGCAAACTGAAGTTCCCACAGAAGCAATTTGAAACCTAATTCATTGTAAAGGGTCATATCCTAGGAAAACAAAACTTAAGCTTAACCAATCGGAAATTGCCACTTTAAATGGGGACATTGAAGCTACTGCTCCACTTTAACCAATCAAAAATTTTCTTTCCTTTTTTTTTTTTTTAAGATGGAGTCTTGCTCAGTTGCCCAGGCTGGGGTGCAGTGGCACAGTCTCAGCTCACTGCAACCTCTGCTTCCCGGGTTCATGCCATTCTCCTGCCTCAGCCTCCTGAGTAGCTGGGACTACAGGCGCCCGCCACCACACCTGGCTAATTTTTTGTATTTTTAGTAGAGATGGGGTTTCACCATGTTAGCCAGGATGGTCTCAAACTCATGACCTCATGATCCACCCACCTCGGCCTCCCAAATTGTTGGAATTACAGGCATGAGCCACCGTGCCAGGCCCAAAATTTTCTTTGCTTTACTTCTTAGTATACCTTATAAAAGTTTGCCTCTTACACCCCATCAGTGGAGCCCTGAACCTCTTGCAGTCTGAAACTGTCTGATTCATGAATTCTTAATGCTTGAATAAACTTTTTAAATTTTTAATGTGCCTATCTTTTAACAGAATATTATATAATTTATGAAAATATATTTGGGTGCATGCACAAATACAAGCAGTATATTTGTAAGGAAGATAAATATTTAGACTGAAGTTTGCCAGTAACTGCACTCAACAAGAAAAGAGGGAGATTACCCTTTCATTTTCATTTTTAGTTCGATTTATTAAGAAGAGTTTTAACTGGGAGGGTAGTGCATGTCTGTAGCCCTAGTTACTTGGGAGGCTGAGGTGGAAGGATGGCTTGAGGCAAGGAGGTCCATGGTGCAGTGATCTACGATTGTCTCACTGCACTCTAGCCTGGGCAACAAAGCAAGACCTTCTCTCCTCAAAAAAAAAAAAAAAAAAAAAAAAATCTTTTGGAATCATGCAGAGTGGAGTATTGTTTATAGCTCAGATAATGATAATTGAGCCTAATATGCTATAATAGGGAACATCTAAATGTAGATGTTAAATCAAGACTTAGCACAAATATTGTCATAAAGGTGACACTTTTTCCAACTCGTGACTGTCTCTGAAGTCTGCAAAGAAAGATATGTAATTGGCAATAACATTTTGAGTGACTTCTAGTTAGTACGTTATCCCCTTAGAGATTACTCTTAGAGACCAAATTTCTTCTGGTTTAAAAAGTGTGTTGACTTAAATGTGAGAGCTATGTTGAGCAACGTAAGAATTGTCATTGCTATTTGAGGGTTTCCTCAACGACTTTGCTTTAAATACTCCCTTTTCTTTGTCCGGGGAATAAAGAGTTAATCTGAAAAGCAAAAGCTTAGTCTTTGTTTACGTGGAGGTGACATGAAGTGATTTCTGTTTTCTAAGGTGCTATATTGATAATACCTACATCGCAACTCAGAAAGTACATGTTGTGCTGTATCTGTTGATCTTGTCTACACATTCTACATTTCTGGAAAACACAATTATTGTTTTCATTTGTTGGTATTTTTTTAAAATAATCTATTTACATACATTTATATGGAATGTAGAATGCATCTACAGAATGGAATTTGGAAGAAAACAACTGTTCTTTCCAGATGCTTTAGATTTTACTTTTCTTTAATATACTTAGATTGCATGATAAACTTTAGATTGCAGATAAAAATACAAAATAAATTTGTTTGTTCTTAGGATCTAAATCTACTTGTCTTAACAATGTATCACATACCAATAGTTTGCAACACAAGAAGATTATAAACTGGTGGTTAGATGTTAATAACGGTAACACAAAACATTAAGGCAAGTGACATTTACATAAGTATCTTGATCTTAATACATGTAATTTACATATGAAAATTTAATCACCATAGAGATAAACAGCTGCAATGTTTAATTAAACTCTCCACACAAAATCAGCCTGCAAGAAGTAGTTTGTCATTGCTAATTCATCACAATTCTCTTAAGTATTCTTTAAAATAAAAATGCAAAATAAATGACTCTTATTGATAATTTAACTTCTGGTTACTTTGTATTTTAATTGTATCATCAAAGCCTGTTGAGAATATGATAAAGATTCTAGATTCATTTTCACTCTGTTTAGGAGGCAAAGAACAAATATATAGAAAACAAATGTATTTGTTTACAAACTTATAAGGGTCACTAGTACAATAACACTAAAGAATAATTTAACAATTTTAATGTAAAAATAAGTCGTGGGTAATGAAGGGATGTAAGAGTCTTTCTCAATGGAGCTTTTAAAGAATGAGTGCATTATACACAGAAATTCATGCCAACATTAGCAAGAGAAAAAAATTGCCAGTTTAGAATATATAAAACTAAAAATCTGCATCGAATTTTAAGATAGCAAAGACACTAACAAACAGGAAAGAGAATGGTTAATACATAAATGCTGTAAGAAGTCATCTTTGAGAAATAGGACATAAAAGATGAAAGGTTTTGTTTCTATATGTCTTATTTGTATAAGAAAGTGAAATTATTCATTCATTCATTTAAAAAGATAAGTACCTACTGTATGCCAGACATAATGGTATATTCTAGCATAAAAGAGGGACCTAGTCAGATAATGTGGCTTTCACTATGAAACTTATATTTGTTGCAGCCTTTTCTTTATAGATATAGATTCAAAAATGCAGAAATAAAAGACAATTTGATATATTCATGGCAAAGTAAAGGGCTTCTGGTATTCGGGACTATGCTTCCCATCTCTAATGTTTTGCAGGTAAGTCCAGACTATTGGACAACATTAGATAAAATTCACATCACTCATTGAAGTGAAGGTAAAATCAAATTGGAATTTGAAAGTGACATTGTTCATGAGCTGGTTCCTAGGATATGCTTTTAATGTTGAGAGCATCCAAGTTCTCTCCCAAAATGTTTTTCCAAATTAGTAAGTCTAAAAGACTTGTCTAGAAGAAATAAAAGCTATCATTTCCAAGTATACCAATAATACGCTATTAATTGTGTTAAAAATTTCAATCATTTTACTTTCTCTTAAACTGAACATTTGCATCTATAAATTAAAAGCACATCGAGTATTTTATAGTCTCTCATATTTAAGAAATTAAGCCAAAACTGAAAAAAATTGTAAGAATAAATCATGTCATAGAGTGAATCAGAGACCAGAGCATCTCAATGACCCATTATAAGAGAATATTATTATATACATTTATATTTATTTCTATGTTTTATATAAAGCAATTCATCTTGGATCTGGGGTTGCTCAATTTCTTCTTTTCAAAATGAATAGTTTGGCTTAGACAATCTAAAATCTTATTCACTAAGTCTCCAGCATTACATGATTTTATTTCACATATTTAAATATTCAGAGCTATTTTGGGAAAAAATAATATATTGAGACAAATATACGGTATACTGTTCCTCTAAATTAGCTTGGCAAATAAATATATTTTATCGTGAAGGCTTAAAAAATCATGCTTAACACTTTACAGTTGTGTGTGTGTGTGTTTGTGTGTGTGCGTGTGTGTGTGGAGAGAGAAAAAAATCTATATCACTGCTGTTTATCTAATGATCTACTTATCTCTCTCATTTATTTATTTTGAATACTTCTTACCCAAAGATATTAGAATCTGAAAATGATTGGTTAGCTAAACTATCAGGAGGCACAAAAAATGATACCTAATACCTTAAATATTTAATTTTAGTTCCAATTATGAACATATTCAGCATTCTTTTGATATAAGGTCTAAGTCTTTCCTTAAAGTATAAGCCTGCTGAATGGAATTTGAAATGGACTTTCTTGCATAAACAAGTGCTGTATTAAATGTTCTATAGTTTCAAGCTCAAAGGAGGCACAAATTGAAATATACTTGTACTATAATATGAGCAGAAAAACTCTCTTGATATTTGCCAAACTTTTATACTTGTCTCTTGCATGGAATTCGATATTTTTGCACCATATTTTATCTGTTTGCTTTGTACCAACTTATTACATTATCCATGGAAAAATAGGCACATCTGGCAGAAGTTGATTTGTGGATGACCACAACCAAAGGTAAACATATAATTCAAGTGTGCAAGCAAAAGTGTACAAGTGTTCTAGAGCTTCATCAGAGATAGGTCAGTTCAGTGGAAATTGTTACAATTTCTTTTATTTTATTTAATCTTCAAAACAATTCCAGAGAGATTAAGTGATTCACGTGAGACTATGAAATTATTTTGATATTCATAAAAATATCAAGGTTATTAGGTGATTCACATGAGTCTATGAAATTATTTTGATATTCATAAAAATATCAAGGTTATTAGGTGATTCCCATGAGGCTACAAAAAGTGGCAAAGTCTGAACTCAAACTCAATGAACACTGTTACATCTATTATTTTATGATATACATCCATAATAAAATCAATAATTTGGATTTTCAAATGAGTTGAAGTGGAAGTGAGTATAGAATAATTTTTTTTTTTTTTTGTGATGGAGTCTCACTCTGTCACCCAGGCTGGAGTGCAGTGGCACGATCTCGGCTCACTGCAAGCTCCACCTCCAGGGTTCATGCCATTCTCCTGCCTCAGCCTCCTGAGTAGCTGGGACTACAGGCACCCACCACCACGCCTGGATAATTTTTTGTATTTTTAGTAGAGATGGGGTTTCACTGTGTTAGCCAGGATGGTATTAATCTCCTGACCTCGTGATCCACCTGCCTCAGCCTCCCAAAGTGCTGGGATTACAGGCTTGAGCTACCGTGCCTGGCCGAGTATAGAATAATTTTTTTTAACTATTCTGCAACTACATTGAATGAAGAAATCACTGCCTAGTTATAGATGTTGCACAATGTGGTACCTAATTTTAAAAAGATATCCCATCTATGTATCTTTTTAGTAATTCTGTGATACTTTAGCAGCCTACTCTTTTCCTGGAATACTATAAAGAAATTGCCAAAAACTAAGATATGCGTTATTCTATTAGTATTAATGTGTTAGTGGATTGTTACTAAACCAGAATTCTCTCACAACAGAAGATACAGCCTTGGGTTTAAATGTTTTCATACTGCATTTTTAGTTTTTTTAACCTTAGAAATTAAGTGCTTGATATGGTTTGGATCTGTGTCCCCACCCAAATCTTATATCAAATTGTGATCCCCACTTGTCGGGTGGTGGAACTGGTAGGAGGTGATTGAATCAAGGGGATGGTTTCTAAAGTTTTAGCACCATCCCCCTAGTGATGTCTTAGATGTCATCCCCCTAGTGACAGAGTTCTCATGAGATCTGGTTGTTTTAAAGTATGTAGCACATCACCCTTTGCTCTTTTTCTCTGTCCTTCCACCATGTGAAGATGTGCCTGCTTCACCTTTGCCTTCCACCATGATTGTAAGTTTCCTGAGGCCTCCCCAGCCATGCTACCTGTACAGACTGTGGGACTGTGAGTCAATTAAACCTCTTCTCTTTATAAATTACCCAGTCTCAGGTAGTTCTTTATAGCAATGTGAGAACAGACTAATACAGTGCTGATATCCTCGTTTAAATTTTAATTTTCAGAATTTTTCTTTCTTGTGGTCTCAATTTCTTTTCTTTTTATGCTTCTTAGTTTTCCTTACTCTCATATATTGATATTTTATTCCAGAGAGCACGTGATTCATTTCAGCTTTCAATTTTTTTAGTTTTATCACCTAACTGCTGTAAAGTATAAGGTCAAGTCCTTAGGGAATATATTTTAAATAAGAGGGGTTGGATTGGATTAAATGTGAAGGTGTCTCTTTCCTATCAGGTGGCAGCCTCTCATAGTCTCACTTTTCTCTTCCTTCCCTCCATGGTGACTGCGGACAAGATTGCTGAGTTAAAGGAACAAGAGCCTCAAATCAGAAACGGTATCTGAAGAGTTTGGAAATCTAAAATAATTTGTAGACATCAGAAGTTGTACGTTAAACATGTTAAAAACATGAAGTATCATTGGATATTTGTTTGTGTATTTTGCCAGGACTATTGGGTCACAAATGGTCCAAGCAATGTTTTGACAAAAGAAACCCATTTTAAATGTAAGTTTTATATAAGCTATGAAATAAATAAAATTTAAATTACAAACTCTCCTCTTTCTTAGGTAAACATTCACTTCCCATTTCTTTTGGATTTGGTAGAGTTCATTAAAACATTCTATTATATATCTTAGATGGCTGCTTATTGGGAATGGACAAATTATTTGCCATTTTATTATATTACAAATTGTAGCAATTGAAGCAATAATGAATACTTTATTCTGTGTTTTTCCCCCATTGAGATGAATATGATTCATGGAGAAAAATCCTCTGTAAGAAAAGAAATATAATTTAGCTTACCTTTTCTTTTCTGGATTAGTGAGCCAAGCATTACAGCTGCCCATGTTGTCAAAATGCCATGGGAGAATTTAGTAGAAGAGAAGCCAATAATGTAGTCAGTTTCTGACATTTAAATAAATGTTTTTGCTGTTCTGTCAAAATTAATCATTAACTTCAGCATTAGAAGCATGTATTTCAATAGTAGAAGGGAATTTTCTCACCATCATTTCATAGCAAAAGTAACCCTGCGGCATTATAAATACATATTTCAGACTTAGAGAAAAGATGGATCCCACAGGATATCTCTTCCCTCCATCCACTGATGATGTCAGTGAGTCTCTGATTAGCTGCTGACATTTGAAATTATGGTGGGTCAGCAAGGTTAATGAAAGCCTTCTTTATATAGCCATGTCCCCATTGCCTCTGTGCCTTCCTGGGCTTTTGGCTTGTTTGCTGACCTCAAAAAGCAAGGCAAAAATAAGAATACACATCAAGAGAAGTACAGTTTGAGCACTCATCTATTGATGATTTCTAATGCTGCTATTTAATAAGAAAGAAAAAGGTTAATGAATAGTGACAGCTTATTTAGGAATGGTTGAGTACAAAGGGTCTAGTTAATAACCTTAGTGAACTTATTGAGGATAAACTCTGTTTAGATGAAAACATTTCAGTAGAATTGGCTAGACTACAATTTTTCTGCCTTTAAGTGACAGAGTTACATAAATTTCCCATTTTATAATATTAAGTCATCCTCTGTTGAGGCAAGCAAAAGGTATAAAACTGAATTAGGTATCCTGACTTATCGATCATAGTGTCTTAGAGCTAGAGAGGGCCCTTGAGACCTGGTTTAGTGTTTTTCAAATTGTGTTCTGTGGCACTTCCAGGTTCCCTGGAGTGACCTTGCAAGCTACTTTAGTGCAGGGAAGGAGCATCTTGGGCCCTCATCCCCATTCACTTTTATCATGCCACCTAGGTTGTCATGGAAGAAAGGCTTTGCTGAAAAAATAAAATTTGGAAACCACTGATCTACAACTAACACCCTCATTTTACAGTTGAGTAAATTGAGGTTTACAAAATAATATTAAATATCCTTTGACTTCTAATCTAGAGTTCTTTTCACCAAAATCCTTTTCAGTATATTTTTAATTGCAGAGAAAAGGGTGCCATAGCAAAAATAATGTTTTATATTCATCTTTCCAGTTGGCCTGAATCCTGACACAAGGTGGAGGATTCTGCCTTGTGGAATGTGGGGCTGAGTCCTCCCAAGCTATTTTCTGATCATTTTATCTCTACAAGTAGAGAGCTGGTTTGCAGTATCTGTGCATATACTTTCCTTTACATATCAGTTGAGGGCATGAACATTGATTCTGGAACTATAAAACCCCTAAGGTCTCCAGAAAAGATCATCCAGTTCTAGTCTAGATATATTCACATCATCAACAACAGATATTAGCAACATTTTTACCTCCCATGGCAGGACAGGTGAAGGCAGAATTAAACTCCAACACAGGTGCTCAAAATGCTAGGGAACTGCAGGAGGAACCATTAAAATAGCAATATTTATTTTCATCTAAAATAAGAAAGAAATTTTGCATTTCTGTATGGCTTGACCCTGGACAGCGTGTCAGAAATCTGTACTTAGAGCTGGGGTACAGGAATAGGAAGAAATCTTGATGATGGTTCCTTTCATTTGGGGTTTGCTGTCACCTTATTGCAGCCAATGGCAGTTTTCACATGCTAGGTGTAGTGGATTTGGGATTACATGAGTTGTTGTTGTCGTTGTTGTTGTTGTTTTTAGACAGGCTCTCTGTCGCCCAGGCTGAAGTGCAGTGGCGTGATCACGGCTCACTGCAGCTGTGACCTCCCAGGCTCAGGTGATCCTCCTGCCTCAGCCTCCCAAGTGGCAGGGAATACAGATGTGCACCACCACCCTGGCTAATTTTTGTTTTTTTTGTGGAGACGAGGTTTCACCATGTTGCCCAAGCTGGTCTCAAACTCCTGGGCTCAAGCGATCCACCCCTCCTGCCCCTGCAAAATGTTGGGATTAAAAGCTTGAGCCATTGTGCCCAGACGGGATTATGTTTTTGATCAAATCTTTATGTTACTATGTGAAGATATTGAGAGTGATCATGGAAATCTTTATTTCATGTAGACACTGTTTATTATTTTGTTACCAAATATGTAAAATTATTCTCTAAGTTAATAATTTTTATCCAGAAAAAGTGTTCCCTATTTGCTGCAGTTTTCTAGGATGATAAATGGCTTTCCATACTATGATATATAGCAGATATTTTTAAACACATAAACACTCACACAAGTGTGCACAAACCCACACCCACTCTCTTACACTTCACTGTGTCTTCCAGTTAAGATACGTGGCTGAGAGAGTGACAACTTTTCAAAAAAACTGATCACATGAAGAGTTATTAGAAGGTGTTGGGAAAAATGCTCTGTCACCTATAAAATCTGTTACATGTTCGTCCATGTGTAACTAGAGATAAGAAATAACACCTATTTTATAGCATTGCTATGAAGACTAAATGGAGTTACAGTAGAAAACTTAGGAGACTGCTTGACTTGTAGGAAGTTTGTAATTACTGTTTGTTAAGATGACAATTATTATTAAAAACTTGGAAATTCATAACATTTTAAAACCTGCCAAGTGAAGAATTTTAATGAGCATTGAACTCATTTGTTATAATATAAAAATGCTACAATTTCCAATTAGTTTGTAAAAAAAAAATGAGTGCCATCAGAGAGTGTGGAAATTTACTAGATAAATTTAAACAAATAACCTTTGTGCAAATTGTGGATAATATTGAAAAATGGTTATAATTCATTAGAAGGTAAAAATACTGATGCACTTCTCTTACATCTATCTACATATTCTTAAAAAGTATGTTTTTAAGCTGTGACATACATTAAGACCAATGGTTGAAATAAACTGAATCAAGAATTTCTATGTAATTTAAATGTTAAAAATATTTTTAAAAATAATGTAGTAAATTTATTCACATTACTGTCACTAAAATAAGGTTAAGTTGTTTTTTTTTTTTTTTTTTTGAGACAGTCTCACTCACTCCGTCACCCAGGCTGGAGTTCAATGGCGCAATTTTGGCCCACTGCAAACTCTGCCTTCCAGATTCAAGCAATTTGTCTGCCTCAACCTCCCAAATAGCTGGGATTACAGGTGTGTACCACCATGCCTGGCTAATTTTTGTATATTTAGTAGAGACAGGGTGTCACCATTGTTGACCAGGCTGGTCTTGAACTCCTGACCTCAAGTGATCTGCCTGCCTTGGCCTCCCAAAGTGCTGGAGATAGCGACAGGAGGCCGAGATATTCTAGGCAGAAAAGAGTGGGTCCCTGGCAAAGCCCCATCCTCCAGCCAAAAAGCCTGAGACCACAGCCCAAAGTGAGAACTTATATTTCTCTTTTCCTTCTGGAATGTTGCCTTTTCCAAAACCACATGTGGCCTGCCCCATCGCCCCATCCCCCCATCCTGTGCCCATAAAAACCCCAGACTCATCTGGCCGAAAGGGGAGAAGCAGCTGGATGTCAGAGACTATGGTTGGATGTCGGAGAAGCGGCTTGAGGGCATAACTTTGGAGAAGAATCCAGCTGGAGACAGACGTACTGCAGGGGAAGATTACCTTCCCACTCTGTCCCCTTTATAGCTCCCCTTCCTGCTGAGAGCCACTTTCATGGGCAATGCAGTCTCCTGCATTTATCATCCTTCAATTCTTTTGTGCAACCTCATTTCTCCTGACTGCTGGACAACAGCTCGGGAGCCACAAGTACAGATACAAAAGGCTATCACAGTGACCCTTTGCCCTCGCTGGTGAAAGGCAGCTGCCTCCTGTGAAAAGGAAGAGGACCCACTGAGCTGTTAACACTTAAGCTGTTGGTGGCCCATGGAGCTAAAAGAGCACTGTTACACTCTCTTTGGGGTTTCGGGGGTTGCGGGTACACTCCCTAGATGCTGCCACAGGGCATGCATGGAGTTCTTTCATGCCGGTACCCAAAAGTGCTCACCCTGGCTCCTGCACCTGCTTACCTGCACGCTCCCTTCTGCAAAGGGTGGAGCACAGCAGGTCCTAGTGAGTGGAGTTTGCTTCTGCCAGTGTTGAAACAGCCAACTGGTTCCAGCATTTGTGCACTCCAGTTCCTGCCTCATTTGCTCACATGCTGTCTCTCATGAAGAGTTGAAAGCTGCAGGCTGGGTAAGCAAGGCATCCCTATTGCAAGTCCCACAAAGGGGTCAGGGAAATATCCTGCTTTCCTGGGATTATGTGAGCCACCACACCTGGAAAGGTTAATATTATTTTTTAAGGAGGACACAAAGATGTTGTGTACCATTAACAGAAACTTAAAAATCATTTAAAACATTGTTATTGTGTCACCATTTCATTAAAAAATATCTGGCAGGGTGCGGTGGCTCATGCCTGTAATCCCAGCATTTTGGGAGGCCAATGCAGGCGGATCACTTGAAGTCAGGAGTTTGAGACCAGCCTGGCCAACATGGTGAAACCCCATCTTTACTATAAAAAAGAAATACAAAAATTAGCCAGGCATGGTGGCTGGCGCCTGTAATCCCAGCTACTAGGGAGGCTGAGGCAGGAGAATCATTTGAACCCAGGAGGCGGAGGTTGCAGTGAGCCAAGATTGTGCCATTGCACTCTAGCCTGGGGGACAAGAGCGAGACTTCATCTCAGAAACAAAACAAAACAAAACAAAACTGTGTTTTATATATATTTTATAATGTACAAATCATTATAAGGGTCATAATTTATAAATAGGTTATTATTAATTTATAAATCAGTAAACATTCACAAATAGGGATGTCCGTTTCAAAAAGTTTAAAGAAATCAGATGTGAGCCTTTTAAGGTGTGATAAAATTAGAAGTGATAACTAGGAGGAAATGTGATCCTGGTTCTAGGAAATGAGAAATTGAAGAAACAAGGGCCTTCATCCTGAGTTTCTGAAAGATTGATGTATAGGCTGAGAGAACACAGTCAGAATGTTCTCACTGGGTTTTGCTGGCCTCTGAAGTAGAAATGCCCAGGATAAAGCCAAGGCCACTGCCTGTAGAGGGTGCAGTGGAGAAGCCTACTGATACACATGGGACATCTGTTTATTAGGAAGAACTAAGCAGTTCTCCCATACATTTTCCAAATCCCAAACTCTCTGGTTTGTCTATATTGACAATGTACCTATTCTCATGTCTTATTTAGTATAAAGATGGATTAACATTGTTAGAGCCAGATTACAGGGGTATTTTATCTTGAAAATTGATAGTTATTTTAATGTTGTATTGGTTTAAAATCTTCATAAGAAGAAGATGTTCTCATGGCTATGTTTTCTCTCCATCTTTAGAATATGGAATGCCATATCTCATAGGGGCTCCATTTGATGACAGGTTGACTACATGCATGCCTGGAAGCTCTTTGATAGAAGTAAAAGAAAAATTAGTAAAGGACAAATCAACAAGCCTACTAGAAATAAAATATACAAAATATTTCAGAGACAATATGAGGTAGTAAAAACTGTACTAGAGTAGGAATCTGGAGTCAACTTTCTACTTAATTGTATGACATTCCTAAAAGCCCTGAGTACTTTATTTCTGTTTCTTAAGATGGTTTTACAACTTAAAACACTTGATGAAATACCCTGTAAATCTTCTATCTCTAAAATTTTTTGATTTAAAAAAATGGAATTGCACTTCTTGCCTAATCATTTACAATTGTTAGATTTTTCAAGAATTTTAAAAATGTATATTGTCCACTCTGATCTCCCTCCCAATTCAATGTGATTAAAGTTTGAAGGAAAAGGTGGAAAAATGGGAGATTGCTGCTAGACTCAATACTGAGGCTCATAATCAATATCACCACCACTCCCTCAATCAGTTAACTGTCCTATAGGATACACCCAGGATTTGCCAATTTTCATCAGTGTTGTTTTCAGTGAGGATAGCAAAATGTGACTACCTCTTTATGGGGAGAAAAAAAATTAAGACACTGTAAATGGTGTGCTCCATTCTTGCTAGAGAATTATCAACCTTAAATAAACAACTTCTCAGAAAATTGATCAGTTCTATATAATTATTTTGTATAAAACTAACTCTGCACCATATGAAAGTAGTATAATTCTTGGAAAGAGGATAGTGAGTCTGATAACACTGGGGCAGATTTTATTTAAGATAAAAGCCATTCTCAACTTGATTTTTCATTCAAAGTATGTAGAAATTTTAACAAATATGAAATGAACTTTGAGTTGTTTTTCTTTGGATTCCTATGGGGAATAGTTTGTTTTGTGTGTGTTTCCATATTTTTCTGTTTTATAAAACAGTGGCTTTGAAAATACTTAAGATTTTGTATCCCACATAGAATATCTGAATTATAAGCAAAGTCCTCCCTTTACTGCAGTTACAAGCAAACTATTCGTAGAATTCACTTTGTTAGATTTTTTTCTGCTTCCCTTTAATGTACATTTCCTTGTTCCTTGGAAAATAAAGCCAGCAGATTGATAAAATGGGAATTACATCTTTTTTATATAAAGGGAAAATATAGTTAAGAAGACCTAAAAAAATAAAAATGCGTTTTTGTTTTTGTTTTTTTTTTTAAAAAAAAAAGCTCAACATGTTAGCAAACATGAAAGAAACCACTTACGTGAATGAGAAGCGGAGTTCTGTGAGAGCTACAGCTGAGTCCTCTGCCCAGCACAAACTGCTAGATAGTTAATTGTGACAGATGATAACTTTGAAAAAAAGAGAGTCACAACAGAATAAAATACATGTGTTATTTTTTTTTCTTCTGCATCTGGGGCTTGTATAACAATATCTTTGCCAGAAATAGCTAAGTTGATATGATATTTTTACATTCTTAGGAAATTTGTATATGATATAATTTAACTCAATCAAATATGGAAAATACATTTCATCTTACAATCCAACTCTAGATGTTGCTGCATGAAGAGTTTTTTAAAAATGATTCTAATACACTATACTAGCTTGTTGGGAAAGACCAATACAATCAATTAACAATATTTGCTTTGGTCATTTTTAGTCAAATGATGACATTCATTTTACATCCTACTATGAGACTATTTATTAACTAGAACCATTTATAACATCTAATTTTTAAAAACTCATTTACAATGTCCATATATAATTGTGTGTTTCTGTGTATGTATGTGTTTTGGTAGCGGTGCTTGCGGATTTTGTTTTGTTTTGGTTTGGTTTTTGTTGAAAAAGGTTAAGGTAGTTCAGGAAGAATTAAGACATAGAGAATTAGCTATTCATTATATATAGAACTTATAATATTTTTGTGTCAGATTCTTTCTGACTTATTCCACCGAGATTTTATTGTTCATATTTGAATTATTATATTTAGACATGAAATGCCATTTTGAAATGATTCTTAAGGAATTCTCGTAGATTTTAGTTATTTATCAAATACTATCTGTGATGATTTGAGAGAAGCCAAATAGTGCTAAGGTGGAAAGAATATTCAGACTGTAGAAATATTTAGGAACAGACTATACTGCAGGGAAATAAGTTTGATGTGAGGCTGGCTGTCCATAAGGAAGTATGAGGAGAAGGTAGAAAGGATGATGGAGGTTCTCACTGTACAGGACCATAATATGATGATCCAAATTAGAGTGTGTCTTGGTGGGGAAAGCTCTGTTTCCCTTGAACCTAATTTTGAATCAAATGGAATTTAATTACAATTTATGTAGTATTGGACATCTTGTGTACTTAGTGTTATATTGTTCAAACTATTGGTGAGGGAGGAAGAAGAACATGACTACCTATCCCTATAAATAAGTTCCATCAAATACCAATTCTGTGAAATGACCTCAGTTTTATCATCAGTAAAATGGAGATATTCATAGGGTGGTTTTGAGGATTGAATTGGTGAATACAAATAAGGCATGTAGAAGGTCAAAAAGTGAATCTGTTTTTAGTATTATTGTATATATAGTTGGGATTTGTCCCAGTAAAAGAGAATTTCATTCCTGAGGCTGCTGACTCAGGGAGAAAGAAAAAGACCATGAAGTAATTATAAAATATCATGAGGAACTCAAAGAAGACAGTGTGGAATGATGTTTGTTGAAGCTCAGTTAGAGAAAGTGCAATGGAAATTTGGTTGTCAATATTTTAATCTGCTTGCGGTGTGCTCTATGACCTTTGAGATGTGACAGAAACAAAGAACTGGGTAGACTGGTAAGTAGAGAGTCAGGAAAGACTAAATGCTTGTATGTTTCTTTCCCATCAAGCCCCTGTAGAATATCGGGCCTTCAGAAACTCTCATGCAGTAATATTTGGAGATAGAATGTAAGCTGAATGTCCCTCACAGCTTTGGTTTAAGTTCTATTACAGACAAACTTCCTAAGAAAGGAAGAATAATATTTGGAATTCTTGAGACTTGCAGTAGCCTGAACATGCTCTGAGTCTTCAGGGAACAGCACGTAGAGTTTTTTATTTTTATTTTTTAATGCCCCCAGTTTGCCAGCACTGTTATTTTTGTTATGATGATGTGGGCATCTGCACCCTAATGGTTAAGATTCTTTTCTCACCAGATGTGGTCTTTTGGAAAAGAGTTCAAGCTACTTGGCAGGTCAGTGGAGGGGAAGTGAGCTTTTTCACTGCAAGTGCTCTCTTGATTTTGTGAATAAATGGATGACTTTACTTTCCAAGATTGTCAGTCTCTCACAAGAACTTATATTTAAATCATAATAATGATGCCATTTAAACTTCAGTTCATTCTGCCAGTGTTTGATTAGCAGGCTGGCTGAGCATAGAGATAGAGAGGATGGCAGATCTTCATTTCATCTAGGGTATTATTATAGCTTACACTGGCTCTCACATTACCATTATTATTATTGTTAATTGTTATTTGTGGGGCTGATAGAATTTCTACCATTATTCTAAGTGGGGAAGATGACATAGTCCCTTTCTGAAGGCTTCATGATCAAAGTTAAATAGATATTATCTCACTTCAGAAAGAAATGAGGGAGTTTCAATTCTGAGATTTTTGTGTAGAAAGTTATAATTTAGATACATTTACCTGTGGAGAATTAAACTCAAAGGCATTAATACTGTACATTTTTGCATGCATAAGCTTGCATTTGTGCTTGAATATATATGTGTATTTTTGCGCCTGGGCATATCTCACACTCATATTTGTGCTGTTATACTTTTAATAGTAGGAGCTCCAAATAAAAATCTTCTGCAACATGCACCACTAAATGCAGGCAAACATCACTTACACATATTTTCTTGTCATAAATGTGATTACTGTCTGTCTTTAGTGCTCGCTGTGCATAAGATTTTAGTTTTTGTTTTTAACCATGGTAGGTGGAACAGCTTAAGAGTTAAGGCTTTGGGGATTCATTGAATGAAGAAGAATCACAAATTTATCTCTTCATCTTTCACTCTGAACAGTTACATGAACATGTTATGGGCTGGTTAAATCAGAGGCTAGTAATCCTCCCCTTTACTAATTTTGTAAAAACAAGCTTCACAGAAAATTGAAAGGACATTTTGCTATATGTTTTTCCACATGGTTGTATTTTTTTAAGATACTTTTTAATTTCAGGTTTTACTTTAAAGAAAAATTGATCAGAAAATACAGAGTTCCCAAGTATCTCCTCATGCACCAGACTCCCACTCCCAGCAGTTTCCCCTTTATTAACATCTTACATTAGTGTGGCTCATTTGTCATAATTGGTCAACAATATTGATACATTATTAATTACTAAAGGCCATAGTGTTCATTAGAGCTCACTGCCTGTGTTGTACATTCTATACGTTTTAACAAAGAGATTCTGACACATATCCAACATTGGAATATCACACAGAATAATTTCAGTGCTCTGGAAATCCCCTGGACTCTACCTGTTCATTCCTCTCTCCCCCTGAAACTCTTTGCAGCCACTGATTTTTTTTAATGCCTCCAATTTTTGCTTTTTCCAGAATTACATAGTACTGGAATTATGTAGTAGCCTTTTAAGATTGGCTTCTTTCACCGTAATATGTATTTAAGGGTCTTCTATGGCTTTTTTTGTGGCTTGATAGCTCACTCCTTTTTCTTGCTAATTAATTTTAATTTTTTTTGGATGTTCCACAGTTTATCCATTCATCTTTTGAAGGTTACCTTGGTTGCTTCCCCGTTTTGGCAATTATGAATAAAACTCCATGTGCAGGTGTTTGTGTGGACATAAGTTTTCAATTCCTTTGGGTAAATACCAAGAAGCACAATTGCTGGATCATATGGTAAGAGTATGTTTAGTTTTGTAAGAAACTGCCAAACTGCCTTCCAAAGTGGCTGTACCATTTTGCATTCCCATCAGCAATGAATGAATGTTCCTGTTGCTTCACATCCCCACTAGCACTTAATTTCATCAGGGTTCCAGATTTTGGTTATTTTAATAGGTGTGTAGTGGTATCTCATTGTTGTTTTAACTGGCTTTTTCTAATGGCATACAATGCTGAGCATCTTTTCATATGTTTATTTGCCAGTAGTATATCTTCTTTGATGAAGTATCTGTTCAGATATTTTGCCCATTTTCGAATTGAATTGTTTACTCTCTTATCGTTGAGTTTTAAGTATTCTTTGTATATTTTTGGATACCGGTCCTTTATTGGATAGATGTTTTGCAAAGATTTTTCTTCCAGTTTGTGGCTTGCCTTTTCTTTCTTGTCATAGTGTTGTTCACATAGTAAAATATTTTTATTTTAATGAAGTCCAATTTATCAATTTTTTTCTTTCACAGTTTGTGCTTTTGGTATTATATCTAAAAAGCCTTCACCAAATCCAAGGTCTCCTAGATTTTCTCCTCTATTATTCTATAGAAGATTTATAGTTTTGCATTTTACCTTTAGGTCTGTGATTAACTTTTTATTCCACATAATTTTTGTACATAGATATTAATATTATATTTCAGTCCCTCATTCTTAAAGACATCTAAAGCTGTCACCAGGGATGTCTACTTTGTCTAAGACAATTTAGAGAATATAGAATAGAATTCTAATTCCAAATGGGTAACTTAAGAGCAAATTGACTATCTTAGCCTCAGTTTTATCCTATGTGAAATAGGGATAATATCATGTGTTCACCTTCTTCACTTGTATTTTTGCAAAGATCAAATCACATGTTGTTTATGGGAGCATCTTAAAAATACTAAAGAACAAGTTGCAAAATTAAAAGGGTTCCTTGGTGGAATTCCTAGACTCCCTTTCTCAGCTAAACACAGAAATACTAAAATTGAATTCAGAGCATGTAACTGACAACAAGGAACCCAAAATAATAAGTAATATGCTAAAGCAGCCTAAGTCACATCTGAAATATGTTGATAACTAAACTTAATATCACAAAGGCCTTAAGTCTATGGCTGTTACTGAAGATGAAGATAAATTAGTTGGAAGTAATTATGACTTCATCATCTTCTTTAGGCTACGGTCATATCTGCTTGTTATTGAATGACCAGATTATACAGATATAACTGGAATAAAAATGAATGTAACTGATTAAACTTACAAAATCAACTGACTTTCTTATACTAGATCAGGTGCCTCCTTAACCTATAAGAGGGGTAGAAAGTTTCAACTTTCCTTTTGAATTATGAACAGGTTCTACTGTCTTTTTACACAACAGGTCCATATATTTAATGTGGTCTTAGTGATTGCATTGGAATTCAAATGCATTAACAAAATTGAAAATTCTTGTTGCTAATCAGTAGTTGGAAAAAAGGAATTTTAAACCTTCTAAAAGGTGAAACAATGTGATTAAAAAACTCAAATATAGACAAAATCACTGAGACTGATATGAGCTATGAAATATGCTAGAGATGGCATTGTACACATCAAAAGATAATCCTTGGCTTTTATACTCAGTGAATTTTCAGGCATAACTAAAATACATAAATTACTCCATGTGAAAGTAATGCCAAAATTACTTTCTCTTCCTTTTCTTTTTTTTTTTCTTCTTCCCTTCCTCTTTATTCTTACTTTTCCTTGCCCCTCTTCCTCTGTCTCATCCAATGGTAATTCATTTTCTGTCTCTCCTTATCCCCACACATAACAACAATATAAAACTGGAATCGAATAATTTTTTCCAGTAAGTTAAAATATAATCTGGGTGAAATAATCTATAAATATAAATTCATGAATACAGCCACATGACCCAATGTTCCATCTTGTTTTAAATATATGTTTTATTTATTTATTATGTGGGGGTTTTTGGGCAAGAAAAAGGACATAATTACAGTCTTGTCCACATTTGTTAGAGTAGTGCATGCAATATAAAAAAAAATCATAGTCTTGCCTTTGAATTCATCTAAGACCTTCTTGAATTGGATTACATTTTTGGTTTATCTGACATATTTTCAAGGTGTTCTAAAGAGTTATTTGAATAATGTTGCTGTTGTGAATTTAACTTAGCATTGACAATTGGGCCAATGATAATACAAAGGTGTGCAGGATTGCAAAATGCATCTATCACATTGAAGAACACTGTGTATCTCAGAATATCAATGCACTACTTAGGCTGCTGAAGGACCACATAACTCATGCTGCTGGTGTGGACGTGGAGTGTTAGTGTCAGAGCTGAATAAGGCAGTTGTTAAGTTTTGGAGGCGATGACTGACTCATATCTACGTGTTCTCCTAAATTGAAGTTGTCTTGAGCCTGTTACCTCATCTTTGTTCTGTTAGGTTGGTGTAAAAGTAATTGTGGTTTTGCCATCACTTTTAATAGCAAAACCTGCCATTACATTTGCATCAACCTAATAGAACAAGTTAGGTTTGTGCAAAATGCAGGCACACTTATTAAATAATTGTGCCTTCATTCACAAGCACAGCTCACCTATATTACTACTGTGTGTGCCTGTAGTATGCACAGAGGAGAGGCAGCACAGGATAGAGAGTAATGAAAGAGCCACAACTGTCCTTTTGTTTCAGTGTAATTTAGGCAAAGTCAAATAAGTTTCTGAGGAAGAGTTGTTTTCATTCTGCAAAGGTCCTATGCACAATCATGTTTTAACAAGATTCCCAATTTGCAATAGGAAAAGCTGGCTGACTTTCCTACATAAGGCTATTTACTGCACTTGCCCTTTTGGTAACATTACTATGTGTTTGCATTGAAGCCTATTATTAAATGAATAAATAGCAGGAAAATGCAATATTAGGTAAAAGAAAATGTTGGGCTTTCAAACAGCAAACAAATGTGTTGAAAAGTCTTGTTCGTTAAATGTGGTTCTGTGCGCCTCTGAAAGTTTATAAAAGATGTCAGAGAAAACTTGTAAATAATAAATAAGAACTTTTATTATGTGGCTACATGGGCCTCACCAAAGAGAAACAATTTATGGAAATATGGCACAAGTTTTCTCTATCAGGTATAAAATTACTCCCAACATTTTATGTATTTCCATATACAAAAGAAGATGTTACTGGGGGTTCAGCACACAAGACTTTCCAGAAAAGAATTCCCAATGTTTCTATTGCTGTCTTGTCTCTCAGTGAGTATAAGGCTTTAAGTCCTCAAACCCTTCCTAATAAGCCACATTTTTTTTTTTTTTGTAATCCACAAACGGTAAACTTTTCTATAAAATTAGCAGTGGACTACTGGGTGATTTAGCAAATGACAAAAGGAAGGATGCTAAAGATTTTCCTCGGAGTCTTTTTGGCTCTTTGCCATTCTCTGGATGGTGGCTGATACAAAATCAGGGCCCAATTTTATGCCGATTTTGTGCCCCAGTTAGCAGTGCTAATTGGGGCACACAAGTAAATTGCACTCTGCCCTGTGGAAATTTTCAGTTAGTCAACTAATCAGAAAATCATTGAGAGTACTAATCCATCACTCAGTCACTACCTAATTAGGTGCAAAATCTATGCTCCCTCCAGGAAGGACAAAGTTGAGACCTGGGATCTCAATGATCAGTTGTTTGAAATTGGATCTTTTATCTTTTGTTACAAACTCATTTAAAAATATATGTGTGTGCTTTTGAGGAGTGGGGCCACTAGGATATTTTAGTAAAAATTAACAGTCCAAGTATTATTAAAGTAGACAGGAGTAAAGGTCATTTCGTTTCCCTCACATTTGAAAGACATAGATTTTCTGAGGAAAAAAAATATTTTTACACACACAGAGCATAAATGCACTGATAAATTTAACAGCAAATGTTCCATATTTCAAAGGGTCAAGTTATAGTTTGGGTTCAACCTCATTGTCTTGTACAGCAACCATGTCTAATGAGAGGGCAGGAATTTTTGTCTATTTTCGTCACTGATACATCCCAAGTGTGCAATCAATATTTTCAAATGAATGAGTGAATGGACAGATGATGCTTAGGCGAGAATTAATCTTAAAATATTGTATTTACATGCTATTTTAAGTTATAAAATAATATCTGTGATGTGTCTGGTACCATGTCCACAGTACTTAAGAATATTCTATATTTGGTAAAATGTTTCAGTAACTCTGAGAGACAACATGGCCTTTAAAATATCTTTACTTTTCTAGAATACAAGAAGGTGATTTGAAAAATTTTGCTCTAAGTTTCCCCCAGATTTTTGTTTTAGAGAAAATATAAATTAGGCAAAAGAGAAATATTGTTCTAAAATTAGAATTGTAGCTTAGAATCACTGTCTTTTTTTAAAAAAAGTTAATTTTCTCCCTTGATAGAATGCATAGATTTCTTTTTCTTTTTCTTTCTCTTTATTTATTTATTTATTTTTGAGAAAGGGTCTTATTCTGTCACCCAGGCTGGAGTGCAGTGGTGCAATCGTGGCTCATTGCAGCCTCTACCTTCCAGGCTCAGGCAATCCTCCCACCTCAGCCTCCAGAATAACTGGGAACACAGGCATGTGCAACCATGCCCAGCTATTTTTTTAAAAAATTATTTATAGGAATAGGGTCTCCTTATGTTGCTTAGGCTGGTCTCAAACTCATGGGCTCAAGTGATCCTCCTGCCTCAGCCTCCCAAAGTGCTGGGATTTCAGGCATGAGCCACTGCACCCAGCCATAGATGTTTTTATTGTAACATGCAAATCACTTTTGGCTCCAGAAAAGCTAGAATCTTAAGGAAACTAATTTTGGCAAAAATTATCACTAAAATCCACTTTTTTTCAATTTTTATATTTTTTAAACTGATGTATTTACTTGTAGATTTTAGTAAAAGATAATAGACAGTTTTAGAGAAAATTTTAAATTCTGAACATGAGGAGCTAATTAAAATATTGCCTGAAGTAATGCCATTTTAATGAGTTGAATCAGAAAGCTTTCCTGCTGGTATTATTTTAATTATCTTCCTACCTCTCTGAACTTCATATATCTTTTCTGGCTCTTTTTACCTTCTCTAGTTTTTTTTGTTTTGTTTTGTTTTGTTTTACCTGGATCCTTCTATTGTCTTTCCCTTAAAGGAGTCACACACTGTAATCCATGATCTCTCTTCTGCATTCCAGATCTGAAATTCCAAATTCCTAAAGAACATTTCCAAATAAAAGTCCAAACAGCATCTCTAGATCAAGAAATATTACTCTATCCCTATTCATTTTTCCTTCAAACCTTGCTTTTACTTCTGACATTACAATATCTGTTAATTTTACATTACTTCCTGTAGTTCATCCTTGGCTTAAACCCTTTTGCCCCTTTTTCTTTACCTCACCCTTTCAGGAAGAGTTCTCAATCCTGTTAATTTCTTTTTGTTTTCCACAGATCATGCATCCATCATTTTTATCCATAAAGTTTTCCCTTGTTCTCAGTTATTAACTTCTTAGTCCAGGCTTAGACAATTGATTTTAACAAATTTCACTGCCTCTGATGGCATACCTTCTGCAATAACTTCATACCAAGTTAATTTTCCAGATTCTATTGGAAAAATATATCTGACATCATGTGATACTCTTGTTGAGTTACTAACCATTGCCTATAGATACCTTTTCAAAATCCCTTTTCTAGTTTCTCATATTCCACATTCTGGCTATACCCTACATTTCCTGACTTATGACTCACATATTTTCTTCAAGCAAGCAAATAAAACAAAGCCTCAATATGATGTAATGGACATTCCCCGAAACAATGAGCTTTGAAACCTTCATATCTTTGTTCACTCCACCTTACTGCCTCCTGTCTATCAAAATCTTATTCTTTCTTTAGGATTTATGAAAACATCACCTTTTCCCAATTCCACCTTCACTAGATGTTTTAGGGATTGAGGGATGGGGTGGTGTGAAGACAGGAACTCTTCAGGCCTCACATTATTCCAATAGCTCTTAGTAGAAGACAGTAAGAAAACACTTTAGAGTGTCAAGACATAGAGATCATTAACAAGGGCTTAACAAATTCCTAATTTTAACTCAAGTTAACCTACAGTTATAATCAGATATTGCCCATTCTATGATTTCACCCTTCTGATAGTTATTTCTCTCTGAGCAGTTTTAAAAGTCTCAACAAAACTGGTTGGTTCCTATTCTCAATATGCCTTTCACTCAGCAACCTGTTTCCAGTTTGATATCCAAGATGACTGATAAGCACAACATCTGATTGCAACTTTTCTTACCTCACTTGGGGCCTGGAGTAAAATTTTCTGTGAGTTACTAATAGGAAGATTACCAAATAGCAAAACTCTCATGAAAGTAAATAAACTATAGAACATTTTTTCACTTATCTGTTAGCCATTCATATGTCTTCTTTTGAGAAATGTCTCTTCAGCTCCTTTGCCCATTTCTTAATTGAATTATTTGTTTTCTTTCTATAGAGTTGCTTCAGTCCCTTATGTCATTCGCATATTAATCTCTAATCCCTTATCAGATGTAGTCAAAGAGGTGTCTGCACACCCATGTTAATTGTAACACCATTCACAACAGCCAAGTTATGGAATCAACCTAAGTGCCCATCAGTGGATGAATGGATTAAAAACTTGTGGTATATATACACAATAGAATACTAGTCAGCCTTAAAAAGCCATGTTGTCATTTGTGACAACACGGATGAAACTGAACATCAGGCTAAACCAAATAAGCCAAACACAGCAAGATAAACACCACATTGCCTCACTTACATGTGGAATCTAAAACAATTGAACTCATAGAACCAGAGAGTAAAGTGGTGTTTAACAGAGGCGGGAGGTAGGGGTGGAAGAAATGGGGAGATAATCATGAAAGACTGCAAAGCCTCAGTTAGGAGAAATAAGTTTGATTTTTTCTGAGGTCTGTTGCACAGTAGGATGAATACAGGCACAAACTGCCATTATGATCTTTTAATACAGTGTGGAAGGATTAGATTAAGCTAACTAACCTATGCATCACTTCAAACATTTGACGTTTTTTGCTGTGAGAGCATCTGAGATTTACTTTCTTAGTGATATGGAGATGTACAGTACTCAATTATTAGCTATACTGTATAACTATAATTTGTCAGTGTATAATTTTAAAAACTTTAGAACATATTGTGCTTTTGTTCTATCTTCCATTTGTGTTAGACTAATTATTATAGGATTACAACAGTCCAGGTCTTGCTGTATAGCATTCTTTTAGCAAAAGTATAAGAAGTCTAAATGTTCACAAGTGAAGGTAATGCTGACATAGAAAATGGCTGAGAGACCTTGGGTGGGCTGAAGCAAGATTGTACAAGGGTTTTCTGCCACATTCGCTTTATGCAAGATACTCTGCTCCCTCACAATTAGGTCATACCCACATGGGATTTGTCATATGCTGCCTTATATCACAGGTATTTATATATATACCTTTTTCCTAAGTTGTATTATGAAGTGGTGGAGAACAGAGACCAGATCTTATATATCAAAGCATTTAGAATGGTGATTGAACATGGGAGCTATTTAATAAATACTTGGTGAAAGAATAAATGAAGAAATTGTCCTACGAAATTAAAACACCCTAGTGTCTTTGCTTTACCCACTCATGGCAGTTCTGTTACAGCCAGATGAGACCTGGACTTGGAGTTATAATTTGGGTTTGAATCTCATCCCTGCCCCTTTCCAGCCTTGAGAGCTTTGGTAAGTTTAGGAATCTCTCAGAACTTAATTTATCCATTCATGTAACATAGATTTCACTTCCTTTATCTGTAAAATAGTAATGGAAATAATTTTACCTATATCATAAGTGGATGAATAAGGTTCTATAGATGCCCATGTAACAACTTCCCTGGCTTTGTGAACATTGTAAAGCCAAGTTCTCTTATCCAAGGATCAATGGTATTTTCGTTAATGCCTATTACCTTATACCCAAACATCTCAGTTTTAGGAACTCAAACCTCATCGCCAACAAATCTACAATGAGATTTGTTCTGCTTCATCTCTGTAGTTACATTACCTAAATTGGAATATCGACTATCAATTACCAGCTTGATGACTTCGGACAAGTTTTAAAATCCTTCAACACCTCATTTTTTTTCCCATTTATACATAAGAAAAATAATACCTACAAAATAGAATTACTGTACATGTTGAAAGTGTTAATTTGTTTAAGCTCTTAAAAAGGTGCCTAGCATATGATAAATATCCAGTAAATATTAACTACTACTGTATATATAATAATTTGTTTAATATACATTTCTCCTGCTGGACTGCATCATAAGGGGGAGTAAACACATCTTTGTGTGTATGTGTGTGTATGTGTCTTCTGTATGTTCAGTACCTAAAACACGGAGACACTCAATAGATATTAATTTGATGAATGGACATATTGTGGGTGGAGAACTGTGTGGTCCTAGATTGGATGGTGACAAGAAGAGTAGTGAATGCAATAGTGATGAAAATTTTTTGCTTATGTATTAAATTTTGGAGTAAAAAATGTTTAAATGATTGATATTGTCTACCTGGTTATTGTTACCTATTACAAAGATTACAACTCTGCCATCAACAGCATTAATAGCATATAGTTATTGAATACTGTACGTGTGTAGAGCTTTCTGCTTGTGTGCTGGGAATACACAGTTCTGTCACCTCACATTTAATGTCAAAAGAATTTAAATCTAGTTGGAGAAATAGACTAAAGAGAGAAAAAAAGAGCCAACAATGTATGTTCCTCATATGCATGATGAGTCCTACAGATCTCAAGTTTATGTAAGCACAATGAAGAGGTCACTAAATGAGTGTGATTTTTAAGAAAAGGTATCTTAGACTATACAGAGGAGAGAAAGGAGCTTTCCAATGAGAATGACGTGACCAAATGCATGACAAGAAAATGAATTGATTGTATGTGAAAGAGTATGTGGTCTCACTTGTGCAGAATGAAATGTGTTTAAGGCAGCATTTTCTTAGAATGTGGTGTTCAAACCAGGTTTTCTTTTTTTTTCTCTCTCTCTTTTTTACTTTTTTTTTTTCACTGCAACCTCCGACTTCTGGGTTCTCCTGCCTCAGCCTGCCGAGTAGCTGGGATTACAGGCATTTACCAACACACCTGGCTAATTTTGTATTTTTAGTAGATACAGGGTTTCTCTATGTTGATCAGGCTGGTCTCGAACTCCTGACCTCAGGTGATCTGCCCGCCTCGGCCTCCCAAAGTGCTGGGATTACAGGCATGAGCCACCGTGCCTGACCTTCAAACCAGGTTTTAAGTGTAGAGAATTAAATTTGATTCTAAATAGAAGAATAATGTTCAAATGATGGAAACTTTAAATAATATTGGAAAAGTGAATTTTTTAGGTCAGAGCATGGTTCTATACAAATTGAATTTTAAACAATAAGCTAGATGGACAAATATTTGTGCCCCTAAGGCAGAGAGAAAAAAAAATGTTGTTGAGTGTTCAAAACCAGTAACTCTATATTTGTATATTGCTTGGATAGAGATGATAGCTGGTTACATAAGCAAGAAAAGTCAAGGGTCATAGAAACTGGGCTTATTTACATTTAAAGAGCAGTGGAGGAAACTGAGGAAGGCAAAAAGGAGGCTCTAAAAAGCATATTTTCCTATTTTCTTTCATAGAAACTGGGGAAAAAAGGAGTTTTTAAAATTCAGCAATTTTCAAAATATCATATACATTTTTAAAAGTCAGGAATAATTAGATTTTAAAGAAATTATTAGATTTAGTATGGAGGAGTTGATTGATAGCATGAGAAAAATGATTTCATTAGAATGGTATATAGATACTTAAGTAAATTATGGTAGAAATTGGATTAGGTCTCTGTCTATATTAGACTGGATTCAATTCTTTGCGTTGAAAATGAAGACACTGTTTATGTTGAGCCAAATTTGAAAATATAGGTTTTTATAAGTATGTGCCAAGGTTTATATGTAATGATGAGTAGTGTTGATTATTCATAGACTGTGGTTCCCTGGTTTCCATGTAATCTCAATATCAGGTACCTTTGAAAGAAAGGTTGTAAAGTGATTTTGCTATAGTGAATGTAAAATCAGTTACTATTTATAACATATCTTTTAAATCATTAACAAGGTTTTAACAATTGTGTGTGTTAAAATCTTATTTTTTTTGAAACAAGATAAAGGAACTCTATATTTTTAACATTTCATTATATTATTTTCATTAGCTATATCTATTTCTGTTGTATTGCTGAATCATCTGTGGTCAAAATTATGTGTTCAAAAGGGAACACTGTCAATTTACACTTCTGAAGATGACTTTGGTGTTTTCCCATTTTTAGAACAATTTTTAAGGAAAAAAAGTATTTATGTGGTCACTATTCTGTTTCCTCATTCTTAAGAAAAGATGTCAAATGAAGATTTTTTTTAAAAAATTGTAACATATAACTAAGTGTCTTCTTCAGTGTAGGCCCCTTGACCCTGCCCTCACAGGAAAATTCTGGAAAGTTTAACATATTTAATGGTCAGTATCCCATTCCCTGAATCTTTGTTTCTCCTTAGTTGTCACTTGCTGTCACAAAAGAAGCCCACTAGATGGTGGTAAAAGCACAAGCTACCTACTCTGATTTTATTAAAAAAAAAAAAAAGTCTTCAAAAGGGAATGCTTACAAGGTTTCAGAGGTTGTATTTTGCCCAATTTTTATTAGATAGAGAAGAAGCAAGAAAAATAAAGTAGAATAGTATTTTCCATGCAACTTAATTGTAGTTATGAAGTGGAATACCTTTTGGCCCTAAATTATTTTCCAGTGAACTGCTTTCAAAATTAAGTTGTTTTGTCAAAATAAATATCAAGTAAAATGATTATGAATCATTGTGGCAAGTTTTAATGCAGATCAGAAAGTAAATTAATCCAAATCTGTCTGACTCATCATGCCTTTTTCTTCAGATACAAATGAAGAGTAAACAATGTTTTGGCAATTTTTAGGTTAATCATGTAGAACTGATTACTCTAGAAGAATGCTATTAACATTTAGTCAATTTATACCCTACAATAAGACAAATTAAAATTAATGTTGCTGTTTTTAAGATATCAAATGGGTCATGATTTTAAGAAAAATGAGAACTGCTATAGAAAATGATAATGTTGTCTCTGGGCCCAGTGAATCTAGTGACTTCTAAAAAACCCACTTAAATCTCTTTAAGAAAACAGGACAATAATTAAGTAAATATAACTCCAAATGAGGGAGAGTGTCTGTCTTTAGTTTAAGCAGGTTGTCTTTTAAAGTGTAATGAGGAATAATAATCCACTGTCAACCATTCTCTGTGGAATAGCAACAATTAAATCTTGCAAATAGCTTAATAACAAAAGAAAGATCTTCTTTTTAGATAGAATAAAGTATCCTAATGAAGCTCTATTGCACAATTTTTCAATGTTTATAATAATTTCTTCCCTTTAGTATACATTTAATTAGTTTAATACTTTCTTGATGATACAAATATGTAAATATATTTTTTAAATAATTCACTTTGTTTATAAAGTAAAAGATGTAAATAAAATATGTAACTATTAACTTTTGATCAGGTCAAAAGTCCTGACAAACTACACATTATGACAAAGTATTGGACAGAAAACTTTTTATTTTGCTTATTTAATATCTTCATAATTGTTCACCTGCCGTCTTTCCACATGTAAGAATATCAAGTGCTTACAAGCTCCCACTGGACCCCTACCTTTAAAATTCATTTAATAATAATAGTGAGCATCATCTAAGGGTCTTAAGGTGACAGCCATTGACCTTTCTACAATCAATGATGTCACAGATCTTGGCTGAGAAGTCATTTTAAAAATATACTTCTTTTCATACTGGCATACACGTGACATCAATTTCAGCATTATCCATATCTGGTCATGATCAGTGGTGAATTCATCTATCTCTGGTCGCATGACTGTTGCCACACAGCTTGATCTACTGAGGCAATTTTAAAGCCCTTTGGCTTTCTATGTTTTCTTTCTTGAACATAGCAGGAAGAAAGCTGGGAAACCTCTTCCTGATTTAAAGGATGGTTAAAGTGCTTCCAGTAAAGGCCCTGTTGAAAGGCTTACTAACCCTGGACATATTTTCTCTGAAAGCTGACTCATTCTGCTCAAGGTCCATTAGTTCTGAATAGGTTAGAAACACCTTGGTCAAATCTAGAAATTAGGCCATTTTGGTTCCTCCTAAAGGAGTACAACCCCTATCTTGGTCAAGGGGTCCCCAGAAAAAACTTAAGAATTGAATTCCCAGCCATGATGGGAAGGGAGGTCCAACATATCTCATTATATCCCTTCCCTTTTGGAGTTTAGGTACAACTGACCAGCATTAATGTTAAACTAGCGATCATAAGACTAACAAAATGAACTCTTTGTGACAATAAGATACCAAATTATAAACAAGACCTAAAGCTGTGCAAGGCAAGGATTAAGTCACATCTGCAGGCCATCAATGTTACTACATAGCATCCTTAACTTAAAACATTTCTTTCTGCTAACTCCAAATTTTAGACAGAGCTTTACTTCATTAAGCAATTGCAAATTAAAGAATTTCTGAATTCACCCGCAGCCTTTAAGCCCCTACCTCCACTTAAAGATAGCCTGTCTTTTTGAGCAAAACCAATGTATACCTTCCATGTATTGATTTAAGTCTTTGCCTATAATTCTTGCTTCCCTAAAATGTATAAAACCAAACTAATCTGACTGCCACAGGTCAGGACCTCTTGAGACTGTATACCTGAGCTACAGTCACTCATAGTGGCTCACAATAGACATCTTTAAAATACTTAACAGTTTTGTTTTCCCTTTAAGATTGTTCTGACTCAACGTATGGATATGCAGCAGTGAGATGTCATTGGTCACTTATTCAAATGCCAACCCCCCCTGACTTTTTAAAAATAGCTTTATTAAGCTGCAATTTTAAAACATACATTCTACCCTTTAAAAGTGTGCAATTCAATGTTGTTTACCATGTTCAGTAAGTAGTGCAACTGTGGATTTTAGAACATTTTCATCACCTCAAAAAGAAATTCCATACCTATTGGCAGTAACTTCCTATTCACATTTCTCCCCTACCCTCCAGACTTGGGCAACCTCTAATCTACTTTCTGTCTGTATAAAGTTACCGATTGTGGATGTTTTACATACATAGAATCATACAATATGTGGTTCTTTGTGATCAGCTTCTTTCACTTAATGTTTTCAAGGCATATTGCAATATGTATCAGTACTTCATACCTTGCTATTGCCAAATAATATTCCATTTTATGGCTAGATCATGTTTTATTCATCCATTCATAAGTTGATAGACATTTGGATTGTTTATACTTTTGGCTATTATGAAAAATACTGCAATGAATATTTGTGTACCAGTGTTTGTGTCAAAATAAGATTTTATGTTTTCATTTATTGGTTATATACTGAAGGGTGGAATTGCTGGATCATATGGTAACTCCATGTTCAACGTTTTCAGAAAAATTATTTTTCTAAGCAGCTGCAACACTTTACATTTTTACCAGCAATGTGTGAGAGTTCCAATTTCTCCACATACTAACCAACACCTGTTATTATCTGTCTTTTTTATTATAGCCATCCTAGTGGGTACAGAGTGGTATATCATTGTGATTTTCATTTGCATTTCCCTAATGGCTAATTATATTCAGCACATTTTCATGTATTTATTGTCCATTTGTGTATCTTTGGAGAAATGTCTATTCAAATCATTTGCCTATTTTTCATTTGAGTTTTCTTTTTTTATTGTTCTTTTAAAGTGCTTTATGTATTCCTGAAGCAAGTCTATTATGAAATACATCATTTGCAGATATTTTCTTTCATTCTGTGGATCTTTTTACTTTGAAATGATGTCCTTTTAAGCACAAAAGTTTTTAATTTTGATGAAGTTTAATTAATCTGTATTTGTTTTTGTTCTATTGGTTCCTTATTTAAGAAGACATTTCTTGACCTTAGGTCATGAAAATTTATTCTTGTGCGTTCTTCTTACAGTTACACACTTTCAGCTCTTACATTAAGGTCTATGATTTATTTGCATACAGTTTTGTGTCCACCCCTTGCTTTTATTCTAACTTCCTTTCTTTAGAAGGTAAAGGGTTGTCCTTGACTAAAGACAATATGTTTTGATTAATTGGTCAGTGGAAATAAGAATTTTAAACCAGGTAAAATCTGTATTCCTTTCTTCTCTTTTTAGGCAGTGACTTTATAGTTGTCTAACATCATTCATTTTTTAAAGAATCTGTACATTGATACAACCAGCAGAAATCCTTTTTAATATTGGTTAGAGAGATCTGGGATATGGATATAATACGATTTTATTGTTTCTTATTTTTAAGGGCACTAAATTTGGGTGGGCATAACTGAAGTCAGCTCAAGACTTTTCCAGAGCTAACAAAGAAGTGTAAGTGACAAGATGCCAGGGTTCCATAGAAAGATAATATAATCATCTGATAAATATGCATAAGGATAAGTAAATTCAAGTTATAGGAAAAGCTGTGCCTGAAGACTTGCTCCTCTCAAATCTCTTTGTAAACTCCTGTTTGTAATGGAATATTGTTTATTATAATAATTGGTAGATGGGCTGAAATGCAAAATAATTTTGAAATATGGTGAGAGGCATAACTTCTTCCAATGTACTGTTTTGAATAGGATTTGAAATGCAGTACTGCTAACTCCTATGATAGTGGCAGGCATCATTAGGTCACGAGTGGTGTCCAAGATTCTGAAAACAGTCCCTTGTCTTAGTTCATTCAGGCTGCTATAAGAAAATACCATTGGCTGGGTGGCTTATAAACAACAAAATTTATTCCTTACAGTTCTAGAGGTTAGAATGTCTAAGATCAAGGCACCAGAAGATTTAGTATCTGGTGAGAGCCTGCTTCCTGTTTCATGGACAGCCTTCTTCTTGCTGCATCTTCACAGTCTGGAAGGTGTTAAGGGAGCTGTCTGGAGTCTCCTTTATAAGGGCACTAATCCCTTTTATGAGGGATCCACCCTTATGACTGAACTACCTCCCGAAGATTGTACCTGCCAATATCTGACATTGTTGATTAGGTTTTCAATTTATGGATTGTGAGTTAGGTTATTAGGTTGTCAACATATGACACAAACATTAGTTTATAGCATTCCAATCATTTCCAAATTATACTAGAAACCCAGATGGACTTAACAATAGACAAAGATCCTGCCATGATCATACATAGCTTATTCATTCCCAGATGCCACTAAAACTTGCTTGCTACTTATTTGATTACCAAAGGACTCTAACAGCCACTATAAAAGTCAAGAAAATTGCCTTTTCTCAAAAATTAATTTAAGTGTTAAATATTTTTCTGATTAGACTATGTCAATGCCTTTATCACATTTTATAAATTATAGTATCTACACATTTTAAGTCATTGAGTAAAGAAGCCATACCTTGTTATACATTTATATGTCAAGTGGGAAAAAGCAAATTTCATAATTTCATATGGGTAAGTAACAGGCTTTTTAGGGAAATATAATTCAAGGCTCAGCAAAAAGGAGGTAAGAGGGTCCTGTTGCCTCTTAATCCAGAAGAAAGACAAACTGGGACTATGGCATTGGTGGATACACAGTGGAATAAGAGTCAGGGGAAGAATCCTATCCCTTGCTCTTCAACATTCATGATACAAGAGTGAGAAAAACTTTTTACTTACTTTAGTTCCCCCCTTATCTATGGGGGTTACGTTTCAAGACCCCCAGTGGATGCCTGAAACCACAGACAGTACCAAACCCTATATACACTATTATTTTCTTATACAGTAGTAGATAGGTGGTATAAATGGCATGAATACACAGGACAAATTGATGATTCTTTTCCGGGGCAGAACAAAGAGGGACAGTGCAATATCTCATCACACTGCTCAGAACAGCATGCCATTTAAAAAGTAAAACTTATATGTTGTGGGAAGTCAGGGACCCCAAATGGAGGGACCAGCTGAAGCCATGACAGAAGAATGTGGATTGTGAAGATTTCATGGACATTTATTAGTTCCCCAAATTAATATTTTTTATAATTTCTTATGCCTGTCTTTACTGCAGTCTCTGAACATAAATTGTGAAGATTTCATGGACACTTATTACTTCCCCAATCAATACCCTTGTGATTTCCTATGCCTGACTTTACTTTAATCTCTTAATCCTTTCAGCTAAGGAGGATGTATGTCACCTCAGGACCCTGTGATGATTGTGTTAACTGCACAAATTTTTAGAGCATGTGTGTTTGAACAATATGAAATCTGGGCACCTTGAAAAAAGAACAGGATAACAGCAATTGTTCAGGGAATAAGAGAGATAACCTTAAACTCTGACCACCGGTGAGCCGAGCTGGGCAGAACAAAGCCATATTTCTCTTCTTTCAAAAGCAAATGGGAGAAATATCACTGAATTCTTTTTCTCAGCAAGGAACTCCCTGAGAAAGAGAATGCACGCCTAAGGGTGGGTCTCTGAACTGGCCCCCTTGGGTGTGGCTGTCTTCTGTGGTCAAAACTGTAGGGATGAAATAAGCCCCAGTCTCCCATAGCACTCCCAGGCTTATTAGGAAGAGGAAATTCCCACCTAATAAATTTTGGTCAGACCAGTTGCTCTCAAAACCCTGTCACCTGATAAGATATTATCAGTGACAATGGTGCCCAGAACTTCATTAGCAATTTTAATTTCGCCGCGGTGCTGTGGTCCTGTGATCTTGCCCTGCCTCCATTTGCCTTGTGATATTCTATTACCTTGTGAAGTACATGATCTTTGTGACCCACACCCTATTCATGCACTCCCTCCCCTTTTGAAATTCCCTAATAAAAACTTGCTGGTTTTGCAGCTTGTGGGGCATCACGGAACCTACCGACATGTGATGTCTCCCCCGGACACCCAGCTTTAAAATTTCTCCCTTTTGTACTCTGTCCCTTTATTTTTCAAACTGGCTGATGCATAGGGAAAATAGAAAAGAACCTATGTGACTATCGGGGCAGGTTCCCTGACACTTTTATATTTCCAGACCTTTCCATTTAATATTTCTGGTTGATCATGGGTAAACTGCAACAACTGAAACCATGAATAAGCGGGGAGCTACTGTAATGTGTAAAAGAGAGTACTTGGGCAGCAGAGTGAGAATTCTAATTCTTTGTGAGAATTCCAGCTGTAAAGGAAATTTTCTAAGGCTGCAGGTGGCTAGCACCTGGTAATTCTGAGATAAGTTTGAGGCTTTTAGGGAAAGGAGGTCATTGCTTCAATCATCCTGAGCTATTGGGATTTTTACTAGATAACTCAACTTGTATTTTTGTATACTTTGTATTGTGCCCCAGTCTAAAACTCAGTGCCCTCAAAAATAGGTTATTAATACTTGATGAATAAAATATGCAGTATCAACATATATAAAATAAAACAGTAACCATTTTACTTTCTGTCTGAGACTATGGCATTGCTGGATACAGAGTAGAATGAGTCGGGCAAAGAAATCACCCAAATATGAAACTTAGACCTCTCATTTTTTGTCACTTTTTTTTTTTTTTTTTTGGTAATGGGGGAGAGGGTCTCAATCTGTTGCCCAGACTGGAGTGCAGTAGGGCAATCACAGCTCACTGCAGCCTCAACCTCCCAGGCTTAATTGATCCTCCCACCTGAGCTCCAGAGTAGCTGGGGCTACAGGCACACACCACCAGGCCTGGCTAATTTTTGTATTTTTTGTGGAGATGGGTTTTCACCATGTTGTTCAGGCTAGTCTCAAACTCCTGACCTCAAGCTATTTGCGCAACTCAGCCTCCCAAAGTGTTGGGACTACAGGTGTGAGCCACCATGTCTGGCCATGTTTTTACATAACAATTAATTTGCTGTACTATACTTCATAATAACTTATCATTTAGCTCTTATTATCCCCATTTCCTGAGGGTCAATCAGTGATTAAATAAATTGTCCAATTTTATATGGATTAATTAGAAGCTCTGTAATTTTAACCCAGATTTATCTGATTCCAAAGCCCATACTCTCATTTTGATTTATCAAGCATTAATTTCATAAAACTCTATGAAACTGTACTCAGTTGTACCTCTTTTGATGCATTTAAATTTTTTTGAACAGGTGGATTCTTTATTTTTGTTCTACCAAATCTCCACTGTGTCACATGAACATAGCTTTTCTCATATGCTGTTACCAAACTCAGGGTTATAGAATTGGTAGAGTGGCAAGAAGAGCTGCCAAATGAGAAGAAATGATGAGATTTTTTATTCCAATCCATATAGAGCAAGTTTGAAACCTGAATATAGATAGATTTGAGGAGTGGAGTACAAGATGCTGTGTGTTACATCTTTTAATTTTTGAAAAATGTTTTCAGGAAACTCTATAAGCAGGAGTATAGGGAGAAGTTGATGTGACATTCACAGCCATGGAAGGGAGGGAGTTGTTTCAGTAACTTGACAGTGGCCTGTAAACTGTGAAAGATAAAAGGGATGTACTGTCTGATAGTTATTGGACTCTTTGTTTAGCCAAGAATCTCTTGGTTCATACCAAATACTGCTTAGATACATAACTGAGTAATGCGTAAAACAGAACTGCTCCTGGTTTTGTTCCTGTTATTGTTTGGTTGGGAAGTGTAATCAACATCCCATTTTCATGATTTCTGCTTGCTCAGATGTCTTAAATCAATGATTTTGTATATCTCCATTTAATGCTTAAGATTAGTAGTAATGTTTTTAAATTAAATTTTATGACCCTTCAAATTGAAGGCTACATTTTGATTATGGCTTTTTCAGTGTCCAACAAACACATCATGTATGTAATAACTACCCACAGTATTGGTCAAAAGCTACTGAATGGCTATCTGCTAAAAGGAGAAAAGTGTACAATAACCCGCATGTCTTATTTCTGGATCTGACTTCAATGTCTGTCCTTAATAGGTAGTTGGCTTATTTATTATTGTATCCACAGTACCTGCTTTGGTACCTGAAAGCAGAACACACAGAAAAAAATGTGTGTTCTGTGCACATTCTGCACAGAAAAAATGGATGAAAGGACCTCTCAGTTTTCAGCTACAGATTGGCTTCAATTAAATTTTGAAGCAGATTTTTATGGCATTTGGTAAAATTCAGCAACATCCGTGTAAAGTGCTTGACCCTGAGTCTGGTAACCAGTAAGCTCTTCCTGAAGCCAGACCAAAACGAAATTCTAGCTTTGCTGCCTACTAGAAGGCTGACTCCTCTCTATGCTTCAATTGCTGCACCTGTATACTAGAGAAAATAACAATACTTATTTCATAGTGTTCTTATGATAACGTAATAAACTAAAAAATAATAAAGCATTTAGTACAGTGTTTGACTCACAATAAACTCAATTTTATTTTTATTACCTTCATAAAGACAGATTTTATTAATGTCTAGAGAGATTAGAACTTCCCTTCAGGCAGATAATATGTAAATTAATCTTTTTTTAAAAAAGGTGTTTGAATTTCTTCAGAGAATAGGGGTACAATTGAAATGTAGAATTTTCTAAGAAACAGAAAAAGAAATGTAAGTCATAGGGAAATAAATCAACTAAGACTAAAGAATATTTTACCAGCAAAGAAGAATTTATGTGAGAATATACAGGCTTTTCTTTTTCCTCAATACTGGATGATGCAGTGTGCAAAATAAACTTATGTGACCTCTGAGGCCTGGGCCTGATCTTCTGCAATGGCAAGAAGAGTGAAGAGTTGTGGTCATTCATACACTGATCATAAAAGCCAGCCCTTGCTGAGCACTGACCACGTGGCAGGACTTACTTAGATCGTGAATCTAAGTGCTTTACATTTTTAACTTATTGAATCATCACAACAAACCTACAAAGTAGGTACAGTTAATAGGATTATTTTACAAATGAGGAAACTGAGAAAAAGATAAAGGTTTTGTGTCCAAGTCACATAGTAGTGAGGATCAGAACACAAGAGATCTGAACGCAGCATATATTTTCTAAACAAAACACATTTTGCAAAATAATTTTTTAAAATATTTTATTCTTTTAGAGTTGTTTTAGGCTCATAGAAAAATTGAGAGGAAAGTACAGAGATTTTCCATATATCCTCCCGACCTATGTATGGCCTCCTTCATTATCAATATTCCCACCAGAAGGGTACATTTGTCAGAATTGAGGAACCTACATTAATACCTCGTGGTCACCCAAAATCCATAGTTTATATTAGGTTCACTCTTGGTTTTGTACATTTTATGGGTTTGGACAAATAAATAGTAACACATATCCATCATTACAGTATCATGCAAGAGTATTTCCATGGCCCTAAAAATCCTCTGTGCTCTGCCTTCTCACCCATTTCCGCACTCCCAGCCCATGAAAACCACTGATCTTTTTATTGTTTCTGTAATTTTGCTTTCTGCAGAATGTCGTGTAGTTGGATTCACGCAGTATGTATGATTGGCTTCTTTAACTTAGTAAAGTGCATTTAAGGTTCCTCCATGTCTTTTGTGGCTTAATAACCCATTTTCTTTTTAGTACTGAATAATTTTCCATTGTCTGGATGTACCACGGTTTATTTATCCATTCATCTTCTAAAGGACATCTTGGTTGTTTCCAAGTTTTGGCAATTATGAGTAAACATGAATAAACGTTCATGTGAAAGTTTTTGTGTGGAAATAAGTTTTCAACATCTTTGGGTAAATACATGGAGCTCGATTGGTGAATCATATGGTAAGAATATGTTTACTTCTGTAAGAAACTGCCAAACTGTTATCTAAAATGACTGTACAATTTTGCATTCCTACCAGCAATGAATGAGAGTTCCTGTTGCTCCACATTCTTGTCAGCATTTGGTGTTGTCAGTATTCCAGATTTTGACCATTCTAATAGGTGAGAACTGGTATCACATTTTAATACATTTTAATCTTACATTTTCTGACTCTTCAGAGTAGGTAATTTTTAACTTCTGGATAAGGAACAGTCTCTACCATGTTTGGAAACTCAAAGTTTTTGATATGGCCAAATATCTTTTCCATTTCAGGCCTTCTTTGAGGCTATCTATGCCTCCAGTGGACTGACTTGCTTCTTGTTACTGACAGAATGCTTTAACTGCACGTCTGAAATACACGTATTTCTTAATCCTGCTCTCATATCTGAGCCTCCAAGGACTTATGTGTGGCTTTTTATTTTTAAATTTTCCTTGACCATTATACTTTCTATAGACTATCCAAATGCTCAGTAATTGTCAATATCTACCTGTCTACCTATCATCTATTTGTATGTCTATTGTCTCTCCATCCATTCACCCCTCCATTCATGAGTTGTAGAATAAATGTCACAACTTTTCCTAGACTCTGTACAACATAGTCATTTATGGATCCAGTAGTATGCACTGAGATGATATGACTCCTGGTATAGTTATCTATGTATATTTTGGGCTAATACCTTTTAGCCTCTAGCTGCTAAATGACATAGGAGACTTAAAAAAGTAAGATGATTTACATTTCTTATAAAGAAAGTAATATAATAGACAAAAATGCATGTTAAAACAATTTTTGACTATTTTAAAATAATAAGATTTCACATTTGAATAGGGTTTCCAGTTTGCAATTTCACAAAATTTTTAATTTATTTCTGACTACAGCCCAGTTAATAATGTGAATATTATCATTAATAATTAGGAATAATGATGGAGTATCTCTGAAGGATCTGGAAATAAGAGAAATATTATTTTTTCTGCAAGTTTTAATTTTTTAAATCAACATTTATTAGATAAGAAAAGACATAAACAGAAACACCTAGAAGACTCAACTTGAACTTGATAGTGTATAGCCTTTTATTTAAAGAAATATTGCAAAATGGGGATTGACAAGTGATGAATATAAAGATGATATGATTACAGAGGATAATGTTGGAAATAAATACTATTTCAAGCACTGTCCAAAAAAGAGAGGCTTAAAAAATGGACTTGGACTATTATTACAACTTCATTGGCAAGATTAAGACATGCTATTATGACATTAAAATGTAAAGCTATGTGACTCTGATCTATTAACACTTTAATTTAGCTCTTTTTGTGTAGCTTCCACATTTGCCAAATAAGCTACTTATGCTATGGCCTCTGGTGTCAATCTGGCAAGAGAGAAAGGACCGGTTTTGCAGCTTTAGGGGTACTGGGTTATGGGATAGTTATTATATTAGTTGAATATTTTGGGTTGCAAGTAACAGAAGCCTCCTTGTGCTAACTTAAGCCAAAAATACGAAAACAAAATCACTAAATGTGAATATGTGAGTTAATAACAAAGATGTGTTCAGTAGATAGTGTGTCCTGGAATTGTGAGGCTGCATGCAAACTGGTCTTGGAAGTGGGTAAGAATGAGAACCTAGAAGCCCACAGAGAACCTAAAAAATCCCTTCTTTCCAGCTCTTGTTTTTCTTCTTTTTGGGGAAGCTTCCTTTTTCTCTCTCTATAAACAATTACCTGGGTTTCCCTAACTACGAGGGAATTACAAGATTACTACTTTGTATTTCTCTAGCAAACATAGTTTAGAGTTAGCCATAAAAATAGAAACTTTTCTATTTTCTTCATTTTTTATTATTGAAGTATACAACACGAAACGAACTGTGCCTAAAGTATATCGTTTGAAAAGGCTTAATGTGTAAGCTCATTATTTCTTCACCACAATCAAGATAATGAACATATTTAACAACCCCCAAAGTGTCTTTTTCCTTTCTTAATCCCTCCCTCTCTGTCCTACCACACTCTGTCTCTAGGTAACTACTGACTTTTTTGTCAGTATACATTGATGTGCATTTTTAAAAGTTTTTTATACATGGAAAAATACTGTATGATTATTTTTTGCTTGTGTTTTGGCTCGGCTTGTTTTACTCTTTATAATTATTTTGATAGTCATCCATGTTTTTGCCTGTATCAATGGTTTATTTCTTCTTATTGCTTACTAATATTCTATTTTATGTATAACAGTTTTCTAATTTGTACACCAGCGGATGATATTTGTGTTTTTACCAGATTTGCTTTTAAAATATAAGCTGCAATACCTATCAGTGTGCAAGTCTCTATATAGATGCATGTTTTCATTTCCCTCATCTAAGAGTAAGATGAATGAGTCATATGGTAGATGTATGTGTAACTTTATAAGAAACTGACTTCCAAAGTAGTTGTATATTTTTCATTTCCACCAGTAGTGCATAAGAGTTCCAGTTCCTCTGTAGCCTCATCAAATCTTGTATATAAGTAAATATTTTTAACTTTAGCCATTCAAGTAAGTGCATAGTGGTATCACATTGTGTTTAATATTAGCTTGCTTAATAGTTGATGGTGTGCATCATTTCATGCGTTTATTTGATGTATGCATTTTCCTTGATTAAGTGCCCTTTCATATTCTTTTCCCCTCTTTTAGCAGATTGTTTCTTTGTTGTTGATTTTTAAGAGTCTTTATCTCTTCTGGATATAAGTTCTTTATTAGAAATATAATTTGCAATTATTTTCTCACAGTCTGGGGCTCGTCTTTTCTTTCTCCTAAAAATCTTTCAAAGAACAGAAGTTTTTAATATAGAAAGAATCAAATTTGTTAGTTTTATTTTATAGATCATGCTTTTTGTGTCATATTTAAGAAAGCCTTGCCTAACCCAAGGTCAAAAAGATTTTTTTTCATATTTTCATCTATACATTTTACAGTCTTAAATATTACATTTAATAGTATGATCTACTTTGTGTTAATTTTGCATGTAGCATGTGGTATGAATCAAAGTTCGTTTTTTTAAATGTGGATATACAGTTGTTCCCATACCATTTACTGAAAAACTATTCTTTCTCTACAGAATTGCTTTTGCATCTTTGTCTAAAATCAGTTGTCTATGTACACAAGCCTATTTTAGAACTCTCTTCTGTTGCATTGATTTATTCATCTATCATGATGCCAATACCACACATTTTGCTTATTCTTGCTTTCTAATATGTTTTAATATCAATTAATGTTAGCCCTCCAATTTTGTTCTCTTTTTCTCACAGTTGTTTTTGCTATTGTAGGTACTTTAATTTTTTATATAAATTTTAAATTCAGATTGTCAATTACTACAAAGAAAGTCTTTCTGAATGTTTACTGGGGCTACTTTGAAGCCACAGATGGATTCGGGGAGAATTACAATCATAAAAATTTTGAGTTTTTAATATATAGAACTTCCGTATGTTCAGCCACATTTATTCTTTCATATGTTATAGTTTTGAATCTATGGTATTTGCTATTCCAACTTTATTTTTTATTTTTTATTTTTTTATTGTTATACTTTAAGTTCTAGGGTACATGTGCACAATGTGCAGGTTTGTTACATACGTATACATGTGCCGCGTTGGTTGGGTGCACCCATCAACTCGTCATTTACATTAGTTAATTCTCCTAATGCTATCCCTCCCCCAGGCCCCCACCCCTTGACAGGCCCCAGTGTGTGATGTTCCCCGCCCTGTGTCCAAGAGTTCTCATTGCTCAATTCCCACGTATGAGTGAGAACATGCAGTGTTTGGTTTTCTGTCCTTGTGATAGTTTGCTGAGAATGATGGTTTCCAGCTTCATCTGTGTCCCTGCAAAGGACATGAACTCATCCTTTTTTATAACCGCATAGTGTTCCATGGTGTATATGTGCCACATTTTCTTAATCCAGTCTATCATTGATGGTCATTTGGGTTGGTTCCAAGACTTTGCTATTGTGAATAGTGCTGCAATAAACATACATATGCATGTGTCTTTATAGTAGCATGATTTATAATCCTTTGGGTATATACCCAATAATGGGATCACTGGGTCAAATGGTATCTCTAGTTCTAGATCCCTGAGGAATCGCCATATCTTCCACAATGGTTGAACTAATTTACACTCCCACCAACAGTGTAAAAGCGTTCCTATTTTTCTACATCCTCTCCAGCATCTGTTGTTTCCTGACTTTTTAATGATCACCATTCTAACTGGCATGAGATGGTATCTCATCGTGGTTTTGATTTGCATTTCTCTGATGACCAGTGATGATGAGCATTTTGTCATGTGTCTATTGGCTGCATAAATGTCTTCTTTTGAGAAGGGTGTTCACATCCTTTGCCCACTTTTTGATGGGATTGTTTGTATTTTTCTTGTAAATTTGTTTAAGTTCTTTGTAGATTCTGGATATTAGCCCTTTGTCAGATGGGTAGATTGCAAAAATTTTCTCCCATTCTGTAGGTTGCCTTTTCACTCTGATGATAGTTTATTTTGCTGTGCAAAAGTTCTTTAGTTTAATTAGATTCCATTTGTCTATTTTGGCTTTTGTTGCCATTGCTTTTGGTGTTTTAGTCATGAAGTCCTTGTACATGCCTATGTCCTGAATGTTGTTGCCTAGGTTTTCTTCTAGGGTTTTTATGGTTTTATGGTTTTAGGTCAAACATTTGAATCTTTAATCCATCTTGAATTAATTTTTGTATAAGGAGTAAGGAAAGGATTCAGTTTCAGCTTTCCACATATGGCTAGCCAGTTTTCCCAGCATCATTTATTAAATAGGGAATCCTTCCCCCATTTCTATTTTTTTGTGAGGTTTGTCAAAGATCAGATGATTGTAGATGTGTGATGTTATTTCTGAGGCCTCTGTTCTGTTCCATTGGTCTATGTATCTGTTTTGGTACCAGTACCATGCTGTTTTGGTTACTGTAGCCTTGTAGTATAGTTTGAAGTCAGGTAGCGTGATGCCTCCAGCTTTGTTGTTTTTGCTTAGGATTGTTTTGGCTATGCGGGCTCTTTTTTGGTTCCATATGAACTTTAAAGTATTTTTTTCCAATTCTGTGAAGAAAATCATTGGTAGCTTGATGGGGATGGCATTGAATCTATAAATTACCTTGGGCAGTATGACAATTTTCACGATATTGATTCTTCCTGTCCATGAGCATGGAAAGTTCTTCCATTTGTTTGTGTCCTCTTTTATTTCGTTGAGCAGTGGTTTGTAGTTGTCCTTGAAGAGCTCCTTCACATCCCTTGTAAGTTGGATTCCTGGGTATTTTATTCCCTTTGAAGCAATTGTGAATGGGAGTTCACCCATGATTTGGCTCTCTGTTTGTCTGTTATTGCTGTATAGGAATGCTTGTGATTTTTGCACATTAATTTTGTATCCTGACACTTTGCTGAAGTTGCTTGTCAGCTTAAGGAGATTTTAGGCTGAGATGATGGGGTTTTCCAAATATACAATCATGTCATCTGCAAACAGGGACAATTTGACTTCCTCTTTTCCTGACTGAATACCCTTTATTTCTTTCTCTTGCCTGGTTGCCCTGGTCAGAACTTCCAACACTATGTAGAATAGCAGTGGTGAGAGAGGGCATCCTTGTCTTGTGCCGGTTTTCAAAGGGACTGCTTCCAGTTTTTTTCCATTCAGTATGATGTTGGCTGTGGGTTTGTCAAAAATAGCTCTTATTATTTTGAGATACATTCCATCAATACCTAGTTTATTGAGAGTTTTTAGCATGAAGGGGTGTTGAATTTTGTCAAAGGCTTTTTCTGCATCTATTGAGATAATCATGTGGTTTTTGTCGTTGGTTCTGTTTATCCGATGGATTATGTTTATTGATTTGCGTATGTTGAACCAGCCTTGCATCCCAGGGATGAAGCCTACTTGATTGTGGTGGATAAGCTTTTTGATGTGCTGCTGGATTCAATTTGCCAGTATTTTATTGAGGATTTTCACATCGATATTCATCAGGGATATTGGTCTAAAATTCTCTTTTTTGTGTGTGTGTCTCTGCCAGGCTTTGGTATCAGGATGATGCTGGCATCATAAAATGAATTAGGGAGGATTCCCTCTTTTTCTTTTGATTGCAATAGTTTCAGAAGGAATGGTACCAGCTCCTCTTTCTACCTCTGGTAGAATTCAGCTGTGAATCCATCTGGTCCTCGACTTTTTTTGGTTGGTAGGCTATTAATTATTGCCTCAATTTCAGAGCCTGTTATTGGTCTGCTCAGAGATTCAACTTCTTCCTGGTTTAGTCTTGGGAGGGTGTATGTGTCCAGGAATTTATCCATTTATTCTAGATTTTCTAGTTTATTTGTGTAGAGGTGTTTATAGTAGTCCCTGATGGTAGTTTGTATTTCTGTGGGATTGGTGGTGATATCTCCTTTATCGTTTTCTATTGCATCTATTTGATTCTTCTCTCTTTTCTTCTTTATTAGTCTTGCTAGCAGTTTATCAATTTTGTCGATCTTTTCAAAAAACCAGCTCCTGGATTCATTGTTTTTTTTTGAAGGGTTTTTTTGTTTTTTTTTTTTTTGTCTCTATCTCCTTCAGTTCTGCTCTGATCTTAGTTATTTCTTGCCTTCTGCTAGCTTTTGAATGTGTTTGCTCTGGCTTCTTTAGTTCTTTCAATTGTGATGTTAAGGTGTTGATTTTAGATCTTTCCTGCTTTCTCTTGTGGACATTTAGTGCTATAAATTTCCCTCTACCCACTGCTTTAGTTGTGTCCCAGAGATTCTGGTATGTTGTGTCTTTGTTCTCACTGGTTTCAAAGAACATCTTTATTTCTGCCTTCATTTCGTTATTTACCCAGAAGTCATTCAGGAGCAGGTTGTTCAGTTTCCATGTAGTCGTGAGGTTTTGAATGAGTTTCTTAATCCTGAGTTCTAATTTGATGGCACTGTGGTCTGAGAGACAGTTTGTTGTGATTTCTGTTCTTTTACATTTGCTGAGGAGTGCTTTACATTCAATTATGTGGTCAATTTTAGAATAAGTGTGATGTGGTGCTGAGAAGATTGTATATTCTGTTGATTTGGGGTGGAGAGTTCTGTAGATGTCTATTAGGTCTGCTTGGTGCAGAGCTGAGTTCAAGTCCTGGATATCCTTGATAACCTTCTGTCTCTTTGATCTGTCTAATATTGACAGTGAAGTGTTAAAGTCTCCCATTATTATTGCTTCAGAGTCTAGGTCTCTTTGTAGGTCTCTAAGGACTTGCTTTATGATTCTGGGTACTCCTGTATCGGGTGCATATATATTTAGTATAGTTAGCTCTTCTTGTTGAATTGATCCCTTTACCATTATGTAATGGCCTCTTTGTCTCTTTTGATCTTTGTTCATTTAAAGTCTGTTTTATCAGAGACTAGGTTTGCAACCCCTTCTTTTTTATGCTTTTCATTTGCTTGGTAAATATTCCTCCATCCCTTTATTCTGAGCCTATGTGTGTCTCTGCACAGGAGATGGGTCTCCTGAATACAGCACATTGATGGGTCTTGCTTGACTCTTTATCCAGTTTGCCAGTCTGTGTCTTTTAATTGGGGCATTTAGCCCATTTACATTTAAGGTTAATATTCTTATGTGTGAGTTTGATCCTGTCATTATGATGTTAGCTGGTTATTTTGCCCATTAATTGATGCAGTTTCTTAATAGCATCAATGGTCTTTACAATTTGGCATGTTTTTGCAGTGGCTGGTACCGATTGTTCCTTTCCATGTTTAGTGCTTCCTTCAGGAGCTCTTGTAAGGCAGGCCTGGTGATGACAAAATCTCTCAGCATTTGCTTGTCTGTAAAGGATTTTATTTCTCCTTCACTTATGAAGCTTAGTTTGGCTGGATATGAAATTCAGGGTTGAAAATTCTTTTCTTTAAGAATGTTGAATATTGGTCCCCACTTTCTTCTGCTTCTAAGGCTTCTGCCGAGAGATCCACTGTTAGTCTGATGGGCTTCCCTTTGTGGGTGACCCTGCCTTTCTCTCTGGCTGCTCTTAACATTTTTTCCTTAATTTCAACCTTGGTAAATCTGACAATTATGTGCTTTGGATTGCTCTTCTCAAGGAGTATCTTTGTGGTATTCTCTGCAGTTCCTGAATTTGTATGTTGGCCTATCTTGCTAGATTGGGGAAGTTCTCCTGCATAGTATCCTGCAGAGTGTTTTCCAACTTGGTTCCATTCTCCCCATCACTTTCAGGTACACCAATCAAACGTAGATTTGGTCTTTTCACATCATCCGTACTTCTTCTAGGCTTTGTTCATTTCTTTTTACTCTAAACTTCTTTCTTTATTTCATTAATTTGATCTTCAGTCACTAATATCCTTTCTTCCACTTGATCAAATCGGCTATTGAAGCTTGTGCATGCATCACAAAGTTCTAGTGCCATGGTTTTCAGCTCCATCAGGTCATTTTAGGTCTTCTCTACACTGTTTATTCTAGTTAGCCATTCGTCTGACTTTTTTTCAAGGTTTTTAGCTTCCTCACAATGGGTTAGAACATGCTCCTTTGGCTTGGAGAAGTTTGTTATTACCAACCTTCTGAAGCCTACCTCTGTGAACTTGTCAAAGTCATTCTCCTTCCAGCTTTGTTCCATTGTTGCTGAGGAGCTGTGATCCTTCGGAGGAGAAGAGGCGCTCTGGTTTTTAGAATTTTCCACTTTTCTGCTCTGGTTTCTCCCCATCTTTCTGGTTTTATCTACCTTTGGTCTTTGATTTTGGTCACCTACAGATGGGGTTTTGGTGTGGATGTCCTTTTTGTTGATGTTGATGCTATTCCTTTCTATTTGTTAGTTTTCCTTCTAACAGTCAGGTCCCTCAGCTGCAGGTCTGTTGGAGTTTGCTGGAGGTCCACTTCAGATCGCGTTTGCCTGGGTATCACCAGCAGAGGCTGCAGAACAGCAAATATTGCAGAACAGCAAATATTGCTGCCTCATCTTTCCTCTGTAAGCTTTGTCCCAGAGCTGCACCCACCTGTATGAGGTGTCTGTCAGCCCCTACTGGGAGTTGTCTCCCAGTTAGCCTACACGGAGATCAGGGACCCACTTGAGGAGGCAGTCTGTCCATTCTCAGAGCTCAAACACCATGCTGGGAGAACCACTGCTCTCTTCAGAGCTGTCAGGCAGGGACATGTAAGTCTGTAGAAGTTCCTGCTGCCTTTTGTTCAGCTCTGCCCTGCCAACAGAGGTGGAGTCTATTAGAGGCAGAAGGCCTTTCTGAGCTGTTGGGGGTTCCTCCCAGTTTGAGCTTCCTGGCTGCTTTGTTTACCTACTGAAGCCTCAGCAGTGGTGGACGCCCCTCCCCCCACCAGACTGCTGCCTCGCAGGTCTATCTCAGACTGCTGTGCTAGCAGTGAGCAAGGCTCTGTGGGCATGGGACCTACTGAAGCAGGCATGGGAGAGAATCTCCTGGCCTGCTGGTTGCTAAGATTGTGGGAAAAGTGCAGTATTTGGGCGAGAGTGTCCTGTTTTTTCCAGGTACGGTTTGTCATGGCTTCCCTTCACTAGGAAAGGGAAATCCACCAACCCCCTGCACCTCCTGGGTGAGGTGACACCCCACTGTGCTTTGGCTCACCCTCTGTGGGCTGGACCCACTGTCCAACCAGTCCCAATAATATGAACCAAATACCTCAGCTGGAAATGGAAAAATCACCCATCTTCTGCATTGATCATGCTGAGAGCTGCAGACCAGAGCTATTCCTATTCAGCCATCTTGGAACAGATCCCGTTATTCCAACTTTCAATTGTGTGTTTCTGGTATATACAAATTCAATTAATTGTTGTACATTGATCTTTTATATTGTGATATTGCTAAACTTACTCAATAGTTATAGTAGCTTTTGGGTGGATCCCTCTACCTTTTCTTTATATTATCTGTAAATTATATTATCTGTAAATTATCTATAAATCATATTATATGTAAATATTTATTTCAGATTTAATTCTGTCTTTCGTAGCTGAATACCTCTTATATCCTTTATGTTCCTTACTGCATTGGCTAGAAATTCCACTGTGGACATCCTTTTCTTCTTCCTGATTGTTGGAGGGAAGCATTCAGTCTTTTAATGTTAAGTGTGCTGTTAGTTGTAGGTTTCTGTGTAGATGCCTTTTGTCAGGATTAGGAAGTCTTTTTTTTCCCTACTTTTCTTGGAGGTTTTATCAGGAATGAATGGTAAGTTTTGTCAAATGATTTTTCTAGTGAGATAATAACATTGTTTTGGAAATCCAGGATTCCTTGCAATTCCATTTTAATTTTAGAATCAGCTTTTCCATTTCAGTAAAAGAGGTCATTTTGATTTTGATAGGGATTCTATTCTCTGTGTAGATCACTTTGGGTAGTATTGCCATCTTAACATTAGTCTTCCAGGTGAACATGGATGTCATTCCATTTATTTAGGTCCTCTTAATTTCTTTCAGCAATATTTTATAGTTTTCTGTGTACAAATCTCTTACTTCTTTATTTAATTTGTTCATTCTTTTGGATACTGATATAGTTCGCCTATTTGTTCCCTTCAAATTTTATGTTGAAATTTGATCCTTGGTATTGGAGTCAGGGCCCCATAGGAGATGTTTGGGTCATAGGGGCTGGTCTCTCATGAATGGCTTGGTGCTGTTCCTGAGGTAGTGAGTGAGTTTTTGTTCTATCTGTTCCCACGAGAACTGATTGTTAAAAAGAGCCTGTCACCTCCCTGCCTTCTTTTGCTTCCTTCCTTTTGTTATGTGATACCTGCTACTCCTTTACCTTCCACCCTGAACAGAAGCAGGTGTCGTTGCCACTCTTCTTGTATAGCCTACAGATATGTGAGGCAAATAAACTTCTTTTCTCTATATAAATTACCCAGCCTCAGATATTTCTTTATGGCAACATGAATGGACTAACTCAGATGTTATTGTTTTGTCAAATGCATTTTCTATACTAATTGAGATGATCATGTGGTTTTTTTCTTTCTTCATTTATGTGGTATATCACATTGATTGATTTTCATTTTTAACCACTCTTGAAATCCTGAGATAAATCCCGCTTGATCATTGTATATGTTCCTTTTAGTATGCTGTTGTGTTGAGGTTGCTAGCATTTTGTTGAGTTTTTTATCATCTATATTAATAATGGATATTGGTGTGTAATTCTCTTTTCTTGTGATGTCTTTATCTAACTTTCAGGTTTAAGTAGTGATGGCCTCATAAGATGAGTTAGGGAATATTCCCTTTTATTTTCTGGAAGAGTTTGAAAATGATTGGTATTAATTCAAAGAATAATATTGGGTATATTTGGTGGAATTTGCCATTGAAACCTTCAGGCCCTGGGCTTTTCTTTGATAGGAGGATTCTTGTTACTGTTCAATTTCTTTCTTTCTGATAGGTCTATCTGGATTTTCTGTTTCTTCTTGAATGCATTTTGGCCATTTTTGTGTTTCTAAGAATTTGTGCATTTCACCTAGGTTATCTCACTTATTGCCATACAATTGTTCATAGTATTCGCTTATTGTCTTTTTTTATTTCTGTACAGTCAGTAGTAATGGGCCCATTTCCACTAAAATCATCTGATTTTAGTTATTTGCATCTGCTGTCATTTTTTTTTTTTTTTTTTTTGAGATGGAATCTCACTCTGTCACCCAGGCTGGAGTGCAGTGGCATGATCTCGGCTCAATGCAACCTCCACCTCCCAGGTTCAAGCGATTCTCCTGCCTCAGCCTCCTGAGTAGCTGGGATTACAGGTGCGTGCCACCATGCCCACCTAATTTTTGTATTTCAGTAGAGACAGGGTTTCACCATTTTGGTCAGGCTGGTCTCGAACTCCTGACCTCTTGATCCACCTGCCTCAGCCTCCCAAAGTGCTGGAATTACAGACGTGAGCCACTGTGCCTGGCTTTGTCATTTTTTTTCCTAATTAGTCTAGCGTATTTTTTGGTAACTTTGTTTGTATCTGTGCTTATGTAATAAGTATTTAACTTAAGAATAAACTATTAGTTTCATTGATTTTTCTTATTGGTTTCCTATTCTCTGTATTATGTCTGCTTTAAAATACAGAATGTTCCTGTTTTCTATATTATGTCTGCTTTAATTCTTCCTTCTGTTAGCTTTGGGTTTAGTTTGCTTTTCTTTTTCTAGTTCCTATAGTTTTAAAATTACACTGTGGATTTGAGATCTTCTTCTTCTTTTTTTTTTTCCTTTAAGAGACGGAGTCTTGCTCTGTTGCTGGAGTGCAGTGGCGTGATAATCTCAGCTCACTGCAACCTCTACCTCCTGGGTTCAAGCAATTCTCCTGCCTCAGCCTCCCGAGTAACTGGGACTACAGGTGCATGCCGCCACGTCTAGCTAATTTCTTTTGTATTTTAGTAGAGATGTGGTTTCACCATGTTGCCCAGGCTGGTCTCGAACTCCTGAGCTCAGGCAATCCACCCGCCTCGGCCTCCCAGAGTGCTAGGATTACAGGCATGAGCCAACATGCCCAGCTGAGATCTTCTTTTTACATGGAGGCATTTATAACTATAATTTTCTCTATATGCACTGTTTTCTATGCATCTCACAAAGTTTGGTATATTGTATTTTCATATTCATTGATCTCAAAGTACTTTTTAATTTCCCGTATATTTTTTCTTTGACACATTGTTTAAAATGTGTTGTTTAATTTTCACATATTTGTAAATATTCTAGTTTTCTGTCAGTTATTGATTTCTAGTTTCATTTTATTATGATTGGAGAAGATACTTACACAATTTCAATCTTTTTATGTGATTGAAAAGATTTATGTGGAGACTTGTTTTGTGGCTTAACATATGGTTTATCTTAGAGAATGTCTTTTGTGCACTTGAGGAAAATGTGAAGTTTTCTGATGTTAGAGTGTTGTATAATAATTATGAATGTTAGGTCTAGTTGGTTTATAGTATGGTTCAAGTCACCACCTATTTCCTTAGTGATCTTCTACCTCGATGTTTTATTCTGTATTAAAAGTGGATTAATACTGAAGTATCCAACTATTATTGTAGAACTGCCTCCTTCTTTGAATTCTGCCAGTTTTTGCATTTTGCTGTATCATTTACTGAGAGAGGGGTATTGAAGTACCCAACTACAATTGTGCATTTGTCTGCTTCTTTTTTTTTAGTGTTTTCTTTATGTATTTTGAAATTGTACATAAAGGTGCTTGAATATTTAGATTTATTATTTATTCTTAGATAACTGACTTGTTATCATATGATGTTTCTCTTTCTTTGATAATATTCCTTGTTCTAAATTCTACTTTGCCCAGTATTAGTATAAGTCTTTCAGCTACTTGGCCCAATATTAGTATTAATCTTTCAGCTTTGTTTTGATTCATGTTTGCATGGTATGAATTGGTATGTATTTTTTCATTCTTTTCCTGGTAATGTATGTTTTTAAGAAGGTAGGTACTTATGTCTTAGTTTTTATCTCATTTAATAATCTCTATATTTACCTGATATATTTAGACTGTTTACATTTAATGTAATTACAGATATGGCTGAATTAAAATTTACCATCTTGTTAATTGTTTTCTCTTTATTGCCTCTGTTTTGTTTCTTTTTTCTCTCTTTTTATGACTTTTTTTTGGTATATTTATTTTTTATTACAACAGCAAGCTCATCCTTAATTTCTGACTTATTTTTGTTAATTTTGTATCTTTAGGATTCCTTTTTATCTTCACTGTTGCCTTACTATTCGTGCCAGGTTTAAAAAATTTTTCGGTGGTTGCCTCATACTTTATAATATTTATTTTTAACTAATCAGATTATATCTTTAAATACTAACATATTGCCTCATATGTTGTGTAAGGAACTTAACAACAGTATTCTATTTCCTCTTTCCATCCTTAATAATATTTTGTCATGCATTTTACTTTTACCTACTTGAAATATACACATACAATACCCTTGCTACTATTTTTGTTTCATACATCCAGTTTTTTAAAGCAATTTAAAATAAGGAGAAAAGTCATATTTATTTATATTTATTTATTTTCCTGTGCTTTTCATTTTTTAATGTAGATCCAAATTTCTACCTGCTATCATACTCCTCAAAAATTTATTTCAACGTTTCTTATAGTACATGTCTGCTGACAATAGATTTCTCAATTTTTTTACATGAGAAAGTACATCTTCTTCAGTTTTAAAGATATTTTTGCTGGGTATAGACTCTTGGTTTAGTAGTTTTATTTCTTTCAGCACTTTGATGGCATCACTCCATTGTCTTTTGGCTTGCGTGGTTTCTTCAATGCACAATATATTACTTTATTTTTAGTAATAGTAGTAAATAATAATGAGGATAATTCATTTTATATACAATTCTAAAAGCATCCAAATATTACTTATTTTATATATTTAAGTTTTGGTTTTTAACTCATATAATTCTTGAAGGAGTGTATATACATACATACATATATATACACATTTTAAAAAGAAGAGAGAGATAAATAAATGTTGTCAATACAGTAAAAAGATCTGTAAACATTATACATTGTCCCATTATTTAAAAAATAAGAGATTGTTGATGTTCTCAGTAAAAGTATTTTTTGTAAAATCTTTATGGGGATGAAATCAAACTACAGTAAAATGCAAATTTAAAGGGAACTGAAGAAAAATAAAGTGATATAAAGTTTGCCTTTTAAAAAAATTATATGGGGAAATGGAAAAGTGTGGAAAATGGTAATGAGAATAATTTTAAAACTGATTATGATAATATTATGAACATGGAATACCAACTTCAAGCATTTGTTATTTGCTTACTGTGCTGAGAACTTTACAATATTATTTCAGTTATTTCAGTCTTTATAACAATATTGTGAGGGAGACTGTATTAATCTAAATGTCCATAAATTAGAGACTGCTTAAACAATGTTAGAATATTCATACTATAAAATACTCTGCTATAGTTAAAAGGAACAAAATATAACTACATGGAAAGTTATTTAATTTATACTGTTGATAAAGACAGCAAGGTAGAGAGGGAACGTAACACTTATGTAAAACACATAACACATATACCCCAAATAATATACTTTTTCTGTGGAAATATAAAAGTGCAAAATTATCTGATACATTGCACACTAATCTAATTTGTAAATAAAGTTAGAATAGTATTTTAAATTCAAACTCATATGAGTTAACCAGGAAGAGGAAGATGTTATTAAGAGGCCTGTTCTGTCCCAGTTATTGGGCTAGGAGTCTCCTTGATATTATTTTATATATTTCTCACAATATTCTATGAAGCATATATTATTACCATGCTTTTATAGAAGAGAAACTAGAGTAAGAGCACTTAATCAGTGGAGTAGAAACTCATCATAGTTGGCCAACTATATAATTTTCTCTCGAGAGCCTAATTTCTCTCTACTTAGTCTACGTGAGCCCTTTTAGACGTAGATACTGCTTTTGTAATGTACATTTGGTTATGTAATTTACTAAACCCACCTAGCCTTAGTTTTCTCATGTGCAATACCACAGGGTTAACTAGTTACGTTATATGATTACTATAACTCTGAAATTCTGAAGCAAATTTTGGTATAATCAAACTAAATAGACATAACGTATTGATCTCAGGTTATTTGTTGCTTCTTTTATTTCAATTGATATTTCTATTGCATCAATCTCTGGGCACATTCAAATCAAAGATATTCAGAGTTCTTTTCATTTTTCTTTGAGGATTACAGAGAATGACGCAGAAATGCTTTTATTCTCAAAAGTGTTAAATACTACTTGTATAAAGCTTGTTTTATTTATTGATACCAACTCCACAAGTATGTATGACGGGGTCATTTAGCATAGTGTAAGCAGAGTTTGAATATGGCTTACTTGAAACTACATTTCCATTGTGAGGAAACTGGACCTTCCTATATGATGGCTCTATCACAACTGATACACACACACACACACACACACACACACACACACAAATTCTAAACCTTGTTTCTACCACATGGCTATGCTTGGGTTCTATGAGAAGTGGCCATGTCATATGTGGCATCCACATTTTGGCTTAAGTTTGTACCAGTTTATTTCATTGTAAACCAAATATTTCTGAGAACGAAGATCTATACTGGGCCTATATTAGTAGAACAAAGAGTAAAGGAAACAAGAAAGTTTTGAGTAGACGGTACTAGAAGAACAAAATGCTAGTGATGTGTACAAGTATGAAGTAGTCAAGAAACTGTCAGAAGTCAAGTTGGTAGGTTACAAGTATGTGCTCATGTGTGTATATTGTGCATGTTGCACACATACAAATACAAAACCAAGGAATGCGAAGGGGAGTGAGGAGGGAAATTAGCAGTGAGTGATGAGATTATCTCTTAGGCCGGGGACCAGGTAATGTAAGCCTAAGGCATTAACTTTGTTATATTCATATGATGTGTTGGTTCTCTTTAATTCTCAACTGCACTTTTCTTAAACGGATACAATTTAAATTATCATGAGCGTTCAGGTACTCCAGTTTATCATCTTATGTCAATGCTATCCATCTTATGTGTATAGTGCTGTGCTTTGTCACTTGGCCATTATCCTACCCATTCGTTTCCTTGAACATATTCTTTTCTATAATAATGAGTCAGTGTCAAGACATCTTGTGGCAAGATCTTGATATATTTTTAACTGGAGCACTCTGTTAAAAAATGAGTCAATGATGAAGGATTATCTTGTACTAAAGAAAAAAAAGCAGAAATGTAATGAATCTGGACTTTGACATGTCGTATATCTTATGCAGGGACACCCAAGAATTGTTGGAGAATGTTGGAAATATGCCAGAAATCATCGTGGTGGGTTGGTGGCCAGGTTGACAAAGATGCATTGTCATTTTACTTTTGGAAAATCCTGCGAGGCTCGCTATGGAGTCTGGCAATAGCAATTACAATTACTGTGCTTCATTTTATTCACTTGGGCAAAATAATGTCATTCCACTTAAAACATACAAAATTGCAAACTAATAATAAAGCTCTCTTAGCCCTTAGAGTGAGGAGTTAACCTGGATAATAAAGTGATGTAAGGCTTAATAAACCTTGTTTCTGGCCAAATCCCAGAGAGAATGAATTTCATGTGACTCAGCTCTATGGAATCAATAATAACTGACTCCTGTTTGGCACTAGTTGAATATGAGGTGCAGACAAGTACTCGTTCAGGTATGTGGATTACCCAGGCTTTCTTTCCCTGCTACCCTCACAATACTTACTTTTGGTTTTTTCTTGACGTCAGATGACTCTCCTTTCGGAGGTGAGCCTTGACTGCTCTGATGTGTGAATATACCTCCTTAACAAGGAAGTCTCACTTATAGATATAAACTAAGCACAATGAAATATTTTAGATATTTATATGACAAATAGCAATAAATCTTGGGCTAATATTTATAAACAGCCAATAACAAGCTTTTTAGTAAATTCTCCACCGGCATTGTATTTAGAGATCTTTTATAAAAGAAAATTGTGGAGCAGCTCTGCTTAAGGCTATCACTTGAAACATCTCATGCCTGTAATCCCAGCACTTTGGGAGGCCGAGGCGGGTGGATCATGAGGTCAGGAGTTCAAGACCAGCCTGGGCAACATGGTGAAACCCCGTCTCTACTAAAAATACAAAAATTAGCCGGGCTTGGTGGTGGGTACCTGTGATCTCAGCTACTCGGGAGGCTGAGGCAGAGAATTGCTTGAACCCGGGAGGCGGAGGTTGCAGTGAGCTGAGATTGCACCTCTGCACTCCAGCCTGGGCAACAGAGTGAGACTCTGTCTCAAAAAAACAAAAAACAAAACAAAATAAAACAATCATGTAAAAAGCCTTTACATTAGTAGGATATTATAGACCTGGAAAATTCATATAGTAGAATTTTGAGGAAAGAACATTGAGACAAAGATTCCACAGAAGACAGCAGTTGCCTAACTAAATTCACCACTTTTTTCAGTCTTGTGAACCCAGTGGTGGCAGGAGGGCAGGTACTTTCTTGTGAGTATCCTGGCATAAACCAGAACTGAGAATATGAACTTATGTAAATAAAACTCTTTAGAGGATGATGTATAAAATTATGCTGATATATTCATGTACAATAAAATGTATGAGAGTTCACCAGTATATTTCCTGTATCATTTGGGAAGCTAGCTTGCCAGAGGGTTATTTAAGTAAGTCTAAAATAAGCATAGGGATAATTAGTTACATGATCCAAATGTGTAATGGCCTCATGCTGTAATATTTGAAGCAGATGAGATTCTTGATTTAGCTTGACAGGTATGCATTCCTCTGGCCAGTGCTGGGCAACTCCTTCACTTTGGAGGCTGACCTGTTGGCACTCTCATTGCCCACTGATTCTTTGGTTGATCAATGTGATACATTATTTTATTAGATATGTTCTGTTTTACATAAATAAGTATATTTACTACATAAATAATGACAACTGTTGCAATGTAATATAATCTAAGAACCAGTTTAACTGCTTACAGTTTATAAATATTTCTAGTGCTGGTGGGCATATAGTGAGAGTCTCCAAAGCGGGGCGCTATGTTCACTTTTCTAGGCTGAACTCCAGGAATATGATAAAACTAGGTAATTCTGCAGATTGTGAGAATAGAAGGGTCATGTGATCTACTTCCTATATGAAACAGTGCAAAACAGTAAACAAGGGACTTTTTCATTACCCATAACTGGGGAATAACATAATATTTACAGAATGTGAGAAAGCATGTGAGTGAGCTAGTCAGGGCCCTAGAAAGTATCAGGTTGGACTATTTAATTGAAGGCTCGTTGCTATGGTCTTACTGTTTGTGTCCCCTCAAATTCCTAGGTTAAAATTCCAACCCCCAAGGTGATAGTGTTAGGAGGTGGGGCCTTTGGAAAGCCACTAGGAATGGATTAGCGTCCTTGTATAAGAGGCCAGAGAGAGAGACCCTTTGCCCCTTCCAACATGTGAGAACACAGTGAGAAGGTCCCATCTATGAACCAAAAAGTGGGCCCTCACCAGACACTGAATCTGCCAGTACCTTCGTCTTGGACTGCCTAGCCACCAGAACTGTGAGAAATAAGTTCCTGTTACTTATCAGCTACCCAGTCTATGTTATACTGGTAAAACATTCATAATGAACTAAGACACTGCTTGATATTATCAGTATGGAGGAGCTAAGAAGTAGAGATGTGTTTACAACCCAAAAAGGCTGTCATGAACAGAAACCAACTCCTTCTCTTGAGGTCATGGTTAATTAAAGCCTGGATACCTAAACTGTCCAGCCCATGGAGAAGGCAGGGAAAAGAAAGAAATCTTATCTGGCTGAGTTCGAACTTGAAATGGCTAAGAAAAATACTAGAGTATCCAGTTTATCTGATGTTACCTAGATTGTTTTTTCTGCCACTAGTCAGAAAAGAATCTCAAAGTAAAGATGAAATTATTTTAAAAATCAAGTTATATTTTTGCCAGTCAGAATTTATGGCTTGAAAATCAACATTTGCTTTTTGTTTGAGTATACATAGTTTTGGAGTTTATACTGGGATATGTTTATACTGAGATATGCATTTAGAACATTATTAAAATATGGATTATTGAGGGTTTTGTGGCATAGAAACTTAAGTATCTATAATTCAAATTTATAAAAGAACTGTTCACAAATATTTCAATATTATTGGTTTAGTAAAAGATATACTGTCTTGATACAATTTTATGATGAGATTTATAATCAAGAATTAATGTTATCAACTTTGCTGTTAGATTTCTTTAAAAATTCTGTTTATTAAGTGTGTAATGTTTTAATGATACCATGTGGAGAAGAGGAATTGGGACATTCCTGACCAAAATTTGAGCTATAGTGGCCTCAAGATAGCTTTAACTTCTTTATTTCTCTTATACTGCAATTTATACTAATTACAGCAATTCATTTTAGCTAACACATGTGGAAACAAATAAAAATGTGGAACCATACATAATGAAATCTAAACTGATCATAAAATTTTAAAATAAATTTTAACATGAGAGGTTCCATGCAGCTGCATATTTAGAATTTACTTCTTCTTATTTAGTGCTCCAAATATTTCTATAGGTTTTTTTTTAATTCCATGAACAATGTGAATGCCATAGCCCAAACAATTCTAAGCAATAAATAAAATAGGAAAATTCATTATCATATAAACCTATTAGAAACAGTATTGAGTTTCAAATCATTGGAAATAGTAATAACCAAATTAGATGTTATCAAGACTTTACTAATACAAAATGTATGTTTCAGCATTCTATTACTTGAATATTTGAGCAATTAGATGCCACCGGCAATGTTAGATTTGATTAGGGGTTTTCGGCATACTGCTTAACAAGCTTAGCTATGAATATTAGCTAACTATCTTTTAGATCTAGTAAAAAAAAAAAAAGTCAGAGTGTTACAAATGGGTTGGATTCCTTTTTATCATATTTGATTTTAAGAGACCAGAAATCACAGGATAATGAAAGTACAAATAGTGCCAGAAATGGACAATTTAGCTTAATCCAATAAGTAAGTGAAATATACGCTTATTTGCTTCCTACCTCGCGTCAGGTACCATTCTGAGAAAATACCATTATCAAGCCACTATTGGCTCTCACAATTAATTAACAGTCTATTTGGAAGGCAAACATAAGAAAAAGAATATAGCCTGCAATTTAATACAATACATACTATGAAAGAGGTGAAGTAAAAGGAGCAGTAAGGCAGAGAGGCCTAGCTGACCACTCATATAGAGTTATTGGTGAAGATGTGTTCCCAGAAAAGGACCATATCTTCCAGACCTTGTTATATCAATGTGCCTTCCCAACTCTTTCCCCTTCCCCTACCCCAACAAGGAAAGTGGCACCTCAAGATAGAAGGAGTTTGGGTTCCTAAATCATTACTGATCAGGAACATTATAATTGGACTGATGTGTCCACATATCAGCCCACTGACATTTGGGGATAATTTATTGCAGCAGCAAATGCTCCTGTAACTAATCTACTGATCTACCAATCTGCCCAAAGGAAATAGGAAATGCTTAAAATGGACTCCTTAATTGTATATATGAGTTTTTTTTTTTCAGGTGGTATATATAGAAGAGATGGGGGTGGGGTTTGGTGGATCAATTACACACAGGAAATAACAAGAGCAAAGGCATAGAGAAATGAAAAACTGTTTATATGCAATGTTTCCTATCATTCAGTATTTTTGTCATGTCAGGTAAGTGGAGGAGAGAGGTATGGAGAGGGGTGGGGAAGTAAGTATACAGAGCCATATTATAGAAATCCTTATACTCCCATGCATAGACTTAGGACTTAATCCTTATGCTGCTCAATTCTAACATAACTTTCACAGGGCCAGAGGGCTGTCTTAAACATGCTGACTGTCATTTTACCAAGGAAGAAGAAGAAATAAAGAATATTCAGGTTGATTATGGATCTTGAAAGGAATATTGTCCATTAATAATAGTCAATAAGGAAAATGGTAAAATGTATGACCAGTGACCAGGATCAGTATTCTAAAGGGACTCTGAGTTTTAACTAAGATTGTGAATCAAAATGTTGTTATAATGCCCATATGTAGTTTTATTAAACTGGACTAAACATGGCATGGGAATAGAAATGCTGAAAAAGAAAACTAATTAAAATTGTTATGATGTAGAATAACTTCACATAATATAGAATAAGTTTAGAACAGAGGGTATCCTGTGGTACTATACCTCATATATAAATATATATATAGTATATTCTATATTATAAAATGCAGAAAAATTATATCAAATGAAAACTAAATTTTTGCTCACATGTCTAATGCAGATTAGGTGGTGTTACAGGTTGTATTGTGTCTTCCAAAAAATAGATTTTGAAGTCCTAACACCTAGTACCTCAGAATATGACCTTACTTAGAAACAGAGTCTGTGCAGATCCAGGCATGTTAAGATGGGATCATTAGCATGGGCCCTAATACAATATGATAGGTGTTCTTATAAAAAGGGATAAATTTGGACATAGAAACAGATACACCCAGAGCAAAGACCATGTGAAGAGACACAGGGAGAAGATGGCTATTTGCAAGGCAAGGAATGCCTAAAGCTACCAGAACCTGCGAGAGAGACTTGGAACAAACACTTCCCTAGAGTCTTCAGAGAGATCAAGGCTCCGCTGACATCTCGATTTTAGAGTTTTGGCCTCCATAATTGTGAGGTAATAAATTTTTGTTGTTTAGGTCACCTAGTTTATGGTGCTTTGTTACAGGAGCCCTAGGAAACTAGTAATACAAGAGGACATTTTCCTTTTTGTAATTTTACCATCTGGAAGATGCCTCTAAAGAAGGCTTAACAGAAAGAAGCATCGAGATTGTACACTGTTTCTTATCCATCTTGGTGGGAAGTGACACACATTACTTCCATTTAAAGTTCGTTAACTAGAAATAGACACATGGCCTCAATATAATAGCAAAATAGCCTGAGACAGGTAGAAAAGTGTTGATAATATTTGGTGTACAAGCACTGTTTTCATCACAACTGCCACTGAAGTACACACATCTGGCCTCTTAATTCAGTTTCTGCCTTTTAATAACAGTGGGAAAATTGTTCATATCTCAAATCTTAATTTCTAGATACATTAAATAAGGGTAATCATGCCTAATGGATATGAAGCACTTAGTAGAATACCTGACACAGAGAAAATGTTCAATGAACTATTACTGTTTTGTGAATTAGTAGTATGTAGAGTGAATTCTGCAGAAGAATATGGAGACTAATACATGGGTCCTAATGATACTTCATTTTAACATATTGAATATTTTTTGAAATGTTTCAGATCTTGCATATTACCAAAACATTGCAGCATTTCAAAAGAACTGAACAATTTTGGGAGCACCTACCTGACCACTCTACCTCTTTCCTTTCCTTAACTCTTTTCACCATCCATTTATGAAATGATGTAATATTACATAGGACAACTTGCTAATAATTAATCACCAACAAAAACAAATTTAGGCAGAAACTTAAGCATATGGAGAGAACATACAGGCAAATAATGATTTAGCTTGGATAAAAGACATTTTACTTGACATCTTCTTTAGATTGAAGGCTTCTTATATTGTCCAGACATATTTTTGAGATAAAGATAAAGTAAGTTTTCAGATTCTATTTGTCTACTCATTATAAATAATATTTTAGAAATTTATGTTTCCATACACTTTGTACTTAAAACAAAGCCAATGCTCAATTAGTTTATGGCACTGAAAAGGAGACACTGTTCTACAAGCTCTGTTCATTTACCGTATATTCATTTGTATATTTAAATAATTTTAAATATAAGAATGGTGCCAGAAAGCAGCTATAATGGGTAGCATTTGGTATTTTTTAACTCATTCTCAATTACCCCTGTCTTAATAAAATTTACACATAATAAACTGAGTGGTGCGACCTATACTAATGAAGCCAGATAAATAAGATGTTAATCAGTATGGAAAGAACACAACAAAAGGGATTCCATTTGCAAAGTATTATAATTTGCAAAAGATTCTAAGACTAGATGAAAATTTAGTATAAATAATTCAAAAGAGAGTGAAAAAGAGACAGAGAAAATTAAAAGTGTGCATGAGTGTTTGGCAGTTAAAAAACACAGTCACAACAATAGTGATTTCTTAAAATTACAATAGAAGTAGGGTTTTTTTTGTTAAGATAAGGAAAAGTTTCATCCCCTATGCTGTCATTGAAAGTGGACAGGACACAAGTCTTTGCTACTCCAGTCTTTGCCATCTGTTCATACAGATGTTCTCTGTATGAACATCACAGAGAATAGTAATGGAAATAAAATGATTAAGGATAAAGACCTATTAAAGAATACAGCAAATGAATATTTGATATTACAGTGTAATTAATTTATGTAACCTCAGAAAGTCCTTGATTCTACACCATACTACCTACTATGAGTTGATAAAGGAAGATCAGTGGTAGGTATGACAAACTATGGTCTAAGTCATCTGTTGTCTTAGTCCATTTTTTGTTTCCATAATTGAATACCACAGACTGGGTAATTTATTTTTTTTAAAAAAAGGAGAGAGAGAAATGTATTTCTTACAGTTCTAGAGGCTGGAATGTCGAAGATCAAGGGGCTGGATCTCATGAAGGCCTTCTTATTGCTTCATAACATGGTGGAAAGCACCACAGGATGAGAATGGCACATGAGAGAAAGCCAAACTGGCTTTTATAACAGACCCACTATACCCGCTAGTTCTATAACTAACCTACTCCTGTGATAACTCATTAAACCATTAATTATGAATGGATTAATCCATTAATGAGGGCTCTGCCCTCAGGCCCAATCATCTGTTAAAGGCCTGATTTCTTAATACTCTTACACTGGGGATGAAGTTCCAACATGAGTTTCAGAGTGGACAAACATTTAAACCATAGCACATGTAGACTGTAATTTATTACACTGTAGCTACAGTAAGTCTCCTCTGCTTATGAGCCTCTCCAGTTGTCTCCTACCATTGCAGAAAACAGCTTGTAACTCAGTGCACCTTCTATGGCTCAATTTTGACAGTTAGAGCTTTCTACTCCCTCTGAGAATATTCAGTGGTGTTGTTCATTCCTGCTCCTCTCCATAACAGACCCAGACTTCAAGTAGAAGATAGCAGAAGTCATAATTCATGAGACTGCAATTTGACTATTTCCTACATGCCTGGAGTTTTGCCCTAAAAGAAGATTAACAGCAACAGGCCACAGAAAATGTCACATCTTAAAGCCATGATCATGTTGCCCTAACAGAGGCCAGCGTTTCAGAATAACCAGATATATCAGAGAAAGTTAAAACATAAGTAATTACTAGATTAAGACTGGAGCGTTGTGCCTTTTAAGTGATATGTAGTAGTGATCTGAATCATGAAGTCATTCCAGTTTTGTTTTGCTTCATTTGTTTTTGTAAATCAGGAATTTGACAAGCTTAATTAAAGAATGGTAATTATTTCCTTTTTAATTTTCATGTATTCTCAACTATACAGCAAGAGTAAAACATGATTTTCAAGTGGACCTTTTTGAAGCTTTAAAACGTTATTTAGGGCATAATATTGGAACTACCCACGTTACTTCAAGTCACTATCCTTTCCAAGTCATTTTTACTTCCACAGAAATATTCTGCAACCTTGGGTAAAAGAGTATTGCTAATAGCTAGTATTTATAGGGTGCTTACTACATGCTAGGTGCTGATCTAAGCCTTTTACATCTATTAGCTAATTGATTTTCTCAGTAATGCTATGAAAGTAAGTACTGTTCTTATCTCCATTTTATCAGTGTGAAAACTGAGGCAAAGAAATAGTAAATAAATTCCCCTGGGTCATACAGATAGTGCGCTAGAAACTTAGACACATTTTAAGCAGGGTGGTTCCAGAGTCATCCTCTCAATAACTACCTTATGCTGGCCAACTGTAGAAGTGTCCTCCTGCCATATCTACCTTGGAAATTTTCACAGGTAAGAAATAACAAAATAGAGGGAGCCTTATACAGTTAGTGCTTCCTAAATTTTGTATACATCAGGATTATCTAGAGACTTGCTAAAATTGTTTCCTGAGGCCCTCCCCCAGAGATTCAGATTTAGCAGGTTGGGATCTACACAGTTGTATTATAACAAGTTCCCAGGTAATGCTGGAGCTGCTGGTCTATAAATTACACTTCGAGTGCCACTGCATTAGGCTATATTTAATTAAGCTATCATCTATTTCCTATTTACAAAACATCCTAACTGTATATCTTTAAGAACCTAAAGATATGGCTGTTTGTTTGTTTGTTTGCTTTTACCGGTTCTAAAGTTAGTAAGGACCTAAAAGTAGGGCCCTGTATGGAAATCAAAGTTTGTTCACTTACACCCAGTGATGGTACTTTAGAATTTTTTTTAGTTGTGGGAAAATCATTCCTATGAATATGTGGCAGCAAGAAATATTTAGATTAGAGTTCAGTAGAAGGTTTTTAAGAAAAAATTTTCATGACATGAGTAGAAATTATGAGAGAAATTAAAGTTGATTCACTTTTTGGCCCACACATGCTGAACCTTCCATTTAGCTTAATCCAACATTTGGATTAAGAATAAACTTGAATCAATTTTTTGTTGAATCATTTTCTGTTTGCTTTCTGATGTGTGTGGTTCATTATGCAAAAATTATCAGCCACCTGAGCTAGTAATGGAAGCCAACAAGAAGATTGGCGAAACATCTGCCGGAAGAGTAGAGTAGTGCTTTAAGAGGAATTATTGTTTCTTATTTTAATATTGTCATTTTCTCCATAGCATTTTTGCCCAATACATTGCTTTTTAAATATTCTCTTAAAGTATTGAGTTAGCAATGAACCAGTTAAAGAAAAAAAAAAAAATACTTTCACTGTCTCACTCCACTCAGGCCTAAATAATATTTTTCCCCCCTTTGGAAAGAGACATTTTAATATGTCACATTTCAGTTCCAGCTCAATAAACAACCATTTATTTACAATTTTAGAACAATCTTCAGCCTAGTCAGGTAAGAATTATTTCAAAAGAATAAAAACATTTTCATTTCCCATCACTGCCAAAAAAGAAAAGAACATGAGTTATGAGTCTTGCTATGTTGTCTTAAGTTGATTACTATGGAATGATTAAAAAACTAGCTGTGCTGTCAGTGCAGAGGAGTACATTATAAGTGTAATAACAGCTTAGGGATACAATCCATCAATGCCACACTTGGAGGAAGAAAAAAAGTTGATCTATTTCTTTGGTCATCATTTTCAGCATATTAGATGACAAATAATTGTACATTCATCAATAACAATAGATTAAAGTTGAAATGATTTATTGCTATTACACTGCTGTTATGATGGAACACCGGGTCAGTCAAGCATCAGCAGGGTCTGTATTTAATTTTCACGGGTCTCTTAACAGAAATAATAGACAGAGAGTAAACCACCTGAAACAAGGTAGATCAAAGTTGCTGACAAGTGATTTGTAGGTTGGTTCTTCATGAGTGGTGGAAGAGAGGCAATAGGACCTCTTTGGCAGGCCTGTTGAACCACTAAATCAAGGAGACCTTGCTGGCACTCAGGCTGACATCCAGCCAGGCAGCACATGGAAATATGAAAACTATGCAAGTATGAAGTTAGTTTAATATTACCCGAAGGTAATGGAACATGGTACACATTCCTGGGACCAAACTGTGATTTCAATCTTCTGCAAATCTCCAGTAGGCTAATGAGAGTCTGCTTTTCAGCAAGTAGTAGTTTAATTATTCTCACATCCACTGACTGTCAGTAGATTGGTATGATCCGTGGAAAAATATGTAATATGTTTATCTTAGTATATTATATTTCTTCCTGCTTAAGCAAGGTGAGAATTATTTATAGTCAACTTGTTTGAACATTTAAATTTCAATTCAACAATAATTGATTAAGTACTAAATTGACTAGGTTTTCTGAAAGTTCTGTCTGTGGACTGTCTATATCAGATTTTTTAACCGGGATTTTTGCAGAAACATATGTAACTTGTTTGGCTTGAGATTTCCTGGGGCTTTTTGAAGCTAGAAATTTACATTTCTACAAAACTTCTTGGGTGATTCTGATGAAATCTAAACTTTAAGAATCCATGTGTTAGGCTCAGATACTATGGGAAACAAAAACAACTACACTGTGTCAGCGAGTTTCAGGAATGTCTACCCATCTTGAGGTTTGGCTATTTTCCTAACAAATGTAGTTTACAAGATTCAAATGTACAAGGAGCTTCATTAAGCCTTACCTTGGGCTTCTGAGGCTTTTTAAAAATTATTTTACATTTTAAAGAGATTATTTAGATTTCCCGCATGAAACACAATAACATTAATCACCTAAACACTTTTATAATAGGTATATATTTTGTTACAGCCTCCTCTCAAAGTATTCTGGTTAGTCTATAAAATAATATTGTGCATTATGTCATCCAAAATGCATTATTGTATTGATTTATATTTACTAATTTATGTGAGTTTTAAAATGTTTTATTTTAGCATACTATTAAATATATCATTTATAATAATTATAAAGGTGTTTAATGAAAACCAATAAATAGCATAATTCATTAAAGGGAAATGTTTGATGATTTGAATTTTGAAATAACTGTCTCTAGTTAGGGTATCCAGCTATTTTAAAAATAATAGGTGCCAGTTTTGGAATTCAAGAATAAGTGATTTTTCTTCAATTAAAAGTAATGGGAAATTTGTCCTTCTGGTAAATTACCCTCTGAGGAATATTTTCAGTAAAAACTTGTCCATAAAAAGCAAGAGATGCTTGTTTGTAAGGTATCTACCTAATTTATAAGTATAGTAGCTTGACTTTGCCAAACTAAACAAAGAGTCTCAAAATAATTTGGTCTTGTAATTAATTATACAGAAATGACTGTGACAGAGTGGGAGGAAATAAAATAATAAATCAATATTCGGTCTGTTGCTGCTTGAGTAGAAGTCAGATTATAATATTGCCAATACCTACTGCTGCATTGACAGAGAATTCTCATCTTGTAGGCAGCTATGGTGATTGGTAATCCCTGCCCAGAATTCTGTGTTGAGAAGCTGCCACAGAAGCAGACCCAGAAACAAATAGCGTATTTGGCAGATGAAGTAGGAAAGGGAAGGGAGGTAAGCAAATAAGGGCTCAGTTAATGTGAAGTTATTGCTCTGGGCAATTGGGGCTCAATCCCACTAGAGACCCCTTAAAGCACTCTAAGGAATACAACTCAGACAAGTTGCTGTGAGAGGTGTAGAGTCTGGGTAGTAATACCAGCCCTCATTTCTCAGTGTGGAAGGGTGGTCTCTCTGGCATGCTCTTGGGATTGTCACACCTTGGCACTATGGCCTACTCTGTTCCCTGGTCAAACAATCTTCTTAGAAGCAGTTGCTTGACACAGAAACCTCTGACAAATACTGGAACTGACCACAGAAGTGCCATCTGACCTCTGAAATGGGCCAGGGAAATATGGGCAAGGCACAAACACTATGCAGTGCTCCAAAAAGATTCGTAAGTCAAATCTGGACTTAATGAGTGAAAGTCTGTCAACAGATATTGTAGGTGTGTTTGGCAGCATTTGCCATTCCTTAGTTTATTATAAACCCCATGAATATAATTTAGGAAAACTAAACCTTTTCAGATTTCTGTGGTATATTTGTTTCCCCTGCATGGTTGATAGACGTAAAAAGAAGTACAGAAGCGCCATTGCATTACCATAGTGTCTTTAATTAGCAGTATCACTGGAAACATGTAGAGATGACTTGCACAGTAGAGAAATAAAGCCAACGATGTTCCAATTGTTTGATGATGCTATTTGGGATGGTGAAGGCTGAGTTCTCAGATTTAATTTGGTAAATGTAATTTTGTCTAAGGTGGTTGTCACAATACTGCATATATTAGAAATCATGTCATTACATTCCCTAAATTAGGCCTTTTTAAAGAGACGTATTTAATACTCTTAGCTGTGAAGGCAACAATGTCTAACAAGAAATCTGTCTACTGATGTTTGTAATTTGTAACAGTATCCCTGTACAGAGCAGTGTACTAACAATCCCAGTTAGTATTAATTACTCCTTTCAGTTTAAGAAGAAAATGAGAAGTGCTTAATAATCAATCTCAAGTTTATTAGGAGCTAAATTCCATTGGAGGTGAGAGGCAGTTTTGCAGTAAGAATGCCAGAGGAACACATTCACTGGCCCAGAGCATTGCTGAAATTAAAATCATTAGATAACAAGCAACGTATGAGGACTTAGCCAACTAGATGACTAACTGGCTGAAATCAGCTTAAAAAAAAAAATTCCACACCTGTCAATAGTTATCACCACTAAAATAGTACATATAGTGAAGAAAAAAAGCTTTAACTTTCTGTCCAGTCAAATCTAAGTGTATCACACTCAATTTTCCTTCCTTAGTAATCTAAATAATTTCCCACCTTGCTCATGATGAATGTTTTGCCAGCACCTACTCAGTTCCTCCACTTTACATGACCTAATTAAAGAAAACATTTCATGATTGCCTATTTTTTCTCATGCATGACAACCTATTATTTTTCCTACCACCTGATTAGGGCTTTATTATCCTTGGATTTAGATTGATTTGCTGAGCACTTTAATAAAACACTACTTAGTTTGATTTAAAGGACTACAGGTTTCCTTCATTCATACAATTATTTATATAACCATCGTACATTCTAAATACAGTCCCTCCGAAAAGCAGTTTTAGATTGCCACCAAACAAGCTTATAAAATAAGAATCACAGGTGACTTTTCTGTTGAATATGGGAATGTGAGTTCCATTGTGGGCAGTCATGAGAGGACATTTTGCAATATAATTTGTCAAGAGTGATAAATCTATTTCATCATATCTGTCAGGGATGGCTCCTGTGTATTAAAACTACTATAAAGTTTGCTCAAGATAAACTAAAAGTTTCATATGATTAAATAATCATAAATTTATGATGACAAATTACATTTACTGTGTTATCTACAACCCGAGCCAAAATTAGATAGGGTTCAAATGGATGATGATGCATTTTGATTTCCTATCTAGTGAATTTTTATTAAATAAATGAGATGTGCAACATTTATAAAACTGTCTTTTATTTTGGACCTTTTACTAGAAAGTTGTATCTTGTCAAAAATAAAGGAGCACACATATACACATTGAATTACTAATTAAATGAGTTGGCCAGTAGAAAAGTAAAGAAAGTTATTTAAATATTAACTGGAGAACACGTGATGCTTGGTAGACGCTGAGCCATCACAGATGAGAAGAAATTCCAGTCCTAAGAAAGAAGCATAAGTCTCACCCTTCAGTGGTGAGAGACAGGTGGTGTTCAGTGGTAGATAGCCCAGTGAGCCCCACTGGAGTCCAGGGATTAAAGAAATATCGACAGAAGGTTCAGTTATACATAATCTGATCAGACATTCAATTCATTATTTATTTATTAAGTGCATGCTATGTGCAAGGTTTAGAACAAAATTCTTTCCATGATTTTAAAGAATCTCAAGGGATTTGAAAGCTCACTGGGGTGACTGAGTTCATCTGTTAAAAAGAATTTAAAGGGTCCAAGCTTGGAATATGCCTATTGGTTTTCAGGCACCTCAATAATACCAACTCTTTGACTTTAGGATTCTTATCTGAGGGAAATCAAAGAATGTGGATGTAAAGTGGCATTTGGTCAAATGGGAGTTTCTGTGAATTTCAACATCACTCAAAAACACACACACACACGTTGTCCATAATCTTGTTAGAATTGAGAGTTGTTCCAATGTGGTAGCATTTGTTCATCACATCAGGACATTTCTTAAAGTTTACTTATTTTGATTGACAAAAATGGTGTATATATTTATGAAATAAAACATGTTTTGAAATATGTATAGAAATGGCTTACATCAAACTAATTAACATGTGCATTATCTCACATACATCATTTTTTTGTGGTGAGAACAAAATGTCCTCAGTGATTTTCAATGCTAAATATATTATAATTAACTAACATCTCTTGAATTTTATTCCTCCTATTGAACTGAAATTTTGTATATGTTAACCAATGTCCCCTGACACACCATCAGTCCCTGGAAACCACTACTCTACTCTATGCTTCTTTCAGTTGGACTTTTTTAGATTCCACATATAAGTGAGATAATGGGATAGGTATCATTCTGTGACTGGCTTAATTCACTTAACATAATGTCCTCCAGGTTCATTTATGCTGTCACAAATGACAAGATTTCCTTCATTTTAAGGCTGACTAGTATTCCATTGTGAATATACGCCACATTTTCTTTATCCATTTATCCATTGATAGCCACTTAGGTTGATTGCATATCTTGGCTATTATAAATAACGCTGCAATGAATGTGGGAGTGCAGATATCTCTTTGACATTGTGATTTCATATTCTTTGGTTATGTGATTGCAGTGGGATTGCTGGGTCATTAGGCAGCGCTATTTTTAATTTTATGAGGAAACTCCACATTGTTTCCATAATGGCTGTACTAATTTACATTGCTGCCAGGAGTGTACATCCTTGCCAACACTTGTTAGCTTTCATCCTTTATATTTTTATTTTTATTTCTTTTTTTAATTTTACTTCAAGTTCTAGAATACATGTATAGAATGTGCAGGTTTGTTACATAGGTATACACATGCCATGATGGTTTGTTGCACCCATCAACCCATCATCTACATTAGGTATTTCTACTAATACTATCCCTCACCTAGCCCCTTACCCCCTGACGGGCCCCAGTGTGTGATGTTCCCTTCTCTGTGTTCATGCGTTCTCATTGTTCAACTCCAACTTATGAATGAGAACATGAGGTGTTTGGTTTTCTGTTCCTGTGTAAGTTTGCTGAGAATGATGGCTTCCAGCTTCATCTATGTCCCTGCAAAGGACACGAACTCATCCTTTTTTATTGCTGCATAGTATTCCATGGTGTACATGTGCCACATTTTCTTTATCCATTCTATCATTGATGGGCATTTGGGTTGGTTCCAAGTCTTTGCTATTGATACCAGTGCTACAATAAACATATGTGTGCATGTGTCTTTATGGCAAAATGATTTATAATCCTCTGGGTATATACCCAGCAATGGGATTGCTGGGTCAAATGGTATTTCTGGTTCTAGATCCTTGAGGAATTGCCACACTGTCTTCCAAAATGGTTGAACTAATTTATACTCCCACCAAAAGTATAAAAGCATTCCCGTTTCTCCACATCCTCTCCAGCATCTGTTGTTTCCTGACTTTTTAATGATAGCCATTCTAACTGGCATGAGATGGTATCTCATTGTGGTTTTGATTTGCATTTCTCTAATGACCAGTGATGATGAGCTTCTTTTCATATGTTTGCTGGTGCATAAATGTCTTTTTTTGAGAAGTGTCTGTTCATATCCTTCGCCCACTTTTGGATGGGGTTGTTTGTATTTTTCTTGTAAATTTGTTTAAGTTCTTTGTACATTCTGGATATTAGCTCTTTGTCAGCTGGATAAATTGCAAAAATTTTCTCCCATTCTGTAGGTTGCCTTTTCACTCTGATGATAGTTTCTTTTGATATGCAGAAGTGCTTTAGTTTAATTAGATCCTATTTGTCAATTTTGGCTATTGTTGTCATTGCTTTTCGTGTTTTAGTTATGAAGACTTTGCCCATGCCTATGTCCTGAATGGTATTGCCTAGGTTTTCTTCTAGGGTTTTTATGGTTTTAGGTCTTAGTTTAAGTCTTTAATCCATCTTGAGTTAATTTTTGTATACGGTGTAAGGAAGGGGTCAAGTTTCTGTTTTCCGCATATGGCTAGCCAGTTTTCCCAACACCATTTATTAAATAGGGAGTCCTTTCCCCATTGCTTGTTTTTGTCAGGTTTGTCACAGATCAGATGGTCGTAGATGTGTGGCATTATTTCTGAGGCCTCTGTTCTGTTCCATTGGTCTAGATATCTGTTTTGGTACCAGTATCAAGCTGTTTTGGTTACTGTAGCCTTGTAGTATAGTTTGAAGTCAGGTAGCGTGATGCCTCCAGCTTTGTTCTTTTTGCTTAGGATTGTCTTGGCTATACAGGCTCTTCTTTGGTTCCACATGAAATTTAAAGTAGTTTTTCCTAATTCTGTGAAGAAAGTCAATGGTAGCTTGATGGGGATAGCATTGAATCTGCAAATAACTTTGGGCAGTGTTGCCATTTTCAAGATATTCATTCTTCCTATACATGAGCATGGAATGTTTTTCCATTTGTACCCTCTCTTATTTCCTTGAGCAGTGGTTTATGGTTCTCCTTGAAGAGGTCCTTCACATCCCTTGTAAGTTGCATTCCTAGGTATTTTATTCTCTTTGTAGCAATTGTGAATGGGAGTTCACTCATGATTTCACTCTCTATTTGTCTGTTACTGGTGTATAGGAATGCTTCTAATATTTGCACATTGATTTTGAATCCTGAGACTGTTGGAGTTGCTTATCAGCTTCAGGAGATTTGGGGCTGAGACGATGGGGTTTTCTAAATATACAATCATGTCAATCCAAGCAGAGACACTTTGACTTCCTCTCTTCCTATTTGAATACCCTTTCTTTCTTTCTCTTGCCTGAATGCCCTGGCCAGAACTTCCAATAATGTGTTGAATATGAGTGGTGAAAGAGGGCATCCTTGTCTTGTGCTGGTTTTCAAAGACAATGCTTCCAGCTTTTGCCCATTTTGTATGATATTGGCTGTGTGTTTGTCATACGTAGCTCTTATTATTTTGAGATACGGTCCACCAATACCTAGTTTATTGAGAGGTTTTAACATGAAGGGCTGTTGAATTTTGTTGAAGGCCTTTTCTGCATCTGTTGAGATAATCATGTGGTTTTTGTCATTGGTCCTGTTTATGTGATGGATTATGTCTATTGATTTGCATATGTTGAACCAGACTTACATCCCAGGGATGAAGCTGACTTGATCATGGTGGTTAAGCTTTTTGATGTGCTGCTGGATTCTGTTTGCCAGTATTTTATTGAGGATTTTTGGATTGATGTTCATAAGGGATATTGACGTGAAATTTTCTTTTTTGTTGTGTCTCTGCCAGGTTTTGGTATCAGGATGATGCTGGCCTCATAAAATGTGTTAGGGAGGAGTTCCTCTTTTTCTGTCATTTGTAATAGTTTAAGAAGGAATGGTACCAGCTCCTCTTTATACCTCTTGAAGAATTCAGCTATGAATCTATCTGCTCCTAGGCTTTTTTTGGTTGGTAGACTATCAATTACTGCCTCAATTTCAGAACTTGTTATTGCTCTATTCAGGGATTTGACTTCTTCCTGGTTTAGTCTTGGCAGGGTGTATGTGTCTAGGAATTTATCCATTTCTTCTAGATTTTCTAGTTTATTTGCATAGAGGTGTTTATAGTATTCTCTGATGGCAATTTGTATTTCTGTGGGATCAGTCGTGATATCCCCTTTATCGTTTTTAATTGTGTCTATTTGATTCTTCTTTCTTTTCTTCTTTATTAGTCTTACTAGTGGTTTATCTGTTTTGTTAATTTTTTCTAAAACCAGCTCCTGGATTCATTTTTGAAGGGTTTTTCATATGTCTATCTCCTTCAGTTTCACTCTGATCTTAGTTATTTCTTGTCTTCTGCTAGTTTTTGGATTTGTTTGCTCTTGCTTCTCTAGTTCTTTTAATTGTGATGTTAGGGTGTCATTTTTAGATCTTTCCTACTTTCTCCTGTGGGCATTTAGTGCTATAAATTTCCCTCTAAACACTGCTTTAGCTGTGTCGCAGAGATTCTGGTACATTTTGTCTTTGTTCTCTTTGGTTTTAAAGAACTAATTTATTTCTACCTTCATTTCGTTATTTACCTCCTCAAGTGCATATACCTTATTTAGTAGATGGCCACTCAACCTTGAAGGTGTTGTTATTGAGCTGGTACCTTAGCTCACCTCCCAACAAGCAATTTCCCCATTATATCAGGGCAGCTGTGTACACAGAACAATAAATTTCATGATTATTATGTTATAATATACTTTTGTGGTTATAGGAGTCCTACAGTGATATATGTGACACCATGACAATGGATTGGGCCCTTGAATGGTGCTGGCAGAGACATTTGAGCAAGGAAGATTGAACCTTAAACAGGCCACTCTGTATTCTATTACTCTTTGTTCTATCAGGCAGCTGCTTCTGGTTATGAAATACATACTCAGGAGAGAGGGAAATAACTACAGGGTGTGTCTGAGAACCCTATAAATCAGTAAGATATGAACTCCATCCAACACTCATGTAGACTGCCGTAACAGGAAGACTCTAACAGTGTTTCAGTCCCTCTTGTATTAATTTCATCTCAGATCCCACATCTAACAGTCCTTAAAAGACTAGATATCCCCTTTTCTATAGCGCATGGCTACACTTGTAAATAGGCTCAGATTCCTTGGGAAAGCATCATAGTGCTGTACTTACCCTATATCCTGCATTTGCTTTGCAGAATCACCTCAGTGGGAATCCGAACTTCTTTTTAATTAGTGAGCTCAGAATCTGAGACCTGTCTTAAATTTGGAAACTTGATAAAGTGAGACTTCTCTTTATCAGCTCTTCTATTATTATTATTAAGCAAATTCTGGTTAATTGTCCATCTATCTTTCCCTTCATAACACGATGATATATTAGTAATCATCATAGATCTCTGTAGGTCAAACTCTGCTGATTGCTTTATGCAATTGTTGTCTTCTAAGATTTTTTATCTACCTCTGATTGTTGTTTAAATTTTTCTATCTGATCTCCAGTCTTCTGAAATTCTATATTCCAATTTGATGGTGACATTTTCTGCTATCATCTCTGGACTGGGGATAAATGATAGCCATCATCAAATTTCTCAAACATGTCAGTGTTTCTCCTCATACATACAATTTTTTGGTGCCCAAAATAAGGCAGTGTTCTCTGGATCCCTGGGGAGAAATAGTAAGGTTGTGAATTATCAGGGCCTTACTTAATAAGTGGCTTCTCATCTTTTACCTCTTGGTTCACAAATTGCATATTTGCTGCCTCACAGCAGTCTTCTCTGACAAACTGTATATGAAGAATGCTTTTCTATTGCTTCTTTATTATATTGACCTATTTATTCTTTCAACATGGCTAATGAGACTCTGGAAATTATATTTTGTTGATTATTTGAATACTTAGCCACTAGATTGTGAACATTTCAGTGACAGGAACAGTTCCTATCTTCTATTCTGCCACATCTTTGGCTCTTAGAAACTCAAAAACATTCTTATTGCAGAAAAAATGTTTTGTTTTTCCATTTAATGGTCTCTAGAAAGCTGCTACACCTTCTTATGTGTAGCAAGTGCTTTGATAGTAGTAGGTATCAAAATGTCTGGGAGGGGCTTAGTAAATGATACCAATTCTTCTGAATCACAGATTATTACCCAACAAAACATCACATTTATGTATATTAATAAAAGGTATTTTTAAGAGTGGAGAAATTCTACAAGAATTTTGGGAACATTTAACAAAGCAAAATATACATTTTGGGTGTACCAGAAGGAGCAGAGAAAGATAAATGGGCACAAATAAATATTTTTTAAATAAATAATGGCAGAAAACTTTTCATCTCTGGAGAGAGGGAAATGAACGTTCAGATCCATAAAGAAAAAATAACCCCAAATGAATTAAATATAAAGAGATCTTTAACAAGACATAATCAGTTTCTCAAAATTCAACAGAGAATTTTGTAATAAGAAAGGAAAAGCAACTTGTCACATACAAAGAAATTTTTATAAGACTATCAGTAAATTTCTCAGCAGGAACCTTGTAGGCCAGGAGACAGTAGGATGATATGTTCAAAGTACTGAAAGATAAAAAAAAACTGCCAACCAAGAATATTATACCTGGCAAGGCTGTCCTACAGAAATTAAGAAAAGATAAGGGCTTCCCCAGACATACAACAGCTGTGGGAGTTCATTGCCCCTAGTCCTGCCTTACAAGAAATGCTAAAGAAATTTCTTCAATTGAAATAAAAAGATGCTAAGAACATGAAAACCTGACCCAAAGTATAAAATTCAGTGTGCAGGTAAAAATATAGAGAAATTCAGAATATTCTAATTTTTAATTCTAACAAGACAGTTAAAAGGTAAAAGTATATGAATAAAGTGAAGCTACATGATTTGGTAATGAACACTCAAGATTTGGTAATGGATGTAAGTTGTGGCATTAGTAACATAAAATGTGGGGAGAAGGGAAGTTGAAATGTAGTTTTTTAAAATTTGGTTGAAGTTAAGTTGTTATCAGCTAAAAAATAGACTGTTATAAATATAGGATACTCTATGTAAGCCTCACAGTAACCACAAAGAAAAAACCTGTAATAGATACGCAAAAGATAAAGAAAAAGGAATTAAAGCATATGACTACAAAAATTATCAAAACACAAAGGAAGAAAACAAGACAGGAAGAGTTAAAGGACATATGAAACAGGTAACAACAAAATAACTGTAGTAAGTCCTTATCTATCAATAATTACTTTAAATGTAAATAAATTATATTCTCCAATCAAACAACACAGAGTGGCTGAATAGATAAAGAAACAATTTCTAACGATATGCTGCCTCGAGGAACTTTCTTTAGCTTTAAGGACACACATAGGCAGAATGTGAATTGTGATGATTGGAAAGGATACTTGATATAATTTCAGTCTTCTTAGATTTGCTAAGACTTGTTTTGTAGCCTAACATATAATCTATTCTGAAGAATGTGGTTGAGAAAAAAGTATATTCTGTTGCTGTTTGATGGAATGTTCTAGATCCTTTTAGTGTATAGCATTGTTCAAATGACAAATATGTGGATATACACAACATGCTCTTGAAAAACCAATGTGTCAAAGAAAAAATCAAAAAAGAAATTTTAAAAAATAGTGTCAGTTAAACGAAAATGGAAATACAGCATACCAAATTTTATGGGATGCAGCAAAAGCAGTTCTAGAAAAGAAGTTTATATAAACAAGTGCCTATCAAAAAAGAAGAAAGATCTTAAATAACTTAATGTTATACCACAATGAACTAGAAAAGTAACAAAGTCTATTGTTAATAGAAGAAAGAAATTAGTAAGTATCAGAGCATAGACAATGAAATAGAGACTAGAAAACCAAGAGAAAATATCAACAAAATAAAGAATTGTGTTTTTTTGACAAGATAAACAAAATCAACAAACTTTAGCTAGACTAAGAAAAACAGAGAAGAAAGACTCAAAGAAAGAAAATCAGGAATAAAAGGGGAAACATTACAACTGATACCACAGAAATACAAATAATTATGTAAGACTACTATAAATAATTTTTTACCAACAAATTGGATAACCTAGAAGAAATGAATAAATTCCTAGAAACATAAAACTTACCAAGACCAAATTATGAAGAAATAAAAAAATCTGGACAGGCCAATAATGAGTAAGGAGATCGCATCAGTTTAAAACAGTTTCTTATTAAAGAAAAGCCCAGATCTATGGCTTCACTGCTGTATTCCTACAAACATTTAAGAGGAACAAATAAATATTAATCCTTTAAAAAGTTTTTTTTTTAAATATTGAAGAGGAGAGCATACTTCCAAATCCATTTAATGCAGATAGTATTATCCTGATACCAAAGTCAAACAAGAAAACTACAAGAAAAGAGCATCACAAGCCAATATCCCTGAAAAACATAGATGTAAAAATCTTCAGCAAAATACTAACAAATAAAATGGACCATTCAACATCATGAAGTGGAATTTAGTCCTGGTGTGCAATGATAGTTCAATGTATGCAAATTAATAAATGTGATACACCATGTTAAAGAATGAAAAACAAAAACCATGTGCTCATCTCAACAGATGCAGAAAAAGCACTGGGCAAAATTAAACATCCTTTAATGATAAAAACTCTCAGCAAATTAGGTATAGAAGAAATGTAGTTCAACACCATAAAGCCATATATAACAATCCTTCAGCTAACTTGATACTCAATAAAACAAATTGAAAGCTTTTTCTCTAAGATCAGGAACAAGACAAGTTTGTCTACTTTCACAACTTCTATTAAATATAGTACTAGACATCTTAGCCAGAACAATTAGGCAAAAAAAAAAAAAAGAAAAAAAAAAGAAATGAAAGGCATTTAAATTGGAAAAGAAGTTAAATTATCCCTATTTGCAAAGAAATAATTTTATATGTAGAAAACCCAAAAGACTCCACCAAAAAAAAAAAAACTATTAGAACTAATAAATTCAGTAAAGGTTCAGAATACAAAACTAACATACAAAAATCAGTAGCATTCTTATACACTAACCATGACAAATCCGAAAAGGAAATTAAAAAAAAAAACTCATTTACAATTGCTATTTAAAAAGCAGCCAAAAAACTTAGGAATCAATTTAACAAAAGGGGTGAAAGATCTGTACAATGAAATTTATAAAATATTGATAAAAGAAATTGAAGGCACAAATAAATGGAAAGATATCCTGTGTTCACGGATTTAAAAAATCAATATTGTTAAAATGTCCATACTACCCAAGTGATCTACAGATTCAATGTAATCCCTATCAAAATGCCAATGACATTTTTTACTGAAATAGAAAAATAAAATCCTGAAAGTTTTATGGTATTATGAAAGAATTCAAATAGCCAAAGCAATATTGGGGTATGGGGGATGGTCATGGAAACAAAGCTAGAGGTATCACACTATCTAACTTCAAATTCTTCTACAAAGTAATTGTAATCAAACACCATAATAGTGGACTAAAAACAGGCACATAAACCAATGGAACAGAATGGAGAGCCTGAAATATATCCACATTTATGGTCAATTGATTTTTCACAAAGCTGCCAAGAGCACGCAATGGGGAAAAGAGTTTCTTCAATAAATGTATTGGAAATACTGGATGTCCATATACAGAAAAATTAGATTTTTATTTCATACCAAATAAAAATATCACCTCAATATTGATTAAAGATTTAAACATAAGACCTGAACTATAAAAGTACTAGAAGAAAACATAAGGGAAAAGCCCCATGACATGGATCTGGGAAATTACTTTTTGAATATGACCTCAAAAGCACAACAAAAGCAAAAATAGGCAAGTAGAATTATAACAAACTATAAAGCTTCTGCACAGCAAAGGAAATCATCAACAGAGCGAAGAGACAGTCTATTAAATGTGGAAAAATATTTGTAAACAATGCATCTGATAAGAGGTTAATATCCAATATATACATTAAACAACTCGATAGCAAGGAAACAAATAATCCTATTGAAAAACGAGCAAAGGACTGGAATAGAGATACAAAATGGCCAACAGGTATATGAAAAAATGTGCATATTACTAATCGTCAGGGAAATGCAAATAAAAACCACAGTGAAATATCACTTTATACCTTTTAAAATGGCTATTATAAAAAAGACAAAAGCTAATAATTTTCGTTGAGGATGTGGAGAAAAGGGAACTCATGCCCATGTTGGCAAGAATGTAAACCAGCATAGCCATTATGGAAAACAATATGTAAGTTCCTCAAAAAATTAAAAATAAAGCTGTCATATGATCCAGCAATCCCACTACTGGGTATATATCCACAGTATATGAAATCACTATGTCAAAGAGATAACTACACTCCTATGTTCATTGAAACATTATTCACCATAGCCCTGATATACAAGCAACCTAATTGTCCAACAATAGATGAATGAATAAAGAAAACGTGGTATATATACACAATGGAATACTAGTCAGCCTTAAAATGAAGGAAATCTTGTCATTTGGATGAACCTAGAGGTCATTATGTTAAGTAAAATAAGCCAGGCACAGAAAGATAAACACTACCTTATCTCATGTATATGGGGTATCTAAAAAATCCATCTGAGAGAAGCCGAGTAGAATGGTGGTTGCCAGGACACAGGGTAGAGGAAAGTGAGGGATTTGGGGAAATGTTGGCTAAAGGGTACAAGGTTTTAGTTAGGATGAATACATTCTAGAAGTCTATTGAACTACATTGTCACTATTGTTAATAATATTGTATTACTATTGATTAAAGATTAAATCTCAAATGTTCTTACCACAAAAAATGTCATGTGTGTGATGTGCTGAATATGTTAATTAGCCCAATTTAATCCTTTCACATGAATATTTATATCAAAACATCACCTTGAGCATTACATATATACAATGTTATTTGTCATTATACCTTAATACAGCTGAAAAAAAATGTTTAAAATGTTCTGTCTTCGAACATTATAGAAATGCTTGCAAAGTTACAGATAAATAAAATTTATTATTTAATAAAATAAAATCAATTTTATTTCTCATTTATATTTGAGTTTTTATTGTTACTAAATTGAACACATTTTATGATGTTAAAAAGCAGGGGCTGAATTGACTATCTTTTATTCTAAATACTTCTATGGTACATATCATGGTATACAATTAAAGAAAACATCCACATCTAAATTTTGTGAAGGAATCAAATAGCAATATTTGATGACATCAAGTATTTTATGTGTTGGCCTTAGACAGCATTAAAAATTTGTGTTTCTTTTAAAATTTGTTTATAGACTATATGGTCTCTTTTTTGTTAATTGCTTTAATCCTTTCAGATGAATATTTCATATCATACTTATATTATGATACATATATATCATATACGCAAACATTTATATAATGTTTGCAAGATAGAACATTAAAGAAAACTTTTTCCAGCTTTATTAAGGTATAATTGACAAATAAAATTGTATATATGTAATGCTCAAAGTGACGTTTTGACATAAATATTCATGTAAAAGGATTCAATAGTCTTTTCTTAATTCAAACTTACAAAAAATGTATGCTCTTAAAGGGGGATGAGGAAAGAAGAAGAGATCATAACCCAATAAAAGTTCTGAAGTGAGAATTCTGACATTGTATGCTATTCAGAAAACTTGTATTGATCCACTTGATACACTCAAGTTCATCCTAGAAATTCAATTCTTACACAAGAAAGCCCATTGTCTAGGAGACATCCCAATGGAATAGGAACTTTTAGAAAAGATTTAACAAAATGCTTTCTTTTCCTATAGCAGAAATAACAATCTCCCTAGAGGAATAAGCTTGTTGTAATTTAGAACTATTTTTAAATCTTATCCAATATTCAAATAGTTTTCATCTTTCCCCCTCCCTGCCTAGGAATTCCATTGCTAAGAAGGTGAGTCAATACATATATATATTCCTCACTTTGAATGGAAAATGTTAAATTACTAATTTTCAATAAATATTTTATGTTTTATAATCCTTTGATGAACACTTTCCCCCTTTACCATATGAAGGCATGCTTTGTGAAAGGTAAGTGAATTACAACATAAACTTCTATTTAAGTTAGCTTCAAAATGAAGAATCTGGAAATTCACAGCATGTTTTAAACTGGCCCACGTGACATCTTTCTACTCATATACTTAGGTAGATTAATCAGAAATTTTTATTGCTTTCTTAAATTCCAGAAACCATAAACAAACAAATTCTACAAAAGCCAAGTTTTATAGCCCTGAACAAGATAAGGAGTTATAGTATTTATAGTATCACAGCAGAAAGTTCTGTTAGTATGGAACTTATACTTATTATTATTTTTAATCATAGTTCACTTGTTAACACTAGAGATTAAGCAAAATAAATGGTTTAAAAAAAAATAAGCCTACAGATTTTTTTTTGTAATTCAATCTCATATTTGTTTAATTCTTGGGAAAGTTGCTTTGTATAGATCTATGTTACTGCACTCAGCAGAACCTTTGACATTTGTGTTACTATAAAAAAGATGTATATTATTTTTACTTTGGATATTCTGGAACTGGGATACAGCAAGATTTCATATATTCATTTTACTTTCAAGGTATTAGATGAGGTGTGTTACAACAGATGAGTAGGAGATCACTGGGCAATAGGCAGTCAATAGAAGAGCCTTGGGTAGCTCGTAAAGTAGGTACAAGGGCTTTGTTGCTGAATGGCACGACTTTGGTCTGTTTAAATTAATCCAATTGCTTCAGTTTGTAAATTTAATTTCCACATTCTGGAAACCTTGTTTACAGTTTTTGTTAATAGAAGATGCTTACTGCAAACTTCCAGAACTCAAAGAATAGAGTGATCTTGCAGGGCATGGTGGCTCACACCTGTAATCCCAGCACTTCAGGAGGCCGAGGCAGGAGGATCACTGGAGGCCAGGAGTGTGAGACCAGGCTGGTCAACATTGCGAGACCTTCTCTCTACCAAAAAAATAAATAATGATAATAATAAATTAATTAATTTAATTTAAACATTGTTTTAAAAAAGAAGAGAGTGTTAAAACCCCATCGTCTCAGCCCAAAAACACCTTAAGCTGATAAACAACTTCAGCAAAGACTCAGGATAAAAAAATCAATGGACAAAAATCACAAGCATTCCTGTACACCAATAATAGACAGCAGAGAGCCAAATCATGAGTGAATTCTCATTCACAATTGCTACAAAGAAAATAAAATACCTAGTAATAAAACTTACAAGGGACATGAAGGACCTCTTCAATGAGAACTACAAACCACTGCTCAAGGAAATAAAAGAGAACACAAACAAATGGAAAAAAATTCCATGCTCATGGATACAAAGAATCAATATTGTAAAAATGGCCATACTGCCCAAAGTAATTTATATATTCAATGCTATTCCCATCAAGCTGTCATTGCCTTTCTTCACAGAACTAGAAAAAAACGACTTTAAATTTCATATGAAACTAAAAAAGAGCCTGTATAGCCAAGACAATCCTAAGCAAAAACAACAAAGCTGGAGGCATCATGCTACCTGACTTCAAACTATATTACAAGGCTACAGTAACCAAAACAGCATAGTACTGGTACCAAAACAGATATATAGACCAATGGAACAGAACAAGGGCGTGAGAAATAACACCACACATCTACAACTATCTGATCTTCAACAAACCTGACAAAAGCAAGCAATAGGGAAAGGATTCCCTATTTAATAAATGTCGCTGGGGAAACTGGCTAGCCATATGCAGAAAACAGAAACTGGACCCCTTCCTTACACCTTATACAAAAATTAATTCAAGATGGATTAAAGACTTAAACGTAAAATCTAAAGCCATAAAAACTTTGAGAAATCCTAGGCAATATCATTCAGGACATAGGCATGAGCAAATACTTCATGACCAAAACATCAAAAGCAATAGCAACAAAAGCCAAAATTGACCAATGGGATCTAATTAAACTAAAGAGCTGCTCAGCAAAAGAAAGTATCACCAGATTAAACAGGCAACCTACAGAATGGAAGAAAATTTTTGCAATCTACCCATCTGACAAAGATCTCGTATCCAGAATCTACAAGGAACTTAAACAAATTTATAAGAAAAATACAACCCCATCAAAAAGTGGGCAAAGAATATGAACAGACACTTCTCAAAAGAAGACATTTATGCAGGCAACAAACGTGGAAAAAAAAGCTCATCATCACTGGTCATTAGAGAAATGCAAATCAAAACCACAATGAGATACCATCTCATGCCAGTTAGAATGGTGATCATTAAAAAGTCTGGAAACAACAGATGCTGAAGGGGATGTGGAGAAATAGGAATGCTTTTACACTGTTGGTGGAGTGTAAATTAGTTCAACCATTGTGGAAGATAGTGTGGTGATTCCTCAACGATCTAGAACCAGAAATACCATTTGACCCAGCAATCCCATTACTGGGTATATATCCAAAGGATTATAAGTCATTCTACTATAAAGACACATGTACATGTATGTTTATTGCAGCACTATTTACAATAGCAAAGACTTGGAATCAACCTAAATGCCCATCGATGATAGACTGGATAAAGAAAATGTGGCACATATACACCATGCACTACTCTGCAGCCATAAAAAAGGATGAGTTCATGTACTTTACAGGGACATGGATGAAGCTGGAAACCATCATCCTCAGCAAACTAACACAGGAACAGAAAACCAAACACCTCATGTTCTCACTCATAAGTGGGAGTTGAACAATGAGAACACATGGACACAGGAAGGGGAACATCACACACTGGGGCCTGTTGGGGGATCCGGAGAAAGCAGAGGAAGAGCATTAGGACAAATACCTAATGCATGCGGGGCTTAAAACCTAGATGACTGGGTTGATAGGTGCAGCAAAGCACCATGGCACATGCATACCTATGTAACAAATCTGCATGTCCAGCACTTGTATCCCAGAACTTAAAGTAAAATAAAAAATAAATAAAATAAATAAACAGTGATCTGAAATCAGGGTAGAGGAAAGGAGGAGCGGCAAGGGCAAGGAATATGTTTCAGGCTGTGTTCCTCTCCCCATATAAATCGGAATCAGTGGGGGTAGCGGGATCTACCTACCTTAAAAATCTACCATACTGAAGGTCTCCAAGGTTGTCAGACCCACTGGATGAAGAAAACTAAATTACAAACATAAACTCTAAAATAAAGACAAAGGAAACATACAATAAAATAATAGATTCAGTGGCACAAGAAGCAACCAGAGTTTCTTTTTTTAAAATCTATTTTAGCTTAGTTTATTTTAATTTATCTATTTATTGATAACTCTACCTTCTAATAAGGTTGTTCTCTGCATGGCACTGTGGTGCAGACAATTCAGTCCTCAGAAAGGAGCAGGGACAATTTCACACATGTTGAACGCTCAAGTATAGCATATAAATAAGTGGATATTGTTATTCATTGCAATATTTTAGTAGCAGTAAATGGTTCTTATTTTATGAAATAAATCCATGAGCATTAGACAAAAGTTGAGTATATTAGTAAACAATATGTACAAACATTTTACTGATTTTTTTATTCCTAATGAATTGTGCTCAACAAAACTTTTATGGGTAAATGACAAGAAGTAGGGCTATTGTCCACTGCATTTCAATTTCCAACATAACATTTGGAAGTATATAAGTTTGACGGCAAAAGAAACTTTCAAGGAAGAACTGTTCAGTAATGAGACTGTAGTTTTTCATGATTCTGTTTATGACTTAAGGGGATATTTACTTGTATACTACCCCAGTTTGTGATATATTCATCAAGAATAATAAAGAAACTGACATGAGGGAATTTCAGTTTTCAACACCCTGACGTATTTTAAAGTTTAATAGATGAGGTTATTCAAATGCAAAACAACTACATTCAAGTCAGTACATAAAAACATGTTGAAATTTTCCTTTTATCAAAATATGAGTCAACGCTTGCCCAAATTCAAAACAATTACTGTTTTTGGGAGATAAACAGCAAAATAATTTTCTGCTTTTGTTGGTGTTAGAATTAGGTGCTATATCAGTGTAATAGCCGAGAGTGATATGGTCTAGTAGTATTTTGATGAATTACATGATTATAGTAAAAATGAGCAATTTCATCATGCTTGAATTAATAATGGTACTATGATTTGGCAAGTACTCTTGCAACATTCTCTAACTCATCACTTCAGAAGACAGACTTATATAGTCCATCCATTGTTTTAGAAAATACAGGCTGTAATCGAGTTTAAAAAGCAGAAGGGCCCGGAGAAACATGTCAGCTTTAGAAAGTAATGCATGTACCGGTTCTCATAACAGTATTGCTTGATTATATTACCTCTTACTGGTTATTTTAATCTCTTGCACAACTAACAGTAAATCAGAAAATAGAAATAAATTTTGGAACATTAAAATGTTTACCAAATTTAATTAAAAGTGCTACACACCCCACGGTACTCCTGAGACATTGTACATGTATGTGTGTTATTTTACATTTAGATTTAAGATAATTAAGAAGGATAATATAGAATCAATGCAGCATTCATTTGGGTATCAATCAAGTAAAACACACATACAGAACTGAACATTACATAATTTCAGTCATAAAGAGTACAAATTATGAATTTATTTAATATATTCATAACTAAGTACTCTTCTTTAATGTAACTCACAGTTTGTTTCACAAAATTATTCTGTTCTTTTTCTTTAAAATCTTACATGCCCGGATACATTTCTTAAAAGATACACATTAAGGCACTCTTTTAAGGATTTATACTTAAAGCCTACATTGTAGATCAGAAATAGTCAAAATTAACAGTTTAACATCTTATTTACAGAGATATTTTAACATAAAGCTAAATTACAGATTATCCTTCCTTCTTGAAACAACTTGTAAATATTTTAATAAATACCACTAATGTAAGTATAAAATGAGCATTGAAAACCAATCTACAGTAAATTATATGTTTCTTGCAAATTTTAAACTGATGTCTTATCTGATATATAGGTTTTATTTCTTTTTGAACTTTTAAATAGCATAAAATTGTGTATCCATTATTTTAATGCTACTATTTTTAGCAATCTCAAAATGTACACTCATTCTGTAATATTTTATCTATAATTGGTATCAATAAGACAAAACCTCTTATACTTACTAGAGTAGATTATTTCAAAACAGATATATCTTATTAAAATTTGTGTTACCTTTTTCTCTTTGTGAGTGGTCTTTAAAATATGGATGTTTTGAATTTGAGTTGTAAAATAAAACTGAAAAATATTTACATTTCATTTTTATCAAAGACATTCACAAGTGAAGGCTGTATTTTTATGCCATCCTATGCAAAGCTAGGCAATGGTTCTGGTCTCCATCATTATAAGGTTATTCAGACATGGTGAAAACAGAAGGAAGGTTTGATACGAACTTAGCTTATTTGATTACCTTAAGCAAATCATATGCTTTAAACTTTGGAATTATATGCAGTGTCCTAGAATGCAGTAGTTGACAATCGCCAGAGCCTTGCCTCCCAAAATAGAATAAAACTATTTTGAAGATAGAGAAAAACACAAAACAGCTTCATGTTTTCCTGAATCATTTGTTTTAATCAAAGGAAAAACATATTTGTGTTCTTAAAAGTTGTTTTTATCCATAAAGATAAGCAAATGTTATCAACTGAGTTCTTTTCTATGAAGCCAACCTTGTGTAATTCAAGAGCTAAGAGAACAAGCCATAATTAATGTCAATGAATGACTGAAAATGGTGTGTGTGTGTTTGTGTGTGTGTGCGTGTGTGTGTGTGTCTTTAGAGCTTGATGGTATAAACAAGGCATTCCCATTTCTAGCCATGCAGCATTGCCTTGGCAGGAAGGATAGTGTTTGTATTAGTGCCTCACAGACGGTGCACATTTGTAAGTCCTCAGAGGCCTTCAGAGTTAGCTTTCTAAAAAAAAAAAATCACTTGTTTGATTTTTTTTTAATATTTCATCACGAAAAGCCAAAATGACTTTCACCAATTAGGTCAAATTCCTCCAGACTATGTTTTGTTTATAACCCCTGGATTGTTCTTAGCTGTGTTTCTTCCACTTTGAACTACTTGTAAAGTATATGTCCTTAACATTCTGTATGGAGACTTCCTCTTCTTAAAATTGCAAATTAGAAAATAACTAAGTAACCTTCTCATTGAGAAAACTAGAAATTAGGAGGTGGGAGCAGTTACTCAAAATAGCTGCTTGAAGGCATCAGAAAGCTAAAAGTTATGAAATGTTTCTAGCTCAATTTCCAAGAGAAGATTGAAATCCACAGAAGTGAGTCACCTTTGGGACCTCTGCAGATTCTCAGAGAGGTGGCTGCAAGTCTGAATAGCTCTTCTGAAATTCTTTCATGGCTTGCAGTCACAATTTAGAGTAAAGGGTTCACAAGGACAGTGACCCTGGTATAATCCCCTTATCTCTGAATTGGGACAGAAGGTGAAGTGGACACAAATCAGTCCTCATACAGACCAAACCATAGTCCAGCCTCTAGTCATTTGAATGGCCTTGGAAATATTCGTTGCTCAAATTTCTTTAGGGTATTCTGGAAAGCTACTTCTCCCAGGTGCCACACCAGTGGAAAACAATATCCTAAACTTCAAACTATATCTACAAATAAATTATCGGTTATCATGTCGAGCATCTAATTATACACAACCAAGGAGACAAAAAATATATAAATCAGAATAAATTGGAAAAAAGGGAAACTGAAAGACATCCACTGGGGCTCCTGATATTGGAAATATAAAATGCAGACTTTCAATAAAAACAATGCTTACTACACTTCAGGTCATTTTAAAGACAAGAATAACAATCTGGAAAAATAATTTGAAATGATAAAATATTAGAAGACAAATATGACTTCTAGAACTGGAAATTGTAAGAAACAAGATAAAAAAGTTTATGAATAGTTTTAATGCAGAATAGATGTGAATAAAAGAGAATTAGAGAGGTACGAGAGAGACCAGTAGAAGACACCAGGAATGGATCATGACAGACAGCAAGATTTTAAAAACTTTTAGAAGAAAGGATAAGAAACAGAGTGTACAGATATTAGACCTAGTGAACTTTTATTTGGAGTGCATATTTCAAGGGATGCCTTCTCTGTAGTATATAAGAATATCCCAGGACAGGTCTGGACCCTCAGTCCTGATGAAATGTTACCTCCTTATGGAAGACTCCCTTGAACCCACATTTTAAAACTTCATTTATTTACCTTTATAGGACTTTATATTCTATCCTTACATTATTATAATCTACTTTACACAGATCAATTTATTTATTCAGTAAGTCCCAAAATTGTTTGTTTTGCAAAGACATTTACGTGCTCAGAAGAAAAAAAAAAGATGAATATCATAGATCTTGCATAAAAGTTTGGGTCCTCTTACTTACTAAACTGTCTGTTCTCTTTGATTCATATTACACAGAGCTGTTTAAATAAAGATTGCTATCTTTTTTGTGAGCAGAAAATTCATGTCTTTCTGTTTATTTCAGATATAATACAGGTCCTGTAGTTTCAACCATGGATCAACTGTGTGAACCATCTGTGGATACCTTATGTCAGTGTACCTAAATTAAAAGAACAAGTTATGAGACCTTAATTAATCTCTTGAAAGTAATGTTTGTAGTTTTTCATATTCAAAGTAATTGAAAACAACTTACTCTTGTTAATGGTAGAGGCATGATGAAAAGCCAAATCTTCCATACTGATTCTTTTAACAAAGGAATAAAAACAATCTGCAAACTATATTAACTACTGAGTTATAAACTGCTTAGTCTCATAATCTTCAGGCATATTTCTTAAATTTATAGGTTAATTTTTCCACTGTCTGAGGTAAATAATTGTGATTAGATTACCCATTGCTTTAATTCTACATGCTTATTTAATTTTTTTTTCAGAATACTAATACATGTTCACAGTGGAGATAAATAGAAAATATTCTAAAGCAAATGGAGGTTAATTTAAAAGTACTGGTTATCCCACCAAATCAGAGATAAATTTAGTATTTTTCCTATAAATATATGTGTGACTGTATTTATGAAAATGGGATTATATTGTAATGGAGGTAATACCTTGTAGGGCTGCCAGTAAGATAAAATGAGAACATGTTGCCGAGTGCCTGGTATGCCACAAGTGCTCAATAATCTAGCTATTAAAAGATAGTATTTACACTTTTAAAATCTATTTTTATCACTAGACTTCATATAATGAACATTTGTTGTGGGTACATACTCATTTACAATTCCTGTTTCTCTAAAATTATAGAACCATATTTAGTTGTGTGGATAAATCTAATTTTTTTCTATTGCTAGAAAAAATATTTCTAATTATAATAATGGGAAAAAGCAAGACAGATATCCTTGCTGATGATCTTTTTTTAAAAAATTCTTTTTAGTGAGATCTCTTTGGTTAGTTTCTAGTATGATATACATCTGTATGTTGAAACTACTTTATTTTTTATGACCCAAACAAAACAAGTATCTCACATTGATTTAACTGTTTACCCTCCTCTCACTCTTTGTGCTAGCATAGTCACATATTTTACAATTACACGTTATATATCCTACAAGATATTATGTTAAACGCCAGTTATAAGTTTATTGCCTCTCAGCTGTGATCTGCCCTACATTACTTGCTCATGATACTAGAATTGCACCCCATAATCCAGGGGTGTCCAAGCTTTTGGTTTCCCTGGGCCACATTGGAAGAATTGTCTTGGGCCACACATAAAATACGCTAACAGCAACGATAGCTGATAAGCTGAAAAAAAAAAGCTCCGTGCATAAATCTCATAATGTTTTAAGAAATTTCATGAATTTGTGTTGGGCTGCATTCAAAATCGTCTGAGCAGCCCATGGACCACGGGCTGGACAAGCTTGCTGCAATCAGTTCTCCTTCATCAGTTGGCTCAATAGTAAGCTTTGCGGTGGGGCGGGGGGTGCTGTTGGGACACTGCAGGGCAAAGCAAGGGAAGAAGCTTGTCTTCTGGGTTCTGCTGGCCTTTCTTTCTGCTTCCTATGGCATTGCTTCCAGCAGCACATGAAACAATGTTCAGTGGCTCTCAAGTTTCAGATTTTCACCAAAAATCAAGCAACTTCCTGCTCACCATTCCCAGTCTACTGGCTGTGGAACAGCTCTGTGCCATGGCACCCAGTGAGTGTCTTCACCCTCCAGTAGGCCACAGACTTATCCTCTTTAGCAAGAACTGAATCTCAGGCTAGTAGTAGTGTTGGGAAGCAAGGGGTCACCCAGGTTTATTTCATCTTTGGGTGCTCTTCCTTAGCCTTGGAGATAGAAGGCTATTTGCTATTCCTGTATTACTTAGCATTTTCTTATATTCTTTTGTTATATTTGTTAACCACCTTTTACTAAATAATTCTTTTTTTTTTTTTTGGAGTCTTGCTCTGTAACCCAGGCTGGAATGCAATGGCATGATCTTGGCTCCCTGCAACCTCCACCTCCTGGGGTTCAAGTGATTCTCCTGCCTCAGCCTCCGAGTAGATGGGATTACAGGCCCCCGCTACCATGTCAGGCTAATTTTTGTATTTTTAGTAGAGACAGGGTTTCACCACATTGGCCAGGCTGGTCTCAAACTCCTGACCTCAGGTGATTCACCCGCCTCAGCCTCCCAAAGTGCTGGGATTATAGGTGTGAGCCACCGAGCCCAGCCTATTTAATAATTCTTTTATACTAATATTTTTCTGCTCAAATTATTACTGTGCTTTCTGTTTCTTGGTCAGAACCTGGTTTTTTTTTATAACTTTAAGTCATTAATATTCATTTTCATTTACTTACACATTTATCGTTTCTGGTCATTTCATTCCAACTTGAAGCTTTGAGTTTGCATCTGAGATCATGTTTCTTCATGGTGATGAAATCTTTTCAGTAATATTTGAAGTGCAAGTGTGAGGAATGCAAGGAGTCAGGGTTTTTGTTTATTTTATCTGAAACCTTTATTTCACCTTCATCTTAAAAGCACATATTCAGTGGATATACACTTTAGTAGCTTTTTTATTCTTTTCAGTACTTTAAATATTTCAATCTATCGTTTTCTAGCTCCCCAAATTTGGTTGACATGTATGTCATCAGTATATGGCTCCCGTGGATGTAATATCAGATCTTGCTTTGGCTGCTTGTGGAATTTTATGTTTGTATTTGATTTTTAGCAATTTGACAATGATTGCCTATGATTAGTTTTCTATGTATGTATCCTATGGGATTTGCTGAGATTCTTTCTTCTGTGGGTTGATGTTGTTCTTTGGATTATTACTTCAAAAAATTTTTTTGCATCATTCTCTTACCCCTTGCACTCTAGGAGTCTAATTAAAGCTTATTTGACCTTTCGGTTGAGTCCCACCTATTCTCATATATTCTGACTTTTTTTTTAGAATTCATTTTTCTGTCTGTACTTCAGTTTGAATATTTTCTATTGACATATTTTCTGAGTTCACTCATCTGGTTCTCTGCTATGTTCAGTATGTTAAGCCCATCCAGTGAGACATCTACCACCAAACTAGTAAGGGGGTTTTTAGTATTTTTTTTTAATTATTAAGATAGAATCTACATAGGTGTATATATGGTATTTGTCAATTACTATCAACAGATGTTTATATCTAAGTACAAAAACCATAGTCAACATATAAATCATTCATTCTCATCATCTCAGAAATTTTCTTCATATCCATTTGCAGTCAATTCACAGACCTCGTAAGTACGTATTCTTCACATTTCTGTAACCATAGATGAGCCCTTCCTGTTCTTGAACTTCATATAAATGAAATCACACAGCATGTACTCCTTTGTATCCACATACTTTTATTTAACATCATGTTTTTGAGATTTACCAATGTAGTCGCAGGGACTGGTAAGTTATTATTACTATTATTCTTATTACAACTACTACTATATACACATATACATATATGCATGTATGTGTATTCTACATGTATTCTTATTACAACTACTATATACACTTACATGTATATATGTATATGTGATATTACATTCACGGGAGCCATATACTAATGACATACACTTCAACCAAATACACACATACATGTATATATGTATATGTGTATATAGTAGTTGTAATAAGAACAATAGTAATAATAAATGAATTTTTATTTATCTAGACAGTTCCTAGGAATGGAATATTGGACCATATGATAAGTTTAAGTGTATAAGAAACTTTTGGTTTTCCAAAGTGGTTGAACCATTTCATACTTTGACAGCAATTAATGGGAGTTCCAGTGGCTCTGCAGTTTCATCAACATTTGGTGTTGCAGTAATTTTCTTTTTTGTTGTTCTTTTTTTTTTTTCTAACCAGTCTAGGTGTGTATAGTAGTGTCTTCTTGTCATTTGAACTGTATTTCCCTGATGACTAAGATGTTGAGCAATTTTTATGTGCTTATTAGCTAATCATATATCTTCCTTTTAGAAGTTCCTAAAGAAATTTGCCCATTTTTGCTGTAGTTTTTATTTTTACTTATCATTAAAAGTTGCTTATGTAGTCTAAATATAAGTCCTTCTTCAGTTATGTGTATTGCAAATATTTCCTCTCAGTGTGTGATCTGCTTTATTTTCTTAACAGTATTGGTTAAGAGAAGTCTTTAATTTTGATAGAGTCCAGTTTATTTGTATTTTTTCTTTTGTGGAATCTATATTTTTATATTTTTTTCCAAAACACTTTATAGCTTTTGGTTTTATATTTAGTCTATGATCTATTTCAAATTAAATTTTTTGGTATGGAGTGGGGTATGTGTCAAAGTTTTTTTCTTGTTTTGATTTTCTTTTACATTTATCTAGTTTTTCTGGAACCATGTTTTTCAAAATTTTTTTTCTCCATTTATTGCCTTGGCCCTTTGTTGAAAACCAATTGATAATATGTGTCTATTTCTGCAATCTATTATGATTCTTCAATCTATTTATCTATCACTACACATGAGATTTTGATCTGGATTACAGCATTTAGGGAAAGTAAACATCTTAATATTGGGTCTTCTAATTCACATAGTCTATCTACTCTCTTAAGATGTGGCTTAGGTGTTATTATATCTTAGAGGAATTCCAGGTCCTGTATCTCTCTCCATGTTGGCTTAGGGGATCTTCATTTGTGTCCTCATATGTGAAAATTACATATTTCTACAGTTTATCAATTTATGCAAGTAAGTTATACTTAGTCATGGACCATACATTATTTGTTTCTTTACTTTCTAGCAGAAAAATAAATGGGACCAAAGAAAGTATTCTTTATATAATTACAGTAATAATTCATCTAAGATGCTGGTTTAGGAGGACATTTAGTTAATTATACATATATTTTAAATACTAAGGGCCAGCCAGTCATTATTTTTTGGATGGAAAACATAAATACATGAACCTTATCATCAAAAAAATGTTATAGGTAGCATTGCTAACCCCATTTTGTTTGTTTGTTTTTTTGAGACATAGTCCCACTCTGTTGCCCAGGCTGGAGAGCAGTGACACAATCTCAGCTCATTGCAACCTCCACCTCGAGTTCAAACAATTCTCCTGCTTCAGCTTCCCAAGTAGCTGGGACTACAGGTGTGCACCACCATGCCTATCTAATTTTTGTATTTTTAGTAGAGACTGCATTTCACCATGTTGGCCAGGCTGGTCTCTAACTCCTGACCTCAAGTGATCTGCTCGCCTCAGCCTCCCAGAGTGCTAGGATTACAGGCGTGAGCCACTGCACCTGGCCACTAACTCTGTTTAAATAGATTTTGCACATTTTTAAACACTGAGTTGTAAGTGTATCACCGCATATAAATTTGCTTCCATTTTTCATTGGTTTCCTTGATTCTTATAAATCAGTCATAACTATTATTATAAATATATATTCATATTCACATATTTTTCCTTTTTTAAATTTTGGCTATGGACTACAGATACTATATTTTGAGTGTTTTAGATATTTATCAGTTTTTTCTGAAGAATTCATAGTAAAATTGAGTCCAGCTATTGTTCCTCAGAATATAATTTAGATAATAAATAAGAAAATGAGTAAATGTGGGTGAGAGTATTTATTTCAAATTTTGACCTTTTTTATACAGGAAATTTTGCTAGGGAAATTACTGTTCCATTTGATTCTGAATGATTTTGATGTTTGTTGTCCCTTGTATAAATTGTTCATCAATGTTTCTGTTCATTTTCCCATTAAGTTTCATCAATTTTCCTAGTTGATTTGCAAAAGTACTTGAATTGCAAGCATTAATTCTTTGTCTGCTTTTGTCTCTGAATACATTACTCACATATTAACCTTATCTGCAGTATCTACTGTTCAACACAGATGTTCCTATGGCATTCAACTTTATCTATTGTTTGTAACTTTGGGGTCTTACTCAGAAGTCCTTCTTTACCTAACTTTGACATTTTAGCTATCATAATTCACCATTGTGTACAGTGTAACTGTGATATATCTTAATTGTATCCAAATAGTAAACCATTTTCTCAACATTTTCTATCTAAGTTGTGCATACTTCTTCTGCTGGTTTATTGTGCCACTTCTCTCATATGCCAAGCGCCTATGTGTGTATGTGTGTCCCTTACCTTTCCATTCTATTCTAATTTAAATGTTTATTACTGAACCAATTTTACACTGTTTTTAATTCTATAAATTTGGAGTATGTGTTCATATGTGGAAGTATGAGTTTTATAGTTAGCTGTTGTTTTTTAAATAGACTTAGCCAATTATAGTGTTCTAATAAAAATGGAGCCATTGTATTGCACAGCTCCAGAAGGTGCCCTTTACATAAACTACGAAGTGAAGGACGGTCCCTGTTATTACAATATATTCCATGTGAATGGTGCTCACTAGAGTTCGATGACACAGCAGTTCTGGAGTTCTGAATTTTCACTCTGAATTGTTTTATGTATGTGTTTGTGTGTGTGTATAAGTGTGTGTATGTGTATTGTTTGTAGCAAGTATGAATGCAAGCTCTGGAGCTAAACTACTGGGTTCAAATCCTGGCATTTTTATTTCCCATGTGTGTGAAATTTATTTGCTTCAATTTTGTATTCCATAAAATAGAGACAATGATAAGACCAACTTCAGGGGATTTACATGTTTGATATTTATTATTTATCATAGCTTTTAATACTCTCTTTTCTGCTGATAGAAACCACCTAAATATATTTATCTTTTTATACCCAATGGTACTATCAAAGAGGTTCTTTGTGTAATGAAACTTATCAAGAAATGTGCTTGAGAATATCTTTATTGGGCTTTGCTCATTTAAATGGTAGTTTAACTATATATATGACTATATAGTTGGAATTTCTTTTTCTTTATGATGCTGAAAATATTACTGCTCTGCTACTTAGTACATTATCTGTAGATGTTGAGAAGCAAGACTGTTTCTCAGTTTATTATAGAAGATCTATTTTTTTTCTCCTTGGTGGCCTTTAAAATTGTCTTTATGTTTTTGTAATTCTTAGATTTCACTGCATTTCTAGGTATCAGTCGTTTTTATTATTTGTCCTGCTTGACTTGCCATAAATCCTTTGTATCTGAGTTCTCATAATTTTATTTGTTAAACTCCGCATCAGTAATTCATTAAATTTTTCCAGTCATTTCTTTTTTAATCTGTTTGAATTTTTTGGATATGTAACTTAACCTTCCCCTTCATTCTGCATTCCTTTATTAGCATTCTCCCTTTGTAATCCTTCTCAATAAACTGCGTCATCTTGTTTTCCATTTCTCTTGCTAATTCTTCAGCTGTGTGTATGTGAACCATATACTGAGTTCTCTTTTCTGTGATGTTTTCACACCCAGAACTACTAGTTGTCATTGTTGCTATATTTTACTATTGTTTCTGTTTCAATAAACAAAGTGTACAATACTTTCTTTTGCTTATTTGAAGATATTTAGCATACTCATTTTAAAGTTAATTTGTAGGTTTGCAGTTTGTTGTCTTCAGCCTATAGGTTTGCAGATTGGTGTCTTTGTCTTATATTTGTCTTTTTATTTTCCCTTGTGAGTTTGTATTGTCTTTGGGAGTTAGTCACCTTTACTGGGTTGTACACTTGGGGATGGGATGATAATTTTTGTCCTGGCCTTTGTCTTTCTTGGTGACTTTAGGGGACAGGAGACATGCCATAGCATAAAGAGCTTTTATGAGATAATCTGTACATTTACTCAGACACTGTCTTTTAAAGAGATATTTCTTTTCTCCCTGTCTCCTAGGCCGACTATTCCTGCAAGGGTACAAAATAGAGGAAGGGAAAAGGCACTTTTCCACCAAAATGTATGACTACCTAAATTGACATGACCTAGACTGTTTCTACTCCAAGTTCTTCTGCCTTGCATTCCTTCCACCTCGACCTCCACCTCCCAACACTCTCCCATTCACATACAGCCCTAACCATCTTCTTTTGCCCCCACACATCCACCAACATTTCTATGATATCTGCTGGCTGAGAAATTCATCAACATCTCTTTCTGAAATATCTTCATGTTTGGGTTAGAAGAAGGAGCCAAAATAGCATATTATTACACCAACTTCTCAGGAACTAAAACTTGGAAAAGTTCCTCAAAATATAAATATACAGGCATATAAATTATTCACACCTTAAATTATTCTCACCACTATAGAATCTCAGAAGCTAAATAGCATCCCAAAATTAGATAAGTAAACCTATTTGCAGAGAACTTTGAGGATGGGTAATGCCATATAGCCTTTTCTTGTATTTCCCTATATCAGAATTTTGCACTGAGTAGGGCATCTATAAAACATTACTAAGTTACCAGTGTTTAAATTTCCATGTTACATTGTTGCTAAATCTGTGAGATAATTATGACCAAACTGATTGTAATACCTAGAAAAAGAAAAACAAAACAACACAACAGTATCTTAAGGCTTAATTCCAGAATAACTCAAGTCAATAAAAAGTTGTTAATATACAATCAGCCTATGACTATCTACATTATACATCTTTCACTGATACATTTAGCATATAAATAAGACTTTAATATGTATTACCACACACACAAACACATTTTAGTGTTTCTAAAATACTGATATTTGTATTAATGTGATCTGATTCTTTACGTCCTTTGAAATTAATACTAAACCAATATGCAAGAAGGAAGAGAGGTGAGGATTTCCATAAACTTGGTCAACAGTTTCAAAAAGAAATACAATCCGATCGGGATTTTATTTGATTTCCTCCAGTTCCATAAGGTGAAAAAAAAAAGATTCAATGAGAGGAGATGGCATTCACCCATCCATTTAAAGTCAGTGCTGTATTTCCAAGGGCTAAAAGAGTTACAGTTGCACTGTTCATTACTTTGAACTGTCACATTTTCTAGTATGACAAGATGTATTATGGATGGGGGGTTTTATAGATGTGGAGAAATCTCTCTCGAAGTTGTTTATTTGATTTTCTCCCCTTCTGCCTCTTTGTACTTCAGCGGCCAACCTTGGGATAATGGGATTACTTTATGCCTTCCACATCAGGCTCTGGATGAGTGCGCAGAGGCCAGTGGCAAGAGAAATAAGATGGTTGTAAAAATGCAAACGTTGGAAGTTAAAAAAGGTGCACCCAATAACTTGCCCTTAAATTTAAAAGGAACTTAATGAGGAACTTCTGGACAATTTATCTTACTGTTTACTGATAACAAGTCACTTTGTTTTTATGTTCTCAGTCCAGTATTCCGTAATTTATTTGAAAGAAGATGAGAAATAATGTAGATAAATGATGAAGTGTCAGGGTCTGACACTCTTAAATGAAGCTATTATGGTCAAAGAGAAAACGTAAAACCTGCGGCTCATTATGAGAGTGTTCTACTTGTCAGTTAAGTGAAAAGGCCTGGAATGATTTCCAGTTTATTTGTCATTGCAGTTATTAAAGCTGTCTTTTTGGTGCCATGAAAATGAATTGAAGACTTTATTCGAAGTAAATTTGTACTAAAGCTTTCAGATGTATCTTATGTGAGCTCAGTGAGGCAAGGAAGCAGCTTAAAAGCTGAAATACTACAAGGAGACAACTACCAAAGTCTTTGAAACACACAGAATACATAAGTGCTGATAAATGAAGCGCTTTTTTGACCAGGAAACAAACTTTTGACTGTCATAATGGAATAAGATTGGTAATGGGATATAATACCTACTAATTGTTGGAAGATATTTTATCCCTATGAGGAATGAATTGCCTACATATTTTAGTAACAGTTCTACCAGCCTATCTTTCCAAATATTGATTTATAAGAAAGGTTAAAGAATGCATCATTTTTGATAATACATACTTAATACTTAGTAAAAATTAATAGAATAAATACATCATAGAAACAAAAAAAAAGTTTAGTATTTTTTGAGTAATAATAACTGCTAGGCTAGAACAATAACCTCTTAAAAACTTGGAAAGAAGTTCAAAAAACCAGAGTAGCATATTCCATTTTCCTAATTGAATTATTGGACTGCAAAACGCTGCATCTTACTGCAAAAAATAAATATATTATTGACATTTTTATCTTACAGGACTCGTCTTCAAATACCTTACATCCTTACCGAGGTGTGAGAATAACCTGTACTTTAGCTTAAGTTAGAAGAAAATCAAATCAGATGGACTACTGACATGGTTGAGATGGATTGTTTTTAAGCATTGAAAAAATTAACCCATTTGTTTCCTTCTTTCATGGCTGAGAGGTCTTTGCTGTTCCCTTGTGCTACTCTGGCAATCACAAATATTTTTTGCATTGTTTAGTTATGCTTTTTGAAAGTTTAGAAGTGGATATTAATAGGGATACCTAAAGAAAAATGGATAGACTATATCAGTTTTTCACCTCACCACATTAAATAAGAAGAATCACTAAAATGAATATTGTATTTCAGGCCCAAGAAATCTTCCAGTCATGCCGTTGACTCTTTATTGTGGATATTACAAATGTTTTGACACATCTTCAGGGTCAGTTTACAAAGAAAACGGATTCTGCATCCTCCTCAAAGGTAATTTTTCAGTGTTTCCATCATATTTTATAGCCATTTTCAGTGATATTGTCAGAGTAAACAGTCTACCAGGCTCTTTATTATACCCCTTATTTTCAGGCATTTAAATGTGTAAAACCTCCCTTTGAAATCAAATTCGTTTTTATATTTGGGATATTTGAAATATTCCTATAGCTTTGATATTCTAATAGCTACAAATCCCAATGAGGTAAAAATAAATGCTTTACAAAATCATAGCTGTGATGTGACAGTGAAGAAAGCTATACAACATAGCACTTGCTAGATAAAGGTGTAGAGAGTTTAGATTTAACCTGTTTGAGAGTTAGATTGTGTTTATATTCCTATTAAGGTTTGAAACAAACAAAATGGTTGAATAGGTTAAATAAGCAATTACTTTGGAAAAAATTAGAGTAATCCTTTGATTCACATATTAGTATTAATGCATACACATCTCTCTTTTTTTGTTGTTTGTTTTTGAGACAGAGTCTCGCACTGTTGCCCAGGTTGGAGTGCAATGGCGTGATCTCAGCTCACTGCAACCTCTGCCTCCCAGGCAGCTGGCTCAGCCTCCTGAATAGCTGGGATTACAGGCACCTGCCACCATGCCCGGCTAATTTTTTGTATTTTTAGTAGAGATGGGGTTTCACTATGTTGGCCAGGCTGGTCTTGAACTCCTGACCTCGTGATCCTCCCACCTCAGCCTCCCAAAGTGACGGGATGACAGGCATGAGCCACCACACCCAGCCACATCTTCCTTTGATGTGTACATACACTGCATAATCACCTTATGTTTTTGAGCCTATTCAGGTTTTTTTAAACCATTTAAAGAATTTTTATTAAACCAAGAATTTCATAATCCAAGTTATATTTCCTTGTTTAGTTATCAATTCTGTTATTTAAAACATAACTGACATTCTGAGCTTTTCCACAGTTAAGAGTTAAAAAATTAAAGGAATGCTTTAAATTTTCATACTTTGCTGAAAATTATTTTTCCCAGGATCTATAAAACATTAATTTGTTTTTAATTTTTTTTTTTTTTGAGATGGAGTTTTTTTGCTCTTGTTGCCCAGGCTGGAGTGCAATGGTGCGATCTTGGCTCACTGCAACCTCTGCCTCCCGGGTTCAAGCAATTCTCCTGCCTCAGCCTCCCTAGTAGCTGGTATTACAGGTACCCACCACCACGCCCAGCTAATTTTTTGCATTTTTAGTAGAGATGAGGTTTCACTATGTTGGCCAGGCTGGTCTCGAACTCCTGACCTCAGGCGATCCACCCCAGCCTCCCAAAGTGCTGGGATTACATGTGTGAGCCACCACACCCAGCTTGTTTTTAAATTTTCCTATTTTTTTGTTTTCTTTTTTCTGTTATTTTCAAATCAATAAGTAATCTAGGACTAGTAAGTTTGCTAGACTTGGTATTTCCTCAGTACATAAGGTTCAAAGTTTGCTTTCCTTTTTTGTTTATATTTTGTAATTTTTTTCCATAATATTTTAGTTTTTTGATGTTTAGATATTTTTCTTTGTTGAAACACAAGTTTTTTTTGTTTTATTGTTTTTTTGTTTTTTGGTGGTCCCTGATCAATTTTAAGCAGTTGGTACAACAGTAGCACTGTTAATTGCTTTCTGGAGCCTCTTTCACATGGTAGGCTTGTAGTACAACTACAGCTTCAGAGACTCCGGAGACACAAGCATATGAAGAAGTTTTAAATTATCAAGCTCCAATAACATGCCAGTGATTTTACCAGCAAGAGTAGGGTGCGTGGCTTGAATAAGAGGAAAGAGTCTTTCACCCAATATCTGCTTCTGCTGCTGAAGAGGGGCAGATGCTAACATGGAAGCAGTCAAAAGTTTTTGACCTTGGACATGAACAGCAAGCTGCTTCCTGGTAACCTGTGGATGTGCTTTAAGATGCTGCTGAGGAATGAGAATTCCTGAAGCATATTTGTACTGTGGAATGATGTAGACCGCAGGAGTGGAGCCAGCAGCAGCAGCTACAGGACATGGACTAATTGTCTGTATTGATGAGTTAGCAACATACTGTGTGGACATGACTGGTGGAACCTGTGAAGAAGCTGGTCTCAGAGTGGTGGTTACGAGCAGCTGAGCGGATAGCACAGGTCATATTTGGAATGGATAAGGTCTGACACTCTGAACAGCCCAGGGAGGACTTGGTCTTAGTTGAGCAATTTGGCCAGGAGGATAGTATGCAGCACGGTTCTGGGTCTGTGGGATAGCTGCTACGAAGTAACATGTAGAAGGTGCTGGCTGGTAGGGGTTGATTACAGGGTGGGGCACAGCTCGTACACTTGCCATCTTCTGCATGTATTGGTTAGTGAAGTGAGCCAGGCGCTGTTCTTTGCACTGAGCTAAAGCTACATGCAATGGCTTGCTGGCCACAATTTTACCGTTCATTGCTGTAACTGCTTTAGCTACTTCTTCTGGGGAGGAGAAACATACAAAGCCAAACCTTTTGCTGCAACCACCCTCCATCATAACATTTGCACTATTGATTATACCAAATGGAGAAAATTCTTTCTGGAGACGTTCATCATCAATACTCTCATCAAGATTTTTCACACAAACGTTAGCACCCTGGTATCTGGTGATTCTATCTTGCTTCATCTGTTCAAATTTGCACTTAAGTTCTGTCTGCTCTTCCACTTTTTTCGGAGCTAGACAAATGTAAGTTTGATTTCCACTGAACTCCTTTCCATTCACATCCATAGCTGTCTGTGGATCTTCATGCCTTTCAAAGCTTACAAATCCAAATCCTTTGGATTTTCCACCTTCATCAGTTATTACTTTTACACTTGAGGCAGGTCCAACTTTGGACTCTTTTGCCCTAGCTCCAAGTTCTGCTTCTTGTTCTTTAGGAGACCTAAACCGTCCAACAAATACATTGAGACCATTCAGGAGCATCCCATCCATTTTTTCAATAGCTCCTTCAGCTGCTTCCTGTGTCTCAAAGTGTACAGATCCACAGCCCTTAGAACCATTTTCATCACAAACTACCTTACACGAAAGGAAGTTACCAAAAGCAGAAAATGCATCACACAGTGCTTTCTCAACGGATTTGTCCTGGTTTTTAACGAATACGTTGCCCACTCCACTTTTGCGCAGCGATAGATCGCGCTGAGACCACAGGACTTATACTGGCTTGCCCTTTATAACATCAAAGTTCATGGTGGCCAGAGCACGCTCCGCGTCTGCCGGCTGCAGGAAGTTCACGGACACGTAGCCCACGAAGAGGTGGGTGAGCCAGTCCCTAAAGACCCGGATGGTGAGGGTGGACCTGTCGAGCTAAACTTCTCTTGGAACATCAATTCAGTCACGTCGGGGTGCAGGTCCCCCACATACAGCGAGGCCATGTGGTAGCTGGGGGCGCTGGGGTTCATCGCGGCACGGCTGCCCACAGGGCTACAGGCCGCGACCCTTTCGTGACAGGAGGAGAGCGAGTGCCGGGCCGGGGGTCTCGCAGCCGGGGGCGGGGAGCAAGGGCACGCGCCGAGGGACAAAAATCATCCGAATCAGAAACAACTCACTGGCCACAGAGCGAGGTCGCTTGTCCGCCGCTGTCTGCTGGCTGCCGGTGTCCGGTTCGGGCGGCGGGAAGGCCTGGGTCTCGTGGTTCCTCCTTACGGCTGCTGCAGGGCCGCGGGTGGGGTCGGTTTTGGCTGCTGACAGGGTTATTTAATAAAAGGGGAAGAAAAAATATTATAGTAACTCTCTGGAGGAGTAGATGCCGATTTGAGGGGATATTTTTAAAAGATTTTTTTAGACTTTTCTTGAATTTTTAGTAAATGCATGTTGTCCTCAGCCTCAGCACTAACCGCCAGGGAGAAAGGCTATATTCAAGTTTTTATGTCAAGCTAATTAGTTCCTCTGATCAAATATATTTTATCCCGGTTTATTTACTTAGTATGTAGATGTCAAACACTAAATTAGTTGGATGACAAACATTGCAGTTTTTCTTTTTATTGAGCTTATGGAATAAAGAAGGAGGCAGTATCATAAAACATACGAAATACATGTTAAGTGCAATTAAAGGGCGGCATAGGAGTTCAGAGGCGTCTAATTTAGCTAATGTTTGTAGGCAAGGAAGACTTCCCAATGGAAAAAGATTCCTGACCTTGAATATTGAAGAAACAGAAGAATTGACCCAGTAAGACTATATCAAAAGGATCCTACCTGCATTTAGGTTTCCATAAACCAACAATCCACCTAGCTAGTTCCTTTCCGTTCAGGACACTAGGCCAGATTTCTTTGGGAGAAAAATCATTGAGCTTCTTCTTCCCCCACAAAACACTTAGAGTCAATGTGGGACTCTAGCTATATTAGTAATAGGGAGTTCAAAGCCCATGAGGTTAGAGATGATTTGCTTTATTATAAATAGCCATAGATTAAAATCATACTAATTTCCCTTCTTTCTCTTTATAAATATGTATTCACAATGCCTACATACAGAATTAACATGTGGTTATTAAATGACAATGGGAAACAAGAAATTTAGAAATTTACCTATTCTTTTACTATATGTTTACATAAACATAAAAATAACAGAAATTTTTTTTTAATGTTCCAGGTGCTTTTCTTAAAGTTTTAATTTTCCATTTTTCCCTAAAAGCATGACAAGTAATTTTAAAATTAAACTATAAATCATTTGGTATTATAGTCTCTATTAATGATTCAATTTCCAGATTAGATTGTTTATTATAATATGCCAACCTAAGGTATTAATCAATGAATATTTGTTTATTGGTTATGCTTAAGAATTATTTTCAGGAGGGTAAATCTGTGCCTCTGAGGCAAATATTAAATAGACGTGTCAAATATTTTATTTAACCTGTTAATTAATGAATGGACCAGGAAAGTTAAAATCAGTTCAAATAACATTTGATGAGGTAGGTATAGAGGTAATTTTAAGAAAACATATTAGGGTGAGATTCTTGGGTTAGATATAAAACTAGTTAATGTCTTTCTGGGCAATAAATTGTAACTTTCACAGTTATCTCTTCATTGGAGAGAAATGATTTGCATATTTACCTGAGAAAAATCTGTACATTAGGTTGTGTTCCTAAAGAGTTGTAAATTTTGAACAGCAAATAGAAAAGTAATAAAAGAGCACCTAGTAATCTATTGCTTGTTTCCAAACTTCAGGTGATTTTTCTAATAGTTATATGTAGGCACTTCTTTAAAGACATTATTCTAAAATTCTGTCACTACACTAGCACCTAAGTGTGGTTTGATTAAATTGGTGAGTCGCTTCAATACTATACCAAAGTAGACAGTGTTCTTGGTTTTTATGCTAAATTGGCTGCTTACAATTTTTGGTTTGGTCAAGATCTTATTTGATATGAAATTTTTTAAAATACGCTTCCTAAAAATGGTCTGATAGATCTAGGTGTATTATTCTCATTAAAAGAGAAGCTAAAACTTAAGTCATAGTAATAACTATTTTAAAGAGATGGATGAATAAGGAAGGAGTCTCTTTATAATAAGGAAATGCATTTAAAAATTTTATAGTTATCGCATGCTGGATATAAACTGAATTGTGTCCTCCTAAAATTCATGTGTTGAAACCCTAACCCTCAATGTGACTGTATGTGAAGACAGAATCTTTAGAGAGGTAATTAAGGATAAATGAGGTCCTAAGAGTGGAGCCCTAATCCAATATACCTGGTGTCTTTATAAAAAGAAGGAGAGACACCAGGAATGCACCCACACAGAGAGGAAAGGCCATGGGAGGACATAACAACAAGGTGACCTTGAGTACACAAAGGAGACTGATCTCAAGAAAAACCAACCTTGCTGGCCTCTTGATGTTGGAATCCCAGGCTCCATGACTGTGAGAAAATAAATTTCTGTTGTTTAAGCCATGCAGTCTGTGGCATTTTGTTATGATTTTCCTAGCCGACTAATACAATCTTTATTCACTAGAACATGTTTTTGGTGAGAATTAAAGCTTGTAATTTACAATGTATATAAAGGCACATTAGTCATAATTATTAAATAAATTGGCTACATTAACTAAATTGGCTATTAGACACATTAGTGATAATCACTTTATTCCTAAAAGTGCATAGGTTAGAAAAAACTGAGAAACCAAAGAAAACTACATAATAAAATCCACCAAAATATTTCTTATAAAATTATCAGTTCATTCTTTTACCCTTACCAGCATGTCTCTTCCATTTTTTTTAAAACTAATTCATCCTATTTTCTCACTTCTCAAAATGCATATTCTCCATTCTCTGAACTGAAACAATGATAAATATCTTGTTTAATTACTTCTAAGAGAAAATGCCACTAGTTTCATAGAACCTGACTCCATTGGACAGCTGGTCATGTTTCTTAATCCCAGTCTGCATTGCTCCTGGCTAGTTCTACTCACCAGAAGGTGTTGAATGAAAAGGGCAATTTGAATCACAGTCCTGCCTTGCTAAGGCTTTGTTCAGCAATATCTGTTTTTATTTTTACATAGACTTAGAACTATGTAGTAGACTAAATGTGACAAGCATGCGACCATTTTCCAAGGTCGAATACTCTTCAGAAAGCCAGATTTGGGGTTTTATTCAGTGATATTTTATTTTTCCTTTAAGAATCATAGACAAATGTTGAGGAAAAATAATACGATAAAAAAGTTACTCATTTAATCAATTATTAATTATTAATAGTATTAATACAAATTTGTATTTGTATTATGAGAAAAAAAATTAATTAAAAAAGTCTGATTGAATCCCTGATAGTTTTGACATGCTAAGTAGTACTGGAAACCCTATTACTTCCTCTTGGCTTTGCTTTCTTTACCTATATTCTTCCTTATTTTCCTTTCCAACTTTCCATAGTCTTTTTTAAAAGGTAAGATCTTTTTTATTCTTCTACTCATTGATAGTTTGAGATTTCAGACCTCTTCTGGCAGCTTTACCAAATGATAAAAGCATGAAACCTGGTTGTTTAAATCTCTTACGCAAACAGTATGAACTCCTTTTTGTGGTCCAGAAAAAAAGAGTCAGCCACCACCATAGTGAGTGCTGGTTACATGAAATAAAACATGGGCAAATTCTTATTCACTTGGCTTGTTTCTTTGAGCCCCGTTTTCAAGCATTAAGAGCAAACGCCATGTAAAATGAATTATATATTCCAAGAGAAAGGAGTGGCAATTTCTTTGGTATGTTTGCCTTTTCTTTTGAAAAGATAAAATCAGCCTTCAGTTTTAGTAGACATTCCTTTTCGAATTGAATCACTGAGTTAGTGAATAATACAGAGTTTGCATGGCCATATGTTGGATGCAAACACTGAGCCTAGGGTAATTGAAATGACTTCCTCAAGATCACCCAAGAGCCACTGGAGGAGTTTTGCTCCCTTTTGCTCCCAGAACAATAATTTTTTTTTTTATGTTGTCACATGGCTATAAGAAACCTATACCTGATGTCCAGGATATTTCTCTAAATAAAAGGTAATCAGTGGTCAGACATGTGGCGAATATATTAGACTGCTGCTCTTACCCTGGTGTGCTATTATTTGGGGCTTATGAATAGAAAATGTAAAGTAATCTCAGAAGGAATTTTATTCTAATGTTCTTTCAAATAATAAAACCTTTTGTTTGAAAGGAATTAGGATGACAAAAACCTAAGATTATGAGAAACCTGGTAGCAGATCTTTCCTTTGCAAGATTACAGTGAGTTAGTGGTAATAAATAAACCAGTCAGTGGTAAACAAGTTTCATTCATTTTCCATTTCTAAGTTGAACTTCAGAGGAACGGTTGCCAAAGGCACTGTGGCCGATCATTTAGTCACAATGCATTGTTTTGAAGACATATGGTACCGTTTTAACCTATCCATCTAGTATTCTACAACCAGTCCTACTACCCAGACTGAACATTAGGTGTTCTGATCGTTAAAATTTTAACATAGCCACATGTTGATGGGGGAATTTAAGGCGTTTTATTTTCATCACTACACTTGATGGTAAGTTGTTTTCCAGGAAACTACGAGGCGTTAAAATGCCTCTTCTATTTATATCATCAACATTCTAGATATATTATATAACTTATACATACACGTCAAATGTTTTCTTCCATAGAGTGATAATCTTAGTGACTGTGTATTAAATAATTTTTTATTTCTTAATACCAATTTCAGTAACTTGATTTAAGAAACAAAAACAAGCATTCAAGAAATAGATTTACAAATAAATGGTTTCCACCTTTGGGCTTCCTTATGAGTCAATAATTTTTCTACTAAGTAGATTCTGTGTGCCTCTCAAAAAAAGGAACAGTCTTTGTCATGAAAGATGCTCTCTCAAAGTGTCTTTGTCCCCCAAATCCCAAAACCATATGACTTCTTAATGATTGCTTTATTTTTTTTCTCACTCACTAATGGAAAAATTGTCTTTACTTTTTAAGATATTATGGAGGTGTATATAATGTCTTATAGGATGTTGACTCTTCCTAATCACAAATACATTTCATGATATAGAGAATGCAATGAAGAATTTAGGAACGATAAATTATTTTCAAAAGACAGCTTTATTTTGATGTTGATTTGAGAATTCTACTTAGGAACAAACAAGCAACAACAACAAAAAACTACAAAAAAACTTACATACCTACCTCAAGGTAAATAAAGCTTGGCACAAGTGTAACTGGGATTCTTCAAATATATTTTAATCAGATTGAATATTTTGATTAAATGCATGTAATAAAATTCCCCACAACTCATAGAGATGTTTTAGTAATAATGGGTTTGCTCATAGGATACATACATACAGAGGCGGGTGTTTTTATTCATTTATCAAAGGGGTCTGATAAGAAATCAGTACTTTTTCTCTTAAAATTTGTTGTAGAGACTATATTTCTTTTCTTTTTTTTTTTTTTTTTTTTTTTTTTTTTTTTGAGACAGAGTCTTACTCTGTCACCCAGGCTGGAGTGCAGTGGCGCAATCTTGGCTCACTGCAACCTCCACCTCCTAGGTTCAAATGATTCTCCTGCCTCAGCCTCCTGAGTAGCTGGGACTACAGGTATGTGCTGCCACGCTCGGCTAATTTTTTATATTTTTAATAGAGATGGGGTTTCACCATATTGGCCAGTCTGGTCTCAAACTCCTGACCTCGTGATCTGCCCACCTCGGCCTCCCAAAGGGCTGGGATTACAGGGATGAGCCACCATGACCAGCATAAAGACTATATTTCTTTGAAACTCCTTCATGATGCTAATTCTAGTGAGTATGTATTTATTAGTTAAGTTTCCTAGAATTATAACTGAAAACGCAAAGAAAGGGAAAGCAACTCCAGCCACCTTCCCAAAAGGAAAAATTATGGAATTATATTGAGCCATGATGAGGAATCCAAGAAGCAGGTAAACAACCAAGAATGAAAATCTAGAAATCTCACAGACTTTTTATCTAAAATACTGTAGTTAAACTGACTTAGTTCTAAAGATTTTCAGAAACTGACTCCTCGGTTACAAATGTCCAACTTCTGAGGGCAAAATATCTGGTTTTTGTAGCTTAAGTGCCCACTTGAGTATGAGAGACAGGCTTCTGCATTACAGTTGTATGCACTAGTGGAAGTGAGGGGCAGATTTTAACAAGTGAAATTTCCAGATAACAAGGGTCAGTGTTAAGGTTGGAAGACCTTCCCAAAGTGGGGTAAATCGAATGCAGACAAGTCATATTGGGAATTGTAGTGAATACCAAGCTGTATGAGGTCATATGAGCTTGAGAACATGTCCTTGAAGAGTTTACAATCCAGTTTGGTAACATAATAATAAGACTGATGGAAAGATAAATACAAACAAATAATTCAAATAATAGTTGAAGGAAATAAAACCGTAGATATCCCAAAGCACAGTGTGCTTATTGATCTATACATTGTGCAGAGAATAGCAGGTAGCAGGCCAGAAAGATCACTTAAAAGTAGAATGGCTAATGTAGGTTTCGTCCTTCATAAACATTTCTTTTTTAAAATGAAGTTTTGCTAATGTAGGTTTCGTCCTTCATAAACATTTCTTTTTTAAAACGAAGTTTTTCTAATGTTTGCTCAGAAAGCATTTTAGGTGAAGAAATTCACTGGCAGATGAGGTATAATTCCTTTTCTTTGATTAAAATAATAGAATTCTGGAAAGAAGCTATCAGGCTGAGACTTTGTACTACACCCACTTATGAATAGCTGCACAGATTTTATTGTGTATGATCTTCCAAGTGGGATAAAGCTGTGTATGTGTTTGATTTATGAAACCATAATATTAAAAAATGGATTCAGGAGAATTGTTTTATTGCCTTAAGATTTGGGAAAGAAATGTCTTCTAGGTTTTATTTATGAGATATTTCTTTATGGACAAAATAAAATGGAGATTGAATGTTGATGATAGGAATTTGATCATTTTTTAAAATGCTGGTTTTAATTTTGTTTAAATTATGTTTATTTTGTCGTATAGATTTTTTTTCTTAACTTTTGACACTTGCCTAAGTATCTGCGTGATGTTTGCTTGCTTTGTATATTTGCGTGTATTTTTCTGTATATCGGGAGTTTCTTTAAATTTGAATGTTGTTGCCTGTTGATGCGTGATTATATCCTGAAATATTAACTTACAAATAACATGATAAAAGAAGCAGCTAACATTTTGCCAGGCAACGCCATCATGCTTAGACAAGGGCCAATAATTCTTCCCTGGTAAAACAGCAGCTTGATCTGTGTCAGTCACTGTTCTAAGCTGGCACCCACAAAGCCATAAAGCTTTCATGTGATTCTGAAATTACATATAGACGTAGAAACACATTCCCAATGGAAAAAAATATTATGTGCTCCTTGATAAAATGTTTTAACTACTCTGACAAGGACCTTATGAGACTCAAATCAATTATGAATATTAAAGGTATAAAGTCATCTTTATAAATGATAAACTCATGAAGTGTTTTAGAAACTTGTATTTCATTCTAAAATTTAGAAAACAGTATTTTAACAATTTTTAGGCATGTCCTACTAAAGGGTTTATGAAAACTATTTTTTATAGAACAAAGCCTATTGAATTCTCAAAGAAGTATTTGATAACATGTTTACACTTTGTGAAATTTTTGGTATGATAGGAATTCCAACTAGTTACAAATGCTTGTGGAATGGGCATATTTCCAAGTCTAGCTAGTATAGCTGGTAAATAGTAGAGATAACCCATGAAGGGTGGGACAAATGAACACCATATGGTAGCATTCTAGAATTTTTGCATTGATTTTATCAATCAAGTAAACAGACACCATGACATATCACCTTTTCCATCCTAACAAAAAAGTTCGTATTCTGCATATTAGCTGGCCATTTAAAGAGCTTACAGAAAGATTATTTACTATAACTAAATATACTTTCATAGCTATAAATTCCTCCCTTTGGGAAAAAATATTTGAAAATTGTTTATTGTGATAAGAGTAAGTGAATGTCAGTTCTGCTTCATCCCCTGAGAAACACTCTATACTTTCATCAGGTTTGTATCATCAGCTTTCATCAGTCTTGCTACTAAGATATTCTCTATAAAGTCCAATGTACAGTCTCTTCCTGGAAATGAGTCACCAAATACTTAAACTATTGAGTTACTGCATGATCTTTTTTCCCCAGAATAAATTACTTAGGTTCTTTATCATGTTTCAAAAGCAACTCAGGCCCTGAGCACAGTTCTGAGCTAGGCAAGGTTTACCCTGTCACTCAGCCTTCTGTTACTGTAACCTTCTTCACTTTGAGACTCTTCTTTCCATCTATAATCACACCAGTGTCCTCCTGGCACCCTTTGTGGATACTATTATCAAGGAAAACTCAAAATCTATTTCCAGGGACAGTAAAGGACGGTTAGCAGTTTTAAATATTGCCTTCCTGACAATGCATATATTTCCACTAAAAATGAGATCAAAGACTTGAATTTAAACTTGAGTCTTAACATCTTTGAAAATATAATGTAAAAATGTAATCAGGTTGGCCGAGCCGGTGGCTCACGCCTGTAATCCCAGCACTCTGGGAGGCCAAGGTAGGCAGATCACCTGAGGTCAGGATTTCAAGACCAGCCTGGCCAACATGGTGAAACCCCACTCTACTAAAAATACAAAAATTAGCCAGGTGCAGTGCATGCCTGTAATCCCAGCTACTTGGGAGGCTGAGACAGGAGAATCGCTTGAACTCAGGAGGCGGAGATTGCGGTGAGCTGAGATTATGCCACTGCACTCTAGCCTGGGTGATACAGCAAGACTTCGTCTCAAAAAAAAAAAAAAAAGATGAAAATAAAAAAATATACATATAATCAGGCATTTCTCCAGAAGAAAAAAGTACACACAAGTTGCCACAAAATCTTAGGAAAGATAATATCTGGGAAAGCTATCCAAGGAATATGTGTTTTAAAATCACTGTAAAATGAGCTGGGCACGGTGGCTCATGCCCGCAATCCCAGCACTTTAGGAGGCTGAGGTGGGCGGATCAGCTGAGGTCAGGAGTTCGAGACCAGCCTGGTCAACATGGTGAAACCCCGTCTCTACTAAAAATACAAAATTAGCCGGGCATGGTGGTGCAGGCCTGTAATTCTAGCTACTCAGGAGGCTGAGTAAGGAGAACTGCTTGAACCCGGGAGACGGAGGTTGCAGTGAGCCGAGATCAAGCCATTGCACTCCAGCCTGGGTGACAAGAGCTAGATTCCGTCTCAAGAAAAAAATAAATAAATAAAATCACTGTAAAATGAATAAACATGTTAGGATATAATTTTGAATATCAATGAAAAAATTTTCTTAAGTCTGGAGTTTTCCCTTCATCCATCTGCGTATTGGTAGCCTGGTATAAAGAATAATATTTTTCCAAATATTCAATATTTTAAAAAACATTAAAACTTTTTTTCATTTTCTTATAATCTCTCGTTAAAGGCAGTATTTTATAGTGGTTGCAACACTCTAGAAAGTGTTAGCTGATCCACAGCCGGGCACGGTGGCTCACACCTGTAATCCCAGCACTTTGGGAGGCCAAGGTGGGCAGATCACAGGGTCAGGAGTTCGAGACCAGCCTGGCCAATATGGTGAAACCCTGTCTCTACTAAAAATACAAAAATTAGCTGAGCGTGGTGGTGGGTGCCTGTAGTCCCAGCTACTTGGGAGGCTGAGGCAGGAGAATCGCTTGAACCCGGGAGGCAGAGGAGACAGTGAGCCAAGATCGTGCCACTGCACTCCAACCTAGGCGACAGAGCGAGACACTGTTACAAAAAAAAAAAAAAAAAAAAAAAGTGTTAACTGATCCAAATTAGAATGCTGTAAAACAATTCCTCTCGGTTTTTCTATGCTGTATTCTTTCTAAATACAAACTTAGGTAAATTAAATAGAAAGCTTAGGTAAATAAAGTGTTGCACGTATCCTACAAACTTTCATGCAAATGTGGCTTTTTATTATTTAAGCAACAAAAGTAAATGTGTCTGTCTAATTAGGTGGCATACATTAATTAGCAGTATTTGGGACGTTACATGTAGAAACTGATGTTATATCTTTATAGCCAGTTATTGAACTATAACATCTACAAATCAATGGATAAAGCTAAAAGCCCATTTTTATTTTTTGCATTTTTATTTTTTAATCACTTTGTATCAAGATTATTTCAGCATATTTTCTAGTATGTCAACAGTAAGATTTTAAGATACTTCTATGTATAGTTAATAATGTAATCAGTAAAAACTATGTTACAGGAAAACTCATAGTTGTGAAGTTACATATGTATTAAAGGTAAAATCTGTGACATCTTACTACCATTTTTTCCAGTGTGATCTATCTATAATTCACATTGCCTAACCAATCTTAAATATAGATACTAGAGTTAGGGTATTTGCAAAGTACCAAGCTGACAAATAGAGTGTTGGCTATTATTTCTGTTTGGAAGTCGGAGTTTTGAGGTATTCATTTTGTAGTCTGACAGTCATCACTACAATTCCTTGAATTCCCAAAGCTTTTCATATGGCTTCCTCAAGGACGGCTATCGTGTCTTAGCTACTGCAATGACAGATGGGATATAACGTGTCATGTGATTGATAACTCTGGAGCCATAGTACTTAATCCTTCTAATACTAATAGCTGCATTATCATAGAGATTTATGAGAATGTCAGTTTCAAGTTCCCAGTTCCATTCATGGGTTTTTAAAACTTCAGCTGCAAAAAACATGCATCCATCCCATTAATTCTAATTATCATGGTTCATCTTCTCAGCAGTTTTGCACTCCGGAACCTTTCAGTGCAAATTAACGTACCAAAAAAGTGTATTAATTAATATTTGTAGCTTTTAATTTCTGCAAGAGTGTTGTCTGGAAGCAGCTGGCAGTACAGGGCCGCTGCTATTGAATCTTTGCCAAACAAGTGCAGATGTAATTTTGTTATCTCTTGCTTAGTCATTTACGCAAATTAATTTGAACAATTAGCCTTTTACTGGTCCTTCATGAATCATGCAAAAGGGATCTGCCAAAAATTGCTAGTTGACAGAAAAGAATTGGTTAATGCTGTGCATTTTGTGGGAAGGTAATGCAGAGGGAAACTCAACATTATTTTAGACTGTAGACAATTGCCTAAATATTCTGTTGTAAGATCTACTTAGCACTCATAAACAAACTTGAGAATTCCCCTTAATAAAGAATAAACCTGCATTCTAGAGAAGGTGCAGTTCATAGGAGGACTCAAATCTTTCATGTAACAGCCAACTTGAATATGTCTTAATCAAGTCTATATGCAAAGTAGGAAAAAAAGTGTTCATTAAAAAGAGAAATTAATGAATTAATATTGGCTGCTTTTCAGGTCACACTCCTCACGTTTATTTACTCAGTATTTGTGTATATATGTGCTTGTGTAATTATTTATCTATTATGTAAGGTAGATATACTACACATTTGTAGCCTCATTTGATAGCTTCTAGTAACCTGAGAAATTAGTGATGGAGAGTACTTTAAAAAGTTAAATATATAGTTATTATATTTAGATGACCTGAGTAAAAAACACCGTAAGTGAAATACATGTAATTAAATCACCTCAGAAAGAGTAGAGATCTATTTTTTGTGTGTTTATAGTAAGTTACCACTATCATAAAGGACACAAAAAAATAGTAGTTATAAAATTTGCAATTCTTTTTTTTTGGAATCAGTACAAACTACCTGTGATTTTATGTTTTTACTTTAATTCCACTTACTTGGCACTTTCAATTACTGAAGCTAAGATTTTCTCTAATTTTATGTACAGGTGATTGTACACTATTAAAATAGGAAATCAAAGCTCACAGAAAAGTCTTTCTTTACTTTGTATAAAATTAGAAAGTCCTCAAAAACTTTTTCATGGTGTATGCTAAAGTATATTGACACATGTTTACATGTTTTAAAGACGTGTGTATGTTCACATATATTATACTTATAATTGGTTAAAATGTGTCGTTCCATCTTCTTCTTACCATTTGATTTTGTAGAAAATTGTTAATCTCATACCATAGCTATCAGAAAAGAGAACTGAAAAAGAAATGGCTTTTTTATTTATCTATCTATTTATGCTGGGAGAGGTGCCTCTCCCAGCATAAATAGATCTTAAAAGTAAGTGCATTTAAAATAGGGTTAATGAATCATCTACTGTGGAATATTTTTAAAATCCAAGTTACTGATTATTACATAAATAATATAAATCATTTTAATCATCAAGAATGTCTAAAACTGCAAAGTGAATGTTTTCAATCAATTTTTGGCTACATAATGAAACTTAAACTTTCCCAAATATACTTTCTGCAAATCCAGTATTAATGAAAAAATTGAATCAAATGTTTGAAATCTTTTAAATTCTCATTTATAGAAAATCTTATTTTATCTCTCTGTTGGTATTAGTCATCTTCAAAGTAATTTGTTTTGGATAACGTCAGGTGAATAGTGTCAAATCAAGCTCAAGCTACGTCAAGAGACTGTTTAGCTAACATGAAAAGTTTTAAAACATAATTAGTTTTATCTTTTTCTGTTTAAAGAAGTGACATTTGCTCAGTGTTGAAAGTCTGAAAACTATAAGAAAGAAGAAATATTAAAACAAAAAATAAACAATTCCAATATTTTTGCAAGATAACTACCATTAACATTTTGGTACATTTCATTTTCATCTTTAATCTTCATATTTTTTGAAAAACATCACCATGACAAAGTAGTAAAGCACTACATAAGATAAAAAATTATCTTGCTATTAAAACAACTTTATTATTTTAATAAATTTATAGTTTTTAAATTTAATTGCCTATTTTGATATTGCTGCATGTTAAGTTGTGTCAATTATTTTTAGTTGAACTCTTCCTCTATTTTAGTTAAGTTCTTTAGACCTAAGTCTCAGAAAGGGGATTATTTGGTTCAATGATGTGAATATTTTGAAAATTGATACTTATTGCTTCATTTCTTTTCAAAATGACTGTACTTTTTCATAGAAATAGGAGAAAACTTAGGAGGCTACATCTCTAACAACAGTAAATATTATCATCAAAATAATAAAAAATAATCTTTAATAATATTATAAATTAAAATTTAAAATAACAGATGCTTGCTTATTTACCTCTAATCATTAGCAAAGTTGAACATTTTTATATACTATCTGATACAGAATTTTGTCATCTGCAAATAATGATTAAAATATAAAATTCAGTGATTTTTTTTGAGATTTAGTTGTAATCATTGTTTTTAAAGTGTTTTGTAAAATGCTATATAAATATGAGCTACTATCACTAACATACTAGTGAATAATTGCTATGTATAAAAACTTGATTTTGCAATTATATTACTGTTATTTCAAATGATCATAAAAACAGTAATAAGCCCACATGCCTCCAGAATTAGAAGCTATACATTTAGTTGGCTAAAACCCTCTTCAGAAAATTTATTTTTCTTCCACATTGCATGAATATTTAATCAGAAAATGTAATTTACATCATAGCAATACATAAGGTAATATATAATTAACAATTTCTAATTCAATCTACATAATTTCAATTTTTAAATTTCATCTTATCTTGCTAACACTAACAAATGCTATCATATAGTCACTTATTGTTTAGAATCATCCTATATTTAACCTTAGATATATAGTAAAATTCCTGGTCCTTAATGATATTAAATTATCTTATATAAAACATTAAAAATAGAGTAAAAAATAAATCAACAAAATTATTTTTATTTTGTACTGAATTGTCCAAAGTAATTTGGTGATTATCTTTTTATCATCCACTAAGCCGCATGCATAGTCTACATTTTTGTTGCAAACATCAATAATATAATAGCATTCCAGATATTTTTTTAAAAGAATTATGTGACTTGGTATAATAGTCATTACGGTATTAAATAAATATTGAGGGGGAAAGAAAAGGACAAAATACTTTGGTTTTTCCTTGGCTATATAGATGCCTTCTTATGTGTGAAATGAGATGCATTTACATCATTTCTCTGATTACAAAGCAATATATTTTTGATGATGAAAATGCAAATTTAAAAAATCAGAATTAAGGAAGTAAAAACAATCCCTAATCAGCAAAAGATAAGCATTGGTTACATATAGGTGATTATATTTACAGTATCACTTATCACTTGCATATATTTAACAAAATAAACCAGCTATTTTCCACTTAGGTACTTTCCATATTAGTAAAAATATTATAAACTTATTTTTATATTATTCAATCTTTTGAAGGAATAATTCATAATTTATATAGTCAACTTTCTATTTTGATGTAAATATTATGCAATGTAAATATGTCTATATCATATATTTGATATAAATATAATATAAATATTATATATTTTTGTAAATATATGATATGGACAGCACTGAAACTGATGATATATATTCATCACTATTTTCTTGAAATACATTTCTTAGTTGATTTTTATATCATAAAGCCTGTTTTAGCATGTGTCTTAATGAGTACACTGCAGGTTTAATAATACTAATAACTAATTCCTGGTAATGAACACCAAGGCTTTCAGATTTTAATCATCTTACTAGTGATTAATAGTTCAAAACATCTTAGTTTGTTAGCAAATCCACAACTAGTGTCTTAGTAATGTGTATCTAAACCAAGTTTGTGGTTTATTTCATTGCTGGGTAACTGACTAATCAGAAAAAAATATCTCATACATACATACTGAGAGAGATGAAGCTAGTCTCTCTGTAATTGAAAGTATCAGTGGTAAACTTGGCTGGAGCTTGATTAATAGTATATTAAAATCAGAGTCTTGTTGGTAAGTGCTGGATAAGGAGTTTTGGGCAAATTACTTGGTTACCGGGAAGCCTTTAAATTTTAATCATGGAAGTACTTCAGTGTCATTAGAAACCGAAAGGACAATGGGGTCTCCTGGCAAGTTCTGTGAATTGTTGTGCTTTTCAGGCTCTCCTTCTGCCGTGCTATTGAGAGCCAAGCATGGGCTGCAATCGAAAATCCTTTTGCTCCCCATGACTTTGATTGCTATTATTGTAATTTAATATTACACACTGTCTTCGGATAAAATAGTCCATGGAAATTAGAAGAAATAATGCAGAGGGTTGGGGTGGGGGTGGGACAGCTGAAACAGAACTCAAAATTAGTCCTGAGTTTTAAGATGTATATCTTTCCTCAACTCACTGCAGTTGCAGTGAGAAAAACGAGGTTATCAAAGATGTTTAACTTAAAATAAGCAACAGGCCTAAAAGAAAGGAAACTTCGTTCTATGTTGAACCCATGGAAATTATATTATTTTATTAGTTGCAAGGTAAGTTTTGACATTTCACACGTAGTATTTATATACAACATGAGATACATATCATTTATCTTAATGAAAATCCTAATGATGATTATTACAATTTTATATTAAGTCATGCCATGGGGTATTTGACTCCCAAAAGGCAAAAGAATATTTTCTCCTGTGTATATTAATTCCAGTTAATGTAAGCCTTGATTACTTCGGAGTTTTGAAAAGGTAAACAAAGGATAGAACCACAAACATTAAAGTAGGAATAATCTTAAAAATCATTTATCCAGTAACCATATTTTGCCAATTAGTAAAAGGAATAATAGAGCAGAAACATTACCTGAGGAGTATCTTACTAAAACAACCTCCTCTTAAGAAAATTTTCAGCACAGTTTACAAGCTGGGAGATTCTTTTGTTATGTTTGACTTCTTTTAAAAAAAATTTATAATAATTTATGCAGTGTTTCTTTTTCCAGAAGATGGCACAGAGAGCTTGTGAGCCTTAGAAATAATTTTCTGAATAATTCTAAGAAACCAATGCCATGACTCTATTCATTGGCTGAATGCATTATGTTCTGGGTGCTATACTGAGTTGCTTCTGGTTTCTCTAGCTGCTTTAAAATATATCTAAACTTTTCTCTTTTGTATAAAAAAGACAAACCAAGATAGGTTACTTACAACTCAGTTATGAACAAAACATGATCTCTTCAAGAACAGATATGAGCTTTTCTAAGCACTGGGGCCATAAATGTAGACTATAAAGGAGATTATAGGAGAGAGATTTAAACAGTGTTTTCCAATGCAATATGGTAAACAAATTTGTAGAGAAACATATGAGATTGAGGATGGCTAGAAAACCCATATACCACATTTGATTATTTTCTATTCATTTCTCTACACAATTTTCATTAGTTAATTAATTTTGATTTAGAAATAATCATAAACTTACAGAAAACTTGCCAGTATGGTACAAATAACATTGTTTCCTGTACCTATGGAGTATATCTCAGTGTCCTCATGTCCCTTCACTCCTGAAATGCTTTAGTTTTTATTTCCTACACAACCACCGTACAACCATCAAAATCAGGAAATTAACATTTATATAGCAGTTCCTTTTAATCCTCCAAGGATCTGATCAGAGTCAAGTAGTGTATTTAATTATTACATCTCCATAGTTTCCTTCAGCCTAGAACAGTTGCTCAACCTTTGACTTTCATGGTTTTGATGCTTTTGAAGTTTAAAGGTCCGTTATTTTTCAGATGTTATTAAATGTGGATTGGTGCTCCTGATTAGATTCCAATTATCCATCATTAAGAAGAGTATCAATGAATTGATGCTGTATTTTTCTCATTATGTCCCATCAAGAAGCTCATGATTTTTTTTGTTTCCCTGATTACTTATGATGCCCATGTTTATTGCTTGATCAGAGTGATCTTTGCCAGGATTCCCAAGCCAGGCACACATGCATCATGTGGACCACTAATGGTTTTGCACAATTACTCAGAAGCTTTTGGCAAATTTTGCAAATCCTCTGAAACATTTGTAAACCTTAGAATAAGTATTCTATATACTTTTAAACTATGTAATAGTCTTCTCATTATATTTATAAGCTTATTTATATCTAGATGGATTCATGGTTTTCTATTATATTCAACAGCTTCTAATCCATTCCTGTCATTTATTTTTATGGTCATGTTATCCTGATTTGTCCAGTGGGAGCACTTCAAGCTAGTTTCTATCTCTTTTTGACTTGTGCCCGTCATTCTTTGAGCATCTCTTTTTTTTTTTTTTTTTTTCAATAAATCAAGACTTTTTGGCTCATCCTGCTCTGGTCCTACAATCAACTATCTCTCAAATGGGCTCTGTTTTTCATTTTGTTTTGTTTTGTTTTAGTAGTGGGTAGTATTTAGAAGCCACAGTCTGATTTCTCTATATTTTCTTATTGTTACTGGGATACCATTGCTCTTAGCACCTATCAGTGTGTCAATGTGTCAATGTGTGTGTGTGTGGACATATATATATTATACTGATATCTATCATTGATGCATATCTAACGTATATCTATTGAAGTTACATCTATGTATTTTCTACATTTAACTCCATATATGTGCATATATGTGTGTGTTCACCTGTGTATGTGCAACTTCACCACTAATTTCAGTTCCAATCTATTTCCACAGGGTTTTCTTGTAGTTTTTTTAACTTTTCCATATTGGTAAATTTCTTCTCCATTGGGAAACCTGCCTCCCAATATTCTCATTATACTTATTTGATTAAATCCCTATATGTATACAAACTACTGTTTCCACTGCTGTTCCTTCTGTGCCGTTACAGATTGGTCTCCAATATCCAAAGGTGGGCTTTTGTTATGCAAGCCTGCCCTCGCTTTCCTGCTTGGTATCTAACATCTCCAACAGGGTTGCGCCTCTGCGCGGATGCCTTCTTTACCTTGCTTAGGCTCTCATAACCTGTTCTGCTCCCTGTCCACCTTACCCCAGGGGCCTCCATCCCTTAACCCATAAGTCATTGTGCTGTACCTAATGGCTTTAGGTCTGACTACTTTAAAGGGGAAAAGGACTAAGGAAGAAAGGGAAGAGAAGAGAGCAAAATGGAAAGAAAGACTAAGAGGAAGAGCTGTACATGTTCATCACCTCGTCTGTTTGTGCTATTTATGACCATTTTAGTGCACTGTTCATTAATTTTGTTCACACTAAGAGTTGTTAGGAGAAGTTGACTGAATGTCTATAAAAGTGTGCCCTTACAAAAATATGGGGTATACTGTTTTAAAAGAAAATCCTATCAAGTAGATTAGGATAAGTCACTGGAGGAAAAAAGAGCAGGTAAAGTCAGAAGTACATTAGCAATTGTCAGCTTGGGAAACAGTATATGCTAATAAAAAGCTGAGAAAGAACATCGTTTGAATGAAGAACAGAATGTGGTCTGTATTTTTTATAGTAGCAGAGGAGGATTGTCCTCTAAATAATAGCAGCCAATGATTCCGGTCCCTTTCCAGACTTTTGATTAGTTATGATAGTAGTGCATAATGATCCCCCAGCTGTCCAATCTGACAGTTTCTTCAACCCTACATATCTAAGTATCCATTAGCTCAATTAGTCAGGATGTTTTGGGCAGAATTTATTGACCCAAGAGATAGGATGGCGAGTTCCTGTTTGCCTAGCCAAGGGACTGCCAAAATTGTCCTGTGTTAATATATGGCTATGTACAAAAGACAGCTTGAACAGAGAACTAAGTAATCTTTAGAACACAGAAAGTTACTAGTGACTTGGAGAGAACCCCTCCTGAGTTCTTGCTTCCACAAGTTCAAAATTCCATTTGCATGGATGGTCAGATTTTAAGTCATCCTTGTTGAATAAGCATATTGAGACAGCAATAGCCACATTTCACCTATATTTAAATATCCCACATAAGGAAGAAAATAGATTTTACCATTAAATTATAACAAAGGCAGCTACATTAAAGATGTAAATGCAGTTTATACCAGTCTTAATACACAAGCTGACAGACAGCACTATTAGATTGTGATAATAAACAGGCATATTGAACAAGTCTTTGATTTAGAAAGATATCTCTAGAGAAATTGCTCATAGAGAAGCAATCATCTCAATCCAAATTTTCTATGAATGAAGCTTTGCCTGAACTAATACATTGCTGACATTCTAGTACAGTATAATTATAAGTTTGGTTAATGTAGAAAGTTCTCTGTAGGATGGTAAATTTAAGAATATGAAACCTCTCAACAGGAATTTGTACTGTCCGATTCCTGCTGCTGGAGCCATTGGTCAGCCATCTCACAGAATTTTAACTTTTTGTTGGCTCTGGGAATATAACTGGAGCAACCATTTAATTTTCATTTTTACCCCTGTTGCTTTTTATTTTATCTTTCCTTTCTTTTGAAGTGGGCATATTGGTATAGAAGGACTTTCAAGGATGAGTTTTTATGTGCTTTCCTTTGAGGAAATTTGGATCTTTTCCTTGCAAACATGCCCCCCTTGCAGTTTACCACCCAATATTTTATTCATGTTTGTGCTTTGCTATGAATCCTCTCTATTTGTTTCTTATTATATGATGCTCCTCATGACTCAACAGGACCATAAGAAAAGGTGTCAAATGATGCTGTAATATAACCTGATTACTGGATATATATGTATAAGCATGCCAGTTGAGTGTGATTGTCAAATACAAAAATTGATTTTAATAACCCTCAAGTTTTGAGATTGAGAAAAGTAGGGAAAAAAGAGACAGTAAGGTAAGCAAAGTTAAGACAAAACTTAGGGAGTTCAGTGTATATTCAGGTGGTTACAGGACATCATTTTGGAAGTGTCCCACATGTCAATACAAGATGGAAACTCTAGAAAAAATTCAGAAAACAGTCCTTTTAAGATACTTTACACTTAATGACATATAGTGTAATGACATATAGTCCTTGGAGTTTTCACTTATATGACATATAGTCCTTGGAGTTTTCACATGTTGGGGAAAAAAAGCATCATCTTATTCTGTACCCATAATGTGTCTAGATGAATTTGGAGTTAGGATTCCTTGGAATGTTAATTTCACTTATGGATTTCACTGGGCAATATGAAAATGATTATCAGTTCTTTTGAAGTTGATAAAGTTATACTTGGAAGTTTTAAAGTTTCAGACTTAATTAACCATAGACACTTACAAACTTATTCCAGTCAGTTCAGTTAAGGAATGAAATATAGACCATATTTAAAACAAAATCAGGAAACAGTTCTGATTAGGATGAAAGATCCATCACAAATTAAGAAATAAAAGTGTAATACTGGTACTTCATGTTAGAGCGGGCCATTAAAAAAATCATGAAGTGAAACATAAGAAGGCTAGAAAAGTTTGGAGTAGGCTAGATAAATTATTTGGAAGGCTCTGTGCTAATCTGCCAAAAGTGTAAGAATCAATTTGGCTGATAGGCAATGAATAACTTGTGTTTGATATCTGAATTTTTCAGTTAGCATTTTCTGAACATGGTTTCTCATTATGATAATAAAGAATTAATTATCACCATGATAGCATTGATAATGGCGCTTTGAACTGTTCTTGTCTCCATATGACACAGACTATTACTTGATTTTAAATTTTAAGAAAAATATGTGCACTTGGAAGCATTTGATTCAGTTTGGTGAAAGTGATACAATTAAGTTATTGGAGTTAATGATGGGGACACAACATTTTAAAAACACTACTTTCACATTGGTCATCCTTTTACAGTTTTAATTGACCAGTTAAAGTAGAGAATAATTAACAGTATCAGTGGAAATACTTATGTCAAATGGATAGTTCAATTAGAATATTTGCTAGTTTCTTCTAAAAATCTCTATTGTAGCAGATAGAATGTTGTAAGAAATAATATTGCTAATTACCTTTCCAAAACAATATCCTTCACTAGCTCAAGTGCAACAGATTAGATGTAAGGCATTTAATGAGAATGGCACAGCATACTGGATTTTAATTTTAGATTATTGGATACATGTATGGTAGGCAATGATATAATTGAGAAATGACTATGTTACTAATTGAGACTAATGGAAGCAAAATATAGATTTTTTGGTATCGTTTTTATAGCGACTAGAAACAATGTTTATTAAAATAATCAAATTAATTATGTAAATGATTATGTGTTATTTGTTTTTCTTCTGGAGTGCTCCATATTTGCCATAATAAGAAAGGCTGCTGAGTTAAAAGAATAAAAGTTCTGAAATACGGAGTACATATGTTATTGCTAGCTGCCGTTCTTTGATTTACACAGTGTACTCTGTGGGCAACATGATTAAGATAACCACCAGATAGTTCTAAGTAAATACCACTTCTGAATCGGCCTCTTCTTACTTAGGTAAACCCTAGAGTAAGTTGTTTTAAACCCTCTGTAGTTTCATTTCTTTATCTGTTTATATAGTTTATTTTAATGAAGTAGTTTTCAAACTTTTCTGACTTAGTCCAATAGTAAGAAATATATTTTATTGTATGAACCAATATATTTTCATATATACATAAAACAGAAAAAGTTTCACAAAATATTTTTCTTACTATACACACTGCACACTGATATTTTCTTTAAAAATTTGTCTATTTTATATATATATATTTTTAAAAAAACTGATTGTAACTATTAACTGACGGATCATGGCTTGCGGTTAGAAAAACTCTGGTATTGAGGTTCTTGACATTAGCTCAACATGATCGAGAGATCAGAAGGAAGACATGAGTCGGGTTAGATGAAATAATTTTCTACATACAGTGCATAGCATAATAATATAAGTACATGAGAACTAGGTAGCAGGATTTTTAGAATATTTTAATGAAATAGAAGTGTATTTTACTGTCAAAAAATATTTTAAATTAGTAAAGAACCAAGGTGAGAAAAACGTCAGTAGTAATTGTGATACAAATATAATTTCAACATCTAACCTGAGTTTTTGGTAATTTTTCATGTATGTATGTATACAGTTTCTTAATAAAATTTAATAATATTAATATACTTTGTAAAAGACCACTTTTTCTCAAATATTATTTTACAATATAATTTTTAATAGCTGCAAATCATAACAAACCATTATTGAAAAAAGTTGAATTAATACTGATTTTGATTATCTTAATTACATGTGAAAAAAAAAAACTGTGGGATACAAAGGTGTCACCAACAAAATAAATTTGATTGTGTGGTTGCCCTAACAGAGACTGGCTACTTCCTGGCTACAGCAGGAATCTATGGCATTCTTTTCTAAATCATTAATGAGTCGGTCGTTAAGATCTAGTTTCTGGTTTTCTATGTTAAAGGTAGTAGATGAAAATTCCTAAAGTACATGAAACACCTGGATATAAAATAAAGTGATTTGACAGTATATAAATATTATAAAAGGCTGGAGCAAGAGGAGACATTCCTGAACATCAAGTTAAGCATTTGACTTTTTGGGGGAGAGGAAGATTAAATAATCTCAGATCATGACTCCTTTTCTGTACTGGAAACTTTCAGAAACAGTTGTATTGCAAATGGCCTTGGTCTCAGGATGCATTAATATTAACTGTTTATGAAAGGTTCCAATGCATAAAAGGAGTCATGATCAGAGATCATTTAATCTTCCTTTCCCTCAAAAAGTAAAAGGCTTAACTTTTGCATAACTCAATAGCGAATCCACTAATATGTGTCCTTAACATAATTATTTTAAGTGACATAATTAAGTCATATCTTGTATATACCTAATAGTAGTGTTCAATTAACAGGTAATGACTCTATTAGTGAATCAAATTAAATGCTTATTGAAGACACTAAGTTTAACATGTTGCTCTCCAAACTTTTCATTATTTATGCATTTATATATCACTAGTGAGTAGTGTATAAGTCCTGGAATCATGAGAAATTTTGCCATTAAGAAACAACTCAGAGGTTTAACAAGGTAAGAACTAGACTTAGCTAGTTTGGTGAACTTACATATTCATTTTAAGCCCAAGAATTTTTCTCTGCCAGGTCAAATCCCAGCTGGCTCTGTTGGTCATCTGAGGGAGCATCCTGGACATAATCTTTCTTTATCGGATTTTTGAGGAGAGTTTTGTCCTCCTGAATTACACATTTAGATGTTTCACTTATATTCAAGTTTTTACTGCCAGAAGAGTTTTCAAGTTCTAAAGGAATCCATGGACTATCTATACTATATATCATTCTTTAATAGGGTTGTTTTTATACTGCTCTGAAATTGTTCTCTTCTTATCTCCAGTATGTATAAATGTGGTTAAATCTGCAGGTACGGCATCTCAGCTTGGTTTTAAATGTGAAGGAAGGGATTGCTCCTTTGTTTGCATTTGAGGGACAGCAACATACAATGGCTAAAGGTGTCAGTTTTAGAAAAGACTTTGCCAGTGCCACAACTTACTGTCTATGTGGCTTGGGCACAGGAACTTCACCACTTTGTGTCTCATTTCCTGAACTGCAAAAAAAAAAAAAAAAAAAAAAAAAAAGATAAATTAGTACCTGTCTTATTTTTATTTGTGAGAACTTGGTGGCTAATTCATGTGACACACATTCACAGTAACATTTAGTAAATGTTACCTATCTCTGTATCTGTCCTCAGTATCTTATAGCATATAAAAGATGGACATAATTGAATAAATATAATTGGATGAATACATATTATAGCCAAAATTGCTCCCAGATATCTTGTTTGCCCTATTACTTTATGTAATTCTCAAAGATTAAAATAGCCTATTTTACATTCCCTAAAATACCTAGCGTTTGATGCCACAAATGATATTTAATGAATGGGATGTGAGGAATAAAATTAGCAATAACTGTTACAAGACAAAGCACACTCTGTCCTAGAATGAAAATTATTTATAATGATTGAATATGTGTAAGTTGCAGGAAAAATGTATTCTGCAACCATCAAAATCATGTCTTTTTCAGAAGTGATTTTAAATGTATATTGAATTGTATATGTGTATACTTATTTATTTATTTATTTAAACACATCAGCATATTGAATTTTACATTTATATTTTTGAGAAATAAATTAAAAATATGTGACTCCAGTGGACTTCAGGGCAGTTCACATAACTGCAATGCTATTCAAATATCTTTGAGACGTCGTTCCCAGAATAAATTCATTTTGGCAATGAATTGGAATCCAGAATTAAGACCTTTATATTCAAAGTAATTAGTAGTACTTAGTAGTATTAGCAGCTTGACCCTGAATTTTGTGGTCTCTTCTCTAGACTATGTATAGATATTTGTGTCAAACAGTGTCTAACCAGTGTACAATAGATATTAAATTATAGGGAACACATAATAGAGGCCGTGGAGCAGCTTGGGAAGTGGAATGTGCATCTGGAAGTTGATGAGGGTGGGTGGAAGCTAAGAGGATACTGAACTTGACTCACATACTTATTATAATGTAGCAAGTTGTAAATTGTTTCAGGTTTTCTTAGAAATTTTAGAAATGAAATAAAATACAACCCACATTGTCTTTTAAATATACATAGCAGGGAGACATGCCTCAGAGTGTAGTAAAAAAAAAAAAATTGAGAAATTGAAGTCTACATTTGTGGTTTGAACCTGGGTTGTTTTTCTCTAACTGCTGATTCATTTCAACTCAAAAAGAAAAGAATTTCATTTATGTCACAGACCTCAGAAACAATTATTTCCATAGAAATATAGAATCCATAATTAACACTTGAGACAAAAATATATTCTTAAATAAATATTTTAAAAATGTAATTGGAAGAGACAGCCAGATCCTAAGATATACATGTTTTAAAATGATAGGCTCAATAGATGATAGCATAGGGAGAAAGAATCTTAGAAGGCAGAGGTATGGAGACATGACATTACTTTGTCTATTCCTAGTGCAAGCATAATTTTTGAGAAAATAGAGTATTTTAAAATGATATAAGCAAATTTGAATTGTATTATTTTTGAATATTATAAACATGTTGCTTCCCTTACATGCTGCCTCCAGAAGTAATGTTATGTTAAAAATGTACAAAACTTTACCAAACCGCTTTTCTACCTTATTCCATTAGTCAAATTACTGTGGATTTGACTAATTCAGAGCTAGAAGACAATAGGAGACTATTCATTGAAATATATTTAATTGAACTTCTGATTCAACAGCTATATTTCATTTCCATACACTTTCCTCTCTTCATTTTCCTATCTTCCTCATGGCTATATTTCATCATTGTCCTTCCAGCCATAATTTATTCATCCCACCACTCCTTCTTTCTATTCCTTCTTTTTTCTCTTTTCACTTTCCCTTTCTTCTTCTCTTCTCTCTCTTCAACAAGCCTGAATTTCCATGGCCTATCCTCTGCATCTGTTTTTTCTGCCCAGGAATGTACGCAAGGTCTTAGAAAAAGAGAGGTGAACAAAGATCACATAACCATATTGTTGGTTGCTCTTTGCATAGTCCACTAATTAGCAGTAATCTGGCCATTTATCTGGGTGTCTAAACCCCAATTTATTTAAATTTGCCTGGAGTTGCCTGTGAGCTAAGGAAATCCCAGGAGGCCCACCTCCAGAGCTGAATGTCTCTGTCCTCTTTCAGACCTCTCTGCCCTAGAGAAGGATGCTGGTTATCACTTTCAATTTGAATTTTCACTAATCTGCAATTTTTATGAAACCTCAAAATACATATATTAAATATTGCTGTAAACATTTTAAAGACAATGTTGGTAGAATAATTTTATCTGCAGTGTTAGCAAAATGCTTTTTAATAGAGAGCCAGTATTACTTCATCTTAAATAGATTTCTTCTCCTTAAAAAAAACAAAATATTCTGACTTTAAAAGAAAAGATCAAGGCAGGGCGTGGTGGCTCACTCCTGTAATTGCAGCACTTTGGGAGGCTGAAGCGGGAGGATTGCCTAAGCTCACGAGTTGGAGACCAGCCTGGGCAAAACGGTGAAACCCCATCTCTACTAAAATACAAAAAATTAGCCAGGCATGGTGGCGTGAGCCTGTAATCCCATCTACTGGGGAGGCTGAGACAGGAGAATCACTTGAACCTGGGAGACGGAGGTTGCAGTGAGCTGAGATCATGCCACTGCACTTCAGTCTAGGTGACAGAGCAAGACTCCATCTTAAAAAAAAAAAAAAAAGATCAAAACAATCTTTGAACATGTTAAATGCAATATGGTAAAATTTTTTTGGTAAAGATTTCTAAGTGGAAAATTGTAAACCAGAGGGTTCTTCAATTGAAAAACAGCCATATCTTTCAAAAAGCATCCTTCCTATATGTAAAACAAAGTGTCTTCTGTTTGCCTTTGGATCACTCATATTAACAAAGCATTCTGTATTGGTGAGATTCTTTGATGACTGACACTTTTCTGTTATGTTTCTAAAGGCCTTTTCCTTCACACAATATTTTGCAAAACTCATTAATATACTTATAAAGTTTTTAAAAAATTATTATAAACAACTCTGGAATTTGTAAATAAGGTAAAAGAATTAAATGCTCACTAGGAAGCATATTGAAAAAAAATTTTTTTAATTTAGTTTGAATAACAATCTTATTCCCATAGTGGCTGGAATCCTTCCTTGAATTTTTTTATTTTGTCACTGTTTCTTCTCTATCTCTTATAATTCTGCATCTCATAATTCCCTGATTTTTGTGTTTCTTCCTTCTACTGTTTCTATTTCTAATCAAAATAACTTAAATGTTCATGTAAGGGACTTTACGGCTGAGGGCGGTGGCTCACGTCTGTAATCCCAGCACTTTGGGAGGCCGAAGCAGGCGATCACCTGAGGTCAGGAGTTCGAAACCAGCTTGGCCAACATGGTGAAACCCCATGTCTACTAAAAATACAAATATTAGCCTGGTGTACTGGCATGAGCCTGTAATTCCAGCTACTCGGGAGGCTGAGGCAGCAGAATCGCTTGAACCCGGCCCGGGAGGCAGAGGTTGCAGTAAGCTGAGATCGCGCCACTGCACTCCAGCCTGGGAGACAGAACAAGACTCCATCTCAAAAAAAAAAAAAGGGGGGACTTCACTTATATTGCTATAGGCTCCTTATAAAGAGTCTAGTAATAAGGTTTTCTGAATCAAGATGAATGTATTTTATTTGAAAGCCACTCTCACCCACTTCTAGTTCAATGATTTTGCACAGGGTTGATAAAAAATGTGACAGTGCAGAGGTATCCTATCTGAAGTCTCTGTTCTCATTTGTCACTTTGTGGAAGTAGAAGTTGGCTGCAAAGTATTCACCAAGCCACAGCTATTGTTGTCTTACTTAATCGATTCTTCCTCATCAACATAAGTAATTGAGGAACTATCAGGGAAATATTGTAACCTATGTTTCTTGGATAAATTCTTTTCCGTTTTTGTACTCTAGACACATTGGCGTTCAGTTACTTCATGTCGTATCCAAGCTCAGGGCCTTTGCATATGGTGTTCTTTCTAGGTAGAATAATTCCTGCTTAATTTTTATTGTGTCAATTGTTGCTAATTTCACAAATCTCAGTTTAAATATGAGCTTCTTTTGAATGCCTCTTCTAACTACCCAGAATTGGTAGGTTTTCCAAATAAACCTTACCAGAAAGAATGCATTTTTTTCTTAGCACTTACTACAATTCCAAGAATTCCAATTACAGAATTCTTTCTGTAAATCTTTCTATCATGTCTGCTTTTGCTGCTAACCTGAGAAATCCATCATGGCAAAGACTGTGTCTGACATGGTCATTGCTATACCTCTGGTACCTAGAGGAATGCTTGGAACATTGGAGTTGTACCATAATTATTTACTGGGAGAAAGAAGACTCAGGGGAAAGGGTGGGAGGGAGATGAGAGATAAAAGACTACAAACTGGGTTCTGTGTATAATGCTTAGGTGACGGGTGCACTAAAATCTCACAAATCACCACTAAAGAACTTACTTATGTAACCGAAAACCACCTGTTCCCCCAAAACCTATGGAAATAAAAATTTTTTTAAAAAGATAAAGTTATGAAAAAACTAATTATTTTTCAATTAACTTTTTAAAAAAACTGGTACATCAAAATTATTTTGAAAATATCCAAGAACTAGTCTTTTTTCATAAAGTCATAATTAGATAGTCTCTGAAGGAGTTGATGGAGCAACGAGATTATGGGAAAAGATGAGAGCCTCATATATACCACATTGGTATATAACAATGAAGAAGTAACTAACTCTCCTGGAACCAAGGTTTCAGACAAATGAAACATCACAGAGGCAATGATCAATATATATATTTGAAGTAAAATTTTGAGTTTGGTAGGCCTTTTGTTCATCCAACAGGTAATGAAATCACTGGGGAAAATCCTGCAGATTTAGAGAACTGAAGAAAATGTACCTCAACTATCTGCAATCTAAGGGACAAAACAGAATAAGGAAGGAATAAAATGGCAGAATGAACTATTAAATAAGTACAACACTGAAGATACAGTCAGAGTTCATGAGATTCCAGGTGGAATATGAAAGAAGAGAAGAAGTAAATTTGTGATGGTATGAATATACATGCACACACAGGTAAAGGAAAGAAGGTCAGATTGTGAATGTGTGCTAAGGAATTATGAAGTACATAACTTATGTTTTATTTTTGTTTACATTTGTTTTTCTGTAGGTAACTTTGAAGTCAATGAGGCAAATGGATGAAAGAGAGGAGGGAATGAGACCATGGTAACAGTAAGAGCCTACTGAAACAATTCAGGCAAGAGATGACCAAACTGTGCCTTGTGGTATTAGTTAGTAGATAAAATAAACAGAACAGGAAATATCCCCTAGATAATTGAAATGAACACTTTCAAATAGTTATTGTAGAATGACATGAAAAGTTTACTATAAGCAGTGTTTGAGATCTATAAAAATTAAAGTTATTAAACACCAATAAAGTGAAGGAATCTGAAACCTTCACGTTTCATTATGTGTCTGAAATTAAATGAAAATATCCTTCCACTTTCATTTTATCAGCAAAACAAGAGATGTAGAGAAGAATGGTTATAGCACAAACATATTTCTCTATTGTCTTTTTCCCCCCAAGGACAGTAAAGACACAGTGCTGTGCCCACATACTTTTGTGTGATTACATATCCTCAATTTATACTTAGGACTTTAAACACCAATGTGCTCATGGGGTGAAAAAGAACAAGTAGTGAAGCTATCACTCTGAATTCCCAGAATTTTTACTCTGAAATATCAGTTAGCAGTCACTTGGCGTGAATTCTCACTCTAAAACACCAGTTAGTAATCACTTGGCTTGAATTCAATATATATATTCTATTGTGTGTTGTGAAAAGCTACAGATAGGATTGATGACTTTTGGTACTAGAGTCATAAAAAAGTACTCAGTAATTTATATTATAAGCCCCCTTATTAATGGAAGGTTAGGAGAATGTTGTTTTGACAGTAGATAAAAGGTATTTTAGTGTGCATTTATGTTGTTCAGTTGGCCAATATTTGCTCATTTGGACTTTTAAAATAAGGATAAAGAACATTTTAAAAGCTAATGGTGTTCATATTTACTAGAAAGATTGGGAAATATAGCAACTATAAATAATAAAATATCATTTATAATCCCTCCATGCAAATATATCCTCAATTAATATTTACATTATAGCATATTTACTTTTAGTCACATATACATGAATATTTAATATGCTTGCAATCACACTGTCTATAATATTGTCTGTTTTGCTTTTATCATATTGTGAGAACACTTCAAAATTATAAAAATCTATTTGATTCTCATTTAATAGCCAATTAACATTCAAAATTATGACATGAGATTTGGATATATTAATTTGTAGCTAAGCCTGGAGATGTTTCCAAATACTTTTGGTAATGTAAAATAGTTCTTTGAGGTTCATTTTTCTATGTACAGTTCTCTTCTCAAATCTCAGATTATGTCTTTAAAATTGAAATTCTGACATAAAATTAAGTGAACTCTTAAAAATTTCTTGCTGTTTACTCCCAACGGGCATTCTAGAAAGTCTATAACAACATATAGTCTAACCAAGAGCTTAGTTAATTGAAATTATTATCTTTCCCTTTTTATAATTATTTGACTCTTAATACATTAATCATTTATTCTATGAATTGTTAGTTAATATCTCCTTAAGTAATATTATCTAAATGTGCTAATGCTTTAATGATAGGTTGAACCCCATTTTTACATTAAAAGTATTATCACCTTTTTATAGATAAAATTTCGTATTGTTTTAACTTCTGAAAAAGATAGAAGTGGCTGGGCACAGTGGCTCACACCTGTAATCCCAGCCCTTTGGGAGGCCACGGTGGGCGGATCACAAGGTCAGGACATCCGGACCATCCTGGCCAACATGGTGAAACCTCGACTCTACTAAAAATACAAAAAAAGATTAGCCGAGTGTGGTGGTGGGTGCCTGTAGTCTCAGCTACTCGGGAGGCTGAGGCAGGAGAATCGCTTGAACTCGGGAGGCGGAGGTTGCAGTGAGCCGAGATTGCACCACTGCACTGCAGTGAGCTGAGATCGTTCCACTGCACTCCAGCCTGGGGGCAGACGAAGACTCCGTCTCAAAAGAAAAAAAAAGACGGAAGTAGTTTTTTTCCCTGAAACTTTTGTTCCAAATGATAATACAGTATATTTGTTTCATAGAGAAGTTTGTGATATCTGCTTTGTATTTAAGTTTTAGTAAATATATCAAAATCTGTTTCTCTATGTCTGGCCCTGAGTGTAAATGATGGATGGAAATTAAATCTAGGTTAGAGTCAAACTCTATGTAAAAATCCAGTATGGTTGAATTGCTAGAAATCATGAGATTTTTGATTACTTATAAAGGCTTTCAAATTGATAAATCGTCTTTTTATAAAAAGGGTTCATAGTGTCCCACTTTATTTTGCTTTCTATGTGATAATTGGCAAAGTACTTTTTCCTCTATCTCAAGCTGAGTTTTGGGATCCAGAATCCAATCACAATATGCAAATGAATTTCAATTACCTACAAGTCTCGGCTAGGCACAGTGGTTTGAAACGGTCAGAAATTTGGGTTCAGAGAATCAAATGTCTCCACATTTGACATTGACACTTGGGAAGAATACCTGGCCATGGGAAGCATTGTTGGGCTTGAATGAAATGAGTTCAGTCAGTAATGCCTTCTACTGATGACCCTTGAGGAAGGAGTCTCCATGCAGTAAGTAATTTATTTCTCCCTTTTGTTTAAGGCCCTCTCCCACCCCCTACTTTGATGCCTCTCCAATTTCTGTATTTCCAGCTAAATAACCCAATAGCAATATAATCATTTACTTCTGAGTAGAAACTGTTTCTTTTAGAAGAGGCATGCATGAGCTCTTTTATTTGCCAGGTTGTGACAGATATTCCCTATTTGCTTCCCTACATTCACTTTCCGTCCTTCTCTACCTGGGAAGTGTATCTGCATGAATGACATCAACAAAGCTTCCATTCTTTTGATTTCCATTTGCTTTCAGCCAGTGGAGAAGTAAAAAGCAATGAAGAGTAGTTAGGATATTTATTTTCCTGGATGAACCCCATGTGAAATCACCAGCCTTAACTGAAGATTGCCTCATCTCAAGTGGTGGCTTCTTCTATGTGATTCTTGCTCCTTCCTGTTTTCAGTAAACTTTTCCTCCCCTAATCTCTTCAGTCCTCCATGTGCTAGTACTGCTACTGCTGCTAGTCCGAGGTTCACTGCATACTCCTTACCAATTAGCCATTATTTAATAATTACTGTTTTCTATTAATACTTAGTTTTTTCTTTTTTTGTAGATAAACCATATTAGTTATCTATTACTATGTAACAAATTACCTTAAAACTTCTGAGTTCAAAACAGATGAACAATTATCTCACAATTTTCTGTGGGTCAGGAATTTAGGAGTGGCTTAGCTGTGTAAGGTTGAGAGAGGACTCTCCATGAATCCCTCACATTTCTACATGTATTGAGAACCAAGACACTGATGACCTTTATTCAAGGCTATCTTTTCAAAGATATTTGTATAGTGATCTGCCTTGGAAGATAGCTATAAGATCTCTTACCTGAACCAAGGATAGCCATCTTTACTGTCCAGTATAAAATATTTAGGTTTCCTAGGCTCAAGATTCCTCTCTTATAATGCAATTCATTGTACGAGGTGTCACCTGGTCCTCTGTGGTGCCTATGGGAAGTGGGATTTGAACATGTGTGAGAACATGCTAACTCTCTGGCTATTGTTACTGCTGTGAATAAAAACTTATTTGGCTCTGACCCAGGAATCTTGTGTCTTCTGCTATAATCCATAAATATAGGGCAGGCTAACATATTAGCTGGCAATTACAGTAAAATCATAGACCCTCCAGAGTTCTTGACAGGTAGTCCTGGCTCAGGGTATCTCATGAGGTAGCAGTCAAGATGTTGGCAGCAACTGTAGTCATCTGAAGACTTGATTAGAGCTGGAGGATCTGCTTGCAGGTTGGCTTACTCACACAGCCGGCAAGTTCATGCTGCCTGTTGTTGGGAGGGCTTAGCCCTTGCCACATGGAACTCTCCATAGGCTAGTCTGAGTATTCTTACAACATGGCAGTTGGTTTCCCCAAAGTGAGTGACCTAAGAGAGGGCAAGATAGAAGACATGATGTCATTTATGATCTAGCCTCAAAAGTTACAGTGTCATATCCACAGGATCCTACTGGCTTCACTGGACAACCCTGGTCAATATAGGAGGTGAATATACAAGGATATGAATACCACCAGGTAAAGATCATTAAAGGCAACCTCGGAGGATGGCTACCACATGAACTCTTTCTCAAAATATCCTAATTTGTGTCTAACATCTCTTTCCTTAATGCTACTCTGACTCAAACTTCTTTACATGTACTGGTCACTGCTTAGCCCCTATAGGTATGTTTGTATTTGAATTTGCTCCCTGTGCTCTCTTACATTATCCATAAAGTAAGACACACCTGGGGTCAGTAATTCCATTTACAGAGGAAATGTGAAATTTAAAAGTTTAAATAATTTGGCCAAAATCTTGCACCCAGTATGAGACTAAAGAGACCCCAAATCTAGAACTCTTTTGAATATTCAAAACAGCTATTTGGGTAACAAATATAAAAATGAATTAAGAATGACAATCTTGGAATCTTCAGTAAACTGGATTAATATGTAGGAAACGTATAGGAATATGCCTACCAAAGAATTTTTTCTACTTCCTTACTAGAAGTTTTCTAAAATGTCCATTGTAAAAGTTATGTTGGAGGACCATTCGAGAAATTCTATATTTTGTCTTAATTAAGACATTTTATCAGAAAGACAATGTATTACCCAAGTCTTATGATAATAGTTTTAGAAATTGTTATTTAATAATATATTTATAATTGAGTGTAATCTCTAAACAAATATAGTCACCCAGAAGAAAGCTTGCACACACACAAACACACAAAGTTTCATTTTATTGAAGGAGTTTGAGAAAGTCTTGAGATCTCTATGATTTTCTGCAGTGAGGTTCTTGGATGATTTGGTACTATATTTGGAGGTGTCTAAAACAATGACAGTGACCATAAGAAATTCTATCTTCTTCACAAATTCGACTTGAATTGACCCTAATAGCAGAATGCACTGGTAATTCACTTTTTAATGAAAAAATGATGAACAGTTTTATCATTACTGTGTAAACAAACTTGGAAAGCTTTGAATTATTTCTTTTCTCTTACTGAAAGAAAAGTATTAGTCTACTGTAACAGTGTTATATTGTGGTTAGAAATATTCCGAGGCTAGAAATCTTATTTAAAAAATCCTCCCTTACAGTCTTTCAGTGAAAGTATATTTAGTCTTTGCCAGTGTTTCGAGCTGAAAAAGTTCATTTACATTTATCTTTTTTCACTCTTTTCTTTTAACTCATTCCTATAACAATTCTCTTTTCTGTAGCTTCCCTGACAGAAAAAGCTAAGAAGTTTTCAAATTCAATAAGCAAGATGGGAAGGAAGACATCTCTTAACTAAACCTCTATCAGGGAACTTCAGGTTTTTAGTGTATGGGAGGTCTTTAGAGCCATCAATCTGCTAAAGCAACTGACAACTTGGAGTGTTTTGATTGTACGTGTGATGTCCTGGATGTGGGCTAGTATTTTAGTGTAAAACAATTCTACTTTCTAGAGATTCCTCAGCCTATTCCGGAAGGATCAAAATTCAAAGTATCAGTACACTCTTTCTTTCAAGGTTTCCAAGAAGAGAGGGAGAAATAAACACATTGATATATTGCATACTTGCATCTCTTGGGTATGACATTAAAACACATTCTTTTGAACAACATTCAACATACTCTCAAAAAAAGCCCCCTACCTAAGACAAACAAACAAACAAAACATCCAGACTCTGCTGCCAGAGCTGCTGTTCAGGTTCAGTGTTCAGCCTCTGAATACTTACTTTTGGCAGTTGAGTGTGGATTATGCTAACAGATCACCAGATGGGGGGTTGTGGGACAAACTTTGGTAGAGTTGGAATCATGGATGCACTCACAGAATGTTCCTTTCCTCTCCTCTGCTAGCTGACTTTTGGTCTTCTCTTGCCAATTGTTGATGGTTCTGTGATTGGGCCAATGAGGACTTATTTTCCAGGATTATAGACTGGCTGTATCCCTCTTTCTTGGCTCTCTGTCTCTCCTCAATTTCCTTCCCGCACCTCCCCGCTGCTCCCCTCTCCTTTCCAACCCTCTCCTCTCTTGGTAGAGCTGAGCAAGAGAAGCCACAGTTCTCTTTGTCAGCCATCTTTAGAACACCAGAAGAAACAGCCATAGGTTGATGGAACAGAGAGATGAGAGAATTAAGCCCCTTGATGTTATCTTCAAGCCATTCTTCCTTCTCTGCTTTGACTTGCTCTAACTGTAAGCTGGGAACAGTTTGCTCATTACTGAAGCCACCCTGAATAGGGTTTCCTTTCATTGTAGCTAAAGCATCTACTCCGACACAGAGAGCACATGGGAACTAGAGAGGTAAGCAGAAGCACTAGTGGCCTGGCTGGGTATCCTCTGCAATGGATGTGGAGGTGAGAAAGCTGGGATAATACATAATCCATTGCAAGATACTGTGTATTCAAGACTATGTTTTAGAAAGATCAGTTTGTCAGCAGTGACTGAAAGAAAGGAATATGTTGGGAAAATAATTTTGGGGGAAAAAAATGTGTCTGTCCCGTGTTTTGGTGAATCTGCAACAGTAGATTTAATATTGTACTCTAGAAAGGCACAGCAGGGCCAGCCATTTGGCCCAGCTCCACTCAGGGGGGTCTTCTCTTATAAGTTTAATATATTTATATTATGTTTCTGAATGAGACTTTTCTTCAGGAAAATTTTCTCAAGGAAAATCTTGAGGTTTACATTCAAGTATATGCTTGAAAAGTGCTGTTTAGCAATAAGCATTTATTCTGTCACTGTTTTACAGTGAGCTCAATGAGTGCCCAAGAAATCACATATCTTATGTCACTCATTTCTGTCTACACCTGAGTTCTGGCAAAACCATCATTGCTTCTTGTCCCCATCTAGCCTATCATCACCACCCTTTCTGTGGGCAGATGAGGAAAAAGATATTGCCATTCTTCCATCTCTTTGTCTTCATTCTTCTCTCCAATGCCACTGAGAAAATGGGATACAACTTTGTCAACACGCAACACAGCTTTTCAACCTACATGTGTAGTCAAGCTATGTTTGTTTGGTTTTTTTCCAGGGATAAATTTGACTTTAAGATTTCAAATAGCTATTATCAGCTATTTGTCTTTCTTTTTTTCTCATTTTGAGCCCAAGAAGTTTATTTATTTGTTTGCATTTTGTTGTTGTTGTTGTGAGAATAGGTGAATAGCAGCTGTTCACTGTATCCAATCAAAATAGACTATTTTCTCTATTTCAATTAGCAAACTATCTGCCTAAATATAAAATAGTAATTGTAGCAGAAGCACCGACAGCAGCCTTGAGAATAAAACTAACAAAATATCTGCCCTTAACCCAGGATTTTTATATATATAACTCATTTGCTTTGGTAAAATAACTACTGGCAAAGCTGAACCTAAATAGCATTTCAGATGCATCCTAAACAGCTTGCCTGAAGACTGTAGCACACTGTGCTTATATACTTTCTGAAATCTATATTTTATTTTGTTTTGAAAAAGATTCGAGAATAGAATTATATTAGAACTAGTGGAGGCATGATCCATGCCCCCTTGATTATATTGAAACATTAAAATGTCATCAGCATGTTAATTTTGTCATCTCAACTGCATGAGATTTATTCAGCACTTCTATCTATTACATTACTCTGGAAACACAATTTATTCTGATTGTGGAAATGTCATAGGCAGCGACTAAAAACATCTGGAATTCTTAGTTTAGAAAGAATGTCTGGTTTCAAAAATGCTATTTCTAAATTAATTTTATCTATAAAGAAGGCAAGACTCAAAGATTTTTAAATTACTCAAATTGCAATATTCATTTGGCCTACCAATTTTAACATAGGAGGTCAAAAACCAAAAAAAGAAAAACAAAATTAGTGCATAAGTAATTATTTTAATGATTGGGAAAATAAAAGAGTCTCCAATGAAGGTTTAATTTCTGGAAAATAGAGTGACCTGGCTTTTTGTTTGTTTGTTTTTTCTCTTCATTAAAGCAAGAAAAGCTTGACTAAGCCTGTGACACATGTAGGAAGCTGAAACAAGGGTGGGAGATGGGTAATTAATCCCAAGAAGACAGAAGACACAGAATTGTCAAAATGGGACAAAGAAATGTGATTTTAGTTTTTATGTTTTACTTTTTCCTTTATTAAACTTGTAAACAGAGTACATTTGTCTGCTGCTTCTGAGGTGAAAGCAATTCCCCTGCTGAGGACTTGTCTACAGGGCAGTGGGGGAGAAAGGAAAGCAAACTTTGACTGCAGATAATTCAAAGATATTTTCAGTATGCATATTCACATTCTGTTATCTGGGATTTCTAAGTCCTGAAGACACTTAAGACTGAAATGAATGCCCTATTGGGGCTCAGAAAACATACCCCAAAATGAAGGGCTCAGCAGCAGCCTCAGAATAAAATGTTTTTCTCTGACCTTTTCCTCCCGTCCTGTCTCTCAGGCCCATTTTCTCCCAAGTCTAGCCATATAAACTAGAAACCCTCTTCCCAAAAGTGTATCATAAAAACCAGAACCACTTTTCCCCAAAGCCAGCCAAAAAACCTAAAAGTATTACTCTAACTTTCCCTCTTCCCTATCTGTGTAAAAACTGGCCTTAAAGAAACTATCTGACCTACCTTGTTTGACTGTAGGTTATAAGACTCCCATTCCAGAGAAGATCTTGTTCCATATATAGAAGGAAGAAATATATGCTCAGAGAGGCCAAGAAGAATCTAGACAGATAGGCTTGTGGGTTTCCTCACTCAGTCTTTAAATATTAGATCATACTCTTTTCCTCCAATATTGTTTCTACATGGCTGTCCATACATTGTAGAATTTAAGCATAAAAATGGAGAATTTTCCGTGTATCTTTGGTCTTCATTCTGAAGGTTCCCATGTATACATGTTAAATACATTTCTATGCCTTTACTCCTATTAATCTGCCTCATGTCAGTGGTTTTTTCAGTGAACCTTCACAGGGCCCTCAGCCCCTACAGCCCATTGGGTGGCAAAACTGCATCTGACCAAATGTGAGACTATTTATATTCTCCAGTTCATTTCTTGAAATATTCTCGATTTCACTGCAGACTTAACATAATGTGATTATTACAGGGTGCTGTCCCAAACCTCATTTAGTATGTTTTGTGAGGTTTTTTTTTTCCCCTAAGATTTGAAAAATTCTGAGTTCCAAAACATATCTGGTCCCAAAAGTTTCAGATAAAGGAGTGTGGATTCAGATAAAGGATTAGTAAATTTTAGAGGTCCCCAAAGAAGGATGTTGTGATGGTTAATACTGAGTGTCAACTCAATTGGATTGAAGGATACAAAGTATTGATCTTGGGCTTGTCTGTTAGGGTGTTGCCAAAACAGATTAACATTTGAGCCAGTGGGCTGGGGAAGGCAGATCCACCCTTAATCTGTTGGGCACAATCTAATCAGGGAATATAAAGAAGGCACAAAAACGTGGAAAGTCCAGACTGGCCTAGTCTCCCAGCCTACATCTTTCTCCCGTGCTGGATACTTCCTGCCCTTGAACATTGGCCTCCAAGTTTTTCAGTTTTGGGACTTGAACTGGCTCTCCTTGCTCATCAGCTTGCAAACAGCCTATTGTGGGACCTCATGACCATGTAAGTTAATATTTAAAAACTCCTATATATATATATATATATATATATATATGTATATATCCTATTAGTTCTGTCCCTCTAGAGAACCCTGACTAATACAGATTTTCATACCAGGAGTGGTTCTAGAGGAATAGAATATTAAGGATGGAATTATTTCATTGGTCTTGGGGTTTCTGCATTTGGCTGCTTAATATGATTAGATCCAACAATGCTAAGGACTCTACTTCTAATAGTATGAAGAACACTGATAGTCCTTGGCATGAACTATTTAGAGAGTTATGAAAAATAAATGCATTTGACATTCCTGACTCACTGCTCCTGAGAGGCAAGGAGTTTAGTGACTCTCTACATAATACTTTTGACCATATGTGGAAAACATAATGAACCTGGTTGGTTGTTCCTAAGTTCAGTGGACAAACTGATGAAAGAAAATGATGAACTCAGGGGCTCTGTCTCCCAGCTTCAGAAGCAGATACTGAGCCTCAAATCTGCTAAGATTGCCCTGAGTCAGAGTCTTATTTCCTTTAGAGAAAGAGCTGAAATTGTGGAAAAACAGACACAAGCTCTGCGAGTGGCTGATCTGCAATGAAAGATGTATGCACAGCCTCAACAGGTGTCTACTGTTAAAGTGAGGGCATTGATTGGAAAAGAATGGGACCCTGAAACTTGGAATGGGGACATGTGGGAGGGCCCTGATGAAACTGGGGACACTGAGTTTGTAAACTCTGATGAAACTTTTTTGCCAGAAGGAGCAGCTTTCCCATCTCTAGTGGAGACAATATCCCCTCCCTATCCTATGCTGCCATCAGCCTTTCCACCTTTGTCTGAGGAGATAAACCCTGCACTGCCTGAGGCAGCAGTGATGACCTCCCCTGAGGCAGTTGCCAGACAAAATAATGTTGATTCTTCTCAGGAGAAACCCCCAACACCCCTGTTTGCTTCTACAACTATAGCTAGACTGAAGTCCTGGCTGGCCCCTGGAGATGAGATTGAGACTGTGACCCATGAGGAAGTGTGCTACACTCAAAAAGAACTATTTGAGTTATCTAATTTATATAAACAGAAATCTGGAGAATAGGCATGGGAATGAACATTAAGGGTGTGGGATAATGGTGGAAGGAACACAGAGTTGGATCAGGCTGAATTTATTGATTTGGACCCACTAAGTAGGGACTCTGCTTTTAATATTGCAGCTCAAGGAGTTAAAAAAGGTTCTAATAGTTTATTTGCTGGTTAGCTGAAATGTGGATTAAAAGATTGCCCACTGTGAGTGAGCTAGAAATGCCTGATCTCCCTTGGTTTAATGTAGAGGAAGGGATCCAAAGGCTTAGGGAGATTGGGATGGTGGGGTGGATTAGTCACTTTAGACATACTCATCCCAGCTGGGAGGGTCCAGAAGATATACCCTTAACCAATGCCTTGCAAAATAGATTTGTGAGGGCAGCACCTGCATCTTTGAAGAGTCCTGTAATTGCTCTTCTCTGTGTGTCAGATCTAACAGTGGGAACTGCAGTCACTTGACTACAGAAGTTAAATACAATGGGAATAATTGGATCCCGAGGTGGCAGGGGCCAAGTGGCGGCACTCAACTGTCAAAGGCAAGGTGGGCATAGCTAACATAATGGACAGCAGAGGCAAAGCAGCAATCAGAACAGTCTGACTCATGTAGAGCTCTGGCATTGGCGAATTAATCATGGACTCCTTAGAAGTGAAATTGATAGGAAGCCTACTGCATTCCTAGTTAATTTATACAAGCAGAAAAACTCGAGGTCGAATGGACAAAAGACTAAATTATAAAAACTGAGGATCATGGCCCCTCAATCAATTTCCAGACTTGTGCCAGTTTACAGACCCAGAAACCCTTGAATAAAGGGGACCCTGGGTCCCCTTGAGAAAGAACCCCACTACATTACCGACAATTTATGCAGTGAATCTTTCTCCCATCCTTCTGCAAGGACACTTCCAGCCTTTTACCAGGGTAACTGTGCACTGGGGAAAGGGAAATGAGACATTTCCGGTACTGCTGGACGCTGGCTGTAAGCTCACGTTGATTCCAGGGGACCCAAAACGTCATTGTCCTCCTCCAGTTAAAGTAGGGGCTTATGAAGGTCAAGTAATTAATAGAGTTTTAGCTCAGATCCAACTTACATTGGGTCCAGTGGGTCCCTGAACTCATCTTGCGGTCATTTCCCCAGTGCCAGAATGTATAGTTGGCATAGACATACTTAGCAGCTGGTGGAACCACCACATTGGCTCCCTGACTGGTGAGGGCTTTTATGGTGGGAAAGGCCAAATGGAAGCCATTACAGCTGCCTCTACCTAGAAAAATGGTAAATCAAAAACAATATTGCATCCCTGGAGGGATTGTGGAGATTAGTGCAACCATCAAGGACTTGAAAGACGTATGGGTGGTGATTCCCACCACATCCCTGTTAAACTCTCCCATTTGTCCTGTGCAGAAGACAGATGGATCTTGGAGAATGACAGTGGATTATCATAAGGTTAACCAAGTGGTGACTCTAATTGCAGCTGCTGTCTCAGATGTGGTTTCATTGCTTAAGCAAATTAACATATCTCCTGGTACCTGGTATGCAGCCATTAAATTGGAAAATGTCTTTTTCTCCATTCCTGTCCACAAGGCCCACCAGAAACAATTTGCTTTCAGCTGGCAAGGCCAGGAATATACATTTACTGTCCTATTTCAGGGGTATATCAACTCTCTGTCTTTGTGTCATAATTTTATTTGGAGAGAACTTGATTGCTTTTTGCTTCTGCAAGATATCACACTGGTCCTTTACATTGATGACATTATGCTGATTGGATCCAGTGAGCAAGAAGTAGCAAACACATTGTACTTACTGGCGAGACATTTGTGTGCCACAGGATGGAAAATAAATCCGACTAAAATTCAGGGACCTTCTACCTCAGTAAGACTTCTAGGGGTCCAGTGGTGTGGGGCCTGTTGAGACATTCCTTCTAAGGTGAAGGATAAGTTGCTACATTTGGCCCCTCCTACAACCAAGAAAGAGTCACTACACCTAGTGGGCCTATTTCAATTTTGGAGGCAACACATTTCTCATTTGGGTGTGTTACTTCGGCCCATTTATTGAGTGACCTGAAAGGCTGCCAGTTTAGTGGGGTCCAGAACAGGAGGAACCTCTGCAACAGGTCCAGGCTTCTGTGCTTTTCCAATAGTGCTTGCTATGTCAGTGGCAGATAGCGATGCTGTTTGGAGCCTTTGGCAGGCCCTCATAGTTGAATCACAGCAGAGGCCTCTAGGATTGTGAAGCAAGTCCCTGGCATCTTCTGCAGATAACTACTCTCCTTTTGAGAGACAACTCTTGGCCTGTTACTGGGGTTTGGTAGCAACTGAACGTTTGACTTTCGTTCATCAAGTCACCATGGCACCTGAATTGCCTATCATAAACTGGGTGCTTTCTCACCCATCTAGCCATAAAGTGGGTCACGCACAGCAGCATTCCATCATCAAATGGAAATGGTATATATGCGATTGGGCTTGAGCAGGTCCTGAAGGCACAAGTAGCTTACATGAGGAAGTGGCTCAAATGCCCCTAGTCTCCACTGCTGCCACCTTGCCTTCTCTCCCCCAGCCTGCACTGATGGCCTCATGGGGAGTTCCCTATGATCAGTCAACAGGAAGAGAAGACTAGGGCCTGGTTCACAGATGGCTGGTTCTGCACAATATGCAGCCACCATCCAAAAGTGGACAGCTGCAGCACTACAGCCCCTTTCTAGGACATCCCTGAAGGAAAGCGTTGAAGGGAAATCTTCCCAGTGGGCAGAACTTTGAGCAGTGCACCTGGTTGTGCACTTGGCATGGAAGGAGAAATGGCCAGATATGCGATTATATACTGATTCATGAGCTGTAGCCAATGGTTTGGCTGGATGGTCAGGGACTTGGAAGAAGGATAATTGGAAAATTGGTGACAAAGAAATTTGGGGAAAAGGTATGTGGATGGACCTCTCTGAGTGGTCAAAAATCGTGAAGATATTTGCATCCCATGTGGATGCTCACCAATGGGTGACATCAGCAGAGGAGGATATCAAGTGGATAGGATGACCCATTCTGTGGACACCACTCAGCCTCTTTCCCCAGCTACCCTGTCATCACCCAATGGGATCATGAACAAAGTGGCCATGGAGGCAGGAATGGAAGTTGCACGTGGGCTCAGCAACATGGACTTCCACTCACTAAGGCTGACCTGGCTATGGCTGCTGCTGAGTGCCCAATTTGCCAGCAGCAGAGACCAGCACTGAGCCCTCAATATGGCACAATTCCTCTGGGTGATTAGCCAGCTACCTAGTGGCAGGTTGATTATATTGGACTTCTTTCATCATGGAAAGGGCAGAGGTTTGTCCTCACTGGAATAGACAATTAATCTGGATATGGGTTAGCCTATCCTTCACACAGTGCCTCTGCCAAGACTACTGTCCGTGGGCTCATGGAATGCCTTATCCACCGTCATGGTATTCCACACAGCGTTGCCTCTGACCAAAGCATTCACTTTACAGCTAAAGAAGTGTGGCAATGGGCTCATGCTCATGGAATTTACTGGTCTTACCACGTTCCCCATCATCCTGAAGCAGCTGGATTGATAGAACGGTGGAATGGCCTTTTGAAGCCACAATTACAACATTGACTAGGTGACAATACTTTGCAGGGTGAGGCAAGTTCTCCAGAAGGCCATGTATGCTCTGAGTCAGCATCCAATATATGCTACTGTTTCTCCCATAGCCAGGATTCACAGGTCCAGAAATCAAGGAGTGGAAGTGGAAGTAGCACCACTCACCACTCACCATCACCCCCAGTGATCCACTAGCAAAATTTTTTGCTTCCTGTTCCCACAACATTACATTCTGCTGGCCTAGAGGTCTTAGTTCCAGAGGGAGGGATGCTGCCACCAGGAGACACAATGATTCCATTAAACTGGAAGTTATGATTGCCACCTGGACACTTTGGGCTCCTCCTACCTTTAAGTCAACAGGCTAAGAAGGGAGTTACAGTGTTGTCTGGGGTGATTGACCTGGACTATCAAGATGAAATCAGTCTACTACTCCACAATGGAAGTAAGGAAGAGTATACATGGAATACAGGAGATTCACTAAGGCATCTGTTAGTATTACCATGCCTTGTGATTAAGGTCAATGGGAAACTACAATAGCCCAATCCAGGCAGGACTACAAATGGGCCAGACCTCTCAGGAATGAGGATTTCTGTCACTCCACCAGGAAAAAATCCATGACTTCCTAAGGTGCTTGCAAAGGGAATACAGAATGGGTAGTAGAAGAAGGTAGTCATCAATACCAGCTATGACCACGTGACCAGCTGCGGAAATGAGGACTATAATTGTCATGAGTATTTCCTCCTCCTTTTGCTAAAAACATGTTTGTGCATGTATACACTTGTACTAAGAAAATATCTTTATTTCCTCTATCATGTGACATAAGATTTATTGAATTCATACCAGCATTGAAGTATTGTTAACCTTATGTAATAGTATTTGAGTAGGGGATTGGTGCATTTCCAGTTGTACAAAGGATAGTTGTATTATGTTAGGTGTAATTATGATCTTATTATTGTCTTTATTTGAAGATTATGTATGATCTCAGGAGATGTGTATGAGTTCAAGTTGACAAGGGGTGGGCTTGTGATGGTTAATACTGAGTGTCAATTCGATTAGATTTAAGGATACAAAGTATTGATCCTGGGTGTGTCTGTGAGGATGTTGCCAAAGGAGATTAATGTAAGATACAGTGAATTTCTCTGAGTTTCTCTTCAAAGATTTAGCCTGCTAACTTCCTTGTCTTTTATTCTTAAACTCAACTTTCCTGTTCCTCCTTGCACCTAGTTACTGTGAAACAGCCTAACCCCTTCCCGTCAGCTCTAATCAATAACTCACATCTGTTCGCTTGGTTACCTGCACCTATTGATCCCCAAGAAACTGCACATCTCACAAGCTTCACCACTGTACCTCACGTCCCCCTTACATATTTAGAAAAATATTTGCAAGTAGCCAACTGGGTCAGCTCAGAATATGTGGTCCGACCCCAGCCCATGGGGGAGTGACATAGAGGTAGGGACTACCGTCAGAGATAAAAGCTTGCTGCTCTCCTTTGTTCCCTGTGCTGTTGCGACCTTGATTGATGCAGGTAGCACCCTTTTGCAGAAGTAAATTGCCTTAATTAGAGAATTAAACTTTGGCCTGAGTGCTGGTTTCACTTTGTAGCACCGAGCATTTATTCCTAGAGCACTTTCTATCCAACATTAACATTTGAGTCAGTGGGCTGGGGAAGGCAGATCCATCCTTAATCTGGTGGACACCATCTAATAAGCTGCCAGTGAATATAAAACAGGCAGAAAAATGTGAAAAGGCAACACTGGCCTAGTCTCCCAGCCTACATTTTTCTCCTGTGCTGGATGCTTCCTGCCCTCGAGCATCATACTCCAAGTTCTTCAGTTTTGGGACTCAGACTGGCTCTCCTTGCTCTTCAGCTTGCAGACAGCCTACAGTGGGACCTTGTGATCATGTAAATTAATAGTTAATAGATTTCCCTATGTGTGTGTATACATATATACATAGGGTATATATATTTATGTGTGACATGTATATGATATATATATACACACACATAGGATATACATATATATACACACATAGGAGATATATATATATATATATATATGGAGAGAGAGAGAGAGAGAGAGAGAGAGAGAGCTCCTTTTAGTTCTGTCCCTCTAGAGAACTTTTACTAATACAGATGTCTACAATGCATCTAGGCCTGATTAAAAGTCTACTGGCTGTTAGGCATTATTTTAAACACCTATGGTCTTGTCTTAGCTAAAATTCAGCTTCAGGTTTCATGCCCAGCACAAAATAATTTTCACAAATGGTGTAGAAAAGAAGCATATTATTAGGCTTATTAGACATAGGCTGTGGCTTTCCTGCTTTTTATTTTTAATAAACTTTGGACTTGGGACTATTTTTAGATTTACAGAAAAGTTGCAAAGAAAGCGCAAAGGATTCCCTCATATACTCATATTATTTCCTCTGTGAAAGGAGAATAAATCTTGGGACCCCAAAATTACTAAGCCAAAGGGAAAAGTCAAGCTTGGAACTGCATCAGTATACTACCTCCCATTTTATTACTAAATAAGATAGCTACAAAGATTTTTTTCTTTTTTCTTTTCTTTCTTTCTTTCTTTCTTTTTTTTTTAAAGCTACATACCTCTCAAAATTCACCCACAAGGGAATTCATTGTTGGTCTCAAGGTTTTTACCCTAAAACAGTTCTGTTGAATTTCACCTTGGGCAATGTAAATTAATAGCTTATCTTCACAGATGTGGGGGCGGGGAAGGACAGAAGTCATTCCTCTGCTCACCTGAGACAAATGCATATCTGATTGCTTCCTCTGTCTTATTGTTTATGTAAAAATGCAGATTCACTGAGTCAGACTAAGGCATAAGTGACTATTTCTCTACCCCCTTTCACATGTAAATTGTATATTTAGTGAGAGGCTGATCAAAGACTCAAAAGAGTGCAACTGTTCATTCCTTATCTACCTGTGACTTGGAAGCCTTTCCAGACACAACCGGTGTACATCTCCCACATATTGGTTGATGGCTCATGTCTTCCTAAAATGTCTAAAACCAAGCTGTGCCCTAACCACCTTGGGCACATGTCATCAGGGCCTCCTGAGGCTATGTCACAAATGCATCCTTAGCTTTGGCAAAATAAACTTTCTGGATTGAGAACTGTCTCAAATACTTTTGTGTTCAAACCCCAATTCCCTAATACACTCACCTTATTTCCCCTACCATTTCCCTGCTAATATTACAAAGCTGATATCACATATAGTAGGGTACTCAAATATCTCTTGACTGATCAAGTTGCTCGCATATAATATTTTCCTTACTAGGCTCCAAACATTACTTAAACTGTTTTTGTGTGTGTGTGTGTGTGCGTGGTTTTTTTTTTTTTTTTTTTTTTTTTTTTTTTTTTTTCAAGACAGAGTCTCACTCTGTTGCCTAGGCTGGAGTGCAGTGACCCGATCTTGGCTCACTGCAACCTCTGCCTCACGGGTTCAAGTGGTTCTCCTTCCTCAGCCTCCCAAGTAGCTAGGGCTACAGGCGCATGCCACCACGCCCGGCTAATTTTTTTGTCTTTTTAGTAGAGACAAGGTTTCACCATGTTAGCCAGGATGGTCTTGATCTCCTGACCTTGTGATCCGCCCAACTTGGCCTCCCAAAGTGCTGGGATTACAGGTGTGAGCCACCCACCGTGCCCGGCCAACTGTTATCTTTAATTTTCATAACAAGTCTGTGATGTTGATACTTCCCCCTGCCCCCCCCCACCCCGCCCCACAGTTTAGGTAGGAAAAAACAAGATTCCAGGAAAGGAAATAGCTTATCTGAGGCAAACAGCTCTTAAACAATAGAACAAGGTGTCTAACTCAGGTCTGAGTGACTCCAAAACATGTTATTTTCAAAGCACCCCAGGTCTTCAGTACTTGCTTTGTTAAACAGTGCCTAGTCATCAGAATTTCTCACCCTCCCTTAAAGCTCACAAATGGTCTGTCTTATTGATACTGGTTTGCCAAGCTCTACCTTCCCTCACCTTCCTCAGGGCTGAGCTCTCAGAAGAATGTGGGAGGCTGGGAGGAGAGTGCTTTAGAGTTTGGCAAGTTAAGAAGAAGCCGAGGTAAAAACTTATTTTTGCCACTTCTGGTATTAAGAAACAAGGCCTTTCACTGCTTCTTCCTCTGTTTATGCAAAAGCTCTCATTAGCATTTACATGCATTCTTTGTCTTCCAAGTGAAAAGAGAAAGGATAGGGCTTTAGAGGCTGCTTTTAAAAAATGTTCTCTTCTTTTATCTGGAGGAACAAGCTGTAAAATACTCTTAGAAAACCACTTAAGAGGCTAAAAGGAAGAATGGTTGTGAGACTATTGCATTTTTTTCTCCCCAAAACAGTGGCTTTGTTTGTGTCACTCAAAGACATGTTGAAAGCAGGAGGAGGAGAAACTACTCAGAAGGTGCTAGGAGTGGAATTGAGGTACATAAGTCTCTCCTCAGGGTTTCTACCTCTCTGAACTCCCCCTTCTACCTCAAAACTCAGCTCCCACCCTGTTTTATAGAGATACCTAGTTTCATGCGCGTCCATGTGAAGAGACCACCAAACAGGCTTTGTGTGAACAATAAAAGCTTTTAATCACCTGGGTGCAGGCGGGCTGAGTCTGAAAAGAGAGTCAGCAAAGGGAGATGGGGTGGGGCCGTTTTATAGGATTTGGGTAGGTAAAGGAAAAAGGGGGGTTGTTCTCTGGCAGGCAGGAGTGGGCGTCACAAGGTGCTCAGTAGGGGAGCTTTTGAGCCAGGATGAGCCAGGAGAAGGAATTTCACAAGATAATGCCATCAGTTAAGGCAGGAACAGGCCATTTTCATTTCTTTTGTGGTGGAATGTCATCAGTTAAGGCAGGAACCGGCCACCTGGATGTGTACGTGCAGGTCACAGGGGATATGATGGCGTAGCTTGGGCTCAGAGGCCTGACACCTAGAGAGCAAGGATTGTGTTCAGAAGATATGTTTGGGCATTTTGAGTTAAAAATCTGTAAAAGTATTTGCCTATATATTTAATCATTATACTTGGTTAAACAGCTTATGGTCATTACTACAGTTACTCTCTTTGGAACCCCGAAAATATTTCATATGAAAACATGCAGCAGTTCCCTGATTAGCTGGGTGGCATTATGAGAGTGCACATGGCATTATGAGAGCATACATGTCATAAGCTTACTTAGCATTTATCTTATAGAAATTGAAAAGTATTCTTATAACATTGGCAGAAAATAATCCACTTGAAATACCTAAAATATGTCATATTTCTCCCTCTATTATTAAGGCAATAGTCAAAGCAGGTAATTTTGATTTGCAAGTGGCTGTGGTTCTCCTTCCATCGTGTGGCTCTGCATCTTCAACACATGGTTTCCAAGGTCACCACAGAAGGTCAAATAAGTGGGGATCACATTCAGGAGGTTACTACAGCCCATTCTTGAACGTGGCTTATTTCCATTCTTCTTATGCTTCATAAGCCAGATGGGAATTATTTGGGCTCTGAATATGATACCTGAAAGCATGACACTTTGACATGCTGACGATTTTGAGCTGAATAAGATTGGGAAGGCCTCAGAAACAAGACAGTTTCATAGACCTGCTCCAGCCTTGCCTTCTCCGGTCCCATTTTCTTCCCCCAAGTGGGTCTTAGAAACTAGAATTCCTCTCCACCGAAGCAAGCCATAAAAGCTAGGAAGGTCACGCTCTGATCTTTTCCGTTCTCCCATGAAGATCCTCATGTGACAAGTGTCTTGCCCCATAAATGGGGAGGAATATCAGCCTGAGACACAGAAAAGACGAAACAAACAGGCCTTCCTGAGTTTCCCCCAGTTCATTACCATTAGGTCATATTCCTTTTTGTTGAGACATGTTTCTTCTCCACAATTATCCTCTTCTTTCATCGGACTTAACATAAAGATACAGTTTTCCCTGCATCTTTAGGCCTTCATTTATGAGTGCTCCCATGCCATGTAAAACTTTGATTAAATAAAATTGCTATGCATTTCTCTTGTTAATCTGTCTTTTGTTTATAGGGGCCTTGGCCATGAACCTTGTGATGGGGGAGGAGAAAACTACTTTTTCTTCCCTCCAGAGTGGTGATTTATCCAGATATCCAGAGGGAAAAGGAAACTGGTGTGGTGAAGAGCTCCTCCAGTCTCTGCTATGCTTAGCAAGTTAAAATACATTCCCAATATATTTAAAACTTCTTGTCTCTTAATTCCATTAAATATAATCTATCATTTTTTTCCTTCATCCTCTAACCAAATTTTCCCCTTTTCCTCTCTTTCAGCTTTTCACACCTTTGCCCCATTCACAGGATTCATTGCTTTCTTCCCTTCCGTTTTCTTCTTTATTGCAGCCGGGACATCGGATTAGCCAGGCAACCTTTTCCACCACCCACAGTAGCCTTACCTCCTGCTTCTGCCACAGCTGCCCTGCCAGTCAGCCAGACCTGGCAAATCCGATCATCTACTTCCTCCACTTTTGTTGCACATGGAAAACACCCACCATCACTATCACCACCAAAAGACACTCATTAGTCATTATAAACCTCTTTCCAACCTAACTCTAATAATCCTGTTGGATTACCATTGATTTGTGCTTAGTTCATTTCTTCATTCCCCAAAGCAAATATTTCAAACCTTTACAATTTACTTTAAGCCACCTATTTATCCCTACCTCCCTTGACAACAGAAGATTGGCTTGACACAGGAAAAAGAAACAATAAATCACATGCTAATTTCCTCACATTCTACCTCTGACCATGCATATGTTTTCTGTCCTGCTTTGTTCCAATGGGCTCTTTTACTCAGGCTGCTCCTTGCCCTTGTCTTGTTCTTGATCTCTTCTTTACTCTCCATCTACCCCTTCTCCCCATTTACTTATTTCTGTTCCCATGTGTTTTGTCTTGGTAAGAAAGCTTTGATTCGTCTTTGAAAATGCACCTGAAATATCATTGTATTTGTCTGCTGTGGCTGCTATAACAAATGAACAGACTAGATGGCTTGAACAAGAGAAATGAATTTTTTGACAATTCTGGAGGCTGTGAAGTCTTAGATGAAGATGCCAGCTGGGTAGGTTTTATTCTGAGGCTCTACTCTTGCTTGCAGGCAGTCACCATCTCCCTGTGTGGTCACATAACCTCTTTTTTGTGTGCACACATAGAGGGAGAGAGAGCGGGTGCGCTCAGTGATGATGTCTCTTTCTTTCTTCTTTTTCTTTCTTTCTCTTTCTTTCTTTCTTCTTTTTCTTTCTTTTTCCTTCCTTCCTTTCCTTCCTTCCTTCCTTCCCTTTCCTTCCTTCCTTCCTTCCTTCCTTCCTTCCTTCCTTCCTTCCTTCCTTCCTTTCTTTCTTTCCCTTCCCCTTCCCCTTCCCCTCCTCCTCCCCCTCCCCTCTCTTCCTCTCCCCTCCCCTCCCCTACCCTCCCCTTCCCTTCCCTTCCTTTTTCTTTCTTTCTTTCAGACAGGAGTCTCGCTCTGTTGCCCAGTCACAAGCTCCGCCTCCTGGGTTCATGCCATTCTCCTGCCTCAGCCTCCCGAATAGCTGGGACTACAAGCACGTGCCACCACACCTGGCTACTTTTTTGTATTTTTAGTAGAGACAGGGTTTCACCGTGTGAGCCAGGATGGTCTGGATCTCCTGACCTTGTGATCCACCCGCCTTGGCCTCCCAAAGTGCTAGGATTACAGGCATGAGCCACCGCACCCGGCCTATCTCTTCTCATAGTGACGCTAATCTTGTTGGATCAAGGCCTTATTTTACCTTAATTACTTCTGTAGAGTTCCCATTTCTGAATAAAGCCAAACTGGTAGTTAAGGCTTCAGCACACAGATTTTTGGGGGACAAAAACATACAGACTGTGACGGCCATCTTCACCATCCCCTTCACAGTGAAGCCTTTGAAATAACCCAGGCAGAGTCTGTGCCCATATCTATTGGAATAGTGTGTTCTACCATCATGATATTTTTAAAAGTGAATTTCTTAAATATCCTCCCTGGACTAAGAGCTAGACAGAGATAAAAGCCACAGTCATTTTTCTATCAGATCCAATACTTTGCACAGAGTATATGACACAATAGGTACTCAATAGCTGTGTTTGATTGAGCCACGAGATCTTGAAAGGTCAACTAAATGATCAGAGAGATAATAAACTATGGTGCATATAGTTTAATAGCAAGAGTGTTTTATTTGATTTAAATTATCTTGAAGTTTATTCCCTGTATATGACATGCATTCATTCTTCAAGAGACTATTTAATTCAACCCAATTCTATGAACACCTGGACAGAATTCCATTTGCATATGTCATTGATGTGCTTTGGATGTTTGTCCTTTCCAAATCTCATGTTGTAATGTGATTTCCAGTGTTGGAGATGGGACCTGGTGGGAGGTGATTGGATCTTGGGGATGGATTCCTCTTGAATGGTTTAGCACCATCCTCATGGTGATGAGCTCTCACTCAGCTAGTTCATATGAGATCTGGTTGTTTAAGAGTTAGGGACCTCCTCCTCTCTCTCTTGCTCCTGCTCTCTCCATGAGACATGCTGGTTCCCGTCGTCTTCTGCCATGATTGTGAGCTTCCTGAGGCCTCGCCAGAAGCAGATGCCAGCACCCTGCTTCCTGTACAGCCTGCAGAACTGTGAGCCAATTAAATCTCTTCTCTTTAGAAATTACCCAGTCTCAGATACCCCTTTATGGCAACGCAAGAACAGACTAACACAGACATCTGAAGTAATGTATAAATTCCTTAAGAATGGAAAGGAATGGAAAGATTCAAAGATTTTTATTCCATTGAGCTTGTGTATCTCAAAAAGGCTACTAGTGTAAAACTACTGTTAGAATTGAACATTTGTTATGAATTTAGCACAGTATCTAGTTACGACTATTTCTTTCAAGAGATCTGGGTAGTTCACACACGTGTGTTAAGGCCTTAATGCTGTATTCCTTCTTTGTCATCATTTTAGTCATGGCCTGATGAAAACTTTTTTTTTCTTTATCAATTACAACAAGGAATTGTAGATTACTTTTTTTTAAGCTTGCTGTTTGTGATTATTTTTACTAGTTCATCAACTCCATAGTTGTCATAAAGGCATTTTTGCATGAAATTTAATTTCTGCAATGAAGGTTAAAAAATTATCTTGCCTCATCAATGAGGAACACTACCACATTTCCCGTCCCCCACCCCCCATTTTCTGTCAGAGCAAAATAATCTCTTGAATTATCTGTATAAAATATTTCACATTGTTCTGGCAATGATCTGGCTCTATCCCTTGATAGGAAATTGGGCATGTGTGGCTAGGCATCCAGAGGAATATGTTTACCAATGAATTATCTTCCAAGGTTTTGACACCACCATCAGTTATGCCAGATGCAAATCATTTACTCTCTGTCAGTTCAAATACGCAGTCTTGTTTGGATGGCTTAAATCTATGCTGGCACCAAAATACAGCAAGCAATATTGCTCAACTTTTGAGTTGAAAGCATAGACAAATGTATATAGCGCCAAAACATGGAAATAACACAATGTAGGCAGAATTTTGCTGAATGTTACTTGATGTTAGCATAGCATTAGACTTTCAAAGGAATAGTAATATTTCCTACTGAGAAAAATGAATGTGCTCCTACAATGGTAGACCTGTCTTCAACATGGGGTTTAAAGATGACTATCTTATTCTGCATGTCCTACAAGCCTTCCAGAACTCAGAAAGTCAGAAATTAAGGCCCTGGTGAATACTTCATAGAAATGGTGAATTAAATTCTGGAATTTGGGGGATTAAATACTGACGACTTTAGTGCTACAATATTTTATATGGTTTAGAATCATGTCTATACACCATGAACTGATGAATTAGTGGCCTCAAGAGGAAAAAAGATTTGATTTTTTTTTAAAATTTTTCCTACTTATGAGTTAAGGGAGAGCATTATATGAAAATAGGATCATAAAGTCATTTATTTCTCAGCTTTTGGCTTGTAGACAGCTGAGGCAAACAGAACTGAGTAACATTTTCATCTGCTGAATAGATATAATTTATACTTTGTAAAAAATAATGCAGAATTTAATAAAATATCCTAGCTGAGAACAGTGAGTTAAGATCACAAATCATTGCGTTAGAAAACCTAGACTTGACTATTAGTTCTGTCACCTAATGGTAGTATTGACATTTCTAAGCCTCAGTTTTCTAATCTATAGAATAGGAATAACTATTCCTGACTTATGAAAATGATGTATTAATTTAAAAGATGTAAAACATAGGTATATATGTATATATGGTTATGACAACTGGAAGCTGTTGTCTTGGACATCCACGAGGTCATGAGAACCTTAACTAGTTGAGCTGAGTAATCATGATAATCAATTGACTATTAAAAAACAACAACAAACTCTGCCCTTTCATGAATAGAAAAATATCTTACCTTATCTAATAATTTCCCGGCTTTTTTGACTTTGACCTTTTCTTTCCAATTAGATTAACATTGGGTTAAGAATTATTCCTAGTCAAATTTTTTCTCAGAGGCAGGACTTAGAAAGCATCTTCAGATTCAGCAATAGAAAAAAGACACATGAATGCCAAAAAATATTTGTGTTACTTAAATTTTTTCACATGCTTTGGTATAGATACATAAAATAAATAAATAACCACGGAATCATTTCAAAATCTACGTATTTATGACTTCAGAGCATTCTACTTTTTCTTGGTCTAACAATGTTTTTACTAGTTGCTTATACTGTCAGAAAGTGATTCTCAACAAGGGGTGATTTTGCCCTCCAGGAGACATTTGGCAACATCTAGAGACATTTTTTGTTTTCTCTCCTGGGAGTGGGGGTGAGTTCTACCAGGACCTAATAGGTACAGACCAAGGATGCCACTAAACATCCTGGAATATACAAGATAACCTCACCACAAAGAATGATCCAACCCAAAATGTCAGTAGTGCTGCTCTTTAGAAACACACCTCTACTAGGTTTATATCATAGAGAAGTGAATTTTCTCATTCCAGATCTAGTAGAGACTGATCTAAAGATGCCAGAACATGTTTTAACACATTTTCAGCATCATGTACAGGTGACACATTTTAGGAGAAAATCACACACAAATTATCACTTTCTACAGACAATGAACACACAACATGAGAAGTTAACAGATTCAAATTTGGGTCCATGGGGGTATAATATTTTGTAACGTAATTATTCCTAGTAGAAGAGAAACTTTTATACCTGTTGATAGGTTATTTTTTGCAACCAATTAAAACATTTTTCTTTTGTTATCCCAAAGTAGGTTTCGCTTTTTAATGTATTTTTTTGTTTGAACTGATAGAGCAAATATTTTTTAAATTCAACTTTGATTCACATTGTTAGAGTAAGCTAAAACTAGAAACGGTAAAAAAATCCATCTGTGGCTTCATTTTACAAATGAGAACACTGGGAGACAAAAAAGCTGAGCAACGTTCCCAAGGTTCTATGATTTGTTGTGTGCAGAGTCCAGTAAATAATTGTCAAATTTTAATTCTAATGCTGTCATTTATTTGAAGTATAATTTATTCAAGTTCATTGCATATTTGTTTTTCAAAGAACTCTTTCCTCCCATTCGCAACTCAAACGTACATCATTTTTTTGCACGTTTTTTCCTTCTAATTTCTCTCAGGTCAGTGGAGCCGACAGTATGAAACCTTTAATTTGATACCTTGCCCAAAAGCCATTCCATAGGCTTTTATGCCAAATCAGACTCCCACAGATTTAGGAGGTGTGGAAAAGCTAGATTAAGCTGTCTCAGGCTGGCTAGTCTTCTGTTTAGTCAGAGTGTCAAGTGGTCTGTGCTCAGAGTTCCTCCATCACCAGAGGAAAAGCTCTTCTCAATTATGCTGGCTTGATTTACAGGGATTTTGGTGATCCACAAAACAAGTGAAATTTAAGATACACATCTTAAGCTCAGTTTGTTAGGCCTGCGCTTTCAATAACAAAACTCACAGTGACAGTGATGTATGGCTTTCTTTATGAGACCTGAAAACTGATGGATATGTGATCTTATAAATGCTTAGACAAACTAATGCACATAATTATATTTTCCATTTGAAGTCTATTGCTAGGCATTCTAATACAATATCATTAGTTGAAATGGCCACGATGATACAGCTTGGGCAGTTTGTCACAGTAATTACAGGGTGATTATTTTTGACTGGAATAAAGATTTCAGTTTTAGTATGGTGGAAAGCATTATCACAAATTACAAATGGTCTTGGAAAATAATAATAAAAACTTTAAGATTCTAATGCATTTTACAGCATTATTCTAAAATAATTTCTCATTAAGGGAAACGTCCATAAAATGGCTAAATAAATTATTTTTAAAGTGATTAAAATATGGCTTTGCCAAAAGGATCCCACTTATCTCATTAATGGTTCCTATGTATAAATATGTCAACATTAGATAAAATTTGCGTGTGGTAAATAAGGCTTATGTCATAATTAAAAACCTTTAAAGAAAGGATTTTTTTTTCTTAGCAGACACAAAAGTATGGCATTTATCTTCACTATTTTCAGAATGGTTGATTAAAGTAGACAGTGTCCTAACATCTGTATTGAAAACTATATTAATCAATTGATTAATCATGCAACATTAATCAAAAGCCTCCCTAAGTGTTTTAGTATCTGAGCAGCTCTTAGTATTTTCTATCAGATCCCTTTTAAGGTGTCCATTAAAAAGATTAAATTTGGGTGGTAAATATCGAGGGGTTGTGGAACTTGTGGCTTCTCACTGGAAGGTCATAGCCGCTGCTCATTAGTACTACTTTTAATGGGATAAGAAGCAAAAGTTTTGAATATGTGACTAAATCAATCAGTCCTGCAGTTGACTCATTCCAGTAAGCAGTTTAATATTTTCTGAATCGGCACCATGGCCATCTGGCTGAATTGTCCTCAGTGATTTGGCTTAACCAAAGAACACTTTTTACTTAAGAGTTTAAATTGAAGGCTAATAAACTGATACAGCAACTGCTATTCAATATGTTGGTTTTCTAGAAACTAGTTAAAAGTAGCCTTTATTATTAAGAATGTATTTAAATGATCAAAGTTACCATGAACAATAAGTGTAAAACTTCCTGTTACTGGAATGAACGGTCCAAAATCAAATGAATTATTTTAGTGTTTAGTGAGACTCATTTGGACTTCATAGTACATTTTTAGGCTTATTAATCAACTGTAAATTTCAAGATTGCTGACTGATACTTGGTTAGTTCTTAGATTTCTAAACTCCTTTGTATGTAAGATCAGTCAGGAAAATTTGTGCAGAAAATGTGGAGAATGTTAGTATCCAAAAACAAACAAAAAATTACTCTAAACAATTACTATAGTTTAGAGAATGGCATTACAATAAACAACTACTGGGGAATGAACACAATTATTTGTCACTTTCAGAAGGCATTGCTGTATTATCTTTTATGTCCTCTATCTTTCTAATTCTAAAAGCAACACTGTTCAATGTATTCATTTGATCATTTACAATGTGAAGAGTGGTATGCTCTGCAAACTGCTTTGATCTGACAATTCTTTTATACTTATGGATGGAGATCAGTTAAGATTTCCTTTCTACTATTGCACAAATAATCATAATGACATTCAATGAAATTAAATTTTATCAGTTTTTTTCCTGGATATAATTTTGCCAGCTTTTCTAACAGAATCTAAAGCTATAGGCATTTTAAAACATGGTATGGCCCATCTGTTTATCCCTGCTGTTGCTTAAGGAAAGTTTCTGTAGACAAGACAGTTTCCAGAGTTTGTGCAAAGCACTTTATGATTTGTGCAATGTCTAACTATTGCTGTTTTTCAGCAAAATGATTAGGTGGTAGTTTTAAAATTTGCAAATATGTCCTGAAGCTTCAGCAATAGAAACACACATCTAAATAACTAAATTTAAATATATGCTAAAAATCTTCACTTTTAAAGGATGCTTCTGTTTCTCTTTGCCAGTTGCTCAGAGTGCAAAAAGATATTTTATTATATATAATTCAGTGACGCTCATCTATAAAAGGATGATGATACACCATCTCTGCATTCTTCATTTGAATAAAGTTGTCTACAGAAGAAAGCATCCTATGTTTACACACACAGCTACAAAAAGCAGTTACCTTTATCATGAGTTGTTCAACAATACAAATTCTATGGAAATAATTTTAAAGTCGATTTTTATTTAGTATTTAGTACTACAGAAAGAGAAAACTTAGATAATTCATTCTAATTCCCAAAGTCAATCAGCCAATTGCACAAGTTTCTTACTGTCCAATTCTTTGCTATCAGCAGAATAGTGAGTGCTTTAAGAAAAGTTACAGAATAAATCTAATTATGATAAGGTATTGTAAGAAATTGGTTTCTGTTAGCATGCACATCTACATTATAATTCTGAATGAGTGTTTTGGTATGAGGTATCTGAATAATATTCCTAGTTGGTTAACACAGAGCTATTCAGGTACCCACCAAATGCTCTAACCTTTATTTTAGCTCTTTGTTGCCAAATAATTACATGAAAAGGAAACCTGTCTAAAAATAATCAGAAACGTATTTGGTTATGTCTCTGTGTATATATTGTTTTGTATTTGAGTTATATTTTCATTTTGCTATGAGGTGAAGCTCGGTTGCCTTCAGCAGGGAAGGAAATGTAATCTGCATAATTCCCATTAGTTCTTCATTGGGCAAATGCATTTTGATATTTTATAGTAGGTTAGTTTGTGGCTAATCATTTTCGTATTTAGCAGCAGGTGTTGCTGCTATATTGAAAAAATATTACACGTTTTAGAAATTATGGTTATAATTTAGCCATAAAACACCTAAGTTTCAATATCCATCAGTTCATTAGTTCAGCTCACTGAAAACACAGGAAATACAATTAGTTGGCAATAACATCATTGTTTTATTACGTGGGTTAACCTTTAGTACTATCCAGAAACCATTTTAGAAGAGTATTTTTGCTGTTGCTCTTGTGGCATTGTAGAACTACATGGCATCACAGACTCAGAAGGAACTTTATTTTCTACATTTTGGTTTGGGGAAACTTTAAATAAAGGGCACTATTATGAACAGGTGAAAGCATAAGATGTTGGAAACATTTTGTCTTATGGGTTTTGGCTAAGATTAAAAAAAAATTTAAAACATTTTTATTTTAAAGGTTCATTTAAAAGTACATTACTCTGGATTTCAAAGTGATAAACCCTTAATAAAATTTAAAATTGGACAATTTTATAATTACAAGCATGAACTATTAGTGTTTATGAGTAAAAATGCCTAGTTTTTGTTTTTTTTTTGTCCTGTTCCTCAGACCTTCAGGGATATAATCTAGGAAAGTCACAGAACAACTTCTGTTTTCTCATTTTCAAGAAAAGAGAAAATGATAGACCTATCTGTCTAACAGATTTGTGAGGTTTGAATGAGATAAAGGAATTAATATTGCTTTGAAAAAGTGTCAATTTGCCAGATAAATATACATTTCTATGATTATTGTGTTATTAATCCAGACCTCTTTGTCATATTTGGGACAATAGTCATTCAGCTAAAGGCTCAGTTTCCAGAGTCCAATTGCCTAGTTCCTTCACATCCTTGTTCTCCTTATGGACAGAGTAGACTTTACCAAGTGACTTTACTTTTCTGTACCTCATTAGATAATGATACCTGAATCATAAGGTTATTGGGAGAACTAAATGAAGTAATATATATATTTTTAAAGCCCTGAGAACATAAGACTAAAAAGTTGTTTTATTGTTTTTGTTGTTACTGTTGTTATTATTAGCCCATGATCCAGCCATAATAATAATACTTGAACATATTCTTTTTTGTTCCACTCAAATTCTTGTGATGTAAACTTTAGCCAGCGACAAAAGAGAAGCTGTTAAAATTGGCTCTCCAAATAGGTTTTAAAAACATACTTCTTATTTGCCTGCATAGTACTGAACTCTTTTTCAGCAATAGATGCCTCAACAGAAAAATGGAAATCTGAAGTAAAATTCATTATGGCTGTTCCAGAAAATACACATTTCTTCCTCCAAATGGTTAGTGAATGAATTATTTGTTTCCTGGGAAGTAACTTTAAAATTAGGGCAATTCTAACCTTGTGGCCTATATCTATAAATGAATGTGAGGTTAATTTGTTCTTTGCAAGTTTCTAATTTTAACCAAAACTGTACCATCTAGGAAAGGTAGGCAAATCAAGAAAATTGAAACACGGTTAAGGAGTAATTTTGATGAAATGTAGTCACCTCATTAGCTGTTGTCCTCTAGTCTATTGATAGGTAGATCAGGATTATCTGACTTTCTGCTGAGACAGGAAATCTACCAATGTAGATTTCTCTCACGTTAAATACGTATTTTTTCCCAAATCAACTTTCTTTTCCTAAAAATTTGCACCTCCTCCATGTACTTGAGAGTGGAAAGGGCTGACATCTTGGGAATTATTTAAATTTTTCAAGAGTATAGGAAATCACATTTCAACTTTCCACTGGCAAAAAATCTAACTTGTATTTTCAGTTCTAAATAAAGGAAGATTTTTTAAAGATGTACATTTAATTTCACTGTTGATAGCAGTGCAAATCTATCCAGTTGTAAAAGAGGGAGCATTTAGAATAGTGGACAATGGTAATTGATCAAAAAAGTTATGGTCACAGGTAAGTAAGATGAGAAAGTAACAACCTAATTGAAAATTATAGAGGCCAACTCTCTAGTTTCCAACAAGTAAGAAGAAAAACCTTATCTTTTTTGGTGACTTACAAGTGTTTCTTTCATTGAATCAAAGGAGGGGAGGAAAGATGAAATTCTTAATTAATCATGTAATTGTGTTGTAATATTTAGTTACTAGGCTTTATCTGTTAAGATTTAGAAATAAAAATAAAAGACTACAATTATAATAGCATAGGTTTATTTAAATATTTCTAAAATGCTCTTAAGTTTGTAAACTCACAGAAAATTTTAGACACACAGGTATACCTCAGAGATATCAAGGGTTTGGTTCGATACTGAATATCATAACAAAAATAAGTTATAGAATTTTTTTTTGTTTTCACAGTGCATATAAAATTATGTATATACTATACTGTAGTCTATTACATGTGCAATAAGATTATGTCCAAAAAATAGACATATCATACTTTAAAAAGTACTTTAGTGCTAAAAAATGCTAATAATCTTCTGAGCCTTCAGTGAGTGATAATCTTTTTGCTGGTGGGGGGTCTTGCCTCAGTGTTGATGGCTGCTGACTGATTAGGGTGGTGGTAGCTTGAAGGTTGCAGTGGCTATGACAATTTCTTAAAACACCATAACAACAAAGTTTGCTGGATTGATGGACTCTTTCTTTCATGAAAGATTTCTCTCTGGTATGTGATGCTGTTTGATAGCATTTTACCCACTGTAGAAATTCTTTTGAAACTAGAGTCATTGCTTTATCAACTAAGTTTATGGAATATCCTAAATCCTTTGTCAAAATAATGACCTAAACAGTGTTCACAGCATCTTGGTCAGGAGTAGATTCCATTCCATAAAACCACATTCTTTGCTCATTCATAAAAAGTGAATTCTCATCCATTAAAGTTTTATCATGAGAATGCAGCAATTCAGTCACATCTTTAGGCTTTACTTCTAATTCTAGCTCTCTTGATAATTCTTCCATATCTGCAGTTACTTTCTCCACTGAAATTTTGAACCCCTTAAAGTCATCCATGAGGGTTGAAATCAGCTTCTTTCAAACTCGTGTTAATATTGATGATATTTTGACCTCTTCGCATGAATCAGGAATGTTATTAATGGCATCTAGAATAGTGAATCCTTATTAGAAAGTTTTTAATTTACTTTGCCCAGATCCATCAGAGGAGTCATTATCTATAGCAGCTAGAGCCTTATAAAAAGTATTACTTAAATAATTAGGCTTAAAGTTGACATTGTTCCTTGATCTATGGGCTACGAAATGGATGTTGTGTTAGCAGGCATACAAACGACATTAATCTTCTAGTGCATCTGCATCAGAGCTCTTGAATGACTAGGTACATTGTCCATGAGCAGTGATACTCTGAAAGAAATATTTTCTGAGTAGTAGTTCTCAACTGTGGGCTTAAAATATTCAGTAAACCATGCTGTAAACAGATATTTTGTAATCCAAGCTTTGTTGTTCCATTTATAGGGCACAGGCAGAGTAGATTTAGCACAATTCTTAAGGCTCCTAGGATTTCTGCAATGGTAAATTGAGCCTTGTCTTCAACTCAAAGTCACCAGCTGCATTAGCCCCTAACAAGACAGTAAACCTGTGTTTTGAAGCTTTGAAGCTAGGCACTGACTTCTCCTCCCTAGTTGCAAAAGCCCTAGATGGCATCTTCCTCCAATGTAGATGTAAAGTTGTTTCATCTACATTGAAAATCAGTTGTTAGCATAGCCACCTTCATCGATGATCTTAACTAGGACTTCTGGATAACTTGCTGCAGCTTCTCCATCAGCACTTCCTACTTTACCTTACACTTTTATGTTACTGAGATGGTGTTTTTCCTTAAACTTCATGAACCAACTTTTGCTAGCTTCTAACTTTTCTTCTGCAGCTTCTTCACATCTATCAGACTTCACAGAATTGAAGAGAGTTAGAATCTTGCTCTGGATTAGGCTTTGGCTTTTAAGGGAATGTTGAGACCGGTTTGATCTACTCAAACTACTGAAATTTTTCTCCACATCATAAATAAGGCTATTTTGCTTTTTTATTATTAATATGTTCACTGGGGTAGCACTTTTAATTTCCTTCAAGAACTTTTCCTTTGCATTTACAACTTGACTAACTGACACATAAGGCTTAGTTTTTGGTCCATCTCAGCTTTTGTCATGCCTTCCTCACTAAGCTTAATCATGTCTACCTTTGATTTAGAGTGAGAGATATGCAACTCTTTCACTTGAATACTTGGAGGCCATTGTAGTGTTTTTAATTGGCCCGATTTTAATGTTGTTGTATCTTAGGGAACAGGGATGTCTAAGGAAAGGGAGAGAGATAGAGGAATGGGCAGTCAGTGGGGTGGTCAGAACACACACAATATTTATCTATTAAGTTTTCTATCTTACATGGGTATGGTTTGTGATGCCCCAAAGTAATTACAATAGTAACGTCGAAGATCACTGATCCAGATTATCATAGCAGATATAATAAGAAAACATTTGAAATATGGTGAGAATTACCAAAATGTGACACAGAGACACAAAGGGAGCTCATGTTGTTTGAAAAATGGCACCCAAGGAATTGCTAGTCACAAGGCTGCTATAATTCCTTCAATTTGTTAAAAAAAGTAATATCTGTGAAGTAAAATTTAAATAAAAATGAAGCACAATAAAATGAGATATGCTTGTATACACTTTTCAGAATATTGTCTGTGACATCTCTGCATTCAGCATAGAGAAAAGACAGCTTATAATATTTATTAATTTTTTTAGCACAAAAATGTCATCTATTATTCCTTTTTTTTTGAGATAAATTATTTCATTAATCCATCTACCACAATGTTTCAGAAGTCAAGCAGGTATGTCAAGAATAGGATAGGTGAAAAGGTAGTCACTGAAGGAACTTCAATGGCAGGAGAAAGAAGGAGAGCTCTCTCTATGAGCATTGCAGGTAAGTTGTCTTATTAACATCTATCACAATAAAATTAACCCATTGTATTGGTACAGAGCATTTTCCAAAGCTTCTCCCTGCATGTGGCTTATTTATTTATTTTTATTGGAACAACTGTGGAAGGCAATTACCCATAATACTGCACAAGAAGAAAGGCACTTGTCCAACCTTGCCAAATGGAAATTGCAAATAGAAGGAATTAGAAGGAGTAGGAGCCAATACAGGGGCCAAGACTCTTGCCTTCCTTATAGAATTAATGTCCAGTCATTCAAATTGAATCAGGGTCATTATGACACAAATAAATAGAAGTAGGCGGGGCGCGGTGGCTCACCCCTGTAATCCCAGCACTTTGGGAGGCCAAGGCGGGTGGATCACTTGAGGTCAGGAGTTTGAGACTAGTCTGGCCAACATTGTGAAACCCCACCTGTACTAAAAATACAAAAGATTAGCTGGGCATGGTGACAGGTGCCTGTAATCCCAGCTACTCTGGAGGCTGAGGCAGGAAAATTGCATGAACTTGGGAGGCAAGGGTTGCAGTGAGCCAAGATTGCGCCATTGCACTCCAGCCTGAGCAACAAGAGCAAGACTCCATCTCAATAATAATAATACCCTCTAATAATAAACAGAAGTAAAAATCTCATGTATTATTCTAGAAAAGATTTCTTCTTTTTATTTGGGACAAAAATGTTTATTGAAATAAAAATAAGTTAATTTTTAAAAGTACTAATTCTCAGCACTAAGGAATAATGTTTACGTTACCAATGATCACAAGTACAATTCAATTATATGTTTTTATTCTATGAACATTTAAAAATTACTAACACAACAGAAAAAAGTTATTAACTATCATTTTTCAACTGTGTGTTTCACATACACGTTTTCTTTAATTTTCATGAGCCTTATTAATTTGAAGCAATATCTGTATTTTACTGACTAACCATAGTTCTGTTAAACAAATACATATCATTTGATTCCTAAATTCATGCTGTCATCCCTCTTAGCCTTTAGACTATATTACAAAATAAAAGAGCAATGAATATACAAACTGTTGTGGAAAGTTGTGTTCCTAGAAAATCCACTAGTTTTATTACAGTTTTTCATTGAATGAGATTCTATTTTTGACTACTCTCCTCTTCCTCCTTGTTATCTTTTCTTTAAATGCATTCAATACAAAACAATTTACCTAATAAAAGTAATTATGTTACCTTTACTTAGAAATAAAAGTCTTCAATTATATGCTTCAGCCTAAGAGAAATCTCCAGGAAACATACGTTAATAAGTCATTTTATTAAGTTAGCTGTTTTTATTATAATTTTTTAAAATTATATGTTCTGCCTGCTCTGTTTTCCTCTACAGTTGAAAATTTAATTTTATTCTCTATACCTTGATAGAAGCTTTGATGTGTCTTTCTTCTTGGGTTTTAAATTTGTTTGTTCAAAGAAAAATCAATATAAGCCACAGATTAAGTGAGATTGTTATAGCTAAATTGACGTGTAGAAAAATATTCAATGGCAAGCCTTAATTTCTTTTATCAACATTCTTTTACACTCTATTGGTTTATTTGTGTTTAATTGAAACATATGAAATAAAATTTGTGAAGAAATACTGTTACTGTAACTGTAGTCATGAGCCTACCTATGACAGTGTCATCCGTGAATCTTGCTTGGCTCTGATCTCAAACTCAACCTATAAAACCCTTGAAAGTTTACTTAATTATTGCCAAGTAAAATTTTAATTTGCTTCAAAATTGCATGGTGAATACAGTTATTATAATTAAGTTTATATTAGAAATTGGCACTAGAGGGAGCTAAGTAATTGTATCATTTATGTGTTTAGGGGAAAATTGAACATTCATTTAAAAACTTGTATTTTTTTTCAGAACCTGCTGATTTTACAAATATGGCAGCTATGCCTCAGCAAATTATAAGCAATAATGAATTAGTTAATTTTCTTCTGTGAAAACTGCTATGGTAAGATTATTAAATTACTGTATTTCTACTTAGTGAAAGTAGCTACCAGTCAGTAAATTAGGATTTCTAAGACTCTTTGGGGAAAGAGATTATTACTATTATCCATGTTTATCATTATTTTGGCCCTAACAGAATTAAAATGTTTATAGTACCTGTTAAAATGTGATATTTTGTTCTCAAATGTATAGTTTGATAAGAAAATGGCCTTATTGAATAGGATCTCAGTGAAGATTAGAAAACAATTTTACTCTTATGGAATATTCTAGGAACTTAGCTGGTTTGATTACTTTGAAGGACTGATTCAATTGAACAACAGTATTATTTTCCAGCAAGCAGAACCTACTATAAGTTGAATGAAATTATGTTATTTTCCACTTTTACAGTTGTATCTAAAATGAACAAAAGCTAAACGCTGCAGGACATTTTTATTTACAAAAACTAAAGAATTGAAGAGCAAATATACAATCTCATGCATTGTGCATGTTTAGTCCCAGGAAAGGTTCACAGTTAAGAAGAGCCTGTGTGAAGTCAATGCTGGTGCCTGTGACGGGTGTGGGAATGGGAAATTTTACTCTCTCCATTGCCTCATTACTTAGGCAGTCACAGCCAAAAAGGGACACGTTTTACATCAGTTTATAGGTGAGCATGTCCCTATTACAAATAATGCATGCAGGAACTTTTTTTTTTCACAGACACTTTGAAAGAAAAAGATATGATTTAGATGTTAAAATGAAGTTTAATTCACATTCCATCTACTTTGAAAAGAAAATGATGTTGAAAATATTTAAATAATACCCATTGTCTTCTGTGGTAAAATCCTCTTAGCTGATTTTCAGTTATTTGAATTTATGTTCCGATGTCCAAAAGAAAGTTTCTTGCTTTTCTTCTAATAGTTTGATTGAGGAACCCATCTGCTGTTAACTACATGTGACTAGGTTTAGATTTAATATAGAAGTGAATTTCAGGGAAAATAAAGTACAAAGTAGAAAAAAAATTACAGTCAGGCAATACATTGTTTGTTAAACCACAAAACTGATTTCTACCTGTTTGCCTCATTTATTTTTCCATAAAAATGAAACATTCCTTAACTTTTATACTAATATTTTATTTTTACTGTTTGAATAATTAGTATATTTTCTCTCAAAGGAGTGCTGTAATCCAGGTTAGCCTTGTAAAAGATGTTAGCAAGTGATATTTCACAGACAGAACTTGGGGAAAAAGAGAGGGTTTTTAATACTGAATATAACTAGAACATCTTTCAGGTCTCCAAATTAGTGTTTAACAAACTTTAATGTACATGCTAATCACCTGAGGGTTTGTTAAAATACAGATTCTAACTCAGAAGATGCAGGATTATTTTGCATTTCTAACAAGCTCCCAGGTAATGCTGTTGTTGCCGTCTGTGGACCACACTTTGAATAGCGAGACTCATCATTTTCTTTAATACTGCTAAGGTTCTCTGGTTTGAAATTAGAATTGAAAGCAAAAGAAAAGAGTTTAGAGTAAAGTAATGGTGTCAATCTTGGAAACCTGAGATGCCACTATATTTGTTCTTGCCCATCCTGAGCTGTGTTAGATGCTCAACACTGACCCTGTACAGAAACAGTGTAATTCATTCTGCAGGCAGGGCCAGAATTTAATGTCCTGAGTCTCAGTTTCATTATCTGTAAAATGAAAATATAATACCTACCTCCTAGGTTTGTAGTTTGCTTAATTTTTATCATTTCTCATTTGCTTGGCATTGATCACTGAGCTCCTAGAATTTTGATATACCTTATTTAGCATCAGGATGTTTGCATATGGCATACTCTAGTGAGTACCAGCTGTCATTACTACAATTATTACCAGCAAGTTGGGATATTGGGCCATCAGTAGTTGAGTGTAGATGGAATATATTGTTTGTGAGATGATAAGATGAACGAGAAAGCTAGAAAGAAAGACAGGGAATACTTCTAGCAACACTATTCACAACAGTGGAGACACGGAATCAACCTAAATGCCAATTAATGATAGAATGGATAAAGAAAATGTGGTACATATATACCATGGAATACTATGCAGCCATTGAAAAGAAGGTTAGCCTCAGTATGTGTTGTTCCCATCTATGTGTCCATGTGATCTCATTATTTAGCTCCCACTTATAAGTGAGAACATGCGGTATTTGGTTTTCTGTTCCTGTATTAGTTTGTTAAGGATAATGGCCTCTAGTTCCATCCATGTCCCCGCAAAGGAAACAATCTTCTTCTTTTTAAGAAGGTTGGGAGGAGTGAGAGGATCAGGAAAAATAACTAATGAGTAATAGGCTTAATACTAGGATGGTGAAATAATCTGTACGACAAATCCCCATGACACATGGTCACCTCTAACCAACCTGTACATTCACCCCTGAACTAAAAATGTTTAAAAAAAGGGGAGGCCAGGTGCTGCGGCTCATGCCTGTAATCTCCAAACTTTGAGAGGCTAAGGTTATGGATCTCTTGTGCCCAGGAGCAGGAGTTTGAGATAAGCCTGGACATCAAGGCAAAATCCCGTATCTACCAAAAATACAAAAATTAGTCCGGTGTGGTGGTGTGTGCCTGTAGTCCCAGCTACTCAGGAGGCTAAGGTGGGGGGATCCCTTAAGCCTGGGAGGCGGAGGTTGCAGTGAGCTGAGATTGCACCACTGTACTCCAGCCTGGGTGACAGAGAGAGACCATGTCCAAAAACAAAAAAAAAACACCAACAAGATGAGATAACAAAAGGGTTTCAATCTATGCTAGGAATTTGAAATTTATTATTTAAAAAATGATGAACTATTAGAAGACTGCAAATTGAGGAGTAGTAGGAACAAAATACTATGTCTTTTTTGAATTGGAAAATGGTTTAGATGGGACTCAACAATTTCTTCTGTGGTCCTGGTTAAGAGATCATGAGAGCTTGGGCCAAAATAGGGGAAGCAGAAAGGGATAAATTGAACAATTATTTGCAAATCAAATTTGCAAGGATAAGTGACCATTTGAACATGGGTCTATTAGTTAGGATATCTTCAGTCAACTCTGCAGACTTTAGGAAATTTATTATATTTCACATAACAAGAAGTGCAACAGAGAGTGATGCTAGTTTTTCTGTGATTCTTTTGGTTTAGTTTTCAGATAGCTGTACATCCAGACATAAACATCCCCAGAGACAGCATAAAAAATGATCTCTTCCTGTGTCTCCTTTCCAAAGTAGGAGAGCACTTCCTAGAAGCTCCCCAGCCAACTTTTTAGATCTTGCCTAGAATTGTATCCTAAGCTTAGTCATAAACCAATCACTGGCAAAGAGACCACTAGAGATGACTGTGTCTCTAAGAACCCTCCTCCTGGTATACCAAATAGAGACAGGATTCCCACAGTATATGACCACTTGGAAAAGAGTGGATTGTTCTTTAGAGTTCTTTAAGAAGGCCTGGGCTATGTTTGAAGGTGTGGTGAAAGAGGGGTGTGTGCGTGTATGTGTGTGTGTGAGAGAGAGAGAGGGAGAGAATGTTGAAAAGGTAACCAAGGGTGCCTGCTTTTGGTGGAGGAAAGTTATATGCTAATAATTATCTAATTATTGCTAAGTCAGTATATATTTAATGTCTCTTTCTAGAATAGATTATAACATATGAGAACTAGGAACATATAAAACCCTGTATATTTTAAAATTAATTATTCTATCATCTAGAACAGTTTCAAACTGATGGTTTTCCAGAAAATTGTATTTGACAAACTACTCTTGAAGCTCATATGGCTTCCGTATACATAATAAATTGGCTTCTCTTAGCAATATTTCTTTCTCCATGCTCAAGTATTTCTAGAACCAAAAAAAGTTCTTCTAATACCTAGTTACTTCTTGTTTTTTAGTTTTAATTTTATATGTTCCTTCTATTATTAAACAGAATAACAGATAACAGGATAACAATTCTGTTAACAAAATTATTTTTATTTTAGTACCTTTCATATCCCCGGTATAATTTTAATAATTAGTAAATAGAAATAGTATTATAGATATAGCAAAATATAGATATCTGTATGCTCTTCATGAGCACAGTTTATGTCTCTATTTTCTTTACCAGTGTACCTGTGGATCTCAGTAGAGTGCTTTGCATGTACCTGTGGTCTATCAATATTTGCTCAGGGAAGAATGTGGCTGGAGGTCTTTATTTCTAGATTAAGTGACTTAGAGAATGTTCTTAACTAATTTAGAAATTTTAGAAAAAGTGGCATTTTAAATGGAAGTTAATGAAACACTAAATTCAGATACCAGTGAGAATAAAGCAGAACACATTCTAGAGTTTAAAATATTTGGGTCTGTAGCACAAGAGAGAGAAAATGATAACGGAATGATCTGGCTAACAGAATCTATTCCTTCATAGAACTAAATTATTTGAGCAAAACGTAAGTTGGTATGGTCTTGCAATCAAGAGTATTTTGTGAGCCTTATGCTGTATTTGTATAGTGTTTATTTACTTGAATATCTGAGTTTCTGGAAATTTTAACTCTCTGAACTTCATGAGGAGTTCACATGTTTTTTTAGGTAATGTTGAAAATGAGCAGGAACCACAAATTTTGACTTTGGTGGCATTGTAATAAGGATGTACAGGTGTTAAGGAATGATTTTCAAAAGGTTAAAAGGCTTGGCTGTTCTGCAAATATAAAATGAGCACATGGCAAGGATTTTATCCAACTATTAATTAATGAGATGAGGCAGTAAGCTGTTGAAACAGTTCAAAGCTTTTTTAGAAACTAGATTAAAAGCAATACTATGATACATTTGTAGATTACATATAAAACTGGCTAATGTCTTCCAGGGGATTCTGACTTTGAGGTTTTCTATTCCACTAGATAGGGGATTATCTGCATCTCTACTGGACAACAATCTACAAGTTGACTGCTGCCCCTAAAGTGTATAAAATTGATGATCAATAGCAAGTTAAGCCTAGCAAGGCACTGAAAGAGTGAATAGGGTGTGTGAGTGTGTGTGTGTGTGTGTGTGTGTGTGTTTGTGTTTCCAGTGTTTGAATAATTTTTCTGACAGAGTAAGGAGAATAAGAGATTTCATTAAAGAAAATAACCCTCTGTGCATGTGTGTGTCTGTGAGAAAGAGAGAAGTTAATAATGACTTTTGCTGCTAACACACAAAATTCACAATTGCAAAAATATGGAACCAGCCCAAATGCCCATCAATCAATGAGTGCAAAAAGAAATACGGTATGTATATACCGTGGGATACTACTCAGCCATAAAAGGGAATGAAATAATGATATTTGCAGCAACCTGGATGGAATTAGAGACCATTATTCTAAGTAAAGTAACTCAGGAATGGAAAAACATCATATGTTCTCACTCATAAGTGGGAGCTAAGCTATGAGGTTTCAAAGGCATAAGACTAATACATTGGACTTTGGGGACTTGGGGGAAAGGGTAGGGGGCAGGTGAGGTACAAAAGACTACACATTGGGTACAGTGTACACTGCTCAGGTGATGGGTGCACCCAAATCTCAGAAATTAAAAAAAAAAAAAACCTCTCAGAATCTTAAAATTCCAAAAAAAATTTTGCTGCTAATGAATAACTATCCCTATCATATGTCCTACAATGTAGATCATTGGAATTAGCTACAACATTTTTATAATTTTAAGAAAATAAGAAAACCAGACATAATTGGCCAAATTATTTTTAAAAAGGCTTTGGTGGCAAATAAAATTATAGATTTAAATGACAGATATTATCTACATATCATAGATTCTTTTCCAAGATAAATCTAAGATTGAGTGTTTATGAAGAAATGTAGTTGAATCTATGTAGATGCTCCAACATACCCTTATTTAATTTTCAGGGGAATGAAATAAATTTCAAAACTGGAGCCACCTACATTAAAACACTGTTAATGACCCAGTGTTCTTTTTGTTATTATATCATTCACTGCCCTTTAGCTGTTGGAGTGGATTGTTTCTTTGATGAGAAATTGGTGAAGCTCTACCAGGGTAATGTGGCATCAATATGTAACATAGTCTTTCTAGAATAATAGGTGGTATGTGGTGAGTTCTTATTGATACAGTGACACAGTTCTGATATAATATATGTCATTTCGCCCATGCAATAAGGAATTTGAAGTAGATACTATTTTATAGATAAGAAATCAAGGTTTAGGGGTATTTGCAGAAGGTCCCATAACCATTAGATAGTGGGATCTATATCTATCCCAATCTAATTGAAGCTGCAGTCCAGTCTTTAATTGTGGTTTTCTTTTATCCTTAAAATAATTGCTTTACTATGAATACTTTTTTTCAGGGATCCCTAAGACCCAGAAGGTTATTCCTTCCCTAGCTATATTATTTTTATAGGAATTTAGTTACAGTAGTAACATTAATATAGCTAATACTTATTGAGCATCTACTTCCCTCTAATATTTTTATATAATTTATAACAGTAATGTCCTATGGTAAGTTTTGTTATTCTAAGTTTATATTTTGGCAAACTGAAGTTAAACAAATGTACAAAATTGCCCATTAAGTGGCCAGATCTTTCTGACCTTCCCGCTTATCTCCATCTCTACTGTGATCATGTTCCTGACCCTGGGGTGGGACCTCAGAGATTGTTAGTGACTTCCTTACAACACTCCTGCTTTCTTCATTGACGTCACCTTCATGGCCTCTCAGGGTGAGCTAACCATGTTTCTAGACATGGATGCTACTCTTTATATAGGAGGGGAACTTATACGCTACAGCATTTCTCCATTAGCTTTCTTGTGCTGTTGTATACAGAAATCCTATATTTATAGCTCCAATTTAAACTATCCATATGCCTGTATCCTCTTCTATCAAAAACAACATCTTCTAAGGTTGGATCAGAAAACATGTGAGTGGTGCACCCAAGTGTACTATTCAAAATTCTATCTCTAGAAAAGAAGGATTAATAGAGAGATATATATGTGGTAAAACAAATGTGACAAAATGTTCAATAAAGAATCTATATATTAGATGTATGTTAGGCATATGGGCAAAATGGAAAAAAAATATTTCACTTTTCTGCATTTGAACACTCTCGTAATGAAAGGCCATGTCTACCTCCTATGAACTTGCAGCTTATTTATTGTGTGTTGGCTTGTACTCTTTGATAAAAATAGAAGTTCCAAGACCTGAAGTCTGCATCTCTTCTGTTCAGAGATGTGTCCCAAATGCCTATAAACAGTGCCTGGCACATGATGGGCCCCTAATCAATGTTCGCTTAATTAAAGAGTTACTGAGAAAAAAAAATGCAATGAAGACTTAAAAATTATTGCTTGTAGTAAGATGCTCACACACTGGGATTAAAGGTTCCAAACAAGAAGGCAGGGCAGAGGATAAAAGGACAAACCCATCCCCTAAATTTTGAGCTGAGAATTCATCATCAAATAACAAACAAACGAACAAACAAAAACAAGCAAACGTACTATTCTGGGACACTACATGATATCCTGGGAAAATAAAAAACAAAAACAGAGTAAGAGGAGTCCAAAATGTTACGATCCTTCAAATAGATCTCCTGTGCATATGGATCAAACAGGAATCTGAGGCTCAGTCTTAGACTTCATTTCATTTTCCCTTTCCCATAGGGGAAATGTACAGAGCAGAACCCAGTGTGGACCCACTTATTCACAGATGCCCTTGGAGTTCAGAAAATGTCAGTACTCCTCTGCAGTGTAGAAGACATCTTCCATATCAGGAAGAAGCATATATTTGGGTTTCCAGTGAATGCAAATCTTAGAGAAATGGCTGGTAGGGGCAGTAACTGGTTTGTTTTACTCCTCCAATAAGTTATTACAATTCTGAGAAGAAATAGCATTCCAGCCACAGGAAGATGCAGCTTGAAAGTTAAGAATTGCTGAGAAGGGAACAAACACCTTTTCTACTTCTGCAGAATGTGTTGGGGAGCAGCTCTTCTGACTCTCCAGGCCACCCTTCTGAAAACAACCAGGGAGAGAGAGACAAGCTCATGTGGGTCACTTCCTTCTGGAAGTGGCAAATAAGTGGGGAGTGAAGTCTTGTATGAACATGTGAGGGGATGGTGGCGTATGTCTGTCTTTCCTCAGTGTTGCTTTCTTGAGGCATGTCAGCAGATTTTCCAGATGCATCTACAGTCTAGGTTGCCCCTAGTACCTTCATTACTATGACATTGTTGATGTCTATATTGCCTCTTGACTAGACTGCAAACTGGACTCATTTTTAAACATGTTATTCTGGAAATTTTGAGACAAACACAAAAACAGAGGGATCGGTATAAAAAAAACTCATGGAATAAAATTATTATCCAATGTACAAGCCACTAAATTAAATCTGTAATGTTCACTTTATTAAGTAAAACCATTCACCTGTTCCTAGCACCTTTTTCTCATCTTAAACTGACCTACTGCTATTTTTGCAGTCATTAAATTCTATTTCTTTAATCTACATGTTTATGACCCTGAGCTAACTTAAACTTTACACACTGGAATCTGATCTTATAATCTGGCCAATTTCATTGTCCTCAGATACTATCTTCTGCTGTTGAATCTGAACCACTGGAATGTAAATTAGTTCAGCTACTGTGGAGAGCAGTTTGGAGATTTCTGAAAGAGCTTAAAACAGAACTACCATTTGACCCATCAAACCTGTTACTGGGTATATAAGCAAAGGAAAATAAACTCTCTTACCAAAAAGATACATGCACTCCTGTGTTCATCACAGCACCATTCACAGTAGCAAGTACATGAAATCAACCTAGATTCCATCAACAGCGAATTGCATAAATAAAATGTGGTACATACGCAGCATGGAATACTACTCAGCCATAAACAAGAACAAAATCATGTCCTTTGCAGAAACATGGAAGGAGATGGAGACCATTATCCTAAGCAAACTAAGGAACAGAAAACCAAATACCAAATGTTCTCACTTGTAAGTGGGAGCTAAACGTTGAGTACACATGGACATGAAGATAGTAACAGTAGACACTGGGAACTACTAGAAAGGGGAGGATAAGAGAGGGACGAGGGTGGAAAAACTAACTATTGCATACTATGCTCACTGTTTGGGTGATGGGACCATTCATACACCAAACCTCAGCAACATGCAATTTACCCATATAACAAACCTGCATATGTACCCCCTGAGCCTAAAATAAAAGTTGAAAAAAAAATCTAAATAACTGTCTGAATTCTAAGGTTCCCTCACCGATCAAATAAGATTTTTTTTCTTCAACCAGATTGACTTCCTTCCTACCTTATAAACATGCTAATAGCCATTTCTGCTCAGAAACTTTTAGCCATGCTAAAGCTCCAACACAAAAGCTCCATTCCCACCTCCATGTTCACATCTGAACTTCTCTACAAAATCCGTCCCACTTTCATCTAGTCCAAGCAGGCATTCCTGATCATACCTGACCTTAGTCTGAGTTCCTAAGCACTGGACTATACAAAATGTGATTATATAATTAGATATCATAGCTTATATTTGTCCTAATGTTTTGATATGTGTTCAGTTTGCAATTTCTTGAGTAGCATCATGTCAACGAGGTCAAGAAATATGTCTTATATTTCTTTGGAAGCTCCTATGACTGTCAGTCTCAATTCTAGCTGCATATCAGACTTACGTGGGATCTTTATACAAAACAAGACAAAACAAAAGTTTTAGATATGCCATGTAAGATTTACTCAAGATGGAGTTTGAGAAATTATATATTTCCTGATTTTTCAGGTGATTCATTTATATCTATTCCAGTGTTAATTCATGGACACACATTTGGGATCCTCAGTTAATGAAAATATTATCAGAACTGTGCTTATAAAACACACCTAATTCATACATATTTGTTTACTAACTTAACAGGCTTTGCAGTCTAACATTAGTCATTTTGATGATATCAGCTTAATGTGCATATAAGGACTGTAAAATAAAACTGATTTTTTCAATGACTGCAAAACAAAGATTGTCATCTATACTGAATTATCTCATATTAGTAATCTTTCTTTGGTGATGCCCTAAAATGAGCCAATTATGCTACAGTTATTTTACATCCTTCTTTTTAGTGTATTTTGTTTAGTAGAAATCTGTAGAACATACTGTTATTTATTCACCACATACTTTTTGAGCATCATCTATAATCTAGGTCTAAAATTAAATTTGTAAATTATAGTTCTCTTTGGCATGTACAGTGTTTATTTTCACTTTGAATAAATTTGTAATATTTATAAATTATAGACATTTTACATAAAATATTTAGATTTCTAGATTCTACTAGAAATGAGAAGATCTGGAAATACCCAACACATATTCTTACATGACTGTGATTGACCAACACTGAGTAATGTGTGTCCTCTTTGAATATTGCAGAAAATGGCCAATGTACTACTCCAGACCCTATTATTCTCTGTTTTTTTAATGCACTTAAGACTTGCCTGGTCATTTCAACATTCACCTCTCTGCTCTATCTATGATAAAGTATATAAGTAATTTATAATAATAAAAGTTGAATTAATAATAGCTTCATTCAATTTCCAAAATTGAATAGAATGTGAGGAGGAAATCACAATGTATTATTCTTTATAATCCTGTTATCTAGCAGAATACAAGTTAATGCATATTTGTAAATAAATATGTCTCTTTAAAGCGGTAAGGAAGAGAAAGAGAATTCTATCCCTTCACCCATGCCAATCTCACGAGGAGAGAGAGTCAATATGATTGGTGACATTGCAAATTATTCATTAGACTACAGTAATGAGTGGGTGGGATTCATGTATTTCAATAGACTACACCCTTACATTCTGTCCTCTTCTCTTTTTCTTACTTCCTTCATGCAACTGATTACATAAATTGAGTGAGGGACACTTGTTTGGATTGGAGGGCAGTAGGCAAGTCATGGGCATTAGGCCTCGGCCAGGCTAAAACATCTCTGCCATTTTGCTATCATTTTTTTTAAAGTGTATATCCTTGGAAGCAACCTCTATGATGAAGGATTAATTGACAGAACAATATATGAGCCTTCTTGTGTCATCTATCCAAAGGTCATCCTAATCTCATGTCCTCATGATAGGCTCTTATTCATGAGAGGATTCAGTAAGAGGCACTTACCTATCTTATTCCCCCATTCTTGGCATCAGAATCTTGACATAATAATCAAAAGGCTCCTTTAGAGAAGACCGTATCTATAACATGAAACTTTATCGGGTTGACAAATCATGTATTGAGGAAAAATGAACCCTAAAGTCTTCAATGAGATGTATTTATTTTTGTTCTGTTATAAATTTCTACTTACTCATTACTAAAGATCTGATGATAATTCATCTAAGAAAGAAAGCATACGTCAAGGTACAATCTACATTATTTTTTGTCTTATGCCTTTCTATGCAAAGCTGGCTTCTTACTTTAAGGACCTCATTACTAATTGCAGAACATGTCGTAGGCTCTGCTTGTTATTCATTCGCTCAAAGAGTGATCTTTCATTACTAGGTTTTGAATAGATTGATTTCTATGCTACGTTTGCTTTCTTTTAATATTCTCTGCAAAATTGTGTCTTCCTCTTTTCCTAACGAAAGAAAACTGAGGAGAGCTGTTTTGGCGCTCTCTCTCTCTCTTTTTCTCCCGGGACACTGTTTTATTTGCTACTATATTCTTTTTGCCATTTATCAGAATTCTTTTCTTAGCTGTGGCATAGGGAGGGTCATTTAAAAACTATTCTTTGGGAAGAATGAACTGCTGCTTGGGCACTGTCAGGACACTCTCTGTAAAACATTATAAATCTCCTCATGGGCAATCATTTAAGAGAGCTCATGGATATTATCATACCCAATGTTGTGAAGGGTAACAGTGCTCAGTAAACGCTTATTAAATGAATCAATGAATACATGAATCTGGTTCCTTGAAATGACACTCAGAATTTTGTTTGCATATCTAAAATAAGATGTGAGCCATAAGAAAACATTGATGCTGAAAATTGCTATATATTTAAAACAATGCCTTAATTAAAAAAAAATTCCACATACAGACTTGTTTAGTGGTTCTAGAATACTTCTTAGTATGACTAGAATTTTAGTGTTTGTTTCATTCCTTATTAGAATTTGATCCCAGGGTAATGAAGAAAAAAGTCTATGCAAAGTGTTTGCTACTACCATTGTTGTGCATTAATTTAAAAAACATATATAGAATAATAAAATAATTTTAAGAAATATGGCTTAAATTAGAGAAATTTAAATTGTATTCTATTTGGCTTATAATGTAAACCATATTGTTAATGACACTGCTCTAACGAGTCCCCAAACTTGAGACTAATTTTAGTAGTCAAGGCTGAATAATTTTTTAATTGATATTTAAAACTCAGGGGAAATAAAAAGTATTTTATAACTTTACCCATTGATAATCTCTGATAACATTTGGAATATATTCTTCTAGAAACTTACTTTTTCCAATTGAAGCCATACTTTAATATTTCTGCCTCTTGTTTCACATATTTGCATTATGTGAATATGCAATTTAATAAGGGGTCAAGTCTTTGCTGCTTGTTGATGCCTTAGCCTTCCTCAGTTTTGTATAGTTGCAGTCTTATAATTTTTGAGCTCTATTCAATGATAAATTTGGGGGATATATTCCACTAAGAATCACACAATGGAAGAATAAGAGGAGACTTTAGAAGCCATTTCCACCAACATTGCATTTTACATAAAAGGTAAATGAGGATCAGAGAAGTTGAATGACTTATGCAACGTGACATAACTAGTTGGTTGCAGAGTTGAGAATAGACTACATCATAAGTGATTTTGATCTTATGATTATCTTGATACCTAGAGTTGGATTATAAATAATAATTCTAAAATCACTTGTGTTTAATTTTTATCTGGTAAAAATTTGTTGTTTATTGCAACATCAGTAAAAATTCTGTGAATATACAGAGCCAAAAGATGAATAAATCTAATAAATTTTTTCTTATGAAGTACAATGGAATGTTATACTAAAGAAAGATTACTGTTGTTAGCTAATTTTGCAACTATATAGGCCAAAGAAATCTATAACGACAGAACTTTGAAGCATGAGTGATGTGGAAGAGTTATGGATATTAATTCAGTCTTTCATGTGGTGTTCAGTGAAATATTAAGCTTTAGAGTCTGTGTGGGAGTGTATCTAAATATACTTGTTGTTTTGCATTTTTATTCTGCAGTTTCTCAGACACGTTCATGGCAGGGAAGAAAAAAAAATATCCACTGCAAAGACGTGATTCTCAATAGGATGCTGTGAAGTCATATCTTCACAGCCAAACCACGGCTTAGCCAGAAACAAAAACTATGCTTGGTTCTTTTCTGATTTGGTCTTCCCAATTCTCCCTTCCTCCTTGACATGATCTGGGTGGCTCCAAATGTATATTTTTCTAGAGATGACAGCTGCCATAAAAAATTCTTGCATAGACTGTAATTGATCAGTTTGATTTAAGATTATGATTGATCCATTCTCTGACTGCCCTGTCAACAATCTGGGGTGCTGGTGGGGTGATGGAGGTCAATGTTTAAAAGCTCTTGATTGGAAATTGGAAACCTTTGAGCCAAGAATTCAAATTTGACCCAAGAATATATTTGGTTTGGCAGGCACACTATTTTAATGCTTTAGATTTTTTAATGTTTTTAGGCAGGTCTATGTATTCTTTAGTTTATCATTCCCCCTTGTTTTTCATTACACAGTTTTACACATTGATTTTATTTGCCTGATACTGAATCCTGGTTTTGCAACCTCTGCTTACATGGCCATGCCATCCCAAGTTGTACATAGTTGAATCATAGAATTATAGGAAGAACTTGAGGTCATCCAAACTAAGCCCTTGGTTTTTCAGATAAAGAAATGGGTCCAGAGAGGTGAAGCAATTTACACAAGATGAGACACAAGTAAGAGAAAAAATAGCGAGTAACATTTGTAATAAACCTGAAATATATCAGGGAGGGAGCTAGGCACTTTGCTCCCATTCTCACAATTAATTCTAATATTTATAGATGAAAAAATAATGCTTATGAAGTCACATTGTTAAAGGGAATGAAAATCAAACTTGAGAGTCAAATACTAGTCAGCTTAACTCAGAAGCACAGTCTTCTACACAGAAACAATCTTCTGGTTCTTGTCTCAGTGAACTTTCAATTATATCAGGTTGCCAATCAATTAGACAAGTTATTTTGAATACATAATTATGCTTACAGTTTAAAAAATGCACTCATGTGGTAAACCTGCTACATGTTTGCCTAACTACATTTTTGCTTAACATTCAGGAACATTTCAGAAGGAATCCCAAAATGAAATCCATTTGACCCCCCAGTACTTATCCTCTCTTCCAATATGTCATCTAAAAGTTAGTGAAACATAAAAATAAAAAGACAGATATATCATTTTCATGTGGATTAGATTTCTCTCTGCCATTTATTAGCTTCTGGATTCAGTAGAATATTATAGGGTTCCACTGCTTGAAGGCCACATAGGACATTTCTTATTTTCCAGTCTTCCTGATCATCTTGGAACATCTGTTTTCCTGGTGTACATAAGGTACTATGGACCTAAGATTAGCTTGAGGAACACCAAGTCACTTGTTAACTCTCATCAGCAAGTTATGCTTTTGCAAGCATTATCAGCATTCATATAGAACCATGGCAATTCCTGAGAATTTTTTCCTAGGCCTCACATCATTTGATGATACACAGCTGAACACTTAGAAAGAGGAAAGCAAACTTAAAGGACTTCTTTTTTTTATGTGCATGTCAGAAGATTATCAGGCAGTATGCAGAGCTGATGATTTGTTAAACTTCAGACAAAAATGAAAGTCTGCAGGCCAGTCTTGCTAGTCACCTTCTGAATAGATGTTAGACTTGAAATTTCTCCTAGAAGATATGTCTAGAGGGTTCGTCAGAATCACTTATGAACCACATTTATTATTTAATACAATAGTAGAAAGACTTATTATCTGTAGAGTCTTGGAATATAACCAGTCGAAAGTGATGCTAGTTGGACTCGACTTATGAAATGAGCTATTAATGGGAGATGAATTGGTCAGTAGACACACACATATGAGGTGCATTATGAGGGCCTCAGGAGACAAATCAACCTGTATCACAGTACTCAAATATGTAGAGAATTTTTTAGAAATAAAAAGCATTGGAAAGCCTGTTGGCTTAAATAAAAAATCAAAACTCTTGCCTGCAACTACTGAACATTCATAAATTCATTTTTGAAAGATATCCTCACATTGTACTTTTCAGCTACACAGACACACAGAGATGAGGGATGTTAGTTTCACACATGTACCCAATTATTATGACATGTCATTGATCTTTTACTTCATGTAAGACGTATATATTATATATATTGAACTAATCACAAGGTTGCTGTTGATGCCTCTCATTAAAAGTCTTAATTTACAAGCAAGTTAAACCAGTTAAGGGTGTGTGTATGGGGAGGTGCATGTGTGTGTGTGTGTATGCACATAGACAGATTAGATAAATTTAACTTATCTACCTATCTACATATTTTTAAATTATACATAAGCTAAATCATGATTTTAATGAGAGTTCTAGAGTACTTATATTTGTAATATAAATGTTCCTGTGTGCATACAAACACAGAAGTGCACACACACAACACATCCCTAACTGATCTAACCTGCATTGTAAATGAAGACTTTAAATGATAGGCATTGGCATCAGCCTCATGAGTAGGTAAATATGGTTGTCTATGTATTGCCACTCTGGCCCATACTTTTGTCTTATCCTGGGATTTATCTGATATCTCCTTGTCATAAGCATTAAGTTATGGTTAACACTGGTATTTTCCCCTTGGAATCTGTGTCAGGTTTGGTGGAAGGCTGCTACTTGCCTGTATTCTGGAGAGTAAGGAGAAGATCTAAGATGTGGGCTTGAGGAAAAGTTAAATTAATATCTAGGTAAACTGTCAAGGTGATTTCTTCTTATGATAGAATTGGCAGAAAAAGATAATTTTGGTGAAATCCAATGAGTTAGAACTGGGTAAATAGGATGACTAGAAGTGAAAGGTGAAAGAGAGAGTGTGGAGAAATTTTTGAATTCATAAAGGAAGAGCTATGCAGCTTTTTGAGAAATATATCCATCTTCAGAGTAGCATGGAGAAAGCTGTTAAAGCCACTGGCCTAGTAAGATAATTTATTCACAGCAGGGCAGGTCATTAGAAAGGGGAAGCATGCCACTAGATCAAGGATGGCAAACAGCTTTCATCTTGGCTGCCAAGTCTAGTTGATTTGTAGTGGCTGCTTGGAAAGATGTGAACAAAAGGACTCTAAGATCTTATCTAAACCCAACAGTTTAGTATCTTGTGATTGATTAGTGATGTCTGCATGGACACACAAATGTGAGTTATTGACACAGATCATGTAATTTTTTTTCATTCCTGAATTAAATATCCTTGTATAATTGGATAATTACAAGGGTCTACATCTGACTAATGGAAGTTTAGCTCATCTGTTAAGCACCTTCATCAGTGCTTAACCAAACTAAAGAATCTTTACAACCCCAGCAACTAGTTGGTCTAAATGGTTGAAGTTTATTCTACGGGGTTTCCTAATAGGTTCTTGCACAGGATTTGGGAATACAGGTTTGTGGTACTCAAGAGCACTAGGCAAGCTGACGTGTTAACATTTTTCTTTAGTCTGTTCACAAAAACCAAGTTTGAAAACATGGCACTAGAATTCATTATCAAAATTCAGAACAAAACAAGAAATACTAGCATGAGGCAGGGTTTTATTCTTTGAAAAGAGTTTATCAGTTATGAGAAAATGAATGTCTTATGAGTACTGGTCCTATGAACTGGACTTTGGCACTTAGGCACAGATAGTCTTCTTTATCAGAATTTCAAAAGGCATGTGAGTGTGGTGTGTCAATTTAAGGCATTACAAGCACAGCAAAGGTCTGCAGAAGAGCATCACAACAAGGGTCAACTGAACAGGGAGGAGAGCAAAACAATGAGCCTTCCTATGTTGGAGGTTAAGTATGGACTTTGAGCCCACTTTAAATAGTAGTACTCAAAGTAGTATTCAAATGGTATTTTACCCACTGTTATTAACAATAGTACATCATTAGATGTATATTGGCCCAATAATTGAGATATAGGTGAACCATCAAATAAAGAAATCAGAAGGCCTAGCTATGGGAATACTTGGTAAAGTCACGAGAGGGAAATTAAGAGAATGCTTGGCCTGCTGGATTTTCTAATGCATGAAATTATATAATTGGAGTTTTGGTGTTTATCCATAAATCAGACTTTACTTCTTCAAATTCAAATTTTAAGATTTAAAATTCTGGCAAAAGTGTTAATTATTAGCAGACATTTAGACTTTACTATGAATGAGTCTATGAGATGCTTTCCTAAATATATACTTTTTTGTAAATGTCGAGAAGCTAGGAGGGAGGACAGAAGAGGAGTAAGCCAGGCAAAATGAAGATGGAGGCTCTGAAAAATGGGAGATAGATTTCACACCAATGATTTCTTGAACAAGGAACTTATTGCTGGAAACAGAAAAGAGCAAAACCCTCAATAATACTCAATAGAAATAGTGGTTGATCGAAATTATTCATGACATAATTCTTAATGAGCCTTATTGGGCATCCCAGAAGCTGCCTTTGGGAAGTGTATAAAATTACCAAATAGTCCCAAATTGTCTATGACTTTCCTGATTTTAGTAGGGAAGTTCCCTGTCCCAGGATTGCCCCCACTCCCAGGCAAAATAGGATGGTTAGTTACTCTCAAACAGAAAGGTGAAATGCAGCCGTTTTCTAGGGAGGGGCAAGCAGGGCTTTCAGAAAACATTTCACTACCTGAAGCTGATCTTTGCTTGAAAGGGACTTTAGCAGGCTACAGGGTCTTTTTTTCCCGAATCTGTGAAAGAATCTGAGAATGAGCCTCTGACCCATTCGGTTCCATGTATTAGAAGGGATGCTTGGGTGTATGTGGGTGTGTGTGTGGGTGTGTGTGTGTGTGTTTGTGTGTGGGAGTTGTTTCCATTTTTAAGGCTTCTTTCTCTAGGGAAGCTAATAGGACAACCTCTTCTTTGTTAGGAACAACCAAAGTTAATTTTTGCAAGACCATTTTACCTCCCTTATTCAAGGAGTTTCATGATTAAATTTGATTAATATTCTAATATATGTGTTAGGGCTATTGTTTTTCACTTGAGGGGTAAGGAATCATCCTTATTATAGTCTTCGTGTAAATCTTGAACTGGATTTTTGGGTTTTATTATAATTGCATCTTGCCATTTTGTACCATTAAAATTGTTTCTCTATGTAAAACAAGAATCACACTGGCCACCTTATATTTGACTTTTTTCTTTATTCTTTATTTTTAATTGACAAATAAAAATTATATATCATTACAGTGTATAACATGATGGTTTGATATATGAATACGTTGTGGTATCACTAAATCAAGCTTTTTAACATTTGCATTACTCACATACTGATCAAAATTCTATGTATTTTTGAAGATTGAAATAAAACATCATTCCTCTGAAATTTCTCTGATCATATCACATCTGAAAATTTCCTTCTTTGACTATCCTGCAGCATTTTTAGGTCTTTTCTAGCATGTCTTCCTCTTGATTTGCATTTGTATAGTTTACTTAATCTCACTTAGAAAATTGTAAGCTACGTAAAGTGTTAAAATAAAATTTTTTCTCTGTTTAATTTTATCTTCTGCATTACATTTTTCTTTGTATTGATAACAGCTCTCTGACCTTAACTCTTACACTTCCATGGGTATTATAACATGAGAAGATGAGCAAGTCATATTTTACCCTCTGTTATGAACAACAATACATCATTAGAAAGTGCCATGAAACTTACTCTACGGGAATTTTTTTAGCAAGTAATTAATGCAGATATTACTATACATTTCAATTTAAGTGTTTAGATTTGGACCTGGGATATTTGATAAATATTTGATGAATACATGTAAATTTACATATTAAAAATAATCCTTATTATTGAGTGAACTAATTAATGACAAAAATCTTGGGAGCCAATCTTTTTTGTCCTTTTAGTAGAGAGCTGAACCTGCTTGCTTCTACTATAATTGCTACCACTACTGCTACTAATAATTTCAAAACATAAAAACAAATTCTTTATAAAATATTACTATTTGTTGTGCCTATTGTCACATAATAAACGATTTTATATTTTGTTCTACATTATGAACATACAGCTCCATGCTAGAAACAAAGCATCACAATACATGTTATCAGTAGAAACACTGAATATATGTAATTTTCCCATAGCTATCTCCCCCTTGTCATAGTGAAACATTCAGCTTGACTCTAATCTAACTATTTCTGTGATCTCTCTTCATTAATGGATTCTGTTCGTATGCCGATTGTTAAAGGGAGTGTGATTGCATTTCAAGAAAACTGATGCTTTCCCAACAGAAGTATGATATTGTTAGAGTTTCAGAAGGTAAAAAGCAGTTACTTTTTTCAGCTTCTACATTAGCTATTCTCTGCTCTTAAAAAGTTTTGCAGGAAGTGAATTAATGTAATAGTTTATACAGTCTGTATAGTATAAAATAGACTCAGATTAAGCTAGCAGACTTGTTATTTGACAGTTTATAAAATATTTTAGTATCTTTTTGGCAGTAGCAGTTTGAATGTTGGCAAATGTACACATTGCTTGCAGTTTCAAAACCTTGTAATGAGTATTTTTCACTGTAATAGCAGAGAGCTGAAATTTGGATAAACCACTTAGACTTGTGAACTCTGACACGCATGGTAACAATGTCTTTGTAAAAGAATTTTGTCAAGTATTGGAGCTCCTACTAATAGCACATCCATCTTTCTGCAGACCATAAATCTTAAGAAAATTTCTATTACTCTGCAATTTGTCTGGCTTATGCTATTTATTAGCCATTTTATTCTGCTGCTTTAAGAAGTAATGTGATGTTCATTTTATTGCTGGTTCAATAAATTGTTAATTATAATGCAGTGATTGCAGCTGACGTGATTTAAAAGCCACATTAGCACTATAGCATTAAGTTTTAACTATTTTACCCTTCAATTCCCTATTTATACAACAGTAAAAGGAAAATAGCCTTGGACTAATTTAAAAAATGAAGGTACTTATATCTATTGATCACATGACACATTAGAAACTTTTTTAATAAAGGTCACACTTTTATCTTAAGAAAGATAGAAAATATGGGTGAATAATACATAAGGGAACACTTATGAGAAAAGCATGTTCTTCTAAGGTAGAATGCAAGTGAAGTTAGCCACATCTATGTATTTAATATTATAGTTCTTGTATGATACTTCCTATAATACTTCCTATTAAATAGGAAGGCATAGAGGTCATGCTAATTTTGTAAATATTTTTCTTCCAGAATTAAAAAAAAATGTTACTAGAAACTATGATAGGTGTGACTTTTGAAGAACATTTTTAAATTTTATACCCAAATGGTCAAACCTGAAGCAACATAAACACTCCTCCTCTTCTGTTTCTTTCCAGGCTCAAACTAACCTAGAACTTTCTCACTTACCTAAAATATGTGCATACCAGTCTCATAGTGTATATTCTTAGATATCTGTTAAATCACACTCTTCTGAACAAGAAAAGTGTGGTGCTCACAATAGCATCTATGTAAGCAGTTAATTATGTACTGCTCAATATAATTTCGAATGCAAATTCTATTTTCTCATAAAAATTCTGCCTTTTGTCCATTGACTTCAGTTCATTGAAATCAAGGATTTTGTACCAAGCTTGTTGCCCTCTCTCTAAGAATTTTGCAAAACTTCAGACATAGTGTAAACTCTTCAAATAAATGTTGGCTGCTTCCAGAACATTCTTCTAATGCTGAATCTGAACATTTTGAATGTTGGATGATCTATGATATACAGCTTCTGTTACACTGGTGAGTGAGTGGCTGGTGAACATGTAAAATAAGCCTGACTTTCTATAAATTTTGGAATTCAGCTGACAAAACAGGGAAAAAAGCATGTAGTCAATGATTTGGATTGCTTTATGCTCCCATTATCTTGCCCTGAGCCACTCTTTGAATTTGGGCAAATCAGTAAATTGTTCTATAATTTGGTTTTAACATTTGTGATATTTTACCCTACAGACACACATTGAGAATTTTTCATGTACCAGGCATTTTACTACAAAGCAGGGGTAAATTGTAGATGCCTTTGCAGAGTTTACTTTTTAGTGTGGGATAGGCAACATTCCTTTGATTTTTTTTTCTCCTGTAATTAAGCATTAATCAAACAATTTATAAATTATTATTGTGTGGTTTCTCTAGCATTGAAGTTTCTTCCTTCCTTCTCATTAAAAAAAATATGTAACATGGATGCGATCCATAAATGCTTGTTTAAATGGAGAATTTTATAATTAAATATTTTATAGTACCATAGAATATTAGAGACAAAAAGACATTTAAGGCCACTTAGTAATTCTACTACATCAAAAAATTTGAGATTTCAAATCATACAGATCATTTGGCCCCACTTCCAAAATTCTCATTTAATAGCTTAGGTGGGGCCCTGGAATCTGTACAGATCAGTGGATATAAGATTAAAAGTTTGCTTTTATCACTAATAAGGCCATAATGCCTTTATTTGCAATTTATAATTGTTTTCCACAGTTGGCTATTTTAAAAGTTGTTTTGTCCAAAGTGTTCATTTTTTAGTTGATATATTGCAAAGTGTTCATTTTTTAGTTGAGAAATTGTGCCCCAGGCTACAGAGTCTAAATGTCTTGCCTAAGGATATGTATAATTAGAGGCTTAATTAGGAACAAGAATTAGAGGATTTTATCTGTTAATCCAGTGGTCTCTTTCCTATATAACTCAGCCTGTATTTTAAATAATTATGTTGTTTTACTGACTTATTTAGGTTATTTCCTCCAATCTCTTTTTATTTTTGAATATAAGGAAATTGCTTTTGTTCACAGAGAGGAAATGTCTGGTAACACTCTCTGTTTAAGCATTTCGTTGTATACATGACTACTAAAGAAAAAAATCTTGTCTATTTTTGAATTTCTAACATATCCATTGTCTCTGGGCCTGCATATGCATAAAGCAATGGGTGCTCATTCCTATCTCTTTCTTTGAAAGAAGAAACTTTCATGCCTCTCAAAGGGAAGGTGTGTTTCATTTGCAGTAGGGCGTTACTCTTTATAAAGAATCAGTCTCTGAAGATTCTATGTTATAACAATGTAGATTCAATCTTAAAATTTCTTTTCTAATAGTATACTTTGAAAACTCAGCCATCCATCTGATAATTTTGAATCTTTACATTGATTTAGAAAACCCTTTTTTTAGACAATCTTTTAGTTGTATATTTAATATGCAATCAGACTTCATTTGTGTTTTTCTACCTCTACTCAGGCTTTTCTGTTCACAACATGAGAATTGGTCAAATTATAATATTTTCAATGTATTGCCTATGTAGCCTTGGGAAAAGGAGACCAGAAGAATGAATGAAAGAAAAGAACCTCCTCTCCTCCATCCCTTGCTCACAACACAAATCTGAGTTTCAGAATCAAGTTTATTTACTTATGGTCCCATTTAACGTGGCCAGTACACAACCACATCACACAATTGGCACAACATTGAAAGAAATGCCCAGAGTTAACCTGTGTTAAGATTATAGATATTTAATTCTAAAACAAATTGTACACAATGCTGGCAAGCAAGAACACGTCAGAATTTTTTAACACATCATTTCTAGTAAAATGTTTATCTTACATTAAGACTCAAATGTCTGAAATACTCAGAAATATGCATAGATTTCTTTTCTTTCATTAGTCCATTTCAGAAGTTTTTAACCACAGAGGCACATCTCAGACTGATTTACTCAGATCCTGTATAGGTGTGTTACTGTATCAAACAGAGGGTCGGGCTGCTGTTTCTTGTGGCCCAATAATGAGATGCAGATGAACTGGGGAGGAAGACAGTTTTTATTTCTGTAACTGGTTACAGGGAGAAGGCCTGGAAATTATCACGAGACCAACTCAAAATTACAAAGTTTTCCAGAGCTTAGATACCTTCTAAGCTATGTGTCTACATGTAAGTGTGCATTCATCTGAAGATATAAGTGATTAACTTCTTTTAGTCTATAACTAAGGTCTGAGCCCTGAAGACCTTCCTCTGGAGTCTCAGTAAATTTACTTAATCTAAATGGGTCCAGGTGCTGGAGTGATTACCCTTATCTTGTCTTCTGCTAAATCATGGAGGTTTGGGGAGTTCCTTTAGACCCCCAATAAACTTGTTTGTAGAAGCCTGAGGAGTTTCTTCAGACCCACAATAAAACTTGTTTAATCCTAAATGAATCCTGTTAAGAATTCCTTTGTTATTTTGTCATGATTTAAGGCCCAGGAAAGGCCTAGGCAAAACTCCTGATGGCTTTTGTTATATCCCCACCTTTGTATAAGTTTACTGGCTTTTAATATGTAACTAAACCACTCAATTGGTACTGAAACAGTTGTTATGGAGGCCTGCATTAGTGAGACCTGACCTGCCACAGGTGGATCCCAAGTGATCATAATTTTTTAAAGTTTCCAGTTTATACCAATAGTCTATTAGACTAGAAAACCACTAACCTACTAATTATTTTAGGACATCATCCAACAGCTTCACCAGATTAGAATCTCCTTTTTTCTCTTGTACAGAAAGTTAGATAACAGAGAATTTTAGAAGAATTGTGACACATGAAGGTCCTGAGTGTTGTAAAATAGTAAAGGAGCTATTTATCAAGAAATGATCATCTTTAATATCACAAATAGCAGTTCTGTGCACTACTTAAACCCTATTCAAAATATGTCCCTTTGAGATGGGCTTTAGGAAAATGATGGGTAATGTATGTTTCTGAATTACTATAAACAGGCTTAAAAAATTGTCTAGCTTTCCTTAGCTCCACTAAAGGCCATGCTTGCTGGGGAGAAGGGTAGATGTGCCTCAAATCTATAATAGCAAATGTCCTATTGCTATTCAGTTGATCTGTACATAGGATTCACTCTGATTTCTATTTTTTCTGGATTTTAACTTAATTTTTCTGTTTATGATTTCCTCCCCTCTCCTAGGTGTGGCATGCATTATTTCACTGTTTCTGATCTCCAAATTTCCACCTTGAGTGTAATACCCCATTCCTCTTTCAAAACTGCATGCACTGTTTTCAGCTACTTAATATAAATACCTCATATATTCTTATCTAAGGCCTCAGAATTCTAAGCCTTGGTGGAAGACTTGGTGGAAACTTCTTGTTATTGACAGCATTATCATGTTCTCATAGGAACTATGACCATATCAGGGAATATTGACACTAAATACATTATTCACCTTACATGTTATCTAATGGAAGCATTGCTTTTTAGAATGATCATTTTTTTTCTTCTCCTATGTTATGTCTGTTTTGCTTGCTAGACTTAAAAATATTCAGCATCTTAAAAATATTCAGCAGGCATTAATTTTCATTATTCAATTAGAAGGTTTATTTTCCAAATAAAATTTGAGCCCCAAATTTTGGTTATGTTGATAATTACTATATATTACTTTGATCATTACCCTTTCTCCCCAAATCTGCCTGTCAGCTATGCACATGCTCAAAATCTTATCGGAACATTATTAGTTCACCTGTTCACTTGATAATAGGATTGCATTAGGAAGCTATAGAAATCAAAGAAAGGCTTATTCATTCGTTCATCATTATGACATTTCACTTCAGTGTCTCAAAGCATCTCAACTTTAATGTGTTCCACCTTGAATCTGTGATTTATAACCTTCCCTTCCTGAAATCTTTTCTTCTGTCTCTACCTCCGTAAATGGCATCAACATTTTCCCAGTTGCTCCTATAAGAAATACAGTAGTTATTCTTCATTCTCTCACACCTCATAGTCAATCCATCAGACAATCCTATATATTTTACATCCCAATTACATCTAATTTCAACTACTTTCTTCATTTTCATGCCCATAAATTTTTCTTTGATATTGTCATATTTTACCTGTTATCTAACCCCACTTAATTTCTTGCTCTCTCTTCATTCATAATCCATTATTTTTATAGAAACAGGAATGATGTTTTAAGATAATAAGTAAGACTTACCTTTATTATTGTTTATTTATGTGTACTACAATATTGTACACAAACTAGTCCTCCTTTCATTGCTTACTTTATGTTGAGTCATCCCTCACCACCCCTCACTGCATGCCAACGATATTGTCTTCTGTTCTAAAAACTCATTGAGGTCTTTGCCAATTTAGCGCCCTAGCAAATGCTGTTTCTTTTGCTTGAAATGTTTTTCCCCTTTACTCTTTGTAGCCAGCTGTTTCCATTCGTTTCAATAATTTCCACTTATGTGCATAGAATGGATCAGAGGAAGGACAAACTACAGGAGAAGAAATGATGGTTTTTCCTGTTACGGGTGTTATTAGCAGAACAGATTAAGAATATATTCTATAGCTAGGCTTAATAGGACTTGATAAGAATTGAAGTTGTGAAAAAGAGAAAGAAAAGTATAAGGCATAATTTCAGATTTTTTGGATGGAGTACATTATAACAGTCACTGAAACCAGAAGGCCTAAAGGAAAAGATTTAGGTCATGTTAGTGGGCACGGAGAGGCAGTAAGGATTTTTTCCAAACTCATTGTGAGAAAAACCAACATTCAATTTTGACATATTGGATGTGGGAGGTGTAGGTGATGGAGAATTCAAAGATGACTGCCATGTCTGGCTTCAGTAAGATGTCATGTTGTGAGGAAAATATTGAGTTTGGAGACACTGAAGAAGCAGGTCTGAGAGGAAATGATAAATCAGCCAGCTATGAAAACTCGGAATTACAAAGAGAAGTTAGGGTTAGCAATAGAGCCATAAATTTGAGAGTTGTCAGTTTACAGATAATAACTGAAGCCAAGGAAATAGGAAATATTATTTAGAATGTAAAGAAGCTTAGGATAAAAGCAGAGAAGTATCCAGCAAACAAGATTAAGTTATTACTCCAGAAATACTAGGATAGTGTCCCAAGGAGGCGGTATAAAAGGAAAACAAAAAAGAAGAAAAAGTGTGGGCTTCGCTTGAAGCAATTACACCCTAGATAGGTATTGAGAATTCACCACATAAGAGATTTGATGAAAGTGCTTTCTGTCTTATAATATGTGACAGATAACATTACTTTTTATGGGCCACAGTCTTGATAAGCTTAGTTTGCTCTAAGTGGAAATGCCCTACAAATTCTGAATTCTGGTGACCATATGGAGGCAAGGTATGATGAGCCTTAGTAGCTCATAAAAATGTTTATAAAAAGAACTGGCTGCTTAAATGAAATACCTTAAATAAAAAGACAGATTTTTGGGCCAGCTTTGTGCTAGATACTGGGCTTAAATAATAAGTAACTCAAACTTTCTATTTTTCAAGAGTCTAGTTTAATGAGAAGGGTTAGCAGATAACGTCTATAAACAATGAACTAAAAATACAATGTAATAACTTTTGTAATAAAGTTTTGAACAAACAGCTATTCAAATATATATGCTTAATTCTGCCTATGATAGGGAAAAGCAAAATTTTATAGTAGAGATAATATATTGGCTGGCATTCTGTGTAGTGACATATTGTCTTCTTTTGTGTTAAAGTGTTGCTTAACCTACAAAGATATTTCTTAATCTTTGGGGGTAACACAGTCTTTTAAAATCTGTTTAAATATAATCCCTCTCTATAGAAAGTAGACATATGCACCAATTCACAATATTTCAAATATTCAATAACTTCTTGGGCAAATATACTATTTCGAAACTGAAAGTAAATATGATACTACAAAAACCAATGTGTGGTTCTAATTATTAACTAATTCTAGACTTTAAGGTCTAGAATATCACATAAGAATGACATATGAATGGATACAATTTGCACTGTTCTTTTCTACATTTCTGAAATTGCTTCCCTTTTATAATTTACACATCTCTTCAGGTTAATTTTCCAATAAGACCACTTGGAATATATCATGACATTTTTCTGTTAGATGGAGATATATCCCCATTATTACATGAAGTCCAAACTTCTACATCTTGCTTTTATAGCTCACTATAATTTTCCCCTTTCCTATAATTCAAAGATTATTAAATTATGCTTGTGCCAATTCATTATCACTTTCATTGTAATTCATCAAACTGTTATTGAGCATGTATTCCATGCCAGGCATTATGCTGTTATTAGAAATTCAGTACAGAATAAAGCAGAAATTGTTCCTGGGCTCAGGAAATACATTTCTAATGAAAGATACACAAAGAGTATGTTCCTGAGATAATCTAGGCAAATTGTTCTTTACATTTTCTTGATTCTGTGGTGTCACTCTGTGGGTGAAGTGAGTCCTAACATGGGCTCTCCCCATGTCCTTCCTTACATGTTTTCAAATTCTGAGCCATTCAAGTTTCTTCTCAATGTTTTAGGAAGTCTTCTTTGATTATCCCAAGGATCAAAGGCTTCTCTACATCCTAGAGCCTACACTGCTAGATGTTACTTATACCAATAACTACAGGACAAGTCAATATATTATAATTTTTCCAAAAGTTATAATATTATAATATATAATTATAATATTTAAGGAGTGATATGGTTTGGCTGTTTTCCCACCCAAATCTTATCTTGAATTGTAATCTCCACAATCCCCACATGTTGAGGGAGGATCCTGGTGGGAGGCAATTGGATCACGGGGGCAGTTTCCCTAATGCTCTTCTCATGATTGTGAGTAAGTCCTCATGAGATCTGATGGTTTTATAAATGTCAGGAATTTCCCTGCTTGCTCTTCTCTCCCCTGCTGCCATGTGAAGAAGGTGACTGCTTCTCCTTCTGCCATGATTGTAAGTCTCCAGAGGCCTTCCCAGCAAGTGGAACTATGAGTCAATTAAACCTCTTTCCTTTACAAATTACCCAGTCTTAGGTATTTCTTTATATCAGGATGAGAATCAACTAATATAGTTAATTGGTACCACAGAGAGTGGGGTACTGCTATAAAGATACCTGAAAATGTGGAATTGACTGTGGAACTGGGTAACAGGCAGAGGTTGGGACAGTTTGGGGAGCTCAGAAGAATACAAGAAGATATGGGAAAGTTTGGAATTTCCTTGAGACTTGTTGAATGATTTTGACCAAAATGCTGATAATAATGTGGAAAATGAAGTGCAGGCTGAGGTGGTCTCACATGGAAATGAGGAACTTATTGGGAACTGGAGTAAAGGTAACTTTTGCTGTGCTCTAGCAAAGAGACTGGCAGCATTTTGCCCCTGCCCTAGAAATCTGTGGAACCTTGAACTTGAGAGAGATGACCTGAAATTGGAACTTACGTTTAAAAGGGAAGCAGAGCCTAAAAGTTTGGAAAATTTGCAGCCTGGCAATATGATAGAAAAGAAAAACCCATTTTCTGGGGAGAAATTCAAGCTGGCTATAGAAATTTGCATAAATAATCGGGAGCCAAATGTTAATCACCAAGACAATAGGGAAAAGTCTCCAGGGCATGTCAAAGACCTTGGCAGTGGCCCCTCCTATCACACACCTGGAGGTCTAAGAGGAAAAAATTGTTTCATGAGCCAGGCCCAGGGCCCCCTGCTCTGTGCAGCCTCAGGACTTGGTGCACTGTGTCCCAGGTGCTCCAGCTCCAGCGATGGCAAAAAGGGGCCAAGGTACAACTTGGACAGTTGCTTCAGAGGGAGCAAGCTCCAAGCCTTGGTGGTTTCTATGAGGTGTTGGGCCTGTGGGTGCACAGAAGTCAATAATTGATGTTTAAGAACCTCTGCCTAGATTTCAGAGGATGTATGGAGACATCTGGATGTCTAGGCAGAAGTTTGCTGCAGGGGTGAAGCCCTCATGGAGAACCTCTGCTAGGACAGTGCAAAGGAGAAATGTGGGGTTGAACCCCCTACACAAAGTCCCCACTGGGGCACTGTTTGGTGGACCTGTCAGAAGAGGGCCATCATCTTCCAGACCCCAGAATGGTAGATCCACCAACAGCTTGCAGTGTGCACCTGGAAAAGCTATAAACACTCAATGCCAGCCATGAAAGCATCTGGGCCAGGGGGCTTTACCCTGCAAAGCCACAAGAGCACAGCTGCCCAAGGCCATGGGAGGCCACCCTTTGCATCAGTGTGCCCTGGATGTGAGACATGGAGTCAATGAAGATTATTTTGGAGCTTTAAGATTTAATGACTGCCCCGCTGGATTTCAAATTCGCATGAGGCCTGTAGCCCCTTTGTTTTGGCTAATTTCTCCCATTTGGAATGAGAGTATTTATCCAATGCCTGCACCCCCTTGTATCTTGGAACGAACTAACTTGCTTTTGATTTTACAGGCTCCTATGTGGAAGGGACTTGCTTTATCTCAGATGAGACTTTGGATGTGAACTTTTTGGTTAATGGTGGAATCAGTTCAGTTAACACTTTGGGGGGTTGTTTGGAAGGCATGATTGTGTTTTGAAATGTGAGGACATGACATTTGAAAGGGGCTGAGGCAGAAATATATGGTTTGGCTGTGTTCCTACCTAAATCTCATCTTGAATTGTAATTCCCATAATCCCCACATGTTGAGGGAGGATACTGATGGGAGGTGATTGGGGATCATGGGGGCAGTTTCCCGCATGCTGTTCTCATGACAGTGAGTGAGTCCTCATGAGATCTGATGGTTTTATAAGCATATGGCATGTCCTCTGCTTGCTCTTCTCTCTCTTGCCACCAAATGAAGAAAGTCCCTGCTTCACCTTCCACCATGAGGCTGAGGCTTCCCCAGCCATGTGGAACTGTGAGTCAATGAAACCTCTTTCCTTTACAAATTACCCAGTCTTGGGTATTTCTTTATAGCAGTGAGAGAAAGGACTAATACAAGGGGTAAAATAGCATTTTGCACTCCTGCACAATAACTATCCTAGGGCTTCAGACCAAAATGTAAATAAATGAATTTGTGAAAGTGGGACAGTTACAGCTACGTTATGTTCAAAATCATGATCCAGAAACATTTCCACCAGAAAGTGAGTTATTTGAGGAGAGACAGCATGACATCCATTTCTATTTTACCCATATAACCTGGTACAGATACAAAAATATTGAATAAATGAATGCATTAATTAATGTGCGAATGAATACTTCACTCTTTAAAAGATTATTCTAGGCTATAAGTTTCTGCTTAACTAGATTCCACCTGATGCTTCTGTGAAAATAGATATTTTCCCTTTAGGAACTTCTTGTTCTACTCATGAAAAGTCTTTGGTGTTTTTAAAATAATCCTTCTAAATATAATTCTTCCTTCTTCCGTCCTTGGTTTATGAAGATCAGAGGAGTGCAATGGGTAGAAACTGTTTGTTTTCTGGCTGTAGTTTAAGCCCAAGGCAAAAATCCTCTTGGGCCAGCTGCAATCTAATCTGGTCCCTCTAATATTTGTAAGAAGACATTCACTACAAAGTAGTTTATTTTATGGAAAAACTTAGTTGTGTATCTACTCCCCTGGATCTTTATATGGCCCTCTCTTTTGTTCTCTGCATTATATAGAATGAGATATGGAGTGCAAAGAAAGAATCCAGCTATCTCATGAGATCACTAATGTGGTTTCTGCAGAAAATATCTATCATTATTATAATTCACTTTTTAAATATATTTATAAAGCAAGGAATTGCTGTTTTCTTGATATGCCCTCTCCTTGGAGAGGGAGATTGTGCGTGTGTGCGTGTGTGTGTGTGTGTGTTTATGCTTCTCTGTCGATGCTTTGGGTGACTTTGCATATTTTTCTATGGAGAATTGATGTGGAGAAACAAGTGGGAATATATATGGTTATCCAAATTGCTTCAGTGTACAAAATGAGGATGGGAAGTTTTTAAGGATGAACTGTTGTAAGATTCCTGACCCTCTCTTTTTTCTGTGCTGAAATGAAAAAGCACAAGATGTGAAGTTCGGCCCTGCCAAGGTTGTCATTGTTCATTGGATAAACTATTTCTTCCAAAAGTGGGGTAAAATAATATTGATCCAGAAAAATCTGTAAATTGGACTCTAGCTCTTAATCAAGGAACTATTTTAGAGAATTAAGGAGCATTGCTCCTTTTCATGTATTTTCTTCTGCCCAAAAGTGGAAACTAGGTACAAATGAAGAGTTGAGAGGGAAATAAAACAAAAATAAAATTTACTAAATACAGATAAGAATGATATACAGCAAAGGATGATAAAAAGTGACAGAAATGTATTTATTCAATAGATAATTATTAGGGAGGCAGTACTGGGTAGAAGCTAAGAGTGAAGTCTCTACACTCATGGTTCAAATTCTGACTTTACTGGTTACTAGATCATTGTGGACACATTACTTCACCTGTGTGTGTCTTAATTTCTTTGGTGAAGGGCAATGCCACTATCTAACTCATAAGTTTGTACTGAGGACTAAATGAGAAATTCTTTGAAAAGTCCATAAGGGTCAATGTGTTGAAGGACAATAAAAGTTGCCATTATTATTTTATTTTAAGTAGAATAAGGAGCACACAGAACAAAATGTGAATAGTGTGATATATGAAAAATTTAAAAATACTTATCACAATGCCTAACATATATGGTTTTGAGAAACTAAGGCACAATTTAAATGCTAGTAATAGCAATAAATATTATTCTTACCTACACAGTGTGTGCCAGGCAATGTACTAAGTGTCATGGGTATGTAATGATTAGTAGTAAGACAAATGCAATTCCTACTTTCATAGAGTTTGTAGTTTAGCAAGGAAGACATAATTTAGAAAGCCACAGCATAAAATATACTGTTTTCTGCTATGAAAGCTATTAAGATAAATAGGGTATAATCTGCCTGGTTATAAAATAATGTGACTTCTAATTCCATATTGCTCTATCCTTTGGATATATTTAAGGCAAAATTTTGTTATGAGCAAAACTTACAGCAATTTTGGAGCAATAAAAGTATTTTACTTCAACCTATTTGTTTTACAAAACTAAGGAGATAAGAACTAACTGACTTACCCAATATCACACAGTTGACAGAGGCATAACATTATTCCTTCCATAGTAACATATAGCAGAAGCAAACTACCACTTTTTGTAACCAATATTCACAAGCATTTATAATTGAAGCTTTTGTAAACTTGACACTTCCCTGGATTAAAGGCAGAAAGTTAAAAAGATTTCCCAACTTTCTAGAAACAAATGCTTCTGTAAGGTAAACAAAGATGACAGATGAGGAACTATTTAAAGCTATGCATGAGTTAAATTGGTCATGGAATAGACACATGCATAACTTGATTTCTATGAATTAAAAGTGATACCTTAAAAAATGTTGTACCTTTATGAAAATGCCTTAAGGATAGAGTTGATAGAATTGACATGCTACTCATAATAATAAGTGAAACATTAGTAGGGACAGCAATTAACATTCTGACTTACTTTAAGAAAGAAAGAGAGAGAGAGAGGACTTAAGTATTGTCATAGACATTATAAATAGTAGGATAGATGATATTACTAAGTTCTTATGTATTAAAATGATTATGTATAGGAGCAATTTCTAAATTATTTCTTCCTGTGGTTGCTAGTAAATTATGTACCTCATTGGCCCAAATAAAAATACAGAAACAATAAGCAGATTAAATTCCTTGGAGACAGATCAATGGCAGAAATTAAACATGTTTCAGCCACTTTGCTGTGATTCGAAGTGGATTTTGTGGAGAACAATTCTGAGCTTTTATAGTTTAGACATGTTATGTCTTTCTCTGCATTTAGTGCCTTTCCCACTTCTAACAATGCTATGATTTTATCTAATGCACAGTCCCTTCTTCCGCTCTCATTCTGTTCTCTCGGAGGATTTCACTGGTGGGCATGGGATTCAGGCAATGTCAGGCAAAATATCCAATCCCTCGGCCACAATAAATGATTTGCAGAGGGATGGGGACTCTACAACAGCAATCCACTTTGTTGCTAGCTTTTTCTTTACATTGATATTTAATCTAGATATGCTTAAATGAATAGATTTTAAACATGCAGTTTGATAAGTTTTGACCATTGCGTATACCATTTAATTAACATTCTTATCAAAATACAGAATATCTTTATCATCCAAAAAAATGCCTTTTGTTCTTTCAGTGAATCCAAGTTCCTCAAAGAGGCACCAGTTTTACAATTTAATCCACTGTTAAATTTTGGCCTGTTGTAGATTTTTTTTTTTTTACAACTTCTAGATCATCTAGATCATCACATAATAAACTATCTATTTCTCAGTCATCACATAAATGAAACCATACTGTAAATACTCTTTCGCCTGGCTTCTTTAACTCAATATAATGTTTTTGAGTTTCATCTATGGTGTCACATGTTTCACTAATTCATTCCTTTTTCTTGCTGAGTATGTATCACAAGTTGTTTATTTCTTCTGTTGATGGACACATGTTTGGGGATTTTATTTAAAAAACTGTTATTCTGCACACTCTTTATTATCATTTTTGTGGACATATGTTTTCCTTTACCTTAAATTGACTCAGAAGTGGGATTGCTAAGTTATAGAGTAGGTACACAATTTATAAGACATTGCCAGAAAAAAATTTCCAAAGACATTGCATCATTTTATGCTCTCACAAGCGATGCATGAGTGTTGTGAGTGACCCTCATCCTCACCAGCATTTGCTGTTGTCATTGTCATAATTTGAGCCATGTTAGTGTGAATGTGGTTTTTAATTTGCACATCTCTGATGACTAATGATATTATTCAGCACTCATTCATGTGCTTACTGGCCAATTCTATATACTCTTGTGTGAAGACTTTCTCCAATTAAAAACTCTTAGAACCATTTTCTTCCATTTCTCACCTTTCATTTTTTGTTCTACCATTATGCATTCTACTGCTAGATATGTTATTAACCTCACAAGGCAGTGTTATTTTTGCTGTCAACTATCAATTAGCTTTGTAAACTGGAAACTTGAGGAAAAAAATTTATCTTTCAACTTAGTTAATATTTTAGCTTTCCAGTGCTTTTCCTTTCTTTGTGTCATTCCAAGCTTCTATTGGTGTTATTTTTCTTCTATCTGAATGACTGCTTTTCTCATTTTTGTTGTTTTCACTGGCTGATGACACACTATCTTAGCTTTTGTTGGTCTAGATAAGTCTTCTTGGAAGTATTTTTCTTTCTGTTAAATTTAGAAATTTAGAGTTTTTTTTCTTTTAGCACTTTAAAGTTGTCATTCCATTACTATCTATTTTGCAATGGTTCTGATAAGAAATTTTTAAAAAAATTGTTCTCTTGTATGTGACGTATCTTTTATTTTGTCTGCTTTTAAGAGGTTTTTATTTTTCATTGTTCAAACTTTTAATTATGGCGTTTTTGTTTTTGTTTTCTGATTATCCCTGTTGCATTTATGAGGATTTCTGGGTCTGGGTTTATAATTTTTTATCCAATTTAGAATATTTTCAACTATTATTTCTTTAAACATTTTTTTTTTCTTCTGTGACTTTTCCCCCTCATTTTGGTACTTCAATTATATGGATTTCTAGTTGTTTTATATTACCAATTTTTCTCAGCCTTTTTGTTTTCTCTTGTTAAATTTGGATAGTCCCTTTTTTTTTGTTTTCAAATACACTCACTTTTTATTAGTGAGTAATTTACCAAACTTGGCATTAATGATCCAGTGACATTTTCATTATAGATATTGTGATATTAAGCTTTGGGATATCTGTTTTGTTCTTTTTTATAGTTTGTTGATAAACTTACTGATATACTATTAATATTTGCTATTTTTCTTTATTACATTAATGTTTAAGTGTTTGAATATATTCATAACAACTATTTAAATTGCTTCATATTCTAATTCCATCATCTTTGACATTTCCAGTTTGATTTTTATCGATTGCTTTCTTTTCTTCCGGTTATTTGTCCTATTTTTCTATTGGTTTATTTAATATCTAGTAGCTTTTGAATTCATATTAGACATTATAGAGCTTATATTATTATGTGTCTAGATTGTTCTCTATTCATTAATAGAGAATTTAATTTTATGACAGCATGTAGTTAATTTACTTGCCAATCCGCTTGTTTCCTTTAATAGTTCTTTTTACCTTATTAGAGTTTATATAGAGTAGCCTTTCTCCTTGGGCATTATTACCCCAGCTTTTAAGATATGGCATTTCTGAGATCTCTACTGAATGTCCAGAACATGTAAGAAAATCTTGCCCTTTGGCTGTTGGAACTAAATGTTTCCAAGGCTGTGTGAACTCCACTAGTTATTCAGCTCACGCTACCCTACCAGTTCTCCATTCTCCAGTCATACTTCTTTCACCAGTTGTTCTTCTGTGCCTGGCCCTGTGGAATTTCACCCTGAGTATGTAAGATTTAGTGTGTAGCCAAAGTTGTAAAGGCAGCCCTGTATGGATTTCTGGAGCTACTTCTCTCCCGAGCTCCCTGCTCTGGAGCATGCTACCCCACAAAACCCAATCCCTTTAGTAGCACCAAACTCTGGTCTCTGTTTTCTCATGTCGTTGATATTGATGGGCTGTGCTTGTTCTTCCACCCTCTGTGTCATGGTCCAGAAAGAGTCACCAAGAAAACATCTAGGGATTGTTGGGTTTCCCCTGTTTGTTTCCCTTTTCTAAAAAATCATAATCCTACGCAGTTTCTAATATTATGTATAATATTAGAGGGCTATTCCTTCATAACTGGGAGGGCTATTCCTTCATAACTGGGAGTAGAAAATAAAATAGGTTTTAATTCAAATGGATTTGCTTTGACTCTTGGAAAAAAAATATGCTTTCTTTTCCTTCTTTTCTTCTCTCCTTCCTTTTCTCCCTGCCTCTCTCCCTTTTTCCTTTCCTCCTTTTCTCACACCCTCTTTCCCTCCCTTCTTTTCTTTTTTTCTTTTCTTTTCTGTTCCTTCTTTTTTTTTTCGGTTCAATTTGAACCCAGAAGAATACAAGCCTAGAGCTGCTTTTATCAGTCTTCCTACCACATGAAGTTTAAGAGTAAAACATGACAGATAACAGAGACAAAAGATAAAAGGAGACTATAACCTGGCTTCTAGATTTCATTGAACCTAGCTCTACTTGACCTAGATTATGTGAGATAATAAATTGTTGCATTTTGTCAGGCATACTTTATTCAGTATATTTTTGGCTTACTTGCAACCCGAAGAATTCTGACATATCTTTCAAAAGGCAATATTTTCTACCAATGCCCTAGGCAAAGTGTTAATATTTTAATTAATATCAATTGACTGTGTACCATAGATTAGATGCTGTGATCATTGTTAGCATTAGTTACTAGGTTAGGCAGATCATTTTATTTGATAAAATGTGATAATTTGTATCATCTTTGGCTTTATAATAATAAAAGTATTCAACTATCAACAAATGAGCTTAATTTTCTAAAATTGATGGTTGCAAAATAATTAGGAAAACAAAAAATTGCAAGTTAATATTAAATATCTGTTTGGCACTATTTCTAATATACTTCCTCAATCAAATTAAAAATCTTAACATATTGTTTTAGCTTAGATTAGCATCAGTGAAGGAAACAAACTATTACATTGAGACATAAACATCAACACTTATACCATCTATTATTTTTTATTATTGATAACTTTAGCTTGATATATATATGTATGTATATATATGTAACATTATATGTTTAGATAGAATTTCCATGCCACTTTTCAGAAGTTTCTTGTTTAGTGGATATATAAGAGTTTCAAAAGCAGATATTTCAAGTAGAAAACAACAACAGTCAACAAGATTTTTGGAATAACATGTCTTTGTCTTTGTATAAATGTAGTTTGGAAGGATACACTTAAAATTATAGTTAATATTCGGAGTCAATCAATTTAGAACATGGATCTGATCTAGAAATAAAAATAAGCAAGGAACATTTTTGTGGTAAATATAATCCCAGTGAATAAATGCAGGAGATGTGTATAGTGGTTTTCAGATTCTGATTCCTGGAATGTTTGAAAGGAAAGAGTCAGGACGAAGACAAGAATAGATCAGGCTTCACTAGAAATGAAAAATATCTTATTCAGTGGAAACATATTCAATACATTTTCTGTGTAAAGCACAAGAGGCAGAAATAGGTTATTGAAATACATATGAATATAAATTGTATATTAGTTAGAAAGCTACCAAAAATTGTTTATGTGGTGAATACTTCGTTACTCTTCGATTTTCTGTTCCCTGTTTACTTATTTACTTCTTACAATTTCTCACTAAGGTGCTTTCTTGGGCACCCACAAGATGACATATGCCATTATCTGACTCTAAATTTTAAAACTGAATTAATTTTTTTCTCCTTTATTAAAAGAATCTAGAAGAGAACTTATAATTTTTGTCCTTTCTTCAAAGCCAATAATTAATTGCTCTTTTCCCCTGAAATTATAATGTAAGAAAGAAAGCAACACATTACAACAAATGTGCAGATTTCTACTATTAAAAATCCAAAAGGCATAGAGAATAATAAAAGGTTTATTTTCAAATCAGCTCCCTGATAAGACTGGCATGGGAAATAATCAAGAAAGCTTAATTACTGTAACTTGTCCATTATAGAAAAATGCAGCATCTTATATTTCCATTGTTATCAAACATCTTGTTTTTTCATTGTTATCAAAGAATGAGGATAAAAACTTTTGGGAGATAATCAAAAAGTTTTATGACTTATGAGATGGTTTTCTTTAGCAGGTGTGACCTCAAATACTGTTTCTTCACTTTATAATTGGAAGTCTTTAATTTATTTGGTCAATAAATATCTGAATGCATACTATGAGCCAGATGCTAATTATACCTTTATGAACAAAGCAACATAGTTCCTCCCCTGATGAAAACTTAGTCTAATGAGAGAGATGTATGCTTAAAAATGTAAACAAAGAGACAACTAATAATTACAATCCATGGAAAGTGCTATTATAAAAACCAATAGAATCTTTGATAACTAGGTGATTCAGGGAGGTCTCAACAATTAGGTGATGCTGGATGAGACTTGAAAGATAAGAAGTTACCAGAAGGTCAAATATTGAGGGGAAGAATGTCCTAGCAGTGGAAACACCATGTGCAAAGGCCTAAGGTAGAAATAACTGGGTTTGTGTGTGAATCTGTGGTCCCCATAAGCTAACCTTGAGATGAGAGCTCATGTGCAAGTGATCTATGAAGGAAATTCTCCTAGCAAATCTCAGTATAGGAATGCCAGGAGAGGAAAGGGATGAGAAAAAGCCAAGAAAGGGTGCAATTTCAGCCCCAGCTTCAGCCTCATCCTGATCTAGCTGTGGAGCCCTGGAGTATAAATTATAGCTCGGAGCAATTTCTACCTAAGGTTATGGAGCTGGCTTTCAACCTCGTTCCACCAGCCAGTCATTGTTTAAGAACCTGTCTGGGAGGATACTAACTCCAAGTCTTTGGATGTCCAGGAAAATAACTCCAGTAGGTGACCAAAAGTATTATTCCCCAAAGAGCTGCATGTATGGGAGGTTAGAAGCACAAGCACACAGAAGCTAGAGGAGGGGTGCGGAGTATGGTAAAAGGGACTTTAAAAATCTCTGTGGAGCCCCAACAGTGTCCGCTACAGCTTGTTAGAGAGAAACCAAAAGGAGACTAGAGTGGCTCTGTCATAGTAAGAGAGACAGAGATGGGTCCAACCAGAGCATGTAGAGAGAAAAAGACAGGTCCTGGAGGGTTTAAAAGGCTATTGTATAGAGTTGACATTTTATTCTACCAACAAATGGAAACCAATGCAGAAAAATGACACAAACCGATTCGTATTCAGAAAAACATCTTTAATAATTACACAGACACTTGAGGGAGACAAGTAAGGGAGCCAGGGTTATTTTATTTATTTTTTGTAGTACTTTGTTAATTTTTTTAAAAATTATTATTTGTTCAGATTTATGGGGTACATGTGGAATTTTGTTACATGTATATAAAATGTGGTGATCAAGTCAGGATATTTAAACGAGTCCATTACTTGAATACAATACATTTTTGTTAGCTATAGTCACCCTGCTCTACTATCTAACACTGAATTTATTCATTCTATCTAACTATATGCTTGCACTCTTTAACCCACTTCTCTTCATCCTTCTCCCTTCTCCCTACTCATTCTTCCCAGTCTCTGTTATCTTTCTACTCTCTACCTCCATGTGATCAAATTTTTTAGCTCTCACATATAAGTGAGAACATGTCAAATTTGTCTTTTTGTGCCTGGCTTATTTAACTTAAAATAATGTCCTCCAGTTCCATCCATGTTGCTGCAAATGACATGGTTTTATTCTTTTCTTATGACTGAATAGTATCCCAATGTGTATATAGGCCACATTTTCTTTATCCACTCATTCACTGATGGACACTTAGGTTGATTCCATATCTTTACTATTGTGAATAGTGGGGAAATAAACATGTGAACACAGGTATTTCTTTACCTGTGGGTAAATTTAGAAATCATTATATCAAAGTGATACCTGTGCTCTCATGTGTTATTTTAGTAGATCTGGAAAGAAATGATGGCACCCTGGATTAGAGTGTTTGTAATGAAGAAAGATAGAAGTGAACACACTTAAGAAATATTTAGGAGTGGAAAATTATTGGACTTAATAATGGATAGGATATGGTGATCATATAGAAAAGGAGTTCCTGTGAGAGTTTTTAGAGACACAATAATAATAATAACACCTAACAATAAGAAAATACCCTCTGACAAGAGAAAAATAACTACCAAAATAAGGTAAGTTGACCTTAACCCTAACCCTGAGAAAGTCAAACCTTCATCATTACTTCTATGGTTTTCAGGATACTAAAGAGCACAGATCAATTCTATCCATGTACAAAGTCCCAGTCATCTGGTTATTTATATACATGTGAATTTTAACATGTGTATTGATCATGAGCCATGTGTCAAAGTTTAGGAGTACAAAAGAGAACAGAGTATAACCTGTTTCCTCAAACATGTACATAACAGACATGAACATACCTAATTTTGTAAAAATTCAAGAAACAAGATTGAAACAGTGTCTCTTAGAACACATGGAATCTTTTCTTTCTTCAGAACTCAGGCAGAATTATACCAATAGTATACAATACATATTTTACAATCAATTTCACAACTGTGAATTAAAATACTCATACACACAATTGTTGTGTTTTCTCTAAGAAAAGAGATATACTAGGGACCCAAAGATACGGGAGATAGAGTCTATGAAGTAAAATAATTCTTTGATATGAGAGGCAAAGGAGATGGGGGTATTGAAGAGGTCTCATTTCCTGAATGGGATAGTTATTTTTATTGATTAAGCTTGAGAATTCACTGAATGGACTTCTAGAATGTTGGGAGAAAGAAAATGCCCTGTTTTTTTGAATATATTGATTTTAAAAGGCAATGTTTATAAAGATAAAGTATAAATGCCCTAAAGTTTGTTGAATACACAGGGCTAATTTCAGAAAAGAAAAGGCTGGAGAGAGAGAGATTACTACGTCACCAGTGTAAATAATGTAAGTAAAGTTATAAGCAAAGATAAGATAGGCTAGCAGGGGAAAGTATGTAAGAGAAGAAAAGAGGGCTTAGAAAAGCATACCAATGTATAGAGTTCAAAATGAGAAGGCTATAACAATTGAGTATAAGATGGAAACAGGAAGAAAAGCAAAGGCAATGTACTCATGGGGACTACATGAGGAATAGTATCTAGATGTAACAGGTAGTTATCAGGATTAAATATTGTGGACAGGTTAGCTAAGATTAAAAGCAAAACACACACACATGCAAGTACACAGTTTATAGCTATAGATTACTGGAAAATATGTTGAGAAAGTTTTGCAAAAAAATGTTTAGAGGAAAGTAGAATTTTGGTGTGTTTGAAAGTATTATAAAGATAGGTTTCTCTTTCATTCGTTTGCCTGAAATACAGAAGATAAAACATGACCAGAATGAAACATAATATTAAAGGGAGCTGTATTTTTTAATAGATATTTTTAACAAGTTAGATATATATATACTTCTTTATATATTGAATAGAAAGTATTACTAAAGAACACACTTACGTATTTGAAGTGAAAGGGACTAGTTAATTCTTTGATTTCCTTGACAATGTGGGGAGTATATTATCCAGAAAATAAGTAGAACAATTACCCTGGGACAGAAAATGAAATGCCTGCCCACTGAAATGGGAGAAATGGAGAAAAAAAAGGGATTTTATCTAGAAGCATGTATGGTTGGAGGGCAGCAAGTTAAAAGGTTTCTCACCTAATGGCCTCTGAATTATCTCTTAAGAGGGAAGAGCCTGGGATAGTGGTGGTCATAGAGAAGAGCTACAGCTCTGAACTTACACCATTGGAGAATGGGTGAAGAAACTGACCAAAGAAAAATAAAATATTTGCAGGTAACTCTGGGGGTCAGCTGAATCTGAGACTACACATTCACAGTGAACTGATTTCTCTTGCTGGCAGTCCTCCCAATGATTCACACTTCTCTTATGTGCACAGGATGCCTCCCAATCATGTGCATGCCACTCTCCTTTCAGTTCTCTCTATTTGAAACTTTCTTGTTCAGTATCATCCCATTAGAAGCAGGTTTGGTTTTCTAAGCCTCCCAAAGTAAAAATAAACCGAATAAACAATCTGTGTTAGGAGGTCAAAGAAAGAGGGATAGAAGGATTATTTGTTTTCCAAAGGATGGCTGAGGATAATAGATTACATTTTTCTTTTTGTACCTACTTTTCAAATTTAACACAGAGTTTTGTAACTTAGAGAAAAAAGTGACAAGCAGGTGGGCCTCTTGTTTGATATATGGTGACATGCCTCAAATGACAATAGTGAAGGGCCACCGGCTCCACTTCTGTCCAGTGGCTGTAAAGCTGAATCCCAAGGAGCCTAATGTTACAGATTATCTTGCTTCAGTAATTCAATTAAATTGATAAAATCAGAATGTTTTCTATTTAGAATGATTTAGCATACTAGGAAATTAAAATAAACAGCAAGAAAAGTATTTAAAAAAACGTTAACTGTGGTTCTTAATGCACATGGTGTCCTTTTCATTTTCTTGCACAAGACATTCTTTTCCTATTCCTTGACATGTCAGAGGAGGCCAGTAGTCAGAAATTACTTGTCTACTTTACAGCTGCCTAAGTTTAAAACACCTCCAAACTAAAACATTAAGGGAAAAGATACAGTGGTTTAGATGGTGATAACATTTTTTATTTTCAGGCAGTGTTAATACTTATTCTCTGGTGAGTTGGAGTTTCTGGTCTGTGTGTAGGAAATGGCAAATGCAGAGAAGTACAACCCTTTACACTTGGTACCTACTCTCCTTTAATTGTCTAATGACAGAAACCATTCTGGAAAAAGTTTACTTTTTTTTGTTCAGATCATCATGAGAATTTACAAGTATACAGTGAGCAAGTTAGCCATGTGCAGCTCTGAGGGACGTGGTGGGCACCTACATGATGCCAGTCTCAGAGGCAAACTTTCACGTGAAGGGCATGTGTGAGCTGGATATTTTGGAAACATCATGCCAAATATCTGGATATTTGCAAGTCTCCCACTCATTCCCTGGCTTTTTAATGTTCATGGAAATACTGTGTTTTCAGTAGATATAGTCACAAACAGTACTCTTGAAAGTAATGTCATGATTTTTATTTTCCATAAAATTTGAAACTATGCAGCATAGACAATGCCATTAGATTAATACTTCTCAAACTTTAAACATGCACTTGAAATCAACTGGAGAGCTTGCAAATAAGTGTTCTGATTCAGGGCATCCTGATTCTGCATTTCTAACAGGGTCCCTGGTGATGGTGGTGCCACTGGTCTCCAGATCACACTTTGAGTGGGAAGGCTCTAGACCTGCACTGTCCAACACTTACGACATGTGGCTGTTTCAATTTAAATGGTTTGAATTAATAAGAGTGAAAACCCGGTTTCTCAGTTTTATTTGGCACATTTCAAGTGCTCACTTGCCAAATATAGAATATTTCCATGCAGACGTCCTATTGGACAATGTTGCTCTGGATGAATTATCTCATTATTTTGTCCATTCGTAAAAACTTGTAAAAATTATTTACATTTTGCTTGTAATTATATCCTGTTTAAAATCACAGAAGAATTCATACAAAGATGGCATTCACGGTTGAATACAATACCAGAGATCACAGTTTTGAGGTCTACAACTTTATGTTGAAATTATTTGGAGTAGCTACGGACACTAAAATTGCCTGAATTAAAATAGATATTTTGAAAATAACTACCTGTTGCATTAAATTCAACTAATGTATTAAATATAATTTATTTGTCCTTATAGTTCATGATAGTACAAACTCTGATATACCTGTTGTCATTTATGTGTTTTACTTTTTCATTGTTTTACATTTCTCCTCCCTCTATTATTATTATTGCTATTCGTGTTTCTTTTAGGTATTGGTACATATATCTCTATCAGTATTACTCTTCTTAGACTTCCCAGCATCAATAGGGTCCAAAATAAATAAAGAAGTCATTAATGCATATTCATGCAATGAGATACTTGATTGAGGTATCTAGATTTTAAGCATAATTCCAGGTTATGAGTCCTTTGTCTGACTTATTTTTGTCTGTCACTTTGAGTAAATCACAAGGGCTTTTCAAAGCTCAGTTTCCTCATCTGTAAAGGATATCTGATTCATAAAGATCAACTAATTAATGTAAATATTTATTTAATACCAAATAAGCACTGTGCAAATACAGTATTAGCAGCAAATGATTTTTTATGGTAATTTATAATGGCAATACCCAAATGTTTTAGTATTAGGTTAAAATCTAAAGGTAATTGGGAAGATAACTATTACTAAAATATTTCATACTATGTAGTCCTATCAACAACATAATCAACTAAAAAATGTAAGATTTAATTTATAGACCTCAACTTTGAGAGGTCTATAATTTCTATGATTTATATAAGATGTCTTTAATTTATGGGCATCAATTTTGAGATTTTAATTACCAGTTACAAACTTCTTTTTAGGCTAGAACCATTTATAGATAGTTATTAACATTAGCCAAATGCAGGCAGAAAAGTTTGATTTACATATATACATTTATTCTATTTAACATCTACAAATATAAACAATTATCTCAGTTTGTAAATTCATGAGGGTTAGAGCAACTGATAATGCCATTTTTTTCTGCTAGTTTTACCAAAACAAATTACCACGAAATTGTTATTTTGTTTCTCTCTTCTCTCTTCTTTGTTTCTCTCTTCTATTACTCCCTGTCTTCATAGTTGTTTTGTAGTTTTAGTGCAGCTTCTCTCCAAGGTTAGCTTTCTTGTTATGTACTCAGTTGCTCTAAAATTTGTTTATAATTATATCCAACCTAAAATCACAGAAGAATCCCTGCAGAGGGGAATTTCAAGGTTTTGTAAAATATAGAAGATCACAATTTTGAGGTCTAGCACAAATTAAATGGCAACATAGATTTACCATTTATCTGATACACACTGATGTTCTCTGAAATAGAGTTCCTCATGAGCATAATTTTCAAAGTAAAGTAGGCCATGGAGGATAATTAGTTGCACAATTTACATTCTCCTGAAATTTTCTTTCAGTACTAACTAGAGGTTTGTCAGGAACCATGAATAAATTTGACACATTGTTTATTCTTAAGATTCAAACCAGTTTCAGCCAAAATGTTGAAAGACTTCTGCTTAAGAATGTCATGACCTAGCTGGGCACGGTGGCACGCCTGTAATCCCAGCTACTGAGGAGGCTGAGGCAGGAGAATGGTTTGAACACAGGAGGCGGAGGTTGCAGTGAGCTGAGATGGTACTACTGCTGTCAGCCTGGGTGACAGAGTGAGTGAGACTCTGTCTAAAAAAAAAAAAAGTCATGACTTTTTCTCCTTTTTCTTCCAATTTTGATTTTGTGTGGTATTTAGTTGCACACTGATCTTTATATTAAACCCTTTACAAATCACAGACACCAATTATCTAAAACTATTACAAGGATTTAAAATAGATTTGTTTATCCATCTCTGATGGCTGTGTGTGAAGCCCTTTTAGAGTCCTTCATTCTCCTTCTCTGCCTGCCTGGAGCTTTGATCTGGTGAGTGTGAACATCATCCTATTTTATTCTCTTAATCAACACCTGGTGAAACCTGGAATGTCCAGCAAAATATGTTTTAAAACAACCCACAGAATGGGGTTGTAGAGATGTCTACAAAACCTGGAACTTCCACAAGGATATCTAATCTTTAGGATTCAAGCAGTCAGCATTGAAATTAAGCTTCCAGGAGGCAGATTGATCGTTTGAATCCGATAGCTCAATATCTCAAGTTAAAATTCAAGCTTGAGACTGGTGCCTGCATTGGTTCCCATGTAACTAAGTGTGGTCCCTGGTCCGGGAAGCTGGTGATATATTAGAGTCAAGTAAGATTCATAGTCCTCCAAATAGAAGGTTTAGCCTATAGATTGTTGAGTATAATTTAAGACCTACTGTAGGCCACAAAATAGACTCTCTATATGCAGGAAGACAAGGTGGATTAGGAGCCTGAAAGCAGGACAATGGAAGATGGACTGCAGATGAACTCTGGTTCCCTGATGCTGACAATGCTAGAAAGAGGAGTGAACTAGGCCCGCCTTTCACTCTCTGAGCTAACTTTATGTTCCAGAGTAATTATCTCAGCAGATATCACCTTGTTTTGATCTTCATTCTGTTGATGCTTCTGTGGTCGGAGTATCGGAGTAACTTGAAACCACACCTACACATTGAACTTTAGAACTTGATTTTCAGTGCTACTTTTCACTACATGCTGATATCTATTAATAGATCCAGCCTGGGCAAACGGTGTTTCCAGTGTGCTTAGTTGTATGTGAGTGAACGTGGTGCTTTCCTGTGCTGTTTCTCAAGAATGGAGGAGTAATGGTCAGATGCAGGCTTTTGATTAAGATGAGACATCATGCTAACAATTAGAGAAGCAAAGTCAGCTCAAATGGGGGAACTGAGGCATAAGGTCTTGCTTTACAGGGGGTAGACATATTTAGGATCCTGGTAAGAGAATTTGAGTTGGTGGATGGCAAAACATACAGGTTGGCAGGCAGGTAGGTAGATGGATGGACAGACAAATAAGTTCTGAATGTTGGCAGGAAGCTTGTTAGAAATTCTGAATTTAAATTAGAATCACAACAATCTCATAATGACACTTCCCTGAATTTCCAAGAAGAAAGGGTACAAATTTGTAGTGCAAGTTTATTTTCTTATTAATTTTGAGGTATGGAGGCTGAATAACTGCAAGATATTTCCAGTTTTCAGAAATTTGGGTTTGTAGCAGCTGCAGCAGAGTTCCTTCCTTCCTCTGGCTGCTTTTACACTTTTAATAAATTGAGTTTCAGTAGTTGAAAAGGGTGAGTAAAAACGTAAGGTTAAAAAAATGCTAGTATTTTTTCATGTAATCTAATATTAAAATTCTATAAATTCTCAAGAAAAATTATAGCAACTGTAGAAATTTAGGCAGCCACCTATTAGTGAAAAATGAAGAACTGAATACAATGTAATGTGGTTAATAATTTACACATTTTGAATTAGGGTCTGGCAGAAAACCTAATGGAATTATATAAATGATGGCTTCATTTGTTTTAAATAAAAGTATTTTTAGATTTATGTTTTGACATTTTATTGACATTACATTTTCATCCCAGTTGTTGACGTTAGAAAGTTTTCCTAATCCTTTCAAAAAAGGATAAGAGTAGAGAATTTGTCATCAGGCATATATGTTGGAGACCATAATAAACCTTTTAAAATTTATACAATTATTCCTTTTTAAAAAACACATTTTGAATGACATTCATGCTCTCTACTTAAGGAACGGCTTTGAAAAGCAGAAAATAGAATTATTTAGATACGAATGCACTTCTCCACGCTTCTCACTTACAGTTGTTAATTTAGGATTAAGGTGACCATGAAACTCATTGTTCAGACTTGAACACTTTTGAGAGTGATATAGGATGCGTTGCTGGGACAAATGGCATAAATTGGGCAACCAGAACATATGGGCACCCTCTCCAGAAGATTATTTTTGAATACATATCAACAGACTGTGAATACATTTGTATTTTACCTTCTCTGCTGCTCACTCCAGGAGTAAGGAACAAACAGAAAAACTTGCAGAAAGACAAAAAGCATTAAAAAAGGAAGTAGGCTGATTTCTAAAGGATTGGTTGGCAGCTAAAATTATGCTTTTTGACTCACAGATCTTTGTAACAAAGATCTGGGGCAGGTAGTCTTTCTCTTTATTAGAATGACAAAGGGCTCCCATTAAAAATTCATATTTATGCCTTGCTTTAGAACCAGCATATCAGAATGACTGATTCTGCACAATTTTTTTTTTTTTTTTTTTTTTTTTGGAGACGGAGTCTCACTCTGTCGCCCAGGCTGGAGTGCAGTGGCAAGATCTCAGCTCACTGCAACCTCCGCCTCCCTGGTTCACACCATTCTCCTGCCTCAGCCTCCTGAGTAGCTGGGACTACAGGCGCCCACCACCACGCCCGGCTAATTTTTCTATTTTTAGTAGAGACAGGGTTTCACCATCTTGGCCAGGCTGGCCTCAAACTCCTGACCTCATGATCTGCCCGCCTTGGCCTCCCAGAGTGCTGGGATTACAGGTACATTTTTATTTATTTATTTATTTATTTAAGACAAGGTCTTCTGTCACCCAGGCTGGAGTAGAGTACAATGATCATGGTTCACTGCAGCTTCAAACTCCTAGATTCAAAGCATCCTCCTGCCTCAGCTTCCTGAGTAGCTAGGACTATAGTCATGTACCACCATGCCCACTTAATTTTTAAAATTTTTTTGAAGAGACAGGGTCTTGCTATGTTCACAAGGCTGATCTTGAACCCCTGTCATCAAGAGATCCTTCCACCTTGGCCTCCCCGGAGGTTTGAGACTACAGGCGTGAGCCACCGAAAATGTTGGCTTAAGTAGAGGATTTGTTCTATATATTATGTCTCTAAAATCAGAATCTTACTCTTTTCATCACATGGTCAATCATGTTAAAAATTGTACTGCTTTTACTAAACTGTACCTAGATGTGAACAATGAAAATAAAATGATTTAATGTAAAAATTTTAGACATATTAAATTTTTACTTCTGGATGATGGCATTAGTAAGCCTGTTCATTTTCTTACTCCCACCAAATGGGAGAGGTAAATTGAATGAGGGCTTGCTATGAGGAAGGACAGACTTCATTCCGGGAGTCTTGCTCTCTCTTCACCTGCATCTGGTCCTTGAGCAAGGCTGGCTCATCTCGAGTCTACCTGCCTGTGCTCTCTGTAGAAAAGCATAACATCTACTGGGATTCAAGGCAAATTGCCAAGGATTTCCCTTGATTTTTTTTTTCCCAATCTGGTTTCAAGAAGGATGTTATTTTATGAAACAACAGTGAATGCCAAAGACTGATGCCAAAGCATATGGGGAATGCCCAGGGTTGCAAGCTTTCACTTGGAGATGGTTTAGGATATAGGCAGGTTACTAACAGGGATGCAAGGATTACACTTAACCCTGAATGCTTCCACAATTGCAAACTAAATCAATAGCTGTGTTAACCCTTCACAACATTCTTGTGGTTTCCCAAAAAAACTTATAGAAGAGTGAGATTGTTAGTACCCTGGAGCATACCTGGGCAAAATAGAGAGCCATGAAAACCCATCTTCTTTCCTGTAGCCTCCCAGTCCCAGGCATGTAGTCTCTCTAGCTGTCCTTTATGACACTCAGCTCTCTCCTTCTTGTCTCTATGGGACACACATTACACTATATGCTGATAGAAAAGCAAGGAATCATATGCTGTGTCTGCTCTCATGAAGGATTTCATAATTTGCTTTATGTTCTAATCTTAAATACACAGAAGCATATGTGGTCATACACATGCAAATAGCCCTGCCTAGCACTAAGATCAAGAAAATCAATATCAAGAAAATTGTCTAGATAGGAATTCACTTTGGGTTTCTAGGGCTGCTAAGATTTAGACAGATAAAGTGGAATTAGTTAGGGTGTATTTTTCTTTTTAAAAGGATTATGTCCTCAAAGAAAAAGATTTGAACTTAGTAGACTATCAAGAATTTACCACTAAGAGATAATTTGAGAGATTGCTCAGCCTTTCCTATCTCCCAGTAGTCTCCCTAGGTGTGTATTTTCTTGGATATAGAGTTAGCGCTATTTGGACTTTGAGATCTAGAGCCTCTTATGGTGTGTACTCCTTTCTATGTTTCTGCTATGCATTGCGTGGCATCTTCCATGCAGTTCAAAAATGTTTATAATCAGAATAAATCTGCAGTGGTCTACTATGAAACAATTTCTTAAATGTTAAGGTGCAAATGGGCCTCCTGGGGAGCCTATAAAAATGCAGATTCTTATGCAGCAAGTATGGGGTGGGGCCTACAGGTCTGCATGTGTAACAAGCTACCAGATGAAGTAGATGCTGCTAGGCCAGGAACCACACATAGTTCAAAATACCACCTCTTTGTAGTGTCATCCTATATTTTTAGTCCATTTTTCACTTACATAGTTCCCTGTTCCCCAGTTAGCATCTGTATTAGTTCGTTCTCACATTGCTATAAAGAGCTACCTAAAACTGGGCAAATTTATAAAGAAAAGAGGTTTAATTGGCTCACAATTTTACAGGCTTAACAGGAAGCATGACTGGAAGACCTCAGGAAATTTGCAATCGTGGTGGAAGGTGAAGGGGAAGCAAGCACGTCTTTACCATGGTGAAACAGGAGAGAGCCAAGGGGAAAAAACTACAAACTTATCAAACAACGAGATCTTGTGAGAATTCCATCACAAGAACAGCAAGGGGGAAGTCTGCCCCATGACTCAATCGCCTCCCACCAGGCCCTTCTTCTGACATGTGGGGATTAAAATTCAAGATGAGATTTGGTTAGGGACACAGAGCCAAACCATATCACTGCCCCAGCCCCTTCCAAATCTTGTTTCTTTTCAACATTTCAAAACCAATCATGCCTTCCCAACAGTCCTCCAAAGTCTTAACTCATTCCAGCATTAACTCAAAAGTCCAGGTCCAAAGTCTCATCTGAGACAAGGCAAGTCCCTTCTGCCTTTGAGCCTGTAATATCAGAAGCAAGCTAGTTACTTCTAGGATAAAATGGGGGTACAAGAATTGAGTAAATGTTCCCATTTCACAAGGGAGAAATTGGCCAAAACCAAGGGGCTACAGGCCCCGTGCAAGTCTGAAACCCAGCAGGGAAGTCATTAAATGTTAAAACTCCAAAATAATCTCCTTTGACTCCATGTCTCACATCCAGGGCATGCCGATGCAAGGGGTGGGCTCCCACAGCTTCTGGCAGCATCTAAGTTATTTTATGAAAGAGCCCATTGATTATATTTGTCTCCTCTTCTCCAAAAAATAAAAAAAGATAATAACTTAATTTGGTGTTGAGCACATATAAAAATACCTCACCAGTATGAGATACTATCTATCTAAAAAGCAAAATAATATTTTCAAATTTAATAATAATAATTTCCAAACAGTAACTATGAGAACAAGTTGCACAGATGAACCAGTTACCAGACCTGAGTGCTTCTTTAAATTTAAATAGATTTTTAAATTATAGTTCTATTTCATCTATTTCCAAATAATAGCCTCTCATTTATCAAGATAAGACAAATTAGTAATGCATCACACACATACATAAACACACCCACACACCCAAAATGATTGGCTTAAAGCAATTTCACTGTCTTTATACTTTTTACAGAAAAAACCCTAGAATTCTTACTCAGGTCTATATACTTAGTTTTTACTTAATTCTAATGAGATTGATTTCTGCTTTCCAAGGTCACATTAATTTATAATGAAATCCCAAGTAGAGGAAATGCTTTTATCAGCTACAGAAATGGCATTAGAAACTAAAATCTTTTGATATAACAGAAAGAAAGAGATGGAAAAATAAGGTAAGAAAAGCAGGCCCATGATTTAAAGCTTTAAACAGTATTATTTTCTATAGAGGTAAATGGCCCTTCATAGTTCCACAGTCCCTAAGGTTTTATTTTTAATATAGCTCACTTAAATAATTGGTATTATTAATTATGAACCTAGATTTCAAAAAAAGATTGAAATATATTTAATATTTTTCAGAGAAAGTAGATTTGTGTTGAAAAAAATCTTAGTGTTTAACTAGTTTAAATTGCCAGTAAGAATATCAGTGAGTTTTATATTATAGTATAATTTTAATTTTGAATGCTTGATTTTTGTTTTTAATGCTTATAAGATATACATTTCATTATCCAGAATTTTTCATTATGAAAGACAGTGCAGGCTTTGTTAAAATAGTATTTGCTAAAGGAATTAAAGCTATTTCTAATTTATTTTTACTTTGAGCTGGCCCTGCTTAAGAGCAAATATCTTTGATCTGTTAGAAAGGATTTGTTAATAATTTGATCAAAGTACCATATACTTTATAGAACTTAATTTGATACTATGTGTATACCAAAATGGTATATATACTATGTATCATATAATCAAGAAATGTTTCAATAAACATGAAATTAAGCATTAACAAAATAGAAAATATAGGTGAAGTGGCTTAAACATCCTATTATTTCATATTCATCCCTATAATAATATCAAATTAAAGCACAATTACTCTAATTTTGCATTAGGTAAACACATTTTCTCATAGACCTTACTTTACTTCTATGACCTGTTCTTAGTTTAAAACTTAATTTACTCAAAATACATGATTTCTATATGCCAGTTAAGGATCTATTTCATAAAGCAGATTACATCTATGTTTCAAAGAAAATTAAGTACTGTAATACTTTAAGTGCAAGGGTAACTAAACAGATACTTAAACATAATTTGGGGTTATAACAGAGCTTAAAAACAATTTTATGACTTTTGTGCAACAGTCATTTTTACAGAAAATCTTGACAGCACAAGGTGAAGAGTCCAACTTTATTTTAATACATTTTCCATATTATCAACCCATTTCTCCTCAATTTGTACTTTGGTTCTTCTCAGTGTGCTGTGCATTCCAAGTCCCAGCCCTGCTCTCTGCGGGTGTGCAACACACATCTGATGATGATGATACTTACAGTGATTGCCTTGTGGGGGAAAAGTGTTAATTTCTTCTGACATCCCCAGATTTGAATCTAATGAAATGAAAATGTAAACTACAGTGGGTTAAGCTCTCTGGTGCTTTTCCTTCTTAGAACGAGGGTAGTTTCCTTTTGCATGATTGAAATCACGCCTATATCATCCTCTTAACGTCCATAGTACAGTGCTTAATGGCTTCATCAGGATATATCACTTTCTTTAGTACAGAGCTGCCAGTGGAACACAAATCATTTAGAGAGAGAAATTGTTCAGGAAGAATAGGGTGCAGAGGCTGAAGAACCAGAGTTAAAAGTAAGGAACATAAAGAAAAAGGCTAAAATGTTTGGAAAATAAAGAGCAAGAAAAATTCACTGAAAGCTTATTAATAAATGTTTTAGGTTAAAGATGGGAAATATAAAAAATTTTTAGTATTATATTGATATCAATTTATAAGTACTACTTATTACTAACAAGAAAATCTCTGCATTTTACTTACTTATCTCAATTATTGTCTGTTACCACTGCTGAAATATAAGCTCTGTGTGGCTAGAGATTTTGTTTGTTCACTTTGTACCTCTAGGTATCAGAACAGTGCCTAAATCAAAGCAAACATTATTTGTTGAAGAAAGAATAAAGAGAATTCTGAAATCTATGTAAAAATTATGAAATATTGCAGTATTAACCCATGAAATAAAAATTCATATCCAAAGAGAATATTTTAAACATTCTCTCTCTCCCAGAGCTGCAGATAACTGGTAATAGATAATTTTCAATTTTTTTCTGAATACTTTCAATGTTCCTCTGTCCTTGATAATACACAAATTATTCTCCCTGTTTGTCATGTCCTCATAGCATCTGCCCAAATTTGAGATAAAATCAAGGTCATGAATAAAAACCATGTTAGCATTTTTGAAATAACAAAAATAAAATTTTCCAGGACATGTTCTAATGCATTTATGGGTGTCGGCAGGCCACTCATCTTCTCATAAACAAACTAGATTAATATAGATTCTAATTGAAGGTTTTGGACAGCCACTTGGCACAAGAGGGGATACAAATTTGAAGATGTAATATCACAGAGAAAAACTTCGCATAAAAAAATAGTAGAGATGCAAATTTAACTGATGACCAAATCAGTTCTACTCAAAACACCTACCTTGCTCACCCAATTTCTTGGTTCTGAAATCATTGAGCATCTGCTATGGATAGTGGTCTCTTAGAACAGAGCGTTGCAACACTATTCATCCTGTTTTGAGAGTGGTGCTTTTTGAGGCTCCTTTTGGAAAGCCAGCAGATGGGGAGAAGCTGGGCTGCAGAAAGGGGGATTAAGCATTTGGAGCTCTGTAGCAGCTTGGGATTTTTCTGTTTTACTTAATATAAGATTCCAAAGTTAGGCTTTGCTTGAATACAGTGTTTGATTTGAAAAACAAAGGTATATAAAAATCCACAAGGAAAATGTTTTTCTGTCACATTTTGAGGGATTTCTTCAAAGGAAAATTGCTTAAAATATATTGGTTATTTTGGAAATATTTTGTAAAATGCAGTTCTGAGAAATATGCCAGATTGTTTGGGGATGATAAATTATTTATTGATAATACAAACTGCTAACTTATTTTTAGTTTTTAAATACATATTAAAAAATAAGTGGAAATTGGTACCTGGAACATAAAATTCTGTAGACCGTAAGAAGCAATTAACCTTCTTAATATTATATCATTTTATTTAAAGTCAAGAAAAATTTATTTTGTATCTCTGCATGTCAGGCTGAGAGGATGACACAAAACTCATTTATGAACATCATTTATTGAGCGCTTCTTATTTTTCCAAGGTGTAGTTTACAGAGGTGACTTAAAGTGAATAAAATCCAAGGCTTTATCTTTAAGGATCTGCCCAAGTAGTGAGAAAATATAGGAATATATCATTTATATAAACCCATAAACAAATATGTACAATAGGCAAAGGGCAATAATCTAAATTTTTCAAAACTACTATTGGAGAACAAAGGAGAACAAAACTAACTTTGCATGTAAGATGCCATCAAAGCTTCCCACAACAGAAAATCATCTTTATTTCAGCTAATCTTGGAAAGATGAGAAGGGCTTATCACTTTCAAAGAAAAGGAAATGATTCGTTTAGTAAAATAGAAGAGCAAACATGGCATCTGTGTGAAGAGCTCCTCAAAGTGAAGACGGGTGATGAGCCACATTGGGGTCATTTATATTTCAATTTCATTCTGTAGATTATGGAGAGATATTGTTAACATAATAAAAATATGGCTTTTATAATAAATGGCTCAGTGGGAGTGTAGAATGGATGAGGGAGGGCCTAAACTGTGGAACTGGAAATAGTGATGTAGATGAGAGACAGGAACAAACAACCTCTCAGAGATGGGATTGAGGCAAACTGACAACGTTGTGAAGGGGACGCAAAATGGATAGTGTTTCTGAATTGTTTTGCTGACAGAGAAAATGGCGCTACTGACAACAGAGATATAGACTAGTGAGAGAAGAGTGAGTTTGGGGAGTGATAATTTGATCATTATTATGTGTTAGAATATGATCATTTTGAGGTGGCTTCTGACATTCAGAAATATTAGCTAAAAGTAAGGAGAAATAAAGTCAGAAGAGACATAATGTAGAGAAAAATAAGATGAAACTTTGACCTTTACTAATAATGGAAATTATGGAAATAAATGAGATTTCCTGAAAGAAAATACAGATTGACAAAAGAAGTGGCTTAAGTCAAAATTCTATGAAGTATTAACATTAAAGAACTGGAGATTCTAGGAAAGGGTTCATAGAAGAAAACAAAAATTAAAACTTCTTTTATTTGTATACCATTACATACAACAGAAGCAATGATGAAAAACCTTTTGAAAACCTAAACAGATTTCTCTATTTGAGTCATGTGTCACTTCTGAAACAACTAAAAATATAGCATTCATTTTTCAGTAGTGTTTTTTTCACTTATCTGTCTTTAGATTTAGATCCATCTAGATATTTGTCTAGATATATTATCGGAACAAATAAGAGATTTTATTAGAAACACATTGGAAAGAAACAGAGTAATAGGGCTTGGAAATCTTCCTAAGACTTAATCATTTCTTCGAACAAAATGGTAACAGCAATATTACCTAATGGTGTTTAATACATAATTTATGATGCTTTTGCTTTTACTATAAATGATTAATAGCTGACAATGAAATTCACCTTATATCTTCTAAAGGTATGGCTTACACACAGTCCTACTTTATATTTCAACTCTTCTCATAAAGTTCTGATGAGTTTGACTTGCTAACACTCTTATCATAGTTCTTATCATAGTATTAGATGTTAAAATTTTTCTTTGCTTGTCAAGATTTGTCGAAATTGCATAAATGAAACTATGTGCAAAAGAATTTGTTATCAACTTTTTTCTTGGAAATTTCCATTTATATCCAAATTATTTTAATAGCTTGCTTTCTTACTTGCTAGTAAAGTAAGAGAGAATAATTTTTTTCCAGAGTTACTTTGGAACTCTCTTATCCTGTTTTGCTATAAAAAAAAAAAATGGAAGTTTCTTATAACCCAAGTGCTTATTATGACGTCAGTTTCTGCATCTTTACAAATATTATTGAGGAAAAGAAAGATGCCTATACAACTTGAATTTATGAGTGATCCTTAGGATAAGTCAACAGGTGCTTTACAAATGCAGAGTAGACTAGGAATAGAATTGAAGGTTGGTAAAACGCAATTGGCATCATTCTACAATTCTTCACGATGTATGAAGTTACAGTCATTCCAATTTCAGATGGCCCTGATTTCTGACACAAAAGATGATGTCAAGAGACGAGTAAGTAGCAGGACAGATGAAGTCTTAACAACTAAAGAGGCTACTGTGATGCAAATCATTTTTCTAATGGATGGTAAATATTTCTGAAGTTAACAATAGAAGCAAAAATACACTGTCAATAAAAGGCAGATAAAATAAACACAGAAATCATATATAGCCCTAAGAGAATTGTTTTTGAGTAAAATGCTTTTTAAGGTCTTCACAAAGTTGTCAGCATCTCTTTTAAAATCAAGTCAGTGCATTTGGAGCATTTGTTCATGAGACACAACTGGTTGGTAAATGATTCCGTAACTCCATCCAGCTGTTAATTTTACATAGCTATTCCCAAACTGTGCAAGTTTTACAACAAGTAATACTTCCAAAACACTGTAACATGATAGGTGTTTAAATAAAGCCCTATGGTTCTCTGCATATTAATATAGTTGCCCCTTAACTTTTATGTTTCTCTTATGATGCATTTTTTTCAGTACATCAATTGGCATTATCACATAAAGTTTGCTGCCTATTGCTAGTGAATAATAGAGTGTTTATTAATAAAAAAGAGCTGTAATTAAAATTTTGGCAGGCCACTGCCTTGATTGAGAGTTCTTCTTTAGTTTTTTTTTTTTTTTTTTTAACCCTGCTTTTAAATAGAGCATTGAAATTTGATTAGGGACATCCACCAGATAATCTTGCAATAGACTAATTTTGGATTCTAGAAAATTCAGAAGTTAGGGTAAAATGGTGAATAAGACAGGCATGTTTCTGCCTTTGTGGAGCCTAATTTCTGTTAGAGGAGACATGCCAAAATTAAATAACTAAAAATAAGGTGGATTAAAAATTATAGATATGAGAAACAGATAAGCTGTTGCCAAGAGTTAGGGATGGTGTGGTAAGTGGCAAGGAAAGGAGGTATCAAGAAGGAGATGCTTGTGGTGATGGACTAGTTCTCTATCTTGATAAAAATGGTGGTTGCGTGAATCTCTACATGTAATAAAATGGCATAGAACTATACAAAATATAGCAAAATATTAACAATGCAAAGTGCCTTTAAGTTATAATAAATGCTATAAAGGGAACAAGGACTGAGAGAATAATAGAGGAACCCTATTGAAGTAGAATATTCAATAAAAACTTCTTTGAATAAATGACCTCAAGGTAAAGATGGAGCTAGTGATGCAACAGTCTAGTCCATTCTAGATCCTGGGACAAGCATGTCCAAAGTACTTCAGGGAGGAAAGAAGTATCGGTTTCCAGCAGTGATAAAAATGCTAACATGGGAGGATGGAGCCAAGATGCCAGACTGGAAGCAATTTATCTTCTCAGCTCTCATGGGGAGGAAAGGAGAGGGCTAGTGAACACTGACCCTTAGGCCAATCATCTGAGAAACCACAATGAGATCCATCAAGGCAGCAGGAGAACACAGGTAGTATAGAGAAGGCAAGTTGGGCACAGCCTGTCTGGGCTCAGTGCGGAGCCAGTAGAACCCTTCCAAAATGGGAAAGGATGAGTGAGTGAAAGCCCCCAGGGGTTTTCACATTCTCCACAGGGAACTGTGCAAGACTCCGAATGGGAGAATCCCACTGCCCACCCCTGCTTCTGCATTCTCCCACCATGCTTCTAGACTGAGGCAGAGAGCCACCTGGATGTTTTACGGAGGTAATTCTCAAGTCCAAGGGGACCAGTACAAGCACGGGGCTCCAGATCCCAGACCAGGACTTAGCACCATAGCCCTAACACAGGCCGCAGTTGCAGTGCCTGGGAGCATTAACACTGCTCCATGCCCACAAGCACAGGGCTCCAGACTAGACCAGCACTTCACGCCATAGCCCCAACACAGGCCACAGTTGCGGTGCCTGGGAGCAGTAAGATTCCTCCATGCCCCCTTCCTGGATGGAGCTTGGCACCAGCTTCCATCCCAGCAGTCCTGCTTCGGCCCAAACTCAGCCAGCTACTCCACCCACCCCATCACTAGTAGCCAGTCAGTCAATGCCTGCCAGAGCTTTCCACCCAGCGGCTCCACTTTTGTGTGAACTTACCTGGAGGACATAGCTTCCTGTTGTCCTAGGAAACAGGACAGCAGGACACATGAGCCCACCCACCACTGTTACCAAAAGCCAGGTGGGCAACACATGCTGGAGCTTCTGGCCCAGTAGTCCTACTTCTGCCTGAATCTGCTGAGAGGCACAGCCTATTGTTGCCTTGGAAACACCCAGATGGCAGGGCCTCAAGTCCATCTATCCCTACCTCCCTTAGCCAGACAGGCCACACCCACTACAGCTTCCAACCCAGGGGTCTCATTTCTGCCTAAACTTTGCAAGTGGGTGCAACCCTGTTTTCCCCAGGATACACACAAACAGCAGAATAGGGCTGACCTGGTAAGGATACAGCTTGTCTGACAACTGCTGCCTCTGCCTGAGGGATCCATGTGGACTACAACACTGAACAAAAGAAAGGTAGGCATGGAGAGAGTAACTGGAGGGGACTCCTTCGAGACCCAGGATTGGATGAGAATAGAAGCCAGTCAACTGAATTCACTATATACCGTAATGAAACCACCAAGGGCATCCACACACACATACATACAAAAAGGCAAAAAAAATCCATCCAAAGGACAGCAGCTTCAAAGATTGAAGGAACATCAACTCACACAAATGAGAAAAAAGCAGTGCAAGAATTCTTACAACTCAAAAAATCAGATCACCTTCTTTTCTCTAAATTACTGTACTAATTTCCAAGCAAGAGTTATTGACTGGGTTGAAATGGATGAAATTATAGAAATGGAATTCAGAATATGGATAGGAACAAAGATCCTTGAGATTCAGGAAAACATCAAAACCCAATCCAACGAACCTAAGGATCATGATATAACAAGACAGGAGGTGACAGGCAAAATAGCCATTATAAAAAAGAACCAAACTGATCAATAGAGCTGAAAAACATATTTCAAGAATTGCATAATGCAATCCCAAGTATTAACTGAAGAATACACCAAGTTGAAGAAAGAATCTCAGAGCTTGAAGATGGGCTCTTTGAAATAACTCAGTCAGACAAAAATAAAGATAAAAGAATAAAACAGAATGAAGACAAGCTCTGAGAAATATGGGATTATGTGAAGAGACCAAATCTATGATTCATTGGTGTCCCTGAAAGAGGTGGCAAGAAAGCAAGCAATTTGGCAAACATCTTTCAGTATATAGTACATGAAAATGTCCCCAACCTCGCTGGAGAGGCCAACATTCAAATCCAGGAAATTTGGAGAACCCCTGTGAGATATTACACAAGAAGACCATCCCAAGACACATAATCATCAGATTCTGTAATGTGAAAATGAAAGAAAAAGTATTAAAGGCAGCTAGAGAGAAGCAGCAGGTCAAGTACAAAGGTAGCTCCATCAGGCTAACAGTGGATCTATCAGCAGAAACCCTACAAGCCAGATGGGGAACTTATATTTAGTATTATTACAAAAAATTTTTTCACCCAAGAATCTTGTACCCGGCCAAATTTCGTAAGTGAACAAGAAATAAAAGCCTTTTCTCACACCTGTAATCCCAGCACTTTGGGAGGCCGAGGTGGGCAGATAACGAGGTCAGGAGATCAAGACCATCCTTGCTAACATGGTGAAACCCCATCTCTACTGAAAATACAAAAAGAAATTAGCTGGGCATGGTGGCAGTTGCCTATAGTCCCAGCTACTCCGGAGGCTGAGGCAGAAGTATGGTGTGAACCTGGGAGGCGGAGGTTGCAGTGAGCCAAGATTGTGCCACTGCAGTCCAACCTGGGCGACAGAGCAAGACTCCGTCTCAAAAAAAAAAAAAAAAAAACAACGAAATAAGAGCCTTTTCAAATAAGCAAATGCTGAGGGAATTTGTTACCAACAGACCTGCCTTAGAAGAGGTCCTGAAAGGAGCACTAAATATGGAAAGGAAAGACCATTACGAACCACGACAAAAAAAAAACGCTTAAGCACACAGGCCAGTGACACTATAAACCAATCGTATAAACAAATCTGCCTAATAACCCCATAACAACACAATGACAATATCAAATCCACACATATCAATACTAGTATTGAATGTAAATGGGCTAAATGCTCCACTTCAAAGGCACAGAGTAGCAAGCTGAATAAAAAAGTGAGATCTAATGGTATGATGTTTTCAAGAGACCCATCTCACATGCAATGACATGCATAGGCTCAAAATAAAGGGATAAAGAAATATCTACCAAGCAAATAGAAAACACAAAAAAGCAGGATTTGTAATTCTAATTTCAGATAAAACAGACTCTAAACCAATAAAGATAAAAAAAGATAAAGAAAGGCATTACATAATGGTAAAGTGTTCAATTCAACAAGAAGTCCTACCTATTCTAAATATATATGCAGCCAATACAGGAGCATCCAGATTTATAAAGCAAGTTCTTAGACACCTGTGAAGAGACTCAGATTCCCACACAATAATAGTGAAAGACTTCAACACCCTACTGCCAGTATTAGATGGATCATTGAGGCAGAAAATTAACAAAGCTATTCAGGACCTGATCTCAACACTTGATCAAATGGACTTAATAGACATCAACACAACTACTCACCACAAAACAACAGAATAAACATTCTTGTCATTGCCACATGGCACATATTCCAAAACCAACCACAAATCAGACACAAAACAATACTAGCAAATTAAAAAAAAACAAACAAAACAAATCATGCCAACCACACTCTGGGACCACAGTGCAATAAAAATAGAAATGAATACTAAGAAAATCACTCAAAACCATACAGTGGAAATTTCTGTTACATGAAAATTAAACAACCTGCTCCTGAATTACTTTTGGGTAAATAATGAAATCAAGACATAAATCAAAAAATTCTTTGAAACTGATAAGAACAAAGATACAACATAGCAGAATCTCTGCGACACAGCTAATGCAGTGTTAGAGGAAACTTTATAGCACTTAATACCCACATCAGAAAGTTAGAAAGCTATCAAGTTAACAACATATCAACACAGCTAGAAGAACCAGAGAAGCAAGAGTAAACAACCCTAAAGCTAGCGGAAGACAAGACATAAACAAAATTAGAGCTGAACTAAAGGAAATTGAGACACACACACACCAAAAATGCAAAAGATCAATGATTTCAGGAGTTGATTATTTGATAACATAAATACAATAGATAGACCTCTAGCTAGACTAATGAAGCAAAAAAGAGAGAAGATCCAAATAAACACAGTTAGACATGACAAAGGGGATGTTACCACTGACCCCACAGAAATACAAACAAAAATAAAAACACGAGAGACCACTATGAACACTTCTATGCACACCAACTAGACAATCTAGAAAAAAAGATGGATAAATTTTTGGACACATACAACTTCCTAAGACTAAACTAGAAACAAATTGAATTCCTAAATAGACCAATAATGAGTTCTAAAATTGAATCAGTAATAAAAAGCCTACCTACCAAAAAAAAAAAAAAAGTGCAGGACCAGAGAGATTCACAGCTGAATTTTACCAGACGTATAAAGAAGAGCTAGTACCATTCCTACTGAAACAATTCCAGAACGTTGAGGAGGTACTCCTTTCCAACTCATGCGATGAGGCCAGCACCATCCTGATACCAAAACCTACAGGCACACAACAAAGAAAGAAAACTTCAGGCCAATATCCTTGATGAACATAGATTCAAAAATTCTTAACAAAACTGAATCCAGCAGCATAACGAAAAGTTAATCTGCCATGATCAAGTAGGTTTTATCCATAGGATGCAAGGTTGGTTCAAAATACACAAATCAATAAATGGGATTCACCACGTAAACAAAAGTAAAAACAAAAACTACATGATTATCTCAATAGATGCAAAAAAGGCTTTTGATAAAATCCAGCATCCCCTTATATTAAAAACCCCTAATAAACTAGACTTTGAAGGAATGTGCTTCAAAATAATAAGTGCCATCTGTGACAAACCCACAGCCAACATCATCCTGAATGGGGAAAATCTGGAAGCATTCCTTTTGAAAACCAGTTGAAGAAAAGAATGCCCTCTCTCACCACTCTTATTCAACATAGTATTGAGAGCAATCAGGCAAGAGAAAGAAATAAAAGGCACTGAATAGAGGAAGTGAAACTATCCCTGTTTGCAGAAAACATGATTCTATATTTTAAAAACCCCATAGTCTTGGCCCAAAAGCCCCTTGAGTTGGTAAACAACTTCAGCTAAGTTTCAGGATACAAAATCAATGTACAAAAATCAGTAGCATTCCTATACACCAGCAACTTCCAAGGCAAGAGCCAAATCAGAAACACAATCCCATTCACAATTTCCCCCAAAATAGTAAAATATCTAGGAATACAGCTAACCAAGGAGATAAAAGATCTCTATGAGAACTACAAAACACTATTCAAAGAAATGAGAGAGAACACAAACAATTGAGAAGCCATTCCATGCTTCTAGATAGGAGGAAGAATCAATATCATTAAAATGGTCGTACGGCTTAAAGAAATTTATAGATTCAATGCTATTCCTATCACACTACCAATAACATTCTTCACAGAACTAGAAAAGACGATTTTAAAATTCACATGAACCAAAAAAGAGCCCAAATAGCCAAGGCAATCCTAAGCCAAAGTAGCAAAGCTGGAGGCATCACATTACCTGACTTCAAACTATACTACAGGGCTACACTAACCAAACAGCATGGTACTGATACAAAAATAGACATATAAGCCAGTGGAACAGAATAGAGATCCCAGAAATAAAGCTGCACACCTACAACCTTCTGATCTTTGGCAAAGCTGACAAAAAACAATGGGGGAAAGGACCATCCATTCAATAAATGATGCTGGGATAATTGGCCAATCATATGCAGAAGATTGAAATTGGATCCCTACCTGACACTACATGTAAAAAAGTCAACTCAAGGTGGATGAAAGACATAAATACAAAACCTAAATAAATAAAAACCCTGGAAGATAACCTAGGAAATACCATTCTGGACATAGGACTTGGCAAAGATTTTATGATCAAGATACCAAAAGCAGTTGCAACAAAATCAAAAATTAACAAATGGGATCTAATTAAACTAAAGAGCTTCTGCACAGCAAAAGAAACTATCAACAGAGTACATAGGCAACCTAGAGAATGAGAGAAGATTTTTGCAAACTATGGATTCAACAAAAGTCTAATATTCCGAATCTATAGGAAACTTAAACAAATTTACAAGCAAAAAACAGCCCCATTAAAAAGTGGGCAAAGGTTATGAACAGACACTTTTCAAAAGAAAACATTCATGTGGCCAACAAGCATGTGAAAAAATGCTCAACATCACTGAAATGGTTTGGCTCTGTGTCCTCACCCAAATCTCATCTCAAATTGTAATTCCTATGTTTCCAGGTAGGGACCCAGTGGGAGGTGATTGGATCACGGAGGCAGTTTCCTCCATGCTGTTTTTGTAATAGAGAGTGAGTCTCATGGGATCTGATGATTTTAAAAGTGGTAGATTTTTCCTGTGTTCACTCAACCCCTCATGCAGCCTTGTGAAGAAGGTGCCTGCTTCACCTTCCACCATGATTGTAAGATTCCTGAGGCCTCCCCAGCCATGTGGAACTGTGAATCAATTAAACCTGTTTCCTTTTTAAATTACCCAGACTCAGGTATTTATAGCAGTGCAAAAATGGACCAGTACAGTTAATTGGTACCAAGGTAGTGGAGCACTGCTATAAAGACACCAAAAAATGTGCAAGTAATTTTGGGACTGGGTAACAGGCAAAGGTTGGGACAGTTTGGAGGGCTCAGAAGAAAACAAGAAGATGTAGGAAAGTTTGGAACTTCCTAGAGACTTGTTGAATGGTTTGGCTCAAATGCTGATAGTGATATGGACAATGAAGACCAGGCTGAGGTGTTCTCAGATGGAGATGAGGCACTCACTGGGAACTAGAGCAAAGGTTACTCTTGCTCTGCTTTAGCTAAGAGATTGGCAGCATTTTGCCCCTGCCCTAGGGATCAGTGAAACTTTAAACTTGAGAGAGATTATTTAAGGTATCTAGCAGAAGAAATTTCTAAGCAGAAAAGCATTGGAGAGGTGACAGAGCATAAAAGTTTGGAAAATTTGCAGCATGACCATGAGATAGAAAAGAAAAATCAATTTTCTGGGTAGAAATTTAAGCTGGCTGCAGAAATTTAAGCTGGCTGCAGAAATTTGCATAAGTAATGAGAAGCTGAATGATAATCACCAAGACAAAGGGGAAAATATCTCCAGGACATGTCAGAGACTTTTATGGCAGCCCCTCCCATCACAGGCTCGGAGACCTAGGAGTCAAAAATGGTTTCCTGGGCTGGGCCCAGTGCCCCCAACCACTGTGTGCAGCCTTGGGACTTGGTGCCCTGTGTCCCAGCTGCTCCAGCCCTGGGTAAAAGGGGCTAATGTACAGTTCTTGTCATTGCTTCAGAGGGTGAAAGCCCCAGGGCTTGGCATCTTCCTTGTGGTGTTGGGCCTACAGGTGCACAGAAGTCAAGAATTGACATTTGTGAACATCTGCCTAGATTTCAGAGGATGTATGGAAACTCCTTGATGCCCAGGCAGAAGTTTGCTTCAAGGGTGGAGCCCTCATGGAGAACCTCTGCTAGGGCAGTGAGGAGGGGAATGTGGGGCCACAGCCCTCACACAGGGTCTCCACTGGTGAACTGCCTAGTGGAGCTGTGTGAAGAGGGCCACCATCCTCCAGACCCCAGAATAGTGGATCCACTGACAGCTTGTACTGTGCATCTGGAAAAGCTGCAGACACTCAACACCAGCCCATGAAAGCAGCCAGGAGGGGGAACTGTACCCTGAAGAACCACATAGGTGGAGCTGCCCAAGGCTCTGGAAGCCTACCTCTTGCATCAGCCTGACCTGGATGTAAGACATGGAGTCTAAGAAGATTATTTAGCAGCTTTAAGATTTAATGACTGCCTTGCTGGATTTCAGACTTGCATGGTGCCTGTAGCCCTTTTGTTTTGACCAATTTCTCCCATTTTGAATGGAAGCATTTATCCAATGCCTGTACCTCCATGGTATCTTGGAAGGAACTAACTTGTTTTTGATTTTACAGGCTCATAGGTGGGTTGGTCATAGACTTTTGATTTAATGCTAGAATGAGTTAAGACTTTAGGAGACTGTTGGGAAGGCATGATTGGTTTTGAAATGTAAAAAGGACATAAGATTTGGGAGGGGTCAAAGGTGAAATGATATGGTTTGGCTCTGTGCCCTACCCAAATCTTATCTAGAATTGTAATCCCCATGTGTGGAGGGAGGGATCAAGTGGGAGGTGATTGGATGATGGGGACAGTTTCCCCCGTGCTGTTCTTGTGAGAATGAGTCTCATGAGATCTGATGGTTTTAAAAGTGGTAGTTTTTTCCTGTGCTCACTGAGTCCCTGCTGCTGCCTTGTGAAGAAAGTGCCTGCTTTGCCTTCTACCATGATTGTAAGTTTCCTGAGGCCTCCCCAGCCATGTGGAACTGTGAGTCATTAAACCGGTTTCCTTTATAAATTACCCAATCTCATGTATTTCTTTTTTTTTTTTTTTTTTTTTTTTTTGAAATGGAGTCTCGTTCTGTCACCCAGGCTGGAGTGCAGTGGCGCAATCTCGGCTCACTGCAAGCTCCGCCTCCCGGGTTCACACTATTCTCCTGCCTCAGCCTCCTGAGTAGCTGGGACTACAGGTGCCTGCCACCATGCCCGGCTAATTTTTTAATATTTTTAGTAGAGACGGGGTTTCACTGTGTTAGCCAGGATGATCTCGATCTCCTGACCTCGTGATCCACCCACCTTGGCCTCCCAAAATGCTGGGATTACAGGCGTGAGCCATGGCATCCGGCCTCTCAGGTATTTCTTTATAGCAGTGCAAAAGCAGACTAATACAATCATTAACCATTAGAGAAATGCAAAGCAAAACCACAATGAGATACCATCTCACATCAGTCAGAAGCTATTACTAAAAATTCAAATAATAGCAGATGTTGGCGAGGTTGTGAGACAAAAGGAATTCTTGTACATTGCTGATGGGAGTGTAAATTTGTTCAGCTATTGTGGAAAGCCCTGTGGTGATTCCTCAACTAACTTAAAACAGATTTATTATTTGACTCAGCAATCCCATTATTGGGTATATACCCAAAGGAATATAAATCATTCTATCATAAAGGTACATACACAAGTTTGTTTATTGCAGCATTATTTACAATAGTGAAGACATGGAATCAATCTAAATGCCCATCAGTGGTAGACTGGATAAGGAAAATGCGGGATATATATATATATATACAGTTCTGATATATATATATATACAGTATATACAGTTCTGATATATATATATATATACAGTTCTGATATATATATATATATACAGTTCTGATATATATATATATATATATATATATATATATATAATGGAATACTATGCATCTATTAAAAAGAACAAGATCATATCCTTTGCAGCAACATGGATAGAGCTGGAGGCCGTTACCCTAAACACACTAACATAGGAATTGAAAACCAAATGCCATATGTTCTCATCTGTAAGTGAGAGCTAAATAATGAGAACCAATAGGCACAAAGAAAGGCACAATAGATACTAAGGCCTACTAGAGGATGAAGAGTGGAAGGAGGGAGAGGATCAGAAAAATACCTATTGGGTGCTCTGCTTATTACCTGGGTGATGAAATTATCTGTACAGCAACCCCCTGTGACACATGCAGTTTACCTGTATAACAAACCTGCACATGTTTTTCTGAACCTAAAATAAAGGTTAAAAAATGCTAACATGATTAGAACTTAGTGAATGAGGGACAGAATTGAAAGATAGGCAGGTGCTTGGTAATATAGGACAAGAACAAATAAACATTTTCTGTAAAGGGCCACATAGTAAATATTTTAAACTTTGTGGGACATATGGTCTCACAACTACCCAACTTTGCCTGTGTCATACAAAAACAGATAATACATAAATAAATGACCACATCTTTGTTCCAATAAAACTTTATTTACAAATGAAGCAGCAAACTGTATTTGTTCAGAATGCCATAGTTTCATGACTTTTGATATACAGTCTTATAAAATAAGGCATTTGAATTTTATTTTGAGACCCAGGAGAAGTACTTAAGTACTTTTAAGCAGGGGAATTAAGGTCGCCTTTGATACTTTGTGAAAAATAGGAAGAAAGTGAGACACAAAATACGAAATAGTGATTTAGGTGATAAAGAAATGTGACTTAGGGGAATTCACTTGGAAAATGTTTTAGAAAATTGCCAAGTATTTTTCTTAAGTGCTCACAAGTCTATTATTAATATTATATGTGCTCCAAAATATATCATAGTATCCACTAACAATGTAGGTGGGGTCTGAAAGAATATTACCTGTGCTTAGGAGCCAGGGTAGGTCTTAGACCATCTGTGCCACCACACAGTTCATTGACCTCTCTGTACCAATCCATACTATCCAAAAACCAAGAAACATTTGTTGTTCTTTAGTAGTTGTAATTTATTTTCTAATAAGCTTATCCTTCAAGCAGGGCATCTGTCAGATATTTCCAGGATTTGCATAATATTTCTCTATCTATATAACAAAATTTTGGCTTTTGGCTTTTCCCGACAATGCTATTTAATTACTTCACTATCTGTGTGTACTGTGAACATTGATATTGTATTCTCTCATATTTTTTGTAAATTTTCTACATCAACAATTGTTTTCACACTCCTTGAACAAGCTTTGCAGGAATTCATTGAATCTGTTGATGGTTGTGACCTGAGTTTTGGGTAAGAGCGTCTGTGGAATTGATAATGCTTGATCCATCATGGCCCAGTTTTCTACTGTCACTCCCTTATAGCAAGGACTAAAATTGAATTCTTCATACTGTCACATTGAGGGAAATGATGAGTGAGCAGTGATGTGATTGTTTTCTAAGAGGACCCAAGGGGTTGTAGGAATAATTTCAACAGAGAATCTACAATTTAAAATATGACTTGGTAACTAAGCTTTTTTCAGGATTACATGAAAAGAAACATATAAATCATATAACATTTACATATATACATACATATATGTTACACCTAACTATATATCAATTACATACTAATTATTTTTAATTAATATATACATATATTTGCATATGTGTGTCACACCTAATATATAGTAATATATAATGATTATATATAACTAATATATATTATATATAAATATATTATATGTGTTACATCTAACATATGTTATTATATGGTAAATATATTATGTTATTAAATATCTATATGTTTAATAGTATACATTTAATAAGTATATATTATTAAAATAATTAAGTTTTATTATATATTTGATATATTAAGTATTAAATAAATAATTTACTATTTAAATTATTAAATATACTATATAATAACACATATTTAATATATTACATGTGTTTATTAATTAATTACCATATTAAATATTTTATTATTAAATATATAATTTACATGTAATTACATATTAAAGATATATTTTATACATTTAATAACAAAATTATGTTATTAAATAGTAAACATATGCTATTAAATTGTGTATGTTCTATATAACAATATGTTATATGTATTACATATAATATAAAGTATATATATTATTAAATATTAAATATATTATTAAATTATATACACTATATGTTATATAACATGTATAATATATTTATATATAAACATATGTCTTACACTTAACATATATGTTAATATATACACTATATATTTATATTTGTGTTATATATCTTTATGTTATGTGTAACACATATGTTATATATAAATTTCTTATATATAATATATAATGTATATAACATAATGTGTAGTGTATATATAATAATATATTTCAGGTATAACACATGATATATTGATATATATGTTAGGTGTAACACATACATATTAATATATAAACATATGTTAACATATTCATTGATATATATTAATTATATATACAATTATATAATTAATTGTAAATACAATTATACAATTAATACATAAGTTAGATGTGTCACATATAGAATATATATGCTATGTTTTACACATATATACATATATCTATATATTTTATGTTATGTATAGATATATGTAAATATGTATGTTATAAGTAACATATATAATATATTAATATATACTATGTGTTAAATATAATATATTAATATATATTATGTGTTAAACATATATAATATATTAAAATATATAAATAATACATTATATGGGAAAGCCTTTAGTGTATTTATTGATAGAATCTTGGATGATCAACAATTCTTTCATTATGTTAGCTACAATAGATCGAGTTTAGATCTGTTCTCATTTCTTTTTGGTTTGTCATCGTTACTACAGATGTTTGGAAGGTAAATCTTATATCTCCTTCAGGTACAATATGGATGTAATTTAGATCCTTCCAATCAACGCACTCTCATGAGATTTTATTTTGTAACTGAATAAAGTGAAAACATCTATTTGCTTGGCTCAAATGTTGACTCTGGAAACAACAGTGTCATTAGTGACTTTATGATCTGCAGCTCACAGCTTAGATACTGTGTTCTAAAGCCAAGAGTTCCGAAAACGTTTAATTCCCCAGCTTCTGCACTGTGGTAAAAGTATCTGCTTTCCTTGAGAATCAGTTCAGCAGTGGCATTGTGAGGGTCATAGCTGCAGGCCTAATTTATAGCTTGCTCTTCTATCCCTTACAATGATTTGGTAAATACCTAACTGGCTATATCTTAAAATTATTCTGATTAAAATAGCTATTATGGGCTATATGAAAACTGCAACTAAACTGTGCTTTCTACAATATTTGGGACACAAGTGGTTGTAGATACAAGATTTTCAAGGATCAGAATCTCAAATTGATTAATTGACGTGGCTGGATTTGAAGGCATTAGAGGATGAGATACTAATAGTTTATTTTACCTGGAGGCAAACAATAGTTAAATTTACATGTATAGTTACCTATTAAGATTATAGTTTTAGAGGATCAAGTGACAGATGCAAAAACAATATGATGGGGAGAAGGACTGTAAGAACTGTGTGGTTGGTAGCCCATGTCTAACTGCACCATCAAGAGTTAAAAACAAAAATGTCGTATTCATAACTTTAAGTTTAAATTATTGGTGTCATAGAATGTTAGAAAACCTAGATTTTCTGAGACTTTTCTAAAAGAACTTCTTGTATTTTGTATTTCCAGCATTGAGGCAGCAAAAAATCAGACACAAAATTTGTTTCTACAGGTTACTGAATTAATGTAGATCAAATTCATTCACTACATGAAAAGTAAAGACAGTACTTGGAAGAGAGGCACCCCAAGAATTAGAGTGACAGCAGTTGGGAGAATTGCAACTAAACATATGCTGAAGCTAAATCTTGCCTGGTGTTTCTGTGTCAACAAAATTATTCTATTCTCCTCTGTCTAATGAAGTGAGTCTGCTGTGCACAAATACCTGGTTCTGATTTCACTCGAGTGATACCTTATAGCAAGATACTAATTCTTTGTATGCTACACCCATACCACCCCATTACCTATAGATCTACAATTCCAGCCAGCTATCTGCATATCATAGGGCCCAATACTAAGTCCAACTTCATAACAGAAGGCTTATTCATCAAAAGATTACAAAACTGAGTATATTTATATCAGAACAAAACAAGTGAATATGTAAAAGAAATTGCCAGCAAAGGTCAAATGTACTTTCAGATTGGGCTTGGTTTACTGCTATGAATTCGGTATGCTAGCTCTTGTGGAAATTGATACTTAAAGGTGACTATAATTAAAGCTGAGATGCCACAGATTTCATGGTATATTGTGGACAGAATTATGTGAATAACCTTGAGTAAATTTTTCATGTGTGTTCATCTTACAACACCCTAACTATGTGCCCTTATGGGACCTACCTAGAGGACATTCCTTTTACGAAAATCCTGAGTAAAACACTAACATTCTTGAAAAGTGCTTGATCTTTGTAGATTAAAGATGAAAGTGGGAACTGTGGTTATTGATAGAAGGTCCATGATTTCAATGACAGTGATTGGATCTGAGAGTGATAGAAGCTAAATAAGTTACCCAACAGGTAACAAGGGCAAAGTCATAACAGAATTGCCTGACTCATATGCATCATTTTAATGGCTGTGATTACGAAGTCTCTAATGAAGAATTAAAGAGTCAACTACTTAAGGCACAACTAGAGTCATAACAGAAGAACTCTAAATAATGTGACTGGTAACCACACACATGATTTAATTCACAATAGCAAACCACATCTCACTGGTTTTATAAAGTAAGAACCTTCATGTTAAATAGAGATCAGTTTTCTCTGAGAATGACTCTAATAACTTTGGGGCCACTTACTACTATGACTGTGCACTAAGGACAGGAAAGCACCCTTGCCACTCAAAGATTATTAGGCACTGCCTTTGAACTGATGCTAATCCTTGAGATCCATAATGTTACTACTGTCCAGCAGTCACAGTGGAGATCTGTAGGAATAAATAAGCATAATATAATAAATAGCCCTAGGCTTAAGTTTGTCTCATATAATCCTTTGAGTCATCAAACCCACCCATCCTTACTCTAGTTCTTGTGTTATATGATGAAAATATTTTCAGCAACTGGCAGAATCCTGACATTGGTTTCAGAAGTAAAGACTATAATGATTGGAATAGTCAACTTGAAGACCTAGAGTCGTTATTAAAGTATCATGTTCCCAGGAAAATTAAAGTATCATGTTTCTAGGGGAATCCTCAAGTTAGTGCCACCAACTGATTCTTGAAAGACAAAGTGGCGTAATCTCCATCATATCTTCCTTTAATTGGACCGCTTGTCCCACATAGGAGACAAATGAATCTTAGAGATTAGAGTACATTCAACAAGATGTAACCAGAAGTATACTGAAGTTTTAGATACAATTTCATTGTTAGAGCAAATCAACACAGCTTCTGGCACTGAGTATCTAGTTACTGATGAGACAAATATATTTTCTTTTTCCTAATCCAATATGCATAGAAGAGCAAGAAAGAATTTGCTTCCTCCTGGTAGAGATAGCAGTACACTTTCATTATCTTGCCTCAAAGTTTTACATACTATATATATGGACCATGATTTAATTCAAGGAGACTTTGACAATCTTAACATCAAGGGCATCATGCTAACCCTCTATATGGTATCATGTTGATAAGACCTGCGAAGCAGAAAATTGCGTATGACTTTGATGTCTTAGTGAGACACTTTTGTGTTACAGAGTGGGAAAGATAACCCATGAAAATTAAGAAGCATGATATTTTTGTGAAATTTCTGGCAGCCAGTGGTCTTGGTGATATTGGAATATCTGCTACAAAGAAAAAAAAAAGTAGTTGAAACTCACACATCTTACCACTAAAAAAGAAGTACAGTGTTTGGTGGATTTGTGGGAGACATTTTGACAGCTTTAAAGCTGTCATCTTGGAATAGATCACTGACTAGAAGAAGGCTATCTGGCTAACTTAGACTGCAGTTAAAGTAGCTCTGCCATTTAGCCATAATGATCTATCAAAACCAGTATTCCATGAAGTGTTTGTAGTATATTGGAATGCTACACTGAATCTGTAGCAAGCCTGGATACGAAACAGAAACAATTATTTTCAAGGTCCTAAAGTTAGGAGAAAACCATGCCTTCTTTGTAAAATAACTATCCTCACCTTCAGAAACGTTTCTTGCTTCTGCTTAGTAAGATTTAACTTGGCCATAAGACAACAAATAACCCTGTGACCTTTGCTTATTATAATTCAACAGTCTATAAAGTTAGGTATGTTGATCATCTAGTGAAAATGATTCATGACTAGAAAGACTACACATTTCAATTTGTCTAGGAAAGTCTTAGTTTGTGCTTATTGTCTAAGCATTTCATCCAGTTTACCATTTCAGCATTCAAAAACGTTATGGTTTAGATGATAGGTTATATACTCATCGATCAAAAGGGTTATGGTTTAGGTGATAGGTTATATTCTCATCTATCCTAAAGCTGGTTGTAACTTGTATGAGTAAGCAAATCATTTCCTAATGTACCTATTCTTATTCCTCTGCTTCCTTTACCTCCACCCACATTCCTGGCTTTATGGAATGAGTAAACTGAGAAATAAAAATTAAGGCTGGTTTACAGAATGCTCTGCACACTGTAATGGCACATGCCAGTTGTAGGTTATCATAACATTTAAGCCCAGCTGAAACATTTTTCTCTTATGTACTAATATCTCTAAATCAACAGAGATCATTCTTATGGCTTTGGAAATCAAAAAATGGTAGGTGTAATAATAATTTGAGCCATTCTCATTTCTGCCTCTTCATTGATCACTGGTTACTGATTTCCATGGGCCACGTCAATGGGCTCCCTTGCTCTGTGCCTTTTGGTTAGGTTTAACCAGTGGGGAACACAAGCAGGAAATCTGGGAAAGAAAGGAAAATGAAGTCAAGGCATTTCCAATCTCTCTTCTTGCTCGCTTGTTTTAGGTTGGGTGCATCATTCTGTGGAAGATTCCTCCTTTATTCGGTATTCTAGTAACAGTTCCTTCTCTTTGTCCCTTCTGGGATAAAGGGGAGAGGGGAGCTTACCTCCTGGTGCTATTGCTGTATTTTCCCTTGTGGTTTCCCTACACTTTTGCTATACTTTTGTCCATAGAGAATTTATTGAACACTTCTCAAATTATGCAATTTGAATTTATTTCTCCTCCTGGTGCCCTGACTGTTACACCATGTGAAAGAAGGATAGAGAGCCTAGTTCCACAAGTACAAGGTATTGCCCACAGAAGGGAGGCATGAGTGCTGACCAAATCACAGGACAATCAAGCAAACTTAGTCACAGCAGGTGAAAAGGTGAGAAGAGTAGCAAATTTAAGCAAGATGGCTAACAGCTTTCTTCCTGTTTGTAGTCTGCCTTTTCATCATCTTCATAGAGTCTTTCAAAGAGAAACAGTTTTAAATTTTGATGAGATCCAATTTATCAATTTCTTCTTTTATGGATTGTGCTTTTCGTGTCAAGTCTAAAAACTGTTTACCTGACTCTAGGTTCTGAAGATTTTATCCTATATTTTTCCTAAAATTTTTGTAGTGTTATTTATACTTAAGCCTCTATCTATTTTGGATTTATATTTAAATAAGATGCGAGGTTTAGGTTGAGGATCTTTTTTCTTGCCTAGAATGTCCAATTGCTTCAGCCATTTGTGTAGAAAACTTTACCCTTCCTTCACTATGATTTTTTCTTATTTTTTAATTTTTTCAATGAGGGCAATGTTTATTAAGAACAGCACAGAAGGTAGAAAAGAAGGTTGGTTTCTAATTTTGGTTCATCTCCCCCACTGATCTTGAGTTGTTTTTTTTTTTTTTTAATTATTATTATACTTTAAGTTTTAGGGTACATATATACAACATGCAGGTTTGTTACATATGTATACATGTGCCATGTTGGTGTGCTGCACCCAAATCTTTGTCAAAATCAGGCATAAATGCATGTAGTAGAAAAAATAGATCTAAAATCAATAATCTAAATTTCTACTTTAGGAAATGATTTAAAAAAGGGCAAGTTAAATTTAAAGTAAGTACAAAAAGAGAAATAATACAAATTAAAGCAGAAATCAATAAAATTGAAAATAGGAAATCTAAAAAAACTCATTCTTTAAAAAAATCAATAAAATTGATAAGTTTCAAGCCACACTAAAAATAGAGAGAGGACAAATTACTAATATCAGAAATGAAAGAGGGGGCATTGCTACAGATCCCATAGAGTTTAAAAGGACAAACAAGGAATACTACAAACAACTCTATAACCACAAATTTGATAACCTAGATGAAATGGATCAATCTTTTTAAAGACACAAGCTGCCAAAACTCACACAAGAAGAAATAGACAATATTGATAAACTTTTATCTATTAATAAAATTGAATCAATAATTAGGGAAGAAAGATTTATAACCAATAATCAAAATTTCAGGAATCTAAAATTCAAGAATCAAAATAGAAAGTTTTAGGTCCATATAGGTTCACTGGTGAATTCCACTAAATATTTAAAAAGAAATTATATAAATTGTCTAGATTTGGGTATTGAAATGTTTAAAGGAAATCTATCTAACCTATAGGTAAAAAACACTTTTGCTTAACACTGACTTAACATTTCAAAAGTGTTATTTTTGTTCCCGACATCTAATCCTGTCTCAGAACCTGTGCCCTGTTGTGGCTGCAAGTGGCACTCAAGTTGACTAGAGCACTGTGACCTGGGCTGTACCCCACGTACACTAACTCTTCAATGCACTTTTAAGTCTAACTTATTTGAGGAAACACATAACAAAGGGTACCATAAACAGAATCCAAATTATGTTGGGCCAAAAATGTTGCCAGAATTGAGACACTTTGTGATGGAGTTGCAAGAGAATACCTTGAGATTGGCTCAGTCTGATTTATTCTAGTTAAGCCAAAGCTTAATCAATACAGTGTGGCATTGGTGAAAAAGTAGACAAATAAATCAATGGAACAAAATATAGAGCCCAAAACAGACCCATACACACAAACACAAAACTGATTTTGACAAAGGAGTAAAGATAGTACAATCGAACACATAGTTTTTAAAGCAAATACTGCTGGAACAACTAGACATTCACTTGTAAAACCATGAATCTAGACACAGACCTTACAATGATCATGCAAATGAAGTCACAATGAATCATAGACCTAAATGTAAAATGCAAAACAATAAAACTAGATGATAACATAAGAGAAAACCTAGATGACCTTGGATATGGTGATTACTTTAGATGCAACACCAAAGTCAAGATCCATGAAAGAAATAATAGATAAGCTTGACCTCACTAAAATTAAATACTTCTGCTCTTTTAAAATGCCAGGAGAATGTGAAAAGGAGCCACATACTGGGAGAAAATACTTGCAAAAGACACATCTGACAAAAGACTGTTATTTGAATTATACACAAAATTCAAAGTTTGACATAAGAAAATAATCTGATTAAAAAATGGGCCAAAGACTGTAACAGGCACCTCACCAAAGAAGATATACAGTTGTCCAGCAAGCATAGGAAAAGTTGCTTCACATCATATGTAATCAGGGAAATGCAAACTAAAATAACAATGAGATACCACTAACACATTTATTAGAATGGCCAAAATCTGGAACTCTGAAAACACCAGATGCTGGTGAAGATGTAGAACAACAGGATCTCTTATTCATTGCTGGTGGAAATGCAAAATGCTGTAACCACTTTGGAAGACAGTCTGGCAGTTCCTTACAAACATAAACATACTCTTACTGTCTGATTTAGCAATCTTGCTTCTTGATATATACCAGGGGAGTTGAAAATGTTAAACCTGCATATGGATGTTTATAGTAGCTTTAGATATGATTGTCAAAATATGAAAACAACCAAGATGCCCTTCAGGAGGTGAATAAATAAATAAACTGTGGCACATCTAAACAATGGAATGCTATTCTGCACTTAAAAATAAAAATAGCTGTTAAGCCATGAAGTGACATAAAGAAACCTTAAATGCATATTACTAAGTAAAAGAAGCCAATCTGAAAAGGCTACAAACTTGATATGGTTTGGCTGTGTCCCCACCCAAATCTCATCTTGAATTGTAATAATCTCCACAAGTCATGGGAGGGACCCAGTGGGAGGTAATTGAATTATGGGGGCAAGTTTTTCCTGTGCTGCTCTTGTGACAGTGAATAAGTCTCACAAATCTGATGGTTTTATAAAGGGGAGTTCCCCTGCACATACTCTCTTGCCTGCCACCATGTAAGATGTGCATTTGCTCTTCCTTTGCCTTCTACCATGATTGTGAGGATTCCCCAGCCATGTGGAACTGTGAGTCCATTAAACTCTTTTTCTTTCTAAATTACCCAATCTTGGGTATGTCTTTATTAGCAGCATGAGAATGGACTATATAATATTGCATGACATTCCAGAAAAGGCAAAATCATGGAGACAGTATCAGTGGTTGCCAGGGGTTGAGGTAGGGAGGGGGATGACAGGCAAAGCACAGAGAAATTTTAGGGCGGTGAAAATGCTCTGATACCACAATAATGAATATATGTCAGTATATTTGTCCAAACCCATAGAATATACAACAGTAATAGTGAACCCTGGTATAAACTATGGACTTTGGGTGATTATGATGTGTCAGTGTAGGTTCATCAACTGACAAATATACCACTCTGGTGGGGAGTACTGATAATGAAGGAGGCTACTATGCATGACTTGGGAAAAGGGGTATATGGAGGTATATAGGAAATCTCTGCACCTTCCTCTCAATTTTGCTGTGAACCTAAACTGCTCTAAAAAATAAAGTTATACTATGAAGAAATTATAAATGTTTAAAATGATGGATATGGTAATTACCCTGGTTTGATCATTATACAAAGTATACATGCATTGGAACATCAGACTACATACCATAAATATGTATAATTATTATGTGTCAATTATAAATTTAAAATATAAATAATTATTAAAAATGGGCTTGATGCAGTTGCTCACGCCATAATCCCAGCACTTTGAGAGTCAAGGGAGAAGGATTACTTGGGCCCAGGAGGTCAAGATCAGCCTGGGCAGCATAGTGAGATCCTATTTCTACAAAAATTAAAAAAAAAAAATTAGCCAGGCATAGTGGTTTGTGTCTACAGTCCCAGCTACTTGGGAGGCTGAGGTGGGAAGATCATTTCAGCCTAGGAGGTCAAGTCTGCAGTGAGCCATGATTATGTCGCTGCACACCAGCCAAGGTGACACAGCAAGACCCTATCTCAAACAACCATAATAACAAATAAATAATAAAGTCTTAAAAAAAGAGTTGGGTATAATTTTGAGGATGGGAGCTTTATAAACATCACCAGTTGGGCCCTGCCATATACTAATAGAATTAGAATCCATGGATGTGACTCTGAATGCATATAAATTTTAGAAAGCTCTTCATGCGATTCCAACATGTAGTCAGTTTTGAGAACAATTGTGCCAATCAAATCCAGCTACTCACTTCCTCTAAACCAAAAACAATTACTTTCTATTTCTTTTTATTTGTCCATTTTCTTCTAAAGTTGCCATATAAAATAAAAGGCATTCAGTTAAATCTGAATGTTAGATAAATAATGAGTAATTTTTTCTCCTTTTGTGAGAGTCCTTTTCTGCATTTGCAATGGTCAGCTTATTACTCATCCTTTAAATTTTAGTCCAAATAACTGCATGACTTTCCCCTTACCTAGAGAGCTGGTGATTTCTCTGTTATCCAAGTTTTCATAGATTCTTTTTGCTCCCTCTCCTGGAGCAATGATCTAATCCCATTCTATAGTTGTGTTATGTGTAGATGGTCTCAGGTTTTATTTCAATACTACTTTAAATTATCTCAACTCCAGGAATCCTCCACAACACTTTGTACTAAGAAACCTCAAACTAGAGTGATCAGTGATCCTTGTCTGCCCAATACTATCCCAGTTTTAGTACTGAAAGTCTGGCATTTAGGGCAGTACTTCCGCATTAAGCATACTAAGGTGGCTGGCCTTATTTCACACCCATTAGAGCCTTAAAAGAGGTTTAGAAAATAGGTGTAAAATGCATGGCTTCAAATATATTGGAATAAAAAATGAGACATGCAGCAGTAGCTGCTTTTAAATGTCCAGATTAATATATATATATATATATATATATACTCCATTATAGTAATCCTGATGCTACCCAAAACATGCCTGAAGCCTACCTGTAGAACATTCCCTATATGTATATAGAAGACAAGATTATTTAATCATATAAGGTGAACACCACCCCCATAATTTATGGTAGAATCCAACTTTATTGCACATACCCTTCTTTCATATTAGCATGAACCTTATCCAGATTCCAAAACACAAGATGGATAAAAAAATGCACGTGTTAGAAACTTATTTTTAAATTGAGAAATAAATACATTTCTCACAGAAAACTTTGTCCATTCTTTCTTAAAAGAAATGGTACACTGAAGACTCTGGTTATTTTGAATTGTATGTCACAGTTTTCTTCTACTTACAAAACTAAATTTATTACTCTGTTCTAATCTATTGAATTATCCAGGTATTTTACTTTCAAATATTGTGCAATCCCATGTTCAATTCTGAGCTAGTATTACTTTAGATCTTGTAACAAATATAACCAAAATGTGCACTAATAAATGGTACTGGAAATCCCATTCATATGTTACAAGCTGCTTGTTTCTCAGTTGCCTGGTTTTATCACTTTTTAATGATTTGTCATGTGTCCTAAAAGACAATGTAATTAATCTTATGTAGGTTCACTAAATTAGCCTGTAAATAATGTAACAAATCATTAAATTGAAAAGCAAACTAAAAGCATTTAAAAATAAATCTATCATATTGCATTAAACACCCTAAAGTGTGAATGGCAGAAAACTAAGTAAAGCACAAATTGAAGGCATTTTCTAGTTTAAACAGAGAAAAAAAAAGCATTCAATACATGGACTCCCTAAGATTAAGCAGGAATAATTTTGTTGTTAGTTAAAGTTTGAGCCTTAACATTGGCTTAAAGAATAAGTCACTTTGATAGTTGCTTAGCAAGTGAAAACTCACCACTGTTTCCCAGACTTAGACCATACACTATGGAACTTCATTCTCACTTTCTTCCTGGTTTTGATATAAAGTAGTTTTTATTTACACTTTGTTTGCACAGTGATATATGCGGGACGTTCTATTTCTTTGATGAACTTTTCCCCTAGGCACCTTAATCTCTTTGGGGAAAAGTTTTTGTAAAATTAAATATTTAAATTCCCAATATTCTTTGTGTACGTAGGGCAGAATTTATCTGCCCTGGCATTAAGGACATTTTGGGCCAGGTAATTTTTGGTTGTGGGAGCTGTCTTTTGCATTGTCAGATGTTTAGCAGCATCTCTACCTTCTACTCGCTAGAGCTGGTAGCACTCCCAAATTGTGACAACCAAAAATGTAGACATTGCCATATATCTTCAGGTGGAAGGAATGGGAAAATTGTACTTGTTTAGGAACCACTGGATTAGATTACTTGCAAAGTCTTAATTTACTGAAAATATATGAGAGAATCAGTTTGATTTATTTTTCTCTATATTTAAAAATTATAGTAGAGCTGTCAGTGGGAAATTGTTATATAGAAAGCTCAAATATGACCATCTGGTCTTTTCAATTTATTCAGAAATATTAGAAATGGTATTCATACAAGTTTCATTATTGATCTAGTATCTAGTTTTTATGACCAAACTGGTAAAATATGGTGTTCAGATGTGATGGAATACAGGAGACTTGTTATTTATTGTTTACCCTGACTGGAATGGTGTTTCTAGCAAGAAATACTTCATCTCATTAAAGGCAAAATTGTGTGGGTTTCCCAAAGATCTCTAGATTCCCTTAGACTGCTGTGAAGTGATCATCCATGAGTTTGTTTTCAGCTTACATTTTAAGGATTATATTTTTCCCATTAGCAACGTCTTGTAAACTTTTAAGAGCGAGCTTATTTTTCCAGCCAGTTGCTTTTCACAGTGTTTTAAAACCAAGGATTTTACCGCTCAAAAGTTTTAATGGCCTGACTTACTGAATACTGAACTGACTGTTAAAAATATTATGAGTGTTATGAAACTGAAAGAAAAGATCATAGCTTCATTCAGACTTCCCCATAAATATTTAATGTTACATTTTTTCATATTTAAATTGGTACCCCTATGTATGGTGGAAAAGGTAACAGAAATAAAATGTTACTTACTTAGTATAATATTTTTATAATACCTTGAATAACGAGATAGCTCTAAAGATAATTGCAAACTGGGAAAATATTTTCCAAAGATTTCATTTTGTTCCTGTTCTGATCTCAAGAAACAAGGTATCTTTAATCTCTGCATTATCAATACATATAAACAAAACAAGAAAATAATCAATACATAACAAGTGGCCTCAGATAAGGGAACAACTTATTTGCTCTACCTTTTTTTTTTTTTTTTAAAGATATTGTGAGGCTGGATCTGGTCTTTTGAGAACTTCAGGAATACATCATACAGAGTAAAGTTAATGGAATTTCCATGCGTTCAGTATCTTGACTCTGTAAGTAAAGCAATCATATCTTTCAGAAGTAACCTTCATGCTTCACATTTAAAATCAGGGTTTTAAATCAGAGTCAGATAATTATGCAAAAAAATTGGTTACTTAACGTAAAAGTTGTTAAAATAAACATTTCAAAATCAAACATAGCCAGTAATTGACACAATTTTATTGACTGAAAAGCACTAAGATTTATAGTGCTTTGAAGTGTATTGCTAATTACATGTCATATCAGAGTGATTGGAAAACATTTACATATCCAAGATTATTGGCAGAAAAGCCAGTCAACAATGAATACATGAATTTCACAATGAGAAAAAAATATGCACACATGCAGACATACACACATGTATAAATATATAGTGTATATTTATATGTGTTTACATATATAATACATATATAGTTTTGTATACCTAGATAGCCATACATTGTGTGTGTGTGTGTATATATATATAAAAAATATATGTATCTATCACTCTATGTCTATAGGACCTATATCAAGGGATAGGGAAAAAGACTGTTTCAAAATATTAAAGCATTCTGGAAAAGAATTCACCGAGGGTTTCCCTTAGTGTTAGTTCTTAGAGAACCTCAGAGTAAAAGTTTTCTTGATCATTTTAAGTTGAAAAGGACCACATATTAAATCAATCTCTTGGCCATAATCAGTGCATATTAGATATTAAATATTCTGAGATATCCTGCAGAAAAGAGTGTTTACCTTAATAAGTTATACAGGTATAGATATCCATGAATCTTTCCCCCCATAATTGATGCCTTTTAGCATCATGGAGAACTGGTGTTTTGCCAGACAAACCTGGGGAAAGTGACTGCTTTCATCCATATTAGATTGGAACATCATCATATTTTTATTAGTTTGTGTGGATTAACATAGTCTTGAATTTGAAATAGGAGGACCTGGGTTTTAGTTCTCTATGTTCAAGGAAATAGATTTTCTGAGAGTTGGATTTTTGGGAGGATGTCCAGGAAATTAGATATTGTTTGTGAAGGCCCTTTATAATCTTTAAAGTGCTCTACTAGTGTTAATTCTTCTCATTAGCTATTATCAAGTTCAACCTAAGAGGCTCTAAAATGTTATCTATATCACTCAGATTTCTTAAACTATGTAATGGCATATTGCTTAATTCCCTTCTCTTAATGCTTTGGCCTCCATCTTGCAAAATAGCAAGAAACAGTTAAATGTTCCAATTCCTAAGAGGTTGAGCACTTCTACAAACAACAGTCAGAATAGGGAAAAAAGAAAATTAACGGTTTTCTGCTAATGACTCATATTAGGCCTCTTTGGTGGTCTAAAGCAATGGATTACATCTTTTTATCATTTCTTCCATCTGCCTGTCACAGGACTACTAGGGTGATTGCTAGTTTTGTTGTTAAAAATGTCACCCCCCTTTTTTTTAAGATTCTTTAAAAGTAAACACAGGAAAAGTGGTATATACCTGTCATTTAGATCAAATAAAACAAAGGTCGATGGAAATACATTTCTCTTTTGAAGAGGCTCCCCTGCTGATTTTGTTTATCCGAAAATGGCAAGTTTTTGTTCCTAATGGACTGAAATTTAAATAAAATCTGACCCTGGAAATAAAAGCAGCCATTATGACAAAATAAAATTATATACTTTGGAGGAGAAATTGAATTAGAATGCTGGCTTTCTTTGGTTAAATTCTTTTACATAAGGAAATGAGCAAGAGAGAGAAAACTGTTGGACAAAGTGAGCTTTTTAAAAATCAATAATTGCTTCCAATTAACTTTCAAAAACTTTGTTACAAACTTCATAGAGTATCACAAGTTATACTAAAATTTGTATATTTCCTTATACAAGAGTTTAATGAAAGTGAAAAGGGCAAACTTATTTGCATTTTGGTATTTATTTTTAGCAAACAGAATTTTCAAAACAATCAAAATTTTGATAACAAGTCTAACTATTCTTTAAAAACTGGAATCATATAAAAATCAAACAGCATTGGCAATAACATGCTTGAAAAATGAGGAAGATATTACAGCCCTTATAAGATTACATTTGATTTTAACTAAAATTTATCTAAGAACAAAAGAGGCTCTGACATTCATATAATTTCACTAAGGTTCTGCATGTTTGATGGTGAGCCTCAGAATCACCACTCCTTTTGTAAGTCTGCTTGTTTTGGCAAAAGTATGTCTTTATTTTCATCACTTTTAGGGGAAGAGTTATGAATTAATAAACTTCGATATAAAAAGGTCACTTTTATATTAAAGCTCTTACTTTAAATTTAATTAATTTCGAAAAACTCAAGGTGTGTATTTGCCCTTTGAATAGGCATATCTGCCCCTTAGAAATGTAAAATATTTATGATAGTTGTCATGGAGAAAAGTGGAATAATAAAGTCATGGATTTCTACTTCCACAACAGTGGAGAATTTAAAAATACATCTAGTCCAAAGCCTTCCTTTTTGGGGGTAAATAACTAATATTTGGCCATATTATTTATCTAGAGCTACTCTTATAATCATGACACAGATAGGGACACAATCAACAGTATGCTCATGGAAAGTGTCTGTAGTAGGGCAGGTCTGAGAGCAAAACCCAACTCCCCCACTTATTAGTTATGTTAATTTGTACAAAATATTCAAATTATAGAAATCTCGGTCTTCTTTTACAGTATTTTCCCATGAAATTGTTTTGAGGATTAGATGGGATAATGCTTGAAAAATTACCCAGTATTTAATAGATCCCCAAGGGGGTCATTGAACAAACATCCATAGGAATAATGTGTATCAGGCTTTGCTCTAGGAGATGTGGATTACAAAGAAAAGAAAATAATGATTTCATTTCTAGTGTCCTGGAAATCACCTTCTTGTAGTTTGAGTGAGCAAGATACACACCAAAAAACAGATCATCTTAGAGCCAGAAAATTACTAGGAAGGCCACGGAACCAAATATAGTGTTAATCAGTAAGGGTTCAGGCGCAAGGTGGCTACTTTCCATATGGTGTTCAGGGAAGATAGTCCTCAAGTAGAGACACATAAATGGGGCATGAATGTTAAAAAGTATTGATTACATCTGAGAGGAGCATGGACTGGAAGAAGTCATGGTAGCCATTCATAGACTTTCTGTCTGTACATTCCCAGAACAGTGTTCCTTCAATTATTTCATTATGCCCTTATAAGAGAGTACTAAAGTAGTGTGTATGAATTGCAATGCTTGTTTTAGATTTTTTTTTTTTTTTTTGGAGGTAAGTTAGGCAGTAATTGAGTTTAGGAAGACAGCATTGTGATGATCCTGAAGTTTGTTATTTTTTAATTAGTGTAACTAGGTGAATAAAATTTGATGATGTGGACAATAAAGTTCTGCTGGGTTCTCATCTGAAAAGATGTATCTTTGACCTCTGGGAGGATAGGCTACAATAAATGTTTACATAAAGTCACTACAGAAAGCCATTTATATGATACACAGAGGATTTCAAAGGAAAGGAGTATTAAAACACCACTCAGTTTCTCCCTTTCCATTTTAAATGATTTAATCAATAGAATGTGTCCATGGCTTGCTTATGAAACTCTAAATCCATTGATCTAAGCTCCAAAATGATATTTGAAGAGTCCAGAATAAACTCCCCACAGTGGAATTTCAGGGTGTTTAAAACCAGATATTTTTTTGACACCAGCTCACATCATGTTTGGAGTTCATGCCCTCAACCTATGTTTTACTGTTATATCCTAAGGCATTTACTAATTCACAATTACTGGTGTATTTCCAAAGGTTATATATGACTCTGCAAGAATCTTCAAATTATTATTTTTGCACAGCAGAGAGAGAGAAAGCTGCTCAATAGAGCTATCCAGAGCTGAGGAAATATCCCATTGTTTCCTGTTGAGGGGAAATTACACAATTCTGGGAGAACAGGCAATCTGTAATCTACCACTATGAAGCATTCAAAGTTATGATTTGTTTTCTCCCAGGATTTTTGTTTACAAATGAAGGAGAAAAAAAAAAAACATATGCTCCAGACTCCATGGAATATATTTCATCTGCTTTAGATGAGGCAGGAGACTGAATATACTTATAGTCTAGTCCACAGGACTAAATGTTTACTAGCACAATAAAAGAAGCTCCTCACCTCTGTGACCAGAGTTGTTTGATGATTTTAATCTATAGCTTATAAATTCCTTAGGATCGACAGAAAACACCACAGCTAATCCAATTAGCTAATGCCTGAAATGCTTTCCCTGTGGATTCTGCTGGTTTCCAAAGTACTTACTCAAAACCCAGTATTTCCTCTCCTTGTGCATCAATCAATTCTCCTTGTTTGCATCCAAACTGAATATGCTCAGATCGCTTCAAAATGGACCATCTTTCTCTCCCCAGTGTGACTCACATGACCCATTCCTAATGAATAGATTCTTATGGCCAACATTTTAAAGGGCCACCCTTCTGTGTGTGCAGTTAACACATTTTCAAATGCCAATTGGCATGTGTGTCTTCCTGTGGTGTAATTAGGCATGCAAATGTAGTAATTGCACATGCAAATTTCTCAGACCAAAAAGATGGGAGGTTTCAAAACGTGGTCCCAGTGTGATCTCTCTCTACATTTCTCTGGAAACTCCCTTCATTTGAAGCCAAGACTCAGGATGGGGTTCCAACTAATGTTTATCTTTGGCTACTTCAGTGGTTTTTGTATTTATTATATTTCAGAATTTTAATTTTTTTGTCAATTTTTAGTTTAATTTTCCTTATCCTCTATGTTGAACTTCTCAGTGTAAGCCATGTAGAGCTAGAACATTGCTATGGGGCAGTTGACTTAGTGATCAGGAGTTGCGTGAGGTCTGTGCTGTTAAGCTCTAAAGAATTGTGTGTTTAGGGAAAGTAACTCTGCAATGAGTATCAAGTGACCATAGGTTACATCCCAGCTCTGTCACTAGTTGTATGACCTTGAACAACCCTCTCTAATCTCTCTGAGTTATAGTTTTCTTATTAGAATAGAGAGAAATTTGTGATGGTCTTTTCTTGTTTTGTTTTGTGCTATCTTGTGGTTTTCTTATAATTAAAAAATTCTATAAGCTATAAAAATTAAGTTCGTGTTTTTTGTTCATTTCTCTTTAGACACAGAGGGCTGAGATTCCTTCTTCTTAGGAATCCATAGACTTTTTTCTTATTTAGTCAAGAATCACTTCCTGACCCCCAGAGTTTATCCATGTTCTGTTCTTTGGGGCTTTACTGGTTTGGTTCATAATGGTTATCTTTGAAAAAAAACTTTCATATAAGATTTTGGTGAGTTTGTAAATGTGCTTGGGTGTCGCATAGATATCTGTGCTGGGCAGGACCTTTTGAAGATTTTTATTTTGCAGAAATGTTAACAAAAGCTCAGTTAACTAGTTAATTATTTTTCTCTTTTCTGCTCAACTTGTTTTTATCTCAGAAGGGAATTACCTCTAAGAATCATATTTCTTTTTGGCGGCGTTTTGAGTTTTCCCAGTGTTTATTTTAATTGTTTCAGTCTATATACAGGCTTTCAGCCATTTTGTCCTATTGTGGCTCCCTCATCATCATTATCTCCAAAAGGTTAGTTTGTACTGGATCAAAGCTGCCTACATATATCCTCTGCCAAGATGATAGCCTGGATCGTTTATTTGTTTGTAACGTTAATGCAGAAATTGTGTCATTTTAATGTATATAAATTTGGTTGCATTAAACACTCATGTTTCTCATGTTAATAGCCCATCAGAAATTAACTTTGAAAAATACTTTTTAAATATTATTTTAAAATGTATTCAATATATTAATATCCACCTTAATGTTATTCTACAGTTTTATGTTGTTATAGATACTGTTCTGGTATATGCTTTCTGAGTATGAAAAACTCATGTTATACTAGCCATTTTTATTATATTTGTTTAAGACTAATAGCACCTATTCCAGGTCTTCTTGTTGCTAAACCTTCTGTAGCCAACTCCAGGGAATAAAAGGCTATTAGTAGAATAGCGGGTAATCTGAAATATCCAAATTGTGAAAAATGTGACCAAGACTCACAGTAGCTTCCCCACTCTAGGGTTGCAATTTCTCAGCCTCTTTCAGCATATTAATTTCATTCTCTTCTCTCCCAAATAGTTTTTCTCTTCTGCCTCTTACTTTTGACATATATGAGAAATTTTGCACACAATATCATACGCTATCTATTCTATTTTTTCTCTGCTTCGTCACTGCTGTTTTCCTACCTGCCTCCTCTACTCCTTTTACCCTGGCCTCTTTGCTGAAGTCCCCAGAACAGGTCAGGCTGGACACTTACTATTGGGAGTTCCCTCTACCTGGGGCTTTTTTTTCATAATATATTCTCTTGGATAAATCTTTCTTATATCTTTTAAATCTTTTCTTATATCTTCATGTCCTGTGACTCCTCCCCTCCCTACCCCAAGAGTCTTGGCTTTGCTTATCCCATTTGTTTTTCCTTTGTTTCGTAGGTTTTATCACTTTCTAATATATTGTATCATGTCTTATTTATTAAGTGTATGGTTTATTATCTATTTCTCTCCCACTAGATTGTAAGTTCCCAAGGGTATAGATCTTTATCTCTTTTATTTGCCAATGTGTCCCAATTGCTCAGAAGAGTGCCTAGCACGTAGCAAGCTCTCAATAAAATGTTTTCTGAATTAATGAATAAATGATGCTATCTTTCTGTTCAACTCCACAGGACGTTAGAAGTGCAGAGCACCACAAATTTTCATCTCAATTTATCAACTGAAAAAAAGATAATTTACCCTGCCCAGCCAATAATTTTTTTTCTTTAAGTATCCACCTGTGGTCAAATCTGCATCTGTTGAGGACAAAATAACTGGATTTTTTAACCTAGGTCCCATATAGAAGGCTCAAGGAGCAGGGGCATATTCTCTTGGAAGTAAGTTGTGAGGGAGAGTGAGATTTCCATCAAATCTCTCTTGTGTTCCAGTTTATTTCCTATAGAACTAAGATATTAAAATAGAAATGAGGACTGGTCAAATTAATGTTTTGTTTAATGACAGAAAAAATATAGTAAATGAAAGAACCTGAAATGATTTGATGACAGTAGTGTGTACATTGGATTGTATTAATATCTAAGAATGTTCTAGGCACCTTAAAAGATACTCACTTGGAAATCAAGAGCTACCTGTCTTAACCCTTTTTTCACCACACTTTGTGTCCCTGGATGTGTCCCATTGCTTTGCTGGCCCTCAGTTTCTTCAGATGTAAAATGCAAAGATTACCCTAGATGATCTTATCATTCTATGTATGATTCTGTGATTTATATTATTTCTACAAAACAGGAAATAATTAGTTTGGGCAATTTTATGAGCAAAAGAAATGAACAAAATAATTTGTTTGTTGACCTATGACTTGTTAGATATCTATTTCCAAAATGAGAGTTGTCATCTGTCATCATCATCATTTTGCCACATGCTAAAATAAATCATAGCAATGGTGGTATTTGGAGAACTAGTTAAATGCTAATTTCATAAATGGTATCCTTGCTGTGCTGATATTTCTGCAGTTGACATTGATACAGCTGACATTGAACACAATTAACTGAACAAATGCGTGTAGAAGAAAATGGAAAGAGGAAAGAGCATATAGAAAAGTGATACACGTATTCTTTTTTTTTTTGATACATGTATTCTTAATGCTAAGTAATATCTTATCTGACTGTGTTTTTTTTTTGTTTTTTTTTTGAGATGGAGTCTCACTCTGTCGCCCAGGCTGGAGTGCAGTGGCGTGATCTCGGCTCACTGCAAGCTCTGCCTCCCGGGTTCACGCCATTCTCCTGCCTCAGCCTCCCGAGTAGCTTGGACTACAGGTGCCCGTCACCACTCCCGGCTAATTTTTTGTATTTTTAGTAGAGACGGGGTTTCACCATGTTAGCCAGGATGGTCTCAGTCTCCTAACCTGGTGATCCGCCTGCCTCGGCCTCCCAAAGTGCTGGGATTACAGGCGTGAGCCACCACACCCGGCCTAAGTGGCTTCTTAATATAAATATCAAGAAGTACATGTTGTCTCCCCTGCTAAATTTCTTAATGTCTTAGACTTCTGGCTTTGACCTAGAACATCTCCATCAAGTGTGTCATATCCAGAAGATGTTTATAATTTTATAATTTAGTCATAATGGAATAGCATTCCGTGAGGTAATCATAACTCCCAAAGTGCATATACAATGTGCTTATTCTATTCTTGAATTATTAGTTACTGTCTAATAGGTTATTTGTGTACTTTTTATATTTTTAGTCAGTTATCCAATAAATATGCATCTAAGCCTAAGTGGTAAGCATTGGGAGAAAACTACATGAATAACATAACATTTTTACCTTCATAGAATTTGTATTCTAGTAGGTAAGTCTGAATTGTAAACAAATATTAACATTAGATATACATTAAGCAATTGGGGGAACACTGAAGAGGAAATGGATGATGAACCTTTTTTTCATCCACATCCCAAACAGGAGATGGCACTTTCTTTGGAGTTAACTGTATAGGTGAAAGGAGCAAGAACTTGCTAATTCCAGGCAGAGGAAAATGGCTGTTTGGAGGCTTTGACAGTGAGCAGGTCCAGTGCTCAACATTTCAGTGTATGGAATTCACATATATGCATTTCAGTGCATGGAGTTTACATATGTGCATTTCAATGCATGGAATTCAAATGTGTGCATTTCAGCACATGGAGTTTTTATGTGTGCACTGTGAGTTCAAGGGATGGTCCCTGCTGACAAGAGAGGAATAAGCACAGAGTTCATAATAATCTTGCAGAAGAAGGGAAATTCTAATCAGTGAATCAGCTTCTTCAGTATTACATTTAAAAAATATCATTTTAGCAGTGACTCAAGATGCCCACTTAGAGTATTCAGAGACCAGTTAAAGCCATTGCTGTCTTCAAGTTTTGTTCACTAAAACGCTATTTCAAACCAGCGTGCTTTTTGTTAAAAATTAGAGAAAGTGGCCAGGCGCGGTGGCTCACACTTGTAACCCTAGCATTTTGGGAGGCCGAGGCTGGTAGATTGCCTGGGTTCAGGAGTTTGAAACCAACCTGGGCAACACGGTGAAACCCCATCTCTACTAAAACACAAAAAATTAGCCAGGTGTGGTGGTGTGCGTCTGTAGTCCCAGCTGCTCAGGAGGCTGAGGCAGGAGAATTGCTTGAACCCAGGAGGCGGAGGTTGCAGTGAGCTGAGATCACACCATTGCACTCCAGCCTGGATGACAGAGCAAGACTCCATCTCAAAAAAAAAAAAAAAAAAGAAATTTGAGAAAGCAACAGTGTTGAACAATCCTATCTCCATCCAGCTGCCATCCCTATGCATTCACACTTTATGCTTAATTGTTTAAACTGATCTTGTTAAACCTTTTTTTATTTTTAAGACTAATAAATAATTATCACTGTAATTATTAATAGAATTTAGTAACTATTTACAAAGCCTTCAAGTGTAAAGCTATGACATATTAATAATAATATCTATGATATCTCATAATAGAAAACAAAATGATTTTTAAAATCTCTCTATTATTTTATTATTAGAGCCCTACTTCTGATCCTCTTACCTGCTGGTATTCTTAGAAAAGTGATCACTTTTTACTTTATGTGTCTCAAATTAAGTGGCAGGACAGAGGTGAGAAAGAGGCAGGCCTACTACCCACCTGAACAAAAGCTCCAAAGGAGTTCTGGACACCACTCAGGGAAAGTAGGAGAAATAACTCAGTAAGTTTGCATTTAGCTGTAGTTATCACACTCAAATAAATTCAAAATCCAATACTTCTTCACCTTTCTGGTTGTTTCCTCAGTATGGCCATGAAAAAAAAAACAGGCTAGATTAGTAATTTATTAGATATTGCTTTAAACTTCTGGTAGGTGAGTGTAATGTGTAGATAAGTTTGAGATCCACTAATGCAGTTCGATGTGGCTCCATCTCTCAACTAAAAGGAATATGCAAGCAAACTCAATCACATTTTTACACCAAAACAGTTTTGTTTGACTTAGTAACTTTCAGGAATTGCTAGTGATGATGATGATGGTGATGGTGATGATATTGTTCTTGGTGGTGATAATAGTGATAATGGCAATTATAAAGATGGTGTTTACATCCTAATGGCAAAAATTGACCTTTTTGCTTTTCGGGGCACATATGTCTTTTTCAAAATCCAATTTGGTGCACCTCCATGAGCATGCATAAACCATTGTACAACCTGTTATAAAAATGTTTTGCTTTCAATCATAATCCTAGCTGGGACAATATATAGGTAATATTAAGATACCGATTTAATGTTTCCACTTTCAAAACCATAGTACATTATTGCAGGTTACTCTTTGTTGATGATTTGTTAATTTTAACCTGCCATAAGTGGGATTCTCAGACTCAGTTTTATCTCCTTCAAGGCTAAATATTTCCCATTGAGTGTGTTTACCACCCAGGTTATGTGTATATGTGTCAATGTGTGCACTCACATGTTGGTTTTAGTTTGGTGATTCTTTTATATCTTTATTTTCCTCCTACTACAGAAGATACTTATTGGAATGAAGCCCTCTTAACAGATAGAAGACCCCCAAGAAGCCTGGAGTGGTTTGGCCAAAAAAAAAAAAAAAAAAAAAAAAGTCTCAAGCTTGCTGCTCGATGGGGCTTTGCCAAACCAACATAGCTCTAATTGCATCTTTCCACCCCCTTCTCTCCCTGCCTCTCCCTTCTTCCCAATCGTCCTTTGTGTGTACTGAAAAAAAAATATTTTTATAATACATACTGCATGTACAATGAGTTTCAGAGCATTTAGTAGCCAAAAAAATGTAGATTTTTTTATTAGTAGTAGCTCTCCAATGGAGATAATATTTATAGAATGGGCCTGCATGTTTGTATTTTCAAAGATAAATAAAATGAATAATATCCAAACATGATAATCAACATGTCAGTTTTCAAGTACATTGGCATTTAGCATGAATGCTTGCTACATACTTATTCTGTAAAGAGTAAAGGATAGACATTAGTACCAACTTCCTGGGGAATGGTATTTTCAGCATTATTTCAATATGAACAGTCTTCTTTTGTTATAGCAGGTATAATATAACCATAGGAGGAAAATGAAAAATTACAAATGTATGCAAAGTTTTCATCGAGCCCTTTTAGCATGAAAATAGCTTTATACGCTTTTCTGCTGTTATTTCATTCTCTAAGTAATAGAATGTATTTGAAGATGAGTTCTTCAGTGTATTAGGCTGTTCTTGAATTTCTGTAAAATAATACCTGAGACTGGATAATTTAAAAGAAAAGAGGTGTAATTGGCTCATGGTCCTGCAGGCTGTACAGGAAACGTACTTTCAGCATCTGCTTCTGGGGAGGCCTCAAGAAGCTTTTACTCAAAGAGGGAGCAGGCACTTCACATGACGAAAGCAGGAGCAAGAGAGAGTGGGGGGGTAGTGCCACATACTTTCAAACAACCAGATCTTATGAGAACTGACTCACTGTTGTGAAAACAGCACCAAGCAATGAGGGGTCCATTCCCATGGTCGAATCACCTCCCACCAGGCCCCACTTCCAACATTATGGATTACAATTTGATGTGAGATTTAGGCAGGGACAAATATTCAAATTATATCATTCAGCATTTCCATTGCATTCTCTGGGATCATTCTGCATTCTCTGGGAGCTTTTTCTATGTGTTTGTTACATCATCTATTTTGTTTTTTGCCTGAGAAGGCCACATGATGTCTGCCCCCTCTTGATTTTTTAGATGCATCTATATGTGTTTGTTCAGATTATCTGAGATAAAATGAGAATTTTAGGTTGCTAATTTTCTAAGTTTGGGACTTTGATTAGAGTCAACAACCCTGAAGTTCTGTGTGGCATGGTGGAAAAGAGTTCATTATCAAGAAGTCTGCTCTGGTTGAGGATTCAGGCATTGCTACCTTTTAGCCAGATACCCTTCAATATATTAGTACATTATAAATCTTTATATACTTCAATTAATGCATTTGCAAAATGTGATTACTCCTCCTTTTTGGTGAGGTTTGACAGAGCTGACATGAGTGGAGTACAGTTCACAAAGCAAGCTCTCTAGACCCCTCTATTCATCCACCTTTCATGCACACTTGCTGGGGAGAGAGCTCAGGTGACCTATTGATGATGCCAGTGTTATTATCAAAGGCAATGCTTAAGGTTTTTTGGTATTTTGTCTCAGGTAAGTCATTGTACAAAGCATATATGCCATGACGCGTTGGTAAGTCTTTAATAAATGGCTTTGTGGAAGAGAGTTGGTAGGGGTTCTGCTTTGCAATGTTTGCTGATATCTGTGGTGTAAATACACCCACCATAGTCTACTTCAAACTATTAATGTGACAACACTAAAGGTCCAGCTGGTAAGAAATGCATCATGATACAGTATTTCTAGTATACAGATAAAAATATGTAAATAACTTCAAGGGCATAGATAATAGTGGAATGTAGTAAAATTATTAGGGAGTGGTAAGTTGTATTTAATATGCTCATTTTTAATATAACATATTTAACTGAATATTTATATAATGTAATTGCTAATAATGATGTTGTTTAAAAACTGGCTCACCAAATTCCTAAAAATTTAAGTTTCTGCTCTTGCAAGTCAGCACCAGCAGGCTCCTTCATACCTCTGCATATTTATCAGCAAGTCCCTGGTCCTTTGAAGTTAGCAATGTGAAATAGAATTAAAGCCAAACAGCCCTCTAAGGACAGAGTGCACTGACACAAAGGATAAGTAAGTCATTAACAACATGTGCATGTTGTTAAATGTAAGTGGCATGGTGCTAAGTAGTGAGAGTTTGTGTGTAAATACAATGAGACCTGAGGGAAATCACTACTTCTCAAGTAATTAGTGGAGGACAGATCCCAGTGGTCAGAGTGCATCCCCAGAGAACTGGCCTTCTTGCTAAGACCCTTATGGAATATTCTGACCACTCTGCTCTGGAGGAGTTTAGGGCAGCATACATAGCCCATTTATTTAAATTGATGTGTCCCCCAAGGGGGTGCATTTCAGGGTAGTGGCTTTTTAAGATGGTGTTTTAATTTGCTGCTTTAATGAATTTAATTTTTCACGTTCTTTGTGGCTCCTAAAATTGTTTTGCTTGTTTGTCTGTTTGTTTTGCCTTGAACTCGTGTTTGTATGTATATTTGTCAAAAATAATACACCTGTTTATATAGCAATAAATACAACCCAAATAAGCAAATTATTATTATTAATTTTTTAAATTTTGGGAAAAAATTACATATCAACATAAATAAATATTGTTTGGGTGTCCAGGAAATAGTTCCAGGTTCGGGGCATTTAAACAATCCCATTTCTCAGAGAATGGAATGTTGATTTTCACCTTTAATCCTTTGGAGTCATTTTCATAGGGTGTGTACGACAGACGCTCAAGCCACCTGTCTTCCATGATGATGGTGCTTAATCCCACAGAAAGGTAATTTATCTTTTTCTGGGTGTATGTTTCACCTCCCAGGGTTTCAAACTATATCCAGGCCAAGATAATTGATGACCTTATTACCACTATTTGAGCTCTGCTGGTGGCATGCTGAGACCCATTTCCTTGAGGCAGAAACCTAATGACCCACCCCTTCTATCCCGAACTCCAGTGGAGATTTCAATCTCTTTGTAAATCATAATGAAAAAGAAATAGCTACAAAATGATTTTTGACAAAAAAGTATACATTTTCATATGCCCATTTGCTTGACTGGTAAACTGTGGCAGAGACCACTTGAATAGAATTCCAAAGCTTTATTCTTATACTCTGCTCCAAATATTTATGAAGCAGTGCTTTTTTGGTCTGTTTAAAAGAGAACATATTCCCCAATTCTCACATTTCTCAGCTTGATTTGGCTCAATAGCAAGTAAGAATACTTTTCAGTTATATTCTTTGTCTCACTGTGAGACAAAAACAAACTGCATTTTCTTTTTACATATTCTGAATTTATTTAAAGTGTGCAGAGCTTCTTTCAATTGAACTTAAAGAACACCTACACCAAATTCCAATTATTTTACTGAATCATTCTGGTCACAACTATGGTGACATTTTTACTAAATACATCTACCAGGTTAGAGATTCAGGCTATTTTATATATAGAAGACAGCTTGTTTTTTTAATCTCAAGAAATCTTTGAGATTATCTAGTTTCTTGTTCTCAATGTGTGCAGGGTCCACAAATATTAATTGGTTGATATATTTCATCCTTATTCCATTCATTCACATTGCTTTTTACCACTGGCTTCCTTTACATTTTTCAAGCCTTCAAATGCATTCCCTTCATGAGACCTTCACAGGCTTGTTTCTTCTGACTGGAATTCTCCCTCCAAAGCTCCTTTTCACACTCATATCTTATCTGCAGGACCCTGCTCCATTAGTCTACATTCCGTGATTGGTATTTTTCCTTCATAATGCTCCTTGTCATTTTCAGTTCCTTTTCTTTTGCATTTTCTTCCTTAGCTTTTCGTTGTCTCAAGTTTCCTGTCAATTAAGCCAATGCCTGGCTAGTTCATATCCTTATATCCAAAATCTTGCACAGTACAATAAATGTTACTGCACGATATGGTGACTATAGTTAACAACAATGTATTGTATTCTTGAAAATTGTTGAGAGTATATTTTAAGTATTCTCACTCCAGAAATGCTAAGTATATGAGTTAATGCATATGTTAATTAGCTCAATTTAGACATTCTACAACATATACATCGTTCAAAACACGCGATACATAATATGTACAATGTTTGTCAATTAAAAAATAAATTAAAAAAATAATTGCTAAAATGAAGGACTGAACAATTGAATGAGTAAATAAACAAATATCAACTTTGCCATCAAATTACTGGATAAGAATTAATCAAATATACTCCAATAGAAATAGAAGATGGGTAAGGAAGAGTTTGTTAAATGATTATTTTCAAACTTTCTGACATCAGTCATGTAATTGGCTACATTAAAGATGGTAATACCTGGCAAAGGGGTTGCCTCTTTTCTCTTTACACACCAAGGGCAAACATTCCGAAGCTATTCATAAGCGATTTTGTTACTAAACTTAGATTTCAACTATAGCCCATATCAAAGCAGAACACTAGGCAGTCACTTTCAATGAGTCTGAGAAACCTACTTGCCACATTTGTTCTATTTGTTATTACTTCATATTTATGCTTTAAAAAAAAATTAGTATGATGCTCAACTGTAATGTAGACATGAAGATCTGGTGATCTTTTCATCTGAATGTTTTTGATAATAGTACAAATGAAGTATATTCAGATATTTATTTATTTAAAAAAATTTTTTTTTTTTTGAGACAGTTTTGCTGTTGTCGCCTAGGCTGGAGTGCAATGGCACGATGTCGGCTTACTACAACCTCCATTTCCTGAGTTCAAGCGATTCTCCTGCCTCAGCCTCCCGAATAGCTGGGATTACAGGCACATGCCACCACGCCTGGCTAATTTTTGTATTTTTAGTAGAGACGGGGTTTCACCACGTGGGCCAGACTGGTCTCAAACTCCTGACCTCAGGTGATCTACCCGCTTTGACCTTCCAAAGTACTGGGATTACAGGCATGAGCTACTACACTCGGCATCAGATATTTATTGAATGAGTAACAGTGAGTTTCAGAAACATGTAAATTCCTAGCTATTTATTTATTCTATTCATGTGTACTTTCTGTTTTGGGGTGGAAGGACAATAAACTAATGCAGGCAATTTTAAACTAAATTTAGAATGTTAAAAATTATAGTAACCTGAATCTGCTTATGAAACATATATGGAAATACACAATCAAACTGAATTATAAATCTATGGTTCTTCACTCTTAGACCACTAATTTTCTGGATAAGCAAAAATATTGAGGAGATATTTTCCTTTAGGGCCTTTACTTTCCTTTTTTAAACAACCAAATATAGTAAGATTTGTGCTTCCTCCTCCTTCTTCCAGATTTCTAGTACACTCTGAGGGAAGAACTTTCTAGACTCCAGCTTTCTAAGAGTAGTACTGCATTTGCCATGCCATGTTTCCCATTAAAACATTTTCTTCTGGAGTACTGCTGACAGTTTATTGCTTCTTTAAATAATGCTCTTTGGCAGTGTGATCCAATCCTAGTAGATTATTTACTCATTTTTTAAGTTTTCTATTTCTATATATTATTTTGTTTCTCACTGTTAAATATAGCCTATGTACAAAAGATTGTATATAACATTACCCTGCAGTATTTAATGTTAATAATAAATATACAATAATAAACAAATAAATTAGTTCTCACATATTCAGTACTCAGATTCATAAACACAAAATTACTAAACTTTTGAAAACCCCTATGGATTCCTGCCTCAATTCCAGTTACCACTATTCCATATTTATGCTCATTGATGCCCTGCATCCTTTATAATTTTACCACATTTGGTTTCGTAAAACAACATAATCCTTAATCAACTTAATCAAGGTACAAGTTACAAATAAGAAAAGGATATCAGTTCAATTTTATACTTTGTCGAGTTTTTATTAATACATTACGTATATTGCTATGTAACTATCAGGAAAATGCAGATGTAGAATTTATCCATAACCAGTTCCCTGGAGTCACATCTAGACTACCATATGCATGGACTAATTTGGTATAGTATCTTCCATGTCTGGCTTCATTTGCTTAACAAGGCACTTCTGAGATTCATCATGTTTTGTTTGTCAGTAGCTAATTTTTTAAATTGCTCACTAGAATTCCATTGTATGGATATACTACAGTTCATTTTTCCATTTTTCCATTGATAAGTTCATAGATACTTTATTTGTTTCGAGTGTTTAGCTAGCATGAATAAAGATGCTATAAACATTTGCATACTTTTTTTGTGCGGACATATGTTTTTCTCCCTCTTGGTAAATATCTATGGATTTGCTGAATAATTTGGTAAATATATGATTAAATTCATTGAGAATGGCCAAATTGTTTTCCAAAGTGACTGTATCATTGGCATTCTCACTGTATGAGTGTTTCAGTTTCTCCAAATTCTTGTCAACACTTAGTACAGGCTGAGGAGGTGTTTTTTTTTTATTTGTTTTTTACCATTCTAGTGAGTTTGTATTGGTTTGTGGTGGTATCTACTTTTAATTTCTATTTTACCAACTGGTAACGCTGTTGAGCATTTTTAATAATAATATTTAGGTAGAATTCATATATTTATTTTTTTAAATTTCAAATCTTTTGCACATTTTATTGTTAGTTATGTTGTTTGCTTTTTTATTACTGATTTTTAAGAGTTCTTTATATACTCTAGAAACAAGTTTTTATCAGCTACATTTTCTGTAAATATTTCCCGAGTCTTTTTGTATTTAAAATAATACCTTACAGAAAGCAGAAGTTTTTACTTTCAAGAAAGTCTTATTACCTTTTAAAATCTTTTGTGGTTAGCGTAGTTTAGCAATATTTGCTTTATTCAAAGTAAAAAGTCCAAAGTCCGAAGATATTAGTTTTATCTTTTTAGAATTCACTGGTATACCCTTCTTAGCCTGGTGAGATTTTGGTTGTTGTTGTTTGTGTGTGTTTGTAGGTGTGTGTGTTGTAGAAAGGTTTATAACAAGAAGTTTATCTCATTAATGGATTTCATATGTTATCAAATTGAATGTACAATTTTGTAATACTATTTTCTTAATAATTTTAGAATTTTTGCTGAAGTTGTAGTGATGTCTCCTCTTTCATTCCTGATAGTTTGTTGTCTCTTTTTTTTCCTCTATCAGTCTGGCTAGAGGTTTATCAATTTCACTGAACCTCCAACATATTCAGCCTTTCGTTTCATTGACTTTTTTGTTCTGTTTTCTGTTTTCAGTTGTGTCAATTTCTGCACTTCATTATTCCCTTTCTTCTGCTTACTTTGGTTTTAATATGCTCTAGTTTGATATTTTCCTAATTTCTTACAGTGGAAGCCTCCATCATTGCTTTTAGACAGCTCTCCTTTTTAAATAAAAGCATTATGTTTTGTGCTGAATTGTGTCTCCCTACTCCCAAAATTCATAGGTTAAAGTCCTAACCCCCAGTATTTCAGAATGTGACTGTATTTGGAGATAGAGCTTTTTAATTGGAAATAAAGGGAAAATGAGGTAATACAGATGAGCCCTAATCTCCTGTGACTGGTGTACTAATAAGAAGAGGAAATTAGGACATAGACATGCACAGAGGGAAAATCAAGTGAAAATGAAGATGGCCATCTACAAGCAAAGGCAAGAGACCTGAGAACAAACCAGCTCCACTGAAAACCTTAATCTCAGATTTTTAGCCTCCAGAACTGTAAGAAAATATCTGTGATTTAAGCCACCCAGTATGTTGTAGTTGTTATGGCAGCCCTAGCAAAGTAATACACATTGTTTTAACTGCCTCTGCCACATTTTCTTCAACTTTTAAGTTTACGTTCAGGGGTGCATGTGCAGGATATGCAGGTTTGTTACATAGGTAAATGTGTGCCATGGTGGTATGCTGCACAGATCATCCCATCCCCCAGGTATTAAGCCCAGCATCCACTAGCCATTCTTCCTGATCCTCTCCCGCCTCCCACCCACAGCCCTCCAACAGGCCTCAGTATGTGTTGTTTCCTGCAATGTGTCCATGTGTTCTCATCATTTAGCTCCCACTTACAAGTACTTAGAGAACATGTGGTATTTGGTTTTCTGTTCCTGCATTACTTTGCTAAGGACAGTGGCCTCTAGCTCCATCCATGTCCCTGCAAAGGACATTATCCTGTCTCCTTTTAATGGCTGCATAGTATTCCATGGTGTATATGTACCACATTTTCTTTATCCAGTCTATCACTGATGGGCATTTAGGTTGATTCTATGTCTTTACTATTGTGAATAGTGCTGCAATGAACATATCTGCACATATGTCTTTATAATAGAACAGTCTATATTCCTTTGGGTATATACCCAATAATGGTACTTCTGGGTCAACTGGTATAATATCTCTGTTTCCAGGTCTTTGAGGAATTGCTACACTGTCTTCTACAATGGTTGAATTAATTTATATTCCCACCAACAGTGTAAAAGCATTCATTTTTCTCCACAACCTCTCCAGCATCTGTTATTTTTTGACATTTTAATAATAGCCATTCTGACTGGTATGAAATGGTATCTCATTGTGGTTTTGATGTGCATTTCTATAATGATCAGTGAGGTTGAGCTTTTCTTCATAGGTTTGTTGGCTACATGATGACTTCTTTCGAGAAGTGTCTGTTCATATCCTTTGCCCCCCTTTGTTGTTGTTTTTTTTTTTTTTTTTTTAGATGGAGTCTTGCTCTGCTGCCCATGCTGGAGTGCAGTGGCATGATCTCGGCTCACTTCAACCTCTGCCTCCCAGGTTCAAACAATTCTCCTGCCTCAGTCTCCCTAGCAGCTGGGACTACAGGCACATGCCACCACACTCAGTTAGTTTTTGTATTTTTGGTAGAGATGGAGTTTCAGCTCTACTTGGCCAGGCTGGTCTCGAACTCCTGACCTGGTGATTCACCTGCTTCGGCCTCCCAAAGTGCTGGGATTACAGGTGTGAGCCACTGAGCCTGGCTTTTTTTTTTTTTTTTTTTTTTCTTGAGACGGAGTCTTGCTCTGTCACCCAGGCTGGAGTCAATGGTGCGATCTCAGCTCACTGCAACTTCCGCCTCCTGGGTTTCAGCGATTTTCCCACCTCAACCTCCCAAGTAGCTGGGACTACAGATGTGCACCACCATGCCTGGCTAATTTTTGTATTTTTAGTAGAGACGGGTTTCACCATATTGGCCAGGCTGGTCTCCAACTCCTGACCTCGTGATCCGCCCTCCTTGGCCTCCCAAAGTGCTTGGATTATAGGCCTGAGCCACCGCATCTGGTCCCTTTACTCACTTTTTAATGGGGTTGTTTTCTTTTTGTAAATTTAAGTTTCTTATAGATACTGGATATTAGACCTTTGTCAGATGCATAGATTACAAACTTTTTCTCCCATTCTGTAGGTTGTCTGTTTACTCTGTTGATAGTTTCTTTTGCTGTGCAGAAGCTCTTTATTTTAATTAGATCCCATTTGTCAATTTTTGCTTTCTCTGCAACATTTTGATATGATGTGTTTTTATTTAAGTTTTTTTCTCGTAATTAATTATATTATACATGGTTTCTTGGATTGTTTAATTTTTATAGATTATCTTATCTTTCTTCCATTTAAACTTTTCGGTTTTTTGTTTTGTTTTCATTTTAGTTTTTTGTTTGTTTACTTTTGGTGTGATTAAGAAAGACATTTTGGCCGGGCGCTGTGGCTCACACCTGTAATCTCAGCACTTTGGGAGGCCAAGGTGGGTGGATCACCTGAGGTCAGGAGTTAGAGACCAGCCCAGCCAACATGGTGAAACCCCATCTCTACTAAAAATACAAAAGTTAGCCAGGCGTGGTGACCCGCGCCTGTAATCCCAACTACTCAGGAGGCTGAGGCAGGAGAATTGCTTGAACCCAGGAGGCGGAGTTGCAGTGAGCAGAGAACACACCACTGCACTCCAGCTTCAGCCACAAGAGTGAACTTCTGTGTTAAAAAAAAAAAAAAGAAAGACATCTTATGCCTTGCTTTTTAGTTCAAAATATAATTTATCTTTGTCAATATTTAATGTTTACTTGATATGCTGTGTATTCTGCTATTGATAGGTCAAGTGTTCTAAACTGTCAATTAGGTCAAATTGACTAATATTTTATGCAAGCTTTTTCTATCATTACTTAATTTGTGACTACATATTCTACCAACACTGGGAAAAAAGAATTGAAATATCAGAGTGTAATTGTTAGTGTATTTCTTTTATTAGTTATTTCAATTTGTTTCACGATTTTTATTCTGATATTAGGTGCATACACCTGTGAGACAGTTATGACTTTTTGATGAATTGACCTCATTTTCATTTTAATAAGTCCTGCTTTACTTTTGTTAATTTTAATTTTTGCTTGAATCTCACTTCTCTGACATCATTATAGCATTTTCAGCTTTCTTTTGATTTCTTGTTTTATAGTGTAGCTTTTCCAGTCTTTCACTTTTAATAAATATTGCCTTTATATTTAAAGCATGTCTTTGTGTAAACTTTTACATAGTTTAGTCTTACTTTTTCATCCAATGTAAAACTTTCTGTCTTTTATTTGGAATATCTAGATCTTTTGCACTTAATGAAATTCTTGATATGGTTGTCTTAAAATCTACCGTTGTGTTATATCCTTTCTATTTGTGTAATTTTTCTTTCTATGTTTTCCCTCTTTTTCTTCTTTCTTTTGTATCATCTGTTTTTATCCTTACACTTTATCTCCATTATTCCTTTATTAACTGCACTTCCTTTTATAATTTTAGTTGTTGCTTTAGGTTTAACAAGATAAAGTTGTTGCTTATAGTTTATCTTAACCATCATCATACTCCTTCACATAAAATGTAAGCACTTTCAGCAATCTACTTGCATCTCTCCTATTCTTTGTGCTTTTTTGTTACATAATTTACTTCTACATGTTATAAAACCCAAAATACATCATGTGGCATTTTTTATTTAAACAGTTAAATATATTTCATAGAGATTAAAATAAAAGATTTGTGTGTCGTGGGCGTGTGTGTATGTGTGTCTGTGGGTGTGTGTTACAAAATGTGTTTCCAACCTGTTTATCATTAGTGGTCCACTTCATTTATTTCTGCAGATTCAAATTTTAATCTGGTATTATTTTCCTTTGTCTGAAGAATTTCCTTTAACATTTGTTGGGGTTTAATTATCTGGTGATGAATTCTCAATTTATATTTTCTGAAAAAGGCTTCATTATGTTGTTACTTTTGAAATATAGTTTGCAAAGAAGATGGAATTCTAGTTTGACAGTTGTCAACTTCCACCCTTCCCACAATATTAAAAGATGTTACTCCCTTATCTTTAAGCAAACATGGTTTCTGGCAACAAGTTTTTCTGTTTATCTATCTGTTTGATTGTTTTGTTTTGTTTTCATATGTGTCTCTTTTCTTTGGATGGTCTTAAGATTTTTCTCTTTATCATTGGTATGTAGGAATTTGATTTTGATATGCCTTTAGATGATTTTATTTTTTCTTATTCTGCTAGAATTTTTATGAGATTCTTGGATCTGTGGTTTTATACTTTTTATCAATTTTGGTTGTAATTTCTTCAAATATTTTTGCTGTCTCCCATTCCTCTTCCTGGGACTCCAGTTATATATTCACACACACACACACTCTTTAGTTTTGTCCCCATGGTGCTCAGAATAATGCCTCCCCATCCCAAGAACACATCTTAGTGCCCAGAACCTGAGACTGACTATGGTATCTTACATGGTATAAGGGACTTTGCAAATATAATTGTAAGGTATGACATCAACTCACTGTTGTTGGCTTAAAAATAGAAAGAAGCCATGTGCCACGGAAGGGGGATAGCCTTTAGAAACTGGAAAAGGCAGAGATTGTACCCTAGAGCCTTCAGAAGGAATGTAGCCTGCCTGAACATTGACCATAGCCCAGTGAGTTCTATGTAGACCTTCTAACCACAGAACTGTAAAATAATGAATTTGTGTTGGTTAATTCACATCTCTGGTAATTTTTACAGTGGCAATAGAAAACTAATACAGTCCCACAGATTACTGATACTCTATTATTTTATAGTGTTTACTTTTCTCTTTGCTTTATTTTGGATACTTTCTATTCCTATGTTAATTTCAAATTTGATTTTTTTCCTTCTGCCGTATCTAATCACCTGTTAATCCTATTGAATATATTTTCCAAGTTGTATATTTATTTTTATCTCTACAAGTTCCAGTGGAGTGTTTTGTATCTTCATTCTCTGTCTTCATTACATCCACGTGGTCCTTTGTATCCTATTCTAAACTTTATGAAAGTTGTTTTAAGATTTTTGTCTTCTAATTCTATCTTCTCCCTAATCTCTATAGCTATTTCTATTAATTATTTTTTCTTACTGATTTGTATATCTGGGATATTTTTTGCATGGCAGGCATTCTGAAATTTATGTTGCTGAGTGCTGAATTTTGTAATATTCTCTTAAAGAATGTTAGGCTAGGCCGGGTGCGGTGGCTCACGCCTGTAATCCCAGCACTTTGGGAGGCCGAGGTGGGCAGATCACGAGGTCAGGAGATTGAGACCATCCTGGCTAACACCGTGAAACCCCGTCTCTACTAAAAAAATACAAAATTTTAGCTGGGCGTGGTGGCGGGCACCTGTAGTCCCAGCTACTTGGGAGGCTGAGGCAGCAGAATGACGTGAACCCGGGAGGCGGAGCTTGCAGAGAGCCGAGATCGTGCCACTGCACTCCAGCCTGGTCAACAGAGCGAGACTCCATCTCAAAAAAAAAAAAAAAGAAAGAAAGAAAAAAAAGGAAAAGAATGTTAGGCTATTCTGGCATGCAGGTAAGTAAGTAGGTAGACCAATTTGATTTTTTTGAGGCTTATTTTTTAAACTTTGTTAGGGAAAGAGCAATGTAGCATTTATTCTGATGCTAATTTAGCCACTAATAGAAATCCCTTCTGAGAATTCTAACCAAAGTTTTTATTATTACTATTTCAGAGACAAGGTCTTGCTCTATCACCCAGGCTGTAGTGCAGTGGTGCAATCATAGCTCACTGTAACCTCAGCAACCTCAAATCCTGGGCTCAAGTGATCCTTCCGCCTCAGCCTCTTGAGTAGCTGGGACTACAAACACAATGCCACCATTCTTGAATACTTTTTTTAATTTTTATTTTTTGTAGAGATAGGATCTTGTTGCATTGCCGAAGCCGGTCCTGAACTCCTGGCTTCAAGCGATTCTTCCACCTTGGCCTCCCAACGTGCTGGAAGTAGAGACACGGGCCACTTTGCCTGGACTGATTATTTATTTACTTGTTATGAGGTTGCTCTGGTAGCGATAACTTCAACTACTCCTAGCTTTTCACTGATGCTGGGAATCATTATTTCTACCCTCTTCTTGTGGAGTTTGTCTATGCATGACTCCATCAGTAACATGGCCAAAGGCACTCAGTGGGACCCTTCTGAAGATCTTGGGAGTTTTGCTTCTCTTCGGTACCATCATTTTCAATATTCTCTACAACTGTCTCAGCTTTCCTGAACTCCTACAAGTTTTCTCACCTCAGTGTAACCTCCAGGCTCTGTTTCATTTTTTTCTCCCTGGGATGTGGCCTAGAAACTGAATCCTGGTAGTAAACTGGGCAACTGTATGGCTCATCTTGTTTGCTTTCTTTCTCGTATGAATCACAGTTCTGTGCAGCATGTTGTCAAATATCTGTAAACAGTTCCATCTATTTTATGCTGTTTTTACTGTTTTTTTTTTTTATGATGGAATGGAAATTTCTATTGCAGATAATAATTCATGGACAGAAGTAGAAATCTATTTATATTTTGTCTTTTATTTTGAACTTTAAGTAAATAGAATCATATGTGTTCTGTTATTTCTTTTTGCTCAATATTATATTTAGAGATTCACACATGTTCCTGTATATAACTATTCTTCATTTACTTCCCTACTCTACAGTATTCAACTGTATGAATATATCAACAGTTATTCATTATTCTATTGGTGGGATTTTACCCCCCATATTTTGCTGTTTCAAAAATGCTGCTATGGACATTATGAAACATTTCTCCTAGCACTCTAAGCAAGAGTTTCTATATGCATTGTATTAATTATTAATTCATTCTCACATTACTACAAAGACATACCTGAGACTAGGTAATTTATAAAGAAAAGGATGTTTAATTAGCTCATAGTTCTGCAAGCTGTATAGGAAGCATGATGCTGGCATCTGCTTAGAGGAGGCCTCAGGAAACTTAGAATCATGGCACAAGGCAAAATGGGAGCACGCATCTCATACAGACAGAGTAGGAGCAAGAGAGCAAGGGAGGAGCTGCTAGACACTTTTAAATGACCAGATCTCAGAGAGTTCATTCACTCTCAAAGGGGCAGTACCAAGAGGGATGGTGCTAAACCATTTGTGAGAACCTGTCCCTATGATCCAATCACCTCCTACCAGGCCCCACCTCCAGTGTTATATGTGTGTGTCTCTATACATATATGCCAACAGCCAGTAGGAGGGAGGCCAAGTTCAAGAAAGAGAAACTCCTTTCTTTCACATCACTGCTCAAAAGCTACACAGACACTTCTGATTATATCTTATTATATACAAAAAAAAAACTTGGTTAAGGGTGGCTGGGAAATATTATTTTAATACAGAAAGCCACATGACTTAACTAAAAATTATGCATTCTATTACTAAAGAAGGAAGGGACAATAGTAGAAAGCCAACAGTTTCTGCCCCTTTATTATTTATTTAATTAAGTTACCTAAATGGTGGAGAACTGTTACACTTTAGAAATAGCAACAGGCCAGTAACTGCTGGAAACAGGTCTGTAAATGCAAGCTTCCCTTGCTCCATGTCTAGGTAACTGGGCAGCCAGTGAAATCTGCACCAATCCCCAGAGCTCCTCAGCAAAATTAAACAACTTTCTTGATAACACATACTTGAGTGACTGCCTTCTCTTCCCCGTATCGCTTTTTTTCTCTCCTACCTGTGTTTCCTGGGACCATCTCCCAAATAAACTGTTCTCTGTCTCTTTAAATATATATATATATATGCATGTGTGTTTGTGTGTGTGTGTGGGTATATATGCATCAGCTATTTAGAATATATATTCAGAGAGACAGAGAATGGCATATATATTTATATTTATACATATAATTTCTATAACATACATATAAATTAAATATATATTATAAAAATATATATGATTATGGAAAAATAATCTTTAAAACTTAATTTTATAAAAATGAAGAGCAAACTTTCAGGATCACTAGTAAGTATTCTACATCATATAGCAGACTTAAAGAAACCCTCTTTCTGTACTTTCAGTTCATATCTTTTCAGACAGATTCATTATTATTTTTACATAGGTCAGCTATAGACCCATCTCAGTGGATTCCTAGTGGATAATTAATTTCTTAGTAAAGTACTCAAAACAAAAGGACATTGACATCCAGAGAGTATTTCAGTAATCATGGCCAGAGTGATGCTGGTGTTTTATAGCAAAGAACATTCTGCTCATTAATGTACTCATAGCAAAAAACAACCGTCTTGTAACATGGGCATGTTTTGTAGCTCGCTGGCTTCTCCTGTGGCTTTGTTAAACACAGGAATCTTAAATGGGCTTATTGACTTTTTCCAATCCACATCAGCGTACCTCTCTTCTAAATAGCTGGTAGTAGAGGCTGCTGTATTCCATTGTTAGCAACACTTACTAAAATCAGTAATAGAACAGTGGGAGTAAAATCACAGAGGGGTATAAAAACTAGCACACTAAAATATTAAAGTCCAACTGTGAAAGCTTTCCATGATATTTTTTCTATATCAAAATGTGTTTTAAACACTTTTTGAGTATTATTATAATTAACTATAGTAGCTTTGTAAGCAGTTCCTTTTGTAAGAGAAAAACCTACCATCACTTAGAGGTTACTAGTTTTTGACATTGAGCTCTTAAGTGGGTAATTATATTTATTGAGAGGTGATGCTCACTTGACCACTTGGTGTTTCGTTTTGGGCCAAGGGGAAACAAGGCAGGTGAAGTGTTTTTATTTACAATGTAACAGATATTGCTATTGTGACTCCATTTCTCAGGCATAGTTGGTTAACTGAATGTTTTTTTTCCAGAAACTGAAATGTTCCTCTCTTTCCTGTTCTTGGGAAATTAAAAGCTTCTACCTTAGAGAAATGAGTGATACATTATCCACTCGCTCTAAATTGAACCCATTTGGAGCTATTTGCATCTTGTAGAAACCTACAGCTGAGTGCTCTGCTTAGAGGTGTAATGAGTGGTTGTCACAACACACTGGAGGTGGCCCCATAACAAAATGATCCCCTGTCAATCCTCTCACAGGAAATGCTTTGGCAACCTGTAATTCCGCCTCAGTATTAACATCCTGCCTGGGTTTTGTTAAATGGCACTTTCTAGGAAGTAGATCTGGGGAACTTATGTTTAATAATGTTTTAAGAGGAATATGTGATGGAAGTTTTAGAAAGCATCACATGGGGTTAACAGTGATTTGTCATTTGTTTCTAATTAAAGGACCTAATCTCTTATCATTGAAGCAGTCTTTTTTTTTATACTAAAGGCACAGATGTGAATGGAAACATATTAATGAGATGTCATACTACATAGTCATTTAGTGTTTTGTTTAACTTAAACATAGCAGAAAATGTGTGTCTAAGTAGACACATGTAATGACATCCTGATAGAATTATAATTTCCTGCATTTGCATAATCTTCAGTAAAATTCACACTAGGTTCACCTTGCATTGCTAATTTCATTTCCCAAATCTGCATTTTTAGAAAATTAAAGAAAAGTCAGACCCGAAGTATTATGGGAAGAGAAAGGATTTATTGTTAGTTCCTTCACATTAAAGCTGGAATTGTAATTTAAATATTTGAGTGCCAGGTGTTCTAAAAAGTGACAGGAAGTGTTCAAACCGACAGAAAGCTTTGCATTTTCTGAAGTTATTTAAAATACTCCAGGCTAAATCATCTTAAGAGCTTGGCAGATCTTTGCTTTGAGATAGAGCAGAACTGTGACTTGTGGGCCTGAAAAATCATGTTTGATCAGGTGCCCTGGTGTGCCCAGTTGTAGGATTCCATGAGCTATGACTTGCAAGAGTCAGTCAGGTAATTGGGCAATGAGGGAAGCAGCAGGAGCAACCCTATTTAACTGCCGCCTGACGTGTGCCACACGAGTCTCCATTAGCCCAGCAAGACAGCTCTGGATGCAGGTTAAAACCAGGTGATCTCCAAATAGTTGGGGGGTGTGGAAAGACACGAAATTAAACATCTACCTCAGATTATTAGTGTGGTTGTGAAATAATTAGGAAAGCCTAATTATTCCAAGGACTTTTTAAAAGGTATTTCAAAAAATATTTTCCAAGCTCTGTCTATGGAATATTGTGTTTCCAAGATCTCATTCATTTAATTAAAAAATTTTTTTTGAACATTACAATGAGCTAGACATTGCTAGGGAGAAACTTATGAGTGTTCCTGCTCTCACACATGACAAAAACACATTTTTTTACATGGATAAGTTATTTTGTACTAATACAAATGTTCACAAATCCTGTTGTTCCTTGAATTGCCCTTAAGCTCACACCTAAGGTCTAAACATCACAGCAGCTTTAATGGTCTCACCTGGTTACACACTGGCACTACTTACCCATGCCTAGTTAGACACAAAATAAACTGCTAGATTAAAGGGGGATGGATTTTACAGTTTTACAATGCAAGCTATAAAGTGTTGATTACAGTTGGTTGATTTCATAAACTGTGATAGCCAACAAGGATAATTCAAGTATTCAAATAAACAGTTCTCAAGTTTCTTTGTACAGCAATAATACATATTAAAAGAACATTTATGTCAATGTATAAACCTTTGGGCCACATCATAAGAGATCTCAATTCAAAAGTTTTGAATTCTGACTGGAATTCTGCATTTTTCAGTCACCAAAGATTATTAGGAGTTACCATGAGATCAACCTTGAAATACTCTGGTTTGGTTGTCAACTTTTGTATTAAGATTCTCTGATGTAGACTCACTGTAAAGTGTATTAATAATTATCAACAAAGATGGCTTATTTATATATACAAGATTTTGAGCCACAATATTATTTTTTATGTATTTAATAATTCATTAAGGATCACATTTATATCTGTAATTTCCAGAAGGCAAACAACTTTTTGGTGATTTTCTTAGGCATTTGACCATTTTATTTCCTAGTAAGCAAGCCTAGCACACATGCTATTGATATGGGAGCGGGGGAAGGGGAGTGCTTGGAGGAGAAGGGCGGGTCCCTAGCTAGCGCTCCACCCCCGGGCCTGTGCCCACGGACCTAGGTGAGGACTCAAATGTTGCATTTTCCAAGACCACCGTGGCCCGCCACGCCCCCATCCCGTGCCTATAAAAACCCAGGGACCCTAGCAGGCAGAAACACAGGCCGCTGGATGTCAAGAGGAACACACCAGCGGAAGAACACACAAGCGTCTGGATGTTCAGTGGCACACACCGCGGAAGGACACACGGGCAGACACAAGCAGACGCCACCAGGCCATCGACCGGTGGTACAACATGGAGTTCCGCCGAGGGTGGACAAAGGAGAGCCCAGCTGCTGAGCGGCCTGACTCCAGGTAAAACCACCTTCCCACTCTATCCATCTTCTGGCTTAGCCCATCTATCTGCTGAGCGTTGCTTCCACTGAAAACCTTGCACTCATTCTCCAAGCCCACGTGTGTTCCGATTTTTCTGGTACAGTAAGAAAGGAACCCAGGATACAGCAAAGCCCTCTGTCCTTGCAATAAGTCAGAGGGTCTAATTGAGCTGGTTAACACAAGCCACCAATGGATGGGTAAACTGAAAAAGCACACTGTAACACACGGCCACTGGAGCGTCAGCTGTAAACTCTCACCCCTAGATGCTGCTGTGCGGTTGGAGCCCCACAGCCTGCCCCTCCGCATGCGCCCCCTAGAGGTCTGAGCAACAGGGGCACCGAAGCACACCACTTCCCCATCGCAGCCCTGCAAGGGGAACAAGGGAACTTTGCCCGTGTCACTATCTCTATGGGACAAAGGTGCTTTTCAGAAAAGAATTAACTTGAAAAGCAAAAGCAGTGTTTTGTGGCTGACAAATGTTGTAGATTTTATTGATCCCTATGAATTTATTTATTTAGTCTTTAAATTTTTAGTAAAAGCCAATGATAGGTAGACTTGTGGGAACATTATATTTTTAAATTTATTTTTTATTATAATTTTTTATTTTAAACTGTTATTGAGATAATTAATTCACAAACAGTGGTACAAAATTACACAGTTTCTGAATATACTTTATCCAATTTCCCTCAGTGGTAACATCTTACAAAATCATATTAATACAGGGCAACCAGGATATTGGTGTTGGTATAACCCACTGGTTTTACTCAGATTCCCCCAGTTTCACCTGTATTCATTCTTTTGTGTGTGTCATCGTGTTTTTTGTTAGCATCCTATTGTTTTTGTTTTGTTTTTTGCTTTTGATCTTTTCCTACTTTTCTCCCTTCTTTATTAAAATTAGAGAAGAGTATATAAACTAACTTAGCAGAACACATGAGTACCCACTACACAGATCTAATAACAAGGTGAAATTCCTAAGTATATCTCTTAGGTATCCATTCTTCCTCCTTTCCCCTCAGAAGTATGTAGCATTTCATATTCAACATTTTTAATACTTCACTACATATACAGTTAGAAATAAGAAATATTTGTTAAGATTTTACTGGTATCAAATTCTAAATAAATGGTATCATAAAGTATATTCACTTTGCACTTTCCTTTTCACTCAACTTTATGTTTGATATTTATCAATTTCAATATCTATAACTTTAAATCATACTTTGTAGCTGCTCTCTAATATTCTGTAGGTAAGCATAACTTACTGTATTTGCTTTGGGTTGAACATTGAGGTTATTTCCATGATTACAACTGAGTCTTCAATGGATATTCTTAATGTGAGAGAGTTGCCTTGGGATGTATAACTAGATGTGTACTTGTCAGATAATAAGATAGGTACATCTACAACTTCCCTAAATATTGGCAAATAGTTCTCTATATGGTGTGCATTTACACTTGATAGAAATGTGCTAGAGTTACTATTTGTCCTCATTATTTGCATTGTCTGATTTTTAAATCCTTTGCCAACCTGGTGGGCTCAGTACTTATGTATTAGGAAATGACAATTCCCATATTTATAAAATGAAGAGAATAATAATACCCCCCTCACAAGTTGTGGTTAGATTTAAATGTGATAATCCATATGAAAGCACTTAGCATGCTATCTGGCACTCAGTAGAAATTCAAATGTTTCACCACAAAATGTGAAAAGTGCAGTGTCCTGATTTTAAATGGGATTGATCAAGATGTCTTCTTTTTTTTTTGTTTTGTTTTTTATTTTTTATTTTATTTTTATTTTTTTATTTTTTATTATACTTTAAGTTTTAGGGTACATGTGCACATTGTGCAGGTTAGTTACATATGTATACATGTGCCATGCTGGTGCACTGCACCCACTAACTCGTCATCTAGCATTAGGTATATATCCCGATGCTATCCCTCCCACCTCCCCCCACCCCACAACAGTCCCCAGAGTGTGATATTCCCCTTCCTGTGTCCATGTGATCTCATTGTTCAATTCCCACCTATGAGTGAGAATATGCAGTGTTTGGTTTTTTGTTCTTGCGATAGTTTACTGCGAATGATGATTTCCAATTTCATCCATGTCCCTACAAAGGACATGAACTCATCATTTTTTATGGCTGCATAGTATTCCATGGTGTATATGTGCCACATTTTCTTAATCCAGTCTATCATTGTTGGACATTTGGGTTGGTTCCAAGTCTTTGCTATTGTGAATAGTGCCACAATAAACATACATGTGCATGTGTCTTTATAGCTGCATGATTTATAGTCCTTTGGGTATATACCCAGTAATGGGATGGCTGGGTCAAATGGTATTTCTAGTTCTAGATCCCTGAGGAATCGCCACACTGACTTCCACAATGGTTGAACTAGTTTACAGTCCCACCAACAGTGTAAAAGTGTTCCTATTTCTCCACATCCTCTCCAGCACCTGTTGTTTCCTGACTTTTTAATGATCGCCATTCTAACTGGTGTGAGATGGTATCTCATTGTGGTTTTGATTTGCATTTCTCTGATGGCCAGTGATGATGAGCATTTTTTCATGTGTCTTTTGGCTGCATAAATGTCTTCTGAGAAGTGTCTGTTCATGTCCTTCGCCCACTTTTTGATGGGGTTGTTTGTTTTTTTCTTGTAAATTTGTTTGAGTTCATTGTAGATTCTGGATATTAGCCCTTTGGAGGGCTAATTCTGGAGCATGAAGGGTTGCTGTTTTGGTACCAGTACCATGCTGTTTTGGTTACTGTAACCTTGTAGTATAGTTTGAAGTCAGGTAGTGTGATGCCTCCAGCTTTGTTCTTTCGGCTTAGGATTGACTTGGCGATGCAGGCTCTTTTTTGGTTCCATATGAACTTTAAAGTAGTTTTTTCCAATTCTGTGAAGAAAGGCATTGGTAGCTTGATGGGGATGGCATTGAATCTGTAAATTACCTTGGGCAGTATGGCCATTTTCACGATATTGATTCTTCCTACCCATGAGCATGGAATGTTCTTCCATTTGTTTGTATCCTCTTTTATTTCCTTGAGCAGTGGTTTGTAGTTCTCCTTGAAGAGGTCCTTCACATCCCTTGTAAGTTGGATTCCTAGGTATTTTATTCTCTTTGAAGCAATTGTGAATGGGAGTTCATTCATGATTTGGCTCTCTGTTTCTCTGTTGTTGGTGTATAAGAATGCTTGTGATTTTTGTACATTGATTTTGTATCCTGAGACTTTGCTGAAGTTGCTTATCAGCTTAAGGAGATTTTGGGCTGAGACAGTGGGGTTTTCTAGATATACAATCATGTCGTCTGCAAACAGGGACAATTTGACTTCCTCTTTTCCTAATTGAATACCCTTTATTTCCTTCTCCTGCCTAATTTCCCTGGCCAGAACTTCCAACACTATGTTGAATAGGAGTGGTGAGAGAGGGCATCCCTGTCTTGTGCCAGTTTTCAAAGGGAATGCTTCCAGTTTTTGCCCATTCAGTATGATATTGGCTGTGGGTTTGTCATAGATAGCTCTTATTATTTTGAAATACGTCCCATCAATACCTAATTTATTGAGAGTTTTTAGCATGAAGGGTTGTTGAATTTTGTCAAAGGCTTTTTCTGCATCTACTGAGATAATCATGTGGTTTTTGTCTTTGGCTCTGTTTATATGCTGGATTACATTTATTGATTTGCATATATTGAACCAGCCTTGCATCCCAGGGATGAAGCCCACTTGATCATGGTGGATAAGCTTTTTGATGTGCTGCTGGATTCGTTTTGCCAGTATTTTATTGAGGATTGTTGCATCAATGTTCATCAAGGATATTGGTCTAAAATTCTCTTTTTTTGTTGTGTCTCTGCCTGGCTTTGGTATCAGAATGATGCTGGCCTCATAAAATGAGTTAGGGAGGATTCCCTCTTTTTCTATTGATTGGAATAGTTTCAGAAGGAATGGTACCAGTTCCTCCTTGTACCTCTGGTAGAATTCGGCTGTGAATCCATCTGGTCCTGGACTCTTTTTGGTTGGTAAGCTATTGATTATTGCCACAATTTCAGCTCCTGTTATTGGTCTATTCAGAGATTCAACTTCTTCCTGGTTTAGTCTTGGGAGAGTGTATGTGTCCAGGAATTTATCCATTTCTTCTAGATTTTCTAGTTTATTTGCGTAGAGGTGTTTGTAGTATTCCCTGATGGTAGTTTGTATTTCTGTGGGATCGGTGGTGATATCCCCTTTATCATTTTTTATTGCGTCTATTTGATTCTTCTCTCTTTTTTTCTTTATTAATCTTGCTAGTGGTCTATCAATTTTGTTGATCCTTTCAAAAAACCAGCTCCTGGATTCATTAATTTTTTGAAGGGTTTTTTATGTCTCTATTTCCTTCAGTTCTGCTCTGATCTTAGTTATTTCTTGCCTTCTGCTAGCTTTTGAATGTGTTTGCTCTTGCTTTTCTAGTTCTTTTAATTGTGATGTTAGGGTGTCAATTTTGGATCTTTCCTGCTTTCTCTTGTGGGCATTTAGTGCTATAAATTTCCCTCTACACACTGCTTTGAATGCGTCCCAGAGATTCTGGTATGTTGTGTCTTTGTTCTCGTTGGTTTCAAAGAACATCTTTATTTCTGCCTTCATTTCATTATGTACCCAGTAGTCATTCAGGAGCAGGTTGTTCAGTTTCCATGTAGTTGAGCGGTTTTGAGTGAGATTCTTAATCCTGAGTTCTAGTTTGATTGCACTGTGGTCTGAGAGATAGTTTGTTATAATTTCTGTTCTTTTACATTTGCTGAGGAGAGCTTTACTTCCCAGTATGTGGTCAATTTTGGAATAGGTGTGGTGTGGTGCTGAAAAAAATGTATATTCTGTTGATTTGGGGTGGAGAGTTCTGTAGATGTCTATTAGGTCCGCTTGGTGCAGAGCTGAGTTCAATTCCTGGGTATCCTTGTTGACTTTCTGTCTCGTTGATCTGTCTAATATTGACAGTGGCGTGTTGAAGTCTCCCATTATTAATGTGTGGGAGTCTAAGTCTCTTTGTAGGTCACTCAGGACTTGCTTTATGAATCTTGGTGCTCCTGTATTGGGTGCATATATATTTAGGATAGTTAGCTCTTCTTGTTGAATTGATCCCTTTACCATTATGTAATGGCCTTCTTTGTCTCTTTTGATCTTTGTTGGTTTAAAGTCTGTTTTATCAGAGACTAGGATTGCAACCCCTGCCTTTTTTTGTTTTCCATTGGCTTGGTAGATCTTCCTCCAACCTTTTATTTAGAGCCTATGTGTGTCTCTGCAGGTGAGATGGGTTTCCTGAATACAGCACACTGATGGGTCTTGACTCTTTATCCAATTTGCCAATCTGTGTCTTTTAATTGGAGCATTTAGTCCATTTACATTTAAAGTTAATATTGTTACGTGTGAATTTGATCCTGTCATTATGATGTTAGCTGGTGATTTTGCTCGTTAGTTGATGCAGTTTCTTCCTAGTCTCGATGGTCTTTACATTTTGGCATGATTTTGCAGTGGCTGGTACCGGTTGTTCCTTTCCATGTTTAGTGCTTCCTTCAGGAGCTCTTGTAAGGCAGGCCTGGTGGTGACCAAGTCTCTCAGCATTTGCTTGTCTGTAAAGTATTTTATTCCTCCTTCACTTATGAAGCTTAGTTTGGCTGGATATGAAATTCTGGGTTGAAAATTCTTTTCTTTAAGAATGTTGAATATTGGCCCCCACTCTCTTCTGGCTTGTAGGGTTTCTGCCGAGAGATCCGCTGTTAGTCTGATGGGCTTCTCTTTGAGGGTAACCCGACCTTTCTCTCTGGCTGCCCTTAACATTTTTTCCTTCATTTCAACTTTGATGAATCTGACAATTATGTGTCTTGGAGTTGCTCTTCTCGAGGATTATCTTTGTGGCGTTCTCTGTATTTCCTGAATCTGAATGTTGGCCTGCCTTGCTAGATTGGGGAAGTTCTCCTGGATAATATCCTGCAGAGTATTTTCCAATTTGGTTCCATTCTCCCCATCACTTTCAGGTACACCAATCAGATGTAGATTTGGTCTTTTCACATAGTCCCATATTTCTTGGAGGCTTTGCTCATTTCTTTTTATTCTTTTTTCTCTAGACTTCCCTTCTCGCTTCATTTCATTCATTTCATCGTCCATCGCTGATACGCTTTCTTCCAGTTGATTGCATCGGCTCCTGAGGCTTCTGCATTCTTCACATAGTTCTCGAGCCTTGGTTTTCAGCTCCATCAGCTCCTTTAAGCACTTCTCTGTATTGGTTATTCTAGTTATACATTCTTCTAAATTTTTTTCAAAGTTTTCAACTTCTTTGCCTTTGGTTTGAATGTCCTCTCGTAGCTCAGAGTAATCTGATCGTCTGAAGCTTTCTTCTCTCAACTCCTCAAAGTCATTCTCCATCCAGCTTTGTTCCGTTGCTGGTGAGGAACTGCGTTCCTTTGGAGGAGGAGAGGCGCTCTGCTTTTTAGAGTTTCCAGTTTTTCTGTTCTGTTTTTTCCCCATCTTTGTGGTTTTATCTACTTTTGGTCTTTGATGATGGTGATGTACAGATGGGTTTTTGGTGTGGATGTCCTTTCTGTTTGTTAGTTTTCCTTCTAACAGAGAGGACCCTCAGCTGCTGGTCTGTTGGAGTACCCTGCCGTGTGAGGTGTCAGTGTGCCTCTGCTGGGGGGTGTCTCCCAGTTAGGCTGCTCAGGGGTCAGGGGTCAGGGACCCACTTGAGGAGGCAGTCTGCCCGTTCTCAGATCTCCAGCTGCGTGCTGGGAGAACCACTGCTCTCTTCAAAGCTGTCAGACAGGGATATTTAAGTCTGCAGAGGTTACTGCTGTGTTTTTGTTCGTCTGTGCCCTGCCGGCAGAGGTGGAGCCTACAGAGGCAGGCAGGCCTCCTTGAGCTGTGGTGGGCTCCACCCAGTTCCAGCTTCCCGGCTGCTTTGTTTACCTAATCAAGCCTGGGCAATGGCGGGCGCCCCTCCCCCAGCCTCGCTGCCGCCCTGCAGCTTGATCTCAGACTGCTGTGCTAGCAATCAGCGAGACTCCATGGGCGTAGGACCCTCCAAGCCAGGTGCGGGATATAATCTTGTGGTGCACCGTTTTTTAAGCCCATCGGAAAAGCGCAGTATTCGGGTGGGAGTGACCCGATTTTCCAGGTGCCGTCCGTCACTCCTTTCTTTGACTCAGAAAGGGAACTCCCTGACCCCCTGCGCTTCCCAAGTGAGGCAATGCCTCGCCCTGCTTCGGCTTGCGCACGGTGCGCACACCCACTGACCTGCGCCCACTGTCTGGCACTCCCTAGTGAGATGAACCCGGTACCTCAGATGGAAATGCAGAAATCACCCGTCTTCTGCATCGCTCACGCTGGGAGCTGTAGACCGGAGCTGTTCCCACTCGGCCGTCTTGGCTCCTCCAAGATGTCTTCTTAGGTGAAATCATTGATGGTGCTTGATTACAGCTCCTGTCATTTGGGGTAGATGGTTTAGCATGACTCATGGTTTAGCAGGCTCATGAAATATGACACTGACTGTTTTCTCTGATCCTAAGAAAACAGTACTCCTCCTAGCCCCAGTAAATACTATGACTGAGTCCTGTGACCTAGTCCTACCTTGGAAGGCATAAGACATTCAGGATAATGAAAGTGCAAAGATCCTGGGAGCAACTGGAAGGGAGGTGGTGCTCTAATAGGATACAGTAGGCAGATGGTTGGAAAGACCAGTTAAGATGTTATCATGAGATTCCAGAATTTCCCTATTTCCTACGAACAGGCCTAGGACTCAATTTCTGAGGGTACATTAGATTTTACGTAAAGCCACATATATGGCTGTACAGAATTGGCTTTATCATCCTTAGCAGAGTGGATGTCCATTGAAGAGAGAAACTAACTTTTAGCAGAATGCTGTCTGACTACGAACGTGAGATTGGTGAACAGGGTGTGACTATTTAATTGTGGCTCAAACTATCCAAATGATTAGGAGTCTAGTGTATGTTTTGCTAAAAAATTAGATGACTTTCTCAGCAAAGGTTTACCTGGAAGTAATGAGCAAAAATATATGCAGGTGGGTCTGATACCATTGCTATTAAGAGAAAGTCTTTTAGAATCAGAAGGGCTTGCCATCTACAACTATGTGATCTTGGAAAAGTTATGTAATCTCCTTTTTCAGTTTTTTCACCCTTAAAAGTATAACATGAGTTCATTATGAGGACTAAGTAAAACATCTCATCAAAGCAAAAAAGTATACACGACAAATTTTGACATATCTGCTAAAAAATTATCTCTGAAAGAGAATGTTTACACCGTGCCAGAATTTGGATGAAAAAGTGGTAAATCTATGTTGACTTGAAAATGACAAAAACCAGGAGAGAAACTAACTTAAACCATAAAAGAGTTCAGACAAATTTGATTACGTTTGAGAGGCAAGGTATGGCAGAATCGATGAAGTGCAATTTTATGAATTCAGAATTGAAAGACCTCAGAAAAGAATGAGATAGAGGCAGTGTCCTGCCAACTCTCTGCATATCCCCAGGTACACACATCAAGAGGTGATCAGTTGTGTTTCTGGAAGGAAACCAAAAGCACACACCTCTGGGATTCTAAATACACTTTACAGAAGGAGATATTTGTGGAGGTGTGAGTACAGTTGAAGGGATCCACAAGAGGGAACATAAACTGAGGGAGTACTGAAAGATGGCAACCATTACCATTACTAAGTTGGAAACGGCAAAGGAGGGACTAGTGTTTTAAGAGCTTGGAGAGAGCTAGAGCATCGGCCAGGAAAGTCCGACAGAAGCTGTAGCTGAGTAACTATTCCTCCAAATTTCATGTGTATGAAAATCACATTGGGGTATTGTTAAATGGAAGATTATGATTCTGTTGCTTTGTGGCGGTGACGTGCTGGCAGCACTCTGAGACGTGCTGGCAGTCCTCAGAGCCCTCGCTTGCTCTCGGCACCTCCTCTGCCTGGGCTCCCATTTTGGCGGCATTTGAGGAACCCTTCAGCCCACCACTGCAGTGTGGGAGCCCCTTTCTGGGCTGGCCAAGGCTGGAGCCCACTCCCTCAGCTTGCAGGGAGGTGTGGAGGGAGAGGCGTGAGCGGGAACCGGGGGTGTGTGCGGCGCTTGCGGACTAGCTGGAGTTCCGGGTGGGAGTGGGCTTGGCGAGCCCTGCACTCGGAGCAGCCGGCCAGCCCTGCTGGCCCTGGGCAATGAGGGACTTAGCACCCGGGCCAGTGGCTACGGAGTGTGCACTGGGTCCCCCAGCAGTGCCAGCCCACCGGTGCTGTGCTCGATTTCTCACCGAGCCTTAGCTGCCTTCCCATGGGGCAGGGCTCGGGACCTGCAGCCCGCCATGCCTGAGCTTCCCACCCACTCCATGGGCTCCTGTGCGGCCTGAGCCTCCCCGACGAGCACCACCCCCTGCTCCACGGTGCCCAGTCCCATCGACCACCCGAGGGCTGAGGAGTGCGAGCACACGGCGAGGGACTGGCAGGCAGCTCCACCTGCAGCCCCAGTGCGGGATCCACTAGGTGAAGCCAGCTGGCCTCCTAAGTCTGGTGGGGACGTGGAGAGTCTTTATGTCTAGCTCAGGGATTGTAAATACACCAATCAGCACCCTGTGTCTAGCTCAGGGTTTGTGAGTGCACCAATCGACACTCTATCTAGCTGCTCTGGTGGGGCCTTGGAGAACCTTTATGTCTAGCTCAGGGATTGTAAATACACCAATCCGCACTCTGTATCTAGTTCAAAGTTTGTAAACACACCAATCAGCACCCTGTGTTTAGCTGAAGGTTTGTGAGTGCACCAATCGACACTCTGTATCTAGCTGCTCTGGTGGGGCCTTGGAGAACCTGTGTGTGGAAACTCTGTATCTAACTAATCTGATGGGGACGTGGAGAACCTTTGTGTCTACCTCAGGGATTGTAAACGCACCAATCAGCGCCCTGTCAAAACAGGCCACTGGCTCTACCAATCAGCAGGATGTGGGTGGGGCCAGATAAGAGAATAAAAGCAGGCTGCCCTAGCCAGCATTGGCAACCCAATCGGGTCCCCTTCAACACTGTGGAAGCTTTGTTCTTTCACTCTTTGCAATAAATCTTGCTACTGCTTACTCTTTGGGTCCACGCTGCTTTTATGAGCTGTAACACTCACCGCGAAGATCTGCAGCTTCACCCCTGAAGCCAGCGAGACCACGAGCCCACCAGGAGGAAGAAACTCCAGACATGCTGCCTTAAGAGCTGTAACACTCACCGCGAAGGTCTGCAGCTTCACTCCTGAGCCAGGGATACCACGAACCCACCAGAAGGAAGAAACTCTGAACACATCCGAACATCAGAAGGAACAAACTCCAGACGCGTCACCTTAAGAGCTGTAACACTCACCGCGAGGGTCTGCGGCTTCATTCTTAAAGTCAGTGAGACCAAGAACCCACCAATTCCGGACACAGCGGGACGCACATTCTGCAGTTCTAACAAGCCCTCAGGTAATTCCAAAGCTATCTCTCTTTGGACCACCCTGTTAGAAGAAAGGTCATAAAGACACTCAATCACGAGCAGGTCCAGGACATCCAAGCAGAGATGCTTCTAGGAAAGAAATACCCTATAGTTTCCTTGTAAATTGGATTCAGAATAGGGGAGATTCAAAGTCCCTTTCCTTTATATACTACTATATCTTAAGACTTATTAAATCAAAACTAAACTTATATTTAGGGAAATAAACAGAACATAAACAAAAACATGATTTCAATCACGGTCTTAAGAAACATTGCTGATACACAAGTCTCCCGTCTTCAAGTCTCAGTACAATTAGGCTTAGAGTACTTTGGGAGGCCGAAGCGGGCGGATCACCAGGTCAGGAGATCGAGACCATTCTGGCTAACACGGTGAAACCCCGTCTCTACTAAAAATACAAAAAATTAGCCAGGCGTGGTGGCGGGCGCCTGTAGTCCCAGCTACTCGGGAGGCTGAGGCAGGAGAATAGCGTGAACCCGGGAGGCGGAGCTTGCAGTGAGCCGAGATTGCGCCACTGCACTCCAGCCTGGGCAACAGAGTGAGACTCTGTCTCAAAAAAAAAAAAAAAAAAAAAAAAAAAGAAAAGAATGGAAAATGTGCTCACCAAAATACTGTAGTACCTATTTCTGGATAATAGAACACGTGATTTTTATTTTCTTCTTGTTTATATCTTTTTTTTATTGTTTTTATAATCAATGTATAACAAAAACAATAAAAATGCAAAAATGGACAAATACAAAGTATTTAATCATATTTAAATTCCAATGTAGCATTCTGTATATAGTTCTGTAAATCAATAGATATCTCTAATATTTCAAGGAAATATTTAAAAACATAAATCATTATACCACCCACATGAGAAAAGCCTTCAAAGTGTCACAGTAAAATAAACTTTTGTATCATAAATAAATCATCAAGTTTGAGATTGAAAGCTTCTATATTGCTTCCTAGAGCTGTTGATAAAACAATGCAAAAAAAAATGAGTACTTTGGAGAAAATGAGCTGCTGGAGAAACAAACATAATATGTCACTAATTACAGGTGATTCTTTACCTTGTCAGGCAGACGTGGCTATTATATTCATAGGAGGGAGGAGAAAAAATATCATCAACTGTTAAAACAGGCACAAAGAAATAGCCCTTGTCTCCCCAGCTGTGGAATTGTCCTGACATTCCTCATTTGGCTCTCTACTCTTTCCATTCTTTCACTCAAATAAGTCAGCACTTTTTATTGCTTACAGCTGATTTCCAGAACTCCAGCTTCTGCTTTAGCATCACTTCTAAGTTGCCTTACACTTTCAAGAACTTTGATACAGTTCTCTTGTTATGCCTACTGTTGAAAAGTAAAGCAGGGAGGGGCAAGGGTAATTTTTCATATCCTCAAAGAATGGTGCAAATATGCCTATTGATTTCTCAGATTTTATATGGGGAAATAAGCATGAGGTGAAATCTGAATAAATAAGCAAAGATCAGAATGGCATCAGCCTTCTCAATGGAAATATCATCTTCCAAGTCGAGAAGGAAAAAAGATTTTAAACATAGGATCTTATATACAGTCAAACTAGCATTAAATGACAGGGCAAGAAAGAGACATTTCCAGAAATGCAATGGTTTAGAAAACTTCCCTATGCATGCTGTACCAGAAATAAATTCTAAAGGTGATATTCCAGCAATTTTTTTAATTCAAAAAAGAAGATATAGGGAAAAAGAGAAAAATTAAGAAAAAACAAAAGAGTAAATACACAGCTATGACTAATTTTTTTTGATGCACAATGATAAAGTAATAATTTTTTAAAAGTAAAATGCTTTTGAATTAAATATAAGTGATAATAAATGGGGGAAGACAAATGAAAATATCCTAATGAGATTCTTAAATTTGGGGAGGAAGAGTAATGAAGAAAAGACAGTGAATAATGTAAAGGTTACTCAGTCCTTTGTTACTTCTCTTGAGCACTAGATTGGAAGTTCAATTTATGACAATATTAAGAAGAAAAATTAGGACAAGAAAAAGGCAAAGAAAAATGGCACCATCATATTTCTAGGTGATATGATGATTTTCCTAGATAATCTGAGGTAATTAACAGAAAAACAACTAGAAGAAATAAGGAAGTCCAAGAAGATACCTGATACGAGATAATATAAAAATTGATAGCTTTCTTATACATCAGGAATGTACACATAGAAAATGTTTAAGAAAAACGTGGGTCCATATACAAAGAAATAACAAACCCCAATAGCTAAATATATAAAATTTGCAAATTATGTATCAAAATAACTATAAAATATCTTAAAAATGTAAAAGAAGACTAGAATAAATGAGGAAAATACATTATGTTCCTAGATAAGAAAATCTAGGTAGTTTTGTATGTTAATTCTCACTAACATTACTAATCTAAAAAGTGTAGATAATATTCCAATTGAAATAGTCACAGAATTTTTTGTAGTCTAAAATTTTGACTGAAGTTTCTATAGAAAATATAAAACAATAATAATGACAAAACTATAAATGTGTTTACTAAACACATATATGGTATGTATTATGTGCCTGGTCTTATTCCAAGTAATTTATGTATGCTAACCCTTTTAATCCTAATAATAGAATTATCAAGTAAGAATTATTTCCCCCTATCTTAGGCATTATAGACACATAGAGGCACATATATGTGAAAACTTTATGACATATTGTAAGAAAAACAAATTCCAATAACGTATCTATTTTTAAAAAATAATGCCTCCCTATTTATATATGCCCAATATTTGAAAACATAAGCTATATTTGCAAGTTAACAAACACATATATACATATTATCTTATATCCACTACATATGTAATACAAATATAAACACTGAAGACACACATCTGTATACACACTTTTTTTTGAGACGGAGTTTCGCTCTTGTTGCCCAGGCTGGAGTGCAATGGTGCGTGATTTCAGCTCACCTCAACCTCTGCCTACTGGGTTCAAGCGATTCTCCTGCCTCAATCTCCTGAGTAGGTGGGATTACAGGCATGTGCCACCATGCCTGGCTAATTTTGTATTTTTGGTAGAGACGCAGTTTCTCCATGTTGGTCAAGTTGGTCACGAACTCCTGACCTCAGGTGACCTGCCCGCCTCAGCCTCCCAAAGTGCTGGGAATACAGGTGTGAGCCACTGCTCCCCTCCCACACTTCTTTTTATATAAGGTCGGTGCAAAAGTAATTGCGGGTTTTGCCATTCATTACTTGTGCACCAACCTAATATAGGAATGACAGAGGGAAATTTTGATAGCAAAACTTAAAAATATAAAAATACTATGTCTTTCATTGGACAAAATATTTTGTTTAAATTAAAAATTAGTTTACATCTCCACATTGGGAAGATTGAGAGTCAATGAATGTATATCCCTTAAGAAAGAATTGAAGGTATATATACCTTCCCAGAGTCTTAAACTACAAACATAGGTTTTCAATGAAAACTAAAACCCAAATATGTTTCTATCCTCAGTTTAAATAATCCTAAAATCAAATGTATTTTTCTGTCACTTTTTTGTTTCTATCTTATTGGGATCATAGAAAAACAAATGCTACTTGTTTCAGCTAATACTTGTCCAGGAGATAGTAATGTGAACCAACTAAACAGCTTGCTTTTCAGGATCAACAGTTTGCTCATCAAAACCCATCTCTTAGTGCCTACAATCCAAAGCCCTTAGGTCCATCCTACACAAGCCCTGTCTTCAAGACCTACCTTAATTCATCCAGACTAGGAACTACAACCATTTAAATACACTTCCTCTGTGTCAAGGTAGTATTCTTTCCTACTGCTCTAGATCTACTAAACTTTGTTTGATCAGCAGGTGTTTCTGGTGGTCTTTGGCAAGTTGATCGTAGGCACCTAGTCATTGCATCTCCAGGAGGCCCTTGATATGAGTTAATGCCTAGTTGGATTTTATTAGTTATAGAACAGAGCTAACCCATCATTATTGTTTCAATAACAACTGATCTTTTCCCAGATGTAGACATTTCATATGTCTCTACCTCAATTGTCTATTCACTATAATATATTAATAAATAGCATGGTGACACTGCAATTGGTGTTTCTTAAACCAAATTTATCAGTTGACAATGAATTTAGTTTCTCTTATTGAGTTCTATATTTTTTTACATTTTATCCCCAAATCTCTAGGATCTCAGATGTTTGATGATTGGTTTCTAATTTGTGCTATTTCTAATAACTTCTTCAGAGGAAGGTAGCATTTCTATTGTTTATTAGTCAAGAAGAAATTGCAGGCTATGACAACATGGTGTCATAAAAATAGGCTTATTTTTCTTTTCTTTTAAAAAGAAAAAGCTTAGCATTCCTACCTATGGGTATTCCAACTTGAAGTAATAATAGGATGAGAGTTGGAGCCAACCATTTTGTTTCTCTGCCTTTCTCCCCTACATCCAGTATATAGGAACTCTAGAAGTTCTAATTACCTCTAAATTAATTGGTTGACTTTCCACAGGGACCTTGTATGTACATGCTCTAGGAATTAGCTTTTTATGCTAGCATGTGGAATGTAATATTTTTGTCTTTTTTCCTCTTCTGACTCATTGTGATACTGCCCCACTAATTGTCAATAACTAAAGAGATTTCACCAATCCCTACAATGGTTTCTACTTAGGCCTGAAGAAGCCAAATGAAGGTTGCTATTACCTAAGGCCAGAATTGTGCCAATGGTACACATTTTCTATAGCCCAAGCCCCGGAGAGATCATTGCAATCACAAGCATGGCTGCAGCAGGCAATGATACTATTGCCATCACCTCTGTCTCAGTCATTTGCCATTGCCAAGCTTGCTTTAGCCTCTGTCACTTCCACCTGTGGTGAGATACTGATTAAGTGTTCTCAGTGTCTATGAAAATTATAGAGAAAAAAGTTTCATTCATTTATTGTACCCTCTCCCTCAAGAACCAGGCCTGAGTTCACAAGAGATGGGCCAGCAGAGATACATGTGACCCACATCATTGTTCTGCTCTGAATCACTCTTCACTGACAAAGCCATTGTTTTTGAGCTAGCCCTATTCTCTTTCCTTTAAGATGTCCTCTCTCTCCACACTCACATCTCAGCTTATCCAAATTCACTTTTAATGAGCGCCTTTGACCTGGGCTTCAGATAAATGTAGATATCCTTGAATTCTAAAATTATGTTATAGTCAAGCTGAATCCTCCACTGAAAACAGGGAGAAAAAAAGAAATTATCAAAATGACTTGTGTTCTGTCTTATATTTCAGAAACTTATCTCAAAATGAGTCCTAACAAAAAAAGAAACACATGTACACATACCAGTATCATGCTGGAAGTTTTTTTAAAAAAAATGGTAATTGTACATACTCCAAGTTTATAGCAAAATTTACAAAATGGCAAGAAGAAAGGAACGAGGCTTTCTGACAGAAGCTGCACAGTGCTGATGTCTGCAGTGCCAGTGGCTCTGTGTAGCAGATACTTGGGAAAGAGAATGGTGGGGTCTAATGTTAGCAGCAGTTGGAGCAGCCCCCTAGGGAAGGCCTATAAGGATAACACAATAATAACTGCAGGGTGTACACCAGAGGTTACGTAGCTGTTAGCTGCATTTGAAAAATCAATTAGATAGGCCACAGTGAAGTTTAAACTGGAAAAAGTTGTTTGATATTTTAGTAGATAAGCTCACTAGGAAACTTGAAGTTGATGACTTCAAGGAAAATTGCTAGTAAGGATTCTGTGGAGGAACCAAGGCAAATGTTGAGAGACAGGTATTTATTGTTTATGTAAGAAGGGCTTTAAGGAATACTGCTTTAAAAATAGTAAAAATTATGGACTAGGGATTAGATGAAGACACAGAAAGAAACAATTTTCTTTCTCTGAGGGCATTCTCTGGTTTTCAGATGCCCAGTTCTAGAATTATAATTTCTCTCATGTGGGTCTTGAGAGAGGTTAAAGAAGTGCTTTTGAGGATAGTTGCCAAACAGTAGCCTTCCTTCTGAAAAGCATGCCCATCGATGGCATTGGAGTCAGGAAATGAGGAACTGACTTATCGCTCCTGTTACTTTGAGTTTCTATTCTTCATCTATGATGAAATGATCATGTAACTTTCAGGTTTGTTTTGAAACTAAACAAGGCACCTAAAACTATATGAAATCGCCTAGCACTGATTTTTATTTCAAAACAAGCATGCACTAAACACATAATGGATTTTTAATTTTTAATAATTTTATTTTCCCAAGTTATTATTCAAGAAAAATGAAACCCTCGGGGAAGTTGAAAGAATGGTACAACAGACATATGTAAACTCTTCAGCAAGTTTATTTAATTGTTACCATGTTGCCATATCAACCTCCCCTTCAGTCTCTTGCTTCCTCCTAAAATACCTGAGCATGTATTGCCAAAGAACAAGAATATTCGTCTATATAACCACATACACTAAAATATTCAGGAAATTTAACATTGATCCAATTCTGCTATCTCATGTGCATTCCACTCTCAGTTTCCCCCCATTACTGTAATAATGTTCTCTGTAACTTGTTTTGTTGTTTCTTTGTGTTTTCATTTTGCTTTTTTTCAGGATGCAACCAAGGGCCGCATGTTGCATGTATTGGTTCTCCAGTATTTTAAAATTAATAAACTGCTATTTTAAGGCCCCAAGATCTCTCGATTTGGATTCATTAGATTGTTTCCTCATGTTTAGAGTCTAGTTAAACATTTTTGGCTGAACTACTAGTTAGATGATGTGTTCTCAGTCCATCAATGAAAGGAATCAATGTCAGTTGGTCCCACTATTGGGGAGGTTGAGTGACCATTTAATTAAGATGGTATCTGCCTAATTTCCCAATTACAAAGATACCTTTTTACTTTTGTGAATAATAAGCAATCCTTGGTGGTGCTAACATGCTGTTTTATAAAAGGTTATCACAGAATTCTTTAAAAGACCATTTTTAAAGGCTTGGGATCTCAGATATCTATGTGCAGTTTTTTTTTTCTTAACTCTGTAGACATAGGGTTCTTAAAATACTCCAAACAAGAAGCATGCCAGTTTAAATATAATATCTCTTATGTTCATTGCCATTCCCCTAATGCAATAAACTCAACCCTCTAAACCCAAACTGTGTGCTTTGGTTTCATTTTGTTTTGTTTCTCTTGACGTGTGTAGGGAACACTCTAGAAATGCCAAAGAAGCCTCATGCATGGAGGTATTAGAAACTGGAATAAAAGTATCTTCTGCATATGGGGTAAAATTTTCAAGATTTCTCTTTCTAAAAAAAATACATTTGTGAGTTCTTGAATATTTATTTTCAATGATGATTCAAAGTGCTTGTGGTGGAGATGAAGGAAGCTGGTAGCTGCAGTCCTATGTCAAGTTCCTTTGAGACAAGTAATGCTGTGCTTATGACAGAAACACAACTTTCCCAGCTTCACCTTCTTCAATTACATGAAACTGGAGCCTGTTTTATATCTCTGTGACTGACTAAAGGTTCTACTAATGACAACACTATATCCTCTCAGACACTCACACACACACACACACACACACACACACACACACATACTTATACACACATAATTATTCGAAAATAATAAAGCAATCACATCCTTCCTACATTCTGGTAAACATTTTTTTTTTCTGGTCAATGTCAGCAACCTGCAACTCTGCCTCAATCCTTGTTCAAAAACTCATCTGCAACAAATGCTGCCTGTCGTTAGTGATTTGTCAAATGCTTCCATCTCTCTTTCCTTCTTGTCACTACTCTATCAAGCAAACTAACAGTGACTCAAAAGCACATCCAAAAGAAAATTTTATGTTAATTTTATATTTGAAATGTCAGAATATTTGTTATTCATCAGTGGATTAATGAATAGATAAGTCTTTGCTTTAGAAAATATCTCTCAAATTGATCCAATTCTCTGCAGCTCCAAGGCCAACACTTTTTTTCAAGCTTCCGTAATATCTCACTTGAACTACAGCAGTCTGCTTCTACAGTCTCTTCTCCAATTCATTCCCCATATTGCACAAGACTATCTTTTTGAAATCACACCTAAGTGTCTAAAATCCATTTCCCTTTACCCACCTTAAAGCACTTTAATGGAATTCCATTTCTTTTGAGATAAAAATAGAAATGAAACTCTTCAATATGGCCTGAAATTCCCAGCATGCAAGAATCCTGTCTACCCTCCCTAGCCTTATCTCATACTACCTGTCCCATGTACCTGCCCTTCTGTCAGTTTCTTCAGTAGGTCTTGCTGTCTCTACTATGGGGGTTTTACACATGTTGTTTCTTCTTCTGGAATGCATCTCATTTCCTCCTGCCTCCTACTGTTGTCTGAGCAAATGATTTCTGAAGTAGTTTATTTTTTAATCACTGCATATCCAAGATTTTAACTAATTAATCAATGAGAGAATTAGTAAGATTTATAACTGATTAAAAAGAAATGTCAAAGAAGGCATTAAATACATACAAAGATATATACATACAAATACAATACAAAGGATTCAAAGAATGCATTATATGCATATATACATGTGTGTATTACATGTGGAGAGAGAGGAAGAATAAGTACCAATGAGGAATGCTGAAATAAATTTACAAATAGATTTGAAACTGATCAATATCCACAGAGCATTGATCAGGTATCTACAGGGCAACAATCAATTGCATTCCACTAGACAAAATCTGTTTGCATTTTTAGGTACAAGAATCATTTGTATTGTTTGTTTTCTACAATTCACTAAATTGTAAAATGATTCAGACACAATGGAAGGTCAGATGGTCTAGAGTGGTGCATTCATCATGGCATCCAGTGATCTTTAGTGCCTATTTCAAAGTCTTTCGCAATTTTAACTGACCAGCTCCCCCTTCATGATCATAAAAATCTCAAAGATTAACCCATAAGGAATAAACTTAAGATACTGAAATTACTACAGCCATAAATTCTCTCTGGAAGTTTTCAAAATGGCTCTCACAGTAGACTTTTAAAAGAACTCATTCTCCCAACACAAAGAAATGAAGCCCAGGAAACTACAGGATTTAACCAGCCATAGCTGTAAATGCTCTTTAGGATCCTTAAAAAGTTTTAAGAATTTTGGTCCAGAGACCAAAAAAATGACAACCATGTCTTTAGGACAAGACTACTCTTTTTACTTGGATAAACAAATAAACAAATAAAAACTCAGCACACACTCGTTAAGACTTCCCAGCTCCTGTTTTTCCCAGGAAGAACAACCCCCCCCATCCCGAATCCTCCAGAGGCACGTCCTGGGAGGGGCCGCAGGGACCCTAGGGTGCCCTCCAAATGAGACTCCTGAAATTTCCCAATCCATTTCCACAAGGTGTACTTTCCTTTAAAATAACTCTAAAAATTTTTGATATATTAATTACATAAATAAATAGCACACATACCATATTACATATCCCATGTCAATATTTACACATGCATTATGTAAATAGATTTATGCCATATATTTATATAGATATAAGCATGTATATGCGATGGAAATGTACACATGACATAATATAAATATTTGATTCCTCATGTAGTTTGGAAGAATTGCCTGTTACTAAAAATGGGACCATAACCGGATCCAGAAAAGTATTTTAACACTTGCAGCTCTTAGACACAAGAATTACGTTGCTATTTAAATTTCAAAAACGTTTTTTGTTGTGGGGAATGTAATCTGGCAATTAGTAAATACTTCCAAGCATTGAGTACTCACTCCCTGGAGAAACGGGGTGCAGTGAACTGTGAATTGGAGTAGAAAGGACGCTGTGGTTTTCCCGCTGTACTTTTAAGGGTGGATGGTGAGAAGGGAGTGGCTGTGGTCTCGGGTGGATGGTGAGAAGGGAGTGGCTGTGGTCTCTAGTGGATGGTGAGAAGGGAGTGGCTGTGGTCTCGGCGTTACTGGAGACACTGAGGACGGGGCAGTTTCTAAAATATCAATGTTTATAATACATGGAGAATTACATTTCTGCAACCATGTCCTTATATTTTAAATGAAAGTACTTGATGTGAACAAGTGAGGAGATAAGAGTGAGGGGGTTGGAGAGTTCATGGAAATGGTTTAAAGCCCACCAGCATGGAGGTGGTGGGGGCGCCTCCAAGCACAGGTGGCAAATCCCGCAAGACAGGAGCAGCAGTTAAGGGGGTCGCGGGTGAAGTTGGGGGGTGGCTGATTGCGGGGGAGCTTGTGGTGGGTGGGAGCCCTCCCTAGCCCAGACCCAGGGTCTCGGGAGGATGAAAGACAGCAGATGTGGGGGTGGGGCCGGTCCCGCAGGTCTGGACAGATTCAGGCTGCCAGGGCTGAGTCAGCCAAGGCTGTGGGGCCCCCTGTGTTACTGAAACCAAAGACGATTCTACTTCCCCAAGGAAGTTTCCTTTTCTTAGTCACTATTACTGTTAGGATACTTCAGCCACTTATAATTATTTTTAGTCAAAGGAACCAGCTTCGATGATTCCTTTTTTTGTTTGTTTTTGAGATGGAATTTCACTCTTGTTGCCCAGGCTGGCATGCAATGGCATGATCTTGGCTCACCGCCACCTCTGCCTCCTGGGTTCAAGCGATTCTCCTGCCTCAGCCTCCCGAGTAGGTGGGATTACAGGCATGTGCCACCAAGCCCAGCTAATTTTGTATTTTTAGTAGAGATGGGGTTTCTCCATGTTGGTCAGGCTGGCCTCGATCTCCCAACCTCAGGTGATTGGCCTGCCTTGACCTCCCAAAGTGCTGGAATTATAGACGTGAGCCACCGTGCCCAGCACTAAGTTCGATTTCACAGAGGAATTAGGCTTGGACACTCAAGAACTGCCTAGTAACTATAGCATGTGAGCAGCCTAGCAGAACTCATGGGTACACACATCATGCCTTTCTGCAGCTGCACACATCTGGCTCTTACCTTCTTAATGTGTCAAATATGAGCAGTTTTATTATCATGACCAAAAACTATAGCCTCTTTATAGCATATAAAATACAAAGCAAAAAAACATATACACTTAAAATATGCTTAGAGATCAATGTTTCCATACTCTATCTTACTTGGAAATTATTTGAGTATTTAGGTAATTTAGGTAAAAAAATAGACGCAGTAAATCTATTTAACTAGTTATATATGAACAGAAGTATTTGCAATGCACTGAAAGCAAAGCGATGAAATTATCTCTGTTAACTTTATTATGTGTGCAAATGCCATAAACTGAGTCAAAATACCTGATGCAACCTTAAAGCTAATGTCATTGGTTAGATCTTGCTCAAGTTTGACCTCTAGAGAAAAATTGCTTAGGATCATATTCTTGTTTTACCACTTAGCTTAGAGGAAATGCTACCTAGGTTTTCTAATCTATAGTTGGCATTATTAAACTAGTTAATTTTGTAAAATTACTTAGAATAATATTTGACCCATAGTAAATGACACAGTGTGGCTGACTTGGTTGGGTAAGGTAAATTTGGAAATAATATTTTCAAGGTAGCTTTTTCTAAAAAATAAAAATTCTATATAATGCACATTATCGTTGAAAAATGTTTGTAAAATGCAATAGTTATATAAAGAAGAAAGTAAAGATAATCTTATCTATAATCTAAGAGTGGCATAACAACTCTTAATATTCCAGTATTTCTTTTCTTCTAGTCTATGCCATTATTATTGATATAGACAGTCAGGGAAATACTGGGTAGAAGAGGGCGAGGTCCCTGTGAGGGCTCCACCCTCAAGCCTGTACCCATGGCCCAAAGTGAGTACAATCCCTGTTTTCTCACCCAAATCTTACCTTTTTGGCCAATCCCACCCCTATCCTGTGCCCATAAGAACCCCAAACCCCAGACTCAGTAGACACACACACAGAAGACAGAAGCGTCTGAACATCAAGAGGAGAAGAAGCAGCTGGACACTGGGGACTATGGTCAGAGAGGTCAGTCCGGCAGCCAGACTCCAGGAGAAGATTATCCTACCACTTTACTCCCTTTCCTGCTCCCCTTCCTACTAAGAGCCACATCCACTGCTCAATAAAGTCCTCCACATTCACCCACTCTTCATTCATTTAACCTGATTCTTCCTAGATGCTAGACAAGAACTTGGATTCCAAGAGGGAAGGGTGTAAAAGGCTGAGCTGGTTAACACCTAACTGTCCACAGATGGCAAATGCTAAAACCAGCCTGAGCTGATTAACACCTAACTGTCCACAGATGGCAAATGCTAAAAGGAGCACTGATTGTAACACATGCCCTCTGGGGCGCCAAGGGTCTCAGGCAACTCCTAGATGCTGCCACAGAGCCGCGCAGAATTCTAATCCTGCCTGTGCGCAGAAGCACTTGTTCTGGCCTCTGCAACCGCTCACCTGCATGCTTCCCCTCCTGCAAGGGGTTTGAGAGCTGCTGGCTGAATAAGCAAGCCACCCCTTCATGAGTCCCACAAAGGGGTCAAGGGAACTATTCCGTCTCATTATTATTATTATTTTGTTCTTTTATGAAACCGTTGTTAGAGAATTATATTTATTTAATAAAGCAAAGAGTTGGGTATAAGTACTTAGTTATCAGTTAATACTTAATTCTCAGTATTTTCATTAGAGTTTCCAATATTTCCATTGCAAAAAGCTAACCTTGCCTCTTTAGCATTCTTTAGGACTTAAAGGCAAACAATCTGTCCTTTGATTTTTGATTTGTTACTTCACTGTTATAATTACCTTAGCTGTATAGGGTACATACCTCTTTACACTGAACCAAACGCCCAACATACATACCCACATTTTACTTGCTTCCTTATGTATTTTAGAATTGTTTTGTATTGACAAAACAATTTTAGAATTGTTTTGTATCTACAAAATAGGCCCATTAAGATTTTATTTTTTGTGATATTGAACTTATAAATCTCAAGAAGACTTGTGATTTTTTTTACACATTTAATTTTTTAAGGTTTAGGAAAATCTGGATTCTATGTTCTATGGTATCTACTAAAATATACCTAGTATTTTAGAGAAATTATTAAAAAATACATTGGCCCTTTACAAACATTTTTAGAGTTATTCTTAGAATAATTTTGTTTATTTGAAAAGAATTTCTATGGTGGCCACAATTTTTTCCTGCTATTACTACTTCAGTAGTTATTGTTGATGTGGAGAAAAATTTTTGAAAAAAAATACATTTTGATCACTTTCCAGCATTTTTACTTCTTACTTACATCGCATGATGTTTTCCTGTGACCAGAATTCCTAAAGCAATGTTTAGAAACTGTACTGATGTAATAAACCCATTTAACTTTGCTTTTAGATTTTCACCAATAAATATGGTATTGACTGTGGATTTCAGACAAAACCAAATTAACCTAGTATTGCATAGTGGTTTTTTTTTTTGTTTTTTTTTTAACAAGAACGAAGGTTGAAGTTTATCATATTTTAAGCATATATTAATGTATTTTCTTTTCTCTGTCTGTTCATGTAGCATGTAATCAGTGATCAATTACTTATTGAAATCCTGGTGTTCTTAGTTTACACTCACCTTGGTTGTGATGGATGATGAGAAATAAATGCTAGAAAGGAGGAATCCTTGATTGAGAGTTTCATGAGTTAACACTTTCTTTGGAGGGGAGGAAAGCATATCTTTTTAATCTAATTGCACAGAAGTAGGATTCTATGCTTGGAGTCTTACTTTCTAATGGCCGGATTCTCTGACTCTTGGGACATAGCCAAATGTGGGAGCCTAATTGCCATAACCACAAAACCCACGAAAATAGATTTTTGGCCAGATAGTGAAGGCTTTGGTGTATGAAGTCAAAGCAAAACATTTATCACAACTTTTTTCATAGAATGCTCTGGAAGCCAAAAATATCAGTAGTTGTGACTCAGGAGCAACAAATACATAATTAGTTGCAAGAAAAGTTTAAAATACATTTTAAGCTCTTGTTTTTTCTTTATTTCTCTATATGTAATTTTGCAGAAAGGTAGGCTATCAAAATGAAGGATTTAAAAAATAAATGAAGCCGGGCGCGGTGGCTCACGCCTGTAATCCCAGCACTTTGGGAGGCCGAGGCGGGTGGATCACGAGGTCAGGAGATCGAGACCATCCTGGCTAACGAGGTGAAACCGCGTCTCTACTAAAAATACAAAAAATTAGCCGGGCGCGGTGGCAGGCGCCTGTAGTCCCAGCTACTCGGGAGGCTGAGGCAGGAGAATGGCGTGAACCCGGGAAGCAGAGCTTGCAGTGAGCCGAGATTGCGCCACTGCAGTCCGCAGTCCGGCCTGGGCGACAGAGCGAGACTCCGTCTCAAAAAAAAAAAATAAATAAATAAATGAAGAGAATTCATATCAATCTTTCATTTGCCTTTTTAGTCATACCTATATTTATCTATTTGATCTAACGCACTTTAATTCGTATTATTTCTCAATCACTGACAACACTAGAAACAGATTATGTAGTAACCCAGGCAGAATTACAATGAGGGTATTCTAATAAGATTTGGTGGGGAGCAGAATGTTCTAATTTTAATAAATATAGTTTGGGTTATGAAAGTCCTATTACTTTTTTCTTTTGTTCCCCTACTTTGTTCTCTCCAAGGCAAGAACAATATTCCCTACTTTATACCTAAAAATACGTTTAAAACATACTTTTATAAGAACCTACTTCTGTGTTTTAATAAGAGTAATATTTTAAATTTTATAGCAGGAATTGTTTATGCAGCTTAAAGCATGTAGTATTTTTATATCTACAAGTGGGTTTTCAAAAGACATTCATGTGTCTATTTAAGCAGCTTTATAATTTAAGAAATATCTTTGATGAATTTAGAGCTAAAAAGTATTATAGATTTCATTCTGCCCAAATTTATCTGTGTTCCCACAGCAGACACACAATCAAAAGTGAGGTTTCCTGCTCTGTGTTTAGGCCTTGTAACCATCTCATTGATCTGTTTTCTGCCAAGTTCTGATGTAGCCCCACTGACAATGAGTAAGGTGATATTATAGACTTGAATTCATTTGATAGTGTCTCAGGCACTATGCAAAGCTGCATGATCACTGGTGATGACCTTTATCACCTAACAATTTCCATGCCTGTCTCTTCTAGGTATTTGAGGAAACACTCTCCTCTACTTCATCAGTACTAAGATGTACCATTTGATTTTGGGAATTGGCACAGTAATGTAGGAGGAGTGGATACACTGCCACATTGTGGCATCAACTTGATGATGTGTTTTAATTTCTGTAAACCTTGAGTGTGTTAAAAAACCAGTATGTTGGAGCTTTTCTACTGTTTGGAGGATACCTTTGGACTTAATCACCTCATGACCTACATTATACTAGTTTCAACCTTCTTATCTAGATGTGTATTTTGCAGTTAACCCCATTTTTAAAAAGTTGTGAGGATTATATGACCTAATATATATAAAATGCTAGCTCAAAGAAGGCATTCAACAAAACATAGTTTTTTCCATTGTTCTTTCTAGTTTTATTATTATTTTCACATGAAGTACTAAGTTTTTGATAATATTTCCTCCTTTTTCACCTGAAGAAGGAACAAGAAAAGCTTCTAGGTTTTCCTTTCATGTAAAATTTAAAAATCAAGTTAGATCTTGCTATTTCATCCAATTATCCAAGGGGTTAGGGCAAGGGGTTAGGGCATCTCTTAAGTGTCATGTTTGAAATGTTCAGTTAATAAGAACTTTTCCGAAGACATAGGGAAGTGAATGTAATATCAGATCTTCAAATATCATAATAGAAATGTTTTCATTATTTGGTAAGCTAAATAAAGTATGCCACTGAGAAAGAAACAGTCCCTTTGGTTGAGTTCAACCTGCCAGTTCTTCGCATTCATTACACCTCTAACTTTAGAACCTGAATTTAAAAAGGCTTCTTTTCCTCCCTTCTCCCACTGTGCTTTATAACATTCAAAGTGAAGATGAGCATGTTTGTATCTATGGTTTACTACAAGTGTAGAACTAGTCCAACTGTATTGTAAACAATTGCTAAGATTTCATAAAAAGTATTCAAACTTTCTGGAATAAACTGTATATTTGAATCTTCCAGACAGCTGCAAATTATATTAATTTTTCTCTGATTGTTTTATAGTATGAAGTCATATTTTAGTTTAAAATTTAGCTATGTTTTTATTCATGACTAGAGATAGGAAAGAAGGAACGAGCTTGAAATATTATGATTACTGTTCTCCCTTTCCCATCTGAAACACATGGTGTTAGTTGCCTCAGAATTATTTTTCCAAGTAGAAGTGGTCTATGATTAAAAAGATCTGCATTTCAATTTTTTAAATCAATAAGCATTTATTTATACAAGATTTTTCAAATTTCTCATCACTTCTCCCTTTCTCTTAAAATTAAAAAATTACTAGTAACTGGAAATCAGGCACAGATATCCAGGAAATGTAGTTTGGCAATAAGTGCTGTTTTGAAATACACTGCATGGTTTGTGGATAAATATTTCTTTAATGTGTGTAATTACTGGATCAGCAGAATAAATGTGGTCATGTCCTTGTAATTAATACATTGTCAAAAGTTCATTTAAGTATAATAATTTTACTGGGAAAATGCTGTCTATGTGTTTCCCGCAATAATTTGTTAAATTAAGTGCAATAAATATAAAATTACTCTTAGGAATATATTTATTTTTTTCAAGTTCTTTTTCACGAGGTGTCAAATAATGCTTTTAAGAAACCCCTGCACATATCGCCTTTACCCTAGCCCTTACCTCTTCAATTAAAACTCCTCAAGAAAGTATATGGATAGACTATATACCACAATAGACTTTTCTAGACATTTAATTTTAGTTTTAGATAACTATAACCTAACATATATTACAGCTTAGGCTGACAAATATTTAGCCAGGAATTATGCAAACTGCCAAGTGTTCTTGCCCTTAATATCAGATAATAGTAAAGTATGGCTCTTTTCTCTGCACTCAGCTGAACATTTATCTGTGGAGGATGGAGTCCTAGCAGCACAGAATTCTAGGCTGGAAAGGATCTTAGAGATCACCCCATGCAACCCCTTGATTTAGTTTTGTCAAATTGCTCCAAGCTCTCCACAGAAGGATGCTGGGCTCTCCTAAGTGAAACAGCTGTGGGCACTCAAGGAGGACATGATAAATTAAAGGTGCTTTCTTTATAACGTTATGGCCAAAGGGCTGCAGGGAAATATGGTTTACATTGCCTGACATTTTACCTGTGTTGGGAATGTAGCTAGATGGTCTATAAATAAAGGGCAGCAAGGAAACAAGAGATTCTCAACAGTGTTGGGAATAAAATGCAGTGTGTGATAGACATGGCTCGAAGTGGTATGAGCTAGGAAAGACCTTTTTCTCCCAGCTTTGCCCAAGTAATTGATGGATAAGGGATAAAACACAAAAATAAATCAGTGTGCTAGAAGGTAAAGCAGGTGAGAGAAAGGACGGACAGATGTAAGTCAGCAAGCATAGATTGCTAACTGTTGTCCACTTTGATAGTATCTGCATGTTATTTTCACTTTCAGTTCCTTTTTTATAAAAAGAAAGACATTCAAAACCAATGGCTCCAGATCAGTATTTCATGTATTATACAGCCTCAATCAATTTTCGCATGCATTTCTGTGGTCCCTTGGACCAAATTAGCGACCAAAATCTAGCCTGTTTTAAGGAAGGTAGCTACATTGCGACTAAATCCAGATCTTCCTATTTTACTGCTCCATCTTGCCACATAATAGACTGCCTATCCTCTAATTCTTCCAAAGTACTACTAGATCAAATTTGTTGTGTGCAATAGATGTTGACTGAAGACCGCTGAATTAGAAAAGAATTATCAGAACTTACTAGTGTGAAACAGATCCTTAAAATTCAGTATTAGGCACTTCCATACTTAGAAGTGAAGAATATCTACTATCCAACACCTTGGAAAAACATAACTGACTATATTTTTCTGCAGAACTCTGGCCTCTTTCTGTGAAACTTGGGCTCTCCCTTCTCATTCAGACCTTTAAGACATCTTTTCCTTCCTCCCCTCTTACACTGTGTCCTGGGCTGCTTGTAGAAACATTCTTTTCCTATGATTATGCAGAATTATTTGTCCTTCTATGTGTATTGCCTTCTTCCCTAACATCATATGCAGTTGGGCTTATTTTAAACATCTAAAGAGACACTCAGGAAGTTCCTAAACAAAAAAGTCATATTACCTCATTTAAATTATACTACTGTCTAATTATTCAAAAAGAACACCAATACATTATTGTACTAAATATTTTTGTTCCCTTCCTCCACTTAGGTCCTATTTGGATAACTCCAAGAAGCATATCAGGAGGGGGCAAAGCCTTCACAATGCATTGGAGGAATTTAAAACCTAGTTGTGAAAAAAATACAGTATACACATAGATATACATCTGGATACCTAGTTGGGAATCAAAAAATCACCAAGTTTTTAATTACAATCAAATAAGCATGAGCTAATGTAGTACAATATTATATGAATGATCAGAGAGGAAAAAATTTAGAATTCAGAAGTTGTGCTGATAGAACTTTTGGGGAAGTTTTGGTGCATGGTCAGTACTTTGACATAGGCCAATATGCTGTGGTCTTTTATAGATCCAGTGAAGTAGGTAGACTTAACTTCAAGGCTGATCAGGCTAAGCTTTAGGGTTCTTCACTTGCATGGGTCCCTGGTACTGGTAGTGGCCGTGGCAATGTGTTTGTGTAGTCCCTATTTTTGCATACATGGTCATAAAGTTGCAAAAGTGAAATATTTTAACTATAATTGACTGAAACTCCTGCCTATTTCCCCTTTGATTTCCTCTGCATTGCCCTTATCTGGTCAAGCAGTGTTAGAGTATCCAGATCCCATTTGGGGATTTTGCTCTGAGGAAATCTAGTTGGTGATACCTTAAATTCAGTTTAGTGGCTTATATTAAATACTTACATGTTTCACGGATGCTTCTGTATGGTTGACAGATAAAATTCAGGACATCAGTTAAATTTGAATTTTGGATGAACAATGGATAATTTTTAAGTGTAAGTGTATCCAGAAAATATTGTTTGTTGTTCATCTGAAATTCAAATTTAACTGGGTATCCTGTATTTTTATCTGCTAAATCTTACTACCATATACTCCTGTGTTTGGTTTCTGCTAGTCGACCTAATGAAGGATGGCCATCAGGTGTGCTTCGCCACCCTCTGTACCTATTCTCTATGCAGACAGACCCACCCAAAGGTGTATTCTCAGAGATCATGCTGCAAAATGATCATGGGCTATGGTGCCCTGGCACTGGAAGAATACAGGTAGTAGAAAAGGAACAAGGTTCAGAATTTTCTAAATCAAAAGCTGATCTGAAGGAAGTTTTCCTCAAACTTACACCATATATACACACATATGTGTCTATATATACACATATGTGTGTATATATGTGTGTGTATGTATATGTATATGTATATATATATGCACACACACATATATGTAACAAATATATGCAACATATGTGTATGTATGTATATATGTATATATGTGTGTGCATGTATATCTATATATGTATTTGTATATACATGTGTGTGTGCTATAATTTTTTTTTGAAAAAAGGACTTTGAAAGAAGTTTCCTCACATTTAACAACAATCCTAAAAGTTCTCATGCTCTTACCAACAGTGAGCTGTAAGCCTGACAGTAACTTTCCTAAAGTATCTATTAAAAAAAAAAGAACTAAATATATTAGAGGAAAATTCTAATTCTTCATTGTATAGAAAATGAGAATTATGTAAAAATTATATGGAGAGATGAACAAAGAAAGTGTAAAGAAATTAAAAAAAAGTAAGGAAAAAAAGATACAGTCTAGTGCCCCATAATGACGTTACGATCAATGATGGACCACATATAGGATCCTGGTCCCATATGATTATAATGGAGCTGATAAATTTCTATCACTTAGTGACATTGTACCATAGTACTGTAACAGTGCAACACATTACCTTTTCTATGTTTAGATAAGTTTAGATACACAAATGCCATTGTGTTACAATTGCCTACAGTATTTAGTACAGTAACATGCTGTACAGGATTGTAGCCTAGGTGCAATAGGTTGTACCATATAGCCTAAGTGTGTGGTAGGCTACAGAATCTAGGTTTGTCTAAGTACACTGTATGATGGTCCCACAATGACCAATTTACCTAAGGAAGCATGTTTCAGAACATATCCCCATCATTAAGTGACGCACGACTCTATTATTTTTCAGGATTTTGTGTTGGCTACCATCTTCAACTGCTTTTTATGAAAATGGCATTTGGATGTACTTTTTCACTCTAAATATATATTTACATATTCACAATTTTGTGTTCTTTCTTTAAAGATGAATGTCAAAATTGTAAAAGCAAAACCGTGGGGTGATGGCATGAGAGCCACCCTTAGACTCATAGGGCTATGTTTGTACTGTGTTTGGTTTGTGTTCTAGGTCTTGATTCTTTTCAGTTTGAAGAAAAAAAGCAGCTGATTTTGAGTCAATTATCAACTACTGTGGCATGATGGTTAGAATTATCTGTGGTGTCAGATTGCCTGTGTTCAATGCAGGCCCCATTCTCTTTTCACCACTATAACCTGAGACAAATTGCTCAGCTGCCTCAGTGAAGTGAATAAGATGATTGTTAGGACTAAGTGAGATAATAATGTAACAAACTTTGCAGAATAGTTGACACATTGAAAAGGCTTTGTCGGTTTTGAATAATATTATTACTGTTGTTATCAGTGTTATCATTAGTCCAACAATTCACCTAATATAATTCAATTAAAACGAATGGTATAAATGAAAGTGTGTTACATTCACAATCTCATGAATCAATTAAAAGTTATTTTGTGAAAGTGTCTACATAAAGATAGTTAGGTTTTGATAATGTAGCTCAAAGAAAAATGTGTGACCTCCTGTTTCTTTCTCTGCAGCATCAAATGAGAACCATCCAGTATTTGGTCTGTCTTCTGAATCTTGGGTTCTTTTTAATTTTAGAAAAAAGAGTTGCTGTGATCTTGAGTCCGTTACCAACTACTTGAGGTCAGCAGACAGAAATTCTGTAAAGGAGTTTTTTTTTTTTTTTTAATTTAAAGGAGAAAAATAAATCATAGCTTATGATTCCCTCCTTTAGAATGTCAAAACAATTCAAAAACATCATACCATTTACAGACACATTTGCTTAGGTTCCACTAAACAGTACCTCTACAGTTGAGCCAGAATCAAATTGCTACTCATCACCACAGGAAAACAATTTGGATGGCTATCAGTTTGGATGGTCTTGGGGCAGGTGTGCCTGACTCAATGGGAAATAAAATGTTAACTAAACCTAGAAACTGCTTGCAAACTTCTCTGACATCCATTAATTCAACATAAATATATGGTGATAAGCATTCAACATAGTTTCAAGTGCATACTTAAAGTATGGAAAAAGTAATTACTTTGTGTATAATGAAATCATCACTGAAAAAAATGTGATGTTTGTCTGAGATAAGGTATGTGTTATGGACTGAATGTTTTTATCCATCCCAAACTGCTATGTTGAAGCCCTAGCTCTCAATATGATGGTATCTTGAGGTAAGGCCTATGGGAGACCATTAGGTGTAGATTAGGTTATGAGAGCGAGCTCCCCATAATGAGATTAGCGGTCTTACAGAAACAGGAGGAGAGACCAAAGCTCAATCTGTCTCAACCGTGTGAGAACACAGTGACAAGGCACCATTTGTAAACCACGAAGCAGGCCCTCAATGGGAAACTAATTGGTCAGCATCTTGATCTTGGTCTTTCCAACCCTCAGAACTATGATAAATACATGTCTGTTGTTTAATTCACCCAGACTATTGTATTTTGTTGTGTCAGCCAAGCTAACTAAGTTAGTATGCATTGGAATTTATCCTTCAATTATTTTAGGAGAACTTATAGTTGGCTCCATTATACTATTTAATATGACATAATGTCATTCTTTGTGATTGTGACCTATGCTCGGTTTCCCTTCAGTGTGCTCACTCCTATCATGTTTCTCCCAATGTGCTATTTTCCATAGAATAGCATTTATAAAAGTCACCTGTAATTATGGATTCTGTTTCCCACTGGGTTCTAAGCTCTTTTACAACTCCCTTTCTCTGAACCCCTACTTCCTGCTACTGTATCTTATACAAAGTCACACTTTAAATAATGTTTAACGGAAAGAATGAAAAGGAGATACATATGTTGTATTTTTAAAAAATTTCAATAAGCCACTTTCATATCTACTGACTACCAATAATAATTATATAATAATTACAGGAATAATTACATTAGACCCTTCCACTGTATTCTAAAACCTTCAGTCCCATTTTGAGTAAGAACCCCATGCTATGGGTTTTGCAGAATGCATAGCTAATACATAAGTATGTTCAATAAAAGCCACAAGACATATGAGACACAACTAAGAAGCAAACATAGAAGAGAACAATAAAACATTGATCTTCACGTTTCCGAATATAATTCCAAAGCTCCCAGTAGAGCTGTGGAAAGTGGAAAGTCGCCACAAGAACATATTTCCTCCCAGAGTCTGTGTTTTCTTTTTCCAAGTGTTTAATGCCCTGGTCTACCACTGTTCTCAAATATTAAAGAAGCACAGATTTCTTTACGGACGTCAAAACATCATCAGCACAAGGACAAATGCTTAGCTAAGGCTCACATATATCATTCTCATTGGTACATATGGTAATTTTCTCTAAATTGGCTGGTTTTCTAAGGCTACTGTATCATCCTGAGATATTAAGTTTTTAAATTGGCTCTTCCCACCTCTTTTAAAGTTAGATGGCTGATTGCCATCACATAATTTAATGATCTAGTCCAATCTATACAATGACTGTGTAACATGGGCAAGATAATTGTAGAGGAATTGCATGCCATTAATCAGTTGGCTTTTTGTTCTTACATGTTCCATTGCTTATCATTCAAGGAAGAAAATTGTCTTTTGACAGGGGTCCCATTGCAGCCTTTTTACTGTCCAATAACATCAAGGCTGAGGTTTCACAAGATAAATGAGAATGGTACATATAGGGTGACACTTAGTTAAAAGGCCTATTTTCGTATGAACTGTTTTTGAAAAAAATTAGAAATGTGTCTGTATTGTTGGGGAATGGGTTGCAGAAGACGTGTATTTTAAAACATGGAAATAGGTTAAGTAAAATAGATGGTCTCATTAGAGATTCACCAATTTATGCAAAAGACTACTACTCTTCATGGTTAAAAGGATAACACCAAAATTCTAACTCTTGATGAGCATCATCACTTCTTCCACCTTCAATAAACAATGACTGCATTGACAAAGGAATTTTTTCTCAAGGGATAGCCTAGGCACTGTACTCATGGCCATTATTCTTCATTCCCTCACAGGTGGGAAGCATGCCTTTTTAATCTTTGTATTTTCATAGCCTAACTCAGTATTTAACATTTATTAGATGCTCAATTAATGTTTCTTAAACCAAACCAAACCAAACCATTCTTGACCTGGTAAAGCTAACTCTGCAAATAAGGAGTTATTACTAGGGAAATACATTAATGTATGACTTCTGGAGGAAGAGACAACACAGTGAAGAAAATGGTGACCTTTCCAGTTGCGTGGGAGGAGCGATTAGTAGTTTGAATGCAATGTCTTAACATGCATGGTGGAGTTTTTTGTTTTATTTTATTATATTTAATTTTTAAGGATAACAACAAAATTGAGATTGAAAAGTGCTCTTTTATTAAACATTATATTTATGTAATTATATTTACGTACACACATACATATACCCATAAGTGTAAGTATGTATGCTTTATTTTTCAATCTGTTAACTTTATCTTAAGCTTTATGGGTTAGATTTCTGACTGAACCACTTCTATTAAAAGTAATGCCCAAAAGTGCAATTACTTTTACACTGACCTAATAGTAAATTATTTCTTGAATGTATCTCTGTGCAGGGACAAAAAAAGGAGATGGACTTTCCTTATATCATAGACAGATCTCCTTGATACTATACCAGATGTTCTCGAATTTATTCTTAGTTCCTCCCTCTCTCTCTCTCTTTTAATGTTTCCACTTGTATCCTCTGGGGTAAAAATGTTTCTATGGGAATGATAGTCAGCAAAGTTTGTTTTTGATAACTTAAAGGCAAACTTACTGTTGTGAATAGGGTGATGGGTGCATTTAATAATTGTGGAAGCAAAGTTAAAAATCTAGAGGAAAACATGATTATGAGGTTATTTCAGCATTAAAATTAAGTAGTATTTCTCTTCAACAGAAAATATTTGAACGAACAGTATCTTACAAGCAGCATTTTTTCTTTTAAAGTACAATAGTTTTAGGTAGAAACAACAACAAAAAAGATAAAACTATTTCTCTCAGTCTCTGCTAGCTGCATCTTCACCTATGCAAGTCTGTGCCTAGTCATAACTTCTATTGCTTTCTCTCAAAACCTTCATTCTAGTAGAAGCTATAAGATGGCGCCCCTTGATGAAAAGCAGATGTTTTTGTTGTTTTCTTTTTCCTTTCAACCCTGTTTGGATTTTTTAAGTATAATGCATAATGTTAACTCTCTTTAATAAGCAAGAACATAGCCATGGCACTTAAGTGAAAACAGGGCAGAGAGGCTGGCACAGTCATATAAGGAGAGGTTCATCAAACACCAGGACATATGAATTTGTAAGAATGAATGATCAGATGTGGGCTTTAAATCAATTTTATCTTCACTGTTTTAACATCAAGAAGAGTTGTTAGTTGTAAACCAATTGTTATGCAACTTAATGAACTAATTAGGAAAATCAGTTGCAATAATAGTATTGGTACAAACTGATCTGAATATAAAAAGTAGAATTAGAATTCTAATACCAAACTTTTCCAACTAGAAAGACTGCATAATAATGCTATTATAAGATCTGTGTTTTGTAGAAATTAATCATAGATTGTTCTTCATTACGGCATTTGATTTCTATAATCCATTCTTTTGTAATTGTGCTACACCACACTGTTTTACTTGTGATATTTCTGTTGTGTGCATATATGTTTTGAGGTCTGCCAGGATGAGCTAGATAATTTCTTAAATAGTATTGCATGAACTGGTTCTAGCATCATTTTTTCCTAGTCTTTTGCTTTGTTCAATGAATGAGTGTCTGTCATCCAGAGATATAAAATATGAACACCTCTGCTCGAAGACCACACTTGGGCTGGCAAGAGTACTACAACTGCCTGGTTGAGTCACAGACGGAGCTGGGATATGCTAGAACTAATTCACAAATAATAGAGAAAAGCTGAGTATCACTTAGACCATTTTTAATGTGGAATTCTCCAAAGACGGAATCATAAACTCCAGAAGATGTATGTCAGTTGTCACTCCTATCTTTTGTTCCCTAAGTTGTGCATTTTTAATATGAATGAAATATTTTCCTCAGCGGTGACTGGGTAATTGTTTTGATAGTTACATAATTTTATATCCTAGTGATGAAATATTTATGCATGCAATTCAAGTTATCTGTTATAAAGGGAAACTGTTTAACCATAGTGGACTAATGGTACTTAGGAAAAATGGGTGTCAAAATGAAATTTATTATATCTTCCAGTACTGCTTTCTGTGATAAAATACAATTTGTATGATTGTGAAGTAGCATTGTTTATTTTTCCAGTCAAAAAGTCACTGTCAAAAGTATGTTTGGGGAGGGAAAAATAGCCTTAAAACAAATGTATCACAGAGACTATCTAGGTTGTTAAAAAAAAACCTTGGGCAGCATGTTAAAAATGAACATCTCCAATACAATTTGTCACCCATGCATAAATCTTGCTGACATTTTCAGTCACTTTAATAGCCTGCCCATTTTATAAATCAGTATGAACTTGCACAGTTGCAAAAAGTGTGTATTTTGAACATCTCATTTGCATACTTTACCAAAAGCCAATGAGGCAGTGGGAACAGCACTGGTGATCATAATACGTGTTTGGGGAAAGGCAGAGAGATCACTAATGGCTTTGCCTTTAGGGATTTCTGTACTCCATAGGGGACGAAAATGAGAAATATTTTTCAAACAGCAGGGGTAAAGGTTTTAAAACTAGAAACACATGGAGTGATAAAGATGTTAGTGCCACAGGGCGCATAGCAGGAAAAATTTACAATGTAAAAACTGTAATTTCAGCATTAGGAAGTAATAATCGTGTTTCATCATTGTTATTAAAGCATGACCCTTAAAGTCACATAAATTAGATATAAGTTTCAAAAGAAGTTTATTAATCTTTAGCAGGAAAATATTAGGAAAGTTTATTATCAGATAAGATTTTCAGAGAGAGACACATTCTTTTGATTGCACAGATATGTGTGTATGGGTGTGTGTGTGTGTGTATGTGTTCCTAAGAAAGTCTATCATTTCAAAGGCTAAATAAAACTTTACTCACTATTAGACACTGGGTATAAATAGTGCCTGCAGATACTTCTTATTCTTTTAAATTAGCAATTTGAAGGCAGAACGTTGTACACAGAGAACAGGGGCTGACCCGTATATCTTGAATAGTATATTTTTTCAAAATAGAATAGCAGATAGAAACTAAAGTTTAGCTTTGTTACAGAATTTTGCTCAGATGACAGTCATGGCAAAGCAGTGTTGCTAAAATAACCATTAAATTAGTAACAGGTTTGGGGCTTCTTGGACTATTTCAAGATATATAACTAAAAGATAAGGTTTTATTAGTAATAGTAGTAGCTCTGTAGCAAAATCGGTGAAAAATTATATCTTAGAGAAAGGCAAGAGCCAGTAATTATTAGTGAGCATTAATGAATAATTTACATAAAGAAGGTAATCTTTTCGGTGGTGACTATGTTGACTTGAAGTCGAACATCAAGTTTATGGGAGAAATATTATTTTTATCAATTAATAATTCTCTCAAAAATCTGGCTTTAGAATTTCTGAAATCATCCTATATTGTTGCATAATTATTTAGGTAGAACTCAATCTTGGCAAGTTTAGGTAGGAAAATCTTTGTTTCTAGAGTAATGGCTCAATTTTATTCTAATAATTTATTTTAACATTTAAGAATGGAATGACTGGTATAAAAAATTATAAAAAATAATTTTATGAGAGCAAACACTCCACAAATACATTATAAACTGAGACAACGCAAATTTGTATTAGTTCAAAGTCAGAGATATACATTTTCATATGCAAGTAAAAGCTGTTTGTCAGAGAAAAATACAAGAAAATATAAATAAGCATAAAAATAACTTTAGTTTCTGTAACAGCAACATAGCCATTTTTGATATTATTATATTTATTATTCTTCCCAGGAATATATGTATATCTATACATACAAAAAAATCTTAAAATTTTTATTCTATTCATACTGTTATAGAAATATACTTTCAAAAAATGTATGACAATATTATTATGTTGTGGCACATACAACCAATGAGCTGTAGATCACCAAAGCGTGGCTAAGTAGAAAACCTACAGAATCTGATAGAATGAAAATTCAGGATCATTTAAAATTAGATTAATTAAATTCAAAGGACTTCCAATAAGATATTAAGCTTGTGTAATAGACCTCATCTTAATAATGTTTGCTACTGATTTATATAATAACTCTCATTCATAGATATTGCTTATATTGTTCTGAGTAATTATTTTAAACATTTTGTGATATACTCAAAATCTTTCAGATAGACTAAAGTGATATTTATCCTCTTTAAAAAAGCAATAGTCATCCATAGCAGTAAGTTTATTGACAGTCATGTTCCATTGCAGAATTATGAAATAAATACTTTTCATTGCATTTGTTAATTTGCTGCAAGGAAAACAAAAAGACCCAGGGATAGGAAATTCATAAGAGATACAATGGAGAAACTACGAATACTGAGAAAAGAAGCATTCTTAGTGTGCTCAAATCCTTTTTAACTAGAAATAGTATAGACATAGAAACTAAATTGTAGGGAAAAGAAATAGAGTGAGACAAAAGTGTTAAGTGTTGGCAGAAGAAAAGGTCTTAGTGAAGTCTGTATTACACATACACAGAATGAGAAAGAGATGAATCATGAGGGAGTGAGAAAGTCACTGAATTGATACAACTATAATGCTTCAATGCCAAGTCATTGGAAAAATAAATCATAATTAAATCTTCATATATGAAGAACACTGAGAGGCTGTAAATAGCAAGGGTAGAGTAAGTTCAGACTTTTCCCTATCTTTAAGGCACATAGAACTGGAAAATAAACATAAATAATTGAAAATGCATTCTATGCTTCAAAGAAGAGTGGAAAGAATTGCTTTTTGTGGAAAAAATCTTTTGTTTTATTGTTCTTTCATTGGCTATAGCCTTTAATGCATATCATAATTAAGCTGTTTTAATGAAATGCTCATTCTGTTTAACAAAGAATGGTATCTTAAGACTTACTTTTTTATGTCCATGGAGAAATTTACACTGCAGAATTTAATATGAAGAAAGCCCCCCTTTAGAATGAGACCTGTTCTAATGTGTTAGTCAGCTTTTGCTAGATTATGCGGCAGTAACAAGTAAGCATCAAATTTAAATGTTTATTTCTCACCATATTACATGTCTGCAGTTGTGCATTTTCTGTGGCTCTAGCTTAAATTCATCTTGGATTGGGGCTGAAAAATCACAAAGAAACAATATGGTGACTCTTAAACCATTCTGTCAAATCTCACTTTCATTAGCCAGAGAAAGTCTTATGAAAAGTTTGATCTCTATGTGAAAAGAAGAACCCTCTTCCCACAAGGAGCCTCTGCAAATCACTGCAAAATGCATTGCAAGGTATACTCTTTTTATAGGAAATAGGGAATAATTGGAGGTAATAATACAATTTTGTATGTATGTATATGCAGTAATAGAATTTGCCACATTGCTAAGCTTTCAAATAATAGTATCTAATTGCAAGGGTGTTTGTTTGTTGTTTCTGTTTTTAATTAGATTTTTCTCAACAGTTGTAGTCTAATCATGAGGTGGGAGTGGGTGGGAGACACAGTAGAGGAAGGGAGATCAGAGCAGTGTTGATAATGCCGTTAACAAAACAATTGGAAAGGGGAAATCAAAAAACATCACCAAGAGGGGAGGGAGGTTTTTCAGGCTCTTTGTTCTCTAATGGGAATCTTTGCCGTAAAGACAGGAGATGTTCAAAAAGCGAATCCACCACAATCAAGTAGGCTTCATTCCCGGGATGCAAAGTTGGTTTAACATATGCAAATCAATAAATGTGATTCATCACATAAACAGAACTAAAGACAAAAACCACATGAATATCTCAATAGATGCAGAAAAGGCTTTCAATAAAATCCAACATCCATTCATGTTAAAAACTCTCAATAAACTAGATTCTGAAGGAATATACCTCACCTGTGACAAACCCACAGCCAACATCATACTAAATGGGGAAAAGCTGAAAGCATTCTCTTTGAAAACCTGCACAAGACAAAGATGTCTGCTCTCACCACTCCTATTCAACATAGTATTGGAAGTCCTGGCCAGAACAACAAGGTAAGAGAAAAAAAATAAAGGACATAGAAATAGGAAGAGAGGAAGTTAAACTATTCCTGTTTGCAGAAAACATAATTTTACATCTGGAAAACCCTGTAGTCTTGGCCCAAAAGCTCCTTCAGCTGATAAACAATTTCAGCAAAGTTTCAGGATACAAAATTGATGTACAAAAATTACTATTATAGCATTCCTAAACACCAACAATAGCCAAGGTGAGAGCCAAAATAGGAACACAATTCTATTAACAATTGCCACAAAAAGAATAAAATACCTCACCATAGAGCTAGCCAAGAATGTGAAAGATCCTACAATGAGAATTATAAAATAATGCTCAAATAAATCAGAGATGACACAAACAAATGAAGAAACATTCCATGCTAATGGATAGGAAGAATCAGTATTATTAAAATGGCCATACTGCTCAAAGCAATTTACATATTCAACACTATTCCTATATAACTACAAATGACATTCTAATAGAATTAGAAAATACTATTTTAAAATTCATATAGAACCAAAAAAAGAGCCCAAATAGCCAAGGAAATCTAAGCAAAAAGAACAAAGCTGGAGGCAATATACTACCTGACTTCAAACTACACTACAGGGCTACAGTAACCAAAACAGCATGGTACTGGTACCAAAACAGCATGGTACTGGTACAAAAACAGACACATAGACTAATGGAACAGAATAGAGCCCAAAAATGAGGCCTCACAACTACAACCATCTGAACTTCCACAAAGCTGATAAAAACAAGCAATGAGGAAAGGACTTTCTATTCAATAAATGGTGCTGAGAGAACTGGCTAGCCATATATAGAAGATTGAAACTGGACCCCTTCCTTACACTATATACAAAGATCAACTCAAGATGGATTAAAGACTATATGAAACCTAAAACTATAAAAACACTGAAAGATAACCTAGAAAATACTATTCTGGACATAGGAATGAGCAAAGATTTTTGACAAATATGCCAAAAGCAATTGCAACGAAAGCAAAAATTGACAAATGGGATCTAATTAAACTTAAGAGCTTCTGCACAGCAAAATATACTATCAACAGAGTAAACAGACAACTTACCGAATGGGAGAAAATTTTTACAAACTATGCATCTGACAAAGGTCTAATATTCAGCATCTATAAGGAACTTAAACAAATTTACAGGAAAAATAAACAACCCCATTAAAAAATGGGCAAAGACATGAATGGACACTTTTCAGAAGAAGACATAGACGAGTCCTACAAGCATATGCAAAAAGCTCAATATCAGTTATCATTAGAGAGAAATGCAAGTCAAAACCATAATGAGATACTATCTCACACCAGTAACAACTGCTATTATCAGAAAGTCAGAAAATAACATGCTGGCAAGGTTGCAGAGAAAACGGAACACTTATACACTGTTTGTGGGAGTGTAAACTAGTTCGACCATTATGAAAAGCAGTGTGACAATTCCTCAAAGATCTAATAGCAGAATTACCACTACACCCAAAAATCCCATTTCTGAGTATATACCCAGAGGAATATAAATCATTCTACCATAAAGACATATAGACACAAATATTCATTATAGCACTATTCATAAGAGTGGAATCTTATGATTCCACTCATCTATTACAGAACAGATAAAGGAAATGTGGTACATATACACCATGGAATACTATGCAGCCATGAAAAAGAATGAGATAATGTCTTTTGCAGGAAAATGGATGGAGCTGGAGGCCATTATCCTTAGCAAACTAATGCAGGAACAGAAAACCAAATACTGTATGTTCTCACTTATAAGTAGGAGCTAAATGATGAGAACTCAGGGACACAAAAAGGGGAATAACAGACACTGGGACCTACTTGAGCGTGAAGGGTGGGATGAGGAGAAGAAGCAGAAAAGATAACTATTGGATACTAGACTTAGTACCTGGATGATGAAATAATCTGTACAATATGCCCCCATGACACAAGTTTACCTATATAACAAGTCTGCACATGTACTCCTGAAATAAAAGTTTAAAAAAAGAGAGATAGAGGAGACATTAGAATCTGTGATGCAGCCTGCTAGTTGTCCAGGATAATCTGTGATCTTTTTCTACCATGGCAATTGAGTTGTATCTGAGATGTAACTGCCCAGCCAGACAGCTCAATTTCCAGCCTCCTCTTCAGTTAAATCTGGCTACATGACTAAGCTCTCTTTTCAATGGAATGTGTGTGGATGTGATATTTGCCACATTCTTATTTCCATAAAAATTCCTGTGTGTATTCCTTCTTGCTCCTCCCCTGCCCCAAGCCCTTCCCATGAGGTAGAAAGTGATGATTATTCTGCCACTGAAAGCCAAATATTGATGATGGAAAAGCTGCTATCAGCCTGTGTCTCTGAATGTGGCAGAGCCACCCCCACTTCCCAGTTTTCTCAGGAACACCTTCCCTGCACTGTAACATGAAAGGGAGAGAAAATACCACAGTGTTTGAGGCACTCTATTATAGAATATGTTATTGCAGAGGCTTACTGATCCTAACACTCTTCTTCCAATAAATTTTCTTTTAGTCATCAGAGAGATATTTTCTACAAAACATGCCTTTTCTAGCTCAAATAAGATTTAAACTATTTAGTGCACCTTTTAAAGCCCATGTTGAATATTCTACATTCCTGCCTCTTCCCTGCTACATGCTCTATAAAGAACAAATACTTGCTTCTTTTCTCTCATACTATGCATTTTTCAGCTTCTATGACTTTGATTTTTCCATTGTTCATTCCAATAAATCACCTTTTTTTGAAAACTATTGATTCTTGTACTCTGCCACATGCTGCATAATTTGTTCTCACAATCCAAACACTAAGAATTATTTGCAGCAACAATAGAATTTTTTGAGAAACACTAAGGATGTATGCGAACAAATGTACATATAAGTTTTTCTGCACTAGGCCACCTCTCTCCAAAAATAGAGACTGTTTTTTCTTCAACTGAGTGTTCTCAGCAGAATATCTGGCTTTCAACAAGTAATTGTAACTTTTAATTGTTTGTAAAGACTGTCTTGAAAGGTGACCAGGAAGTTGATAAAAATTGATTGGTGCATTTTAGATAATCTATCAGTGATACTTTGGCCTTAGAAATTCAGCTAAAGCTCCAAGTCATATAATTAAACAGAATTAATTCATGTTATATATAAACTTTGGTAAGTAAAGATGGCATTTTACATTGTATGTTGAATTAGAGTACCATCTTGAATTTTTAAAGACTATGTTTTGCTGGAATGAGGTATTGGAGGCATTGCTTTTGGACAATTAAAGATCTTTTGTTGTCAAGAATTTCCTTCAGTTTTCAAGCTACCATGTTTGGAGGCAAAAGGGAGTATGTCAATACTGAGATTGGAGGATTATATAAATTAAAGGCAGAATATATGTGTTAAATATTGGTCTCGGCCAGGGGCAGTGGCTCACGCCTGTAATCCCAGCACTTTGGGAGGCCAAGCCAAATGGATCGAGAAGTCAAGAGATCAAGACCATCCTAGCCAACGTGATGAAATCCTGTCTCTACTAAAAATACAAAAATTAGTTGGGTGTGGTTGCGTGCACCTGTAGTCCCAGCTATTCAGGAGGCTGAGGCAGGAGAATTGCTTGAACCTGAGAGGTGGAGTTTGCGGTGAACTGCGTGCGTGCCACCACACTTCAGCCTAGTGACAGATTGAGACTCCATCTCAAAAAAAAAAATTGGTCTCTATATTGCCATATAAATTTCACTTTTCTCAGCTCAAGTCAAATATGTCAATGCTCAATGACTCTGTCAGTTCATCTGTGGTCATGAAAGATTTGGACCAAATAATTTATCTAGGATTTTTTTCAAAGTGATCCAAACCATCTTATAATTAGTTAAGAATGTTAAATTTCTTTGTAAAATAATTCAAGGAATTATTTTATAATCTCTTTGGCTTTTAGTATCTCACTTTCACTTGCAGATATTTTTAAGGTATTCAAAATTTTACATTTAATGAAGGATAAAGAAGACAATGAAATATTTTAGAAGTGATGGCATCATTGATTTTTTTTTCTGTGTACGTTTGTGTCTCATGGTTATAGAGAGCTGTGACAAAAGAATGAGATGAAACTCAACCAGACACCGTTGCCACAAGTCCACCAAGGGGGATGGTGTTAAACCATGAAAAATCACCCCCATAATCCGATCACCCCCCACCAGGCCCCACCTCCAACACTGAGGATTACAATCGACATGAGATGGGTAGGGACACAGGTCCAAACCATATCAGGCCTGAATTTTGTCGATCATCCAAGAATTCATAAGTGATCCTCTTGAGGTCAAGTACATTCATTGGCTATCTATAGGTGATTATTTTTAGGAGAAAAATCTATATTGTGGATTCATGATTAGCACATACCCCATACTGGTTTTTATGGAAACATTATATAATTCAATTCAGGATTAATTGATTGATTAATGAAATCACAGAGACAAGAGCAATACAGTGTTATCAATACTCTAAAGTTGCAAGAACAGGAGCCCCTAGTTTTTTTATCTTTGAATTGGTTTAGAATTGCCCTATGCCCACGTAAAAATTATGAGACAGTGTCACAGGAACATCACCATAAGTGACGTAGGTATTTATTTATTATTATTATTATTATTGAGACAGAGTTTTGTTCTTGTTGCCCAGGCTGGAGTGCAGTGGCACAATCTCAGTTCACTGCAACCTCTAACTCCAGGGTCCAAGCAATTCTCCTGCCTCAGCCTCCTGAGTAGCTGGGATAACAGTTGCATGCCACCACGCCCAGCTAATTTTTGTATTTTTAGTAGTGATGGGGTTTCACCATGTTGGCCAGGCTGGTCTGGAACTCCTGACCTCAGATGATCCACTCACCTCAGCCTCCCAAAGTGCTGGGATTACAGGCATGAGCCACCGTGCCTGGCCTGCAGGTATTTATTTAAAGATGTGTGTTGTCATGAAATGCTACACAGCCATAAAAAAAGAACAAAATTAAGCTCTTTGCAGCGACATGCATACAGCCAGAGGCCATTATCCAAAGTGAATTAGTGAATAAACAAAACAACCAAATACTGCATGTTCTCACTTATAGGTGGTAACTGAACATTAGGTACATGTGGACATAAAGATGGAACAACAGACACTGAGAACTGTAAGAATGGGAAGGGGGTGTGTGGTAAGGTTTGAAAAACTACCTATTTGGTACTGTGCTCACTGCCTGGGTGATGGGCTCAATCACACCCCAAACCTCAATATCATCTAATATACCCTTATAACAAATCTGCACATGTACCCCCTGAATCTAAAATAAAACTTGCAAATAAAAAAATAAAAAATAAGATATTGGTTGCAACAGCAAGTCAGACTTCTTGGTCTCATTCCTTTTCTTTCTATAGTGTTTATTCAGAAACCATTTTTTCCTTTGTCATGTGGGGAGAATTAGTTGAGGCCACATTTTAGCTTTGGGATCTTTAGAGTACTGTTATTTTTATTATGATTTTTGTTTTTGAAGATCCGGGTAGTGTGAACACTTATCTCTATTTGTCATACTCCTGCTTCCAATCTTCTAAATCTGGAATTGCCATAAAAATACAAACTTTGTCAGATGGCAAAGTTTAAAATGATCAGAAAGTACTTGGAAAAGATGAAGCCTGATTTTTCCTCTCAGCCCTGCTTATGTGAAAATATTCTATAAAACTTCAGTGTCAGCATCCAGCATCCAAACATTATAAAGGATGCCATCGTGCATTCATAAAACCCCTTACATTATACTATGGGATCATTTTCAATTGTTGCCACTGTGCTACAAAGGACAGCTTAATAACTCTGGTCTAAACTCCATGATTACATACACTTGGATGCTAATTTGATATAATTAGGTGTGCTCTTTTGTTGGATTCTACATTCAATTTATGTTCAGAACTGTGAAGACTATATTTAGTAGTGGTTATCAAGGGTAGAATAAGCCCCACAGGTGCTCCCAACAGAATCATGCTTCTAAGTCACCTTTTCCATTAGCTGCTAACATTGTTAATGGCTCAGGCAGCTGGTGCAGGAATGAGAGAATTCTGCAGTTCCTTTACTAGAAACTAGATTCATTTAATCCAGATCTGAATGTTCTTCTATTTCTATGAAACATCTGTTGGGTGGCACAGTGTATGCACTTTTTAACATCTAAAACACTTTTATTTTTGTAAGATTATCTGTAAAAAGGTATCTGATCAATGCCTAGCCTACTATATGTATTATTTAATTTCCAAATCCTCACAGATAAAAGATTCAGATATAATTTGTCACCAAATCTGGACAGTTTGGGTTTTTAATTTTATGCTAATTATGGATGCTTCTATATTTTTTCTTTGTTTTGAGAGTTACAGCATCTTAACTACACATTTGTCTGCAATTTTACTATCCTAACATGAAGTAGCAATAAAACCGAAGATATTATAAGTACTATAATTATGCATAAGACCCTGAACTTGAGTCTAATGTCATGATCGATTGAGACTTTTTGAGGTGTCTTATTTGGGGGAAAGATGTGTTTATAATGTGTGCAGGTAGAAAGCAAATGTACTTAAGTGACCAAGAGGGTAAGATATGATAAATTTGTATTATTGTTTTTAGTCATTCTCTTCCATTCAGTAGTTGAATTATATGTATCTTCTGTATTAGTCAGAGTTCACCATGGAAACATAATATATATATATTTAAAAATAGATTTATTATGAGAATTGTCTTGCATGATTACAGAGGCCAGAGAAATTCCCCTCTCTGCTGCTGGCAAGCAGAAAATGAGGAAAGCTGAATAATTCAACTGTAATGTAACTAAAGTGTAGGAAGGGGCAGAACCATAGAAATTCAGTCAGAGTCTGAAGGCCTAAGAACTGGGAAGCCACTGGTATAAATCCCAGAGTTCAAAGTCCCCAGATCCAGGAGCTGTGATGTCCCAAACCAGGAGAAGATGGGTAACCCAGCTCAAGAAGAAAGAGAGATAATATGCCCTTCCTTCACTTTTTGTTCCATTCAGGCCCTCAGTGGATTGTATCATGCCTGCCCACCTTGATGAAGGTGACCTTCCCTACTCAATCTACCAACTCAAAGGCTAATTTCTTCTAAAACACCCTTACAGGCACACCCGGAAATAATGTTTTACCAGCTATCTGGGCATCCCTTAGCCCAGTCAAGTTGATGCATTAAGTTAATCATCACATCTTCCTATTGCTGGGTGAGTGAAGGTGACTCCCTGTGGGTGGCATTAACTTATGCAGCCCATTTCTATGAGGCATACCCATGAAATCTAATATGTCCTAAAAAGGAGCTGCTCCTTCAGCCTGGATCCTGTAATGAAGAAGACGTGAGAAACAAAGAAGAACAACACCTGACACACCAGAGGTAAGGAGTAAACCTTGGTTACTAAAAGATACTGAGCTTTGAGAGGACCATCTAGGAAAAAACTATTACAGGAATATTTAATCTAAACTCTTTTTTCCTTTTTTTTTTTTTTTTTTTTTACCTTTCTTTAGTAAGGATATAAAAGGATAGCAAATACATTTCCCAGTGAAATGTGAGGCCAAACAGGCATTACCTATGGTGGTTTAGATGCGCAACAGACCAACTAATGAAAAAAAGAGAAGTCAAAATAAAGATTTGGCCTATGGTTTCTTAATTTCAAGTGTTAGACAAATGGGAGGTTGTGTATGTGAAGCCCTAAAATGAAGGTTTCATTCTTTCCACTGCTACATCACTCACTGCCATCAGCATTGATGAAAATACCTATTAGTATATTGGATTGCAACCACTTTTCTAAATAATGTGAGATATTACTTCACTTTTCATCTGCTTTCTTCAAAACAGCCTTAGCTCATGTTAAAATTCCCTTGTTTTATGAGTTGTCCATCAAGTTTATCTGTGGCATTTCAATAGCTCATGCATTTTGCAAGGCGGCCTTCTAACTATTCCCACCTTTTGATAGTGTGGTTTGTAATGAGGTTAGTTCATCCTCCATACCACTCTTGACCCAAAGAAGACTGGGATAAAATATGGGTCTTCAAAACTAAAGATCCAAGTTGTGCTATTGCAACATTACCCAAGAATGTACATTAGGAAAAACTGTCAGAGGCTTTTAAGGTGTCAGAAAGGGCAGGATCTGCATGGATAAATCATGAGAATTTCCTTTTTCTTTTTCTTCTGTTATGCCTCAAAGCATAACCACTAGTCTGCATTCTGTATTGTTGAGCCTGAGGCTTTGAAATAAGAAATCCTAAAACTTTCTGAATATTTATCTATTTGTATTGGTTTTACTTTTATACTTCCTTCATTTTTGTTTCTCAGTTTGTCTTAATTTATTCAAGTTTCCATCTCAGGTATCAATGTGTTATCATGCCAGATGTGTGCTTGACTAATTATTCTTCATGTACATGTATAACATTTTAATTGAAATTTAATTTCAATATAAATAGTATTATGTCTTTGCAATGAGATTTGTTAAGAGAAATACTGAAAATTATGATAACATTATTCAGAAGCATTAGTTATCAGTATTTAGTAGTTTTAGTGTTTATAGGAAAATAATTTTCAAAATATATTACCAAAATTTGGGGACAGGGGTTGTATGAAGGAGTAATCATTAAGATGTCAGTGTTAATACATTATTTATTATTTCTACCTGAAATAGTAATATCAAGTATTTTTTGTAACCTGTACTATATGCCAGGTATAATTCTAAGCTTTTTATATATGATAATCATTTAATTTTAGAAAGATCCCAAGAAGTTGCTACTATTAATATACTATTAATATGTCTAATTTAAAAATGAGCAAACTTAGGCCCAGATATATTAAGAAACTTGCCCATGCACATACAGCTAATAAGTGGTGCATTTGTCAAACCCAGATAATCTGATCCAAAGTCCCTTTTAAAATAGAAGATTTGAAAATATCAGTGTTAGAATTTTGATTACTTACTATGCAGATATTCTCAGCCTTATACTAATGCATGGGCAACCACAAAGCTTTAGAGTTTTTATAGGGAAAAGATTGATATTTGGATTTAGTATCTAATCTAAACTCTATCACTTTTGATAGAGATGTCCACAAAAATTCATGTTTACTTTCCATATAATACAGTTGTATTTGCTATCATAAGTTATTTTAAGTTACTAGGGTATCTTTTTTTATGGATCTTACTCCCTAAGTGAGGAAACTCTAAAAGGCAGGGAGGGTGATTCATTTATCTTGCTGACTCTATATCATCAGTGCCTTCTTTGCAGCCTCTTGTAAGTAAAAGACACTGACACATTACTTATGTAGGCTCATTTTTCTCTAATTTCTGAGTCAGCCTTAGCATCTGGCATAATGGGATGGGTTTTTGTGTGTGTATCTGTGTGTGTTTCCATAAATGGGCCAATCATACAGAATCACAATGCAATAATCGAGTATCTCAGGGGAATCCCTTCTGAAACATTCAAACTGTCTTACCATTCAAACAAAATATATGCAGGAATTACTACTTCCTCAGACCCAGTCTCACTTATCCAGTTCCTCTCTTTTATTCTGGAAAAAAAACTTCTCCTTAGACTTGTGAAAAACACAAAGCACTATGTATTCTATTTTCCTGCATCAACCCTACAACTATTTTGTTTATTGTCCACTCAATGTCTTCCTTACCCATGCCCTACATTTCAGATTTCTTTTGCCTAAGTACTGATGGAATCTGCAGAGGTCTCAGAATGCTTCACACACTGAATGCTGTATACAAGTATTAATGCAGGCATGCAAAAAGCATTCAAAACATGTTTGTAGAATTGAGTTGAGATGTTCAACCAAGATTATCCTATGAAGAAATGCACTTATCTAAACTCATCTGAAAGGGGTAGGGTTAGATTAATTGTAGAATTAGCCAGGCACAGGGGCTCACACCTGTAATCCCAGCACTTTAGGAGGCCGAGGCAGGCAGATCATCTGAGGTCAGGAGTTCAAGACCAACCCGGCCAACATGGAGAAATCCCATCTCTACTAAAAATACAAAAATTAGGCAAGCGTGATGGTGTATGCCTGTAATCCCAGCTATTTGGGAGGCTGAGGCATGAGAATCGCTTGAACCCAAGAGGCGGAGGTTGCAGTGAGCCAAGATGGTGCCACTGCACTCCAGTCCAGGGGATAGAGCGAGACTCTGTCTCAAAAAAAAAAAAGATTAATTGGATTAATTTTAGAATGATATGGGTTAAATAAAATTGTTTAGCAAGTTTAGCAAGAGAGTAATGTTCAATGTTTTATTATCAATGGGTTAAAGAATTTGAGTGATATGTTTTAAATATTCATGGGTGTAAAAATATATTTCATTACAAAATAATTTGACCAAATTATCTTGAAATAGAAACAAACATTTTAAAATAGGGTGTATATATTTTCTTTGCCTGCAAGAAGTGAACATTTGTAGTAGACTGAAAGGATGAGATTCATGTAAATAAATTATTTTAAAGTACAGCATCATGTGGTTAATTTTATTGATGATTGTACTAGTCGGGGTTCTCTAGAGAGAAAGGACTAATAGGATAGATGTATATATGAAAGGGAGTTTATTGAGGAATATTGACTCACACTGTAACTAGGTGAAGGTCCACAATAGGCCATCTGCAAAATGAGGAGCAAGGAAGCGGTCCCAGTCTTAAAAACTCAAAAGTAGGGAAGCTGACAGTTCAGACTTCAGTCTGTGGCTGAAGACCTGAAAGCCCCTGGCAAACCATTGGTGTAGGTCCAAGAGTCCAAAAGCTGAAAACTTAGAGTCCAGTGTTTGGGAGTAAGAAATATCCAACAGGGGAGAATGATGGAGGCCAGAAGACTTAGGCAGTCTAGTACTATCATGTTCTTCTGCCTGCCTTTATTCTAGCCACGTTGGCAGCTGATTAGATTGTGCCCACCCAGACTGCCAGTGGGTCTACCTTTCCCAGTCCACTGACTCAAATGTTAATCTCCTTTGGCAACACCCTTCCAGACACACCTAGGAACAATACTTTGTATCTTTCAATCCAATCAAGTTGACACTCAATAGTAACCATCACAGTGATCAAAGAAGTATCAATTTTCATGTAAGTTATTGAATTCCAAACCAGTGCCAACAATAAATAGACTTTTGTTGCAGTGATTAATAAAGTGATTAGTGCATGTAAAATAATTAGCAAGGATGTGATTTACAACCAATTATCGGCAATTTAAGAAAATAGAATTAAAAAAACACAAAAACACAGAAGAGAGGTACAAAGTAGATTGTCATTGTCTAGCCCATGGAATAGATGTCTAAGCTAGTTACAGAAGGATGGGCATGAGAAGGATCTCATAGGGCCAGAGCCTGGAGTTCTTCTTTTCCAGGTTTTATATACAGATAGTGTGGGAAAGTCTATGGTGTAGGTAATGTTTGGAAATATATGACTATATTCTAGGATTGCTGTTAATTTCAGGAATAATGATAACTTTAGTTCCTGATAGACAAGAAAAGTAAGGCAAAGGGAAATCGTAAGAAAGGTAGTACTTGAAGTTCAGGCTTGTTTTCTGGGCTCTCTGCAAAGTAATGAGGCTCTAATTTAGCATTATGATTCAAGTGCAGGAATTCAGTCTCTAAAAGGGAAACATACATGGAAGTAACTGAGGTATGTACCTAGCAGGTCATGAACAATTATTCTTAATATTGCTGCCTATTAGAATCACCTGGCAGGACTTAAAAATATCTAGATGTCACTACCTACCCCCAGACCAATTATATGGTGCTGGAACATTATAAATATTTTTGCTGTTTTTTGTTGTTTGTTTTATGGTTTAAGTTTCTAGTAATTCTAGTGGACAATCAGGATTTACAGCCCCTATTCTACAGCAGTTGCAGGGCACCCAGGAATTTTATGGAAATGCATACAGTAGGCCCCCTGTGCTTCTGTGGGTTCTACATCTATGGATTCAACCAATTCATGATCAAAAATACTTGGAAAAAAATTGCATCTATACTGATGATGTTCAAGCTTTTTTCTTTTTTGTAATTCCCTAAACAAGACAGTATAACAACTATTTACATAGCATTCACATTATATTAGATATTATAAGTAATCTGGAGATGATATAAAGTATTCAGGAGGATGTGTGTAGGTTACATACAAATACAGTGATCCTTAAACTACATGAGTTTGAACTCTGCAGGTCCACTTATACGTGGATTTTCTTCTGCCTCTGCCACCATTGAGACAGCAAGACCAACCCCTCCTTTTTCCTCTTCTCCTCAGCCTACTTAAGTTGAAGATGAATACCTTCATGATTATCCATTTTCGCTTAACTAATATTAAATATATTTTCTCTTTTTTATGATTTTTTAAATAACATTTTCCTTTCTCTAGCTTACTTTATTAAAAGAATACAGGAGATAATACATAAAACATACAAAATATATTTGAATGGACTGTTTGTGTTATCAGTAAGGCTTTTGGTCAATGGTAGGCTATTAGTAGTTAAGTTTTGAGGGAGTCAAAAGTTATAGGTAAATTTTTGACTATATAGGAGGTTGGTTTCCCTAACCTCTTGTTAGAAAATCAACTCTATTTTACCATTTCATATAAAGGACGTAAACACCTGTGGATTTCAGTATTCATGAGAGATCCTGGAAACAATGCCCAGTGGATACCTAGGAACTGCTATATTTTGATTCAGTAGGGTGAAGGCAAGGCACAAGATTCTTTATTTCTACCAAGCTTCCAAGTACTGTAGGTTCACATACCATACTGTGGGTCATAAAGTTCTACCTTACTTATTTAGGCACAGGGGAAGAAAGACCCCCTTATCAGAACCAGATAAGTCATTTTGATAAGCTCACTTTTCAGAATTAAGATAACAAAGAGGAAGGTTATATGGCTTCCTCTTAGATTATCAGTCTGCTCTGTCCTAGAGAAAGTTGTAATGTCCAGCTTCAAATTAGTGTTTGTCATTCTTTTAAAAAATTCTGATCCTCATGCAGTATGTCATTTGCTCACTCCTGCAGTCTCAACAAACAGGAGTATTTTGTCAAGCTTTATTCTCTGAAGTGTGTATTATGAATTTATAATTTCTTAAAAGCTATACATATTTTCTTGGAAATGCTAATATTCTACCTCTTGCCTCATATCCTGCCCCTTATGCTTTGTACTATTAGAATATAATTTGTTTCCCATCTTTTTAAAAAATACTTGAAGATTTTCTGACTATATTTTACTACACTTCATGTTGGAATTGTGAATTAAGTGATTTTATCATTGACAGCTACTAGATGTATTTTGAAAGAATCACACTATCCATCTAACTTTCTTATTTTTAGAAATCACATTAAGTAAGAATTAATCATCACAAAAATATAATACAGTTGATGACTTCTAGAGAAACTTCATAATAAAAATTAGAGAGCGAGATGTCAAAAAAGTAGTTTGCTTTTTGCACATTGCTGCAATGGTTCCAGGGAATCCTTTAGGGGCATAAGATGTCAATTAAATGTGTAATACAACCACTATTTTCACAGACAGTTTTAAAAATATACTACAGTAAGCAATGACCTTCTTCTAACTTATGATATTTTAATGAACATTCATTTTAATATGTAAATTAAGTGCTCATAAGCATGCTGGAAAGCTATATCAATAATCTCAGTCCACCTAGTTACCTGTTAAGGCTAATTGAGCAAAATAATTCTTTATTAAATGTTCTGTGTGTGTCAAATCTATTTTCGTGAATTTCTATCATGTATTTTATATATACACTATTGGGATTTGAGGATATATGAATGTATTTTAAAATAGATTTGAGCTCATCCAAGGTGGTTGCCAGGGTTCCTTTGCTTGAAGTTGTAGGATGGAAGCTGTCAGCTCCAAGGAGCTGCACACTATTCTCTGTTTTGTGACTGTCTCTGAAATATGGCTATTTGCTTCTTCAAGGCCAAGAAGAGAGCATCTCTGCTGCTTGGAATCTCTCTGACTTCTTTTGAGTGTGACCATTTGTCTTAGTCCAATTGGGCGCTGTATCAAAAGACCCTAAGATGAGTGATTTTTATAAACAATGGAAATGTATTTCTCATAGTTCTGAGGGCTGGGAAGTCCAAGATCAAGGTCCAAGCAGATTTGGTGCCTGGTGAGGGCACACTTCTTGATCTATAGATGACTGTCTTCTCACTCTAACTTCACATGGCAGAAGGAGCCAGTGGGCTCTCCAGAGTCTCTTTCAGAAGAGCACTAATCCCAATTATAAGGGCTCCACCCTCATGACCTAATCACTTCCCAAAAGCCCCGCCTCCTAATACCATCACCTTGGGGGTTAGAATTTCAACATGTGAATTTAAGGCAAGCACACATAGTCAGACCATAGCACCACTACACCTTATTTTAAAGGGCTGTTCTGATTAGATCAGGCCCAGACATCATGATCTCACTTTTTATGAACTTAAACTGGAGATCTTAATTATGTCTAAAAAGTTCCCTCAGTTTTGACACACAACATAATCTAATCTAACCACAGAAATGATATCCCATTAGAGTCACAAAACCACAGAGGGCCCCTGTTTAGGGCTCTGGGGGCCAAGCTGCCACCCCAGTGAGTCTGGAAGGTGGAGAACCTAACCATGGAGGATTATTCTCAAGCCTTAAGATCTAATGAAATTTGTCTTACTGGGTTTTGCACTTGCTTGCAACCTGTTACTTCTTTCTTTCTTATTTCTCCTGGTTGAAATGGGAATGTCTATCCTATGCTTGTTCCACCACTGTATTTTGCAACATATAACTTGTCTGGTTTCAGAGGTTCATAGCTGAAGAGAAATTTTGTCTCACGATAAGTGATAACTGAAGTCTCATTCATATCTGATTTAGGTCATATTTAGATAAGACTTTCAACTTCGTACATTAGAGTTTATGCTGGAATTAGAATTTTCGGGCCTGTTGGAATGGAATACATGTATTTTTCATGTGAGAAGGACATGTATTTTAGAAGGCCACAAGTGGAATATTATGAACCGAATATTGGTGTCACCCCCAAATTCATATGCTGAAGCTCTAAACTCCAGGTGGCTATGGTTGGCTATTTGGAGTTGGGACTTCTAAGACTTCTAAAGATGTAGTTAAGGTTAAATGAGGTCATAAAAGTAGGACCCTGATCTGCTAGAATTAGTGTCCTTATAAGAAAAAAAAAATAACAGATGTTGTTCTTTCTTTCTTAAAGTGCATGCTCCCTGGAAAGGTTATGATGCTAATGTAATTGCTATCTTTTCACAGAATTTCATTTTCCATTTGCTTCTTGGTACATGAAAGTGCAGTTTATTTTATTTATTGGTCTTGTGTCCAGAAACCTTATGAAATTCACACATTTATTCTAAAGAGTTTTCTGTAAATTCTTTTAAATTCTGAGGTATAAAACCATTTTATCCCTGTTATGAGTTTTATTTCTTCCTTTCCAATTATTATGTTCTCTTTTCTTCTTTTTCTTTCTTTCTCTCTCTCTCTGTCTCTCTGTGTGTGTGTGCCATTTTTCACTAGCTAAGACATGCAGTAAAATATTTATTAGAAGGGGTGCTAACAGATACGCTTTTTGTAGTCACCCCATGGAAGTAGATGGACACTTTATCCAATATTTGGTTTGGATGTTGAGACTAATGGCACCACATGCACACCCAGTAGGTATGAAAAGGTTTATTATTGGCTTTCTAGAGAAAGAAGGGCAGGCTTCAAAGCAGGGCTGAACATGGCTTGAGAGAAAGCTGGGAGAGGTGACTAGTTTAAGATTTTATATTGGTTTGGGGGTGGTACTAGGGTGAGCCTCCGCTCATGGAGGCTGATTATGGGGTCATTTGAACACCCCATCAGAAAGAGAGAGAAAGAGAGAAACAGGATTTCTTATCAGCTTGACCAAATATGATGCAGAAGGTGAAGGAGGAGCAAGCAGTGGAGCTAGAAATCTCTCAGCAGTCAAACATCACATATCAAAAATGGAGATTAGATTCTTTATTACTTTGTTTTATTCCCAAGCTTTGAGGTAAAATTTCAGATATTTTGCCAGTGAATTTAAGATTTATTTCCTTAGATTAACTAAATTTTGTATCCAAATCTGGTATATTACTTTCACAATATTTGAAAATTTCTTTATCTGAAAGTGGAGGGTTAAACTCTCTCATTATTGTAGATTTGTCTGTTTCTCATTTTACTTCTGTAAATTTTCGCTTTATATGTTTTGACTCTGTTTTTGAGTGCATACAAATTTAGGATCACTAAATAATTAACTCTTTTATAATGAAATAACCATGTTTTATTTCTAGTAATGCCTTTGGCCTAAGGGCTATTTGTCTAATATTAATATAGCTATGCAAATGTTCCATTAGTCAGTGTTCATACTCTCATTAATCTTGTATTTTCAAACTCCCTGTCTTCCCACATATTGTGAGCAGAATACATGTAAGTGTGTATTCTAAATATTTTTGAAAATTTCAGATGTTTATTTGGGTAATTAGTCTATTTATATTTAAATTAATTCTGATATATTTGTATATTTATTTACAACCATACTATTAATTTTCTATTTGGCCACTTTTTATTTTACCTTATTGTTCTCCTCCCATCTTTTTGATTGACCAACTTTTTTCCTATTCCATATTTTCTTCCATTGTATCATTTTAGCTATCTAATTATTCTCATAGTGATTACTGTAGAAGACAGCATTTATTTCACTTTTTATTAAAAATTGTTACTTTTACTGTTTCTGACATATTGCCAGAAGATCAGACCATTTACATTCTACCTCCCCCAAATCCCTAAGATTTTACATTATGTTCATACATTTTAGTTTTATTTATCACTTAAATCACATAAAGCTACACAATTATTGTTCTGTATAATCACTATATGCTTATGTTTTATGATATATTCATCCTTTTGTTACTTTTCTTCATTCTCTGATTTTGTTGTTTTCGTCTGGAACAGGTTTTCTTTTGCCTGAAGAATTTGATTTTGCTTTTCTTTTAGTGAAGACCTGGTGATCATAAATTTTCTCAGTTTGTTGCCTACCTTTCATTTTGGAAAGGTATTTTGCTAGCTATCTAGGTTAGCAGTTATCTCCTGTCAGCAGTAAGATGTCGGTTCCCTTGTTTTATGCCTTTCATAATTTCTGTTGATAAATCATCTTTATGTCTCTTTATTGTACCTTTAAAGATCACGTGTCCACTTTTCTCTAACTGCTTTTAAGATTTTCTTTTTTAAAATGTCTTTTTGCAGCTGTCTTGGTGTGGTTTTCTTAATATTTATCCTTAGATTTTTTTGAGATTCATAAATCTGTGAGTTGACATCTTTCAAAAGGTTTAGAAATGTATTTCCATTATTTCTGCAAATTTTATGTCCTAGTCTCTCCTATTCCTATTTGATGCTCATTACAGGTATTTTGAACATTTTTAAACATGTTGTACATTATTGCTATATTTTTTCTTTTCTCTTTTTTTCCTTGCTCCCTTTCAGTTTTTATATTTTCTACGGAATTATCTTCCAGTTCACAAATCTTATGTTTTTGTGTTTGCAGTCTTCTTTTGAACCCATCCATTGAATTCTAAAATTCAGATATCTTATTTTTCAGTTCTAGGATGTTTTGTTTGTTTTTATATCTTCTGATATTCGGTTGAAATCATCTCCCTTTCACCTACATTTTTCATATTTGTTCTCTATTTTCTTGAACGTAGTAATCATGGATAATTGATGTCTTTGCTTGCTAACACCAATGTCTGTGTAATATGTTGGTAAATTCCTTTTGCGTGTATTTTTTCTTGATTTGTGTGCATAACTCCCTGTCTCTAATTAGATCTAGAATATAATACTTTTTATTACATGTCAAATATTATGTAAAAAGGAAACAGAAGTTTACAGTATTATTATTATTCTCCACCTGAGAGTGTTCGCCTTCCCTCAGACAGAAAGACAAAGGGCTGAAACTTCTATAAAATTATGATTGACTTGTTGTAGAACTTAGATGGGATAGCATTGGGAGATATACCTAATGCTAGATGACGAGTTAGTGGGTGCAGCGCACCAGCATGGCACATGTATACATATGTAACTAACCTGCACAATGTGCACATGTACCCTAAAACTTAAAGTATAATAAAAAAAAAAAGAAAAGTTAAAAAAAAAAAAAAAAGAACTTAGATGGTTTCACTAAGGTTCCTTGTATCTTTTGTTGGCCTTGTTTCCTGGGCATCACTCTTGAGACTTTGATTGGAAGCCTGGTTGTTCTCTGACTCTATCTTTTTGAGATTAGAGGAAACTGAGTTTAGCTTCCAGAGTTTCCCAACTCAGCTCTCAAACTTTTAAACCAACGCAGCATTAAAGTATGGCAAATGTCTTGAAGGAGAAACCAGACCAGTGTTTGAACCAATCTCTTCCTCTACCAGGTCTTTGTTTCCCAATGTCCACAACACTCTGCTAGGTTTTGTGCTGGCTTTTGGAAACTTTCACATTAACTCTGAATCCTTCTGCACAGTCTTGAAGTTCTATAATATTCTTTAGGAAGCACTAGCATAATGATGAGGTTTTCTCAAATTCCCAGACTGTAACTCCTGTACTGCTAGAACATTAAATGTTTAGCTGGTTTATCTCATCAAACTATGTAAACTTAGATAATTTGAACATCAGCCTAGAACCGAAAAATGACTCTAATTTGGCAAATTCTCCTAGAGGGAAAAATATCTGGGAGACATGAAGTTTCCTCGGAAAAGTTTTCTCTGGAATGTCTTTCATATGATCTTTGCTTCTTTAAAAAAAAAAAAAAAAAGTTCATGTCGGCTGGGTGCAGTGGCTCATGCCTGTAATCCTAGCACTTTGGGAGGCCAAGGCAGGTGGATCACGAGGTCAGGAGATTGAGACCATCCTGGCTAACACGGTGAAACCCCGTCTCTACTAAAAATACAAAAAAATTAGCCGGGCACGGTGGCAAGTGCCTGTAGTCCCAGCTACTCGGGAGGCTGAGGCAGGAGAATCGTTTGAATCTGAAAGGTGGAGGTTGCAGTGAGCCAAGATCAAGCCGCTGCACTCCAGACTGAGCGACAGAGTGAGACTCTCTCTCAAAAAAAAAAAAAGTTCATGTGTATAAAAATGATTTTTGAAATATATTCAGCTTTTTCTAATTGTTGCAGTGACACCTATTGCAGCCTTCTCATAGTGGGAGTTCTCAGTGTAGTTTTGTTTGTTTAAGTCAGGTATACTGGATGTACAAATTAAATGCAGTAAAATTTACTCTTAATTTAAGTATATCATTCAATGAACTTAGACAAATGTATACATCCATATAATCACCACCACATTCATAACATAGTGTATTTTCATTATCTTCAAACTTTCTCTGTGTACCTTTCCATCAATGACTTCTTTCCACTGCTAGCCCAGGGAAGTGATTGATTTTTCTTCCTATAGTTTTGACTAATCCAAAATCAAAATACAATATAAATGGGTTCATATAGTATGTAATCTGTTGTGTCTTTTTTCACTTAGCATAAGACTTGTAGCTTCATCCTTATTATTGCATATATCAGTAGTTTATTCATTAATATTGCTGAATATTATTTTATTGGCCACGAGTTGTTGGATATTTGTGATTCTAGGTTTGGTATTATGAATAAAGTTCATATATGAAGCATACATTTTTATACCTTTAGGATTGGGTTAAAGGACATTGGGGTTATTTCCAGCTGTTAGCTATTATAAAAAAGCTGCTATAAATATTTGCATACAGGTATTTGGATGGGTCTGTTTTAGTTCCCAGGAATAAATAACTAGGAATAGAAATAGTGAGTTGTATATTTTACTCCATAAGAAACTGATGAACTATTTTCCAGTAGGACGGTGTTACATTGTTTCCCATACTAGCAACGTATGCGAGTTCCACTTGTTCCACATCTTCACTAACACTTAATATTTTCAGTCTTTAATTTTAACCATTCTAGTTGTCATATAGTGCTTTTAATTATCATTCCCTAATGTCTAACAATGTTGAGAATAATTTCATGTGCTCATTTGCCATCCATGTCTTTTTCAGTGAAGTGGCTATTCAACTTTTGCCCCTCTATTTTTCACTGGGTTTCTTTTTTTTTTCATTGTGGAAATACTTTCTATGTTCTGAAGTTCTGAATATATGCCCTTTATCAGATATATACATTGTAAAGATCTTCTCTCTACTATAACTTGTCTTTGCCTTTTCTTAAGAATGTCCTTTAAGTATTAAAGCTTGTAACTATGATAAAGTTCAACATATATGTGTGTGTGTGTGTGTAATATATATGTACATATTACTATATATAATATATATGTACATATTATTATATATAATATTTATATATATACACACTAACATATAGATATAGAAACATAAATGCAAATATATGTAACTAAGCTATTTTTGCCTCCCAAAGGGACATTAAGATTTTCTACTATGTTTTCTTCTGAAATTGCTACAATTTTATTGATTGCATTTATGTTGATGATCTACCTCGAGCTAATTGTTATATATGGTACAAGACAAAGACAAGAGTAGGCATTTTTTTTCTATTAATATATTGATGGCCATTTTTAGCAGTTATCCTGTTCCTGTCCCACCATTATATATGAAGTATTTGAGGGCAGATAACTTTTATCATTAATTTTACAGATATAGTGTTTGAGTGGAACTAGAGTCTAGGAGCTCCACTTAAGAATCTGTACCTGGACAGATTCTGGACCTGGACCTGAGAGAAATAATGGGATTCCATACTTTAAGCTACTACTGTAAGGGGATAAGACTTACAAATTTGGGGAAAGGGTGAATGTATGGTGTGCATAAAGGGACATGAAACATTGGGACAAGAGGGTAGACTGTGGTAGGCTGCTTCTAAAATGTCTCCAATAATCTCTGTTTTCTGGTTGTTATGTGGGCTGGACCTAGTAACTTGTTGCTAATGAATAAAAAATAAAAAAAGGGATAGGATGTCACTTCTATGATTAGGATATAAAGGACCATAACTTCCTTTTTTCTTTCTCCATCTCACTCTATGTTGTGAGCTTCCTTAATGAAAAAGTCCCAGATAAAATGAAACTGTGCAGCAGCCCATGAGGAACTAAATTCTGTCCAAGCCATGAAAGTCAGTTTGAAAAAAAATCCTTTCCCATTGGGTCCTTGAAATAACAACAGCCACAGCTGACACCTTGTTCACAGTGTATGAGAGACCTCAAATCAGAGGAACTCACCTAAATTTAACAATGATTCCTAATTCACAGAAATAGTGAGATACTATTATTTTAAAAGGCATTATGTTTGTGGTAATTTGTTATGCAGCAGTTAATAATTAGCATGCCAATTATACCATGAACATTTGTTGAAAAGGTTATTATTTTCACCATTGTGTTACCTCAACATCTTGGGTGAAAGTCAGTTAACCACAAATGTGTGGGTATCTTTGTGAACTCTCTGTATTTCATTAATCTATATGTCTTTCCTTTCACTAATGCCATGATATTTTGATAACTGTAGCTTTACAGTAATTCCTGAAGATCAGTTAGATTACTTTGATTTAGCTGGATCCACTTAAGACTTGCTTTTTAAGGTTTGCTCTAGAGCAAACTTTAAATTAAGACTAACTTAACCCCACTATTAAAGGGATGCCTTTTGGAATTTTTATCTGATATCCCATGTATTGCAAGGTTTTTAAAAAATATTGGCTATTAAGGCTGAGGATTATTTTTTAGTCCTGCACAAGCTCCAGAATTTTTTCTGTCATTCCTTTATTCTGTTGCTCTTCCTATCCCCAGCCTTAAGTATTTTTTTCTCTCACACACATGCAGAATGTCAGCACTCAGTCAAAGATGTTAGAGTTCCCTATTTGCAGATTTCTAGAATTCTCTCTCCATGCACCACTTTCGTCTCTCCTACTCCGCTTTAAAAATTTCTAGTTGTCTAAGCCTCCCAAAAGACTAATTGCTCTCTCTTCAACTCAGATGACAAAGATTTCTGAGCTTCATTTAGATTCCACCTCTGTACACTTGTCCTGGAAAGAGCCTTCAGGCAATAAACTTGGGCAATTGTGGGCTAACCTTATTTATTTCCTTCTTTCAAGAATCAGAGTCCTATATTGCACGTTGTCCAATGTCTGAAAAGAAAATCTTTTAAAAAAATTGTATTTTTTCTATTGGCTTAAGATGGGATGATAAGTATTGTTTCTGTTACTCCATTTTGCCTAAAATTAGAAGTCTCAAATGATAAAGTTTTGCTCTCCATTTTATTTGTTCATATAAATTTTGCATGGTTGTCGGGTTTTTATTTTTATGTAAACTTGTGTCAAAGATTTTTGCAGTAGCAATACTAGGAAAATCTGTAGACATTATAAAGGTTTAGGAACTTAGTATTCCTTCTCAAGAGAACATTCTACTCTGCTCTAGAATTTCCCATACTCACCTAGGAATTCTGTCATTCCTGTTCCTCTTGCCACTTTGTCTCAGAAGGAGGCATAGCTAAGGATCTCTTTCAGGAATCAATACCAGTAACTCACTCTTTTTCTTTCCTCCCCTCTCTATCTCAGCATCCCTCATTCATACAGCCAGTGGTCTTTCTTTCATTTCCAAAGGTGGAAGAGGGATAAGTTGGGCAAATATTATTTCAGAGCTATTGTCTTTTTTTATAGATTTACCAAGATTACATTAGAATAATGATTCTCAAACTTGAGCATGCATCAGAGTCACCTGGAATGCTTTTTAAAGCGCAGATTTGTGGGTCTCATCTCAGAGTTCCTGACTTACTGTGTCTGGGGTAGGACCAATACATTTGCATTCCTACTATGTTCCTATATGCTGTTGATGCTGCTGTTCCATACTTTATACTTTGAGAGTCACTGCTTTAAATAATAAAGTCTAGGTGTATTTATTGCTATTTGCTACCTTACTCAGATTTCCCCAATAGGCATAAGTTTCTGCAGCTAACTACTAATATTCATGAGCTTCTCAAAAGACTTCATCTAGTTTAGTGAGAACCTACCTCACAGAGGGTATGTAGAATGTTACATGACCTTTCCAAATGCTCCAATGGGAACTCATATGAGCCACAAACACCTGAGATCCCTTTGACCCAATGTGGGACAACCATCAGGAGAACCTTATCATTATGGTAAAAGCCCAAGGCTTAACTTCACCACAGACTACATCCTTGCCTGGACTGCTCCCTGTTCTCTTCTTTATGTTACACTTCTCTCTTCCTTACAGGTTTTTCCTGATAAACACACTCTCAATGCATTGTGTACAATTAAATTCCTATCTGAAGCTCTACATTTAGGAAACCCAACTGAAGACAAGAATTTCACTCATGCACATTTAATTCATTCTTAAGGTACTTTTGTCCAAATAGTGGAGGAAGAATAATACATTCATAAACATTTTGTAGCAGAGAAGTCATAGAATACTATCTCCAAACTTTATCCAGCAAGATCCAATTCACTGTAAGTTCTGTATTCAGGTAAAATTTAAGAAATAGATTAAGTAAATGGTGATTCTCATGAAAAAATGAAAAAAAAAACTTATTTGCTATATTGATTTCCTCAAACCCAATTAACTAAACACATTAATGGAGATGTTGTAGATTTTGAATTATGGCCTAGCTTGAGAGGCCATAGAAATGATCATTCCCTCCATAACCACTTTCACTTTCGAAATTCGGTTGGAAGACTCAAAATTTAACTTTCCAATCTTTGTTGGATGCCTGCCTATGCATCCTTCAACAAAAGTAAAAAAAAAAAAACACACATTAAATGTCAAGGTGAATGTTTTAATGGGAAGACAAGTTATCCAGATAATTTATCAATTGTTTTGGAAGTTCATCTGTGGACATCACATAAGACAGAGATTTCACCGGATTAGCTGTGAAGTGGTTGATTGAATATCTGTCACAATTGAAAATCCCATACCTCTAAGCCATCAGATTAGCTCTCATACTGAGATACCAACTGTGGAGAATAATAACCATCATTCAAAAAACACCACTGAACCAGGGCAAAAAAACTAAGCATGATTAAAACATGGCACTTTTTTATGGTTAAATATGTTCTTTGATTTACAAGCCAAAGAATTTTCTAGTAAAATTCATGAAAAGTCGGTGTTTAGACTGTTCCATAAGGTGTATTTAAAGAAATTTTTTGCTAAAATGCCAACAATACATTAAGATAATTGCAATATTCTAATTAGTCTTTCTCTTAAAAATGGCTTGTCTACTAGAGAATTAATAAAGAATTTTAAAGGGGTTGTAGAGAAAGTGTTGCAGTAATCATAGATTGAAAAAGTGCTGAAGGTATCACGGAGCCTCAAAATTAAACTGAAACTTATGGCTCAACTAAATTGAAGCATCATCATGTATGAAAGAGACATCAGTGAGAACCAAGAGACTAATAAAAAGAAGTGCTAGTGATGTTAATAGGCAAAGTTAAGAGATAATATAGATTGGACCAATCATTGAAGATAGAGTCAGGAAAAATGTCAATATTGTTAGAAATTAGAATGGAATCCTTTTCCTAATAAGCTGATGATATTCTTGACATAGAAGGGCTATCCACTGCTTCAAATATACCAATTCATGTTTAAATTAAACACCATAAATTATTTTGGTTTGGAAGGATGGGAGATTTGAGGCTACAAAAAATCATGCATATATATATATATATGTATGTGTATATGTGTGTGTGTGTGTATATATATGTGTATGTATATATATGTATGTACATATGTACTTTGGTAAAAGGAAAGCAGGTGACATCTATGACATCCAAGCCATTCATCATCTGATTCACTATTGTAAAATTCATATATAAAATGACTAAGTTGATCCAAAGGAGGACCATTTTAACATTCAGTATTCATAAAATAAAAAAAAATTTAGGAAACGTATTAGATTAAATATTTACTTTAAAAGAAAGAGATTATGATATAATTATAAATTTTCTTATTTAAAGAGCTAACAGCATGCAAAAAAGAAACTTATAATTTATCCCAAATATATATATTTACATTTAACTACAAATGTAACTATATTTTGTCATACATATATATCCCACATATATAATTATGTAATGTATATATATCTCTTCTGTCTATTTTTATCTATTTTCTATATGTATATCTAATCTTATCTATCAATGTATATCAGTGGTTATGAGAGTTCCGGATAAGAAAGTTTGATACCTCTAGATTTTGATTGCCTCATGTCCAAAATATGTCCTACATGATTTTCAAAGTATTTTTTTCTCTTTAAAACTCTTTAACTCTGACATTATCTATCAGGCAGTTTCTATTGCAACAACTTTTCATGGTAGTGTAGTTCTTACACATGAATTATATTTGATCATAGGAAGGAATTATATTGCTTAAACAAAGTGTTTTTGGACATAGTCAATCAACACCCATTTTATCATCTTGTTTTAATCACTACCCAGCACCTTGTTTTTGGTATAACATGTTATAAAATTAGATCAACATCATGAAAATGTACCTTTTGTCTGAATTTCTAATCTTTCATGTAACACATAGTAATTTCAAGATGTGCAGTCATTTCTACCTCTGTACTGAAATATTTTTCTCAATACTTCTTCTGTCTTGGATACTGCTTGTGTATGTGTGTGAGACATCCCACCTAAGTTTTCCACCTTTCTCATAGTGCTGCTAATACAACACTCCCTGTTGAGTAAACTGGAGTCAGAATGCCCCAGCCTCTGGCTCTGCTCTTTTCTTCCTACACAAGGGAATCCTTCTTTTTGCTTCATTCCTCTTGTAGGCTCTCTATTCCTCCTCACAAAGACAGATGTCTTCATCTTTTTGGAGAGTCTCCTTCTGTTACAGACATTTGTGCTAATTTACTGCTATAAAAATCGAGAGAGGTACTAGAAAGAATATAATAAAGTAAACAAAGTGTACAAATTTGATTTGGAGAAGGAAAGTTAGTTAAATATCAGAATTATCATCCTAGAAAGGTTCTAAGTCTGATGTAATGAGCATTTACCCCGATCAATTGGTCACATATTATATTATAATTATAGCAATGCTTGATTTTATTTAGCTTTCTGCTTCTTCATGCTTTCAATTTTCCTTCATTTTCTCTTTTACTGTATACCTCCCTCACTTCCAACTTCATTTCTTCTTTCTTTTAATTTCCTGTAAACCTGACATAAATTCAAACAATTAATGTTATAATGGACTCTAGAGAAATAATATATCATATCACTTCAAATTTACTACATTTGACAATACATTCACATTATGTGTAGTGTATGATAAATTTTCCTCGGCACATGTCTGCTTTTATTTTACTTCTAACCTGAATAGACTTATGGTTTTAGATGTAAGTTAGCTCAGCAAATTTTGTATTGTTTTGTCAGTTATCCATCTTATGGCTGAAGTTTATTTAGGTATAAAAATGTGGCTTCCTACAACTGGTAGTTAATTATAAATACATGCAGTTGGAAATTTATTTGTATCTCATGACTAAAGTTAAATCTTGGTTAGTTTTGGCTTCAATCTCATATTTCACTTTGATTAAGTAGCCTAGAAGATACTCTTTTTTTGGATAAAAGAAACATTTTAGAACACCGAAAGGCCAGTCATGGTTTTTGGTTTTGAGAATGGCATAGGTTTAGATTTTTATTCTAACAATATTATTGCTACTGATCAGAAAGGACATTCAAGTCTTGGGACCTAAGCATCATGTTAACTCTCACTGCTTACAGTTGCAGATTTCTTCATGAGTTTGCTTTGTTTTTCATCTTCAAAATCTCAAAATATTTTACTGAGGTGCAATGAAAAGTAAAAATAACTAAAATTATGAAAATAAAATAAATTAACAAAAAGTCTTTCAAAAGGCAAGGTTGAGGTTGAAGGGCACCACATGGCTCTGAAGTGGTCTGGAAATAGAAGGGAGAGATGGAGGGTCATGCTTATTTTATCATGTTGGGATTGCAGTGAAAATATACAGAGCACAATTCTCACATATTCACAATGAAAACTAATATTGTTTTATGCTAAAATCTTTCAGATTTTGCCAAAGACAAATGTCAACATTTCAAAATATGCTGGCAATATACTAAGGTGCTATTTTTTATTCTAGGTATATTAGAAATATATGTTATATATGCATGTTCTTTTTCTACATAAATTTCAAGAATATTAACACCTAAGTGCCTAAAAATTAGTTGTATTACAAATAAATTATATACATTATAAATTATACAAATAAATATTACACATACAATTTGTAAAATATTTTAAAATAATTTGTCATTATGTTATGCTAAAGGAAACACATGATATTAAGGTTATTTTGAATCCTAATTTTTCGTATATTTGTATTTTTTCTCAAAATTGGAAGATTTAAATTACCTGAAAATTTTGAAAGATCAACTTATATTAATTTTCAAAATAAGTTCCCCAAAATATAACACTCTTCAAATATATTTTTTCACTTTCAGGAAGAAGTGACTTACTTTTTATTTCTCCACTGTTGATATCATTAAAATATACATACAGTAATGCTGAGAGCTCATAATAAAGAATGCACTACCAATAGTAAGAATCATCTCTTAGATATTTTTATAAAACTTTTTTTCCTTATTACAATCTGATTTTTTAAATATCTAGCTTTTTTTTGGTTAATCCCACCAATGTTCATATGAAATATTATGGATATTTTAATTTAGATATCTTGTTAAAGGTTTTAGCACTGATTTATTTGAAGCTATTAATACATCTATTTGGATAATCAATATAGTCTCCCCTTTCCCCCCTTTTATAACTCCTCTCCATCACAAGATGAAATTTTATCAATATTAAAACATCATTTATCTTATTTATCTAAGGGAAATGTGATAGGGAAAGCATCCACAGCAAATGTAAAACAGTTGGCCAGAGTAAGTGATTTTCTTATTCCATGCTGTATCTTACAGACTTAATATGTTTGATAAGCTTTATAAATTGATGACATTTTAATGATAGGTAGATGGATTATAATTTTAATTTTTCAAATCAAAAAATTCAGGCATGGTTATTTTTAATAAAGATTTGATCAATTTGATTAAATTAACAAACTATAAGCATTGGCTTATAATGCCATTCTTTTTGTTATTAAGATCTTACCTGAGCCCTAAAAATACTCGCGGTATAAAAAAAATAAGAACACTGTTTTTCCTGTGTCAATTGCCCTACTAATTTCTCAGCTGTATGGTGGGAAACATGTTGAGAGAAAGTATTAAAATATATTAAAGCCACATGGGATTATTAAAAACTGGAATGAATCCTCTAAATCTTTGAGACAACTATTCATCAGTTGCTCTTTTAAAAAAAGAAAAAAAAATCTCTATACTTTACTGGAAACCTATAATTCACAGCTGTTAGTTCAAGCAGTGTTCCTGGAGAATGGTCAGAGGAATATACTGGAACACTGGAAGGGGAAGAAATTAGCCAAATTCATCATTTCCTTTTAATTTTGCATTTTCATTCAATTAATTCGCCTTACTTGTCTAGCAAGACTGAACTCATCTTAAAAGTCTTAATTCCTCTGGCTCAAAGTAAATTATGGTGCCTGAGAATCTTTCCCAGGACTATGAATAATGGGGCCTATTTGGGGGAGCTGCTAACTATTATTTTTGGATGGCAACAAGAAAAGTGTTCATGAAGTCAAAGAAAAGGTAGTGAGTGTTGAAAATAATCAATGACTTGTCTTTTATTTGCTCTAAACGACAAGCTTAACTATTGTCACAGAACTCACCAAGTGGGTTGTGGAAATCTCATTCTGTTATCATAAAGCCCTGACTATGGCAACATCTGTCTAAGGCTGGACAGAGCCCCAGTGACCCTGTGCTAACATTGGATCCCTGGTGATCAGAAAGCAAGAAAGAAAGGTAAAAGCAAAAGAACATGTAAACGACTTAAATGACAGAAAAGTACTCTCAGAAGGAAGCCTTTGTTCTTTCTTTTTGTTCATAGCAGTCAGAGGTAATTCTCTGGATATATCTTCGCTTTCATCAAGCAGAAATCAAAACAGAATTTATATATTATACAAATAAAATTAGTGATAAACTCAACTTGTTAAAAACATTTTACCCCATGTTTTTTGTTTTGTATTTGTTACTATTCTTCCCAATGGTCCCCCAACTGTGATATGTGGCACAATTTATTTTCTGTTTTATTGAGTTTACACTATAGATTTGACAACATTATAACACAAGGAAAATATTAACATATTGTTGAAGAAATCCGGGAATAAAGAGTGGACATTCTTCTTGCCTCATTTAAAGCCAATGCTAAGAGATTTTATTTTCCCTCAGTGCCATATGGGGTTGGTGTTGATGTGTCACCAGGTTCTTTCATATCAAAGAAAGTGCCATCTCACCCAGCTCAGAAATATAAATCCTTGCCATCATACATCCTTCGCAGGAACAGTATTAAATGTACAGATGTACTGGATTTGTCTGATTTATTTTCTATAAAATATACATGGATAGATAACAGATAGATAGATCGTACATAAATATTAATGGAGAGATAGCTTTTTTTTTCTTCCTTGGACATTGAAGTCTCATGTTGCAGTACAGCTATTTCAATGAAACAAGACATTAGGAAAGAGAATGCAGAAAAAGTGTTACTTTGTCTACTTTAAATTTTCAAGTTGTACATTATCTATTCTCGTTTATCTCTGGGTGAATGACGATACCTTTGTCAGGGTGCGGACAGTAGGATAATAAGTAAGTTGTAAAGCCCAGTACACTTCTCTTGGCACTGAAGCAAATCAATCCCCTGAAATACACTGAAGACAATGGATGATCATTAAGATTTTCAGACAGGGTTTAAACGCATTAAAATGTGAAAAACAATTTTTTTTTTGCAAAAGTATGGGAAATGTACTTTACAAATACAAATCAATTTGTGTAACGTATTTACAAATTCTCAGACATCTAATTTTTTAGCTTCACAAGTATTAGAATGAGCAAAAATCTCTTATAGCCTTTACTATCCTTTGAATGATTTTTTCAATCTGCCTAAAAATATTCGGGAAAGTTCAAAAAACTTACATACGCAAGTTTTTAGTTCTACCCCTTCTGCCTCAAGTGCACAAAAACAAAGCAGTAATCTATCTAGTTTATTTCTTCGAAAATGGTGTTCTTAAAGTACATCTTGCAGATAGATTATCTATCCCTCACAGCAAAGCTTCACAATGGGAGTCTAATAATTGCTCCTTTTCTAATTTAACTAAATGAGTTATAATTATTTTATGTCTGTTTTATGGTTACTGAATAGTATTAACCTAAACTCTAATTATAATATAGCTTTCAAAGAAATGTATGGACACCAAATTGATGAACAGCCAGCTTATGTAGGAACATCCCATAAAGCAGATACACAGCTAATAGTTTTAGGAATAGCATGTTAAAATTCAGGAGCACAATTCATTTGTGAATGAAGCAGGGTATAAATTCATTGAGTTTATATCTTCTAAGATTAGATAGACAGGAATATGTGATTGCGATTAATACAAATCAAATAAATTTACAGTTAAGCACAAAATTGCTATTTTCCAATATGTTTGTAACCAATGATAGATACTTCAGTTCTATAATATCCTTAAAATGGGAATATATAGTGCCCGTGGAGTCTCTTGGTCTTACAGCAATCTTCCCAAGGCAGATACTATATAATTAAAGCAGACTGTATTGTGAAGACAATTTGCCTAGAATGTTTTAATAGCTACTTTTTATTTTTAAATTCTCTGCTAATATTTTAATGAAAGAAAATTGATTAATCAATGAATTTATCATGAGGGGAGAGCAGTGTTTGCTTTCAATTAAAAAAATCCTTTAAATCTAATTGCTGAAAATGCATTTTTGAATATTTTCATAAGTTGTACATTAGAGAATATTCACACACAGATTAAGTGGATTCCTTATAAAAAGTGCTTATTAATCAGAAATTATTTTTAAATTAAAATAAATGGCAATTGAAAACAATCATCCTTTACCAGTGAAATTTTTCTTGTTTGCCTTATAAATATAGACTCAGATGAACATGCTTAATCCAATATATCCTTCATCTTATTTCTCTAAATTTTGACTGGAAAATATTCACACCTTTAGAATCTGTTTTCAATATTGAGAGTAGCATATAAAGTTTTTCAAATGTTAAAATGTTAAAAATTTCCAAAACATCCAAGTAAAGTTATTGAAGAAGCTAAACAAGTACTGGACACTTTATGTTTGCAGGAAGAGGAGGTATACATACACTCTGAAAGAAACAAACTGGGAGACTATCCCTGAAAGTAAAACTTTTAATAAAAAGTTACAAGACACATTATAGTTATATTTATTTTGATTAAACATGTTAAAATGACTTCATTAGCCATCTTGAATGTTTGCCTGGTACTATCTGTAGATTCCTAATTTTACTTATCTTACTACAACCTGTGGAAAATTTACCACCAATTTTACCAACAATGATAATATTTACAAGAGTGGCTATTATAATAGGAGTTTACAATGATTTAGTTAAGGGCATTTTAAAGATTATATTATAAGGAACATAGTATGCTAAATATTACCAATATCAATTATATGAATGAAAAACCTGGGGTTCAGAGAGGTTAAATAGCTTTGATATAATAGCTTAAGTGTTGGTGCTTAATATGAATTCTAGTGTATTGTCTCCACTGTCAGCAGTTGAAATGTTTTCATACAGATGACTACAAATTCACATCAGCTTTAATGTCTTCCTAATACATTTAGTACTTAATATGCTGTTAATTGTTTCCCAAAAGACTATTCTGAACTTAAATACAGTCTGTCAAATATTTATCAAAGGCCTGGACTATGCCAAGATAAGACATAATTCCTTACCCTCACAATGTTGTCGGGCTAGTTCTAATGACTGACATAAACATTTAATTTTCACACAATGTAAAAGTGCTGTGAAGAAGGTTTATAAAATGTGAACATATAGCACAATCTGTGGAGTCCAGAAAATATTATCTATAAGATATAATGTCTGAACTAAAATAAAGGGTTTAGTTCTTAATGATTGAAGAAGACTTGTTCAAATTAAGAAAGATAAGAGGGTGGTTACAGGCAGAGGGAATTTTGGGATAAAACCTCAGAATCTCTAGCTTGTCAAAGGTGAATAGAGATAAAGAATGGTGGTGTCTTTGTGTTGGCCTGTGTTTTTCTCCATTGGTTGGGAAAAGAAAACTAAGAAGTAGGCAGGTGAAGTATGAGAAGCCTAGACAGCCAATGATCTGACTCCTTCACATTTATAACCCTTTGCAACCTTGAAAATAGGCTCTCAATTTCCAGACTATACAAATTTCCAGATTCTTTGTTGAATCAATTAATTTATTATAATGACTGTGATGTCTGAATGATTGCTAAAACATAATGTATGGCTATGGTAGCTGCCAACCTCATATCTAATAGCATAGCCAGACATGCCTGGTGTTATTGCTGATGTACAAGTTGAATTTTAACTCATTTTCTCTATTTCTTAAAGGCTAGACAAACTGATTTAGTCTGTGACCTGTGAACCTCTTCTGTGAATTTCAATAAGAGAAACAAATGCAGTTAAGTAGTACTATAAATGTTGGGTACTGTTTTGAAGACATAATTTGTTTTTGGCATAACCTTTTGACCTTTTTCAAGTTCACAAGGATTATCAAAGTAAGCTTATTTGAATGGCAAATAATTTGCTTACCTAATAAATGCCCATTTCTCCCATCATATATTTTGTTAATAAGTAACTCATTTATGTATAGTTAGGTTACTAAACAGCCTATTATTTTATAGAGAAATAATTTGATGAAGAATTCTATAATATCAGCCCTTTACACTTCTTGCTTTTTTCCTAAGTTACAAAATAAGCTGGTTTATTTTCTCTTCACTAAATTGGCTATAAAACAACATCTGGGTCTCTTGAGTTTATCATTTTTGCTCACTTTACACCAGTTGGGCATCTTTATAAATTCAAAATGGGCTTCCGTCTGCTAAAAGCTTTTTAACGTGTTTATTTTTTATTTTTACTCTGAATTCCAGTCCGTAATGCACTTGTTTTTATTATTGTTGTTTTAACAAAGTTGGATATACAGTATGAGAAACCATACTGTAGTTAAGCATTTGCTCAGCTGTAGTTCAAGAGATAAGCACTCTTGTCAAATGCACTGTGACCTCTCAAAGAGAGGAGGTGTCATCCAACTGAGTCCTTGTTTCATCTACAACAATGCATTGGGACAGAATTTATTTTTTTGGCTCCATGTCCTAAAATTTGACAGGGCAAAAATATTATATGACTATTTGGTGTTTAATACTGCAGTTACACGGAGGACTACAAGGAAGAGAAATCACATGAACCTGAAATGAGGATGTGGATATGCCACTATCTCATTATAAAACATTCTGCTATATAAATTTCCCCTCCATTCTCTAAATATGGTCTTCATGTTTTGGTATTTTCATGAGGAGAGTCAACAACTTTGTACAACATTGCCATCTAAAAATGGCAAACATGAACCAGAAACATTATCTTAAATACAAATTTACCTAGAAAATAGAATTATAAGGAGCAATTCTAAAAGGAGGCAGACATTTTCTGAATGGGAATTATATCCCATTCCAACTCAAGACTCCTACCAAATGGAGCTATCCATGCATCCTGTGACAACACTGACTGACCTCTTTTCCCAAGATTAATATCCTTCTGTAGCCAGGGAGATAGAAATTTCCCACCTGTAGATGACAAAGTTTGCTCATGTATTTTAGAATGCAGCCTGAGTTTAAACCTAGTGTTGAATAAGGTATAGTATTCACTCGATTACCCAAAGAGCCTACAATTAGCCCAAGAACATGAGTAAAGGCAGACATATTTTTTACTAGTGCTTAAGAATCTGAAGTCACCTCATATTTATTTAGGGGATCAAGTTTTCAGTCTACAAAAAAAAATAAAAAAACTAGAAGAGGAAACATGGTTTAATAAACTGAGCAGAGCTTCAGGTATCTAAGATGTACTGCTTAGCTTAGCCTGGTGCTGCTCAATCTTTATTAATCAATTATGAATATTTTCCAGTGTAGAAAATAGATAATTCTTTCTCTTTTTCTTCATATATTAAAGCTTGTAAGGAAGTTTAAAGGATATAGTTGTTAACCATTTGAAGATTCAACTCAATCACACTTGTGGAATCTTATAATCATATAAGAGGGAGGCTATTTATATAAACCACACATAATCTGTATGTTCACGTAGTTACTAAAATTGATGGTCACTTTTTGCCATTTTACACATCCCAATTTTTTAGAAAAGGTTTATCTTAATATTTGTTCATATATTTCTTTTCTTTAAAGGCTCTGTTTTCTTCCTGCTACTGAGTATAGAACAATCTGTTTGTTTAAGTATAATTATGTTCAGGATGATATAATGGTTAAGCTGAAAGCAATCTTAAGCCAACCCCACCTCTCCCATTGAGTCTGTCTGTGAGTGCAGAGAAATTAAACCATAATTTATCACCAATAAAGTTAGAGGGATACTATTTCATAGCACACATGATTGTTGCGGGCATTAAATAAGGTAACAGATGTAGTCTGGATCATTGTGCTTAGTATATAGTAAGTGCTCATTAGGTATTAACTAAAATTATTATCATAATTGCCCAGAGGCTTCTAAACACCTGTTTCTTTAAAATCTTGAATCACATCCTATGTAGTTGAGGAGACTACCTCTATCAATCATTGTGAGATCGGTAGTATCTTGAAACAATAGATTTTAGTTGAGCTCTGAATTATTGTTTTTGGTGGTCCTTGTAAAAACCTAATACCTGAGTTTTTAAATGTCTTCATTTTCACCATTTTCACCCGGTATAACTTTTCTGTCTATATCATTTTCTGTCTATTCTCACCAATATTAGGGTCTTAGGACACTAAATGAATATTCATAATTATGAGCTCTACTCTTCCTTGTGCTAGTAATTAACTCATAAGAATTTATTATGTTTCTCTAGGCCTTAGGATTCAACTCTACTATGGCAGGAATCTTTATTCATTTTGTTCACTGACATGCTTTAAGCCCCTAGTTCAGTGCATGATCATAGTAGCCACTCCAAAATAAAATCTTGTTCAATAAATAAATGAAGAAATGAATGAGTTATTCCAATATTGAATTATTAGGCAGCATCTGAAGTCTCCCTAATTCTAAAATTCTGAAGAATTCTTACTATTTGAAATCCCAGTGATTTCTACATTTATAGCTTGATCAATGACTCATTTATAGAATTGTATTTTGGTCTGTTCACAATATTAATGTCATTACTGTTTTCTGCTGTCAGCCTGATACTTTGGTTATTGATTTATATCTGAGACTCACTTCCCTTATTTCTATTAATGGGTTATTGGTGGTGTCCCTTGTTTGTGTTTTGTTTTGTTTTTGTTTTTTGATATGCCTACGGCTTTACAATTTAGCTTTACCTAGAGTCCATCATTTAATTCAAGATATTATAAATCAGCCCTGTTCTTTCACTTACTGGGTTCCAGGGTTGGTCAATCATTGCCAAAAAACAATTCTCTACTTTTCTACAGTCCTCTTGTCTTCTTCAAAATGCGTATCTTTTAATTTAAACTTTCCTTTTCCTTTACATATCTCTTAGACGTTTGAATGCAGTTATTTCATCTTCAACTTACTAATCCCGTATTACTCAAAGTAGAATACTTTGACAACCTCATTTAATATCGACTGGGTACACTGGTTTAAAAATACACTTTGAAGGACTCTTCTTGAAAACTATTTACTCAGTAGCTTGTGGGAGAGAGTATCAAAAATCTTGACTCTCCACACACCCAGATGATCTTCAGCCCTACTCAAGTGTAAGCAACATTACTTTACATTAGTCACGTTAATTCACCAATTACGATTTTTGATGGCAATCCTTTACCTGAATTTCTGTGTGCTTTATTTTTTAAAATAAAGCCCCATTTCAGAAGACTAAGCATTTGTCTCACAATTCAATATATATAAATATATACTAGCAGGGACAAGCATGATGGCTTACACCTGTAATGCCAGCACTTTGACAGGCCAAGGTGGATGGATCACTTGAGGTCAGGAGTTCGAGACCAGCCTGGCAAACATGGCAAAACCCTGTCTCTACTAATAATACAAAATAGCCAGGCTTGGTGGTGCGCTACTGTCATCTCAGCTACTCAGGAGGCCAAGGCATGAGAATCGCTCGAAACTGGGGGGCGGAGGTTGCAGTGAGCTGAGATCGTGCCACTGCACTCCAGCCTGGGTGACAGAGTGAAACTGTATCTCAAAGAAAAAAAACAAAAAAACAAAAAACATACTAATGGGAAGATGACTCCAGAATGGTAGTGTGAAGAGCTCTGTGGACTCTCTCCCTAATGAAATCGTGAAAGTTAGTTTAAAAACCAAACTAACCATTTAAAGTTTCTGGAAAAGGTACTGAAAACATAAAACAAATGAAGAAATATTTAATCAAGAAAATCTACTCAATCTCTGAAAGAACAGTAAAAGCTTGTAGCAGTCACACTACCAATAGCTCCCTCCCTCTCTCTTCTCAGTTCAGCATGATGGAAACTCTATTCTAGGCAGGTACATCCAAGAACATAAAGCACCCTCTCCTCCAAGTTTCCAATCAAGAGCTACAGTATAGCTCTGGGAGGGAGGACACCAGCATTTCTTACCCTTCCAGCTCCATGTGGCAGAAAGTTTTTATAAGCCAAGAACAGCTGAGAGGTTTGGGGTTTCTTTCTCCACCAGCACCAACTTAAAGGACAGAAACTCTACCCTAGGTGTAACAGGCTGAAAATACTATGGCTGTAATTGCCTTTACTCCAGCTTGCTTGTGGAGCAGAGTTTTCATGCTGGGAGAAGAAAGTTGAGAAGAGAATTAAGGCTATTCCCTTGTCCCAACCCCAGGACAATGTCCTGTGCATGTAGCCAGGGTGTTACTCCAACTGAAGTGGGTCACTTTCCATGACTCCAACTCCAGAGTATTGGTGCAGATGTTTTGTGCAGGGGAAGAGGTAAGGTAAGAAAAGAGAGCTTTGAATCTCTACCCAAAACAATTGAGTATTTTGAGCAGTGTGGAAAAGTTCAAGCTTACATACGCTGTTGAAAATAATGGCAAATATGGAAATTAAGGAAAATTAATTCCCTGAATCTCTTAGGAAATTAAGGGAAGGCTGTTAGTTTCATCAGAATAACAAGGCAAACCATCAACCAGTTAAAAGTTTACCAGAGACAACCAGGGGAAAAGATAACTAAGAGTCTTTTGGGGATTGGAATTCACTGGAAAGCCTGGTCTCAAAGATAATCTCTGTGAAAGGGCCCAAATTTAAATGGATCAGACTGTAAAACAATTATGTCTTAGGGCGGTATTGAAAACAATGCAGCAATTAATTAGCTAAGGCTAACACCTGAGTGTAGACTAAAAGGAGTCAAACAATTTAAAAGAGAGACAGTGAACAAGGCCGTCTAAGAAAGTCCTGTAAAACCTCTGTTATCCTTAGGTGACTATGCACATGCCCAAGGCTTCACTCTCTGAAGAAAACTTTAGAGGCTACACATTGAGGTGGAAAATAGACTTCACTAAAATAGTCTAGCCAAGTCACTAAACAAATAAAGAAGCAAACAACATTAAAGGCTGGTTGTGGGGGTAGGGAATCAGTATCCAGAGTTGCTGAAACAGGTTATCTAAATTGCTCACTTTTCAACAATAATTACAAAACATGTAAAGAAACAGGAAAGTGCAACACCTTTGCAGAAAAAATAGCAGGCATCAGAAACTGTCTTTGAAAAGCTACAAATGTCATACTTAGAGGACAAAAATGCCAAAGCCATTATCCTAAGCAAATTAATGCTGGAACAGAAAACCAAATACCACATGTTCTCACTAATATGTGGAAGCTAAACACTGAATACGCATGAGCATAAAGATGTGAACAATAGACACTGGGGTCTACTAGGGGGAAAAGGTGGGTTGAAAAACTACCTATTGGTTACTTTGCTCATACAGCAAACCTCATCAACATGCAATTTATCCATGTAACAAACCTGCACATATTGCCCCCTGAAACTAAAGTTTTAAAAAATTTAAAGCAACTATTTAAAATATGTTAAAAAAAAAAAAGCTAAAGGAAACTATGCCCAAAGAAGTAAAGGAAAGCATGATCACACTATCATAATATCTCATCAAATAGAGACTATTAGCAATAACAAGACAAAATATTCAGAAGAAGAAGAAAAAATATTAAGAAGAAGGAGGAGGAAGAAGAAGAAGGAGAAGGAGAAGGAGGTAGAGGAGGAGGTGGAAGAGGAGGAGGAGGAAGAGGAGGAGGAGGAGAAAATGCCAAAACTTAGTAGTACAAGAACCAAAATGAAAGATTCACCAAAAAGCTCAACAACAGATATGATCTAACATAAGAAAAAAAAAATCAGCAACTTTGAAGATAAATTGATATAGATGAATGGGGGAAAAAGAATAAAGGAAAATAATCAAAGCCCCAGAGAAGTGTGGGACACCAGTAACACACCAACATATGCATAATGTAGAACTGGAAGGAGAGGAAAAAATGAAAAGAACAAATAAATATTTGAAGAAATAATGGCTGAAAACTTAAAAAATAAGATAAAAACATTAATTTACACATCCCCAAACTCAACAAACTCTATGTAGGAAAAATGCAAAAGACCACACTCTAGAACATCCTAGTAAGAGTGTTTAAAGATAACAACAAATAGTTGTAGATGTGTGGTGTTATATGAGGACTCTGTTCTGTTCTATATCTCTGTTTTGGTACCAGTACCATGCTGTTTTGGTTACTGTAGTAACCTTGTAGCCTTGTAGTATAGTTTGTACTATAGTTGTACTATAGTATAGTTGTACTATAGTTGTACTATAGTTGTAGTATAGTTTGTAGTATAGTTTGTAGTATAGTAGCCTTGTAGTATAGTTTGAAGTCAGGTAGCATGATGCCTCCAGCTTTGTTCTTTTGGCTTAGGTTTGACTTGGCAATGCGGGCTCTTTTTTGGTTCCATATGAACTTTAGTTTTTTCCAATTCTGTGGAGAAAGTCATTGGTAGCTTGATGGGGATGGCATTGAATCTATAACTTACCTTGGGCAGTATGGCCATTTTCACGATATTGATTCTTCCTATCCATGAGCATGGAATGTTCTTCCATTTGTCTGATCTTTGACAAACCTGACAAAAACAAGAAATGGGGAAAAGATTCCCTATTTAACAAATGGTTCTGGGAAAACTGGCCAGCCATGTGTAGAAAGCTAAAACTGGATCCCTTCCTTACACCTTATACAAAAATTAATTCAAGATGGATTAAAGACTTAAATGTTAGACCTAAAGCCATAAAAACCCTAGAAGGAAACCTAGGCAGTACCATTCAGGACATCGGCATGGGCAAGGACTTCATGTCTAAAACACCAAAAGCAGTGGCAACAAAAGCCAAAATTGACAAATGGGATCTAATTAAACTAAAGAGCACAGCAAAAGAAACTACCATCAGAGTGAACAGGCAACCTACAGAATGGGAGAAAATTTTTGCAATCTACTCATCTGTCAGAGGGCTAATATCCAGAATCTACAAAGAACTCAAACAAACTTACAAGAAAAAAACAACCCCATCAACAAGTGGGCAAAGGATGTGAACAGACACTTCTCAAATGAAGACATTTATGCAGCCAACAGACACATGAAAAAATGCTCATCATCACTGGCCATCAGAGAAATGCAAATCAAAACCACAATGAGATATCATCTCACACCAGTTAGAATGGCGATCATTAAAAAGTTAGGAAACAACAGGTGCTGGAGAGGACGTGGAGAAATAGGAACACTTTTACACTGTTGGTGGGACTGTAAACTAGTTCAACCATTGTGGAAGACAGTGTGGTGATTCCTCAGGGATCTAGAACTAGAAATACCATTTGACCCAGCCATCCCATTACTGGGTATATACCCAAAGGAATATATATCATGCTGCTATAAAGACACATGCACACATATGTTTATTGTGGCACTACTCACAATAGCAAAGACTTGGAACCAACCCGAATGTCCAACCATGATAGACTGGATTAAGAAAATGTGGCACATATACACCATGGAATACTATGCAGCCATAAAAAATGATGAGTTCATGTCCTTTCTAGGGATATGGATGAAGCTGGAAACCATCATTCTCAGCAAACTATCACAAGGACAGAAAACCAAACACCGCGTGTTCTCACTCATAGGTGGGAATTGAACAATGAGAACATGTGGACACAGGAAGGGGAACATCACACACCCGGGCCTGTTGTGGGGTGGGGGGAAGGGGGAGGGATAGCATTAGGAGATACATGTAATGTAAATGACAAGTTAATGGGTGCAGCGCACCAACATGGCACATGTATATATATGTTACAAACCTGCACATTGTGCACATGTACCCTAGAACTTAAAGTATAAATAAATAAATAAATAAAGGTAAAATAAAACCATTCCCAAATAAACAAAAACAGAGAATTTGTTGCTAGCTGACTTGTCTTAGCAGAAAGACTAAAATAAGTTCTTCAAGCAGAGAGTAAGTAACCCCAGATAGTTGTTCGAATGCATGCACCTACACCCAAAACAAGATAAAACAACAAGAAAGAGAGGTAGAGAGGAGAACCAAAAAGGTAATACGTAATTGTAAAAGAGAATATAATCTACTTGTCCTCTTTTGTTCTCCTAACTAATTTAAAAGCTACTGTAGAAAGCAATATGTATAGAATTGTATTTTTTATTTTACCAGATAGAGAAATTTTTTATATTTGATAAAATACAACAAAGCAGACTTGGGGGCAAAGCTATACTGGAATAAAGCAATAAAGCTAAATGGTAAATTGACTTCACGGGAACAAAGGAAAAATAGTAATTGGATACCTCAATACTATACTTCCAATATAGATCCAAGCCAGAAGTTAGACAAGGAAATAAAAGACTTCAACACAAGTCTTAAAAGTTAATAAACCTTAATGAATATTTGTAGAACATTTCATCCAATGACAGCAGAATACATATTTTTTTTCAAGGGCATATGAAACTATTCCAAGAAAGAACATATTTCTAGGCCATAAAACAAACAATGAGGCTTGGTTTTAAAATGATTGAAAGTTAAAAGGAGTGCATAATTAAAAGAATTAAAATTATAAAAAGTATGTTATTTGTGTATAATGAAAAAATAGAATTCAATCAATAATAGAAAAAAATGTGGAAATTGACAAATGTGAGAAAATTAAGCAACATACTCCTAAATAATAATTGAGTCAAAGAAGACATCACAAGAGAAATTAAGGGAGATGAGTAACATTGAAGACACAATGTATAAAAACTTAAGGGATGCAACTAAATTGTTGCTTAGAAGGAAATTTATAGCTGTAAAAGTCTATATTAAAAAGTAAAGTAAAAAGAAGATGATGAAGGAACTAAAGTTGATACTCTAATTTGTCATTTTAATACAATGGAAACAAAGCAAAAGGAATGAAATATTGAAATAATGGATCTTTGAAAACATCCATAAAGTTGGCAAATATTTAGCTAGATGGACCAGAGAGAGAGAAAAATAGAATTCAAATTACTGAGAGTCATATTACTAAAATCAGGAATGAGAAAGGAGGTATCACTTATGTTAACTTAGAAGGATAGATTTATAGAAAGACAAACCACTGAAACAGGTTCCAGAATAAATAAAAAACCACAGTAGGCCTATAACCAGTGAAGACAATGAATTAGTAACCTAAATACTTCAGACAATGAAAATCCTAGTTAAAGATGCCTTTACTGGTGAATTCTACCCAATATGTAAAGAATAATTAATATCATTTATTATTTTATTCGTCTTGCTTTCTTTAATTTTTTCCCTTTTTCCATTGTATTAAAATGACAGATTAGATTATTGACTTCAGTTCCTTCATCATCTTCTTTTTACAAGCATGTTGTTTGTTCTATTGACACTTATTTAATATTGTACTAGTGGTTCTAGAATTAGGCAGTAAAATAAAATTAAAATATCCAGCCTGAAAAAAGGAAGTAAAAATATTTGCAAATGATGGAAACTTTGTATATAGAAAATCCTCAGGAATCCACTAAAAACTATTAGAGCTAATAAACGTGTTTGACCAAGGTTGCAGAGTACAAGATGAACAAGATGAACATATACAATTTAATTACATAAACTCATAAAGGACAACCAAAATTTAAATTAAGGGAACAATCTGACTTGTAATAGTATCAAAAAGAAAAAAATAGAAATAATTTTAACCAAAGAAGTGCAAAATTTGTACTTCTAAAAGTATAAAATAACATTAAGGAAAGTCAAATAGTAAATAAATTGAAACACGTCCCATGTTCATTGATTTGAATAGTTAATATTGATAAGATGGCAATATATCCCAAATCAATCAAAGGACTTATGCAACTCCTATCTAATTTCCAGCTGTTTTATTTCTTTGCAAAATTGGTGAGCTGATCTTAAAATTAATGTGAACATTCAGTGCATCCAGCAAAGTCAAAATAATCTTGAAAAATAGAAACAATGTTGAAGGATTCACATTTCAAAACTCGCTACAATTTATAGTAATAATCTGGTAGTGGCATAAGGATAGACCCAAAAAAAAACCAACAGCAATGGAACTGATAATAATCCATAAGATAACCCTTCTATTTATAGTCAAACAATTTTCAAAAATGATTTCAAGACAATTCAATGTAAGACTGGGGGTAAGGGTGGGGATAATATTATCAACACGTGATGCTGGGACAACCAGATATTAACATGCAAAAGAATGATGTTGAAATCTTTTGCTCGTATCATACAAAAATAGCCCCCAATAGATCAAAGACCTAAAAGTAAGAGCTGAAACTATAAAACTCTTAGAAGTGAACAGGTGTAGATCTTTTTCACCTTGGATTGGCAATGGTTTCTTCAAAATGAAGCACGTTGTGCTTCAGAAGCACAGTGAAAGAGAAAAGAGATAAACTGTTCCCCTGCAAAATTAAAAACTCTTGTTCATCAAAGGACAATGTTAGAAAGTGAAAAGGCAACCCATAGAATGGAAGAAAATATCTGTAAATCATATATCTAATAGATGTCCAGTATCCAGAACGTATGAATTCAAGAATATAAAGAAAAAAATCTAAATGAGCAAAATATTTCAATAGACATTATTTCAAAGAAAATATATAAATGGCCATTAAGCACATGAAAAGTTGTTAAATGTCATTAGTAATTAAGGAAATGCAAATCAAAACCACAATGAAATACTACTTCACACTCACTAGAATGCTTATTACAAAAAAAATTAAAAAATGAGTGTTGACAAGGAGAAATTTGAATCCTCATACACTGCTCACGAGAATGTAAAATTGTGTAAGTGCTGTGAAAATAATTTGGCAGTGTCCTAAAATGTTAAACATAGATTTGTCTTATGACCCAAGAACTCCATCCCTACGTGCATGTGCAAGAAAAATGAAAACACATGTTCACACAAAAATGTACATTTGAATGTTCAAAGAAGTGTCTTTTTAATAGCCAAAAGTAGAAAAACCCAAACATTAATTAATTGATGAATAGATAAGCAAAATGTAATATATTTATATAATGGAATATTGCTCAACAATAAAAAGGAATGTAGGATTGATAAAATGCTACAGCATGGATGAACCTTGAAAATATCTGCTAAATGAAAGAAGCAAATCCCTCCTAAATAGCACATATTGTGTGATTCTGTTTATATGAAATGCCCATAATTGTCAAATCTGTCATGATAGACTGTCGACTGGTAATTGCCTAAAACTAGGGGAAGATGGATTTGGGAAAAATAGAAGTGAAGCTAATGAGTAGAAGGTTTCTTTTGGGGATGATGAAAGTGTTCTAAAATTAGTTTGTACTGATGGTTATCCAAGTCTTTCTGTGAATAAACTAAAACCACTGGATTGTAAAATTTAAGTGACAGCTCATTTAGTTTGAGATTATTTATTGTGTTTCAAAAAGGTTGATTAAGAATCTTAAAGGAAGACAATTTTGGCCATAACTGAATACTGAGTTTCCATCCTGAATAAATAAAACCCTGGCTAGCTGTTGGGCTATAATTACCATCACCATCAATGTTTACCTATGCTTTTGAGTTTTTCCTTTCTATTCTGGCCATATTTTCTTCCCTTTTTGTGATCAGTGTTAATTATATGGATATCTTCTCCCCATGTCTTGAGTGAGACTTTTCACCAAATCTTATCCATACTGAATAATTTTGTGGTAGAGAAATACAGTTGGCTTTCATTTTACCTTCTCTTTCGCTTGTGCCAAAAGTCTTCATTTCCTATAGATATAGTTTTTAGTCTTAAGCATTTGACTCATAACAGTAGTAGTGACAGTGACAATAAGTAATGGCTGACATTTATTAAATGCTGACTATGTGCCAGTCACTTTCTATGTACTACAAATAAATTAATCATCCAGAAAGGATAATAGTATCTTTATATGAGCAAAAGATACTTGCCACTTTTCCATATCCGTTTAATTTGGAAGTACAAATTTCATTGTTTTCACTGTAGTTAAATGTGCTACTAAATTATATCCCATAATGCATCCTCCCAAGTAAACAAACTCCACACTAATGTAGTTCAGTCGCTAACTGAACCTTGATATTTCTTTGTCATCAGAATCATGCATAGATATCTTTGGTTGACATGGGTGTATGTGTTTAAAGTTGGGGTCAACATGTTGTGATACATCATTTCCTTTCCATAATTGAAGGATAAAGACCAAGAATGAAGGGTCACCCATTTTTATGCCCTAAGCTATTTAATTTCAAAACTTTTCCATCATCTTCTCCTTATTTTTCACCGAGTTTGCATATCTCAGTCTTCATGTTTTAACTTTGAATTTTTCCTCATTGAATAGTTGAGGATCCTTGCGTATCTGTTCTGAAATCATCCTCTGCTCAGTAAGTCCAATCCTCTAGTCCCCTGTGTATATATTTGTTTCAAAAGTGACTGCTTGCAGTTTTTCTCTAATAGCCTTGAACCCCACTCTGTCCATATGCTGGCTGCTAGCCATCAAAAACATAGCTAGAGGTGGGGGAAGACTGAGCTGCCATGTTAAGTCGCCTCTTTCCCTCCCTCTGGGAAAGGACCTTAACCTCAAGCACTTTCAGTCAATCACAGTCCAAGAGAGAACCTTGAAAATGTTCTGCAACACTGATTGGTTCCATAAAATATGCTGGCTGTATGCAGAAGTTGAGTTTCTTTTAGCTTATTTCATAATAAAGGGCAATGCATGTGCTGTATTCTTAGTAATTCAAATCTGACACAAATAATACAGCAAATAATTACAGTGACCTTTAACTCACCTCAAATTTAAACAAAGGTTAAGCTGCCCTTTACTAAAGTAAATATTTTCTGTAGTCAAATAAATGCAGACACCTTTTGAGAGTAGAATGCATTGCCAAACTAAAAGAATCTGAAAGTGGTTACAACAGAATAATTTCAAAACATAAAGAATGCAGGACTGTTCAGCATAAACAACATCCAGACATGCTGGCATCTGCCATTATTAATTTACCTTACAATATTTCCAATGGGCTTCCCCATATGTTTGCTGGGAACTGTTGCTTGAAATTTCTGTCCAGAAGGGCAGATTTCAAAAAGAAATATTAAAAGTAAGAGAATTTAGATCTCCTATCCATACCCTGATTCAGTAAACAATTTATATTTTATTCCATAGAGCTTAAAAAAGCCTTAAATGTCTAAGTGATTACCATGCATACCCTACGTCTTAAAAAATAAACTCAGAAGACAATGCTAACTGAGCAAACAAAGCAGCTGATAAGTTTATGTAGTTTTTATACCAAGGTTTAGCTGTTGGTTAGATAAGGACCAGGTGTGTTTTTGCACATTTAATTTGTTTAGTCTATGTCTATTTCAAATAGCACTTAAAGAAAAAAGAAAGAAAGAAAGAAAGAAAGAAACCCATGGGTAGACTACGTTATGTGTACCTAGTCTTTAATTGTAAAAGTTTATTTAAAAAAATAATTACTCTCTTTCTGGGGTCCCAATGCTAATGATATGTTGACTGTGAAAAACAAGTCATCAGCTTGTTACTGCAATTGGTATTGCCTCCAAATTCTCCCTTCATTAAAATAAGGCCACCTGATTTAATTAGAAGTATTCAGCATGCCTATAATATTTTTGGTCACAATTTAAATTACATGTCTCAAATAGGGATTAAATTTACATTTAGTAAGGCAATAATTGTATGTTAAAAGAAAAACTAAGTTTATTTCTTATTGTTTCTCTCACAGCAGCTTTGCCAACTCTGTTATTAAGACCAAAGATGTTCTTAGAGACTTAAATTAACGGGTTTATTTTTAACCATTAAAAAAATAAATGCAAACCCCAGGTCAATAAAACCCTCCTCCATGTCTTTCCTCTCTGAATCAGCAATTTTTTTTTTCTATTCCTCACCCTCTTTTTGAAACTATTGGAGCAACAGCACCGAGATATCTACTTCCTCACCAACAGGGTGCAAATTTAGGATCTGAGGCTGATCTATTAACAGACACAGGGAGTAGCTGTTTGTTATCTCAATGACTTTGGTTCTTCCTGGGTTCTTCCTGTATACTGAAATAGCTGGCATTGCCCATGACAGAAATAAATTATTTTGAAATTGGAGTGAAAATGAATTACTAGCAAAAGCAAATTAGCTCAGGAAGTATATTGGTCTCTTTTCTGTTGCTTGAATTTCTTCACATTCTGCACTCTTTTACGTTCAACCCTTGGCAAAGAATCTTCTTCCTCTATACTTTAAAGGTCATATAATCTCCTGCAGTTCCTATCTCTTTGAATCTCCTTTTTCTAATCCCTTCTTTTGATGAAGGAGAAATTACTCTTTGTCCTCCTGATGTTTATGAGAACCTTCTTCCTCTTTGGGACCATTCTTCTTCTTGGAAACTTTTTTCAGGGGAAAGTTATATAGTGCTCTAAGGGATAGCCAGAAACAATGTATAAGGAATGAAAATCTAAGTCAAGAGACACGAAATTTTACAACTTAAATGTGTACTGTCCTTTACTCAACTATGGTGCTTCTATGTCAACTTGTGGATTTAGGGAAAGATACTGCTCTGAAGTGTAGACCCCTCACTCTCTCTAAATTAAGGCACACCAGCTCATTAGAGGTAATGTTTCTTCCTGTCTAAAAACACCTACCTGTGAGATCCTCTGCATCTTATTAAAAGCAGAACTCATAACCAATTTAGAGTGCAAACCATGTTGGCTCCTCAAAGTGGGAGGTTTACGACTGAATTTGTGCCTTTAGAACTGTCTTTTTATTTTCTTCTCAACATTTATGAACTTTCTTAGACATTGAATTTAATTATCTATCTGGTCTTCTAATATTTGGTTGCTTTTCTTTTCTGATTCCTTTGCCCCTCCTTGAATTTCAATATATATGAAAGTGAATCTGACCTTTGTAGATAACCACAGAAGTATCTCTGATGCTCTTTTGCTGAATCTGTTTTCCTTGTCTTAGGATGTAGAGTTAAAATGCAATTGAGTTCTATACTTTAAGTGTCTTGTCTTTCTAATCAAGAGTGTTTTATTTCATTAGCAGAATTTCTACTATAAAGGTAAGAGGTAAGAATGGGAAGACCAGGTATATTAAAGCAATAGATAGAATACATCAGTATTCTCTTGGAAAACAATAGTTGTTTGGTTAAACAGCTGTAATACTCTGAGAAATTGATGCAATGTTTCCTGAAGAGGAGTTAGATCTATCACACTGGGCAAAGTGAGAGGATTTTCAAAGAAGTAATGGGATTTGTCATGAAGTTATGGGCAAAGAGAGGTTGTTTAGCCATAGAGAAGGAATGGAAGAATTAATAAGAAAAAAAATAATACCCAAAGACTAAAGATGTAGGAAGAGAGCTAACTATGGACAGTGAGTCTGATTAAAGCAGCCAGCATATCTGAATAATGAGGCACCAGTGAATCAATGTTTACAAGCATTCTTAGTTCCATAGGTATTGTGCAAGTTCCAGGGTAAGTGTGGCTGCCACATATGCCGTGTAACTTAAAGTCGTAAAAGATAGAGTAGGGAAACCAGAATAGAAAATACTGATTTTCTTGGAGCTATGTATATGCCAGAGGGATGAGAGCTAATTGGAATGAATAGAATTCTGACATGTGGGCAGTAGGAGTGAGTTATATGGAGGCAAGGGAAATAATAAAAGGGAGCCATCAGAATTGTTTAATGGAGTGATGTGAACATAATTAAGAATGAGATGGATGCTACCAAGAGGGATTGATAGAAAGTATTTTTTCATTTATCAGTAAGTCCCTTATCTTTCTCAAAAGACACCTGCAAACTTCTAATCATCATTTAATATAAGTTCCTGAGTATCCTGTGTATACTCTTGGGAGCTTTTTCTTATCTCTCTAAGAGAGAAATAATCATGCTCTTCTCTCTGTTACCTCTGTGCTTTGTATACATTTTAAAGGTGACCTAGCATACCATCTTATAATTATTTGAGAACCTATTTGTTTCCTTTACTAGAAAGGAAGCTCATTAAAAGCAGGTTGCTTTTTTTCTTCTTTACTTCTCCTTGTAAATTACCAAGCACTTAACACCACACTTGACTTTTTGTAGGTGTTAAATGAATATTAAATGGAATTTAATTTTGACAACTGTCCTAGTTTTAATTAAAGTTCTGGCCACAAAGTTTACTGACAGTAGGGATGGGTGAATCCATGGCAGGGGCAAGAGAAGTTTCCCTTTTTAGGTATCCATTTGGGCAGGAAGGAGAAAATAATATTATTTGACAAAGGCGCCTGAAAATAGTGTGTAAATATTGTGCTTCTAGTATAGGCGGTGATTTCACTGACCTCGTTACTAGAGATAAGACTACCAGATCATTCGTATGGGAGAAAAGTTATTCTATTGCTGACAAAAAATGGACCTTTAGCATAAGTCATTCTATGACCTTAGTGCTTTGCAAAGCTGTTTCTCCTGATTACCTAGTGTGTTTTACCTCACACATGATGTAAATAAATCTTATAACAGATTTTTTTCCACTTTTTGCTTCAGCTGCTATGAAGCTCAATGAAGTGCTATCATCTCATCTTAAGTAACTTTATTGCACTTTATGTCTTTTATTTCTTTATATTACCTCTCCCCAGGACTCTACTTATGATTTTAATCCTTTTTCCCTTCACCTCAAGACTCTATTATATTAGTGTATGATTTTTTTAATAAACGATCTCAAATACATCTGGGAACAAGGCAGGATATAAAGTAATTAATAAGTAAAATAAATCCAGGCACGTTAGCTCCACATACTACCTGCCTGCCAATACCACATAATACAAACCACATTGCACTGTTTAGAATGAATGAAAGCAGAGGTCTGGAGTTGGTGGCTAACAGGCAGAATCCTGCCCAGTGACATGTTTTGTTTGGCCCACACAATATGTTTAAAGTATGAATTACTTGCTAACCTTTAAGAATCAGAAAATTTTACACAAAATCCCAGTTTTTCTTAAAGGAGCCTCCATTCCATGATAGCAACACTTGAGCAGTAGCTGCTCTTTCCAACTTCATTCAGTCCATGACACTTGATTTTATTTCTGCCATATTTCATTTGGCTCCATTGCATTAATTTATATGACCTGCTAGACACTATAAGGATTTTGCTTGGGGCTCCTGCATTAATGAGATGACCAATATACATTAACTTACTTACAATTATTTTAATTACAATTAACTTATTTACAGTCAATTTAATTACACACATTTGCTGGATTTTTTTTCTATTAGTAGAATAATGAAATACTTTTTTTGTTGTTGCTTTTGCTTCTTTCTAGCATAATTGAACTAGCTGATATTTTATAGTGTAAACCAGAAAAATAATATGTTTGTGATACTTACATCCGTATATTGTAATTTCATGTATCTGGGGATTATTAGTTTAGCCACCTCAACCCTTCAAATCCCAATTCTGAATCTGGAAATAAAGCCTTACAATAGTTATCAGAAACCTGTCTTAGAATCTTTTGACCTCAGTGAGGGTTCTAGTTCTAGTAACTCCTACTTAACATAGTATTCTAACAAGCTTGATTATCTTTTCATCAGCCCAGAGCAGAGTAGATATATTGTTAAACACAACACAATTATAAATGACAGGGTAACAAAACACATTTTGATGTTTGAAGACCTCTAAGCCAAAAAAAAAAAAAAAAGCTAGAAGTTTAGAATGACTGCTTGATGAAATTAAGCATTTTCATAAAGGTTCAATTACCTTTGTATCTTTTATGTAAGAAAGTGATGAGCCAACTACCGTGTTTCCCAACACCGGTAGTGTGCAGGAGCTAGTCATACTGGTTCATGACAGCCCGTGTTGTGTATCTTTTCCAAACTCTGCACTCACTTACATCATGTTGCTGTTTTTGTTTATTTCCAGAGAGCCAGTTGTTAAATATTTACCAACACATCACTGCATCACTTCCAACCGAAGCCTGCCATGCTTTTTCTCCATGGCTTTGTACCTTAGCATGTGCTGTCATCTGTGTCTCCACCCTGAAACACTTGCCTTCTGCTTCCTCCATTTGGAGAACTCTTAATTTTCCATTAAAGCCCTTTTTGTGTGTAAGCTCGTCTGTGAATTCTTCTCCAATTTTAGACAGGAATAATTATTAATTATTTGTACCAAAATCCCTCCCATCATTTGGGACCTATCTTTTTACACTTTGCCTCTTCTTCTATAGAGTGATTTATTTCCAGGAGGGCGAGAACACAGCATTTTCCTTCTCTTGATTATTTAACCTTATATGATTCTTTTCATCCAGGGCCATGGAGATTATCCACTCTGGATGGAATGTAAGTGCTGCTGAGCCTAAATTCAGTTGGTTCCCTGGTAAATGAATGAAGTGGACAATTTTTCATTCTTGGCTCTGTACTAACATTTAATGAAAGGCAATGAAAACGCAAAGGCATAAGATAGGAACATAAAGGAACAGGTTCTCCAATCCATCAGAGGGAAAAGGCACTTTTATTAAAGACCGAAAGTGTATTATCTTTCCCTGTCTTCATAAGGGCAACCTGGCAAGATCTGGGCAAGTATATGAAAATGTCTAATATATGAGAGTTATTTTAAGGAAAAAAATCGTTAGATAAGTTGATCCTTAGGAGCATTGAATGCTTATCCATGTTCTCTTACTTTTGCATAGAAATTTCTCAAAATATAACAACTTCAACTTTCTGTGCACACCATACAAATTGTGTATGACAGGTCAGTTATTTAATATTAACTAATAGTCGCCATGTCTTACAATCCATTTCATTTAAGTCCTCCAATGTCAGTAACTAAAAACTAAATTTGCATCCAAATCATTTTTTTCCCCAAAAGTTAAATGTGATTCTGGCAAAAACATAGCTCTTATATTATTTGGTGCTTTTATTATTAGATAATTATGCTCAAGGAGCTTCACTGCTTGTTATAAGCTTTGGATGTGAGGAAAATTCCACAGCAAAGACTGCAATAGTTTCTGAACATTTCTGTGTCATCGCCAAGTTGTTTTCTTCTTTGAATGTTCTTTGATTCTCCCTCCGAAGAAAGAAAGTCCATTCAGTAGCATCAAAGTGTGGATGTTGTCCATAGCAATCTGGATGGGAATCAGTAGCAGGGGGCTTGCCTCACTGTCTATGGTTCAAGGGAGGATGTCACTCTTCAGAGACAGTGTGAGCAACAGGGAAGCAGGGGAAGTTTCTGAATGACCTCACAGCATGAGATGAGCGGTCAGAACTGTAATAATGGTTTACATTGGCAGGACTCCACTTCTGGGGTGGTCTGCAGTGACATTGTCAAGAATCTCTTTCATAGTACTGTGAATACTACAGGGACACATTGGTTGAAAGGTGAAAAGTTGGAAACACTGCTGTTTTTCATGGCTGGGGATAAGGAGAGTCCATTTAGGAGCTTATAAGAAGCTGTTTTCGAAAGAAAACAAAACGCCACTGCAATTTTTCATGAGTTCTCAAATGCAGTGTGGTGCAGTCTCTCTTGATTAACAAACTGCTCTCTCTGTCCTGTTGGAAATGTGGCTTCCTTTTGGTAGTGTGGTTTTTGCTAGGAAACCTCAATTTGCTAAGGTTGAGAGGTTAATGGTTTAGGCTACAGGTAGCAGCAATTATCTAAACTGGAGAGCAGATAGTATAAAATAACTAATGTGCATTTTATGAAGTCTCTATTGATTAAGGTATGCGTTTTGTCTATGTATAGAAGAGAAGATTTGTTTTATATAGTGTAACTACCAGTGAAAACCTGGTATATTACTCACACTCTTCCTTTTAAGTCCTTCAACCTGTCAACAACATGGTGATCTAGATTTAATAACTTATTTGTTGCAAGTGTACATTTTACTGTTTTACATATATTCGATTTAGAGAAAATATACGAATAATTGAGAAGTTGAACAAGCATGATCTAGAGCAATTTAAAACTACTAGAGCACTTCACATTTTAGGAGTAATTTATATTCAATGTGAAGTCAGTTCTACCAAGTCTTGAAAAAGAAAGATCTAAAATTATCTGCCTCTTATATCCGTAAGCACATCTTTCCAAATATGATTGACTGAGATTTTACTAGTGCAAAATTTAATGGTATGGGATAGTTAAAAGTAATATAGAGGGTGAGCAGGGTGGCTTATGCCTGTAATCCCAGCATGTTGGGAGACCAAGGTGGGCAGATCACTTGAGGTCAGGAGTTTGAGACCAGCCTGGCCAACATGATGAAACCTTGTCTCTCCAAAAAAAAAAAAAAAAAAAAAAATACAAAAATTAGCCAGGCATAGTGGTGGGCATGTTTAGTCCCAGCTACTTGGGAGGCTGAGGCAGAATTGCTTGAACTGGGAGGTGGAGGCTGCAGTGAGCTGAGATCACGCCACTGTCAGTCACTGTGATCTGGGTGATAGAGCCAGACTCTGTTACAAAAATAAATAAATAAATAAAAGTAATATATAACAATATCACAAATAAAATCTTCATTTTATCTTAGCATTACATTTAAGGTATTAATGAATATGTGGTTTATTATTTAATTTTTTTACTTTTGCATTTCATCTGAAGTTAGATTTGAATTCATAAATCCATTTGGCTTGTTTATAAAAAATTTCATTTTAATTAAAATTTGTATTTTTGCAATTATGAAATAATATGGTTATGTTAGTTTGAAAAATAGTGAAAAACAATAAGATACACATAGACATCTTCTGTAACATTTTATTGTTCTATGTTTTCAGGTTTATGGCTATGAGTTTTAATTTTTCTACCCATAAATATGTATTTTTATTACAAAATAGATACTTAGCAAACAATTCAAATATTACAGTAACTTATGCTAAAATGTAAATATTTCTGAACATTTGATTCATATAATTAATAAATTTCAATAGCTTGTATAGTTTGCAAGTTTTTCTTATGAATTAAAAACATATAATGAGATTTAAAATGTAATAGCAAGTCATATTTAAGTATTTTTAAAGAAGTGGGTTTATTTTATGCATACTCTTTTGAAATATTTTTTTTCCTCAAAGACAAATAAAAATATAGACTTCTAGGTGAGCATATTTTATGTATATTTTTGATATATAGAATTATGGTTAGTTATTTTGTGTATGTTTTTATCATGATAAACATAATTTCTCATTATATAGTATTCTATAATCTTTAAAAAAACTTTATAACAGACCATTGTACTATTTAGAAATAAACATTTCCATAATTTTGATGTCAATTTAATCAAGGCTTTGTCCTGTAAATAAGGAATAAATATCTGTGCCTTTTTCTGTGTTGTTGTTCTTCTTCATGTTGAATCTTATTAATGGGAAATATTTAACCAAAAAAAAATACAAATTTTCAGGTTCATGTTTTCTGTTGAATAATTACACAACGCAATCCATGTTTATACCTACAGCTAAAGAGAGTACTTGTTACCCTGAAATTTCCTACTTCGATGGTCCCACTGATAAGCTCAGTTTTTATATTTTGTGCTAAATGATAGAAAAAATATTCTTACTAGCATTCTCATATTATTGAGTGATTTAGTATGGAGAAAAAGCATGGCAGCTAGAAAAATGAATGGAGAGATATTATTCCCAGATTAGTACTTCAGTTACTGAGAATTTAATTATATGAAGTTAAAATTATAACGATTATATGAAGAAATTTAGAATGTTTGTTAAAATAATTGCTGCAGTGTGAAAAATGTGAATGGCAGCATTACAACTAACACTATGTCAAAATATAACCAGAGGTGGCTCTTGGGAGGTAATGCTCTGAAAGGAAAACCTATGAAGGATGCTGTGAAATGGATTCTCTAATGATCTGGAAGTTGGCTCAGATAATGTCTCTGATTTAGTGAGGTACTCCACTGGGTTACTTCAGGTAGATGTAGAATTGAGGAAGGGGGAATCTTTATCCTCATTGTCATGTCAAAATTATCTGAATATTGCTGATGGCAGAAAAATTCTGTGATCTTTAAATTGTCATGATATTAAAGATAAAAAATCTGTGATAAACAAAATATGAATCTAAGGCCAAACATATACATAAGAATTCCTGGTAGTGCATGGATTTTTGGGAAAAGAAAGTAAGTTCTCACTTTCACTAAGTATTCCTCTGCATTTCTTTTGGATGTAGATTTTATAGTAGACTGAACCCAGAAAATCTGTTCAGTTTTGTAGATACTACATGAGGACATGCTACATGGCAAACTCCTGGAAGATGGGAGCCATGGATGATTCAACATTATATGCCATCACACATATAGTTGGCACTCACAACATGCTTGCTTAAAACAACAAGTAAATGAGTGTGTGGACTGAAAGAATAAATGAATGCTATTAGCTAAGGCCAGATCTAGAGTGTGGAGCTGTTCTGAGGTTTCTCTATTGGCCTAATACCTTCTGGAAGTTCCTGACCAGATCATCTCATCAGTATGTTAAAAACCAAGGGATTTGCGTGAGGCATTGTGCAATTATACCACTTTCCTTTGCAATAACTGAATCCTGCCGTGAGGTAGTCATTGGGTCAGCCTTAGTCAAAGTTATAAAGAAGAAATCAAGGTTTACTTTTGTACTTCCTATACTGTGTCCTATTGTTCTGCTTCTCATGTTTTGAATTTTGTGTCCAGTTTCCTCATGCTGTCTCCCTCCCATCCAAACTTGCTCTGAAGAAAGAATCTTGAAATTTCATTTTCATGAAAGTGTAAATGACTGATATGACTAAAGTTCTGCCCCTCCCACAGCCATTTTTTACATTATTAGATAAAAAAAGCCCTCTCCTCCTTTCTTGTTTGTCTTTTGCCAGAAAAATAAGATCCTATGTAAAAATATAAGTATCTATGCCTCAGAAGTGAAGATCTGCTGGGGTTCAGAGATTCGAGCGATGTAATTGTCTGATCGCTCTTGGTTTGGATCTGGTTTAGATCTTATATCTCTCTCAGCTGCAGTGGGGAGATTAACTCTGCCCCATGCTACTTTGGTCATGCACTCTATCCTCTTTGGACTTTCTCAAATCATATCACTGCTGTGGGATTTTGTCACTCCTAAAAAGCATGACAATTTCCCTGATTTTATTTTCACTTCCATGAGATTTCACGGAGGGCTGGTGCTCTACATTTTATTATTAATATTAATGTTACCTAAAAATGAATTTTTATATGAGTATAAGGCAGACCTAAGGTGAAGGCTTACTATGAGTTTCTAGACTTTGTTGGTATGAAACTTGCTATTTTGAAGGAAGTATCTGAGATGTACAGGTGTAAGAATCTTTTGAAATCATAGAACTTTAGGAGTGATCTTAGAAATTATCTTGTCATTATTATTATTTATTCTAAAGATGATCAACAGTATAAATAAACAAAACATTGAGGCACAATGGACTGTATCAGACACTAAGTATAAGATCAGAAATGTTGACTGATTCTTCTGGCCATGCTTAAATATGTTATGGTGGAGGAGTTACAACTTTTATGAAATAACGAGTGAAAATAACTCCATCCTATTTATAAATGTTGGCTGAATTGGTGATTTTTTTCTTTCTATTTTTTTCTTTCCTCTTGAATATAAAACATACTGAGAAACACATAGAAGACAATCATTATTAAGAGTATTATAAAGCCCAATATATATTTTCCAGGTTTTATAATCAAAGGTGAAATATATCTGTAATCCTTCAATAGAATTACATTGTTAGATTCACAGGCTGTCATGTGTTAACATGATCAATGTGCTTGTATTGTTACAGTTTTTCTTTTCTTTCATTGATTCTGTAAGTATACAGATTATAGAGTAATATTTGTTCTGTCATGCTAGTGCATTTATCTTATAAAATACCTAAATTTAAAGAGAAGACTTTATGCATCGTCCAGAAAACAAAGATGCCGAGACAAATATAACTCAGCTGGCTGCTGCTGAGTTTGGACTTCCTGTTTTGTTCCATGTACATCAAAGACAATCCATGTCACTACTGTTTTCTAGGTGATTAGTGAGTTTTCCACAACAATGTTCTTTTTTTTCATTGAGGTACTATCTCAAATATTTCTCCTTCAGAAATGTCTGTGATATAAATATATATAAATACCAAATATAGTGTATATATATATCACACTGTATATATATCTATCACTGGATTTGGGTTTCCAGCATTTCAGAAGGAGCTGTTTGATAGCTTGATATTTGTTAATGCAAATTATGATGCAATTAGCACTTTCTGGACACTAAAAGACAATCTAATTCTAAAAAAAAAATGAAAGAACGAAGAAGAAAGAAAGAAAAGAAAGAAAGAAAAGAGAAGAAAAGGAGAAAGAAAGAATTGATTGAGTTGTTCTCTTTAGTTTGTATGACAGCATTCCATGAGTCTCTGGTCCCCAACCAAGGTAAACTGAAATAAGGATTAACTGACTATTGCAAAGCCTAATTTACGGAAACCGCATGAGTAGTTCCTGAGCACAGCCGAGATAACAAAAATATTATCCACATTGTTTACAGTGGAGTTATCAGTTTATTAGTTGGAGTGCTTCATTATGTATAAAAGATGCCAATGATAGTCTTCTAGTCAAAATAAACAGGCATAAAGTGTTCCGCATATACAATTTGTGGGGAATAGTTACTTTGCTATTTATTTAATAATTGACCATAAATGGAGTCAAAGTGCAAAGGGAGAAACTAAAAAAGCAGCCCACTAAGGGCTTTTTGAAAGATTGATAAATAATGTGGAATCTCAATTAGGCTGTAGAAGGAATGCAGATATTAAAAATTTGGTCAAGAATCTAATTAGCTGGAGGTAATTAAACAGTCTCACACGGGGTCATTAATCTTTTCCACAGACCTTTGATGTTTTGCACACTGTCTTCTAGTCATTAATAAAATTCATAACACTCCACTTTGTGCTGTTTTATCATCATGTTTTTTCTCTGTAAGAGCATAGAGCAAGTGTCATTGTTTCACAAGGGCCTTACTTTAGTTAATTTCTTTTCCTTCCCCCCATGCTTGTTAGGATTAACCATTTAACGATCCAAATGAAAAGCAGAAGGCACATTTAAATTTGTCCTTAGCTTTAGTAAATAATACAGTTTTACAACTTTGTCATCCTTTTTTTAAAAAAATGAGGTCTGTATTGTTACCATGAAAATGTTTCTGGAAATGGTAAATAACAGTGGAACTACATTTAGTTATCTGAAGATTTACACAGTCACATATTAAAGTTGTAATTTCTCAAAGAGAGGAATAATTATTTAATTTAGGAAAAGAGGCTAAATGGAAATTATTGAACACAAACTGTACATTGAGCAACAAAGGAGCAGAATGCCTTTGCAACAGTGCATTATTTTGATAAGTTTCAAAGTAACGCCATACTCAGAACTGGCTGGGTTATAAAAGGCAAAGAAAATGCAAAGACTGCATTTAGAAAATATGATTTCTGTGATTGAGAGAAAATATTTTATTCATTTTCATAAATGCAATGTTTGTGTATGTATTATTTTATTTTAGCCTTTTAACCAAATACATTTCTGAAAAAAATGAAACCTGTTGTTTCCCAGAATTGATTGTATTTGTAGTAGAGCCTGCTACTCCAAAAGCCATTCTACCTGTCCCCTGGTAGACTATATTGAATTAGCAGAGATTGCTAAAAAAGGTCCAGTAGTTCTGAACATTTGACTTCAGGAATAATGCTCTCACAATGATGGCATAAGAGAATGTATAGGAAATGGGTTATTCATCTGAAAACACCTGAAGGACTTCAAAAGCATTCATTAAAGTAATACACTGAAATGACTTCTGCAGAATATAAAACACAATGTTATTTTATATTGATTGATTGTTTCTGAAAGAAGAATTGTTAAACCAAGAAAAAAAGTAAACTCATAAGCACATTTAATTAAATGAATCTTACTGAAAGAATCACTTGCTTTTTGAATTTTTGGGACTGTTAGATATTATCATCTTAGATTCTGTAGGTAAAATCACAGCGTATTTTCTTTTCACTTAATTTTATCTTCCAAATAATTAGCATTACTCTTTTAAAATAAATAATAACACTTTTCCCCTTAAAATAACCCCAAATATTTGCATGAAACCAAATTCCGTTTGTTAAAATACTGTTCTAACAAACTGTCACATTTTAATATCTATAAACATCTTTATTTATTTAAACAGTAAGAGAAATAAATTCAGCAGAGAAAAATATGTCATTAATGTCATGAAAAGAAAGATCATATTAAAGAAAAATGTCTTTGACTATTCACTAATCGTGCATTATATGAGATTGAGATGGAATCCATTAGGCATAATATGAAGAGAGGAAACATATCAACTTCATGTACAAAAAGGAGTCTCTCAGACAATCTATGTGGATTCCCCAATCAAAAATAGAAACACCCACTCACATTGATTAAAATTTAATAGTGATTTAACTAATCAGGATGTTTATTCTAAGCAATTACATAGTAAGGCTAATTGTTAAATTTGTACAGCTTTGTTACTCTTGATCCTCCAGTGACATAAATTTAAAACGGGTTGAAGTTAATGACTAAGGGAATATAAACAAAATGGTTAAGTATTTTAAAATATTAAAAGGCTTAAGAACATGCTGGAGTAACACAAAAAGGTTTATTTCACACTGTGAAAATCGGACTTCCTGTGATGGATTTTGCACTTTCTGTTTGTAGAGCTATAAATTGTCTTAGGAAGGTCCTGAATTGGAGATCTATTTTTAAAGATATAAAGTAACTTTAAACAAAAGAAAAAGTATAAATGGAATTATTAACATTGTATTTGAGTAAAATTTTAAATGAAGTAGTTTGCATTTTATGCTTATATATTCTTGTGCTTATGTGTTTGTGTGAGTTTTAGGCATGTTGTTTTTAATTGAGTATTTTTCACCCAGGAGATATTGTCTATTTTAGAAAAAAAAATGAACAATGGACCAGATATTAATGTAATTTATCATTATATGGCATATAAAAACACATGTTAAAAAGCAGTTTTAAAACATAGTGATTTAACTGTGAATAAAAAGACTAGGCTTTTAATAATAAATAGCGTCAAAGTTTTATTTCCATGAGAAAATAGTTAAACTCCATAAATATTAAAGCATTAGAAGTTTTTTATTTTAATATTTAGGTGGTTTATATGCTATGTTTGTGTTAGCTAACTGGATATTAATGTATGCTTTAAATAGTCCGCTCAAAAATCTAGAAATATATATAAATTATAAGAAGAATAAATATTTACTCAGCTAAATTTATTTTTATCTCTTTCAGTTCCAGAGTTTGAATGTATTTCTTTACATGAAGAGGACCTAGGGATGAAAAAGTGAATTCAGTTTTGTAAGTATTTGTGATTCAATACCTCCTCCCAATTTCCTGGTTAACTGTAAGGTCATTCCCCAAACCGCAGGGCATTGGGGAAATATACAATTTTGGAATCATTATATCATTTCCTGTCCTATTTCCTGTCAACTGTTTCTGTCAGAAATGGCTAATCATGACCTATTTTCATCAAGCAAGAAAAGAAGCTAAGTCAGAATTATGCCGTTGAATTAAATCTTTTTCCTAAATGTAGTTATAAAATCTGGACTAAAGAGGGCAGGAGATACTCTATAAAAAAACTACAGAAGCCCAAGAAGAAATCTCTATGAGAAAATCATCCCCACATTTGAGCATATGATAAAGTGATTTATTTTCAATAAACTCTGTATAAATGCTTTAGTTACTTTGATGCAGTGATTAATGGGAGTTTCAATGATATTTGTAGGTGTGAGATTCCCTCTACACTCAATGTTCAGCCTACTTCATTGCGTTTGTATTGGCTATGAATGTTTCTTAAACATTCTTCTAAATTTCCAGCTGTTTCCTTCTCAATACAGGAGCAAGGAAGTTAATAGTGGCCTGTCACTACAAAACATGTCATTCATTTAGTGTAAAATATGAGGTCTTTCTAATCTTTACTCCACCCTCAAACTTATTTTTAAAAACACTTGACAACATATGTCATAAATGGATCTTTCTCTAAATCAAAGTGGATTTCTATGTATATACCAGCTGAAGGGACGTTTAATCTCTTCAGTAAAAGTCCATGACCTTCTTTTCCCTTTTTTGAAAACTTTTATAAATATATAGAGCAAAACTGAGAATCTGAAACCAGACTGCATGCTGGGAAATAAATGAATGATCATGATCATCATGTGGAGATGTGGAGGCACTATTCAAGGAAAATTGCTGAATAGAAACCAGGCACTACAACTTCTTCCTTCTTTACTTTCCAGTGGCACAATTTTATTTTAGTCTATAGATTTATAGTTAATCTGACATCTTCATAAGCATTTGTAGATATGAGGTACTTAAGTAGAAAGAAGAAATAGTTTTGAAAAGAATTATATATTTCATGTAGATATTATGTTTTAATTAAAATACCACATTATTTTTTCTTTGTATGTATTTAGTCAAGTTTTCACCATATTATATCTTAATTATCCTAATTTAGTTTACTTCAAAATAAAATTTAACTTCTAACTGAGAAGGAGGTTATACGAAATAATTATTATACTTATTATAGTGGATCTGTATGTTATTTCATTGAGTAAATTTAAACTTGAGCAGGCAAAAATAAATGTCAAGGTGCTTAACCTTTATTAATAGGATAAAATTTCAGGTAGCTGAAGATAGTCATATATAAAGAGTTTAACACTGAGTATAAATGTCTGGAAAATTTAAATTGCTTTTATTTGGGCAGGTTTTATAATTTCTCACCTCTCAGCACATCAGAAGTAAATATTGGCCCTGCACACTTGGATCCTTCTAAGCAGTGGATGCTTCTGTCAGGCTGAGACTAAGGTAAATAGTGGCTGATTTTCAGAGACTAACCTTCAGCTGTTAGATGAATGAGAGACATTGTCACCCACAAAATCACAACTACATGGGCTCTAGGCTATTTTTGTCAATGGCTGTAAATGCCTCTTTTCCTTAAATTGAAGTCAAAGAATCTAAGGCACCTCCCTAATGTCTGTCATTTGTTTTATTTTTCTGTCTTACGGAGATCAAACTTTTGGTTATTTGGAGAATTGGAGAAAAAGAGGCCCTTTCTGTTATAATGGAAAATAACTTACTGGTAACAGGAATAATCTCAATGATTTTATGACTTCATGTACATAGGTAAATATCACTTTGCATCCTATATAATACATTTCACATTTCCAACAGTGAAAAGGATTTTTAATGAAAAGTTTTTTCCCAGCTGTCTTTGGACCGAATATGAAGCCCAGGAAATTTCCAAAATGAGGTATTCTGAACATTTTATATAGTTAAATAAAAACATTCCATGACCTTTGTTGATCATAAAGTCTTAGGAATCTATGACTCTTAGATTCTTGATAGCATCTGGGTTGTTCTGGGTTTGCTGATGTTCAGGTTGTCTCTGAATTACATGGTGTGCTGAGAATGACACCCTCTTGGATTTGAACTTGGAAAATTAGTAGCAAACTTAACTGTTATCCTCATATCTAGATGAAGGTTCTGCAATAGTTACAGTGATTGCTTTAAGGCTACATAAGGTACTTCATTATATGCAGTGGCCTTGTGAAATTTACAGGATTTTTTCACTTGCTGAAACATATCATGTTGAAGTTTAATTCCCTTCAGGCCAGTAAATATTTATTGAGGGCCCACTCAGAATATTTGAAGATGGTAAACCAATCTTGTCAGAATATGTAAACATATATTCCTGTAACTGAGTTTTTTTCTGAAATACATCAATATAATCCCAATACCAATTGTTTTATAAGACAGAGGGAGAAGAGAGAAGGGGATGATGTGGAAAACTGCTATTTAAAATTTTTTTTTAAATCAGAAATTTAGATGATGCTCTCAGAATTGCTTTCATGATAGTCTAAGGCTTATGGTGATCAGAGACACTATTGGAAATTGTCCACAGAAATTAGTTGATAATGCTATTTAAAAATTAGACTTATTTTGTTCTTGAATAAAAAATACTGACCTATGCAACCAGCCTGGGCAATATAGTGTGACCTCTATCTCAAAAAAAAAGAAATTAAAAATAATAATCAAAAAATATATGTATACACATGCACACACACACACACACACACACATATATACACACACATACATATATATGAACCTAAATTTTAAACACATGGTTTACTGTGTGTGGAGAAAATAGTAATGCTGTTTGGTTTTGAGGATTTTATTTTGTTTTGAAATTACGGGGATTTGTTACCTTTCATTTGCAGATACAGTAAAAATGTATGATTCCTGTCACGTTGATCCTTGAATAGGTGTGACTATAAAGAAGCAATACTGATTTTTTAAAGATAAACAAACTGCACAAAGTTAAAACAGGATTGATCTTTAATGTAGTTATTTCAAGTATAGTGAGTAGAATCATGGGTTACAAAAAAATACTTACAACTTCATTTGGAAATATCTTCTGATGCCGTTTATAACCTTTTCTCTTGCTCTTTCTCTCTGTCATAGAGTTCAGTGTTGTCTCCAGTGTTTACTCAGTCTTATAGAGTGAAAAAATCAAAGGTTTTAACCTCTGGGTGTCTCAGTTTCTGTATCTGAAAAAAAAAAAATACCCATTATGATAATCACTTAGACTGCAGTTTCTGGCATTAATTCTGTCTCAGGTATAAGTCAATTACTTAAGAAGGTACTGGCATATTTGATCAATAGCAAAATGATTGGAAAGAAATGAGATGCATAACCTCACCTTTTAAGAAGGCAACATACATGTGGATGTATAAATCTGAATTATTATTTAAAATCAGACTCAATGATTCAGAGCCATACCTCTAAGGTCTCTAATGTCCTTTCTTCTGAATGTTGGCCTTCCCCCCAGGATCATATGTTGAAACCTAATACCCAATGTGACATGGGATTTGGGGAGGTGATTTGGCCTTCATGAATTGGATCAGAGCCCTTACAAAAGAGGCATGAGGGAGCTTTTTTTAATGTTTTTAATTTTTTTTATTTTTATTATACTTTAAGTTTTAGGCTACATGTGCACAACGTGCTGGTTTGTATACATATGTGCCATGTTGGTGTGCTGCACCCAGTAACTCCTCATTTAACATTAGGTATATATCCTAATGCTATCCCTCCCCCCCTCCCCCCACCCCACAACAAGCCCCTGTGTGTGATGTTCCCCTTCCTGTGTCCATGTGTTCTCATTGTTCAATTCCCACCTGTGAGTGAGAACATGCGGTGTTTGGTTTTTTATCCTTGCGATAGTTTGCTGAGAATGATGGTTTCCAGCTTCATCCATGTCCCTACAAAGGACATGAACTCATCATTTTTTATGGCTGCATAGTATTCCATGGTGTATATGTGCCACATTTTCTTAATCCAGTCTATCATGGTTGGACATTTGGGTTGGTTCCAAGTCTTTGCTATTGTGAATAGTGCTGCAATAAACATACGTGTGCATGTGTCTTTATAGCAGCATGATTTATAATCCTTTGGATATATATGTGGTAATGGGATGGCTGGGTCAAATGGTATTTCTAGTTCTAGATCCCTGAGGTATCGCCACACTGACTTTCACAATGGCTGAACTAGTTTACAGTCCCACCAGCAGTGTAAAAGTGTTCCTATTTCTCCACGTCCTCTCCAGCACCTGTTGTTTCCTGACTTTTTAATGATCGCCATTCTAACTGGTGTGAGATGATATCTCATTGTGGTTTTGATTTGCATTTCTCTGATGGCCAGTTGTGATGAGCATTTTTCATGTGTCTGTTGGGTGCAAAAATGTCTTCTTTTGAGAAGTGTCTGTTCATATCCTTTGCCCACTTTCTGATGGGGTTGTTTTTTTTTTTCTTGTAAATTTGTTTGAGTTCATTGTAGATTCTGGATATTAGCCCTTTGTCAGATGAGTAGGTTGCAAAAATTTTCTCCCGTTCTGTAGGTTGTCTGTTCACTCTGATGGTAGTTTCTTTTGCTGTGCAGAAGCTCTTTAGTTTAATTAGATCCCATTTGTCAGTTTTGGCTTTTGTTGCCATTGCTTTTGGTGTTTTAGACATGAAGTCCTTGCCCATGCCTACGTCCTGAATGGTATTGCCAGGTTTTCTTCTAGGGTTTTTATGATTTTAGGTCTAACATTTAAGTCTTTAATCCATCTTGAATTAATTTTTGTATAAGGTGTAAGGAAGGGATCCAGTTTCAGCTTTCTACATATGGTTAGCCAGTTTTCCCAGCACCATTTATTAAATAGGGAATCCTTTCCCCTTTTCTTGTTTTTGTCAGGTTTGTCAAAGATCAGATAGTTGTAGATATGTGGCATTATTTCTGAGGGCTCTGTTCTGTCCCATTGGTCTATATCTCTGTTTTGGTACCAGTACCATGCTGTTTTGGTTACTGTAGCCTTGTAGTATAGTTTGAAGTTAGGTAACATGATGCCTCCAGATTTGTTCTTTTGGCTTAGGATTGACTTGGCAATGTGGGCTCTTTTTTGGTTCCATATGAACTTTAAAGTAGTTTTTTCCAATTCTGTGAAGAAAGTCATTGGTAGCTTGATGGGGATGGCCTTTCGTTCCTTCTCTCACCTGAGTTTGCAGCCACAAGGCACTGTTCATGAAGCAGTGAGCAGGCACTTATCAGACATCAAATTTGCTAGTGCCTTAATCTTGGATTTCCTAGCCTCCAGAACTATGAGAATCAAACGTCTGTTGTTTATAAATTATCCAGTATAAAGTACATTTTATAGCAACCTGAACTGACTAAGACATCGACTCTGTACACAAGTTGGGACAAGTGAACTCCAACACAAGGTTGCATTCAGCACTCGGGGCATGGTCTTTTGCTCTTTCCTTGGGTAGTCAAGATTTACCATTAATATACCGCTAAGAAGAGGAACTGGTGTCAACTCAGGAGAAAAACCAATAAAATTAGTTCTAGTTAAGAAGCATAAAGTTGTGCATATACCTAATTTTACAATTTAAAATGTAACTTATAAGTTTACATTTTCCAAAATCCGTGTATTTTTCTATGGAGAAAATACTTAAACAAAAATTATAGTGCTTTATTTTCATTCTATATATTTTTTTAAACTAAAAAAGTGGTCAGTTTATTCCCCAATTGATTAAACTGATAAAATTACGTTTAAAGTGTTATTAGGAAGCAGTGACTGTTCATGTGACTAAATCACACCATTACCAAACATGAGAAGGTAATTGAATGAAAATAATAGCTTTTGAAATTTGTTGAAGCAACTTCCATCAATATGCTTGCCATGGGGAACAGTGGCAAAAGAAAACCTTCTCGTTTCCTTTTGTATTTATAGGTTTTTGGCCCAGTTCTAAGTGAATGCAATATATTTCAGAACATCCTTTCCTTTTAGACTTCTCTATTTTGTCTTCCCCTATTCATCCTTCTCTTGGTGGCTTTTTAATTTTTCCCAGACTTTGTTCCTTTTCTGAACTTTTACCCCACCATTTACACTTCAACTATCTAAGAAGATTCCTTAACTTTATAATTGGCATATGAATACAAGAAATGTTGGTTTAAAGATTTGTTCTAATTTCTTTTAGCCTCTTCAAGACATTGTGCTTGAAATATGTCTGGTTAACCAATAAAAGTGGAATGTAGCTGCTCGCAGCATTTTTATTTATCATAGAACTTTGAGGGAAGAATTATGTATATTGGAGATATCTTTAGCACTTGATGAAAACATGAATTCAGACTTTGATAAGATGTTTCTGGGTTTTAGTAGATTTGTTTCTACAGGGTGATCTGGTTTTACTTCATTTATTGACAGTTGTTAAAAGAAATGTTAAGTGAGGTCCTTTTAGAGAACAGTTGGATTTAAAGCAATTCATTGTAATGGCATTTTAAATGGTTGCACAAATATAATAGAAAAGCTTACATTTTTGCCATCATTCCTAATGAAAAATTAATTTATAAATTCTCTTTTATAGGCATGGATTCATGTTCAACAAATCAATTTCCTGCTCCTCTTTTATTATCAAGTAACAGATTCAATAAGTAAAAATATTCTGTAAATTTAAGATCATTTCCTATTATACATGCACACAGTTTTAAAGTACCTTGTTTTGGCAGGGCACGGTGGCTCACACCTGTAATCCCAGCACTATGGGACGCTGAGGTGGGCAGATCACTAGGTCAGGAAGATGAGACCAGCCTGGACAACATGGTGAAACCCCGTCTCTACTAAAAATACAAAAAAATTTAGGTGGGCATGGTGGTGGACACCTGTAATCCCAGCTACTTGGGAGGCTGAGGCAGGAGAATTGCTTGAACCCAGGAGGCGGAGGTTGCAGTAAGCCAAGATTGCGCCACTGGGGAACAAAAGCAAGACTCCGTCTCAAAAAAAAAACAAAAAAAAAAAAAACAAAAAAAAAAAACCTTGTTTCTCTACACATTTTAGCCAGAATGTTTAAGACAGTGTCGTATTTGTCAGTAATAGAAGGATCGGACCAGGAAAAGGTGAATACACACACACACACACACACACACACATATACAAACACACACACACACACATATGTATGTACATATATACACAAACGAAACAAAAAAATCCAATAAGATTACACCTGTCATATCATGGTCTAGAACAAATGGACTTCATAGATGGGGAGCCCACATAAGATACGCTTTGTGAGATTGTAAATTTAGCATTAAAAAACAAGCATCCGTTGCCCTCAAATTCCATCTTATGCTTGAGGGTTGGTAACTTAGATGACTGGATAGTCATTTGGTCTAAAAGAGCCAACTTGAAGGTAGTTAAAGAGTTTACTTTAAATCAGCATGCTTAACCAGTTCTGAGGCAGGTGTAGAAACATCAGCAATGTTGTGAAACTTTAATTTGAAAGGTTTACTCATCCTGAACATGGAGTTTTAAATGTTATTTTCTTTGTTAGGTCTTAAAATGTTGGAATCAAGTCAGTTCTTAGTTCATTTTACGTACATTTCTTCCTTTTCTCATACAAATATGTTGTGCTTTGAGAAGTCCTCTTAAACTGCAATTACTTTGGGGTATTTTCTTTTTAATTCAAGAAATAGAAGCAGAAAATCAGACTTGGATTCCTGGCTCCGTACCAACAACTCACAGTTCTCTTCAGCTCTTTTCTGTTCTGCTTCTGTAACTGGATAGATGATGGTTACTTTTAATGGCTGCTTTGGGGCTTCAGGGGGGTGGTGCGGAATTTTATACATACACACTCACAGGAAAAGAAAGCTATTATGGACATGAGATTGTTGAAAGCTTTACTGACTTTCATGCTGTGAGAAGAAGACACGGAGATACCTTATGCTTTTGATGCCTGAGGGCCACTAACCAAAAAGGGAAGAAGAAAAACACATTTACATGTTGTGGCTCTGATTCAAAATTCTTTTCCTTTTTTCCATCTATGGGTGCCCAAATGGGGGCAAAAAGTCAGCACCTCAAACTTTTTTGTTGTTGAAAGGGTAACACATGTCTCAACTTTCGTCACATATTCCCAGCGAAGTGAAAACTAAGTAAATTGAGCTTCAAGTCACTAATGTTTTCTTCCTGTTACAACCATAGCCTCATGGTGAACTTTAGAAAAAGGTTCGAATTTTTCACAATAATTTTCCCTTGACATAAGTGCTTGATAATTAAACAAAATTCTTCCCCTTGAGTCAGATTTTTTTCTTCAGAGGGATAAGTCAGATAGGTTTGAAATCTGATCCAAAGTTCAATCAAATGTTATCTCTTCTTTAAAAAAAATGGTATCCAAGTCAGTCATTATATGTATTGCTTACATTTAGGAGAAACTATGAGCTCATGTTATGACCAATGCTATCGTCCTGTGAAATCTCAAGTGTGCCTTGATTTTTTTTTTAATTTTAAGAAAGTGAAAACAATTATCTCAATGCACCTCATGAAACCTTTCTTTCACATCACTCTTAAAAATCTGGGATGAAATGGGACTGGGATAAGTCAGAATAGCTACTAATGGGCAGTTGCCAAATATCAAATCAAGTCATACAAAATATGTAAAATCTGTACACTCTAACTTGGATTTGTAAGAATAATTTGTCTTTTAGATGGGAAAAAGCAAACACGCACACCACACACACAAGTCTCGTGGGATAGATTTAGATTTTAAGTCTTGTTGGGATTAAATACAATGGCAACAATTATAAGTAGAGAAAAAATTTAATTAATTATTTCCATAACTTACTGGGGTACAGGTGGTATTTGGTTACATGAGTAAGTTCTTTAGTGGTGGTTTTTGAGATTTTGGTGCACCCATAACCCGAGCAGTATACACTGCACCATACTTGTTGTCTTTTATCCATTGGTTCCTCCCACTCTTCCCTCCAAGTCCCCAAAGTCCATTGTATCATTGATATATGTATATATATGATATATATCATATATGTGATACATATCATATATGTGATATATATAATTTGTATCATATCTATATATGATATATATATATATATCACATATCTCACAGTTTCTTTATCCACTCATTGATTGATGGGCATTTGGGTTGGTTCCACAATTTTGCTATTGTGAATTGTGCCACTATAAACAAGTGTGTGCAAGTATCTTTTCCAAATAATGACTTCTTTTCCTCTGGGTAGATACCCAGTAGTGGCATTGCTGGATCAAATGGTAGTTCTACTTTTAGTTCTTTAAGGAATCTCCACACTGTTTTCCATAGTGGCTGTACTAGTTTACATTCCCACAAGCAGTGTAGAAGTATTCCCTGTTCACCACATCCATGCAAACATCTACCATGTTTTGATTTTTTGATTATGGCCATTCTTGCAGGAGTAAGGTGGTATGGGGTTGTGGTTTTGATTTGCATTTCCCTGATCATTAGTGATGTTGAGCATTTTTTCATATGTTTGTTGGCCATTTGTATGTCTTCTTTTGAGAATTGTCTATTCATGTCCTTAGCCCACTCTTTGATGGGAGTGTTTGTTTTTTCCTTACTGATTTGTTTGAATCTGTTGTCGATTCTGGATATTTGTTGTCTGTTTACTCTGCTGACTGTTCCTTTTGCCGTGCAAAAGCCCTTTAGTTTAATTAGGTCTCAGCTATTTATCTTTGTATTTATTGCATTTGCTTTGGGGCTCTTCATCATGAAATCTTTGCCTAAGTCAATGTCTAGAAGGGCTTTTCCAATGTTATCTTCTAGAATTTTTATAGTTTCAGGTATTAAGTTTAAGTCCTTAATCCATCTTGAGTTGATTTTTGTATAAGGTGAGAGATGAGGATCCAGTTTCATTCTCCTACATTTGGCTAGCCAATTATCCCAGCGTGATTTGTTGAAACGGGTGTCCTTTCCCCACTTTATAGTTTTTGTTTGCTTTGTTGAAGATCAGTTGGCTGTAAGTATTTAGGTTTATTTCTGAGTTCTCTATTCCATTCCATTGGTCTATGTGCCTATTTCTATACAAGTACCATGCTGTTTTGGTTACTATGCCCTTATAGTGTAGTTTGAAATCAGGTTGTGTGATGCCTCCAGATTTGTTCTGTTTGCTTAGTCTTGCTTTGACTATACAGGCTCTTTTTTGGTTCCATATGAATTTTAAATTGTTTTTTTCTAATTCTGTGAAGAATGATTGTGGTATTTTGATAGGGATTGCATTGAATTTGTAGATTGCTTTTGGTAGTATGGTCATTTTCACAATGTTGATTCTACCTAGCCATGAGCATGGGATGTGTTTCCATTTGTTTGTGTCATCTGTGATTTCTTTCAGCAATGTTTTGTTGTTTTCCCTGTAGAGGTCTTTTGACTCCTTGGTTAGGTATATTCTTAAGTATTCTACTTTATTCTTAAGTATTTTACTTTTTTTGCAGCTGTTGTAAAAGGAATTGATTTCTTGATTTGATTCTCTGCTTGGTCGCTGTTTTTGCATAGAAGAGCTAACTAATTTGTCTACATTAATCTGGGATCTGGAAACTTTGCTGAATTCTTTTATCAGTTCTAGGAGCTTTCTAGAGGAGTCCTTAGGGTTTTCAAGGTAAATGATCATATCGTCATCAAACAGTGACAGTTTGACTTCCTCTTTACCAACTTTCATGCCCTTTATTTATTTATCTTGTCTGATTTCTCTGGCTAGGACTTCTAGTACAGTGTTGAAGAGGAGTGGTGAAGGTGGGCATCATTGTCTTGTTCCAGTTCTCAGAGGTAATGCTTTCAACTTTTCTCTATTCAGTATTCTGTTGGCGGTGGGTTTGTCATAGATGGCTTTTATTACATTAAGGTGTGTCCCTTAAATCTTGATTTTCCTGAGAGTTTTAATCATGAAGGGATGCTGGATTTTATCAAATGCTTTTTCTGCATCTACTGAGATGATCAGGTGACTTTGGTTTTTAATTCTCTTTATGTGGTGTACCACATTTATTGACTTACATATGTTAAACCTTCCCTGCATCCCTGATATGAAACCCACTTGATCATGGTGGATTATCTTTTTGATTATTGTTGGATTATGTTAGCTAATATTTTGTTAACGATTTTAGCATCAGTGTTCATCAAGGATATTAGTCTGTAATTTACTTTTTTGGTTACATCCTTTCCTGGTTTTGGTTTCAGGATGATGCTGGCTTCATAAAATGAATTAGGGAGGTTCCTTCTTTCTCCATCTTGTGGAATAGTTTTGAAAGGATTGGTACCAATTCTTCTTTGAATGTCTGGTAGAATTCTGCTGTGAATCTCTCTGGTCCTGGACTTTTTCTGTTGGAAATTTTAAAATTACTATTTCAGTGATCTGTTCAGGGTATCTAATTCTTCCTGATTTAAGCTAGGAGGCTTGTATTTTTCCTGGAATTTATCCATCTCTTCTAGGTTTTCTAATTTATGTATGTAAAGGTGTTCATAGTAGCCATGAGTGATCTTTTGTATTTCAGTGTTGTCAGTTGTAGCATCTCCTGTTTCATTTCTGGTGAGGTTATTTGGATTTTCTCTCTTCTTTTCTTGGTTTATCTTGCTAATGATCTATCAATTTTATTTGTGTTTTTAAAGAACCAGCTTTTGGTTTCATTTATCTTTTGTATTTTTCAGTTTCATTTAGTTCTGCTCTGATCTTGGTAATTTCCTTTCTTCTCCTAAGTTTGGGTTTGGTTTGTTCTTGTTTCTCTAGCTCCTTAAGGTGTGACCTCAGAATGTCAGTTTGTGCACTTTCAGTCTTTTTGATGTACGTACTTAGGGCTATGAACTTTCCTCTTAGCACCACCTTTGCTTTATCCCAGAGGTTTTGATAGGTTTTGTCGTTATTGCCATTCAGTTTGAATAATTTTCTAATTTCCATCTTGATTTTGTTTTTGGCCCAATGCTCATTCAGGAGCAGGCTATTTAATTTCCATATATTTGCATGGTTCTGAAGGTTACTTTAGAAGTTGATAGCCAATTTTATTCCACTGTGATCTGAGAGAGTGCTTGATATAATTTCAATTTTCTTATATTTATTGAGGCTCATTTTATGGCCTATCATATGGCCATGGAGAAAGTTCCATGCACTGTTGAATAGAATGTTTATTCTGCTGTTGTTGGATGAAATGTTCTGTATATACCTGTTAAGTTCATTTGTTTCAATGTATAGTTTAAATCCATTGTTTGTTGACTTTCTGTCTTGATAGGCTGTCTAGTGTTGTCAGTGGCATATTGAAGTCCCCCACTATTATTTGGTTGCTGTCTATTTCATTTCATAGGTCTATTAGTAATTGTTTAACAAATTCGGGAGCTCCAATGTTAGGTTCTTATGTGTTTAGGATTGTGATATTTTCATGTTGGACAAGACCTTTGATCATTATATAACATCCCTCTCTGTCGCTTTTGACTGCTAATGCCTTAAAATTTGTTTTGTCTTATATAAGAATAGCTACCCCTGCTAGCTTTTGGTATTCATTTGCATGAGATGCCTTTTTCCACCCCTTTACTTTAAATTTATGTGAGTCCTTATGTGTTAGGTGAGTCTCCTGAAGGCAGCAGATAATTGGTTGGTGAGTTCTTATCCATTCTGCAGTTCTGTATCTTTTAAGTGGAGCATTTAGGCCATTTACATTCAATGTTAGTATTGAAATGTGAGGTATGGTTGCATTCATCATGCTTTTTGTTGCCTGTGTACTTTGGTTTTTTGTTTTTGCTCTTTAACAAATATTTTTGTTTTATAGGTCCTGTGTGATTTATGCTTTAAAGATGTACTGTTTTGATTTGTTTCCAGGATTTGTTTCAAGATTTAGAGCTCCTTTTAGCAGTTCTCGTAGCGGTGGCTCAGTAATGGCGAATTCCCTCAGCATTTGTTTGTCTAAGAACAACTGTATTTTTCCTTCACTGATGATACTTAGTTTCACTGGATACAAAATTCTTGGCTGTTAACTGGTTTGTTTGAAGAGGCTGAATATAGGGACCCATTCCCTTCTAGCCTGCAGGGTTTCTGCTGAGAAATCTGCTGTTAATCTGATAGGTTTTCTTTATAGGTGAGTTGGTGCTTCTGTCTCACAGCTCTTAAGGTTCTTTTTTTCATCTTAACTTTGGATAACCTGATGACAACATGCCTAGGTGAAGATCTTTTTGCAATTAATTTTCCAGGTGTTCTTTGTGCTTCTTGTATTTGGATGTCAAGGTCTCTAGCAAGGTCAGGGAAGTTTTCCTCAATTATTCCCCTGAAAATGTTTTCCAAGCTTTTAGAATTCTCTTCTTCCTCAGGAGCAACACTGATTATTCTTAAGTTTGGTCATTAAACATAATCCCAGACTTCTTGGAGACTTTGTTCATATTTTCTTATTTTTTTTCTTTGTCTTTGTTGGATTGGGTTAATTCAAAGACCTTACCTTTGAGCTCTGAATTCCTTTCTTCTACTTGTTCAGTTCTATTTCTGAGACTTTCCAGGGCATTTTGCATTTCTAAAAGTGTGTCCAAAGTTTCCTGAATTTTTAATTGTTTTTTTTTCTTTAAGCTATCTATTTACTTGAATATTTCTCCCTTCACTTCTTGTATCATTTTTTTGGATTTCCTTGCAGTGGGCTTCGCCTTTCTCTGGTCCCTCCCTGATCAGCTTAATAACTAAACTCCTGAGTTCTTTTACAAGTAAATCAGGGATTTATCCTTGGTTTGGATCCATTGCTGGTGAACTAGTGTGATACTTTGGGGATGTTGAAGAGCCTTGTTTTGTCATATTACCAGGGTTGGTTTTCTGGTTCCTTCTCATTTGGGCAGGCTCTGTCAGAGGGAAGGTTTAGTGCCAAAGGCTGTTGTTCAGATTCTTTTGTCCCACAGGGTGTTCCCTTGATGTAGTATTCTCCCCCTTTCTCTATGGATGAGGCTTCCTTAAGCTGAACTGCAGTGATTGTTGTCTCTCTTCTGGGTCTAGCCACTCAGCGAGTCTACCCAGCTCTGGGCTGGTACTGGGGGCTGTCTGCACAGGGTCCTATGATATGAACCATCTCTGAATCTCTCAGCCATGGATATCCGCGCCTGTTCTGGTGGACGTGGTGGAGGGTGCAATGGACTCTGTGACGGTTCTTAGCTTTGGTGGTTTAATGCTCTATTTTTGTGCTGGTTGGCCTCCTGCCAGGAGGTGGTGCTTTCCAGAAAGCATCAGCTGTGGTAGTATGGAGAGGGACCAGTGGTGGGTAAGCCCTAGAACTCCCAAGATTATATGCCCTTTGTCTTCTGCTACCATGATGAATAGGGAAGAATCATCAGGTGGGGGTGAGGCTAGGTGTACCTGAGCTCAGACTGTCTTTGGGCAGGTCTTGCTGCAGCTGCTGTTGGTGATGGGAGTGAGATTCCCAGGTCACTGGAGTTGTGTACCTAGGAGGATTATGTCTGCCTCTGCTGAGTCATGCGGTTTGTCAGGGAAGTGGAGGAAAGCCAGCAGTCGCACGCCTCACCCAGCTCCATGCAAACCAAAGGGCTGATATCACTCCCACCATGCCCCACCAACAGTCCCGAGTCTGTTTTTAGGTAGAGAGCATGATGGGCTTTAAAAATTGTCCCAGGCTACCCACCTCCCAGCTGTGAGAGAAAAGGGCTTGGTTCTTTCCCTGCCTGTGGAGTCTGTGCACCAGATTTGCATCCTCCCCTGAGTTCTGGCCAGGAGGCTATTCACCCCATTCAAATTGCTAAAAATTTCAGCTAGAGATTTTCTTCTCCTGGTGAAGTTTTACCACCTTTCCCTCTGGTCCCCCACCTGATAGATCTCTGTGGTGCCAGGCAGGAATGGCCTGCTAGGGGACACAGAGAGTTCCCAGGGCCTCTCTGCTGCCTCCTCTAACCCTGCATTTTGCTTGGCTCTCTAAATTGGCTCAGCTCCAGTTTCTCCAGTGTAGGTGTGTGTTTGGGAGAGGAGGGTCTCTCTTTTCCACTTCTGCAGTCGGGGCACTCAGACAATTTGGGGTGGCTCCCAGGTCCTGCAGAAACAGTCTTCTTCTTTCAGAGGGTCTGTGGGTCCTCTTGGGACTGCTGGTTTGTTCTTGCATTAGATCTGGAGCTAACATTCACAATGCGAGCTTCTGCAAGCTGCTTTGTCCAGAGCTGCAATCTAGTCCTGCCTCCCATCCACCATGATGATCCTCTTCTCAAGGTAGAGAAATTATCACACATTCTTATTAAGTAGTAAGCTGTCCTTGGTTAAAATTTGGGAAATACACATTCATGTTGCTTCTAAAATTACATCTATCATTGAGTCCATACAATCAAAATTTTCCTGATATTCAAAAATATATATTTGAAGAATATTTTAACATTTCCTCCTATGGAACGTTACAGTTCCATATACATGATTGTATGACCCATGGCTGATATTTATTATAGACCTGTTTATGCGTCATTCTGCCATTCAACTGAAAAAGACGTAAATTTATTTCACAAAAAAAATACAATCATGATGTCCAAAATGAAAGCCAAAAAAAAGCAACAGCACTACCAACAAAATCCAAAATTTCTAGGTTATTTTGCTCTTTGTGTGTGTGTGTGTGTGTGTGTGTGTGTGTGTGTGTGTTTTAAATTTTTTCCACAGCTCTGTTTCCTTTGGACTGAGAAACAAGTTATTATGTGTTTATCTCACCACTGAAAAATGATAAGTCTCTAATTTCTCTCAAGTTAGTGCTCCTCTAACCAGGTATTCAGTTTTCTAAAAGAAAGCAAACACCTGATTACTGAAATATATTAACTATATAATAGCATACTTTTTCCAAGCAGCTTTTGTATGTTGTCTTGTTTTATCCTTCTTTTATTACAGAGATATGTGGAAAATGCTATGCTCAGTTTGAAAGAAAGAAACTGAAGCACATAAGAAGGAAGTGAGTTTACTAAAATCACCGAACTAATTGATAATTAATTCTTATTTTCATTCCATACAAAGTAAAATATTAAGGAGAGTAATTGCCCTGGTTATTTCATCCCTATTTCAAGGTTGGTTCTATCTTTACTTTACATTTGAGGAAACTGAAGTCTAGAATTAATTAACTTGCCCATTTTTATGCAACTAGTAAGTGATAATCTGAGGTTTTAATCTTACTAGGGCTGACTTTAAAGGCCAGTCTTTTCAAATTGTATAGCTTCTTAGATTGGTCTAGTTTTGTATTCTAAATGATACTTCACAAGTCATACCTTCCCTTATAACTTTTTTTGGTGGAGATTAGGACTGCCAATTAATTGAATAAAATTTACTTCACTCAGAACAAGTATTTGTAGAGAAATAGCAATTATGCAATTCTTTCGCAGATGGTTAAAATATACTGTTATTTTTATATTCTACTGTCAAGTTGAAAAAAATCTGAGTGGTCTTGGTAAGAATACTGTGTCTGTTCATAATACATGTTTATTATTGCTGAAAGAAGGAATAAAACTAATCAGAATAAAATTTCAAACTAAGTTAGCAGTTTTTATCTTATTAAATGTAAACTATGTGTGCATAATATTCACAAAAAATGGACACAAAAACATAATAATACAATAGCACTCTTTTAACAACTAACCTGCTTAGGAAATTACATATTATGCATATTATTGATATTTCTGGGTTTCTTGCTGAAATTTATTCTCCTCCTTCTTTCTGCAGATGTAAGCCACAATCTTGTATGTACTGTTAATACTTCTCAATATATATGGCTATATACTTCAAAATATATGTATGTTTCAATATATAATATTTAGTTTTATATTGTATATTTCAAATATAAAACCGCACTTTTGAGGCATAAACACATAAGACTGAGGCTGAACCAGGACAACATATAAAATCTCTGCTCCTGCCCATCAGCTGAGTAACCATCTAGTAACAAGCAAGAGCAGCAGAGCACTAGAGGAGGGGCAAGCAAGAGGAGAGAAACCACATCTGTGACAAAGGCATGTATGTAAGGTTGAAAGCTGAGGATGGGCCAAGAAAAAGGAGAAAATTCTTTTGACTCTGCTGCCCCTACTCTAAGCTTAGGCAATAGAATTTCACTGCTGAAAAGACTTGAAGACTGTTGTGTCTTGAACATACTCTTAGCAAAACATACCAAGGAACCAGCCAATACCTCATACTAAGAGCCTGACAAATTGATTGTTTTCAGGCATGTTACTCTTTCTCTTAGTCACTACTGCTTTATACATTGTGACCAACATTTAATCAAAATTATAAGAAAAAATAAAAACAAATAACCATAATAAAGAAAGAAAGTTATGAAAAATACAGACATATATATAAAATCTAGATTTTTAAAGGTTGGATTAAATTTTAAAATAACTCTAATTAATAGGTTAAAAGATTTCATAGAAAAGACATACAACATGAAGGACAAATAGGGCATTTCAGCAGAGATGAAAACTAGAACAAAGATTTAAATTAAAATAATAGAAAGGAAAAGGTAATAGCAGTGAAAAATTTACTTAAATGGCCAACCCATAAAACAGCTCAGGAAAGGTAAACAAAATTGAAAATTTGACAATAAAATTATTTAAATATAATCACAAAAAAGAAAAAGAAGAAAACAAAGGTTCCAAAAGCTGTAATGAAATAAAAACAGAAAGCATCTACAGCTGTAATACAACACCAAATATTCTAATGTACATGTAATTAGAACCGCTCAAGGAAAACAGAGAAAGAATATGTCAGAAGAAAAGTTTGAGAGAGAATAGCTAAGAAATTTCCAACAATAGTAAAAGATATGAAAACACAGAGCCAAGAAGCTTGGGTTTCTTTTAGGAAAGCACACACATGCATGTGCATGTACAAATAGATACAAACACACACTCCTAGATATAATATTCACATTCCTAAAAACAGCACAGGAAATAAAGGGAACATCTTGTAAGAAGCCAGAAAGAAAGGGAAGTGATATACACATGAAGAAATATAAGAAATACTGCTGACTTCTCCTGAGAAACTATGCAAACCTGAAGACAATGGTTTTCTTTACAGTACCAAAATTTAAAAATAAAGCCAATTCAAAATCCCTTACTTAGTAAAAATATTATCCAAAATAAAGTCCAAATATAAAGTAGTATGTACATGTTATTTTGCTTTACATTTTTCATGTTACTTATATATAGGGACTAAGTGCTATGTTTTCGAGGGTTCTCTGTTGATGTACATAACTAGTTCATCTATTTTATTGATTGTAGGGTATTTTATTGTATCTGTAACATCAATTTTAAAATCCATTTCTTGCTGATAGATTTTTCTCTGTGGTATAAGTTTTGGTGCGTAATTTTCAGTTAAAGAGTATGTATTATAAATGTTTAATAGATATTGACATATAGCTTTGCAAAGTGTTTAAAAAATTTACACTCGGCCAGGCACGGTTGCTCATGCCTGTAATCCCAGCACCCTGGGATTACACCCTGTGACCATCATGGCTAATACAGTGAAACCCCGTCTGTACTAAAAATACAAAAAAATTAGCTGGGTATGGTTGCACACACCTGTAGTCCCAGCTACTTGGAAGGCTGTGGCAGGAGAATCACTTGATCCCAGGAGGTGGAAGTAGCAGTGAGCCAAGATTGCACAACTGCACTCCAGCCTAGGTGAGAGAGCGAGACTCCATCTCAAAAAAACAAAAACAAAAACAAAAACAAACAAACAAAAACAGAAAAAAGAAAATTACAGTTCTACTAGGAGTATATAATAATGTTAGTTATAGTTATCCTGTATTCTTCCTATAATATCAAGATTTTTAACTTTTTGACAAACTTATTGAAATATAATTGGAATCTTACTGTAATTTTTAAATTACAGCTTTTTATTACTAGTGAGTTTGAGAATCATTTCTATATCTATTGGACATTTAATTTCTGTAATGAATCAGCTATTTTCATATTTCATCAGTTTTAGTAATAAGTATAATGAGTTGTCTTTCTGTTATCAATTAGAAAGGAGTTGCTATATGCTACATATATTAATTCTCTGCATTGTAAATAGTTTTTTGCAGTCTTTTTTCACATTTTTTTGAAGTCTTTTCATGTATGGGATATTTTAGCTTCAATCTAACTAAATTTTTAAATCCCTCACTTTTATGGTTTCATTTTCAGGTCCTATTTAAAATTTGCTCTCTACTTTACAGTTCTAAAGATATCTTCTTGATGTTTCAAATTTTATACTTCAAACTTGGTATATATTTTTGTATGAAATGTAAAGTATTCTTGCCTATAGCAAGATGTCCCCACATCATCAGATTATTTGTCACTTTTTTCTCCACTGATTTTTAAGTTTTAAAATTTGTCAATAAAATATAATAAAGTGCGCATAAATTGTATAAAGGGACAAGTTTTTACATATTATTACATATGTATTAATAAAATCATAATTAAAATCAAGAAAATAAACTTATCAGTTATCCCCAAATTCTTTATTTCCTTTTGTAAAGAACAATTTCCCATTCTCTGCCCACTCTACTCTGCCCACTCTGCCCATGTGCAAACACTTTATATATATATGTATATATTTATATTTATATAGATGCAAACACATTTATAAATGCAAAAACATATATAAATGCAAAAATAAAATGTCTGCCCATATGCAAACACTTTATGTATATATATACATTCTCCTTCAGGGAAGCCAATATCCTGTATATTATGCTGCTTGAAATTTCCACACAGCTCACTGATGATCTGCTCACTTACTTTTAGTATTTATTTTGTGTGTTTTATTTTGGATGCTAATTATTGCTGTGTCTTCAGGTTCACCAGTCTTTCAGCTCACAGGTCTAATCTGTTGTTAATCTCAATCTGTGTGTGTTTTATTTATCCCAGTTAGTTTATTTTTCATTTCTAGAAACTTGTTTCAGTATATTTTCTGTATCTTTCATGTCTATATAAAACATGATCCATATACCTTCTTGAACATTTGGAATATATGTTTTATATAATTTGTTTTTGTATCCTTCAATACTAATTAATTTCTGTGAATAATTTTCCTTATTACTATGGATCATGCTTTTCTGCTTTTTTGCATACCTGGAAATTTTTATGTGGTGCCAGACACTGTGAATTTAACTTTGAGTGATGGATACTTTTGTATTTCTGCAAATAAGTTTAAGCTTCTTATTGGTGTGCACATAAGTGGCTTGAAAACAGTTTATTCCTTTCAAGTTCTACATTTAAATTTGCTGTAAGGATCAGGATCAGAGTAGTCTTTAGTCTAGAATTAAATTTGACTTACTGTTAAGGCAGACACTTCTAAGCATATGCCCTGAATTTTCATGAATTAGAAACTTTGGGCCAGGCATGGGGCTCATGCCTGTAATCCCAGCACTTTGGGAGGCCGAGGCTGGTGGATCACTTGAGGTCAGGAGTTCAAGAACTGCCTGGCCAACATGGTGAAACCCCATTTCTACTAATCATACAAAAAATTAGCCAGGTGTCGTGTTGGATTCCTGTAATCCCAGCTATTCAGGAGGCTGAGACAGGAGAATCGCTTTAACCTGGAAGGCAGAGGTTGCAGTGAACTGAGATGGCACCACTGCCCTCCAGCCTGGGTGACAGAGCAAGACTCCATCTCAAAAAAAGGAAAATTAATTACAAGCTTTCTCCAGTCTGGTTGATGGAAACACAAACTGCTCGTGGTTCCTTGTCAACTTCAGGAATTATTTTCCCTAATTTTCTCAGGTGAATGTTTCCTGAGCCTCAGGAAATTTCTGAGTAAGTGAGGACAGAAGCTCAGAGCTCTGCCTTTTTGTAGTTTTTGTCATTTTTTCCTTACTGGTCCTCTGATCTGTGAATTCTAGCTATTTACCCTCCCAACTCACTTCCTGGACTCACAACTTTATCTCTTCACCTCAAAGAGACTGCTAGATTCTACCAGGTCCTCCCCTTCGCTGCTTTTTTCAAGGCTTAGATATATTTTTCTGGGCACCAATCTTGTGCAATCACAAGCTCCCTTTTTTTGTTTCCCTTCTCTGAGGGATGACTGTCCTGCACTGCCTAATATCTGATGACTGAAAATGATTTTCTCACATATTTTTCAGTTTTTTAGTGGTGTTAGGCTCAGAGGGCAAATATAGTCTTTGTTACCATTTTTTCACTAGAAGTGAAAGATCTTTTGTCTTTTTTTTTTTTTTTTTTTTTTTTGATGGAATCTCACTCTGTTGCCAGGCTGGACTGCAGTGGCACGATCTCAGCTCACTGTAACCTCCGCCTCCCAGGTTCAAGCTATTCTTCTGCCTCAGCGTCCCAAGTAGCTGGGATTACAGGCGTGCACCACCACACCTGGCCAATTTTTGTATTTTTTAGTAGTGATGGGGTTTCACCATGTTGGCTAGGATGGTATCCATCTCTTGACCTCGTGATCCGCCCGCCTTGGTCTCGCAAAGTGCTGGGATTATAGGCATGAGCCACCCCACCCAGCTGATCTTCTGTCATATTTTAAATTTCCATATATGTGGCTTTCTGTTCTGAACTATTCATCTACTTTATCTGTCTCTATACAAATTCTACAGTCTGTTCATTCTATAGACTTATGAATACATTTTATGTTTTAATAGAGCAATTGCATTTTCAAGTTTATTCTTCTTTAAAAGTTGTTTTATTGATTCATAACCCTGTTTTTAATATAAAATTTAAAGTTAGCTTGCTTAAATTGTTAAAAAATTCTGTTGTGATTTTGATTGAAATTACACTGAATTTAGAAATTAACTTGAGGAACTTAAAAATATTAAACATTCCCATTCATGAGCATAATTTTCCTCTCCATTTTTTAAAGTAGTCTTATAAGAATTTATAAATGTTTAAAATAAATTTCTTAAGTGTTTTTTCTAATATTTATTTTATTTTTATTTTTAATTACTTTGAAATTTTATGCATTTCAATGGCAATTTCTGACTAGTTTTAATTACAGGAACAAATTTAAGTTTTGATTATGTCTAATAAATACTGTTAAATTTTCTTATTATTTCAATAGTCTATTCAGACAGTCTTATCCTCTATGAATAATGGCATAATGGTCATTCCTTTCCATACATAGGTGGATATATATGGAATTATACACATTCATTTATTTTTCTAGTCTTACAGTATTTTTTATGCTAAGCAATAATGCTAGGAATGTTGTCCTTGTTTCTTTAATTATTAATTTAATTAGATATGTTAATAGAGTATATATAATTGAATAGCTTCATACATCCATAAAACCCAACCTGATCAATTTTTAAAATAAATAGCTAAACTTGAGTTGATACCTTGTACTGTGTGTCTGCCATGAGAGTGCCTGTAGACCTCCAACCACCATGGAGTAGTTGAACTCCAGAATCCATTGCTTCACCTGCAGTAAGGCCGTGCTTCCCAAGGCCACAGCTTTCTAACAGCAAATGATTAAGCATACCAGGGATATAATAATAACATGAAACTAATCCTGGAAAGAGTAGACTCCTCTGATGGTAGACTTTGGCTCAAACTCTCTCTGAAAGTCTTTTTACAGCATTCTTAAACTTCATGACATTATTTGATGCTTCTACTAAGTCTTCATTCCCCCTTTTCTTCACTCAGGACCAGAATTACATTCTGGTATACTGGATCTCCCAGCCTTTTCTTGCTGCTTCTCCATTTTCTCTCACAGGTATGTCCCCTAATACAATTCTTGTATAATTCATCTAATGTTGATACCTGCTTCTTGAAAGAACTGGACTAACACAAGTGATACCACAACTGGAGTAGTCTGAGTAAACAGGTTACAAGACTGGAATTTGGAACTGACTCACTCACTGCCCAACAAACAGGATGGCATCTTGGTTGGTATATAGGGCATAGATATCACCTAACACAATGTGTTGGCTTTATAGCTGTACATTTTACCAATAGTAACCTGGGAAAATGTTTTCTTAGAGGAAATTCTATGACAGGTATACAGGTGTGAACATTTGAAAAATATGAGAGTAGCAATGCCTACAAAGACAGTAGGGTTGGCTGGTTACTGCTACATTGTATTGAAACTCTGCAGAGAATAATGAGACTGAGTACTATTAATAGGAAGTTAATGGCAAAATTTATATATCATGTAAGGCCAGAAGACCCATCAAAGGATTATATTCAATGGGAAAACCAAGTGGATGCAACACTTATTAAGGCCATGTAAACCATAAATAAAATTCTAAGCCCCCCAGTCACCCAAATATACCCCTTCTCTCAACAAGGGCATTCCAAAGTTAACCTGAAAACCAGTTCAGGCCATGGTGGGAATGGGGGCAGCAAACATGCCTCATTACCTCATTATAACCTCCTCCCTCTTGGAATTACTGATAAAACAGACCTTTTAAGTCTGACAAGAAGCATTTACAATCTATTCTCTCTGAAGCCTTCTACCTGGAGACTTCATCTGCAAGATAAAACCTTGGTCATCATAACCCCTTACTGTAACCTAGACATTCCTTTATTTAGATAATAAACTGTTTCCTATGGCCATATCACCCTGGATGCACCTGATCTCATCTGATAATAACTCTTTTAATCATTGCCAATCAGAAAATCTTTAAATTTACTTATGACATAGAAGCCCCCACTTCAAGTTTTTCCATCTTTCCAGATCAATCCAGTGTACATCTTACATATATTTATTGATGTCTCATGTCTCCATAAAATTTATAAAAGCAAGCTGTACCTTGATCACCTTGGGCACATGTCATCAGGACCTTCTGAAACTGAGTCACAGATGCATCCTTAACCTTGGCAAAATAAACTTTCTAAATTAATTTAGACTTGTTTCACATTCCTTTGGTTTACCGCCATAAGAAATATTATAAGAGAGGCACCAGTATCACTAAGTATGTTGATGGTTCTCTTCTGCAGGGGAGGATGGCTGGGGAGGCAATACCAACACTGTGCTTGCTACCATCCTTAGGGATATTGATGGTACCCCTAAAATAATAAAGAGGAAATGATTGTGCTTAGCTACTAAGGGCCAGGAGAATTCAATTATTATCATGACTGGGAAGGTTGCAGAGGTACCCATGGAGGCTTGACCCACAGAGAGTTAAATAAATGGATTACAGGACAACTAGGAGAAAAAAATAAACAGATGGCCAACAAAGATACTGCTGAACATCTATAACCAAAATAAAAAAAAATCAAGAATGAAAGATAAGGAGAGTGATATCCATATTCTAATAGAACTCACAATTCTTGCTGGGCATGGTGGCTCACTCCTGTAATCCCAGCACTTTGGGAGGCTGAGGCAGGCAGATTACTTGAGGTCAGGAGTTCGAGGCCAACATGGTGAAACCCTGTCTCTATTAAAAATACAAAAAAATTATCCAGGCGTGGTGGTGCATGCATGTAATCCCAGCTACTTGGGAGGCTGAGGCAGGAGAATCACTTGAACCTGGGAGGTGGAGGTTGCAGCCACATCAGTCCAGCCTGGGTGACAGAGTGAGATGCCATCTCAAAAAAAAATCGTAATTCTTTGCTGAGTTTCTAAATATGAACCAATTTCTATTGACTTAAAAATGTCTCTAGAAATAAGAACATTGAACATTATGGCAGGTATATACTGTGCTAATTACCTCACATCTTTCCCCAAAGGAGCCTACAGCTATTTACTTGGGTGACTATATATAGGAAAAAATGGGAATATCCAGACTATTCAAAGATTATTCAGTATAGGTTCTGAATTAACAGTGATGTCTGAAGATTCAAAAAATTATCACAGAGTAGGAGTCTTTGGTAGCCAGGTAACAATGGAGTCCTGATTTCTAGTAATCACACTGGATTGCCTTAAGTCTTGCTTCCATTAAACCCAAAGAATCCACTGATCCATGCAGTGGTATTTCTCAAATCCTTGAGTGCTTAATTAGAATTGATATACTTTGCAGTATTTGTAATTCTATATTTGCCATTCTATATTTGCCATTCATCTATTGAGAAGTAGTTATTATAGTGGGGAAAGCCAAACAGAAACCTCTGAAACTGTCCAGATCCCTCCTTTTCCCAAGAATGCAAAATTTAAAAAAATCAATGTGGTGAATAAATAAAGACACAGAATATAGCAGAATAGAGAACTCAAAGAATTGGTCCCTCCACTAAAGCAACCATAAACTGGCAGAGGCAAATAGAATCAAATTTGTGAAACTCTGTAATTTAATCTAAAATGTGTAATAAGAGGAATGCTTAATAAGAAAATGGCACTTCATTTTTAGTAACAGCTTTGAGGCATTTTTGCTCACCTACTTACCATCTCTCATCCCCAGAAGTGTTCTAGCAGTCTTGATGACAACTCACATTCCTGATACAGCTTGCTGTTTCCAAGAGGCTACCATGAGCTTTGTTCTTAAAATACTGTGGTTGTGAGTTTTGTCTCATCGGGTAATCATTGGGAAACCAGTACAGAATATTTGTTTACCTCCTCCTACACTTAAGTGGATTTCTGGATAGCAGAGTCTGTCCAAAGATTTAAAGGCATATACCTCTTCTGCCTACCTGAGGTAAGGGCTGTCAGATGAGGCCAGATAGAGACAGACCCAAAAGCCCCTGGAATAAGGAGGCAGAGGAGAAAGTATTTAAGATGGGTGGAGAATAAGAGCTTAGACATCTATTATATATAGCAGGAGGAAGACTAAAACATTCATCCGAATACCAGACATTTCATGCTCAAAGGAATATGAGAAGACTTTAGGCTTGTAACTGGCTGATTTGCAGGCTCCATGTAAGCAGGGGATAAAAGATAAAGTGTTCTAGCTCAGATTTATGCTACAAAGACTTGAAGAATATTTTCTCTCTCTGTTTTTCACTTCAAGCCTTTAAGGAAATATCTGCCTGGTCCCTGGCTGACCACTAAATGAAGAAATAGAGGGTTCAGTAACCACATACTGCAATAAATATATTCTTTGAAAAAATTCTATGGAAAAGTCACAAAACAAAAGACAAGTACAACTTTAAACAATCCACAACCGTAAACTCTGGGGAAGAAGGAGAATCTCATTCCAGAGTTACCACATTGTAATTTAGTTTCCACCAAAAGAAAATATAAAGCATTCAAAAAAAGAATACTACAGAAAATTGAAAGGAAAACTAATTGACGGGAACAGACCCTAAGTATCCCAGACATTAGACTCACTAGATGTAGCTTTAAGTCCACTGTCTTAAAAGTGCTCAAAGAATTATGGGAAATCATAGATAAAGAACTAAAGGAGACCAGGAAAACAATGTGTGCCCAAAATGAGAATATCAACAAAAGGATAGAAATTATAAAATAGAATATAATAAAAATTCTGGACCTGAGAAGTGTAATAACTAAAATCAAAAACTCACTAGAGGGATTTAACAGACAGATGTTAATAGACAGAAGAAAGAATTCATGAACATAAACATAGGACAATTGAAATTATTCAATCTGCAGAGAAGAAAGTAAAAAAAAAAGTATGAAGAAAAGAACGAAGAAAAGTAGCAAAAAGTAATGAGGAAAAGTAAAAAAAAAAGTATGAAGAAAAAAAGCCTAAAGGGACTCTGCAACATCATAAAGTATATCTTATACACATTATGAAAGTCACTGAAAGAAAGAAGAAAAATATTGGATAAAATATTGGCAGATAATTTGCCAAATTTGATGGAAAACATGAATCTACACATACATGAAGCTCATTAAACTCTCAGTAGAATAAAGTCAAAGAGTTTTACATTAAAACACATTATAATCCAGTTGTCAAAAGCAAATGACAAAAAGAAAATCTGAAAAGTGGCAAGAAACAAATGACTTGTCATAAATAGTCCTCAATAATATTAACAGCCAATTTTTTGTAAGAAACCGTGGTAGCCAAAAGGGAGTGAGATGATCTTTAATGTGCTGGAAGACAAAAAAATGCCAACCAATTATTTTTATTTGGCAAAATTTTCAAAATGCAGAAGAAAACTTCAAAAATGAAGAAATTAAGAAATTCCTAGATTAACAAACACTGAAGGTGTTCATTGCTAATCTGCACTACTAAATATACTAAAGGGTATCCTTCAAGGTGAAACAAAAGGATCCTAGACAGCAACTCAAAGCCACGTGAGTAAATAATAAATATCTCCAGTAAAATAATTATATATGTAACATAAAAGCCAGGAGTACTGTATTTTTGGTTTAAAACTTCTTTTTCTATTTCTTGTATGATTTAAAAGACAAATGCTCAACAAAAAGTCTATGTTAATGAGAGCACAATGTACAAAGATGTAATTGTTGCAACAGTAAAATAAGGGAGACATGAACTGATCTGTGTAGGACTAGAGTTTTCACAAGCTATGAAATCTAGGTTGAGAACAAATTAAATTAGATTGTTAGAAGTTTAAGTTATCACTCATCATTCCCTTGTTAACAACCAAAAAAAAATCTTAAAATACATATACAGGAGAAAATTACATGGGAGTCAAAGTAGTACACTAAAAGCAAAATTAATTAAACACAAACAAAAGCAGTAATGGAAGAAATGAGAAACAAAACAGAAAAGGTAAAAGACATACAAAAACAAAAAGAAAAACAGCAGAAGTAAATTGTTCCTTATCAGTAATTACTTTAAATATAAATGGATTAAATTCACCGATCAGAAGGCAGAGAGGGGCAGAATGCCATTGGTATATTTATATATTTTTATAACCCATTAGTATAAAACTCATTGGTATACTTTTATATTTTTATAACCCTTTGGTAAAAGGACAGATAACCCAATCACAAATGGGCAAAGGATCAAAACAGGTATTTTCCAAAGAAGATATATAAATGGCAGATAAAGTCAGTAGCCATGGCAAAATGCTAATCGACACCACGGTGAGATACTACTTCACACCAACTAGATTGGCTATTATCAAAAAGATAGCAAATATTCCTGAGGATGTAGAGAAATTGGAATTCTCACACATTATTAATGGAAATGTAAAATTGGAAAGCTGTTTTGGAAAACAGTTTGGTTCTTCAAAATGTTCAATATGAAGTTGACATATGACTCAGTAATTTCATAGATAGATATTAATAGATGATAGCTAGATAGATAGATAGATAATTTAGGGTGAGCATCCCTAATCCAAAATTCCAAAATCCAAGGTGCTCCAAAATCTAAAACTTTTTAAGCTCCAATATGATGCCACAAGTGGAAAATTTCACATAAGTACTTAACACAAAGTTTATTTTATGCACAAAATTATTAAAATATATTGTATAAAAATATAACAAATGTGATGTTTCTGAGGACAATTTCAGTGTGATAACCTATCGTTGAAAACACACATATTGTCACATACAATCCTTCTTCAAAGTTTGCATGAGTGGACACACACACACGCACACACACACACGCACGTACACACAGGAAGCTCCATTACTATTCTGCTTGCTCTATCAAGGATAATTTGTTGGAAATGTTTATATAACTCATCCTTACAGTATATTGAAACAATAATCCTTTCTTGTAGCCTGGAGGGTAAAAACACACTGGTGGTGTTAGATTTGGTGTTCTCTGAAGGTGGCATTGTTCTTTCATTCAGAAATCTGGAAAGGATGGTTCTTATACTTGAAACACATGTGTCAGGTAAGAAGGAGAAAAAACTCAGTTTTAGCATCAGAACCTTGAGTTCTTTTCAGATATATAAAGGAATTATAGTTTAGTGTAGGTTCAAGATGGTACTTGCTCAGTGATGGCTGACCAAGAATTTCCTGGTGTAGGGCTATATTGAACCTATATTGGCTTTTCTGAATTCTAGACCACGTTGTTTCCTGCTATTCCTTAATTGTTTTAACATTTACCCTTTATGCAGGTTTTCTCTGGGTGCCCTAGCCTGGTGTCAGATGGACTGTATGCCTACTTCTAGACTATGAGGTTAAAAGAAAACCAATGTGTCCAACTCTAACAATATACAATGATAATCTTGATTAGAGAGAAATTTCTCATCTTGTTAACCAAGAGACATCTTGGTTAACCAAGTATGGGGGTTGGTGTTGTAGCTACTTCTGTTTATACAAAGATTTTTCAGACATGGTTAGCAGTGAGGAATCTGAGAAGAAGGCTACATGCATATCCTAAGATAGTGACTCTCTTAGTATGAGAAAACACACACAAAAAGATAGTGACTTCCTCAAGGTCACCTACATAACTAACAGCAGAGCTGTGATCTAACCCAGGTGAACTCAAACTCCCTAAAACATGACACTGTATTTTCAGCTCTTTTTATGTTGTACTAAAATATTTCATGCATCACACACACTGGCTCCAGTTATAGCCTATGTATCTAGACCACGTGAGTCTCATTCACAGGTTATTTGATATATCTTCAACCATTTTAAAAGGACTATCATTATTTATTCATTTGTTTAGTCCAGCTAGATGTTTTGAGTTTCTTCAACAATTTCACATATATTTTTAAAGGACATTAACTTTATTTTTATATTTGTTTTCTATTTTCTTCTCTTTTTCATATATATGTATGTGTGTATATATATATACACATACATATATATATACACATACATATATATATACACATACATATATATATATACACATACATATATATATACACATACATATATATATATATATATATATATATATATATATATATATATATACACACATACACACACACACATACATATATATATGTATATATATTTAGAGCTGGGGCCTTGCTATGTTGCCCAGGCTGGTCTTGAACTCTGGGCTCAAGCAATCCTCTCACTTCGGCCTCCCAAATTGCTGGGATTACAGACATGAGCCACCACCCCCATCCAAGACATTTCACTTTAAATGTACTCTACTGGCACTATTTCTATTAAAGTATGGTACTCCAAAGGTTCCAGGTGTGTATTCCAGTGTATCCTGATAAATACAATACTATTCATTTTAAGTATTCACTTAAGTCCTCTGTATTTAGCAGAGTGACATGGCCTGATATACCCAACACAGTCTTGGATTCTATCTGTTGTCCTGGTGTAATAGAGCCATCCCCTTTCACTTTTAAAAGGGATTGGTTGAAAAATACATCACATAATTATTCCAGCTATAACCTCATGTGCTTAATTTTGTGTGTGTCAATTGTAACTCCTTTCTATTCTCATAAATGGGGATATCTTCTAAATCATAAAAACCTTTTTGAGCACCCTCACCTTATTTTTCTTGTATTTCTGTTTTTATCCTCTTTCTTTCGCCTGCTCTATTTCTCATTCACAGACCATTTCTTATTACATGATAATGCCTAAAACACTACTTTATATGCTACCAGAGAGTTTCTATGCTATTCTCAAGTAAACAGGTTGATAAAGCATTGTTTGGGAGCATTTAGATATGTTCTCAGGCTAAGGGTTTTGAGTAATCTCCTTGTCCAGAACTGATGTTTTGAGTCCCTTCAATATTTGAGTCCTTTCAGAGATTGGAATACTAGGTTACAAGAAGCACTGATAATTGTGAGATACTAGCATTTGAGCAATTGTCCATCACTGCAAAAAGATTTGACTTTGTTTCTGATTAGCATCCCATAGCTTAATTTTCTTATCTGTTCTTTTAACTGTGCATCCCATCTCCAAGTATCTATGTTAGGTTAAATGGTTAGAAGCTGCCCTGTAATACAGTACATCTCATATAAGTCTAATGTCCTAACACATCTTCATATAAGAAACAAAAGACTGTAGGTACTTGGGCTAAGCAAAATTACCCAGGAACTAATGAATAAATAATGTTATTTCATGAATAATTCAAGATTAACTTTGGATGCCTCAAATAATCTTGATCTGCAAAACAATAAAGTCTTTTAATGTGACCATGTGACATGGAGTACAAATAGGAATGGGGTTAATTGTATCCTCCTCAGAAGCATGTACTGTACTCTCACATTCTGCCTCTGCATGAGGATTTAATGCACAGGTGGGGCCTTAGAATAATGAGAATTTAACACCTTGCTTGTAAGAGAGTTTAAAACAGAGAGACTCTGCCATCATGCTTGCCATAATTACAGCAAACATATTTCTAGACAAAGAAGAGTCAATAGCAAGATAAAGAAATGAAGTGTGGGGTAACAAAATGTCACAGTTTTATCACTTGCTAACTGAGATTTGGGCCAATCTCTTGACCTGCTAGATCTCAAGCTATTCAGCTAAAAATGTATTACTACATTGAACTAAAGCATCCCATGTTTTCTTCAACCTAGAAAATTAGTATAGATTGTTAGAATATTGTTTATGAAGAGAAAGAGAATTTCATACTATGATTTCCTTAGGATATCAGATGACATATCAGCATATGAGTTTTAAGAAGTGATTGTAGCATATACAGGAATTAAAAAAAAATAAAAATGAAAAAAAACTAACAAAGAAGCCAAATAAAACAATATGAAAGTTCAGTTAGGAGACTTGTAAAACTCCACAGAGACTTAAGTAGTCTCATTTATCTTGTGTGTATTCATTCACACCTACCATCCTGTTCTCTAGACACTTGGACAATTCTGAAATACCAGAGTTACAACATGTATGAACTGAGTGACTTTACTTCCTATGTCGAAATGTCCATATCTATTTTAGAAACCTGAAACAGTGCTATCTTCATAGGGATGTTTAAGGATTAAGTGAGTTAATATATTCAAAACACTATGAATATTAACTATCATTGTTTTCTGGTTAACACTTATCATCTACTCATATGAATCATCATAGACAAAATATAACTCAGAGGAAAAATAATATAGTAACCCAAGAAATACTATAAACATAGCAAAGTGCAATTTATTTTCCATATTACATTAGCAAAGAAAAGTTTAAGTAATTTCCAGTGCTGGTGAAGATACTATGAAATTGGGATTTCAGTACTCTGTTGGTGAATCATATATAAGTTTTTTTAACAATGTGGTGATTTATATAATGTTCACACCTTTGAACCTAATAATTCCACTTCTGCAAATATATCAAATGGAAAAACCAGTAAAGATGGAAAAAGCTACAGATATATCTATCCATGGCAATATTTTTTGAAAAAGATAAATAAATGAATTTAATATCTACCAGTAGCACAATAAAAATAAAATAATATGCATTTATTTAAATAATAATAAAAATGTTGTAACAACATGAAAAACTTGAAAAAAAATTACTCTGGCAGGGTATGGTGGCTCACGCCTGTAATCTCAGCACCTTGGGAGGCCAAAGTGGGAGGATCACTTGAGCCCAGGAGTTCGAGACCAGACTGGGCAGCATAGTGAGACCCCCATCTCTATTATTTTTTTTAAAAAAAGAAAAATAATACAGTACAATCACTTCAGTTCTGGAACTAGCCATATGAAAGCATACTGGCAGTAAAATAATAAGCATGCTACTGTTGTTATCCCAACAAGGTTATGAATAATATCTCTTTTCCTGCACAGGTTGAAGTAAGGAGAGAGTTGTGAGCATCACTCAGTTGGCACTGTGGCATATCTCAGTATCTATGCTTAAAGAAGACACATTTTGAAAATTTCACCCTAGCCCAGCTTCCTAATCTTATGTATTAAAAACTGGGCCCAGAGAGTTTAATATCTTGCCAAAGTTCATACCAAATTCAATTTCCATTTGAGACCTGTGAAAATATTTCTTGAGACATATTACTGTTAAATTATGGCACAATCATAGAGTCAAAAGGACCTTAAACAGGAGTCTGTCATAGTAGATTTAAGCAAATCAAGCTAAACCTTACACTTCTTCCTCACATCAAGATTCTCTCCCATTTTTGAAGAGCTCAAAAGAATCACCTCTCTTTGCTGACGTCAAGATATAACCAACTTTATTATTAGTGCTTTCGTGTAACTGCCAAAGCCCTCATGGTATTGCATTAACATGTTCTATTTTGGTATATCATCATAAAATTACATGCCTTATATATGGTATTAGAAAATAGCTGGTTATCATTCTTCATGAAAGTCCTTGTTCTACTTGCAAAGTATAGTTATTAAATCACTCCTGAAAGATTTTGTTCAAACATAAAATCAATATAACTTTTTTGTTTGTTTGTTTTTTTGTTGAGACAAGAGTCTCGCTCTGTCACCCAAGCTGGAGTGCACTGGCACCATCTCGGCTCACTACAAGCTCCGCCTCCCAGGTTCACGTCATTCTCCTGCCTTAGCCTTGCAAGTAACTGAGACTACAGGCGTCCACCACCACGCCTGGATATTTTTTTGTATTTTTTAGCAGAGACGGGGGTTTCACCGTGTTAGCCAGGATGGTCTCGATCTCCTGACCTCGTGATCCGCCCCCCTTGGCCTCCCAAAGTGCTGGGATTACAGGCGTGAGCCACCGTGCCCAGCCATCAATCATCAGTATAACATTTATATGTTAACTAATTATAATCTTTTTTTTTTTTTTTTGAGACAGGGTCTCACTCTGTCACCCAGGCTGAAGTGCAGTGGCGTGATCTTGGTTCACTGCCACCTCTGCCTCCCAGGTTCAAATGTTTCTCCTGCCTCAGCCTACCAAGTAGCTGGGACTACAGGCCTGTGTCACTTTGCCTGGCTAATTTTTGTATTTTTAGTAGAGACTGGGTTTCTGCATTTTGGCCAGGCTGGTACTCGACTCCAGACCTCAAGTGATCCACCTGCTTCGGTCTCCCAAAATGCTGGGATTACAGGCATGAGCCACCATGCCCAGCCTAATTATAATCTTTATAGTCTTCTGGTAAATTTCTGACTTTTCAAACTAACTCATTCTTGTTGTATGACTTCAAGCTCTGTGCCTCTCATGAAAGAGCCGACTATTGCTCAGTCCAATAGATGATTTAATTGTTTTGTCAGTCAGAACATGCATTGCTATTTCTGTAACATGGTAGAACCTACAGCACTAAGGATTTAAGTTTCCTGCTTGGATATTTTTATCAGTTAAGTCTCATAGTTACACTAGTTTCTGTTAATTATGTCTAATATATTTAGCTAATTTTTTATTCTTAACAATATTAAAAACCTGTATTGGTTTCTGTAGAAACAATTTCTTTTTTCCCAAATTCCTTTAGAATTATTCTAAATATCTTTGCACATAGGAATCTATCGAGTATGAAGTGTAATAGGAAAATTGAGTCACAAGAGAAGAATAGGGATGTGGGTCTACATTAATCTTCAAGAAAGTTGACCTCTAATCTCAACCCCACCACTGATTCCACATACGATCTTGGACAATCACTCAACTTCTACAAGCTTCAGAATCCTTGGACTTAAGATTAGTGGTTTCAGCAAGATACTTTGAATATTTTCTCTAAACATCAACCTTTTATACATGTATCACTGAATAATTATATCTTCCAAGTTATAAATCATACTTGATAGGATGCCTGTTCTATGTTTTCCTCCACACAAAGAGATTTATATATTAATTTCTTATTTTTTGAATCATTTGAAACAGTGAGTATAGATGTTTTTCGCAAAGATGTGGACACAGAATACATGCTCAATGTTATCATAGAGCCTGGAGAGAAGAAGTAAGGAAATTATAAATAAAGTTTATATGTATTTCATATAAATACACAATAGAATGTATATAAATTGACTGTGGGCACATACATTGTTCTCTCATTGACTCTCCTAAAACTCATATTCCCAGAATCAGAACATGACAGCAATTTAGTTATACATAGAAATCAACAATGCAGGAAAAGAAAGAAATAATCTCCAATCAAACTCTAATTCAGTGTCAGCACATAAAACAAAGTGGGCTGGTCAGTAGGATTTTTTTTTTTTTTTTTTTTTTTTTTGCCAATTTTACTACGAAGTGGATAAAAAGCAAAGGCTACTTATTACTAGATCAGTTTTTCTTATTTCACATTAAGATATAATATTTTTACAGTAAAAATTTATTTGTATCATGTAAGCTAGAACAATGTAAATTAAACTATACTGGAATTATTTTAGGTTAAGTATACAGTTTTAAAAATAGCTTTCTATGGGAATAAGTGAAGTCAAAGGCAGAGTTGATGTGATGACCTATTTTTACAGCTAATTTTTTACATGGCATAGAAGAAACAGGGATTGAGAAACCATGCATGAGAATTTTATAAAAGTTATAGCAGAAAATACAAAGTAGAACAAATTTCCACTTACTCATTTTCAAATAACCTTTTCATATTTGTCCAGAAGCCTTGACAACTAAGGCTAATATAATCTTCAAGTATGGGAAAAGAAAAATAAAATCTTTGGAGACCAGGAACAAGCCTTTTGTTAGTTGCGTCCTCGTGTTATTTTAGTATTATGTGTAGTGATCACCGAAATTCACTGCTTCTATTTGCAATAATTAATTAATCATTTAGCTTGTGCTTTTTATAGTAGATATCTTAAGTAACAATTTAAAAATTAAAGTCATATACAGTATTTAAATAGTCAAAAAGTTGTCTTCTATGGTTAGAAGTTATGGTTAACTTTATGTGTCAACTTGGCTAGGCCATGGGACCCAGAAATTTGGTCAAATACCCATCTAGATGCCCTTGGGAAGATATTTTGTGGATGAGATTAACACTTAAATCAGTAGACTCTGAGTAAAGCAGGTCCCCCTCCGTAATGTATGTGGGCCTCATTCAATCAGTTGAAAGCCTTAAGAAAAAAAAGTCTGAGTCCCAATGAAAAAGGTAATTCTGCCTCCAGACTGTCTTCTGACTTGAGCTGCAACATCAGTTCTTCCCTGGGTCTCTAGTCTGAGGACCTGCTTAGCAGAGTTTTGACTTGTCATCCTCCACAATTACATAAGCCAGTTCCTTAAAATAAATCCCTATCCTCTCTGCACATATACACTCACATTCATTCTGCTTCTCTAGAGACTAAAGCTTGCCCAAGTCAGGGACTTCTACAGGAAGGGTCTGTTATGAGAGACATCCTGTCTAACTTCCTAAGGATGAACCTTGGGAACTGCCAGAAGTGCAGATCATCATCATTTTCCCAATGAGCACAGGGAGGAGCACAACCTCAAAAGCAGTTAGGACTCAGTTATTTAGGGATTTATGAGCCACAGTTTTACACCTTGAACTTTATCTAAAGTAAAATAGGCAATTTTTAAGGAATGTAGAGCTATAGTATAATGCAAATCATTGAGAAATTACTCAGCCATGCCATTTCCTGCCTTTGACTTTTGGGTGGTCTTCATGGATAGGTCCCAAGGAGAGTGGCTTGCAATAAACCAAAGTAGAGCCAAAATGGTTTCCAGAACCAGGAAATAAAAAGATCCTGTGTTCTGTATAGTAAAGTATAAACAAATAGATTATAAACAACCACCCAAAGACTAAAAGTGATATTAGTTGAACATCATTTTCTCTGTCACACTTCATCTTCTTTCATATGACTAAAATGTTAAAACTTTTCAGCATTTTGGAAAAATAATTCTAAAAATTATTATTTTACCTCTGAATCCTAGTTGATCAATGTTGCCACATTATCTACATGGTGGATGAGGAAGTGAAATGAAGTACATTACTTTACACTTTCATTTCTTCCATTCTTCAAGTTGGGTTGGTTATGTTACAATTTCTACTTCTTCTAGTAACTATATCCCTATTTTAGATCATAAATCAAACCTCTATTGTTTTGATTTTCTATTACACTCTCATCTATATTGATCTATATTCTCCTTTTCATCCCCAGACACATTTTAGTTATATAGATCATTTTACACTGTCAGATTTTGTGCCATTTATATTCTGTTTTATTACTCATAACTTCCCATAGACATTGAAAAACCAATATACATTATTTATAATATTACTGTTCCACATATTATTTAGTGCAGAATAAAAAATATAAGATACTAATGTTAAAAATTATTATATTTTCATCTCATTCATATTTGCTTCATCTTGGTCAACTCTATTTTACCTGAAATTTTAATCACTTTCTTTCTCTGTAATTTTTAAGACAAGCATTTCTTATATAACTAAGAATTTATAGATTCTTAATCATACTTTAAAAAAAATTTCCTCTTTCTTCAAGAAAATATTCAACTAAGAGACCCCTGTCTTCGTGTTCTCATTTATATTGATTACAGTTCATGCCTGTGGCCCAAATCAGTTTGGGATTTCTTTTTCTTTTACACTTCTGGGTAAGTTCCATTTCTTCATGGTCCCTATGATATTGACCTCCATAGATTCCTTATTTAATTTGCTGGAGGGCATCAAATACGTTTTTATTTGCAAAAATATGTTAGATAACAAAAACATGTAGATAACTGCATGTTTAAAACTCACTATTATAACTTCATGCTTGATTGAAGATGTGGTACCTTCTCAGTTGCCTTTTCGAGATCCTCTGCAACTGTGTTTCTTCAATGACATACTCAAAGCCTTCAGTTTATTAACTATTTTCCTTTGTCTAAATTCATCTGTCCTCATCTTCTCTTTTTATTACTCCGTGTCTTATCCAATTTAGATCTCCAGATTTATTATTTTAAGAACATTCTTGCCAGTAATCAATTTCCATCTTCTGCCTTTTCATCACGCTTACTCAGTGAAATCTCAAAGCTGGGTAAATACTGCAATCTTTATTCTCTGCCCCATGCCCAAGTATCTCAGCTTAAGTGGAGGAATTCATGCAAAAAAATCCCGTAACATCTTAACACAAACCTCAAGTAGTTTTTTTTCTTTTTGCATTTTGTTTATTTGGGTATAATCTCATGGCTGGATCCTTCTCATCAATAATTAAACATTCCCAAATGTCTCTCATCTTAAAACATAAAGTCAATATGCCTCTTGAGCATATATTTCTTTCCTTCCAGCTGTCACATTCCCATCTTTGCTACAGTCTTCTCTTGTGTGGATTTAACTTTCAACTCTGGCATATTCTACAGTAATTTGCAGTTTAATTTTAGTTTTTAGAAAATTAACCGATGTCTTTGGTCCATTTAGGCTTTTCAATTCTATTCTTGATATGATGGATTTGATTCATTTTTACATTTCTCTTAGTAGGCTATATATAGAGATTAAAAAGTAAATTCATGTTTTCAGGTGACAATTTTGTATTTAAAAAGTGTGTAAAGTTTATAGCAATATAGAATTTTATTGCAAAGGGAGGATAAGAGACACTTTAGGCCATTAGTTTGTTTTTTAAATAAGGTAACTTGTGTCAAAACAAATGTGAAAAAGTATGATTCAGTCCAAGTACTTATATTAGGGTTACTTTCAACCAGAACTAAGTACAGCTAAAGAAGAATGAAAATGGAGATTATCATGATAAAAGTTATTTTTAGTTTTGAAAAAATTTCAACTGAGAGTAAAAAAATGACAACGGTGGAAGTACTTTTTATCTTTAGCATATTGTAGAGATGAATTTCTATTCTATCCCCCCAATACCCTTGTTTTTTCTTTAAACTTTAAACTTGTCACATAGAAAGTTCTAATACAACTTGCAGACACAAGAAAAAAGGGTTTTCATGCTTTCTGTCTGATTGTAGCAGCTGAGATTGAGTAGAGGAATACATGGGAAACACAGAAAGAATTTTCAAAACTCTGGGATAACTTTGTAAACAGTGAAGAGCCTATTTTGCTACAAAGAAGAACCTAAAATTTAAGTTTGCACAAGAAGTTTTGGTGGATATTCCCTACCACATTTGCCTTGTTGCTTACACTTGTAAAAGTATAGAGGTTAAAACTGATTAAAAGCAAGCCAATGGCGAGACAAAAAGTTCTAGTCCAAACAAAGGTAGTTTTGCTTCCCAATAATTACTTTTCTGTTTAATTCCTTGTAATTTCTTTATTCAATATAAGCTCTATAAAGTATTTAATTTGAGTATTATGGCAAAACTTTGATCAGACAATTATAATATTTAGTAAAATAGGTGTTATTAAATATTCCCAGTACTGATATTTACATGGGACAATGAAATGACAGTAAGACCTAGTTTATAATTTATGTGTAAAATGAAAATAGTGCTCCAGGCAGAAAAATTTACTAAAGAACACATAATTCAATATGGCATCACTTTGGTTAAAATACACTTTTTATAGCTCCTCACATGCCATGGCCATTTTCTGTAACATTCTTAGTCTGCTTCTTCCTGAGGCTTTTTGTGATTTTTGTTTTAACAGATAAATTATTGTAAAATCACTAACCATAACCAAGGACTGTGAAGTATTGATCAGATTGTCATGTGTCCTCGTCAGAATTTAAAATAAAAAAGTACATATGATTTCAAGATTATGGGAATAAGTAAATTTATTAAGAATATGTAGATACGTGAGGCTGCATTCAAATTATTGTGCTATATTTTATTTTGTTTTCTGAAAATCACATTCCTGAATAATTTTGGAGTACTAGTTATATGATAGTAATACTTTAAGAAATCATCCCCTGAAATATTTTTTCATTTTATACTAAAAGCTACTTTGTGTATTGTGCTTAAAGAAACAATATATAGGTACTTTTATTAAATAACTTAATTTTTTTCTGTTGTAATTTCTTGATGTTATTCAATAACATTATTTTCTAAGAAATCTGCTGATTTTTCTGGTGTATTGTAAATTGCTTATCCAATCAGTACTATGTATAATGGATTCATTACTACTGAATTGATATTACAACTTAATACCCTGGAAACCTTCTTAAATGACTGATGAGACACTACAAAATATGAGAAAATGTTTGTTACCTGGGTCACTAAAGCACTATGGATAGGGTCCAAGGCTTACCAAATCCCACACTATGGTTAATGGTTCCATTGAGATTCCCTTTAATCAACTTTCCTTGGCATATCCAAAATCAAACTATGAAAATTCATTGTTATAACTTGACAATGAAAAAGAAGTGCTTTCATTGCCTAGAACAATTACAGGTGGATATTTCTCTTTCTATGGTTATTTCTTGTCTGTCTCTGGCAACCCTGTGAGTTCTTGATCCTAAATGCCTGGCCTACAGTAATTCGTGAAGGTTTGAGAAAAAAACGATCACTCCAAAAGCAACCAGTAGTCACCCAGCATTTTGTAGTGTTCTTTTTTTTTTTTTTTTTTCTATTAAGGAGCTACTGCAATATGTTAATCCGAAAGTGTAACTGTAGGTAGAAACTGCAGCATTAAATTATAGTGCTTATCACGCTATGACACTGAACCTCACAGAAAGTGTTTTCATGCTTTCTGACAAGTTTTTGCTCTCATCAATGGTGTTTATCCCCCTGAACTTTAAATACTTTATGTTTTGCTTTCAGGTCTTAGATTTAAGTCTTTTATCCATCTTGAGTTGATTTTTGTATAGGGTAAGAGATAAGGATCCAGTTTCATTCTTCTACATGTGGTTAGCCAATTATCCTAGCACCATTTGTTGAATAGGGTGTCCTTTCCTCACTTTATGTTTTTGTTTGCTTTGTTGAAGATCAGTTGACTGTATTTGGCTTTATTTCTGGGTTCTCTATTCTGTTCCATTGGTCTGTATGCCTGTTTTTATACCAATACCATGCTGTTTTGGTGACTATTGACTTATGGTATAGTTTGAAGTCGGGTAATGTGATACCTCCACATTTGTTATTTTTGCTTAGTCTTGCTTTGGCTATGTGGGCTCTTCTTTGGTTCCATATGAATTTTAGGGTTGTTTTTCTAGTTCTGAAGAATGATGGCGGTATTTTGATGGGAATTGCATTGAATTTGTAGATTGCTTTTGGTGGTGTGGTCATTTTCACAATATTGATTCTACCCATCCATAAGCATGGGATATATTTTCTTCTGTTTGTGTCATCTTTGATTTCTTTCAGCAGTGTTTTGTAGCTTTCCTTGTATAGGTCTTGCATGTCCTTGGTTAAGTTTATTCCTAAGTATTATATTTTATTTTTTGCAGCTATTGTAAAAAGGGTTGAGTTATTGATTTGATTCTCATCTTGATTGCTGTTGGTGTATAGCAGAGCTACTGATTTGGGTACATTAATTTTGTATCCTGAGACTTTGCTGAATTCATTTACCAGTTCTAGGAGCTTTTTGGATGACTCTTTAGGATTTTCTAAGTATACGATTATGTCATCAGCAAACAGCAACAGTTTGACTTCCTCATTACCAATTGGCATGTTTTAAAATTTTTCTCTTGTCTGATTGCTCTGACTAGAACTTCCAGTACTATGCTGAATAGAAGTGGTCAAAGTGAGCATCCTTGTCCTCAGGGGGAATGCTTTCAACTTTTCCCTGAACATTGGAAAACACTTTCTAGACACTGGCTTAGGTGGACTTATGACCAAGCACCCAAAAGCAAATGCAACAAAAACAAAGATGAATAGATGGGACTTCATTAAACTGAAAAGCTTCTGCACAGTAAAAGAAATAATCAGCAGAGTAAACAGACAACCCACAGAGTGGAATAAAATCTTCACAGTCTATATACCTGACAAAAGACAAATATATCCAGAATCTACAAAGAACTCAAACAAATCAGCAATAAAAGAACAAACAATCTCATCAAAAAGTGGGTTAAGAACATGAATAGACAATTCACAAAAGAAGATTTACAAGTGGCCAACAACAACAACAACAAAACAAAAACAAATGCTCAACATCACTAATTATCAAGGAAATGCAAATCCAGAGTCACAGTGTGATAACACCTCACTTCTGCAAGAATGGCCATAAAAAAAAAATAGATGTAGTGAAAAGGGAACACTTTTACACTGTTGGCAGGAATGTAAACTGTAGTCAAGGAATGAAACAAAGGATTGTTTTAGACTTTTTAACACATAAATTCAGTCTAGGATATGCCATACAGTCTTTATAGTTACTATAAATGTATACTTTCAGTAGTTTTTTTTTCCAATTTGTGTGAGATTAAAGATTATTTTATTTCCTTCCAATGTTCCTTTTAAGCATTTAAAATATGGATTTATAATAGAAATACTGTGGTATTTTATTCTGAATCACCCTCAACCAAATGTAATATTTTCTTAAGTCAGCATTGAGAGCATTATAAGTATTTTCTGATGTAATATGTTTGACATATTTTCCCATGACTCATTCTTTGATTAACTATAATAAAAATTGTGAGAAAGTATTTTATATATTGTGTTACTATTTGTATTAATATTTCCATCATATATAAATTAAGACATTCTTGATTTTTCTTTTTATTATTTTAGATTACAAAAAGTTACTTCATCCTTAGACTTAGGACAAGTATTGGTAATCTTTTCAAAATAATGTGCCAATTTTCTTTTTTTCTTTGCTCATCTTACTCTTGGAGATTTGGTTATGAACAGAAGTGATAGAAGGTTAAATATTGTGAGGCAGATAAACATAGTAGTGGTAACAGGTTTACATGTCACTGATGATTAACCTCCATATTTATACTTGATTTATACTCTCTGTGAACTAAACAGTATGGGTCTATTGTCTAAGAGTTTGAAGGACATCATTTACACTCATGTAAGTATATCACATAAAAGAGAATATTGAATGAGCATTTCACCTAGTTAGAAAATAGTGGTACCCAGATGTGCATTAGTGTACTGTTTATCCAAGGTCAGTAAGTGACTCATGTAGGAAGAAGGACAGTGATGAAAAAATTCCTATAAACTCTAAATTATCCTTAAAAATATCTAGAATATGAGAAAAATATTTTATACTGGTCAAACATGTACTTAAAACTCCAAGGAAGGAAATAAGGTATTTATAGATTATTTAGAGCTGGCAGATTTCTGTTCCTAGAACATAACTTACTGAAAAATATTTAAACTGAATAAAGTTGAAATAATAATGTTGTCTTAGTTTACAAAATGCAGCAACAGGAAACTGAATGATTGTGTAAATTGCTATGAAATGTATATCCTATGTTGGCTTTTCCCCTGACCTTTGAATGTAATGGAATAGTGCAGGAACTTCCAAACTTGCTTTTATTATTGCTCCTCTAAGAAGCCTTTAGACATTTTTTTTGGTCTAATCCCTTCATGCATTTTAGTGTATGTACTGTGTGTCTGTTTTTATACTGTCTAATTTTTTTTTGTCTAATACCGTCATGCATTTTTTGTCTAATCCCTTCATGCATTTTAGTGTATGTACTGTATGTCTGTTTATATACTGTAAGTATATCTGTGTTCCATATACAAAAAGAGAAATTTTTCTTTCACCTCCCAAAGAATGAATGATCGCCCCCTTCGGGGCAGTATCACCCCCTGTGAGAATCCATGAAATAATAATTAATGTGACAGTTAAATTTCATTTTTGTGGAGTATCAAAACTATGGTTGTTTATCCCCCCCCCCACCCAAAAAAATAAAGATGAGAAACCCAAATGATACAATTACTACTTAAAAAATTAAATACTAGGCCTAATAAATAATTAGGATTGTTAGGCCTAACAAATTCTATATAGGATTTTCACAAACAAATTTCTATAACATCTGGTTCTATTCTGAATTACATGCAGAAGGGCCAAAACATGTCACTTTGAAAATGAAAGCTTTTATTTTGCTATTAAAATTTTCCAAATAAGATTTCGTTCCACATTGGCTCTATAAATGGATGCTTGGTAGTTCTAATTTGAGACCTGCATGGGCTTAGTCCTTGGCTTCCCCGTTGTCTTCCACCAGTGGTATCTGTTTGACTCTATACCCACAAGAAAGAAAAGGAGAGTTTGATGGAATTTTAAAACCAAAAGAAAGTTATCGTCAGTGCTGGTTGAAATAAATGCATCATATGATATAGGCAAGGAAGTTGGAAATTACTTTATATTGCAAATATCGTATTTCCGTAGGTCCAGAAGTCTAAGACAGGCACATTGTGGTTGTATCATTTACTGGAAACTCCTTTAGAGTGGAGTCAGGAGTAATCTCTCACTGTGGCTTGTGTGACATGATGATCACTAGAGATGTCTAACATAACACTTAATGAACAAAATGATCATTTGAAAAGTTAAGTGGTCAGTCTCTATCATATGTGCAGATCCACTTTTCCTACAACCCCAGATTTTTTGTTGATATATTCAAGTGTTCTTCCAAAAAGTAACGAGCTTTTAAATATCAAAGAAAAAAAATCGTCAAAATTATGTCTTAATTTATAGAACTTTGTATATTTCATAAAGATAGTTTCAGAAACTTTCAGTAATTTCCAATTTTATTAAAATATTTGGCTGAGAGATGTTTCATAGGTTTAAATATATAGTAAAATTGAGTCGTTCTTAATGCCGAATTAAACTTCTAATGTTTAATAATTAAAAGCATTTTTTTCTGACTAGATACATGATAGAATTTAATGGGAATGAATAAAATCAGTATTGCCCAGGTCACCCACCATAATCCCAGCCTTCAATTCTTAACTCTCTTTTATATTGAGTCAATTAGCACATGTTAATTGAGCAGCTATATGGTATCAGCACAAGAACTCAACTTTTCATCCCACCTTTGATCATCTATAGTTTTCTGCAGAAGGATTAGAAGGATCCTTTTCCCCTCCACCACCTTTCACAGCTATGAGAGAGAAACCATAGCAGTGCTTTGCAGGGGGCAGGGTAGAATTGGGACCAATGAAAACAAAAAGGAAAATTAAGTACAATTCTTATGACTATTTCTGCATATTTCTCACCTGTTTTCTGATCATCTCTTACGTCTGCCTACATCCTTTAGGGAGAAGTGTTTTAAAAGAGTTCTACTGTTAGAAAAATTTTATGATAGAAGTACTTCATTTATGACAGGAATTAGTCAAGAGAGAGCATGATTTAAATTGACACAACTTAAATTGAAATATATTTTCATTAAAATAACTGTTATGGTACAGATTAAGTATATAATCCTTTGATATATTAATTGTCCATTATATACAGAAATGATTTCTAAATCACTCAAATTCACATTGCAACGTTAGTTAGTTAATAAATGGAGACAAGGCTTGAAAAAGAGAACCTTTGCCTCATTTATTTTTTAGGATGTTCAGACTATTGAGCGCTACAATTGGAGAAGACATTAATAGTGAAAAAAAGGAAGAAAGAAAGCAAAACCTAAAAATCCTTGAATAAGAACATCTGCATTTAAAATTATGCTTTTATTTTTAATAACTATGTGACCTTTTATAAATTACTTACCATACCTAAGCCTTAGTTTCCTCACCAGTAAAAACAAAACAAACAAATAGGATAATAAAATTTTCATCACTGAATTTTTATAAGAAAAATAATTTATAGATATAAGACAGCAGCAGAAATTGATATATAGCCAGGACAGCAGGAATGAGCTTTATTATACAGTCTGGACCAGTCTGAGAGCCACACTCCCCACCAGCAGCCAGGGTTAATTATATTTAACTGGTATGTTAGATAAATAAAAAGTTTAACTCCTGGTAACTGCTTAAATTTATTTAATCTCTTATCCATTCACCCATCTAACTCACAACTATTTGGAGATTATTGTGTATGTGACGCTGGAGAAGTTCCTATATTATTCAGGATAAGATAAAGCTGTGTTTTAGAGATAGCAACTGCAATAGCTCACTAGAGTAATACAATAAATGCTCATTTCTAGTTCATGTCATAGTCATGCAAATCTGTGTCTTTCCTTGGTTGTTCTCCAAGCTATGAGGTTGGGTTTGAGACCTGGGTTCAAGTCCTATCTCTGAGGTGTGATTGAGAAATTACTTAATCTTTTAAATTACCAATCTCATCATTTGTAATTGAGGACAAAAATAAGAGCTACCTAGAGAGAAAATTAAATGAGATAATGTTTATAAAGCACTTTTCACCAATTAATGTGAGGTGAATTAATGTGAGTCATTATTTTTTTCTGGGAAAAGTCAGGGTGTATGGTAATAATAAACTCAAGCAAGATGCCTCAAAGCTCTCTCTCACTTCTAATCTTTATGGGAACAAAACTGCATCCATGTTTCCTGAGCACCTCTCACCCTCCTTCACCCCCCAAAACCCACCTTCCTCATCCTGCTTTCACCAAGACTGCAGCTTCTGGTGTCTGAGAGTCAAAGTGAAAAGCTGCATTCTTTACAGCTGTACTGTACTCTGGACATGCTGTTAGTGATTCTCTCTTTCTGTGCCAGATATTTCTGGGGCTGGCCAAACCAAACCCAGGATGTTTTGGCTTCAGTGTTCTTTCTTCCTTCAGAGTAAATTTCCTGATTTTTTTTTTTCCTCTACATCTTACTGGGGGTTTTAGCCTCTCAGGCTCTGTCTCCTGATCACACTACATCTTATGTCCTGGCATTATTTTGGAGTATCCTTACTGTAGGCTCCTGCCACCTCCTGAATAAGGAAATAGAGAACGAGACCAGCCCTGTCCTTTCCATTTTCCTACTGGGAACTACATTGGGATTCTCACATTTGTTTCCAGTCCTCAAAATGGACCACACTTGGGTGTCTATGGGGATACTTGTTCCTGTTTGACTCTTTTTATGCACATATCAAAAGTCAAAACAGAGAAAACTAAAAGAAACACGAAACAACAATTTAAAAAGAAACAAAAAGTCCATGGTGGGAAGTCTACGAATATGGCAACACTTTCCAGAAAGTCAGAAAGTGGCAAATAGATACCACAGATGGTGACACCCTCAGACAGCCTGTGGAACTTTCTTAATGCTATATTGGATTACTGTCATTGTTGAGAAAGTAGGAAACTTCTGAAACCCTATACCAGACTGTACGGGTCAGTGAGGATTGCTGCCCTGTCTTCTTCCCTATGTATCCCGCATGCCTTTCTTAATGGGACACATAGTCGGTGCTCCATATATGTACATGTTGAACAAACATTCAGCAAACATTAACTACTTATTCGTTGCGTACCAGACGCTGTTGTGAATTGACTGGCCATATAAGGAACAATATAGTGGCCACATACATAATAATCTTTTCAAAAGGAGTATTTCCACTTTGGAGATTGGATTGCCAAAAATATTTTATGATACAGGGGGAAAATTAACCTTCAAACATGGAGGGTAGAGAAGAATAGTAAAATGTAACCCAAAACCTTAAGGACAAGTAGATTGGCCAACAAATAAATATACATAGACTTTAAAATTAATGTTTTAATCAAAATGTGGTGGAATATTCTTTATGTAGCTTAATTTCAAAATTTAAGAATTAATTCATCCATTCAATTTCTCTGAGATATTTTCCCAGATCTGTATTTCAATTTACAGCTTGCTAATAGAGGGTAATAGTGAAAAAGCCCAATCCTAAGGCTACAGAGTAACAGAAAATAAATACCTTGGAATTTGCAAAGACAGCTCATAGACAAAAGGGATACCACTAAAATTCAGTGCAATAGATTTCTCCATTGGAAGTGACAGGAACATCTCTCTCAATATTGCTTGGCTAATGAAGGGATAGATCTGCTGTGAAGTTCCTAGGAGGCTCATTTTCTTGAGTACAGTAGTAAAAGTTCGCTGATGAATGACCTAAACTGCTTAATGTTTCTCCTTATAACTTCTGAGCAGCAAGGCGTATCGAGGTGAGTACTGAAGAAGTTATCCTCCGGAGGCCCTGGTGTCCTTGCAGGTTGTCAGAGGCAATGAGCCAGGTTTATTTCAAATGGCTCCTTAAATGGACAATTATTTTGTGCCAGTAACACGTTTTTGATTAACAGCTCCTTTTGACTAATTTGCTTCCCAAAACAGCCCAATAAAGGACTCGCTTGAAACATAATTAAAAGCATGTTATTGCTAGTAGTTAATACTGATTAAAACAGGCATTAAGACAATTACCGTTAAAGGAAAGTAAGCACCAGTAGTTAGTATAGAATCCATTCTTAGTGTCCGTATGGGTCACATACAGAAATGGCTGCATGACAAACTAGAGCAAAGTCTCATTCTTTATGGAATCATATCAAATATGTTCGTATTTGGTTTGTTTGTTTTAATGAATGGAAAGGCTTTTAAATAGTGGGCTCTTGATTTATTTTTTCCTTATAAGAAACATTCATGTATTCAATAAGGTAAACTTTACTTCCAGTCAATCCAGAATGATTTCAACTGTATGAGGGTAAAACTCAGCTATTCTTTTATATTAATAAGATATAGACCCTCGCTGTTTCTATGCTCTCTCAGTACATAAGATGCTCTCTTACACTATAGATTGAATACAATGGGTGTTTTTATTACTATTATTAGGCACTTTTGATATATTGGTTTTTCTTGTTCAAGTCATACTGTGTTGCGGTGTGAAAAAATCGAGACTTTAAATAATTTCTGCTATTTTTTTTTTTTAAAAAGCATCTTTTAAAAAGAGCAACTTTAGGAGTTAATATTATGTGACACAAATTTATTAAGGTGTTTTTGTAACCATTGCATTTAGCATCAAATTGTGAATTTTCAGGAATTGTATGGGTAAGATAAGAAGAACATATGTTTTGCATGAATGATTATTTCATTGAAAAGGAAAGTACAGAATATTGCCTCCATTTCATACGAGAAATTTATTTTTAAAAATATTGTTGCTATGATCAATTTTATAATTAAGAATAACTGCACTGGGCACGGTGGCTCACGCCTGTAATCTCAGCACTTTGGGAGGCCGAGGCGGGCAGATCAAGAGGTCAGGAGATCGAGACCATCCTGGCTAACATGGTGAAACCCCATCTCTACTAAAAATACAAAAAATTAGCTTGGCGTGGTGGTGGGCGCCTGTAGTCCCAGCTACTCGGGAGGCTGAGGCAGGAGAATGGCATGAACCCGGGAGGCGGAGCTTGCAGTGAGCAGAGATCATGGAGATCACGCCACTGCACTCCAGCCTGGGCGACAGAGTGAGACTCCGTCTGAAAAAAAAAAAAAAAAAAAAAAAAAGAATAACTGCTTATTTTGAGACTATTCAAGAAGGTACTTGGTGGAAATAACAGAAATTCAATTTTGGTATACTTAACTAGGATGAAACTACCTTTAGAGAGTACACTTATAATAAGTGATCTTGAAAATTTAACTTAAAATATTGCAGAGATGAAACTATGCTAACACATTTAATCATTTGTTTTAGACATCCATTTCGCTGTGATAGCCCCTGGATAGTCTCACAAATACACAGCACTCACCAACTGCCAGGGCCAAGTGCATTCATCAAATGACAATTTATCATTTTCTTCATAGATCCAAGAAGGGTCAGGGGTCACTGTCCACAGGCCAGTTTCCACACTTTGTAAGACTTGTGGAGATTTAAAAACAACAACAACAACAGCAACCTTATGAGGCAGTAGGTGGTCCAAAGTTTGGCTGGAAATGGGCAAAAATGTTAAAAGAAAAAAAGAAAAACTTTTGTCATATTTAATATAAATAATTAATCTCTTTTCATTCTACTACAGGCTTTTCTGGAGGATTCCAAGAGCTTTCTCCAATGTCTCCCCTTTCTACTTTGGTTAATCCTTCACATTGCCATCTAAGTTATGGTTTTAAAATGCAAATATGATCACATCCTGTCCCTACTTAAAATCTCTCCGTGATTCAGATCATTTCTTCTTGACAGACTAAATGGTCTTTAATCATCTAACCTCAATCTGTGTTTTCAGTAAAATTTTTCTGATCTGCCTTCTTCTGGACACTATGAAATCACCTCGTGCTTCTCTCTTCTCCAAATAAGCATTTCAATATATACCTACACTTTTATGCACGAGGGTTTTCTCTCATTCATTCCGTTTGGAATGTCTTTCCACACATTCTCCAAGGGTCACACATCTGTTTATTCCAGGGTTGCCAGATTTAGCAGATAAAAATAAAGGTGATGTGGGTAAATTTGAATTTCTAATAAACAATGAATAATTTGTTAGTATATGTCTCATGCAATGATTTTATATACCCCATAAATAAAACTTGCCATCTTCCCCATAAGTAAGCCTTTGAACTCTATATGTGTTCAGTTTTTTAATTAGCTAGTGGAAAATATGGTACATAAAAGATAATCAATAACTTTGGTTGAATAAACATATATTGCCTTTTATGTATTGTAATATTGTTTTAATATACAGAAGTATTTCTAATAGTAAATAAAAATGCAGATAGTATTTTGAGCTGTCAGGTCCCCTCAGATTTCTGAAATAATCAAAAGGACTTTGCTACAATTACACAGCAGGGACTGTATGAATTCTGGCTAGACAGCCTAGCTGTGAAATCTAACTTGACCACCTAGTTCCTCAGTTTCTTCGTCTGTGAAATGAGGATAATAAAACAAGATCACTGGGATAGATTTCACGGGTTAATAGATATAAAGTTCTTAGGAGAGTATGTAGCAAGCTTTATGTAAAAGTAAGTCTTTATATCAACCTCAAATATAGACACCAAAAGAAACAATCCCATCAGTGATCCTAATATATCCAAAAATATAAATATTTGTGCATTTAATCAGCTTTTTATGTCTTCTTTGCTTCTCGTGATCCAAGCTCTTCTTCCCTCTGCTCTAAGGTCCAGCACAATGATTCATACAGAATCATTCATCACACTTCATCAGGTCCACTGACCTCTGGCTTAAGGTGGGGTAGTTGGTGGAGAGAACTGGCAGGAGACTAGAGGAGGAGAGTTCACTCAGGGAATGTACGGCCCTGGCACCTGAGCCCTGGGGTCATCTCCTCAGCTGGCAGAGTTCCAGGATCTGAGGTCAGCAGCTCTTGGCAGGCGCCCTCTCCACCTGGCACTCTGTGTTCTGTGGCTCTGGGTTCTAGCGTCCCCCTTCCCCTTCACCATTCAGGCCTAATGCTGTTGTCATCTCATTCCTATCAGCCCCAGGTTTCTGCTGATAGTTGTGTTACACATTGCCTATATCTTTGAAAGTAGTTCATTCATTATACTTTTCTCAAATGTTCCCATCCATTCCCCACAAGGACCCTGATCAAAACAGTACTTATAAAAAATAATTTGATTTCAGAATCTTATTATAACTTATTTTGCTTAAATATTTGCAGATCTTCAAAGATATTCAAACATCTCATTTGCCAAAATAGTTTTATTATGTTTATCATGGTCATTACAACTGGCTATTTAAATTGCATTTCCTCAAGAATATTGTTTTCACTTCATGACAGTCAATGTTTGTTTGTTTGTTTTAATTTGCCAAATTGAGAAAGTCAGTTGTTTGTGGTGGCATTGAAAACAAAGCAGCCTTCTCCAGATATTAGATTAGGTCCATGATATGGAGATTAACTAAATAGTAATGTATTGGTCTGCCTGGAAGTGTAGCTTTTAAAGCAGTCACTTGGATTCTGGCAGAACTTATTTAAAATATAATCTGTTCTATTTACAGAAATGTTTTGACAACTCATTCAAAACAATAAAATTGTCTTTCCAAGTGGCAACTGTTTTAATTTGACATTGCAAATAATGGTAGGCAGGCTGGGGAATGCATGGATAAAAGTAATGGCAAATGGGGAGGAACTGGAAAATAGGATCTATCTTCTTTGCATTTGCCCAAGATGTTTTCCCATAGCAGTCACTTTCAAGTGCAGTTATAGAAATAACAGAAAAAAGAGAGAGGAGAATGGGGGGTGGGGACTGAGGGGAGGAAAAGAGAAAGAATGAGAGAAGAATTGAGAACTATAAAAATTTGACAACTGAAGTTTTTTGACTCATGAGAAATTTGGTTGTACTTAAAAATATATTGTACTTAAAAATTATACTTAAAAATCTATTCTACTTAAAAATCTATTGTTCTGGTCAATACATTATATTGATTTGTATTTTTTCATCTGTAAAATGAAACATTTATTTCAAGTAGAACATTAAAAAATATATTATTTTTGCCGGGTGTGGTGGCTCACGCCTCTAATCCCAGCACTTTCGGAGGCCGAGGTGGGTGGATCACAAGGTCAGGAGATCGAGACCATCCTGGCTAACATGGTGAAACCCCACCTCTACTAAAAACACAAAAAATTAGCCGGGAGTGGTGGCAGGCGCCTGTAGTCCTAGCTACTCTGGAGGCTGAGGCAGGAGAATTGCGTGAACCTGGGAGGCGGAGCTTGCAGTGAGCCTTGATGGCACCACTGCACTCCAGCCTGAGTGACAGAGCGAGACTACGTCTCAAAAAAATATATATATATAATATATATAAAAATTGTTATAATTAATAAAGCAATATTATTGAATATTACATATCATAAAGGCATTTTGTAAGTTGAGGATTAAACTTGCAGTTATAACAGACATGTAAATATAAAAATATTTTTGATAAAATTATATCTAAAATAAACTCATAGAGACTCTTATCTCACATACATCCTATCGCTAACCCTGGGAATTCATAAATTGTATTTCTACTTAGTATTCTGTTGACACTAGTTTTGCTGCTAGGTACAAGAAAACAAATCTTGGAAAATTTTTAAAAAACTTGTTAAATATAAATGCAGCTTCACAAGGTGATGGATAATAATACAGTTTGCAGTTTCTTCTAGAACCAACTAGTCTTAGAAAAAATCTATGCAAATTACATTCACGTATATTCCTCACTTCAGAAATATGGTCCAATTTTTACATTCAACGTATATTTTAATTCCTGAGGCCTTACAGCGTAAGACTGTGTGTGTGTGTGTGTGTGTGTGTGTGTGATCATCCTAAAATTCATTTCCTTTTATGAAATCCAAACAATGGATGCAAACCCAAATGAATTTTCCATTCTCAGAGGAATTCTTCCCAGAGCCATGAAGCCCAAGTAGGCAGTCACTCACTGCCCTTTGAAAACAGGCAGACGATGTCTAGTTTGAAGTAACAGACTTTTGGCAATAGTAAAAATTTAAAGGACCCGTGTCTGGTTTGCAGGAAGCAAAAGGTGATGGAACTAAAATGAACTGAAATGATTCAGATGTCAAATGGGAATCTGTTCCAAAATTAAGATTTATTGAAACAGTAATGTCTCTGCCAATGCACCGTATTGGTGGGACATAGAAATTTTATGTTTTGGAGAAACAGCCAGAGGAAAACCAGCTGAAACTGCAGACAGTGTGTCTCATTCGTAACTTCACATTTTCTGGTTTTATCTTGATGTCCTGTCCTAAGTAGTGCTAGGAGACACATCTTCTTCCATTTTACCACCAATTAATTGGAAAAAAGTGCATTCTGTAGTATATGATTCTTCTGTTTACCTTTTTCCTAAGGGAGGAGGATCTTACAGGAATGTATCTGGTCTAAATATAAAGAAGAAGCTGGGGCAAAAGGTTTACTTTACTCACATTTCAACTTATAGGCAAAACTGAAATAGATCCTCTAAGGCAGTTGTGATTCATACGTAAAATAACTGATCCAATATTTTTTTAAAAATTGGCTTTTAGTGGGTGCAAGGCTGTGGAGCCATGGAAAATAATCATTCACAGAACTCCTGACAGTTTTAATCACAGGATTCTCTGCAATGACTGGAAGAAATTGCAGGGTCACTTGTTCAGGGACAATTCAGAAACTGATGCAGCCTCACAGGATGACTTATATAGAACTGGATCACAACAAATAGATCATCATTGAATTGACTTACTAGTCCTAAAGAGGCATATGTGCATGCAGCTACAAAAAAATTGCGTATTGTGGGATGAATCAAGTTTCTTCACTTTCTTCAAACATCTTACTAGTTTACCTATTAAACATGAAATTTCCATAGTAAAATAAACCTGATATTGTTTTTCATCTAAGAGTTTGTGAAACTGAAGTTGAATTTAGACAGTATATATTATAAGACAAAGAGATCAATCATTTCATACTAATCCATATGTAACTCTAAACCCAAATCGCTGCAAAATAAATTGGCAACTACCATATACTTTCTAATATGCTGCCCATTATGGAGCTAAGATAAACTAAACCAGGGATTTAATTACAAATGAAAGCCAGAAGAATCGGAAAGAACTAAGAGACAGGATAAGAACTTATTGTAATAATACACTGAAAGCCTCTATCTTTTTTTATTTCTTCTTTCATAAACTCTCACATTTAGATACTAGTTTCTAAAAATTTACCTCAAAATCCCAAAATGCCATTGAGAGAATTAATAGAAAATACCTTCTCAGATTATTTAAAACATTCTGTATGAATGCAAACAAAAAACAGGAAGTATTTTCATTCTCTAGTTTCATCTATGCCCCAGCCATTCAGTGATTATAAAGATAGTTGTCTCTCTTGCTTGCAAAATACCTGTCTTCTCTAGCCCAGGTGGTACCTATGTGCACAAGAAAAAGAGCAGATTTTCCACAAGACCTTAATAAAAATAAAAGTCTATCATGACCACACATATTAATGACAGTCTTTTAGAATTGTGCAGTGCTCAACCTCGAAAACAATATAGCATACAGCTGTTTTATACTTTAATTTTCTATACCTCAGGTTTTCCATGAAGAGCTTGCATATCTCTCCCTACTATCTTAACAGTAAAGAAACACACACTCACATCTAGAAATGCATCCTGGAAATAAAACTCCCTTAAAAAGTGATGGCTCATCAGGACATCCACCACATTTCTCACTGGTTACAGTGTTTAAAACCAGATTTTGTTCCACTGTCATTGGAAAGCTTCACACTAATTTGGTAAATTAGTGTGATATGTGTAGTGATCAATATACTACATTTCATTTTAAGATGATAATCTAATGATACATTTAGAGATTTTTTTATATGCATGCCACATTCTCAGATTCCTATGGAGAAGAAATTCCTGTCAATTCTCAATATAGACTAATGCCAAGTAACATATAAGAAACAGACTCGGAATATTTTCCTGGCAAAATAAGTCTAAAAAACTAAGAACTTTGTGTTCTAGGACTTTTAGAATAATTCCACAGCAAGATCTGCTGTTACAATGAATTTGTGAAAACTAGAGCAACTTACACATATTTTGCTATATTGAAATATCTAGAAACAGATATGCATTTCATATGTATAAAAGCATAGATTGCTCTATGCGTTAATCATGACCATTTGTGTGCATTTTTTATTTTTATTACCTAGGCTCGGAGCAATCTTTGCAAAACAGACTCATAACAAACATGTAAAAGTGGAATAAAAAGCACATTCCCCATAAAGTGCTTGCACAGCACAGAAATGTAAAATTTTGGCATCCAGTCAGTTTTATGTGGTATAAAAAACTTCTTATATTTAAATCCTCTGTATTTTACCAGTCTTTTTATGTAAAACTTTAAGTAGAATTGACTGTTTATCCCGGGTGATTAGGCCACGTGACGCCTTCCAGGTTGGGGAGCTCTCACTTCACTCTGTTTTCTATCAGCACTCCTCGACTACTGGCATGTGGGGCCAATTTGTTCCTTCTGCAGAGAAAGAAGAAGGGGTTTGGATTTAATTTTAAGCCTTGACATAAGGTTTAATTTGCTAAAAAGGGGAGGTATGCCATTGTAAATCTTGGAGGAGACACTAAGGTTGTGAGAATTGTCAGCCCAATCTGTTTTAAGCACTGTTTGAGGTGTTTGTGAAAGAAACTCTATTTCTTTCCAGACTCCACTCACCTAATTGAATGGATGCTTGGTTGCAAATACAATTCTATTCCTTATTTTCATCAACTTTTTTTTTGAGAGAAGTATGACAAATTATAGAAGGTTTTCATATGAAATATGGGTTTATAGTAGACATGCAGATTAGATAATGTGCTATGAGTATGAAATTCATGCCAGGGTAATACTCACCTTATATTTTAACATCTCAATACAAATAGAGGAAAAAGAAATACAATTAGCTGAATGGGATAACTCAATAAAGAAATATAGGAGACTCTTAACCAGGAAGATTATTTAACATTGAGTGGCATCCATATGGAAAGCTAGACAATTTTTTTATGTATATAATTTTTAATTAAGATAGACTCACATTGACCTATAAGGTTTTGTTTGTTTGTTTGTTTTGAGACGAAGTCTCGCTCTGTAGCCCAGGCTGGAGTGCAGTGGTGGGATCTCAGCTCCCCACAACCTCCACCTCCCGGGTTCAACAGATTCTCCTACCTCAGCCTCCCAAGTAACTGGGATTACAGGTGCATGCCACAGCACCCAGCTAATTTTTTGTATTTTTAATAGAGACGGGGTTTCACCATGTTGGCCAGGCTGGTCTTGAACTCCTGACCTCAAGTAATCTGCCCACCTCGGCCTCCCAAAGTGCTAGGATTACAGGCGTGAGCCACCGCGCCCAGCTGACCTGTAAATTTTACTTGGGAAGATTATTGATAAGAACTTAAGGAATGGGGCTAATTTTAAGCTTGGTGCTGCACTGCATTCTCCATCCCAGAGGCATTTGTAAGTGTGAGGGGCTTTTGGATCTTATGATGACTGAAGGGGATGCTGCATCACATAGTGAATGAGAACCATGAATAGAAAGTTCTGCAATGTACAGGACGTATTTGTGCTGTGTCGTACCATTTCTGACATTCCTAATATGCCAATAATTCAGTTAGAAAAAATACGTAAGTATCTCTTTTACTTACTCCTAGAATGGTATTCATATGTGTGCATATGTGTGTGAGATGTGTTGTACATGTGTTTAATATTAGAGAAGCAACATCATCTGACATTGAAGATCACTAATTTTGGAGATATCCTAAGCTTGTAATCGACCAATTCAAATGTTCATCTCATCTGGAAATGCCCTCACAGACATATCCAGAAATAATATTTTACCAGTTATCTGTGTATCCCTTGCCCGGTCAAGCTGATACATAAAATTAACCATCCAAAGGTGGTTCTGAAGAACATTGCTGCAAAACGAAATATAATAATACATAATAACAAATATGTATTTTTGATTTATGGTTTAAATGTTAGCAAGTATTATTAACTGCCGTTTCCTGTGTGACTTTAGACCAACTTTCTGCAAGAAACTATTTCTATAATATAATTAAATTACAATTCTATAATATAATTTTTCTTGTAAATGAGCACTGATGTAGGAAGAAATATTTTTAAGACTATCAGTAGAGTCCTATGGTTGCTACTAAATTCCTGAGAATCCTTTTATTTAATTGCAAGCATTGAAAGTGTGTATAAAACTTCCCTATCCTCAAATATGTGCTAGATATCATGAGGGTATTTGTGAAGCACATGGCATCGGACCAATCTTTGAGGAGCTTGGGTTTTAATCAGGAAGAAGGCAAGACTGACACATGTACTGTTGTTCATCAGGCAAATACTGTAGGCGTCTCCACTTCTCTGCGGGATGGGATGTTGCAGTAAACAAAACAGACTGAAGAAGCCATGATGCCGGTGTTCTAAGGGTTTGGGAAAGTGAAGAATAAAATTAAATATTTAATACCAGATGGGATAAAGGTTATAGAGAAAAACAAACCTATGCAGGTTGCTAGATAGAGATGGGCTGTAAGTGTTCCAATTTTAAATAAGATGATCAGAATTTTACATTTGAACACAGACCTGATGGAGGCAAGGAAGCCAACAGCAAGTAAAAGATTCCAGGTAGAATAGAAAACAGCACCAAGAAGCCCAAGAGCTAGAACTAGGCAGGTAAATTCAAGGAAAAGCAAGGAAGCCAGTATGGCTAGAAGTGAGTGAGTGGAGGGAAACTTGGGTCGGAGATGAGTCAGACATAAAAGACCTGGATCACACGGGCTATTTGGACATTTAAGGACTTTGGCTTTTACTGAGTCAATTAGGACGCCACCGGAGGGTGCTGGAAAGAGGAGTGATCTGATGATGTGATATGACTTCACAGTTGTATAATGATAACATTGCCTGTTGTGTTGAGCACAACCTTCCCTCCCCACCACCCCTCACCAAGCACCCCAAGACTTTAGGAAACACAGAGATCAATGTGGAGATGAAGATGTTGGTAGCTTTGGCCATAGAGAGACATGGTGAAATTCTGGATATATTATTATGCACGAGCCAACAGGATTTGCTGCTGGATTTATTGTTGAACATTAGAGTGAAGTCAAAGATGACCACAATCTTGTTAGGCCTGAGCAACTGGGAAGAGGATTTATAATCGACTGAGATGGGAAAATCTCAAGGAGCAGCTTTTCAGAGGAATAGCATTAAGAATTTGAACTGGACATGTTAAGTTTTAACTGCATATTTGGCGTCAAAGTGAAGATGTCAAGTAGACAAATGCATGTATTCCAGTAGACTGGAATTTAAATCAAAACTAGTCTGCATGGCTGTGTGGCTTTTTTCTAGTGATGTTAATCCACATGGGTGCAAGGTGTTTTGTTTATCTATTGGTACTTAACAAACTACTTTCATACCTAATGCCTAAAAACTACAATAATAATTTATTTTGTTCGTGGACCTGAAATTTTGAGTGGGGCTCATAAGCTATTATTCATCTCTGCTTCATCAAACATCACATATATCTATATATACACAAGTCTATATATATATACACGTACATACACACACATCTATCTATCTATCTATCATCTATCTATCAATCTATCATCTATCTATCTATCTATCTATCTATCTATCTATCTATCTATCTATCATCTATCTATATATTTAGAGAGAGAGGGAGAGAAAAGAGAGAGAGGTACAGTGTTGCCACTACCTATTTTATTTTATGGGACATACCTTCTTGTAGAAGAAAAAGAAAGGGGCTGTGAGAGTAATCAGAGGAGAAAAAGAGCACTTCAAGAATCTTATAACAGAAAAGAACATAGCACATTGGAGGAACTGAAGGGGGACCAGGGGCTGAAAGAAGGAGGCAATGGAAACCATGTTTCTAAAAGAAGCCAGAGTGATTTGTAGGGTACAGATTCTGCAGGGTCTTATAGAGTAAATTAAGTATTTAGTTTATATCTTCAGAGCAATGGGAAGGAATTGAAGTGTTTTAATTAGTGGGTTGATAGGATAATACATGTACTCAGTTAATATTTGTGGAAAAAATAATGTAATAAAGAAAGAAAGAAAATAAAAACATAAGAATAGCAATGTTAATTGAGAATAGAAAAGTTCAGCAATAAAATGGTATCTCTATGTAAGTATTAGTTATACCCTACTTAATTATATCTTATAGATGGACATTTACCAACAGTGTGTAAAGTTGAAATTTGCCATTTCTCTAGAATTTTGAATATGTCACTCTCTGTGTAACACTGGGGCACCAAGGTATCCAGCATCAATAAAAGTAGTCATTTGTGTCAGTTCTTGAAAATTTTGCTGAAAAAGAATGCCTGGACAGACAAATATGTGGATAATATATAGGCATGGCATACTTTTGGAATTTCTAAGCATTTTTCTCTACATATTAGGACAAAGTTTTTGGGACCAAAGCAAAACAAATTCATTAGCCACTATCACTAAAAATAAAATAAAATAATAAATAAATAAATAAACACAAACAAAAAAACCCACACAAAGATGGAGTACACATTTTAGTGCATATTGGGTTGAGAATATTTGGCCTTGGGTATACATAAAATTAGAATTTAACATTTATTGAGTGCTTACTCTGTGCCAGGTAGAGATCTACAACTTCTCATGGATTTGGTTATGTAATTCTCCCAGCAACCCTAGGAGGTAGGAATTATTACATTCTCTTTTCTTTGCATATGAAAAAACTGAGACCCAGAAATGTAAACTTTGTTTCCCCAGTCACACAGTTAATAGTAAATCCTTCATTCAGGAGTTGAACCAGGATAGGCTAACTGTGCAGTGCCACTTTGTAATTACAGATGAGCCATCTAACACTCATTCACACAATGTAGATTTACTGCCCATCTACCTTTTTCCAGCCCTAGCATGGGAACTACAGCTTTCTAGAGGACAAAACACCTTTTCTTAAGAATCTTACCATGCTTCTTCGTCTTGATTCCTGTAGACATCAGTAATTTACCTTTAGTTGTTTTACTATAAGCTATGAATTATGGTAACACTGTAATTTTAATTTAAGTAGCATATTTTAGTGTCTTAAAAGATATTTACAAATATATTCTGCTTGGTAATGCAATTGACTGAGAAAGGTTGTGGTGTTTTTTCTCAGCTGTTAGACTGCTTAAATATACATCCTTTACTTTTCCAGACTCTAGAGAAACATCAAATTAATTTAAAGTGTGTTTCATTTTGTTCAGTTGCTCTGAAACTCTCTCCTTACTGTTAATAATAATAATCATTCTTTCTTAGCTGTCTAATCAGATAGTAAATTTCACCAGTTGATCAAATTGGCCCAATGGGATAAAACAGAAATCTTAGTTACATTTATATTACTTAAAGTCCTACTATAAAGCAGGGCTTCTTTTCACTCTTTTACTTTATGCTGTGTGTGAAATTATGTCCTCCATGCACCACTGTTATAGAATACATCAGAAAAAATGAGAAGCCACAGCCCCAGTGACCTTATCTTGCATGCTAATACTGTTTTCATAGGCTTTCAATGTATTTCCTATATTTTAAACATTGAAAACATTTCAGTGCAAAGAAGAATTGCATGGAATACAATTTCATGTATAGAAGCATATTCTATGAAATCTTCAATATTAAATGTAAAATATAATAAACTCTAAGAAAAATGTGAGAAACAGGAAGGGAACTGACATGGATTTAATATTAGGCTGATAGTGAGCTAAATCTTTCCCCTAGTATTATAAAGAACTAAAATTTATTTTTACATAGACATAATATGTAAAAATCAAGTTGCTGGTTATCATATCCAGAATGCACAGAGATAGACATGGATTTAGAATAAGTGTTCTGCCTTTATTGCAATAATGATGCTCCTGACACTCCTGTTGTATTCTTTTGTTGGAGTTAGTCTTTGGGTGTTTCTTTCCAAGAGATGTGATACATCCTGCTGACCATTCCTCTTTCTCCCAAGCATTTCCACATGGAATCAATGTCTGGTTTGGTTTATAGCTGCTGACCATGCTTATTCAACTGCAAAACAATTATTTTCTACCCAAGTGGTAAAGTAAGACTTAAAATTCTTTATTCACTCAAGAAACATTTATTAAGCACGAGCTACATGTTAGGCAGTGACAGCCCCATGTGCTCACAATCTATCGATGAACAAAACAGATGCATTGCTTTTCCTCATGGAGTTTACACTCTGGTAAAAACAAAACAAACAAACAAAAAACTACTTCAAAAGAGCTAGAAGCAGAAGGATAGCATTTTCTCTTTCTCCTTTCCCTCCCCTCCCCTTCCCTTCCCTTCCCTACCCTTCCCTTCCCTTCCTTCTCCTCCCCTCCCCTCCCCTCCCCTTCCCCTTTCCTTCCCCTCCCCCTCCCCTCCCCTCCCCTCCCCCTTCCCTTCCCCTTCCCCTTCCTTCCCTTCCCCTTCCTTCCCTTCCCCTTCCTTCCCTTCCCCTTCCTTCCCTTCCCCTTCCTTCCCTTCTTTCTTTTCTCCTTATTTAGAAACAGGGTTTCACTATGTCACCCAAGCTGGTCTCAAACTCCTAGGCTCAAGCAATCCTCTGGCCTCAGTCTCCCAAAATGCTAGGATTACAGGCAGAAGCCACCATGCCCAACCAGAAGAGTAAATTTTATATGCTTATTTTTATGAAGGCCTCTCTGATATGGTAACATTTAGGAGATTTGAATGAAGTATATCATATGAATATGGTAAGAAAGATTTTTCAAGCAAAGGAAATGAATACCACCAGAGTCTATACTTTTTTGTAGCAAAAACATAACATTTATTCAGTATTTTTATGTCAGACGCATGAAAAACATTTTCTAATTATATGAGTAAAAATTTTTAAAAAATATCTTTAGTGATAAAATTCTGGATTTGGTATATTTGGCAGTAGAGATAGCATAAGAAGGAGATACTGTGTACTCTAGCCGGGAGGCTTCAGTTCAAATTCTGTTTCAGACACTTATTAGTTGTGTATGTCCTCGGGTAAGTCACTTACAAGCTTCTGACTCATTTTCCTTCTGTGAGAAATATTCAAACCATACAAACCTCAGGCGTTTGCAGTGAGGTTTAAATGAAATAAAGCATGCAAAATGCATAGTACCATCTTTGACAAATGGAAGGCTGTTAACTGTTAACCATTTTTGTAACCCTGGTTCAGAGGCCCCAGTCCTTGATGACAGACTACCAAAAACTGTAAGTGGCAAGTATATACTGGAAATTCCTTCTATTTAATATGAGGACTACATCAGCAAATAAAGGCATCTCTGGATTTCTAAACTGAAATTTCAGTTATAAAATATGCCTTTTATTTGTATAGTATTGCATCTGGATTCCAATAAAAAAGACTCCATACGTGAAAATCCGTCATGTTTGAAATAGTCCACTGACATCTTCCTATCAGCTCAATTATGGAATTATCCAAAACAATTTAATTTCACAGGAGGCAGGTAAATTCACCTTTTTAAATGTTTCTACTTCTGTAAATATACCATTGGATTATAACTTTTCTAAATTATTCTTCAAGTATTACAAAATTGCACTGAACAGCTCAGCACTGGAGAACACTAGATTTTAGTAGCTAGAATCTACTTCATAAGTTTACAAGACTTACATATATAGATTTGATATATAAGATTGCAGCAGATTAATAGGTTCCTATTAAATATAGAATAGAACCATATATATAGCATAGAAAGGTCCATATATATTATATATGTAAAATATACAATGTTCCTTTTTTTTTAACATATGGTCCTATTATATATTGATCCTAATTGTGTGTGTGTATGGTCCAATTTTCAACATATACACGAACCAGATTTCTCTTCTAGCCATTGGTGAAATCAGGAGAGACTAGAGATGAATTGGTAACACTCATTGTATCCTATACAAAAGCAGTAAGTTTCACCAAACGCCATAATTAGTATGATTCTTGAAATCATTAATATGGATCCAGCTCAGATTGCTACTTGGCCTGAAGTAGTTAATAGTATGCCAATGCAATAGGTCACTGGTTGACCTTTGCTGACTGTCTAAGAACAACTATGGTGCCAAGCATGGTGGCTGATGCTTGTAATACTGGCACTTTGGGAGGCTGAGGCAGGAGGAACACTTGAGGCCAGGAGTTCAAGACCAGCCTGAGCAACATAGTGAGACCCCGTCTCAACAAAAAAGTTAGCCAGGCGTGGCAGTCTTTGCCTATAGTCCCACATACTCAAGAGGTTGAGATCAGAGGATTGCTTGAGCCCAGGAGTTCAAGGCTACAGTAAGCTACACTTGCACCAATGTACTCCAGGATGGGTGACAGAGCGAGACCCAGTCTCTTAAAACGAAGCAAAACAAAACTTATGGCATAATATTTGCTCTATTGACACTGTATTACTGATTCAAAAACCAAGTAACAGGGGGTATACTCAATGTGAAAAATGCTTATATTTACTCAATTTCATATGTAGCAGCTTTTAAAGGAGTGTGTTTTTTAACCTGTTAGGCCACGTTTAGACTCACAAATCCTCTTTAATTCACACATTAGAGATCTTGGAAATCATCACAAATCTCCGAGAACCATTACAGCCTTCTATCTTAATCTAGAAACAAAATTTGTCAAGTGAAATAATTCCAAATAATAAAATATTGAGTTTTCTGAAAAAGTTACAGGTATGCAAGCAGATGCTGAAAAAAAAAAAAAAATGAATCGCTTTGATCATGCTCCCAAACATTCAAACAAATTACATTAGGTTGAACTCATAGCTAATTTGGGTGCTCCTAAATGCTCTTTCACATTCTGAAATAAGTTTCTAGTGGAAATAGTATATATGTTACAGTTCAGAGTAGTAAGTTGTTTCACAAAGAAATTTTTAAAATTGGTAGAGTATTTTTTAGTATTAAAAATGTGGTTTTTAAATTTCAGTCATTTAAAACTGGGTGGAAATGTTCTAAAAGAATTTAAATTTATTTTTATTTTGAAATGTTGTCAAGGTTATATGTGCATTATAGCAAAGAAAATAGTACAAAAAGGCTTCTAATGAAAAGCAGAGTCATCCAATTCATTATTTTCTGCTCCTAGTCCCAATCTCCAGGAAAAATTTTCTCTAATCATTTCTGTTTTCATTTTTCTGTAGGTTATCGTTTTAACTCTAGGTATGTTTACATCTGTTTTTCTTAATTTTCCAACTGGAGACAATGTCTGTTCACTTTCTTAAAAATCTATGATTTATGGCTGCGTGCGGTGGCTCACGCCTGTAGTCCCAGCACTTTGGAAGGCCACGTTGGGCGGATCATGAGGTTAGGAGTTCGAGATCAGCCTGGCCAACGTGGTGAAATCCCATCTCTACTAAAAATACAAAAATTAGCTGGGCATGGTGGTGGGCGCCTGTAGTCCCAGCTGCTCGGGAGGCTGAGGCAGGAGAATCACTTGAGCCTGGGAGGCAGAGGTTGCAGTAGGCCGCGATCACACCATTGCACTCCAGCCTAGGTGACAGTGCGAGACTCCGTCTCAAAAAAAAGAAAGAAAGAAAAAGTATATATATGGTTTATTTCATTCTATATCATCTTCTCTCCTGCTCCCTCCTTTCAATATTTGACAGTTTTATCATTACTTTCAGTTTTTCCATACATTATGTTTATGACTTTGAATAGGATGCATACTCTGGTATGTATAAACCGTCAGCTCTAGTCAGTATTTCACACTACCCTTCCCTCCACCTTTCATCTGCCTCATTCTTCCTTTATTCTTTTGATTTATTTTAACTTATCAAACTGGTACTCTTTTCATCTTTTGTCCGTAGATTGATTTTTGAAGTTGGAAACCAATTTGCAGTGTTTGCATTGTTGTGACCCTATAAACATTGTTCACTGCCACAGCAAATGGGATTAAATTTTCTTTCCTGAAAGTCTGGTGTCATGATGTCTGGGACACTTAAAGAAAAACATTTCCAGGATTGAGGACAACTGGATTCTCATTTCTTATACTTCATCCAAGTGCTAAGAAGCATTTTGTTTGATCTTTTATTTGGAGCATATTATTTTGTGCATCTTTTTATTTTCTTGAAAACTTTAATGCTACTCTCTCTGTGAATTCATCAAAATCTCAAGACTTCCATCCTCTCATACATGCTATCTTATGTCCTATTTCCAACCTCTCTAACACCCTCTTTCTACCTGAAGTCCTCCCCCTCTAGTCCTTCTACCTGTGTGCTTCAATTTTGACCAGCACATTTTTAAACCTGATGTACAGCCATCAGCCCACACTTGCCTTTAAGGATTGCCTGGGCTATGTCCACCCTTCTTTAGATCCAATATTTGCCTCTTTTTCTTTTGCAGGTATTTTTTTTTTGAAACACATATTCAAAGAACTTTCTAGAAAATGATATGCACAAGGTACATTTTAAAAGATCATGTCTGTTTGAAAATGTCCTTATTTGGGCCGCACATTTGAGTGATATTTTGGCATGACATGGAGTTTGAAATAAAAATCCTGTGTTTTTTTTGTTTTGTTTTGTTTTGTTTTGTTTTGTTTTGTTTTGTTTTATCTGCAGTGTTTTATTCTACAATCTGGTATTTCTGGGGAGAATGCCTATGCTAGTCTCAGTTTTATTTGTATGTTAGCTGTTTTACTTCTTTAGAAGTTTACAGTATCTCTATCCTTGGTGTTCTGAAATTTTCACAAGAATAGTTTAGAAATATATATTTCATTAGGTATTGAGCACTCGTTGAATCTTTAGACCTAGACTCCTGTCTTAAGTCCGTGAAGTTCTCCCCTGTTATTCTTCTGATAATTAGATAATTTCCTTCCAGCTTTGCTTTCAATTTTATTTTTTAAGAAATATTTTTAGTAGAATGTTACTGTTTCATCTTGACTAATATTTTTTCTCTCACACTTTTTGTCTTTCTGTTCTACATGTTGGGACAAACTTCTTCCTCCTCTTGTTTCCCCTCTTGTTTCTCTTTATATCATATTTACATCTCTAATTATCCAAGCATACTAATTTCACTCTCTGATTTTTTTCTCTTTATATCATATTTACATCTTTAATTATCCAAGCATACTAATTTCACTCTCTGATTTTTTCTTTCTTTTATATAACATCATGTTTTTGTTATATTGACATAATATCACCTCTGATTTCTGTTTATACAAGAGAGGCTTTTGTTGTTTATACCTTTTTATTTGCTTACAGAAGTACCTGCTCTCTTTCCTTCTTCTGCGGTCATTGTTTCTGTTTATTTTGGCATTTTTCATGCTGTTGCTTTTTTCACACACCTGATGATCCTTATTTGCCTGTTCATAGTTAAGAATGCAGAGTTGGTCAGCAGATGTGGGTTTCTCTGGCAAATTTGCAAATAGTTCTATTTGTGCTCCTTCCTTGAATAGGCAGTCAGCCTTGTGCATATGAGAGGGGCAGGACTACTGTCATACTTTATTACAGGATTAGCAACAAGGTGCTGGGTGTGTGGCTACATGTCAAATGTCAGAATGGTCAGAATTGTATTTAGAAGTCTGATATCCACACTTGTCTTCTGACTGTTTCCTCCCCAGATAGTTCATTTAAGTTCTTTGGTAAATAATTCCTGTTGTTTTGTCCCCACAGAGACAAATGCTGGACTGCCTAGGCTTTGCATAGGGGCTGACTGTGCTGCCTGACACAACCATCACCAATACTGATCCTTAAGTCATCATTATGACTACTTCTCCCTCTCTCACTCCATCCACACTTGTGACTACTTCTCCCTCTCTTGCTCCATGCACTCTTCTCCTCTGAGCCCAATCCACTTTAGTGTCTGAGGAGAAGACTTGATCTCATCTCCCAGAGCAGCCTATTTGTAGCAAATTCTGCAGTGCTCATTGATTCACACACTTGTGTCCACTTTCCATCTCCCAAAACCTCATTGAAGTATCTATTATGATGTTGATAACTACCCAGTCATCTTACGTCCTCTGTGCCTATTAAATACGTGTGTCATATTTTTCATCTAGGTCTCAGGAGGAAAAGGAAACGAACCCATTTTCTCAGCACACCATCTAGAATTGAAAGCCAAGAAGAGATATGCAAATGTTCAGGTTTCTAATAGCTCATCATCTGGAAACAACTAAATATTAATGACACACATTTAAGATTAACAACAGCAGAGCATTTACCTCTTTCTCCTTAGAGGATTATAACAAGTTATTTTAATGCTCTTACAAACAAAATGATGAATTTTAAGAGAGAGCTAACAAACAGAAATTCCCTTTTAAGGAATTTTTTTTTTTCATTTCAAGACTAGTGCATGTCTGTAACCACCACTGAATGAATGTGATATATGAAGCATGAGTCATATTTCAGCATTAGAATCTCAGAATCATAAAAATGGGCTCTGTCTCTGTCTCTGTCTCTCTCTCTCTCTCTCTCTCTGTGTGTGTGTGTGTGTGTGTCTGTGTGTGTTTCTCTTTTCTTTTGGAAACTGGTGATACTGCCTATGTCACATTGCATAGGCCTATCCAGGATTATGAGATTTATGAAAAAGGGTGTTTTATTGTTTTACAGAAAGCTTTTTATCTGACCCATCAGTACATGGCTTGTTACTTATCAGTTCTGTAATCCTGGGATCTTTTTCCTCCAGAATTTATAATAGGATAACTCTTATTCCTAAAGGGATATGAAAAGTGCAGCTTGGTGTGGTGCTTCTGTGCCACTGAATAGTATTTGGAATTCCATTTTTACATTGCAGTGAAATGGGCCATTAACTCTTTATTGCACACTCATTTGGTACACAGGTATTAATTTAATTGTTTCTTTATAGAAAGCATAGTTGAATTACAATTAAAAAGCTACTGATTTGACCTGTTTTTGGTAGTTGCCTGTAACTGATATTTTATTATTATCATAAATGAATTATGAATGATATAATGCATTATATCATTTTATAATTAAGCTATAAAGTCATTCTCATTTTAGTAATGATAATATGATAAATAAGTTACTGTTGAATGTCATGGTCAGTAATAAAAGCTACATATTTTTCTTTCAAAGAACACACATATATCCCAACTTTATGGTAATTCTCCAATTTTAACTAAAATGTTTAGGGAAAATCATCAGCCTCTCTGTTCCTCGAGAAGGCTCAGAATTGCAATACCACAAAGTAATGTACAAAATGACTTTTAAATAAAGGCAATTAAAATGTCAAAGGAAATATATTCCTTATATTTATACAGGTTTATTTTCTTTGGATATCATACTTGTAAACAATCTGCATTATTGAAGGAGTCAGCAATTTGAGGCTTTCCTTTGCAGAAGTACAGTGGGGATGCAAACCTAAAACTTGTACATTCATAAGACATACTCTAATGTAAGCTGGAGAGAAAATCTGACTCCAAATTGGGTGTATATATTTAGTTATTGTAGATATGCGGTCATTATACTCCTTTATAGCAATAACTTAAGGTTTCACCAGCTTTTCCAATTGCATTTCACTTAGAATTTATGTCAAAAGTCAAAGGTTGTGATTTGTAGCTATTAATCTTTCCTCTCTGGAAAAACAATTCAACTGTGTTTAGCTGGCAGGGGGAGCTTCAAGCTGTTGACTGTACAGTACTGAAATTTAGAATGCTGTAGTTTATGTAACCAGTCTCTCTTATTTAAATTCCAATGACAGATCTTTTCATTTTGTTTACCACCAAATAACAATGCAAACATGTCATGATGCAGCCCTAGACACGCTGTGTGGTCAATGGAAGTGACATTGGCTAAATTGATTTTTTGGTCTAAGTCTCTTAAAACTTATTAAAAGCGTTTTATTGTTATGTGCAGCTATTAGAGAATGAGAATAAGCTTTTTATTTACATAAGGATGAAAGTAAGTCACTCTGTCTTCTTGATTATTGGTTGTTTGGTTAATCAGAAAAGCTGTGTTATTACAGTATTTTTGTAGACAGCAGTTTAGGAGGAAAAACTGCAAATGGTGTGATGGTGAAATGTTTTACTGGAAATCGGAATTTCAATTTTAAAATTAGACAGACATTTTATGTGTCATATTAGAATAATTAGGTTTCTCCTGCAGATTAGAGTGTAAACTTTTAGCAAAAGTACACTCATGCTATATTTTGGTAACACAAATGTTATTACAAAAGCACTGAAGGGTTTTGGACTTTTCTGGATAATTATGAGTAAATGATCATTTTATAATGAAATCATCCTCAGCTTGTGACTCTCGACTGATTTTTCCATCTGGTGTTTGTCATGTAAAGATGCCCAGTCAGCAGTATTAAGCAGCTTGAAAAATACCCACCAAACTTCTGTATTTACAGAGGCTCTTCCTTCGATATGGTGTTTCCAGATTTCAGTCTCTTTCTCTTTGTTATGCATTTTTTTTTCCCCTGAGGAGGGCATAAAAGCATTAGGTTTTTTATTCCTAATTTTCCTTAAAAAAGCTAAACTAGTGTAGTCATTTTCTTACCACTTCTTACTTATTTACACAGAAAATATAAATATCAAATTAAACAGATTTGTTACTTGGGTAATGTTGAGATCTGTAAAAAGCAGAAGAGATTAAACCTTAAGACTTTTCTTTCTTTTTCTTTTTTTTTTTTGAGACGAAGTCTTGCCCTTTGCCCAAGCTGGAGTGCAGTGGTGTGATCTCGGCTCACTGCAATCTCTGCCTCCTGGGTTCAAGCAATTCTCCTGCCTCAGCCTCTTGAGCTGGAATTACAGGCACCCGCTATCACACCCACCTAATTTTTGTATTTTGAGTAGAGATGGGGTTTCATCATGTTGGCCAGACTAGTCTCAAACTCCTGACATCAGGTGATCCACCCACCTTGGCCTCCCAAACTGCTGGGATTATAGGTGTGAGCCACCTTTCCTGGCCAATACTTTTTTTTCTTAATGTCAATTTGTAAATTATCCTCTGATAATAATCATCATTGAAGAAAAATGTAGTTGAATTTAATGTTCAAACTGTCATGTCAAAAGTGTTGCCATGTTAGGTGTTGTCAGTTGCTGAGCCTCCTTGCCTTCAGAAGCATCCATCCTGCCCCTTTGACCAAATGTTTTGTTTGCCTCTGGCCCGTCTCCCACAAGAAGAGCGGGGTGACTTTGGCTTAGGTTTCACCAGTGGGAGGTGCTGCTGAGAGGTTGGACAGTATGTGAGGGGAAAGCAGAATGATTTCCCTTTTTTGACCCACAGCAGTATCTCCAGCAGTAGCTCAATTTCTTCTGTGGCTCAGTTTCTGCTGAAGGAGCCCAGTAAGGTTCCAGTTCTTCCATGTGAACATGGCCTTGGGCTCCAATAGCCTACCTGGCCCATTGTCCCTCAAATGTACAGATGATGGACACTTTCTGTTGTTGCTGATCTCTGGATTGCCTCATCGTACCCAGTTTGCCTTTGCTGCCTCTTCTAAATCTTGGTGTAATCAGTGATTCTGTCTTAAATTCCTTTTGTTTTTTATACTCAGAATGGTCTATGCTCTTTGATTGTATCCTGACAAATACAGGAGTACAGTTGTTGTATTTCCACATAATGTCAACGAAAGGCAGGATGAGAAGGTTCTTCTGTGTGCTGAATCTTGTCCTGTATGCTGTAAGATTGCATGTCTTTCATTTTGGTAAACAAGCTGGAAGTAAATAGGATAAATAAGTAAAATATGTTGTATGTTGGATAATAATATGTGCAAGGGAGAAACATCAAAGCAGGGAAAGTGAATAAGAAGTGGATTTTTGTTTAATGATCATGGTAAAATTAAATTAAACAAGAGTCTGTCTCATAAGATTATGTCTCCTTAGCTGTGTCTTTCCAGCACTTCAGTGGTATCTAGCACAAAGAAATTCTCAAAACCTATCAACCGAAATATGAATGTAGAGAATAGAATAATGTATATGGACTGAAGTAGTTGGCAGTGGTTTTATGGGAGAAATGTGATTTCATTTACTTCTGAAGACGTGGAGAGATTTGGAAAACATTACTTCTATGTAAGCACTCCTACTTAAATGAATACTCTTCTCTGTTTTATATCTTATAGAATGTTGGGAGATATAACATTAGCAATGGGCTACATGCCTCATCCGATTAGACTATCACTTAGAAGTTAATGATTTATTTGCAAGTTGACTATATGTGTGTATGTATAATGCAAATGTAAACAGGAAATAAAAAATTCCTATTAACATATTAATTTCCCTAAATTCAATTCTGCCATTTCAATTACATTTACTTCATTTTTAGTTTTGCTTTAGAGAAATATGTCTGTTAGACGTCAGTCTGTTACAGTAAACTCCAAGGTGCTTTCTAATTCACTGGGTCGTATTGGAATTTTATTTTTATTTATTCATTCAGCAAATACCTACCAAGTGCTGCAGTGGGCTAAAGACGACAATAGATTCCAAAGATATAACAACAAGACAAGAATGTCTTCCTTTATAGGCTTATATTCTAGCAGAAAAGACAGAAAAAATCAGAATAAATATGTCAAACATCAGACATGCTCAATATTAATAAGGGATAGAGGAAATAAAAAAATCAGAGAAGGTAGATGGAAGTGCTTGTATCAATGTTGCAGTTTTAAATTGGCCAAAGGCAGCCTCACATAGAAGGGAACATTTAAGTAAAAATGTGATAGAGCAAAAGTGACAAGTCATGCGTGTATCTGAGTGAAGAGCATTTCAGGTAGAAGGAACAGCGACTACAAAAGCTTGGTGGCAGTAACCACTGCCTAAGTGAGTTAGTGCCTGGGATTACTACTTTGCTGCAGTAAGGAGTTGAGTTTGGTGTTGCTGCTATTGTTCTGTATCATTCATTTGGTATCATAAAATGATCTATATCCTAAAAAGCAAATATACTCATGAAATTTTCAAAACAAACCTTTTCTCCAATGTGTTTGACATTCCCTACCTTGATATTTTTCAATAAATTATTTTGGTTTCTGAGAAACGTTGGGCAAAGCAGATAAGAACTTTGCTCTATTATAATTTTGAATGTTTATTCTAATGAGAAAAAGCAAGAAATATACATTAATATATATGGATATAGGAACTAAAGAAAAAAAACCCCAAGGCTTCTATATATTTGTATGTTAGGATATATATCCTATGTATAACATTTAAATTAAAGATACGATGGCCTAAGAGGTATGAGAAAAAAAAAACTCAGTCAAATTAAATTAAACAGAGTTGGATTGAGCAAAGGATGATTTGAGAATCAGGCCATCCCCAAACCAGAATAGGTTCAGAAAGGCTCCAGAGCTGCCACATGGGCAAAGAAGATTTATGGTCAAAAAAAGGAAAATGACATGCAGAAAACAGAAGTGAGTTGTGGAAACAGCTGGATTGCTTACAGCTTGGCATTTGCTTTATTTGAGCACGGTTTGAACAGTTGTTCTCCTTTGATTGGCTAAAACTCAGTGATTGGTACAAGAGTAGGCTACAGTCTGTTTACACAACCAGTTAGGATAGAGTTCACTATGTATAGAGAAACCTTTAGGCTGAACTTAAAATATGTAAGGAGGCAGCTTTAAGCTAAACTTAATTTAACAGGTAGCATACAAGGTCAAATGCCAAAGAAAGCATGAGAAAGAGAATTAGTTCAGTTTTCTAATGTTAATAGAACAACAGTCTCAGATTTATCACGAGAGTCAAACTTGGAGTGGATATGTTCCACAAGAATGAAAATGTTGTAGATAAAGACTGGGAATCAGGATCAAGATGGAGCTGAAACATGTGATATACTCATTTTATCCAAGATACCATCTCCAGAGAGCAATTAAGCAACACTTATACCTCCTCTTCTGACTTTCCAGCTGGTGCATATCCCTACTAATCAATGAGTTCAGAAAAGAAGAATTAAATAAAATCAAATTCTAAAATAACTGATTACTCAGAGTGAGAGTGAAATGCCTATGTGGAAAATATTTCAAACCAAACCCTCAGAAAACAAAACCTCTGAATTTCCAAGAAATGCTACGAATGTTGGCAGTGCAAACAGAGGCACACCCCACATCTCTGAACTAACATATATGAGGTGTTAATGACCCACAGATTAGCAGCCACACCCGCCTTCAGCATAAAGAGTGATTCAAAAGCCAGCAGGTTCCAAATACTTTAGCCAATCAGGAAGCTGAAGGATTATCACTGAATGACACAAATCTAAGAGAAGCAATCTGATACACTTTTGGAAGAAAGTGCCTCCAAAGAACTCCATAAGTATTCAGGTTTTATTTAATTTTCTTTCTGAAATTTAGCAAGTGCTTATAAAGAAACTACTTTTGATTCTATGCCTATATTGAAGCATATTTGGTAAAGTTGCAAGAAGTATTTTCATTAAAAGCTTTTGCTTCCCTCTCCTAAAATGTTAGGCCTAGAAATTTCCATGTCTGGTTTCATTCTTAACGGAAACTCCCTGGAAAAATGTGAAAAATTAATAGCTCCAGTAAATGTTTGGAGAATTTGGGGTGGGGGCATGAGGGTCTGCTTCTGCTGTCTTAAAGAAATATAAATGTGATTTCTATATTCATTGTTGCTGGAAAACAATATAATGAACCACTTCTAGGTTCCCACCAGGTTAGACCTTCAGGGAGAAAGGGATGTGACAGCAATGCAATCCAACAATATGAGAAGAGTATTGGTTTAGTTGGCATACATAAAAGCTTCATGTTAAGGAGCAGGAGGTAATGGTGTCTCAACATGACAGAATTGAGTCTAAGCAGGGATATCTGTCTTCCATTTTTGTCACCTCAGAACACAAAGCCAAATTGGAGTGACTTCATAGATGAGCAACAAAATGACTAGGGGACCAGAGGCTTGATTTATGGGGAGAGATTAAAACAGCACAAAGTAATGTATATTTTGGCTAAGTGATTGCTAAGAGGAGCATGATAACAGTCTACAAATATGTGAAAGATTTAAATGTCTCAGGAGAGGAAGAATCTTTTGGCAGACTGCAAATGGACAGCACAAAGGGCAAGGAAAGAATTTGGTTGAACATGAGAAGAGAGAGGGAAAAAGGCTCACCGTGAGAACTGATCACATCCGTAGAAAAGCAGTGAGTGTCCTCATTCTTGGACATTTGAAACATCTTAAATAAAACCCCAGGAGGCTTACTAAAGGAACAATTCTTTGCTAGTATGCTACTATGAAATCAGTGTTGCCTTGGGTCAAAGGAACAAAGGCAGCACAGATGTAACAGATGTGTGTGTGTGTGTGTGTGTGTGTGTGTGTGTGTGTGTATACTCACTCTCATGGTACATAGGGTTGGGGAAAGATGGGAGAGTAGGAATGATTGTACTTTGGTTAAAATAAAAACACAAAGAAAAAAGAGAGAGTAAGAAAACTATTTTCCAGCTGAATTGAAATGAGAAAACTAAAAAAAGCAAAACAAAAGCAACTTATGAGTAAATGAGAGGGAAAAAAATCTCATATTGGATTTTGGATATTGACCAAAATATGAAAGTCAACCTCTAAGATCATCTTGCCCTTATGTGACATCATTCGGAGGATGTAGGTAATTATATCTCAGCTCAGCTGCCCACACATCCTAACCCCAAGGCTGTGTGTGTGTGTGTGTGTGTGTGTGTGTGTGTGTGTGTGTGTGGCTGGTGGAGGTTATAGCATATGCCACTTTAGTAACATGTTGAAATTTTTTATTTAAATGCCTGTCATCCAACCATAATATAAAATATTCTTTGAAGCAGTTGAAGTCTATAACAGCCTGGAGTGGTGTTGCATCAACCTTTGTAATTGTAGAGTAAACAATATTGATTTGGAGAAATGAAGAAAAGAGGTGTTTTAGTTTTCATGCAACCCTCCCCTGACCTGGACACTTCAGCACACGCAGATGCCAAGACATGTGTTAGTTTCTGAAAAGGCAGAATTTACAGCCATTATCCCTGGGAAGAAATGGAGATAATCTTCTACAAAATTAATAAAAGATGGAGGTACAGAGGGTAAGAAGGGGAGAATTTTATCTTCCTCTGCCCTTCCTCCCTCCTCATTTTTGCTGCTAACCAACAGGAAGGCTTTTTACCTCTAGCAGAGAGGTCAAGTGCACAGGCTCCTGCACAGCCAGTGCTTTGTGGAGTGACCAAGTGCTCCAGCCGCCATCCTCCTGAGACTGAGCACATCTGCTCCAAGATGTTTTCAGCCTTCCCTGACCTGGGGCATGGGAACCTCAGAACATTTCCTAACCCAGGTCTCATTAGCTTGATACAATTAGATTACTGAAGAATGCAGTTGACGAAAGGCACATATTATTTATAATTTCCATTAGCAGTAAAAATTGCTCCAGACTGAAATTTCATAAGGCCATCTCATGTCATTTGTCACACAATTAATCTCACCAAAGGGGTGGGGGGATGGCATAAGAGAGTCATAGGAAATATTTGCATGCTGTAGAATAGATATTTTTTCTTTTAAGTTTTCTTGCTTTTAGACAGGAACTATTACTACCGTTGGTTTAGTAGAGACAGAGAGAAAGAGAGATTGTGTACGTGTGTGTGCATGAAAGAGAGAAGAGAGTCTGTGATGTGTTTTGGTTACTGCTGTGTGTTATTTTTGGCAAATCAGTATAATAAAAGTTTGGAAAATATTATTTTCAACTTGTGAGTATTTACTAGAATGAATTCAGGGATAAGTGAGTACTAGATTGAGATGTACAGAGTATGAGATCTAAATTGTCACTTAAAATACTTTAAAATCACACACTGATTGAAGTGGGAGGGAATTTATGGGTGCTGGAAGCCCTGGACTGGGTCTGAGGAGGTAGTTACCAGTGGCATGTCTATCAGGTACTTGGGTTCAGTTTCCATGAAAGACACAAAAAATTCTCTGTGTGATTGAGTTTCCCCACTTATAAATTAGGCAATTGTATCAAATGAATGCTAAGAATCTGGGTAGATATAAAAGTCATTTAATTAATTGGCTAAGGATTAGATGTGATAGGGTATAATTGTTTTCCCCAAAATTTCATATATACACACACACATACATATATACATATACATTCATATACATACACATACATATACATACATACATACATACATACACACACATAGGAGTGATAGTCTACTATTTTACAAAGTGGTATCTTAGATTCTTTTTAAGGAAAATAGAGATAAGTAAAGTGATTATTCTCAATATGTGCAACATATAAGAAAACTAAATAAAAAAATGAACTTTCTTTCAAATAGCTGCTTTGTTGCCTTCTTTATCTTTACTATAGATTTATAAGAGGGTTCCTATTAAAGGATTCTTAGCAGTTTAAGAAGTGGAAAAAAGGAATAATCATTTTGGTTGGAATGATCCAAGAGGGTCCTCTTATTAGTCATGCTGTTGTTCAACGTTTTTAAGGAGTAAATCCTAGCTACTTTAGACTACAGTAGAACACGGATATAAACAATTCAAAGATCACAGGATAATTCATTCTCAGTTTTATTATTCTCACTAATGGAGGACCCAGATCCATGCATTTTCTATTTATAGACATCTGTATCATAATTGCTAAGACAATGTCTATAGTAAGCATATGGACTATTCTTTGATGAAGTGATTATAGAAAAAGAACATTAAATTTGTTTTTTCTTCTCTTTTATACTTTAATAATTCTTTAATAAAATAAGGACATTCCACTATGTAAAAAGTATTTTTATGGTGGTTTGTAAGTTTTAAAGTAATTTTTAAATATTTACAGACAATTATTCACACCATGGATACAAACATGTCAGAGTATTCATTCATTTACTCAATCATTTATGCACTAATTTAATAGGCATGTATTAGTATATACAATATGATAGACACTCTGATCAGCATAGAGGATACAACAGTTATGTAGTTAAATAGTGAATGCTGAGATAAGAGATATATTGGGGAATTCAAAATAAAACCACCTGACATTTTTAAGATTAAGAAGAGCTTCCAATAGGAGGTTGCATTTGACCTCAGAATTTAAGTATTCTCACAATGTACACATACACATCAATGAGAGGTGAGGAATATGTTAATTAGCTTGATTAATAAACATTTCACAATATATACCTATATCAAAAGAGCACATTGTGCTCCTTAAACTTATACAATTTTAATTTGTTACTTATACCTCAATAAAGTTAGAATTAAAAAAAATAAAGACTGAGATTTAACGAATTTGGAAAAATAGGTGGGGTAGAGAATGAAGTGGTGGTGATATGGGGAAATGATACACAGAGAAAGATCTCAAGAAAAACATGTTAGCTAGAAATTGCTAGGTTGAAGGACTTCAACATTTTATGTTTGATACATGACAAATTACCCCCTAGAAAGGCTGTATCAATTTATATTCCCACTGATAGTGCACAAGCAGGTCCATATTCCCACATGTTTCACTAGGGCTAGAAATCTTAAGATTTATTAACTAACCGCTAGCTGAGTGTCTTTTGCTCAGCACTATGGAGATTGTGGTGTACACAGGATTAACATGGATAAGACACAACCTTGTTCCCAAGATGCTTATCACCTATTTGAAACAAGAACTAGGAAGCAGATAATAATAGCGAATTGTCTGAATGAAAGGCATAATTGTGTACTGCACACAAAAAGTGGTGAGGTATCATCTAAGTAGTGAGGGCAATTAGCAAAGATTACCAAAGCCTGTGGCACAATAATCCACTCACTTGTTCAAATAGAGAGGACACACAGTGTCTCTGCATTTCTGATAACTTTTCCTCATAATATGCTTGTTTCAATCAAATTATAAAGACAATTGCTTTTGCCATAAATGATCATTTTCAAGCTAAAATGCATGGAAGAGGCTCTATGCTTGGCAATTGTGAGCTGTAAGAATCTTTTCATCAGGTTTTCCTGCCGAAATCCATTGACAATAAACATGATTAGAAGATAAGCACTGACTTATTTGCTAAATAATACTATACACAAATTCTGGACCTCTACTCATTTAATTTCATAAACTCAAGGAAATATAAATCCTAAATACCTGTATTTGAAAACAAGCACCTGCATATTGGATATTTAATTTACAGCAGCATTTGTCCGCCAAGTATCCTATGTATGGAAGTTTAACAAATGTTTTTTTGATGATGAGAAGTCGCATTTCAGCAATCCAAACTCCCCTCTTTTATATATACTTTTCCTTGCCCCAATTGGAACTGCATAGCTACACCCTGTCTTCCTAAGATGGTTTTTGTATTGCAGTAGAGGCCAGCCTTTATCCTATTGCAGTCTGTAATGTTTATTTAATGCCACTTAGGGGAACACCCAGAAAAAGAAATCGTAGAAACTGAAAGAGAAATGAAACACCAAGCATAAGTTCATTTTTTAGTTACAATCCCCTTTTAACCTTGTCTTCTAGCCTTTCTATTCTATATTAACAGAAAACACAACACGACAAAACAAAAACAGCATAGCTCTATAATACTTCATTGACTCCTTCTACAGAAAGCTGTGATATAAAAAATATATTTGTGTGGCATTCTCAAAGGGTATAGAATGCTCATATTGTTAAATTTCTATTGGATTATTTTTTCCTACCTCTCTAGTAGACAAATTGCCATTATACTAAATCCTAAATGATCATAATGACCACCCATTTACTGAATGCTTACTGATCTGAAGATGTTTCATACCTGTTGTCTCTCACCTTTTTGACAACGCTGAAAAGTAAACATTATCTTCATTTTACAGACAAGTAAACTGAGGCTCCAGAGATTATGTAATGTTTCAATGTGGTAGGAGTAAATAAATGGAGCAGTTAGAATTACAGGAGAGGTCTTTCTGGCTCCAGAGCACAAATATTTTAAAATCCTATAGCTTTACTTGTTAAAAAAAAAAATAAAATGAAACTAGAATTTGTGAAAACAGCATATCTAGTCTTCTTTTATTTACCATTGATATTTAAATTGATAACAAGATAAAAATCATATTAGCAATTGAAGAACATTTTTTTCCTTGTTAATTCTGAAAGAAATGGATATAAAAGTAAATACAAATCTTCAACTTCTGCCGTGTTGAGTTGTTTGATTATAGTTTTAATTCTATATTTTAATGGATAGTAAACCTCAGGATAAAAAATTCTAAGTTTCTAAATTGCTGGAGAAAATGTACTGAGTCTGTTTTGAAAAGTAGACTTAAGAATGAACAGTTACAAGTCAGCATCAGAAAAGCAGAACAGCTCCTTTTGCAAAATACTTTCTTCTCTGTGTTATCATATTCTTAACATCAACCTGAGACATTTCTACTTTCTGTAGTTAAGCCATACCTTACAGTTTGGATGCCTAGAAGAAGCAAATAGAGGAAGAGAGAGAGAGAGTGTGTGCAGGCAAACTGATTCAGTGACTGTGATTACTATACCCAGTATTTGATTCTCTAATTGGGAATTCATGTAATAGGGAATCCATTCTGTTGTATTCACTGTTTCATATTTATGAAGTCATAAAGAACAGCTTGCTTATATATTCAGTAGTCATTTACAATGAATAAAATATGTTAGAATTAGAATAAAGACAGGGCATAACTTTCCAGAGCCACAGACATCAAATTGCCAAAGTTTGTGTATCCTTATTGAATATACACAAGGTTTAGAACAGCCAGATTCACATTTGAATGGTCCGATTCTGCAGTGCATAACATTGGTTACCAAGGCTAATTTACTTGTTTGAAGCTTTATTTTTGAACAATGAAAATTGGAGATGATAACAAGTCTTTCATGTGTTGTGGATAAATTTGTTGATAGTGTCTCCCACAATGCTGGGTACATTGTAAGCATACAGAGAATAAAAGTTATGATTTTACAGAAGGTCTTAAGAGTTGAATTAAACATTTTGGAAGCTAGTAATTATTATATTAGAGTAAAAAGTAAAAGATTACTGCATAAAAGAACATAGTACCAAAGCTATTTTTAATTTCTTCAGGATATAATTTGTGTTGTTTAATTTGGACAAATAATTTAAACTGAAACCTTTAAGTTTTAGGTCATAAATGAAGGGCATCTCCGCATCTCCACATTAATTCTAACTGGAAATTAACTGTTAAATCTAAACAGGCCAAGTCAAACTAAACATGAAATCTCTAAGTATCTATCACTGCCTCTTGAAACTGGAATTGCATGCGTCTTCTTTCTTAAAAAGTTAAATATTTTACTAAATAATATCTTTTTTATGTTTGTCAAGTACAATTTCATCATCCATAAAACTATTGATAAATCAACACATTTCCCATTGATTTGGGGAAACAGGGATTCAAGTGTTAGTTGATTTTTACTTTTCTACCTGCTTATTCCATTGGTAGATGCAGAAGTAGTAATATTTTTTCTTGGTAAATTCAAATGATTGAATTCAGAACTGCTATCATTCTAAGAAAGAAGAAATTCTGTGAAATAAGAAGTATTTAATAACTATCAATGGGTTCCAATAAAGATGTCTTAGTAAATACAGCCAACAGTGAAGAAGAATATGAAATTTATGTAACATAGACCTTACTGTTATACACTGACACACAATGTTCACTACATTCTAAAAACAATTTTGCTCACATGATTTGTTCCATAGAGATAACCAATATTTTCATGTTTGTGCTTTGTTTTCTTCACTGATCCTGTTTTCTATATGAGAAATGAAATCTGGCATCTGTTTTTAAAACTTCCTCTCAAATTTAAGGCCACATCATCCCAGTATAAGATAATCAGATACGTTAGAAATTAATTTATCAATTTTCTGTATAGCCAGTCAAAATGTCTGATTTAGTAGGTCAGTTTTCACTTTAAACATCAGCAGAGGAGAACAATTCAAAGTTGTAGAAATGGGATCTCAGGATTCAACAAGGATGTGGTAGTGGGGAGATTTTGTACAAAACTTTGAGATAATTTACCAGTGAAAGATTCATCTACAAATTATTTAAGACATTTAAAAAAATTGAATACAAATACTCTTGGTAAGGATTTTCATATGCCAGACACATCTTATTTTGAATGAATAAAGTAATACTTTTCTTTTTTAGTCTTTGTTAAATTAACCTCTGTACAACTGTGGAGTTGGTAAAGTGTGAGGAATAATTTTTGAGTTGGACGTCCTGGGTCATGCATAGTGTCTGAATGCCTGAACATGAAGTTTATTTATTTTATTTTATTGTCTTTGAGACAAAGTCTCTCTCTGTTGCCCAGGCTGGAGTGCAGTGATGCGATCTCAGCTCACTGCAACCTCCGCCTCCCAGGTTCAAGAGATACTCCTGCCTCAGCCGCCTGAGGAGCTGGAATTACAGGTGCCTGCCACCATGCCCGGCTAATTTTTGTATTTTTAGTAGAGACAGGGTTTCTCCATGTTGGCCAGGCTGGTCTAGAGCTCCTGACCTCAAGTGAGTCACCTGCCTTGACCTCCCAAAGTGCTGGGATTACAGGCGTGAACCGCTGTGCCAGGCCTATGAAGTTTAGATAGTACAGATCCAGAATTAGCATCTGAGCACATCTTCCGGTGAAGACAAGCCAGGAAGCCAATGATTATGCTAAGAAGTGGCACAAGAGCCATAAGATGGATATGTTTGGTACCCAGTAGGTGCCCAATAAATGTTTATTGAATGAATATTGTGAAAGTTTGCTTACAGGTTTGGTAAACACAAATTTAAAAATAAAAATAAGGCAAGAGCTTTTATGTTTATTTTACCTGACGATAGATGTAAGAATATTTTAAAATGGTAGAGAATAGATGGGAAACAGAAAAGAAAGCATGAGAGAAACAGAGCGAACTCACCTTCCAGCGGAAGCCCTTTCCAGGATTCATTTCTCTGTCAAAGTGAGTACTTGGCTGCCTCTCTTCATTCTCTTCTCTCCTTCTTCCTTGTTGTCAAGGAAGAAAACCCTACTCATTAAATTTAAAGCTATTGATCTATTCTTGCTGAGGCATTACTCTTTAGGACCTCATCCTTACTGTTTGATCAGCAAGATAAATAGAGCCAAACAACATATGTTTATGATCTCACTTTATTTCATTACAAGGCATATAGATAACAAAGAAGATGGAATAGGAAACGATAGCTTGAGACATAACACTTACTCATATAGACTAAGCTGAAAATCACTGAAAAATTCATTTATCTTTTGTACAGTTGTTTGCCTTCTAGCATTAAGAACAGTGGTTTGTGAGTAACCTCTTGAACTGAATCAATTAGGAAATGTAGGCAGGAAAACTTAGGAAATTATTCTGTTTCCCTGGATAGTGTCTCAACTTTGCAGTGGATAAGGGGTCAGATGTGTACATTGGGTTGGTCTATCTTGCTGAAATTTGTGGAATATCTCCCTGGCTTTATATTTGCTTTCCCCATGTAAACACCATTACAGCCTCCTTAGTAACAAACTTTTTCTTGAATTAATCAAATTTACAACTTCAGCAATTCACTTAACAAGACTTTAGGAGCCTTCGCCATTTTATTTTCCCTTTCAGATTATTACTTTCAAAATCTTCTCTTGGCAGACACCATTTAAGCAAATGCTATGTAATAATAAAAAAAAGTAAACAGTAGATCATAATAATTACGAAAAAAGAATAAAATTCCTGGGATAAAGGTTCCAGTTTTACTTGAGAAGACAAATCTGACCCAGATAGGTTCGCAACCCTTTCTTCATGGAGATAGGTTGAACTCTTTACAGTAGAGTTTGTTTTTATGCTGTTGCAATATGGGGAAACTTGCAAAAGGCTCAGAAGGGTTGATGGCATATTTCCTCTATCCTCCTGACATGGAAGGAAAGACACTCTGAAGCATAAATTTGTGTCTGCCATTACTGTTTGTAAATGTTTATACCCCACCTGGATAAGAGTTTGGAAGGTTGTAGGAAATGCTTAAACCTGGACACAGACAGCCCTGTTCTCTGATCCCAAGAGTAAATAGCCAAGGCACTTTGATCAAGTGTTTTTTTTTCTTCTTTTTTTAGATCTCTAAGCATTCTCTGAAAAATAAGAATGTCCATTAGAAAGGTTATCAAGTCCCCTAAATATCTCACATTCTGACATACAGTCATGTGGTTACATCTTTTTCTTACATATTGAAATGTAGCTGAAGTTCCATAATCAGATATTTCTTAAGCTAAAGCATGTAAGAATATATATATATATACATACAGATGCAATTTTTCATACACAGGTAATGTAACTTGTCCTTGAAAACACTGTACAGATCGATAGACTCTGTAGATATTACTTTATGGACACCATTCTAATGTGTATAATGTGTATTCCTTCAAAGGATCACTATTAATGATTAAGTCTCAAAAATGTAGTCACATTGTTATATTCCTAATGAGATTTGATGATTCTGGCAAATCCAGTGATTTAAATCCTCCACTATGTTAATAATATGTTTATCTACATATACAAAAAAAATTCTTTTTTGTGGGCCAATAAATCAAGTAATTGTAATCTTTTAACATCATTTAACATTAGGAACATTTTGATAATCTCACCCTGCAACAGAGACTAAGGATTTAAAATTAAGCATCATAAAATGCACAATAAAATTAGAAGGACCTTCTTGTAATACAAAATTTATGGAGACAAAACTCTAATTTCCTGATGGATATATTATATTAATGTAATGGATACCTCAGTGTAGTTAAATTGCATTAAATGGTTATTAATGCTTGAATAAACTTCAAGGAAGTGGGCACTGGTTGAAATGGGATAATATTTTGTTCTGCTAAATTATACGTTAATTGGTATTTCCTCTCTTGTAAAAGGACCTAAAGGGTTTAATAAAATATGTGGTAGAAACATTATTTTTTTTTCCTTCTTGAGATATTAAGTCAAGAGTGTAACTGGAAGTGTTTTAAACCTTTCCCAGAAAATTCTTCAGTATTTGTAATGACATGGGTTTCAGGGACTCCCAAAAGTAAATAATTAAAGCTTTTAGTCATCCAAATAATGATAGACTGCATCATGGGAAAAAATGTTACAAATTATGCAGTTGAGATTTGTTTTCTTATTGCATGTTCCACAGTGGAGAGCGAGAAAGGGAGAGAGAGAGGGAATGATGAAGAGAGAGGAAAGAAGAGGGGGAGAGAGAACGAGAAAAAGAGAGATCCTATAGATGTGTGCAGGCGTACAGGCCATCTTTGGTATTCTCAAATTACTTCAAAAGGTTTTTTTTCTCTTTTTTTTTTTTTTTTTTTTTTTGCTAATACAGTGAACAAGACCTTGCAGTTTATTTTTATTTTTTCAGATTATGAAAAATACCAAGTTTTACCTAAGGGATGGGGTTATCCTATGTATGCGGCAAACAGTTGTAACCAAGTACTTGAAACTGCCAGCCTAGAGTCTTGTGTTGAGTTATAATTTTTAAAGTAGAGCCAGCTCTGTGATAAAATTAGGTCCATACACCCGGATGCTTAAAGGGAACAGAGTAAAGATAGTATAGTTTGCAGGACTCACACAAGTGAAACTGGCATATGGGGGATGTAAAGAAAATTAAGTTTGGGAACTTAGAAAGTGTGTGTAGATTTACAGTCTAGAGTTAGTGCATTGACTTCTATTTAAACGTTATTTAGAAGTTTCAGCGTTCAGTTCTTGTCTTGTGGGTGGCGCATCTCATTTTCTTTAGGGTCAGCAGTCATACAATGTTACTCAAGTGCCATACAAAAAAGGGAACACAGGCTACTCAATCTAAAATAATAGACAATGTGGTCCAGTCACAGGGACCACATAACCAAGATGAAATATTTGCAGCACTGTAAAAGCTAAACCCATGGGGCTGGCAATTCCAAGTAACTAAGACCAACAGGAAGTGACCCCAACTCTGTGGTGACACTCTGCTTTCGAATTGAAACATACTTATCAACAGGAAAGTTTAGAAAAGAGAAACTACAGAAAAGAATTGAAGAGTCATTAATCAAGGCAACAAAGGAGAAAATGGTATGTGCACTTCAGGATAAACGGGGACATTGTAAGGTCAATGTAAATTCATGGCCATTTAAATCTATCATTGAAAGCTGTGTACACCCTCAGGCCCTGTAAGCCAACCCATATACTTTATTTCTCTATTCGTGTATTCATCTAAAGAGAAGACTGGGACAAAATTAAAAAGATAAAACCTCAGCTGAACATTTACAATTGAGATGCATATATGCAATCACATAGGGTAGGGATAAAATAAGGTATCCTCAACTTTTAACATAGATGGTTCAGTATTTCAAACTTTCTATTAGATTCTATCATTTTTGAACTTCCTCTTTTGGACATAATTCTTTTCTGAAGCTACTACATTTGTTATTTTTAAAGACTTCTATTGAGACACGACAGAATTTTTTTTTTTTAATTTTACTTTAAGTTCTGGGATACATGTGCTGAATGTGCAGGTTTGTTACATAGGTATATTTGTTCACTAATTTAAACCTGGGAAGTACCTGGCTTGTAGTAATTCCAGTTGTGTGTCATCTAGTTTACACAGATGGAAACTATTTTTGTTTCTATTGTGCATGGATGGTTCAAACTGAAAAATCCTGTATCATTATGTCTTCTCTGGAGAAAACATAAAAAAAAATTATATTGGTCTCCAAAGATAGTGCACCTAATAACACAGTGCATGGGAAAATATCTTCCTTTCTCCTAACACTTCCAAGACAGTACAAAGGAAATAAAAGATCTCGTTCCATGCCAGCACCAAAGGAAGCATGTTGTTTCATTACAAGATTCTAATCCAAAAAGTTATGTAAAATATTTTTATAATCTAGTAAAAACCAAATCAAACAAACAAAAAGCAATCTTTAGATATTTAAATCACCCTAAAATGTGGTTGCATTAGCTCAATGAAAAGCTCTGGCGATGGGATAGTCCTGCTAGCATTTAATTCTCATCCCTAACTCCTTCCCAGTTCTGTGACCTTAAAAGGGGTACCTAACATCACCATGCTTAATTTTTCTTTCTCTGTAAAATGAGACAACACAAACCTCATAAAGTTGTGGTGACTCTTTCAAAGCACATGTGAAAGTATTTTATGATAGTCCCTGTCTACATCTGGCACCAACCTTCCTGACACAAAGTGAAAGATGCTCCTTTCCCTGTTGTCACTCTACTCAAGGGCTGGAAATTCTTGGCACAGGAAGGAGTGTGGTAATGACTGCCACCCATATTCATTTTGAAAGTTTATAATCTTTCCTTTTTTTTATTTTTATTTTTTGAGACAGGATCTTGCTCTGTCGCTCAGGCCTGAGGGCAATAGTGCGATAATCACAGCTCACTGCAGCCTTGACCTTTCATGCTCAAGCAATCCTCCCATCTCAGTCTTCCAGTAATCCGTGTAGCTGGGACTACAGGCATGCACCACCACACCCATTTAGTTTTTTTTATTTTTAATTTTTTGTTGATACTGGGTCTGGCTACGCTGATCAAGCTGGTCTTCAATTCCTGCCCTCAAATGATCCTCCAGCCTTAGCCCCTAAAAGTGCTGAGGTTACAGGAATGTGCCACGGTTTATAATCTTTCTCTATCTTTTCCCATTCATAGCCTCATTTCAAAGTTCTAGTAGGTCTTATGGATGCATAGTCTGGACAACAGCATTGAACCATGAATATTTGTTCAGCATACATTTTGTCTGGAGGTTTTATGCCTATCCCTTCAACCTTTTACTTTCCATTTTATCAGTCTTTGGGGACTGATTTTTATATATGACTCATGTAAATGACGAGACAGCCTGGGAAATATGTAGAAGGGACATTCTCAGGTGCAAAAGTGTAAGCTTGGTCTACAACTTTGATGCAATATTAATGACTGAGAAGTGAAGGAAAAACTGAGAGACAGTGAACTCTTTTGCTGGTACAGGAAATGGTCAATAGATTAAAAGAAGGAATAAAAAGGTTAGCATAGGAAAGTACCATTAGTTAAATGCATTTCTGAGCAAGCACAAGAGAGCAGCCATATGATTTTTTTAAACGACAAAAATGATAATCCCATGCTGGAACTTTATTCAGACACTTAGAATAAAAGGAAATTCTATAGGCTAATTTTAAAATACAGATAACAGTTTCCCTTTCAGCTGATTAAATGAAATAGTTAAAATTTAAGGAATAAATAAAAACTTCACAGTGGAATCAGTCTCAAGATGAGAACCCCTAGAAACCTCTGAGAAGTGTAGAAAAAAATCTGAAAGAAGCAGCATTTAGAAATGTGCATTTCACCAGTTAATATAACTTGACCATTTAAGTCAAAGGCAAGTATATAGTCAAGACTCTCTTCTGGCTGAAAAGGAAAATGTCTGCTCCAAGTAAACTGTGCACATAGAGACGGTGAGCCTATGGACTTTCAGTGATGGACACTGTCATAACAGTCAGCCTGGTCATTTATTATTTCCAACTGTTAAGCTCAGGGGCCATCAATTCATAGCCTTTTCATAGCGTTCAGGTTTATTGCTTCTGCTAGAGTCAGAAGGGGCAAAGTAATCTTTCTAATGTGTTCAATGGCTTTTGAGTGAAATTCTAGCTATGCAGCATAAAATCTAACAGAAGATTCAACAAGCTGATGGGCATAGGTTCTCAGGACACAGACTGCTGCATAGCATGGCGGCGAGCCCTATAACTCTCAGAAGAAGTATTCAGAGTACCTTTTTACATAGCGGCTGGAAGCAGAAGACAAATATTAGGTCAATAAGGAGGTTAATATAAATATGCAGAAGCAATGGAGTGGAGTGGTAACAGATGTCTGACATGCTGTTCTGTCAAGGGAAATTTGTGACTATGAAATGTCAATTATTAGTGGCCTAATAGTGGTAACATTGATGATTTGGATCACATTGTAGATGGTGATAATTATGGAAGGGCATAATCTCTACATTGTGTATTTGGCTTTTACCATGTTGCTTCTCATTAAAAAAATGTTATTGAAGTTATTATGTTATTACTACTTTCTAGGACAAAATGAGTGAATCTATTTTCTGTGAATGGCAGATGATCACTGAATCATCATACACTTGGACAAAATAGTAACACATACCAACTCAGTTAGTGCTCCTCGACAGACGATTTTTTGCAATTCTCTTGGATTATGTATTTGCTGTTTCTGACTAAATTATTAAAAATGTCTAAACTATTATAAATGGAGAATTGAATTTGATATTTTCTACTTAGAATTGGCCACTAAAAGGGAATTAGCAAAAATGTTTTGAACAACAACTATTATATCAAACGTATCATGTTAGTTCATCTGAGGGTAGGATGGGGGAAAGATGGGCAGTATACAAAAATGCATATCACACCCCTTACAGTCTAGTTATAGACAGAATGCATATTCATGGAAAGCTGGGTAAAATACCAACATCAGATATTCATTCAACAGCACGAGAGGTCACGGAGCAATTCAGGATAATGTTTCTTCAGGAAGAACTAGGATATGAAATCCCTTGAGTGCAGGCTAGCAGAGAGGGCAATGTCCTGGACTGGACTGGAAACACTTCTCTGAAGACTGAGGCTACCATTGACATTAATGACAGATGAAACTGAGAGGGGAGGAAGAGCTTGGACAATACGCGCAAAAGCTCAGGCAAAGGAGTTCAGGATGTGCTTCCTAATAGATGTCATATTAACAAATGACAAGGCGTCGAAGCGGGGTGTATAACATTTTTCAAGTCAAATTTAAGGCTGGTTAGGCTAGTAGTGGAGAATGGCTCGGCCCACCCTGAAAACTCAAATAATCAGAACTAAAAGTTATAACAAAATATTAAGGGAAGAGTTCAAGGAAATAAATCCCTCAAATCTACAGTATTAGGATAGAATGAGCAAAACTATTCCTTTCCCACAATAACGCAATTGCTATGAGATTACATGCAAACCTTAAGTCTTACAATTTTAGGCATTTGTAGTGTATTTGATTTATGAAAAACAGTTCAAAAATTCTTATTGGCAGTGTCAAAAAATTATTTTCTTAAGATAAAATCTGGATGAGGGTACAGCAGCCTGGGTTGAGATGAAAGGTATTAGTGTACATCTGTCCCAATTACATTTATTGTCACTGCCAAGGAAACACTCATACTTACACCTCAGCCCTGGCTGTGTAAAGGGGCGGCTGCCTTTCTAAGTACAACCCTGCACTTGGAAAGCACGGGGCTGCCAGGTTAAGGAAAACAGATACTCCGTTGGACTTTTTAATGGTGTAACACTTGTGTAATGCATTGTGTTATGGAATGGCTTTTATAAAAAGGTAAAACCAGGAAAACTCTTTAGTGGCCTAGGTCACTGGACTTCATAATGGTTGTTTGCTGTGATACTACTTCGGAAATTTATAGGACCTTTCCCTTCAAACGCTTCAAAAACTTTCTCTTGGGCAATGCTTTTTGAAATAATGCTGTTTTGCTAGTATGTGTCTATAACATACCCATATTTTACAATTCTCAACTCTGGCCATTGGCATCAAAATATTTTTGTTTTTGCATTTAACCAGTAATTTTAGTTTTGTATTTGTTTTCTCTTAGAGAGCTTTCTCAAGGTCAGTAGGCTTCCTCCCCCATTTTCTCTGGACAAGCTCAATTTTAAGGATAAATTATCTATCTTCTCACACTCTGTAGTGGCTTCTCAAATGTTTATCCTTTGTGGAAGTAAAAATCATGCTTTTCAGCTTTATGAAATTTCTAGAGTACACCAAGAATAGCTCCTAATTCTGCTTATTTCAGTAAACAGAATAAGATACTGTAGGTTTACCCTGCTATTTTATGATCTTCTCAAGTTTCCTCAAAGAACTGCTACTTGCCCACCTCTTACACTAAACTTGTAGGGAATTTGAAAAATCCCTGCTTGGAAACTCCTTAATGTTCCAAATATAGGTCTCTACACACTGATTTTAATTAATTACCAAAGATAACATAACTTATACTGGAGGTCCAGTTGCTAATCCTCCTAGCCTGCTTTCATCTACAGACATGGACAATTCATCCATGGTAAAATTTAATTTTAGCTATAATTACAAAAGTTTGAAATTAAATCTCACTAGTGCTATGCTCCCATTAATATGAACAAAAAAACCTTTGATCTAGTTAGGATTAATGTGGGGGACAAAAGTAAGATTTCATTTTTAGCTTTCATAATTAATTTGGAAAAAATGTGATAAAGGATTTTGTTTCAAAGAGAGAGACAGAAAGTTTCTGAGTTTCCAGGAAGACGCCTCAGCAGTCCCTCAAACCTTTTATGCCCTTAAAGAATCCTGTGTAAGGTAATAGTAAATTATATCCCAAACTGCTCCTCAAAGTGACAATAATATGTAACAGCTACCAAACTTGAGGGCAAGTTGAAACTTGAACTTATAGTATATTTCTTTCCAACAATTAAAGAAAAAGCATATATGGTGCAGAATTCTGACTTTTTATATGCTACAGAATAATTACATAAGTCAATTATATTAGTAATCAGAATAATCATAAGGAATACGATGCTCTGACACAAAAGAGGCACCATATATTCAATTATCTTACAACATTTAACATTTCTTCATGTTACTAATATTCTCACTGGCATATGAACTTCAAGTTATTAAGGTCCAGAAAATTATAAGAAACTGACAAGCATATTAAGAACCAGATTCTCAGACATATTCAAAAAAATCGAAACACTTGTTTTTTTGGTTTCCATTTATTCTACTTAATGACAGTTGTGGTTTGTGGAATGAAATATTCTCAAGTTTCAAAAATTTTCAACTTATGCTACAAAAGGAGTAATTAATGGACAGAAAGATTTGTGATATGCTCTTACCACATAGCTCTGGGAGTATATGGAGAAGAGTGTCTTTTAGTAACACTAATGTGAATTACTCCAATGGAAAATCATAATGAGTAATTGAGTATAAATGACGTTCATTATTGAGTTAAGGGAACAGAGATGATGTACAGGAGTTGATCATTATTAAAAAAATGTACTTTAACTACAACTTCCTTTTGTCTCAGGCATACTGGTGATTGGATTTTTTTTTTTTTTCTTTCTTAATTGCTTGTGTTTGCCTATTGTCTTCACTGTGCTGAGAGCTTATGGAGTAAACACAAAATACAATGTGGTGATACAAGGTTTGGATATGTTGAGGAAGGGGAAAAGAAAATACATTCAGTTCGATGGGTGCATACCATGTGGTTTCAGTAACCACAAAAAGAGAAAAGATAATATTTATTTATATAAAGACAAACTCCAGTTTGATAGTCCATATGCTTCTTATGTTAATGAATATGTTTATATTTTAAGAAATTTGAACATTGATATTCCATTGGATCAGTGATATATTTGGTGGTTGCATTGCTGAACAAATTTCAAATAGCCACAAAAAGAATGAGGAAATGTTAACAAAAATTGGATTTGGGAGTAAAAAATCGTTACAAACAATGAAACCTAATGATAAAACAAATAAATAAAGCATAAACTTCTTTCACTGGATGAAAATGGTGTACTGTTTCTATGCCACAAAGTGCTAAAAAATCCAAAATGATTTACTGATGATTTTTATTTATCTCCTTAAAATGCATCATCTCTCGTATTTAAAACAGCCAACAGTTACTGAACTTCACTTCTACATGTCGATGATCTATTAATTGGCACAGAAAGGAGGTTGTTGAAATTAGTTAAAGATGGAATGTAAACCCAAAGCCAAAAAAAAATAGATTACTGACAAAGTCCAAATGACTTTATTTGGTGGAAAAAAACACACATTAGACTTTCCCATGAACATTTGTTTGAATTTCATATAGTTTGTCTCCAAAAATGTGATATTGATAGTTTTTTATCAGAATTATATCAGACTGAAATTGTGAGAGGGCAAATAATATAGATGAGACACTTATCTTAATAACAGCCAATTCCAAAGTTTTTTTTTTTTTTTAAATCTTTCTCTCCCCACCTTTGGACACTAATAAGTTCTGAACTCTTCAATGTCAGATTAAAATATAATAAATGTCTAATCAGTTTAAATTCCAAATTATATTGGAGTCAAGGGGTTCAGATAAATGAACAATTAAAATAAGTCTTATTCAGTGTTGTCTAAAGGAAGAAGAAATCAGATATATTTTCTCCTGAATGACTTTAGACATTAATGTTAGTTATTAGAAACTTTATTTCTAATCAAACTACTGGTGGGCCAACTCAAAGACACACTGGTGTTCATCAGTTAAGATAATTGTGTAATATATACAACTTTAGTGTTATGTGTTTGTCAAAACACCTGAGATAAAAAGCTAGCATATGTGCCAGTTTAATTATTTTGGAGAACTTTTGACTGTTTAGGTTATGAGATGAAATATTTATGAATTAAGAAAAAAATACATTTTCTGGGAAATTTAGGAGGTAATCTTAAAAATATTCACAAACAATGCAGAGTACACACAAACATATACTTACAATTTGAACACTTTCACAAAATTCATGTCATGAGGTAAGAACAAAAAGAAGCAGAAGTTACCTGTTACCTTGGCACCACATCAATAGATACTCATTCTTCCCTGACATCTAGGTCAGCTTCTTGGACAGTGAGGCACTCAGACACAATCCAGTCACTTCAGGTCACTTAAGTTCTTTTCTAGCCTCTTTAAATGACTTATCATCAAAACCACAAATTTTATTGTTGATTTTATAGTTTCCATTTGTTTAGCAATAATTATTCTAATCCATTTTTGCACATGTAGGAGAAAATATAGTGTATAGAAATGCATGCATTATGTACAAAGCTTAAGAGTTTGGTTTCTTTTTGTTTTCTTTCTTTTTTGAGACGGAGTCTTGCTCTGTAGCCAGGCTGGAGTGCAGTTGCACAATCTCAGCTCACGGCAGCCTCTGTCTCCCGGGTTCAAACGATTCTCCTGCCTCAGCCTCCTGGGCAGCTGGGACTACAGGCATGCGCCATCAAGCTCAGCTGATTTTTGTATTTTTAGTAGAGACGGGGTTTCACCATGATGACCAGGATGGTCTAGATTTCCTGACCTGGTGATCCACCTGCCTTGGCCTCCCAAAGTGCTGGGGTTACAAGAGTGAGCCACAGTGCCCAGCCAAGAGTTTGATTTCTTTCTTTCTTTCTTTTTGAGACGGAGTCTCGCTCTGTTGCCCAGGCTGAGTGCGGTGGCGCAGTCTTGGCTCACTGCAAGCTCCGCCTCCCGAGTTCACGCCATTCTCCTGCCTCAGCCTCCCGAGTAGCTGGGACTACAGGCTCCCGCCACCACGCCTGGCTAAGTTTTGTATTTTTAGTAGAGACAGGGTTTCACTGTGTTAGACAGGATGGTCTCGATCTCCTGACCTCGTGATCCGCCCACCTCGGCCTCCCAAAGTGCTGGGATTACAGGTGGAAGCCATTGCGCCTGGCCAAGAGTTTGATTTCTAAGGTCATGTTGGCTGGGTTCAAATCCCCTGATCCAACAAGTATTAGGTTTGTGACTTGGGTTAAGTTTTTCAAACTTTCAACCCTAGTTTCTCATCTGTGAAATGAACATAAGAATGATAATACCTAAATCATATTGTGTTTCCTAGAATAGTAACATTAAAGGATCTAAGAATGGCTAGCACATATTAGGCACAGAAAAGTTTACCATTATAAATTGAATTATTTTTAAATTTACTTACAGTAAAATAAACTCCTTTAGGTTGTACGGTACTATAATTTTTGACTGATGCATGAAGTCATACACCAACCAAATTAGGACTTTGAATAGTTTTGTCACCTCTCAAAAGAAACCCTCATGCTACATTTGCAGTCAAAATCTCCCTTGATCCATGACGTTGGAAATCACTCATCCATTAGCCATTTCTACAGTTTTGTATTTTCTAGAATGCCATATAAATGGAATACAATATCCTGACTTTTGATACTGGCTTCTATGATGTTGTATAATGCATTTAGGAATTGATATATTTGCGTACATCAAGTTTCTTTCCATTTTTGTTTGTTTATTCCCTATTTCAGGGGTATCTGGGTTTTCAGGTTTTAGTTACTACAAATGGAAGCTGCGATAGACACTGTGTAGGTTTTTGTTTTGTTTTGATATAAGTGCATTATTGTTATATAGTTCACATAAGATACATTGTGCATTTAAAATATACAATTAACTGTTGTTCTGTGTATTCGATGCACTCAGTGGATTTTTTTCTGAGACTTTTACAGTTTTACTTCTTAAGTTTAAATACATGATTCATTTGAGTTAATTTTTGTGTAGAGTGAGAGGGGTCCAACTTTCTTTTTTTTGCAAGTGGATATTCAGTTTTCCCAACAAAATTTTTTGAAAACTAAACTTTCCCCCATTGAATTGTCTTGATACCCTTATCAAAATCAATTGACCATATATGCAAAGGTTAATTTCTGGCTCTCAAATTCATTTCATTGATTTATATTCTACCCTATATGCTAGTACCACATTATCTTGATTACTGTAGCTTTCTACTAAAGTTTAAAATTCTAAAGTATAAGTTGTCCAACTTTGGTCTTCCTTTTCAAGATTTTGGCTTTTCTAGGTGACTTGATTTTTCATAAGAATTTTAAGATCAACTTGTCAAGTTCTATGAAGAAAGCTGGGGTTTTGATAGGAATTACATTAAATCTGTTGATCAACTTGGTTAGTACTGCCATCTTAACAAAATTGAGTCTTCTGATTCATGAATATGGAATGTTTACAAATATTTTGATCTTTTAAAATTTCTTCTAAGAATGATTTTTAAGCTTGTGTGTAACATGCTTGTATTCATCTTTTATATCTTTAGCATTAATAGTGATAGCTCCTTTTTAATATTATGAATTTGAGTCTTCTTTTTTCTTGTCAGTTTCAATAGTAGTTTACATATTTTCCTGATATTTACTAAGATAATACCATTTCTTCTATTAAATATTTTCTATTTTGTTTTTACATCATTATTTTTGTTCTTACTTTTATTCTTTTCATTTTTTGGCTTACTTTGGGTTTAATTTGCTTTTCTTTTTCCAGTTTCTCAAGGTGGATGTTCCTGTTTTTTATTTAAGACCTATAATATTTTGGTATAAACATTTACTACCATAAATGTCTGTCTTAATGCTGCTTTAGCTTCATTTGATATACTGTAATTAAAAATGCTTTAATTTTTCTTTGAGACATACTCTTATATCCACTGACTGTACATGTGTGCTGTTTAATTTTAACACATTTGGGGATTTTTCAGGTATATTTTGGTTAATCTGATTTCTATACTGATGCTGATATTATCATGGAACATATTATATTTGGTTTTAATTCTACTAATTTTTTAAGGTTTGTTATGTGGTTAAGAATATGGTCCATTGTAATGACTAGTCAATGAGTACTTGAAAGAATATTGTGTTTTTTTTTTGTTTTTTTTTTTACATTTTTCAGCGGTGGTTAAGTGGCATGTTCTATAAATGTCAATCAAGCTCTCATTCAGAGATTGGAAAACTTTTTATTAAGCAGTAAATACTTTAGGCTTTGCAGACCAAGAGGCAAAATTGAGGACATTATGTAGATACTTATAGAACCGTTTAAAAGGCAACTATTTAAAAGTATGAAAAACATTCTTACCTTGTAGACCATACCAAAAATGTGGTGGTCTGGATTTGATTGATAAGCCATAGTTTGCCAACTTCTGTTCTAATTTGTTTACGGTATTGTTATAATTTTTTATATCCTTGCAAATATTCTCTCTTTGTTCTATCAATTATCTATCAATTATACAGACAAGAGTGTTTAAACCTGTGGATTTTTCTATTTCCCCTATTAATTTTATCTGTTTTTAATATTTCTTATATTTTGGAGCTCTCTGTGTGCAAATACTTTTAAGAGAATTGTAGTTGGAATTTGTTGAGCTTCTTGCATATCTATCTATCTGTCTATATCTGTCTATCTATCTATCTATCTATCTATCTATCTGTCTATCTATGTAAAAATATATGCCTTTTGCCAAGTTTGGGATGCTTTCAACCACAGTTTCATTAAATACACTTTGTGCAAAAAATCTTTTATCCACTATTTCAGGAAATCCAATGTCAAAAATGTTAGATATCTAAATATTATTCCACTGGTTTCTAAGGCTGTGTTCATTGTATTTTCTATATTTTTTCATTATGCTGTTCAGGTTAGATAATTTCTATTGTTTAATTTTACTGTTTTTTCCTCTGTCATCTTCGTTCTGCTATTCATCCCTTCCAATGATTTATTATTTATTTTTAAAGTTTTCTTTATTTTTAATTGACAAATAATAATTATATATATATTGAGGCAAACAAAATGTGATGCTTCAATCAAATGAAAAAATCAGATTTTTACCATATTCATCAGCTCAAATACTTGCCATTTCTTTATGATGAGAATATTTAAAATCCATTTTTTAGCTATTTTGAAATACACAATACATTATTACTAACTGTAGTCACCATGCTATGCAATCAATCAGCGGAACCTATTTCTCCTATTCCACTGAAACTTTGAACCTTTTGACAAACATTACCCTTTTCCTGTCCACTCCTCCATCCCACCACACCCCAGCCTCTGGTAACCACCACTCTGTTTTCTACTTCTATTAGTTCTTTTTTTTAGATTTCACATATAAGTAAGATTATACAGTAGTTTTCTCTCTGTGCCTGGCTTATTTCACCAAGCATAAGGTACTCTGGGTTCATCCGTGTTGTCACTAATGACAGAACTTCCTGCTTTTTACAAGCTAAATAGTATTCCAATGTGTAATTTTATTTTACACATTGGAAAATGAGCAAATTTCTCTGTCTTAAAATTTTCATTTGCTTCTGTTTTATGGTTTCTCTTTCTCCAACTTTCTGTTCATTTGAATTGCTCATGTTTATTTCATAAAATATGATTATAATACTTCTTTAAAGTCTTTGGTAATTCCAACATCTGGTTCATCTCAGGATTGTCATCTATTGATTGTCTGTCTCTTGATTGTTGGTCATATTTCCCCGGTTCTTGATAGTTTGCGTTACTTTGGATTGTATCTTGGACATATGGAAAGCTATGTTGTGAGAAACTGGGTTTTTTTAAAATCCAGTGGACGCTATTGAGTTTTGTTCATTAGTTTTAGCAGACAATCAACTTAAGTACAGAATACAAGTCAAACTGCCTTTTGTAGTTAGTGAATCTAAAGTAAGTTCAATTTTTAAAGTGCCTACTATATTTTTTGCATCTGCCTCTCATCTGAGCAACTCAGAGGATGAGCTAGAACTTGGGCACAGGTTTAATATAGTAACTCACTTTCCAAATCTTCTGCTCTGCTTTCAGGGTATGTTCTGTACATGGACAGCTTAGGATGAGCTTAGAACTTGTGTTGGTTCATATACAAATTTAGGTATCTTTCTTCAGCTCCACTCCTCTCTGAGATCTCTCCCACACACTCCAGTATCTATGAGCTGGTTTGTTCTGGTTCGTCTAGACAAAATCATGAGATTCTCTCAGTGTTTTAGCCTCCCAAGCTGGTGTGCAGTTCCATATAACTGGGCCTACCTTTCGGGGCAAGCAAAGAAAGACAATATAGAGAAAAAATTGGAAATCTTCTGCAAGGGGACCCCATTCTCCATTTCTGATTCTAGAATGATGACTTTTTTTTTCTTATGTCATTAGGTACTTGTGTCACTGCTACACTACTGCATTGCCGTTCTGTGACAGGACTGGATTTGGTGTGGAACTTAGAAGGTTAAAAACAAACAAACAAACAACAGGAGAAGAAAAACAATTCTCTTTACTCTCTTCAGCTCATAGAGGGCTTTTTTATCCCCCTGGTCTGCTAGCCAGAAAGAGATTACTAAGAGATTTCGATTTATTTGTCTTGCAATGGGGAGCTAAAGAAGAAAAAAAAAAAAAACTACATGAAACCAAACATGACCATATTGGTTGTTCCTCAAGTTTTCATGTCTTTCCCAGTTCTACTGTTGTCATCTACTTTTCACGTTCTTCAGGTGGTTGCTTTTTGTGTTTTGTCAGTTTTTAAGCCGTAATCAACCTTAATGTGTTTCCATCAAGTGGAATTTTCACCTCCTCTCTTTTTAAATTCTGAGGCAATATGCACACATACACTGAGAAGTCCTAAAAAAAAAAAAGAATGAGTACTTTGTACTTCTTCATAGCAAATGTTCTAATTTACTTAGCGGTAAAAGTTACAGTGTTTTTTTTTTTGTTAGCATCAGATAAGTTTGGGCATTTGGGAATAGAGCTCACATTTATGAATAAATGGTCTGAGTGATAAATGAGAATTGCTATTTCTAGAGAAAGTTATTTCTTTCTTCAGAATCTTGATTTCCTTAAGATCCTTTATAGAACTGCAAAGACAAATGATCACATTTGATTAGTTATACTGTGATACCTGAATAAATTAAATAATATTTAAACGTTAATGTTATATCAGATCTGTAATTAGTTTTTATCCTAAAAAGATAAACTGGTCAAATCATTCTCAAGTAGTCATGCAATATTGCCAAAGGACATTACAAGGAAATATCTTTTCATGGATTTAAAAATAATCTGATACCCTCTAATTAAAAAAAATGATATACATGTCACAATTGAAATTTATGATTATTAAATGGTACTGAAAAGACATTGAACCTATTTAAGCATATGTTTTGAATATTTTTATTAACAATTATTTCTACAAGTGTCTCACAATGTATTATTTAACATTTAAAATTAAAATTAAAATTAGTGAGATTCCAAACACCCAAGACATTGAAAATCAACTCTTGTGCCATGGAGTAATTGGGGCTAAGATAAAAGTTACAGTCCACAAAAGGCTAAATATTGATCTGTTCAGTTTGCATCCATTATTGCTGATCTTTCAGGATTTAAATATCGATTGGGCACTGCAGTTACGATAAGCTAGAGCAAAGACTCATCCATATTGCAATGTTGGGCAAAAGAAAAAGAGTTTTAACCTCAATAAGCCTATGGCCTAGTTGGAAAATGCCATCTTCCTTCTAAATCTTTAGCCTGCCTATGAAAAAATTAATAATTTATTGAAACATATTTTATGACAGGACTTTCCCTTCTGTCTCTCTGGCATGCATCCAGTGTACACTATGAAGTAACAGTTGGAAAATGACCTCCACTTCTTCAAATGTGTTGTTTCTTTAGTTTGCTTAATGTTAATCATTTATTTGAAAAAAAAAAAAAAAACTAGAAATGCTTCTCAGAATGGCTAAACTTTCATGCTCATTGTGGCTCTTTGCCAGAGTCTAATATGACATCAGAGTGATGTTACTTTGGCTGTGCCAGCCATACTAGAATTATAATGCATTGCTGTGATGATATATTAAACATTGACTTGGAACCCGAATACATAATTGTTAATGACAAAGGGAAGCATGATTTAATATCTCCTATGCCGCCCTCCTCTTCAGCTGCCCCCACTCCCCGAGTTGCTTAGGGCCATGTCTTCTCAATGCATTGTCATTATTTCAAGTAGTACATAGCACACATTTGTAAGTACCTACCAAAATTTCCTTGTTGGAAATATTTTATATATAATATAGCACTCCAAGGATTTTCCCATTGTTTTATGTTTTAATAAAGCAAAGTTAAAGTCTCAATTTTATCCCTGTTTCCCAATAAAGAGTACAATTGCTAGTTAAACATTAAATACCTGATTGTTGATAGATCAAAAAAGCATTAAAAATGCCTTGAAATGTCTCACACTGAAGCTCATTTGTTTTCAATCTGTCCAGAAACCATATTTGTAAACTCTCAGCCAACTTTTCAAAGGAAAAATATCCTTCACATTTTTACCAACCTAGCAGAATCAACTTCTGCCATATTGTCTCATTGACATTTATTTCTTATAATAATCAGCAAAAAAGTGTTATTGTGAACAAAATCACAAGGCAAGAAGTTCATGATGCCCTTGAGTCACTAATTTATATTTGTCTTTCTCTGTTTTCTGGAGATATTTTTCATTTAGTTTCTCTTTCAAGTATCATCTTAGCTGTCAGATATTTTCCTAAAAACCCTACAATGTGATTTCAGAAATGTCTTAAATTTATTATCTTGAGAAGAATCTATAAGACACTGATTTCCCGTTTATCTTCATTTTTGTGTTTCTAACGTCTGACATTATTTGGCCTTGTGAGTTGCAAGAAAAGATATAGCTCACAGTTTAATGACAATTTCCTCTACTCTGCCTTTTTCAAGTTTCAAATAATCAGATATTTTAAAAACAGTTGCTATTAAACAAGTAAAAATTTTCAGCTTCAGCTCTTTCTTCACATTTTTTGTTAGGAATAATAGACAAATTTGGGGGCCATAAACTCTACCGAATTTCTTCATAAACTATTCATGTGGAAGGATTTTAGACAATTGTTTTGTCCTAGAACTAGTAAAATACATTGTAGGATCACAGCTTCTCAGTTCGTAGACCATCATCCACCTTGACTTATGATATACATTTTTGAATAAGTGAAAGTTTCTCCACAATTTTATATTTATAATATTAACATTTTATTTGGGAAATGGGGAGTGTTCTGTGGACTGCTTTCATTTTCATTCCCATTTCTCTAGCAATTATAAATTTGCTTGGAATAAAACTAATAACATGCAGATTTTAGTTACTGACGCTTTTCAAGATAGCTCTTTCTAATGTATAGTCTTAGATTAAGGTTCAGTATACTGAAAGAGAAGTTAGGGGATAGTGAGGAATAGCAAGAAAACATTTTGAATACATTATGTTTGGATGTCAAAATTGCGTTTTAATGATAGAGTTGGGTTGATAGAAGGAAAAAAAATGTTTCATGAAAATACCTTAGGCTGGCAAGTTTTGCAGTTTTCGGGAACATTTTTATTTAAATTATTTTCCCTGTCATATGTAGCCGGAATGGTCTATGGACTGTTACAGCACAGGAAAGTGACAGTGTTTACCCTCTTGCTGGATAGCCACTGACAGAGAGATTCAGAGGCATAGAGGATACACTTTGTGTAGTTACTTTATAGTAATCACTATACATGGCACATAGTAAAATCATCCTCCGTTCTCAGGGTAAAAATGTCTACTGTCCCATTAGCTTGATCATGTTTTTCAAATAACTATTACTAAAAATGTCTTAAAATTCTCACTATTTGCCAGAATTCATTGAACTACATTCGTGTTTCTCAAGTTGTATGGCATACCATAATATTTACATAGGGTACTTGCAAAAATTTTGGATTCTGGATCCTTGGGGACAGATATGTTGAATCCGATTATCTAGAAAATTTTACTCTGTTTTTGGTCTTTCACATTCCTGGAACAGTATACATGTACTGATCATTTAAGGAAGGATCCTTTATGATCTATCTGCTCCAACACAAGTAGGTATTGTAATCCCAGCATCAATAAATTGATATTATTTTTCAGAATTGCCTTTTCTAAACCATGTTGGATAAACCCATACACATATTGAGAATTATATGGTTTCACAGACTAAGGCATGCAAGATATTGTTGCTTTTTTAGCTGAGTTTGGATAAATTTGTAATAGTTTACTCAGTTTGGACTAAAACTCCATTTTAGCAGTATATGAATATAAAATTATAAACTTGGTAACTTGATTTTTTTTGAACCAGAATAGTACCATCTCTGAAAAACTGACAAAGAATGAAAGAATGAGCTAATTCGGTCTGAATTCATTATCAGCCATATGACCTTGAGCAAGATACTGATTTCTGCCTATTTAAGTTTCATGAACAATAAAATGGGATAATAGTACATATCCCATAGTACTGTCATGAGAATAAAACCACGTAATCAGCATGAAGTATTTATCAGAGTGCCTACCATATATAAAATCAATGTTTTGCTATTGCAATTGTTAAAACTGTTTCAAAATATATACTTTCTTTTTATTATACTTTAATATTATTAAATATACATAATAATATATTTAATAATATTATTATGTGCACATATTATACATCTGCACAACGTGCAGGTTTGATGCATATGTATACATATGATATGTTGGTTTGCTGCATCCATTAATTCATCATTTACATTATGTATTTCTTCTAATGCTATCCCTCCCTCATCCCCCCACCCCATGACAGGCCCCCGTGTGTGATGTTCCCTGCCCTATGTCCAAGTGCTCTCATTGTTCAATTTCCACCTATGAGTGAGAACGTGTGGTGTTTGGTTTTCTGTCCTTGGAATAGTTTCCTCAGAATAATGGTTTCCAGCTTCATCCATGTCCCTACAAAGAACATGAACCCATCCTTTTTTATGGCTGCATAGTATTCCATCGTGTATATATGCCACATTTTCTTAATCCAGTCTATCATTGGTGGACATTTGGGTTGGTTCCAAGTCTTTGCTATTGTGAGTAGTGCCGCATTTGTACTCTTGCCCAGGCTCTTTAGTATTAGAGGGAGACTACCATTTGCAAGTAAAAGCCTGGTTATCTCCCCAGAGCTTTCAAGGCCTCACTCTATTCTCACACTCTCCTCATGTTTCAGATTTATCCTCTACTACTCCCTCAAAATTGACTGTGTATCAGTCATGTTGTTCTCCGTGCATCCCCCATGTACCCTCTGTTCTTCTTGATCCATGTGACTGAATGGAATCTCCATGCTTTACCAGCTGTTGAAATCCAACAACCCTTGGCCCAAGCTCCTGGAAACTTTTCTGGTCTACAGAAGCATCTCTGATCCAATCATCAAGATCCATTCTACTCCAAGTTTGGTCTACTCATCAGTGACAAGCCAGCCACTGAGATCTTGCAGAAATGCAGAATCTCAGACTCCATATCAGGTTTATGGAACCTGCATTTCAACAGGTTTCCCAGGTGATTTTGATGCACATTCAATTTTGAGAAGTGCTGACCTGAAACACTTTGAGCAGTGGTCATCAATTTAAGCTGTGCACTGGAATTACCTGTGATCCTCTAAAAAATGACTCCTGTCTTCCATTTCCAGATACTCTAATTCCATTGGCTCAGCTTTTATCCCAGAAATTTTGTTTCCCAAATTCTTGATGAGCTCAATATGTAGCCAAGTTTGACAACTCCCAACTTAGAGTCCAGTTAGCACCATTATATATGATGTGTCTCCTCCAATTTTTTACAGAATCCAATCGACTTCAAATGTGATATAGATAGATATGTACATATGTATATATATACACACACATGTGCACACACACACACATACACACAAACATATGATTTCTCTGAAAAAGTGATAAAGTAAAATTATCCATACTAACTTTAAAAACAGCTGTAATTTTTCTTGCTACCATTGTCCAGGTGTAGATACTTATAGCAGGAAGGAAATATATAAAAGTTATTATAGCTTGCTAAGTTCCAAAATTCCATGAAATTGAGGTCTATTATCTTCACATTTTTTATAAGAAAACTTTAGAAAGATTAAGTAACTTGTCCAAGGTTACACATCTAATAAGCAGCAGCATCAGTATATTGACCTCAGTCAACTCCTATGCCATTTGCCTTCCTACATTAACAGACAAATGATGGTACAGAGCAATAGTGAAATCATCACTCTCAGTTCCTCTGTTGAACTAATTATTGAATCTAACTCCTTTTCATTCTCACTCTAACTGCCAGGTTCTACATCTTTTGTGTGAATTTTTGCAATAATTTCCCAGTTGCTCTTTCTGAGTCCAGTTTCTCAGTTCTTCATTTCGTATTGTTTCCAAAGACAGCCCTGTAAATCATAAATTGCATCATGTCCCTTTCTGCTCTACCCACATGATGGGATCTTCCAGTATTACAGTCCGCCATAATTTGACACCCACCTGATGCCATTGACTATTCCCTTTTCTCAACTTGCGATGTCTTTCCTCATCTAAAATGCCTGATGTTCTTGTTATTCCTGAAGGTTCATGTTAACTAGCCTCTAAAGCCTATTAAAATATGGTCTGTGCTTCTGAAGTCTTTGTAAATATTTAAATTATGAAACCTATTGTAAAACTTTTTTCCATTCACTGTCATGTTATATTATTTTTAATATTTGCCAGTGTGTGGTACAGTGCCAGGATGCACTTTTGGAGAAATGGTCTTTTGAGGCCTGGAGACAATGGAGAAAACCCTATGTCAGGAGTTGTCCATTCTTTAAACACATTTTATATCCAAGACTCATCATGGGACCCAAAGTAATAAATGCTTTCTGCCCAGATTTAAACATGCTTTAAATAAATTTTAAAGAGGTGTAGTGAGGCAAGGAGTTAGCAAAGTTTGTATTCCAAGACTTTTCTCCTATGATGAATTTTTGACATCTGCAACACTGTTCTTATGCACTAATAGATCTAGGCTGTATTGTACTTCTGGGTTAGCCATAGATGGGACCCCTCCACTTTGTCTACCATTAAATATTAGAGGACAAATAAAGGGAAATATCCTACAGAAAATAAAATTAAAGAATATCAGGGACTGGCCTTGTGCAAACTGACAATGGCGTGTCACATGTTTAACCCTACAGGGAATTTGGATAAAAAGTAAAAATATAGACATTATATCTGACCATCATTTCTCACATGGAAAGGAAGTGGCTTCATTTCCTTTTGAAGGGTCTCCTTAACAATATGTCCTCGCTTTTTGCATAGACATGATATCCTATTATGTGTCATAATCCCACACCTAGCTTACTCCTCATATTCTTGATGCTCAACAAATATAGGTTTAATAAATGAATATTTATTGTCTTAAAATATATCTAGACTATTTTGAAGAAACAAGAATGTTTTACAATTACCATATATGAAGGTTGTTTTCACCATCTCAAAATCCATCCCATTATATAACCACCACATATTAAATATCACTTTTAATAAATCAAGAGAATACTACCATGTGTATCTGTATTAGATTCACATTTAGAGATAAAGTCAATTATTAATTATTCAAACACAACTGCTTAAACCATGTTAATTCTCAAAAACAGTTAATTTTGCATTTATGTATACAAAAAAAAACATAACCACAAACACAGAAATTTTACCACGGTCATTTGACTGAATTGGTTGATTAACCTGAACATAGAGGTTCAGTCATTTGATTGAGCCAGATACTACCTTACAGAACTTTAATCCATTGGCTAACATATCCCATTTATCTCAATGTTACATATACTTCTGGTTTGCATTTAACACAATTTGGCTGCATTTATTTGAGTGATTAAAGTGACTAAATAAGTTCCAAGACAAGTCTTAGAATTGTACAGCATGGATGTTGACAATACATTTTCAAATGCCAGGAATATTTTTGGCACTATCGTAGAAAATAATTTCAAGACCTGATACAAATTTGCTTGCAAGCCTTCCTCTTTATTTTTCAGTATATTTTAGTGAGGGACTCCTGTGAGAAATTAGCGAGGTCTCTAACACAGAATTTAAATTCTTACTGGCCAATGGAATTCTGCAATTCCATTAACACAAGAGCCTACATAACCAAGATTTATATTGCCAGAAACTCTTGTTTGATTTATAATCTGGTAATCCTTTTATCCTCCATTTATATGCAGTATTACTTGACGTAAGTGCAAGAATGCCTCTGCTAATAGAATTCACGAATAGTGGACCAAGACATTTTTTTAGATCATAAAGCCTCCATGAAAAGAGGCAGAAAGCGAAAGCCTGAGCCTGGCTATGATGGGATAATGGGATCTGGCTTTAGCATAGTCTCATAAATGAAACTCATGTTAAAACTACTGATTTCAGAACAATAGATTGGCATAAGGTTCTCTTTAGATGGGTCTGCTCCCTCAACTTAGCCCACAAAAGTATTTTACCAGTCCTTGAGTCACAAGAGAGTTTAGATACTTGTAATTTTTGTTACAGTTTATATTAAAAAGTTATGTGGACTTAAGAAGTATATGTATATGGAGAGAAGCAAAGAAAGTGGAGTCAAGAGGGAGAGAAAATCCTAAACATCATTTCTGGGATACAAAGAAAGCTGGATATAAATGAATAGTCACCAAGTCCACTTTATCTATAACATGCCGTCTTTTAATCAGACACCAATCAAAACAAACAAAAATAATAATAGTAAACTAAGTGTCCAAGGTTTCTGTCAGTTACAACCTTCTCTGTACTATTCAGCTTCCACTTCCTTTCCCCCACCATTACATCATATTTGTTTACTATACTTTGAACTTGGTTTGAGAAATAATTTCTGTTACTGTTTGCCACTCAATAATAAAATGTTGTTTCTGTCTCTTACCATTCATCCAAATGCTGATTTTGAACAGGCATTATTTCATTTTCATGATTTCTCTGTACACATTGCAAAATTCTTATTTGAAAACCTCTTAGATGTGTAAAAAAGTATGTTAGCCCACAGCCACACATAATATATGCATGGAAAAATCTAGTAGAATGGTGCTCATCATTTTGGGGAAGTATAGTGAGATATCAAGTGATTTGGGGGTGTTTGCCTTTGTACCTTATGTGTTTTTTAAACTTTCTACTTGAATACATATTATTCCAGAGTTTCAGAAAATTCAAAAGCATTCTTGTGAAGAAGTAAACTTTGAAAGTGCCTAGATTAATTAAACAAGGATATGGTGGAGCATAATGATCAGGTCATAGGAAGGCAGTGCTTTACTTAAGAGGTCATCCGAAATAGTCTGCTATTCAAAATGTTTCAACCATCTTTGAATTTTCTGTGATTTAATACCACTCTCTTATCTACAATATGTCTTTGATACTTTTGTCATTTGACATCTTAAAACTTACATGATATGGCATCACAATACTTGATAAACTGGGGTTAAATGTGGTTTAAGGTCAATTTAACCACCTAAACAATATTAAAATAAATTGCACAAGTAAAGCAGAATAAAATATTGTTTACTGTAAGTTTAATGGCTTCAGACATTGGATAGTAAATGTGAATACTTAATTCTACTGAATTAATAGTTAAATTATATTTTAATGATTTGAGAGGCAGAGAAAAAAATGGGATAGAAATCAAGGGAGGGAGAAATGGAAAGGCAGAAGTAGAGTTGGATGAAGAGAAAGGAAAAAAGAGAGAAAGATATATTAGTAATATTCAGCAAGATCCTATGCCCAGATTGAAATCTTGACACACTGTTCCCTTAGTTGATGAGAATGTGAGTCAGCTTCAAAATGTCTCTGTGTCTTCAAAAGAGAGATTACTATCTATAGGATCCCACGCCACGAACACTCTGCCTTGCAGTTTGTGCTGAATACAAAGCTTGGCATCATAAAAGTTGTACAACTAACTCTTCCTCTATTAAAATGCATATATTTATTATTAATTATTATTAAATTTCTTAATTTTAGACAATTAGGGGGCAATGTAGGAATTTTGTTGACTCATTAGGAAAACCTAATGTGATATTCCAAACAATGCAACACTGTATTAAAAGTCTGTATTTATAGCATTAATTTTAAGTCCTCATTTGAACTGTTATATTAAAGAAGAATACAAAAAAGGTAAAAGGTAAATCTCAAAGTTAAGCTGGGAGCTTTGCCTATTTAGTTTTCCAATTTGCTGAACACACAAATAAGCTCATACCACCCTGCAAATTAACTTGACACCTTCTTTCTTTTTTATCTATTTCCCTCTCTTTGGCCCTCTTTCCATTTTTTTTTCTCTCTCCTCCGTATCCCTTCTTGAAAATGTTCTTCCACCCCAGTACTGTACAAATAGAACTTTGCGTGTTTCTATGTCAGTTCTGAATTCCATTCATTTATTCACAATGATGAGTAAAGACAAATTATTAAATTCACTTCTAAAGCAGTTAACGTTTTCAGAATCTTCATGTGTTACAGCAGTTCATGATTCAGTCAAAATGAATCAAATAAAATATTGCCTATGTTTTATATTCTTCTTCCCTGTGTCTTGCAATCTAGTTGTACTGAAATAAAATTAGGAAGTTGCTTGGAATTAATTTAAGCATTATACTGCATTATACTAAAAGTAATCATATGTGTAGTGCATTACTGTAATGCATTATTTCTTATTTTCTAGATAATGATTACATCTGTGATACTATAGAATAATACCGTAACTAGATTCAATTTTTCAGCAAAATACACTTAATTCTGGTAATCATTTAAAAATCGGTGCGTTACAATGTCTATAAGATTGTACTATTATGAACAAGAAGAATGCAGTATTTATACCTTTTTTAATATCTGTATATGAAAAAAGTCAGCGACTGATTGCAAGTATTATATCATCTTGAATTACAATAGGCAAAATAAGGACCAGGGGAAAAATTTGGCATTCCAATATTAGCTTAAATCCTTGTTAGCATGTTTTTTAAGCAATGTGCATGTGTGTGTAGTGTATATGTGCTTAAGCAAAAAATTAATACAGAATAGAAAAGATTGTGTTCCATGTGTAACGAAAAATAATATAAAATAGTTGATAAAACATTTTCTTGGAAAACTCATTTTTTTAAGTTAGTAACAATAGATTGTCTCCAGAGGCAGAGAAATGAATTAATGCATCTCTAAATATCATTTCAGGTTGTTTAATCTGTGAAAAATTTTAAAACTAATTTGGTAGAAGTTGAAGAATTAGAAATATATAAGTTTAATTACTCTTAAAAATCTTACAATTTGTTGGAAAAGTTAATTCTTTGATTCTCAGTTTTTTCCTTAGAATGAGGACAGCATTTCTCAATGTTACTATGTAGATAAAATGATATAACAAAAGTTAAACCAACTAGCATAAATAAGTATGCTTTCTCTCTTCCTTTCTTGCTCTCTTTTTTTCAGATATGAGTTTGTCCTTATTTTTAGGGATTTTATATGTGTGAGGATAATTATTTTCCTATACTTCTTAAAATAAGAATATTAATATGACTGCCCTTGGTCTTATGGAATTATCTCTTCATTTTAAGAAACTATTGAAGGCTTATAATAAAATAACATCAATTAAATATATTACCTCTAAAGTTTGTGTTTAGCTTGCTGGATTTTCTCTCTTTTTTGAGAGCAGTAATATAAACCACGTGATGAAAATATTTTTTCTTCCCTTTTTATTGATATATCCCCAGTGTCTAGAAAATACCTCAGACATATTTTGCACCCAACAAGCATTTGTTGAACTGAAAGTATAATCAAGTTTGATTTGCAGCACATTCTTCTTAGTCTGCTTTAATTGAATATAGTTTTGGCTTGGCTTGATTTTATTAAAAATGGACAATTAAATATTTTGAATAATTGAAAATTATTTTTATTATTTACAAAAAGGAGCAAATGATGCACATAATAGGAAGTCAATAAGTGGACTGGGGAAACAAAAATATTTGAATCAGTCTACTCATTTTTAGAAATAAATTAAGAACCTAAAGTTCATTCCAATTATTTGGAAAAAAGAATATTAGTTTACTACCATGGCTGACATGAAAAGAAAACTTACATAAAGTTAACAAATATACTCATTGTCTTAGGGAATTATTTTTGATGACAGTATGCAAAACTGAGTGTTCTGTTAAGTCCTGTAATTCAAAATTGGTAGGAAAGAACTGTGGAATCTGAACTCACTTAAATATTCCGTCTATTGGAATTTACAAGAGTACTTGAAATTTATGATATATGCTACTGTGCTTTTATTCTTCAGCTCATTTTATTAAAACAATTTTCTTTTACTTTTGATCTTTCATAATAATAAAAGCTTTGTAGAAGAGGAGGAAGACAAGAGCTACCATCTGGAGAGCAGAACGTTTTGGGAAGCCATCAAAGGCAAAGAACCTAAGAATCCAGGAAGATCTTGAACTATTACCCTTTACTTTAATTTTTAATCATGGAAATATTTGCTTGGAAAAGAGACTGTGTCTACAATGGCAACCATTTTTATATTCAGAAATTTGCCATGTAAAATAATTGAATGTCAGATGAAGAACTGCCTGTCATATTTTGCTATTAAAATAATATATTTTTATGCATAACCTGACCTGCCTTTGTGAGTTACTGTAGCCTGTGGTCTCTCTGCAAGATTTTCCAATGGGATTTTTAATAATATTCCGATGTTTGCCATCTTAAGCAGTGCAAGCTGTTAAACTCAATTTGTGAAAAAAAAAAAATCAGGTATAAAACCAGATAATCTGTATCCCTTTGGAATCAAAAGTCACTTTGCCAAAATATTTTAACACGCAAAATTGCTTCTTGAGAGATGTTTGTCATGATAAAATGACAGAAAACTACATTTCCATTATAATTATAACTGACTCGTGGTGCTAAGTTTTTATAATTTAAAGGTATTCTCAACTCTGACAGCCCTTCCATGTTGAATTATGCATCTCAGGCTCTTAAATAGTTCTGCTGGCACGAGACAGCTGAGATGAAGTTGTCTTTCTAAAATAATTGCTCCATGGAGCATCCATTATACCTTCAGAAAAAATGTATTACTTGACTTCTACAAATTATAGACTAGCCTATAATGGGTATTTTTGACAGCTATTAGCTTTAAAAAAATCTGAACAGTAAAATGAGTATTGATATCACAATGGTGTACCGTGCATGTTAATACCAACCTTCTCTGTACTTTCCTCCTAAAGCATGATGTAATCATTAATTATAATAATATTGATATAACTGCACTCATGTTAAAAACATAGTATTGGCAAAGTATGTAATTTTCTCGCCTATAAGATAAAAAGCATTAAATGAATATTTACAGTAGATTTTGAAGACACTGTCCAAGCTTGAAAGATAAAAAGTGAATTCATTTTTGGCAATATTTTTCTTAATCATGAGATTATTAAGTGTATTTTTAAAACATGAATGAGACAATAATCAATGAATAATAGAGGTAATAATTTTATTCCTCAGATTCTTCTTCAAAATGTTGAACACTGGTAAAAACATAATTTATCAATAAATTTTAGAAATGTTTTCCATTTCTTATCAAGAATTTTATGCATCATTTAGTTCTTAAACCAGTTCTAATTTTTTAAATAAAAACACTTGAAAACATTCTTGCAGGAACATTGCATCCCACAGAACAACAATAATCCAATTATTAAAATCTAGAATGGAAACAATATTGATAGAAATAAAAGTAAAGGGTCATTTTCTTTACTGTTTCCATTTGTACCAATTAATTCCAGTTCTATGAAATAAAATATTTGTGGTTAAATTTAGGGAAATTCTATGCAAATTTAAAGTTTTCTGTGATAAACAAATATAAGGTAAATATTTTCCTAGTGTATTGCATTGCCAGGGCCTTTTTTTTTTTTTTAATGTGACTACAGAGAAAGAAATGGCTTAATTTCCTACGTCTCCCCTGAATAAACAGTTCACAGACCCAGACACATATGGACACATACCTCCTACCTGAAAAATAAAAAAGTTACAATATATCACTAACTTAACATTAATTAACACATCAATCCATAGTGTAGCAACTGCCTAGTCTGTGCTACTTTGCCAAGTACTGATCAGACAGTTCTTACTCACAATTATTCCTTATTAACCGTATCCTAGAGGTTCATTCTTCTATACATGGCCAGAGCCAAAATTACCCAGATACGTGGTCTTTACAAATTCCCTTGGATTTAAATTCATCCTCCCCTCTCAGGCTAACAGTAGAGAGACAATTCCTGGGCTAAGTCCCTGCACTCGTTTTCTTTTGTGTTAGGGATTTGGTTGGATGATGAGGACGGGTGGGAAGTTAGAGGGAAACATAATACAGTTTTAGTGCATCTTTCCAATTCTCATGTCTTACTTTTATGTCTCTTATTCAAATGAAGTTAGAAGACTATAAAGTTAAAGAGATAGAGAAATATTTAGAAATAAATATTTAACCATTGTCTTAAAAGAACAAGAGTAGGAGGGAAGGAAGTAGAAAGAAACAGGTGACAGAGACTTTATACTTCACTATGCATTAGTCACACCCTTTATACTGGGTCCAATGGGTACAATCCAAAGTAGAGAAAAATGCTCTAGTGTTGGGATTAATAGTTTACGTTAAGGTTACCACAATTGTTTATGACAATCTAAGTTAAAAAAATCTCTTTTATATATTCTTTGCAGCTGATATTATATTAAACATTAACACACTTCTTTTTACTGGGTAAGAAATTTTGATAGCATGAGATTTTGATTTTTTAAATATTTATTGTAGTCACAAATTATTAAATTACGAACAAAAATTATTTATCTGTTTACACAATTGAGGCATTATAGATGGAGTTATCAAACAAGTATCTCCCCAAAGCAAAACCACTTATAGTAACAAAAGGATGATTTTTATTTCAAGGGACTTAAATAATGTATTTCTACATCCTTAAAACTCATCGAAAATTGGGTTTATGGGTTTTTAATTGGAAAGACTACCAAGTGGTGAACACTATCTGCTGGGAAGAACCTGTGTCTATAATATTCTTTCAAAAACCCGTGTCATTCCTGTGTTTACTATGAATAAAATTCAACATGTATATTATCTGTTTGTGTGGTATTTACATAAAATGTGAAAATTATACACAAAATCACCTGTGAAAATGCAATGGAATTTTGCATGATTTTAGTTACTACTTTTGATTTTTCTATAGCCTTCACATTTTACACAATACAAATAAGTTTTTATTTACTTTATGTAAGCAATGCAAAAATCTCTTCTTGTTGCAAAGTTTTTCAACAAAAATACAGCATAAAATGTCAAAGTACTTTTTCTGGATGTCTTGACCTTTCCTATCCCCTTTCAGCTCTCGAACCCTAACAACCCAGTGCTTTCCCAGGTGCAACTGATGTTGTTAGTGAGAACTGTCCAGACCTTTATTTTCCTCTAATTTTATTGTATACTATGTATGGAAAGGCTACAGGTTACCTAGTGGTTATTCGATGTCTCAGAATAGAGAAACAAAATCTTCCCCACAGCTTCCTTGCAGAAAGGGGTGTGATGTCCTTCTGGCCAATAAATATAAGCAGAAGTCATTATGTTAGGGTTTGGAGAAACTTTTTTTTTTTTTTTTTTTTTTGAGATGGAGTCTTGATCTCTCGCCCAGGCTGGAGTGCAGTGGCACGATCTCGGGTCACTGCAACCTCCACCTCCTGGGTTCATGCCATTCTCCTGCCTCAGCCTCCTCAGTAGCTGGGACTACAGGCACCCACCACCACACCCAGCTAATTTTTTATATTTTCACCGTGTTAGCCAGGATGATCTCGATCTCCTGACTTTGTGAGCTGCCCGCCTCAGCCTCCCAGAGTGCTGGGATTACAGGCGTGAGCCACTGCGCCCAGCCACCTTTTTTTAAGATTTAAAATGCTGGTTCTTATCCAGCAGCTACCTAATAAGAAGTCTGACCCTTACTTCTATTTTTCCATCTCTTAGCATATGCTTTTAAATTCAGTCCGACCAGCACTTAAGGAACATTTTCAATACAAAGCTTTAGGTTGTCTAGTAAGTGCATTCTTCTATTGAGATTTTCTTGAAGTTTTTATTTCCTAGTAACTCCCTTGCTTTCTGAATGTTCTGTCTTCATAGCAGCCTGTTCTTATTTGAAAAGAAATGTCCCCTCAAACATTCTAAAGATGCCAGCTATTATTTTGCTTTTAATTATTGCCTACTTTCTTTTGCACATATCTACTATTCTATGTTCTCATTTTGATCCTTTCTTTCAAGAGATTTGTTTCCAACATATTTATAGTTATGAATGATGAAGTCAATTATAATGAGTAGTGGTGTTGATTTCTTCAGGAGTTCATCGAAGTGTTTCCAAAAATAGACTGTTCCAAAAGCAAGGCCAACAGGCGCCTTATAAAGAGAGCAGTGGGGAGTTGTAGATTTTGTGTTATGCTGTTTAAATGTGAAGATAGCCACCAATTTCTGTCCTTCCCTAGATTCTAAAGTGAGGATGGCTTGATTTGGCTATTGGAAATCAAGTATTTATCCCCTCCATAGAGCTTTCTTTGTTTTTCTTTAGACCTGTTATGAAATATGTAACTATCCAAGCTTCTCTCTCACTCATGCAAGTGACCACCTGGGAAGCACTTTACACTTTCCACACAGGTCTCAGGATCAGTGCCTTTGTGGGCGAGTTCTTTTGTGGGTAATGAGATGGGGTTTGGAGAAGCAGTGCTGCTCTTTTGAATACATAACTGAAAGTGACTCATCTATTCCCAGGCCCACCTTTTTCTATGGATGTGTTGATTTCACATGTTTAGTTTCTCTGGATATATTCTATCCTTCCCCAAAGTTTTTCAAGATCTGTAATTTCTCTCTGTTCTTTCTACAAGATCCCTTTTAATTTTCTGTCTTTAATAGCTCATCATAATATCTAGGAGAGTCTTTGGCACACTGCTTGTTTCCCTAGACTGTTAATGATATTTACAAAAACAAAAACAAAACAAAAAAACATGTTTTCTACTGATAAGACATTTGAGAGGAAGGGGACACGGGTGGTGTGTTAGTCTGTTTTCATGCTGCTGATAGACATACCCAAGACTGGGCAATTTACAAAAGAAAGAGGTTTATACTGGACTCACAGCTCCACTAGGCAGTGCCCCAGTAGGGACTCTGTGTGAGGGCTCTGACCCCACCTTTCTGTTCTGCACTGCCCTAGCAGAGGTTCTCCATGAGGACCCCACCCCTGCAGCAAACTTCTATCTAGACATCCAGGTGTTTCTATACATCCTCTGAAATCTAGGTGAATGTTCCCAAACCTCAATTCTTGACTTCTGTGCACTCATAGACTCAACACCACATGGAAGCTGCCAAGGCTTGGCACTTGCACCGTCTGAAGCCACAGCCTGAACTATACCTTGACTCCTTTTTGTCATGGCTGGAGTGGCTGAGACGCAGGGCACCAAGTCCCTAGGCTGCATGCAGCACGGGGGCCCTGGGCCTGGCCCACGAAACCATTTTATTTCTTCCTAGCCCTCCAGGCCTGTGATGGAAGAGGCTGCCGTGAAGACCTCTGACATGCCTTGGAGACATTTTCCCCATTGTCTTGGGGGTTAACATTCAGCTTCTCATTACTTATGCAAATTTCTGCAGCCACCTTGAATTTCTCCTCAGAAAGTGGCATTTTCTATTCTATCACATTGTCAGGCTTCAGATTCTGAACTTTTATGCTCTGCTTCCTTTATAAAACTGAATGCCTTTAATAGTACCCAAGTCACTTCTTGAACACTTTGCTGCTTAAAAATTTCTTCCACCAGATACCCTAAATCATCTCTCTCAAGTTCAAAGTTCCACAAATCTCTAGGGCCAGAGCAAAATGCCACCAATCTCTTTGCTAAAATCTAACAAGGGTCACATTTTCTCCAGTTCCCAACAAGTTCCTCATCTCCATTTGAGACCACTTCAGCCTGGACTTTATTGTTCATATTGCTATCAGCATTTTTTTCAAAGCCATTTAACAAGTCTCTAGGAAATTCCAAACTTTCCTACATTTTCCTGTCTTTTGCTGAGCCTTCCAAACTGTTCCAACCTCTGCCTGTTACCCAGTTCTAAAGTTTCTTCCACATTTTCAGGTATCTTTTCAGCAGCGCCCCACTCTCCTGGTACCAATTTACTGTTTTAGTTTGTTTTCACGCTACTGATAAAGACATACCCAAGACTGGGCAATTTACAAAAGGAAGAGGCTTATAATGGACTTACAGTTCCACATGGGTGGGGAAGCCTCACAATCACGGTGGAAGACAAGGAGAAGTAAACTACGTCTTATATGGATGGTGGCAGACAAATAGAAAGAACTTGTGCAGGGGAACTCCTCTTTATAAAACCACCAGATCCCATGAGACTTATTTACTATCATGAGAACAGCAGGGGAAAGACTTGCCCCCATGATTCAGTTACCTCCCACAGGGTCGCTTCCATAATATGTGGAAATTCAAGATGAGATTTGAGTGGGGGGGACACAGCTAAACCGTATCAGGTTGAGTGGGAGTAGATGGTCATTCACATTTCATATTTTAACCAAGTCTTTTTCAAGCTGTACTTATTTATTCCAGAAAAAAATGGCATATGCCTGTTTGTATGTGCATGTAAACAATAAGATTAAAGTATTGACCCTACCCGTGTATGGGAAAAAAATAAGGAAAATTTTCTAATTTTTGTGTTTGTATTTTTTCATGTTTTCAGTAATAAGTATGTATTGGTTTTATAATAAAATAATAATTAAAAATAAGTTCTATAGAACTGCATTAAACTATAGTATGCCTACTTTAATCTTTGTAAAATGAAAATGACAAACTACTATGTAACTATTTTATGTGCCAGGTACTCCTCTAAGTAATTACTTTATGTATATTAAGTTAATCCTCACAGAAGCCCTTAGACATGGATACTATTATTGCTCCCTTTTTGTAGAATTGGGAACTGAGGTACAGATAGGTTAAAGAACTTTGCCCAAGGCAACATGGCCAACATGAACAGGAAGTGGATTTCAAATCAAGTTGTTTTGCTCAATTCACTAATGAAATGTGTGTGTTTTGCCCAGATTGGGGATAAGGGAAGAAACAGTAAGAAAAGGTGCAGGAGACAAAGACTAATTAGATATAGTCTGAGGATTGCTACTTTATTTTAATGCACCAGAATCTGAATAAAAATTAGAAGTAGTTTTTCCTCTGGATTGCAAGACATTGTATGTGACAAATATTCATGTTATAACCCTGCCAGAAATTTAAAACCAATAATTTTAATGAGATTCTTCTGAAAATATTAACAAGATTTCTTTGTGTGGTGGGTTTTATGGAATATGGCAAAAACCACTGTACACCAAGACATCTTATGGTTACTAACTTTTATTGTTAGAAAATAATTTCTTTAAATTTTCTGTCTTCAAATGTTCTAGATAAAATTTCAAAAATGTACATACATGAGAGAAGAACCTTTTTAATGAACATTTTAATGGCATATTCAAGCTGGCTTCTAACTAAAAACTCATGTCGGAGAAACTGTGACACCAAATAAACAACAGAGGAAAAGACTGAAATGTCAACATTTAGTAAAGAAGATGAGAGGAGACATATCAAATTTATTCACTATCTCCTCAGTGAAGTTGGCCTGGAGGCATATCATTATACACAAGACTTGAAATAATCACTCAATTTTACAATCCATACATTAAAGAAACTTGAGTTAAATAAGGGAAATATATTGAGATTATAGCTCAGAGTGGTAAATCTTTTCAGAATTCTTACAAATTATTTAATAGAAAACTTCTCATCTGACAGATAAACTTACAGCATGGGACTTGGAGAGGGGCAAGTAGGTAACTTAAGTGACACCAAGTGTAGATATTGTCCTGTGGAACAACATAGTACATGCAGAACACTGTGGTATCTACAAGTTACCAAACTCCTTAATAAATACTTCTTTGTTTAAAGTGGTTCCTATGGCCTTTTGTTGATTCAATCAAAAACGTGTTTTATTATTTTGAATCCTGACATTGAGAAAGCTACTTAATTTCTCTAAACAAAGTTTTCTCATTCAGAAAATATAAAAATTTTAATGATATGTACTCCTAAGATTGTTATAAGGATGAGGTAACTCAATATTTGCAATGTGCTTAGAACAATGCTGGCACACTGTTATGTTGCATGTGTATGAACGATACTCACAGGAACACATTCATTTTCTGGCATCCTATTGACTTCACCATTGTCTTTCTTAATATATTTGCCTTCTCATTCTATTTCGCCAGAATAAATGAGAATCTTTTTTTTTTTTTGTCCAATTGCTGAGTTAATTTTCAAGTTTCTTGAGCATACCGAGAATCTAAATTCTTGCATGTTGTTGACCTTCATTATAGGATATTAATATTGAGATTTCCTTCGTGTAAATGGCTTGGTGTATATTGTGAGTAAACTAAAATAGGTGTTTGAGAAAAAAAAATTTAAAGTTATCACAAATTATTGAAATGGTCTCTAAAACCTCCATGGGATTATTACAATGAATTTAAAACAAATCATTCCCTGGCTGGGTGTGGTGACTCACACCTGTAATCCCATCACTTTGGGAGGCCAGTGTGGATGGCTCACTTAAGTCCAGGAGCTCGAGAGCAGCCTGGGCAACATGGCAAGTCCCCGTCTCTACAAAAAGACAAAAAGAAAAAAAAAATTAGCTGGGCATGGTGACATGCACCTTCAATCTCAGCTACTTGGGAGGTTGAGGTGGGAAGATCACCTGAGCCCGGGAGGTGAAGGCTGCAATGAGCCATAATCACACTGCTGCACTCCAGGGTGACAGAGTGAGATCCTGTCAAAAAAAAAAAAAAATCTATAACATGCATAATAATACCTAAATCATTTATAAATGGGTGCTGTTATGTATTTTTATCATAAAAACAGCGCAATTCTATTATGTAGATTTTTAGAAATAAAGAGAAGCATAGGAAACATAAGTTCCCCTCTCCTACAAACATTGTTAAATTTTGATTATACCTTACTAATGGTTTTTAATTAATCTTATTTTTTAACAAAATTAGAAACATGTTGCATTCATTGTCTTGTAATCTGATTTGTTCATTTTACACTATAATACCTGTTTTGTTTTTAAACTCCTCTGATTGTAAGGTTAATATATATATATATATATATATATATATATATATATATATATATGTTGAAAAGGTTAAAAAATGCAGCAATGTAAATGAAGAAATATACTGAATACTTTCCTCAGGGAACATTTTTATTTTAGCTTTCTGTATATTTCTATGAAATATTTTCTTTACATATACAACCATATAGATGATATAATATAGTTACATATACTGTTAGTGTGGTGTTTTTACTTTATAATATATCTTGGCTATCTTTCCAAATCAGTACATTGAGGTCTGTTTCATTTCTTTTAAAAGCTGCATTTTATTATAGGAATATACCACACTCATTAAGCTACTACTTTATTGCTGGACATTTGGGTTGTTTCCAGTGATTTTTTTTTTCACTTTTAATTGCATTTATTTTATGCTGAATGTATTCCCATGCCATAAGTTTTTGTTCCTTCATTTTCTTCGGAGATATCTTTTTCTTCTGTGCAACTTCCTCTTCTGGTTTAAGAACAATTTGTTTCTATTCAGTAAGGATGATTTCAATGCAGCAAGGAGGGCTTCTTTATGTATGAGTTAATCTGACCATTAGCTAAAGGCATATCTTGGGTGCTTCATTCACCGGAATATGCTCGATGACCATCTGCTTGTAAAGCCTTAAGTTCAGCATGACTCTGTGCATATTTAAGCATGTGCAGCAAAAATTCAAGCCACCGATCCTATGTCCAGCTCCACTGTTTGGCCTGGGCACACCTACCAACTCCACCATTGTAATGTTGGAATGGTACATGCTGTTTCTGTAAAGTGACATCTTTCAGGTCACTTAGTGGCTTTTCATACATGCATATCCTTGATGGCCTGGGCAGTTTCACGAGTGTTCTTAAATGAATACGATTTGAATCTCTTGATTTGCATGACTTTGTGGGGTTTTCTGTGTCAATCGAATAGTGAACCATTTTCAAATATCACCTCAGGCCACTTAGGGGAAGACGTAGAGCAGTGGCTCCCCAGTTTCTGATATTACCAACAATGACCTAGTGAATCTGCTTATGTTCTTATTTTATGCACTGGTAACAGAATTTCTGTAGAATAAATTCCCAGAAACAGAATTCCTGAGTCAAGGGACAGGCACATTTATAATTGCATTTAGCTTTGATAAATTTCCCTATAATGTGGTTGTAGCACTGTATATGTCCTCAGAGTAGGATAGAAACTGTTCTCTACACATTGTATACTTTTAATGTTTTGCCTAAAAAGCAAAAAATAAATAATTTTTTCAATACTACAAATAGTCATTTTATTTTAGACTGTTGGATCTTTGAGAATTTTTCATGAGTGTCCAATATTTTTGTTGTTTTAGTGGGAAGTTGTTGCTTGAACATGATTGGGGATTTGGATGGAGTTCTTTAATATGTCAATGTGCTTACATGGCATATATGTATATGCAGAGAGAGACAGAGAGAGAAATCAAATATGCCAACATAAACAAGGCATACTTTCTGACTCAAGCTTGCATAGGCTAGAAACAAAATAAGTTTCTAGAAACTAAAGATATTGTATTATGTCAGTTTAGAGGAGTAAAGAAAGGCTCATAAAGAGGCAAAGCTTTTTGAACATTCCTGTGAAATAAATTGAATTACAATTAAACATAGACATTGAAAAAAGTTTTGTTTAAAAACTATTAGTTTAATATCCAGTTGTTAAATGGTCAATTAATTAAAATAATTAAAATCTGAGTTTGTGTGTAAACCTATTAGGTGCATTCCCCCAACACTTTATTAATTGTGATCAGCCGATCTTTGGCTGCTGCTTTGAAGGAGTTCCTGAGGACTCAACGAGTGAGACTGCAGATGCATTAGCAGCACTGAATAAGTGAGGAGAGGGCCTGGAAGTTCTGTGATCCATGATGAGCCTGCTATCTTGGGGAAATGTGAATAAGCATTGAAAGAGATATCACAAAACTGGATCCGAGTTTTTTTTGTTTTTTTTGTTTTTGACAGAGTATCGCTCTCTGTCATGAGGCTGGAGTATGGTGGCACCATCTCAGCTCACTGCAAGCTCCGCCTCCCAGGTTCAAGCAGTTTTCCTGCCTCAGCCTCTCAAATAGCTGGGACTACAGGCGCGCGCCACCACGCCCAGCTAATTTTTTGTATTTTTAGTAGAGATGGAGTTTCACCATGTTGGCCAAGATGGTCTTGATCTCCCGACCTCGTGATCCGCCCACCTCAGCCTCCCAAAGTGCTGGGATTACAGGCATGAGCCACCACGCCCGGCCCCCGAGTCCTTCTTTGAAACAATCTGGTGGCAATTTTAAAATCATGTCATCCCAAATATCAGATTAATTGTTAATAAAATTACTACTGTGAATGACAGGTTGTCTTTGGCTGACACTGAATTGGGACTCTACACTGTTTTAATGATCTCTTATTTCTGCTACCTTCCATGCTCTCTCTCCCTAGGTCAGAATTGCACTCTGAAAATTACATTAAGTTTACTTTCACTTCACATTCCTTTTATTTTTTATAGTTTCTAATAAATAGTCCTTTTTGTTAGTATCTACCTCTCTTTCTCTTTTAGGGTTTGTCACTGCCTGCCTCCAGCACCCTTGCCACAGTAGCTTCGAGGCCATGCTCTCCCTCCCACTTTAGAAACTGAAAGGGGAAATCTTCTTGCTATCCCCTCTTGGTAGCCAGTGCACTAAACCCTGTTCTAGGATCAGCTGAATGACCCTAGCTAGGTCTTGTATCTCAAGGGACTCAACAGAAAAGAGCTGAATAATTAATGGAAGGCTCTGTTCTTATCTGTCCATTCCAGTGGAGTGTTGATAGCTGAGCCTCCCACTTCACAGCCTTCAGAGTTATGTTTTTCCTAACCATTGTCCACTACTGTTTCTCCAGTCTTCCTACAACCTTGAGAACCCCAAATATCCTTCAAATAAATACATTTACTGTATATTACTTACCATCCAAGGATTCCTAGGCATTATATCTAGCCTTTCCAGTGAGTCATTATTTCTTAGGAAGTTTACTCTTGTTAACACAGGAGTAATTATTAAAAATAAGAAAGGCTTCTATTGAAAGAGAGTGAAAATGAAGGGTGAAAAATGCTGGGAAAATGAAACCCTATGTTGCAAGACGACATCATTGTCAGCTTTTGTTAATTGAATGAAAGTGCATATAATTAGAAATAATTGATGGAAGTCCACTTATTTAAGTGGTTAATATATGAGGGACAACATTCATGACATCCTAATTGTAAAAGACCCTGTATTTGCACCAGTGTGCCAGGTACTACAATGCTCTCTAACTGCACTGCCTGATATATTCATTTTCAACAAATTATGACTTTTAGTATAACCACCCCTTTCTCTTTTTCTCTCACTATAGATGTTGTACGTTAATATTAGACTATTCTTAGAGTAAAAAATATAGCTAGCCTCGCTTTGTTTTTTGTCTGATTCCCATCTCTTGGAGATGGGAGGAGATATAGCAATGAAAATCAATGAGGATGAAGCTTAGCCAATAAATGTTTTCTATGCTACTTTGTCTTATTCTTCTGTATGAAAATGTTTGGGATTGTGGAACCAAAGGAGTGCTGTGATTCTAAGGGTGTGGGTTTCAGGGGACCAGGAGGAACTGTCCAGAATTGCCTGCATGAAGGAGAGTAGTGTTTACTGCAGGCTCTGGCTCAGAGAAGAAACTCAATAAATATGAGTAGAAGGAAGGAGAGAGAAATACAGAATAAAGGATAGGAGAAGGCAGGGAGGAATAAACAATGCATGTAAGGTGGATTTTTGAATAACACAATGTGAAGGAATTTCTTCTTTATTCTTTGATGAATTGTAAAGTTTGCATAGATTCTAGCAAAAAAATTGCTACTGAAGAGAGACAGAGATTAAATGAATATTTATAAAATAATTTCTCAATGGCAAAGCACTATATAAATAAAGATATTATTACATATCAAGTTATCATAAACCCAACAAAGCCCACTGTAAGATCTATGGGTCTGATATTCAAATCTAATGCTGTCACTATTTCACCACTCAGTCTCATGGTCCTTCACCTGTTCAATTGGCAAAATAGGAATATCATTTCAGTGTAGTATCATAGGAATGATGTAGTATACACATCCTTAAGGCTTAAAGTTGTTATAAAGTAACTCTACCAAATTGATACCATTTGAAAGATCAAACAAGAACTTCTTGGGCAGCCAGAAAAGTCAGTTAACTTCTTTTACAGTTGCTTTTTCACATCTACTTGTCCTTGTTTCCCTCTTTCCTTCCTTCCTACCTTCCTTCCTCCCTCCCTTCCTTCCTTCCTCCCTTCCTTCCTTCTTTCCCTCCTCTTTGTTTTTGCTTTTCTTTCTTTTTTTTGTTTTTTAACAATTTCCAGAAACTGGTCTTTATTGAGGTCTTTAAAAACTAGGCCATAATTGAAATCATTTACAAATGATGACCTCATACACACCTCGCCATAGAATACCAAGAATTACAAGTATAATTACTTGTGGAAGGCCATGGGTGTGCAGCATGAACCTCAGAAACACAAGAAGAATCAGATCATAAATCAACTTGAGTGAGATAAGAAATCTGAGAAGAGATCCAGGAGAACAACTTTTCCTCTTTATTCATGCATTTAACAAATACTTCTTCAGCTACTATATTGTGCCAAGAAAATGAGCTAAACTATGGAGATCTGTAAACCTCATGAAGCAATCATGCCAAAGACCAGCTGCTTCGTTAACCTGTAGTGGATCTTTTAATCCCAGCGTTTCCTAATGTGTAATTTCTAATTTGTAATCAACTTCCCATTGGAACTTGAATTTTTAAATAAATCTTGCTAGACCTCAATGACTTCTATAATAAAATAGAAACAATAAACCTAAATTTCCTGGAGGCCATAGTTTAGACCACCTAAATGCTCCCAATAAACACAGCACTGCATTGAGTCACTATGTTACTGAGGACAAGTTTACAGTGTATTGGTCCTGACATCTAATTCCTCCTTTCCTTGGCCCTCATTAGTCCCAGTCAACCCATCGTCTTTTCCAAACTGTAGCATGCAGGGTAATAGTGCAATAGCAGCATAAGAAATTAGTTTTTATTTCTATAATAAACCAACTTTTCCATTTGACTTGGTTTAAATAGAGGAAGATAAAGCAGTTGTTAAAATAAGAGGCCTATGTAAGAGTTCATTATGAAGATCACACCCCCACAAAATAAATATGCCATATTTTCTGAATAATATATATATATAATATGTTAATGTTTTATAACATACTCTTATCAGGAGATAAATCTTACTAAGGCACAAAGAAGTTATTGTATTTGTTAAAATGGGTGAATCAATGTAAGCTTTCTTATGGTTTGTCAAATTTGTAAAATATTATATTTCTCTTCAGATAGAGTTACATACTGTGTAGCTCAAAGATAATCCCTATGGTCCTGGCATATGTTACTTAATTGTCTCAGAAGGAAATGCCATAAATAGCATGCTGTCATCCCCCAAAGGCATGGGCTCATCTGTCACAGTGGGGGCTCCAAACAGGGTGAGGTGCTCTAAGACATATCTTAGTCTATGTAAATCACAGCCATTACTTCTTACCACTTCCCAATTGGTCAATTATGTATAAACATGTGTTAATAAAAATTTGCCTCTCTGCCTCTAAGGTACACACCCATAAAGCTATGTGAGTATGATAAAGTATAAATGGCATACATAGTTATCTGATTCAACCTACCTCATAAATTATGATCCAAAGTGCTTCTATAGAAACAAAACTCCAGAAAAGCCTGTAAAGACAAATGCTGGAAAAGAAAGACAGAATAGAAAACAGTATTTTTTTTCACATTTGCAACTTTAGTGAAAAAAACTATCAGGTTTGTCTTACAAGAAGAAAGAACCTAAAAAATATATTATACTTTATAAATATTTTTATAAGCATTTGACTCTTAATTGTCATAGATAATGGGGCCATGAAAAATAAAATCCCCTATTGTTAGTAATAAATATGCAAGATGTAATCAACAAAAATCTATCTATAAATGCATGGGTTCCAGAAATTTTCAAGAAAAATGGACCATGCAGACTTTGACTGGAGTATGCCAGATCAAATAGTATAAGGAATAGTTTGTTCTAAGACTATTGAAGTTTATGAGAGAAATATGATAAGCATATTTTAGTGAAAGGTATAATGGGTTTTGAATCATAAAGCCTGTCTTAATTAGGTATGTATGATTTTGGACACATTATGTAAATCTTCTGAATATCTGTTACCTCAGAAAAATATAGAAACTTTTGGTGACAACAGCCAAACTCGCAGAGTTGCTATGAGAAACAAATGAGATTAGTAAGTGCTGAAAAACAGTTTACAAACGTGTAAGTGTTTTCACAGGAATCATTATTATGTGTTTTAATGGCAATTCCTATTTTAAAAAGATATTGAGAAGTATTTAAGACTAATGATTATAAATTTATGGTTATATTTCCTGGAACTGCAATAAATTTAAAATGTTATTTTAAAGGTATATGTACTAGTGTTTCTTAAATTATTGAACAGAATAGTATAAGAGAATGGTAAATTATGTGTGAACTGAATCAAAATTGGAATGGTAGTAACTGAGTGCTTATCAAACACAAGGCATTGCACTAGGAATTGTATCTGCCCTCAATATGCCTTTTATTCACTTATTTATTCATTCATTCCTTAACAGCTTTGTTGAAGTAGAGTGGATATACGAAAAACTGCTTATGTTTAATGTGTTCAACTTGATGAGTTAGGACATATGCAAACACCCGGGGTGCCATCACCACAATCAAGATAATAGACATATCCAACACCTCTTAAAATTTTCTTACATTCACTTTGTTTTTTTTCTTTGTTTATTGTGTTAAGAACATTTAGCATGAGATCTACCCTGTTAAGAAAGTGCACAATACCCTATTGTTAACTATAGGCACGATGCTGTACTGAACTCTAAAATTTTTTCATCCAGCATAACTGACACTTTATACCCATTGAATAGAAACTCTCCACTTCCCCCATTCCCTAACCTCTAACAACCACTCCAATACTCTCTGCTTCTATAAGTTTGACTATTTTAGATACCTCATATAAGTGGAATTATACAATATTGTCCTTCTATGATTGGTTTATGTAATTTATCATAATATCCTCCAGGTCTCTCTTTGTTGCCACAAATGGCAAATTTTTTTAGGGCTGACATATTCCGTTTATATATGTACCACATTTTATTTACCCATTCATCAGTCCTTGGACACTTGGGTGGTTTTCCTATCTTGGCCATTGTGAGTAATGTTGCAATGAATACGGGCATACAGATATCTCTTGGAAATCCTGATTTCAATTCTTACATATGATTTAGAATAAGAGCTAAAACTATAGACTCCAAAGAAACACTAGTATTATTTTTTTCATGCCTCTTTTGATATAGGCTTTAAAGATCCAGAATTTCTTAGCCCACTGACAACTTTCATTTATCTTTAAAGTAAAGTGGGTCCCAGCTATATGAATAGACCTGTCAACTCATAGATTCAAGAAAAACCAAAGGTTAATACTGATGACAAAACAAGACACACCCCAACATATAATCAGCAGAATCGACCAGGACTTAATAGATAAGGTTTTATCACCATCCAAAATGTGTTAAATTGATTTTTGACAGTGATGGAGTGGTGAAATTCTATATTAGTTTGACAGACATGAATTAAATGCGTTATTAATACTGTCTAATATTTTTGTGAGTTCACATCACCCTGTCCACTTGTATATGATTTATAGGCATCAGTTCCTAAAAGATATGCCACAGGAAATCTAGTAAAACACAAATGCATGAAACAATTATTGTAGGATCTCCAGAATATCTTTGAAATTTTATAATCATATATTAAATTGAGATTATATTTATTATTAAACTAAGTAGAGGTAATCCTAACTGGGCTATATCCTAACCAATTGGTCTTTTTTATCAGCAAATTTATAAACTGTTATTTATTAGCTGTGGGTATAATGAATAATTAAGGCAAGTAAAGGAATAATAATGACGGGTTATGAATTCACTCAAAAAACCTGACATTTTACTGCTTTTCCCACAATACATCATCATTCCATGTAGATTTAATACACTAAACAGATAACATAGTACATTTTAATGCAACTATTTTGAAATCTTACTTAAATTTGCATTTATTAAACCTTTACCTTACTTCTAACTAACGTAATTCAGAGGTAGGTCCAAAGGGGTATATCCACCATCATTCAATAAAACTAATGAATGCACAATAAAGATGTCATTATACTATCTATTCACTTTTAACTCTTATATCTGAGCAACTACCTTGAAAATACAGTGTTACAGTATTACACATTTTACTAGGTAATCTATATATTGTATGAAATAAGGGCTTTTATTTGAGGAATTTGAACATTGTTTCTTCCTACCCTCTCTCCCTTTTCCCTTCCTTCCTTTCTTCCTTGCTTTTTTCTCTCCTCCCTCCCTTGCCCCTTTCCTTCCTTCTTTTCTTACCTCCTTTATTCATTTATATTCATTCAAAACCCATTTATTCATACAAATGACTCCTATGAAACAGGCATTATATTAGATTCTGGGGATATAAAAATTAATAAAATAGTCTGCATTTAAAGAACTTTCATATGACACAAACATAGACTTTCATACTTCTTTGTAATGGATTAGTTGGTTGAAATTTGAATGCCTTGCCAGAAGGAGATATATGACACCCTTCCACAGTAGACTATGATAATAGACTAAAGTTAATAAGCATATAATAATAGAGCAACTAATAGAAGAAGATGCTACCACAATAATAGAAACAGTGTGGGTCATAATCACCATTGTAAAGTCTTAGTGTAGGATACTCTATATGTGTGGTGTGTGTGTGTGTATGTGTGTGTGTGTATACATACATTTGTATATATGCTATTATATGTTATATATATATATGCTATTGAGAATATATACATAGAAGAGTTAAAAGTAAAATTATTTGAATTGTACAACACAAATATGGTCCCCCCAAAACCTTGATGTAGTCATATTAATATCATTTAAAATAGACTTTAAGGAAAAAGCATTATGATGGATAGAGAGGCTCACTATATAATTATTAAAGATATTCACAGAGAAAACAAATGAATTTAAACTTGAATATTATCTTCATAAAGTCAAATATGAATTAATTGATTTAAGTACAAGAAGAAATTGTGAAAATTTCATGGTTTGAGGTTACAGGAGATCTGTTCAATCATTGATAGGTTAGGCAAAAAAAAAATAGAGCCATAGAATAATATTTGAATAATATATTTAATGACCTAGAGTGGATTAACATAAACACAACTGTAAACATATGCATATGAGTATACATATGATATATGCATAAGTAATGTGTTTAATCCAGTTCATTAAATGTATTCAATTATATTTCATGATGAAACATTAAGATATGTCTATCATTTATCTGTATCTACTTATCAATCTATCTATATTAGTAGTGAACACTTGGAAAATAAAATAGAAAAATACCACTGTTGTGTGCAACAGTTAGAGATCATACATTCTTCTCAAGTATGTTTGGAATATTTATAAAGAATAGCCATTTATCAATCCTCAACAATGAAAAAAACCCACACAAAACTAGAGCACACAAAAATATAAAGTTTAAAATACCCATATATTTGGAAATGTAAATAAATCCTTCCAAATAACTTATGATACAAAATGAGGTCAAAAAAGAAATAAAAACTATGTAGATACAAATATATGAGATCAATGAACAAAAAAAACCTGCTTTTGTATATACTAATCATGAACAATTGGAAAATGAAATAGAAAATTACATCATTTTCAATAGCATCACAGCAAGAAATACTTAGGTATACACTTAACAAAAATGCTTAGTGATAAATTATTATGATATTTCTATATGTTATAACTTGGAGGATTTAGCAAAAGGGATATTAAATGGAAATTTATAGCATTAAATATGGATTTGAAGATAAGTAAACCTGAAAACTAAGTGTGCTAACATAATGCTAGAGAAGTGAGGAAACTACAAACACTGCAAAATAAAGTTAAATTAAGGACAAGTAAGACAAAGTAAAGGTAACACTTGAAATTTTAAAAAGAAAACAAAAAACCACATAGAAAATAAAAAAAAGCAAAAGTTTGTGCTCGGAAGAGTCTAATAAAATAGGCAAACACTACGAAACTAATGAATAAAAACGAGAAGGAAGAAATAAACAATCGTAGGATCACAAAATGGGAACCTAAGTTGTACAATGCAGTGAAAAGCAGCATTAGTAAATGTATTCCAGTTAATCTGAACACTTAGATAAAATGAGCAAATACGTTGAAAACTAAAAATTACCAAAACCAAATTAAAAAAACAAACAAAAAAAGCCCATATCAATGTTTTTACAACTAGTTAAGAAATAGGAGAAGTAATTTAAAAGACCTTGTTGGAAAAACCCAGGTCTAGATGGTTTTACAGGCAAATTCTACACAATTTCAACAAACAGATAATTCCCATTATATGCAATAAACAAGAGAGAATACTTCACAATCATTTCTATTAAGCCAATATAATCTTTATTCTGAATCCAGACAATGCTAGCATGAGAAAACCAATTTACAGGCCAATCTTGCTGTGAATATAGATCAAAAGTCTTTATACTCACAAGCCAAATCCTACAGTGCATAAAAATGATTATCCATCATGAGCAAGTTGAATTGATTCCAGGATTTAAAGGTTGGATTAACATTAGAAAATACATAATGTTAATTTACCACATAAAAAGATTAAAGGAGGAGAAATATATGATAATCACCATATGATAAATCCAAAAGAAGCAGAAAAATGTATTTGATAATATTCAACACCTATTTATCATCTATCTTCTAGCAAAGTAACCCATTGAGGTATCTACCAAAAGACTCTCAGTAAACACTACTCTAAATCAAAAATATTCAAAGCATTTTCTCTAAAATAAAAAATAAAGTTGCCCATTATCACTACCTTTTTTCAATTGTATACTAAATGCCCTAGACAGCACAGGAAAAAGAAAATAAGGAAAAACATAAATAAGTACAGGCAAAGTATTAAGAGAAAAACGCCCACACAGAGATGCTATGATTGTTTATATACACAAGCCAAGTGAATTTACAGTGAAATTATTAGTAGTAATATATTCTAGATATTTTAAGATAAACGTACAAAAATCTATGACATTTTTATTCAACAGCAATAAACAAAAAAAAATTAAAAGAATACAATTTGAAATAGTAACAAAACCCTATGCATTTCTAGGAATAAATCTAATGAAAGATACACTAAAATTTGTACGAAGAATTTTATAAAATATTTTGCCAAGCACTAAAAAAGACAAATACATAGAAAGACATATCAAGGTAATGGAATTTCTAATTATGTAGCTCTTTGTCAGGGAGTGTTCCCTATCCAATCAATCTTGCATGTAACGCAAGTTCCTAGTTGGAGCTCCAGCCTGACATCAAAAAAGGCAGTTACCATTAAACCATCTCCCGGTGCTTATGCTCTTAATAGACACCGCATATTCTCACTCATAGGTGGGAATTGAACAATGAGATCACATGGACACAGGAAGGGGAATATCACACTCTGGGGACTGTTGTGGGGTGGGGGGAGGGGGGAGGGATAGCGTTGGGAGATATACCTAATGCTAGATGACGAGTTAGTTAGTGGGTGCAGCGCACCAGCATGGCACATGTATACGTATGTAACTAACCTTCACAATGTGCACATGTACCCTAAAACTTAAAGTATAATAATTAAAAAAATGAAGAAAAAGAATATCTCAATATTATAAAAATTTCAACTTTCACCATGCTAATATATATTCACTTATAAATTGAAAACTAACTACAGATGAGTTAAAGATATATTTTAAAATTTAAGTGGAATGCATAGATGAATTTTTCTATTATTTCAGGCTATAAAATAATCTTTTAAACACGACACCTAAATATATAATAAGCATAAAAAGAAATATTGACAAGTTTGACATTTTTAAATTTAAGAGCTTCTGTTCAGTTGAAGTCAGGAATAAAGTGAAAACACAAGCAATAAAGGGTTAATCATATTTATAACACATATAACTGAAAATAATTAATATAAAAATACAAAAAGAACTGCAAATATGAATAAGAGAAACAACAAATTTTAAACCTGATAAAAGATATGAACAGGTATTTCTCGGAAGAGGAAACACAAATGGCCAATAAACGTAGGTAAATGTACCGAATTTCAGTAGCATTCAGGCAATTGCCCATTTTAACTACCGTAAGAGATGATTATAAATAAATTAGATTAGAAAATTATGAAATCTAACAATATCAAATGTGACTTAGAAGATGTCTACAATATCTGCCATATAAATAATATGTATAAATAAATGTTTGCCTAACAAATGCAGTGCAAATTACAATCACATTGAGCAAAATTAACAATGCCAAATTAGATTTTTTTTTTCCTATGGAAATGAGTAGTTGGGAGAATGATGTTAACACTGGCAAAAATAGGCAAGCCAGTGGTGAAGCCAAATTTGTAGATAATTGTCATGTTAGACATTTTAAGTTTGGGCTGATGTCATGACATATAGGAAAATATAAAGCAAAGGTCTTTGGAGACGCAGGTCTGACACTGATAGAGTGACCTATTTTAATGTCCTCAGTTTTGTTTTAATTGAGTTGCCATAGGTCCCATTCTTCTGCAGGATAGTTGCAGTCACCCAGTGTCCTTTCTGGATAGCATTCTCTTTTGCTTTCAAAAGTGCCCCTTTTTGGATGAAAATTTATACTGCCAACCTATGTATGTTAAGTCTCTTTCAATCTTACCATGTTACACTTTGATAAATGTTCATGGATCTTGAGCATTGATACATGGGATCCTCAAATTATTTGACAGAATACCTGAAATTGATCATGAAAAAAATATATTGCCAGACAATTTTGAAAGGTATACTCAAAATGAGTACTCACCATGTTACTAGTTATTATCTGTGAGTCATTTTTCCCTTGGCTAATAATTTATAATCACTTTTATAATTAGTTAATAACAAATAGACACTAGAAAGTTCTACCTTTTTCATCAACAGCAAAGTCTTGATGGAGTTCTATTGCCAGAATAGATGAATATTTCAGAATCCCAAGAGCATGTGCTACACATTTCGTGTGTAAGAAACATAGCTACAATATGCATTCCAACATGTCATGGAATTTTGCTAAAACCTCCAAATCCATTAACTATAGATTATTGTGTTGTAACATATGATCCCATATTTGCTGGTATGCACTATAAAGACTCTTATATTAAGCGGTCCCATTGATTAACATGGACAGGAGGAGAAGGAAATATTCTGACTGGACAGATTTCATGTTTTGATGCCATGTGTATTTGGTCCAATTTTCAATGTCAAATGTAGACTATAATTTATTCAGACTTGGCTTTTGTTCTTTCCCACTCCCAACCTTAAAAACTACAGAGTAATATTATTTATTAGCATTCATCAAAGAGTATTTTTGGCAGCATTGAATCACAAAGACTGATATTGGTGTACATAAAACAATACATGTGCAAGCCTGCAAAGAAAGGAAATTTGAAGAGAATGTCCATTATATAACTTAAGCTGTTTTTCCCTGGATCAAATAAAATTATAGAGGCGCCAAGCACAGTACTGTTGCTGAAGGCCATCATAAACCCTGGTGTTCATGAGGCTGTATAGTCTTTTCACCATGAAAAATAATTCCTTCTGTATTTAACTTGCCAAAGTACTGAGGCAGCCTGGGAAAAGCAGAGGTTCTTTTTTTTTTTTTTTTCTTTTTTGTTAAAATAAGAGTACCTACGAAACAAGGCATATAAAGGTAGATGAGGTAAGAATGTAACACCTCTGTGATCTTATTCTGAAACCAGGTGTTTTCTTTCCTCCTATCATAAGTATGCATCATATGAGTATAGTTGACTCTCTTGGTGTGTTTTAAAAACAAAGAGACATACCTGTTACATCAATTTATTTTTCAAGTATCTTTATAAAAGTTAATATGTAAATGGTGTGGGATGATTAGACAAATTGGCAAGCATCATGTCACTCATCCATTGCTTATGATTCAAAAACCACACATTTCTACCCTTTTATGTAAGAAAGAAAACTAATTTCAAAAATCACATAACTTGCTAACTTCATTATATAGAGACATTTTAAAAAATAAGAATCCAGGAAAACTGAAAATTTGAGTCACACCTGGATTGATTTCCCATATAGAACATCTGCTTATTCAGAAATATCTAAATGTTTTACTAAACCTATCAGTCAAGGAGTCAGATATTTAACTAGTAAAAGGGTCTTATTTCTCTTTTTAATTGTGAATTAGACTCCATACACGTGTCATCATAACAAAATGAGCATGATAAATTAAATCAGCTGGTTGTTCCATCTCTGATAAATTTCTTGGGCTGTTATGTTGCTGTCAGTTGCAAAATAGATTATAATTCTTTCTTCATCCTGCTATTAAATTGATGTGGTGTCCTTCCCAGTATCACATCAGAGGGCATAGGATGTCAGTTTGTTCCATTATTGGTGATGCTAAGTTTGATATTTTTGTTTATGTAGTCCATGAAATCTTCAATTCTTTTTTCTTTGCGTGTTAATATGTACTTTGTGGGATGACCATTGAATCTGAGTATATGGTTCTCAGATAGTCTTTTAGCAACCATAGACAATTTTTACTTGAAGGAATCATATCCATATTTGTGGCAAGGGAATGACTTTCCATTACTCTTTCAATTTTTCCTTCTACATTTATCAGCAGATAGTTTGTTAGGTAAAGTACCCCACCTGCTCCTGTTTTAATAATTTGTTTTTTAGAATACATAAGGACATATGGATCTGTCACTTGACCAATGTTTTATAATCCAATTCTGTCAATTTTTATTTCATAGCAAGTTGTCTATAATTTGACCAATAAAAGAAGGTCTCTTCTACTTCCTATGTCCTTTTAACGTGGCCTAACACGCTTTTGAGCACTCCTTTAGTTTCTTTCTTTTTCTTTTTTTTTTTGAGATGGAGTTACATTCTTGTTGACCAAGCTGGAGTGCAATGGTGCGATCTCGGCTCACCGCAACCTTCGCCTCCGGGGTTCAAGTGATTCTCCTGCCTCAGCCTCCCAAGTAGCTGGGATTACCGGCATGCACCACCACGCCCAGCTAATTTTGTATTTTTAATAGAGATGGGGTTTCTCCATGTTGGTCAGGCTGGTCTCGAACTCCTAACCTCAGGTGATCCGCCAGCTTCAGCCTCCCAAAGTGCTGGGATTACAGGCATGAGCCACCGTGCCTGGCCCACTCCTTTAGTTTCTAACATAAAAGACATGACAACTAAGTTTTACAAAATGACCCTTGATTGAATCCTTGACTGAAGAACAAAGCAAAAGACAGCTACAAAAAGCTTTACTGAGATAATTGGGAAAATTTAAATATTTACTGTATATTAGATACTAGATGTTAACTTTCCTTACTGTGAAAGTTTTACTGCATTCATGCAGGATAATGCTATTGTCTTAGGAGTTACATACTTAAATATTGAGAGTAAAATATTACCGCACCTTTAATTAACTCTCACATGTATCAACAAATGTTATAAAAAGTTAACAATTGGTAAACCTGAGTGTATTTTCTGGAGTCAGAAATATTTCAAAGTTAAAGTTGGGGTAAAAAATGCAAACATTAGGACATGGTAGCACATACCTGTAATCCTGGCTACCTGAGAGACTGAGGTGGAAGGATCACTTGAGCCCAGGAGTTCAGCCTGGACAACATAGTCAGACCTTGCCTCATTAAAAAAATTAAAAATAAATAAATAAATAAAACTTATACTTAGATAATGTTCAGTGAGGATAATGCATACGTTTATCAGGCAAATGGAAAACTGTGGATGAATTTTAAATTTTTTTCACTACTGAGAACAAATAAAGACTTTGAGTTATAGGAAATCCAGTTGCTTACTTTAGTAAGCAAAGATAATGACAGAGATTCAATTCTAATACAGCTGAAATCACATGCTTTATTGTGCAATTTAAGACCAAGAAATAAGCTAATAATCAGATGGAAGAAAAAAAGGTGTAAATAGTTGAATTTTCTGGTAGCAAATCTGTGTATTAAAATTTACCTTTTTATTGTATGTATAATCCCTGCCATTCATAACATATTAACTATGTATGCTAAATGTAGTTCAAGTTTTTAAATGATCAGTAGGAGATATGAAGAAGATATGGGTGGTTTACTTGAATATGTATATTATAAAAGAGGCTATGATATTTTATATAATATTATGTTTCTTATAACAACATTAAAAGGGAAGGGCACAAAATTTCCTTTAATGCAGATTTTGGTTAGCTGGATTACAGTCAATTAAGGTCTTACTCAATAATTTCACCCATATTCTGAAGGACTCCCATGATGGGAAAAAAAACATTTTATGATAGTTTATCAAAATATTAATACTTCAGTCTTTGTGAAAAGAAAAAAATGGAAACTGAATTGAGTTTTTCTGAGGTCATTACTGAGTTTTCTGTCTGATTGAAGCTTCTGCAAAGAAAATGTTAAATAAATTATATAGTCACAGGTAGAAATTTGGAAAATTTAGATAGATAACTACACACACACACACACACACACTTATTTAATCCTCAAGAAACCCTAATTATGATGGATTATTATTGTTATTTAGCAAACGAAAAGATTTGAACATGGGAAGCAATTCAAATACGCTATTTTTAAAAGGTAAATTCATACAAATTTCAAGTCATGTATGATGTCCTTTTAAAAAGTTTTTTTAATTTGTTCGTAATAGAGGATATACTGTTTATCTAGATGACTAATCTACCTTCATCTGGCCAGACGTGAGTAGGATAACACATTCATTGAGCAGGAAGAGCAAGTGCTATAAAATACATTGTTGGAAATACATGAAGTAGGAACAATGAATTTATGAGCACTCATTATTATAATATTCACCACTTTATAAGCGGCCCCAGAAAATTATTTCTGGAATTTTAAGTCTTCCATTTCAGAAGCATTCATTAAATTAAATTATTTAAATTAATTATTGTAAAGATTGACTTTTTTAATTACAAAGGTTTATAATTAAGGAGGTAAAGACAACAGGTTAGCAGTGCATATTGGATGTGCTGGAAATGAGAATGCATATGAAAATGAAAAAATCTGACTAAACTGTGCATGTTAATAAGTGGCATATTATTAGCACTTTGAAAGCTTTCCTTTTAAAAATCCAACTAACTATATTTAGACTTCTAAAGGACACTTCCTCCTAGAATATTGCTGTTTTCGTTGTTTAGCTTTACTTTTCATTTCTTTTTTTTTTCCACTGGATGATTCTTGTGTAAAGGGCACATCAACGTTGTTAACTAGTTTTTAATTTGTATTTGTTTAAGATTTCACAAAATATCTAAGGTCTTTACCTATGCATGTTTCAATATGACCATCAGACATCATTTCTAAAATACATGATCCAATAAATAATGAGTGGCAGTAAAGACCAGGTACAAAGGAGTTAGTAATATAAATTCATGTTTCGACATATAGTGCAAAATGGGTTACTCACTGAGTCATAAAAATGAATTGGACATTTAAGCATTTGATTTTTATGTCATCCCATCATACATTATAGGAATGCACGTAGGGTCTGGATACCATGGAGGCATAAGTTATGCAGAACGTTTCACTCTTGTTATTACATATATAGAATATATATAATTATGTATTATATCATATATGTAATGTATATTGGATTGAACTTTGTAAAACTTACACATTATTAGTCAATTGTTAGAAATATGAGTTATATGAGTTTCCTAAAATATGAAAAATATAATCCAAGAAAAACAATAATATAATAATAACATACATTGTAAACACACTAAGAACTATAACAATTTATTGATTTTTAAAATAAGAGGACCAAAATATTTATTTGATCCAAAAGAGAAATTAAATCTCTTCAAAATAAGTTCAATGAAATTAGGTAACTATTTAAATAATTACCTAATTATCACCTATTCCCTTGGTAATAGGGATATAGATAAAGATATTTTTCACAGCATCACTAGCATATATATAGTATATATTTTATTGTATATGTTATTATACATCTATATATACATAGATTAGATATATTGGCATTTCTGGTAAATAATAATTCATCTTAGAATGTGATAAAGTCAATAATATACATTTTTAAATAAGTATTTTACAACAGTTAATTAGCTAAAATGATAATATCCTGAGCTAACATTATCACAAATAAACTAAAAGAAGTATCAATACATGTCAGATGAGTTAATGTATATCCAAAACTAAAGTCATAACTAAACAGAAGCTTCAAGGTCTTACAGAAGGTCCTGCTGCTCCTAGAGGTGAAAAGAAACTGTGAAACTGCCAAGTATTCTTTGAGAAATATTTTCCAAATGTTCTTTGTCTTTCCACTAAGTTCTTAGTTTTTTGATTTCTAATTGCCAAAATGTCAGGAGGAAATGAAATGTTGCTTCTTTACTATCATACTAACTCAGCTGTTTATTCTCCAGGTTTTAGGAGTATGTATAAGGCATCATAGCAATGAACCAGTATATATGCTTTTTGGGAAAAGAGGCTAAGAGATTAGGAACAACGATTGATAAAGCAGTGTGAGGACTTGAAAGATGTATTGATGGCTTTTGGTGTTGGGACCTATGTATTTCAATGTACTTGCTAATGATGAGGAGAACAACATGAACAGGGAAGTGGTGAAATATTCTGAAAACACTAAACTATTTTCGTTAGTTAAAAACTAATGAGGTTTGGGAGATGCTCCAGATGGCTGTAATCATACTGGAGAATTGAGCAGTCCAGTGGCAGATGAAATTCATTTTTGATAAATGTACAGGAAGGAATATTGAAAAATTATAATCTAAACTCTCCATGTATACCATGAGGTTTTGAACTTGCAAATTCTCTGAGGGGTAAGACATTTACTACTAACATGCTGGTTCAATGAAGGTGTTCCCCAATGCACATCTTTTTGGAAACGGCTGAGTAGATGCTTGGATGTGTTCAGAAAAAGGTTTAAAAATGCAAATAATAGGGAAAGCTGTTTTGAAATAGATAAAGAACATTTTACCCATTGCAGCAGGATAGATTTCTTCTGGGTAACAAGTGAGAAGTAACAGAAACAAGAAAGTCACAGAAGCTTGTGATAAGAGTGACTTATTTCTGAAGTAAGATTGAAAGACAGGCTAACAAATGGAGAACACATTTACATATGCTCAAACCTGTTTGTACTATAAAGCTTTTCCATTTTAAGCAAGGTTAGAACCATGGAGAATTTGATCTCATTAACGGGGCAGCAACTGTGGGGTCCTGACGATTAATACATGAGTTCAACTATTTGGCACTTGAAAGTTAAAAATTCAAGGCTTAGCTTGGTTCAGGTACTGGGTTGTAGGTGATAAATCCTGAATGTGTATAGTCATGGTCTCTTTGTGATTTTCATACTGTAAGAAAAAAAGTGATATATTAGCATATCAAAAGACCATGCTTCCAATTCACCAATGCTTGGGTAAGTAATAGGCAGAAATTGCACTGAAAATTTTAGATGAATACACAGAGATTGCCTTAAATTAAAGAATGTCAGTAATAAATTGATATCTCTCTCTATATATATATGTATGTATACACACACACATATAGTGTGAGCTATATACATATATACATAAAAATTTGTTGTGAATGAATAATTGAAGAAAATATCTCACACAACTTGTTTTTGGCTCATACTCAATTGAATTGAGGGAAAACATTTTATAAATTCAAGGTTCATTGATAAAATTGACAGCTTTTTTGAAACTAAATGAAACCACTTACATTGTTTGTGGGAGATAATAAAAAAATGTACATTATTTTCTCAAGGGATTGCAACAACAGTCTTTTGATCTATTAAAAATAAGTGAAAACTATTAGGATAAATATTTTGTACAATTGAAGAATTCACGAGAAACTAGTCAAAAAGGCATGTTTTGCATAAGATAGAAATAAGGTTAGACCTTAGAATTATAAATCAGGAGGTATTTTAAACTGTACTATATATTTCATGGCTACTGAATATGATTCAATAATCTGCCCTTAAATATGACAAATCTAAAAAGTATATAATATATTCACACTAATATATATTAGTATGTGTATTTATGTAGTATAATTACATAACTATGAGTATATAACTCCACTACAGTGTGTGTGTTACGTCACTGTATGTGTCAATAGTTTTCATTCATAATAGACTTTGTTCTGAGTCTTCTTTCTGATACATGATTCATGAATGAAGAATCCAATTAACTATAATTTTTGCTCTCCACTGGAGCAATATTTGAAAGACAGTGTCTTGGTGCTGAAGTAGTTCTCTTCTGGGAAGGGCCTTTATTTGGGGAAGCAGAATTTAAAAGGCCTGCTTTCTAACATCTTTTTGTAATGGATGTACACCATGCTATCTATGATGATTCATGAAAGACTTTCTATTTTTATTTTTTTTAATGAAAATGTGTATAAGCTTACAATCTGAACATTATGGTGCAGACATACTAAACAGTTCTTTGCATTATTTTAAGATATCTACTTGACATGTTAGCAAAATTGCCTAAGAATTTGTCTGTATCTACATAAGAGCATAACTACCTGAATGTGGATTTAGAGATCTATGAATGTTTCCAGAAAGCTAGCAAGTTGAAAACTGGCTGGTCAGTGGAAGGAGACCATGTGAACCTGCAGTTGCTAAGACAGAAGCAATGAGAAAAGAATGAAATGGATGAAGCAGCAAGGAGGAAAGGGTCTACTAAATAACATTTTTTATCAAAACTGTGCCCCTAATGCCACATGTTCTCTCAAGATGTTGAATAGATATCTACTTTGGGGAGGCCCTAAAAGCGTACTAGAAGAAGGCACCTGGAACTGTGATTGACTCCTTCTGCATATATCTGCATTGCCCTCTGGCCTTCCGCATTCCTAGAACTCAACTCTTCCTAGTAATAAATCTCTTCCAGTATGCTACACTGAAAATGCACTGTTCAAAACATGCTGTTTCTCTTTTAGTGAAGAGTTTGTATAAGTAAAAGTGAATAATATTGGTCAGTGGAGCTACAAACAAAAGTGGTTCCATGTGTGCTTAGAGGCAATTCTCAGTTTCTGTGAAGGACTGCAACAGGGAAGACCTTGCAGCATCATTCAATAGCTCTTAAGTTCTTTAAGAAACCTAAGCTTGTTCCAGATTCTCTTGATTACTCCAAATTCCCTTGATTATTGGGTAGTGTTAATTTGGAGTTGTAATTTATAAAAATAAAATCAAAAACAACAACCAAAAAAAAAAAACCCTTGCAAAATAATGTTTCTAAGGAAGAGATATGCAAACCAGTGAGTAAAATAACTGCAATGGCATTTGTTTGAGAAGACTTACTTGTATCTCTTTCACATTATGTTTATCTGTAGATTCATAGACACACTTTCAGTAGCATGCTTAGTGTTTTAAGTGTTTTACTTTTTTTTTTTTAAATAACTTTCCTCTCAAAAGCCCTGGGTTCAGGAATATGAATAACAAAATGGCTGCTTAATCCACTCAATGAATCTTATTACCAGGGGTATAACCTCATTCTCTTATCTTGCCTGCCATAAAAGTGAGCAGAGAATACTAGTTCAAGGGCACTTTAGTGAATTGTAGCCTGTTGCCTGAGAATGCATGGATAAATAAAATTTCTACTGTCCCCATAAATTTAAGCCATAGCTAAATAAATAGACTTAGCAGAATTAGAGAAAAAATTTTAAAAGCCTAGAGATCAATTTTAGTCTCTCACAGCAAAAGAGAATAAGAAATATAGTAACATCTTCAAAAATTATTACTTCTTTGGTTTAGATCTCCAGTAACATTTTTATGTTGTTAGATTATAAATTCTTAATTATGAGAAAGAACTAATCTATCCTCCATGAAGTTAGGGATTTTGTCTTTATTTTTCTTGACCCTACGGTCTCTAGCATATACGTTGGCAGAAAGTATATCTTTAATTAATGAATAAATGTACGTGTGATGAATGAATTATTTTATTGAAGAAAATGTACAGAGAGTCTTTGATATCTGTGAAATGAAGGGGAAAATATCATAGGGAGTCAGAAGTATGAAAATGTAGATACGGTACAACTGCATCTTTCAAAAATGCAACATTTCACAAAGTCTATGTTAGAGTATCCCGTCAACTTATATATTTTTTTCAGTGTCATCAGCCTTCATGTTTTTTATGAAAGAGAATATTGAAGTTCCCTTATAATTTCTGGTTCCTAGAGATAAGAATATAGCCTGGAATACATGTGGTGCTGACTTATTTTTTGAAATGAAACTGTCTCATCTCTTAATTTTCCTCATATTGTCTTTCTTCATTCTCCACCAAATTACATGACCATGCATGTGACTCTTCTACCTCCCAATGAAAAGAGACCTTTCCCAAAGCTAAGTCCATGTCTATATCCCCCCTTTCTTATCAAAGAATGGCTTTAGTAACCATTAAAAATTATTCTATAACTTATTAAAAGATGGTAAGGAAGATTTTATTCAAGGAACTACTGCAATTACGTTTTGTAATAAGGGAGAGTGATCGGGCTCAACTCCAAATACAAGAAGAACAAATGGAGACTTATAGCCAAGGAACAGAGTGGAAGTCAGTGGATAGAAATGTACTCAGAGGGATATATTCCTAATGGAAGAAATCCCAAATTCATTATTCTCAAAATCAAGATTTATTCCTGTTTTTGCTTCACATTCCAGCTTTTATTTCTCTCAGCCATATTTTTTCTCTCATCTTTTCATCAATGATCAAAACATTGGATCTGCCATTGAATGGGTATAGGGATGATCCAATCAATTCTACATCCCTAATAACCACTATCCATCATAGCTTTTACTTCTACTCTGCCCAATTTATCTGGCCATCAGAAACTTTTACCTCATTATCATTAGTCAACATTCTGCCCTTTTAAATCACATTTTATATTGCTGCCAGATATATGTCTATAATTACCCTGGTTCTTTGTAGTGAGATGCCAATGAATATTATTCTCTCACCTAAGCTTGAATCCTTCCCTATTAACTTTATACAATTAATCAGAGAAGAATGGAGAGGGAGAAAAGAAACTGAACCAAGCTTACAGTATGCTCAGCATTAATCATTAGGTCAGCTTGCTCCAGGACAGCTTCCTCATAGTTGTTTGCCTCTTGTATTGGAATAATGTAGACCCTAGATTACAGTTCCTCCTAACTGCTCTGTAGGTAACAACTTGAACATTATGAAACATTAAGTTTTCCATTTGAGAAATTCTTTCAGGTCCTGTATACCAGTGAAACTACTGACATCAGCTGGTCTGAAGGACCCCACAGGAGGTGACTCATCAAATAATGCAATATTCATATCCTAATGACTTTAGCCCCTTTACCCCAACCAATTAATGACTCCAGTTTTCCATCTCCTCATTTTTCATGATTCCCTTAAAAGCCCCAGCTTAGAACTCCTCCAGGAGATAGATTTGAGGGTCTCCTCCCATCTCCTTCCTTGACACCCTGAGATCATTAAACTCTTTCTCTGCTGCAAACCCTGCTGTCTTGGTGTATTGGACTCTTGCTGCAATAGGTTGTCTTGTAACAACAACTTTCAATTATTTGCCCAAATCTAGAGACTTCAATGTAAACTTTACCTCCCAGCATCCAAATGGTAGGATACTCATATTTATCTTCCATGTATGTTATTTCTATAAGTAAGTGCAGGAAAAACAGAAATTTGAGAATCAGGGACATATAAATTAGAAATTTAACCCTTCATGTACTAGTAGCCTTGGAAGATATAACCCCTCTTAGCCTATTTTCTTATTGTAGAATGAAGATGTAATGCTAACTCTAAAACAGTAGAGTAACAAAGTAAAATGAAGTATGCAAACACATAGCATATATTAGGGTCATGCGTGTTGGTGAACTTCGCCAAGTAAACTCTCCTTTTGCACTGTTACTTTAGAACAAATAATTATAATAGTGCAAGAAGAAGCTAGATTTTGCAGTCAGAGGAGAGAATGTCTGAACTTGTCACTCACAAGCTTTGTGGAGAACTTCAGTTCATTTATTGGAATGGCAGTTTTCTCACCTATAAAACAATCAATGGTGTGGTGAGGATTAAAATAAATACTCTATGTAGAAACACAAATGTGAGGCCTCTCCTGTAAAGAACTAAGTAAATTGTTTTCAACTTTTTCCAAGTGTTGAGTATAATAAAGAGATAGCGGGTTCTTGTAGAGATTTTTGAGTTAGTGATTGTTATTTTTATTGTGTTACTCCATTATTAAATGCAATTTTTAGATCTATATATTGTCCAGGCTTAGGAATGAAAAGAACTATCAAAACTGGAATAATTTATTATTTTATGGTTTTATTTTCTATGGTATAGTTTTGGAAATTCTTAAAAGCACCTTACCCTTTCTATTTCAAAAATATTCAATAAAGTTTAATGACTTCAATGTTAGTCTCTGATTTCCATTTCTCAGGGCAATTAAGTGTTAATGGATATGTTTTTGTGAGTAAAATTACTAAAAAAAATCCGTCACCATAAAAAGTATATTTTAGATCTAGTTTCCAAACTTATCATAACATATACGATAAGCAAATAAAATATTCAAATATGGCATTTCACTTCAGCCACTGACATTGTAGATAGCCAGGGTGGATAGGTTTAATAAATTGTGCTAAAATACTAAAAAAGAGAAAAAAAGGTTAATCATTATTCACATTTAGTTTTTAATATATTTAATTTGTCATAGATTAGTAAAATGGCTTTATTACAGGCATTTAGAGTAGATTAGTAAATTCATTAATGTTGATTGCATCCACATAGATTTGTGATATTTGGCACCTTTCATCTCCATGTGTTTTGAGATTGAAGCATGAGAGGCTTTCTGTGCCAGAGCTGTCTTTGTGCTGTAATCACATGGGCTTATTCTATTGGACTATGTGTACACTACTGCAATTGAACTAAAGTGGGTCTCTTTCTCACCAAGCATAGTTTAGTCATGCATCAATACATTTTTAATTAAAAGTATGTGACAGGTACAATAGTGAAGCACACCAAATAATTTTCTCAAACATTCCATTTCCTCAAAGATAGGTAATCAGAATCTTGTCTCTGTTAGTGAGAGAGTATTTTTTATTAAGCTGTTTGATTAAATACCTAAAAACTTTATGCTACGTAGCTGCATTTTTGTTGTAAGCACTTTATCAAAGAAACTTCACGTGGTTACATCAAAATGAAGCATTTGTTCTTGACAGAATTAAAATAGGTGACAAACAACCTAATGAGCCTTTTAAATTTATTTTTTATTGCTCATGGTAAACAGCTGAGAAATCAGCAGTGATGTGAATAGTGGAATCAACTAGAACATGGCTGTTTCTGAAGGAGAAAAGTCAGAGTGAAAAGCTTAGAAACAGAAGAACGCAGGGACAAACTCCAGGGTCTTATTGCAAGGTTTGTGAAAAACATGATAGCATTGTTGTGTTGATATAGAAATCTTATAAAAGACTAACCTCTCTAAATGATTAGTAAATATGGAAGTTGGGTGACGAGCAGAAACTACTTGAATTCTCTCCATGTCTTGCTATGCAAATTCCCCCAAAAACTAATAAACTAAATATGGTGGTAATTCTAGTTTTGCTGAAAAGACTAGGTCCAGTGGTTCAATCACTGATTAAACAAGTTGAAGCCCTTCATGAAAAAGGGACCCAGCTTTCTTTAATGATCATGAACTTTAGAATCAATATTTTTATAGTAGTATTTTATATTTTAAAAATCTATTAACTTCTACTAACAAAAACAATATAAATTACACTCTCAAAACTGGAGGAGTAATATTTTACTGCAGTGGAATTTCACATGAATTAAAGAGAGAGATTTGCTGTTTCATTTGTGGACTGGCTTTGGGCCACATGTTAGAAATTAGCCATTTTTTCAGTAGCATTGCAAGATCTAGTCATAAAAGTCTTCTGAAAACATAAGAACTGAACAGAAAACAGAATGTTTTGGTGAGCTCAATAAAATTTGATTAACTAATTAGTGTTGGTTATGTGTTTAAAAAATCATCTGACTACTAAAATTATGTAGTACATTTCTATGTAATATTTTTAAGAAATAACTTTTTGTATATCCTGCATTATTGTATCATTACAAAGCTCATCACATTAGGTTGGGGTGTTTTGGTCAGTGTTAATAAATAACATCATCAATAATATGTATAAAGGAGATTTCTTTTGTTGAATTTTACTCTAATTCATTATATAAGACTAAAGATTAAAACATTAAATAAAATTAATATCAGGGCCTGGCACAGTGTTTCATGCCTGTAATCCCAGTCCTTTGGGAGGCCAAAGCAGGTGGATCACTTGAGGTCAGGAGTTCAAGACCAGCTTGGTCAACATGGTGTGAAGAAATTAGAACCCCAGTACATTGCTGATTGTAATACAAAATGATTCAGTCACCATGGAAAACTAGTAAAGTTAAAAATAGAATTACTCATATGACCCCACAATTTCGTTCCTATGAATTTACACAAATAAACTGAAAGCAGGTACTAAACATGTACACACATGCTCACAGCATCACTATGGACAAAAGCCAAAAGGTAGAAACAGTCCAAACGTCTATCAATAAAAATAAATTGGTGTACATACACATAATGAAATATTATTCAGCCATAAAAAAAATGCAGTGCTGATACAGGCCACAACATGAAGAAACTTCCAAAACATTTGCTAAGTAAAAGAAACCAGACACTAAAGCTCACATATCATATTACTGAATTTATATGAAATATCCAGAATTGGTAAATCCATAGAAACAGAAAGCAGATTTATAAGTTACCAAGAGCTTGAGGGAAGGGGGAATAAGGAAAAATCTTCTTAATGAGTAAAACGTTTTACTTTGGAGTGATGAAAATGTTTTGGAAGTAGATAGAAGCGGTAGATACAACACACTGTGAATGTACTAAATACCACTAAATTGTTCCTTATAAAAATAGTTGATTTTATGTTATGTGAATGTTACCTTAATACGTTATTATTTTTTAAACCCAGAATGTGGATTGATGCTCAGGTATGAGCATTGCGCTATTTCTTCAATAATTAACTCAATACAACCTTTTCTAATCTGTGAAACAGCTGAGGATATAAATTAAATTACTATTTTTCTTGTATCATGGTTTTCTGAGATACACAGTGCAAAAAGTAGATGAGCTGTTTTCATATATGTACCGGACATCGAAAATGTGTCCAACTACAGAGCAAACTGCTATAACAAACACTTGAATTAAATTAGTGATACAGTTTGGATGTTGTCCCTTCTAAATCTCATGTTGAATTGTAATGCCCAATGTTGGAGTTGGGGCCTGGTAGGAGATGATTGGGTCATGGGGGCTGATTTCTCAGGAATGTGATATGGTCATCCTCTTGGTGCCGTCCTTGCAATAGTGAGTGAGTTCTTGTGAGATCTGGTTGTTTTAAAGTGTGTGGCACCTTGCCCCAACTCTTGCTCTTACTCTTGCCATGTGAGATGCCTGCCCCCCCACTTCGCCTTCTGCCATGATTGTATGCCTGCTGAGGCCCTCACCAGCAGCAGATGCTAGCACCTTGCATCTTGTACTTTGTATAGAACTGTAAGCCAATTAAACCTTTCCTTCTAAATTACCCAGCCTCAGTTATTTCTTTATAGCCACTCAAGAATGGCCTAATACAGTTGGTAATCTGTGTTGAAAGACACTGATATCATGCAATGTCCAATATAATAATCCAGTTAAGAATTAACAATGACTTGGTTTGCTTTCTCAGTGAATATTCACATCTTATTGATGTGAAGAATTATAATATTGGATAATAACTTTGTAATTGTGTGCTTTCTCATTTCTTAGGCTATGAAGTTAATCAATTTCACAAATTTTTCACTTTATATTTCTTTTCTTTCTTCGTTTTTAAGATATTTTTCGCTTTATTGAAGTATAATTGACAAATAGGAGTTGTATATATTTAACTTGTACATATGATGTTTTGATGTATGTACACATGTACCTATATCAATGTATCAGTGTTCACCACAATCAGGCTAATTAACAGGTCCATCACCTCACATAGTGTTATTTTCTAAAGTGTAGTTTGGTTTATGAGAAAGGTGCCTATACTTTATGGAAATAATAAAAATCTTCTATGATTTTTTTCACTATTGTGTGAGTTTGCAATTGGTGATATATTGACCTTACAGGTATTAGGGAAAAAATTGAGCAGCTTTCTAATAAAACTTATTTTCAGATATTTAACAACTTAATTAATATTTTCTTTAATAAACCACTTTTGAATTTTTGATTCATTTAAATAAAGTGCAGATACAATAAAGCACAGTAAGAATAATCGAAATTGTAAATTTAAAACTACAGCATACAATGGCATGTTATATGAAAAGAGATTTTTTTCTATTGCATGAATGCTAGTTGAGACACATTAACCAGTCCAAAATAAACCTTGAAGAATAAAATATTATTAAAAAGCATGGCAGAAGTTCCTGTGAAAATAAAAACTAGCTATGTCTTTCAAATTTGTAAAATGTATGTAAAGAAAAATAATTGTTTTTTCTTTTAAAAATGCTAAGCCAGCTGGGTACCACATGATAAGACTTCTAAGACAATAGTAATGAATGGACAATATTTAGTAAATCACTTTCCTAAATGATCTATGTGTTTTATAGAAAGTCTAAGCAAATTTTACTATTACTATCAGAGTTTAGTTTCTATACTCCTTTATATGCTACTGTTACAGATATCTTGGATGTTTTGCTACATGCAAATGGCTACCTTCTGATTTTGTTTAATTCTGCTTTTTAAAAAGGTTCTTGTTCAAGCATAGGGCAGAGTTTAGTGTAACCTACTCTGGAAGATTCCACTTTCTATGCGTGCCTTACAAGATTCACAGCAGCCCATACTTCAAATATAATGTGGAGAAAACGTCTAAAGAGAATCTTCATTGACTTTTTGTAGTCCAGAGCATGAGGTCATATAAGCGAAGATAAACATTGCAGCAAAACCATCCTCTTTAATGACTGCCCAGAACTTCTTGGTAAATTATCTTTGGCAAATCAGTCTCATTACATTTTCATTCTACAAATGTTTTTGTGTGTGTTTCTTACCTGCTGTGCACCATTGTATACATTCAGAATAGCAAGTCTGAAACATGTAAAACCTAACATGTGATTTCAAAAGTCCCAAGAATAAACTGAACTGCCATATTGTCACCTACAAAATCCCTTCCACTTCTCCTGATAAAATAACCATCTGATATGGCTTGGCTGTGTTCCTACCCAAATTTCACCTTGAATTGTAATAATCTCCAAGTGTCATGGGAGGGACCCGGGGGAGGTAATTGAATCATGGGGATGGGTTTTTCCTGTGCCGTTCTCATGATAGTGAGTAAGTCTCACAAGATCTGATGGTTTTATAAACAGGAGTTCCCCTGCATAAGCTCTCTTGCCTGTCGCTATGTAAGCCATGACTTTGCCCCTCGTTCACCTTCCACCATGAGTGAGGCCTCGCCAGCCCTGTGGAACTGTGAGCCAATTAAACCTCTTTCCTTTATAAGTTACCCAGTCTCAGGTATGTCTTTATTAACAATGTGAGAACAGATTAATATGCCATCTAAATTTATTGCAATTACTTATTTTACAACTATAAATGAAGTCAGGAATCAGGAATTACACTTACTTATTTACAGTTAAATCTCCAATATCTAACAGACTGCTGACTTACATAAGATGTTCAAGAAATCTTTGTTGAATAAAAAATGGATCCAGAGACTAAAATGGAATCAACTGTGCCTTTTGTTCCTCTTTACTGTTTAAGGAGGAAGGTAAATTTAGATAACTCAAAACATTACTGACAAAACACTGCAGTCATCTGAACAAATCATTTCCAGATGGATTTGTGACTTCTCTAATGTAATTATTAAAAATAAATTAATTTAGAATATTATACAGACAATCCACATTTTCATTTTAATCCTCCAGAGCTAATCAACTCCTTGCCTTAATCTCTTTATGGTTTGTTTTCTTAATTTCCATAGGTTATATGTATGTATATTTTTTTAACATATGTGATCACATTAAGCCAAGTGATATCCTCATAGTTGTATTGTCTTTAAAAAACTCAATCTTCTTAATAAATTAGCAGATGTTTGTATTATATGTACTTGAATTTAGAGCAAGTGAGTGAATCATAATAGTGCCAAAGCAATTGAAAACTCTGAGGCAAAAGAAGCACAAGAAATCAAATGGGACTATGTATAAATTTTATGCGGTAATTTAAATTTTACATTGAAACATGTAGACAGGCTTCTAAAATATAGTAAATTATTTCACTACTTATTTTAAACTAATTTTCATACTATTTCTGCCTTTTTAAAATAAGAAAATAAAGAGTTCAAAAATTGTTTAAATTATTTTTAACTCAATTGTTTTCTTGTTCTCAGTTAAGATATGAAGCTAAAACCCTAATTTCACTACAGTTTGCATTTCATTTATAACCTAATAATGCAATATTCTGTATATCCTATCAGAGAAGTAATTAAAATTAGAGATGGCAAATACAAATATAATTTCTTTAACTACCTCTAGCTCAAGTTTACTTTGGGATCAGATTATTTTTGAAAGAACAAGGCTCAGAGGAGTGAGTGAAATAACTGTGATTGAATGTTGAATGAATCAGAATGGCAAAGCCAGAAAATTATGTTTCTGCCCAGCCTTGATATACTTGCTAGCTCCAGGCTATAGTTCGAGTCTGAAGTATAAATCAAATATGATTTGGATACTTTTCAGTATAAAACAGAAAAAAGGAGAGAAATATTTCCAAGTAGCGTGTAGAAAGCTAGAGAATATTGCTCACCATCCGTAAAGAAGGCCAAATAAACTACAAAATTATAATTTTTTGAGGTTGTAAGGTAACCAGTAGAGCTGAACTCCAAAAGGTGACAAGCTTTTCTGAGGAGAGATGAGACAAACAAGCTCTTTAATCTTGGCAGAGAATGGGAGGAGAAGGTGGCTGCCACAGACATGGATTAGAAGAAAACAATGAAAATTATTACTGAATTCTTAAATAGCAAGTGTGGTCTGCTGTAACAGATTAGAAGCCTGGAGAATCCCCAACAACTATTAGATAGGCACTCATTTCCAAGCTTGTTCTAACCTCCACAGATTATTTATGAAAATGACTACAGACAGGTAGGAGACAAGGGGAGAGTCCCTTCCATGGTAAGGCACCCGCATGAAGTTGCGCACATCTCCTAAAGCCTTCTATCAAACTAAGAAAAATATTAAACTGCTGACGAATAATTAGGAAATCCACTGATTTCCAAGGCCCAGGTAAAGATCCTTGACTTCTGGGTGCAAAGAAGGAAGTAAAATGTCTCTGCTCCAGTGGGAGGGGCAGAAAACCTACTCGGGCCCAGCATTTACACCAATACAAAGCAGAGTTCTCCTCCCATTAGAAGAGGTAGGAAGGCCCTGAAAAATTTAGCTTCAAAGTCCTTGAGGAAATATTAGTAAAACAAATTCAGAAAAGTATAGAGAAGATAACACATCTAAATTAGATTTGTCCCAAGAATGAAAGGTTCACTCAAAACTTAAAAATCAATCAATGTAGTCACGAGGTGAAAATAACAAATCAATGCCATCTCAATAACTTCAGAAAAAAAATTTGACAATACTCATAATCTGTTTATGATTTAAAAAAAATAAGCAAAGTATCAGTAAAAGGGAACTTCCTTAACTTCATTTAAGAATCTATTGAAAAACTACAGGCCTTACACAGTAGCTCATAACTGTAATCACAGCACCTTGGGAGGCTGAGGTGGGCGGATCAGTTGAGATCAGGAGTTGGAGACCAGCCTGGTCAACATGGCAAAACCTCATCTCTACTAAAATATACAAAAATTATCCAGGCTTTGTGGTGCATGCCTGTAATTCCAGCTACCCAGGATTCCGAAGCATGAGAATTATTTGAACCTGGGACATGGAGGTTGCAATGTTGCAGTGAGCTGAGATCATGCCAGCCTGGGGGACAAAGTGAGATCTCATGTCAGACACACACACACACACACACACACACACACACACACACACACACACACATAGAGTGAATATCATACTTAATGGTGAAAGATTGAATGCTTTCTTTTTAAGACTGGGATTGAGGTAGAAGTGTCTAATTTCAACATTTTAATTCAATGTTGAATAGGGTTCTAACAAGTGAAGTTAGACAAGAAAAAAGATTAGAGACATCATGATTGGAAAGAAAGAAATAGAACTATCTCTATTTGAAATCAACATGATTGCCTATAAGAATCTACAATAGCTGTTATAACCCATTTGTGGTTTTAGCCAGGTTGCAGGATACAAAACCATATACAAAAATAAATTGTGTTACAGTGCACTAGCACCAAATATTTGGAAATTGAAATAAAAATAATACAAAACTGAAATATAAACGGAAATGAAGAGTATTATTAAGGAGGAAATACTGTTTGTGGCAGTGGATTTGTAACCGTACACATTTGTCAAAACCCACTTAAATGAACCTGAGAGAAGGTAAATTTTATTAACTGTAAAATATACTTCAATAAACCTTACTTTAAAAATGCCCAATAAAAAGGAAAGAGTGGGAGCTACTGTGGAGAAAAGATTCTCCAAAAATATTAGGAAAAAACCTGGGGCCCTCTGACTTAACAGGCAATCAGCAGAATGCCAGACCCCATGAAACACAGAGATGATAGTGAAATGGTTACGAGTAACACTCTCATGCCAAATGACAGGTGTTTAGATGCTGGTACCTCTACTCCAAGCAGTGCAACCATGGCAAGGTGCTAAACTGCTCTTCTGTGAAACAGGTAATACTAGTGCCTTCTTCATAGGATTGGTTTGAGGGTTAAACTAATGAAACACTTACAGTACTTCACTTATAAGGAGCAGTACATATGTGGTTTTTAAAATATATATTATTACGTATTTTAATGAATAATTAAATCACAAATATATTCACTAATTTATCAAATAAGTAACACAAATCAAAGGCAGCCAAAAATATTGAAAATTTTAAAAGCAGTGTTTGAGAGTAGGAGGAATTGTATTTATTTTTTTCTTTTGACACCAAATGTTTATAAGAACTGTGGTGGATATTTGAGTTACCCAATAGATGTTGGTAATTATTATTCCTTACAGATAATGTCGTTTTGATTAAAACAATAAATGAGAATGAGTTCAAGCAGTCATTAAGCCAATGTTTACTATTCTTTCCTTGATGCTTGATGGGTGAGGTTCCAGAATTGCTTTTAATGGGATCACAGTCCAGTGGAGAAGGTAGGTACACAAATAAAGTCATGTGCCCCGTAATAACTTGTCAGTCAACAACAGTGGTCCCATAAGATTATAAAATGGAATTTTTGCTATATCTTTTCCATGTTTAGATATGTTTAGATACATAGATACCACTGTGTTGCAATTGCCTACAGTATTCTGTACAGTAACATGCTGTACAGGTTTGTAGATTAGGAGCAATAGGCTTTGCCATACGGCCTAGGTTTGTCATAGGGTGCACCATGTAGGTTTGTGTAAGTACATTCTATGATGTTTGCACAGTGAGGAAATTGCCTAACAACACATTTCTAAGAAAATATTGCCAACATTAAGGGACACAACTGTAATTAAAATACAATATAAAAAGTGCTGGAAGAAGAGGTATACACAGTGAAATGGGAGCTTGGGGAGGTAGGGGGCAGGGTTCCAACTAAAAACAATAGGGATAAGAAGTGGTAAGCCTAATGGAAAAGGGTTTGGGTTTGCTGGTCATTCAATGATGGGTCAACTCTGACTTTGCCATTTCCTTCTTGTATGACCTTAAGGAAGTACTTTAATTATTTTAGCCACAAGTTCTTCATCTTAAAACATGGAACATAACAAACAATAAGTATTTTGTCGGGCTGTTGTGAAGGTAAAATGAAAAAATACATATGAAGGACTTAGTAAGTACGTGAAAATCACTCTCAATAAATGCTAGCCATATTGTTATTATTAGCGTTATATTAGTAGTATTTGTTTCTACTAATTACATCATACTAATATAGTATTTAGCACACTGTTGTGCCAAATATTTCTGATACTTAAAAAAGCATTTTTACATAATATTTTTACTGGATCTTCAGTAATTATGCAAGGCAGAATGGCAGATTTTATTGTTCTCAATTTACAGATAAGACCAACAGGAAGGTGTAAAAGGTCTTGTACAACTGTTACAAGTTTTTCTCATGAAAGCCTTTTTAATTCCTCTGTATTAGCCTGAAATGACTTGATTTTCTCAATTTTTCTACACTGTTTTACTCATAATTTTTTGATCCATTACGCAATGATGCCTAAAACATAGATGTACGCACACACACACACACACACACACACTCTCTCTCTCTCTCTTTCTCTCATGTGTTCACACACAATAAGACCCTGTATATGTTTATTTTCAACCTGTTACATAAATTGTGGCCCTTTAATATAGCTTTTAGATAATGTGAATTTATTTTATTCTAGCACAATCATTTTTTCCAGTTCTTTAAATGTATAATTTGGGAGGTTTTATTACATTAAGAATATTTCTATTAGAAATAACAAAATAACTACGTACTCCAAAGGAGACTTAATGTCAAATTCCATTTCTAAGGGTACAATGATAAAAGAAATAATAGCAACAATAACAAAAATGCTTTGTTACTGATTTATTATATCTTATTTGCCTTCTAAAAAGATCCTTTTATTCATTCTTTTAATACCATAGCCACATGATTTGACTAATGGAAAATGGAAGACAAGTATTACTCAACACTACCTCTTAGATACCTAGCAGAGAAAAATGGTTTCACACATGAAAAAGCAGTAGGAGGGAAATTAGGTGAAATATCACATGAAACTAAGCTCCTATATTTTATTAAAATTTATAAGGCACAGATTTAAAAAGATGTAGATATTGTCCATAACAATTCACTGATTTACTCAATTTGGTTAATCTTATCAAACAGGGTTTTGTGGGGTTTTTCTTTTAGGCTTCATGATACAGCTACCAGCTGTTAAAATTGGACTTAGGATTTCAGATCTTGATTCTTGCGTACAATTTTGAAAAAAAAGGAGGTCAAAGTAAGCAATATGAAATTAGTAAAACAATTGGTTGACATGACAAGGAATTTGTATCCTTAAAAGAGTGTAGGTAAGATACACAGTTAAAATGTTACTATATTTGAAATACAGACATTCTGCCAGCAGGAAAAATATTTGTTGGAAGTGAAAAAATGACTCCATGAGTTGTTAATCAATCATTCAGTTAGCTTCCTGCTGGTACTTGTATAAGATCTATTACTGTTGTGAATATTTTACCTGTGAAATAAGGGAGAAAAGATAATTAAACACACATTAACCAGACCTAGGGGTTTGAGTATAGCAATCTATTAATCAATATTGATTGAATATTATAATAGACATCATGAAGGAGTTGGGTTTTAGCTATGCCTTGAAATATGAATAAGATGAGGGTAGCAAGAAGGCAATGGAGTAAGAAGAAGATGCAGGAGAAGAAATTTCAGGATGGGAAAATATGACATTTCCACAATTTCTTCATTCACTGTAGAAAATTGTATGTCTATTCAATTTTTCAGATCAAATAACTGAATACACATGCTTTCTTTTCTTATTCTCTATCAAATGTTTGCAAATATGAAATATCACTATATAATTTTTGAAGAGTTACTTCTTCAATGTGAGTTAATTTTAAAATAGCATCAAGCAATATTTACTTAGTCATGCATTCACTTATTTCAAAATACTCCTCACTTTTCCATTTCCTTAGTTCAAACATTCATGTATTGATATTTTGGTGTACCTATTATTTGCCTGGCATTATTCTGGGAATATAAAGATAAGCAAAACATGACCTGAATCCCTAACTTCTGGAAGCTTATAGTCTAATGGTAGAGACAGACACTGATCAACTGATTCCATAAATAGATATAAATTCACCCTTGAGTGTAGTGCTAGAATAAGAGGTGTTATTAGAGCATATGAAAGGGAGAGTTGACCTGGTCAGGAAGGTCAGAGAAGACTTCTTTGGGCAACTGACAATTTAATATCAACGTAAAGGATGAGTAGGGGTTAACTAGAAAGGGAAAAGCATTACATATGAAAGGCAAATCATATGCAAAAATCTGTACTGAGAGGACATTTGGCAGGTATGATCTTAAGGATGTCAACATGAATGAATAAGAGAAAGCAAGGAGGAATTTGGTGCCAGGTGAGCTTGGTGCTTTTTCTCCTGGATTATTTCTGGTCACCCTCTAGCTCAGCATCACTCTAGACCCTCTCCAATCCAGTCCTGTCATATGTGTTTTATTGAAGTTGATATGACTATATCATTCCTGTCATAAGCCTGTTTCTTCATCCTTCATGGAGACACCTGCACTCAGGCATGGTACGTATCTCACCATCGCCGGAACATGGTCTGCCTTTAAGTGACCTGTGAACTGTTCACCTATCTTGACCCTTGAATTTGCTTTGCCTGGATAGATCTGCCAGCAGCCTGGCAATCTGTTTGTCTTTTCTGCTGAGGTCAAATGTTACCCTCAATTTTGGGACCTTCATGAATACCCTGAGGGTGGGAATCTTTCCTCTCTGTGCTTCCACAACTTTCTTTGCCTTCCCTGTCCACACCTCTGTTGACATGGCATTCAAGGAGAAGGTAAGCTCTTTAGAGTCAGGGATCTAGTTTCACTCTTTTATATACAGTATGTTGAGAAATGTCTGAGAAAACTTGACACTTAAAAAAACCTGGAGTTTTTTTGCCAAACTAAACATTTATGTCAGTTTTTTAGGCCACATTCTGATAATTTAGGATGAATGAGTTTGCCTGAATTATTGATTCAAATAAATTAATTTAATACTGCTCAGTTTTAGAGATAGCTTTTTATCACCATTAATAAATAATGACTGAACAATTAACATTTTTGGTGAAAACCCAGTCTTAACTTCTTTACTTAAATCTAAGATTTTAAAAATATGTTAATTACCATTAAAATATGACTTTGAACAATTGACTTAAACTCTATGCCTCAGATTTCTCATTTTTAAGGTGAGGATAATAACTATCTCCTAGAATAACTATTTTCTAGATAGATAGTTTCTCTATCTATAGATGGACAATATAGATATCTGCAGATGTCTATCTATAGATAGATAGTCTCTATCTAACAATCCTAGGATTTTTATGAAAATTAACTGGTTAACATTTCCAAGTATTGTGAACAGTATTTGGCACTAAGTAATTGCTCTACCAGTGCTTGTTAATTAAGTAAAAAAAACAAACAAGTCAGGTATTGACAGGCATTTCTGAGAAATTTCTATGAGTTTTAAAGGAGTATAAAGATGAATCCATTATAAATATACTGATTATGCTTTGAATGGTCCCTTTTATAACTACCCATATTTATTCAATATAGCCAGTTGTAACACTACTCCTTCCTCAGCCTGCACAATTCCAGCAGCAGGTAAAGAAAGAGACTCTAGGTCTTCGTGTCATACTCTTCTACCACAGGTTGTATTCTTGGGCTTAGTGGTGAGTTAGGTATTTTCCTTGATGCTTCTTGCTACTACTACTTGAGACAAATTGTGTCTCCCTGTTAACTTCAGAAAAAAAAAAAGTTTAAAGCTCATGCCATCAAAGAATGCAACCCCCACTCCCCTACTGCAGTTATTTCTAAGACTCTAGTGACCCATCCTCATCCCTTTAACACTTTTAACTCTGGTTTATTGTGACTCTTGGCAAAACTATTGCTGTTGTAATTCTTAAGAATTATCTATATAGAAGCTTCTCTCAGTTCCCTGGCTTCAAAGTTCCTTGGAGTTTACTTCTCCATAGATATAGTCATTCCTCCATCTTCAGCCTTTCTCTCTCCTCATTTCAACTAAGGTATCATCAATAACAACTGCAACCCCTCCAAATTTCAGTTTCAAGCATAAAAACAGTTTGTACTCCCTCTAGTCACCTACCTCTAATAGTTCTTCACCAGTCTATGACTAACATTCTATTGATTCTATGCCTTTTCATTCTCCCTTTCTGACTTCATTCTCACTTTTTTCTTTTTAACAGTTTAGATTTCATAGTACATCATTTATTAAAATCACTCAACTGCCTTGCCCATCTCCATTCATTGTATTCATCTGCAAAATCCAAACCCTGGTTAAATAAAATTCAATATCAACCTCAAGCCTGTTCCTATGAAGCTGAACAAATGTGAAGGAAAACATTATGACTGGTCTTACTTCAAATTCATGAGCACTACATTTAAGAGGAGAGCCAGAACTCATATTGAATTTCTTAATTCCTCTTGTTCTACCACATGGCTAAATAACCATATGTTGTCCTCACTTCTCAAACTTCCAGCACCTTCTTCCCAACTTTACTCTCAGCAGGATTCTTAACTGCTGCTTCTAATTTCATTGAAAAAAAAATGTAAATATAATTAGGAAACTTTTACACACTTCCCATCATATCTACTTTCCTACAGCATCTGCATCTTATTCTCTGCCTTTTTTAGCTTCTCTGTGTAACCGTAAGTCCTCTCCCTCCATCCATGCATTACATTTTATTTCCCCCTCACTCATTCCCCAGTCCATTTACTCATTGTGGGCTGAAATGTATTTCCCAAAAATGTGTACTTTGAAGTCCTAACACTTAGTACCTCTGAATGTAATGGTATTTGGAGATAACATCTTTAAAGGGTTAATTAAATGCAATGTGGTCTTTAGGGTGGGCCCTAATCCAACATTGCAGGTGTTCATATAGGAAGAGGAGATTATGAAACAGACAGAGAGAGGCACCTGACTCATGTACCAAGGGGCGACCATGTGAGGATAATGAGAAGACAGTCATCTGCAAGCCAAGAAGAGAAGCCTAAGAAGAAGCAAAACATGCCTACACTTGACCTTGAACTTTTCGCCTCCAGAAGGTTGAGAAAATAAATTTCTGTTGTTTAAGCCACCCAGTCTGTGGTAAGTGCGATGGCAGCCCTAGGAAATGAATACGCTACGTCGGACGGTCTCACTGTCTTTTCTGCAATACCAATCATTTCTCTCTCAATAGAAGTTTCTCATCAGTATACAAATATATCTTTATTTCCTCTGTCTTATACAAAGAAAAATTATCTCTTGATCACACATTCCTTCCTGCTACTACCTCATTCTTTCCCCATTTTCCATATAATTCTGCTTCTAACTTTTACCCTCTCTTTCTTTCTTGAATATACTCCAACCAGGCTTCCCTTCTGTTTCTCTTCTTTAGACCATCACTCCACGGGAAAAGTGCTCCTTATCTAACAAACTCCTCAGTAAGTTCTTTAGTTATTTTCAATAACAATCTCCATGTTGTTATAGTACTCAATATTTATTTGTTATCCTATTTGGCCTATAAACACCATTTAATAGGGGAAGGATAAGTCATCTCCCCTCCCCCCATTCTCACTGCTTAACTCCAGGCTTACATGTACCCAAATGTATACCTGGCATTTATGCTTGGCTAATAAGTTTTCCTAAATTCCACCTGTCCAAAATAGCACTCCCTTTTAAACTACTTGTCCATTTATCTCTACCTTAATACATGACAATTCCATTCTTCCAGTGATATGGTTTGACTCTGTGTCCCCATCCAAATCTCACCTTGATTGTAATAATCCCCACGTGTCAAGGGCAGGACCAGGTGGAGGTAATTGGATCATGGGGGCAGTTTTCCCCATGCTGTTCTCATGATAATGAGTGAGTCTCACAAGATCTGATTGTTTTATAAGTGTCTGCCATTTCCCCTGCTTGCACTCACTCCATCCTGCCGCCCTGTGAAGAAGGTGCCTGGTTCTCCTTTGCATTTTCCCATAATTGTAAGTTTCCTGAGGCCTCCCCAGCAATGCAGAACTGCGAGTCAGTTAAACCTCTTTCCTTTATAAATCACCCAGCCTCAGGTAGTTCTTTATAGCAGTATCAGAATGAACTAATACATCCAGTAAAATCAAAAGAAAACAAGCAAACAAACAAGTAAACATTTTTCATGTTATCTAGGAGTCCTATTAAAATTCTCACATCCCTTATTGAATCCATCAGCAAATCCTGTCAGCTATATATCTCTTCAAATGCCAGAACCCATCAATTCTGTCACTACCTTCCTCTTCCAATTATTCAAAATCTCTTGGTTGGACTCTCACCACTATTATCTTTGTACTTTCCTCCACTTTATTCTCAATGCCACAGACAGTATCATCGTTCTGTGATATAACCCACATTATGTACATCACTGCCCTAAACCCTTTGGTGGCTTCTCATCTTATGTAGGAAAAAAGACAAAGATCTTTCAAGGCATCCCAGCATTTTCTCTGTTCTTTGTTCTTTGTTCCTTGAATACTCCAGACACCTCACACCAGAACTTGTGAATTTATTAATTAGGTTACAAATGATACTTTTTCAGAAATTTGCAGGGCTCCCTCTTCTACTCTGCTCTATTATAATCTTATAAACTATCATTTGCTTTATTTCTTTCCTTTCTCCTGCTTTCCTTAACTCCATGAAAGTAGAGATCATGTTCCGTTTAGCTTACTGCTATAACACCATGTATAAAACAGTTTCTGGCACATAATAAGCACTCAATAAACATCGTGAACAAATAAGTAAATAGATTTACTAATATGAATGATACATTCCCTGATCTTTTGCAACATGCTTACATAATCAATAGACTCTTTGCCCCCTTTTATTGCCAGAATTTCCTCAACAGTTAAATCTTCTCTCCTGGGCTTCAATGACACAGTTGTATGGAAACTTACTTGGATATTCTGATCCCTGGGCAAACCTAGGATTCTGAGAGAGTTAACATCTGATAGGGCAACTTTTGACTAATAGGAGATGGTTTCTGGTGGATAAAAGCTCTATTTTCCATTCCATGAACCTTCTAAACCTCATTTGACACAGTAACTCAAAGTGTCCTCAGTATAATCAAACTGCAGTTGCTCATGATGGCAACTCATTGGTAATGGAATCTTGCATTGGCTTCACCTCCTTCCTTAGGGTCTCTTTCTAAAGTAAACTGCCGGTATACATGCATTTTTCTCAGATTCTACTTTCTGAAGAGAACCCAGGCTTTGTCAATTTTTCCATAAAGCTAAGTTCCAAAATATCCCCTAGAGTACAATAGGTACTTAATAAATATTTAAAGGATACCTAGGTATTTTATTGTCTTTGAAGCAATTGTGAATGGGAGTACACTCATGATTTGGCTCTCTGTTTTTCTGTTATTGGTGTATAAGAATGCTTGTGATTTTTGCACATTGATTTTGTATCCTGAGACTTTGCTGAAGTTGCTTATCAGCTTAAGGAGATTTTGGGCTGAGACGATGGGGTTTTCTAGATACACAATCATGTCATCTGCAAACAGGGACAATTTGACTTCCTCTTTTCCTAATTGAATACCTTTTATTTTTTTCTCCTGACTGATTGCCATGGCCAGAACTTCCAACACTATGTTGAATAGGAGTGGTGAGAGAGGGCATCCCTGTCTTGTGCCAGTTTTCAAAGGGAATACTTCCAGTTTTTGCCCATTCAGTATGACATTGGCTGTGGGTTTGTCATAAATAGCTCTTATTATTTTTAGATAGATCCCATAAATACCTAATTTATTGAGAGTTTTTAGCATGACGGGCTATCGAATTTTGTCAAAGGCCTTTTCTGCATCTATTGAGATAATCATGTAGTTTTTGTGTTTGGTTCTGTTTATATGCTGGATTACGTTTATTGATTTGCATATGTTTAACCAGCCTTGCATCCCAGGGATGAAGCCCACTTGATCACGGTGGATAAGCTTTTTGATGTGCTGCTGGATTCCGTTTGCCAGTATTTTATTGAGGATTTTTGCATCGATGTTCATCAGGAATATTGGTCTAAAATTCTCTTTTTTTGTTGTGTCTCTGCCAGGCTTTAGTATCAGGATGATGCTGGCCTCATAAAATGAGTTAGGGAGGATTCCCTCTTTTTCTATTGATTGGAATAATTTCAGAAGGAATGGTACCAGCTCCTCCCTGTACCTCTGGTAGAATTCAGCTGTGAATTCATCTGGTTCTGGACACAAGGGATGTGAAGGACCTCTTCAAGGAGAACTACAAACCACTGCTCAATGAAATAAGAGAGGACACAAACAAATGGAAGAACATTCCATGCTCATGTATAGGAAGAATCAATATTGTGAAAATGGCCATACTGCCCAAGGTAATTTATAGATTTGATGTCATCACCTTCAAGCTACCAATGACTTTCTTCACAGAATTGGAAAAAACTACTTTAAAGTTCATATGGAACCAAAAAAGAGCACGCATTGCCAAGTCAATCCTAAGCCAAAAGAACAAAGCTGGAGGCATCATGCTACCTAACTTCAAACTATACTACAAGGCTACAGTAACCAAAACAGCATGGTACTGGTACCAAAACAGAGATATGGACCAATGGAACAGAACAGAGCCCTCAGAAATAATACCACACATCTACAACTATCTGATCTTTGACAAACCTGACAAAAACAAGAAATGGGGAAAGGATTCCTTATTTAACAAATGGTGCTGGGAAAACTGGCTAACCATATGTAGAAAGCTGAAACTGGATCCCTTCCTTACACCTTATACAAAAATTAATTCAAGATGGATTAAAGACTTAAATGTTAGACCTAAAACCATAAAAACCCTAGAAGAAAACCTGGCAATACCATTCAGGATGTAGGCATGGGCAAGGACTTCATGTCTAAAACACCAAAAGCAATGGCAACAAAAGCCAAAATTGACAAATGGGATCTAATTAAACTAAAGAGCTTCTGCACAGCAAAAGAAACTACCATCAGAGTGAACAGGCAACCTACAGAATGGGAGAAGATTTTTGCAATCTACTCATCTGACAAAGGGCAAATATCCAGAATCTACAATGAACTCAAACAAATTTACAAGAAACAAACAAACAAGCCCATCAAAAATTGGGCAAAGGATATGAACAGACACTTCTCAAAAGAAGACATTTATGCAGCCAAAAGACATGTGAAAAAATGCTCATCATCACTGGTCATCAGAGAAATGCAAATCAAAATCACAATGAGATATCATCTCACACCAGTTAGAATGGTGATCATTAAAAAGTCAGGAAATAACAGGTGCTGGAGAGGATGTGGAGAAATAGGAACACTTTTACACTGTTGATGGGACTGTAAACTAGTTCAACCATTGTGGAAGTCAGTGTGGCGATTCCTCAGGGATCTAGAACTAGAAATACCATTTGACCCAGCCATCTCATTACTGGGTATATACCCAAAGGAATATAAATCATGCTGCTATAAAGACACATGCACACGTATGTTTATTGCGGCACTACTCACAATAGCAAAGACTTGGAACCAACCCAAATGTCCTACCATGATAGACTGGATTAAGAAAATGTGGCACATATACACCATGGAATACTATGCAGCCATAGAAAAGGATGAGTTTATGTCCTTTGTGGGGACATGGATGAAGCTGGAAACCATTATTCTCAGCAAACTATCACAAGGACAAAAAACCAAACACCGCATGTTCTCACTCATAGGTGGGAATTGAACAATGAGAACACATGGACACAGGAAGGGGAACATCACACACTGGGGACTGTTGGGGGGTGATGGAGGGGGGAGGGATAGCATTAGGAGATATGCCTAATGTGAAATGACGAGTTAATGGGTGCAGCATGCCAACATGGCACATGCATACATATGTAACAAACCTGCACATTGTGCACACATAACCTAGAACTTAAAGTATAATTAAAAAGTCAGGAAACAACAAGTGTTGGAGAGGATGTGGAGAAATAGGAACACTTTTACACTGTTGGTGGGACTGTTAACTAGTTCAACCATTGTGGAAGACGGTGTGGCAATTCCTCAGGGATCTAGAACTAGAAATACCGTTTGACCCAGCCATCCCATTACTGGGTATATACCCAAAGGATTATAAATCATGCTGCTATAAAGACACATGCACAAGGATGTTTATTGCAGCACTATTCACAATAGCAAAGACTTGGAACCAACCCAAATGTCCAACAGTGATAGACTGGATTAAGAAAATGTGGCACATATACACCATGGAATACTATGCAGCCATAAAAAATGATGAGTTCATGTCCTCTGTTGGGACATGGATGAAGCTGGAAACTATCATTCTCAGCAAACTATCACAAGGACAGAAAACCAAACACTGCATGTTCTCACTCATAGGTGGGAATTGAACAATGAGAACACATGGACACAGGAAGGGTAACATCACACACCAGGGACTGTTGTGGGGTGGTGGGAGGGGGAGGGATAGCATTAGGAGATATACCTAATGCTAAATGATGAGTTAATGGGTGCAGCACACCAACATGGCACATGCATACATATGTAACAAACCTGCACCTTGTGCACATGTACCCCAAAACTTAAACTATAATAATAATAAAAAAGTATAATAAAAATATATATATAAAAAAATTTACAGGATAAATGATTGGACAATTCACTATAACAGCAAGTACCTTTATTATTCATTTTTAGATAAGTCTTGTAAGATGAAATTGATCTCATGTATATTATCTTCTACCATTTCATTTATAACTGTATATCAAATTCCAGAAACAAAATGTCCAAAGAGACCACAAGAAACCATACTCTTTTTAATCTTTTTCTCCAAATTGGCTAAAAGAATTATGGAATGTTTATAATCAAAGCTTTAAAATACCTCCTATTTTAATGGAACAAAAGATAAATTACAGTATGAAGAATTTCACTAGTGCTTTGTACTAAAACCTACTCTACTGGAAGATTAATGACATCCTGCAGGTTAACTCTAACACACCAGAAACTCTTTTAATTTGCACTTTAAATAAGTTTTCTTCCTTCAGAACAATGTTTATAGTTATTGCATTTCTACAAACTGCTCAATAGGTAAATTCAAACCAAATAGTAGAAATGAGAAATAAATGACTTCATATATCTTGGCAAAAAGTAAGTTATGGGATCATTGTTAGAATGGTTTATAGTGCCTCTTATTCCACATTTATTTTCTTTTCTCAGCAGTAAAAAGGAAAATCCTTATTCCTCAAAGTATTTCTGGCTGGCAGCTGCTGAGGTGAGGATCATGATTTCCTGATTCTAGCTTGGTTAGATTCAGCTTATACTATAGACATAGAAATATTGGTACAGCAATTAAGTGCACAAAATAATCAGCAAATGTCCTTAAACACAACCCATCTTCTGCCCTCAATCCATCTTGATACCCTTTGCAATTTCATGAGTTTCTCATGAACTTCCTGCTATAAGTTTCTAGAATCACATATTTAAAGGAAAAGCCATCTATTTGGATTCACCTTTCTTGTATTCAAAATAAATTTAATAAGTATGCAAACATGAATTCTTGTATTTTTGGATTAGCTTTTGCAATAGCAGTTGTTTTCACTTGGCTTCTTGGGATTGAGAATGGAAGAGAGAAAACAGGTTACTCTTCTGGATACACAAGGATAATGACGGAGGTCACCTGTCAAATTCTCCTGTGAAAATGTTACTGGCATTTTGACAAATGTTTTACATCTTACTTTTCGTTTAGATAATAGTTACATGATAAACTCAGTGCCTATGAATATTTTAGCTGTTACCATCTCATAGACAATATAAACAGGTAAAGAAAAAAAGGTGGCTACAAAACCTTGGGTAAAACTGAAGGTAATTACTGAGGATTCTCAGCAAATGAGTCCTTCTGTAGCCTCCCCCAGGGTTTCTTAACGCCTAGATTATGCTTATTTGAACTTTCTAAGATTTAGAAAGTCAATTTTCCATTCAGGAGGTTCCCCAATCCTGAATATCTAGTATTTTGTCATTGTTTTAGGAATGAGGAGCAGTGGAAATTAAAATTATATTTACCCTTAAAATAGTTCCCAAGGCAAGTTTGCTTATGATGTACTTTGAAATTGTATACAAATTAAGTGAGCCTATATTTTAGATAATCTTTTCTTTCAGTTGTATACATTGAACAGTAAAGTATCTTGCAAATCATGAATATCAAATTAGATATCACAAGGGAGCAGACCCATTTACATAGTCCAGTGATTGTATTTAATAAATGATTAAGAAGTACTTGATTGTAATGAAAAATAAAAGGTATCTTTGAAAATGTTCAGAAATATCAGTACAACATATTGATAAAACAATAACTTGTAGAGCTTTTTTGTTTTCAATGCACTTTTCCATATATTAATACTTTTGAGCCTTTCAGTGATTCAGAAAGCTAGGACAAATATACTTATCCCCAACACACAAACTAAAGAAGCAAGGTAGCTCAGACCTGTTGACCAACTTGCTCAAGGCATGCCGTTTTCAAGTTACTCAATCTAAGTGTAGACTTGAGATATATGTGAATTTTTAAATAAACCAAATGCAAAGAATTTGTTTCCTCAAAAATACCCCAAACAAAAACACGCCATATTAACAGTAATTATTATCACATTATAATTTTTAATCATGAATGATAAAACAGCACAATTAATCAATTCTTAAGAGAATAATGTAGGCTAGATTGTCTGAGTTAGTGAAAACTATTGTTATTTTCTACCAAATATCTATTGCTATTATTCTCAAAACCTCATCAAATTCCTTTCAAGTCCAAACTATACACAAAGTATAGTAGTCAATTTAAATAGTGTAGTCTTAGTAATACACAGGCCTGAGTACAAAAAGAGATATAACTTTATCTATATGTAGGCGAAGGTTTTCTTGACATTCTCATTTCAATGAGAAGCTGAAAATTTTCAAGTTTTAATTCAGGTTTATGAAATCACTCCTACTATTAAATTAGTTTATTGAGATTTTTAAACTCAACCAATCAAATATTCTTTCTGTCTCCTTCCTCCATTCTCCCTTTGGGCAGTTAAGTTAAGTTTCTAGAAGCTTACCTTTCACCTGGATTGAGCAAAGGACCATTTCTTTGCATGACATCCTCGGCCACACTGATTTATGTTTCATTAGTAGCTGCTGTCTCTTATCCTGGTAATCATAATGTCACCAAAACTCCAGGGGTTCAGTATAGGTCCTGCTGCTTGTGGCATGAATGCCAATCACTGAGACAAGGAGTATTGTCAGGGAAGAAGGCTTTAATCTGGTGCTGCAGCCAAAGATAACAGGAGATAAAGTAGCAAATCCATCTTCTACCCAACTAAAATGGTGGGGTTTATATGGCAGGAAAGGTGGAAAAACAGGAATTAGGGAGTGGTAAGGAAGCAGTCATGATGGATAGGGGGAGCTGGTGTCTCACTTTCTGGACACGGTAATCTGATGAGCTTTAGTTTCTTCACTGAGGGCAGTTTCCTGAGGAAGTCAGATGAGACAAATGTAAGTTTCAAGTTTTAAAACAAGGGAAGGTCAATTTCTATGTCTATTCAAAAAACCATAAATATTATTTGTATGAGACAATTGGGCCAGTTTCAATAGTGTGCAACCATTTGTTGGTGTGATTCCCAGCTTTGCTATAGCCTCTATTCGAGCAGTCTATATTCACATCATCTAAATCCTAGCTCTCAGCCTCTTCTAGTTTCAAGTATTTCTGAGGAAAATACATTAAAGAATTAACTATCTCTAAGGTAGGCAGAAGGGAAATGTACTCTCTAAATACTCTCTAAGTAGGACACTCTAAGACGCTCTAAGAGGACATTGAATGGAGAGAAGGGAAGAGAACTCAATTAAAGCCCCAACACATCATCCTCCTTCATGTATTCTATTTCCTCTGTTTGTTCAGAAATTGATTTTATCTGTTGATTAGTAGTGCAATAACTCTTACATTCCTTTTTAAACAAATGTTTACTGAATCCAGGAAAAATTCAGACGCTATGCTAGATTTTTGGTTCCAACATGAAGACCACACAGTCTGTGTTTAATGTGCTCACAATTTTATCATAGGTGACCACATAAACAGATAATTAGGGTGTAATCAATAAAAGACTGTAATAATGAATAGAGTAATGTGAAGAGAGTGTTCCACTGGAAAGGTCTTTAAAAGTTTCATAGAGTCAGTTATCTAATTTTGCTCAAAAGAATTGAATAGAAATTTCAAAGGTGTGTCAGGGTAAAGTGAGAGAAATCATTACTGAGACTATTGGACAAGGTTGCTATTATGTCATTAGAATTTCTGTGTACCCAGAGGAACTTTTGTACTTTATCAGGGACACAGTACAATTTTACTTAAGCACAAGAAGTCTCAAATTAGAAATAAATTAATGAGAAAATTACTGTAGTTTATCCTTAACCACCATTTTTAATACTTTGAATTTCTCTGCTAACACGAACTGATCAATTGTTTGACTCTGTTACGGAATTAATTGCTAATTCAGTCAAATTGGTAATCAGATTAATTGGCTGGTTAAATCAATTGTCATTGTCAAGTTGGGTGAGACAGAAAAGATTCAATTGTATAATTTATTATAAAGGCAGGAGCTTGCTCTCAAATTTTATGTTTCTTATTTAAGTAATATCTATAGATTTTTTAAAAACTTGTTTACTTTTTTTGCATGGTACTTGTAATTGAGCTTTTATAATAATGTGATATAAGTGTTTTTGAGTCCATTTTACTGATAGAAATAATGAGGTATAACAGGGTTAAGTGATTGTTGACTATATTACTGTACTGCTAATAAATGGCAGATTTAGGACTTGAACCGAAGGGCTGCTGACTCTAAATTTAGTAGTTTTTTTTCTAGAAATAGAGAGGAATGAAATATTGGGTATAGAAATTTTAAAAGTCATCAGTAATTAAAAGGTATACTAAGTCATGAGGAATTTTTATTTCACCACAGAAACATTTTCCTTCCTTAACGTTAGGGTGGGATAGTATTTTTTGCAGTACACTTGAGAAATGGTTAAGTCTGATGGATGACCTGGCACATTATTGGAAATAAAGTACCATCAAGAAAAACGTGTGTTACCAATCATTATCCTGAAGCTTAATGGTTAAGTCTGATGGATGACCTGGCACATTATTGGAAATAAAGTACCATCAAGAAAAACGTGTGTTACCAATCATTATCCTGAAGCTTTTCTAGAATTAATTGGACAAATACTTACAGGATCTCATGTGAGCTTCACTGTAATGTTGGCAAGGTGATACATAATTCTAAAGCCCATGTTTTTTTTTCTGTTTGGCCAGTTGAGCGAAGATTCTTATTTAAGTGTCCACAGCATGATTGGTACTGTTGGAAATGGAAACAATGAAAGATTCATTTTTTAATTCAAAATGTTACCTTCCTTTCTTTTTCCTTCCTATCTTCTTTTCTTTCTGCGTAAGCACTCATTGAACATCACACTGTACCAGGCACTACTGCAGGAGTGTGAACAGTAAACAATGTCTAAAATATGCTCTACCTCCTGGCAAAGCTCACAGTCTAGTGATGGAGATGGAATTCCCACTCATGAAACAATTGAGTAATTATATTCTGAACAGTAAATTATTAGCTAGAATTATACAGTTATATTGATAAGAAAAATAGTTGATCAGTTTAATTCATTAATTGAATTTGAGCAGAACTCACAGTTCAAACCCCTAGGGATGAGCAAGAGAAGTAAACCTTGTGGAAACTATGATACATTGGAGATTATATGTTCTGACTAAAAGGTTCAACAGCCTCTGTGGTTTTTTCTTGTTTGATTGTTTGTTTGTTGTGTTTTAAGGGGCTTTCCAGTAAAAACCAGAAAGCCTGCTAAACAAATTCTAAAAGAGCTGTAACACTTAGCCCCTGTGCTTTGGAAGAATATTGCTAAGTAGAAATTCAAACTGTGCACTGTCAAATTAGCCCCTCTCCCTCTTTTTTTCCTAGAAATCTGGAATTTAAAATTATCTTCTGAACTCTCTTATTTTTTAAAGACGGTAAGTAAAATAGACTTTGGAAAAAGATTATGTGGGACAAACAAAACAATCATGACCATGAGTTTGCAAACTCTATGTTTTTAAATTACAAAAGTGTAGGATTACCAAATGTGATAACATTTTTTGCAAGACAACTTATAACAAGTTTGATCAGAATTGGATTTGTCTCTATGCATAGGAAAGAATGCTAAGCTACAAATTGAGAAGTACAACAGTAAAGAGAAGAGCAGAGGGGACAGGAGTGGAGGGGGTAAAAGATAAGGGAAGGAAAGAAGGGAAAAATAATCCCTTTGTTCACAAATGCTGTCTTTGTGATGGCTTAATTTTTGCCCTCAAATTTATTAAAGGAGAAAAAAATTGTGTGTGTGTGGGTGTTTTTTTTTTAAGGAATCAATTACAGAAATACTATCAAATTGCATTTTCTCGTGAGTGGTTAACAGATGTTTCCACAAGTTAGTGAGTTTACTTAATTGTCAGAGGCTGGACATTTGTGTATAAAATCTCTCTTTAGTCAAAAAGAAGCAAATTAGAGAAATATCTTACCAGTGTAAATATTTCAGACTGTAATAAACTCCATAATGCCATAGCACATAATACTTGGCCAGAACACATTAACTTGTTCCCTCCAATTTCAATGGCCGTAGTATTTTCCTTTTTTAATTTGTAAAAACAAATCACACATAGCAAAAAATTTTTCCTAAATGTAGAAATCTACTAAAACTCTAACCTTTTAGCATGTGAACCTCATTTCTAAGTAGATAAATGACAGACTATTAACTTTGCTTTCTACTTCCTTTGAGTCATGACTTGACTTTCAAAACATTTGGTCAACCAGACTCAAAGTCTCTTTGCAGAAGAAACATTGAGAAATCATGTACTTCTCTCCTTTTACAATTCCCTTCAGGGCAGAGCAATACAAGTGACCCTGGCTTTTGACAAACCTTAGCCGAACAAAATGTAACAAGCCCTGTCTGTTTTGAGCAGAATTTTCTATTCTGACAGATACAGCTCAGGAGCATTTGATGTCTGCTTGCTGGTCATAGATAATGGTGCATCTTGGGACCATTGTCGTTCTTGTCAATAAAAAGGCCTGGGGGGACATGCAACAAAGCTACCTTTTGATTCACCGTTTTTCTTTCCTTCACAGGACATTTGTAAGCCTGTGGTCAGCTAGGTCATTTTATTTTATCCTGATGTGCCTTGATAATAGCATCATGTCTACAAAAAATTTGACAGGCCATCGATGTTCGTTTCTCTGACTCCTATGTTGTTTTTCAGTCCTCAATGTCAAACATACTTTGAAAGCTACTGAATACGTTGGTTGGGACAGTATTTGACAAGATATTTCTTCTTTGATAAAATTGAGCTCATGGGGGTTGATCTTTGAATTTAAGGTAATTTTTTGAGCAATGAAAGACACTCTGTCATTCTACTGCTGGCACACAAGAAATGTTTGAAAAAATGGAAATTCTATTTAATTTAGCTAAACAATATTTTTAAATATGAGTTTTGGAGACTGGAACAAGAGCAAACTGCTAAGTGCAAAATGGACAAATTATGACTGTTATCACATTAAAATGAGATCTAACCTCATATTTATTGAATTCTGGTACAATTATGAGTAATACAATGTGCATGAATGTCTATATATGAAAGGAGGAGTTTACATAAAAGTCAGTCTTCGAGAAAAGGCTGGCTATTGTTTCTATTCTTAAAAACCAGTTGGAAGTATATGTTAAGAAATTATACTGAGGCTGCAGGACTACTTGAGGCCAGGAGTTCAAGATCAGCCTGAGCAACATGGCAAGACTGTATTTCTACAATTTCTTTTTTAATTAGTTGGGTGTGGTGGCATGCACCTGTACTCCTAGCTACTTAGGAGACTGAGCTATGAACATTGCTTGATCTCAGGAGTTGGAGGCTGCAGTAAGCTCTGATTGTACCACTACACATTAGCCTTGGTGACAGAATAAGATACTGTCTCCAAAAAATATACACAAACAAATATATATATATATATATACACACACACACATATATATGTACATACACATACACAAACATATAAAGAAATATATACGAATAATATGTTATGAAGTAATGAAAAATATCATTGAATATATTTTGAATGTCAAAGGGAATATGCATATCACAATGACATCCTTAAGGATAATATTGTACCATAAGGTTTTAAAGGGGTTTTTACATGTTGTATCTGGTCAGATTGTCTGGAATGTCATTTCTCCCACTTTGTAGGTAAGTAAACAAATGCTTAGAAAATGTGTGTGAATTTTTTTATTGGCAAAAAGAAATTGACAAGTAGTTTGTATCAACTCCAAGAGTCTTTCCATCTCAACACAATAATATGTGCCAAGTCCTTTGCACAGAGTAAGAGCTCAATTAATGTCAGTTAGCATTATGAGAATTGGCTAGCATATATTGAAAATTCCTATAGCTTACTGAATTATTTCAAATCTTCTTCTGGGAAAGAGAATATTTTTCTTAAATGTAATGAGAAAAATTATTCATGTACACAACAGTAATTTTTAGTGTAATCATATCAAGATATTCTAGTATCATTAAAATCAAATCTGAAAAATTATTAGGTTGGAATAAATATTTGTTTATATATCTGATGGAGGACAATACATTATTGATAATGACTTCAAATAATAATTGATTCTTAGTCATTACATGGTATTGTGGTCTTTTGATATTAACCAGGAAAGTCTACCTAGAAGTTAAATACATATTTACAATTAGCATAAAATGGAATTAAATATATAACCTTTCCAAATATAAGTCTTTTTTATTTTTCAGCCTGATACCTTATGCTACTTTGTCCTAATCTAAGCTATCAAATCTCGCAAATCATCATATTCTACAGAAAGGTCCTTTCATGTCTTCGTCTGAGTACTGATATAAGCTGTTATGTGAATAGTACATGCAGAAAGAACCACTAGAAGGGAGTAGACAGACACTAGTTGGAAAATAGATAATGATCTCACAAGCTAGCAGAGAAAAGCAATTTGTAATTGGAACAATAGAATATTTGTAAATGGAAGGAACAGAATCATCAGAATTTCACCTTGTCAGTGGGGCAAAATTAGTTATGGACTGAAGACTTCTCTGGGCTTGCCCTAAAAACTCAAAATCAAGCATCAAAAGAATCCACCTTACTCCAAGAACTTAACTGTGTGACAGAAGAGAAGCAAATACTTTTTTTAAATATGCAAGGAAATCCAGTAACCAACAATGTAAATTTTTAAATGTGTTGGCTTATGTCAGGAATGCAAGGTAGATTTAACATTCACAACTCATTTAATTATTTTACTATATAACAGATTAAAAGCATAAAAAGAGCATATAATTATGTACAAAAAAGAAATTTCACAAAATTCAGCACACAGTCATAATAACAACTTGCAGCAAACTAAGAATTCAAGAAAAGTTTCTCAATCTAAAAAAAGATAGTTTATGGCTGGGCACAGTGGCTCATGCTTGTAATCTCAGCACTTTGAGAGGCTGAGGAGAGCAGATCTTCTGAGGTCAGGAGTTCCAGACCAGCCTGGCCAACACAGCAAAGCCCCATCTCTACTAAAAAACACAAAAAAAATTCCAGGCGTGGTGGCATGCACCTGTAGTCCAAGCTACTCAGGAGGCTGAGGTGGGAGAATGGCTTGAACCTGGAAGATGGAGGTTGCAGTGAGCCAAGATAGCACTGCTGCACTCCAGCCTGGGAGACAGAGCAAGACCTTGTGTTAAAAAAACAAAAGATAATTTATGAGTAGTCTATAGCTAATGATAAAAAACTGAAAGCTTCTACTTTAAATTCAGGAACAAAAAAGATGATTAGTCTTACTACTTTTATCCAACATTTTACCAGAAGTCCTAGTCAATGCGATGAAATTGGGTAAAAAAAATACAAAAGATATGCAGATAGCAACGGAACTAGAACTGATGATATGATTGAACATATAGAAGAGCCTATAGAATGCACAAAAATTCAAATACTAAAATTAGTATTAGGTACTTTTAGGGTAACAGTTAAATATAAAATGTTATTGTGACTGGGCGCGGTTGCTCACGTCTGTAATTCCGGCACTTTGGGAGATCGAGACCATCCTGGCCAACATGGGAAAACCCCGTATCTACTAAAAATACAAAAATTAGCTGGGCATGGTGGTGCATGCCTGTAGTCCCAGCTACTTGGGAGTCTGAGGCAGGAGAATGGCTTGAACCTGGGAGGCGGAGTTTGCAGTGAGCCGAGATCACACCATTGCACTCTAGCCTGGAGACAGAGCGAGACTTTGTCAAAAAAAAAAAAAAAAAAGTTAGTGTTTTTCCATATTTAACAAATTTGAAATTGAAATTAAAAGTACTATCTTCAATACCATAAAATATTCAATACTTAAGGATAAATATAACAAAATATATGTAAGATCTAAAGGTAACAAAATATATTTAAGTCTGAAAATTACATTAATTTGTCGGGAGAAATTTAAAAAGAGCTAAATAGAGAAAGATACTATATTCATCTATCAAAAAAATCAACATTCTTAAGATGTAAGTTATCTGACGATTCAATATAATCCCTATTATTCCCCATGAGGGTTTTATTTTTATGTAAAAATTGATGAAACAGTTCTAAAAAGCAAATGATCTAGTATAGGCAACATAATTTTGAAAAAAGAACAAAATGGAGTCCTTAGAATACATTTCAAGACATTTTACACTTAGAATACTACATTTTAAGCTAGAGTAATCAAAAGAATATGATATTGACAAGAAGATAGACATATAGCTCACTGAAACAGAATACATTATTTGACACATTGATGCTCAATTGATTGTTACAGTAATTCAGTGTGAGAAATTTAGTTCAATTAGTCCTAATTCTAAATTCACATAATCGTCTCAGTTTTCAAGTCTAGACTAATCTCCCTCATCAGTTCAAAAGCCTTTTGGAACCTGCAAACTGAGAAAGCATTCCCATGTGGGCCTAATTTCAAGCTCTTAGATTTGACTTGCTCCCACTCATCTGAATCAGTTACTCTTTCCCACTCTGTCTCTCTGTGTCATGAGATATTGTAGATTAATGGGTTAAAGATGTCTTCTAATTTAGAAAGATTCAAGTTTTTATTTTGCCTTCTTGTTTTTCCTGTAGTTTTGGGGTAAGTTTTGAAAGAAGAAAAGGGCAGAAAAAGATATCTCTAACCTATTCATTTATCTTTATTCCTAATCTTTCCTTGTCTCTCTACAGTCTACAGTATAATTAAATCTAGAGTTAAATATTTCTATCTGTATAGTGGAAGATAGTATCAGGATATTTTTATACTCGTTGAAGTTAAGCTGCCCTGGATTTCTCCAAATCATCATACATTCTATTTCTATTTTTTCTTTGAAATAACCACTGTAATAGTCATGACTTATTGAGAATTTACAGCATTCTCAATAAGTGGTCTTTAGACTTAACAGAAATTAATTCTTATGATCTTTGGAGGTGAGTAATATTATTATCCTAGCTTAACTGATAAAATAAAAGAAAACTGAGACAAAAAAAAGTTTAAGTGATTTTCCCACCCAAGGTAATAAAGTTCAGAAATAATTGTGTTGTAATTTGAACCCAAGCAGTCTGGCTTCAGAATCTGCATCTTTTAACTATTGTTTTACACAACATCGTGGAAATAAAAAGTAAAAACACCTGTGCATATGCATGCACACACACACACACACACACACACACACACACACACACAGAGAATTCAATTTTTAATGTGTTCTCTCTTCTTTTCTTTCTATGACATTCCACTTAGAAAAAAAACTGGGATTTACAGGAAACTAGAAAGAAATCAACACAGTATTTGTGTAAATTACATTCGGTGCTATGTGTGTAAATCTTGTCTCTTTAGAATGTAAGGATCTATTATGCGGATCTTGAACTCAAAAGGGACATGGAGTTTCCCTAGGAGAGAAGCTAATGCCCAGCAGACAAATTTGCTGATGACAGCAAGACAGCCTGTCAGTTCCCCAGTAAATCTGGTTGTCTTGGTTGATTAGACTGGAATATGGTCTTGATGTTCCCAGCAGAGGCTTCTTCTTCCTTACCCGTCTCCCTGCCTCCCTCCCTCCCTCCCTCCCTCCCTTCCTTCTTTCCTTCCTGATAAGGTTTTGCTGTGTCCCCACCCAAATCTCATCTTGAATTGTAGCTCCCATAATTCCCATATGTTGTGGGAGGGACCTCGTGAGTGATAATTGAATCATGGGGGCAGTTTCCCCCATACTGTTCTTGTGGTAGTGAATAAATCTCACAAGATCAAATGGTTTTATAAGGGGAAAACTTTTTAACTTGGCTCTCATTATCTCTTGTCTGCCACCGTATAAGACATCCCTTTCACCTTCCACCATGATGCGGAGGCCTCACCAGCCACGTGGAACTGTGGAATTAAACCTTTTTTTTTTTTTATAAATAAATTACCGTCTTGAGTTTGTCTTTATCAGCAGCATGAAAACAGACTAATATAGTAAACTGGTGTCAGTAGAGTGAGGTGTTGCTGGAAAGATGTCCAAAAATGTGGAAGCAACTTTGGAACTAGGTAACAGGTAGAGGTTGGAACAGTTTGGAGGGCTCAGAATAAGACAGGAAAATGTGGGAAAGTTTGGAACTTTCTAGAGACTTGTTGAATGGCTTTGACCAAATTGCTGATAGCAATATGGACAATAAAATCCAGGCTGAGGTGGTCTCAGATGGAGATGAGGAACTTGTTGTGAAATGGAGTAAAGGTGCCTCTTGTTACATTTCAGCAAAGAGATGTGGCATTTTGCTCCAGCCCTAGAGATTTGTGGAACTTTGAACTTGGGGGAGATGATTTATAGTATCTGGTGGAAGAAATTTCTAAGCAGCAAAGGATTCAACAGGTGATTTGGGTGCTGTTAAAAGTATTCAGTTTTAAAAGGGAAACAGAGCATAAAAGTTCAGAAAATTTGCAGTCTGACAATGCAATAGAAAAGAAAAACCCATTTTTTGAGGAAAAATTCAAGCTGGCTGCAGAAATTTGCATAATTAATGAAGAGTCAAATATTAATCACCAAGACAATGGGGAAAATGTCTCCAGGGCATGTCAGAGACCTTTGCAGCAGCCCCTCAGGGCTACAGGCCTAGAAGGAAAAAATGGTTTCATGGGGGCCCCCCTGTTATATGCAGCCTAAAAACTTAGTGCCCTGCTTCCCAGCTCTCTAGCCATGGCTAAAAGGGGCCAAGGTACATCTTGGACTGTGGCTTCTGAGGGTGTAAGCAAGCCCCAAGCCTTGGCAGCTTCCATATAATATTGAGACTGCAGGTGCACAGAAGTCAAGAATTGAGGTTTGGGAACCTCCACCTAGATATTAGAGGATGTATGAAAACGCCTGGATGTCTAGGCAGAAGTTTGCTGCAAGTGTGGGGCCTCATGGAGAACCTCTGCTGAGGCAGTGCGGAAGGGAAATGGGGGACTGAAGACCCTGCACAGAGTCCTCACTGTGGCACTGCCTAGGGTAGCTGTGAGAAAAAGGTCACCATCCTTCAGACCCCAGAATGGTAGATCCACTGACAACTGGCACTGTGCTCCCAGAAAAGCCACAGACACTCAACGCCAGCCCATTTATAGCTTTTAAGCAGCCAGGAGGGTGGCCGTACCCTACAAAGCCACAAGAGCAAAGCTGCCCAAGACCATGGGGATCTACCTTTTGCATCAGTGTGACCTGAGTGTGAGACTGGGAGTCAAAGGACATCATTTTGGAATGTTAAGATTTGACTGCCCCCTGTATTTTGGACTTCCAAGAGGCCTTTAGCCCCTTCATTTTGGCCAATTTCTCCCATTTGGAGTGGGTGTATTCATCTAACATTTGTACCACCATTGCATCTAGGAAGTAACTAACTTGTTTTTTATTTTAGAGGCTCATAGGCAGAAGGGACTTGCCTGGTCTTAGGTGAGACTTTAGACTGTGGACTTTTGAGTTAATGCTGAAATGAGTTAAGACTTGGGGGACTGTTGGGAAGGCATGATTGGTTTTGAAATGTGAGGACATGAGATTTGGGAGGGGCTAGGGGTGGAATAATATGGTTTGGCTGGGCCCCAACCAAATGTCTTCTTGAATTATAGCTTCCATAATTCCCATGTGTTGTGGGGGAGGTATCTGGTGGGTAATAATTGAATTATAGGGGTGGTTTCTCCCGTACTATTCTTGTAGTAGTGAATAAGTCTCACAAGATCTGGTGGTTTTATAAGGGGAAACCTCTTTTGCTTGGCTCTCATTCTCTTTTGTCTGCTGCCGTGTAAGACATGCCTTTCACCTTCTGCCATGATAGTGGGGCTGCCCCAGCCACATGGAGCTGTGAGTCTATTAAGCCTCTTTTTCATCATAAATTACCCAGTCTTGGGTGTGCTTTATCACCAGCATGAAAATGAACTAATATACTGTTTTCCTTCCAAGTTTGAGTGATCATCTAGCAAATTGTGAGAATAAAGTAGTTAAATAGGCAAAGTGTCTGACCTCATTGATCTGAATTGTTTAATTAATAAAGTAATTATCCTAAAAAGTGAAAGGTACAGGTACTATGAGAAAGTAAAACAAGTAAGCTAACCCAGTCTTGATAACCAGGCCTGCCTGAGAAAGTGAAACATAAACCAAAATCCTGAAGAGTGCAAAGAAGATTGCCTTTTTGTGAATTTGTGTGAAATTCCTAGAACTAAGCAACTAAGTTCATTAAAATCTTAAAATAGGCAGCATGTCCTTTAACATAGAGGTTCAGGAAAAAAAATTAGAATGAATAAACATTATAGCATACTTTACAAAACTTTCATACACTTTAGAAAAGTGATTGACCTCTCTGAGGCTCATTTGCCTCATCTGTAATTTTATTTATTTATTTATTATTATTATTTTTTGAGATGGAGTCTTGCTCTGTTGCCCAGGCTGGAATGCAGTGGCCCGATCTCGGCTCACTGCAAGCTCCACCTCCTGGGTTCTTGCCATTCTCCTGCCTCAGCCTCCCAAGTAGCTGGGACTACAGGCCTCCGCCACCGTGCCTGGCTAATTTTTTTTGTATTTTTAGTAGAGACGGGGTTTCACCGTGTTAGCCAGGATGGTCTCGATCTCCTGACCTCGTGATCCACCTGCCTCAGCCTCCCAAAGTGCTGGGATTACAGGCGTGAGCCACCGCGCCTGGCCCTGTAATTGGTTTTAATCCAATGTCCCACACATGTTTACTGAAAGGATAAAACAAGATTGCCTTTGAAAGAGAAGAGAGTCTCAAGCACACAGCAAGATGTATAATTGTTTCTTTATTGCTTTTTTATAATTTATTATTCTTTCAGGTATTAAGGTCTGTGGTCTCAGGCAATTGTCATGCAAACTATTTTACTTAAACTACTGTAGACATCAGAGTTACCACAACAGCAGCCCTGCTCTACAGCAAGTCCCTATGCATGCCAACAAGACTGATCCTGTTTCTTTATGACCAGCTTGTTTACTTTGTGTTAGCAGGGTTGTTATTTTTCACTCCTCTTTAAAGGACCAAGAAAAGAGAGTAGTAGAATAATAAATTCAAATCAAGGCTAGGCATGGTGGCACATGCTTGTAATTCCAGCACTTTGAATTGTCAAAGCAGGAGAATTGCCTGAGGCCAGGAGTTTAACACCAGCCTGAGCAACATAGCGATACTCTTTAAAAAAAAAAAAAAAAAAGCAAAATGAAGAAAGAAATAGAGAAGATCTGCAAGTGAAGGAATGAAAATAAAGCTGGTTTCTTTGGCTTGTCACAGTGCCATAAGTCTCAGAACAGGCATCATTCCACCGCTTTCCACCCCAATTGAGGGTTTTGTTTGGGGCCCTTAAACCCTGGATAATGTACCATGGTTTAAGGCCTCCAAACAAAGCCCTAATCCAAGGATAGATTTTGTTGGAACAGGAGTTTAGGTTGTCCTATATTTTCCCAGGCCTACTAACATCTATACATCAGGGCACACTCAATGGTTCCTTTTCTTTATTTCCAAGTTCCTTCTTCTGCATCCTACTTGTAGCATTCACCATGTTACCTTCACTCTCATTATCTGTCCAGTGCCTTACAATGGTGGTGTTTATTTTTTACAAGGTAGTAGTTCTCTAGTGACTGAATCTGCTAACGTATAAGTATAAATAGACTAAAAATTAGGTTTACTGAATATTTTAATACTAGACATCTGGTTAGTTTGTTCCTCCCAAATACAGCCAGAATCTGAGTTCAATAAAAATGAAATGATTTTCATCTCTATGTGCATTTATATTGGTATCAGCATCTCTTTTTTATCTATTAATATATATAACCTTTTAGTGCTAATATTTTCCATTTTATCTTTTAATGTTCACTCATGTTATCTCTGGATAACAATGGGATGTACATATGATTAAAAAAAAGAAGTGTAAGGGCTCATATGTTTGTTCAAAATCACATAAAAGGACATATCAATCCCAAGTTAGACTACATATTTGGGAAATATGTATAACTCCCTCCTATAGGCTATCACCTTGGTGTTACCCCTGATGCCAGCCTTCATTAATTCTCACTATTTGAAATCACTGCTGTCAACAATCTAGGTTAAATTCTCTGGAATTTTTCTCATACAATATGCTAACATTTTTCAAAAATTCAGTATATTCAAACCATTAGATGGATGTTCAGCAAAAAACCTGTCAATTGTTTTCAAATTGTAAAAAAAGTTTATCATAATATAAACTTATCAAAATAAATCATTGTGTTATAGCATAGTCATTATAAACAGTATTAATTATTAAATATCAGAAATGGAATTATTTAGTTTTCAGTCCTTCAAAAACGTATCTACATCTGACCTTTTAATATCTTGGGTCATGTGTCAGAGTCCACATTCATTTTTTTTCCACTTAGTATTTTTATTCAATAAGACAACTTGGACTCATAATCATAACTCTGGTAGCTAATCAATTCAGTAAGAAAAAATATTTATTGCAAATATTTTATTTGCTGAGAAACACATGAGATAATTGAATATATCAGATACATAGAATGCATTAGACAAAATTCCCAACTCTAGAGGAACTTGCATGTTAAAATGGGAAGACAGGCAACAAATAATCAAACAAATAATAATAATCAACAAATAATCAACTTAGAAGTTTGTATATAACAAATAAGTTGATTATTTAGTAGATTAGAAAATGATGTTAACAAAAGACCATGAGATCTGCAGAGGAAAAAGAGAGAGCTTTTATTTCTATAAGAACAATGTGCAGATTAGGGAGATCCGCATTGAGTATAAGTGAAAGTGGGCTTTCCAAAGAACAAAGGAGAAGCTTGGCTTAAGTAGAAAAAGCTCCTACATCAAGTTTTCAATCAGGTCCATTTATGCAAAGGAAGGATTCAATTTTGTTTAGCTCTGTTTGGTCAAGATAGTCAAGCTCTGATTGGGTGGCTTCCCAAACCCTAAACCAGAAGTCTGTGACAGATGCTTTATTCAAATGACTGGTTGGGGTGCTTTCTGGCTGCAGTTTTCCTTGGATCCAGTCACAGGAACTGTTCTGGCTCAAAGGCATAAAGTAGTATGTTTGTCAAGAGCTTCCTTTCCAAGAGCAAATAATGTGTGATTACTCTACCCTTACCCTGCCATGACCACTTAGTTCTGCTGTCTAAATTTGGGTATCTCTGCCATGAGGAGTCCATGTTGTACAGAGAGCTTGGGGCCTTATTTACAGTTTTATTTCATAGCAAAAAAGTGCTATAAAGTAATAGAACAAGAAAGAAAGAAAAGAAAGAAAGAATGAATGAAAGAGAGAAAGAAAGAAAGGAAGGAAGGAAGGAAGGATCTCTTGAAGTTTGCAGTGATGGGAGTGTTCAAGGTAGTTGTCACTGAGAAACTGAGACATAACAAAGCCTTGAAAGAGGCAAGGGATTTAGGCAAGTGAATATCTAGAGTAAGAGTTTTCCAGGGAAAGGGCATGGCTAGGGTAAAGGGTTAGTACCTGGTAATTCCAAAAAAAACATTAATGAGGCCAGTGGGGCTGGATCTAAGTGAGAATGGAAAAAATAGTAAGAGACAAGTAGAATACACAGCAATTGTATGGTGGCTCCATCAAATTGCTCTGAACATTTGAATGAAGCATGCGCTTCACTCCAAAGACTGCTTTCCTTGCAGTAATAAATACTAGCTCAACAGTATATCAATTATATTTTCAAGGTTTGTGATGGAAAAACACAATGACAAAAATTGCAGTTAACATGTAATTGATGTGAAAGTGCCTGTGTTGAGAGAAATTGTATCCTTTTAGCCGATTTTTTGTTTAGTTGAAATGGGCAGTACCATGCTTTTATTGTATGGACAACTTTTGTGAGCGCTCAAAGCTAGAAGAAAGTCCAGGTGCAGTGGCTCATAACAGTAATCCCAGCACTTTGGGAGACCGAGGCAGATAGATCATGAGGTCAAGAGATTGAGACCATCCTGGTGAACATGGTGAAATCCCATCTCTACTAAAAATACAAAAAATTAGCCAGGCGTGGTGGCACAGGCCTGTAGTCCCAGCCACTCAGGAGGCTGAGGCAGCAGAACCGCTTGAAACCAGAAAGCAGAGGTTGCAGTGAGCCAAGATTGCTCCACTGCACTCCAGCCCGAGCGACAGAGCTAAACTCTGTCTCAAAGAAATAAAAATAAAAATAAAAATAAAAATAAAAATAAAAAATAAATAACTAAATAAATAATAAATAAATAAATAAATAAAAACTAGAAGAAAACAGCAAAGAATGAACTCAATGTACTAGTTATCTCCATTTAGTACTCGAGGGCATCTCTTCCTATGCATTTTTCCTATCTGTGAGAAATAGCATTAGATGATGATGGCAATTTTTTAAAAAAAGATTATCATTTGTACCGTAGTGTCCTTAGGAATACTGATAGCTCATGCTCAAATTCAAAAACATCCATACTATGTACAGGAAGTAATAGTTTCATGCTATTCAAGACATTCATTTTGTTTATTTGAACATTCTTGTTGAAATCATAGAGAGGTATTTTTTTCTATCCTTTTCAGTTCCTTAAAAGGATATAAATTTATCTCATCCCTGATGGACATTTTTCCCCTTAAAGCTAGCACATTTCAGGATGAAAAATAAATATACTCCTTGCCCAAAGAAGTACATGTAATTTTACATAATTGTGCAATGGTGCATAATAAAAGAGTAATACATGGTCTCAGTTTTCTAAATTCAATTCAACATGAAATTAAGAAGGTTAGGTATATTGTTGAATGCTAGTTGATTTCTGCAAATAAAGTGGAGTAGGAGTTTTTTTTTCAGTTATCAATTATTTAATTGACTTAACTGGCCCTTTCTTTTCATACATGTTAATGGTCCATAGAAACTAACCCTGATGTACTTTTTCAAAATCCATGTACTAGCTAGGAATATTGCCTTATTCTAAATTATAAAATATCTCTTTTCCTGTAGCATGATATTTAGGGATGAACAGACAATACTCTTCTTCTTTAAGCTTCCATGTAAACTGCACATCATACCCTGAATCTCAGTATTTTCCTCCAACTGCAAAGTTTCTGAGAGAACACACCTATGATAGTAATAGCACCTTTGTACTGAATTTTGTTGAAATGATACATTATTTACCAAAGGGTAATGTGAAAGAAAATTTTGCCAATGTCTCATTCTGTTTTCTTTCCAAAAATAACTTTGTGAGAGTTGTAAATGCTGACTAGAAGCATCTACTGTGCACCACTCTTGTGGAGAGGAAACAAAGTGGTGGGTAAATATTGACTCTTCAAGGGAATCATGTAAGAAACTAGTTGGGATCCATCAGAGGCGTTAGGGGACACATGGAAAACGGAGAATAACAAAGCTGGGAAGGCACCCACCTGGGATCACTGTGAAACCAGGAGAAGCTTCCTAACACAGGGTAAGAGTGAGAGATTAAGAGCCCCCAGGGGATCTACCCTTCCTACAGGGACCTGTGCAACTCTGGGAATGAGAGAACCCCCTGAAACTTCCAACCACAGGCCTCAACTAATACAGAGAGCCTGTATTAATGGAATTTCTTCAGAGGAACCACTCAAGACTATGGGAAGCCCTACAGGCTTTGGATCCCTGAGGAGCCCAGCACTAGCTTCCATTACACCAATAGAGTCCACAGTCACGGTGCCAGGAGAAAGCAGACTGTTCCCAGTTCTTCTCTCCAGACAGGCCTGGACTCCTGCTTCCAGCAGAGTGGCCCCACCTTTTCCTGAACCCTGCTGGTGTGCACAGTTCTGTTTTCCCCTAGGAAACACCTGGATGTTATACTGTACAAGCCCTGTGCCTGCTGCTTCTAGTCAGTAAAGACTTGTTAGATTGAGTGGCTCACAAGCAAGGGAGGATTCCCCCATTCTCAGAACACTGAGAGGGGTGAGATACCCAGGTTTGTGAGCTGGTGGGGGAGAGCATTGTGCCTCCCTCTGTAGGGCTAGTCTGGGAAGGGTGTAGCCTGCATAACCTCTGCCTAAGGGAGCCTCACGCATGGTGTGGAATACTTAACATATGGAACGCTGGTGTGGGATCAGGGATCAGATAGAGTGCCTCCAAGGTCCAGGGGTGGTCTTAGGGAGAGGTTTATTTACCTCCCTCCCCAGTGTCCCACCCCCACTGACTCCAGAGCATTACTGTGAACATGCTGAAACATGAAAGCGCGGCATGGCTAAGAGCCTATCTACAGGCCATCACACTTAAGTGCCATTTCCTGGATCAGAACCCAAATTACAATACCAAAAATATTTTGCCAGTATACAGTGCCTGTGAAACCTAAGGCAAAAACTCAGCCAGAAATACAAATCCTGTACAGAGCATTGACCCTCTGAAAGCACCCAGAAATAGAGCCAACACACTATACTCATCTTACATTACAGTTAAAGGAACAACAGTTCTATCAGATGAGAAAGAATCAGCACAAGAATTCTGGCAATTCAAAAAGCTGGAGTGTCTCCTGACTTCCAAGTAAACAATCTAGGCCCCCAGGAATTGTTCTTAACCAGATTGAAATGACAGACATAGAATTCAGAATCTGGATGGCAAGAAAGCTCATCAAGATCCAGGAGAAAGTTGAAATCCAATCCGAGGGATCCAAGAAATACAGTAAAAGGATCCAAGAGCTGAAAGATGAAACGGTCACTTTAAAAAAGAACCAAACTGAATTTTTGAAATTGAAGAGTTAACTATAAGAATTTAAAAATACAGGCAGAAGCATTAACAGCCGACTAGATCAAGCTGAGGAAAGAATCGCAGCACAAAACCAGTTCTTTAAATCAACTTAGACAAAAATAAAAAGAATTTAAAACATAAATAAAACTTCTAAGAAACATGGAAGTTTGTAAAGAGACAAAAATCTGTCACTCATTGGCATTCCCGAAAGAGAAGGAAAGAAAGTAAGCACCTTGGAAAACATGTTTGAGGATCTAGTCCATGAAAAATTTTCCAATTTCACTAGAGATGTAGACATGCAAATTCAAGAAATATAGAGAACACCTGCAAGAGCCTGCATGAGACAAAATTCCTAAGGCACATCGTCATCATATTTACCAAGGTCAACACAAAAGAAATAATTTGAAAGCAGCTGGAACAAAAGGTCAACACACTTACATAAAACTAGACCCCTACATTTCACCATATACAAAAATTAACTCAACATGGATTAAAGATTTAAATGTAAGACCTAAAACTCTAAAAATCCTAGAAGAAAACCTAAGAAATACCCTTCTCAACAACAGCTTTGACAAAGAATTTATGGCTAATCCCCAAAACCAATTGCAACAAAAACAAAAATTGACAAGGTGACTGATACGGTTAGGCTTTGTGTCCCCACCCACATCTCATCTTGAATTATAATTCCCACAATCTCCATAATTTCCACGTGTCAAGGGAGAGACCAGCTGGAGGTAATTGGATCATGGGGGCAGTTTCCCCCATGCTGTTCTCATGATGGTGAGTGAGTTCTCATGGGATCTGATGGTTTTATAAGTGTTTGGTAGTTCCTCCTGCATTCACTCTCCTTCCTGCCATCTTGTGAAAAAAGTGCCTTGCTTTCCCTTCACCTTCTGACATGATTGTAAGCTTCCTGAGGCCTTTTAACCGTAAGTCAATTAAACCTCTTTCCTCTATGAATTAACCAGTCTTGGGCCATTGTTTATAGCAGTGTGAGAAGGGACTAATACAGGGACTTAATCAGCTAAAGAGCTTTTGCGCAAAAAAGAAATCATAAATGGAGTACACACGTTGCCCAAAGAATTGGAGAAAATATTTACAAATTATGCATCTGATAAAGTTCTAATATCCAAAATCTACAAGGAACTTAAAGCAATCAACAAGTAAGAAACAATCCAATTAAAAAACGGGCAAATGTCATGAACAAACACTTCTCAAAAGAAGATGTACCAATGGCCAAAAAATATATGAAAAAACTGCTCAACATCACTAATCATCAGAGAAATGCAAATCAAAACCACAATGAAATGCCATCTTATACCAGACAGATGGTGATTATTAAAAAGACAAAGAACAACAGATGCTATCGAGGATATACAGAGGAAAGGGAGTGCTTAAACACTGTTGGTCAGAATGCAAATTACTTGAGTCACTGTAGAAAGCAGTTTGAAGATTTCTCAAAGAACTTGAAACAAACTTCCATTTGACACAGCAATCTCATTACTGGATACATATCCAAAGGAAAATAAATCACTCTACCAAAGAAGACACGTGCACTCATCTGTTCATTGCAGGGTTGTTCATAATAGTAAAGACATAGAATCAACCTAGGTGCCCAACAGTGGTCGATTGGATAAGGAAATGTGGTATATATACATCATGGAATACTACACAACCATAAAAGTAATAAAACCCTGTCCTTTGCAGCAAAACGGACACAGCTGGAGGCCATTATCCTAAGCAAATTAGCACAGAAACAAATACCACATGTTCTCACTTACAAGTGGGAGCTAAACATTAAATATGAATAAACATAAAGATGGAAGCAATGAACACTGTGGACTACTAGATGGGGGAGGAGAGGAGGGAGGAATTAGCTAAAAACTACTTATTCCATACTATGCTCACTACCTGTGTGACGGGACCACCTGTACCCCAAATCTCAGCATCATGCAATATACCCATAGAATACATCTGCACATGTACCCCTGAATCTTAAATAAAATAAAGTAAATACATTTAACTTTAACTTTGTTGCTAGTTTATGAGAGGTCACTATGCTCTGTAAAACACAAAAACAAAACGTAAAAGCAAGGAATGCTTTCTGCCCATATTCCTTATAGGAAAGCAGACAAAGTTTCATAAAAGACAAAACCCTGAGTATTAGAGGTTAGTGGACTGGTGGTGCAGTAAAATCTGATTTTTTTCAGTAGACATTACCATACTTCCCATCTTCAGTTTTCCATTCCAGGTTCTTGGGAAATTCATCACGCTTGCAAGAATTAGTTGTCCTAGCATCATACAGATTTCTATTGTTTGTTAACCCTAGTGTCCTATGCATAATCTGCTTACTTCTATTTACTATTTCCTCCCCACTGCTAGGTCTCAATTAACCATATTGAATCACTTATCCATTTTGCTTAACTGGTGATGTAAAGTAGCACAATAATAACAAAAAGCAAAAGTTAACAAATATAACAATAATATAAAGATGACCTGAAAAAAATTCAGTTAAAAGAAGATGAACACTATTCACTAAATGTTGGTTGGAAGCACAATTGTGGCTCAACACTACAACCTGGAAGAATATAGATATCATTAAAAACTACTGAAATTTCTGCAGAAAACATACTTAATTCCATATTTGTGATGTTACATTCAAGTCACTGATTTTTAAAAATTTCCAATAAAGTTTAGCATCACTTGATAGGCCACTGGAAATTATCCGTAGTAAATACCACAAATTTTGAGAAGCAAGTTCTATGCCTTTTTTGAACAACATCTTTCTGAATTATTTCATAATAGCCTATATTTTTCTTGCTGATATTGTGAACTCAGTTTGAAATGTCTCTCTTTTCTTCTCTCTCTTTTCTGGTTAGTAAAATTCATCATAAACTTCAAGGCTCAGTTTAATTGACATTTTGTCCATGAATTTCTCTTAATCCCAGCAGTAAGAATAAACCTTACCTTGTATGTGTTCTTATAGCAAATAGTTGGCATTTCTCTTATAACACTTACCACATTCTTCATTCTTTGCTTGTTTTCACCTTTAGGGTAAGAAAAATCAATTTTTCAAAGTATTACAGTTAATTACTTGTAGAGAAGGACCAGACCCCAGATCTTTTAACTCTTGGTCCAGAATTCTATCTACTGCATTACACAGAACTGCTTCCTAAATATCCATCAAATCCAGCAAATATTCCGTTTTTATTATTCTTATTTCTTATAAATTTGTTTATATCTTTATAACTTTTCTGTTTCTTGGTCCCCTCAGATTGTAGTTTACTAACAGAAGGGACAGTGCTTATTAGTGTATTTTGTGAAAACCTTAAAAATGTTTAACTCCGTATGTAATGAAGTGAGTCTAAATGATCATACAGAAGAGGAGGAGAAAAGAGAGGTAGGGGAAAGAATTGAAGGATGAAGTGGGGAGAAGTGAATGAGGTAGCAACCATAGAGTAAATACTAATGTCACTATCTCTTATTAATGAAAAACACATTTCAAGGATAGAGATTCCACACCCGTGGACTTTTGTCATGGGGTGGGGAGAGGAGGGTTATTAACAAACCCACAGAGCAAGAAGTATTTGTCGCACAACTGGGACTCATCATTAGATGGAATTAGCTTCCTAATCACATAAGTGAGAATGAGGGAAAAATATTTGGCAGTGAGGACAATGTTAGTAAATAGTTCTCAAGTGACTGAGTCAAATGGCTGCTTCCAATCAAAATCTGAATGTCACTCAAAACAGCATCTTACAGAACAGTAGCTTGTGTTCCCCATACAGTGCTTTTGTTATCCTCTCTCAAATTTCAAGTTGTGTTTTCCTGATTATTCTAAATATGAAACTCAGAATTTGTCCCCCTTACAACTGTGATTGCATTTGTTTTGTTTAGGTTTATTTTTTCACTTGTGTTTCTCCATTAGCTTTTAAGCTCTGTAATGGAAGTTTCTAATTAGTTTCAAAGTGGCCAGAGGGTAAGGCAGTTGCTTGATTCTTCACACATGGCACTGTTAACTCCTAAAAGCTGGTTGAAAATCTAGCACTCTGCCATGTGTTTTGAACAATGAAAATTTTAGAGGACTATTATCTTTGAAAATTATATATACTCTGGAGTTTACTTTGAACTGACAGTGTTTATCCTCTGTATTTGCAAAAATAAACAGAAAAATCTTTAAATACTAACAACCACATCTGATTCTTGATATTCCTTGGCAACTAATCACAACTCCTTTGCAAGACTTTACCCATGACATGTAAATATTTGACAAGAAGCTAAATTAGAGCTATTTGAGCTTCTTATGCATTTAATGATCCCCACTATAGGGCCAGAAAGTAGACTAAGAGTAAAATTAGGAAAAGCGCAAGGAAAAGTGCAAAGGATAAGAAAGTTCACCAACCAACATGGTGGCATGCTTTTAATGGCCTATTATATTGCTGCTAATGGGGAAATTCCATGTTGTTGGTTCCTGTTCATGATATTACTTACTATTGAGTTTGAAAAAACTTAAGTTTTAAACAGCTATAAGCAAATGACACAAATAACTTTTCTGATCTCTCTTACATTTTTTGTGTAAGACATGTCTGCTTTTGGTTTCATGGTACTAAATTAGTTTGAATACCAACGGAGAGCACTTTTTGTAAAATTAAAGGAGATTGCATTGAGAAGGGCTAAACAAATTTCTTAAAAACACAAGTTGCAAACTAAGACCCTCTAAGGTAAATTCAAATCAAATGTGTGTTATTCAGCTAAATAGACTCCTAGTAAGAAAAATGAAAAGAATTTGCAAGCCCTGTAGCTGGACTTGTGCCCAGCAGTTTACCAAAATGCCCACATCCTCTTTCGTCATGCATCTCACTTGAATCACTAAGATGCATTATCTGCATGTCTTCATCATTTGATAAGAAGGAAAGACAGATTTAGAGGAGATAATCAGTATGCCCTAAACCGTATAGCTAGTTAGCAGTAGAGCTGGGATTATAACCTAAAGCTCTTACTTTCCAGATAAGAGCTCTTACCATTGTTTTCCAAAAGTTTAAAGGCTATGGAGTATTTTGTAGGATGACATGATTACTGCATGTAATTGGATTTATTTCTCGAAATATTGGAGCTTTCAAACTATGTGTTTGTGAGTTTAGGTGGAGAAATCAGACAATGGTGGAGCTGAAGTTCTTTAGTGTACAGTTGAACATAGGTTGTCTCTCAAGTAAAGATACTTAATAAGACATCACTACACCTTCCAGCTATAAGTCTCTTACTACTGAGAATGCCCATGAACCACAGAGACGGTGAAAACTTCCAATCATCATCCGAAGAATATTCAAGAAGCCATGATTAAATAGATGGACACTGATGATATATAAGTATGTTTATTTTTTGATGGGAGGAACTGAGTGATGAATTTATTAGCACTCAAAGAAAACCTGGGGCTATGAAGGGAATACACAAGCTATCATTTCATGAACATCAGGGTTAATATGAACTATAAAGTGACCATGAGAGTCATTACACAGAGACAGCATTAATGAAAAACTAATGTTTCTTTGCCACATTGGTTTGGTTTTAGTGCTTTAATCTAGACAAGTCAAATTTAAGAAGAATGCTTCCCATAACACAGCACGCAGTTTAACCATAGAAATCTCTTATCCATATCTCTTTCTAATACAGCAGACATGATGTTTGGAAACAGAAGCATGTTATTTAAATGGACTGTTCATCAGAATCTATTTTGTGGTATTAAAAATTTCTTCCTTGAATTCCTCTTCTTGACCCTTTTGGCATCAAGAAGTGTTTAAAAGCATAAAATTCAAAATGAAAGACAAGATGCTTAGTAATCTGTTGTATGTGCCAGGCTGGCAGTGGATTTTCAGGGCCGAGTGTTTCCCTGCAGATGATTCATTGACAAGAGGGGCCAGCATAGTCTCAGAAGAACCAGAGCTTTGAATCCCTTAGACCAAAATATCTCACCAGTGAAAACTGGAATTTTTATCTCTGGGTATCTTTTTCTTCCCCTTTATCATTACCAATTAATGTTTATTTGCCTCCTTCCTGGAAGTTTCTGCCACTTTTTGTTTAATGGTGTGTATATAGTTTTATAATAAGTGTGTTAACACGTTGTATAATTATTATGTGTGATTAATCCTGCATGCTCTGGAAAACTGTTAGTTTTTTTGTTTTGTTTTGTTTTTTTAAATTTAACCAGTGAGGATGACTTTAAGTCTTTGTGTTACTCACGTATAATGCAAGTTGATGAGAACTCTGGTGAATGCAACAGAGCATGAAAAGCCTGTATTTAAAAATCTGTGGTGAAGTAGCTGAGAAGATCACATTGTTTTCTACTCTTAGGACCATCTGTGTGGTAACGGGCACATAGAGAAGAATTTTCCATGTGATGCAAGAATGTTATGGAGATCGGAGTAATAGGTATATTATATTTCACAACAGGATGAATGTCAAAACATGTTGTTTTGATGATAACATATGGATGAAGTGTTATCAAAAGTATTTGTGACAGCATTTGATGCAAGGATAGCAGTCTGAAGTCTATTAGATATATGCATTGAGCAATCAATTGATAGATTGATACACAGATAGATGGTAGGTAGGCAGATAGAATGATAAATGTACAGATATAGATGAGAGGAAAGACAGCAGGAGACAAAGAGGGAGAGAAGACTGTAGTATATCTATACAAGACCTATAATAAATTGCTATTTTGATGATAGAAGTATCCCCCTCAGACTTTCAACTTATGATTTGCAAAGGTGTCTCTCTTAGTAGGCATTGAGACTGGAAGGGATCAATGCCCAAGACCATTTTCCAGAGTTCTGTCCAAATGTATAATGGAGCCAAGTAGATGGAGACCAAAATATCAGCTTTCGTCCTGACAGAGGTGGAATAATGTACCTTATGCATTATACAATCACTGGCTTGGATGTAAACTGAGGCCTTGCTGTACAAGAGCAGAGTCTTTACCTCCAGTTTATTAGATGGTTAGGAGCAAACAAGAGTACAGATCTCAGATCCACAGTAAGAAAGGGAGGGAGAAACTTAAACTTTACATGCCCAGTTCCTTACTTCAAACTGGACCAATCAGTTAGCTCACAGTTCATGCAGTAATAAATATGGACTTCAGAATCACTTTTCTATCTCTGACTTTCAGGCCATTATTCCTTGATTTTCTTTTTTGTGCTCGCTGTCATTTTTACAGTGTATTTATTCATGTTTAAATTATTTTATTACATTGACTCTATGCTGGTACCTCTTACTGTTTAAATTTAAATTATTTTGATTCATATATTCCACTCTTATAAATTTCTGATTTTTTAATTACTCCAGCTGTCTAGAACAGCATTTTAAAAAACACCTTCTTTAAATCCTTCTTTAAAACCTTTTTGGTTCAACAGCAATAAAATGCCTTTTAATAAATATAGTCAGAACAGATATACCATAGAAAAGAAACAAATTACAAAAGCATATGCATTGTTTATTAAGTATACACATAGGTAATGATAGGGGAAATCCCAATTCCACAACAGCTGGTCCCCTCTTGTAATCAAAGAAAATTCTTAAGAATAAAGCAGCGATTACCTCATATGAGATGCTACCACATACATTTAATGCACACTGTCTCAATTAATATTTACAGTTTTTAATGTGACAAATTACTTCATTTTTGATTAACTAATCTAGGTTGAGTGTAATAATGCTGCTTACAAAGAAAATGCATAGCAAAATTTGTCTATGTATTCAGAATAGAGAAACCAGTCATACTGAGCTTCTATTCCTGGAAGCTCTGTTCCAGGAAGAAGAGACTTTAAAACAATTTTAGCAAGTTAACAATATTTGTTTTTCATGCTTATTCAAAATTAAGCAAGTGATGTCGCATGTTAAAAATGTGTCTTTAGTTCACCAATAGAAATTCTTTCTTTCTTTCTTTCTTTTTTTTTTTTTTTTTTTTTTTTGAGAAGGATTCTCGCTCTGTCTCCCAGGCTGGAGTACAGTGGTGTGATCTGGGCTCACTGCAAGCTCCGCCTCTAGGTTTCACGCTGTTCTCCTGCCTCAGCTTCCCAAGTAGCTGGGACTACAGGCGCCTGCCACCACGCCCGGCTAATTTTTTGTATTTTTAGTAGAGACGGGGTTTCACCATGTTAGCCAGGATGGTCTTGATCTCCTGACCTCGTGATCCGCCCTCCTTGGTCTCCTAAAGCACCAGTACAAATTCTAACAATTTACACTATAGAGTTATGATTTAGTTTCTATTATTGCTTAATAAAATAAATTCATTCTGGATCCTTGAATCTCCTATGAACAGATCTTTTTAGATTAAAACATATTCAGAATATTCTAAATGGTTTTTTAGGTGCTCCATGATAAATTTGGCAAATATATAGTAACAAAATTATCATTTATCTCTTTAATAACTGTGGCTAAATTTTTGGAACATGTCGTTACCATCTATAAAAAGCTTCCAACTTCTTTAATTTTTACTCATTAACTTTTTTCAACCAATGAAAAAAAACTTGCATCACATTCTTGCATAAGCAATAATATTATTAAAATAAACAAAGCAAACAGATAAGTACATTTGGCTGCTTTGTTTACATCTTGTTCACAGTTGAGATCAAATTGGTTTCTTATCTGACAAAAACACCATAAGATCTTTGCTTAGTGGATAAATACTTGACACTCTTTACCTTCAATAACCTTAGTAACTCAGCCTGCAATAATAGTTTATAATAACTTTCTGTTTTGTCACCTAATGAAAAATAATATCAAATTTAATTCAGTAGCCTTTACATAATTAACAATTTTACTACATCACTAAACACACTCTTTAGTGAAGCTTATAATTTATTTAAACATAACTTTTTCAATAAGGGAAGCATTGTACTGCTTTCTATTCTGCTGCAAGCTCTTTAATTTGAATAACTTCTCCAGAAAGTTTCATGACACTGCAGCTGTGTCATTGAACAATACTTGTGCCCCAAATTTAACTTTCAAACTGCATTTGTGAGCAATGCATGCAGTCACAGCTTTACAGAGTGCAGAGCTAATTGTGTTTGTTAAAAATGAAGCAAAAAATAAAATGAAATCTTCCATCATAAAGTCATCACACTTAAATTGTTCTTACAGTAAAGGAAGTGCCCTTTAAACAATATTTGCACATCAAGCTACCAGAAAAAATACTTTACTAGCTTTATTTGTTCTTCTAACTCATCCTCAGTTCCTGAATATGTTCAAATATGGTATGTCACTGGAAAGTGGTACTTGAGTTACCTTCTCTGCAGCAGTCCCTCAGCATTTCTAAGAAAACACATTTGATGCGGTATTTCACTAATGTGTTTGTAATTGTTTGTTTTTTTCAGTCTTAGCAACCCGAAGTGCTACTTTATAAGAAACCAACAATGCACTAATGTTTATATGTAAAATATTGAACATCTGCTTCTGTTGACTTTATTTTAATAATCTGTCTTTCAAATAGTTCTTTGGTTTTGAACTTATTTCCATATGTCTTTTATGTTAATACCATTTAAGTTTTGGAAGTTAATTGCCTCATTAGTTGTTGCATTTTCACAAATAATTCAATGTTGTTTTAGTGTGTTACTATCAATTACAATAAATATATGAGAGATCATACTCTTAAGTAAAACTTGCATGAACTCATTTGATCCTCATGCCTTCACAGTTATTTCTACCGTCATCATTTGGTTTACTGTTGCTGCTGCAGTCTCAAAGTTGAAGCTTTTTACTATAAGCAAATTAGGGTTAAAATGAAGATTACAATATTTACTTCCCTAACGTAGCCAATAATGTAAACTATAAATGAGTATTTAAAAAAAGGGTTGATGAAAATTTTAAATGATCGTAAAAGTTGAAAGTTACAATAAATTGACTATCTTGCTTATAGCTATATAACAGCGAAAACTTACAATAGCCTGTGTTGTATCATGTTTCCACTGTGCTTGCCAGCACAGGCTACTTACCACACAGCTTTGATAACACCCATACAATTCTTTTTCCTGTTAACCACAGGGCACCACTTGTCAGTCACTTGGATGATGAAGTCACTATAAAACTTTCTAAGTATTTTTCCGATTTTTATACCTAGCACTGCTCCATGGACCACTGTTTTCTGAAAGGCATCATGATTAGAGGAAATTTCAGCCACACATAGAAGTGCCAGTAGGTTTCAGCTGTTCTCCTCCTGCTGTTCCTCATTTCATGCTTCTTTCTTCTGACAAAGAGTAGCCACGGCCTACCATCACATCTGCAGCTGGGTTTCAGAATTGTTCTAGATCACTGACTGATGCATGCTTCCCATTATCTTACTTTTTGAACGGGTGTGTCTATCGTAGTCAATTGTAGTCCTTCTGTCCTCATCTCACCATTGTATGGTATGAGCAAGGGGCAATACACCATTTCCTTTCAGTTGTCGAAACTCCAGATCAGTAGGTCCCACTAACATGAGGTCTCAGTCTCATCCAGATCCTGAACCACTAAACTTCTCTTTCTTCTGGCACTAGGATTTTATAGATGGTGGTCTTTTTTATTTATATTCACTTATTCTACTCATTATAGTGTATTCTTCTCCTAGTCCTTTTCTATGATCTCCAAATTTTCTTTTAAGTAAATTTTATCTTTTGTTTTCTTCCCTCTCATTGGAGTTTGTTTTTGGGGAGTGATGGAGAGGGTGATTGTTACTCTCTTCCTCCCTCCCTTCCTCCTTTTCTTCCTTCCTTCTTTTTTACTTCTATCTTTCCTTCCTCCCTCCCTCCTTCCCTTTCTTTGTTGTTTCTTACTTTCCTTTCTCCTATCCTCCTTTCCTTTCTCCCTATCTCCCTTCCTCCCTCCCTTCATTTTTTTACATCATCTGTAGTTACCTAGCTAAGATTTTTCCCTATGACCTTTAAAGTCTGTCTATATTATGTCCTCACTCCTTTCTGTAACTGCCTTTTATCATCCCAGCTTTATCTAATCACCACCTCATTACTTTCAGCAGTTGTAGGGTATATATTACTGGTGCAACAATCTCAAATTTCCTTTTATTTGGGATTCTTCATCCTAATGTTATCATCTAATTTTTAAAAAATCATTATTCAGTTCAGATAAGTGGATTTTTTTGGTCTTTATTTGGAAAAGAGACAAACTTCCTCCTTTTTTTTTTTTTTTTTTTAGGTGTCTTCTTTGCAACTTTATTCTCTTACCTGGAACATTTTTTTTAGTTTGGACATTACACACAGATAACTTCTTTATTCAAATCTTGTCTAATGTGAGATATAGCCCACAAACATATAAAGTTGCATAAGGCACACATTTAAAATGTTAAAAATAATTACGAATTTTAAACCCATGTAACTATCAAACAAATCAACCTATAGAATATTAGTGGCAACCCCAAGTTTCCTGTCAGTTTTTTTTTTCCTGATCATAGGTACAACATATTCATTATAAAGAACCAACTTGCCAACATTCAAGATAATCATCTTTTTATAGTCAATATGCTTAATATAGATCAGTTTGCCTATTTAGATCTTTAAGTACAGGGAAACTTAGTGTGAATTACTGGTGCTTTTTTTTTTTTTGCTAAATACATATTTTAGAATTATATTACAGTATTTATGTCTAGTTCATTAGTTATCCATGTCATGTATATCTGTGCTACTCAGAGTAGATTCAGAAATTATCAGTCCAGGATAAATATAAATGAACATACAAGAATGTAAATTAATGTACTGCATCTTTATTGAGAAATTCTTGCTAAAACCAACAACAGCAACAAAAACAAAGCCTAATATGCTAAGTGAAGTAATTTTTATTATGTTACAAGATCCTTACGTCTTCATAGAACATTATCAAACATTTCTTGTACCAGTGCCAGTTAGTGGACATTTTACATAGAACTACTGTATAGTATTCCACTGATTAATATACCTACCATTAATTATTATCTGTTCTACTGTAGATCGAAAGTTATGTTGTTTCCAGTTTGGGGCTATTTAAAAAAGATTCCAGCTACTTCTATAGTGGGTACAATCAAAAGTGGATTTCCAGTCTCTTCAAATATGTTGAATAGAATATAATACTTTCAAAAATGGCTGGATACATTTTTATGTCCTTCAACAGTGTATAAAAATTCTACATTGCTTCATATCATCAGCAATACTTGATTTGTCATATGCAGGATTGAATGGGAAAAAAAAACCCAATCCTTGATAATGTCAAATTTAAAAATGTTTGCCAATCTGGTTGGTATTTAATGGAATTCCATTGTGGTTTCAATATTTATTTCTATATTATTATATTATGGTATCTTTTGAGGAATAGGAATCCTTAATTTTAATGTAGTTAAATTTATCAGCCTTTTCTTGCTTGCTTAGTGGTTGTGATAGTACTGAGTGTCAACTTTGAAGGATGCAAACTATTGTTCCTGGGTGTGTCAGTGAGGGTGTGGCCAAAGGAGATTGACATTTGAGTCAGTGGACTGGGAGAGACAAACCCACCCTCCATCTGGGTGGGTACTATCTGATCAGCTGCCAGGGTGGCTAGAATAAAAGCAGGCAGAGGAATGTGGAAGGACTAGAAGTTTGAGTCTTCCAGCCTTCATCTTTCTGCCATACTGGATGCTTCCTGCCCTTGAACATCATACTCCAAGTTCTTCAGCTTTTGGGCCCTTAGACTTACACCAGTGATTTGCCAGGGGCCTTCAGTTACAGACTGAAAGCTGTACTATCGGCTTGCCTACTTTTGTGGTTTAGGGACTCAGACTGGCTTGCTGTCTCCTCAGCTTACAGACGGCCTATTGTGGGACTTCATGTTGTGATCATGTGAGTCAATTCTCTTAATAAACTCCCCTTCAAATATTCATCTATCCTATTAGTTCTGTCCCTTTAGAGAACCCTGACTAATACAGTGGTTACTTTTGCCTTGATTAAAGGGAACGGCATATACAAAGTAATACGCTATTTTTCTATATTATGCTTAAAAAACATTATAGTTTTTCATCTCACACTTAGGCATATGCCGATGTCAAGATGACTATTCTGTGAGATAGGGCTCAATTTCATTCCCTACCCTCACAGTCTTTAGTAACACCTTTTTTGTAAATCCAGTGTTGATATACACAAAGATGTGTGTTTCTTGGCTCTGTCTCCACTTTCATTCTTCCATTTTTTCTATCCTTGTGTTAATATCATACTTCATATAAATTCATAATTTTTGATATCAGCTAAGTAAGAGTTTTCCTAGGGGTTTATTCATTTGTCTAAATTTTCCAATTTGTTTGCACGAAGTTGTCCGTAACATCCTGGATATAATGAAGGTTTTGTTGTAGAGATCTAGACACTGTTACCATCCTCCAAAGAGGGTTTTTGCTTTAGAAAAAAACTAATGTGGTTAGACTCAAACCAAAAACTCAGCCCCGCCTGCCCATGGACAGCATATCAAACCTTGTTCCAGATTGTTCTCAGCTTACTCTATAAATGCATGCTTCACAGGTGGGCCAGAAATATGAACAGAATTTATACACAGAAATTTTAGACCCCTTCTCTCTTTGTGGATCATTCTCTCTCCTCTCCGAAATTCCCCGACTCACTGGCAGCTCTGGCTATATAGCTCATTCCTTCTTTGTTTGTTTGTTTCCCAGCCGGAATAATGTAAGACATTCTATTGAACTTTTTTTGTGGGTCACTAGCTTCAGTTTAAAGCTCTCAAAACAGGAAACTCACCCAGGCCACAGTTTTCTTTAGGTTTTGAGTTTTCTTCAAAATTGGCCAGCTTTTCTTTTCCAGATGGTCATGTTTTGCCCAAATTTTGCAGTTTTTACCTGTGAGATACTGGTTTGTTAGGAAATTACTTCTAATACTGAGAGCAGGACTCCCCCTTGGTTCTTCTTCAAGGTCAGCAAATGTCCTCCAGGTTTTCATTTTCTCCTTTATTTTGGCCATCTTATTATCTCTTTGATATTTTTAAGAAAAAAAAATTGGTCAAATGTGGGTTTTTTGGCTTCTTTTGGTGGGGTTTGTTTTTTGTTTGTTTGTTTTTTAGCTTTTCCTCTGGGGGCAGGTTGACCCAAATATTGTAATTCATTTTCACTGGATGGGTAAGTCATCAGGTGATTTCCAGAGCAATCTATCATCTATGTAGTTTCCTTATATTAGCTAATACCCTTTGTCTCTAAATGATATTGGCTTCTCAGGTAGTACAGCTTACAGAATTTGGTTTTAGTTGATATATGCAGTAAAACTTCACAGTAAAGGGAGTCTGAAAATTCAATTGTCTAAAATGGACATTGTATTATAAAGAGCATAATTGAAGTGATCCTGTGCAATAGTTGAGGGTGTCTTTGAGTGTGGTTGAGATTCCAATTCTTTCATGTCCCAAATGCATTGTGGTCCCACCCTGTGGTACTTGTCAGCTTCAGCTTCAATAGTATTAGAGGAGATTGTTGGTTCTGTGGCTTACTGGAGCATATAAACAGTGTTAGTGATTTCAGGGGTCTTCTGGTTAATTGCTTATATTCTGAAAAGGAAGGATTTGGGTAGAACACTGGAGCTACAGGGCTAACCTCTGCCTTTCATTCCTTCCTGGGGTGGAGCTTCCTATTGTTTTCCTGCTGTGCTGGCCATTTCCTCCAACTACCTCTTTACTTCCATCCCAGCAGTGAAGAACTTTCACTTTCCTAGACTGAAAACTACAGCTGGTCTGAGGACAGAAGTTAGCATCGATCTTGTTATATCAAAACAATTTATTACACTGGATTAATTACTTTGTGGATTTATTGTATATTCCCAAATTCAAGCTCCAAACTTGCATGATAAATTTACTGGAAATAATAACATAATTACAATGCCCCCTCAGGCTAGTATTCCATTATAAAATATATGAACAAATTTGACCCATCTAAAGTTTACTCTTCCAGAATGCCTGAGCATTTCCTTTTTATTAGGTCAACAATAAAACCAGTTAACTATAGATCTTAAATATAAGCTTCTACTTATTCCCAAGAAAATTATTTACTATATGATTGTCTTTTGGTCTTATTCAGAAAAACAAAACAGCACAAAACAAAACCACTACAAATTGCCCTCTTTCTGAGTAGTTACAATAAATATGCCTTCTCCTCCCAGTTATATTGAGATATGACTGATCAATGAAAATTGTATCTGTCTAAGGTGTAGAACATGATATTATATATACACAATGTGAAATGACTATCAAAGGTAAGCTCATTAACATATCAATTATCTCATGTAAATACCTTTTTTTCTTGTAGGAATACTTAAGATGTAGTCTCTTAGCAAATTTCAACTATGCAATGCGTAATATTATTCATTACAGTCACTATGCTGTACATTAAGTCTCTGGGACTTACTTGCTTTACAACTAAAAGTTGATACACATTGACCAGCATCTCCCCATTAACCTCACCCCCTGAGCCCTGGTAAACACCCTTCCTCTCACTCTTTCTATGAATTTGACTTTTTTAGATTCCACATTTATATAAGTGAGAACATAAGTGTTTGTCTTTCTATGTCTGGCATATTTTATTTAATATCCTCTAGGTCAATCTATGTTGTCACAAATGGTGGAGTTTCCTCTTTTTAATAGCTGAATAATATTCCATAGATAGATAGATGATTGATAGATAGATAGATAGATAGATAGATAGATAGACAGACAGATATAGTGATATATATATTCACTACATTTTCTTTATTCATTCATCTGTCGGCAGACACAACTTATTTCCATGTGTCAGCTATTGTGGATAATGTTATGATGAACATGGAATTGCAGCAATTTCTTTGAGATAGTGATTTTATTTCCTTTGAATATATACACAAAAGTGAGATTACTGTATCATACAGTAGTTGTTCGTAATTTTTTGAGGACCCTTCATACTATTTTCCATAATGTCTGAACTAATTTTTACCAATAATGCATAAAGTTTCCCTTCTCTCTACAACCTCATCAATCCTAGATATCTTTTGACATTTTTATAATAGCTATCCTAACAGGTGTGAGGTGATATTGTGATTTTGATTTGCATTTCCCTCATGATTGGTGATGTTGAACACATTTTCATCTTTGTAAAAATGTCTATACAGGTACTTTAACCATTTTCAAACAGGTTGTTTTTTGAGATTGAATTGTATGAGTTCCTTATATATTTTGGATATTAACTAATCCCTTATTATATGCATGGTTAACAAATATTTTCTCCCATTTTATAGATTGCTTCTTCATTTTGTTGAATATTTCCTTTGCTGTGTCCAAACTTTTTAGTTTGATGTAGACCCACTTGTTTATTTTTTTCTTTTGTTGCCTGTGCTTTTGACTTCATCTCCAAAAACATTATTCACAAGACCAATGTCATGGAGCTCTTCTCCTTGTTTTCTTCTAGGAGTTTTACAATTCATGTCTTACATTTAAGTCCTTAACAATTTTGAGTTGATTTTTCATCTCTAGTATAAAATTAGGAACCAATTTTTTTTTCACATGAAAATGTGGTTTTCTTATTGAAGAAACTATCCCTTCTCCATTGTATATTCTTGGTACCTTTGTTGCAGATTAGATGATCATCTACCTGTGTGTTTATTTCTGTGCTTTCTATTTTAATCCATTGGTCTATGTGTCTATTTTTATACTAGTGCTGTACTGCTTGATAAGTACAGCTTTGTAATATAATTTGAAATCAGGTAGTGTGATGTCTCCAGCTTTATTCTTCTTTCTCAAGATTGCATTAGGTACATGGAGTCTGTTATACTTCCACACAAATTTTAGTATTGTTTTTTCTATTTCTGTGAAAAACTCCGTTGGAATTTTGATAGCGATTGCGTTGAATCAGCGGATTGCTTTCAATATAGACATTTTGACAATTCTTCGAACCTATGAATATAGGATATCTTTCTATTTATTTGTGCTTTGATTTCTTTTTATATTTCAGTGTACATATCTTCTACTTTCTTGGTTAAATTGATACTTTAGTATTTTTCGATGCTATTGTAGATGGAATTATTTTCTTAATTTTTTGTTCAAATAGTTTGTTGTTAGTATATAGCAATGCAACTGAAATTTGTAGGTTGATTTTGTATCTTACAACGTTAATGAATTTGTTGGTTAATTCTAATAGATTTTTGATGGAGTCTTTAAAGTTTTCTATATATAATATCATGTCATCTGCAAACAGATAATTTAATTATTCCTTTTCTATTTTGACCCCTTTTATTTCTTTTTCCTGTCTGATTTCCCTGGCTAGGACTGCCAGTACTGTATTGAATAGAAGTGGTGAGAATGGATAACTTTGTCTTCTTCCTGATCTAAGATAAGAGGTTTTCAGCTTTTCACCATCGACTGTGATGTGAGCTGCGGGCTTGTCATATGCAGCTTTTGTTGTGTTAAGGTACATTCATTTTATACGTAATTTGTTGAGAGTTTTTATCATGAAGGATGGTGATTTTTGTCAAATGCTGTTTCTGCATCAACTAAAATTATCATGTGATTTTTCTTGTATTCTGTTAATGTAGCATATCACATTTATTGATTTGCAAATGTTGAACCACCCTTGTTTCACAGAAATAAATCCCAGTTTATTATGCTGTGTGATCCTTTCAAGGTGCTATTGAATTTAATTTGCTAGTATTTTGTTGGAGGTTTAAATGTATGACCATCAGGGATATTGGCCTGTAATTTTCTTTTCTTATAGTGTTCTTGTCTGGCTTTAGTATCAGAGTGATATTGGCCTTATAAGATGAGTTTGGAAGTGCTCTCTCTTCTTTAATTTTTTTGGAAGAATTTGAAAAGGAATGGTGTTAGTTCTCTTTAAATTTCTGGTAGAATTTATCAGTGAAGCCATAAGATTTTTGGCTTTTCTTTGATGGGAGATTTTTAAAAATCACTGATTCAACTGAACTACCCATTGGTCTGTTTAGATATTTTATTTTTTCATAATTCAGTCTTGGTAGGTTATGTTTCCCATCAGGTACAAATGTGTGCATTTTCACAAAGTCTATTTGCAGGTTTGATAGCAGATATTTTAATTATGTGCTTTTTGACAAAGGATATGGTATTGGGTTCTAGAAATGGTCATTCAAGATCATCCAGTTACTTAGAGTAAAGGCCCTTCTGTCTTGATGTAAACATATTCATCAGCCGCAATCGCTACTACTGACTGACAGTCCTATGGAGAAAATACCATCATAGTTTCAAGATGCATTACTTTGGAAATAGTACTCAAAACTGTTGTATTCTCAATTGCATTTGAACAACAGAGCTATAATCCTAGAAGCCATGTATGGGTTCTGCGAGAAAATCCTAATACATTTCAAAATTTAGTCAATCATCATATTTGTATTAATATCTGGTATCAACAGACAAATAATTTTTTCCTTCTTAAAAGGTGTAAAAACAACAAGGAAATGTATGCAATACTTACCAAATTCTGCAGTGAAAGTCAAAATGGGTAGAAGAACTTTAGGAAATAGCTGGATGTTTAGAATAAGTTGACTTCAATTTATTGAGCACCCCACTTTGGGATAATTTAAATAGTGAGGCTTTTCAAACTAGGAAAAGTGAAATGTAGTATCTTTGAAGAGAAAATTAATTTTTCACATGTACAGAATAGGATGAGGAGACTATAACATTTGAATTAATTTTGTGTGAAATCCAAGTAAAATTTTAAATCTAAAAATACAGAGAAAATAATTATTTAATTGCATATAATTTTATATATTTTAAAAAATTAATTCAAATAAATTCAGCTAAATCTACTTAGCAAAAATTTTAATGCCTATTATTTTGAGAGAGAGAGAGAAAGAGAATTGTCTTGGAATTAGGATTTATATAGCCTATAAATAAACTACAAGTATGTAAAAAGATCAAGGTATAGAATATTTGTATTACAATGACATCTATTTCTAAAATGGCAATTTTCTTTCTTATGTTATCATGATTAAACTTGAAAATGTATTTTGCTTAAGATATAGAAATTATAATTAGATTATTTACAATAATAGTATTATGTAAATTTTAAGATTCTTAGCCATATTTGAAAAATAAAACAAAACACATATGTAAACTGTTTCAGAAATTCAGTCTAGTAAACCTATCAAACAGTAATTCCAAGTAAATAGAGTAATATAGATAACAGTTTCTGTTAATAAGTAAGTCTCAATTAGCCAGAGACATTCCCAACATTTCAGTCTTTTCTGCTGCAAATATTTCTAAATATATTGATATACTATCTTTTTTACAAAATAATATAAACAAAATTATTTCCTGTTTTTGAATCTTGTAGCAGTACAAGATTGAACCCAGGAGGCAGAGGTACCATTGTTTTTCACTGTATCATTTCTGTAAACACATATGGGGTAGGAATTTAGATTATATCCTTTAGCTGAGTAAAAATACTGATATCCGGGCCTTACACATATCAATTAAAGCAGTCTCCAGAGTGGAAGTAAGGTATTAGGGTTTTTAAAACTCTCCAAATTTAAGAACCACTGTCCTCAAAACATTACCGAAAATTACATCTAAATTCAAACAATTAACATTAGCTTACTTTGTCATTATTTTTCTTTTTTTCTGATTTGACTAAAATTTAAGTTTTGTTCTGATGAAAATAATGGTTTGCATTTTAAAAAACATTTTGTACTCCCCAGCCCTCATAACTAATAAATGGTAAATTCCAAGTGTTTAAGTTCTTGAAACATGAATCTTGTACTTCCCATATAAGTAACAGAAACATAACACGTTTGGAAGTTTGATGTTATAGCTGATTATGTTTCAAAATTATCATTTTAGTTTTGATACAGTTTTGTTTGTTTATGCCAGTGAAACGGCTTGCCTCAAATCTTAGCAGCTTAAACAATAGTGATTTATGATATTTCATGACTGCCTAGGGTTGGCTGGCCTGACCTAGGTTGTCTTACCTAGGTTCATGCACACTGGTGCATTGAGATAAAGACTAGAAAAGCCATACTCTATTTGCCAAAGCAAGTCACAAAATCTGCTCCTATACAGGAGAATAGACAAATAGATACCACCTATTGATGGTAGAAACATCAACATTACATTGCGCTCACGCCTGTAATCCCAACAGTTTAGAAGGCTGAGGCAGGAGGATTACCTGAGATCAGGAGTTCGAGACCAGCCTAGCCAACATGGTGAAATCCCGTCTCTTCTAAGAATACAAAAATTAGCCAGATGTGGTGGCGCATGCCTGTTAATTCCAGCTACTAGTGAGGCTGAGGCAGGAGAACTGCTTTAATCCAGGACGTGGAGGTTGCAGTGAGCTGAGATCATGCCACTGCATGCCAGCCTGGGTAACAGAGTGAGACTCCATCTCAAAAAACAAACAAACAAACAAACAACAACAAAACACATTGCATTGCAAAGAAGTGAAATGGATTAGGAAATATTTTGGTGATCTACCGCGATAGGCTCAAATACACAAACACTTGGTTTTCAATACTTTTAAATTTGCCTAGCACAGATGAATGAAACCGAAAAGCAAGACATTGCTCAATACAACAGCAAGCTCATCCCAACAGATACATCAGTAGCACAGTGCTTCTTCTGTTGTTCTTTTAGAATTATAGTTATCTGTTTCTTGCTCAAAATATGCAAATGGTGGTGATTTCATCTGTAAAACTTGGGCAACTTGTATTAATCATTGTAACTGAGTACAGGTCTTTCTCAGCATGACTCATAAATATGTTTGAGTTTTAAAGCTTTTTATAATAACATTAATTTAATCTGTAAAATGATATTTCTTTCAATGAATTCCTACAAATCTGAATAGGCAATGAAGAGAAAGTGGTAGTATAGCTGCAAATTTTTAATGGAGACTAAAAACAAAGGACGGAAAACATGAAAATATCTTCTTGTTTCTAAAATATCTTGCAATACCGCAACACTAATGAAGATGGAGTTTGCTTAGATGGATTTGCCTATATGCCACTTACTACCAAAGAGATGGTTATCTGACTAAAATCTATTATTGATTATTCAATTTAGTGTTCATATATTTACATTTTATTCAGGTTAGAGTGATGTTGAAGCTTGAGTTTCACATTCTAGCATGCTACTGCTGTGGTTGGCAACAAAAATGTTAAAATACAATCATCTTCAAAGTATGAAATGGCCACTGGAGGGTTGATTTCCATTTTGTGGTTTATGGCTTCTTCTTAATATCTGATAATGTAATTATGCTTCAGTAAAGAACGAATCTTCTTTTGGTGAAGTAAGCCATGCCCAGAATATTGATGATTTAAATAAAATAATATCATGACTTTTAAAAGGGTATTCATTTGGAGAAGGTTTTTACTATGTAAAATATCTATTATTCAAAGCTAGAGATCTTATCTTGCTTTCTTCTCCAAGATAAAATGTGCAAGAGTAAGAATTTGGTTTCTAATTGTTGTTTAATAATACTATCGTTAAAGTTAACCTTGCTTTTTTTTATATATAACACACTGTAACACCTAAAGAGATAAATTATTTTTCAAAAATAAGAAGTATCCTAAAACTGCTCTACACAACACATTTTGATCTACAGTTTTCCTGGCAATATATCCTTCCCAACTTTTATACTTCACTTCTACTAGATTTACAACTTGATGGGGGATATCTGATCTAAAACTACTGTACCTACTTTCCCTTTTAAATTTCAGTTGTCAAATCATGTTATCTAGTTTATACTACTCTGAGTTATATCCAGTGTTTTCCCATTCTTTGCTAACACAACATCTCATAAAATCACATAGAATAACATAATATGACAGTTGAATTTAGGAGATCTCATATTGTATTTGAAATTCAACCAATGTTACAATTTAATGGCAATAAAAGATTAGAGAAGAAATGACATGTTCATTCCAGAGGTATTTTTATTCCAATGTATTTTTAATGTTCTCATGTCTTTTATTATTTTGACGGGTTTTCAGAAACAGTTTCAGAAGCCCTTGTTTTGGGCCAGATTTTTATAAAGAGAGACAGGGACATATTTGAAAGTTTTAACAGCGCATTATTGCAACATATGACATAATTTGATGAAAAAATTCTGAAATATGTAATTTGAATATTACATTCTTGATCAAACTTTCTAGTTGACACCAGCATAATAACGAAAATAAAAATCATATCTACTCAGTAATCTTTTAATGTTCTTAGTGGCATACAACCTTTGTAGTAGTAATGATGTCTTTTTCAACATCATTATGGTGCAACATTTAAGAAGTAATGATATGGAAAAAGATATGATGATGTGTTGCTGGCATTTTCTAAGAGTGGTTATAACATGTAAGCACGGAATAATACCTTTACAATTTAGAAGCACAAGACTGAAATCAAGATGCAAGAGTTGCTTTTTATTCGGACTTGCTCTTGCATTTTGATTTTGGTCTTCTGCTTCTACACTGTAAACGTATTATTCTGTGCTTACATGATATAAGCATGTTGCATTATATATGCATATATACAATATATTTTTAAAGCATATATGTTTTTAAAAAATATATTATATATGTGTATATATATTATATATAATATAATATATATAATATATATACACACACACAAATATATATAATGGGTTTTAAACATGTACTCATCTTTTCCCACTTGAGAATTGACTTTCCTATAAAGGCTATAGTGTAACTGACTAGTTTAGCTTCAAAATGCATCTTAAACCTTTTTTTAAAATTCTGTCTAGTCTTAGCCTTAAAATACACTTTGAAACTCTTGGTTTTCCTCCCTTTCCACTAGACATTCCTTGCACTCTGCCAGCTTATCTAATTAACTGCTTGCTTAGAAATTCCAGGGGCTAATCTTGAAATGAACCAGGCCCAGAGACTCAGCTGAGAAATCCTTCCCATCTAGAGATTACCTCAAGGGAGTTAATCTACAACCTGGCCAGTGCTGAGATGGAGCCAGCCTGCACTCCAGGTGGACAATAACTCAAGGTAGACATTGGAGCAAGATATGCAGACCCTATATCCAATACTACTTCTGCATGTTTCTCATAATGAGTTTCCCTTCTTAAATCCCTTATCCAGCCCAAAATATGAAATGATCTTTCAGAGGCACGAGTCTGCCCATTTTCCAACTGCTAGCACTTGAATAATGTTTCTTTCCTTTCAGTATACCTCACTTCTCGTGTTCTTACCTCTGAGCAGTGAGTAGCTGAACTTCACTTGGTTACAATAGGACATGTTAAGTACATGTCTTAGAAGATATGGTCCCTAAATAAACCATACTTTAATGGAAAATGAGACAAACCTTGGTACTTTTCACATAGTAGTATTTTGTATATAGTAAAATCTACAAACTGCATTCACGTATACTGCAACATTGGATCCTCACAGACATTTGTACCATTAATTCATCCTTTTAATAGACAAAAAATTACAAGATGAACGGGCTTATCAATTCCCACAGAGTTAAGTAGCAAGTCAGCGCCGACTCACTTCCAATGATAAGGTCAAGCTTGTAGTTCCTGAGGTGGACTGATCTAACCTTCTTTTCATGGGTTTATGCTGGGCTCATGATTAAACAAAACTTTAAAAGGTTTTTGTTTGTTTGCTTATTGTTTTAGTTTGTTTTATATACATTAATCATTGCATAGTATTTGTGCTAATATTTTGTGTGTAGGTTTCTTAGTCTTCAAATACAGTAAAAACAACTGAAAAGGGAAAGAAGTCATGAACGTCTTTTGGCAGGTGAAATTAGGAGGAAGCTGATCTCCTGCAGGGCAAAAGACCTATCAAAAACAATACATGATTAAAATATTATGTGCTATTTATATAACAGTTCTGAGGAGCCTGAAGCACTTTACAAAATCAATTTGACTAATCCCAGTGAACAGTGAGGAGCTATGCAGGATAGTAGAGATGATCACTGTCCTCATAAACAATTTCTAGTACTTTGGAGAAAGACTGCCTTTTACTCAGATCTCATAAGTCTATGACACAGCCACATTTATTGGAAAATAATAGACAGTTGGGGAATAAGGTAGAGGAAGGCAAAGAAGGAGAACTGGAAATGTTACAGTAGGTAGTTAGTCAGACATGAGCAGAGCAGAAAAGGACCCCTCCAATCAGGAATGTCAAGTAATATTATCTCTCTAAAATAACAATTGGTTGCAGTTGGTGCTAGGAAAAGGTAGTCTTCTAATAGATAAAACAAAACCCTAAAGCTAGTGATCAGCAGCTTCCCAATAAGATCTCCGGAGTTTTGTGAGTGGGCTCAAGTATGTGCACTAAGAGGCAAAATGGCAGTTTAGCTGGTATATGACCTTCCTCTAGGAACTCTCAACTGGTAAGGGAAAAACACCTCAAGTGAGCAGGTGCACAACTTCAGTAAACGCACTGAGCATGCAGCTTCTCTCAAGTGCTAGCAGGCAGGCCACTGCACATGCAGATGCCCACCCCAAGGGGACAATCAAGGGAGAAGAAGTGAAAGACTCTGGAAGCCTCCCAACATGAAAAAAAAAAAAACCCAAGTCAAAGGTCAGACAGCCCACTTGGATCACTCAAGACTCCTGCTCTTCCAAGTACACTTTACTTCCTTTTGTTTCTGCTCTAAAACTTTAATAAACTTTCATTCCTGATCGAAAACTTGCCTTAGTCTCTCACTCTGCCTTATGCCCCCAGGTCAAATTCTTTCTTCAGTTAAGATATATTAACTATACATCATAGTATTTAGGTATCTGTAACTTTACATCATAGTATCTAAGTTACAGGATATAAAAGAGAAGAGGGAAGGGAAGAAATAGGGAAGAGAGAGAAGAAAACAAAGATATACACACACACGTACATATACAAATATATACATTTATATACAGATACTCATAAACATCATAATTAAATAAGGAAAAATACTTATAATAGTTGTTTCTGCAAATGGTCATGTAGTCATAGCTTTTATTTATAACTATTGTCTTCCACTACTCACTGTATATATTTTCTGCCCTTAGTAAGCACCTCAGTTTGTCGTGGTTCTTTACCTAGTAGGGTGACTTCAACTTTCATTTCTGAAGCATCTGGACCATTAGTAGTCCTTCTTAAATTGGGTTGTTTTATTTTCCATTGACCTTATTAAGATACAGTCTAGGGGATCCCTGGTATTCCAGACATACTCTTTTTTACTTAATGTCATAGCAGTCCAGTTTTGTCTTGGTAATGAGGATCAATTACCCCAGACAGTATGATAACTTCATTTTTTTTTTCTGTTGATTAAGGGGCATGAGGAATTCAAAGTGGACTAAAGGCAGTTTTAATTGGGAATTCAGTGGAACCATTGTTGCTGTCTTCTTGTGGAGCATTCTTCTCTTTGGAACTAACACCTCTAGACCAGCAGAGAATAAAGCAACAGGGGCACGAAACATAAAATTTTGCTGGTAAATCACTGAGGATAATAAATCACTGCCACTTCCATTTCCATCCATTGATTTCTACACTCATGATTCCTGGCTATGGGAGCAACAACACCATATACTGGATGCTGCTTTAGAGCAAAGGGCCTCCTGGAGAACATTGCCTCAGACTTGCAAGGTATTGGCACCTGGGTGTCACTATACTGAGTCTTCAAAAGGCTCTTCCACCATTCTATCAAGCCATCTGCTTCAGGATAATGGGGAACATGGTATGACCAGTGAATTCCATGAGCATGGGCACACTGCTGCACCTTGTTTCCTGTGAAGTGAGTTCTTTGATCAGAAGCGATGCTATTGGAAAACCATGATGTTGAACAAGGTATTTTGTCAGTCCATGAATGGGGGTTTTGGCAGAAGCACTGCATGCAGTGAAGACAAATCTATGTTCAAAGTGTCTCTTACAGTAAGAACAAAATGCTACCCTTTCCATTATAAAAGTGGTATAATAGCATCAACATGCCTCTGGGTAGCTGGCTTATTACCACAGGGAATGGTGCTATATCAAGAATGAATATTGTTCTTGCTGCTGGCAGACTGGGAACTGAGCAGCTGTAGTCTAGTCAAACTTGGTGAATGAAAGACCATGTTTGTGAGCCCATGCTTAACCTTCAGCCCAACCACCATCACCATTTTGTTCATGAACCCTTTGGTCAATGACAGGGATGGTTGGGACAGAGGCTAATTGGTAGTCACAGACAGACTATCCTTGATCCACTTGATTATTAAAATTCTCTTGAATTTCAACTTTCAGTAAAATACAGATACGCACATTCCTACATGTTTTTCCAATTCAGAGAGGCCCACTCACATGCTTCTTCCTCAAATTTTTTTCCTCTAATTTTACAGTCGTGTTCCTTGCATCATCTAGCCAAACATTGCCTACTACTCATAGATTGAAACTGCCTTTGTAAAAGCTGTTAGTGAGAAAAATCTGACATAGGAACATTATGAGAGTGAAAGACATTAGACCTAGCTGACTCCATGTTGCTTCTTACCTCTGAGCTGCCCCTTGTTCATTTCTGGACATAGGCCAAGCTAACTTTGGCTAATTTCTGGACATAGGCCAAGCAAACTAATTTATAGTTTGATTTTGAAGCAGAGAAGATAACAGTCCCTCCCCAAAACAAACTTCCTCCTTGCTTGGGGGAAAGACCACCTTTGCAAAACTAACAAATTAACCACAAGATTAGATATTATGTCTCAGCAGTCATTCAGCCAGAGGTCACAAGATTTCTAAGCTCCCCAATTGCTCCTATAGATAACATTACCATTACAAAACCTAAGATTGGTGTTTGTGGTATTTTTCAGACCATACCTTCTGATGGAGCAGCTGGTGCCACCCATACCGGTAAACTGGGTCATCTTGTATTGTGGTTCTCACCCAGGAACTGATTCAGGGCAAGAAGACAAGCTCTGACTCCTTATGATTTCATCCCCAACACAATCAGTCTGCATTCTCCATGACCTAGCCCCCTACACACCAAACTATATTTAAATAACCCTAGCCTTCGAATTTTGGGGATGACTGATTTGAGCAAAAAACACTGGTCTTTTTCTCATCCAGCTCTGCATTTAATAAACTTTCTCTATTGCAAAAATCTGCTATGTTAGTGCATTAGCTTTTCTGGGCAGCAGGCAAAATGAACCTGTCAGGTAATTACAGAATCAGTACATAATTGCACATCTGGCCATTTCTCACTTCAAATAGAGTGATGCACTCTTCAAGTTCTGCCCTCTGGGAGGGTTTCCCTTTCCCGTGTCTCTCAGGGATGTCCAAGAAAGGGGATGTAGTGCTGCAGCTGTCCACTTTGGATAGTGCCTGTGTATTGTGTAGAACCATCTGTAAATCAGGCTGGAGTTTTTTCTACTTCAGTCAACTGATTATAGAAAACTCCCCATGAGGCCACAGGTGCAGGCTGGGAGAGAAGATAACAGATGAAGTGGGAACCTTGGACATTTGAGCTACTTCCTCATGTAACTTACTTGTGCCTTTGAGGCCTATTGAAGCTTATGTTTGTATATAACACTTCCATGTGATGATGCTATGCTGCTGTATATGTCCAACTTGTGGCTTGGCAGGTTAGATCACACCCAGGCCATGATGGGAGCTCAGGTCCCATGGTAACTCGGTGGTCCATGGTTAGGCAATCAGTCTAAGGTCCGATAGCAAGGCAAAAAAAAAAAAAAAAAAAAAAAAAAACAGCGGCCAGGCATGGTGGCTCATGCCTGTAATCCCAGCACTTTGGGAGGCTGACGCGGGTGGATCACGAAGTTAGGAGTTCAAGATCAGCCTGGTCAACATAGTGAAACACCATCTCTGCTAAAAATACAAAATAATTTACCAGGTGTGGTGGTGGGCACATGTAATCCCAGCTACTTGGGAGGCTGAGGCAAGGAGAATTGCTTGAACCAGGGAGGCGGAGGTTTCAGTGAGCTGAGGTCACGTCACTGCACTCTAGCCTGGGTGACAGTGTGAGACTCTGTCTCAAAAACAAAACAACAACAACAACAACAACAAAAACACACAAAGAAAACACAACTATTTCTCAAGGGAAGAGAAGTTATCTGCAGAGGAAGGCAGGGCTTTGCTTCAAAATCCTAAAGACTACTTTGTGATTCACCTACAGGGACCTGCCAAAGATTCCAAATAGAGTCACTATTTGCCAATAGCACTTCAAGCACCATTGGATCTGCTGAATCATATAATGGAAGTTGCAGAGCAGCTTGCACAGCATCTTGGACTTGTTACAGAGCCTTCTCTTGTTCTGGGTGCCATTCAAAGCTAGCTGTTTGTTGGGTCACTTGGTAAATGGGCCAAACTAACATACCCAAACAAGGAATATATTGCCTCTAAAATCGAAAGAGGCCAACTAATCATTATGCCTCTTTTTCGGTTGTAGGAGAGGCCAGAATGCAACAAATTATCCTTCACCTTAGAAGGGATAACTCAGCATGCCTCACACCAATGGAACCCTAGAAATTTCACTGATGTGGAAGACCCTAAATTTTTTTCAGATATATTTCCCACCCTCAACATGCAAATATGTTACAAATAAGTCTAGAGTAGTTGCTACTTGTTGCTCACTAGGACCAATCGGCATAATGTCACCAATGTTATGGACCCATGTGATATCTTGTGGAAGAGAAAGATAAAGTTTCTGATAACAAAATTATGACAGAGGACTGGAGAGTTCATATATCTCTGATGTAGGATAGTGAAGAAACATTGCTGGAATTGCCAGCCAAAAGCAAACTACTTCTTGTAGTCTTTACTAACAGTATGGAGAGAAAATGAAGTTCACCAGCTCAGTAGTTACATACCAGGTGCCAGGGGGTGTGCTAATTTGCTCAAGCAAGGAGATCACATCTGGAATAGCAGCTGCATTTGGAATCACCAACTGGGTAAGTTTACAGTTACACATGCTCATCTGCCAAGATCTATCTGTTTTCTGTGCAGGTCAAGTGGGAATATGGTTGGAATCACCACCCCTGCATCCTTTCATTTTAAAATGTTGTCATTAGTCTCTGGAATCATCCTCCCAGGAAGATGGGACTGCTTTTGACTCACTATTTTTATAGGTATAGACAGTTGTAGTGGCTTCCACTTGGCATTGCTCACCATAATAACCATCACTTCACAGGTCAGAAAACTGATGTGGGGATTCTGCCAGCTGCTGATTGTGTTTATTCCAATTACGCATTCTGGAACTGGGGAAATCACCATAGAATAGGTGTGGGGACTCACTGTACCCACTGTGAGATGAGTCTAAGATAAAGCACCTGACTTTCATGATGTTGTGGCCAAATATCATCTGGCCACAGTGATATTTTGAGTGTCTTATAATTGGTGTCAGTTCAGAGGCAGTGTTCTGTAATTTCTTCAAAATCTGATTCTTTCCTTGTTCCCAGTGTACACTAACTAATATGGTAAAAGTAGGGTAGAGAAGGCTAAGAGAAAGATTAACAGTATACATTTTTGGCAGTATAGTGGTGCCCCTCCTCAAAGGGACCCAGTCTCCCCTTTGTTCATGAGGTTCTGGGTCTGTTAACTGGCTTCAGTTTACGAGGCCATGGCTCTCTATGTTGATGATTCAAGTTAGACTTTTGTTCACTTGACCTAGTACCCTTCCACTTTGATTATATCACTATGCAATCTATGCATGTCACAGATTTACACATGCACCCCATAAATTTATTTTTAAAAGATCAAGTAAGATTATATACTGCTCATCTATTTGACTTCCAGGGACACCATGATCAATTAGCCAATGCCATAGGTCTCTGCAAGTCAGACTATGTTGATTACTGCTCTGACTCTGCTGTCTGTTATGGTAACCATGCCCACCTTGTCTTTGGCAATTAAGTGCTGTCACTTGGCCTTACCACCCTGCAATTCAGTTATCCCCATTAGACTTAAGGATCCCACCTCAGTTGTGGCCGTTATCACTATAATGCTTTACCTCCAAAGAGCAACCTCCTAGCTCTTCAAGGATGCTGGAGGTCCTCTCATAAATTTATTCCTCACAGTCCTGGTAAAAGGTGTGTACTCTGGGAGGGCGAGCAGGTTTTACGTGGTAAATACACTCTAACATTTTACTCTCCTTAACCTTTAGATACCTTCTTCTACAGTGTATCAAAGTAGTTCTGGCATATATCCTTCATTTAATACAGGACACCTTTTGTTCTGTGTTTCAGCCAGCTAATCAAGTCAGACTATTGGAGCCTTTCTAATACCCTGAGCTGCAACATTTAATCCATAATCTCTGCTTAACAGACCAATACCAATACATTTATCCTCACCCAACTTCATGTTTCTTTCACCATTTTTCCACATCCTTAATATCAATTCCTACAAATATTCTCCTAATCTCTGACTATATAAATTGAAAACATCATATAGTTCTAGAATGCAGTGCATCTCCTCATGTCACACTTTGTATCTAATGTTTTGGGGCCTGTAGAGACTTGAGTCTAGTTAGAGGTCTAGAACCAAAGATGGATGGTGGCAGCAGATTCTGAGAAGACCCAGCAGTGTCTTGCAAGATAACTGCCTCAGGGTAAGCTGGCAGTTCCTCAGCAAAGCAGGAGTAATCTTATATGGGGGAAGCACTGCTTCTACTTACAAAAATGACTCATCAGAATTTAGGGGTTCAAGGGCCCCACTTTTATCAGGAGCTTTGCAATGTCTTCATTCAAATTCTCAAGATTTCATTCCATCCCAAGTAATGTCTTCTCTGTGAGGCTGTGAATTCAATTTGTGTTGTAATTCAGCCACTTGCAGGATGAGACTCTGGGTTTGGTTATCAGTAATCTCAGCTCTGCAGCTATGGGAGGGTTTCTTTCAGGACAGACATAGAAACTTCCTGGTTATTTATGCAGCACTTGTGCTGGGAATTTGAAGCCATGAGATTATCTTTTTTCCCCCCAATTTATCTAGTACAACTAGGAGGAACCAGCCACTCTCATTATATTCATTAATTTGACAAAAATGTTCTAAGGTATTATGGTCCCTCAGGGTCTTATAAATATTTTATTAGTAATATGCATTGGTGATATTTTGTGTATCTCCATTGCCACACCACACCACATACTATCAATGTGCTCTTTACTACTGAAAATAGAGTCATTAGTGCCTTTAAAGCTAACCAGATTAGAAAACCAATTTCAGAAACCTTAGAATCACTTCCAAGAACTGATCATTAAGATTAGATTTTTCTAGAACCACTATGTCCAACAATCTGTAACAGTCAGGGTTATCTAGAAAAACATAACCAAAAGGGTAGAGATTAAGATGTTAAGGAATGGGTGCATGTGTTTATGGGACTTGTGTCTAAAGTCCACAGTACAGGCCAACTGCTAGAAACTCAGGCAAAATTTGAAGTTGTAGTGTGGAATATCAAATCTGTAAGATAAGACATCAGCCTTGAAACTCAAGCAGTGTTGGTATGTTACTGTCTTGAGGCAGAATTCCCTTTTCAAGAAAACATCATTTTTGCTCTTTAGGCTGGTCACATGAGGCCCACCCACATTTCTGATGGTAATCTTTATCACTCAAAGTCAATCAATTGCATATTAATAACGTCTACAAAATATCTTTACTGCAATGTCTAGACTAGTGTTTGATGAAACAATTCAGCACTGTATCTTAACCAATTTGACACACAAGATCAACCATCCCAACACCTAAAATTCAAAATCATGTGCTAAACAGTCACATGGAAATGCCTTCAATATCAAAAGTTTTTAGGATTCAACAGTTTACCTATAATTATGGAAGATAGGCTATGGATATCCTAACTACCTATTTATTTTAATGCTCTTTTTTATTAGATGGTAAACATGATTTTATAACTTTGGAAATAAAATATCCTTTAATATTTTTACAAAATTCTGCTTTTGTAGACAACTACAAAATTATATTTCTATGTAATTTTGATCCCCCCAAAATTTGCTTTCCCGAAGATTTGTTGAAATTTATGATTTTTGAGTTACATTTTGTTCAGTTATTTTATAAATAAATGTCCCTTTGCAATCTGTGGAAAAGATATTGGATTAGCTTAATGCTTTAGTAATGAAGTTTGATAAACTCCAATTACAGTAGATAACCTACTTAATATATTATAATGCTTATTTTCATTCCCTGAAAAAAGTGTTAATATTTTATTAAAACTGAGAGAAAAATATTAGAAGCTGTCAATAGTCAGAAAGACATTTGCTACCATAAGTGATTTCTATGATAATTACAAAAATGAGGACCTTAAAATATTATGTAAATTTTATTAAGTGACAAAGTCACACAGGTTTTGAAAAATTATACCACAGTTGCTCATTAACAGGTCTACATTAATGTAAATCTATTTGAAGATTTATATTCTCATTTTTTTGAAGAACAGTAACTTTACTGATGTATTAATAACCTAATTGTGACTAGCCAATCCTATTTTTGTTTGAAGGATCGTTCCCTTGATCCATTCAATAAATACTGTATGTGGGAAAAAGGAATATAGATTGATGGGCAAGAATTGTAATCACCACATACAGATATATGGGTTGAGGGAATAATGTGATTATTCAAAGAAAAATGAAATGATGCTTATGGGCCCTTGATGAACAATACAGGGTATTTGTATTAAGTCAGTCATGAATGTGGAAAGTAGCAAGACGAATATTTTATAAAATGTTAATTGTCTTGTAAGCACATAAGAGTCAGAGTGCTGGAACTCTGTATATTGTGCCTTTCAGGGGAATATTTTCTATTGTCAGTGACAGAATAAGAAGCACTGTTGAAGCAGCAGAATCTTTCTTCAGATATTCTCCAGATTCTTAATTCTACTCAGTTTTATTCCCTAGCAATATGATATATGTAAAATTATACTCTTCTCTAAATCATTGTCCAGGGATTCAATGCCAAAACTTATTTGTGTCTTGAAATTCCTAAGACTGATATCATCAGTATAATTTGAGTTTCAAAATATCCTTATGATAATTTGACATCAAACAAATTATCTAAAACTTAATAGACAAGGTTAGAATTTAAATTATCTCAATAAAATGAGGTTTGATATCCATATAAGAGAAGAAATAAGTTGATCATAAAGCAATAAAAATAAGTAAATTAGACTGTATATATGTGCATGTGTATATACTTATATGTATAGATTTGTATACGTGTGTATGTGTGTGTAGATATAGTATATACAATAAAATTGCTGTGTGTGTGTGTATATATATATATACATACACAGTCTGTGCAATTCTGCAGTAGACCTTTTCTGCTCTTTCAGTTGGATCTTGTGTTCCTAAAATACCCAACATAGAGAAACTGGCACACCAAGTGCCTTGTAGATCTGAAGAATGGGTTTCACGTTACACCAACACTACTTACAATTGCAATTAGGGAAGCCTCAACTTCAATAACCCTAGAATTTAGATTCTGCTTGAGTACCCTGACAGAAAGTTGTGAGTTGCCTCTTCCAAGTTTATTGGACTTCATCAAATTTGCTGATACAGCCAAGTTAACCTGACTTATCTTTTAAAATTGGCAACCTGTGAACAATTCATCTCTAAGTGCAGATTTGTGTTTGACCTCAAAAACTGGAAATGATATATGGAAATGTCAAACTTTATCTTTGCTGCTACTTCTAAGCAAGCTTTACTACCTTTTTTTTTTGTATGCAGTCACATAGGTATAAATTTTATTTTAAAACTTGGAATATTTTACCTAATAGTTAAAAAAAGTGTTCATCACCTTTTAATAACTAGCTGACATAATTTTTCTATGGGGAAAATCTTGGGGCTTCTTTATAGATGCAATCTGATGTTTTTAGAATTTCTCTAAAATAATGTCTCAGTTTGCTGCTATTTTATTTTAGTTTTTTAATGGACAGAACAATATGCATATATCATGCCATTTTAATTGAGTAATTTCTAATTCCTAGCTCATGCTATTGAGTTCAAGAGACAACAGTGACATGGAAATGTATCTTTTCCTAGTATCTGACATATTCTAATTTTAAAACAACTAGATTCCATGTAGATGATATGTGCAAGTAAAGTATAAAGATATAAACATAAAGGATATGTTAAATTAATTTTTGACTTTGAGACAGAAGTTAAAATAACCATAAAATTAATTATTATCAAATCTCAGTTTCCCCAATAATAATGAGATGTGATAACACTGACATTGTTTAAAATTGACAATTTAATATGAGCTTATAGTTCCTCTATATAAGAAAGTAAATCTCAATTAATGAAATAGCAATCTCTGTAGTTACAAGCAGATGAAGAGAAATCCTAGTATTGCCCACCTGGTATAACACTGGAAAGCCTCATTTATATATTAGATGATATGGTTTGGCTCTGTGTCCCCACCCAAATCTCATGTCAAATTTTAATTTTCACTATTGAAGGAGGGGCCTGGTGGGAGGTGATTGAATCATTGGGGTGACTTTCCCCTTACTGTTCTCATGAAATCTGGTTGTTTGAAAATTGTGCAGCACCTCGTTCTCACTCTTGCCATCCATGTGAAGATGTGCCCTCTTTCCCTTCACCTTCCAATATAATTGTAAGTTTCTTGAGACCTCCCAAGAAGCAGAAGCCTGTACAGCCCATAGAACCATAAGGTGATTAATCCTCTTTTTCTTTTCTAAATTTCCTAATCTCAGATACATCTTTACCTCAGTGTGGGATTAACTAATTCAGAAAAATGGTACCAGAGAAGTGAGGCATTGATATAAAAATACTTGAAAATGTTGAAGCAACTTTGGAACTGGATAGTGGGCAGAGGTTGGAACAGTTTGGAAGGCTCAGAAGAAGGCAGGAAGATGAGGGAAAGTTTGGAAATTACTAGAAACTTGTTGAATGGTTGTTACCAAAATCCTGATAGTAATATGAACAATGAAATACAGACTGATATGATCTCAAATGGAAATGAGGAACTTATTGGGAACTGGAGTAAAGTTGACTCTTGCTATGCTTTCATAAAGAGCCTGGTGGTGTTGTTTCCTAGGCCTAGAGATCTGAGGAAATTTGAACATGAGAGAGATGATTTAGAGTATCTGGCAGAAGAAATTTCAAAGCAGCAAAGCTTTCAAGATGTGGCCTGGCTGCTTCTAAGAGCATATGTGTGAGCAAAGAGATTATCTGAAACTGGAATTTATATTTAAAAGAAAAACAGAGCATAAAAGTTTGAAAAATTTGCAGCTTTACCATGAGTGTTTTTCAGAAAAGAAAAACTCATTTTCTTTTTTCCTGGAGAGAAATTTATGTCTGCTGAAGAAATTTGCATAAGTAAAGAGGAGCCAAATGTTAATAGCCAACACAATGGGGAAAATGTCTCCAAGGCATTTCAGAGCCGTTTGCAGCAGTCCCTCTGATCACAGGCCTGGAGGCCTAGGAGGGAAAAATGGTTTCATGGGTCAAGTTTAGGGACTCGCTGCTCTGTGCAACCTTGGGACATTACACTCTATTTCCCAGCTGCTCCAGCTCCAGCCATGACTAAATTGGGCCAAGGTACAGCCTGGCCCATTGCTTCCGAGGTGCAAGCCCCAAGCTTTGGTGGCTTCCATGTGGTGTTAAGCCTCCAGGTGTGTAGAAAAAAAGAGTTGAGGCTTGGGAACCTCAGCCTAAATTTCAAAGGATGTATGGAAATGCTTGGATGTCCAGGTAGAAGTCTGCTGCAGGGCTGGAGCCCTCATGGAGAACCTCTACTATGGTAGTATTGGGGTGGGGGAAGTGGGGTTAGAGCCAACACACAGGGTCCCCACTGGGGGACTGCTTAGTGAAGCTGTGAAGAGAGGGCCACCGTCCTCAAATGCCCAGAATCGAAGATCCACGGACAGCTTGTACCATGTGCCTGGAAAAGTTGGGCACTCAAGGAAATTCTGTGAAGGCATCTACTGTGGCTGTAATCTGCAAAGCCACAGGGGCAGAGCTGTCCAAGACCTTGGGAACCTACCCCTTGCATTGGTGTGGCCTGGAAGTGGGACATAGAGTCAAAGGAGATTGTTTTGAAGCTTTAAGAATTAAGGACTGTCCTGTTGTGTTTTAGACTTGCAAGGGGCCTGTAGCCCCTTTGTTTTCCTCAATTTTTCCCTTTTAGAACAGCAGCATTTACCCAATGCCTGTACACCCATTGTATATTGAAAGTAACTTAGTTTTGATTTTACAGGCTTATTGGTGGAAGGGACTTGACTGGTCTCAGACTTTTACTTTGGACTGAGACTTTTGAGTTCATGATGAAATAAGTTAACACTTTGGGGAACTGTTGGGAAGGCATGAATGTGTTTTGAAATGTGAGAAGGACTTAAGATTTGGGAGGGCACAGGGGCAGAATAATATGGTCTGGCTCTGTATGCCCACCCAAATCTCATGTTGAATTGTAATTCCCAGTGTTGGAGGAGGGGCCTGGTGGGTAGTGATTGAGTCATGGTGGCATACTTCCCCTGTGCTGTTCTTGTGATAGAGTTCTAATAAGGAGAGCTGGTTCTTTCAAAGTGTATGCACCTTCCATCGCCCCTCTCTCCTGCCAGCCATGTGAAGATGTGCCTGCTTCTCTTTTGCCATGATTGTAAGTTTCCTGAGGCTTCCCTAGGAGCAGAAGCCTGTACAGCCCACAGAACCATGAAACAACTAAACCGTCTTTCTTTATAAATTTCCCTCTCTTGGGTATGTCTTTATAGCAGTGTGAGAATGGACTAATAGAGGAGATCATAATGCTACTTATACCTTATGGTTGCTGAGATAATCAAATAAAATAATTATCATTTACAAAGCATTTGCTAACTTTTAAAAACTTTTTTGTGGCCACATATGATGGCTTATGTCTACAATCCCAGCAATTTGGGAGGCCAGTGCAAGTAGATTGCTTCAGCCCATGCACGACCAGCCTGAGCAACATTGCAAGAACCTGTCTCTAAAAAACAAAACAGAAAACCCATTTTTTGTATATTTTCTCCCAACAATCCTGTAACACTTACCCTTATTCTTGACTCCAGTCACAATGAGCTACAAGCTGGTTGACTGTCATGTCCTGCACCTGCCCACTTTTCACACCATTGCTGCCTCAGCAACTTCCTCTTTTAATTGCCTTTATTTAGATTCCACCAGGTAAAATACTGCCTATTTGTTAAAGCAATGATCGTATGTCATTCTTATCTACAAATTCTCACCCGACTTTGCCATCCTCATCTTCTGACTTTCAGTGAAATATGTTGCAACTTTGATAAACTACTCTTGTTACACTTTTCATACATTGACTTGGATTATATGAAGTATGAGTGTGTGTTTTTAACATATATATAGAAGACAAAAAATAAACCATAAATAATGTAGCTGAATATTATTGACTGTCTATAGCTATCTGTCTCTTTCTATATATATCATCTATCTATCATCCATCTATCATCTATATACCTATCTATTGATTTATACTACCTTTATTTGATTTTCTATCAGTCTTCTGTTGCTCATTTTTTCCCCACAGACTGGTCTTCTATGGATTTCTCCCACCTTAAGGCCTCTGCACTGTCTGTTTCCTCTGTCTGAATCTCATTGTCTTTTTTTTTTTTTTGAGACAAAGTCTCACTCTGTTGCTCAGGCTGGGGTGCAGTGGCATGATCTTGGCTCACTGAAACCTCTGCCTCTCGGGTTCAAGCAATTCTCTTGCCTCAGCCTCCTGAGTAGCTGAGATTGCCGGTGCCTGGCACCACGCCAGGCTAATTTTTGTATTTTTAGTAGAGGCAGGGTTTCACCATGTTGGCCAGGCTGGTCTCAAACTCTTGATCTAAAATGATCCTCCTGCCTTGGCTTCCAAATGTGCTGGGATTACAGGCATTAGCCACCACATCTGTCCTGAATCTCACTTTCTCTAGATACTTATCAGATGAAATCCTTCATCTCTTTCAAGTCATTGTGTTAATGCTGCCTTCTCGATGAGTTCTTCCCTAATCACCTAATTGTAAATTGCCACCTACTAACTGTACTTTTGATCCTTTTTGTTTATTATACATTGTCTTTTTTCCTTAGCACTAACCACCTTCCAATTTATTGTAACATATGTTTATTATGTTTATGATTTATTTTTATTTAATTACACTGTAATGTAAACCTCTTGGACGTAAATGTCTTTGCTAGTTTTGCTTCCTGAAGGTTTGTTAGTGCCTGGATAAATTGATATATAGACGCACTCAAATTTGTAAGAATTTGCATGAATTTTGCATATTGTTCTGTATGGCAGTAGTTTGTTTATTCTTATTGCTGAATAGTTTACCACTGAATAAATACAATACAATTAACTTATCTATCCTATTTTATTGCTGAATAATATTTGAGTTATTTCTAATATTTGATTTTCATAATACAAAAAGTTGGTTATTTGAAAATATCAAGAAATTGACAAAAACTCAGACTATTTGTAAGACAGGGAAAAAAACACACAGCTAATATCAGAAATACAAGAGGGGCTCATAAATCCTAAAGACCTGGAAAGGAAAATGTAGATAATCTTATACCAGCAAATTTTTCTACTAAGAAGAAATATAATATATATGTTTGAGACAGGTCTTGCACTGTCACCCAGGCTGGAGTACAATGGTGCAATCATTGCTCACTGCAGCTTCGACTTCCTAGGCTCAAGAAATTCTCCCATCTCAGCCTTCTAAGTAGCTGGGACTACAGGTGCATGCCACCATGCTCAGCTAATTTTTTGTATTTTCTATAGAGATGGGGTTTTCCCTTGTTGCCTAGGCTGGTCTCAGATGGCTGAGATCAAGCGATCTGCCTGTCTCAGCCTCCCAAAGTGCTGGGATTATAGCTGTAAGCCAGTATGCCTAATCTGAAAATATCTTTGCAATCATAATTTAGGCAGTATTTTGTAGATACTATAAAACAAAAACAAAAAATGAAGTTTGATTTTATCAAATTAAAACCATTTTCTCTTCAAAAGACAAAATGAAATAATGAATAGGTAATTGACAGAATGAATAAAATTATTCATGATACAAATATCTGACAAAGTATTTGTGACCAGAAAAGATAACTATTTTTTACCTCAATAATAAAAAGACAAAACTCAATTAAGTAAATAGCAAAAGATTTGAACAAACACTTCAAAAATGAAGATAAGATAATGTTATTACCACATGAATAGATGCTCAACATTCATCATCAGGGAAATGTAATTTAAAACCAAAATGAAATTCCATTACATATCTATTATCATAGCTAAAATTATAAAGGTTGATAATATCAAGTTGTTGGTGAGAACCGGGAGGAACTGGAAGTCCCATATACTGCTTAAGAGAATATAAAATTATATAGTCTCTTTAAGAAAGCACATCAGCATGAATGAATCTCGAAATTATGACAAATGAAAGGAGCAAGGCAAAAATGATTAAAGAGGTATTTAATGCAAGAAAATTCACAGTAACATCTAGAGATAAAAAGCAGATTGATTTTCAACTGGGACTAGATGTAGGTAAATGACAAACTGAAAGTGATATGAAAAATATTTTGTAGTTGTCGAAGTGTTCTGGATCATCACTGTGGTGGTAGCTTTATGTACATATAAATCTGTCAAACTCTTCGAATTTTACAATTTAAATCAATGTAGTTTATTTTTTGCATATCATGCCTCTCAATAAAATTAATACAAGAAAATAAGTGACTCTTTCATATGCGGCATCCTCAAAAAAAAAAAAAAAAATAAGCCAAAAGTAAAGAAAGGACGAAAGGAGGAAGGGAAGGCATGTGGGAGGAAGAGAACAAAGGAGGGAGGCAGGGTGAAGGAAGGGAGAAGGGAGAACAAACAAACAAAAAAAGCAAAGGAAAGGAAAAGAAACAAAGGAAACTCAGAAATACTAATATGCAATGGAACAAGTCTTTTTTTTTTTTTTCTTTTTGAGATGGGGTCTTGCTCTGTTGGAACAAGACTGGAGTGCAGTGGCACATCCATGGCTCATTGCAGCCTCAACTTCTTGAGCTCAAGTGAGCCTCCCACCTCAGCTTCCCAAGTAACTGGGACTACATGCATGTGCCACTATGCCTGGTTAATTTCTGTACTTTCTGTACAGGTGGTGTCTCACCATGTTGCCCAGACTGGTTACAAACTCCTAGGCTCAAGCGATTCGCCTGCCGTGGCCTCCCAAAGTGCTTGGATCACAGGAATGAACCACTGTGCCTGGCCAGGTGATTTTAATTCTAATCTAATGCACAATCTGTCTCTTCTGACGTATCATGAACTTTGTATTTAAATAAATACTTACTAAGGAGTTGGTTCTGTAAATGCCTTTTAACAAAAGACCATCGGAAACATACCTGTAGTTGTTCTATTTACTGCTAATGGGAAAGTGCTAATCATGGGGCATCTCGGTTACAGATGTTAAAAAAGGCTTATACAATGATTTACACTTGCCGTAGATGGTCTTCTGGGGAGAGAAGGAATTTAAAGTAGTGCTTTGCTCTAGATTGGCTGTTATCAGAAAGTTGAACTGATTCTATAATTGTTCATTTTGACAACTTCTATCTATTGGAAGAACAGAAAGGGCAAAGCTAAATTTGTAATTGGTAAAGAATTAGCAGTCATTCATATTCATCAGGATAAAGGTAAATTTGATCATTTTTAGTCTTAAACAATGTTCATGTTTTTCTGTGTTCAGACATGATTATGGAGTTGCCTTGTTTTTGTCTTCATCCATAAATATTACACAGTGGCCTTGTCTGATGTTGATTTTTGAGAAATTGGTTATGTCCAACAGAAGAACACCAAGACAAGCTTATGATCTCGTGAGTGTTATACCAGCTTATGTCACTACCAAGGACTAGCTGATAAAACTTGGCCAGCTCCTGTAGGTCAGGGGCTGCATTTCTCTTTCTCAGTCCAAAAAAACTCTTGACAAGGTATCCTCAATAAAAAAGAGAGGAAAAGAATAATTTTCAATTATATTTGAAACAATATGAAAATATGCAGCTATCAAAAGTTTTAGAAATAGCTGATTAATAATGTGCACATTCTGATAAGTTTATGAAATATATATTTTTAATGCAAATGAATTACAAACATTGACTAAAATTTTAATTGATTTCACTACAAGTGGATTAGGCTTACCAGATTCTCTTCTTTGGAAATTTGAGATTTATCTCAGTAAGAATTTAAGTCCTTCCATATGCTTTGATCTAAAAAATTAGGTTGCTTTTTAGTGTTCATATTCTGCCATGGGAAGCGGGGCATAGAGTAAACTAATATCCAATGAAATAAAATAAACATATGCTCATAAGGACACCAAGAAGGAGTAACACCCCTAATTGATTCCCTGATGTTTTTCTAGTTCGCATTTCCACTCATTTTCATGATCCAGCTGCATTATTATCCTTGAGCTTCATGAATCAGCCAGAATTATTATTGCATTCTCATTTTACTTGCATAAAATTAACTAGCTTTCTGTTCCTTGCAACCAAACAGTGCTGATTTAAGATGAAAATATCACTTTACCATAACTACGGATATTTAAGAAAGGAATGGAAGGATGTTACATATTGAGAAAATATCTTAATGTAATATATCAAACCAAGAGATGAAATATTAATTCCTACTGTCATAATGTTAATTTATGTTTTTATTGTTGAAGCTTTCTGCTTTTTACTCTATCTTCTTTCTCTATATCATAATTGATCTAATCCAGAGATGCATTTAAGAGATTCCTAACAAAGATTTTTAAATTTCATGTGTTTGTATTTACTACAAGACCTACTAAATTTGAGAACCAGGTATTGTTGTCTAGAAAAGAGAGAAATGAAGGGAAGGAGGAAAAAAAGAATTTCTGTCACTAATATTAGATAAATATGACTTCAGCAACAAAAGTATTAAATGATATAAAGAGAACATTTATCAAATTTATCATTTATAAGAGATATACCTCTTATGAACCCATACACATTTAATAGAAAAGTATTAAAATATTAAGAAAAATCTGCAGAAAATATAATAAAATTATGGCACAAATTCAATATATTGGGAGACTTTAACATATTACTATATATCTGAGAATATCAAGCTTGTTAAAGTATGCAAGCCTATATATGAAGATATTAGTATCACAAATAATACAGTCTATAGATTGATAAAATATGTATTTATATTAGATCTGTTTGGCTGATAGACTCTATACTAGGTCTGTTTAGCTCCATGACACTCCTCCTGGTTTTATGTCTTTGTGTGGTACCCTCCTCTTAATGAGGGGTGGGTTCTGTGACTTGTTTCTAACCAATAGAATATGGCAAATGTGATAGAATATCACTTCCACAATTATGTCCTATATGACTCAATCTTACTAGAAGGCTCTCATTCCCCTTCTCCTTCTCCTTCTGTCCTTGAAGAAGCAAGCTGCTGGATTTTGAACTCTGTAGAAGACTACGTTGGAGAGAACTGTGATGACTCTAAAAACTGAGGGTTGCCCCTGGTCAACAGACAGCCAAAAAACCAAAGCCCTCAGTCCTAGAACTTAAACAAGTAACTTCTGTGAACAACCTGAGTGAGCTTTGAAGTTAACTCTTCTTGGCTCAATCCTTCAGTTAAGAGTGCATTCCAGCTGTCACTTTTATTGCAGCCTGGTGAAACCTTGAAGCCAATAACCTAATTAATTACGCCTTTCACTCCTCACTTACAGAAACTGTAAGAAAATAAATCTGTGTTTGTCTAAGGTGCTAAGTTTGCGGTAAATTGTTACACAGCAGTAGAAAACTATGGCTTTCAGATATTGGTACTTGAATGTAGGATACTTCTGTAAAAAACGTCCATAAATGTGGGAGTGGTGTTAGAACCAGAAAATGAGCGAAGATTGAAGGAATTTTGAGAGACCTAATAGAGAAAGCCTAAATTGTCTTAAACAGATTATTAGTAGAATATAGATGCTAGGATGCTGTTGGTGAAGGTTTAAAAGGAAGTGAGGAACCTACTGAAAACTAGAGTTATGGATTTAATTTTTTTTTTCTTTTGAACAGGGTTTCACTTTGTCACCCAGCCTGGGGTGTAGTAGTGTGATCGTGGTTCACTGAAGCCTCAGTCTCCTAGTCTCAAGTGATCCTTCAGCCTCAGCCTCCTGAGTAGCTGGTCCTATAAGCGTGTGCTACCATACCCAGCTAATTTTTTATTTTTTGTAAAGACAGGGTCTCACTTTGTTGCCCAGACTGGTCTTAAACACCTCAACTCAAGAGATCCTCCTGCCTTAGCCTCCCAAAGTGCTGGGATTATAGGTGTGAGCCACTATGGTGCCTGGCTGAGTTACAGGGATCTTTGTCATGGAGTGGCAAAATACTAACTGAATTTGTCTCCTGCAAGTATATGGAAAGCAGAACGTGTAAGTGGTAAACTTGATTATATAGTTTGGTAAACTTGGTTATATAGCTAAGGAAAAATTGGTTATATAACTACAGAAAATATTGTAAATACTCACTCTTTTTCTTGCTGCTTATAGGAAAAATGTGAAAGGGGAGAGATCAAATGAGGTAAGAAAGTTAAGTAAAAAGAAATGAGGACTGGATGCTTTTTAAAATCCTCTGCTTTTTTATATGCAAGAAATAAACAAATTAAGATTCACTGTAAGGAAAGTGTGCTCTAGAGAAAAGGTGGAGATTGTGTTTCTACCACCTTCTACTCCAGCCTCATAAAAATCAAAAGATTGGTGTTCAGTCATGCAAAGGGCACATACAAGATTAATGTTGTACCTCACAGATCCTATGAAACAAACCATAGAAACTCTATAAAGCTTGAAGGCATTGTTTTTCAACCATCTCAGCAGGAGCCAAAAATAGAGAAGGGATGACTTGTGAAGATCTGTGGGTATGGCTTTGGTCTAATGGAATGGACTGTATTGAAATATATGAGAAACTATAAAGTTCTTAAGAAAATTATTAAGAGGAAAAACACCAACTTGGACTGAAATAAACAGCAATAATACAAAATGAAAAGGGGCTGCTAGGGTCCCTAAAATTTTGAAGGAAGAAAACTGATAAAACTACTCAACTTCATTGAAAAGGAAGGGTGACTCAGAGAGCAGAACCAGGAACCTAGGAGGCAGAATCAAGAGCCATGGAAAATTATTCTTAGTCCTTGATATATAACTAAGAATAAGTCTTTGAAATCAAGGAACTACCAACATTTTCCAAGCTGGATTTCACTACATTTATAGGTAACGTCTTTGAACCTCTCTCATTTTCCCACATATTAAACAGAAATGTGTCTAATTGTTATCCTATGGCTCTCTACCCTTGTATGTTGATGGTGTTTGAAGCAGAGAGCTTTATAGCTCTTTAGCTTTACAGTTCCTCAGATGGAAAAAAAATTGTACCTGGGAACTGTACTGAATGAATGATATCACAAGAACCCCATCCACAACTAGACTTTCTATAAATGATGAAATTTTGGCTCTTGAGCTAATGATGAAATGAGAGGAGACTTTTTTGTGTGTGTGAATACTTTAACTTCTGGGATACATGTGCAAAATGCGCAGGTTTGTTACATAGGTATACACATGCCACGGTGATTTGCTGTACCCATCAACCCATCATCTACATTAGGTATTTCTCCTAATGCTATCCCTCCCCTAGCTCTCCATCCCTCGACAGGCTCTGGTGTGTGATGTTCCCCTCCCTGTGATCATGTGTTCTCATTGTTCAACTCCCACTTACAAGTAAGAACATGTGGTGCTTGGTTTTCTCTTCCTGTGTTAGTTTGCTGAGAATGATGGTTTCCAGCTTCATCCATGTCCCTACAAAGGACATGAACTCATCTTTTTTATGGCTGCATAGTATTCCATGGTGTATATGGGACACATTTGCTTTATCCAGTCTATCATTAGTGGGCATTTGGGTTAGTTTCAAGTCTTTGCTGTTGTGAATAGTGCCACAATAAACATACATATTCATGTGTCTTTATAGTAGCATGATTTATAATCCTTTGGGTACATACCCAGAAATGGGATTGCTGAGTCAAATGGTTTTTCTGGTTCTAGATCCTTGAGGAATCGCCACACTGTCTTCCACAATGGTTGGACTAATTTACACTGCCACCAAAAGTGTAAAAGCAATCCTATTTCTCCACATCCTCTCCAGCATCTGTTGTTTCCTGACTTTTTAATGATTGCCATTCTAACTGGAGTGAGATGGTATCTCACTGTGGTTTTGATTTGCATTTCTCTAATGACCAGTGATGATGAGCTTTTTTTCATGTTTGTTGGCAGCATAAATATCTTCTTTTGAGAAGTGTCTGTTCATATCCTTTGCCCACTTTTTGATGGGGTCGTTTGTTTTTTTTCTTGTAAATTTGTTTAAGTTCCTTGTACATTCTCAATATTAGCCCTTTGTCAGATGGATAGATTGCAATAATCTTTTCCCATTCTGTAGTTTGTGTGTTCACTCTGATGATAGTTTCTTTTGCTGTGCAGAACTCTTTAGTTTAATTGATCCCATTTGTCAATTTTGGCTTTTGTTGCAATTGCTTTAGGTGTTTTAGTCATGAAGTCTTTGTCCATGCCTATGTCCTGAATGCTTTTGCCTAGGTTTTCTTCTAGGGTTTTTATGGTTTTAGGTCTTATATTTAAGTCTTTAATCCATTTTGAGTTAATTTTTGTATAAGATGTAAGGAAGGGGTCCAGTTTCAGTTTTCTGCCTATGGCTAGCCAGTTTTCCCAACACCATTTATTAAATAAGGAATCCTTTCCCTATTGCTTGTTTTTGTCAGATTTGTCAAGGATCAGATGGTTGTAGATATGTAGCATTATTTCTTAGTCTTCTGTTTTGTTCCATTGGTCTATATAGCTGTTTTGATACTTTTGAGGACGTTGGGAGAGAATGGATGTATTTTGTATAGCGGAGGAAAGTTAGTCTTCAGGAACCACAAGTATACCATGGAAAACAAACTCCTGGGTATCTCCCATTAGGTCTCATGGTGCTCACGGCTTTGGGTAGTACCATCTACTTGAATGTGAGCACGACCTGTGACTTGCTTTTAATCAGTGAAATATGACGACATGTCACTCCCATGATTTTATTGTTATATAACCCCCTCCCTTTCTATCCTCCTCTCTTTAATGAGGCAATCTGCTATGTCATGACTTGCCTATGCAGAGCTATGTGGCAGGAACCTGAGGGTGATCTCTAACAGGTGAGAGTAGACTCTGACAACCATGAAAAAACTAAGGATCTTAGTACTACAGCCAGAAAGAAATGAATTCTGCCAACAATCTGAGTGACCTTGGAAGTTGACTTTTCTGCAGTTGAACCTTCAGATGAAAATACAGCCTGGCTGACACCTTGATTGCAGCTTGGTAAATCAGTGAATTAAGTAACCAAACTAAGTCATACAATCTAATTCCTGATTCTCAGAGATTATAAGATAAAAATTTTGTGTTATGTCTTGTTTTAAGTTTATAGTAATTTGTTACATAGCATGCATACACATGTGCACACACACACACACACATTTTCAGGATGCTTGTGTACAGACGTGGTAAATTTTCTTTTTCTGGGTATATGTATTTTAGTATAGATAAATGTGTTTGCTTTATTGTACATTAGAATGCAAAGAAAATCTCAAAGAATAAAGGCATGGTACATTGACATTTTCATAACAATAATGTTAGAATTAAGTAACATAGGCAGAGACAGATGCAATAATTACAAAACAGCAACCTTGGAAAAAAAAGTCGACTTGTTAAAAAGTAAAGTACTCTCTTCTAAATGATTTTGGGGCCAAATAAAAATTTCAAACAACCATAGAAGACTGTCTAGAAAATCGTACTAATGAAAACACCACACAACACAACCTATGTTTTATTACATTTCTGCATTAGTTATGCTAATGAAAACATTATAAATAGAATATCATAGACATATCTTATGCCATAAATTTATTTTTATGGCATAAGAGACAGAAAACAGTAGAATGGTTAATCTTGAGGAGAAAAATCACTATCACACGAATAAACACATTTCTAACCTCATCAAAAAATTAAAAAGTAAAACACAGAATTTTGAAGAAGCAAGGTGAAATAATCAGAGGTACTTAGTACATTTAATGAATTATAAGAGACTATTTTGGTTGACTATGTAATATTAGGTTGGTGCAAAAGTCATTGCATTTTTGCCATTTAAAGGAATGGCAAAAACCACAGTTACTTTACCATCAACCTAATAATATGAATTTCTGCTTGCAATGGATACTTTCTTAAGGAAATACATATTACCAAAATTGAGTAGCTATCTGTTGTTTTTATCTATCTAATATCTTCTCTTCTTCTCATTGTAGAAATAATTTACTGATCAACTTTAGTGCCTCTGTTTTTCCATTTCTCTTCAAGGCATGAGAGAATCATCAGTGAACAAATCCAGTAAAGATATTGACCTTCAAAGAGTTTATGTTATATTGTGAAGGACAGTAATAAACTCAACTTATATGGTATAGTGGAAGACGGTTAGTGCTAAGGAAGAAAGACAATTTGTAGTGAAACAAAAGACACCAGTAATGGAGCAGATAGGTTACAAATTAAAATAAAGTAATTAAGAAAGGCCTCATTGAGAAATTGACATTGAAATAACTTGAGGGAGGTGAGAGATTTAATTTGTTAACTATTAGGGGTTGAAGGTGCAATCCAGATAGAGGAAATGGCCAGTGCAGAGGCCCTAAGGTGGGAGAAATTCAATGACCCTGTAGAAACTAGCCTTTGAGAGAAAATGAGCAAGAGGAAAGTGATAAGAAATTCAGGTAGAGGTGATTCAGAGAGACAGGAAATAGAAAGATAGACAGATATAGAGAGATAAAAGATAGAGACAGACAATCTCAGTTGTAATACATTATTTTAACTTGCAAATTCAAATTTACAGTAATTGTAATTAGAACCTTTGCAGCAGAGTTGATTTTATTGATATTTGTCAATAGTTATTTCTTGCTTTATCTTAAAGTAGAAAGTTATTAAGGTTTTCCTAAGTTCCCAAATTAACTTCTCCCATTTTAATGCTCTGAAATAGTTTACTTAAGATATAAATTATTTCTTATATAACGAGTTTGCTAAAACTCAATTATAAATGTACTTACCATTAATGAGTTTTGCAGTGAGAAATTTTTTTAACCTTCCCTGCAATTTCTTTTACTGTTTTGGAGCTTTATATGTATTCTATTACTTTTCTATTTAGCTTATTCAGCTTATTTTATTATTCTAGAAATATGCTCATTACATCCTAACCTTCAAAGTTTAGACATGTATGTGTATATGCTTAATTGTATATATGTACATATATGTGTGTATTTTTAATAAATTATGTTCTAATTTCTAATTATGCCATAATAAGCATAATGGTTCCTATTTTGTTACCTTTAAAAATATATTTTGTCAGATACTTTCAATTCTGATTTGTGTCTTTTCTCGCCAATAGTTATTTTTTATATTTGAATTCAATTGCCTTTTATTTATTTTAAAATTAAGAGTAGTTTTAATATCTGTTCTTTCTATTCCACTTACTTCTGGTTTTGTCTTTTGATTTCTTTCTGGTTTTTTGAGAATCCTGTGCATGTAAAATTTTTGTTTTATAAATAAATGTAATTAAGATCATAAATCTCTCTCGCATATTGGTACCACACTCATCTCTAACCTGTAAATTATTTTGGAAAATTCTTAAGGTTTCTGAAAATACTTAATAATTTTTGGTCTGATTTATTGTCTATAATTCTGCTGACAGTGTGAAAGTTGTATATAAAATATTTTGAATTTTTGAAATAGACATATTAGTTATGTATTGTTCATTGTGTTAAATCTTCTACATCATAGAACATGTTTTCTTTGCATAAAAATAGATTTCCTTAAATTATTTGTCAGTTTCATATAAAACTACTTATGCAGGTGTATTCAAATGTCTCAGTATAAACGTGAATGTTTTCTAACATTCCTACATAATCTGTCACTTTTTGACCTTAATTATTCAGACACTTTCTTATTTTCTAATTAAGGTAAGCAGAGGAAGAAAGAATATTTTTTCCTGTCACTTTAAATTTTATGTTATTCCTGTGATACTTTTAAATAATGCTTCTCATGAGGGGGAAAAATGTATGAGATGTTAAAACCGATTCATCCAGAATAGAATCCTATTTGATGAGATGACCTAAGGATAGATCATGAAGGATATGGTCTTAGCATTTTATGTGATCACCCTCACCATCCCATCCCCAACTTCCCAGTAAGTACCCATCATGTATCTATTAGTCATAAATTTGTATACATTTAAGAAATCTATCTTTTAATCCACTAATTTTTCAGCATGTATCCTTTATGCATTAAAGCACATATTGATACTACCATTAAGTTATTCTTCCATCTAAAATGCTTTCTTTAAATGTCAAGGGATGAAACATTCTGAACTGTATATGAACTAAAACGAATGGCCTTATTTTCAGTTTAAAATGTGCAAGCTTCGTTTCAATAATAATTATCATTAATATGAAAATGAAAAAAGTTTTTAAATGCATCAAGGTTTTCCCAGAAAAAGATACATTAAACCTTTGGGTACCAAATAATCTGATGTTATTCTTTCTTACATGCATATATTTGCACACTGCTGTGGCTATTCTATTTGCATTACACAGGAGAGTGCCATTTAAGCCATAAGTACAACTCTACATAATTCGACTTAGTTTAAACATCTTGCTAGAGGAATAGTAATCAAATTTAGCTTCAGGACATACCGTAGACTAATACAAAGCTCTATATGCACAGTTAAGATTATACCACAAATGTGGTTTCTATTTTATTATTTGATGAATGGTATGTCACATAGTGTTACGTGATTCCATCATAAAAGATGTTATTACAATGCCTCTGCTCAGAAGGACAAAGTTAAGCCTGCCAAGAGGACATGAATTCTCAAATTCTAGAGGTGAATAAGTTGCCTCATGGCTTATTCTTTGAGTTCTTGGAGAGGAAGAAAATATATGTGGGCATCCAAAACAGGTCTTCCAACTGCATTAGGCTTCCAAAAGTGTCTTCTAGATGTTAGATCATTTATGACAAATTTTTCTTTAAAGTACATATGTAGCTAGATGTATTTATACCAATAGATTAGTTATTCCCATGAAATGCAGCAAAATATTTTCCACTCATGAACAAATAAGTCTAGCTGTTGAGATTTAAGCAGCAGTGGTGGTGTACATAACCAAACCACTAATTACTTTTAAACAATAAACTTTTTTCTTCGACCCATTCCTTTTCAATTCAAGCTTTCTAAAACAGTATTTCCACAAGGGCACAGTTCAAAAGCAACATTCTGGGAGTCACAAATAGCTTAAATTAATTGATTAAAATATATCAGGTACGTTATACTTGAACAGATGAGCTACCATATAGGTATGCTTCCTTTGCAGAAAAAAATTTCTATCAGCAATCTGTGTGTGTCCCAGGAAAGAATGAGAGTGATGAGTGATAAAGGAATGTGGTGCAATTGGGATAATGGTGACTGAGTGTTGCTAATGAGTAAAAATATGGTTCTGAAGAGTGGAGGCTGCCTTGAATATAACCTTAAGTTTTAATTTTATCTTAAAATGAAATTTTGATTTTATTGCTTTGTAAAGAAGAGTGCTGAAAAATCAGATTTGAGAAGATTAATTTAGGCTCTCATTTTAAAGAAAAGATCATTTTTGTCATCTCCTAATTCTGTGTACTAGTAGAGTCATAATGGTGTGGTTAGTAATATCTTTCTGAGTTATAAGAATAAAATGAAGTCTCCTGGTTTTTTAATATAGATTTTTTATATTGCAAAGTTTTTATATATAACACATAATATGAACACCAAAGCTTTCAGATCACTAAAAATGTAGGGCCTAAGATCAAGTAGCATAATCATCTGAAAGAATTGTTGGAGTGAGAAATCTAAGATGAAAAATTGTGATTGACTAAAAAAAGACATTTAGAAACACAGTATTTAACAATGGAATCACAATTGTGATGCTATTAATAACAGGCAGTTGGGACAGAGTTCATAATGACTTAATCCCTAGTCCATTAACTTTTATGAATTTAATAAAAATCTATTAAAATGAAAATATGCTACATTGAAATTACCAAGTTCGGATATGCTTACTTTTGATGAGTTTCTAGAATGCATTCTGGTATGAGTTTCTACCATCTACGTGAACTGTGAAACAAATTGCTTTATTTACCATTATCCCAGGTTTTTTTTTTAGCTTGTCTCTTTTAGTTATTCGAAGAAGCCAATATGCAGTATAACAAAGCAAAGTATCCAGTAACTTTAAATTATTTTATCTGAATTGGTAGAAAACTAGCTATTATTTAAGGAACCCTGGTGCTACAGTCACTGTCAGTTAAAACAATACGTTAGAAATAAATATGTTCCTCTTCCTCATTTGAAAGTCGTTGGCATCTTGCTACTGTGAAAACCATAATGCCTAACATATATTTTCAAATGACTTTGTATTAATAATATATTGAGAAAGCTATTCAGATACATTAGAATGTTCGTTGTTCAGAAAAATCGTGAGCAAAACGATTGCCTTCTAAACCACATAGTAGGCTGGGTCAGTAGCAGCTACATTTGGGTGGGGTGAGGTAAGAGGAAGAGAACATCCCTAATACATTTCCTATCTGTTTACATTAAGTGGTTGTCCTCAATTAGCACTTATGCTTTTATACAGAAATGGTAGATTGATTGTTTTATCTAAGGGTTAAAACCTTTTATCTGACGGTGGTTACGTAAACCACCACCACTGCCTTTTTATGTCTGTAGATTTAAAGTTTCTACTATTCAGAATCTGAAAATTTTCACTTGCCTCAACATATTTACAGTGCCTTTTTGCAATTTGTGCTTCCAAAAGTTTATTTCACTACCTTAGTATAATTCCCCCTGAAGTACATATATTTTCTGTGAATTATTTTTCACTTGGATGTCCAGCATTGATTACCTCAGGATACAACATTAAGAAAAATGGCATCTTAAACTCAGCACGACTTGAATGAGATGAAACATTTTATCATAAATTTAGTTTGTTCAATGGAATGATTAGTATCTGCCTTCAGAATCTCCTTAGCATAAGTAGAAGTTTCAATATCTATTTTTCAGAAAATATAAATATCCATACAATTAAATCAGAAAGGAACATGAACAGTCAAGAAAGAGAGTGTGGCTTATTTTGGTTGGAAAATACCAGAAAATATTTTCCCATGTAGCTTAAAGGGTGGTTTTAAATTAAGGGAATTTACTTCTAAAAAAATAGTACAGAGGATGGCTTGAGAAATCTATCTTCTCTTTCTCCAGCTCTGTGTATGTTGTTTTAGAGTCTTCTAAAACACAAGCATTTAAATGAGAATTTACACCAAGACAGCCTGTTTTAACTGTCACAGTAAAGGCTGATGATGAACTTACAAAGTAAAGATAGGTTCACTATATAATAAGATGAGCAATAACATGAGTAAAAGGCTGAACATAGCAATCCCAATAATCATGATGGCAATAATGAAGAGGCAGCAGCACAGGAGTTTGTAGTGACTAACATAGCTTTAAGACCTATTATCTGGAAAGCATTAAAAAAGCCACTTTCTCAATACCTAGTTTATTGAGCGTTTTTAGCATGAAGGGCTGTTGAATTTTTTTGAAGGCTTTTTCTGCATCTATTGAGATAATCATGTGGCTTCTATTGTTGGTTCTGTGTATGTGATGGATTACGTTTATTGATTTGCATTTGTTGAACCAGCCTTGCTTCCCAGGGATGAAGCTGACTTGATCATGGCGGGTAAGCTTTTTGATGTGCTGCTGGACTCGGTTTGCCAGTATTTTATTGAGGATTTTCGCATCGATGTTCATCAGGGATATTGGCCTAAAATTATCTTTTTTTGTTGTGTCTCTACCAGGCTTTGGTATCAGGATGATGCTGGCCTCATAAAATGAGTTAGGGAGGATTCCCTCTTTTTCTATTAATTGGAATAGTTTCAGAAGGAATGAATGGTACCAGCTCCTCTTTGTACCTCTGGTAGAATTCAGCTGTGAATCTGTCTGGTCCTGGACTTTTTTTGGTTGGTAGGCTGTTAATTATTGCCTCAATTTCAGAAGCTGTTATTGGTCCATTCAGAGATTCCACTTCTTCCTGGTTTAGTCTTGGGATGGTGTATGTGTCCAGGAATGTATCCATTTCTTCTAGATTCTCTAGTTTATTTGCATAGAGGTGTTTATAGTATTCTCTGATGGTAGTTTGTATTTCTGTGGGATCAGCGCTGATATCCCCTTTATCATTTCTATTGCATCTATTTGATTCTTCTCTCTTTTCTTCTTTATTAGTCTTGTTAGTGGTCTATTTAGTTTATCTTTTCAAAAAACCAGCTCCTGGATTCATTGATTTTTTTGAAGGGTTTTTTGTGTCTCTATCTCCTTCAATTCTGCTCTGATCTTAGTTATTTCTTGCCTTTTGCTAGCTTTTGAATTTGTTTGCTCTTGCTTCTCTAGTTCTTTCAATTGTGATGTTAGGGTGTTGATTTTAGATCTTTCCTGCTTTCACTTTTAGGCATTTAGTGCTATAAATTTCTCTTTATATACTGCTTTAAATGTGTCCCAGTGATTCTGGTACGTTGTGTCTTTGTTCTCATTGGTTTCAAAGAACATCTGTTTCTGCCTTCATTTTGTTATTTACCCAGTAGTCATTGAGGAGCAGGTTGTTCAGTTTCCATGTAGGTGTGAGTGAGTTCCATGGTTTTGAGTGAGTTTCTTAATCCTGAGTTCTAATTCGTTTGCACTGTGGTCTGAGAGACAGTTTGTTGTGATTTCTGTTCTTTTACATTTGCTGAGGACTGTTTCACTTCCAATTATGTGGTCAATTTTAGAATAAGTGCGATGTGGTGCTGAGACGAATGTATATTCTGTTGATTTGGGGTGTAGAGTTCTCTAGATGTCTATTAGGTCCACTTGGTCCAGAGCTGAGTCCAAGTCCTGGATATCCTTGTTAACCTTCTGTCTTGTTGATCTGTCTAATATTGACCGTAGGATGTTAAAGTCTCCCATTATTATTGTGTGGCAGTCTAAGTCTCTTTGTAGGTTTCTAAGGACTTGCTTTATGAATCTGATTGCTCCTGTATTGGGTGCATATATATTTAGGATAGTTAGCTTTTCTTGTTGAATTGATCCCTTTACCATTAAGTAGTGGCCTTCTTTGTGTCTTTTGATCTTTGTTGGTTTAAAATCTGTTTTATCAGAGACTAGGATTGCAACCCCTGATTTTTTTTTCTTTCCATTTGCTTGGTAGATCTTCCTCCATCCCTTTATTTTAAGCCTAAATGCGTCTTTGCACATGAGATGGGTCTCTGAATAAAGAACACCAATAGGTCTTGAATCTTTATCCAATTTGCCAATCTGTGTCTTTTAACTGGGGCATTTAGCCCACTTACATTTAAGGTTAACATTGTTATGTTTGAATTTGATCCTGTCCTTATGATGTTAGCTGGTTAGAAAGCTGAAACTGTATCCCTTCCCTACACTGTATATAAAAATTAACTCGAGATGATTTAAAGACTTTAGTGTAAGACCTAACACCATAAAAACCCTAGAAGAAAACCTAGGCAGTACCATTCAGGACATAGGCATGGACAAAGACTTCATGACTAAAACACAAAAAGCAATGGCAACAAAAGCCAAAATAGACAAATGCGATCTAATTAAACTAAAGAGCTTCTGCACAGCAAAAGAAACTATCATCAGAGTGAACAGGCAACCTAGAGAATGGGAGAAAGTCTTTGCAATCTACCCATCTGACAACGGGCTAATATCCAGAATCTACAAAGAAACAAATTTACAAGAAAAAAACAAACAACCCCATCAAAAAGTGGACAAAGGATATGAACAGACACTTCTCAAAAGAAGACATTTATGTAGTCCACAGACATATGCAAAAATGCTCATCATCACTGGTCATCAGAGAAAAGCAAATCAAAACCACGATGAGATACTATCTCATGCCAGTTAGAATGGTGATCATTAAAAAGTCAGGAAACAGCAGATGCTGGAGAGGATGTGGAGAAATAGGAATGGTTTTACACTGTTGGTGGTAGTGTAAATTAGTTCGACCATTGTGGAAGACAGTGTGGCGATTCCTTAAGATCTAGAACTAGAAATACCATTTGACCCAGCGATCCCATTACTGGGTATGCACCCAAAGGATTGTAAATCATGCTACTATAAAGACACATGCACACGTATGTTTATTGTGGCACTACTCACAATAGCAAAGACTTGGAACCAACCCAAATGCCCGTCAATGATAGACTGGATTAAGAAAATGTGGCACATATACACCATGGAATACTATGCAGCCATAAAAAGGATGAGTTCATGTCCTTTGCTGGGACATGGATGAAGCTGGAAACCATCATTCTAAGCAAACTATCAAAGGGACAGAAAATCAAACACTGCATGTGCCCACTCATAGGTGGGAGTTGAGCAACAAGAACACATGGACACAGGATGGGGAACATTCCACACCAGGGCTTGTTGGGGGATGGGGAGCTAGGGGAGGGATAGCATTAGGAGAAATACCTAATGTAAATGACGAGCTGATGGGTGCAGCAAACCAACATGGCACATGTATACCTATGTAACAAACCTGCACGTTGTGCACATGTACCCTAGAACTTAAAGTATAATAAAAAAGGTACTTTCTCCATAATTTCATTAAATTATTAATTTAAAAATCTATGAAATTAATGTAATCAAATTACCAAGACACACCATACCTAGTTTAGAAAGGCAAATTAGCTGAGTGACTGGGTTTCTTATTTCACACAGAGATTAAGAAGTGGTCAGAAAGAGTGGGAAAATTGGCAAATTTAGAATTAAGAGTAGAGAGCAGATGACCGTGGGACTTCCTTTCTGATTTAGAAGACAAAAGAACCACAATCATGGATTATGAATAGAAGATAAGTGTAAGATTCTGCAACATTTATGACAAGGACTCAGGGAGGTTCATGACATATGCCAAATTGTGTGTGCGTGTGTGTGTGTGTGTTTGTGTGTATTTTCCAAAAAGGTTTCAACAAATTACCAATGCATTTCCGTGCTTTTTTTTCCCTTTTCCATTTCCAACTCTGAAAAGGAAAAAAAAAAAAGGCAAGGTTCAATATTTTAAAATTAGTATGTTTTCATTTTTTACAATCATCTTTGTCTCCAGTGGAGTTTTCATTTTTTTTTTTTTTTTGATGCAATCCTATATGTTCAAGAAAGTGAGAAAGCTAGGGAGCTAGGAAAGTTGCATTCACTTTCAGTCTGCATTTGGAAGAATTCCAAAAGCTAAAACATAATGAAGTACCTACTGAACAAAGAGAAGCCTTTTGGAGAGAAGAACATGATGTTTGACAACACTGCTAGAGATATTAATATAAGAAATTCGATTAGAGTTGTCCTCTCATAGGTATTAATATTCACATTTCTCCATAAAAGTTAAATAGCTTGGACTGAAACAAAAAACTCATAAACAGCTGTGTTAGTCAGGCTTCTCCAGAGAAACATAACCAATAGGATACATGTATATATATATGTATATATATATATTTTTTATATATATGCCTTTTAAGTGCATTTTTAAAATATCCAGAGTATAATTACCTCAATGTGAGAATTAACTTCTATACTTTTCTTACATACTGATACTTAGTGATAGATTTTTGCTTCTATATATATTTGCATATATATACACGCATATACACACATATATGATCATATATATCATATATATCTCATATATGTGTGTGTGTATATATATAAACTAAGTATGATTATGGAGGTGGAGACATTCCATGATCTGTTTTCTGCAAGTTGGAGATCCATCAAAGTTGATGGGTTTTTGTGGTCCGGAGAGCCAGAGAGCCAGTGGCATAGATTCCAGCCTAAGCCTGAAGGCTCAAGAACCAGAAGAGGAGAGGGCAGGAGAAGACCAACAATCCAACTCAATTAGTCAGGCAGAGAGCGAGCAAATCCAACCTTCCTCCACCTTCTTCTATTCAGACCCTCAATGGGTTAGATGGTGCCCACTCTTAATCAGGAACAGACATCTTCTTTACTCAATCCAATTCAGATGGTAATCTCTTCAGGAAATACCTTCACAGACTCACCCAGAAACATGTTTCATTAGATATCCTGGTACTTCATGGCCCAATCAAGTGGACATGCAAAATTAAACATCATAAGGCAAAACTGGGATTTTGGCCCCAGATTAATTTTTCTATTGTATACTTCAAGCATAAGAGAGCATAACCAGTTGAGACATCTCCATCAGACGCACTCATATGATCACTCCATGAGCCAACAGTGCAAGGAGGGAGTAATATGGGAAATATCTACCTAAAAATGTTGATAAATAGTTTTAAGTTGTTTGGTTCAATTCATGTTAAATAACAGCATGCTGTGATTTTAAACTGTAAAATTAAAATAGTTGCAGAAATGCAGTACATAATATAGTACAATGAGAAGTCTATATACGTAGCTTCATCATCATTAGAACTTATCAGATTTGGAAAGCCGTTTTTAAGTGCAATTTTTTTTTTTTTTTTTTTTTTTTTTTGGAGACAGTCTCGTTCTGTCGCCCAGAATGGAGTGCAGTGGCGCGATCTCAGCTCACTGCAAGCTCCGCCTCCTGGGTTCACGCCATTCTCCTGCCTCAGCCTCCCGAATATCCAGAGTATAATTATCTCAATGTGTGAATTGATTTATCTACTGTTAGTACATACTGATACTTAGTGATAGATTTTTGCTTAGAAGATGAGAGTTCTTATTAGATTTGAATGTCCTCTATTGTTTGTATACTAACAAGTTATCTTTTTTCACCCACAAAGAAAAATTCCTTTGGAAATTAGTTCTGCTGCTGTATAAGGGTACCTTAGAAAATAACAACATTACAAATCAAAGGCCCATGATTATGTTAGTTGTAATATTAATCCCCAACATCATTTAAATGCCTTTCATAATATAAATCTTTCTACACTATACCTCATTTAACAGCCATTAACACATTTTCTATCTCAAATCAAGTGTACCAACTAATAATGACTTAATTTTGTTATTTATCAGGTGCGGTTTTACATTATCAGCAATCTTATATTACACCTGCACAATTTAATATGTGAAACTTCTGCAAAATATATTGCTTATCTCCTGATACATCATGTTGGGGGCTAAAATTTAACAACCATCAAATTTAGAACATGTTAATTGCCTTGCTTTGTGTTAAGTACAAAAGAAAATGTATCTTATTTATAAGGGTATATTAAGATGAATTTATAACATCAAAAAAACTTAAGATGTGAAATTATCATAAATATAATAGAACTTAATATATCTACATTTTAGGGTTTTGCATGGACACACACACACACAATATTTTTGTAAAATCTACTAACTAGAATAATTAAATGAAGACAAATTCCTCAGAAATTTAAAGTTAGTAATCTAAGACTGGTAGTGATTTATTTGTTCAAAGGAAATTCTACACTGAGCCATAACACCATGTGAAATATGCCATAGGTTGCTTATGATTTATTTTATTTTAATTGGTAGAATTCTAGGTTTTAAAATAAAGAAATAAGTAAGATTATTTTGAATGTTGTATTTAATTAATAATTTATGTTTACACTTAATTTTACTTCTGGTTGCTCCATGTATCTGTTAGACATTGAGCAAATACAGTCCCTAATGTTTTGGGAAATTGTATGATCCTTTCCTGTTTTATGCTTCAGTTTTCTTCTCTGTATTCCAGTGATAAACATAGTATCAATTGTGTAGGTCTGTTGCAAAGATGGAATTTATCATTAAATATTTCCAATGTTAATGTTATTTTGATATAAACAATTTAATTCCCAATTTTCAGTTGATAGCATTTAGAAATGTAATGGAATATTATTTTTTGAACTTTTTTTTTTTTGAGGCAGTCTTGCTCTGTTGCCCAGGCTGGAGTGCAATGGCATGATCTCAGCTCACTGCAACCTACGCCTCCAGGGTTCAAGTGATTCTCCTGCCTCAGTCTCCTAGGTAGCTGGGATTACAGGCATGCACCATTACGCCAGGCTAATTTTTGTATTTTTAGTAGAGAGAGGGTTTCACCATGTTGGCAACGCTTGTCTTGAACTCCTGACCCCAGATGATCCACCCACCTCGGCTCCCAAAGTGCTGGGATTGCAGGCATAAGCCACTGTGCCTGGCCTATTTTTTGAACTTTTATCCTGCTACTTAAAAAAAAAATCACTTACTAGCTCCATTAGTTGTTAGATTCATTCTTCAGTAAATTTTTGTAGACTTCTTACAATTTTCTGTGTACCTGCTCATGTAGCCTGAAAACAAATAATGTTTCTTATTTTCCAAAGTACATGCTATTCATCTATTTTTCTTGCCAACCTGAAATGATTAGGACCTACACTAAATTGTATATAAGTGATTAGAGTGGGTATCTGCCTTACTGCATGTCTTAAGAAAGTGTTCAATAATGCCAGCTAAAAGTTTTTCTCATTTTTCTTTCTTTTTAAAAATTTTATAGATGACTTTTATTAAATGGAGGGACTCTTCTACATTTCTAGTTTGCTTAAGGTTTCTATCATAAAAATGGGGAATATTTGATTTTTTCTGCATTAGTAAGGTTTTCATATCATTTTTACCTTCATTCTGTTTATTTGATGAATCATATTAATTTATATTTAAATATTAATATATTCTTGCATTTCTAGGTACATTGTATTTACTCATGGTATGTTGTTTCATATATAAGTGGAATCATACATGAATGGATTTTATTAGCAAATTTAGAGAATTTTAGCAAATAAAACTTTTAATATTTTTCATTTTTGTGTATAAAGAATATGGTCCTCTGTATATTTTCTTGTAATGTCTCTGTCTAGTTCAATATCAAGATTTTCTTTTTATAAAATGAGTATGTTTTAGCATTTCATGCTATGAATTTGTTTATTAGTTATATATTTATTTTTGTAGTGGTTTCTCTAGTGTTTATGTGTCTTTAACTTATCACAATATAACACCTCATGCATATATTAAAACTCTTACAAGAGTATTTGCCCATTTTTCTTTTCATACCTTGTGATATTATTGTCATGTATTTTTCTTCTACATCTGTTATGTTTATACAGTACAATTTTTATTTTTTTGGTGTATTAGGGTTCTCTGGAGGGACAGAACTGATAGGATATATCCATATAAAAAAGGGAGTTTATTAATGAGAATTGACTCACAGGATCACATGGTAAAGTCTCACAATCAGCCATCTGCAAGCTCAGGAGCAAGGAAACCAGGGGTGGATCAGTCAGAGTCCCAAAACCTCAAAGTACTTTTGAAAAAGAACATTTTGAAAAAATGAACTTCACCCACTGATATTTTTTTTCAGTAGCCTTCATTCCTTTCTATTGTTCCAGTTTCTATCTAGTATTACTTTTCCTCACGTCAGAGGAATATTCTTTAGCATGTCACAGAGAGTAGGTATTCTCACAATAAATTATTACAACATTTGTTTGTCTATAAAATTTTTTATTTAATCTTCATATTTGTAGAGCATTTCTAGGTATCAAATTCTAGATTTAAAATTGTTTTTTGTTATAATTTTTTTCAGCATTTTAAAGATGTTGTTCCATTGTCTTTTGACTTTCATTATTTCTGATAGCAATCTTTTGTATGTCTTTTGTTTCTCTTTCTTTACATAACCCATTGCTGTTTTAATATTTTTCTTTATTATTAATTTTCAACAATTTGATTGTGATGTGTCTTGATGTATTTTTGTTGTGTTATGCTGCTCATGATTTGTTGGATTGCTTAAATTAATAAATTTGCAATTTTCATCAAATTTTAAAGCTGTTGGTTATTATTTCTTTAAATAATTTTTTTTTCTGATGTTCCACCCTTCTGGAATTTCTATTATGCACATGTTAGTTTATTATTAGGCAGATTCCTGAGGTTCTGTTCATTTTATCAGTGTGTGTGTGTGTGTGTGTGTGTGTGTGTGTGTGTGTTCCATTGTTATTAGATAAAATTGCTGGGTCTTTTTAGTCAGGGATCTGATCTTCTATGGTATCTAATCTGATGTAATTTTCAGATTTTGTCCAGTGAATCTTTATTTCAAACATTTACTTTTCACATGTAGAAACTCTTCATAGTTCCTGTTGTACATCTTTTCTTTCTCTCATTTTCATGTTTTTCTTTAAATACATGTATATGCAGTTAATCTTTTCTACTATTTACACTATGTCTGTTATATTAAGGTCTTTTTTTTATTGACTTTTTCCCCCTGGACATTCCCCCTAAGACATTTTTCTGCTTCTTAGTAAGTCTATTTATTTTTCCTTTCATGCTAAGCATTGTGCGTATTATATAGTTGAGTTCTGAGATTCTAACATCCTTTAAACAAAGTGACTAGCTTTGTTTTTTCAGGAAATGAAGTTTTCTGATTATCAGTTTGATCTCTTTGAGACCCATTTATGTGCTATGTCTCAGGAGAGTCTAGACTAGCATTTTCTGTATATATAGTTTAGCCCTACTACTAAGCTGTAGCTTTTCTGCAGTCTCCACTAAAAAACCACAAGGGATCAGCAAGGTCTCTGGACTCTTGGGGTTTGGAGCTCAAATTTCTTCCTTCTTTTTGTAAGCTCTGAGAATTGTTCAGCTTATATCCCTGTTTGCTTTCTTTAAGCTTGTGGGGTTTCACTTTCTGCATGTGAGGTTTAGTATTCAGCAAGGACTCAAGCATTCAAAACTCAGGACCTACATCTATTTATAAATTTTTTTCTGCTTTTTTTCTTTCTAAAAATTTCCCCTTTGATTTATAACCACTTAGCATCCCCAAACTCTCATATCTATCTTTTTAATTCAGCTAAGCTGCTGAGCGATGCTTAATCCTTACCATTCTACCATACATTTCATTTGGGAAATTGCCTTTTATCAAAAAGAAGTGCTGATGGTAAGGCTACCTCATTTCCCTCCTTCTCTCAAGGACCACAGTTCTGCACTGCCTATTGCCTGATATCTGCAAATAGATTAGGATATATACCCCATCACACACACACACATTCCAGCATTGAGGGAGCTTAAGTACAGTTTTTTTAATCCATCATTGCCAGAAAGTAAATTGAAAGGTGGGTTTTCCATATATAAAAACAAAATTTTAATGGATTGATGGCTCACTAAATAATAATTCAGGAAAGAAGAATGAATAAGAAAAGTTCTTGTCCCAAAGAAGAAGAAAAACCCCCATGGAGCTTAAGGGAAACTTACAGAAAATGGAAAGACATAAAAGTGTAGTGAGTATAGACATAGAGATCAAAATTTTCTGACACTATGGTCCAAATATTTGTATATATGAGAGTGGATATAGACAAGATGGCCTAAAGCCCTGATAGAACGAGGGTCAGAGAAAAAATAGCAGTGAAGCTTTAATACTGATTTCCATTCTGAACTGAAAGAAGGACTATGAAACAGGCTGTTCTACTCTTGACTTAAAATCTACACTGTATCAATAGCTGGTAGGCTCCCTGGAAGGTAAATACATCTGACAGCTTCACAGATGTTGCACATATTGGCATAGTAAATAAGTATTTATCGTAAGTTTTCTGTCCTACATCAGGTAGTGGCAAATTTTAAGAAGTACAGTTGACAGGGAAAGACCCAGGCTTGGATTGTCAACCTAAATAACAAGCAGAAAGAGTCTTTCTAAAAATATTGAGTATAATTGGAAATAAGCAGAGGATTTGAAAATCCAGGATATTCAAGCTATGAAAGTTTTTATGTATTCACAAGATCTCCTTCAAATGTAAGTAGAAAAAAAGTATGTTAGCTTATTACTCTGTACCACAAATAAAATCTCTATTCCTTCTTAATTGATAAACATATTAATTAATAAGTCACTCTATCTATCCATTCACCCAAACTTCTATTAATTAATTTAACAGTATCTTTTATTATAGACATCACAAGGCAGATACTTTAATAGCTGCTTTGAATACAAAGGCAAAGAAGACATAATATCTCTGTCCTCAGTCCTTGTTTTCCATTAAGGAAAAGATACAGAAAAGCAGACGTGCACTTATAACACGTGGTTAAAGTGTTGTGGAAGATCCAAGATCCCCTGGGACAGAGACTTCCAGAGATGACTTCCTGTAAAAAGAAATATGTCAGCTAAATTGCCTCCAGAGTCTAAACGTATAACTATGTACATGCGTAGTTCAGATAATTATAAAATGACTGTTTGATAAGTAGCCATATCTCTTTGATACTATGGTATTTAGCTTCCAATTTTAATACCTGAAGATGAAATAGAAGCTACTCCTTGTGTCTTTACTAATAAGGCTAAACTCTAGAGCATTCACAATATTGTCAAGGTTCATCAAAAGACCCATGTTGAAATTTAGGTTGTTCTAATGTGTTAAGATTGTACATGAAATGCTACCAATGTCCTAATCCCCTTTATTTTCAAGATACAGATCCTTCACAGAAGCCTGAAGCATGACAACAAAACAAACTCAGGAAATCACTGGAGGAGGCCAGGTTTTAAATACTAACAGTTATGCCAGCCATAGTGAGATCAAAACTTTCTGTTGTATTGAGGTTGTCAGCAATAAACTCTAATCAAATTTGCTCTAAAATTACAGCAAAAGGGAGAATACGATCCCCATTCTTGGTCTCCTTGGACTACTTTCAACCAACAGGTTTTACTTTGTTCATTCATGCACAATATCCATACCTTTGCCAAACCATGCATAATGACCTCCCAGTTTTCAGCAGCATGGAATCATCATAGGCTTAAAGAACGTCTCATGCCACATCATCATGTTTATTTCATAATGCTCCCACACAGAATTCTAACATTTGACACCTGCATCTCCTTAAAAAATACCTTTCTAATAGAAAGTTATATAAGCATATGGAAATATACTGTATCAATTCACAGATGTATTTCAAGAATAATTTTCAGGATATTTGTGTGTGTGTGTGTGTGTGTGTGTTCTAATAAACCTCAAACAAGATTGTATTACATGTCTTGTCATATATTGATTGACCAGTTGTGTGTAGATCAAATATTTATCTGTAGAAATATACGAACATTGCATTCAGTGTTACTTGAAAGTAAAGCAAAGATTATGTGTTTAAATGTTCCATGATTCGGCATTATGGAATTCAAATTCTGGGGTCCTCTGTGTCCTTGAAACCTACTTTTCAGTTTTTCCAGTTCATGAATGATCACCAGCCCAAATTTTCATTTGTCTTATATTTGTGTGAGTGTGTGTGCATGTGTGTGTGTGTCTGAGAGAGAAAGAATACTAATGAGTAATCAGAGGGCTGAACAGTCAGACAGCAACAAAGTAATGTCATGATACATTTCTCCAACATGTTTTCTACAAATGGTGTGGGAATAATAGGCATCCACATGCAAAAATTATAAGCCAAAACCTAAATCTCATACTTCATAAAAATTAGCTTATAATGAATCATAGATAAAATTGTAAAACAAAAAAAAAACTATGACTTTTCAAAGAAAACATAGATAATATGGTTTGGCTCTGTGTCTCCACCCAAATCTCATCTTGTAGCTCCCATAATTCCCACTTGTTCTGGGAGGGACCTGGTGGGAGATGTTTGAACCAAGGGGGTAGGTATTCCCCATGCTGTTCTTGTGACAGTGAATAGGTCTTACTAGATCTGATGATTTTAAAAACAGGAATTGCTCTGCGCAAGCTCTCTCTTCACCTGCTGCCATCCAAGTAGGATGAAACTTGCTCCTCCTTGCCTTCCACCATGATTGTGAAGATTCCCCAACCCATGTGGAACTATAAGTCCAATAAACATCTTTCTTTTGTAAATTGGCCAGTCTCAGGTATGTCTTTATCACCAGCATGAAAAAGGGCAAATACAGTAAATTGGTAGCAATTGAGTGAGGTGCTGCTAAAAAGATACTGAAAATGTGAAAGCGACTTTGGACCTGGGTAACGGGCAGAGGTTGGAACAGTTTGGAGGGCTCAGAAGACAGGAAAATGTGGGAAAATTTGGAACTTCCTGGAGACTTGTTGAATGGCTTTGCCCAAAATGTTGATAGTGATATGCACAAAAAAGTCCAGACTGAGGTGGTCTCAGATGGAAATGAGGAACTTGCTGGGAACTGGAGCAAAGGTGATTCTTGTTATGTTTTAATAAAGAGACTGGCAGCATTTTGCCCCTGCCTTAGAGATTGGTGGAACTTTGAACTTGAGAGAGATCATTTAGGGTATCAGGAGGAAGAAATTTCTAAGCAGCAAAGCATTCAAGAGTTGACTTGGGTGCTGTTAAAGGCATTCAGTTGTAAAAGGCAAACAGAGCACAAAAGTTTGGAAAATTTGCAGTCTGACAATGTGATAGAAAAGAAAGTCCCATTTCCTGGGGAGGAACTCAAGCCAGCTGCAGCAATTTGCATAAGTAATGAGGAGCCAAATATGAATCCCCAAGACACCAGGGAAAATGTCTCTAGGGCATGTCAGAGGTCTTCACAGCTGCTCCTCCCATCAAAGGCCAGGAGTCCTAGGAGTAAAAAGTGGTTTCATGGGCCAGGCCCAGTGGCCTTGTGCTGTGTGCAGCCTAGGGACTTAGTGCCCTGTGTCCCAGCTGCTCCAGCCTTGGCTGAAAGGGGCAAACATAGAGCTTGGGCCGTGGCTTCAGAGGGTGCAAGCCTCAAGCCTTGGCAGCTTCCACATGATGTTAACCCTGAGAGTACATAGAGTCAAGAACTGAAGTTTGGGAACCTCCCCCTAGATTTCATAAGATGCATGGAAATGCCTGGATGCCCAGGCAGAAGTTTGCTGTAGGGGCAGGGTCCTCATGGAGAACCTCTGCTAGGGCAGTGCAGAAGGGAAATATGGGGTTGGAGCCCTTCTGGGGCACCATCCATTGGAGCTATGAGAAGAAGGCCACTGTCCTCCAGACCCCAGAATGATAGATCCACGGACAGCTTGTACCATGCACCTGGAAAAGCCACAGACACTCAACACCACCCCATCAGGGCAGCCTGGAGGGAGGCTGTGCCCTGCAAAGCCACAGGGGCAGAGCTGCCCAAGACTATGGGAACCCACCTCTTGCATCAGTGTGACATGGATGTGAGACATGGAGTCAAAGGAGATCATTCTGGAGCTTTAAGAATTGACTGCCCTGCTGGATTTTGGACTTGCATGTGGCCAGTAGTCCCTTTGTTTTGGCCAATTTATCCCATTTGGAATGGCTGTATTTATCCAATGCCTGTATCCCCATTGTATCTAGGAGGTAACCAATTTGCTTTGGATTTCATAGGCTCATAGGTGGAAGGGACTTGTCTTGTCTCAGATGAGACTTTGGACTGTGGACTTTTGAGTTAATGCCAAAATGAGTTGAGACTTTGGGGGACTGTTGGGAAGGAATGATTGGTTTTGAAATGTGAGGACATGAGATTTGGGAGGGGCCATGGGCAAAAAGATACGGCTTGGCTGTGTCTCCACCCAAATCTCATCTTTAGCTCCCATAATTCCCATGTGTTGTGGGAAGGACCCGGTGGGAGATTGAATCATGGGGGTGGGTCTTTCCCATGCTGCTCTCATGATAGTGAACAGGTCTCACAAGACATGGTGGTTTTAAAATGGGAGTTGCCCTGCCCTGTAATGCCTGCTGCCATTACATAAGATGTGACTTGCTCCTTCTTGCCTTCTGCCATTATTGTGAGGCCTCCCCAACCATGTGGAACTGTAAGTCCAATAAACCTCTTTCTTTTGTAAATTGCTCAGTCTCATCAGCAGTGTGAAAATGGACAAATATAGGAGAGAATCTTCATAACCAGCAATCAGGTACATAAATTTTGACATGACAAAAAAAAACTTCATTTAAAAACAACTTTGAAAAATTAGACTTTATAAAAATTGAAACATGTTCTCTGAAAGATACTTTTAAGATAATGAAAATACAACTACAGACTGAAAGAACTAAATATCCAACAAAAGTCCTGTGTTATGGATAAATAAATAACTCTCAAAACTCAGTAAGAAATGGAATAACTTAATTTAAAAAAATATCAAAGGACTTGAATTGACACTATATTCAAGAGGGGATATACTGATGGAAAATTAGAACAATAAGAAAGAAAAGATATTCAACATTGTTACAAAATAGGGAAATGAAAATTAAAACCACAAGGAAATACCACTGTATCACTATAATGATCACTGTATCACTTAGCCTAGCAAAAATTAAATAATAAAATAAGAGGTAAAGACAACATCAAGTGCTGGTGAGGATCTGGAACAACTAAAACACATCTACATTGCTGGTGGAAAGGCAAAAGGCTAGAGATAAATTGGAAAAATAATTTGGCAGTTTCTTTTATCTACTTATTTATTTTTTTGAGATGGAGTCTCACTCTGTCACCCAGGCTGGAGTGCAGTGGTGCGATCTCGGCTCACTGCAAGCTCCACCTCTTGGGTTCACGCCATTCTCCTGCCTCAGCCTCCCAAGTAGCTGGGACTACAGGCGCCTGCCACCATGCCTGGCTAATTTTTTGTATTTTTAGTAGAAACAGAGTTTCACTGTGTTGGCCAGGATGGTCTTGATCTCCTGACCTCGTGATCCGCCTGCCTCGGCCTCCCAAAGTGCTGGGATTACAGACATGAGCCACCGCGCCCTGCCTGGCAGTTTCTTTTGAAGTTAAAGATTCACTTACCACATGAGTCAGCCATCTCACTCCATAGTATTTACTCTAGTCACATGAAAACTTACTTTCACACAAAAACTTACGCATAAATTTTTATAGAATTTCTATGTATTATTGCCCCAAACTGGAAGCTACACAAATCTTTTTCTATAGATGAATGGATAAAAAACTGTGGTAGTTCCCTGCAATGGAATAATACTAAGCAATAAAAAAGAGGAAAGTATTGATTCACATAACTTGTATAAAACTCAAAGTGAACATGAAAGAAGACAGTATCAAATGGTTATACACTATATGATTCCATTTATATGACATTCTCAAAATAGACAATGGTGATATAGAACCAAACCGTGATTTCCAGTTGTCTGGGATCCAGAAAAGGTGTTCAGAGGGGTAACATAAGGGCCATTTCCAGAATGATAGGACTGTCCTGTATTCTGATTGTGGAAGTAACACAAATTTAGAAACTGTTAAAATTCATAGAATTTTATACCAAAACAGTCAGTTCCACTATATGCTAATTAAAATAAAAAAACAAGAGCAGCTGAATATTATTTTTCAGGCTTGAGACCTGTTGATTCTATTGTGTTATTACACATGTAGTAGTTTTTTCTACTAAATTCTTGCCTTTTCAAAGTAGAAATCATGTTTTTTAAAATATTTTTTGAAGCACTTTGCTGCATCTTCTGTTTTGAAAAAGAATTATTTTTAATTTTTATGGGTATATAGTATGTGTATATATTTATGAGGTACAGGATATTTTGATACAGGCATGCAATATGTAATAATCCCGTAAGGGAAAACAAGATGTCCATCACCTCAAGCATACATCATTTCTTTGTGCTACAGACATTCCATTTGTACTCTCTTAGTTATTCTAAAATGAACAACAAATTGTTGCTGACTGTAGACACCTTGTTGTGCTATCAAATATTAGCTCTTATTCATTCTAAGTATGTTTTCATACTCATTAACCATCCCCACTTCCCCCATGCCTCTCAACACCACTACCCTCTCTAGCCTCTTGTAGCCATCGTTCTACCTGTATCTCCATGAGTTCAATTGTTTTACTTTTTAGTTCCCACAAATAAGTGATAACATGTGAAGTTTGCCTTTCTGTGCCTGGCTTATTTCATTTATCATAATATCCTCTAGTTTCATCTAGTTTCATGTTGCTGCAAATGACAGGATCTCATTCTTTTTTATGGCTGAATAGTACTCCATTGTGTATTTGTACCATGTTTTCTTTATCCATTTTTTCTGTTGATGGACACTTAGGTTGCTTCTGAATCTTGGCTATTGTGAATAGTGTTTCAATAAACATGGGAGTGCAGATATATCTTTGATATACTGATTTCCTCTCTTTTGGGTATATACCCAGCAGTAAGATTGCTGGATCATGTGGTAGCTCTATTTTTAGGTTTTGGAGAAACTTCCGTACTGTTCTCCATAGTGATTGTACTAATTTGCATTCTGATCAACAGTGTATAAGGATTCCCCTTCCTCCACATCCTTGTCAGTATTTGTTATTATCTGTCATGTGAATATAGGCAATTTTAACTGGAGTGAGATTATATCTCTTTGCAGTTTTGATTTGCTTTCCTCCGATGATCAATGATGTTGAGCATCTTTTTATATAGCTGGCTGCTATTTGTATGTTTTCTTTTGAAAAATGTCTATTCAAAGCTTTTGTCCATTTTTAAAATCAGATTATTCAAGCTTTTTCCTACTGAGTTGTTTGAGCTCTTTATATATTCTGGTTATTAATAACTTTCCAGATGGATAGTTTGCAACTATTTTCTCCCATTCTGTGGATTGTCTCTTTACTTTCTTGATTGTTTCCCTTTGCTGTGCAGAAGCTTTTTTACTTGATGGGATCCCATTTATTCATTTTTCTTTGGTTGCCTGTGCTTATGGGATATTACTCCAGAAATCCTTGCCCAGACCAATGTCCTGGAGAGTTCCTTCAATGTTTTCTTTTAGTAGTTCCATAGTTTGAGGTCTTCCACTTAAGTCTTTAATCCATTTGATTTGATTGTTATATATGGTGAGAGATTGGGGTCTAGCTCCATCCTTCTGTATGTGGATATCTAGTTTTGTCAGCATTATTTATTAAACTACCCTTCATGTCTTTTCTTTTTTTAAAAGAAAAAAAGCGTTTTATTTTAGAAAAGTGTTAGATTCATAGAAAAACTGTGAAGATCCTTTTTATGTATGTAACACATGTTTTCCTATTAACATGTGACATTAGTGTGGTACACTTACTACATGAACCAATATGGATACCTTATTATTAGCTGAAGGTCATACTCTATTTTTTATCATTATTTTTAAACCTAATGTCCTTTCTCTATTTCAGGCTTCCATCCAGGATACCACATTATTTTTAGTAGTCCTAACTATTTACAGTACTCTTGGCTATGACAGTTTCTTAGGCTTTTCCTGTTTTTGATGACATTGAGAGTTCTGCGGAATCCTGGTCAGTTATTTCGTAGGATGTCCCTGACTGGAATTTTTCTGATTTTTTCTCATGATGAGACTGGGGTTACATCTTTTTAGGAGGTAGATCATAGGGGTTAAATGCAATTTTCATCACCTTGTATCAACCATCAACATGACTTATTACTTATTGATGTTAACCTTGAACAAATGGCCAAGGTAGAATTTGTCAGATTTCTTTCTTGTAAAATTATTTTTTTGGTCATATTTTCCATACTTTACTCTTTGGAAATAAGCTGTAGCCAACAATTGAGGTGTGGGGTTTTATGTACTACCTCATAGAACAGAATATCTACATAAATTATTTGAAATATTTTTGCTCAGGAGGTTCGTCTATTCTGCCACATTTAATTCTTTATTCAATCATTCATTTATATCAGTATGAACACATAAATATTTATTTCATAATTTGAGTCATTATCTAACACTACTTTATTATTTGCACCGCTAATTTTACCTTTGATTATTAGAGTGATCTTTCAAATGGCTCGTGTCCCTTTCATTGTTGTGAATTATTTTTTCTCAGTATTCCACTACTATCTGGCACTTTAAGAAGTTCCAGGCTCTCCTTGTTAATTTCCTCCCCTAGTAGTAGATTTATTTATTTCTTCAAGGACACCTTGTTTTTTTTTATTGGACAACATTATTAGAAGCAAAGATCTGGGTGTCAGGTATGCTTACTAATACTAGAGTTCCATTTCCTCTAGACTTCTCAGCTGAAGGAATAAGGAAATATGGCGCCTGCATACTAACATGTATTGTTGGGGCCAAGGGAAACTTCCCCTTAGCTCTAAAGGGATGCTGAAAAAATCAACTCATACAAGACATATTAATTGGAGAAAAGGCATCCAGATTTATTTAATGTGTACACACAGAAGCCTTCAGAATAAAGACCCAAAGGCATAGGGAAAATTGTCCATTTTTATGTTTAGGTTCAATAAAGTATGAACAGCCATACAGAAATATGATTGAGCAAAAAGGGTATGATCTAATGCTAATAGAGTCAGTAGGGAAACTTAGAAAGGTCTGTCTGCCTAGATTCTTCTTGGCTTCTCTAGACAGCATTCCTTCCTTCTGGGTATGGGACAAGACCATCTCTTGAATGGGGTTCTTATGACATATAGTCAAACAAGTTAGGTCAGGTCATTTTTATGGCTGGTATTTACATAGAAAGGCAGAGAAAAAGTTACAGTAATATTTTTAGGTTTTGTGGCTGTCTGGTTCTGATTTCTATGACCCGCTTTGGGGAAAAGGGATTCTAGTTTCTATGACCTGCCTTGAGGAAGAAGGATTCTAGTTTTGGTGACTAGCCCCCGGGGGAGAATTAGAATGAGAAACAGGAGGGAAGACCTTCTTAGGTCAGAGAAAAAGTTTTGCTTCTGAGGCCTTCCTTTTGGGATATTGCTTCTGAGTCCCAATAGTATGTAGACATAGCTACAAAAATTTTCATATGTAACTCTGTATCTATATTTGGTTACCTGTGAGTTCATACAGATGCATTCAACTCTAATACACTATCACTTGGATCATCCTGGTCTCCTCCTTTTGCTTATCCATAACTTCCCATTCCAATAGTGAAAACCCTGGCTCCACTATCTGCCACTCTTGTTCATGTTTGTTCAGTGCCAGTGTCCATTGATAGCAGAATCAGATATAACACATGCCCCCATGGGAAACAATTTTAAACTAGAGCGTAGTACTTTCATACAGTAAATTTTGCCTTTACTCTTGTAACTCTACTTACTTCCCAAGTGACTTAGGTGGGTGAATTTTTCCCCCAACTCTCTTCAGTGAAGCTAATTAATCTAACTGTATACATTTGTAATACAGTAAGATTTTATGTCATGTGATGCCTCAAACTCCTAAATTATTCTTTATTTTGATTTTTCATACATTTTCACCCTTTGCTCTGAAAAGTTCTGTGTTTTTGACAAATGCTTGGTGTTACGTGTTCACCATTGAAGTACTATGCGGAATAATGTCACCACCCTAGAAAACTCCCTATGCTTCAACTATTCGGCCCTCTTGCTCCCTTTGAATATTTGACAAACACTGATCTTTTTAATGTGTATATAGTTTTGCCTCTTCCAGAATGTAGTGTAATTGAAATTACAGAGTTTGTAGCTTTTACATACTGGCTTTGCTCATTTAGCACTATGTAATTAACATTCACCCCTGTCATTTCATGGATTGAGATTTCATTTATTTTTATCACTGAATAATAGTTCTTCTATGGATATATCACAGTTTGTTTAAAAATTTACCCATTGAATGCATTTTGGCTGCTTCCAGTTTGGGGAGATTATGAATAAAACTGCTGTAAACACTGGTGTGCAGGTTTTGTATAGTTGTAAATTTTAATATCAATCAATTGGGTGAATATCTAGGAATGCAATGTCTTAGCTGTACAGTAAGACTAGGTTTAACTTCGTAGGAAACTGCCAAACTGTCTTCCAAAGTAGTTGTACAGTTCCCACCAAGAATGAATGAGTCCCTGTTGCACCACATCCTTGCCAGCAATTGACATTTGAAATGTTCGGATTTCAGCCATTTTAATAGATGTGTAGTGGTACATGATTGTTATTTTAATTTGCAACTCCATTATGATAAAAGATGTTGAGTGTCTTTTATATGCTTATTTGCCATCTATTTATTTTGTTTGGAGGTGTCAGAACTTTGACCCAATTTTTAAACAGATTATTTGTTTTCCTATTGCTGAATTTTAAGAATTATTTGTATATTTTGGGATATAAGACTTTTATAGGATATGTGATGTGCAAATATTTTCTCCCATTCCATGGCTTTTTTTGCCCATTCTAGTCACAGTGCTTTTCACTAAATAAACATTTTAATTTTGATAAAGTCCAAATTATTTTTTTCATAGACTTTTACTTTTGATGCTGTATCTCAAAATTCATCATAAATCCAAGATCATATCTATTTTATCTTATGTTTTCTTTTAGAAGTTTTGTAGTTTTGCATTTTATATTGTTGGAGCTCAGAACATGCTACTGCAAAATGTAGTGCCTAAGAGGTCAATCTCTGACTTTCCCTTGCTTTTCTGTATGAGATTTGGTGATAAAGGAATTCTCTGACATACCTCTCCTGAAAGTAGGTCCTAAGACCCTCATCTGACAGATGGTCCTTCCTTACACCCATAGGAAAGGAATACTACACAGGAAAACCAAGAAGAATTTGAACGAACAGATGTTGCTGAGTTCCTCCCATTAGATCATACCCTTCCTGTCCAATCATACTTCTACATGATTGTCCATTCTTCTTGAAATCTAAGCATAAAAATATACAAATTTGCCTTGGTCTTTGGGTCTTCATTTCTGAAGTCTCCTGTGCAAGGCAGAACTTCTGTCAAATAATTTTTTAATGCTTTCTTCCTGTTAACCTGCCTTTTGTTATAGGGATTTTAACCATGACATTTATACTGGGTGAGAAAAGGTATTACTTTTTCTCTCCTACAGTATTTTGAGTTAAAATTTGCAAAAGGGGAAAGATCTGTGTCTGGTTTTACTTATTTTCTTTCTTTCTTTTCTTTCTTTCTTTCTTTCTTTCTTTCTTTCCTTTCTTTCTTTCCTTTCTTTCTTTCTTTCTTTCTTTCTTTCTTTCTTTCTTTCTTCTTCTTTCTTTCTTTCTTTCTTTCTTTCTTTCTTTCTTTCTTTCTTTCCTTTGTTTCATCTTTCTTTCCTTCTTTTTCTTGCTTTATCATTTTTGGCATATGGACGTTCTGTTTCCTCAATACCATTTGTTGAAAAGACTATCTTTTCTTCATTAAATTGTTCTTGCTCCTTCTTCAAAGGTCAGTTGGACTATATGTTTGTAGGTCTATGTTGGATCTTTCTATATTGTTTATTTGGTCTATTCTTTCATGATGAAGTCTTGATTACTATGGCTTTATAGTAAATCTTAAAGTCAGGTAGTGTCTGTCCACCAACTTTGTTCCTCTTCCTTGACACTGTGTTAGCTATGTGTTGGTCTCTTCCTTTTCAATAAAAATTTTGGAATTTTGCTTTGGATTGCCTTGAACCTATAGATCTCCTTTGGAAGGCATTATAACAGTGTTGAGTCTTTCTATCTATGTATACTGAATATCTCTCCATTTATGTAGAACCACTTTGACTTATTTGTCACAATGTTATCATTGTTAGCATACAGATACTGTATATATTTTGTTGTATTTATAACTATTTTGTGTTTTGATGATAAGTGGTATCATGTTTTTTAAAATGTGTATTTCTAACTGTTCAGTGCTAGTGTATAGGAAAGTAATTTACCTTGGTATATTAGCCTTGTATAAAGGGACCAATAGTAGGTTATTAGTGCCAAAGTGTTATTATTATTATCTGGGATTTCCTACATACATAATTATGTCATTTGCAAACAAAAACAGTTTAAAATTTTTTCCTCCTGATTTGTATTCATTTTATTTATCATCTTATTGCATGAGCTAGTATTTTTCTTGTCTTATTGCGTGAGCTAGTACAATGTTGAATAGGAGTGGTAAAGAAGTCATTCATTTTTCTTGGTCTTTGAAGGAAAGTATTTAGTTTCTCACTATTGAGCCTAATATTAGCTGTAGGGTTTTTTTACATAGCAAATTATATACCTAGTTGGCAAAGAGGTTTTTATCATGAATAAGAAATGGGTTTTGTCAAATGTGTTTTCTGCGTATGTTTTTTTTTTTTCTTCTTTGCTTGTTGATGTGGTGGGTTGTATTAATTGACTTTTTTCAACAGCTTTGGAAACCTGGAATAAATTTAATTAGAGATTGCATATAATATTTTGTTATTCCATTTGCTAACATTTTGTTTAGAATTTTGGTTTCTATGTTGGTGAGAGATATTGCTCTATAGTTTTCCTTTCTTGTAATGTATTTGCCTGTTTTTTGTGATTGGTTAATGCTGACCTCATAGAACGTTAGGAGGTGTTCACTCTGCCTCTATTTTCTGGAAGATATTGTAAGAAATTGGCATTTTTGTTTAAGTGTATGATATGTATTTGGCATGAGATTTTGGTATTTGTCCTGAATGGAGTTCTCTGAGATTTCTGGATATGGTTTTTTTTTTTTTTTTTTTTTTTTTTTGAGATGGAGTCTCGCTCTGTCACCCAGGCCTGACTGCGGTGGCACTATCTCTGCTCACTGCAAGCTCCACTTCCCGGGTTCACCCCATTCTCCTGCCTCAGCCTCCCAAGTGGCTGGGACTATAGGCACCCGCCACCGCTCCTGGCTAATATTTTGTATTTTTAGTAGAGACCGGGTTTCACCTTGTTAGCCAAGATGGTCTTGATCTCCTGACCTCGTGATCCACCCACCTCAGCCTCCCAAAGTGCTGGGATTACAGGCGTGAGCCACCACGCCTGGCCCTGGATATGTGTTTTAATCTGTGTTATTAATTTTGGAATATTCTTGGTCATCATTATTTCAAATAATTCTGCTTTATTATCTTCTGTTACTCCAATTGTATGTGTGTTACACTTTTTGAAATTGTTCCACAGTCTTTGAATAACTTCTTTTTTATTGTTTTGTTTCTGCCTCATTTCATTCTAGGAATTTTCTTTTGAAATATTGAAGCTCACTAATTCTTTCCGTAGCTTTGTCCAGCTTACTAATAAGCCTATAAAAGGCATTCTTTATTTAGGTCACAGTGTTTTGGATTTTTAACATTTTCTTTTGCTTCTTTCTTAGAGTTTCCACCTTTCTGCTTATATTTTCCATGTGTTCTTGTGTGTTATCTACTTTTTCTAATAGAGCCACTAATATACTAATCATACTTGAAATTTCTGTCTGATAATTCCAACACTGTGTCGTATCTAGGATAGTTATGAGGTTTGCTTTGACCCTTAAGACTTTGTTTGTTTTGCCTTTAACATGTCTTGTAAATTTTGTTGAAAGCTGGCATGTTGTACCACATAATAGGAACTGAGGTAAATAGGTTTTAGTGTGAGGTTTAATCTGGCTAGGAGACAAGCTGTGTTTAATGTTTGCTGTACTGTACTTGTCTGAGTTTCCAAATATCTCTACTGTCCTTGTTTTGTCTCCCTTGTTGTCTTAGAGCTTCCCTACAAACTTCTTCTTAAGTGGAATCTGTGCCTTGTAGCTTTTTTAGCTGCAATCCACTGTTATTATCCTGAAGCACTGTTGATGTGGTATTAAGGCATAGGTGACAGGGAAGTATTCTATAATTCTATAATTTTAGTGAGCCTGTGTCATTGAGCTGTTACCTTCACAGGTGTTTCTCAATTTTCGTCCCCTCGTAGGTTACAAAGAAAGGCTTGAGGTAACTCAAATCAGATAATATCCCTTCTCCCATGTTGGATAAGTCTTTGATAAAGTCTTTTCCCTTGTTCAGTAGGCCTTTGCTATGGAGAATGCTGTGGGTATATTGGAAAATGGTTACTTTTTTCCTCTGTTAAAAATAAAAGTGTTTTTCTTGACTATTTATTGTGAGAACTTGCTGAGTCTCCAGGAGGTAAGATCCACACAATTATGGAAGCCCCTTCCAATACTGCCATCCCAAGATTTTATTACTCTCACAGTGGTCCATACTCTTGCCTTCAGCAGCGTGTCAAAGTTATTGCTTAAATGTTCATGCTTATATTAGAAATTTCCTGAAGTCCTAAGTATCTCTCACAGAGTTTGCTATATTTTCCATCCTTTTGATTTCTATATCAGCAACATTATCTCTTTATTTTCCTTTACATTGTTGATTTGGAGCTGTTATTTGTTAATGCTTGACTTAATGATGGACATTGTTTATAAAAACAAAAATTAGAAACTCCAGATAATATTACATTCCTCCAAAGATGATTGACTTCTGACAAGCAGTTTAAATTGGGGCAGATCACCTTTATCTACCCAGGACTAAGATATTTCAAGTGACCCCTTTCTGGGGTCGCAGTTGAGAATCTGTGTGTCTACCTGAGCCCTTTCTCTTTGGTAGCCCAGTCCCCAAACTCCATAGTATTCACCTGTATTATGAGACTCTCAAAAGCTCTATTTAACTTTGTACCTTTTAGGTGTCCATTCCTGCCTGGATTTTAGACTCACCTCATACAGCTTACAAATTGCTAATTCTTTGAGGATAAAAATAGTACAGAATGTCAAACTCACTATTTTGTTTTCCTTTGGATCTAGAATCCTCAAATTTTGACTATTTTTGTGGATTCTTTCCCCCTAGATTTGCGAATTCCTTAGGAACTCTGATATTTTGTGTGCTGCTTATGCCGTATTTCCTGGGCCACCTTGGAATTGAAAAATGCCTTGAGGCAAACTGTGGTGGAGAATGATGTACTCACCTCAATGCAAAAGATTTTTAAAAAGTTTCACTTATTTTATGAGTTATTGCGTGATTGCTCCACTTCCATTACCAAGAAAATCCTACTTACTTCAAGTTTTTTTAGAAATAAGGCCACTTTCTCAATTTCATCCCTATAAGCTTCTTTTCACACAGTGAAGATCTTCACTAAAATTTGTTTTATCTTTTACAAAATTTAATATGAATTATTTGGTTTTTATTTTATTTTATGTTTCCTTATTTTATGCTACCCTGAAGTAAGACATTCTTATTAACAGTAGAACTAAAACATTGCTGTTACAAAGTGAAATTGTTGCCATACATCTTTGTTTTCATCAGACTATTCCATTTCAACCTATAAAGCTATTATCACTAATCTATAGTTGTATTTATCATAACATCCACTATATTTTCTTTTCTGGATGCATGCACATCAGGTATCTTTAAATAAAATATCTTATTTTAATTAAAACTCAATTGAGATCCAGGGTTTTATGTTCTTTAAAAACAGAGCTACGTGTTCTTCCAAGAAAATGGAGGACTGTTTTTTTTCCTTTTTTTTTTTTTTAGAGGGAATCTCACTTATGTCACCCAGGCTGGAGTGCAGTGGCACAATCATGGCAGCTCACTGCAACCTCTACTTCCCGGGTTCAAGCACTTCTCCTACCTCAGCCTCCAGTAGCTGGGACTATAGGCACCTGCTACCACGCCTGGCTAATTTTTGTATTTTTAGTAGAGGCAGGGTTTCACCATTTTGGCCAGGTTGGTCTCAAACTCCTGACCTCAGGAGATCTACCCTCCTTGGCCTCCCAAAGTGCTAGGATTATGGGTGTGGGCCACCGCGCCTGGCCAGAGGACTGATTTTGATCAAGATGATTAAATGCATCAAAAATGTTGATCTTTCCTTTGTTCATCAATTGAAAAAAAATAAAAACAAAGAATATAAATATGAATAATTACTTCCATTAAAATTAAAACAAAGCCAAGTGTAGTGGTTCATGCCGTAATCTTGGAAGGCCAAGATAGGAGGATCACTTGAGGCTAGGAGTTTGACACCAGCCTGGACAATATAGTGAGACCCCATCTCTACAGAAAATTATTTAAAAAAAAGCATAACCAGGTGTGGTGGCATGCGCCTATATTCCCAGCTACACTACTTAGGAGATGGAGGTGAGGGGATCAATTAAGCCAGGGAGGTCAAGGTTGCAGTGAGCCATGATCACACCAGTGCACTTCAGTCTGGACAACAGAGCAAGACCTTGTCTCAAAAAAATATAAAATATAATATATCACCAAACTGAATTTTAAAATGTGCATCAAAATAAAAAATACAATTTGATATAATGGAAAATTGAAATAATGCTAAAGGCTAAGCAACACAACACATTTTTTTCTAATTAATTAAATTGATGGTATAGATAATAAAATTTAATAAAGATTATGTAGATGAGGAAAGAATAGCTTCCTTCTACCCTTAGAGTTTCTTTGGCTAGGCTACAAATTATATTGACGTAAGACAGATTCTCAAAAAGAAACATTTTAATCACCTGTGCACACAGGAGTCCCATGAAAAACATGAGAGTCAAATATGGGCCAGATGATTGATGCTTATATAATGTCCTGAGCATTATATAAGCATAGGGGTTGGACTTCTGGCAGTGGTGATTAAATTATGCAAGGGTGAGTAAAGGAAATGTATGGTGAATTAAGGCTGTCTTTTCATGTCGATAAAATTCTCTCAGGTGATAAATGTTGTTTCAGAACAACTTTCTTTCTGGTACTAATAACTATACTAACACAAATTTTTCTTCTAGATATAAATTTCTTTCATAACAGGGCGGCTTTTCCAAGCTACTCCTGTGTCTGTAATTGCTCACAATAGCTAGCTAGAATATTTTGAAGTGGCATGTTCTGGTCTCCTACAGTCATATTTTGGAGTGATGTGGCCTGAACACCACCACTTATACATGGCCACAGATAATATTGTTTTTCATAGTTTTAAAACTATAAATATGTTAAATATATTCAAATTTAAATGTATATATAAAGTATATATAATATAAATGTATATATACTTTATATATGTATATAGTACATGTGTGTATGTGTGTGTTTGTGTGTGTGTATTTTATACAATGCTTTTAATCCAAAGTTTGTTCTCTAAAACTCATACTTTCAACATTGGGAAAAATCTCCATGACGTTGGTCTAGGCAAAAGTTTCTTGAGTAGTACCCCACAAGCACAGGCAACCAAAGCAAAAATGGACAAATGCGAGCACATCAAGTTAAAAAGCTTTTGCACAGCAAAGGAAACAATCAACAAACTGAACAGACAACCCACAGAATGGGAGAAAATATCTGCAAACTACCCATCTGACAAGGGATTAATAACCAGAATATTCAAGGAGCCCAAACAACTCAATAGGAAAAACATCTAATAATCTGATTAAACAATGGGCAAAAGATTTTGAATAGATATTTCTGAAAAGCAGACACACATATGGTAAACAGGTATATGAAAGGTGCTCAACATCACTGATCAGCAGAGAAATGAGGTGCTCAACATCACTGATCAGCAGAGAAATGCAAATCAAAACTACAATGAGATAGAATCTCACCCCAATTAAAATGGCTTAGATCCAAAAGACAGGCAATAACAAGTTCTGGTGAGGATGTGAAGAAAAAGGAACTTTCGTACGCTGTTAGTGGGAATGTAAATTAGTACAACCATTATGGATAACAGAAAACTAAACATAGAGCTGCCATATTATCCAGCAATCTCACTGCTGGATATATACCCCATAGGAAAGAAATTAGTATATCAAAGAGATATCAGTACTTCCTGTTTGTTGCAGTACTGTTCACAATAGTCAAGATTTGGAAGAAACCTAAGTGTCCACCAACAAATGAATGGATAAAAAAATGTGGTACTTATACATAATAGAGTACTATTCAGTCATAAAAAAAGAATGAGATCCTGTCATCTGCAGCAACATGGCTGGAACTGGAGATCATCATGTTTAGTGAAACAAGCCAAGCACAGAAAGACAAACATCGCATATTCTCACTTATCTGTGAGATCTAAAAATCAAAACAATTGAACTCACGGACATAGAGAGTAGAAGGATGGTTACCAGAGACTAAGAAGGGTAGTGAGAAGCTTGGGGGAGAGGTGGGAATGATTAATGAGTACAAAATAATGTTGAAAAGAGTAAATATGACCTAATATTTGATGGTACAGTGGGGTGAGTATAGTCAATAATAACTTAATTATACATTTTAAAATAACTAAAATAGAGTAAGTAGATTGTTTGTAACACAAAGGATGAATTATTGAGGGGATGGATACCCATTTTGCATGATGTGATTATTTCACATTGCATGCCTACATCAGAGCATCTCCTGTACCCCATAAATATATACACACACTATGTACCCCCAAAATTAAAAGTTAAAACAGTAAATAAATAAATAAAGCTCACACTTTCTTTGCAAAATTTTGCCCTATTCAAAGGATTTTATCTCTATGTCATATTCTTGAAAAGCATTTAGTACTGATTTTTTCATGCAAAATATTTTATTTTTATGGTATTCTTGAAAAATGCAATATCCTCTGCAGTTACACTTTTTGGCAGGCATTGAAAATAACAATTTTTCTAATATTTATAACAACTCTGAAAGGTACATGTTATCAGCACTGTTTTTTAGAATATAAAATTTTTTACATTGCCAAAATTTAAACAGAAGGATGTGGCAGAACTGGAGTTTCAGGACATTTCTTTCTGACTCCAAATTCTCTGTCACTTTAATGGCACATGGGCATCTTTTCAATGATGTGAGTGGTTATTTGGACAGCTCAGCAAGATCTTTTCCCATGCATTTCAAGGAATACAAGCCAAATGAAAATGAAACAGGTGATGATCTTTTTGTTGTTTGCGTAAGATATCTGATGTTTCAGGAATTCAAATGAGGCTGTTTCTTATAATACCTTTGGAACAATCATGCCACCTGCAGTCATTAACTTGAAAGCCTAGACTTTATAAATGTTAAGAGTAACACACAATTTTGGAATGGAAAAAGGTGCAGTGATATCTAACTTGATAACTTTCTACTAATTACATCTTGTCAATAACATTTGGTGCAATGTATCACTTGGTGTGTTGAACATAACTGAAAAATGTGGCATGATATTTAAAAATTCTGTTAGGTCTCAGGCCTTTTTGCTGGCCAACTTTTTCAAGGCAAAGATTATTTACAAATTAGCTATAAAATCAATTATCATAAAGTAAAAAAAATTAAAGAGGTAATTTTTTTAGAGTAAGCAGAGGGTAATTGTGTTTAAGTCGCTTTAAAATTTGCACATCTTAAATTATCTTGAGTCTTGAAGTGTCTCATTTGCTTTCTAATCTTCAACAAGATGCTTTTATTATTTTGAGACTTATATTAAACCACAGGGGTCTGAAAGATTTCAGGAACTCTTGCATTGCACCAGAAATAAACAATCAATTAAATTAATAAAGGAAAATCACAATTTAGATGTTAGTTGTTACAAACATCACTGTTTCTTTAACCATAGCTTGTAGTTTTATAATTCTAGCTCAGAAATTACATTGATGCGTCCACAGTGAAGTGGCTGTCACACTCTAACTTTCTCTGCAGCTTTCAGTCGTATATGAAAATTCTAACTTTTGGTCACAATCAACTAGCTGCCTTAAATAATAGAAGTTTGGTAATTTTGGTATCTAAGTTTTTTTCTCTCACAATGAAATACTGAATTATTAAAATCTCAGTGTTTGGATGATTTCTCTTCTACTTATGTAGGCTTTATTATTTGAAATGTTAATGCTACAGACTAATAGAACTCTAGGGAGCTATTCAAACTAATTTAATTTTAAAACAAAACTATGTTGTCAGTGAAATTGTCATTAAAGCCACATTGCCACGGGAAGTGGAAACATAAATAAAGATCCCAAATGTTGAATCTTGATGTATTATTTCACTGACAACTTGTTTCAAACATTTTTTTCTCCTTTCCAAAAAGAAAACTCTGAAAACCTATTGCCACATTATATAGGCTATTATTTATATAATTTAAAATATATATAGTGTATGTTATTTAAAATTAGTCTTTTTTGAAACAATTTTTTTCTACCAAACATACTGTCTCTCTAGTGGAATCTTTATCAAGACAAAATTTGACTTGAAACATGGTTAAAAAAGAAAAGAAAAAGATGCAGCCAAGATAAACTCTGGAATGTTTATTTATTTTTTATACCTAAACTCTGCAGTACTCCCTAGGTGGCCAGATATCCTAGTCATCCTATACCAAATATTTTATGTGATGCAGGAAGATGAATGAAAATGAAAGAATATTCTTAGTGAAGCAAGCTGCAGAGATCTTTTTCTATATTCTTTCTGTCAAGGGAAGTAAAATCAGCACTCCTAGCTGTATTTATTTATTAAAGCATCTGATGTATAGCAATACAGTATACAGTCCCTGAATTCCAAGTATGTCAAATCTGGAATCCACCTGATGGAGATATTTTAGAATAACATGGAAGAATATCTATCTATCTATCTATCATCTATCTATCTATCTATCTATCTATCTATCTATCTATCTATCTATCATCTATTATCTATCTATCTATCTATCTATCTATCTATCTATCTATCTATCTATCATCTTTTCTATCTACATTGTTGCGGCTCAGGAAATAATACCCGAAAGTATAGCACTTTAGCATGCTGAATACTTTGAATTAAAGGACACTGGAAGAATTCAGAAGCAGCCTCAGAACTAAGATCTCTCTGACCTTCTTCTTTGCTTCTTCCTCTGCCCTTCATTCTCCCTTGAAATGAGTCATAGAAACCAGAATTTCTCTTCTCCAAAGTGGGTCATAGAAACTAGAACCACTTTCCCCAAAGCCAGTCATAAAACTTAAGAATATTGCTCTTTCTTCTACCTTTCTGTATAGGAGACGACTATCAAGAAATTATCTGACTTACCCTTGTCCTATAGTAGGTCATAAAACCCTCATTCCAGAGGGGCCCTGCCTGATACCTTGGAGAAAGAAATGCTACAAGAGAGAGGCCAAGATGGATCTAAACAAGTCTTGATGGGGTTTTACACTCAGTCTATTTCCATTAGGTCATATTGTTTTGTTTAATCACATTTCAATACCATCCATTCTTTGTAAAACCTAAGCATAGAAATAGTCTCCCCTGGGTCTTTGGGTCTTCATTCTAAGGTCTCCCATGTAATGTAAACTTTGATTAAATAAATGTAATGCTTTTTCTCTTGTTAACGTGTCTTATGCTACAGGAATGTTGGCCACGACTCTTAATGATGGAAGAATATATATATATATATATACACATATATATATATACATATATATATGTATATATATATATGTATATATATGTGTGTGTGTATATATGTATATACATATATACACACACACACACATATATGTATGTATTACCTTTAATCCATGTTTAAAATAGCGTGGTAATAAGAATTCTTTCTGGGAACATAGCACCTTTCTATTGCACTTCAAAATACTCTTCAGGCACCTTAATTCATCAGTTTTAGTGGTAAAAACAATTTGTGTGTGTCTCAGTTTCGTAGGTTTTAAAAGGAAGTAATGGGGGAAAGAGCAGTGGACAAACTTTAGATGAGAATAGCCCTAAGGTTTCTTCTTCTTTATAACAAAATAAGTGACATTTTAAACATTTTTAATGAAGTATATTATAAATATAGAGAAGCAGTAAGGGGCTCAGAAAACGACACCCCAGAGGATGGCGCTTTGGCATGCTGAGTACTTTGACTAAAGGAGACTGGAAAGTCTCAGAAACAGGTGTTCTCTGACCTTCTCCTGCTGCCTTCTTTCTCTCAAGAAGCAAGCCATGGAAACCAGAATTCCTCTTCCTTAAAGCAAGTCATAAAACCTAGAAAAGTTAACTCCCTTCTCTCTTGAAGACCCAAATTCCAGGGTAGTCCTTCCCCATACCCAGAGGAAGAAATGCTATACAGAGAGGCCAAGAAGCTGGACAGGCAGGCCTTGCTGGGTCACCCCTCCCAGTTTGTTACCATTAGGTCATACTCTTTTGTCCAATCATATTTCTACATGGATGTCTATGGTTCATGGAACCTAAGCTTAAAAACACAGCTTTCCCCTGGGTCTTTGGGTCTTCTTAAAGGTTCCCGTGTCAGGTAAAACTGATTAAAGGCCTGGTGCGGTGGCTCACACCTGTAATCTCAGCACTTTGGGAGGCCGAGGCGGGCGGATCACAGGTCAGGAGGCGGGCAGATCACAGGATCATGAGGTCAGGAGATCGAGACCATCCTGGCTAACATGGTGAAACCCTGTCTCTAATAAAAATATATATAAAAAAATTATCTGGGTGTGGTGGCGGGCACCTGTAGCCCCAGCTACTCGGGAGGCTGAGGCAGGAGAATGGCATGAACCTGGAAGGCTGGGCTTGCAGTGAGCCCAGATCGTGCCACTGCACTCCAGCCTGGGTGACAGAGTGAGACTCTGTCTCCAAAAAAAAAAAAAAAAAAAAAAAATAGAAACAAACAAAAAACTGATTAAATATATGTGTTATCCTTTTCTCTTTTTAACCAGTCTTTTGTTATGGGAGTGTCAGCTTATGATGGATAAGGAAATGTATCTCATTTTTTTCCATCCCTACAGTGCACTGATTTAGTACATACTCACTGAAGTTTCAACACCTGGTCACTGGTTCTTTTTCAAAATGGGGTATTAGAATTTCCTGTGAGGTCTTAAGAAGACATAAAAAACTCTGCAACTTCAAAATCATTGTCAGGTTATTTATGAATTGAACTTACTACAAGAGAGAGACCAACTCTTCCCTCTCAATACTTTTGTTTGTTTGTTTGTTTGTTTGGTAGAAAATAATGTAAATGATAAGCAAGCTATTTGGATAGCCAAGAGACAATGAAAAGTAAGGAGCTTTATAGGGTGGAATGTTTTTTCAAATTAATTACTTAAATTTTCTTATTCCACTCATGTTTGTGAAGGACAGCAATTAAAGACTACAACATATCTTTCCATCTAGAGACAGCGGATGTTGAAAATTAAGGCAAAAGTAAACAAATTTAAGAGTCTGGAGGGACAAGTCACAAACAATTTGGAATTGGCAAGTTCTGTTGTTAAATTCCATATGGACATAACTACAATATTCAGTAACTGTTCAGATAAACTAGACCCAAAGTTGTTGAATGTGAAAAGATTTTGAAACCAAATGTATGTGGTTTGGAATTCCAACCCTGCCATTTACGAGGCACGTAGACTTGGATTTTAGTTTCTTCAATTGCAAGGCAAGAAAATGGAATTGGAATAGGGAGATTGCTTAGCACAGTGTAAGGAATTAATATACTTTACATGTCTATATTTTACACAGACTTCTACATCCCTACCCTATCTCTCACATTCCTACCATGTGCGTCCTTAGCAGGGTTTTAAACTTGTATTTTTAAATAAAATCTTTTAACTGAGAATAAGAAAGCAGACTTGAGCAAAAAAATCTTTCTAAAATTATAAGTACTGATCATTGGATCTAATATCATAGTACCTGCAGTGCCAAAAATCTCAACTAGGAGGTTTAATTTAATCAAGAATTTAAAATATCTCTTTGGCCTTACTATTAGATGGGTTCTATTTTCCACACAGCTATCAGTAAACAGAATTCCTGCAATCATAATGCTCAGTATAAAATGTCATGGCAGTTTTCACTGCTCTCATTTTCTGTGAATGATTGTATTACATGAACAGGAGAAATTCAAGTATCATTAAAGAATAAACTAAGTCCTACCTCTTACAGGAGGTAGCTGAAAGTTCACTTAGCTCATGAATCCTATTTAAGTAATGCACTTATATAAGTAGGTTTCTAGTAGTGACTATTTTGAATAGTAAATTTCAGATAGTCTAAATTTTACATTTCACCCTCTAAGTCCTCTACTCACTCTTCATCTCATATACATGACGGTATGTTGCTTGATTTAAAGCTTTCAATCACTGAACTGGAGTTTAAAATATCCAACTTTCTCTTAAGCCAGAGGACTTGTAAGAAGAACCTATATTCTTAAATAAAATTTTCTTCATACACACACAGACACATGCACACACAAATGGAAGCCTTTTTAAGATGAGGCACATGTTCCTTTTAACTACTTTTATAGCACCCTGTTGCTTTGGATCATTAATTACAATTAAATAGTAAATTACATTAACTATGTAAATATTGGTTTATTGACTTACTTCCCCATTAAAGGATGCTTTTAGAGGTCAGAAGCTGTATCCGTCTCATTCATTTCCCTGTCCCAGGTTCCTAGAACAGTGTTCAATATATATGTATTAAATAAATAAAATAACAGTACAGTAAATGACAACTCAACCCTGACACTTAGTTGTCACTAAAATTTTGTTGTCACCAAAACTTTCATCTCCTGTTTTCCATGGGATACTTTCTCACATGATATTGAAATTCCTAAAAATTACGTGAGAGTTTAAAATTGATTCACAAAAAAATTTTCATACTTAGTAAAATTTCTCCTAGAATTGCAACTCTACAATAAATGCTCTGGTAGAATAATATCATTAATATTTTATTTATCCCATAATCTAAAACAAATTTATTGTAAATTTATATTGATGAAATTTTGTCCTAAATTTTAAGTAATAATTATATACAATGACAATGTTGTCCTCATTCTCATAAACTTTTATAGAAGCAATAACAATAATACTACAGCAAGTATTTAACATGATAATAAATTCTAGTATGCTTTATAAATCAAAGTGGCACACTTCTTTACTTCCTTCAACTGTAAACAATTTGAAATGATTACATTCTTAAAACTACCACAAATATTGTTGTGTTCCTATTATTAGAAAGATATTTTTAATCTTTCTGTTTAAATTGTATGGTTATAAACTAACAAAGATTACTTAAAATATTAGACCAAATAAGATGGGTAGTTCTGTTTCATTCTGATTGCTGAAATGTGCAAAATATTATATAAAATTATGCATATTTCAGAATATGGTTGGCTATATTTCCAGATTCACTGTTATTGAAATAATAGTTTTATTTACCAAATTTGAAACATAGAACATTTATATAGAGAGCAGAGCAGTATTCTGATAATGTTGTCTTGATAAGAAAATGGTGGAGATAAGCATACCCATTGGGTACTTTTAGATATTGGTGTGAAGTACTCAGAATATAGTAACAGTGGACACCTCGTCCTTCTGTCTGTCCTTTTGTTGTTATTGTTCCTCTAGTAGTAATAACATGCGGTCTCTCCAAATCAGTTGTCCATAGGTTTATGTTCTGTTTTATTTAAAAAAACATCTTTGTGTCTAAAATAAGTAAAACTACTCTTCCAACCCGTCTGTCCCCTCTTTCTAGAAAAAAAAAGATAATAATATTTAAAACTTTGGGTTATTCTGCAATATGGCAATTTACAGTATGTAACCAAGTGTTGCAACAGAAATAAAGCAATGGAATAACAAATCACAAGACACCCTCAGGACAGAAGGTAGAGAGAAATGTTAAATTAATGAGCCTATAAAACTGCTGCAAATGAAACGTGTAAATACATTGATCTTTTTTTTTTTTAACCTAATGGTTTCCTTATGATTTTTACATCACAGAAAAACCTGTTCTATTTGCACCAGCACAGCTTCTTAGTAAACACTGTTCTTTCTTATCTGCTCGATGCCTTCTCCCTAGGCTATGGCAGATTTTTCATTTAGCTAAAAGCTCGGTAAGAGGTCTATGAGAATGATAATCCTACCACGGGCCGCAGCTGGCATTTTCATGGGGTAGATGATTAGTAGAACGTTTTCTATTCGACCTGGAGAAATTCTCTCAGTGGGAAGTTAACATCCGCTTACTGTCTTCACCAGAACACACTCATCAGTTCCCCATCTGACACCCAAGAGCAGAAGAGGCTGCTTGAATAATGGATAGTATAGAAGGATATCTGGCTTTTTAAAAAATAGTATCTGTGGTGAGTTACAAGCCAATTAATTGGCTTTATCTCCACTTTTTAACTGCCTGCCCTTATGCTATCAAATTATTTAGACAACTAAAGATTCGTGCTCTCCAAGGAGAGGGGAAACTTTCATTAATGCACCTTCAGAATGTACTGCTTTACTGACACTTGCCTTTTGAGAGTGGTTTAAATGGCTCCTGTAGGGAAATTGAAATGGAATCAAGCTACCTGAATGTGAGGAAATATTCTCCCCCAGACAAAGCTTGTCCTTTCCTAAAGAGCTTCACCACCCCAGCTCTGAAGTAGTTAATATTTATATGTCTGCAACATATAAATCCAGGAAAGTATTATGCAGGATTTTATAGCCAGAGGATTTTGTATAAGCTTTAAGGAAAATGTTTAAATCACCTAATTTAGCCTTATACCTTTTTTTTTCTTTTCAGTTTAGTTTTATTTGATTCTCCCATGATGGTCTGTTCTCTGACCTGATGCTTCCACTGAATAATAAAGTTGTGGAGGAAAGAACACTCGTCCTTGTGTAAATCTACTTAAAGAAGTTTTCTCATCCTCGTATTGAGAGACATAACCCCATGTCAGTCTACTTGACCCAGAAGCAGTCTCCACTGAAGCTACTCAATAGGAATATGAAACCTGCTATCATTTGAGGACAGTGTAAAACCTAATGACTTCAGCATATGCACACCAAGTAATAGCAAATCATACTTTGTACACTTCACCTTCATTTTATAATCCAGCCCTTTGTATGCAGTAATGAGGTATGTGGTATAAGGAAGATTCTTTAATAGGATTTAATGCACCTGTGAGCAAAGGCATTTTAGCTTTTTATCCCCAGCAGCACTGTAACTGAAAGCCTTTAATACTGATGTGATGGAATATAAATGCAGAAATATTATAATAACCAGAACTTTTCAAAAAGTTTACAGTCTTTCTGTGACAGATTATTTAACTGTGAGTCAAAATTATGCCTTGAGAGAGGCGTAAATAAGGGCATATGGAAATTTTGTGGGGAACCAACCAATGCTTGTAAATGTTTGCGACTTAGAGCCTGTGCTGGGATCAGCTACACTTTATTGGACTCTTTGGTCAGGAAGCTTAGATCCCTTTATTTTCTCAACAAATGTAGAAAGAATGCCTTCGGGAACTAGCCCTATTTTTGGTAACTTCCTGCAGCAAGTGGATACTCTTTTGAAGAAGAAATAAGTCCTACATTTGGGTGTATGCTTTGTATTATATAACTTTCATATGTAGCAAATGTTAAATTCTGATTTTGTTAGTTTAATGAGGAATATTCAATGTTTATTCAAAAACCTATGCTTGTTTTTTAAAAGTTTGCAAATAAAACTTCAGATGCTTAATTTAATACTCCAGCTCCACAAAATTCCTTCTGAATAAGACACTCTCTCTTTCCCCATTGTAAACTCTATTATTGTTTTGCTGCTACAGAATTACTTCCCTTTTGCATTTACTGAAGTTTACCCAGTTGTTTTGTTCTTTAACAATTCACAATTATGAGGAACTCTGTTTATTTCTATAACAGGGATTTGGCTCTTTAAGACAGAAAACTATTGTTAGTTTAATGTTGTGCATAGTGAGAAAATTTGATTCTAAACATCAAATATCATGGGGTCGGAGCCTATCCATCACATGCCAGAGGGGAGGGTAGCACTCTACCACACTGGAAAGACTGGAGGTCAACTCTGGCGCCCTGTGTAGTTTGGAAAGCAGAAAATCAGGGCAAGTTTTGTGAGTAGTTTCTGGATCAATATGTCCAATACAAGGTAAAGAGGTCACTTGTCAGAGCTGAGAATCTCTGGAGAAGAGGGAAGGCAGGACTCAGGGAGGCTTCAAAACAGACCTGCCTGTAACCGTCGGCTCACGGCCTGCAGAGAAACATTCCTCCACTTTAGACCGATGGAAGCTCTTTGCTTTCTGATGTGAAAACAGGAAGGAATAAGATTATTTTTGATACATAAACATTGCTTCTAAAAAGAATTATGGCTTTCTTAATGTAATATGTGTGTAGATAAATATGTTTATAGTACTTACCTATTTTAATTCTCTGGGGATTAAACAAACTCTGATTATAAGACATACATTCAGTCATGCATTCAACAAATGGTACTTGAATATGCCAAGGCCAAGCTAGAAAAGAAAAGATGGAAAAGTCCTGTACATACTTCAGGGAACACAAAGTATAAAATATGTAACTATATAAACAGATATTGACTGGCAATAGACTGTACATTTTGTTTTCTGATTTCCCTAGTCTGAGGATAAAGATAAAAGTTTTTAAAAATCTCTGACAACGTTCATACACAGAGCCCTTCCAGGATTGTTACCATTTTGAGTCTACAATTATGGGGGTGTGGGATTTTAAGGAAGAGTGCCCTATGAATGCTCTAAAAAGAGTTCTGAACGAGGATTCCTCTTTTTCATGTGTTAGACAAGCTCCTACCACCTTATGTCTGGATATACCTTACAACATACTCTCGAAAGTATAATTTCTGATTATATATGTATATAAATCTCCTTCCTTTTGTGAACAGGCTAATAATTATTTTTTAACTAAGCATTCAGAATATATTCACAAAAGGTGGTATGCCCATATACAGTACATTCTAACACAGAATAGCAATAACTTCTATACTAGTTTATGAGGGGTGTTCCTTTGTGCTGGCAATCCAAGAGGAAAAATATGTTATGAACACAGTTATTTCAGTGTTATTGGGCAGTTAGAATCTATTAAGCATCTTAAAAAGGCATATGTCTTGACACTGAAATGTGCAGTTTTTCTTATCTCTATAAAGTGTCACCATATGGGCAAATAGTGAAGAAGAACACTGCAACACACATAAACATGTGTGTGTATATCTCTGTGTATGTGTGTGTGTTTAAAATCAATTTCACATGAACAATGTAAAAATGGAGAATTGTAAGTTATAATAAAAAGAATGCATTATATGGTCACACAGTCAAAATGGTTTCTTCCACTAGAAAAGCAAATAACCCTAAAAAATATTGGCTGCCACCAGAACCATGCAAATTTTAAAATGTAAAAATTATGCACACATGGCACATTTTAATTATGGCCGTAGATTTGGAAATGATTTTATTCAAGATGGCTGCAAAGTTTAAGTGCAATAACACATGAGTGCATGAACCAGAATTCTTGAGATTGCCATCTTTTTTTCTTCCTTATCTGTATAATAAACAGAGAATTGTTATTTAACAAACAAAATATTTGATACAAAGAACAAGTAAAGTTCTTTTGTGTTAGGGTGTACAAATTTGCCAGAAATAGAGGGGAAGTGAGTGTATTAGACAGCGTTGACATTCTCTTGGAAAGTTTGCGTGCCTGAAGCACAAACCTACAGGGGTTACTGACTTCTGCCCTAGGAAAGTGGCCCAGGAAATCTAGAGAAAATCACTTCGGTTTTTACTTACACCCACTTACAAGCATAGCCCCTGTATTAGCTGAACAATAGGGGAGTGGAGAGAGCAAGTGAAAAAATGTTTCCTACTGCCCAGGAGGAGAGTTATAGTCTACTTTTGTTATGACCCCTTGATGAAGCTAACTAAAGATCGCATACCAGATCATTACACACCACCACCGTGAAGTATAAAAAGGCACTTAGCATTTTTGGATAGGGAGTCACATTCCAAGTCTCTCATAGTCTAGAATGAAAGACTTCCTTTTTTTTTTTTTTTTTTTTTAACAAAGACAAAAATGATGATGTCATTGGTACCAAGCGATGAATGATCAGTATCATACTCTCTATTTTGAACTAATCTACCGGTTTCTAAACAATTATTTAAAGAAATAAAATGGAAAGTCCATCGAGGTAGAAAAATAAAACTCAGAAAAAAAGAAAGAAGGAAAGAAAAAACGGGAAGAGAAGAAAAGACAAAAAAGGGGGGAAAAAAGGGAGAAAAAAAGAAATCACAGATGATACCTTGTTCCCAGGGATTTAAAGCCACTTACATAGAAATTATTCTTAGAGTAAGCTCCATGAAGAAATGTTTTCAGGCAAATGAAGTAATATTATAAAAAATTGCATTGTCTTATTATATTTGATGTTTCTAGTAGTTGAAAGAAAAATTGATACTAACCATAAATTCTTATTCTTAGCCTTAAAAATGGATTTTAACTTGTGAAGATTGGCAAAAGTAGTTATAAAATTGGTTGCAAAGCTATTTGTTGCAGGCTTACCAATAAATAATAAGATCTAAGTTAAAACATTTAAAAGTGATTCTCCAGTTATTATCTGATGTGGCCTAGATCAACTCATAGCCCAAAGGAATAGAATATAAATGATATAAAACACAATGCTTTCATTGTATTAAATATTGGCCTAAAATGATCTTGAAAACTTATTGGTTAAAATCATAACAAGAACTGTAGAATTGCCTAAAATAATATCTTTAAAAGCAAACAAACATAAAAAAGTGCATTTTTTATCTTTAATTTCAATATGTTGAAAATGAAAATAAATTTCCAAAAATATTGACATTTATTGAGGTAGTCTTAAATAATCATATTATAGTCGAATGTGATCATCCTTTTATGTAGTGATAGTGCACGCGCAACACCATGGTTTCAATAATTCTTCCTTTGTGAGGCTTGGTGTATAGACATCCTGAGAGCTTTAAAATTTCACCCTAACATTTTAAAGGTAACTACTTATTTCTTAATACATTGCTTGATACAGAAAAGGCTTATACAGTAGTAAGACAATTTCTGAAGGTCTAATTATGTATAAAGCTGAATTGGTTTTGCTCTAAATAAATGTATATCTAATGTCACATGATGGTTGGTAAAAGCTGTTTAAAATAGATTCCGTTGTGAGTACATATGAACCAACTGATTTTACATTTATAATAACAGTTTATATATTGCATTAAGCTTAAAATAAAGAAAATTACAAAATTTTATACTGGTACTAAATCATTTACAACATAAAATAATCTTTTGTTTTAAATACATACACATTTGAAGTCATTGGTACTGTATATCTATATCTATCTATCTATCTATCTACAATTCCACAAATATCTTTTAATTGCTAAGCATTTAAGGCATATATCGGTTTCCATAAATTTCAATTTGTTCATAAATCTTTCTGACTATTCCTGGTGGATACATAAAACTACACCTGGACTCAGAGTGTCCAAGTGCTAAGCAACACACCGAATGACACAGAACACAGTTTCTATCCTGAAGGAAATGCATTCTTATAAATATGAAAGTTTTGTTTACTCCAGAAAATATTTGACTTTGAGGTTACTGAAAACCAGAAGAAATGGTGTTGTCAATACACCATCTTGGAGAAGCACTAATACATCAACTTTGATCACAGTTAAAAATGTAGTTCCAAACCATACAAAAATATTATTTTGTTTTTCTATATAATTAATGAGGGCTCATTATTCAACAAAGGAATATTTGATGTGATAAAAAATGAATTTCTTTTGTGGAAGAGTACACATATTTGCCAAGAATAGAAGAAAGGTAAATGTGTTAGACATTGTTCAAATTCCCTAGGAAAGTGTGTGTTCCTGAATAATAAACGAGACACATTAGCCAAGCTAATAGCAGCTGATGATGCCACCGAGACTTCATAGAGTGGCATTCTACAATCTTTTATCTGTGAAGGCAGGTTACTTCCCATTGTCCACAGCCCTAGGGGAGCCAAGTACACTTGTTTGCTTCTGACTCTTAGCAGCTGAAAACAGGACCCTCCATTTCTGGCTATATTTCTCTGCTGGCTGATGATGACAGCGAAGCATATTGTAGTAGTGAAGAACAGTGGCCTAAAGAACTACAAGATACAATTTTTAGGAATTATATAAATTATATGTTTATTTAGCCAAATTATTTTACTGATGTAGATTTATTTTTAACTTTGTTGTTTTCCTATTAAATTCATTTAATCAGCCTATTTGACCACATCCTTTGAGAATAATGACCATGGAAATTCAATCAACAAATGTCATTTGTAGTAATATAAAAGGTTTTTGTGCTGGTTATTAGGTTATTATTTTCCAGCTTCAAATTGATAGTAGTGTTAGGACTAGTATTCTACAAACATACTTTGCAGACCTAAATGACTCTTGTTAGGTGTTTTCAGTAGTGGGTGCTAAGCAGTGGTTGGAAACATGGACACGGAAGAAGGGATGCTTTTTTTGCTTGTTCTATTTTGCTTCCTATTCCTGTTATCCTGACGCAGCCAGTGTTCTTTATACTGGCAATGAGTTTGTTCTGGATTCCAGCAATTTTTCCCCCACATTTCCAGACCCAGCTTATTATCCATCTTTGAAAATATTATAATAGCACTAGCTGGCTGACAGTCTCTTCTCAAAAATCTGGTTTCCAGCTCTGCAAAGAGCTTCCTGTGGGCATTTAATGAACCAGAAGCAGCTATGCAGTTCCCTCTCCTCACAGCACCTTCTCCTTAGTGGTCATTTTAGGGATTCTGAAACCGTACGGTCCATCTTTAGAGCTTCTTAGGATACAGATTTAGCGGAATACCCTTTCTTCCTCGGAGACATAAGTCTCACGTCGGAAGGGCCACTCCTTTAAATTTCTAAGTCTAACAATGCCACCATCTTCTCTGTTCCCCAGTCACAGACATGGACTCTCTTTTAGGCGGTTATCATCTCCAGGTTACCTCAGTGTTTCTATTTTCCTTCTCTGTACTCCAGTCTATGTAACCAATTCTTATATTAAATTTTTTCCATTAAAATAACTGATGCAGTTTCAGTTTTTCTTACCGGATCTTGTTGAGTAATGCTCACACCGACATTTAAACAGCTAAACTTTTGCACAATGAATATAAAATTGACTTTTAATACAACTGTGAACTGACACAAAGGAAAAGAATCTACGAAGCAAAAATTGAAAGTGAATGTAGGAATCCTGAATGATAAATAAGTACCAAAGTGAGATTTTTGTCTTGAAGGCTTGTGTGAAACCCTGGAGAACTTGTGCTTTCACTTTGGTGGTTGCTCAGAGAACAGAGAATGAGATATAAAGCCTAGGGACCACCTGAGAAAATGAGTCTAATAGAATGACTATAAAATAAACCTGTGACCCAAAGTGTTTCACTGTGAGAAGGGTGAATGAGAAAAAAAATAAACCTTGAAGAAAAAGTCAACAAGAAAAGTTGCCTGTCTAAAGCTTGACACTGGGTTGTGGGGGAAATGCTGTGCCTTCAGAATTCATAATCTTTAAAATTGTTTTTTTTTTTTGGAGAGACAGGGTTTCTCTATGTTGCCCAGGCTGGTCTCAACTCCTGGCTTCAAACAATCTTAATGCCTCAGCCTCCCAAAATGCTAGGATTACAGGCCTGAGCCACTGCACCCAGCTGGAATTTGTAATCTGAAACTGGCACTTATGCAGGTTTGTTTTCTGAATTTATGATTTACAGTCTGAAAATTCTTCTGTAAATAATTCCTTTTAAAATGCACTTTGACAGTAGTATCCCCAAGGAAATAGTATTTTGAAAACAATATTGGTGAGCTCAATTTCAATCCAGGTGACAGATATTTCACAAAATTATATTCCAAGAAAAATATGTCAATAATCCATTATAAAATAATACACACACATGAACAGGGTACTATGAATGAGAAACAGCAACAAAAACAGATAATAGAAAGTTACCTGCAAAAACTATAATTATCAGATATAAAATATAAAACAATTATATATGTTTTAAAAAATAACAGAGTTTAAAAATTTGCATTTTTTTCTTTTATAAATAACCTTTTTTTTTGGCTTTTTGGTGTTTATATACAGGGTATAAATATAAACCTGTGACCCAAAGCGTTTCACTGTGAGAAAGATGAATGAGAAAAAAATTGAACCTTGAAGAAAAAAGTCAGCAAGAAAAGTTTCCCATCTAAAATGTGACACTGGGTTGTGCAGGAAACACTATGCCCTCGGAATTTATCATCTGTAAAGAGAAACAGGGTATAAACATGAAAAAGCAAAAAGTAGTTCTTTATAAAAAATATACAATTATGTAAATAACTCAAGGGACAGATTATATCCAATAAAGAACAGATAGTGTAAAAATTATCTGAACTGTAGCAAAGAGAGAGAGAGGGAGAGAGAGTAATAGAAGGAGAACGATGAATTGAAAGGGTCTAAGAGCTGTGGACAATAGAATGAGATCAATCTAACATTAATATAACCAGAATTCCAAAAAGAAGCTGTAAGAAGGGAAGAGGCAACATCTAAAGAAGTTATGTTTGTAATGGCTCAGAAATTGGAAATACACAAACCCATATATTCAGAAATTCAAATAAAACCCAAGGAAGATACATGAAACAAATCCACACATAGGGAGTAATCATCAAGCAAACTGAGGAGATCTTAAAATACTACTCCTAATGATAAGACTTTAAAGAAAGCCAAAGATAAGTTAAAGATTACTTATAACAAAATTGCAATTAGATTGATGGCTGAATTATCTTATTGTGCTGGGGGAAGAAACAAAACTACATAAAGTAAAAATAAAACTGGCCAGCTCCAACTACATACCCAGAAAAAATGGCTTTTGCAAATAACTGTGTAAGAAAAGTACAAAACATAAAACAAAAGAGTTGACCAACAAGAGAATTCACTAACATAAATTCAAAAAGGGGGCCACAGGCAAAAGAAAGATGATCCCAGATGAATTAAGAAGGAATGAATACTACTATTCGTAAACGTGTGAGTAAACTTAAACTTTAGTTACTTAAAACAATAATAAAGTATCTGTTTTTAGAGTAAAAGATACAGATAAATTTTGAACAGGTATTACATATATTTTTAGAGTTGGATAACCCTAGTTAAAGTATTCTAAGATCTTTATATCATTTGGGTAGAGGTAAATTAATTTTGTGTCAACTTGATTAAGCCACTGGGTTCCCAGAAATTTGTTTAAACATTTTTTGGGTGTGTCTGTAAGGGTGATTTCAGAAGATATTAACACCTGAATTAGATAAAGACAGAGTAAAGTAGATTGCCCTCCCCAGTGTGGGTTGGCCTCATACAATTTGTTGAAATGCTGAATAGAACTAAAGGCTGAGCAAGGAAAAATTGTCTCTCTCTGCCTGATTGTCTTTAAGGTAGGACATTGGTCTTCTGCCTTTAGACATGGAGTTGGACTGGAAGTTACACCAACAGTTCTGGTTCTCAGCCGGGCGCGGTGGCTCACGCCTGTAATCCCAGCACTTTGGGAGGCCGAGGCGGGCGGATCACGAGGTCAGGAGATTGAGACCATCCTGGCTAACACGGTGAAACCCCGTCTCTACTAAAAATACAAAAAATTAGCCGGGCGTGGTGGTGGGCGCCTGTAGTCCCAGCTACTAGGGAGGCTGAGGCAGGAGAATGGCGTGAAGCCTGGAGGCGGAGCTTGCAGTGAGCCGAGGTCGCGCCACTGCACTCCAGTCTGGGTGACAGAGCCAGACTCCGTCTCAAAAAAACAAAACAAAAAAACAGTTCTGGTTCTCAAGCCTTTGAACTCAGACCAAAACTGTACTATTGACCTCCTGGGTCTCCAGCTTGCCTACTGCAGATTTGGGGACTTAGCCTCCATAACCATGTGACTTAATTCCTTACTATATCTATATAACTATCTACCTTTCTATATATACATACATACATATAAAAGATACAGATGTATAAATAAATATATATAGATATGGATTTACATATAGCTACACATATTATTGTTTCTTTGGAGAACCCTAATACAGGTCCACTAGTCTCCCTTTTCTGTGATTTCACTTTTCATGGTTTCAGTTAGCCACTGTTAACCATTGTCCTAAAATATTAAAGGGAAAAATCCCAGAAATAAACAATTCTTCAGTGTTAAATTGCACACCACTGTGAATAGCATGATGAAATTTTGCACTGTTTTGCTCCATCCAGCTCAGGACGTGAATCATTCCTTTTTCCAGCATATCCATGCTGTCTATGCTACCCGCCTGTCAGTCACTTAGTAGCAGTCTTGGTTGTCAGATTGACTGTTCTAGCATCACTGTACCTGTGTTCAAGGAATCCTTGTTTTACTTCATAGTGGCCCCAAAGTGCAAGAATAGCGATGCTGGAAATTTGGGTATGCCAAAGAGAAGCCATAAAGTGCTTTCTTTGAATGAAAAGTAAAAGTTATCAACTTAAGGAAAGAAAAGAAGTCCTATACTAAGGTGCTAGGACCTACAGTAAGAACGTTTGTATCTGTGAAATTGTAAAAAGTATATTGTTATAATTTTTTTATTTTATTATCAGTTATTTTTATTAACCTCTTACTGTGCCTAATTTAAAAATTAAACTTTATCATAGATATATATTTATAGGAAAAAACCGTGTATATAGAGTGTGGTATTATCTGCAGTTTTAGGCATTCACTGCTGTCTTAGAATGTATCCCTGTAAATAAGAGGGGACTATTGTATAGATAAATAAGCCTTTCAAATAACTAAGGACTAAAAGATAGACTTTGCGATTTCTAAAAAGTAAAGGAAAACTAGATTAAGAAAAAAAAATGTGAATCAGTCTGAAAGAGACCAAAAAAGGTGGGGTAGGGCAAAAAGAAGCACAAAAACAAGGCAAATAAGAAATACATAGTAATTTGATGCAATTTAATCCAAGTATATCAGTAATGAAAAGTAATGTAAATGAAATAAACATTTCAGCTAAAAAAGGAAATCTTGACACAACTAAAACTTTAAGGATGTGGAATAATTGAGAGTCAAAGGATCGATAAAAATAAATCAAGCACTTACAAAAAAAATGGAGAAGCTCTATTAACATTAGACAAAATTTACTTATTGTAAAAACTATTATTAGATATTAAGGACATTACATAATAATAAATTAATCACTGTAGTAGATATAGTAATTTGATATTGTATGCACATAATAATATAACTTTTAAATATATAAAGCAAAATTACTATAATTATAAGATGGAATTGAATGCTCTGCTATCATAATAGGTATTAGCATAGTCCCTCACTGATTGAGCATACTGATTAAAAGTGAGTAATAATATGGAAGAATTGTATAGCACAATAAACTTCAGAAAATGGACATTTATGAAACAGAACACTCAACCATTGAATAATACATATTATTTTTATACATACAAAATAGTTACAAAAGGTAAGCATGTTCCTCCTCCAAATTTAAAATGATTGACATTAGTTAACTACAATGACATTAAAATATAAATTTTATAAATAGTAGCATAAGAAAATACGTATGTTGGGAAAAGTTAAACCAGTCCTAAAAATCATAATTCTGATAAGAACAATCATGTACACTGGAAATTAATTTGAACTAACAATTATAATAATATTATTACAATTTGTGGGGTATAGCTAACACAGATGCTACAACAAAATTTATTGTCTTAAAAGCCTAGATTAGGAGAGAGAAAATAGAAAGACACTAAACAAAATGCACTTCTTTAGAAATTTTAAAATGAACACCAGAATAAAGCTAAAAAAGGAGAAAAAAGAAAGTAATTAAAATAAAATCAGAAGTTATTGAAATGGAAAGCAAAACTAAAAGTTTATCAAATGGTAAAAAGTGATTCCTCCAAAGGAATTAGGTAAATCCAAACTTTCCAATATTAATTTAAAAAATAGAAAGGAAAACAAAGCAATGTAAACAATAAGGAGGTTTTATAACTTTAGAAGATGCAGAGATAAATCCTAATAAATCCCTTTATGTGTGAATCCATTTTACACAATAAAGTTGAAACAGTAAATTTGATAATCTACAAGAATACAATTTGCCAAAATCGTGTTAAGAAACAGTACAAACCTGAGTAGTCACAAATCTAATAAATCAATTAAATTAGTAGATAGATAATTTTACCATAAGAAAACACTGAAGCTTAGCTAAATTTCTTCAACATTTTTTAGCAAAAGAAAAAAAAATCAAAATATTTTTATGAGGCTAACATAATTTGATGCCAAATAAGTTTAGTATAAGAAAATGTTACAAACTAATCTCACTCATGAGCACAGAAACAATAACTTCAAAATATTAGCAATACAAATCCAGTTATTCATAAAAGTAATGACCTATCATATCTGAATTTGTTTCACCTCAAAAAGGCAGGGTTGGTTTAATAGCTAAAAGTAGAATAATGTAATTCCTCATGTTAACAAATTAAATAATAAAAACCACATGATATCCCAATGGAAAGTTAAAATTTTTCAATAATATTAAATATACATTCATGATGAAATTTTAGCAAACTGCAAATACATGGAAAATTCCCTACCTTTATAGAAGTTATCTATTAACAGCCTACTGCAAGCATTTATTTAATAATTTAGTAATTAATTTAAAATCCCCAGTATGAATGCTCCACTTGAGAGAACCGATGGAGCATCTAGGCCCTATTGCTACTTCTGGACATCTATGGACACTGGCACTGCAGAGTTTACAATCTGGCTTTCTCAACATTTCTCTGTAAGGAACAGGGACCCAACTCAGAAGCACTAGGGAGTTGGTGATTTGCAAGATAAATTCTGAACAAGGATAAATCCAATAGGAAAGAAGGAGCTGGCAGGAAAATTATTCGCTTTTTCGATCACATTCCCTAACAGATCATTAGACTTTTGCCTAGAGATATCGATGTGGTCTTTCTTTTCTTTTTTCTTTCTTTCTTTCTTTCTTTCTTTCTTTCTTTCTTTCTTTCTTTCTTTCTTTCTTTCTTTCTTTCTTTCTTTCCTCTTTCTTTCTTTCTTTTCTTTCTTTCTTTCTCTCTTTCTCTCTTTCTCTCTTTCTTTCTTTCTTTTTCTTTACTTCCTTCCTTCCGTTCTTTCCTTCTTTCTTTCTTTCTCTCTCTCTTTCCTTTCTTTCTCTCTCTTTCCTTCCTTCCTTCCTTCCTTCTTCTTTTTTTTTTTTTTTTTTTTTGATGATGTCTTGTCTGTTGCCCAGGCTGGAGTGCAGTAGCACCACTTCGGCTCACTGCAACCTCCGACTCCTGGGTTCAAGCAATTCCCTTCCTCAGTCTCCCGAGTAGCTGGGATTACAGGCACCCACCACCATGCCCGGCTAATTTTTTGTATTTTTAGTAGAGACGGAGTTTCACCATGTTGGCCAGGCTGGTCTCGAACTCCTAACCTCGTGATCCACCCGCCTCGGCCTCCCAAAGTGCTGAGATTACAGGGATGAGCCACCCTGCCCGGCCTGACATGGCTTTTCTTTTGAAGTTCTGACTTGCTCAAAATTGCTCCAACTTTATTTGCTCGCAATCCTTCCTTGTTTCCCTTTCCTTTTTTCGTCACTTACTCTGTCTTGAGATTGCAGTCCCAATCCTTAACTCCCACCCTCTAATAAAGCTGTAGCATTCATGCTCTTCTGTTTCCTAGGGAATCCAGCAAAAAACATTCTTCAGCAGTGACATGGAGTAAAGGTGATAGATCTATAATGAAATAGTATGAAGCAGATAAAATGAATGAACTTTAGTTTCCAGCATAAACACATGAATTTGAAAAACAATGTAACATGAATGATTAAGTTGCAGAAGGATGCAGACAGTTACCTTTCCATTTATATACATTTTCAAAACAGATAAAATTAAGTGATGCAATTTTTACAAATAAAAACCTCACTGGAGAAACACTCTTTTTTAAAATCCAAGATGTAATTAAAACAAAATTCAGCATAGTGGCTACTCCATTGGGGGTGAGAGTAGTGGGCAGTATGAATGCAGAAAGGAAACACAAGGACTTATACTAATAAGATTTTTTTCCCTTAAATGCTCATTTTGTTATTTTTGTAAGCTGTACAAATATGTTTACATACTTATCCCATATCCTGTTAGAATTCTATTCTCCTGCCTTCTGTCATCTTGTAAGTTCCTGCAGCTTTCTTTGAGACGGGTTTCTCTGGCCTAGGCTGTGTGCTCCACCTATGTGCCTCAGGCCTGAGGCACCAGGAAGTATGTAAGTTTATTCCTACAAAAGCATCCTTTCAACAATGCCAAATAGGAGTTGGAGGATAGACACCTCAGCTTCCACACCTCTCAAATAAGGTAATTCTGAGGTAATTCTATGCATTTCCCAGGGGGTTCCAGCAGGATCCATATGGTTACACCGCTAAACCTCTCTATCTACAATGAATTGACTTTCTTTTTTTGTGGCTACTGGGCTTCAAAGACAACCCCCAGTGAATCTCCCTTCCCAGTGTTCAGTAGTTTCCTCTCACTTTGAATCTGGGTCAGCCCTGTGACTTGCTTTAAACAACAGAATATAGTAGAAATAACATTGTGCAATTTCAAGCTCACAACTTATACTTGGCCATTAAGATAATGGCATCATCATATACTATGCAAAGAGGATATACTATAGATACTTCTACTCATTTTAGCTTATCACTATTATGAAAGCTGACTCTTGACCAATGCCAGAGTTAGGGGTGCTGATTCCCCTACACACACAGTTGAAATTCACTTATAAATTTTGACTCCCCCAAAACTTACCTAATAGCCTACTGTTGACAGGAAGACTTACCAATAACATAACAACTGATTAACACACATTTTGTCTGTCATATTTGTTATGGTATTCTTAGAACAGAGTAAGTTACAGAAAAATGTTATTAAGAAAATCATAAGGAAGATAAAATATATTTACTAGTCATTAAGTGGAAGAGAATCATCATTGAGTAGCCTGAGGAGAAAGAGGATGAGGAGGAGTTGGTCCTGCTGTCTCAGGTGCGGCAGGGGTGGAGAAGATGGAAGAGGAGACAGGTGAGGCAGGCACATTTGGTGTAAATTTATTGAAAAATGATTTGTGTATTGTTCAAACCCATGTTGTTCAAGGGTCAACTGTACTCCTTTTTGTCAGGAATGATAAAGGCAGAATGAGGCTATTGTAAACATACTTTTTAGTAATTTGCAAACCTCCTTTCTTTAAAATACATGCAAATAAAGTTTTATCACACTGAATGATCATATCTTATAGAAACATGCCATAAAAACAAACCAAGTTTAGAAAAAAAAAGCTTTGATAATTTTTTCATAAGTTATTGCTTTTGAAATCTGTGAATAGGCTCAAAATGTGGTACTTTGAAAAAATTTTAAAATAGGACTGTGGCTGTCACCTTTCTGAATAGGTCACATGTCCGCCTTCCAGAAGTAGAATATAATAGATGGAATCATACTGTCCCGTTAAGCTTGGGAAACAATATTAATAGGTTATTTTCCCACCTGCGAATTCACATTTGTCTTTAATTTTTCTCATTCCACATAATAAAGTATACTCAACATATGTCTTACCTATTACATAGGGTTAATAGAGTGCAAAGTCACTTTTTTAAAAGAAGAGTTAACTATTTTAGTTAACTATTTTACTGTCGGTAAAGCATTTGCCATAGTTAATTTTTAATGACTCTGTAGTATATTATTTTGAAATAAAATTACATAACTGCTGTGAATATTTCTAATTTATCTAAATATGCATTTGCATGTATCTTTGAAACTCTATGTAGCATTTAAGTCCATTTAAAGTATGTTTTTCTGTAACCATGGTTTGAAACTTGGATAGCCAGCCTTTGAAATGTATAAATTATGGAAGAAGAAAATCAGCATAGTTTTCTTTTCCTGGGAAGTGGAGCAGTTAATATTCAACATGAAATGTCTAATCTTTAAATACATTATAATCTAACTGCTTAGGATAATTTTTGCTTTAATACCTTAAGAGTCTTCAAAGCCTGAAGGATGGGATTATTAAGATGGAATTTTAATGTCAAAATTATCAGAGAACTGAACATATTGCTAGTGTTCATAAAAAATTGTATTCAATTTCTGTATGATTTGTTCAAATAAGAGATGAGAATATATTTGATTATAGCCAGTAAGTAACCCAAAATTTGATCAGATGACTGGAGGTCACTGCTACATAAGTGCTGTCAACCTCAGAGATTAGACTATTTAAGAGCTGAATTTATTCTAATATATAAATGTACCTGCAGAGATACGCATAAAAATGCAGTCATGGAGTAATTAAACTGTTGGAATATTTTGTGGTGAAAATAATAAAAAAGGAGAGTATAAAAATAGATAATAAAAATAAATGTAAATGATGACAATTTATTTGGAAAACCTAGTGCAAAAATATAGAAAATATTTCTCAATATTCATTTACTAAGCCTTTGAGATAACTCAAAACTAATATAGGCACCACAAATATCTAAACTTAAAGCATCTTATATTTAGCAGAACTTTATTAGTGTTCAGATTAATGTATGATATAGAATTTACTGTGTCAAGCCAATAATAGAAAAAGTAATACCAAGATAGTGTTTAACTGTACTATTTTAGGCCATTGTTTCAAAGGGAATACATACTTTGCAGTATTTTCTATAATCATGCTTGTCAGATTCTTAAGGCGGATTATTCCTGTGGCAATACAAACTTTCCCTTATACATTATCAAATACCTACAATGATGTTCTCATACATAATCACTTATAACTATTAATAGAAAATATAATGTCATTCAAACTTATAATTATAAGTCATTCAAACTTATAATTTTTATTCCACTGATTGGGGGGATGTAGAAACTTGTCTTATGTGTTGGCCTTAAGATACAAAAGCTCAGTAGGTACCCTTCTTAGAACAGTGCACATTTGTAATTTATGAATGTTCTTTTATATTCTTGTAGGATATAAATATACAGTTACATTTTCTTTTTCCCCAGTGCTACATAATTATAACTTGTAATATGTAAATATTTATGAATTCACAGGATGTTCACTAGGAGAGAAGAATGTTATACTTGCAGATTTATTTAGTATTTGCAGAATTCAGATCTCATTATTAGGCTTTATGTTGTATTGCAAAATGTAAAAATGCATTTGTTGTAAATTTGACTTGTCTAGAAAACATACCATCTGGTGATTCTTTTGAGACTTGAGGAATATCTCAACATCATTTATTGTTGGAGATAGACATTACAACATCGGTTAAAAATTTTATTCCCTTTACTTTTATATAAGTAAATAGAGAACAAATGCCATGTATCATCTAGAGGTGATAAATTATAGTTTCAACACTAATATTATGAGATATTATAATTTATAGGACTTTAGATATCATCTAGGGAGAAACAACATTATAATTGATTGTCAGTGACTATCTGTAATATTTGAAGAACTCTGAGGCTCCATGTGAAGAACTCTGAGGCTACCTATCAGTTCAGTGAGGGAGAAGGTCCTTCGCTGATTGGAGATACATGCCATAGGTTCTGGATGGGCCCTGGTGGCAAGGATACTGTGTATTTGCCACACTTCATGAAGTGTAAATTAAAGATAATTGAAAGCTAATCATAAAAGAAGATCCAGTCTCTAAAACATCCCATTGTATTATCAGATGGATCTACTTTGTCCACTTTGGCTCTAAATCTGATTACTGTAACTTTCTCCACCTAATCCTAATCTATTAGTCATTCAAACATGAAAACTAGATATTTGAAGATCAACATTCTTCTTCTCTTTAGATATTTTTCGTTTTCAAATAAAAACTCATCAATTGCTCCAGCTTCTTCACCATTGCTATAATTTGTTCAAAACCTTCTTACATTACTTCCATAACTGAGTCTTTCATATGGTATCTTAACTGTGTAAGATAAAACAATTATTGTTCTTTATGAAAACACTAATGTTAAATAGTGTTCACTATCACCTTTTATGTAGTGTTCACTAATTAATGATGAAAGCACTATTAAACTTATATTTAATGCAATGTCAAAGTCTATTATCTGCTTTGTGGTATTTTCACCCTCTTGGATCAAACGAACTTGCCATTAACTACAATACTTAGACTTAAAAAAAGTAAATCATTCTTAACTGTTTCAAACACTATGTTTACTAATTTTCCCATATGATACTAATGATAACAATATTTTTGTGATTGCTCATTATTAGCCAAGAACCACATTAAGCATTTTATCTTGCTCGTTTTATATAAAATCACTACAGCCTAATCTTATTTACAGAAAAGGAGACAAAGGCACAACAAATTGAGTGTCTTATCTAAAGACATTGTAGCATTACATTTGACATTTTTGTGTTTATTTTGTTAGTTTGGAACAATTTACCTTTTTGAGTTTTTATTCAATAATTATATTATAGTCTCTTAGGAGACAAGAAACACATATTTCAAACTTAGATAGTTAAGATTTGTTTTTCAGTGCACTTGAAAAAAATGTTAAATGGAAAACTTTCTGAGAAGTTACACAAGCAAACCTTCTAGAAAAAGGGAATGCTTCTGCAGATATTCAATAGTGTAATGTTTCAACTACAATATTCTTTAGCCTAATAGGAGACTGCTTGTGCTCGTCATCCTTCTTAGGGGAGAGCTTCCTTTCCCCTTTACAGAAGGATAATATATGGTAAGTGAAATGCCTTCTGTCTCTGCTGCTACTGCCTCTGGTGCTACAAATTTGACACTCCCCTATTATTTGCCTAAACTCTCATGATCAATTATATCTGTGTATTCATTTTAATATCATAGTGCTTGATGCCTGCCATCTTACTTAACACCTTTTGTTTAGTTCCTGTTGAATTCTTCCAACAACCTTAAGGTAGCATCATTTTAATCCTCAAATAACATGAAAGAAAACTTGAGGTTTGGAGAGATTAATTAATACCAAATTAACCCGTGATTAAATAGATAGGATATTTCTGAAACTGGATTTAGGTAGGACATTTCTGAACTGAGGTTTTACTCCAAAGTCTAGGTTTAGGTGGTAACTCACTACCTACTTTCTCTCTATGTGTTCCTTCCCTCCTGCTCATTCTACTAGCAGTGATTCTGTCTCTCTCTCTCTCTCTCACACACACACACACACACACACACACTCATTCACATTCACATTCCAGAAAAGGTTACCAAGTGATTATATAGTCCCTACTTTTCTGATCATCCCAAAGGATTTCAGAGATTTTGCCAAATACCTTGCTTGAATGAAAATCCATGGGTGTATGGCATTTCTTTTGTTTACTAGTCTTAACAAGTCTATCAAGAAAATAAATCAAATCACATAAGTTTGAACAAGTATTTCTTAGTAACATATTATCATAACATTAACAAAACATATGCCAGAACATTCATGACATAATTTTGTAGAATAGACCTTATACTCAGGCTTAATGAATCTGGGATCCACAACTCCCCTTTTATGTAAATGAAAACATTTACTCATTTTTCTCTTGTTTCACATCCCATTTTCCATGATTTCCTGAAGGTCATTTATAGACATGCACCAATTGCATACACTTTCAGTGCTCTCACAAGCAATGTTTCTCTGCCAAGACATGATAAACTCTTTTGTGAGGTAGCTGCTCTTTTACTATCACTCTCTTTTGGGGGGCTTAACACTTTACCTGACACATTCTCTCTTTTTTAATATGGAGAATGTTATAAATATTTCTCCACAGATTGATATTCAGCTTGTCTCTTATCACTATTAAAAATAAAGCTGCCAGTGTGTACATACATGCTGTGTAAAAAATAAAAGAGAAAATCTTGGGTCAAGATACATACATGTTAAATTTTGGTAGGTTCTCCCAAATTGCCAAATAAAGTGTATCACTTAATTCTGCCTGTAATAGTGCATTGATGTTGTTTCTCTTTGTCCCAACCTCCTAAATAGGATTTAAGTCATTACTCTTCTTGTTATATGTTAATTGTATCACATATGCTAAGTAACAGATCTATGTCTATTCATATTATTTGATTCTGTAAACAACTTAAATTCTTATTCTGATTTCTTTGGTGTTTTTGTAATTATCAATTAATTTCATCTTTATTCTTCCTGGAACCACTCTTAGAGCCATATTATACTTTTATGTTTTAATCCCTTCCATTTTTTGATGTTTTACAAAAACGTTAAGACATACAATCTATTTAGAAAACTCATATATATGCACCAAGATAAACTTCTTTAGTTTAGCTATCTCTCTTGTGGTTGTCCCTGCAGGTATTTTATTGAATTAATGACAACATAGGAAAAATGATTTTAATGCATGCAAACCTAAACATTTCATAATGAGGTGATGATAATGTACATTTATACTTTATAAATAACTTCTACCTTCTTCTCCTTTGATCCTAACCATTATTGATACCATAACTGTTATTATCTCTATAAATATAAGAAAAATGAGACTCAAAGACCTAAAGTGCCCAAAATAAGAATTTAGATGATGGCAGGTATGAGATTTTAATTCCTAAGGTACTAATGTTTGTACTTGAGTTTGTTGTTCCTCAAAAGTATATCATCTATTATTAATTCTTCTCTCATCATTGCTAGATGTGTGAAGACATTTGAATTGAATGTTTCTGGAATCTTCCTCTCCATTGCATTTTGTGCCCCAACAAAACGTATTCCCCCACTAAAAACCCACTAATTAATTCTATCGAATTAAGACTTTTAACATCCAAGAATCCTCTATTCAAAATCCATATACCCTTGGAGATTTAATAATCAAGCTGTTAAGTAATTAAACCTTAGTAAGAATTAGCTTATCAGATTGTTTTTCATCAACCACTAAGTGAGAAGCAATGGAGCACAAAGTAGAAGAGATGGGATGGGGGAGAGTCACCTCACAAGCAATTCTGAAGGGGACTGACAGTGTAACGCTGTGGGTAGTATGAAAATCTGGGGACGTGGTATAAATGGCAAGTATAACTAACAGAACTACAGTTTAGATACCAAGAGAAAATAAATGATTTCATAATTTTGTTATATGTCTGGTCTTGACTACAGACATAAGCTAACAATTATTCTACAGTAGTTGGGATTTTACCCCTAGAATTTGACTACACTCTCAAACTGCGGTTGAAAGTATGTTCTTGTTCTATTGACAATAATTGCAAAAAATTATTTAACTTTATCTGGCATGCTCCTCTCTTGGCATGTCAAACACCTGCTTGAATTTCAACTCAAAGGCAACAAAAAAACCCCCACATCTTTGGAGCTTGTCTGATCATTTCTATCTCTTCCAGCCCTTGGAAAATTTGCCCACTTGCTTCCTTGTAATTTATTTTAATGTACATAGGCCAATGTCATAGAATCATGACTCCTGATATGGTTTGGCTGTGTCCCCACCCAAATCTCATCTTGAATTGTGGTTTGCATAATCCCCATGTGTCATGGGAGGAACCCGATGGGAGGTAATTTAATAATGGGGCTGGTTACCCTCATGCTGTTCTCATGATAGGGAGTGAGTTTTCAGGAGATCTGATGATTTTATAAGGGGCTTTCCGCCTTTTGCTTGGCATATCTCCTTGCTGTTGCCATGTTAAGAAAGATGTTTTTCTTCCCCTTCCACTGTGATTGTAAATTTCCCAAGGTCTCCCCTGCCATGCTGAACTGAGTCAATTAAACCTCTTTTCTTTATAAATTATCCAGTCTCAGGTATGTCTTTATTAGCAGCATGAGAACAGACTAATACAACTCCTTTGCACAAATTTATTTCATTTTATATTTCCCACCTTCTGTTTGTCTCATATTCCCTGATGATAGAGACCAAGTCATATTATCTTTATATTCCTAGCATCTGTTATAATGTCTAGAGTTTGTGGCAAAGACTAATAGGTTGCTAAATGTTTAGTGAATGAATTAACTAACTGGCCAAATATGTAAATATACATGTTAATAAACATCTTTATAGAAAGTATTTCCTCCTTTCTCAGTCAAGCGAAACAGTCACCTGTGTTTTATGCATTTTCAACTTGTTTTACTCTTCATGACACTTCGATTTTGTATCCATGATGCAGAATGCTATACTTATCAATCCAATCAATTCAGTGAAACTACCAGTCAAAACAGAACCAAAAAGTTCAGATCCAGTGGTTTAAATATTAAAAGAATAATTATTAATTTATTGACTACATTTTAAAATAATTTTTATTATTTTAAAAGATATTTAACTGATTTTCCTGGCATGATATAGACACAGATAATGTTTCATATGGGGTGTCCATAGGTTTAGCCTTCTAAATGAAGGTATTTCTATATCTTTGTGAGCCTTTGTTTATCATAAATTATAATAGCATCTATCCCACATATGCTAATGCATAATATAACTTTCTATACTTGACTCTCCATTTTTCTATTCCAATCTCAAGTTCTATAATCTTGGCAGATCTGTATTTAACACATGCATTGGAAGACCACTTTTGCTTCTGGGGTTCTTGAAAATTTTACAAGTTTTGACCAAACAGGATGCAGAATTGTTTTTGACTTTCTGCCATGAAATGTCTAATAACCCTGTCATTCTTCTGAAAATACTGTGTTAATAAATTCTGACAACGTGCAAAAAATAGTGAGAAGAGGAATTTTTGCTTCCCACGCAGCTTTTCTCCAAGTGGTAAAAGAGAGAAAAAGAAAGAGAAAGAAAGAACCCACTTAGGTCAGATAGGCCATTTCTTCATGAAAGATTACTTTTGAAACTTCCATTCCCAAACTTTATCTTGGGAGGTTCACTTTAAAGGTCTGAGGCAGTGAAACTTCTGTCTTGGAAACACACACAATCGTCTAAAAATATTCCTAATTAAACCTTTATATTTTAAATTTTCTGATAGCCAGTGTTTTAAAGCCTTTCCTTTGGCTTTTTTTCACCTAGTTTCATACCTTTTAACACAAAAGCAATTCTTTGTCTTCTTTGCTGTTTTTAATCTTAAAATGCTAGATCGTACAAGATGATGCCTTTTATTACAGAATCATGTATAAGTGAAAAGTGAAACACACACATATAAAAGTGGTTTTCTTATTTAAACATCAATTGCAGTGTTAGTTAAAACAGAAATATGAGGAAAATCATGCTGGTCAGCCATGTAGTTGTTCATTATCGAGGCTTTGATGCTATGTTGGCTCACTTAACAGCTATGCAAAGTTTATTACATCAGGAAAGGTCATTGGCGTATGTATACCTTTCTCACAAATGCTGCAAATGCAGGAGAAAAATCTAATTCCCTGGGAACACATTAAAAATAAACAAATACCAATTTTCCTCAAGGCTGATGTGAAGACTCTTGGCAACTACTAATACATGCACACAAGTGGAAAACATTGTCTTTGTACTTCTCTGCATTACAACATTAATGGTGGTATTCCTCTAAAAGCCATAACATCAGAAGCACCCCAGGAGCCTAGAATCACAGCCATTATAAAAGAAAGCTTTTGGCTGCAAGGTAGTGAAGGGAAGGCCAGTGGATCAAACCTCAAAGCCTTGCTTTTGAAATTAAATTGATGCAGTGGGCTTGTCCAGAGCTGAGTTAGTGTGTACCATGCACCATGCAGCACCTTACAGTACAGATTCTCCTGGAGTGCTAGCAGTGTGATTCTGACTAGCTTCTCCCCAGATTTCCCAGCTCTGGATAACTCCCATGCAGATTAATCATATATATCAAAAATATTTAGTAGTTTTGTGAAAGGTAAAAAAATGGAATTTGCTAAATCCTCTTTCCATATGAGACCTAATGAGCACCTCAAGATACTGCCTGTCTTTAATATTTAAAGTCATTATTCCACCTGACTCTATCAATTTCCTGTCACCAACACATCAAAAGGTGCAATTTTCAGAAAGCTGTTTTCTGCCTGAGTCTTTTTATTGTGGTTTCACAACACAATTGCCTACTTAGGCCCTTCCAGCAAATTGCACCCTTGCAATATATGCACTGTTTGGACACAATGCATTCCTGTTTTCAGTTAATTAATACATCACAAGGAGCTTTGTAAATTACAAAGCTCCCAAATCTTAGAAACAAGCGAGCTTAGGATATTATCCTGGAGCCATGTTTTCATTGCATTTTTTTCTTTATTTTATTTTATTTGTGTAAAATATACTTTTTACTTCAGTGTAACCCATAAGAAAATTTAATATCCAAATAGTATCAAGCATAACTCAAGAAAAGTAAACAAAGTAGTAAAACTAAACACAACACAACACTATTTTTAATGCTTAACATTCTTTTCAACATCTCTTAGCACATTTCACTTAGCACATCTCTGAAAGGAAATAATTCTTGTATTTTATTTTCCCTCCCATTGAGAGAACAGTCACAAATAGGGCACAACCACAAGACATAAAAATCTCTTTCAGCATATTGCAGGGGTCAATTCTCTTTTCAACCTCACCTATTTATTACTATTTCAAGTGATTGGGAAAATATAATAACAAAATCATAAACAACGGTGATTTGTAAATCCAAGAAAAGTATTTTTTTGTAAAAAGTGTGCTAGTATAATTTGCATGAACATAAACATATTATCATAATCTAGGACAATATATATTTTGTATATTAAAGTGAAGTACCCTTTAAACACATTCAGAGTTATACTTTAAAATTCAATATATTTTATATACTGTATATATATACTCATAATTGTATATATGTATATATACTCATATTTGATAAATAATATACTCACATTTGATATTTGATAAATAATATATAAATATATATACTTATATATATTTAGGCTTTTTAAAAGTTGAATATAGTCTAAACCTCAACTATTTGGGTTTAAAACAACAATGTATCCCAGTCAAGATAGGCGGTACCTTAGAGCCTCTCATTCCCGATTAAGTCTGATTTTTATATTAATTCTTATATATTTTTCTTTGATAACAAAACTAATTTGAGTATTTAAAGACAACCATTTCAAAAAACAATATTATGTATACAAATTGAAGACTTTATATTGTATAAGTAATAAAAATATTGATTAAAAACATGAAATTCCCATTAAAAATTAAATTAACTATAATGCTTGCGCAGTTGAGTAAATATAATGACATTAAATATGTAGTCCTTAATCTCAAATAGAACAAGTTGTTATATGTAATATTTTAAAAGATAATAGTCTAGATCTAGATATTCCATATGTCCAAAGTGGAAGTAATTTTTTTATGGCAAAACACTAGGGGTTTACAACTTAGACTTAACAGTACAATTACCCACAATAATAGTGACATTTATAGAACTGTGTATGTGTGTGCGCATGAGTGTTTGTGTGTGTGTGTGTTTGTGTGTATGTGTGTGTTTGGAAAAAGTCCCAGAAATAAATTTATCTTTCTTTGTCATTCTCCCTTGAAAATTAAGAAAGTTTTTTTTTTTTTAGAGATTGTACATTTAAGAGGGTGCACACATATATTAAATATTCAAAATCAGACATCTCAAGGATATTCACACGAAGCAGTCATTAACATGCAAGCCACATGCTAGCATGAGAATCCTCAAGGGAGACAGAAGTGGGTTCCATTATCCTGGTGGCAGAGATGTCATTGAATAGAAAGCAACTAGGTGTTAAGACAGAAGACAAGGTAGGGAAAAGCCTCCTAGTTGTGACCTTTCCTGTACCCCTTAGTGTCTGGACATAGCTGGTTCCATGGCACTATAGAACCAGCAATCATGCTAGTCTGAAACTACTGAAGGTGCATAATAGCATCAGTCTATCCCTGAAAGCCAGCTGGAATAATGTTACAAAAATATGTACAGAGGGCTGGGTGTGGTGGCTCATGCCTGTAATTCCAGCAATTTGGGTGGCTGAGGCAGGAGGACTGCTTGAGTCCAGGACCTTGAGACTAGCCTGGGCAAGATGGTGAGATCCCTGTCTCTACAAAAAATAAAAAATAAAAATTAGCTGATGGGGTGACACACACTTGCGGACCCAGCTACATGGGAGGCTGAAGTGGGAGAATCACTTGGGCCCAGTAGGTCGAGGCTGTGGTGAGCCATGTTTTGTGCCACTGCATTCCAGCCTAGGTGACCTTGTCTCAAAGAAAACTAAACAAACAAACAAACAAACAACCACATAAAACATGTACGGAGGCCAGCCTGAGTCCTCCTCCTCCAAGCTCTCATGTCACAGCATGTTTCTAAATAATTACAAGCCAGAGAAGGTATTCTTGGAAAGACCTGAAGCCAGAACAAAGCCACTAGAAAACTCATTGAGGAACCAAGCCATCTGGTGAAGCAGAAAAGTAAAGAGGTAAAATGGATCATGACACTAGTAGGCCCTTGCCTTCAGTTTCTGTATATGTATTTACTTCCTTAACTCATCTTGAAGGGACCAGTCTGAGGCTTAGGCTCTGACCCTCTTACCCACATTCCAACATTTGATATCACAAAGCACATAGCTGAGACTGCCAGGATAGACTAAAGCAATAAAGTGCATTAACATGACATCTCAGGATCACAAAGATTATGAAAGTAGAATAACACACTGAATAACCTATTACAGAGAAAGCAGAGTTAATGGTTCAGGAAAACAAGAAATTTAAAACAGCCTCCTTAAAGAAAAGCATAAAACAGCATTAGGTAACTTTAAAGATGACACAAGCAGAGATCTGGATATTAAAATAAATAATCATTGAAATAAAGAACTCAGTAGATAGTTTGAATAATCAAGTGGATACAGCCAAATGGCAAAACATGTGAGCTGAAAAATCAAGTTAAGGAACTTACCGAAAAAAGATCAGGAAGAAATTAAATTGCAATATGAAGAAAAAAGTTCGAAGAGAACTAGGAATAGAAATGCCAGTATTCATAACTAAAGTCCCAGAATGAAAGAAAAAAAATAATGAAGGGTAGTAAATAATAGAAATCATGACTGGAAATGTAAAAAAAAATGGCAGATTATGATTTCAGATATAAAAGGCTCATAGGCTGTAAAAAACAGGATATATAAGAAAAAAAAAAAAAGAAAACAAAACCAACCCAGATTCTTTATGGTAAAATTTGGAAATTATTCCCAAAGAAAGAAAATACTAGCATTCCCTGAGAGAAAAGGTAAAATTTCCCCCAAAGAAACATCCTTACTGAAATAAGAATCCTAAGCAGCAGTAACAAAAGCAAGAAGATATTGAAATGTTTTCAAAATATTGAAGCAACATCACTTGGAACTCAGAGTTTTATATCATGGAAAATGACCATTAAAAGGCAAGTGTTAAGTACATTCTGAGGGACCTAATTTTCATGAAAGCTTTTGCACACACTCTCTTTGAAAACATTTACAAAAGGTACTCCTTAAAAGAAGCATTAGATACAATGAAGAGTGGTGTTAAGCTAATTTAGGAAAACCTATTGTTGTTGAAGTAAGTACTGGTTTTAAATATATAGAAGGAACTTAACTATAATAATAAAGAATTTAAACTTTAGAAGGAATTTTAGGTGGTAGAAAAAAGGAAAGGACAATTACTATCTGTGAAGTTCTTGCTTGTTTGAGAGAAGACAAATATTAATATGATTAATAAAATGACATGGGAAATAAACATTGGCAGGGGCTTTAAAATGTGAGATATAGCCAGCTGAAGAATAAAACAGCCTGTATAACATTCAAACAGAAATACTATCTATCCATTGGAAAGTGACGGAAAGTGACAACAGGCCAGAAAAAAGAAAACATGGCACTTTGAATAAAAGCAGTAAGGTGTCTCATAAAGACTTATATACACTTTTCGGAAAATTAATTGTTCTACAAAAAAAGTAAGTTCCTTTAAAATTACTAACTCTTGTATATTTGAATATAATTAATATATATGTGCTATATATGGTATATATATAGAATATATAAATATATAGACATATTCGTAAATGTAAATATGTATCATCTATAGTGAACTTTAAAACATATCCTTCTCAGCTCTCCCACCATTAATGTTATTGTTATCATACATTTGAATCCTAAATACTGTGCAAATAATATAGAGTACATCATTATCTTGTATTAGACAGTAAATTGTCTAATGAAGGAATTAAAATTAAGAAAATAATGTATTTCATATTTACTTTTATCTTCATCATTTCTGCCACTTTTTATTCCTTTGTACAGATCAAAATTTTAATCTGAAATCATACTACCTCTGCCATAAGAACATGTTTGAGTATGTTTTGTAGACCTCCTGTTAGACATTTAATATGGGATATTGAGTTCATTTAGTTAGAAATTGATTTTTGTTTTGATTCTCTCAATATCTTTTATTCTCTCTCTTTCATATACATGCACATAAACTTAACTATATGCCACCAGATTGAGTAAACAGTAGATATCAAAACATAAATTTACTAGAAGAAAATATGAGTGAATATTTGTATGATATTGAGGCAAAGGCAGAAAACACAAGGGGATATATTGGTTTTGACTATTCATTAAAATATCTTTAATATTAGAAGACATTTATATAAAAAACAAAATGGAAACATATTTACTCACCTTTTGTTTGTTTGAAAAACAAAAGTCTTTAATTTGGTCTTATTTTAGAGTGATATTTTTTGCTGGGTTCAGAAACCTAGGTTGATTTTTTTTTTCTTTCAGTGCTTTAAAGTTGTCATTCTGATGTGTTTTTACTTGCATCATTTTTGATAAGAAGTTTGATCTTATTCTATTCATCTTTCCTCTAAATGTAATGTTTTCCATCCCCCTAACCCTCTCCAGCTTTCTCTCGGCAGTTTGTCTATGACTATCTTTTAATTCATTCTACTTAGTGTTCTCGGATGTATGGTTTGTTAATTTTCATTAATTTTGGAGTTCTCAGCCATGACTTCTTCAAATATTTCTGCTATCTTACCTCTCTCTCTCGTGCAGCTACAATTAGATGTACTTTAGATCATTTTATAATGTCTAATAGCTCTTGAACATAGTCATGTTTTTTACATCCTTTAATCTCTGCATGTTTCAGTTTAGAAAATTTTCTGAGCTATCTTCAAGTTCCTGATCCACCCCAGCCATGCCCTGTTGGCTGATGAGCAGTTGGATGGATTCTGCATCTCTGATATAGTGATCTTTTTGTCTAGAACTTATATTTGGTTGTTTTAATACTTTCAAATCACTGGTGAAATACCTTTTCACTCATGTTCTCTACTTTTTCCTCCAGGTTTTCAAAACATATTATTCATAGTTATTTTAAAATACTTGTGGGATAGATCAGTTTCCTAAGATGAGTTGCTTTATGTCTTAATGATGAGTTGTGCTTGTGTGTGTGTGTGTGTGTGTGTATGTGTGTGTGTGTGTGTGTGCTCTTACTTCTTGATTGAATGCTGAATATCACTTATAGAAAAATGGTAAAGACTGGGATAGGTACTATTTTTTGCCAAAGACAGGCACATCTCTTCTCCTGTCAGAGTTTTAACATTAAGTCTATCTAGTTAGAAGTTGATTTGGGCTTGGAATTTCTCTCTCAATCTCTGTCACCCTTTTGCTCTCCCTCTCTCTCTCATACACAAACACATTACATGACATCAGATTGATTAAAGAGTAAAAATCAAAACATAAATTTACTAGATGAAAATATGAGTGGATATGTATCTGATATTGAGGCACAAGCAGAAAACACAAAATAATAGATTGATTTTGACCATTAATTAAAATTTTTAATATTAGAAAAGATTCATAAAATAAAACTAAAAAATACGAATGCCAGACTTTACAAAGTTTATATACAACCTAATGGACCAAGAGTATATATACTTGAAAGAACAAATGTATTTTTGTAAATCATTAAAGATGCACTACAAAAGAAATATCTGAATATCTATGAAATACCATACATTATTCATTGAGTGATTTAAATTTCCCAAAATGATTGTGAGGTAGATTTCGATTTTTTTTTTTCCTTTTGAGGCGTTCTCTCCCTGTCACCCATGCTGGAGTGCAGTGGCACCATCTCTGCTCACTGCAACCTCTGCCTCCTGGGTTCAAGCGATTCTCATGCCTTGGCCTCCTGAGTAGCTGTGATTACAGGTGTGCATTACTATGCCCATGTAATTTTTTTGTATTTTGGAAGAGACGAGGTTTTTCTATATTGCCCAGTGATTTCAACTCCTGGTCTCAAATTCCTGGCCTCAAGTGATCTGCACACCTTGGACCCTCAAAGTGCTGGGATTACAAGCGTGAGCCACTGCGCCTGGCCTAGATTTAGATTTCTATAGGAAAATTAACTAAATTAACTGAGATTTATAGAAATACAGTACTTTGACCCAAATTATACATACATTCAGGTAGGAAACAGAGGATTCAAACCTGAAATATTCCGTTTCCAAAAAATCTGCTCTTTCTTGCACGTCAGTGCTCTTCAAAGTATGCTCTTCTGATCAGCAGCAGCAGCATCACCTGAGAACTTGCTAGAAATGAAAATTCTTATACCTCTTATACCATCTCAGAAACCCAGGAAGGGAGCTCAGCAATCTGTTTCAACAAGCACCTGAATGATTCTGATGTACACTAAATTTGAGAGCCATCCCTCTGGACCACACTGGAATTTGTCTAGTAATTCCCATATATGTTGTGATTAGGTATAAAATATCACCCAAGTACTAAAGTGATTTACAGAGAGAAGCAACTGTACAGTTAAGGCCAGAGACAGCGCCAAGAGGAAGGTCACTTTCTGCAGCCAAGTTTAATATAGATATAATATTGATCTCTAGGAAAGAGACTGAAATCTTAGTGTATTCCTCTAGGCCTAGTAAAATAGCATCAGATGGTAAAGGAATTTCAAACACGCCTCTTTCATTACTCTACTTAGAAAGGGATGAGTAAATTCCCTGCCTCATTAAAATTATCTTTCTCTACAAGGAATTAACAATATTTCGAAAAGTTAAAATGTCCTCACATTACATAGGTTTTTGCTAATGCAAAATTCAGTGATTAATTGTATACACAAGTAGTTTGAGATCAGCATATGAACTCTTGCTAGGCCAATTAAACATCTTATGACCTTGAGCAAGGTGCGTGACTGCCCTCTACCCTAGATTTCTTAATCCGACTATGGGATAACAATAATAACCCCTTTCTTTATAGGAATTAATGAAGACAGAAAATGAAAGCGATTCCCCTAATATGTGAACTAATTATACTTGGTTTAGAAACACCTTTGGAACTAACATAAAAATTTCTCCAGCCTCCAAATGGTAATGTGCTATGTGCCAAGCAATGTGACTACAAATATATATTATTTAAAAATTTGTATCCAATTGAGTACTCGTTTATTAAATCATATAATTCTATTGATTTTCAGTATAATTTCAAAGTTGTGTTCACACGAAAGAATTGCCTCAGAGATATAATAAACATTACCCTTAAGAGTCATTGAAATATTTCAAAGAGCATATAGATATTGTCAAAGTATAGTTTATGTGCATTTATTCTTCTACACAGTGTTACAAAGAAAGTTGGTTAAATGAACAATTAATTCCACATAATTTTGGCACAATTATTAAAACAAAGAACACTTGAAGTCTATATTTTTTCCTTGTGCATCCTTTAGTTTGTAACACAGAATAGCCTTCATAGAGTATTAAAAATAATTGACTAAGTTTTTCACTGATTATATGAAATAGTAAACAGCCATAATGATTATGTCAACTAATTTAGCAGAACTCACCAGATAGAAGAGCCACATGAAGATTTTATTTTAGACAGACCTGATACAATTGTAAGTAAGCTGATTTGACTTAACCTTAAGTATTACAGCATCTTTTAAAAGCAAGTCCTTTTCCTGCTGTTTTACACTTTAATTACTTCTTTAATCGACTCACTAGTTGATTAACTTATCGCTACTGTCAATAAGTACCTGTTCTAAGTAGGGGGGAGCTAATTGAAGCAGTGGTCTTTGAATGCTTCCTGACTGCAGCCCAGCAGCTGGTTGCTTGGCTTTGGGGGTGGCTGCAGCCTTCAAAGCCCATACATTAAATACCCGAAAAGCAAAATTGTACCACTGCTATTATTTATTAAATACTTTCTGAGTAAATTGCACTAAATCATTACTTACAATGCTTGGTTGATCCTTTCGTTCCCCACCTTAAAAACTTCTCTTACCACATGTGCCTTGAATTCAGAAAAACAGTGCCTTACCAGCTAGTGGCAGTTAGTAACCACTATGTATGTTGCCCACTATAAGAAGTACACATCATCTTATGTGCAAAAAGAGATGCAGGCATTTAAGAGGAAGAAAGTTACGAATATGCTGGATCTTAGGAGGAAAAATAATAATAATAATAATTTTTACTCTACGTATTTTTGTACAGTGTAAGAATAGTGACCTCATGCAGAAATTCTGAAGCTCATATTAAATATCACACCTTAAAGGATGCATTGGTCCTTCCTGCATTTTAATTCAACTCCATTTCAGTCACATATTTTACAGGTCCAACAAAGAGACAGTAGTAGCATCGCATAATTAGGAAGGAATTTATCAAGTGATGATGTTCTCATAACTCTTGGTAAAAGATTTAGGTTTTAGTCAATGCTTAACAGCATTTAATGGAGGTTTAAAGGTTGAGAAGACTGAAGACAAACTGACAATGCAAGCGCTGCCAACTTCTCTTGGTTAAAGCGGGAGAATTCTTCCTCCTGAGTCTTTTAATCTTTCCTTGGGTAACCAAAAGAGGCTTTGTTCAGGGTCTCATAGAAAGGGGACAACTACCTTTCTTCCCTTCAGTTGTAGTTTTGATTGAAATTTAATGAAGCAAAAACAATGTGCTAATAAACAAGAATTGAAGTAATTAATGAACAATAATCTTTGTACCTTCTACTTCTATTTAATTTAAGGACTTCGTGGTGCTATAATGAAGCCACGGAGGTAACTATGAGTATTCAAATGGCTTAACCTGAGGCAGTGATGGGTAATGTCCCCAGTTTTGTAATGATAGAGGAGAGATTTGGAAGGAGAATGATGCAATTCTTGATGACAATCAGCTAACATCATGAAAACCATACCAATTACCTCACTAGGTAACATGATAACTGCAAAATACCATATAGAGTAATGCATGTGTCACATAATGACTTTTCGGTCAATGACGGGCCACATATATGACAGTGGTCCCATAAGATAATAATAATTTTACTGAGTCTTTTCTAAGTTTAGATACACAAATACTTACCATTGTGTTACAATTGCCTACAGTGTTCAGTACAGTAACATGCCACACAGGTTTGTAGCTTAGGAGCAACAGGCTGTACCACATACCCTAGGTGTGTAGCTGACTTTACCATCAGGTTGGTGTAAGTACACTCTATGATGTTTGCATAATGCCAAAGTTGCCTAACAATGCATTTCTGAGAACTTATCCCCATCGACATGTAACACATGACTATTGAGAGTCTATTAATTATCAAGGATTCTACTAGACACTTTGAATACATTTTCTTATTTCAGGCTCAAAGCAATGCTAGGATTTTCATTTACATCATCTGAATCTCAGAAGAGTTAAATATCTTGAGATTTCACTGTTAGTAAGATTCAGGAAACATTGAAAATCACTTCTTTTGAATCTATTACCCATGCCATTATTACTATTCAACTTCCCTGTTTTCAAAATCGGTAGAAATATTCATTTATCATTTTAACTAGATTTCAGCATGTTCTATAAAAGCAATAGTACTGTCAGAGAGCAAAGTTCTAGTTTCATATTTAATTTTAGCTGGTGGGATTATAAGGAAAATATAGTGTACTATCTGGTCTTTTGTTTCCATGACTATAATATAAATAAAGTAGAATAGAATGTATATAATGTCATTTATTGGCTCTGCTTATATTCACATTTTTGTATAAGAAAAATACAGAAGAAAACTAGAAAATATGTCTTAAAATTAAGTAAGCAAAAAAGGTGACGTTTAAGTTCACTTACTGTCATAATATATTTATATTTTAAAAATTGCTCAGTGAATCAACAACATTTATTCAGCTCCTGGTATGTGCCAAGCACTATTTTAGTAACTAAAACTAGAGTAGTGAATAAAAGGCAGGATCCCTGCTTTCTTTATGTTTATTGTACTAGTTGAATTGGGGAAGAAGGGTAAAAAGGGAGGAAAGACATACAATAAACAGATAAATAAATAATTTCAGTCAGTGACAAGAGACAAATGGTCATGGAAACCTTCTCCCAGAAAGTGGCATTTTAAGTGAGATATGCATGTTGATGGGGGCTGTCCTGTGAAGTGATTGACTAATTTGAATATAGGACCATATGAAGAGCATTCCAGGCAGTGAGAAAGGGAAATGCAAAAGGCCCGAAACTGGAAAGAGTTGGCATGTTTAAGGAACATTGAGAGATTTGGCATGGCGGGAAAGCAGAGAACAATATCAGAGTCAGGTAAATCAATGTTCAGAGATGGTGAGTTCCTCCGCCATATTTTCTTGGCCTAATGTCCCTATCGGTGGTACCATTGTAATTCTCATACATCAGCCACTGGTTCATGTATCCAAGTGTCACTTTTAAAGATAATTTATTGATCCTAAACAGGAATAATTATAATATATAAAGTTTAAATTCATTTGTTACCAGAATACGTATCTTTGACTATGTGAAAAGTTAAAAATCTATGCAAGTAACTATTAAATTATGTGTTTGTTTGTTCTTAAAGAATCTTCAGAGAAAGAAAATGCAAAGAAAAATATGATTATTCTAATAGTAGTCTAGAAATCATAGGGTTATTAGGCATATTTTGTATTACAAAAGTTAGGATATTTACTGGATCCAAAAGAATGCATTGGAAAGAATTTTTAAAATACAAAGAAAATAACCTTAAAATGGTTTTCCAAAATGTTAAGTTTGATAGGCAGTAGTTCAAGAAAACATCTTTAAAGGCAATTCTAAAGGAAACTAGAGCTGACTTAGTCAACAGTTTCATTAGCTCAGTAGATTTCCCTAAGGAGCCAGTTGACCAACATATACCTCTACTCTTTTCCTCATTTTTCTTCCCACTCACTTAGATTGAGGTTAACTTTTCGCAGACATAGAAAATGTACAAATTAATTAATCCAAGGTAATGACCTTCTAAATCAGATATTGTGACTAGTCTCTAAATGTCCTTAGGTTTATTTCAATTATTAAGTAATACTTTCTTTTTTCAGTATAAAAGTACTCAATGAGATTAGAACTTGAATGAAATTACTAATCAAACCAAGTTTTTTAAAATCAAGAGTTATCCTCTTGAATCAGATAGTAAATTACAAAATTAAATTAGCCATCCCCAAATAGTTTAGAACTAACATTATTACAGGTATATAAGATATATGTGTATACACTAACACTACACACACACATAAACACAAACACGAAGCTGAGCATCTAATTAAAGAAATAATTTGGGCACCTGTTTCTGCATAGCATGAATATACCAAAAAAGATGTACGTAATTATTTTTAACTAAGTGGTGTAAAATAAATTAGATAGTCTTAATTTGATAAAATTCTTCTTTGTTAACACACAAAATTAACAAAAGATTCAGAATTTACAAAAAATCTTAGTTGTTTCTTTCATTAAGTCATAATTGAGATAGACCTTTCCAGCAGTAAACGTTAGCTTCCCAATTGCACATGATTTTTGAAGGGAAAATACCCAGCTATCTATTTGCTTTGTCACCCAGTTCTATAGAAGGCAGACTCTGTATCTTCTAATATAGTTAATAATTTACTATTTTAACATTTAAACTAATGAGGACTCTATAATCTACTTTACCACTCTTTAGTAGTTTTTGTTTCCAGTATTCTCCAAGTCTAAATGGATTTAGAGCAATATAAACTTTATTCTCTAGTTCTGTGTGGAAATGACACTTGATTGAAATTGATTGAGATTATTATTTAGAGATTATAGTTATGGTTATATTTTCTTTACTTCCCAGGTCCAAAATTAGCAATATCTCTTCACTTTCCTGTTTAGCTCAGTATCCCTTCACTTTTTCCACAAAGTATAATTTTTTTTGCTAGATAGCCGCATGTCCACAGATGAAACTCTGCAGGTGAGCACCCACATGCAAATTATAGAAGCAAGGAGAGAAGTAAAGACTTACCACACTAATTTTTTTTGGGTGCTGTGCTACCTGTTGCTATGAGATAGTGAGAGCCCTGTCTAACGTAAGTGGTGCTGGTGACTTGGCTTGTCGGTCAACTTCTGCTCAAAATAAGACTGCATGACTGAGAAGAAGAAAGAAGACAGAATAAAAGGCTTACAAAATTTAGTGATTTATCCACACTGATTTTCTAATTTTTTACAAAATTTTCTAATATTTTACATTACACAAATTTTTAACATTGCAAAAAATTGTTTAATTTTTTATGATAATTAGAGTCTTATCCATGTTGGTTCATGTGGATTTAGTTAATTATTTTAATAGTCATGTAATAGTTCACTGTGTGAAAAGGCACAATATTCAATAAAGTCTCTGTTACTATTAAAATACAAGAAATATATTTTTAATGAGAATATTAATAAGAATAAAGGAGCAAAATAAATTATAAAATGGTTTTATTAGCACAATTACAAATATACATATTCATAATTATATTAATTAAAGCACTGCAAGTATCCCAACAATTATCAGTTGAACTCAATTCTCAAATATTACAATTTAATATCTAGTTCAATTGCATGGATTGTAACCATTTGAGCAAATATATTTTTAAAACTTGTTAACTTGAGACACTGAGAGATAATAGAGAGTCCTATTTTGTTAAAGGGTGCTTTTATTTTGATCATTATTTGTAATCACCATTTTAATGTATGCTTTCTTGTAAGAGATTCCTTAAAATCATTCATGGTTTGTGGTTCTGGAAGTCCTCCAAATGGGTTACATATGATAGGCATTTTGCCCTGTTTATGCAAAAGTTGAGTCAGAGGCCATTAGCAACTTTCCCTAAAGGGAATAACCACAAACCATAACTAATATTAATATAAACATATAAACATATTTTACATAAAAAGATCTTGCCTGAACAGTCCCCTAGTGGACTTAACATTTTAATGCAATAAAATTGGTGGGAAAGAGTTTTTGAGTCAGGGACCCTTGAATTCAAAACCCTGATCTACGTCTTATTTTTAAATTTTTACATTGGACAAGATATTGTTTTAAATCCCCATTAATCAAATGCTTCCTATTTCCAAGTCAGAGTCTTAGACATTTTATATGAATAATTTTTTCTCATAATTACATAAAATTCTATTACATAATTACATAATAATTACATAAGTAGATAGGAACTATTATTTTTAATTTCCAGTGAGAATACCAGGATTCATAACGTTTAAATATTTTTCCACAAATCCCACAGCCACTAAATGGAAACCAACATTTCTGACATGCAATTTCTATTGCTTACATTTTCATGCCTGTAGTGAGTTAAAGATTGCCCCCCAAAATCCAGGCCTGCCAGGGACTTCAGTATGTGACTGTATTTGGACATAAGTTCTTCACAGTTGTAAATAGGCATCTAGCGATAAAATAATCCAGCATGGACCTTAAGTCCAATGACTGGCAGCTTTATCAGAAGAAAGGACAGGGAGAGACAGAATAGAAAGCCATGTGAACACGGAGACAGATTAATGTTGCCATAAATCATGGAATGCCAAAACTGTAACCATCTTTGCAAAACATATAACAGCAAATTATGACAATGAAAGAAAGTCTCCATCTTGCTTCTGACCTTTAAGCTGTACTTGTTCATTCCTGGGAGTAGGCCGAACTGACCTTGGGAAGGAATTTAGTTTATAGTTTGACTCTGAAACAAAGTTGATAATAATCCTTTCCCGAAAAGACCTCCTTCTTCCCTGGGGACCGTCTGCCTTTGTAGGACTAACAAATCAGCTATAAGATTAGAAATTACGGTGTAGGGGCCATGCAGCCTCCAGCTGCAAGAGTATGAACTTCCTCAAATTGCTTCTGAGGATAACATCACTATTGTAAAACCTAAGATCAGTGCTTGTTGACATATTTTGCAGACTCTGCACTCCATGGATCAGCTGACACCACTCAGACCAATGATTTGGCTCAACCAGTTCTGCGATCCCACCCAGGAAGGGAAGACTGAAAGAAAACCTCACTTCCACCTGGCTAAGATTTCATCTCTAACCTGACCAATCAGCACTCCCCACTCTGGAGCCCCTACCCACCAAATTATCCTTAAATAATCTTATCTCCAAATGCTCTGGGAGACTGATTTGAGTAATAATAAAACTCGAGGTCTCCCACACAGCCGGCTCTGCGTGAATTTCTCTTTCAGCATTGCAATTCCCCTGTCTTAATAAATCAGCTCTGTCTAGGCCGCAGGTAGGGTGAACCTGCTGGGCAGATACAGAACCACCAGAAGCTGGAAAAGGCAAAGAAGAATTATTCTCTATAGCCATAAGAGAGAGAAAGACCCTGCCAACAATTTGATTTCAGAATTTTGGCCTCCAAAGCCATGAGACAGTAAATTTCTGTTATTTTAAGCCACCAGGTTTGTGATTTGTTGAAGAAGCAGTGCTAAGTTAATACAACACCGTAGTGTCTTTATCTGTAAAGCAGGGCCCAAGATATTTACACATAGTATTAAATACAAAGCATTTTAAAAGACTAAATTCATAGGGACATTCAGGGCTGTGATAAAATTGCTGAAAACAATGAGGGAATCTAGCCTCATCTTAGATCATTATTTTGAAGGTGAATAAGGCACAGAGAAAGAATCCATTGTGCTTGTTTATTAAATCATTGTATACAGCATCCAGTTAACATTTTGCAAAGTGAGAACAGTTGCCTAGTTGATTATAAAACACAGTGAGTTTTCATGATGATATGTGGTAGGAGAAGAAACAGATATTTCTATAATAACTTGAAAAAAAATAACAGTTAAAAGAATATTCATTAAAATTATATGTGAACATGGCAACTAGCATAGAAAATAGAACAGGTTTCAGAGATAATTGGAAAGTCTATAATTCAGATTTATTCCGTTAAATGATAAAAAAAGAAACAGCAAAAGACATATGGTTATGCAGGGATTAAAGGGCATTATTAGACATACACAGAATAAAAATTCAACTGCTTTAAGATATTATTCACATACCATACAACAAACTCATTTAAAGTGCATAACTCAGTGATTTACAATATATTCACAGAATGGTGCAACCATCACCACAAACAATTTACAAATATTTTCATCACCCCAAAATGAAGCCTCAGATCAATTAGATGTCACTTCCCATTCCTGTTCTGGCCAACCAGAAAACCACTAATTTATTTTCTGTCTCTATGGATTTGCCTATTCTAGACATTTTGTTTATGTAGAATCATACAAAATATGTTCTTTTGTTACTGAATTCTTTCACTTAGCATCATGTTCTCAAGGTTCATTCATGCTGTAACCTTTATCAATACTTCATTCCTTTGTTTTGCCAAATATCATTGCATCTATATTTGTATATACCACATTTGATTTATCTGTTTATCAGTAGATGGGCTGTTGGGTTGTTTACACTATTGAATATTATAAATAAGGCTGTTATGAACACCTGTATACAATTTTTTTGTGTAAAATATATGTTGCCATTGCTCTTGAGTACCCATCTGAGAGTGGAATTGCTGAGGTATATGGTAATTCCATTTTTAACAATTTGAAGAACTGCCAAACTGTTTTCCAAAGTGATTGCCCCATTTTAGCTTCCCATCGACAATGTATGAGGATTCCATTTTCTCTGCATCCTTTTCAATACTTGTGTCTGTCTTTATGACAGTAGCCATCCTAATGTCCTAATGAGTGTGAAATGGTATGCCATTATGGATTTGATTTTGCGTTTTCCCAACTGCCAGTGATGTTGAGCATTTTCTATGTGCTTATTGGCCATGGTGTATGGTCTCTGGAGAAATATCTATTCATATCCTTTTCTCATTTTTAAATTATGAATTGTTTCTCTTTCTTCTCTTTCTTGTCTTTTTAGCTTTGAGTTTTAAGGGTTCTTTATTTTTGGATGCAAATACTTTATCAGGTCTATAATTTCCAAATGTTTTCTCTCATTCTGTGGATTCTCTTTTAACTTTCTTGATAGCATTGTTTGCAGTATAAATATTTTATTATTGGCAACATTAAATTTATGTATTTTTGTTGATTTTGTCACTTGTGCTTCAAGCATTGTATCTAACAAGATTTTGCCTACCACAAATCATAAAGATTTATGCATAAGCTTTCTTCTGAGAGTTTTATAGTACTAGTGCTTGTTTCTGGGTCGGTGGTTCATTTTGACTTCATTTTTGTATGTGGTCTGATGCAGGAGTCCAGTTTTATTATTTTGCATGTTCGTATTCAGCACCGTTTGTTGAGACTATTCTTTTTCTTACTGAATTTCTTGGCAGCTTTGTAGAAAATCAATTGACCATAAATTTGAAAGTTTACTTCTGGACCTTTAATTCTATTTCATTGGTCTATATATCTATTGAGACAGTAACACATTATCTTGGTTACTGGAAAGCAAATTTTTAAACTGATAAATTTGAGTCCTCAGACTTTGGTCTTCTTTTTTAAGATTATTATTTGGGTGGAGGAGAGGTCTCTTGCATTTCCACATGAGTTTTAGGATCAGCGTATCCATTTATATAAAAAAGCAGCCAAGATTTTGTCAGGGATTACACTGAATCTGTAGATCAATTTGGGGATTGTTGCTATTGGGACACTATTAAGTCTTCCTATGCATGAACATGGTATATCTTTTTATTTACTTAGGACTTATACAATTTCTATCAACAATGTTTATAGCTTTGGAATACAAGTTTTGCACTTTTTTTGTTAAATACATCCTTATTTTATTTTGTTACTGTTGTTATATTCTTAATTTTATTTCAGATTATGCATTCCTGGTGTACAGAAATGCAATTAATTTTTGTGTACTGATCTTTTACCTTGAAACCTGGATGAATGAATTTAGTTCCAATAGAGTTTTACAAGATTCCTTAAGATTTTTATACATAATATCACATTATCTACAAATAGAGATTATTTTCTGTCTGCCTTTCCAATTTGGAGGTTTTAAAAAATTTTTTATTGCTTAATTGCCCTTGCTACAACCTTCTGTAAAATGTTGAATAGAAGTGGTGAGAGTATATACCCTTATCTTGCTCCTGATCTTTCTGTGAAAGCATTCCATCTATTTTTTTTTTTTAATTTGAACTTTTATTTTAGATTCAGGGGATACAAGTATAGGTTTGTTAGCTGAATATATTGTGTGATATTGAGGTTGGGGGACAATTGATCCTGTCACCCAAGTTGTAAGTTAAGCATAGTACCCAATAGGTAGTGTTTAAATCTTGTTCCCTCTGCCACTCTCCCCTCTGATAGTCTGCAGTGTTGATTCCTATTTTTACGTCCATGTATACTCAATGTTTAGCTGTTTAGCTCACTTTTACAAGCAAGAACATGCTGTATCTGGCTTTCTGCTTTTGTGTTAATTCAGTCAGGATAATGGCCTCCAACTGCATCCACATTGCTGCAAAAGGCATGATTTTATTTATTTTTTATCACTGTGTAGTATTCCATGGTGTATATGTACCGCATTCCCTTTATCCAGTCCACTGTTGATGGGCACCTAGGATGATTCCATGTCTTTGCTATTGTGAATAGTGCTGTGACGTACATAAAAAGGCACATATCTTTTTAGTAGAACAATTTATATTCCTTTGGTTATATACCCAGTAATGAGATTGCTTGTTCAAATGGTAGTTCTATTTTTAGTTCTTTGAGAAATTTCAAAACTAGTTTCCACAGTAGCTGAACTAATTTACATTCCACCAACAGTGTATAAGCATTCCCTTTTCTCCCCAGCCTTACCAGCATCTGTTATTTTTTGACTTTTTAATGGTAGCCATTCTGACTGATGTGAGGTAGTGTCTCATTATGGTTTTGATTTGCATTTGTTTTATGATTAGTGATAAGCATTTTTTCATATGTTTGCTGACTGTTTTCATGTCTTCTTTTGAGAAGTATCTGTTCATGTCCTTTGTCCACTTTTTAATGGAGTTGTTTTTTTTTGCCTGTTGAATTGTTTAAATTCTTTATAGATTCCGGACATAAGAGCTTTGTCAGATGCATGGTTTGTGAATATTATTTCCCATTCTGTAGATAGCTGTTTACACCATTGCCAGTTTCTTTTTCTGTGCAGAAGCTAAAGATAGTTTACTTAAGTCCCACTTCTCAATTTTAGTTTTTGTTGCAATTGCTTTTGAGACTTAGTCATAAATTATTTGCCAAGGCTGATGACCATGAGGGTATTTCCTAGGTTTTCTTCTAGGATTTTCATAGTTTTGGGTCTTACATTTAAGTCTTTAATCCTTTTTGAGTTAATTTTTGTATATGGTGATATGTAGGGGTCCAGTTTCAATCTTCTGCATATGGATAGCCAGTTATCTCAGCACAATTTATTGAATAAGAAGGTCTTTCCCTATTGTTTATTGTTGTCAACTTTGTCGAAGATGAGTTGGTTGTAGGTGTGCTGCTTTATTTCTGGGTTCTCTATTCTGCTCCATTGTTCTGTGTGTCTATTTTTATATAGGTACTATGTGTTTTGGTTTACTGTCACCTTCTAGTGTAGTTTGAAATGGGGTAATTGATGCCTCCAGTTTTTCCTTTTCACATAGGATTGCTTTGACTCTTCAGGCTTTTTATGTTTGTTTCCATGTGAATTTTAGAATAGTTTTTCTAGTTCTGTGAAAAATGGCCTTGGCAGTTTGATAGAAATAGTGTTGAATCTGTAGATTGCTTTGGGCAGTATGGTCATTTTAATGATATTGATTCTTCTAATCCATGAGCATGAAATTTTTTTTCATTTGTTTGTGTCCTCCTGATTTCTTTCAGCAGTATTTTGTAGTTCTCCTTGTAGAGATCTATCACCTACCTGGTTAGTTTCTAGATACCTTATTTTATGTGTGTGGCTACTGTAAATGGGATTGCATTTTTGATTTGGCTCAAAGGTTGAACTTTAACGGTGTATAGAAAAAGCATTTCATCTTTCATCATCAAGTATAAAGTTCGTTGTGGATATTTTGTAGGTGACCTTTCGCAAGTTGAAAAAAATCCCTTTTACTCCTTGTTTGTTGAATAAAAACCCAGGGTGTGTTAGATGTAGTCATGCTTTTTCCTTATCTATTGAGATGATGTGAGTTTTTGCCCTTTGAAATGGTGTACTATGTTAATTGATTTTCTGATGTTACATTATTTTCACATTCTTAGAAGAAATCCTACTTAGTCATGGTATATAATCTTTTTACGTATTGCTGTATTCACTTGCTAGTATTTTGTTGAGATTTTCATCTATGTCAATAGGGATGTTAGGTGGCACTTTTCTGGTGATGTTTTTGTCTGGTTTTGGTTTCAGGTATTGGCCTTAGAAAATAAGTTGAGAAGTCTTCCTTCCTCTGCTCCTTTTTGAAACATTTAGTGAAAAATTAATATTAATTCTCCATTAAATGTTTGATAAAGCTTACCAGTGAATCTAAGACTGGGGTCTTTTTTTGTGTGTGAGGTTTAAGAATGTCCTATTCAATATTTTTACTTGTTACAAGTTATTTCAGAATTTCTATGTCTTCTTAAGTCAGTTTTGTAGTTCATGTGTTTATAAGAATTTGTCCTTTTCATCTAGGTTAATTGCTTAGTATACACTTGCTTACTTTGCATACTAAGATTCTTATAATTCTATGTTTTTTGTAACATTGTAAACATGTGTCCTCTTACATTGCTGATTTTAGCAATTTCAGCCTTCTCCCTTTCTTTATCTCACTAAAAGTTCATCAAAATATTAAATATTTTCAAAAATCAGCTTGTGGTTGCTTGATTTTCTATATTATTTTTCTATTGTCTATTTATTTTCATCATTATTTTCTGTCTTCTGCTTGTGGGGGTTTAGTTTGTCCTTCTCTAACATATTTTAAAATGAAAATTTAGATTATTAATTTGAAATCATTTTTTATTTTAAATGTAGCCATTTACAAATATAAATTTCCCTGTAAATAAATTTCATAAATTTTAATATATTGTGTCTTCATATTTATTCTTCTTATAGCATTTTTTATTTTGATTTTTTTTCTTTTTTGAACAATTGGCTAATTGGGAGTGTGTTGTTAACTTTCACACATTTGTGAATTTCAAAAATTTTTGTTACTGATTTATTATCATATTTCAATGTGTTGGAGAACATACTTTGCATGACTTAAAACATTTCATATTATTGAGGCTTGTTTCCTTTAATGCTCTAGAGATGTCTGTTAAATCTAGTTGATTTTAGTGCTGCTCAAGTTTTCTACTTTCTCTTTGATCTCTAGTTGTCCTGTCTGTTATTAAAAGTGGGGTATTAGATTCTTTGATCATTATTGTTGAATTGTCTGTTCCTTCCTTTAATTTTATCAGTTTTGCTTCATGTATTTTGAGGCTCTGTCGTTGGACATATGTGTTTATAATTGATATACCTTCCTAATGGATTTACACTTTTATCATTATCAATGTTTTCTTTATCTCAGTGACATTTTAAAAATTTTAAAGTCTATTTTATTTTCCTGATGCTACTTTATAACCTCTACAGCTTTCTATGGTTGCAGTTTTATATGTTTTTCTATCCTTGTACTTTCCATATCTTGGTATTTTTTAATATTAATATCTCCTAGAGGCAGGCAGCGATAAATCTTTTTTTTTTTTTTTCTTTCTAGACAAGAGCCTTGCTCTGTCGCCCAGGCTGGAGTGCAGTGGTGCGATCTCAGCTCACTGCAACTTCCGTGTCTCTGGTTCAAGCAATTCTTCTGCCTCAGCCTCCCAAATAGCTGGGATTACAGGCCCATACCACCATACCTGGCTAATTTTTGTATTTTAAGTAGAGACAAGGTTTCACCATATTGGTCAGGCTGTTCTGAATCTTTTTTAAAAATCTAATCTGCCAATTTCTGTCATTTAATTTGCCTATTTAACCCATTCACATTTACTACTATTATTGATATAGTTAAGTTTATATTTGCCATTTAGTTTTTGTTTACTGTCTCATGTATTTGTTTCTTTGTTTCTTTTTTATTACCTTCATTTGCATTAAGTTAATATTTTCTGGAGTAAAATTTTAATTCTTTTAGTGATTTTTTTACTACTTTATGGAGATTTATTTCAGTGGCAGCTCTATGGCTTAGCGTGTACATATTACTTCATGAGAACATTCTTCAGATTTATATGAACTTAATCCCAGTGAGATATTGAAATGTTACTCTTGTAAGCACTTTCCCTCTTTTTATTTATTCTTATTATTGTTATAAATTTAATACTTATATAAGTTACAAATCTCAAAATATATTTAATTATCATCTTATATGATTTTATGTCTTTTAAAAAGATAAGAGAATGAAGAATACACTGATAGAATTTGTTATATTTGGCTTTGTATTGATCATTTCTAGCCTTATTTGTTTCCATGAATTCAGTTAGAACATTATGTCTTTTTCTTGTTCATATATATATATATAACTAATAATGTAACTTTGTTTCCACTGTCTTCATTTCTGTGGTATTTTCAAATGTATTACATATCTGTATGTTAAATACCTAACAATACAATTATATATATATATTTAAACAACACTATATATATATTACTTTAAACACTTTTAAAAATCAGGTAAGAGAAGAAAGTAGAAGATATATGCATTTATGCTATCTTTTATAATTACATAATTACTTTACCAGAGTGCTTGAATTTTTCATGGATTTAAGATATTATGGAATCTCTTGATTTCAACCTGAAGTTTCACCCTGAATTGTGATGTTTCTTCTAAGGGAGGTCTGCTAGCAAACAATTCTCTCAGTTTTGGTTTATCTGGAAATATCATCTCACATTTTTTAATAAAAGTTTTGATTTATTTCAAAAATGTAGATTTTTGCTTGACAGGGTTTGTTTGTTTGTTTGTGGTTGTTTGCTTCAGTACTCTGAATATGTTATCCCATTGCTGGCATCCATTGCTTTTAGTGAGAATTCAGTTTTCACTCTTATTCAGTCTCACTTTTACATAATGAGTCACTTTTCTCTCTTTTTTTCAATATTATTGCTTTGTCTTTGGATTTCAGCCTTTTGGCCATGATATATCTGGGTGTGGCTCTCTTTGCTTTTATCTGACTTGGGATTTATTGAGACTCTTGCATCTGTATATTACATTTTTTGGTAATCTGGAAAGTTTTAAGCCAGTATTTCTTCAATTTTTTCCATTTTAAAAATGATCTTCTTCTAGTACTGCCATTATATGTATGTTGGTGTTTAATAATGTCCCACAATCCTCTAAGGCTCTGCTCTTTTTTTTTCATTCCTTAGTCTCTCTGCTTTTAAGAATGCATAGTTTTCATTGACTTATGTTCAAGTTCACTGATATTTTATTCTTCTAGCACAAACTTACTAGTTGTCTCTCTAGTGACCTTTTCATTTCAGGTATTAGAATTTTCAATTCCAGAATTTCCATTTTTGTAAAATAATTTCTCTCTCCCCATTAATATTTCTGTTTTATGAGATATCATTATCAAACCTGCCTTTTTATTCTTTAAGCCTGGTTTCTTTTAGTTCTTTAAATATAGTTATAATTACACTTTTGAGATATTTATCTGCTGTCTGACATGTAGACACTCCTAAATGCCATTTCTCTTTCATGATTTATTTCTTTGTATAGGTCACATTTTCCTTTTTTTTTTTTTTTTGATGTTTCATAATATTTTATTGAAAACCAAACATTTTAGTTTTTTTTATTTTGCTTTTTTTAAAATGCGGTATCTGTAGATACAATCCATTCCTAACTCCAGGGTTTTTTTCGTGTTGTTGTTTGCTTGCCTTAGTGACTTACTGGACTATATTTCAGCATTTCTCATGCAGTGTGTATTCTCTGTTGTCCTTCACCAGAGAGCCGAACCTCGGGCATGGGCACATTCACTAGAGAGTGATGATGGCTCTAGTAGGGCTTCATTTGACTGCATCTTTGAACTCTCTTTTAAGTTATCTGCCTCTGTTGGTATCACACTTAGCTATTAGTTTACTAATTATTATTACTAATTATTATACACTAGTTGTTAGATTATTGGTCTACAGATTTTTAAATAATATCATGGAGCATAAATTGTGCCTCCATCTGATCTGAGCCTCTTTGCATGGGTAGACTTTGCAGCTAGGATTTGCAGCTTATTCTGGTTCCAGAAGAACTCTTCTTAGCTATCTCTTTCCCTAGTTTTCTCTGTTAATCAACTACTTGGCTTACAGTTTAATTTGTTGCTCTGATGCAACTGTCATCTTCCCTTAATTGCCTACCACCAAAATCTCTGAGGGTAGAGTGCCCCTACTCCTGAAATTCCCAACATGCTGTTCCAATTAAGTCAGTCATTTTAAGATAGTTATAGAGTCTCTCTCTCTCCCGCTCTCTCTCGTGCATGCTCTCTCTCTCTCTCTCTTTCTCTCTCTCTCATCAGAGCTTTATTTTCTCCCTGGAAAAAAATTTCTGTGACCACTGCTCTGGAGCTGGAAGTGGGCACAATGGCCCAATATTCTCAGAGTGACTCCTTTGCCTTACTAGTAGGGCACTGAGCAGGTACACTTACCTATGATTTTCTTAACTTGCCTCTCCTGGGGTGGAATATCTGTGAGCTAGGATTAAGAAAATGGGGGTGTTCTTAGCTTGCTATGCCTGGGGTTGAGCTTTCAACCTACAAGGAGTGTTAAGCTGAGAAAGGGATCCCCTAACCTCTCACTTCTTTTGTCTAGGTTAAAAATTCTACAACATGAATCTGGGAAGAAGGATGAGAAATGCTGGCATCCTAACCCTCTGGGAGATACTATAGTCCTGCATTGGGAGTTGGAAGGACAAGGAGCCCAGCATTATTAGCTGTGTCAATATAAACAGAGTTTCCATGTTGCTGAGTAAGGAAAAGAAGGAAAAGGAGAGAGAGTTTCAGTGGCTTAATGTCATAGACTCTTATTTTCTTTTATATATATATATATATTATACTTTAAGTTCTAGGTGTGCAGAACGTGCAGGTTTCTTACATATGTATACATATGCCATGTTGGTGTGCTGCACCCATTAACTCGTCATTTACATTAGGATATCTCCTAATGCTATCCCTCCCCTCTCACCCCACCCCACAACAGGCCTCAGTGTGTGATGTTCCCCTTCCTGTGTCCAAGTGTTCTCATTGTTCAATTCCCACCTATGAGTGAGAACATGCGGTGTTTAGTTTTTTGTCCTTGCAATAGTTTGCTGAGAATGATGGTTTCCAGCTTCATCCATGTCCCTACAACGGACATGAACTCACCTTTTTTATGGCTGCATAGTATTCCATGGTGTATATGTGCCACATTTTCTTAATCCAGTCTATCATTGTTAGACATTTGGGTTGGTTCCAAGTCTTTGCTACTGTGAGTGCATAAAGATACATGTGCATGTGTCTTTATAGCAGCATGATTTATATTCCTTTGGGTACATACCCAGTAATGGATTGGCTGGGTCAAATGGTATCTCTAGTACTAGATCCCTGAGGAATCACCACACTGTCTTCCACAATGGTTGTTTTCATTTAGATTTAGGAACTATATTGAATAAAAGTTTTTTTGTTGTTTCTTTTCATTTTCTGTATACAATTAGGACAATTTCCAGACACACTAAATCTTTTTTTGTAAATTTCTATAATTTTTATGGTTGTTTTGCTTGTGAGAAGTCTGTAGAATTTTTTATGTTGCTATTGCGCAAGTTCCTCCAAATATCCTCAGAACAGCGAAAAGATAAGTTAGCTGCATAGGGAATGGTTTTGGAAATTAAAAAAATTTATTGATAGAAAATATCTGCGATAGGTTGGATTCTTGTCCTCTCCAAATCCTCAGTGTTGAAGGTGGGGCCAAATGGGAGGTGTTTAAGTCATGAGGGGGGAACCCTTCATGAATAGATTAATGCCCTCCTTGGGGGTATGGTGAGTGAGTTCTCACTCTGTTTGTTCCCGTGAGAGCTGGTGGTTAAAAAGCTGGTGGTGGTACTTCTCCCCTCTCTTTCTTGCTTTCTATCTCACAGTAGGATCTCTGCACTCACCAGCTCCCTTTCACCCTCCATCAGGAGGGGAAGCAATCTCAGGCTTTCAGCAGATGCTCAGTCTTCTAGCCAGCAGGATCATGAGCCAAATAAAACACTTTTCTTTATAATTATCCAGCCTCGGGTATTCCTTTATTGTAACACCAAACCACTAAAACAATATCTTAAAGTAGAAATGTGAGAGAAGATATATCAAAATGTGAAGATCATTTCTTACTACTTCTGACTTTTTAAAGTGTTGAATTACATTAAAATAAAAATCAAGTGTACACAATCAATAACCTAATGAATGATAGCATTTTTTATGGCTCTTGGGAGGCGATAATAGTTAAACACAATTTGGTTGTTGGATATTTACAGAAATAAAAGGAAAGAAAAAATGGTACAACAATTCTAAACCTACTCTGATTCAACCACAGATGTAAAAATTAATGTATAATCATCTGAGGTTTTTAAGGGAACTCTTTAACCTTTACATAAATAAATCAGATTGATTCTACTTTATTTATAATATTGGTGTAGCCTTGTAAACTTATGCACTTTAAAAAATTAGCTCATACCTACACATTTGGGTAGTCTAATAAATATTGTGTAAGTTATCTTATTTAGCGATATTAGTAACATTAATTTTATTTGTAATATTTTAAATTACATGTTTTTTTCTGATAATTTTTTATGAGTTATGTAGTACCATTTGTAGTCATTATACTTGAAGAAATATTGCCATAAATTTCTAAATATATCTTTTTGGACTGAATGTGCAAGTAAATGAAGGAAAGATGTTAAACAATATATTGGCAAAAAGTTTATTCTCATATGACCTAAAAGTTTTTTAAGAGACTAGATTTTTAAACTTTTATTTTTTAATTTTTAAAAAGTTTGAAATGTTCAAAACAGAAGAAATAAAGAAATAAAAGTATAAAAGCTGGGATATCTAATTAAGAAGAATTGTATTTACTAGTGAAAACTTTCTAAAAATGAATGCACTTTTTCTCCCAAGTCATTCAAAATGCTGATAATTCCAGTGTTTTAAAAAAAATATTTAAAAGTTTTTTTGACATAAAGCATCACAGTCATTAAAAAGTGTGTATATATTAAATGCCATTAGTGCTTGCTTTTGGTTACACAGTTTAACCTGATGCTACCTGCTCTAATGTATACTTGGCAGCATTTCAAGAAAACTAAACAGATGTTTTCTGTTGCCCATAGAGGGAAGGAGTGTCTTTCTCGTGTTCATGTTGGGAAGTGTCTATAGATATCCATTGGGAGTTCCAGATGGCTCACGATGCTACCTGCACCTTTCTGTTCAGTAGTGTTAGGTATAATTTTGTTAACGTTATCCCTTTTATAGATTTTGACATGCTTGAGATGAGAAATTACTGTAAGAAGCACTCTTTATCCACCATGTGAATATTGAGTGACATATGTTAGAAGTATATAAGAGTACATAACATATTGGAATCTATTTTAAATTTATGTTATATTTAAGTATAATATTGAATTTTCTCTACATGAAATTAGAAAAAAAATCTGACAATTAATATGTTATTTGTGCATACACAGAAAGATGCCATATTTTCACAGGTTCATTTACATAGGGACATTTTCCAAAGTGTGGCCTTTCTTTTGCAGCATGAAAGAATTTGGGCAGTATAATAGCATAAGTAAAACATTGAGTTTGTAATTTTTCAACTACCTATTATTTTAAAAAAGCAAAGGATTAATTGTCCACGCACATAATAATATTTGGACCCCTAAGAACATAGAGAAAATAAAATAAAAATATAAGGATCTAAAATGATATAGATTTATTTAAATACTTTGCCAATGTCCTGTAAATATTTTAAAGATTGAGTTTATAATGCAGATATAATAAAATGTTTCTTTGATACATACAGATAATTTTGTAAACATTGAAAAAAATTTGACTTATGCAGATACTCCTTCACGACTGCCTTATATTTGTTATATTTCTAACATTAAGGCAGATGTCTTAGTGTCATGAAACACTAAGACACTAGGAGGTAGTGCAGAATGTCCATCGCTCAATAACTGATTCATTGCATTAAAAAATATGTCAAAGATGAAACATATCTCCTTTAACTCACAAGTCAGATAGGACCTGTTTGCCCAAGAGAGCTAAATATCAGTGTTTCAAATCTCCAATTTCCCAGTCTCGTGGTTGGCTGAAGCCTGAAGTTCTCCAACACGTATTTCTACAGATTTGAGATATATGTGCATACTCTTCTGGTACCTTCCCCCTCTGGCCTCAAGAGCCTAAAATAGTTGCCTTCTCCAAATATCACCAACACTCTGCTGTATTTAATACCTTATTAACATGTGCCTGCTAAAATTGTTCAACAGAAATTACCATAGAAATGTTAGAATTTTGGAAGCTCTGTGTGTGTGTGTGAAGAAATATGAGGTGAAAGGTCAGAGAGTTTGTACTTCTCACCACATAGAAAATGATTTAAAAATACATCATATCTTTTTTCCAGAAGTTTAAAAGATAATATTTAAAATCAGATATATAGAGCGGTAGCTGCATTTTAAAGTGGGATGCAAATTGTTATTTTATGGAAGAGATGGTTATGAATTATATACATAACAAAAGCTCTGATATCTAAATTTAGAAATCAGTCTCAGCAAAACCTATCAGATTTTTAGAACCTCAACATTTTCCTAGATTAAAAACAGAGAGTAAAAAAAAGTTAGTATAGGTGATACTCCTTAACATAACCAGGTTTAATGTGAGGCTATGACTTCAAATTAGTTATTAAAGTAAACAGATTATTCTAAAGCATATATACATTCATGTGTACATTCATATGTAAATGCATGCATACTTCGTAAATTGAGCAAAGTATAAAATCATATGTGAGAAAAAACAATGTTCATCTTTATCATTCCAGAATTTATCTTGTGCTTCTTAGTTCTAAAAAATTCATTGTATAATACATGTCAGTTTTCCCCGAAAATTTTTTATATTCTTGATATAAAAGACACACTACTAACTATGGCATAAAATGTTTATTTGGGATCTCTTTTTTATTTAATCCTATTGAAAGTAAAAATACCAAAAAGCACTTTAAGTAGTTAATACATTTCTTATGTTACAGGTATTTAACATAGGATCCTTCAGTGAGTTATAATGGATTGATAAAAACCTTGGTATTTAATGTCCAATTTTAGATCGTATTTATTTTTGAAAGGTTAAAAACGTGATCAGATACGCAGTGTTGTCTGTGCTCAGGGAAAAAAAAAGGTTAAGAACCAATGCTTTTAGTTATGTTTAAGCAGATTTAGTCCCAAAAATAGTATTAAAATCTAGCAAATAAAATATATTGGTCCAAGTTGGCAGAAACAATGAATGTTAGATGTATAGGAATTTATACTTTAAAATGAGAAATGCAAATGCTGTGCTCAATTTCTAAATAAATGTCATTTTGCTTCCAATAAATATATACTGGATTTTTGGAAGAATTGAAGCACTCCCAGGATACAGCGAATGCCCATAACAGTCATCTGGGACCATTTCTCAGATTAGTTTCTGATGTTATGTTTGATATTGCTAATTATTTCATAACAACCTAACACGAAAAAGAGATCACAAAGAAGACTATTGATACTCAGTATTAGTTGTTGACGTATTTGTAACTTGGTTAAAATTTTAATTTTTAAAATTGGCCTCAATTTCCTACATCATAGTCAAATTTAACTTTACTATACATTATTGCACACTTTTACTTTTCATTCTCTATTTTGCAGGGGTTAAAAATGAGATAATGGGGCCACAGAGAGGGGAGTTTGTTTTAGTGTTTAAGAATAAAAAAAAATGAAGAGCTAAACTGAAACTCATATCCTGTTGTTATTTTCTCAAATACAGATTTGCATGCTGTTAAATTTGTACCCAGACCAATATGGTATTATTGGCCTTTATATTTTAAAATATAAAAATTCTAAAACGTATTGTTGGGTAAGTTTGCCAATTGCAATTTCAGAAAGTCTGTTTCTTAATTTTAAATTAGGCCTGTTACACATTTTTTGTTAAAATGTCTTTGATTTTTTAAATAATGGTGAATATAGATAATAGTCTTAATTTTGTTTTATACGTATCCTTTGCAAAGTGAAATAGATAATATATGTACACACACACACACACACACACACACATATATGCCATTTATCAATTCTCCATTTTTTTTCTCTATGCTCAATTGCTTTATGGAAAGTCCAACAAATACAGGCTAACTACTCCAGCTAGCTTTTAGAGCTGGCATTCATGGGCCAGAAAGGTCAGCCTAACTAAAAGGCCAGGCAATTTGTTGTGAATTCTGTTTTAAAAAGGCACAAAAGTAATGCATGTGGTAATCTTTCACTGACTTAAAAAGGCAAGACAGCTCTATGAAAAGAATTCTGCGTTATTAATTTATCACGTGACTCAAAGTTGTGCTGACTGAACACTGCATCAAAGTGTTGCAGCATCCACAGCTAAATGAACATGTTGCTTTCAGCAACTGAATGCCAGAGGCTAGGAGATCCTAACAGGATAACTTTTAGGATCAAAAGAATGTTTCATGTAGGAAACTTGGAACAAATATATTATCCTAAAGCCATCTATCAACAAAAAGCAATTAATGCATGACATTAATCAAATACTGACAATGACTGCATTATTATTTCCATAAATCTGATAAGGATCTAATACTTTAACTGATCCAGTTAGTAAAGATAGTAATCCCACTGATCTAATATTGTTCCCGAATAATAGTTATATGATAACATAGATCTAATTTTTTTTCATATTGAAAAATACTTGGGCTCTTTTTTTAGCAAATATTTTATAAGTATGGTTCACTTGCACCTAAGCTGCAACTAAACAAACAAATTGAAAAAGATAAATTAAAATAATTAAGAGGAATAAATATGAAGACCTTTGTCAACTGACATCTAAACATTTAAAGAGTTTTATTACCAAGAAGTTAAAAATAATCATTTTAGTATGGCAAATTAAAAGTGTTAGGGCAAGATCAAACAAAATAAAGCCAAGGTGTAAAACCAAGGAGTGGGAGTGGAGATTATTAATAGGTGTCACTGAATAGATTCCCATGGTAAATATTGATGCGGTGTTGATTGTACCATTAAAATGTATATCTGGCTATAGTCTTAGTTGTTAGCCTCTAGAAAACAAAAACTATTAAAGAGTAATAAGAAATGTTGCCTGGAGTCTATCAACTTTGCTGCTGTTCAAAATTGAACATCATGCAAATAGAGTGAACTTCTGCTGGAAACTCAAATTTTAATCTTAGCCAATTATTTTATGTCTCTTTTCTTGATTTAGAAAAGCTGGCTCTCAGAGATACAAACAAATTGTAAGCAATGTCTTCACGTGAGAAATCTGTAAGTAGTTGATTATATTACCAACTTTCATAGATTGATTCATATTTATCTGGTTTAGTGCAGAAGAATTGATAGGAGGACCATGCAAACTTTCTTACAACTTCTATAATTCTATATATAAACATAACTTCTACCTACTAATGATTCTTACCTAACATATCAAGGCAAAGATAGTCCCAGATTTGAATAAATGTAAATGCATTGAAAGCTAAGGTTTTTTAACTTAATGTTGTAAAAGTTTAATAATACATAAGCAAATTTTAAAATGAAAATGCTGACAAATTCTTTCAAAACAGAAAAAGTAATCACACTTCTGTATTATTCACAAGCACATACACACATGCATTTGTGCACACGCACACATCTGGCAATATTAACGTATTAGGAACCCACGGTGAGGGCTAGTTGAGCTGACATTGAACATAGAAAGGTAAATGATTGGAACTTTAATTACTTTGATCCATCATGTCTCGTAGCTATGTGTCAGCCTAAGCCAACACAACTGACATGGAACACAGGCCATGGCTGCTTCAATATCGTAACACATTTCTAATGGTTGGTTAATAAGTCTATTGAATTGAATGTGTGCTGGGAACTGAAAATAATACTATAAAAATATGAGACCTATAGACATTTTATGTATTTGTTATATGTATACCTGTCTGTGTATGTATACTTATCAATATCAAATGTAGATATACAAATAAGTACATTTGGATTAATGTCAGTATGACATGTATGCATATGTCAAATACAGATTTGTTGGAGGGAAGAGACAGAGTGAAAGAGAAGGAGAAAAGGAATGGTAGGAATCTCTATTTAAAATCAGAATAATTACATGAATAAAATAATGCTGTTTTGACACTAAGCCATAAAACTGTTTTTTTAGTTCATTTATTAAACATTTTACCCAAATAGTTAGAAAATGGTATATGTAGGATTGAAACAACTAGTTGGTTGACTGCTTTTTTTTCATGCTTTTCTCAGTGATTTTGTGTAATATGCATACAGGTTTGTTTCACCCTATTTCTGCAAATCGCAAAAATTCCCTTTTACATTTGCAGACATTTTTAGGAAGAATGAATGAAAGAGAAGAAAACTTACCTTCCCTCCAAATAGTATGTAGAGTTTTACACTATAAATCAATTTCCAACAATGCTTTGAAGTTTTCAAGTTTTAGAGATTGGCCATTCTGTGGTTCCACAGAAAAGAGCATAACTAAAAATCTACTTAACTTATATATTAGAAGCTGTAACCAGAGGCCTGTTCATTCTAGGCAACTCTCTGGGTTAAAGGCTGGAATTTCTTATCAGTAGGAAATACTTTGCTCATAGTTACAGCATGTCATCAAAGATTTATAGTAGCTAATTCTAAAAATGGAAACAAACAAATATTGAGTTTAATTTAGACATATTTACTATTCATTATGTGATTGCATATTTTAGTATTTTAGTTATAAGTGTAGATTGCTTTTCTTCATTCTTTAAGTATAAAATGTCCCCCTATGAAGGCTTTTTCTACATAAATGAGTTAATTTGCTCCTTATTTTATAGATATTGGAACTGAAGTATGCCCACATTTTCTGTCTTTATGAAATTACTTTTTTCTTTTTGTATCAAAATAAAATAACAAGTCCACTATAGAAATAGCATAATAAGTCCAGTGACTTTCTCAAGTAATTGGAGAATCACTGGGAAAGGCAGACACTCCTTGATTTTTATTTATTTATTTATGTATTTATTCATTTATTTATCTCTGGCTGCAAACTGCCCCTCCCAGTCAACATCCAGTGGCATCATCTTTGCTCCTCTGTGCCACTTCAAATGTCTGCATCGAGTAGATGCTCTGGAGATCAACACTATAGTTCCTTCAGAGAATTTTATTAGGCAAAAGAAAATTAAAATTTAAAAAATGGAATAATGAAAATTGTTTATCACTCTTCCCTTTTCCTGTAGTTCATTGTTTTTTCCTCTTACATTGGAGAGGCCCTTATTGGTGATTCCCCTCTTTTCCTTTGCCTTGCTATGCTATTCCTTTTGTTCCATGAGCCCCTCTATTTTCAGTTCCGCACTTTTCTCTCTTTCCTCAGACTTCTTTCCACAGGATGCTGAAGATTCCTTCTTAATATACAAACAGTCCCTTTGATGAGATGCCCATTTCACACTATTCAACTGGTATAATCTTTCACACTATAAAGAAAATACTTATCAACCTCTTAAAGAATTGGCATTTTTATTACTCAACAAATATTTGGGCCTTCTGCCAAAACAATGTGAAGGTACTTGGCTTACATATTCATGACTAAGAGGGTTTATCAAAATGATTCATTCCAAAGTACACGAGTCTGACATAAAGACAAATTTTAGCTTTCTACCTTAGAACCCACAGGAAGCAGTGTGTGTATAGATTAAATGTAGCCCACTTTTTTTCTCTCAAATCTTCTAGGTATCAAGGTTAAACAAATATTGAAGTACCTGAATACTTAAAATAATTAAATGCAATTAGAATTAGATACAACCTTTCTTCCATTATTTTACTTTATGATTAAAAATTAATTAGAAGAGAATTCTACTCCCAGTCATGATGGAGAATCTTGTATGAAAAAAAGCCTTGCCAAGAACAGTAGAAAAACTGGACAAAATATAAGCCTAACAAACAAAACAGGTCTTTGAAGACAATAGGAGCAATGTCCAGGTAAGACTGAGAAACAGTAGAAAAGAGAAGACAATGGAATGGCACATATGAAATATGAAAAATAATAAAACAACAACAATAATAAATTATAACCTAAAATTCTACCTTCAGTGAACATATTCTACAAAAATAAAGGCAAAATAAAGATGTAATCAACAATATGAAAAGAAAAATTTCATTCTTTGGAGCTCATGCAGACGTAACTTCTAAAGGACATTTTTCAGGCAAAAGAAAAATGATTCCAGATACAGATACAAATACACGCCAAAAAATAAAGAGCAATGGAAATGGTAAACTTGAGGATAAAGCCACATAAATATTGATTGTACAAAGCAATAATAGTCTCCTATAGGTTTTGATAATAGATATATATTTAGATATATGACAATAATAACATACAAGGCATTAGAGATGGTAAATGGAATCAAAGTATTCTAAAGTCCTTGCATTTTTATGGGATTTGGTAAAAGCTCTAATTGATAGTTGACTCTAGTAGATCAAATATGAATTTTGTAAACTCTAAACTCTGTGACAATCATTTTCAAAGTATGGCCCATGAACCCCTGGGAATCCCTGAGAGCCTTCTAGGGGTCCACAGAATCAAAACTATTTTCCTAAATATAAGACATTATTTATCATTTTCACTGAATTAACATTTATTCTGTGCAAAAGTAATGATGGATGAAACAGCGGCATTTTAGCCTGAATCAAGTCAGTGGCACTAAGTGATATTTTAGCCTTAATCAAGTCAGTAGCACTAAGTGATATCAGTAGTCATTATATTCATATACTCAAAGGTAAATAAACAAACAGAAACAGTTTCACTTAAGAATGCCCTTGAGTAGACATCATTACTATCCTGTGTACTGAATGGGAAACCCACATAATGCTAAATATGAATTCCAATACTGAACTCTAAAACTCCAAAATATGATGGTTATCTCAAAGAAAAGCACATATGCAATTATTTGGGTTGCGAACTGAACTATTTTTTACATGAAGCATTACTTTTTACTTAAAAGAATGACTGACAAAGAAATATGGAAATTCAAACCTGGTGTATGGCAGATATTTTCTTATGAATAAATCAAGTGAACTTATCACTAGAAACAAAACAGTTAGGAGTGCTTGCTGCCAATCATAAAATTTGAACTCTCAAGAAAAAATTAGAATTATTGAAAACTTATCTCTAATACCATTAACTTGATAGCTCCCCAATACTTACCTTCTGATGAGATTGGTGATGAAAACTACAAATATTATTTTTATTTTATCATGTTTATGAAATGTACCAACATTTATTTTCATTTATAATGAAATGTATCAATATTTATTTTATAAGGCATGCATAATATTTATGGCAAAATCCAACAAGGGGAAAACAAGAAAGTGAAATCACAAGTCCATCTCTCACATGAATATGCAAAAAAAAAAAAATTTTGTGTACTCCAAATCAAATAAAAAATTAAAAGGAAAAGGGCATGATATGATATTTCAATAAATACCACAATAAGTTAAAGTTTGAAATTCCATCAATATAATTAACTACATAATTTAGGGAAAGCAAGAAGAAACAATACATAGAGATGAAAAATTTGATGAAATTCAATACCAATTTATTTTTAGGGAGTAGAAACTTAAGAAAGTTTCCTAAATGATGTGAAGCATGTTTATCCCCCAAAATGTGGCAAGCACTATACTTAATAATGAAATGTTGAAAACATTTCCCTTTAATCTGGGAATGAAAGAAGGATGGCCACTGTCACTAGACAGATTAAACACTATATTGGATGTTGTAACCTACATAATAAATCAGAAAAAGAAGTAAAATGTATCAGCATTGAAAAGGAAAATAATTATTTAAGAAGATTATTATTTATAGATGATTCAATTGTGAATATAGATCATCTAAAATACATACAGTGAAACTAACAATTAATAGGTAAATTTTGCAAGGTTGCTATATACAATGGTAATATATAAACTTTATTTCTACATTTCAAAGCAACAAATAATTAGAAAATTATATTTTAAAACATTTTACCATACTCAAACTGTCTAATTCGTAGAAAGAAATGTAATGAAAAATGTAAAGAACTTTTACCACCCTATAAAAAATTATATTTTAAAAATATAGTAATTAAGATAATGTAGTATTAGTGCAAGAATATTAAAATATTATATGTCTACATATATATATATACAATTGAGATTGGATAGTTATATAGAAAAATAACAACTCATACTTGACACCACATACACAATTCAAATCCATGCAAAATGTAGATATTTGAAAATTATAATAAAGAGTCCTGAAGAGTCCTATAGGAAGATATATTCATAACTTTGAGGTTATGCAAATATTTTTTAAACCAGACATCCAAAGCAATAAACATATAAGAAAATATTGGTAAATAGTTCTTCAATAAATATAATAATTTCTCTTTAACGAAAAACACCAGAAATATACTGGACAGGCAAACCTCTATGTAAGACAAATTATTTTCATCAGAGTTATCTGAAAGAGAATGGTCATATCCAGTTTACCTAAATAGCTTCCACAAATCAATAATAAAAAGACAGACATCAGACCACAAAAAAAATATGCAGAAGTCTAACAGTGCTCTTAAGAGAATATCAAAATTGCAATAAACATATGAAAAGTTGCTCAGATCACCGGGAAAATACAAATTAAAGCCAGAATGAGGCCCCGCGGGGTGGCTTATGCCTGTAATCTCAGCACTTTGGGAGGCCAAGGGAGGCAGATCACTTAAGGTCAGGAGTCCCAGACCAGCCTGGCCAACATGGCGAATCCTGTCTCTACTGAAAAATACAAAAATTAGCCGGTCGTGGTGGTGCACGTCTGTAATCCCAGCAACTCAGGAAGCTGAGGCAGGAGAATCTCTTGAACCCGGGAGGCGGAGGTTGCAGTGAGCCTAGATCGAGCCACTGCACTCCAGCCTGGGCGACAGAGCGAGATACTGTCTCAAAAGAAAAAAAAAAAAAAAGCCGCAATGAAAAGACATGCTACACAATTAAGTATTGCTACAATGTTTTTTCTTCGTCTTTTTTTTTTTTTTTTTTTTTAGGTAATAACAAATGTTGATGGCACAAATTGTACAATTGCTTTGGAAACAATTTTGTAGTATACATATCCTATACTCTCAAGTACATATCCAACAGAAATTTGTACACACATGTCCAAAATATGTGGAAAATATTGTATCAACCTTATTTGTAATAGCCCCAAACTCTAAAAATATAAATACATATTGTTTATTTTTATACTACCTTAATAACATAGTGACTCCCTCAAACTAATATTGATTGAAGGTATCCAGAGCAGAAAGAATATATACTGCAAGATGTCATGTATATACAGTTCAAAAATTGATAAAACTATGTTGTTAAAAATCGAAAGCAGTTACTTTGTTGGGATGGTCACTGATTCAAATATTATCCTTGAGGCTGGAAGTGATCTATTTCATGATCTGGATGATGTTTAAACAGATATGTTTGCTTTGTAAATATTCATCAAGGTATACAATTAAAATTTGTCACTTTTTATATCATATATATGTCACTCTTCAATATTAAATTTACTTTATTATAAAAGTGGAAATAATGTGTTCAAATATCGATTCAGAGATGTACAACTGAAGAAATGCTTTTATCTATATTTTCCTTTCTTCAAAGTCAGGGCCTCAAATAGCATATATTTTCTGTTTTATTTCTTTGGTGAGTTGCGAATGTCACCACTGCCATGTAAACATGCCCACACTAGCCTGTTGGAGGAAGAGAGACTAAATGGAAGAGAAATGAGGCACTTTAGGTGACAGTAACTAGTTCTCAGCATACTGCAAACATGAGTGACAGAAAAAATCCATACCCTAGAGAGAGTATTATCTGTAGTATCTGCTTCTTCCTTTGCCTTTATTTTGGATTACTTAAATCATTGAAACCATACACATTGTCATTTAAATTTATAAACCAATTATGACATATGCATAAAATGGAATATGATCAGCAATAAAATGTAATGAACTACTGATACATGTCAAAGCATGGCTGAATATGACAAGTGAAAGAAATTAGAAAAAAAAGAGCACACACTATAAGATGTCATTTATATAGAATTCTAGAAAATGGAAAGTAATTTATAGAAATAGTGCAAGTCAGTGTTTAGAGGAAGAAGTGGCGGGAAGGAGGGAGGAGAAGTGCAAGAAAACATTTGAGAGTGATGGATATGTTCATTATTCTTATAGTGGTGATGTTCTACGTGCATATTCATGTCAAGATTTATCAAACTTCACGTGCAATACATTATATGTTAATTATTCCTCAATAAAGTGGCATAAAACACACAAAAAATACAAATGTGTGGGCACATTTGGCATGGAGAAAGCTTTGCTATTTTTCAGACCTTTGTTTCCACATTCCTTAAGAGTTCATGGAATGTATTCACCTTTATTCATTGGCATCCATGAAACACTGAGAGATGGGCATTATTATTCCCACTTTATAGGTAGAGAGATATATTCAGACAGATTAAGTAACTTAATGAGAGTCACCCAGCTATTATTATCACATCTGTGGCTAGAATGTATTAATTTCTAACCATAACCCATTTTCTGAGTGCTTATCCTATGACAAGCTTTATTTTTGAAACAAAAAATAATGAAAAGACCAAAGTAGACCTTCTTTTTGATGAACCTTCCTTTCTTATGATTGTGGAATAATTGTTGTTTGGGGGAAACAAGGACAAATTGTACAAGCCAGGGAAAGGCTGTCACCCCCATTTTCAAAAAACAGCTTCAGGCATCAATGTTTGGTTTAGATGAACTGGGACTAAAGGGATTTGGTATTATTTCTTTCAGGGTTAATTCTCCTGGTCATTTCCCAACCTCCTACACTGTTTAACTTCTCACCTGGCTGGACCTCTTTGGCTGAGTTAGAATATTCTTAAAGGACTCCTCTTCTAATCAGAAGTGGTTGTAGAAAGCATTTTTTTTCCTTCTTTGTCTAAAGTTATCTCAGTTTTTCACTTAATTCCTTTTCCTTCTCTTTTATAAACTGAGAAAATTCCTATTTGAAATCACATTATAGAGTCCAGCATCTAGATAGGAGGCAGGTGGCCAGTAGACAGCCCATTGCCCATCATTGATTTATACTGACTACACAGCAGTTATGTATTAGTCCATTTTAACAGAATTGTCTAGTTAATTTGGTTTTATATGTTTAGGGAATTGTGTGAGTCAATTTGTTATTTTTGTATGACTGATTAATTAATCTACTAATATTTATTTAGTGCCTGACAAGCACCATCAAGACAGAACCCTGACCTTTACTCAATTTTAAATGCATTTTTACATACAGTGTTTTCATGGCATTATCAGGATTTTAAAAAAGGAATTATCTAAAGTAAGTATGTTTACGTATATGAGAAAAGACATCTAAACAGAAACCAAAAGGCAAATTATATATATATAATATTATATTTACATATTATATTTATTTGCAGATGGGTTTGACTAACACGTAACTGCTGTGTAGTCAATTCTTAAACTACCATTTTGCAGGAGCTAGTTTCCATTAGTGCAACTGAAGCTAGAAATTTTCTTCATATATCCTTACATTATTGAGGACTTCCACATTAGTGAACAGACAAGAAATTTTACCTGAGAATCCTGAAATCTATTTTGAATTTCTTTATTTTTTTTATTCTGAAGAAAGAATAGTTTGCAAATTGAAGAATAAATATGGAATAGTTGAAACAGGCAAGAAAAATGGCAAGACAGAGTTTATAAAGACAATTTAAAAAGAAAAATGCCATATAAAAAAGATGCAAAATGTAAATGAGGAAAGAGCTTAAATGACAAGAGAAAGAAATGGGAACTCACTTGTGTAGATGCTGCACCATTAATTCAGGGTATCACTGGGGAAATAACTTTAATGACCACTGCCTGTATTACTTTTGTTTGGGCGCTTTCTTTGTGCTATGACATTTCCAGGCTGCAAGATTTTTGAAAGTTGTATTTTCAAGCCTCACAAGATTCATAAAGCAAACATATGTATCCCCAAGTGAAGACATTTCTGAAGCATCTGTTGCTAAATTTTCTTAGTTTAATTTTTGTTTTTCTTGTAGAAAATTACATTGTAGATATCTCTATTCCAACTGAAGTTATGGTTAAAAAGCCATTAAAATTCAAATCAAATGATGAAGAATTTACTTTTTAAACAGAGTAATTAGTAATGTGGTAAATCTATAGTATTGTATTGATGGAAATATATACCTAGAGAATTTAATGCAGCTTGTAAAATGGCTAAGTAGTGATGATATTGGGAAAAGTTTAAATCATCTGTCTTGAAACAGATGTATGGTGAGAAGAAATACATTTTTACCCTTTATGCAAGTAATTACTTACCCCCATATTAGGAAAAAATTGCAACAATTCATCAAGTAATTTGAGTGGTCTATTGGAAAATTACACTATTTTGTAAATGCCAAAGGTATCCAAAGTGAACTTCTTAAGCTATAATGAACATACTTGGAGAATGAAATTTAATATTGTTTGCCTATTTTGCAATATGAAAAAAAATACAGAAGAATAACTGCTTAGCTAAGGGTAACGATCCAGACGTGAAACCATTTTGGTAGCAAAAGGAAATTAATAAGCTTGGGGACACTAGACAATCATAAATTTTTGAAAGCAATTAACAATATATAAAGGATAATCCCAAACTGACAGTTTCATTCCTGAAAATAGGTTAAACTGATCAGGTAAGAAGGTATAAACTAGAGAAGCATTGCCTATGATTAATGTGAGATATTTACTTTTATCAAGAAGGGCATTGAAATCACCCATAAAAATAAATTATTTAAAAACAAGGATAGGTTTACAAATGAATTATTTTTTAAAAAGACAAAACTGTTAAACATAAGAAGATAAGTACATTTTGTGCAAATAAATGGAATTGGGTTTTAAAGAAATGAGAGGATTCAGAAACACAGAAACGAAACTAGTTAAATAAATATATATTCACAATGTTACTAAGCCATTAATACTTTAGTATAATTAAATCAATTTAAACTTTCATAATAGAAAAACAAAAATGAATGTTGAATATATGATATTGTTTAAAACATATTAGCACTTCTTCTAAATATCATTTTTCATAAAAGATTTCTTTGAAATAACTAATAAAGATATTACTAACATAGTACAGTGTGTAATAATGAAGCAGAAAGCTAACTTATTGTTCTTAGCTACATCAAGTATACTGGGATTTCTTATAAAATCTGAAATTCAAACAGTGGTTTTTAATGAAGAACATCTTTTTAAAAATTTCTCACAAAATACCAGTTATATCAAATCAGGCTATTACCAATTTTCTTTCTTTAATTATTCTTACAATCCTATAGCCCCAAGTGTGCATGTTTACCATTATGAATAAGACTGAAATAGAAAAGTTAAGATGACATTGCTAATTGTAGCAAGAAGTTTACAATGAACAGGTGGTAACCAGGCTGAAATATTTAAATGACAAAATCCATATAGTAACATTTCCTCAATCACTGGAATTCAACTCAAATGAGTTAAAATAATGTTAGCAAAAGATAGAGTGTTTCATGAAGACTGCCAAAAGAATGAGTCTACTATTTCTGGAAAGTCAAGCCATTGAGATAATATAAGCAGGCCATTTGATGTTATATAGTATGCCCTACTTCCAATAATATAATGCAAGTTTCTCTTTAACTTCTTAAAAGGCACATCTGTTTGCCTTTTTTCTTTTTTTTATTTTGGTAAAAAACACCTAACATTAAATTTACCACCTTAACTATTTTAATGTGTATAGTTCAGTAGTGTTAAGTATATTCACAGATCTCCAGAACTTTTTTCACTTTGCAAAACTGAAACTCTATATCATTTAAACAACACCCCATTTTCTCCTCACCCTATCCCCTGCTAACAACCATTTTACTTTTTGTTTCTCTGAAATTGTCTACTTTATATATCTTATATAAGTGGAATCATACAGTAGTTGTTATTTTGCAACAGGCTAGTTTCACTTAGTATAATGTCTTCATACCCTATATAAAGGTTCATCTATGTTATAGCATGTAACAGAGTTTCCTTCTATTTTAAGGTTGAATTATATTCCATTGCATATGTTTGTGCATGCATGCATGCATGTAGCCTATTAAATGGTGTTTTTACCTCCCAATATAAATTCTACATTAATATGGAGACTAATATGCTAACATCTTAAAATACAAGATGGACATTTTTTGTTGAAATTGTATTTAATTCAAATGCATTTTAAGGTACTTTAATTTATATTATGTATAACTAAGCTACCCAATTTATAATGTTTTACAGAGCTGAAATCATATAATAAACAGTAGTCAAGATTCCTGGTCAAAACTTTTAGAAGATATTTTGTTTTCTTTTACTAAATTTTGCATACTTGTTTCATTCCTCCCAAGCAAATCATTGCATTAAAGTGTTAAGAATATCCATCCTTGCCAACAGAATTTGCAGTGTTTTATGAAATTTTATTAGTGGATTTATTTTTTTACTTCGTTTATCCACAGCTTCTGTCTCTTAAAAAAATTATTGTGCTGAGCAACTGTTCTGATTTCTTTACAAACATTTTTGGTACTGGGAATAAAACAAATGATTATGTTTCACTTTACATTGGCCACAAAGATGCCTGTGGTCCGATTTGCAGCCCTCAAGCTAAATGCCATTGGAAAACCATTCAACGTGTTAAGGTCCTTAACTTACTGTGGTTTGGTTTTTAATTTTCTTCTAACTTTACTTTTTCTTTCTTTCATTTTTATTTAATTACTTCATAATTGGTAGTTGGTACATAACATTACTTAAGAATGAGGCAGAGGTAAAAATAAACATTATTGAATCAGCAAAGATATTTGAACTTGTATTCCAAAATTTAAAATAGAAACATCAAATTGTGGACCTTGTCTCTTCTGTGCAATCTAAGTATAATTTGAGTCAGAAAGATTTCCTTTCCTTAGTAGTTACTTATTTACTTCTATAATCTTGTTCTTTCTTCTTTCTCTGTTTAATTAAAGATGTACTACCTCTGCAGAAAAGAGTTTCATTCATCACCTGTACAATCAAGCTTATCAGTGTGATACTTTAAATATGTTGTTTATAACATGAAGATAACATCTATTCAAAATGTTCTTGACATTAAATGATTAAATTAAATTACGTTACATGCTTACCCAATCCTTATTACTGTTTTTCCTTCAGTCTAAATCTCTGGTAAACTTCAACCTTTCATTACTAGCTTTAAAAAAAGATAATAGTAAAGATGAATATATAGGAAAATTAGTAATGATATATTTAAAGAATAAAAGTTTCTAAATTTTCCCCGTGCATTTTATGTCACACTATATTGTCTCTTTTCTCTCAATCATTTTATTTTGATAAGTTTGTTCACATACTTTGTCAAGTTCTTGCATGAAAATAAATACCCACAATCAGCAAATAAATACAAATTATTCTAAAAATATCCATTGAAAAAGAAGATAATAACTCAGGTTGTTTTTAAAATTATGCAAGCAATTTAGTGTTTATATTTAGAAATTTGGTAATTGCCATCAGCCCTATTCATTACATTTCAAAAGTAGGAGAAATAATAAGTCAAATTGCCACTTATTTATTCATATTCATAGAGAGAAAAATAATAACTTATTTGCTTAACAGATCCTGACCATTGTTGTAGGTCCATCTGTACCTGTAAACACATGCAAAACTGTCTACTCAAATCAGAAGACACCATCCACTTTTTTTTAAACTAAAAATTCAGCGACAAAATGGCAACATTTTCAAGAATCATAAGATACTGCCTTGCTTTGCCAATATGGATGTATTACAGCAATATAAAATTTGAAAGCTATTCTGGTTATTGTTAAGGAATTTAAAAGGACTGGCCACATTCAAAGAAAGTGATGAATAGAGTGTTTTCTTTTTGCCAACTTTTATTTATTAATAAGTTTAATTAAAATACACAGCAATCTCGTGTAAAGCTAAATGCCATTGGAAAACCATTCAATGTGTTAAGGTCCTTAACTTACTGTGGTTTGGTTTTTAATTTTCTTCGAACTTTACTTTTTCTTTCTTTCATTTTTATTTAATTACTTCATAACTGGTAGTTGGTACATAACATTACTTAACATTTAGTACAGTGTCTCGTATGCATATGGAAATGCCTATCAAACTGAGGCATTTACCAAAAATATTAAAAAGAAAAACAGAAAGAGCAACAACACAGAAGTAAACTATTTTGACTAGTATATTAATAACAATAGCACCAATCTGATGGATTGAGAGCCTCCCCCTGAAAACACTACGCATCTTTTAAATACCAGTTTCATGGTTGCAAATATAGACAGACATATTCTGGCTGTATACATGGAACTGTCAAATATTCCTCTTTGAAACCATCTCATCTATGAAAGGGTTTGGGCTGCTGAGGCTGGCTGCCATCTTTTGATCGAGAGAAGAGCTGCACAAAATGTTTACTTTGACAGTTGTTGTACTGTACTGTGAACAGAAGTTGTGAAGGAGATTTGGGATATGCCTCAAGCTTGACACCTGCATAAGGAAGAAGAGAGGGAAGTTTCTCTCGGATAAACTCATAGGAAGATTGGGCATAATGCAACATTTGAGCCAATAAAATCATTGCAGTTGCTATCCCCAAGAGAGAAAAGGTCCATTTTCAACATGGAGTTTCGCATTTTCAACCCAAGTGTATTTTAAGCTTGAGATTAAGAGAGATAAATGCTGACTTTGGCCAAAAAAAAAAAAAAAAAAAAAAAGCAGACTAAGGACCACAGTCCTGACTTCTGTATACTCAGTGTGGGTTTATAAATTCATTTAAAATCTCCCCTTCACTAATTTCTCTGATATTCATAGGTATCAGAAATAGAAAGATTACTGGCATACTTTAAGACATGGTTGTCCTATAATGATGAAGAAGTGTTTATGTGTGTTTGACTGGATACATTCTTCACTTTGTTACCATATGTGCAACATGGTCAGATGGTTAATGAGTTTTCAGGGCTGAAATGCATCTGGTCCAACTTTAAACTTATGGTTTATAATACTTCACTGGAAAGCATGTAATTAATCTTTCAGAGGATAATCTACCATAACTCCTAAACTAATTAAGAATAGATATTCTTTTTCAACAGGATTTGAAAATTAAGCTGTATACAGGTTAAGAAAAAGATAAAGTCTCTACATTGATAGAAGAGTAATAACATCTAAGATAAAATTGGCCTCTCACTTCCTCCTCCTCTGCCATATCCTGTTGATAGAAATATGCCCCTTCATTGAATGTATGCTTTCAGATAGCCTTTCCCTTAAGGAAAAGGTCAGTCTCTTATACATCTTTGAATCCTGAGCATCTGGTAAAGAGTAAAAGCATAGAAGGTGTTTATAGATCAAAATATGGGAGTTAATTCAGAGAGACCCCACCTTGCAATCCATGAATTTTCACAAGTATGTGGGAAAACATGTACACAAATCTATTTATTGACACATATACAAATATATATATCCATATGTTATAAATGAATAAACCGAGGCCCAGAATTTTTTAAAAATATAGAAATCAGACTGATAGTTATGTTTCAGTTGTGACTCAAACAAAGAGAACCTGATGCTTTCAAGTTCTTACCACTATGCTAAATGAGCCACAAAATAGTTCCTCAGGTTGTAACCAAATTTCTGTAATCATTGTCATCTTCCTAACTATAGTGCCTTTAAAACGGATCATAATTGTAAGTATTATAAATAATTCATTTATAATAAATTATAAATTATAATTCATTTTCTAGTAAAATATCTATAAGTTGTATTAGAGAATAAAATAATATATACCTTTTCTTTTTTGCTCAAAATGTAAAGATTTTGTAAAGCATTATAAGTTACACTACCAACAGCATTGTAAATGTTGCAGCTTTCTTCACATCTTTGCCAGCATTAGATATTAAGAGGTTTTTACCTTTAAAACTTTGCTACTGATAAAAATGTAATTGTTTTAATTTATATATTTCAGCTTGGAAATTTTTCATGTTTACTTGCTGGTGGCATTTTTGCTTTAATTTTATATTCATGCTCTTTGAAAATGTATCTATTTATGTTTTACCGTATTTCACATCAATTTGTGTAAACTAACTAATTAACAATGACACTGGATTGTTATTACACTGGATGTGAATTTGTCCTAGTATTTTGTTCATTCTATTATTTAATGTATTTCCTGTAAAATTATGTTTTTTCTAATCAACTTACCTTTTCCTCAAATAATTATATTTTGTTTAAGCTCAAGATAATTTTTACTCTAGAAATTTGATAAGGATTCCTTCATAATTTTTCTATTGGAATTACTTTTCTATATTTAATCTAGCAGAAACATATTTCAGTTTGTTGGATAAAATGACCCTTCTTTATTTTAAAATAGATCTACAATAAAAATATGTTTATGAATTCATTTAATTCATTCATACATGCATTCATTAATTCAACAAATAATAATTTAAAACCCACTTTCTCTCAGCCATAGTGCATATTTTCCAAGAAAGAAACATTGTTAAGATAGAAACTCTCTTGAGGACTTCAGAGTTTGTATTGTAGACTTATATCAGTGCAGTCTTCCTGAGTGATCATTTTATAATAAATGAGTGAATAATTATGGCATATATAAAAAACATAATTTAAATAATTTAAGAGGTATTATAGGTTTAGGCTCAACTGAGAGAAATCAGGAAATTAAAAATCTATGTTGTACCTCACTAGCCCCCAGTTACTTAGGTATTATATGTCTAAACTTCCATTTTACTAAATCAAAAAAAGTTAATATATATAGTGTAATATTATTACTATTATTATTATAATCATAATTACTAACCTAGATCTCTATATAGCCTTAATAGCCTGTGGGTCCCCATAATAATAGTTTTTAGTCATCCAGCAAATAAAGAGAAGGCTTAAAGCAAAAAGTGGCAGTAAACTCCCCTGTCTCAGTGCAGTGTCAAAGCTAGTGAAGGAGAGGTTTCAAATGGTGAATTTGGTGAACCCATACTGGGTTGCATCAGAGACTTTCAGTAACTCTTGAGCTCTTAATGCAATAAAAAAAAAAAGTTGTTTATTTGAAAGTTAGTTTTAATTTCCCTCTCACTTTCTACTTTTGAGGACTTCTACCTTGCATGTAGTAACTTCTCAACAAATGATTACGAGAGTCAAGTAATTTTACTGGAATAGTCAGTGTAAACATTCTCAATGTTTTTGGTCAAAATTAATAGGGTAAAGCACTAAAAGAGAAAAGTTGAGTCAACTTCCAAGAAATTAAGTAACTGTGCAAAGAAAAATATATTCATTCTTTATTTTGAAGATTCTGCTGTTAAATTCAGAGTATTAAAGGGCATAGCAAGGGTTTCTGGTGAGGAAAATACCAATAGCATGGAGTTGTTTGTGGCCAAGAGAGACTGCCTAAATTATTACTCTCAATTTTGCTGGTCTTTTGTTTACATTGCATTGGATAAGCTCTTGTCAATGTGCTCAACCTTCTCAGGCTTCTTAGGCTCATCTTTCATGTGCTATATCAAAGGAAGTTTTTTTTTAATGTAGAGGAGTCACTCAGATCTTTCTCCCCCCAGATTTAATGGGATATTAATATGGTTTGACTCTGTCCCTATCCAAATCTCATCTAACCTGGTGGGAGGTAATTCAATCTTGGGGGCGGGTCTTTCCTATGCTGTTCTTGTGATAGTCAATACGTCTCATGAGATCTGATGGTTTTAAAAATGTGAGTTTCCCTGCACAAGCTCTGTTCTCTTGTCTGCCATCATGTGAGATGTGCCTTTCACCTTCTGCCATGATTGTGAGGTCTCTCCAGGCACATGGAACTGTAAGTTCAATAAACTTCTTTCTTTTGTAAATTGCCCAGTCTCTGGTATGTCTTAATCAGCAGTGTGAAAACAGATTAATACAGGTATAATTAGAAAATAAAGGTGGTAAATTGTGTTTTGGTATATGTATATACTATAAAAGGGTTACAATAATCAAGTTTATTAACATACCAATCACCTCATAAATTCCCATTTTTTTCTATACTGAGAAAATTCAACATCTACTTTATTCAACTATACAATAAAGTTTTATTAACTATATTCAGCATGTTGTATATTAGATCTCAAGAACTTATTCATCCTGCATAACTGAAATTTTATAACCTTTGGTCAATTTTGCCCCATTCTCTTCCTCACCTCCAGCCCTGGAAACTATGATTCTACTCTATTTCTCTGAGTTCCATTTTTATATTCCACATATAAATGAGATTATGCAGTATTTGTCTGTCTGTTTCTAGCTTATTTTACATAACATGTTGTTCACCTTTATCCATGTTGTTGCAAATAATACAATTTTCTTCATTTTAAGGCTGAATAATATTTCCTTCTACGTGTGTGTGTGTATTCATGTGTGTGTGTATCACATTTTTTAAATCTTTTCACTTATCCATGAACACTTAGGTTAAATCGATATCTAAGATATCATGATCAATGCTGTAATGAACATGGGAGTACAGATATATTGTGGGCATCCAGGTTTCATATTCTTAAGATATATACCCAGAAGCAGAATTGCTATATCATATTGTAGTTCTATTTTGAATTTTTTTGAGGAACCTCAATATTGTTTTCCATAATTACTGTACAATTTACATTCCCATCAACAGTATCTAAGTGTTCCTTTTTCTCCATATCCTTGGCAACACTTGCTGCCTTTCATCTTTTTAATAATGGTCATTCTAACAGAAGTGAGATGACATTTTATTGTGGTTATTATTTACATTACCCTGGTTCTTGATTTTGGGCATTTTTATATACCTTTTGGCCAAAGAAGTATATTTATTTTTTTGGCCAGACACGTATGTCTCAGACAGGCCAGACAGTATTTGTCTTCTTTTGAGAATTTTCTATTCAAGTCCTTTGCCCATTTTTTAATGTGGTTATTTGTTTTCACACTGTTGACTTCCTTATTTTTTTAATATATTAACCCCTTATCAAATGTATGGTTTGCAAATATCTTATCCTATTCTGTGTTATCTCCTTACTCTGATGAATGTTTCCTTTGCTCTGCAGAATGTTTTTAATTTAATGCAATTCCATTTGAATGTTGTTGTTTTTGTTTCTTCTGTTCTGGGGTTTCTATTCTGAAAATCATTGCTCAGACTGTGTCTTGGAGTTTTTTCACTATGTAAGAGAACTTCTACTTCCAGATAAGCAAAAGCAACAAGAACAAGACTTACTTTATGCCTGCAAACAATTCAAAATCCAAACAACTATATAAAATTATTGTTTTAGACAGCAGATCACAAGCAGCTCAGGACTATGATAATTGAGATAAGGTAAACAAATGAGGGAAGCTTTATAATTGCTATGGTTTTCTCGATAAAGTTGGTTTCAAGCTGTAGCAGTGGTTGGATATAACCAAACAAAGACCATCATTCTGGTTGATGTAAGGAGGCAGAATTTGGAGCTTGTGGAGGTTGTTTGTAGATAATTTTCAGTGCTCAATGCTAAAACAGAGGAAAATATGCAGAAAAAGATTACAGAAATCTGTATACTTGACTCCTTGAGTCACTAGCTGAAGATTAATCTGTGCATGCATAAGGTGAAACTCTGCATAGTTGTACAAAGAAAAACTTTTGGGAAAATACAATTACCTAGGAGCTGTAAGCCAAACAATTCCCTGAACTCAAAAGGGCCAGGAACCATTCATGTTCTTACCAGGCAGAGTGAAGAGATCTTGTTGAATACATAGCCTATTGAATAAAGACCTGAAAAGTACTGGACATAGGAGTGGGGCAAACTATCACTGGGGTAAAGGGTAATGTATAAATATCCAAACAAAGCTTGAACAATGAGCCTCAAAAGAATCAACCTGAAATGCATATAACAACTCATGTAGAAACAAAGTCAAATAATTTAGTATAAGAAAACCTAGCACTCAATAATGTAAAATTAATAATGCTAAAGTTTTAATTAAAAAATTTTTTTTAAAACTGGACAAGACAATAATCATGAAAACAATGACAGACTCTTAGAAAAGACTTCAGCCAAACACCCAAAAATGACATAGTTGATGGAATTATTAAATAAAGACATCAAAAGAACTTCTGTAAATAGGCTCAAAATGTTCACTGATTTAAAGGAAAACATGGGCATGATGAGCACAGAAATAAAATATATATAGAAAAAACAAATAGAACTTTGAGATTTAAAATATAAACTATCTGAAATGAAATTTCATAGGCTAGGAGTAACACCTGAGTACATACTGCAGAAGAAAAGGTTATCAATATAAACCACCCAAAGTGAACTACAGTGGGAGTACTATACTACTTGATATCAATATGTATCATAAATACATATTAATAAACGTTGTCATTGGCAAAAGTATAGACCTTATATTATTTAGACAGAATAGAGCCATAGAGTCCAGAAATAGGCCCAAATATATATGGTAAATTGATTTTTGACAAATCTCCAAGTTAAATCACTTTAAAAAGGATAGTCTTTATGCAAATGGTGCTGGAATAACTGACATTCGTAGGATAAAAAATGAACTGACACTTACCTCATTCCATACACGCCTTCATACACACTCAGAAGGGATCATAGCTCCTGGAGAAATGAAGCCATACGTCCATACAAGACTTATTTGTGAACGTTCATTAGCAGCATTATTCATAGTAGCCCTAAGACGAAACAATACAAGTGTCCCTCAACTGGAAAGTGGATAAGCAAAATGTGGCCTATCCATACAATAGAATAATCATCAGAAATGAAAAGGAATACACTATTGAAACATGCTATTACAAGGGTGAAGTGCAAATCATTATGCCATGGAAGAAACTGGACATAACAGAACACATATAGAATTATTTAATTTATATAAACTGTTCAGAAAAGGCAAATCAGTACAGACATAATGCCTATAGTTTGGAATTGGAAGGGGAAAATTTTACTGTGGTAGAAATGTTTTAAAACTTGATTGTGATGATGATTGTACAACCTCTAAATTTTACCAAAATTCACTAACATATATACTTACAAGGAGTGAATTTTATGGTATTTAAATCATACCTCAATAAAGTTTTTTAAAGACCGTATATAATCCAGCAATTATCCTCCTTGGTATTTACCCAAATGTGTTGAAAACTGATTTCCACAGGTAAGCCCACACCCAGATATTTATAATAGCTTTTCTCATAAATGCCAAAACTTGAAAACAGTCATGATGTCCTTTAGTATCAGAATGGATACATATGCTAGTGTATATCCAGGCAATAGAATTATTCAATGCTAAAACAAGAACTATAAGCCATGAAAAGACATGAAGTAATCTTAAATGCATATTACTAAGTGAAAGAAGCCAGCATAAAGAGGCTGCCTACTGTATGATTCTAACAAACTATATGACAATCTGTGAAGATAATAAAAGGATCAGTGGTTGCCAGGGGTCACAAGTGAAGGAGGGAAGAGTAGAAACTACTCTGTGTGATACGGTAATGGTGCATACATGTCATTATACATTTGTTAAAACCCATAGAATGGACAACACCAAGAATGAACTCTAATATAAACTATGGGTTGTGGGTGATGATGATGTGTTAATGCAGGTTCATCGATGTAACAGATGTATTGCTAGGGTGCAACACTTTGATAGTGAGGGAGTCTGTGTATATGTGGGAACAATGGATACATGGGAAAGCTCTGTACATTCTGCTCAAGTTTGATATGACCCTAAAACAGCTCTAAAAATAAAGTCTATCAAGAAAAAAAATGAATAAAATAAAATAAAAATGGATCATAGATCTAATTTAAAAGCTACAAATTATAAAAATTCTAGGAGAAAACACAGAAGAAAGCCTATGAGTAAGTTGTACTAGACCAAGATTTCTTAAATGGGACATGTAATCAAATCACAACTCGTAAAAGAAAGATAAGATATATTAAATGTCATTAATGTAAAAATTACTCTTCAAAGTACCATTTAATTTTTTAAATGAGGCTGGGCATGGTGGCTCACACTTGTAATCTTAGCACTTTGGGAGGCTAAGGTGGGCACATCACTTGAGCCCAGGAGTTCAAGACCAACCTAAGCAACATGATAAAACCTCATCTCTACAAAAAATACAAAAAATAAAATAAAATAGCTAGGTGTGGGGGCGCATGCCTGTGGTCTCAGCTACCTAAGAGGCTGTGGTGGGAGGACCACCTGAGACTGGGAGGTCAATGCTGCAGTGAGCTGTGATCATGCCATTGCATTCCAAACTGAGCGACAGAGTGATACCCTGTCTCAAAAAAAAAAAAAGCCTATAAAATATAAATAATTTGTAACAAATGTATAATGACAGGTACCTACTATGGTATCATACAGAGTAGTTTCCTTGCTAGCATTTCTCATCTATCTATGAGAAAAAAAGTTTATATATATATATATATACACACACAAAGAATTTGTTAATGAATAATAATTTATAAAATAATTTATAAAAACAAAACATAATACAATTCAATAAATATTAGACAAGTATTTTAACAGAAAACTCACAGAAGTCCATGAAAATTTAATAAACTCTATATACTGATCAAATTGGAGAATACAAATTAATACCATAATGTGGTAATACTATGTACCCTCTAGAATAACTAAATTAAAAAAGATTGACAATATCTGGCCCTTTACAGTAAAAGTCTTTCTCTATATACTGATCAAATTGGAGAATACAAATTACTACCATAATATGGTAATACTATGTACCCTCTAGAATAACTAAATTAAAAAAGATTGACAATATCTGGCCCTTTACAGTAAGTCTTTCTACTCCTGCTCTTGACTATTTCTTATGCACTAGACTCTTTTATATGATATAATTTTATTTCTAATTTTTTAGACATATTTTCTTCTATTTTAATGTTCTTCTGTTGGTTTATGTCTAAATCCATCTATTGTTTGAGCATTTATTAAAAAACAGAACATATTATCTCTATTTCCTTTAAATGTGGGATTGGTATCATCATAACTTTTCTTCTGTTTCCTTGGGTTTTTCCTTTATGAGATTTGTCACTTATTTGCCTTTGCTGTTTTTGTTCCCTCTCTCTTTTTTTTCTCCTTTCTTATCCTTTTTGTTATTTCTCCCTTATTATTACTTATATTTGAATTTGGGGTAGTTGGTGGTGTACTTACCAGGAAATGCTAAATGATATGGTAATAATTAATGCCCAAATTACAATTATTATATATAACACACAGTTCAGATTTATCTTGTTACCCTCCTCACTTTATGATCAAAGTATACGTAACAGTTACTATATGGAATATTAACTGGCACTGAGACAGAGAAAAAGGAATCCCTACAAACAATCTCTGGGGCAGTGAAATTATCTCTCATAACTTATGCTCATCACTCATTGACCAGAACACGTCACATGGCTCCCAAGTACTGTAGGGAGTTAAGAAGTGCAATTCTAGCCTGTGCCTGCAATATTTGGAGAGCAACATTAATGACTACTACAAATCATGTTTGGGTGGGGGTCAGCTAGGTTATACAGTCTCCAATTTTAATGTTTTTTTTTTCTTGTTACTTACTCATGAATTCTACTACTTCTTTCAATCAAAAGTGTATTTCCCTTCAACTTTTGGCCTCAATATGTGGGTAGGATTCATAGAAATATTATTTAAGTCACTGGTAATTCGCATATTGATCTACTATCACACACATACTCCTCCCCACCATCTTCCATGTCTGTTAGTACCCTCATTCTTCCTAGATGTGTTGCTTAAGCCATAGAAATGGCACATTAGCATGATTTCTTCTCCAGAAACTTCTATGCTGATGTTGTGTGGTGTCACCCTGTATCTCTACAGATAGTCAAGTCTCTGGTTCTGAGATGCTAAAGAAAAAGTCAGTAGGATAGACCTATGTGATAGCATTTCTGTTTTGAGAGCTCAATTTTCTGATTAAGTCTCAGAAGATATGCACAATTTTCAACATTCACTACCATTTTAATCCATATTTAATTGTATCTGGCAGGAACATAACAATCTTTTGGTTTGGTTTGATGATGTTTTTATACTTTCTTTTTTTGTTTCAGTTTTTTATGTCAAGGCAAAAAAAAAAGGAGGGGGGAAGTTTAGAGAAAGGGAGAAAAGAGAATAAAACTTTTATTATTCTATACTTCAAGGAAAGTTCCCCTGATCGCTCCCCTCATTCTTTAATGGAACTATATTTCTGACTGTTCACAGACTCAAGACACTAAAGGGTTTTGTTGCTCTTTTTTCAACTTACGTATCTCCCTTATCCCCTGGGTTGTGTGAGTACTTGCTTCAAAATATTGATCCTTCATCCTGTCCCTTGTTTTCCCACTTCAGGTCTTTATTTTTCTTACCTCTACTCTTAAACTTTGCTTCTGTCTCTTTACTCATTCCCCTTCCAATTCATTCCAAGTACTATGAACAAATAAATTTTCTTCAGACAATGGCCTCTAAGACAAATACTACTTATTGTCTAACACAAAGGTAGTCTTATGCTTTTCACTTAGAACAAAGGCACGAAATCTTATTTAGTTGAAACATATGCTATACAAATATAAAAGCAAACTGAGACTAAATTTTAAACCTCAAATGTTTTGCTAAGAAATTCAGACTTCAGAGAGCATAAACCATACACACACAGAATATTCTCTATTGACTGCAGTCAGAAGCAAACTCTGTCACCTGATAGCTCTGATTCTCTCATTTATTTATACCGTTTTGAAATATGTTTTAATGCCTATTTTGTGTCTCTGTAAGGTCAAACACTCTGTCTTCTCATATCAATATCCTAGCAACATCTACTTCTGATAAATTAATCAATTAACAAAAATAGAAAAATATAATACTGATATATTAAACTCATGTTTTTCAAAATTGTACTAGAAAATACAGATCATTTGCTTTTTATAAATAATGTGTTTTGTTTGATGTTTTATTATTCCCTTATTCTTTTAATTTACAGTGTATCCTAGAAAATACTTATTACGTTCTCCAATAATTAATGATGAATTGTGCTCAAATTTGTTACTCATCCTTCTCTAGCCCTCTTGGTTTTCTTTATGTATCAAACTTGCATGCTCTCCTTCATGGCAAGGAAAATTTCTGCAAAGCTTTTTAAAAATTTTCTTAAAAATTCCTAACATAGAGCCATAGAATATTATAGCTACAAAGCCTGAGTTTATTAGCAGTAAAAACTAATTTTATTGCCTATAAGTAGAGGTATCAGTTTGTTCTTTTAAATTATGACTATATCACATATATAGTAAAAGTACAATTTGGCCAGCAGTGTGCACATCTTTTAATTAAATTTAATTCAATGTAGAACCATCTAATATATCCTTTTAATAATTTAAACTAAAATAATTATCTGTAAAAAAAACTTTTTATTCTGTTTTTATGGTTAAAATGAAATGGGTACATTTTTTAAAAAATCATTTTTCCTCATCCCTGTTTTTGTTAAGGATTATAACAAATTCTTGATATGTAAGATGTTTACTAATGGCAAAGACATTTTTTAATTTATGACTTTAAAAATCTGTGCTGCCATAGCTTCTCCACCATTAACAGAGGATTCTGTTACAAATAAATAGCATAGTAGATTTATTTTTCTCTTTTATTTAAACAGGCCATATATTGGGGATTTGTCTTAGAAATATGCCAGTCTACATCAGGATGATAACATTTTAATTAAGTTATTCATAGCTTGATCTCTGATACTTTGTTTTTCTGAAATTAGTGCTTTATGTTCCTATAAAAATACAAAAATAATTATAATAGAATGGCATGATTTTATGCCTTCAACATTTAGAAAATAATGATTGTCTATTAAATGGCAGGCACTGTTACTAATAGCCTATACCTGTTACAAAGGAAAAGTGGGAGAGGGTGTGAAGAATTTGGACACCAAAGACAATATTTCCTAACATTTTCCAAGTCATAGCACACATAGGCATCAATGATATCTATGCAGCTCACTGGAACCATTGGTTTATGGGTAACTGGATGTGTAGATTCAAAGCTGGTGGTGTCTACCCAGAGGTCGAGACACCCAAATCTCTATCAGTTCCCTCAAAGTTCAAGTGGACCAGAATCTGGGCACAATTACAACCCATTCATAGCACAGTGGTGAAAAGCTCTGACTCATGGGAATATGAAAGCAAGAATGCACTAAAAAGAAGAAACAGAATACACAGAGGCAAAAGGCAAAGGATACTGTTTTTTTTACTAACAGTTTTGACTCAGCTGTGTCCAGTCACCTATATGCAGCTACTGGGTCCATAATTTGTTTATCACAAACAACTGGTGGCAATATGTTGTTTGGAAAACAATTTTTCCCATTTTAAAAAGGTACACTGATGTATATATCATTAGCAAAATGATGGAATAAGAGTTTTCTACTGTCATCTTCTCACAGTGCATTGAATTTGAAAACCACCAATGGACAAGAGTACATTTGTGGGAATCTGGGAGTAGAGCAGAGATATTTCAGCATACCACTTGAGAAAAAATCTAAGAATAGGTGCATTAAAGAGGGTAAGAAGAAGAGTTTCACTATATCACCATCACCCTTCTCCCAAGCCAGCACAGTTCTATGCCAAAAGAGAACTCCTTGGCATGTGATTCCTCCCACTGGGGAAAGAAGTGTGTAATGAGTGAGCGTCCAGCTTCCCCAGCTCAGCAGGACGCTACCCAAGAGCCTTCTCAACCCACCTAGAATACTGAGGGTATCAGTACAGCTGAATAGCTAAGAGAGGCTGAGAGAAAAGAAGTGAAGTAGGGATTTATAGCAATCAGTGCTTAAAACTAAACAAAGGGCTGTATTCCTATAAACTGCTTTTCAGACTATATTAGGAGACCTGTCCACTGTTTGAGACCTCTCACCAGCTGACTCACACCAATTGGCACATAGGCACCACCAATGCTCCATGAACCTCTTCCCTTCCCCAGTGCACACTCCCTGTGTGTGCCCCCTAGATGGCAAATATGAGCTTTTGAAGATGGCTTGTGAGTATGTTCAATTAGCCAGCTTGACTCTCCAGAATTGAGAGAAGGCAGGCAAAATTGATCATTTCAGGGCACTGCCTTAGGGAAAATAAACTGGAGACTCTAGGCATCCAGCCTTCTTTTGGAGAAGAGGAGAAAGTGAAAGGTGACAACGTGCTGGCAGCCCTTGCTCACTCTCAGCACCTCCTCAGCCTCGGCGTCTGCTCTGGCCATGCTTGAGGAGCACTTCAGCCCACCGCTGCACTGTGGGAGCCCGTCTCTGGGCTGACCGAGGCTCCCTCTGCTTGCAGGGAGGTGTGGAGGGAGAGGCACAGGCGGGAACCGGGACTGCTCACAGCGCTCACCGCTGGTGCTGTGGGCCCCAGGCAGTGAGGGGCTTAGCACCCAGGCCAGCAGCTGTGGAGGGGGTGCTGGGTACCCCAGCACTGCTGGCCCGCACGCGCCACACTCGAATTCTTGCCGAGCCTCAGCCACCTCCCTGCAGGGCAGGGCTCAGGACCTGCCACCCACCATGCCTGTGCCCCTCAGTGGTGGGCTCCTGTGTCGCCTGAGCCTCCCTGACAGTTGCCACCTGCTGCTCCGCGGTGCCCAGTCCCATCAACCGCCCAAGGGCTGAGGAGTGTGGTCGCTTGGTGTGGGACTGGTGGGCAGCTCCACCTGCGGCCCTGGTGTGGGATCCACTAGGCGAAGCCAGCTGGGCTCCTGAGTCGGGTGGGGACTTGGAGAAATTTTATGTCTAGCCGGAAGATTGTAAATGCATCTATCAGAACTCTTTGTCTAGCTTGGGGTTTGTGGATGCACCAATCAGCACTCTGTATCTAGCTAAACTGATGGGGACTTGGCGAACTTTTATGTCTAGCTAAAGGATTGTAAATACACCAATCAGCACTGTGTGTCTAGCTCAAAGTTTGTAAACACACCAATCAGCACCCTGTGTCTAGCTCGATTTGTAAATGCACCAATCAGTGCTCTGTGTCTAGCTAATCTAGTGGGGACTTGGAGAACTTTCACGTCTAGCTAGAGGATTGTAAATACACCAATCAGCTCTCTGTAAAATGGACCAATCAGCTCTCTGTAAAATGGGCCAATCAGCAGGATGTGGGTGGGGCCAGATAAGGGAATAAAAGCAGGCTACCTGCCGGAGCCAGCCGTGGCAACCCACTTGGGTGCCCTTCCATACTGTGGAGGCTTTGTTCTTTCGCTCTTTGCAGTAAATCTTGCTGCTGCTCACTCTTTGGGTCCGCACTGCCTTTATGAGCTGTAACACTCACTGCGAAGGTCTGCAGCTTCACTCCTGAAGCCAGTGAGACCACGAACCCACCAGAAGGAAGAAACTCCAACCACGTCCGAACATCAGAAGGAACAAACTCCGGACACACCATCTTTAAGAACTGTAACACTCACTGCAAGAGTCTGCGGCTTCATTCTTGAAGTCAGTGAGACCAAGAACCCACCAATTCCAGACACAAAAGCATATGATCTCATCAGTTCTCCCCCAGCCCCACAAGGAAACAAAAGGTGTCAACTGGTTGTATCCATAGAAAATGTCTGAAAGAGCTTCAGAATCCCTAGGCTGCTGACTGGGGAAGTAATTTCTTGCCCGGAGGCAGTCAGTGAAGACTGGAGGAAGTGACTGCTTCTTCAAATGTGAAGATAGCAATCAATACAAGACTTCAAAGAACTTTAAAAACCAAGGAAGCATGGCATCACTAAAGGAAAACAATAATTATCCAGTAATTGACCTAAAAGTAATGGAAATCTATAAAATATTTGACAAAAACGCAAAATAATTGTTTTAAGAAAGCTCAGTGAATTTCCTTAACAAGGAAGTGAACAAGAGAACACAGATAGATAGAAAACAAAATTAAATTTTAAAAACCACATACACACATGAACAAAACATGAGGTTCAACAAAGAGATAAAAATCATTAAAAAAGGAAAAACAGAAATTCTGGAGCTGAAGAATGCAATAGATAAAATAATAAAATAAAAAACACAATTGAGAGCTTCAATGAGAGACTTGATTAAGCAGAAGAAAGAATCTGCACCTTGAAGACAAGGCACTTAAAATTATTCAGTTAGAGGATGGAAAAAAAATTAAAAAGAATTTAAAAAGCTTACAGGACTTGTATTGGCCACCATGAAGAGGAAGAGTGTAAAGATCCTGGAGGTCTCAGAAAGAGAAGATAAAGAGAAAAGGAGAAAAGGTTTATATAAGAAAATAATGACTGAGAATTTCCCAAATCCTGAGAGATAGACATCAAGGGTACTTGAGACTCAGATGGCAGATAGGAGGCACCTCTCACTTGGAAGGACAGAACAGCGTTGTGAAGACAAATCGTGAACTTTAGTTCCAAGAACTACCACGGGAACATTCCAGGAAAACCAAAGAATTCAATGACCTTTGAAAGAAGTGGCTTGTGGCTGCAAACTCCTTGAGACAGCCAAAACTCTGAGTGCCCAAAGCATGAGAAAAGTAAAATTCACCTCCAAATACAAATCCACAATGGGGAACCTGAAAATCCAGATCACGGAAGAAGCATTTAAATTTACCTAGAACTTAAAGGAATTTAGAGGTCCAAGCGAAATATAAAAGTAGAAGAAGAAGCAGGAAGAGCCCTGAAGGCACTCCCAGTTCCCTGGGAAGCCACCTCTGACTCTATCTCAGAGGGGTCCTTGAGGAGGGCTGCCAGTATAATTAGAGAAGGTCTACAGGGAGAAGGAAACATCAGCTGAATTCTTTAATAATTTCAATGGAGTGTGAATTTTCCTGAGCAGAATCTGGGGGCTGGGGTGTGTAGGTGGGTGGGGTTGGGGAAGAGGGCAAACAGAAAGTGCAGATAGGAAGAGAAGCCCTAGCTGTGGGGAGGGGTGGAGGCTGAAAGCTCTGTAAGCCTGATTTGCTTCCTCAGCAGGGAAGCTTGTAGCCTGGGGCAAGATCTCAGCTCTTGCTCATTGGCTACCTGTATATAAGCTCTGTGCTGTTATTGGGGCACTGTGGAAGTGAGACTGGCCTTGTTGGGTGCATAGGAGCTATGTGAGGCCTGTCACTGCTGACTTGACTTTCCCCTACTTTCCTGGTGACCTTTATGACTCAGCAGAGGCAACCATAATCCCCCTGGGAACATTACCACATTGCCCTGAGAACCACACCCCTATCCTCCACAGTGGACGCAGCAAGCCCCACACAAAGAGTGTCTGGGCTCTCAGTTACACCTAACCCTGCCCCTACCTGATGGACTTTCTCTATCTGCCTTGGTAACCAAACACAAAAGACATAATCTTTTGGGAGCTCTACGGCCCCACCCGACACCTGGTAAACCCAAATACTTATCCAGGAAACCTTAGGGCAAGCTTGTTTCCCCACCATACTACCGCAGCTGATACTCTTTTGAAAGTGCCACCTCCTGTCTGGAGGCCAACCAACTCAAGCCATTATAACAATTCATAAAAGAACAGCCCTGTTTCAAAAAAGAAGAAAACAACAGCTAATTCCACCTCTGGTAACATCCTGGCTAACCAGAGGTCCTGAGTCTGTCTATGTGACAGTTTCACTGACAGCACAACCGGCATTTGAGGAAACCAGCACACTTAACAAAACTACAACCAAGGACCCACCCAGAATCCACTTCACTCCCCTGCTATGTTTACTGGAGCAGGTACTGGTATCTATGGCTGAGAGACCTGAAAGTAGATCACATCACATTACTCTTTTCAGACACTCCCCAGTACCAGCCCAGAGCCCAGTATCTCCACTGGGTGGCTAGACCCAGAAGAGTGATAACATTCAGTGCAGGCTGGCTCTTAGCAAGCCCTGTCCCTAGGGAAAGTGGGGGAGCACCACATCAAGGGATCACCCCTTAGGATAAAAGAATCTGAAAAACAGCCCTCAAGCCACAGATCTTCCCTCTGATATATTCTACCCAAATGACAAGGAACCAGAGAAACAATTCTGGCAATACAACAAACAAATGTTCTTTAATCTCCCTGAAAAATCACACTAGCTCACCAGCAATGGGTCCAAACCAAGAATAAAACTTAGAGTTGCCAAAAACAAAAAAACAAACAAAAGAACAGAAGGTCGATTATTAAGCTACTCAAGGAGGCACCAGAGAAGGGTAAAAATCCAACTTAAAGAAACTTAAAAAAAAATACAGGATATGGACCAAAAAATCTACAGAGAAATAGCATAAAAAAAGCAATCAAAACCTCTGGAAATGGAAGACACACTAAGAGAAATGCTAAATACACTGGAAAATTTCAACAGACATTCAAAGAAGAACTGGTACCAATCCTATTGAAACAATTTCAAAGAATAGAGAAAGAGAATCCTCCTAAGTCGTGGGAAAGACAAGTATCTTGGGGCCCCCAAAATAGCTAAGCTAAAGGGAAAAATCAAGCTGGAAACTTCCTAGGGCAAACTTGCCTCCCATTCTATTCAGTCACTCCTCTTCTTACTGAAATAAATGGTTATATGATTGCCTCCTTTGGAGAGGCTAATCAGAAACTCAAAAGAATGCAACCATTTGTCTCTTGTCTACCTATGACCTGGAGGCCCCCTCCCTGCTTCGAATTGTCCTACCTTCCCAGACCAAACCAATGTTTATCTTACATATATTGATCAATCTCTCATGTCTTCCTAAAATGTATACACCAAACTGTTCTGACCACCTTGGGCACACATCATCAGGACCTCCTAAGTCTGTCATGGGCACATGTCCTCAACCTTGGCAAAATAAACTTTCTAAGTTATCTGTGCCCTGTCTCACATTTTCATGGTTCACAATTATATGAAGCCAGTATCACCCTATTATCAAAACCAGGAAAGGACATTAACAAAAAAAGAAAACTGCAGACCAATATCCCTGATAAACATAGATGCAGATATTCTCAAGAAAATACTAACTAACCAAATCCAACAGCTTATCAAAAAAAATCAACCATGATCAAGTGGGTTCATACCAGGTATTCAGGGATGGTTTAACATATTCAAGTCAATAAATGTGATACACCACCTAAAGATAATTAAAGACAAAAATCACATGATCATCTCAATAGACACAGAAAAAGCATTTGACAAAATCCAGCAACAACTTATGATTAAAACCCTCAGCAAAATTGGCATAGAAAGGACAAACCTTAAGGTAACAGAAGTCACCTATGACAAACCCACAACCAACATTATACTGAACGGGGAAAAGTTGAAAGCATTCCCCCCCAAGAACTGGGACAAGACAAGATGCCCACTTTCACCACTTCTATTCAACATAGTACTGGAAGTCCTAGCCAGAGCAATCACACAAGAGAAAAGAATGAAGGGCATCCAAATTGGTAAACTGTTGCTGTTCACCGGTGATATCTTTGTATACCTAAAAAACCCTAAAGATTCATCCAAAAAGATCCTAGATTTGATCAGTAAGTTCAGTAAAATTTCAGGATAAGAAATCAATGTACACAAATCAGTAGCACTGCTATACGTCAACAGTGACCAAGCTGAGAATCAAATCAAGAACTTAACTCCTTTTACAATAGCACCAAAAATAAAAAACAAACAAACGAAAAATTTAGGAATATACCTAACCAAGGACATGAAAGACTTCTACAAGGAAAACTACAAAACTCTACTGAAAGAAATCACAGAAGACACAAGCAAATAGAAACACATCCAATATTCATGGATGGGTAGAATTAAATTGTGAAAATGACCATACTGCCAAAAGCAATCTACAAATTCAATGTAATTTCCATCAAAATAACACGATCATTCTTCACAGAACTAGAAAGAAAAATCCTAAAATTCATATGAAACCAAAAAAGAGCCCTCATAGCCAAAGCAAGGCTAAACAAAAAGAATAAATCTGTAGGCATCACATTACCAAACTTCAAACTCTACTGTATGGCTGTAGTCACCAGAACAGCATGATATTGGTATAAAAATAAACACAGAGACTAACGGAACAGAGTAGAGAACCCAAAAATAAAGCTAAGTACTTACAGCTAACTGATCTTTACATAGCAAACAATAATATGAAGTGGGGAAATGACACCCTATTCAATAAATGGTGCTGAGATAACTGGCAAGCCACATGTAGAGAATGAAACTGGATCCTCATCTCTCACTGTATATAAAAATCAACTCAAGATGGATCAAAGACTTAAATCTAAGACCTAAAACCATAAAAATTCTAGAAGATAACATTGGAGAAAACCTTCTAGACGCTGGCTTAGTCAGAGACTTCATGACTAAGAACACAAAAGCAAATGCAACAAAAACAAAGATAAATAATTGGGAATTAATTAAACTAAAAGGCTTCTGCATAACAAAAGAAATAATCCACAGAGTAAACAGACAACCCACAGAGTAGGAGAAAATCTTCACAAACTATGCATTTGAAAAAGGACTAATATCCAGAATTCAAATCAGCAAGAATAAAACAATTAATCTCATCAAAGAGTGGGCTACGGACATGAATAGACAATTCTCAAAAGAAGATATACAAATGGACAACAAACATGAAAAATGCTCAACATCACTTATGATCAGGGAAATACAAATCAAAGCCACAGTGTGATGCCACTTTACTCCTACAAGAATGGCCATAATTTAAAAATCAAAAAATAAGAGATATTTGTGTGGATGTGTTAAAAAGGGAACAATTTTACACTGCTGGTAGAAATGTAAACCAGTATAACCACTGTGGAAAACAGTATGGAAATTCCTCAAAGATCTGAAAGTAGATCTACCGTTTGATCCAGCAATCTCACTACTGGGTATCTACCCAGAAAAAAAGAAGTCACTGGGCCAAATGTGGTGGCTCATGCCTGGTTGGTGTGATCCAAGGTTGGCAGATCACCTGAGGTCAGGAATTCAAGACCAGCCTGGCCAATGGTAAAATCCTGTCTCTACTAAAAATACAAAATTAACCAGGCATGGTGGTGCACACCTGTAGTCCCAGGTACTTGGGAGGCTGAGACAGGAGAATCACTGGAACCTGGCAGCAGGAGGTTGCAGTGAGCCAAGATTGTATCATTGCACTCCAGCTTGGGTGACAGACTGAGACCCTGTCTCAAAAAAAAAAAAAAAAAAAAGGGAGTCATATGAAAAAGACACTTGCACACACATGTTTATAGCAGCACAATTTGCAATTGCAAAAATATGGAACCAGCCCAAATGCCCACCAATCAGTGAGTGGATAAAGGAAATGTGGTATATATATTCTGTGAAATACCGCTCAGCCATATAAAGTAATGAAATAATGGCATTCAAAGCAATTAGGAAGGAGTTGCAGACTATTACTCTAAGTAACTCAGTAATGGAAAAACAAACATATATTCTCAGTTATAAATAGGAGCAAAGCTATGAAGATGTGAAGGCATAAGAATGATAAAACTGACATTGGGGACTCAAGGGAAAGGATGGGAGTGGGTGAGGAATAAAAGACTACAAACCGGCTGAAGTGTACACTGCTTAGGTGATGTGTGCACCAAAATATCAGATCTCACCACTAAAGAACGTATCCATGTAACCAAACACCACCTGTTCCCCAAAATCCTATCAAAACAAAAAAGGGTACATGAGAATAAAAGGTCCCCAAGCAGGTTCAATAAAAATAAAACTTCACTGAAACATATAATAACCAAATAGTCAAAAATCAAAGAGAATTTTGAAAGTAGCAAGAGAAGAGACTTGTCACATACAAGAAAACTTTTATTAGACTATCAGCAAATTTATTGATTAAAAAAACTTTAAGCTGAGGAGACAATGGGATGATGCATTCAAAGTTTTAAAAGAAAAGAGACTACAAACCAAGAATACTTTACCTGGCATAGCTGTCATTCAGAAAGGAAGGAGACATAAAGACTTTCCCAGAAAACAAAAACTGACAAAGTTCATTAACACTAGACCTACCTCACAGCAAATGCTAAAGGAGACACTTCAAGCTGAATCAAAAGAATTCTAATTAGTAACAAAAAAATGAAATTATAAAATTTAATGGAAAAGGTAAGTGTGTAGTAAAATTCAGAATACTCTAATACTGGAATTGTGGTAAATAAATCACTGTTCATTCTAGTATAAAGATTAACAAACAAATGTATGTAACATAACTATGACTACCACAAGTTGTTAATAGATATACATATAAAAAGCACACACACACACATTTTGACATCAAAAACATAAAATGTTTGGGGGTGTGTGTATAAATGTTGAATTTGGGTAAGAGAACAAATGTAAGTTTATATGGGATTAACTAGATAGCTACAGCTATAAGATATTTCATGTAAGCCCCATAATAACCACCAAAAACCCACTTATATACAAGAGAAAGAGGCAGAAACAAAAGCATACCACCACACAAAACTCATCAAATCAAAAACGAAGACAGCAAGAGAGGACAAAAGGAACAAAGAAACCATTAAATAGTCAGAAAACAACTAACAAAAGGATAATTGTAAGTATTGTTAGCTATTAATAATTATATGAAATGTAAATGAATTAAATTTCCCAATCAAAAGATATAGGCCATTAAATGAATTAAGAAAAAGAGGGGCCAGGCATGGTGGCTCGTGCCTGTGATCCCAGCACTTTGGGAGGCTGAGGCAGGTGGATCATGAGGTCAGGAGTTTGAGACCAACCTGACCAACATGGTGAAACCCAATCTCTACTAAAAATACAAAAATTAGCTAGGCGAGGTGGTGCACACCTGTAATCACAGCTACTCAGGAGGCTGGGGGAGGATCCCATCACTTGAACCCGGGAGCCAGAGGTTGCAGTGAGCCGAGATTGTGCCATTGCACTCCAGCCTGGGTGACAGAGTGAGATTTTGTCTCCAAAAAAAAAAAAAAAAAAAATCCTCTGTCCAAGACGGCCAAATAGGAACAGCTCCAGTCTACAGCTCCCAGTGTGAGCAAAGCAGAAGATGGGTGATTTCTGTATTTCAAACTGAGATACCAGGTTCATCTCACTGGGACTTGTTGGACAGTGGGTGCAGCCCATGGAGTGTGAGCTGAAGCAGGGCGGGGCATCACTTCACTGGGGAAGCACAAGGGATCAGGGAATTCCCTTTCCTACCAAGGGAAGCTATGACAGACGGTAACTGGAAGATCGGGACACTCCCACCCTAATACCGGGCTTTTCCAATGGTCTTAGCAAACGGCACACCAGGAGATTACATCCTGCACCTGGCTCCATGAGTCCCATGCCCATGGAGCCTTGCTCACTGCTAGTACAGAAGTCCAAGATCAAACTGCTAGGTGGCAGTGAGGCTGGGGAGGGGCGTCCACCATTGCTGAGGCTTGACTAGGTAAAAAAAAGTGGCAGGAATCTCGAACTGGGTGGAGCCCACCACAGCTCAATGAGACCTGCCTGCCTCTGTAGACTCCACCTCTGGGAGCAGGGCACAGCTGAACAAAAGGCAGCAGAAACTTCTGCAGACTTAAACGTCCCTGTCTGACAGCTTTGAAGAGAGTAGTGGTTCTCCCATCACAGAGTTTGAGATCTGAGAATGGACAGACTGCCTCCTCAGGTGGGTCCCTGACTACTGAGTAGCCTAACTGGGAGACACCTCCCAGTAGGGACCGACAGACACCTCTTACAGCCAGGGGCCCCTCTGAGACAAAGCTTCCAGATGACGGATCAGGCAGCAACATTTGCTGTTCTGCAATATTTACTGTTCTGCAACCTCTGCTGGTGATGTCCAGACAAACACGGTCTGGAGTGGACCTCCAGCAAACTCCAACAGACCTGCAGCTGAGGGTCCTGACTGTTAGAAGGAAAACTAACAAACAGAAAGGAATAGCATCAACATCAACAAAAAGGACATCCATAACAAAACCGCATCTGCAGGTCACCATCATCAAAGACCAAAGGTAGATAAAACAACAAAGATGGGGAGAAAGCAGAGCAGGAAAGCTGAAAATTCTAAAAATCAGAGTGCTTCTCCTCCGCCAAAGGATCACAGCTCCTTGCCAGCAACAGAAAAAAGCAGGATGGAGAATGACTTTGACGAGTTGACAGAAGTAGGCTTCAGAAGATCGGTAATAACAAACTTCTCCAAGCTAAAGCAGGATGTTCGAACCCTTCACAAAGAAGCTAAGAACCTTGAAAAAAGATTCGACAAATGGCTAACTAGAATAAACGGAGTAGAGGAGACCTTAAATGACGTGATGCAGCGAAAACCATGGAACGAGAACTAGGTGACGCATGCACAAGCTTCAGTAGCTGATTCGATCAAATGGAAGAAAGGATATAAGTGATTGAAGATCAAATGAATGAAATGAAGTGAAAAGAGAAGTTTAGAGAAAAAAAGAGTAAAAAGAAATGAACAAAGCCTCCAAGAAATATGGGACTATGTGAACAGACCAAATCTACATTTGATTGGTGTACCTGAAAGTGATGGGGAGAACAGAACCAAGTTGGAAAACACTCTTCAGGATATTATCCGGGAGAACTTCCCCAACCCAACAAGGCAGGCCCACATTCAAATTCAGGAAATACAGAGAATGCAACAGAGATACTCCTCAAGAAGAGCAACCCCAACACACATAATTGTCAGATTCACCAAGGCTGAAATGAAGGAAAAATTGTTAAGGGCAGCCAGAGAGAAAGGTCGGGTTACCCACAAAGGGGAGCCCATCAGAATAACAGTGGATTGCTCAGCGGAATCTCTACAAGACAGAAGAGTGGGGGCCAATATTCAACATTCTTAAAGAAAAGTATTTTCAACCCAGAATTTCATATCCAGCCAAACTAAGCTTCATAAGTGAAGGAGAAATAAAATCATTTACAGACAAGCCAATGCTGAGAGATTTTGTCACCACCAGGCCTGTCCTACAAGAGCTCCTGAAGGAAGTACTAAACATGGAAAGGAACAACTGGTACCAGCCACTGCAAAAACATGCCAAATTTTAAAGACCATCGATGCTAGGAAGAAACTGCATCAACTAATGAGCAAAATAACCAGCTAACATCACAATGACAGGAGCAAATTCACACATAACGATATTAACCTTAAATGTGAATGGGCTAAATGCCCCAATTAAAAGACACAGACTGGCAAATTGGATGGAGTCAAGACCCATCAGTGTGCTGTATTCAGGAGACTCATCTCATGTGCAGAGATACACATAGGCTCAAAATAAAGGGATGGAGGAAGATTTACCAAGCAAATGGAAAACAAAAAAAGCAGGAATTGCAATCCTAGTCTCTGATAAAACAGACTTTAAACCAACAAAGATCAAAAGAGACAAAGAAGGCCATTGCATAATGGTAAAGGGATCAATGCAACAAGAAAAGTTAACTATCCTAAATATATACACACCCAATACAGGAGCACCGAGATTCATAAAGCAAGTCTGTAGAGACCTACAAAGAGACTTAGACTCCCGCACAATAATAATGGGAGACTTTAACACCCCACTGTCAACACTAGACAGATCAGCGAGACAGAAAGTTAACAAGGATATCCAGGAGTTGAACTCAGCTCTGCACCAAGTGGACCTAATAGACATCTACAGAATTCTCCACCCCAGATCAACAGAATATACATTCTTCTCAGCACCACATTGCACTCATTCCAAAATTGACCACATAGTTGGAAGTAAAGCACTCCTCAACAAATGTAAAAGAACAGAAATTATAACAAACTGTCTTCCAGACCACAGTGCAATAAAATTAGAACTCAGGAGTACAAAACTCACTCAAAACCACTCAACTACATGGAAACTGAACAACCTGCTCCTGAATGACTACTGGGTACATAACAAAATGAAGGAAGAAGTAAAGATGTTCTTTGAAACCAATGAGAAAAAAGACACAACATACCAGAATCTCTGGGACGCATTTAAAGCAGTGTGTAGAGGGAAATTTATAGCACTAAATGCCCACAAGAGAAAGCAGGAAAGATCTAAAATCGACACCCTAACACCACACTTAAAAGAACTAGAGAAGCCAGAGGAAACACATTCAAAAGCTAGCAGAAGGCAAGAAATAACTAAGATCAGAGCAGAACTGAAGGAGATAGAAACACAAAAACCCTTCAAAAAATCATTGAATCCAGGAGCTGGTTTTTTGAAAAGATCAACAAAATTGATAGACGGCTAGCAAGACTAATAAAGAAGAAAAGAGAGAAGAATCAAATAGACGCAATAAAAAATGATAAAGGGGATATCACCACTGATCCCACAGAAATACAAACTACCATCAGAGAATATTATAAACACCTCTATGCAAATAAACTAGAAAATCTAGAATAAATGGATAAACTCCTGGACACATACACACTCCCAAGACTAAATGAGGAAGAAGTTGAATGCCTGAATAGACCAATAACAGGCTCTGAAATCGAGGCAATAATTAATAGCCTACCAACCAAAAAAAGTCCAGGACCAAACTGATTCACAGCCAAATTCTACCAGAGGTACAAAGAGGAGCTGGTACAATTCCTTCTGAAACTATTCCAAGCAGTAGAAAAGGAGGGAATTCTCCCTAACTCATTTTATGAGGGAAGCATCATTCTGATACCAAAGCCTGACAGAGATACAACAAAAAAAAAGAGAATTTTAGACCAATATCCCTGATGAACATAGGTGCAAAAATCCTCAATAAGATACTGGCAAACTGAATCCAGCAGCACATCAAAAAGCTTATCCATCACGATCAAGTTGGCTTCATCCCTGGGATACAAGGCTGGTTCAACATACGCAAATCAATAAACGTAATCCATCATATACACAGAACCAAAGACAAAAACCACATGATTATCTCAATAAATGCAGAAAAGGCTTTCATCAAAATTCAAGAGCCCTTCATGCTAAAAACTCTTCATAAACTATGTGTTGATGGGATGTATCTCAAAATAATAAGATCTGTTTATGACAAACCCACAGCCAATATCATACTGAATGGGCAAAAACTGGAAGCATTCCCTTTGAAAACTGACACAAGACAAGGATGCTCTGTCTCACCACTCTTATTCAACATAGTGTTGGAAGTTCTGGCCAGGGCAATCAGACAGGAGAAAGAAATAAAGCGTATTCAATTAGGAAAAGAGGAAGTCAAATTGCCCCTGTTTGCAGATGACATGATTGCATATTTAGAAAACCCCATAGTCTCAGCCCAAAATCTCCTTAAGCTGATAAGCAATTGCAGCATATTCTCAGGACGGAAAATCAATATGCAAAAATCACAAGCATTCTTATACACCAATAACAGACAGAGAGCCAAATCATGAGTGAACTCCCATTCACAATCACTTCAAAGAGAATAAAATACCTAGGAATCCAACTTACAAGGGACGTGAAGGACCTCTTCAAGTAGAACTACAAACCACTGCTCAATGAAATGAAAGAGGACACAAAGGGAAGAGCATTCCATGCTCATGGATAAGAAGAATCAATATCATGAAAATGGCCATACTGTCCAAGGTGATTTAGAGATTCAATGCCATCCCCACCAAGCTACCAATGACTTTCTTCACAGAACTGGACAAAACTACTTTAAATTTTATATGGAACCAAAAAAGAGCTCGCATTGACAAGACAATCCTAAGCAAAAAGAACAAAGCTGGAGGCATCAGGCTACATGACTTCAAATTATTCTACAAGGCTATAGTAACCAAAACAGCATGGTACTGGTACCAAAATAGAGATATCGACCAATGGAACAGAACAGAGGCCTCAGAAATAATACAACACATCTACAACCATCTGATCTCGGACAAACCTGACAGAAACAAGAAATGGGGAAATAATTCCCTATTTAATAAATGGTGCTGGGAAAACTGGCTAGCCATATGAAGAAAGCTGAAACTGGATCCCTTCCTTACACCTTATACAAAAATTAATTCAAGATCGATTAAAGACTTACATGTTAGACCTAAAACCATAAAAACCCTAAAAGAAAACCTAGGCAATAGCATTCAGGACATAGGCATGGGAAAGGACTTCATGACTAAAACACCAAAAGCAATGGCAACAAAAGCCAAAATAGACAAATGGAATGTAATTAAACTAAAGAGCTTCTGCACAGCAAAAGAAACTACCATCAGAGTGAACAGGCAACCTACAGAATGGGAGAAAATTTTTACAATCTTCCCATCTGACAAAGGGCTAATATCCAGAATCTACAAAGAACTCAAACAAATTTACAAGAAAAAGTCAAACATCTCCATCAAAAATTGGGCAAAGGATATGAACAGATGCTTCTCAAAAGAAGACACTTATGCAGCCAACAGACACATGAAAAAATGCTCATCATCACTGGCCATCAGAGAAATGCAAGTCAAAACCACAATGAGATACAATCTCACACCAGTTAGAATGGTGATCATTAAAAAGTCAGGAAACAACAGGTGCTGGGGAGGATGTGGAGAAATAGGAACACTTTTACACTGTTAGTGGGAATGTAATTAGTTCAACCATTGTGGAAGACAATGTGGTGATTCCTCAAGGATCTAGAACTAGAAATACCATTTGACCCAGCGATCCCATTACCAGGTGTATACCCAAAGGATTATAAATCATGCTGCTACAAAGACACATGCACACATATGTTTATTGTGGCACTATTCACAATAGGAAAGACTTGGAACCAACCCAAATGTCCACCAATGATAGACTGGATTAAGAAAATGTGGCATATATACACCATGGAATACTATGCAGCCATAAAAAGGATGAGTTCATGTCCTTTGCAGCGACATGGATGAAACTGGAAACCATCATTCTCAACAAAGTATTGCAAGGACAGAAAACCAAACACTGCATGTTCTTACTCATAGGTGGGAATTGAACAACAAGAACACTTGGACACAGGGTGGGGAACATCACACAGTGGGGACTGTCATGGGGTGGGGGTAGGGGGTAGGGATAGCATTAGGAGAAATACCTAATGTAAATGACGAGTTAATGGATGCAGCAAAGCAACATGGCACATATATACTTATGTAACAAACCTGCACATTGTGCACATGTACCCTAGAACTTAAAGTATAATAATAATAATAAAAAAAGCCTGTAATCCCAGCACTTTGGGAGGCCGAGGCAGGTGGATCACAAGGTCAGGAGATCGAGACCATCCTGGCTAACACGGTGAAACCCTGTCTCTACTAAAAAAATACAAAAAATTGGCCAGGCATGGTGGCGGGCGCCTGTAGTCCCAGCTACTCGGGAGGCTGAGGCAGGAGAATGGCATGAACCGGGGAGGCGGAACTTGCCATGAGCAGAGATCACGCCACTGCACTCCAGCCTGGGGGACAAAGCAAGACTCCGTCTCCAAAAAAAAAAAAAAAAAAAGAAAAGAAAAAGAAAAAGAAGACAAGACCAATTATAAGCTGCCTACAAGGGACTTATTTTTTCTTTAAGGATGTATGTAGGCTTAAAGTGAAGAGATTGAATAAGATACTATGTGCAAACGGGAAACCAAAGAGCGTAGGGTAGGCATACTTATATCAGACAAAATACAAAATAGACATTAAGTGTCCCAACAAACAAAGAAGGTTATGTATAATGATAAAGGTATCAATTTCTCAAGAGGGTATAACAACTGTAATAATATATATAGCTAACACCAGCGCATCTAATGCGTAAAGCATATATTCAACACAGAAAGGAGATACAGATAACAATACAGTAATGATAGAGGTCTTCAATACCTGGCTTTCAACAATGGATACATCATCCAGAAAGAAAATCAAATAGAAAACATTGGGCTTGAACTACATTTTAGACTAAGGGAACTTAACAGAAATGTACAGAATATTTCATCCAACGTGAGCATAATACACATTTTTTTTCAAGTGTACTCAGAACATTCTTCAGGATAAATCATATATTAGGTCAGAAGACAAGTCTTTAAACATTCAAGAAGACTGAAGTCATATCAAGTATCTCTTCTGACAACAATGAAATGAAACTAGATATCAAAAACAGGCAAGAAAAAAATCAAAAGTTAAATAAAAAATAGCTTGAAACAAGTAAAAATGGAAACAAAGCATACTAAAACTTATGGGATGCAGGAAAAGCAGTTCGAAGAGAGATGTTTATAGTAATGATTGCTTACATAAAGAAGAAAGGAAGCTCTCCAATAAGTGATCTCACTTTACATCATAAGGAACTAGAAAAAAAAAAAAAGAACGGAGTAAGCCTAAATTTAGCAGAAGGAAAAAAATAATAAAGACTGGAATAAAATGGAGGCAAAACAACAGAAAATATTACGAAAATTCAGAGTTGGTTTTTTGAAAAGATAAACGAAACTGGCAAACTTTCAGTTAACCAGGTGGAAAAAAAGAAATGATTTAAATAAATAGAATCAGATATGAAATAGGAGAGTTCATAAATTATAACACAGGGCTACAAAGGATGATAAAAAAAACTACTAGGACAATTACATGTGAACAAATTGTATACCTAAAAGAAATGAATAAATTCCTAGCAACCTTCTGATGCTGAATTATGATGAATTGGAAAATATAAACAGGCCAGTAATGAGTATGGAGATTAAATCAGTATTTTAAAATCTCCCAACAAAGAAAAGCCCAGGACCAGATTGCTTCACTGGTGTATTATACCAAACATTTAAAGAATAATTAACATCAAGCTTTCTCAAACTCTCCCTCAAAACTGAAGAGGATTGAATACTTTTAAACTTATTCTTCAAGGCTAGCATTACCCTGATACTGCAAACAGAGAAGCAAAGTAAATTACAGGCCAACATCACTGATGGATTCCTTTATACCAAAATAGGTATAAAAGAATATACTTCAACATAGTAAAGGACATATATGACAGTCTCACAGCCAAGATCATACTCAACGGTAAAAAACTGAAAGTTTTTCCTCTTACAACAGTAATAAGACAAGAATCTCCACTCTCACCACTTCTATTCAACATAGTACTAGAAATCCTAGCCAGAGCAATTAGGCAAGAAAAAGAAGTAAAATCATCTAAATAGAAAAGGATGATGTAAAATGGCTTTGTTTGCAGATAACATGATTTTATGTAGAGAAAAATCCTCAAGACTCCAGCAAATAACTGTTACAACTAATGAACAGATTTGATAAACTTTCAAGGTACAAAATAAACATTTGTAATTCTGTTGCACCTCTATCCATCAACAGCAAACTGTCTGAAAAAGAATTTAAGAAAATAATTCCATTTACAATTGCATCAAAATAGCAAAATACTTAGGAATAAATTTAACCAAGGAGGTGAAAGATCTATACACTGAAAGCTATAAAGCATGGATAAAAGAAATTAAAGACACAAATCAATAAAAAGATATTCCATGTTCCTAAATAGGAAGAATTAATTTTATTAAAATTTCTATACTAAAGTGATTTACATATTTGACGCCATACTTATCATAATTCCAATGACATGTTTCTCAGAAGTAGAAAAAAAACCCTAAAATTTGTGCAAATCTAAAATGACCCTGAATAGCTAAAACACTGTTGTGCAACTGGAAGCACTAGACTTCCTGATTTCAAATTAAATTATAACTCTGTAGCAATCAAAACATTATGGCAATACCATAAAAACAAACACATATAGTAATAAAATAGAATAGAAAGCTCACAAATAAAGTGATATGTGTGTATACATTACATATATATATAATGTATACACACACACACATATACATATATATAGTCAACTAGTCTTCCACAAAGCTTCCAAGAATACACAATGAGTAAAGGATAATGTCTTCAATAAATAACACTGGGAATACGTTGAATATCAATATGCAAAAGAAAGAAACTGGACTCATACCTTATATTATACACTAAAATCAACTCAAAAGGGATTAAAGAAATAGATTTAAGATGTGAGACTGTAAAACTACTAGATGAAAAATAGGAAAATGTTCCTTGACATTGTTTGGGCAATGATTTTTTTGGATATGACCTCAAAAGCACAGACAAAAAAGCAAAAAGCAAAAATATTACAAATTATGCCACATCAAATTAAATAGTTTCTTTTCACCAAAAGAAACAATCAACACAATTAAAAGGCAACTTATGGCTGGCGAGCATGGTGGCTCACGCCTGTAACCCCAGCACTTTGGGAGGCTGAGGTGGGTGGATCATGAGGTCACGAGTTCAAGACTAGCCTGGTCAAGATGGTGAAACCCCATCTCTACTACAAATACAAAAATTAGCAGGGCATGGTGGGAGGTACCTGTAATCCCAGCTACTCGGGAGGCTGAGGCAGAGAATTGCTTGAACCCGGGAGGCGGAGGTTGCAGTAAGCCGAGATCGTGCCACTGCACTCCAGCCTGGGTGACAGAGTGAGACTCTATCTCAAAAAAAAAAAAAAAAAAGGCAACTTATAGATAGGACAAAATATTTGCAAATCATGTATCCAAGAACAGGTTAATACCCAAAATATATAAGGAATTCATCCAAGTCAACAGCATAAAAGCATGTAGCCTGATTAAAGAATGGGCAAAGAATCTGAATAGACTTCTTTTTTTTTTTTCCCAAAGAAGAGATACAAATGGCCAACAGGTATATGAAAAAGTGCATAATATCACCAATAACCATTGAAATTCAAATTGAAACCACAAAAAGATATCACCTCATCATACCCATTAGGATAGCAATTATCAAAAAGTCAAAAGAAAGCAAGTGATGGTAAAAATGTGAATACTAAAGAACCCTTCGACAATGTTGGTGGGAATGTAAATTGATAGAATCAATAACAAAATGATTCTATCAATTTACATTTCCGCCACCATTGAGGTTCCTCAAAAAGCTAAAACTTTATCATATGATCTAGCAATCCCACTTCACCACTTCAGGACTTCAGGGCATATATATATATATATATATATATATATATATATATATATATATGTGATTTACATATTTGATGCCATACTTATCATAATTCTAATGACATTTTTCTCAGAAGTAGAAAAAAAAATCCTAAAATTTGTACAAATCTAAACTGACCCTGAATAGTTAAAACAATGTTGTGCAAGAACAACTGGAATATATATATATATATATAGACACACACATGCATATGCGTACATATGCGTGTGAATGTGTATAAATTCACTTACGTATGTGTGTGTAAATTCACTGTTTTGAAGAGCTATCTGTGCTCCCATACTTCCACGTTCATTGCAGCATTATTCACAATAATCAAGCTATGAAACAAAAGTGTATATTGACAGATGAATGAATGAAGAAAATCTGATACATAGACACACACAGAAGAATATTATTCAGCCTTAAAAATGAACTAAGTTCTGCCATTTTTGACAATGTGGATGAACTTGTAGGACATTATGCTAAGTGAAATAAGCTGGACATAGAAAGACAAATACTGCATGATCTCACTTATATGTGGAATCTTAAAAAGTTGGGCCAATAGAAACAGAGTGGAATGATGGCTGTCAGTGACTAGAAGAGGGGACAAATGGGGATATGCTGACCGAGGGGTACAAGCATTGAGTTACAAGACGGATACATTCTGGAGATCCAGTGTACAGCATGGTGACTATAGTTAACAATATGTGTAACAAATCTTAAATGTCATCATCACACACACAAAAAGGTTAACTATGTGAGGCGATAGAGATATTAATTAACTTGATGGTGATAATCCTTTCACATTGTATATGTACATAAAATCATTGGGTTGTAAACCTTAAATATATACTATTTTTATTTGTCAAACAAAATCACTGATAAGGAATATAAGCAACTTTCTGCAAGTTCAGGCCAAGTTTTTCTGCTAAATTAGTTCATGTCAAGTTAGCTTCCTCCTAAATGAATTCATGTGAGGTCAACTTGCCACCAAATGAGTTCGAAGAAATTGTTAAATTTTTAGCACTGTTTTGACTTCAGCAATGTGGGAAAAAAAAATCTGAAATTGTATAATATTAGCTATTTTCTATATGTATTCACTAAAATCTGAGTTTAATAATATATTCTGTTTTAATGTATGATAGCTTTTAAGGACTAATAAATAAAAGGTATATATAGTACTATATAAGGACTTGGTGTATCATGGTATAACAGAACTTAATTCACTTTAAAAATATGAAGCAATTACAGTAATTATAATAGATTGCATTTTGAAGGTCTCAATATCCTGAATTTTTAAAATGGTTTTATTTCATGCGCTTTTAAAAGACTATATTTAAAACTTGGGACATACAGAGTGAGGCACTCACTGTGATTTGTAAGTAATTGCTTCTTCATCTCCATGAGTAGCACCATCCCATTTAAGAAATGGAATGCAAAAGCTGATTACGCTGAGAAGAAGGATAGTTTCTGCAGCATTGTTTGCTGTATAGCACCTTGTGATACTTGCACTTCTTGCATTGAAACAATCTACTCTATGGGCACTGTTTGTATCAAAAGCCTTCTATACATAATGTGAAAGTTTCTTCAATTGTGAACAGCACAGTAGTAGTAGTTAGGGCTTTATTACTTAGTTCTAATTTGTATTGATGGCCTAAAAAAAGTAGCATGCTTTGCAGTTCTATGAAAGAAAAGATTATAAATGGAGATTAATTATAATTTTGCTAGCTCAGTACTTGTAAAACTAAAGCAATTTATATTCTTTCTCTTAATGATCTCCATTCCTGATTGCAGTAATGTAATCTAATTGTGATTATGATAGTATCTGAATCATGTGGGCCTCAATGTGATTGAAACTACTCTTTGCATTAAAAAGTAATTTTGGAGTAATGATGAAAAGTTACTGTGGAAAATTGGCAAGTAATATATTTTACTCTGTATCTTAAGTTTCTGCTTTCATTTTTGATTATATCTCATAGCATGGATAAGTACGATATTATATCAAGGATTTATTACATCAAAGCCTTATCGATGATAAGTATGAGTATGAGTATCAAGGATAAGCATGATATTATTGAAATGGAAATGCTATGGTTGAGTCAGAGAAATGACTGAGGAATTAAAATGCTAGGATAAGGTTTACTGAAAGTGGAAACCAAATAAGAAGGAGGAGGGAGGGCTCAATATTGCACACGTATGATAGCCAGTAAAAAGAAATGCTGTGGGTGTTTAGCTGACACAGCAGATGCTATTTGGACAGACATTAAGGAAAATAAGGGTAGTCAGGTATTTTGTGAATGTTGAAATACACCTCCAGGGCAGGAAGAGAAAATAGACAGGAAATGTTTTGTTTTATTTTGTTTTGTTTCTTAATAAAATACCCTTAGCAGGGTTGAAACTTGTTAAGGCAAAAAAAGTAATCCACATGTATGCACAGTTAAAGATGATGATTTGCAAAATCGTGCTCTAGAATTTGAAAAATAAGTGAATAAAAGTTAATTTTTTTAATATTTACTATTGAAACACCTAGATAAGTATTTATTATGAAAATAGAAGATTTCAAGGGAGGTTGTTCTGGGAAAGGATATTTTTGAAAGAATGCAAAAACCACAAAGAAAATTTTTCTTATAATCATAATGAATTTGTGGGAAAACTTATAATTTAAAAAAGTGGTGATGCATTTAGTAGCCATTTAAATTATGATTAAGGAAAAAGCTGATATACTTTAAAAATGAGCCTAAGCAAAATTATGCTTGAAATATCCTGAAACAGATATTACATAAATATAATTGAATTGATAATAGGTAGTAAAAAGAAAGAAGCTGACTAATAGAAATCTATCAAAATTTTGAAGGACAAGTTGGCACTTCTTATAATAGAGAGTATTTGCTAATCCCTCAAGTTATAGCATGGGTGAAATAAGAACACCAATAGGTAACCTCCCCATGACACTCAATCCAAATGTAAGAAAGGATATCTTTCAAACCTTCATTTCTGGGTGACACCACAGGGGGAAAAAATGGATAAACAAGAAAAGAAAGTACAAACTCATTTTGTAGTTACTACTGACAGTGAAAACAATCCTCTTGCTCCATCCCTGGAGTCTGTGAAGATCCATTTTAAAATGTCTCTTGAAGCAGTGATGTGACTCAGGAGAAGAGAAGGGATTGCCTATATATAAATGGCTCACTGTTTCTAGTGGAAAGAGGCACATTAACTCTTTCAGACCACTAGAATCCATTTACCAAATTACGTTTCTTTCTTTCTTTCTTGTTTTTAGTGCAACAAATTGTACTGAAGAAGTAATGCAACTCCATGAAGTGCATCATTTCCTCCCATTCTGTCTCTGATACTTATGTACAGATAAGTGCCTTGTCTATTGCCATTTTTAGACTCACCCTTTAAGAGGAATACACTGTGAAATAGATACTCTCCAAGCTCAGTCAAGAAGAGAATATCGTGAACCTCTATGGTACATTACGGTCAGTTATAATAGACCAGGGAGGGAAGTGAGCCTATGGTCTATAGACCATAATGACTATAATATGATGACCCTGTAACACATAGATGCATTGAAGTGTAGCACTGAAACTTTTGCAGTTTTTCTTTATCAGAGATAGCTGTAAAAATGTCCAAGATAGGCAAGATGCTTATTTCTTCCCACCCTCCTGGTGAACTTATATCCCAACATGGAAAGAGGATGAGCCTGTTCCACCTCATTTCTACTTTCTTGAATGAATTCCACAGTTTTCTCACTTCAAGATAGAAAGTCCATCTTTTTTATTCTAGTGAATCATGGATCTTTTTGTCATCCTTTCTTAAAAGAATATGGCAATATTTGGTATTAGAGCAATTGTTATATTCTTGAGCAAAGACTTGACATATTAAGCCTTTTGGGAGGCTGTTGTTTGTGGGAAATTCTCTGTGGCAAGCTCATTTATTTATTCATACACTTATCAGTGTATCCATAAGTTACTGCAATTGACAAACGCTGAAATAAGCATGGGAGAAACAGGGATGATTCCTCTGCACGTGGGTACTTAATCCTAATGCCTACAATCTAATGAGGCAGTACATCCATTGTGCTCAGCGCCTTCATTCAATCACTCCCACGCTGTAACATGGAAATTGGAGGGCACGAGACAAACACAGGAGGGGCACATCTAATTTACTGTTAAGGTCGGGGGACACTTCCTAGAAAAAGGAACTAGATAACTTAAAGCTGCAGTGGAAAGTGATGGAGGCCAAAGTGAGTCCCATTTCTATCTCTTCGATGTGTTTACATGGAAGAGGAGTTAAAAGAAACTTTAAACACGTGGTGTACCGTTATACCATCAATTTGTTGAGTGAGATTGCTGTGTGTTACTAATTCTTAAGAGGATACAGTGAGATAACAATATAATTTATTATTTCACACATTGAAGACTCTCTTTCTGTTTCTCTTTAACTTCAGCTGCTTTATTTTGTCTCTGGCAACTCAGCAACTACCTGCTTGTGTACTATTTCTCCCAGAAAATTGGTTATGGCTACTGACATGTAGCTCATGAAAAAATTATAACCAAGTTATTAAATTTTATTTACTTAAGGTAGTGATGTTCAGTACAGGCTAGACTTTAGAATCACCTGGGAAAATTTTCGCAAAATAATTATGATCCACCTACACTAAATATACCAGGAAACTAGGAGAGCTGACCAAATATCAATGAACCAACAAGCAGAAGGACCACATTCACTCATCCCATGAAAGCAACACATTCATTTTACAGGATGAAGGGCCCAGCCAGTCAATAACGGCAATGCAAATTAAGCCTATGTAACAAAAGAAGTATGATAGTATTAACATCTATTCTCACCAGCTCCTTTTTGTTAGTCCTTTGTTTGTTTGTTTGCTTTCGAGATGGAGTTTCACTCTTGTTTCCCAGGCTGGAGTGCAATGGCGCAATCTTGGCTCATCACAACCTTCTCCTCCCAGGTTCAAGTGATTATCCTGCCTCAGCCTCCTGAATAACTGAGATTACAGGCATGCGCCACCACGCCTGGCTAATTTTGTATTTTTAGTAGAGACGGGGTTTCTCCATGTTGGTCAGGCTGGTCTCCAACTCGCAACCTCAGGTGATCCCCCGACCTTGGCCTCCGAAAGTGCTGGGATTACAGGTGTGAACCACTGTGCCTGGCCACTTTTTGTTTTTATTAGTAACCTTAGGTGTATTAGTAATAAATCGTGCAGACAATGTCTCAGCATTTCCTTTTATATTTTGACCAGGTTATGACTTCACAACTATCAGGGTTAATTCTTGACTTAGCCCTAGGTAATCATCTCTCTAGTCTGGAAATTAACGTGTTTAGTATTTTGGAATTAGGAGGATAACTGCTTAATATCCATAGCTAATATTCATGATGTCTGAGCTTCAGTGGCAAGGACCATGAAATCATGCCATATATTTGGTCGATTGGAGGAATAATATTTATCATTTATTGAACTTCTATGCCAATGACCATGCTGGGTATTTTTCATGCATAACCTCACTTAAACCTCAGCTATTATTGTCCTCATTTTGTATACGGAAAGCTCCGTCTCAGAGAATTTTCATGAATTTACTGAAGCAACACAGATCCTGCAAACCAACATTTAAACCCCAGGTATGTCTGCCTGCAGAGCCTATATTTGTCTCTCGTTGCCATACTACCTCTCTCTATAGAGAACACCGAAACATTCTTTGGAAAAGTCATGCAGAAATTATCTCAAAAGTTAGGGCAACTCTCTATAACAAGGGACAGATAACTGCAGTTATAGTCACAGAATGACTCAGTTGTGTTTGACAACAGCCCATGAAAACAAGACCTCTTAAAGGGAGATTAATGCCATCAAATCCTTTCAACTCAGACCTACACCTGCTTATACAATTGGCCTTTCACATACCAGTCGGTAAAATCCAGCCTCGGGAGAGAGAGACACATGCAGTATTTATATTGTTGTTGAAAGTTTCACGGCCTTCAAACCACACAGGTTGGAATTGAATGTGAAAATCTGTCTTCTGACTTCTTTTGAGGAATTGCTAATCTTCCGAAGGATGTTGTGCTTGCTCTGCACAAATAGTTTTGCAGGAGAACGTGGTTATGCTGTGGTCGCTAAAAGAAGCTAAGTTGTTTCCTTCATTTACAACAACAGCAAAAAGAATTATTTGCTATATTGAAGCTGTTTAAAATCAATAACACAAAGAATAGAATATTTCATTATCCTTTAAAACAATATAGGAGGACCCTGCTCCTATCATTTTGACTTCCAAGAGAACATATAAAATTAAAGGTGATGGCTAAATAAAAGGCTGAATTAAACAGTTGCTTGATCCAGTAGACCCTGGGCAGGAACAAATGGCCATACCTGCACCAGAATTATTTTGCAACAAACCAAATGTAAGCTGTAGCCTGGGCAATACTACTTACTGCTAGGGTGTTAAGCCAGTCACTGTTTACTCTAAGTTGAGAAAGAACAATCTATCTCTGCATGATTTTCTACAACATCCCAACTCCTAAACACTTAATATCCTTGCTTTTAGAAACAAATATCAGACTTTATTTTGATTAAGTCAGATTGCCTAATGTTTTATTCTTCTGAAAGCGGGTACAAATACTAGAGTTAACTGATTTCTAAAATGCCTAAGTAATAGGCGTTTGGAGTGTGAAGAACCATGTAATGAGTCCATTCAACATCTTTTTGGGGGGCATCTTGTTTTCATAATAGGCAATGTTGTCTTTTGCCATAAGAAGAGAGGTAGCTTAAAGTACTTCCCAAAGTGGCAGAGTTGCAGAAAAAAATCCTATTGCCAAAAGCCAGTTTCTTAGCAACAGCACCCTCTAATGTGTCACAAAGTCTGAAGCCTTTTGGCCCCTCAAAGGAAGTTCCTTAGGTGTCTTTTACACATTGAATGCTTTGTGATAGTTGAGGCCTGCTGGCTGTCAACTCCGTCCCTTAAGGGAACTTGACAGATCTTAAAAAAAAAATCAATTTTAAACTCACATGCCCCAGTGGGTGCCAAAGCCACTTCAGAGAGCCTGAAAGATGGCTGAGTCGACAGGATTTGACTTCTGGAGGTAGAAAGGTGACAAACTCTATCATGAGAAAGGGGCAGCTTGGGGCCTCAGAGGCCTAACCTGCTCCCAGGATCTGGGGCCTGGTGTTGTATTGAACCTATTTATCTCTTTCATGGGCCTAAGGTACCACAGGGAAAGAAAAGTTGTTCAAAAAATGCTGGCAGAATTCAGGGGTGTAAATGATGAATTACTTTTCATCAGCTGAAAGGAAACATACTCCGGAACAATACTGAAAGGGAGCAGGAGCGGCTGACCCCTGCTTCAGAGCAGCCAATATCTTCATTCAAGAAGACAACCATGAAATTACACAGAAAATGGGATTGTCATGAACAGCCCCTTGAAATCTCAGTATACAGTCATTACTGCATGGGAAAAAGCCTTCATCCACACGTCATAACTTGTAACAGACAAGGAGGGGGAAGAAGAACAGAGAAAAAAAAAAGGCCTTGGAGTTACCAGTAGGAATGTCGAAAATATTTGTTGATTCAAACTTTCCCCTATAGCTTCCCAATACTTTTACATAGTTTTAACAGTATAGTAACTTTATGCTGAGTGAGGTTTTCCTTTTATGAGCTATTTTGAGAGAGTTTGTATAAATTTTAAAGAAGTGGCAAGGGGAGAGAGAACTATATATTTATAACGTCTTCACCCTGCAAGATGATAACATATGCCCATATAATATGTCCTCAAATTATTGCTTAATTAATATTCTAACACTCAATGTTAAATATTACTTAACTAATATAGAGCTTACTTAAATTCTTCATTGCAACTGTCACAGATTGTAAGATCAACTAATTTTCAGGTCTATGTTGGAAAAGTTTGGGTCAAAATATAGAACGGTAGAGCTGGAACATAGAATTTTTTAATAGGGTAACTAAAATATAAAATATTGGGTTTCCAAAAAAATGAAATAAAAATAATATATGTTTGCTTTGTCATTCTGGCTACTTTCTCCACTGAGTTTAATTAAGTTTGGTGTAGGTTTTTTTTTTTTTTCATTAGATGATTACTCATTACACTTTTTTTTTTTTCATTTATGTTCCGGGGGTTCAAATGATTAATCATCATGAAAATTTAAATTATAGATTTTGTCAAAAGTCCAGTTGAAAAAAAAATTGGAAACTATGACTAATTTGTGGAGTGCATTTCTTTCTGCAAGTGGAATGTATGTCACTGCAGGTAATAGAAGAAAGCAGAATAGGAAGTGCCTACTCGGACCAACTGATTCCTTGGTAACTTCTTGGATACTACTGCTTGGGATTTTGAGGTGTTTTCCACAGCCAGAGCACTATTTATGCTCTTTACCCTAAGTCTATGTTGAAAAAAAAAGTAAGCTCCATTGATTTAAGAATAGAACTTATTTTCTATGCTTATTAATTATCTTAAATCAAACAATGTAGAACATAAAACCAACTGAAAAGAAAGAATTCCCCAATAGATCACTTCAGACATGAAAGTTACTTTCCCAGAACAGCATTTCTCACATTGAATTCTTTGGAATTTAAGAAGATATGGAAGGTAGACATATCATGGAAAAACCGTCTTGTGGATTATTATGTTTAGGAAATGCTGACCTGAAGTAAGTGAAGGAATGAGTACAGTATGCCTAATAAACTTCCATTCAAGGGTGTAAGATACAAGTAGGCTCCTAAAGAATGAAGGAAATGCAACACAGTGGAAGCCAGGCTTTGCATTAAACTATAGATGACCTACAGAAGAAATATATAAGTAGAATGTAAATGTGATCATGCTTAACTCTAAAAATTAGCCCCTGTGAGCTCAGTGGCTGACAAAATGCAACTACATTCTTGAATGGTGATGGTTTTCAAAGCCCAAGGCTTTGCAACTATTTCTATTATTTCAGAAAACAATAATATACCCAAGATGTAATAAGGGGTGTACAGAAAACCAGCATTTCTGCCCAATGGTAAGATAATTTCTTAATACAGTCTCAAATTGTTCAATGCCTTCTTTTTAAGGATGAAACCACGGGACTGACCATCCACTTCTCTAACTTATTTGTTAACTCTAGTCAAAGACAATGGCTTTGCCCCTCTGTCCTTACTCTTATTTTCCACTGAGCAGCCTTTATAACGTGTCATCTGAAAGCACATTCACAGTGCTGGGGTTAGGGAATGTGGGAAGAAAAAGTATAATGGCATAATTTGATTGAACTATAGTTTTCAAATGAGTAAGTAAATAGTATAGTTCCATATCAATAAGCAAAATTTTCCTTTTCATAGACTCTGTGGGAGTAAGCAAAGCCTTACTAATATTGTGTGTGTGTGTGTGTATGTGAGCATGTGTAAAAACAAGTTATAACTTCAGAATCATCCCTTTTCTTTTGCCCCTATTTTATTCTTCTATGTGTTTACTGTATATATTGAATATCTACCGTACATGGCAAAATTTTGTACTATTTTGGGCATATTTGGGGCCTTAATAAATAGCTATCATGTTATGTATTGTATTACCAAGGTATTTTTCAGTAGTATACAATTATGATGATTATGAAATTTTTAAATATCTTTTATTGAAGGACTGCAGATCATAATATTTGCTCCCTTTCTCCCACAAAAAGTTGTCTAGAATTTATTCACAATTTTTTTTCTTTTGTCATACTTATAGTTCCATATACTCAAATGGATAATCAAATGTTATTTGATCCAATCAGTGAAAGCAGAAGTAGATCAGAATTTTCCTCTAATGATGAAAATATGATTATTAAATAAGTAATATTCTCCAGAAGTAGATACGTATTCTAACATTAAGCCTTGCTGAAATTTTTAGTTTTAAAATTTTGCTTTCATCTTTCTTCTAATTATTTTTATTTTAAAAAATCAGGGTAGAGGAACCAAAATAAAGTTCTTCGGCAAATAGGAATCCTGTTTATTTTCCAACTCTGAACTCAGCAGGTTAAGTAATTGGGCTACAGAAAAGTTCCCCCATTTCTATTTCCAGCTGGTGATACACAAAAGGCAGGAAGTTATCTCATTAATGGGGCACCAGCTTTATGCAAATTATAGTAACAAAAAGGCTTCCCTTCATACTTTTTCATAAATTACCTAATAAAGTGGGAATAAATGGCCATATTCAAGAGCCTTTGTTGTATTTTTAGCACAAGACTCTTTCTGTTACTGCAAATATGACTAAATGTGCCTTGTTCAAAAGGGGTGTTTATGAAATAAGGCCACTCAAAAGCTTTTATTCCTTAACAGCCTTCAGTTACTTTTATGGCACAAAATTAACATAATTAGTCACAGAGAATAGATGACATAAGCAGCATGCCATGCACAAAAGGGGGAAGCAGTATCTAAGGAAGGTGTTTTGAGAGATCAAAAATTTTCAAAGTGCTTAATACTAGAAGGTCCTTTTTATTTGTGCACAGCCTTAAGATACTTTTTTTTTTAACTCCGTGAAATTCACATAATGAGATGCAGTAGACAGATGACATTAGCGATGTGCCATTAGAAAGAGGTCAGTTTCTTCTGAAAGATAGTCACTGTTCCTGCTCGTCATTAATTTGCAGCTTCAAAGCACTGAGCATATGATAGCCTGGCATGTTAAGCAAGTTGCAGTTATCTTTAAATAACCATTTTTTCCAGTTATTAGAAGCTAAAGTTTTTAAACTACCGACTGAAAGCAAAATTAAAGCATGCAGCAGTGGAATAGAGAGGAAAGGGAAAGAAAGAAAGGCTGCAAGAAGATTAGGAAAATAAAATCAAACATATTTTTAAAATGAAGTTGCTGTGGGGTGGCCTGGAAATTCAATGCTGGAATTTTGGGGGTAGTAAAGATTTGAGCTCTAGCTAGCAAATGAAACAACTGGGAATTTTTGTTTTCTGAGTTCTTATGGCACATATTATAAAACCAAAAAGCAAATTGTATGGTTCTCTATAATTCCGCTGAGGGAGAACAGTGCTGATCTGAAGCCTAAGAGCTCTGTGCAGTAGGAGAGTAAAAGGGTTAAGAGCACTTGGGTTCCTTTTAGATGTGAACTACTCAAATAAAAATACATCGAGAAATATATCAGATTATCTTATTTAAAGAGAAGATCAATGAGATTTCTCTAGTTTGTCTGTGAATAAATCATAGATGAGAAGACAGAAAAGTAAAGAATTAAAGACTGCATTCATCTGAGTTCAAATCTATTATTACAAGACTCTTCTGTTTAATTTATTTTAAATAATTCAATTTTTTTCCAAAGGAATACATGAATATGGTACAAAATTCATAACATTCACAAAGATTTACAGACTTTTACATTTCAAATTTCCTTTGAGTTTATTTTTCACTTGGAAATCATAGAGGCATTACGTAGAGTTTAGCTATTTTAAAAACATCCTGATTTATAACTTCATCTTCCACCACCCAAAATAAGATTCAGTCACCAAAATCTCTGATGAGCACATGGAGACTGATTTTTCTGCAGTGTTTTCAGCCTTTGTGTCCGTCGAATTGTCCAGGTCAAATGGAATTGAATGAGTAGGTTTTGGCAAAGAAATGGCAAGCAACATTAGCAAACATTTCAGAACTGTTGAAACAAATAAAATACATGTTTTAGAGCAACAATAATTAAGACGAAAAATATTGACTATCAAATGATGTTTTCTTATCTGCAATGACATTTTACTGTTCTAAGAATTACTTTTAAATGTCTAGATCACTGGAATTGCATTCTTTTCACTGCCTAAATTACCTGAGACTGGGCAGGTTAGGGGAGGATTACCCAGAGCCAACATTCTATGATGAGGAGAGGAAGCTGAGCCACAGCTCAGACTGCAACTGGGGCTTTTGTAGAACACGGGCAGAGTGAACCAGCAAAACAAATGTGAGAGTTCTAACCTGAAAACAAAGGATTGAGGAACATTAGCACAAACTGCAACTCTTCCTTCTTAAAAGGTGGACTTCTACTAACTTTTGACAATGTTTTATTACCTCCCATTTAGGTATTAGAACTCTCCTTTCTTTTCCATAGGGTGTATTTTTCAAATAATGTTACTCCTTCTCTTCTGGCATCCTGCAGATATTGCATCAGTGCTGGAGAAACGCTAAGGTATAGCTCAAACAGCTTATAGTCCAAGAAGCAATATCAACAGATGCATGGAGAAGATTTTGATGCTGCTCTAATAGAGAAGCTGTGGGTGATTATTTCTATCTTGTTGCATCTGAAGAGATATCATTGAAAGACAACTGGGAATTCATTAGAGTGACAAAATTGAGAACCAAGTGCAAACTAGGGGAGCCTGGAGAACATGTAGGGCAGGGTTAGGTACACCACTGATGGGAGGCTTAGTTAGAAAGAAAGTTTTGGGGTATGCCAGCATGGGAAGTTTGTAAATAATGGTGGTTAGCAGTTAAAAAGTGAAGGATTTTGACTCTATTATTAAAAACAAAGAAACAGCATTTTATACAAACTCAGGGTGATTTGGACCACCTTCAGGTATTACTTTACATTTGAAGAGTAAATAATGGTCATTGTTTTTGCCTTTTTAAAGGGCTTACTTGTGCTGGGAACACTAATTAGCACTTATCTGATTATCTCTTTAACTCTCTCTATCAGTCCGTTCTTGTACTGCTATAAAGAAATACCTGAGACTCAGTAATACATAAAGAAAAGAGGTTTAATTGGCTCATGGTTCTGCAGGCTGTACAGGAAGCATAGTGGCTTCTGCTTCTAGGGAGGCCTCAGGAAACTTACAATCATGGTGGAAGGTGAAGAGAAAGCAGGTATGTCTTACATGGCAGGAGAAGAGAGAGGTGTGCTGGGTAGATGTCACAAACTTTTAAATGACCAGATCTCGTGAGAACTCACTCACTGTCACGAGAACAGCACGAAGTAGATGCTGCTAAACCACTTATGAGAAATCCACCCTCATAATACCATCACCTCCCACCAGGCCCCACTTCCAACACTGAGGGTTACAGTTTGACATGAGATTTGGTGGGGACACAGATCCAAACCATATCACCCTCTCAATTCTATGAAGCAGATATTCTTAGCTGTTTTTTCAAATGAAACAACTGAAGCTCAGACAGATTAACTGACTTGCCCAGCATCACACAGTTTAGGAGATAACAGTTGGATTAAAATTCAGTTCTGTCAATTCCGTGAATCATGGTCATTCCATGATAACACATGGAAATTGTGCATAGAGGAAATAACATATCAGAATCCGTCTCCTACTGACTTTGAAGGAGTGCCCTCAAGGATCTAGGTATAACCGACAAGAAAGAACACTTGGATAATAAAATACCGGAATTTGCAGAGATTCCTTTATTAATAGTTTTCCTATTTCACATTTTTTGGGGATACAGGGTCTTGCTCTATCACCCAGGCGAGAGTGTAGTGGTTCAATCATAGCTTGCTGCAGCCTCAACCTCCCTGGCTCAAGAGATCCTCCCACCTCAGTCTCCTAAGTATCTGGGACCACAGGCATGTGCCGCCACATCCAGATAATTTTGTTTTTAATTTTTAATCTTGCTGTGTTGGTCAGCTTGGTCTCAAACTCCTGGCCTCAAGCAATCTTCCTGCCTCGGCCTCCCAAATTACTGGGATTACAGGTGTGAGCCACCATGGCCCATATTTAGCTTTTCAAATGTGTTAAAATACTACATGCATTGTAAATACAGTTGATGACACAGATTTTTTTTCAAGAATTTCAAGCTGTAAAATAATAGGGAATGCATACAAGTGGCAAAAAGTAAACAAAACCAATCAAACACCCCACAAAACACATATCCATAACACAGAGTAATAGAAAAAAATTCGATTGAATTCACATGCTGTAATTGCCTTTTTGTCACTGTTCCTTTCCATGAAAAATGTGGTAGAATAATTATATGTGTTTAACCACATAAAAGAAGCAATGATAGTTAATACTAATTTTTTTTCTTTTGAAAATGAATTCCATCTGCTTTTATTAAGGAGAATAGTTGTACTAGAATGAGATACTTATTAATCTCTCTGGGCTAGGTAAGGTCTAGTTCACTTTAATTAAAAAGCAAATTACATGTATACAAACACACTGAAGGCACCTTACATTTTACATTTCACCTTTTATTTTAATCTTGAAGCTTTCGATATTGTTATTTTAAGTACATGTTAATAATATGCAAGCTGATGCTTTGAAAATTCTCTGAGATGTGGTTAATGAAGAGAAACTGCACCATAAATTTCATGTAAAATATGCAGTCCATGCAGATGTAATTTTTCTTGAACTACAGTATTTTGCAATAAACATTTTTTAGCTTGTTTGGATTTATTCTCAATTGTTTACAAAAAGTATCATCAGGCACTACTGCTTGAAACAACTACATATAGTAACAGGCAATCTTCTTGGTTTAATAAGAACTGTTGGATAAAAATAGATTTCAGATCTATCTTGTACTGACAGAATGCAAATACTGATAAAACTGCACACTAGTATTTTCCATAAAGTTTGTCACATGATATAATGCAGTTGCTTGCTTTCCCCTGAGTTCTGCCAGAGGAAGCACAGTGGCTATGCCAGTTTATGATCAATAGAGACAGAATGTTCTACAAGGTATTCTGGGAACTGTAGTTAACTGAGAACATTTTTCTTTCAAATGCATTTGTTAAAACAATGCCCAAAAGAGACACGATATTCCGGCGACTGTCAGAGTTTCTATGATAAACTCTGCATTTTTTAGAGGGTTGTAACTAGCAATTTGGCCATTGCTAAATGGCACCATCTGTAGTGTAGCCTGAAGGTTTGCACAAACTGCAATGCTGTTGCCATTCAGAAAAGTATATCTTTTAAAGATCATGTAAACCCGGGTTAAGAAAGACATAAAAATAGTTGGTCTTTTCATTGATTTCATTTCAAGCTGAGTTCTCACGCATAGAGATGGGCTCTACAGAGAAGTGCTCCAAGTGAGTGGGAGAGATTGTGGCCAGTTTATCTCACAATGGATTATTTAACATTTCTGCTTGTTTTACTTTCCACATTATATTACTATCATTAGGGAGTGGGTGGGGAAGTTGCCAGAAAGAAAATAAGAAAATGCTGTGATTCTATATTTTGCTAGAAGAAATAAGAATCATTTGGGTCTCAGGCTAGCCTAGGAGACAGAAGCTAAAATCTTATGGGAGATAGGTATTATATGATAAATACTGGAAATGGAACTTGGGCAACCTGGGGAGAAGTGCCCAGGTAAAATAAGCCACCAGTGCACAGCCCTAGCAGATAGCTGCCGTGGTCCACGTTAAGAGCTAGTCCTGACTTCTCAAGAAACATCCAAAATATAGATTTTCTTTTCAATATAAAGTACCTTAATTTTTAATTGTTGGCATCATGTTCAAATTTAAAATAAGAAAACATGTGGAAATCAAACAAAAACTTCTCTAAACCAGTTCTGACCAATCTACCTTAGTGTGAGCCCTATCTCTAATCTTGTATGTTTAGACTAGCAGTTTCAATGCCTTCTTAAAATAGACGAAAAAACTTGAAAGGTAAAAAGAAGAAAATCAAATTAGATTTTTGGGGGTTAGTTAAGCTATTTCTATGTTTCAAATGAATTGGCTAATTTTAACTTTCTCTTAATTCTTCAGGGTCTCTAGAATGTACATATCTGTAATTTATGTGTTCACACTCTAATGACCTCATAGGCCATCAGTACTTTTCTATTTATTTTGATTTTAGTTTCATTTTGGCTTTTGAAGTGGGCCAAAATCATCAGAAATCATCATAGAAGAATTAAAATTATTAATTCTTAGTAAAACCATGTAGCAAAATAATATATATACTTGTGAAAAAGCTATTTTATAGAGACCCTGGAAATTAAGCAAAATAAACTGAATTATCAGTAGAGTTTTACCTCAAAAAGAAGGTAATCTTTGCTAATACCTCTTTCCAATACCCTATTTTAATTGCATAAGAATTAAGGTACAATAAATGTGATTGAAGGAAAGCAGTTACAAATAGAGAACAATACAATTTTGGAGATGTCAAAATAATGAGAAAATCTTGTTTTCTTCTAAGAGAATACATATGCATGTATTCGATACGTAGGATTATATTTTACATATTTAAAAAAAGAAAGAAAAATAAAAAAGAAATATAAAAACATATCCAAGAGCATTTAACATTATTTTGAATATATAGACAAAAATTAATGCATTTTATATTTATTATGAATGTAAGGATGGCTATTATTTTGTATATAGTTCAGCTCTACCTATAATTTCCCAAACTTCGATTATTTTATTTTGAAGAAACCTGCCATGCTAGCATATAAAGTGACAAATTATCTGTTAGAAATCAGTTTCTACCTTAAAATTATTAGATATTTAAAAATCCAAGTATGTCCCTTATCTGGCCCTTTAATACATGCCTGTTGCCTTGTTTCCCTTAAAAGTCTGGTAATAGCTGAAAAGAAAAACGAAAAGTACATGTGCTCTTCACTGAGGCAGAAAGAGCTCTAATCGTAAAGTTTCCGACCAGAACAGGGTCACCTACACTGAAATTTTCTGTAAACAAATAAGTGCTGAGACAGCAGATTGACTTCCTTAGTGCATTTTTCCCCTAGTAAAATCAGTTCGAGATGAATTGCAAAATAAATAAATGTCAAATAACAATTCCCATGACTAGTATTTGAACTGAATTTAATGATTATTATGAAGACAAAGCTGTGATAGGTTCCTGTGTAGAATGCTTAAAGGGGACAATCTGAAACGACTTTAGCTTGAAACCATTTTAACAAATGAATGTATTTCTTAAATTGCTGTATCAACCAAACCTGCCATCTAATTATGGCTGGCAAAAAGATCTACAAATGAACTATTCCAAAGCCTAAGCCATTATTTTTGGTTGACATTCCCCAACATTCAGTTAATAAACCTGAAAGGCATCTCACTCATTTAATATTGTAGGTTCTCATTTACAACTAGTTGAGAATATAGTAGAAAGTTGTACTCCTCCAAGTTAGACGTTCTCTGATGACTTTATTTAGACTTGATGGTCATGTTAACCATGGATGCTTTAACCATTTTCCATGCTATCATGGTTGCTTTTTAATCTAGACATTCAAAACATCTATCATCCATTCTTTCAAATTTACTTTTTAAGAAGAAAAAATTCCTAAAATGTCTATCTTGTATCCCACACAGTGGAATGGCTTTAGGAGCATGAGATTCTCTAATCCTACCAGGTTTGTTCTGAAAGAATATGCTGCCAGGTACAGTGGCTTATGCCTGTAATCCCAGCACTTTGGGAGGCCAAGGTGGGTGGATCAAATGAACTCAGGAGTTTGAGACCAGCCTGGGCAATGTGGCAAAACCCCATCTCTACAAAAAATACAGAAAAATTAGTGGGGTGTGGTAGTGCAGACCTGTAGTCCCAGCTAATTGGGCAGCTGAGGCAGGAGGATAGCTTGAACCCAGGAGGCAGAGGCTGCAGTGAGCCATGTTCATGCCACCACTCCAGACAGGGCAACAAAAGGAGAACCTGTCTCAAAAAAATAAATAAATAAATGAAAAGAAGAAGAAGAAGAATAGGCCTCTGTACTGTAATTATTAACATCTAGCATGCATCACCCTTGAACTTGTCAAGAACGATCTTGAATATAAGGATACTTTTTGATGTTCTGAAATTTATTTTGGTGTTAAGCTTGTTCTTTGGAAAGCTATGTGCTTCAAAATATTAAATTGGTTTCCTACTAATTTTACTTTTGTAGATATACTATTCACTTATCTGGAGGGGATCTTTAAAATGTTGCTATAAAACTTGGAGCTGTTTTTGCTATCAACTCCATATCATACAGTCATCTCTATTTAAGAGTCAGGAGAAAACATTTCTCTGCCTGGGGGACAAAGTTGTATTTTACCTAATCAATACTGATTGCATTTCTTTTTTTGCATTGGCTACCAAAATCATTAGAGCCATATCTGTGGTCTACTTCCAGGAAATGAATGAGGTTTCATGAGTTTCCTGTTCCCCAACTCTTTCACTTAAATTTGCTTTAATTCCTTCACCTGGTTTTAGAGGTATTCATATGATTGTATTGCAGCTTTGACAACTTCCAATTATTCTGTTTTGAACACTGTAGAATTGTGAAAATTAATTCATAAAGTTTTCCTTTTGCCATGCCAAATTTTGGAGACTATGGATTAAACAAGAAATCAATGAAAATCTTTCGAAAGGCTAGATTTTAAATATAGTTCAAAGTGCTTTTCAATCATTCATTAGCCCTTCTCATAAACTCACAAAATCACAAAAATGAGCCATAATTCTGGCAAAGGAATTAGAGTTTTTGCACAAACAATGCAAGCTACAAATGTGAAACATTCAAAAAAGTAAATTTTGTGATCCTATAAGTATTTAATGTAGTACTTCACATACTGTGGCAAATGAATGCTCAATTGCTTATTCATTCTTTTGGCATAGACATCCTTTCTTTATAACTGCTTGGTAGACCTCTGCAACCAAATATCGCAGCCTCTCACATTAAGGGTGTCCAGAAATTTACCTTATTATCTTCTGCATCTCTTTCCCAATTGTTCTCCTGTATTATTGCCACCTAAATATGGAACCTCAAAGAAATCTTTAATGTTTACCTTTCATTACTGCATATACCAACCAGTTTCACACATTGATTCTAAGTGTCCAAAGCCATCTGTTTTTTTTTTATTTTTTATTTTTCAATATAGCCACTAGGGTTAAGTTTGTCCAACTCACACCCCACAGGCCGCATGTGGCCTGGGAGGGCTTTGAGTGCAGCCAAACACAAATTCATAAACTTTCTCAAAACATTATAAGTTTTTTGTGATTTTTTTTTATTTTAGCTCATCAGCTATTGTTAGTGTTCGTGTATTTTATGCATGGCCCAAGACAATTCTTCTTCTAATGGCAAGGATAAGTCATTGTTTCTTTCAGGTTTTCTATTTCTTGTTCTCTCTTAACTGGTGTCCACTCTCTATTACCATAATATTATTCATAAGACTTCAAAATGCTTTGCTCTAAAATTGAGTGAGTATGACTTTTTAGCTAATCATTATACAAAAATCTCTCTAAGTATCTTAGTTAAAATTCCCAAAAAGAGAAATTTAATTGAACTGGGGTCACACATTACAAGTTTTTGGCCAGCCTAAATCTACCCCCTAAAAGTCACAGATTCAAAGTCCATCCATCTTTTTTGAAGCGATGGTGCCATGGTTGAGCAGACCCAACTCAGCAGATTTTGGTAGTGGAGATAAGGTTACTTGAAAAAAAATGGAGAGAGTAGAAAGTGATAGACAACTCTATCATAAGTGTAATGTATTTCTATATCTAAATGTTCATTATTAATCAACTTCATATTTTTCTCATTGTAGGCCAACCTACAACCTACTAAATACAGTTTGGAGCAAAGATATTCCCTTTTTTGACTTGTTTGAGTTATTTACTTTTCCTAATAAACACTGTATTAGTCAGCTTTGATGCGGTAATAAACAGTCCAAAAATTACAGTGGATTTTAACCAATATCTGACTTTTCATTGACATGTATTACTTGCTCACTTCACCTGTGATGGTTGTTTGGTGTGCTATGTGTGTTCTTAAGTCAGACACATGATAAAGGACTGGCCACCATTTGTGACATAATATTCTTATGGAAGACAAAAAAGGACAGGAGAGCTGGCAGAACTGGGTGCTATCTCTCTTAAAGATTGTGCTCGGATGTGGTGCATATTACCTCGGCTCAGGTTACATTGGCCAAACTATATCACGTGGTCAGAACTAACAATGCTGTGTTTGGATTATACTTCTTATACTAACAGGCTATAGCAAATTATCTAATTGTGAATGAAAGTATATATTCCCTTTCCAGGATAAGATGGGAACAAGAAATTGGGGACCATACTATGAACCTACCACAAATTACTATAATGCCTCACCATGAACACTAATAAAGTTCAACTCTTTATTCCAGTGGTGTTCAAAATATGATGCAGATCCACGAGGCTCCTTGGAGATGCTGTGGCAAGGCAAGATAAATTTAGAGGAGCAAGGTTCTGTGCCCTTCCTTACATAATAGCTCTGCTTTTATCTATTTTCTATCTAGATACCTGTGTTTGGTTTATTTGGCAGAGAAATAATAGGTTTCCTTACTTTCAGAATAATGTTTAAAAGCATTTTCTTTGCTTGACAATCAAGATCTTCTCTCACATAATACCAATCTGGTTAGTAAAATTCAGTGTCCCTATTATTTTCCATTCACTTTGCACTTCCACCAAAACTCACTGTTCTTAATTTGTTTGCCATATTACCTATTATTTTCTCTTTGAATTTCTTTACTTCATTCTTATCACACAGACCATTATGCCCTTTTGACTTTTATTGTATCATCAGTGCTTTGCAAATTTTACCTGCATTCGTTTGCTAGATGGTAACAAAGGACCACAGACTGGGTGGCTCAAACCGCAGAAATTTACGTTCTTACAAATGAGAGCTAGATGTTCAAGATCAACGGTGTCCTCAGGGTTGCTTTCTTCTAATGCCTCTCTCCACCTTGTAGATGGCCATTGCCTCCAGTGTCCACACATGGCCTTCCCTGTGTGTGTGTCCTAATCTCCTCATATAAGGACACCAATTATATTGGACTAAGGCCTACCCATATGATCTCATTTACCTTAATTATCTATTTAAAGACACTGTCTCCAAATACAATGCTGGGGGTTAAAGCTTTAGCATCTGAATTGTGGAGAGTCACAATTCAGCCCACAACATGTCTTTCAATTTTAGGTGATAATACTCACTCAGCTCTTATTAAAATAAATTTTCAAAATATATTACATTCATCATAAGTCTGTTGCATGCATTAGAAAAAAGGAATATTTTTAATATTTTTCAATAGCTAATCTATTGGACTGAGTTACACAGATAACTGTTGTCAATCATATACAATTAAACTTTGCATTATTGGACTCCTACCTTTCTTTTAGCTCAATAATCATGTTGCTGATGAGGTCTTTCCTGGCCACAGCTACAATACTTACCTACTTGCTCCCTTACACTTTACCTCACTTATTCCAATGTGCTCTTTCATTTGTTGCACTTTACTTGTTTACTGCATTTCTCTATCACTCTGTTTTAATTTCCAACAAGTCAAGGAACTCGTCTGCCTTGTACATCCACTACCGAATCAGTTGTGCTAATCTGATGCTGAGCACATTGTAGGGATTCAATGACTATGTCTTGATAAAATAAATTCAGGAGAAATAGTGTCAGATATCAAAAGGTGAGAATAGGCACAGAAGCAAGAAATTGGGCTGTCAAACAACTCAACAAAGCCAGTAGTTTAGTATTTCACAATAAATCCTAATTATCAATGTAATGCAAAACAATATCTTGGGGAACAATAACATTTTTTTTTCTAAAGGGCACTGAACAATCACTAAGCTAGTAGAGAATTGATTGTAATTTAAATAAGATAATGAGGAATAAGTTACCATTATCTTCTACAAATATTTTCATACCCATGAAATAAAATAAAAGTAATATACATTTAATATACTTTGAATACACTGAATAATGCATTGAATGTACTTTCAATATATAACTGCAATTAAATATTAGAGGACTTTTTTTCTTTCTTTAAAATTTAACATGTTCACCCTCCAGAAAAGTTTCTTGAGTATAATTACAATGTATACACCTATTATCATTAGGTTCCACTAAATTTATCTTTCTTTCTATATATATACAGATGTCATTATAATTATCACTAAAGTGATAAATTATCCATGTTGGAATTCTAACAAATAGGGGTGTCACAGTGGCGTTTTGGGAAGAAAATCCATGCCTTTAATCCCATATCCTTCTCACGAACCTAGCTCATTGATGCAAAATATTAAACCATTGAACAAGAAAATAGATTCTATGCAAGAGGTATTTCCTTTAGAGGAACGAAATTTATGGGACCAAAGACTAGGTTGTCTGAGGATAAAATTCAAAATAACCATGGAGGAAATAACATGAGGATTTAATTCTTTCCCAAGGAAAATTGTAAAGAGAAAATAATCTAATACTAACCTATAAGCTAATGAGAATTAACTGTGAAATAAAAATTTCAAAAAACCTGGTATACATGTATTGTTCTTACTGTTTTCCTTCATCAAAATAGCTGTTGAAATAGTAGAGAATTTGTACATATCTTTATATTCTGCTTTAAATATTTTTGTTGATTGAATATAATTTTGCATGACAAGGTATATAAATGACTTTTTCAATTACCACATTGATCTAGACTTCCCTTTTCCTTCTGAGTTTGCAAAAATAAATTTCCAATAAAAGCAAAAATGAACACAGCAACAAGTGAAAATCAAGGGCATTTGTCATTTCAAGCATATAACTCTACCTTACTACTTTCTAAATATCTTATGCCTTATTTTTGCTCTTGCTTCTGTTTACACATTCAGGTGGCAAAAGTTAATGTTATATTGTCAAAAAGCAAATGAAATTATTTGACTAAATTTAAAATTAAAGTTATAATAAAGTGCCTCTAATTATGTTTTTCCCTATGCCCTTATTTGGCACTGTTCAAAATGATTTAGAAACATTTTCAATTTTATGTACAGTATATGCCAGTAGGTGGTGGTAGTATTTTCTACAAGCACTACAATGCTATTTTCATTAGTAAATAACCCAAAAAATAGAGATCACTTTCAGAACTTCAATAATTCTTAGAGGAATATAGAGACTTCAGAAGTAATCTTTCCCAAGTTGTATTTCTAGACTCGGTTTAAAAGCAAAACTAGGCACTAAGCATTTTAATCTATGTACCAGATTTTTGGGAATATGGTCGGGGGGAACCTCTGATAAATTTGGGGAGCTGTGTATTTAATTCCACAGCATCGATCATTATATTTTTATTTTCTAACAGATGCTAGACATTAAATTGGAAAATTGGAATTGAAGATAAAAGGTGAGATATGTATACCCAGTCAGTGGGTTATTTTAACCAGATTTTCTCCTTCATCATGGCTCATTTGCATTGTGAATACTCTGAAAAAGACAGCTTTTGTGGACTCTTTGCTGTGTTTGTTGCTCCTACAATGTAATACTATTCAAAGAGTCTGATTGTGTATTCAGATATTACATACATATTGCCCTGGGTCTGGGATTTCCTGTTACTGTGAATGATAAAGACTTTTTTCCTACTTAATGTACAATTATCCCATTGTGTCTGCATATGTGAAAGGGCACCTCTGTGGAATATCCATAACTAAAGGAAGAGACTGAGAGATGAGGGAATGCAGCATTTTGGCAGATAATAGAAAGGAGGTATATTTAGTAATTGAGATAAGCGAGGTGAACATTAGAGACTGTCCCAGACAAGAGCTTACTTCAACTTCAGATGGGATGGTTTGGAAAGTGATCTGGAATTTAGGACTTTCTGAACTGCATTTTTAAAGTGTTTTCCTGACCTTAATTTAATCCAACTTTTGGGAATCCAAAATACCCCTACCAGCTCAGTCCAATATTATTTTTAGAAATCAGGAGCTGGAAGAAAGTACAGAGAATGCTTCGAGTTTGAAAAGCGAAGATCTCTTTAAATTTTAATCTAAAGGTAGGAGTAGAAGAGTTAATATATTATGCCCAAAGTCTGGTCCTTGGGCTGGCAGTTTCAGCATCACCTGGGAGGTGGTCAGAAATGCAGAATCTCAGACCTCGCCTTCCTCACACCTACTGAATCAGATCATGCAGTTTCATGAGACCTCCTGGAGACTTACAATCTTGTAAAAAGTTTGAGAAGCACTGATTTAGATGATTCTGAGATACAGGAACCTACTTATTTTCTTAGAGCTGGGAAAGCCACCAGTGAGTGGTGTTTTACATACATCACACATAATCTCAACAGAATGAATGTCAGTCACTCAAGGTCCTGATTTTCCTATCTTAACTCTACTTGGGGATTCTGTTTATACTGTCATAAAGAATTTGAAAACACTGGACAGATGGCCAAGCAGAAGAAAAAAAAGTCAGGAGTGTGCTGCAATTTTAGGGATGACCAAATCTTAAAGATCATTTAGCTGCTCGGTTCCCCTATCTAGGCAGCCCATGGCGATGTCCTTACATATTATGCTTCCATCAGGACTTGGTGAACAAAGTATTCTGAAAAGCTTTGCACATAAAAATTGGTGTTGCAGCTTTTTTGAAACTGAAAGCAAAAAATCTCAGATAAAATTAAGCATCGAAATTTTGGAAATGTAGTTATCAGCAGCAGAATGGAAGCAAATTAAGCTTGTGAGCTCCAGTGAATTTTCAGCTGTTCTGTAAGGTTTCCTGTTAAAATGAGTCTGACAGTGTTTGAAATATATTAGAAGCATTTTAAAACAATTTTAGTCAATTATTACTGTTAGAAATGTCCACCTTTTTTAAAAAAATGAAAATAACTCATAATGTTCTTGTATCTGTTCCCACTTTTAAGCCTCTTGAGCAAAAGAAACTCAATAATGATTGCACTCTAATTTTGACATTCTACATAAGAATGACCCCTGCATTTACACCAAATAGGTGTTACCACAATTTTCGAAGTTCATGTTGTTCATTAACTTATACTTATTCATTAACAATAAACTTTAATCTGATGCTATTTTGCCTAGGGTATCAAATAAATTGCAAGAACAAATAGGAACAAAGTGTATTATACAATATATTCTAGGACCCAGTGTGAGATAGATAGTTCAGGTAGAGAAGAAAGGCAAATAGTTACCTGGGATCTTCATTTTGGCCAGAATGTTTGCAGTGCCATCCAATTCTGAGTTTCCATTCATCTACCCCGAATGGTTAGAAAGCTAACTTCTAAAATACATATGAGACATCAGGAATACTTTCATTGGTCATTTTACTATGTGGAAAGTTTACTGAAGTGGAAAATTCTTGGGATTTAAAAGTTGTTAGGCCCATCAATGATAGACTGAAAGAGAATGTGGCACATATACACCTTGGAATACTATGCAGCCATAAGAAAGTATGAATTCATGTCCTTTGTAGGGACATGGATGAAGCTAGAAACCATCATCCTCAGCAAACTAACACAGGAACAGAAAACCTAATACTGAATGTTCTCATTTATAAGTGGGAGTTGAGCAGTGAGAACACATGGACACAGGGAGGGGAACATTACACACCGGGGCCTGTTGGGGGTTAGGGGAAAAGGGGAGGGAGGGAATTAAGACAAATACCTAACGCATGTGGGGCTTAAAACCTAGATGACGGGTTGATAGGTGCAGCAAACTTCCATGGCACATGTATACCTATGTAACAAACCTGCACATTCAGCATATATCTCAGAATTTAAAGTAAAGTTAAAAAAATAAAAAGTCATTAGGGCTGGTTGCTGACACTACAGGACACTCTTTCTTAGGAGTGTTTTAGTTACTACCAACCCGGGGTAGTACCACAATGATCCTGTGGACTCCCTCCTGTTTCTTGAACTTTTGCGAACAGCCTGTCTATAAAGAAACCTTTTCAGAAATATCAAATTCTGTGTGTGCCATGTGTTTCATTTGGGGACCCTGGCAGATTCAGGGGATGTAAACACAGTTTATAACTAAAGAAAAGGCTTAAGCCACAGGAATTGAGATGTTTGTTAAGTGGCTTGTTAGTAGCAGGCCTGAATAGAAATCCTACGATTTGCAACTCCCAGAAACTGCTTTTTCTCTATCTTGAAGTGGGAGATTAGATGCAGAGAAAATTATTCCCAGAGCGTCTTCTCCCCTCAATGCATTCAAAGAGGATCAGAATGTATATTGGGGGCTATTCCTTGCCCTATGGTCATTTCTTCTAAAAGGCATTCAATGGTCCGAGCCCAGATCAGGCACACTACATTGGTCACCAGAAATTAGAAACCACCATTTCCTTTAAGATTGTCACCCTGAATCTGACTCAAATTTAGTTCATGAAACACACTCAGTGTCAGTGACTTTTTTATGTCTCTGCACCTTTTCGTGCTTCTTAAAGAGATGCTAGAGCCATAAGGGAAAAGAATTAAGATCAGGCTACTTTTCACAAATGCACACATGATAACATCGATGAAATGTTATTCAAACCACTAGAGTTTTTTGTTTGTTTGTTTGTTTTTGAGATGGAGTCTCACTGTGTTGCCAAGGCTGTAGTGCAGTGGTGTGATCTTAGCTCACTGCAACCTCTTCCTCCTGGGTTCAAGCCATCCTCCTGCCTCAGCCTCCCGAGTAGCTGGTATTACAGGTGCATGCCACCATGTCCAGCTTATTTTTGTAATTTTAGTAGAGAGAGGTGTTTCACCATGTTGGCCAGGGTGGTCTTGAACTCGTGACCTTATGTGATCCCCCTGCCTTGACCTCCCAAAGTGTTAGGTTTACAGGTGTGAGCCACCATGCCTGGCCTCAGACCACTTGTTTTTATTTTAATATAATTTATACATACTATGTAACGATATCTTCAACAAAGTAATTGTGAGAGAAAAACTAATCAATGATTTGCATGTGGTCTGTGCTCATTTAAATATGTGTGTGTGTGTATATATATATACACACATATATTTATACACAATATACCTGCATATATACAAACACATATATATATATTTATTCTTTCATCTCACACGTTTATTGAGATGTTCTACAGCGGTACACTGACTTCTCCAGTGTTGAGGTGGGCAGAAAACCTACATTACCAAAGCCAGGAAAGTCATATGTGACAATTTACTGTTGGGAACCAGGGCAGGAAGAAGAGCATATTAGGTCCTAAATAAACATTTGATGATTGGTTGAGCAAAAGTACGAAGAGTGAGTTTGAGTTTTTTCAGAAGTACTGCTTATCTTCCAACATTTTAACTTTATTATTTTCAATTTTAAATCCATCAGCTAACATATTCTCAGGATTACCTATCTACAGGATAGATAGACTTTATGATATAAGGGCACTAGATAATGCCACAGGGAAGAAACAGAGTTGATAGGAGAGGAGGGTCAATATCCACTAAGTCAAACATGACTTCTCCCATAGGATTGCCTGAGTGCAGGGCTATGAGCATACAAAACTCTATGTAGAAGTTCTCTATGAAAAACCTAATTAAATTATTATAGGATTCACTTTAAACTTCTAACTTGCAGTGATGGTATCATTTTTCTGTTCTTCCATCTTACTTATATTGAGGATGTACAACCAGCCCCACAAGGACATTCCTAGGGGTGTCTTCCCTTGGCAGAGTGAGTAAAGACTGGCCCTGAACCCATGGATCAGGAATTGGAATCTACAAAGGAAGGGGAGGAGGATGGGGGTGGAATCACGAGATTGTGAATAAGGTAGGCAGGCCTTAAAAGTCACTGTGCAGGAAACAATAAAGTCATAGAACTGGGTGTTTGTGCAGCATGTCGTGTGGGAGTAGGAGAAAAAGAATCTCTTTTTCTCTTGGTCAAGAATCAGATTGAACACGTTTGCAAAGACCAGTTAAATCATCTGAAGTGAAGCAGTTGTTGCTGCTTTTGGGTATGAGTTGCCTTTGTACACGTGGTTTAGCTTATACTCTCTTCCTTAGGTTGAAAAATAATAAACTGAGGTTGAACAAAATAATTGTCCTTCCTCCATGTCTGCCAGTGTTGGCTTTCTTACTCCATTCTCATCCTTTGTCCCTTTGGATTGGACTAATTACATTTTATTTCTCCATCTTTTTCCTTCTGAGAGAGAAAGGTAGTGATTGTAAAGAAAGAGTGTTGCATGGAAGGCCATTACAGACTAAGAAAATAATTATTAGATTATAGATACATTAATAGAAAGAACCTTAACTAATCATCCTCTAGCTTTGGGGAGGTATCCATCAATTGTATTATTCTCAGATACTTTAGAATTTTTCATCAGAATTATCAGAATTATCTATGAATCCAAGCCTGTGAGAATTAGTGATTGCACATCCCTAGCCCTTTAAAATTTCCTGCTTTCTTGCTAAACAGAGCTATATTTGCTTTAGCCAGTAATTATGATGCTAAAAAATTAAAAATAAACATTCACTTATGTGAAGAAAAGACACTTTGTTAATTACAACCATTGAAGAGCATTCTATGTGTTTTTATGTAATTTTCAGTTTACTTTGATATTATGTGACTGTAAGTTTCAGGACTCCTTATAACCTATCAAAAATATGTTCTTGTCCTCTAATTATAAAAGTTTTGGATTCAAATTACAGGCATTTGAAAATTAAGGAAGAAAAAGAATACCACATAATATCATTCTTGACAAAATCACTTAATATTTTGATATATTTCTTTCAAGTGTTATTTTCTTTATACCTATATAAATGTTGAAGCCCAAAGCAAATTTTGGTAAATGTAAAATTTTATGAGGTTATTTTCTAATTAAACTGCATTTTACATATTTTTTCCTTTTAGAAAAATTTTTTTTACATGATTTTGGTTGAGTTCATGCTATTCCACTATAGAACACTGTACTTGGGCCTGAATTCAACTCAATAAATGGGCATTTTGTTATTCCACTGGTTTATTATTCTAAGTGTTGCAATAAACATATTCATATATGAATCTTAGCCTGAGTCGGAAAATGTCTTTAAGATAAATTCTGGAAGTAGAATTAATGCAACAAAAGATATAAAATTTTGGGATAACAATTTTAAAATTCTTAATAATATTTTCAATAATTTCTACCTTTTTATAAAGCTTATGAAGACTAATATACCTACTGGTAGTCTAGAAGAGGTCCATTCTAGAAAAATATATTTTTGAATTAAAAATATTTGATTTAAATTTATTTAAATATTTAAATATATTTATACTATTTAAACTTATTGATTGGATTGCTAATGAGAATGTATTGGGTAGTCATATTTCTGATTTTGTGAATTGTTTATTCATCTTTTTTTCAATTTGTTATTACATAGTGGTCATTTTATTGGGCCTAACAAGAGTTTTATAAATTAAGAATGACACTATTTATCTATTATATTAGTTGTAAAATTGTCATTAGTTTTGTTTACCTTTGAACTTTAATAAATTTCCTTGACATTTAGGAAGTCAATTTTATGTTATAAAATCTATTGGTTTTTTCCTTTGTGAATTCTTTCATTGTTTATAAATTTAGAAAGACTATACAGTCATATATTTCATATTTAACTGAAATGCTTTTATTTGATGTTTCAGTTTAACATTTTAACCAATTGGGAAATAATTTTAGCATTGGATAAAGACAGATATTTGAGATCTAGAAATATTTAATGTTTCAGTATATTCATTCTGGAAACCATTGAATCATATTGTCTATTTTTGTACACTGATTTTTTTCTGACACAAATCTGATATCTTGATCTGTTTATTGATTTTACAGAAGTCCACACTTTAAAATATTTACATTGAGCAATACATTTTAATATTTTATAGCTCAAGATTCTACCAGCTCTTTTTGTTTAAAGGTGTTATGAGTGGCTTATTTCAACTCATAATTATAGTGTGTGTTTTTTTGTTTTCAGAGGCTCTACTTAGCCTTTTGGTTTTAAACTAGGTTTTTTTTTAGAATTTTATTCTTTAGAATGATCTGTTTTACTATGATCAAATGTGTAACTAATACAGATTTCAAAACTAAACTTTAGAAAAGGCACGTCAGTGAAGTTATATGCCCATTGTCACTCAACAAGCCAGGAAATTATAGATTTGGAATCAGAACTCACATTATAACAATTTTCCAGCCTGATGCTTACCTTATGAAACTCATAACCCTATTGTTTATGGGCTGAAAGAAAGTCTCATTGTGGGGCTTCTTGCTCATAAGGAGCTTTCCCTATGGACTGTGACAGAGACTCCCTATTGACTTGCAACAGTTTCTCAAAGCCTTGATCCCAGAAAGAGAAGAGGCTCAGGACAATACCCTTGCCATGTCATTCTGTCTTTGTTAGAGCATAAAATAATCTTGGAAATATCTATTGTGAATGCTAATATAGAAATAGTCTCTTTGGGGATGGGCCTGGGTTGAAAGGGGCAGGTTCCTGGAACATTATGGTGGCCTAATGATATGTCTGTGAAATAAAACAGTTCCTGAGATTTTCCAAATAGTTTATTGTTCATGTTTAAGTGATTATAGCAGTGATTTAAGCCAAACTAAATATTCTCTTTCCACGGTTTACTTCAACTCATTCTAATCCTTCTTCATACAAACCTGTTCAATTTCTATTCTTTTTCTTATGTATTTGATCATGTGGGCAAAATTTACTGACTGAAAAGAGTGTGGAAACTAAAAAAAAAGAAAAGAACAAAAGAGCAAATACTGGGTGGTTAGTGGGAGGTGCAGGGCAGGATTGATTACAAGTGTTCTAAGAGAAAAATGACACATCCGACTGGGCATCAGGAATCATTTCTTGCCAATGAAATTTCTGAAGCTGTGGAATCATCTCTAAAAAGAAATGATTGAAGCCTCTTATCTGAGCCACTTACAATTGCACCTAATAAAGCTTTTGAGAACTCTATACTGTTAGTAAGGGATGATGACTTAGTAAGTCCGGTCCATTGATTCTGTGATAGTCTTGGCATGACCTACTCATGGAATAACTTCATAATCAAATCTAAGACACCCTGTGAGCACTATTTAAATTCATGTCTCCAATTTTTGGATGACTATTCAGATATGATTCTGCTATTTGTAAAATACTTATACAAAAATGACTGTTCTTACATTTGTAAAAAATACTTTTCCCCTGCAAAAGAATGTCTTCATCTATCACAGGAAAAATGATTTGAAAAATAAAATACAAAAATAAGCAGAATTTGTCAAGATACAGTATACAACATCCCTGATGCTTTATCTAGCTCTTGGTGTTATTTCAAGACTATGGAACAGTGTTAGAAGCTCAATTATTATTTTATAAAAATAAAAGGAAAGGAAGAAGAAGAAAACACTCTGAACTGACAATTTGTATATCATACTAACAGCTGATCTAGGCCAAGCGCGGTGGCTCATGCCCCAGCACTTTGGGAGGCCGAGGTGGGTGGATCACAAGGTCAGGAGATCGAGACCATCCTGGCCAACATGGTGAAACCCCATCTCTACTAAAAAATACAAAAAAAAAAATTATCTGGATGTGGTGGCGCATGCCTGTAATCCCAGCCACTCAGGAGGCTGAGGCAGGAGAAACACTTGAACCCGGGAGGTGGAGGTTGCAGTGAGCTGTGATCGTGCCACTGCACTCCAGCCTGGCTACAGAGTGAGACTCCATCTCAAAATAAATAAATAAACAATAAAACAGCTGATCTAAACACTGAAATTAGATTGATCTAAAACACTCAAATTAGACTTTACAAGCAAATAACCAATTCTATCTTGGCTTTAGCATTGCCTCTGGCACCTTTATAATATGAATATCTGAACAAAATTATAAGAGTCTCCCTTTGAGTGCCTGGGAAACTTATTAACTACTGGACATTCAAGGCAATGACTTCCCAATGTGAAAAGTTACTGCTAATACCTGATATTAGCTTGTTTGGGTCTTGACTAGTTCCTACAAAAAAGCTCAATTGGCAGTTCCCCCTTTTACTAAAGATTGATTCCCTTTCTAAGTCCTTTCAAAATCTAAATTAACCTGGGGATTTTCACCTTGACTTCTTTAGTTCCAACGAGACATGACATGCAAAAACTTTCCTGTTAACCCATCACGTGAGACAGAGTTTGGTTTCTGCAATCGTAAGCGCAGAGCACTATAGAGAGCTTCTAAGTGGTAAAAGGAAAGGAAATTGGAAGGAGGAACTGAAGATATTTTTCTCCTATGAATTAGCACAAATACAGATTTATAGCCTACACATGTGTTTTGTTTTTACTGATGGTTGTAACTAGGGACACCTGTAAGACAGAGCCAAAGGGGAAGAATTAAAAATAAATGGAAGAAAAATGTAATAATAAGCTGCATTTCAGAGCTTGATTTGAAGCCTAGTATGTGAGACTTTAAAATTCCCCTTTCCTGGAAAATGTTTTATCATTTAGCTTATGTAATTTAGCATACAGTATGAAGGCTGAAATATAACATTTTTAAAAAGATTCTTTCAGTATTTCCAACGGAAATGTTGAGCTAAGTGTAGAATTTGTGGGATCAGTTAGCTTATAAATAATGATCCTTTATGCTGGCATTGGGAAATCCCTGTTCCCACAGCTAGTTCAATAAAGCAATTAATATCAATAAATGCTGAAGAAAGCAAATCTCTATTCACTTTTGTCTGGATTAGTTAACATGAGAAAAATCCTATCCCTCTCCTGAAGTATTTAACCTTCTCATAGGAAGACATTCTAATGGAAGGTAAATAAAGCATGTTTTGATGTATGTTTCTCTTGTCATACACTGTCTCATTCTTATAAAATGATTCACCTTTCTACTACCCCCAGAAATTTTCAGTGTGGTTTTCTATTTAGACTAGGATCTTGTGGAAACTTGTGTTGTCAATATACTTTATCATTTTTCCAATAAATTAACTCTAAATTTAGCTTCTGTTTAGATGGCTTTCTTCAAAGGCAACATAACTTGCAAAATTCAGATATAATGTTTCTTTTCTACTGCATAATGATTACACATTCCATGCCGAATAGTTCACATGTACTCAGAATTTACAGAGGATATTTGAGAAAAAGCAATTTTTGTGCGACATCACATACTTTAGTGAATCTTTTAGCACAATCTACACAATGAAGAAAGGTTTCATCAAGGCAATGGGTGAGGTTTAATCGATCTCATTGATAGATAAGGATTTAGGCATTCAAACTTTCACAGATCAGCATTCAGTAAACCAATGTCAAGAAACAGCCCTGAACTTTTGCTGCATTTGGCAACATTATTTGAGATTTCACACGCAAGCAATAAAAAGCTTAAAAGATATTATCCTGTAGAGTCCAAAAAATGTGGTAATAAGGTAAGAGTTGAAATGCATTGTTGACATAAGAAACCCCTGGCTCATGCTTGATTTATAACACAGCCAGTTTCATCAGAATTGGCATAAATGAGCTCTTCTGACAGTACGGTGATAACATACTGCAAGAATTGAAGCTGCCAATTCTTACACCTTCATTCTACTAGCAAAGAATTTTAAAACAAAATTTCAATATTGCTACAACAACACTCTTTTGCTGGTTCTCAAAAACTGAAAGACCCATTCTGCCTCCTGCTTATAAATTTGAGAATGGAGAGAAAGCTAACTTTTAATGTACCTAACTAAATGTGTGTGTGTGTGCATGTGTGTGTGTGTATCTGTTAAATTTATATATACCAAAGTTATAAAATTTATGGTGAGTTGCCTAATTACCAAGCTATAATCAAATGATATTTTAATGTTGAAATAAAGTATAAATTTCAAACCAATACCTTAAAATTAAATATAAATTTCAAACCAGTACCTTAAAACATAATTAGAGGCTATTATTATTACTCTCATTACAATAGGTTCTTCTTATTATTTGCCATCTTGTCCGTGGGGCTTGAATAAGAAAGAAGACAACATTTCTTACAGAAATTACATTTAAAAGTTACATTACAGTAAAGCAAGTAACAGCTTTTTCAGAGAAGTAAGTTTATTTTCGTAATGTTAAAAAAGGAACACGTATTGTGGAAGAAGGGGTATCAGGAGAAAATCATTGAATATGGAAAAACGAAAGGACCATAAGCATTTGTTGTTTTTCGACTTCCTCATTAGTGAATTCTTTTAAAGCCTTTGTGTTTAATTCAGTGAAAAATTATACCTTAAAATATTTTATGTATAAATTGAACTATGTTCAAAAGCGGCTAATATTATTAACGGTGTTTATATCAAGGGATAAATAATACATTAAAGTACATTGTGTATTACTTAAGTAAGCTTTTTATATTGAGATAATTGTAGATTTGCATGCAGTTGTGAGAAATAAAAATTCCAGAGTACCATTTACCCAGTTTTCCCTAGTAGTAATAGCTTGCATAACCATAATACAAAATCACCAAGCAGGATGTTTACACTGATACAATGCACTGATCATACTCAATTTTTCCCAGTTTCACTTGTACTCATGTGTGTGTCTGTGTATATGTGTGTGTGTTTAGTTTCATAAAATTTGGTTATATACGTAAGCTTATATACCCACTACCATGGGAAGGATACTGAACAGTTCCCTCACTTCTCTTATCTCTCATGTGGCTCTTTTATAGTAACACCCACCTCCTCTTCCACTCTCCCCCCATCCACACCCTGATAGTCACTAACCTGTCCCCACTTTCTACAATTTTGTCATTTCAAAAATGTTATATTAATGGAATCATACAGTATATAAACTTGATATTGGCTTCTTTTCACTCGACAGAATTCACTGGAGATTTGTCTCTACTTGTGTGATATCCATAGTTTATTTCTTTTTATTGCAAAGTATATTCCATGGTATCAATGTATCACCATTTGTTTAATCATTCATCTACTGAAGGACATCGGGGTTTTGTTTTGTTTCTAGTTTTTGGATATTATGCCAAGTATCTAAAGATGTTCCTGTTGTCTCTGTATCTTTGATTTCTTGTTTGAATCCATTATGTTCAGAGAGCATACTCTGTATGAGTTAATTCTTTTAAATGTGTTAAGGCTTGCTTTATGGCCCAGGACAGGGGTGCTTAAAAAAAGAAAGTATATTCTACTGCTATGGGTTGGCTTATTGTATATATGCCAATGAGATCCTGTTGGCTAATTGCATTGTTTAGATCTATATCCTTGCTGATTTTCTGTGTAGTCATTCTTTCATTTGCTGGGGGGGTGGGGGGAGTTTTAAATTGTTAATTATAATTGATGGTTTCTTTATTTCTCCTTTAAGTTTTATCAGATTTTGTTTCATCTATATCCAGAGTATCTTCTTTGGTGCATATACATTTCAAATCATTATTATGTTTTCCTGGCAGATTGATCTTTTATTATTTCATAATTCCCCTTTTTATCTCTAGTAATTGTCTTTGCTCTGAGGTCTGCTTTATCTGATAATAATACAACCACTCCTGCTTTTTGTTTTGGTAGCATTTACACAGGTATGTCTTTCTCGATCCTTTTATTTTTAACCTACGTATATTGTTAAATTTGAAATACTTTTCTTTTAAATGCCATATAATTGGGTCATATTTTCTTATCAACTATATTGATCTCTACCTTTTAATTGGTGTGTTTAGATTATTTACATTTGTTGTACTTATTGATACATTAGACCTTAAATCTGCCTTTTTATTATCCATTTTCTGTTTGTTGTCTCTATTTCTTGGGTCTCTGTTTTGTTGTTCTTGACTTCCTATAGATTACTTGGATTTTTTATTTTTTAGGTTTACATCTTGATTTATTTTGAGCATATCTCTTTGTTTAGTTTTCACAGTGGTTGCTCTAGTTATTATAATATACATATGTGGCTTATCACAGTCTAATGATATCAACATTTTACCACTTTCAGTGAATTGCAGAAACCTTAACTTCATTTATGTCCTTTTTCCTTTCCTACTTTTAAATATCGTCTTGCATATCAGATAGTGTTATATTTTAATCAATCTTAAAATACGGCTTATAAAACTAATGAGAAGGACAGCCTATTGTATGTACCCATATATGTTTCTGAGTGGAGAAGGGAAATCTCAGGCCTAGTAGGAGAAGGAAAAGGGAACACTCTTGCTGTCAGCCTGGTTCCTGAGTAATTGGCCTTGCTGTGCTGACCTACTTTCCTGAGGTTGTTGAGGTCAGTCCAGAGAAGGAATGCACCCACCTAGGCCACCTTCTGTGGTTAGGTTGATAGTCAGGAAATGCAGGACTGAGTCATCGTCTTCTGTTGGGTGTAGGTCACAAGACACCCTGTCCCTTTTTTTTTTCCTGCAATCCCAGAGTCTCTAACCAGTTTTCCTTCTTTCCACCTTTCACCATTCCCCATTTGATCTCCTACTGCATTATTTCCAGTTTGTCATTGTACTTAGTGGAGAGGAGGAGGGTGATGTAAGTCTACATCATTTTATCCAGATGAGATGTACCACAAAATGTATTTTAGCATATAAAAGACTATTTTTTTTCAGAAGTTGATAAAAACCATATTATAACAGTTTGCTGTGGGAATGGTAGAAATAAAAGAATATGGGGAATAAGAGGTTGGTGAGATAAGAATAGATCTGATGCTGCTGAGTATGCAAAACTTTAATTGAAAACAGTATTTCAGTCACAAGCAGTTTTATACCATAAATAGGAAACAGCCCATACATTATTTACATAAAGGAAAAAGAGGAATCAGAAACTGGATATTTTGACAAGTGTCAAGATAGCAGTAACGTTCTGTTTGTGTTAGTTTCGGTAATTTCCTTAAATCTTTCAAAACATGGTCAGAATAAGCTAATGTGAATTAGCTGCCAATACAATAAAAGCAATTGTTGTCCTCTAATTGTTACTTTTTGTCACAATTTCAAAAGTTTTATTTCTGAACTGATTCATCTGTTCAATAGATGAAGAATAGCATAGACAACTATGAGGAAATGAATAAAATTGGAGAATGTATATTAAGTATACATGAAGACTTAATAAATCTAGAGAAACTGAAACGAATAGGTTAGAAAATTAACAAAACAAAAGAGAAGTCACAAATATACAGTCAGCTATTATATGATAAAGGTGGTACTGCAATTTAATGAAAAAGAATCTTAAATAATGTTGAATCAATTTTATATTCAAATATAAAGAAAAGGAACTTTGACCAGTACTTCACAGCATAGTCAAAGACCAATTCTAGATGACTCATAATCTAAATTTGAAAGTTAATACACCACAGATAACAGTAAAAGGTTTTCATGAACTTGAGACAGGTAAAAATTTCTCAAGCAGAACAAAAAAAGTATTAAGACAAAGATTTGTAATTTCTACTAAATTAAAATTTAAAACTTCTGTTCATCATAAGACAATATTAAGAGTGAAAAGGCAATCCACAGAGTGGGAGAAGAAATTTGCAATGCATATATTTAACAATGGACTCTTATCTAGAATGTATAAAGGACTCTTACAAATTGAGATTAAAAAGACAGACGACCCAATTGAAAAATTGTCAAAAGACTTGAACAACACTTTACAAAAGAGATTGTCAGAATGGTCAATAAGCATATGAAAAGTTCCCCAACTTCATTATTCATCAAGGAAATTAAAATTAAAATCAAAATGAGATTACTACACACCCACCAGAATGACCAAAATGAAAAAAAAAGAAAAGTTGGAAATATCAAATGATGGCAGAAGTGTGTTGCAACTGGAATTTTTATATACTATACCTGGTAGTATAAGTTAGTTCAGTCATTTTGTAAAAATATTTGGTACTACCTGTTAAAAGTGACCATGCACACAATTCTGTAAACCCAGCAATTCCATGCCAGTTAACATATGCACATACATGCACCGAAATACATGCAGCAGAATTCATAGCAGTTTTGTTCATCTCAGACAAAAACAGGAAACAACCAAAATGCCCATCAACAGAAACATAAGCAAACAACCTGTAGTATATTTACATACAGAAATACCATAGAGCTATTTTTTTCAAAAATAATTACTGTCGCATACAACATGTTAGACAAAATGTTGAGCAAAAGAAGTCAGACCATAAAAAGTAAAGTTCGTATAATTCCATTTGTTTGAAAAAAGCAAAATATACAACAGTTTCTATAACAAAATTCAGAATATTAGTTTAAGTTTGGGTATTTAGTTTCTGAGAATGAACATGATGGAGGCTTCTGAGTACTTCACTGTGTAAGATTTATTAAGCTAGACATTTAAGATTTATGTATTTTAGTGGTATTTATACAATGGCCAATTAAAATATTGGTAGTCAAAATGGACCTACTTTTACTCAAAACCTATATCACAACTACTTGCTAATGACAAGAAAATGTGTAGAGAAAAGAGCCAGTAATATTTTTGAAGTATTATGTTATCCATACCCTTTATCAAAAATACACAACTGAGAAAAATACAGGTGATTAGAAATCAGGCAATTAGAAATGTCTCAAGAATCTTCTGTATACTGACTATAAAATGTAGTGCATCACTTAACAATTTGGCATCAATTTTCTCATCTGTAAAATGTAAATTAAAATACCAGCTTCAATAGAAATCATATCAGTGGTAGTATTTGAAGTTGACATGGAAAGTGTTACAACATTTAAAACAAATACAATTTAAGGTAGTTAATTAATGTTATTGAAACAATATCATGATGTGCTTGGGCATAAATAAAATAGTAAGAAGAATTTCAGTTTTGTTGAAGAAGATACTTAGAAAGCAAAATGGAGAAGGTAAAATTGACCAGTCTTTTGAGAGATTTCAATTCAGTTTATACAATTGAGTATAGGGCATTTCCACTTAAAGGCTGACTCCATAGTCCTGCTAAACCCATTTTATCTAAAACTGATCTCTTTGTACACAATTTGGGCTGCCTGCTTCTGGTTCCTCTTATACGTATTCCAGTGAATGTCTGTATCCCCAGACGTTCTATCTTCTAACCTCTGTATCATTCTTATCTCTTCCCTCATCCTTTACCACCGCAGCCCTACAGGTTCTTCTCACTTGCTGCTCAGAAAAGTCAATACATTGAGAACAGCAGGAGGTGAACCAGAAAAAAAAGAGTTTAATGGTCATAGGGCCAGCCAAGCAAGGAGACAGGAGATATTTCTCTAATCTGCCTCTCTGAGAATTCAGAGGCTAGGGTTTTAAAGTGTACTTTGGTGGGGAGGGGGCTGGGGAACTGAAACAATGGGTTGGCTGGGAATGAAATCACAAGGATGACAAAGCTGCTGGTGAGTCCGTACCCAGCTGAGGGTGCAGGACCAGTTGAGTCAGTCCTTAGTATGGAACACAGGTTCAAGTGGCATCTCTCAGTCTATCAAAATGCTACATCTGAAAAATATCTCAAAGATTAATCCTTTAGGTCTCATAATAGTGATGTTATCTATAGGAGCAGTTGGGGGAGTTATACATCTTGTAACCTCAGTTACATGACTCTGGGACACTAAACAAGCTAAGCAGGCAATGGATGGCTATCATTTAACCATACCTATTCCTTAGCAAAGTTCAGGCCCCTACCATGATTCTAAACTTGTGGCCTTTTACTACTTTTTACAAATATAGTTTTTATCTTTCAACAAGGAGGAAATCAGCTCAAGAAAAGGACTATGATGGCCTCCACACAATAATGAGCAAAAGCAATTTAGCCTGGTAGGTGCAAGATGGAGTCAGTTATGTCAAATTTCTTTTACTACTATAATTTTTGAAAGGCAGTTTCATTATCTCTCTTCAAACCACCACAAATCATTTTCATCTTACCTCCTAATCTGTTACATCATCTACTTTTTTTCTCTATCCTGTCATTACCTAATTAAGACCACTCTCATGTCTCATCAAAATTGATATAATAAAATCAAAAACAAGTTAGTTACTTCCTAAATACAATGCAGGTACAGACATTGCGTAAATACACTCATTCAAAAAGGAAGAAATTGGCCAAAACAAAGGAGCTACAGTCTCCATGCAAGTCAAAAATCCGGTGGGGCAGTCAAATCTTAAACTTCCAAAATGATCTCCTTTGACTCCATATCTCACTTCCAGGTGGCACTGATGCAAGAGGTGGGTTTCCATGGTCTTGGGCAGCTCCACCCCTGTGGCTTTGCAGGGTACAGCCCTTCTCCTAGCTGCTTTCATGGGCTGGCATTGAGTGTCTGTGGCTTTTCTAGGTGCACAGTGCAAGCTGTCATTGGATCTACCATTTTGGGGTCTGGAGGACAGTGGCCTTCTTCTCTCAGTTCCACTAGGTAGTGCCCCAGGGGGACTTGGTGTGGGGGTTTCAACCCCACATTTCCCTTCTGCACTGCCCTAACAGAGGTTCTCCATGAGGGCCCTGCCCCTGCAGCAAACTTCTGCCTGGACATCCAGACATTTCCATACATCCTCTGAAATCTAGGTGGAGGTTTCCCAACCTTGATTATTGACTTCTGTGCACCCACAAGCCCAACACCACATGGAAGCTGCCAAGATTTGGGGCTTGCACCCTCTGAAACCACAGCTGAGCTGTATCTTGGACCATTTTAGCCATGGCTAGAGTGGCTGGGACTTACGGCACCAAGTCCCTTGGCTGCACACAGCAGAGGGGCCCTGGGTCCAGCCCACGAAACCATTTTTTCCTCCTAGGCATCTGGTCCTGTGATGGGAGGGTCTGCCACAAAGGTGTCTGACATGGCCTGGAGACATTTTCCCATTGCCTTGGTGATTAACATTTAGCTCCTTGTTATTTAGACAAATTTCTGGAGCAGGCTTGAATTTCTTGTCAGAAAACGGGTATTACTGCATTATCAGGCTGCAAATTTTCCAAAGTTTTCTGCTCTGCTTCCTCTTGAATGCTTTTGCTGCTTAGAAATGTCTTCTGCCAGATACACTAAATAATCTCTCTCAAGGTCAAAGTTCCACAGATCTCTAGGGCAGGGGCAACATGCCACCAGTCTCTTCATATAGCAAGAGTAAACTGTGCTCCAGTTTCCTAAAAATTCCTCATCTCCATCTGAGACCACCTCGGCCTGGACTTTATTATTCATATTACTATCAGCATTTTGGTCAAAGCCTTTCAACAAGTCTAGGAAGTTTCAAACTTTCCCACATATTCCTGTCTTCTGAGCCCTACAAGTCTCTAGGAAGTTCCAAACTTTCCAACATTTTCCTGTCTTCTTCTGAGCCCTCTAAACTGTTTCAACCTCTGCCTGTTTCCCAGTTCCAAAGATATTGCCACATTTTTGGGTATCTTTACTGCAGCACCCCACTACCTTGGTACCAATTTAGTCTGCATTAGTCTGTTTTCATGCTGTTAATAAAGACATACCCAAAACTGGGTAATTTATAAAGGAAAGAGTTTTAAGTGACCCACAGTTCCACACGGCTGGGGAGGCCTCACAATCATGGTGGAAGGCAAAGGAGAAGAAAGTCCTGTCTTACACGGTGGCAAGCAAGAGATAACTTATGCAGTGGAACTCCCACTTACAAAACCGTCAGATCTTGTGAGACTTGCTCACTACCATGAGAACAGTGTGGGGGAAACTGCCCCCACGACTCAATTATCTCCACCTGGCCCTGCCCTTGATATTTGGGGTTTATTACAATTTAAGGTGAGATTTGGGTGGGGACACAGCCAAAGCATATCACCCTCTTTGAAATTCTGTAACTCTTTACTCCACAGATAGTTATAGTGGGCTTTCAGCAGGATGGAGTTGTAAATGTGAAGAAAAAAAAAAAACTGAGAAGTCAACAGAGTGAAGTAATAGTGTCAGAGAAATCATTGGAAAGGTGGGAGAGGGTATATCAGTGAATTCTTGGATGGGAAACAACCTTGCTAGGCAATCCAAGTTATGCTCCGAAGTAACAAAGGAAGGCATCTAAGGAAGGGGTGGGTGGGGGAAAGACGGAAAAAGTAGTGATGATGAGAAAAGCAAAACAAGATCCTCTTCCCTTATTGAACTGCACAGAGTTGGTGTGAATGTTTTTGAAAGCAAGCTGAGTAGAATTTCATAAAGAAGGGATTAATGGAGGTTTCCAAGAATAAAGAATGGCCTGTGGAGAGTTAGAGTTATAGAGATTTTTGAATAACTATTGGGAAGGTGCATCACAATCATATTGAACTCAAGTGGAAGGAATTGCCTCATCTGTAATCAGGACAAAGGAGGTAAAAGAAACTCATAAACCCAGAAATTTAGCAACATAGATGTAAAAAATTAGCCAGGGAATGATTATCTAGTTTCATATACCAATTACTGTATTAAGGTTAAATATTCTTTTTTGTTAATAATTTTAATTAAATTTTGACTCTTTGAATATCCCCTAAAAGTTCTAGTTATGATATCATAAGCTAGAAACATGGTTGTATTATTTTTTGAAGCAAATTATTTTGGGGATAAAACATGTTATATAAATTAGGATAGGTTATGTTATATTGCATTTACAAATAGTCCCCAAATCTCAGTGACCTATATATTAAAAGTATATTCATTGATTTCTGTTACATTTCCATTATCAGTAGAGAATGCAAATTCATCCTACGTACTCAGGTACCCATACTACAAAAGCTCTATCTTGACAGATCTTTCATGATCACGATGGCAGGGATGGTCGTCATGCACTGGTTCTCAAAGCTTTCCCTAGAAATAACCAATGCCACTGCCACCTGAATTTCATGGGCTAGAACAAATTGTGTACTCATGCCCAATCTCAAAAGGCAAGGACAAGTGAGATTCTACTAAATGCCTGCATAAAGAAACAACTAGAATATTTGAATGGCCCTAAAGATAACTTTGAATGGGTAACAGCAAGTAAGATAGTGAAAATTCCTATTCTGAGCCTTTTATTTAATAAAATGGCGCTAAGAAGATAGGGCAAGGAAGAAAACTTAGTCACTGAGAAGTGGAATGAGATACCAATGTGAACAACTAGCAATTGGCAGAGCTACAACTGAGTTTCAATGTCTGAATCTTCCTTTTGTAGTATATATCATTTTTAAGTAGTATAACCTACTTCCTCCTCTTTCACAGACTTTATAAAAGGATCTGTACATTCATATTTCTGTGGCAATCTGTAACATGCTGACCTTTGCTTTGTCTCTTTTAATTCTCTCCTCTTTGAGAAAGTTGTCAAAATAAAGGGATATATTAAAGGGTATCTTGTACAACAAGCTATCTTGGTTTTATAGGTATATTGTTATCACTGTATTTAAGAGAATTTTGGTGACCTCTAGTGACCTTTGGGGTATATATTTTTTTCAATATTAAAGAAAAAACGGCTGGGCATGGTGGCTCATGCCTGTAATTCCAGCACTTTGGAAGGCCAAGGCAGGATGATCACTTGAGGCCAGGAGATTGAGACCAGCCTAGACAACAATATAATGAGACCCCCTCTCTACAAAAAATAAAAAATTAGCCAGGCGTGGTGACACACACCTATAGTCCCAGCAACGCATGAGGCCGAGGAGGAAGGATCACTTGAGGCCAGGAGTTAGAGGCTGCAGTGAGCTATGATCAAGCCATGACACTGTAGCCTGGGCAACAGAGTGAGGGGCCCTATCTGGAAGGAAGGAAGGAAGGGAGGAAGGAAGGAAAGAAGGAAGAAAGGAAGGAAAAAAAAAGAAAAAAGAAAGAGAAAAAAAGAAAAACAGTGTCCTCCTGCCCCTAGAAAGAAAGCAGTTTGCTCAACCTGTTTAATTGAGATGAATCAAACTTATGACAAATAAAGACTTTTAATTAAAAGTATAATTTATAAAAACAATAAAAGAAACCATGTTTGAATCATACGCTGCATTGTCTATGGAGTGAAACTTAAGCATCATTCTAAGCCTGTTATTATGAATCCCCAGTTGGAAATGCCAAGACAATCACCTGCTTAAACACTGATTGAAAAACAACTGCTCTCAGGATTCTGTCTAACTTTATAATTTCAAGAGTAAAAGATAGGATTATTCAATCTTAAAAAAAATCACTTCCACATTTAGAAAATAATGCCACATACTGGGAATATCCACTTTCTATACCCCTTTTCTACAAAAAAGTTTATAAGAGATTTAACTGTGATACTTAATCAATCACAATTTGCTAATGATATCAAAGCGGCAGATTCAAGTGCACTTTAGATCATTTGAAAAGCTTTCTATTTTTCATGTACTCCTTTTGTCTGGTGTAAAATAACCTTTAAAACTGTCTCAACCCCCTCTTTAGTGAGAAGACAGAGACTAATCACAAATGGGAACTGATTGCTGTTCACCAAACTTGAAATAAAATGCAGGTCTAAAGCTTTATATGCAGAAAAGATGGAATCCTCTTATCTTATATTGAATGTGATTGCCGTCTCCCCACCCTTTAACATGCATTACCATATTAAGGACATCTTTACAGAGAAAAGAAGAAAGTACAGATATATATTTCATAGTCATGTTAGTTCTACTAAATACTTCTTTAATTTTTGTTTGTTTTACCTGTTAATTGGTCTCCAGCATGCAACTTCTTTCTTCAACCCGTCTTCTCTAAATGTCCTTAGAAATTGTTGACATTGGCATAGTTTCTACCTGAAAATAATTTAAATTTCTGGGTTGTTTATGGAAAGAAAATGTTGTCTCATTACCAGTTGCTGAATGTCTTGCCACTTTTTAGAAATGCGTAAGCCCAGAACTCTCTACTCACTCTCCATATCAGAGCTTGCACCCTGGGCTATTTGGGCTGAAGTGAGTGTGTGGGTATGTGTGTGTGTGTGTCTGTGTGTGTGTGTATTCTGAACATATAAATACTACACATATTTATCTATCGAAATTTATAAACCGAGAGATGTAACAGAACCTCCCAAATTTTTGTTTTCTCTTGATCGTAGTCAGAAGGCCCACAGTTCTTTGAGAAAAGTTTCCTGCCTCCTGTGGCAACTACAACCTTCAGCTAGGGCTTGTGCTTTGCGGTTTCGTGCACCTCGCCTTCTTTACTCATGAGTGTTTCTTTCTGACTTCTAGAAGCATTTCAGTTTGTCATCGTGTTCTATATAAACCAATTACTTGTTTGGCGGTCCTATAGCTGGAATTGTGTCCCCCCCGAAATTCAAATGTTGAAGCCTTAAATCCCAGTACTTCAGAATGTGACTGCATTTGAAGATGGGCCTTTAAACAGATGATTAAGGTAAATGAGGTTGTAGGGAGGGTTCTAATTCGACCTGACGGATGTTCCTCTGAAGGGAATTTTGGATACACAGAGAGATACCAAGGGTGGGTGTTCAGAGGGACGACCACGTGAAGAGGCAGCAAATGGGCAGTCATCTGGAAGCCAAGGAATGTGGCCTCAGTGCAACCAAACCCACTGACACCTTGATCTTGGACTTCCGGACTCCAGAACTGTGAGAAAATAAAATTTGTATAGTTTAAGCCCGTCTGTAGTATTTTGTTATGTCAGCTGTAGCAAACTAATACGGTCAGTATCACACTGAAAGAACTGAATATCTTTTCACAAATATGAAGAATTACGATTTTGTTCTTCATGTAATGAGATGGCATAATTTAACATTTAGGATATGATATGCTTTATAAGCATCTTTGAGGGTTCTTAAAGACACCAAAAGAAAAAAAAAAGTTTGGACCATTGCCCTTTCAAAGAGTCTGAAGTGCAGGCAAAGAACAGATATGCCTTATTTACTAGTAAACCAGGAAAGACAACTGAAAGATTGATTTCAAATATGAGCCCCAAAACAACAGTCACAAGGAATGAAGCTGCTTATCTACTGTAGAGCTGCTTCTTATATGGAAAACATTATGTTGATACTACAGAAGGAGTAAATTTTTATTAATGTAAAAAATAATGTTAATGATTCCTCTGAAGAACTCAAATGTCAGCTAGTTAAGAAACATAGGGCAAGAGGGCAACTAGCCAGACTTTAACTGTCATTTATTATTCAGAAAACAGAAATGAGAGAGGTCTGACTTCCCATTCCCCCTTTCTCTCTCTTCGCCTCACTTCATCAACTAGGGATCTGTTGCATTCACCCTGTTGGCTACTTTTCAACTAGTCAACTCCAACCTTACCCACATCCTGAGCATTTCTGGTCACTGCCTAAGATGCATACTCCCATACCTGCTCATCTAACTTCTTCCTTATTTTCCTTGTGATTTCTCTCCTTTGGTAGTTTGTTCTCCGTTTCTTTTTTCAAAACCTTCCTAGCCTCTAAAATACTACACCAGAGCAAATCAACTTCTCAGCAGAGCTGGCTACATAATCTGGGGAAGAAAGGCCTATGTCAAACAAAAATGAGGGCACTAGCTTAGAAAGCAGGAAAAAATGTAAAGCTAAAGGCACTAAAATATAAAGCCTTTTTCTTTTAAAATATTTTATTAACTATAAAACACAGTGGGGAGACCAGGTATGATAACTCATACCTGTAATCCCAGCACTTGGGGAAGCCAATGCAGGAGAATTGCTTGAAGCCAGGAGTTCAAGATCAGCCTGGGCAACATAAGGAGACCTGCATCTCAACAAAAATTAAAAAAAATAATAATTAGGCAGTGCAGTGGCATGTGCCTGTAGTCCTAACTACTCAGGAGGCTGAAACTGGAGGATCACTTGAACCCAGGGGTTTGAGGTTACAGCAAACTTGAGCTATGATTGCACCACTGTACTCCATCCTGGGCTTGTCTCTTAAATAAATAAATATATATATATATATGGTGATATATATATATCTCATATCATATATATCATATATGGTGATAAATATGAGATATATGATATATGAGATAAATATGAGATATGTGATATATCTCATATATCACATATCTTATATATCATGACATATATGACATATTATGTATATCACCATATATGATATATATACATATATATTTAAGAGACAAGCCAAGGATGGAATATAGTGGTTCAATCATATATATCACATTAAAGGTAATAGGATACATGAGTAAAAACAAACTTACAAATTGCAAAAAGTAATATTTTAGTATAACTTTATAACATGCAATAAATAATATTTTATTTATGTGATATCTTGATTAATCATAAGATTTTCCTGGCTTGCTTTTCTGAAAATTCATATTTTAAGTCATCAAAGTTTATATGTTTATATGTTTAACAACTCATTTTAAATTGACAAAACTGAAAATGATGTCATTCATTCTTGGCAAATAAAGATTGCAAAATTTTTTGATAATTTTTAATTTTGAGAAGGATATTTCTGCTGATACAACTGTTACTAGAACAGTTCAGTGTATTTTATAGGCTGTGATGACATTGTAATGAACTTCTGATAAATTATTTTGAAATATAAATTTTAGTACCATCTATAGCTAGTGATTCTTAAGGAATAGTTTTTCTAGAGTTATTTATACAAATCTGTTCTGTGTAAGTCTGTTACAACTTTAATATATAAATGTAATGTAATTAATATATAAATATATGCATTTAAATGAAATTTATACAACAGCATTTTAATTTTTCCTATAACTTGTGGAGATTGTACAGGAAACCAAATGTGGATTTAAGAGTTGTATATAATTCAAAAATTCAAAACACCCATGCATGTTTTTTATAGCTGTAGCTTCTATTACAGGAAAAATAATTTTAAAATTGCCTTTGTCATTAATAATTAATTCACTCAAAGCTTCATATGAAAATAGTGTCCTTTCCTGTAGATTGCAACTATCTTAAATTTAACTTCTATTAAGTCTGTGGATATGTGCTTTGAAATTGTGGCAGTTTTTAAAACCAGATATTATAAACTCTTTGAAGAATTTCAATATTTCTGTGATATTTTTTATTTTAATGTCTACATGTACACTTTTATTTTGTATGAATTCACTGGCAAGGTATAGTGCGTGAACACTAACAGCTCCTGTACTGCTGCTCAGGGTGGAGAGTATTTGTGCAGATGCTTCCGATCCAGACTCCAGGTGGTGGCACTCCTCAATCCAAGCCCCCTCTTTCAAGGAAGGGCAGCCCCTGCCAGACTTCTGTGATTACGGTGGCTGCTGTTCACACTCTTGCCACTGCCAGTTTGGATCATGGTCTCCATCTGGCCAACACCTTGGGGCAGTCATGGACTACCCTGGGCATCCACTTGCACCCCAGGATCCAAGTCAATTGCTTAAAACATTAGCTTCTCCCACAGTCCTTTTCTCCTCAACTATTTATCTAATTGAGCTGAAACATCATGTATTCAGTTGCCCAAACCTGAAATCCAGGCATTTCTTTAACTCTTCTCTCTTGTGCATCTTGTCTATCAATATCTAAATTTTCTTAGCTTCCATATTACTCAAATGGTCAGAAGCATTTGACACAATTGAGCATATCTAATATATAAATATCCTTCCTCAATAACTTTTTTTTTGGAGGGGGGTGGAGTGCAATGGCACGATCTTGGCTCACCACAGCCTCCGCCTCCCGGGTTCAAGTGATTCTCCTGCCTCAGTCTCCTGAGTAGCTGGGATTACAGGCATGCACTACCATGCCTGGCTAATTTTATATTTTTAGTACAGATGGGGTTTCTCCATGTTGGTCAGGCTTGTCTCGAACTCCTGACCTCAGGTGATCCACCTGCTTTGACCTCCCAAAGCCTCAATACCTTTTAGAACATTACACTCTCTTTCTTTTTCTTTCCATTTACTAAGCACTTCTTCTCAATCTCCCATGTTGTTCCCTCTGCTTCTCTTGAATGCCTAATGCTGGAGTTAACCACAGTTCACTCCTCAGCCCTCTTCTTACCTTTACTATATCCACTTATTTGGTTACCTCATCCATACATAGCTTTAGAGATTGTCTTTATGATGACTACCATGACATTTATGCCTGTAACCCAGGTATCTTTCTAAACTCCAAATACATATATCTCTGTCTTTTTGGATATTCAGTAGATACCCCAAACTGCTTGGAGACATATATATATCTCTCTCCAAACAATCCTACTGTTTTTGCCCTCTTCTCACCACTTTCACCTCTATGACCCCAGACTCTTCTCTTATTTTTCACTTAAGATCTATAACTCTAAAACACTGCATATTTTGCTTATTTGTTGATTGATGTTAGTGTTTGTTAGTGTTTCTTCCTCTTGCTAAGGAGAGATGACTGGCAGTTTCATTCATCAATGCATCTCAAATACCCAGAGCAGTGCCTACCACATTACTACATTTTAGGTGCTAAATAAATATCTGTGGGTTTTTTTTTAAAATCAGTATAGCCTCTTCAACTTCTCTAATATCTCCTGTTCTCTTTCCCACTTTCAACTACCCTAATTCAGACATCAACATTTTTAGTTTAGTTTACTAAACTGAACAGCCGCCTAATTCTTCTTCTGTTCTACAGTCTTTTTTTTTTTTTTTTTTTTTTTTGAGGCAGAGTCTCGCTCTGTCGTCCAGGCTGGAGTGCAGTGGCACGATCTTGGCTCACTGCAAGCTCTGCCTCCCGGGTTCACGCCATTCTCCCGCTTCAGCCTCCCGAGTAGCTGGGACTACGGGCGCCCGCCACCACGCCTGGCTATTTTTTTGTATTTTTTTTTAGTAGAGACGGGGTTTTACCGTGTTAACCAGGATGGTCTCGACCTCCTGACCTCGTGATCCGCCCTCCTCGGCCTCCCAAAGTGGTGGGATTACAGGCGTGAGCCACTGCGCCCGGCCTGCTCTGCAGTCTTAATCTCTATACATTCATTTTCTACTGGCAAAGACAGTCCTTTGACCAAAACTTTAAGCAGGCTCTTCTTAGTCCTATGTTTGACTAGGCTGGAGTTTAGCCTTTCCTCTCTGTCCTTGTAGAACCCACTTTAAGCAAAAATCCTGCTAGGTCAGTTTAGCAAAAATCCTCTACCCTTGGTATCTGACACCTCTACCTTACCAGCCTGGTTTCCCTTTAGCAAGGATTTTGTGGAGTCAGTCTGGCAAGACTCTCCCTTACACCTGAGTTTGCTCTCAGTAATTCTCCATCCTCTCTCCCCAACCCTACTGCTTGGCTATTAAACCCTGTGTATCCTTGTTAGAGTCAGAGTTGAGTCCAATCTTGGTCTCCCACTGCAAGACCCCATTCCAGTGTTCCCTATACCTGTTACAATGCATTGCCTTTTGAATAAAATTTGCCTCACCCTCTTTAACAAGCTTCACGAGTAATTTTTTCTTTAACACTATAATCAGAACTGACTTCTAAAAATAGCGACCACATCCTCTTCTGCTTGAAGTTTTCCAATAGCGTAGTATTTTCCTCAATTTGTAAATAGCCACAATTATAGTTTGATTTAAAGGGGTCATCAAGTTGCAATCTATCAATTTCCAAAGGTATCTTCCAGGAGATTTCTTAATTTTGTACTACCGTGTTTGAATAATTTTTAAAATCCAAGTATGAGATTTGTCCTATTTCTTAATGACAAAGTTTTATGTTATGTTAAACACAATTTTTTGTGATACTAGAAAAAGTACATTTCAGTAGGGCTATGAAAATCGTCTTCATTTGTGCAAAGTTTCCATTAGCTATGTAGAATAGTGCTGTTTAATTGGAATGGAATTGGTGACAAGGAGTTCTAAGTTATCAACGTACAATGCAAAAATGTATACTGTGAAGGAAATATTCTTTATGGTCAAATAGAGCAGCCACCAGCCATAGGGGCTATTGAGCACTTGAAATATGGTTAGTGCAACTGAGGAACTGAATACTTCAATTTTATTTAATTTTAACTTAATTTAAATAACTGTAGGGTGCTAGTGATTAGCATATTGAACAGTACTGTTCTAGAGATTCTGTGTTAGATATATGTTATAGAATACATATTTTGAATGGGGACATAGATTAATGGGCATTTCTAATTTATCTTATATTGCATCTGGGTATATACTTCTAGGTGTTTTGTCTTTTGATAGGATAGACAACCTCTAAGATTCTAGATTTTAATTTTTGTCCCAAACAGACATACTCCTCATGAATGTATATAATTTAAACAAAACAAATGGCATACTTTACCACTTAACAATGTACTGTTGAATGAAAGTGGGATGATGATGATGATGATGATGATGATTATTATTATTATTATTTTGACATGGAGTTCCTGTGTCCAGGCTGGAGTATAGTGGTGCGATCTTGGCTCACTGCAACCTCTGCTTCCCAGATTCAAGCAGTTCTCCTGCCTCAGTCTCCTGAGTAGCTGGGACTACAGGTGCGTGCCACCATGCCCAGCTAATTTTTGTATTTTTAGTAGAGACGGGATTTCACAATATTGGCAAGGATGGTCTTGATCTCGTGACCTCGCAATCTGCCCACCTTGGCCTCCCAAAGTGCTGGGATCACAGGCATGAGCCACGATGCCCAGCCTGAAATTGGAATTATTTTTAAATATTATATTTTAAAAGACAAAACAAAGTATAACGAGTAAATCCAAATTATATATATATAACTATATATAACTATATATATAACTATATATATAACTATACATATAACTATACATATAACTATATATATAACTATATATATAACTATATATATAACTATATATATAACTATATATATACCTATCTATATATATATATAACTATCTATATAACTACATATATATAACTATATATATATTTAGTTTCTCATTAATATCTAATTCTGAAAAATGCTTCCTTTTAACAGGGTCTCTATCTTGCCCACTTTGACAAATTATTTGATGCAACTTAAAATAAAATATACATAAAATATCAGTGTACAAATAGAAAAAGAAAATTTAAAACCACAAGATGTTGGAAAAATTAAATATCTCAAGAACTTAGCATTATATAGTTATTGTAATTGAGCCATAAATTTAGCTTAACATTTTCTAGAAATAAAAATATTTTTTAAAAATGTAAAAGGAAGCCCAAAATGTCACAAACATAGAATGTTATAAATGGTTACAGTATTGGAATGAAAGGAGATGAGTAATTTAACATTTATAATCTTGTCCTTGTCTGATAGTAAAATATACAGTTGTCTGTGACAATAGAAATTTTATTTTTCAAAAACTTAATTCTGAAAGTTACTTATGAATGATCTTTACGTGAGCAACATTGAACAACATAATGGAAAATTCCTTTGATGGTGTTTTTTTCGGAATAGACAAGGATGTATTCTATGTGACCATTTTATTTGAATGTTTTATTCTTGGGAAGTAGGCTAATATGTCCAGGCATATGGATTTCTGCTTCTAAAATGGTTTTTTATACAGCTTATAAATTAAAAGTGAAATAAATAGTGAGTGTCTCGGTCATCCTGCCTTAAATATAGATTCTGTAAGCTATTCTTTCAACAGGAGCATTGCTGTAGTTCAAGACTGAGCTATAGTAAATGTCTGAAGACAAATGTTGTGTTGTGGACTAACAATATCCCAACTCTCTGCATACTGTGTGTGATAGTCATAGTATTTACTCTGTACATGACAATTCAGTAGACATAATTATATTTTATTCAAAAGAGTGGGAATTTTTTTGCATAATGTATGGGAGTAAATTGCAAAATTCATTCAAAACTGACCCAAATATTTCCCAAACTGGATCTGCTGAATTTTATGAATAAATTATTATTTGGGAAGCTAGATTTCCACACCACAAAGCACATACTAGATTATTTTGACCAGGAAAAATCGAGAGCAGGTATGATTACCCACTTTGGCCATAAAATTAATCACTACTGCACATTGGAATACCTGGTATTTGCATGGTTTTATAATGATTTAATGAATATGTACCCCCAGGCTAATAATTTGAATGACCTACAGTATATAGTAATTATAATCAAACATCATTCAATTGAACTTTTATTTTCTCCTTTCTCATTTAGAACAACTCATCTGGAATTTTCAATATAAAGATAAAATCTTCTTGGATAGTATAAATGGCTCTATGGACTCACAGCAGATTGGTACCAAAGACTATTTTATTCATTTTTTCTCATCTGTCAAGGGTGGTACTTTAACATGGTCTTAAAATTTACTCATCCGGCATTTTTTGTATACCTTAATAAAAATTATATCTTCTATTTCTATATCTTTTGCAATAGGGATAATATTCAAATTTATGAAACTTCTATAAATTTGCTTCTTGGTATTGATTTCTCAGTGCCTCAATATCATCAGATATTTACTTCTATTTTATAATAGTTATCATGTTTTATCTTACTTGTGTGTTTATAAATTTCTCTTTCAATCTTGGCTACAAATTAAAACCACCTGAGAAGCTTTTAAACTACTGATGCCTACACTCTGGTTTAAGCTGAGATTATTATTTAATTAGTCTGAGGTACCATCTGAGCAACAGTACTTTGGGAAACTTTCCACTTTATTCTAATGGATGGCCAAGTTGAGAATCACTGCTGTGGACTGTACTATTATTGAGGGTAGGGGGCATGGCTTATTTACCCTTATGTTTGCTCAACACTGTGCCTGCCTGTAATAAATTTTCAAACACATGTTACTGGATATTATCCAACAGCAAAGACCCAGTCGTGCAGTTATACTCGGAAAAGTATTCCAAGTTTTGAGAGAATCAAGTTTCTGTAATTCTCAAAGATTTCAGGGCTTTTTTCCTCAGAAGTCTTAATCTTCTTTCCTAAGATTAAAATTTTTGATTCTAATTTTTTATTCATCATAAAATTTTCTATTTTTTCTTCTCTCATGGACAAGGTACAGGAAACAAGAAAAAAATATGATTAACACATACTTAATACTATGATTAATTTTCCCCATTAGAGAAATCATCTAGGCTTTCTCTTTTTAATGTGATCTCTCTTAACTCCTCATTCTTTCAGTATTTAATTTTCAATTAAATAAAATAAATTACATCCTCAAATGTCATGCACACAAGATTGGCCTACTTTAGAAATAATTTCTTTGTATAATCATCTTAAACTAAACCCACACCTGAACATGACTTTAAATCAGTGACACTCAACCAGAGACATATCTAGGGACATTTTTGGTTCTTACAAGGAGGAGGGGAGTGCCACTGGCATCTACTGAATAGGTGCAAGGAATACTGCTAAACATCCCAGAAAATTCAGGCAGCCCCACAACAAGGAATAAATGTGTCTTTAGTGCTAAGATTAAGAAATCTATTTAAATACACATGCAAATTGCACATAAGCATTTTTAAATAAATTGTATTATTTTCCCATGGTTTCCTTCTACTGTAAGTCAACAAATAGTCTGAGAATGATTATTGACAATGTAAAACAAAAGGTGAATGTCAAAACACTTTGGCATCATATAAAAATAGAGTTATTCCTGATAGCCAGATGATAGAACAAGCCAAGCATCAGGCCCAACACTTACTAATATAGGTAGCAGATCTCCAGAGAAGGTGAAATTTTCAACCACAGAACGTCTGCTACACCACAATTCAAGTAGTGGTTTAAAGGAGTGGGATTCTGAGATTTGGGATTGTTACATCTGGGTTAATGCACTCAAGTATTTTGAAACCTTTGCTCTTCTTGTACATTCTAAATCTGCAGAAGTAGCTCACTCTCCCTATTAAAAGCTAGCCCTACTCTCTTGATGAAGACAATGTAGAGACCTGTGCTTTGCATTATAATGTGTCCTCTTTTTTTTTTTTTTTTTAGCATCTACCACCACCTTTTCTCCTGAACAACAGACCACAAATAATATACTGTCCAGGGAAATGCTGAGAAATGCTGACAGCTGCAGCTGTGGGTCTTAGCCAACATATATTGACAACAGCCTAGAGAGTATGTGTGAGACTGGATATTGAGGATGCTGGATTAAACGGGATGAAATACAAAGTTGGATAAGGGAGAGTTTATCCATATAAGAGCACTCTTCCATGATATAGCATTTAACATCCTGGCAAGGACTCAGAGAGATAATACTAATATGTTACTTGGATGTTTTTCAGACACTTGGAAAAATCAATGGCCCATACACAGTGAAACACAAATGCTGACTACCACGGCAGAACAAGGTGGTGGGGGTTGGAAATCAAAAAATTCAGAGAAGTGTGAATGCTAAAGTGGATATATCATGTAAGGTCAGAAGCTCACAAGCTAACTGACTGACTAAAGAAGAGGTCAGGTGCCACGTGAGGAAGATCTTGCTATCCCATAGCAAGTCTGTATAGTAATAACTCTTTTTTCTTTATTTGCTGCTTTTGAGATGTTATCAGTTTAACATGCCAAAAAACATGCTAAAAGCATGATGTTCAATAAAACCAAGACCAGGATGAAGGAAATACACAGACAAGACATTGCAAACAGAACAGTGCATTTGAAACCAACAAATGTGCTTCCTCTGCTGCCTGGAGTAGAGGGGTCAGGCAGGTGGGAGGGCAGGGGTGTGTATAGGAGCTCCCCCTCCACAGGCTCACCTCCTCAGCATGCCTGTTCATAAGAGGAGGGCCAGGACCCACCTTAGACCCCTGCCTCACTGTGGTGGAGAGGAGGAAAACGGGGAGAGCAGGAACACACAAGAGGCCAACTGGACTCTGGAGGGCTGAGGGATAAAGAACATACCCCAAGCACCTGGCACGCAGCTCCCATCATATGTCATGTCCCTGCTAGTTAGCACCTTGACCAGTGGGTGGGCAGGAGGCTGGAGAGGAGGGAACAGTCACTTTCATCCACTTGGACTGCTCTTTGGCCACCAAAGCAAGAAGAGATTGCCACCTAATCCCAAGTACATTATCTAAATCAGACATTTCAAGCACTATTGGACACAGGGTCTAAGTTGACAATAATACATAGGGACCCAAAGCATTCCATAGTTTCTATGTTTTGTAGAGGCATACAACGTTCAGGCAATAAACCCATGCTCAGCTCACAATGGGCCTACTGTGTCCATCAACCTACTCAATACTTCCTACTATGGTCCAAATGTACAATTGGAATGTACACACCGGATAGTTAGGAAAACCTCCATATTGCTTCCTGACCTATAAGATAAGAGCCATCATAGTGGGCAAGGCACAGTGAAAGCCTCTGAAACTGACACCCAACTTTAATCAATATAGTAAAACACGAGCAATATTGAATCTTGGGTAGAATGGCCGAGATTAAAACCACTTCTAATGACTTAAAGGATGCAGGCCTGGTAGTTCCAATCACATCACTATATAACTTAAAACTCTGTTTTACACAAACAAGCGAAAACTAGGAGAGGAAAGTCAACTACTGCAAACATAACCAAGTTGTAGCCCCAACTGGAGCTGCTGCACTGACTATAACGTGTTTGCTAGAGCCAATTGACTGCACTACAAGATGTGTGACCACTGATCTGGCATATGCATTTGTTTTCATCACTATGAGAAAGGAGGATAAAAAGCAGTTCATATTTACATGGCAGGCAGCAGTATGCATTTCAGCTTTTCTTCAGGCCTAATTTAACTCTATGCCTAGTCCACTGTATCAGTGGTATCAGATTAATTAGACTGGATAACCAAGAAGCAGAGAATACATTGGAGACCTTGGTGTGGCACATGCATTCCATGGGGTAAGATTAAAGCTGCAGGAATTCCATGGAGTGGGTTATGCCCGGACCTACTCTCTATAAGTGAAGGACAAAAGACTGTATCTTACACAGTCACTAGGAAGTAAGCACAAGGCTTGGTAGGCTTTTTTGGGTTTTGACAGCAGTATAATTGACAGCTGGAAATACTCATTTTACCCTTTTACCTGGTGACTTGGAGGGCGGCCAAATTTGAATTGGGTCCAGAACAGGAAAGAGCCCTTGAACAAGTCTATGCCAAAGTGCAAGCCATCTTGCTGCTTGGGCCACATAATCTGGCAAACGTCATGGTCCTGGAGGAACTATGAAAATTACAGTGTAGTGTTTATAGCAAGTCCCAGTAAGAGGTCCTCAACTTTAAGACCCAGGTTTCTTGAGAAGAAACATGTCATCTGTAAGGAAGTACTACATATCATTCAAAAAATAGGTCCCAGCCTATATTGAGTCTTGGCTGGGATTGAGAGGCTGTTCCTGAGGGATCACATGGCCGTGTGGTTATACATCATGAGCTGGGTTTTGTCCAACCAAAAGATGATAAGACTGGGTGGGCTCAGCAACAATCCATCATAAGATGTCAGTGTAATAGGGAGGATAAAGCATAAGAGGGGCCAGAGGCAGAAATCAGCAGCATGAGCAGGTGGCCTGGAATACCCCACATCAAGCTCCCCTGTGCCAATTGTTCTGTCCTTCAGCTCATGCCTATGACTGTATGACAAGCCACCCTTTTGACTGGCTGACAGAGGACAAAGTAATCCCAGGATGGATCGGCTTCATATGTTAATATAAATTGAATATGGATTGCTGGGGCATTACTTCCTTGCACAGGAGCATCCCTGGAACAAAGTGGTGAGAAAAACTCTTCCCAAACTACAGAGTTTGGCTGGCATACCTAATCATTTGTTTTGTGTAGAAGGGGAAGTGGTTCGTGATAAGACTACATATAAAATCACCGGTGAGTAACAAATGTTTTGTTTAGTTGGTAAGACACTCAGAAAGAAAAATATTGGAAGATTGGTGGCAAGATCTGAGGAAGCAGCAGATAGATGGACCTATGAAATAAACATGAATGTAAAAATTATTGCATTACATATTAATGCTCAGTAGAAGGGATTCCAAAGAAAAATGCTAAAAAGTAACCACCTAGACAGAATAACTCAGCCAGCTTCTATCCCTAGCTGGCAAAATGTGCTCATAAACAGAGTAACCATGGTGGTAGCAATGGAGGATGTTCACGGGCTCAAATCTTGGGCTCCAACTCACCAAGGCTGATCTCTGGACAATAAGTAGGTTCCAGCACCAGAGACAGACTCTGAGCTCCCATTATAGTATCATCCTTTGAGGAGTCTAACTTGCTATTTAGTGGTAAATGATTTATTTTTAACTCTTTCTACTGCAGGAAGGCCAATACTTAATCTTGACATGGACTGCATGTATTCTGGGTACAGGTTTTCATTTCCTGTCTCAGCCAGCACCACTAACCAAGAGTTTAGACAGTGACTGATCCTACTAACACAGAAACGTACAGAACACTGCATTGTAAAAGAGATCCACTTTATAGCAATGGGCATATGACTATGGCCTGAGCATACCCCACACCACCCAAAATCTGCTAATCAATCTTTTGAAGGTACAATTGAGGAGTCTACTTGAAGCTGTTGCATGTTTAGGATGGTACGCAATCTTCCAGAATGTTATATGCTCTAAGTTGTTTCAAGTAGATAATTTCCATGAATTTAGAAAACAAGGAATGGAAGTTAGAGGCTGGCCCAACCCAACATCATCCCCAGAATTTCTCATAGGGAATCTTTACTTTCTGTTCCTAAAAATATTGCTTCTCAGGGTCTAGAGCAGGGATATTCAATAGAAATTTCTATGATGATGGGTATGTTCAATGTCCATGCTGTCTAACACACATGTGGCTGTTGAGCATTTCAAATGTGCTAGTGTGACTGAGGAACTACATTTTCCATTTTATTTAATTTTAATTAAGCTTCATGTACTTTGTCTGCTTTTTGGATGAGAGTGCAGTTCCTCACTGATGCATCACTCTCCTCTTTGCCGCAGGATACTTTACTTTTCTAGACAGGACTCAGGAACTTATCTGCTAGGTCCCTAACTGAGGGACCACAGTCTTTGTTCTTTGGGTGGTGTTACTGATGCCCTCTCAATGAGCACTCAGAGAGATGCAGGAACTGTCCCCTGAAACCACTAGAGGGAAGGTCTGTGTGTTAGGCTGCCCTTGCATTGCTACAAAGAAATACGTGAGATTGAGTATCTTGTAAGGAAAGAAATTTAATTGGCTTATAGTTCTGCAGGCTGTACAGGAAGCATAGTGCCACAACCTGCTTCTGGGAAGACATCAGGAAGCTTTTACTTATGGCAGAAAGTGACAGGGGAACAGGCATGTCACATGGCAAAAGCAGGAGCAAGAGAGAGGGGGTGGGGTGGCTGGAGGGTGCCACACACTTTTAGACAACTAGATCTCGCAAGAACTCACTATCAGGGAAACAGCAGCAAGCTATGCAGGATCCATCCCCATGACCCAAACACCACCCACCAGGCCTCATCTCCAGCACTGGGGACTGCAATTCAAAATGAGATTTGAGTGGGGACAAATATCCAAGCTATATGAGTATGCAACAGAGCTCACACCCCATCAGCTGTTCTCTAAAAAAATGCTCATACACACCTTTCCCTAATATCCATTTACTTGACCCTTTCATCTCTCATTGGATGGGAAGGAGCTCCAAGTCAGTGAAAGGCTTTCTATTTTGAAATTCTGCATATGGTCTAACATCTCCTTTGTAATACAGTATGGAGGCTTGGTGCCACAGCAGAAACTCCCATTTTAACATCCTGTTGCATGCATTACGTAGGCAGAGATACAAAGTGCAGAATATTAAGGTACTTTTCTTCATTGGACTTTAATAGGACTTACTTGTTTTCCATAGTGAGGCATTGGGAATGTCAGTTACAGTATAATTAATATTGGACCTGTTGTAGGTCAAATAACTGAACCACTGTGAAAGCTTCTCAAAATATATAGCAATTTTTTGGGGGGAAATGAGAATTAAGTTCTACAGACAAAAATTGACAAATGTGATTTTGGAATACAACTGATTTGTATGTTAAGAACTTGCTTGGATTGGTGATTGTCTTTCTACTCAACCCCTCAAATAGTGACTTTCGACCCCCGGTGGCACATAGTTTGGAGATGTCTGGCTGGAAAGAAATTGTTGACCTTGAGAAAGCTGACAGTCCTATCCTATGGCATAGCATTTTAACTGTCTCATCGAAGTAGCCCTACAGTCCAAACAATTAAGCAAATAAGTCCCATTCATCCAGAACAGGATCTTTCCAATAGTTTTTGAAGAAGTTTACTCCAAATTATCAATCTAATTTATTCTAGCCAGTTAACATGGCTTAAGTAAGCTTACTAAGTGAGTTTGAATCCTGGTGATTTATTACTTTGAATGTGGGCAGCTTCTACATTTCTTGTGATGCTTTCTACTTTGGAATCTACTGGTGAATAGTTTCTGAACTTACACAACTTGACTATCAATATGCCTAATAAAAGATAAGTTAGTCCTGCAAAGCAAGACACTTAAGTACAGTCATATTTTATGCAAAGAATGCTTCTTTGAAGATGTCACATAATTTGAAATTCATGTCATTTAAAACTAATTTTCCTATAGGAATAAACATAAAATTTTATTATTTCAAATTTTTTATGAAAACTGAGAATTCATTAATATTTTATATTGCACTCTTACAAATTACCATAATATAGCTTTACGTAAAATATAACCCCCTACTTTGTGTATATGAACAATGACAAGGTTACAGGTGAATGTCTTTAATATATGAGGCTAGAGAGTTCTTTAGTTTGTTTTCTGACAGATATTAGTAATGGCAATCTCTATGTAACTATTTCAAAATAAAAATAGCAATGTTTTTGAGAGTCTAAATATGTAAGAAATAAATACTGAATTAAGAGTATACATTATTCACCAAGTTAATCTGCTTTGTTTATAGCCAAAGTGAATGGAAAACATTTCTGATTCCCACGTTCTGAGCTTAGGACCTGTGCTTCAAAAATAAAGGGAACATCAAGCCTTAAATGTGCTTCTGATGTTAATGATTTCTCCTCATATTTCAGGGAGGTCTGGATGCTGACTCTGACAGCCAAGTACAGAAAGCTTGAAAAGATCGCCTTAATTCTATCAGAGCATGCATTTTGTGGTATGTTAATATTTTGCATTAAGCCACTTTTGAGCTATTAAAGCTTTTTATTTTCTCCTTTTTTCTTTTCAAGTCTGTGAATCAACAGAAAGCACTGGCCCATGTATTGATTGTATTTCCCCAGGTCCCGTGCTGCATACCAAGCTTTCAGGATTAGTTTTGGAGGTGGCTGCGGTGACTCCATCTTCCCCCAGTGTGCTCTCTTTGCCCTTCCTTAGGCTTATGGAATTAAAAATAAAGAGATAATTTCAGACAGCTGGAAAAATACTCCTGTTCATTTTATATTAATGGACAGACTTGGGGATATGTGCTGCTTGTATGCATTAGGAGAGCAGTTCATATATTAAAAAAAAATATATATATATAATTTTTATTTTTATTTTTTTTACTGTAGACATATTGAAGTGTTTTCTACCCAAGTGTGAAGTTCTTTTCTGAAGCTCTGTCACATGTTCCTCCTCCATTTCCTCATGGTTCAGAAATCTCTGCTCTATCAGTGAGGTTCCTAGCAAGAAACAGATGTGCTTTAATTTGAGTGTGACCACCCCACTCCACAACAATTTCAGGTGTTGCCAATGTGATAGTGAGAGGTGACAGCGTGCTGGCAGTCCTCACAGCCCTCGCTCGCTCTCGGTGCCTCCTCTGCCTGGGCTCCCACTTTGGCGGCACTTGAGGAGCCCTTCAGCCCGCCCCTGCACTGTGGGAGCCCCTTTCTGGGCTGGCCAAGGCCAGAGCCAGCTCCCTCAGCTTGCAGGGAGGTGTGGAGGGAGAAGCGTGAGCGGGAACAGGGGCTGCGGGTGCGGCGCTTGAGGGCCAGCTGGAGTTCAGGGTGGGCATGGGCTTGGCGGGCCCCTCACTCGGAGCAGCCTGCCGGCTCTGCCGGCCCCGCCGGCCCGGGGAATGAGGGGCTTAGCAGTCTGGCCAGCGGCTGCGGAGGGTGTACTTGGTCCCCCAGCAGTGCCAGCCCACCTGGCGCTGCGCTCGATTTCTCACCGGGCCTTAGCTGCCTTCCTGCGGGGCAGGGCTCGGGACCTGCAGCCCGCCATGCCTGAGCCTCCCACCCCCTCCATGGGCTCCCGTGGGGTCCGAGCCTCCCTGGTGCCACCCCCTGCTCCAGGGCGCCCAGTCCCATTGACCACCCAAGGGCTGAGGAGTGTGGGCGCAGGGCGCGGGACTGGCAGGCAGCTCCACCTGCAGCCCCAGTGCGGGATCCACTGGGTGAAGCCAGCTGGGCTCCTGAGTCTGGTGGGGACGTGGAGAACCTTTATGTCTAGCCCAGGGATTGTAAATACATCAATCAGCACTCGGTATCTAGCTCAGGGTTTGTGAATGCACCAATCTACACTCTGTATCTAGCTACTCTGGTGGGGCCTTGGAGAACCTTTGTGTCCCTACTCTGTAACTAATCTGGTGGGGGACGTGGAGAACCTTTGTGTCTAGCTCAGGGATTGTAAATGCACCAATCAGCGCCCTGTCAAAACAGACCACTGGGCTTTACCAAACAGCAGGACGTGGGCGGGGCCAGATAAGAGAATAAAAGCAGGCTGCCTGAGCCAGCAGTGGCAACCCGCTCGGGTCCCTTTCCACACTGTGGAAGCTTTGTTCTTTCGCTCTTTGCAATAAATCTTGCTACTGCTCACTCTTTGGGTCCACACTGCCTTTATGAGCTGTAACACTCACCGCGAAGGTCTGCAGCTTCACTCCTGAAGCCAGCGAGACCACGAGCCCACCAGGAGGAACGAACAACTCCAGACGCGCTGCCTTAAGAGCCCTAACACTCACCGCGAAGGTCTGCAGCTTCACTCCTGAGCCAGCGAGACCACGAATCCACCAGAAGGAAGAAACTCCGAACACATCCGAACATCAGAAGGAACAAACTCCAGACGCGCTACCTTAAGAGCTGTAACACTCACCGCGAGGGTCTGCGGCTTCATTCTTGAAGTCAGTGAGACCAAGAACCCACCAATTCCGGACACAATAGTATTGAGTGGTGGGTACTTTCCAAGGTTATTGGGTCATGAGAGATCCTCCCTTTGTAAATGGACTTAAAGCAGTTATAAAACAAGCTTCCCACAGAATGAGACAAGCTGCTTTTCCAGGTTCTGCCCTGTGAGGGTACTGTGTTTTTCCCTCCAGAAGATGCAGCCATAAGGCGCCATCTTGGAAGCAGAGATCAGCCCTCATCAGACAACTGAAGTTGCCACCACCTTGATAGCAGACTTCCCAGGCTCCAGAACTGTGAGAAAATGAATTTCTATTCTTAATAAATTACCCGGTCTGAAATATTTTGTTATTGCAGCCCATAAACAGAGTAATGCAATATAGTACACTCAGAGCAGTTTAATAGAAAGTCTGGAATGAAGGCAACCAGCTAGAGATGTTTGAGGCACCTGATACATTTGAACTATAGGATGCCATTATTACTTCTAAGCCTGGAGGAGAAAAGGGAGGGGATGGTGTTACTGGAGTCTTAAGACAGAAGGAGCCATGAAAGAACACTCGCCCTGACACCAGCAAAAAATAAATAACCTGCATTTCTCTTCCAGTCCCTCATATTCTGCCTGTATACCTACCATTCACCCCAATTAACTGAAAGCCCAGAACAACAATAACAACAACTAAAACAACAAAAACCTGTGGGTAGTCCATAAAAGCAACTTCCAGTCACAGAGCAGGGCAAAGGAAGGCCAAAAAGGAATCTGGGGGAGCAAATGGAGAATAACCAGCTCATCTGCCCTCTTATTGGTCTTAAATCAACTCTTGCCTGTAAATTCCATCCATCTGCCCTCCCATCCTCCCTTTGGCTTTCATTTCAAAGCAAGGTCGATCTATTTATTTTTGTTTTAAAATTTATTAAGTGTAGCTATACAGTAAGCTCTATAGTAGAACTGAGAATACACGCTAGATCAAATCCTTGAACGCTGGAATACAGCATCATGACAATGAGCATGAAAAGGGTGTTTGAATGGAAGGCACACCAAGACAGCCACTACTCCTCCTTCGTCTTGACTCCTCCTCCTTCATCTTGACTCCTCCCTATCGGTCCACTCTGTAGCCAGTCGTCTTCTTAGCAGCTTTCTCTGTGCAAAACCCATTTCTTTCCATGGGCCCTGCCTTGCTATTCTTTAGAAAAGTTAAACTACACACACACACACACACACTTTTTTTTTTTTTTAGCTCTCAGAATATAACACTTTAATGTTAAGGAAGCCAATTATAAGTAAAATGTGAGTGTTGGGGCTCAGAAAATGCTACCGCAAAGTACTTTGAACTGAAGGACTGAATCATCAGAAGCAAGATGATTACTCTGACCTTCCCTTGCTTTTCTGCATCAGAGCTGGCTGTAAAGAACTTCTCTGACCTACCCTTCCTGAAAGTAGTTTATAAGACACTTTTTTCAAAGGGGTCCTGCCCCACATCTAGTGGGAAGGAATGCTACACCGAGAGTCCAAGAAGCATCTGAAGTCAGGTGTTGGCTAAGAACCCTCCCTTAATCTATTACCATTAGATCATATTCTTTGGTCCAATCACATTTCTACACAGCTGTTCATTCTTTATGGAATGTAAACACAAAAATAGACACGTTTCTGAAGCCACTTGTGTGACATAAAACTTTGATTAAATAAATGTGTTGTGCTTTTCTCTTGTTAATCTGTATTTTGCTATACGAGTGCTGTCATGACCCTTAGGATGGGTGAGGAAAGATATCACAAAATAATGTGACTTTTAGTTATCAGTTTTTTTAATATTAATAAGAAAAATAGAAGTGCACAAGAATATTCACAGGAACATATATAACCCCAGGAATAAACCAATGGTTGTGCTTCAAGCAGTGCTAATATATAGAAGAGAATATACTCCAATTCTTTTGATTTTCACACACTTTTTTTTTTGAATGCACAGGGAACCACTGGCAGAAAAGCCTGCATCTTGCAACTCACTTTCAAGATCCTTATTAAGAACCATCCAAATCCACCAGCCTCTGACTGACTGTAGCCATGTCTTAAGCTGTTGGAACTACTCCTATTTCTACTACCAAAAATGTGCTGGGGTAGAGGAGAACAGTGCATTGAATACTTCCATCCTACTACAGAGTGGGAAGGATTACTGTTGAACTCCCAATTATTTTGCCATAGACACATTGTTTACACAACACAGCTGCTGGAATGACTTTGATGACAGGAACTTATTGAGGCCTTTGGGGGATGATGAGATTTGTTGGAATCATGATGTTTGTTTGCTGCACTTGATTGATGTACCATCACCAGTCCTAGGCTTCAGGCATATTGAGGCATACACAAGTTTTGTGGACTGAACTGCAAGCCTAAGCCCACTATTAAAACAAATCAATCCCTTGTTTAAAAGCATCCAGTGTCTTATACAGCCTGAGAGATAAAGTTCAAGCTCCCTGACAATGTAGACAAGGCTTCCTATAATCTAGATCTTATCTCCAAAATTCTCCCTGCTGAAAACAAATGGTAATTATCCAATCATCCCATGCTATTTATTTCCCTCTTTCTACTTTTCTGCTTAGAATGCCTAATCTATTCTTAAAAGCTCCTCGTCTTTAAGATTCATCTCATCCCTTTTTCATTCCGCAAAGCCTTCTCGGAGATTGATCCCCTCCCCACTTACGGTGTTCTTCATAGAACTCCAATGGCATTTTGCATTTTCTTCTATCAGGGTTCTGAGCACATGATACCCTAGTGGATCCTGTTCTCCTACCAGAGGTTCTGCTCCATTCCACAGCCCCCTGCAGGCTGTATCATTCCATGTGTTCCACATCTAGCTTCCAAATGTAGCCTCACGGATCCATGTCTTCCCATAGAAATTCAAGCATACTCGGCTTCCTGTAAGTTTAGGACCTTTTCTGAAGGTATAAGGAGCTCCAAAGAGAAACACATTTTATGACTCCCTCAGTCTCCAACATCATACTGAGCTGTTCTACCTCAATTCCTTCTGTAGCCTACCTTCCTACTATGTGTCCCACCCAATTTGTGAACATATAGATACTGGAGGACAAGGACAGGTTATTTCACCACTCTGACCTCTCTTCTGGAAGTTGTCCTGCCATGCTGGCCTGCCTTCCCTATCACTCTGGGAATTCTGCTAAATAAAATATTATCCATCTGCTGATGTTTCTATCTCCCTGAGATGATCATGAATTCCTTGACAGCAAGAATTGTTTCTAACTTACCCTTATATCCCCAATGTTGGGCACAGTACATAGAAGATAGTAGATCCTAATAATGCATCAATATTATAAAGGAGAAAATGATTTTTAAATCCCAAGCCACCACTTGGAGTTTTGGATCTTAACCTTTTTGGTCATTAGGGAATGCTGCACTTTACAGTAGAAGAGAGGAAGGCTGCTGAGTTTAAAGTGGGCTTCAGGAATCTATCAGTGATACTGTCTTTCCTAGATTTTTTCCCATTAGAGATCTCTCTAATGAGAATCTTGAACTTAGCTGCAGTTATGAAAGAATTTTGATTAAGGGGAAATGAAAGAGGTAAAGGCTGTTTTTTCATAGTCATTGGTTTGCTTCAAATTTCCATCCATCGTCTTTCTCTAGCTTTTCAATTTCTGGCTTTATTGTGGGTACTTGTAGTTCCTAGAATACAATTCACTAATCACATTAATTTCTTATATTACAAATTATTTAAACAAAAAGCAAATTTTACAAATGTCCTTTAATTTACAGGTCTCTTAAAGATTAGGAAAGTAAGACTATGGCTATATATATTATCTGATGTATAATTTATACATGTATGAATAATCAATTTCATCCCAAATAAAGAAATTCCTTTTTTAAATTTGCTTGAGATTGGGGAATGAGGAGGAGTACATGAATGGGAGTTAGAGTAGAAATTAATTTAGTAATAAACATTAATAGCAAAAGCTTTATTGAACACAAGCTTGTTCATGTTATTCTTGCTCTATGACAAAAAATTAATAAGGGCTTGAATCACTGCCATTTATTGAACACATATGCCACATGACTCTATAGACCCACTCCCTCGTATGATGTGAGCTTGAGATCTTAGTGAAAGTGTAAAAATGTTTCACATACACTAGGATATTTTTTTCTCATGTTACAGCTAACAAAGATCATAAAGAGTGGTTAAGTCCCAAAAAGTAAACCAGATCCCAAAACTCCAGGAGAGATTCATTCTACATTGTTGCTTTTCTTATCACAAAACTATCTTCAATTTCAATCTTCATATGACCCCATAATCACCAGCAATAAAACTGGCTTATCAGAATATTATTCTTTTCTGACTTAGTGTTTACATAACTAATTTTTATAAATACCTCCCAAAATATCTCTCCTTATATTGTACTTGACTTTATATTATTTATTTTTATGGTCTAAACTTAATGCATAATTCATCCTTCATAAATGAATCCAGCATGGTTCAACCATGGTTGGTGGACTCCTTGAATTTACTTGTAAACCAGTAACTACTTGAATTTACTTGTAAACCAGTAATTGGATATTTTACTCTTCATTGGACTTCATTAAAATTAGCTGAACAGTAAATTCACCATTCCTGGTCAGATCACCCAAATTGGGGAGAAGTGCACATCTTAATAAAATAGTTACGGTTACCTTTCAAAGGATTGGGCTCTGGAATTACTTGAGCCCTAGTAGGCACTGCTTTCTGAGCACTTTATTGTCATGGAGGAGCTCTGCCAAGAAAATTTAAAACAAATTCTTCTTCCCAAAGTGCCAAGCATTTCTCCATTATGAAATTTCTACGGAATTCCATGAGAAGTCTCCTCTGTAAAATGAGCCTCCATACTTCTGCACAGCTGCAATACCTGGCAACTTCCCTAGCCCTAGGATGTGAATACAGCAAACAACAACTCCACTGGCTGTCAAAACCGCGAGCAAGTTCTGGAAATGGAAGCACGCTGCTGCTCTCACCACAGAAAACGAGGCACACACTGATTTTATTACCTGGGTAGTCTCAACTAGCAAGATGCTCCTAAAAGGACAGGCAGACTAATGGTTTATTTCTGGCATGCCAAGTGCCTTGGTAGAAGAAATTAATTTTGTTTTTCTTTTGCTATCATCCTTGACTCTCTCAGCAAGGACAATTAAGCAATGCTGATTGAAGAAGTCATCATTGTGTGCTTAAATATGTTAGGATCCAGTCAGCAAAGATGGGCACAAGCATTCTCTAAGAGCTTTTCTTCCTTTTACTTCCTAGGAGAGCAATATGCCATCTTGTGAACTAAAAGTGCCCCCTGACCGACACCAAAAATTAAAGACAAATGTTCTGCATATCAACTGCAATGCAAATCATTCTGCTATCCTCTGGAGTTTGTAAAGAAGATAATTCTTACTTCATTTGCTATAGGGAGGTGCATCTTTCTGGCATCTTCCACAGTACTGTGCTGTCCTGGACTCTGTCCAGAGTCAACAGCTGAGCAGCATGATGTAGCCTATGATTCAAAGGCCCAGGGCAGAAGGGAAATAATTCCCCAATGCCACTTTGTACTATCTTGCTTTTTACATAAATAAATCAACATCTTCTGAAAGATATTTGATTGTGTAGTTAGTAAATTTAAGAAGTTTGCTTCATGTGAAGATGCAACAAGTTATATTTAGTCTTTTAAAAATTGGTCACTGTTGAGAGAAGAACCACACCTGCCTGAAATTATTTTTAAGGTATGCATTTGAGTAAAAATATCACTGTTATCAGAATGTCAGGTTATTCCACAATGAATTTTTTTCCCAGAAACATCTTTTTTTTTCTTGCTACTCTAAAAATATAACTGTCTTAGAGAGCAAAGTTGAAAACAAATACACATTTTGCTGAATTCTTTATATTTCATTCACAGACCTTAGCAAACAGGCTTTAAGATGTATTTAATTTAAGTAATTTTTAATGCATTTAAAATGAACATTAACCTGTAACATACAAGCCTACAGCAGGCCAGCTTTCAAGCTGCACATTGAAAAATCCATATTGAATTAGACAAGGTAAATAGAGCCAGTTCATGACTCTTAAGTAGACTTGACATTTACTGTTGGAAACATATAGGATCTGTTGCTGCTACTTAGTCTAAAAAGGAAAAATGAGTCTTGGGCCCATTTTTGAAATTATGAGGTACCATAAAAATTGTGGCATTCTGAGGACCCGCCCTTTCTAATTTTGAAAAGTGATACAGAATTTGAGAAAAGATGGAAATCTTACTTTTACAGTCAACTGTGCTCAACAGGAGCTGGAGTAGAATTTGTCTACCATGGCACTATTAAAATCTTGGGGCAGATGATGTTTTGTTGTGGATGTATCCTATACTTTGTGGATGCTTACCTCTATCCACTCACTGTCAGTGGCACCTCCAGTCATAAGAATTAAAAATGTCTCCAGAGATTTCCAAATGTCCCAGGGGGCGTTGCAAAATCATTCCTGGGAAAGGACCACTGCTGTTAAAGTGCTGCATAAAATCTTTTGAGTCCTTCTCCATTGTTGCAGACGGTAATCTCCGACAGTTGACACCATGGATTCCTTCAATGTTGAAAAGGTGCTCTTCCTTATTTTTGTCTATGTTGTTCCTGGATCCCCTCTTGGCTGCCTGTTTACTGACTTCTATTTCTCTTCCTTCATGCCACTCAATGAGTCCGGTAAGATTCAGCTGTGAACACTTTCTCTGTTTCCTTTCTCTTCTACCATGTAGTTTAGTTCATGACTGACTGCTTAATGTTGTTTCACCTATAGTTCAGGCTTTTCTAAGCTCTAGATTTCCACCTATCTTCTGGAAACTATGCACTGATATACTGTAAACTTCTTATAACCACCACATACCTAAAAACGACCTCCATATCCATTCACGTTTTCTGTTCTTTTAACTATTATTGTCTTCATCAGCCTCCAGGTGTTCCTGGTTTTAAAATAGAGAGTTGTCTCTTCACTATATTTAATACACAATCATTTGCCCAGAAATTCTATTATGCATTCTGTCCAGTCATTTCTACCTTGGGAAAGCCCTTATGTCAAAACGTTTTTTGGTAACCTCTGGATCTATTCTAACCCAGGCTCTTACTGCTTGCTGCCTTATGTTTGAAGATATTTTCCCGATTGCCTCCCTGTCACTTCCTTTGTCTTCCCTAGCTATGTAGTTCTAGAAGAGAATCCTTCCTAAAGCATAATTCTGATTATAATTTTCCTGCTCAAAACTAATTTTAAATTGCTCCCTTGCCCCTAGACAGTGACAGCGTCCATGATCCAATCCAAATCTTCTAGTTGTTTTTTTTTCACTCCCCTTACCACGCCACCTTGTAACCATTTCCTCCCCACTTCTAATATTAGACCAATGAATCATCTCAATATACCTTTTTACCTCACCTTGCAACCATTCCTCAAGCTCTTTTCTTTAGAAGAAATGTTCTTTCTTCTCTCTACTCAATCAATCCTACTTACACGTCAAGATTCATATCAAGGTAAAACTTCCAGATTCCCTGACGATAATCTTTCTCTCTCCCAACCTCACCAAAATTCAACATTTTGTATTGTACTTTTTGCATTCTTAAATAAGTTACTTGTATTTCCTAAATTATGTAGCATAATGTTTTGTTCTTGAAAGGTACTTAGTGTTTGTTGAATTATATCTATATCAGAAGATGGGGCTTGTTTGGGCCCTAGCTTCATAAACAGTAAGAATCTGACGTTGCATATTAAGAATTATCCACTGTCACATTCTTCCTAAATACCTAAGTTCTCGGTGGCAGATAGTATTTCTCAAAAGTGACCACAACAATATTTTCAGTCCAACACGCTTTTCTAGTACCTTGCCACTCCTCTTCAAAAAGTCGAGTGTATTTCCCATCCCTTTGAAAATGGGCGGGGCTCTGCAGTTGACACAACAATAGAATGCCGCGCAAGTTATGCCACATGACTTCCAAGGATAGGCCCTCAAGGGCAATCTGGCCTTTCCCTTTCTTCCTCTCTCTAGGATACTCATCCTTGGAACTCAAATTCGCACACACGGAGAGACTCCCGCACAGAGAAGAAATGAGCACCCTAACTGACAGCCAGCGTGGACCATCCATCAGCAATGTGACTGAGGGAGTGAGCCTTCAGATGACTCTTCCAGCACCCAGTCTCCCAGTTTTCCTGCTAAGGCTTCAGACATCATGCAGTAGAGAGAAAAAGCCATTCGTGCTCTGCCCTGTATAATTTCGGACCGAGACTATAAGTGGTTGTCTTAGACCACATGTTTTAGGGTAATTTACTATGCAGCCATAGTGACTGGAACATACTTCCAAGTAAATCTAGCAGAAAATACAATAATATTTTTGTTTATTTTCTACTCATATGTAAGAGATGAGCCTTTTCTCTCATAAAGAAATAGTTTCTATAATGTTATGGTAGAGGAAAGGGGCAAGATAATCCAAACACACTGAAGGGAGCTCTAAGTACAGGGAAGAACATATACATATTATAGCCACAGGTTTTTTTTTTTCTTCAAACTCATCTATTATTTTGAGTATGATAATACTATGTCTGTGTATGACAGAAAAATTTAAACTTTGTCATCCTCTGGGAGAATGTTCAGGTAAATTGAAGGTATTTCGGAAATTCAGACTAACAAATGCGTGGCTAATTATAGGCATACATTTCAAGGGAAAGATTTTCAGGTAAATACAAATTTGTTTTATTTTATTTTATTAAATTATCCCTTGATTATTAACAATTTGTTGTTTGTGTAAATAAAAATAGTTACTGTACAATTTGAAGGTTAGCCTTTTTTCGTGGTATTATCTTTCATACAGATCCCTGGAGGGTGTTTACTCCGAGGAAATGTTGATCTCTTAAAGATCTGCCACAGAATTCTTCTAGCCTACTTTCTGATCAGCTCCCTTTGTATTATGAGTCTATGAAATGATAAATCACAATTATTTCCTGGTCGATTTCTTCTGGATAACAGTCCTCTTAGCTCCCTTCTCATTCCCAGTAATTAGTGAGCTCTCTTTTCTTTTACTGTTGATGTCACTAGTATTCAACTGACATCTGTCAAAACTTTTGGTATTCTTTACTGAGTTATTATTGAAATGCTTTTAAAATGGATGAATACAACAATCATGAAGTTGTCAATTTTATAATTAATTTTTGAATGAGCTTGTGAGAATGATTGTGGCTTTATAGTATCAGGTGTGAAAGCATTCAAAATTAGTCAAAAGATTTTTTTCCTTTATCTCTTAAATACAATTATGAATTTTAAAAAACAGAACAAAAACAGCATAATGATCTAGATATTATTATTTTAATTGCTACATGGTGGAAAAAAACTTCCTTTATACATTTTTCAAGATGTGTATCTATTTTCTAGTATGTTTTACTTTACCAAATCCTGTTTTAAATAAAGTGAAATTAGTGCTTAAGAGACTGCAAATTTGAATTAATTATAAAATCATAAATCAGATGTTAATTTTGTTAATTCCAAACATATTTAAATATAATGATATTAACAATAAAAAATATAACAACATATTTATTGAGCACTTACTATATGTCAGACACTGATAGGTACTGTTCAAGAGTTAGTTTATCAGATTCAGGTATTAATGCATTTACTCTACACAATTACTTTGGATAGATACTTTAAATTTCCTTTTGTTTTACAGATGAGGAAAAAGACTTACAGGGACTATCTATGTATAGAAATGCATTCGTTTTCAATGTGTGTCTATGTGTGCTCTTTGTAAGTATACATGCATACACAAATACAGACACACACACACAAATTAATATAGCTGTATCAAGTTTTCTGAAGGAAAGACACAACATATTTAACTAGCATATTTTCTTCTTTGTTTTTACAGTGGCTATAATCCAGTTTGTGTCTAATAATTGTCTTCCCTGAAATGCCCATTTTTCTCCAGAAATGGCCTTTGAGTGGAATGTTCTAGCTAAGGGGCTCTCTGTTGTAACGGTTCCCGCAGCCATCAGTACATTAGCTCCAACTGCTGCTGTAGCCATTGCCATTTACATTTCTCCCAGGAGAATTCAGATGAAAAAAGGAAACTGTTAGTGCTAAGTGTGTGCCAGGTTTGGATATAATCTCTAAACACATTCTAGCTGAGCCTAGAATGAGAATATTTTCTTTTATTTTTCAATGGGCAAAAATACTATGTTATAGAGTACAAAATGTGAGTGCATTACAATAAAAACAGTAGTACAGTAAAAATAGACACTCTTATGAGGACAGAAAAGATTTTATTTGGAACAATAGCTTTAAAAGCAGACTCCTGCTTCTCTAAGTTTAAGTATTGGGAAGCCAAGGGGACAAAATTCCAATTTAGTGACTGAACCCTCACTTTTTCCAGATTGTTCTTCCCTTAAAACAGGTAACAACAGTGATTGTAATTTCAACTAAGGAGTTTGGCACTAATTCAAAATGAGGATTTTAATAAACTTCACTGTTATCCTAACATCTCCTCTCTTCTCCTAAAACCATATATGTGAAGGTATGTGTACATTCACCTACATATTTCTTTGCCTATTTTTTCTTTTAACGTTTTATTCTTCTACACTTCAGTTTTGCTGAAAGTTATGTTCTAAGTCATAAGAGGGGGGTTTCATGTAAATCTGTAGCCGAGAAGACTGGGAATCATGAAAGTCTTTGGAAATTAAACCCTTTATCTTCAAAATGTGGTGTTATTGCTTCTGAATGGGAGAGTTAAAGGCTGAAACCTGCTGCTAAACGACCTTGCTCAATATGTTTGTAGGTGCAGCTCAAAGAGAATCCAACGGATTCCTTCTTGTTTCTTTGCAAGTAGGTGACGCCTCACAGTCAATATGGTAAAGTCTGACACACTCCACAGAGAGGGAGGGTAGAATGTTAGTTTGAGCACAACTGGAAAAGGTGTAATTAGAGAGTGAAACCATAATAATAGAATAAATAGAAAACTTAAAAAATAAAAGTAAAATAAAGCAAGAAACTGTGAGTAAAAATTCGTGTAAAAGATCAAAACTAAATTAAACCGTCCTAATAATACCAGAGCCTCCTGGAGTTTTAAATCAGAAATATTATAGCAGAATAAACCCAAATATAAATGACTTAAATAACCATTCCAGAATCCCACAAAACCATTCATCCATACTTCAATTTATTCACTTATTAGTGTAATTGGTAAACCAAGAACAGTATTGTGGCCTTCTGACCATGTGAGATACCAGAAGTTAGACTCATTTTTAAATCACAAAGGTACTATTAAAAGCAATATTGAAAATTTTAATGAGATGGGATAATGCAAAGAGGCAGTCTTGGTAAATGATTAAGTGACTGTTATGTTTTTATTAGGTTTACTGCTTCTGGTATATATATTATTAGGGTGGTGTGTAAAAGTGATATGACAGAAATTGTTTTTTCATAGATAATTCCACCACTTTACTTCTGAACAAGATTAAAACACTATTTTGTTTTACAACTCCTACCAATCCCTCATACACTTTTCTTTTGTTCTCTACTTCTCTTTCTTCTCAAGATTCCAAACCTAATAGAGTATAAATGCGTGTTCATGGCTGGGAAGTAAAATGAAATTTGATAGTTGTTGAAGGACAGTATTGAACTAGTTCAGTGACTTGCCTTTTTTAACATAATCCTAGGTATTGAGTATATAGTTGTGGCAAATGGATAGGCTTGATGACCCGAATACATTACCTATTCCTTTATCCATACCCTGTGCTCTGTATCTTTGCAATTCCTATTAAAAGGGTTGGTGTCTATTTGCCTATCACATCAACTGCACATAGACATGTGATTTGCTTTAGTCAAAAGAATGTTAGCAGGCTTCATACAAGCAAAGGCCTAAAAAATTGTTTGTATTGTACATTTTTACTTACTCCCTTTGAAGCCTGCCCTATCAGATCATGCCTGAAGTAGCATATGAAGGATGAGAGACCAGGCAGGACAGTGTCAACTTACCAATGCCAACAACCCCCTAGATCACCCAGCCTCTATACTGCAAAACAGCTAATCACAGATATATGTGGGAGTCCAGAAGGTCCCAGTGAAGCCCAGCAGAGATAAGCAGAATCCCCAACCTACTAATACATATGTAAGAAAAAACAAGTCATTGTTATATAAAGCAGTTAACATTTGTATAAAAATGTGAGATGTTTGTTAAGCAGCAATAGATAACTAACACAACATCTCAAAGATTTATACTCTTCATCTTTAAAAGTAACATCATTTGGAATGTCAAGGGGGAATAGGTTTTGGTTTGTGCCAGATACCATATTAAGAACATTATTAATATTAACATTATCATCCTCACAATCCTATACAGTAAGTAATAGTAAAATCAACACTTTAAATTAGTAAACTGAGACACAGAAAGGATAAGTGATTTGTCCAATAATATATATTAGGTAGGGCTTGACTTTTCAACCCACACTATTTAGCTCCAGAATATGGGATTTTCAGCTACTGAGCCATATTAAATAAGACTACCACTCTTCTGGTAAAGCATTGCCTTTTGCAGGGATAGGTTCAGGCTGTTGCTTCTTTTGTTCATTGGAATTTTCTTCCATGTGATCACTTTTCTAGTCTACTGTTTTTGTATAATCCATTGAGATACGTTCATGGATTATTTCTTCAGATCTCAAAAAGCCTAACAAATGAATAAATATAATTTCAAAAGACTAGTCAGAATTTCAAATGAACACAGTCCACACTTCTGCTCTAGTATGCTATGAATATGACTTTAAATATAATTTCAAAAGACTAGTCAGAATTTTAAATGAACACAGTCCACACTTCTGCTCTACTATCCTATGAATATGACTTCTTATATGTCAAACATAAATGTTCAATTATTTCTTAAACAGGAAGGCTATTTAATCAACATTCTTTCCCTCTGCTCTTCATTTTTTTGTTGTTTGTTTAATCAGTTTTGAGAACAAAGGTAAGGCAAGTATTGTATTATATGCTAGGCAAGAATTTTTCACTGGACAGAACTCACAGGCCACGCAGACTAAATCTGGAGAAACACCCATGTGGGAATCAAACAGGAAATCCTAACACCTGATGACTCCACCTGTTCCCCCAACTCACTCCAGGCACAGCTGAGGTGATTAACAAGGTATCATGTCTACTTCCTGTGTGGAATCTATTTCATAGCTCCAGGGATTGCTGCTCTTCCTGGATGATTATTTCCCAATGTTTTTAGGAAGACATTTACTTAAACCTGTGATATCGCTAGGGAAACGTAAGGAAAATGTTAAAAATAACTGCGAGAAGGGAGGAGAGAAAGTCTGTATTTTAAAATACAAAATGAATGAACTTTGTATTTTGGGAAGAGACCAGTTGTATGTGAAGAGCTGAGTTCGACCTTCAGAGTCAAATGATGTTTGACCACTCCCTCCTACTCACCCAAGTGTGAAATATGAGAGCAGAGGGACCCTTATTGAATTTAAAGGGCAATAAATGTAGACCAAATAAAAAGAAATATTTTCTCACACAGCATATAGTTAACCTGCAGCATTTCTGGCTCCAAGGATCATTTAATTAAATAATCTGCACAGACAGAATTAAGTAATTTTATGACCACTAATAACATCTTCAGTGCTACAAAGTGAATATGGTGAAGGTAAATCAACTCACATTCTTCAGACATAAGTTAATTGTCCATAGAAGATAAGAATAATTTTCTTTCCAAGTGGAAATAACACTGGACCACCCAATAAACCCCCACTGACTTCCTTATAGGTAACAGGAGAGAAATTTAGACTAATCATTTCTCCAATTGTGAACACCCCCCCATATAACATTGATGCCAAAACCATTAATGGTTGAATCTATCTTGGCATCTCTATTATATTTTATACACAAGTAAAGGTTTATAGCAGGAAAATCTATAAAAGTTGGGGAAATAAATTAGAGAAATTAATGATAGATATTAATACTTTCAATTATATAATTGAAAAAAACAGTAGTGTTTCATTGGCTACCCAAAATTTGGTATATTTCCTGACAGACAGCTTTAGTTATTGAAATACTAGAAGATTTTTAGAGGAAAATCTGGGGGTAGACTGCCATAATAAAATGCCACAGACTAGGTGCCTTAAACTACATATAGGTATTTTCTCACATTTCTGAACTGTTGAAGTTTGAGATCAGGGTGGCAGCATATTCGGGCTCTGGTGATGGCCTTCTTCCTGACTTGCAGACAGCCACCTTTTTCTTGTGTCCTCCCACAGTGTGCAAAAAGAGAGGAAAAGAGCCAGCTCTCTGATGTCTCTTTTTAAAGGTCACTAATCCCAACATCAGGTTCCCACCCTCATGACCCTCATCTAAACCTAATTAGCCCCCATCTCCAATACCATCCCATTGGTGACCATGTCTTAAACATATGAGTTTTTCAGGTTGGCGGGGGTGGGGGTACACAATTCCATCTATAGCACTAAATAGTCACTAAATCCACAATCTAATCAATAAATAAGGAGATTCTCATGACAACCAATTTGTATATCCAAACTCCAAATACAAACCAGGTATTATTCTTGGCAGTAGAGGCACAAAGGGAAAAAAAAATCCTTCCTTCATCCTTCATCTTAAATTGTGTTTTTAGTTTGTTCAGGGAGGTACATAGTACATATACAAATAAATGATATTAATGCAATGTTTTACATAATATAAAGAGAGGGTGTAACTAATGCTTTGGAATCACAGAGAGAAAAGATGGTAGAGGGAAAAGTAATGAGTAAGAGCTTGTCAACTAGACAAAAGTATTCAAGAAGAGTTGCAGAGTTAACTGCCATTACATAACCAGGCAGAGGGAGAGAATATGTCACATTCTTGACAGACATGGCCAGTAGTACAATCTGGCTGAATCATATCATGAATGACAGGGAACTGATGTTATTTATCTGAAAAGGTAGCTGGAGATCAAATGTGAGACCAATTGCTTCTGTGGAACATAAAATCATACATTTCTAAAGTAGAGGATCAGCAGTAGAAAGGTTAGTAAAAGAGAAAGTGTATTCAACAATTTTTCTCATATTTTCTACAAATAGCAAGAAATGCCTTACAAAGTGACAGCTCAGTAGCGTTCCCTTCTCCAGAATTTTAGAATGGCATTGACAATAGGAGAATCTGAGGCAGCTAGACAAATCTAGGGCATCTGCACAAAAAGCTAAATGTGTGATGGAGACACGGCTACCAGCTCTTGAGCAAAAGAAACTGAGAGATGGATTATGGTTCTTCATATAAGTACTGAAAATTAAGAGAGTTGTAAATAAATTATCCTAGGAGAGACTTGACCATATTGCATCAGATTGAACTGATTTAGGCAACTGAAATTTCCTTGTGATTCACTTTCATACTCTCTTCACAGTACTAGTAAACTAGGCCTTGGACACATACTGGATTTCGTTACTTGTCAAAACATGCGTGACAGAGTGTTCTTGATTGATTTGAAGTTTCATTACAAGATCCTGTCAGAGGGAAGAAAACTATGGAAGGTATTATATAGTTCAAGTAAATAAGTAAAAATTAATTAAAATTAAAAGTTGCCAGAAAAAATCAAATATTACAGATTTGTGTTGTGCATTGATTCATATTACTATTGTTATTTTTATTGAGGAAATAATCTATAATTTTTCTCTTTGCTGAGATGACTTTGATTTTAATTATAAACAGCATTTAACATAATTTCTAATTAATTTTATTTTACATGGGTTTCTCTATATACAGCATAAAACTAAAAGTTGAGTGGCACTGAGGTATTCCCATTCTTGAATTGGGGTACATTTATATCTTTGGAGACTGGGGATTTGGAATTCTGTTATTTTAAAGGAATAAAAGCTTTTAAATGATGAGAACATCAAAATGAGGTCAGATGGGCAACTGCAAAGAAGACAGTTATAATATTTCATCATACTCTTTAGCTCTGTTTACTCTGCTCATCATTTTTCAATATGTGATTTATATCTTTGTTATTATTAAATTTTAAAAGGTTTATAAAAACTTTAAAAAGTTTAAATAAAACTTTGGCCATGTGGCCTAGAAATTATATACATATTTTCTCCTGTGTTAAATGAGCACAACCTACATCCTCAACTTATCCACTGTTAAAGTTTTCTGTGGGAAACACATTAACCAATTTACTCTGGATTACTTCTTTGTATAATTTTGTAAAGTCTTTACTTTCCTCATGTTTAGTTTTATCAAATAAATTAAGTTCTTCAAGCTTTTATATTTTTCCTATAACTCAACAGCATAATCCTAGAAGACTAAAATTTAAAGTGTCTTAAAATATCATACAAAACAAACAAAAATATGAAAGTCTTATTTATGAAGCAGAATCTACATTCTCATAGAATATATTTTGATGAATAATCTTATTTAAAGTGTTTTGAAGTGACCCAAACCTAATCATACTTATGTTCATTGTGATGCTTAGAATATACTGACCATAAACACAATTTAAAGGTGCTTACAGGAAACTCACTAGTTACTCCTTTTAAGCATCAGAATAGAGTTTACGGTTACTCACAATCATTCTTTTTTGATTGCCTGCTTATTTTTTTCCTATTAAAATTGTGGATGCTATCAAAGAATACAATAAGGTTATGTAATGGAATTTAAACACACTTTATTGCAACAATATAAGTTCCATGTACGGTTATAAGCAATATGGCTGTGCTTAATAATCTTACATTGCAAGCATAATTGTGGTATCAAATTAGGAATTTTCACAAAGTACTTGCATTAGAAATTGGTATGATACAATATATTTCAATTCTCAGTTGCACAGGAAGATAACAATTTGTTTAATAGGAGAACTGGGGATACAGTTCATACTCTTAGATCTGATTGTCCTGTTTATACAAAGCTCAGATTCCTAGTCATAGAATTTTAGAGCTTGAAGAGACCTTAGAGATCATATAGTTCAACAACTTTATTTTATAGAAAAGAAAGTAGAAGTTAAGGGAAGTTCTTTGACTTAATGTAACATAGAAAGCTGGTGAAGGAGCTAGAATGGAAACCACTTTTTAACTTTCTTAGGACTGCAAAATGAAGTTGGGGCAAAAGGCTTAGACTTGAAAATCTTATGCACAGAAATGGTATTAAAGCCATTGGGTTGGACTGAGTCACTGAGGAATTGAACAGGAGGTGCATGTCAACCTGTAGTTTTTGAGCAGAAGAGAGAAAACCAGCAAAGAAGGCTGCAAAAGTAGCTGGTAAAATGTCAAGAGAGTATGGGATGATGGAGCCCATCGAAAGAAATAAGGGCTGGTTCCGTATCAAATGCTGCTGAAAGATCAAGTAACCAATGCCAGCTTAAATGACCATCTGGTTTAGCAATATAGAAATCACTAGTTTCCCTGGCAATGGAGGTTTGAAGCCTGATTGGAGTCGATAGAGGTGAGAAAGTATAAAAAGTGACTGAAGGCATTAAGCTCAGGATGCTTTACTATGGTGACAGTAGCTGCTGGGAAACTAGACATTAAATGACATCTTCATTAAGCTACTTCTTCAAGTTTGTACTTCCAGTAACAAAAAACAGCAACGTTTAAATTGTTGTGAGAAAATGGTTTCTGATTTCTTACCTCGGGCACATGCACAGTGCTTTGTTTTGGATGACATTATTAATTAACCACTCATTCTAAAATAAAATGTGTGCTCAATTTGTTAAATGCTGTGGAATCCCTGAAGGTAAGGGACAAAACTCTTATCATTCTCCATTGTGTCTTAACCTGGGACTTAGCTAAACCTGGGACTTAGCTAAAACAATTCACGCTTCTCCCAGCAAAACCTCACTAAGACACTCTGTGTCTAAAGCAGCAGTCCACCTTAAAGACTTGTTTCTTTTAGCAGAGAGCTCATCAATATCTGCACAGCCTCACAGGCAGCTAGGAGGCCCGTCCATTAATGAAATGTTAATGACTGAATTAGACCTGTAATAACTGAAGTAGGATGCACTGCTGTGAGTCCATTAGCATCAGCAAACCCCGCTGAGAAACAAGTAAACACAGCATACAATGAGAAAACTTTCAGGCAGAGGAGTTAGAAGTGTACAGGTGTTTTCACATGGAAAATGACATTTCCCTGAAATAGGATTAGTTTATTTAGGAAAGCTAATCCCATTCACCATATTTCTTCAGGGGAAAATAAAGAACACAAGATGGATTATGTACTTATTCAAGATTGTTTTGATTTTTAAAATTCTAATATTGCACAATTGTTTCCTCAAAACATTTTAGGATCACTTGCCTTTATCATCAGGTGCCAAATATGGCAAACAACTATGCTTTTCTTTTTTTCTTGCCTTGTTCTTTTTCTGGCTTTTTAAAATTTTTGTTATATTTCCCTCTTTTAAGCTTTCCTTGCTTATTGAAAAGCAAGATTTTTGTAAAAAGCAAGAAAAGACTGTGAACCATACAATCTTCCCAATATACCTATCCATTTTCAAAAAGAGGAAAATTATTGGGAGATTTAGGATACTTTTTGAATCTTGATTAATATAAGATTATTGTGGAATTCATTTCTGAGATGTAAATATAAATCATATGGCATATAAAGCAAAAGCTGTTACATATTAGCATCTAGTTCAATTCTATAATATATTGCCCTTGTAATAAGCTTGAAGATTTACCATTTTTATTTAAACATATATTGTAATTCAATAATACTTGAATTGTAGCAACTTGATGTAAGGCAAACATAATTGCCATCCCAAGTTATTACAAAAGACAGAATAGCTAAGGCTAATTCTATTAGATTTCTTTACTACATCTACTGTGGGTCTTACTGCCCCATTTTCATATTTGAATCTCTAACCACAGCTGAAAATAACATATATGTGGTTTGAGAATTGGACCTTAGTGTTTGCTTGGTGGATGTTTTAGAAATACATATAAAAAAGCTATAAAATCAATATCATATTTTTGTGTTAAATAAAATAGTATATATCAAATATAGTAGTTCAATAACAAGTGTTGCAGCTTATGCTTAACCTCAAACATCCTTCCAGGTCTGTAGTTCTATATTTATCAATAACCAGTCATGTGACCCTAAATCAAATCCTTTAACCTTTCAGGGATATTTGAAAAATTTTGAAAAGGAAGCTTTATAAAAGAAAACATGATAAACATTTAAACTTTACATTTATTTGAACTTTAAACTTAAATAATTATTCTCCCTGATACATTAAAATATAAGAGGTGCAGATAAATCAAAGAGATAAGAGAAAATGAAAATAAAAGGTATGTTAGAAATCTAATCAGCTAACTGTCCCACAAAAAAGGAAAAATCGTATCAGTGGAACCCAAATTCATAGAAATCATGCAGTCTACATGGGTACAAACTAAATATTTTAACTAGAATTTGCAAATACAACAAATCATAAAATATATCTGTTTGAACAAATTGTGCTCTAATACAGCTCCTAAGAGATCAGATTTGAATGGGACAAAAGAAAATACTGACATGTTTCTTTTCTGTAACCTAAATGTTGGTTTGCCATGCAAATCATTCACTCCTTGATTTATGTTTGGAGTGTTCTGGTTATCTTTAGATCTCAAAATACATACATACACTTGCACACACACATACTCACATTATCTTGCTTCTTGAAATCTTTGTCAGGTTTCTTATTTCAGTTTAACTTTGCTGTCCACACGCAAGAAGAGAAGTTCTGCACAGCATTTTGCAAATAGCAAGCATGACACTGGAGTTGAAATTCAGACCATGCAATGAACTGGCCTATAAAGATGAGGTCAATGACAAATAGTAACACCTGACAAAAAGTATTATTATGATTACAGTTAATGGAATGTGTTTCCTCATTCAGAGTGTCCAGAGCCTATAAACACTGCCTTACAATTTTAAATGGCTAAGAAAGAGAAATCCATCAAGCCCAAATGATGCACTGATAACCATGAATATGTAACTTATGGATAATCTATTGGTGGTAGTTTCTGGAACAGTCAAAGATCAAGTAGGTTACATATTGGTAGTATAAACACCATATGAATTACTGCAAACTAACACACTCATAACATCAGTCTCAAGAATATTAGTGAATTTAAAGCCAATTTAGAGTAGTAAGCTATTAGCTTTGAACTGAATCTCAGTATATAAGATTGGATTTCCCCCTCACTATTTTTTTTTTTTTTTGGCTTGGACAACTAATGATTTCAGAATCAAATATCAAAAGGCTTTTGTAATACCAAATGTCTTCCCCTCAAAGTTATTTTTTTCTTTTGTCTTTAGGTATTAGTTATTCTGTAGAATAACGAACAAGATATCCTTAAACTTTTCTTTAGTACAAAATTTCAAGCAAAAAGTTTAAATGTATCATTATTTTTCAATAAGGACAAACTCCCATTAGCAATACATATGCAATCGTACTTTATTTCAATAAATCGGATTGAGATTATAAAGAAATATGGCAAATGTTGTATGCCCTAATGGCTCCTATAATTCTAAAATGTTTAGAATATAATAGAATATACGAATATCTTATTAGTATATAAGATAATGTATGGCTTGCCTGGCTATGAAACATAACAAAGTTTCCAAAAGTAAGCTTGGATCAGGATTCAACTAACTTCACCCCAAAGAAATGGAAAAGCCCTAGAATAGCACATAATTGAGTAGAAATTCTAGGGCCCATGAAACACAGCTGTCATTGCCCCTTACTTGCAACGGTATTGGTCATTCTTCAGGCTGCTACATGAATATCCGTTGGCCCTTTCTGTAAAAAAATTATAATGTAGAAATTAAAAATTTTATTTGTAATCCAGAAACCCCAGCAATGGTACTCCCTCACTGTTCCTCTATGTTACTAACACTCATAGAAAATCTCTCTAATACACTAAATTGCAGTTAGAGAATAAGAATTTCTAGTTAGGCCGGTGCAGTGGCTCACGCCTATAATCCCAGCACTTGGGGAGGCTGAGACGGGTGGATCACCTGAAGTTGGGAGTTCGAGACCAGTCTGACCAACATGGAGAAACCTCGTCTCTACTAAAAATACAAACTTAGCCAGGCATGGTGGCACATGCTTGTAATCCCAGCTACTTGGGAGGTTGAGGCAGGAGAATTGCTTAAACCCAGGAGGCGGAGGTTGCGGTGAGCTGAGATGGTGCCATTGCACTCCAGCCTAGGCAACAAGAGCGAAACTCCATCCAAAAAAAAAAAAGAATTTCTAGTTAATCAAATAGCTATTGTATTCATTCATTTGTTCGTACATTCTCTTTTATAAAATTATGTTAAATATCTATCATATATAAGGGAGTTTTTTTGTTTATTTATTTATTTATTTATTTATTTACTTGAGACAAAGTCTCGCCCTGTCGCCCAGGCTGGAGTGCAATGGTGCGATCTCGGCTCTACAACCTCCGCCTCCCGGGTTCAAATGATTCTCCTGCCTCAGCCCCCTGAGTAATCCCCTGAGTAACTGAGATTACAGGTGCGTGCCACCACGCCCAGCCAATTTTTGTATTTTTAGTAGAGATGGGGTTTCACCATGTTGGCCAGGCTGGTCTCAAACTCCTGACCTCGTGATCCACCCGCCTCCACCTTCCAAAGTGCTGGGATTACAGGCGTAAGCCACTGTGATGGCCAAGGTAGTTTATTTTATGTGCTGTTTGTTCACCGCTCTCAAACATTTCAGAGTGCAGTAGAAGGTGTTTCATTCATTTATTCATTCATTTATCCATTCAGTCTATTTTCTGAACCCCTACCATATTCCAAGCACTGTTATAAATATAGAGAAAGAGACAAGAAGAAAACTGTCAGGATCCCTACTTTTACAGAGCTTACATGCTCATCATGGAGGGAGTAAAAGTAAAATGTCAATGAATAAAACAAATTTAATGTCAGATAGATAGGAATCAAGAAGGAAACTAGAACAGAGTGAAATGATAAAAGTGGCTGTGGTGCTGTTTTAGATAAGGTGGTCTGAGAAGGCCATTTAGAGAGGATGTTTAAGGAGAGATCTGAACAATGTATTAGGGAAGAGTTTCAAAGCATAGAGCAAAATAAGTGCCAGTGCCTGAGGAGGGAGTTGACTTGGTGTGTTTCTGGAAGAGCAAGTAGACTAGTGTGGCTGAAGAGGAATGAGGGTAAGTGGGGAGACTATAAAGAACCAAGGCAGGAAGGACATGCCAAAGATTTGGGGACTTTATTCAAAATGAGATTGCAGGATATAAGCTAGTATCATATCTTAATTCCAAAGCTATTTAAAAATAAGTTTATATGGAGATTGAAAAGAAGAATGGCAGAAGCTCTGACTTCACTGAGAGAGTAGAGTCACTGTTGGCAGCGACTTGGAGACGGTCAGGAACTTTGTAACCAAAAGATAACTATGGACACATTGGGCTGGTGGTAAATACAAAATCTTTATAATCCAGGAGTCATTACATATACTTCCTAAGATGGTTAATGATATATAATAATACAACCTATACATGCATCCTGACACTGGATTATTACTAGTTATGACATAACTTGAGACAGATAATCAAACTTCAAAATGCAGTTAGAGCACTTGATTGGGAAAGGAAAAAGAAAACTAGGTCCAAGGCAGACTTGATAGGAAAAATATGTCAAGAAAGAAAAAAAAATAGTCAAAAGGACTTGGCAGAGGATAGAAAAGTGGGGAAGCTAGTCACCATGTCAGATTTTTAGCTGTATACCTGCCTTTTCCCGGGAATGGTCTTCTGCTTTCCCGCTCTGAATTGTTATCTCAAAATAACTCCTTTGTTTTTTCAGAAGGATGGAAATTATTCTGTCTGTGGTTAACATTTGTTTTGTAGGGGTTCATATTTATTTGCCATTCTACAGTAGCCTGCCTACTTTAACAAGTACTTTCCAATTGCTCTATTATTTCTCAGAGTTACATTTTGCCTCTAATTAGTTTTTATTTTGTAAACGCCTCCCATTTCCCATTGATTTCTTGAGCTTTCTGGCTTATCCTTTGTTAAGGAAAGAGAAAAGATTATATATATATATTTTTTTTTTCCAGATTAATTCTACTCAGCTGAACTTGTCAGTGATGAGTGTAACTGTGTTTTAAAGCAGAATTCCAAGTCTTCAGGCATGGCAGAGAATCAACTGGTTACTCAAGATATGATCACCAAACTATTAGATACACTGGTTATAGTCCTCCTGGTTAAATATTTCAAAAACACTCAATTAAGAGGTCAATCGATATAGTTGTGCAAATCCAAAGGTGAGTTCTTGGGTGAAATAGACATAGATAGTCTCTACATCTCACTCTACGATATCTTCTCTCTAGAAATATTGTTTCTTATTTTTTTTCCTTCTTGCAAATTTGAGTTCAAAAGGGCCTAATGACTATTGTTTTCTCCCTTATCTGTGTTACCATTCACAGCTTTGTAATGCAATCTGAATGTAAACCCAATTGACCCTAGTAAAAGTGAAGTCATGGAACTAGTGCATCTATAGAGAATAAAAAAGCAACAGGTTTCTAATGACAAATGCAAGGCAAATTTCTCTCCCTTGGGTCAATTTCAGCAAAATGGGTGGGCACAGCACATTCCCTTCCATTTGGAGAAAGATAGGGCAAAGCAGAGACGACCAAGAGGTGATTTTGCACTTTTTTGACTAGATGGCTACAAATTGAATGTGAACTATAATCTTAGTACAGGAAGCTCAATGATTCTTTTTTTATCTTGCAGTTTTGGAAAATGGAGACATACTCTGAAGAAGGAAGAATAAAAAGTAACAGAAAAAAAATGTTGTTTGCAAACTGGACTATTCTTGCTTATACATCTCTATAAATACCATGATTAATTACAAGCTGTAAGGAAAGGAGAAAGAAAATAATTGTTGATTTCTTACTTTGTACTGTGCTCATTATATAGACAATTTCATTTTATCTTTACAAATTCCTTCATATTCATCTCTATTTTGAGATTAAAAAAAAGAAAAGGAAACTGAGGCGTAGCAAGGTTATCAGCTGAGTTTTGAACTACATGGCTCTAAAGACTGTCTTGTTCACTAGGCCACTGAACATGGGGCTTTGTACAATGTGAGCTCCTGGTCCCTGGTCCCAAGTGGGTCTGAGGTGAGACTATATTTTTAAGAAGCTTTACAGATTATTCCTCTAACCAATCAGTTTTTTTTTTTTTTCCAATCACAGCAACAGGCTGTGCTCCCTCTCAGAGAATCAGTAGCTGATATCAGGATGCTGAAAGCAAACAAAAAGCCCAGTGGTAAAGACAATGTATCCAGCACACCATGCAATTAGTAAGTTACTTTGCTGAATTGTCAGAAATATGGCTTAAACTTTTCAGGGCCAAGACAGTGCATGAATATGAAATTGCAAAGGGAAAAATATAAATAAGAGCATCTTGTGATGTTGACACAGGGCTATAAAGAAATGTACCTTAGAAGGTCACAGCACACACAATAGACATTGAAGTTTCCAAATGAAAATAACTCCTTGACTAAGAGAGAAAAAGACAAAGAAAAGCAAGTGAGGAGATGAATAGTAGTGAAAGACATTGAATTCCTCTACCTTCATTCCAGTGTGAGTGACTCCTAAAAGATGGGAAATGAAAGGATCCATATGACACCAAACCAAAGAAATGGAGCTGAAACTTTCATGGAAAAGAGATATCAATTAGCCTGGGGTGTGGCTGACTTTTAATGTATTTAGTAGAGCTCCTGAGAGTGCTGGGATGCTGAACATAGAAGCAAATGGAGCTCTGAGGCCATCACGCCCATTCAAGAAAATAAATAAAGCTTAAGGGGTTGGAAGGGTGGTGAATATACTATGCATCTTAAGCTAGGAAAGCTTGACTGTTCCTTTGCCATTGTACCTCAAGGATGGTTGCATAATAATTTTTTTATCTAAATTTTGTTAGACCTCTGGAGAGAGGATACTTTTGCTGTGTTTCTGTTATTGGAAAGGGGTCCTGATCCAGACCCCAAGAGAGGATTCTTGGGTTTCACACAATAAAGAATTTGAGGGGAATCCATAAAGTGAAAGCAAGTTTATTTAAAAGGTAAAGGAATAGGCTGGGCGCGGTGGCTCACTCCTGTAATCCCAGCATTTTGGGAGGCTGAGGCAGGCAGATCACGAGGTCAGGAGATCAAGACCATCCTGGCTAACATGGTAAATTCCCGTTAATGTTAAAAATACAAAGAATTAGCTGGGTGTGGTGGCACGTGCTGTGGTCCCAGCTACTCGGGAGGCTGAGGCAGGAGAATTGCTTGAAACTGGCAAGTGGAGATTGCAGTGAGCCAAGATCGCACCACTGCACTCCAGCCTGGGAGACAGAGCAAGACTTTGTCTCAAAAAAAAAAAAAGAAAAAAGAAAGTAAAGGAATAAAAGAATAAAAGAATGGCTATTCCATAGGCAGAGCAGGAGGGCTGCTGATTGTCCATTTTTTTACGGTTATTTCTTGACTATATGCTAAATAAGGGGTGTATTATTCATGAGTTTTCCAGGAAATGGGTGGACAATTCCTGGAACTGAGGGTTTCTCTCCTTTTTAGACCATATAAGGTAACTTCCTGACATTGCCATGACATCTGTAAACTGTCATGGCACTGGTAAGAGTGTCACTTAGCATGCTAATGCATTATAATTAGCATATAATGAGCAGTGAGCACAACCAGCGGTCACTCTCCTTGCCATCTTGGTTTTGGTGGGATTTGGCCAGCTTCTTTACTGCAACCTGTTTTATCAGCAAGGTCTTTATGACCTGTATCTTCTGCTGACCTCCTATCTCATTCTGTGACTTAGAATGCCTAACTTACTGGGAATGCCGCCCAGCAGGTCTCAGCCTTATTTTACCCACCCCCTATTCAAGATGGAGTTACTCTGGTTCAAACACCTCTGACATTTCTGTTACTTCTGGGAATATTCAGAAAAGGAAAGAATTTCAGCCCTCTCTTTACAAGATCCCACTTACCTTTTTAGTAAACTGCCCTTCAGTTTCTCTCTTTCTCTCTCTTTTTTTTCTCAAGACAGGGTCTCATTCTGTCACCCAGGCTGGAGTCAGTGGCTTGACCACGACTCACTGCAGCCTTGACTTCCCAGGCTCAAGTGATCCTCCCACCTCAGCCTCCTGATGAGTAGCTGGGAATACAAGTGCAGGCCACCATGCCCAGCTAAATTTATTATTTATTATTTTATTATTTTTGTATGGATAAAGTCTTGCTATGTTGCCCAGGCTGGTCTCAAACTCTTTGGCTCAAGCAATTCTCCCACCTCAGCCTCCCAAAGTGTTGTAATTACAGGTGTGAGACACTGCTCCTGGCCCATGAGTTTCTCTTAAGGTGGAGAGGACGCCCCCACAGAACCTGATTGTAGATGCTTCCATAGCTCCAGGTCAATTGGGCAGGAGCAGATGGGGACAGATAACACTAAAGACATGGCCATGATAACATCTATGACAGCAGTTCTTAACCTTGTCTATAATTACAATCTCCTGGGATTTTTTTATTATTATTATTTGCTAGTACCCAAGCAACACCCCAGACTAATTAATTCAAAATCTTTGAGGGTGGCCCCCAAGCATCAATACTTTTTAAAGCTCCCAGAACAATTCTAATAAGCAGCTAGTACTGAAAACCACCAGTGACAGACTTAGCCTGTTTCTCTCAGCATTTGAATATTTTATCCCATAATGTAGAAAATGGAATTTAATGAAAATTATACCTGTAAAGACATATTAAGTAGTTAAGTATGTATTTGCTTTGAAGACCAGAATGTATGCATACACATCATTATCTTACTTCAAAATCAAAATATATTTCCAGTGTCACAATTCAAAAATGTTAAAAGATCTTCCATGTCATCTAAAAAGAAATTCATTGACATTCAAGAACTTAACTGATCATATGCATATGATCTTGGTTCCTGGGCAAACCGTGACCTTGATTGGTCCTGCAATATCATCCATTACAAAGGTAGCTATTATCCAACTGTCACCTAAATATAAAGCATCTCCTATTAAGGTGATACAGTATACTGTAATGCAAAATTAAAATAATAAATTTAAAAATGTTTTCAGTACCGTTATTTCAGTCCCAAATCCCAAATCAACCATTGCCCTAATTTCATAATGTCACAAGGGGATATATATTTTCCACTGTGATCTTTTCAAGCACCTGGTCCATTGGAAAACTAAAATTTTATCTCTCCCTCCTCTTCTTCTTCCCCCTCTTGTTTTGTTTGGTTTGGTGTTTAAGATGAATGACTATTGTGAGGGGGCTGGTAAAAACATAACGTAGAATTAATAGATTCAATCCTGTCCCACAGAAACCAGCTCATTAGGTACTCCAGGCTCCTTGATGATTAATTTATTATCCTCAACGTAAGGGAAGTATTAAATTTAGAACATTGAGGTTCTTTGGCATGACATACACTGTAGAGAAAAGAAACCTGGATTAGAGGCCAGAAGATAAGAGTCAGTAAATTCAGCTTGAGAATTAACAAATTATACTATTTTTTGCAAACCACTTAACCAACCTCTCTGATGTTGATTCTTTCGTCTGTTAACTGAAAGACTTGGACAATACTGAAGGACTTAGTCCCTTATAACTTGAACTTCTTATGGCATATTTTAGATCTGTGACCTGTGGAAATAATTTCATTTTGAGGAATGATGACAATTCATTTAATGTGTTATAAATCAAATGTGGGGTAAATAAACAAGTTATATAGAGTTCCCAGAAGAGACTGAAAAAAAAAAAAACTTCTTTCCTGTAACTATATATTTTTTATAATTGCAGGTTACACAGACTTACATATTGTTTCAGCTACAAAGCTCTGCCTAACACTGGTTCAGAACGTCCAGGTTATACTAAATATGTAAGATTTATAAAATGACATTACATGTACATATAAATAAAATTCTGATGTGTATTTTTGGACACAATACTGTCACTGCAAACAAATAAAAAGAAAAAAGAAAAAAAAGATGGATCCAAAGTCAAGTAAAACCTCAAATACCAAAAGCTGCATAAATCAAAGCTTAAAATCTGACTGGTAACAGCAGGACCAGATCCATGTGTATAAACTGATGGAGGTGTGGTTTCCAAAGCCACTCAATCCGCTTGTATACACAATGCTTGAATTTATTGAGTTTTGCTGCAGTGACCATTTGCTTCTATGGCTCAAGTTTTGTTTTCTTGAGGGTTTCCCAATCTGTCTCCCTCTTGAGAAAACCACATGAGATTTGTTCTTTTTATCTAAGCCATTTGCATTCCTCTTAGCGTTTCTCCTTTTAAGGTAAAATGAATGTTAATTCATGTTAGTGCCAATGATATTTGGCATATTCTGATTTTAAGGAATGAGATTCTTTCCATCTAGCTCTTGTGGGATAGTGATTGCTACATATTTGAAAGACAGAATAATCCGGCTTAAAAACTCATTGAAAAGTCATTTAAACCATATCCCTGACTACACGCACCTGGCCTCTGGGACAAAGAAGTGAGCTTCATAAGGTTGTCTCCCATTTATTTCATTGACACAATCGATCAGAATGAGTCATTTTAGTAGGATGATGCTGTCTACTTATTCACGGCGCCTAAGACATGGTCACAGATACTGGACCACAGAGAAGGACAGGCCTTGATTGGAGGCAAACAGAAAACATACTCTCCATTGATGTCTGTCACCTTGACTCCTATTGTACACATGGGGTTTATACTGACAAACCATGCCCATTTTCTGATACACACATTTTTCTCAGAGATAATCTGTGCACCTTGTGAATGTTAAACTGATGGTGCACATCACTTGGTTGTTCAGAAGAATCAGCTTCATATACTCTGTTTAGGCTCCAGGTCACAGTCCTTGGAAGGGCCGCTGCTTGCAGCTATCAGATAAAAATGACAATCTTTCCTACACAGTACTTTAAAGAACATATGCGGAAATATTTGATTGATTTTTTTTCTGTGTTTCAGGCTATCCTTGTGAGGATTCTGCTATATTAGGCCTATCAGAACCCAGAAGCAAAAATAGTGCTGATTTTTATACATGCTTTCATCCAGATCTACAAGCAGAAAATCAAGGGCTGTGGATCCTTTTTACCCTCATAATCTAATCCAACCCTTATCCAAACATTTGCATCAGAAGGGATCATAAAGCCTCTAAATTAATAGCATATATGATAAAAGCATATATGAAAAAATGTAAAGTCTTATAGCCTGTCATTTATCAGACATCTTATTTGCATGATAAGAACAGCCCTTAACACAAGAAAAATTCAAACTCTGGGCATCACAGATAAAAGTCAACTGGTTTAGCTCTCATTCATATTTCAGAAATTTACTCAAATACTTTTGTACACATGGTTGTAGCCAAGAGTTGAAAAAATATGAGTACATGTACATTTACATAAATAAATATTTATCTCAATGTATTTATAAAAACATATACCTACATTTATCTATATTCATGTAAACTTTTATAAATTTTATATATATATAAAATATATATATGTGTATATATATATGAATGAAGAGATAAGAACAATCCAATGATGTTAGGACATTGTGTCAACTCTGATGGTGAGAAACTTTTAACTATTGATGCTGTTTTGTCTGAGGTCAAAGGAGTTTGGCTCTGAGCAGTTTTTGTTTTTGTTTTTTTTTTAATTTTAACTCAAATCCTTTCTTCTCCGTGAGATTCTGTTTCTCATATATTTTCACACTTAACAATCTCTTATTCATCAAGGCTTGGTGAAATGGTCACTTCTTTCACACAAGAGTTTGATGTTTACAAATAAGAATAAGCCTTTCTTCCTAAAAGCTTCTATCAAACTTTATCTCTCTTCTTTTTATATGACCTCCTCCTTTTGGTTTTTTATTTTATTTTTGCCCATTTGTTTAGTTGTATAAGAATCTCCTTGAAAAAATACTACTAATAGTAATAATCCTTACTTATTGCATTCTTTGTATTTTATACAATGCCTGACATAAACCCTTGAATAATGTAGATACTTAATACATAGTTTTGAAGATGTGAAAAGAGGTAAAACATTTTTATACTTCGTTGCAGTGGGAAAGGGCTTTTCTTGCACTTCTTGACATTCTATTTCCAGTCTAAAACAGGGAAACTATTTTTTTCTTAGGCTTTGTACCCTGCTTCAACCACAGGTTCTAAAATTAAATAAAAATCTATCTCTTTTGAATTGAGAACCACCAAGCTTTATTCCCTATCTTCCTCAGAGTCCTGAGCTACTTTGAAAGTTGCCTGGGATTCTATGGGATTTGGAAAGGCAACAGAATCTTCCTGCAGAACAGCACAGGTGTTTTTAAGAAATAAATCTATAGCCGTCGGCACTAGGTCAGGTATCAGACGACTGTCCACAGGCCATTTGGTGAAATCATAACTAGGATTTCCACTTAGCTAACACTAAAACAAACAAACAAAACCCCACCTTGCAGTACCCAGAATACATATCCAGTTAAAAGCACAAGGGGCTGCCTTTGTTCCTCACAGAAATTTTCTCTGTGATCAATAATGTCAGCCAGCCTCACTGAGTGTGTTGCCGTCAGACTCTTGAAAACAAAGGTTTATTTTATTTTTGTGACAATTTAAGTTAAAGAAGTACAACATTAACAGAGATCCACCCCATTAAAATATAAGAAATGTTAGCTATAACACATACTCATCTCAGCCACTTGAGATTTTGGTCGTGATCTATGATAGTCCTCACTTGAATTTTTGCTGAAACCCCCGTTACTTAGAAATTGTTAGGATATGTCAAATAGAATAAAAATATAATCTGATAAAAAATTGATACATTTGACTAAACAAAAATTTTGGAAATTTTCAACTCATAAAATAAGTTACAAGGCAAATGATATACTGGGATGAAATGTTTGCTTTATATGTAATTGCCAGACTCATACAGCCATTTTATATAAAGAACTACTACAGACCAACAAAAAATCTAATTTGCATAATACTAATAGGAATTCACTGAAAAATATTACAAACAGACAAGGCACAGGTGAAAAGTAACTCATTTCAGTAATAAACAAGTAATTGAACATTTTTAAAAGCTGTTTTTTTAACAAACTTCAGATTAACAATATTTTAAAGTTTGAAAATATCCAGAGTTGATGTAATTGTAGTCGCTTTCATATATTGTCACTTGGAGAACAAGTGATTACAACTCTTTTGGTGAGAAACTTGACAATAAATCCTAAAATTGAATCTCTACATATCCTTTGACCCAGCATTGCTACTTCCAGGAATTTATTCTATAAAAATGCCTCCACAATATATGTATGTATAAAAGTTTATTGCATTTTTATGTGCAATATTACCAATTTTTAAATACTCGTGTTCATCAATGAGGCTGATTAAAGTAATTCATCATATATATATGATACATGCATATATGTAGATATATGAATTTCTTAAGCTTATCTTAAGAAATAAGCCAGATATAGTGAATACATTGCTATGTGAAGAAAAGTGTATTGAAGAACAATATGAAAAGTATAGTCTCATTTCACATAAAAATTAGAAAATTATTAACGTATACAGAAAAAATAAAAATTGAAAGAATATGTATGCACTTGTTGACAAAGGGTCTTTTCATGTGGTAGACTTATGGTAGACATTTATCTTTTAGAATATATGTCTCTATTATTTGGATTTTGCACATATTATTTGTTTTATTCTGAAAACAAAATAAGCATTTGTTCAAAGTATTTAAATAAAATCTATCTAACAAAGCACCATGACAGTCCATTTGGTCCAAATTATCAGGAAAATCTCCTGGAGAACCAACTTTACATGGATTTTAATGAATACCAGTAGTTTGATTCATACTTTCCAGGGCATTAATCTGTTGTAAAATACTCAGCATTACTATTAGGGATTAACAGAATGCTTACTCTTACAAAGTTTAACACTTAATAATCTCTTTTTTGAGATCAACATAGTGTTGTTTAGATATTTTCCTATAAAATTATTAAAGATAATTTTTCATATTGAGTGTAGAATGAACCTAGAAATGTGCTAGGGCCCATAAGAAAAATGTTGTGTCTACAGAAAACAGTTTAAAATGATTGTAAGAAAAAGAAAAGACTCAAGAAAAGGCCAGTGTTGCTCTTTTTTCAAATCTTTCATAATGGTTACTCTTTTCTTTGTATTACTACATTTTAATTCCATTTTACTCTAAATATTAAAAAATAGAAATTTAAACCTATAGGTGCTTTTAAAAAGTCAAATACAACTTTTGTTTCACATTTCCTAAAATTGCACTGCCGTGAGTAACCAATAAATCAGCTGTTGACTTTTAAGTGAGCAGAGGTTATAATTGTTCTTCAGTAAGCATAGATTTATTTTGTAATTAATATTCTCTTTGGAATTTGTCTATGAATAATACATCATTCTACCTTTCTATTTTTGCCAAGCATTAAATATAATAAAAGATGTTTTGACTGGTCTTTTGCCTCAAAGAGATTTTTTAAGTTTAGAAAATACATTTAAAATATATGTAAAGTGCAATATAATACTCAGGCTTTAATATTATTCCTAAAAGTAACAGAAATAATTTGACATTTTAATGGCAATAGATATACCCAACATTACAATGCTTTTACAGTCCATGGTGGGGGAATTAAAAAAAAATACTTCCATATATTTAATTATTTGCAACCATGTTATCATTAGCGATTCTCATTTAACAAACACTGTTCTTGAGACAGTACAAATATAAAGTGGAACGCAATCTCTATTGGGTAGCATCAACCTTTACTCAATCATTAAACGATGAGAAATATTGGGCTGTTTTTGTTAAGGATTAAGAAAATGCTTTTTGAAGCAGATAAACATTTGTCCGTGCTGGAAGCTCCTTCAGCAGTAATGCATTACTATGCCTGACCAGCCCTAGAAACCTTGGAAAGACAAAATATGTACATGTTGGTTGTTAGGCATATGTGATATGTTTTGCTTTGTCACCTGGCAACCAAAAGATTTTTGAACTTTGCCAAAATCCAAACTTTCGGGACTCTTAAGCTGCTTAATTTTTATATTCATAAAACACAATCCATGGTATATTTTTGTTTGGAGAGCTAATTGCATAAGACTTCTTGAGTTGTGATAGATTTTGCTAAAAGATGTTTAACCTCATAGTTATCATGTCAACTTCAATTCATATCAGATTCCATGTTAGTTATTTAGACCTGCATGAATGACAAATACTAAAAGTCACGTATATTTCATGTATTTATCATGTCTTGAAGGAGCCATGAAAAATGAACAGAGAAGCAAAGGATGAGTGTTCTAATCTTGCTTGGCTCTGTTGTTTAAAATAGTCTTGAGACTTCAGAAAATAATGAAATCCCTTTGATCCCATTTTCTTCATTGGTAAATTAAGGAGATGCACTTAAAAATTTCAAAGAGTTGTAAAAAAATTTGAGGTTTATGTTTTCTTTTTAAATGAGAGGAATATCAAAGATGCTCAGTCTAGAGGCACATGGGTATACAGGCCTTTCATTAGTACCCATGTTTTGTCAATCTTTGACCCACATTCTATCTCAAAACCCTCCAGCATGCTCTGATATATATGAAGTACTTCTAGAATATAAATTCCACTGAACTTTTACAAAGTATTTCTATATTCATGCTTACTGATCACCATCAGAGATATTCAGTTATTTTTCTTTTCTTCTATGTTTAAAAATTTGCTAACTCTTTCCCCTTGTTCCATTTGCAGTATGTTCCTGGGATAAATCATGGTACTTTCAATTTAACTTGGTTACCTGGATTTTCACAAACAATGCACCATTCTGAAAGACTGAACTAAACGGAGGAATCAATTGTAATTGGCAAAGTTTCCCTAAGTACTATGTTGATAACATCCTCAAATAATACCTCATATAAGGAAGGATAGTTTTGCTATTTTAAAGTCCAATTTAGTAGTGCTACATTGCTGACTGTGATGTTCAAAGATATGGGGCATATGAGTAAATATTTGTCACTGGAGACCATCAGCCCATGGCGAAATAGACACCAGAACGCTACATAATTTGTGTTTGTTCAGAGAAAAGACTATTCATGTTTTTATTATCCTAATGATTAAAAAATTGCTCTTGGTGCTTGTTCCAGTAAGAGAAAAAAAATGTTCTTAAATGCTAAAACAATAGTAGCTTCTTTGGTGAGTGATGTGCCACTTAGTAATAATGCAGTGCATTTTGAACAGATCTGTAGTTTTTCAAAGACAAACATCAAATAGGAAGAAAAAGGTTATGTCACCTTCACCCTCACAGTACTGTCATTTATATGCTATCAGCTCATTAAATTCACATTAGGATACTCCATGGGACTTGAGTTGCTATTAGTGCACCTAAAATGGCATAACAAAATCTCAGTTCACTTTAAGAGAGATGGCATTGCGACATTTTGTATTTCATCACTGAATTATTACAGTCTCAGATGCATTCTGCTGTGATGGTAATGGAAGGAGGAGTACAAGAGAGGAAAGCTGTCCATTTGTTGTTCCCCAGGGAGAGAAAAAGCAAAGTTTGATTAAAAAAAAAAATTTAAGGAAGTGAAAGTAAAGCATTAACAATTTAACCCCTGTATCTAGGCTGAAAATACACAAGTAAAGGCAAATGTTACATTTTGAGATAGACTTTATAGGACTTGTTTATTTACTTAAGTAAAATGACTATATTGACTACTCGGGAGCTTGTTTGCTTAGTTGTTTTATGTCCACAGGTGCATGACCATCTGGACTTCATATTACCTTTCAGAAGTACTCACCAGTAGCAAATCACTGTCCTTTTCTATTATATTTTTAGCAGTTATATCCTTATGAAAAAAATATGGGTAGCCTCTCAAAGGTAAACAATTCCATGATAAATATGAATATTGATAGTTATCTCCATGATCTCAGAACCTTTCCATTATGATGAAGAAAAGCTTATTATCTCCTATTCTGAACAACTTGCAGTTATACAAGATTTCATGAAATAATTTTACACATTTTACAATAATAAAATTGCACACTTGTCAAAAAATAGAGACACCAATGGAAAAAGCTTGAAATAGCAATGGCTTACACAGCATACAAGAATTAGTGTTGTTCTCAAAACCAGTAAACTTATGAGAATTTTGAAGTATATTCTACCAGCAGAATTAAGAGAAGTATACGGTTGACATAATATGCTTTTACATATAGAGAAATAAATGTGTGTTTATTAAGAAATGAAATTGTATAATAACACAAGCATGCTCTCTTCTAATGATTACTTCTCAGTGGCAGAAACAGAATTTGAATAGAAGAAACAAGATTAAAGTCTTCATCCCACATCTTGAATGTTTGGACATACTAAACACAATATTTCATAATTGGGAGTTTATATTACATGTGGAACATGTTTAAAATTACAGTTCAGAATATTTAGATTTCATGACTATTGCTTTCATTTGTATCATTTGTTACATAAAGTAAAAAAATGTATCAAATATGTGAAATATAAATACCTGCTGCTTCCGAGTAGACTTTGGTTGTAGTTACAGCTCTGTTGCTGGGTGATTGGCAGCTGTAACATAAAAAAATTAAGGGGTTGAACTAGACAATCGTTAGATTTCCTAAAATTCTCTACATCTGTGTCTTACAGGAGACATCAGAGTGTTGGAAAAAGAGACCCAGTAGGAGTCCAGGCTGTTGGTCTTCACCCAGACCAAAATTAAGAAACCTAAATTAGTGAGTAATTTACTCTAGGCCTTAGTTCTCCCTTCTACAAAGTAAGGCAAAATACTTTCTGACCTCTAAAGCATCCTGAGATCTAAACTTCTCTGGCTTTGTGTTCTCCGATCCTTTCTCAGTTCTCTCACAATTTTACCATGTAATATTGGAAAAGGTCCTAAAACATATAGAATACTCATTTTTATTAGTCAGGTTTCTTCAGAGAAACAGAACCAGGAGACAGAGAAAGAGAGAGAGAGAGAGAGATTTATTATGAGAAATTAGTTTTTGTGATTACAGAGGCTAGAAGTCTCACAATCTGCTTCCTGCAAGATGGAGAACCAGGAAAGCCAGTTGTATGATTCAGTTGGAATTGGAAGGTCTGAGACCCAGGTGACTTGATGGTGTGAATTCCACTCTGAGGGCTGGAGAAGACGAGATGATACACCCCACCTCAACCAGTGAGGCAGAAAAAAACAATCAAGTTCTTCCTTCCACTTTTTATTCTATTCAGGCCCTCAATTGATTGGATGATGCCCACCCACATTGGGGAGGGCAATCTATTGTAATGAGCCCACAAATTTAAACATTAATATTATCCAGAAAAACTCTTCAAGACATACCCAGAAAAAATGTTTAATCTGGGTACACTACACAAATTCACATGTTAATCTTATCCAGAAACACTCTCCCAAACACATCCAGAAATAGTGTTTAATCTGGGTACACTATGACCAATCAAGTTCGTACATAAAATTAACCATCACACCATCATTATGCTTAATCTACAAACCTACTCCCAGGAGTATAGAAAATGTTACTAAATATGATACCAGATCAGTGTTACAACTAAGTCAACCACAGACAAATTTGTTAGGCCTCTAGGTTTATCTTCGCTTCTTTAATAAGCGAGATCCCCCCATAACTTTTTAATCTCTTAACTTCAGCCCAGTTCAATCACTTGGATATCTACCCTCCAGCAATGGTCATTTGAGTTTATAATCATCCTAATAAGATAAGGAAATTGAAATCCACACAGGATAAATGACTCATCCAAGGTGACATGACAGAGAGCTAGGTTCAGAAAATACTCTGTTTCATGACTTTTAGTGCAGTGTTTTTCCAGCCAGTGTCCTGCGGAGTTAAGGATCTCACTTTCTATTATCTTGGTTTCAGCTTTCACATAGCCCATAGCAGGGTAAATTCTTTCAGGAAAAGTTGCATTCAAGATAAAGTACACTGTACTATCAAGTGATAAGATATTAATGGTAGGAAGTGAAGAATCAACCAGTCACGAGGAAAAATTTTTTAAAGTAAACCAATTTATTTCTCGTACCCTCTGAAATGAGTGGGTAATAGACTATATCGTCATTTGTTCGACCTTAGAATAAGTTCTGATCCATACTTAATACATTCAATGTAGCCTTGAAATTGCATTCTGAATTGTATTCGCCTTTAAGTCACCATGCCAACCGCAATGCCAAGACATATAAGACACCTTATAAGTATGTCCTATATTGAATATGACCATCTTTCAAACAGGCCTGAGTTTGCAATTGTGTATACCTCAGCTGTGCTCCCTTTAAAAAGAAATAAAACATTTGTGGTGTAAAATCTCAACAGCAGGAATAAAGAAAATATTTTAGTTATGTAGTGTGTATTTGATATCATGCTTCTTAGGTAGAAAGAACCCTTCAATACTCATTACATTGAGTATTGAAGCTGATCTCATTCAACACAACACAAATGAGATTAGCCATTTGTAGAAGCACCCTCCCTGAGAAGTGACTTTGCATGTCTTCGTAAGATGAATATGTCTTCTAAAATTCAACAAGAGAGCCATGAAATTTTCTTTCCAACATTTTATAAGGGAGACAGTAATCAAGAATGTAAGTAATGATAGATAAGCTAGAAAGTAATTAATTGTGTGAAATAACCATTATATTGAAATAACAGAATCTTATGTTAAGTGATAAGAAACATTGTTTCTTTTTTTAAGTAAATACTAAAATCTGTCCATGCTTATTTAGCAATAACTCAAAGGGTAGTCAGCCGGTTTGGTGATACTGCTCTTCACTTTTTGGCAGGTATAAACCTGAAATGCAGAAGGCGGCATCATCTACCACTACATGAACACAATATTCCCTAATATCATCCAACTCCCTTTGTTTCACCTCTTGACTCACCACAAAAACCATTTGACCTTATTTTGATTTCCCAAGAAGACTTTTTTTTTTTTTAAACTGGCAAGGAGCATGTACTTGCCAGCTGATGCAAGTATTCTGTTACATAGTGCAGCGTGTTGTTCTGTGTAAGTGAATAAATTGGCATTCTGGTTTATAAATCTGTTTCCTGTAAGCTTATTTAGCATTAATGAGTCCTCTAGAGCCTGACCATTCCTGGGAAAACTGATAAAATAGTACTCCTAGCTAGGTAAAGCCAAGATCGACACCCTGGCTCTGAAGTCACTCCAGTGAAAGTTATATATATGCCATGTGTTCCTGCTGGAAACAGCAAGTCAGTTAGCCACTCTCTTAATTCCTGGTAATTACAAGTGAAACAAATCTCTTAGGAGGAAACTTCTAAAGTGAACAGGAACAGTGCATACCATCTTCATCCCTCAGAGATTTACAGCATTCAGTTATATAATAATAGTTTGTAAAAGATAAGCCTGATTTATACTGTATAACCCAGTATTCCAACTACTTTCATGTGATCCATATTAAACTTTCTGGGAATATACTATGGAAAACTCTGTTTGTGGGATATTATAGTTCTAGGAATCCTGAAGAAGGCCTGGAAGTACAGCTTCTCCTCAGGGACTTTTATCTCATTTGCATCTTGATAATAATGAGAATTTCTCAGCTATAGATACCAAGAAGAAGAACATCTGACAATGCCATAATAAAGTTAGTTTTATTTAGAAACTGGGTAGATTTGCTTCACACTAGTACTTGGATGTGTCTTGACACTGACATCCTTCTCTTTATCTTCCTTTTCTGTAAAGCAGCCCATTCTTAACAAGTAACCCACAATATACTGTTTAGAGGAGTTATAGAAGATCAGTTGGGATGGTTCTGTCACCAAACTTTATTAGAGCTAAAAATGTACAATATCAGTCACATTCTGTTGTGTTGGAGTCTAAGGATGTATCCAATAAGTATCACCCCTCTCATGCAACAGAGTTCTTAAAGCTAATAGAGAAATAAAGGAATGGCAGAGGAAGTCAAAGTAACACCTTGTTTACTAGAAGATCAGATAAGAGCCCCTTATTTAGAGTCAGTTATTTGAACCTACCTAGTCACCATTGAATTTAGGTTGAATTACTCACCTGGGCCCAGCCAGAATAAAGTTGGTAGAGAAAAGTCAGCCACAGGAGGTAGAGATAGTCTGTGTTTCTCCTTAAAGGAAAAAAAGTTTCCAAGAGGAATAGGCTTGGAACCTATTAGAGTAGGCTGACTTTAATCCTCAAATGAAGTGCCTGCATCTGGGGTAAAGTGAGGAAAAGGATAGAGAGAAAGTCTTCCTCTACATGGAAGATAAAATCAGGAATGGGGAATCATAATTTTCTTCTAACATACTACTTCTTGTAGTAAGAGACCTAAACTATAAAACCTAAAGTAAAAAATTTAAAAAAACCACTAAGATTTGAGCGCAGTATATTTTTTCCCACAAGACAAACCTGGCAGAAATTAGTTAATGGGACAAGAAAATTATGTGTAATGTGCCTAAAGCTGGACAAGAGAAAACAAGACAAAGATGCGATGAGATATAAACTAAAAAAGGCAGAAAGGTAAAGGAATTATTTTCTCTTCCTACTAAGGGATGCACTGATATTGAAGCAATGACATTTGAGTGGTAGGCTGTCCTAGGATTTGTCCACCATCTTTTTGTTTTGTTTATAACATTTATTCTGTTTTCAAATACATCTAAGGAATCACTGGTGTGCAGATTTATAAAAATCTGAATATTAAAAGTGTTTTAGCTTAGACCATTGGGTCTTCTAAAATTAGTCAAAGGTTCACCTTCAATTATAGTTAGACAGATGATTTAACAAATGCATAATATTGCAGATTTACAAATTAATTTATTAATAATAATTAGTGTTCCTTCTCCACATGGAATGTATATTTCTGCAAATGTATATATCTATTTGTGCTTACTCTGTAAGCACTTATTAGGTTCACAACTATACAAGCTGTGTGCTGTAACCTAAGATTCAAAATCAAATATGGGCCGGGTGGGGTGGCTCACGCCTATATTCCCAGCACTTTGAGAGGCCAAGGCGGGCACATCACAAGGTCAGGAGATCAAGACCATCCTGGCTAACACAGTGAAACCCTGTCTCTACTAAAAATACAAAAAATTAGCTGGGCGTGGTGGCGGGCACCTGTAGTCCCAGCTACTCGGGAGGCTGAGGCAGGAGAATGGCGTGAACCTGGGAGGCGGAGCTTGCAGTGAGCCGAGATTGGGCCACTGCACTCCGGCCTGAGTGACAGAGCAAGACTCCGTCTCAAAAAAAAAAAAAAAAAAAAAAATCAAATATGACAGTTTCTGTCCTTGAATAGTTTTGATTCCCATAGGAAAGGAGACAAATCAATGATTATCATATAGCATGAAAGATGCTAAGGTAGTGGCATGTACAGAGCATTGTGGGAGACAAAACATCTGTGTCAGACTGAGAGATAAAGACAAGTGGTGTTTGAGCTAAGGCATGTCTGTGTGTGTGTGTGTTTGTGTGTGTGTGTTTTAACTTTTATTTTCATACAATTTCAAAAAAGTTTGCTCTGAAACATTTGACAATAACTTGGAGATGTGGTGTCTGTTTACATTAATATCATTGAATGTATTAATTCCTTCACACAGGAACATATAGCTCTGTGATCCAATCCACAATCTGTATTCAAATTGTGTCAATAATCCTAAAAATGTGCTGCATTTGTTTTTTCCACAGCTCAAGGTCTACTCTGGATCACTTGTTGCAGCTTGTTGCCCCATCTCTTCCGACTCTTTCCTTCAGTCTGTATCTTGACCTTGATCTTTTTGAGAAGAACAGAAGGGTTATTTTGTAATTGAATTTACATACCTTTGATGTTTCACATTGTTACATTCTAATCATGATTTGTGGCAGGACCACCAAAGGAATGACAGTGTGCCCTTCCCAGGAAGCATGTGAGACTCACTGGTCCCAGGATTTGATCACTTGATTAAGGGGCTGTTCCCATTAGACACTGTGAAAGTACTGCTTTTCCCTTTGTAATTAAGGAGCGTTAATGATTTTGGCAGGGGCAATTTGGGTAATTCAAAACATTCGATTTTTTGAAAGATTTTTTTTCTAGTTTTTGGCTCTTATAAATAAAGCTTCTATGGAGAGTGTCAGATAAAGGTTCCTAAATACATTGGGTTGTCAGGGAAGGTTTCGTTAACAAGGTAATTATCAATTAGAAGTGCAATGTGGAAACCAGTTTGAGTAGGGAATACTTATTTGTATAACTTAGAGTAGGTTTGGATTCAAGAAACAAAATTCTCAACCCAAAATAACAGAAATAATTTGAGCTTTATTACCTCCCTTAAGAAGTCTAGAAATAAACTCTCCCAGGTCTGGCCTAGTTGCTCAACTTTTTCATCAAAGAACCCAGGATCTTTCCATTCTTTGGAACCATCATTCTTTATATTTCATTTGCCTTAGGTTTGTTTCATTGGAGTCAGCAACTGCTTGACTGCCCCCTTGACTCTAGACACCATTTGTGTGTGTGTGTGTGTGTGTGTGTGTGAAGGAAAAACTATACAAATAGTTAAAGTGTCTGCCACACTAAATGAGAGCAAAAATATAGAAAGATATTTTGCTTCTGCATTCTTAAAGTAATACCTTCTATAAGAAGGTACATGCTTCGAAGTGTCCACTTCATGCTTTTATGCACAATTAACTATCATACCACAAAATAATCAGTGTTTCTGCTTCTGCTTAGTATGCTAAAACTATCTACTGTCTAAATGGAAATGTTCTCACCTCTTCCAAAAATGGATGATATGAAGTCCCCTTGTCTGTCATATTTTACACAGGTCAATATCAATTTCTTTTCTAGTTCAGTCACAATCTTATCTGGTCATATATTCTAAAAATCAAGTTGCAATTTTATCATTCACTAACACATAAAAAATAATAGGGGAAATTTAATTGAAGGAAGAAGGAAGAAAAGGTGCATGATTTTGTTCAGTCACTATGCTAGAGTTGATATTTATTGTTTCTCCTTCTACTTACCAATTTAACGTTATCTTTGTCCTCACTCGATCTTTGGGATGGTTGCCTGATAGAATAACTCAAGCCTTCCTTCCTCCAAGTTTCATGCTTTTATGGCTCTGTTGACATAAATTTATTACCAGTTTCTCAAACATTTTAAGTTAACATTGTTGTATGATAAAGACACATTTGTGTTACGCTGTAGATGATGCAAGGAATGTGGTGAACCATGTCATAATTGAAAATAAAATAGTTATTCATAATTGAGTCCTATAGAATCACTAAATATAAGGCAAGTAAATAAATATAGAGTACTTCAAAATTAATAATTACATTAGGAGTCAAAATATAGGTGGAAAATTGCCTCAGGATGAGCCAATCAGATTCTTTTTACCAGAATTTATCAATTAAATTAAGAGATTCTAGTTTCAGTTGGGGTGGATCTCTTGCACAGCAGAGATATAAAAATTTGAGATGGTAGCATAGTGTACTTTAACACACATAGTAAGAAGCAGAGAAACCCAATCTGCAGAAAAAGAAAGATAAAAAGATAAGAGAGAGAGAAAGAAGTCATTGAGTGCAACGAAACATTCCCTGCGTTCTGATGGTGTTTTTATGTATTACTATACACCGGGCTCTAGTCTTTCTAAAGGGACTTGATGCATTTCTTATCTTTGCATTATAAAAGTCCCATTTATGCCAGTAAGTAATTCCTCACCAACATCTCCATTAAAATATCTACTTAATTTAGCTAAGGTTATTATATTTCACTTGCCCTCACCGAGCTCTAACTCTAATATATCTTCCTAAATTATTTTATCCTGAAACCTTCTTTCTGTCCCCTCACAGTGTGAAAATATCTTTACAGGAACAAGGAAAGAAACTCACCTGTTTAACTTATTATGGAAAATTATTTTGTCCATGTGATTTTGACACAGTTACCTCAAATTCTCAGGAAAAATGCTTAGCAAGGCTTTTCTTGTGTCAAAATATAAAAGAATGTTTATTTTAACAAAGGACATGAGGGAGGCCTTTACTCAATAAGTTTGTATTAAGTGCTTACAACCTGTAAAAAGCACCGTAAATATTTGTGGAAGATAAAGTTTTATGCAATTTAAATGTTCTGTGTATAATTCACAAGAAGAGTATTTCACGTGCAGTTGATGGAGAGGTGACTGAGTTTCAATAACCTAAATACTTTTACATAAAAAAAAAACAGGGAACCTACAAATGTTACTCTGGAGAAGCTAGGTAAAAATTTAACTATGTGCACAACATATTTAAGTTCAAGTGAGGTGGGATATCTCAGAAGTTTGGTTATTTATTTTGGTGAATAAAACCTCTAACAAATATTTCCAAATGCAAACTTGGGGAGAATTAAAATATTTATTATTTTTTCCATGGAAGCCTCTGTGTTTCCTAATTGGTCATTTTACTATGTTTGTTCCAGGTGGCTGTTTCGAAATATCCCTCACACATTCATATTGTGTTTGAAAACACATGGCAAAACCACATATTTTGACTAGGGAAGTAACAATACTTTTTCAATGGTAGACAAAAATCATGAAATTTACTTTTCAGTGGAAACCTCTCTCTCACAATACCATAGCCATTTGTTTTCACAAACTATGATTTCTTCACAAGGTTATTTTTTGGTGGTCTCCAGGATGCTCACTTACCAAGGGAGTTACACTAGCTATTTTCTAAAATAGGTGTTCCACTGATATAACGTATGTTGGACATTTATGCTTGTTTTTATTTGACTTAATTATAATTCATTTGAACCTTTGCCCCAAGGTAGTTTTAATGTGGAGGCCAAAATTTGAAACTTTTAATGAAATAAATAAATATACTTAGTAATATATTATTTTCCTGAAAGAATGAATATGCTTTCAAAAATAACCCACCTAATAAGAGTTCCGAAGTTTTACTTTCACACCATCAGTAATGTTTTAAGTTGCTTAATGCATGAAACAACCCCATATATATACATATAAATACATTTAACCTGTACACAACCATACACAGACATAGCCAATTCAACACATTTTCTGTTGAGTGCCTACCATGATCCAGAAACTGGAAATGTAACAGTGAGCAAGTCAGTTATGGTTTCATTCTCAGCAACCTTATATTATAGTGTGGATCTGCAAGTGAAAATAATCAATAGAAACTGTGAACATAATAAGGGAAAAGTTAGGAAAGGGAAGATATGGAAGAATATGTTTATTTAGCTACCCCTCCCTTCATGACGTAACTTTTGCCTTCCCCTCTAGACACATCTGTATTCAGTTACAACTCTTAGAAATAATCTGTCCTCCTTTTCAAGTCACACTTAACTCCTTAGGGTAGCTATTATCAAAAAGACAAAAACTAGTAAATGCTAGTGAGGATATAGAAAAAATGGGAACTCTTATACACTGTTGGTGGGAATGTAAACTAATACAGCCACTATGAATAGTATGGAGGTCCCTCAAAAACCACAAACAGAACTACAATATGATCCAGCAATCCCACCACTAGGAATTTATCCAAAGAAAAGGAAATCATTATATCAGGGAGACATCTGTACTCCCATGTTTATTGCAGCACCATTCACAATAGCCAAGATGTGGAATCAAACTAGGTGTCCAATAACAGATGAATGGATAAAGAAAATGTGGCACACATACACAGTAAAATGCTATGCAACCATAAAAAAAAGATGAGGTCAGATCAGACTATGGTGGCTCACACCTGTAATCCCAGAAATGTGGGAGGCCAAGGCAGGAAAAACACTTGAGGCCAGGAGTTTCAGAACAGCCTGGGCAACAAAGCGAGACCCCATCTCTACAAGAAATTAAAAAAATTAGCCAGGCTTGATGATGCATTGGTGGTTCCAGCTACATAGTAGGCTGAGGTGAGTGGATCACTTGAGCCTGGGAGTTTGAGGCTCTTGTGAGTTATGATTGCACCATTACACTCAGCCTGAGCAACAGAGTGAGACCCCCTTCTCCAAAAAAAAAAAAAAAACAAAAAAAACAAAAAAACAAACAAACAAACAAAAAACCCTATCATTTGGAGCAACATGGATGGGACTGGAGGACATTATGTTAAGTCAAATGAACCAGGAAAAGAAAGTTAAAGACTACATGTTCTCACTCATATGTGGAAGAAAAAATAAATGTTGCTCTCACATCAAGGGTTGGGAAAAGGAGGAATAGGAAGAGATTTGTTAAAGGATATAAAATTACAGATAGATAGGAGGAATAAATTCTAGTGTTCTATAACATTGTAGGATGACTATAGTTAACAATGTATTATATAGTCTCAAATAGCTTGAAGGAGGATATTGAATGTTCCCAACACAAAGCAATGATAAATGTTTGAGATTATTGATATGCTAATTACCCTGATCTGATTACTATATAGTATATGTCAACTTAAAAAATATATATTATATATATTTCATCTTTCCATATCTACATACAGATGATTTCTTATATGTGAATTATTCATCTTTCTAAACTCCTATTCACTATGAAAACTCAGGTCTCTTTACACTTCTGCTCATGAGATTTGTACTGGACTTTTCCTCCAACCAAAAATGCATGAGGCAGGTGGTTTTAGATACGGGACAACAGACAAAATGTGATCCAAAAGGGAAAAGAAATATGTGTTGAATATCAGGACCACTGTAACATTTTAGAACCTTAGAAGAGGGAGAAGGAGCTGAATGAGGTGAGTGGGGCTGGATCAGAATCCAGGGCTGCTAAAGTGAAATGGATGGCAATTTGGGGGCAGGATTCCTGAGAAAAGAGGCTAAAGGGAATGACCCCATGTGTTTAGTTGGAGTCACTAAAAGTTATAGAGTATCAATCAAAAATAACAAATAATAGCATTTCTTAACATCTGACCTATTCTATATTTACTTTCCTTCTGATTTTCTGTGCTCACATGAACATAAGCTCTGTGAACACAGCTCTACTGTTCATGCTGTATTCCTAGTAGAAGAATATCTGACACAAAGTAGGTGCTCAATAAATATTTATTGAGTTAAGTGACTCTCACATAACTGGAAGTCCCAAGAGAGAACAAGCTCAAGGCAAATTAAAATGAGGACTCAAACTCAGTTCCCCTGTGCTTCTTCCAGGTCAACTCTTGTACATGTATAACTTTATTTTCAAGCTGGCCTCTCTTGTGGCCAAAACATGATTGTCAGTAGCCTCCAGGACAGCCCGTTTCCTAGTCTTCATGTAGTAGGAGAGAGGAAAAGCCACTCTTCTATTTGTGGAATAAAACGCCTCTCTCCCACTGTGTTTGGGCAATATCATGTCTTGGGTCAACTCACAGAATAAAAATAACCAAAGGCTGGAATGCTCTCTGCTGATTGGATTAAATTTGAGCTCCTGAATCGATCACTGGCTTGATCGAGTGTGGAATGGGGACTAGATTATTATTAATAATTTAGATTGATCAAGGGTGGCATCTGAGCTAGAAACAGAATCAGTTTTCCCTGAGTCACCCAGGTAGTATGAAGGAGGAATGTGTTCCTGAAGAGCATCCCAGGTGCTCTTAGGAAGGTGTAAGGAGACAAAGAATGTTGAGTAGACAATCGAAATTGTCCATTGTATTTTTTCACTACAGATATATTTCAAAGATTTTATTCTTAGCAGTGCAACAAACATGAAAATAAAATATTTTTAGAGGAATGTATTTATTGTATCACAAAGAAGCCATTTAAAATGACAGATCTTTGAAGACAATTTGGGGAACAGCTACTGACCTATCAAGAACTTACAAGTTTGTCAGTACTGGAAGAACTCTACTAGATCTGTACCTGTTTTGTTCAACATTGTACCCACAATCCTTAACATAAAGAAGATGATCGGCTGGGTGTGGTGGCTCAGGCTTGTAATCCCAGCACTTTGGGAGGCCAAGGCAGGTGGATCACCAGAGGTCAGGAGTTCGAGGCCAGCCTGGCCGACCTGGTGAAACCCTATCTCTACTAAAAAAAAAAAAACAAAAACAAAAATTAGCTTAGCATGGTGGTGGGCACCTGTAATCCCAGCTTCAGGAGGCTGAGGCAGGAGAATCACTTGAACCTGGGAGGTGGAGGTTGCAGTGAGCCGAGATTATGCCACTGCATTCCACACTGCACTCCAGCATGGGCAACAGAGTGAGACTCCGTCTCAAAAAAAAAAAATGCTCAACGAATACTTGATGAATTAATGATTGTATTCACGTGTATGTTTTTGTAAGGATAAAACCACAAGCTTTTTTATAAAGAAAACCGGAAGTTTCCTGCAGGGAAAACACAGCTTACCCATATTACAAATGCCTCTTGCTTCCCAGTAAGATTATTCACAAATTACTGTATTTATGTATATGAATTAAGATTTTTCAGAGTGACTCTAGAGGAACAACAATAAAAAGCCTAGGAGATAAAGATCTATCATTTTCCCACACTGTGTTTTATTTGTTCTATCTGTTTTTGCTATTTTTTCCCTCTTTTTCTGATGTATCTTGTGTTAATAATACATTTTATAATAATCAATTTTATCTCCGTTATTAAATTATTTGTACTTTTTCATAGTCCAGTGATCCATACTTTCAATATATACTTTCAATTAATCAGAATCTTATTTTAAATAAAATCATGTACTATTTGACAAGCGGTTTAAGGACCTCATAACTGTGTATGTCCAATTCTTTTTCCCCATTCTTTGAGCTATTGAGGTCATACATATTCTTTTAAACACTCCATAAACACAATATGTTGCTAGTATTGTTCTTTAGGCATTAAGTTATCTTTTACAGCAAATTTTTAAATTATTTTATTTTCAGTTATTCCCTTGGCAGTGCTCTTTATTTCCTTAGAAGATTCACATTTCAATCTGATATCACATTCCTTCTGCCCGATGAATTTCTTTGAACATTTCTTGTTGCGTAGATCTTCTCAAAATGAATTATCTGATTTTGTTTCTCTTATAAAGCCTGTATTTATACCTCATTTTCAAAATATATTTTTGCTGGGTAAAGAATTATGGAAAGACAGTATTTTATTTTTTTCAGTTTTTGATGAGAAATCAGCTATAATATATTTGTTTCCCTGTAACTTGTCTTTTTTCCCTCTCAGTCTGTGTTAAGTGTTTTCTTTTTGTCTTTTGTTTGCAGCATTGTTTAATATAGTATAATATAATATAATATATAATTATAATATTACATATAATATAATGTAATATATTATATTATATATTATATGTAATATAATATTATATGTAATATATTATATGTAATATAATATATTACATGTATATATTACATAATCAATGTAATATATTGATTATGTATATGTCAATGTAATATACATGTCAATATAATATATTACATGTAATATAATATTATATTATATATACTATAATACTATATTATTATATTATATATACTATAATACTATAGTATTATATTATATTATATTACATGTAATATATAATATATGTAATGTAATAATATTATATTATATTATATGTAATATTATAATATAATATGATACCTATGTGTGTTTACTGTCCTATCCCACCAGGTCTCATCCCTTAAGGCAAGTATTCACCCTGTTTGATGTTCTTTGAGTTTCCTGGATCTATGTGTTGGTGTCTATTATTCATGTCAAAAATTCTTGGTCATTATTTTTTTCAAATGCTTCTCTGCTCCATTCTGTTTCAAATGTTTCTCTGCTGCATTCTGTCCTGATTCTCCTTCTAGAATTCCAGTTAGGCAATTGTTAGATTACTTGATTTCGTCTGACAGTTCATGGATGCTTTTTTCTGTGTTATCGTTTGTTTTTATTTTTCCCACTATTTTTTCTGTGTTTCAGTTGAAGTAATTCCTATTGACCTATGTTCAAGTTCACTGAATATTTTCTTCACTCTGTCCAGTCTACTAATAAGCCAATCAAATACATGCTTTATCTATTACTATGCTATGCATTTCTACCATTTGGATTTGTTTCTTCCTTTTGCTTTCCCTCTTTTTGATAAAACTGGCTATATAATGTTAAATATGTCCACCTTTTTCTTTAGAGTGTATAACATATTAATCATAGTAATTTGAAATTCTCAGTCAGGTGGTTTCAACATCTGCACCATATCTGAATCTGGTGGTTCTGTTGATTACATTGTGGGGGTTGTGTGTGTGTGTGTAGAAAGCCATGTATTTTGTATAGGAAAGCATAGACTCAAGTACTTAGAGTTTAGGCTTTTAAATAGGCATACCTTTTCTGTATATAGGATTGTGTTAATCTAGCCAGGAGTTGTTCAGTGTTGAAATTGTCTTTGCTATGTTTGCCTTTAGTAAACCCCAGTCTTCAAATTTCTCTAACAATATACTGTGTGTTTGGAATGGAGGCTTCCCAAAATTTTTTTCTCAATTTCTACTCCACCTTCCCCATTAACCTTCCCTTTCGTGCTGTACCACAAAGAGTGTCTGTCACTTGCAACTTAACCAGCAGTACTCCATTATCACCTTACTTGGTGCTTTTTAGCCTGGTGGTGGGTAGTGAAGTTGGGAAAAGTCTCTGGGTCTCAGGGATGTGGCCCTCAAAGTGTTACTGCTCTTTTTCCAGCTATAGTTCTTGCTAAGAACATAGTTCTGCTCCTTTTGTTTTTCTTGTTATCTTTGTCAGGTGCCATAGGTTAACATCAGTGCCTTATGCCCTGTGTTTTTCCGGGAGATTAAGGCTTTGGTTCCATACAGGAGCATTACCTCCAGCTCATTTTTCATGCCTGCTTTTCCTGTCCACCAGTCCTAAATAAAAGAAGCTGTCTCTTGACTCACCTTTCCGATCCTCTAACCCCCATACCTCCAGCTCATTTTTTATGCCTGCTCTTCCTGTCCACCAGTCCTACATAAAAGAAGTTGTCTCTGGATTCACTTCTCTGATCCCCTCACCCCCATACCTTCCTGTTAACACCTAGTGGGCTTCATGGATAAAAAGAATGCTGGTGTGTGGGAGTCTCCTTCTCCCATATCTGTGGACCTCAGAGGCTTCACCCTCTCTACCAGTCTGCACTCTGCACTCTGCCTCCAATTTATCAGTTATTCTGAACACTTAGTGGTGTCCAGGTGACATCCACCTTAGCAAAGCAAATGCATATATCCTGTCTCTCCCTGTAGGCACCTGTCTCTCCCCAGTTTTCTGGTTAGTTGGTTGTGTTGTAATCTCAACTTTTGAATGGGTCCAAGAAAAGTTGTGGGTTTACTATTTTTCTAGCCTTTTTGTTTCTATAAGTGTAGAAGAAATACTCCTTCTAGGTTTCCATATCCTGGAGCAGAAACCAGATGTCATTAAGACTGGAGGAGAAAATATTTTGAGAAGAATTAAAAATTGTGCTCAAAGGCCTTAGATTCTTGATGAATCAATAGTCTTCTTTGTATATTGTGAAATTAGTGATCAAATACAAATGAACATGAGAACTCTTTTAAAAATATATTGAATTAGTTGGTAAGTCCTAGAAGGTGACATTCAAATGAATTTTTTTTTTTTTTTTTGAGACGGAGTCTCGCTCTGTCACCCAGGCTGGAGTGCAGTGGCGTGATCTCGGCTCACTGCAAACTCTGCCTTCCAGGTTCACGCCGTTCTCCTGCCTTAGCCTCCTGAATAGCTGGGACTACAGGAGCCCGCCACCACACCTGGGTAATTTTTTTTTGTATTTTTATTAGAGACGGGGTTTCGCCGTGTTAGCCAGGATGGTCTCGATCTCCTGACCTCGTGATCCACTTGCCTCTGCCTCCCAAAGTGTTGGGATTACAGGCATGAGCCACCGCGCCCGGCCTCAAATGAATTTTTTTATCTTTATAGTGCTGTGTATATTACTTAGACTGTAATTTCTGTAAATTTAGTTTTTTTTTTTTAATTTTTAATTTTGAGTCAGATTCTGGTTCTTATCACCCAGGCTGGAGTGCAGTGGTGCGATCTCAGCTCACTGCTGTCTCCAACTCCCAAGCTCAAGTGATTCTCCCACCTCAGCATCCTGGGTAGCTGGGACTATAGGCACATGCCACCATGCCCAGCTAATTTTTGTATTTTTTGTAGAGATGGATTTTCACCATGTTTCCCAAGCTTGTCTTGAACTCCTGAGCTCAAGAGATCTGCCCTCCTCGACCTTTCAAAGTGTTGGGATTATGGATTTAAGCCACCATACCTGGCCTATTTAGTTTTAATAAAGAATGTTGCTCATGATTCACATTGTTGACTAATTGTTGGGTATTTTTTTTGATAAATTTGAAAATCTCTAGGAATTGTTGCAGAATTTGTAAGTGAAAGCAACAGAATGTCATAACTGAAAGCATAAATGTCAAATTTTTAAATGCAGAGGCTGGTTGGCTGGTGAGATTTTACCTGGATCTTCTGGTTTACATTACTAACTTAGGTTTTCTACACAACCAGATCAAATGGAATCTAAAAGAGAGGGGACAAGCTACAAATGTGAAGACCATGGTAGTCTGAGAAGGCAAGAGATTAAAATAACCGAATGTGTGGGTGAAATCAGTAGTACACAGAGAAGACAGATATATGTTAAGACAAGGCATAGATGGTGGTTATGGCAACTTTTGGAAACTACTTCTTTATTTTATGCATTACTTAATTCCTTCTGTTGACCCTAGATGCTGATTGGTGTTAGCCAACACCGAACAGCTAACGTACCTGAGGAGAAAATGTGATCCTGGACCACCCAGAAAGAAATATTTGGTGACGCTAACACAAATTTTTTAAAAATGGGTTCAAGTCTTCTTAGGTTTAGGTTCCTGTAAATAACTGTGACTCAGCTAAACATTTCTCAAAGGTCTTGTCCAATCAACCTAAGGTTTAGACTGCATGTGTAGAAAATACTATACTGTTTGTGTAACTATAATTAATGCAAAGTGTTACATGTTTTTAAAAAGAAGATTTCAACAACAACTTAGGGATTTAGTTCCCTGAGTCTATTGTAAGAGAAAAATACTAAGTAAACCGAGAGAATTTAACTAAAAGGGGGTTTTAAATTATTATTCTAGCACTTTGCTTTCTTTTAGCATGAACAACCATAACTTCGAATTCGCAGAGAGAAGTGTTAAGTTCTGGTTTGTTGGTAGAAAGATATACTGTCACCAAAACTTGCATAATAGGCTAACATTGATTTTCAAAGTTAAGTGAAAGGTACTAGAATGTTTCTCATTCAACCAAGAGGTTCTTTGTACATTGCATCAAATCTTAGAATATAGAGGATACACTTAGAGACAATATTAAATTCAAGTGATTAGAAAATATTTACTCTTAAAATTCAGAGGAACCTTTCAGGCAACATGGCAGGCATGGAGGAGGCAGCGACCTTTGGGAGCTACATGAATGGCAACCTGGATCCAGATGAAAGGGAGGAGGAAGCTGCCTCTACAACTGAGGAAGAAGCCAAGAAAAACAGATGGAGGAAAAAGAAGAGTAAAGGGGCTGCAGCAGGGCAGCAGGAAACTGATAAAGGATTAAGAGCCTCAGTGGATGAAGGAGCAAGACAACTGGAAAGACAAGCATTGGAAAAGAAAGAAAGAGATGATGATGATGAGACGGAGATGGTGATGGAGATGGAGCAACTAGAAAGAAGAAGGAAAAGAGGAAAAAGAAGAAGGAAAAGAGGAGGAGGAGGAAGAAGAAGAAGAAAAGGAAGAAGAAGAAGAGGAGGAGGAGGAAGAAGAGGAAGAAGAGGAAGAAGAACAAGGAGGAGGAGGAAGAGGAAGAGGAAGAAGAAGAAGAAGAGGAGGAAGAAGAAACAACCAAAATTCCAACAGACCCTCCCTCCCTCAGTTCCAATATGTGGCTGTATCCTAGTCGTGTATTTCCCAAAGGACAAGAAAGTGAATACCCACACACACAAGATGGATGGAGAATTATGAGTGAAGAAAAGAAAGTGTTAGATCAGGCTAGGGAAGAGATTTGGAATGATTTTTGAGAAGCTGCAGAAGCACATTGACAAGTGAGAATATATGTAATGAGCTGGATCAAGCCTGGGATGATAGAAATCTGTGAAAAGTTGGAAAACTGTTCACACAATCTAATAAATGAAAATGGATTAAATGCATGCCTGGCATTTCCTGCTGGAAGTTCTCACAATAATTGTGCTGCCCATTATACTCCCATTGCTGGTGACACAACAGTATTACAGTAAGATAACATCTGTAAAATAGATTTTGGAATCGGTATAAGTGGTAGGAATATTGACTACTGACTGTGGTCTTACTGTCACTTTTAATCCCAATTATGATACATGATTAAAAGCTGTAAAAGATGCTGCTACTACTGGAATGAAGTGTGCTGGAATTGATGTTCATCTGTGTGATGTTGGTGAGTCCATCCAAAAATTTATGGAGTCCTATGAAGTTGAAATAGATGGGAAGACACAACAGGTGAAACCAATCCATAACCTAAATGGACATTCAATCGGGAAATATAGAATACATGCTGGAAAAACAGTGTCCATTCCGAAAGGAGGAGAAGCAACAAGAATGGAGGAAAGGAAGTGTATGCAATTGAAACCATTGATAGTACAGGAAAAGATATGATGATATGGGATGTTCATATTACATGAAAAATTTTGATGTTGGACATGTACCAGTAAGGTTTCTAAACAAAATAATTGTTAAATGTCATCAGTGAAAATTTTGGCACCCTCACCTTCTGCCACAGATGGCTGGATTGCTTGGGAGAAAGGAAATTCTTGATGGCTCTGAAGAATCTGTGACTTGGAAATTGTATCCACCATTGTGTGACAGTAAAGGATCATACACAGTGCAGTTTGAACATACCATAGTGTTGCATCCAACATGTAAAGAAGTTGTCAGCAGAGGAGATGACTATTAAACTTAGTCCAAAGCAACTTTAACACCTTTATTTTCTAAGCTTTTTTGGAATACATATCAAATTAATTTGCAACATGTTGTCTATTTTAACAGTGGACCTGTATAATATTTTTATCTGTGTTTAAAAAAGAAGAAATTTGGCCATGCAAGGTGGTTGACACCTGTAATCCAAGCACTTTGGGAGGCCGAGGTGGGTGGATCACCTGAGGTCAGGAGTTCGAGACCAGCCTGGCCAACATGGCGAAATCCCATCTCCACTAAAAATACAAAAAATTATGCAGGCGTCGTGGCATGCGCCTGTAGTCCCAGCTACTCGGGAGACTGAGGCAGGAGTATCTCTTGAACCCAGGAGGCGAAGGTTGCAGAAAGCGAAGATGGCACCACTGAACTCCAGCCTGGGTGACAGAGCAAGACTTCGTTTCAAAAAAGTAAAAAAATAATAATAAAAAAGAAGGAATTTGATCAAAGGTAAACAGTCTAACGTAATGAACCAAAGAAAAAGCTTTCAGGACTTTCAAATGTTAACTGTTTTTCCCCTTCCTATCTAGGAAAATGCTATAAAGCTCAGATTAGTTAGGAATGACTTACACCTTTTGTTTTGAAAACTAAGAGCCGGTTTCCAGATATTTATATTCCCGTATTTCTTGAATGCTTAGAATGACTACAATTCTGCATCGATACCCTCTATTGTTAATTTTTAACCTGCCTGGAATCTTTTTCCTAAAAAAAAAAAGATATTTTCAGATCTGAAAAAAAAAAATCAAAGGAACCATAAACGTCAAGTCTAATCATATCCAAATGTGGTCCATCAATCAACCTCAGCAGAAATAATTGGGGAAGATTTAAAAATTCAGGGAATGTTGACCTCATCTCTGAGATAAGATTAATAAATATTTTATGATTGTCTGGAAAGTAACAGCGTACAGTTTAACCTATATTCTAATTTTGATTCATGATTTTAAATAATTAAACTTTAATAATTGATATGGTTTGGATATTTGTCCCCTCCAAATCTCATGTGGAAATGTGATCATCAGTGTTGGAGGTGGGGCCTGGTGGGACATGTTTGGTTATGATAGTGGATCCCTCATGAATAATTTGCTGCTGTCCTCATGGTAATGAGTGTGTTCTCACTCTATGAGTTCACACGAGATCTGGTTATTTATAAGAGCCTGGAAATTCCTCCCTCTCCCTTGCTCTCACTCTTACCATGTGACATAACTGTATCCCCCTTTACCTTCTGCCATAATTAGAAGCTTCCTGAGGCCCTCACCAGATGCAGATGCTGGTCCTATGCTTCCTGTATAGCCAGCAGGACTGTGAGCCAAAACAAACCTCTTTTTTTTATAAATTACCCAGTCTCAGTTATTTCTTTATAGCAATACAATAATTGACTAATAGAATAATATAAATTACTTATATTTTGGTAGAAATATATGGTTATAATTTTAGAAAAAAATAACTTTTTTTTTTGTCTTCTGACTACAGAATTTACCGGGAAGAGAAGTGGGCTTCTGTTCTGCTGCTAATTTACAAGATTACGCTCTAATGGCAAATTCTTCCTATGGCAAGCACATAGTCCCTAGAGCCCAACGATTTCTGAAGGTACATGGCCAGTCAAACCCATGTCAGATGGAAGACATAGCAGTGTCACTTTTGCACAAAAATGTTTACTATCTATTGCTATTGAAGATTTTGCCAACCTCTGCATTTTTTATTGCTATGTAGCACGAGGCATTTTATTTGTTTATCTCATTATTTCTCCTAGATTTCCAAATATTTCTCCTAGATTTCCAATCATGAAATATTTCTCCTAGATGTCCAAATCATGAATGAACAACTAGAAAATAAGTAGAGGACACAGGCTATATGATGATTAAATCAAGTTGTTTAATGACAAAAAACTGAACAGATTGTGCATGTTATTTTATCCCATTTACATTGACAAAGTGTCACACTTCTACTTTGTGAAGAGAAATTTCATGCAATAGTCATAGGGAAGAAAGAATTAATGCTAGGAATAAGTGTAAAGCTCTGTATAGCTTTTCATTTAAAAGGTTTTACAAATCCTGCTGACCTGTTGCTAAACTAAGCAGAGCGAGTCCCCCTGGAACACACTCTATACTCATTCTTCCTCTTTATTTACGTTCCTTTTAACTATTTTAGCATTTTCCTAAATAGCAGAAACTTTTCCTATGAAAATAATGTCAGCCTTTCCATCCCTGCAATGCAAGCTGCTTGCATCAGTTAAGTTCTGAGTTGCTTCTTTTGGAGTTAGGGCCAGCTGGTTTATAGCTGAAGTCAGCAGTCACCTGCAGAATAGAGTCTGGAGAAAGTAAGGGTGTTTCTCCCTGGCCAAAATTAACATTCCCATTAAGATTCAATTGTGCCTGAAATTCCACTATTAGGGATTGACTCCCACCAATCAATGTCTTGTGCTTTCTAGGGCTTACTTAGTTCTGACTTCATTGAATCTAAGATGTCATCAATTATAAAACCTGTCACTATTATATGTACAACTAAAGAAAAAATATATTACCAATTTAACCATGGCAGATCATCAACTCTAAAATTTATCCCAATTTCAAAGATGTTAAATTATATTTTTAAAAATATGTTTCAATTCTTAAAATAAGGTAAGTGAAAATGCTAGTAATGACAGAGAGAGAGTTGGGAATGAAGACTATGAAGACCCATATTAACTGAATGTTTAAGCATTGATGTCAACCAGCTAAAGCCAAGCTCTAAGATAATGAAATATAGGATAGTCATATTCTTATAGAAGAGAAGGAAGAGGAAGATAAACTGCAACTGCTTCACAAGGTTGACTAAACCCAGCTTTATTTAGACCACACAATCGTCTTTGAACAACTCCTTTTAGCAATGTTTATTTAAAGAGGTCACTATTTGAAGTTAGCATAGGGAATTCCATAGCTGTTGACCCTTTGGAAAAATAACTGACTCTGAGAAAGGTTAGGATAGGTGGGAAAATTCTGTGAATAAAACCTTTTCAAGCTAGAAATAGGTCAGAGTACAGTCTGATCAAAGACACAGATGAAATGCAGAAGAATGTAGATAAAGGTAAAATAATGAGCAAGAGAGAAACTAATAAACAGAGAAATGCTTCTTTAAGTGGCTAGGTATGGCAGGAAAGAACTTTCAGATGCAATGTGGGAAGAGCTTTACTCATTCCGCCTGTACACAGCAGCAGTAAAGGAAACAAATAGAAAAAAAAAAGATGGTGAATTTCAATGCTAAAAAAGGCAGACTTACACTGACTGTCAGAGCTCAGAGTAGAGTTATGGGAACAGACACCTTTTTCTTCTTGAGCTGCATGTCAGATTTTTACAGTAACACAACTACTTTTCCAATTCAGAGAATAAAACAAAAGAAACCTACACATTTTTTCTCCCCTCCCCTCCAAAATATCTATAGACTGAATTGATACTAGGGGCAAGACAGGATGTTAGTACAGATATATTTAAAGGGAACAACTATGTCAAAACTAGGATAATTACATAGTATCTACATGGCATGATTTGAAAGATTAGAAAAAGATTTTCTGCTCTTTTTTTCTTGGAAGGGGGGTCTTGAGCTTATTACCAAAGACAAATTTCTTTAAGTTTTCGTGTGCGTGTGTTTGTGTGTCTGTGTGTGTGTGTGTGTGTAGGAGGAAGGTGATTTCAAAACCAGTAAAATGTAAATATCTTGGACATAGAGTATTACAAATTCTGCCATATTCTTTAGTAGATTTTTTAATAAATTTTCGAGGAAACCTGAAAATTAGCATAACCATACCCTATATGATTGACTGACCATGGGAAGCAAGGCTTAAAAGGAGAGACAGAGGAGAACCTTGATGAATTGGAATCTAAGAACTTAAAATATGCTAGATGCCCTGCTAAGTACTTTACATACGTAATCCTTTAATCCTCATAAGAGCACTGTTAGGTAGGTATTATTATCATCCTCATTTTAGGTAAGGAGGATGAGGAGAAATTGAATCTCAAGGATATTAAATAGCTCGCTTAAGGCTACACAGCTAGTCAGTGGAAAATATGAGCCAATTTAAGTCAGCTCACTTCAAATTTCTATGAAACCACGTTGAGAAATATGCAGGAAAAAAACAAACACTGAACCAATGGTGAGAAAAGCACAAAGTCAATTTTATGCACATCAGGTATTTTTTCCTGGAGTAGTGGTAGCCCATAAAGTTATAACATTTGTTGTTTTTTAAATAAACTTAGCTCAGAGTTTCCAGATGAAGCTTACATTTACTGAATATTTATTGTACAATAAGTTAAATTATATTCATCTCATTTAATGCTCAAAATAACCCTGTAAGATGGATATTTTCATAATCTCCACCTCAGGTTCGTATAGCTGGTACATGATAGAGCCAGGGCTCTAACCCCACTTCTGATTTTAGATTCTGGACTCCTCTGAATAAACCATAACACTTCAGGTGTATGTTTCAATGAGGAATTTTTAAAGACCTCATAAGATCTTTCAAATTTTTTTTTAAATAATGAATACAGAAAGAATATATCCCATACCTTCTATCCTCACTGTTCTACGATGTTACACACAGCACATTTTCTTATCAAATTTGTTCATGAGTATAATTTTTAAAATCCAAATTCCTGTGGAGTAAGGTTATCTTTATGAACAAAACTAAATCCAAAACTGATGGCCGGCAATCACCGCATCGCCATAAATATTACTGTCATTAGCAAGATGAAGTTTTCTTTTTTAGATTAAGATATCTCAGAGAGTTGCTATAGAGAACATTGACATCTTTAAGAGACATGAGATGAGTGTATAGAGTCAAAATATGTCAGCCAGTAAATTTCTTCATGCATTCACAAATATTTATTGAACACCCTATATGCTCTCTCCACATTGTTGTAGGTGCTGGGGGTACCACAATAAACAATGTTGGAAACTCCTGTACTGGAGGAGTTTACATTCAAGTACAAAGAGACAGACAATAATGAGATAAACAAATAAAATGCATCGTGTGCTACATAGCAATAAAAAAATGCAGAGATTGGCAAAATCTTCAATAGCAATAGATAATAAACATTTTAGGCTTTGGGGGCTACACGGTCCATTTCACAACTACTCGCCTCTGTCTTTGTAGCACAGAAGCAAGCATAGACTAAATGTAAATAAATGAGAGTGGCTGTGTTCCAACAAAACTTTATAAAAATAGGCAGCAGTCAAGATTTGGCCTGCTAGTCAAAGTTTGCCAACTCCTGAAATAAAGCAAGGAAAGAGGATAGAAAGAGTCAGGGATGAGGGTAAAGAAGGACTCACTGAAATGGTGGCATTTACCTAACACAACAGAGAAAATAAAAGAGCCAGTCATATGTGTCCCAGAGGAAGAGCTTTCCAGACAGGGGAAGCAGAAAGTGCAAAGGCCCTGAGGCAGGAGCTTGTCTGGTGTCATCAAAGATCAGGCAATAGGTCAGAGTGTTGGTAGAGTGGAGTGAGAGAAGTGAGCAGGCATCTGTGATTTGGAGACTTGAGAGCAGAGTAAGGATATGAGGGTTTTTCCTGTGTGATACAGAAAGCAGGGGAAGATTTTGAAAAGAGGAGTGCATGGTGTGTCAGGTTTCAAAATGATCTTTCTGGCTGCTGTATGAATAGATTGAAGGGGACAAGGAGCAACAAGAGTGATTTAGGCAGTGATTGTAGTCATTTGAGTGAGAGAAGATGGTGTGTTAGATCTTAGGCTGTGGTCTAGCTGACGAAAAGTAGCTGCGTTATGCATGGGTTTCAAAGGTACTGTTAACATTATTTCCTGATGGATTGAATACATAGTGTAAAAGAGAAGGAAGAGCCAAGCATAAGAGTGTCTGCGTAGCAACTGGAATGGGAAAGACAATGAGAAGTAAAGGATTTTTTTTGAAACCACACACATATCAATAGCTTAGTGTTTAATCCATAAAATGTTGGAAATGTCGCTTTTGAGATATCTACTAAGAAATAAGAAATACATCAATTGATGCCTGGTTCCTCCTGAGTACCTAACAGATATCAATAGGCAGGTATGGCAATGGTGAGAGTAGAGCCCAGAACTTCCTTTTACTTAGGAAAATTTGTATGGAGTCATGACTATACACAACTTTTGGATTATTGAAATAAGACACAGAAACATGAGATATAATCTTGGCTTTGCAATTTAATGGAAACACAGATAATTATTGTCATTTAATTTCTCTATATCTTAATGATAAGGCATCTACATTAAACATGATGTAGAAACATGTCAATCATGAAAGTTGCAAGGCATCAATGAGACAATTTAAAAAAGCATTTAGCACAATGCCTGGCAAATAGTGAATGCTCAGTAAATATTTGATATTATTCTTACTATACATTATGTAGAAAATAAGTACACTTCAAACCTTTTGCCTTTAGTTTATGAAAATGAACACATTTTTAAACGTATCCAGGAGTATGCTGAGTCTTCAATATATTAACCAAGCCTCTTGGTTTGGTTCTACAAAATTATGATCTAAGATTTTATTCAGACTCCAAGAAGAAAAGGACTCTTGGATCTTTAAAAAAAAATTTGCTTGTTGTATTTTTACTCATTAAAAATATAAGCCTTTCAAAGAGTCTTGGCATCACTCTTTCTTGTTTGTTTGTTTTTTAACATTAGAGGTAGTTAGATTAAATCCTAACTGCTAGCACAAGGAAGGAAGGGAGGAAGGGAGAAAGAAAGGAAGGGAGGAGTGAAGGGAAGGAGGGAGAGAGGAAGGAAGGATGAAATGAAGGAAGGAAGGAAGGAAAGAAGGAAAGAAGGAAGGAAGGGAGGGAGGGGATGGAGGGATGGAGGGAGGGAGAAAGGAAGGAGGGGGAAGGAAGGAAGGAAGAAGGGAAGGGAGGGAGGGAGGAAGGAAGGAAGAAGGGAAGGGAGGGAGGGAGGAAAGAAGAAAGGGAAGGAGGGGATGGAGGGAGGAAGGAAGGAAGGTAGGAGGGAGGGAGGGAGAGAAGGGAGAGAGGGAGGAAGGAAGAAAGGGAGAAAAGAAGGAAGGAAGGAAAGAAGGAAGAAAGAAAGGAAGTGAAGGAAGGGATGAGGGAGGAAGGGAGGGAGAGAGAGGGAGGGAGGAAGGGATGGAGGAAAGGAAAGGAGGGAGAGGAAGAAAGAAGGAAAAGCAAGAAGGTAACAGTGAATAGGAAATAGGTTTTTGAGTATCAGGATTCCCAAATCTAAAAAGTAACTTATGGATACATTTATTTTTATAGAACTTTCTTTATTTCCTCATAAATTTACCATGTATCAGTTTGTAATTGACATCCTGGATTACCATGACAAATTCAATTGTTTCTCAATGCAAGCACAGTCTCTTGAGTGGTTTAATTACTTGATAAAACAATAAAATACTAAAGCTTCTTCTCATAGAATGTTGAAACATTTGTGTCACCGTGTATTAGGAGACAATAGTGGTGCCATTTTCTTTTATAAAAGCCCCACTTTGGTATAAAATATTATTTAGACTCATAATTCACATTTTTTGTGAGTTTCATTCATGCAAATGATTTTTAAGAATGAAAATATTCAAATCTGGGAACAAATTACATAGACAATAGCTAAAATGTTCACTCCTGTTTCTCAACTTCATCTGGTATAGGTTTCCTCTGAAAGATACAGTGCCTTTGATAAAAAAGATTACTAAAGATATGTTAGAATGTCAGCTTGCAAACTTGGTCTTGGCTTAGTCCTATTAAGATACTAGCTTTTTTAAAATATTTTTTTAAAAACTAAAACAAACAAAAAATATACTTAGCAGACAGTGGAGAGGCAGTGTAGAAGACTAAATTTAAAATGTTAGAATTCTGATTTATGTGGATTTGAAATCCAGTTTCATATCTTACTATGTGATATTTAAAATTTATGTAACCTTCCTTTTTATATTTGTCAAATAATTATGATATTTTAAAATTGGATGAAATGATTAAATGAAAGAAGAAAGTGAAACCCTCTGTACAAAGTATTATTCTGTTGTTCTAAATGGTGAACTACCATTCATCTTATTTAAGAAAATAACTGCCATGATTTTATCTAAGGAATACTGTAAACCAAAGATGGAAAACAAAATCTAACAAAACCCTTTCCCCATTTGCACCAAGAATACTTGCCTCTCACTGGCAGTTCTTGCAGCTGCAGCATTTACCCCTAGATAACTTTGCCATGAAATATGTCACTTTTATCATTATTTTTGCATCGCTCTAGTATATCAACTTTGGAAACAAAAGACATCATTCTACTTATAGCATTCTGTTTTTAGTGATGGTATTTCCATTTACAAAATATAGTAATTCTTAATCATTGAAAATGTCAAAACCTAGAAACCGTGACATTCCTATGCGTGATGTTAACATCCTTCTCGAGCAGTTGTTAGGCAGGGATTTATTTGACAAATCTGAATTTTGTGAAATAGAGAATTCTGATGATTCATATAATTCTGATGTTAGTTCTGTTTAGAAATAACTCCAAAAACAGTTTTTATATTTTATTTTCACACTGAAAATCAGTCAGATTTACTTCAGCCTCAAAGAAGGTATTTATGTAAAATTAAATAATCACTGGCAGCGAGCTGCACTTTTTTTTTTTCTAAATGAGAAAAGGGTTATTAAATTCATAACCAAAAAAATGTACTTATGACAGCATTTTAAATAGTCAGGGTCTTATTTCCATATTGAGAAAATATTTCAATATTGTTGTTTTTCAAATTAAACATTTGTCTGTTGTCCCCATCCCCAAATAAAACTACACAATTATCACTAACTTATGCACAGCAAAATTCTAATACAATATTTATGATGTCATATACATAGAAATTAGTTTCTGTGAATATAGAGGGCATCTGTAAATAACACTCAGGAGAGCATGTGGACTAGAGCAGAGAGCTTGCTCCAAGATCAGAGATAACTATGCATATCATCCTTAGAGATTTTTGAAAAAAGTGTCTTTCATACCAAACTATAAATCAACTAAAAAATCAGTAGCAATTTACCTGCTCCTAAATGCTGTGGGGTTGGGGAGAGGGGGGTGGATACTGTGCTACTTGTAAAAAGACTAGCACTGAAATAAAAATGGGATGACAAAATCACAAAATTTATCATTAGCCACTATTTGCATGAATTCTACTACATTAACTTCCATGTATTTTTATGCTGGCCCATTAGTTACCTGGACAGTTTATTAACTGGGGTCTCACTTTATTTTTTCCTTTCAAGTAGAAAAGAAAATGCTAGTGGAAATTTCATTTGTAACAAACTTAATTCTGAATTTTACTTTTGATTATAGCCATGATTTACTTTAATGTTTTCAAAATGAATTTCAAAGACTATTTATTCAGTTAATTTTGAAAGTAGAAACATACTGAAACTTTTATCCCACTTGGTAAGCAGCCATCCCTTAGTTTTATCCAAGTTTTCCCATGAAAATGCCAATCGGGAATAAAACTGACAAATATATTCAATCAAAGATGGAATTTTTTTTGCTCTTAAGTTGCAAATGGCCTCATTAAAATAAAAGCACTACCTTAGGGATTGTATAAAGCAGAGTATTGGTACCTAAATGGTATTTATGACCAGGCTAAATGTAAAGTGAATTAAAATTTAAAGGATTATAGTCAGGTAGGCCACAGACATCTGTAGAGAAATGTCCATTAAGAAGATGAAAGAACCAGCAGTCCCTGGTGACAGGCACATGTCAGGTTAGCGGTCAGCCATACCTACACACTTAGTGTCACAGCAAATGAGAAACACATTGCCTAAGGAGGAAAGTACTTTAAATATATATTTATTTTAGGCTAAGAAAAAAAATTAGGAAACTAACACGTTGGAATTCATATCCATCATTGTCATCAAGCTAAAGTCTAAAGAAAGGGGAAAATAAGATGTGGATTGATAATAAAGATTATCACATATGTGTTTATAAAAGCTATATATACTCCAAACCATGGCTGTATTTATAGAACCAATTGAAGGTAGAATTCTGTAAGCATGCCATTAAGTCCATGGCACTGTAACCACAAAGAGGTGCTGCTGCCCAGCTACAAATAAAGGCCTTGTTTCATAATAATAATAAAAAGTGAAATAGCCTCTAGGGTGCTAATACACCAAGGGTTTTATTGCTTTTATAATGTGAATGAGTCACAACACCAGTCACTATTTTTGTCATTTTCATGACACCATGCTGTCTTGTGCATGCCACATATCCCTGTTGCATCTGTCTCATCACAATCGAGTACTCTTTTAAATGATCATCATATGCTCTTAAGTGGTGACACATGGACACAAAAAATCTGATCTCTTAATTAAAAGGGACTAACTGCCTCTTATTTTATTTCCTCTTTTCTCCTTATTTTCCTCTTTCTCTTCCTCCTCCTCTTCCTCTTCCTTCTTCTTTTTCTTTCTCTCTCCCTTTCTCTCTCTCTCTCTCTCTCTCTCTCTCTCTCTCTCTCTCTCTCATACTGGCTCAGGAACACACACCACTAATGTTCAGATAGAATTCATTTAGCATACTGTATTGGGACATTAACTTTGACATTTGATATAGCAAAATATGGTTGAAGGTGTTTGTGGTAGGATTCTTTCTCTCTGACATTTATTCATAATCCAGGCACCACAGTCTTCCTCTGTATGGTTTTAAACATAGCTCAGAGAGAACATTTTTTCTATTAAGTTTGCACCTCATACTCCCTAGGATTCAAGGCTTCTGACCCTACTTTTAAGCTAACTGGTCCTTATTCACTGATGATCCCAGATGAAACCATTCCCAAGATGAAGTCACTCTCAAATCTGGACTTGTGTTTCGACAAATGCTGAACAATAAAAATTAAAAGAGATGCTTTATAATCACATTTTGCCTGGAAACAGAAAGTCTTTCATCACAAATGCTCTATCAGTACTTCAGTGGACACCATAGACATTATTTGGGTGACCTTCCTTGTCTTTACAATTGAATTGTTTCAAAGGTACTATTTTTCTAGTTATATCTCTGCTCTCATTCCACAGTTCTTTACATTAATATACTTATTTGGTAGACAAAATCTTTGAAAGTAGAAATAAATGTGGGGGGATGTCTCTAAAATCACCATTTTCCAGCTCCCAAATCTTCTAGCTTGTCCTACAATTGCACAACCTTCTCAGCCTTATCTATTTATTTTTTGTAAAAGTATCACCTAACCACCTCCTAGACTGTGAATCTCAGTGGCAACCTGTGGAACAGGAGAGTATTGCTGAAAGATGTGTGGTAAACATCATCTTTAGGATAGGATTTGGGGCAGAAATATGGTAGACTCCTTGAGCGGAAGTGTGATAGGTAAACAGATTGTTCCTACATCCATAATCTCAGTATGCAATTGGGGGTCTAACAAGAAACAAAACGGGGATAAGTGGACCAGCTGATAATCACAGAAACAAAATGAGAATAACTAGATCCTAGCCAAAAGAAAAAAAATTGTCTAATTTTTATATCTAATGTGTAAATTTTAAAAATATGGTATTTTATAACTCTAGAAAAGTTATTCTGCCTATTTCTTTCATTTACATTTCAATACCTCTCTTCTGGGGTAGAGGCACTCCTATGATGACTGCTGTGTTTTCTGACAGAAGCACATGCCGTGAAACTTCCTTACCCTTCCACCAACAATGTGCACTTGGCTTCTGAGTCTTCACTGTGGTACCCTGCTCTCAGGTCTCTTGGCTAGTTAGTATGGTGTCAAATTATCAAGGTGAATGGAAGAACAAAGTGAGTATGTTTTCTTCCTTCAGTGCTCTGTATTGTAATATATTTAAAGAAGCTTTTAATTAAACAAATGGCAAGCATTTCATGTGGAAAAGCCAGGCAGAGATGCAAGTGATTTGAAGCTCAGGGAACCTTACATCATGCCCTATGCATCTGCCAACTCCTGGAATACAGGACTTTCTTTTCTTTCCAACTGAATCAGACCTGAAGACATGCTCAGGCACTCCGTACGCGACATTATTTCCTCCTAAACAAGCTGCCTATCACATCAATGTATGCTTAGTAGTTTGGTCCCCAAACTTATTTTTGTTAAATACACTGTCTTCATGAAGCACCAAAATGAATGCTGAATATATTTAGAAGTAAGAGAGACTTATTATTGTGTCTTGTCTATGTCAAAGCCTGTCTGTTTGATAGGGAAACATTTCATACTACTTCAATCCCGGACTTGACTCCTCAAGGAGCAACCTCAGACAACCTAGTTAGAGACATGGCAAATTTGGGCTAGCCCTATGTGCTCTAGAGTTTGGACTGGACTTGCTGTCTGTGGAGACTGTAATCTGAATCAGATAAATCGCTTGACATCAGTTTCTTTATTATTTCTCTGTTTAAAGTGTGTGCTAAAATGGATGTAATGTTATACCTAAATAGAATGAATAACAAAGGAGGGACCTCCATTGCTAATAAAAAGAGTACAATCCACAAGCAACTAAGATTCTGCTCTCAAACATTTCCCTACAATTTCCTCAGAGGCTTAAACTGAGATTCTGTCAGACTTGGAGAAAGGAGGAATTCCAAGAATGAGGGGGCTCTCCACTAAAAATAAATGTTCTTACCAGGTCTTGAGAGAGTTCAGATTCAAGCTCGAGCTGGTCTGTAAAACTCAAGGGTCAGAGGTTCAAGAGGAGAGGAGTGATTGTCATGTTCAGGCCATATATAGCTTGTCACCATTGTCCTGTTTAAGAAATTTCAAGCATTTCCTCTTCCTAACGGAGAGAGCGCCTAAAGAACCAAACTTGTGTTTAAACTATTTACTATTTCAGCAAAAATAAATGAGCTTCAGAGTTAAAAATAATAATAAAGAAAGGTGGAAATCATCTAGGAGGGGAAAAGGAGTCTGTTGAAATGTCTATTATCTTGTGGTATATCAGCACATTAAACATACTCCTATGCATTATAAGATAATTAAAATCAAGAAAGGATCTAGCTTCATTTTCAAGTACAGAAGATGATTGCTCAGAGCAGAGCAGGTCTAAATAGTTTTGAAGCAACATATCAGAAATAACAATATTCTTGTTCATACCGGCTGTATGGTATAATATTATTACCCTGGGATTTTTCATTCTTTTAGGTCATGTGTGTGTGGGGGGAGTTGTGTGACTTACATACATAAATAATGTTTCATACTCAATATCCTGTTGGCTATTATATAGTGTTATATGAGAATGAGATATGAGTTTCTGTTTTCTACTATTTAAAGGAATACACCAATTTATTTTATTTTATTGATTCTTGTCAATGCAATGTTAATGCTCTTAAGGTGAGAAATAATGTTTTCATTATTTGTGAATAGGTAAGAAAATTTGTGTCTGGCAATGAGCAAGGAGTCTTCAGCATGTTTGAATTAGGATTGACTGTATAAACATCTAGCAAAGTGCTGAATACTTCATCACAGCTCAGTGTGTATTTATTGAAATGTATACTTTTCTATATCATATTTCTGTGAATAGAACTATTTTCTAAAAATAGATACTTAAAATAGAGAGCAATTATTATCAAGATTGGGGTAGAGAAGTACATAGGTTCTTAATGAAAATAATAATAGAATATGATCCAGAAATAACAAGAAAAGGCCATATTATTTATATCATATTTTTCAGAAAGAAAATCTTAAAAGTGTTCAAAATAAAATAAAACAGACAATAAGTGAAACGGTATCCAAATGCTTTCCTCCCAAAGTTGTGGATTTGGATTGACTAGGGCACACCTGGACTTAGCCCCAAGGTTTAGGGTCTGTTTCCAGGCCAAAACCCAAGTTTCCAGTTCAGGGCTCCCAGATTCCATTAAGATTTCCTGTGAATCAGGCAGGGCTAATTCAGCCTTGAACAATCAATCACTCTCACTTCATTTTGTGAGTGGGAGTGATTGATGGTTCTCCGCTGGTCATGGCTGATCTAGAAGTAGAAAGCAAACCTGGACACGATGCTTCCTGTGTGAGTGGCTTATTTGGAATCAGTCAACTGCAAAGAGCTCTCCTGTGTCCTCCCTAGCTCCTTCCTGGAGAGACATATACCTTTCATAACCTTCCTATATGTTCTATTGTTTTCTTCAAACTATTGTAGGTCTTTCCTTCCCCTCACTCACAGAAAATATCTGGATGTCTGCACCCCTGTACTCATGTTCATGGCCCCTGGATTACCTAGATCTCAATTTTTCCTCTTGATTTTCGTTTTTTAGAATATTATCTGCTAATTCATCAACTTCTCCTCTCTTACAAAACCAGGGCTTGTGCAATAGGAGTTGTCTTTCCTCTTGTAGCTTTCTCATAGAATTGTTAAGGAAGAGAAAGAAAAGAAACGTAATTTAAACTGCTTATTTCTTCTTTCTGACACTGTTCTTTCAAGCAGTGGAGAAAAAAAAAGACAAGTAAAAAAACAACTCCATGGTTTTGTGAATTCGTATGTTTTGTTTGTGCTGTTTGCAGCTTGGTTGTCTTTCATTTTTGGGAATGTTCATTTTGCATTTCAGAGAACAGCGTGCCATTTTGTGGATGTTATCATTATGGCCTTTTAGCCCAGAATTACCACTGCTGTCACAGCCACTAGAAGGAAATGCTCTCCCACTCATTTCTCTGATAAGAAGCTGCCTCATATCCTCATACTTCCTGGGGTTCACTAGCTGGATGGAGACATTTGCAGTTAGGATTTTCAAAGGGAAGCCAATACTGTGCACAGCTTTCAGGATTGTTAGTTTGCCCCAAAACTCACTTAAGTCGTGAAAACCCTTACAAAAAATGATTAGAGAAGTTGCAAAAGTTCAAGGACCCAAGGCAAAACTGAAAGCGGTTCTTTTCATCATTTTGGTGAAGAGTAAAAGGGATGGGCTGCAGCTCTTCTTTCCTGTCTCACAGCAAATCATATCATACAGAAACACAACTACCACATATATTTAGGAAATTATTGACAGGTTCTCTGAAAGGAGAAAGTGCAATTTCACTGATAATTTAGAGAAAAAATAGCCAGCGATTATCCCATATTGTGACAATTGAAAGGGGAATCATTAGTATGGAACATGTATGCATGTATTTACTCAAAATGAAGGATGCGAAAGGATGCAGATTTCTAAGCTTTGATAAGTTGGGAAGAAATATAAAAATATATAATGCATATATGTATATATACTTTTTATATATTTTATATATCCATCCATATTTATATAAATATACATAGATGGATAGATAGATAGGTAGATAGATTTGATAGAATTCATAGGAGATGACTATTTTATTCAGATAAAATCATGAGACCATATTCTTTTCTAAATTTAGTTGAACCCCTTAAAGGGGTGAACTATTTTTTTCTTGAGGGACTGTTAGAATTGTGTGAGTTTATTTGAATCACAAATACAATAAAAACACTCCAGATAGTTTTGTATTTTTTTTTCTTTTCTGGCTTATTGCAAAAGGTAGTAAGTAACACAAAAGAGCTTGTTGTAAAGATGAGCAGAGGTGCCCACATTCCATTTGGCTCTGTCAGTATTTTCGATAAGGATTGGTCCATCAGCCTGGTGGACTCCTGTGTTGGGGACTGTTATGGGGGAGGAGGATCAGGCAGTGTGGCTGGAGGGACAGCAGGCTCTTGTCAATGGTAGCATCACATATTTGGCCTCCCTGCTTGTTGTAGAGTAGTGGGGACAAATGTTCCCCTCACTGCCCAAGTGCAGTACACTTGAGACTCACCCAGATAGACACTTACCCTGAAGGCAGGGACAACTTAGGTGTCCTGAGGTGGAACTGGCCCCACCATGAGCAGTCATTCTTCCTTTCCCTCAAGGACCACACCACTGCCACAGACGTAGCCTAGTGTAAGACACTGCTGAATCACAAAAATATTCTTTTGCTATCAGCCATGTCGCCACTCTCAGACTGAGAATCAGGCTTAACCCTCTGGCCGTGAGAACAAGAGAACTTGGAAGTGGGTGGAAAGGAGTAAAATTTCTCCCATCAAAGCCTAAATACTATCTTATTACCTCCTTCCCAGATAGGAGGGAACATAGTTGCTAATGTTCTCACTGAAGAATAAAATCTTTTTTTTAAGTTACAGCCACTAAAGTTACATGTAATTCATAGCACGGGAGATATCCTGGTTCCTGACCAAATAAGAACAAAGGAACTAGCCAGTTATTTTTTATTAATAATATCTGTACATCAGAATGTGTATATTAATGTTATTTGGTGAGATTATTGTTAGGCAAAGAATACGCTGGAGAGATATGATTACTTTAATGCTAGGGACAGGCAGATGCGTATCAAATGTACATAAACATCTGAAAGCAGATAAGAAAATATTGGCCTTGCTTCAAATGAGATGGAAGCAAAGATAGACGAGAATTATTTATCAGAAATGAAGTGGAAAAAGATCAGGGCCAGGTATGTAGAACCTCCAGGGTCTGCAGTTGCAAGCAAATCAACAGTACAATTTTAGATACACATTATTGAAATGCTGCTGTACTTGGTTAAATAAACAACTAATAAAAATATACAAGAGTTTAAAAGGTAAAAGTGTTGTCCATTATTACCTACAAATAAAGGGAAATTGAGCAATTTTGAAGTTTATTCTTTTTGTGAGGTAAGATCAATTTTAAAACAAACTCTTATTTCTGCATTAATGGTCTTAAATCCAGATGGTAGTATTTTTTTTTTTTTCTAGCCTGGAGCGTGGGAACAATTTTTTCTGCATAGGAACAGAATATCTAAGGGGCAAGGGATATTTAAAGTTAGGTATAGTCCAGCTGTATTGGGTAAAATATATCACGTTTATACATATGACCACAGTGTATTTTGATGACATATTCAGTAATTAGGTTGCTGCTTCTTATAGTATGTTCCTTAGATCACAGTTTATCGAACCATGTATGTATTAATATATATGTAACAAGTAGACCAAATATCATTTAAACAATACTGAAAGCAGTTTAAACTTCCCAGAGTGAGAATTTAATTCAGGTTTCGGAAATAATTATTCTGTTCTGAGAAAAGCACTAGAGTGGGACTTTTACTTACACAACTAAGAAGAGACTAGCAGCACATTGTCCTTGAGAAAAAACCCTAAGTGACCACCGAACTGAAAACAGACGTTCATCTGAAGAAGGTAAAGTTTCTATTTGATAATGAGAATTAGATATAGGTTTAGCAGAGCTTCTGCAGGCTTTGTAAGTTTATAATGTTTCTTTGTTCTGAATTTAGACTAATCTGAGACTATAGGGTATTTGTTATTCTACAGGATATTGCTTATTCTGTTGTGTTCTTGCTTAAAATTTGAAGGTCTGAAATTTACCAGAAACTGAAAGAAGGATATAGGAAAGAAAGATCTGGGTTAAGATTGGCCGAGTTCAGCCCCGAGTGAGCAATGAATGCTCTGCTTTGGAAATCTAGACTGATGAACCCAGATATCTATTCTAACTTTTTATGTTTCTGGGGCTGTATCACCTTACCACTCTGCATGAAATGAGTGAAGAGTCCCACTACCAATCATTTTAAGAAAAGATCTATGCATTTAAGAAATAAGGATTTGAGAGGAAAACTTCATACTGCAATGTGCAAGAAATCTTCCTATCTTTCTGGAACCTCATAGGGTTGGAGCTTGATCAATGGAAGAGCAAGCTTGCTTGAGGGCATTTCCATTGGCCTTGCCATTAGGTAACAGTCCAGAGGATAAGAGCATTCTTAGATCCTCTGGGTTGCATTACCCCTCCATTCGTCTTAAGCATTCAGAAAAGTCCACCTTGTTAAAGAGGACCTCTTCCTTTCTTGGGACCGAGTAGCAAAGGGGAGAGCAGTATGTCCTCCCTTAAACCCAAACAGGCAGCATAGCTCAGCATCTCCAAGAAGAGAGGTATCTTTGGAATGTTCCTAGCAGCAGAAACAGCAGGGAGAGGGGAGAGGGTGAAGAAGTGCAAGAGATGTACCAGGTCATTCATCTATTCTTGATGTTCATGCAACAATCCCAAGAGCACTTATGCTGTTGTAATCCCAACTGGTATGCTGCAATTCAATTCTGGCACCAGCTAACTGGAGTTAGTGCAGATCCCACAAGTCATGGGCTCATCCTTCACAAGAGTGCAGATGGCAGTGCAAGATAGGTGTTCCCATGACTCCCTCAAGTTTGACAATTCACTGGAATGACTCACAGAACACAGCAAAGGATACAATTTAGGAATAACCAAGTGAAGTGACATGTAGGGCAAATCTTGGAGGGGCCTGAATGCAGAGGTTCCATGCCTTCTCTTTGTGGAATCTGGGTGTGTCACCTTCCTGGCACATGAATGTATTCACAAACTCAATCAAAATGCACCACTGAGCTTCCATGTCCAAAGTTTGTCTTGGGTTTTTATTACAGAGACATGACTGGTTAAATAAATCGCCACATGATTGAACTCACTATCCAGGCTCCCTCCCGTCTGAGGAGGTTGTGATAACAAAAAAAAATCCCATCTCTGGAATTACGTGATGGATCTTTCTGGTGACTTGCTCCAAATCTGATTCTACCTAAGGGCCTAACATGAGTCACTTCATTAGCTTAAACTGAAGTGTAATCATGTAATCATGAATAAGAAAGTTCATGAGTACCAAAGACATTTCTATCATTTGGGAAATTCCAAGAGTTTTAGAAGCTCCATGGTAGGAACCAGGACCAAGATCAAACTCTTTATTATACAACACACCTCTCACAAGTTGGTAGGGATGCTAAGTGGGAAGGAGTGTCTGCTGGGATTCAGAGAAATGGAAATCAGAGCCTTAGAATTTGGAGAGAAATATGGCCACATTTGTAGGCACTTTGTGAAGAGACTTAGGCAAACAGGATAGAATATTGAAAACTGAAGTTTATTGTTTTTAAAGGTACTTCCTTCTTGGTTTTAACACTAGTGTTATAGGAGGAGACTTCTCAAGTCATATATTATCCCCAAGTGTGGGTATAAAGCTAAGTATGCTACTCATACAAATTTGGTGAGCAATGTAAGACTTTATTATTGTTTATCCTTCTAATTATCCTCCTAAGCGCATACCGATTTCCAGTGAGAGAACCTTTTACTTTCCTTAAGCTCGTATTGCTTATGCATTGCAAGCCAGTAGCCATCTGTGTGTGAGAAGACAGGCACTTCTAAAGAAAAGTCATACTTGGAGAACTGAAAATAATGTTTTTATAAATGTTATTATAAATGACATGTAAAGTTCAAAGAATTTCAGGAGTTCAGCTAATGAATTCACTTGAAAAGCTATCATTTATAAGGTTCTCAGGTAAGACATCCATTTTGTACATGTATCTACCTCTAAAGCATGCCGCATAAAATTCAACAAATTTCACCTACTCCAAAATCTGGCTGACATTCCTCAGATAAAACCAAATATGCCATACAGTCATTTTGACTAAGGCAGAACATGGCTATACTCATTAGAACTACAGAGAACACAGCTTGGTGTTTGTGAAAAGCCACATGCAGTACTGCATGTTGGGCAAGTATTGAATGTGTTGTTTGCTTAATCTTTCTCTGGCTGATAAATGATGTTCCACTTTGAAGAAACAAGACATATGGTACAGATGCTATCACTGTGCATAGGAAACTGGTAGCAAGTAGTTAAGTGATTTTCTAAGTTCACTCAGAAAGCCAGTAGCAGAATTAGGTCAAAAAGTCCTGTGTTTTATTATTATACTTAGCAAGAGCACTCAGAAGAAAGGCTGTGAAGGGTTAAGTACTAATCTTAACTTGATTATTTTTATCTTTTTGTTTACTTTTATGTCTTCCTACTCTGTCTTAAGCTTCTTTTTAGACCAAAGGTAGATATATCAACGACTAGGTGTTCTAGTTTGTAATCTCCATTCATTACCTTAAATTTATTTTACAAATAAAAATCCATTCTAGATATTCAAACACGTGGGGAGGAGGCAGTTTTTAGTAGGGACTAAAATGCCACTGATTATGTGGTAGAAGTGATTAGATAATCTAGGTGCTGCTGTTTTGCCTTCTGATCCCTGGCTCTGCCCTGTAGGAGAAAATTTGTCGTGGTGGTGGGTTTTTTTTGTTTGTCTGTTTGTTTTTTATTTGTTTCTTTGTTTTTAACTTTCATGAATAGTAACAAAATAATTGTTTCTTTCTAGGAGACGTTTGAAAAAATTTTTGAAAGGAAAGGAAAAAGGCTGTATTTGCCTTCCAGATTTTAGAATGCTTACTTTGGCTTGTTTTCATATTTACTTATAATACATAGAAGTAAATATTATTTTATATAGGGTGTTGTGAGGACTGGATTTTTTTCATGTGAAACACATTAAATGTTTTAGATACCTAAGAGTACATAATTACAAATGTATATCATTAAAGCAAAGCTATATTAATTAATGCAAAGCTGCCTTGGGGTCTAGCAGCTTTTGGAGGCCTTAGCAAAATTACTTAGAGACTTCTTTTCTCCTTTGTCTAAACATGTTGATTTCTTTATTCAATTTTAATTTTGCAACTTAACACAAAGTACATTTTGGAAATGAGTACAATGAGTTTAGACAATGTAATCAGGTTACTAAATAATAAATAGCAAAAATAATCGTAATAACTGTGGTTCTATCATTAAGGTGCATTGATTTTCTCATAGCATATGTTACACAACATATAATTATTTTAAACCCAACTATAAGACTATTCAATTTTATTAAAAGTTGTTTTCTCAAATAAATCCAACTATTTCAAATTCAAGACAGATATTTGTGTAAATTGAAAAAACTGAATCAAATTTTCATTTAGATTACATGTAGTCTAAGGAGGAAAAGACAAGCTTAAATTTATGAATTTTGTGACGATACAGATGTTTCAAAATAATTTACTTTAGTCATTCTTATGTATTTTTGGTTTCCATATTAGAGTTGATGATATAGGAATGATTTCTGTATACTCCCATAAGCTAACGCCAACGTCTTCCGTTACAGTCTTAATATACTGAAAGAATAATGGACGGAATCATTAATGACTTCTAAGGCAATAACTAACCTAGACCAACAAAGAACCTCCTAGTAGAAGTTTTAGGGGGCCTACTTTAGTGATTGGATAAGCATAGTTTATAATAAACATACTGATATAAGATAAATAGGTGCTTTTAGAGGTTTCCCAGCCACAGCACTAATGGCTTTTTGGGTTGAATAATACTTTGGTGTCGGCGGGTTATCCTGTGTATTATAGGACGTTTAGCAGCATCTCTGGCTTCTACCTACTGGATGCCAGTAGCACCCCCCAAAAAATACAATACTTGTGAAAACCAAAAAAATGTTTCCAGCACTTTCAAATGTCCCCTTCCGGCAAAATTACCCCCATCTTCTAGTACAGAAATACTGTTCTAGAAGATGCTTGAAAATAGCTTTCATTCTGCATTGAATATTTTAATGCTCCCCAATGTAATATTTACTTTATTAATTGACTCAGAAAGCACACTCCTTCCTAATACATATGAAACCCACTTAGCCCAGACTCTGAGTGGATTATCTCAAATTCCAAATTTTTATCATCTAAATTAATTTATTTTATTGTATAAGCCCAATAAACATTGCATTAACAGGAGGTTCAGATAAGTTTATAATACTTTTTAGGCCTCTATCAATCAGCTCCAATTAGTACCTCTTAGTCTAAACAAAGCTTTGGGAACCATGTTATAATTTGTATAACAAATAAATATGAAGCAAAATATTAATTCGGCTGTAGTTTAGCATGTTTATCCACTGGTCAGTCTTGACTATTATCAGATATAGTAATTGACTAGCTTGTGTAGCTATAATTTTTCCAACAAAAACTAAAACAGTTATTGTTAAGGGAATATATTTAACAAGAGTGTGCTGGGAGTTCAATGAAATAATGTGTCATTTCTACTATAATCAGCCAAGTGTTTGGAAGAAATCATGAGAATGTGAATGAAATTAGGAGAGAAGTTGGGAAGAGTAATGGATTGGCCATGCGAACCACAGAAATTGTTGCTATTCTCTGCTTCCCTTCTTTTTCTTATATCCAAAACAAGAGCCTGAGCTCATTTCTCTATTTCCCAGCTGTAATTACTTCATCCTGTTCCCTGAATATCTTCACTGACCCTCTATCTTTTCAAGTAACTCGAATCTTTTGTCTTAACTCTAAATGCCCATATAGGCTATTTGCCAAGAAATCTTTACATACATATACTAGCTTTCTCAACCTCTGTATTGAGACCCATTTCTAGCTTCCCTCTTGTTAACCTTAGCATTTTCAGCACTCAATTTTCAAAACCAAAGAGCTGCTTGCTTATTTACCAGATGAGCTTTTTGACTTTAAAACAATAACTAAAAAGACTTGAAACCATCTTTCTCAGTTCAAGTCTTTCAAAAGTCATGGGGCAATAGGACTGAAATAGACTCTAGGGATCATCTGCTACAACTTGCCGCCAAATACGAGATTTAAGCAGGAGGCTCAAAGTCAAACACACCTGGGATCAAATTCTACCTTGATTTTGTATCATAGAAATGACATGAAATAGGTTCTTAAGTTTGCTGAGTCTCAATATAACTTTTTAAGATGGGAATAGGAGTACCTACTTTACAAGAACTTATGAGATGTTTTTGAATTTTCTGACACACAGCTCTTAATAAATAAATAATTCAAAAATACATACTACCACATGTCTATTAATTAAATTTCCTATGTTTCTGATGGAAGAATATAGCTATTAGATACAATATTATATTTATATAGTGTCTACACAAAACTGACATTTAAAAACAACATTTTGTTCATAAAACACCTTACACTGAATGGCACTACAATTTTTTTTTTTTTTTTTTTTTTTTGAGACGGAGCCTTGCTCTGTTGCCCAGGCTGGAGTGCAGTGGCGCAATCTCGGCTCACTGCAAGCTCCGCCTCCTGGGTTCACGCCATTCTCCTGCCTCAGCCTCCCGAGTAGCAGGGACTACAGGCTCCCGCCACCGTGCCTGGCTAATTTTTTTCGTATTTTTAGTACAGACGGGGTTTCACCATGTTAGCCAGGGTGGTCTCCATCTCCTGACCTCGTGATCCTCCCGCCTCGGCCTCCCAAAGTACTGGGATTACAGGCATGAGCCACCGCACCTGGCCAGCACTACAGTTATTAAAACCAATAGTATTGACATAAAACCACTCTTGAATTTAGGTGGAAGATCCTCTAATATATACTTAAGATTAAATTTTTAATTAATTATAAATGGAGTTTTTAAAGGTATGATACAAAGACTCATTTTATCTCCACACTAATAATTCAAATAATGCAAATAATTCACAGTAACCCAACTCTTAATGTCTCATGTCTGCACTCTTAAGCAAAGCATGGTGGTCAATTGAAGTTTCTGGTGATTCCATAGTTCAGATATAGCTTACTGATCTGGATTTTAAAAGGAACCTTTTTAAAATTGTATGCCCCCTAGGGTATATTAAAATAACATTCTCCTTTGTTGAGGTTACAGTTATTAAGAAAAGTTTCCTACGAACCTTGGGAGTAAAAATAACTTTTCAAGCCAGTATTTTCTTTTAAAGTAATTGACCTCCTCATGTCTTAAATTATCTACAATGATACAGTATAAGCTTTGCTTGTTGCTTCAACTGACCTTATCTATTTTTCAATTAACTTTAATTCAACTTGCAAGGATATGTGATTGAGCCATGTACACAGTGAGGAGGAAAATAAATTCAACTTCAAAATAAAGTAGAGATTGTTTTGTTTCTCCAGTCCTTAATCTGGAGCAAAGATGTGTAAACTGAGGTACAAGGTCTACTAAAGGAAATACTTGAAATATTACATTTATATATGTGAATTTTTTTCTTCCCCTAAAGAACTCCCCATAGTTTTCAACAATTCTCAAAGGAGGAGTCATGAAAAAGAATGAGGTTAGAAGTCATTACTCTCAATCAGGAATGCTCTCTAAAGAGAGCTAAAGATAGAAAGTGGTTCATAGTTCTATCCATATTTCTGGGTAAGATTATAAAGCAGATTTCTTAAGAATTCAACCAAAGTGGTGGAGCATTTTTGTCCATAGGTGGAGATTGTGACGATTAGTTTAATGTGTCAACTTGGCTAGGCTATAACACCCAGTGACTTAATCAAACACTAAGCTAGTGTTGCTGTGAAGATATTTTGTAGGTATAGTTAATATCTACTATCAATTTATTTAAATAAAGGAGATTACTGTACACAATATGGGGTAGACTCATCCAGTTAGTTGAAGCTTAAGAGCAAAAATCAAGGTTTCCTAGAGAAGAGGAAATTCTGCCTCAAGACTGCAACATGAACTCTTGCCTGACTTGCCACCCCACAATCATATCAGTCAATTACTTAAAAATCCATCTCTATCTCCATATATATATACATACACACATATATATACACATATATCTATGTATGTATATATTATATATGTATGTGTGTGTGTGTGTGTGTGTGTGTGTAATTTTGACTGATATCACTGGTATAGGGGCCAAGATTACAAATGGAAATAGTAATGGAAAGGATCAATACATTCGATGAGATATTTCATTCAAAATTCTAGCAATGCTGTGGTCTTAAAAAAAAATAAAAATAAAAGGTGGGTAGCATGGTGCCGAATTGAGAAGTTTCCCGTGAACAGGCATTCAGAAGTAGTTCTCGATGCCATACTTGACTACAACCAAAGGGACCACCAGCTACTGAGAAAACATCAGAGTCCCAGCTGAGAAAATCACCACATCAGAGAGCATCTAGGCAGCAGGGATAACAGGGAAAGACAACTTCTGAGTGTCAGAGTCTGGAGGATTCCTACCTTGGCTGTGGTGACTCTGCGGGATCCAGGACTGTGCTCACCACTGTTCTCCAATCATTGTGGGACACTGTAGTGCCCTCTGTGGCTCAATGAACACTGTACATCTAATATAGCTCAATATGCTATTTTTTCATAATTCTGAAATATTTTATCAGCAAGTTTGACAATTCTGAAAGAGTCTTTTTCTCTTTTTATTTGTGTGGCAGAAAGGAACCAATCAAGTTAAATTTGTACAAGATAAGGAGAGGGATACAGCAGTATGTTTCCAACTGTAAAACAAAAGAACTCACTATGTTGTACAGCCAGTTAGTGCATGTTCTCGGTACCTGGCTCATAAGCGATGCTCCAGACAATGATACAACTGACAGTGACCACAAAGCAAGTCTTGGAAGAATCCATTGTATTTGAACCACAGCCTTGCTTTCTTTTCTTCAAAGCACCTTTATTTTGTAACTCTTTTCTGAATTAACATCATCCTGGAAGTCCCGTTAAGAAAGTCCAGTTGAAAAGATGCCAAAAAGCAGCCATGACCATTTCTTCATGTCAAGCACAAGCCAGAAGTAAAACTCAGTGTGTTACTTGAATTCGTTTTGTTTGATGTTTGGGATATGACTTGATTTTTCATTTATTTTTATAAACTAAAATTTTGTTTCTTAAGTCAAACACAGGAGGGGTACAAAGAGGTCACTACAGGGGAAAGTATTTTTTCCAAAGCTGTCATTGATGATTTTGTATTTATTCACCATGGGAGGGCTTTAATAACTGCATTGCTTTGTTGATTGCACTGGTCTTTCTTCTGAATACCTAGGCAAGGCTCTTTCATCTTACTCACACATTGCTCAATGTTGGATCAATGCCAAATTCCCCACCTTCATGAATGATTAACTCATGTAGCCTGTTGCTAATAATGTGTGCACTTGATGGCAGATGATATTTATTTTGGACAGAGTGAATGCAGACCTTGGATGTTTGATCAGGACGTGGTGGCACATAGTGTGTGTGGCCACACTTTCCAGGGAAAAGAACACAGTCCAAATCTTCAGGTTGCCCCCCATCTTCCCTTTGCACTGTCACAGGAAGGGAGTTTTCAATTCACTTTATCATTCACAAGTTACCAACTCAGCCTTGTCATTGTGATTCGTCACACTTACACTATATCCTTTTATGTGCTGTATCTCACTGATGTCTCCACACACCAGGCTGGTGCCACAGGGTATACGTCTACAACAAAGATCTCAAACATAGTTTAAAAGGAAACACCATAAAAGAGAAAAATAACGGTCACAGTTGCTACTAGAGGCTGGTTCCCACAAACCCAGCAGGTTTTCCAACTTCAACCACAGCTGAATTACAACGACAGCTATCAACTCAGCAGCTTTGGGTCTGATTTTGAGTAGTCCCACTATGGCATTATCTTTTCTTCTTCTTCTTCTTTTATAGTAATGCCCTCCTACCTAACCTTCTAAACTAAGAGGTAGAAAGAACAAAGTTCCTTTTTCTTCCTTTAGCTCGCTGGCGGAATCTATGAAGAGCAGATGGAGCAGCCTACCTGACTGCCAAAAAGAGCGATGATTCTGTCCTCAGCCATGACGTGGAGCCACACTACCCATCTGGCAGATTCACATAACTCAGCATTGATAACTCCATTCTGATCAAGTCTGGCCATACCCGAGCTGCATGATTCTTCAGTGTGCCCTGCATGCGACTCACCTCGGGAACATGTTAGAAACTCACATACCTGGAAGACCACCCCTGGAGACTCACAGTCAGTAGGTGTGGTGTGGGTTGGAAGAGTCTATATTTAACAAGCATTTGAGATGATACTGATTCACTGCCAAGTTTGCCAATTCCTTGTTTATATTACAGATTTATTTTTTTTAGGATGTATAACCCTGTAAATATACAGGTACAATAAAATCAAGTGACAGCCTCAGTTGGGGAGTGGAAGGAGGAGAAAGGGATACTATCACATACAGAGCGTTGAAAATGTGCTAAGAAAATTACATTTAATTCTCACAAAATGCTTAGATGTGGACTTTATTACTCCATTTAATGATGGGGACAAAAAGAAATTTGCTGCCACTATTTTCTCTGCTCAGATTAAAAGTCAGATGAGTTTTTAAAGGCTGTCCTCTGATTTTCCTTTTCTTTCTTTTTTCTTCTCTTTCTTTCTTTCTTTCTTTCTTCTTTCGTTTCTCCCCCTGTCTCTCTCTTTCTTTCTTTTACTTTTTCTTCTTTTTGTTTTGATTTTTTTTGAGACAGGGTCTCACTCTGTTGCCCAGGCTGGAGTGCAGTGGTGCAATCATGGCTCACTGCAACCTCCACCTCCTGGGCTCAAGCAATCTTCACACCTCAGCTTCATGAGGAGCTGGGACTATAGGGTCATGCCATCATGCCACCATGCCTGGCTAATTTTTGTATTCTTTGTAGAGACAAGGTCTCACTATGTTGCATAGTCTGTCGTTGAACTCCTGGGCTCAATGAATTCACCTGCCTTGGTCTCCCAAAGTGCTGGAATTGCAGGTGTGAGCTACCACTCCAAACCTTATTTTTTCTTATTATGCCCACTTGACTGTAAAATTCAAACAGCAGAGTGGTGTGGCATCCATAGTCATTGGGTATGTGTGTGTGTGTGTGCATGCACATGTGTGTGTTTTCTGGAGAAATGATTTATTACATGTGTATTATTACTTTCCTATCAGTGACATAACAAATTACTGCAAACTTTGAAGCTTAACACAACAGATTGAATTTTTCACAGTTCTTGTAGCTCAGAAGCCTGAATGGGCTCCACTGATTCTTTTGTTTCCGATCTCACCAGGTGGAAGATAAGGTGTCAGCCAGCCTGGTCTTTTATCTGGAGGCTGTTGGGGAGGAGGTAGAGAAATCTGCTTATAAGTAGAACCCAATATCTAGTGGCTGGGAGGCTGCAGTCCCTATTTCCTGGCTAGCTATGCTCTACCAGCATCTCTCAGCTCCTTAAAGCCACCTGTGTTCCTTGTCATGCTGTCCTTTCCATCCCAAGACAGCAAAGGTGAGTCATAAATGTTTTGAGTCTCTGACTTTCTGTTCTGCCATATCTTTTGTCTCCAGCCAAAGAAAGTTCTTTGCTTTTAGGGGCTCATGTGATTAAATTGGGCCTACATTGGAAAATATTCCTATCTTAAGGTCAGCAGATTAGTAACTGTAATTACTTCTGCAAAATCCATTTTTTCCATATAGTGTGACATAACCAGGAGAGAAAAGATCTTGGGGACAAAAGTTCTGCCTTCAATAATATCAAATGAAAACTTTTCGCCTCAAGACTCCCTTCTACTCTCTTGCACTGATAATTTTAAGAAACAAAATCAGTGCCCTAAATACAGTATTCCACCCTTATCAGCAGTTTCTCTTTCCAGGGTTCCAGTTATCCGCAACCTACTAATATCTGAAAATATTAAATAGAAAATCTCAGAAATAAACAATTCATAAGTTTTAAATTGCACATTGTCCTGAATAGTATAATAATATCTCATATCGTCTCGCTCCATCTTGCCCAGGATGTGAATCATCCTCCTGTCCAATGTATTCAAGGTGTCTATGCTCCTAGCCCCTTAATCACTTAGTCAGTGACTCAGCGATCAGGCTGATCTTAATGGTATCTTGATGCTTGAGTTCTGCTAACCTTTATTTTACCTTTTTTTACAGCATATTGTTATAATTGTTCTATTTTATTACAGTTATTGTTGTTAATCTCTTATTGTGCCTAATTTATAAATTAAGTAGATATCTTTATCATAGATATGAATGCATAGGACAAACACACAGTATATGTAGTGTTCTGTACTAGCTACTAAATTCGAGCATCTACTGTGGGGTCTTGGAATATATTCCCCTTGGATAAGGAGGGACTACTATATGTAAAGAGCAAGTAAATGGGCTTTTCTGGTGCTGGGCTCATATTAGGTGTTTGAATAAATATACATTTTAATTGAACAAATAGTACATATTAACTTAGGAAGGGAGAGTGGGTTGAAAAGTAAAAAGATTCAAGTACTAGAGCTCTCACACAGCTAGTTCTCTCATTTGTCCTTGATCACTATGTTTATGGAATACTCTTACATTCTTTAAAATATTTTTTATAAAGATAATAAAGCAGGTGGAGACCTAATTTCCATAACAGCCTTCAAAGACACTTTCTCCTAATTTCCTTGAGCCTCTCCCCCTTCCCTTTCTTTAATAATTTAAATCCAGGCACTTTAGTGCATTTCAGATAGAGCTGGGATGAGATGACAGGAAACTGAATCTTGTTTTCTTCCACTGGAGGCATAAAGATACTTTGGGAGGCAATGCATGGCTGGTCTTGGAGCACGGGTGGGTGGACTGACCCGGCTTAGTCATTACCCCTGGGGTCTCCTGGGACTACTTGAGGTACAGACTGAGATGGAGACCATGACAAAGTACCCAATGAGAGCCTGGAACAGGAGGAAATGGCAGCACGGAGTTACCTGCTCATGGTGGTGTAGCATCCGTGGAGAGGAAGAGATGAGTGGGGGCATATGTTTACAAAGGCCCACTCTGGCTACTTTACCTCTGTCCAGGCCCACCCTCACTCGCTCTAACATCTGGCTCATCATTTTGAGGTTACAAACCTAAGAGGAAACTCCAAAAACACATAATGAATAATCTTTCAAAATGAATTAGTACTCAGGAGATTGATGAAGGGATGATGTTGGGCAGCAGGAACACATTTCCTAATCCTCCTTTTATCTTGTTTGCTCCCTTCTTCCCATATGTACACACTTGATTGCCTGCGCTTGGCTCCTCAACTCACCCGAAAGTGCTTGAACTCAGTCCAGTAGAAATTTATGTTCCTGCCTTATGGCTCAGATAGTTCTCATCCTCTTATGGCCAGACATAAGAAAGCTTCATGTTCAAATCAATCACAACATATTCAGATCTGAATGGCTAGTCCAATCATATCCTGAATTAGCTATTTAGAGCCACATCTCCATATACTATTAAATGTTCAATGGCCTGGGGACAGTGGTTTGGGTTTTATAATCAATTTATTATTCATTTGTCAGGATAAATTGGGCTTGAAACTTGATGGCAAGACTTCAAGCAACTATTGAACCAATGGCTTCTCATTTTACTATTTTAGATAGTAAGCTGCTAAGTACAATGTTCATGGGGCGTTAATGTTGCTTTGTTCAGCAACCAACAGAGATGAGGGCATAGGTAAGTGCTTAATAAGAATACCTAACAATTATTTTGAATATTGGAATACTTATGAGCAGAAGAGTTACGCTAAAATTTCTCTCATCCACTGTCTTTGCAAATATGCAGGCAGATAATGATCATTTGGGTCATCTCATTGATTATATGAGCATATATAGAACACATGTATTTTCTCTCTTATTTCCAAAATAGATGAAGATGCAAAATCCCTTTGAACTGGGGTGGTCGTGGTGGGAAAATGTTTTTAATACATTGCTTTTCTTTGAACATTTTGTTTTTTTTCCAACCAGCAATATAAATCTACTCCATTTTCATTTCTTTAGTGGGAAAAGGCTTATTAGAAAAAAAAATGGATAATGGCAAAACTTAGGAAAGCAATTAGCTTTGTATAAAACACAATGTACCGTAGTAGTGTATACAAATTCTAAATAAGGCTTTTTAGTTTAGAGCAACCAAAACACTTATGCCAACCTAAAAATAACTTTCTTCTCATTACTATGAACACACAGTTAGCAACACCTAGAAGGACAAGGAAAAACAACCCATAAATGGTTTCATAGATGTCCTGCAGAGAGGTTGAATTGTAAATTGTATGTTTTTAATTATACGCATTAATGTCTGCTAGAAAAAAGTGCCCAATAACAATGCTTTCTCAAAGGTAATAATACTCCAAAATAAGCTCCAAGATAATCACTTAACTGTGTATTATATAGGAGGTCTTTGAAGCAGTGGAACATTTTCTAATTATCCAGAAAATACGCTTAGAGTGCATGAAAACTTTATTCTTGAATTTTGTTCTTTAGGGTGGTATGGCTATAGCTTCACCACCCATAATGCATGGTCTGGCTAATGGGAAATAGTCCTGCTTAATGTGCAGTACTTAAATAAACAAAGAATTAAGAATCATTCTCACACATTGGAGAATGAGCAAGGCTTACTTGTGATTTAAGTGCCATATGTAAGGTCCATGCAACACTATAAATATCTCTCAACCTCCTCACTCCCCATTTCAGAATATAATACCATTAAGTTTTCCTTTCTTCGAATAATTTATTTTCTTCCCTTTAAATTCAGTACCAGTTTAGAACAATCTTACTCATCATTCTCATTATAATGGAATAAGTCTATAGATCATTTCCAAACTGAAAGTTAACTAATGTGCCTGCTGTGGATCATATTTCAGAGGAGAGTGGATGGATGGGAAAGTTGAGAGCTTGAGTAACCAGGAGGGCTGGATGGTTAATTCCACTGGTTAATTCTGGCAAACTGAAAGTTGTAGAAAGACCCTGGTTACCTGAGGGGCACGAAAGGTGGAACAAACAACAAAATACATTCCTTTTCTTATTTCTTGGACGCTAAAGCTGTTTTAAAGACTTTGTATATGTATCAAAGTAGTAGCACAATTCTGCAGCTTTATCTATCACAAGTTTCAATTTCATCACAAGATTTCTCTAGAGCCTCGAGTCTTCTGCCTCATTTGGTACAAGTTCCCATTCCTGCAAAGGTTTTAACCAGGTCTTCCTACATTCCCATCTTGATCTTCCAAACATAGGCTTTCTTTCTTTAAAATTCTCTCTTCCTCAGTCTTGTAAAGTGAAACCCATGTTTTCCCAGGCCATGGATGCCTGCGGGTTATAAGATAAAAACAACAACACTAAAAATTACATATATATATATATATATATATCCCCACCTGTCCTTTGGAAGCTGTAGTCCGTAAAAACATTTCTTCTAGGCCAGGTACAGAGACTCACGCCTGTAATCCCAGCACTTTGGGAGGCCGAGGCAGGAGGTTCACTTGAGCCCAGGAGCTCAAGGCTGCAGTGAACTATGATCACACAAGTGCACTCCAGCCTGGGTGACATAGAAAAAGACCTTGTCTTGAAAAAAAGTAACAAATAAAAATAAAATAAATGTCTCCCAAATGGTTCCGGGAGTCTAGAGAATGAAACTCTATATTTAACGCTCAAAGCTAAATCTTTTGAACTCAATATCTTGCTTAATACAAAGTAAGGACCTAGTAAATATACGTCATTTGGCTGTCTTGCTGACCATAAAGGTAAGCCATGATAATATATAAATATATTCACTTAATCACTCCTATATCTAATTACATGAATTTAGGAAAACGACCCAACAGATTCAGAAACAAGTGACTGAGTCTTGAAAAAGATTATTCAGACCAATCAGAATCTCTCTTAAAGTTATAAAATGAATATACATATATATACACATAAATAAATATACATATATATATACATAAATAATCATTATGCCACTCATGAATAAGTAACAAATGGAAAGATCACAATACGGATGGATTATAAAGGATCCAGTGAAACACAGGTTAAACATAGGTATAGTTACAAAGTAATGATAGAAAATTATTCTTAATTGACATTGATTGAGTACTGACCACGTCCTCTCCCTCATTTGATCTTTACAAAAATCCTATGAGGTAGGTAAAATTATTATTTTATCTGCAGAGAAGAAGAAATAGAAGCTTACAGAAGTGAAGTGCTTAGCCCAAGGTCTAAGACTCAAAACCCAATTTGTCTGATGAGAAGACTGAGCTCTTAACAAACTATAAGCTACTGTATCAGAGAAACTATTTAGCGATAGTGATAGAAATAAGAAATTCTTCAGAATGTAGACACTAATTTAAACTGTGAAACCCTACTATGAAGATGACTGAATTGAGGTCTTTACAGTCACCAGGGACCCAGTATCCTTGTAACTCCCTCCAGTCTCTGCAAAAACCTACTAAAGCTTTTGCTTTTGAATATTCATGATATCTTATTCTTTTTCTCACAGTACCTGTATAGTTCAAGTTGCTGGGGACTTTAGTGGATCTCAGATTTTTTATAACATAGTACCCTGCCAAAACTGGTCCAGGATTGTCTTACTGTGCTCAGGAAGTTGTCCCTTCAGCTACTGTCATTCCCCTTTTCTCCTGGTCTGGATCTTACCAGTGATATCAAAACCATTGTAAGGTCTCCCATCCTGATCTGCCAAGTATACTCTCCATTTTATCCCAAATCATCAATGCTGCAAAGAAATCTCTAAGACTGACCACAGTGAAATACTATTCCCAATTTTTCTGGATTCCAGTTGTCAGCTGATCCATTTTTCAGACGTTGTGACATTTTCATGCTCAATAGAAAGCCTGAATAGGGACCCCACCCTTCTACTCACCCCTGTTCCCCTAATCTCAGTAGGACAGAGGTTGCAAAGTCCTATTGCCTTGGGCTTCCAAAATCTTTCAGAGATTCTAATGAAAGAGCTCTTTCAGCTTTTAGTCAGTCTTTGCCATCTTCCCCCTACTTCCCTGGGAGCCAGGCACGAGGCCAATGGAGCCAGGGGACAATCTGAGTGAGCAATACCCAAACCCATACAGGATTCAAAATTTCCCCTCTCTTCTAACACTGACCCATTGTCCTTGGAACATATTTGGGCGCCTCTTGGGAGTTACTTCTTTGTTATATTATATATGCCAGTTGAAAGATTAAGAAAGGGCATTTAAGGTTAAGTCCTACGATGCACTATAATTGATGGTGAGAATGTGGCTTGAGTGGGAAGTTAAGAGAATCTGTCTCTGTCATGACAGATAATTTGAGTGAGGGCTGGGAATCTCACAGGTGAAGCAAGGTCAGACCAGAGCGAGAGGTTCTCAATTACAGTTTCAGTAGTGGAACTCATTTTTTTAATTAGTAAATTACTATGAAAAACTTCAGTATATAAAAAACTTGGAAACAAAGTTTGGCAATAACACTTCTATTTCTATTTCAACCATCTCTTCTTGTTCTCTACCAACTACCATATTCCAATAGGGACTGCTCTAGTATATAGTAGTAGAATAAGTAAGAGAAAATAACATTTACCGAGATATTATCATGCATCAAGAGTTACATACATTACCATATCTAATATTTATAGAGCACCCTTTTACATAAAACCAAAGCAAGGCACAGAGAAATAAAATAATACTGACCACATGACTTTGGTCTTCTCTTAACCATTATATATTATTTTCAGAGTAAACTACCCACAGGACATGCTGACATTTTAAAATAATTATCTAGTATAAAACTAACTTCACTTTAGAAAGAAGTAATTATTATTATGAAGCATAATTCATATGTTACATGGAATTTCATTTGTGATGAAGCTAAAAAATACAAGAGCCGCCTTGAAATAATGTTTTTGAGATGTGATTAAATCACTTGTGTATGACTCTATGTGGTAATGTTTTTTACGTTAAATGTGCAGAAAAAATTCTGCTTGTGTCTGTATTTTATATACCTGTATTATAAACCCAATTTTCAAATATCTGGCTTACTTAAAGAGGAGTTGCTTGTATTATACTAGAAGATAAAAATTGGTGTGAGTGAAATTTGTAAATTCTGAACATCTGAACTTAAAATACATATATATTTATATATTACATGTAAGTTATATTTATTATATTAAGAGTCAAAGAATAATAAAAAAATTGGGGGGATTAAACTCTAATTACAGGAATTGCTTGGAAGATATTTTATACTGTAGGAAAAAAGGCAACTAGCATTGAGCTCATATTGTATAACTAGTTGGATAAAAGTGAGAACTGTATATAACATTATTTCAAAGTTCCCAAGGTCGCCTCTTTAGTTCTCTTTTAACATGTATGCATTTCTTATTGATGCTTTATGTTCAATTTTTTTTATTAAAGCATTTGTAACAGAGCCTGGCAATTTCTTTTCGATTTTAGTAATTTCTTCTTCTTCCTTTTCTTTTTTTCCAACTGCTCTTTATTTTTTTTTAATCAAATCCTTTACTGATAACCTATCTCCAAAGACAGTGAGAAATCTCACAGCATTCTTTTTGGGGGAGCAGTTGTTCCTTTTTAGGTCACAAAAGTGCCTGGAGCTTTTGCTGTTCTAGAAAACAAGGGGAAGGGAAGCATCTCTGGATCTCTGGTCAACTCTCTGCATTGGTCATTCTCACTGGCATTACTCATTCTGGCTTATAATACCACTGCCCGTTACTAGACGTAAAGGCCCTGGTTGGCCTCAAAGTTGCTTTTTACAGTAGTTTTTTTGTTTGTTTGTTTGTCTTTTTTCTTTTTCACTCACAATATTTTAACCACAGTTAAGCATGACCATTTTTCTCTTGTTTGGCGTCCACATGAACCCACAAGCCAGCCTCCATCTTAGGTCCTGACACCACCTGGGTACAGACTGCAAAAAATCAAGGTTTTGTGGGGCCTGAAGATTATATTATTTGGAGGAATCTTTTAAGAGTCAGAATACCAATCACAAATCAAAATTAGTTATGAAAGTAAATAATTATCTGGAATGCGAAAAGAATCTCTAACAGATTACGAATTAGAAAACAGAAATCTGACCCATGAAACAAACCCACAAAATCCAGTGAAACAAAATAATTATTTAATTTTGTTAATGTTTATATGTTCTACACCAGTATTAAAAGATAATTAGATCTTTCCTTAGGAATGGTTGATGGAAATTGATTTTAATAATAATTTTATAATTCACTTTGAGCTTCACAACTTATTGTTATTTTATATAAAATTTTAGGATTGTTGTCATTCATTTTCCACAGAGCACTTTTTGGCTCCAGGCATTTCAAACTTCTCCCCCTCCCATATGTCTCTGGTGGTCAGTGTTGTAGGACACATTCAGGTTGCAATACAGTCTCGGGTCCTCTTCTTCCACGTCACGAGTGTTGATAAGGTGGATGGCAGAAATATCCTGCGAAGGCATTCTTACAGCAAGAGAGCTAGCAATAATGTAACTGTACATAATAGTGGCTGTAAGTCACAGCACTACACCCAATAAATCCAAAACAAGTGTAACTGGGACACAACTTATCCTTAGTCGGATTCCAAAAATGTCGATGGTCCTGTGGCCATTCTGACACCAGCCCACATAAGAGGAGATATGATGAAGGAAACAAGTGGAAAATGCAGGTAGTTTTAACTAATTATAATGAGGACAAAATGTCTTAATTCTGAAAAATGTTTAAATCCTATGACCATGTAAGTAGATTGATAGGGCCTCTCCTGGGCATTAGAATTGTCCTGTTTATGTGGGAGACTAAGACAATTAAGTTCATCATCTTCACAGAAAATATGTCCTTGATCCTAAACATCACACTCTACAATGTTGACACACAGTTTTCTTTTACTTTTTTTTTAATAATTTTTTCTTAGGTCTCATCTCCCTTTATTTTTCAAATGTTTTGCATTTCACTAAATGTTCAGATTTCAGAGGAATGTGTAAAATAAAATCAGTAGGTTAGAATTTAGGCACTTGGAATCGACTTTGTCCATAATATGATTTCATACACAGCTTACTATTAAACTCTGACTCCTAAATGTAAAGTAGAAAGTTTCATGCTATTGCATCACAGAAGAATCAACTCAGCTAATGCTTTCCCTTTCCCAGAATTCCTTCAGTTTAAGTAATGGAAATTCAACTTATACTAGGCCGGTTTCAGCCAAATAAAGTAAGAATGATTAATAATTCCTCATATAAAGTAGAAATGATGGGGCAGCTCTCCAAATCAAAGAAAACACTGCGGAAACCTTAAGAATCTCAGAACCAGGAACCAGAGATTCAATACTGCTAAAATTATTTATCTTCTGATATTTTTCTTCTTCTTTCTCCCTTTCTCCTTTTTCCTTTTGTTACTGTCCACAGGACGATTAGCCATCACACACTTGCAGAGTAAAAAAGTGCAGGTATCCCTACATATATCCTCCTTTGGTAATGAGAGACACAAGAGAACCTCTCTCCTCTAGTGACACTAAAATTAAACATTCTAGAAAGAAAACTGATTTATCTTGCTTAGGTAATGCAACCACCTTTGGAAGCTGGAGGGAAGTGGAATAATGTGGTCACTTCCAAACCACTCTAGATCATGGTGTGCCATTGTATAGATGGAGACGGTTGGAGGCCAACATTTATAAATAACATAGATTCATGATAAGGAATCTATGAATAACTTCATTTATTCATTTTTCTCATCTTATTATTTGTATCTATATTACTTTACAGGCTTATAGTCTTTCAGTTTAATCCCAAATGCAATAAGACTGTGCTGTATCTGCCTAAAATTTAACTTCTAAAAATACAGTTTCTTTTAGGGGTCATTTTAATTGCAGTTCCGAATTCCTTTCATGAATTATATGTTGTTTTCTCTGTGTACTTTAGTTAAATACAACACATATAATCCTAGTATTAAAGCTTTCAACAAATATGTTTATGCTGGGGACTTAAATCACAGAAAACCTTGGTGGGTAACACTCCTAAACTATTATTTAACATTTTTTGACCTTAAGGTTTTGGTTGAAAGATTATCCATAAGTTTAATTGTCATAACAAATTATCCTTTTCTATATTTTTTCACAGTATTTTTTTTCCTTGAGCTGCTCTCTGTCTATTCTAGATTTCTTTGTGATAGATGTGTTTCAAAGAGGAAACCAGAAAAATATCCTCAACCATAAACAGGTGTACTTTTTCATAATTTTCTTACTACCTCTGTTTCTCCACTTTTATTCTTTAATAGATATTGGAGTGGTGCAAGGTTCAATGTATAATCTTCTATTCTTTTAAAGTTTGTATAGTTGTGAGTTATATTAACCAAGTATGGGATTGGCTGGGAACAGATTTTATAGAACTAAAGTAGTACGTACTCTAAAGCTTACTTATCCTTTTTAATATTTTATAGTCCCTCAATACACCATCTTTTTAAAATATATATCTTTTTTATTATACTTTAAGTTCTAGGGCACATGTGTACAACGTCCAGGTTTGTTACATAGGTATACATATGCCTTGTTGGTTTGCTGCACCCATTAACTCGTCATTTACATTAGGTATTTCTCCTAATGCTATCCCTCCCCCACCCCCCCATCTCATGACAGACCCCAGTGTGTGGTGTTCCTCGCCCTGTCCCCGAGTGTTCTCATTGTTCAGTTCCCACCTATGAGTGAGAACATGCTGTGTTTGGTTTTCTCTCTTTGCGATAGTTTGCTCAGAATGATGGTTTCCTGCTTCATCCATGTCCCTACAAAGGACATAAACTCATCCTTTTTTATGGCTGCATAGTATTCCATGGTGTATATGTGCTACATTTTCTTAATCTAGTCAATCATTGATGGACATTTGGGTTGGTTCCAAGTCTTTGTTATTGTGAATAGTGCTGCAATAAACATACATGTGCATGTGTCTTTATAGCAGCATGATTTATAATCCTTTGGGTATATACCCAGTAATGGTATCGCTGGGTCAAATGGTATTTCTAGTTCTAGATCCTTGAGGAATCGCCACACTGTCTTCCGCAATGGTTGAACTAGTTTACTGTCCCACCAACAGTGTAAAAGTGTTCCTATTTCTCCACATCCTCTCCAGCACCTGTTGCTTCCTGACTTTTTAGTGATTGCCATTCTAACTGGTGTGAGATGGTATCTCATTGTGGTTTTGATTTGCATTTCATCAGTGATGATGAGCATTTTTTTCATGTGTCCATTGGCTGCATAAATGTCTTCTTTTGAAAAAGGTCTGTTCATATCCTTTGCCCACTTGTTGATGGGGTTGATTTTTTCTTGTAAACTTGTTTAAGTTCTTGGTAGATTCTAGATATTAGCCCTTTGTCAGATGGGTAGATTGCAAACATTTTCTCCCATTCTGTAGGTTGCCTGTTCACTCTGATGGTAGTTTCTTTTGCTGTGCAGAAGTTCTTTAGTTTAATTAGATCCCATTTGTCTATTTTGGCTTTTGTTGCCATTGCTTTTGGTGTCATGAAGTCCTTGCCCATGCCTATGTCCTGTTCTAGGGTTTTTATGGGTTTAGGTCTAACATTTAAGTCTTTAATCCATCTTGAATTAATTTTTGTATAAGGTGTAAGGAAGGGATCCAGTTTCAGCTTTCTACATATGGCTAGCCAGTTTTCCCAGCACCATTTATTAAATAGGGAATTCTTTCCCCATTTCTTACTTTCGTCAGGTTTGTCAAAGATCAGATGGTTGTAGATGTGTGGTGTTACTTCTGAGGGCTCTGTTCTGTTCCATTGGTCTATATCTCTGTCTTGGTACCAGTACCATGCTGTTTTGGTTACTGTAGGCTTGTAGTATAGTTGGAAGTCAGGTGGCATGATGCCTGTAGCCTTGTTCTTTTTGCTTAGGATTGTCATGGCAATGCGGGCTCTTTTTTAGTTCCATAGGAACTTTAAAGTAGCTTTTTCCAATTCTGTGAAGAAAGTTATTGGTAGCTTGATGGGGATGGCATTGAATCTATAAATTATCTTGAGCAGTATGGCCATTTTCACAATATTGATTCTTCGTATCCATGAGCATGGAATGTTCTTCCATTTGTTTGTGTCCTCTTTTATTTCATTGAGTAGTGTTTTGTAGTTTTCCTTGAAAAGGCCCTTCACATCCCTTGTAAGTTATATTCCTAGGTATTTTATTCTCTTTGTAGCAATTGTGAATGAGAGTTCACTCAAGATTTGGCTCTCTGTTTGTCTGTTATTGCTGTGTAAGAATGCGTGTGATTTTTGCACATTGATTTTGTATCCTGAGACTTTGCTGAAGTTGCTTATCAGCTTAAGGAGATTTTGGGCTGAGACAAGGGGTTTTCTAAATATACAATCATGTCATCTGCAAACAGGGACAATTTGACTTCCTCTTTTCCTTTTTGAATACCATTTATTTTTTTCTCTGGCCTGACTGCCCTGGTCAGAACTTCCAACACTATGTTGAATAGGAGTGGTGAGAGAGGGCATCCCTGTCTTGTGCCAGTTTTCAAAGGGAATGCTTCCAGTTTTTGCCTATTCAGTATGACACTGGCTGTGGGTTTGTGATAAATAGCTCTGATTATTTTGAGATATGTTTCATCAGTACTTAGTTTATTGAGAGTTTTTAGCATGAATGGATGTTGAATTGTTGAAGGCCTTTTCTGCATTTATTGAGATAATCTTGTGGTTTTTGTCTTTGGTTCTGTTTATGTGATGGATTATGTTTATTGATTTGCATATGTTTAAGCAGCCTTGCATCCCAAGGATGAAACCAACTTGGTCTTGGTGGATAAGGTTTTTGATGTGCTGCTGGATTCAGTTTGCCAGTATTTTATTGAGGATTTTTGCGTCGATGTTCATCAGGGATATTGGTCAAAAATTATCTTTTTTTGTTGTGTCTCTACCAGGCTTTGGTATTAGGATAATGCTGGCCTCATAAAGTGAGTTAGGGAGGATTCCCTCTTTTTCTGTTGATTGGAATAGTTTCAGAAGGAATGGTATCAGCTCTTCTTTGTACCTCTGGTAGAATTCAGCTGTGAATCCGTCTGGTCCTGGACTTTTTTTGGTTGGTAAGCTATTAATTATTGCCTCAATTTCAGAGTGTGTTATTGGTCTATTCAGGGATTCAACTTCTTCCTGTTTTAGTTTTGAGAGGGTGTATGTGTCCAGGAATTTATCCATTTCTTCTAGATTTTCTAATTTATTTGCGTAGAGGTGTTTATAGTATTCTCTGATGGTAGTTTGTATTTCTGTGGGATCAGTGGTGGTATCCCCTTTATCATTTTTTATTGTGCCTATTTGATTCTTCTCTCTTTTCTTCTTTGTTACTTTTGCTAGAGGTCTATCAATTTTGTTGGTCTTTTCAAAAAACCAACTCCTGGATTCACTGATTTTTTGAAGGGTTTTTTGTGTCTCTATCTCCTTCACTTCTGCTCTGATCTTAGCTGTTTCTTGCCTTCTGCTAGCTTTTGAATTTGTTTGCTGTTGCTTCCCTAGTTATTTTAATCGTGGTGTTAGGGTGTCGATTTTAGATCTTTCCTGCTTTCTCTTGTGGGCATTTAGTGCTATAAATTTCCCTCTACACACTACTTTAAATGTGTCCCAGAGATTCTGGTATGTTGTGTTTTTGTTCTCATAGGTTTCGAAGAACATCTTTATTTCTGCCTTCATTTCATTATTTACCCAGCAGTCATTTAGGAGTGGGTTGCTCAGTTTTCATGTAGTTGTGAGGTTTTGAATGATTTTCTTAATTCTGAGTTCTAATTTGATTGCACTGTGGTCTGAGAGACAGTTTGTTATGATTTGTCTTCTTTTACATTTGCTGAGGAGAGCTTTACTTCCAACTATGTGGTCAATTTTGGAATAAGTGCAATATGGTACTGAGGAGAATACATATTCTCTTGATTTGGGGTGAACAGTTCTGTAGATGTCTATTAGATCTGTTTGGTGTAGAGCTGAGTTCAAGTGCTGGATATCCTTGCTAACTTTCTGTCCAGTTGATCTAATATTGACAGTGCGGTGTTAAAGTCTCCCAGTATTATTGTGTGGGAGTCTAAGTCTCTTTTTAGGTCTCTCAGGGCTTGCTTTATGAAAGTGGGTGCTCCTGTATTGGGTGCATATATATTTAGGATAGTTAGCTCTTCTTGTTGAATTGATCCCTTTACCATTATGTAATGGCCTTCTTTGTCTCTTTTGATCTTTGTTGGCTTAAAGTCTGTTTTATCAGAGACTAGGATTGCAATCCCTGCTTTTTCTTTGCTTTCCATTTGCTTGGTAGGTCTTCCTCCATCCCTTTATTTTGAGCATATGTGTATCTCTGCATGTGAGATGGGTCTTCTGAATACAGCACACTAATGGGTCTTGACTCTTTAACCAATTTGCCAGTCTCTGTCTTTTAATTGGGGCATTTAGCCCATTTAAATTTAAGGTTAATGTTGTTATGTGTGAATTTGATCGTGTCATTCTGATGTTAGCTGGTTATTTTGCTCCTTAGTTGATGCAGTTTATTCCTAGCATTGATGGTCTTTACAATTTGGCATGTTTTTGCAGTGGCTGGTACCAGTTGTTCCTTTCCATGTTTAGTGCTTCCTTCAGGATCTCTTGTAAGGCAGTCCTGGTCATGACAAAATCTCTCAGCATTTGCTTGTCTGTTAAGGATTTTATTTCTTCCTCACTTATGAAACTTAGTTTGGCTGGATATGAAATTCTGGGTTGAAAATTCTTTTCTTTAAGAATGTTGAATATTGGCCCCCACTCTCTTCTGTCTTGTAGTGTTTCTGCCAAGAACCTGCAGTTAGTCTGATGGGATTCCCTTTGTGGGTAACCCGACCTTTCTCTCTGGCTGCTCTTAGCATTTTTTCCTTCATTTCAACCTTGGTGAGGCTGACAATTGTCTTGGGGTTGCTCTTCTTGAGGAGTATCTTTGTGGTGTTCTCTGTATTTCCTGAATTTGAATGTTGGCCTGTCTTGCTAGGTTGGGGAAGTTCTCCTGGATAATATCCTGAATAGTGTTTTCCAGCTTAATTCCATTCTTCCCATCACTTTCAGGTACACCAATCAAAAGTAGATTTGGTCTTTTCACATAGTCCCATATTTCTTGGAGGCTTTGTTCATTTCTTTTTACTCTTCTTTATCTAAACTTCTCTTCTTGCTTCATTTCATTCATTTGATCTTCAATCACTGATATCCTTTCTTCCACTTGATCGAATCGGCTACTGAAGCTTGTGCATGTGTCACGTAGTTCTCATGCCACGGTTTTCAGCTCCATCAGGTCATTTAAGGTCTTCTCTACACTGTTTATTCTAGTTAGCCATTCATCTAATCTTTTTTCAAGGTTTTTAGCTTCCTTGCGATGGGTTTGGACATCCTCCTTTAGCTCAGAGAAGTTTGTTATTACAGACTTTCTGAAGCCTACTTCTGTTAACTCGTCAAAGTCATTCTCCGTCCTGCTTTGTTCCATTGCTGTTGAAGAGCTGCAATCCTTTGGAGGAGAATAGGCACTCTGGTTTTTAGAATTTTCAGCTTTTCTGCTCTGGTTTCTCCCCATCTTTATGGTTTTATCTTCCTTTTGTCTTTGATTTTGGTGACCAACAGATGGGGTTTTGGTGTGGATGTCCTTTTTGTTGATGTTGATGCTATTCCTTTCTGTTTGTTAGTTTCCTTCTAACAGGCAGATCCCTCAGCTGCAGGTTTTTGGAGTTTGCTGGAGGTCCACTCCAGACCCTGTTTGTCTGGGTTTCACCAGCAGAGGCTGTAGAACAGCAAATATTCCTGCCTGATCCTTCCTCTGGAAGCTTCATCTCAGAGGGGCACACAGCTGTATGAGATGTCAGTCGGCCCCTACTGGGAGGTGTCTCCAAGTTAGGCTACACGGGGGTCAGGGACCCACTTAAGGAGGCAGTCCATCCGTTCTCATAGCTCAAACACCATGCTGGGAGAACCACTGCTCTCTTCAGAGCTGTCAGACAGGGACATTTAAGTCTGCAGAAGTTTCTGCTGCCTTTTGTTCAGCTATGCCCTGCCCCCAGAGGTGGAGTCTACAGAGGCAGGCTAGCCTCATTGAGCTGCGGTGGATTCCACCTAGTTCAAACTTCCAGGCTGCTTTGTTTACCTACTCAAGCCTCAGCAATGGCAGATGCCCCTCCCCCAGCCAGGCTTGCCACCTTGCAGATCGATCTTGGACTAGCAGTGAGCAAGTCCTGCTGCCAGTGGTACCTGCTGAGCCATCCACGGGATATAATCTCCTGGTGTGCCATTTGCTAAGACCATTGGAAAAGCACAGTGTTTAGGTGGCAGTGTCCCGATTTTCCCAATACAGTCTATCACGGCTTCCCTTGGCTAGGAAAGGGAAATTCCCTGACCCCTTGTGCTTCCTGGGTGAGGCGATGCCCTGCTCTGCTTTGGCTTGCTGTCCATGGGCTGCACCCACTTTCTGACCAGTCCCAATGAGATGAAAGAGGTACCTCAGTTGGAAATGCAGAAATCACCTGTCTTCTGTGTCAATCATGCTGGGAGCTGCAGACCAGAGCTGTTTCTATTTGGCCATCTTGGAACGGACCACTCCAATACATCATCTTTTGATAACAAGTATTGTTTTGTAAAACATTTTTAAAAGACAAAAAAATAGAGCAAGGAAATAATTGATTCTGTATGTTACAAAACAAGAAAGCAACTTGTATATGTCATTCACAGATAATTCTTAAGAAATAATTGAAACGGTTTTTGATGGGACTACTGTTAAAGACTGCTTTAAAGACCATCAAAAGCCATTTCTATTTCCTGAAATTTACTTCCTTAGAAATTTTATTCCATCCATCCAAAAAATAAAAATAAAAAGACTTAGAAGGAATTATCCTGTCTTTTCTAAGATAGTGAAATATGTGATGTAGAGATTATAGGAGAAGAGTGAAGGTACAAATTTAATCAGGAGTGGATGTCCTTTCTTTAGACTTATACATCAGAGACAGAATGTCCTCGGAACTAATTTGAGTTTTTGTTATCAATGAAAAAGATAGTAATGCTATTGGACAGGTTACCAACCATGAGTGCCAGTAGGGAGTAATAATACTTACTTCAGGAGTTATTTTATGGATTCAGTGGGTTAGTATTAAGTTGTAACATATGTAAAGAATTTAAATTTGTGTCTAAGACGTAGTAGGTGCTCAATACATTTATGTTTTTCATCCTCAAAAAGTAATCATTCCGACCAAGATGGAGTAACAGGAACTGAATTTAGCTTCCCACTGGAAACATAACAACAGCAACGACAAGAAAATTCAGACAAAATAAACAGTAGCTCTCAAGACAGGATATCAGGTTATGAAGGTAATATCATTTTATGAATACTTGAAAGGTGGAAAACAAACAAGGTGAGCCCTAAGTTTGCCCCTGGGTTATTGCCTCAGTGGTTTCCTGGCCACAGCACGAAGAGAGGGAACTGAGATGGAGCCCAGAGAAATTGCTGAGTTGAGGAGATACAGCTGGGAGCCCAGGGAAACCAAGGCCATTAGACTTCATGGGACAGAATACCTGAAGGAGAAAGCTGCACAGGAGACCCCTGCACAAGTGCAGTCTTCCTTCAGTATTCAGCAGTGTATCAATCAGCACATGCCTGTGGGAAACTACTGAAGGCTGGAGAATCATTCAAAAGGATTAGAGGAAACAGTACCTGGTGTGCACACAGGGCCAGGAACAATGCTTGTTCCTACAAAATATACCAGAAAGACTCTTAATTCACAGAGCATTGGACTGCGTCCTCAGGAAGGTCTTCCCTCAGTACTGAGGAATAATTATTCCTGAGTGAACACTTCTGGACCTAAATTGCATCCCAGAACAAAGCTCAAGATTTAAAAGAAGAATAGATAGCATCCAAAGAGACAAAAGTCCCAATGTTTGGCATTGAATGTAAGATTAACAAGCATGCAAAAAGAGAAGAAAAATGTGACCTGTAATGAGGAAAATTATCAGTCAATTGAAACGGACCCAGAATGAACACAGATACAAATAATAGGAATGACATTAAAATATTTATTACAAAACAAACAAGGGAACAAAAAAACAGTTATTACAACTCTATTTCGTATGTTCAAAGAGTTTATAGAGCAGAGAAAAATTTAAAAAGATCCAGAATGAAACTCTAATGGTGAAACTACAATGTCTGATATGAAAAACAAAACCAAGCAAACAAACAAAAAACACTTGGTGGAATTTAAAAGGCTGGACATTGCAGGAGAAAATACTAGTGAACTTGAAGACTTAGCAGCAAAAAACTATCTAAAATGAAACACAGGGAGAAAAAAGGTAATTTTAAGAGATAAAAAGATCATTAGTGAGCAGCAGAACAATTTCAGTTGACCCTAACATAGGAGTAACTGTTGTTTCTGAAGAAAATGTATCTGAAAAATTGCACCCAAACTTCCAGATGTAATGAAAACTATAAACTCACAAATTCAAGAAGCTCAAAAGACCCATAAAAAATAAAAAAAAATATACTAAGGTATATCATGATACAATTTCTCAAAACCTGTATTAGGAGCAACCCTTAAAAAATCCAGAAGAAAAGGACATGGTCTGTTCAAGGAAACAAAGATTAAAAAAAAGAAAATATTAGATTTCTTGTCTAAAACTTACTTTTTTTTTGACAAAAATTATCAAACCTGAATTCTATAGCTGGCAAGAAATATTTTCCAAAAATGAAGGCAAAATATATTTTATTTTTCAGACCTTCAATGCCTGAGGGAATTCATCCCCAGCCCTACAAGAAATAGTAAATTAAGTCCTTCAGACTAAGGAAAATGAGAGTAGATGAAAATCCAGATTTACACAAAAAGGAAAGAGAACTAGAAATGATAACTACATAAGTAAATATACATTCCTGTCTTATTATCTAAATATCTTTAAATAATAATGGATTCTTTGAACAAAAATAATAAATCATTTGGGGTTTTATAACATGAGGAGTAAAATGTGGGACACACATTTTATGGTTCTGTGGATAATCTAGGGATTGTTTCGAGCATAAGCCAGCCTAACTAATAATATTGTTGGAGAGAAAATTGTAAGAAAATGGTCCTGAATGTGGGACTTATATGAAAATTCTAAATTAACTGAATAGAAATGTGTACAGGACTGGTACTTGGAGATCACTCCCATATAGACAGAGGCATTGCTGTAGGATCCTTCATAGTTCCCTCATTTCCCAGTCTCCACACCTGAATCTCTCAAATGGTACCCTTAACACAATTGAATTTTACTCATAAATTGTGAAATATTAATTAAAAATATATAATTATATATCCCTCTTCAAGGTTGAAAAACTCGGGTAAGACAAATACTATACTTTAAACGATGGCCCACAAAATATCATTACAAAGATGTATTCCTTATGTCTTAAATCACAAATCTGTGGAGAAGGAGATCAAATAGAGAAAAAGGAGGAAAGAATCTTACTTTTGAACACTTGCACGTGAAAGATTATAGGCATCCCTGGAACCTGTACAAAGGCTCTGCAATTATAGATTGATCTACCTGTATATTTTCAGAACCAAGTAATGTCTACCACTCCAAGGGGGGACTTTTTTAAAAGGCATAATAGTAGTTTTTTAGCTATATACAAATGATAAAAGCAAAGACATCAAAGTGGGTAGCCTTTCAACTCATGCTCAATTAGAATAAAAGTTTGGTTGCTGTTTTAAACATTTATGACTAACTAACTGTGACAGACTCTCAGCTTTGCAAACGGGATGATTTTCAGTTGACTTTTGATCTGACTGACAGTTCCTTATACACTTCAGTGTTAGTTTATAACACATGAGCCCACATCTGAATACACATGTGACTAATTAGGGACTGTTTATGGGCCATCCATATAAATTTAACACACAAGAGTGAAGGCATTTTCAACTAGAGGTCATGATTTTAATGAAATACAGCTAATTAACAAAGGTGCCTGACCTAATTTTTTGTATTGTTAAATTTTTAAAAAATGAATAAAATCTAAAATAAAGCGGATTTTGCATATATATCTGATGGAACATAGTAGATCATTTTAAAGGTCAATATTATGACTAGGAAACAAAAATTATGATGAAGGTATTTCTTTTAAAAGCATGGTAACACTATAATAAGCTAATATTGTAGACAGTATTCTGGATCTTGATTTCTAAGAACTTTGTGTCTGAGATTTCCCAAGTGTCATAATGTGCTTTGTTTTAGAGGTTTGACTGCACCCCAAAATTTAGGTCTGATCCCAGCTTTGCCACTTACTAGCTGGAGAATTTGGGGAAGACTCTTAACCTCATCTGCCTTAATTTGAGTATCTAAAAAAAAAAAGTGGGAATAATAATAGTGAAACTCCCTTCGCAAAAATTATATCAGTGAGATACTTTTGGCAGTGGGGGAGAGCCAGTCTAACCAACCACAATTCTTGCCTTTAGCTTTCAAGCTGCCTTAATTATTTCTGGGCTTAGGAAGAGCTAACTTTGGAAAATATTTAGGTTATAGTTTAAATGACAATAGTCATTCTCCTAAACTCAACAGCTTTTATAAATCTAATGAGAGACTACCAAGCTAGGGGGAGGAGAAGAGCATGAATTCTTTTAAGGTGTGGAATGGTCATAAAATATGAAACTTCTCCAATCACTCCTACAGATAACCACTATTGTAGATTGGACTTTTGAGGTATCTCTTCTGGGTTTTGCATGTCTAACACCAATAGCACCAGTAGCTGACTCAGCTCAAGAAGACAGCTTTAACCCCCTATGATTTCATCTCTAACCCAACCAACAAGCAGAAAGCACCCATTTCATAGTCACCCCCACTCCTTTCCCCAAACCATCTTTGAAAAACCCCTAACCTATAAGCCGTCGATGAGATTGATTTGAGTAATAACTCCGTCTCCTGTGTGGCCTCTTGTCAATTGAACTCTTTACTACAGTGCCATTGTCTTTATTTGGGCAGTGGCAGGAAGTATCCATGAGGTGGTTACAATAGTACCAACCTCAGGATTGCTGGGAGAAGTTAACTCATGCAAGACACTTAGAAGAGTGACAACACTTGGTAAAATACACAACAGCTATTTATTATTATTTAATAAAAACAATCACTGTCAGGTGTGAACTGCCTATATTGTGCCTTAAAGAGGTATGCAGTGGCAATCCTATAAGAGGAGAGTCAAAAAAAGGTCTTAGAACTCAGATTTATCAGTGAGATGTAATAAATTTAGTAACATCATTATTCCAAATCACATTTTCTACTGTTTCAAGCAGAAAAGACTACTTTTTTCAAGTGTGAGTTATCTGACAAGAGCCTTCCTCTGAATATTTACTTGAATGTCACCTAGGAAATACTGTTTACAATGACTCATCATGCTGGACATGGAGGGAAGACCCAGTGTTTCACTGAAACTCTCCATAGATCTTAGGGTATTGTGGTGATGTTCTCATTTCCTCTAGACACATCTGGCTTTGAGCTTTGGACTTTTCTGAACTAATTCATTTCATCACCTGATCCCTAGACTTTTATTCCATATTGTATCACACGATAATGACTACTTTTTCTAGCTTACCTCTGTGGTTCACATCACGTGCCCTGAGTCCACATCAGATTTTAGCCACTGAGTGGTAGACCATTCAGCTTCACCCCAAACCTAAGATCATCCCATTTTAGGCGCCGGCATTCTGTCTTTCTGCATTCTGTCACAAAGTCTTTTGTGGCAATGTGGGGGCTCATTGACCTGGACACAAGTGTCATCTATAAATAAAGAAGAGCTAACACCTCTAAGATGACCCTCAACCAAAGGGAAACAGGAACCTGTAGGCAGAGTGCTCCACGCTCCTGTCTTTCCTTACCATCCTGCACATTTCTGTGAGACTAGGAAGGAATGAAGGCCCTAGTGTATACAGTAGAGATCTCAATGATTCACCCTTACTCTGTTTTCCTCCTTCCTTTTTAAATTTTCTCTGCTTCTTAGAATCAGAATTTATTTATCTAAAATAAATTAACTACCTGGACACAAGTTATTTTTCCACATGGGCTTTGCCTCAGGGAGTACCTAAACTGAGTTATTCTTCCAAATTCTATTGACACAAAATGCTGGCTTAGAAGGCTTTTCTTTAAGAATGAGGACTGCAGGGGGAATTTATGTGAGAGAATTGCAAACCAGTTAAGGCTGAATAATTAGACACTCCTGTTCTTAAAATCACCCGGACTCCTCCATGACTGGAGACTCTCAACTGGCAGTATCTTACCACAGGCTCTACCCTTCTGCCAAGATGTATGGCTCACTCTGCTCCTCCCTAGACTTGGTCTCTTTCATCTCCCACCTTCATCCCCTAATCCCTCTTAAACTTACAAATTAGCAGTTTATCTATTATTGGTTTTCTTGGTTTATTGTAGTGTTGGTCTGCGAAATATTTTCCCGAAGTTTGTTATCTCAATGGAAGAAATCTCTGGGACAAGAGGTTGAAGTAACAATACTTCCCCTATTAGACTAGCATTGTTTACTAAACGTAGAAATTCTAATAGGGTACCCAGTAAATGGGACTTGTTTTTTTGTTTGTTTGTTTTTTTCCAAAAGAAGTTTCTAAGAGATACTAAGCAAACAGGAGCCATTATATTAGAACAGAAATTCTTTGATTTTTTTCCCTCAACATTTGGATGGTTTCCATTATCTCAGAGGGTAATACTAATTCTTTGCTGACTCAGAAAGACTTTTCTAATTTTCGGAAATATATCATAACAAGGAATGTAGTGCTTTTACCAAGACTGCTTAGTAAAATCCATGAGGTTGCTAAAGGTGTGACTCTCCCAGACTACAAATCTTTAACAAGCACCTAAACATAATTGAGCATATAGTTTTAAATCTCTTCCAATTTCTTCATTGAGTTTGCAGTTTTCAAACATGAGTGCCTGTTATTCAAAGCTTCAGACTTTGCTATGATTTCTAGATAGAAACAAGTGGAAAAAAAGAAACAGAGGAAACTTTGCTTATTTAAATCACTTCCTTAATTTGATAGCTCAGGATATTTTACATAGATAATATTCTACCGCCACATACTGCAAGTATCTGTGGAACTTCCTGAGAATCTGCAATGAAACGTGCTCAAATGTCTAAAGATATAATAACATTTTCTTGATAAATAATGCTTCCATGTCACATAAAATAAAACTGTCAGCATTCCTTTGTAGGTTTCTCTCAAGCTTAAGAGCAGGTCCTTGACAGTTCTAGCATTGTCTTTAAATATCTTATTGAAATGTAGATTAACACTGTGACATCTTAAAATTGTTGGAAAACCTTTTCCTTTTAAGATTTGTAGATAAGTGAGTATTAATAAGTATTAGCATAGCCACTGTATTTTAGCATTTTATTCTAAATGTTGATCTTCCCCCAGGACCTAATATTTAGATTCATTTTAAAACACAGCAGACTACTTAAGACTGTAAAGTGGATTTTGCATTGAAAGGCCGTGTAGATAGATATGTCTTCAGATCATCAATTTCCGCTACTCAGTCATTATCAAGATCAAGTTGAAGATAAAAGCAAATGCTTCTTCAAATATCTATAGATCCAAAAAAATCTAAAATTGAGGGAAAAAAAAGTATATCCCGTACAATTTTAGCACAGTGTCCTAATTTAGCAATGCTTGATAAATATGTATTTATTGATTTAAAATTATAATTAAGTCTATGATAACACAAGTGAAAGTAAAGGTAAGAAACCATGTTTTAGAGTTTGGTGTTTTATTAGAGGCTATTGACTTTCTCCTTCATTGTTACCTGCCCCCCACTGGTGGGTAGGACAAGATTGGGTGCTTATCTTTTACCCAAACTTTCCTGCTGCACCTGCATTCAGGGTTCTACTTCCATTTATTTCTGAAGTCAGGGTAGTAATCTTATTACTCCCATTAGCAATCAGGATATATTGATCACATCTAACACGAAGTGAAGACCTGGCAAAATAGTTTTTCTAAATAAATGATTCTTAATTTTTTCTGTAATGAAATGCCAGAGTTTTGCTTTTAGTTTTTCAACTCCAGCATTGCTAAATTAACTGTATAATATTTCTTAATGATCAGTTGGGATTGCTAAATATTTGGAGTAAAAAAGCATAAAATTATTGAATATTTATTCATATCTAGAAAACGCCAGGAATTATAAAAGATGCAAAGGACATAAGACATTGCCTTGCCTTTGTGGGAAAATACAGTCATATTGGAAAAACTAGGTGGATATGCTTCAGCTCAATTAGAAACCTTTAGTATAAAGACAGTGAAATAAATGGGGGCAGCAACAGAAATCAATATTGGTTGCATTTGGGAGAAGGTAGAAAATGAATAACTAGGAATCAAGATTTGGGAATTATAATTTTTCTGAAAACCTTGGTGGCATTTATTTAAGTACAGAACTCACATTATTGGAGAATCTGTCGAGAAATACCCCAGGTTTTATACATTTACTGAGACATGCTATTACAGCTTCATATTTATCTTACGATTTGTCATCTTTAACTTTGCCAAGAACAATTATAGAAATATTGTATGATGAATGTTAATACATAGGATTGTATTAATGTAGGATGGATGTTAATACATAGCAAACACAAGGAAGGGTAACCTGCTCATGAAAGTGCTGGAGATTACGTGTTAGAGCTAGTGCCTTTTCAAAATTATATGCTCAAGAGGAATTCCCCTAACAAATTGCTTTTTACCCAATCATTTTCAGTAAATTAGAAATTATACCGACATTTTATTTTAAAATGAAGGAATGAAATATATAGGCACTTTTATCTTTATGCATATATATAAATATCTTTACATACATACATACATATGCATATTCTTAATTGTCATATCAGTTTGTTGAAAAATTGCATCAAAAATACTTAAGAGATCATGAGAGTTATTTATGCCCCCAAAGGTATAGTATTTAGCTGAGTAATTTATTATTATTAATTACTTATCTATAAAATAGTAGATTTTAAAATAGAATTATTTGGCAAAAGTGGTGTTAAAAAAATGTGTCACAGAAATGGAATTACTTCAGTACTGCAACAGGCAGATGCACATCAAATGTATATAAACATCTGAGTACAAATGAGAAAATATTGGCCTCATTTCCAATGAAATGGAAACAAGATATTAAAGAAACTTTATCAGAAATGAAACAGAAAAAGATCAGAGCCAGGTATGTAGAATCTCAAAGGCCTATGAGCCAAAGAAAAGTAATTTAACTTTAAACTACTCAATGAAAATGACCATATTCCTATAGAACTGCTGAAATATACAAAATAGTAAATGTTTAAATTGTAGAAAATAATTTGTTCTTCTATAGTATCCAATAATGAGAATACACTAAAGCACTTCCTTGGGAAATATTTCCTCTCCTCAAATGCAAGATTAGATGTGAGTAGATTCACCATAAAGTCGTTCATGTTTGAGCTTTAAAAAGGAAGACATACTTGGTTGGCCTAATCAAGGTTAAATTTGATATTTAAAAGGATTAAAAAACTCAAGGAAAAAAAAAAAGACGTAGTCAGCCTTGGGCAAAGCAACACATTTTATGAACACATCTTGAGTTCTTAATTAACATATAATGAGTGAATTCCATGATTTAGGATTAATTATCCTAATTCTTTTTTTTCATAATCTAGGGCATTTGAAGATTAATCATTCCAATAATCCTTTCGAAAATCTGGACCAGTAGAATTACCTGGGAAGCTTTTAAAGCTATAAATCTATCTTCTGAAATTCATTAATTCATCCAATATTTATTTAGTGCTTATTCTAGTCACATTGATAGGGGACTCAGAGATGATCATAGATGATGCCTGCCTTCACAGAGCTCACTCTAGTAAGGAAAAAAAGTTAAGACAATTTATTTTTGCATAAAAGTTTTACAAATTTAAAATGGGGAGTTTGGAACATACAGAAATAAATAATAATCAAGACACTTTAATCAGAAGAACTTAATACAGATTTCATCCTAAGAAGGGAACTCTGACTACTGTGTGCAGAATGGATTTAAGGATTGGTTTTGGTGAGAGAGAAAGCTGGAAACCCAATTATAAGGCAACTGCAGTAGACAAGGTAATCAGACTCCAAAATGCTGACAATCATGAATGGCATAAAAACTGCTCTTTTGTCTTTCAACTTCCAATTTTGTTGAGCTAGTGGGAGATACCAGCCTGAGAAAGGAGAGTGGCAGCAGAATGAGTTGGGATATTTATTCCCCCTGCTCTTTCCTTGCTTCAACTTTTCTAGTCCCTCTCTCAAAGGCAACACCTTATCTCAGACAGTTCTTACCATCAGACTATCCTGTCTAGTTTCCAGTAACTGTTCCCTTCCATTGTCCCTTTAGCCTAAATTGTTATAGTTCCCTGTTGCTCCTAGCCTTGAGGTCTTGAAGTATTTCTTTTTGTTTTCCTCAAACCTAATTATATCTTTTAAATATGTTTTTATTAAACTCCCTCTTCACGTTACTTACTTTGAGCAGGTTACTCTTTCCCGGCAGGCCTCTGAATAATACGTGTGGCAGTTGTGGAGGAAAAGAGATGTGGACATACTTACATGCATTTGATAATAAAGAAGACAAGACCTAGTGATGGTTTAGAATTGGACGGTGAGAAAAAGAGAGGTATCAAAGATGGCTTCCAGATGATTTCTGGTGTGACCAATAGGTAGATGGAGGGACCCTTTGTAAGAGATAGGGAGAGTAGAGGATAAACCAAGTGGGATTGAGCAGGTCAAGAGTTCAGTCTGAGCCATGTTCAGTAGAACTGTTGAGCAGACAATATGAAATTAGTCAAGAACTTAGAAGAAAAGACAAGGATGTCAATACACATTTTGTTGAGGTGAGTGCATCAGTGTTATTTCAATGGCATGCAGAAATGAGAAATACAAAGGTCTAGGTCCCCATGGAAGTTAGGATATGCTGGGGAAGAAGATTTGAAAGAAATCATAAACTACAAGATTCAATTACTGTTACACAAAAAAATGCAGGAAAGCATAAGACAACCTAATAAGAAGACAATCATTTTTAAAGGGTTAAAAAAATGGCAACTCAAATTATATCCCAGTGGAGACATGTTGAGTGGGTGAAAAGATGGAGGAAAAATGTTCCAGGCAGTTGAAATGGTATTTGTTTTAAGTCTCTGTGGAAAGATGGAAATTAGTTCACTTGAGAAACTAAAGAGTGGCCAGTGTGGCTGGAGAATAGAAAGCAAAAGAGGAAGTGGCTTAAGATGAAGTTGCAGGTCATGCTAAAGCTGAGTCTGCTAGGTTCTGACTGCTGGGATGCTATTTGATATCAAGAGATTTTGCAGCTTAACTCTAATCAAATCCTAAAAGGATCTCAGCTGTTATGAGAGATCCATTCATTATTAGGTATTAGGTCTTACCCATGCACATCAGACAAAATTGAGATAATATTGTTCAAATGATTTTACAGCCAGACCAATTGACATCTAATCTGTGGTAAAGCACTATTAGACAAGGAAAGTTGGTGATGGAAAAGAAAGTGTATTTGATGTATTAAATCACATGGAAGCAAATATATACAAGTCTAATATTTATGTATGGCCTTATACCTTGAGTGGAACTTTGTAAACTGAAAATCATTTGTGATTTTTTTCTCTTATGTACCCTTGCACTTGTTTGTATTATTATATGTTCAAACCAAACCTATCACATAGAAATCCTATGAAGTAAAACTTAAGGTTACTTAAGGCTTATTTTGGAAAACTTCACTGTGATTTTAGCATTAAATTTAATTTTCCAGGTCTCTTAGCAAAGGCTTGTGTTTTCACTGACTTAGAGGAAATACATTTATAGCTAAATCTCACATTGCTGGTGGTCACTGACTCTGGTCCACATAACAAGTACACACGAGTGAATTATGTTTCTATTCAAGGATTATGCATTTCTTCTTCAAATGAAGAAAAAAAATGTTAGGAATATTTTCAAACAATGAACTCATATAGTGGTGCTATATGCCAGGCACTGTTCGAAACTCTTTATATATATTAACTTATTTAATCCTTGTAACCATCCTATGAAGGAGGTACTATTATTATAACCATTTCAGAGATGAGAAAACCAAATCACAGATGGTTACTGAACTTGTCTAAAAATGCACAGCAATAAGTTGTAGACTGGAATTTAATTAGACAGTCTTGTTTTAGAATCCACAATCTCAGCTCTCACTGATTGGTACTTTTTTTAATGCAAAAAGATCCATTTGGAGGCATGTAAACACTCATATTGTTGAGTAGGTCCCTAAAAATGATTTGGTCACATTTTCATCCATAATCTTTTCTTGTGTGACAACATAAAATTTTTTAAAAATATGCATATTACAGAAACTCTTGAAACTGGTCAGTATTTCTTGTAACTAGGACTATGTCACCATTGTCAGATAAAGTCATATTCAAATCACTTGTTCTTTTCTATTTAAACACCTACAGAATAAAATTGAGTAATGATTTTGATGTAGTTGCTGATTTGATCTAAACATCAGTTGATGAAGTCAAATGTAAACTTGACTCTTACTAAAGTGGATTCAGCTATATTTTAAATGATGCAGAAAAATCTGAAAAAGAAAGAAAAAATCTTCCTATCTATCTAAAATTCCCACACATTTCTTCAAATGTTGGAATCAAATAATAGGTGAGTTTAATGAACACTTAAGAATATTTGCCCGCTTTATTTTTGAAAGAATAAAATTTCAGTAATTATCTGGAGTTGTTTCTCAATCTTAAAATGTCTGTGAATACCATGATGAAAATAAAGTCCATTTTGTGAGATTTTTATTCAGACTGTGAAGGTAATTTGTTTTGAGAAGCATCTAAGCATCTACAGCCCACCCACCATTTTAGTAACTCTGATTGCTCTGTGTAGCATCAAGTTGCTTCATCCAATTTGGACAGTTACCTCATATATAACTATAAATTTCATTCTCTATCATTATCAAAAGCTGATCTGAGGGAAATATTCATCACTGTTACAGCTAATGAAAAAAATGTCAACCAAACATAGACTTCAAACATCCATAATATAATCACACACTTCTAGGTAGGATTCAATGTATAGAAGATTTTAAAATACTGTTGTGACCTTTAATAGTACCCACTTTATTTTATTTTTTGCTGTCAATATAGACATAATATCTACTGAGAAACTGGCTTCACTGTTAAGGATGTCTTTTGTGAAAGTTGTTTTCATTTGGAATTTCATTTCTGTGAGTTATTTTGGTGTTCAGAATTTAATTCTAGGATAAAGTGTCAAATATAAGGTTGCTGGCTACATAAATACTAACCCTCTACCCCCAATTCAATTTCAAAGAGCAACTCAGGTGAGAGTAAATAAATAAATAAAAGGTTTGGTTAATGTCAGACACTCGCTTGGTACCATGTCATTCAAAACTCCTTCCATTTAACAACAAAATTTACATTGACATATGAGTGATGTATAATGCAGTATAATTACTTACGGGGTCTTTGAAAAGAGAAGCTTCTTTTTTTCCAAGTGATTTAACTTTGAAAAGGAATTACTTCACATGCCCAACAAATACTATTAAAAGGCATTTTATGAGGCTTTTTTTTTCTGCATATGTCTACACATGGACAGACTATTGTGTGCTCTAAAACCTGTATTTACATGACACAGTTTTATGGTCCAATGGGCAAACACTACTTAGTCCTAAAATAACATCACAGTAATGACTACAGTCAAGACAGCAAGAACACTCCACCATTATTATCCATATCAGACCGCACCAGATGGGGTATCTGTAGTAGAGTGCTGACAGTGGAGAACATAGAACAACTGTTTCTGGTGGATTTGTGTGCTCTTAGGCAGAGCGATATTACACTCAAAATAAGTAGCACATAAGCTCTTTCATTTTGAAGACGTGTTGTATTATGTGTGTATATATATGTATATACACATATGTTTTTATCTGAATTTATTAAATAAGTTAAACAGAGAATTTGAGATTAGTCACATTAAATGGGATTTAGTCCAATTTCACTGGATATAAAGCAGGATTTCTTGGCCTCAGTAATATTGAACTTTCTATGGTGGATCATTCTTTGTTGCGTGGGCTGTCCTGTGCATTGTAGGATATTTTGCTGCATTGGCAGCCTCTACTGACTATAAGCTAGTACCTGCCTCTCAGATTTGTGACAACAGAAAAATGCCTCCCAAATGGGAATTACTGTTATAAAGGAATGAAGTCTTGAAAGTACACATATTCTTTGAACCAATTATTGTTTGTCCTTATATATATCAGTTTTTATTAGTTTTCAGATACAAGGTATGCATTTTTCTCATAAATGAATGTTTGTTTTAATTTGCTGGCACAGTTACAGTGGGTAAGCATTTTGCATCTACAATATTATTTTATACATCTTATGTAGTCAGCAAGAAAATAAGATGGGAAATATTAAGGGTTAAATAATATTGATATAAGGAGACATCTTTAAGACAAAGGCCTCAAGTCTTTTGTTAAGGAGGGGAATTGGCTTCTGCAGGTCCCCATTAGGTCATGGGCTCCTGCAGGTCTGCAGCTTTGAGATCATTTTTGCCCAGTGTTAAAGAAAATATCTCAACTAAGGAATACTTCATGACAAAAGCTGCTCCCTCCTGGTATCTGTGTTTTTTAAAGTTACTTTTCTCATCTTATGCTTTTAGAATAAAGAGGCTGGTTCTAGGAAATCGAGTAGTTGGAAGGAAGAAAGGGACAAGATTATTTGCCACATCACTGGTTATAAACATGATTCGAATTGCAATAATAAACAGAAAAGAAGTCAGTATCCCTGCTTCTTCATCTTTGTGAGTGTCCACCACTGGATCTAATTATCATGCTAAGACTGTCAATTCTGTCATTAGGTGTAGTCAGGAACTCATCATTTTAGTTAATCAAAAATTCTGCTTTGCGAAGAGTAACCATAAATATGTGAATTATCAATTTTCAAATTAGTAGAATGTAATAAAAGTCTACTTATTACTATATTTTTCTCATATTATTTAATCGTTTTTCTTTGATAATTCAAAAGGGATTTCAGGATATTTTGTTTGCTTTAGGGTTATCACTATAAAGCTAAGTTATCATTATTCCATAGTTATGAAGAATAGCTATGAAGAAGTGTCTTCTGATAAGGATTTCTGGCTAACATAATGCCAAGAAAAATAGCTTTCAACATCCCATACTGGCATTGAAATATTGATAAGCACTAAAGAAGTACAATGACAAAAATAATAGTGTATGTAATTCTGTACTTTTCACAGTATGTAATGTTATAAACATTCAACAAATATTTTAAAAGATCAAATTTTCATTTTTCTATAAGCTCTTAGCACTATGTATAAGTTGCTTTGCTAAATATTACATAGTATATAGTAAACAGAGAAAAGGAATGAGACTATTGATATTTCAGAAAATGCATGCTTAACATTGGTAATTGTGATTTTAATATTGCACTAATTTTCTGCATATATACATTTTTCCTTAAGCAAAAACATTTAATGTGCCAAACACCTATTCGTCATTGTATATTTCTCCCAACTTGAATAATTTTAAAAAGTTGACCTATTCATGTAAGTTTATCAAGTCTTTTATGAAACTATAAGTGTAAAAACACAAACCAAAGTGTTGATAGGTTAAGAAAGAAAATTAAGTCTGTTTGAATAAACAACCACATCAACTCGCCCCAAAAATGTATGTTCTAAAGAAATAGAGATAATGAGTAAGCTTATTGAATTTCTAAATTTACTTTAATTTTTAATGTCTTTTTCTTTTTGATTCTCAAAACTTTTGATACATAGAGAACAAAAGAAGAACAATCCTGCAGCTAATTTTTATAATTTCATCAGCTGGTACCAGAGGATTCATTGCTTGGTGGATAAAGTGTTAGCTTTATATTCTAAAGGACACCTTCAAATCCTGTTAAGGTTACATTTTTATTAAAATTTCCATTAATTTTTCCATCAATGTGATTATAGATTAATATTAATTAATTCTTACCATTTTTTGAAGAAATAAATGGAGCCATATCTGATTCAAACTTAAACAAGACACAGCATTCAGGCTTTCTTGGTAAGCCTTTCCTGGGGTGCAGAATTGGTTGGGGAGCAGGGGAATAAGATATCTTTAATGGTGCTTTATTGAACTTAGCAATTTAAATGGCCTACCCTGATTTTTGGAGATATCAAATTACCATATGGATGATGTCTTTATCATCAAATCTAGCTCTTATTGTTTACCAAGAAAATGACAAAGGTAATTTTTAATGTTGGACGTAGTACTTATGTGGATGAGTATCTGATATTAACGAGAGTTCTGGGATGAGATCTCTCTGTGCTAAAAACTGCTACATCAACCAACAGATTAATATTATAGAAACTGACCACAGACACCACTGACATTGCTTCTTTGGAGTTTTAATTCACTATAATAAAAAATAATAAAATATATCCCATGAAGAGTATAATCTTCATGCTCTTTAGAGAATTCTGGGATATTAAGGTGAGGCAAAAGATATCTCATTTGCATAACATTCTAAAACTCCTAGGAGAGAGGACTGACAGATTTGGTATTGATGGGTTTGGGTCTGTATCATCGGGAACAATCCTTTGCAGACACCTGTGTGACAAATAATTATTACAAACTTCAGGGATGGACTGTTATCCAAAGTAAGTTGCAAACTTGGCTGGGCCCTGCGGCTCCCACCTGTAATCCCCACACTTTGGGAGGCTGACTCAGGCAGATCACTTGAGCTCAGGAGTTCAAGACCAGCCTGGGCAATATGGAAAACCCCTCTCTCTACAAAAAATTAGCCAGGCTTGGTGGTGCATGCCTGTGATTCCAGCTACTTGGTAGGCTGAGATGGGAGGATTCCTTTGAGTCCAAGATGTCCAGGCTTCAGTGAGTCATGATCCTTCCACTGTACTCCAGACTGGGTGACAGAGCCAGACCCTGTCTCAGATAAGTTAAAAAAAAAAAAAAAAAAAAGTAGCTTGCAATCTTATCCTAACACCCTTAAATTTCAGTAATTAGTCTAATGTCACATTCTCTGAAGTACTTTGGATCAAATAAAATTCATGTTCAACCCTGTCATCATCATCTAACTCTGATGGGAGATTTTCAGCATTTTAGGATTTAGACAGAGATCCAGAGCTTATGTTTTGGAGCATGGCATTCATATTAAAATTTACAGAAGAAGTGTAGTGTCCAATATTTCTCTACATATTACTTGTTTGTTTTTTTGTCTCATGTAATGTTTATGTGAAGAGAGGTTTTTAATCATTTTAGAAAAAATGGATACTATAGAAATATATCAAATATGTCATGTGAAATATAGAAATATATCATGTGACAGATCAAAGAAAACCTGTCAAAGCCCCAAACACCAAAACGTATGGGGCCAAATATTTTATGCTATATATTGAGATTTCTCACAGTGAGAAATCTATTAGACTATTATTTTTAGCAATAAAATTAGGAGTTAACATATATTGGACATTATTGTTTGTGCCACACACTGCCAAGAGCTTTGAATCTCATTGAGTCTTCACAGCATCCCTGTCAGGAAAGCATTTTTATTTTTCCCATTATAAAGATAAGTCAACTGAGATTTAGGGAGATTAATTATCAAAGATCAAATAGCAAACAACAGAACAAGGCAGGGATGTTTCAGAATGACTATGTATGAATTCTTCAAAGTAACAATTTGGTTGGAAATTGCATTGAAAGTAGTATTTTCAGAGAAGCACAAAAAATGAGAATGTATTAATTGTCCAGGTCATAAGTGGGGAGAAGAGGTGCAGTGTTCCCTCTTAATGTTGTTTTGCAGCTGGGATTATTATATTAAGAATAAAATGTTCTAGTAACCCATAGATTGACATTCCCATTCAAAAGAGTGAAAAAAAAGACTGCCATATCCAAATCTTCCCCCAAAACACACGCAATCCATATGGGGCTTGGGCGATCCAGAGCCGAGGTTCAGCACTTTTTCTCTAAGATTGGATTTCATTCTGCTAACAGCGTGTTGGCTGAGTGCCCACTAGCAAGCAATTAAGACTTTGTGCTTTCCTGCATTTTAGTAGCTCTCCTTATGAAACATGCAGCCACATGGGAATAGAAGCTTTGCCAGCACGGGTCACGGTCTGGGAGCAACATCAGGAGAGTTTCTATGCTCTCAGGACTCACAGTCTTCTGGAAGGTTGAGGAGAGGATGGATGGTTGATTGGCTGTGCCTGTAAGAGAAGATGAAGGAGGGAATCTGAGAAATGGAAACTATAGGAAGATATCAAATTAAAGTTAGGAGAAGAAAGTCAAATGCTATTGTGGAACCTAAAAAAAAGAGAGAGATAAAACAATTTCTGAAAATTAAGAAGCAATTGGGTTAAATTAAAAGGGGACAAAAACTGAAGTCTTGATGAGAGTTTCTTACCACTGAACTTGAATGATGTCCTCATTAATTATTTCTTATAACCAACACACATGTGTTGAGTATCTAAAATGTGCCAGATACTGTGCTAAGGACTGGGGATGTAAAGATGAATGAGACATCTTCATGTGAGGGTGGGTAAGAGGAGCAGCAGAGCCCCCAGGCATGTCAGACTCACTGGGTGCTGTGCCATTCTTATGGGCTCTGTGTAAATGGAGGCCTGCCACGGATACTGCTTCTGTCTCCCAGCTGCACTTCACTTTATGTCTGGAAAACATGACTGAGCTGGACCTAAGGTATGGTATCTTAAAAAATTAGGTAGCTTTATATAAAAATAAAATAATCTCCTTGCAAAGAAGCCTTTCACATCTGAAAATCAAATAGGGCACATCAGTGGTTTCCAATCTGATTGATTATTCAAGACCTCCTAGGCATGATTTTACAGTACAGTTTTCTGCTTCCTACTCCTGGAAATTCTAGTTCAATGGATCTAACCAGATATATTCTCATAATATAAGCATTGTCCTGAACAATTCTGAAAAGAACTAAAATCTCAAAAACAGTGTTTTCCGCTTCACAATAGACTTTGTTAGGTTAAAATTAAATAAAGAACTACTGTCTTATCAGATATAACTTGCATATAATGTAGAAAAATTCAAATCAATAAAAAACTGCCCTTTGAATCATTAATACAGTCCCTTGAATAAGCAATCTCAATGGTGTATATGAAAGCAAACTTATACACATTATCTTTTATTACATTAACTGGAGCATAAAGGTATATAATTAGTAATTCATACTTTCTTACTGTTTGAAAAATTGAGCATAAATCAGGTTTATATTGAGTCCTAGTCTCATCAGTGACTTGATGTCTTGACTTTAAGGGCCTTTGGATGTCATGCAAAAATTGCAACTTTATGTAAATTATGGTCTGGATCAAACTATTTCTCAAGTATCTTTAATATGCTCAAAGATCTGAGTCATAAAAATTCTTGGGTTTAAAACATTATTTTTTAATTATATAAATAAAGTCTTATGCAGATTCCTAATGTATCAAAAAAGATAAGAGTGGACCTTTAGACAATAGCAGGGGTGGGGTCCCAGTGCTACCTCTTTGGCCACCATGTTAGCCTCAGTAGGAGCTCCTAACCTCCCTCTGCAGAACTCCGGAGTTCCACAGGGTACAGAGGGAAAACAAAGAGTATCCCATTTTTAACTTTATTTCCAAGAAAATCCCCACAATTTGAATATTATAATGATTCCCTATAGATATGTGAGGTTAGTCCCTAACTGGCTATCCATTTGTTAAATCCCCCAGTGCCTTAGGCCAGTTAAGTGCACACTTGGCCAAATCTGGCCCTCTGGGTCACTCCACTGGGACACTCCAAGTGAGGTAAAAAACACAAGCCTATTTGTCAAACCTAACTAGGTTCAAACCTCTAATCTCCATTCACCAGTTAAATTACCAGGAGCAAGGTAGTGAAATTTCCAGGGTCTTCTTCCCATGGCCTGTAAAGTAGGGATAATAAATTCTACCATTCACTCTGGTTTCCACCTGGTCTTTAGCATAAAGACTAGTGCTTGGTATTTCTCTTCTTGCTTTCTTGGGAATTGATCAGGTTAGGAATTGGCGAAGTTGCTCTAACTCCTTCAGGCCTATTCAGAGCTTATTTCTTTCATGTCTCTACACTACATTTACTTCTTATGATACAAAAGAATAATGAGATTCCATTAACAAAAAATCGCTACAACTTCTTCCATGGAACTGAAGAGAATATCTTATTAAATTCCTGTTTTCTCAAATATGTTGGCCACACCTTAGATTATAATAATTATTTACTATGGTCTTCAGATATGTTTATGTATTAATAATCACAGAAGGTAAGTTTTGTTACACATCACTGCATTTCAATATGCTCTGGAAAGTACACACCTCAACATAGAAATGGTATTGCATATTTAAACATTATTAAATAATGAACACTTATTGTCATGTATAAGCTGCAAGATGGAGGGAGGAGTAAAAAAAGAGTAAGGTGACTTAACACTGTCGTACCTTCAATGGCACTAATGATGTCATGGGAGAAAAAGAGAAAAACTTAAGAAACAGCATAGAGGTCCTTTTGAAAAACCTAAGAATTTTTAAAAATTCTTTGGGTTAAGTAATGAAAGGCAAGGGCAACTAGCTTGTGAACAATCTCCTGAGCAATGTTGTTCTGTGTGTTTACTGGGCTCCCAAGCCTGAAATTATCTTCCCTCTATACCACCTAAATGTGTTCACTTATCCTCAAGCCATCTGAAATCACATTAATTAAACAAATTGTGTTAAATAAAAATGGTTCTTAAAAAAAAAAAAAAAAAACATAGATGAAGCTGTATGTTGGCAAAGAGAAAGAATAAGACCCTCTAAGCAAAGTATATTGTGTGTATAAGGAACGTGTGTGTGTGTGCATGTGTGTGTGTGTGTGTGTGTGTGTGTGCATGCTCACATGCATTCCCTGAGGACTACAAGAGAAACAACAACAATAACAACAAGAATGATGAATGTGTCAGAGGTGGGGGTTCCATCTCATTTTTGAGATTAATTTTTAAGCCAGTATAGGCAAAATAAAGAGTTGTTTAACTCTCACAGCTTACTACATGTTATTTTCAAATGAGTTAGTAGAGTGGCACATGGTCCATATATAGCTTTTGTATAATGACCAGATTTTTCTAAACCATAAATGCAATATAAGTATAAACTAGTGTAACTGAGATATTTATTTATATTTCTATCGGGTAGGACACCTGTTTATACAATTATTTCAATATTGAGAGAAAAATTTCCCCAAATTCTGCATTATCAATGCACTTCACAATGATTTTGCAAGCACCTAGGGCAGAGAACCCAATGTTTTATTTTGGCAAGGGAAGCTCTGTAGAAATATTTGCAATATTTTGTGCTAATCCCTCCACTAGTCACTTTAGTGTGGCAAATATTTGTTCTAGTGGACTTTACTACAGTAACAGAGTACATCAATCTGTTGTTTTAACCTTTTGAAAATAACCTTTGTGTCTTCTTGAAGGAAATAAAGAGTCATTGATGAAACCTTTGAAATTTTCAACTTCTTTGCAATAAGGTACCTGGAAGAGAAATTGGTGCGTTATCTCAAGGGAATAGATTATAGGGAATTGAGTGCATCTCTGCTTACTTTCTTGGCTCATAGCTTTATGGATATCAGGGACCTAAAAAGTAAATGGTGGTCAAAAAGAACAAACATTTATTAGAGCAGTTAGAGAGGACTGGTTTGATATTTGCCAAGTTTCTTCTCAATAACATGTTTGGCAGCTACCAAATGACATGGCCTGCCCAGAGTTGATTTTGACGAAGCCTCTGGGATGTGTTAAAAAGTAAACCAGAGCAAATCACATACTGGAAAGCATAACTCAATCAAGGAAAAATGTATGATTAAGGGTGACATGGGCAAGGAAAGCCTTGCCAGAGCTCAGGGTAAATATTTGTATCAGTGTGAAGAGAAAGCTTCGTGACGCTGATGTCAACCAGCTGGAATTTTCATTGTTTATAAACTTTTGTTGTTAGAGTTGAATTCTGGCAGAAAAGGTACCAAAGAAAGAGCAATTTCCCAGCATGAGAGTTTGAATTGTGATAAGGCAGCTTGACCAGAAACAAATGCAACCATGCAAAGTTTCAGCCACTTTTCCCTTCCAGAATTCTCCTGCCAAGAAGCAACCTTCTTGCCTTAAATCTTACTTTGACAAACTTCATCAGGATTAGTTAAAAGAAAAGTTTTTGGCTTGTTCTGTTTCATAAGAACTTATGGCATCATTTTCCTCAGATAAACATAAAATGGAGAAGAATGTAAATGAATTTCTGTTAAATTTTTGTACAAAAGAATATTGCCATCTGAAGTAGATTTTTAATGATCGAAAATAAACGCCTTGGTATTAAACCCAACTTTGTGAATAGTGTCTATTAACTTTATGACACCAAGCTATTTATTTTTTACCTCAGGGTAGACTATTGTATATTTTTAAATAAAAAAGTACAGCAATTAAAAATATTTGGGCCCTTGATTTAACTCACCAACTATTTCTGTTAAAAAGAAATCTGTATTTTCTCCCTAAGCTGTGTTTTGTTGTACTTTTCAGAACTTTGAAGGTAGCCAAAAGTTATAAATCAAACAATATCACAAGGACATAGGTTTGTATAAAAATTTACAGTAATTCAGAACACATAACTCAACTTTCAGGCAGAAAAAGAGAGATTGTTGGAAACTGATTCCTGACACTTACTCTTCCTCTCAGAAACAGAAGCACATAGATGGTGCTCTATTGGCAAAGAAAGACACCCTGAGTTTCCCATTTCATAGATGGCCTACTAGCAGAAAACTGCAGCATAGATACTCTCTGAATAGTAACCCTTACTTCTCCCTCAAGGTAGCCTGGAAGTTTCAATCCGATCTACTTTCAGTGAGGGCTGAGTAGTGACATTCACTGAACAGGATATGCAAATAACTCAAAATTCCTATCAAATTATCCTTTGTTTTAATAATTTTGTGTTTTACATAAACTTCAATCTGATTGGCCTAAGACATAGCACAATAAAAATTACATTGATATGTTGCTTTTGAGAATCCTGAATTACCTCTATCCAGGAAAAAGAGCAAACTCAGAGACCCTCCATTTGTACACCCTAACATAGAATGAACCGAAGGCTATCCCTGGCAGTGCAGAAACTAGACGCATCATGAACATAACCACATTACCCAGATGCACTAAGAATAGAAACCAAGCCCCTGCTGGTGTAATTAAGAAATCTTTTCTTCCAGTCCTGGGCTTTAGAGACCTGGATCACTAACTAATTCCAATTTAGAATGCTCTTTTGATAAGGGTTTTTGTAAACTAAGAAGTGAGCTGAACATGAAAACTTTACATTATAAGTTTCTGAGCTAGCATGTCCCACTTATGCAGTAGAGTCTCTGGCTTACACTGGCTAAAGAAACAACCTTCAGAGTGTGGCTATTTCTGGGACATCACAATGATGGTGTATTTTCAGGAGCCAAAGAAGTGCCAGTGACTTCCACTGGAATTTGCACATTTCTGTTGCATTGTGGTGCACTCACAGCCTTGGAGCTCAAAGGAATGCACAAAATCCAAACACCATACACAGAGCTAGAAAGCCTGCTAGGTGGGAGTTCTGGGCTCAGACATAGTTAGGCTTTAGTTATAGTAAGTCATGCAAAGATACAAAGGTGACCAGTCTGTCGCTGAGTTACTTCTTCTTATCCCTCTCCTACCTCTCAATGACAGGACATTCACTAGGTCATTCTGTGTTGCGGATTGGGACCCTCGGGCATTATATTTTAATTAAATGGTCAGGTTATTAATGCGTGGAAATCAGTCACTGCAAGTGTTCAGCTACCCATTTTTCATACATAATGCGTCCATATCAACATTATAACAGCCATCTACTAAAGATTTACATGGTCACTTTAAAAGAAGAAGCCTTGATAAATACTTGAATTAAAGATTCTTGGGATCATATTAAGGGACTAAGAGGTCAAGTCTCATTGCTGATTTATTTCCCCTGCTGTGTGGTGATTAAGAAACCACTCAGCCCCTCTGTTTGTAGGTTCAGTTTTGAGTTTCAAAACACAAAATATTTAGTCATGTGTTTATGGTACACTAACATGTACTTAGTATTTTGTTAGAAAGGTAGGAAATTCAGAATATTTTCTTAAAAACTATTGCTATAGTCTAATATCACATGTTTTTCTAGCCTAATCTCCCTTTTTTGTGGCACCAGTGCTGTTATCTTTTGGGAATTCTCCTCCCCTCACTTCAACCTTATGTTACTGCAGAAGGTTAATACAATTTTTAACCTCTTGCCTAGCCACATTTGATTGGTCCAAATTAAAGAAATCAGAGTACTTCCTAAAAATTTGACATAAGAATAAAACTTTCTAGCTCAGTTTAGATGCACTCTTGAATGAAGCAGATGCAAACAAACCTAGGGTCTGTTGGAAGCCTTATACCTCACTGTACACTGAGAATGAGACAAAGCCAGATAGCACCAAAAGGAAAGAATGGAATAGGTAAGGAGAGCTGAAAAAAAATAGTTTGGTTTTTGTGTCCCTGCTACCAGCTAACCCTTGCCTATCTACGTCTTTCTCCATGAGATATTACATTAATGATTTTTTAAAAGACGCTTCTTTTATCATATTCTATACACCTTACTATGTACCCACAAAAATGTTTAAAAAAATATATATTTAAATTAAAAAGACACTTTACTTAAATCAGTTAATTTGGTTTTCTTACCTTCTACAGCCAAGGCCCTCAAGGAAATGATCAAGGTATTTGTTGAATGACTATTGTGTACAAGGCTGATTACATTCAATCTCTTAAGCAATCCTAGAACTTTGAGTAGGCTTATTTCCATTTTAACGATGAAGAAACTAAGTATCAAGGAAGTTAACTAACTTATTCAAGGTCATACATTTAGTCACATCAGAGTGAGTCCAAACTCCATCCTCTTGCACAGCTTGCAAACATCCTTTGGAAATCTTGAGAAAGAAAAATTCTCCTGCATTAAATAATTAGAGAATATGATAAAGTTCTGAATATTATAAGTGGTGTTATGATTACAGATAAAGGAATGTCAATTCAGGATGGAGTACAAAGGAAAAGTGTCTCAGACAGAACCCTCTGAGTTACAAATGAAAGAAAACATGTTCAAACTAACCTATTGACTCAGGAGCTCGAAAATCCAAGGGTTAGTCTTGCTTCTCACATAGCTGGATCTAGAACTCAAAGAAGTCCATCAAGACTCTGTCTCAGTCCCTTGATTGCTTGTCTCATCCTTGGTTTCACTTTTAGGCACACTGACTACAAATATTTGCCCTAAGCATGCTCCAAACGCTTTCAGGGCCTGCAAATGTACATTTTAGGCTTGTGTAAAATAGGGATGCCTGGCTTGAAGTCCTTCCCCTCTCCCTGAATATGGAGCCTAAAAAGGGGCCTATTTTGGGCCCTGGAAACTGACAACTGTTTGGCAGAAAATTCTAGTGTTTTTGTACCAAGGCAGGGGTATGTTTCCGGTAGTCATGTCTCCTTTGCTCCTTAGGAAAGGGCAGGGCAGGGGAGCAAGAGTATGCCTTGGATGGGGACCCTAGTAACCCACATCTAAGAGGAATACTGGGTGGTAACCAGCACCATCAGACTTTTAAGAATTAATAGAAAGTCCAATAAAACATTAACAGACAAAAGTTCTAAAAGTAAAGCCATATAATTAAATCCTATTGGCCAGACTTTGGTCCAGTGCTCAACCTTGGCCTAATTATTATTGCCAGAGGATTGGACTATGCTAATTCGGCAGTCCTGGTTTGGAGGACACATCTGGAACAGGGTGTTGGGGTCAACACCACAGAACCCTACAAACAGAGAGTGGTTGAGTGGTTATGCTGCTACTTCAAGCCACACAATAGACACTGAGCAGGGGAAAAGAACACAGCCTGACTACATAAAAGAGTTATAACTTGAGATAGCAAGAACTATTAGAACAAGACTACTACCGGATTCTGAGCAGTAACCTGAAAATAATAGCCAACATTTATTCAGCACTCAGTATGTGATAAATCACTTTGCTAAGAACCTAAAATATGTCATTTTATTAACGTAAGAACCCTGAGGCCAGGCATGGTGGCTCACAGCTGTAATCGCAGCACTTTGGGAGACCAATGCATGTGGATCACCTGAGGTCAGGAGTTCGAGACCAGCCTGGCCAACATGATGACACCCTGTCTATACTAAAGATACAAAAAATTAGCTGGGTGTGGTGGTGGGCACCTGTAATGCCAGCTACTTGGGAGGCTGAGGCAAGAGAATCACTTGAACCTGGGAGGCAGAGGTTGTAGCAAGCCGAGACCTCACTACTGCACTCCAGCCTGGGCAACAAGAGCAAAACTCTGACAAAAAAAAAACAAACAAACCCTGATATATATATATATATATATATGGTATGTATATATTATTATCTTCATTTTATAAATAAACTAAGGCTTAAAGAAGTTAAGCAAAGTGCTTTGTGACAAAGGTAGGAATAGATCTCAGGACTGTGTAACATCAGCATCTTTTAATTAGCTTCTACAATATGTACAGAATATTCCATTTCTCACACATTCAGCTCTGAACATGTGATGTTATGAAAAAAACATCTGAAAAAAGTCTTGCAGAGTTGTAATTCTAGATCTTCAATTCTATGCCAAGTCAAAGGTGAACACATGAAGATCTCGGTACAAAGATGTTTTCCTCATAAGCCTGTTCCTCTGTAAGAGCTTTGCCTTTAGCTCAAGATAGTAGGTCTGAAGACACTGGAGCCTGAAGTCTCTCCTTGCAGACTCAGAAATTTTTCTATTTTGGTTTGTTTTTATTTTTATTGTCTTTATGGTTTTTTTGGCTACAAACTGTGTAATTTTGTTTGCCCAGGGAAGGGATTTGGGTTTCATACAAGAATCAAAGCTTAAAAATTCTGCTAAACTCTGGCAGATATTTTCATGACTCTCAAAATTCAAGACTGAAAAAAAATCTTTTTCTCTTGTTATTTTTCCTATTTTTACTTTTTTTAAACCAATTTTAGATGGTGATAACACAATTTTTTAAATTCATGGAATTGTGAATCGTTAATGCAGTCAATGGTACAAAATAAAAGTAATATAACATTTGCACATTACAACATATTTTTTTTCTACCTATGGCCCCTCTTTTCCCCATTTGTAATCACGTTTATGAGTTTTGGTGTAGTTTTTTGTACCTTCGTAGTGTTAACAAAAGTATTATGTAAAACTATTCCATCATAAAGTTTAAAACTTTTAGTTCTCATGTCCCTCACTACAGTTTTTCATATGAAGTCAGTCATAGTGGCAGGTATTTCACATTATTTTTTTCTCATTTGAAATCTTGCAAAGTGTGTCTCATCTATTCTTCAACATATTAAAGGGCTAGTTTGGGTGCCAGTAGTCTCTGCAACTTCAGCTAGGTCCAAAGTCCAGCTACAATGACCAAAGCTGACATTCCTGATAGAGCCAGGCATTTATGGAGCAGTCAACTCCTGTCAAGGTCTCAGGGCTGTGGGAGTTAAAGAAATAAAACCCCTGAAATGGGCAAGAACTCATTTACTGTGTCCAGAAGCCATCATATAGAAGAAGAATACCACCTGGAATTTCAGCAGGCAGATGAAGACATGAGTGGGTGTTCATGACATGTGGGTTTGATTCAGATTCAACCTAGGAAAGACGGTAGTGAACAATGCTGATGAACTTTCAACATCTTTGCAATTACGGGGTGATTCTTCTTCTGTACTCAATTCCAAGCTCTGCAGAGGCAATTTTGTTTACCGCTGTAGCCCCATTTCCTGACTGGTGTGAGACAATAAACAAACATGGAATAGAAAGCCTAGAAGAGGAGAGAGTGCTTCTTCAAAACATGTTCAAGCAATACTCAGATCTCCATGCTAGGAGAAATTTGTGAAGAGGCTGATCTGTAAGCCTCCATCCAACACTAGGATTCTAGGATTCTCTGAATAACAAAATCAATTACTAGTTGGATTCATCTAAGAAAAGGCAGAAAATGGATGGCACACAAAGAACCACTGGCCCAGGCCCTGCAGGTGATGCTGGAAGTGGGGGTGGTGCCATGGGCTGAGTCCACTGCTGTCAGAGTGAGGAGCAGAGCCTGATGGCTTAGCGGAAGGGTAGATCATTGGCATCAAGTCATTCCATTAGCCATAGTGCTTTTCCATATTTCCAGCAAAAATGTAGACGACTGTGCTTCCTAAACAAAACAAGAGAATGCAAAGGTAAAAAGCAGACAAATAGTCTTGGAAATGAAATGAAAACAAAAACCAAGTAAACAAAAATCCAGGAAATCTAAGAGGAATAAATGTAGAGCTGGAAGTAGTAAATCAGAAACAAATGGAAACATAGTGCTGTGTTTTCCATTACCCACTTTAACCGAACTCTATAGTTAAAACTTTTCATCCAGTATCTTAGCAATGTGGTAAGAACCTGTAATTGGTTTATTACTGAAAATCAATGCTGTTAAAAACCCCCTTGTCTGAAAAGGAAATCTAAATATAAGACTGATACAAATGGGTCTTTATATAATTGTATTTCTTAATTGATGATACATAATGTAATTCTTTATTGGGAAGGGGCTTCACCTGCCTCTAGGGAAGGGGTGTTGGTTGGAGAGACAGAGTGAAGCATGTGTAGGTTGCAGCCCCGGGCCCAGGGACTGACAGGTAGCTGTGTGAAAGGCCTCAGATCCTTTCCGGAGGCACCTAGTCCCCACTCCAGCTCCTCCCCCTCTTTAACCACAGCTCCAGAGCAAGTTTGTCTCTGCACATAGAGACTGGCCTCCGGCTGTAGCAGGTTGCAGGAACTGCCAATGTAGTGCATTGTTCTTGAGTTTCCACAGTCCTTCCTTCTCTATCTCCATCCTTTTACAGCAAGCATTTCTCCTCTTGTAAACAAACAAACAAACAAAAAGAAAGCAGTAATTATTTTTTCAAACACTTTCCTAATATAAGTTCTGGAAACATCTGCCTTCTTTCTACACTTTGTAAGCACAGGTTTGGGGTCCAGCAAGCGGTATTTTAAAAGGGCCATGATTATCTGGTACTAGAAACAGCAGCAGCAGCTCCTAATTCAGATCTTTTAAATCGGTCTTCTCAGAATACATACATTTGGAGTATTTGAAAACTTGGTCCTCTGAGGCCTGTTCCTTCTTCTCCCTGGATCTTACCTTTAAATGGCTGAAGATATAATGCCTCAGAGACTTAAGGTGAGTGGAGATAGATTTGCTAGGTCCCAGAGTAATCAGAAAGGCAAAATAGCTTTGTAACTCTGTCTCTCTCTGCATTATTCCCTGAAGAGCAGCTGCAGCAGAGTGTGGACCCCGTGTTTGCACATGGCAGAAACTGGGCTGCCTCACATTTAAGGCCTAAGTTAGCCAACTTGTCAATGAATGCCATTAGTGCAGACGGGCCACAGGCACTCAGGGATGGAGTGGCAGGCAAGCTCAGATCAGCTAAGGAAGAGCAGGCATCGGGTGGTAACAACTTTCAGTCATTACTGACCTGGGCTCTATTCAAACCAGTGACCTAGAAATGAAGGGCTCCAAATCCCATTACTAATTCCCCGAGCCATCAAGTCTCCCCTATGGCCTGGATCTTGTCCTGAAACCCAGGTCTCCTGTTGAAATAGCATTAAGACAGCAGCCACTGCGTTGGCAGGCAAGGTTTTTAAAATAAAGGGAGGGGAGGGAATGTGCACGTAGAGAGTTGGCTTTAATTATTACTTTAAAGTTTTTCAGCTCCTTTCAACCTAAAAACCTGAACCTTCTTTAAAGTCACATGCTTGCCAGCCAGCACAAAAATGGTGTTCAAACAAGCACAGCTTTTTTATTTTGTTTGAATGGTGAAAATACACAAGCCCCCTCCCAAATCAAGGAATAATGAGAGGAAACCAAATGAGAGGAAGTTGTTGGAAAGCAAAGAAAGAGATTAAATGAGTATTGCGAGGACAAGAATATTTACTGCCAAAATAAGAAAAGGAGCTAAATGAAAGCACCCTTAAGCCGCGTTCTTCCTCACTTCTTATCTCTCTGTCACTCTCTGAATCCCTCTCATCAAAGAGGGACAATTATTTTTAAGTAAAAATGTGGGATTTTTGTCAGTGAGGTGAAGCCCATGCAAAGTGAGCTGGATTAAAAACTGCATGTAAAGTTCTGTCTCGTGTTTTAAGCCAAAAGCTCCAACTTTACAAACTGTCCTGTAGATGGGGCTGTACTCTGCAATTCTAAGATCACTGCCTCAACAATGAAGCAATTGTTTCCTGTCTCCACTTAGCAATTCCTCCCTCTCTTTCAGTTCTTTCTGCTTGCATGTTCTATTTATTTTAATGTATACCTTTGTGTAGAGCCTGTCTCTGAGTGGTTAGATACCCCGTTGATATGTGGCCTTCAAGGGGGAAAAGGGAGTGCAGCCTATTCCCATGACATCCTAAGGCTTTGTAGAGCCAAAAAAACCTTCTCAGGAACACCTAATCCTTGGGCTCTGTCCAAGTACCACAATCTCTCTGTACAACTGACATGGGCCACTTGGGACACTTGAGAGTTTTAGGTGTGTCTCTCTGAAGTCAGCCCCGGCCAAGCATGAGGCAAATGTGCCCGACCAAAGAAAATAAATTATGTGGACTCCAATTTTCAGCAGTTATGAAGTATTGAATTACACATGCAAAGAATTCACTTTGGGATTAACCCTTTGGAACCGAAACACAATCTTGTCACAATGCCTGAGAAGGGAGCATGCTCTGAGTGAGGCCTGACTTTCCAAAGACACAGAGGTTGCTGACCAGGAGACAGAGATGCTCAATGCAATAAGAATGGAGATAAATGCAAATGTCTTATGTGGGCATGGAAGAGGGTATATGTCGGGGTTCTGCCCTGTCTCTGGATAGGCTGTTGCTGGCATTGTAAAGTTTAAGGATTCACTGCAAAGGCCACTTCAGCACTTAACGGGAATGCATCTTAGCATAATTCACACAGTCCCTGTGGCTGCTTCTTCATTCAGATTTAGAGAAGTGGTTGAAAGCCACTGGAACTTGACTGAAATCACAACTACAGAACCCCTGAAACGGCATTCATCCTCCATGACTCATTGAGCGATAGAAAAGGACATCCTGTCCTACCCCTTTAAGAATTCCTAGTTCCCCATAACCGTCTGAAGCACTAAGCTGTGAGTACACGACATAGCTGAAATTTAACACATAAACCCTGGAGTAGAAAAACAAAACAAGGCCATTTGTTTTCCCCTATAAAGCTATTTATTTACCAAATGACCATAGAAAGCAAACCTCCAACAATAACAGGAAACAATCAATCTTGAAAAACTTAGGGAAAAATTTTTTTGGAGCAAAGTTAACTTTTTAATAAAGTAGGTGTCTTGGGTATGCAAAGCAGGATGTCAGGAAACAGGCAACCTTGCCCCTCTTCCCCTCAGGTTATTATCAGAAAATGTGTGATCTACAGGAGGGACACTGTTTTGGGACTGATAAGCTGTGTCTACATAAAGATCCCTCACTTATTTCACATGTGCCCTGGAGGAAATAGAACTGTACAACGATATCCCTGGGAGACACTGTGGACCTCATCCACTGCCCTCATATTATCCAATGAAGAAACTGAGTTGCTCAAAGTTGCAACAGATACAGCTAAAAGCAGTAGGACATTTTATGTAACTTATTTCTAAAACAACAAATCTCTAATCAGAGAAATATCTCTATGTCTCAGTTGCTCTTGCCTGTTCAGAGGGATGATAACTATCTTTTCAAGTACTTGCTATTTTGAGTTATATGGAATATTTTGAGACACATGTAGAGATCTGCTAAAATGATTTGAGTGATAATAACTGGGTGTATGTGTGTTAATATGTGAGAAAAAAGAGAAAGAAATGAATGAGAGGGAGAGATAAAGACAGGGAAATAGATGAAGTTTCTGACATCATATGATTGTTGGGTGGAGTAACTAATAAAAGTAATTGCTAAGCACGGTGAAATTAGACTGCTGTGTAAAGCTAAACCAGGATGAACCAAAATTTGCAAATATCATGAGACTTTTATTTTCAACAGGTGGCATTTTAGAATGCAAACTAGTAGCATGCAAGTGAGAGCGCGCTGTAAAGGGGAAGAGATGTGGGGATTTACACACTTAGGAAATCGGGGTGACTAGAAAACAATGTTTTATGTTTGCAGTCTTACAGATCCACTTATTGAGAGGAATGGCTGATTAGAAATATGCTTAGAAAATGCTTCTCTTATTTTTACTGGCAGAGGGTTAACGTAGGTTTCTACTTACAAGGTAAGAAAATCTGCTGTGAAAGGAAAAAGCCAACTGACACTGCTTGTGGACAAATGTGTGTGAGCCAAAAACTGAAATGAGGCAGGCAATAAAACCATATCAAAGCCCACCCGTTGCCCCTATCACAATATTCTTACCAAATTGTCTTGCCTTTATCAGGCCCACCCTCACTTATTTACTGAGATAAGAAAGAACTTTTTTGCTGGCAAGCACCCCAAGTTTGATTTATCATTCACAATAGGAAGACTCTGCCAAGTAAGCCTTCATAATTCCCAGCCCTTAAAATTATTATCATCATTGGGTTTAAAAATAAGGCCAGAGGTGGTGGATGTGTACGCAGTATGACTGGAAAGAAGCTGGTTTGTTGAGGCTGGTTCTCTCTGCCAAAAAAGTATCATAAAAGAGGTGCCTAGTTCATGTCAGACCTAAGGAAATATTTTCCCCAAGCTGTTTGCAGATAGCACGGGGTTTGTGTAGTGTGACAGTTGTCCTAAGAATATATTAATTCTCCTAAACAGGAGGCGCAGACTCAAGCATCCTCTCTGAATATAATGGTGATCTTATTTGCCTGACCAAGGAATAAAAATGTTCAACCACAAGACATTTCCAAAAAGGTTACTGTAATTTTGTGGCAATGTGAATTATTCTCTACCTGTCAGATAACTGATCAACAGCTACCTTTGAATATTAACAGGGTATGAGGAACTCAGGAATTTTCCCACAGTGAAGACTTAAATATAATCCCAACCCCACTTCTCCCAATCCTACCCCTTGCAAGAACTGTATACTTTTTAATGGTTTAATGGATGCACAATGAAGGCAAAATTGAAATGTGTGATGCAATAAATTTAGTGGAAATCAAAGATAGGTTTCCAGAAATCCTAACTTCCCAGCTGTACTTCAAAGTATTATAAAAGGGGCCAGATCTCAGATTCTCCCAGTTTAAGTCTTCACAGCTTTAGTTTGAAAAATAATTTGATTTTAAGTGAGAGCTTCCATTGGACATGTGCAGAATTCAGTGTGCACGTGTAATTTCGAGGTGAAGTTTTGGCTTGTTATCATTAAAAATAATCTTTAGTTTCTCTTTTTGTCTCCTTTGTTTGTTTGAACATACAGTGAAAAATAGCTGTAGAACTTTTTTGGTGGAGTGCACATATTATTTTTTTAAACCAGACAAAGGCATTTTGACCAATGTGTATTATGAGAGCAGATTTTATATAAATATATATGTATAAAATAAGCTCATTTGCACATGGCTCAAGGGAAGCTAAACTCACTATAGAAGCTTCTCTAATGTTTAGTTCAGCCTAGTTTTCAGATTTCAATATGTGTAGGGAAAATAAATGCAAGTGGAGAATAGTATAGGGAAGAGGGCTACATCCTGTAACTTGCATTTGTCTTGATATGATGCACAGAATAGAAACCGACTGAGTTTCTTTATCAGTCAGATACAGACCTGTTGACATTCTATCACAAGACACTGCCCAACAACAGCACACTTCCTTCAAAATGCCACTGAAACCAAAATATGTGACTCTTACTGTGTTTAAAACTATCGATGCCTTATCAATCAATGTATCTATCTATCTACCAATCTATCTAATCTATGTATCATCTATCATCTGTCTATCCTCTACTGTCTATAAACCTATTAATGCTCTTATTAATTCCAGAAATGATATACAGTAACTTACATAAGTATGTAAAATTGCAACATAATAAAGTAAAATTAAAGATTAAGTGTGTTTAGGGAACAGAACAAAGGTAAAATAACGGTAGGAAAGATAAGAAAGAGTCACAAGCGAGGTTAGTACATAAAATTTGTTCCCTAAGGGATTTTACACTTGCTAGGAGTGTCTAACCAATTAGACTGTATGCTTTCAGAAGCAACTGTAAATAAAAAAAAGTTACAAACTATTTTATAATTCATAGTGTCATAATATAATAAAATAGTTTTTCAGGAGGAACATAATTATGCATAGTTCTAGGACTAGAAAGAACTTTCTTTCATGAGGCCTCAAAAAGAGGGCAGAAAATGTAACCAATGCCTACCAATAGTATAATTCTCCAGCACAAGTTTCTAAGAACAACTGGACATAGTCTCAACATTCTTACAATATAATCACTCCATTCTCTGACTGATTGCTGGATACTCTTCAAAGGACTCAGCCCTTGAAACTCCTCCTCTCTGTCTATTTTCTCATCCCTTTGGTGGTCTCATTCAGATTGCAGATGTTAAATATCATCTTTATATGGATGACCCTAAAATGTATCTATCACAGGCTTCTCCCTTGAGCTCCAGACTCAAGATTTCCATTGAGTCTCATTGATGCTCAATAGGCATCTCAAACTTAATTTAACAAAAATAAAATATAGTTTTATCCCCCAAATCTGCTTCTTCCCCAAGCTCACCTTTCCAAATAAAATGTAACTCCATTACTTCAGGTATTAAGGCCCCAAACTTTACAATTATCCTTTCTGCCTCATTTTTTTCATACTGCACATTGATAATTTCTGTTAGCCCTTTCTTCAAGATGTCTTACATTGGACCACTTCTTGCTACTGTCATTGCCATACCCCAGGACCGAGGCAGCATTGCCTCTCTTCAAGAACATTTCTACTTTTCAATCATTGTATCTATTCTCTGCCTATTAGTCAAGGTGATTCATTTAGTAAATAACTCTGATCATTTCATTACCTTTCTTAAAACTTTCATTTGCCTTTTCACTCAATTTTCAGTAAAAAACAGTGTTTTTCTTCCCCCGATGGCTTACGCAGCCCTACGTAATAGCGCCTTCCCTGTTTTCTGCAACCTTATCCCTAAGCTGATCTTGTGATTGCAATGGTGACTTCTTTGCCATTTTTTGAACATGCCAAGCACAATCTCACCTCAGGGCCTTTGCACTTATTCTTCTGTCTACTTGGCACATTCTTCCCCTGGAAAATCTCATGACCTCGCTATGGATCTCTGATCCAAAGCTACGTTCTCAGAAAGTCCATAATTGAGTGCTCACCTCCCCTGACAACAACAGTTTTTTCTCTTATCATGTTTTATTGGTTTTCAGAATACTTAGCATTAACTGATGTTGCTTTTTACCTCATTTATTTTCTAGATTTTATACTCCATGAGGGCAAAAATAATATTTTATTTTAGAACAGTTGATCAGTAACTCTTGTTTACAAAGACTAATTGAAATCAATGTTCTAATTTGACAGAATGCTTCCAGTTCGTGGCAAGACCATCGTATCACCATGTGATGTGCGCATAATCAAATGCCTGTTTCTATGTTCTCAGTGCTAGGAATAAGCCTCGATGACTTTTAATAAGATCAAAGGCAGTGGGGATAGACAAATTTATTTCCTAAGTCATTTCAGGACAAGGGCTATGGTTTCCCTGTACATATCACAGTGTGTACATCAAATGTCCTTTCTAGTATGTCAAGAAAGACATAGGGCCAGACAATCTTGGAAATCAGCGTCAGTCCACCTGGCAAAGTCCTAAAATTAGCAAACTGATTTCTTCAGGCATACACAAAAGTACTAGTACATTTTCTTTTAATAGTATTGTCTCATACAGTAGGTCTATTTAAGTAAGTAAGTATCTTTACTGCAAGTCTAGATCCTTAGAAAAATGTTAAGTGGATAGTTACCTGAAATTTTTGTTTAGGAACCCAGAGATTAAACTTAAATCACAGCGGGAATCAGAAAACATAAAGGCATGCACTTGACTTTTAATTCTATTTCTCTTTGAGAAGTTTACTTGGCTTTTATGATATACTCTATTTACTTTTATATAGTCGAGCATACTTAAGGCTCTGCTTCTTTTACTTCAGCTTAATCAAACAGGAGAGGAAAACTGAGATTCAGGCATTTTTATGTATCACAGATAGAATAACTGTGTAGTGTTTCCTAATATCATTTTCTCCCTCCCTTCACCTCTTCTACCATCCTTCCTTCTTTCTTTTCTTTCTGGTTGCCTTCCCTCTTCCTTCCTCCTTCTTTGCTTGCCTGCTTGCCTTCCTTCATCAAATATTGATTAAGCATCCATTATATAAGAAATGCATTGGTTTCTAAATATACACTTATGAAGAAGACATAGTTCTTATTCTCAAAGTATTCACAGTCCAGAGACAATGTCAGGTGTATTTCTGGTACACAACAGGAGGAACACCTAAGTATATCAGGTGACGACAAGAGGAGGAATAAATGTTTGAAAATTTTTTCCAAGATGAATGGAGGGAGTGTAATGGACAGTTGAACAATAGAAATCACAAGCCAGCATAGTGTGTTCAGGCAAATTCTCAAGGTAAAAGTGGAACATTGGTGACTGAGGAGAGTAGCCATGGTTAAGTCTGGACAGTTAAGCATGAGTCTAATTATTAAAGATAAGTGACAGAATCCCAGCAAAAGTATTAGGTAATTGTGGTTTCTATTAAGAATACATGGGCTGCGTGGGGTGGCTCACACCTGTAATTCCAGCACTTTGGGAGGCTGAGGTGGGTGGATCACCTGAGGTTGGGAGAACGAGACCAGCCTGACCAACACGGAGAAACTGTCTCTACTAAAAATACAAAATTCGCTAGGCATGGTGGTGCATGCCTATAATCCCAGCTACTCGGGACACTGAGGCAGGAGAATCGCTTGAACCCGGGAGGCGGAGGTTGTGGTGAGCTGAGATTGCACCATTGGACACCAGCCTGGGCAACAAGAAGGAAACTTCATCTCAAACAAACACACAAACAAACAAAACAAAAAACAAAAAACAAAAAAAAAAAGAAAAGAAAGAAAGAAAGAAAAAAGAGTACATTAATAGGCTGGGTGTGATGGCTCATGCCTGTAATTCCAGCACTTTGAGAGGCCCAGAGAGGTGAATCACCTGAGGTCAGGAGTTCAAGACCAGCCTGGCTAACATAGCGAAACCCCATCTCTACTAAAAATACAAAAAATTAGCCTGGCATGGTGGCTGGTGCCTGTAATCCAGCTACTCGGGAAGTTGAAGCAGGAGAATCATTTGAACCAGGAGGCAGATGTTGCAGTGAGCCGAGATTGCGCCACTGCACTCCAGATAATCTGCAGTTATCTCCAGATAACTCCAATAATCTGCCTGGATTGGTCAATGCTCTGCATCATCAGTGCTTCTAGGTATTAGAGATCTCAGGCCATTTGAAGCTCAAGTATGGTCCTGTTGGTAGACAACTATATTAATCAGAGACTCAGAACACTAATATGAGAGGCTGGGGTTTAGAAACCACAAGCAGCAGCATTGCTCAGAAATTCTAGCCATGGTATGACTCAAGCATCCTTGAATAGAATGATAAAGAGTTTGACATTTCCTCTGTGGACTGTGGACGATAGGGATTCATAATGAGATTTTAAAGAGGAGAGTGAATTGACTGTGTTTGCATTTTAGGAAGATCAAGGAGAGTGGCTTAGTTCTAGAAAGGAATAGACAGAGAAGAGGAACAAGTTAGGAGACTTGTAATAATGAAGGGAAAGAAAAATAAACTGCAGGATCTCATGGAGTGGCAGCATCGCAAGGTGTAGGTGGAGAGATAAGAGAGAAGGTACAGTATTTAGAAGAGTTTATGCTCTGGAATCACACAGGAGGCCTGTGTTTGAAATAGTCTCTGAAACTTACTAGCCCTTAGTTAGCCTCAGCGTCCTCATGAGTAAAATGAGGATAATGCTAGTGTATCCTTTTTAGGTTGTGGTATGAGTTTCTTGAGGTTAAATGAGAACATTTGCACTAAGAATTTAGCAAAGAGCCTGATATGCAATAAGCATTCTGTGATGTCAGCTTACATTATTTTTCAATTTTGTGGTACATCACTTGCTGGATGGGGAGAGCAGTTAAGTAACTGCTCTCATTCAAGCAGTCATGTTCTCCTAGAATGCTTAATCTCTGCTGGAAAGTCTGAACCAGATCACCTCATGTGATCATCATTTCTTCATGTTCCCGGGGGAGATAAGAAATGTACAACAAAGCTAGATGTAAACACATAATGGTTGGAATTCCATATGATTCTCATTTTGGAAGAAGGCACTAGTTAACGACATGGCTGCATCCTCAAAAATAATATTTGAGATGCTCAGATAAGAATGATTAATTATGGGCCGGGAATGGTGGTTCACACCTGTAATCCCAGCACTTTGGGAGGCTGAGACGGGCAGATCACTTGAGGCCAGGAGTTCAAGACCAGCCTGGCCAACAAGGTGAAACCCCATCTCTACTAAAAATACCAAAAAATTAGCTGGGTGTGGTGGTGGGTGCCTGTAATCCCAGCTTCTTGGGAAGCTGAGACAGGACAATCACTTGAGGCAGAGGTTGCGATAAGCCGAAATTGCACCATTGCACCCCATCCTGGGCAACAAGAACAAAACTCTGTCTCAAAAAAAAAAAAAGAATGGTTAATTATGATATCAATATTCTGCAATGTAAAGCATACTTCAAGAGCATTTCCCAACTCTATGTCTTAGAGAAAAAAAGTGAAGAGACTTCCCAAATAAGTGATGCTAAAAGGCAGATTCTCAGAAACTTTATCATACCTTGTTCTTATCATGACAGTCCTCACCTTACATTCTGTGATAAAGGGTCTAAACAGGTTACTAAAACAGAAAGTTTGGAATGACAGAAGGGAAATCTATGAGGAAGAAAGACTCATGCTATAGTAATTTATCTTGATTGACACATTTTCTTTTCTTTCATGTCCCCAATGAGACCTAAAATCATAAACATGTTTGCTTCTCCTTTCTCTCCATAAACTTCTTCAAAGCTAGATCTTTATCTGTTTATTCAATAACAATTTATGTACCACCTTCTGTTTTCAGCACTATGCTAGGCACAGTGGTGTCTACATCTAATTAAAAAATCATTTATCCTTCTCATGATGTCAGAGATCCAATAAGAATTGGTGTTAGAGTTTGTATCAGTTTAAAAATATGATATAGGTTAAATAATTTTGAAGTTCTTACTGTTTCTAACTGCACTAGGGGCATTCTGTTTGAAGGTGTCATGATGTTCTTCCACAGGTTTAGATTTCCCAGAAGAAAAAAAAATGTAGTTTTTAACGTTGTATTTGTTTACTATTTGGGATTTTCCTTCCTCTTTCTTTCTTAAAAATGTTCCATGCCAAGTGAAACTGATAGAGAAGTTTTTTTGTTTTTCTTTTTTTTTTTTTTTTTTTTTTTTTTTTGGTTGTTGTTGTTGTTATTGTTACATGGTGCTGCCTGAGAAGGCAAAATAATTGCAGTAAATGAATTTTTGGCTGGCCAGTTTGAGTTTGTCATACACATAAAAGGTATCATCTAAGGAAATACCCAGGCAGGAGTGAGGAAGGAAATGAAGAGGAACTGAAAGAAGCTGCCCTCTCATGGGAATAACTTCTCCATTCAGCTGGATTCTTTAGGTCCCTGTTGACATTCATCCTCAGTACACTTCTGTCAAAGTTATGCTGCATTAGAAATTACTCACTGTGGGCAAAATAAAACAGCGAGAGCTACAACCATTGCACTGAGTTCAAACTGAACTAGAAAAAATAACAATACGTTATACTGTGGAAAGAAAATAAATTATTTTGGAAAGAACCTTAAATGTATACATAAGGTCTTTCCTATTTCTAATTGCTACTTTTAGATTTAACTCTGAATTCCAAAATACCATTATATTTTGCAGTAGAAAAATTTGTCACTGCTCTATATTGACTTAATAATCATAAATGTTGTATCTTCTATATTGTTCAGGGTACCATGGTAGGCCCTGGAAATTTACAAGGGAAAAATATACAGCCCCTGATCTCGAGAAACTCACTGACAATAAAAACTTACTAATGTTTTAGAAATATTGTTTTGGATTTTGAATCTAAGTCATACAAATTATACTGTAGTCAAATAATTAATAGGCTGAAGTAATTGTTATGATGCCTTAATAAATTGAAAACCTATAAATTTATCTCTGGCAATTTCTACTTCTGAGAGAAAGAAACACAAAACTTTTCCAATTGTAAAACTATGTATCATGTTACTATAATTTAAAACAATTTTTTTTTTTGCCGTGCATTATGTTATGTCGACTTGTTCAATCAACGTACAGAATATAATTGTGAGGAAAAATGACATGTACAAAATGAAGTAGTGAAATTGTCCCGGTATAACTAAAATAAGCAACTTACAGTTAAAACTGTAAATCTAGGCTCACATTTCCACTTGACTCTTTTTTTTTCCTTCCATGGAAGAGGTCAATTAAGATGGCAATGACAGCCTAGGATTTCAGGTTTTTGTAGGTTTAAAGATTCTTATATTTTTGAAGCATTTTTCTTTTCCTGATTATGGCAACCTGGAGTCTGTAATAATGCAGATATTAATATTGGACTTTCATGAAAGCACTAACCCTGTTAACACTAAATCTCACCTTAGGCTGTGCCTTCAAATTAATAAAAAAAAAATGTCTAAGCCGGATGTTTGAATAAAACCTTTGCCATGATTGTGTATATGTTTTAGGCAAAAAGTATTCTGTTGGCCTGCATTGTTGAGCTAATGGCCTCAATCCTCCACAACCTTTGCATATGTTCCAGCACAGCCATTAGCCAGAATGGGTAGCTATTCGGAATTATTTTTTTTCTTTTCCTGTGAATAGCTGCTCTTAAGCTGCATCTATCTAATAACTATTCATAAACAGCTCAGTTCTCATTCCTTCCTCTTAGCAGTAGATCTCCATATGAAGAACTCTTGCTAAATTTAAAAGTTTCCTTACACAGACAGAAGGGAACTCAAGGCATATATTCACAAGTCATACATGTCAGTCAGCTTGGCACACATTTAACACTACTTTAAGTGTAGAGTTATTTTCTATAGTGACTACTCCTTTTCTTCTTTCTTTTTAGTCACAAGTTGGTTTCTATTCTATAATATTTTTAAGAGCAATGTAGTTTGCTCTTTGAAAAGAAGAAAATGGGAAGATAACATTTTAGTGAATATATAAACAGGGACATAACCTGTAAAAACTGGATGGAGATAATCAAAGTTTAGAACATGTGAAGTGTTAGTTGGGACTGATTTGAAAGATTAAACTTGTCAGAATGACACAAATCCAGAACAATAGGGAGCTCCACCAATCAATAAAAGGGATCCGGCAGTGGAAAAAATGAATGTGAGAAAAGTATTGGAAAATAGAAACCACGAAGAAAGAAACTGACATTGCTTAATCTAGAGGAGAAATGGTTTGAGGGAAACAATAGAAATTTCATCATATGAAGAGTTATCTTATAGATGATGGAGTCCACATGTTTCCCTGTCCCCTTAGCTAATATGGAGCTATGTGAAAACAGAAATTTTAGGTTAATTATTGTGGCTATACAGAATGAGCAACCCTAAAATTGTTGATCAAGAGATAGATATTGGAAGATTTACTCAGCCATGCAGATTGACATTGGGCCAGGTACCCACAGAACTTTATTAAAATTAACCCTCAAACCAGAAGCCAAGATTTTGATGGCCCCAAGCATCACAGATATGTATTCATATATGTATGATATATAAATTTTTTAAAAAGAAAGGTATTTGATATCTATCTAGTTAAGATTATTTGGGATTATTACTCAACCTTTTTCTGTATCTGAGAATGGCCATTTTCCTCATGCATGTTTCTTATGTTTTTCAGTGGTTTCCACTGAATACCTCCATGAACCTAGATATCTAGGAATAAATTCTCATCTGGTAAAGCCCATTTCTCAGTAAAAGCAAGAAGCTAGGTCACATTTAGAGTAGTAAGCCTTTCTTAAGAATGTAATATTACTGAAATGTATAAGATAAATTTATTATTATTAACTGATATGGTTTGGCTCCTGTGTTCCCACCAAAATCTCATATCAAATTGTAATCCCCACGTGTCAGGGAAGGGACCTGGTAGGAGATGATTGGATCATGGGGGCGGATTTCCCCTTTGCTGTTCTCATAATAGTGAGTGTTCTCTCACGAGATCTGATGTTTGAAAAGTGTGACACTTCTCCCTTGTGCTCTCTCTCTCTCCTGCCACCATGTGAGGAAGGTATTTGCTTTCCCTTTGCCTTCTGCCATGATCGTAAGTTTCCTGAGGCCTCCTACTCATGCTTCCTGTTAAGCCTGTGGAACTGTGAGTCAGTTAAGTCTCAGGTAGTTATTTATAGCTTGTGAAAATGGACTAATACACTAACTTTCAATGAAAGCTAGATATTTTGAGTGATTCATCACTTTTTTGTGAAATGGCACCTTTGATAGTGAAATAGAAAATTAAAACAAGATAGTCATTAGAGGCAACAATTTGAATAGATGATTTGAGGTTATTTTTTTTTTCAGTGGAATCAGGTGATGATTATGAGTCTTTTATTATATAATGTTCACAGAGAGATATAACATTCAAAATAACACAATCAGAAGCAAATACTATATGCACTAATTATTTATATCAAAAGTGACATTGTACAGTTCCATTTCTGGCTTGGTGGAGTAGCCCATCAATTCCATTGACAATAACAGAAAACTCTACACAAATTATTTTAAAAAACAACAAAAACAGTAATCTTAGGATACCAGTAACTAAATAAAAGTATAAAACTTTTGCATGGGAGACCAAAATTATAGAAGCAACTCACATGAGCATGAGTTTCCTCTTACTCTTCTTTTTACTCATAACTGAAACTCCAATGAAACAAATCTTCTTGAACCACAAAAAGCAGAAAAGAGGACCCAGTGGGTTAGAAGGCATAGGTGAATCCCTGAGACATGAGACTCAAAGAAGGGGATATGCTAATTCCGGAGACAACTATACACAATTCTCAATTTAACCCATGAACTATGCATTTTTGGAACAGCAATGAACCTGTCTCACAGGTTTTGAGAGCTGAACTGAGGTTTGAACCTCCTTCACAAATCTTACAATAACCCTGAACTACAAATACAATGCATAGATCCAAATCAGCCTAGCAGAAAGTGTGAGAATGAACTGAGATTTGAACTGAGATAGCTCAGACGACAAGGGACAAAATTTACAATCTGAACACAACGAGGTTGGTTTGTGGTAAAAACAAATTTACAGTCTCTACAGGATTATAACAAGACTCAGAGTTCGCACAATATAACATTTGCAATATCCAGAATATTATTCAAAATTACCTGGCATAGAAATAACAATAAAAATGTGTCCAAATCTCATGGGCGAAAATTCCAAAATGACCCACAATTCGGAATTATCATACACATCTTTAAAATAAATAATGTAAATATGTTTCATGAGATAAGAAAAGATAACAACATATAAGCGTAATCATAAATATTGGGTAATCATTTTTGTTGATTTGGAAACACTATTATATATAGACAAATATTCTAGATCAAGCAGAAACCTTAAGTCAATGTGTAACACAATCCTGATAAGTTTTGGTCAGAGAATGATTCTAGAATAGGTTACAGGTAATTTCAGTTTAGGGGAAAGATAAAACCAGAAAAGTTGCATTTTAAACTCTGTCACTAGAGGGACCAATTAATGACAACTTTGTGACAATTTTGGACCTTTCCAAGTTTTAGTTTTCTCATCTGTACAAATTGGCTAATCTGCCTATATCACAGGTTTATTTAGAAAACAAAATTACTGCAATTTTCTTGGACTATAGATTATACTCTACCAGTATTTGATGGTGTTGCCGTTCACTGAATATTTGGTGCTGAGTCACTTGCTTTGCATATCTCAAAACTCTTTTATTAAATTAATATTATGCCATTTTACAGAATTCTATATTGAATCTTGCATAGCAAGGTGACCTGCCTCCAAATCCTCTATGTTGATCCCCTGTGCTATGTGAGCTGCACATCTGGGAGGGCTTTCTGGGAGAAATAACTCTGTGTGTGTGCATGACAGTAAGAATAGCACCATCGGGAACGACAAGTCTTTCCAAACAAAATGAACTGAACAAAGCTTAAGGCATGTGGTGCAAAAAATGATTTTGTTTAAATCAACTCAGAAATGAGTCAATTTACACTGCTTAAGAAAATGAGACCTGCAGTAGATTGTCTAGCGTTAGAAGATATTGTTTTTGTATCTAATTGTTTTAGTGTCTCTTCCTGATTGAATATTTAAAGAATGAGCAAAGCTGATTATAAATGTAGGTAAATTCATTCTCCATGATACCATCTGAACAGGGAAATAGATACTTATCTCTATCCTCCTGTTACAATGCTCTCTCTCCATCATTAGAGTTTGTTCCTTGGGTTCACATATGTCTATCAATTTCTGTGCCAAACCTGCACATTCAACATATCTTTCCAAATATCTCAGAGTCACTATTATATAAGAGACTATAGATTTATTGGTAGTCTGGACTGCATGAGGATATTTAGAATTCAGAAAGGAAAAAGTGCATCAGAACAAAACAAAAGGTGCATTCAAACATAGGGTGCTGTAATCACAAGAACCACTTATGACGAGCTTCACCTCCCTTTCAATTTGGATAATTTCACATTCAACTTCTTTGTTAGCCACTTTGATCTTTCCAATGATAAGCAGAATAGAATGAGATGAAAAAAGCTAAACAATCAGGTTCTTCATATTCAAATTTGTAAAGATTTGTATATTCCCAGCTATTTATCTAAAACGAAACCATTTTTTGTTAATGCTGTGGTTATTTTTATTTTGAAAGCTTTGCATCAGATAGTCAAAACCTTGAAATAACTACTTGGCACATATCAAATATATATTTTAGATAAATATATAGGTAATTTGGAACAATTCCTCTTCCAATATTTGTTGAGCATCTTGTCTGTACCAAGTATTTTAGTGAGTGTTACCTTAAGGATGATTAATATTTTAATGAATAGTAGCTGAGAGTTGGTTATTTGTCTAACAACCCAAACTGTCATTTTCTATAGCCTATACATGGATATTGAGAGGTTAGTTATTAATTCATTCAATAATAATTTACATGAGATTTGTCACTTATTATTTGGTAAAAGTCCAGTATGCTTTCTAGTAACAAGAGAAAATGAATGAAGGCATCTATAAGACAGCCGCCAAAGTACTTGTCATCTAAAGAATTGTGTGCTTTTACAAAATGTTTCTTTGAAATCCATAGTATGTTATACTAATATTAACATAATATGATAATACTGTATTTGCATATAACTATTAACATATAATGTCATGTAGTATACATTTGACACTTTAATATATCCTGTTATATTAATATTATATTAATATAGAAAATTTTAACATCAAAGTCTACAATTAAGAGAGCCTTTCAGCTGGAGCAGAATAAATAAATCCAAACTATGTGTTATCATTACATTCTTATCCATTCAATGTGTCTTGCCCCAGGATTATTTGGTTCCTCCAGTACAGACTATTCTACATACCAAGTGGCTTGCATTGAGATACAATGGCCATGTTCTCTTTCCAAAGCCATCAAAGAATAGCAACTCTCATGATGAATACTTAAACAATGCAGCACCTATGACCCTTGTGGCAATGGCAGATATAGAAAAAATACAGGAATAAATTCTCAGATTACCTTGAGAATCTGACAACTGACATTTGCAACAATGTTAATAATTCAGTTTTCAGATCCACACTGTCATGAGAGCCTCCAATGATGCTGCCACTTGCATGATTCATATGCTCTCTTCCCCAATACTACATGGAAACATGGAGCTTCACATTGCTGGGAAATCAGGATCCGTTTATCTCTACCAATCTCTTGTGACTGACAATTATCCATAAGAAAATTGGGTAGCAGTAACTCATTTGCAAGTTCTTCCACTTTGTGTCTTAAATTAGAAAAAAATGGGAGGCATATGTTTTGTTGCTTTGTTTCAGGAAATAGGATACAGAAAGTAGTAGAAATTAACACGATCAACTCTAAGAGGTCTAAAGCTTTAATAATATTATATTTGTACAAACTATTACTTAGTATTGACGAAATGTCTTGGGCTTTGCTTGACTCCCGATTCTTATTGCTAGTCAGAGGCAACACTAGTTTATTATCAGGACTTATTTTTAGCTTTGTCTCTGAGTTTTTTGTGAGATGAGTTGCGGTGATCTCATCAAACCCTAGTTTAATAATCACATTAAAATTCTTAGATTGTGTAGATGGTGACGTGTTTCATTTATAAAATTAGGATTCGTAAATGATAGTCTTAGTAAATTTATTATTCATATGCTTTATGCTATTTCAGAATAACATGAATACTAAAAAATTAAAAGTAAAACCATTAGCAACATAACCTTCAGCATATTTTTGTGATGTCAATAGAATATGCAAATATGCATTGTTAATAAAAATAACAATAGACACCTTTTAGAAAATAAGTATTAAAACTTCGGCACTTTGTATTTTTCTCTATTTCTTTTACTTTTTGATATTGATTGATTTTACCTTCTCATTAGCCAAACCCAGTCTATTTCTTACAATGAAACTTTAAGATAGGTGCTATTATCCTTATTTTACAGGTGTGAAAGATAACACTCAGAAAAGTGAAGTAAGCTTAAGTTCATAGAGTTAAAAGCCAGTGTAATCAGGATCCATACCTAATGTTATCTCATTCCAAATCCTGTGTGCATTATCCCAAGTCCTGTGCTTCCCACTATAGCATAGACAGTATGTAAGATGTACTGTAAGTGATATATTACATATGCATTGTGAAATGAAAATAATTATCTTACAACTCCAAACTCACTATGCCAAAGAGAATAGTCAAGCTTGGGAAACGAATAAAGTAAAACTGCCTCCCGTTTTGTTCCTAAATAGATAGCTACAAAGATAAAAGGCTACATACTTCCCCAAGGGGCCTCCCTTACAATTTGTTCAAAAAATAATTTCTTGTGGTTCCCAAGATTCCCTGAAACAGTCCTGTTGACTTTTACCCTGACAATATACATTAACAACTTATCTTCACAGGTATGGGACAAGGACAGGACTAGGAGTCATTACTCCATTCAACTGAGACAAATGCATGTTCGACTGCTTCCTCCACTCTATGTTTACTTTATCTTATGTAAAACTACAAATTCACTGAGCATAATTGACTATTCCTCGACCCCCTCCTTTCATTTGTAATATGTGGCTTCAGTGAAGGCTGATCAAAACCTTAAAAGAATGCAACAACTTGCTCCTTTTATCTACCCTCCCCATATTTTTTCTTTCCTCTTTCCCCTACTGCCCCCCTTTTTTCTCTTTAAATATTGAAGTCCTTAAATCCTCTTTGGAAAAAGCAGGAATCACAGATGTTTCTGTGATTTTTTGTTACGTTTTCCTTGGTGCATCTTCAACCTTGGTAAAATGAACCTCTAAAATGATTGAGACTCACCTCAGTAATTTTCTTTGATTTACAATATATAGAAAAGCAAGATTTCACATGTAAAATCTTTCCAGCATTATAACATGGATAGATTGAGGATTAAATGTGACAAGGTGCTTATTAAAATGTAAACCAAAATATTGTCATTCATATATGTATATATATGAATATATATACAATCATAGAATTTGTAATCCTTACAAGTCCATCATATAATATATGCTAGTTTAGTGTATAGGGTAATTAATCATATAAACTACATGCTATATATATGCTTTTATTAACTGCTTATGTGATCTTTACGCCACTGAGACGCCTAGAGGTCAAAGTTACTTATAATTTTATTGGCTTACTTTTCTTTTAATATAAATATGTATGAATAACAGCATTCACAAAAGAGTTATATTTCTATTATAATAAAATATTTCCAAACTACCAAATATTTATTAAGGTTATACCAGATAGCATACTTACTCTACTTTCTTGGTCAACAAATTTATTATGATTTTACCATTTAAGTTATGTTACTTGAAACATAACCAGGCCATTTGTGCTGTGTGCAAAAATTGACCAAAAAGTTAAAGTCACTAAGTATCATTTACATTATTTTGACACTCCATATGATGTTCCTTGTTGGGTGAAGTAGTGAGAAATACTAATATATTTCTATTGCTATAGATCCATTTTCTTCTCCAAGGAGAATATTCATGGTTCAAGCTTACCAAGTTGAGTGAATTCCATTTTCTTAAACAATTGCTCACAATTATACCATATATTTCACCTGGTGTTTGGATAATGATTTTACTTCTTTCTTACATAGATCTTTCCCTAAAATTTTTATTTTCCCCCACAGTGGGGTGACCTTTTAATTTAACTTGTGTCTTTAACTTTGTGGTTCCAGCTTCTCAATTATTCTAGCTTTTGCATATTCTCCGCTTATGTGAAAAGTTTCCTATGAATTTTTCAGTTTTCCTATTTCAATCTGGACTTTTTTTTTCCTCTAGGACTACCACACGCGTGACATGCTGGAAGTCTACTCTTTCCTACATTATATATTTTCCAATCTCTTCATATGCTTCCTTGTTTAATTTAGTATAGCTCAACAAACTGTTTAAATTACCTGAAAGGAAAAGATTCAATTTTCACGTATCTAAAAGTGTTCTGTCCTCTCACAAAAATCTGATAGATTTGCTGGGTACTGAATAAAATATTCAAATTAATTTCCCTTTAAAATTTTGTAGAGTTTGCATCACAATCTCCTAGAATCCAAAGCTGTAATTGAAAAACTGGTAATTTTTTAAATTTATTTTTTGGAAGTTAAAGTTTTCTTTCTTTAGTAAGTGAATATGTCTAAGTATGAATCTTTTCTTTCATTCATTTTGGTGGGCATGCCGTGGGCCTCTCTAAACTGAAGATGTGTTCTTTAGCTTGTGAAAAGACCTCTTTCTGTTCTACAATTATGCCTCTTATGGTGTTATTTTTGGTCTAAGTATATGATTTTTTTAAAAAAACTATTTTGATATCTCATAACGTGATTTTTAAAGCTCTTTTCTGTTTCCTAGTTATGAATTATTTTTTTCAAAGATCAGTTTTTCTATTTATTTTTCTTTGTATTCTCCTCCATTTTGTTGTATCTTTTGTGTGTATCTGGAGATTCTTGACAGTCCATTTATATTTAAGATTTATGAAATGTGAGTTTCCTCTGCTATTTTGCAAGCAGATAAATTCCATAATAGTCATCACCCATGTGAGAGAAATATGGCTGGAAGTAACAATAGAGTCTCAGGTTTTGTTTGGAGTTGGATGAGGAAGGAGCTGGCTTTCAGCCTGGAACACTTATATTCCAATTTGCAGAAGGCTTTGTCCTGGGGAAGCAGCACCTACACTAAAGCTCTCCAAGTTATTTGAAACTACCCAAATAATAAATTTATTTATATATTTACTCATTTATAATTTGCCTATGGGATGAAGCCAACCTGCTTCCTTCTTTGCATAGAGATAGCAGAGTAGGAAGACACTAATTTTTCCCTATATAGATTTTAAGCTAATCTTCTTCTCAGCTCCACTTTTCACTTCTGTTCTTCATCAGATCTACAAACTTTTATTTAAAGTCCTCCTGGAATTCTGACAGAAATGTAAGCTTATCAAAGTATGTTCTGGGTTGTAACTTCTTCTGACCTACCCACTTTAACTTGTCCAAGAATAAATTGAAAACCCTCATCTACTCATGAATACCTCTTACCTATTCTCTTTACTCTTACGGGTTATCACATTTTTGTATTTTAGGCCTTGCCTTTCATTGGATCTGAAGGATGAGAAGCAAACATATCTGTTCAGTCATCTTGAAGTGGGACATGCCTTTTTATAATGTCAAATGATACATTTACACTATTTTCAAAATTGTAGATGGTATCTCCTGAATTACCAAGCATGTAAAATGAGGAAATTAGCATACCTATGCTTTGCTCCAGTTTTTTCCCTCCCTACTTTATCCCAACTACTCTCATCATTCCATAATGTTTAAATCACAAAATTGATAACTCTTGCATCTTTTTAAGCCAGTAACGTCTTCTGTGCTTGTTAAATATAATGATTCTGAAAATTGAAAACTGGAAAGCAGTGTTTATGAATTGTCCTATACAGAACATTATATTCAAGGAATTTTTAAAATAAAAAAGGTTTAAACTTATAACTATGACAATGAGGATAATAAATTAGTTCTCATATTCCCCAAATAGTATTCATTTCTTTAATAAAAATTAAAAGCTGAGGTTATTAGGAAGTTAATTCATGTTATAAGTTCTGCATTGCTATTGGTCAAGTAATATTCCAAATACCCAAACACAATGACCTTTTTCCTTTCTTTTATTTTCTTTTATTTTTTAACAGAGTCTCACTCTGTCACCCAGACTGGAGTGCAGTGGCGTGATGCAGGCTCACTGCAACCTCCATCTCCCGGGTTCAAGTGATTCTCCTGCCTCAGCCTCCCTTGTAGCTGAGATTACAGGTCTGCACCACCACACCCAGCTAATATTTTTGTATTTTTAGTGCAGATGGAGTTTCACCATGTTGCCTGAGCTGGTCTCAAACTCCTGACCTCAAATGATCCGCCTCTGCCTCCCAAAGTGCTGGGATTACAGGTATGAGCCACTGCACCTGGCCACAATGACCTCTTTTCTGATGACTTTCTGTTCAAATATCCTGCATGTACTTCCTCCACAGCTTCAAAAGCCCTGCCTTCTTATTATTATTATTACAGAATCTTCCTGATCGCTCTCTCATAGCCTCATTTCTCTTCCCCAACACACATTTTTATGTACTATTGGCTTAAATTCCATGCTCAAAAGTCACATGTGTGTATGTGTTTTTCTCTTTCCATGGTTTGACATCTATGTGGTTTAGCAAAAATTACACTTACCAGCTGGAAGACAATCTTTCTTAAGTTTGTGATTTGTACTTCCCATTGCCTATTGAACATTTTTGCATAGATGTGCCATGGACATGTGAACAGAATTCATTGGCAATTACATTTCCGCCTCCACACTGACAATGCTTCTTCCTTGGGGGTTTTCTGTTTCAATTATTACGTCATCTTTTATAAAGTCTTCTAGGCCAAAAACGTAATTTTTCTTCCTACCCCCTTTTATAGTTGCTTAGTTTTCTGTAGTGTTTCTTCCATCTATCTCTTTCTGTCTGTCTACTTTATGGAGACCTAAATTCATCATCTTTTGCCTGTCTAACCACAATGATCTCCAAACTAGTTTTTCTCTCTAGTTACTGTCCGTCCCAATGCATACTTTGCAATATCATCTTTCTAAGGCCAAGAAGATATTAACTCTTTGCTCCAAAACATTCAAGTATCCCCAAAAGTCTTCAAAAATTAGAGGCAGGGTTCCTCTGTATTGCCCAGGCTTGTCTTGAACTTCTGGGCTCCAGCAATCCACTTTCCTCGGCCTTCCAAAGTGCTGGGATTATAGGCGTGAGCCACCACACCATGCTGCGTGATTCTTAAGCACACTAATACTGAAAGCAACTGTCTTTCTTGCATTTTTCCACTTGCAATAAAGCAGAACTCTCCTGTCTCTTCTCACTTGTTTAATTTTCATAATAATGTTAATGATGAGTAATATTTACTAAACATTTGTTATATAGCAAATATTGCATTAAGAACATTGTATGCTTTATATCATTTAATCCTCACAACCAACTTAAGAGAGATTCAATAATTATACCTATTTTGAAGATCTGCGAATCCATGTACAGAGAGGGTAAGTCCTTTGCCTCATGTCACATATAAAGTTCCAGATCTTGCCTTACAACTTGTGTTCCTAAACACAGTGCTTTTCTGGCTCAGCATCTTATGAAGATTTACTGTTTTTCTCTTAGTTTATCATGAAGTGTTCTCTGGTGTGAGATTTTCATTTAGCCTCAGACAGCTAAAATATATTCACGTTGCCTTCATTATTTGTGAATCAAAAGATTAGTGTATTTTTCGAAAGACATTCCATCTAGAGGGCTGGGTTAAGCTCTTATGTTTCAATATCCTTAATTGATTTTCAAAGTATATTCCTTTCAACACATGATGAAATCATTAGTAAATATAGATTTAGGACTGCTGTGAATAGTTAGGCTAAATTGCCTATCACAGTTTAGCAGTTTGAAGAAAACCTCAACATTGAAAGCCTTTTAAACTTTACTACTGGGGTGACATGAGCTGGCAAAGCTGTTATCACCTGATAACGCATTTCTAGGTGAGCTACATTTTCCAAAGGCCATTGTATCCTGTGGTGATGATGGCTTGTCATTGCACAGCCCACTGGGCACCATTGAGAGAAATTGTCCTAGAACATATATAGAACCAGACAATTAATGTGCTCTGTTCCTGAGAAAAGCAAGGGAAATACAACCTTTGATGGTCTCATTTAAGAAATAGTTTTCCCCTCTGCTAAACACTCCCCAACAAGCCTCTTTCATTACTTAAAAATCCAAAAGTGACTTGTCTGACAAATACCTGGCCCTGCAGTAAACCATGAGGCTCTTGGCCTAGAAGAGGGAAAGAGAGCAGGCACAGATGATGTCACCCTCTGTCCCTACCACCTGCTTATTGACTCGAAAACACAAGCTAGTTTGTCTTTATCACTGCGCAAACTGTTCTTCATCTAGTATTTTTCTTGGCTGCCTCATTCTGCTATCTCCTCACTGTGTAGTGCGTGTTTGTAACTGGAATTCCGATGGCTCTCATTTTACATCCAAACAGTTCTAGTTTCCCCTTACCATATGGTCATCCTGATGTTACCATTTGCCTCAATCATCCTTTTTGTAGCTGTTTGAACATCTTAATTGATCTCATGAGCTATGTTAGGGATTTATAACAGACATCAGGATAATTCATCTCACACACACGGACTGGGTCTTTTTTCTGATTGGAAGCATGGTACGTATACATAGATATTTATATTTCTCTAAAACCTACGTTTCACCTTTGTGAGAACATAAATGAGCTTTCAAAGGCTACAGCTCACCAGAGGAAACAATTTACCTGTGTTCCCTCGTCTGATATGGTATTTTCCATTCGCTGAAGTGTTTGGTGTATTACAACATACTTAAGCCCTTTCCTCCTGTTTAGACAGAGTGGTAAATATACTCAGCTTTAAAAGTTTTCTGGAATAAACTGTAAGTTCATATTTTACTTGGTACCCCATTGTTTTTCTTACTTTCTCACTCATTCATTTTTACTATCAATAAGACACTCAAAATTATTAAACAATATGTGTTCATGATTTTTTTTAACCCTCGGGACACACCAATTTGCATTGGATCTTTCCACATTTATCCAAGATTCCACATTTATCCAAGATTCCACATCTCTCTTCAAGCCTGCTTTTCATCATTGACTCCTATGTCATCAAAGTAAATTCTCAAAAGCAGATGCCTATAGCTATGCAAACTCGCCCCTGACACACACCGTTATAAACCCAGTAGAGTGAAAGCTAACACAATAGACTGAAAGGATAGTTTATAAAATTTCCTGCTTGTTGTATTTTAAGCCCTGGCAAGTGGGTATCTATCTAAGTCATTTTTCTGGGGGGAAGATGACTGACTAGTTTATTTTCAGTATCTGGGAATTGGGCCCACTTTAAGAAAAATTATTAAGTGAGCAAATTTGATCGCTGGTACAATTAGCGCTTCTTCTGTTCTTCCCAATCGCCTATCTTATTTTAAATCAGGGACCAGAGACTATCCCCGTGTTTTCAACCTTTCTCAGTTTTATCCCAAGGTTGTAAGCTAGATCTTATATCTTATCCAGGAGCATTTACCTTTGGAAATTGACTTACAACTATGAAGCCGGAGGATTAATCTTCAGGAAGAATTTTGAAGTGTTGGGATGATTTATTTTTTGTGTGCTCATTTGATGATCTGGTTTCCTAAAATCATTTGCCTGAAGTTATGTCTCTTGTGTACAATGCTTTACAGAGTATCCTATAGATTTCCTGACTCTGCCTAGGGGAAGAACTACTGGGTCTGAAGCCAGATGTCTCCAAGGAGAAAGAAAACATTGAATGTTCTAAATAAATATTATCAAAAATGAATCGGAGGCAGCATAAAGCCCAGAGTTTTTGTTTACATGATGTTAGGCCATTGAGAAATTTCAGTGACTAGATCACTCTCAGTAGACAATAGTCCATGGAAGCCTATACAGTACAACTGTGAGATTTTACTTAGAAAATCCATGGACTTCAAACTTACATCTTTTATTTACTTATGTATGTGATTTAACATAATTCATTTAACTGGCTTAATTTGAAATAAATGAGTAGAAGCCACACTGGAACATATACTTGACTGCATGGCTGTGTCAGGTTACATCCTCTATGTACTTTCATTTCCTAACTTGAGAAATAAAAACATTTGTACTTACCTTTCCACAGAGAATCACCACATCATTTTTTATTTTTTTTAACTTTGGAGGACAGAATTGTTTTATACAGCATCGATCAAATTCCAATTCTATCCCTTACTAACTCTGTATTTATGTGAAAAACACTTAACTTCTCAGTTTCCACTTCTTTGAAGTGTGGATAATAATATCAATCTGGGATGGTTTTCAGGAGAACTAAATGGCTTAATATATGTGCATTGCCCAGTGTTGGCAGAGCAGGCTCTTACCAGGCATCAGTTCCTTTCTGATATTGATGTGTGTGGCAAGGATGAATCTTTCTCCAAACTAATATTAAATCCACAGAGAATTACATAATGCCCAGAATAATGCTATTGCTATGGGCACAATTCCTATAAAGTAGAAACAACTGAATTGATCGTTACAGAACTGAATAAATGGCCTAGAATTGAGCCTTATATTAGAAACAGAGACTTGAATGAGACACTAACAGTAGAGCATTTGGGAAATCAGTTCAAAAGATGACAAGGACAAGAAGTAAGGAAAGGGGGCATCAAAATCTGCACAGAGAGTTAAAATAAAGAAAAGTTAAGTGCTGTTTGGGGGTGGGAAGTGTTTCATTCTAAAATTATGCTTTTGGAAAAAAATCTTTTGAAAACTACAATGAAAGGTTAGAATTTGTAACTGTCCAATGGGTTCACCTTGTACCCTGCCTAGACAGAGCTGATTTATCAAGACAGGGGAGCTGCAATAGAGAAAGTGCAATTCAGGCAGAGTCAGCTGTGCAGGAGACCGGAGATTTATTATTACTCAAATCAGTCTCCCCAAGCATTCAGGGATTGGAGTTTTTAAAGATAATTTGGTGAATAGGGGTTCAGGAAGTGGGGAGTGCTGATTGGTCAGGTTGGGGATGGAATCATAGTGGGAGTTGAAGTGAGGTTTTCTTGCTGTCTTCTGTTCCTGGGTGAGATCACAGAACTGGTTGAGTCAGATTACTGGTCTGGGTGGTGTCACTTATCCATTGAGAGCAGGGTCTGCAAAATATTTCAAGTACTACTCTTAGATTTTACAGTAATGTTGTTATCCCCAGGAGCAATTTGGGCAGGTTCAGCTGAAACCCCTAAAGGAGCTGTACTGAGACAGACACCCTACAATGAATGGGGCCACGGAACTAATCAGGAGAGGGAAGGAGTCATTGGCAGTGCCTAGGATACTCACAGAATGGGTCAACCCATAATGGAACTACTGAAAGACACTGCACCCTCTGGCTACAGACAAATACCCTGTGATAGGGCTACAGTTATGGGGTGTCTCCCCAGGGCTGTTTCTCCATGACAATTAAATCCATGCACATTGGGTTGGCAAGGCCCCACTGGTAGAGACATTGTTAGAGTCAGCCTCCAGTCCAAGAAAACAAGGCCGCCACTTGGGCTGGCCTCTGAATCCATTGCTAGAATTGTGCTACCAAACCACAGGCAGATATCCCCAAGAGCAATCCTGGATGAGCTCCCAAATTTGTAACCGCCCAATGGGTTCACCTTGCCTGCTGCCTAAATAGAACCAATTTATCAAGACAGGGGAATTGCAATGGAAAAAGAGTAATTCAGGCAGAGCCAGCTCTACAGGAGACCAGAGTTTTATTATTACTCAAATCAGTCTCCTAGAGCATTCCAGAAATGGAGTTTTTAAAGATAATTTGGCAGGTAGGGGCTTCAGAAGTGGGGAGTGCTGATTGGCCAGGTTGGAGATAGAATCAATCACAGGGGAGTTGAAGTGAGGTTTTCTTGCTGCCTTCTCTTCTGGGGTGGGATTGCAGAACTGAGTGAGTCATATTACTAGTATGGGTGGTGTCAGCTTATCCATTGACTGCAGGGTCTGCAAAATATCTCAAGCACTAATCTTAGGTTTTACAATAGTGATGTTATCTCCAGGAGCAATTTGGGGAGGTTCAGGCTCCTACAGCCAGAGGCTACATGACCCCTAAATCATAATTTCTAATCTTGTAGTTAATTTGTTAGTCTCACAAAGGCAAACTGGACCCAAAGCAAGAAGGGGGTCTTTTCAGGAAAGGGCTATTATCAATTTTGTTTCAGAGTCACCCATAAACTAAGTTCCTTCTCTAGGTTGGTTCAGCCTATACCCAGGAATGAACAAGGACAGCTTAAAGGTCAGAAAGAAGATGGAGTTAGTAGGTGTGATCTCCTTCACTGTCGTAATTTCCTCAGTTATAATTGTTGCAAAAGTGGTTTCAACATGGATTCTGCTCTCAGTAATCTTACAGGCTGTGGTTTGAGAGTAGGATTCGAGACTGTTACAAATAGTGGGCTTGTGTTAAAGACTGGATCAACTGAGAGGTGAATGTTATTAAATGATGTGACACTGGGCAATAAAGACACATAAGATGATTGTATGAGTCAGGATAGAGATAAAAACTGGACGGGCAATGTCTTCAAGGAGACCAAGAAGTCCTACAGATGACAAAGACAAAAAGATGGAGATAGTGGCATGACTGGAGGGGGTGATCTTCAAAAGAACCTAAGATTTTATATAAACACAAAGGAAGAATGAGTAGCAGCAGGAGTCATTCCCACAGAGGTGATAATTGAAGCTGGGTCCAGATGAAATTGCCAAAGGCTTATATAGAGCAATAGATTTCCAGGATGAAATCCTTATGTGAAGGTCAGTGCGGACTACAGAAATAGAGTCATTTTTATTCTGTGAAGTGGATAGAATTAGGCTCTGAGCCTGGGTTTTGCATGTGACTGTGCTCCTTGCCTGGCATTTTGGCACACATATTTGTTGATGGTTAATTGGATGCCTATTTGCCTAATTTCACTCTACCACCCTGCCTCACCAGAAGAGAAATTCTACACTTGTCTCCTAAAATTGTATGGGCTCTCAGAGTAGTTCATTTTCTCTCCTTTTTACAATTTTCTGATTCATAATGGCTTTCCTTTCATTGAAAGAGCCTTTGCTTTCAACCCATTTTCATTCATTAGCTAAGAAAACGATGCAGTGCGAGAAAGGAAATCTAGATGAGAAAGCTTGTAGAGACGGTGTACAGATTTTTTCCTAATTCCTTACGCAACTATGATACATCTTTTTAACTATGATAGCAGGACACCTCAAGTCAATCCAGATTATCTTTAGTTTAAAGTACATATTAATTATTGCATTTCCTCATACTGATGGTTAAACGATAAACTTACTGCTTGCAATCATGATTCAGCTATAGGAAAATGTTCTCAAATACTAAATCAGAATATTCTAGGTCTTATATTATCTAATATTTTCTTAAATTAAGGTAGAAATGCCCCCCCAAGTTTGTTTAGAGCTATCTTTCAGGAGAGAAGTTGATTGGTTTCATGCTGCTCAAAGTTCATGTAAGAAATCAAGAGTTTGCCACTATTGAAGAAATTTGATGCATTTTTAAACCTTTTTTCTTTACCTCAATATGTTGCTTAAAAATGGTAATAATGGGGGGGGGGTCAGGCACAGTGGCTCATGCCTGTAATCCCAGAATTTTGGGAGGGAGAGGTGAGCAGATCACTTGAACCCAGAAGGTCATGACCATCCTGGGCAACACAGCAAAACGTTGTCTACAAAAAAATGCAAAAATTCACTGGAGTGGTGGCACATGCCTGTGGTCTCAGTTACTCAGAAAGCTGAAGTGGAAGAATCACTTGATCCAGGAGGTTGAGGTTGCAGTGAGCTGAAATCACACCACTGTACTCCAGCCTGGGTGACAAAGTGAGAACCTGTCTCAAAAAAAGGAAAGAAAAAGAAAACAATAATTTTTGAGTGCTTAGAAAACAATGGTATTACACTAAAAGCTTATCTGCATTTTCAGAGCTAAACATTGTTCTATGAGTTGTTTTGTTATTAATGTTAAGATAACCATAACTGGGACATTTCAAAGAGTGAAAGAAAAATGTGTGTGGTAACTCTAGTTGTGTCCTCTTCTAACTATGCAGAAATAAAAACAGAGAGTTTGCAAAAATTTTCATAGCCAGTGCAATGGGCATACTGATTTCACATTTTTAGCAGTTTACAAAATTCAGGTTTAAAACATTTTAATTAATTTATTTTTTCTATACAGCACTTAGCTTAGTTCTTAAGGACTAGTAGTAATAAAAAAAGTTAATTCTGGAACTGAGCCACTTTCAGTTTAAAACTGGGTAGGTGTACAATCAGTTGAGGGTTCCTTATCTTTCCCGTCTGCTGTTTCTACCAGAAATGACCCAATTTCCTGGAAGACAGAGGTATCATTCTGGCATTGTGAACGGGTACCTTTTCAGGGTGCCCTTTGATATGCTAGCTGTCCTGCAGTCTTCGAGCATAAGCCTCTGTCTCCATTGCAGTTGCCGAGTTAATAGCTAGTCCTCTATATTCCTCAGTGGTTAGAGCCTCGCTAGTCTCTCAGAGTCATCTATGCCTGAACTTTAAGGACTACTCTAAAAATGCTGCTTCCCTTGGAGTCTCCTGCCTGCTGTCTAAGGACTCAGAGACTGTGCTTTTTCTGCACCACATTGCAGGTTGTGGGATCCTGCTATGCTGCCCTTTGGGATCCTAGACTCAGCCATCTCCCCCATCATTATGTCTCTCTGAGGCACCAAGCTACCTAGGATTTAACATGGGAAGCCAGCCAATGCTCGTGTTTTGGCATCCCCCAACTCCTCCTGGGGCCTTGGCACATATCTCTGGGGCTTAGCCCAGAAGGATGGGGTTTTGCACACCCTCTTAGACACTGAGCCTCCTTCTCTCCCTATATGTACCCTCTCCAATTTTTCCTCCCCCGCCATCTGGTCAAATTTTTGTCTCTTTTTATAGTGTCCAGAAAGGTTCTGTTATACCCTTATTTCTTCTGTAGTCTCCTTTTCCTCTGTGGTTTCTGATTTAAACTCTATTTCCCGATTTTTAATGTTAAATTAAAATACTACTATTATAAAATAACTCTTTACCCCCCATCTTTAGCTTAGCTCTTGCAAGGTATAAGGTATAAGTTAACTAATGTCTACAAAGAAACTTAAAACAAGAATCTGATAGGTTTCTCTGTATTCTTGTACCTTTCCATCTATATCATAAGAAGGCTGAGTTGTATAGAAAGCTTTGGTGGTGAAATAGCGTAAGGAGGATTTATGGAGAATTTAAATAAAATACACCAGGAGTTGTTCACTGTTAGTCGTTTGCCCCAATCATTGGCAGATTTAGCATAAGAAGATTTACTCTCACTTCTGACCATTATATTACACTGTATGCTATGTTAGATTTTAACTGGGCTCACAGTCAATAAATGATTGTTCTTGTTTCTGAACTGGTGAGGATTTTTAAGTTTAATTTTTTCAACAATTTTGTGTTAAACTTTCTATGCAACAGATATAGTGATAAGCCATGTGATATAGACATTTAAAAATCATATTTCCTGTCTTCAAAGAGCTTTCAGAACAGTGGATAAAAACAGATGCTGAAATAAACAATTATAATACTTCAGAAAACAAAGCTGTCCTGAGATGACTTTGGTGTCTTCTATTGGGAGGTCAACCCACTTTAGCCTGTGTCAGACCAATTGACTTGAATTTCTTGGAAATATTCAAGTGGACGAAGTACACCACGAACACTTTAAAAGTCGTGTTGATCATGTGGAAATATGTTTTATTATGTAACATACTGTAAAATTTAAACTATTTTGACTTTAGGTACAAGGTTGTCACCCACAAAATAGATATTAATATTAGATAGTGTGTGCAAATCCCAACAAAAAAATTGTGAAAGAAAAATAATCAAAATATTGTTCCACAATTCTTAGACCCTTAGAGGCATCTGAACACAAACAGATTACTTGAGAGCCTTTGCCGTCCTGTGATTTTCATTAACACTTCCCAAAGTGGCAGTTGAATCTTACCTTCTCAAGCAGTATTTGAATCTTACCTCACAAATCTAGGGGAGAGAGCTTAGTGGGATCCCTGAAACCACAAAATGCTTTCCCTGAAACCACAAAATACTTTCCCTGGCTGGGCGCGGTGGCTCAAGCCTGTAATTCCAGCACTTTGGGAGGCCGAGGCCGGCGAATCACGAGGTCAGGAGATCGAGATCATCCTGGCTAACACAGTGAAACCCCATCTCTACTAAAAATACAAAAAATTAGCTGGGCGTGGTGGTGGGCACCTGTAGTCCCAGCTACTCAGCAGGCTGAGGCAGGAGAATGGAGTGACCCCGGGAGGCGGAGCTTGCAGTGAGCCGAGATCAAGCCACTGCACTCCAGCCTGGGCGACAGAGCAAGACTCTGTCTCAAAAAAAAAAAAAAAAATGCTTTCCCTGGTGTTGGATGGCACAGAGTACTCGCTTATACCTAAAATAGCAGTAGCAACTATTGACCACAGAATAGAGACTTAGAATATGCTTGGATCTCAGAGTTTACTAGGGCAAAAAATATTTCCAATGGACTAAATGTGAGCCACAGGGAAGAGAGATTGCTAGGCTAGAGCCTTTTTAAGTTCTGCCAAAGAATGTCATGAGACTTCCAGAGCAAGCATATGTGTAAAATGAACAGAGGGTCATAAACAGAGATGCCCCCAGGGAACTGGATAGTCTATGAATTTGGCATTAGAGAATGGGTCCACTCTTATACCCTCATGGCTGAGATAATGAAGTTACCTTACAAGAGTATACATCATCAGCCAAATAAAATCTTTTCCTGATTTACCAATTTCCTCTGTTCCTGGTACCGGCTTAGACTCAATGTTTTTGTAAAACGGGAAGCTAAGAGTCAGAAAGGAAGTAAAAAGGGAGAGGGAGAAAAGGCCATACCATTCTCTACCTGCACTGAATTAAGTTTAATGATAGTTTCACTTCAAGGGGCCTTAAGAATGTTTTTAAAGGAGTCATGTGAAAAACAAAACAAGAAAATGGACCTGTTTAGTTTTTAACTAGAGGAAAGAGAAGGATAACAGGGCCCAATTACATACATTTTAAATAAATAATGGGAGACCATAATAAACAAATATACAAAAGTTATGCTTTGATTATATCAGAAGTGATGCTTATTAAACTTATAGGTTACATTTGGTGATGTTGGTGGGGTTTTTTCATTGAGGAATCTTTAAGAATTGAAACTGATAAAGACAGACTCCCATTTTGGCACTATGTGACCATTGTTTCCAGAAATTTACCATTCCATTAAATTTATTTTGACAAATTCATAGACATCTGTCTCTAATTGGGTTGATAAAATAAATATTTAGCCTTTTGAATTATTTTATTAATATACATGTTCAAACTGTAGGAAATACTAGTAAGTACAAGCTATTAGCAGAGAGCTTGCTACCCTCAAGCTCAGGGCCCATTTTCATATCCACAAAGACTCCCTGTGGCTCCTTTTCTCTTTGTAGTGTAGCTCCCATGGGTACATTTTGCTTTCTTTTCTCAGTGGTTGCCATTGCCCACTCTTATGGTTGTAATATTTCTTCCAAAAGCTTGGCTGTGATGCAGAGCACATAATCCCCTGTTTCTGTGAAACCATGATTCCCTAAAAGAAAAGCACAGGATACTTCTGCTCCTTGATATGTTTAAAAAAATAGAAAATATAGAACACACACACACATACACACACAGTGTGTATACAACCCCACACAAACACACATATAATTCCTATTTGCATGCATATAGGCAGTTGGAGCATTCTAAGAGCAGTTGTTGCTAATTTAATTTATACTGCCTGACTTTCTTTTGAAATGTTCAGTAGAAAAATCAATGCTAGATAAAAATTCCAAGTCCCGGAACTGTGTGACCTTGGAAAGCTTCTTTTTATTTTTCTGAGTTCTGAGCTTTATTTTTTTTTTCAGTAAAACTGGTACAATTAAATAATATTGCCAAACTGACAAGAGTTGTTCTAGTGATTAACTGAGAGAGAAGTCTCTGGCATATAGTAGACTTTCCATGGATACACTGGAATATTTTTTACCTTTCTTTGAGTAGAAGGAAAAAAATTGAATCAGCAAAACTACATAAACTATGTGCTCCTGTGGTCCTAGCTACTTGGGAGGCTGAGGTGTGAGAATTGCTTAAGTCTGGGAGGTCAAAGCTACAGTGAGCTGTGTTTGCACCACGGCACTCCAGCCTGGGCAACAGAGCAAGACCCTGTCTCAAAAATAAAAGCCAAAAAAAAACCACATAAACTAGAAAAATGAAACTTTCAATTGTTACCACCTCCAGCCCAACTTTCTCCCAAATGGACATTCCTTTCTTGTTTTCCATGGGATATACTTTGGAAGGCTCTGCTCTGGTTACTGTGTCACATAGTCCTATAGCTTCATTGGGCACACACAAATCAAGTTATATATTTCTTCTCTTGAATACAATGCAATTGTAGGCACACTAACTGTGGTGTCACAATATGATTATACCTGGCCACATTCAAGACATGAGAATTGAGTTAAACAGACAAGTTTTGTCTCTTTTTCCTTTTTCTTATTTTTTCTTTTGAAAAACTACTTTTCCATTTTGACTTACCTTAATATTAACCAAACTTGTGCTTTCCAGAAAATTAATCCACAGATTAATCAAAATTCAATTTTCACTGAATTTCTGGCAAGCCACACCAAAAGAGCAATATGAATGAGAAGCGAACGTGATGGTCTCAATGTGCCCCCCACAATTTATACATTGAAGCATAATTACTGATGTGAGAGTACTCAGAGGTGGATGGAAACTTCAGAAGTGATAACGGCATGAGGGCAGAACCCTCACAGATGGAATTAGGGCTCATATAAATGATCTGAGGAAATGGGTCGTTCATTCTCTTCCCCTTTCCCGCCATGTAAGGACACAGCAAGAAGGTCCTCACCAGACACCACCTGCCAGTAGCTTGATCTTGAACTTAAAACTTCTGGAAGTATGAGAAACAAATTTCTATTACTTATAAATTTTCTAGTCTCAGGTATTTTGTGATACCAGGATAAACTAAGGCAAATTCTTAGGGAGACCAATACAATGGAAAATTGTATTGGAAAAAAAAATGAAAGCTTGAAAATATTTCACTGTGAAACTTCCTACCTCTTCCATTTTATGAATAAATCCCTTGGCTCCAAGTAGAACCTGTGTCCATAGAAGACAAAGTAAAAGTTGCAGAATTGCAGTCATTAGAAAGATGAGTCTTACCATTACATTTAGGCATGGAAATTTGAAGCAGCTGTTTTGGATGGAGTTTGTCTCCTTTTTAATCTTTATTGATCTTATCAGATGATTATCAATTGATTGTCAGCACCTGACGGGCCTTCCAGTAAACTGCTATGAAAGTACTAAAGGACTTAGCTTTTTGAGATTTTAGATTTACAACACTTGCTTCAGCAATAATATCTCTTTAGCTCTGGTCACTGAAATAACTTTTATCCAGAATTTCAGTAACTTACCTGAAATATTTACCTCAAATATAGTGTAGAAAGTAGAAAGCAGTGTATCACATAAAATCAATAATACAGGAACTTAGGTTTAATAATTAGTTCTGACGGCCAGGCACAGTGGCTCACGCCTGTAATCCCAGCACTTTGGGAGGCTGAGGTGGGCGGATCACGAGGTCAGGAGATCGAGACCATCCTGGCTAACACGGTGAAACCCTATCTCTACTAAAAATACAGAAACAAATATTAGTTGGGTGTGGTGGCGGGTGCCTGTAATCCCAGCTACTCAGGAGGCTGAGGCAGAGATCTTCAAGAACTTCTTAATACCAAGGGCAAAATCTGTTAACTGGGATGTTTGAGATGCTATGTAACATAGTGGGACCAGAACATGCATATTTGCTTCCTCCTGACTAGATAGATGTGTGATCTTGGGAAATGCCTTTCTAACTCTGATCCGCAGTTTCCTCAACTGTAAAATGAAAGTAATCCCTCTCTCAACAAAACTGCTGTCAGCATTAAATAATGGAGTGCTTAGCATAAAATCAGGTAATGCCAAACTATTTCATAAATGGTGATAATCATTATCAAAATGAATGATGTGCTCTCAGTACAAATTGATCCCTAGTTATAGCAGTATCGTAAATCAGGCTTTTTTTAAATATTATTTCACAAATACTATCTCATTTTATACATACAGTAACTTCAAGAATTTGCATGAAGGAAATCTTTTTTTTTTTTTTTTTTTTTTTTTTTGGAGACGGAGTCTAGCTGTATTGCCAGGCTGGAGTGCAGTGGCTCCATCTAGGCTCACTGCAACTTCTGCCTCCTGGGTTCATGTGATTCTCCTGCCTCAGCCTCCTTAGCAGCTGGGACTACAGGCGCCCACCACCACGCCTGGCTAATTTTTTTTTTTTTTTTTTTGTATTTTAGTAGAGACGGGGTTTCACCATGTTGCCCAGGCTGGTCTCGAACTCTTGAGCTCAGGCAATCCGCCCGCCTCTGCCTCCCAAAGTGCTACGACTACAGGCATGAGCCACCGCGCCTGGCCAATAAATCATTCTTTAGTTTGTAGATGAGAAATCTAAGGTTATGAGAGACTTATATTTCCTCAAATCATTCCACACAGTCACTGCAGCAAAAGATCCCAAAATCAGATGTTCTAACTCTCCATTCTTGGATACTTGTTATGACATCATATTGCATTCCAGTTTTAGAATTACTAAGTTACGTATTTTGGTTCATTGAAGGACTTTAATGCTACAATTCTCCTGAATTAAAACAGAAAGAAAAACCATGAATCTTTTAGCTATTTTCCCTCAAAACTTCATTTCATATTTTGATTTAAATGATTCTTAAGTCTTGTTAATAAATTTCAGAAAGATTGATCTAGAAAATTATTAAACCTGATTTTGTTCTTCAATGAATAAAATGGCCTTCAAGAGAGCTATAGTATGATTTGCAAACTGTACTTTATGTTTTGACAAAAGAAACTTTAATATTCCTGTATTTTTCCACTGCAGGTGAATTTGATATTCAAAAGATGAGAAGACTAATGGTTCTGATTAGAGTGAAGCAGAAAGTGAGGAGGATGTGAGAACTTTCCCACACAGACATTTAGCCAGATAATTTAAGCTTGGGTGTCTGTTACTTTATTTTATTTAAAACAAAATTGGCTCTATTTCTGGAAATTCCTGACTTAACCATGTATTTCAATCTTTACCTGAACGAATACAATCCTTATATACCTAAAATCAAAGTAGTCAGGTAGGAAACTCACAAAGCATGCATATTCAACAACATTGTGCTTTTAAATCTCTCACATTTTCTGATCTTTGAGTATGTCTCCATATTAATGACTTTGTATTTGCACAAATAGACATTTCATGGCATTGTTTGCTTGTATTTCATTTATCATTTTCCAAAATATGGTCTATTTAACAAGTTTTATGTGGAAAAGAAATATTTGTCAATCAAAGATATTTGTATGATGCCAGGCTTAATTATCTAAGTCTCTAGGGAGAAATAATGTGACTAAAGTTTCTTCAGTTTATTTGACCAGAAATCAATCATTTTATAAAGTGTATCTTTTTTGTAGTTTTCCATGAAGTATATACTTTGTTAGGACTTATGCGTACTTTAACTGTGAGGACTTTAATACTTCTCTACCTCACGTTCCCATTTTTAGTGTTATCAGAATAATTGTAGCATAGCCAACTCTCTGGAGTTTATCTAAGACTTTCCCAGTTTTAGTACTGAAATTCTAACATCCTAGGAAGCCCCTCCGTCCCAGGAAAACTGTTCTGGTTGGCCAACCTCTTGTTAAGCTTGATGACCATTACATAATTTTATACTGAAAATGTGCTTATCATTGTGGTGCTTGTACAACAGGTCTACAAATGATTTTACACATCTCCTATCAAGATGCAAAATCTAAGTTCCCTGCCCTAGAATATGGGCTGGTTTTAGCAACTTTCTGCATGATTTCAGAGGATAGAAAATATTTTTCTAGTTGCTTCATTCTCTTCATTTGGATTTTAAAACATTCATTCCTTCAAACGAAATGAATATTAGTTTTTTATCAGAAAAATTAATTGTTACCATGTCCTGCTAAGTTTCATCCTGTTGTAGTATCCATAAGAATTTTCCTGAAGTATGTCCGTTATTCCACGTACATAATTCCATTTGATGTTCTCTTTTTCTTCAAACGTGCGCCAATACAAAAGAAATTGGTAGTAAATTATTTTTCTCACATATCTTTTCACAAATATAAATGCTAATCCAGAGAGCATATTTAAATATAAAATATGGCAAGACATTTCTTAAGCACGAGATTTTCTGTCATATATGGCTTCTTTTCTAATGTTTCTTATCATATTTTTCAGACATGTTTTACCCTTTTTAGCTTCTTTGGTATCTGATACTTTTTGAATTTTGTCTTGTAATTTATTTTTCTATTGATTAGCTGATCTTTTTATATTTTAATTTTTTCCACACCCTTCTTGTTCATAGTTTTATTTTACTCTTAAGTGCTCTGTCTGTAAGTTTCTTCTTGCCAGTTTTAGTGGTCCATAATTTCCAATGGAAAGTCTGCTGCCAGAACCTTTCTCCTCCAGTGTTAATGGCTGCTCTTGAGAACCTGCCCCGCCCTCCATCATCTAATTTGAGTCAATGAGGGGGCAGACAAAACAGATGGTTGGCAAGGGGTGGGATGATTCACTGTTTGAAATCATGGTGAAACATTTTTGAAATTGGTGAGGGAGAGGGAAGCCTGACATTTGACAGAGCCATGTAAAAATTGCAGTATCCAGACGAAGTTCAGTTTAATTTTCACTGTTATTTTCCAGATGTACTGATCATATTATTACAATTTTAAGATTATATCGAGAATATACCTTTTCCAAAATGCACTGTAATCATTTCAACAAAATGAGTTTATTATTGAGTGTCAATGTCGGGACAATTCCCAAAGTTACATTGTTGCCCTAACTTATTTGTTTTTCCTGAGTTATTGAATACCTCCTCTATTTCTACTTACGTTAAAACTTTCTTTTTTGCGTAATCTGTTTCCATGCTGTCTAATTAATTTCTTCACAAATTAGGACTGTAATGAAATCTCAAACTACTGTGTAAGGGAATAAGTAACTATATATATATATATATATATATATATATGTATATACATACATTTGTACACATTTGTGTATATATGTGTATATATACACATTTGTGTATATATACACATACGTGTATATATACACATTTGTGTATATATACACATACGTGTATATATGTGTGTATATACACATACATGTATATATGTGTGTATATACACATACGTGTATATATGTGTGTATATACACACTAACATATAATTGTATGTATATATAATCTAGTGTCACAGATTTATGGCACAAGATTATATAACTAAAAAAGTACTTATTATAGAACTAAATTATTATGACTATATAATGAGAATGATATAATAAAAAATTCAGACAAACTAAAATCTGAAGTAGTTTATTTTAAAAATTCATTTAATTTGTAACCAAAGCTTTCTTAATTGTTATAAATTTGATTTTCTGAATGAAATAGAACAAAAAATGTAGTACCATGGTCAACCATGATGAGTTGACCTTATAAGCCATGATTTCTCTATATGGGAATTATAACCCTCAAGGGGCCAAAAATGAACTCTTGGGCTATAAAAAAAAGTATGGATATTTCAAAGCTTTGTGGCCCTCCAAAGGGCCACACTACACAAAAAGATATGTAGTATTTTCTGATATTAAATTTGTATGAGATGGGGATTGGGAAAAAATATTTTAAAGAGTTTCTTTGGGGGATATAATAAAAAATAAGTTTAAGAAACACTTTTATAGACAGGTCAAGTCCTTATTTTTCCCAATACAAAGACAAATGTTAGTTTTATAATCAAATTTCCAAGTTATATCATGTAACTACAATTATACATGTATATTATATAGCATGTCAACCTAAGGCATGGAACTTTAAATAATAACCTACAAAGTATTAACCTTTTTGTACAATCTTCTTGGTAAAGAAAATATTTTTAAGGAAATTATACTAAAACTTCATAGATAGATAAAAGGATGTAATAGTTTTAAGGATGCATCTAATGGGCAGTATTTAAGCATATATGTACATACAATGTTATATATATATAAGATTTATAAAAGTCATAATATAGTCATAAGATTATAGCTCTATACATCTCCCTGAAGTCATTTCTTAGTACTGAAGGCAGTTGTAAAAGAGAGCTATGCTTCCTGCTTTTTCTGCATTGCTAATAGTTAATAGCAAAATTAATTAATGTAATGGCAAAAATAAACAGAATGAGAAAAAAAGGAATAATAGAAATAAAGGGCTGAGTTCAGCAATTGTGTAAGTAAAAAGCATATATGTGTGCACAAACATGAGTAAACACTTTTGTATATTGATTAAATATTTGTATCATGCATGCTACGTGTATTTTAATCATAAACTAATGAATTATTTGAAGGCTTCAGGAACAGTTCAATAATAAAAAGATGATGAAAACAATTAAATACTGTGAGTGCCATAACAAAATCAAGGTAAAATGTTTAAACACATTGGTTTACTTAGAGGGCGATTGTTGATGATCTACTGAAAAACACCTTTACCAAAGTTGTGAGCCAAGCCCAGATTAGAGTGGTGGAGGTATACATACTTAGCTACATCTATTATGGCTCCTATCAGCAATACGCTAAATTTTGCTGGGTTTCTTTTTTGTTGTTGTTTATTTCTGGACCATAACAACATGATGATAAGACCTTCTTCTGTTTTGCTCATCAATATAGAACCTACAAGCATATCTAGAAAATATGCATTTGTGTGTGTGTATGCATGTGTGCTAAACAGATAGCTTTAAAAATTAAAAAAATGCATTGAAATGAAGAACTAAATATAGCCTACTCTTTTAATAAATTGATAATATGGGAAGAAACACAATGGATGTTTCAGGAAATAGTAGGATGTGAGAAACTTAATTTTGGAATTGTCCATGCCTAGAATCTCTCCACAGAGTAGTAGACAGATTGAATATGAACTATAACCTGTCTAATTTACCTCACATGGCTATGAAGTTTATTGTACACTTCAAAACAATAGAAAGCTATAAGGAATTAGTGAATTAGTCACGGTGAAGGTGTTAAATTTACTGCTGAACCAGCTAAGATAGAGTCCAACTAAATGTTCATCTTTTCTTTCTTTGGACATCATTTCTATTGTAAGACATATTCTTCATATTCGTTATGTCTTTCTATTGATTGTGCTACATTGGGGCACATTATTGTTTCTTAAACTATATTTTAAAACACTAGAAACAACTTTGCTTATTCAGCTTTACACATTTAATTTTTAATTGCATGCCATGTTTATGAAAGATCACCTAGTTGTCTTTTCAAATTATGTTAACCATAAGATATGGCCAAGGTAATTTAAAATAACTATGATTACTATATTAAACACTCTAAAAGTTAAATAAAAGGCAAAATTTGAAGGGTAATCTCAATAGAAACATGAAGACTCTGGTAGATAATTACATGGAAATGCTCTAAATAAAAATACAGAAAAAGAGATATAAAATTTACCCAATCAGCTAATAAATAGAATTAAAATATCTAAGTAAAGAATAAGTGAACTTGAACATAGTTCAATAGAAATTACTCAAACAAAAATAAAAAGAGAAGAATGAGAAAAAGGTGAAAATAAAATTGAAACACAATATCCAAGATCAGTGGGATGTTATCATATACTTTAATATGTAAGCAATTGATTCCAGAAAGATAAAAAAGAAGGAGAAAGAGGTAAGAAATATTTTAAATGGGCTGGGATATTCAAAATTTAATTACAGAAACAAAACCACACATCAAAGAAGCTCGGGGAATACCTATGATGATGATTCCCAAAACATAACCACTCCTCAACTTGTCATATCGAAATTACTGAATACACCAAACAAACAAAAATATTAAAGTCAGCTATTATGGGAGAGGGTTATTACACATAGAAGAAAAAAATAATAATTACAACAGTTTTATCTTTAGAAACACACAAGCCAGAAGACAATATATTGACATAATTAAAGTGCTGAACATTATCAAGTCAAAGGAATACAAGTTTTCTGTTCTTATCCTCCCACAGAGGAAATAATTTTGACAACCACTCTCAGAGGAGAACACCTTTGTAGAAGACTGGGAATCTAATGAAGAAGCCCCACCACCTGTTGGAGTAAAAACAAATGCAGGAATAGATGTATTGAAAAGGATAAGAAGAAAAGTTTTACTTTACCCACATCCCCTCTTTACCAGTATGGCACAGCTCAGTGAGACCCCTTTGGCTCTTGACTTCCTCCATGGGAGAAGTGAGAACACAGTGAACACCCAACTTCCCCAGAAATGTGGTATGGCTAGGAGCAGGGAAGAGGGTTGGGGAATCACAGCACTGGGGTGCAGAACTCAGTAAAGGGCCATAGTTTCTATAAACCTCCTCACGAACTACACCAAGAAGTGTGCCCATAGATCTTGCAGAATATAACAGCTTTATACCCTCTACCCACCAACTAGCCCATTCATGCTGTTAGCACTAGCACTCCATGTACCTTTCCCTGGCCCCTGTAGCTGGTGCCCAGTGTGCCACCCTGCATATAGTGTATGTGACCGCCTGAAGATTGTGCACAAGCACATGCAGATAGCTGATTTATCTCTGCAAGATTGAGAGATGGTGTTTATCCTTCAACATTTCAGGGCACAGTGGCCCTAGGAAACATATAGTGTTCTCACACACTGCCTGGCTTTGCAGAATTGAGAGAATACATACAGCCCTAAGACTGTTTCTTCCCCCAAAAAGGGAAATAAGAGAAGTGAAGCAGATGCATCCATAGAACAGGTCTAGGAGTCCTAATAATACCTAGCCTGGATGAATGGTGAAGGTCTTTTTTTCCTGAAGCTAATCAGTAAGACTGAAAAAAGGTGTCTGATCCTTTAAATGTGAAGACAGCAATAGAAGACTTCAAAGAACATGAAAAATTAAGGAAACACAACACCACTGAAAAAAAAACTATAAATTTTGTAACCAATCTCAAAGAAATGGAGATTTACAAATTGCCCAACAAAGAATTCAAAACAATTGTTTTAAGAGAGCTCAGTGAACTACACTAGACAAAAATAGTGACTTCAACAATATTAGTATTACAATTCACAAACAATACAAAAAGTTTTAAAAAGAGACAGGAATCATAAAACAGAACCAGCAGAAATTGTGGTGCTGAAATAAATAAAAAGTGCAATAGAGTATAAAACACACTCAAACAAACTGAAAAAAGAACCTATGATCTTAAAGATGGAAATTATCTAATCATAATAGTAAGAAGGAAAAATAAATTAAAAGGAGTAGAGAAAGCCCAAGAGATTTACAGGACATCACCAAGTATACCACTACAGGTTGAACATCCCAAATCTGAAAATCGAAATTTGAAATGCTCCAAATTCTGAAACTTTTCGAACACCATCATGACACTGAAAGAAAATGCTCTTTAAAGCATTTCAGATCTTGAATTTTCAGATTTGGCATGCTCGATCAGTTAATATAATGAAAATATTTCAAAATATGAAAAGAAAAAGTAATTTCAAACATTCTGGTCCCAATCATTTCAGATAAGAGACATCAAACCTCTATGTACATTGTAAATTCCCAGAAGGAGAAAGTCGGTTAAGAGAATGGAAAGCATTTTTCAAAAAAATGTCTGAAGACATCCCAAATCTTGGAAAGGATGTGGACATATAAGTTCATGAAGTACAAAATATCTCTCATGGGATCAAGATTATAAAGATTACACTGAGATATATTATAACCAAATTATAAAATGTCAAAGACAAAGAGAATTTTTAAAACAGCAGGAGAAAAACGTGTAACATACAAGAGCATCTCCATAAGGCTATATGCATTTTTCTCCGCCAAAACCTTGTATGCCAGGAAAGCATAGTCAAAGAACTAAAAGAATAGGGGGAAAAAATTTTCCAGCTAAGAATATTTTGCTTAACAAGGCTGTTCTTCAGAATTTAAGGAGAGAGAAAGATTTTCCCAGACAAATAAAAGCTAAAAAAGTTCACCACCAGACCTTTCATAAGAAATGCTAAAGGGAGTTCTTCAAGTTTAAATAAACAAATGTTAAGTACAATATGAAAACATGTCAATGAAATAAACTCACCATAAAGGTAAGAATGTTGTCAAATGCAAAATAATATTATAATGGTGATGTGTAAAATACTTTTGAACTTGATGTAAGAGTTTAAAAACAAAACATTAACAGTAAGTACAGCTACAATAATTTGTTAAAGGATATACAGTATAAAAATTTGTAAAATGTGACATCAACAACATGAAATGTAAGGGTAAGACAAGTTAAAGTGCTGAGTTTTGTGTGTGAAACTATAAGATGTTCTATGTGTAAGCCCCATATTACTACGGGGCTTACACAAAGAAAATCCTGACGTAGATACACAAAGATAAAGTAAAATGAATCAAAGCATATTATTACAAAAAAATTATCAAGCCACAAAGGAAGACAGAAAGGAGAAAAAGTAACAGAAAACTATAAAACATTCAAAAAGAATTAAAGAACCAGAGTAAGTCCTTACATTCAATAATTACTGTAAATGGAAATAGTTTGAATTTTTTGACCAAAAAACATACAGCGGCTAAATAGATTAAACAAAAGAAAACATTCAACAATATGCTGCCTATAAAAGACTTACATTAGTTTTAAGGACACACAAAGGCTAAAAGGAAAAGGAAAGAAAAAAAAATGGGAAAAGGTATTCCAGACAAATTGTAACCAAAAGAGAGGGAAGATATGGGGGGCTATACCTAGACAAAAATAGATGTCAGGTCAAAAACCAAAAAGAAATGAAGAAAGTCATTAAATAATGATAAAGGCATCAGTTCACCAAGCAGATATAGCCATTGTAAATATATATGCACCTCACATCAAATCACTTAAATATGTAAAGATAATATTAATAGAACTGAAGGAAAAAATAGACAATAATGCAATACAGTAGGGGACTTCAATAACCCACTTAGACAATATATAGATCATCTGACACAAAAGCAATAAGGAAACAATAATTAACAATTCCACAGGCCAAATGGGCTTGTCAGACATATACTGAATATTTTATCCAACAGCCGCAGAATGCACATTTTTTTTCAAATGCACACAGAACATTCTCCAAGGTAGATCATATGTTGAGACACGAAACAATTATCAACATATTTAAGAATATTTAAATAATATCAATTATCTTTTATGACAATTTGTAAGCTAGAAATCAAAAACAAAAACAATATTGGAAAATTCACAAATTTGTAGAAATTAAACAGCACATTTTTGAATAACCAATGAATTAAAGGAGAACTCAAAGCAAAACAAAACAAAACAAAAAATCCTGAGAGAAATGAAAATAGAAAAACAACAAACAAAATTTATGAGGCCAGGCATGGTGGCTCCCGCCTGTAATCCCAGCACTTTGAGAGGCTGAGGTGAGCAGATCACTTGAGGTCAGGAATTCAAGACCAGACTGCCCAACATGGTGAAACCTCACCTCTCCTAAAAATACAAAAATTAGGGGGGGCTTGGTGGTATGTGCCTCTAATTCTAGCTACTCGGAGGCTGAGGCATGAGAGTTGCTTGAACCCAGCAGGTGGAGGTTGCAGTGAGCCAAGATTGCGCCACTGCACTCCAGCCTGGGTGACAAAGTAAGTTTCTATCTCAGAAAAAGAAAAAGGAAAAAAAAAAACTTATGGAATGCAGCAAAAACAGTTTTGAGAGTTGAGTTCATAATAATAAACACCTTTTTTTTAAAGACCTTAAATAAGCAACCTAACATTACATCTCAAGGAAGCTGAGAAAGAACAAATTGAGCCCCAAGTTAGCTGAAAGAAGAAAATCATAAATATTAGAACAGAAATAAATGGAATAGATGTGAGCAAAACAATAGAAAAGATCAACAAACTAACAGTTGGTATTTTGGAATATAAAATTGAGAAGACTTTAGTTACACTAATTTTTTAAAAGGAGGGAAGACACATGTAAACAAAATCAAAACTGAAAGAGATGACATTACAAGTGATACCACAGAATTACAAAGATCGCAAGAGACTACTATGAATGCTTAGATGTCAATAAATTGGAAATCTTAGAAAAAATTGATAAATTTCCAGAAGCATACAACCTACCAAAACTGAATCAGTAAAAAAAAAACTAGAAAATCTGAAGAGACAAATGACAAATAAGAAGATTGAATCAGTAATCAAAAAACCTCCTAATAAAGAAAAGCCAGGACCAGATGGCTTCACTGGTGTATTCTACCAAACATTTAAAGAAGAATTAATTCCAATCTTTCTCAAAGTTGCCCTAAAAATTGAATAGGAAGAAACACTTCAATTTTCTTACAAGGCCATCATTATCCTGATACCAAAGCCAAACACTGCAAGTAAAGAAAATTACATGCCAATATTTTTGAAGAAAATAGTTGCAAAAGTTCTCATCAAAATAATAGTAAGCTGAATTAAACAGCACATCAAAAGAGTCACACACCAGATCAAGTGGGATTTTTCCTTGAATTTCAAGGATGAGTCAACAAAAGAAAATCAACAAATATGATATATCACTTTAGTAAAATTAAGGCTAAAAATCATATGATTATCTTTATAAATGCAGAATTGTTTGACAAAATCCAGCATTTTTTTCAAGATAAAGACTCTTAAAATGTTATATGTAAAAGGAATGTACTTCAACATGATAAAGGCCATATATGACAGGCTCACAGCTGACATCACACTCAATAGTGTAAAGCTGAGAGCTCTTTCTCTAAGATCAGCAATAATGCAAGAATGTTCACTGTCACAATTTCTATTTAACATTGTACTGGAAGTCCTAGTGGAGCAAATAGGCAAGAAACAAAATGAAAAGTATGAAAAGGAAAAAACAGTAAAATTTTCTCTGTTTGCAGGTGATGAGATCTTACATATAGAAAACCTTAAATGTTTCACTACAAAAATATTAGAATTAATAAACAAATTCAATAAATTTGCAGGATACAATATTAACATGCATAGACCAGTTGTGCTTCTACACACTAACAATATGATGTCCAAAAATTAAATCCAGAAAACGTTCTTACAATAACATCAAAATGGAAAAATACTTACAAATAAATTTAACTAAGGAAGTAAAATACCTATACACGAAAAACTATAAACCACTGATGAAAGAAATTTAAGAAGACCAAAATAAATGTAAAGATATCCCACGTTGATAGATTAGAAGAATTAATATTGTTTAAATGCCCATACTGCTCAAACCAATCTACATATTCAATGCCAACTCTGTCAAAATCCCAATGGCATTTTTCACAAGAATAGAAAAAAAAACTATTTTAAACTTCATATGTAACTCCTAAAGAGAAAGCAAAGCAATCTTAAACAAAAGAAAAAAAGATAGAAGCATCATATTTCCTGGTTTCAAAATATATTAGAAAGCTATAGTAATCAAAATTACGTGGTACTGCTATAAAAAAAAAAACACATAAAAAATTGGAACAGAATGGAGAGCACAGAAATCCATTACAGCCTAATGATCTTTGCTAAGGGTGCCAGGAACACAAAATGGGGAAGGTTAATGGTGTTCAGTAAATGGTGTTGGTAAAACTGAATATCCACCTGCGGAAAAGTGAAATTGTACTATTTTTTCACACCATATAAAATATCAACTCAAAATAGATTAAAGGCTTAAATATAAAATTTCAAACTGTAAAACAACTAGAAGAAAACATACAGAAAAAGCTTCTGACATTTATCTGAGCAATGAAATTTTGGATAAAATCCAAAAATACAGGCAACAAAAGCAAAAATAAACAAATAGAGTTGCATCAAATTAAAAATCTCCTGAACATCAATGGAAACAATCAACAGAGTGAAGAGAAAATATATGCAGTAGGAGATAATATATGCAAACATACTACTGGTAAAAGGTTGATATACAAAATATACAAGAAATTCAAACAATTTTATAACAAATATATCTTAAATAATTAAATTTAAAATTATACAAAACACCTGAATAGACATTTCTTCAAAGAAGATGCTCAAATATCAAATACCTATATGAAAACGTCCTCAACATCACTGATCATCAGAAGAAAACACAAATTAAAACCATATTGTCACTCTTGTTAGAATGGCTGTTATCACTCTTATAAAAAAAATGAAAGATAACTAATGGCAAGGAAGTGGAGTAAAGGTGACCCTTGTACACTGTTGGTGGAAGTATAAATTGGTAAAACCAATTTATGAACCACTATGAAAAAAGGAAGTTCCACAGAAAGTTAAAAGTAGAACTGCCATATGATCCAGCAATCCTACTTCTGGGTATATATTCAAAGGAAATGGAATCATTATGCCAAAGAGATATCTGCACTCCCTTGTTCATTATAGCATTATTCACAATAGCCAACATATGTAAACAACCTAAGCTGATGAATGAATGGATAAAGAAAAATCGAATTATATAAAAATAATATTTTATCATTATATCTATCTATCTGTCTATCAATCTATCTATCTAAAATGAAATGATATTCAGCCTTGGAAAGCAAATAAAATAAAATAAAATAAAAAACTTCCACTTGTGACAACACGGATAAACCTGGAGGACATTATGCTGAGTGAAATAAGTAATAAGCCAGACACAGAAGAACAAATACTGCAAAATCTCATTGATATGTGGAATCTTAAATTTGCATTCATAAGAGCATAAAGTAGAATAGTGGTTTTCAGAGGCCTGGGGTGTGAGGTAAATGGGAAGATGCTGGTCAAGGGTTCTAAGTTTTAATTATGCAGGATAAATTAGTTCTGAAGATGTAATTTACAGCATGGTAAACATAGTTAATAATAACCATATTAGATAATTGAAATTTACTAAAAGAGTAAATCTTAAGTGTTCTCAAAAACAAAGTAATTATGTGAGGTGCACTTTTTAATTAGCTTGATTGTAGTAATAATTTCACATTGTATACATATATAAAAACATGTTGTACATCTTAAATATATGCAATATAAACTATACCTCAATAAAGCAGGGGGAAAAAGGAGAGAAATTCAACCCAGAATTCTATACCCAGCAAAACTATGTTTTAAAACTGAAGAATTAATACTCTCAGACCAATGAAAGTTAAAGTAGTTAATTGCCAGAAATCTTGTATAAGATTTTTTAAAGGAAGCTAGTTGGAGAGAAAAACTATGAGATTGAAAACATGGATCTAGATAAGGAAATAAAAAGTAGGTAACATAAGATGAATGAAGGCAATATTAAATTAAATTTTTCTAAATTTTACTTGCCTTGAAATACATCTGACCATGCAAAATAAAGCAGTAGCAATTTATTGAGCTTTTATAGCATAATTAAAATAGAAGATGTAATAAAAATAGCACAAAGATGGGAGAGAGACTTTGATTAATTTAAAACATATATCATAAGCACAAGGGAAACAACTGGAAAAATGCAAAAAAGTGAATAAACAATATGTTAATAAAAGAGGCAAAAAGAAATCTTTGAAAATGTAAAATTGTCTCAAAAGAATTCAGAAACACATGAAAAGACACAAAAATAAAATGAAGAAAATGTAAACAATTAACAATATGGCAAATTTTATGCCAACCAGATCAATAATCTCATTAAATATGAATGATTTAAACACACAAGCTAATATATCAAGATAGTCAGTTTGGAGAAAAAGCAAGACGCATCTATATGCTGTCTACAATACACCACTTAAAATGGAAATATATAGACAAGTTAAAGCTAAAAGGATGTAAATAGATATACTATGAACACAGTAACCAAAATACACCTGAAGTAACCATATTACTTTCAGAGAAAGATAACTTCGCAACAAGGAAGGTTATCAGGATAGGAGGAGACATTCTTTAATTAAAAAGATAAAATCTTCAAGAAGTCATAAAAATTGTAAATATTAATATTTCTAACAAGAGAGCTTGAAAATATATAAAGGAAAAACTGGGTAAGCCGAAGTTATAACTAGACAAATTAATAATGATGATTAGAGACTTCAATATTTCTTATCAGTAATTGATATAACACATAGTAATTGCTTATAGAAAAATCAGCAAATGCATAGCAAAACTGAAAATATCATAAAACAGTTAGTCTAAATTGATATGTATTGAAAACATCATCCAACAACAAAAAAGCACACACACATTTTTTTTTTTAAATACAGAAGGAGAATTTACCAAGGGAGGCAATAATCTGGACCATAAATAATCTGAACACATTTATAAGAATAGAAGACATATGGACCATGGTGCAATTAACCTAGGATTCAGTAACAGAAATTTATCTGGAATATCTTCAAAATTTTGAAATTAAACGTATTTCTGAATAACCCACAAATCAAAGAGAAAGCCTCAAAGGAAATTTAACTTTGAATTGAATGAAAAAATAGACCACATTAAAATTTGATAGCTGCAGCTTTGCTTATAGGATATATATAGCGTTAAATAATTTTATTAGAAACAAAGAAAGATGAATATTAATAATCTAAGCTTCCACTTTTAAATTAAAAGTCAAACAAGCAGAAGGAAGGAAATAAAGCATTAGAGTAGAAATCATGATATTTAAAATATAAATATAATAATAAATTTAAAATCTTATTACTTGAAAATATCAATGGGCTTGATAGATATCTAAGAACATCAATCAAAAAGGAAAATATGGGCGGGGTGCAGTGGCTCATGCCTGTAATCTCAACACTTTGAGAGTCTGAGGCAGGAGGATTGCTTGAGCTCAGGGGTTAGAGGACAGCCTGGGCAACATAGTGAGACCCTATCTCTACCAAAAACAAAGAATTAGCCAGGCATGGTGGTGTGTGCCTATAGTCCCAGCTACTCTGTAGGCTGAAGCTGGAGGACAGATTGAGCCAACGCAGTTGAGGCTGCAGTGAACCATGACTGTGCCGCTGCACTCCAGCCTGGATGACTGAGCAAGACCCTTTCTAAAAATAAAATAAAATGCCAGGTGCTATGGCTCATACCTGTAATCCCAAAACTTTGGGAGGTCAAGGTGTGAGAATTGCTTGAGCCCAGGATTTCAAGAGCAGCCTAGACAACATGGCAAAACCCTGATTATACAAAAAAAAAAAAAAAAAAAAAAAAAAGGAAGTAGCCCGGTGTGGTGGCACATGCCACCATTAGTCAGGTATGGTGGTCCCAGCTACTCTAGAGGCTGAGGTGGAAAGATCACTTAAGCCCAGGAGGTTATGGATGCAGTGATGCAAGATGGTGCCATTTCATGCCAGCCTAGGCAACGGAGTAGGGAAAAAAAAGAAAGAAAATATGGGAGATTCAAGTTATCCATATGAGGAGTAGAAAAGGAGGCCTCAACAGTGAGACAAAATATTAAAAGGACAATAAAGAAATACTATGAATAAGTTCATGCCCATGAATTCAACAACTTAGATAAAACTGACAAATTCCCTGAGAGCCAGAAACTACAGAAACTCACACAAGAAGATATAGATAAAATGAATAGCTCTATGTCTATTTTATAAATAGAATTACAGTTTAAAATCTTACAAAAAATAAAGCTCTTGGCCCAGAATGTAAATTCTATCACACAGTTAATCAGGTAATAATACCAATTCTGTATAAAAGTTTGCAGAAAATAGAAAAAGGATGAAACTTTTTCCAGCTCATTTTATGCATCCTGAATTACTCTGATGCCAAAACCACTAGAGTGTGAACATGAAAAATAGTAACTTTATAATGGAGGAATCTGGTAAATATCACCTTAACCAAGTGATCAAGTGTGACGTCACCATTGATAAATCATGTTGTTCTTATGTACCACTTGATATGATGCAATTATTTCCCAGTATTTCTAATCTCAGTTTGATCATGAGAAAACATCAGAAAAGTTCAAATGGAGGGATATTCTACAAAACACCTGACAACTACTCTAAATTAGCAACAAGGTCTGAGATAAAAACTAACAAACTTGGACAGGCTTGAGAAGATTACAGAGACATGACAACTAAGTGCAGTGTTTGATCCTCGTTGGATATGGGAAAATTACACCATGGAAAAATTGTGGAGATCTGAATAGAGTCAATAGTTTTGCTAACAGTATTGTTTCAATGTCCATATCAAAGTTTTGATGAATGTACTCTGTTTATGTAAGATCATAACACTAAGAAGCTGAGGGAAAGGTATATGAGAACTCTCTACCGTTTCCAGAACTCATCTTTAAATCTAAAATCATTTCAAAACAAAGAAATTTTTAAAAATTCATTAAAAAATTAAAAGTCAGAATTCAAGATGCAACTATTAAGTAATTTTGATCACTTATTTTGTTAAGTAAACATTCAAAATGTATTTGTCCAAAGAAGTGCTAGCTTTCAAAAAATAAGTTTGTAGGCATATAATGTCATTGCTCAAAGTTTGGAACCTTTTTCTTTTTGTGTGTGTGTAACCTTAGAATATAGAAACATAATAAGAATACTAAATTGTAAAGTTTATCTAATTCAACACCATATTTTGTATCAAAACCTGTGTTATATGTGACAGTCACTCATCACAAATTAGTTTCTAAAAAATAAATAAATTAAATAAAATAGTAAATTGCTCTCTACCAAGCAAGAACCAATGATCTGTTATCCAAAAGAAACACACTTCACTTATAAAGATACACGTAGACTGAAAATAATGGAACGGAAGAGCTTTTCCATGCCAATGGAAACCACACAAGAGCAAGAGTTGTTATACTTCTGTTAGACAAAATAGATTACAAGACAAAAGTATAAGAAGAGATAAAGAAGGTCATTATATAATGATAAAGGGTTCAATGCAGCATGTTCATGGATTTGAAGAATCAATATTGCTAAAATGTCCATACTACCCAAAGCAATCTACAGATTCAGTGCAATCCCTATCAAAGTACCAATGATATTCTTCATGGAAATAAAAAATTCCAAAATTTATATGGACTCACAAAAGACCCCGAATAGCCAATGCTATCCTGAGCAAAAAGAGCAAACTGGAGGAATCACTTTACCTGACTTCACATTTTACTACAGAAGTATGATAACCAAAATAACATGATACTGGCATAAAAACAGTACAGAATAGAGAACCCAGAAACAAATCCACATACCTATGGTGAACTCATTTTTGACCAAAGTGTCAAGAGCATACACTGGGGAAAAGACAGTCTCTTCAATAAATGGTACTGGGAAAACTGGATATCCATATGCAGAAGAATAAAACTTGATCCCTATCTCTCATCTTCTACAGGCAACCAAAGCATAAATGGATAAATGGGATCACATCAAGCTATAAAGTTTCTGCCCAGCAAAGGAAACAATCAGTGAAGTGAAGAGACAACCCACAGAATGGGAGAAAATATTTGCCAACTACTCATCTGACAAGGAAATAATAATCAGAATTTATGTGGAGCTCAAACAACTCTATAAGAAAAAAATCTAATAATCCTAATTAAAAAAGGGGAAAAGATTTAAAGAGACACTTCTCAAGAGAAGGCATACATATGGCAAACAATAGTATGAAAAAGTGGTCAGCATCATTGATCATCAGAGAAATGCAAACCAATACTACAATAAGATATTATCTCCTTCCAATTAAAATGACTTTTATTCAAAAGTCAGGCAATAACACAGGCTGGTGAGGATGTGGAGAAAAGATAACCCTCATATGCTGTTGTTGGGAATGTAAATTAGTACAACCATTATAGAGAACAGTTTGGAGGTTCCTCAAAAACTAAAAACAGAACTAGCGTATGATCCAGCAATCCCGCTGCTGAGTGTATACCCAAAAGAAAGGAAATAAGTGTAAAGAAGAAGCATCTGCACTCCCATGTTTGCTGCAGCACTGTTCACAATAGTCAATATTTGGAAGCAAACTACGTGACCATTAACAGATAAATGGATTTTAAAAAGTGGTACTTACATACAATGTTGTACTATTCTGAAATAAAAAGGAGATACTATCATTTGCAACGACATGGATGGAACTGCAGGTTATTACATTAAGTAAAATAAGTCAGGCACAGAAAGACAAACATTACATATTCTTACTTATTTGTGAGATCTAAAAATAAAAACAATTGAACTTATGGAGAAAGAGAAAAGAAGGATGGTTACCAAAGTCTGGGAAATGTAGTCGGGGGTAGACGGGAGCGGCAAGATGGGGATGGTTAAGGGGGAAAAAAAATAGTTAGAAAGAATGAATAAGACATAGTATGTGATAGCACAACGGGGGGACTATAGTCAATAACAATTTCATTGTGCACTTTAAAATAATTAATAGAGTATAATTGAATTGTTTGTAACACAAAGGACAAATGATTGAGTGGATGGATACCCAATTTTCCATGATGTGTTTGTTACGCATCTCATGCCTATAAAAAGAATCTCATATATCTCATAAATATATACACATACTATATACCCCAAAAAATTTAAAATAAATAAAAACTAGGTACTCCAGAAAAAACATTTTATTTATGACTTACTATGAAATGTCAATAAAAAGTGAATCAATCATAACCTACCAAAAGAAAGCAAAACAAGCAAGCAGAGAAATCCAGAAGTTGGAACATTCTGTGAGAAAATTAGCCAAACCTCATGAAAAACTGGGTTTTATTAGATTAAATGTGATTTAAGAGAACAACAATCAGAGGTATGACATATATTCTGTTTGTATAGAGATTTCAGAAAACGTTAATATCATCTATGTATTGGTAAGTTTCTGAAATGAAATAATGGAGATCAATTATTGAAAAATCAAGATTATAAAAAGATATCATTTCAGCTTTTTTTGTAAATCAACTATTACAAAATAGTTTATTAAAAGGTTAACTAATACATTTATTTTTAAAAGTCAGTAAAAATAATGGCACATGTTTGTTTTGTATCTGTGTAGTTTGCATATAAATGGTACAGAAATATAATCTAAAATATTAACAACAATAATTTATGGATAGTGACAATGTGACATTTTATCTTATTTTCTTTTTGCCAGTGTAAATGTCATTAATTTATACAATAAATATTTATGATTTCAGTAATAATAAAAGATTATGTTTAAAAAACCAAATGCCGGGCATATGTTGAAGTCCTAACACACAGTATCTCAGATTGTGACTTTATTTGGAAATTGGGTCCTTACAGATGTAACTATTTAAGTTAAGATAAAGTCATAGTGAAGTAGGATGAGCCATTAATCCAATATGACTGGTGCCTTTGTAAAAAGAGGAAAAGAGACAAAGAGACACAAGAGATAATATCATGTGACAATGGAGGTAGAGGTTGAAGTGTGGTAGCTACACGGCAAGGTATGCAAAGAATCGCCAATAAAACACCAGAAACTCAAAAGAAGCAGGAAAGGATTCTCTACTGCAGGTTTTAGAAGGAGCGTGGTCCTGCTGACACCTTGATTTCAAACTTTTAGATATCAAAATTGTGAAAGAAATAAATTTTGTTGTTTTAGGCAACTCAGTTTGTGGTACTGAGAGTGGCAGAAGGCAGCTAAATGCCTAGGTAGAGAGGGGTGGGCTCCCGGGGAAACCCCTCCAAGCCAAAGACAGTTTAAAGCCTGAAAGCCAAGCAACAATTGAGAACTTGTCTTCCCATTTGGCGCGTTTTCCTCTGATTGACCTCCACCCCTCACCTATTTTACATAAACCTACCCTTTCCTAATTGATTGTCCACACTGTCAAGCCATGCCCACCTATAAGTACTTTTTGGGAGACAATTTAATTCTTAACACTGGGCATAGCATTCTGATGGTCTGTTGTTTCTTCACCATACCTTGAAGATAAAGTCAACTGCTTCCTTTCACTATTGCTGTTAAAAAGTCAGCTCTTTGTTCTGCTTGCCATTAATTTTTAAATTATCTGTATTTTTTTCCTCTGGCTGCTTTTAAGATTTTTTTTTCCTTCATTACTGTTCTGCAGCTCAGTGATTTGTACTTGTATAGAGCCTTCATTTCTTTTCAACTCAGTATTTAATGACTTCCTAAACCCAAGAATGGCTAGATTTCATTGTCAGGATAATTCTTACCCGGCATTGTTTTAAATTCTTCCTCCCTCCAATTTCTCCTTAACATGTCTGGAAATCTGGTTAGATGTGTTTTGAAATTTCTCCCTCTTTTTTCCATTCTTATTTAACCTTGTGAACCAATATCCTCACACTCCAAGTCACCAGAGATTGTGATATGTTCCTATGGGCAAACTGTGACATCAATATTTACCTTTCCTAAAGATTGGTACTTTCTTAATTATTTTTGACCTATTACAAATAGCCTTAATTTTCTTTTTTTTTTTTATTATACTTTAAGTTCTAGGGTACATGTGCACAACATGCAGGTTTGTTACATATGTATACATGTGCCATGTTGGTTTGCTGCACCCATTAACTCGTCATTTACATTAGGTATTCCTCCTAATGCTATCCCTCCCCCATTCCCCCACCCCACGACAGGCCCCAGTGTGTGATGTTCCCCTTCCTGTGTCCCTGTGTTCTCATTGTTCAGTTCCCACCTATGAGTGAGAACATGCGGTGTTTGGTTTTCTGTCCTTGTGATAGTTTGCTCAGAATGATGGTTTCCAGCTTCATCCATGTCGCTCCAAAGGATATGAACTCAACTTTTTTTATGGCTGCATAATCTTCCATGGTGTTTATGTGCCACATTTTCTTAATCCAGTCATTGATGGACATTTGGGTTGGTTCCAAGTCTTCGCTATTGTGAACAGTGCAGCAATAAACATACATGTGCATGTGTCTTTGTAGTAGCATTATGAGCCTTAATTTTCTACCTGCAAAGGTTACATTAATAGCTATGTTAGTATCAGATTAAATTCACCAGAAAATTAAGACAATTCCAAATACATATACAGCCAAAACACAACTTGAAAATTGAAATGACTGCAAAAAATTGACAATTTTGCAAACATATTAGAAAATGTGAACATTTTGCTCTCATAAACATCACCCTGTTACATCCAGCAAGTTATAAAAGGCAGTAAAATTTTTAACATAACTATTATTTTGACTTATTGGTCATATGCCAAACATTGCCTAAAATACATTCTTTTCTGACCCACAGGAAAAATTTTAAAAATTAAAAATATTTTAAAAATTGAAGATGCATTAAAGATAATCAATTCTTTAAAGCAAAAACAACACCACTATATTATGGGGTGTATAAATATGTAAAAGTAAAATATACAAAAACAGGAAAATAACAAAGCAGCAGAGATGGTCATATATGCTTAAAGAATTCTTTTGTTCTACTTCAAGTGTTATCATATTGTTCTTAGGTGGATTGGGATAAGTTTAAGATGTGAATTGTTACTCTAGATCAATTAAAAGAGAACAGATACAAGGAAATCAAGCTAATAAGCCAAGAATGGAGATGAAACAGAGTAATAAAAAATACTCAAGTAATCCAAAATAAGGGAGAAAAAAGAGAAATGAAGTATAGGTAGGTCAATTAGAAACATATTTTCTAATATATATTTTCATGTTTCAAATTAGAAAGTAACAAAATGTAAATGGTCTCAGCATTGCAATTAAACACACAAATTAGAAAAATGTATTAAGAAAGAACAAATGACATGTTTTTTATTATACACACATTTCAATTATGCAAACACAGACATGTTAAATAAGAAACTATGAAAAGATATGTACTGTTAAAACTACTTTTATAAAAGCTGAAGTGACTATATTAATATCATGTAGGATAGGGTTCAGGACAAGGACGAGTACCAGAAATAAAAAGATATGTCATAATAATAAATGTCTGTACCCACCTATTAATAGACCTTCAAAATAAATGGTGCAAATGATGTAAATGAAAGAGGAAACAAAAGCTGTCATACTTAGAAATTTCAATACTCATGTCTCAGTAATTAGCAGTTTAAGTAGACCAAAAAAATTAGTATAAAGAAGACATGAATAATATTAAAAATCAATTTGACTTAATTGACACTTATGAAGCACCATTAATTTTACCATCAACAGCAGAATGAATATTCTTTTTAGGTGCACATGGAACATTCACCAAAATAGTGTATGTGATAGGCCAAAAAACAAATTTCAATAAATTTGACTGGATTTATGTTACACAAAGTGAGTATAAAGAATATATATTATTCTCTAATACTGTAAAAACTAAGAATGCCTTCTCTTACTGCTTTTGACTGTTGTACTAGCAGTCTTAGCCTCAGCATTAAGACAAGCAAAATAAATAAAAGGCATATACACTGGAGTTAGAAAAGTAAAGCTCTATTTATTATAAAAAGACATAATCTTGTGCATGTAAAATCTTAGAAATCTACAAAAATGCCACTAAAATTAATTACTTACAGAGTTCACAAGCTACAAGGTCAATGTGAAAAAAATCAGTTGTATTTCTGCAGCGTAGCAATAAATAATTTTTTTAAATATATTTTAAAAATTAAAATAATATCAAAAATATAAAAATAGAAATAAATATAACAAAATGTGTCAAAAACTTTACTCCTGAAGTTATTTAAATACATAAATAATCATGCACTGGAAGAATAAAGACTGTTAAGGTATCAACTCTCTCCAATCAATGCACTGAAAGAATAACTGTTGTTAAGATGCCAGCTGTCTCCAAGTTAGTCTACTGATTCAATGCAATCTCAATAAAAGTCCCCACAGAAATTTTGTGTCTTTGTCTGTTCTAAAGGCAAAGAACATAGAACAGCCCAAACAATTTCAAAAAGAAGAATGAATTTGGAGAACTTGTACATTCTGGTGTATAAACTTAACTGAAAAGCTAAGGTAATCAAGATAGCATAATATTGGCAATAGATATTAATCAGTTACAGAGTATCTGTAGGGTCTATTGATTTCTGACAATGATGCCAAGGTAGCTCAATGGAGGGAACATGGTCTTCTAAAAAACATGATGCTGGAACCTGGCTATTTATCCACATGGAATAAAGTATCTCTCAACAGACCCCGACCCAACCACACACACACACATACACACACACACACACACACACACACATACAAACCAAAATAGATCAAATAATAACGTAAAAGCTAAAATTATAAAACTTTGGTAGAAATGTGAAAAAATATTTTAACAACATTAGGATAAGCAAATATTTACTTAATAAATATTTATTTAATAGTAAAATCACTAACCATTAATGAAGAAATGATAATTTGTCGTAAACATACAGTGGAATACAATGGAATTCCTTGGAACTCGGGGAAAAGAAAGACAACAGTACAGATCATAACATGGATGAAACTTAAAACCTCTATGCTGAGTGAAATTAGCCAGACACTAAAAATTATATGTCGTATATGCTCAAGTCTAAATGAAACAAGAATCATATGGTGACAGAAAGCAAATTAGTGGTTTTCTGGGTCAGTTGGGAGAAAGGGGTTGTCTAGTTTAGGACACAAAGAAACTTTGGGGGATGTTGGAAAGATTCTATATGGATTGTGGTGTGGTTCTACGTGCACACGTTTTCAATAGTTTAAAATAGGTACATTTTGTTGAAGGCATATTATACTTCAATAGGGTTGATTTTAAAAATTAAGCACATACTGGGTTATAAAGAAAGTCTTTACTAAATTTGTGACTTAGTATCTTTCTGTCTGCCCTCAACAATTAAACAATTTCTCTGATCCTAAGTTTCCCAAGTCCTTATCAGTTTCATTAAGATGAAAAGCAATAATGTGTAATGCATGTGAAAAGGGCACAATAAATGTTTATTTGTTTTACTCATCCTATTTCCCACTTATAGAAATATTCTAGTAACTTATAGAAATATTATAATTGAAAAATTGTGGCTTCTTTACTTTTGTTATGCTTTTCTAATAAATTTTACCATTCATTTTGTTACAACTCTGCCCCTAGGTCATTAGACCACAGTGTGTGCTATCATTGTTAAAATATAGAGTTGCCGTCTTTCATTCAGAGAGTACCTACGTAATCTGCCAGTTCTATCAGCTAAACAATATTTTATATAAGAAGCAGACATTTGCTGAATTGATTTAAATTTTGGTACTCGTATTCTAAATTGTCTAGTCATTTTTTATTTTAAAACTTTTTATTAAATATATGCTATACATCATCGTAAATTTTCTGTAGTGATAGAAAAATGGAAAAGACAGATCACAGCATCATGTAACTAACATCTCAAAAAAAGTATTGAAGATATAACTAAGAAAACTGAGCAGGAGAATTTTCATGGGAGCATAGTTGTTTAAATATTTTCTGGATGGTAATTAACTTATCATCTGGTTGCTTCAGATATTTTTTATACCTTTGACTTAGTAAAAGCAGTGATCAATTTATTAGAGGAAAAAAATCTGTTGAATTTAGTAGTATTTTCCAAGTATATATATAAGAAGTAAAAATAAAATCTTGGAGATCATTGCATGCATTATCAGTTTTCTGACTTATTACAAATCCAAGTTAGTCTTGTTTGGTTCTACTTAAATCAGATATTGTTTCTAAAACTAATAAATATCAGAACTAGTGGCCAGATCTAGAAACTTCCTCCCTTAAACCTATTCAAGTTAGTCAAACATAGTCAAGCATAGTCTTCCCAAATCACCTTGAGAAAATCTGTTCACCAAAAATCAGATGTCTGGTCATATCAGATGTCAATTATTTTACTTACTTTCCAGGAGGAAATACATCATCAACGACAACGAAAGGATCTGTGATTGTAAAAGTTATTCCTTTTACAAATATTTAGATTTCTAGTTTTAATCTATTTAAATTTCATATTTTAAAAATTGATTTGTTTTACCATATTTCAAAAAAAAATTCAAAGTTGCTGCATGTGAATTTTAAAACCTGTGACTTCTCAGATGAGTTCATGTTTACCAGCAGGGCTCACCCATAAAGGCCGGCTGAATATCCAGTGTACTTTCCCTTCACTGTGGTCAGTGAATCAGCAAGTGTTACAGGAGTTCAGCGTGAAATGCCAGGTGCTATTTCAACAGTCCTTCTTTCACAATGCTTAGGGTGGGGTCACTCTGGTAGACCCTGATAAGGTTACTGGAACTGAGTTCCTGGGGTGGTCAAGTTAACATCCTCTAAGCTCATGCTCTCTGAATGTAGAAGGTAGTCACAGAGACCTGGTTCCCTTTTTTGGGCTAAAGGCTACTCAACCGCAAGCTGCTTATTAAACTCTGTCTGGAAAATATTATTCACTGAAATCATGTCTCAATAGCACAGAGTTTAATTTTGTAATTAACCAAACCATCTGTCATTGCAAGGCTCTCTTAAGGGCATCCAAATGGGAGAACTTATAGAACCTTGCATGGTGAGTGGTAGTGAATGGCTGTGAGAAGGAAATGGTATGAATTTCAAATGATAGCTACAAATAGATTGTCAACTTATGAACTCAGAACAAACTACTTTCCTAAAGAGATGCTCCTGCATCTTTCCATAAACAGATTATTGCCCTTTTCATAAAATATTTAGCTCTTTGCTTTATAAAGTAAAGTTCATATGAACATAAATGTTGCTGCAAAAGACCGTCCATCTGTGTTTTTGCTGTGTGTGAATAATAGCAACATTTCCTTGAAAACTTAAGAATACTTACTAAATAATCAACGAGTATTAATCAGTTATATAATTTATTCTTCCTTCTAGATTTCGAGGCTTTCTGTCTTGCTGCATTAAACATCCATAGATATTTACATTACATGCAAATCAAAGATATCAAGAAATAAGATCTCTAGAGGTGATAAAACATTATTTGTTGGGCATGCCTTGAATCAGGTTTGAATTAGGTTTACTTATTTAATGATACATATTTGGGTCTGGCATCATCCAAACAGCTCTGAACTAATAGCCCAGACAGGATCTTAATGACAATTTTTTACTTTGGTGGTTTTGTTTTTGCATGTACATTTAAAAAGTATCAGAAAATTTGTACAAATTTAAAAATTAAATATTTTGAAACCTTAAAATCAAATATAGATACAGCTATATCTTTATACTTGTAATATATTTACTAAATAAGGTGAAGTCACAAGGATGGGAAATTATTCTGAGTAATTCAATTTACACAATTCTTTTCACCTTTTAGTAGTTTATATGATTAAATTTTGATACTATGTAGTCCACAGGAGGAATGAATAAATGCCAGAAAAGTAATGGTGATAGATACAAATTGATTGTTAGACTTCCTCAATACCTTGGCCCATTGATATTTAAAGTTTTAATTAATAGCTGAATAGGTGCTTTAATGGTCAAGTAGGATATTTGGTTCTCAATAACCTATAACATCTCAAAGTTAATATTGAAATGCCACTTACACACGTCCTTTCCTCTAGTGGTGAGGATGGACAGGAAAAAGCAGTTCTAGACCCTGAAAAAGTTGGTTTGTATGGGTTAGCTATTTTCCGATGAGATCAGTCTAGCGCTGCCACCTGCACTCCAAAACATTGGTCCCAAAGGAGTCATGATGTCATTATGCCAACACCATCACATCTCAGTGTTGTTATATTGAGTCAGCCAAACTTGGCCCCATATTGGTCTGGTTCCTGTTCTTCTAACTTAAACCCACACCGTTTGGAAATGGTGTTCTTTGCGAAAAGATTAATGCCTTCAGTTCTAATTACCTTAATTATCAGCTACTTTCTAATGAGAATATTATCTAGATAATGACTAAAAATTATGAAAATCAACCTCAAATAGAACAGGTTTTACCCTTTAAAAGTAACATAGCTAATATCCTACTTATGACAACTTTTCCAGTATGTAATCTTACATGAGAACTATACTTGTATAGTTAATCAGTTGCCAGAAAATAATTGCCAGTAAAGGCAGAGGGAGAAAAGAAAGACATTAAGTTTTCCAAAATTTCAAGCTATTTTAACCAGTAAAGGAAAAGATAACTCAAGTAGGTAATTCCAGACTGGAAGGATATGTACAACTAATATTTCACAAACCTCACTAAAGATGTTAGAGGAAAGAGCTCACCAGGATGAGTGAAACTCCTGGATGTATAACTCCTAATTATATATCTATATTGATTTTTTATTAGTACATAACTGTTAAATAAAACACTAAGTGCATTTCCCATGTCATGTTTTCAGAATTCCTTTTGGTAAAAAATCTATTTTGTCCCTTTGAAGTACATCTATAATTGTTCACCTTAGATTTGGAACTTAGTTTTAAGTAGCACACAATTATCTTATGAAATTGAGCTAGGCAGTAAAACTCCTTACCTTTGAGGATTGCTTGATTATTTTCTTAAAAGATAAATAAAACAAGAACAAAAAGAAAGGGGATAATTCCATTCAGTACTAAAAATAAAACACTATATATAACCCACATTGGAATTTTTTGAAGTTATGGAGTATCTTAAAGGTACATACTTAACATTTCCATTAAAAATAATTAAATTAAAAGTAGAAACTCAATAGTAATGAAGAATTTTTGCCTATTATTGTTTATCTGAAAAGCACTAGTTTGAAAAGGGAAAATCTTTTCCAATCCCACCCTCCCTCCCCATCTTAGTAGAAATATAAGATGAGCAAGGTAGTAATCCATTATGACCTTAAGTCAATTATCTTTAAGTAAAAGATCTTGTTATAAGGACAAAAAATGTTAGTTCTACAACTTTTAAATTCTTCGTACTTTGTTACAACTAACATTTCCAAATTGTCCAGATTAAGCAATGTTTCCCCCTTATCAGTTAAACTACACCTTAAAATCTTATAAATGAAGTTGCAAGTCTGAGGAAGGATACGGAAACTCTATCCATTTGCACTGGAGTAAATAAACATTGGAAGAAAGCAAAGATAAGAAATTTCACAGGGAAGCTAAAATTATTGTTTTAAAATATCTCTTTTCATTGTTATTACCATTTATCAGCAGGCCTTACGTTGGTAAAATCAGTACAGATTGGGCTGGCTATATGCGGCTGAGTCATCCAGTTTGGAAATTTACCGGTTATACATCACTACAGTTCAACCTCTTTGCCACCTCCACACATATTTTTAAGTAGTTACAGTCAGAACAACAATGAGAAAAGAAACCTTACAATTCTAGGTTTGTTCAAGATTCAAACATCACTAATAACCTGGTTGCAAAAAAGCATATTACCTTTCCTAAATGATTTTCAACACATTTGACTTGTATAATTATAATATTCTATCAAAAATGGATATAATGTAAGTCAAATCCTGTTTACCAAAAAACAGCATTTCCAGATAAGTCAGACTAATTGTGAGTGCTGCCTTTCAAAACCTACCCATGAGTTTATTATTGAGTACACTGAGAAGAAAGAAATATTTTCACATTTAACTTGGTTTTGGTGCAAGTTATCATTTAACAAAAGTGGTTGATTGTTTTACAATTTTAACATCCTATTTGGGTCGTTAGTTGACTTCAGCTAGAAACTATTAAAAATGTTCTAGTGCTCAATTATTATTGTTTTAAAATTATTTTAAAATTTAATAAAACACAAAACATGAGTTTTTGTAATTAATTTCAGAAAATCACACATAATGGAAATTACCTTAAGTAATATGTATTCAAAGAGAAATAATAAATATTCAAGCATTCTATATTTTGAGATAATGTTTTGGAATTTAAAAAAAATTGTCAGAATTAAAATAACTGTGAGAATTAAAATGGTTAATTTCTGTCTGTTGTAGTTAATTCCTTTGCTATAATATTCAATTGCTTTGAATGTGTTTTTATAAAATATGCTTTCAGAGCTTTCAAAAGATTAAAGACTTGGAATGAACCCAAAAGCCCATCAATTATACACTGCATAAAGAAAATGTGTCACATATACACCATGGAATACTATGCAACCACAAAAAAGGATGAGTTCATGTCCTTTGCAGGGACATGGATGAAGCTGGAAACCATCATTCTAACACAGGAACAGAAAGCCAAATACCACATGTTCTCACTCAGAAGTGGGAGCCGAACAATGAGAACATATGGGCACGGTGGGGGGAACATCACATATCAGGACCTATTAGGGGATGGGGGGCTAGGGGAGGGATAGCATTAGGAGAAATACCAATGTATATGACAGGTTGATGGGTGCAGCAAACCACCATGGCACATGTATACCTATGTAACAAACCTGCACATTCTGCACTTGTATCCCAAAACTTAAAGTATAATTTTAAAAAATAATAAAATAAATAAAAGGTTACCTTTCCATCTTCATTAATTTTTGTTTCTGAAACGTTCCTGATTCGAAGACAGACTTAAGAGAGTTTAAACACATCCTAATTCATATGGACCAGTTGAGAGAGTCTCTCCTGAAATGAATCATTCTGATAACTTTTTAAAACCTACTTCTATAAGGTATATTATTGAATATTACTGAATTTACTGTTTCCATCAGGATGTTTGGCTGTCATATAGAACAAACTATCACAGTCTACATACTAGTCAGAACAGTTAATGTAATATCATAAAATCTGTGTAGTGGGCCTAATTCTGTCTAGTTAACACTTCTTTTTTTATTTGTTATTTTTTATATCCGAAAACAATATCTATGAAATGTCAAACTGTCTATCTTACTTTACAGACCTGGGTCAATTTTCAATGGCAATGTTTCATTATAGACTCCAGCTCAAAAACAATATTTTATATTTCCTTATAGAAATTATGATAGTGACGTCTTATATTTCAGGCAACAAGTATCTTCTCTATCAAGCATCTGTCAGTATGAGAAGAACTAAAATTAGTCTCAGTTTGCTCGTCTGTACCATGAGTGATAATTATTTCCTTTTGAATCTGTGAGTAGGAAAAAAACAATTATTAACCTAGCTTATGTATATAGTTTCCATATAGCAGGCATAAATAAATATACATACATATACATACATATATATACATATATAAAACACAAGCAAATTTGTATGTTAATTCTATTATTTCTCATTTCTCTTACAGGAGTGACTCATAAGCAAAGTAGTTGAGAAGTAAAGTCTGAATCTGACTGCGTAAATCAGGGTGGGTTTACACTTAGGTGGTAAATTCTAATTCTAACAACTCTACCTAGTTTGCAAATATGGCTAAAACACTTGTTTTTTCCTACTGCCTGTTCTTTCCACCCCGTCCCCACCGTCCCCACCAAGTATCACCTTCCCCAAATTAATACCTCCTACCCCAACCCCAAACATTCTGGCTCCTCTTGGTAGTTTATAAACCCTGTGTCAAACACCTGTGTGTGTAATTTGTTCCAAGGGAAAACATGATCTCTCATCAGAAGCAAATAAAGCATATGGCATTTGATTATCTAAGCACACCCTCAAATATTTTAAGCAACTTCTTGATTTTCATAATTCCGACTTCTGAAGTGCTTCCTTTTTTTACCTCAATTTCAAAATTACTAGGTATCATATGATTATTGTAAAGCTGTGCATTTTGCAAATCAACCTCAATTATTATTAGCCTTTGCTTTTTCAGCAGGAGAAATAAATTCCCCACAGTGGCCATTCATTTGCCTCTCAGCATGGTCTCGTTCCTAAAGAAACTTGAATCTGAATTTACTTCCTCTTTACTGGTTGGAAAACAAATGTTTGATTTGTGGTGAGCATGTAAGTGAGTTTTAAGCACACACACAGGTAACAACGTGTCCCCAGCACCACCTCAACCATTTAGGAAGTTTCAAATTCCCCGGCATAGAAGTTGTTTCACAGACCCAGCAAAGTGCTGGGGAAATAGTAGGTAAGCCATTTGGAGGACTTCAGAAATGCAAGTACTCCAAGTAACTTGCTGCACTCTGCCCTCATTCCTTCCTTCAAGCTAGAAAGACTTGGGGGAATGTTGCCAACCTATTAGCATTTCCAGAACTGAAATAATCTCTTCCCAAGATAGTACTACTGGAATGATAACAAGACATGTGGAGCCCAACTTGCCTGGCTCTCTTCAGGTTTGTAGAGAATAGAGTAGTTTCATAGATCTGCTTTCACCTATGATAAAAATCGGAAAGGTTAAAAACCTATAGTTCTAGTTCATGCCTTTTTTTTTTTTTTTTTTCTCTCTTTGACTTTCTTTTGCCAAGGAGTCTTTGTGCAGAGGCTGGTGAAAGTCGATCACATCTTACACCCTTCATGTCAAGTATTTCTTAAGGTATCTTATTTTTCATATTTCCAGGGATGTTAATCTCATTGCAGGACTAAAGTGGTTATGACTCTTAACAGTAAGGAAGGAAAGAAAAAAACAAAGAAAGTAGGAGAACATTACATTTAATTGCAAGTGTAGTAGAAAATTTTATGTAAGCAATAAAATAAAAAAAAAATACTTCCCTGCTCTGGAGAAAGGAAGATTAAATATTTAAATAAGATAGCTTATAAGAGATGTTTAAGTCAAGTAGTCTACCTTTTGTTTTTCTTTTAATCAACAACTTCCATTTCTCTCTACTCCCCCTATAAAGGCATTATGACTTTTAGTGAGTCCTGCCTTAATAAGCCATTCTAAAGATGAGTATGAGGTCAATTTATGTTTAAAAGCCTGCAGAGGGGCCCAATTATAGAGTAGACTGTTGGTATAAACTGTAATAGTTTATGTCAGGAAGTTCTTTTATTTTTTAGATAAAATTCAGTGTAACCATATGTCATATTTACAGTACAGAATACAATGTAAATAGTGCCCGCTGGAGTTGTGCAATATAGTAGCCCCCAAACTCTCATTATTTGAGCTGCTCACTTCTAAAAACATTAGTTCAACTCATCACACAGGCATAATTTTGGGGAATGAATACATTCAATTTCCAAACTCCTCAGTAAGAGAAAATTAAAGAACGGCGAACAAGTAAGGATAAATTTGAATACAGTTGTTAATAATATTATTCCCAGAATATAGGTTCTTAGAATTATCACCTAGTCTCCTTTTGTGTATTTTGTTTCACTCATCTAGAGTCATTCAACATGAATATGTGCTGCAAGTCTGTTGATTCCACCCAGTCTATTAAAATCACCTCTAAGTCAAGTGCAACGTAGACTGCTGCCCAAATCTTTAACTCAGAATTTTCTGTGTGACGTTTAATGCTGATTCTGTCTCTTTGCCTACTGTATTTTTAACTAAGGGCACTCTTTGAATATATTATTGTTGTTATTTACAACTATCTGGCAGCAGTTACACTAATTCAAGTTGATAATCAGCTATTTAAATTCCTTATGAACTCATGGTGGAATATGATGTAGCAGATCGCCTGAAGAACTTTATGTTTTGTGATATTATCACGACATAATGTAAAATGCCATGGAACAGGTCATATTGCCCAAGTGTCATTACACCTTGTGTCAAAAACCTGAAGCCTCTTTTGTCAGTTGGCTGACTGGCTTATTTCTCCAGAGATCCTCAGCTACATGATGTTGGAATTCACAATTCAGAGGGCAGTTGACACACCCATTTCTGTACTTAGACATTATTCCTACCTTCTAGTCTGTCAACCTCATCCTCATCAGTTTACCGAGAGTCTACAGAGGGTGTGGCCTTGTTTTACTCAAGCAATCAATAAGTGAAGGCAGTAAAGGAATGTAAAGTGAACAAGCATGCGGAAAAGAAATAGAAGACAGAAAATAACGCCTTGCAAATAGACTCTGAAAGGTCATTCAAAGTTGAAGAATTCAACTATTTCTTAAGTTGTATTTTGATAGGTTCATTGATACAACTAAATTGACTCAAGTTTCAACCAAAACTGTTTTTACAACCTACCTTCCTACTAGGTAATACTCATTACCAAAATTTTATCTTGGTTAATCTGGTCTATGGAGTAACTGTAAATGACTCATTAATAGTTACTCATGAAGTTTCCTTCTGGGAATTACTTTTAATAAGGCAATAGATAAATGTGGTGAAATACTTTCTGAGCTGAAGCTATTATCTTTGTACTGAATAGAAGTCTAGACATGAACACGTAGATGTGTGTCTGCTCAAATGCTGAAATCCAGGACCTATTCTATACCAGAGTATTTGGAATGTATTTTACTAATTGTCCCATTGACTATTAAAGGAAATTTGCAACCAGAGAGAAAGATAAATACAACAAACCTGACTCGAGATGGTTAAGAACTTGAAAGAAACCATTAATAGCAATGAAAATATTAGAAATCTCAAGAAAAATGGTTTTCCTTAGAAGATCATACTACCAGCCTATAGGTCATATCTGCAGAACATATTCTTTTGTTCTTACTGGTAGAACTACTGATCTGAATTAATACATGACATAAATACAAAATAATACTTTTCTGTGCCAAGTTTTTGGTCATAATTTATGTAATGAATTAGAATTTAACAAAATAATATGAAGATTAGAAGATAGGACACGCTTCATCTTGAATTTTGGGTGATCATGGCCAAATGGATAGTTGTTCCTTCGTATATAGGTGGAGGATTGTTTCCAGAAGCCCCTCATATTCCCAAACCCATGCATACTCAAGTCTTGCAATAAGTCCTGCCCAGCCTGTGTATATGAAGAGTCACCTCTCCATATATATGGATTTCACATCCAGGAATATTGTATTTTTGATTTGCAATAGGTTGAGAAACATCCACATATAAGTGGACCAGCCTAGTTCAAACCCATGTTGTTCAAGGGTCAACTGTCGTTATTTTCTTAAAATGTCTGCTTAATTGTATAGTGTGTTTCCTTTGTCTAATAATAGGCAAGGTAAGTTTCATTAAAAAGTATTTTTGAAACATGTATTGAGTTTTTCTATATTCAAAGCATATCCATGTATGTTGTTTGTATTGCACTGCATAATAAGACATAGAAGTAATGATTGTTTGTATTGCACTGCATAATAAGACATAGAAGTAAAAAATAATTGTTCATGAACCTTTATCCTTGAAGAGACTAAACATCCAAAGTCAAACACAGTTAGAAACTTATACAACTAAAGTTTAAACTCACTTGGCATGTATCATCAGGCCAGTACTCTTCCCATTACATGAAAAGGAAACTAATGAAAATCACAGAAGTCATTTAAAACACAGTTCTTCTTGGCTCCCGCAAGATCTAAGGCTTAAGAATTATTATTAATTATTATTAAAGTTATCTTATTATTTGCTATGGACTAAATATCTGTGTTATTACTGCCCTGTGAATTCACATTCTGGAGCCCTAACCCACAACGTGATAGTATCTAGAGATGGGTCCTTTGGAAAGTAAGAAGAGGTCATGAATATGAGGCACTCGTAATAGTATTAGTGCCCTTATAAGAAGAGATAAGAGGTCTCTCTCTCTCTCATTCTCATTCTTTCTCCACTCCATGCCCATATAAAGAAGGGGTCATGTGAGCACACAGCAAGGATGCAGCTTCCAAAAAGCCAAGAGAAAAGGCCTCAGAATGAAACCTGCCTTGCCAGCACTTTGATCTTGGACTTTCCAGCCTCCAGAACTTTGAGAAATAAATTTCTGTTGTTTAAACCATTCATTCTATGATATGTTTTTTATGGCAGACTGAGCTGACTAAGACACCATCTTACGTGAACTAAACTGACTATAATCTTATTTGAAGAAGTAATATGGAGGTGAGGAGGTTAGTGAAGAGGAAGATAATTTCTTTCTCCCTCATAGGAGATATTTTCACCAGTGGATTGGGAGGCACTACTACTTGCTAATACTACTACTTGGCAAATATACCAATTACTCTTCTATCAAGTCTCAAGTTTTCTCCCAGACTTAAGTCTATGGCTTATTTTTACAAAATAAAAATAGGGACTTGGGATCCATATGCCCAATAACATATTCAGTAAATGATATTTTCATACTTTTTTTACCGCATTCCAGATTTATAATCAAATATCAAAGTTATGTGTCAAAATAATTTCTAAGGATTTTGGTTGAATATCATCTCTTCTCAGATATTCTCTCTAGCTACTATCAATCTGAGAAGGAACAACTCATCAACATATGACATTGATGAAGAATTCAAACAAAGCCTGAGCTCTCTTCAGACAATGAGAGAAGATTTGCATGTAACAACTGGGGACATATAATTTTAACTTTTACAATGAAGATAGACTACAATATTCAGGATTATTTGTAGGAATTAAGTGATAATCACTCATTGTTTAAGGTAGACTCAGCTCTTTGTGGTCACAGGAGTTGAAAAAGATAACAAGCATTTGAAATGCAGTAAACAAAATCTAGAAAGTCAGTATTACATATTTTTAAAACTAAAATGGAAACAAACCAGAAATGAGCTAGAAACTAAGTTCTTGAATAATAAATAGCATGTTAAATGGAGGAGAGTAGGCACACTTTGATAACAATACTGTTCTCATCAGAACAAACATCAAGAATCTGCAAAGATAATCAACTGAAGTGACAGGAAGAGCTTTGCTGAGAGAGGAGGTGAGACTCACAACTGTAATATTGTGCAACTGTTTTTTGAGTCCCACTTCCACTTCTCTTTGTCACATTATTTAAGGGTTTCAAAGTAAAGGACAGACAATCCTCTGACACTCTCCAATTTGCTAGCAGCTCTTTAGAATAGACAACTTGTAGCACTTTCAATTAAGTATGCTTTAGCTCCTAAATATGCATTGAATTTATATTTAAAGGATCTGTTACTGCATGGTAATTACATGGAGCCATGAGATGGCACATTCCAGGTTCCCTAAACACAATAGTGCACTGTGAGGGGAAATTGGAAAGGCTTAACCAAGTTCCTCCCAATGACACATTCTTACTAATCTTTAAATCAACATAATCTTCTCTAATCATGGAAGTATATAGCTCTCATCATAGCAAATGTGGAACATCAAGCAAAATACAAAAAGAGAAAAAGTTATATTCATTTTTATATATTAATTTTTGTTCTATGCAATTTTGAATAGTGCTTTTATTATTAAAGCCACTCTGCTTTTCAAATGATGTTTTCTACATGTAAACCCCTCCATTTCCCAATGATCAGCTTTTTGTCCTCTTCAAAATAACAATTTCTGCAATAGAAAATGGCACATTTTTCCTTCTCAAAGGGTACTTATTTTCCCCTTCCTATATTATAATACTACAAATTGGTGTCTTATAAGATATATACTCTAGCTTCTATGAAGAGCTTCTTCATAAATGTGCCTCAAGATTATCATGTGCTGCACATGGGATGCAGGTGTGTGGAGCTGTGCATGGCTCCCCCTTAGGGAAAATGTGTGGGACCTGGGTCTTGTGGAGCCCCTGGAGTTAGATGCCTTTGGCCGTAGACACCCTTCTGCTTTACCCCAGTCTGTCACGCAAATCTCATTTGATTTTTAATGCTGTGAAGAGGACTGGGAAACTCTGCTTTTCTATTTGGAAAACTGTAGTCCATGCTCTTGTCCACATAAAGCATATGGCGTTCTGACCACAAGGCACAAGGCCACAAAGGCATTCTGACCAGATTTACCTTAATGGAAGGAAAATATCACAACTTTAAGTGTTTCGATATGGACATTATGCTGGGTTAGTCATAGGATAAAACACAAATTGAAACAACCATGCCTTTAAAACTTCTTAACATAATTTTTTTTATTATTTAACTTCTTTTGACAAACCCAAATGATCTACCAACTGGTCTTCTGAAAGTTTCATTTAGGCGTCATCCCATGTACAGACATCTTGATCTGTGTTATTTCTACCGCAAGTACCTGTAACAAATTTCATTCCATCAGGTCAGTACCCTAGTGGGTGACTAACTAGTAATTTGACAAACCGTTTGTGTTTAAGTGGATTGATGTGTTAGTTTATTTAGATAACATTTGTATTTTGATAGGGACTATCAGTTCTCCTGGATGGCAGGAAGTTCACTTGATGCTTGCTTGACTAACCTCTGGACAAAATGCCTGATTCATAGATTCATAGCCAGTGCTTAATTATTCTTTGTTTTGTTTTGTTTGTCTTGTTTTGAGACAGAGTTTCACTCTTGTTGTCCAGGCTGGAGTGCAATGGTGTGATCTTGGCTCACTGCAACCTCCACCCTGTGGGTTCAAGTGATTCTCATGCCTCAGCCTCCCAAATAGCTGAGATTACAGGCACGCGCCACCACGTCCAGCTAATTTTTGTTGATTCTCTTGCCTCAGCCTCCTGAGTAGCTGGGATTACAGGCATGTACCACCACACCTGGCTACTTTTGTATATATGTATTTTTTAAATGGAGACAGGGTTTCTCCATGTTGGTCAGGCTGGTCTCGAACTCCCGACCTCACGTGATCTGCCCACCTCAGCCTTCCAAAGTGCTGGGATTACAGGCGTGAGCCACCGCGCCAGCCTGTTTCCTTTTTAATGAATTAAAGAGTGGGTGTACTCCAGTAGAGATAGATAATTGCAACAGAAGTCACTATAAGTTCCTTTGAATCATAACTACTGGTTGTATATCTGTCCCATCTATAGGGTTATCAGTGCTGGTTTACAATAAGGCTAATGGAATGTTCTTCTTTTCATGGCAGAAGAAAAGAGAACTTACACGTGTTTGAGAGGTAAAGATGAGTAGTTGTTAAACTGTCATGTCTAGACTGGACTGTGTGAGGAAAATATTTCTTTGACATTTCTTCCTAAATGATTCAGATTCACAAGAATAAAAAGTGTGTTAATCTTTTTATTAAGAGCAATTTTGAAGGATTTATACTATGTATAGAACCACTAAAAGTAAGACATGCTGACTGATAATGAAATAAGGAATCTTTCCACTTTTTGTTTCTTTGCTATTGTGACACATTTTATTTTGAAATTAAACTTCTCACATTTGGATGGGAACAGAGTATGTTCTTTAAATCCTAGTAAGGAAAACATGCAGAATGGTTTTGGATTAGAGGACATAAGGTAATTCTCTCAGTGGCAAGCCAGTTTTCACGAGGGGGCGGTGTGCTCCCCTCCACCCATCTGCAAGCCTGTGAACAGACCTTCCACCAGGTGTCCACCCCAAGCACACACAGATACAGAACAAGAAGAAGGTGTCCCAGTGGAGAAGAGGGATGGCCCTGCAATAAATTAGCCAGACATGATGTTCTAGCTGGAGATTGCACCAAATTAATTGGAGAGGGAAAACAAATAACACCATGATTCATTATACACAAGGTGTCTCTGAACTATAGGTGTTTTTTTCAAATGAAAATGGATTCTTTAAGAAAGTAACTTTTTAATGCCACACATCACATCATTGTGTTTAGTAATAAGAGGCACATCAAGAGGTATAAAGCATAATTTCTGCCTTCAACGAGTCTGTAATCTACTTGGAGGTAAATATGGTGTAACATGAAAGGGAGGAAACAATTCATTTTGGTGAGCACTTGAGGTAAGTTTTAATATCTGGTGCCACAACACTGTGTATAAACATTTTCCTTTAGGTGATAGGAGCCACTAAATTCTGTTGTGAAGAAAAGTGAAGCACTAGATGAACAACAGTAGAATGAACAATTGAGTATGGTGTTTAGGACACAAGTCCTGGATTTAGACTTTGTGTACAAGTCCCAACTCTACCATTTATGGAAGGAATAAACATTATGGAAAGAGGAAAATTAAGGGAGGAGAATCAATGCAGGGGCCGGCAGTGGTAAGACATAAACTTAGAGAAGTAGGCAATGTTTGGGTCAGGGCTTTCAATTTGAATGCCATCTAAAGATTTTTTTCCAGTAGACGATGGGAGAGATTGTTCACTAAAGGTAGAGATTGTCTTACGGAAAATGGAATTCCTGCTTTAGATGACCTCGCATATCAGAAATATACAAAACAAGTGTTGTACATTACAGATGAGGTTATCCGGAATTCAGGATCTGGCACTCAGCAGTGGTCAATAAAATTAATAAAATTCATAACCCTGAAGGTTCACTTTGTTGTTCATCCCAATCTGTCCTCAGGAAAATACTCTCCACATCTCTTGTCCAAAGTCCTTACAAAAAAAAGAAAAAAAAAAAAAAAAAAGACAAGACACTTGCATCCACATTCCATGAAGATGTAAGAGTTGTACTCCTGCTGATACCAGAGGGAGACAATGCTTCAGAGAGCATGGGACATTTAAGCAGTGGAAGCACTTGGTAAGAGAAAAGACTTTTTTTTGGTCAAATTCTTCCCTTCAGAAAGCATGCATGCAATGTATTTTTATGAAATAGTACCATTTCCCAAGAATGTCAAGCTTCCATTTTATTTCCTCTCTTCCTGTTCTAATTTGAAGTTCCGGAGACACTCATGAATTAGCACAGTTTTTACAATAGTTGCTCTTATTGGCTACGGAATATTTTTCAATGTGAAAAATTTAATGGTTAACTTTTTTTCACTGTAGGTCTAGATGTAACATGGCGATGCAAGGTACCAATTTTTTTTTTTTTTCTTTTTGAGACAAAGTCTCTGTTGTCCTAGGTGGAGTGCAGTGGCATGATCATGGCTCACTGCAGCTTTGACCTTCCTGTGCTCAGCTGATCCTCTGGCCTTAGCCTCCTGAGTAGCTGGGCCTATAGGTGTGCACCACCACACCAGGCTCATTTTTGTACTTTTTGTAGAGATGGGTTTTACCATGTTTCCTAGGGTGGTCTCAAACTCCTGGGCTCAAGCAATCTTCCTGCCTTGGCCTCCCAAAGTTCTGGGATTACAGGCATGAACCAACACACCCAGCCAAGGGATCAATTCTTTACATCTGGGTTAGAACACATAAGAACTGCAATAGTTTTATTTTTAATAACAGAATTTATTAAAATTTTATAAATCTTTCAAAATATAATTTAAATTTTTATTTAATTTAAGTATTTGAATTTATAATTGATTTTTGACTCTTAATTTGTTTTTGAAGTGTAGTCTCATTCTGTTGCCCAGGCTGGAGTGCAGTGGCGTGATCTCCGCTCACTGCAGCCTCCTTGTTCTGGATTTGAGCAATTCTCGTGCCTCAGCCTCTGGAGTAGCTGGGATTCCAGGCATGTACCAACACACCAGGCTAATTCTTTAATTTTTAGTAGAGAGGGGGTTTCTCCATGTTTGCCAGGCTGGTCTCCAACTCCTTACTTACAGGTAAGTACCCTCCTTGGCCTCCCAAAGTGCTGGGATTATAGGCATGAGCCACCATACCAGACCTGACTCTTAAATTTAATATATATGTTTGCCTGCCTAATATAAAAATGTATTTGAAAACATAGAATATCATAATTTTTCTATTTTGCATCTTCTTTTTAAGAATTTTATGAAATAATATACGTTTAATACATTGTGATTATGATTGCATTTTATTTTAATCCTTTACGTCAGCCTTGCCATTAGAATTAAAATTATGTACAAATACAACTATAGTAACTTAGTAATTTTGCTAAAATTAGAAAACAAAAAGTAAATTATATTGAATAAAGAAATAATACTTTAGTAATTAATATATATCTTTTTTGTTAACTGTCCAAATTTCACCAGCCCATCAGAAGAATAGCCATACTTTTAAAATAATACTTAAATTCTGTCTGATATTTCAATTATTTTCGGTCATTTAAAAACAGCTTTATGTTTTTAATTTCATCTTTATGAAGGCATATTTGGCAAATATGGGGGGAAATTTTATTTGACAGCTTTTAGCTTGATTTGTAATTTTTAAGTACTTAGACAAACTGTGAGCCTACGTATGTATTTTTGCCTTAGATTCAGTGAATCTTCAGGTAGACTGAGAAGACGAGAAGCCATTAAGAACTATTCCAATTAAATGCATTTTAGGAAATAATAATTCAAAAATTACCTAATTTTAAAAAAGTAAATGCATTGTCTCTTTTAATAATATTGTAATGAAAATGAAAATGAAAATGCAATGTCATCAAGAAGCAATTTCTTCTCTCAGTTCTTCCTTGTCTATGCTGGCTTTGTTCTCAGGCTTATGGTGGCCAATGGCTGCCGCTTTCAGTCATACATTTTCCAGACTTAAATTCAGCAAGAAGAGGGAGCCTCTTTTCTGGTTTTCCTGCAAGAATCCAGCTATTCCTCTTAATGGACTTGCTTAGGTTATTTTTTCACCCCAGGAGAAAGGCACTAGACAGGAAACCTGCAATAAGGGTAGAACGTGGTAAATCCTCAAAAACAAATAAACAAAATCCCAAAGCCAAAACAAAAACAAACAAACAAACAAACAAACACAAGAAAACAAAGGCCTGCTGTAGGAGGAAGGGGAGAAAGGGCTGCAAGAGAGTCAAACAACTATTGCCCACTAATCAGCATTAGTTACAGATCACTGAGTGACCAGGAGAGAATGAACTAAGCTGGCTAGCGGAAGGTGAGGAAAGGAATTCAAGAGATATTCAGTACTTTCAATGTACTCGAATTGATGCAGAATAATTCTTTTTTTTTTCTTTTTTTTTTGAGACGGAGTTTTGCTCTTGTTCCCCAGGTTGGAGTGCAATAGTGTGATCTCGGCTCACTGCAACCTCTGCCTCCCGGGTTCAAGTGATTCTCCTGCCTCTGCCTCCCAAGTTGCTGGGATTACTGGTGCCCACCACCATGCCTGGCTAATTTTTTGGATTTTTAGTAGAGAGGGGGTTTCGCCATGTTGGCCAGGCTGGTCTCGAACTGCTAACCTCAGGTGATCCACCTGCCTTGGCCTCCCAAAGTGCTGGGATTACAGGCGTAAACCACCGCGCCCGGCCATATGCAGAATAATTCTAAAGTTGTGGGGGAGAACCCGCAAGATCTTCAGATTTCTGTTTTCAGTAACAATGCAGTTTGAAATAGGAAATACAAGAAGAGTAGCAAGTCTAAAGGAAAAGGTGATGAGATCAGTTTTAAAGATCTGGAGTATGAGGTGTTCCTAAGATTTCCAAGGGGAGATGGAAGATGGGCTTATTTTGGAGTTTAGTGGAAAGGTCTCCACTAGAGATATACAATGCAAATATGAGAACGGTGTTGGTTTCATAATTATTCTGATACCAAGGGGCCTTTCTAGGAGTAAGCATGATTGTTGTAGCCCAAGAAGGGGAAGAGCCAATGGTGTCAACAAATAAATTTGAACTTATTTATATATCAGTTGGGTAAGTTTTAGTTAGATAGCCTAATGAGGTAGATTACTTTAAGATGTAACCAAAGTTTTTAAGTCTATCAAAAAAAGCACAGTACCCTTACATGTGCTGACCCTACCCATAAGAACTTGCCCGAAAGTGAGGAAGCCTCCCACTCCCACAGTGCTGCAGTATCTTCCTCAAACTGCAGAACTGGCAATGTTGAGCAGGCAGAACTTCTACCTGCCCTCAGACTGCAGCAGATTTAACTTACCTAAGTCCCATATGCGTATGGTTTCTGAATATCAAAAAATTAAAACTGTCTTTTGTAACTGAGTGCTTCCACAATAAAATATTATAAATATATTTTTTAGAAATTTTATCTTAAAAAGAGACTAAAATACAACTTGCCACAATTCAGAAAATAACAGTTTTCTACATTGGGGAAAAAAGATATCTAACTTGTGGCCTATAATTCTTCTAAATTAACAAAAATCAGTCAGTGGTAAATTATCTTTATGTAAAAAGTAAATGACTTTGAGAAGAAAAGAATATCCAGTTTGACAATTTATGGCTTAGATTTTGTTGTAGATTGAGAGCAGGTTTTATATGGTTATCTACTTAGTTTTTATAGAAAAGTGACCTAAACAACTATAGAATGCTCATTATATAGTTAATAAATCTCAATAAATCATAGTTAATAAATGATTGAAGAATCAATTTGTTTTTAATTGAAAACAATAAATACACACTAAATGCATTAAATCTTTACTTGCAACATTAGTATGCAGCTGAAAATCTTTATTCTTTTTTTTTAGGTAAAGAATCCATGCAGAAACACCAGAACTATTAATATTTATGTTAACAATATATTTATATACACACACATATATACAGCTGTAGATAGCATATCTATATGTATCTATACCTTTATATACCTTTATATATAGGCATGCATTCTTTTTTCCACTTTATTATGCTTCACAGATATTGCATTTTTTATAAATTGAAGGATTGTAGCAAATCTGCATTAAGCAATTCTACTCCTACAATGTTTCTAATAGCATGTACTTCAGGTCTCTGTGTCATATTTTGGTAATTCTTATAATATTTCAATCTTTTAAATTTTTATCATATTTGTTATTATCTGTAATCATTTATCTTTTATGTTACTGTTGTAATTGTTTTGAGGTGCCACAAACCGTGCCCATTTAAGATGGCAAACTTAATTGATCAATGCTGTATGTGTTCTGACTGCTCCACTGACTGGGTTTTCCCCAGTCTGTCTCCCTCTTCGGGAGCCTCCCAATTCCGGGAGACTACAATAATGAAATTGGGTCAGTTAATAACAATGCAATGTATTTTTAATTGTTTAAGTGAAAGGAAGAGTTGCACATCTCTCATTTGAAATAAAAAGCTAGAAATGATTAAGCTTAGTAAGGAAGTCATGCCAAAAGCCAAGATAGTCCAAAAGCCAGGCCTTTGGGGTCAAATAGCTAGCCAAGTGGCCAATGCAAAAGAAAAGTTTTTGAAAAAAAGTAAACGTGCTACTCCAGTGAACACACAAATGATCAGAAAGCCAAACAGAAAGAAGATTAAACCAGCTACAACATTCCCTTAAACCAGAGCCTAATCCAGAGCAAGGGCCTAACTTTTTTCAATTCTACGAAGCTTGAGAGAGGTGAAGAAGCTGAAGAAGTAAAGGTTGAAGGTAGTAGAGCAGGTTGGTTAATGATGTTTAAGGAAAGAAGGCGTCTTCATAACATAAAAGCGCAAGGTGAAGCAACAAGCACTGAAGTAGAAGCTGCAGCAAGTTATCCAGAAGATCTAACTAAGATCACTGATGAAGGTGGCTACAATAAACAACGGATTTTCAACATAGGTGAGACAGCTTTGTATTGAAAGAAGACATCATCTGAGACTGTCATAGCTAGAAAGGGGAGTCAATGCATAGCTTCAAAGCATCAAAAGACAGCCCAGGCCTCTTGTTATTAGGGGCTAATGCAGCTGATGACTAAGTCGGAACTAACGCTAATTTACCATTCCAAAAATCCTAGGGTCCTAAAGAATCTGCTTACAGCATGATTTACTGAATATTTTAAGCCCCCTGGAGAGATCTGCTGCTCAGAAATAAAGATCCCTTTCAAAATGTTTGAAATCTTTGAAATCTTGACAATGCGCCTAGTCAACCAAGAGCTCCGATGGAAATGTACAAGGAGATTAATGTTGTTTTTTATGCCTGCTAACACAACATCCATTCTGCAGCCCATGCATCAAGGAATAATTCAAATATTCCTGTCCTATTATGTAAGACATACATTTTGTAAGGCTATAGCTGCCATGGATAATGATTTCCCTGATGGATCTGGGCACAGGAAGTTGAAAACCCTCTGGGAAGGATTCACCATTCTAGATACCATTAAGAACACTAGTGATTCATGGGAGAGGGTCCAAAAAACAACATTAACAGGAGTTTGGAAGAAGTTGATTCCAACCCTCATTGGTGACTTTGAGGGGGTCAGGACTCTAGTGAAGCAAGTAACTGTAGATGTGGTGAAAAGAGTAAGAGAACTAGAATGAGAAGTGGAGCCTGAAGATGCGACTGAATTGTTGCAATCTCATGATAAAATTTTGCTTCTTTGGAATGATCAAAGGAAGTAGTTTCTTGAGGTAGAATCCACTCCTGGTGAAGATGCTGTGAACACTGTTGAAATGACAACAAAGGATTTACAATAGAAGATAAGCTGGGTTGATAAAGCAGGGGCAGGGTTTAAGAGGACTGACTTCAATTTTGAAAGTTCTACTGTGGGTAAAATGCTATTAAGCAGCAACACATATACAGAAAAATATTTCCTGAAAGAAAGATTGATGTGGTAAACTTCATTGCTATCTTATTTTAAGAAATTTCCACAGCTACCCCAGCCTTCAGCAACCACCACTCCAATCAGTCAGCAGCTATCAACATCAAAGCAAGACCCTCCAATTGCAATAAGATTATGAGTTGCTGAAGGCTCTGATGATTGTTAGCATACTTTAGCAATAAATTATTTTTAAAATTAAGCTATATGCATTATTATTTTAGACAAAGAGCTATTGAACACTAAATAGACAATAGTATAGCATAAACATAATTATTATATGCTTGAGGAAACCAAAAACGTATGTGACTTGCTTTACTGTGATGTTTTTATTTCATTGGTCTGAAACCAAACCTGCAATATCTTCCAGTTACAGCTGTATATGTTGTATAGTACAAACTAAAACATAATGTGGTATGGTAGAAAGTTGAGTTGAGATCAAAATTTTACACACATATATGTACATATATGTGAAAAACAATTACTTTTTTTTCTCCTGGAAACATCTATTTTTGGAAAATTGTATCTCAAATTTTCACTTTGGTTTTATAAAAGCAATTTGTGTTAGCAGTTCTTAACCTTTTGAGAATAAAAGCCACTATATCTAATTATTAAATCATAGAAAGTAAAGGGATAATACTATCAGAAATCACAAATTGAATTACATCAGGACTTAAAAACAAAATTTCTAATTGAATTGAATATTCAGGAGGAGGAAAGTAAAAACTTGGAATGAAAGAGATGGATGGACATGGATTACAAAACTTGTAATCAAAAATGAACTTAAAAATGCTAACAGATTGTAAAACAATCTGAATCAACAAAATGTGAGTAAAGAAAGTGTCACTCCTCTGTAATGTTTCATAGAAATCAATATCAATCAAGGTCTTGATAGAATTAACCAAACTTAATAGGATGTCAGACATACAAAGTGAGAATAAGTATAAAATCAACTTTTCAAATACTTTCACTTCCCTAAATGTGACTGCCTAAAAATCAAGAAAACTGAAGCAAAGTTGTTCTAGTTTGATTCCTGATAATTGTTATATTAATATTCCTAAAATTAATATAAACTCCTAATAATTGTTATATTCTCCATGTTGTATTCTGTTTAAATCTACATTTTAATGAATTACCATGTTTGAAATCTGCCTTGATAACCCTGAAACAATAATAATAGTAGGAACAGCATTAAATAAACTTGTTTTATATGCAAAGCCTTGTGCTATGCTCTACAGATGTATCATATCAACTGCTTTACAGGATTACACTGAAGAAACAGAGGCAAAAAGGGAGTAAGTGATTTAGCCACCAGTTAGTTAATTTATTAAGTGGTGGAGCTACAGATGGTACCATACATGGCCGACTCCAGGGATAGTGACACACTTCACTACATTAGCAAGATGTAAAGAGCTGATCCTACAAATGATAGTTAAAGGGGAAATAGTATGTCATCTCCCCATCAACAACATTTGAACTTCCAATGAAGGTAACAATAGAGTCAAATAGAACTAAAACTAATATGGAAAATATTATTCTCCAGCATAGGACATTATACAGTCCAGTAATATTTCATGGTTAGCAGAGTTAAAGGCAGCTGAGATATCTAATAAGATGAGTACAGTCAAAGACCCTATTTCAGAGTTAATAGGCAGATCATTAGAAGGTTTGACCAAAGCAGTCAACATACTGACCTAATCAAAATCCAGAATGAAAATTATCATAAAGTGCATGATGAACCAATTAGCCTGGAGCTGGCTTGATTCTATCTGCTCAAGTATCTCAGCTGGGAATGGTAAATTAAAAACTAAAAGGAAATGAGGAGGAAAAAAGGAGTAGAAGACAGGAGCATTAGTTTAAGTTCTGGGTCCCTATGCAACAATTTCAGAGGGAGACCATTTTTCCTTTTTTATAGTTAAACAAGCAAACAAACATGTACCCAGATGTCTGGCAAAGAGCAGGTACTCCTGTGTGGGCCTCCACCCACCTTGGAGTAGCACATACAGTACTTGTTCCCCATCTAATCAGATAATAAGAAAGAAGTGCTTTGGTTTGCTCTTTTAACATTAAATTCTGCTTCTGGAAAATACCTTAAAATAATGTGAAGGTACAACATCAGAGCTGTAGCTGATGAAGATTTGGAATAGGAACAAGAGGCTCATTTGGAGCCAAGATAACGTAATAGAAATTTAACAAATAGCCTATCCAGAAATGATACCCTTACTACTTCCTGATTTTCTTGTGCTTTCATTATTTAGTGAAATATCTCTTTTTCTACATCAAATATGAAAGTATCTAGTCCTTTTTCTAGATCAAATATGGAGGGAAAAAATTGAAGAAGATTATGAGGAAAAACAAAAGAAAATAATTTTATAAGGTTGACGTGACACTTTTTCTGGAGACCTTAAATTTTAAGATACCAAATCTTAGAACTTTTAATAAGACTGAGGAATGTAGTAGAAAGAAAACGTGGAGAACCTATAGATCAGGAAACTACTTGTAACTATGTCATTCACTAATCATGTTGCAATTATCAATTCTGTTTTCATAACTTAGAGTCTGTTTTTTGTTTGTTTTGTTGTTGTTTTGTTGAATGAGAGGCTTGGACTTATACATTGTGCTAAATAATTTCTAATCCAAAAATGTTCTTTTTAATATTTCATATGGACTTTGGTAGGAAAATAATAACTTAAGAAATCAATACCAGGACAAGAGATTTTTTTTTTCAAATATGCTTTCATATTCTCTCAGAAACAGAATGTTCATCCATGCATTTTCTAGTCTTCTGGCAAATTCTCCCTGACTTATTTTCTTTCTTTCATTTTGTTATGAAAATACTCTCTATATCAAAGTGTATTACTACCTTCAAAGTAATTACCTAAGAAAATGATGTACTGGCTCTAAACATGCTTCCATTGCTCTAAACTTTTTAAAACTCCCTTCATGAAAATTTGGACAGCAGAAAGACATTACTTGTAAGTCACAAGTCAGGCCAAAAAAAGGTATATAATTATATTTGATAACCATATTTAACCTCAATTTACTTCAGGCTCTTTTAGAAAAAATAAAATAAAAATTATTTTCAGTGTTGGAAATGTGCTATCTAAAACTATTAATACTTAACAGAAAGTGTCACAGCCTGTAAAGAAAATTTAAAAAGAAAAAGAAAGTATTCCAAATGATTCACAACAAACAATTCTTTCTCCCTAAACATTATTATTTAGGATAGAATTGTTTTCCTAGGTAAATAGTCTATCTTGTTGGGGACATGCTCATCTCTGAATCTAGGACTGTTGTTCAGTATTATCAGTCATGTCTCATAGCTGGGTCCTTCAGTTTATCTCTAGATGGTAAATTTGAGTCAAAGTTACTATAATATGGCATGAGTATTAGTTTCAGACACAGTTAAGCTGAAAACACAGCTTCAATAGCTTGCTAATTATGAGATTTCAGACCACTGAGCCTCGGTTTGTCAACTTATAATTGTGGGAATATTATCTAATCTTGAGGCTATTTTAAGAATAAAAAAATGAAACTCATAGCACAATGTCTGGAAGACAGCAGCTGCCTGAGTACCACAGGAAACCGTATTGCATTTCCTAATCACCTTCATATGCATAATAGAGAATTGGTCTTTACTCGCACCTCAACTAAAAGACTCCGTATACTGGAGAGACCATGGTGATTTTTAGGAAACATAAAATTGGAAATTTTTATTAGTTAAATAGAAGAACAGATCAGGAAGAAGCTAAAGTAAAAATAGACTTCTTTGTGCCTGACAAGATGGTGAAATGGTAACTAGAGAGAGAATGGAGTTCCTACAGACGGCAGGTGGCCCAGATTCCTCACTCCTCTAGAAAGATGCAATTGGTTTCAATATCATATTTGATTTAAAGGAAAAGCCCTTTTTTCCTTAGAGTGGCAGCTCATTTGGGAGCCATTGGCAGGAATTAAGTACATCTGGCAGCTATATACTTTGTTTAGGAGTGATGGGTGGAGGCATTTGGGTGCTTAAGCTTCTCCACAAACCCAGGCAGCAGAGACCACAAGAAAATTGAAGCCAGGGAGAGAACTCCAGTCGTAAAATTTCAAGACATATGATAATGCAACTTTCCTTTGAACATCCTAGTGGATCTGGTTACTCTCAAACAATTCATGTGCTCACACAGAAACTCAAAGATGAAGCCATTCTAGGAGCAAAGTAATTGACAGATAAATATTATTGATTGCACTTATCCAAATACATTGAGAACATCAAGAATGCTGGTTGGACTAAGAGCACTGACTTGATCTATGGCTCTGTTATTGACATGCAGCTCTCCCCTCTCTCTTAGAGCTTTGCATAAAGTTTTTCTTTTTTTTTTTTTTGTCAGAAAAAATTATGAAAGTGTCACTTTCCCTTTGCAGTTAATTCAGGAGAGATCCTCAATTCGAGCAGGGCACATTTTCATGCAAATACAGCAGCACAGTTTCCAGCCCCCTAATAGCTTCTTACAAATGATGTGCCATTACAACGAGGTTTATTTAAACAAATTTAATACATCTTTAATCAAGCTGGAGAGCATTTTCAAAGGTCACGCTCCAAATCAGGATCACTGTACTGAGCTTATCAAAGTATTAGCTTAAGGGGGAGGGAGAATTATTTCTTGGACAAGTAATTTTAGGCAAATCTTTATTTACATTTTTATTCAGTTATTAAATTTTATTTCTTTCCCTCCTCCTTCTAGTCTCCATTTATGAACCTATAAGAAAGTCTGCAAATGGAGCTATAAGCATATCACTGCAGCCAGTCCTTCTAGAGGCAACGCCTTTGAACACAGAGAGTCTGAAAGGCAAGGACAAGAGACCAGGCATTTTCAATGTCAGAGATAATCTTTTACTGCCTTTAAAGCATCCTTCCCAAAGGTCTCACATTAGGCTCTGTATACATTGCTGAAATTCTAATGCACTGTTTCTTCAGTGGATAAATGAAATAGACATTGAGAGTTGCCCTAACCTAGACCCTCATACTTTCTCCTTCCCTATCTCTCTGTCTCTGTCTCTTTCTTTTATATGTATCACATGCAGTATATGCAAACAAATATTTATTGCCTACCTACCATGTACAAAACCCTGAGCTCTACTCAGGTCTTTAAACTCCCATTAATTATTCCTACAAACTTTAATATGGTTATCTGAGGCTCTCCCTGACTCTTGAGTCTTTTGCATGAATATTTATGGAACAAAAAAGATCAGCTTGATGCACCTAAGAAAAATAAGTTTATCTTGGTAGCAAATCTCTGGACAAATGTCAGTAACAGCAACCACCATATGCAGTCACAACGACAGATGAAATGTCATTGTTTTCGGAGTGCGAGCTCCCATTCCATAAAATTCAACCCTTTGTCCCAGTATAAAAGTAACTAATGAGGCCCCAAGATTAAAGGGGAAGTGAACTCTGCAAGAACATAAAAATAGCTGATGGGAAGAGGAGAGTTACTCCTGAGGATTTTAATCCTCATTAGACTTAGGAGCTTTCTAACTTCTCAACAACATAGAAATGAAACAGAGCCTCTGAAAAGACAACCCTGAGATAATGAAAAGATCATGCAGCACTGCTATTAAATCTATTTTGGGGTCTTAGCTCACTACCAGAAATTGCCTGTAGGGTGAAGAAAACTGGAGGACCTGGGAAAAACGGGAGAATCACAGAGATCATCATTATTGCAGGCCAATAAGGGACAAAGCACCGCCCCTCCACATAAATGATTTGCCTGTAGCACCACACAGAATGAAGCACCTAGCAGCTAAGGGCAAGGAAACAGTAGGTAAACTTGTTTTTCGCTTGGTATACTAGGAAATTCATATGTAATCAATAACAACACAACAAGGATCAGACAATGATGTGGGATTTGGGTTGATTCTCAAAGAAATTATTGAATGCCCTGTTATTAAGTCTTTGGGGGCAAAACAAAAACACAGCCAAAAAAATAAAAATAAAATAAACCCTCAGATCAAACAAATAAACAGATTGATATCCTGACTTTCTGTCTAAATATGATTCTCCCACTATCCTGAAGGCACAGAAAATTATTTTTAAGGGGTGAGTGGTAAAAGTTAAAAAATGAAGATGTAGTAGAGTTTTGGATGATTTTATATCCCTGGCCCAGTGAGATTATATGCCCTTTGAAAAAGGTGATGGGTGGAGAAGTATCAAAAGTTACCTCAACATAATTAAATGGCAGCTAATCTTATGTGTAATTTCTAGGCAAGTTTTTATTTATCTTGAAGTTTCTGCATCCTATATCAGCAACTCTACAATAAGCCAGTAGCCTTGCTTATTGCTTTTGTCACACCACAATGCAGTAGTCTAGCTTTCCTGCAAAGGGTGATTGGCCACAAGCTGTCTCCTCTTGGCAAGCTTGGTTTGAGTCTGCCTTCTCTTTTGTCGCATTTGCTGTTGTTCTCCCCACTCCAGTTCCACTCTCCTCTCCCTGCTCTTCCTCAACTAGGGTCTGGAATTCTAGAAATATAGGCACAGGACTTTGAGTGCCTTAGGTGCCAGCAACTATGTTTCCACACTCAGATGTAAGTGTGATGTGGCACAATTAAGAGTTCTCAGCTCTCACTGCTAAGACTAACCACGTGTGCAGGCTTAGAAATGTGTATCCCTTGTCACAGGACTCAGAGACTCTGATTTGTTGGATCTGGCCTGAGGCATGGCATCTATATTTTGAAAACGCTTCCCAAGTGATTGTATAGAAAGAATAGTGGAATTCTGAAACAGCTGTGTCATCTTCCTAGCTAACTCATTTTCTAGCTGTGTTAGCTAATCACTTATCCTCTCTAAGCCTCAGTTTGAAAGATGGAGATCCATTCATTTATCCTTTCATTCTTCCAGAAAGTATTTATCAGCTGTATACTATGCGCTTTGCATAAATGAATAATTCCTCTAGGAAATTCCAGTCTAGTGGAGTAGACTGACTTAAATTTGATAGGTATGTATAAAGACCTAGGAGAATTGGAGCTACCAATTCTCTTCAGTGATGTCAAAGTTGGTAAGACTTTACAGATCAAATGACATTAGCCACGTCTTAGGTGATGAATATACATTTATCAGGAGGAAGAGGAAGGAAATTTTAGCAAGAAGGGGGAGTATACATAAAACTTGGAAGCAATGAAATGCATAGTATTTTAAGTCTGATAAATTTTGTGGACTTGAAAATAAAGTTTATTGGTTAAGGAATGAAGATAATACTGGGAAATGTAAAAGGAAAAGAAGTTGAGACTAAATTTTGAAGGCTCTGAAAAACATGCTGAAGAATTTGGAATTTTTTCTTGTGGGGAAATAGGCTACCAGTTTTATCTTTGTCTGCTTTTAACATGGAAATGGTACACACACACACACACACACACACACACACAGAGAGAGAGAGAGACAGAGAGAGAGAGAGATCGAGATTCATTATTTCACAGGCAAATTTAGTATCAGGGATACAGGTAGTGACCAGGAAAGGAAAACTGGTTAACAAAGGAAAACAAAAAGGGAAAGGGTTGGGAGTCATTTCAATACACTTTGCTGACTAAGTGTATGTGATAAGAAAACATCGGTGGTCATTTCTACGTCACCAGATTGAAGGTGGATGGAATTGTGTACATAAAAATATTTTGGTAAATTGTTAATTTAAAAGGGTCACATTAAGGAAAGTCATAGTAGAGATTTCTAAAGAGGCTCACATTAATCCAAATATATGTCTCCATTTGGATTAACGTATATCTCTTCAAATTAATAGCTTGAAAGATGTTATCACTGGAATGTAGAGAGCTCCATATGCTATTCAACGAAATTTCAGGAAGAATGACTTGATTTTGCAAAACTGGATTTTTTTTCACATATTGAAAAAATCTGGAATTCTGAAGACTTATTCTATCTCTGGCTCAATTTTGCACATTAGTCTTCACAGCCTATATATATATATAGGCCCCGTAGCTCCTCCAACAGTGAAACTATAGTAAAACTGTTTATCAGCTTCCCATACACTATGGCCCAATGAATTCCTGGATCCAATGTGAGCTACTTGATATTATTCTACATATTTATGAGTTTAATTAACAGAAATAACAAACGCATGATGCTCAACTCCTGAGTTAGGGAGCTATGAGGTGGTGTAGGAGTGGGAATGGAGGGACAATCACTCTGCAAAACAGAAGATATCTCCTCCATAGTTCCTCGATTCATTTTATGTTTTTATGTGGATAAGGATGGAAATATAATTAAAACTAGGGATTTATTTTTGTTATTGTTCAAGTAGACTTTATTTTTAAGGCAGTTTTAGGTTTACAGAAAAATTGAACAGAAAGTACAGAAAATTTCCCTATGTTCCCTGCCCCAATCAGAATGGTATATTAGTTATAATCAACTAACATTTACACTAACTTGTGACACTAACATTGTGAACTAAACTTGACACAGCATTTATTATTACCCAAAATGTATAGCTTACGTCTGGATTTACTCTCAGTGTTGGAAAAGTCTCTGGGTTTTAACAAATGTGTTTTGCAAATATTTTCTTCTAGTCTGTGGCTTGTCTTACTTTTTCCTTGACAGTAACTTTTGTAGTGCAGATTTTTTTTTAATTTTAATGAAGTCCAGCTTATCGATAATTTCTTTCACATATCATGTCTTTGGCGTTGCATCTAAAAAATCATTGAGGTATACAAGATCACCTAGATTATTTTCCTACATTATCTTCTAGGACATTTACAGTTTGGCATTTTAAATGTAGGTGTACAATTCATTTTGAGTTAATTTTTATAAACACTGTGAGATGTGCTTCTAGACTTATGTTTTGGCCTGCAATGTTTAATTGCTTGAATTTACTTTTGCCCAAGGAAAAAAATAATGTATTAAGGGGTGGATATTATGTTGTTTAGAAAAGCAGTATGATGGATATTTCTTATGTCTTTTAGTCCTTTCAGCCCTGTCTGGAAACTGGAAGACGAGTGAAGGAGACGGACACCATTCTGGAAAATAGTATATAGAGCCGGATCTATGAAAAACGAGTTCTTTTGTCAATACTTCGTCTTCAAAAAGTTATTGATCTTCTTTTAAAAAAAATTTGATTATACTCTCTGAGAATCATTGTTTGCCCTTGAGAGATGCTGTTATGTTCAAAAATTAACCTAGAGATTCTAAAAGTTAGCAAAAGCAAAGGAGGACCATATTCTAGACTAAAGCAGCCATTCAGAAATATGCAACTGAGAATTACTGTGTGCTGTGGATCACCCAGGTTTGGAGGTAACTCAATTCTTTTGGTATCAATTCCTTGAAAGGAATTAAAAGTAAAAACTCCAGAAGGAAAACAAGGTCAGGGACAGGGAGTGGCTAATAAGAGAACTACTGAGTCAGGTTTCTGGCTTATCAGTGAGTCAGGTTTAATAAAAGGATTATTTTTAAGGTGGTGAGTAGGGACTAAGGAGAAAACAACAACAACACTAAGCACATTTATCTAAGATTAACAAAAGCAAGCAGGCATTACCACCATAGGTTCAAGGGGCAAGTGGTAGGAATGATTAGGGTACTCTGAGATTGTCACTCAGTGGAGAGAGCCAGCAAATAGCATCAGTGTACTTTGCGAGAGGGTTGACCTGCATTGGGATCCAGTGAAATAAATATCCCCACCTCACTTTCCTTCCACTTTTCCAACATATCTCATTGTCTCCCATTGGCTGAACTGAACCAGAAGTCAAAGGGCAAAGGATCTTGTAGAGACAGAGTCCTCACAACTCAGCCTCCCAGAGCAAAAAGCAGAGTAGGATGTAGAAAGGTAGAGAATGAACCTGGAAGGGCAGAAAATGTGTAACAAAGCAACTACGTGTGTGTGTGTGTGTTTGTGTGTATGTGTGTGAGTGTGAGAGAGAGAGAAAGAGAAAGATGAAGCAGTAGGTTTCCTTTTATCTTTGAGTCTTTAACACAAAGTTTTCAACATTGTCATTTCCTGTAGCTTCTCCTAATTGTTCAATACAGCATTTTTCTTTTCTTCTACTATTGGCCAAAATGAAAGGGGGCTTCAGTATAAAAAGGATAATTTTATCTAAATGATGAGTCTGCCGAGGCACACATAGCAGGGACCACCATGAATCAAGGAAGGCTATGAAACCTGGAATTCCAGATGGTAACCCACCACAGGGCAAAAATAAGTGAAGATGGAGATATATTAACAGCAAGGAGAAACAGTGCAGATTTGAAAGCAGTTTAGCATAGGTGAGGGTGAGGGTGGATATGAGTCAACCCTCCTTCCCTTTTAATTTTGTTCAAAATATAAAGAAAAGGTGGCCGGGTGTGGTGGCTCACACCTGTAATCCCAGCATTTTGGGAGGCCGAGGTAGGCAGATCACAAGGTCAGGAGATCAAGATCATCCTGGCCAACATGGTAAAACCCCATCTCTACTAAAAATACAAAAATTAGCCGAGTGTGGTGGTGTGTGCCTGTAATCCCAGCTATTTGGGAGGCTGAGGCAGGAGAATCACTTGAACCAGGGAGTCGGAGGTTGCAGTGAGCCAAGATCACACCACTGCACTCCAGCTTGGCGACAGAGCGAGACTCCGTCTGAAAAAAAAAAAAAAAAGTGACACAAGACACAATTTATGAATATTTTATTATAAAACATTATTTTGAAAACATCTGTAATCATCAACTAGTAAAATAGTCCCGTGTTCTTATTTGTATAGGTGATTGAAAAGAGATTCTGAAATTATTTTGACCTTTAATTGCTTAGAGCAATTCACCAAGAACATTTTGCAACTTTCAACCTTTCTACAGAAACACTCCCTTGAATGAGAGAGAATATTTTGCAAATTGACTACCAGGATGATTTCCCACTATCATTCAGAATGGATTTGCGCCAACTCATTCAGCCATTAGCTTTGTGATACAAATTGATTTTAATAATGCATTTCAAATACAAATAGAAATGATTATTATGTGGGCATATATTTTGAACTATCTGTTCTTCATTGTTAAGGCAGATAAGTGAAAATTTGTCCCATTTCTAATTTCTACTATTTAGTAATTAGATCCCTTTGACTTTTTGGTGCCAGTTAGAAAGTAATTAATAGAAAAGGCTAACTCTTTTTCTTAGAAGCAAAGAATAGTAAATACATTCTAAGAAAACTATATCGTGTGTAGAAAGTTGTGAGTTTGTCAGGAAGAGGTAATTTAATTCCTACATAATGAAAAGTAATATAAAAATAAGCAGAAGCATCTTTTAGAAAAATATTTGAATTTCTGTGAATATTAAAGGGATATACACATATTTCTAAAAGAGTTTTGTTTTTTTCATCTTTCTGTGTATTCGCACTAAATCTATTGTAGTCCTGGTAGTCTGAATAATTGCGTCCCAATTTATTGTTTTTTACTACTAAAAGTCAATGTTAGCTATATAATTTCTATATATCACATATATTTTTTAAAAATTTGTAACTTTTATGCTTTTAATCATTGGTTTTTATGTATTACTTGGTTAATATATATTATAAACAAAGTATTATACATTACTTGGTTTATAGAAATTTGAGTGGGAGCTCTAAGAAAATATGACAATTCTGGACACTAGATATCCCAGATTTATATTCTAGCCTTCTAAAGTATGAGATTATGACTCAAATTTCATGGAATCTTCACTAACATGGTATATGGACAATGTTAATGTAATCACACTATAATTTTAAGGATAAGCCTAACACTTTAATATGACCATTAGTGTAGCCCAAACAGAAAATGTTTAGTAAATTTTTTTTGGTAATTGTTCACCATATATCATCAATGCTCAAAATTTTATTTGAATTCATTTATATTAAAAATAAAGAGAAATTGGTACATATTAGTAGCTGCTTTTCTTTTGAAATGAAAATATTTTCAATTAACCACATATAATATTTTACGCTCACCAACCATTTCACTTGATAGTCGTATGTGAAAGGTAATCTAAACTTTACTAGGAGAATTCCACTAGGCTAAAATATGTTAATGCAGAAAATGTAAATAAACAGTTATTATTCAGTATTTATGCTTTTTATAGCACTCTTAATTTGCCTTAGTTTTTGGTTTGGAATATATAATGTATTATATATATTTACACACACACACACACACACACACACACCACGAAATGACAGTCACTCTTTATTTCAACCATTGGTTATGGTCCATTTTTATTTTCCTCAAATATACCACTTTCTTTCCATACCAAAGGGCCTCTTCATTGAAACAAATACTACATAGATGTTTGCCATGTTTTTACACATAGATATAGAAAATAAAAATGATATAGTGAGAACACTTTTGCAACTCACATTTGAAATAGTCAAGACAAATCCAAGATCATAACATATATTAATTTACTTAGTTCAATTCATTTTCATGACAGCTCAAAAATGCTATACGTAAAAGAACACTCCCATAAATTAGAACATTGTAGAGATTGTAATGGTTTATGGCCCAGAGCCCCAGAGCAAAATGATCCACTTTTCAAAATATAGGAGAATCAAGCCCTTTGGCTCCCTTTCTCCTTGAAGTAAGTTTTCTATCCTCCTGCTAAAAGACCTTGTGTAAAGAAATATCACAACTTCCTTCAATGTTCTTTTCTTTGCTTAAAATGTCTCTAAATCAAGAAGTGAAAAGTTACTATTTTTTTTCTTTACAACATATTCATATTCAAAAATTTTGGAACAGGACACCATGGAAAATGTTCAAACTTTATCTTCTTGATAGATACTAGATAGATACTTCAGAATGAGATCAATATGTCCTCACATTTAAATAGAACATCCCATTACATACAGCCAGGCTGTCAAGATTGGATTGCATGTATAATCTGCTTTAAAAAAATTAATGCTTCCAAATGAATAAGATGAAATAGAGTAGAAAATTATATTCTCATTGCCAATCTATCATTTTAAAGTAATACCTAAGCAGTCCATCAGCATCAAGCAGATAGGGACATCTGCTACACTTTTCTGAGACAGCCTAATTTACATATTTGTAAATATTAAATATAAATTTAGAAATTGATATTTTCTTTTTCTTCATAAATGGTCATAAATCATTGATGGAATCTGAATATGCTCAGGATGAATCAATTCTTTTTCTGGTTCTTTTAGAAGCATAGCTACTTTTGTTGTTCGTATTTGTAACATTCTGTACTATGACAGGGTACTCAGAAAAAACAAAGGTATAAACACTTTTTTAAAAATGTTTCCTCCTTTCTATAGTTACCAGATACGCACACTGTAATATTTCCTCCAGTTTTGTCTATGTGCATCAATGAGACACTGATTCATTTGCAGGTATCTAGCAGATAGGTGTCCTATCTATAATGTATTTTCTTAATTTCAAAGTTTATCTGAGATGAAGACAATGCAACAGAAAATATTCACTTATTTAAGTAATTTTTTACAGTATAAGCTATCGCTAACAAAATAAAACAGTAAAAGTCAAATAAATTATTCCTGGTCTCTTTGCTCACTGAGAACATTTGTTAACCACAATTTTGATCTATTTTAGACTCTTTTTTTTTACAGTATATGCTCCGATTCTTGTTTTCTTATTCCTTATTGATTCTCTAGCCCACAATTGAATACATATCAATAGAATTTAAAAATGTACTTGTTGAGTAAAATGACAAATAAAATATAATAAAATATGACAGCTAATTTAGAAATAAATATATTACAAATTTATTACAAATAACAAATGTTAATGTTTAGATCAGGTGTCTGAACTAGTAACATATTTTTCTTAGAAGTATGAATTTTTGGTTCCCAGGCTAGCCCAAATATAAATCACACCATTTAACTCAATGTTAATCATATTAGCCTCAGTTCTTGATAGCAGGGGCCCTGCCACTTTAGAAAAGAGAAGAAAGAAAAGGATAATAAAGATAAACACTTTTCTATCCTCCCTTCTCTTTCGGATTTAGGCCTCAGCACCCTTTTGAAATATTAAAATTTTAAAAATACACCCTTATGCGTCCCTTTCTGCATCTATCTTTGAATTCAAAATTACCCTGTCTAATGATTTCTAAACATTTAAAATATTTATTTTATTTTATTTTAATCTTTTACAGGCCGGGTCTTGCTCTGTCACCCAAGCTGGTGTGAAGTGGCACAATCATAGCTCACTGTAGCCTCAGACTCCTGAGCTCATTTCTTCCACCTCAGCTTCCTGAGTAGCTAGGACTACAGTATTTGCCACGATGCCAGGCAAATTTTTAAAAAAACTTTTGTAGAGACGAGGTCACACTATGCTGCTAGGCTAGTCTTTAACTCCTGGCCTCAAGCAATCCTCCCATCTCAGCCTCCCCAAAATACATTCCATAAATAAATTTTTTTTTAGCTCTTTCAATGTTCTTGTTATAAATGCATTATGTGTATTTTATTGTTTATTATTTTATTTTATTCTAGCCATAAACTCTGTGACATGGGTGCTAAAATTAACACTATTTTATAGGTAAGGAAACAGGAGAAGTAGGATTCACTGATTTCTTTCATAATGAAAAAATGGCTGTGCCAGGTTCCCATAGATTTATCCCATTTCCTATCCCAGTCCACTGTGACCCCACACTGAAGCCTACCCATCACAGTGTGCAGCCTTCTCTCCCTGTGATAGCCTCATCACCTAACTCCTCATTCATTCACTCGGCTGGGCTAAGCCAGGTCTCAGGAAGAAAGCAATACGTTTTTTAATCTAATTAATACTTTCTCTTCCAAACCATCTCGGAGAGATTTAAAAGGAAAACCCTTTCGGGCCAGGTGCAATGGCTCACGACTATAATCCCAGGCGAGAGAATTGCATGAGGGCAGGAGTTTGAGACCATCCTGGGCAACATAACAAGACCCACATCTCTGTAAATAATAATCTAAAATATTAGCCAGGTGTGGTGCTGCACACCTGTAATCCCAGCTCCTTGGGAGGCTGAGGTGGGAAGATTGCTTGAGCCTGGGAATTTGAGACCAGCCTGGGCAACGTAAGCCCCCATCTCTACACACACACACACACACACACACACACACACACACACACGCCCTTCTGAACTCAGATAAATACCTTATGGGGATAATTTCCACTGGAAAAAAAAAAGTGAAAGAAAAGATAACAACCTGGATGGGAGAGATTCTTGTCCCCCTTTAAGATGCTTTCCTCCTTCTCACAGGGGTTTACCTTCCTTAACTCATCCCATTAAAAAAAAAAAATTCTTGGCCTGGCATGGTGGCTCACGCCTCTAATCCCAGCACTTTGGGAGGCCGAGGCGGACGGATCACGAGGTCAAGAGCTAGAGACCATCCTGGCCAACATGGTGAAACCCCGTCTCTACTAAAAATACAAAAATTAGCTGAGAGTGGTGGCATGCGCCTGGAGTCCCAGCTACTCGGGAGGCTGAGGCAGGAGAATCGTTTGAACCCGGGAGGCGGAGGTTGCCAACGAGCTGAGATCACGCCACTGCACTCCAGCCTTGCAACAGAGTTAAACTCCGTCTCAAAAAAAAAAAAAAAAAAAAAAAAATCTTTCCACAATAAAAATACCCTCTAGTGTCTAGTCATTATATGAAATTTAGAAAATAAAAACATAGAAAGATCTAAAAATAATCCATTCTAAGTCTGACCCAGCAGAAAAATCTAATGTTAACTTTTTATGCACTTTTTTCTAATACTCTTTTCCCCATATTTCTTAGAGAGATACAGAGTTGAGAGACCGTAGTACCAGAATTTTTTCTATTTTAAACTGAATATGTAACATTGGCCCTTTGTCAAGTTTTCACCAAACTTTTGTAGATAAAGTATAAAATGATTGAGTTATATATATCTCATCATATACTCTGAATGGGGAACATGCCACAAAGATCTTAGACCTACTGGTCACTTGTAAAGAGGGGTTTATAATTTAGGGACTCGTTCTCAGACATGATCTTTAGCTCTTTGTCTTGGAACATTTGGAATCTGTTAACAATTTATATATTATATATAACTGAGGTTGACTAGATGTTTATTATATATATCATATATATGAAAAATGTGGAAGTGAGAAAGTTGATGTCTCAAGGTAAGTAACATTCAGTCAACTGTACGGAACATGACTAGAAGGGGTTACTGACAGGCAGTGTGGATTGCTGGAATAAATAAAACCAAAATAAACTCAAATTGATTGCTTTTGAACTTCAAAAGTAAAGCTTTATATATGTGTGTGCATAAGTATGTATTATTTTTTTAAGCCAAGCTTAAACGTTTTGAGAAATTAAAAGCAGTTTTTGAAAGCACAGTACTATTATTTTTTTTTTTCTCTCTCTCTCTCTCTATATATATATATCTTTCAATCCTTGGCACATTTTGTAAATGTCAGTATGTGAAAGCAAGCTAATGGTGGGCTAATTCTATGAGAAATGATATCAAAAAATAGCAACTTATTTTCTACCAGCCACTTATTAATTTTCTTTTTTATCAGACTTGAGGTAACAACATTTTTTCAACAATAAATAATTTTAATGATCACTTTGCAGAAATAATTCAGAATTTTTTTTTTTTTTTTTTTTGAGAGGGAGTCTCGCACTGTCACCCAGGCTGGAGTGCAGTGGTGTGATCTCAGCTCACTGCAGCCCAGATTTTGTTAATTCAGACGGTTGTACTGTTCCCAAGCTTTAAAATTTCAACATGTAGGACTTTAGGATTTGAATAAAAACTGTTTTATATTCACATTGTGATAGATACTGCACTTGAGGAGGTAAATACAATTTTGGTAACTGAGGTTGGCTAGATGTTTTGGTTTCATGTCTGATTGGTTTACAATAAATTGTTCAATTACAAGACCTTGCCTTGATCTATATGTTGCAGGCCTCATGAGCAATGACAGTATTGAGCCCAATGTTCTGATGCAGCTTCAGGATTATGATGCAGAAATTTTCTGCTGTGGCTCCATAGAAGTTGCAATCAGCTTTTAAAAGATAGCTGAAACCATCAGATCAGCTAGCTTTCAGATCTGCACATTTCACCAGTATTACAGATTCTATCTCCAAACAGAGGAAACAGATTTTTAAAAATCAAATGTAATAGAAAAAATGTACAGAGAGAAAAATCCACATTTTGAGCCTTTAACATTCATTTCCAAGAAATGACTTGGAAAGTCATTTCCAAGCAAAGACGGAGACTCCAAATGCTTTCACTCTCTATTCATTTCTTTTGTGATATTAAAAAGTGGACAGTCACTTCTACAAGATCTTAGCTATAATTTGAACTGACATCCTTATAGCCAAGTGCATTAAAATTTAGCAGAAATTCCCAAGAGGAACACTCACACGGGGTAATATAAATGTATATTTCTGTGTATACATATATGTATAAAGGAAAGTAGGTAGGTCAGCAAATATATTATGAAATATATTCATAATAATTAAATGCTTCTTCTCATACTAATTCGTTTTATTATGTAGCCAAAGTATTAGCTTAAGAACGCTGATTCAAAAAGGGGTAAATGAACCTTGTTCGTTTGGTAGCTGGACTAGTTTAGCTCATCTCGGTTAGAACTAGTAAATAATTTTCAGCAGCAGCATGAAGAAAACCTCGGTCAGTTTCCTGCATTTTAAATCAATCTCAGGTTTAAGAGAAGGTTCAGGCTTAAAAGTTATTACAACTCCACTGTTTTCTCTGATAAATTACATGAATAACATTTGAGACAATGCATTGTTAAATATTTATGTCTAGTACTATAGAACCAAGAAAAGCACAAGAACCCCTAGAAGAATAAATATATTTACCTAAATAAATTACTAAGACAAATATACTCCTATGTGCTCTGTACCAATAAACAGTAGGTATTCACTAAATTGTAGAATATAAATGGTTCATTTCCTCTAAATGTACACTGAAAGATCTATAACATGTTACACATTTCCTGTGCTTTGCATATATATTTCAATATTCATCATGAAAAGCCTTGCTTATGTGTCAATATACATTACTTTGCATATATTAAGAAAGGCTTTTTAAAAAAATTTCAACATTACGGATGCTTTTTACTATGGGGGAAAGCTTAGGTCTTATTTCATGATTAACCCTTTCACAGCGTATCCTTTTTTCTCTACATGACATTTGCACAAAATGAATTGCTTGCTTAGACACAGCTAACTAAATAAAAGCAGGCCAGAGCTGATAGTATGAAAAATGGATTTTCATTACTGTTTCATTGATTCTTGTAAATAAGGGCCTGAGGCCTGCTCCGAAAAGGCTGCAAACAGTAATAATTTAATCTGAGGTGACATAGACCAAAATGTATGTGGACAAAAATCATCCTTGAATATTAAACAACAGCCTCAAGACAGAGAAAAGTGTTGCAGGCGAATTTAAATGTATGCAGATCGGTGGGTAACATATTTAAAAACAGAAATTAAAGATTCCTGTCATAAATCACATTTGCTGCCATGGATATGCCTTGTTATGCTGGCGTTTAAGAAAACCTGAAAGGTTAAGGCAGTTGGTGCATTAAATCGTACAAGGATAATTAATACTTTTCTTGTGGCTATTTATAAGAAATGGAAAATATTGTCAGATCAGCTGTGGCACTGTAGTAATTTGAGGGGGAAGCCATGAAAGCATGAGTCAATAGTTTTAACTGGACAAATGTCAAATGCTTAATGATGCAGTATCCCAATTTGGAAGCTGTTTGAAAGTCGTATATATTTTAAAATGAGATAAAATAGTTTATTCTCATACTAGGATTATAATTTGCTTGTCTCCCATCCTCTTCATATTGCCCAAGAAAAAAAAAAACACATTTTTTTCCACATGGATTTTTTTTGAAAGTAATTATGCCTCAGTCACCTATACTGTAGATAGTACATGAAAATAAATACCATTTCTGGCATCAAGCATCATAAATTCTGCCTTTCACCATGTCTCAAAAAATAGTAATGACACTATTTTTTTTGAATGACTAATTTGTTTGTCTCCTCAGGAATTACATTGGTAACATCAGAGGACTCTCCAACCACTTCCCCAGAGGAAAATCTACCTTTGTTACTCGATGAACTTAGGTTTATGACAAATCAATTATTTAGAAATCCTCCTGTCATATCTTGTAGGTTTTCTATACTCTAAACTAAAATCAGTGCTGTTTATTAGTATCAGGCATTATGAAAAAGTCCCTCCACATGACAGAATGCTTATAGTCCTAAATCCTTGGGATTTGAAAGGGCCTTTTGTCTTTTACGGCACTGCTACTTGTATAGTATTCCTTTAAGCTCAGAGAAAGGAATGGGTGTCCTTTGGAAAGGAAACTATTCTTGTTATGAATAAAATAGTCTCACAAATATAAGTGCATCATTTGTGCAAAATATAATGTAATTTATGGGTTTTTCTTTTATAAGTTGGTTTCAAAATAACAGTGGGTTTAAAAGTATCGCAGGAGTAAACTATTGTATTTTAGCACAAAATAATATAAGTAAGAATAATTTCTTTTTGATGAAAGTATACAGACATGATTACACCCAGGTGCTTACTTTTCTGGTAATAAAATCTATTAATACATTTATAGTCAAATTCAGCCTGGGTATCATTAACTGAAAGTTCAAATAGTCATTTAATACAAAAGGCTTTTAAATATCTTTTACAAAATAAGTAACTTTAAGTCAGTTCTGAGTTTTTGCTAGACTATGCCATCATTGAATGTTCCCCATGGCCTGAGAAACAAATTTGTTGGGGCTCTCATGGTTCTTTAAATAGGGTGACTCAGGAAACCTTGTTCACTCATCATTGATAGCTAACACTGAAGGGAAGTGATAAAACCATTTTCACATTAACACCCCTGTTCCATATTGCAGTCATTGGGTAGAGCAATAGTTATATATACCATCTTTCATTACACTCACACAACCCAAGACTTACTTGCATCTCTATTTTTATTGATATTAACCCTTGTAACCAAATGCTCTATGATGAGTCTGAGTGGGTGAAAATTACTCTAGTGAAAGCTATGAGATTTATTTTAAAATTGTAGAATGTATTTTCAGAAAGTTAAAAAAAAAGAAAAAACATGTAAATGAAAGGAAAAAAAAATCCCAAACAGATGGGGTAAATGAAACCTCCCTTGCTAACATCTGCAGGTTTATAATTGCTGAAATTGTTCAACCCTCCCCTGTGACTCAGTATCCAGAGACATTGCCTCATAGGTAGAGGATGAACACCAATACATCTGGCCTGACAAATATTCTGTGAGTAATGCCCCCATTGGCCAACACTTCTTCCGGTTTGAACAAAAATGATGTGGCTTTGAGGGAATGAAAATGGTTTAATATTATGACAATCTTCCTGACTAAGTGTGTGAAGTGCAAAGCATGTAATCAGACAAGGCTGAAAGAGTAAAATTGACAAGGCCATAGGAAGAACAGAACTCCTGTCTTCACGGGCTGGCCCCAGAAAATTTGGATTAAATACTGTCTCTGCTTGAAGTAAATTGGCCCTAACCCAGAGGCTTCTCGAAACATAGAAAGTAAAGCTAGGGATTAAGCTGTAATTTAAACAAAAATGATTATCTTTGCTTACGTTTCCTGTGTTTCTGTAGACTGGAACTTAAGTTCATAATTATCTTTTTTAATGATTAATGTCATGATCACTAATTTGGTGATCAACTTAAAAATTCTTCAGCAGATTGTTTTAAACTTAAATGCAAAGCTATTTTCAGTTTTCAACGTTCTTTTTAGCTATTGGTATTAAACATACATAACACATTTCCCTGGAAGTAGATATAACCCAGCTGTTAAGGATAAGATAGGAAAAACAGACTAAACATGAATCGCAAGTGAGAATTTTTCTTGAAGAGAAAGCCTCTGTAAGTTATGTTGCAAGGCACTGGATCTAAGGCATAACATTTTATGCCTTGCTATCACTTACTATTTCAAGATAGCCAAATCCTTTGCTAGAAGTGAAATATTTTCTACGTAACAGTAGATTATTGTCTAGACCATTATCAAGGGTGAATTAGCAAGAATAGGGACACAACCTCAAAGTCAAAGAGCAAGTACTAGCAATTCTAGAAATAGATTTTGATTTACACACCAATAAAATATATTCTGAAATCTATAACAGACAGGTATAAGACTAATTTTACTATTAGAATGTATAAATTGTTTCAGTACGAGTGGAAATTTTTTTTTTAAAAAAAGCTCACCAGAGTAAGAAGTAAACAGAGTAAGAAGGAGATAGAATAAAATGGGAGAGATCATAGACACTAATCTCTTAAGAGCTCTAATGGCTCCTGTGGGTCTGTTATTGCTTGCGTAATAAACATATCTACTGTGCATAAACATTAAGCTCTGCAAAAATATCAAGAGGATATGTAGCACATGGGCTTGTAAACATTAGTGGCAGCTGTACTGATATATAAGTGTACAATGAAATGACTCCAAAGTAGCTATTATGTCCTATCATGGCAGGCTTGGTGAATACCAATGCATTTACATGCTCAAAGAGACAAATGAATTGGCTTTAAATGTATCATTCATTGTGAGCTTCACAGTTTTTCATAATTGACACAGGCCTTCAATGTCATGTAGAATGAAGCACATTAAAGTTATAGAGAAAACTATGGCTTCAAGGTTTCCACATAGGTCTGTGCATTGGGTGGAATCAACAGTACCATTTCACACGTGTTAGATCTGTACTCAAAGCAAACTTTAAAGAAAATGTACAATGTGAGCTGCATAAATACTCCATGATATCTACCTTAAACAGTAACTGACTACTGGAACCAGAGATAGTACAAATGTTACATTAGGTTTACTTTCTGAAATGTGATTTCTCAGCCATAACTCTAATAAATAATAAATTGTTCTTAAACATCCCTTAAGCATACCTTTTAATGAAATACTTTTACTTCTAAGGACACATGATTATTATACCACTTGTAAAGAAGGCCCTTTGAGTTTTTTGTAATGAATAAAAATTAGCACCTATATTATGTCCAACAACAGGGGAATGGATACACTTTTAAAGTATTGCCATCAATGATAATACTTGAAATTTTCAAAGAATATCTAATGACTTGGGGCAATATTTTAAAACAGAAAATAAACAGGAACAAGGTAAAAAATTGTGTTGTGAATTTTGTAGAAAATATATATGTCAATATTAAAAGAATTAGAAGAAAATACATGAAGTTATTAATAGCATCTTCATGTATTTTTTTTCTATAAACTTTCTAGTATTTTTCATATATTATGCAAGTATTATTGTATTTAGATTTATCCTAAATATTTTCTAAATAAAAAAATTGAAAGACACATCCAGTAAAGTAGTAATAAAAAACTCTTGAGCCTACTGGAATCGCTTTTCTATTCCTCTTCAAAAGAATTTAATTGATTTTCTTTCGTTTAAAGCAGAGTTTTATTAAGGAGTCCTCTTAGTGCTTCCCATTCCTCTGTAGTGATGATGAGAACTAAGGAAAGATTTTCCAACACTGGAATTATCCCTAGAATAGGTTTTGGAAGACAGGGATCTTCTCCTTTATTAAATCATCCCAATGAATATTCATTCAAATCCCCATTATTTTGTGTGGCACTGTCAGCTAGATAGACACCATATTAGCAACCTTTCCTGACCTTAAATCTGCTTCAGGTCAACTCAGGGCTATAGAGTTGACTAAGAACTGGCTCCATTTTGCCTTTACACTACCCTTTAGAGTGAAAAGACAAGGATACTTGCAGACCTGACCTGTGAACATTGGTACTCGAGTGCCTACTCATTCTCTCCATTTTGAAATCCACCACGTTACAAAATTGAATGACCAAAACTCTCTTCCCGAGCCACTTCAAATGCTGCCGCTCAGTATCTTCATCACAAACCTCGGTATTATTTGTGACACACCCTTTCTAGTCTTACAAATAACAATTCAGTCTTGTAAATTACTGACACCATTGATTGGTCTCAGTCATTTCCTCCATGATCCTAGTTCAGCCTACCATCCTTTCTCATCTAGATTGCTCCAACAGCTCCCTAATAGTTCTAATGTTCAGGGTCTCCAGACTTATTTGACAAGCTAGTCTCACATTGTAGACATAGTCATATTTGTAAGACACTAATTGTGTCATGTCACCTCCTACATATAACTCATGACCTTTGAAAAAAATCTAAAGGCCTCAGTGCAGTCTTGAATCCCTTCATGGTCTTGTCACTGCTTCCCTATCCAACCACATCTTTCTCCATATCCCTCTGTCCCTTCCCCTGATCCTGTTGCTCCAGTGATTCTTAAGATTCTACCATGTTTTTCTTCCCTCCTAGCCTCAGTATGTGCTTTTCCTTCTGTGTGGACTTCTATTCTCTTTCCTGTCTAGCCCCCATATCCACCCAGTTCAATTAGATAAGCCCCCCAACAACTCCCACTTATGACCAAAGCCTTTTCTTAGAGCCCTGGGTTCCTCAACATTTTGTTATGTGCCCAACTTACTTGCTTCCATTTCATTCTTATCTACTTTGAATATAAGACTTATCTTATTGTATTGTTATTGCAGAGCAATTTCTTGCTTTTTGTTTTCTCCATTAAATGACATGCTTTGTGAGGGCTGGAAAAATGTCTGCCATATTCAGTTTTATATCTGTAATTCATAGCTTATGCTTCATAAATAGTACGTATTTGGTATTTTAATGTGTAAATAAATAAAATAAGTATTAACATTTTTCATATGAAATAGGTCAAACATAGAAATTAATCTTTAATGTTTATTTGTGCAATGTAAGGCCATGCTTAGCAATTAAACATTATACATACTGAATTCTCATAATGGTAATGATAATAATGGCCAAGACTTCATAGTGCTTGTTGTGAATTTGGCTTTATTCAAAGTACTTAACATACATTACTTCATTTAATCCTTTCACCACCCTGTAATGAAGTGTTTATTATGGTCGTTTTATACATGAGAAGGCTGAGGCACTGAAGGTTTACATTTTTTAAGGTCACACCGCTAGTAAGTGCTTACATTAGGATTCTGTGGCAACTGTGATGTATAAACCCTAGATTTTGAAAGGATTTCTATAATAGATGAGTATTTTTATTTTTATAATATTCCATTGCAGTCTCAGGTTGGGAATGAATGGACAGTGGAGAAATTCACTTTCACACGATATTCATGGAACTAGGCTGATAAAAGTTCTGCGAAACTTAAAAACCTGGTTTTCACCATCATCATAAAAGGCACGTTAAGATGACAGAAGGAGAAGAGTTTATGCAACAGATAGTTGTCTCATATTACTTCTGCTCACATTTCATTGTCAAGAACTCAGACATATCCTCATCCTAATAGCAAAGAATGCAGACAAATATCCTTACGGAGAAAGAAAATACATATTTTTGTTACATAGTTTGCATTCTGTACCACAGGGACTAGGCTGGGTTTGAACCCAGTCTGAATGGCTCCAGAGCCTAATTCTTAGCACCCTATTAAACCTTCTGTAATAGGAAAGTGATTTACCTGTTTAATCCATCTCTTAATTAGATGTATTTAGCATGGCTTAAAGCTGTTTGCTCCCTGCTTAAGAAAATATAGATTGTATGCATTTTTAAAGTTTGGACAGCCTTCTGTTCCTTTTATGTTTACATAGAAAGTAGTTGGCATATGTTGTTCTGAAATCTAATGGAAAGGATTTGTAGCATCATTGCCAAAAGTTTGTCTGCACACCCAGGTTATTATAGTTATATTTGTAGCTATAACAATAATTATATATTTAATTATATACGAGGCATTTTCCTCACCTCTAAAGATGTTTAGCTAAATCCAAGATGAAAAACTGTTGGCCAAATTTAATAACATCATTATTTAACACCTATAAATTTTGGTTTAAGAGAGAAATCCGTGTGAAAATTTTATTAATTTCATAAAAGTTAACCAATATTAGTTGAAGAAAACATGAGGGATGTTTTCCCTGGGATACCATGGAGGGAAAAGAGTATCAAAAAGTAAGGGGAAAAAAAGCACAGCTGACAGATGTCTGACATGAAGGAGAATATCAAAGGAATTATCTGAAAATTAGAATTAATTAAACCTAGTCCCTTACAAGAAATTTCAAATTTGAAAAAAAAAAATGCCAGCCTAAAATATTCCTCTGAGAAGCTTTGTTGCTTAGAATAAACAATTGGATAAATTAATTCATGCCATAATTTTTGGTCAGAAAGGTTGCAGAAATATAGTTCTCTAATCTGTACCAGTTCATATAACAGCAAAATGAATTACCCCAAATTTCCTCTTAAAACAATAATCTTACTTTGCTCATGATTTTGTGAATATGGATTAGGAATTTGAGAGGCACTAACTGGGTCGTTCTTGTTTGGGTCTCTTCTGTGACTCTAGTCAGATGACGACTGAGCATGCCATCATTTGAAGGCTCAACTGGGTTTAACATCCATGATGGTTCACTCACTTGGCTGGCAATTAATTCTGGTTGTTGAGAGGGACCCCAGCTGAGCTGTTATCTGGAATACTTACATGGGTCTCTTGAGCATGGTGGTGTCAGAGTGGTCGGTTTTCTTGGAGAGACTTTCTCCAAATTTAACATCTCAAAATGGAGGAAGAAGCATGGCCTTTTATCACCTAGAGTTAGAAGTCACATAGGACAACATCTGTTGCATTTTATTTCTCACAAGTAAATCACCAAGGTCAGTCCTGATTAAAGGGAAGAGACATGGAACCTACCTCTCCATGGGAGAAGAGTTAAATAAGCTATGGATATGGCTTAAAACCACCACAAATTTTGATTATAATATCAAATTTATTATTACAAGTAATATTTGTACTAATATTATTTCAGGGGAGTATTGTAGAGGGCTGAGTGAATCAGGATAGACTTGTGACAATAGCTCTATACTCAAGAAATTTTTACTAAATACTGAACCTCTACATACCACTATTCATCATAAACTTTCATTTTATCAAAACTTACTTAATTTTTCCTTCATGTTATATAAAGTATGGGTAAAGATGAAATACTGAACAGATTATTTAAAGGGTTTTTTGTTTTCTAACAGTGAGCCCTGTTCTTTGCCAAATTAACTTTAACTGTTTCCTCAGAAATGATTCCTCTGTATGGATTCAAAGTACAGTTCATGCAATTATTTTTACATTTCTTACTCCTTGGAATTGTATGTGAATCACTTCTTGGCCTTTTGACTAAGGTGAAGTATAAATTGTGACTTTTTATTTCTTATTAACAAGTCGCAGATTTTGGTCTTTCAGTTCATCGTTTTATAAATGAAGCAAGCGATGTCAAGTTTTACTATTAACTATTCTGATATATGAATAAAATGGATACTTGCAGCATACCATGGAAAACAGAGATAATATAATAAGCACTGATAACACCATTTGGTTATCAAGAACTAAGAGTGAGTAGTTTTAGTGTAATAATACTGAATAATACTGATTGGTAGCCAATATAAAGAATCAGAGCTTATGGTAAACCACAGCAAAAACAACTCCTCTCCTTCAAAAGTATATTTTGTGTAATTGATAGATAATTTTCAACAATTATTTGATCAACACAAAATTATTTCATTCCATCTGTCCATTTAAAACATATTTCTATGGCTATAAGCTATGAATAAAATTAGGAATATTCTTATGACTAGTCCTATGAATATTCCTAAATCAACCAAATATTTGGGTGAGAGTGTATTAAAAGAAGATGCTAAAGAGTTCTTTCACCTTCCTTAATGTTTAGGTTAAAATCTGTCATGATATTCTAAAACACTATGAAGTAGCCTTTTAATAGAAAAATTTGGTCCATTTTGGAGCAGATTGAAAACTGATTCCTTATGCAAACCCTAGTCTTGCTAATATTGTCAATGAATATTAATCGACTGCATATTATACATCAGATGCTGTTCTAGAATGGAGCTATATCAGTGCACACACACATTCAAATGACTAAATATGTAATCAGTCAAGTGATGTTATGAAGAAAACTAAAACAGCTAAAGAATAAAGAAGAATAGAGAAAGGGTGAGGTATGTTAATTTAGATAGAACAATTAGGGTATGTCTTTCTGATGAAATCACATTTAGCAGATAGAAAAACTAGTGAAAGAGCCATGTGAGCCATCTCATAGAAGAAAAATACAGGTCAAGACTTCCTCTCTGACCTTGTTATTGTTTTTATCTGAAGATTAATTGGTTTAAGGAGATGTGTATGGATGCCAAGTTGGCAAGGGGTAAACTTGTGATGGTTAATTTTATGTCAACTTGACTAGGCTAAGGGATTCCCATATAGCTGATACAACATTCTTTCTGAGTGTGTGTATCTAGAGGGTGATTCTGGAAGAGATGTGTATTTGGATCAATAGACTGAGTAAAGAAGATCTGCTCTCACCAATATTGATGGACATCATACAATCTATTAAGAGCCTGAATAGAACAAACAGATAAGGAAGGGCTAATTCTCTCTTTCTGTTCTTGAGCTGTGACATCCATATTCTCCTGCCCTTGGACTTTGGAGCTCCTGGTTCTCTGGCCTTCCAACTCTGGGACTTATATTACTGTCCTTCTGCCCTCCCTGGTCACCAGGCTTTGGACTAGAATTGCGAATTGTACCCTCTGTTCCTCTGGTTCTCAGACCTTTGGACATGAACTACATTATATCAACAGCACTCCTAGTTATCTAACTTAAATAGTTCCAAAATTTGTTGATAAATCTGTCTTTTTTCGATCCAGTTGGGTAATTGTTAAATTATCATTTACAAAATGTAGTTCATTCACAAAAACTTAATCATTTTCCTGTTGTTTACTTATTCTGGCTCCTAGTAAAATTTTTATCATTAAGATTGAAAATTTTTATTAAAATATTTGATGGCAATGAGTTCTTCAGTTTTTTTGCTCTTGATATTTGTTAAGCTGTATCAATCTGTAACTGGATTTTCTGTCATCCCAATACAGTTTTTTCTTAAAAACAAAATATTTTTGATTATTTTTCCTTATATTTGTTATTGTTTTGGGCTTTTGTCTTGTATTTTCTTTCTTTTATCTGTACTTGACCTTTCTCCTTTTTTTTTCCTTTTCTTTCTTTTTTTTTGGACAGTTTTTCTCTGACTCCTACATGAATTTCTTGAGTTTAATTCCCACAAATCCCTTTTCTATTGTATCTTTTTTGTTGCTTTTGAGCCCTATCTTACGTTCAATTAAGCAATCACATTTTCCTTCTTATGCAATATTTTCTGATTTTACATTGTTTCTGTTTCATATTTTCTTCTTCCATGTAAATATATAAAATATTCTCTCAAATATTAATGAGATTATAAACCAGAAAGCTTCTAATTTTTTTTTGTTGTTTCAGTTCTGTTTTGTGGCTTTTGTCTTGTTTTGTTTTACAGTATATCTACTTTTTTGAATCAATTCTTCTAAGCATTCAGGAATGTCCTCTTGTTTTGACATAATGCATCTTTTTATACAGCTATTAGCTTTTTTATTTTTTATTATTTTTTTATTCTGATACTCACTTAAAAAGAAACTTTATTTGTTCTGGCTGCTAGAGAAGGGAGAAACCCTGCCATATTGGGTTTCTAAAATGATCATTGAGACCACATCCTGTCCTTTTTCCTCAGAGACTGTGAAAGGGGTTTTCTCATCATTAGCTCTACTCAGATCCTGGCCACATTGTTCCTGCAGGCAGTGGGGGAAGGTCAGAAATCCTACTTCTGACTCTGATTCCCTCTTGCATAGCAATGGAGAGGAAGATAGGGAGGTGACTACTGCTAACTTCCCACTGAACAGACACCTGGCTGAGGACTTGCCATGTTAATTAAATCTCACAAATCTAGGATATAGATACAAATGCATTCTCTTTACATTTTACATGTAAGAAAATTGAGGGATAGGGATTTTTAATTTTCCTGTAAGACCAAGCAGCTATTGAGTGAAGAATCCAGACCAAACTTAGGTTCTTACCAAATACATCATTTCCTTTGGTTTATTATTTAATTAAAATCCTTTGGGCCAGGTGTGGTGGCTCATGCTTGTAATCCCAGCACTTTGGGAGGCCAAGGTGGGTGGATCACCTGAGGTCAGGAGTCCCAGACCAGCCTGGCCAACCTGGTGAAACCCCGCCTGTACTAAAAAATACAAAAATTAGCTGGGTGTGGTGGCAGGCGGCTGTAAGCCCAGCTACTCGGGAGGCTGAGGCAGGAAAATCACTTGAACCCCAGAGGTGGAGGTTGCAGTGAGCCGAGATCGCGCCATTGCACTCCAGCCTGGGTGACAGAGCAAGACTCCATCTCAAAAAAAAAAAAAAATCCTTTGAAATTGAGGGCATGAGACTATTATTTTGCCTATTTTTATCACCAATGAGGGTTTCCCTCCATTTTATATTCTTCTAGCCACTCCCATGGGTCTCTCAAAAGAGGAAGGTAGAGGATCAAATTTACAAAAATCATATTTCTCAGAAAGAAAGGCTCTTTAAAGTGTACAAAAGAATGACCACTCAATGTGACCAGTTTATCTGACTTCTAAATCATAGGTCTCTGCCCTTTTTAAACAACATAAAAAGCTTGAAGTCTTCGCATTCTAAAAGATGTGGGTTCCAAAAGGATTTCCGCTTCTTTTCAAAAACGTTGGTGAGAAAATAACATTTAAGGAATACAATTTAAGATTGACTGCATAGACTTAAGGCTTTTTACCTTTACATTTCAAGGGTTTCGAAAAATTGACTATGAAGCTTTATTCCACAGGATTAACTACGATTTGATGACACCAGTGCCATTTTCAAAGGACTGTAAGTAGTTGCACATTGACCATCATGTAGCTAATATGACCTCAGTCCACCTCAGGTGAATGAGAGCATCGTAAAATTTATAAAGCAGCAGGTCATAAAAGCATTCATCAACCAGCGTACTCACGTACAGTGTCTTTATCAGGGTTTTTGGAATAAAAAAATAAAAATTAATTGTTAGCTAAGTGGAACATAAATCAAATAGATAAAAAGGTGGAAAGTACAACAGTATGAAACGTAGTAGACAAGTGGGGTATTTGTGAAAAGGATGACTTCTGAGATTTTGGAGCTCGAGTACTTATTTTATATATGGCCATCAGCACTTACTTGGATGCTTTGTCCATAGGAAATGCTCAGTAAATACCTCCCCAAGAGGTGATGAAATAGTCAGTGTCTAGAGAAGGATAATTAAAACAGAATGCTGCATTGATTTGTCAGTTATCATCTGAGGAGATACACGTAACAATGTCAACAAAACTGTATGTAGGCATTTGAACTCCATGACAATAGGGTTCTGACTGAAGTAAAACTTAAGCAACCTTTTCACATATGGTAAGATCACATCCTTCAAAAATTATATCTGAAAGTGTGTCAGAAATAACAGTGGTAAAAAAGAATAATGGATTATTATTATTCATAAACATATCCAAATTTGGCTATTTAAGTGTGAACTTTTGGCATTTCTTTGAAATCCGCATTTTAAATTTTTTCATTTAGCATTGTAATGACAACATTTTACTTATACAAAGTGTTTCCATCCCTTTTGTCCTACAAAGACATGCATATTTCATTTAAGTCCCATAATGTTAATTTTAGCATTTCATGTATTGGAAACACTAACTGTCATGTAGCAAAAATCAGGGGTTTTTGGACACGGTGGTTATTTCTCGTAAAATAAGAAGTAATTATTGTAGGAACATACTAGTCCTTGAGAAGAGGAAGGGGATGGTTACATGTATGGGTTTCAGGGCATAGCTACATGTAACTATTAGATAACATATTTCCAGTTGACAACTTTTGAATATTTCTATTTAGACATGAAGCACCTTCAAATACTTGTTCTAAACTCAACTAATGACTTTTCTACTAACCTATATTTATTTTTGGCCTTTTCTCTGAGACTGTGGTGCTACCATATCTACTCAGCAGTCTCTAAACCTCCATCTCATCCTCACCTCCTGGTTTATCCTCACCATATCCATCCACCTTAGAACTGAACAAGCTCTATTGGTCTCACTGAGGCAGTATCTCTGTCATCAGTCATTTTTTTTTTTTAGCTACAAATTTTTATTTGAATACAAGTGTGAAGGAGCAAATGCATATTTTTCTACTTTATTGGATAGTCTCATTTTTACAAATCAGTTCTTTCAATTACCAACTGTTTCTTATTATTCTTTTAAAAAAAATTATATCTGTCTTTTTTTTTCAGTTTCCACTATTGGTGTTTTTGGCCAGGATTTTATTCTGTTTTGGAAATACATATATTCTGTTTTGTAAATATATGTGTGTGTGTGTGTGTGTGTGTGTGTGTGTGTATGGTAAATATATGTATTGACTTAATAATAGCTTTCTGGTTATTTTATACCATTAGATTGTAGACAGTCTGAGACTCCAACATGGTTTAATAACATAGGAATGTCAATTTTACCTTCCTGCTTTATACTATCTACCAAATATCTCTTAATTTCTTATCCAAAATTTACAGCCTCCCCAAATATGACTTCCAACCCTATTCAATTGCAGAACCATTGAAATGCAAATATGAAAGGATATGCCTTCTTCATCTTTTTTTATCCCATCATAAAATAGAACATAGCTCTTGGGCTATGCTAAGTTCAACACAAGAAACAATTAATATTTATGGATATGAACTAGGACTTATTTAATGAACAAGTTTTATACAATATGCTCTATTATATAATAGTTTCTGAACACTGTAGTTGAAACCAACTTCACATAAAGCTATTAGAGGAGCATATAAAAATGAAAACCTTACATAGTCTTGAGCTTTAAATTAAATATTTCTACTAAAATATAACACCTGAAGGTATACAGAAAAACCAATTTGGCAGTTATATTGAAGATGTTCATTAATTTTCCAGATTTTATATACCTATACATGCTCCATAAATGATGGAAATAAAATTACTGAATAGTCATTGAGTATCATTTTATTAAACATATATATCTTGGTATAAAACAATCACATAGATATATTAATTCCCAAATTAAGGCTTTCCTCTGTCACACAGTGATGAAACACATACTGTCACTGTTCCTCAAATGCATGTTACCACGGAGTATCAATAGTGCATTAGAAGGGCTCAATGAATATATTGATTTTTTATTCTTTTTCCTTTTATTATTTTTTAATAATCTTAATTAAAGAAAGAATTTCAGGGTCTGATGGTCTGGTTTCAATTCCTTGGCTGCCAGTAGTGTGATCTTAAGGAAGTCATTCAAGTTCTCTAAATTTGAATTTCCTCTTCTCTAATGTGGGGATAATAACAATACCTACCTCATACTTACACTGTGAGGATCAATAAAATCATGTATGAAAGAGGCAAGCCAGAAAGAGCTACCCAAGTGTTGAATAGAGTATAGTTTTGCCAGTTATTTTCATATTTGATATGACAAAATACTTAAGTCAAAAATGAATGAGACCACGCACCTTAGACAGTCTCCTGTCCATCTCTGTCTCCTCCTGCACCCAAATTTGTTTCAGTTTAAAAGTAAGCAGTTATTGAATGTGTATTATGTGTCAAGCAATATGGTAGATATTAGAAATGAAAAGCAAACAATATTTTCCCACTACTGCACAAAGTCTAGTAGAAGAGAGACACATAAAAGGCCAACATGGTGAAACCTCATCTCTACTAAAAACTACAAAAATCAGCCGGTTGTGGTGGCGGGTGCCTGTAATCCCAGCTACTTGGGAGGCTGAGGCAGAAGAATAGCTTGAACCCGGGAGGTGGAGGTTGCAGTGAGCCGAGATGGCACCACTGCACTCCAGCTTGGGCAACAGAGGGAAACTCCGTTTCAAAAATAATAATAATAATAATAATCTCAATAAAGTACATGCTAAAATTGTTTATTGCACAGGGTGTTAAACATGTCAGACAGGGTAGGGTAGCATTTCACTTAGCTTTTGTGATTAGGAATGTTCCAAAAAAATGACAACTGTATTGAGTTGCTGACTAATACTTCCAGTTATCATAATGAAGACCTGTAGGGTTTTCTATACAGAACATGCAGCAATAACACAGCCATAAAAGTGCAGCTAAGTATTCAGTGGTAATGAACCTGCAAGCTGCTAATTGTGTATATATAAATAATATACATAAACCTGGCATATAGTAAACACACAATAAATTCTATTCTATCATTTTTAAGCCAGTAGAGAAGGTGTTCGTTCAGTCAGTTAAGAGGTGATCATAGCAGTTCAGATAAGAGATAAAGTCCTGAGAGTGCAATGATGGATGAAAATATCTGGCACTGGTATCTGGAACTTCATAGAAATTCCATTTATGTTGAATAATGTGTAATAGATATAGAATTAGGTATATAGAAATCTTACATCATAGATTTAAACATACAATTAGTGTTTCATTCTAATTAAAGAATAACTACACAATTGTCCTATAACTAGGCAAAGAAAAAAAATTATGAACTTTTTTTTCCTCTATAAGATTGACTGGTTGTGCTGGCATTTGAAAGTTGTGGTCCAACTCCGTTTAAGATAATTAGGCTAAGACTTAAAAGGTGCAGGAAACAGAGATTTAGAAAGAATATTTAAACTTTGTATGGTACCTCTAAGATATGCACTAGATTAATAGCATTAGCAAAAAACCTTACGCTTATTCGGTTAAACCCTTTCTTTGCTCTTTTTTTTTAAAAATTGTAAATTGACAATTTATAATTTTATAAAAATTATGGAGTACAAATTAATGTTATAATTAATGAACACAATGAAGAATAATTCAATAAAGTTAGTTTACATATCTGTCATCTCAAATACTAACATTTTCTGTGGTGAGTACATTTAACATTTATTTTGAGAAATTTCAAAATGTACAACAGTCTATTTTTAACTATATTCACTATCCAGTGCAATAGAACTAAAAAAAAAAAAAGGAAAGAAAGAAAGAAAAAAAGAAAAGAAACCGTATTTCTCCCGTCTAATTGAGATTTGGCACCTTTTGACCATCATCTCCCCATTCCAGCCACCCTCCAGTCTCTGTAATCACTATTCTACTCTTTGCTTCTATGAATTCATTTGTTTTAGATTCCCATATATATGTGAGAACATGGCGTGTTTGTCTTTCTGTGCCTGATGTATTTCACTTAGCATAATGCTCACCAATACAATCCATGTTGTTGCATATGACAAAATTTCATTCTTTGTAAAGTCTGACTAGTATTTCATTGTGTATATATAAATACCGCATTTTCTTTATCCATTTATTTGTTGAACACAGGTTGATTTCATAACTTAGCTATTATGAATGGAACTGCAATGAATATAGGCATGCAGACATCTCATAAATTAAATGGTTTCTAGTCTTTCGGGTAAATCACCAGAACTGGAATTGCTGGATCACATGATAATTCTCTTTTAAGGTTTTTAAAGATCTTCCATACTGTTTTCTAATTTACATTACCACCAACAATGTACTAGGGTTCCCTTTTTCTCACATCCTCTGCAGCACTTGTTATGTTTAATCTTTTCTATAAGAGCCATTCTGACAAATTGTGAAATGAAAGTTTATTGTATTTTTTATTCGTATTTCTTTAATGATTAGCAATATTGAGCATTTTTTAATATATCTGTTGACAAAGTTACTAACAATAGGAGGCTGCGATAGGAACTACAGCTACTGTGCAGCTGATGTCAAGGGGGAAGTTCCCCAAACACTCCAGCAGGGTATTTCCCTCTGTAAATTTCCTGTACCTTCAATTGTGCTGCAGGGAATTGCTCTTTTTAAAACTATATTTATATAAGTACTTCCCATCTTCTGGGTTCTTTTTGCTCTCATTTTTTCCACAAATCAAATTTTGAACAAATTAACTATGTTTCTTCATCATATAGAAAGCACTTGTAATTTAGTCAAAACATATTGTAACTATTTGCCATTTTAAAGCACTGATAAGAGTGATAAGCAGATAATCTCTGTTCTTTTAATTTTCTTTGTGATTGGATTGGGACAATTTCCCTCACTGTGAACTTTTAAAGGGCAAAAACTATGTCTAAAACTTTTGTATCTGTTTCTATTTGGCAATATTAGATAATAAATATTTGATAAGTGAATAATTATAAATGAATGAGTAAAATAATATCATAAAGGTACTGAAGATAAGAAAAAGCTCCAAATAGTAAGATTATGAAAGTTTTGCTAAAGAAGTGGCATGCTAGCTGAGTTTTGGTGGATAAAAATTTCAGTAGGCGAAGTGGGTAAGCAGAGAATGCCAGTCTTCCATAAGCAAAGACATCCAAATGGGTCAAAGATGGCATAATGTTCAGGTGACAGTAGCACAAAGATATGAAAGAAAGATACAGAAGAGTAACCTAGTAATGTAGACAGAGATCAATTGTGATTGGTCTTTAAAAACTATGCAGAAGAGACTGGGCTTTTTTCTCCTGTCAAAGCAGGGCTATGTTTTAAAGAAGAGCAGAGCCTAATGTGTACTATAGTTTGAGATGACTTTCCTCAGAAACCAGAAAACAGGAGCAATATAATATAGATGGTTGTGCAATGGAAAGTCCTCCAGCATGCAACACATACACACACACACACACACACACGCATGCGTGCACACACACACACACACACACACACACACACACATCACTGCATACCACACACCACACCTAACTTACTAAATTTTTTTAAAGCAGTTCCTTAGTAAATCAACTGGATAGAATAGAACAGAATTCATGGATTTGAAAACACAAGTCAATAACATTAGTAAAATGACATGCTTTCTATAACAAAGACAACTTTCCTATTTTTATTGTTGTTGTCATTGTTGTTTTAACATAGGAGAAAATTCTGCGGACAGCGTTGTAGTGAAGACTGTCTCATGGCTGGGTTATATACAATTTTTAATGTCCTTATTGTAATAATGTTATATAGCTGTTTGGGAAATATCATTGTTCCTTGCCTGAGAACCATTGCTTTATAGTACTAAATTTAAAAAAATATATATTTTTAGGGAAAATCCAACTTCTCTTTTTATTTGATTACTGAAAATTAAAAAAAAAAAATCTGTATTTCCTGAAAGCACTAGGCAACATTTTAGGAGTGGTCTCTCTGATCAGAGTGGAACTGGGTATCCCAGGTCACAAAAACAGTTAAGTTTCATTTTCAGGGTCTCTATCCAAACTCATGGATTCCTGAATAAGGTACAGTCAAGTTAAAGTAATATTTTTTATCTGAATGGGTAGAACCAAAAATAAAATACCTAGAATAAACATGATATTATCAGTAATTTCATTTCAAGTGTTATTCTGTATTTCTGAAAATAGGGACAGTGACTTTTTTCCAAGAGGGGAGAAGACCAAAAAAAAAAAAAAAAAAAAAGTGTGTATTGGAGCCAACAGCCTTATTTGCTGTGAAAATTGCAAATGTTTGCCTGGAGCAAATACGTGAAAATTTGCAATTTGTTGTAGGTGTGGAATTTTGCTATTTTTCACAGTGGAAGAACTGTTCTGTGTAGTTTGTTTTTCCCCCTAGATGTGTGAATACTCCAAGAAATTTTGAGATCTATGCATTTTGATGCCAAAGATGGCAAGGTGAACAATTACTTTCAACAATAACTCAAAGTTCTGCTATGTAAGTCAATGAAATATTTTTTTTTCATAGTTCAAATTAAGATAAACAGTAGTCCCAATTTTGTATTAAGCTTTCATCTGGTGAAAAGCTCTGTATTAATGTAGTATAATTCTTTTTTTAGGAGTATATTGATATGTAAAATTACAGATATGGAGAGTAGGTAGTTTAAAAATCATTCACGCTTTTATGACTTGTAATAAGATACCAAAAGTCCTGCTGTCTTATACATGCAATGATTATATTTGCAATCTTATATATGCAAAATTACATTAAGATACCATATAAAATCAAATCAATTTACTAAGTACAAATAAATAACAATAAAAACTCCAAGTTACTTAACTGAATAATATCTGAATAATATACTTTTTTAAACTTCAGAGTGAAGGTATACAAGGTATTCAGTTTTTTGTTTGTTTGTTTGTTTGTTTGTTTAGACAGGGTTTCATCCTGTCGCCCAGGCTGGAGTGCAGTGGTGCAATCTCAGCTCACTGTAATCATTGCTACCCAGGCTTAAGTAATCCTCCCACCTGTGCCTCTCAAGTAGCTTGAACCACAGGTGTGTGCCACCATGCTTGGCTAATTTATAAATTTTTTGTAATCCCAGTGCTCTGGGATTACAGGTGTGAGCCACTGCACTCAGCCTAAGTATACAGTCTTGAAGCTAGATAAGATTAATTAATTGTTCAGGAAAAAGGAAATAAAATAATTATGCTATTGTGAAATATAGTCATGTGTCACATAATGATGAGGACACATTCTGAGAAAGGCATTGGTAGGCAATTTTGTCCCATGTGAACATCATAGGGTGTTGCTTTTATGCTATAATCTTGTACAGCATGTTATGTACTGAATAATGTAGGCAACTGTAACACAATGGTAAGTATTCACCTAAACATATGTTAACATAGAACATATACAGTAAAAATATGATATAAAAGATTTAAAAAATGGTATACCTGTATAGGGCACTTACCATGAATGGAGCTTGCAGGATTCAAGTTGCTCTGACTGAGTCAGTGAATGAGTGGTGAGCGATTGTGAAGGCCTGAGACATTACTGTACACTTTATAAACACTGTAAATTTAGGCTACACTTCATTTATTTTAAAAAAGTAATCACACTATGACCTTACAATGGCTATGGTTTCACTAGATGACAGAAATTTTTTAGCTGCATTATAATCTTATGAGACCACCATCATATATGTCATCTGCTGTTGACTGAAACGTTGTTATGCGGCTCATGACTATATATACTGTTTATCCTTGAACACTGTGAGGGTTAAGGGGGCCAACCCCCATGCAGGAAAAAAAATCCAGGTGTAACTTTTGACTCTTCCAAAATATAACTACAAATAGCCTTCTGTTGACTGGAAGCCATATTGATTGATTAACACATATTTTGTAAGTTTTATGTATTCTATACTATAGTCTTCCAATAAAGTAAGCTATAGGAAAGAAAATGTTATTAGAAAATTTATAAGAAAGAGAATATATATTCATTAAATCCAGGTGAATCATCATAAAGCCTTTATCATTGTCTTCACATTGATTAGGCTGAGAAGGAAGAGGAAGAGAAGGGGTTGGTCTTGCTGTCTCAAGGGTGGCACAGGTGGAAAAAATCTGCATATAGGCTGGACACAGTGGCTCACACCTGTAATCCCAGCATGTTGGGAGGCCGAGGCATGTTGGGAGGCCGAGGCAGGTGGATCACCTGAGGTCAGTAGTTCAAGACCAGCCTGGCCAACGTGATAAAACCTGGTCTCTACTAAAAATACAAAAATTAGCCAGGAGTGATGGCAGGAGCCTGTAATCCCAGCTACTTGGGAGGCTGAGGCAGGAGAATCACTTGAACCCAGGAGACAGAGGTTGCAGTGAGCTGAGATCCGCCACTGCACTGCAGCCTGGGCAACAGGGTGAGAATCCATCTCAAAAAAAAAAAAAAAAAAAAAGTGCATATAAGTGGATCCTTGAAGTTCAAACCTGTGTTGTTCAAGGGTCAGTTGTATTTGGTCTTTAGCCTGGTTTCCTGACATACAGCTCCTGAAAGCCTTGGAATCTCTGAGGTGATTAGTGTCCCTTGTGAGCTAAGAGATGACTGGTAGCTGGAAGGTTCTAAATAGTTTCAATATGGGGGCTGATCACAGGAAACACAAAGGCATGTTTAGAGGTGTGGGACTTTCAGCCCCACCCTCTAACCTCCAGGGAGGGGAGATGGGCTGAAGGTTGAGTTGATCACTAAGGGTCAGTGATTTAATCAGTTGTGCTTAGGTAATAAAGCTTACATAAAACTCAAAAGGACTGAGTCCAGACAGCTTCTGGATCGCTAAACATGTAGAGGTTCCTGGAGGGTGGTGCACAAGAGAGGAGATCCCATGCTCCTTCTTCCATGCCTTGCCCTGTATAACTCTTTCATCTGGCTGTTCATCTGTATCTTTTATAATATCCTTCATAATAAATGGGTAAATGTAAGTAAAGTATTTCTCTGAGTTCTATAAGCTGCTCTAGCAAATTAATCAAACCCAAGGAGTAGGGTGTGGGAACCTGGATTTATATCTGGTTAATGAGAAGTACAGTTCACAACCTGGGGCTTGCAATTCGCATGTGAATTAGAGGGCAGTCTTGGGACTGAGTCCTCAGCCTGTGAGATCTGATGCTATCTTCAGGCAGATAGAGTCAGAATTGCGGACACGTCTGGTGGGGAAAATACTCACTCATTTCTTAGTGATCAGAGGTCACAGAAGTATTGAGTGGTAAACAGAGAATAGGAAGACCTGTTTGCTTTTTCTATATTCTTGTGGTAGTACTCTGTTTCTTTCTAGTCAATGTGATACTGTAACTGCCATGTTCCTTCTCTTTATGGTCTCTTCTGAAAAGCATAAAATGTTTGGATTGTCTTTGCTGTCCTTCCCAAGGTGATGCCTGCCCAGATTAGCTACTGTGAAGGAATGCTGATTGCTTCATCCTGGTCCTGCTTCTTTATATTGAGACGTTGTCTCCCTCTCACTCTGTCGCCCAGGCTGAAGTGCAGTGGTGCGATCTCAGCTCACTTCAACTTCCGCCTCCTGGGTTCAAGCAATTCTCCTTTCTCAGCCTTCTGAGTAGCTGGGATTACGGACGTGCACCACCACACCCAGCTAATTTTGTTTGTTTGTTTGTTTTTTCTTTTGTATTTTTTAATAGAGACAGGGTTTCACCATGTTGGCCATCCTGGTCTCTAACTTCAAGTGATGTGCCCACCTCAGCCTCCCAAAATGTTAGCATGACAGGCGTGAGCCACCATGCACGACCCCCTCTCCTCTTTCACATGCAATTTTCTGTCCCATTTCTTATACCCTCAGAGACACCTTTCCTTTTAAGCTCTAAAATCATAATTAGCTTCTTTCATTAAGTAACCTGTGTTTTAACAGATTTCCCAGACCACTCCCTTTTTTTCTCCCCCAGGTAAGATGTGCCTTTTAGAGTTCTTCCAAAGGACATGTAGGACAATATACTTCTTTGGGTTAACGAAATTTTCTAATATGCATAAAGCAAGCCTAGATGGTTTGTGTTACAGTTATCCAATTAATCTACTCAATTAAAGTATGTTTTAATTAACAATATAGTATATGTATAAGATTCTAAAAGGCTAGCTTATCATTTGAATTAGTGCATAGGTTCCCTTTCACTTTTCAAGTATCAAAATCACTGGAATCTGAGAAAACTTTGCAGACTATTTCTGCATCTCTCCAATCTTTCTTGGAATGCTGCATAAAGCTATTTTTGGTTTGTGTTCGTTTCAGTAAGATTCAGTAACTTCAAAGCTTTTCTTAATATCAAATAACCTTAACACGGGTACCTGGTTTTCTTCATGCATTTCTGAAACTTGGAATATATATTTATCTTTCCATAGGACTAAGGAGAAAATCCACTACTAAATGATTCTTGCCATATGCACATAGGGTAAAAAATGGTGGAGAAATGATCCAGGGAAATCATCTATTTAGAAGTATGCTACAGTTTTATTCCCCTTAAAATAGTAGTCTAATTGAAAATAATAATTGAAAATATTTTTGTAAAAATCAATTTTAAGAGATTGCTTATGAAGCTAAACACCACTTATAATAAAATGATTTGCAATTGATACATACAAGAAAATAGTCTTCCCCTTAGAAAGAAACAAAAATCACAATTGTAAGGTTTATTGCTGTATTTTTCATTGTGGAGAATGCCTCTTGAAGTTTAATTCTTTAGTGAATTTCATTTACAGATCACCCTTCCAGCTCAGCCATCTACTCGCCAATAAGCACCGAGGAATGTCTCCTTTCTATGTCCTGACCATATTGCTACCCCTTTTTCTTATCTGCCCAATTAGCTTTAGAGGCCTTAGCTACCACCAGCCTAACTACCTTGGAGCTCCTAGATGAAAGTTTCTTATCCTAGGCTATTCTATTCATCAGAAATCTAGCAAAACTTAGGTTTGAATAGTTTCCTATGAAACACCTCCCACTCAACTGATTTGTGGTTCCTAATGAACCATAAGCTGATGGACAATTACTCATTTGGCTGAGCCCCATGGAACATTTAAAGGATACTAGGGATCTCACAAAGCTACATATGTGACTTCCATTTAAGTTTAGATACAAGCTTTTTGATAAGAGCAAGAAATATAACAAGACTTTAAATGGAATTACCGTGAAAGAGCAACTTTGACTTGAAATCTCAAGTTATCTGCGATTGGTGTTCAGATAAACCAAAAAATAATAAGGGTAACAATTTCTAACATTTAGAAAAGCAACATTGGGTTACATTAAATGGAAACTTTCTAGTTTTAAACCACCACCATGGTGTATTATAACTAGGAAGAGACTGCATTTTTTACATCCTTAATCAACATGATTTTTTTCTATATTTGCAAAAGTTTGGACTTATATTTTACTTAAACCAAACATCCAGAAATAAAATAGAGTGGAAATTTTTTTTTGTTAAAACAAAACAGAACAAGGATATAGATGGCTAAATTTGTGATTTGTTTAAAAAGTGCTATTTAGGCTTAATAGGCATATCTAGGCACACTTCATGGTGAACACTTCTTAAATACTTCTGTACAATACATTTTCAGGTAACTAGATAATCAGAAATCCTAAGACAAGAGGATGCATGTTTAGTAATTGAAGACATCACTTGAAAGAATGTATTCCCTGGTGAGCATCATCTGACTCAGCATCTACAGTTAGAATATGAAGGACAAAGATGAACACACAGCAAAACCAGACACAGCACTTGGTAAATATATAGTGCACACCCTTAGAGCATCCCTTTTCATCCCAGGCTGGCCATAGGAAGAGTTTGTAGGTGCAACCACACACTAAGGCCTTCAAACCGGTGTTTGGTCTCATCAGCTGAGAATAAGCCTTGTTTCGTTGTTAGGTGTTGTTTTTGTTTTCTTTTATTTAGTTTTGAGGATGAGGGCACTACTATTATTTAAGGCTATGTGGCCAGGCCACTATTGTTAATTTAGGCTTATTGCCAGTGAATTTACTAATTAAAACAATGTTTATACTGACGGATACATTAAGAAACATAAAGCTTACTTTAGGGAGATCTCTCTCATCTCCACCCTGTGCCACAATAAAATGCCAATAGTAATAGTGCATGTCACAGACAGCACCAGCTTTAAAAATATAGCGGAGAACAAAAAGAAGAAAGGAAGTGGGGACTGAGACAATGAAAAATGGCAATATTATTTTATTCTAATTCAGATTCTTGACAGGTAACAGGCCTTAATCTATGGAATAAAATCTATGGTACACAAAAGTAATATATGATATAAATATTCTGTTTTAGGACACAGTGAAGCAGTTTAATTAGTTAGAGGAAACTTTAAAGGGAGAATAAAGAGATCTGGGCTTGGGTCCAGAATCTCATTGACTAACCTTTCCCAAATTCCTATTTTAAAATTTCTATCAGGTATAATGGGCTGCCTTAGTGAACAATTATAATATGCATAGTTGTAATACATTTTACCTACATATTGAATTTACTCTGGCTGTTTTTTTAAATATTGTAATAATCCATTTCCACTATGAGATTGTGGCAATTTTCTCTAAGTATTGCTTTTAATTTTGAAATTTCCAGTCTTGGAGATATTCTCTTAGAATTTTATCAATATTCCATATCTCAAAATGTTTTGATAACAAATGATACGATGAAAGAATTATATTGATATTACTGATCATTAAAACATGTCTATTTTCATACCAGCTTGTGTGAGATTGATTCAAGCCTTTTTTCTTATCTATTTCTGATGAATGAACAAACTGCAGAATCCTATAAGAGCTATATTGTAAGCATTAGCACTATGTACCGTAATCAGTGTCCAGAAGACTTCTCGTGTCATAAGAAATTGTTCTTGCACTATTTTAATGGTGCAATTGGAAGAAGTTTATATAATAAATTGCAAATTGGAGGCGGTTATTATAGTAAAGCTCATTCTTGTTAACACCCTATGAAACAAAAAATGGTCTATCATTTATTGAATTGAGAAAATTGTTTGAACTATGAATAAGCTTACCTATCTATTTGAATTTGTCTGTGCCTTGGAATTTTTTTCTTTTTGTTTTTATTTGAGGAAGAATGTGCTTTTTGCTAGACTTGGTAATACTAATTTGACTGTCTTCTGACATGTAACTGATTCAATGTTTAATGGAACTGTAAGAAATGCTCATTCCTTTCCAGATAAAAAATGGTTAAACCTTTGCAATTTCATATAGATCAACTAACTTCTAGGTGGCACGGTTTTCTGGTAACAGGGAAGAATTGGATAATGAGCAAAATGAGAGCTGGCTGACAACTATTTGGAGCTGTAGTACCTTGTAATAGCATGGCTACACAGCTTTCTTCAACTGGCAACATTATTCACTTGATGAAGATTCTTTTATTTTCTTGCAACACATGTATATTGTGTAGCTTGTAGCAGTAGGAGATTCATAAAAATAAGTCAAATAAAAAAGAATCTTATGAAAATTATTCACTTATTGTGTCCTTACAATTCCAAAGTTGTGATATCAATAAGTATGCCTAGACACATTTTAAAAAGCATTTCAGCCATTGGAGAAGCATAACACAATTAATTTTGGTTTAAAAATATGACAATAATTTAGACCCTTCCATTTTATGTAGAAACGCATTGTTTCCCTTTAATAGCACTTTAATGCTATCTTATACTATTAATATAAAAAAGAGATTTTGTACTTGAAAATTGGAAAATATTTAATATGCAAGAAGAAAAATATGTTCAAAAATAGACCTGTGATTGTGAATCTCCATAAGCTAGCCACTTATTATGATGTAAATATTTGGGGTTTCTATGTTGTGTCAAGTCAAGGTGTCCAGAGAATCAACCAATCAAAACAAAAACAATAACACAGATTTAAGGCCCTGTATTACATTTCACTCATTTAGTGAAAAAAAACAAAAGTCAATGAATAAAAACACAAAAGCTCTATTTATATATTCAAAGATTATTTTTTAGTAATTCAACTTTGAAACTTTGTTAGTATTAACAAGAATTTGCTTTAAGAAACTATTTCTGGCTGGGCACGGTAGCTCTCTCCCAGCACTTTGGGAGATTGTGGTGGGCAGATGACCTGAAGTCAGTTGTTCAAGACCAGCCTGGCCAACATGATGAAACCCCATCTCTACTAAAAAGACAAAAATTAGCCAGGCATGGTGGCTTGTCTGTGATTCCAGCTATTTGAGTGGCTAAGGCAGGAGAACTGCTTGAACTCGGGAGGTAGGGGTTGCAGTCAGCCGAGATCATACCACTGCACTACAGCCTGGGTGACAGAGCAAAACTCTGCCTCAAAGCAAAACAAAATTATTTCTTTCCCAGGCTCAAGCAATCCTGTCACCTCAGCCTCCCAAGTAGCAGGGACCACAGGCACATGCCACCATGCCTAGCTAATTTTTTTTTTTTTTTTTTTTTTTGTTAAGATGTGGTCTCACTCTGCTGCAAGAAACTGTTTCTTAAGACTGCACCCTAAACTCTGGAAATAGATCATATGAATCCCCTTTTTGGTCAGTATCATATTTTAGAAGTGGTATACTCAGATAACAGTGTCATCAAGAATGGGGATTCTCCTTTGAGCCTAGTCTGGTCTGCTTTTTCATAGACGCGACTTTATTTAAAGCCACAATAGCTGCCAACAAGAAAGGCTCAAGTAAGCCGAATCTGATCCAGACTCAGTCATGACGACACCTCTGGGGCCAAAGTGTCCTTCAGTTTCATTCTGATGAAAAAGACCCAGGGAAGAAGCACAAATATGGAAAGGCCAAGGAGAAACGCGGGAGGCCCCTATTCCTGGCTGTGTCCTTTTCTTTTCTGTATCAGCCTGTCTTTTTCAATGCTGAAACAGTGTCTTAATTCTTCCATGTGGCACCAGGAATAAAACTGTACTCTTAAGAAAGAAGATGAAACAACAAGTATATAGCATACAAAAAGCTCTTTGCCGTCATTATATATTTTAATAATAATAACAATATTTGAGAAATATTAGTATCCCCATTATAAAATGAATACATTTAAGTCAAAAAGGGACGATTTATTTTGTCCAGCCTCTTATAGAGATTAAGTGGTGAAACTGAGATTTCAATTCAAATCCTGTGACTCCAAATTTACAGTTCTGTACTGTTTTAATGTCTCTCTAATTAGTCCATTCACACTGAGAAGGGAAAAGATTGATAGAGATTTAAGTAATAATTACTAAAATTACCTGGGAACTTCAAAATATTAATAAAGATTTCTCAACTCCAGCTTTAGCTACTATGTTTGAAAAGATCTAGGGTTTTGTAAGGTGTCTATATATTTTTAAAGTTTTTTCTAAGTAATTGCTGCTGCTCAGCCAGATTTGGGAACTTCTTTAAAGTATTGAGACAGTGTTAAAGAATTTGCAAGAATATTTGCATTTTTCAGAGGAGAAAATAAATCTTTTAAAAGAAGCATTTCTACTCAGAAGTTTTGCATTATGTAGATGGTTTGAGAAGGCATTTTGAGGAGGGGGGCAGGTTTCCTGGCACCTCTAAAATCATGACGTAAAGAGAAATACTCTCCTTTCTCAAAACTGTACTCTTACTTGCATAGCGCATGCATGGATGCTGATTTGAAAAATAAGTCAGTAGGCTGCTTATCATTTCTGGTAGAACATAGTCTACAGAACACATTATTTCAAGATTTAGCTTCATCTTTGTTAGCCGCATGGACTTGAGAAAAAATATTTAGCCTTCTTGGGTCTTAGCTTGTTTGTTCATTAAAGGCAGATATTCACATGTATCTCATGGGGTTATCCCAAGGACAAAACAAGCTGTTGTACAGTGTTTGGCCTAGTAGATATGCAACTAGCATTCATTTTAAAAGGATGTAGACTTTGAACAATAACTGTTTGAACCACAGTGACCTTCTATTTGTCAATGTATCTCATCTTATGTTTTATTTTTCTTAGAAGATGCTGCGAAAATAACTTTCCATGAACAAATTTGTTTGGCCAATATAGAATAACTCTCATTGAGAGATTCATAATAAATAAGTTAAAAATCTTGAAGTTTTTCATGAAAAAGATGAGTTTAAACCATAATTTCTATAAACACATGTAGCTATGGAGACCTTTTCCTTATGGGACACCTATTAATATCATAGAAATGATATCCAAAAATAAAAACTTTGGGAAAAGATTCTCCTTTTATTACAAATGTCTTCACAAACACATACAATTTTGCACTTAGGCAAATTGAGAGAGTGTAAAATGAAACTTCAGAGTGTAGAATTTAATTGTAAGTAGGTATTATACTCACATTGTAATAGAGTAGCAGAAGTGAAATCCATCTATAATATGAGATTCCATGTACAGCTGATTTTTTCCTGTTTGCATGTAAGTGTGAATATCTATGTGTATATGTTTATATGAGTATGTCTTCACGTGCGTGAGTTCGTTTGTATGTGTATGTAGAATCAGGAATATTTTTGTAATTACTATATCAATTTGTGAATGATGTATGAAATGTAATTCCCCGTTCAATAAAAAATGATTTATAATCAGTGCTATGCTGTTATACTCTTTATCTTATATGATAAATCTAGACTTACTACTCTTAGAAAGCCTATTAATTTAAATATCAAATCTAAGAACAAATTTAAAATAAAATACTTTAATTTATTTTCCCACATTCTCTCCTACTCTTCAGAGTTCACCTCTACTGGCTGGTATTTTCTCAGATAACCAGTTTATTTACAAAAATCCAAATAACTGAAAATTATGTTGTACACAAAGCTGTATTTAAGTTCTTTCAACATTTGAGGCAAAGCAACAAGAGATTTGACTTCCTCCAAGACCAACTTAGGGTCACTGCTTGTTTGTTTTCCTTCACATGGGCACTCCAGCCTTCCTTAACATCCAATTTGCTTTCAATCAGTGGGTAGTTAAGCTTCAGAAGGAATCCAGCCAAAATAAGCCATCCTTCTGCCAGGCCCAAAGTCTCCTTTCCTACTACTCTCTCTGGGTTTCCTCTTATAACTTACCCTTCACTTAGTTCCATGGAATTTGCCTGGGCTTTCTGAGGGACAATTAACTTCAGGGAGTCATTTGTATATTTCAAACAAAGTGGCAGAATCACTATTCCTGGAGAAAGTAATTGGCAGAAAAACAAAAAATCAACATGAGGACAAGCCCCTCTTCTTACCTTGGCCTTGTTCATAATGACTTTCTACTGATTCTGAAAATGTGGGTTGCTAGGGATAACCTCTTGACTATGACTGCCTCTCTCTGTCTCCCTCTCTCTGTCTCTGTCTCACTCTCTCTCTCTCTATATATATATACATAAATAATATATGCAATATATTATATATATCTAAAGTGAATGAATTATATACATCATATATAAAATGAATTATATATCTATATATATATATAGAGAGAGAGAATGCACATAATAAAGAGGTGGTCAAATTCATAGTGTAAGAAAATTATTTCACATAAGTTCAGGCTTGTCTAAAGCTGTGGAAGCAAGTGCATCTACCACTGAAGGATACACTGCTCTATGCTTCTTCATTTTTTGTCATTTTCTAAGCAATATATCCAGGTTTATCCACACCCCTACCAGTCTCCAAAACTCAAGTCCTGTACTTTCTCTTTTCTGAACACAAACTTTAATAAAAAAGGACCGTAACACATGCAGCCTACTAAACAACACTGCAGAGACTTTAGCTCACCTGATCTGAAGCATCTACCTGAAGGTACCTTGGTTTTACTTTCTGATTTCTCCCCTTGGGCGCCCCTTTCACTTAACAGGCATCCAACTCACCCATAGCAATCATGAACTACAGAATTTAGGAGTGAGAAACCTTCCCTAAAGATACATCCAAAAATGATTTTTTCTCATATCAAGAGCCCTTTAAAATTCTTTTTTAAAATAACACTTTGAAAAAAATAACATCTGTTTAAATCCTTTTATCATGATTTAAACACATTTTCAGTTATCACATTTTTTTCTTATTTTTTTCTTTTTTTTTAAGTTCTTTTTATACCTGTTACCATGGACACAATGTTGCTTGCCTCAGAGTCTAATTAAAATGGTTCCTTGCTCAGCCAGGGATTTAGAGAAGAATCACGTGTTGGGGGAGTGGCATGAAAATCTGAGGAAACTACTGTTTAGGTTCTCTTGATAGAAATGTTTCTCCTCTACTAAAATCTTCTTTCCATTTTACAAAAAATGTTTTGACCAATAAATTTCCAAAAAGACCCAACACATACTGTTTAGAAAATTATGCCCCAGATTTTAATCTCATATGCCTCTGATCTTTGGGTAGGTTTCCATGGGTTATAAAGCAAGGATCTGGTATCTGTATACCAAATATACAGAAGAGGAGGGGAGAGAGGAAATATACACAGTGGAGGGGAGGGAGGAAATTCCCTTCTTGCTAAAATATTGAATATGTGATAGTGGGTCCAAAGTAGAATTTTTAAAATATATTGACAAAGGAATTTTCTACATTGAAATCCTTCTTCCTGTAAAATCATGCTTTATCTCTTTTTATACAGTTGATTTCCTTATTTTGGACTAAATCTCTTTATTATTTTTGTTAAGAGAAAAATCAAACATTTTAGGTGGTCACAAGCTTTGCTTTAACTTAATTGTGATAATGGCTTTGTGTAATACATCATCATGCAAGCGTGCATTTGAAATGAGATAAGTCAGAAATAATTTCTTTTTTTCCCCTTCAATTATAGTGCACACCATTGACAATGTTGACTACCGGGCTGATCAGAATAGATGATGATAATGGAGAAAGTTTTCATGGTTTTCTAGCAAGAGTATAAGCACAGTACTTAAAATCTTCAGGAGTAGAGAGACTTTACTATTTTATTTATTTTCCAAAGCCCATTCACTTTTGTGATTTTAAAAAATTACATACGATCTTAACATAGTTCTCATATCATCCAGCTTCTTATTAGAGAGAGCTGAAAGGTGTTCCAATGATTATTTAATATGAGCTCCTAATAGTTTGGGCCTGGGAGGTCGAGGCGGCATTGAGCCAATATAATGTCACTGCACTCCAGCCTGTGTGGCAGAGGGAGACCCTGACTCTAATAATAATGATAATAATAATAATGATGATGTGAGCCCCTATCTCTTGAAATCTGTCATGACTTTACAATAAGCTTTACCTGATGGTACATTTAGATGATTCTATGTTGTGTGGTTATTAAACAAACCACATAGAAATGAAATTCTATTGAGCAGCAATGCAGTAACAAGTAGTGGCCCAAGCAGCATCCAGCTAATGAGAAGTTGACTAGATGCTGTGGCAAGACATGAGAATTCAAGCAGAATCTGAGTTAGTTGCTAATAAACTACAAGACATTTTGTTGAACCGTCACACACCCTCTCTAATACCAAAGGGTGGGCCCATAGTCTCTAATTTTCTTCCACTTCCAACATTCTGCTATTCAATTTTCTAGCAACAGCTAAATCAGTACCTCTCAAACTACCAATGACTTAGGCTAGCAATTAAGGATTACATTTCCCTGAAGCATAATCTTACTCATAGATTGGGAGAATTAGTTATGTGAGAGTGAAGAAGGAAATTTTCTGGTAGATGAAACAGACTCTCCATGAATTTTATGATGAACTGTGGAATTTTACAGAACTTGTTTGATTATGGTAGGTCGTTTTGGGTTTTAACCACAAATCCCCAAATGTCCAATTTCTTTGTCGTTAAGGTAACTGTACGATATTAGTTGGTAAATATTGTTTGGTTAACTTCATTTGATTTGTTTGTCTCATTCATATTTCGCATTAAAACTGGTGGTTTTTCATTAAAACACATTGCCTAGGTTTTTAGACATATCCTCTACTGTTGCTGAAAACAAGAAACTTAGTAATTTATTATGTTTTTCCCAAGCAGAGAAAACCGCAGTTTTTACATTGAGCCTATAGGAAAAAAGCGGGGAAAAAATACAACTTACTTCTCATTTAACCCCTAAATTGTTTCTCCTTTGACCATTCTGCTGACTGTTTCATCAAACAATATACCAACGCCTGAGTAAATAATAACTGGTCTGTCCCACACATAGTTTATAACCCACAGAAGCAGGAAAGGTCCTTGTAAGGATGCCAGATGACTCTGGCTTGACTAAGGGACAAAAAAAAAGGCAAATATTTCCAGAAAATCAAGTTTGACCTTACCCTTGGTACTTTGAGAATGAAATTTAAAATGTGAATGGAATTCAATTCACTTATATCTATAGCTATTCTTTCATGGTTAAGAAGGCTATAGGAGTAAGGAAAAGTAATGCATTACCTATATTGTCTTGGTTATACTAAATATATACTTTCTTTTTATTTAATTAGTCACTTTGGTGTGTTTAGTTTCGCATTCAAATTAAGATGAAATCCAAAGTTTGAAAATTAAATTTAACAAAGTTCCAAAGCAAAAGGCCACACTGATTCGAAAAGGTGCTATAATTCACTTAGGGATTCTCCTAATCTAAACAGTATTCATTAATTGAAGAAGTATTTAGTAAGCTTCTTCTATGTGACAGTGCCGCATGAGGTGATTTAGATATAGGGAGGAACAAAAGACAGAAGGATTATTCTCTTACGGAGTTTATATTCTACTGAGAGAGGCAGGTGATCAACAACAACAACCACAACTACAAATATGCAATTTCAGAGAAAAATAAGATTTGTAAAAAAACATTAAAATTAGTTGGGCAAAGCTCTGTTTCTTTAGACTGGAATTTGTGAAGGTAAAATTTAAGCTAACAATGGAATGACAAAGGGAAGCACAGTATATGAAAGTCTGAAAGGGAGAATTTCCAGAAAAGGCCTTTAAGACCGTGGTCAGGAGTTTGAATTTCACTTTAAGAAGGGGGAAGCTTCTGGAGTATTTCAGGCAGTGGAGTGACATACATGATCAGGTTTATACTAGCTAACTCCTACTCATCAGTCAGATCTCAGTCCCAATATCACTTCCTCCAGGAAGCATTCTTTAGTCAACTAGGATCCTTTGTTAGATCCCTTCATGACACTGAGATACTTTTCTCAATTGCATTTTGCCAAAAGTTACAACATTTACTTTCTTTGTCTGCTTGTTTTATTAAATCTCTCTTCTCTATTGGACTCTGAGCTTCGTGAAGTTAGGAACTTTGCTATTGTTTGTCTTGTATATCCCTGTTTCTAGCACAACATCTCAATAAAATTCTTTTAAGCATATGCATAAACAAATGAACTATAAATTAATAAATGAGTAAAACATTATGTGTAAGAATGGAAAAATTTAAAAGTCTAGGAATTACAAATACTAAATATTTGACAGACATTGAGGAAGACAAAAAAGTTAGATAAACTCACTTCTTCTCTAATCCACCTGACTTAGGAAGAAGGAGAGTTGCAGAGTGAAAGTCAAATCAGCCTTGTCCTGAAGCCAAGGGCACAGACATAGATGGATTGATATTCTGACTTTTATTTCTGTTCTTTGCTGATGACCAGATTTATCATACAATAATTATTATAGAACATACATTTAACTGCAAAAGTATGTCCCATATCTGCCTGGAATAATTTTACTCTTTGCTTGGATTAAAGGTTTTCTCTGATATTTCCCAGTGGATTCAGAGAAGACTGGGAAACATATTATCCTTGTTTTTGCTTTCTTCCCGGTTGATGAGTCTATATTCTCCAGGAACACGTCTGCCCATTGTTTTCCTGTCTTTTCAAAGGTGTTAAATATCCACTTATTTAGTGGACAAAAATATCTGTTCTTAGTTCCATTCATAACTAGAAAAAAAGACTTTAGCCAGACTAAGATACAGAAGCAAAAGCCCCTGTAGCAAGAGAGAACATTATAAGAACCAGAATGCGTAGTTGCAGCATAGAGGGGGAGAGAGAGTGTGTCTTCAGGTGTCACAGATATTAGTCCTATAGACAATATAAGAGATTTTATCTGTAAACTAAGAAAAATGGAATATTAAAGAGGAAGAAAATGGGAGAGGTAATGGCATTGTCAATAATTTATTTTTAAATTGCAACTCTGGATTCTCTATGAAAGTGATGGCAGGCAGAACAACAGGTGAGTACCTAATGGCCAAGGTAAGAGATGATGGCACCTTTGACTAGGAAAGTCCCAGTGATGAAAAATAAAGGTAAATACATTAAGAAGATATTAAAGAGGTAAAAGCTACTGTTCTTAGTAATATGTTGTGCAGGAGTAAGGACAGTGTCAAGGATAACCCCTAGATGATGGTGCCATTGACTGAGATAAGGACACTTGGAGGAAAACAAGTTTGAGTTTGTTTTTGTACATAATAAAATTGAGTTCCTTCTGGGACTCAATTGAAAATTTAAAATAGGCAATAAGATATAAGAATCAAGAACTCAGGTGAGAGTAATAGAAATGCACATTTGAAAGTCATCAGCTTATGAATGATAATTGAACTATGTTCAATAAAATTCCCCAGGAAAAACAATATGGTGAGAAGAGGGCCTGGCATTGAGCCTTGAGGAACTTCAGAAAGAAAGAGATAAGGCTACCAAGGACACCCAGAAGAAGGTAAACTTCTGCTTATGTGTTACCTTATACAGGAAAGGGGAAGAGAGTGAGACAGTTTTGATATTCAAATTTATTTATTTAATCAATATATACTAAGCACTGTATTATGATATTACTATAGGTTCTAGAGATTCAAAGAAAAGTAAAACACAATCTGTGACAACACAGCCTTGGTAAAAATCTAAGCAGTTCTCCTAGGACAATCAATTTTAAAAACAGGAAAGTTGACATCAATGTAATCAAATAAAATATTCATTACATTTTTTATTCTCAGATATGTTGCGTTTCACATGACTTCTCTATTTTCTTATGAGAATGCATATATTTGACCAGGAAAGAGAAGACTGTAGTTTAAAAAAACATTATACTACTCTGACCTTTTTGATATTCTATTTTTTGATTGGCTAGATTGGAATATCTTATCATGTCCATCCAAGTAAGGGCAAGACTGTAAACACTATCAACTTGACTAGTCAGCCAATCAAATTATAGGGTGTTATAAAGGTCAAAGCAATACAAAGTGCTACGATAATTTACATAACATATGTGCAGCATTACAAGTCCAATATTTCCTTCAGACAAGGATTGAACAAGAACATAAAGGCCTGTGACTGTTTTCTCCTGACAATGGTAGTAGAAGTGGAAAAAACTTTTGGCAAAATTTTTCGTTGAGATTTCTAGAAATTGCTACTGAAGTTAAAAAGTACGTGTGTGTGTGTTTATGTGTGTATGTATGTATATATATATGTATGTATTAGTTGCATAGCTGACTCCAGGTCTCCTGACTTATAGACTGATTTATTCCTTGCCTCTGTCACTTTCTTGGAACTTGTCTATAAACTTCCTACATTCTACCTAATAAATAATAAATATATATATGTGTGTATACACATATATTCATTATAAGTATATACATATACATATGAATATACATACATTATATATATTCATACATATATTATATATGTATATACATATATTATATGTGTATATACATACATTATATGTGTATATACATATATATAATAAATATATACACATATGTTTATTGCATATGTATGTGTGTATATACATATATTCATCAGTTATTAGAATTATATTTTATATATACACACACATATATATATTCATTAGTTATTAATTGAAGTGGATTCAAGGCAAGAGAAAGGATGTAGGAAGTTCATAGAGAAGTTTCAGGAAAGTAAAAAGAGAGCCAAGGAATAAATCAGTCTGTAAGTCAGGAGACCTAGAGTCTGCTATGCTACTAATTACTTGTGAGACTTAGAAAGGTTATCTGATTTCTTGGACCTTATTTTCTTATTCTTTGAAGGGAGAAATATCTTCATAATTATTGATTTCAATAATAGGTGAAATGATTTTGTTAAGTATTCAACAGTCAGTATGAAATTATCTCTGCCTTCAAAGTACATACAATCTTACAGGACAAAAGATAAGAAAATAAGCACTACTGAGATTAGTTTATGTAGTGAACATCTTACAGTAGATGGCCCCTGCCCTTGTGGAATGATCTACATTTATATTGATGATGATACAAGGTATGTGTAAAATTCTCATGATCTTAATGTTTGTGGGCCATTAAGTTCTAGATTAGAGAAATAGTTCAAGATTCAACAATGAGGCAATAAGAGGCTCAACATATTAGTGATAGAAATGCCATGATTCATCCACATTAAAATTTTTTTGAATTAGCCCCTAAAACCTTCCTACCATTATAGGAAAATAGTGGCTGCTATTCTTCCATTCCCCTGCCATTAACATATTCTAGGCATAATGTGATCTGCTGTGGATTATTTTTTCTTTCTTTGCAATGATACTATTGATGTTGAAATAAACATATATTAAAATGTTAAGAAGGCAGGGAATGGCAGTGGATTGAGTATGATTTTTAAGGACTTTTGCTTTCTAGATCAATCACAGAAATATCAAAGACTAAAAATTCAAAAGTAAAAAGTAACTTGTAATATAGTAAGTTATGCTAATACTAAGTTAAGGTTTGGAGGAATAATACATTTTCTTCGAAAAGTTGCTTTACTTTATGTACTCACAATTTCTCAAGCCAAGTAAAGAGTGAACATATAGAGTAATAAATGACAGTATCCAACTGGCTGTTTTTTACCAAACAAAATTGTAGAAAAAAGACATTTAAAATTAAACACTTATTTCCAATTGCTGAAAAATGACTAGCTGGTAAACAATGAATACTTTACAAATGTTTAATACACATAAAACAAAATAGATTTGTGAGAGCATATTCAGAATCTCTTCTTTGTCTTTTTGTTTTGTAGTAAATATTTTATGTATTAAAAGTAGGTAAGTAAATATGATCATTTTAAAGTCTGAGATTGTTGCTCATGCAATATCTAATCTACCGTGCTAGAGAAAAATCTTGGTACCTCTATACAACTGAAATGTTTTCTTTAAAAAATGGTAGCAAATATCCAGTTCTAAAATATAAAAATTAAAATCATTGAAACAAAGGAAGTTTACCTACAATGATATCTATCCATCTATATATGTATATATCTATATCTATATGTATACATGTGTATATCTATATCTATCTATCTATATATATATACATAGAGAGAGAGAGAGAGAGAAGTGCATTTAAAAGAGAGTAAAAAATAATCTACAGGGAATGAATTTTTAAGAATTGCTTGGCATAAAAGTATTCTGTGATGTAAGAAAAGAAAACATCCTTGACTCACCCAGATAATAAAGAACTGAAATAACCAATGTAAAAATGACTAACACACTGAATACTTTTCAAAATACTGAGGACCTTTGAAATGATTCAAGTGTGCAATTATCTTATTTACAGATGAATACATTGAAACAGAGAGAGCTATATGACTTGTTCAAAGTCACACATATAATTAGTCGCAGAGCTCAAAATATTCTCAAGTCTTCACATCTAACTCAAGATAAAAACACGTTTACAATGGCCTCCAATGCAGTGCCAGTCAGGGCCCTAGCAGGAAATTGATGGTGCGCCAGAAATTTAACTAAGGATCATTTAATAATGGATTTACTAACAGAGGTGTGGGTAGGGTTAAAAAAGCCAATGATGGAAGGAAAGCATCTTGGGAATAACAGTAATGAGAAGCTACTGTGCCTCCTAGATGTGAAAAGGAAAAAAGAATGAAACTTCTTGCTAGAGTTTATAGAGAGCTTGGGGCCGTGGGTGAAGGGCCATCTAACAGAAGAGGTAACTGGAACACAATCACTGATAGAATCAAGGCAAAGCAGGGAAGAAGCAGAGGTGGGGTTGGGGATACTTTTCTTTTCTTTCTCTTTCTTTCTTTTTTCTTTGTTTCTTTCTTTCTTTTCTTTTCTTTCTTTCTTTCTTTCTTTCTTTCTTTCTTCTCTCTCTTTCTCTCTCTCCTTCCCTCCCTCCCTCCTTTCTTTCTTTCTTTCTTTCTTTCTTTCTTTCTTTCTTTCTTTCTTTCTTTCTTTCTTTCTTCTCTCACTGTCTCTCCTTCCCTCCCTCCCTCCTTTCTTTCTTTCTTTCTTTCTTTCTTTCTTTCTTTCTTTCTTTCTTTCTTTCTTTTTTTCTCTTATGGTGCCTTCATTTGGGAAACTCAAATCAAGGTTATGGGAGCCTACATAAGGCAGTCCATAGACATCAACCTCCTGAGGCTCAGAGCATTGCAGAGAAAGCTGGAAAATGTTCTGGAATGGGTAAATAGCACATGGCTCATCAGCTTAGTAATTCTTATGCCAAACATTATGTTTTGTCATTTTACAATCCATTAAAACCTATAAAGAAAAACCCCGGTGCCATCTCTGACCAAACTGCTCTCCATCTCACCAACAAATGTTTTTACCACTTCAGAGAAAAATTGAAAGTTATCAGATGTAATAGACTATTTCTAAACTTTCTAACACTGCAACTTTAAGAGTTACCCTCATTTACACTTAATTTTTTCTTGCTTCCCCTACCAGAGTATTCCCATTGCTTGTGCTATAGATCCTAGCTCTACTATTAGGTTGGTGCAAAAGTAACTGCGGTTTTTGCCATTACTTTTAATACTTTACTGCCTTCTCCTTCTCACTCACTCCTGTCTTTATTTTGAATGTTGCCCTTTTCACTGGCTTCATTTAATTAGCATTCAAATGTAGCAAATCTTACTAATCATTTTAAAAGTACAAAGATTGTATTATTCAGAGGCATAATACCTATTGTAAAAATATCCCCCAAATTTCACCATATGGGTGCTTAATACAATAAAGTTTAATTTTTCATTATGACAGAGTTCAGCTCAAGAAAGTTCTACACAGAGATCTTTCCATCCTGTGATTATGTCACTTCCTAGGTCTGGGAAGAACACCATTTAATTCTCCGCAACTGGAAGCAAGCGAGGAAAAAGAAAGACTGTGAAGAAGCTCATGAGATATTTTAGGGACCAGTCCTGAGGTACTGATTTCACTTTTTCCTTTTTTTGAGACGGAGTCTCGCTCTGTCGCCTAGGCTGGACTGCAGTGGCGCGATCTCAGCTCACTGCAAGCTCCGCCTCCTGGGTTCACGCCATTCTCCTGCCTCAGCCTCCCAAGTAGCTGGGACTACGGGCACCCGCCACAAGGCCCAGCTAATTTTTATTTTTTTTTAGTAGAGACAGGGTTTCACCATATTTGTCAGGCTGGTCCCAAACTTCTTACCTTAGGTGATCTGCCCACCTTGGCCTCCAAGGTGCTGGGATTACAGGCGTAAACCACCGCGCCCCACCCTGATCTCACTTTTTTATGGATTTGCTAGAATTTAATCACATGGAACCACCTAACTAGAAGAGATGCTGTGAGCCAAGAGGCAAAGATAGATTGTGGACTAGTTTTCTCTGGTTGCCATAACACATTACTACAGGTTTAGTGGCTTAAAACAACACAAATTTAATTATATACCTGCTTTGTAAGTCAGACGTCCAACATGAGTCTTACTAGTCTAAAATCAGCGTGTCGGCAGGGTTGAGTTATTTTCTGGATGCTTTAGGTAAGAATCCATGACCTTTCCTTTTCCAGCCTCTAGAGGCAACCTGTATTCCTTTGTTTATGGTTCCCTTTCTCCATCTTCAAAGTGAGACACTGAATCTCTCTGAGCCTTCTCTTGCTGACCACAGCTAGGGAAAGTCGGCTTTCAAGAACTCATGTAATTAGAATGTATCCACTTGGATAATCCAGGATAATCTCCCCTTTCAAGGCCTGTAACTTTAATCACACCTGTGAAATCCCTTTCTTCCTGTAAGGTAAGATATTTACAGGTTCCAGGAGATTAGGGCGTGGACCTCCTTGATGGTCTGTTTTGCTGCTTACCACAGGTTTGGAGCACACATTGCATTGTGTAGGCCACAAATCACTTCAACTTTCTCTCCAAACATGGATTGTTTTCCTCCTTTCCTTTATGGCCAAACTTTTGAAATGTTTTCTCTATTCATTATCTTCAATTCATTTTTTTCCTATCCATTTCTAAAAACAAAGCAATGCAGACTATCACCTCACCACTCCACTCCAACAGCTTCTGTCAAAGTTTACTATGATCCTGTTCTTGTCAGTGTACCAAAGGGACATCATTCAGTTCTTATATGATAGCATTGGCCATTATTAACGTATCTCGCTTACAATGCTTTTTTTTCTTGACTTTCTTAATGTTTCTACTATCTTTTCTTTCAGCTCCTTCTCAGTCTTCATTATGGATGTCTCTTCTTTTCATCCATAAATATTTTTAGTCTCTTGATTCGCTTGGGTGCCCATATATGAAATGACATACTCCACAAACTTGGCATACAAAAGATATACATTTTATTTTCTATTTAAGACTGACCTGCCCAACTCAACTGTATGTTTGCTCTTACTCTATTGACTTCTTCCTACACCCCCATGGCCTGCCCAATCCAGAACTGCCTAGAGACTAATATTCATTGACTATATATGTGATATGATATTTTCATACAGACCATCTTATTTAATATTTCTAATAGTCCTATGAGGTAGGTACTTATATTATCCTTATTGTATAGCTGAATAAATTGAGTTCCAGAAAGGTTGACTAACTTGCATATCCTATAATCTTCATCTGTATCACTCTAAACAGCACAGCCCCAGAGGTATGCTTAGTATGGAAAGATGAAATGGCTCTAGATTGATTCGTGAAGAGGAACTAAATAATGTTCCTGAGGAGAAGGGTGATACTGTTGTTTGTCAAACCACATTATAAAGCAGTTTCATTTGTTATTTTGTTTGTTTGTTCATTTATTTATTTATTCACTTTTGACCAGAGGAAAGAAGAATCAAAATGAGATTTTTGGTAAAATCCCAGCCACTGTCAATGAACACAGTAGATGTGGAGGTGACTATAGTTAAAATTCTAGACCCTATCTTCAGTTTAGTCGATCACTCAAGGGCGCGGATTGAGTGTGCACTCTACAAAGAACATTGTGACTTTAACCTGCCCTTAAGTATGGCTTTGTTGGTAAAAGTCCCTGACTTGAGTTATAAATAATCACAAAAGAATGTTTTTCCTCCATTTTGCATGAAGCATGATAATACAAGTAGAGGGAGTAAGGTCCTGAAACCTTTGGGCAATCATGCTGAGAAGAAGCACCTGTCCTCCCTGGGCAGTAGCCCAACACACCTTCCATACTCCTCACAGCTAGCTGCCTCTCAAATGAGAGTGTACTCTCTCTCCTCTCTTTGTTCTTTCATTTGCTGTCTCTCTGTGTTCTCTCCTTTGTTCTCGCTCTCTGTTCTCTCATTGGCTTTTCTTCTCTCCTTTCTCTCTCTTGCTTTTCTCAATTATTTTTGCTCGTCTTCTGTCTCTTCTCCTCCCACTTTTTCTCTTTCCCCCTGCTCATTCTTTTTCACTCTCTCCTTTCTCGCAGAGAAAAGTTTCAATTTCAGTTAGCATTTAGAGTGAGTCTTACTTTCTCTGATCTAGTTAATCCATCCTGACTGTGAAGTTCATCCAGCAGTAGTATAATTCCTCAAAAATTGCAGCCTAATGAGAGGACCAAGTGACCCTGAAAGCTGCACTGTCAGGGGCTGACGAGCCAGCTAGATAGTCTAACTTAAACTTGACATTTTAGAAACATGTGCTCCTCATTGGGAAAACATATCACATTTCTAGTAAAAAGTTTTAATATTATTTTGTTATATGTTAGAGGATTTCATGCCTCTTACATATTTTGAATAGATAGCACTAAAACGCAAACCAAATAAAAATAATTAAAAACCTACACTGAACATTGAAATGCAAGTCTGGAGCTATGTTCTTTCAACAGAGGCAAGAAGAAGAAATTTCAGTACTGCACTTGTTATTTGACCCTAATCATTGTAATTATGGAAGTCATCCCCGCAAAGAAGTAAACCCTTGTTTTTATTATATTTTTATCTCCACAGCATTTTTATGGTTGGAAAGTATCTTTGTTGTTATTAACTTGTTTAAAGCCAGTTTCTGTCATCTTTAAAAACCACTTTTTGAAAACGAGGAAATCATTGTATTTTCTGCTATATCCCTGGCATCTAGCACAGTGCCCAGCCTATGGTAGACACATACAAGGTAAGATTGCCTTCTAATACTTAATCTGAAAGCTTCTGGCAGGAAACTAAATGAAATGGGTATTTGCTATGCCCTTAGTGAGGTCGTTATGAGTGGAAAAAGCGAATGGGAGTGAGTGAAAGGGAGAAACATTGAGAGTTCATCAGAAAAATATCATCTATTCAATAGAAGTCAACTCCAAAAATGCTCATTATGTACTTTCTAACCTACAACATTTCAGCATTTAAGAAAATTACAAATGGCAGGTGTTTTCTTTATGCTCCTGAAATCCATTGGGTTTGCCATGGAGAGAAAAGGGGGAAAAATGTCAACTCATTTGTACATTTCATATAATAAACTTCATAAATTTATCTCCTCATTTTCATGTGTAAAAATAGTTCTTATTAAGTGCAAGGCACCATTTTGGACTGAAGGATGACACATGACTTCACTCTTCAGAAAGTGTGATGTTATAGAAACACTACCCTAAGCTTGACCCTTTTATATTCTTGACTTGAATGGTTGACTTCACCGCTTTGAGAGGCCCAAAGAAGTACTATGGCCCTGAAGGCTCTTCTAACGTCCCATCCTTATTTCGCTTTTGTCAGTTTTTTAAACTCTGAACACTCCTAATCATCATAGAGCACATGCTGTTTCCCCAGACAGGATACTCTTTCTTAAATCTCTGCTTGTTAATGCTTGCTATTTCTTCAGATCTTAAATGTTTATAATTGCTTGAGGAAAATTTGACTTGTCCTCTCTCACTAGGTTAAATGTGTTCTGATATGCTCTCACTTTACTACATTTTTATTTTAAACATAGTAGCTCTTTTACATGTATTACTGTGATCATTTGGTTAATGTCTGTCTCCATGACTGGTTTGAAAGATCCATGTAGACATAGTGATCACTGAAGAAGTATGTGTTTAGAGAATATGTAGATGCAAAACCACCAGGTTGTATCTACAAACTGTAGATCTTATGAATGCTGCTGGGTTTTAAACTCTAGATTGAGTCAATTTAACAGCAATAATACAAAAGTAAACAAGCAAACCAAAAAATGAGAAGAAATAGATCTCTTATGATAGGCATTTTACGTAAAGTCAATGTCCAGAGAGTGGATTTTTATTTTTTAATTTTGTCATGAATGTTTGGACTTACATAAATATGACAATGGTCTATAACATATATCTCTTATTCAGTTCATCTTTTTTTTAACTGTTTCTTAACTTGTCCATTCTTTACCTCAGCTATGAGCTAACACCTAAAGAATGTAAATAGTAAAAATCAATAATAAGGCAAAATCTAGTTCTAATATTCATTTGAACTCCAGAATTCATTCATTCATTCATCCATAAACTTTCAAAATCAAATATTTATCTAGCACCTAGAATACAAAAGAACATATGTGATACAAAATACCTTGATATACCAAATGCATAAACGTTTTTATTCTCAAGCAGTCCTTGATTTAACATAGAACTTAAAATAATTCTATTAATACCTGCAGTAGAACGCCAATGGGATGAGTGCTGTTAGGTGCTAAAAGTAATAGCAGCAAATTTTAGAAGAGATCTCAATTACTAGTAGGGGCTATGGGTAAAGGAAAGATGTCAAGAAGGTAGCATTTGCATTGTGCATGAAAGAATTAGAGTTTTGTTTTGTTAAAAAAAATCAGGCAGAGAGAAAGACATTAATGAAAGTGAGAAGACCAATGATCTCCATTGGGGAGCCCAAGGAATCCAGTTTAACTGATGTGGAAGAATGTTGTATAGAAGAATGAAAGGCAAAGTTGATAGGAAGATTGAACTCATTTGTCAAAGGCCTTGAATTAATTTGACTAGATATTCCATCTCGCCCATGATTATCCCATTTTATACCTGCTTTCCCAGCATCCTATCTGATTTGCCATTTGAAAATATTATTCCCTTAATAGTTTTAAATAGAACCACGTATGTCTACCAAATATAGAAATTAATTTTAATGAATTAATATTTATAAAATTATAATTTTATACCTTTAGCACCCCATTTTGCTCATAAATAGATCTTAGCTTGAAAGATAAATTCCATAATAACCCCAGCAGCAAAGTAATTTACAGTTATTTATTAGAAGTAAGATAATGAGAAAATAATCTCCCTTATTTTAATGAGATAATATACTATAATATAGAGGGAATTAAGTGAAAAATGTATAGAATATTACTCAACATATGTTAGTTTTGTGCCTTTTTTCATAACTAAAGAAACTAAAGTTCCTATTATCAAGTATTTTTCAGATCTGTAAATATCATTTTATATAAAGCGTATTTTTCTAAATAGCTTATAGCTGCATTTATAAAAATGGAGTTCCATGGTCAAATACATTTGGATCAGAGAATATTTTATCATCCGCTTAAATAAAATATTGGATACAATTATTACACATTCATAATGAACATTGAAGACTTTTAGGTGTTTTGCAATGAACAAATTTGTTTAACTTTTTGTCACCCTATTTACCAAATCTATTAGAGCATAGAACTCTTTTAGCAAGTATAATAGAAAGGCATAATGCAGGAAGAAAAAATACGTATCCCAAATTACTATGGGAACTATTGTGGGACTTATTCCTCACAATAGTTCCCATAGTAATTTGGGATATATTTTTGTTGATAAATGTTGATTTCTCTTAGTATAAATAAACATTTAGTGATATTCGTAAGTAGTCATGAATGCAACCAATCAGCATTTTATTTCCCTAAATTCTAAGTAGCTGAGGGTTTTTGTTGGGGGTGGTGGTAGATGGGATATTTCACGTCGAGACTTTAGGGACCATAACACAATTAAGCTGAAGTGCATCCAAAGCATAGTTTACCATGCTCCTTACTCTCAGGGAAGTGAATATCTAAAAATCCTTCAGAGTTGATAGCTCTTTTTATTTCTCTCAGCTTTATAAGGAGGGAAACTTTCCAGTTGCCCATATCAGCCCATTCTGGTAGTATCCCTTTCCAGGGCAGCCCTCAATTGAGATGTTTTTGCTAAAGGTCCAACTCAACTCTCTACTGCTTTTATTCGAGTGTATTCCTTTGTGTTTGGTCTGTCACAGACACTCAGAACAACTGCTGAGCATCCTTCTCATAAATGTTTCATATACTTGACGACAGTATTTATCCCTTCATTTCCGCATATTTGGATTTTATTCAATATCTTTTTGGTTGGTGTGGAAGAAAGGGAGATGGCACTTATGTTTCATACTCCACATTGCTGCCAGCTCTATCTAAAACACAAATTGATAATGTCAGTCCCTGCTTACAATCTTCTCATGATTTCCCACTTCCTCCAAAGCCCAACCACCATAACATAGGCCAACTAAGACCCCTCATCTTCCTGCATTTGCCTCCCTTCTTGCCTGAATTCTTAATAATAACCAACTTTTACCACAGACACGCCAGAATAAAGTATGCAACACACCTTTTTGTTTTAAAACTCCATCCTTTTGTGTTTTGCTGTTTTCCGTGCCAAGAATGCCCTTTCCTGCCTTTTTCAGGTTAATGATACTCATGCTGTAAGGCTTTGTTTAAATGACAATTAAGTTACATGTTTTTTCATGCCCACCAGGCACAGTTGTTCACTCCTTCTGTGCTATTTCATGTTTGTGCTGACTTCTTTTATTCATATTATAACCTTGAAGCATAATTACATATTCACCTGCATTTTCCCCCACTACATTGTGACAGTGCTTGGGACAGAATATGCTTAAATCATTAAATCTAGTAAATGAAAACTGATACAGGTAAAGGGTTTATTTTTCTCAGGAAACCAGAATTCCAGGAGTAGGGAGTCCAGGGGGAGTACTACATCCCAACCCCAACAGGGAATTGACCCACTCCCCCTGTGTGTAGGTCCCCAGCCTCAACCTGATTGCTCAGCCAGCCACTTCTTCCCCTCCAGATCTCCCATCCACCTCCAGGTATCACATTGACAGACCTGACTTAAAAAAAAAAAAAAAAAGAAAGAAAGAAAGGAAGAAAAGGAAGAAGAAAGAAAGAAAGGAAGAAAAGGAAGAAGGTTTTGGGCTTGGCAACAGATTTCTCTAAAATACCTAGAAAACTTCACTTACATCTTACCTCCACTTACATTACCGTGAGAATTACATGGCATACCTCACCTTTATTGCAAGAGAGTTTGGAATGGTGAGTATTGCGGACTGGACATATTTTCCCCCTTAAGAAATTAAAGGTTTTTGTAGCAAGGAAGAACAGCAGATGATACAGGCAACTTGTAGACTTTGCTACTGAGACTTTGCCTTTGATATCCTGAATTATACTTTTCACATCCTAGGTGCTCAATGATTATTAAATAAATGAAAGACAGAATGACCAAGTCTGGTTTTTAAAACTACAAGCTTTCTAATTTAATCTTCCTCTAAGCATATGTGTGCTTTACACCAAGAGTTCATAGTATTTAAGTAATAATTTCTGGATATTCTTCGTTTTTACAGAATTTGAGTAAGATAACAGGCATTTTCCTCTTTTTAGCCTTCTTTCTTTTTTAACATTGCAAAGTGAAGACTTTGAATAAATAAATTACCTGTGCAACCATAACTACAAATATTAGTTTCAAACTTTTTATTGAAGGAATCCATTTTTATCATTTAATGACAAATGATCAAAGCATTGACATTGTCATATATCTAAAAAACAGTCACTCAAGAATTTTGCATAGTAATGTTAGTTTCTAGGATTCTATGACTTCCCATAGAACATATTTTTCTTTTTCTGGAAAATCAATTATTATTTCTATAAAAATGAAAAAGCAGAGTATATATGTATACTGTAAAGTACACCCATTTATTTAAAGCCAATACTGGCTTTATATAAAAACACAGTGAAGATAATTTTATTCTTTTCCCCACCTTTATTTTCTTTTACCAATTCTTCCTGATCTGATACATTAAAATTTAAAAAGCCAAATGTTTATTGAACATCTCCTATGTGCCAGACACTGATCTAAGTGCTCAGAATTTATTAGGAAATGTATAAATTATATACATAATCTATGTATTTATATTTCTTCCATATTTATATTATATGGAATAAATGCATTTTAGATACTCTTCCTGTAAACAAACTTCTAAGTAGTTTACTTTGACTTTCCATATTACTAAATCCAATGATTAGTTCTCTGTTCCTAACTTGAACAGAACTATCAGCAGTATTTTGACACATGGCCAATTATTGCCTCAATTTAACAATACCCTCCACACACGGCTTCCAGGACATTATGTCTTCTTGAGGTCATCTTGTCTGACATTTACATCTTCTCAGTCTCCTTTGCTAATTCTTTCTCATCTACTCAAACTCAACAAAGTCTCCAAGACTCAAACCTTAGACTCTTCTCTTTTTTTTTTTTTTTTTGCTTTTATCTACCCACTTTTTACACGTGATTTTATCTAATCCTATGGCTTTAAATACTTCATAAGGAGCTGAAAACTCCACTAGTAATAGCTGTTCTGAACTTCAGTCTTATATATTCAACTCTCTGCCTAACATGCTCATATGAGTTTTGATAAGGCATCTCAAATCTAACATAAATAAAGTCAGACTTCTTATCCCTGTTCACCTATCTCAAAGTTGCTCTCTCTATAGTGGTTCTCAACTTAGCAAAGGGCAATTCATTTTTATTTTTCAGTTGCTTAGGCTAAAATATATGCATGTTTTCCTAACCCTTTCTTTCTCTCACATTCAACACTCATCCAGCAGCAAATCCTATTCTCTTTAACTTTAAATAGTCAAAGGCCAACCATTTCTCATTATGTCCATTACTATACCACCTTGGTCTAACCCATCATTATTCTTTGCCTACATATTTGCGAAGGTCTTCTAAATTGAGCTTATTGCAACCATTGTTCCCTATAGCCTAGTTTGAAAGTAGGATGAAAATTAATCAGATAATGTTACTTATTGTTTTAAAACTTTTCAGTAGTGTACTTCTCAATCAGTGTAAAATCCAACACCCTTACAATGTCCTATGTGGTTTTATACTATTATAATTCTGATTTCACTTGCTATGTGGACTCTGAGCCTGCTCCAGAAACACTTGTCTCTTTCCTGTTCCTTGATCTTCCCAGAAATCTCCACTTCAATGCCCTTTTACTTATTGTTCTTTCTCCTGCCATTTTGCCCCCAGATATCTATCTGGTTCCCTCCCTTGTTTTCTACAGTTCTCTGTTTAAATGTCACCTCAATGAGGTCCTGCTTGATGATCCTTATAAAGTGGCCCAATGACTACCTGACCCTGAACCTGGAACTTCCTTTTCTTATTTCACTTTAGTTTTTCCCATTGGATTTATTAAAATCCACCCAACCAACCAAGTATATATTTATGATTTGTTGTTGTTTATTGCCTATCTAGCCATTCCAGAAGTTAAATTCATGATGTCAATAACTATCTGTTTTGTTTATGTCCCCAGCAGTTAAAATAGTGGTTGGCATATGAGAAACACAGTAAATATTTTTATTTAATAGAAATAAATAAATAAGCTAAAAAAATATATAGATAACATTATGTTTCTTTAACAAAAACAACAGAACAAACCCTCTTCTAAGTTCTGAGTAAGCGTTTGATTTATGCACATTAATGATTCAAATCAAAAGATATCAAAAAGTATTTGAATTCAAATCTTTCATACAGTTTATAGTCTACCTTTTTCTTTTATTAGTTGACTAGGACTTGGGTTTATAGCAATGTACAGAAACAGAATCTGTATCTATTAATAATCAAAAGAGGAAAATCAAAGAAACATGTGCTAATTAAACATGTCTTTCTTTATTATACGTGTCTATTGCAACTTAAGCACCACTTTAGTTTCTATGGTCTCATAGGTTATAATTTTCTTTTATCAGAATAAGAATGTTTTAAATGGCTTCTTTTAGATGATGAGAAGGTATTTGCTGATCATTTAGAATAGCTTACCAAGTAAAATATATGTTAGATGGTTTTCTACTTACAACTTACATAGAAGTAAACCTGAAAGACCAGAGAGCAATTTCTTCTAATAATAAATTAAACTATTACCTGCTTCTTTTTCATTTTTCAGCTTAAAGGTGGTCAAAATGGACTTAAAAAAAGAAAATCAGAGAAAGAAATAACTTCCAATTGCCTGTTTGCATGTATTAGTATGGAGATTTGTCTTTTAACATTTAGAGAAAAAATTACTTGGAAAAAAAAGAGGTGAAAGCCTTTAATGTTTCTAGACATTCTACTTCCATGCAACGTCCTCAGACAGATGATGGTGCTTCCCTTTTCCACACAGAAATTGTAAACTAAAGAGAAAACTATTTGGGTATAAAGATCTTCATGATGACCTCTTGCTCTTCTTCTCCTCAAAATGCTCTCCTCCTCAAAAAGTTCAACTTACACAGTATTGTGAAAATGGGGTGCCCACCCCTCTACTTTGTTCATTTTTATAATTTATTTAATTATGCTTTATTTTCTCATACCCTTCAGGTCTTCCTCATTCCATTATAACTCACCTTTGTAGCACCCACAAGTAGTGAAACGAATGTGACAAGGAATGAACAGATGTTTAGTCCAACTCCACAAATTCCATTTATGAATGGGGCCTATTATGCTGGTGATATGCAGTTACAAAATATTCTATAAAATTTCTTGATTTATTTACTCTCCAGTACAACTAGCAATTAGATGGATAGATAGACAGACAGATACATAGGAGACTCCAATATTTAATTTATTCTGGGTCCAAAGTTCAGACATTTTAATAATAAGTGTTTTGTTTCAGTTTCTTTTAATCTTCCTGAAATGTCACCTTGAGCTCAAATACACACACACACACACACGTGTATACATATATAGCACATCTATATATACATATACATACCAATAAACATATATAGAAAAGAATGAGTAATTCCAATATAATATGAAATACAAATAACTGTAAGGGATCCAACATCTGTCTAAAAAGATGCTTTTATGCACAAATATGGAAAGCCTCCTCATGATCGTTATTGCTTCAGAGGCGAGAGCAAACACATTCAAAAGCTAGCAGAAGGCAAGAAATCACTAATATCAGAGCAGAACTGAAGGAGATAGAGACACAAAAAACCCTTCAAAAAATCAATGAATCCAGAAGCTGGTTTTTTGAAAGGATCAACAAAATTGATAGACCGCTAGCAAGACTAATAAAGAAGAAAAGAGAGAAGAATCAAATAGATGCAATAAAAAATGATAAAGGGGATATCACCACTGATCCCACAGAAGTACAAACTACCATCAGAGAATACTATAAACACCTCTATGCGAATAAACTAGAAAATCTAGAAGAAGGGAATAAATTCCGAGACACATACACCCTCCCAAGACTAAAGCAGGAAGAAGTTGAATCTCTGAATAGACCAATAACAGGCTCTGAAATTGAGGCAATAATTAATAGCTTACCAACCAAAAAAAGTCCAGGACCAGATGGATTCACAGCCGAATTCTACCAGAGGTACAAAGAGGAGCTGATACCATTCCTTCTGAAACTATTCCAAACAATAGAAAAAGAGGGATTCCTCCCTAACTCATTTTATGAGGCCAGCATCATCCTGATGCCAAAACCTGGCAGAGAAACACACACACACAAAAAGAAAATTTCAGGCCAATGTCCCTGATGAACATCGATGTGAAAATCCTCAATAAAATACTGGCAAACCAAATCCAGCAGAACATCAAAAAGTTGATCCTCCTCTATCAAGTCAGCTTCATCCCTGGGATGCAAGGCTGGTTCAACATATGCAAATCAAGAAACATAATCCATCACATAAACAGAACCAATGGTAAAAACCACATGATTATCTCAATAGATGCAGAAAAGGCCTTCAATGAAATTCAAAACCGCTTCATGTTAAAAACTCTCAATAAACTAGGTATTGATGGAACATATCTCAAAATAATAAGAGCTATTTTTGACAAACCCACAGCCAATATCATACAGAATGGGCAAAAACTGGAAGCACTCCCTTTGAAAACTGGCACAGGACAAGGATGCCCTCTCTCACCACTCTTAATCAACATAATATTGGAAGTTCTGGCCAGGGCAATCAGGCAAGAGAAGGAAATAAAGGGTATTCAAATAGGGAGAGAGGAAGTCAAATTGTCTCTGTTTGCAGATGACGTGATTGTATATTTAGAAAACCCCATCATCTCAGCCCAAAACCTCCTTAAGTTGATAAGCAACTTCAGCAAAGTCTCAGGATACAAAATCAATGTACAAAAATCACAAGCATTCCTATGCACCGATAATAGACAAACAGAGAGTCAAATCTTGAGTAAACTCCCATCCACAATTGCTACAAAGAGAATAGCAAGAATCAATATTGTTTAAATGGCCATACTGCCCAAAGTCATTTACAGATTCAATGCTATGCCCATCAAGCTACCATTGACTTTCTTCACAGAATTAGAAAAAAATACTCTAAATTTCATGTGGAACCAAAAAGAGCCAATATAACCAAGACAATCCTAAGCAAAAAGAACAAAACTGGAGGCATCATGCTACCTGACTTCAAAGTATTCTACAAGGCTACAGTAACCAAAACAGCATGGTACTGTCTTCTAGTTTATAATCTTCCCACAACCTGTACAGCATGCTGCACACATTTTTGAAACATGTGATTGAAAGCTAATTGTTTCCTAGACAGCCACATAAAAGAAACTTCTTCTGGGACATCAAGATTACAGAGTCTGATTTAGAACATACCGGAATCCTGAATATACTGGCACAAATGAATCACATGCCAAAATAAAACAAAGCAAAATATCTTTCTCCTCCAGTAAGACCTGCCCTGCATAGCTAAGCTGGAATCAATGTCTGCAAGAGGTTGAAGTAGATACAGGAGAGTCTTGCTCTTGTTCAAATCTCTTAAATTTGGATTTCCAGGTTACCTACAGAAATGATGTCGAACTTGAGATGATTTCACGGACTCAAGGACACCTTCATTGGTCTTCCCAAATTTGGAGTGCACTCTTAACCCTTTCTTTGACCACTTTCTCACACCTAAAGCTGTTTAATAGGAGCAGCACTTTCAACTATCAGAGGTGAGACTTAAAATACAAACGCAACTGGGAGAAGTCTATTAACTTACAGCCATTCTACCCTACAAAAGATATTTCCCTTTCTTAGGTGAACATCCTGATGGAGGGCAACAAAAGTCAGGGGTGTGTGTTCTCCAAAAGGGGCATGACATGTACGTTTTTACACTTTTTCTTTGACTCAAATATTCTTGCTGTCTTGAACCCCCACTGTAGTCTACCACAAGAAAAGAGACCAAGGTCACTTTTTGTTTAAGGCTTATATTGTAACACAGGTAACAAAACAAACAAATAAGTTTTAAAAGTGTGGCTTTTTCCAGATAGTTTAGGTTAGACTCTCAAGAGTGACTCTCACTGGCTGGTTTGTGTCATGTGCCCAATACTGAGCTCATTAGAGTGGCCAGGTCATTGGCATATCCTAATTGCCTGGGCTAGGCTCAAATGTCCATTTTGGGAACCAGGAAGTGAGACTTTTCTACAATAAATACATAAACTGAGAAAAAGAGACTGGTTGTTCCCAATGATCTTCTTGTATTTTGTTATTTGCAAAACTGATCATCTAGCCCAACTGCTGCTTATATCCCTAAGTTTAGAGGATACTTCAGTTGAATTTTCATCCTAAAGAGAAAAAAAAACAATATTTGACCTGACAGTGCTGGGTTTATACTTTGCTCATCAATATCTTTTAAAGAATTCCTTAAGTAGGTCAACTCTAGATGAACAATCAACTCTAAAAATGTTACTTAGTGTATTTTAATTCCCTAAATATAAATATAAGTAATTTAGATGTAATGGATGTTGTTACCTATAATTTTGGGTTGATCTTTACAACCCTTGGAAACTCATCCTGAGTCCTATGCATAATAAGTACTCAATCAATATATGTCAAATTTAATGGAATTTATTTTTTTGAGCCACATTCCTGATGGGGATTATTAGAGTCATTGTGATGTGTCTGTAGGTAACTATGAAAAAAAGAAAGCCATCTGCCTGCCCCCCAAAAAATTATTAAGAAATGTAAGCAAAGTTTGAAAGATTAGGATGTTTATATCACTCTGAGCCATATATTTAAACTCATTGTCATGACTCATTAATGAATTGTAAGAAATTTCAGGGGTTGTTACAATAGCTAAACAATGTTAAAAATATAACATAGAATGTAAAAATGAAATAGAAAAGGAAGAATAAAACTGGGTGCATCACACATAGCAGGGATAAGTATTGATCCATGACATTTTATTTTATTTGTTCTTTGCATGTCTGCGTATGTACTAGGCTGCACCACAAAACATAGTTCTTTCAATCCATTGCAGTCAAAAAAGTTTAAAAAATATCACCCCTGGAGTGATGGTATGTGTTTTCTTTGTCAGTGTCCACGGTTTATGTTGTCAGCTGATAGCAGAATCAGACTGCAACATTGACACCTAACATGTAACCATACTTGGCAGATGAAGACCTTGGAGAGCATGTGCCATGTATGAATCCAGCTTAGGCAGGTTTTCAATTTGTCCAAAAGGTACTCATTGGTTTGGAACTCTGTGGATGTATGTGTCATTTGGTATGGATGGATTTGTCTGACTTCTTGTGAAATCAATGTTTATTGACAAAAATCTATTTTGTTGTTTTGTCCCAGAAATCTATATTGGCACCATTCCCTGTGGATATTTGGCTAGTCAGTGGCAACCAGAGATGCCAGCTAGAGTTTTTACTGTTTTTATGGTGCCAGCTGCTTTCTTGGCTTAGGTTTCTTTTGTTCAGATTGTAAATGAGGGCAAGACACCCAAATCCACCCCAGTGTGCTCAGTGGGAAATGACAGGAGCCCAATAGCTTAAGGCTAAGCACCAGGAGCTTTCATGAATGAAGGGTCATATACAGTGGTAGCTGTAACTGTGGAACTGTGCTAATAGATGTTATGCACAAAAGTGCTGGAGAACCGTATATGTGAGAGTGTATCTGTGTGTTTCGTATGTGTTTGGAAAAGAATTTTTTTATTGGAATGTCACTGTTTTTAACTAAATGAGATGATTGATTTTGTTTAAATGCGTAAGAAAGCACTCAAAGTGTAGGAAAAATTTCTCCTCACAGAGTTATAAATATGTGATAGATTTTTTTTACAGCATTCACCAATTACTCCATTGGTGGATTATCTAAGATTCTGTTCTTTTTCTTTTATTCCTAGCTTATGCATTTTGACCATTCCAAGATTCTTTAGGACTTTTGCCAGAGGTACAAAGAAGGAAACAGACAAACAGGAAATTTAAATCTCTCAAATGGTATTATTTGTTTGCCTCTTTTATAAAATTATGGAGATCAGAGATTGAAGATTATGCTTGCAATGAAGAGTTTGAATTATCTGTATATTTAATGATCTGGGCTTTTAGATCTGCTAATTATCATAAGTAATTGAGAGATAAATGAACTGCCCAGGATGTCCCTTAGACCCACCGTGGCAACCATGAGGGTTTCTAGCCGGGCATAAGAGATGGGGCCAGGGAGAGAAAGGGGCTACAGTATGCCAGCATGGAGGGCCAAAGAGAGCCTGATTTCTCTTGAATAACCAGTTTTCATTTGGGGAGATCAGTGATCCAGTTCCACTTACTGGGATGCACTGAAAAAGCAGTTTTAGGTTAAGGGACTATCTCAGATATCTGTTTAAGGCCTGAACCTCACAGTGGGATGAATCATAATTGTGCTACCTCTTAGGGAGAAACAATAAAGAATAGGAAGAGTACATAATGATAGTAATTAAATGAAGATAGTGTCTCCTTTTAGACTGATAAAAATATGACTTCCAAATAAATTTTGATCCTTGGCATAGAAAAAATTTCAATTTTATAATTTTTTATAGTGTTGCAATTTTGATATATATATATTATATATATATTATATATATATATTATATATATATAATATATATATATATATGACAGGCTGTAAATACCTCCAGATTTATTCCTCTGTAATAATAAGTTGTGGAAATTTATTATTTCCACAATATATTATGTGACAAAAATGAATTTATGATCACCCAGGAAAGAAAATCACAATACACTCATAATCTCCTCAGTACTTTTATCCTTTTCTATAGCTAATAAATAGACTTCCTCTGAAAAAAATTGACTCTACCAGAAACCAGAAGAGATAGAAAAGACACACCCTGGGCTCCACCCAATCCTCAAATCAGATGAGAACTTTCTATTTTTTAAAAGAAATACCCCAATAATTGCTTTTCTGCTGCTTTGCATGAAATCATAAGACATGGAACATTTGCCAAATAGTTCTAAGCCTCTTAACATGATCAACTATGTGTGAGTAATGAAAAGGGATTCAGAGGGATTTTTTCAGCAGTGAGATCAAATTTAGAGAAAACTGAAGAATCAACTCAATACCTTTAAAGAAAGCATTTCTAAGAAAATGCTTGGTGAAGAGTAACAGCATGAGCCCTTCTCACTTAAATATTTAGGAAAATGTTGTACTTGTATGCCCACAAAAACTTATGTCAAAGCATGAATGAGGTAACATTTAGACAGTAATTAGGAGAGGGACACTCGTAAAGTTTTTTTTTCCCCACCAAATGTCCTGTTTAGCTCACATACAAATTAAGTGAACCATTCAGAAAAATCTTACAAGAAGTGGTTAGGGCAAGAATCTATATCCAAGGTTGCAGCAAAGGGCAAGGAAATTCAGCAGTCATGTTATTTAATCTGGATACAGGCCTCAGTGTTTTCCAACAAGCATTACTTAAGGGTTTACTACCCTTCCAATTTATTTAAAGGCCAAAGCAATGCTCAGGTATATACAAACATTTACTTACTTTCTGTCTCAGAGTCTAGTAACATAGAGAATGTGGACCTAGCTACTAGGGTCCATTATTTACCCTTCAGCCTTCTCTCAATATCCTCCACATTTAGCATTAAACAGAGGTAGGGTTCATGTCACCATGAGATCCATGTATTATAATCCAAGGCCTCCAGGCTTCTGGTTATAGGCATGTAACATGGGAGTTATCACAATATTGTCATCTAAAGGGCAAGTTTCAGGGCTGTACTACTCTATTATGGCAAGCATGCCATTCCAGTTGAGCCCATAGCTGTTCCCAGGAGGCCTTTTAGGCTCATGTAAGACAAGAAGTCTGTATAACTTTTCTGGGTCATTCAAATGAGCCAGACAATTGTGGGGGTCTCAGCTCTCTGGAGTGAACAACTTTCCTGCTTGTTTATTATTTGGAGAATACATTTCTTTTAGCTAGAGCTAAGGATCTTTGATTTATCCTTGTTCTGGATCATTAATAGAGAGAAAATACATGCCAATATGGAAGGGAACAGTTGTCCTGCAAGCATTCAACCAAAGCGTTACAATGATGAGCTTTCTAGGAAGTTTAAGGACTCTCTAGTAAACCCCTAAATCAGGGCAGAGCATGTTAGCTATAAAGATTCTGAAGAAAAGACCTGGGAGATCTGAGTGCATTTTGCTTTTCTTGAGTGCGAAATTAATATTAATGGAGACAACGGAGTTCTGTTTAGGAAATAGTGCCACTGAGTTTGTCTAAGAAGAAACAGAATCACCGGGGTTACATAAATATACATAGATCCCAGTGATACAGCATTTGTAAGAGGGAATTTCCTCCAGCAAGGGGATGTGAGTAATGTAATATAAGAAAATGACTGAACAAGTAATTCAGAATGTGTAAAAAATACTTCCCTGGAAACTGTGTTTAAAGCAACCACATTTTCTGGATGAAAAAAAAAAAGCAATGAATTCAGAGGTGATACTGGTACATTTAATTTTTTTTATAATTCGTAAAACAGGTCAAGTGACTGATTTTTTTTTCTTCTTGATAAAAAGAAGAATTAAAAAATATGTACACATGCACATATATACATATTTCTTAATACTGGCAGAGACACATAAGGGAGTGTACCTGGATTTCAGTCCTAAATGATCTGTAATTTATACAATAAATTGCTCTTGTCGTCCTCTAGACTTGCATTTAGAGATTATTACTTCATTGTTAAATATTAACATTTCTCAATTTTTTGCTTCTTCCAGAAAACTGGCACTCTATTAAATACAAGCATTAGAAAGTGCTTTTGTATTCTACTATCCTCTTTGAGTTGAGGGTGATTGCATAATTAAAGCTGGCCTGAAATCAACCATATAAGAGTTGAATGAATACCAAGTCCAACTGGGGAGGATTTACCATATGAATGTTCCTTTCCTAAGACTAAAACACAGGTTAGATTTCCAAGTTTCAGAATGTTGCTCAATGAAAGAAATATGTTGCCCATGAGAAAAAAATAAATCAAATGGTGGTGCAATCTATAATCAAAGGCACCAATGGTCACAAAGCATTCAGAACAAAGGTTTGCTGAGCTAGCAAAGATGTGGAAAAAGTTTAATACATAATCCATTCTAAGTAAAAGGTCTTTATTACTAAAAGAATAGAAAAGCTTGTTGGTGGTGTATTTTCTTTTCGTTGTTGTTTTTGTTGTTATTTTTAAAAACCTCTAAACTAGTTTAAATAGATTAACTCTTTTTATAAAGGGAGACACTGTTTAGAATATGAAATATTTTGAGAAATTGAATAACATCCAGTATGCTATTTTTCACTCTAATTTCACAACCAAAAATACATTTCAAAAGAACTTTTCATTTTCTTTTCTTATTATATTTTTATTTAGGACTATTGCAAATTTTTGCCTCCTGGGTGCCTTGCAAGAAAAAGCAGAGATTCATCTCTGCTTGTTTAGTAGTTGGATTGCTTCTACAGAAAACATTTGATAAGCAGCATCAGTCCTGTAAAAGAATGCAGTGGTAGTATCTGCTTTCCCTAGACTTTAGACAGCAAGATAGAACAGTATCTGTGCATGGCAAGAAAAAAAGACATGCCTTATTTATTATTTTGTTCACAGGTAAAAGGAAATAAATGATATTTACATGAAAGCTGAATCCTTGTTTTCATTCCATGGCAAAATCCTTACTTGTTACTCAGCCTTAACACATTAAAAAAGAAGAAGCAAAACAAAAAGTGTGTCTGTACATGTGGCTTGCATATCAGCATTTGTGTGGGTGGTAAACAGTAAACCTGTGGGATGAGCAGAAGGAAGAAAATGGCCAGCATGCAATTTTAAGGAGGCATCTAAGAAACGTACAGATAAATAACTGATTGTTGTTGACCATGACAAGATAATGCATGCCATTTGCAAAAATTTTATTCTCCAAGTGACAGAAACAATTACGTTCCCCCTGAAGGAAAATAACAATATTTTAATATTATAAAATTTTAATGTTACATCTCATATAAGCCATATTTTGCTTTCTACAGAGGATATCTCAACAATAATAAAATATGTAATGATTTGGTCTGCAAATTGTGTTCCTATTCATGTTTTGCTCTGGCAAATAGGGACTGATATTCCTGAGGGCAAAGGGTGCTTTGCTGAATCTAAAGTGGTGCTTTCTTTGCTGAACCTGAAAGTTTTGCCACTGCGTAAATTTGCCTGGCCTAAGAAGAAAGGATTGAAATGCTCAGAGAATAAAGGGAGTCTGTAGGATTTGAATTCTGATGTTAATCTCCAAACACTTTTTCTTTCGGTTCCTTAAAATTCTCCGCAAAGTATCTTTCACTAGCTAGTTTATGCAGGAGTCTGTGTTCTAGACTGTGCCTGTTTTTAGCCAATCAGATGAATCAACTAGAACTGCTTCTTCTGTAAAATAAAGGGTGACAACAAGCTTTAATATTTCAGCAATGAGAGCAAACCATGGATGTACTTTACTATGGAAGTCTTCTGAAGAATTTAGAACCCTTCCCTAGCAAGTTTTCACCTTGACTGTTGTATGTACCATTATCAGGAGAATCAATTTCCTTGTGGTGCTGGTGTGATGTCGAGAGTAGAGCATGCGGGACATTAGGATGAGTGTATACTGGCCCTGGTGCTTTTTATAAATAGAGACATATCTACAGTAAATAAGAGAATACTTTCCTTCTAGAAGCATAATTACTTGAAGTAGAATGAATATGAGGTACAGGAACAGCAATCAGAATTTTAGAAAACTTGAGATTATGGCATGAAAAATATTTTTAATGTCCACTATGACCAAAATATCAGCAGAAGTGGGAGGGAATGAGAAAATCTTAATTTTGATGGGCTTAGCTCTGTTTATCTAACACATGAAAATCTCAAGTATGTGTTCAGAGGCCCTTTTGCAGACATGTGGCCAGGATCTGTAAATCCTGCTGAGAATGGTTTTGAGGAGCTGGGAGGCCAACATTAAAGCAGCTTCCCATGCTGCGTATTTTTAAAAAATTAGTATTATAAGAAAGGAGCACGGTGGATAGTATAATAGAAAGAACATTGTCTCGAGTCTCAGGAGGCCAAAGTCTAGTCCTGATTCAGTTTGTCAGTGAGTTTGTGGTGCTGGGCAATATAATTACACCTTTTGGAGTTTCAGTATCCTTGAGTAGAAAAAAGAATTTAGGGTGTCTAAGATCCTATTTCAGGAGCCCATATTTTTACACATCTAGGATTCATTCATCAAATGATCTTTATAAACCCCTAAGAACATTAACTTGTTCTCTTGGCATTTGCCTCTTCCACCAAGCCAATTGCCTTAGGGTAGTGAGATAGCAAGGAGGGATGGAGAGACTGGTTGTTCAAGGGTTCTAGGCCAGTGGTTTCCAGATATTGGAGATTTAATGTTCTGTATTCTAGCGGGCACACACTGGATGCTCTCCACATGATGCTGAGTCATTCTAGACTGTGGGAAGAAGCAAACTGAATGAAGGGTAAAAATACCAGACTGGGAAAAAGGAGTCCAGCCCTATAGTTCTTACGGCAGTAAGATTTACAGCAAGGAAACCAGGCATCAGAATGGGCACAGATAACAGTCACGATGTCCAGAACCTAGTGAATTAAATCCAGGTACAGAAGCAAAGGAAAATGAAGCCAGCAGTTGCCACAAGTCACAATAAAATGACTGAGAGGTATGATGGATCAAGAATAACTTAGCCTCGACTGGATACTGAGTTGAACTTGTCTCAGGTCTTACATTTTTATATATTTTCAGTTAGCATTCGAGGTTCAGACTAAATACTCAAGTCTCTTAGGCCAGTAATCTAAAGCAATGGCTAACTTTGCAGACTGTGCATAGGGAAACACAGCAGCTTTCAATAGGCTGGCCCTGACAAGCTATGTTTTACTGTATGTTCTTAGCCCTGTTTTGAGCCAAGCATGTCTTTAACTTAAGCAGAGAAAGTGTAGATTACATAACCACAGATTGTTGGAAAGACTCTTATACATCAAAATTTTTATCTTAAATCAAATTCCTTCATTTTCAGTGATTTCTTCATTTCTTAGGCTATGTTCCTTTCTAAAAACATGAATATACATGGGATAAGCAGTCATATCGTAGCACCTTAATATGACTGATTTGATTAGATTGCTCTCCTGGGAAGACAGCATGAGAGTGCCTGATGTTTGGGAAAAGAGTGTGATAACTAGGAAAAAAATGGAATGGAAGTGGGGTTCAAGGGAATGCATTTCCAAAAGCAAAATCTTCTCACTTCATACTTTTTTCAATCTGCATAAAAATAATCAAAAGTGATTTAGATTCTAAAATGTAAAATTGAACACCTAGGGACTTTAGATCTAATTTGATTCCAAGGTATATACAGAGCCTGCCTGTGAGGCCTTGGACTCTAGAGGGCCCAATAGTTCCTTTTACTAGTCAAGAGGAAAGCCAAACATATTCTTCCCTTAGTCTAATTCCTTTGTTCTGGAGCAGCTCTCTGGGATCCTTGGAAGAAAGGTGCTATGTAAACCATGAGGGTGTGGACTTGGATGGCTAGGGTGGGAGCCTGTGAGGTCTTGGATGGGGACATGCTTTCTCCATGTGCATTCAATTTATGATTTTTTTCACTTCTGGAACCCACTCAGGAAGCTGCTGGTGTATGTTATAAGTCTGGAAAAGCACATGCACGAAATAAATAAATAAATAAATAAATAGCCAGCATCTGCCATAGAAGCATACTGCTTCCTTAGAAATGAGTCAGTGTAAGCTGGGCTCATAGAAATAACTGATAGGCCCCAACTTTCTGGCATGATTCATCATCTCCCTTAGACTTGCTGTCAGCGGGATGAGCAGGAGAATATGAGAGAAGGAAGGAAAAGAACATTCACCCTCCTGGGTGGGACTTGTGTGATATGTTGAAAGCTCTCCTAGCTGAGGAGGGACAATTACTTCTTTATTTCACAGCATCAGGTTTGCTGGCCCCAAGATTGGATAGTTGTGGGTCACCCTTTTATTTACTTAGTACTTTGCTGAACTAAATATTCCTTAAATCTCTGGCTAGAGATTCTTATCTAGAACTGAAAATATTTACTCACTTATCCTGTAGAGTTGCTTGTGTGATTTAGATGAAATGAACATGAATTAGTTTGTATTTTTATTGTGGTGGTTACTAAAGAGTTCAGTCAACGATGAAAACAGAAAAAGCAGAATGCCACATGATATTATCAAACATCAGAAAAGGAGAGAATACTTTTATAAATGTCATTTCTTTCTACAATTAAATGATACACAAAGAGATAGATGTTGCATGTTGATTTATTTAATAGCAGGATTTCCACTAGATGGTATCTTGAAGTTTGAGTCATACTACTAATATTTGTAGAAAGTAAATATAATTAGAAATATAGAGAAGTGAGAAAAGAAGTATTTTAAGGCCTGTGCTTCTTTTTTAGGTTTATGTTTCTTTAATTTGCAATTTTCACTCTTCGTATGAAAGGCCTCATGCAGAAAGTACACAAAAAGTCCCTCTTCTACCAAATTTAGAGAAATAAGATATAAAATAGAAAAGAGTTAATGATGTTGACAGGGAAGAAAGCAATGTATGGTCCACTGGTTTTGGTCAAATTGTAGCTAACACCACAAATAAGTTGACTGATTTTTTTTTCTTTTGTGGAGAAACCTTAAATGCATTAAGAAGTAAAATACTAAAAATGGCTAAATTACAGAGAAATTGTAGATAGCGACACAAAATAAAAAGATGTACTGGGTATCTCACTGAGTTCAGAGAGACATCTCCACTTAGAGTGGTTAGAAATCTATCCTGCCTTAGATCACACTGTAATCCAAATGCGTTTTTACATTTTCCATACTTTTAGAACATTTCTTCCCTTGTACTTTCTAACCCCAAATCCCAGGCCTCAGTCTAAAAGCCAGTTTGTGCCTAATCATTGGCAATAGAGAACTAGTACAGAAGCCAGTTATTCTGAGTGAAGACTATGTGAGCTGCCATCAGCCTCTTCTCTAATACCAGCAATGTTTTCCTTGGAGCATTTCTGTAAGTTAGTGTTTCTGGAAAGTTTGTCCTTCAGACTACCAGACTCAGAATCTTCTCAGGTGCCTACAAAAATGCAGATTCCCAATGCCCAACTCAGAGCTTCCCATTCAGATTTGTCTCGGGGATCTACAACTTTTCAGGCGTCAGAGGCAGTTTTATGCACAGCCAAATTTGAGAACCTCTGCTAAACCAGCAGTAAGATATTTCCAGAGTATGTCTTCAACTATGTTTCCATTCTCAGAGAAGTAACTCTAATGATCACATCTAAGGTAGAGAAATCCCTTTGTTATAACATTTCCCTTGCTGTGAAGCAACCCTGATGAGGCTGCCTTTTGGGAATGAAAGGAGTCTGACTGAGAGGAAATGCCACTGGATTTCCAGACCTATAGAATAAAGCATCTGAAGGAGAAACACCACAAGGAAAAGCAAACTTTCAGAGCTTGTCACCAACATGTATTATTGATCCTAGAAAGCTTATGCCCTAGGAGTAGGGGACCAACTTTTTATGTAAAGATACAGATAGTAAACTACTTTAGGCTTTGTGGGCCATTTGATCACGGCCACAGTTATTCAGTTTTTGCAAAAGCAGCCATGTATGATATGTAAACATATGGGTATAGCTGTGTTCTAATGAAACTCTACTGACAGTAAAATTTGAATTTTGTAAAATGTTTACATACAACAAATTACTCATCCTTTTTTGATTTTTGAAGTAATTAAAAAATGTAAAGATCATTCTTAGCTTACCAGGCTGTACCAAAATAAACAGTGGGCAAAATTAGCATATCAGCAGCAGTTTCCCAATCATTGTCTTCAAACATTTCTCAAAATTTAAAATTCACCTGAAGAGTGTGTTACGATACAGATTACTGTTCCTCCCAGCCAGGGTTTCTGATACTGCAGGTCTCGGATAGGATTTGATGATTTGCTTGCCTAAGAAAATCCTGGGTGAGTTCAATGAACTCCAAGTGCCAGGAAAATATGTTGGTTGGTTTCAAACATTCACCTCATTTGACCAGTGTGAGAGCATTATATATTTTTTAAAATTCAGTCCTGTATTGGAAAGAACAAGAATGACCCCAAATCCGAGGAGATTGTGAGAGAATACTTTTGCTGGGAAGTTGTTGAGAGACTGATTTAGGCTTATCAACAGCAGAGGTGGAGATGTGGAAGATTTCTTGGCAAAGGAGACCTGGGAGGAGAAGAAAACAACAGAGAAACAGGGTGGAGAGTCCTAATTACCATTACATTAAGAACAGGTTCCTCTGATTCATGCTGACCTTAAAGTAATCTAATAGAGAGGCTGAAACTGTTCCATGTGAATCATTTTTCCTGAATTCCAAGTTGTTATTGTTATTTTTATTGTTGAGGAAACACAAATTATTGTGTGGTCATGTAATTGGTTGACAATTCAAAGCAACTACAAAAAAATTAAAAGGCCAGGCTTTTAGATTTAGCCTATTTGCTGCTCTGTTTTGGATAAAATGCAAGGAGCTTTGCTTCAGGGGCCTTCAGCGTGTGCTAGAGATTAAGCATTAAGGATGAGGAAGGAAAAAGATAACCCCCTTCATTTTCTTAGTACTATCCCCACTCTTCACTTCTACTTTCTAGCCTTGTCAAGCATTCTCTATTTCTAGCTGTCTCCCTCGCTCCCTATCAGTAGCCTATCTCACGGTATATATTCACAATTAGTAGTTCATCCAATCTTTTCTTCTTGACTTCTGCATCTTCTCAAACATACAAAGTCCTGAAAATTAACTATTTACCCAAACATGGGCTTATATTCTAAATAACTTATCTATTTTTAGTAAAAGGCAGATATGGAAATAAATGAAGAACTACCAAATGAAAAAAATCAAAGGCTATTTATTCAGAGCTTGCTATAGCAAGGGAGTCAGTCGCCCATCATCTGTGTTTTGGCAGAGACTCCAAAACAAGCAGAGGGTAGGGAAGCTTTTACAGTAGTGGAAAAAAGGGAAGGTTTTAGGCACACCCTGATTGGAGGCTGTTGGTGTGGGAAAGCTATAGGCGGTGAACTAGAATCGGGGCATGCCATGTGATTGGTTAAGGGTACATACTTGGCTTTCTCCCGTTGGTTCTAAGTTGGAAACTGGGACAAAAATTAGAAAAATTGTCACTTATTAATCAAGACCGAGCCATTTTGAGATGATTGTTACAAAAGTTATTGTTTAGCTTCCTGAATATATGCCTTGGGAAGAGGAAAGAGGAGTGAACCAAGCTGGGGCATGCATCTACTGAATCCCCGGCTACGCATTTAGAACCTTATTCCTACTATCATTGCCCAAAATATTTATATCCTCTTCTTGACTCTGAACACCACCTCCAACTGCCAGCACATTCCTCAAGTTCACCTCATCAGATTTGCTTAAACTAATTGTGTCATCTTTTTTCGCAAACTGGCTTCCAACGTTCAATATATTCACCTGCATATTTTTGTCAATTATAGCATTTTTCCTGGCCAAAGGGCTGCAAATGTTCCCATTAACTTGGTTCCTTTATCTTGTTACCCCTCCCTCTCCTACATTTGCCAACCACACTCATTTGGTTAGCTAACAAAGCATGCTGATTCTTTTTTAATAACATAATTGGATCCATTCTCTGCTCTTCATTGCAAACAGTGTTCAACCCAGTCCAGAACTAACACTTGAATTTGCATCATTATAAAAGCCTCAGAGAAGGCTCCTTGCCTCTAGCTGGCATAAGTGGAGAGATATAACTTCATACTGGAACTCCTTCCTGTGCCCAAGTAAAATATCCCAAATTAGTTAAAACTTTCTTTGCTATAGATCTGGATAGCAGTTACAGAACAATTTTCAATGTAATGCTCCAATCAGGCAACCAAGACCAATAATGTGGACGACAAAACTTGAAAAAGTAGAGAGCCCTTAACAGCAAAGTATGTAGAATTGGGGTTGGTGGGGGTGGGTGTCACAGAGAGTTGGTAAAGGAAAACCAAGAAGATCTGAGTGTGACACACATAGTGTTTGCTACAAAGGACTGTTTTTATTCCAGCATTACATATGAGGAAACTGAGACTTAGGGGGAGTAAGTATTAATAATTCTTCAAAAGTCAGCCAATAAGTGATGCTCCTTCTTGAGGGCAAGGACTTGTCTGCTTTGCTTGCTGCTATAACTCCAGCTTCCAAATGTGATAAGTATTCAAAAATAACTGTTGAATGACTGAATGAATGGTGGCCTCATCCCCATCATAAGATTGGCTTAGCTTATCTCAAAATTGAATGTCTACGTTCAAACTGATTTTCACCAAAACTCAGGTCTTTTTCTTTCTTTCTTTCTTTCTTTTTTTTTTTTTTTTTTTTTTTTGAGAAACAGCCTTACTCTGTCACCCAGGCTGGAGTGCAGTGCAGTGGTGCCATCTCAGCTCACTGAAGCCTCCACCTCCTGGGTTCAATCGATTCTCCTGCCTCAGCATCCCAAGTAGTTGAGATTATAGGCACCTGCCACCAGGCCCGGCTAAAGACTTTCTTGACCACTCCAGACCCCTATAATTTCTCATTCTCATTCTTTTGAACATTTACTATGGTAATCAGCGATATGCTATCTTGTAATACTGTTTTCAATTTGCACATGTCTATATTTTGTTTCACTCAGATCAGAGGTTCTTGAGACAGAATTTTACTTCTTTGATTATCCCACAGCTTTCAGTTATCCTTTAATTTTTAAAAATATTTCTTAATTATTGTTTATGTACCAGAGACTGTGATCACTTCTGGGCACAGAGTGGCCATGAAAAAAAGATCAGGTACTCATAGAGCTGCAGGATAGTGACAAAAGATGGCATTAAACCAGCAGGTGAACAAATAAGGATCAATTATATCCTGTGATCAGTGCTCTAAAGGCAACAGAAAGGGATGATGTTGGAGATAGTAACTACTTTAGATTGGGTTGTCAGAAGATACCTCAGAGGAGATGATATATAACTTTAATAAAGATGAAAAGGAGCTAGCCATAGAAAGAGCTTTCTGGGCAGAGGAAATGTCCCAGGCAAAGGTCCTGAGGTCGGAAAGAGCTTAACAGGTTTGAAGAAAGAAAAGAAAGCCAGTGTCGCTGAAGTACAGTCCAGGACAGGAGGAATCGTGTAAGATGCAAAGCTTCCTGAATAGATATAAATGACTGACACCTGATCCTCAAGGAAGATTACATATCAACTGTACCTGTGGACACTGATCTTTTCACAGTGGAATCTTCAAATGGTATCATTTTCGCTTCTATTTTATAATCTCTACTTTCTTGTCTCTTTGTAAACTCTTTTAACAATTAGAATTTTGGCTTTTAGCTTATATTTTTAGATACTTTTGAAATGACTCAAGCTTCTGGACAAAGGAAATTGGATTAGCAATCCAGTGACAATATAAATTTTGAAATAATCTCACTTTTTTTCTAGTCAAAGCAGGAAATTGAGAAATATGGATGAAGAAAATTATATAAAAAGACCATCATAATGGAAAAAATGGTCAGTTCTATGCAATATTCATCAAATTCTTTTTGCAAGGAGGTAGGGATATAAATTTTAAACAGATTAAATTGTATAGATTAAAGTTGCAAGTTAGTTATAACATCCAAAGCAAGAGGGCAAATCTAATTTCTCCACAGGGTTAGGGATATGGTTTGGCTGTGTCCCCACCCAGATCTCATCTTGAATACCCACATGTTGTGGGAGGGACCCAGTGGGAGGTAACTAAATCATGGGGGCAGGTCTCTCCCATGCTGTTCTCCTGATAGCGAGTAAGTCTTACAAGACCTGACGGTATTATAAGAGGGAGTTTTCCTGCCCAATCTCTCTTTGCCTGCTGCCATCCACATAAGACATGATTTACTCCTCCTTGCCTTCTGCCATGATTTTGAGGCCTCCCCAGCCATGTGGGACTGTAAGTACAATAAACCCCTTTCTTTGGTAAATTGTTCAGTCTCGGGTATGTCTTTATCAGCAGCATGAAAACGGACTAATACATTAGCTTAAAAGTTATGATACGGTTTAATTATTTCATTTAGACTGGAATGTCAAACATATATATATATTTAGGTGATATTACAGTTACACATTATTACTACAACTGGGGTCAATAAACTGTGCAAAGTTTAATTATATTAACATTAAACTAAGAAAAGAAAAATATTAACTTTTTCTTAACATTTTCACAATGTTATGCTATAAACTTTTTGATTAAAAACTATAAAGATAAAACTTACAGTGAAATATTTCAATTATAGATGAACACTAGGCCCCCAGTAATCCTTAAAGTTTTAGTCTACAAGCACTGTCAGGTCCATGGCAAGTAAATAAATAAAATCCAATAAGTTCTTGAAATCACTAAAACACTTAGATTAAAAATGCTTATTGAGTAATAATTGAAATCTGCTATATTTCAGAAAAAGAAATGATTTTAAACAAATTATTATTATTATTTTTTTTGAGATGGAGTCTCTCTCTGTTGCCCAGGTTGGCATGTAGTGGCACCGTCTCAGCTCACTGCAACCTCCTCCTCCCGGGTTCAAGCGATTCTCCTGCCTCAGCCTCCCAAGTAGCTGTGATTACAGGTGCCCGCCACCACACGCGGATAATTTTTGTGATTTTAGTATAAACAGGGTTTCACCATGTTGGCCAGGCTGGTTTCGAACTCCTGAGCTCAAGTGATCTACCCACCTTGGCCTCCCAAAGTGCTGGTATTACAGGTGTAAGCCACCATGCCCGGCCAACAAATTCTTATAATAAAAATATCAGGAAAAGTAATGAAACCCATAGTTTATTTCTCTTTGGTGCAAGGTAGTTTCAAGCCTCGTTTTTTAATACTCTATGTTAAAAATCTATCATTCTTATAATGATTTTTGCTGAATACATTTATGAGCATTTTAGCAAAAGTTATAGGCCTAAAGAAGGCTGGTCTTTAAATGGTTAAACATATGGACATTTGTTATTTTCTAAAGTAGATGGTTGGATATGAATAAAAGATAACACCTTCAACTGAATAGTCACTAAATTGTGATTAGCTAATTGCACTATGAAATTATTATGATCTACAGGATAAGAGACGTGTTACACATTGTAATTTCTAAACAAACACATCAATTTCATGGGGCACAGTCCCGCCTCCATATACAGTAATTTACACACACAATCTCATTAGTATAAGTAGGATTTACATACCAACTCCCTTTAGTAGTTAAAGGAGAACCTAACTCAATAAGATTATTTCAAGTTTTTAGGCAGAAATCAGGGATCAAACTACCCTGAGCTAGAGAAGTTCAATATTTCACTTGTCAAGAGACGATGGATATAGAACCTATTTGTATCATGATTTCCTATGTTAAATGCTTAGAAAAAAATAGAAGGAAAGAAATGAAATGAAATAGCTTTATTGAAAATACTTTGAGAAGGCCCTGGTGACCTCAGCTTACTGTAGGTAGAATTTTGCTCTTGGTTCATGCAGGGTATGCTCAGCCAAAGCTTCAGCTAAGGTCATTATTGCTACGGTTTCTATTCAAACATATTTTTAGTCTTTTTTACTTAGGAAAAAGACAGAAGGGATTTCTTAGAGGGAAACAACTTGGGAAATGAAGAGAGATCTATAATTTTAGTTTACACAGCTTACAGTAAAGCTTAAGGTTAAAGTAACAAAACAGAGCAAAGCCTGACTCACATCAACAGAGGCAATTGCTTTAAGGTTTTATAAATGGAGAAGAAGAAAAAGAAGAAATAACAGATCAGGGTTTTAAAGTGATCCCAGAACATGCCTGAATCTATTTGTTGGTAGACTGTGAAAAAGAAAAGTGTTTAAAGGAAAGATTAATTAAAGCCTTTCATTTTCTCTAAAATGTTTTTAAGTCCTTTGTGCACCAGGAACATCACACTTTAACCTGCAATTGGCATCCATACAGATTCATAAATAGGCTCCAGTTGGACAGACAGACTCATTAATTCTCTCTTTATCACAAACCCAGAACATCTGGGTATTGCCTTTTAAAACAACATCAGGTTAAGAAAACAAACCATTTCTCAGACCTGACAAAGGGTTTTGAGTTACAGGATGGACAATCTTAAGGTGAATAAACTAGTATAGTTGGATATCACATGCAGGTTATTTAGAAGTTTATTCACAACTTTATGGATTTCTGAATCCCATGCTCTGCACTTTGCCATTTTCAACCTTGTTCCTAGTTTTTGGCTAAAGGGAAAACAATTAGTACATTTCAGGGAACAAATACATTTGAATAAATTATACCTGTTCTCAGAATATTTAGGATAAGGGTTAAATACCTCAAATCTCTCATGCCAACTCATTCTTTGGACAACACTGATTTAACTTATTAAGAGAAAGGCTTGGTTTGTTCTTGCTGATCCTGAACAGCCTAGGAAATTCTTAAATTCTGAACTCATATATCTCCAAAGATTATCACAGAAGATTTTTTCTACTTCTCTGTTTAAAAGAAACATCATGCCTCCTCCTGAAATATGACTGTTGCAGAGCCAATGACACACTTTCAATGTCATAAACATGGACGAATTTGCTTCGAACATTGCATATAGGAAAGAGTGTGTTTCTTGCTTAATGTTTGCAGTAAAACAAACAGTAGATGCACAACCCTATTGGAGACTCCAGGCCCACTTTGGATTTCATATATAACTATCCTTGTCCATAAGAGGAAAAAGAATATTATCAGATCTAAATTGACCAGGCTAGGAATGTGTGTACATCTGTGTGTGTCTGTTTGTCTGTGTGGGTGTGTGTTGTGCACTCCATAAACGTGGATTTGAAACAGCCTTACAAAAGTATAATACATTTTTAAAAATTATTGTAAACAGACCTCCACATACTCCTTTGATGAGATTAAAAATTAAAGTTTTTTTCCTCAGATTAATGACAACAAAAATAATTTAATTGGGCATTTTCAGATTAGATTGGTACCTCAAGTCAATCCAAATTCCAAGCTTCTTGATTTCCTAAATGTAAATTATTTATAATAGGCCTTTATTAAAGCATATATGATCTAAAGCTCTACTTTATAAAGACCATATGCAAAAGGAAAACATTTAAAAAATAAAAAAATACATAAAATGAAACCCCAGAGTTGCTTTATCTTAAATTTGCTGTTGTTAGCACTTTCAAATGTAAAGGGGACATTAAATCACACACATATACCCACAAGCTTAATGTTTTCATGTCACCTCTTCCCATTTTATTCTTTTAATTGCAATGCTACAAAGAGGAACTTTAGATAATTCTTACCAGCAAAGCCCAGTGTTGCAACATAGCTAACTACCCCCGAGCTTCTATTTAAGGTTACCTGGCATAGATAGCTCTGCCAGATGTAGTTTTGCTATTGGATAATTTGATTTACTGACAATGTGCACTGCCTTAAAATAGGAAGTGCCTAGGTGACTGGTGTCCAAATCACACATATTCTTTTTGTTAAAATGAAATGTGAGTCTGAATTTAGCCTTTAATTACATTTCCTTCTCTACCTCCAACAAACAAATTTTTACAACCTCCCCAATAAAAAAAAAGTCATATTTTGTGAATTACTATTTTGGAAGCAGCCCAGGACAAAACATTATTTAGGAAATTTTCTATTATTTGTATTAATCAAAGATGTACATCCTCTGTGTTTTTAATAGTTTTATCAAATCGCTAACGCCTGACTTGGAGACCCAGTTGGCCACAGTATTTCAGGCCTTTATCTTAACTGTTAACTGGTAAATTGAAATTACCCTGGTAAGACCATAATGCAAAATAAAACAAGCTATTGTATGTGCAAAGTAACATAAGAGAGCTTCTGCAGTATTTCAGGCACTTGGACTGGCCCAAAATCATCTCAATAGAATATATCTAGATCATATAACAAATGAGCTCCCCATGGGTAAGGAAGAGGGATTCATATCAAAATAGAAATAAAATAATATTGCTTAAGAGAAACATTAAAACTAAGCATTCCTTCAATTATTTCCCCTAATAAGATGAGTCTGTCATTTCTTTCATTTTGGCTTTAGCCCTGTGGAGACTGCATTGTTCCATCAGGATTGTTCTGTCAAATGAAAAACCTGTCCGCATTTTACCATGTGTTTAAACAACCAAGACTAAGTATTAAATTTGAGGACTCTGTACTTTAAGAAACGTTTTTACAAGTGGAAAGTTATTCAGCTTAGATAGTTCATTCATTTTCGAGAGCCTTTTAAACCTGCATAATATATTGAATGTCAAAAAGCTATAAAATCTCTTTAACTATTGATATCTATTTGTAGATAGCAATATAAATCCTGCCATAAATCCAAACAAGTAAATGACTTCATCTAAACTGTTTTGGGGGATTGCTCTATTGTTATGGGGCATAGCCTACTTGTTATATTAGGTACAAGTGAGCTTAAATTTGTTTTTTGGGCGGGGGTCTCTCTCTTTTTTTTTTTTTTTTTTTTTTCTGAGACAGAGTCTCACTCTGTCACCCAGGCTGGAGTGCAGTGGCACAATCTTGGCTCACTGCAATCTCCACCTCCTTGGTTCAAGCAATTCTTCTGCCTCAACCTCCCGGGTAGCTGGGATTACAGGCACATGCCACCACGCCCCACTAATTTTTTGTGTTTTTAGTAGAGAGGGGGTTTCTCCATGTTGGCCAGGCTCGTCTCCAACGCCTGACCTCAGGTGATCTGCCCGCCTCGGCCTCCCAAAGTGCTAGGATTACAGGGGTGAGCCACCTCACCCAGCCCTATTGTCCTAGAAAGTCAGCGTTGAATGTTTTTAAATAAAAATTTGTAGTAACAATAATGTAAATGTATGTGTTGTATACTATATATATGTACTCTAGTTATGGGTATCTACAGTTATGGAGAGATACCATGATAAATACAGAAAAAAAAAAAACCCTCATTTTCATGGTGGACTTTCTTGAATTAAGGCCTTACATCAGTTAAGATATTGTTAGTTGCCCAAATAAACAAACCCCAAAGTTTATGTTTCATTGATGTAAAGTAAAAATTAAATGTTCTTGATTTGGGGCACCTTTTTTTCAAGCAGTAGTACTTCAGGGACATTGGATCTGTCCATCCTGTAAGTTTTATCCATCTTCAAAAGATGGCGTCCAATGCCACCATGATAGCCCTGCCCTGTGGAAGAGGAAACAACATGGGTCTGGTCTGGAAGAGATTTTCATTGCATTCCATTAGCCAGAACTCAGTTACATGGCCACCACATACCAAAAGGGAAGCTGTAATATTTAGTCTAATCCTATGCCCAGAAAGGGAGGAAATAGGTTTTGCAAACAGATAGTCTTTGCTACAGTTCTATTTTGCACGCCCTTACAGTGGCATAACACATTTATTTTCTTCATGTCTTTTCTAGATGATCACTTTATCCATCAAGTCCATTCATGATTGTGCCTCCATCCTAAGCGCCATTGCTTTTGTGCATGCCCTCTTCATATGTTTTCTGAGGTTTTACAACAGACTCCTAGCTAATTAAACTACATCTTATCTTCCTCCATTTTCCATGTATGCTTCACATAAAGGCTTGTATTTTAAAACACAAATATCATGAAATAATTCCCTGTTTCAACCGCTCTTAACTGACTACAAGGTAGACTTAAATCACTACCTTGGCATTGGGTGCCCGTCATGATCTGGCTCTTTTATACTTTTCCATATTTGTCTTCTGCCAATCTCTGTATTTCATTTCAATTACATCAAGCTACTTTAACTTTTCTAAACATGCTGCATACTCACCTGCCTCCAGATGTTTTCTTATTTCATCTAAAGCCTTTTCCTTTTTGTTCCATATTGGGAAGTACTACTCATACTTTAAGACAACTAAAATCTTAAATTTAAATAAACTTTTTATTCAAGTAGATTTAGTGTTTTTCTCCTTATAGCTTAAACATTTCTCTATTTATATCATTTACCTATACCTGTGATTCATAGCTTATTTTTTAATCCCTTCCCCAAGATTGGAAGGTTCTAAAGACTATGGATTTTGTGATATTCTCCATTGATTCAAAGCCTCTAGCATAGAATCTGCTATATACAAAGCTAAAAAGTGAATCGATCTCAATCTTTGTCTTGGTGGGCTAAATTATTTTCAATGAATTAATGATACAATGAAAGTACAATGAGGTAGGCTTGTGTGTGAATGTAAAATGTATTGTCATGTAGAAATTCAAATATAAACTTCATAGTTCAGAATTTGAGTTGTTTGGTCAAGCAGCACCATGCCAAAGAAGTTCTATCAGCCAAGTCAATCTAATTTCTTTAAACTCTCTTATACAGAACCTCTGTCATTTTCAGTCACATACTGTCACTTAAGAAGATGTTTCTTCTAGGTCATCCTAAGAAAGAGATGCTGCCATCCAATCAATAGCTATATCTTTTTCCAGACTCAACCTTTTCAAGGGATATTCTCCAGCAAAACCTGTTCTTGCTTTTCATTCTCATTTTGATTGTCATTAGGACTACATTTTAAGTGCTTGTTCTGCATTATCTTCAGCTCCAGTAGAGTCATGAATGGGAGACGAATTCAGACCTCCCCACCCCCAGAGGTACTGTCAGCTTTTTTCTCATAAGTCTTTACAAATAAAAACACAATGGAGCCTTGAACAATAAAACCAGTCCTCATCATCCTCCTTCTCAGCCTACTCAATGTGAAGATGATTTGAGATGAAGACCTTTACAATGATCCACTTCCACTTAATAAATGATAAATGTATTTTCTCTTCGTTATGATTTTCTTAACATTTTCTTTTCTCTAGTTTACTGTAGGATACAGTATATAATACATATAATGTACAAAATATATATTAATAAATTGTTTATTATTGGTAAGGCTTCCAGTCAACAGGAGGCTATTATTAGTTAAATTCTTGGGAGGTCAAATGTTATACAGGAATTTTTCAACCATGCAGGGGGTTGGTTCCCCTAATCCTTGAATTGTTCAAGGATCAATGTACAGTCCAACTTCAACAACAAAGACACTTTGCTTGCTATCAGTAATTTTATACTAAATCTTTTATTTATATCTATCAATAAAATCTTCATTCAAAAATTCCTGGCCAGGCATGGTGGCTCATGCCTGTAATCCTAGCACTCTGGGAGGCCGAGGTGGGTGGATTGCCTGAGCTCAGGAGTTCGAGACCAGCCTGGGCAACATGGTGAAACCCCGTTTCTACTAAAATACAAACAATTAGCTGGGCATGGGGGCGTGCGCCTGTAGTCCCAGCTACTCAGGAGGCTGAGGCAGGAGAATTGCTAGAACCCAGGAGGCAGAGGTTGCAGTGAGCCAAGGTCGCGCCTTTGTACTCCAGCTTAGGTGGCAGAGCAAGACTCCATCTCAAAAAACAAAAAACAACAAACAACAAACAAACAAACAAAAAAATCCTATATAGATATTTGGGGACCACCAGAGCCCAACTCACAGCCATTATTAACTATTTGATTAACTGGCACTTATTGTTTCCTTCAAAAATTTAACACTATTCAATGTAAGCAGATGGCAATCAATAATCAAAACTTGTTGAATGAATTGTTGAATGACAATATCATGTGTCATGATACTAGACATTGTCATTATTTAAACTGACTATGGTTACAATGTCAACTGGTAAACTTGAAGCATTCAATCAGAGAGAAAATAAGCAAAACAAATCTTGCAAATTAATTGATCAGTATTGTATATCACAAGGAAAACATTTTGGTTAAATGAACACTTGACATTTCCACCATTTGTGGTTGATTAGAGGGTCTCAACCTAAAATGAATTTACTTCCCATGAGACACTTGGCAATATCTAAGACGTTTTTGAATGCCACAACTGGAGGGAGTTTCTAGTGAGTAGAGATCTGAGATACTTCTAAACATGCCCCAGTGCACAGTAGGTTAGTCCCCTACAACAAAGAATTACCTGTTCCAACATGTCAATCATGCCAAACTGGAGAGACTCTAGTTAAACCATAGACTCATAGATAATTTGAAATACATTGCTTTATTTCTTCAGTATTTCTCTGGACTCTAATGTTTATTTCACCTACCTCCATTCACGTAAGCAATACACTTAAAAACCTTAAGTTTTTGGATGCGCACGGAATGATACCAAAGAACCTTGACTGTAATATTGTCATATATATCACTTATATTTTCACAATGAAAATGATTCAGTTTTAGTTTATCAAGTGAGAATGGTATAGGCTTTCCACAAAGCATCTCTAGCAATTTGTGGAGGGGTTTTCCAAGTTGTGTACTAGGAAAAAAGAAGCTGTTGGTTTGCTAGCTTATCATGAGGTAATTTAAACAAAACAACATTTGTCTTCTTTGGGTAAATCTTTATATTGGCTCACACAATCGGGGATACTAAGAGCTACTCATAAATTTTCCCTCTAGTCCTTGTCATATCTAAATCAAGAAATCATCTCTGACATTCATCACGTGTCCAAACACCAAATCCAACCAGGCAAAAAATACTGATTTCTAACCCCTAAGATCTTTACAATACGATTTTTCCACATAATTTCCACCAGCACTGCCTTGGTTCACGCTGTCAGCACATTTACCTGACCAACTTACTTTCTATTTGCCTTTAAATGTAACATCATCCTCATCACGGTCCCATGATCTATCATCCTTATTGTTACCAATAGTGACTCTTCCACCCCACAAAACCACAAAACTTATCATGTATCTCTCTGTACTGGTTGCCATGTGATCTCCACTACAGGTGATAGTTTATTTATTTATTTATCTATTTTTAGATGGAGTTTCACTCTTGTTGGTCAGGCTGGGGTGCAATGGCACGACCTCGGTTCACCGCAACCTCTGCCTCATGGGTTCAAGCGATTCTCCTGCCTCAGCCTCCCGAGTAGCTGGGATTACAGGCATGCACCACCAACCCCGGCTAATTTTGTGTTTTTAATAGAGATGGGGTTTCTCCATGTTGGTCAGGCTGGTCTCAAACTCCCGACCTCAGGTGATCCAGCTGCTTTGGCCTCCCAAAGTGCTGGGATCACAGGCATGAGCCACCACGCCCGGCCAATAGTTTAATATGTTTTCACATTCAGGCTTAGAAACAGAAATCAATCTAGACACTTGTGGTTCATATATGCTCCCTGCTTTTGCTGGGATTAACTCATGGACTAGGTGTATCTAAGTCTGAAAGTTGGAATTTTTATCATGAAAGTTCTCCATAGAGTAAAGTACAAGCTCTTTAATACATAGCATCCTTTGTGAGAAAGCAGCTGTGCTATTCCCTAGTGTTCCCTTACGCTTGCCCTTTGCTGCTGCTATGTCTGATAGTACATGCCCCCAAAAGTGGCATTTTGTCATGCCTTCTCATATTCCCTCATTCCTTCTACCTAGAATGTCCTTTCTGCATCTTCTTTACCTTATGGACTCCTAAATTAGGGATTTATCAAGGACATAGAATTACCATATGACTCAGCATGTCTTCTCCTAGGTATACACCCCCTAAAATTGAAAACAGGTACTCAAATACTCATCCACGTGTTCAAAGCAGTGCTATTTACAATAGTCAAAATGTTGAAACAACCCAAATGTCCATTAACGTATAAATGGTTAAATAAAATGTGGTGTATCTATACAATGGGATATTATTAAGCTATATAAAAAATGAAGTACTGACACATGCTACAACATGGATAAACCCCAATAACTTGCTAAGTGAAAGAAGGCAGGCACAAAAGGTCACATATAATATGTTTCCATTTATAAAAAATATCTAGAATTGCTAAATCCAAAGAGACAGAAAGCATATTAGTGGTTACCAGGGGCTGGAGGTGGGACGGGATAGGAAGTGTCTGCTTAATGGGTACCAGGTTTCCTTTGGGGGTGGCAAAAATGCTTTGGAACTACATGGAGGTCACTATCGCACTACATTGTGAATGTACTAATCCTGCTGAATTGTACATTTTAAATGGTGAATTTTATGTTACAACAATTTCACCTCAAAAAAAATTTTTTTTCCTCAAGACAGGGTCTCACTTTGTCACCCAGCCTGGAGTCTAGTAGTGTGATGATAGCTCACTGCAGCCTAGACCTGTCCAGGCTCAAGCAGTCCTCCCACCTCAGCCCCATGGAGTAGATGGGATTACAGGTATGTGCCACCACACCCAGCTAATTTTTTAACCTCTATTAAAAAAATAATTTATCTAGACAGTTCAGAAGGCACTTTGAATGTAAAACCATTACTGACATTAACTATCTGAAACACCCTTCCTCTTGGCTCTGAGAAAACCATGTCTTTATCTTTGAAGAGACCACACATTATACTCTAATTGCCGGTTTACTACCTGTCTCATCCAACCCCAGCCAAATTGCAAATTTGGTTCTCATATCCCTTATCTTTGTCTTCCTAAATTGTATGTGTTTGAGTTTATACAATAAAAAATAAAATTATATGCTTTCTAACTTGAGATAACAATGATAGATCTGAATCTGTTTTATTAATGAATGATAAATTTAATAATATTTAACTAATACATTTAATATATTTAAAACTTTAATTTTGTAAATACATGGCATATCAGCAGATGTTTAAATGTATATTAATTTTTATTTTTGGATGCAGATGGCGGATATATTTGATGTGGTAATTCAAAAACACAATAATAGTTTAATAAAAGCTACATACAGGCAGAGTGTTTATTGGGTGCTCACCATTGGGCTGTCCACTTTATCTAGGTATTCTACTGACTTATTTCCCTGCCACTTTTTGGTAGTGACTCCACAGAATTTAAATTTCTGCTCAAATGTAAACCTCAGAGAGGCCTTTTCCAAGACTCTTATCTCAAAGAGCTCCTAACTCCATCATGTAACACTGTGTTTGAACCACTTTTTTTAACCTGAATTTATGTTATTCACTGTTATTATATATGATCAGAGTTTTCTACCAGTATATAAACTACCTGAAGGTGAGACTTTACCTTTTTCTTTAACAGATGACTCTCTAAAACACCCATTTTAAAAAAATTTCTCATTGTTAGTTATATCAGTGAGTAAAAATCTGACTTAGGAACAGAGGACAGAATTAGCTCAACTGATTTAAAAAGAAGTATGTTGATAAGTTTTAGTTAAGCTAGTATTTCCTCAATGCCTTGGCCTTATTCTTTTTTGTTGTTGTCATGTAATACAGATAAAGATAATAATGTACTATTGGTTATTCAGAGAATCAAATAAGAAAATACTTGTGTAGAGATTAGAACCCATAGTAACTTGAGTTCCCATAGTCCGTTTCCAATTCCCTTATTTAGATAGTAAAAACATTCACTTTAAATGAGATCACATTGGCTGCCTAGATAATTTTCTTGGCCTCTGTAAACTCTGAAAGTAGTACTTGAAATAGATTTGAATGAATACTTCAATACAAGAACCGTTAAATTTCTCCTTCCAGTTAGCCAATCTAAAAGGACTTATTCAATGCTATGTGCCAGGGACTGTGAAAGGTACTGGCTGTTTAGAGTGAACAACAGAATATGCAGTTCCTACTTTTCAATTTTTCATATCCACAATCAGAACAATAGCCATTCACTTTTCAAAGTCACATAGGTAAACAAACACAATTTCCCTCATCAATAAGACATTAACATTTATTTTTATTTTGTTGGGGTTTTGCATTATCTTAATGAACTTTGTAAACATCTGGGAATGATTTGGTTTATAAAGTCCTACTGACACTTAATGCTTAGGACCCCAAACACCTTAATCTTCAATTTCTAACATACAATTGTCAAGTACAGCATGCAAATGGCAGCCCTCTTTCCTATGAGAAACACGGGAAGAAAGTTTGCTATTTGTCAATAACACTAAATTAAGCAGGGTGGCTAACAGCTTCAAAAGTTGGGGTCAACTACACAGCCAGAGTTGCAACCATTCACTCTACTTTATCAATATTTTCAAATTTATGTGACTGTGTTTCCTGATTTGGACTGTACCATCTCCACTAGAAAAGGAGTTTCACCTAGAACTCAAACTTTTTTGCCAATGATTTTAGCATCTCTGTATCTGTTTTCTATTGCAGTGATAGAAACGAATCCAAAATTCAGTGACTTAAAACAATACCTATTTATTTAACTTAGAATTTTACAGGTCTACAGTTTGGGCTGGGCTGAAAAAAGTTATTCTTGTCTCTGCTGTCTCCTTTGGTTACGGTTGGCCAGTGACTCTGTTTCTGGGATTGGTTGACTGTCATTTGGGCACCTCATATTTCCTCCATTTTTTCCTAAATCCTCATGCAGACTAACCTAGCCTTGTTTACATACGACTGGTAGAGGTCTCAGAGAGACCAATAAAGTGTCCTTTCTATTAGCCTAAACAAGTGGCAGTTCAACACAGATTCAAGAATAGAAACAACAGACTGTTTAGTGGAGGAAAAAAAAAAAAGCTATAGAGCTATATTATAATGAGCATGAATAAAGGGGAAAACGAAGAATTGTGGACATGTTTGTAATTGATCTACCAAAATTTTGTTGAGTTCTTCTGAATCCTTATCTAGTATGAGCTAAACCTGGGTTGTGCGCAATCCATCAGATAATAGTCAAGCTACTGAGTAGGTTTCATATTCCTGGGTTTTTCCATTTCCATTTTTTCTCTTTTTCTTTCAGCCTCTTTCTGGAAAGTCTTACAGTTGAACTCATCCATGCTATTACAACCTAAATTATATCTAAGTCATTAAGAAAATAATAAGAATTATGAAATAAGATCGATGAAAATACCTTGAAAATTCAAGGTTAATTATATTAAATTACAGTGGTAAGGATTTCAATTAGACACTTGGAAGTACTTCCTGATTATTATAGTTTGAGGTATTGGCAAGTGATTTAAAGGAAGGCAATGGTTTCTCTAGAGATTAAAAAAAATGATAGACCACTTTATTGGTGGAATGCCTTTAATGAAACGTTGCCAAGTTATATTGGGTTACATCAGATGAACATTTGATGACCTATAGTTCAAAGAAAGAAAAAAATGGCCATTTACAATATTTCCACTTTGAGTAGCAAGACTGTATTTAAAACAAATTATGCCATAAAACAAAAAATTCCTCATTATTCCCACTCCAGTGGGAGATAGGGAGCATCTTTAGTTTTACATTCTGGACCCACATTTATTAATAGAACTTCCTGTCACCTCTATGGGAATAGCTCAAATAATTACCCCTGGTTTATCCAGGTGGAGGAATTTCAACTAAAACTTAGATCAAATTTTCTTGGCTTACAATACATCAGCTGTTGGGTGAGGCTAAAACCTAAATCCCCAAACCTTTTTTTCTAACCTTACTTGTTTACTTGGCAACCCAAGTTTCCTTGTCTTTGCTCTGTCCCTTATCCCGAATCCTTTCCCCTTTCCCTGCTGAGAATTGCAATGAACTCACTTAGAAAAATAAATGCAAAACTCACGGAATGCTGTACCATAATCCATTGGTCCAAACTAAATGACCAAGAAAATATGACTTCATTATTTTAAATAACTGAAAGAAGAATTACCCATGGAATTTCTATATTTCCTCCTTAGGATAACATATAGTTTAATGAAGGGTTAAAATAACAAAACCCTTTTTGTGTGTGTGTGTTTTTAATGGAAAGTTAAACAGAGAAAGAAATAGACGCAATGTATCAACAGCCCAGTTTTAACAATTATCAATTGAAGGCTACTTTTTTCTCCCATGTAATTTTGAAGCAAATCACAGTCATCCTATTATTTTATTTTTTTTAATTAGCAATGGCAAATGTGATTTATGATAAAAGAAATATCATAATGGCTGTGCTAGACCCAACGGACTTCCCTTTGCCAGTTAAAATTCGAGGCTGAATTTCTGCATTTTTGGTACCTGCAAAGCACTCTGAACATAACATTCTGTCATTCTTTGAAATAGCAAATAGAAGTCATTTACACCAGATGAGCGACAGGCTGTGGAGAATTGGCATACCTACAGCACAGGATACACAGCACCACGCACCTATTTCAAGGGAATGAAGAGTGGGTGGCCGGAAGAAAGAAACTCTTTTCCCCATTTAACCTGTAATTTGACAACATCTGTGAAGAATTATCCCCAGCATTGGCATCATAATTGTTGTATCTACCATCAATCACCAGAGAGGGGAGACGACTTGAAATAGATGTTAACGGCATTATAGCTTAACAATGTGAAAGCAAAAAAAAATGAGAGGAATGAGAGCTGTGAGACAGTGCACAAATTCATCAGGAGATTTGAAAGACACTATATTGTTTAGTACAAAATGAAAACAATCTTTGCTTATATAAGAAAAGCTTAAATTCTAGAGACCATCATCTATTCTGTATTCTAGGTGTTAAAAATTCAAGTATTAAGTTTCATATGATAGAGAATCGGTGGTTTATATATTTTCTTTCATTATTGCTTCAGTATGAAAAGCAATATAAATATGAACATTTTATACAGAAGTTGAAAAATAAATGAAACCACTTCCATACGAATATTATTAATATAATGATATACTCACATTATTCCAGGAACCTGAACTCTCAGCAAGAATGAACGTATAGAACCATCTCAAATTTAGCGGCTAAGGACTAGGTAATGCCTATTTACTTGCACCTAATATATTGAGAAAATGTTTTTTGGCTTATTGGATTACTGACATTCAGCCAAATACTTCTTCAAGATTGGTTGCCTAGATATAGGATTTAAAGAATATACTGCATATTACAGTGAAAAAAAATTCTTCTCAAAACATTTTCTTCACTGTCTTCCAAGACATAACACTTTCCTGGTTTTTCTCCTACCTCTCAGCCTGGCTCTTTCTTAGTTCTGTTTCTTGTTTTTCTACATCCTCAGAATTTTTTAATGTAATAAGGCACCTAAACATATATATCAGCTTAGACCTCTCCCTCAAAGTCTAGGCTGATGTATTCAGCTCCTGATATTATCACCTGCAATTTGGTATCTAAGAGTAATGTCAAACTTAACATGCCAAAACCGAGCTCCTGGTCTTGTCTCAATACCAAATTTTCCCCTTTCGCAATCTCCTCAATCTCAGGGAATGGCATCGCTACCCTTTAAGTACCTCAATCCAAAAGATTTGGAGTCATTCCTGACTCTTTTTCACTCACACTCTGCAAAATATTCTGGCCACTCTCTCCCTCCAGAATACCTACAGAATCTGACAAATTTTCACAAATTCTACAGCTACAGTCATCTTCTCCCGATTATCTCTGCTTGAATTATTACACTAGCCTGATCTTCCAACTCCTACCCTTGCCTTTCTAGTCTATTCTGTTCTTAGCACAATGAGAAGAGTGATTCTTTTACAACAAAATCAGATCATGTTACCCCTCTGCTCAAAATGACTTCTTATCTCACTAAAAGTTAAAGCCAAGGTCCTTACAATGGCTTAAAAGACACTATGCTCTAAAGGATCTGGTTCCTCTTACCTCTTTCACATTGACTCCTACTATACATCATACTCTCTTCCATCTCTCCCCCACTCCACTCTTTACTATTCTTTGAACACTCACCAAAGGTTTTTACACTGGCTATACTGTCTTCCTGGGGCACTCTTCCTCTTGATATTTGCATGGATTATTCTCACCTCCTTCAGGTCTATACAGACATGGTACATTCTTTGGGTAACATGCTCACCATCTAAAATTTCATTATGCTAACTTTCACTATGCCTTTATCCACTTTTTTTTTTTTTTGAGATAGTCTTGCTCTGTTGCCCAGGCTGGGATTACAGGCACCTGCCACCACACCCAACTAAGTTTGTATTTTTAGTAGAGACGGGGTTTCACCAGGTTGACCAGGCTGGTCTTGAACTCCTGGCCTCAAGTGATCTGCCCACCTCAGCCTCTCAAAGTGCTGCAATTACAGGTGAGCCACCATGCCCGGCCTCTACTTTCTTATTATAGAACTCATTATCACAGAATCATGTTTTATACTTAATTTATGTTATTTACTATCTGTTTCTCTTCATTTTGCTATAACTTGTCATATTTTAGAGCTACATGGTTGACATGGGCCTAGAAAATTGGATTAAAACTATTAAAGCTGGATAATTATGTGATTTCTCATAGTCAAAATAGTGGACACTATTCCTTCATCACTATTTTGAAAAACGAGGGAAAAGAGGACCACCAAGTCCTCGAGGACATGCAACGTACAATTTTGTACTTATATGTATGTTCCTAGATGTGGATGGAAGTCAATAACTATGGATGGGGGTAGTCTTTTCTTCCTAGCCTCTGTTTATATCATTCTGTCTATGGGAATATGCTTTCATGATTAGTGCCTTTGGTGGAATAACAGTGTAGTTATTCCTTTACTTCTTCAATCAATGTCATAGACAACATTTCTTAACATAAGAATGATCATTCAAACTCTTTTATAATGACTTAATGCAATTTAAGAGTTAATTTATTTGGGTCATATTTAGTAGATAAAATGTTTTAGGCTAATGATTTTGGGGTACACCACTCACATCTCTCTCCTTACTTCAAGACTTTGTACTCATTTCCCAGGATGCCAGGAGTGTTGGCTGCTGTTGGCTCAAAGCTGAAACCCTTCCTGAGAATTATCCTAGGTCAGGAGGCTGCCCTATTCACATGTATGTCTTATTCTCAAGAGCCACTGACAGCCAATGACTAGGCAATGAAGTAAGGAGGGGACTACAAACACTCAGGCTTTTCTCTTCTATTTGGGCCTTCTTATTTTTTCTATTTAGGAACCTAGCCCCAGGCTCCTTAGGATTGGTGGAGGATTTTGGATGTGGTCCACAGTTTATTTTCTCCTTTTGTCCAGCACTGCTTTCTTCACTCCCCTACTGTGTTGACTTGAGGATACTTACCAACAAATTTCTTGCACACAAATCTTTACCTCAGAGTCTGTTTTCTAAGAACATGACCATGACAGTTAGTGCCAGACATGAGTCCAAGGAAACACACTCTCAGAAGGGATTTGGATCTGGAACACCAGCCATCAGCCTGACAGGAAGGACCTCATTATTGGCCATGGTGAAGTAGTGGTAATCCCTGGCATGTGGTTTGGTACAAGTGTTAAAACTCTCACCAGAGCTACACTGATATGGGATATCAGTGGAAGGGAATGCATTGATGGGTTCAATATCCCAGGTGATTGTGAAGGTCAGAAGATGTATTAATTATGAAGACTTTAGAATCAGAAAATTGTTTCTGGGCACTACTGATGAATTTTAGAAAAACGATAAAAGGCTGAGGATGACTAGGCACCAATTTAAGGATAATTGTAAAAATCTGAGAAAATCTGAGGCTATTCTTAGCTGTGTCTAAAGAGGTTCTGATCTCCTGCAGCTAGAGCAAAGGAAAAGCTGAAGATTTTATTCGGCACTTAATCATTAAAACAGCAGAATTCCAGAAAAGTTCAATTCTCAATGCTGATACATCTGACACACAAAAGTCAGGGTGCTGACTGGAAAAGAGGAGGACTGTAAGACTTTATATTAGAATACCTGGATGGATGCCCTTGATAATCTTGAATTCCCAGTCCCCTGAAATCCTGCATGAACAGAAATGGATCTCTCTCACTTCCTATTATCTAATATTAACCCCTTTGCTTGAAGATGATATAGACAGTTCTGTCTTGCAAGACAACACGTCGTCACTCAGAATGCATTCCTATCTCCCTTTCTCTATGCTGGTGAAAGGAGACTACCCAAAGTTTTCAGGGATTGCTTGACAAAGGGTCTGAGTTGATATTGAAAGCCAGAGGCCTGTTTAAGTGAGGGTATGTGGAAGGCAGATAATAAATGAAGTCCTGGTCTAGGTCAAGTTTACTGTGGGTCCTTTGCACAAATAGATGCACCTAGTGATCATATCTCCAAACTCTGGGTATCTAATTGGAGTAGATACATTTGGTAGCTGGCAGAAACTTCCCATTGATTCTTCAGTAGAGGTAACAGAAGCAAATTCTTCGGATTAGAGACAATACTTATTCTGTGTGTAATTTGCCTTTTCTGCCTACAGGTCCTTGGCCAGAACCTACTGAAGGCTCTCAAAATAGGAGGTCCATAGACACAGAGTCCCATATAACATTACATCAGACCAAGGTCATGGGATTAGCCAATCAATCACATACTGTAACCCAGAAACTGTCTGCCTGTAAGAATAATGAAATAGTCTCCTGCAGGTACAGATGAAGACCAGTCTGGTGATAATAATGTAAAGAATGGGGCACCATACTATATTCGAAACTAATTATCATTGTATGGTGTGAATTCTCCAATATATTTAATGCATGGGTCCAAGAACCAGATAAACATAGGAGTTATTTCACTTGTCATTATATCTCGTAACCCATTGGAGGAATCTGTGTGCACTATCCCTGTAACTCTGAGATTTGTGAGTTTAGAGAACCTGTTTCTCAGAATAAGAATGCTACTATTAGGGGACAAAGAAAGAGTCCCATTAAACTTTAATCTATGACTGTCATCCAGTTACTTTGAGCTCCACTTGCCAACAGACCAGTGATGAAGAAAGGAATCACCATTCTGGCAAGAGTCATCGACTCTGATCATCAGGAGGTGATAGAGCTGTATTGCTCAGAGGAGTCAAGGAAATATATGTGTTTTACTTAGTGATCTGCTGAGTCATTTGTTCCAACAATAAAAGGATGAGTGCAGCAACCTTTGTCTGATACGTGTGTGATTATCAGGGCCTCATACCTCTCAAGATGAGAGTCTGTGTCTCCTACTAGGGAAGTCTTTGAGATGAGGAGAGGTGCTGGCAAAGGTGTGTGGAATCTAGAATGGGTGTTTGAAGAAGGTAATGTTATCATTGTAGCCCTGAGAGCAGCTGCATTAGTGAAGACTGTATTTCACCTTACTAATCTTATTTTTTGGTAAATGCTCACAGGAAAAGTGACCAACTAGAATTATGAAAGAGCTAGATCCAGTTTAGATAAACTTACTATAATAAGTAAGTGGGTCTGAGTGATACAAAAGATCAACTTTCGTGGATTTTGTGGTGTAAGGCCCAGATAAACCCTTGGAAATTGAAGTACATGTTCTCTCATATCCTAGGAATATTGGCTACTGATAGTCCACAGCTGAATCTCTCTCTCAGGATTACCCTAAATTGAAGGGAGCTGCCTCACCCAAGGTCATCACCCTGTCTTGGGGATTGGGCCACATTCAGTAACTGTAGCAATAACCACTTAATTAGCCTACAAAAGTTCAGCCCCTTTGTGTCAATTTAGGATAGGTCTGCAAGGCCATGCAAGCATCTGAGTTCCCTGTGGGACCTGCCAAGGTCTCTGTTATGACAGCATAAAAATTCAACATCTCCTTCTACCCAATCCCTTTGTCCATACTTTCTCTAAGGTGTTTATCCAAGATGAAACTTCATACATCCTTCCTGGATTCAAATTTTTGACTCAAAACCTGTTTTGTTGAAAACCTGACCTAAGACAGATGGTGATGATTGGGTATCAATTCTTATTATAGATATTAATATTAATGCTTGTTGGAGTTCCATTCTTTAAATATACATGATATATGTATATATTTATACCTCATATACATATTGATGTGTTTATATATTCACACATATAGACATATAAACTTTGCTAATATTAGCATTGATTTCTATAGTGCTAAGGAAAGGTGGTAATCTTTATCCTCCTCAAACCATCATTCCCATCCAAACCTTCATGGTTCCTATTTCAAAAAGCATGACATTATTATCATCCTAAAAATATATTAGCTAAAATTTACTTTTTGATGATTATATATCAGGCATTACATTGATCAATAACAATGGCAGTAACAAAAGATAGATCTTAGGTAATTTCTTGCTCTTAAGAGACCATTTTAAGAGAACGCATGGTTCTGACAGAAGCATGGAAAAGTAGAAAACACAACTACGTGTAGCTCAGAAAACATACACATACCCTAGGGTCCTATTGGCATAGAATAGCTTTAGAGCAAAACACATTCAAATTTTATATTATTGATTTAATATCTAAAGTGTGTTTATGCTTGAAAAATATGGAAAATATAAAATTCAAGCTCTATTTAAAACCATGTAGTTGTAAGCTAATCAATTGCACAAAGAAATACCAGGTCTTAAAAACATGAAATCCGTAAGCCAAAATATTAATTGCCCAGGTGAAAAAATGTTGGTGTAAAGATACAACATTCTCAAGAAGACCGGTAGTCTGTTCCACTAGCCTGCGAAAGAGCGTGAGGGAAAATGTTGAAGATCCTCAAACTAGGGATGTAAGAATCTCTGCTAGAACTGTGAAACTAAGAATTGGTTGTTGCATAGGTGGTCTCTGGAACAAGTTTTAATTAAATTGAGTAATAAAAAAACACTGCCCTTTATGGTGAGAAAGAGCTCATAAAATTTTTGTACAAATGCCAGGTAACGTTTGCATTAGTGTCCATGAGGGATTTCATTTTTGCTGTTTTCGTCTCCATAAAAGTTCCACCTAAGAAAATAATCAAGATCTTAGTCTTCCCGAAGTGTTTTGTGCATCCGATCTACTTCATAAGTTTGTCCACAGTAACTTTGGTACTCTAACGAAATAAATCACATACTAAGAAAAAAACATGAAGTGACTTCCAAAAGCTCCTACTACTTTGTTATTTCTATCCTGAAATGAAATACATTAAAATATTTGTTGTTTAGGAATATTATAATCAACGTTCTGTTTCATGAATAATATTTTTTAAGAAAAATTACCCCTTCTCCAAAATATGCTTATTTATCCACCCCTTCAAAATTCAGTAATTTCTCCAGTCAAATATGTCCTTTACTTGGACAGCTAAGTTATTTCTCTGAAACCCAGATCTGATCATGACACTCTCCTACATAAAAATATTTCCTGAATCTCCATAACTAAAGCCCAACCAGCCTTTAATATCTTCATCATCTCCCTCTCCCCAGATTGTATCACATATTCCAGTCACCTGTAATTATCTACTGTTCTTCAGTATTCTATTTTATCAAACCCCATTATACATATACAAATTACCTTCTCCAAGGAGTGACCCCTTCCTATTTGTCTTCCTCTACATACAATATAACAATTTAGTCAAGGACGTAAATTTTGGACTCAGAAAGATATGACTTAAAGTCCCAATTTGTTAGAAATATAAACTCAGAAATAATTTAATTCATCTTAGTATTTTAATTGATAAAATAGAGGATAAAAACTACCTAATAAATCTGTGGTGATTGACAAGGTATTTAGTACATGGAAATTTTCTGTTATGTCTTAAACTTAATGTGTGCTCAATAAACAGTAATTGGCTGTTTTCATCATAAAAATAACAGCCCCTCTGTAAATACTTCCTTGATTCACCCTTGCAAAGTTAGACATTCCTGCTAGCATTTCCAAGTTTCTTTAGCACTCTATATAAACTTCTATGATGGAACTTATATTATCATGTTATGTTTTTTACATGATATTCTATCTTTCCTCTGCAGTAAATTTCTTGATTTCACCACTCTTAGAAATCTTTAAATAATTCCCTTTCCCTGCCTCTACCATTCCTGTAGTATAACTCTACTAAGTAAATCAACAGGATAATATAATTTGTTTACATATTTGTTTGTCTCTAATTGTTAAGACGTTTTAGGGAAAAGATTATAGCAGAGGCTGGTAGCTGATGCCTAAATCTTTTTTCCTCTTATTCCTTGTCATATAGCTAGATTGTTTTTCCCAGTCTCACCTCCAGTTAAGTGTGGCTACAGGATTGAGTTCCAGCTAAAACATTGTGAGCTGAATCAATGTGTACCATTTCCAGGCCTGGTTCAAAAAAATTGCTCATACATCATTCTCTATGTTCTTTTCCCTATAGCCTGTTGCAAATAAGCACAGCAATTGTGAGACAACATGTTAAAGACAGCTACCAGAAACCAGAAGTAGACAAACTCTTGGTCCCTGAATCACTATTTTGAGGAGGAACACTTGTGGCTCGGGACAACTGCTTTGTAAATAAGAAATAAACTTTTCTTATGTTAGGTCAGGACTCAAGAAATTTTTTCTACAAAGAACTAGATCATATTTTCAGCTGTGTGGGTCCTGTGGCCTCTGTTGCAACTACACATCTCTGCCATTGTAGCTAAAGACAATATGTAAATGAATTGATGTGGTTGTGGGCCAATAAAACTATTCACAGCACTGAAATTTGGAGCTCATATAATTTTCATTCATCATGAAATAGTATTCTTGTTTTGATTCTTTTTTCAATAATTTAAAAAAAGAAACAGTCATTCTTAGGGCAAGTGGTGAACAAAACCAGGCAGTGACCCTTAAGCTATAATGTGTCCACTCCTGTAAGGCCATCAGAACTTTAGGGTTCATCAGTTACAGAAATTGTTATTAGGTCACAAATACAAGATCTGTAATTTATTCATTTTTGTATTCCCAGAAACAATTACGGCATAGATTAGGCAGTCCATAATTGAGCAATGAACAGATAAAGAAATGAATGGATGAATTTAACCTACCTCCACCTGTGTCTTAGGAACTCATTCAGAGCAGGAGCTATGGCTAAACAAAGTGGCATAAATTTCATAGAGTCTCAATTCTATGTCAGGTACTCTGAATATTTTATATATGTATTTGAGGATAATAAAAATGAATTTAAATTTTAACATGATTAAAAAACACGTAAGAGTCAAAGTACCATATGTGTCAGTATGAAAACCACAATGATTAAAAGTAGAGTTTCTTCTAATAACCAATGCACTAAGATGATAATATAATAAAAGTTTATTATCTATTTTGATTTTAATGTGATCTTAAAATCAAAGACCTCAGACAAATTAAGATAGATGACATTGGGAATTTTTTGCTCTCAGGGTATCCTGATCCTTCCTTTGTAGGACTTCTCTTGATTGTAAGACACTCATTTATTTTGTTACTTATGTAATGCATCTTTTTTTTCCCATTAGATATTAACCCATGTGGTGGCAAGTACCATGTATATCTTCTATATTCTCAGTAATCTAGTTCTTGGCATCTGTCAGACACAATACATATTTGTAGGTGAATGAATAAACTATACATATGATTCTCCTGAATTAAGTAGAGGAGACTAGTTGGAAGAATATTTTCATCACATGAAAATTGTATAAAAGGCAAGTTTTATTCACTTGACATGGTGCCAAGTAGCTCCAAAAAGGAAATAGTCATTTTCCAAATTCAGAAATCAAATCCCTAAATTAAAACGAACAAAAAACATGATTGTCATTCTGAATAAAAATGGTCCTTACATATTTCTAGTAGAGAAGTTCATGATTCTTTGTGAGAAGCAACTATGTCTTTTTTATTATATATAAAATGGTGAAAAACAGCTGTTGTTGAAATAAGCTCAAGCAAATCTGAAGCCTTATAACAAATACAGTGGTTACATTAAGTTTGCTCCATGAGTTAAGTCTGCCAGGCCAATAGAAGACATCAGAGGAACTTCAAAAGCGTGAATCACCTAAGCAGGCTGGCAAAGAATGCCATTTTTTAATCACCTTAGGTCGATTTATGAGCCTGGAACTCTATCAAACATCCAGCAATTCCCTGAGCTTAATTCAGGTACATATAGTTCCAAGCTCATAAGATTTTAGCCTCAGTGTCATAGAATCAGAAAAGAAAATGAAAATACTGCCATATAAACAGAGCATAGTGTTTCAGCCACACATCTCCCTGTTAAGAGAGTATATGGGTACGTAGGAAGGAGAACAATTCTCAGATATATAGCCCACCTAGGTAAAGCACTTTCGAATGTACTTCATTTATTTATTTTAGGCCATTTTTGGCTTGAAATCGTGCAAAATTACTGTCTCTAGTTTCATTCTGCTCTTTTGAAATAGTCCAGATTTTGCGCTAAGAGTTTAAAGCCACAGCAAAGAGCTAGGCCAAGAGGGAAAGCTTTTGAAGAGTTCTCACAGCTGTGAAAACACAGGCCTCAGGCTGTGTGTAGAGTTACTTCAAACAGCTGCTTCAGGTGACTAAACACCTTGAGTCTCATTCATCAAGTGTTGTTTATACTGGCTGACAGACCAGACTTGGAGAATTAACTCGGAGAAAAAAGATGTACTACATACCAAGTATGGGAAAGGAACCTAGTTCTTTAAATGTAAAGCAAAGAAAAAGAAAAAAAAAACCTGAGCAAATTTAAAATAAAGCAGAAAAGGACTACTTTGATTTTATGTTAATACTTCTCATGATATCCTTCGCATCTTAATAATCAAAGGGGAAGCAATACTGATGGTTTGTCACTTTTTGATCCTGTAAATAAAATTAATATGGACAACTCCTGCATGCAGGGAAATACCTCAAATAAGTGGCCACAAGACTTCTCATTAATTATCAGTGAGCACAATATTGAAATAGTAGGTAGAAATAATGCATTTTCATTATTTTAAAAAGGAAAATATGGCTTTCTTCTTGCCTAGATTCACTGCTTTATTGCAAGTATCGTGAAGCCTTGGCCATAGGGTTTATCACCCAGTATTAAAAAATTCTTTTATCTAATCTATTCAAAAAAGTGACATGATAGTATATCTTAAATCTTGTAACTATTTGCATGGATCAAAAGAAGAATGAAATAAAATGACATGAGTCAGTGTCAAGCAAGTGTTACTAGTTAAGTAAGCTTTAAATATTGAAAGCCAGTTTTAATATTTCCTTTTAATCTAGAAATATGTCACTTGGTAATTCTTTTTTTAAAACATCAGGCTAGTTACTAACAACATTTTTCATGGCTTCAGTTCAGCTCTAAGCAGAAAAATCTACCTTTAGATTTCATCAGTTGTCCCTTATATTGGCAATCAGTTTATCATTTACCTTATGGGAGGTTTCAAAATTCAGACTTCTTTTCAGTTCTCCCCTACTCCCAACATTCCCTAGTTCATGAATGACATTTAAATATTGCCTCTATCTTTCTGACTTTTTTCCAGTTCAAAAATCGCTTTCACTTCTTTTAATCAATGGGCTGTAAAGCAGTTCTCAAAATCTGCTGTGCATAGCAATGACCTGGGGATCATATAACATTCAGATTCACCAGGTCTAGCTAGGGCCTGAGACTCAGCATTTCTAACAAGCTCCCATGCAAACACTGATGCTGATGATCCCAGGACCATGCCTAGAATAACAAGGCACTAAAGCACTACCAAATACTAGTCTTCACTTTAAAGGCCGTTTTCTTTTCCAGCTATATGAGAATGGAGACAACTATTTGTTGTCCAACCATTAGGCAAAACAATGATGGGAAACAGGGTTATCAAGAATCAGTACAAAGTTCTACTATTTACAGTAGAGAACTAAAGATTAAAGACAAACATTTTCATACATTCAATGCCAGATCATCCAAAAATATAAATAAGACATAAACATGACAAACCACTTTGTACCTTTCAAGTTCATAGTTCTTAATAATGATAACTGGGGAGCTGTGGGGGAAATCACCTGGAAGGGGAGTGCTTGCCACATCTGGGCAGTAACAATGGGGTTAAATGAAAGAATGCGATATTCATGGGCAAAGAAACAAAAGAAGCCTGCAAATAATAAAGTCAGGAATGAGGGAGGCAACATAAATAAGAGTATAAAAAAGGATATGTATTGAAAATTGACTGTTCTACAAATAAGAATTTTACAAGGCAAGTATCACTTTATTTCATAGATGAGGACAGTAAGTCCCTATAGGATTTATCAGCTTTTTAATGTTAACACAGGTAATAGCTGGCAGGCATTTAAACCTGATTCCTTCTGACTATAAAGTCTTCCCTCTATTGGCCCTAGGTCTGACTCTCAGAAATAGGACGGATGAAAGGATTTTGTACGGGCTAAAGACACAGCTAATAACAACAGTGCTCCCAGGAAAACTGAGAAATTAAGCAACTTGAGAGTTTTGGGAAGTGACAGAAAAAGTCCACTTGAGGAATGTAATGGGAAAGGAAGGTGAAAATGCAGTAAGTGATTAGTAGAGGGAGACGAGCATAGAATGAATGATAAATATTCTGTGAAGTGGGCAACACGTGCTGGTTCCTGAGAATTAATTATGCAAGTTTGGCACTGGATTTTCAGACATGGGCCATTAGGTATGCTCCCATTCAATCTCAGCTGCTTTATATAAAATAACAGACCAGTGCATTCAAAATATTGAATAATTACTATTTACCAGTTGCTGAATCAGGGAGTGTGTTAATAAAACTCTATATGGCTCACCTACACGTATCTGGGAGAAAACAAGGTTGGCAAATAGATTCTGGGTAATATTAAAATAACTTCACAAAGAATGCTTACAGGTGAAGTAGTTGAATTATTCTCTTAGATCATTTTAAGAATGAAGAGTGTTTCTGGATCACAAATACATCAAAATTTCTCTTGCCCTTGACTTGTGAGACAAAGACATACATTTTATGTACAATACGTGACTATGATTTGGAGAATTACAGTGCAAAGGGAAAGCAATGTAAATAAGAGAATGACTAAGATATCCTACATGAAATTTGTCTACAGGGACAAATCTCTCTTTGTTTAGTTACAGATATAAGCAAGGCAATAAGGCACTATAATAATTGGAGAGGATCAGCAATAAGGATGCTGTCATATAATGGGGAGGAGGAGTTACAACACCAAAACCAAACAGACAAATGCAAACTATTCCTCTTTATGACACTTCAGTAAATATTGAATAATATTGCTGAATAAAGAATGCTACCATAGTAGCTTGCCGTTACTATGTTGCGGAGTCAGTGGTTTCAATGTCCTTCTCTCTTCATTTCTGTACAGTGTTTGCAACATTAATGGTATCTCATATATTTTGGTTCTTTTTGCCCGATGGCAGGGAAAGAAAATAAAAGTCGGACTTGTACTATATCTAATTTATTTCTCTAAGGTTTTGTTTGATACTTTTTTTATCCACTTTTTTTATCCTCTGCAAGAATGAAACTTGCTTTACAAAGTAAAATGTAAGCTAGAAAGGAGTGCATTCAGGAAAGTCCTTGCAGGGCAGAGTCTCTAAGGAACAGACAGGGCTCAGCCGTCACCCACTTTAATGTGCTCTTGTTTCATCTCAACAAAGGATTTTCTTTCTGCTCTTCTAAACTCTCCATGTGTATCAGGAGACGTATTTGAAGTCCTATATTTTCCTTCTCTCCTATTTAAATTCTTACCAAAAGTTAATTTGCTTGGAGAACTAGTACTTCACAAGAGACCTTGTCTCATGAGGAGCTATTATGATCACCTGCCACTAGAATTTTTACAAATTGTAGAATAAATAAAACCCAAGGAAGAATATTTGTGACAGCAAGGAGAGAATCATGTCTATGATTCCTCCACCTAAAGAAACAACTGACTTAAGTCTTATAGAAAGTTGGATTCCAGTTTGTACGAAAACTTTGGTTTACATCGTGGAATTTCTTCCTTTCTCTTTGTTTCTTTCTCTATTTTTTTTTCCTGCCTGTGCACCTAAGAATATCCCCAGAATGTCACTGAGGAAAACATCTAAGACTGCTGTGTGTACCCCGTAGTCACTGACTTGCAAACAGATTGGCAGCCAGTAGCTTACATGTGCTTCTGATTATGTTAATGAATTAGAGGTCAGGCCCTTTGACTCTTCAGTTGAAGCAATCTGAATCCAGTTAAACGTAAAATTAAACTAAAAAGAGTTTTGGTTACCTCATAATCTAGGCAAAAATAGCTCATTTAATATATCATGAAATCTGGCATAAATGAGGGTCTCTTCTTTGATCTATGTACAACAAAGCTAGAAAACATAAATTTCCCCAACTTTAAGAATAATAATAAAATATATATTTTACTTACTGAAGCAAATGCAGTTACTCATATTTTCCACCTAATGCATGGTAGTAAATTCCATCACAACTTCACAAGGTGAAAATGGTCAAATATGGACAAGCTTGGCTCCAAGTTTCAATCTGCTCCTTTGAAAGCTCAGCAAGACAGCTGCCTAGTTTTCTAGCCACATCTCGTTAACACATATCAATGAAGTGTGGGTACACTTTAAAGTGTGAGTACAGAGTAGTGCTCCCTAGAATGAGTTTCAAGCCGGCTCTATTCACACATCAAGAAATTGACATTTAGGGGCTATTGGTCGTTCCTAAAATCAGTGGAAAATTTCTGTATGTGGGTGTGTTTGTATTCAGCACAGCTAAAATTTTTTTTTTTTAGAAGAAGACGTGGTCTTTTTTTTTTTTCTTTTTGAGACAGGGTCTCACTCTGCTGCCCAGGCTGGAGTGCAGTGATGCTATCATAGTTCCCTCTAACCTCCCTGTAACTTCTCCTGGGCTCAAGCAATCCTCTTGCCTCAAACTACCAAGTAGCTGGAACTACAGGCACATGCCAACATGCCTGGCCAATTTTTTTTTTTTTTTTTTTTTTTTTAGACACAGGGTCTTGCTATGTTGCTCAAGCTAGTCTCAAATTCCTGGGCTCAAGGGATCCTCCTGCCTCAGCCTCCCAAAGCACTGGAATTACGAGCATGAATCACTGTGCCCAGCCAAGGAGATGTGATTTTTAAAAAGCCTTAATCAACTGGTAATATACGGACTGACCTCTCAATTTCTCAGGGCCAAACCCACTTATCCAAATCCATGAAATAAGGGAAGGGAAGAAGATAATGAACATCTTAATTTTGTTCATTGTCATGCTGGTTAAAGCAGATAGGCAAGGCCAGCTTCTTTAATAACAAAATCAGTTTAAGAAAAAATTATCCCATAGGAAAAGAAATGATAACTGTGGTATGGAAACAGTGACTCATAGCCAACATAGCATTTTCTTTTAAATATCAAGCTATCTTAAAAAGGCAAGAAAGATTACTTTTCCTAATCAAGAGGACTTTGATGAATTCTGTACAACTAAATGTTTTTGAGTAAATTTCTAGTGTAATTACATTAGCCAAGACTTATTAAGCATAGCAGTGATCTAAGTACTATGTTTGAAATACTTGATACCCATACCTGACAATGATTATTGTCCCCATTGATAGATGAGAAAGTTGAAGTAGAGAGGTTGAGTAACTTGTCTCATGGGATATAACTAGAAGGAAGATGAGCTATGGTGTAAATCTGGGCTAATCTCAGGAGTCAGCATTTTTCACTATTAATCACATTCTCCCTCCTAAACAGATAGTGACCCAAATCATTTCTCTACAATTTTGATTTACATATTACTCCTGAAGTGGGGGAGAGAGGGAAGAATGATGTCTTAAAGTTACATGGTGGTCTGCCGTGGCACCACTAAATTTTGGCAGAAGGTAGATCTCAAACAATAAGTAGGTCACCGAGGTTAGCCACAAGAGACTTCATTGGATCCTCGACAAGAATAGTTAAGAAAAGCAAACAGTTAAGCACTTTTCAGTCTACATCAGCAACGTGAATCTTATTAAAACCATTTGCAGTGGCTTTATAGTATGTCAGCTTAGCTTAGCTAGAACTACATTTCCCAAAATTCCTTTTCCAACAGGTGCCTGGGTGAGTTGGTCACAAGATAAATTTCATGAAATTAGCTAGGCACAAGTGAAGGAGAAGGCATTTTTATGGTCTAAGACATTGTCAGGAAGGCCCTGTTGCCACTCTCTTATGTAGTTGCCAATGTTCTAGCTCATCTTGTGAGTGGGGACAGCAGCCAGGCTTATTGGATCTCTTTCTTCAACTGTGCAGAATCCTGGGCTAAGATATGTGCAGAAGGGGCTGGCTTACTTGAAGATCACCTGCATCATTGATCCTGGAGGCAGTGAGAGACAAACATGGTTCCAGTTTCACTTATAGGGTCCTTATTATTCTTTGGTCTCCTCTACTTTACATCTACTGGCCCTTCCCAGATATGTCCTTCCTGACTTTAGGCTTGTCACCAGATGCAGGTATAACAGGCTTACATAGACTGCCTAACTGGAGTTATATAATGTCTAGTCACTACCAAGTTTTTTATTCTATATCACTTATCATGGAGCTGCTTCTCTAATTGAACCTTGACTAGGGCACCACTCATGCCTTAAAATTGCTCTTAGCAAACTTTTGGAATTTGGGGCTACAAATGCTATCAGTGATAGCCTATCATGGTGCAAAAGGCAAAGACGAGAAAAAAATGCACTACTTCTTTAAAATTGGGAGGAGGAAGATAAGAGTGCAGCCAGAACAAAGGGCATACAATATATGAACAATTAAATAAAATGCATCACATGTCATTTAGAGAATGGGTTCTGCTTCTCTCATTCTGTCTTCACATGCCGTATAATTTAAACATGCCATAATTTCATCACAACAACATGGAATTTCCAAGACAGAAATTATCTTGCTCATGGAAAAATAGAGATAAGTATAAATACTATTTCCTCAGTGATTTGAACCTGGCTGGGCTACTTTGCCTCCAAGTGGGGGTACCTACACATTAAATAAAAGCAGCAAAAAAATGAATTTGATGTCATTAAATTAGCTAAATTCCATCTGCAGGGACCCTCAGGACAAATTAAATTTTATCTAACACCACCTACCTACAATAAATGAATAGAGTCTGCCTAAGGCAGTCGTGTCCATCCTAGCTGCCAGAATCAAACTATATGTGATGAGTAACTACTTGTGAAGAAGAAAAAAACAACTTCAAAGAATTAAGAAACTTAATTTGTTAAGCACCTCTAACTGTAAAAGGAAACTCACAGCAAATTATCAGTATGGCTAGGTAAACCATATGGCCTGACTTGCCCTAGACACTCTGCTCTGTGTTTCATTTATCAGCATAAATATTTACAAATGTCTCTTTCACTATTAAATATGTCCCAGTTTTGACCTAATTACATAAAGATTAAAGACCAGATAAAATAATAAAAATAGCTAACTTGTATCTACTACTAATATAGGCCAGGCATTGTTCTGTGGGATTTAAATTATTACTTTACTTGCTCCTAGAAACCCCCTTCCACTATGGAGAAAGTATCGTTAGCACCCACTTTGATAAGGGATCTGATACACATAGGAATTAGAAACTTGCCAAAGCCCACATGGTTGGGCAGAACAGGTGAAAAGCAGAGGCCCTTAACCACTCAACAAACTACACTGTGTCTAACTAATGTGAGTGGATCCAGACCCCTGCCCTCGCATATAGAGACTGTCAGCCTTAGCAAACTAATGCAGGAACAGAAAACCAAATACTGCATGTTCTCACTTGTAAGTGGGAGCTAAGTGATGAGAACACATGGACACAAAGAGGGGAACAACAGACATTGGGGCCTACCTGAGGGGGGAGGGTAGGTGGAAGAAGAGGATCAATGATATGGTTTGGCTTTGTGTTCTCACCCAAATCTCATCTATAATTGTAATCCCCATATTTCAGGGGAGAGGCCTGGTGGGAGATGATTGAATCATGGGGGCAGACATACCCCTTGCTGTTCTGATAGTAAGTTCTCACAAGATCTAGTTGTTTGAAAGTGTATGATGCTTCCACCTTCTCTCTCTCTCTCTCTCTTTCTCTTCTCTCTCTCCTGCCACCATGTGAAGAAGGTACTTGCTTCTCCTTCACTTTCTGCCAGAATTGTAAGTTTCCTGAGGCCTCCCAGTCATGCTTCCTGTTAAGCCTGCAGAACTGTGAGTCAGTTAAACCTCTTTCTTCATAAATTACCAGTCTCAGGTAGTTCTTTATAGCAATATGAGAATGGACTAATACAATCAGAAAAAATAACTATTGGGTACTAGACTTAGTAACTGGGTGACAAAATAATCTGTACAACAAAGCCCCATAACACAAGTTTACCTATATAACAAACCTGCATGAACCCCTGAATCTAAAATAAAAGTTAAAAGACCTAAAAAACAAAAATATTAACAAAAAATAAAATGGATGAAAACTCTACTAATAGACAATCTTCAGATTAATGATTTTTAACCTTTTAGTAGCGTGGGCTATTTAACAATCTTATTAAACTATCTCCCTCAAAGTAAAATCAACATACTTTTCTGTATAAGATTTTGTAACTGAAAATGTATTCCCTTTACATTCAGAATATTAAAATAATTTTTACTATAGTTTTTCATAAACAAATTATTGACCCTTTTCTGAAAAACTTTGAAATTAACCCATAGTGTGCAAATGAACTAAAATTAAATTTTATTTTGCTCAAATATAACAACAACAACAACAACAAAATTGTCTCCGGTTTCTGCCACCAAAGTGCTCTAATTCCCCAACACCTTTACTAGTTGTCTACACCAAAACATTGGATGATGAATGTTATGGCTTGGCTAGGCTACAGTGTCCAGTTGTTTGGTTATCTATCAAGATATCACTGTAGATGTGATTAACTTTTATGGTCAATTGACTTTAAGAAGAGGATATTAACCCCTTTAGCTTGGGTGGGCCTTATCTAATCAGTTAAAGGTCTTAAGAACAAAAGCTGAGGTTTCCAAAATAAGAAATTCTGACTCAGGAATGTAACATGGACATCCTGCCCTATGGATTTTAGACTTGCCAGCCCCATAATCATGGAAGCCAACTTCTTAAATATTTTCTAAAATGAATAAATAAAATATTGATTTTATTACATATAGAGATAAAACTTCAACAGGTTTTATATATACCGTTGACCCTTGAAGAATGCAGGGGTTAGGGCACCAGCTTCTGGTACTGTAGAAAATTTGTGTATAACTTTTGACTTTCCAAACAACTATGAATAGCCCTCTGTTGACTGAAATCCTTACTAGTAACATAAACAGTTGATTAACACATATTTTATATGTTATATGTATTGTATGTTGTATTCTTAAGGTAAAAGATGCTAGAGAGAAGAAAATGTTATTCAGAAAATCATAAGAAAGAGAAAATATATTTACTTTTCATTAAGTGGAAGTGGATCATCATAAAGTTCTTCATCCTCATTGTCTTCATGTTGAGCAGGCTGAGGAGGAGGAGGCAGAAGACGGGTTGTTCTTGCTGTCTCAGAGGTGGTAGAGGTGGAAGAAAATCCACATATAAGTGGATCTGTGCAGTTCAAACTCCTATTGTCAAAGGGTCAATTGTATATGATATAAGATATATATGAACAATATGTGATATATGGTATATAGTATATAATTAATTCCTTTACTTGGAGAACCCTGACTGGTATCATGATCTAGGTAAATTCTGCAAGGTGAGCTCTGCTAGCCTCAGTGGAATGTCAAGCATTGTTCTTTATATAACATTTATATTAGCCTCATAAACTGAAATATCATCATTATAGTCAGTTTTATGCTACCCATGTATATAATAATAAAAAATGAGAACATGTGGAATGACATAATTAAACCCCAAAAGTAGTTGACTTAGTGGTTCTGCCTCTTAATATCATCATCAATAATAATGATGATAATTATGACTAACAGTTAATGAATTCTTACCATAGGTCAGGTATATCTCTGTTATTTCACTTCAAAACAAGAACTTATCGAGGCAGATGCATTATTTTCCCACTTTACAGGTAAAAACCTGAAATATTAGAGTATTGAATAACTTACCGAATCCATGTTACACAACTACAAAATGGCAGAAATAGAATATTAACCCAAATGTATCTGATCTCAGAGAGTTGGCGCTTGGTCATTAAACTATTTTGAAATTCAGTGCCACGCTACCCCGAAAGACAGCAAAGTAGACAGGGACTTGATGTCAAGATTCCAAAGTTTAAGTCAAGTTTAAAAATCTACCAACCACATATCTTTTAAAAACTCACTTCCCTCTTTTAGCTCCAGATTCTCTATTTATAAATAGAAGAAAAAAAAGCTGCCAAAAATCTTGATAGAGAGATAAAAATATGTCAACATACAGAAAATAAAGCATCATTTTATTTTCTTATTTTCAAGATAAGAATTCATATCTTGGGCTGTTTCTCCCACTGACCACAAAATGTCTTGGGATATTGAACATTAAAATAACTCTTCCATCAGAAGACCTTAGTTCTAGCACCCAGCATAAACATAATCCCTTTTCATTTGCTAATATTGACACAAAGATCCTCAGAACATTTTTATCAGCATAGCAGTTCTGGGATAGCACCAACACTTAAAAAAAAATTAGATCAGTTTGTGTGTGTATAAATATATTTACGTAATAAGTTAAAATTGAGGATTTAAAAAGTTATGAAAGGGAACTAGGAAATGGAAGAATAGGACTAAATGGGTAAAGTAATTAAAGGTCAAAGCAAAGCAAAAACAAAAACAAAAAACTTTAAAAAGCAATAAATATCATAAAACTAATAAAATGTTCATGTTCAGTAAAACAAGGAGCCAATTTAAAAACAAAAACTATACTATGTAAACACTGCGGTAGGCCTGGGATAAGAGAAATTTTACCAAATTAGGGAACACACAGGCCCCTTTAGAGAAGAATTTGCCAAATGTTGTTTCAAACATCCTTCACAATGCACTTACTGACTTCGTTTAAAATATTTTGAGCTCCTGAAATGCATATGTTCATGATATTTCATTTCCATTACTCTTAGAGTCAAGATGCAATAGCTTCTTTACTTAAATAGCTTGGCTTTTATTTCTCTGTTTAATTGACCAGCAGTACAGCCTGAAGGTGTGTTTACACTCAGCAGGAGGAAAGGTAAGAATTCAGAAGCAAGCACAAGGATAGATGAAATGAACAGGAAAATCAAAGGAAAACACAGGGGAAGCCAAAACAAAGAGAGAAAGAAGGCAATTTATTTTAGCAATATGATGAAATGAGTGGGGAAAAAGGTTCTATAATACGGCAACTTGCAGGGACAGATCCAATTGAGCTTATTAAGTCATTTTATGTGAAAGTTAAATAATAACTTTAATAAATGCAGAGCACTGAAGCCCATTTGGTATATCAGGTAAGTATAGTAAATGAAATTGTCTGTTTTGCTTCCATAGACTCAAGATACTTGGGAAGAGATTAAGTAAATAGCATCCAGAGAAGATTAGGTGAATAGCCCCATACACCAAGGAGATTGTTACTTTTTTATCAGTATATTGAGCCAATGAAGTTCACCTTATAGACGTCTACATACCATCAGATCACTAACGCTAATAGAAAACGAGTATATGTAAGAGATAGAGATGGAAGGTAAGCTGGGAAAGAAAATTCAGCTCTGTGTCTTTGTTTTCAGGACAGGATAGAATGATATACTAACTAGTTTCCTCAGCTCATTTTGTAGTAATATTTTTCAGACCTTAGTTCATTCCTCCCTTTGCTACTACAAAGGGAGCATGTGGTGCCACAGCCTCACACAAAGAAAAGAAAACATGGTAGTAAATTATCTTAAATACACCTGAACTTGTGATAGCCAGAGTCAGGCTTTCCCTAGATTTTTTTTCACATAATTCTAGATTTATTTTGCCATTTAAAAGTTTATTTTGGCTGGGATTGAAATTTAATTTGTTCTTCAAAGAAACATAACAATGGAAATACAAAGAGGAAGCTTTTGTTCACTCCCTGGGAGTTCTGAAAAGTAATAATTATAAAAAGATAAGATTCTAAATGAAAATGTCGCTTGGAAAGGTTGAGGTTGACAGCGGCACAGACCTATGTGAAGTGAAAAAAGACACATTATAGTCATGAATATAAATATAACCAGATGATGTAATTTTACATCTACAGATGATTTATTGTATAACTGTTTTATAAGTTTGAAATAAAATCCTTTCTAAGAATGAACGTTCGTTCAAAGTCCCAGGAAGAAATGCTTCTTTTGAAAAAAGGTGCTCAGAGATAGTATTATTATTATTATTAAAGTAGAATTAATAGTATACTGATAAGATAATATAAACTAAGAAAGTGGATAAACGAGCACACTGAATCCGAGAATAACAAATTATTTTGGATATTTTCATTTATTTCCAGTCACATCATTAGGGCTCTACTGAGTAGGCTGATCTGACCTCAGCCATTATGCTATGGTTCCAAATAACCCTTGGAAATACATACACACTCACACACACACTAAACACACCATACAAACATACCACCACTGCCATAGTGACAGCAAGATTAGCATTTGAATAAATCCAATGTCAGCCGTATAATTATACAGGCCGATTAGACATTAGGAGCCTGCCTTTGCCAAAGAATATAGCTTGGGGGTATTTTCTCACTTGGAGTTTCCAGGATGCTTTATGTGTATGGTAAAGTTAAGCCCAGTTCAGGAGAACAGCTAAGTTGTGTAAATGTTTTTCAGCTTTACCTTTCCAGATTTATAAAACTTGCATCTCTTGATTCTTATGTTTTAGGAAAATGGATGGCGCGTACACCTGCACACGCACATCCACACACAGGTGCATGTCTTAGAAACCATGTGTTACTTCCTTGCACATATGTACCTCCAACAAAACTCCACCGAAGAAGCTCTGTGTGGTTGTGCAGAGTGTTCATTCTGCATGGAAGCAGCAGGAGGACTGGTTCCCTAATCAAACTTTGTCACTGTCTTTAAAGTTGGCAGGTAGTATCTCTGCATTACGTGGTGGACACAGGGATGGTTTTTCCAGTCTGATTAACTGATAGATTTCTTTATGACACAGACTCATCTTTCTGTATCCCTATTGTTTCTCTCAGCTGTTTACAGTCTGACAAATCAGGACAAATATATATGTCAAACTGTTCCAATTTGTCTGTGTCCCTCAGTATTAGCTGGTTGCTCGCTAAGAAGATGATTCTAGTTAAGATTCACTGAAATTAGCTGCTATAGGGTATAAGAAGTATTGACAGGAAATTTGAATGTTGTGAGAACAAACTTCTTGATCCTCCTCAAACGACCAGATAAAGATAATATGAAGTGTACCCTCAACAGTTGCAAACTCAAATTTAGGGGGTTAGCAGAGTTTTCTGTTCTGAATGATATCCACAGGAATCACATACCATTATCTTAAGAAGGAGCATAGCTCAATAATTTAACTCTGTGAACAAAGAACTACCTTTTTCATGTTATATAATTTAAAATGTAAATAAATATCTATGATAGCATATCAAATCTAGTGAGGGTAGAGGAGTATGTGTGAGAATAACAAATTATTCTTGATATATAATTTTCTCCATATAGCTTAACATTGTCTCTAGAGTTGCACCCAAATTAGTTTTTTGGACTAGTTTTTATACAGCTAAGTTGCCAAATAACACACAAATCAGGACCATTTCAAGTGTAGTTAATATTTCTTCTTGTCATGAAACTACTCTCATATAGATTAGTTAAAACAAACTTTATTAAGATTATATTAAGTTTATTATTTAGAAACAGGATTTTGTTTTCTTTTTTTTTAGGTAGTTGAGCATCTTCACTACTTAGAATTGAAAAAGGCTTCAGTGGTCATCTCAGAGTAATGCCTAATTTTAAGGTGAAGTTGATGTCAGGAAATTTAGAGTGATTTCTTTATTCTCACATCTAACTAACAGCAAAATCAGGCCTAGAGTCTTGATTTCTGTTTCCCAATTCAAAAGTGCTTTACGTTATCTATATTGCTTAATTTAAACTTCTTATTTTTGCACCTAGTAGAAATTAGAAAACTTCCAGAATGTGAGGAAGTAGTGGTTAAGTGAATTGGTTTTAAATTTCAAAAATAAATCTACTTTTCAGTTGGATCTCTATGCATGCTGATTATGTGACATTGGGCTACTTATTTTATCTCTTGATTTCTTTTTTTTCATTTCTAGAAATATTATAGTAATTCATTGTAAGTTTGTTACAAGAATTAAATTATATCATGCATTTAGTGTATTTACCTCAGTGCCTGGCAAATAGTAAGCCCTCGATAAATGTCAGCCAATCATATAGCCCAGGTATTGAAAAACCTTTTTTCATAGAAGGAAAGATTGTAAATATTATTTTTGAGCCATTGCAGGCCAAAAGCAGCAATAGAAAATACACAATTCAATGGGTGTGGCTGTGTTTCAACAAAGCCTCATTTACAAAAACAAGAAGTGGGTTGGATTTGACCCATGGACCAAGTGTCAATTTCTGATATAGTCCATAACTGTCAGATCAGGTTTGCTATAATTAACCAAGTGGTAGAGTGGTATAATACCATCAATTCCCATACTTTTTTTTCTATAGAATCCACACTTATATGGAAAAATATACCTTGACAGGATGTATATTACACGGTTGAAATCATTTGTGTCATTACATCTCAAAGATCCATTTAATTGGATTTTATGGTTGTGATTCAACCTGTCAAGACAAATAAACAATAAACAGAAGTTCACATGTTTAACCAGATACACATGCAACCACGGACCTCACTGAAAATTCCATGCATGTTGTTGGTCACAGAGTTAGAATAGATAGATGTAATAAGTGGCACATGTTCTCTGAGTACTGTGTTGTTTTGTCTGTTTCTGTTGAAAGATGTATGATTCAAACATGTGGCTCTCTAATGTACATTGTGGTAATAAAATTAAAGGTTAAGAAGTTAGCAATTCTACCCTTGCAACTCTGTGGACCTGGAATGCTAGCTCTATGTACTTCTTATCTATAGGTCACATGTAATAATTAACACTTTCATCCTTACGATACATCATTTAGACAAAATGCATAAAGAATTTTAAGGTAAATTGACTAAATTGTGCAGCATCCATTCACCTCCACCCTTCTTATAGTAAAAAAAAAAAAACAAAAAAAAAAAAACAAAAAAACAACAACTTTTGAGAAGCCACTTCTTTCCTTCTCTTGTCTTCTATGGCATGGGTAGACCCAGCCCTGCTTGGCTTAAGCCACTCAGTAGAGAACAATCTTCTAGGCCAAGGCATGGGTTCAGAAAAACGTGGGGCCCACGTCAGAGAGATCAAGACACAATAAGAGTTTTGCTGCGATGTCTGAGTGAAAAGCAGGTAACTTTCTTCCTGAAAGAGTATAGGGGGTAGAATCACTGTCATCATGCTCCTTCCACTCAATGTGGGAATTGTAAGAGCAGGGGTTGTATACTCTAGGTCCAGGCAATAGCATATGCATTGTACATAGAGACTTTAAAACAATACTAAAAACTGCAAAAAGAGTGCCTTGTATTATCACTATTCATTGGCAATGCTAAACAATACAACGATAAAATAGTCTTCCTGTTGAGGGTAGACTGCTCCGTGGCACTTCCCCCAAACCCCCAATCGACTCCTTAGTACCCATTGCTTCCACATAGAGGCTGAAATTTCCAGACAAAGGCAACAAATAGAATAATCTTGTCTCAATGATAACACGGAGCTCTGATTCTGGCCATGCCAAAACCAAGCCCTGCCTGTCAACATTCTGTTGCGTAAGAACCAGAATTGCCTTTGTGCTCAAGCCAGTTTACGTCCAGTTTTCTAACATTTTAATTCAAAGATTTTTTTTGTTTTTATTTGGAATAAAAATGTTCAAGTGTCAAACTTATCAATACATTATACATTTCAACGATTGTCAACTGCTCATAATCCCGTTATAGGGTGTTTATACATAGCAGTTACTGGAAATATGGCATTGGTATAGAACACATGATGATGCTTTTCATTAGAAATGTTCTGCTCAGCTACTGTCTGGCACATTAACGATTTTGTATATGAAAGTTTCTTTAGGCTTAAGATACTAAGTAAATGAAGTAGTTATTTGTATCCCTCTTTATCTCACTAAATAACAAAGTACTCAAAACCGAGAGGATACACTAAACTAATACTGTTCTTCATATATATGTATACACATATGTGTATTGTGTATCTATACATACATTCATACATATATGTGTGAGCATATATAGATACACACACACACACAGAGGCACACACACACACACCCCTACATGGTCCTAACTTTTGATCAGAGTTCATAAACTCTTTTCAGACCACTATATTCTTTCCTCTAGGCTAGATATCATTAAGAATATCCTTCAAACAAAATTATGTTATGTTCTTGTTTTGTCCAGGCAGCAAGTATAAAAGTATGCTCCATTTGATTTTCTGCTTAAATTTTGGGGACATTACTGGAAAAAAATTCTAGTTAATAATTCTCTGCAACCTCCAAAGTGTACTCTTTGTGACCTACCCTCAGTGAAAGAGGAAGAGTGAGAGATGGTCTGCTCTTTTTTCCACATTATAGCATCAGTCTTCTGATTGTTATCTTCATCCTGAGGAAGCTTGGTTTTAAGTTTCCTTTGAATCCTGGCTGATGCATGACTATCAGCATCTGCCCTCTGCCCAATGTTTGACTTTCTCTGAAATATGTACATCAACGATTAATAACCCTCTCAAAGTGCTATGAAATTAGCTTTCTGATTATGTGATTTAATTGCTACGGTGGTGAGACCGGGTCATTCGCACTGCATCTTCACAGGACGATCTTATATAATGTACTGAAGGAAGTAGTGAGGATAAAAGGGAAAGTGGTAACCTAAACTAGAAAGAGATCATCTGCATTTTTACAAAGTCTTAATGAACAAAGTGATCTCAGATATATTTTAACATGTCTACTCTGTATAGTGGATATTTTTCAGATTATACAGTTAAGATGGTAAAAAAAATACTTTTTTATTTAAAACTATGAGAACAACAAAGTTTATACAGATTCCCTGAGTGTCAACCACTAAGAGGAGAACTTATATATATTAACTAAGTAACCTACTGAAAATAAGATACTATCATTATTGTTGTTCCCTTTAAAATGTGAGAAGACAGGCAGAAGGTGTTCAAACAATCTGTACATACCCTACATCTAAGTAGTAGCGTTAGCAATAGAACTAAGGCAGTCTGGCTCAGAAGCTAATCTACGTAAATACCACTCTGCTGCCTCTCAGTAAATATTTAAGGATTATACAGGGATACAATCGCATTTTTAAAAGAATCTATTGTAGTTCTTGTTTTAGGTAAGATGGCGTAAGCACTTGCCATGTGGTTTATCATATGAAATGCATCCATGAAATATGTACAGCATCTATGGGATGACTATTCAACGACTCTAAAAAGTAAATAGTGCCATGTAGAAGGGGGGACCATGAAATATGAATGAGATGGCAGTGAGTTTATAATTTTATTTTTCCTCTGGTATCCTCCAATTTGATCTCAATGACACCCAAAAGTCAGAAGTGGACGCAAGGCTGTGGACACCTTGTGGTCCTTCAGAAGAAGGATTCTAGTTCTGGCTTAAGGAGGAGAGGGAAGTCCTAACACTCAGAGCAGTAATAATATCCCCACTTTTTGTTTTGCTTTTTGTTTTCTTTCTTACTTTTTTTTAAAATCATCATTCTATTGTGTGCCAGCCCCACAACAATCCAGTAATGAAAGCAATATTAATAGCAACAGAGGCCCAGTAGGGCCACAGCTGAGAAGGAGGTAAATCTTTCCCTCTGATGAAGGAGGCTGTGATCCCAGAAAGGTGGGGCAAGCCTCCGTTGCTTTCAATATTTCTATCTGTCTGTTCTCCTTCCTGTGGGGCTCAGATGTGGGCATAGCCACAAAAGAGCACAGCAGGGAAGGGCCATTGAATCCCCAGATTACAGGTCAGAGGACCAAAGAGGAATCTGAGACATAGACAGTATCAGAAAGACCGTGATGAAAGCAAAGCAATCCTACAAAGTTGTTTATAAGTTCCTGGGATGAGCTCCAAGCTGTGCACAAGTAGTTTTATTCCAGTGAGCATAACAAAATATGTGAGAGTCAACTAACAGTTAGACCAGAGCCCAAGTCTCAGACTGACCAGCAGATGGCCGATACTTGGGACAAATCCAAACAGATTTGAAAACTACATTGACATTGGACCCACAGCCCACAGAAGGCAGGTTGGAACTTATAACCTTAAACCAACTGTGTCAATTTCCTTTACAAATAATCATGATTCTCCCCAGGATTTAAGCAAGGCTCAAAGACTTGAAAGATAATACGTAAGTGTCAGGGTGTAATCAAAATCACTTAGCAAGTTGAGAACCAGAACAATCTCAACTCATGTGAAAAAATACAATCAACAGATGCTAATTCTGAGATAAAACAAATTGCAGAATTATCCCACAAAAGTTTTAATGAAGCTCCCATAAAAATACTTTAACAAACAATTGTAAATATCTTGAAGTCAATGGAAAAATAGGAAAACTCAGCAATAAATAAATAAACACATGTATAAGTAGAAGATGTAAATATTAGATTGATTACAGATGAAAGTTAGTGGACTTGGTGATAGATAAATAGAAATTATCTAGTGGGAACAATTGATAAAAATCTTTGGAAAATAAAGCCTTGAAGTGTCTAATATTCATGTCATCAGAGTACAGGAAAAGAAAACAAGATGTGACAATTAAAAAAATTGAAATAAACAATAGTTAAAATAGTCTAAAATTTGGTAAAAGATCTAAACCTACAGATACTAGAAGCTGATCAAACCCTGACCAGGAAAAAGTCAAGTAAATATATGTACGGAAACATCAAAATAAATCTGTTAAAAAACAAAAGTTAAAAATTTTGAATATATGGAAAACAAACAATAAAATGAAAGAGCTAATTGTAAACACATTAAAAATAATAAGTCTAAATGGTCCAAGCAAATCAACTAAAAGATGTAGATTGTCAGAATGAATTAAAATACATGGGTTAATTACATGATATATACATAAAACTTAATTTAAATATAATGATACAGGTGAGATAAACATAAAAGGATGAACATCAGTGAAAACAGCAAAATAAAGACCTCTAATTTTTTTTCTCCATAAAAGCAATGAGAAAAGTGGCAAAGTATAATATTTAACTTTTCAGAATGCTGAAAATTAACCAAAAACTTGCAGCAATAGAGGGGATGTTCTTTTCAAGGAAAAAAAATGCAAAAACTCAGCATGAACAGCAAGCTTGGTGATATTTTAATTTACCCTATTCCCACCTCTGTCCAGCTTGGTAGTTATCTTGAAAACCAATAACTTCAATCATAATGAAAACCAACACTGTGGCAACTACCAAAGGAAGCAGAATAGAACTAGAGCACTTTTATTCCCAAAGAAAATTATTATTTGATTTCGCTAGTGGTAACCTGGAAATCTCTACTTGCGAAGCTGTTTTTATTAGATCTGAATTGAGGGTCTCCCACTATGAACAGTCTTGTCTCCAAGGGCGTTTATTGAAAGCAATTAGACACAATTCATGAAATACATGGCTACCTGAAGAAGTGGTTAATCACTGGAGTGAACAATAGGCTAACCAAAAAAGTTTTAAAGGAAAAACTGGAGAATGAGATGACTAGAGAGGTTTTGAAGCTCCATTATATTCCTGGGAATCTAGAAGATCACCTGCGAACATAGGAGAACATCCCCAGGACTATATGCATAGACAATACAAACCTGAAAATGTCCTAAACCTTCAACTTCGGTTAATTTTGAAGCTCTGTGCAAGCAAGAAATGATTGTTGAAAGACAAAAACAAAGAGAGAATTTTTAAAGCAACAAGACAGAACTGAGTCAACACTTACAAGTGATGATCAATAAGGTTATGGACTAATTTTTTTATCAAACTGTGAATGTCAGAGGCAGTGGGATCACATATTCAAATAGATGAAAAAAAGACTATGAACAAAGAATTCTATATTTAGCAAAACTATACTTCAAAAATGAAGGAGAAATTAAATTAGAAGAAATATTAAATAAATATAATAAAATATTATTGCTTATGTGATTGAAATACTGATTCTTGCTATAACATGGATGAATATTTAAAACATTATGCTACGAGAAAGAAGCCAGAAACAAAAGACCACATATTCTGTGATATCATTTATATGAAATTCTCAAAATAAGCAAATATCCAGAAACAGGAAGATTAGAGCATGTCAAAAGCCAGGAGGTAGGAGATTAGGGCATGTCAAAAGCCAGTGGGTAGGGGCCATACTTTCTGCAGTGGTGACGTCTTCTAGAACAAGACAAAGATGATGGTTGCAAAACTTTGCAAATATAGCTTTTAAAAAATACTCTTTTAAAAGGTAAATTATATGGTATGTTAATTTTATTGCCAAAAATGTTAATTCACTGGGAAGGAAGGAAGGAAGGAAGAAAGGAAGGAAGGAAGGAAGGAAGGAAGGAAGGAAGGAAGGAAGGAAGGAGACGAGGGAAGACGTTGGATTCGTTATATTAATATCTAAAAAAGCAGACTTCAAAGTAATTTAAAGGGAATAAAAAGGGACATTGTATAATGATACAAATATTAATTTACTAAGAAATAACTCTAAATGAGTATGTATGTAACAACAGACTTTTAAAACATATTAGACAACTTTTAGAACTGAAAAAATTCTACAATTATAGTTGGGACATCAGCATTTCTGTATTAATTTCCTAGGATTGCCATAATAAAGTACAATAAACTGAGCTGTGTAAACAGGAATTTATTATCTCACAGTTGTAGGAGCCTAGAAATCTGAGATCAAGGTGATGTCAGGGTTACTTCCTTCTCTTGGTTGTGAAGGAGAGTCTTCCATCCTGCTTTCTTAGTTTCTGGGGTCTTGATCTGAGTCTTTGGCATTCCTTGGCTTCTGCTGTATCATCCCAATTGCTGCCCTCATCTTCATAGGGCATTCTCCCTGTGAGTATGTCTGTATCCAGATTTACTCTCTTTATAAGGACACTAGTCATATTGGATTAGGGGCCAACCCTACTCCACTATGACTTCATCCTGACTAATTACATATGCAATTACCCTATTTCCAAATAATATCACGTTCTGTGGTATTGAGATTTGGGAATTCAACACAGAATTTTGGTGGAACACAATCAAACCCATAACAGCTCCTCTCTCCGAGTTCCCAACACAATCAAACCCATAACAGCTCCTCTCTCCGAGTTCCCAGACATAACTTCAAAAACGTAATACACCAAAGAAGATATGGAAAAATATCCCCATCAAAAGGAAAACTTTTGTGCTGTGAAAGACATTGTTAATTGAATGAAAATATAATCCAACAAACTAGGAGAAAATATTTACAAGTCACATATCCTCCAAAGGACTTTTATCCACAATACTAAAACTCAACAGTAGGAAAGGAAACAACCCAATTAAAAACTGGGCAAGATAGTTGAACAGGTGCTTTAGCAAAGAGGACATGTGAGTGATAAATAAACTCATGAAATGATGCTCACAATTATGAGTTATTAGGAAAATGTAAATTAAAACCACAGTGAGATACAACACACCTATTAAAATGAACGACTGAAAAAATACTGATAATACCAAGTGCAAACAATGATGCGGAGCAACTGGAACTCATACTTCGCTAGTGAGACAACAAAATGCTATAACACTCTGGATAATAGTTTGAAAATTAAACATTCACTTATATGACCCACCAATTCTACTCCTGGGTACTTATCCAAGAGAAAAAAAAAAGGTAGGTTTCCCAGAAAAACCTGTTCACAAATATACGTGGCAAATATATATGAATAAAGTATTCATAATGACCAAAACCTGGGAAAGAAAAAAATGTGTTTCAATTAGTGAATGGATAAAAAAACTATAGCATAGTCATGTAATATAAAGGGACATACTACTGATACATAAAATAACTGGGATGATTCTGAAAGACAATATGCTGAGTGAGAAAAGCTAGCCTCAAAACGTTGCATACATAGATACATACAGTTCCATTCATGAACAGACAAAACCATAGTGAAAGAGAGAGAATAAATGAGTGGTTGGGGTTAGAATGAGACTATAAAAGCAAGAATGGTGGCATTTGGGGGGGCTGATCAAACTGCTCTGTCTCCTGATTGTGTCTGTATTTAATAGTTGCATAAATCTATCTATCCATTAAAATTCATAGAACTATACAACAAAATTCAATTTTTAGGTATGATATTCAGAGATATCTTAAATAATTAAGGAGGCTAGGATCTATTCCCAAAGGAAAGTGGAGGCTTTGACACCAAAAAGTGACACTATTTTTAATAAAACAAAACAAAATAGTGAGCCAGGTGCAAGCAGATCACCTGAGGTCAGGAGTTCGAGACCAGCCTGGCCAATATGGTGAAACTCCGTCTTTACTAAAAATACAAAAATTAGCCAGGCATGGTGGCAAGGGCCTGTAATCCCAGCTACTCGGGAGGCTGAGGTCGGAGAATTGCTTGAACCCAGGAGGCAGAGGTTGCAGTGAGCCAACATCTTACCGTTGCGCTCCAGCCTGGGCAACAGAGTAAGACTCCGTCTCCATCCCCCATCCCCAACCACCCCCCCACCAAAAAAAAAAAAATGTGTTCCTTGGAGATTTCACCATGAGTTTCAGGTCCAGGTGATAAATAGATGTTAAGTCACAAACACATTTTGTAGTCACAACATTGAGATCTCCACCGTTAAATGGAGACCCACACACATAAATAAGCATACAGGGTTAATCATATAAAAATCCTATGGTTCTGGTTGGGCTCAGTGGCTCATGTCTGTAATTCCAGCCCTTTGGGAAGCTGAAGTGGATGGATTGCTTCAGGTCAGGAGTTCAAGGCCAGTCTGGTTAACATGGTAAAACCCCGTCTCTACTAAAAATACAAAAAATTAACCAGGCACGGTGGCACACCTTTAGTCCCAGCTACTTGGGAGGCTGAGGCACAAGAATTGCTTGAAACCAGGAGGCAAAGTTTCCAATGAGCAGACATCGTGACACTGCACTCCAGCATGGGCGACAGATCAGGATTCTGTCTCAAAAATAAAATAAAATAAAATAAAATAAAATAAAATAAAATAAAATAAAATAAAATAAAATAAAATAAATAAAATAAAACAAAACAAAATAAAATAAAAATCCTATGGTTCTGGATGTTGGCATTTTCATCAGTACTAACTGAAAGAGCCATGCAACTAATATCATTATGATAGATGCATAGACCCTACCATCTCCTCTATCTCCTCTACACACTTTTCAGCAAAAATTCTTTGCTATGGTCTTGCTGTCCATAACTTCATTCAAATCATTTCTCACTTTAGGAATTTTTTAAAGGTAAAATTAAGAGTTATGAACATAATTTCACAAGGCCTGGTAAGATTTCAAACATAGGCCCTTTATATAGTCCAGGGAAATAAATGAAGAAAAGTCTAGCTCAGTTATTGTTGTCTGATTTAGCAAATAGGAATCCTGTATATTATATGCTAAAGTTCAGTGAATATATATGTATTCATTTTTTATCTGTATTCTATCATTCTATCAGAAATCTTGTAATAACATTTTGAAGAGTCCATGCAGTTGCTGTAGTCTTCTTTAAAATGTCCTGCTCCTAAAGAATATAACAATTGTATTTGGTTATCAATAATTAGTAAATTCTTATACTGGGTGTCAATTTGATTACTTACAAGAGCTTCCTGTATACCACTTTGGGCCACTGAAATTCTAGCCCTAGGAAATGTATTAAAATGGTCTAATCTAACTTTCACTTAAAATATGAGGAAAATGCAGTCTGTAAAAGTTACGAATTTTTTTTTAATTAGACCATGACTTCAGATTATTTTCAAATTTAAACACTCTGACCCAGAATCAAAAAATTTCAATGATTTTTTTTCTTCTTTCGTTTATTGTTTAACTAATCCCAACCAATTTTCTATTAAAATACTATTATTTCCCCACCAACAGTGTAAAAATATTCCTATTTCTCCACATCCTCTCCAGCACCTGTTGTTTCCTGACTTTTTAATGATTGCCATTCTAACTGGTGTGAGATGGTATCTCATTGTGGTTTTGATTTGCATATATCTGATGGCCAGTGATGATGAGCATTTTTTCAACACTGCATGTTCCCACTCATAGGTAGGAATTGAACAATGAGAACACTTGGACACAGGGCGGGGAACATCACACACCGGGGCCTGTTGTGGTGTGGGGGGAAGGGGGAGGGATAGCATTAGGAGATATATCTAATGTAAATGACGAGTTAATGGGTACAGCATACCAACATGGCACATATATACATATGTAACAAACCTGCACGTTGTGCACATGTACCCTAGAACTTAAAGTATAATAATAAAAAAAGAAGAAAAAATAAATAAATAAAATACTATTATTTCCCTCTAAGCTACTTCACAGACCTCATTCCTCAAAGTCTGATGAGCAAATATGCTTATTGTTTCTTCTGATATTTGTCTTTCTTGAATTTGAAAATCTGGCACATTTGATACTAAATGTACCTAAATTTTTTCTCAAGTTTATAATTTTTTTGAAAAGAGATTGTAAGCTCCTAAAAGACAGGAATTATACTGTATTTAATTTGGTTATCACTCTATACAACATGACCCATAGTTATTGTGTATTGAAAATACTCAATAAATGCTTGTCAGTTTTAATCTTCCATATGAAAGATTGCAATAAATTTGCTTTCCAGAAAAGGCACTTCTTAAAAACACATATGTGAAAATAAACCATGTAGGTAATATATTGTTACATTTGTCTTAAAATAAGCCTTAGGCATTCTCCCACACTTTTCTCACCATTATCTCCATCTGTAATAATAAAACATATCTTCTGATTACAGATATTTCTGTTATCTCAAGTCTGAATCTAATTTATTTGCTATTCAACCTTACTTTTCCTCCGTTACAAGATTTGTTTTTCCTGTAATGCAATCCAAGGTTTTGATTTAAAAGGTAGAAAACATTTTTTTCCAAAGACGTGATATTTTAAACTGAAAGAAAAAAATAACTTTAAAGTAGGTTGAGAGTATTTCACAACAAAAACATCAAACAAATTTGAATTCAAATCCAATAGTTTGTATTTAAATGTGTTTGGAATAGATGACCCCTTTGAGGAAATACAGCAATATATACTCTGCCAAGAAGTAGAAATCTCAAAAATCCTTTCGTAACAATACTTTTGAAATACTTATTTACAGAGAGCAAAGGATTTCTTAGAAAGCCTGTGGTGTTTCTAAAGTTGCATTGTGTTTCCAAAGCTATGAAATACGATGCTCCTTCCATGACACCATCATTAAAATTTAAAAAGCTAATTTAGAAACCACCAAACTATCAGGTACATTTTCTTAGAGACTTGTTCTCTGGATACTGTCATTCGCTGGTTTACTTATTAGTAGAAACATAAGTTTAATTTGTTATACCACATACATGCTAATACCACGTACATGGCAATAAATCATGCAGTTTCCCCACTTACATTTTGTCCAGAGGGCAATTTCTCAACTTCTACTTTTCCCCAATAGTTACATTACCATTCCTTCTCTACACACAATACAACTTTGATTGCTGGCTTAAATCCTCTGGTGAAATAATTATACTATGGGGTAGATACATTACACTCTGGAATTTGAACACTGATGACTTTCTTAGAAGAAATTTTGTTATTTTCATCTTTTAAAAAGGATATATTTAGTTTAGCTATGAAAAGTTAAATAAACTGTCATTAAGAACATTTAAAAACACAAATCAGTGTCCTAAATGAGAGATGTAGAAATGAAATATCCATGGCGGATAGGTTATTTTAAAATTTTTGTGAGAATGATTAATTTGATATCCAGCCATACCCTGGGCATCCAAGGAGGTGATATACTTATTTTCTATTTTGAAAAAAAAATTGAATTTGACTCATTTTTCTTTGATTTTTTTAAAAAAGTACAATAGTCAGAAACAAAGCAATATTGAAAAGCTCATGGAATAATACAATTTTTTTTCCATGAGCCTTTCATCTCTCAAAAAGCCTTCCCCAGCTCCTTTAAATTTCTTTATCATCATGGTAAAGGTACTTTTTTGAGTACTTTATCATCATGGTACTTTATCATCATGGTACTTTATCATCATAGTAAAGGTACTATATCATCATGGTAAAGGTACTTTATCATCACGGTACAGGTACTTTTTTGAGTAACATTGAACTACACTTGTTTGTTCTGCTAAACTCTTAAACCCACATAGGGAATCAAATCTAAAATATTAGCAAGAAAATGGATCTTTTCCTCCTGAATTACCAACTGATCTATCTAACATGTTTTCCCTAGAGAAAGTTGGGTTGAACTTTTACCTTAAATAACTGTTCCAAAACCTCAGTACACTCACTTAAAATAACTCTGAATTAGGAAAATAGCCAAAGGCACAAGAAAGTACTTTACAGACTTAGAGAATTAATATCAGTTAGCAAAAAGAAAGCAAACCGAACTACCAAAAAATACTAAAGTGTACACATATGAGTTGTACTTTCACTAGAATTCTCCCTTTTATTTCTGTTAAATAAATTTGAAAAAGAACTAAGTTCATTCTTATAATTTTCTTTCTCTCTTTTTCCTTTTTCTTATGATTTTTTTGGGGGGTCAAAATGATACTTTCTTTTCTGGCACCATTTACTTCTCTTCATCATGACTTCAAGTATTTCCCTATGCTGTTTTTATTCCACACCCTCTGTTGCCAGATAGCCCCCTTTCTATCTTGTAATTCTCTAGCAATTCTTTCTCTAGAGAGTTTTCTATTAAAATGGAATTGAAATAGAACTAGTGGAAAATCTCCTTGGACTACAGCAGTCTGTTTGTTCTCTCCTTGCAAGCATGTGTTTCGGTGTCTGGGTATGTTTTCTGAAGACAGGAATTTAATATTTAGATATTAAAGCAACCCAATTACAAGGGAACAATTTAAATCCCAGAATCATACGCTCCAACATCATATTTTCAATGTCAAAAGTATATTAGCCCTCTCAGTGAGGTCAGCTAGTCAACTACATTCAGCCTATTGCTACTGTAATAGTGATTTTTCCAGAACAAGACACTGTATAAAACGTGAATATTGCTCTTTATAGATCTTAAGTCAGTAGTCACATTTGGGAATTCTAAAGGCAACAGAGTATTTGAAAAACCAGTATCATTCCTCTCCTATAAGGAAACTAACTTACAATAGAATACCATTGACTAATCAAAGCTGAAGATGCCTTAAAAATAATAAAACATTCTAAGGAAGAGCTAGATGTCAAGTAATCCAGCTAGGGAATTTATGTAAACATCCATGGAATTTTATATATCTCTATATAAATTAGTCAGAGTCCAGTTGTGAGACAGAAATTACATCAATTATTTTAATAATTTTGTATATAAAGAATTGTTAACTAGCCATAAAGTTAACCAGATAATTGAAAATTCCAAAAAAAGAACATGAAGGTACGAAGATGGCAACAACTGGAGGAGCTACCACCTGCAGTCCTGGAGGAATGAAGGACAAGGAAAAAGGATGCACTTTTTAAAACTTGGGAGCTTGGAGTAGGGACTTCTTAGAACTGGCTTCAGACACCTGAGAGGAGTGGTTAGCTGCCTGGCATTTGAGTCTCTGGCCAGGAGGATGGTTCCTGTGGTCCTGGAAACTAGAATTCCGGAGGGTTCGCTATCTAGTGGTTGCTGGTGTCTCTAAGGGGATGTGGTAATGCTAATTTTGCAAGTGCCAAAAATAAAATAAACCCTGCAGATTCAACTGCTGCTATGGGAAGAAGCTGCTATATCATAGTGAACAAGTGTTTCTGGGATCCTCCCATAGGAAGAAAGCAGAGGGGGAGCCAACCAGGAGCCTACCTGAGTGTTAGGTGCCATCAACACCTCTGGCTTCTCACTCTCTCTCTATTGGCAGCCTCTAATGTACATCCACCCAGCAAAGCAGACATCTGATTTGCTAGCTCCCAGGATCAGAAAGCAGAATGTAGAAGGGAGACGTCATGCTGAGAGACAATAGTTTAATGATTAATGCATAAATATCACTGGATTCAGTCTTGGAGCAGAGCTGGATATGATTGTTAAAGTTAAGGTGTCTAACTGAATGGCACTTCTATTTTAATGAGGAATACAGGTAATCAAAAAGCAAACAAAGATAATATCAGACATAAATTCTATAAAGTAAGGAAAACCAAAACAGTATTAGAAGTAATCATAGAAATGCCATGTAGATTGATGCAGAGAAAGTCCTCTTCAAAGAGCAAAGTTTGGTGTAAATGAGGAGAAAAAAACAATCTTGCAAAGAGAATTACAAGCCGATAAATAAAAAATGTAAAGGCTGAGATCCTGAGGTGGAAATTCTCAGGCATTTTCAAAGTTCTGTGTAGAGAAGCCCAACATGACTGTTGCAGACTCAGCAAGGCAGAGGGTACTTGGAGGAGCTGAGCATGGACAGGTGAGCAAGAAACAGGCTCTGGAGGGGGCCATGTAGGGCCTTGAAAGGCCAGGTAATGAGTTTTGCTTTTGATGGAAGGGTAGGGGCAGATCATGAAGGTTTTAAGCAAGGGAGTGATATGATCAGATTTACATTTTCAGATTGAAAATCAGCCAGTTCATCGGCACTTTTTCTGTGCTTTCTATGTTCATGTATGATATAGTATGTTCATATATAATGTGTGGCATGACAGGCACATGTGTCTGGGTTTATATAACACCATTGAGTCAGAACCCATATTTCATGGAGTTGAACCAGAAGTGGCATGTGCTGTTTAAGGAAAGGTCTATTTTCAAGAATCACTCCAAGAAGGAAGTGGTTCTTGTTTCTAAAGTGTTCTCTTTCCCAGGGTACAAAATAATTCTGGATCTGATGATAACACAAATGCTGTTGCAGGTAATTTCTTATTCTGAAAAATTAGAATTATAGCATTACATGATCAATTTGAATGCCATATTAAATGGGAGCAAAGCTTTTCCTGAAAGGCAGCAATAAAGCACATTTCAAGCAATTGCTAATATAAAATCTAAGCCTAGTAATGAGAGGCTCCAAAGCAAAGAGCTGACATCATAGCATGGTATCTCCAAATAGCAAAAGAATAAAATGGCACTATAAGAAAAGGATTCTGAAAATAGTTGCTATTCTTTTATAGCAATGTGGGTTAAATATCACCACCAACCATTTCTCCAATGTACAACATAAGACAGACAGGTGAATATAGGAATCATCTCTATAATCTCTTTAATTAATTTTAGTCCTTCATTCCTTATTTATTTTAAATAAATAAACAACATTTTTAAGCCTCTTCTATATGCTAGGATTGTTTTGGGTACTGGGAATACAGAGATGAAAAAGATAGTAAAAATACCTGTATTGATGATGTATACAGTTTTGCATGTGTTACTTACAGCAAACTAAATTGAGTTATCATAACAGATTGTGAGATGTCATTTTCAATAAAGCCTTTCGTGTATGTACATATGTGTATACATATATATATTTACTATGTATATATTTATATGTATATATATGAAAAAATATATATATATAGACTAAATGGTCAGGGAAAACTCCATGCTAGTAGCATAAGAGTTAAGCTTTAAAGAAAGCATAGGATTTGGATAAGGAATGAAAGAAAATATTTCAAGTTAAGGGGAACAATAAGCAGAGAGTGGGACAGATGAGACTCAGAGATGGAGCTGTATCTAGTGTTTATAAGCAAAGTGAAGCTCTTAAAAATTAATATGAGAACATTTAATTGTTATTCAAAATATATTTGAGAGGAAATACAAAGGCTGTACAGATTTAAACAAAACACTTGATAGCAATGAGCTTGACCATCATAAATAAACTATAAATGAGATAAAAATTCAATAGTCTCCAAAGCCTGTTTTTACAAGTTATTAACTTAGGAAGGAATTAAGGAAAAAAGGTAAAAAGAAAGAACCACTATGCTCATTGCCTCTCTAGTCTTCTTAGGTGTTAGTCATGTTTCATGTTGATGAGTCCTATCCTTTCCTCCTTCCCCACTAACCCTAAATATTTCCTTGCTTAGTATCCAAGCAGTGCAGCTCTATATACAAATTATAGATCTTATTTTTATCTATAAAAGCTATTAATATGCTCTAGAAAGGTATATATACTCCAGGTATGCACTTATAGCCATTTAAGAACAGGGAGATGTTTTAAGAATAGAAAGCTCACTACTTTACCAGTCTATATAGGTGAAAGAGAACTAGTAGGGAAACTGGTGGTTCCCTAGATGTGGATTAGTTCATCACATTACCTTTGTAATTGTTAATATCTAAAATTCTAGTTACAAATTCTTTTACATTGAAAATCTGAAAAATTATTGAATTACATACATTTGCTTATCTAATATTTCAATCCTAAGGGCTTCCACATATCAGCTTTGAATGAGGGCAGAAAGTGAGTACTAATTGCTTACATGTTGTGTAGATAGAAAAATAGAAATTAAGCATCATTAATATCCAATGCTGATCTGATTTAGCCCACTGAAAGGATTCACTTTTCTCTTTTTAACTCATATACAAAAAGCCGTCATAATGGAAGTAAGGCCTTCTTCATGATGTATTCTGAACTAAACAAAGGAGGGGATTATTAAATCAATGTTACCTGAAACCTGAATCTTAGCCAGTATCAAATGTTACTAATGATTTTAAAATTTAATTAATAGGCTGGGTGCTATGTCTCATGGCTGTAATCCTAGCACTTTGGGAGGCTGAGGTGGGAGGATCACTTGAGCTCAGGAGTTCAAGGCCAGCCTAGGCAATGTAGTAAGATCTCATCTTTATAAAAAAAAATAAAAGAATTAATTAATAAAGAAGCACAAGCAAAGTGAGGAGAGATCTGGGACAACCAGTGTGGCTATTTAAGGGTCTTTCTATCTACATTGGAATGCACTCTCTGTCTCAGAATGATATCTGAGGTCCCTGTACAAATAACATATATATATATATGCACACACACACACACACACACACACACATATATATATATTAAAATATGATGTCTGTAATAGATACTGGATACCTTACACAGCAGGGAATATTTAAGTTATGAAACATCTTCATCTTAATTCTGTTGTATACCTTAATATTATATAGCTTATACGACATTTAGGGAGCCATAATTACGTAGATTTAGGCTGATGGTTACTGCTGTTGTTTTTGCCATACGCAGCCTACACAGCCCTCAACCAGGAACACCCTACTCAAAGCGTTTAATAGGTAAGGATTTTTTTTCTAGTAGATGCTGTTAGTCTATTTGCCCATGGGTCCAGGTCACGTTCCTTCTTTTTTCTTTTAGCCTGTGAACTCTCCCTTTACCTCCATAAATGGGGATAAAATGGAACATAGGTCAGCTGCCCAAACTTCTTCCTCTCCATATTTAGGTAACAATGCTTTACAAAGGAAAGAAGGCAGAACAATCTATACATATTTTGGAAATAACCATTTATCTTCTTATTAAAAAATAAAGGGGAGAACTCATCTTTAAATTGTTAGCACGAGTGTCCGCTAAGTAAGTTCCTTTGGCATCAGGAAAATTTTGCTCTTCAAATTAGAGCCAGTGTTGCTATGAAAGCGTTAAATGTATTTAATGAAAAAAAAATTTACTTTTAAAAAGGAGAAAAACAGCTTCTCAAAGAGACGTATCTATGGCTTTATGAGAGGAAACATTTCGCAAAATTTTTCTCAAATGCAGAGAAAATTTGCCATATCACAAAAGCTTTAAAAATTAAAGAGTAGTAGATCTTTTAATTTTAATAAAAAAGATTGAAGATAAAATATGCTAGTCACTATTTTAATGATGTCAAATGTATATCATTCTTATTGAGTAGATAATTTTTGCCAGATTTTACTTACATTTTTAAAAGTTCAAATCCTGAAGAAAATCCCAGGATTCCTGGGAAATTTTTTGTAATATTTTAAATATTTGAGTCATTTGAAATATAATAATTAATATTTGAACATTTGGAGTAAAAAGAACTCAGAAAATCCATGTGCAAAGACATCTATATTCAAAACAATTATAAGATTATTATCCCCCTTTTATATCTTAATTAATTGAAGCCAAGAGAAACTAACAGATATGTCTGCCAACATAATACTAGCTATTAGAGGGAGGGTGTTCTGAGTTTCGTTTTCTCTTTGCTAGTCTTACAAGAAGAAACAAAATTGCCTTATGATGAAACAGGGACTGTGCTATGTACATTTTCATAACCTTAAGCCTCCAATATTATTAATTTCATTCATAGATTGAAAGTCCCTGAGCATCAGATAAATTAAATAAAAGATCCATGATGACATAAGTATTAAAGTACAATTGCTCCTTAACTTAAAGATGGAGTTATCTCCTGATAAGGAAATCATAAGTTGAAAATATCATAAGTCAAAAATGCATGTAGTACACTTAGTCTAAAGAACATCATAACTCAGCCTACCCTACCTTAAATATTCTCAGAACACTTAAGTTAGCCCACAATTGGGCAAAATCATCTAACAAAAAACCTAGTTTATAATAGCAGTGAATAGCTCATGTAATGTATTAAACACTACTTAAAGTGAAAAACAGAAGTTTTTATGAGTACTCAAAGCACAAATTCTACTGAATGTGATTCGTTTTGCACCATGTAAAGTCAGAAAATTGTTAAATCAAACCATCATTAAGTCAAGGACTGTCTGTATATAGCTTTTATACACTTAGACTCAGATTTGACACCAAAGTAATACTTCTTTCATCCTAGCTAACACACTTTTTTGTCCCCCTGTATACTTCATCAGCCAAACTAAAGCCCAGCTCAATTAAGTTCTTTTTTTATTTTTTATTTTTTTGAGATAGAGCCTCACTCTTTCTACCAGGCTAGAGTGCAATGGCACAATCTCGGCTCAAAGCAACCTCTGCTCCCAGGTTCAAGCAATTCTCCTGCCTCGGCTTCCAGAGTAGCTGGGATTACAGGTGCCCACTAACACGCCTGGCTAATTTTTTGTACTTTCAGTAGAGACGGGGTTTCACCATGTTGGCCAGGCTGGTCTTGAACTCTGACCTCAAGTAACCTACCCACCTCGGCCTCCCAAAGTCCTAGGATTACAGACGTGAGCCACCATGCCTGGCCAAAACCAATAAAGTTGTAATACAACATGGTCCAATAGAAGTATGATGCAAACCACAAGTACTAGCTATAATGCAATGTTAAATTTTCCAGTAGTTATTTTTAAAAAGTAAACAGAAACAGTTGAATTTAATTTTAAAATCATATTTTGCTGAAATAAAAGTTTTCATATTATCATTTCATGTGTAATCAATATAAAATTATTAATGAGATATATTACATTCTTTTTTTTGCATGTAATCTTCTATATCAAATGTGTATTTTGCACTTACAAAACATCTCAATTCAGACCAGCCACATTTCAAGCATGGCATGGTCACCTGTGACTAGTGGCTACTGTTGGACAGTGCAGTTCTAACACCTGCTGGGACTTTTACTTTCAATTTGTTAACTATGATTTTTTTCTTTCTTTATTCTGCAGGGTGTTGGTCTTCATAAATATATTTGATGAAACTCACTGATCAGGGACCAGAGGATCTGAGTCATCAGGTGCTGTTCCAACCTCACCATGCATTTCTGCTAGAACAGCTAGAGCTTAACATGCCACCAGCCTTAGTGCCATTCCTTGACCTCTCCTGAGTAGACTGCCAAAAACAAGGTATGATGCCAAAGTGAATGCCGAAGATCCAATACAGATGCTCTGCAAACTCTAGGTATTTTATGTAGATGAGATAACCAGAAATTACATTTGAGTTTTCAAAAATAATTCAAAATTTCTCTTCATGATATTTACAGTTCTAACTTGCCTGAGGTAGGTATTTATATATCATTTCATGATGAAATGCCCACCTATTTTCTTTGATTTTCCGTGTAAATACATGTATTTTATATCTGCCATCTATTTTTAAATCTTTTTCTTATACTATCCTACTCAACTCGATTCTCTGATATATACAGTCTCTTTTTGAGCTGTGATTATATATTTTTATATCTTGCTTATTAAATAAACAAGTACTTGTGTCTGAATATTCATGGGGCTTTGCCACTGGAAAGTATTTGCTTAGATCAATTTTAATAATTTTCTCTCTTGGCTGAGAGGCCTTCTCAACAAGACGAGATTATAAAACAAAATATCTCACAATTTCCCAAATGAAAACAAACCCCAATTCCTGCTCTAGTCTCAAATTTTAAATATTTTGTTTCCCCACATACACCATGCTGTTCTCCATCTGTATGTTGCAGAGATGATAACGACAAAAGTTGACCTCTGAATATTTCTTTTTCTTTAATGAGGAGCATGTGTGACTACCAGTGTTTGTGGCCACACAAGATTATTGGGGAAAAAGGCAAATGGTATTTCCAGCAATGGTGCAAAGTCTACATGAAATAGATGTAAGATCCACCTTTATACATAATGCTATTGTCATATCTAGAGGTTGTGTCCTGAAGATACATATATTGTCCATAAAGTGTAACACTCAGGATTTAAAAAACTCTTCCAGTCCCTTTCAATGTCTGCTACTCAGAAGTACCCATTATCCTCAAGCAGTAAAAGGCATATAGCTTCTCACACCAGCTACTTATTCCATTTCCTGACTATCTGCATGTAGACAGTGGTAAAATCCTTTCCTTGGCTTTACAACTCCATTCATTAATTAAACATCCTACTCTATACCCCATGGATCAAAGACAAGTCAGCTAACATTATTATCTGAACAAAATATTCTAATAACCTCTCATCACACATAAAACATCATCCAAAGACCTTACTATGGACTCAAAACCCTAATAGTTGCTGGCTTCTAAGTACCTCCTAACTTTGTTTCCTTCTGGTTTTATCTCTACTTTTGTTTTTAACCATGCATTGTTCCTTTTGCTTCTTGCTCAAGCAACCATGCTCAACCCTCAATGGCTTTGCACTGGCTTTTTCTACCTGTAATACTCTTCTGCCAGTCATTGGAATGCTTACCCCTTCACTTTTAGGTCTCTTCTCAAATATTGTATGAAGATAATGTCTTCCTCTGTTCATCATATATAAAGTGGAATCTTCTATCTCTCCCTGATTTTTTTCTATTCTTTTCTTCAGAGGAAAAATTAGATGTGTTATATACCATATATGCATTTGTTTATATTTTCCATCTAATCTTTTCAAAAGCTCACTTTTAGAATGAAGACAGCATGCATAGTAATTTCTTAAATGTAAGTAATTCTTAATAATGTTTGGCTCTTTTTTCAGTGATAAAGATAAAAGTTATTACCATGTATTGAGTGCCTATGATGTACAAGACATTTATTTTATATCATCTATCGGATCTTAAAATAACATATCCTTCAACAACCCTGTGAGGTAGATATCATAATCTCTATTTTACAGATGAAAACACTGAGGCTACATCCAAATCTTTGGTCTTCTCTATTCCTCTATAATATAACCCCCTATGAAGCTATTTTAGCCTCATTCATCAAAGTTAGAAAGATCCAGAAGACCTCTCGTAGCTATCACTGGGTAGTAAAGATTTCAGGCACCATGATAGGCATGCAAAAGTATTTTGGAACTGTTTTGTCTTTCATTACGCAGCAGATAGTATCATTTAGATGTCTCCTTGCTTAGAATGGCCACTTGTAATAGCACCTCCTGATAATAGCGTAATTTTTTCTTTCATTGTTCCCTCTTTATTTAAACAAGGTGTGTTTTAAATTGATATCCTTCCATCCCTGCCTCTGAGTGTTTATTCCAAAATTAGTTTACCTTTGCTTTATTGTAGTTGTCATTCCCACTGTATGGTTTTGAATGACTTTAATCTTTCAGGCTGTATCTGGATTAATCCTGTCACTTGGATTAGCCATGTCAAAGCATGTTCTTGACTCACCTAAAAAATGTTATTTTTTCCCACCCTAAAAACATGGCCCCTTGACAGCAGGCCTCATCTACAATTATATTTAAAAAATGGTTAGGACGTCAAATATTTATTCCTTTCAAAAAATTTAATATGTTCTCCTGGGGCCTGATTACAGAATATTTTAATGCTTACAAATTTCTTCAGTGGCACAGTACTAGTTTGTTTCCTAGGAAACAAATGCACTTATACTGCACTGCACACATCCTTAATCACTAAATTCTATAATCTCTTTGTGAATGGATAACTTCTAAAGATTGTTTGTTTTTATAAGAGTTACCAGCTACAATATCACTGCAGGTAAATTTCCAAATATGTTATCAGTGAAAGATTATTTCAATTTACCCTAAAATGTAAGAGGGAGGCTTTATGAAGTAATCTAAAGATGAAACTGTGTATTCTTTTATGGCTGAGTTACACGCATAAATATGAAGTGAATTTGAGCTATGTATGTACTTGCCTCTGTTGTCAGTCCTAGTATCATTCTCTTTTACACAGAAAATATATAGGCTAGTTATTTCTCCATTCAAGAAAGTAGATTGATTTTAGATGTCTTTCTTTCTTAACCAAATATTAACTGAAATCCAATAGGAGCCCACAGAAGGGACAATGCATTTTTAAAGTGACATTTTAGCATTCAAGTCATCCATATTCTTCAATGCGAATATAATTTTTATCTAAATGATTTCAGAGGAAAATGGATTCATTTGACTACAGTGCTTCTAAGACCAGTGGGAAGCTCGTCATCTTAATATTGAATCTGTAAATCCTTTCCACTAGGGATGATTAACAGCTTTGTCAAGTGTTTATTTTACTTTAAGTAGAATATGTAATTTCCTGGTATAACGCAGACAGATTGCAGTCGATTTCTCCCATCACATGTCACGCTCATCCTATGGGCTCACATGATCTAGCTTACTTCTATTAGACTTCTATTTTGCATGGTGAAGATGATCACCTGACAAGTTTTTATAGTTTAATGAGCATACATCAGTCTATTATATGATTCATTTATACTTGAATTTTTAAGAAAGTTCTCAGCAGTCCTGATAAGAAGCAATAACAGTGAATTACTTCCAGATGGCACTTTTGCTATACTACACGTGTGGTCTGAGCTACCCCGGGATAAAACTTCTATTAGTGCAGTGGCGACCTAGTCATATTAGATGTTTTTGGTTAAAGCATTGGTGAACTCTACTTAGGACAGTTCAGCCATAGATACATACTTAGGTAGCTGAGCAGGGTCACTTACATGCTCAGTTTACACACAGATTTCCCTATTAACCAGCACACAAAAGTAAAAGTGGGAAACAATTTATTGTACATAGGTCCATTATCAAAATGTGATTTAGGTGACTCCCTTGGTGTGTCAAATCACTTATGGATCCGTAATCAGATGGAGTTGGCAATAACAAGCTATTGCAAAACCTCTAGTCGCCTGTTTTCCTAAGAAACCGTGAAATGAGCCACATCTCTTGTCTTTTAAAAAAGTTAAGTCAAGAACCCAGAGAGTCACTGTTTTTAACCATAATGTATTCTTTTGGGGGTTACCTATATTTTTTAATAAAACTTTAAGTGAATTCCAATCAATAGAAATCCTCCTTAAACAATAATATTTAAAGAAAACTTTTCTATACTATTTCTGAGGAGGAAGCCAATAATCCAGGAAAACAAGCTGATTCAGTAATTTGTTCATGAGGCAGCTTCTCATGTACATCCTGAAGTTACAGCATTAATAGCCTAATATTTTCCATCTAGCTTTGAAAAATTATAATTCATGTTCAAGTTGACGACCCTGAGGTACAGTAAAAAACAATAATTTACACAAAAATGTTAAATTCAGTATATTAAGATAGAAAAAATGACAAATATATTTTAGAAACATTTTTACAAATTAAAATCTATTCTTATCATCACCCTAATTTGATCAGAAACTCAGTTAATTGAAATACAACTCAGACACTAAGAAGTGTGTTTACTGGGATTTTACTTCATTTCTTAAACCTCAGACAGAAGAAAATAATAAATATATGCTTAAACTGTACTCTGTGTCAAAATGAGAGAAAATAGAAGCCAAAAACATAGTCAAGGAGCTTAATTTGTTCACATCAAACAATCATATTAGAAAAGGGAAACTTGCAAAGTTTTATGCATATGTCCAAACATCACCTGGTTTCAAAATCTAGTTTATTATTCAAATCTATGTACCAGATTGCCCCAATATTTGGAAGTAGCAAATATTTACTGAATCATAATTTTCAGAATGCCATTTAATTAGTGATAAAACATGTTGAATTCTTTTTCTTTTCTCTCTCTCTTTTTTTTTTTTTTTTTTTTTTTTTTTTTTTTTGAGTCGGAGTTTCTCACTTGTTGCCCAGGCTGGAGTGCAATGGCGTGATCTAGGCTCACCACAACCTCCGCCTCCTGGGTTCAAGCGATTCTCCTGCCTCAGCCTCCTGAGTAGCTGGTATTATAGGCGTGCACCACCATGCCCTGCTAATTTTGTATTTTTAGGAGAGATGGGGTTTCTCCATGTTGGTCAGGCTGGTCTTGAACTCCCGACCTCAGGTGATCCGCCCATCTTGGCCTCCCAAAGTGCTGGGATTACAGGCGTGAGCCACTGCGCCTATCCTGAATTATTTTCTTTTATGAATAAATTAAATAAACACAAATGTCTTAATAATCCAAGTACCATGAATCTATTCCACTTTTGAAAGTGGAATCAACTATTTGCAGAGAGTACTACGTGTTATTTCTTTTTAATATCTTGGTCAAAGTCTTAAATAAAAATTGCAAATTAGAAAATCCTTTGAGAGTAGAGTTCAGCCAGGGAACTGTTTCAAGGTAAGTTTTATATTAGTTTCAGTCATTTTAATGAGGCTTTGTTAGAAACCAAGCAAGCAAATGTTCTAGACTGAGGAGTTACATGCAAGCCATCTTTCAAGAAGAACCATCATAAATCAGAACCTCTAACTATCTGCTTATATTATCAGGTTGACACAACAAAAGCATAGACTGGTAGCTAAATGAGAGAGCATTTATTAAGAAAGAAAATGAGACTTCAAATTTGAGTATCAACTTAAATATGAGGCTTGAAATAGGCTAGAGACACCTCTAATCAACAATGCATTTCTATTTCTATTAAAAAATTGGCACTGCTCTCTAATATATAATATAAAAATGGATGGATGAAATTTTATTTTAAATATATGTACACAAGTTGATGTGAAAGCACACGCATACAGGAAAATGGTAGAAAAATATTACACTAATCAGTAAGGATTAGATGAGTCATTTTAATTCTTAGGAGGCTTGAAGGTTAAAAAAAAATCTTGGATTCAAGGGACTGATTTTTTCTCAGTACTAGCTAACCTTGGGCTGTCTGCTTATAACTACAAATTGTTCTTAGCTTAAAAAGAGCCTTTTAATATTTAAAATTATTGGTCTATGATATCCATGTAATTTTTTCAGCCATAGGGTTTCATTTCCTTTGATGTGTATCAAGGTTCCAACTGATATTATTACTACTCCTGCTGCGTTTTAGCCCTGAGAAAGGTTTCTGTCTCTTTAAAACTGGTACCAGTGATTGCTCTTCAGCTCTGAGAGGAAATTTTGTCCACTTTTGTAAGAGTGAGGCTAAGGCATATATGGGACTCTCCTCAATGAGGGATTCTACTTTCTACATTTAAATTTGGTTATGATTTCATCGCCTTCAGTTTCGTTTTGTTTCTCTCTCCAGGATTCAAAGTATCTCAGCAACAAGTGCCTCTATTAAACAAAATTATATTAAGTTCAGAAGGAACCTGGCAGTTTCAAGATCTCCTATATGGTTATACAGTACATTTATACACACTCATGGTGAAGTGGCAGAAAACACTTTCGAAGGAGGGGAATACTTTATTCCCTGTTACTCACGTATTTGTCTTCCAAAAATAAACAAAATTCATAACTCTCAAGCTTAACTGGAAAAAAACACGATATATGCAAAAACGTAGTAATCTGATAAAGTCACAAATACTCAATTTCAACTAGGTTTCCAGTGCTATAATAAAATCTGTTAGATTTTACCTGGGTGCAGTAGCTAATGCCTATAATCCCAGCATTTTGGGAGGCCGAGGCAGGAAGACTGCTTTAGCCCAGGAATTAAAGACCGTCCTGGACAACATAATGAGACTTAATTTTTTGTTTTAATAAAATAGCCAGGTGTGGTGGCATGTGCCTGCAATCCCGGCTACTTCGGAGCCTAAAGTAAGAGATTTGCTTGAGCCTGGGAGATTGAGGCTGTAGTGAGCTGCGATGCGCCACTGCATTCCAGCCTGGGCAACAAAAAGAGACCCCATCTCAAATAATAATAATAATAAATTATATTTTAACATTTAGAGTTCCTTGTTTTTAAAAGATAAAGATTCCAAAAGATTTTGATATATAAGATTAAAGCAGCTATTGTTACCTTTATTTCATATAAAACATGAAATATTTTTTAGTTTCCACTTAATGAAATTGCATTAACATAAAAAATATTATTTTCTATCCCATATATAGCTGACACAGTCTTTAAAAATCATTTATTCCCAATTGTTTGCTGGAAGTTGTTAAGAGTGTAACAACATATATTTTATAAAGCACTTTTATGTAGGCACTTTCCAATACACTTAATTTTTATCATATTTTTAAGTGAAATACACCAACCACCTAAAAGGAAAAATCGATAATGTAAAAAGCAATGTTTAAATGATTTTAAAACAGATTTTAGATAAAATATTGAAAATAGAAAAAGATTTATTAATGGATTCCTGAAGATAGAACCATATAACAAAAGCACTTTTATTCATATGATCACCAACTGAAATTTGACAACTCTAGTAACACTATGTCCCAAGAATGAAGAATCAGTAGTAATTACTTTCATGAAATACAAAGAAACAAAGCCTTCAATCTTATAATCCAAATAAAACCCCGAAGAACTAGAAGATGCCTTGAAGTCAATCCTTCAGCTGACGAGAAATCAATGGATGGATAAGATTGCTGTGATAACTCTGGCATGACTTTATTTTGAGTTAGAAAAGGCCTGGAACATTTTGCACCATCTAATGAGGTGATTGTTGGCAGGGTAGACAGTGAAGATTTACAATAATTACTGTTTGGGGGGGACAAAATACATAAATCATTCTGCATATCAGGTAATAATATAATTTGACTAACATTGTAATTTCTATACTACTGCCTTTCTAAAAATGGATATAAAGGATAAGAGAGACATTGTAAACAAGATTTACAGATAAAATCTATTTTTTCTTTTATATCTAGTAAATTTTCGCAAATAGGTATACTGAAAAAATATTAACACCTGCGCATGTAATGAAAATACCCATATAATAAGAACTTCTAATGCTATTTTAGTAATTTGCCATCATTTAGTATCAATCTCATCCTTAATCTTGGCCTATAAATCAGTCAATAAATTTTCACTGTCAGCCACTCTTTTAAGAAAATAAATCTTAAATATTATTTATTTGCATTTCACTTGGAAAGTTACTCTTTGTGGTTTGCTGGTAAATATTTAGCAACTAAGACGATGGGGTTTTCTAAATATACAATCATGTCATCTGCAAACAGGGACAATTTGACTTCCTCTTTTCCTATTTGAATGCCCTTTATTTCTTTCTCTTGCCTGATTGCCCTGGCCAGAACTTCCAACACTATGTTGAATAGGAGTGGTGAGAGAGGGTATCCTTGTCTTGTGCCAGTTTTCAAAGGGAATGCTTCCAGTTTTTGCCCATTCGGTGTGCTATTGGCTGTGGGCTTGTCATAAATAGCTCTTATTATTTTGAGATACATTCCATCAATACCTAGTTTATTGAGAGTTTTTAGCATGAAGGGCTGTTGAATTTTGTCGAAGGCCTTTTCTGCATCTACTGAGATAATCATGTGGTTTTTGTCGTTGGTTCTGTTTATGTGATGGATTATGTTTATTGATTTGCATATGCTGAACCAGCCTTGCATCCCAGGGAGAAGGCTACCTGATTGTTGCGGATAAGCTTTTTGATGTGCTGCTGGATTCAGTTTGCCAGTATTTTATTGAGGATTATTGCATCGATGTTCATTGGGGACATTGGTCTAAAATTCTCTTTTTTTGTTGTGTCTCTGCCAGGCTTTGGTATCAGGATGATGCTGGCCTCATAACATGAGTTAAGGAGGATTCCCTCTTTTTCTGTTGATTGGAATAGTTTCAGAAGTAATGGTACGAGCTCTTCTTTGTACCTCTGGTGGAATTGAGCTGTGAATCCATCTGGTCCTGGATTTTTTTTGGTTGGTAGGCTATTAATTATTGCCTCAATTTCAGATCCTGTTATTGGTCTATTGAGAGATTCAACTTCTTCCTTGTTTAGTCTTCGGAGGGTGTATGTGTCCAGGAATTTATCCATCTCTTCTAGATTTTCTTGTTTATTTGCGTACAGGTGTTTATAGTTCTCTCTGATGGTAGTTTGTATTTCTATGGGATTGGTGAAGATATCCCCTTTATCATTTTTTCATTGCATCTATTTGATTCTTCTCTCTTTTCTTCTTTATTAGTCTTGCTAGCGGTCTATCAATTTTGCTGGTCTTTTTGGAAAACCAGCTCCTGGATTCATTAATTTTTTGAAGGGTTTTTTTGTGTCTCTATCTCTTTTAGTTCTGCTCTGATCTTAGTTATTTCTTGCCTTCTGCCAGCTTTTGAATTTGTTTGCTCTTGCTTCTCTAGTTCTTTTAATTGTGATGTTAGGGTGTTGATTTTAGATCTTTCCTGCTTTCTCTTGTGGGCATTTAGTGCTATAATTTTCCCTCTACACACTGCTTTAAATGTGTCCCAGAGATTCTGGAACTTTGTGTCTTTGTTCTCATTGGTTTCAAAGAACATCTTTATTTCTTCCTTCATTATGTTATTTACCCAGCAGTCATTCAGGAGCAAATTGTTCAGTTTCCATGTAATTGTGTGTTTTTGAGTGAGTTTCTTAATCCTGAGTTCTGATAAGCAACTTCAGCAAAGTCTCAGGATACAAAATCAATGTGCAAAAGTCACAAGCATTCCTATACACCAATAACAGACAAACAGAGAGCCAAATCATGAGTGAACTCCCATTCACAATTGCTACAAAGGGAATAAAATACCTAGGAATCCAACTTACAAGGGATGTGAAGGACCTCTTCAAGGAGAACTACAAACCACTGCTCAACAAGATAAAAGAGAACACAAATAAATGGAAGAACATGCCATGCTCATGGATAGGAAGAATCAATATTGTGAAAATGGTCATACTGCCCAAGGTAATTTATAGATTCAATGCCATCCCCATCAAGCTACCAATGACTTTCTTCTCAGAATTGGAGAAAACTACTTTAAAGTTCATATGGGACCAAAAAAGAGCCTGAATTGCCAAGACAATCTTAAGCAAAAAGAACAAAGCTGGAGGCATCATGCTACCTGACTTAAAACTATACCACCAGGCTACAGTAACCAAAACAGCATGGTACTGGTACCAAAACAGATATATAGATAAATGGAACAGAACAGAGGCCTCAGAAATAGCACCACACATCTACAACCATCTGATCTTTGACAAACCTGACAAAAACAAGAAATGGGAGGCCGGGCACGGTGGCTAAAGTCTGTAATCCCAGCACTTTGGGAAGCCAAGGCGGGCGGATCACAAGGTCAGGAGATTGAGACAATCCTAGCTAACACGGTGAAACCCAGTCTCTACTAAAAATACAACAAATTAGCTGGGCGTGGTGGTGGGCACCTGTAGTCCCAGCTGCTCAGGGGGCTGAGGCAGGAGAATGGCGTGAACCTGGGAGGCGGAGTTTGCAGTGAGCCGAGATCGCGCCACTGCACTCCAGCCTGGGCAACAGAGCAAGACTCCGTCTCAAAAAAATAAATAAATAAAAATAAAAAAATAAAAAATAAAAACAGGAAATGGGGAAAGGATCCCCTATTTAATAAATAGTACTGGGAAAACTGACAAGCCACTTGTAGAAAGCTGAAACTGGATCCCTTCCTTACACCTTATACAAAAATTAATTCAAGATGGATTAAAGACTTAAATGTTCTATCTAAAACCATAAAAACCCTAGAAGAAAACCTAGGCAATACCATTCAGGACATAGGCATGGGCAAGGACTTCATGACTAAAACACCAAAAGCAATGGCAATAAAAGCCAAAATAGACAAATGGAATCTAATTAAACCAAACAGCTTCTGCACAGCAAAAGAAACTACCATCAGAGTGAACAGGCAACCTACAGAATGGGAGAAAACTTTTGCAATCTACCCATCTGACAAAGAGCTAATATCCAGAATCTACAAAGAACTCAAACAAATTTACAAGAAAAAACAAGCAACCCCATCAAAAAGTGGGCGAAGGATATGAACAGACACTTCTCAGTAGAAGATATCTATGCAGCCAACAGACACATGAAAAAATGCTCATCACTGGTCATCAGATAAATGCAAATCAAAACCACAATGAGATATCATCTCACACCAGTTAGAATGGTGATCATTAAAAAGTCAGGAAACAACAGGTGCTGGAGAGGATGTGGAGAAATAGGAACACTTTTACACTGTTGGTGGGACTGTAAACTAGTTCAACCATTGTGGAAGACAGTGTGGTGATTCCTCAAGGATCTAGAACTAGAAACACCATTTGACCCAGCCATCCCATTACTGGGTATATACCCAAAGGTTTATAAATCATGCTGCTATAAAGGCACATGCACATGTATGTTTATTGTGGCACTATTCACAATAGCAAAGACTTGGAACCAACCCAAAAGTCCATCAATGATAGACTGGATAAAGAAAATGTGGCACACATACGCCATGGAATACTATGCAGCCATGAAAAGGGATGTGTTCGTGTCCTTTGTAGGGACATGGATGAAGCTGGAAACCGTCATTCTTAGTAAACTATCGCAAGGACAGAAAACCAAACACTGCATGTTCTCACTCATAGTTGGGAATTGAACAACAAGATCACTTTGACACAGCACGGGGAACATCACACACTGGGGCCTGTCTGGGAGTGGGAGGCTGGGGGAGGGATAGCATTAGGAGAAATACCTAATGTAAATGACAAGTTGATGGGCACAGCAAACCAACATGGCACGTGTATACCTATGTATGAAACCTGCACATTGTGCACAAGTACTATAGAACTTAAAGTATAATTTAAAAAATATATATTTAGCAACTGACTTTCATGGGGAAAGGAAGAGCTGTGATGTGTGGCTTGATAATTTTTATGGCGTAAATGCTCCTCCTATGGCTTACTTCAAATTACCAATGTTTGAACAGATGTCTTGCAAAATTCCTGAAAATGTGCAAATGTAACCTTGAACCAGTATAAGCAAGTTCCTCGTACCACCAGACAATTTCTATATATTCAAACAAAATAAATATTTTTAAAAATTTGTTTAACATATAATTTATTATGGATTCTTTCTATGTGTTCATCCTATTGCAATATGCACATTTGACTTTATGAATTTTATCTCTGTTTTCTCTTTAATTTTAATCCAAATTCCACCAATACAACCATTAAATACATCTTCACAAAGGTAAGGTCAAGCTCCATTTGCGATTATCTAGCAGATAATTCCAAACCCCCACTGTAGTAGGATATGCTATTGTTTTGATTTGCATCTTTCTTACCTATTCCTTACCCTTGCACACCAGAGCTTATGCTACTCAAATAATATGTCACTATCATAATCCTTGTCTTAGTTCCTGCTTTTTAGAAAACTTGAGCTGGAGACATCTGATTATAAAATACATTAAATTTACAAATATTTTAATAGAAATATAAGCACTTATTGTAAAGAATAAATTTATTAATAATATTCTGAATTCATAACACCATCTTGTAATTTTTAGATCAAAGAAGTTGGGGCAAATAACATGAGGGTAAATAAAAGGTTCATGCACTATATATTTTTTAACATTCCACTCTTTTTATTTTTTATAACACTTTTATAATGGCTTTTTGCAGCATAATTTTTGTATCATAAAATCTGCCATTTAAAAATGTATAACTCAGTGGTTTTTAGTATATTCACAGAGTTATGCAATCATCCATTGCCACTATCAAAGTTTAGAATATTTTCATCACCCCACAAAGGAGTCCCATACTCATTGGCAGACACCCCCACTCTGTCTTCCCTCCAGTCCCTGGCAATTGCTAATCTGCTTTCTCTCCCTATGGAACTGCCTATTCTGGAAATTTTATATCAGTGCATTCATATAATATATATTCTTCTGTGACTGGCTTCTTTCACTTAGTATAGTACTTTCACATTTCATTTATTCTGTAGGATGTATTAGTACTTCATTTATTTTTATCGTCAAATAATATTTCTTATATAAATATACATTTTTGTTTATCCATTTATCAGCTGATGAACTTTTTTTTCCACTTTTGGCTACAATGCATGATGAACATTTTTGAACAATTTTTTTGCAGAGATACATGGATTCATTTCTCTTGGGTATGTACCTAGAAGTATAATTGCAGTGACATATGGTTTATGTTTAACACTTTGAGGTTTTGAAACACTGTTGTCTAAAGTGACTGCACCATTTTACAATCTCAACAGCAATGAATGAGGATTTCAAAATTTCTGCATTCTCATCAGCATTTGTTGTTGACTATCTTTTTTTATTTTAACCATTCTAGTGAGCATAAAGCAACAGCTCATTTTGCTTTTGTTTTGCATTTCCTAATGGCTCATGATGTTAAGCATATATTCGTGTGTTTACTGACCACTCATATATCTTTTTTGGAGAAATAGCGATTAAACATTGCCCATTGTTAAATCGATTGAGTTTTATTGTTGAGTTGTACAAATTCCTTATATAGTCTGTGTAAAATTTTCTTATCAGATGTATAATTTGTGAATCTTTTATCTTATCAGTTGCCTTTTTCTTTGCTTGATGCTTTCCTTTGAAGAAAAATTTTGATCAAATTAATTTACTTGTTTTTTTCTTTGTCACTTATGCTTTTGATATCATCTCTAAGAAACCATTGAAAACCCAAGGTTATAAAAATTTAAGTACGTCTTCTAACATCTTCATAGTTTTAGCTAGAATATGAGATCTATGATGCAGCTGGAGTTACATTTTGTATCTGGTGTGAGGTGGTGCTTCAGCTATCTTCTTTTGCGTATGGATTCATATGGATATCCAATTCCAGCACCATTTATTAAAAGGACTATTCTTTCACTATTGAATGGCCTCAGCATCATTGTCAAGAGTAAATTGATGATAAATATGAAGATTTATTTCTGGGACTTGTGGTTTTATGTTGTTGATGTATATGTATGTTTTTATGAAGTATTACCTTATATTGGTTACTATAGCTTTGTAATAAGTCTTGAAATCTGGAAGTGTAAGCCTTGGTAAATCTTGAAATCTAAAAATGTGAGTCTTCCAACATTTTTTTTCCTTTGTAAAGTTGTTTTGGCTATTCTGAGTTTCTTATATTTTTATATGAATTTTAGGATCCATTTGTCAATTTCTGTAAAAAAATCGGCTGGGATTTTGAAAGGAATTACATTAAACTTATAAATAAATTCTGATATTATTGCCATCTTAACAATACTAAGTCTAATTACCCATGAGCATGGGGTGTTTTTCCATTTATTTAGATATTCTTTATCTCGCAAATATCTCGTAGCTTTCAAAGTATAAGTTTTGCATTTCTTCTTTTTTTTTTTTTTTTGACAGAGTCTCACTCTGTTGCCCAGGCTTGAGTGCAGTGGCACAATCTTGGCTCACCACAACCTCTGCCTCCCGGGTTCAAGTGATTCTCCTGCCTCAGCCTCCTGAGAACCTGGGACTACAGGTGTGCGCCACCATGCCCGGCTAATTTTTGTATTTTTAGTAGAGACCAGGTTTCACTATGTTGGCCATGCTGGTCTCGAACTCCTGACCTTGTGATCTGCCTGCCTCAGCCTCCCAAAGTGCTGGGATTACAGGTGTGAACCACCGTGCCCAGCCTTGCATTTCCTTAAATAAATTTATTCCTAAGTAGTTTATTTTTATGTTTGTATAAATTAAATTATTTTCCTTATTTTATTTTTGTATGCTATTTTTAGTGTATAAAAATACAATTAAATTATTTCCTTAATTTTATTTTTGCACACTTACTGTTAGCACATAAAAATACAATTGATTTTGTATTTTGATCTTATATACTGCAAGTGTGTTGAACCCATTTACTAGTTCTTATACTTCTTTTTGTGAATTCCTTAGATTTTTCCCTATATAACACTACAGGCCAGGTGTGGAGGCTCACACCTGTAATGCCAGCACTTTGGGAGGCCCAGGCAGGCGGATCACGAGGTCAAGAGATCGAGACCATCCTGGCCAACATAGTGAAATGCCATCTCTACTAAAAATACAAAAAGAAAATTTAGCTTGGCATGGTGACACACACCTGTAGTGCTAGCTACTCAGGAGGCTGAGGCAGGAGAATCACTTGAACCCAAGAGCCCAGGAAGTGGAAGTTGCAGTGAGCCTAGGTCGCGTCACTGCAGTCCAGCCTGGCAACAGAGCGAGACTCCGTCTAAAAAAAAAAAAAAAAAAAAAAAAAAAAGATTACATACAACCTGAAAGTAGAAAAAGGTTTACTTTTTCCTTTCTAGTCTGGATGCCTATTATTCCATTTTCTTGCCTAATTGCTCTGGCCAGAATTGTCAATGCAATGTTGAATAAAAGTGGCAAGCATTAAGTCTTTCAGTATTAAGCTATGGGATTTTTGTAGATGTCTTTTATCAGGTTGAAAAAAAATACCTTGTATTTCTAGTTTGTTGGTCTTTTTTTAATCAGAAAAGGTTTTGGATCTTTTAAATACTTTTTCTGTATCCATTGATATGATTATTTGAATTTTTTTCTTTTATTGTATTAATATAGTGTATCACATTGATTGATTTTCATATGTAGAGCCAAACTTGCATTGCTGGGATAAATCCCAACTAGTCATGCTTTATAAGCTTTTTATTTATATGTTACTGGGTCCAATTTGCTAGTATTAATAATTTTTACATTAATGTTCATAAGAATAACGTGTCTATAGTTTTCTTATGACATCTTAGTCTGAGTTTGGTGTCAGAGTGATATGGTATTAGGATAGAATGAGTTGGGAATTACTGTTGTCTTCTATTATTTGAAAGAATTCGTGAAGAATTCATATTAATTCTTTATGAAGTTTTAGTAGGATTCACCAGTGAAGCTATCTCATCCTGGGCTTTTTAATTAATTACTAATTCAATCTTTTTACTTGTTACAAGCTTATTTATATATTCTATTTCTTCTTGGGTCATTTTAAGTAGTGTTTGTTTCTCTAGGAAATTGTCCACTTCATCTCGTTTATTTAATTAGTTGGTATACAATTATTAATAGTATTTTTATAATCCTTTTATTTCTGTAAGCTCAGGAGTATTAAATTCTCTAACTTCTATTGTTGAATTGTCTATTTTTCTCTTTATTTCTGTCAGCTTTTGCTTTATCTATTTGAGATAACATCCTGATGTATTGATCCTTTTGCCGTTATAAAGTATCGTTCATATCTAATGCAATTTTTCTCTTAGCATCTATTTTGTCTAACAATAATATAGCTACTCCAGCTCTCTTTGCTGCATAATGTATCTACTTCCATTTTCTCACTTCAAACCTATTTTTGTCATCAAATAAAATGTGTCTCTTGTAGACAGTGTATAGTAAGATAATATTTTCTTCATCAATTCTGTCAATATCTGCCTTTGATTGCAGGTACTTAATCTATTCATATTTAGTGTTGCTCTGGTAAAACAAGGTGCACATTTGTCATTTTGCTATTTTAATGTGTCATATATACTCTGTGATTCTTTCTCTATTACTGCCTTATTATTGTCTTAAATAATTTTCAGTGTACTTTTTAAATTATTTTGCTATTTATATTTCATTTTATTTTATTTTTCTAATGGTTTCTCTGAGTCTTAGATATGCATGCTAACTTAAAATAATTTAATTTGTAGTAAATTTAATTTGTAATGTACACAAAAATTGTGTCTGAACAGTTCCATTTCCCTTCTCCTCCTTTGTGCTCCTGTTGTCATACAAATTAAACCTTCTTCATTATACACCCATCAATACAACTTTCCAAATATTGCATTGTCATTGTCTTTTAAATTATATAATGAAAGAAAGAATTATAAAGAACCATATATTTAGACTGATTTTATATTGACCTATGGCGTCATCTATTTTTAGTGCTTTCATAGGAATTCAAATTGTCATTTAATATCCTTTCATTTCAGCTCAAATATCTCCCTTTAGCATTTCTTTTAGGGAAGAGCTGATAAAGATTCTCTCAGTTTTCTTTATCTGGAAATCTTTTAATTTCTTCAGCTTTTGAAAGATGTAGATATATAATTTGCTGGACATAGACTTCTTGAGTGAAAGGTTTATTTTGCTTTCACCACTTTGGACATGTTATTCCATGGCCCATTGGCCTTGTGGCTCCTGTTGAGGAGTAAGCTATTTAACTTGAAGAGCCCTTGTATGCAGCAAATTGTTTTCTTCTTGCTGTTTTCAAGTTTCTCTCTTTGACTTTGGATTTTGACAGTTTGAGTTTTACCTATGTGTGCAATACTTTTAGTTTATCCTACATAGTTTGTTGAGTTAATTAGATACATAGATAAATGTGTTTTATCCAATTTGGGAAGTTATCATCTACTATTTTTTCAAATATTCTTTTTACCTTTTCTTTCCTTTTCTGAGACCCCCATTATTCATAAAATTTATGGAGTTCCATTGGTTTCTGAAGCTTTATAGACTTTTCTTCATTTATTTCCTCTTTGTTTCTTGAACTGAATAATATAAATGAACTATCTTAGAGTTTGCTAATTATTTCTTCCACCAGATTAACCCCTTCCATTTTAGAATTTCTATTTCATTTTTAAAATTTCTATCACTTTATTGATATTCTTAATTTGGTGAGACATCATTCTCATCCTTTTTGGACAATTCTTGAACATATTTTTAAGAGCTTATTCAAGTCTTTGTATAGTAATCCCGTCATCTGGGCTTCCTCAGAGACAGTTTTTATTAGCTTTTTTCTTCTTGTATACGGGACTATATTGCCTGTTTCTTTATACTTGTTTTCGTTTGCTTTAAATTGGACATTTTAACTAATGTGATTTGGCAATTCCTGAAATCAAATCTGTCTTAGTCTTCAGATTTCTTTTCACTTTTCATCATCGACAGTTTTCAGTGTAGACATTGTTCAATGTGGAGGATCGTATTTTTAAAATTTCTTACTTCACCTTTTAAGAAGTTCTTCTAATACTTTATTTAAAAGAGAGAAAGGAAATAAATTTAGACTAGAGTAAAGATGGCTATTATAAACCAAGTTTCTTAAAACTTAGGTTTACATATTTTTAATCAATTATGGAAAATGTTTGATAATTATCTCTTCAAATATTGTTTTTCTCATTCTCTCATTTTTCTCCTTTTGGTACTCCAATTACACTTAGTCTAGGCTATTCAACCATGGTCCATGTCTCTTAAGTTCTGTCTTGTTGTTTATTTTACTCTTGCTTCTCAGCTTCAGTTTTGATGTATTTTTATTTTCTATTGATATATCTTTAAGTTAATCCTAATGTCTATTTAATTTTTAAAATCAATTTTTATAGAAATATTCAACTTTTATTCATTTTCAATTATATTTAATATATGAAGAGATATTTTATTTTATTTTCATAGTCTAAGGGATTTTTTCAACTTTTATTTTAGAATGAGGGGATACATGTGCAACTTTGCAGGTTTGTTACCTGGGAATGTTGTGCAATGCCAAGGTTTGGGGTTGAATAGGCATTTTAAACTCCTGTATTCTAATTTCAACATTAGGATTATCTGATTCTCGATTTTCCCCTTTACTACTTATCACATTTACCTGCCACTTCACACTTGTCCTATAATATTTCATTGTATGCATTGTATATTATACAACATATATTGTGTATTAAAGAATCGTAGAAGCTCTAAGTCAGTGATTTCACTCTTCCTTTCTTGCATACACTTCCATATTTCTGTGTCAATACGGCTTTCAGTAAATGTCCCATGAGCAAATATGGCTCTACATTTGGAGCATTCAACATTTTAGCATGTCATGCCATCACATGTGATCATCAAAGGTTCCTCTGTTTTTACTTTCCCATAGTAGAGTCTTTGGCCTAGACATAGCAGCAAATCCCTTCAGGGTAAAAAACTCCCAAAGAGGTTCCTCCTTCTCAGGACATTTTGTATAGTTCCCTTTGCTTCTGCATCCGATGCTTTAAAAACTTTTTTTTTTTTTTAGTACAACCTGTTTTTGTTTTTTCTAGTTTATCCGTTAGGAGACATGACCTCATGTTACTCATTACCTTAGTAAACTACCTAAGTAAATAGCCTCAGAAAGAAAAAATCTTAAATTTCTAAGACTGGATTGTATCAAAGGCCTTTATCTCTCCTAAAATGATATGCAAAATGTGAGGGCATGTGCACTTTACTGAGTAGTGGGTCCATATAAGAATTATTGGGTTAAAATGCTTTGAGAAATTTCAGCAAAACCAGCAGCAGAATTTAGAAAACTATAAATAAATATTTTAAGACATGTAAGTGTTAAAGTAAATTAAAAATAATAATAATAAAAACAAGACATATAAGTGAAAAGAAAAGAAAATTAAAAACAATTTTAAAAACTGATTCCATGTAGCAGAAAATAAACTATAAAGAAACAAGTAGAAAAAATATTGAAATCATAAAACACTTATGGCAGGTCTAGGACCAACCTTATTCATTATAACAATACATAGAAATATCAATCATATTATCAAAACATGAATATTAAATTGACTGGAAAACCATGTTCAATAGCATGCTTGAATTTATAAAAGATTTAAGAGGAACATATCAAAATAACAAAAAAGTTTTATTTTGATGAAATTACAATTTACAGTAAAGATAAAATAGAAGCAAATCTTAGATCATGGCACTGATGTTCATCTGGAAAAAAAACAGATGATAACAAATTTTAACAAAACTTTCTAGCAAATTTAAAGATCTATACAAAGAACCCTCACCATAACAAATATTACATTTTAATATATATTTTATTTTATTATGGAGATACTTATAGTAATCAAAGACAAGTGAATTGGCCCAGAAATATATGAACAGTTAATGAAATATAAAGAATGCAAATAATTTAGAATTTAATGAATGTGGAATTTTAATTAATTAAAAAAAATGAATTTTTCAATATATACTACAGAGGACATTGACTGTCTAGCCAATTTGTGGAAAAAGTACGCATTGATTACACAATAAACTTACTTAATTCCATGGGATTAAAGAGTTAAATGCAATACAAACTTTGAATAATATAAATTTAAAATTAGAGGTGATTATTTATATAAAACGTGAAGTTGGAAATGAGTTTTCATACAAAATATGAAAGGTAGAAATTATGTTGAAATAAAAACATAACTTGAAAATTTTAAAGCGTTAAAACTTATGTGTATATATTTATATATACACATCTACACATTTATATATACACATATGAAACAGATAGCATATATATGTATTTATATATTTATATATAAAGCCAAAAGAAACATGAGAGTTGGATAACTAAAGAAATAAATAGTTGCAACATATATCAGATACAGGACATGTATTTTAAATATATAAAGAATTACCACAATTTTTAAAATATAATTTAACTACAATAGAAAGGGAATAATGCTATTAACAAATAGTTCACCACACACACACAATATAAATGGTCAATGATAAATAAAATTATTTAATTTCACCAGCATTTAAAGCTTTAATTAGAAAAGCTAAATACTATATTTTCACTTTATCAAAATGATTAAAGCATAAAATATTTAAAACATAATACTCAACAGTCTCAAGAATAAGAGAACACAAAAAATCATATATTGCTTTTGGGGCTGTAAATTATAATAGTAAAACTTTATAACAATCTAGGTTAAATGAGGAAAGAAAAGACATACACTATTTTGAACAGAGAAAGTTAAATAGAAAAATGATTACCTGTAACAGTAAATGAATATAATAACATATTGGTTAGTAAGAAGCAAAAGATGCAAAAGAATATAGGAGTTACGATTAAAGTAGATCAAGATGACTGAATAGAAGGCTCCACTGATCATCCCCGTGTGAAGGACAACAATTTAACAGCTATCTACACAACAAAAGCACCTTCATATGAACCAAAAATCAGGTGAGCACTCATAGTACCTCGTTTTAACTTTATATCACTAATAGAGGCACTGAAGAGATAGAAAAAACAGTCTTGAATTGCTGACACCACCCTTCCCTTATATTCCAGCAGCAGTGGCATGGTTCAAAGACTGTTCCTGGGCACTGGGGAGAGGGAGAACTCAACAATTGTGAGGCACTCAACTCATTGCTGCCCTGTAATAGCAGAAAGAAAAACCACACCAAACTCAGCTGATGCCCACCCATGGAGAGAACATTTAAACCAGGCCTAGTCAGGAGGGAATCACCAAGCTCAGAGGTCAGAATTTGAGTTCCTGCAACTCTTGCCACCACAGGATAAAGGTTCTGGAGACCTAAATATACTTGAAATGCAGTTTAGGACCCAAGGATGGGAACTCCTAGGCAAATCCTAGTGCTGAACTGGGCCCAGAGCCAGAGGACTAGGGGGATGCAAGATCTACTGAGACACCAGGCAGGACAGCTATGTGAGTGCTGATATACCCCTCCTCTGACCTCAGACTGCGCAGCTTGCAGTTCCAAAAGACACCCCTTCCTTCCACTTGAGGAGAGCAGAGGGAAAGTGGAAAGGACTTTGTCTTGCATCTTGGATATCAGCTCAGACACAGCAGGATTGGGTGCTGGTCAGAATCATGAGGCCCCCTTTCAAGGCTTTAGCTCTCAAATGACATTTCTATACACACTCTGGGGCAGTAAGGGACCCAGAAATATCAAGTGCCAACCTCTGGAACATAATATGAGATAATATAATATATAATAGACAGCCCCTACCTACACTATGACACCCCTCCCGTCTAGTGCTCTGTATGGCAATCACTGTGATAATGCACCTGTGGAATTTTGGGGAACTTCCTAAGATGATTCCCTGGGGGATAGAGGAAGGGTGGTGACAGCAATTCAAGACTGTTTTTTCTATCTCCTCAGTGCCTCTATCAGTGATATGATGCCTTGAAGGGAAGAACCCAGTCTTAGCAGGCTTCATCACTTGCTAACTGAGGAGTCCTTAGGCCCTGAATAACCAGCAGCGATACCCAGGTTATAGGGCCTTGGGTAAGATTCTGACTTGCTGGCTTCAGGTGAGACTTCAAACTATACTACAAAGCTGCAGTAATGAAAACAGCATAGTACTGGTATAAATATTGATGCATAGACCAATGTAACAGAATAGAGAACCCAGAAATAAATTCACGCACATACAGTAAATTCATTTTTCACAAACATCTAAAGAACACACACTGGGAAAAGACAGTCTCTTTCAATAACTGGTGTTGTAAAAACTGGATTCCATATGCAAAAGAAGAAGGCTAGAACCCTATCTTTCACCATATACAAAAATTAAATCAAAATGAATTAAAGACTCAAATATAAGACCTCAGACTATAAAGCTACTACAAGAAAACATGGGGGAAACTTTCCAGAACATTGGTCTGGACAAACGTTTCTTGAGTAATTCCCCACAAGCTTAGGCAACCAAAGTAAAAATGGATGATTGGGATCATATCAGGTCTTCTGCACAGCAAAGGAAACAATTTAAAAAATAAAGAGACAACCCACAGAATAGGAGAAAATATTTGCCAACTACCCGTTTGACAAGGATTAATAATTAGAATATACAAGGAGCTCAAACAACTCTATAGAAAAAAATCTAACAATCCTATTAAAAATGGGCAAAATATTTGAATATAAATTTCTCAAAAGAAGACATAAAAATGGCACATGGGCTATGAAAAGGTGTTCAACATCACTGATCATCAGAGAAATGCAAATCAAAACTGCAATGAGATATCATCTTACCCTAGTTAAAATTGCTTTTATCTAATATATAGGTAATAACAAATACTGGAGAGGATGTGGAGAAAAGGTAACCCTCATACATTATTGGTGGAAGTGTAAACTAGTATAACCGCAAGCAATAGTTTGGAGGTTCCTCACTAAAAACAGAGCTACCATATGATCCAGCAATCCCACTGCTTGGTATATACCCAAAAGAAAATAAATCAGTGTATTGAAGAGATATCTGCACTTGCATTGTTTGTTGCAGCACTGTGCACAGTACCCAAGATTTGGAAGCAACCTAGGAGTTAATCAACAGATCAGTGGATAAAGAAATGTGATACAATGAGTACTATTCAGCCATTAAAGAAAATGAGATCTTGTCATTTGCAACAACATGGTTGGAACTGGAGGTCATTATGTTAAGTAAAATAAGCCAGGCAAAGGAAGACAAACAAAACATGCTCTCATTTATGGGATCTAAAAAATCAAAACAATTGAACCTATGGACATAGAGAGTAGGAGGATGGTTATCAGAAGCTGGGAAGTATAGTGGGGGTTGGGGGTGAGGGGGATGATTAATGAGTACAGAAGATACATAATTAGAAAGAATGAATGAGGCTTAGTATTTGATAGCACAACAAGGTGACTGTAGTCAATAATAATTTAATTGTACACTTTAAAATAACTAAAACAGTATAATTGGATTGTTTGTAACATGGAGGATAAATGCTGTATGGGATGGATACCCAAGTTTCCATAATGTAATTATTATGCATTTTACACCTGTATCAAAACATTTCATGTACTCCATAAATATACATACCTACTTTGTACCCATAAAAATTTTAAAACAGAATACAGGAGTTACAAATATATATATATATGTACAAACACACACTCACACATATATAGGTATAGATTTATAATGTAACAGCATTATAATATAAATGGTATATAATGCATATCATTTGTTTATATATATAGTGAATATCATATGTAAACTGCTTATTATGGGCCACAGCCCAGGCTTGCTGATAAATCCTATGCTGTTGTAAGTTCAAAGATCATACAACATTCCATTTGGTACTGTTGTCTGTTATGTGGCAAAGACTAGTTCCACAGTTCTGCATTGTATATTCAGGTGACCATACTATCTGGTTCATACCTGTTGGATTACCCTGTTTAATAACTTTTCCAGAATTCCTTTACACCAGCTCTGGCTCACAGTGAATGTTTTAGAGGCCAATAGTTATGCCATCATGAAAATTTTTAATTTTTTTGTTTTATTATTATTATACTTTAAGTTTTAGGGTACATGTGAACAACGTGCAGGTTTGTTACATATGTATACATGTGCCATGTTGGTGTGCTGCACCCAGTAACTCGTCATTTAGCATTAGGTAAATCTCCTAATGCTGTCCCTCCCCCCTCCCCCCACCCCACGACAGTCCCCGGTGTGTGATGTTCCCCTTCCTGTGTCCACGTGTTCTCATTGTTCAATTCCCACGTATGAGTGAGAACATGCGCTGTTTGGTTTTTTGTCTTTGCAATAGTTTGCTGAGAACGATGGTTTCCAGCTTCATCCATGTCCCTACAAAGGACATGAACTCATCATTTTTTATGGCTGCATAGTATTCCATGGTGTATATGTGCCACATTTTCTTAATCCAGTCTATCATTGTTGGGCATTTGGGTTGGTCCCAAGTCTTTGCTATTGTGAATAGTGCTGCAATAAACATACGTGTGCATGTGTCTTTATAGCAGCATGATTTATAATCCTTTGGGTATATACCCAGTAATGGGATGGCTGGGTCAAACGGTATTTCTAGTTCTAGATCCCTGAGGAATCGCCACACTGACTTCCACAATGGTTGAACTAGTTTACCGTCCCACCAACAGTGTAAAAGTGTTCATATTTCTCCACATCCTCTCCAGCACCTGTTGTTTCCTGACTTTTTAATGATAGCCATTCTAACTGGTGTGAGATGGTATCTCATTGTGGTTTTGATTTGCATTTCTCTGATGGCCAGTGATGGTGAGCATTTTTTCATGTGTTTTTTGGCTGCATAAATGTCTTATTTTGAGGAGTGTCTGTTCATATCCTTTGCCCTCTTTTTGATGGGGTTGATTGTTTTTTTCTTGTAAATTTGTTTGAGTTCATTGTAGATTCTGGATATTAGCCCTTTGTCAGATGAGTAGGTTGCAAAAATTTTCTCCCATTCTGTAGGTTGCCTGTTCACTCTGATGGTGGTTTCTTTTGATGTGCAGAAGCTCTTTAGTTTAATGAGATCCCATTCGTCAATTTTGGCTTTTGTTGCCATTGCTTTTTAAATAGTTAAAATAAAGTCTGAAACACTTTAGACATGAAGTCCTTGTCCATGCCTATGTCCTGAATGGTATCGCCTAGGTTTTCTTCTAGGGTTTTTATGGTTTTAGGTCTAACACATAAGTCTTTAATCCATCTTGAATTAATTTTTGTATAAGGTGTAAGGAAGGGATCAAGTTTCAGCTTTCTACATATGGCTAGCCAGTTTTCCCAGCATCATTTGTTAAATAGGGAATCCTTTCCCCATTGCTTGTTTTTGTCAGGTTCATCAAAGATCAGACAGTTGTAGATATGCAGCATTATTTCTGAGGGCTCTGTTCTGTTCCATTGGTCTATATCTCTGTTTTGGTACCCGTACCATGCTGTTTTGGTTACTGTAGCCTTGTAGTATAGTTTGGAGTCAGGTAGCATGATGCCTCCAGCTTTGTTCCTTTGGCTTAGGATTGACTTAGCAATGCAGGCTCTTTTTTGGTTCCATATGAACTTTAAAGTAGTTTTTTCCAATTCTGTGAAGAAAGTCCTTGGTAGCTTGATGGGGATGGCATTGAATCTATAAATTACCTTGGGCAGTATGGCCATTTTCACGATATTGATTCTTCCTACCCATGAGCATGGAATGTTCTTCCATTTGTTTGTATCCTCTTTTATTTCCTTGAGCAGTGGTTTGTAGTTCTCCTTGAAGAGGTCTTTCACATCCCTTGTAAGTTGGATTCCTAGGTATTTTATTCTCTTTGAGCAATTGTGAATGGGAGTTCACTCATGATTTGGCTCTCTGTTTGTCTGTTATTGGTGTATAAGAATGCTTGTGATTTTTGCACGTTGATTTTGTATCCTGAGACTTTGCTGAAGTTGCTTATCAGCTTAAGGAGATTTTGGGCTGAGACAATGGGGTTTTCTAGATACACAATCATGTCATCTGCAAACAGGGGCAATTTGACTTCCTCTTTTCCTAATTGAATGCCCTTTATTTCCTTCTCCTGCCTGATTGCCCTGGCCAGAACTTCCAACACTATGTTGAATAGGAGTGGTGAGAGAGGGCATCCCTGTCTTGTGCCAGTTTTCAAAGGGAATGCTTCCAGTTTTTGTCCATTCAGTATGATATTGGCTGTGGGTTTGTCATAGATAGCTCTTATTATTTTGAGATACATCCCATCAATACCTAATTTATTGAGAGTTTTTAGCATGAAGCGTTGTTGAACTTTGTCAAAGGCCTTTTCTGCATCTATTGAGATAATCATGTGGTTTTTAGCTCATTGTGACATTTCACAAGTGCTGCACATGTTAAGAAAGGACTTATACTAATGTCTAAGAATCATTCCTATTTCCATTAAAAGTTGGACTATATATATATATTTGTGCGTGTGTCTGTGTGTGTGTGTGTGTATATATATATATATATATATTCTGGTGGTTTATAATTCTTTTATATATATTCTGGAAATTTTATGATTCTTCATGTTCTACCTCGGAGACAGAAAATACATTTTTTTTATTCATGGCCCTTTTATTTACACATATAATCTTGCATCAGGGATTCATGCACACTTAGGTGCTCAATAAATACCAAATGTTCAGTTTTGAAATTAAAATAATGGCAAGTTTTCTCCTCTTCCTAGAAATTTCTAGCAACTAGAAGTTGAATATGAAAGAAAAAAATGTTATTGTCATCTATCCCCTAAAAGGCATCCTTTGGTCTTCAAAATAGTCCTATCCCAAATTATATAATATATATTTAAAATATTATAAAAAATTACTATTCTAATAGAAATAGTCATTATCCAGACCTTCTTCTTTACCACTAAGAAACGCTACCAAGATTTTGCTTACTTTTCAAAATGAATTCCATACAAAATACTTCTAGCAGTTTGAATACTGTAAAAATGTTGACTTGATATTTACAAACTTTATCATTTGAAATTTTATATTAAATAAACCAAGCATATATATAAATAATCCACAAATAAATAATGTCATGTCACTTTGCAATGACAGACATGCAGTTACACATACCACTTCATGTTGCTGCAAGTGGTCTGGAAGTGACAAGAACAAATTGGTGGATGTAGAAGTAGGAGAATCCCACCCTGACAGAAGATGAATAAGCTGGACTTGCCTCATCTGAGCCATGGCTGACACAAGCAAGGTGGAATGAAAGAGTGAGCAACTTTTCACAACCCATGCTTCCCAGCCCTGACCACTGTGGATGGCCGTGATTATCTCCAGACAAAATGACTGCGAGTAAAAGGCTTACATACACTTAAATTAAACACAGCAGGGTTTTTGTAATCTCTGTTTGCATTTTGCTTTCTGTTAAGAAGGAAATTGCTTGGACTTGGAACATTTCATTTAACGGCATTTTTAGTTACCTTTTGTACTTCTAATGCCATAGACTAAATTCACCCCAAATTACCCAGTAAGACTTAAGAAAACTTTTGTCCTTTTTTGTTTATTTTTTTAATTGCAGTAGCTTCCTTACCAATTTTACTAAATTAAATGTGTTTTAAAGCATCTCAGTTCTTGAAGCTTAATTATTCCAATCTCTGGGTGAAGTACAGCAAACAATACAAACCCCATTTATGTAATTTATTTTGAAAAAGAAAATAATGGAATGCAGTTGTGCTAATGATACACACACTTCTGTATTTTTTTCTCCTTTTCGACAACAACTTAGCAGAACCATGTCATTTTGAAACAAAAGCTTTAAGGGTATTTTGAGGTTTTGGTTTGTCCATAGTCAGCTTCGAGGAGAAGAAGGTAAAGTGCATAACATTACATGACTTTCAAATATCATGAAAGATTTTGTTTTGTTTTCTTCATATTATCCTTCCATCAATGAGTATTATTGACACTCACCCATAATAAACTGTGAATAAAGATCATGGCTTGTAATTGTAATGTGTAAATAAGAAGAAAAATATGTAGGTACTTAAGTAGTTGAAACACCATTCATTATATCCCAGCAGAGTAAAATCTAATTGTTAGACCACATAGGGTCTAGAAAACTTTGGTATAAACTTCAGTCTAATTAAAAAAAAAAAAACTATCACTGCTTTCGTGTTTTAAAATAGAAGAATTTTGAAATCTTGAGGTGCATGATTATATATCATTACAATTAATACTCACTAATGCAATAAATTAATTGTTCTAATTTGCTAAATTTCACCTGCTGCATCATTTAAATTAAAGGTTAATTAATTGGTTTATGCTGTACTCTTGGGAAGTGGGTAACCAGACCCTCTTCCCAAGACTGTATTGCAAGATTAGACAGGGAGTGATTGAGAGATGCAGCCATTCAGGGAGAGGAGCACAAAAAGAACAAATAAAAACCACTCCCTCCACAAAACAAACCCACAAACAAAGTAAAAACAAAAACAAAAACAAAAACAAAACACTTCAAGTAAAACAGCTTAGTATAGGTAAGTATGCAGATGTATTTGCTACATATGCACACCTTCAGCCTGCATATATGTGTGTGTGTGTGTATATATATATATATATATACACACACACATATCGACCTAAAAATAGATATGTACACAGGTGTAGATGAGTATGTAGAATGTGAGAATTCTGAATTATTCAAAGGCAGCCATCTAACTGGCTTAGAGATTGAACTTAAGATAGCAGCGAGAGCAAGCCAACTGCCTCCCTCCCAGAAGAAAGTCTTAGGAAAGTACCCATTGAGGTTTGGATTGCCACATCTCCATGAGGTACAGGTGTGATCCCAGGTCTGCAGCCTCCTCATGATTTGCCAGTGGGAGCCCCGTGTCCCATCTCCCATGTCTGTCTCTTCCTGACAGCCTGCCCCCAATCTTAGTGACCCAGCATGGTGGGGCGGCTGCTTGGCTCCAACTCTGAGGGTGCAGTGATCATGTCCTCATCCCTAACTGCCTGTTATGGAGCATCCATCATCCTGATATTTCAAGTGTCAGATATTTCAAGTTCCTTACTCCTTCCTAACCATAATTAATTCATTTTTGATAATCAAAATTTGACAGTAGAATTATTTTTTTGTTTTGTTTTTTTTTGTGTATGTGCTTTTGTGTTTTTGAGACCAGGGTCTGGCCCTGTCTCCCAGGCTGGACTGCGGTGGCATGATCACGGTTCACTGCAGCCTAGACCTTCCAGGCTCCAGTGATCCTCCCACCTCAGGCTCCTAAGTAGCTGGGACGACAGGCATATACCACTAACTCATCTAATATTTTACTTTTTGTAGAGAGGAGGTCTCCTTATGTTGTCCAGGCTGCTCTCAGACTCCTGGACTCAAGTGATCCTCCCACCTCAGCCTCCCAAAGTGTTGGGATTACACGTCTGAGCAACCAGCCACCGTGCCCAGTCAATAGAATTGTTTTCATATTGATTTGAATACACTCTTTCTTCCCTGACCCATCCTCAATTTTTAAATCCTAATTAGTCAATAGGCAATTTTACATGTTACCATCTCATTGGTATTTTCCTTGTTACCAGGGCAGTGGAGACACTCCACATACTGCACATATGAAGCAGGTTTCTGATTCTTTATTGCTGATTTCACAAGGATGAAGTGCTTGCTGGTGATAGAAAGCATAATGCTTTGTATCCCAAGCTTCCTGTTTTCTTAGGGATAGACTTCTTTGCAATACCTTTATCAAAAATAGAAATAATATGTCTGTTCCTTAAACATTTATTATAATTTCCTTCCATGATTATAAATGCGGTAATAATGTATCAGATATGTATTTGTTCACTTGATTTTTCCTCTAGTTTTTGAGGAAGGAAGTTTGACTAACAAAAACCTGAGACCTCTCCAGCATATCCTGCTGAGTGGATGCCCAGGATACCCAAGATGATTTACATCATAGTGATTTCTTCTTGGTAATGATCTCTCCTTTGACATACTCACGTGCTGTTGTCATATAGTGGGATTTCGCCTATTATTTCACTCTTACCAGGTTTTGTAACTAAAACTACAATCAAACAATAAGATTTAAAATATATAATTGTATGGACTGGCTAAACAAAGTAAGAATAGTGCAGATATGAAGGTTAAAACATCATCATGCTTACGCTCTCAAATGAAAAGAACAATATATATAATTGTGAGTATAAATATGCATATTCAATTTGTATATTCATTTATATATATATGTATCTCTGAATTAAAGATTATACCTAGTGTAATAAATTAAAATTAGTTTTCACATTAGCCAGAATATGTTTATTTATGCATAACTCAGAAGATCTGAGTTTCAACTTATCCTCTCAGGTTTACAGACATTTAAGCACATTATTAGGAACTGTGATTATTCTGCACACCAACACTCAGGTATCACCCAACTTCATTACTACCTGATTAATTAACCTGTTTAAAGTGTGAAAGTTGGCACCTTGTCATTAGAATCCATGGGAATAACTAATGAGAAACGATGAAATAATTTGTTCCTCAATTAAAAAACCTGAAAGAAGAGGTTTTATCTCATTATTCTTGTTTCCTGTTATCACCTATACAAAGCCAAGAAGATTTTGCAAAACTTACTGTCTAAAGAGAACAGGCTATATAACATCTCAGGGAACATTTCACAGATCTTTAATAAAATGTGGTGTTATTCAACAGCAAAAGGTAAGCCAAGAAGGTTCCTGGAATAATATATTCATTATAGAGCATCAATGAGGAAACTAGGCACTTTCATCTCATACCTGGTTCAAGTTTAAATGAGGTTTCTTTACAAGAAAAGAGAGAAAGGGAAGTAATCTAGTTCAATTTAGGTCTGTGTAAAGAGACTTCAGGAAAAAAAAATCACGAGAGGTAATTAGTATTAGAGTACTATTAAATTATGACATTTCCATGTATTAAAAAATACAGCCCCAAGCCCAAATTTCTCTCAATGTGATTCAGTGGCTACATCACAGCATCACTCAGATAGGAAAAAAGGCAGTGAGGTTACTAATTTCAATTGTTTCCTTTTGCCTCACATTCATGAGATCATACATACCATATGGCAACACTGAAGTATCAAAAGTTCTTTCCTAACCTAGAATATTTTACAGTGTTTATAGATTTGCCCTTATCCCCTTAAGTTATTTATGGACTTTACAAGTGCCAATTAAGTAAATGTCTATTGTTCAACATTTAAAAAGCCAAAAGGTTTTTTTGGAGGTAAAGTGAACAATCTTTCTTGCACTGATTATTTTACATACATGTCTCTAGTTAGAGTTTCGTGCTCTGAACCATGGCAGGATATAGACTATAGAATCTATCCAATGTAAAGCTAGGCATAAATGAATACAGATGTTAATTAATTGGATATCCCTATTTAAATTCCTTGATATATATTCTGGATAATGTCTCCCGCTTCCGTGTATAAATCTTTAAGCTGAGGCCACCCGCATTTAGTGAAGGAAATAGTCAAATATTTAAAAACCACATGCATATTTTTCCAAAATCAAGATTTTGTGAAGATAACCACAGAGTTTGAAATAACAAAATTTAATTAATCCATTTTAGAAAAAAGCTCCATACCTGTTTTAAACTCTAAACTTTATAGTTTTATTAAGTTGTAAAATATCTTAGAAAAAAATAAAGAACAAGCTGTTAGTGATACATTATAAACATCTTTGCTTTTATTTCCTGAAAAGCCTTCTATTGGCAAATAATAAAAAATGTAGAGTCAAGTCCAGCATATATTTAATGATAATAGCTACTATTTCTTGAATATCCATGGTATACCAAACCATATCTTAGGCGATTTACATGCAATATTCATTTATGTCTCACAACTCTCAAGCGTTTATACAGTTATGTCCATTCAGAGATAAGAAACTGAGGTCCAGTGGTATTTAGTGTCTTGTCAGACTTTACATTCTGAATATCAAATTATACAATCTCACTCTACTCTATGTTGCCTCAAATCATGTTATATTTAACATGGAAAAGTATTCTCATATAATATAACCTATTAAATAACAAATGCCTAACTACACTAGAGCATGGGTTTATTTATTTGTTTTTAAAGCTGTAAAACAGAAGGTAGGGGTAAAAACAGTTTCCTGGAGTCAATTCTAAAACATAAACAATAGATAAATTTAAAATAAAATCTTAGGCTTTCTTCAGAAATTGTGTCAATCATAATTTAGATTACTGACAGACAGTATAGCTAATATTTAAGTTAGCCATTAAAATCTGTCAAAAATAGAGAAGAAAGAAAATAATTAGCTATATATAGAGATATTAGAGAATAAGTGTATAATTGTTTTAATAAAGTAAATCCTGCTAAGAAAGAAAAAAAGAAAGAAAGAAAGAAAGAAAAAGAGAGAGAGAGAGAAGAAAAGAAAAAAGGAAAGAAAGAAAAGAAAAAGAAAAAATGAAGTAAAAGAGGTTCCTGTCAGGGCAGACTCTTTATTTTATTTGTGTAAGATTAGCTATCTAAACATGAATAGCATTCTGAAGTGAAGGGAAAAAATTGACTTAAAATTTTAAAAGCATTAATATCATTTCAAAGTAAACAACAGGTCCTTTTAAAACGATTAGAGGATTATTTGTGCATTATTTTATGGGTCAAAATTTAAGCTTTTAAAAGAATAAAGTGATTTTTAAAAGAAAACACATCAAGAACAAATAATTAGAGTAGTGGAAGATGACCCCCCCCAAAAAAAAGTTTTGAAATTAGAAGATGGTCTTTAAGCCCAGTAATATGTCATGGGAAAATAATAAATAATAAACACAAAAAAAACTGAATAGACTCTAAAAGAAATCAATCAAAGATAAAGGTGTTATCTTAAAGAGAGTAGTATAAACTCAATAATAAAAATGAAGAGTGTGTACATAATAGTAAGGTGTTCATAATCCCTGCATATGTTTGATACTAATGTTTATATTTTCTATATGCTATATGCTGATACATTTTGTGGACAACCTCTCAAAGTTATATGACCTTTCTCCTATTCTGTTCAGTGTGTATTTAGCATATAATCATATTCATATATATTGAGAACCGTTATTAAATAATATAAAACATTAAAATAGGAAAAAATAATAGGAAAAAATTATAGATTTTAAATGTTTCTAATTTCCCAATATCATCAATAATTTTTTTTGTATAAATTGATGTTCTGCTAGCTTTTCCTCCACCTACAACTCATGCTATAGGAATAATAGTTACATCCTTGTATGTTGACCCTTTCATTCAAAAGTCTCCATTGTACCAGGAAACGGGCGTCTCTATAGGGAGTGTGATTGGGAAGCTCTGAATTGGTGGCATTCCCCCTAATGTTTTTAATTTATTTTTATGTCAGTAGTGAGAAGCATTACTATTGTGTAATCTTATCTCCACTCCAGAATTAAAGGGAGTGTATTATTTTACTTCCTTCCTTTGTTGTCCTCCAATAGCAGGGGTCAAATTCTACTTTATTCAGCATACACTGGAAAGGAACACAAACAAGAGTAAATCAAGCTAAAAATACTCATTGCCTCCTCATTTCACTGCTCCCAGTTCAACCAGGCTTCTCCCACTTCACTTCACTTCACTTCACTTATATGCTAATAGAGGCCAGAGACTTTACATGACCATCCCAGGGTTCCTATATGCTCACATTCACCAACCACAAATGCTGGTGGAAAATCACTGTCTCCACTATCAATTCACACAGAGAACCATGGAGTTGTCCAATTTATGTAGGGAACATCTCCCACCCATTAAGATATTATGCAAAGAGCACACTGAATACTACCAAGAACACAACCCAGGAAAATGGGTCATGATTCTAGGCCTTCAAATCAAACACATAGGAAATCCTTATAAATGGGATCCTTTAAAAGAGTATTTTACTCTATCAAGCAAATGATAATCATATTTAAATGAAACAGAGAATGTATTTTAGAAATATTTTAAAATTTAAAATGATCAATAGATTTTAAATGATGAGAGATAGAAGCTTATAAAACCCTTACTTATATTCAGTAGCCCAAGTCAACTTTCAATTTTATATAGAAATAGCAAGTTTTCCTACTGGAAAATGTATTGTTCTTCTTAAGAAAATATAGCTAATGCTCAAGAGTTGGTAGCACCCAAGGTTGGATTAATGAAAACAGGTAAGACATAACAAATATCTAAATCATTAGTACTCAATTACTATGTATGGTTACAAAGGGTGGGGACAAAGTTGGACCACATTAAGTTGCTTAATGTGTGCTAGATATTTTAGGCACTTCATTAATTTCTCGAAGCTCTCTAAAGGGTAAAAATATCATTCCATTACCGGTGAAGATTCAAACTAGAGAGACAGTAAGCATCTAATTCAGGAACATAGGGATATTCATCCATGGAGCTGGTACTTGAACTCTCCATTATTGTCAATTCTAGATATCAGGTCTGGTTGATTGGTGGCTTGGGTGTTTGTTTTCTCTCGAAGCCATGCAGTTTCCTATCAGGGTTATGTGAATAACAGGTTACCTTAAGGAGAACTCTCCCAATCAGACCTAGTGGGTGGAAATGGACAAGTGTGACCTGATGGAGTAAAAGTGCTTTGTGGCCATCAGCACTCTTCCAGGTGCTGCACAGGAGCACAAGGGTCTGGAAATGCCATTAACTACTCCAAAAAGCTTTCTGCCCATTGCTACTCTGACATTTAAGATTTGTGACAACTTGTTACCTTTCTTGTCTCCCCTGGAAATGCTGTTTGCCAAAGGAACATAATCCTAAAGTCTCATTCATACTCTATTTACTAAGCAATCATGGACTTGTCACTAAGATACTAATTTGAGTTTAGAAACAAATTAAGCTATCTAGCTCTTGATGTCAGTGCCTTCACCCATGAACGGAAAACTCAACTCTTATTTATTGATAAGAAAGTATTTCCAAAGCCTCAAAAGTATTTTTTTAGTGTAATGTTTGACTCTCCTACAGTATTTATATTGTTTGTATATCAAATCATGGAGATTATTTGTCTTTTTTTATTCCCACTTGTATGTTTCCTTCTGGTGCGATGGGATACTTTTCATTTTAAGCAATGGAATTTCAAAATAAATTGCAAAACAAATCAATCTCCAATAGATAAATGAAAAATGTGCAATGAAGCTAAAAATATCCTCCACAAAGGTGCTAGTTGGCTGTGTTGCTTAGCTACCCATGACCACACAGGCTGACAGCACCATGAACTCCCAGGCTGAGCTGAGTATAATTACCAATGAGATTTCCATTTCATTAAGTTCCTCTTACGAATCTTGAGAATTTGGAAATGTGCATATTTAGATGATTTCACTACTGTAAATTAGGACAAAATTTGCTTCCTTGAAAAAAATAATATTCTACAGTGTGTTTATGAGTAACTTTACTTGCACAGGTTGAAATAGCGACACTTTGAAGGCAAAATTTTAATTTTAAAAGAAATAACTAGATTCAAAGAGTTAGAGCCAGATAATATTATTTTTTCTTTTTTAAAATCATGAAATTGCTTTTCTAGTTTTGCTTTAAGTGCAAATAAAATAAGGAATGAAAAACTTAGAACTGCTTTATTTTCTTGAAAATTATAAAACATTGATTTTTCTTTGCCAACAGAGGTAATCTTTTCATGCTCTTTCCCCAATTCTAATGTTTAAATGGAGGTTAATTTCACAAATATCTTGGACCATTTAGCAGAGTCCTTTGCAGAGAACACAGTAATTCAGTTCATCAGACAACAAAGCCCATTAGCAGATATTACCAAGTCACTATTAAAAGGCAAGTATAAAGGAAATGCAGAGATTCATATCACTTCATAATTAACACACAAAGCTTTGAGTGCAGATTACAGTTGGATTATGGTGAATTAAAGAAGTACATTTGATGCTCATTTTATAGATTTCTTATCATACTTATCTGAAATATATATGCATTCATTTAATTCCATAAGCATATAATCGAAAAAAATAGCTGAAATCCATTTATATCTTCTGAAAGTAAAAAGATTATCTTGCAAGCATATTTGCATCAATTTACAATCTAATAAACTGGACAACATTTTACTGTTTCATTTCCTCTATTCTCTTAAGAAAGAAAACTTTATCCCCCTGTTCTGGGCTGGATTTGTATTATTTAAAACATTTTTTTAAAAAAATTATTAAAATAATGCATGCATAAGATAACATTCCATAGTATAAATAAATACATGGTGATAATCAACAGTCTCTGGCTTCTTTGCTTACCTCCCCAGTCCTACACTCATTTTTTTTTTTAGTAGTTAGAATTTTTTTTGAGGTGAAATTCATATAACATAAAACTCACCATTTTCAAATGAACGTGTCAGTGGCATTTAGTACCTTCTCAGTATTGTGCAATCACCACCTCCCTCTAGATCCCCCCAAAATTTCATCACTCCTAAATGAAGCCCCACACCCATTAAACTGCTGCTCACACTGTCCCTTACTCCAGTCTTGGCAACCACCAAATCACATTCTGTCTCTATAGATTTACCTATTCTGGATATTTTATATAAATGGAATCATACAATATTTGGCATTCTGTGCCTGGCTTCTTTCACTTGGTATAATCTAATACTTATAACTTTCATTTTTCTGAAAGGAATTCTTATAATTTTTGATAATATACTTACACCTCTTCCAGAAAAATATCTATTGACTTCATGATATGGAATAAGAGTATTTACTCTATATTAACAATTTCCCCTTTGCATTCTATTGTTTGAGTGACTTTATTATTCTTAGTTTTTCATTAGTTGCTATTGTAATTTAAATGATATATTAAAAGCCATATTTTTTGTTCCTCTTTCAATAGTTTCTGACTCCACATTTTGTAAATTGGAGACTACATTTTCCTCTTCCTTTCTTCCGTTTTGTTACATCTTATCTTCTCTCAATTGTACTTCTCCACCGTTGAAGTTTATGTATTTATTTATTCTTCAAATATTAATGAGGAGTCATATTTATTATGGACTCTGTGTTAGGTATAGAAGGTATAAGTTGAAACATATTATTTTCATCTTGCAATCACAACCTAGTCTCCCATACCTTGACAGTAGATTGGCTCTCTTACCTATAAATAGCACTTTCAATAATAATAGGAAGTAGTAAATATTGTTAAACAAGGGGCTAAGTTCTCTATTAAGATACTTCTCATTTGTTACGTGCACAGTGTTATTTTCTTGAGCCAATTGGATATAAATGAACAAATATTTAAAATTAAAATGTGTTCTTCTTATTTTAGCTCTCAATTGTTTTAAAGCATACTTCATTTTAATTTGCTTTATACTTGGACCATGACTTTCTTCTATATTTTTATTGCATGTTGTTTACCTGGGCTTTTCTAATTTTCTTTTTATCTGTCATCTGACATTTTCCTATTCACAAATTATCCTAACCTTTCAATCACAATTTCTCCTTCTTCAAGGCTCCCTTTTCCTTAGCAACCTTTTCACTGAAGGCTATAAGCCTTCTCCAATTGGGAACAATTGCCTTCTAATGTGTTACAGAGGCTTCTTTCAGGCTATTCTTCAAAGTTTGCAGACTTGTAGTCATTGTTTCCTGGACTACTTGCCTTCCTCTTTTGGGATTTATTCTCTCCTTTGACTGTAATTTATCTTCCAGTATTCCCCTAAGAGAAATGTATGAACGATAAATGTTATGTGGCCTTGCATGTTGAAAATCTTCATGATTTTATTTTACTTGAATGACAGTTTTTCTGGGTATAAAATTTTAAAAGCATTGTACCTTTTTCATCGAGCATCCATTGGCTTTGAAAAAATTTATTATGCTAGAATAATTCTATTTTTTATATGTATTTTGTTTTTTATAACTTTTTTCTTCTCTACAAGTTTTTAAGGTATTCTGTTTATCGTTAATGTTTTGACATTTTGCCATAATATGTATATTCATTAATCCTTTCATCCTCATTGAGCAGAGTAATCATGGAGACCTTTTATGTTGCTGAACATGTCTTCTCACATCCCTTTTTTCATTTGTGGAACAAATAAACATCTAGTTTCATGTGTTTGTGTTTCATATTTTCTAATTCTTTTGTTTTTGAATTATTTCTCTATTTATAATCATGTTGAATTTTTTAACAGCCCTTTTAAAAAAAATCTCTAAGAGGTTTTATTTGTCTAACAACATTTCTTTCTACAATTACATTTGTGTTTTCTGGATGCACTATAGCCCCAATACTCTTGTTAATGCATTTGATTTTTGCTAGGTCTCTTCTCTTGGTAGTGATTCTGAGTGGAAGCCATGAATGGATTCACTCTCCCTTTTTTGCTTTGTGTTCAGCAGTGGTCTTTTGTGCAGGCTTTGGGGCTGCAATCCAACATCTGTCAAAATAAAAGGGGCTTTATTTTAAGGCATTGAAATGGAGTAGAGCATTTTTTGGCTATCCCTGGAATTCTTGTCTTATTCATTTCAAAGATAAATATTTAGTTGTTTGCCTGGATATATATTATAGCCTGCGACACTTTCACTCTCTCTGTGTGTTTTTGTGAATGTGTGTGTGCATATTAAGGAGAAAGTGTTATTGTGGGGATATTGACAAGTAGAGTTTACCATGTATAATTAACCCCCATATATCGCTTGTAAGCCCGCTGGCAGTCCCATTAATTTGGGGACCAGAGGTGCTTAGAGATTTTGTTCAGAAGAACTTTCCCCAATATCAATATAGTTCAGTCTCTTACTTCCTTCTAGTTGTTACTCAGATGTTAGCTTTTCAATCAAGATGATATTCTACCCTCTTTAAAACTGCAACCCATATCCCTTCCCAGCACTCCATATTCCTCTTGTTCTGCTTAAATTTTATATTTCGTGCACCATCTTTTGCAAAATGAATTTGATTTTTTACATTTTTGAATTAATATACATTTTAATGGACTGACAAATGTCTTAGCTACCAATTTTACTACTAGAATAATTTTAATGAAAAATTAACAGCTTATTAACCCACAATTTTGTGAAGCAAGAAAACTTGTTAGGACCTTTGCACGGTAGCACACTCTAAGGAGGGAATAAGTGGATCACCTTGGAATTTAGCTGCTAGGAGAACTGTAGCTCTTGTTCCTATTAATTGCACATCTTTCAGCTTCCAGGTGGCTCATGATTTTGCCATAAAGATTTTTTGAATTGAACTTTTCTGGTTAATACTTCTTTTGGATGCTAGTTTTCTTGTTTAAATAAATTGCTGAAATGTATCCCAAAAAGAAATACTGGGATTACATCAGTTCAGCAATTAAAAACAAAAATGTGAAGAGAAATTGGATAATATCCTAATGGGATTACATGGAAAACCCCAAAGTATTCGTATTTTTAAGTCAGCAATAAAGAAATCTCAACCTATCAGCTAAAATCACCTAGCAGGGAAAGTAAGGCCAGGTTCCATACATTTCTGTCCCCCATGGGAAGAATGAATTAATTACAATTTCTCACTTAAAGTCAAAGAAATTGAATTTCTGTTAAAATATTGGAAGATGTTAACAAAATGTGCAGGCTATCAGTTATTTCCAATGGTTACTTTCTTTTCAAAAAATACATTAGCTACGTTGTAGAGAATCCGGTTTGAATGGGCACATGATGGAGGTTTTAATAAAGATCATTTGTTTCAATGGGTACATATTAGATGGTTTCTAAATCTTTAAAGTGTTCTTTTCTGAGGAATAAGAAGTCTCAGTATTGTGTGTTTATGTGTCTTTATATGAGTGGGTGCTTATAAATGCTTTCAGGAATTTTTTTATTAAAAAATTATTTTTTTTACTTAGGGAAATATACATATTTTCCCACATGAAACAGTTGATAGTAAATCTTGAAATGCATTTCTGAAAACACAGCTCAATCTAGTATTTTGTAATTTGCTTCAAAGAATATCAACTAACACAAATAAATGTGACTCAAGTAATTTCTGTACCATTTATTCATTCATCTCAGAACTTCCTTGTGTAAAAAGATTTATTTTGTATGTATTGTGTATGCTTTAAGTAACATGAATTAATTTGGTAACTATTCCATTAGGCTTTCTTTGAATGTATATGTGCATATAGGGTTAAGGGGAGGGAGGAGGAAAAATAGTTAAGGGGAAGTTGGTTAAAAAAAAATGAAATTGTTCTGGGATGCTTTCCCAAATGAGAAATTAAGGGAAATAATAATAATGATAATGATAATAATTAAAGAAGAATTGATAAAACTTTAATTAAGTTCAACAGAAACTGTTAAGAAAATAATGGGTGGCTCACGCCTGTAATCCCAGCACTTTGGGAGGCCGAGGTGGGCGGATCACGAGGTCAGGAGATCGAGACCATCCTGGCTAACACGGTGAAACCCCGTCTCTACTAAAAATACAAAAAATTAGCCGGGCGTGGTAGCGGGCGCCTGTAGTCCCAGCTACTCGGGAGGCTGAGGCAGGAGAATGGCGTGAACCCGGGAGGCGGAGCTTGCAGTGAGCCGAGATCGCGCCACTGCACTCCAGCCTGGGCGACAGAGCGAGACTCCGTCTCAAAAAAAAAAAAAAAAAAAAAAAAAAAAGAAAATAATAGGGTGAAATTGCTCATATCTCAAGAGAGCAATTGCAATGAATATGAGAAAGTGGTAGGGAAGCAATTCTTTTCCAATCTTCATATCTTAATCACATGATCCTCTTAGGATGCCAAAATCCGGTCTTCTTAAATAATGATTAAATACTTTTTGTGGGCAAATCTATTAGCTGTAGTATTTGGGCTTAACTTTTTCTTCAAAATTAAATAGTGTCAAGAAGCTAAGAAAATAATAAGTTGATAATACTCTATCTTGGAAGAGATTTATGTTACACAATTGTATGCATTTCATAGAGCCTATTGACATATGTTTATGACTTGGGTATTTCACTGTATATAAATTTTTTATCAAAAGAAGTATAAACAAATATTGAATTCTAGCAAATGATGTGAATGCCAAACAATCCAGGAGGAAGTATAGTAGTATCTGCTACTTACTTTGACATGTAAAAAAATATTAAAATAGATGAATGGGAAAGGGATGATTAGACACGTGATTAAGCAAGTAGAGTAACATGTTAATTGTACAAACTACCCAATGAATATATGAAATATATTGAAATACATGAAAAATATTTCAACTTTTCAGTATGTTTGACATTTTGCCATAAATAAAGTTTCAAAAAATCATAATAAAAACCCAATAGTAAATAAATTAAAACATTCCATGTTCACATATTTTCATATTAACAAATATTTTTAGTAAAAAATCTTTAGATATGAAAATTCAAACCCCTGTGTAATAATTTAATATTTTGAATTGAAGGCTGTTGGCTTAAAATATAAATATTTTACAAATGTATTCCTTTGGTTCATTATTATCTATCTTCTTCCACAATCAATTCAATAGTTTGATAAGTCATTGATACTGGGTGAGATGATGCGGTTAAGGGGGAGTGCTAGGGACAGAGCATGGCGCATTCTCTGGGGAGAAGCCCCACATTAGGCTGAAGCCCAGAGTCAGCAGGGCTAAGCAGTCATATGGTGGCATCTTCACAGACAAGTTGTAACTTCACAGAAACTGAGTTGGTTTCAGTTCGAAGTAGCTAGAAAAAGATTTTCAAATGCATTTTAAAAAATAAGGTTTATTTTAAGGGCAGGAGCAACCTCACTATTCTGAGCTAGTAAGTTTTTGGATGTTTGTTCATTTGCTTGTTTATTTTTTTTAAGTGGGAATTCTAGAATCAGAATTGACATCCACATATCACAATAAATATATCTGTGGTAGATACTACATCCTAAAGTAGATTTCAAATCGCACAGAACATATTTAAGAAATACACTTGCTCAGGTTTCTGTAAGACAGATACATAAGACATAACGTACTAAAACTTTGTATTTGCCTAAATGTATAAATACATTTACCTTCCCAAGGAAATTTCTTTGTGTTACATAAAGAGTAGGCAATACAGTGCCCTGATAGAAATTCATGAGTGTGATCAATGAACTCAATTATGGCCCCATTCCAAGGATTTCCAGCTTTCCTTTACAATGATACATAGTTGCGTATGAACCTGACACTGCTCTCCAGATCTTTTCAATAAATAAGGATACTCTAGAGTATGTGTGCACATTCACTCTGCCTTTCTCTCTCTGTCTCTCTCTTTCACACACACACACACACTGGGTCCCCAGCTGATTTTCTTCGCAAGGTTAGTTGCTAATACATTCCTAGCACCCATGCATTATTAATGCTCCCCGCTCTCCAAGGTGGCAGTGACAAATAGGAAGCAAAATCTACTGACTAGTGGGGAATGTACTTTTTAGTCATGCTTGAATTTTTCAATCCATTCTGCTTGTTGAGGATTTTTCTGTACAGATTCTGTGACTGAATGTGCCTTTATATCCCTCTTCTCCTTTCACCCTTTCCCCACTTTTTGTTTTTCAAATCTAAGAGGCATTCAAGTAGACAGAGGAATTATGTAACAGGGCTTTGAGGGGGAGTAGAGCAAAAAGTAATTTTAAATAAAAATTTTGTTAAATACCTTTGAGAATTCCCAAAGCAGGAAGGTCATTGTTTCTCTTCACATGTAGTAAGCAGCAGTTTTTACTCCAAAAGGACTTGCATGTAGTTAAATAAATTGTACTATTTTAACTAGGTTATGCCAGCTTTAGTATTCCCAGAAATAATACCAAGTGTGTATCATGAGAAACATTGATTACTTAATGTGCAGATTTGTTTCTTCAGATATAAAATCGTATTCATTCTGTAATATAAGGAAGCAATCTGTGAAGTACATTCTGAGATGATTCTTGGGTACTATAAATCCCACTAACAGCTCTATTCATTTGTTTAATTCAAAATTACTTCATTTAAGGTATTATACCTTTGCACATGTGATGAGAAACTTTTAGAAAATACCTTTTTGATGTATAAAGATTTAATTTAATTGGTAGAGAACAAAGTAATTGGAATTCCCCCAGCAACTAGAGTTGGGAGCAAATCCTTTTTACTATGTTTCCCCAGTTTGAGGTTGGAAATCACAATCCTTTTTATTTTATTTTATTACTATTTAATTTCAATAGCTTTAGGGGTACAAGTTGTTTTTGATTACACGGATGAATTGTGTTATGGTACTCATCACCTGAGTAGTGTACATTGTACCAACTAGGTAGTTTTTCATCGCTCACCCCCTTCCCACTCTCCCCGCTTCTACATGTCCAATGTCCATTATAGTACTCTGTATGCCTTTATGCACCCATAATTTAGCTCCCACTTATAAGAGAAGATGCAATATCTGGTGTTTGATTCCAGAGTTACTTCATTTAGAATAATGGCCTCCAGTTCCATCCAAGTTGCTGCAAAAAAAAAAAAAAAAAAAAAAGTTACTTTGTTTTCTGAGGCTGAATAGTATTCCATGGTGTATATATACCACAGTTTCTTTATCCATTCTGGTTAATGGGCACTTAGGTTGATTATATATCTTTGCATTTGTGAACTGTGCTGTGATAAACATATGCGCGCAGGTGTTTTTTGATATCGTGACTTTTTTTCCTTTGAGAAGATACCAGTATTCAGATTGCTAGATTGAATAGTAGATCTACTTTTAGTTCTCTGAGAAATCTCCATGCTGTTTTCCAAAGAGGTTGCACTAATTTACATTCCCACTAGCAGTGTACACCATACCCACACCAATATCTACCGTTTTTGACTTTTTAATAATGGCCATTCTGGCAGGGGTAGGGTGGTATCTCATTGCAGTTTTAATTAGCATTTCCCTGATGATTAGTGATGTTGGGCATTTTTTCATATATTTATTGGCCATTGTATATCTTCTTTTTAGAAATGTCTATTCATGTCCTCTGCCCGCTTTTTAATTTTTTTTTATTAGTTTGAGTTCCTTGTAGATATTGGATATCATATGCATAATTTGTAACAATTAGAATCCTTAACATCAAATAGTCAATTACTACAATATTCTTGTTTGTGAATTATTAATAAACCACTTAAAATATGGTGATCACTTATTCTCATATCAGAGAAATTAATAATTCTATAAATTAAAAGATTGTAAGAACTAGAAAGTGATGGCAGAACCATGATCTTTTACGCAGTTACCATTTCTCCAAGGGGGAAGATACAAAAAAAATTTTGAATGTATATTTTCTACCTAATAATTTGCTAAGTGTTTTCAATATATTATCTCATTTATATATAACAAGGATTCTATGAAGCAGGTATTATTACATCTATTTTACAATTAAAATTAAAAACTGAGACAGAATAACTAATTTTGAACGGGCCTAATAAGTGGCAAATCTAAAATGAAATAATTCAATTTGATGTCAAAGTTCATGTTCTGTCTGCCACACAGTGGTTGCCTTCTTAGACCGTGAATTTCTGCATTACGTTATTATAGTTGGTTCTTATAGTTGCTTAGTAATGGTGATGGCACATGACCCAATGGAGTTATTTTTCAGTAGGTATCATTGGCTTAAACCCACTTAGAAGAGTTTTCTAACATAGATAATTGGCTCAAATGCATGACTTTTCTGTCCAAAATCTATTAGAGTACATTTTGTGCTGGGATCTAACACATGTATTGAGCCATGAAAAATTAGCTGAAATAATTAGTGCCCTCTTGAAGGTGATTGTTAAATTAATACCTGTGTATAAGTATAGAATCAGGTATTTTGCAAATAAAGGGAAAAAACTAAGGAAATCTTCTGTATGTCCAAGCATGTGAAATAGTCAAGTTAGGTATTCTAAAGTGAATATGAAATAAATAATAGAATAGTTCATAACATAGCTCTAAATGTTACTGTACTGCTGCTCTTCATGATAATTGAATCCAAGTAACAGCACACATAGCCACAAATCTTCCAAAAAGAATACCGTTTAATAAGGATATCAGATAAATCCACCTATAACCCACAAATACAACATAGCAGGGAAAACAATACAAAAACTTCTATTTGTATGTAAGTGCAAGAATAAACACCTGAAATTAGCAGTAATCTCTGACACCCTGGCAGAAAGCTGAGTCAGTCTTAGCTTCCACAAAAAAAGAGGAGAGTACCAGCAGGTCATGCAACTCAGTAAACCTAACCCTCAGAATTATTCAATCCCATCCTGATGGGAAAATGTACGGAAAGCAGGAGCAGGTTTGACACCTTATGGATTAGAACTCTAACGGCTTCAAAAGGAATTGGCTTGAAAGTGCATGGGATTAGAGGTGGCAATTCTGAGAAGGTAAAACTCTAGAGCAGATTGAAGCAATTTGGAAGGAAATGGAATAGTTTGAAGATTTGGGAAGAAGAGAAAAGAAGAAAGCAAGCAATCCTTTAGTGGTCCATAAAACAAAACAAAACAAAAATAGATTGTAGAATCAGAAGATGCACCAACCCATTCCCAATATGTAGAGTTAGTTAAAGAAATCAAACTGCTCTATATCAATAAAAGAGAATTCTACTAAACTAAGAAGTCTAGTAACTACTCAAGCCTTCCATATTTCACCTTTTATTGCTTGCCCTGAAAACTCTATCACATTTAAAAATGAATAACAACAAAATGGCAGGAACAACTCATGCAAAGTGACACATAAAAAACTAAACAAAACAGAAAGTGGCAATCAAAATTATTCAATTGATTAAGGTGTTAACAGAAACCTAAACTGGAAAACAGAATAAAACTGCAACTCAATACTACAATATAAATTAAACAAACATTATTTGGCAGATATGAAAGTCCATGCCAAATCAGAAGAGAAATAATGATAAAACTAAATGTATAACATAAGAGTTGACTAAAATCATGAAAAATTCCAAGAAAAAGACATAATTATCTCAGAAACATAGATCAGATTATTAGGTGCCCATGGAAAATTAGATTTGACTGAAAATATAGTTATGGCAAGAGACTTTGGAAAACAAAAGCAATCAAGAGAATGAAAACAAAATAAATTAGAAATGTGTAAAAGAAAGTAATACATATAGAGGAAAGGCAAAGAAATTACTTCTAGTCTTTCTAGTCCCATCAACTTGCACATTCCAATGGAGATTTTCTCCAAGTTCCACTAGTTAGTGAACAGAGAGTCCTAGTGTCACCAGACCAGGCTTTGCTGAATTCTAAGGCTGGGCAAAGTTGAGTTTGAAAATGGCACAATTATTCAGGTTAGCTGAGTTGGGACTTGGGTAGGTAAAGATGATCATCTAAGTACCAGTTGCACTGGACCAAGAAAGATAAATAATGCAAAAAGCATGATTCCACTCTCAATAGTTTCCAGTGTTGCCAGGAAGACAATATGAGAGTGCTTGTAAGACACCACACCCAAGTGATTCATTTCTTATGGGAGATAAAGGTTAAATTGTACTGGAAGCTTAGAGGTGAGAAAAACCATCACCATCTGGGGGCAGAAGAGATCACCTATTCCAAAGATATTGCAATTGCTTAAAACTTTTTTGCAACTTGAACTTTGAAAATGTTTTTACAATAAAAACAAAATGTTAGTCATGTTCTCACCAAAGTACACATCACCCTTTTTATTAACCCATGCTGTTCACTAGATAAGACTCCAAATGTTTTTATTCTGTTCTTAAAAATCAGATTCACTAATCAAAGTTACAAAACATGCCGTCATTCTAGGTAAAGGTACAGGCTCTGAACTCCTCCCAAAAGTATGTTTAAATCTGTTATTTTCAAAAGTGATATTGTTAGAGTTATAAGAATATATTCTTAGGGTTGTGATTCACAACACCACGCATCTTTGAATATATACATTTCACATATGTTTTTTAAAAATCTGTCAAATTATAGTCATATCTCAAGTGAAATAAGTAAACCATTATGACTGAATTCTTCCTTTAAGAAATCTTTGCCTCTGCACAGGTTCTCTCCAGTTGACAGCTAGAATATTCTTTTAAACTATAGATGAATTTTCTTGTCATTGTGCTAATAAAATCCTGTAATAGCTTCCAGTGAAGTGTCACAGCTTTAAGATGCTACACGAGAAAGCCCCTGTTCAACATTTGTCTCCATTCCCTCCATGACCCCGAAGTGACAATTTTCCAGTCACACAGCATCCTTGCACTTTCTTGAACAGACCAAGCTTCATCCAGTCTAAGTGCCATCACCTCAGCTCTCCCTGCTTCTCAAAAGGCATTTTCTCCAAGTCTTTATGTAGCCACCACCTGCTCTTTCTTTATCAAGCATTAACTCAAAGCTACCTCCACAAAGTGTGCTTTCTCAGCCATCTTATCTAAACTAATGCCAATTCTGCCTGCCCCTGCCCTGCTGGTCCACAAATCTGTGTTCTAATAGTACCTACTCCAGGTATATTCGATTAAGTGTTTATTGTCCGTCACCCTAAATGGTAAGTCCCATGTCTCTTTTTCAGTGCATAACATAATATTGTACACTAGACAATTTAGCTTATCATAATTTTTTAAACTAATTTTTTAAAAATTAGTCTAGGGCCGGGCGCGGTGGCTCACGCCTGTAATCCTAGCACTTTGGGAGGCTGAGACTGGCGGATCACGAGGTAGGGAGATCGAGACCATCCTGGCTAACACGGTGAAACCCCGTCTGTACTAAAAATACAAAAAATTAGCCGGGCGTGGCGCCTGTAGTCCCAGCTACTCCGGAGGCTGAGGCAGGAGAATGGCGTGAACCCGGGAAGTGGAGCTTGCAGTGAGCTGAGACCGCGCCACCGCACTCTGGCCTGGGCGACAGAGCAAGACTCTGTCTCAAAAATAAATATATAAATAAAATTTAAAAAATAAAAATTAGTCTACCATGGTTAGACCATATTTATTAAATAAATATGTGATTCAATGAATGAGGGATTAAAATAATAAATACATAAATGAAGATAGTGGAATTCGATTCATCTCATTCAGCTTTTCTCCCTTCTGATGGCTTATAAGAAAATAGTTGCTTCCCTGTGGGAAGGAAAAGAAAGGTATCCTTTATTCCCCCACTTCTTAGGGTTTATTACAAATAAGTGTGGGACTAAGGAAACTTAGTTTAAAATATAATGATGAACTAAATCTAGTGTTCAATGTTATGTTACCTGACTGCCATGTTCTTCAATCCTTCTTCAACTAAACACTCACATAGAGTTTGTTAACTGATATTAAAAATGAAAAGGGAAAAATACACAGACATCATGTGCATCCAGTTTCACATTTATTGATAAGTAAAAATACAGGCTACTGTATTGTTCTCCTACTGGCAAACAGACACAAGAGCAAGGAGGAAATACAGGTATTTCAGAGGAAAATGACAGCTGATGGATAGCTCCCTAAGATGATTGTTTTTGAACTATTTTCAAAGCTATGCTACCTTTTCCATTCTAAATTATGGAGACTTGAATTTTCTTTGACTCAAAGCAGAGTCTAGAGACAAGTGACAGTTACCAAATACAAGGGCGCCATGCAGTTCAAATTTATAAAATAGCAAATATGACAACGCACATTTTTATATTTCCTCGTGTGAGTGGATTTTATTATTTCTGATAGTGACTCAGCCATTAGATAAGACGGGTAAGTATCACTGGACAGGCATTGATAGAAATGGAAAAAAAAAAGCAAAGATCAGGAGCAGAATGAAACTCTATTCTTTTCAGTTCTCGACAGTTTCTTTTATTTAAAGTTTCCAAGTATTATCTATGAATGTCACTTTTTAAACCATTGTGGTGAAAAGCTCATTATCAAGGCCATCACAAACAAAAGGAAAATTATTTTGTGTGTTTTAAAAAGTAAGGAGTAATTATTATGGCTGAGGAAAAAATCAATTCATTCTTTTTTGTGTTGTTCAGTTCTTATTTTTTCTTTATCTTTAGCTTTAAATGATGTCTAGTCCAGAGGCGTGAGGCCATGAAGTCCCTTCATGGTGCTTCTCCGGGGAAAAGCAAAAATAAATAAAGAGAAAAAGCTTGGAATGAAAACAGCGAATATAAAGTCTTTATTCAAAAGCATTAGAGAAGCTAAAATATTGATATGCTTCTCTACCTATAGGCTATGGATATCTGCATATTTTTCTGAACGCCAAAGTCATGCATTTTATGGTGAAGGTTTTGTGTGAAAGCATGCCATGCTACAGTGCTGCATTTCATTATTATGGGATATAAATCCTCACATAGCATATTTTTCCTCACAGAGAATCTGTAGCTATATCTTATTCTGGCACTGTGAGTTTGTTTCCTGAATAGACTCACTTAAAATCTGGAGGAGAGGAAGGAGAGAAAGACAGGGAGATAAGGGAGAGAGAGAGCAAAATATAGGGGGAGAGACAGAAAAAAGGAAGGAAGGAAGCAAGGAAGGAAGGAAGGAAAGAAGGAAGGAAGGGAAGGAAGGAAGAAAGGAAAGAAGGAAGGAAGGAAGGGAAGGAGGGAGGGAGGGAGGGAGGGAGGGAGGGAGGGAGGGAGGGAGGAAGGTTGGTTTAAAAATTAGCAACCATAAAAGCCATGAGTTCATGAAGGAAACTAGTCAAACAAACTTTTTGGCAAAATATGATAGTTTAATGAAGAAGTAGCATCTCATGTTTTTATACAGAGAATCTTAGTCTATAATGGAATCCACTGCATGAGTCTTTGGAAATGTTATAAAGCATTGGCCTGGTAGCTCTTTCAGAGCCCTGTATGTACAGACTTTCATTTTATTAAAAAATAAGATATCATGATTTTACTTGGAAGACTGATGGGTGCATCAGCTAAATATAGTACAGTCTGACTTTTTAAATTTTATTTTGAGGAAATTTTACTAATTACTCTATAACTAAAATAGCAACATGGGTTATATTACTTTAGGCAAGAAACGACCTATAGAAATATATATTTAAACATGAACTCAACACACACTATGTGACTGCACTTCATTTATTCTTTTGCCTTTAGTATGAACCACTGGGACTCACAATTGCTATCACAGGACAGAATTAAGTAGCATATTCCCAGAGCCCAACTCCATTAGAAGACATAGACTCTTTGTCACTCTAGGTCAGCTGTGAAAGAGAAGAAGGCACAAGTGCAGAAAGGCTAAGGAAGTCTCCTCTCCCTAGGTAAAAGGTTCAGTGCCATTTTTATCATGCATTTTAACCCAATGACTTTGTCATAATCTCTGGGGAATCTTCCCATTTACTTAATTAATTATTTATTGGTTATGGTAACTATAGCACAAAAGAATTTGTTTATACACAAGCCATTCGCTGGTGACCTTTAGTTGAGGTGTACTTTCTAGTTCTCTCTGATGTCTGTAATGCAAAAATGTTGAATAATAGTGAAAAAATGGGACAGTAAGATTAGGTGACTTGGTCCAGTTGAAATAGTTACGTATACTCACAGTACGATAGGAATTTTTAAACTTCAGGCTACCATTGGCATCATATTCAAAGCATGGACTGTATTTAGGGTAATCATGTAATTTATGGTCCTGGCCACAACAATTTTGGAAGTAGAAGAGGGCATTATTAATACACCAAAAAAGCAAGCACAAAACTGGGTATGTCTCAGGCAAATTGGGTATATGGTCACTTAATTATCTCATGATTCTACCAAAGAAAGTTCCATGGTTTCAACTAAAAGCTAGTTTAATTACTGAAAAATATGCACAGTTCAGGGGAAAAACTAGGTGGGTCAACATAAGTTCACCAGGCCTTAGGGGAGAGACATAGATGAGAAAATAGGTTACATTTATGCTTTTTCTCTTTTAAAATGTTGCCTTTGAATTAAATAAAGCAATAAAATCTTAAAATTTCTAGTGAAATAGGTGAGTTCATTCCTTGACTTTAAATTTGATTCCCTATTTAGAAGTATTTATTAAGCTTGAGAACATTAATTTATTCAATCATTCATGTAATCATTAAGAATTATTAATAGTTTACTATATTTAGGCACAGTTCCCAGTGCAAGGGTTATAAATATGAGTAAGATAAAGTCACTGCCCTCAAAAAGTTACAGAAGACCAAGAGAGTCTATAACAAACAGTGAAACAGGTGTATGATAATAATGTTAAAAATTCATACAGCATATTATGGAAGTTTTTGAAGGCAATAGCCCATGACACATATGTATTCTGCTAATCATATAATGAGAACTACACAGATATGGTCTCTCCCTCATGGAAGTAACATTTAACTTACATAAGGGTTGAAGGGAGAGAACAGAAACCACAATGAAATGAATATATAAAAAAATGTTAGCAAGCAACCATTAAAAATATTTATTTTTAAAATGTACGAATATTTTTAAAATGTACAAATGTTTTTAAAAAGTGTTCATTTTAGAAAATGGACAGTTTCTTCCTTTTCTCCTGTATTTTTCCACTCATTGAATTTGAGTTAGCCTAGTGACTCTATGAAGAACATAATGTTGGGGAACCAAAGTTGTACAAGTTGTAAGTCTGAGCTTTGAGAAACCTTCCATGCTTCCTCCTGCTCTGGGGACCCCTAATATTGCAACCAAGTGAACAAGCCAGGGATATCCTCTTGTCTGATAAAACAGGAGAGCCATGTTGCCCAAGCTGACAATCATCCAACTTGCAGCCTTATGGAAGAGGCATGAGTGAGCCCTGAAGAGACTAGAAAAATATCCAGCAAAACTCAGTACAAATATCCAGCAAAACTCAGCATAAAAACACCATCACAAGAACCAAAAATCAGGTGAGTGATCACAGTCCCTGGCTTTAAGTTTATATTGCTGAAAGAGCATTGAAGAGGGTAGGAGAGACAGTCTTAAATTGCCGATGCCACCCCTCCCCTATCCCCTGGCAGCAGCCATATGGCATAGAGAGACTGTGCACATAGGAGAGGAAGACTGCAGTGACTAAGGGTCTTTACACTATACTCAGTCCAGTCCTGTCACAGCGAAGAGCAAAGCCATGCTGAGTTCAACTAGCACTCATGCATGGAGAGAGCATTTGGACCAGACCTAGCCAGGGGGGAGTCACCCATCCCCATGGCTGGAACTCAAGTTTCTCAGCAAGCCTGGCCTACATGGGCCAATGTGCTCTGGGGTCCTATGTAAACTTGAAAGGTGGTCTAAGACACAAAGACTGCAATTCCTGGGCAACTCCTAGTGCGGGGCTAGGCTCAGAGCCAATGGACTAGCGTAGCACGTGACCTAGGGAGACACCAGATAGGGTGGCTAAGGGAGTGCTTATGCCACTCCCACCCCAACTACAGGCAGTGCAGCTCACAGAAACAAAAGTGAATCCTTCCTTCTGCTTAGGAGAGGAAAGTGAAAAGCAAAGAGGTCTTTGTCTTGCATCTTTGATACCAGCTCAGCCATAATAGTGTAAGGCAGAGTCATGAGGCCCCCATTCCAGGCCCTAGCTCATGGATGAGATTTCTAGACACACTCTGGGCCATAGAGAACCCACTGCCTTAAAGGGAAGGTCCTGGCAGGATGCATCACCTCCTGACTGAAGAGCTCTTGGGCCCTGAATAACCAGCAGCAATACCCAGGTAGTATGCCACAGGCCTTGGGCTCTGAGACATGCTAACTTCAGGTGTGATCCAGGACATTCTTAGCTATGGTGGCTATGGTGAAAGAAATCTTATTTCAGAAATGCAGAGGTAAAAGTAAAGGGGATTTGTCTTGCAGCTTAGGTGTTAGCTTAGCCATAGTGGCGTAGAGAAACAAGCAGGCTCTTCTGGTCCCTGAGTCCAGACCTAGGCTCCTGGACTGCATTTCTGGACCTGCTCTGGGACAGAGGAGAGCCCATTTCCCTGAAGGTTGAGTCTAGGCCTGGCAGGATTCAACACAAGCTGACTGATAGCCCTTGGGCTCTTTGTAAACACTGGTGGTGGTCGGGCAGAATTCTGGCATGTGATAGTAATGGTGAGCCCCAGTGGTTCATACCAAAGGCAAAAAAACAAACGAAGTGCAGTCACATACTGTATGTTGAGTTTATGTTTAAATATATATTTCCATAGGTAGTTTCTTGCCTAAAGTAATATAACCCATGTTGACATTTTGTTTATTAGGATAATTGGTAAAATTTCCTTAAAATGAAATTTAAAAAGTCGAACTGTATAATATTTAGCTGATCTACCCACCAGCCTTCCAAGTAATATCATGACATCTTATTTTTTAATAAAATGAAAGCCTATACATACAAGGCTCTGAAAAAGCTACCAGGCCAATGTTTTAAAACATTTCCAAAGACTTATACAGTGGTTTCCATTATAGAATAAGATTCTCTGGATAAATACATATGATTCTACTTCTTCATTAAACTATCACATTTTGCCAAAAAGTTTGTTTGACTAGTTTCCTTCATGAATTCATGGGCTGGCAGTGGTGGTGGCCACAGGGAGAGGCTCTGCTGCCTGTGAAAAGGGGAGATACAAGTGGAAAGGACTTCAGATTGTGGTTTGAGTGCCAACTTAGCCACAGTAGAATAGAACATCAATTAAACTTCTAAGAATTTTGACTCTAATCTCTGACTTCCAGACAGCATATCCAGATCAACCCAGGGCCAGAGAGAACTCGTTGCCCTAAAAAGAAGGACACAAACCAGGTTGGCTTCACCACCTGTTGACTGTAGAGCCCTAGGGACTTGAGTTAACATAGGTGGTAGCCAAGTAGTGATGACAGTAGTCCTTGGGTGGGACCCAGTACTGAGCTGGTTTCAGGTCCGACCCAGTACAGTCCCAGTGGTGGTGTTCACAGAGGTGCTTGCATGCCCCTAGTTCCAGGCAGCTCAGCACAGAGTAAGAGATTCCATTTGCTTGGGAGAAAGTAAGTGAAAAGAACAAGTCTCTGCCTGGTAATTCAGAGAATTCTTCCAGATCTTATATAAGACCACCATGGTAGTACCTCCATGAGTCTGCAAAGACTACAGCATTTTTGGGCTTTAGGCCCAAGTCCCTTGGAATATGTGGAAAACCTTCGCAAAAAGGATGGGCACAATAAGCTACGCCTGTGAAGACTACAATAAAAATTTAATTTTTCAATGCCACGACACCGACAAACATAAACAATCATCAAGATCATCTGAGAAAACATGACCTCACCAAATAAACTAAATAAGACACAAGGAACAAGTCTTGAAGAAACAGATCTGTGGCCTTTGAGACAGAGAACTGAAAATAGCTGTTTTGAGAAAACCCAAAGAAATTCAAGGTAACACAGAGAAGGAATTCAGAATTATATCAGAGAAATGTAACAAAGAGATTAAAATAATTAAAAATAATCAAGAAGAAATTCTACAGTTGAAAAATACAATTTATATAGTCAAGAATGCATCAAGTCCCTTAATAACAGAAATTATCAACCAGAAGAAAGAATTAGTAAGCCTGAAGACAAGCTACTTGAAAATACATAGTCAGAGGAGACAAAAGAGAAAAGAATAAAAAAGTAATGAAGCATGCCTACAAGATCTAGAAAATAGCCCCAAAAGGGCAAATAGTGAATTATTGGCCTTGAAGAGGAGTCAGAGAAAGAGATAGGGATAAAAAGTTTATTCAAAAGAATAATATCAGAGAACTTCCCAAACCTAGAGAATGATATTAACTTTCAAGTACAAGAAGGTGATAGAACACCAAGCAGATTTAACTCAAAGAAGACTACCTCAAGGCATTTAATAATCAGACTCCCAAAGGACAAGGATAAAGAAAGGATCCAAAAAAACAGCAAGAGAAAAGAAACAAATAGCATACAATGGAGCTCCAATATGTCTGGCAACAGACTTTTCAGTGGAAATCTTATAGGCCAAGAGAAAGTGGCATGACATATTTTAAGTCCTGAAGGAAAAAACTTCTACCCTAAAATACTGGATCCAACCAAAATTTCCTTCAAAGTATGAAGAAGAAATAAAGACCTTTTCAGACAAACGAAAGCTGAGGGATTTCATTAACACCAGACCAGTCCTATAAGAAATGTTAAAGGGACGTCTTCAGTTGAAAGAAAAGGATGTTAACATGCAAGAATAAATCATCTGATGGTGAAAAAAAAGAAAAAAAAAAGAAAATCACTGGTAATGTAAGCACGCAGAAAATCCCAGAATAGCATGACACTGTAATTGCAGTGTGTAAACTAGTGTTATCTTAAGTAGAAAGACTTAGTAATGAACCACGCAAAAATAACAACTACAAGAACTTTTCAAGACATAGGCAGAATAAGACATGAAGAGAAACAACAAAAAGTTAAAAAGTTGGGGGACAGGCCGGGTGCAGTGGCCCATGCCTGTAATCCCAGCATTTTGGGAGGCTGAGGCAAGTGGATCACCTGAAGTCAGGATTTCAAGACCAGCCTGACCAACATGGAGAAACCCCATCTCTACTAAAAATACAAAATTAGCTGGGTGCGGTGGCACATGCCTGTAATTCCTGCTACTCTGGAGGCTGAGGCAGGAGAATTGCTTGAACCAGGAGGCGGAGGTTGCAGTGAGCCAAGATCGTGCCATTTTACTCCAGCCTGGGCAACAAGAGTGAAACTCCATCTCAAAAAAAAGAAAAAAAATGTGAGGGGACAAAGTTAAAGTGTAGAGTTTTTATTAGTTTTGTTTTTATGTGTTTGTTTATGCAATCAGTATTAAGTTGACATCACTTTAAAATAATGGGTTATAAGGTAGTGCTTTCAAGCCTTATGGTAACCCCAAAGCAAAAAACATACAACAAATACACAAAAATTAAAAATCAAGAAATTAAAGCATACCACCAGAAAAAAAATAAAATAAAATAAAACAACACCTTCACTGAAAGGAAGACAGGAAGGAAGAGAAGATCAAAAACAACCAGAAAACAAATAACAAAATGGCAGTAACTCCCTACTTATCATTAATAACATTTAATGTAAACAAACTAAACTCTTCAATCAAATGACATAGACTGTCCAAACGGACATAAAAAAGCAAGATCCAATTATCTGTTGCCTACAATAAATAAACTACACCTATAAATACTGAAAATAATGGGATAGAAAAAGATATTCCATGCCAGAGGAAATAAAAAAACAGCAAGAATAGCAATACTTATATCAGACAAAATATATTTCAAAACAAAAACTCTAAGAAGAGACAAAGGAGGTAATTATCTAATGAGAAAAAGGTCAATTCAACAAAAGGATATAATGATCATAAATATATATGCACCCAACACAGGAGCACTCAGATATATAAAGCAAATATTATTAGAGCTAAAGAGAGAGATAGATCCCAATGCAATAACGGCTGGAGACTTCAACACTGCACTTTCTGCACTGGACAGGTCTCCCAGAGGAAAAAATCAACAAAGAAACATAAGACTAAATCCGTATAATAGACCAAATAAACCCAATAGATATGTATGGAACATTTCATGCAACAAGTTACAGGAAGAAAAGAGAGAAGACCCAAATAAATAAAGTCAAAGATATAAAGGAGACATTACAACTGATACCACAGAAATTCAAGGTCCCTAGTGGCTACTGAGAACAACTATATGCCAGTAAATTGGAAAATCTAGAAGAAATGGATAAATTCCTAGACACATAAACTTACCAAGATTGAACCATGAAGAAATCCAAAACTTGAACAAGTCCAATAACAAGTAACGAGATTGAAGCCATAATAAAAAGTCTCTCAGTCCAAGAAAGACTGGTACATGATGGCTTCACTGCTGAATTCTAACAAACGTTTAAAGAAGAACTAAAACCAATCTTACTCAAACTATTCTGAAAAATAGAGGAAGAGGGAATATTTCCAAACTTATTCTATAAAGCCACTGTTACACCAATACCAAAACCAGACAAAGACACATCAAAAAATGAAAACTACAGGTCAGTATCACTGATAAATATTGATGCAAAGTCCTCAACAAAATACTGGCAAACCAAATTCAACAATACATTACAAAGATCATTCATGTTAATCCAGTGGGATTTACCCTGGGAAGCAAGGCTGGTTCAACATATGCAAATCAATCAATGTGATATATGATATCAACAGAATGACAGACAAAAATCATATGATTTTTTCAATTGATGCTGAGAAAGCATTTGATGAAATTCAACATGCCTTCATGACAAAAACTCTCAAAAAGTGGGTATAGAAGGAACATATCTCAACATAACAAAAAGCTATATATAACAGACATACAACTAGTATCTTACTGAATGGGGAAAAACTGAAAGCCTTTCCTCTAAGGCCTGGAATATGACAAGAATGCCCACTGTCACCACTGTTACTCAACATAGTACTAAAGTCCTAACTAGAGCAACTAGACAAAAGAAAAAAATAAAGGGCATCCAAATTGGAAAGGAAGATGCCAAATTATTGTTATTTGCAGGTGATAAGATCCTATATTTGGAAAAACCTACAGATTCCACCAAAAATGTATTAGAATTTATAAATTCAGTAAAGTTGCAGGACAGAAAATTAACATACAAAATTTAATAGCATTGTTATATACTAATAGTAACCATTCTGAGAAAAAACGTTTTAAGTAACGTAATTTACAATATCCACAAATAAAATTAAATACCTAGGAATTAACCAAAAAACTGAAAGATCTCTATAATGAAAGTATAAAACACTGATGAAAGAAATTGAAGATGACACAAAAATGAAAGATATTTCATATTCATTAAATCAATATTGTTAATCCGTACAATCCAAAGAAATCTACAGATTGAATGCAATCTCTGTCAAAATACCAATGACATTATTCACAGAAATAGAAAAAAAAAACCCTAAAATTTATATGGAACCACAAAAGACCCATAGTAGCCAAAGCTATCCTAAGCAGAAAGAACAAAACAGGAGGAATAACATTATCTAACTTCAAATTATATTACAGAGCTATAATAACCAAAAAAGCATGGTACTGGCATAAAAATAGACACATAAACCAATGGAACAGAATAGAGAACCCAGAAATACATTCACATACCTACAGTAAATTCATTTTTGACAAGGGTACCAAGAAACATCCATTGAGGAAAAAATAGTCTTTCCAATAAATAGTGCTGGGAAAACTAGATATTCATATGCAGAACAATGAAACTAGACCCTTATCTCTTGCCATATACAAAAATCAAATCAAAAATGGGTTAAAGTCTTAATTTTAAGACCTCAAGCTATGAAATTACTACAAGAAAACACTGGGGAAATTATCCAGATCATTTGTCTGGGCATAAAACTTTTTAGTAATACACCACAAGCACAGGTAACCAAAGCAAAAATTGATAAATCAGATCACATCAAGTTAGAAAGCTTCTGCACAACAAAGGAAACAATAAAAAAATGAAGAGAGAACCCACAGAATTGTATAAAATATTTGCCAATTACCCATCTGATAAAGAATTAATAGCCAGAATATATCAGAAGCTCAAACAACTCTATAGAAAAAAACATAGTAATCCGATTTAAAAATGGGCAAAAATTTGAACAAACATTTCTCAAAAGAAAACATACAAATGGTAAATAGGCATATGAAAATGTGCACATCACTGATCATCAGAGAAATGCAAATCAAAACTACAAGGAGATCTCATCTCACCTTAGTTAAAATGGCTTTTATCCAAAAGACAGGCAATAACAAATGCTGGTGAGGATGTGGAGAAAAGGGAATCCTTGTTCACTGTTCGTAGGAATGTAAATTAATTCAACCACTATGGAGAACAGTTTGGAGATTCCTCAAAAAAACTGAAAATAGAGCTTCCATATGATTCAGCTATCCCACTTCTAGATATATATCCAAAAGAGAGGAAATCAGCACATTGAAGAAATATCTTCACTCCCATGTTTGTTGCAGCACTGTTCACAATAGTCAAGACTTGAAAGCAACCTAAAAGTCCATCGACAAATGGATGGATAAAGAAAACGTGGTACATATACACAATGAAGTACTATTCACCCAAAAGAAAAAATGAGATTCTGTCGTTTGCAACAATATGGATGAAACAGGAGGTCATTATATGAAACGAAATAAGCCAGGCAAAGAAAGACAACACATGTTCTCACACACTTGTGGGATCTGAAAATCGAAACAATTGAACTCATGTAGATAGAGAGTAGAAGAATGGTTCCCAGAGGCTGGGTAGGGTAGTGAGTGGGAGGAGGGAGGTTGGGATGGTTAATGGGTACAAAAAAATGGAAAAATGAATAAGACCTAGTATTTGATAGCACCACAGTATGATTATGGTCAATAATAAATTAATTGGACATTTAAAAATGACTGAAAAAGTATAATTGGACTGTTTATAATACAAAAGATAAATGCTTGAGGGGACGGATATTCCAGTATCTATGATATGATTATTATGCACTGCGTGCTTGTATTGGAATATCTCATGTAGTCCATAAATATATACACCTATTATGTCCCTATAAAAATTAAAAATAAAACATTTCTTTAAAAAGCGAACTGGATTCTATATAAATCCATACACATACAAGTATGTATATACATATATAATTATATTTTTATTGAAATATATATGTTCATGTGGGTCCGTTATAGGTTTTATATATTCATTATCTTATATGAACATACATGTATATAGCCATATAGGTCTTTTTTTTTTTTTCTTTTTTTTTTTTGAGACTGAGTCTTGCTCTGTTGCCAGGCTGGAGTGCAGTGGCATGATCTCGGCTCACTGCAACCTCTGCCTCCCGGGTTCAAGTGATTCTCTTGCCTCAGCCTCCCGTGTAGCTGGGATTACAGGCACCTGCCACCACGCCCAGCCAATTTTTGTATTTTTGTAGAGATGGGGTTTCACCATGTTGGTCAGGCTGGTGTTGAAGTCCTGACTTCAGGTGATCTGCCTGCCTGGGCCTCCCAAAGAGCTGGGATTACAGACGTGAGCCACTGTGCCCAGCTGTGAATTTTAACATGAGCCCAGAGTTCTCCATTTACTTTCTTCTAGCAACTTACCAGGAAAAGTTTCTTCCAAACACCCCCCACTCCCAAAATAGAAGAGATAAATGACTAGTATTTCTTTTGCTGACTATGTGAAACTGCTATTGGATGTGTTGGTACGTGGAGAATGGACTGTTTAAAGGAGGTACCCAGGGGTTGGTCACTGTTGCTCTCAGAGCTCCAGATGATGCACAATGTGCTACATGGCTATAAAAAGAATAACACAGTGGGGAAAAATGTTGGGGTGGTGGGAGGAGCAGAGCCCTTAGAGATGCTCAGGTTGACATTTCTCCTTCTAGATGAGTTAGTGGGAAGAATGTGCTTCCGTGTATTGAAATAGCTTCAGATGTATTTGGCTTAAGTATTTTTTGAAAAAAAAAAAACTTTGCTACATCTCTCTCTCTAAATTTCTTTGATTAAAATTGCTACATTCTGCAATTTGAGAAAATGGAAATTTTGACTAGAAGTTTAGGGAGAAGACAGGAGAGACAAATATGTGGAAACATTGTATCTACATAAGTAAAGATACCCTAGGTTAAACACTTCCTACATGTTCCTACTTAGGAGTAACTGAGTCATAGTAAATAGAACCCAGAAAACTGGATATTTGAAATGTATCATCTAAGATAAATTGAGATGACCTGGAGATTACAGATATAAAACATGAAGTCAATACTGAAAATAAATAAAACATTGGAATTATGGATGGCTCAGTTGTAGGCCCTCTTTTTTCTTACTCTCTTCTCTCACTCCATGAAACCGCTTTCTTGCCCATGTTTAATTGACATGCCACTAACCCTCAGGTTTATATTCTTAGCCAGAAATCTTTTTATTTCTGTACCTGTATATTCACTTGACTATGTCACTTTTAAATGTCACAAAGACACTGAATTCTCACTGAGTCCATAATTGAAATGATGATTTTCTCAGCAAGATTGGATTTCCTTCCACTTTCCTTTATTGGCAAATGTCCCAGCCATCCATCCAGTTCTGTGACTGAGAAATCCATGAGTTATTTGTGACACTTAATATTTCCTCACTCTAGATCTGATATTTATAAGGTCCTATCTGTTTTATGCACTAAAACCTCTGCAAACATCCACTTCTCTTCCTCTCCATTGCCATTTTCCTAGTGCAGTGTATTATCAAGGGTTTCTAGAAGGACACAACTAATAGGATCTTTGCATATAGGAGAGGGAGTTTATTAAGAATTGACTCACAGGATCCCAAGGTAAAGTACCACAACAGGCTGTCTGCAAGTTGAGAGCAAGGAAGCCAATGGTGGATCAGTCCAAGTCCCAAAGCCTCGAAAGTAGGGAAGCTGACAGTGCAAACTTCACTCTGTGGCCAAAGGCCCAAGAGCCCCTGGTAAACCACTGGTGTAAGTCCAAGAGTCCAAAAGCTCAAGAACTTGGAGTCTGATGTTCGAGGGCAGGAAGCATCCAGCATCGGAGAAAGAGGAAGGCCAGAAGACTCAGCAATTCTGCTCTTTCATCTTATCCTGCCTGTTTTATTCTTGCCTACCTGGCAGCTGATTGAATGGCACCCACCCAGGTTGAGGGTGGGTCTGCCTCCCTCCAGTCCACTGACTCAAATGTTAATCTCCTTTGGCAACACCCTCACAGACACACCCAGGAACGATATTTTGCATTCTTTAATCTGATCAAGTTGACACTCAATATTAACCATCACATGCAGCTACTATCAGTCCTGCTTGGACTGCTTCCACAGCCTTCAGATTTTCCTCTCCATATCCACCCTTATCCTCTAATCCTCTCTCACCACTGTAGCTAGCATGATCTTGCAAAAATGCAAGTATGATCATTTTTCTATTCAAAACTCAATAGCTTTTAATTTTTTTAATTACCAAGACAAAAATATTTATCATGGTCCAGAAGGTTCTGCATGAACTTAACTGTGCCTGTTTTTCTGCTAATTCCTCTCTCTTTTGAGTTCAGATGTCCAGGTGATTCAGGCAAAGTAATACCTTTGTTTCTACGTGGAGAACACTCCGCTTTCCTCATTGTTGGGTGTAAGTTGCTCCCTTTGCTTCCACCCCACCCTCATCTTCCTCCTCCAGTAATTCCTACTCACTTTTCAGATATTAGCTGAGGGATGACTTCCTCAGGAAACTCGTTTCTGACCATTATGTCCCAGGCTAGTAAGGTCCCCCAGCTTAGCTTTATCATTCACATTATTTTTCTTTCAGAACACTTATAATTAGTAGTTAAATACTTTCTTGGTTGTTAGATTGGCTGTCCGGATTTGTGCTGTCAATAAAGTAGCCAGTAGTCACATAAGGCTATATAAATTTACTTAGACATTTAAAAAAATTTGTTCTTCAATCAATCTATCCACTTTTCAAGTGTTCAATAGCCACATTGACTACTTATGATTGTATCAGACACTGCAAATACAAAGCATTTCGTCACTGCAGAAAGTTCTATTGGGTAGTGTAGGCCTTGATTCTATTCGCTGTGAAAGTAGAGTCAATACCCATTTGCTCAGCATTAAAAGCCACTTTCTAGTAGATGCCTATACATATATATATATAGTTTGCTTGTTATTGAAGGGAAATCTCCCCAGTCCTTAGATCAAGCTTTTTTGTTCTATATTATGAAATGATTTTAATAAAATTCTTCATACTGGATTTGTTTACTTCCTAAAAGATTAATGAATTTGCTCATATGCTCATGTCATCATGGTTTAATATAGCACACATTGATGGTCCCATTTTTAATTCAGTGTTGTCCTATAACTCATAGCTAAAATTTTCCTAAATCTGATTCTAGGTACTGATGATTTAGTAACATCTCAAGATTAAGAACCTCTGTGGTTTAAGGGCAAACAATTCTCTTCAAGTGTTCCTAAATCACATCGGCCTCTCCTTTTAAATTGCAATATCACCTTTTTCCTGTGTAGATTGATCATGGAACAGTTGGCTAGCATCCATATCTTTAAATCAGACATGCACTGGTAGAGCAGGCAGGTTGTGGAAGGAATGAGAAACAAGGCCAGCGAAGCTCATCTTAAGTCATTCTATCACAACCTTGAGTCAGGATACCTTCTAGTCTGTCACCTCTGCAGGAGCGACCAGAGGATGGCTTCACCTGGAACTCTTATTTTTCCTTGTCTTTCCACTAAAATATTGAGGACTTTAAAAAACTGAAAAGAAAGACAATTATTTGTATGAATGTGGGATCCAAATTCCTGACCACTTTGAAATGAAATGAACTGTCAAAGAGGCCCTGGGGCATTTACATCTGATCCACCACCTAAGGCCAAACACAGTCTGGCACCTTCCACGGATTGATGTTAGGGCCTTGGTAAACTTTTTGAAAGAAACTCAGAGATTCTCTGAGATGACAGAATTCTCTAACTGTTCTCTAAACAATTAGAGAGTACAAGATTCCATTCAAAAGCAGATTAACTTTTGTGAATAAAGATTTAACTTTATCATAAATAAAGGAGCATCTGCACTTAAGAAAATGAATTCCTTTGGACAATCACAATTCAGTGAATATGTAATTCTTTTCAATTAACAAGGACTACCTTGATTTTAAAAACTTAGCATCATAGTATAGACAAGATCAGGATTCTTCCAGTGTGTAAGATTAGCAGAATATAGGTCATAAAACTTCAGAACGCTGAGTTTAGGCAGAGATAATGGTTTGGATTTTTAGTTTCATTTTATCATTTGCTATATCCATGGTTGGAAGGCTTGAAAGTTAACATCAAAAGATAACTCTCTGGCACTTCTAGATTCTTTGTTCATAATTATGCATATCATAAGTGTATAATTATTCTATAAATTTTTTTTTTCTGAGATGGAGTCTTTCTCTGTCGCCCAGGCTGGAGTGCAGTGGGGTGATCTTGGCTCACTGCAATCTCCACCTCCCGGGTTCAAGCAATTCTCATGCCTCAGCCTCCTAAGTAGCTGGGATTACAGGCACGCACCACCATGCCCAGCGATTTTTTTTTTGTATTTTTAGTAGAGACGGGGTTCCACCATGTTGGCCATGCTGGTCTCGAACTCCTAACGTCAGGCGATCTGCCTGCCTCAGCCTTCCAAAGTGTTGGGATAACAGGCATGAGCCATTGTGTCTAGCCCTATGTAGATGTTATTCTATAGTGTTAGATCATTGATTCTCAGTTAACTTTATAAAGTTCAAATTAACCAATACTGATAACAAAATAAAATGTAGACAACCTTAAGTATTAGATATATGAACTATTGTCCAAATCATGCAGGGATAAGGGAAAGAAAGAGGAGGGCAAACCAATGAAACATGTAGTAGAAAGTCTAGTACCAGTCACATAGCCACCACTTTTGCTACATGGTTCCATAAGAAGTATATTTCTTTATTAGTATTTTAATAAAATTGCAAGATAGTATACAAAATGAGTAATGTAGACTTTAGAATCATCAGGTACTAAATTTAAATTTTTATTCTACAGCTAAGTAAAAAATTATTTAACCTTTTTCACTCTTCATTTCTATGGTACGAGGCTGCTCATTTTCCAGGGTGATTGTCAAGCCTTGGAGATGCACATAAAAGCACTTATCACATTGCAGGTTCCTAATAGTCATCCACTAAATAAAAACATTGTGCTTAAAAAATAAAATTATGTTTTTATTTGTAATATATTAAATAACATGAGCGCAACTTATGATCACATGGCTACTGAAAAAAATGCAGTTAACATAGTTTAAAAAATACTTTAGTATCAGAAGAAATATCTCCTAGAATACCATACTCACCGGGCCCCTCACATCTAACTAATTTAGTCAATATCTGGATATTTCTAAAAGTGTAGAATAAATATGTACTTCTATAAAATTCATTTTATTCTGGGTACTATCTAGACATTTGAAATTTTTGAGAAATTATTTAGTGGCTTAGATATATCAAATATGAATTGTATAACTTTAAGACTAAAGAGTATTTGCCAACTTTAATGAAAATGTTTCTGAATGCAGTTTATTTTTTTACAGCCTGCAATCATTGTTCCTTGTTAAAACTCATGTATTTGGGAAGGACTAGAAGTAAATGAAGTAAAATATTTTGTAAGGAATATCTTCATTAGCTTTTTGGTATTTATTTATTATTTATTTATTTATTTATTTATTTATTTATTTATTTGATGGAGTCTTGCTCTGTCACCCAGGCTGGAGTGCAGTGGAGCAATCTTGGCTCAGTGCAACCTCCTCCTCCCGGGCTCAAGTGATTCTCCTGCCTCATTCTCCTGCATAGCTGGGATTACAGGCATGTGCCACCATGCCTGGCTAATATTTTTGTATTTTTAGTAGAGACGGGGCTTCACTATATTGACCAGGGTGGTCTCAAACTCCTGACGTCAAATGATCCTCCCACCTCGGCCTCCCAATGTGCTGGGATTACGAGCGTGAGCCACCGTGCCCAGCCCTTCATTAGCTTTTTAAAATTACTAAAGAGCATTATGTTTGTCATGTTTCTGGACTGCCCATCTTTTTATATGTACTGAGAGCAACTACAATAATGAAATATTTAGCAATGAATAGAGAATAGCTTCAAAGGAGAATTTGCATATATGTGGTTAAACTGTTTTTGAGAAAATATATTATAAATCCAGCAAATCTTTGCTACAATCCTGGTATATTGGCTCAAACTGTATTTGGAAAGTTTCTTGGTCGAGGCATATTATATCCCTAATAGTATAGAACTCAACATTCACATTTTATAAAAAGTGAATTGCAATGGGCCTTATCAATTCTAAAAAATACATAACACCCATTATCTGATTTCACATGGAAAGCATTGTGTGCTATACTGTTGGAAATATGATTTTACATGAAGCACACAAACTAATATAGGTACCCAAAAATGTTCTTTAAGAATTCTCCCCTTACTGAGGCCCCAACTCAGTAGGATGAGGTTTTGGCAGAATAATCATTTGTATTTTCTAAATGAAGCCACTTTGTGCCAATCGAGTTTTCCTTCTTTCTTCTTCTTTTCCTGGTAACTAAAGAAGGCCAAATGCATTTCATGGTTTGAAAAATAAACATTGCTACTGGCTTGAGGCCTAGCCCACCAAGTATTGGCTTGTAGTTAGTTCATTTTGTCAGTCATTGGTATACCCAGAAAACGAAAGAATGTTCTGTAATAGGAATGCCAACAGACAGCTAGTGTGATACAACTCTAATGTAACTGTCTTGACTATTTTCTTTTTTTATCTAGTCGTCTTAAGATGATCTAAATCTATATACTTCTGGCTGTCAGTCTCCACATATTCACCTTTGCTGCCAATGTAGTGTCACCCATCTATGACTGTATTTTTTGGTTTCTTGCTCTCGGTCTCTAATTTGTAGAGCCAATTTTCCCCTTCTCCAAAGACTCCCATACCAAGTACTCTGCCATTAACTGCTGATGTGGAACCCTGTCAAAAATTCTTTCAAAATGCAAGTGTTTTGTGAAAAAAATGTGTAGTTTGCTACAGAAACATTTTTATATTTTATCAACAATATAATTACTTTTGTATTTTCACTTAGAGCCATACATTTTAAAGGTTAACAGAGTAAGGATGCACTCCATTTTAAAGATGAATAAAAATAGAGGCTAAAGGATAGATCCTCAAATAAAAAGAATAACCAGTAAATATTTCTATAGCTGAGATGAATAAATAGCTAGTATCATTAGAAAACCTGTTAAAGATTATAACATTTGATCAATTCATAAAACAGTAGAACTGGAAAGACTTAGCATTTAATCAGGTTTCCTACATAGAGGAAAAATATCAAATCACTTATTTTTTAATCACTTATTTTTTCAGGTAAAAGTTTTCTATATATTAAATGCTCAAACAACATTAGAAACATAACCTTAAACTCTCAAGAACAGGTCCTTATAAAATAGTTAATCTAAACATAAACTTAAAATATAAAGATTAAGTTATTTTAAATTAAGGTGACTTATTGTGAAGCACAATAAAATATTTGATGTGGCAAGACAGGATCCAGACAGGACAATGAAGACAAGCTTTTAGGGACCCACACAATTATTAAAAAAGCATTTAGATCACCTTGTTTCTTTCCTCGAAGCAATAACTGGAACAAAATGTCCTAAAACATTAGTAAGTTAAACAAAAGTGTTAGACAAAAAAAGCAATTCAGGTATGAGATGGATAGGATTTTAAAAAACAAGAGAAAACAAAAATAATTCTAATCTTGCATTTTTACTTCTGCATTACCTATTATTACCTGAAAAAATGTTTCACAATTTTGTTCCACAGAGCAACCAAGGATGCCATACAATAGAAAAAGCTACTGCATTTAAGTAAGTTTGGGAAATTCTGCAAGATATATCCCTTTTTTAGACTTTCAGATTAGAATATTAACATAAACATATTTAACTATATTAAGAGTGAAATTTCCTTCATGTATTTGACCATGGAAGGCTTTTAACAGAGTTACTTGTAGCAGACTCTCTTCTGCAGAATGCACACAGAGAAATGTTGGCTAAGCCTAAAGCTCCTCCATTTAGGATGTAATTTGTTCTTAATTTGAACTTCAAGAAAATTTTCTTTTCCATCTTTTTTGTGTTATATAACAAAGCTTATCCAAGATTTTTTTTTTGTTTGAATAGGCGAAAATAGAGAATACCAAGAGTAGACATGAAAGCGCGTTAAATCATAGTTTTTTTTTCATGAAAACCATATAGACTTTTTCTTATTGTCTTTCCATAGACATTTTCTGAGCCAATATTTTCTCTAATTGTTTATAATATATGATTCAATCACATTACAGAAAGACAAAGCAGAAATACTGAACCTGTACAGGTGATATATTGTTCAAATCAAAGAAAACTGAACAATGCTAATTTGAAATTTAAGTAATAATAATTATTATTCTTCAGAATTCAGCATAAATTATACACAATTTTAATCACTTAATTAAAATTACCATTACATTATCCTACAAATTTTAAAGCTTTCTTTTCTCTTATTATCCATTACTTATAAAAATGTTACTAGTAGATTTTCCTAACCATTATTAACTATTTGCATTTGTAAATTTTCTCACACTTGTACAAAGTAAATCTATTGGCATTCGTTTATTTCCCTAGGATACTGCGTACATAGTGAGTCCTGCAAGACTACCCATCCTAATAATCTCCATGTGAAGGATTGACTGAGGAACTAAACTATTGTTTAGACACCAGGGAGGATGGAACTTATTATTAAAAGCCTGTGATGGATAGAGATATTGACTGCTTTTCATTTTTAATAAAGATGATATTTATTTTTAATAGATAGTAAAACTCTCTTATACAACCTAATACAATCACACATACAGAGTGCCTCTTCTTCACAGAGCTCTGTGCTAGAAACTTACAACTCAAAGTGCTCTAAGAAATCTCTAAATGCCCTTCAGTGATAGACTGGATAAAGGAAATGTGGTACATATACACCATGGAATACTATGCAGCCATAAAAAGAACAAGATCATGTCCTTTGCAGGGACATGGATGGAGCTGGAAGCCATTATCCTCAGCAAACTACAACAAGAACAGAAAATCAAAAACTACACATTCTCACTTATAAGTGGGAGCTAAACAATGAGAACGCATGGACACATGGAAGGGAACAACACACACTGGGACCTGTTAGGGGGCCAAGGGGAGGAAGAGCATCAGGATAAATAGCTAATGCATGTGGGGCTTAATACCTATGTGATGGTTTGATAGGTTCAGCAAACCACCATGGCACATGTATACTTATATAACAAACCTGCGCATCCTGCACATGTATCCCAGAACTTAATATTAAATAATTTAAAAAAACAAACAATTTTCCCCAATTCCAGGCTATGTCCATGTCCTTTTGATACCTTGTCAGGGCTATGATTCACCTGAGATTACTTTTCTCTCATGAGAGTCTAACATCTAAGTGTGGACCTTCTAAGTGTCTACATTCTGTACAACCTACACCTGACAGAAACCACTGCATTTTCCTTAATGAGGAAGTGAAAAACAAAATATAAGGGTATATGGGAATGCATGGCTGATGGAAACAGGGACAAGATCCAGAGCTTCTTCTCTGCTGTCACAAATTTTTCCCCCATTAGATAAAGAACAGAGATTGAAAACAACATTTTTAAAGGAGATTTCATGAATCAAGGAAACCTCTAAAAGCAACAATAGTTTCATAAAGTGATGGCAAGGCAGAGAAAGATCAGGAAGAAACGATCAGCCAATCTATGAAATATTGATACTATCAATTAAAAAAAAGTGAATGAAATAAGTTCTTTCGCTTACTTTATTACTTCTTAGCTAATTTTAATCTAGTGAATCTCTTAGAAACACGATCTAAATTTAACATTTTGTTCCTGCACCATTATTTAAATAAAGGGTTCTGAGTCTTTAATCTTGCTGGCTGGAAAACGAAATTATTTTGTAGAAGCTTTTAAAGCAGGAGCACTGTAACTCTCTTTCATGAAAAAACATGATGTAGCAGAAAAGATCAAAGATGTATAGGGAAGTTCTTTTTCCTTTTTTTGAAAGCTGATGCCCATGGCTTTCACTAATTGAAAATTTTCTTTACAAAAACAGACCTGTAGGCAGTCTATTTGCAGCCGCCAGCATTAACTGCACATCGCTGTAACTTCCTGCTTTTAGAAACTAACCAAGAGATCAATGGAGCTGGATGCTGACAATTTGAGGTGGACTTCACTAATTTGTAATGACATGGGCGTGCAGAAAAACAAGTAATTACCTAACCATTATCTTTCATAATTTCAAGTGATACAACTGACACTATCATTATCCATGAGTAAGGATAAGAAAAAAAAAAAGAAAAAACTCAGTGGTCATTAACATTGAAAACACTTATGGTTCGTTTTTACTGAGAAGCTCTTTTCGATGTAGTAAATTTCACAAATTAACTGTGTGTGTGCATGCGTGTGTATGTAATCATTGCTATTGATGTTCCAGTGCTGAACCCTACAAAGTACCTCGTTAGAAATATCAAATATGTCATTAGATTAAATGTTTAATAATATTACTTCAAAATACTGAATCTATGATAGTCTTCATGAGTCTCCATGAGACATTAGCAAAAGGATAAGAAGGCTGTACTGCTGTTCTTGAGAAAGGATATTGTTTTATTTTTATTTTTAATCTGAACTAGAACTTTAGAATTTGTTAATGTCCACAGTAGAGAAGAGTCGAATCTGTTATTTGTCCAGGTCTATGTAATTTTAATCTCAGCATTACTGACATATTTCTAAACCTTTGAAGTAAAACTATATAGCTACCATTTCTTTGCTGATACAGGCAAATTGATTTTTGTTGCTTTTACATCTAAATTGTCCTTTTTCATTATATTCAGATGAATGGACTTTGAATTCCAGATCCAAGTCTGGAGTTTGGCCTCTTAGGAAAAATGTGTGGGTAAGGGAGGGTGGTTTTGAACTTTATTCAGTTGGCTTAAGTAAATTATAAACTTTGATAAAAAGTCCCATTTTATTAGACATATTTAATTAAGTGGGAACATGTGTTCATTTATTATCTTTTTCTATCTTCAGATCATATTACTAAACTTACTTTTAAATAAAAGAATTGTTAAAAACAGTAATGCATGACAGTAAAAATATTCATTCAAAAAAGTAATATTTAAAAACAAAGAAAACAAGTCTCACCATTCAAAAATAGCCATAGAAATGTTTTGGTGCAGTTCCTCCCAATCTGTTGTCTAGGAAGAAGTGGGCACCTCTATTCTCTTCATGACAGCTGGAAAAATTCTTGGTACCATATGGAAACACATGAGTCACTCCCCATTGAAAAACCCTCGCTGGGGGCCAATCACTTGAATCAAACTCCAATATTCTTTCCTCATCCCACAAGGTCCTGCATAATTTAACTGCCTACTCACCCTCTGACCCTAGAACTTCAACAGGAAATTCTCCTCTTATCTACTGATTATCTTATAAACTATCTCATCAGTTCTTTACACCATGACCTTCAAATTCCTACTTTGGCATTATCTAGGATGACCAAAATTGTCCCACTTTTAAACCAGAAAGTCCCACATCCCAGCAACATCTTCAGCTCTCAGAAAACAGGATACTCCTAGAATAAGGATATTAACTACACTCTTAACATGATAGTCATGTTAAGTCATTTTAAATGATACTCTGAATAACAATTGTTCCTAAGTCCATAAAGTTGTGTTTCACAGTATGATTCATTGATGTTATATTTTCCCCACTAATTTTGGATGCCGTCTTTATTAGCAAAGAAAAATAAACAATAAACCTAAAGACCAGTTTTATGCTATCTATTCTCATTCATTTATCTATAAGTCTGCATTAGGAATAAGACTGTACTTCCTGAGTACCTCTGACTTTATAATATGTTGTAATATGTAGGAATAGAAGTATCCCTCTTATTTTTACTTTTAATATGCTATGTTTGTTCCTTTATTTTTATATGAATTTCAAAATATGTTGACAAATTATTAAAAATACTGCATTAAAATAGAAATTTGAATTTCATGGAATGTACAACTTAATTTGAGAAAAATGCCTATAGTAGTACTATGGAAATTATATGTTCAGGAACATATTCATGTAATCCAATTATTGTAATGATTTTTAGTAATATGTATTTATATATAAATACTAAGCATTTTGAAACTGAATTTAGTTATATTTCCCATTGCTCATTTTGAGTTGTTTTAGTGGATAATTATGTGAAACAAGATATTTTATTTCTAATATTATATTTTTTCTTATCTTATTCCTTTGACTAAGATTCCAGAATCATGCTATTAAGCAATAACTACAATGGACATCCTCCCTTTCCCACCATATGTAATTTAAAATAGACTGAACCTCATACTAAGACTAAGGAATTTGAACAGTTATGATTTTCCACTTAATACGATTTTTTCCCCAACTATCTGTTTCAAAACATTTTTTTTCCTTTCTGTTTCTATGTATCCCTGCTTTTCTGCAAACCAAAGCATATACTAATCAGCTTATTAAGAAAGCCTACACGTGCTCATGCTGCCTTCAAGAGAGTCTCTGTCAATTCCAGTTAAGCCTCGCTGATTGCCACAGCTGCCCACATTTTAGCTTTGCCACTCACACAAATTCTGCCTATTCTCCCTATGCTCCTACTTGTCATGGCGGGGGGACAGTGTTGCTTCTTTTGGAAAAAGCCCCTCTTTTTTTTTTTTTTTTTTTGCTACCCTTGTTCTCACCAGCTCCACTGATTATCGGTCTCTACCACAGGACCCTGGAATGTCTGCCTTTAAATCTCACTTGGCTTTTTAAGAGAAACAACTTCCTCCATATTCTGTCCAATAAACCTGTTGAACTTCTAATCCCATCTCGTTGTCTGCTTCTTGGAAAGCTCAAACTGATATAAGTAGTATTGTACTTATATTGGAACAGGCTCACCCACCAACTGGTTGGCAAAGAGGAAGACTTTAATTCTAAGTTCACATTGTACACAGTAATGTTCCAATTTCCAAATATTTCACTGAGGTGACCTGGGTGAAAAATATCCCAGTGGAGGAGAAAGCTCTTGCAGGTATAATGATTCAAAAATATGAAAATTACAAGGGAACAATGCCTATAAAAACAGGAGAGATGGCTGCTTTCTACTAGGTTTTAACGATGCCCTGCAGAAGGATGATGAGAAACTGAGGGAAGTTAACAAGCAAAGACTAAGTAGAAGAACAGACACAGATGATTTAATACCTAGAGATGCAGAGCCCCCCAAATGTCTAAGTACTTAGTCAAAGCAGATCTGCTATGCATGGATCCATGGTTGGAAATCCTTGGAACATGAAAAATGAGATAGGGAAAGTTACATGGATGCCTATGATGATGTTGGCTTCTGAGACTTTCTAGAAGCCTCAGAATTTGCAGAAATTATCCAAACTTTTTCAGAATTAGCATTTATTATATGCTGGAAAAAAGCTCTGAAACCCCTCCTCTGCAAGGCAACAGGTTGTCTGCTCAGACATTCTCACCTCCTCTCCTGACTGCAAGACAGAAACTAAGGTTAAATTCCATCCTTAAGATGTTCTGGGCCTTGAAAGGGAGAAAAGAGATGTAGAACCGCAAATATGAGCAAACATAACCTGGCAGGAGTCAGAGGAGCAACACTGGGACTGGCTTTTGAGAGTGCTTGATGAAGGAAGCTGGAATATAAGATTTGAAAAGCATAACTTCAACGACTTAGGGATACTTTCTCAGGATATAAGATTTAATATTCTGGCATCTACCCCTAGGATAGGGAAAACTCTCTTAGGGTGACATTTAGAGGCCTGAGAAAAGTGATGGCCAATGATTAATGCAGTAGAGATACCCAAGCTGGCCTAGAAGATGGTAGAGGAAAGAGTAAAGAGACTGAATAAAGTTGGCATGCTAGAATATATATACATATATATAATATGAGACCAGGAAATCCACCAGAAGATTATGTCCCACAGAAGGACAGGCCTTTAACCAAGGCCGACAGGAATGCACTGATGAGAGAGGGCCACCCTAATTTCACTGGTGGCTCTGTTCCACCAGCCAGAGCTGGAGATTGGAGAGTCAGGGATAGCTCATAATATCCATCGGTATGAAGGGATACCAAGTGAAAGAGGCCAGGTGGTCATACTTAACTTTCAGGTGTCAGGGGATATGACTACCATAACAGTTGGTAAAGCAGGGGTTTGGCCAAGGCCTATGGGGAGTTCTGGAGATGATTAATAGACCATAGTGTTCCTAGGGCCAAAATTTCCAAGAGAATAGCCAACAAGTTGCTGTTTAATATCTATAATCAGACAACTGGAAGTGTATAGTCACTCAATAAAAAGTCATGATATATTGTTCAGTTCCAGATCCAAGTCAATTTTCAGATTCAGAAGCCACTGGCTGAAGCAGAAGCCCTTAGGACACCTAGCAGCATTATAGATTATGATGATTTCCCTCATTGCTCTTCCATAGGGGCATAATCATTCCCCCTCAACATTGCACTGATCCATTTTTATTAAGGTGACCATACACTGAGGAAAGGAAATACCCAGGCATTAGGAAAACTCCAGGACACAGTGTCTAAGTTGACACTGATACCCAGAGACAAAATATCATCATGGCTTCCCTCGTTAGACTAGAGTCTTACAGGGGCTGAGTAGTAAAAGAAATCCTGACTAAAGTTCAGCTTAGAGTGGCCCCCAGTGGTCTTATTCCCAATAAAACTGGAACAGATATATTGGCAATGAGAAAAAATTCCATGTTGGATCCTTCCTGTGGGAAAGGTTGAGTGGAAACCTCCAAAACTGCCTCCCACTCCTGGCCAAGATAGTAATGTAATTCAAAACATATTGCATTCTCAGTGTAGACAGGTAGGAGATGGCAGAAATTAGAATCACCATCGAAGACCCAGAGGATGAAGATGTGGTGGATCTACCATATTTCCACTTAGGTCACTGTTCTGGCCCCTGTAGAAACTGGAGAAAAAGTACTTATGGTCTCAGGCCTAACCATGTAGGAGTCCTTTCCATCTACTGAGCTGGATGTGGTATCATTACTAAACCAGATAAATAAAACTTCAAGTATCTGACATAAGGCCTGTGAGCTAGAAAATGCATTCTTTTCAATCCCAATGAAAAAGAAGGATCAGAAACAACAAAAATATCCACTTGCAATTTTACATTAGGAATACATTAGCTCTCTTCCTTCTGTCATAATAGAATCTGAAAAAATCTGGCCATCCTGATCATCCCTTTGACTGATGACTTACACTGACCCATTACATTAGTGGCATCATGTTGATTGGACAAGGCAAGCAAGAGGTAACTAGCAGATGACTGGGATGATTTGGTAAGAACACAATCACTCCAAAGAGTAGGAGACAAATCCTAAGAGGACTTAGGAACCTGTTGGTTCAGGAATGGTTTTAAGGTGCTTATGGGCAAAGGATGTGCTTGGATATTCCTCCTAGAGTGAAAGAAAAACTGATGCATCTTGTATCCTCAACTACAAAGAAGAAGGCACAGTGCCTGGCAGGCTTTTTGGGATTCTTGTGTTAGCATATTCCATCCAGAACTTAACAATATGTTAAATTATCTCTTTATTTAATAATTTGCTTACTTATCATATAAGTCTTTCACTTAAATGTAAGCTTCAGGAGAGAAGAAAATTGCTGTATCTCCAGTATCTAAAATTATGTCTGCCTCAATGGCATACGAAGGGTAGGGTGGAAGAAACCATGAGCCCAGGATGCAAGAAAGGAAGGGAAACCATAAGAGAATTTTAAACAAAAAATAAACTACCTACAAATTGATTTGCTTTTCACCATATACCAGCAATAGTAAGTGATTTGAATAATAAAATAGCCTCTAAAATCACCCTCTAAAAACTATTTTGGTGTAAGTTCTAAAGAATTGTTGCTAATAAGTATTTCGCATAGCTAAAAGTTTGTTTTTTTTACTTCATTATTTTATTTTTTCTTTAATAAATATAGTATTATTTAAATTAAATATCATATAACTTATATAATTGAAGATAATTCTCAGAATTCCTGGTTCCAATTGGCTCATGACTCAAAAGAAAAAAAAAAAATGAGGACCAGCTACATGTGTTTAAGACAGCAAGCTTACTAAGGTTTAGAATTAATGAAGTTTCCTTCAGATTCAGTTTCTGTCACCAAATTCAGGGCTGCTTTATATTCCTGCATTTGAAAAGTGGTTATTAAAAAAAAATGGAAACAGAACCTAAGTGACTTTACTTCTGCCATTGTATGTGGCCACTTGGGATTTTTATGTGTGTTTACTATTTAAGACAGAAAAAATTTGAACCGTGGGATGCAATATTTTCATTTGGTAAGTGCAAATTTTAATGTATCCATGAAATACATTACTGAATTTAGACATCATTCATATGACATTTCCCCTTCTTTTTAAAATAAATTTTTAGTTTCTCTTATTACTAACATCTTACATTATAATGGTACGTTTATTACAATTAATTAACCAATACCAATACATGATTATTAACTAAACTTATAGTTTATTCAGATTTTCTTGATTTTTACCTAAGGTCCTTTTTTGTTCCAGGGTCCCATCCAAAACAGAGCATTACCTTTAGTCCTCCTGTATCCTTGCCTATGACAGTCAGGAAAAGATACTTTCAAAAAATTATCACAAATGTGGCTGTGTGGACTAATGGTGGCCTGCTGACCAAGAGATATTTCAAGCTCTTCCCAAGGATATTGAAAAAATCTTTTACAGCAAATTCTTTATTTAAAAAAATCTTTTGAATATTGGAAGATTAAATATAAACAGAAGTATATAATAGCATAATGAAATTCCATGTGCTCATCACAGGCAAATTCTTTTTAATTTTCATAAATTTAAAAATAAGTATATTAACTATAGCATATTTGATAGAAGTCTGTTGAAAAATCAAATTATAAGATTTCATAGCTTTTAGACAATAAAATTCCCTGGCCTTTGTTACCTCCTGCCTTAAGGAAGTTTAGGTCTTTAATGTACTTTTCTTATATAATTTATTTATTTTACTATTGTGTTATGCCATTCTTGCATTGCTATAAAGAATTACCTGAGACTGGGTAGTTTTTAAAGAAAGGAGGTTTAATTGGCTCATGGTTCTGCAGGGTGCACAAGTATGGCAGGCATCTACTTGGCTTCTGGGGAGGCCTCAGAGAGCTTTTACTCATGGCAGAAGGCAAAGCCAAAGCAGGCACCTCACATGGCAAAAGCAGGAGCAACAGAAAGAGTCGTGGGGGGAGGTTGGTAGGGAGAAGACTCCACACACTTTTGAACAACCAGATTGCAAGAGAACTCATTCACGATCGCTAGGACAGTACCAAGCTATTAAGGGATCCACCTCATGACCCAAATACTTTCCACCAGGTAGCAACTCCAACATTGGGGATTATATTTCAATATGAGATGTAGAGGAGACAGCACCCAAACTATATCAATTATCATTCAAATTCTACTCTAGAATGAAAGGTGGATATTTTGATTTCAAAAAGGGGTAATTATGGTCTATCAGCATGACTGTGTGCTCATCAATAGTAATTACTACTATTAGGACTACGTAATAGGTAAAAGAGGTCATTTATTAATGATAAAAAAGTAAACAGTGTAAAATTGTACACAGTGATGGCAAATGAGTAAACATATACTGTATATGGTTATGTATATGAATGAGAGGGAAATAGAAAAAAACATGAAGTCAATGCTTGTGTCACATATGTTTGCAGTTTATCTGTTTTGTAATTAAAAATATTATTTCGTGATTATTGCAGGTTCACATGCCATAAGAAATAATACAGAGAGATCCTGTGTATATCTTACCAAGTTCCCTCAACGATAATACCTTACAAAACCGTATACTATCACAACTAGGATGACATTGTTACGGTCAATATCTATCTTCTTTTAAATGTCAATTGTTTCAAACCTAAAGATGAATAAAGGAAATAATGATTATTACCTATTGTTCCATTAGTATTACTGAAATCAATTTTATTACAGAGAAGAGGGAGTTGTATCCACCTGGGTATCAGATATGCCAAGTATGCAGTGGCCTGGCCTTTTTGGACAGTTGTAGAAACACAGAAAGTAGGATATTATGTTAGAAGTCAAAATGCATATTTATCACATTTCTCTTTTCAAATTGAGTTAACATTTCTTAACTTCTCATGAAAAACAGTAACCTGATGTTCATTCTGTCTTAAGTGGCATGCTTTCTAATTCTCTACCTCAATGACAAATGTTCTGCTTCATTCACAGTGTTCTGCGTGGGTAATAGAGCAACTGAACTCTGTCTCTGCCTCTCTTCATCTCTATTTCATTCCATTTATCTCTAACCTTAAACAAAAAAGTAAAACTGATCAGTTCTCCAAATGAAACCAAAAGACAACCTGTCCCTTAATGTACATTTAAGGAATCATATGAAGATTCAATTAATTGGATTCTTGACAATCTGAAAACAGATGGTCACTAAATAAAAACAGGATATTGCTATATTGTCAATCATATCAATGGAACTTGAAGTTGTTGATTTGCTTCCCACTTAAAAAATGAATATAAATTAAAATGCAAATGAATGATAAATGCAAGCCCATTTGTAACCTAGAATATGACTCATTTAAAAAAAAAGTAGGACAATGAGCCAATCATGAGGAAGGTAAGATGTCAATAGGTACTCACTTTTAGCTCACTTTGTACTCAAACTAATGATCAGGATAATAAGGCTTGCGTGCACCAGTTGAAAACTGTGACTTTTTTTTTTTTTTTTTTTTTTTACTGTATCTCAAAAGAAAACAGCATAATAGATCTTGCACGGTGGGTGAGCTACATGCAAATTAGTCAAAAATTTTGGTTGACTAAGAATTATATTTACCAATTGAATGTCATTTCCTACATGAATTATCATAAGGCAATTGAAAAGTAGTATCATAAGGCAATTGAAAAGTAGTACTTAAAGTAGTCACGTTTAGAGAGGTCGATTCTAAAAATACAAGTTTCAAGTTGAAGCGGATTACTTGTTGAATTAGGAAGAGTGTCAAAATCCTTCCTGTTCCTAGGATGGAGATACAAGAGCCAATACATCATGGATGAACTTTGGAGAAAAAGGGCTAAAGAGTAGAAATACAAAATACTAAGGCTTTAAAATATTTAACTATGGTTTCTCAAAAACATCATAAACTTAAAAAAAAAAAAAAACTCTAAAAGTACAATTTGGATATGCAGTAGTATATTGTCAAGTTTCGTCTCTTAGCCAAGTGACCTAGAGGTAATTTCAGATTTGTAAGATTTTATCTCTGCTCTTTTATGTGCAAATACATCGTTACTGCTCTCCTATCAGCTCTAACTTCTTATATTCCTAATCAGACTACACTTTTGAAAGGAAACTCCTGTCATTTGGAACATCTGTCTGAAGCTTTCTGCTTTTCAATAAGTGGAATTTGGAGGAGTTATTTTCTTTTTCTTCTGGATATATTGCATAGCTAATAGCAACAGAAACATTTTAAAGCTTCTAGCCTTAAAAAAATTCTTTCAAACTTTTTAACCCTATAATTAATCCATGTTTGAACTGAAGGTTTGTCCTGGATATTGTCAGAAATGCTAGTCTCTAAAGAGATCTAATTGTTAACAGCATAGATAACACAGATTTTATATGATCAAGGATTTATTACATACAAACTGTAAACATCTCTATTTACCGAAAGAAATTTCAATGTATAAATGCATATCTTCAGCTATGCTTGAAAAGCCTCACTGCTCTCATCTACTAAAAAGTGCCTTAACAAATAGCTTGTCTGTGAGTCCAAACCCCCAACATTATTTGTTCTTCTGATTTATAGCTTACCAAAAACTACACCGATTCAATCATTTCCACTGATACTTTTCCATGTGTTGGTTCATCATATTAGCTAGCCTTCATCAAGTTAAAATCAAACACCAAGTGAATAAGACCCAGACCTGGAATCTTTTGCTACTGGAAGTACAGATTATTAGGAACATAGAGGCCTCCTGGAGATATCAACTGAGTGGACTTGGTATTCAAAGAAAACCATAAGGGCCTTGCAATCATAGCCTTGGGGTCAGTTGAAAAAAAGTTACTGTAAAGTGGATGTTGAAAGACCCTAAAATTTTGCCTGCTTCATGACTCTGTCTAAGGCCAGCCTTAATTGTGAACTTGTTTCACAAAAGAAAGAAAGGCCGCTATGCCAGCAAATAGAGTGACTGCCTGCTCCCCAAATAAGACTGGTCTGAGTCAGGTAAGAAAATCTAACCCCCAACCCAGCCCAATCTCCTGGCAATTTCTTTCAGGCAGGGACTGTTTTTTCTTTATATTTATATTCCCAATATTTAGTATGCTGTCAAAGAGTAGATATTTGATCATATTTGATAATGAATTAATAATGGATGATAGAGGACTTTTTATTTAATTATGATGAGAGTCAAAAATTTGAAGACTAGCTCAGGACTACAGTAGGTATGCTGAGATTTTCCCTTGGGTTCAAAGTTAAAGATACCAAATTTGAAGTAGCTAAAATGAAAAGGCAATTTATCATAAGGATCTTGAGATGTCTCAAAAAATAAAATAAAGTAGGACAGAAGTTTTTGTGAATTCAGTCATAACTGGAACAGAGCCTCCCCTTATAGTCTGTGCTCTACTCGCTACTTCTTCAGGTGGCAGAGGAAGGGCATGGACAAATTTTGCATGACATATGTTTCAGCATCAGAGAGATACTGCTCTTTCTCTCTCTCAAATTCCTTGGAAGGAGATGTGCTGACCAGTCTTGGAGCAAATGTTCAGCCCTGCACCTAGAAGGCAAGGGCCCACTGTAGAAACAGAACACAGAGATCATGTTCACTGAAGCCCTGAAGGGCAATTCACAGAGAATCAGGTGCTGGGTGGACAAGCTAAAGATGGTCACGACTTTGTTATTTTAAACCCTTACATTTTTTCAAGTAAGAAAATCAAACAAAAGTGAACAGAAAACTACTTGGGACCATTGAGTTGGAATTTCAAGAATAACTAATAGAGAATTGGCTTGCTAAGATTTCAGATTCTGGGAGCTTAGAGAGAGGTTTCCAAATCAATATTCAACCTCTTCTAGATTGTAAAACTTGAGTAAGTAACTTGATTCTCTCTTTTAGATCTTAGTTACCTCATACATTAAACAAGGATACAAATCATATGTACACCTAAGTGAGAATTAATAAAATGAGGCATATGCCAGATATGTAAAAAAAATTATAAACAGTAACTGTGATATTCATAATCATTATTGTCATCAGTGTAATACCCTGTGAAAAAGCTACAAGACACAGCTTCCATGTTCTCACCCCTTTATTAAACAACTACCCTCTTAGAGCAGGGCTTGCTTTCTGTACTCAGTGTTTCCTCTGATTATGTTAGATTTCAAGAAGAAAGATTTGTTTACTTTTTGGTGATGTAAGAAAATTAGAGAGAGGATAACACTTTTTGTGCCTTTGATTGGCTAAGACATACATATATACACAAGTCTATACATATAAAACATATATATAACATTTAGAAATACTTTGTCACACTATTGAGAAATGCACATTTTTATATCTACAAACATGAATATGGAGACAAAAAGGACTAATATGAAGGTTAGTTCAAATACAAGAAAGTATATAACCTTTCTTCTCTTCTCTTTTTATGTGTCACTGTACTTCAGATATCCTATTCCAGACCTGTTAAACGGGGCAGGGATGAATAGAGGGAAGGAGACAGCAGAGAAAATTCAATTTAGATTGCAATAAAGTTGCCAGATCATGCCCATAATATACCTTCAAAACGTAATCTGTAAAGTCACTTCAAATAGACATCACTATGTAATTGTGATTGTCATTATATATTAAATTATAATTAATAAAATACCCAGTAACAGAAATCAATTCACTCCTCGTTATGCTTCTTAAATATATCTATTTTATTCTCCTTTATTTTTCTGTACCTATTTGTTGACTTGATCTGTAAACAATTATAGATAGGGTATAAATGCTGTGGTTCAGTCATGCTCAAGCCAGAATGCACAGAAGTCACTAACCCTAGAGGAAAACCATAATTAAAGTCAGAGGAGGTAGACTTATCTTTACCATCAGGAAGAAACACCAGAGGAGACAAGTACAGAAGCAGAATAGTCATCATACAAGAAGAGGGGAAGAAGGGCCCTAGACTAGCTCTACATTTTCTAAATATTTAAAACTAAACAAATTAATTAAGATCCCAGGGCATCCATTACTTTATTTAGAAAGAACAGGCTTAGCCCAAAGAATCTCTTAGATTTCACCCATATTCAGTAATTTGAATGTGTGTATCTTTACTTTAGAAGAGTAGCTTCTTTATATAAACTATAAAAGAAGTTTATGCATCCATTCATTATTATTGAGCCCCTACTATATGCTAGGTGCAAGTAAAAGGAAGAAGCATATAAGCAATAAGTTATGGATAAGTCTTTGTGGTAGCCACAGGGAATAGGGAAGAAACATTAAATTTGCTCTATTAAAACATTTAAATTTGCTCTATTAAAATCAAGGAAAATTTTATGTAGATGACATTTAAGCTGGGCCACGTAATAAATATTTGCCTCAGTGAATGGATCTACCAGCTGCCCAAGTCCAAAACCCTGAAGTAGTCCTTGAGTCCATCTTCTTCATCTTATCTTGCCTATTTCTTCCCAATTATCTTATAATTCTGCTCTCTTTTCTCTATTTCTTCTACCCCATCAATGTTCAAGTCACTGTCCTCTCTCACTGGACTATGGAAATAACCTCTTACTGTTTGTCTTGCTTCCACCCTGATGCTTCTCCAGTTTTCTGACGGTAACCAAAGTGATAAAGTGGAAACCTGATCACCTCACCTTTCTTCCTTCCACAGACAATAGCTTTACATGGGTATTTGGATAAAGCCAAAGCGTCCTCCCCAGAGTTCACGATTTCTTGCATGGCCTCGTATCTGTTTATCTCTTCTCTTCATTTAATTCTTGTACATCTTCCCTTTTAGCTGTCTCTGGTCCATTGTTTACTCTTCTTCTCAAATGTGTCATGTTCTTGTCTGCTACGAGGTTTTTGCCTATGCATTCTCTCTACTTGATATGTTTCTCTTTTCTCTTCCCATTCTAGCCAAGTTATCTCCTTCCCATCTTCATATCTTAGCTTAAGAATCATTTTCTCAGGAGAGATTTCTTGTGTGGACCCCTCTAACTATCAGCATTAGTCAAAGGCAGATGGCCTTGCTAAGTCCTCTCATGGGACTTTTTTTTTCTTCATAACAATATTTATCTTTGTTTGTAATCACAGTGATGAGGTTGTTTAATATATATCTATCACCATCAGCTAGACCAAACCTCATGCTGACATGGGCTGTCTGGCTCTGTCCACCATTGAATCTCCAGCTCCTAGAAGATTCCTTGATCAAAATTAGGGGTTAATTGATAATTAAATTGGGGGAATGAATGAATTAATCAGAGACTGAATGGATTAATAGATGAATAGAAAGACAGATGGATAAGGAAATGGACAGATAGATGGATGGGTGGATGGATGGATGTATAAATGGATAGATGGGTGAATGGAGTTTGTCAAAGGGATTAAGGAAAAGAAGAGATCTCCAGGCACATTATAGACAAAGCCAGAAGGAAATAATAGCCTATGGCCTTGCTTTGGATGGGCATAGAGTGTGCGGGAGACAATGCTGGAGAAAATGAGGCCAGAGAAGTGAGTTTGAAAATGACTGCAAATTAGTTGTTTGCCAAGTTAAGAAGCTTAGATTTTTTATCCTGTGGGCATTTGAGAGTCAGAATAGGCTATTAGGAGGACAAAGAGTGTAATCATATTTGCTTTTTATTAAGATAACCCTGTCAGCAGTGGGGGGTAGGCAGTATTAAATATAGGGAGACTATTTACAGGAAAACTAGTTGGAAAGCAGTTCTGACTATGCAGAATAGGCATTCAAACTGGAGCAACGAGGGTGCAAAAGCACAGAATACACATCCCTGGCCTCGTGCAGGAGGAACTAAAGCTGGCTCCCACATAGGATGGTGAAGAATCCTAAAGGACAAGGGAGAAAGGAAAGGCTAGAGTGTGAATACAAAGAGTTGGGAATGACAGGTTAAGTCATTCAGTGATTGTTCCTTATCTTTATGTAGTTTAATCATTATTTATCCATAGCTTAAGAGAGGCCAATAACTAAATTAAGACCATGACAACATATTATAATATGATCAATTGAGAGAACATTGTAAGTTACTAGTTTGTGAAAAAATAAAGAAATAAAAAGTTTCCAGGCACGTATTTTAGTCATTAGTTATATAGTTATAGTTCAAAATTATTTGTACTTTTTAAACACATTTTATACATAATAAAACTAAAGTTCCCAGGAACATGTTAAGTTAAACCCTATTTAAATGAAATGTTATATAATACATGCTTAGTTTATTTCAAGAATGAAAAAAAAAAACACCACAAAACTGGGGTGCATGCACATGAAAATATTTTATTTTTTAATAGGGTTTGTCAGATATTTTTGGGGGATATTGCCTTTTCTTTGCAAGGTGAATTATCTCCCAGAAATGGACCACAGGAGGCAAAGGCTGAACCTCCATTTGAAAGCTGGGACATTCTTGCTATGCAGAGAGCCAATTGGTTAGTGTATGTATTTGTTTGTCACCTCTGCCACCTGCCCCCCATTCTTGCTCTTCCCTTCTTTGCCCTATTTTGAGATCTAAAATACTGGTTCTGGAAATTGCATCACCCAGGCTCCTTTGTGGGCTGGCTTCTAGTAGGGTGCAGCCCATGGAGAATGCAGGCAGGAGGAGGTGAGAGGGTGGAGAAAGAGAGAGGTCTAGGTGCCATGCCTCTGTCTCTGAAGTAGATCTTTCTGGATGCTTCTCCTAGCTCCAGCTCTTACTACTCTCCAGTAACTATGATCTTTGATCCTCTTACCCACTTAGCCCCAGGGATGTTAATGACATGCATTCTTGATCATCTCTACACACCTCCATATCTTTGTGGTTCTCTTAAACTTGGCCACAGGTATATAGGTGGTTCCTTTATCAAAATCTTTATTTAAGATGAATCCTGTTTCCTTATGGGACCCTATATGTTCCAAAGTCAGATAGAGTTCATTTCAATAGTTGCTTTACCCCGTTACCTATGGAGCTTGAATAAGTTATGAATTCAAGTATCTCCACCTGTAAAATATATATCATAATAAGATGTACTTTATAGAGGACCTATGAAGACTAGATGAACAAATGCATCAAAATTCTTTGCACAGAGCTTAACACTTCATTGTCATTGCAATAAATGTTAGGAAGAAAATTAATTTCCATGAAGTCTGCTAAGTAAAATGCTTATATTCTCTTTTGTTGTCACAAGTGGGTACAGATTGAGTGCTAATACTATCATCCAGCACTAAACCAATGTTGTTTTTAACTGAAGAAAGAAATTTCAGGCTAAGGTAGTCCAATTCTCTGGAATTTCAGGCAGAGTGTAGCCACCTTCCCCTATCAAAAAGAGCATGAAGCATAATATTTCTACCAGTAATTTTGTATATCACGTTTTAAAAAATCTACTTCTTGGCTGGGCGCAGTGGCTCACACCTGTAATCCCAGCACTTTGGGAGGCCGAGGCGGGTGGATCACAAGGTCAGGAGATGGAGAACATCCTGGCTAACACGGTGAAATCCCGTCTCTACTAAAAATACAAAATAAAAAAAAATTAGCCAGGCGTGGTGACGGGCACCTGTAGTCCCAGTTACTTGGGAGGCTGAGGCAGGAGAATGGCATGAACCTGGGTGGTAGATGTTGCAGTGAGCGTAGATCATGCCACTGCACTCCAGCCTGGGCAACAGAGAGAGACTCCATCTCAAAAAAAAAAAAAAATCTGCTTCTTGATACCCATTTGGGGTTATTTTCAGATTTTTTAGTTGCTGTTTTAAATAATAGCTTAAATTTTTAAAATTTTTATTGGCATATTAGCATATTGTACTTGAGAGAAATATTATACATTCTTCTAAAATGACTAGGAAAGCACATTGAAAATATCGCTTAGTCTTGATGCCTAGATTTTCTACAGCAAGTTGTAAAAGAGACCAAGAATAACTAATTCATAAGTTAATAGAAAATTCATCTGAAATGAAATGGAGCATTACCACAGGAAGACAAGCTTATAGTGAAAAAAAATGGTGTAAAAAGAGAATATATACGTGATACTAGAATCAAAGTTTGTAGATGACAACAAACTCTGAGAAAGACTATGTTATGTAGCAGCCAGAGAGGCAAGGGAAAAAGAAAGTGCTGTAAGGAATGTATCAGTTCCTCTTGAGCCGTCCTTCTACATCGGATCAATAGCTCTTCCAACCATGGGACATTCAAGCTTTCAGCTTGAGAAATTGAAGTTCTCAAAATAAGTCAGGGTTGCAACACAAGTTCATCATGGTGTGTCACAGAAATGAAATGAGTTGTCTCCTGCTCGATTGATGACTGACATCAAACCAGGAGGAAAAAAGAGGAAAATAAACGAGACACGGGTTTTGAAAAGTTGTTTCAGAGACTCCTGTCAAAAAGTTTACACTAAGGGTTCTGTTCTCTGCTTGAAGCACGTGCATAACTCCCTTCACAATAATGAGTGTTCCACAGCATGCCCAAGAAGCAGTGAGAGGAGAGTTCCCAGGAGAATTGTTTACTGATACGTTTTTATAGTAGCTCTGCGCATGAAACTCAGAACTTCTAAGACTGGTGTTGGGAAAAACCAGCAAATGCCCAAGGATTGGCAGAAGATGAGATAAACGAAAGGGTAGGAACAGGTGATTTTTAAATACGAAGTGATAATATAGATCTTATATAATGACTGGAGCAACACATGCTGGCAATGACCTATCCTGTAAAACAAACTTCTAAGAAAAAGAAAATCAAAGGCTGTTCAGCATATGTATGTGTTGTACAGCTAAAAAGACCCTTGTAGTGCCAACAAGCAGGCCAGTGAAATCAATGCTTGGTGCAATTGCTAACTGAGCTTCATGTTGATAAAAGAAAACAACAACAACAAACTTTGTTGTCAATGCTACAAGTCCTCCTGCTCTTCTATAATCCAGGCTTTCAAAGTGATTGAACTGAAAATATTTTCCATCAGTGTATACAGATGCCCAGATACGTTAGAGACCTGTGAACAGCTCTTTTTTCTTTAGCCATTGCCTGGAGCAAAGAAAATAGAGTGGGAAGAAATGAGCATCTCTGGCATCAAAGGTGAAGTATAGGATGCTCAGAGGTGAGATGGCTGTATTGCCTCATACCGGCCTAGTCATTGCCTCCTAGTTAGCAGCCATTTTCTCTAGGAGGCTCTATACCTTTGACACTCACTGGGAGGCCTGGGTTGAAGCTACTACAATCAATAAGCTGCGATTTATCTTCCCTTCCTCTTCATGCTCTTGATTTGATGTTATTTTAATAAATCATTTCTATTTATCATTACCTCAATCAGTTCATCTCTAAAATGGGCCTTTCTCCCCGTACTCATGATAGTAGGGGATGCTGGAGCTTCTCCAATTAGGATGTGAAATGATTGACAGGGTATTCAAGGATTTGACTTCAAAATATTAATGTATACAAATTCCCCTCCTCTGTGTGCCTGCTGTGCAGAAATCATGGGGCACCACGATGAATACAATGCAGCTATGCAATGTTTACTGAGCTAGCAGTCACTCTGCTATCAAATATATAATTTAGTACAGAATTCCTGAAATATATACAGTATTTACATCAGTGTAGCTAGAGGAAGCTTGAAGTACAGTTGTAAATTAGTGTTCAGAAAATTGCAGTAGGAATATAATGGAACACACTTGGAAACATATGCTAGTAACTCTATCCCCCTAATATGTTCACAGATGTGATTACGTACATGAAAACATGATTTTTAAAAAAAGCATGCAGCAAATTCTTCTGATATTTTGCTTATTAGTAGAAATTAGAGCCAGGCAGCTTGTAATATTTCTTTCATTGACATAAAATGGATGGGTAGCTATCTTTTTCTTAGCAATGACTCTCCCACTCTGTCCCTCTCTCTCATCATCTCTCTCTCCATGTCTCTTTCATTTCTCTCTCTTTCTCCCTCTCTCTCTCGCTCCTTTCTTACCAACAGAAGGAAATTTTATTATCCTCAAATTTCTCTGCAAGTTAGTATAAGATTAAAGTAACAGAGAATTTGAAGTGATATTTCAGATACTGAGATCATACTTCTAAGTTCACAAATTTTGGCATTCTACTAAAAATAAGTTGTTTATGTGGATATATGTGAGCCCCTTCTATTGGCAAAGTTTTTAATTGATTTATTCATTCATATCATGTATTTATTTACACATTTCTTGCTAATATTTAAAATATTAATTACAAATATTACTTTATGATATGCAATAACTTTAATCATTTAATTACTTGATTGGCTAAAATATTGAGCATGCCGTTAACCCCTAGGACATAATTCCAAAATGTCTCTAGGCACTAGCTAATTACAAGATACAAATTCCATCTTCAGTTCGTGAAGAAAATCCAGGACTGTGTTCTGACTTCAGTGGTTCTCTTCATTTTCTTTTCCTACCTGAGCGTTGACAAAAAGTAGCTAGGACAGAGTCCCATCAGAATAAATTTGAATATTTCTAATTTGATGAGTTTGAAGGGGGTGGTCACCTGCTATGTGTGGTATATTAGATGTGTCCCCTAAACAAGGGTAACTAGCCTTAAAACAGAGAAATCAATTTTAGGCAAATAAGTAAATTCTTGTTATCTTAGTTTATTTAATCAAAGTGGATACAAGCATACCTTGTTTTATTGCACTTTGCTTCATTGTGTTTTGCAGATTTTTTTTTATTATACTTTAAGTTCTAGGGTACATGTGCACAACCTGCAGGTTTGTTACATATGTATACATGTGTCATGTGGGTGTGCTGCACCCATTAACTCGTCATTTAGCATTGGGTATATCTCCTAATGCTTTCCCTCCCCCCTCCCCCCACCCCCACAACAGGCCCCGGTGTGTGATGTTCCCCTTCCTGTGTCCCTGTGTTCTCATTGTTCAATTCCCACCTGTGAGTGAGAACATGCAGTGTTTGTTGTTTTGTTCTTGCAATAGTTTGCTGAGAATGATAGTTTCCAGCTCCATGTCCCTACAAAGGACATGAACTCACCATTTTTTATGGCTGCATAGTATTCCATGGTGTATAGGTGCCACATTTTCTTAATCCAGTCTATCATTGATGGACATTTGGGTTGGTTCCAAGTCTTTGCTATTGTGAATAGTGCCACAATAAACATACTTGTGCATGTGCCTTTATAGCAGCATGATTTATAATCCTTTGGGTATATACCCAGTAATGGGATGGCTGGGTCAAATGGTATTTCTAGTTCTAGATCCTTGAGGAATCGCCACACTGTCTTCCACAATGGTTGAACTAGTTTACAGTCCCACCAACAGTGTAAAAGTGTTCATATTTCTCCACATCCTCTCCAGCACCTGTTGTTTCCTGACTTTTTAATGATCACCATTCTAACTGGTGTGAGATGGTATTTCATTGTGGTTTTGATTTGCATTTCTCTGATGGCCAGTGATGATGAGCATTTTTTCTTGTGTCTTTTGGCTGCATAAATGTCTTCTTTTGAGAAGTGTCTGTTCGTATCCTTCGCCCACTTTTTGATGGGGTTGTCTGTTTATTTCTTGTAAATTTGTTTGAGTTCATTGTAGATTCTGGATATTAGCCCTTTGTCAGATGGGTAGGTTGCAAAAATTTTCTCCCATTCTGTAGGTTGCCTGTTCACTCTGAGGGTAGTTTCTTTTGCTATGCAGAAGCTCTTTAGTTTAATGAGATCCCATTTGTCAATTTTGGCTTTTGTTGCCATTGCTTTTGGTGTTGTAGACATGAAGTCCTTGCCCATGCCTATGTCCTGAATGGTATTGCCTAGGTTTTCTTCTAGGGTTTTTATGGTTTTAGGTCTAACATGTAAGTCTTTAATCCATCTCGAATTAATTTTTGCACAAGGTGTAAGGAAGGGATACAGTTTCAGCTTTCTACATATGGCTAGCCAGTTTTCACAGCACCATTTATTAAATAGGGAAACCTTTCCTCATTTCTTGTTTTTGGCAGGTTTGTCAAAGATCGGATGGTTGTAGATGTGTGGTATTATTTCTGAGGGCTCTGTTCTGTTCCATTGATCTATATCTCTGTTTTGGTACCAGTACCATGCTGTTTTGGTTACTGTAGCCTTGTAGTATAGTTTGAAGTCAGGTAGTGTGATGCCTCCAGCTTTGTTCTTTTGGCTTAAGATTGTCTTGGCAATGTGGGCTCTTTTTTGGTTCCATATGAACTTTAAAGTAGTTTTTTCCAATTCTGTGAAGAAAGTCATTGGTAGCTTGATGGGGATGACATTGAATCTATAAATTACCTTGGGCCATATGGCCATTTTCACGATATTGATTCTTCCTACCCATGAGCATGGGATGTTCTTCCATTTGTTTGTATCTTCTTTTATTTTATTGAGCAGTGGTTTGTAGTTCTCCTTGAAGAGGTCCTTCACATCCCTTGTAAATTGGATTCCTAGGTATTTTATTCTCTTTGAAGCAATTGTGAATGGGAGTTCACTCATGATTTGGCTCTCTGTTTATCTGTTATTGGTGCATAAGAATGCTTGTGATTTTTGCACATTGATTTTGTATCCTGAGATTTTGCTGAAGTTGCTTATCAGCTTAAGGAGATTTTGGGCTGAGACGATGGGGTTTTCTAGATATACAATCATGTCATCTGCAAACAGGGACAATTTGACTTCCTCTTTTCCTGTTTGAATATCCTTTATTTCTTTCTCCTGCCTGATTGCCCTGGCCAGAGCTTCCAACACCATGTTGAATAGGAGTGGTGAGAGAGGGCATCCCTGTCTTGTGCCAGTTTTCAAAGGGAATGCTTCCAGTTTTTGCCCATTCAGTATGATATTTGCTATGGGTTTGTCATAAACAGCTCTTATTATTTTGAGATACGTCCCTTGAATACCTAATTTATTGAGAGTTTTTAGCATGAAGGGCTGTTGAATTTTGTCAAAAGCCTTTTCTGCATCTATTGAGATAATCATGTAGTTTTTGTCTTTGGTTCTGTTTATATGCTGGATTACCTTTATTGATTTGCATGTGTTGAACCAGCCTTGCATCCCAGGGATGAAGCCCACTTGATCATGTGGATAAGCTTTTTGATTTGCTGCTGGATTCGGTTTGCCAGTATTTTATTGAGGATTTTTGCATCTATGTTCATCAGGGATATTGGTCTAAAATTCTCTTTTTTTGTTGTGTCTCTGCCAGGCTTTGGTATCCGGATGATGCTGGCCTCATAAAATGAGTTAGGGAGGATTCCTTCTTTTTCTATTGATTGGAATAGTTTCAGAAGGAATGGTACCAGCTCCTCCTTGTACCTCTGGTAGAATTCGGCTGTGAATCCATCTGGTTCTGGACTTTTTTTGTTTGGTAGGCTACTAATTATTGCCTCAATTTCAGAGCCTGTTATTAGTCTCTTCAGGGATTCAACTTCTTCCTGGTTTAGTCTTGGCAGTGTATATGTGTCCAGGAATTTATCCATTTCTTCTAGATTTTCTAGTTTATTTGCATAGAGGTGTTTATATTATTCTCTGATGGTAGTTTGTATTTCTGTAGGATCAGTGGTGATATCCCCTTTATCATTTTTTGTTGCATCTATTTGATTCTTCTCTCTTTTCTTCTTTATTAGTCTTGCTAGTTGTCTATGAGTTTTGTTGATCTGTATGTAGAGGGAAATTTATAGCACTAAATGCCCACAAGAGAAAGCAGGAAAGATCTAAAATTGACACCCTAACGTCACAATTAAAAGAACTAGAGAAGCAAGAACAAACACATTCAAAAGCTAGCAGAAGGCAAGAAATAACTAAGATCAGAGAAGAACGGAAGGAGATAGAGACATTAAAAAACCCTTCAAAAAATCAATGAATCCAGGAGCTGGTTTTTTGAAAAGATATTTTATTTTTTTACAAATGGAAGATTTCTGGCAGCCCTGCATCAAGCAAATCTATTAGTGTCATTTTTTTCCAACAGCATGAGCTTACTTCGTGTCTCTGTGTCACATTTTGGTAGTTTTCAAAATATTTCAAATTTTGTCGTTAATATTGTATTTTCATTGTGATCTGCGATCAGTAATCTTTGATGTTACTTTGTAACTATTTTAGGGCACCACAAACTGCACCCACATGGTGAATTTAATCAATAAATATTGTATGTTCTGACTTCTCCACCAACTGTCCATTCCCCTCCTTCCCTCTCCTCCAGTCTCTCTATTCCCTGAAATAGAACAATGTTAAAATTATGCCAATTAATAATATTAGTATGGCTTCTAAGTGTTCAAGTGACAGGAAGAGTTGCAAGTCTCTCATTTTAAATCAAAAGTTAGAAAAGATTAAGTTTAGTGAGGAAGGCAAGTGGAAATCTGAGATAGGCCAAAAGCTAGGCCTCTTGCACCAGGTAGCCAAGTTGTGGAGGCAAAGGAAAAGTTACTGAACAATGTTAAAAGTGTTACTCCAATGAACACACAAATGATAAGAAAGTCAAACAGCCTTATTGCTGAAAGTTTTAATGATCTGGATAGAAGATCAGATTAGTCACAAGGTACCCATTAGCCAAAGCCTAATCCAAAGCAAAGACCTAATTCTTTCTGATTCTATGAAGACTGAGAGAGGGGAGGAAGCTGCAGAAGAGTTTGCAGCTATCAGAGATGGGTTCTTGAGGATGAAGGAAAGAAGCCATCTCCATAACATAAAAGTGCAAGGTGAAACCGCAAATACTGATGGAGAAGCTGCAGCTTGTTATCCAGAGGATCTAGCTGAGATCATTGATAAAGGTGGCTATCTAAACAACAGATTTTTACTGTAGAAAAAAAAAAAAAACAGCCTTATATTGGAAAAAGATGCCATCTAGGGCATTCACAGCTAGAAAGGAGAAGTCAACGCCTGGCTTCAAAGCTCAAACAACAGTCTGATTTTCTGGTTAGAGGCTAATGCAGCTAGTGGTTTTAAGTTGAAGGTAATGTTTGTTTACCATTCCAAAGATGTTAGGACCCTTAAGAATTATGATAAATATACTCTCCCTGTGCTCTATAAATGAATGAACAAATCTTGGAGAACAGCACTTCTGTATAAAACATGGTTTACTGAGTATTTTGTGCCCACCGTTGAAATCTACTGCTCAAAAAAAGAGATTTCGTTAAAATATTAGTGCTCATCGTCAATGCGCCTGATCACCCAAGAGCTCTGATTGTGATGTACAATGAGGTTAATGTTTTCATGCCTGCTAAAACAACATCCATTCTGCAGCCCAGGAATCAAACAGTAATTTCTAATTTCAAGTCTTATTGTTTAAGAGAAACATTTTGTAAAGGTCTGGCTGCAATAGATAGTGGTCCCTCTCATGAATCTGGGCAGTCACCTGAAAATCTTCTGGAAAGAATTCATCATTCTAAATGCCATGAAGAACATTCATGATTTATGAGAGGAGGTCACAATATCAATGTTAACAGGAGTTTAGAAGAAGTTGATTCCAATCCTCATGGATGACTTGGGAGATTCAAGACTGCAGTAGAGAATGTAACTGCAAATGTGGTAGAAACAGCAAGCGAACTGGAATTCGAAGTCGAGCCTGAACACGAATGGATTGTTGCAGTCTCGTGATTAAATGAAGAAATGAGGAGCTACAAAGAAAAGTGATTTCTTGAAATGGAATCTACTCCTGGTGAAGATGCTATGAACATTGTTGAAGTGACAACAAAGGATTTAGAATATTTCATAAACTTAGTTGATAAAGGAGCAACAGGGTTTGAGAGGATTCATTCCAATTTTGAAAGAAGTTTTATTTAGTGGGTAAAATGCTATCACATAACATCATATACTACAGATAAATCTTTAGTGAAAAGATGAGTCAGTTATGTGGCAAACTTCATAGTTGTCTTATTTTCAGAAATTGCCGCAGCCACTTCAACCTCCAGCAACCACCAACCTGATCAGTCAGCAGCCATCAACATTGAAGTAAAACCTTCCACCAGTGATAAAATTAGGACTCCAAAGGCTCAGGTGATTGTTGGCATTTTTTAGCAATAAAGTTTTTTTTTTCTCTTTTGTTTTTCTTTTTGAGATGGAGTCTTGTCCTGTTGCCTAGGCTGGAGTGCAGTGGCATAGTGGCATGATCTGGGCTCACTACAGCCTCTGCCTCCTGGGTTCAAGTGATTCTCCTGCCTCAGACTCCCTAGTAGCTGGGATTACAGGCGTGTGCCACCACGTCTGGCTAATTTTTGTATTTTTAGTAGAGATGGGGTTTCACCATGTTGGCCAAGCTGGTCTCAAACTCCTGAGCTCAAGTGATCTTCCTGCCTCGGCTTCCCAAAGTTCTGGGATTACAGGTGAGAGCCACCACACACAGCCACAATAAAGTATTTTTAATTAAGACATGTACATTGTGAATTTAAACATAGTGCTATTGTGCACTTAATAGACTACAGTATAGTGCAAGCATAACTTTTGTATCCACCTGGAAGCCAAAAAATTTGGGCAACTCATTTTATTGCTATATTCACCTTATTGTGGTGGTTTGGAAGTGAACCCATGGTATCTCCAATGTAAGTCTGTATTCTCTTGTAAGTATAGCCTATGAAATACTAGGTTTGTAATCACAGTGAGCAACTAACACACATTTAATACAATCTGTACTGTCTGAAGAGGAAATTCTGCATCTTCTTGGATGTATCTTTGGATCTACTAGGAATCCGTGTTTGTAAAACATAGAGGATTCATTCTTTGGACTGTTCTTTCAATTCCCTTGGCATATTTGATTCCATACAGGTGACCATCAACATCCAACAACAATTAGCATCTGAAAAAATGTTACTTACAGTGAATTCATTTCCAAATGAAAAGTAAAATTGTATCAGTAATATTCACAATTTGACTTTAAGAAACTGTCTGAAAAATTGTACTTCCCAGTATGGGTCTATTTAAAACCTTACCACTATGATTTCTTAGATGCAGTGGAACATTTACATTTCTAGTAGTTTGTGGAGAAACTTTCTGCAAGTTGTCCAGCTCACGTTTATTTCTTTTTAAAGTCATCTCAATTACCACAGTGTGATGCTAGATCTTAACCTTCCTTAAGACAGGGAGTGATTTCATTAGCTTGTTGTTTCTAATTTTATATAATTTCTATGCTGCCAACTTCCAGTAGGGATATCAGTTGGTTATACTACTCTTTCATGTGCTCCCCTTCACCCACCCTTAGTTGCTATTGTTTATTTGTGCTTGTTTGTAGCAATGCCAAACGATTTCTACATTCCTGAACGTGCCCTGTTGATGCATTATATGTGCCACCGCTTTCTCTGAATATTTTCCCCTTACCTCATCCTCCCTTCTTAACTCTGTCTTTTCCCTTCTTAACCCTATCAGCTTCTACTTTCTCATTTTACGATCTTTTCTAGAAAACCTTCTGTGATCTCTTCTCACCCACCATTTTGGGTAACTTGACCACCTACCTTCTTTCTAAGATCCTTTTTGTATCATCTACCATACTCTATTTTGAATATTTGACAGCTTATTTTCCCCAAATAAACCTAGAACTCCTTGTAGGAAGAAATTAAGTATTTGAGGCTAATATCCCATCATCTGCCATTGATCCTTGTTTGGAATAGTCATTCAATAAATGTTAGCTAACTAAGTGAATGAAGGCATTATCCACCTTGTTGCCCAATTCCTTTCCAATGAAATTTTGTCCATCTTAATAAATCGGAAAAATAGATCTTTTGAAGGTAGCCACTATCTAAATAAACTTACAGCAGGCAGGCACATAGTAGAGGCTCAACAACACTTGGTGAATTAATTCAAAATGGAACTTCTCCATTAGGCTGATTTTCCACCCACGTATAAGTTTTTCAGATGTGATTCTCAGAACAATTGCATAATAAGGCTCACTAAACTCTTGAGATTTAGAAGTTACCATTGATGTAGTGATTGTATAGAATCATAAGTTAAATGAGGAGGAATTAACCCATTTATGCCTAGTGTTCCATTATTGGAATGCTAAGCATGTGGGAGTTATTTATATCCTACTGCTCAAGGTCATTGCCAAGGTCTGATTGCAAAAATTCAAAAAATTGCAACGTCCAGTATAAGTGGGTTAACAACTCGGCTCTCAATAGGTTAGAATTTTAAGTTTACATAGGTATTTATTTGTTCAAAAGATTAGTTTAGACTGAAATGATCTGAAGTAGAAAGTTACCGGGAGATAGGATGGTTGCAGAGAAAAGGGTTAAAAAAGATTGGTCAGTGTGAATTACTTAGTTTTTTGCACTTGTCTCTTTGTCTGAAAGATCCTTGTCTAGTGGATCAATTTGTCATCAAGAAGGTAATCTATATTTACTTTGCGGCAGGTACTGTAGCTCTTAACTCTGCATTTAGCTGATTCAGCTCCTACCCAGACTACTTTGACCTCAGAAATATTCCCTGCTAACTGTCCTCCTGTTCACTCCAATTTGTACTGCCTAAATGCTTACTGCTGAATGTCCCTCTGGCCATTTTGAAAGGTGTTTCATCACACTACAATAAACGTGAAATACTGATGCACTCAAAATGGCACACACACTCACACAAAATGCAGCTGGATATCGACACAGAACTGGACAGGGGCATTTATTACACTTTACTCTTACACCATTGCCTACCTTTGGCAAAGGAAGTTTGTAAGTGTCCTCGGTGGTCTACACCGATCAATACTACATGGGAGTTAAATTAGACCTCAAGTTAAGCACACATCTACATTGGCTGAGATACCTTCAACCTAAAACCCCTGGAAAATTTACACTTTTCCACTAAGTTAACCAGTAATAGAGTGAAATGAGTGAGAAAAAAGCAGCTGTCTAGTTTTTATCTTGCATCCTTTTCAAACAAACCTGATCCAATTTTAAGCCCCTGTAGGTGTATTATAGTAATAAGCCTAACAGCCTTTCAACTTATCTTAGAAACATTGTTGATTTAATGACAAACATTCACTAAGGAAGATCAAACATTGAAACATCAAATCTTGAGAATTTGAGAAATTCTCTCATATATTATCAATCTTTCCTATATGCTCAGGCTCAAAAATGTCTTCTAAATCCTGAAAGTGGATTGGAAACAGATGTATTTTTGGATGACAGAAAATGCTCATATGAATTAGTTGTGGACTCTGAATTGCTGAGTCAAAGGTAAATATAGGTAAAGTAGACAATTCATACCCCTCCAAATGGTATTTCTTCAGTTATTTTGATTATTTGTAAGTTTCACACATTGTCTGCAAAATATTTGGTCTTCTACAAACTACACCATTCCTCTTAAAATTTGTTCTGTTTTGCACTGTGTAATTTTTGTAATCAGACTATTTTTATGCTTCAATGTGTCACTTTTACTTCCATTTAATATTCTAATTGTCCTCCACATACAACAGAAGAATTCCAAACGATAGATCAAGTCCTCATTTAAAATGAACATTACAAGAAGTGTTGTGCTCTAACTTTATATAATCAGGGGTAGTTTCTTCTGGTCATGCTGACTAGGAATAAACAGGACACTAAGTGGGTCAAATTACTTAGAGTAAACACACACATACATATGCACATTGTATTAAAAAAACCTGGCAACTGATCTAATAAGACTGTTAATGAAGAATTCTTGAGAAAATTGGCATACATTTTAAGACAAAAGCAGTAGGTTGAGGCTATTTAAAATTGACTCGGTAAGTTATTTTCTGCGATGTGCTGGTGAATGTTTAATAGCCAGCTCTTGGGATGAGGACAGGCCAGATTTGTGGTGTTTTTCAATTTCTATGGTATGAGTGTACCTACTCATGGCTGATTTTTATATGTCAACATGAAGTTACTAAGGGGCATCAGGAAGAGATGCACACCATCAGCTTTTGTGCACTGATATGCACTGGTTGTAATTCACCACTAGTTAACTTGCCAACTTAACTTTCCTACTCCAGGTTTATACTGAGAAATGGGAATGTAGCACTGTGAAACACATGGAAAACCTTAAATGAAAAATGCTATGAAATGCTGGCTTGCCTTCTCTTTTACCCTATACTACGTAGCTAAACAATAGCTACAACACATTTTATTTTAAATTTATTTTATTTGTATTTTTTACATTTTACAAACATTTTTACGTTTATTATATTGCCCCTCTTTATATTTGAGGATAGTAACCTTGTATTGGCTCCCTGAAGTATGATCCAGAATTTTTTGGCTAACTCAAGAATAAACATAATCTACAGCATTTGAGTGTTTACTATATGCAAAATACTGTTAAATATGTATTTGTCTCTAGAGATCTATGTGGCTATCTCTTTCCCCTCATCAATGTCTCTATTCAAATATGACTTTCTAAATTAAGCTTACCTTAAGTATCCCATTTAAAATTTCTTCTAGCCCTTTCAGTACTTTCAACTCCTTTTATGATGGTTCTATTATTTTCATCACACTTGTGTCTTCAATTACCGAAAATTTTATTTTTATGTTGCTAATTACATACTGTCTATGTCTTCTCTACTGGAATGCATAAACTCCTTATTAAGTGTAGTTTTTTTCTGTTTTGTTCACTTACGTCTCTTCAGTATCTAGAAATGTGTCTGGTATATAGTAGATAATCAATGAATATTTGTTGAATGAATGAGATAATCACCAATGTCTGAACAGAATAACAAGCTACAGTGCTTACGAAGAATTTTCTGGCTGTGATGTATACTTAATTGACTTAGGAGATATTATGATATCTCATTCAGAAATAGATTTTTAAAACAACTTCGACTGTCAATCTTCTGAAATTGTTTAAATATGGCCCCACTTAAAAACCAAACATTGCCCAGTTCAGTGATTTTTAGATTCTTTTGAGAGGCTCCAAGGCCTCAAAGACCTCAGTAAGAGGCAACATGCCTAGGGGGGAGCAAATGGATGGGGCTTGGGTTTTACCCTGGCTTCATGCCAAGGGTCCTCCTTTTATCAGCTTCTGATTATGTTGTTGGGGGCCCAGGGAAGTGTGTGTGTGTGTGTGTGTGTGTGTGTGTGTGTGTGTGTGTGTGTGTTGGGGGGAGGGGTTAACATAACATTTTCTTTAAGTAAAAAATGTTACTTGTATTCAAACCCAGTACATCTTCTAGGATGACAGGTACTTGGAAAACATTATTTTAGATTATCCCCTGTTTAAAATCCTGTGTTTTGTTTTCTGTGTTTCTAATTAAGTTCTTATAATTAATTAATAAACAGGGAAACATATCTTTCTTCTCCTTAAAGTGAATAACAAAATTTCCTTTTATAAAATATCACCTAGTAGGCATGGGCCATAATCTTTAAGAAAACTCTTCAGTTTTCAAAAATATGAAACGTGTCTAGAATGCACTTGTCCATGGCATTAAAAAATGGTTTTAAAGGAAATCGTATATAAGATTTCAGAGGATATGTTTTAAAAGACAGATTTTTACAGAAGACTAAACAATCTACTACCAAACTGGTATGGAAGAAAATTATTTTGAAATATGAAGCAAGTAGCACCTGATGCCTTCCTCTCTTAAGCAATTTGAATTCAATTTGTGGCAGAAAGTGTAGCCTTTCTCAGATCAATAGGGCACATTCAGCACAGCTGTCCCACTACACCTGATCCAGAGCCAACCTGGCTGGGGACCTATTAGTCATACCTGAGGGACTCTCCCTAGCTTTTATCTCCAAGTATATCTCCTAGGATTACAGGTACTTGAGGCTAATTAGATCTGCTCTATTACCTGCCATGAGAGCCTCTGTTTCTACAACATCCCGTTTACCTTCCAATTTCAATGAGATAATCAGGGTGTCACAGTGCACTAAAGGTAAAATGATAGCCTTGCATACACACGGCTGGCTTTATCTGTTAATACCATATGCCGGTGTGCACGTGTGTGACACACACATGCGCGTGCTCACACACACACACTGGAGGGCTAGAAAGATAATAACTGGACTGACCTATTACAATTTTACCTTGTTTGCTTTGTTGCTATTCCTCAGAAGTCAGTCCCCCTTCCAATGTAATTATGTAATTAGAGCTAAAGACTATAAACAAATAGAGCTTTGTCCCCTCCCTCAGAGCTCTGAAGTCAACCCTTTTAAATGCTGAGACTTTGGAAGCCTACACGTCGCTGACACATGGAGGCAGACCTGAGGCGTGGAAAACACATCACATTCCTGACTTCTCTTTTCTCCTTCCTGGATTCAGGAAGCAAAGGAAGCACAAGTAGACAGCAGGATCTGGCCCTCATTTGGCATTTGTTCAAATTTGAGAAGATAAATGGGTGGGGTTGTTTTTTTTTTTTTTTTTTGCCCTTCAAATTAGTATTTTATTTAATTATTTGGCATCTTTTTAATATCATAACAAATTAAGACCATGGATCAAAATGGGCGCTTTAAAGGTATTTTCTACTTCTCTATCATATTCATTATTTGGGCAACCTCCTTGCTTAGTATATGTGCTAATTACTGGGCAAATATATTTGAGTAGATGGTAGGATACTTACAGAGCATATTCTATTACGATGCACTTCTGTGAGGCCGGACCAAACCAGATTTTACCCTGAACGTCATTCTCCAAGTTCATAGGGGAAAGAAGAAACTGAGCAGAAAATGTGTGGGTCCACTGTACTCTTCGGGCAGGAATGCACCTGCAAAGATAACAACAATTAGCAATATTATTGTGTGTTCTGGCTTTGCCAACTCTTTTGTCATTAGAAAACATCAAAGACATTTATCTCTGGAGAAATTTTGTAGTCTGATTTTTTTGTTTTGTTTTGTTTTGTTTTGTTTTGCTTTGTTTTTTGAGACGGAGTCTCACTCTGTCGCCCAAGCTGGAGTGCAGTGGTGCGATCTCGGCTCACTGCAACCTCCACCTCCTGGTTTCAAGCGATTCTCCTGCCTCAGCCTCCCAAGTAGCTGGGACTACAGGTACGTGCCACCACGCCTGGATAATTTTTTGTATTTTTAGTAGAGACGGGGTTTCACCGTGTTAGCCAGGATCGTCTTGACCTCCTGACCTCATGGTCTGTCTGCCTTGGCCTCCCAAAGTGCTGGGATTACAGGAGTGAGCCATAGCGCCTGGCCTGTAGTCCGCTTTTATGTGCTTTATTTTGACCACTGGTTTGTGCTTCCTTTGATTCTGTTCTATGTCTAGCTCCAAATCTTCAGAACTCTCTCTGAAAGGATCCCTTGTAAACCGTAGGCATGCACACATAAGTCAGAAGTTACACGCTCAAAATCCTACAAGCACCAGGCAGGTGACATGGGTAGGTAAAGTGGGCAAGTTGTGGCATCATTGTGTAATCTTGTAAAGGCAATTTTCCCACTTTTTTAAATTAAAATTTTTGAGATATTTGTTGATTCTCATGCAGATATAAGAAGTAATCCAGAGAAATCACATGTACCTTTTCACCACTTTTCCCCAGCAGTAACGTATTGCAAAACTGTACATAACATAACCAGCACATTGAGGTTGAAAATCTGTCATCCTTATTCACATTTCCCCAGTTTCTATGTAATTGTATGTCTATGCAATTTTATCACATGTGTAAATGTGTGTATCTACAACCACAGTTAAGACGCAAAACTGTTCACAAAACCCAAATATCCCTTATCTTGACATATAATTAAATGAAAGCATTTCTGCATAACAGAAGAAACTATCAACAGAGTAAACAGATAACCTATAGAAAGGGAGAAAATTTTTGCAAACTATGCATCCAACAAAGGTCTAATATCCAGCATCTATAAGGAACTTAAACAAATTTACAAGAGAAAAACAAACAGCCCTATTATAAAGTGAGCAAAGGACAAAACAGACACTTTTCCAAAGAAGATATACATGCAGCCAACAATCATATGAAGAAAAAGGGCTCAACATCACTGATCTTTAGAGAGGTGCAAATCAAAATTACAATGAGATACCATCTAACACCAGTCAGAATAAATACTATTAAAATGTCAAAAAATAACAGATGCTGGCTAGGTTGAGGAGAAAAAGGAATGCTTATACACTGTAGGTAAGAGTGTAAATCAGTTCAGCCATTGTGGAAGACATTGTGGTGATTCCTCAAAGACCTACAAACAGAAATACCATTTGACCCAGCAATTCCATTACTGGGTATATACCCAAAGGAATATAAATCACTATATTATAAAGACACATACACGCATATGTTCATGGTAGCACTGTTCACAATAGCAAAGACATAGAATCAACCTAAATGTCTATCAATGATAGACTGGATAAAGCAAATGTGGTACATATACACCATGGAATACCATGTGGCCATAAAAAAGAATGAGATCATGTTCTTTGCAGGGACATGGATGGAGCTGGAGGCCATTATCCTTAGCTAACTAACACAGGAACAGAAAACCAAATACTGCATGTTCTCACTTATAAATCAGAACTAAATGATGAGAACACATGGACCCATAGAGGGGAAAAACATACACTGGGACCAATTGGAGGGTGGAGGATGGGAGGAGGGAGAGGATCAGGAAAAACAACTAATGGGTACTAGGCTCAATACCTGGGTGATGAAATAACCTGTACAACAAACCCCCATGACACAAGTTTATCTATATAACAAGCCTGCACTTGTACCTCTGAACTTAAAAGTTTAAAAAAAAAATCCCTCATGTTGCCCCCTTATAACCACATCTGTCTGGATCCTATACCCCACCTTTTCCTTTTTTCCCTAATTTCTAGCAACCGCTAATCTGTTGTTTATCTCTATAATTTTGTGATTACAAGAATGCTATACAAAAGGAATTATGCAGTATATAACCTTTTGGTACTGAGCTTTATTTTACTTAGTATAAGTCTTTTGAAATTCATCGAAGTTGTTGTGTGGACCAAGGATTATTCCTTTTTATTGTTTAGTAGTATTCCATGGTGTAGCAGTTTGCTTAACCATCCGTTAATCGAAGGGCTGTGTTGTTTTAGTGTTTGGCTACCACAAATTAAGCTACTATAAACATTTGTGTACAGGTGTTTGTGTTAATAGAAACTTTCAATTTTCTTTTTCTCAATTTTGGTAGAGACAGAGACTCAGAAAAAAATATCTTTACTATTAAAAATGAACAACATGAATGCCACAAAAACTGGCAAGTGACACTTGGTGTGATGGAACAATAAGTATTAGTGGGTACTGTCCTAATTGAAAAGCATGTGTCCCAGGAAGAAGTCACTTCCCAGATACAGAAAGCCTTGCAATGTGTAAATATAGACCCAATTATTTCAGATCTGTCTATTTTGAAGAAAATTCTGATATCTAGGAATTTATATGATACTTTCTTATTTATATATTTTATATTTATGCCTGCGTGTTTTAAAATATTGTGACAGCCAAATAAAATTGGACTACAGGACAACTTTTTAAACCTTGGGCTACTTTTAAAAAACTTCATATAATCAAACAGCTCTGGTATTAACTTTCTGAAGCCCATGACTTTATTGAATTCATCCGTTCATCGTTGTTTTTCCCACTGTTTTGAGTCTCACTTTTGAATTCATGCTAAGCATAAGATTAGGAGAAACAGAATATATTTAATAAGTTACTAAAACTTTTCATTCTTTCAGTAACAATGGAGGGTCTATCATGCATCAGTCGGTTTTCACTGTGGACCCACAGTGAACTGCAGATGAAGTTCCATTTTCACTGCGTGCATAGACTTGTGCAATGTTTACAGACTGATCGCGAAGGGTAAGTCTGGCCTTGATGTTGTCAATTTTCTGACCACAAATCGTAGTAATAATAAAAATTGATACATGAAATATCGGATTTTTTAAAATCTAGATTTCTGGCTTTTGTTGAAAAACAGGAAAATTAGACATAACTGAGGCCACGTTTCAGCATGGACAAGTCAGTTGGAGATGAAGCACAGCTGACCCATTAGGCAGAGCAGTCACCTCCAGTCAGTCATAGCCCCCTCAGCCAGCCTCACTGGTTGATGTGAGCTGCCTGACCTCTATAAACATGGGAGTTTGCTACCTCTGGTTGAATGGAAAACATTAAGCAAACAACAAACATACTAAATCTTGGCTTGCCCTAGTAGCCATTTGCTCCTTCCAGGGAAATTACTTCTGAACTTGAGTTAGTCAACCATCATGGATTGACATGGAGAGACCATGGTTGTGAAATACATTTTGTATGATTGCATTTACCTACTTCTATATATGACTCTTCATTTTTCAGTAAAATATCGGTCTTAAGATTCACAAGTAAGACCTGAACACTCAGAAAACTAAGAGAAATGCCTGATTTTTATATTTATTTTTTCCAGCTTTATTGAGTAAGATTGACAACTCTCAATTGTACATGTTTCAGATGTACAGCTGGATGATGTGGCACACATAGACATTGTGAAATAATTACCTAATTAACATACCCATCACTTCACATAGTCATGCCCCCCTTTTTTGTGAGAATATTATGACTTATTGCCTTAGCAAATTCAAGTATACAATACAGTATTATTAACTATAGTTACCATGCTGTACATTAGACCTCCCAAAGTGCATCTTATAAACTTATGTTTGCAAACTTTGGCCAGTATCTCCCTAACACCACTATAACCAGGCTTCTGGTATCCGTTATTTTGCTATGTTTGCATGAGTTTAACTTTTTAATATCATGCGGTATTTGTCTTTCTCTGCCTGACTTACTTAACTTAAAATAATGTCCTTCATCCATGGTGTTGCAAATGGCAGGATTCCTTTCTTTAAGTCTGAATAATGTTCCACTGTGTGTATGGGTATATGTATATGCACACGCACACACACATACATATAGTGTGCATATGTCTGTATGCATATCTATACCTATATACCACATTTTCCTTATCCATTCATCCATCAGTGGGCACTGAGATTGTTTCCATATCTTAACTATTGTGAATAATGCTGCAATGAACATGGAACTGCAGATATCTTTTTGACATAACTGATTTCATTTCTTTGGAATATATACCCTAAAGTGGGATTGCTGGATCATATGGTGTTGTATTTTTTATTGCTTAAGAAACTTCCAAACTGTTTTCCGTAATGGCTGCACCATTTTACATTCCCACCAATAACATGTAAGAATTCTCTTTTCTCCATCTCCTTTTCAACACTTGTTATCATTTGCCTTTTTTATAGTAGGCTTTCCTCAAGGTGTGAGGTGATATCTTCTTGTAGCTTTGATGATTAGTGATGTTGAGTAGCTTTTCATATACCTCTTCATATGTATTCTTTGGGAAAATGTCCAATCAGGTCTTTTGCCCATTTTTAAGTTGGATTATTTGTTTTTGCGTGTGTTGTTTTTGTTCTTGTTTGTTTTTTGCTATTGAGTTGTATGAGTTCCTTATATATTTTGAATATTAATCACTCATATGACATATGTTCACAAATATTTTCTCCCATTCCATAGGTTGCCTTTTCATTTTGTTGATTGTTTCCTTTGCTGTGCAGAAGCATTCAAATTTGATGTCCCACTTGCTTGTCTGTGCTTTTGTTGTCTGGGTTTTTGGTGTCTTATCCACAAAATTATTGCCAAAGCAATGTGAAGGAGCTTTTCCCCTATGTTTTCTTACAGGAGTTTTATGGTTTAAGGTCTTACATTTAAGCCTTTAATTAGTTTTGAGTTGATTATTGCGTATGGTGCAAGATAAGGGTCAAAATGTATTATTTCGCATGTTTTCCCAACACCATTTAATAAAGAGATCATCCTTTCCCCATGGTGTATCATTGCTGCTTTTGTCAAAGTTTAGTTGACTATATGTATGGGTTTATTTCTACACTCTATTCTGTTTCATTGGTCTATATGTTTATCTATATGCCAATACTATACTGTTTTGATTACTATAGCATATTAGGATAATTTAAAATAAGGAAATATGATGCCTCTGGCTTTAATTATTTTGTTCCAGATTGTTTTAGCTATTTGGGGTCTTTTGTGGTTCTCTACAAATTTTAGGATTATTTTTTCTTATTTAAGTAAAAAAATGCCATGCTTTGAATTTGCAGATCACTTCAGGTAAGGTGGACATTTGAACAACATTAATTATTTCAATCATTAACACAGGCTATCTTTCCATTTGTTTGTGTCTTCTTCAATTTCTTTCATCAATGTTTTTTAGTTTTTAGTATACAAATCTTTTACTTCACCAGATAATTTATTCCTAAGAATTTATCCATTTATTCTAGGTTATTCAATTTGCTTGTGCATAGTTGTTAATAGTCTTTTATATTTCTTTATTTCTATGGTATCAGTTGTAATGTCTCTCTCTTATTTAGGAGTTTGCTTATTTGCATTTTTTTCTTTATTAGTCTAGCTAAAATGTTAATTTTATCTTTTCAACCAAACAAATCTTAATATTGTGGATTTTTTAATTGTTATTTGTTTGTTTGTTTGAGATGGAGTCTTGCTTTGTCCCCCAGGCTGGAGTTCAGTGGCACAATCTCTGCTCACTTCTACTTCCCCCTCCCAGGCTTAAGCAATTCTCCTGCCTCAGCCTCCTGAGTAGCTGGGACTACAGGTGTGTGCCACTGGGCCCGGCTAATTTTGTATTTTTTGCTAGAATTGTGGTTTCACCATGTTGGAGATTTAATTTTTTTCCCTAGTTTCTATTTTATTATCTCTGCTCTAATCTTTGTTATTTCTTTCCTTCTCCTAAATTTGTGTTTAGTTTATTCTTCTTTTTCTAGCTCCTTGAGGTTTAAAGTTGTTTTAAAATTTGAGATCTTTTCTTTTTTCTTCACATAGGTATTTATTGCTATAAACTTCCTGCTTAGAATTGCTTTGCTGCATCACGTAAGTTTTATTATATTCTATTTCCATTTTCATTTTCCCCAAGATTTTTTTTATTCTCCTTTTGATTTATTTTTTGATCTATTGGCTGTTCAGAAGTATATTGCATAATTTCAACATGTTTTTGAATTGTCCAGATTTCTTCCTGTTATTGACATCTAGTTTTATGCCATTGTGGTTTGAAAAGATACTTGTTATGACTTCAGTCTTCTTAAAGTTGATAAGACTTGTTCTGTGGTCTAATATATGTTGCATCCTGGGTAATGTTTTGTGTGTGCTTGAGAAGAATGTGTATTTCACTGCAATAGAGGTAATGTTCTGTATATATCAGTTAAGTCCATTTGGTTCAAAGTGTGGTTAATGTCCAATATTTTCTTATTAATTTTTTCTGGATGATCCATTGTTGCCAGTGTCATATTGAATTCCCCTACTATTACTGTATTGCTGTCTATTTCTCCCTTTACATCTGTATACATATATATACATATAGTTATATCCTCCTGATGCACTGACCCATTTATCACTGTCTAGTTTAGTCACTGTCTAGTGACTCTCTTTGTCTCATTGACAGCTTTTTGCTTAAAATCCATTTTTCTGATATAAGTGAAGCTATCCCTGTTCCCTTTTTGTTTCTACTTGCATGGATTACTTATTTCCTTCCCTTAATTTTTAGTTTATGTGTCCTTAAAGTGAAAGTGAATTTCTTGTAGTCAGCATATTGTTGTCTTATTTTTTATATCCTTTAGCCACCCTATTTTTTATTGGAAAGTTTAGTTTATTTCCATTTACATTTGATAGGTAAGGACTTACTATCGACATGTTGTTAATTGTTTTTTGGCTACTTTCTATTTCTTTTGACCCTTTCTCTCTGGCTGTCTTTCTTTGTGATTTGATGATCTACTATGGTAGTATACCTTATCTTTTGTGTAGCTGTTATAGCTTGTTGCTTTATTCTTACCGTGAACCTGACGTAAAACATCTTATTGCTATAGCAGCCTATTCCAGGATGACAATAACTTAATTTTGATCACATATGAAAGCTCTAAACTTTTACTTCCTCTCCCAATATTTTATATTTACTTTGTCATAGTTTACTTCTTTTTATATTGTATATAATTTGATAAATCATTGTAGCTATAGTTATTTTTAATACTTTTATCTTTTAACTTTTATACTAGAGTTAAAAATATATTATATACCACCATTACAGTATTAAAATGTTCTGAAGTTGACTATATACTTGACAAGTGCATTTTGTACTTTCATATGTGTTCATGTGGCTAATTAACATTCTTTTATTTCAGCTTGAAGACCTCTCTTTAGCATTTTTTATAAGTCAAGTCTAGCGGCAATAAACTCTTTTAGCTACTGTTTTTCTGGAAAGTATCTTTCTCCCTCCATTTCTGAAGGATAGTTTCTCTGGGTAACATATTATTTGTTGGCATCTTTCTTTTTCAGTGTTTTGAATATATTATTCTGCTCCCTCATGGCCTGCAAATTTTCTACTGAGAAATCATTGTTGTTGAATTTGGAGGGGGTGGGTCCTTTATATGTGACATGTCTCTTTCTGCTTTCAAAAATTTTCTTTGTCTTTAATTTTTGACAATTTGATTATAAGGCATCTTAGTAAAGTCCTCTTTTGGTTGATCTTATTTAGAAACCTTTGAACCTTGTGCTCCTGGATGACAATATCTTTCCCAAGACAGGGAAACATTGTAGCCATTTTTTAAATAAACTTATTTTATCTGTCTCCCTTCTGCTTGTGGAACTCCCATAATGTACATATCGTATTCCTTGATGGTTCCCATAAATCCCATAAGATTTTATTTTTCCTTTTTTTTTCTCCCCTGACTGGATGATTTCAAATGACCTGTGTTTGAGTTTGCAGATTATTTTATCCTGCTTGTCAAGTCAGCTGTTGGAGCTCTCTATTGCATTTATATTGCATTCATTGTATTCTTTAGCTCCAAACTTTCCTGCTATTTTAAGAAATAATTTCTATCTCTTTGTTGAAATTCTAATTTTGTTCATGTGATTTTTTTTCTTCATTTCATTGAGTTGTCTGTCTGTATTCTCTTTTAGCTCATTGATCTTTCTTAAAACAATTATTTTGTATTCTCTGTCAGGCAGTTCCCAGATCTCCATTTCTTTGGGATTAGTTTCTGGAAATTTGTGTGTTTGTTTTGTTTGTTTGTTTGTTTGTTTGATGGTAACATGTTTCCTTTTCTTTTTAAATGTTTCTTGACATTTTGCATTGCTGCCTTCACATTTAAAGAAACACTCACCTCTTCCAGTCTTTACTGATTGGCTCAGAAAAGAAACACCTTTACCACTCAACATGGCTAAAGAATCTGAGACTCTCTCAGTGCTTTCTATATATTTGTCCACTCTACCTTTTTTGTTCCCTCTTGGGTGGGATTCTTAAAATTATATGCCTTCTCTCAATATCCCAAAACAAGGCTGTGTGCTGACAGTCTTCTGTTCATTTTGCCTCGGGTGGTGACCTGAAATGATAAAGTTTGTATGCCTTTTCCCAATCCCACTGAATCTAGCTAATTGTCTGCACAGGCTCACTATCTGTCTACAAAGGCTTGTACTCACCATCTAGGGTGCACATGTGGATGTGGAGAGCCAGCCATGGGATGGTAGAGGGTTGTGGATAAGGCCCTTGGAATGCTGGGGGAACCCACAGGCCAGTTGGCTGGAGCCCACAGACAAGGAGTCCCATGTGACTCATGGTTGGACCTCTGATGAAGTCTAAGAAGAGGTTAGCAGTATATGTAGTCCTCTATTGAGTTTCAAATTTTGGCTGCTATAAAAATCTGACTCTCTTCCCTGCTCTCAGCCTCTCCTAGACATTTAGCTGTGTTAATACCCACAATATTCTTGGTGGTAAAAGAAAGAAGTGAGCCTCTTAGGCAGCTTCCCACATAGATGGGTGATATGGTTTGGCTGTCTCCCACCCCAAAATCTCATCTTGAATTGTAATCCCCATAATCTTCATAATCCCCATATGTCAAGGGAGAGACCAGGTGGAGGCAATTGAATCATGGAGTTGGTTTCCCCTATACTGTTCTCATAACAATGAGTTCTCACAAAATCTGATGGTTTTATAAGTGATTGGTGGTTCCTCCCGTGCTCATTCTCCTTCCTGTCACCTTGTGAAGATGGTTCCTTGCTTACCTTTTGCCTTCCACCATGATTGTAAATTTCCTGAAGCCTCCCCAGCCATGGAGAATGGTGATTCAATTAAACTTCTTTCCTTTATAAATTTTCCGGTCTTGGGCAGTTCTTTATACCAGTGTGAAAATGAACTAATATAGTAAATTGGTACTGGGAGTGGGTCATTGCTATAAAGATACCTGAAAATGTGGAAGTGACTTTAGAACTGGATAATGGGCAGAGGTTGGAACAGTTTGGAGAGATCAGAAGAAGATACAAATATATGGGAAAGTTTGGAACTTCCTAGAGACTTGTTGAATGGTTTTGACCAAAATGCTGATAGTGATATGGACAACGAAGTCCACACTGAGATGGTCTCAGATGGAGGTGAGGAACTTCTTGGGAACTGGAGCAAAGGTGACTCTTGCTATGCTTTAGCAAAGAGACTGGCAGCATTTTGGCCCTGTCTTAGAGATCTGTGGAACATTCAACTTGAGAGAGATGATTTAGGGTATCTGGTAGAAGAAATTTCTAAATAGCAAAGTGCTCAACATGTGACCTGGGTGCTCTTAAAAATGTTTGGTTTTATGCATTCACAAAGAGATGGCTTGAAATTGGAACTTATGTTTAAAAGGGAAGCATGGCATAAAAGTTTGGAAAATTTGCAGCCTGATGATGTGATTGAAAAGAAAAACCCATTTTCTGGGGAGAAATTAAAGCCTGCTGCAGAAATTTACATAAGTATTGAGCAGCCAAATGTTAATTACCACGACTATGGGGGAAAATGTCTCCAAGGCATGCCAGAGGTCTTACCACCAGCAGCTCCTCCCATCACAGGCCCAGAGGCCTAGAAGAGAGACATGGTTTCATGGGCTGGGCCCAGGGCCTTGCTGCTTCACAGTCTTGGGACTTGGTGCTCTGTGTCCCAGCTACAGCTAAAAGAGGCCAACATGCAGCTGAAGCCTTTGATTCAGAGGGTTAAAGCCTCAAGCCTTGGTGGCTTACACATGGTTTTGGGCTTGTGGGTACACAGAAGTGAAGAACTGAGGTCTGGGAACCTCCACCTGGATTTCAGAGGATGTGTGGAAATGCCTGGATGTTCAGGCATAAGTTTGCTGCAAGGGTAGAGCCTTCATGGAGAACCTCTGCTAGGGCAGTGTGTAAAGGAAATGTGGGGTTGGAGACACATACAAGTCCCCACTGGGGCACTTCCTAGTGGAGTTGTCAAAAGAAGGCCACCATCCTCCAGACCCCAGAAAGGTAGATCCACCAACAACTTGCACAGTTTTCCTGGAAAAGCTGCAGACAATCAATGCCAGTCCATGAAAGCAACTGGGAGTGGGACCAGACCTTGCAAAGCCACATCAGTGGAGCTTCCTAAGGCTGTGGGAACCCACCTCTTGTATCAGCATGACCTGGATGTGAGACATAGAGTCAAAGGAGATCATTTTGGAACTTTAAGATTTAATGACTGCCCAGCCAGATTTTGAATTGTGTGAGACCTGTAGCCTTTGTTTTGGTTAATTGTTCCCACTTGGAATGGGAACATTTGCCCAATGCCTTCACCCTCATTGTACCTTGGAAGTAACTAACTTGTTTTGATTTTACAGGCTCCTAGGTGGAAGAGACTTCCCTTGTCTCCAATGAGACATTGGACTGTGGACCTTTGAGTTAATGCTGCAATAAGTTAAGACTTTGGGGTAACTGTTGGAAAGGCATGATTGTATTTTGAAATGTGAGGACATGAGATTTGGGATGAGCCGGGGCAGAATAACATGGTGTGGCTCTGTCACCACCCAAAGTTTTATCTTGGATTGTAGTTTTTCTAATTCCCACGTGTCAAAAGGGAGACCAGGTGGAGGTAATTGAATCACGGTGGTGGTTTCCCTCACACTGTTCTCATGACAGTGGGTGAGTTCCCTTGAGATCTGATGCTTTTATAAGTGTTTGGTAGTTCCTCCTGCAATTATTCTGCTTCCTGCCTCCTTGTGAAGAAGGTGCCTTGCTTTCCCTTCACCTTCTGCCATGATTGTAAGCTTTCTGAGGGCTTGCCAGCCGTGCAGAACTGTGAATCAATTAAACCTCTTTCTTTTATAAATTACCCAGTCTTGGGAAGTTCTTTATAGCAGTGTGAAAACAGGCTAATACGCTGGGGGACCTGAGCACCAGTTCATTATGCTCTCATTTTTTCCTGTAAGAAAAATCATGGGCCAAGGGGTCTCTCTTGGCACTCAGCTGTGTAGACTTGCAGGAGTGGCAAAATGGGCAAAGTAAAGCTATTATTTTTATCCTCTTTTGCGTGTTTGCTGGTGGAATTTTTGCTTCAGTGGTGTGCTGAATCTTCTTTGCTAAACCTGCATATTCCTACAAATGTATTCTGGTCCATGGGTCATTGTCAAAATCAGCGCACTTTGGAGATCATGACAGAAAACTCTTATCCACCATCTTGCTGATGTCACTTGTTCCAGGATGCTACATGAGATTATCTTCCTTTTTGCATATTTCTTATTTCATAGGAAAGACTGGAGTAATTATACCAGCCTGTGCTTTTGACCTCTTCTTCTGGGATGTTTGTATTTTTAAACAGATCGAAACAAAATGGGAAGAGTTTAATTAAATAGAATGGTAGGATTCCAGACACTTTTTGATCCTTTCCTTTGAGTGGAAGATGCTCTGTATTCCTGAAACCAAATTACAGAGGCCTGTGGCCTATTATGACCATTGGAAATGAGTGAATTTTTTTAAAATTTTATTTTTATTTTTAATTTACATAATTAGCTTGTTATGTCAATGAATAGCTGCAGACTAGGATGGGTTAGAATTTAGAGAAGGCTTCTTAAACAAATACCTTAAAGTTCAAAATTTCAGACGTTAAAATAATTAAAACAGCATACAATGGCTATGTCTTTATATTTACCAGTGAAACATCTGTTGCTATAGGTTAGTATTTGGAGCAGGAGGAGCAAGTAATTTGCCAAAGTGGCTGTAGCTTTAAAAGAGAAATCACATAACTTCTTTCAAAGATAGGAAATATTAAGGCATCATTGGCACTGTAGAGTGATGCTTTCGGAAGAGATGCCATAATGCCAATATTAGCACACACTTTTATTTTTTAACTGGTACACTGCTTGCTCAGACCATATAAAATATTAGAAAATGATCAAATCCCAGGACATCATTGGCGAACTTTGCTTCAGATTCTGTGGCTAAATTTCTCTATGTTTCATAACATTCGGAAGTGTATAAACCCATAAGGGTATACTATGGGTCTTGGTTTTTTATTTTCTTTAATATACAGTAACTAGAAGCAGAAAAAAAGTTTAAGTGTTTTTTTTCAACAAAAGGCTACTTGAAATGCACTGCTTTGTTCACACATAAACTACTCTTGTAAGAAATATTTGTTCTTTTTTGTTCATAACCTGCCCTTATGACAAGGGTGAAGAAGAAGAATAAGTTGCCTGAGGCATTTACAAACCTTACAAAGACTTTATTAAAAAGAAAACTACCCACGAATTTACTACCAATCCATCTAGATCTTTTACTATGTTGTGTCAGCTCTCATGAGGAACCCATAACTTGAGAAATTTAAACACAAAAAGGCACAAAAGCAACTACAAAATGCAAAGAGCAAACCATTCAAAGATATATTTTTTTCTAATACCTACTTGAGGGAGAAATCAGAAGCTTCTGAAAAATGGAATCTGCCCCTACAAAATTCAATTAATGTTCAGTTAAGCTAAACCACTAAATATTTACAAAATCACTACTTGTGTAACATATATTTTATAATTATAAAGTATATTTATGACATCAGTAAGCCTATCAAACAAAGAAAATAAAGTTAGAGAAATTTAAATGATAAAGGAAAAGGCATAGCACAACTTACAGATTTAAGTAATATTTTATTGCTTAACACTTTAAGGTTCTTTATATCTTTTTTGCAACTAGGTTGCTGCCTCAAAATGGAAGGTGAATGAGACCTGCCATTTGTCATAGGTATTTGCATTAAATTCTCTAGACTGTCCATCCAGAAAAATGTAGTAATACTTTTAAGCTTTCCAGGAAAACAGGGTTTCTTCTGGTTAAATTTTAACCTGTTTTGAAATAACTATTCCATAATAAAATTTGTTTGAAGTGCTGAAAATACCAAAGGCCTGAATTGGGCAGCAAACAGTGGTGGGCATTCTGCAGGTGACTAAAGAACTATTAAGGTCCCCCCACTTTATGAAAAGGAAAATTAAATTGTTTCAGTGACAATAAAGGCATATCAGACAGGAAGAGAACGGATATTAAAGTTCTAGCATTGTTCTTAAATTGATTTGTTTTATTGAATATATTTCTTTGCCACTTTTTCTAATCACTGAACTGAAAATGATAGTTTCTATATACCTGAATGAATTCTAAGGGGTAAATAAATGTACCTTGAAAAATATGTAACATAAGTAGTTACATACAGTTGATAAATCTAATGCAGCGATGCAATTTACATAAGTGCAGCTAATATTAGAAGAATCTTGACATTGCTTCTCCTTAGAAATGTAGAGAGCTGGAAAGAGCATCCCATAAAATCTCACACAAAAAAAATATTAGGGCAAATAGAAAACATGTGCTTTTTTTTCTTAAACACACTGAATTCTTCAGGTTTTAGGGTCACCAACTGGCCCAAAGTCAGAGCCAAGTGCCTGAAGGGAAAGATAAGACATGAGCTGTAGAGTTCAACTGTGATGACTCATGAGTTGGTGGAGGGAAAAGAGGGTCAGGTACTTGAGAGCCTCAAATTTCTATCTTATTTTGAGATTTTCCTTCACACGCCCCACTTCATGCTCATAGAAAATACTGGAAGAGAACTGAGAAAGTCCCTCTCATGGCCGGTAACTGAGGGAGAAAGCTATAGCTATTAAGAAAGGGGCATCAAACTCCACTGAGATCTTTTTCCTTATCTCCTCTATAAGACCATGACTTAATTTGTGGGGGAAGGGCAATGACACTGCCCCCTTTTGAGTACCTATGGAAACTTATTGAAACTTGGAAAAGAAACAAGAACAAAACCTTGTATCTCTGAGGAGGGAGCAAGAACATATGCCAGGGTCAGAATATAGATTTCGGGGAAAGAAGGAATACTGAAAAGGCAACATTTATGGAACTCAAAGACAATGATTGTGTAAGATGTCTAACACTGAGGCTTAATTGGAATAACAGTGAATACTCCCCCACAGTCCACTACCAAGCTGGTATGTATCATGTCACAAGTAACCTGAAAGACTGAGACCCTCTCTGACATTTAGAGAAAAAAGATAATAAAGTTGTTGGTAGAGTAAAAACTGAAAAAAAAAAAAGCATTCTGACACACCAGCCTCCATCATGAATGCAACATATTGCTAGAAAAGAGGATGTTGAAGCTTTTGCTGTCCTGAGGTAACCACAACAACTATAAAATTCGTACTCAGCTCCACTTTCAATTAGATTAACTCAACTCACTCTCTCACCCAAGGCCTAACAGAATGAACATGTACATAAAACCTACTACCTCAGTCTCTACTATCCTATATAAAATGTCTATCTTTAAACGAAGTATAACATATAAAAAGTCCAGTGGTGATTGGGCAAGCTTCTAAGAGACAAAGCCATCATTATAACTAGACTCGGATATGATATAGATGTTAAATTATCAGACATATAATTTAAAGTAACTCTGATTAATGTGTTCACAATCTAATGGGAAAGTCTGACAATGTGCAATATGTAATGGGTAATTTCAGCAGAGCAATCGAAACTAAAAAGAGAATCAAATTATCATGCCAGAAATTATAAACACAGTAACAAAGATGAATACTTTTGAGGAACTCATCAATAGATGTGGCATGGTTGTGAAAATAATAAGCAAACCAGAAAATAATTGCATAGAAATTACAGATGGAAAAACAAAGAGAAGTATAATGGAAAAACACACACACAAAAACATACAGAACAGAGCCTTTAAGAGTTATGATACCATACCAAGTTGTCGAGTCACATGTCCAAGAAGCTCAGAGATACCAAGAAGAATACAAAAAGAGTTTTTAAAAGTCTAGCCATGTCAAATTCAACATGCTGAAAAAAAAAATACAAAGAAAACATCTTGATGGCAGCCAGAGAAAAAAGGGACATTACATCCTGAAGGATGAAGGTAAGAATCCCACAGACTGCTCTTCTGGAGTCATGAAAGCCAGAAGACAATGGAATGACTTACTTTCAAATGCTAAAAGAAGAGTCCACACAACCAAAATATTCACAAAAGCATAATTTTGGCTTTCAGTTAAGTCTGATTGGCTACACATGTTTACCACTTCTCCTTCCTGCAAATTAAATAAAATAATGCAAAGGAATAAAAAGAACATAAATACACTACAACAGACAGGCTAAGAAAAGGTTCATTAGAGAAACAAAGACATTTGGCAATGTATTAGAAAATGAAAAGTTAGTGGAGAAACGATAAGTGATAAATTAGGAAGGAGGAAACTCTGGGTCACAGGACGAAGGATGTAGCTAAGATGGGTGATGATTCTTACCAACATCTGGAGACATTTGAGTCACAGATGTGGCACATAAAGTAAAGAAAAATAAAAATATACACAATATCAAAGATAAATAAAAGTGTACCAATAAGTGGAATTTTTAAAAAGGAGAATAAAGAAAACAGAAGAATTGAAATTATCAAAACATTAATAGAAGATAATTTCTCAGAACTGGGAAAACATACATATTCAGATAAAAAAGACCCAGCGAATTCTAAATAAATAAATACAAATATAAACACAACAAAGCAATTGTTGTAAAATTTCAGTTCAGACAAAGTAATATCAGCTATCATTTTGGACCACAGAATTTTGCCAGAGGAGCTGAAACAATGACCAAGTCATACACTAAGCCTCAGACTAGTGCTTGGGTAGTTAAATATCTATCCAGAGAAGTGAGAATTCATTAGTTCTGCCACACACATCCTTCCTCATACATACACAGTTTCCAAGACCCTTCGGAGTGCTGTAGTTTAAAGTGAGACCTGAGGATTTTAATATAAACTTTCAATACATAAAGTTTGCATTTTAACACAAACTTTGAGGTAATTTCTTTAGCACTCATCCTCTAAAATGTCCAAGTTGAAGACTGCCTTTGGGTTTTGTGCTTAGAAGTTAGAGTCAGGCGACAGCATCTTTTTCCATAAACAGCCACATAATAAATATTTTAGGTTTGGAGGATCATGCATAGTTACTTTGTCCTCCTTCTCCTCCTCATCTTTTCACCACACTGCATCCTCCTCTTTATCTTCTTCTTCTTCTCCGTCTTCTTCTTCTTCTTCTTCTTCCTATTTTCTTCTTCTCCTTCTTCTTTTCTTATTCTTCTTTTCTTTTTTGTTTTTCACAACCCTTTACAATATAATGAAAAATTCCTAGCTACAGGTAAACTATAGTCATTATCAGAGTTTTTAGGAAGAGTTGACAAGATGTCTCAAGATTATTAAGTCTATTGGACAGTAGGTCCCTTGCACTCTCATTTTAAATGCTAAGACAATATAACCCATTACAATGGCTTAAAGATTTGAGGTACTTATTTTTGTGTGTGTGTGTGTGTGTGTGTGTGTGTGTGTCTGTGTGTGTCTGTGTGTGTCTGTTTGTGTTTTCCAAACTGGCATTTCCAAAATTATTTCACAATTGATTTCTTCAGTTATGTTGTGCAACTAACCATGTTCCCAACACACTATGTGAAACCACTCCATGTTGCATTGTTTCTGTCACTATGATATGCAAATTCTAAGATGGTCCCTGAGATTTCTACTTCCTTTTGTACACGCACCCCCTGTGCAATCCCATCCAATTGAATGTGTGCATAATTTGTAAAAATGATTGAATTTTACTCCCAATACTAATTGGGTTGACTAATCTGTCGAATTTGAGTTAATTGAAAGAACAATTACCATTGGTGGACTGGACTTAAATATGGTAAGCCTTTAAAAGAGAGACTAGGTCCTTCCTGAAGAGGAAGGTTTAAAGCAGCAGACACTCTCCTGCTTGCCTGAAAGAAGGAAGTTGCCATGTTGTAAGAGGTCTATGGAGGGTGCCATATGGCAAGGACCTGAGAGAGGCCTCTGGCAGCTGAGAGTGCTCCCTGGACATCAGCTGGCAAGAAAACAAGAGCTTCAGTCATAGAGCTGCAAGGAGTTGAATTCTGCCAACAACCATGTGAGTTTGGAAGAGAATCCTGAGTTACAAAGAGTAATGCTGCCTAAATGACACTTTGTTTGCAGCCTTGGGAGGCATGGAGGAGAGGTCCCAGTGAAGCCAGACTCCAGACCTACAGAAATGAGAAGGAATAAATATGTGTTATCTTAATCAGCAAAGTTTGTGATAATTTGTTATGCAGCCATAAAAAACTAAGACAATCACCACACCCAAATGCCCTTTATTGTTCTTTTTACCTGTTAATTTCATCTTTCTAATCTCACCTTCTTCATGAAGCTTTAAATACAATCTCCTTGCATAATAATCCCACATATCTTACTACCTTTAGCACATATTGTCTGAGCAAGTGATAGAATACGTAGTAGCGGCAACGTTTTCTCTTTGAATCATATCTTCCCAGTTGAGAAAAGAGTTCTTTCAGTAGAGGAACCATCTCCTACACTTATTTATATACCCCACAGCCCTTAAAAGTGTCACTGGTTATAAGAGATACTCAATAAATAATTAACAAATTACTCATAACTTCACTTTTACAATATGTCATGGTCATTATATCACTATTCAAATCATCTCTTATGAATTCTGAAGCACATGGTAAGGAAAAAATGAAGACTCCATAGTTAGAGTCAACTGGCCAGATGACATCTTAGACTTCAAAATACTGCATCAGCAAACTCCAATTTATATCAGTTGTACATAATATTCTTCAGGAAAAAGTATAGCAAAACTTCTGAACTCAAAGCCCATAGAACTTTTGTAAAATTTTCTGGCTATTATATTTGCCAGTAAGCAAGGAGATTTGTAGAATACAACTTTGATGCACACAGACTCGGAAGACAGCTGAAAAGAAGCTAAGGCAGAGCACATGTGTGCTGTTTATAGGCAAACACGTGCCACATCACCCACTACCCAGGTGGACATATCTCCTCTAAAGCTGTAATGGCGAGTCAAGTAACCTGTTCAAAAACCCCACAATCTCCTAACCACAGCCACCTGGCTTGTAATTATAGACTTTATTATAAATAGATATAAGCTTTGAGTGATTAGTTATTGTGTACAAAGTATTCAACCGTGGACCACCTGATTTTCACATACTGCTGTACCTTCTCCTTCCTTTGATGCATCTTGGCTATTAATGGAAAAACACCTGTTTCCTGATAGTTCTCTGAGCTATAGAGACGTACATTTATATAGAAACAGCTGGGAGAAAGGTCCTTGTGAAGGACAACAAAATCCAATTCTTACCATCACAAAACTTCCTCCTGGAGCTGCTGATGGAAGCAGTTAAGCCTGCCTTGCATCACTCCTACACAAGCTACAACAAACAAAGTGAAGCTAGGGAGAGTCTTTAACTACTGTGGAAGGATTAAGAAAATCCTACAGCAATAAGGCTGGGATTTCCATTTGATCCTAGAAACAGAAAACGTTTCTAAACCCACAGGTGAATGACATAAACGGAAAGCCAGGAGCGAGGCTGCAAGTGTTTATTGCGTTCCTCTCACATCTTTTTTCAGCACCTGCACATACCTACAGTCTTTCCTCCCCAATGCCCAGGAGCACGGGACATCCAGCTACACTGATAAACTAGCAGCAGCTCAAGAAAATGAATGATGACAGGAAATGAAAGTGACAGTGACAGTTTGTGGTTGTTTGATTTCTTAAATGCAATGAATGGTGGCCACAGAGTTTCCTGTCAACAAGTGTCTGGATAGAAAAATGAAAAAGCAATCAAAACAGTAACTGACACTTCAGGGCATTTCAGGGAAGCCCAGGGCTCACTGTGCAACAAAACCACCTGCTTAGTGTTCTCCATGGGAACTACCACTCACCCTGAGAGGAATTATCAGGATAAAGCCAAGGTGGGTGGGTGCAATGCCAGCTCATTAGTTTAATCTCCAAGGAAAGGTGGACCAAATGATAAAATTCTGGACTAAATGACCTCTGTGGTCAAATCCAGTGCAATGCTCTGTGGTCAATTCCAGTGTAAAGATTCTAGAAATAATACAGGATGAAGGGGTAGGAAATGTGACCCTAATGCAGATACCATTAGTAATTTAATTATAGGAACTTCAATTAATTTACTTCTCTCTGCCTTAATCCCTCCTCATGTAAAAATGCTACCCTTCCTTTCTGTCTTTAAGCCAGAAATCTGCTAGTTGTATGAGTTACAGGAAGAAGATCCACAATATTAGAGACACAGGGAATTAATAAACAATCGTATACAAGTATCTGGAAAAAGAGAAGAGCACTGAATTTGATATTGAACACGTTTTCTTGGCCTAATGAACATAACTGCATCCCACCATGTTTTCATCTCATCTCTCCCCTGTGACATCCCTACTGTCAAGCCAGAGTTCTTGCCATTTTCTGCTTTGAATCTTGATCTAGCCCTACCTCTTGACTTTATCCCAGTCTGATTTCCACTTCTATCAACTCTATCTAAGTGCTAGCTCCCCGTTCTCCAGCAAGTGGCCCTGCCTATCACCTTCACCCCAATGCGTTCCTCTCCACTCAGAGAAATGTGAACCTGTATCGCATGGTGTAGCCTTTCTTCTTGAAATTCTTCTCTCCTTTTTTTAATCCTTAAAAAAGAAAATGCTTTAGAGAAATATGACTGTAATTAACAACTGACAAAAATATCTGGGCTTGAGCTGAAGTGGGAAATCACAAACGTTAGTTACTTATTTTCTCATGCAGTTACCATTTGTTCTCTTTTCTCAGGGAAGTTGAAAGACCTGAGGTTCAAACTTAATAAGGCCCCATACTGTTTCTAAGAGTATTTGCAACATGTAAAGTATAAGTCAGTGCATTGCTGATATTTAAATTTGTTTTCACTCATCTGAGCTATTACACAGTATGCAATCCCTAAACCCTTCATAATAAAGAACACACATTTCTCAGCCACGAAAGGGAATGAAAGATTCAGCAATTTAAGCTCTCCGGTACTAGAAAGGTGACAAAACATTTATGTGTATCCAATCCATTCCACTGATTTGGCTCCAACATTAGGAGGGACTGCCTCAGGCAGAGACATTTTGCTATATACACATTCTTGGGAATTAGCAAATGGCCCATAGTGATGACAGCAACATCCTTCAAAACACTCAACTTTACTAAATGGATTTCACAAATACATTTTCTCTTTCTGAAGAATGTTTTTTTAAGTCTAACTGATAGTACAAATACTTGTTGCCTTTTTAAAAAGAAAATTCCAAGAAACCAAGGAGTAAGCTATAAACAAATCATTTTCACTTGTGTAAGAATGGCTGTGTAACCTGTGTTCTACCAGTTATCTTCATGTTTTTCATTGATTTTTACAATCCATTGTCCATGGTAAGTTACTCTAGGAGAGTGATGTGCTAAGGAGGTCATGACATGAAATTTAATATTTAAAATACCAGTCTTTACATACCAAATAAGCAGGAAAAATTCACTATCTGAATCATTTTTACTCCTTGGATGGCATGTAAAGATCTCTGGATTCTGGTCTCAATCTTGTAAATAAGCAATTTTGACATCTAGAGTAAGTCACTTAGTTTTTATACCTCCAACTTTCTTTAATTGTACAATGACAAGATAATAAAATAATCCTGAGATCTTTTCACTAAATTTTATTATTGCATCATTTGAAAATAATTTCATAGCACATACTGAAAAATACACTTCCAGAGTTTAAAAGCATGTACTTTACTTTTAAATTGTGCTTAAAATACTTGTTGTGTTACTTGTATGTTCATAATATTATTACTGCCACTACTCATATAAGAAAACATTGTTTAATTTTAATAAAAATGAACTATTACTTCACATTCAAATAACATATTTTGATTTTTTAACAGTATTTTACACCCATTATTGCACAGACTAGCTTTATATGGTTGATGGGTCCAAAATAATTATTCCCATTTTAAAGGTCACTTGTGTCCAAGGACATGCAAGATTTTAGTGGCAAAACCTAGAAATAGGAAATTTTTTGAACTTTGAGAACCACACTCTCTATGTGTAATTTGTATACCAATGTATCTTTCAGATAGCAGTCCTGGCAAAGGAAATTTAAAGAGCTATCATTTTGAGCAGTTCATTCACTTTCTGCCATTATCAAGAGGTGGCCAAGAGGTGCCTTTATGGAATTTTCTGCCTCTACATTTCTCATGAGTCATGACTATGTTTTTCCTAGTTTCCAAGGTGAACATATGTGTATGTAGTCATTGAAAATTTCCAGAGGGAAGGTAGTACTTCTTTTAACACAGAGATGCCTTTTACTTTACATAAATTTAGAAACATAAAAAAAAGCTGCATATTTAAATTTTAGTATGTATGAAAATGCCAAAAAATAACAAAAGACAATGTTATAAAATACCTTTCATGTTATCATTGCCCAACAACTAACCTGCTCTTCCCCATTGCCACCCACAGTTCAGCATTGTGAACTCCTGGACAACGCAGCTGGATATCTGTGTCTGAATTATATTCCAGGACGATCCTTGGGTAGATATCCATATCCCTGGATCAAAGATTGCTTTTAAGCAATTCATAACATGTGGGATTGTATAGGCATGTGTTGTCCACCTCTCTCAGTGAGCCTCCCTACAATCTTGGAAGTGGCCTGACATAATTCATCTTTGGTCTTAGTGGCCAAATAAAAGTGAGACAGATATAGAATTGGCCAGAATGTTTACTTTACTCTATGAAGTGTTAAGAATCAGACTTATCCATTCTTTTATTCATCCCATAAATATTTATTGAGTTTTTAATATGTTCAATGTACTATTCTAGGTGCTAGAGATATACTGTGAACATTATGGTTGAGTGGAATAAAAAAATAGCCAAGGAAGCATGAATAAACAAGACAATTTCAGAGTGGAAAGACGCTATAAAATGTGATAATGTGATAAACAGTTATTGGGTTGTAGAGAGGCCTACATTATTGTGGAGGGTGAGAAAGTCCTCTGTGAGGATGCTTAACCTTTCTAAGAAAATAAAAATAAATCAAAATTCAACATGTCTTGATTATCCAATCAGGAAATGGAGAAATGGTGCTGAGAGCAGTCTCAAGGAATCATCCCTGCTCCCAGAACAGTCTACCCTGAGTCTAGCAAATATCTCAAAATCCACTATTAAACGAATTTTTTTTCTGTTTTGTTATTCCACTAAAATTCAAATGCTCTTGAGGAGAAGAACCATATTAAGTCAGTCCTCTTAACTTTAGTCTGAATTGGTTTAACAGACATTTTTTCAACCAACAGCCATACTTATTTTTGTAATCATAATTTTTTATTCATTGAGGTAAAATTTACATGTATAAAATACTACAGATCATTGTTGTATAACTGGCTAAGTCTTAAAAATGTATACCACCTTACTGCTAATCAAACCAAGGTACAGAACATTTGCATCACCTCATAACCTTCCCCTATGTGCCTTTCTCTTTGCTTTTCCCACACGTTCAGGAATAACCCCTATTCAAATTTCAATCTTTCTGGGTTAGCTTTGCCTTTATATAAACATAATTGTACAGTACATGCATGCTTGTGTCTGGCTTTAGCTCAGCATAACACTTCTGAGATTTGTTAACATGATTGCATGTAAAGGTAGTTTGTCACTATTTTGTAATCGTTGAGTACTCAGATAGCATTTGATGTGGGAAGAGAAGACATGAAGAGTATAGAGGGGAAACTTGAAAACAGAGATGCATGGTGGGTCTCAAAAGAGGTACTCTGGACCAGTAGCATCAGCATCAACACCACTGAAAACTTGTTAGAGAGGTACATTCTTGGGTCTCACCCCAGGCTGAATGAATTACAAACTCAGGAGGTAGATACCAGGAACCTGTTTTGTTTTTTTGTTGTTATTGTTGTTTTAGTTTTGTAAAATAAGGCCTCCAGGGAATTCTAAAGCATATTAAAGCTTGAGAACAGATAACTAGGAGAAGGCATAGACAAAGAGTAAATTTTACTTAAAAGGATATGGCAGCCACGGAAGATGAAAATGTGTTTGCTTGCCTCTCCTGCTTCTCTTAGAACTCTTCAGATTGCAAAAACGTGAGAGCAAGTTTTATGAAGATAAATTTTGAAAATCATCTTTAGTATTGATTCGTACTTTTGCTTTAAGTAGCTCAGTGACCAGTTCCGACTTAGACTCTGAATTGTCCATCTGTAATGCAGTCCTAGAAGCCATATGGGAGACTTGTAGTAATTAACAATAGCATCTAATGAAAGGGTGGTAAACTAGTTCTCACCAAGGAAAACTCCATTATACTAATGTGAAAATGAACAAGCCAACTCATCTGGGCTTTGGAAGTATTTTATGTTTCTTAAAAATGAACATTAAAACCCTATAGTGTAAGAATTGTCTGAAAATTATTTTAAAATATACAGACATTTTTGCAACTAAATCATTTCTCAAATCCATGTCCAAAAGTAAGGGAATTAACCATAAGAGGGAAAGTCTTGCAAAAATATTAATCAGTGTCTTGAAATTGGAGAAAAAGACTAGCAATCATCATGAAGCTTTGAAAGAAAATTTTACCCAATTCAAATGAGTGCAATCAAAGTGAGAACAAGAAAATTCCAAGAAGACACTTTCCCTACTCTATGGAGACCTTGACTAAAGCTATCTGACACCTTAGTTGTTATTTGATTTAACTAAATTATATTAGAATTAGTTTTAACTGTAGATAGTCCCCAAAATAAAGACATTAAGTAGTCACAGCATAGTGTTTTAATCAGGAATGATAGATGACAGATAGATAGATAGATAGATGATAGATAGATAGATAGATAGATAGATAGATAGATAGACTACATATATATATATATAGGCACAATATGACCACCAAGTTCAATTTCAACATAAAGGGCTTTGCTGTCTGAAATGCAGCCATTTTACATTTGCAACCACCCAAAGTAAAAGGACCAGACAATACAGCAAAACTGGACAAGAACCTGGTTTCGATAAATGAACTTTCACAACATTCATTTAATGTTTATCACCAACCTTGAGCTACCAATTCATATACTGGCCAAATAGTCATTTTTTCTTTAAATTGAAAGACAACAAACCAATCGACTGGCTAGTTTTACACTATATGTCATCCAACATGTTACAGAAATCTTTTCCTGGAGGATACTTCCTGAGTCCCTTAAAAATCCATTCATCAGGCTGAACTAAAGGACATGAAAAGCAGATGATCAATTTGGGAATATTTGAGTCAACACAGAGAGTTTGAGTCAGGAAGCTGTGTTTACAGAGTGAGAGTCACAGACATCTCCAACATCTAGAGAGTGATCGTCATCAAACCAAAGCATAGTTCTATGTTCATGTGAACTATCCCTTCTGCAGGTATAAATCCCAAGACAATAACAAAGAGAATGGGAAAGTAGGTCAGCTCCTACGTAAAGCACTAAATATTCATAGAATCCTTTTTTCAAAGAAAAAAGATTTTCCAACACACCTAAGACACACCTGTGAAATATTTTCTCTTCCAGCTGCTCTGAATAGGCTACACTTTTATTACTCAAAAGCATTTATGGGCAATCAGTATTACCTATGTGCTTGCTTGAAATGTAGAGTCTCAAGCTCTAGTCCAAAGCTCATGAGTTAAAACTTGCATTTTAATATGATAACCATTGATTCATATACACATTAATGTAGAGAAGCACTAGAAAATGGAATATTAAGCTATTGGTTACTCTCCATACTATTGTTTTTTTCCAGTTCATATTATTAGATTCACCTGGGACTGTTAAGCCTATCAGACCTATCTCAGAATGACTTAATCAGAATATCTGTGTTTTTAAAAATGTCCCAGTTTCTCATGACTATATAAGTTTGGGAAGTTGCTGATTTGGGCAATCAGGCAAGGGCTGACTCCACATGTTTGTGATGTAAAAAAAAAAAAAAAAAAGTCAGTTTACATAAAATATAGTGTTTTTGTTTTTGTAAATTTTGAGTATATTTAGTTGTAGCAAAATAAGTAAATGCCAAATATAAGGAATAGGAAGAAATAGGAAAATGGTAACATTGGTATGATGAAGCAATGAAAAGCATTAGGCAGATTGTGTATGTACTTAGGTGTGTCTTTAATGCTTTGTCTACATAGAGAACACCTAGTAAAATCATGCAAGCAAATCCATCTGCAGATGGCCGGGTACCTTCCAAGGTGTAAACAAGGTTGAGGCAGATTTCTTACTTTCAAATAATTGTATTACTCTTATAAAACACACAGCCTACGTATTGATTTTGTTTTGTTTTTCAGTCTGAGTGTCCATCCTAGGTTGAGCTCTCTAGGAAACAGATTCTGAGTCTGAGATTTGTGTGCAGCTTGTTCATCTGGGATGCTCTCTAGATCAGCCTTGTGGGGTGGGTTGAAGGACATAGAACTAGGCACAGGGAAAAGAGGAATTTGATGTAGTCACAACAAAAGCCATTCCAGAAGAGGGACTCATCTGAGAGCTGTCAGCCACCAACACTTTGCAGCTGGAGAAATCAATGCCTTAGTCCCGTGGGTAGCACCACACAGCACTCATTATAGTGGAGCCACTACTGTGGTAACTACATTTTCTCTTTTTAAATCTCCAAGAGTCTGTCAGAAATGCCTCATGTCTGTCTTTATCTCAGAATTTTATTTAAAGAATAGTCAGTGTAATTTTGTTTGTATTCTCTAGTTTCTTCTGGTTGACAGTTTTTAAATAAATCCCTCCATATCTTGATTGTTTTGGGAACCACAAAGTATAGAACTATTTTTTTTAACCTACTTTATTAACAGATGAAGATTTTGTTTTTGTAGTCTGAAAAGAAATCCTCAAAGGTGTCAAAAATTAACTAGGTCATTAACCAAATTCCACATCATTTTGCTTAATTTTTTGTAAAATTATATAAGTCATGTCATAATTTTCTGAAGGTGCTCACATTCCTGATTGGATTATTAATTTGTGTTTATTATAGGGGCTGTGGTATAATGTTCTATCTTAATTAGTATTTTTATGCTTATGATTTTAAATATGTATATAGTCAGTTTTTATGTTGTTTGCCTTTCTAACATAACTAAGGTTAAGTGTTTTCTTGCAACAAAGGGAATTTATATTGGAATTAAAAGTAATTACAGTAGCTTTATCAAAAGCAAAGCAATTGGCAGTTGTGTGAATAGACATCTTTACAGTAATAAAATGCAGACTGAACAACCTCTGAGTTTATGTTTCTGATGATGTTTCTTTTACAGGAATAATAATGGTAAGTTTTATGTATAGAATATATTTGCAAACAGAAAAAACATCTTTCCTTAATTCTTCATGGTATCTTTCTATTTTTCAGAAAAGTTAACCAGCTTTCATACTCCTAGTATATCTAGAAAGTAGGCCTGAATTATATAAGCAGATTGTAAAATAATGGATTTAATTTTTCTTTTTTATTTACTACTTTCACAATAAATTGAGCAGCTTTAAAACTATGCACACATCTTACAGGTATTAACTACCCTCCTTTTACTAAATACTACATTTGCTAGAATTGCAAAGATTAATAACAAACAGTCATGGTCCACCAGGAGTTCAAATTCTAGTGGATGGGTTGTGTTGAGGTTCAATGATTAAGACTATCAACAGAACTGAACAAATGTTCAAATTTTCACTTATTTCAGTTGTCAAGAAGTAGCTACTGCAGCAACTACAGCCTCAGAGATGTTTCAAAGAACTGATGAACAGTTCATATAGATGGTGTAATATTCACCAAAAAAATTTGTAATCTATATTTAATTATTTAAATACCAAAGAAAATAGCTTATTGCATGAACAGCATTTTTTAAAAAGTAAGAAAGAGAATGCTTGTCTTCTGGCCCTGACTGTGTATAAAGTATTAGGAATCTGAGATACAGGTTAGAAAATGGGACCTGGATCCCACACTCTGGTCAAAGTTTAGCAATGCCTGTACTCTGTGTAAGTGCAAAACTTTACATTCAGAACAACCCTCATCAAATGAGGCTTTGAATTACTGACAGAGGAAGGACACCTAAAATCTACTGTGTAATATCTTTTAATTTGCTCTGATGGCCTTAATTTTTACATCAGAAAAGAAATGGGAAGGTCATTCATTTATTTATTAAAAAATATTTGTTGAATATGTGCCAGGTATTAGGCCATGCACTGAGGATACAACTCAAAACAAGAGTAACACACTGTCTGTTCTCACAGAGCTTACAGTCTAGTGGGATCTACTGAGGATAAGGTAGGAAATTGCAAGATGATGTCATCAGTACTATCTGGAGTGGCAAGCCATGTGTTAGAAGATCACATATGATGGATGTACAACCTGGACTTTAGAGTTTAAGAAAAGCTTCCTGGAAGAAGTGAAGTTTAATCTGAGGCCAAAGAGGTAACCAGGATTGCTCTGGTGGGTGAGTAAGGGGAACACGATTGTTAGCGTTAGTCATATTATGTGATTCATGTCATATAATGAAAAATTGTGTAAAGGTTCATTAACATGGCTGGGACAAACACAGCTTGAATGCTGGGAAGAGAGCACTGATGACCTAGAGGATGAAGCAGGAGAGATAAGCAGGTCCTTGAAAGGAAGAGTCACTGAGAAAAGTTTTCCTAATGGAGACAATTACATGATCATATTTTGATTTTAGAAATACAATGTAACAATGTAGAAACAACTTGCAAGCTATGATATTAATTTAAACGGGTAATTCCTCACTAAACTGGGGATGGAAAGAAATTTAGGGATTTAAGAAACAGTTCAAATGTATAACTCATAAGACTAGTCATTGGTCAGGTGTGTAGGATGAGGGAAGAGAGAAGAGTCAAAATGATGCCTGGGTTTCTGTAGTGATTGAGAGAATGGTCTTACCATTTACTTGAGAAAAAAGGAAAATAAGTATATTTAGTGTTCAAGATGATATATTTTCTTCTGGCAAGTTTTTTGGGGGTAAATCTGTTAGTAGTATGTAGGCATATTGATATATATACCTAGATCTCATGAAAAACATCTCAGCTGGCAGTACGAATTTTGAAATTATGTGATCACATGAGGTCATCCAGTAAAAATATGTGAAATAGGTCTTCCTGCCTCTATATAACTGGTAATGATACCAAGTTTAATGAGCAAGGAAAGGTATAAGATGCAGCAAAGAGGGCTTCAAGGAGCACCCAGAAAGCTAGGAAAAGAATTTGGAGAATAAATAACAGTGGCCAAAGGAACAGAACATTTCAGAAGAGTAGTGGGCAACAAAATCAAGGGTTGCTGAGAAATCAAGTTGAATAAGGGGTAAAGGTTATCTGGAGGATGCATTAATAAGGGAATATGTAGCCACCACACTGTGATCAATTTTAGCCATGGGGAAGGTAAGAGCTAGAGTGGGTACAAAGGAAATAAAATGGGAAGCAATGGAAGCAGTGCATCTAAGAGTGCTTTGGTGATGTTTGGGTTGTTAGGAGATCTATGAATCAAGGCTGCAGGATAATGGGGGAATAAAGTGTCTTTGGATTTTATTTTAATATGGGAAATGTTTGACCATAGTTAAGTGCTACTTGGAAGAACACAGAAAAGGAGAAGGAGCTAAAGATGAAGGAAAGAGGGGAGGGAAGCCGCTAGAATAATTGGCAGGGTGTGGGAGGAGTTTCCATCTGGTGGCTTCTATTTTTGCTCTGAACTGGTAGTCAAGTTGATCTGCTGAAAGAGGGATTAGGTTTCTCAGTCAAAGGATTGAGAAGAGGAGAGTAGGCTTAAAACATTTGTGGAAAATAAGAGAGCGTGGATAAGGAAATCCTTGATTTCTAAGCAGCATGTACGACCATCTGAACTTGGAAACTGTGGAATTATAGTTGTGATCAGCAACATGAGGTAGATAGGGTGCAGTCAGACAGATGAGTTGATTCATGGTAAACATTTTTTCCAGAGGGGTCAGGAAAAGATGAATGAGACTTGAAGATAGGACTATTTGTAAGAATTGAAGTAATGGAATATGCCACTTTACGCTAGATAGGTAAGCAAATATTCTGGTTTTATATATCGCTGTGTAATATACTACCCCAATAGTTAGCAGCTTAAAACAACATGTTCACAAATCTGGAGTTTGAAAGAGTTCATCAGTTTCACAGATCATCACCTGGAGAATCTATTGGAACTGAAGAATCCACTTGTAAGATAGCTCACTTACAAGGTAGTGCTGAGAAGTCAGTGCTGGCTGCTACCTGGGAGCTTTGCTGGAGCTGACAAGAAGCAGCCCAATTTTCCTCCATATGGGTCCCTCAAGGAGCTGCTTTGTGCTTTCTCAGAGCATGCTGGCTGGCTCCGGAAACACCTATCTCAAGAGGCAGGAGGTGAAAGTGGATGGGCTCTTAAGGCCTGAGCCCAGATAGTGACATGGTATCATTTTTGCTTTATTCTTTTGGTCAAGCAGTCACTGAACCTGCCATGATTCAAATAGAGAGGATGTGGAATCCTCTGGTTGGGAGGAGTGACAAAGAAATGTGCTGCCATCTTTAACCCACCTCAGTGAGGAAAGGCAGAAGGGACTGAGAAGAGACTTCATGAAGCAAAAGGATTAACAGCTGTAGTGTGTAACATGGATTTTCTGCCCAGATCCCCTTGGTTACGACACATTTGTATCCTTTTTTGTGCTCTGAAGGTCACCTTGGGAGAAAGAACACTCCATGAATGCACATGGAATTCAGAAGGATGAGAAGGTTTTACTCAAGAGAAGTAGAGAGTTTTCTTGGAGGAGTACCAGATTTCTGATATGAGAGAACATGGGAGACTGTTGCATAGGGAGACTGAGGTTGGAGCTGTGCTTGTTGATTCTTAAATGGGGAGTCTGGCAGACATAAAGTAAAGTTTTAGGAGAAGGAATAGGATGATGTTGTGTGGCTGGAGAGCAGAAAGCTGGGGGATAGATGGTAAATATCCAAGTCGATAGCTGAATGAAAGGTAATGTGTTTGAACTGGCCACTTAGTTGCCTGTAAAGAAGCCCCTGATGGATGTGAGTGAGGCAAGGCACTTGGATTTCTTCTTCAGAGTCTACCAGAGCCTAGAAGGAGTATATCTATCTAAATAAATTGTCTAGACTTCCAGAGGGTGTCAGCTGACATCCATTGCTGATATCCAATGACATCCATATATTCATGCACACGTGAGTGCATGTATGTGTGTGCACATGCGTGCATGCGCATGAGTGCCCGTATACACATTCAAACTGCTGTGAAGGGGCTGGCTGAGAGGCCCAGAGTGTGGTAGGAGGTCTTGACTCTGAGATCTTAGCAACACCCTGTCCAGTACAGGTCCTGCTGACCACAGTGGCCACTAATCCTAAGAACCCCCTTGTCAATGGTCCTGGGAAGAGATATCTAAAATATGTGTAGTGCAGGGATAAAGATTTCAAGAGAAAATGCAAGACATATGATTTCAACATCCCCTTCAGTTAGAAAGAACAATGAATTAATCTCTTATTGATAACTGAATTCAGGGAATTTTAGACCTCTGCCCTTAACTCCAAGTAGAATACTCGTTTATTCTACACTTCGAGTAAGTAATCTGCCCTCCCCAGGATTCTGGAGTATCCAAACCAAGAAGCTTGTATTTGCCTTCCCTTCACTTGCTTTGTCCCCTGCTGTCTCACACACTGCCACTAACAGATGCCTTAGGTTATTCCTCTTATGGGAAGGTTGATAACTTTAAGATGGAAGTGCTTTCTCAACCCAGCAGTTCAAGAAGAGGTATGACTACCTTTTAGGTTATGGGATTTTTTAGTAGCACACAGACATAGGTAGTTTTAGGGGATCAACTTCTAGCTATTCAAATTCCATCTAAAGTTTCTTCCAGAAAATCAAATTGCCTGAGAATGACCCTCTTCAAAATAGTCCCTTTACCCATTTTACAGAGGAAATAATCATCTCTCATCTATCCCAAATTTTAAGATGGTGCATTTTCCAGATATATAAAAATCTTCTAGTACCAGTCAAAGGGAAAATCAAAACACTGGGTGTGAGGCACCTTCCTTTACAGATTAATCAAGACTTTCTGCCTTTCCTTGTCTTACACATATTTCCACTAAAAATGAAGATTGGCATTAAAAAAAAGATTGGTCAGTGTTGGAATGTCCCAAATTCAAACTTCCCAAGTAATGTAAGTTAGCGATATTGATTATTCCAAATGTAACCAGAGTGTTTTCCAAAACAATTTTTTTCCAGGTAATATTGAATAAAGCCAAAGATATAAAAGTTTTACATGATTTCTTTCAGACTTAGTGTACTTTATTTAATAAGATAGTTAAAATCTATTTTATCAATATATAAAATTTTTGTTCTAATTATAGTCAAACCTCATCATATTTCATTTTCCAAAATTGTGCAATATTTTAACTTTCTATTATCCAAAAATAGCCTTATTTAAACCTATAACAAAATCTTTCACGTGTCAGCTTGTGAATATGCAAAGAGGAGTACATAAATTTCAAATTTATTTTATGAGGTACCTAAGTAAAAAAGTTTGAAGATTGCAGTTTTTGTCTAATTTTCCTTATTTCTTGGAGACTTAGACCCATGAGCTACTGAGCGATGGGAGATTCCCAGTGGTTCTTTTTTATTTTAACTAAGTATCTTTGTTGTACTGAATATAGCCACATGCAGACAGTGGCCTTGTGCTGTTTTATTCTGGCTTTGTCCTTGGTGTATTTTCCTTAGCAGTGGAAATTAGTTTTCTGCTATTTCTTGATGTAGAGTTATCTATAAGGCATTCATTCACAGGGCCCTACTCTAAGCCCTTCGGGTTTACCCTAGGTAAGAAATTCTGTTTTGGGACCAAAAAGTGGCACACTCCACCCTTTTTGTTTCTATTGGTAATTAAGAGAGGATGGGTACAGGCCAACAGATGACATGCTGGCTCAATCTGATGATTTTTAACTCCCCTAAGTACCCATGTAGTGACGGATAGGTGCAAGTAACCACTACGGTTGTACCCTCAATCTTCCTAATATTTCTTCATTACAAGAGATAGTCTGTGCTATTATGTAGTCAGTCTTTGAAAGAAGAATTTGACTCACTAAATCTGTGGTAAATAGGAACAAGTTAATTTGCACTAACTCTCTTCTCAAGATCAACTAGGAGGAATTTCAGAATATTAATTTTTGTACAGTATGACTTCACTAAATTTGGGTGGGTGTTAATGCAAAATTAATAATAATTAGGCGGGTTGGACTAAAGCTTAACTTTTTACAGGTTGTATGAAAACAAACACAGTGTAAACACAATTACATTAGAACCTTTGAGGAGCATTTTCCTCTATGGATTGTCAGTGCATACACTGGTAATAAAGAACAATTCTTTTCGACTTGTTTTTGTAAAGGCCCTGATGAACCTCTCCTTGTAAGCATATAGACTTTTATCATAAGCATTGAAAGAAAATTGTCCTGTGTGTGGTCTTGTAGTATTAGTTCCTGAACAAAAATAAAACAAAAGAAAAAATAAAATATTTGAAGTGTTCTAAAATTAATAATTTTATAATTTTCTTCTAATTAAATATAAAATAAATTGAAATAATAATAAGTAAGGACAATTACAACCAATAATATTTAATGGTTTGCCTATTGCTTTTTTTATGAGGGGCAAAATCATATAGTGATTAAAAGTAAGGACTTTGGAAGTCAGACATCTTAGGTCCAAATTCTGGTCCTGGATCAATCTGATGATCCTTAACTCCTCTAACTGCCTATGTAGTGAAAGAGAGGTACAAGTAACAATTATAGTTATACCCTCCATCCTCCTAATATTTCATCATTGTAAGACGCAGTTATCAGCTGAAAGTACATAAAAGCTGCAATTAATTTTAGAAAATCATTGATAGCACCAAATATTCTACGTACTTTTTCTTTATGCTCGTATTCATTTTCTACACAAATGTCTAGTGTGCCTAATTTTGTGCCGTTCTAGTAACAGCCACAGCTTACCTGGCAACTTCATTTTTCTCCATTCCTCAGGCCCGATTGCTTCCCTCCCCTAGTTTCAGGATGGATTTTCTCTTAGTGATCCCATAATCTTTTCATCCATTCATCTTGGTTTCCACAATTTCATTAGAGATACAGATATATATCTGAGCCTCAGAAATTAAAAAATGTTTTAATTATTTTCTCAGGAGACTTCTTAACTCCCCTTTTAAACCAGCCAATGTCAATAGGTTGAGGAAGAGGAAGAGAGCCAAGGGGCAGAAGGAAGAGGAGTCATTTCTAGGCTCACGACTATAATCCTGGTTGATACACAGAAGAGGAACTGAACAAATAGTTCAAAGAGAAAACAGCAATTCTTTCTTTATTATGAGATTATTAGAGATTAGGCATTTTTATATTCCCCAAGCCTCCTAAAATGGTCATATAGTTGACTAATAATTTATTTTTTTCCTAACAAGGTATTAAATGATTAATATTATCTTTCCGTTCTTCTAACATCTGGATGCCTCTGCCTCTCCTTATTCCTCTTACTTCTCTTGGCCATTTTTGATGAGAAGTGAGCAGATCAAAACTGTGTCTGAAATAGCTAAACTGAGATTTTTCCATATATATGTGTATGTGCAGAAGTATGTGTGCACATACACATATCAATATATATGCATCATCAAGAGACTCAAAATTTAGAGGCCAACCAAACAATATGATAAAACCATATTTTTTTGTAAAACCACTGTATTGTTGTTTTAATAGGAGCAAAAAAAAGGGGGGGTTATATTTGATGGTCTCCAACTGAGCTGCAGAATGAGAAGAAAGAGTTAATATGAATAAAACCCCAAAGATAATATTATAAAGGCTTTCCATGGTTATCAGACAAATAGAGAATGAGAGAAAAAGAGGACAAGCAGGGAGAAAAATTTTCCCTTTCCCAAAAGCTCTTTTTGAAAATTACTTGGAGACTTAGAGACTCTGTTGACTTTAATTAAGTGCTCATTAGATTGACAAACTTTTTAAAAAAGTGATCCTGCTTGCCATGTGGGTTTTCATATGCTCTCCCGGCTTTCCCTCTAAATTACTTTAGAACCCTTTCAGAATAACTTGTTTATTCAAGGGAAATTACTCACAACGGTTTAAAGAATTCAGATAGACTTTTATGTCCTGTGATTACTGCTTTATTATTTTTACACAGTTTTAAAATTTTTACTGAAATCTCTTAACTTCTCCATACAAAGTCAAAGTCTTCCTAAATTGGACTTAATTCTTCTGGTACCAGTGGGGAAATAACTTATAATCTTTAAAATCTCCAGAGTCAGATGTCAACTCAGACCTAATTAGTAGGTAAAGTTCTTAGAAGATGTAGCTATACCCAAACAAACAACCAAACAATTATTCTAACCTTTCATTTCGGCAGAAGAAAAAAAACAGTTAAATTGGTTCTTTATAACTATGTGGCCACATTGATACCTGTACTATCTTCTGACTGAATATTTCACTTTTGAAATAATTTTGATAGACTTGTCTTAAACAGTGGCAGCTTACCAAGGTACTCAGAAAGTCTAACATTAGAGATAGTGTTCTGAAAGGATTAGAATTAGGACATAATTCCAGGTCTGAGACAAAAATGACTACTTGAAGGGACTACTGCTTTAAAAAAATTAACATTAATTACCATGTAATTGTCTATTCTTTCTTCTTTTCTTGTTGTATACTTCATTCATTATAGTATTAAAAAGTTGGCATCATCATTAATAGTAAAATGGCACATTATTTAAAACCAGAGCAGTTAATTTTTTTATTCTTTATTTTTATTTTTAGACACAGGGTCTCGCTGTGTTGCCCAGGTTGGTCTCAAACTCCTAGACTTAAGCAATCATTCTGCCTCAGCTTCTTGAGTAGCTGGAATTATAAGCATGAGCCACTGCTCTCAGCCTAAAAGCACAGCATACAGAAACCAGAAGGTATACTGATAATTACATATTTCATACCACTGCCTTTAGATCTTCTGACTAGCATCAATATTAATGTCTTCTTTATATTTTTTTCAATTTTTTATTTTATTTTAATTTTTGTATTCATTTTTAAATAGCAGGTGTGTATATTTATGAGGAATATGGGATGTTTTGATACAGGCATGCAATGTGTAATAATCACATCATGTAAAATGGGGTACCCATCCCCTCAAGCATTTATCCTTTGTGTTACGAACAGTCCAATTATACACTTTTAGTTATTTTTAAATGTAGAATTTAATTATTTTTAACTATAAGTCACCTTGTTATGCTATCAAATACTAGCTCTAATATTAATGTGTTCTTGATTTAAGGGTTTGAACAAGCTGAAAATAATGTTCAGTTTCACATTGCTTGGTATAGTATCACTAGTGGCATGATGGTTTTGCCTGGATATATAGTTAAAATTGTTTTTAATCTTGGTGATTTATTATCTAATTCAGAACTATAGGAAACTCCTAATAATAAAAAAGGAAACATTAAGTTGAAATTTTTCTAATGATAAAGGGAATATATATTCTGATACTCTTAAAATGCCTAAAACTTTCTATTCCATATTTGCTATTTACATTAATTTGATTAAAATTCCTCTAGCACATGTAATGCCATCTTTCATACTTCAGCAAAACAATGTTAATAAAAGTAAAAATGCAATACCATTTCATACTGGCTAGAATGGTTACAATATAAAAGACTGATGACACTGAAGATTGGTAAGGACTGGTAAGGATTGAAGCTTTCATATGTTATTAATTAGAGAGTGAAATGGTACAACCAGTTAGAAAATGTGTGTGCAGTTTCTCATAAAATTAAACGTGTATCTGCTCTATGAACCAACAAGTCATCTTACATTTACCAAGAGAAATATAAGCATACGCCTTCTAATAAATGTCTACAAGAATGGTTTATAGCAGCTTTTTAATAGATCCAAACTGAAAACAATGAAAATGCCCACCAAGAGGAGAACAGATACACAAATCAGGGTAAATTCATGCAATCAAATACTACTACTCAGCAATAAAAACAACATATGTTTATGTGCACAATAACATGAGTGGATTTCAAATATAAGTTAAGTGAAAAGAGCCATAGATTAGACAACATACTATATTTTTTCATTTATATAAGGTTCAAGGTTAAGCAAAGCTAATTTATGGTGAGAGAAGTCAGAACTATTGTTGCTTAGGAGATGGGAATTGACGGGAAGAGGCATGAGAGAATACCCTGGGGTGTTGAAAAATTCTCTGTCTTGATTGGAGTGATGGCTAAGTGGGTAGATACATTCATCCACTAACCCTCTGAGTTGTACAATTGAGTACATCATTAACTCATTGAATTACACACTTATAATCTGTGAAATCCTTCAAATATGTATTTAGCCATATAAAAACATGATTATTATACTTAAAGCAATGAAATAAATCATTAATTTTAAAGCAAGTCAGAATTCTGAATATCTGCTCATTAAAGGCTTTTGTTTTTGACAAAGATGTAACACAGAGTTAAATTTCAGTCTACATTTTACTCTACTATTCAGTCCTAAAACCAGACCAATACATCATTTTAATATAGTTTCCAGCAATCATGCATCTAGTTATAAGATTAATTTAAAATTAATTTAATTGTGTATGGAACATGTTAGTTTGTAGAATGATTTAAAATGTCTTTAATACATCATAAATACAATTAAAATTGGTCTTTAAGTTATATTTACAATGCTTCTTAAAAATATATTGATCTAAAATTAAAAATGTAAATGTAAAATCAGTTATTATATTGTATCCTAAATTATGCACATTATTTTAAATATTTAATTATTTGAGTATATGTTGCCATGAGATGAAACAGTTTGGATAACCCTGGTGTAGTAAATTGAATACATTTCTTTTTTGATTTTGCCCATTTTTTCTGCTTAGTCCCAATGTTTCAGATTCCTATTTCCTGAAAGTACCCTAATGATTTAGTAAAGAATAATTGTAATTCTCTATAGCAATGCACCAGTTGTGTAACTTTTCAGATTCCCAATTTCCTCATCAAAGATATTGAAATTTAATTCTCCTGAGCTTGCAATTCTGAGGCAGAGCTTCCAGCAACTAGATCAAATTAGATGTTCATGGTGAAAAATGGCTTGATGTGCTGTCCTCCCCAATAATATTTTTATCTTAACAGAGGCTCTCATTGCCTTGGCCTCAGGCATAAAAATTTTGGGAATGCCTTTGGAGGGATTTTCCTTAATAGAAGATTTTTAAAACATAATACATAGATAGCATTTTTCTACCTACTTCACATTGCAAATAGTACCACTGTAATACTACTTTAAGCAAACACATCAGCCATAAGATTGTTCTGGGACTATCTATTGTTTTTGGTAGTTTACACCACCAAGCTAACTTTCCCAAAGACCAGCATTCACCCATTCATGTCCCTACTTGCTTTGATTTTGGTTGCCACCAGAATTAAAGGCATCTCAGCTTCCCAACTGGCTTAGGTCCTTACTGCTTAAGACCTACAGCTTCAACTGTGTCTGAGTGTGTGTATATTTTGATATTCTCTCACAAATCTATAAAGATATCAGAAATTGAAAGAATAAAATATACAAACACAATGTGAATGATCAAATAATGTGCTTTTTCTACAATGGACTCTGGATTATTTGAAGGCAGGTTCATATTTAGTCTCTGCTCACGTTTTGCTATTGAATAATTGATTTTGTTTCTTAATTTTTCTGGATTAGAAACTGGTTATTATTGCATTGTCTGGCTTTAGAATTCAATCAACTCAGAGCCTCAAGTCAGCTCTTAAGATGGCTAGAGTAGGCAGATCAACCATTTGGTGGCTATGCCAAGTTTGTATGTGTGTGTCCTTGCCCAAGGTATAAACGGATAAGAAGTTTAGATGAGATTTCCACACTGACAGCTACCACTGTAGGGACTGGGGGAGAAGGTGGGTAATAGCTTATACCAGCATGCCTGGTAGACAAAAAAAGGGCCCGTTTTCCATAATTCACTCAAACTCCAAACAGCAACTTAATTTTCTTTCAGTTTTCAGTTTGAGATGCACGGCAGGGATCTCCTCCCCAAGCAAAAGGCAATATGAGGTGAGAAGAAGAGCCTGCTGCCAGCACAGGTATAGGCCTGCATAATGGAGCTGTGGCTCTCAGAAAGAGGCTCTTCATTTTAACAACTGTGATAGTGAGGAAGGAAGCATAATGAAGATGGCATAATTGAAGTGGAAGAAGGAAACATTAACCATGTATTGAGAGGAAGGCTTTGGGGACTAATTTTGACTTCTTTGCTAGATCAAACATTAATGCTGGCCGACAGGTCAAGAGACCTACAGAAGGTAGCACCTATACCACAAAAAAACTCCGAATTATCAAAAATTAGTTTTATTTTATTTTTAATTATGTGAAGCCAAACTGTTCTGAACTGTTTTGTGTTTTCTGACTTCCATATTTATATTGACTCTGGGATACCAGACGAAGATTCAAGTTAAATATGGGCCTGAGGATGCCCAAACATATCTTTTTTCTAATGCCTGTGTCTCTTTGCCACCAAAGAGTTCCATAGTCTTCACAGAAAAACTTAAGCAGGAAAAATTTGAAAATATGAAACAGAATACAAGGAGAGTGAGGAAATTAGAAAAGACGAAAGAAGAACAAAAATATACCAAGCTCCAAAAGAGCAAGACAAGCAGGTAATGGGCACATGATTCCAAAAAAAGATTAAATTCAAAGAAACTATAGAATCTTACTACTGCATTTACAAATGATACACAAAGTTAAAATCATCGAATGTTGTATATAATTGCTGAGGTCAAATAACTTCTAATATAGACAAACATCATATAATCATGAATAGTCCTTATGATTGAAGTTTTAAAATAAAAATTACATTTTAAAAGTATCTGTTAAATCTTTATTAAAAGAAATGTACATAAATATGTTTAATATTTTTCTATCAAAAAGTTGTTACTAATTATTTAGACTTCTAGCCAATTGGTTTCCTGAAACTGCCATACCCTCAACAATTCTTAGGAAAAGCAACCAATACATTGAATGCACTGTGGACTTTACTGGTGTTAGAGAATTCCTGAGGCATGTTTAATAGGAATAAACAGAATATCTCTAAAGGAAAATCATTTGTGTTCTTACTTACAGGATACTCAGGAAGAACCCACTGAGAATAAGAAAGATAGTGTTTATTTAGTTAGATTCTTATGTCTTTGACTCTATTGATCAATATCACCCCTGAATAAGTTACTATGGGATTGAGGCTTTGCTTGATTCGATAAGCCCCAAGTTTCTTAGTCCCTCCCATTGTTTTAAAGAAAGGTGAGCAAAATACTTTTAAAATAATTCTTTATTTTTTATTTATTTTTGTTTTAGTGCCTTGAGAGATTCCTTAGCCATACTTTAAAGGTATGTGGATGTTTTGAAATGCATCATATTCTGATATAGCCATAGGCTAGAAAGAACTTGAAATTATTTGTTTAGCCCTAAAAAAATCAATGTAAGATATGGCATTAGTGTTGGTAGCAATAAATAAATGCTATTTTATGCTGCAAATATATATTTAGAAACAAATATTTTAAATAAAATAAAACAGAGCATATGTTGGTCACCTGCAAATCTTGCCTACCTGCAAATTTACTGAAGTGCCTATGTGCATGCATGGTTAATTAATTAATCCAACCATTTTTGAATATCTTTTGCATAAGGTTCTATGCTAGTACCAGAAATATGTGCTTTTCACGTGAGATTAAGTCCTAATAATCTTGGTATTTTATTATTTGATAGATCCTATGAGACATAATACCTGAGGATTGAGAATGAGATGACTTTACTTAAAACTTAAAATAATGAACATGTAATTTTTATTTGAAAATATAGAAACTAATTAATCAAACTCTTAATTATAGTGTTAAGCATTTTTATTGTATTCTAGTCATGGGAATTTGGTAAGCCATATAATTGGTAAGCCATATAGGTTATATAGAATAACAGAAATATTTAGTCAAGCATGCTTTTCTAAACTATCATAGATTAAAATGGACTAAAGCAGTATTTCTACCATTTGTTGAGTACCCACTATATGGCAAACACTGTTCACATTTTTGTATATCTTTGTACCACATTTGACATTAGTATCTTCTGGCCAGTAGAGAAATAATACAGTAAGTATTATTCTGAACATTTATTAAATTTTCTGGCTAGCCATACACAGAAAATTGAAACTGGACCCCTTCCTCACACCATATACAAAAATTAAGATGGATTAAAGACATAAATGTAAAACCTAAAACTATAAAAACCCTGGAAGACAACCTAGGCAATACCATTCAGGACATAGGTAAGGGCAAAGATTTCATTATATAGATGCCAAAAGCAACTGCAACAAAAGCAAAAATTGATGAATAGGATGTAATTAAGCTAAGGAGCTTTTGCACAGCAAAAGAAACTATAAACAAAGTAAACAGACAACCTATAGAATGGGAGAAAATATTCGCAAACTAGGCATCTGACAAAGGTCTAATATCCAGCATCTATAAGAAACTAAATCGATCAACAAGCAAATAACAAGCAACTCCATTAAAATGGAAGCAAAGGACTTGAACAGACAATTCTCAAAAGAAGACACATATGCGGCTAACAATCATATGAAAAAAAAGCTCAACATCACTGGTCATTAGAGAAATGCAAATCAAAACCACAATGAGATACCACCTCATACCAGTCAGGATGGCTGGTATTAAAAGTTAAAAAATAACAGATGCTGGTGAGGTTGTAGAGAAAAAAGAATGCTTGTACACTGTTGGTGGGAGTGTAAATTAGTTCAACTGTTGTGGGAGACAGTGTGGTGATTCCTCAAAGACCTAAAGACAGAAATACCATTCAGCACAGCAATCCCATTACTGGGTATATACCCAAAGGAATATAAATCACTCTAATATAAAGATGCATGCATTTGTATGTTCATTGCAGCACTATTCACAATAGCAAAGACATGAAGTCAACCTAATGTCCATCAATGATAAAGTGGATTAAAAAAATGTGGTACATATACACCATAGAATAATATGCAACCATAAAAAAATGAATGAGATTATGTCCTTGAAGGGACATGAATGGAGCTAGAAGCCATTTTCCTTAGTAAACTAACGCAGGAACAGAAAACCAAATACTGTATTTTCTCACTTATGAGTGGGAGCTAAATGATGAGAGCACATGGACACATGGAGGGGAGCAACACACTGAGGCCTATTGGGAGTGGAGGGTGGGAGGAGGGAGAGGATCAGGAAAAATAACTAATGAGTACTAGGTTTAACACCTGAGTGATAAAATAATATGTACAACAACTCCCCCTTGACACACAGTTACCTATGTAAGAAACCTACACATGTGCCACTGAACTTAAAAGTTAAAAAAAGGAACAAGAATGTGAATATTAAAATACAAGTCTCATATTTAAAAATTCCTTTATTATAGTTTGTTTATTGCATATGCATCATTCACTGACTATGGAGAACATCTATAGTAAATTTGTTCTCAGTCATCTAGTTTGATGGAAATGGCACTATCTCTTAGCTAGATAATGGACTTATCATATAACACTTCATTGAATCCTTAAATAACACTTAGAAAGGGGCTGCATTTTTTTTTTTGACAAGGCTTATACCTATGACTGGATATTTCACTCCAGTCTTCTAAAAAGGGCCATTTTACTTTTCAGAGTCACTTCTTTTTTTTTTTTTTTTTAATTATACTTTAAGTTTTAGGGTACATGTGCACATTGTGCAGGTTAGTTACATATGTATACATGTGCCATGCTGGTGCACTGCACCCACTAACTCATCATCTAGCATCAGAGTCACTTCTTAAGTCATGTGGTCATTGGCCGGGCACAGGGGCTCACACCTGTAATCCCAGCACTTTAGGAAGCCAAGGTGGGCAGATCACTTGGGGTCAGGGGTTCGAGACCAGCCTGGTCAATATGGTGAAACCCCATCTCTACTAAAAATACAAAATTTAGCTGGGCCTGGTGGCGGGCACCTGTAATCCCAGCTACTCAGGAGGCTGAGGCAGGAGAATCGCTGGAACCCAGGTGGCAGAGGTTGCAGTGAGCCAAGATGGCACCATTGCACTCCAGCCTGGGTAACAAAAGGAGACTCCATCTCAATATAAATAAATAAATAAATAAATATTAAGTCATGTGGTCATTAACTTTGGAGACTGATTTGCATATGAGTGTAGATACAAATTAAAACACAAGTAAACCTCATTGCATGTCACCCTATACATATCGACAATGGAAGGAATACCTTGCCTGTAGTGGACTGTCACTTCTGGACTGAAAGACTAAGAAATAAACTAACTTTTCTTTTTTGCATAAGTCAGAAAAACTTATAGCTAGTAGGTCCAGTTTCCTCGTTGACCTCAGCAGGTGAAGTGAACAAATAGTGTTAATTCAGATATAAAAAATTATCTGAATCTTGGTTTGTATGAATGTACAATCTACATGCAACATTAAATCACATAACTTTTATAGTTTCACATGTGTACATAGGCTCCTTCTCAGCCGCTTCCATATCCATTAGTTATTAAACTTTCTAAACTGGCATTGAAATATTACAACAATGTTTTGTTGCACCAATTTTATAAACTTACGCAGTGCAACATGTATTAGTTTTCTGAGGCAAACCAGTGGTAAATTTCTCAAGGTTCTTGCTGCCTTCTTTAGCAGCATTTGAGGAAGGATCTCTTATATATTTGTAATAGATAAAAATAAACCAGATTGCAAATCCTTTTTAAAAATCCTACACCACGTACCAAGTTTTTGGTTCAAATTGTGTAAGATAAATTAAACTTAAATCACATTCTATTAACCAATATGAGGGCATTTCTAGTAAGCACAGTTAAGTTGAAATAAAGTTTTCAAAAGAAAAAAAAAAGAAAAAAAAAGAATTGATTTTATATATGAAAGCCATGGTCAGATCCCCTCAACAATATGTACTGTCTCATTAGATTGCCAGCCAGTGGTAATTGATAATTTCTAAGTAATCGAGATGCTTCATGTATTTATATTTCAAACAAATTAAATGGAATAGTTCCCTTGACCTCTTCATGGTACTCGTGAAGAGGCGGCTTGCTTACTCTGCCCACAGCTCTCAACCCCTCATGGGATGGGGAGCATGCAGGTGAGTGGGTGCAGGGGCTGGGACAAGTGCTTCTGGCTGCTGGCAGGAGAACTCCATGTGGCCTCGTGCCAGTGTCTGGGCTGGGGGGTACCCATGACCCCTGGAGCCCCAGAGGGCAAGGGTTACAGTGTATTCTTTTAGCTTTGCTGTCTATGGACAGCTTAAGTGTTTAACAGCTCAGTGGAAGGTCAGGGTGACAGCCTTTTGCACCCACCCTTTTGGTACCCAAGTTCTTGTCCAGCATCCAGGAAGAGTCAGGTCACATGAATGAATTGAAGAGTGGTGAATGTGGAGGATTTTACTGAGCAATAGAAGTGGCTCTCAGCAGGATGGGGAGCTGGAAAGAGGATAGAATGGGAAGGTGGTCTTCCCCTGGAGTTCGGCTGTTACCAGCCAAACTCTTCTCTGAAGTCCCACTATCAAGCCATCCCCCTGAAGTTAAGCTGCTTCTCTCTGACATTGAGCTGCTTATTCTCTCCTTCTCTGCCACTCTGCCTCTCCACTGGTAGGGCCTGGGGTTTTTAAGGGTATAGGATGGGGGCGGGGGCAGGGGGGAACAGGGTGGTTTTGGAAAAGGCAACATTTGGGCAGGAAAACAGGAATGCATGTTCCCACTTTAGACTGTGCGTCCAGGCCTGAAAGTGGCGCTTCACCAGGAACCCCACCCTTTCCTGCCTAGTTTTCACTGCCTCCTGTCCGTATCATAATCAAATTCTGCAGTATGTATCTGATACCAAAGACTGGTATAATTAAGACAGCTAGTTTTCTACAAACAAATCAAATGATGAAAACAATTCATTTCTTATACTATTAATCAGAAAAATATGAAATTACCTGCTACATAAATCAAAGGACATATTTCTGTCCCCAATATTGTATGTATTTCTGCCCCCAAACCTTGTAGTTTGTCCTCAAGTCTGTTGCCAAGTGTCTTTTTCCCAAGAGTTAACTAGAGTATGCCCTTCATTTCCCCTCTCGGGGGACTTTTTTCCTTATTTTTTGTTTGTTTGCTTTGTTTGTTTCATTTCCTAGACCATAACCTTCCAAGACATCTTTCAACTTTTGTTCTCTTTTTCTGCTCTCCCATATTGCCAAATTTGTCTTCCTGTTAGACATTCTTCTGCTGTCATGGACCACCCTTGCCCACCTTCAATCTCATGCCATGAGTTTCACATTTCATCCACCTGAAGTATGACACTAGCTTTCTGATAGCCATTCCTAGCATCCCTCCTCACATTCAATCCACTGCTCACACTTCCATTTGATCCATACTCCTGAAACATATTTCAAAGCATTTAAATTATTTGCAAGTTTAAACTCTGTAGTTATTGAAGACCCTCTTTGCTTGTATTGTTTCTCCCTTTCTAACCTAAAATTTCACCCAAACTATTCATTTAATCGTTTATTCATTCAACAAATATTGAACATATCTCTTGTCAGGAGCTTTTCAAGGCATGGTGGCTATAGCAATAAACCAAGTAAGTGCAAGCCCCAACCTTCTTGGGCATCTCATTCTGGTGGAGGCAATTGGTGCTCTGATGCTCTACCAAGATATTCTGGTCCAAGCACACACACTCAACTTACCCCTGCCCTCCCCAGTTGCTGAGACTTTTGGATGGCTAACTGTTCATTCCTCTACCCTTAATGGCGGTGTCCTCTACAGCAGGGAACTCCCTGGGCAAATTTCCACCCTGTTTTAGGAAGATGCTTGGAACCAATGGCTATTAGATATGAAAATACAAAGGCCTGCCGTGCTGACCTCAATTTTGGACAACTCTGAAGGTCCGCCAAGCTCCAGAGCTTTCTGTAGGGTAGATTGAGTCTTTGTTTGCAACCACATTAAAAGTCAGCATCTCCCTTTGTCTAATCCTGTCTTCCTCACTTCCATACATGTGAATTTCCAAAGGGCACTCTCTTTCTGCACACAACCTCTATCTCAGAGTATGTTTCCAGGAAGCTCATCCAAGATATAAAGCAAGACAGATAATATCCAAGTAAATAATAACTATTTTATGGCATATAAAGTGGTGGATTTTATTACTGGTTGCCAAATATTTCAATACCCCTCACTATGGTGCATAAGAATTCTGTTTTACCACTTGATTAGCATCAGGTCAAACTGTATTTCTCATTTTGAACACTACAAAGTGTATGTGGAAAAGATATTTGTCACTTCCAGGAAAAAGCTTTAAGAGCCAGCTTGTGGTTCAACAATGTTTTATTTTTCTTTGTGGAAACAACCAGTGGTGTTCCATAGAGAGGTTATTTATTGTCCTGGGACCAAGGGAGAAAATTATATACAGCTGAGCCACAGCTGACCCATCTGGATATATAGAATGTTATAAGAGGCTGGGGTTTGAGGGTCACTAACTGCCCCAGCAGAACTTAATTTAACCTGTTTGAAACAGCTAGTGGTAAGTGCTATCAAGCTAAGTGGAAAGAGGAATAAAGGAGTCTGGAGTTGGGATGGGGGCCAGAGCTGCTGATTTAAATAGGGTTGTCAGAGACAACCTCACTGGTAAGGTGTTCTCTGAGCACAAGCCTAAAGTGGCTAAGACAGCAGTCATGGAGACACCTGGAGGAAGAGTGTTATAAGCAGAGAGAGCCACAATGTAAAGTTCCCTAGGCCATATCCCAGTTGACATAAAGAAAGAGGACAGTGTGGACAGAATTCAAACAGGGATGGAGATTTGCCAAAGATGAAAGGAAGCTAAAAACAGGATCCAGATTGTACAGAGTTTGAGAGATCATTAAAAGGCCTTTAGCTTTTTCTCTGATTGAAAAGAGAAGCCTTTGGGTTGTAGGCCAATAGAGAGATTGAGAAAAAATTGGATTCTGGGTCTGTTTTGAAGTTAGAATGAACAGATTTGCTGACAGGTTGGATGTGGGTTATATGAGAAAAAAAGAAGTCAAAGATGACTCCTTTTTTTTGACCTGAGCAACTGGAAGGATGGAGTTGCCATTTCCTAAGAGACCAAAACTGCTGAAGTTTGTTCAAATAATTTTACAAACACAGTGCGCTTGTCAAATTTCTTTGCTTGTTTTTCTGGTATTTCCTGCATACTTTTCATACTTCCTCACTTCTGTATTTTCACCCTTATCATTCTCTAATCTTCATGTCTAAATTTTATTGACTCTTCCAAGTTCAAGTCATAGGCTACTCCCTCCATGAAGTTCTTATGAGCATCTCCATCAGAAGTACACTGTCTTTTCCTGTCACTATAATCTTTTATTTAAGTTCCTTTAACCTCACTAATAACTTTCCCTCTTATTTTATATTATTTTTATAATTTTGGGGGTTCAGCCAAATAAACCTGAAATTGTCATCTATATTACTAATTACAGGTGATTGCAGAGAACAATGCTGGTGGGCTTATTACTTCACCTCTGTATTAAATTCACTGTATCACATTTACAAGCTTTTTCCTCCCCCACCACCCTTCTCCCAGTAGGTGCTTTCTCCAGTGAAATGCCTAAATTCCAAAATAAATAAAGAAACAATTGGAATTAAGGTATGTTGTAGCTTCTTTCCAATTTCCAATTCACTATTGAGATAAATCAACTCTCTTCACCTAGGGAAGAATGTGAGTCAAGAGGCCAAGTTTTTATCCGACTGAATGATGAAAATCTGCCCTTTACATGCAGCACTTGCCCTGTCTGTCTTATTCTGGTCTTGAGTAAACTGTAAGTTAATTTCAATGACATATCCTTATAGCACCCAGTATAGCACCCTGTGCCCACGAGGTATCCCAAATGCTTCTGAATAAATGGAATAAAATAATGGTCATAATGGGAACATAAAATATAGTGAAATCAGGTTTTTGAAACTTTAAATAAAAACAAAATCAATTCTTTTTTTACCAGTATATATATATATATATTTTTATATATATATAATATGTGTATATATATATTTATATATATATATAATATGTGTATATATATATTTATATATATATATAATATGTGTATATATATATATATACTAACACAAACTCTTAAATATCATTTACTTGATATTTACCATGTACATGACTTCCCTCTTCCTACCAATTATGTTTCCTACTAAACAAACGTTACCATAACGCATTATTTTTAGTTTTTAGTCACAAGATGTTTATGTAACATATTATTTTAAAATACATATTTGCATTTCCAACGTAGAGAATTTGTCACTTTGTAAGGAAATATTAAAAGCAAACAGCAAAGAAACCAACACAATTTAAAATACTTCAATTCCCTAAGTCAAGGATTGAGTGGAAACGTTGAAAATCAGGTCTTTATATTGCACCCAAAGAAGTAACAATTGGCAGAGCAGTAACTAAAAGTGAGAAAAGAGGAGTCCCAGGCAGAAAAAAAGATGTAACTCTCCATGGATCATGCAGTATAAAAACCCAACTCTGGTAATTATATTAGATATGTTCTGAATAATTAGTATTAAGGTGTTTTAGGTCATTTATACTTTTATTCTCAAGAAAAAAATCAGAAAATATCTGGCATTAGTACAAAATCCAGCTATTTCCACTACTGTGGAACTACCTTTCTTGATCACTTCAGATTGTCTTATATTATTGAACCTGGCAGAATTTTCATCCACCTATAGGCGTTAGGATAGTTCAGTGTTATCTCCGTTTACAAAATAGTTACTTATGGGAAGGAACGTCTCTGTCTTTATCAGTTTTTTGCCTTCAAACTGGAAAAATAAACTATTAAACTATGGCTTTGATGTTTTCGGAAGTTAATGAAGAGACCTTCTTGGTCATATATCCTCTTTTTGTAGATTGGTGGCTGTACCATCATTAAAATTTAGCCAGCCTGCTGTTTGAACTTATGTATGGCAAAGAGGGGAAGGCATTGGAAGAACAGCAATCTGAGTGAGGAAAAAACAGTGAACAAGAGAAAGCCTTTTAGAAATTAACTGAAAGAAGGGAGAACTAGGTAATTCACTACTAAGAACCCGTTGTTAGTGCTAGAACCAGTGTCAGTCTAAATAAAGAGATGCTATGCTTCATTTTGAAAGATCTTCTTTACACCTATTTTCAAATCCTGTCTAATATAAACTTCCAAGTTTATACAAGAAACCCAGAAATTCCAAGAGTGTTTAAAATTAATAGCAAAAAATGACCAAAGAAAGTGGTGCCTTACATACAGAATACAGAACCTAAAATTCTCTGTTATTCTAATGCCAAAAATCAACAGTTGAAAGTCCACTTTGACTGTTAGCATGTTTGCATGTAACTAACAGAAAGAGCACTTGGCCAGATCCCTAGAGTCTTATGCCCTTTCCTCCCTCTGCCATCATGTGAAGGTAGACAAGATCATTGGTCTCCCTGAGTCTCAGTTTTCCCAGGTAAACAATGACAGAAGTGCACTGAATGATCAACTTAGGTTCCTCAACGGACAAATCTGACATTAAGTCAGATTTCCTAATCTCATTTCCATAGATAGTCTACTATGTTAAAAATTTTAGCATGTATACCGCTGATTAATATGTTTTCTTTATCACCAATATCTTTTTTATGGAGCAATTATTGGAGATCAGAAGAACGTGCTCCCCTCCAATTAAAGACTACGTTTAGTACACACCAAATATACTCCTTTCCTTCTAAGTCAGTTTGGTGTGGTTAACACCTCTACCCTCACCTAAGGCCAAGGTAAACGTGACCAACTGAGGCTGCCTTCCTCTGCAAATCATCTTCTGTTCCTGCACTTGAATTCTCTTATTCTAACTTGTCTGGCTTTCCTAACAGGCATGATTCTCATGTTTGTATCTACTTATTTCTTTCTATTTGAACTCTTTAGACATGAAGATTAAAATTACCTTTGTTTTCTGAGTTTACTTCAAATGTGTGCCATTTAAAGTGAACTGAAGTTACTTATGGTATGTACTTGTATTTATGACCTCTGTTTCATGTGGTATAGCTATTCCCACACTCAGTTCCCCTCATGGTCCCCAAGTGTTACTTCAAGGAGAATTTGCCATCATTCAACTTATTTTACATCATGTTGTTTATTAGAAAAAATAACAGTTTATTCTGATAAAATTACTTTTTAGTGTACAGCACAAAATTTTCTGCAATTTTTCTTCCATATATAGTTGTAAAATAAGCAATGAGGTTGCGGCTTACATTTTAAAGATAAATCATCTCTTAAAATAAAGAAACAAAATTCTTGTTATTGGCTAGATCAGAAATAAGTTAACAGATTTATTGGAAAAATATCTCTAATCCTAGTTTTCAGAATGTAGCCAGATTGGAATCTGAGCATCTTTGGAATCTGCAATGACTCATGCAGGGCACTTGTGTATGATGCAGTCTTGACATGGTGCCAAAACAACTGGTCACATCAATCAAAAAAATTAGTTAAGCAATTCTTCCATGCCATGTAGACAATGGCCCAGTTGGTTGTATTTCTCATTCTTCGGCTAAATACTTTGGCAGCATGTCGACATGGTGGCAATTTGGCTGTGCTTCTGATGAGTGTGATGCTGTGTGTCTGATACGTATGACCTAAGGCTTAATTCTTTGATGAAGCCTTTCCACAGAGGCTCTGAGGATTCCCAGTTATTCAAACTTCATGCCTCTTGGAGCTCTAAGATTTTTGTATATTCCTCTAGAAAGCAATGCTTCAACAAATCATGAGATCATATAGCACAAAGAGGCCCTTGAGAAAGCCTTTGGTCCAGCGGTTGATTGTGTATATTTATTTCTTGGAGTCACTTGTGTTTATATCCATATATTTATGTTGGTGCTGTCTTCCCATTATCCCAGAAGGTCTGTAAGGACTTGCCTTGCCCTGTTCCTTCTTTTTTTTTTTTTAAACTCCCCAAAGTCCAATAGCATACTCTAAACCAGTGTTGGACTCATTTCTCAGAGCAGTCTGTTAAAAATTCCTATCATGCCAGATAACTAGGGAGAATTTACAAGGGTAGCAAAAACCCTGGCCCTCTCCCCTCTAATAAATATACATCCAAAGTACAGGTCACTTCGCAAGCCACTGGATACATTTTTAAGTGTCTCAAGATGTTCTAATTTTGCTTCCAACACGGGTTTCACATTGCTGTTGGTCAATTCATGTGGTTACAAAGAAGGTGCATTTTCAAATAGCAATCGTTAGAGGCGTGGGTGAGAGGACATACATAGCCAGGCTACTTTAGGACAACTATATAAGCTAGACCTTACACGGTCTGAGAAGGGCTAAGGCTAGATCTATCTTGCTGAATACCATATCCTCAGCGCCTGACATATGGTAAGTGTTCAGGTAATGGTAGTTAAATAATTACAAAAGTAGAAAAAAAAAGAAAGTAAATTTACCATTGTTTCTTCCACTAGAATTAATTACTCTTTTGATTAAAAAAATAGGAATATTGGCCCACTCTAAGAAACAGAACCTATTGATTTTTTTATTTATTTTACATGAATTTTATAATTGGCTTTCAAGTTTTCTTTAAATTCTCATTTCAAAAATAACCTCAAATAATTATCACTGCTGCTTAAAAACGGTTTTCTTTATTGCAATCAGACACTGAGTTACTTATTCTCCTTCCTCTCATTGAATGTTGTTTGCTTTGTATGGATTCAAAAAGTCTATAATAATAGAGATACTCTAATTCCATTATTATATAAACAATATTGTATATGTGCTTTAAAAGATTCACTTTAATTTGAGGTATTTCTAGATTGCTAAAGTGTCAAAAATACAACCAAAAGGGAAAAGGAAATAATGCTATTTAAAACTGTTCAGGATGCCAAACCAAATTAAATACCTAATTTAAAACAACATTTTCTTTCAATATCAAATATTTCTGATTAAATCCAAATAATGTTGAAGTCGCCATTTCTGACAAAGAAATATATCTGATAAAGACTAAAGATACTGTATCTCATAATATGTGTCAATAACTTTTTTTCTGTTCAACACCTTCTTAAGACTAGGAAAAAATTATAAAATATAACTCATAAGAAATGATATTTTATAATGGTCCAAAAATTACCAGCTTGTTGAACTCACCTTTACTGGACAGATGGCAGGTGACAAACTGATCTCAGCCAATAAAATCTGTCAAAACAATCTGCCATGAGCAGGTGTCAGATAATTATCTAAATGAACAGATATGTAAAGTAATAAACAAACTAGAAAGAGATTCTGAACACAGGGAACTTCACAAGCAACTAAACTTGCAATCTAACCTTAAATCATACATATGACACAAAAATTAGCTAGTGCTTAGGGCAAAGTTATAACTATTAACAGCAGATTATATTTTCTTTACCCAATTTTTGCTTTGTGAAAACAAGTTTTAAGATTCCCTTTCAATCAGAACTCTGGGTATATAATTGTGATGTATCAATAAAATATAAAGCTTTTTGTTTGGCAAGTATTTTTTAATGCTATATCTTAAGTCAGAGCAATAAGAAAGTTTATGATATTTAAAGTCAGTTTTATAAAATATTATATATAAACACATAAGTTAAATATATATAATTTATACTGTCAAATAATAAAAATCATATAATCAAATACACAAAAATTTTATCTTCCTAAGTAGTTCTGTAAATTATGAGAGATATTCATATATGTAATTTTAGATATGCTTGCATAAATGGAAATGTGAACATATCTATAATTTGCATAGTACAAATGATTGCCTTGAGTTAATAGTTGACAATTCATCAATATATATTTGAGAAATTAGTATTTGCCCACATAGGCATTAACATTGCCAGCTGTAAGCGATATTTTCTTTGCTGACCTGAAGTCAGTAATTTTGATTTTGGTTCAGTTTTTCTTAGTAGCTTATGTTGCCATTAGCAAGTTTGATGAGCAGCAGGGAGCCCAGTCAGGTGGAACTTCATGGAAAGAAGCTACCTTTTAAGTATTTTCTATTTAGGACACGATATTTTTGTCTCCAAATATCACTCCCTTACTTGTGACATCTTGCTTATGCAAATAAAAGCACATTAAGCAGGCACCCCCAGGTGGGAAAGATATGTCATAAAAGAGCCATTTGTGACTGGATCCTAATACCCCTCACAGAGCCAGTCCATCAAAAATGGACATATTTGTGTAAATCCAGGACTCCTGAGAGAAGGTGTCCGTGGGGCTCTGCCTCCATCCTCCTGATTAAATGCAGTGACAATGACTGAATTCCGAAGGAGTTCTGGCACTGATTCTCACATATGTGGCCTCAGGACCCATTTACACTCTTAAAATTATCAATGCCCCCTCAAGAGCTGTTGATTATATGAATTATATCTTTCAACATTTATCACATTAATAATAAAAATACAGATATTTTTAAAATATGTACTAAATAAAATAATGCTTATCCTTAATCCTTATTTATATAAATTGCATATTTTATTAAGACTATATTGTTTAAAGTAAAAAATATTCTTTACATTTTACAAATTAACATCTGACAGTAAAAAAAGACTGGATTCTTATATCTGTTTCTGCATTCAGTCTGTTAAGATGTGTTATTTTGGGTGAAGTATGTAAAGAAAACTCAATCTCACACAGATAGGTAGTTGAAAAATGGAGGGATAGTTTAAACTTTCTTCAACATAGTTTTTATATTATTTAATATACCAAAACTTGACAAGTGGTAGTTTCTTTAAGATGAGTTAGATTCCAATATGGAACCTAAAACAATATCGATGGATTTGTTATACTCATTTGCATCAATACCAATTAGTCTATCACACATTTTGAATAAATCTTTTAACTATGCATGATTTTGTAAAATCATGCGTTGATGATTTGAAAAATATTGGTCCACTGAATTATGCAGATCTTTCAAATACACAGTACAAAATTTAAACTGTGCTTTTTTGTGAGAGAATGAAAATGAAAAAGTTGAGTAATATCTTTTATTATTATTATGAAAATACTTTTGATCTCATAGATATCTCTGAAAGAATCTTAGGATTTCCAAACTCCCCAGTCACACTTTGAGAATTACTGACGTGAGGGAAAGGACAGCACGACTTAAAGACCTACATTCAACACCAAGCGCCAGATGAGCTGCAATCACAAGTGCCTAGGTAACAAAAACAAGTGAAGGGAGTGAGTGTGGCAAGACCCTGGCGAGAAAGCAGCTGCTCCCCCACCCCCTTGTAGGAATGTAAATGAAAGGTTGTCTGATCTCCCTTTTAAAGATAAACCAGAAACTTGGATTTTTATGTGAACTCTTTGGAATTTTTTTTTTTTTGGATGGAGTTTGGCTCTGGTTGCCCAGGCTGGAGTGCAATGGCACAATCTCAGCTCACCCCAAACTCCTCCTCCCGGGTTCAAGCGATTCTCCTGCCTCAGCCTTCCGAGTATCTGGGATTACAGGCATGCACCACCATGCCCGGCTAATTTTGTATTTTTAGCATAGATGGGGTTTCTCTATGTTGGTCAGACTGGTCTCAAACTCCTGACCTCAGGTGATCTGCCCGCCTTGGCCTCCCAAAGTGCTGGGATTACAGGTATGAGCCACCACACCCAGCCAACTCTTTTGATTTTTTAAACGGTGTCCACTCTATACACTAACACTTTATAAGCCAATCAGAATCCACCTGTAGATTCAGATGTTACCATCTAGTATACAGCTGAAGCCAGAAGTCAACTATGGAAACGATAAAAGGGCAACAGAAGTCAGCTAACATCTGTAAACTTCTATAAGCTTGGAATCCCAAATCTGGATATTTCTTGATTAATCCAAAGTGCAGAAATCATGAGGTGGTGGAATCAACCTCCCTACATCTGGTAAAGCATCACTATAGCGGTGAACAAGGGCACTTCAAATTGTGTTGGACCAGTTTTCATTAGGGATGTGTATGTTATGATCAAAATAGACATAGCAGAACACAGAAAACTGGGCCCATGGGTGGCAGATCAGTTTCTCCAGTTGTCTTTCTCCTTCACATATGAAAGCAGGACAGGTTTCTTCAGACTAAATAAGCTCTAGGTGTTCATGAACTTTTTAAGAGAGGAAACACACTAAAATGTAATGGGTGCCTTTCCAGTTACTTGGAAAATTTATTTAAATATTGAAAAGAAATGAGTCTTTAATTATTCCTCAAGCTGGTGAAGTGAGTTACACTGGAGATATACTTACAGATCTCTATATTCACATATCACTAACTCTCTATTCAGTTTGACACCCTCAACTTTAGTATGAAAACATAGATTATATTATCTGTGTGAAACATTGAGAGAAAAAGATCCTTTCATAGCTGTGCATCTCCCTCCTATTAATCTTATATCCCTCTTAAAATTAAAAGTTTAATTTTTATACATAGTAGAAGTGCAAGCAAGTCATTCACTCATTTTATAAATATTATTTTTACAACTAATACCTTGTTTAAAAATATAGAGAAGACTTTGACAACAACTCTTCGTTGTCCAGTTATCTTTGGTATTACTTGAGCTGGCATCACTTGCATGTTAAGCATGGATAAAATTGACGACTCAAAATAATTGCAATAGTCTTCCGTATGTTCTCCTAATGAGCTTGCTTGGTTTTCTTCTAACTTTAATATATCTCCTTAGGAAATGCTACAGAACAGTTTGAACCAAATAAAATCAGAAATTTCTTCCAAAAAGGAAAATAAAATATTTCTTGGCTTTACATTTTTGATAACTATGCTTTTCATTATGCAGCCTAGGAAAGCCTAAGAAATAGCCTTTTATTTGTATACTTTGTAAAGGAATCACTGCATTTATTTGGAATTGCTATCTGGATAATATTGATTTTGTTTAATTTACTCCTTTTGACACAGATTGCTACTTGTTTACTAAAGTCCCTGTTCCTTCTTCACAGTATTAGAAACATATACCCTACCTCCCCAGATAGGGATTATTACATTTCCAGACACCCTTGCAGCTCTATGTATCCATAAGATGAAATCCTCATAAACAGAATGTGAGAAGTAATGTGTGCCACTTCCAGGTGTGGGCCTAGAAACAGTAACTATATATCCTCTACACACTCTTTTCACCTTTCCCACAAACACTAACAAACTGATGCCAGCTTGAGTTAGGCAGATGAGGAAAATAATTAGAGGTGGATGAACAGGAAGATGTAAGAAACCCTGGGCTTTGAAAGGCAGTGTGGATCAGAGCTATGCCACCAAACGGAACTTTTCACGCAGATGCTATTATGTAAGAGGGGAAACTTTTGTCTATAAAGTTATTGTAATTTTGAGTTTATTTTTTACGCCAGCTAAGTCTTTATCTTGATTAGTATATTCCCACTTTTCATATAAATGAGCTAAGATGAATGTATTTGGAAAGCATATCTGTACATGTTGTTAATAAAGGAATCCTCTTTGTGTATGACCCTGTTTTCCCAAATGAATAAAAAAATGTGGCAAGTTTATCAACTCTAAAGTAATGCTGATGACAGATGCATCAGTTCAGTTGTGGACCATTCCAAGTGATCTATTTTTTTTTCCTTTGGGTGTGTCATCATAGATAACTTAACTTCATATACTGCTGTTAGCTCTTTTCAATAACTTTTTTTTAATGAGCCAGATGAGTGTAAATAAAAAAGAATGATAAAAATAACTCTAGTAGTTTTGTCTTATTACTTTCTACCCTCCTCCAGGTAAGCCTGTATTTGAAGGATTGATCCTCCATATGCAGATCATAGATCTACATAACTTTGTGCAGAGGAAGATATTAAAAGCTGAAAAAAAATCAGGGCTTCATACAGTGCTTTATCTTTCAAAAAGCAAAGCTGACCAAAGGCAGTAAATTTATCTGAGATGGGTTTGATACTGAAGGGTAAGGGTGTATACTACTTCAAATTGTCAGCATGAGCAATTTCCTTCCTTCACCAGTGAGTCTTCCTCAGTTTGTTAACTGGATCCACAGACAGCTGGTTCAAGTCTAAGGGCACTTCAACCTGAATGAGCAAACTGACAGTCTGTAAACACTTAGGAGAAGACTTGAGACAAGGAGTGCTCATTTCTACATCCAACAGAGAGAAGTAGTAACATCACACAAGACTACATTATTTTTTGTAATATATTATTTTATATTCAAGTAGATTTCCAACTCTATGCTTGGGATTTTTTACCCTAACTCAAAATGGCCAGTAAATAAGTAAGAAGGATGATCTCACCATGAGTTGATTGTCTACCATCTTCTAGGTGATTTACAGGCATGATCTCATGTGATCACCATCATTCTATGAAATAAGTACAATTCCCATTATATAGGTAAGTAAAATGGGTGTTAGGTTACATGACTTAGCAAAATCGGGTTTGGTAAGACATGAAACCAGAATAGGCTCCAGAAATGTATGGTGACTCCTATGATAACTAACTCCCAGTTGTTAGTAAAAATATCAGCCCCAGTTATCAACATCTTTATTAAGAGTACATCAATCGGTCTGTTTGATACCTTCCACTTTATCATATTGATTCTCAGTTACAAAAATAATCTGTATTTCCCAAGTTTCCTAAGATGTTCTCTACGCTGACATCTTGTATTTCGATCAATCTGATTCTTTCGATGCAATCACATTTCCTGGGCCTCCACCCACCACTGATTTTCAGTACCACTTTACTGCAGATTTTAGCTGTGGTGGCAGAGGGACCTTGCTGTAACCTAGAATTGCTCCATATCAAATGTCTGGAAATCCTGCATTTTTATCTTTGACCATGAACTTTCACCCACTATGTTCTCTCTCATTCCAATTTCTCCAATAATCTCTTTTTTATTATATAGAGCCCTAAAGTCTCTGGTTTCTGTCATTTCATTCCTCTCCTCCACTCTTTTCCTGCCTAGAGTTTATGATGCCAAACTGCGGATAGCCTCTCACTGTCTTTCAATATGCTGGCTACCTATTCTTCTACAGTGACCACTGAATAAATTCCAGTCATAAATGAGTTCCAAAAATCAGCATTTTCTTCTTTCTGTACCTGGATGGTGATTCCTGCTACAGGAAACCCCCAAATTATAAATTGATGCCAAAAATCTTAATTGACCTTGACCATATCTGATCTGTTAGCTCTTTCAAGACTCTTTACTTGTTCTTGCTCTTGGTCGAGTTTTTCTGTTTCATTCAGCAGATATTACAAATCTTCATGTTATTCCTCAGCCTTCTAGTCAGCACTTTCCCCTTCACCTTCAGAGAGACATATTTGAGAAATTTGAGGCCATCCTGTGTGAAATCTCTCAGCTTTATGTGCCCCTCTTTTACAAATATGCTCCTGTTTCCGTACTGTGGGATACCATTCCTGAAACGGAGTCTAACAACGGCTGGTCTTCAGGCCCTTGTGTAATCCCTACCTCTCCTGTATGGCATGGACCTAGTGACTTGCCTCTAAGGAACAGAATATGACAAAAGTGATGGGATATCTTTTTGGATATTAGATTACAGAAAACAGAATTCTGTTTTGCTCTCGCTTTCTTTGTCTCTCTATGTCACTCTCCTTGGCTTGCTCACTTCGATGAAGAACATTGCCATGTTATAAGCTGCCTAGAGAGAGCAGCAGGGCAAAGGACTGAGGGTAGCCTCCAGTAACCAGCAAGGAATTAAGGTTTTGGGTCCAAGATCTCACAGGGAACTAAACCCTGCCAGGAACCAGCTGTGTGATCTTGAAAGGATATCCTTTCAGGTAGATCTTTGATGGCTTAGGTCCTAGCCCACAACTTTGCTAGAGCCTGTGAGAGAACTGAAGCAGAGAACTCAGCAAAGATGCATCTGAGTTCTCGATGTGCTGAAGCTGAGAGATAGTAGTATTGTCACTTCAAACCATTAAGTTTGGGGATAATTTGTTATGAAGCAAAAGATAACTAAACTTAAGCTATTCTTTCCTCTAGGCTGAAAGAATGAAGTGCTCCCAATCAGCCTCTCCCCTAATCTCTTGATCTCACACCTTGCCTGATTTGCTGCATCAGTTTTCTTCTCTTTCCTTTTCACTCTCAACTTCCCCATTCCCTCTCTTACCAAAATGAATTCCACCCTGTGCGTGTAACCTCACTCACAAGTGCCTTATTTTCTACTGTTCCATCTCAGCTACACTTCATAAAAGATTCTTCTACTTTTATTGTCTCTATGTTCTCTCTTTCAATCCAGCCATCTCTTGACCCATTATAAACTGGCTTCCATATGCATCTGAATTTACTCTGGCAAATTCAATCACAGACATTCATATTGACACATCTAAGTAACGGTTTTCATTGTCCAAGATTAAAACTACCTGTCTTTAAAAACCAATGAATATTCTGTGTTTTGAAAGTATTTGTCCTTGTGGTTTTCAAGAATATTAAAATGCTGTTTTCTTCCTACCATGCTGAAAATCCCTCTTCTTCTACTTCACAATTTCCCTTCTTCTGTTTCATCAGTTCCAAACTAGAGGTGACTTTGTCCTCTGGGGGATATTTGGCAATGTGTGGAGACACATGCCTATAACCAGAGAAGGCAGGGAATGATCCTAGATTCTAGTGAGAAGAGGCCCAAGGAAACTGCCAGGTATCCTGTATTGCATAGGACAGCCTCCCGCAACAACAACAAAACGTTATTCAGTGCAAGACATCATTAGGGGTGAGGTTGAGAAATTCTCCTCTATTTGATATCTGAAGCTGATTTCTACCCAAAATTTTATTCCTCATCCATTTCTTTTACCTAACAACAACAACAACAAAATCTCATCTGCTCTGTGGTTTCAACTACCACCTATATTCTGAAGATTTTCAAATTTACTGTGACAGTACTGACCCTGATATTTTGACTCTAAATGCCCACCAGATACATTTAATTGACTGTGTCACAAGCGGAACTAAATTAACATGTCCCAAACTGTAGATAGATTTAATTTCCCCATCATAAATATCCTCCAGTAGCCCTACATCTGGCAGTGGGTACTGCCAGGACCATATGATAGGCAAATCCAGAAACTGTCCCACATCAATTCCCAAATCCTGTACATTTCATTCATATGCCTTTTTATGTTCCAAAGTATTTTACTTACCTCAATAATGCCTGGTTTTCCTTCAAGTCTTGGGAAATGCTGTCCCCTCTAGGAATCCTCCCCCGACCAGAGTCAGGGCCAATGTGAATTCTCTGTGCTCCCATAGACCCAGGTCGTGCATCTAGCATAGCACTTGCCATATTGTGATGAAGCAATTTGTTTATCTTTTTGTGTCCTCGGATAGAATTTAAGTTTTCCTAAGTAGGAGTCCATGTCTTTCTGTGTTTATGTGTGTATCCTCCAAAATGTAGTATAATCCATGAGAATTCAGAGAATATTAATAGTAGCTAACTTTGCTTGAGAGACTATTATATTCCAAGCACTGCATTATTTTTATTTAATCCTTCTTTCAAAACTTTGAGATAGGTACCATCATTATGTCCATTTATAAGCTAAGTAAACAAAGCAATAGAGGAAGTTAGGTAATTTGCCCAAGTCACGCTGAAAAATAAATGGCAGATTAGAATTTTAAAATTATGTTTCTAGCTCCAGAACTCACCATCTTATCCACCAAACTATACTAATTTCCCTAAACTTATACCTACTGTCCCATTCTGGGCATGATATAAATTACTTTAATATTAATAAAATATATTAGACAGTATTAAATTAATCTATAGTATGTTATATATTATATAATATATATTATTATATACCTCATAAATCTTTATTATGCATCTATTTATAATATATTGTTAATAGTAATACAATTTAGTAAAATATTCACTTTAATATTTTTTGAAATAAGAAAACTGCAAAACTAGAATGTTCTCAGAAAGATAATTTTCCCTTCCATGTGCAAGATATCCAAATCAGTGTGTCAAATGTTCTTTGTGTAAATGAGTGGAACTGGGTGGAAGGGTTTAATGAATTCAGAGAAGTTAGTCATAAATCAGTGAAAACAAGTGGAATTTGCAGGTTTAGATTGAGCTTGAAAATAAAGGTTGAGATTGAAAATAAAGCACATAATTGGCCTAAGAGCACCCTAGACCCACAGAACATGTTCTTGCTGAAGCAGTTGGGCAGAACCAAGACTGGTCATATGATTCCAGAACAGCAACAAAGGACACCCAATTGTTCTGAGTGTGCACTGAAGGAAGTGGCAAAGTTACTCTCCCGTAGGTTGCTGGAGGGCCTGCATTAGACCCATCTTAACTCTTTCAGTGCCAATTTTCAACAGTGACTTTTTTCCACGTTAAAATACATGTTGGTTCTTTTATTAAGCAACATGTTAAAAATTAATTTCCTATTTTTTGGTGAAAAGTATTTGGCAGCAGGGAGAAAAATATGTTCAAGATATTTGAGCTACTGCCACACACCTGTTCCCTTATAACCTGGAGCAGAAGTACTGGTCCATCAGAGAAGACATTTCCATGACCTCTTTAGCCTCTTTATAAATATTAATAATTAAGACACCGTAAGGTTTGTCTCTTTAGTCACAATTTGCTCCCATTTGTTTACTAGTTCTCTAAAGTGTGTGAGAAGTTTAATAAATGACTGATCCTCAAAGAACACATTCGGCACTTTTCCTAGAGGACATCTATAGTCACAAAACAGACTCGAAATAACTCAATTAATGCCTGATCCCTGCTCCTGGACAGACAGAGGACTGTTAGGCTAAGAAATCAGGACAGACTATCCCCAGAAGCTGTACAGACCTAGCACCTGGTAACAAATCCATAACACTCAATAGCATAGGACGTTTCTTTTTTTTTTTTCTTGCTTTTCCTTGTTTATTAAGTAAAAATTCTAACAATAGGCAACTTAGCATAAAGGAAAGAACACTGGCTATAGTCCTAGACGGATGGGGTTCTTTCTTCTGAGATGTTAAACAAATCTCAATTACTGAATCTGCAACATGACGATGATAATATCTACTTTGCAAAAGATTATGTATTTATATATAACATATGCACAGTGGTCATCACATCTGTGGTCTCACTAAATCAAAGGTATTTCTTTTCCTGACACAACTGTGTTTTAAAATAGGCAAATCAGAAAAATCTCAAAGTGGAAATGTGTCCTTAACTGTAACAAAAAAATCTTTTGATTTCCAAGTATGTATATTTTGTCATGTTAACTCATTACAATAGTCTTACAAACAGATGCATTTACAGAGTGCTAGACATATCGTAGATGTTTAATAATGGCTTATGATTGACAAATCAAAAATTAAGGAAAATCTGGATTCTTGTCCCTTGGAGTCCCTTTTGCATTATTTAGGGGTGAGAGGTTCTACTATTAGGGCAGAGAATGCTCTGGGCCTTCTTTGATTTTGGTTTTATCCAGACTAAAATTGTTGCGTTATGAAAAACATATATTTTCTAGGCTCGTAGTTCTTACTTATTAAAAAAGAACTACTATAGTCCCTATTATGATTATAAAAATAATGCATTTTGTTACAGAAAATTTGGATATATAGAACAATGTAAAGAATAAAATAGCATCACCTGTAATCCCACTAAACAGAGCAAATGTTTGTTAAAATATGTCTTTTCCTAATGTTTTCTCCTCTGTGTGGATATATATATATGTGGGTATATCTATCTACCTACTATTATCTATCTATCTATCAATCCATTAATCATCATTGGTATATGTAAACACATGCATATGCATAATATCTTATATGTATTATATGCATACTTGTATATATACAGACATTTAATATAATTTGATAATCTACTTCACACTTAAAAATAACCATGAAAATTCCATATAATTTTAAATACTCGTTTAAACTATCACTCAATATATTTTCCTAGTATTTCACAGTCTAGACATTTTAGCTCATTCCCAATTATTTAATTTGGATATTTTCTGTTTTTAATATACTCATTTATGCTATGGTTCATATCTATATGAAAATACCTTTATACACATCTTGGAATATTTTGCTAAAATAAGTAGAATTACTGAGTCATATGATAGAAACTTTCAATAATCAATTTTTTACTAGAAATGTTACACTCTGTAAATATGTTCATAACTTATTTACCTCACAATTATTTTAACATAAAAAAGTTTATGTGTATTTTGTCAGATATATCAATTGTTATCCTTTGTAGTTTTGCCTTTGTTTTATACTTTAAATTACGCCCCATTCTGAGTTTATGCTTATTTTATAGTTTTATGCTTTGACTTTTTTATAGTATTGAACTTTACACAAGATTTTGCAATATGCCTGGCAATGACTTTAGTATTGATGTGAAAGAGGAAGATGATATTCTTTGCATCAAAGATCTGATCCATTTCCTCAACACTAATGGTGGGCTAAATCCTTCTTTCCTCATTGATGAAAATATCTACCTTTATTATTTACTAAGTTCTCATTATATTAGGACCCCTTTTTCATCACTCCATTCTGTTCTATTGATCTATTGACACATGGAATTATTCTTTCAATTACTGTTTTTTTTTGTTAACCTGTGTACAATCTTTCTACACAAAGAATGGTCTGCTGACAGGCAGCATCACCCTCACAGAAGCATGTTAGAAATGAAGAATCAATCGCAGACCTGCACAATAATGGTCTCTACATTATTCCTATGCATATCAAAGTTAAATACATGCATGCATATGTTCATTGCAACACTATTCACAGTAGCAAAGACATGGAAACAACCCAAATACCCATCAATAATAGGCTGGGTAAAGAAAATGTGGTACGTATACACCATGGAATACTATGCAGCCATGAAAAGGAACAAGATCACATACTTTGCAGGGACATGGATAGAGCTGGAAGCCATTATTCTCAGAAAACTAACACAGGAACAGAAAACCAAACACCGCATGTTCTCATGTATAAGTGGAAGCTGAACAATGAGAACACATGGACACAGGGAGGGGAACAACACACACTGGGGCCTGTTGGGGAGTTTGGTAGCGGGGAGGCAGAGAATTAGGAAAAATAGCTAATTTATGCTGGGCTTAATACCTAGGTGATGGGTTGATAGGTGCAGCAACCACTATGGCACATGTTTACCTATGTAACAAACCTGCACATGTACCCTGAATTTAAAATAAAAATGTATAAAATAAAAGTTAGAGAGGAACTGATTGGTATGCAACAATTTCTTTTAGACATTGAGCCTATTCTTGTTTTGCTGGCTGAATGAGGGGAGGAGAGTAGTTTGAAGTCAGGAGAATCTGGTAAGCTAAATGTCCTAATTGGTTCATTGCATTCTGAAAAAACGAACTCACAAAAACAAGGGATGCCTATTCACATCCTTCCTATCATTCCCACAAGTTATCTTAAAACATAAGACCACTTTTTACAATACAACTTCCACCTCTGGGAGGCCTCTTTCCTGTTTTCTTCACTTAAGGCCTAGGGAAGCATAAAAGAAAATCATAAATTCAAGAAATCAAAAAGTTTCTAGCCCAGATGCTTACATTTTATAAAAGGCCAGCTTTTGCCAAAATAAAATAAAATTTAAAAGTTTCTAATTTAGTTTATGAAATCAATCACTTGACTCATTGCAGAATTTAAGTTTCTCAGTGAACTGTTTTATATGGTACTATTGAAATGTTAGCATTAAAGCAATGTAAAACTAAGCCCTTACAAAGAAGGAAAGAAAAAACTTCCTTCTTGTCTTACCAACACTGCTATTATCACATAGTGTGTTTCACATGATAAGCCATTCATTAAAGCATCACCTACTGTTTTTTTCTCCTCAGAACCAGCTAGAACATGATCTGTCTCTGCATGAAGATGTTGGACCTCTGACCTTTTCTGTAGCTATTCCAGACAAGTATAATAAACAGAGTTCACTAGGTTTCTGTAAATCTCTGATTATGTTTACTGTGGAATCCAAGTGTTCATCTCAGGCAGAAAAATTAAGGTTGATTTTCAAATATTATGTACAAACTCTAGCTACTAAGCATTCCATAATGAGCACTTTGGCAATTTAAAGCAAATTAGGGTTCCCACTAGGCAAGGATGACATGCACTGCAGTCAAAGAAAAATGGTATGTTGTTAATGGAGAATATTCACTGAGAATTTACAATAAATCCAAAGAGGTCTCCTCATTGTAATTTGGGGGAAAGAAATCTTAGTGCACTTCATTACTGGGAATTTGTGTCAGTTTTAAACTCTCCTTCCCTGGTTTTCAAATCTTAGTGTATAGAAGGCGGCTAATGAGTAACAGTCCTGTATCAATGGGTGGTTCATTAGGGTGATGCATTTTTGGGAAAACAGTTACCTTTCACAAGATTATCATTGAAAGAACAGTTCAGTATACCCAACTACTGCCAGAGATTAATGCAGGGGTTGATTAAAATGAGAAATGAAGTTTTTATTTTCATCCAAGCACAAAATGTAATCAGAATTGCACTGATCACACATGTGAAAGAACCAAGATGTTACTTACTAACTCATTATAAAAAATTATTCACATTATTTATTTAATTATATAGCAATATTCTACATAGCCTATCGTAGAAAAGTTTAAAGACATAAATAAGCATAAAGAAAATGTAAAAGTCATAACTATTCCTCTTACACAAGCATAATCATGGTTAATATCTATGGATTATATCATTTGAGGATATATATATATATATATATGTATGCATAGATACCAATATATGGATACATGGCAAATAAAAGAGTACAGCTATAGTATGTTTGTGTGTACAGCTATAGTATGTATGTGTATATATATGTATATGTATGTATATATATATGTGTATATATGTATATTTATATATAGTGATTTGTGTATGTGATATTTAAATGTCTCGTATGTGATATATGTAAATTATATGCAAATGAACACATGTATATGTGTATTTATATTCTCTGTGTGTTTCTGTATGTGTATGTATGTGTGTGTATGTGTGTGATGCAGTATTACTTAAAATCAACTTAACAAAATTACATCTATACCACACACATACATTTGCACACTCACACACGTACACTTATTTCCATGTCAAAAGATCAATATTCATTTTGGTGATATTCCATTGTGCAAATTTTACTAAAATTTGTTTTACTATTACTGGACGTTTAGATTGTTTCATGTTTTCTTACTATTATAAACAACATTTTAATGAAAATCATTTATATAACTGTCTGATTAGTTCCTTAAAAATAATGGAATTATTGGGTCAATGACTATGTTCTTTTTGGCCTTATAAAAAATATTACCACATTATCCTCTAGAAAGCATGTATTAATTTACCTTGCTCCTGGCAATGTATTAGAGTGACCTTTCTTATCCTTAGCCAAAATAGATGTTATCATAAAATATTGTTAATTTGATAAAGCAAAAACCAATATATTGCTTACTAAGAAAGTTGAACTTTTTTCTATGCATTTTCCTACTTTTCTATTATTGCATTCATTTTGTCATTACTTAGTTGCAGAACTTCTTTATACATTAAAGATATCATCCAAATATAATACATACGTAGCAAATATTTCCCCCATTAGGTCATTTGCCTTTCTCTTTGTTCATGGTGGAAATTTTCCTTTGTTCATCAGAACAAGAATAATTTTTATATGGTCAAATAAATCAATCTATTCATTTGTAATACCATACTGTAAGATAATCTTTTTACCTTCAAAAACACCAACCTTTTTTTTTTTTTTTTACTTCTTCTGGGCATTACTCTTTGATATTTAACTCTCATAACCAACTCAAAATTACTGTGATTCAAGGAATAAAGTAAGGATCCAATTTTTTCAGATAATTAATCATTATCTCAGTACTATTTATGAAATATATTTTTGTACCACTACTTTGGAATAATATTGTCATCTACGAATACAGACATATATTATGTATATAAATGGTGTATACCCACATACCCACACACACATATGCACACATACGTACGTGAGTTTGTGTTTCTGACCTTTCTTCTCTATTCTATAGACATTCTTTTTTTTTGTTCCAGAACCACTTCTTCACTGTGATAATTATTGTTATCATTTAGTATATATTTTAGTAGTTTGTAATAAGATTCCTGTACTAATTATCTTTTATCTTCAGAATTCCATTGTTTATATTACCCAATTATTTTTATTTATTTATTTATTTATTTTTGAGACAGAGACTCGCCCAGTCTCCCAGGTTGGAGTGCACTGGCTGGATCTCAGCTCACTGAAACCTCCGCCTCCCCGGCCCAAGCCCTTCTCCTGCCTCCATGTCCCGAGTAGCTGAGATTACAGGTGCCCGCCACTACGCCCGGCTAATTTTTGTATTTTTAGTAGAGACGGGGTTTTACCATGTTGGCCAGGCTGATCTTGAACTCCTGACCTCAGGTGATCCCCCGGCCTCAGCCTCCCAAAGTGCTGGGATTACAGGTGTGAGCCACCATGTCCGGCCTACTCATTATTTTTAAATAAAATTGGGGACATTTTCGCCAATAGATAAAAGTGTTGGTTTGTTTCTTTATTTTAGACAAGGTCTCACTCTGTCACCCAGGCTGCAGTGCAGTGGCATAGTCATGGCTCACTGGAGCCTCAACCTCCCTGGGCTCAGGTGATCCTCCCACCTCAGCTCTCCAGTACCTGGAAGTACAGGAACGTGCCACCACATCTGGCTAATTTTTTTGTATTTTTTATAGAGACAATGTTTTGCCATGTTGCCCAGAATGGTCTCAAATTCCTGGCCTCAAACGATCCTTCTGTCTTGGCTTCCCAAAGTGCTGGGATTATAAGTGTGAGCCACCACACCTGGCCAATATAAATTATTTTTAATTGAAATGAATTGATTCAAAACTAACAAGATTTGATATCATGGTCTTTCCTTATAAAAGCATAGACATCTTTTTCATATACTTAATTTTCAATCTCTCAATAAAAATGCAGTAGTTATCTTCATATGGATCCTGTGTTCTTGATTAGTTTTATAACATATATATCCCTAGGGATATGTTATACCTACGGATATACAACATATATATATGTTATATATTTTTGTTAATATTAATGTGTTTCTATATTTTTCCTTGCTTTGTACAAATTATATTTACTTTTATAATGTGTCATGCACAACATTCTTATTTTTAGATCTAATCATTTCATGCTGATTTACTCAGATTTTCTAATTAGACCTATACTATTATACCTACCGTATCTATAATTTCCAAGGGATTTACCATTACGTATGTCAAGAATTAAATGTTGAAGATTCCATGAAACCTGATGACAGACCCTGTAACCTAATCAGTTTCTGGTAAATCCAATAACGTCAGTGTTCGTTCTCTTTTCGTTTAGGTTAGAATGCATCCAAATCATGTTGTATTCCCCTTCCTCTACTATAGCACGTATTGTTCAGAGGATCTCATATGGCATCAATTAGAGGGCAGACCTTGGGCTGAGGCATTTGTTTTCTGCTGACACCTTTTGAAATCCCCATTCCTCATTCACTGGTGCTCTAGTTTTTACTCAAATGTTCCATACTCCCTTTGTCCTTGATCACTTGGTGCATACTACAAAACTGTGTGTGCCTTCTCTCATGATAAATTTGATATATCTTTGGGCTAAGGCTCTCTCTCTCTCTCTCTCTCTCTCTCTCTGTGTCTTTCTCTCTCCCTCCATGCCTCCTTCAATTTCTATACCTGTATGGGGACATGGGGAAGATTGCCCTATTCTCTGTGGATGTCACCAGACACTTCTACCCACAGTATCCACCAAGTGATCCACACTGTGCTGCTCTGCTACTTTTGTGGCATGGGCAAAATCTGCAAGGCCATTACCTTCATGTACAGTTGGGCAAGTAACCACATTTTGCCCAACTACCATAAAAGGTGTTAGCCAGCATTTTATTTAGACTCTATAACACTATGATAACTTTTGGCCAGATCTTACAGATAAGAAGGACATTTAACCTCTCCTTTCCTACAATTTTTTTGTGAAAGTTAATTACCTTTTCATTTGTAAATCACTATGCTAGATGCCAACCAATTATTATTATTAATAACCATGTGAACATTGTTAATAAGCTATAATAGTAACAATATCTGACCCCCTATTCTTGGACATACAGATTCATATATAGAGTTACATGTTTTCTATGTAATTTAATTAACATTTATTGCATACCTAAGAACTTGCTTTTATTATCACTGAAGACACAACCCTGATGCAGATAAATTAAGGAGTTTTTCAAAGTTATAATCCTTGAGTGAGACTGAACACAAATTAATCATAGTGTTAAGTCTTTGCCCCTTGCCCTGAAATTTTCCATCTAATTGAGCACAGGCTCTGGAACCAGATTGGTTAGGTTCAAATCCCAACTCTGCCAACTTCTAACTGTGTGATCTCAAAGAATTTACTTAACCTCCCTGTCTCAATTTCCCCTTCTTTAAATGCAAATAATAATGGTTTCAAACTCTTAGGATTGGTGTGAAGATTAAATTAGTTAATACAGGCAAAGTCCTTACTGGCACATAGTAAGCACTCAATACATGTTAGCTATTAGTATTACAATCATGTAATTGAAAGTATAACTGTATAATAATTATGCAAATTGCCATTATGAGTATATAATTATATTTATTCATATTGCTGCTAAATCAACGATTTTGTCATACTGTAAGTCTAATCTCCATGTGATGGAATATTTACCGGTCCTTTCTCTTGCAGTTTATTTTAATTCTGTAAAATAGAGGTTAATCTGGGCACAGAGAAGACATAACAAGGTCCAGTTCTATGCTAAAAACATGAAGAATATTTAAATAGAGCTTTACAATTTACAATGCACTTTCACATTCTTGCAGCCGTTTACCTATATATTCCCACAAGAAATTGTTGCAATAAAATGCTTCATGAGTGTGTTCATTTAAAGTGAAAATGTACTTGAGACTCTGGGGCTCGAGAATTGTCTTTTATTTATTGGTCCAATAAAAAATATCATATTATCTACTTCATCTACTTTATCCTCAAGGTGCAATATTGTTATGAATATATTCTGCATGCATTTATGGATTTTATCTTTATCAAATTCAACTTAAATAGCAATTTAATCCGAGAAATCTGGTTCAAATGGGAAAAATAACATATGATCATTTTATATTTCTAAAAATCGGCTTGATTTTATTTAGAAATAGTATTGTGGCAGTTTTTAAATCTATGTCTTTTGTTTGAAACCATTGTGTCTAGGTTTTGATGTAGGTGCTTTTAAAAATTTATTTTTCTGTTTTCTTTGTTTACATATAACCATTTCTATTAGCTTCCCAATCCTTATGTCTAAATGATCATCTTTCTTACTACAAAATGCTGATCTACTTTCAAGTTAGCCTTTGTTTTAATCAATACAAACAATTTTTCATTAAATAATCTGTATTAACCTCCTCATTTCTACCTAAGGAATAACTCAATTGATATGATTAAAAAACTAAGTCACACTTTTTTGGCAGGTGTCAATTACAATTGACACGTAACATCTTGCTTTTATTTCTGCAGCTGCACAGGCCCCTCATTATACGCTACAAGTTTTAACATAGCAGCATGTGATTTAAAGTCAAGTTTTGTCAAAGGAGGTCATGATCCCATTAAGGACAAGGTTTCAATCTCAGATGCTAACAGGTGCCAGTCTGGGAACTTAAATGAGCGAAGTCAGCACCTTATAAGACAAAGAGGGAATGAGGACAATCTAAGAGATCAAGGAAATGGATGCCTCATGTAAAGGATCAACTATTATGAAATCCACTTACTTGCTGCCCGGGAGCAATGTGTGGTCGGTGTTGCCAGCTCTTGAGATCTCTTTTTTTTTTTTCTGGAAATTTAGATTTGTTTTAAATGTAAAATCTCTCAACTTTTAAGTCTTGGCAATCCACTCAACATTTTTTAAGACACTGTAATTATCAAATGTGCCATGCTTGTAGGCCATCTTTGGCACACGAGCATTTAGTTAGTAATTTAGGCGTAATCTCTTTTACGATATAGAGTTACAGCATGTGGGAGGTAGAATTCCTCAGGTTTGTAATTGAAAATCCCTGCAGTTTATAAATTCTCCCTCCTCTTACATCAAATGACATCAAATTCTCTGAAGCTTTTACACAGGAAAATGAGTGTATTTTTTAAATCATGTGTCTATATGATTTCCAACTTAATGTTTTTATTTACAATAACCTCCAAACATCATTTCCTAATTAGAACCAACCCCCTTAGATATTTATTTTGCTAGGTGTCTTTTCTTATCTGTATTAAACATTTTATTTAGTTTAGAGAAGAAAGCACTCCTTCCTCTTCCTTGCTTTACCTCTTACTTTTTTCAGATATATACCAATATAAAAGGCGAATTAGAAGACGAGATTGAAAATGCAACATGCCAGACACATAATCAAGGACTTCACTCAAATACATGTCAGACATAGTGAGAAGTCCCCAAACAACTATACTATAGGTTGAAAACTATAGTTGGTCACAGCTCTTTCAACTAGCACACAAAAGTTTAGCCTGCAATTACCACACATAACACCCTAATGATGAGCCTAGTGACAGAAGCCACCCGGACACACTGGTTGCTTTTCAGATAGCTATGTTTTCTTTTAGACCTTTCAGGCCTAGAATGCTGAATGAATTTGCTTGGGTAATTTAGCGCATTTGTGTTACTCCCTTTTCTTATCAATTCTCCAGCTTTTGAAAACATCCATTTACCCTCTCTGAACTTTGCTTCCTTTCTCTCTGATTTAAGTTTTGCCTAGGTTATTTAAACTCTGTGTGGTAATCTAATTTCTTTCAAAGCCTAAAAACTCTCCCTTATTTGAGAAAAACCTTCACTATGTTGTTAGCTCACTGCTTCATATACCATGAAAAAATTAAATTAAAAATAAAAACACCATGACTGATATTGTGGGAACATTCCAATCATTAGTGCTGTTGCCAGATTCTCCATAGTTATTCAATAGCTAAAGCTTAAAGTTATTCATTTTCCCTTTGAGTGTATTTTTTGGACTAATGTAAAAGATTTGACATAACTATTTGCTTTGTTTATTAAATTAGCATTTATTTATTAAGTAGATGAAGGCAGTGTGTTCCTAACTCTCCATTTCTCACAACACAACGAATATTTCAGATTTTCTTTCTTGTTTCAGACAATAATTCCTTGTATTTTTGGCACTTTCAAAGACATTCATATCCATCTGTTGACTTATATTTCCCAGCATTTGTAAGTAGACAGAACTAAAAATCATCACCACCACTTTTTGTCAAGGGAAACTGAGGCACAGTAGACGGGAGACACTTCACCAAAAGAAACTGTGCATTTCACCAAGTAAGCAGACAATCATATACACAAATGCTAAAGGGCAACAACGTACCCTAATGCTAATGCAATCTAGGGAAAAGCACAAATCCCATTGAATGAGGGGATGACAGCAACTTACAGTGATCATAGCTGCAAGGATGATGTGTGTGTTTGTATTCGTTAGGCCACAGACATAGTTCTCCAATAACTTCTCAGGTCTATTGTAGTTGCCTTTAGAATTGACACCCTCCTACTTCTCCCTGTTAGACAGTATGGCACAATACTTCCAAAGCAGAGCTGCCATATTTGTACCTTATATTTCATAGTTTCTTTTTTGAGTTAAGATCTATATCTATCATATTAAATCAGAACTCCTCCATTTTTTACCCAAGGCTGAAGGTCACTAGACAACACCATATGGCTCCATTTTAGTCTGCTTCTTTAAGTATTTATTCATTAAAAATACCTACTGATAATTATAAGCCAAGAATTTTTGGAGCCACAGGAATAAAACATATGAATAATATCCAGTCTGCAGCTTTAAATCTAATGATTCAGACATGTCACTAGATGTTTACTATGCAGTGTTAAAGTGTCTTAAAATATATTTACCAGATGCAATGGGCATAAAGGAAGAAGAATAATCTGTGCCTTGAAAAAAAAAATTGAGAAAATTTGTTCAAAGTGATAAATTCCTTTTGGATTTTTCAGGATGAATATGGGCTAGAAACTTTTCAGTAAAGAGAACAATATAACAAAATAACATGTTTAAAAGGACATGCCATGATTGGGTAATGATGAGACTAGACTGAGATATAAGCAAGGTGCGAGCTGAAGCTGGAATTTAATGTAATGCTAAGAAGTTTACAGTATCTCCTAAGAAAAAGAGAGGGATGATATATTCTGCACTATATAGAACAGATAATTTATGGCAGCATAGAGGATAGAGAGGAAGAGGAGGAAGCAGTCAAGGAGACCATTTTGGAAAATGTTTCAGGGGATCACATCAGTCCTTACCAGCTTGATTTCCAAGGTCAATCAGTGTAATCATTTCCTTGTTTACAATCCCAACTCCCTTGCCCCGCTTGCTGCTTTATTATACTCTCTGGAAAACCACAAGAGTGCATCAATCCAATTCTTTTCCTACTCTATGCCTTCCTAGGGCTTGAGAGAAACATATAACCTGCTACTTGTTCTTGCCTTAAGTTCATAAACAACACATCTAACCTCAATGTTATCAGGCAAACGTGCTCTGTTTATCTCATCCCACCCTCCCAGATTATTGTATCCTTCTCTCTATACAATACTCCAACATTTATTCCCTGATCCTACACTTAGCTAATCGTTGGGCTTCCCGTTTCATTGAGAAACCTGAAGCAGTAAGAAGAGACAAATTCCGATTATCACATCCACTCACCTACCAACAACTGAAATCATATAGTTTGCCCTTAGTTACTATTAATGTATGTATGTGTGATGGACGTTAACATGTAGATAGTTAGAGTGATAGAGATACAGATAGGCATAGGCATAGCTGTATTTTAAACCAGCGTTTCTGTCTAAATTCAACCTCTCCATTTATATACTAGACTCAGTCTTCTCTCACCCTCATGTATCATCCCGTCAATTATCCTTTCCTTACAACATCTGTTTTTCTCTCTGCTCACTCCTGCCTTTGTATAAGCATGCTATTTATTCCATCTTAATCTCTCTATATACTCTCCTTCCCTTTCCATCTACTGCCCCCTCACTCCACTCCCTTTTCCAGCAACGTTCCTCATAAGGGTTGTTCAAATTTCCTGTCACCAATTTTTCTACTCTCATTCTCTCTCAAGCCTACTTGTATGGACATTTTACTAGAAACATCGCTGACGCTGCCTTTCTTCGAATCACCCATTGTCTCCATATTGCTAAATCCAGTGCCGAACTCTCAGTTTCTATCATGTTTGATCTGAGAGCACTTTTCTCACTTAGCTTCCAGGATGCCACGCTGTTTTCAGTTTCCTCCCACCTCCCTACTTGCTTTTTTCAGATGCTTTTTTAGCTGTTCTTCCTCTTCCCAACCTTGTAGTGGTGGATGCCATAGAACTTTGTGTGTGTTATTTTTGCTACATATATCCATTTTCCTTAACTTTAAAGGTCATCTATATGTTGATGACTCTCAAATGTTCCTTCTAAAATTGAGATTCTATGTTTCAAAGACTTTATCTCAGCTTCCTACACCTGCAGATATTTATATAAATAAAAGTTGGAGGGCCGGGCACGGTGGCTCATGCCTGTAATCCCAGCATTTTGGGAGGCCGAGGCGGGTGGATCACCTGAGGTCAGGAGTTCAAGACCAGCCTGGCCAACATGGTGAAACCCCATCTCTATTAAAAATACAAAAAATTAGCCAGGCCTGGTGGCAGGTGCCTGTAATCGCAGCTACTCGGGAGGCTGAGGCAGGAGAATTGCTTGAACCTAGGAGGCAGAGGCTCCAGTGAGCCAAGATCATGCCACTGCACTCCAGCGTGGGTAAGAAGAGCTTAACTCCATCTCACAAAAAAAAAAAAAAAGTTGGAGACAGTTTAAGATGAATATTAACACAAATGCATGCTAAATACTTTCAATACCTACTAAGCAATTTTTATTAAATAAATTTTCATTCCAAAGCTATTCTATATTTTTCTCTCCTCCAGATTCCAGCTATGAAGAAGAGAAAGAACATTTTGGGGGGAGAAAACAATTCCTTTTATGTGATTCACTATTTTCTCCCTTTCCAAAAGACTTCTACAGGAAATGAATTTACAGTCTTTACAAACCAACTTAGAAGAAAAGAACCATTCTCACTAGATACTCATCTGCTGACCATCAGGAAAAATAAATAAATAGAATTAATTGATTGGTTGAGAATTCTTTGGTAAAACATTTATAAAGCATGAGAAATTTGCATAGTTGCTATTTCAACAGGCTGGATAATAACACTTTCTAAGAAAATAAATGAGGAAGAAAAAGCCTTTTTAACCCTACGGCTGCATATACTTATATAATCTCCAAACTGCAAATCAACTATGAATTACTCATTATTTCAGAATCCATATTTTCCAACAGATATTTTCTATTGCCAAAATGTCCTTTTCATACAGTTGAACTTCAACTGTATTTTATAGAATTTTGCTGTCCACACAGATACCCATTGAAAAGCGATGACTATTTAGAAATTTTAAAGATTTTTTTTCTAATTTGGCTGACCAAGTTAACAGATGTCTCATATAGTATTTTGTATACCAATTTTCCTGATGTTAGCAACATTTCCAGCTTAAGACAAAATTACCCTCCACCACCTCTCAGATTGACAGAGCCACTAATCCTTTTTTACTTAGCTTCTCCATTTGAAACTTTTTAGAACTTCTTAACATTCTCTATTTCATTATTAGGAAAAGCCTTATCTGCTGTCATTTTAAAGGAACTATTTCATGAATTGTTGACTTGATTTACACTTTACTGGAGAGGAGTTAAAGAGTTCACAACTTAAGTTGCCAATCCTGGTATTAAATGCAATTTCTAATAAATTAACTGTGGGCATGGGTCTCAAGAGAGACAGAGGCATCTTAATTATTTAGGTGTTGTCCTCTCAGTTTTTAGGCCATTGGCCTTTTTGTCCTTCCCTTTATTGCCATTTTCTACTCACCTTTTGTTAAATTCACTAAGGCAATGAATAAAAGAAAAAAAACCCTTGCATTTATTATAGCAAAGTTAACAGTTGCTTGCAGTATTTACTAGCAGCTGACATCAAAGCTTCACAACAAGAGAGAGACAAAATTTCTTTGCTAAAATAAAATGTTAGGACTCTGAATAATTTTGGTTATATACAAACAGTTTCTATTCAGAATTGTATGAAGGCTTCTACCTCTCCTGAAGCTAGGCCTGTCCTTTGCTTTCATAGACTTCCCTCAGTTTCTTAAGGACACACTGCAACAATAAGAAACTGAGAGATAGAATGTCAAATATTTGATCAACCAGGTGTTTTAATTTAGACACAGTGCCACGTCACTAATTTTTCACCATTATCTTCACATATTGGAGTGATGGAGCCTAAATAGACTAGTTGATTCAATCTCAATTAAATATTATTTGGGGTAGCCGTAAAATAGAAAACGCACATGCATGTCCATGTTTTCAATAAAGCAAGCCATAATGTAGGAAATTATTCTGGCCTAATTCTACCAAAAAATATTGTAGTCTTCAACTATGGTATTCAGAAAGCACTCATCTCTCTGTAATGGAGAAATAGTTAATAGCCTTTTAAAAGGCTAGCTCTGACTTTCAAAAGGTTTGGACAAAAACAAAACAAAACAAGCAAACAAAAAACCAAACACATTTAAAAAAAATCCAAATTATGAACAAATGAAAGCAAACCCATAAAGTCACAGTACCAGGAAGGACAAATGCAAGCAAATCCTAAAAGAGATACTCCAGCAGATCTCTCTGGCCAAGTCCCTCTAGGAGAATGTTCTCAGTTTAAGGTCCCATGGCATTCTACCCTGGCCAGTGTGAGACTTAGCCTGGCATCAGACTTTGACCTCAACCATTTAGACAGGAACTTCTTCATGGAGAGGAGAATTACATTTACTATGACTGGGAAGGGTGAAAGGGTTGACCCAAGATAACAGGCAGTGGGCCATGGTGACTACAGGGACCTACAGACTTACTTGTACTGCCTGGCTTCAGATCCTGGGCTCTCCATTTACTAGCTGTGTGACCTTAAGCAATTGCCAATGTAAGAATTGTAATAATAATAGTTTATATATATATATGTATATATATATGTGTATATATATATACATATATATATGTGTATATATATATGTATATATATATGTACACACACACATATGTTCACTTTTTCTGAAGATTAAATGAGACTTAATCCATTATATATATATATATTCACTATATGAGTATTCATATTAATTATGAGTATATGCAGCAAATTAATTGCTGCATTAGAGATTAGAGCAGAATCTTCTGGAAGCAGAGAGGTATCAGGGCATTCTTTTCTGGATGAAATAAAAACTATGCCCCAAACACAGTATTAAGTTTTGTGGACAGACATCAAAAACATGGCCCTGATTCTTAAGGACATGGTAGAATTTAGACCAATTCAAGCCTCAACTTAGGTCTTTTGGTTCCAAAGTCACTGTTTGCATAAAATAGGACTGGGTCACACTCACCCCATTAGCCTTTGCAAACTTATATTTACCCATTTCTCTCTAAATCCTAATATCTACATAACAGTATCCTATGGGGGAAAAAATTAAAAGAATCAGAATTAAAATAAAAGTCATTATGTGAGCTTCTCATTTCTCAATAGGGTTTCCTTCATGTACATAGGAATAATAGTTAAAATGTGAAGCCAGTAACATCTGGAAGGAAATTCCAGAGTACCATATAATTTGCTCTCTGGCTCTAAAATTATTTTCTTTATATTTCTAGTATCATTAATATATTAACTATAATTACATTCTTATGAATGTGCAGTAGGTAAAACACCTTCATGCCTCTCATAACAATATTTGATAAATAATGTAAAAAATATATACCCCCTCCTGCTGAGTTCCAACTATAAAATAAAACTGGTAGTAGCAATTTTAGATTAGCATTCAACAATTACCTAACATTTATTAGTTCTTTTAAATGTTTTATTAGAATTGAAACAACCAATATTTGCTCATGTTTCATTAAATCCCATTTTCAATGTTCAGCTCAAACCTAGTGATAAAGGAGGGTCCTTTGAGCTTAGTGGTAATATCATCTAAGCCTGAAAATAACAGAAAAGACTTCAGAGTCAACATCTCTTTGGTCTAAGGTAACAAGAATACCTGAATAATTACTCAAAATTATAATACTAATAAAACATGAATAAAGAACCACTTACAGTTCATCCGGTATGAATTATTTTAAGCATGTCTAATAAAAGAAAGCTTTAAAAGAGCATTAGCAGAATTTATTTAATTGCAATGCGTGCAGGGCAGTGTTATATTATGTACCTGTGGCTTTTCAGAATCACACACAGTCTTGTGCTTAATGTGTATAATCAAACAAGAAAATAATAAAACTGGGAACCATTCTTCAATGGTAAATTTTATCCCACTGAGCTGTCAATTGTGGATGGATTCATGATTGATCAGAATAATACACAATGGCACGGTGTAATTCTTTAGTGTGATGTTGTAAAATGGAGTATTGCTTCTGTTATTTTATCCAGTTTGCTTTTATATGACAGGGTTTATTGTGCGTTATGTTGTAGCTCATTCCTCGGTTCACAGTGCCTACTGATGTGTAATTATGACTTGTCTGAACTGTAAGAAGGAGCAGTAAGTGAAAGGAAATCTGCAAGCAAGCTTGATTTATGAGTCCTGATACTATATTACAGTCCTAATCTGTCTGCTTAACTTAGCTTCGGGCTAACTTACTGTATAACATGCTTACGATTAGCACTATAGCAAGTTGTGGAAGATTTACTCTGAAAGAGCTAGTAGACTTTTCCTTTAATGATTTAGTCATTATTTCAGTCACAGGTAGGACAATAAATTATTTCTTTTATAAAGACCTTGTGTCAAGGAACAACAATTATGAAGGCATTTTTATGTGGTAACAAAGAGCAGCGTGTGAAATGTTTTCTCCATGTTAAGTATCATAATGTTATTGGTTATATTTTATGATGAAACCAGCCATATTCCTCTTCCTCTTCTTTTTTTTCCATATACAGTAGCTTTTGCCTGGTGCTACAATTGCACTGTGAGAATATCTGTTTTGATCCAGGGGATCTAATTTTTTGCAAGAGTAGCCAAAAATAGAAATTACTATGGATGAGCAAATGAAAGCAAACCCATAAAGCAATGACCTCAGTGTCAGCAAGGAAAGATGTAAGCAAATTTGCCTTTTTTAATCACCATTCACAAAGACAGATACAGCTGGAGTTAAGCATCACAGTACCGATATTGAATCCTAGCATATTCAATTCACATGCTTTTAGTAAATTAAAGTTATAAATTACCCTTTGTTTCCTCAGATCCAATCTAAATCACCAATAAGAAAAATACTCTCCTCCAAAGCTTATTTGTGACCAGGTTTTGTTAAATGTCTAGGGGAAAAAAACAAGTTGAAAAATCATCTGAGCTCATACTTTAGTGTGAAATAAACAGCTTTGACTATGCATAAGGACATGCAAGCATCTGAGTAACTACAGAAATATCTTTAAACAATATCAATGAGATGGATTAAAAAATGCTATCATTTACATCAGCTTATTTTTTGAATTGTCTTTTGTTCAGCTCGTATTCTATTTCCCTTTCTAGTTCTCCTAAATATCGCTTGCATAATCAGCAAAAAAGGGGTTTTAGGATCTAATACACCAACATATAAATTATTAACTGATTACTTCGTGATAAATGACAAAGTTCCAAAAGAGTGGCGTAAAATTAAACTCATGGTGGCCAACAGAAGGACTGTGATTTTGAACACAAATATCCTCAAGCTTATACAACTTGGGAAAAGTTACTCAGAACAATGATCTTTTATAATAAACAATACGCCCTATTAAATTCTGGAATTGCAAGAAATGCTTCTGCAATATTTTTGGTCATTCTATGCTGAATAATTAGTTCATTTTTTATTTCTCAGCACAAATCTCAGTCTTATTTTGGACTTCTGAAGGTGAATCCATACTAAGAACTCCTCACTTGCTATAATATCTTTGGTAAATGTGTGATTGACTAGGGGAATTTTTCTCATTTGGACATTGTTGCAGACAGTGTCTGCCAAAAAGTGAAGATGATATTTACTGGACTAAAGTTCTGAGATAGCATTTCCTCTACCAGTTATCAAATTAAACTTGATTTTTAGCCATTTGAGTGCACTGTAGTTGGAACCAAAGCAGTTTATATGCGCTGTGGATTCAAGTTGACTTCTTTTAATTTGGTGCTTGTGAACTGATTCTTTAATAGTATAACCATCAATGAAAAATGAGGGATGCAGGAACATACCATTAGAATGAGCCCATAAACTATGCACTGTTCTTGCTACACCAAATATTTCAAGATTAGCGTAGCTCACACTCACAGAATAGACAACAACGAATCTCCTCTATACAACCATCCTAATCAGTAAGAACGTTATTCTCTTGAATGGATGGGTCTACAAACACAGTTATCAGTTATTCTGATGATAAAATCATGAGCTAAAAATAAAATTAAGATTGCTCTGGGTAAGAACTGTTGGTTAGCATATTTTCAATGGCAATCTCTTTTTTTATATACCCAATGAAGCTACATATAGACAGTATCAAGTGACCATATATTTAACTACAACTCAAGGTATATTTTTTCAATTTACTGAAAATGGTGATATATTTAGGACTCTGAAGCCATCAATAATTCCCTGCCACTCCTGAGCTATTATGGCCACTGCACCCAAGAGCTTAGGTCTGATCCTCCAGTCTTCGCTCATGCATCTTTCCCATTGGCAGCAATGCTTAACAAAATTAGGTGGTTATTATACTATTTAAGAAGCTTTCGTTGGTGAAAACCATACAACGTGGAATTTTGTAGTAGTTCTTATATCAGTGGGCAAAAACAACTTCATGAAGTAAAAAACTTGGTAATTACCAGGGTTTCCTTTCAAGAAAAAAGTGAAAATATTCCTTGTTCTTCTCTAGTCATATTTCTAAATAGACAAATTTGAAATACGAAGCAGCCTGAAAGAGAGCAAGGCCTTTTGTGGCTGATAGAGTCACATTATCCAGGAATGAATGAATCACCACCCTTGGAAAAGTCCTCTTACCCGGCCGCCTCAGCAAGCACTGCTACTTCCTCTCCAAAGAGCTTTGGACTGGATATAGAAAAACCTGGATTCAGTTCCCTTCTCTATTCCATATTTCTGAACTTTTGACATAAGTCACTTCATATTTCTTCATCCTTTAAAGGTATTACACTTGCCTTAAACAATTTTGTGAACATTAAAAGCAAAAAAGATAGGAAAAATTTTATAAACTGAGATCTCTCACAAATAGCCACACACCCCCAAATATATATATGGAGGTGTGTATTTATCATCTTCATGATGATCTTTATCATCATCTCATTGGGCTTTCTGTTTCAAATTGCTCCCTCTACATAATGCCGCCTTCACAGCAGTCACCTTGTGTGTCCCCAACCCTAACTTAATCCATCACTGACCACAGTATGTACATAGCAATCATGCTTATGAATTTCAGGGTCTCCCACAAAACTACCAAAGTGCATTTCCTCTCCAATATACCTAATATTTTCTTACCTATTAATGGAAACAAGCTATCACACATAGAATAGTCCCTTCTCTAACATTCTGTTTTACTCAACTCCTTTAGAGGGAAATTTAAAATCTACATCCTTTGGGAAATCTTTCCCAATTAATAGAGATTTGTAATGCCATTTGCATCATCCCATGCCACCTAATCAAACCTAAGCCCTGTGTATAAACAACTATAGCAGTGCAGCTTATGAATCCAATATTATTTATGTTTCTGTCTACTCAATTTGTTATTTGATGTGTATTAAGTTTATGATTGCATTTTTACTAAGTCCTAAAGACTAAAGAACTAAGACTAACCATGCTTTGGAAACGTGTCGTATTACAGTGGAGCTGTGCATTTCTAGTAGATTTTGGGTTTCCTTTTCCTTCTAATTACTTGGTTGTATGACACACTTATTCAAAAATAATTTGAAAACAAACATGTGTTGACTATCTACTTGGGTTGACTCCTGCGAATAAGAAAATGAGAAATTCTTGACACCAGAAACCTATAATTTAAGAAATAAGTTATATAGGTAGAAACATTTATTAAACTAAGTAAATTTTTAAATTTTATTTTTTAAATAGCAATTAGAAGTAATATATCACAAAATGAAGGCATAAGTTTTAGGAACACAAAATGAAAGTTAGGCTATTCCAGGAAGAAGATGAAGAAAATAAAATAAAATCTAGTCACATACAAAGTAAACACTTACTATACCATAATAGAATGCATGCATTATGGCTTTAAAAGGAAGTAAAAGAATCATGACTTTACACTCAGGAAACATATAACATTTATGGTGAAGCATATGTTTGTCATATGGTCTTTCTTAAGGTTGGCGATCATTACCTTCACTGTCTATCTGACAGTGATAGGGTGCTAAGTACTTACCTTAGTAGCTTGCAAAAAAAAATAGACATTTGTATACCTACCAGTCTGATTCTCATTGCCTGCCCCTTGTATTGGGCACATCTGCCTCTGTACGTGACCATCTCACCTGTCTCCTGGACTTTCATTCCTCTTAAGGAAAAGGGATCTGCAATTACGGTCCTAAAAGAAATGAAAAATGACATTACTTTGCAGTTTCTTGTTTGGTTTGTAACTTTGTATTATCAAATAACTATGTCCTCCTTCAGGCCACTACTTTATGCCTGAACTGAGAGAAAATCTTTGCTAGGCTGTACACACCATGTCTGAGAATCTGTGTGTGTGTGGGTAATAAAAATTCTTTGAAGACAGGAATTGGATTGTATTCAGTTATAAATCAATAAACCAAGCACAAAGACATTGCACCTAGTAGGCACATAAAAATTTTTTATTAAATGAAAGAAGTCATTTAGTTAATCTTAAAATTTATTTTTATTCTGTATTATGCTAACCCTGTTCCATACTAACAGTGTGAGAAATCAATGGCAGATAGAACTTTTTATCAGTTCCATACTAATGGTGCTAAATGCTTCATGGTTCCTCAGTATATAGGACATGCTTCAAAACCGAGAATTCCCACAGAACTTCTTCCATTTGATCATTTTAATCCATTTAAGAAAACTTACGAGTCAAAAAATCCTTCAGGAAAGATTTAGAGTCAAATAAAAGTGCAAATGCTTTAAAAAATAATATGCCTACACACTTTTACTTATGGCCATATGTATGATGACTTCGTGAAAATTCTAATTTAATTACACATATTTTATCATATGTCTCAACATTATCTTTAACCAAGAATGGCATGTTTTTCAATGGCATTTATTTGGTTGGTGGTTTTAATAATAAGCACTCTGAAAGAATCTTTATACATTACACCATCTAAAATCTTCCCAAAGTCTCCCTTGATCAAAATATAATGCTGCTTAAATATGTTAGGCAACATGTACTCTACCTATTTGCATTATGCCAAATGAACTGGATCATTCCAATATGGTGTCACATGTGCATGGAAGCCTGTAGCAGTTTATAACAGGTGTCAGGGAAATGTACTTGACAGAGATATTCACAGTAAGGTCATCTGTGAACATTAACATTGAAAATATCAATAGCCATTAGTTGCATGAGAGGGGAAAAAGGCTATATATAGGAGAAATCAATTATGATGTCCCTTAAAAGCAAAAACTAAACACATACATATGAATATGTATTTTTAAAGTATCCTAAAATTTTACCTCACAATTCTTTCTTTCTCTCTCTCTCACTCACTCTCACTCTCTCTCTGTTAACCCCTCTCATTCTTTCTGAAATATAGAGAAAGACTAAGAGCTCTTGAATATGCCAATATATTTAAGAAAGAGAGAGACAGAGAGAGGTCATTACATGGAAAAAATAAATAAATAAATAAATCCTGTAAAAACAAAGGAAATACATGTAGCAGTGAAAAAAAATTGTTTTCTTAATGGGGTAGCATGCATTTACCTCTACTAAAACATTTAGAACATTCTGCCCGGTATTTTGATTGTTGATATATATGTGTTCCTCACTAAATAATATAATTCTTCTTCCTTATTTCTAAATTTTTTGTAAGATCTAAATGAGTGTCATTGAACATAGTATGTCTTCAATGAATATATTTTCCAACTGAATCTTAAATTGTAATTTCAAGTCCTATCAGTCAGCCAAGAAAACACTGATTACCTAATGGTTTAGTGGTGATTTAGTAAGGACATGTTCAGAGGAAAAAATCTTAATGTGAGGTAATTTTGTAAAAGTAACCCTGGAATATCAATATGACAGTTATATTAGTGAAGAACTAGTGGAAAAAACTAATAATAAATTACAGCATGCATATCCTAAAAGTTTTGTCTTCTTATGAGATTTTTAAATATACAGTCATAAAATGCAAACGAAGAGCTTGGAATTATATTTTTAAAAATATCTTAGATCTAATTAAGTACAAATGAATTTTAAAATATAGTTGCAAAATATAACAACACAATGTCGTAGAATGATTATATCTATGTATATATAAGAGTCTTTTGGATTGCTCCAAATAACTTCAGAAATGTTTTCCAATTCTCAGTGAGGCAAGCATTTCAATTTTCTGCAATATTAGCCGCGGTAACTAACGATGGCTAATTTTTGCCTGTAGTATTTCCTTCAATCTGCTTGTGCACTTTCAGTTTCTCTAGCGGCAGCAGCATTTGTAAATTTTCTGGTCACTAAACACTCAAGTACAATTGTAAGTGATCAGTTTGCAGTTGGCCAACAAGGAGAAAATATAGAAAAAGGAATATTTGCATATATTTATTAATAAATGCTCATAAAAACCTTGAAAGCTCTATGGGCACAAAATTCTTTTATTCTGCCTACTATATTATTTTATTTTAAAAAGCTAGATGTTTATAAGAGAGAATATGTTTTTTAGCTTAGAAGCATAAAACCACATATTTGGAAGGAGCTTTATTATATTCTGTCATGTCTGAGAAACATTTTGCTCTCAATGTTTATCCCATTTCCCATTTGTATTTACCTTTCTTTTTAATAAAAAGAGTTACTTAAATTACAGTAAAATCCAAAAGAGCATCTTCTCATTACCTGCTTTACAAGTGAAATCTTTGAAGTAATATGCATCACAGAGGAAAACAATCTTCACAAAACCCAATATTTTAATAACAGATTTATTAGGACATAGTGGAGATGATTTTAAAGTGCAATTTTAATGAGAATGAGTTCAACATTTAGCATTAAGAACTCCAACGAATTAAATGTTTACATAGAAAATATTTATTAAAATTAAAACTGTTCCATACATTAAGTAAAGGAAAGGTGACATAGATCCATTTAATCATCACACTATCATACCAAATTAAATTACTGCCCAGAACTTCTAGCAATACCTTTTTGTTAAGCTGCATAGGAAAAGGTTCAACTCCAGTAAAAGAGTCATACCACAGGGCAGCTTTAGGAAGTGCCATTTCATGGAAGTAAGGCTTTGTTTCCTGAGAATGACTGTCATTATTCTATGCAATGCACTGCAAATCCAGTGCAGAAGTAACTAGATTCCTTTATATAGACCCAGGAACCTCAAAGCACAAGACACCCTAAGACACAGAGACCATCCCATGATTAAATTAAATAATTAGTGAATAGGACATGTTCAGTTTTCAGATAATTCACAGATCAGCTTTTATCCAAATTCCTGAACACTTTTAAAAAATGGTATCCCATGCTTATGCTTAGACTGTGTGTGTGTTTGTCACTTGCATTCAAATTTTGCTCTATAGATAACTCGTGAGGATGCATCATAGGCTGAGAGGATCTCAGAACACATAGGGCCTTGGTGAAACTGAGATGCCAAAGTAGCTTCAAAAATATCTTACATTATGGCTTAATTTTATGTTTTCATTGAAGCCCAGTCATGTTGACTACCATTCAATGGGCTACAGAAATCTGATAAATGATAAATGAAGGAAACTTTGCCAAATAAAGGGAAACACGATGGTTATGGTTACCTAAGCAGACTACAGATATCCTCTGTGATTTTCTACTCTAAAATTACACATTTTGGTCCAAAAATTCTTCCTGTTTGTTTGAAGGGTTTCTGTGCTAGTGCACTTTTAGGGGACAATATAAATAATAATCCTAATGTGACAGACAAAACAAAACCTCAGAGAGAAGAGAATGACCTTGGTACTACTTAGAAAGAGGGTCCCCTCCAGGCAGCAGAGGAACCCTTCTAGGAGCATGACTTGGTTAGCAGAAGGGGCCTATAGAAGAAAATATATGTGCTGTTCTATTGATTCAGTGTCTGTCCTATGCGCAGCTCCAATGTGTGACAAGTGGAGTATGGTCTCATCTGGACTTCAGCCTTCATTTGCTCCCTCTGATTGAAAGTTGTTGTCACATGCAAAACTTGCACAACTTTACACAGTGAACCAAAATAGCATGATCAAAATAGTCATGAACCAAAATAGCAACATCTTCACAATAGCGTCCAATTTCTGTCTTCTAAGTAACACTGTTTGTGGTGCTCAGTTATAGGTCCTGAGAGAGAATTAGAAGAGCTAAATTTATTATCATTAGAAAGGGCATCAAGGTGACCTAAGAAAAAGAAAGAGAGAAAGAAAGGGAAGAGAAGAAATGAAAGAAAAAGAAAGAAAGAGAGAAAGAGAGAAAGAAAGGAAGGAAGGAAGGAAGGAAGGAAATAGAGATAAAGAAAAGGAAGAAGGAAAGGAGAAAGAAAGAAAAGGAAGAAGGAAGGAAGGAAAGAAGGAAGGTAGGAAAGAAGGAAGGAAGGAAGGGAAGGTAGGGATGGAAGGTAAGCAAGTTAGTTGTGTTGGTGGAAGGAAAAGGTGTGAAGTTAGAAAAAGTGTGAGAGAAGAGAAGAGTAAGATTTAAAATCATTGAATCTGAATAGGAAGCATAGTGGGGTAATTTTCCAGAGACTCTGCAAACTGTGGTTGGAGTGTAGAGGAACCACAGTGACTCAGAGAACTCAGAGCTAAGAATGTTAGAGATGTTGTCTAGCCCTGGACCTGAGGAGATGAACAGAAGAATGAGAGTCTGGAGTCCAGGGCCACAAGCTGCTTTGAGAGGGTCAGAACCTTCTCTCAATGGATACAGTCATACAGCTTCCTTCAGGTGACCTTACAAGAAGATAGCCAGGAAATGTAAATCTTAACTTCACTGTTCTCCAAGATTATTTCCCATTCATCCAACCCAAAAGAAGCCAGAAAATGGGAGATCCACACCTGTCCATACCCGTTTTAGCTACAGCTTTCAGCCTTGCAGCTTACAGCAGGCAGAGTATGACAGGGGCATACAGATATGCCATGGGGCTGGAACTTTGTTTGTTTGTTTATTTGAATAGGGAAAGGTTAAAAGAAGGAGAGAGAATGGGGACACTGCCACCCCGTGAGACCCTGTGAGGCACTGAATGGAGACGTTTTTTAGGTTGTATCATTGTCAGTTGTGTGGTCCTTCTGAAAGTCATCTACTGCTGTCTTACAAATTACCTCAAAACTCAGCAACTTAAAATAGCAAATATTTACTATCTCACAGATTCTGGAGGTCATGAATTCTAGTCTGGCTTATCGGGGCACCTCTAGCTCGGGGCCTCTCACAAGGGATGGGCATAGTTGCAGTCATCTGAAGACTTGACTGGGGGAGAATCTGCCTTCAAGCTCACCCAGTGGCTAAAGATACCATTTCTAAGACAATTCACATAGCTAACCATGAGACTCCTGTTCCTTGCTGGCTATTGTTTGATGACATCATTTTTTTTTTAGTTTTGTTTTGGCTTATGTTTTTTGTTTGTTTGTTTGTTTGTTTAATTCCTGAGCCTTGAAATAGTGCTACTTACAACATGGCAGCAGGTTTTCCCCCAGAGCAGGGGAAAGAAAGGGGCAAGACTGAGTAATTTATAAAGAAAATAGGTTTAATTGACTCACAGTTCAACATGGCTGGGGATGCCTCAGGAAACTTACAATCATAATGGAATGGGAAGCAAACATGTCCATCTTCACATGGCAGCAGGAGAGAGAAGTGTAGAGTGAAGGGGGAAAAGCCCCTTATAAAACCTTCAGATCTCATGAGAACTTATTCATTATCATAAGAATAGCATGGGGGAACCACCCCCGTGACCTAATCACCTCCCACAAGATCTCTCCCCAAACACATGGGGATTAAAATTCAAGATGAGATTTGGGGGGGTGGACACCGAGCCAGGCTATATCAAATTGTTGACGTTTTTACTGAGACAATTATACAGTCATCTGCAGTTGGAAGAAAGTATACAAAGAAATCCCATGTACCTTTTACCCAGCTCCCACCAATGGTAATATCTTGCAAAACAGTAGTAAAATATCACATCCAGGATATTGCCATTGATACATTCCATCCATCTTATTCCAATTTCTTCAGTTTCACTTTTACTTTGTTGTATACGTGTGTGTATTTAATCCCTTACAATATTATCGCATGTGTAAGTTTGTGTGTCCACTACCAGAGTCAAGGTACCTAATTGTTTCATCAACACAATTATTTCTCACCTTCCGCTTTGATAATTACTGCCACTTCTTTCTCTCCATCCTCTCCTGCCCATAACTTCTGGTAACCACCAATCCATTCATTTCTGTAAATGTTATTTCAAAACATTATATAAATGGAATCATACAGTATGCAACTTTTTGGACTGACTTTTTCACTTAGCATAGATCTCTGGAGATTCATCTAAGTTGTGTGTATCAAAAATTCCTGTTTATTGCTGAGTTGTTTTCCACAGCAGGTATGTGGCACTGTTTATTTAATCATTTACCTGTTGAAGGACATCTGGGGTGATGTTAATTTTTAACTATTATGAATGAAGTTGCTATGAACATTTATGCACAAGTTTTGGGGTGATCACAAGTTCTTGTATCCCTGGGAAAAATGCACAGCAGTGCAATTGCTGAATAATTGCATGTTTAGTCTTATAAGAAACCTCCCATCATTTTTGCAATATTCTTTTTGTTAGAAATGAGTCACTAGGTCTAACCTACACTCCAAGATAGTTTCTTACAAAGGGGTATATATGGCATGCATGGCAAAGGCAGGAATCATTGGGGGTCATTTTAGAGGCTAAGACATCTCCTTGCTACCCTTTCAAGGTACATGAAGTTGTATCTGTATTTCTCTCAGATAAGCAAACTTTTATAAAACAGCCCTAAAATGTAATCCAGCAGGACCAGATTGCTTCTGTTATTGAAAAAATCCATTTTTTTGGAAATACTTTGATGAATTCAACATTCCTGAATATGGTATTTGACCTCACTCTTAAACTTTCTGATTTGAACGCTGAAGTTGGGTCTCTTCAAATATAGGACACATCTGAGCCAGGCTGAAATGATCACACACATCAAATTGCCACAAAGCCTTCAAAATGGGAGACTGGCTTTGGCAGAGACAAATTTACTCCCCCTTCTTATTATGACTCTTCTTCCAGCCTATCTCAACTCTCTTTGTCCTGGGTAACACTTTGAATCACACCATCTGCCTTAGGCAGATCTGCCCCATCCTAGCTAATCCTGGAGAGGACATGAAACAGCAGTTTCACACTTGCCTCCCACATGTATTTTTTGGTGATTTGAAGCCAGTAAATGTACAAGCACATAGTGATGTTTTGTGCTTCCTAGACAAGGAAGACGAGTAAAAATTGAGTCAAATTAGTGTCAACTGTACTAAGTACAGCCTAAGTGTTAATCTAAATAGGATAACAAAAATCTGAAGGAAATTTCAACCACAAATATCAATGATCATAAAAGAAGGAATGCCCAAATAGTATTATGTGATCAAGCCTAACATGATGACATCTATACATTTATATATATATACATATAAATAAAATGATTGCAGAATTATATAGAGAATTATAATTCTCTGGAGATTCATATATATGCTGTAATTATTTTACATCTATATATTTTATTTATCTCTCTCTACATATAAAATAATTATAGCATAATTCTCTGGAGAGTCATCTGAAATGAAAACACCCATCACTCTTCTGTTCACAAGTTTAATGCCAGCCCTCTCCATTAGCTTGTAAACCCCAGGAAGATAGAGAAAACACTTTTAGTTTTTCACTACTGGATCCTTACACTAAGCCAAGTTCCTGGAACCTATTCAGTATTCAATAAATAAATTAATTTTAGGTAGTTAAATTTCTAAAATTATTATCATGTCATGTGTATACATATATATGTTACATATATATGTGACATAAGAATAGTTTTTGAAATTTAAATATTAAACAACTTAAATATGAACATTCTATTCCAAGGTAGATGTGACTGGAAATAGCTATTTTTACTTGTTGTTTTATTTTTCTAACTGCTTCAGCTGGTAGGGTTTCAACTCATGAGTGGCCAAATCTCCCAAGGGCCTTATTATTCCTCTTTGTGTCCCTCCAAGTAAGGAGCCACTGCTAAGTCTTCCATACTGTATATCCCATAGCACAGCTAACCCACTGAGCCATGTTTACTCTGAACATCTAATTTAGACTCTCACCAGACTCTGCTTTTTTCTGCAGTTTCTCTGCTGTTTATCCTCAAAGTTACTTTATATTCAGATCAAGATCTCAGACACCAATGTAAGAAGGAAGAGTGGATTGGGTGTAACTGGAAAGAAGGCAGGACAGGTGATCATGGCAAGTTCTGGGCAATAGAAAAAAATTCAGACACATATCCCATTTACAGTCCTGTCTTCTTAATTTTTATTTTCTTTAATTAATCTACCATTATTTTTTTGATGCCAGATTTTCATATAGGTTTCCTGCTACTTAAATGTTCTTCTGCCCATGTTCACCTGGCTAATTCCTATTTCTGGTCTCAGTTTAAATATTCTTTCACCAGAAGCAATTCCTTGATCATCCAGCCCAGGAGAGATAGCTGGATATACACTTCCACACCCCTTTTCATGGTCCCTAAAAACACCCATCACTCTTTTGTTCAAAAATGTAATGCCAGCCCTCCCCATCTGCTTGTAAACACCAGGAAAATACACAAAACACTTTTTGTTTTCCACTACTCAATCCCTACACTTAAGAAAATTCCTGGAACCTATTCAGTATTCAATAAGTAAATAAATTTTAGGTGGTTAATAGTGTTTGAGTGATTCAATGATAAAAGCCAGAGGATTTCTCATGAAATAGACAGAATTCTAGGTAAAGATCTTGTTAGAATTAATAGAGCCAAGGATGAGTAACAGATATCCAGTCACAAAGACTAATATTTAAAAACATGTCTCTAAGATAAGAGATTTGGGCAAAGGAGAAAATTATTTCTGTCACAGAGGGAATACGGCCCTGGGAACTCTTGCAAGTTCTAAGTTCCTTAAAAGTGAAATATAACACATGGACCTAATTTTAAGGAAAAGTTTTGAGCCTAGTCATGGGAGCTAAATATTCTCAATATAAACAAGACTTATTTGATGTTGAGGCATTATATTTTTCCTCCTAGGAGCCAGATTTGTTCCAGACACTAGGCCAGTTTTGTGACTGATGTTGGGAGCTGAGCAAGGCAACCCTGAGGATCGAAAGACTGTGTTCAGGGTCGTCTAACCTCACCAGGATCTTTTCTATTGTTCAGTAATTTCTCCAGTGCCTCTTATTGCACAAAGGGATAATAACTAAGAAATAACCACTCATGGAAATCTTTAAATTCCCCCTCTCTTGACATTCAACTACAATTAACTTTGTATTTTATCTCTAAATCTTTTGCTCCATATGCATTATATGTAGACTTTAATTAACATATTTTTCAGCTTAGAATATAAATGTGTATCAAAGTTATTTATTTTTGCTTGCCAACCTCTCAAATAGGTCTGTACAACTTATGTGGCACCGTGGTGCTATATGAATTATGCTATTGTGAGCAGAAGGGTAGCTTTCTGGAGATTTCAAAGATAATATAAAGCAAATACTATTTTCCTATCTCTGGGTAAAAGGTGCCCCCATTATAACTGGCATGAAGCATCTAAGCACTCCACAGAAGCCTCATTTCATTTCCCCAACTAATCTCCTTGAATTTCAAAGTTTTTTTGCCGTTAGCATCAACTACAACATTACCTTGATAACTTAAATTTTAATTTCCTTTTCCAAAATATCTTAAGTTAAAAGAACAAAGATAGGAAGTAATTTTCCATCTACATGACTAGACCAATAGAGACTAGATAGGACTTAAATAAAACCACTATCATTTTTGTAGTAAGATTAAATCAGCTCTTGATTGAAGGACATAAGGCACTTTTTGCCAAATCATATTAGGCCCTCAGCAATTGCCACCATTTTAAGGGTTGGGCAATTATTGAAAGCTACTTTCCCATATTACATATGCTACACTTTGATGAATCCTAAGTGCTGCAAAATATCTCACTGGACACCTTTGAAAAAACAAGTGACATTTCTAGTGGTAGTATTATTGGTTGTCAATTTTGCTGAGTTTTATACCGAGTTGTTAATTTTTTAAATTGCAACACTGATAAACTAACCATGTGCTAGTTCCAATAACTTTCTAGATATCAGACAGGTCCTTCTCTCTCAGGGTCCTTTGTTAGCCAGGCATTACTCTTTCTTCAAGTACTATATCTGTGTTCTATGAAATTTAGGTTTTTCCCCAAACTAAGCAAAATTTGATATTCATTATTATTCATTAAATAACATAATATGAATCTCCTATGTGGAACATATAGATTTTATCTATTGGTGTCTATTCTTATAATCTATAAATAGATCATATAATGTGAGAAATAAATAAAAATCCAGGTTTATCCAAAACTTCGTGTATGCCAACAGAATTATGATTTTAACTAGGTAGCATTTTACTAAAAGTAAATTTCAACCTTATTTCTGATAAAACAAATAGTGTTTATTTGTATTGAATAGTAAAAGTAATACTCTATCTCTTTAAAAGCCATGCATGCAAGCATTTATTTTCAGTTCAATTCTTTTTTCTTGAGATTCTGGTACATACAGCAAATTTACATTTAACCAAAAATAAAATATTCACAATAGCCAATTTTTCAAAATCTTTTCTTTTAAAATTAGATAACATTTTTGTCATTGACAAGTTTGATTCTATATGCAAATTGTAACTAACAGATAATGAAGGATTACTGTGCTTTTTAAAAATGTTTCATTTGTTTTAATTAGAGTTCTTTGTTAGAAATTTAGAGCACCAATTTGTAAGGATAATCTCCACTCGCGAGAAAGAACATGGAACACGGACAGCCATGGAGCTGAGGAACAGCTTTGAGTTTTGGCATCAGTTGAGAGCCCAGCATGCTCTGATGGATCGTGCGCTGCTCTGTAACCTTGTATTTCCCTTTCTCTATGTCAGAGATCTCACCTTCTTGGTCTCTGGCTTTATGCAGCTTCTTCTTCAAGTAGGCATCGGTGAGAAACATTGGGATTTTTACACTAATTTTGCTGGAGGTAGCAGTGACAAATTTCTGTTGTGTTCAACACAGAGAAGCTCAATTGAGGACCAGAGGTCCAATCACAATGAACAAGTGGCTCAGTTGCCTCAGGAAAGCTATCCTTTGGCTTCTTTGGTGACAAATGAGGGAAAACAGAGGGGACCTGGAAGTGACACAATCTCTGTTTTCTCACATGCTGATGAAACAGTTTCTTGTAAAGGCTCAATGGCTTTTGAGGCACATGTTCAGTAGGATAATAAGTAGGCATACGGCCAAGCTTACACACTGGGGGATCACCATTCTTGTTACCACAAACTGGCTTTGTGAAAGTGGCAAGAACCGTCTCCTTTCTTCTTTTCAATCCTGCATTTAGCTGCTGAACACTTCCTCTTCCACAGGGCACTCCTCGGATTAGGAATATCTGTTGATCCTTCCAAGACAGGGTTTCAGCTGCAGCGGGGCTTTCCCTTATTGGGCATTTTTGGCCCTGGGGTGCTTTTTCTTCACCTTGCCACTGGCAGCATCTTTCTTTACTTCAGGTTTCTTTTTCTTAGTGTCTGGTTTCTCGGCCTTTTCACCAGCATCTTGCAAGATGTGAAACACAATACACTTTTGTGTCTTTTTCCTTTCTTCTTGTAAATGTGAATAATTAGAAATTTAAATAGTATAATATTAATCAAATAACTTTCAAGATTTTTTTCTTCTGAGGAAAAAATACAAGTTAAACATATTTTATTCAACAAAATCTTGAATTTTAGATCCATTCACATTATTTTAAGTTGCTGCTATCCAATCAATCTTATATCTGCCCATACGGCTATACCTATTCATATGACAAAACCCAAAGTAAGAAAAGGATGTGATAAAAAAAGGAGTTTGCAAATTAGAACTAGAGATTCTTCACCACCTTTACTTAATGTTAATGCATTTATTACAATTTAGATCATTAAAATTCTTCACAATGCTTTTTGGAACCAACAGTTGTGAGCATACTGTCAGCATTGCAAGCAAACAGTCAATGTGACTTTCTATTTTAATAAAAATCTTGATAGGTTCTTTATCATATACATGCTACATAAAATAAATGGGCTTTTCTAGGATTCCTTTTTTCTCTCTATTTATAAAGAACAGGATTACCAATGAGTGATGGAGTTGAATGCACTGCTATTTATTTCACATGGGAGTTTGCAGAAAACAGAAAGGGCATCAAAAATAACTAGTGTTTATAGTACTTCGAAAGTTTGTGATGAAATTACAGATTGTAAAATTAGTTAATTGACAAAGTTATTATAACACTGAGTTTGCATTTTACTTTTTAAGTACATACACAAAAAGGATCTACATATATGAGATAGTCATGAGACTGATATTTGTACCTGCAATACCTGAATGTCTGAGTCTTTTTTCTCTATATGTGGTCTCTTACATGCTATATGCTACCATGTATCCAGAAGAAAGATATAATTAGTATTTTGGTTAACTGAAAAAAGTTACACAGGTACTTTATCGATCACTATAAGCAAACTAAGGAGAGGACAATGTGTCATTCATTGTTGCATGTATACTATCCCTTCAACAAAAATTTGATGAATGAAAACAGATTTTCAAATAATTACACTTAACACTGAATATATAAAGAATAGAGATTAATAAATTTGTCTTATAATTTAGAAGACTCTACTAAATTTTCATTTTAGGCAATTACATGCAATATGCACAGATTCTTTGATACCTTGAGAAAAGCACTTCAAAAAAAAATCTCCTGCTGGGAGTAGTGGCTTGAGTATCTACTCCCAGCTACTCAGGAGGCTGATGCAGGAGGATCACTTGAGGCTGGGAACTCCAGACCAGCTTGGGCAATACAGCAAAACCAGTCTCTAAAGCAAGCAAACAAAAAAAATCTGTTATTGCGTCTTTCTTGAGAATCTATAATTCAATAATACCAGTTTTAAATTTGTTTTGGAGTCATGAGGGAAGGGGAAACATTTTTCTTTTGAATTTTCAGTTCTATAAACTTTGTAACCAACAAAAGCTAAAAAACACTCAAAGGTATCATCTGGGTCATTTACTGATGAGGCTTTTAAGGGACCGAGCCCTAGCACCCACACGGCCTCCAGAAAGACAACATGGCAGAACGGAAAGAGCTGGGGCCTCTGAGCATAGGTGCAGATCTTCGTCGTGACATTTATTAGACATGTGAATTTGTGCAGGTTAAATCAACCACAGAGTTGCAAAGTCAGCCTCATCCCTGGCCATTTGGTTCTAGATGGTTCTATACAATAAAAAAAACGCGTTTCCATTTAGTGCTATTTCATTCTTATCAAGTCAAAGTTTTATTCATGTTCCTGTGAGCCAGCTTTCTTACTCACGAAATGTAGACATTACACAAAACATGAAATGGAATTTGCCAATTGTAAAAGGAGATTCATGTAGAAAAGTGACAATCAAGAGAGGAAAGTAGATATACCTAGACTACCTCATGAAAAGCAAACAGCCCAGAAATATGGGCTAGTGGTGCTAGCTTTGTAGCCTTCCTGGTTCAAATAACTCACACCCTCATGAGATAGATTCTTGCATGGAAAACATTTTCTGTAACACATGTTACTCCACCTTGACTTTGTTCTAAACAAATAATTTCTTATACACCTAGTTTAAGCTCGGTGGTGAATATTTTAAACAGAAAGATTGAAAGCCTTTAGATAATCTCCAGCATTAAAAGAGATATTAAAAAGGGACATCTTTAGGAAAATGGTAGTAATGTTAGCAGTAGTCATGTCTTTTCTCTACCAAGTAAGCATCAATAATATTTTTAAATCAGTCTCCTGAAGATAGTTCTAATCCATGCTGAGTTACATGACAAATATTTCTTTGAATGAAATTATAATTTGGGATATGGAAGCAGAACAAAGAAAAAATCCTATAATATGAAGTTATATAAACATGATGTCATAGACAGAGTGGCTGACCACGGCATGATGTTGATTCAAGTGTATTACCACTTGCATTCTTTTTTATTTTTCAAATGCCTTATTTTTCAAACAAGGCAGAAGATTTTATCAGTAAAATACAGCAAAGACCAGAAGTTTATGCTAAATTCTTCATTTTATTACTTGGGAGCCTGAAAGCGTACTGAAATGTGATCATTTGCAAAAATTAAGAAAAATATTCTGGAATTTGTTCATCTTCCCATATGTGAGCTTAGGCCAAAAGTTAAGACTAATCACAATTAAATTGGCATAAACTTTCTATCTTGGAATAAATCTAGGAAATTGAAACCAGTAGAAATTTGAATTGGGTTTGCAGTTGGAGTCAACCAGTGATGGAGTTATAAGACGGGGTCATTCTTTTAAGACGTTAATAACATGAACTATCAATGAGGAAACCACCGTATTGAACTCAAGGCATTGTCATATTTGGCAGGATTTTTTTTAATCTTAGGTGCATTAATTTTCAGGTTATTTGTTCCCTTTTGAGAAATTACAGTTTGTCACCAAGATGTTTAATAATGAGATGAATTGTCACATTTCCAATAATGTATATATCTTACACATGTTTGATACAGTCATTATACTTTGGAAGAGAGTTGATATTTTTCATTGATTGCAGTTTCCTTTTGAGGGTCACTTCAATTTATTTTAATTATACTTAAGTGTCCCCCCAACTCTACCCTTGGTGTTTGTTAGTTGCTTATAATATGATTTCAGAATTGTAAATGGCTCAGCATATTGGTAAATGAATTCTTGAAGTTTTTCCATTTAGATCAGTGAAGTAAACAGGGTGAAATAGAAAATGACATTTGGTCCCAACAGGTTTCTATTAGATAGGGTACTGAATTAGTGTCATTTTTACTGAGAGAATAGTTTACTGAGTATATATTTCATCAATACTATTACCTCATTTCTGCTTTAGCAAATATATGTATATATAGTTTTATCAGCATGAAGCTTTTACTGCTATTATTTGTGCTGGTTTTAGGAGCATAAAACGCTGGCCAAAGATTTTCATTTCCATGTAATAGGTGGCAAACTCAAGAGTCAATAGGGGCTAAGCAGGTAAAGGGCAAAAACGGCTCATTGTAAATCAATAAAGAATAATAGGGACTGTGAAAACCTGAAGTGAGCAAGTCTCATCCAAAGAGAAGAGCTGTTACTTAGTCTTCACCCATAATTTTCACCCATCAGGTTAAACAAAATATGTCTCTGGGCCAACTTCAGCCTGAAGCCTATGAGTCTGCAACCCCTGTCTTCAGAATCAGCCTGTCAAGGGTTGATTAAGTAACTTAAGCCAAACTAGGCCAATGTTTGCTATGAGGTTGAAGAGAAGAAAGATAAACTCTCCTATTGAGGGCTGGCTTCATGGAGGTACAACCCGTGCAGTCATAAGGGGTTCCTGACATAGAAAGGCCCTACGTTTGGCTTAATGTTCTGTTGTTGCCATGTTGAAATTCTTTACTATTTTTGAACAAAGGTTCAAAATAGATTTATTTTGCAGACTGTGGAGTAAATTACGTAGCCAGTTCTGATCCTGTTCAAGCTAACATTTGAAGCATGTTTCTCCTGAATGAGTTAATATACTTCTCTGCAGATTTAATTAACTACTGAGGAATGTTAGAAATAGAGGGATTAGTGTACCATCAATTTGCTGAACTTGGTTTTGCAAATATAGGCATGTGCGGATTTGAATGAGGAAACCAGGTTTGTTTCCTTCCCATTACTCTGTATTACCTCCCTGCAAAGAGCAGACAATCTGGCCGGATTCATTAGTCAAAGAGACCCAGGTAGAGAGTCATCAGGTGTAGCTTCAAAATAACCTGCTTGGTTTGTTAAAAGATTTAAGGGTTTCCCAATGTCAGACCAGAGGCATTCTTTCTTTCTTCAAATTAAATATAAAACTGAAAACAATTTTTAAAAATAGTTTAATGATTAAAGATACTGATAACCATGGTTTTTTCTCCTCTTACAGGTTGTTTCTTATTTGTATGTGAAATAAATGATGATTCCGATTTGTCACTAGAATTGGCCATAGCAAGTGATTTACACTCAATATCTGGTTTTAGAGTCATCTCTGCAACACTGGAGTAAAGTACAGCGCAGACTTCTCTGATGTTCACTAAAAAGCCATCTAACCTTTTTGTGGATCCCCAGACACCTGTAATCCACCTATTTCCAGCTCATAGAAAAAAAAGGATAAGCATTTAACTTTAAATCTCGGGACCAGAACTCTTAGCTGGATTAATTTATTTTTCCTACCCATCAATGTTTCAAATTTATATCCACTTTCCTGTTACATTTGATGCCGGCATGCGTGGCTTTGCTGTTGTGCAGGTATGACTAAGTACTGTCTCTTTCTATTGCGTAGGGCATCATTTGTCTTGGGTTCTACAGGCTGGCTGCATACTGACAGCACACAGTGACAGTAATTTGCACTGATCTGCCCCCACTGCTAGTCCTGCTGCTACAAATAGCAATTGATTATTATGCTGTAGTGTTATTGACTGTCACTAAGAACACAAGCTTTATTTCATTTTTAAAGTAACACGCTGCAGATTTGTTTAGCATAAGAGTAAAACTGGGAAATATTCATTCCAAAGAATTACTTGCAGTCACAAATGTAACTTTAAATCCTGGTCATAAAACATTTACTTTACTTTAAATCATAGTAAACAAAAACTTTATTGTGGTATTTTAGTGTCATGTAAATAAATAACTTCCAAAAGCTATAAGAAAATCAGTATAAAACTGAAATATTTTTCCTATTCTCAATTTCAGGAGACTATGCATAGAAAATGACTAGATACCTTTTCTTTCTTTATTTCTCCCCTTCTCTTTAAATTCTCTTCCTGTTCAAAAATAAGTGGAATCCTATTTCATACACATGTATTTATTTGCCTAACTGGTATTGTCGAAGTTCTAGTTCTTTAAAGGTCCTAGAACATTTGACTTCTTTTATTACCTCTTCACCCACAAGCTGACCAGGAAGTGATCTTCTGTTTAGAACTGCGATATGCAGGTTTGTAGAGCTAATAGTTATTAACGTTATATAGGTGGCAGATGTAGCTTAATTTATAAATGTGAACCTTTCCAAACTGCAAATTTCACTTCCTAATTCCTTTAAAACACAACATTAACAGGTAGCAAATTGATTTACTTTATTAGGCTATGCCATCGTGAGTCACATGCTTGGTTACTCCAACAAGTATTTTATGCCTATAAAACAGAAATTTTAGTTGTTTACAGAAAAAAAAAATACAAACTACACAAAACCTCAAAGACCTTAACTGCCAAGTCCCCTAAACAGCTCTGTGCCCTCTGAAGGAGGTGCTGGGGCTAACAGGGCTCTTGACAGAATGGACCACTGAGCTCTTCAATGTCATTACTGAAAGGTTTAGCCAATGGCAGCTTCTTACAGTTTGGGACAATAGAAGAGACTTTGAGATACCATCCTGCCACTTAATTTGAATTTCTTTGTTACCTTTTCCTTAAAATATTGTATTTTATTTAAAAATAAATAGAAATGTGTCATCTACTCAAAGGTAACTGAAAAAACTAAATTCAATGTATTTTTGAACAGCAATCTATTTCCTGGACTGACGTATACTGTTGGAAGGATGGCCCAGCTATATGTGGCTAGAAAGCAATTTTGCCTTCCCTCCCTTCCACTTTGACAGCACTCAGTATTTAAAAATCTGCCAAATGCAAGTTTTTAAAGCATATCTCTGCTATAATTGTCATTATCTATAGATAATTTAAATTTTCTCCGTACTAGCAAAGGAGGAACAGGATGCAGAGGAATTATAGAACAGGAGCAGAGATAGCCCTCATGCTTTGTTTTAGATTTAAGATAGTCTATGTTAAACGACGCTCAAAATCTGTTTAGAAGTAGACAGGGTGTAATCCACAAATAAGTAATAAAAATCATCATGTATTTGGGTAGACTAAGGCTGTCAGATACTACTAAAAGGTATTTACACAAATATTTTAAAAATTTGAGCTGTCAATGGTCTCAGGTAGGCAGCTTTTCCAAGACAGCTACTGAAATAATACAAAGTCTACAATAATTATCTTTCAGAAGGTCCGTCTGTCTTCCTTTGATATTCACCTGTGAAAAGAAAGTGACAGGTAATACTCATTTCATAGTTATGACATAATTCAAATCAATGCTAAACAACTATATATTTATTAATTAGCATTACTTTTCTGTATCTCTATGACTCTCCGTATTGTTGCAATTTCATCAAATAGTCATTTGCTTTATATGGTAATAATCTCTTCACATTCCTTCCTTTCATCTGTATTCTTGCATGCTATTTGTTGTTCTGCTAAATCCCTGTTACAGATGCCTGTGAGTTCCAAGAGCTTGATGAATAATTGGAAATGTTTTATCCCTGAGCTTCAGAAAAAGTGCTAGAAATAATTATAAGCAAACATCTTCTGTAGTGTCCCATATCAATCCAATCCCTGCTTTATGCTGTTTGTCCTTCAGATAGAGAAGGAAACAGTGAGATCTTGGTTACTAGCTTTTGCAGCATGAAGGGGACAGATGTTCCAGTTTCCATTGCTTTTTCTTCTGTCTTCTCTGTTCTTTCTGGCAGCTTGGGCTGTTCACTACAATACATTCCACAGTTAGTCAAGCCTATAAGTTCACAAGGTACAGTTAATTATTGATCAATCAAAATGAACTTCATAATCCTTTTGGCAACTTGTGCTGTACTTGAACTTCTCTCTTGCCCATAAAATAGCTTAATGGTCTACAGTAAGTATAATGAACATGAAGGATAGGCTCAAAGTAGCCGGCAAATCCTACCTTTCCTGCTTGTGCCAATTCAGAATTATTCCTTACAACTTATCACTTTCTCCCTATTTTTATCCATTTCCTCGGCTAAAGATAACAAGCCTTCTCTCAACCCTTATCCAGACCCCAGATGCAGAGCTTTCATATTTTTCCCTCAACTTTGATATCATTTAAAGTATTTATTTAGTATTTGAATATATATTTTTTAATCTTTACTTTCTTCTGCATAAATAAATTTCATTAAATAATAAAGTAGCTCTCATAAGCCACAGAGATGCATTTTCACTACAAGTATGTAGTTGTTTTTCTGAACAGGCAATTAGCCCATATACAAAATGAAGAACTTGTGCATCTAAATATAATAACTCCCTCCTCTTAGTGAAAATACAAACTACGTGAGGAGAATTCCTCAGACCCTTGTATCTCACACATGATGTGTGCACAGAATGATATTACGGCTGGTTGCTAGCCACCTATTCAGTCAACATTTATTGAAAGTCTTCTATGTGTCATGGCCTTGCTGTAATGAACTCACAGAGAGTGAGATGGAAATTGGAGTATGACAGTCTGGAAACTGAGCATTGTCATGGTGCATAATGACAGTTTCAGCAGAAGGATTTTGGCTATGGAGAGAAGAATGGAGAGGAAAAAAGAAATTTTTAATATATGGGTAATCAAGTTCACTCAGTCTGCTATTGGAATGAGATCCTCCTCCAAGGAAAATATTCATTCCACGACCCCGGCAAACCTCCATCCCTCTGTCCTCCAGGATCTCAATGCTTCCGATATACGAGGTAGTACACTTGCTACCATGCAAAGATGAATGGGCCGTGGTTCCTTCCTGCAGGGTCTGTATGATGTTAGACTGGGAAGGCCAAGGAGGATGACTGCTGTACCCACAAGGTGCATGGGTTCCATTAGTTTCCCAATACGCTTTCCATCTGGGAAGCTCAGTTATAGGGCTGTGTCTCGCTTCTCTTGAGAATTACATGTGCACTTTTGCCCTTATAAAACACTAATAAGCAAACAGAAACCCACAAAATTTACAATAACCTGAGTGACTTCCTCATCTACTTAGACAAAAGAGGCTAGTCTAGATGCCTATGAAGGAAGATACACTTCTAGGTGATTACAGTGAAGAGCCATAAAGAGAAGTAAAGACAAAATGCTTCAAAAAGAAAGACTATTTATGACTGAGGAAGTCTAGGAAGGTTTTCAGATTTTATGATCAGTTGAGCCAGACTTCTTAGGACAGGTTGTTTTCATCAGATGCAGATAAATTGAAGAAGATCAGATGATAAGCAAGAAGGAGGGAATGCGGGAGCAAAGGCTCAGTGATGGGAAATGTAGGATGGTATATTTACTGTTCATTTGATTTGACTGTACATGCACCAGGCCCCACTAACCTGTACCTAAAAATGGTGATGCATTTGATTAGTACATAAACAAGAGTGAGCTTGAGACCCAATATATCCAAGCAAGAACTTATTTCCCACCTCAAGTCTCACCTGTCCCAGGGTCTCTACTGAAACTGGCCGCCAAGTGCATTTAAAGTCTGCATGCCACAGAGAACTGCCTTTAGTCAGAAGCAACTGGTATTGTAAAAAACCTGAGCTACAGACCCAGACACACCTACCTTCCTATGCTTCCCTAGTGGGCTAAATTCTGAGCCTCTATCACTTCACCTATAACCTCCTCCAGAGCTGTTAGAGAGTATCACTAAAATGTTTTACCTAAAAAAATAGATACTTACTAAGTACTCGATAAATAGTAGTTACTTCTGTTATGTTTTAGAACAGTTTGGAAAGGTCATGCTTGAGAGTCTTCACTTTAGTTAAACAGAGCTATAATTTTCTTACCTAAAGTTCATTGATTATAAGTATAGAAAAATGTAAATAAAATTTATGTGTGATATATTTTGGATATTTGTCCCCTCCAAATCTGATATTGAAATGTGATCCCTACTATTGGAGGCGGGGTCTGGTGGAAGGTGTTTGGGTCTCGGTGGCAGATCCCTCATGAAGGGCTTGGTGCCCTCCCTGTTGTTATGAGTGAGTTTGCACTCCTAGTTCATGCAAGAGCTGATTGCTTAAAACAGCCCGGACCGTCTCTTGCTCCCTCTCTCACCGTGTGACACTCCTGCTTCCCCTTCCCCTTCCACCATGAGGAAAACCTTCCTGAGGTCCTCACCAGAAGCAGATGTTGCCACCATGCTTCATGTATAGTCTGCAGAACAGTGAGCCAAATAAACATCTTTTCTTCATAAATTACCCAGCCTTGGGTATTCCTTTAGATCAACACAAAATAGGCTAATGCAATGTGAAAAATACTGTGTTACAAACTTATTTTTACATGACATTCTATCTTATTAAATGAAAAAATGCCTATTCCTTGTATAATATAATTACCAGATATGTAATAAACTCTTCGGGAAATATTAATTTTAACGTATGTTTTAAATAAATATATTTGTGCCCATGATTTTTTTAATTCAAATATCAATAAAGGAATAAAAATATATATGCTCTCATTGTTCAGAGGCAACCACACATTTAAACTATTTTTATGGAGGTGAGATAAGTCAGAAGAGATATTTTTAAAAGATTAGTTTATAATGTCATCAGGGAATGTGCAACAGCAAACTGTGTAGACCTGCATCTTCAGCCACTTAATACCTCCTTGTATTAAGAATGTTGTGTAAAAATGTACATAGAAATGACACTCAAATACTTGTATCTTTTAAAATGGGATATAGAAAATATGCAGAAATTAGAATTATTGCCAGAGAGCAGGTTGGTATTTTGTGGAGCACTTAGCTCCAGTTCTCCTCCAACTTTTCTCATATAAAACTTGTTCTTTCACAATGTAAACTTGTTCTAAAGCAAGGGTCTACAAACCTTTCCTGTAAAGGGCCAGATAACAAATGTTTTAGACTTTGCCTGCCACATGGTTCCCATCACAACTATTCATTTCTGCCATTGTACTTGGAAAGCAACCATAGACAATACTCAAACAAATGGGTGTGGCTGTATTCCAGTAAAGCTTTATTTTCACAACAGACAGCAGAATTTGGCTCGTGGTCCTTGGTTTGCCAAGCACTTTCTAATGTAACATATGACAAAAGGAAGAACACAACACAAGGATAAAAGAACCTGCAGGAGGAGATGCCGAAGTTACAGAAAGTGAGAAGTACTGCAAAAAAGAGGACAGTTGGAGTAAAGAATAGATTTCCTGTTCTTTACCCATTTGTTCCTACCACTCTATGGCAGAAAACTTCCATTTCAGGAGATAACACTAACTACGTTGATGCTAGACAATTGTTTTATTGGAGATTTACATTTTATATGATAGGATATATTCTTTCCAAACCCCAGAGTTTGATACTTAAAATAGTCTAACATTATTGGACTTGCCTCATCTATTTCCAAAAGTTTCAGTGCAATTCTGACCAACAAGATCCCAGCAACTGACCTTGGAGAAAATTCCATGTTTCAGAGGAGAGATAAATAAGCATTTTTCCCAGCCCCTTTCCCAGTCAGCATTAAGACACCACCACAAACTTCATGAACCTAGTATAAAAATACACATTTTTGCATAACGCCACTTAGTTTGTGTTATTTAAATCTGGAGCCTGAGCTCTGTGGATTCTTGGTGAAACAACTTTGGCAAATAGAAAAATAAACTTTGCCTCAGTGGAAGATTAGTCAGGGAGGCCCAGTGGACATTTCACAGCAGTAAAATCCATGCAAAATGAATTTGGACAAGAATAGTCTGTCTAAGATATCAATTTGCCCAAATAATATATTTATAGACTATTATTACATCTAGAAAAAAAAACCGCTAGATTGAAACTGTAAAATTTCACTGATAAAAATGATCCATTCTCAAATGTCAACCAACATTAAAAGGGAGAATTTGACACTTTTAAATAAAAAATGATGTGCAAATTACACAAGAAATCTATGGAGACTCCTTCAGGTCTTTTTTCCCACTCCATCCTGCTCTAAAACATGCAATAAACCTTTTTCAATTGGAGAGGTTAAATCTATGTGTATAAGGGGACTTAGAGGCAGTGCCTTCTCTCTTTTCCTGCAGGCCTGTGTGCAGAGCTTTTTTCAGATATTGATTGTGAAAGTGATATCACACCAGAAGGTACATTGATATGGTGTCGGAAAAAAGAAAACGGCAAAGAATCCTTACAGTCTAATCAAAGCTCTGTCCAAGCCCCACACTCTGATGAAATCCAATCAATAGAGACAATTAAATGACACATACAGAGTCATCAATATTAAATACACTCCATTTCCTGTACAAGATCTGGGTAACACAGAGTGGACAAGATAAAACTTGACTCTGCAGGTTTATTTACAGGATATGAGCTATATTTAAATATGAGTATGAACGTTTGACTCAGTCATCATTTGCCCAACAAATTAAGGTGCCAACTATACATTTCGAACCACATCATGGTGTACAGACTTTGAAGGTACCCTTTATTGAGAGTTTGTTACAAGCCAGCCAATGTGCTAATTGTTTTACAATTATTATCTCATCTATAAATATTAACTAATTATCTTTTTTAAGGGTGAGGAAACATGGAATTAAGACGTGTTCAGAGGTAAGAAATTAAGAGAACTGGAAATTGAACTTGTTGCTGTCTGACTCCACAAGGCATGCTCTTCACCGGTGTGGCCCAAATCCATTGCTAACTGACTGTAATCTTAGAATACTCATCTGACATCTGTTTCATTGAAGTCTCTTTCTTCTGTAAACTGAAAAGTTTGAACCAAATAGCCTAAAGTGTCTCTCCTGATCTAAATTTTCACCAGTCGGTGGTAGCACCAGGACTGTGTGCTAGGTACTTGTAAAGTGTGAATAATATCACTCTATTACAATGGCTCATTTATTGGTGAGAAAGAGTATATTTTCAAGGGCTGGGATTTTTTTGCTCCTTCTTTTAACAGGAGTGACAGTCTAAGAAAGTAAGCAAAGGCATTTTGGGCAAAGCTTAGTTTAGTAGATTTAGTAAAGCTCTCTGGACTTTCCGCTATGGGAAACCTTTAGTGGCTCAGTGTGGTGTACATTACAGAAGAAGCTGGCTAATGTGGGTTACCAACTACTTCACCTCAGACTCAGGAAATGGGCTTCAAAATTTTTCCTCATTAGTTTTTCTTCCTTTTTTAAACACAGAACATTTTGCCACCAATGTAATCAAGCTCTAAAAAGTACATTTTAAATGTACATACTCTTCATCTTTTTTAAAAATTTACAAAACACATACTGCTTACAAGGTGCCAGGTACCATTTGAAATGCTTTATGAATATTAATGTATTTAATGTTCACAGCCACCCATGAGGTAAGTAGCATCATTTTATTCACATTTCCTAGATGCAGAAACTAAGACAGAAATTAAGTAATTTGCCTGAAGTCATCTAGCGGGACACATGGATGGGCCAGGATTTGAATCTAGGCATTGGGCTCTACAGAACATGCTTACAAAGGCAGCACTCTGTTGCCCCTTCTCCGTATAACCTACAGTTCTTAGAAAGAGGTTTTATAAAGAAGGTAGTTATTTCAAAGATGTTTATAAGAGATAAAATTAAAAGCCTTTTATGCTAATGAACAAGTATGACAGAAATGTGATAAATGTACAGAAAATATTTCCCTCGAAGACAGTCACTGCTAAATTTACTCTTGGAGAAAGGACAGAAACAGGTATGACCACAAATTTAATTGACGCAAGTTTCTAAACAGCTGCGAGGCAATTATGAGTTTTGGCGACTGTTCACCACTGTTGGCCCTTTGGATACACACGTGAACTTCAGCAACTTCTTTGACAGAATTCAAAGAATCAGGCAGTGCTTCCAGACAGCGACTTCCTTTAAAGAAAAATTTTATTGGTTGACCATTCAGAGAGTAATGTATTGTTTATACTTTTCAGAGCAAGAATAAGAATAAAAAATGTCTGCTTGTTTATCTTCATATCCTAATTATAACAATAATTGAAGCCTTTTTCTCCACTTTGCCTAAGAGGCATCATACCACCAGTCCCACCTATGTCATAGAGACTTTTTTGGTCCGTCTTTTATTTTTTTTTTTTGTCTCTTTTCCTCCTGGTAGGTAATCTTGCTGATTTCCTTTGTCAAGTTATGCAAAATAACAAATGTCAAAGCTTGGAAACTGGTAATTTGGCAATTTTAGACAATCGCCTCATAACCACATTTTAGTACACCTTTGAAGCAGTAGAAGTTCAAAGGCTGTGAAAAGATGACTATTGCTGTGCCTGTTACTGTGAGTCATTTGGAGTAATTGGTCTTGTCTGATGTATGTTTTGAACTGAGGAAGTAGAGCTTTATCACCACAATCAGATACAGGTTTTTAGCTAAGGAAGTGGAGTTATCCCCTCAGATGTAGATTCGTGCTTGATAAGGCAGAAAACAGACAGATGTACCTCTATGCACCAGGAAAGAAGTGTGGAGAAGGAACAAATAAAGCAGTTGAGAAAATTCCATGAAGCTTCAGTGAAGTGCTTTTGGAAGCAGTCCCAGTTAGGAAATTTCTCACAAGCAAGCAACTCATAATTTAGATGCAGATTTCAGACTTTAATTTTGATCACCAACCTAAACCTACCTATTATCCTCATCATGTTAAAAGTGGGCCAGTGATGTGCACACTCATCTACTGAATAAAGAAAATCATCTTCTTAAAAGAATATTAACTCCTCTTTCTACTTTTCTTTAAAAATAAGAAAAATAGAAAGAAGTGTTAATATACTTTTTTAGAAGATGATTTTAAAGCCAGTTTTTACTTTGTTAATTTCTTAACAATGAAGACTGTTGTTTCAAAATCTATTTCATAAAAAATAAGAGGCAAAAATGTTCAGCTTTAGAGAAAGCACCTAGATATGTTATTTCTTTTTGCACTTTCCTGCAATAAATTTTGTTTATCATTTTCCATGTGTGAATATGTTTGTAAATAAAAGAATGAGATCAAAAATTTAAAAATAAATAAATAAAAATGAGGCAAACACACATACACAAAAAAATTCCTTGGAGTTAAGGCTGGTTACCTTTTAAAATATTTCTCATGAAACATTCAATCAACTAATATTTATTAAATGCTTACAATGGGTCAGGCATTGGGCTGGAAATACTTAGGTTATAAGATAGAATCTCTTTTTCAAAGAGTTTACAATCCAGCAGGTGAAAAGACAAAATGGTACATATAATAATAAACAAAAGTAATCAAAGAGAAGCATGGACAAGAGACAGCAGATAAGGCTTCCCAAAAATTACTAGTTCAGTAACCACTGGATATTGATGGAGTCAGGGCCTGGGTATAGCCTTTCCTGAAGAAGGGCATGGCCGGTGTTAAGATACAGAAACGTAAAAGTGTATACACAAAAGGTTAGGAGAGAATGAGTTAGAAGGTGAAGATGCAAGTGGAAAGGAAAAGTGGCAAGAGAAGAGATGGACCCAGTTGGAATCACAGAGACAGGTAAAGAGCCATCTCGGTGCAAGTGAGAAACAGGAGGCACTGGAGCAGGATCAATGGACAAGGTACGGAATTGAGGAGACACACTGAAGTGACTTTTCAAGGATAGAATACATGGTAAAATGTGTGGGAGATTTAAATAAAAAGGGAGAGGAAAGAGTCTTTAGAAGACTTGCCTTCCCTCAGAGATAGAAGTCATTTTGTTTACATACATTCATTACATCATTATTTAATTAAGGTCTACCCCTGTCACCCCAGATTAAAAGCTCTTCAGTGTATCTTCAGGCCCGTGAAACTCTCTGAAGTATTAGCTGTGAAACTGATTTTTAAAATACAAGGTAAAATTAAAATTTTCCAATTTTGATGACACAAAGTATTTTTAAGCTAATTTATTCTCTGTGAGCTCTAAAATTTTATACATATAAAAAAAATGGGTCAGGCATAGTAGCTCATGACTGTAATCCCAACACTTTGAGAGGCCGAGTTGAGAGGATCACTTGAGCCCAGGAGTTTGAAACAGCCTGGGCAACATAGTGAGGCCCTGTCTGTCTGAAAAAACAAAACAAAAAAAAAGTTTTTTAATTAGCCAAGAGTGGTGGCATGCATTTGTAGTCCCAGCTACTCAGGAGGCTAAAGTGGGAGGACTGCTAGAGCCTGAGACGTCAAGACTGCAGTGATCTGTGATCACACCGTTGCACTCCAGCCTGGGCAACAGAGTGAGACCCTGTCTCTATCAATATTTGATTTTATTTTATTGATAAAAGGCAACAGTTTAGCATATTGTTCATTGCTCTCAGTGACAAAGGAATTGGAATAAGGGATATGAGAAAGGAAAGAATGAGAGGTATTTGAAGGAAAAAATGAAGAGGAGAGACTGTCATGAAAGGAGATGCATGCAAAAGTGGGGAGGTCAAATGTTGTCAAGAGCCATTTAGAGCTGAGAAGAGGATAGAAAGGAGTGTGAAAGAGGTCAGTGTAAAAGAAACACCAAAAAGCCAACATGACTGAAATCAGTACCACTTCTTCCTCTACGTGTTGTTGTTACTTATTAGCCAAGCTTGCACAATTTTTAAACTAATTTATATACAATGAAATATGCATATTTTAAGTGTACAATTTAATGATTTTGACAAATATACATACCCATGTACCCAACATACAGGATATTTCCATCGTGCTACAAAGTTTCCCTTCTGTTTCCATACAGGAATTCCACAGATTCCTTAGGCAGCCAATACTCTGACCTTAATCAATAGAGACTAACTTTTGACTGTATTTGAAGTATACACATATTGTATCACACAGTAAGTACTCTTTTGTTTTGATTCTTTAATTTAATCAAATGTTTTTAGTTAATTCTTCAATATTTCTGTTCATCTTCCAAAAGTTTATTCTTGCCTAATGCTGAGTAGTACTACATCATATGAATATATTAGAATTTCTGTTTTTCTCTTAAGGATATTTGAGTTACTTCCAGTTAGGGACTACTGTGAGTAAGTTGCTATAAACATTTTGGTAAATTGCTATTTGTGGGCATATGATACATTTCTCTTGTAAATACCTGGGCGGTAGATTGATGGAGTTTGTTTAACTTTGAAGAAATAGCCAAGGAGTCTTTTTCAAAGGGGCTGTAATAATTTGTAGCCCCATAAGTAATGAATGAAAGTTCTAGTGGCTCCCATATCATCAAAAATATTTAGTGTTGTCAGTCTTAATTTTGTTCTTCAAATGGGCATAGAGTCAGTACTTGGTCCTAATGAAGGACTGTTCAGCGGACTTACTGGCCTGCCATATATTTTGATAAGTGGCTGTTCAATTATCTTGCCATTTGTATTGACTAGTTTACTCTTCATTAATGATTTGTAGATTCTTTGCGTATTCTGGATATAGCTCCTTTTTAAAATTTTGGTATTATATTTTCTTCATTCTGTGTCTTGCCTTTTTATTTTCTTAATAATAACTTTTGATGGGCAGTTTTTTAAAAAATCACTTTGGTGAGGTCCACTTTCTAAACTTAATTTTTCTTATGGTTGTTGCTGTTTGTTTTTTGCTAAAATATCTTTCCATATCAAAAGGTCATAAAGAAATTCTCTAATAATTACTTTTTTGAAATGTATGGTTTTAGCTTTTACGTTTAGGTGTATGATCCATCTCTAAGTTTTTGTGCATATTGTGAGGTAGGGGTTGGGGATAATTTCATTAATACTTCACATGTTAATGCAATAGCTATAGAGCCATTTGTTGAAAAAGAGTAACTTTTTCTCCATTGAATTGCCTTTACACCTTTGTCTAAAATCAATTGACCATGTATAAACAGATTTATTCCTGCACTCTATATATTGTTCAATTGATTTATATATCTCTTTTCATGCCAATTCCACATAATCTTCATTAGCTTAGCTTTCAAATAATTTTTAAGATCAGTTAGTATAAAAGGTACCACGTTGTTCTGCTTTTTCGAAATTGTTTAATCTAGTTAGGTCTTTTGTATTTCCCCACAAAATTTAGAATCATCTAGTTAATTTCTACAAAATAGCCTGCTGAAATTTTGATTGGCGTTGCATCAAATCTATAAATCATTTGAGGAAAAGCAGCTTCTTAATAACATTGAGTTTTCTAATCCACGAACACAGGATATCTTTTCATATTTTCAGTACTTTTAAATTTCCCAGCAACATTTTGGAGACCTTAGTGTAAAGGTTTTACATATGTTTTGATAATTTTATTACCAAGTTTATTATTACTAACAAAAACTATGTTTTTACAATTATGTGTTAGAATTTTAAAATTACATTTCTTGTAAAAATATAATTGGTTTATCTTAGGACCTTGTATCATTAGCCTTGTTAAAATCAATTATTATTTCTAGTAGTATTTTATAGAACCAACATTTTTGGTGACATACATAGTCATTATCTGCACAGAAAGGCAGTTTTACTTTTCCCTTGAAATCATCACACTGGTTTTTTTGTTGTTGTTGTATTTTTTTGTGGTGTTTGTTTGTTTGAGATGGAGTTTAGCTCTTGTTGCCCAGGCTGGAGTGCAATGGCGTGATCTTGGCTCACTGCAACCTCCACCTCCCGGGTTCAAGCGATTCTTCTGCCTCAGCCTACCGAGTAGCTGGGATTACAGGTATGTGCCACCATGACCGGCTAATTTTGTATTTTTAGTAGAGACAGCTTTTCTCCATGTTGGTCAGGCTGGTCTCGAACTCCCGACCTTAGGTGATCTGCCCGCCTTGGCCTCCCAAAGTGCTGGGATTACAGGTATGAGTCACTGTGCCCGGCTACACACAGTTTTATTTATTTTCTTGACCTGGTGCACTTAGAATATCTAATAAATTACCGAATAGAAGTTGTTCGTTTAAGATCATTGCCTTATTGTTACACATTTTAGCAGAAAAGCATTCAATACTTTACCAATAAAAAATATTTTGGTGGCTTTTAGATGTATGCTATTTATTCAGTTGAAGAAGTTTCTTTCTGTTCCTAGTTTCCTGAGACTTACTTTTTAAATCATAAATGGGTTATAAATTTTGTCAAATGTGTTTTCTGCATCTTTTGAGAGGATCATACTCTTTCATTTGTTTTTATAGTGTGTCAACATGATGAAATGACTTGATTGATTTTTGGCTACTAAACCAAGCTTGCATTCCTAAAATAAAGCCCACTTAGTCTTGATGGATGGATGTGTGTGTGTTTGTGTGTGTGTGTATGTATGTACACACATATACAAAATCACTGCTGGTGGGAATGTAAGTACTGCATTTTTTTTTGTAAAAAACAGTATCATGGTTCTGATAGTTCCTTAACATTTTAAATACAGAAATACCATATGACCCAGCAATTCCACTTCTTGGTAGATAGTCAAAAGAATTGAAAGCAGGGACTGAAAGAAATGTCTGTTCACCAGCATTCATAGTAGCATTATTCACAATAACCAAAAGGTGGAAAAATCCATATGTCCATGGACAGATGAATAGCTAAAATATGGTGTGTATATACAGAGGAGTATTATTCAGCCTTAAAAATGAAATTCTGACACATGCTACAACTAGGATGAATCTTGAAAACAGTATGCTAAGTGAGATAAGCTAGACAAAAAAAGGGGAAAAAAGCTATTGTATGATTTCACTTATGTGACATACATAGAATACTTAAATTCATACAGACAGAAAGTACAACAGTGGTTACCAAGGCCTAGAGGAGGGTATAATGAGAAGTTATTGTTTAATGATACAGAGTGTCAGTTTGGTATAATCAAAAAGTTCCAGAAATGCTTAGTAGTGATCGTAGCACAACAATATCAATATAGTTCACGCCACTGAATTGTACACTTGAAAATAGTTAAATTATATGTTTATATATATCTTAACACAAGAAAAATGTTTAAAAATGAAAGTTTAAAAAAGTTGTAGCATCCCTGAGAGAATGGTTTCCTAAATGACTGTGAGAAGCAGATACCTCACCAATCCCACTCCTACCTCTCCTTCAGATTTGCATAGACCTAATAGGGTGGTCACTGCAGCATAACATCACATATCCTGGCTAATACACCACCCTGTATCATTCTCTGAGGCTCCTTAACTGAAAAAATCTGGTAGAGAAAAAATCTCACAAGCATGCACATTGGCTTTTAAGTAAGTGTGCTCATATCACCCTCGGCTGAGCTGTTAGTCCATCTTAATCCTCTATTTCTTCTCTCTTTGTCATTTCCAGATCCCATGCCCAAATCTTATACTTTCTCTAAATTTCAGACTCCATGTTTGCCCTCCTTATTGTCAGAAAAATGTCCTCTTATTTGTTGAGAAAGCAGAGAGTTTAAGTTAAGAATTTTCGCAAATTCCATCCTCTATGTTTCACAACTAAGTTACTCCTTTGCTGACATACCTCCCTATTGCAAATGTCATTTCCCTTTCTGTACATCAGTAGCTTGATGTACACTTGAGGCCTGCCTCAGCATAACATCCTGTCACCACCCTCTGAGATAGGTCCTACTATTATTCCAGTTTTACAGATATGGAAACTGAGGCACAGAAATCTTTGAAAACATGCCAATGGCCACAGCTAGCAAGCGCTGAAGATAGGATCCAAACCCATGCAGAGTGCTCGTAACTGCCCCTTTTCCACCCAGAGTCTCATACATCTTCCTTGAAAAAACCCATTATCTTTAATTTTAAATGTTTACATTATCTTTTCCATTGCAATACATTCCCATCTTATAAACATGTTCTTATTTTCCCAGTATATTTTTAATGTATACACACACACTCCCTCACACATAATTCCAACTTCCTTGCAAAGCAACCACTTCTTCCCTCGCTTTCCATTTTCCTATCAGAATTGTTGTTTGTAACTCTTCACCTCATATTTAGGTTTTAACCACTGGCTACAAATCAACTTATTGTCCCAAGTATGCCCTAACACCATCTAAACAAAGTCAAATTTTCCTAATGTTACAATCAATGTGATCTATTTTTACCTGCCATTCTACTGATCTCTTTGCATTTGCCACCTGTGGTCTGTTACCACTTGTTACTCTAACCCTATTTTCATCTGGTTGTCCTTCTACCTTTTTAGAACATTCTTTCTGCTGACCTATTTTTACTTCCCTCCTTCCTTTTCTTAAATATTGATGTTCTCTATAGTCCTGTGGTTATTGTTTTCCATTCTCTTTCTTTCCAGTAGTTTTCCCAATATCCAATCTCATTGACCTACAAACACCGTGTTATTGGAAAAGGAGTGAGTACCTTCCTGTTTCCCTGCAAAGGGATGGATACAACAAGTTTTGGCATGCTATTCAAAGAGTAGCCTAATCCAACAATTTGAGATACAACTAGCACTTATTCATTGATTACTATGTTCCAGGCTCTGTTCCAAGCATTACATAAGTTTTAATTCATTTAGTTCTCACAATAATCACATGAGGTAGACATTATTATCATCTCCACATGAAAGGTGAGAAACCTAAGACAGAGAGAAATAACTCACCCAGGGATTCCAGACTGGTAATTGACAAAGCCAGGATTCAACATATAAGTGTGGTTCCAGAAGCATTCTCCTACCAGCTATGCCATATCATGTTTTAATAAGTAAAAGATGCCATTGGCAGTACCATGGCACTAAACAACCCCAATGGTCCTTTCGCATAGATCATGCAGAGGCGCTGACCAATGGGAAGGTGATCACTGTTGTTCATCCATTCCCTCACACATAAGGACAGAGGTAAGACACTGGTAAGGCAGAGGCAATGGTGTTTTGAGCTAAATATTTGTTTTGTAATCTCAGATGTCATAACTTGCTTATCTATTGTCATACAGATAAGAGAAAAGCAATGGCATTTAAACCAGATAACCTATTTGGAATAAGGAAAGAACACTAACACTGAATCGGCTTCAATCCTCTCAGATGTCATAACACGGAGCTGTAAGGCACATTTTTACCTCCTAGAATACTAGATGGAGAGAGGCATTCAACAGCCAGATAGGATTTTTTTTTTTAAGTTCAGATAATATCGTATCACTCCTCTGCATCAAACCCTTCAATAGCTTTCCACTGCACTTAAAATAAATACCAATACACTAAGGGACACATTCATTTCAGCATCGTCAGTCTCCCACCAATTAACTTTTTCCCCATTCCCTATATTCCTTTTACCCTGCCCTTCTGTTCTGTCTGCCTGGAACACCCATCTATCAACTCTTGTCAAGTTCACCTCCTTTTCAACCTTCCAAAAATGTTACTTCCTTAGAGAGGCCTTCCCTGGGCCGCTTAATGTAAGTAGATTATCCCCTTCTCCTAGTTACTGTCTGGCATCTCACTTTGTCTAATTTATTTATTACCTAATTATTCATTCTTTACCTGCCCTACTAGAACATAAGCTGCTAGAGAACAGGGACTTTGTCTTATCCTACATCGCATTCATAATATTTAGCACAGAGCCTGGCAAATAGCAGCCATTTCAGATGTTTATTATACTAAGAAATAAGTAATATATTTCATGAAGTTTCCCTACAATATTTTTGTCTGCAAGCCCAAATTTTCTATGAATTTTTACCTGAAAGAGCATAAACTTTGGAGTTGGACAGTCTTGGATTCATGTCCAGTTCCGCTACTTACAAACTGCCTGATCTTGGGCTTATTTGTAATTTTAAAACTTCTCTTTTATTTAATAAGTAAAATGATACTTCACAGAATCAGTATGATCATTAAGTGTGATAATGTGTATGGAGTGATATACTCAGTTCCTGGCACACAGCCAATGAGTAATAAACGTTCATTTTCTCTCTTCATTTGTTTCTCACCTACTTCAACACTCCCTTACAAACTCATAGACCAGTACATCACACCAAACGTATTAGAAAATCAAAGTCAACAAAATGCAATCTTTGCCCAATTTCAAATCTCTAAGGCTTATTTTAACCTTCCAAATCCCAGAAAATTTTATCAAGAAGATAAAGGTTACAGAGAGAAGCAGGAAGCATGGGAGAAAGTGAAAAAGAGAAAAAAGAAAAAAGAAAAGAAAAAACAGAAAAAGAGATGCTGACAGACTGCACCAGACCTGGCCTGGCATTTACTAACTACACACACAGTACACAAAGGCAGCTCTGAGCATTGACGAGCCTTGTTGACTGCTTTGGGACAGTGCCTGCTGCTAGCTCTGTGTGTTGTTGCAGCTCAAGGACTTTCATCAGAAATGAGCAACTATTTCTCAAGTGTTTTGGCCAATATGACCGTTTCACAGTGCCTTACCTTTTTTCCCTCTTTGAGGTGGTAGGAAATGTGGACATTTAAAAGCAAAAACAAGCAAACAAAAAAAACCCAAAAAACAAAAAACTCCACAGTATTTAGCATTTTACAGTTTGGTTATATTTCAGCATTCATATACTTATAAAAACAATTTAAGGATGTATCCCGAGGATAATATTTCCTATGGAAAAGGCTCTTATGTTTTTCTGGAGGCACAGTTCAGACTCTCAAGGAGGGGATTAGTAGGAAATATGTTGTGCTACTTACTTAACATGCATCTAGCCTCTCTCTGGAATTCTCTTTATATAGAGATGACATACATAGATGCCTTTAGTGATCACCAGTAGGTTTGGAATGAATCTTGAATGCTCCCACTTCAAAGGGCACAGCTTCCAGTTTTAGGGTGGGGAGACTTGCCAATTTCTCCTCAGGGCCCATACTCTGCACCCATTCGCATGTTTATAACAAGAGAAGCAGCTCGTGTGTCCTAAAATGTGAAACCCTAGGGTCAGAATCTCCATGTCATGGGGTGGGTCCAGCATAGCTGGAATTGCAAAATAAAGTTAAAAGTTAGGATTCAGGATGCAAAGTAAGAGCACAGAACAGTGTTTCACCTGCAATTGCACTTTAGCTGATCTACCAACTTCATTGTTCAAAAACTAAGTAAAACTGTTTCCAAGTTGACCAGCAAAGCTATCTTAAAATATTTCTAAGAGTGCTAGTTTTGAATGAGAAGAGTTTTTAAGAATCATCCTATAAGCTCAAGTCAGATTCAGTGATGAGCAACGTCCTCACCAAAGTCTTGAAATTCACACCTGTTCTTAAGTTTAGTTTATGTCACAGTGCCAGTAGCTAGGGTGCAGCTAATGGTATAGATGCAGCAGCAATTTGAGGAATATCTGTTTGTCATTTCAAAGTCAGATGTTAAAGATGAAGACTGACCTTATCTAGCAAAGTTATTAGCAGATCTTCCCACAGTACTTCTGGTAGAAACTCTATATACCCCACCATAATCATCTCAGTCTTCTGTCTGCTTCCCTTCTTCTGGGACTTGGTCTTTACTGATGTGACTCAATTTGATGTCATCTAGTTTGTCCTCCACCTAAGGTTGACCTTAAAGAGACTGGTCATGTTACATTTTCCAAAATGGTCAAATAGCCAAATCATGGAAAGGTATGGATTATTTTTTTTTCCATCTTATTGAGAACTTAGATAATCCATCATCATTTTTTCTTTCTTTCTGTGAGAAAGCTTGTGATATGGTTTGGCTGTGTCCCCACCCAAATCTCATCTTGAATTGTAACTCCCACAATTTCCAACTTTTGTGGGTGGAACCCAGTGGGATGTGACTGAATTATGGGGGCAGGTGTTTCCTGCCTTGTTCTTGTGACAGTGAATGAGTCTCATGAGATCTGATGGTTTTAAAAATGGGGGTTCCCCTGCACAAGCTTTGTTTGCCTGCTGCCATCCATGTAAGATATGACTTGCTCCTCCTTGCCTTTCACTTTCCACCATGACTGTGAGGTCTCCCCAGCCAGGTGGAACTGTAAGTGCAATAAACCTCTTTTTTTTTTTTTTTTTTTTTTGGAAATTGCCCAGTCTCAGGTATGTGTTTATCAGCAGCATGAAAAGGGACAATAATACAATAAATTCGTACCGAGAGTAGGGTGTTGCTGAAATGATACCCAAAAATGTGGAAGTGACTTTGGAACTGGTTAAGAGGCAAAGGTTAAAACTGTTTGGAAGGCTCAGAAGAAGACAGGAAAATGTGGGAAAGTTTGGAACTTCCTAGAGACTTGTTGAATGGCTTTGACCAAAATGTTGACAGACATATGGACAATAAAGTCCAGTCTGAGGTGGTCTCAGATGGAGATCAATAACTTGTTGGGAACTGGAGCAAAGGTGACTCTTATTATGTTTTAGCAAAGAGACTGGCAGTATTATGCCCCTGCCTTAGAGATTTGTGGAACTTTGAACTTCAGAGAGATGATTTAGGGTATGTGGTGGAAGAAATTTCTAAGCAGCAAAACATTCAAGAAGTGACTTGGGTGCTGCTAAAGGCGTTCAGTTTTAAAAAGGAAACAGAGCATAAAAGTTTGGAAAAGTTGCAGCCTGACAATCTGATAGAAAAGAAAATCTCATTTTCTGAGGAGAAATTGAAGCTGGCTGCAGAAATTTGCATAATCAACAAAAAGCCGAATGTTAATCACCAAGGCAAGGGAGAAAATGTCTCCAAGGCATGAAAGAGATTTTTGCAGCCGCCCCTCCCTAGGCTTGGAGGCCTAGGAGGGAAAAATGGTCTCGTGGATCAGGCCCAGGGTCCCTGTGCTAGGGGAAGTCTAGGGATTTGCTGCTCTGCATCCCAGTTGCTCCAGCTGTGGCTGAAAGGGGCCAACATAGAGTTTGGGCTGTGACTTCAGAGGATGAAATCCTCAAGCCTTGGCAGCTTCTATGTGGTGTTGAACCTGCAAGTGCACAGAAGTCAAGAATCAAGGTTTGGGAACCTCTGCCTAGATTTCAGAAGATGTATGCAAATGCCTGGATGTCCAGGCAGAAGTTTGGTGTAGGGGCTGGGCTATCATGGAGAACCTCTGCTAGGGCAGTTCAGAAGAAAAATGTGGTGTTGGAACCCCCACGCAGAGTCCCTACTGGGTCACCACCTAGGGAAGCTGTAAGAAGAGGGCAACCATCCTCCAGACCACAGAATGGTAGATCCACTGAGAGCTTGCACCATGTACCGGGTAAAGCCACAGACACTCAACCCCAGCCTGCGAAAGCAGCCAGGAGGGAGGGTGCACCCTTCAAAGCCACAGGGGTGGATCTTCTGAAGACCATGGGAACCCATCTCTTGCATCCATGTGACCCGGATGTGAGACATGGAGTCAAAGGAGATCATTTTGAAACTTAAAGATTTGACTGCTTTGCTGAATTTTGGTCTTGCATGGAGCCTGTATCCCCTTTGTTTGGCCACTTTCTCCCATTTGGAATGGCTGTATTTACCCAATGTCTGTACCCCCATTGTAGCTAGGAGGTAACTAACCTGCTTTTGATTTTACAACTCATAGGGAGAAGGGACTTGCCTTGTCTCAGATGAGATGTTGGACTGTGGACTTTTGAGTTAGTGCTGAAATGAGTTATGATTTTGGGGACTGTTGGGAAGGCATGATTGGTTTTGAAATGTAAGGACATGAGATTTGGGAGGGGTCGGGGTGAAATGGTATGGTTTTTCTCTGTCCCCACCCAAATCTCATCTTGAATTGTAGCTTCCACAATTCCCACGTCGTGGGAGGAAAACAGTGGGAGATGACTGAATCGTGGAAGCGGATCTTTCCTGTGCTGTTCTCATGATGGTGAATGAGCCTCACGAAACTGATGGTTTTAAAAATGAGAGACTCTCTGCACAAGCTCTCTCTTTGCCTGCCACCATACATGTAAGATGTGATTTGCTCCCCCTTGCCTTTCACCTTCCATCATGATTATGAGGCCTCCCCAGCCACATGGAACTGTAAGTCCAATAAGCCTCTTTCTTTTATAAATTGCCCAGTCTTGGGTATGTCTTTATCAGCAGCATGAAAACAGACTAATACAGCTTGTAACAAAAGTGTTTATGGATTAATGCTTTAAAAGTGGTCTGACTGATGACTTTTAGTATTAAGCACAGGTTCAGCGTATTAACAGATTTGTGACACTTTTTTAAGTAAGGGCTTTAGGATCATGTGGCTTGGCCATCAGGATGCAGAGGAACAGGGAAGGCCCTAGCAAGAACGCTGAAATCCTATTTGCAAAGGAATTTGGTGGGGAATTCATGTCCTATTTCATTTCTACCCAGCCATACCCCTCACAAATCCCGCTACTGCTTGACCAAAGCAGCAAATCAGGTCTGTTTTTAAGGCTGTTCCTTTTAACTTGAACCCCTGCTGGTTTTCCTACTTTTTGTTTATTTAATTGTGTGTGTGCAGTTGTGGGAGGATAGAAGGAGTGGACCCTTAGCTTTTTCTTCCCATGCATTTAACTGGATTCAAGATTGAGTTCAAACAGGACTGTGACCTGAGCAGGTTCCACTGCTCTGTTCCCCAGCTGGCTGAGCCCCTCACTATAGCATTCCCATGGACCCACTGGCTGGAATCCACAGGATTCTACCACCAGGACTTCTAACAAAGGCTTATTTTAAAAATTCATTTAAATCTAACACTTAAAGAATGGAGTGATGTTTGCCTGTATGGTAGGATTATTTAAGATTGCCAGGTCATTCAGAAAGCATGAGATTTAATGTTCTGTGTTCTCCAAACACATTTGTAAAACAAAACAAAACAACAAACTTATTTTCCTTTCATATCTTCTCTTCAGCACTCTTCCTCCTTTGGGAAGAAAAATCACTCTTTCCAAATTGAAGCCTCTCTTCAAAAAAGGAAAGAAAAAAGTCAAGTGACTAAAATTCTTTCTTTTGCAAGAGACATAAGAATAACACACACAAAGAGAAAGAACACCGAGTTATTTCCTTTCCAGTGGTCTTTGACATGATTTTTATGAACCTATCTTCAGACTTTCCTTCTCCCAAGACAGATTCTTACATTAGAGTTGTATTAAAAATCTAACAATTTAATTAATTAACTAATACAAATAAATCAGGAAGTATACATTATTAAGCTTTCTTTAAAAAGTAGAATCTTTAGCATCCTTCCAAATAAAGAATGTCTTTTAATTTTTCTAGCACAAGATGGTTACAGTAGTGTGTCGCTTAGTGACAGGGATATATTCTGAAAAATGCATCTTTGGCAACTTCATTGTTGTGCAAACATCATAGAGTGTACTTCCACAAACCTAGATGGTCTAGCCATTTACACGCCTAGGCTATACGGTATAGTCTGTCACTCCTAGGCTACAATATATTACTGTACTGAATACTATAGGCAATTGTAACACAATGGTAAGTATTTGTGTATCTAAACATAGAAAAGGCACAGTAAAAATACAGTATAAAAGACAAAAGAAAGGTACACCTGTATAAGGCACTTACCATAAATGGAGTTCACAGGACTGGAAGTTGCTTTGGTTGAGTCAGTGAGTGGTAAGTGAATGTGAAGGGCTAGACATTATTGTACACTAATGTAAACTTTATAAATACTGCATGTTTAAACTACAATAAATTTATAAGAAATATTTTCTTTCCTTAATAACAAATAACAAATTAACCTTAGCTCACTCTGTTTTGCTTTGTAAATTTTTAACTATGTATTAGTCCATTTTCATGCTGCTGATAAAGACGTATCTGAGATTGGGCAATTTACAAAAGAAAGAGGTTTATTGGACTTACAGTTCCACATGGCTGGGGAGCCCTCATAATCATGGCGGAAGGTGAAAGGCACATCTCACATGGTGGCAGACAAGAGAAGGGAGATTGTGCAGGGAAACTCCCCTTTTTTCAACCATCAGATCTCGTGAGACTTATTCACTATAAAGAGAATAGCACAGGAAGGACCTGCCCCATGATTCAGTCACCTCCCATGGGATGCCTCTCACAACACATGGGAATTCAAGATGAAATTTTGTTGGAGACACAGCCAAACAATATCTAATTCTTTTTAACTTTTTAACATTCATAATAACAGTTTAAAGCACAAACACATTGTATAGCTATACAATATCTTTTTTCTTTACCTCCTCATTCTATAAGTTTTGTGTGTGTGTTTTTATTTTATTTTTTTACTTTTTAAACTTCTTCATTAAAAACTAAGACACAAACACACACATTAGCCCAGGCATGCACAACATCAATATCATAAAAATATCACTATATTCCACCTCCACATCTTGTCCTACTGGCCAATCTTCAGGGGCAATAACACGCAGGGAGCTGTCATCTCCTATGATAGCAATGCCTGAAGGACCTGCCTGAGGCTGTTTTACAGTTAACTTTTTTTTTTTAACATAAGTAGGAGTACATTCTAAAATAACAATTTAAAAGTACAGCATAGGGCCAGGTGCAGTGGCTCATGCCTGTAATCCCAGCACTTTGGGAGGCAGAGGCAGGCAGATCACTTGAGGTCAGGAGTTCAAGACAAGCCCGGCCAACATGGTGAAAGCCCGTGTCTACTAAAAATACAAAATTAGCCAGGTGTGGTGACACACACTTGTAATCCCAGCTACTCAGGAGGCTGAGGCAGGAGAATCACTTGAACCTGAGAGGCAGAGGCTGCAGTGAGCCGAGATTGTACCACTCCACTGCAGCCTGGGGAACAGAGCAAGACTCTGTCTCAAAAAAAAAAATATGTATAATAAATACATAAACCAGTGACAGTCATAACTGTACTATTTACTTTTATACAACTGGCAATGCAGTAGATTTATTTATACAAGCATCACCTATAAGCACGTTTGTAATGTGTTTCACTACAACTTTATACCAACTATGACATCTCTGGGTGGTAGGGATTCAGCTCCATTATAATATTATGAGACCACCATCACATATGTGGTTGAATGTAAACTGGAAAATCACTATGAGATGAATGGCTGTATGTACAATAAGACAGAATATGAGATAATACATTAATTGGGATATCACCAATTGATGGACCCACTTCAGAATAGTAATATTATTATCTTCCTGGTATTACCAAAAGCAATAAGAAGTGACATTCATTGAGCCCTTCCCATATTCCTGGCTTATTATCAACCACTTTGTATGTATTATCTCATTTAGTCTTTAAAATTATGTTACGATATACTTTAGGGGTTGGAAAACTGATCTATAATGGCCAGAATCTGAATATTTAGGTTTGCAGGCCATAGAAGTGCTCTCTTGTGTAGTCTTCTTGGCTTTTGTTGCTGTTGATTTGTTTTGTTTTTACAGCCCATTATAAATGTAAAACTATTCTTAGCTTCTGTCCTGCCCCAAAACAGGCTGCAGACTGGATTTGGCATTTGGGCTATAGTTTGCTGACCCTTAATTTGATAAAAGTAGAACTAGTATAATTTCCATGTTCAGAGGAGGAAACTAAGAGAAGTTAAGAAAATCCGCCCAACTTACACACCTAGAGTCAGGGGACTTCAGCTAACCATGTTGACACTAGTTAACCAGGAGTAAACTAATTGCAGGTAAATCTGAGAATCAACGTTAACAGGAGATAAATATAGACAATTTCTAATAAATGTTATATACTTACCTCTAACTGGAAATATCACTGTAGTGTCAACTACTTTATAAATGCCTTATTGGATATACTCATAGATATATACTATTTCCACCTGGCAGATATAATATTAAATGAAGATGATTTCATGGCCACAGGTAATTAGAAGGATTTTACTTACATTATTTTTAGTGATTTTTAATATTTTCAAGCTTTAACTAAGAATACTAATTCTCATTCTCATTATTTTCTGTTCCTCAGGTTAGAGACAACTAATGTAAATATATATTTAAACTTTCAAAATTACAATCTTAGCTTCACTGAAAAGGAAAAACATGCTGGGCCAAATATTATGTTTTTGTTACATTTTTGAATCTAGATCTTGAATGGCAATTACTCCAAATTATTACTGGTTTTTCAAATCGTCAAGAAAGAAAGATATCTACTAAACTTAAGATTTATTAAATAAAATTTGATAGAACAATTTTGTTTGAAGATAAATGGTAATTTTGAGTTACCGCAATTGAAGTAAGTGTACTTGGGGTTAAAAATCACTAAGCAGGGTAGACATTTATGTGGTGTCTACTGGCACCAATGCTTCTTTTCTCCTCAGAAGTACAATTATACTGACCATTAAGAAAATAAGCCAAAGTTTCTATTCCAACTCTTAAATGTTCATTGTTCACTGAGTATTTTATTGAAGATTTATTTTTTAAATAGTAATGTTAACTCTGAACATAATAGTAAGGATTAGCTGAGAAATCTGAGGAATTTGTAAATGATAGGCATGTTTAAAATTAGAAAAAAATTTATATCTGGCAGATAAAAATCCTTTGTGTCTATATTCTTTTAAATGTGTGTTTTAAAAATATATAAATTCACACCCAAATTAAGCAGTAAAACTGATGAAGTAATATATTTTGAAAAATATTTATATAATTTTCTCACTAGACTGAAACAACTCCTTTTATTCTCTTGGGTGTATAATATATGTTTTTAAAAAACTGACTGCTAGGCTGGGCGTGGTGGCTCATGCCTGTAATCCCAGCACTTTGGGAAGCTGAGGTGGGCAGATCACCAGGTCAGGAGTTCGAGACCAGCCTGGCCAACATGGTGAAACCCCATCTCTACTAATATATAAAAATTAGCCGGCTGTGGTGGCACACACCTGTAATCCTAGCTATTTAGGAGGCTGAAGCAGGAGAAACACTTGAACCTTGGAGGTGGAGCTTGCAGTGAGCTGAGACATCACCATTGCACTCCAGCCTGGGTGAGAGTGAGACTCCTTTCAAAAAAAAAAAAAAAAAACCAGCAAAAACTGACTACTTACATATTTATCTAAAAGTCCAGAGTGTTATCACTAAATATTATGCACCAATAACCCTCTTGGTTGATTTAAAAAAAAAATTCTTTCTTTGGAATAAAAATAAGCAAAAGAAAATTTGTAAGTGTATATATACAAACTGGCTGCAACTAACAAAACACAGGAAATTGGACACACTTTAGATGGAGAAAGAATTTCAGATTTGTATCACAGCTCATTTTTCTGCCTGTAACACCACAGTGTATTGTCAAGCCCAGGACAGCCTGGGGTGCTTAGGAGAACAGATGGCAGCTGGGTTAGACCAAGCAGGAGAGAAAAGGAAGGTGTGACCACCCAGGAAGTGCTGGTAAATTATGCAGTTTGATCTTCTCACCTTCAGATGAAAAAAAAAAGAAATAAAAAAAAAGTACGTAGGAAGATGCCTGCCAATGGTCAGCACTGCAGCCATGTGACGGCAGTTCTAACCCAAGGAACAAAGTAAGTATAGATTTGAGAGCAGTTGGAAGGTTCTCATGGGAAGTTAGGAGAGGGTAATGCAACAGTGCAGCTAGCGCCCTGAGACCACCAGTGTCCCTGAAATAAAATCAAAACTCAGCTAAGTTTGCAGCCACAGTTTTTCCTTGGAGAACCTAGTGCTATTTGAAAGACAGGTGAGATACAGAACTCTTTAGCAATATGAACAGACACAGCCTTGGAAAGCAGCTGCTCTTCCTTCTCACTATGGAGTGATCAAGAAAAAATAAATTGACTTCCAGAATAAAGAATAAAGGAATAAAGCAGAGATCATAAATGCAAGACCAGTGAAGTTCTGGGAATCATATCGAGGGAGATTATGGAATCACCTAAAGGATTATCTTGGAAAGCTTCAAATCATTATATCAGCATTATCAAAAACTTAGCTATTTTATTTGTAGACAAAAATTAATATGAGATAATGGCATATCAAAGAATAATAATATGTCAAAGGAATTGTCTTCACCCTTTGCATTGAACATCAAAATAATTTTCTGCTTCTTGTACACCCTTGTGCCACTCCTATCTTGTATATCGATCAGCACATTCTGCTTGTATCAGTGCCGTTTTCCTAAGAGCATTGCCAAACTTTTGAGCAGCATTTAGAAAATAATCTCACAGTGCCTAAGACCATGTTCTACACATAATAAACAAGCATCTAGAAAAAAATAACAAGGCCATGAAGTTTGAGTTCATAATTCCTGCAGCCACTTGCTTCACTTTTGTTATGTAGCTTCATCCATCCCCATTTGCTACTATGTGATAAAGTAATGTGGAGGGCTGCCACGGAAGGGGTGGAATGGGAAACTGTTTCAGGTACAAGAAATAATATATTAAAAAGCTCAGAGTTTTGTGTGTGTGTGCACGCACGCATGCGTGTGTGTGTGTGTGTGAGAGAGAGAGAGAGAGAGCAATAACGGGAAGTGTTTCAAGAACTGAAATAATCCATCAGTGGCTGGAGGCATTGTGGCGGGACAGAGGGAGGTGAAAACAAGTGAAACTGCCTCACCTCACAAAGACAGTTCAATTCTTGAGCCCCTTTTAAAGAACAATGAGGGGTTGAGTTTGGGCTTTCTCCTGGGGGCAATAGGAAGCCATTGAAGAGTTTTAATCAGGGAAATCTGAGGTCAAAGGTGAGCTCAAGAATGTTCTTCCTGGTTGCAGTGGGAGGAGATGTTAGAGAAAAATCTAGTCTTGGGGCTGGCAGGTCAGTTCGGAGGCATTTGCAAAATTCAGATAGGAGATAATGGTGAATTCCAACAAGATTGTAGAATAATGGAGCAAAATGAACTAGAATCAAGAGATTAGAACGTGAGGAACAGAGAGGGGAAAAAAAAAGAAAGGATGATGTCCACATTTCTAGTTTCAAATAGAGACCACCGCAGCTAGTATAAGTTTGGAGGAAAGAAAAATGTTTGTATTTTCAGGACTGTATCTTCTGCCTTGGATCCCAAGTTATGGCTTCCAAGATCCACCACCTCCCCTCATGCTGTACATTAATTAGAGGATTCTGCAATAGACACTGGTTATTGGCATTAAAATCCATGTGTGCAAAATACAAAATGCCCTAAATTATCACAATCAGTAACTCTAATTGCTATCAATTAGGTCCCAAATTCTTCCTTACCTAAAATTAATCTTGTTCCTTTAGGAAATATTTCTGAAAAATATGCAAATTACTAGTATCATATGAGTTTGTAAAACAATATTCGCTACAGCATTTTCTTTTCTAAATGATACCTTCTATTAAGGATTCACTTAAATCTTTTATCTGATAATTTGTGTTAATAAAAATATATACATTTACATGTACAATATGCATACACAGATAGAGATAAAATTCATAGTTTTCCAAAATTGCAAATTCAATATTTTTGTACTAGTTCCAAACTTTCTATTTACTATTTAGAAGCCTTCCTGCAAGACACAAAACCCATTGTGCATTTTTTTTCACCAGACTGCAGGAGTGCAAAAGTGTACAGTTTCCTTCAAAAATGGAATCATCATTCACAGATGTAGATGTGTACTTGTTATGCCAAGATGAGACAGATGTGGGCCTATTCACTCAGGGACAGGTGCTACGGAAAAAAGAGATAAAACATTTGTAGAAAGTGTAAGCAACTGTATCGCTGTTGCTAAATAAATAAACTCTCTGCCAAAAAAACTTTATTTGCTTATTTCTCCTTATTTCTTCTGAATGTTTATTTTAAAATCTGGTAGAGCTGAGTTCTATTCAGTTTTCTTTTCCTGTATTAACAAAAAAAATACAATAAGTACGTATTTGTTTGAATATGTTCTATAGGAATAAATGGTACAGCCGACCCGACATGCAATTTTATACCAATGTTAATTAATTTAAAGCAATCTTAACCCCCAACATACATACCACTATTTGACACACTTAACTTCTGGCATGGTCATGTTCATGATCCTTATAAAAGAAAATAGGTCAAAAGGAGGGCCATGAAAATACTAGCAGTTTTGGAAGAAATAAAATGTCATATTCTTTTTCTGAGAAATGTTTGGTGAGCTACAGGCTGAGAACAGTACTGGGAGTAGAAATCTGCAGCTGCTCAGCTAGGGCAAAGAAACAGAAGATGATTTTGATTTTAAATATTCGTATTAAATCTGACTCCAAAAGAAGGATCGGGTGGGAATCAGCAGCTGGGAGAGGGAGGCAAGTGGAAAAGATGATTTTGATTTTAAATGTATTTAATCATAATGCAGAATAGAGAATGAAGGAGAGAGAGGGATCTGCAGCTGGCCTTAGGAAGGCAGGATTCTAGGTTGGAGTATTGTCTTCATCTTACATATGCAGCTTTGGATTCCTGGGACCCAGGGGGACCAGAAACTTGTGAATACATAGAAAGATCCTACAGTTTGGGGGTTGCATATAGAAAACTGTCTGCTAGTGTTGACACAAAAAAAATAGTAATGATAATAAGGATAGTTCCTAGAGCAGAATTCTTTCCAAGATTGAAAATAACAGCAGAAAACTCAGAAAAGTGTTGTTCATAGAGTTCCTACAGTTTGGGGGCTGCGTATAGAAAACTCTGTCTGCTAGTGTTGACATAAAAAAATAGTAATGATAATAAGGATAGTTCCTAGAGTGGAATTCTTTCCAAGATTGAAAATAACAGCAAAAACTCCGAAAAGTGTTGTTGATAGAGTGGTCTAATATAAACAAGCACTTTGGTTATCTGATAGTTATCTCTATTACGTGAAAGATTTTTATGATCATCCTTTAAGAATTAGGAAACCAAAAATATATTGGCCATTAAAATGGTAGTGAACATAATTTACTCTTTTGTTGGTGATTTTGAAGGCAGTTTAGGAGCTCACAGAATCTGAGAACATTATGTCAGAAATATACTTTGAGCTTGGTAAATGTTTGTGGAATAAACATAAAAATTAATCAATAAACAATTATTAACTCATTTTAGATATGGAGGTTCTAAACATGTATTGAGCCTATAATATACTCTGAAAGTTGCTTTGTATATTGGCTTATTTTCTTGTGATTTGTCTCACAAAACACAGTGTCAAGAAAAATCCAATTAAACTTTCTTTTTTTGTCTTCTGAGTAAATGTGATTTTAACGTGTGAACCTCCCACAAGCCGTTGTTGATATTTAAGATGCTGTTTAAGAAGTCTCCCCTTAAACCCCCAAGAAAAACAATTATATATGTGCATACATATGTGTGTATACACATGTGCATACATATGTACCTATATATGTGCATTTATGTGTGCGTGTATATGTATGCACACATATGTAGATATATATGTGTGTATGTTGATGATGCCCATAGTGGAGAAAAGATGGCTACCAAATAATGGATTGCAACTCTTTCTACTCTTCCACTGAGAAAGTTAATTGTTTGTTTATTTTAAAGTTTGACTTTTTTTATTTATAGAGACCCTCCTGCCTTAGTATCCCCAAAGTGCTGGGATTACAGGCATGAGCCTCTGTACCCAGCCTAAAGTTTGAAACTTGATTACAGATCCCAGATCCTTGTAATCACTAATAAACAAAACATGGATGGATTTCTTACATCGTATTTTTCAGAATGGGAAGCCAAAATCAGCCAATATTTTTATGGAGTAATTTATATCTCAAATCTAAATTTAAGTCATAATTGCAGCTAAAGAATCATTTGCTTTTAACATGAAAATGTAAGTAAGAAATAAATAAATTTCATACTGTCAAATTCATTTTGCTTAGTGTTATTTATTACTTTAAGATAATTTTTTAAAATGAGAAATGGATTAGTTTTAGGCCCGACACCTATGTTAATAATGACAATCCCCTGAATACAATATATAACTTATCAATAACTAGTCATGTCTTATTTCTTGCCAAACTTTAATTGGAAACCATGTTAAAAAAAAACTGAGCACTGCACAATTATTCACATTATGAAATAGTTAGTGGTGGTGATGGTTGGGTTGCAGGCTGGGAGGATCATTTCACAAGAAGAACACATGGCCAGAGTGGGGGGAAAACACACACACTGGGGCCTGTCGGGGGGTGTGGGAGGGGAGAGAGCATCAGGAAAAACAGCTAATGGATGCAGGGCTCAATATCTAGGTGATGGGATGATCTGTGCAGCAAACCACCATGGCACACGTGTACCTATTTAACAAACCTGCACATCATACACATGTGCCCCTGAACTTAAAATAAAAGTTGGAAATTTTAAAAAAAGAGGAAGAAGAAAAAGAATCTCTCTTTACGTTTTTAAGTCAATTTCATTCACCAGGTGGGGGCTTTATTCATGTTTTTCAAAGCTTGACCAATGAATCTAGCTTAGTACAAATATTTCTCTTTGTAGGCAGAATAGTCAAAGCCTTAACTGGTTTAAGTCCAAGTAAGAGATTTTACTTTGTCTAAATGCCAGAAAGCATACAAAAAAATAATTATCAAGGGCATAAAATTCATCTTTATACTCTCCAAGATGCACTGTGAAACAATGAGTATCCATTGTTCAATGTCATTCTGGGTAGTCTTAGCAGTTCTCGAATTGGAAATACCATTTTATTTTACATTTTATTTATCTTTCTTACAATTTCTGTCAATACAGTTCATAAATTTAAGCTGTATTTTCCCTTCCAGTGAAGCTAGAAGAAGCAAGTTTATAAAAAATACTGTTACTTCCTTACATTTATATTTTGTACAACCCAGCATTGATTTGCTCCTTATTTAAGCAACATTTTCCTGATAAATTAAAAAAGCAGCAATAGCCATTACTGCAGGCTATATACAGCCTCTAATATCACTTAAGCATATTACAGAATATAATATCTGGTACTTAACGACTAACTTGCATATGAAAGCTCACATAATGTCTCATAAAACCCTTAAAATGGCTTCAGTTTAAGAGTCTCTTTAAAAAAAAACACCTTCAGGGAATATTGTAAATGAAGTAGCACTCCAGCCTTGGAAAAAAAATTCACACACTTGCAGAAATTTTTAATATAAATTGAACACATTAAAAATTAATTTTGCATGACCATTTCGCATTGCGGTGCCAATGCATAGTTAAGATAAGGCCTTAACTCTTCTTTGTTTAAAGTAACATGGAAGCTCTTTGCTTTCTCTCTTTGCTTTCATCTGTACATAATTATTATTTTCATTAATCAGAAAATGGACCCCCATTTTCCTATTCTGACAGTCTCAGCTGGAGTTGAAGGAAACCCCACCTGAGTCGCCAGGGTAACTTAACCATAAACTTCTAGGAAACTCATTAAAGAAAGGTGTGAGCTGACAATTAACTAAGGCATTTTCCATCATCCTCCCTTTTTTAAACTGAGGGGCTTCGGAGAAAAGCCTCATCATCAGAAAAGTAGCTTTGAACCGAAAAGGAGACCTGCACTCGCTTTGCCATTGTGCTCCTCTTCCCAGACCCTTGATTTGTCTCTTCTCACTTGCTTTCAGCTGGATCAGCTTTCTCCTTGAAGATTTGTGTGGCTTTTAGCACTAGCATTTGAGAGGTAACACAATGCACATATTCTGTTAAGATATTATGGTTTGATGGAAATAAAAGGAACAAAAATAACAACCAATTGCACTTTTTTGTATATGTGCAGATTTTTTTTATTAGTCTCGTGGCCACAGTTTTACAACAACAGAATTCCCAAAGTGGGCATCAGTTGCAATAAGACATTGACGAATGTCTTTCTCTGCGGAGAGCTGGCGTTGCATGGATCTGACACGCTGTAGTTTTCTGTGGTTCTGACACGAGCAGCCAGTGCGTGCTGCCAGTGGTAGCTTACGGGAAGTCACCGGGGTGATTCACAGATTACATCTCTAGTGATCAATTTTAAAAAGGTGAGGACGGAGCTGACCTAAGAAAGTGCCCTGGACCTTGGGTCAGAAGTGCTATATAAATCCAGCAAACAAACAAAGAAATAAAGATATCAAGAGTGTATTTCCACTGTTCGAATCAGAGATTTTACTATGCAAATCTTAAAAGCTGAAAATATAATGGGAAATCTCAGGCTTAGTTCAGAATCTATTGTTTATCTTACCTGGGAAGGGATAGGGAGTTTTGGGTCAGAAGGGACAAGTTTAACAAGACTATTTTCTTAGCCTTCTTAGGCTTCCAGAAGACCTTTTGAAATATTGGAAAATGTATTCCCTAGTTCTCCTAATTCTTGCACTCCATGTTAATCCAACTTAAGGTACACAATAACAGATTCCAAAGCCCTTGAAAAGACATGTATAACTGACTGCCAAAAAGGTATTAGACTGTGGTACCGTCTTATCTTGAAAAAAATCGTTCGAACTGTAAAAACATAGTGAAGCCAATCTGTCTGGAAGATTTTGAAAGAACTGTCCAACTGCTTACAGAAACATACACACCTTCTAACACACTCACCTAACACACTATTTTACCCACCAAGCATCAGGTACTGCGTGCGGACTTGTTTCCAAAAACCCAGTCTGGTTTTCCATTGAAATGTTTCCAGTCAGACAGATTTTCAACCATTGGTTTACAGAAAAGCAAGAAACAATTCCCCATACTGTAACTTCATTCGTGTGAGTGCAGTGTATTTCTTTTTCTTTTTATGGGAAGATCATGATGAGGGTAAAGACTGGCACAACTAGACATTGTATAGTCGTGGGTGGACACAGGTAATCCAGGATTCCCAAATCCACTGAACTTAAAATGTGTGCCAAAGAATCTATACAGAAGCATCCTCCTTTACGATGTTAGTATGTCTCAAAGAAGAGCCATGTAAAATTATTCTCTTTCTCTCTCTCCCTATCTCTCTCTGTCTCTCTCTCTCACACACACACAGACACCACACATGTACACACAGTCAGTGGTGATCCATATAAGTCCAAACTTTTAAAAGTCGTGTAAAATTATTTCCACTTCTTAGAGGCTCTTAAAAATCAGCTGGTATTATATGTTCAGCTGATAGTGGAGTCAATGGGGATACAAGTGCCTATATGAATAAAATAAAGGTAATTTTTTATTTAATTACTGCTTATTTTAGAGTGTAGAATCCACAAGGAACTCAAAGAAAATAAATATCTAAACTTAATTGGATAGTAACGCACAATATAATTCAGTTTTCATATAATGTTAAGAAAAACAAAAAGTAATCATTTGTAATTGTTTTTGTTGTCTCAATAAGTAATTCCAAACAGCTCCAATTCCAAATAGTAATTCCAAAAGGCCACTAAGGCAGAGGTGACCTTGAGTTTCTAAATATTCCTCCCCATCCTGCAGCTTCTAGGATCACATGCATTAGGCAAAAATAATGACCCTGTAAGCATGGAATTTGAGGACTACTACCAAATTTCTGGAAGCTTCTATATGTAACCACTTGAGCAATCAAAACAATAAAAATTTTATGACAGAAATTTCAGTCATTAAAACATAAATTATAAAAGTGACACACATATAGTAACATTACAATCTTTCCCAAGCAGCACTATCTCCCTTCAAACAAAATATAATCTCAAATCACCTTCCCTCCTAATGGAGTATATTCTTGTGCCTCTCTTCAAAATTGTGAAGAAACTTTATTCCTGACAAGACCCAGTTGGTTATAGAAGATGATTGGGAAGAGATGATAAATAGCAAACACAGATGTCATCTTCTCAATCACTTCCCTCCTCCATTTTCTGTAATTCCTAGTAGATAATGTGGTATCATGAGTTGAGTTGTGCCACTCCCAAAAGTTATACGTTGAAGTCCTAACTCTTAGAATCTCAGAATTTTACTTTATTTAGAAATAATGTAGTTGCAGAAGTAATTTATTAAGATAAAGTCATACTGGAGTAACGTGAGCCCCGAATCCAATATGACTGGGGTCCTTATAAACGGGTGAAATTTGGAGAAAGATATACACACAGGAAGAATGCCATGCGAACCTGAAGACAGAGATGGGGATGATGTGTCCACAAGCCACAAAATGACAATGCTTGCCAACAAACCACCAGAAGCTTGGGGGAAGGCTTGGAACAGATTATCTCTCATAGTCCTCAGAAGAACCCAACCCTGCCAACACCTTAATCTCAGACTTCTAGCCTCTGGACTGTGAGACAATACATTTCTATTGTTTTAACCCACCCAGTTTGTGGTACTTTATTAGGGCAGCCCTAGTAAATAAATACAGAAGGTTTTCATCATTAGGGGCTTCTGGGTCCACTTTCCAGAGAGACAGGCATTAAAAAGCAGTGCAAACTGGTAACCTAAGGCTTTAAATGGACCCCATCCATGAGCTTTGAGCGGCATATGTTAATAGTGTGGGAGACACCCAAAGGAGCAATTTAAGAACCATAATTTGGGGTAGAAGCAGACAGCGACATTGCTTTGTAGGGTAATGGTATAAAAATCAACAAATGGAATGTTGAGCTTTTCTTTGTTTGTCTGTTTGCTTTTTTCCAGTGCTTCTGCTGATAAAAGGGGCAAGGATGATAATACACACCAAGGGAAGAAGAAGGAAGCAGAAGTCCAAGCTCTTCACCGAGAACAGACAGAGTACATGCTAGAATACTTCATAAATACTTGCCAAATGAACAAGTGAATGAACAAGTGAAATCCAATAACATTTCAGAGAGGAGGTAGAATTTTGGATACCCTTTGTCATGAATAACAGCTCATTTTTGCACAAGGCCAAATCAAAGAAAAATAACATTTCTCCAAACATGGTGATTTTGTAAAATTCTGAGTAGGAAAAAAAATGTTTAAAACAATTTTACAATCTTTGGAACCAAGTGAAAATACACAAGGTATGAAACATGTTATCAATATTCAGTCATACTGTAACCTAATTATACACTGTTAATTATTTTTAAATTTTATAACATATAATAACTCAGAATACATAATGGTTTTGAATACTAGAGAGATTCTTAATACTAGAATAATATGAGACAGGTAGGATGTGTGTAATTATGTGCTCTCTGAAAGAAAGAATGTTTACCTTTCAAGATAGGGTGGTGTGATCTGACTTCCCTTCCAAGGCTTACCTGATCTTTGGTTTCTCTATGGAGACATATGATTTATATATGACACATGCACACACACACACACACGTATCCATATATATGGACATGGGCAACATGCCAGAACAGTCTGGCACCTGCTGAGAACAAGAGGATCCTTTATAGGACCAATCTGGAGTGCTATCCCCACCCCAAGGGGCCTGCTAAGGAAGAAGAAAATTGAGCTTGCTTGTTCTCTTACTCCAGCAAACCATGGTAAAACATTACATATAGTTATTAACAGCATCAACATTCTGTTTCCCTTCTCGCCTTCCTCTTTTAAGGTCATTATAGATAAAGGAAAGCAAAATAAATCAATTCTTCTCTTTAATTATTTAATGATATATAAGGAGTTTCTTGAAGAGAAATATTACAATAAGTGGGTTGAGGTGGGATAGGATTCATGACTTAGATAACTGTTTCTACTCATGTGAGTTGTGCCATACTCCATACTCTACAATTCCATGCAGAAAATTTAATCATAGAGATAAACCAGGAAACAGCTATACACACAGCTCCACACAATATAAAACATTTATGTATTATAAATAAAAGATATATGGTGTAAATATTATTGCTTAGTAACTAATGGTCAACTCTCAGGCTTAGAGTATGACCTATGTAAAAGATCTTTGTCATTTAATGCAAAATACACACAAGAGTATTTCTGTATTTTAAAACTTAGAAAGTATATGATCATTAGGCAAAAAAATCAAAACGTACAAAGTTCAGACAAAAGCCAGAAGAATGTCATTTCACTTCAGATTTTAGTTGGGTTAAAACAGTGCTCGTGTACCAATAAAGACACACATTTAAGTTATTAAAAAAAAAAAAAAGAAAAGAAAATAAGGAGAAAAGGGCTAACCCTGACCGGGCCACAAGGTGTCCAGATATTTGGTTAAACATTATTTTGGGCATGTCTGTGAGGGTGTTTCTGGGTATGATTAACATTTGAATCAGTAGACTGAGTAAAACAGGTTGCGTTTCCCTAATAGGGGTAGGCTTCATCTAACCTGTTGAAGGTTTAAATAGAACAAAAGGCAGAGTAGGGGAGAATTTGCTCTCTCTGCCTATCTTCAAGCTGAGATATTGATCATGCTCTCCTCCCGCCTTCAAGCTGAGATTCAAGACTGGAACTCTACCATCACCTTTCCTGGGTCTCCAGCATGCCTATTGTAGATATTGGGGCTTCTCAGCCCTCATAACCATGTGAGTTGATTGCTTATAACATATAATATGTTATATATTATAACAGTTCATTCAACAGAAAAGGAAAGATCACATAGAGAAGTTTGTCTTCTCATTGTGACATAACATAGTCCTTATATAATATGTATATACACACATACAGACACATACACACGTTGTTATTCATATATATATACACGTGTTATAACAAGTGAACATATTTATACATATATATATATATATGAAGAAACACATATGTTTCTCTGGAGAACCCAGACTAATATAAAGTTAATTCATATCCTTCATATATACACATATATCACATAATATCAATGGTTCTGTCTGTGAAGCTTAATAAGCTAACTGACAGAGATAAACCACTGGCAAATATGCTCCATGAATGGGGAAGAAAAAATTATACTACTTTGATGAAACATTAATGGGATATTACTGAGCTTTAACACATCTTAAATCTATTATTCATTTTGGAAATACTACCACAAACATCACCATGACATAAATATGAAGACTTCAGTTAATCCTATCACTTACATCTACTTATGAGTGTCTTTATCCAAGTCTCCAGAATTACAGAAAACATACTTCTATGAAAATAATTTTTCCCATTTTTATTTCATGGTGGCATTTGAACCACACACTCAATTCAAGATAGATCTTAACAACAATTTATAGAATATCTAATTTCTTCAGAATTATTCAAAGCCTTCAAAGGGTTCTGCATAGCAAACAACAGACATGGAACCATGAACAAGCAAACTAAAGGGAGCCTTAATACATTCACCCTATGTGAGACCAGCCAGAATGAGGACTCCTCAAGGACCAACTTTCCCCGAAGGTCTGTCCTCAATGGGTGTTCATATGGAGTTAAAACATAAAGGTGTTCCATAAGTCAATTGTGATCCCTTCCAAAATGTATCAACCTCTTGAGTCTTCAAAACTCACCTTTGGAAAGATTTATGATTACTGGATTCATCTCTCACCCAGTAGTTGCCTTTCCTTTTCTTTTATTTTAAAATGAATTTGAGAGAATTATATGCAAAAAAAAAAAAATCTGAAGTTTGGGTTATTTTTTTTTTTCAAAATGTGTTTTTGACCACAGTGAGAATCAGGAATGCCCACATAATGGATACAATTTGTAGAGTAAAAGGAATTGGTAAACTATACCACTTCCTAAAGGACAGCTCCTGTGCTCCATTTTAGGCTGGGATACTCTGGAGGATGTCTTCATTTCTCCTCACTGGAAGCTCTAAGCATTCACTGAAAGAGATATTTCAGGCTGAATCACTTGGTGGAAGGTAGGATCAAAACTAGTATCTGCCTACCCCCACGTCCCTAAAAGATTCAGGGGTTGGGTAAAGGAAGCTTGTAAAACAACAGATTCAAAGTATTAATAATTCACAACTAAATCTCTGTAAGAGAGCCTTGTTTTTTTGTGCATTATCTCAATGATTTTTCTCAGTCGTAATTTCATACATACATAAAATGGGTGGTGAGACATCTCTTTCTGCCAATTTAAATGGACTAATTTTATAATGATGGCAGATTTTTCTGATGACACTAAAGTGTTATCAATAAAACCAGGTCCCTGGAACTTCCAAGGTTAGGGAATAGAAGAGAAAAAAAATAAATCTCTCAAGGAGCTTCTGTCCTCTGTACCCTTAATTTTCCATATCAAACAAAAAAAGGAAAGGAAAAATTATAATGATTTAGTTTTTTCTCAAACCCAACTGGAATATAAACTGTGCCTTGAGATTCATGCCCTGGCTTGAGTAGTTCATGAGAGAGCTACTCTAGGTAGTCAAAGGGCCAGTTCGTTCAACAGAAAAGGAAAGATCACATAGAGAAATTTGTCCTCTCATTGTGACATCTAATTTATTTATAATATTATTATTCAGGCATACCTACATCACCTTTTCTGTAAAATTTGTTCACTTAAAAATATTGGTTTTATTCCCTACTCACAAGTTTGACAATTTTATTCAGATTCCCCATGTAATTCTTTGATAGCAGTGCCTTCTTCATAACATGAATCACTTTTCAAATAAACTGAGTTTTCCAAAGCATCCCATCTCCACTGCAATCTAAGTTGCTTCAGTTGCAGCACTTTTGAATCTGTGTATAATACTGTTACAAGGTATTTATACTAAACTGCAAAAAGCCAGTGGAAAAACATTAGGACAGCCGGGCATTTCATTTCCACTGGGTGGGGGGTCATGTAAAAATATAAAGACCCAGGCCTTATTCTCTCAGTTCTGATTTAATCTCTGTTCTTTAGTTGAGGCTGGAAAATATGCTGGCTGAAGACTGGGTAGGAAATAGAGTGGACCTGGGCCTATAGGAAAATGTTCAATCACTTGGGGAGGTCACAAGCCAGAGTTCTCTAAAAGTAAGATTTTCAGTCCTCTTAAATTTTAAGGAATATTGAGAAAATTTCCATATGAGCCCTATTTGATAAAAGGGATTCTAGGAAAATACTACTTATAGAGGCTTACAATTAATTTATTAAATACATGAAACTACCTGGGAACCTGCATTTCAGTCACCTAATTATAAAATTATCCCCAATTTTTTTTTTGCTACAACAGGGTAATATTGAAACTATTGATTCTTAAAGTAGGCTGTCCAGAGCAGCAGCTTCAGTATCACCTGGAAAACTTTTTAGAAATGAAAATTCCCAGACACACCCTAGACCTGCTGAGTTAGAATCTCTGGAAGGAGGGGCCCAGCCATTTGTGTTTTAACAAGCCCTCTAGGTGAATCACAGGTATAAACCATTCTGGGCAGATAGCATCTCTCACAGCTTATTGGAAATGTAGCAGAAGAGAAAGACATAGACCTCCTTCCCATGGTGAATGTATTTTAGTACCCACCAACCCTGAGAGCTTTTCTGCTTCCTTAATCAGAAAGGATCAGAGGAGCATGGGGGTGGGGGCGGCGGAGGGAGGGGAGAAACCATCATTATGCTGTTGTAGCAAGATGAAGCACAACTTCATGCCAAAGCTACCTGAGGGTCAGTCTGCTCTTGCTACAGGTGCATTCAATATGCATGGAAACATTAGATTCCTATGCCTAATCTAAATCCTCTTTCTGCAAATTTTAAGCTTTTCCCTTTGTTTAATTTGCAGTGGAAAGAAACAGCTGGTGGATAAAATTAGTATGAAATATCTTTATGTACTTAATCTCCATGATTTAAGTCATTCCTGAGTTTTCCTCAAACCAAAAAAAAAAAAAAAAACAAAAAAAAAACCAACTTTCTCTTCGTATTTCCATTCTGTCCCTTGAACTATTATTCTACTATTCAAGTTAGAAAAAGCAAAATTAATTACTTTTTTAAAATACAGAACTTGTTTTGAAAGAATAAAAGCATTAAGACTTACTATGTATAAACATTGTTGCCTGCTTAGAAGATAGACAGAAGCTTTCCAAGGGGACCTCCTAGTAACCAGACCTACCCAGATGACTTCCAAAATACTCCTACTTTTACCCAATTCCTAATTCATAAAGTTATAGCATGGGTATGCTTTAAAATATTCACATTTTTATTTTTGTTTCTGTATTTGTCTCCCTCATTTTTAGGAAAAAAAGATAAAAAATACATTCTTGAAATATACTACTAACTTCTCTCCTAATTTCTGGACTTTAAACCTACCACCATTCTAAATCTTGTGTCTTAGGTGACATTAGCCTGGGTCTAGAGAGGTGTGGATGGGCAATTCAGACCTGACCAGTCAGGTGGCTGCCTCTTCTTACCTGCACTGCTTAGATCAGGGATAAGCACTTGATCTAATTCAGGCCAAGCATAGACAATACGATTAGATTTACAGATGTTGTTTGAAACTTGTGTGGAAGGAGTTCTTTCTTTCAGCTGGATTTTCTGGAAGACGGAATATGAACTATTGGCAGCCATCTGGCCACCATGATTGGAAATCTACCAACAATCAAAACAATGCAGATGGTCCAGAGGCAGAATTTCAGCCAGAGAACCAATTAAGCCTGAAGTTTGCAGGTAAATAAGACAATGATTTTGTTTTGTTTTAGGCAAATCTTTATTTATTATCATTTATTTACAACCTAATCTGCAGGACATTGTGACTAACTGGTTTATGAAAAAGAAGGGAGAAGAAGAAATCAGTGATGACTCTAGGTTTTTGAGTGATTCTTTTCCCTGAGATTTTGACAAAACTTGAGATAGAAGGGCAGGTTTGGTGAATGTTGCATCGGAGGTAAGAGGAGTGGAAAACCATGTTTGGTTTTGAGCATTTTTTTCTCTTTTTAAATTTTTATTTATTTTTTAAAAACCCCACCTGCAGTCTTTGTTTGTTTTAATCAAGCATTTTTATTTGAATATGTCTGTGAAACACTTAAACAGAAACACCTTGTAAGTCATTAATTATATAGCTTTTGAACCTGCTGCAAGATGACTAGACATGGATATTGGAGAGCCATCAGGATATATATGGTAGCTATGCTAAGAAAACACCAACAAAGGTAGAGTCATCCAACACTTATTGAACCATTATCTTACTTCCATAACATTAAATGGCTCAGTTAATGTAAGATAACAGACAACTTTCCATTTGACTTGACTACTGGGACTCATTGCTGTGGGTAGAGAAGTGACAGATAAAGAAGCAAAGATAGATGCAGATCATCTTTTCAAGGATCTTGGTTGTGATGAAAAGCATTGATAACTTTATCTAAATGTGTTTAGATAATGATGAAATGGGATCACTACTTGACACAATTTTGTGTGAGTTTAAGGGTCCTATTATCATTTTTACTTTTGTTGCCAAAATTGTCTGTTGCCATTTGTTGGGGGTTACCATTTTAATTTAACGTTACTTATTAGAAGGTGGGAGTAATGTCCAAGCAGATAGTTGCCAGTAAACTGATGACTAAAATTACGGATCAGTGTCCAAATACAATACTCAAAACTTGGTACACTGCATATCTTCCTGAATGTGACTGCCAAAATAAATCTGGCCTGGAAAGTAATTTTAAGGATTTCCCCCTCTGGCTTAAGTTTTCTTCAGTATTTTAAGCTAACGATATCCATCCTTAAGAAGCCGAGGCTGTGCACATGTAGACAATTACAGTATTCATTTATCACATCTATTAACTTTCTTGATAAACTTATTGAAGAGAAACAGCATTCCAATACAAAGTTCATGTAAACTCCATCATTTACATCTAATGCATTTCTTTTCTTTCCAAAAAGATTTTGAAGCTATTGTAACTTAAATTACTTACTGTATATATGTTGATCAAGTCTTAAAATATATTCTCACTTGTATTAATTTTCCCTTACTTGATAGTTTTTGTACTCAATGACCAAAATATGTGACAGAGTATTTCATGCCTTTCCCACCTTTTCTAATTATGGTTGCTTTAGTTCACCTTTTAGCAGAAGACAAATTACATTTTATTTGGGAAAAACCATCACTAGGCCCTCAGTTTCCACAAAGACCTACCCCCTACTCCTGCTGACTGGCAAAACAAGTGGAAACAAAATAAATTGGCAATAGAATTTGCTGTACTCTGCCTATTTTCTAGCAAGTGCAATCTCTAATACACTGCTGTCTTAAATCTATCAAATGTTTGGTATTTATGAAGGCTTACCTGAAAGATAAGCAGTCCCTCTAGATCCTCCAAAATTTACTCAGGATTAAGTTAAACCAGCAGAGAGTTAGATCCTTAAATAAGAGTCCTCCACCCATTCCTTTACGTAGGTTATTTTCCTTGGGTGTTGCAACTGGACAATATTGAGGGGCACCATAGGAAACTGCCTGATGAAACTGATGGCTGTGTCTGTGATAAAGGTGACAGTGAGGATGATTACCATCCTGTTACACACTGTCCTTTTTATAAGGATTCTAGGGAGAATAGTTTTTGTTTTTTGTTTTTTTATTTTTTTTGGCTTTAACACCAGCAAAATCATTCTCCTAAGCATTTGGCTTGTTTTTATCTTCTGGACCATCCCATTTTGGCTTTAAGCAGGACTAACATGTTGCTTTAGATACCTGGCAGCAAAGAGGTTAGAATAAGGTCAGGCTGTCTCCTCTGCAGTGAATAAGCAACATTCATTCATTATCTCCCCTGGCCTCATTAAAACAGCTTTAATGTGGTCACCATTTGATGGTAGACATAAGCTTTAATCTTGTGAATATCAAACCCACCTGGGTCACATTTCCTGTTATAGACAGTTAGCCGAAGCAGGTTAATAAGCTATTTTAACTCCTTAATCTGCAGCACTGTTTAGGAACCAAATTCACTAGTCACCTGCATTTGAGCTCAAATGGTCTACACTGAATCCTAATTTCACAGGTTCTGTCTTCAAATCTCAGATTGCTTAAGAAACTTCTAGTCATCTGTTTAATTTTGCACCTTTTCTTTCTTTCCTTTTTTTTTCTCTGATGTATTATTTTTCAGGTTACTCTTTAGGTCTCGATATGCCCTATTTTTCTTCCTCATCTGACCTAGATTCAAATTTACACACTGTGAAATAGCTAATAAATCCCCATTAAGGTTGTAAAAGGTGAAGGTTCAACCAGTGTATAGTCATCAAATTCTCATATAAAACTGAATGATCCTTGATATTAATAGCTTGGCAAAAGTGTGTTAACAGGTCCTTAGGATTTTTATGAAAAAAAGATTTTAAGTCATTTGGCTGAAGGTGACCCACCTACTCTGCAACGATTTGAATAGTTCTGCAATTTTCACATCACCTAAGACAACTCTCAGCTCTCCCAATTAACCCTAAAATACAAATTTTCCCTTGGAGCCTGCCCATAGTTCTAAGTTTACCTGTACTCATTGTACGTATTTCTTGTGTGTGTGTGTGTGTGTGTGTGTGTGTGTGTGTGTGTGTGTGTGTCTTTGCATGTGGACATTAAAAGGGAAAGTTTCTGCTTGAGTTTAGCCTGTTGGAGTCTAAGGAAAGTGGGACATAAAACCCTGTTGGGTTTTTTTTTTCTTTCTTCTCTCCACAAGCAATAGAGAGTATTACAATGATTTACAGAGACACGTTGAAAGTAAATTATGTTGTAAACGCCTGTCCCTTGGGCCAGCTAAATATCACAGGAAAAAAATGCAAAAAGTTTGAAATTCCCAACAGCAAAGGTTGACAGGAAAATATGGTTTTGTTTTTCTATGAGTAAAAGTTACTTTTATGTTGTGTTTTCCCATGAGAAATTATAAACTTTCAAAGGAATTTTAGTCTCTTACATGCACATATAAGAGCAATTTATCTGGTACTGCCCCAGCAAAAACACTCTTAAGACTTTAAAGCTGTTAGAACTGGGGCTGAATTTCTTCAAGACCGCTACTTCTTATTTGTCCTTGCTGTCTCTTCTTGTCAAAACATTTACTCAGACTTCGAAGAGTTGCAAGTTGGCAACATGTTAATAATATGAAAATGCGTTTGTGCAGCCCATGTGGCTGCAATTTTTGTCTATATTCATTGCTTATTTAATGAATAATGAAACCTTTGCAGTAGCTATAGTGACAGAAAGACATGCAGCTAATTAAATAAGAATTTGTCAATATAAAAAACTGCAACTGTAACCAAGGTAGCTTTGCCTCTTTTGTAGCCTTCCTAAGGCTCAAACAGAAACCTTGTCATATTCCTCTCTCACCTGATGAGCAACAGTTATAGAAATTCTATAACTAGGAGGGTAGCTTAAATCACTCAAGTCCATCTTGTGGGTGTGAAAATATTTCATTCCCAAGATATAAAGATCTACATTTAAGTCTCACACTCTTTTTCTGCCCCAACTTAATTAGAAATTATTCAGAATGATTTTTATTAGAAGTTTATATGTTTTATGGCACAATAAGAAAAATAAGTAATAGATGTCCCAAACTGCTACTCAGCCTTCTCTGCAACTAAAACACACATCATTAGATTCTTCAGCAATGTTGTTTAGTACTGGCTGACTTTCATCCAGACATTCTTGATTTGACGCTGCATCCCTGCCCCCTCCCGTAATCTCTCTTTTGCCAAAGGTCCAAGTTTTCTCGAGTGTTTATAAACTCTTCTTTGTCAAAATACCAGATAGTCTGTTTCTCCCCTGGCAGGAAGCTGTATCCAGAGGATGTCATTTCAGGGACTGTGAACAGACACGGTAATTCTCTGCTCTCTACCTGTCAAGTCAGCATTGCATCAAGCCTTGAGTGTGCATGATAAGCAGGATGTATGCCCTTCGTCTCCACTCCATCTAACAAAGCACTCCATTTCTCAGGGACTTTATCCCCTGTAGACCTCACAGTTGTTCTAAAGTTTCTACAAACATTGCCACAAAACCTTAGGAAAGCTATAAACCTCACAGAGTGCGTGTGCATTATGTCGAATTAAAGGAACTACAGTATTCATTTATTATGTTATCTACGCAACTTCAGGGATGAATAGAATGGAAACTAAACCAGCATCATCCTCATTTTCTCATGCTCTGCTAGACACACACAGAAACGCTGCTGCTACGCAGTTTCTTTTCCCACCCCTTCATTTTCTCTGCCTTTGATAGACATATCCTGCTTCATTGACAAAAGGGAAGGGGAAAACATTGCAAACTCTTTCCAGTCATGCAATTTAGATTCACTCCAACATGACCAGGTTGATCCTTAACCTAGGATAACTACTTTAAAGAGCAGAATGTGAGTGGTCCTCAGAATCATTCTGGGCATGGCTAATCAATAAAATCTCTCTCTGCATTTCCTCATTACTCATTACCAAAGTGGCAAATGTTCTTAAAACATGAATTTTTCTGATGTTTGAATATAACTCATTCAAATCAACTAGATATTTTCTCAAAGTTTAAATGTGGTTGTATAGAAAGGATCTGTCATTTTTATAGTAAACTACATTAAGCAGTTAGATAGGTAAATAGATAACATGGTATAATAAAACATATATTTAGTCTTTGTTCCTGGGTCCTGACAAACCCCTTGGCATTTTCAAGTTTTAGGAGTATCTTTGTTGTGCTAATGAAGTGACTACTGGTGAGTAGGTAGGGGTGGAGATAGTTTCAGGAAAGGGGTTTCTAACCAGAAAGACCTATCATGTAATTAGAGGGTTGGCATTTTGAGTCAGCTGGAAGAGAAGAGGGAGGCTGGAGACTGAGTTCCATCAGGTTGCCAGTGATTTACTCAACCATGTCTGTCTAATGACAACCCAGTGAAAATTCTGGAATGTGAGGTTCAGTGGATCTTTTGGTTGGCAAATATGTTGCAGTGCTGGGAAGATGCTGTGCCCACCTTCCAGGAGGGGAGTGTGCAGAAGCTGTGCATGAAGAGCTCACACTCAGACCTCACACTACATGTCTCTGCTTGGGTTGCTCCTGATTTGTATCCTTTATAACAAAACCTCAATCAAGGAAAATGCTTTCAGTGAGTTCTGTGAGTTGTTCTCACAAATTATCAAACTTGAGAGTGTGGTGGGAATCCCCAAATGTATAGTTGGTCTGTCAGAAGTGGCCCCCAACGTTTGTGACTGATGTCTGAAGTAAGGATAGGCTTTTGGGGAACTTTGCCTTTGACTTGTGGAATCAGGTGCTGACACCAGGTAGTGAGTGTTGGAATTCAGTTAAATTCAGGACATCTAATTGATGTCACAGAATTGGTGTCAGAGCAGTGATAGATGGAACTTTTTCTGTATTTTTCCCCTGTCTTTTTTTACCTACTGGTTCAATTTTTTTAAGTAAATAATTAAACATTGGAAAAAATAGAAAAAATATAGAGGAATAGCTAAGAAGGGATTCAGTTATTTAAAGTAACAAAGTAAAACAACACTTTATTAAGGTGCTGAAATATTTAGTTTTTTTTTTAATTTCATGGCATATATAAAGTGTATGGTGAAGTGAGAGTCAATATAAATTTATAGTTATCTACATTTGATCTATATTATATATAATGGTATAGGTAAGGTTATGGTGTAGGTAAAGTTTATGTTAACATCATTATTCATGTTTATGCTCACCAACATAAGTAAACTTTAGCTTTAATTGAATTTTGAGACCCAAGGGGTCTAGGGGGATGAAGATTAGAAGAACATCAAAGAGTAAATAAATCTAGAACCTTATAGGATGTTAGAGTTTCTCTAGCATAACTGCATCATTCTAATTGTGCTCCTTGATAAGTCTTTCGCAAAATGAATGTTTAACGATGATTATTCTCAGTATTAGAAAGATGACTGTTCATTTAACTGTGGGATAGGAATAATGCTAGTTTCTATTGTCTAAGTTTGTTATAACGATAAAAGGAAATGATAAATTTCAGATCTTTAGAACTCTGCCTGTGGCACTGGGCAATGCCCGACCCATGAGCCAGGCCCTTTTCCAACTTCATCTCACCACTTAGTCACCTCCTCTGGACTTCAGCTTGCCAACATCACTCTTAAATGTGCTATCAATTACTGAATTTAAAACTCTGGTTGCGTTGTGACTGATGCAGAAAAGACAAAGCTGTCACTCCTGTTCCCTAGAAGAATGTATTTCTCCTAATTCCGTCTTGTTTTCATGAAAAATTTTATTGCAAGATTGATTCACAACAGGCTCGTGACAAGGACGTTCTCTTAATTCAGGGCAGTTCTTTTTAAAATATAAATACAACCTTTACATTTATTTATTTTAATTGAAATTAATTGCCATTGTGTCAGACCTGAGTTCAACACTTTTAGGATAATTATTAATCTATCAAACTTTTTGTATTTGTTACAAAACACAAAATTTGGTGACTATGTCATTTCAGAAAGGATAATGTGATAGAACAACACATTTGCAGCTAAAAATCAATACAACCAACCCAACAAAAAAAGCTTGTCTTTTGATATAGATCTGCTAGTTATACAATTTCAAGATAGTTTTGTAACTCAAATCTTAGCTTTCTTATTTATAAAATTAAGAATGTAACATTCCCCCCTTGCTATAGGTAATAGAGCTTCTGTAAAGATCAAATTGCATGAGATAACTTATTTTAAAGTGCTCTATAAGCTATAAAACAATATTCAACTATAATGTGGAATTACAACTAATCAATACCGCGCTTTTTTTTAATGAGTAAATTGGGACAAAAGACTGAGTTCTTTAACTTCTCACTAGAGACCTCTCTTCATATTCATTACACCATTCTCTTTGGGTGAGTTGTTCTCTGGACAGCCCTGCCATATTTCTCTCGTGTTTTACAAGAGCAATAAGAGACTGTTGGATTCATTATATCTAAGGTTCCAGCCTAATGTTATAATAATTTTATGTAACCTCCTTTTCTTCCAGGTATGCTTTTGAGTACTCCAGCTTCTACCTTAGGAAGCTGAGAGGTGGAACATTAAGAACTCAGACTGAAAAGCCAAATAAATATGGGTTGGAATCCTCAGCCACCATCTGGCTGACAGACTTGGGCAAGTTACTTTATTATCATGTGTAAAATACTCCTCCCTCACAAGGAAAGGTACTTTCCTTATGGAATTGGTGTAAAGTTTCTCAGAGATAACATTAGTATGTAGACCAGTGCCAGGTACATGATAACTTTAAAAAATGGAAATGTAAAGAAAGCAGAAAGAAAAGGGATAAGAAAATAATAAAACTTCAACTCTCTTTCAAGAAAGATTATGCTAATTTCAATTCTGTGAGATAATGTGCAGTGTCAGAGTAAAATCAGGGAATGCTTTGTGTGGCATTTTTCTAACAATAAATATCTCAATATGCAAATGAGGTGGGTAGATCATGCTGCTTCTGAGGAAATCCACAAGTTTCATCTGTTCTTTTAACTCTTGCCTTAGAGACCTACAGCAGAGGTAGCAGTCACTGCATATAAACCAGAGCAAATGTTTGACATCTGTGCAAATTCTTACTCGTGAACTGAAATCTCATGATTTGGCAGCTGTGCAATCTTTGTCCTTTTTTATTTTGTAACCTTTATTTCATTAGATATCTTTGCATTTGGAAAACCAGCTAGCTCATCATTGGTTATCTTGTCACTGACCTGGAAATCCCAAGATGCTTGTTTTGGTCATTGTGCCCTGGATTCATATTGCCTAACTGAGGCCCTGGGAAACTGCTGTCTGCACATCACTTCCATCCTCCAACTGCCCATTCAGGGAAGAGCAGACAGTTTCATATCAACTATCACTGTTATTTTTAAAATGACTTACAATTCATATTTAATATGCTGAACATTGACTCTAAAATTATAATTTTATAATTTCAGTAATCACCCCACTCTCATTCTCTCAACCTCTAAGGTATTTCATGTGTTCTGCAGTCATAGTTAGAATCTACATTTGTTACCTCAGGAGGAAACTCCAATGGACCTAGAGATCTGAAATGAAATAAAACCACTGGCTACTGGATTTCTCTTTTCTCTTGCTCTGAAAATCTTCCTCCTCCTTGTGATATTGATTCTGCTCTCTCCTGGTTCAATTCTCACTAATTTCCTAGATGACAGTACTTGAAGAAAGATAGTTAATAGTGATGCCTCATCTATGCTACATGTTAGTGTCTCATTTTCTGACAAACAGATGTCCTTTTCCTAATTAAATCATGTTTTTATTCCAAAAATGGCTTTTTTTTTTCTTCAGCAAGTTTTATAGACCTGTGCTAGGCTTTGGTGTCCATCTTTGATTATATGTTTACAACTATCTTTTTAAAATGTCCTTTATGAATTGGTCATATTAGAAAACTTGCTATATGTCAAATACTTTATCTTTTTAATGTCCATGAGATCTGTAGTGATGTCCCCTCTTTCATTTTTGATATTAGTAATTTGTATTCTCTCTTTTCCTTAGCATGGTTAAAGGTGTATTGACCTCTGGATTTTTCAAGGGAAAAGACCTTTGATATTTAAAAAATAAACAGCTTTTGGATTTATTGATTTCCTGTTTGCAATTTTATTGTTTTCTGCTCTAATACTTACTATTCTTTTTCTTCTGCTTAGTTTGGATTTAATTTGCTCTCTTTCTAGTTTCCTGGGATAGAAGTATAAGTGATTATTTTATATTTTTTCTTTTCTAGTAGATGCATTCAATGCCATAAATATCTGGCTAAGAACTGCTTTTGCTTTATTCCACAGATTTTGATAAGTTTTATTTTCATTTTCAATTAGTTGAAAGTATTTTAAAATTTATCTTCATTTCTTCTTTGACTCACGTGTTGTTTAATCTGTAATTATTTTCAATATTCTCAGCTATCTTTCTGTTATTGATTTCTAGTTTAATTGTACTGTGGTCTGACAGCAGACATTTTATGACTTCTATTCTTTTACATTTGTTATGTTTCTTAACCTAGAATTTGGTTGATTTTGGTGAGTGTTCCATGTGAGCTTGAAAAGAATGTATACCCTGTTATTGTTGGATAAAGCAATCTATAGATGTCCATTTTATTCAGCTGATTGGTATTGTAGAATTCAACTACATCCTTACTGATTTCCTGTCTGATTAACCTGTCCGTTTCTGATAGAGGTATGTTAAAGCATCCAACTACAATAATAGCTGCATCTATTTCTCCTTGAAGTTCTATCAGTTTTTGCTCCAGTTATTTAATGCTGTGTTATTGGGTATGTACACATCAAGGATATGTCTTCTCAGAGAAGTGACCCCTTTATCAATACGTAATGCCTCTCTTTGTCCCTGATACAGGGGTAAACACCTTGGTCTGAAGTCTGTTTCATCTGAAATTAACACAGCTACTCCTGCTTTCTTTTGATTAGTGTTAGCCTGATATCTTTCACCATGCATCTGCTTTTTATCTGTATGTGTCTTTAAATTTAAAGTGGGTTTCTCATAGACAATATATAGTTGGGTCTTGTTTCTTGATCCACTCTGACAATCTCTGTCTTTTAGTTAGTGTATTTAGACCATTGATGTTAAAAGTGAATACCGGTATAGTTGGATTAATATCTACTAAATTTGTTACTGTTTTCTGTTTGTTGCCCTTGTTCTTAGTTCCTATTTTTGTCTTCCACTCTTCTGCCTTTTGTGGTGTTAATTGAGCATTTTATATGATTGCCAGCTGGTTAGTGATGGGCCAGAATGTTTTTATATTATCACATTGCCTTCAATAGAAAATTAGAAATGGGTGTCATCTCAAAGTTTATTTCCTCAAGTCTCTTATTTTCCAAATGAGAAAATAGAGACATGATGGCAATTATGACAGAAATGCTGGTTCATTATTCTTTTGTACCACATCACTTTGCTTTCAGATATAATGGCATGGAGAATAGACATTTTTAAGCAATGTCACTAATACATGTGCTATATAATCATCACCCCTCTTTAAAAAGTTACATTAGTCCTGAGAATATATGCATTATAGTGGTGATTACCTAATCAGCAACTATGAGCATTTTGAAGTTCCCCAAGAAATTTGTAGTCTAATAAATTTTTCTATCAAAATGCTAATTACCAAATCCGGACCAGCTCCAATTGCTCTTTGAGAGTACAGTTTCTCTGAATCTTTTGTTTAAGGAAAGAGAAGCAATTGTCATCACAAAGAGAGTACAATCTCCCTAGCCATCCTCAGAGTCCTGTATGATCCAAAAAGTGTTATAAATGGCTCCACGTCACTGTTATATTTATAACTGCTAGATAGTATGACTAGCATTTCTCATGAATTGAGAACATTTTTCTCCTCACATAGTGTCATATATTGCCACAAAGTACATTTGAGTATTATGTGTAAACATGTATTCTGAGTTCTGTGTACTCCATGTGATTAACTTGTAACACAATCTAGAACAATCTTTTGATGCTTCTGCATGCCTAGGATGGAATCTTGTCATTGTTCATACAGTGATTTACAATCTGTGTCCTATCAGTTCCATGAAGACAAAACATAAATGCCAACCTAGAATGAAGCAAATGGAGAAAGATCCCATTCCCTGCGTTCAGCATGATTTGTGATATTTACTGACTAACCAAACACTACAAATGGGATCAGACCCAAATAGCCTTTTAAGACTGGAGTGGTGACAATTGGCAGTGGTTAATGTAGTACCAAAACATGTACGATATTTGCAATGTCATAGAACAGGGCCATTTCCAAAGGGGAAAGGCAGCACCATTTCACAAAAGACATTGGGAGATGATGTGGGCACAATCCATCGTCCTGGGCATAGGAGAGAACCCAGAAATGTCATAAAATCCCTCTTTGATCTGCTGTCGCTACTGTTGGTTGTATGGGAAATTAACATATTTAATTAACTGTCTGACCAAAGCAGCTGTTACCTTATATAAAACCTTGAACATTGATGCCTGGCTTATCCCACTAGGTGTCTGAATGTGCCAGTGGCATAAGACTGATGATATTTTTATACTGCATGGCGCAGCATGACTTCTCTTGCAATCAGCTCAAGTCAAGATCTTCTTTAAATTCTTCATGGAGAATAATGATGCTCCAGCCCAAATTAGTTAATAGCGTGTTGTATCAGGCCAGCCAACAGGAAGCTCTATGCACAACAAAACAGACTCTGGCCAATCCAATCAATCCTAACTTCCAAAAAGGGCCCGCTACATAGGCCTTGGAGAGGGCAGTTATGCATCTTTCTTCTTCATCAGTATGCTATTTTATTCACAATTCAGTTCTATTATTACAGATTATTATTTGCCTTCTATATTTTTTTTCAAAAAATTTTTCCTTGGCTGCAGTATTTCCAAATGGAAAGAAATGTTTCCAAGTCAGAAGTTGCTTTCATTAGTTTGCTAAGTTGTTGGTCCAAAGCTATTAGGATCTTGTAAAATAAATTTAATGCAACTAATTTCATATGGCACATGGATTGGTTTGAGGGATTTCTGAGAGAAGCTGGCAAGAGAAGGTATAAGGTGGCTTTTCCGATCATTGAAAAATATTTCCTTTGCTTGGTTTGTCATTTCACCAATTTATAAGAGAGTAAGAATAAAGCATTTTCTATTTTGGATAGCTTCAGCTGTAAAGTGATGAGTTTATCTCTAGCAAAGATGGAGGCCAGAATTCTCAATACCTTTCTCAAGGGCAATGTGGCAAAACTGGTTATCTTGATTGCCTGTGCTGCTCTTTTTCTGAACGAATTTACTTTGTCATTGAATGTGTCTTCCTCATCATACCTTTACTACTGTGTACACTTAATATTTCCTTTTGTGCCATTTCTGAAATTCTTAGAAAGTCTTGCAAAGTCTGCATTTTCAGCTAGCACCATATGTAACTTACAAACTGTTTGCTAGTTCAGCAATCAAAGAGCTCAAAATCCTGATTAGAGAGTCAGTCCTTCATAAAATCTATGGAGAAAAATGTTAGCCAGCAAGGCCTTTTCTTCAATGTTTGCATCATTACATTTGAAACTGCAATTAATATTATGTACAATTAATACAAATATATATAAGATACTATGTCGCTAATAAGCAATAATCAGAACATTAACTTGGTATATGATTTTGTAAAAAATAATTTTCCAAAAAAATATATAAAGAAATTTTTAATAAATATGAGTGGCATTTACTTAATTATTAATGAGCATATCCTGAATTGCATGCACATTTACTTGCACAAAGACAAATTTTAGTTTATTGTATCTATCATGGGGAGAAAACTTTCAGGGTTAAAGAAAAACAAATTGGTGATTGGCTGGTTCATGTTTTTTTTTTTTTACTGACTCATTGTAAGATAAATTGAAATATATATTTATATATGTATATATATATATGCAATTATACATTTCCACCTACAATTATAAGGCATAGGAGGAAAATTGTTCTTCAAAAACACGTTATTAAAGCAAAGGGGGCAACATCATATCTGAAACCAGGAAGAGCAACTTTAAGCCTGTAGACTTCAAATATTAGAGATCCTAGAGGCCTTTCTCAGTATTAAATTCAATTAGAAGCAAGTTGTTCAGGTAAGTAGGTAATATTCTTTCTGCTGCTGTAGAACTAATTTCTTTTGTTAATCTGACCACAAGACCTTTGGCTACTATATTTAGACAGAATTCTCCCAATTCATTCCTGTAATTCATCAAATATGTGTTACTCATTCTGCTGGGTACTGAAGAGAAGAAGTAAGGAGTGAATAAGTGAGATACTCTGTTGTGTATAGAATAGATACCTAGCAATGACTGTAACTAGGGAGATTCTTTAGAGATTTTAATGAATAGAAGAAAAGAATATATACAAGATACTATATAGCTAATATGAATATAATTAGAATTAATAAATTATAGGCAATATAGCGTGAATCTCCAAAAATTTCTAAACCATTTCTACCATACCTTGAGGCAGGTATTCTGTTAAGGAATTTAAGCACATTCTTTCATGTATGCTTCCTAATGCACATATGAGGTGGCTGCTTTGAACAGATATTATCAACTAATATTATCAACTAATATTATCAACTTTGAACAGATCAGAATACGAAAAAGAACTTAACTGTCAGGATGAATTTTCATCCATAAGCAGTAGAGGAGTTTGTCAGCTTAGGTCTTTCCACCTACAGATATTATGTGCTGATCGATTTCACAGTTCTGACTATTCAGTGAACTGGTAGAAACTCTTGACATGAGCTCTGATCTGTTGCAATAGTGCTGCACAGTTTCTGCTGATCTTGAATTCACCTGGCTAGTCTGCTTTAGCTGTAGGAAGGGTTTGTTTGTTTTCTCTCTTTTACTATTTGCTGCAAGTTTATAAACTTCTGGTGTGCACTTGCTCACTCTTTTGTTTTCAAACTGCACTTAAAGGAGTTTGCTTTTCTCCAATCCTCTTCTCCAAATGCCTGCTACTTGTTATTCATCACTCCTGGAACAACTACTCTTTTTATTTTTAATGGCCCTAAAACGTTTCATTTGCTCCTTATGTCTGTGTGCTAGATTGAACTGTGAGATAATTTCATGGATTTGAGCAGGACCGGAGACTCAGAGAATAAGAATCTGTATCACTACTCTCATTATTTCTTTGTATATACATTTCTCCCATTGTACCACTTTCCAAGGATGGCTCTGTCTTTTCACCAGTGAAATATCAAACCCTGGCACCATGTCATTCATGGATGTAGTAGGCAATAACTAAATATTTGTTGAATGTTAAGTGAATTGGAATAAATATACTTAAGATAATATGTTTAGTTTGGTAATTTTTTCTCTTTCTTTTCAGAATAGCATCTCAAACTTTTCTGAGAAATTATCTTCAATGTGCACAGACTTCAAACCTACATAAATGGTAGGAATGTGACTCAAGTAAGAACAACAGGTTGGTCTCTCTCTCTCTCTCTCTCTCTCCCTCTCTCCCTCCCTCCCTCTCTCCCTCTCCCTCTCCCTGAGTTTGAATCAAAAGAAGAGGGACAAGGATAGGGTAGGAATACTTTGGAGCTTATCTATTTCCCTGGAGACTTCGAGTACAGTATGTCTATTTCAAGTAAGTTTTCTACTGTTTAACAGTATTATTGAGGTATAATTGATTGATATACACTACACTTCACATTTATAAAGTGTATAACTTTTTAAGTTTGGACATGTGCATGTAGCACCATGAAATCATCACCACAGTCAAGACAATGAATATATTCCACTACACATCAAATTTTCACTTTAGCCTTTCCTAATCCCTCCCTCCTACTCCTCCCATTCCCCTCTCAAATGCACACCAAATTTGGCAAACACTGCTGTACTTCCAGTCAGTACATCAGGTTGCATGTTCTATACTTTTTTAATACATGGTATCATAAATTAGGTACTTTTTTTGTCTGGATTCTTTTATTCACTGTAATTCTTTAGAGAGTCACCCGTGTAGTAGTATGCTTTAATAGTTTACTTTTTGTTGCTGGTTTATCCATTCACCTATTGGTGGATTTTAGGGGTTGTTTTCAGGTTTTGGTTATTATGAATAGGTAGATATTAACATTCCTAAAAAACTTTGTATGAACATATGCTTTTTTTCCCTTTCCTTGCTTTTCTGTTCCTATGTTAATTCACTTAGGATAATTGCCTCTAGCTCCATCCATATTTCTGCAAAGGATGTAATCTCAATTTTATGGTGGCGTAGTATTTCATGGTGTATACGCAACACATTTACTTTACCCTGTCCACCATTGATGTGCATTTAGATTGATTCCATGTCTTCATAGAGATTCATGTAATCTGTCAATAAGTCCATTTTACTTTTTTCTTTCTAATCTGGATATTGTCCACTTGCTGTATTACCATGTTAGATAAAACCTCCAATACCATACCATATAGAATGAAAGTAGTGGAAATGGACATTCTTGGTTTGTTTTGTTTGTTTTTGTTTTTCTGATTTTATGGGGAAAGCATATAGTCATTCATCATTAATGTTAACTGTAGATTTTATGTAGATGTCATTTAGATTTGCTGTCAGGTTGAGGCAGTTTCCCTCTATTCCTAGCTTGCTTAAAATTTTACTTAGGAATAGATAATTTATTTAATTTTTTTGCATCTATTGATAACATCCTGTATTAGTCCATTCTCACACTTATATAAAGAAGTACCTGAAACTGGGTAATTTATAAAGAAAAGTGGTTTAATTGGCTCATGCTTCTGCAGAGTGTATAGGAAGCATGGCTGGAAAGGTCTCAGAAAGCTTACACTCATGGCAGAAGGCAAAGGGGAAGCAGGTAGTCTTTCTTACGTGGCCAGAACAGGAGGAAGAGAGAGAAGGGGGAGGTGCTACACAATTTTAAACAACCAAATCTCACAATAATTCACTCACTATAATGAGAACAGCACCAAAGGGAAAATCCGCCCCCATGATCCAATCACCTTCCACCAGGCCCCACCTCCAACATGGGGGATTACAATTTGACATCAGATTTGGGAGGAGACAGAGACTCCAACTATATCATATCCTTTTTCTCTTTTTAGTTCATTAATATGATGAATTACGTTGACATATTTTCAGTATTGAGCCTCTCTTGCATTGCTGAGATGAAGGTAAACTGGCCATGAGGCATCCTTCTTTCCTTTAATGTTAAGTTGGACATATTAAAATTTTGTTTAGAACTTTTATATTGGTTATCAAAAGGATAGTGGTCTGTAGTTTTCTTTTTAATTTTTAATATTATATTTGTTTTGGTATCAGAGTAGTATTAATCTCAAAAATGAGTTGAAAAGCACTTCATTCTTTTCAATTGTGTGAAAGAATTTATGGATAATTAGTGTCTTTTTTTAATGTTTGAAAGTTTTATTTCCAGCAAAGACATTTGGGCCTAAAATTTTCTTTGTGAGAAGGTATTTAACTAAAAATTCTACTTATTTAATAGACATGATATACAGGTTGTTTGTTTCTTTTTGTGAGATCTGATATTTGTGTCTATTAAGGAATTTTACATTTTATCTAACTTGTTGAATTTATTGACATAAAGTTGTCCATAATATTTATTTACATTTTTAAAAGTTATAGAATACATAGTGATGCCATCTCTCTCACTTCTGATATTGGTAGTTTGTGTCTTCTTTCTTTGTTTCCTGTCCATTTGGCTAAAGTTTTATCAATCTTATGGAACTTATATGAGATACAGTTTTTGGTTCTATTTACTTACTCTATGGTTCTGTTTTCTATTTTGTTGATTTCTGGTGTGGTCTTTATCATTTCCTTTTTTATTTACATTGGGTTTAATCTAGTTTCTTAATATGGAACATAATTATTCACAAACATTCTTCTTTCTAATGTTATAAATGCGCCCCTAAGTACTGCTTTTGCAGCATCCCGTACATTTGAATATATAGCATTTTCATTTTTGTTTAGATTTAATGCTTTGTAATTTTATTTTTTGATTTCCTCTAAGACTAAGAGATTATTTAATCACATATAACTTTGTTTACAAATAGATGCCTCAAAAATCCCCAAATTTCAGTACTGACTTTTAAAAATTTAATTTCATTGAGATAAGAGAAAACATAGTTTGTATGGCAAAAATCTTTTAAAAATGATTGAATATTGTTTTATCTTGGAAAATATCCTAGATGCAGTTGTTTCTTATCTCCAAATCTCATATTGAAATGTGACTTCCAGTGTTGGAGGTGGGGCCCAGTGGAAGGTGTTTGGGTCATGTGGGCAGATCCCTCATGAATGGCTTGTTATCTTAATGAGTCATCTTGGTGTCATCACTGGTGGTAATGAGTGAGTTCTCACTCTATTAGTTCATGTGAGAGCTGGTTGTTTAGACAGCTAGGTGCCTTCTCCCCTCTCTCCTGCTTCCCCTCTCTTCCTCCCTCTCTTTCGATGTGGCATACTGGCTCCCCTTTGCCTTCTGCCATGAGTATAAGCTTCCTGAGGCCTCACTAGAAACAGATGCTGACACCATACGTCTTGTATAGCCTGCAGAACTGTGAGCCCAATAAGCCTCTTTTCTTTATAAATTTCCTAGCCTTGGGTATTTCTTTATAAAAACACAATACAGAGTAATAAAGGTACATAAATATTTGTTATGTCTCTTCACCAACTGACTCCTTTATTATTAAGTTAGAGTATTCAAACCAGTTTTTAAATCTGCTTGGTCTAACAGTTACTCCAAATGTCTTAGTATTATTTTAGCATGTATTTTTGCATTATTTTTATCCTAGGCTTGACTCTGTGTTTAAGGTGTATTTCTTATGGGCAACATGTACTTGCGTTTTAGGGTTTTTTTGTTTGTCTGTTTGCCATATATGGCTTTTTATTGGGATATAGGATCATTTATATTTAATATGATATTGACATAAACATCTTGTTGATGTGTTTTCTGCCATTCCTATCTGATATATGAAACCAACCAACCAACCCCACAAACTTTAAGAAGTGCCTTCAAGAAACCTACTCAGGTTGAGCGCAGTGGCTTATCCCTGTAATCCCAGTACATTTGGAGGCACAGGTGGGAGGATCACTTGAGCCCAGGACTTCAAGAACAACTTGGGCAACATAGGGAGATCCTTCCTCTACAAAATATTTTTAAAAATTAGCTGGGCATGTGGTGTGTACCTATGGCCCCAGCCACATGGGAAGCTGAGGTACAAGGATCACTTGAGCCTGAGAGGTCAGGGCTGCAGTGAGCCATGTTTGCATCACTGCACTCCAGGATGGGTGACAGAGCAAGACTCTGTCTCAAAAAATAAATAAATAAAAATAAAAGTAGAACTCCAGCCAAGATTCCTGACCGACACTCCCCTCCTTGTGCTGTCTGTTTGTTTCCTTTTATTAATTTCTCTATAGGACGCTATGGTAAGCAGTGGTATTGCTTTTGTTTTGTTTCTGTTTTATTTAATTAAGTCTTTGAGTAAGCCCTTGTGATGAATATATTAAAGAATATGTATTGATTTAACAAACTTTTATGATTAACTGATTTTTTATGATTTTATTTTATTTTTATTTGGCTTATTAGCTATACTCTGTTTTGGTATTTAATGGTGGTTTTAAGGTTTATATTATAGATCTTTCCTAGTTACCATTCTTGGTGCTCTTATTTCTTTTCTATGGATGCCGATTCCATCTTGTATTCCTTTCATTCTGTCAGATAAACATTCTTTAATATTTCTTAGAATGTGGATTTGCTGGTAATAAATTTTTATGAATTGAAATAGATATTTGCCACTGTTTTTGAAAGTTGCTTTTGCTGGGTATAGAATTCTAAGTTGATAGGGGTTTTTGTTTTTCATATTTCAATCATTTTGTTCTGCTGTCTTTTCACTTGCCTTGTGCTGTTGAGAAATATTCTACACTTAAATTTGTCCATAATATATTTTTTCTTTCTATTTATTCTAAGATATTTTCTTTATTTTTGAGCAGTTTGGCTCTGATGTTTTATGTTGTTTCCTGTGTGTATGATGTTCATTGAACTTCTTGGATCTGTAGAGTACTCTTATATCATATGAATATTTGAAAACATTTCGCCAATTTTTCTTCAAATATACTTTCATACTCTCCTTCAGGAATTCCAATTAATTATAGATTAGCCCACTTTAAATACCACAGATTTCTGATGCTTTGTTTATTTTTTCTAATTATTTCTTTCTGTCTATTTCATTTTAGATTTTCTATTGCTATACCTTCTTTTACTAACTTTTTCTCTGGCTATGTATAATATATATTCAATTGTATCCATGTGTTTTCCACCTCAGACATTGTAGTTTTCATACAGAAATCCAATTTGGGTCTGCTTTATATCTTTCATTCCTTTATGTGTCAATTCAACGTTTTAAACATTTGAATACATTTGTAGGAATGGTTGTAATGTCTTTGCTAATTTACCATCTGTGTGAGCTTTGCATAAGTTTCAATTGATTGGTTTATCACCATGTGATTTGTATATTCCTGATTCTTTGCATATCTGTTTTTTAAATTGGATGCTGTACATAGTAATTTAATTTTCTGGATGCCAGATATTTGTTATATTCCCACAAATATTCTTGAAATACATTCTGATATACAGTTAGATTTCTTAGACATAACTCGAAGCTTTTTAGTTTTCTGTTTAAGGTTTGTTTTTCAGGACCATAACAGTATTCAGTCTAGGACTAACTATGCCCCACTACTGAGGCAAGACTATTCTCAGAATTCCACCAAAACCCTATGAAAAAAGAACATCTCTTTGAATAAAATAAGGAGATTCACAATTTATTGGTAACAGAATTCAAAGCAGCAAGAAGAGTCACAGATGACTAAATATTCAAGTCTGACAGAATATAAATGTTCTACTCACTGATGAAAAACCACAAGTTGGAGTCATGGTAGAATATTAAAAAAAAAAAGTTAAATCTTTAAAATGAGCATAATTCTGTGTACACAACCTTTTGCATCTCACAAATTAAAACTGAACATATATTGTCTTTCATCTATCAAACTTGAGTCTTTTTTCTTTTTTTTTCTACTTTTTTATCTTAAATGCTTTTTTTTCAAACATTCATTTACCATACATCCTTCTGCCAAATACTGTTCTTACAGCCATGTTAATGTGTATATATCCTTTCAATTTTAGTAATTCACACTTTAAACTATGACTGAAGTGAGAAAGATTTAAATGACTTTCCCCAAATTCAGAGACAAATAATCTAAGTATAAAAAATACACTGTTTTTAAATTAATGAAAAATGCAAGACAAATTTGAAAAGACCTTATACATTGTAACATATTCTAAGAGCTATCCAGCATAGGAAAACTTTTGAAGAAAAGCATCTAGTGAAATATTTCTGCATAATTTCCATAAAATATAAAGCACTGTGCATGATAATAAGTTCTGGTTCTAACATAAGCCAATATACATTCCATAATTTGTTTGATTAATCCCTAGCAATGTAGTGAGGATAGAACATAATCGAATTGACAGAAAAAGAGCACTTCCCATTATCCACTACTGCTAGACAATAAAATTCCAACTTTTTTCAAGAGGAGAAAATATATCATCAAACATAAAAACCTGGGCTGAAACCCACAATATGAAAGTTACTGCCTTAATGAAATATTAAAATTGTATCAGGAGTACTCTTCTGGCATTAAAAATAAACAATAACATTTCTTCCCAGTTATGGTTCACTTCAATTCGTTAAAAATTAATTATTACCTCTTTAAATATTTGATTAAATTAGATTTCTGTGGGCTATCACTGCCCACAAAACATGCTATTGTGTATAATTCTCATATCTCAAATTTTGATATACTTTGTCATATTATTGAATTCTGTGATAAATTCTTTGATTTGTTTTTTGCCTTGGTAGTTTTAAAACATAAATACAACTGAAGCTCTCTTATTTTGAATATAAATACTGCATACTGTTAAGCAGCCCCATAAAAAGTAAAAAGTGTGCGACAGTAATATTTGGTACTTCCCTATCATATATTGTCTCACTTTTTCTCAAAGTCAATTGCCATCACACTTATAAAAAATATTATTTAAAGTTCATATAACTGCAAGCAGGAGCCATTCAGTCCAGCTGTCCATAGTCTATACAGTTTGACTGCCAAGTGAAACATTTTTGGCACCTATCTATAAATTACTAGTGAAAAATGTTTTCAAGTAAAAAGTATATGTTTCATACTATGGTTCAACTGTCCTCAATTCAGAGTGAATTGTCGAGCCCATCATAAGTTTAGAAGTGTGATGCATAGGCATAATCTTACCATTAGTATAAGTACTGAGTTTATTAAGTTATCATTTTCCTTTTCAGAGAATTGCTTTAACACTATTCATATTATATTTAAATATCCACAACAATATCTGTTGTTCAATTTCAAATGCCAATCAGTGAACTTCAGAAATTATGCCTAAGGGAATAGCCTGAAAAAATGTTTATCTAGTTTGTATACATAAATTCTGGAGAAAAGGAAAGGGGTTGGTCTGTTAGATTGAGGAATCATGATATGAGGGGTATTTTATTTAGAGAAAGCCTTATTCGTGTAAATTTCTCATGCATCAAGGGAAAAACCCTCACCACCCAATGATAAATGTCTCAATTTTCTTCAAACTACATCCACAAAGTATCTCTAATAATACAACAGCAATATCTTATTCTCAACCTTTTTTTTCCAATCTAGTTCTTCCAATTAACTCCCTAGTTCCACCAATACCATTATAATTTTGCTAACCACTGAGCCTGTTGATGCTAGACTCATCTTCTACTTCTCAACTATCTAGCATCTCTCATACCCATTCTGTTGCCAGTGATAGCATAGCAGATTCCTGGGTGTTACTTGCCAAATCCACAACTCTTTGAGAATTATTCCAGTCTTTTCTGGAAGGTGGAGAAATAGCCATGTTTGTGATCTTAGCCCTCTGGCAATAGCTTATTGGACCAGGTATAGTTACAACACTCAAGCTCCACCAATAAAAATTTTCTTAAGAATGCGAAGTAACCCACATAGAAGTTCCATCAATCAGTGTCCTCACTGGAATGAGGAGATATTACACTTTGCCAGATATCCAAATTGAGCCTAAAGAAGAAATAGCCAGTATTGTTTAAAATAAGAGTGAAACAGAAGTACAGAGACAAAACAGAAGCACAGAGACAAAAAGACATGTGAAATTATGCAACCCCAGAAAGACGGAGAGGTTGGTTTCTATTTCTAATTTTCCAGTCTCTGTTTAAGTACGTTGGAGAACACAGATATGCTTCCTGGTCTTAGACTCCATGTAATCCTGTTATATGTGCTAACTCTCCCCAGCCTTGTTGATTGAGCTGGTTTATATTTGTAGCCAGGTACTGTTCCTCACAGTTTAAGGCACTGACTAAGGGCATTGTTAGAAAATCTCTCCTCATATTTCTCTTGCCTGTACTCTTGTTACCATGTTTACTGTTACCATAACACTTTCAATAATTACTTACATTCACTGAGCATTCATTCAATAGTATTTTAAATGAGTCCCTACTGGGTGCAAGGCATACTTCCAAACCTAAGATAATAATGTTGACCAAAAAAAGCCAGTTCCTTATCTTTTGAAGTTGAAATTTAGTGAGGAGAGTCTTACAAATGTATTGTAGTATATTAATATATAATATTGAATGGAGATAAGGTCTCCAAAAAGAGAGCATCTTTTTGTGAGTGTTTATACAGAGAAAATTGATGTAGAACTGGGATCAGGAAAGGCCTCCAAGAGTAAATGACACTTCAGCTGAGATGTTAAGAAAGAGTAAGCATGGATTTTTAGAGAAGGGCAGGAGCTTCGACATGTTTTAAGAAAAAAAGGGAAGCTCATACAAAATTTCCTATGGCATAAGGAAATCTGAATGATATGGGAACTAAGGACAGGCAAAACAGCCTTGAGCAAAGAATAAGCACAGACAATGCAAGCTATCACTGTAGAGATCACGCAGTGTTTTCGAAAATTTGGATTTTATCTTAAGAATGATGGCATATCATAGAAGAATTTTAATTAGTGACTTGGTGTCACCTAATCAGTTTAGTATTTTTAAGATATTATTCTGGCTGTAGTGTTGAGAAGGAATTGGTAAGGTACCAGATTGGATGTGGTGGACAAACTAGTTGGCAATTTTAGTACCCTGCCAGTCAAACAGTGATGCTGGTTTCCACTTAAACCTTGTAGTATGAAAGGGGGAATGAAAAGATATTTAGAAGAATCAAAAGGACTTGGTGATGATTTTTGTATAGAAATAAAGGAAAGGCTGATATTGTAAATGACTCCAAGGTTTCTGGCTAGAGCAACAAAATATAGGATGGTAGTTCTTACTGAGATATCCTGAAGTTTACCAGGTTTGAGAAAAATGTGTGTTGAAGTGGGGGAGGTGGAGGAACATTCACGACTTAGCAATTAGAAATGTTGAATTTGAAGTACTGTGACATTTTGTGTAAGAGGAGAGATCAGGCTGATATACTGAGAAGCATCAGTATATGGAGATGGTCAGTGGAACCATAGGCAGGGAAGAGATACTATAGGAGAAGATAAAAAGAAAAAGGATAAGGAGGTCTGGTACTAAACCAGGAAGAACTTCAAATTTTCATGGCTGAGTGAATCTGAAAAACACACTGAGAGCATCTCTCAGAAAGATTGGGTCATGAAGTCAAAGCAAAAATATGTTTCCAGAACTACAAGTGTCAAGGAAAAGGAATGCTAAAAAATGTACACTGCATTGAGTGACTGTGAGATTACTATTACCTTTACTAAGAACTGTTTTCTGGAATAAGGAGCAGAGAGAGGACAAAGAGACCAACAGGTACAAAAAGGAGGTGGTAAATGTAAAGCATGATTTTTAAAATTTAGCTGTGAAGGAAAAGGGGGGTGATGAGAGAAAAGTGGACATTTCTCCTCTCTAGTTGAATATGTCCTTGGATGTTGGCTTTTTAAATACTTTGAGTACATGACATTTCAATATGGTCATTTTGGTTAAACTAGCTGGGAAGGGGCCATTAGAATATTTCCAAAAGGTCTTTGCAAGCAACATACCTAACAAGGAATCTAACCCCATGGCTCATCTTCTCCTCTCCTTGAACTAAGCTTATTCCTGGGTCTTATTCCAAGCCCAAGTCTGTCCCCTCCTTTACTGAATTCTCAGGACATCATCGCCCATGCCATTTCATACCTTCACCCATGATGGAACTCTGGAATAAAGTGAGACAACTCCAATAAATATTAGCATAATGCCAGGTATTTTATTACCACTCAAAACTAATTTACTAAATTTAATTGCATAATTACACAGGCAAAAAACAAAGAATGCATTACTAATTTTCACCCATCACCTGGAAAGTATTCTCAGCTATAAGGTTGTATAGGTGTTAAGAAATAATAAAATTGCTGAGGGTCTAATGTGAATGATAAGCTATTTATCCTAAAATTTTCACCATTTTCTTATCTGTGTAGATAAGGAACACATGTTAGTGATAATCGGTTGTAAAGAACAAGGACACACTTACACTATATCGTTTATTCCAAGGATACATATATGTAGGATCCAAATGAAAGCTAAAAACCAAATGCTCAGACCAGAAATATGAGTGTCGTTCTGAATTAAAACCAGCACTAGAAGCCTCAGCCATTAGGGATCCTGGATCTTCTCTCTAGGATCCCAACTACCTCCAATTACTCTGTAACTATTTGTATGTTTGTGTCTGCTCTTCAAATCATTCTTCTATTTATTTCCTTACCTGATGCTTAGTGTGCATGTGTGTGTATGTGTGTGTTTCCTCCTTCATCTAATAGCTTTTTGAACTTAATTGTAATTTCCATTCTCTCATAAATTCCAACTGCATGTGGCCTCATCAGAGCCTCTCCAGTGTCTCCCTTATGACATTTCAACTTTTACCACTGCTGAATCTCTCCCATCATTCTCTCCACATTTGATAATTTTTATGCCAGAGTGAAGAATCTAATTGATCTAGTTAATCATCTTGCACCAGATCACCGTGAGATTTCTACCATTCTATTGACCCACTGCCTGTGGATCACAGGGCAGAATCATTATTTAGTATGGCATTTGGATGTGGAAGCTTTATTTAGAAGAATCTGTGGACTTAGCAGACAGCATAGTTAAGACTGATATCAGGGACAATGCTTAATAGATACTTGAAACCTTTGGTACTATAAGCCTATGGTCTGTGCTCTGTTTCTGGGCTACATATCAATGAATCAGCTGATGAGCATTTTTGAAAGTCTAATTCTAAGGTTTCAGTCAAAACGTTCTAAATGTGGCATTTCTACAGGTTCAATTTAAGAAGCTGGTATATCTTAAAAGCTTCCCAGATCATTCTGCTTCTGCCTTTCAATCGTATAGATTGTGTTCTTGATATAAGAAGTATCTGAAGTTTTAACTAGCATCACTCATTTTCTCGTTTATCTTCTATTCAAAATGTTTGCCATATTTGTTAGAGAATTTATTGATAGCATATATTACAAACTTTTTATAGGTGTGTCCTTTTCCTTAGTGGTCATAAACCAGGAGATGCAAATTGATAAGCCTATAAAGGCCAAGTGTATAACTGAGAATATGGATTCCTTCTGGAAGACAGAAAATGGTGGGGCTTCAGCCCCATCTCACAGCGGCCATGATGATTCAGCTTAATTTAACTCTTCATACAAATATGGGAGATTAGTGTTACCAGAGCTTCTATTTTCAAAAGAAGTTAAAAATCGAGATTTCATAAAAATCTAGATTTTAATAAAAATCTCCATAGCTCATAGATTGATAATTTATTTAAAAATGTACACACACACACACACGCACACATGCACGCATGCACACACACACACGTGCACACACACACACACGCACACACACACACATGCATGCATGCATGCACACACACACACTTTGTAGGCCAAACTTAAATAGCCAATGAAAACATGTTATTGTACCATGGTGCCTTTTAGAGGGAGAATGCATATTACTTTGATTCAGAAGGTGATACCCAAATGTCATGGTTTGTGAGAAGAAAGAGAGAGGTTATATTGCCTGTGTCGGAAGAGAAATTCGGGATGGAAAATAGTAGGAGAAAAATGAGAGGGGGAAGATGGCAATAATGTCAGAATCTAAAGTTCATAAAGAAATGTAGTCAGTGGTGTTGGTGTGGAGTCAAAAGACTTAAATATATATATATATATTGCATTTTTGTGACTTATATTTCTCTCCACCATCTTCCAAAACCTTTAATAAAGGCTTCTTTATATATGAATGATCAATGTGGATTGTATAAAGGAAAATCCAGCAAAGGGGGCTAAATTCCATGCTTAGATTGTAGCATCTGGTAGACAATGGAGATAAACTATGGGAATGGACATGTGTAGGAAAATGAGAGTTGACAGATTTCACGACTGGATTCAATCCAAAGGTAATCATGAGAACCCAAGGCCCTGGGAATAGGCAGAACTTAAGGAGGTACCATTGACCTTCTCAGATCCAGCATAGGGGCTAAGTTCTTGTTTCCTTCCCAGTGCTAAGTTTTCCTAGGTGCTGTGTTATATGGGATACAATGACAAATTTTATATGACACTGTTTCTGTCCCTCTAATCAGCTGACCTACTTTATTCAGGACAAATTTTGGTTATCCTTATTCTCTCCTCTTTAAATATGGTACCAAGAACTAAATGTGCACAATATTGATTAAAATTTGAAAGACGCTGTATAGACAGGGAAGGCTTTCACCTTACACGAAATGCTGTAAAATGGCAAAAGCAACGACAGAGGAAAACAGAAAATAGCAAAAGATTTCTCTATTGTGACAACACAGGGCTTTAGTTCGTATGATAATCTTAGGTTAATGATCATGTAAAATAGGTAAAGGGAAAAGCAGTGAAAAGATAGTGATCTTACTATGAGGTAGTAGATTAAGAAAGATGCAGACAATTTTTTATTCCTTTTTATGAGATTTTGAATAGTGGTTGAATAAGAAAATATTTTTGATGTCCAAGTACTCATTATAGCAAATGCTGTGAAATACAGAAATAAAATGTGATAGACAGTAATAACCACCAGGTTTGATATTTATATACAGAATATGAATATCTGAATTTGCTATTTGCAGTCTGTCAATTGCAGGAAAAATCTTCCTTTCAGTCATGATTGTCCTCTCTATAAAATAGTGATATGTGGTCTTATCTCCTATGGCTATTACGAAGATAAAGAACATGAAGTAATTTCTTTAAAAGTTAATTTTGAGAATTTAGTTCCAGTTGTCATAAAAATGTCCTTATTATTCAACTATAAGCTAAAAATTCTAGAAAACTCTTTTTTATCTCTTAATTTATCTTCTCTGTGAGGTATCTCAGAAGAATCAAAGATTATGTCCTCATTCTTGGCAGTGGTCTCAAGAGAAGACCACAACCTCTTGCTAATTAGCTGCACCAATTTCTGGACTACTTATTACATGTTCCAGGGATATCCTTGTTTTAAAATATATATATAATTGGAATTTAAGCGTGCTAACTGGAGTTCTGATCCACTCAATTCTGACACCCAGCATCTAATTTGAAAAATCTCCTGAAATCATCTATTCCTTTTAGTCACTGTATTCAGATATGGTAAGAATTTCAATTGTGAACTTTCCATAGTTATGGCACTTAGATTCATAAATATTTTAAAGAAATTTGCACTTTCTGTCACTGACTTCACAGGATGGTCAGCGAAGCTTCTCTTCTCAAGCAGACCTCCTTACCTTGGTTTGGTCTTCTCAGATACTACACTTTGACATAAACTTAGAATGAAATCCATGAACACTATGAACTAAGGATATATTCAAGTTAACACCTTTCAGAAATGGATAGTTTCATAATATATTTCGGGAATCCACACCAATTTATAAAAATAACTTTACCTATAAACCAAATAGAAAAAGAAAAAAACAAATACAAAAGTAAGTTGTTATTTCTTACAACTAATACAAATTCTTTATGACACAATATCAGGTTGGCTCGATAATTTTTTCTCAATGAACAAAAAGGCAAATCAAGGAAACAATTTTTAAAGTACAAACTACAGTGAATCATATGGAATGTCATTTTGGAGAACAAAAAATATTGTCTCAGTAATTACATATGGTTCAATCTAGTACATCCAAAAACCTCAAAAGACTTTCTGTTCTTCTTTTGCTTCAAAAGAGCCTCAAAATGCATGTCAAAGTTTTTCCTTTCTAGATGCTCCATCTATCTCAATAGACAAAGTGCCTCATAAAGCCAGAATGACTTAAAAAGATTATAGACTATTCATATCAAGTAATGAAGAATTCCAAATGTTTTCTCATTCTAAATTTCTCTTTATTATAATTTTTTATTAATAACATATCCAGTTGAATATCTTATATAACATTTGAGAAGCAATAAATTATAATGGCTTACACTTATATTATGCTTTCCCAGATGAGCTCATCTCATAGACATTGTCTTATTAATATTCAGAATTGTTCTGAAATGTAGGTAGAGATGATTATGTTGAACAGTGATGGAACTGCAGAGGAAAGGTGCACTCCCTTTGCTCTCCATTTGATCTTGACTTGAAAAAGACAGTAGAAAGTAAAGCTAATAGCTGAAATTGAAGCTGATAGGATGGAGAGTTTAATAGGCTTCTTTCCAATACTAATGTAAGATCCATGAGTCAGGGACCATATCTTGCTCTGTCATATCTCTAGATTTTAAGAAGAGTGTGTTATACATACAAATGGTTCATCAAATATTTTTCAAATGAATTTTTGGGATATGCATTATTACACCTATGTCATACATATGCTCTTGTCTTATTTAAATTGTTTTACCACAATTGTAGAAAAATAGATCTTCCTAAACAATTCAAATCAATTTTTTCCTAAACTTATAATTTTGCATATTGAAAATATTGCATGTCGTTATTAAAATTTTTTTATTTTTGTTTTTTTACAGATGACTAACCTGAGGTTCAGGAAAGAAAGTTGAGGTAATTAGCCCAAAGCCTCTGATAAAGTAATTGGCAGGATTCAGTCTCTGGTTGTTACAGATTCTAAGTCCTAGTTATTTTCCCTGTAGTAGACTGCATTCCCATTTTATTATCATAAACTTTTTTATCTCTTAAAATATGATATTTAAATGCAAATTCATTTTATTGAATAGTTTTGTTCAATTGAGTTGTCATTTATATATCATCATTGCAGCACTCTTATATTAGAACTCTTACTAATAGTAGATGTAGAGAAGAAAGGAAGAGATAATGAATAGACAACACATTTTAGGAAACATTCATTGGTAAAGGCAATTCTCTGGAACTTTGCAGAAATTTGTATAAAGCCCAAAAATATGGAAAGTTAGTACCTATAATTTCTGTAATTATAATCATCCTTCAATCATATTCCATATAGCGAATCCACATGACCTAAAGAAGAAAAAAAGGTTTGAAGAAATGAGACTTAGATTTTGAATGATAAACAGACCTGAGAATTTCTCCAACAGGGTGAAATCACAAGCAAATAATTGGGAAAGGTGAGGAAGTGCCTCTCAATTCTACATAGCAGTGCGAGAAAGACATCCAAAATGATGGTAAATTGTTTCTTCTTCACATTCTAATAGACACAGTTTCTGTGAAGAAGCATAAAACATTTTTTCCTCCTGTAAAACACCTGTGTCTAGTAATTAATATGTATCATCCACTGTAATATGAATAAGGAGAAAATTCATAGGAGCAGGCTGATGAATCTTAGCAGACATTCTTTTATTCCATGACTATGTCTAATATAACCCTTAAAAAGCTGTAATAACATTTAAAAAGTAGTATCTTCTACTGCTCAGTGGAAATGTGGCAGAACATATGTAAGCAGAAAAAATAAACATGAGCATAACTGATTTAGAAGATAAAACATAAAAACAAGGGTTTTCAAAGTCAAGTCAATGAAAATATTGATAACAAGTGATTTTGTACATACAAGTCAGATATTTTATGGATCTGGGAGCCATAGCTTTTTTTCAGGTAGGAAATAAATACTATTTCTAAAGACCCTCAGTCCTAAAAATGTCTGCATCTCTGTCACTTAATGTAAAAATGGCACATAACAGGTACGCAATAAATGCTTCTGGGAAATTGAACAAATGAATTGCAAAGTTCATAATGATGCAGTCCCTGGTTTAGTGAGTTTAATAGACTATAGAAACGTATTTGAACATCAGATCTGTACATCTACGGTATTTTAGCTGGTAGAGCTGAGTAAACATCACACTGTAATAATCTCTCATGCATATTTTAGTCATTTGGATAATCTAAAAATACCAGTGCCTACCTCAAACCTCAGAGATTCTGATTCAATTGTTCTAGTATAGGAGGTGGGCATCAGTACTCTTAAAAGCTACCCAAATTATGGTACTGTGTATACCACTGGAATTAGACCGAATTGTCTATGCTACCAATTTGGTGGTCATAAGTGTCACCTATAAGCAGTAGATAGTCATCGTTGGGTTTCCAGCAGAAACCTAAGGAGACTAAATATTTTAGTCATACTGACTCTACAAGGATGTGCATATTTTTAAGGCAGACTTAGTAAGATTCATCATCTGAGTCTGCTAATTTTTTTAGCAAATATATATTGAGTGCCTAGTATGTGTAGGCAGTGTCCTGGCAATGGGAATACAGCAAAGAGAAAGTTAGTCAAAGTCCCTACTATAATAAAAGAGAGATTATTCCACCTCATACCAAAGTATTCTAGTGTGATTGAAGGGACTACTACCCTCCCCACCACCCCACCACCACCCCAAAAAAGAAAGCAGTAGGCAATGGGAATACATAACAGGAAGAGCCCCTAGATATAACAGCCCCTAGATTAGGGGCTCAGGATAGGTCCTGAAGGAAGACCTGAAATTGTAGGGACCAGTGGAGAGGGCATTCTTAGCCAAAAGGAGTATGTATTAAAAAAGACATAGCAAAGGGTTTTTGAGGTTGAGGAACTGTAGGTCATTGTGGTTGAAGCATAAAGAGTGAGGGGGCACATGGCTTTTAGCTGAAGCTGGTGAGGTATGTTTAGTCAGATAATGAGAATGGAGAGCTATTGTATTTAAGATATTTAACTTCCTGAACAGTTGCCAATTCTGTCCAATTTTCCAGTTCACACTATTTAACTCTCTCTCTACCCCCTGTCACTAACCTAATCAAAACTACCATATCTGTCTCCTAATTTCTCCTGTTTATTCTCTTACTGAAACCAGTATAATCCTTTGAAAATAAACATAAATGTTATAATTTCATGCTACTGCTTGAAGTCTTACAATAATTTCTTAATGACAAGGAAAATATTTAGAGCTTATTATGGACTTGTGTCATCTGACCTCTCTCTCTCTCTCTCTCGGATCATCATGTCATCACTTGCCACTCTTCCACCGCCATATTGAATTTCTTTCAATTGTTCCGATTTGCCAGACTTTCTCACACAGGTTTTCTCCTCTGCCTGCTTGTCATGTGTGATTTAACTTGCTTATCAGAAAACTTACTCTGTGGTTTTTTTTTTTTTTTTGTCCCAGCTAGACTATAAACCAACATGTATCCTAAACTCCTAGCACAGAACTGGTCCATATTTATTGAATGCACCTGTAAGAGAAAGAATAATTGCACTTGAGATCCTATACTAAAAATTTCTGGGCTGGTCAAATGAATAAGCTTTTCTTCAATACTTTTTAATGGAAAATTAAAGTTTTTAATAGCTCATGGCATATTTATTCCACATGTAGCAATAAATTTTTAAAACATTAAAAATGGCTTGTGATATGGTTGTGTTTAACAAGTGACGATCTCTTTCTGAGCTTCAGCGGAGATCAGAAACTGATGGGGTAAAGAGCAGGCACCACTCACACAGTATGTGGGCATTGAAGTAGTCATTTACCACTTGCAACACTTAGCCACTTCCACAACTCTCTCTGACAAATCTTACCACAAAACCACATGCTCCTCCAATTGCTTGACAGAAGTTCGACTTGAAAAGGTTTCCTTCAGTGTAGATTTTCTTTGTTTCCAGTTAGTGATAGAAGTAAAGCCTATCACAACCTGTGTGAGCTCTGCATTCAAGATATTCTGTGACCCAAACAAAGGCCTAGGAGAGGTATGGGAAATGAAAATGGAATAGAGCAATCAGTATCCAGAAAATAGGACAACCCACATGGCCGTTCCCTGTAACACATGTTCAGATATTCTTGAAGAACCCAGATGACATGCTAGGTAGTTTATTTTCCAAGGGGAGTGATCTGGTAGGTAAAGCAAGACAATAATATTTGTTAAGTAGTAGCAGTGCTCAGAATTTTAGGTGTGAGGTGATCTCATGTTTTGAGGTGGTTTGTTTGGAGGAAGATCGGAGCAGATTTCTGGTAGCTGCTTAGCTGTGCAAAGAGATGAGACAGCAAACAAAGACAATGTTACTCTTTGAAAGATGTCTGGCTCAAATAAGCAATGTAGTGTTCAAAGCAATGCTTCATTTCCACAGGGACGAGCTTGCTGGAATATGGTTGTGAATCGGGGGAAATGTAGTGTCATAAAGAATGTGTAAGCCTGGTCAGAGAGTAGTTTCAGGTGAACAACCAGTTCCCTTGGCTGACAGGTGTCCTGAATTCCCCACAGGTGTAACTAATGTGCTAAGGGCTGAAAACTCCTGTCCACCTCAGGTAATAGAGATGAGGCTACAATCAACTACCAGACTAGCTGAGAACTGTGGCTTAGAACCCAGTTAAGCCAAAGCATATTGCCTGAAAGGACTTCAGTGCTGTTAAGGACAGCATGGAAGGAATTATAGATAGAGTTGCCTTTATCAATTGTTCTCATTTGTGCTTCATTTCTTTCTCAGCTGGGCCCTGGGTTTACCATGATTTTTCTACCTGCTCCATGGTTCTGGTGGCCCTGGTGCCTTATACCAAGTCAGTCCTCTACTATAGCATGCCCCGCTTCTTATTCATCCTTCTCCCAGCTGAAATATTTGCATCTCACATAGACCTCTCTGCCATAGTTTTAAAGCAATGTCACTGAAAAATGAAGCTCCTCTAGCAAGGAACAGGGGGTTAAAAAAGTTTGGGGAAAGGAACAAGGAAGGAAAAGCTTAATACCACAGTTTCTGGAACAAGATTGGTTGGGTATATATCCTTACTAACTGTAGGATCATGTTATCTTCCATCTGACCTCAACCTTCTTACCTATAAAATGGGTACAATAATAACAGCACTTACCTTGTTGGGTGGTTGTAAAGAGTGAGAAAATACAGGCAACATGCTGGCAACAGTGCTCAGCACAAAATAGCTTTCAATAAATCTTAGCTATTAATTATTGTTTTCTGACATTCCTCAAATCATCATGGCATTTTAATAGCTATCTATTCATCCAATATGGGATAGGAGATCAGACCTCAAAGAAATAAATACATCCGGAATATTCCAAACTATGTAGCTTTTTCTTTGAACTACCTATCATGTGACAAATAGTTAAAACTTCTGAAATACTGAATGTTCCACCACCTATAAATGGATTACTTACAGGATGCTCTTGTACTATATAGAGCTAAGCCTCCAAAATGACCTGAAGATAATAGCAATTATTGCTAAAGCCTAACTGAATTCATCTTGTCTCCCATCTTCCATGTGACTTTATAGTAGTTAAAAATTGATCTATTTTTAAAATAACAATTGTATAATTTAGTTTTCTTAATTGGAGTAGCATTTTTTCCTCTTTACTCCCCTGCTTTACACTAACTCTTCTTCTCTCCCCTGCCTTACACTAACTCCTCTTCATACATGAAAGCATTCTATATGTGTATGATGAATGCATAATAGGTAACTAAGATATGCATGGTAAAAGGTAAATGGTTTCTCTAATTAGGCTTAAATAAGACTGAATAATCAATGAAGATGGATAAAATAATCCTAACATTTTAATTATTTTGTTTTTACCAAGCTGTGTACACAGTGAGACCTAAAATCATAATTCTGAAGTAAATCACATTTAAAAAATTACAGCTTTATTTTTGCATTGATATATTGTGCAAAGATTTTCAGTTTCTTGAATACAGATTGTGGAATCAAATCTTGCTTTCACCATTTACTGCATGATGTTGGGCAAATCACTTAAGTTCTTTGGATCTCAGTTACATCATAAGTTACATGAGGATAATAAGATTACTTCCCTTGGTGTTATTTTGAAGTTTCCAAGATTCCTCCTGTTATTAATGTCTAGCTTTTTACCATTGTAACTGAAAAAGATATGTGATATTACTTTGACTTCCTTAAATGTATTAAAACTTGTTTGGGGGCCTCACATGTGATCCATTCTGGAGAATGTTTTATGTACGCTTGATAGAATGCATATTTAATTGTTGTTGGGTGGATATTATAGAGCAGTTTTGAAAAGGAATTTATCTTAATAAAATGCTTAGAACAGTATCTCACATAGAACAAGAGCTATGTAAATGTGTGTTTGCTATTTAAAAATACAATAGTCACACAGCAACGGTAAATTCCACTAATGTATGCCTTATATGGTACAATAAGACAGGCTGATGCAATTGTCAACTTAAGTCTTCTAAGCTTTCAAGCTCAGAGCACCAGAGGATGGCTGGGTGTTTTTGTATGTGTGCCTATCTTGGCTCTATCTTTAATATAGCAACTTTAGTTCACACTTTATTTAGCTAAATAAAAAATGTTTACACTTCCTTTAAGGCTGTTGGTCTTCCAGGCCTCTGGCAGCAGATACAAAAAAAAAAAAAATAATAACATCCTGCTTTGCATGGCCAAAGGTTGCACGGCTTCAAGAAAGTTGTACCAAATGTGTTTGAGGAAATACATGATAGGCTGCCCTTGCAAAGACTGCATGATGTTCCAGAGGAGTTTAGTCTTTACCTTTAGATTTCTATGCAGTTAGCTATTATCCTGAAATATTCCTGAACTCCCAGAGTGTAGCAAGCAGCTTCAGGAACTGGCAATGTTTATAAGTCCCAACTGAGTGTTTTCACTCCCTTGATCTCCAGTTCCAAAGGATCCATGTGGAGTTTGGTGACAAGTGGAATAATTTGAGTCTCTATTTGAAGTGGAAGCCTCATTGGCTGTTTTAACCTATGTACAGATTATAATTTCACAGAAGGAATATCTAATAGGCTTGTACACAAACTAAAGACTCAATAGGTGTCTTATCCCAATATTTTCCCATTTTGTAGTTGTATAGCAATAAGGACAGTACTACTTTTAGGGTATACATTAGGAACATAGAAGTAATAAAATTCCTTCTCTGACCAAGCCCCAATTCTTTTCAAAATTTTTGAGAAGGAGAGAGGGAAAAAGGGCAGTTAGTTCTCTTAACAATAATTGTGTATTAAAACCATCCCCAAACACAATGTCTTATGACAGCTATTTCTCAGGCACAGCCTACAGGTCTTTATGGTTGGGCTGATCTTGGCTAGACTTGGTGTGATTTGGTTTCAAGGGTATGTTTGGCTCAGCTCTGTTCCACATGTCTCTGATCCTCTTTGGACCAAAAGTATATATATACTTAAAACATGTTTTTTTCCTACCAAAATGCAGAGGGGTAAGAATACAAGCCCAACAATGCAAGCCCGGTCTCAAGGCTCCCATACATTCGCCGATTATCTAATTTTTCAAAACAAGTCAAAGATTGGGAAAGTACATTCTGCTTACCATGAGACCATGGAAATAAGTTAGGGGTGGGAGAAGGGTGGTATTGATAAGTAAGGAGTGAATACATGCTGAAAATGAATTTGAATAACTAGATGAACAAACTCATGGATAACTAACTGAATTTCCAAAGTAAAAGTACCAAGATGATTGTTTCCAGCGGCTAGATATTGGTTCAATTTGCCTTTAAGAGGTATAGATACATATACTTAGGGTTGTTTTGTTTAGGCAGAAAAGGGGAGTATCATCTCTCCATAAGGTCCTTGGCCCATATTCTCCTCACCTCTCTATAAACACTAAGTGCCAGAAAAACATCCTTGGTTCATGCCTCAAGCCATATACATATAAAGGGAACAGTTTCTTCTCTTCTCTGAATAATTTATGGCTTTTTCCCTTCGATCCTCTTACTGTGAAACTATAATCCATATGACTATCAAAAATCACAAAGTTGCCAATCTAAAGCAAAAGTGTTCTTGAAATCTGTGAACCCAAAAAAGTTTCATTAATTATTACTGTATGGACTGCAAACTGTGATTGTAGAGATTCAAGAATGAACAATACAGGAATGCCCCCTTCTCTTAAGGAAAGTAAGTATAGTTGGGAATATAAACAGGCTATTGTATAATACTGCATGGAAACTGCTGTGATAAGATGAGCAGAACATGATAGATAATGGAAGAGAAGCTCTGCATTAAAGGAAGGAAGCTGAGGTTGTGCCTCTATAAAGTGAGACAAAGAGTGGAATATGTATGTGTGTGTGCATATCTGAGGCACTGCTGATACTGAGAAACCAGTTGTAAGGAAAGGCCATGGTTCTGCAAGAGTGAAAGGCTTAAAATGATATTCTGGAAGAAATTGAGTTACTAGTAACGGTAAGGTCTAGGGTATTACCTTGAGAGTGAGTGTCTGAGGAAAGGCAGAGGCCAAGGAATGAAGAGGCCAGGGAATCAGAAAGATCATCTATGAATCTGCAGATATCAAATTCCTCAGGAACTATGTTAGGAGTATTCCTGGAGAAAATATCAGCAAACTTAGAAATTAAACCTTTAAGCAATGAGAGTGGCCCAGCACATCTGTGTAAAGGGCTGCGAGTTGGAGGAGGAGTGGGTGGGGTTGTCTGATGATTTGAAGCTGAAAGCTGGGTGTTTTCTCGGAGGAAAATGATGTAGTAGTTGAGCAAGGAAAACATGTACTCAACCTTCCTACTCAATAATAGGAGAAGAGTGGGAGCAAAATCAGGCACCAATTGAGAGAGCTGAAGAGAAGAAAGTACCTACAGGTGAGAATTATAAAGGGAATTTTTTTTAGAACAATAAGGTGAGGGGAATATTCAAAGAAGAAGATTAGGATTGATCTATGGGGAGGTGCACGGAAGACTTGCTATGAGTCAAAGAGGGCAAGGTGGAAGAGTGTTTAGGCGTCAGGAAGGGGTAGAAATAGGAGCAGACACACAGAGATGTGTGGAATAGAAGGCAGGGAATTAGAATTTGGGTTTATCATGGTAACGGACATAAACATCAATAAAGAGCATGAGTAGATTGATCCTCATGGTCTCAAGGCATAAAGTTGTGTTGAGCCTATCAGCGTGAGGGTAACGAAGGGCTGCACGTCTTTCCAGGAGCACTCAGTGTTCTGGGCTACTTATAGACTCCATTCTGTGGAAGGCCAGGAAGAGGAGGAGAGGTTGGGAGCCAATTAATGGAAATTAAGCATAAGAAAAGTAGAGAGAACCCACCACATTCTAAAAGAAAGCTGACTCAACTCTTCTCTGTTTAAAGAAAGCAACTCAAATCTCTTCTTCCTGATGAATCCAGGAGTCACAGAACCTGTTTGTCTCTTTTGCTTCTAATTTTTCAACACTTTCGGTTTAGTGTGTTGGGTTATACATACCTATATTAACATAATCTACTCCATTACACAAATGTAATATAACACCTTGTTTGAGAGAGTCAAATACCTTGAGTCCAAAGTCTAGCCCTTTTAGTAACCAGAAATGTATTTAACTTCTTATGTCTCAGCCTTCATGCAAGTAAAAGTGAGATAATAATAGTACATAGCACATAGGACTGTTGGGAGAACTCTATTAGTTAGTTATATAAATATATACAATATCATAAAAGTTCTCAGACATTTTAATGGCCTAAAATACATTGTATATTTTCAAGAAGGAGGTGTATTACCTGAAAAATGAGATTTGTATTAACACAGAAATGCATTTGAATTCTTACTAGTGATGTAATATTGGGCAAGTTACTTAATCTCTCAAAAAAAATAGTTACATATATAAAATCTATTTTACAGAACTTATGGGAATAGAAGGACCTAGAACAAAAGACCAGATCTTCTTGTTTCATTTGTGAGTTGGCTTATTAGGAAATTTGTTACTTGATGATGGGTATTCTAACATATAAAACATATGTTTTAATTATTAAATAGCATATTATAATTTATTAATAAGTCTTATGACAGCTTACACAGAACCCTCAGTGAGGGCACATGTGGCAATGGTGGTGTGTAAAACTAGTGACTAAACATCATTGCCTTAAATATTATTATCACAAATGCATTTATGGCTCAAATCATTCTTGTCTAAATTAGATGAGGTATAAATCATATCATTTCCTGTTTGGGGTCTTGCTCCAGTGAAAAGAAAAAAAAGTCTTTCTACTGTGAAACTCCCTCTTTTTCATACTCTCTGATCCTTCTACCTAAGTAGAAAATGTCATAATAAGGGAATACATTTTTTGATGGAAGTGAATTCACCTTATATCTGGATTAAATCCTTGTGAACTCTGGGATGAATGAGAGCTTTATTTCTCCCACCAGGGAATTATGTCCTAAAATTATCCACCAGTCTGTTTGCCTTACAGCCTCCTCTCCATCTCCTCTAACTGTCCCTGTGCTCTGAGCAGTGGCTCTGTTCTGCATTGCTTGAGTGCCTATGATGCCAACGCTATGGAAATATTTTCATATTTAGGAATCAAGTGTTAAGGCTTTGAAGGCTCAAGAGTCTAGGGGATGTTTATGAGGCGCTATTTGACAGAACAATCAGCAATGGCCCCTAGTGCAATGGAACTGTAGAGAGTCTGTCCTTATTTTAGGACTGAAACTTCACCAACACTATACATTTGAAGAAGACTGGGACCTCTCTGAGCATTAGACTGTGAGGTAACAGAAATAACTGTCATGATAAAAAAAATTGCTAAAAAATAACTCAAAGCTATTCTGAAGAAATAGTTTGCCTCTCTCAGTAAAATAATCCTGAGAGGATTAGAGGTGAATCCTTTAAGGCCACAGATGTTTCTCACTATTATTATGGCTCTGTAATTCACTATCATACTAGCAACCACACAAAGATGATTTGTAATATGGATAATATATATCTTTAATGCTCAATAATCACATTTATTATCAGGTAATACATAATGTTATTTGTGCTTCATATTTTAAAATGGCATGTAAAGTAATGAGTAAAAGAATTCATCAGCAGTGTTGACAAGATTTTTAATTCATCGGTTTCCTTTGGTATTTTTCTTAAATAGAATAAGTAAGCAATGTAACCCTTACGTAAAACACATCTCAGTTTATGTTTATTCTGCTTTTTTATTGCACATTTGAAAATTAATAATTCAATGTTCTAATATTAGCTGTCATCTTAGCTGTGATAAAATTAATAATTCATCAAAATGATATCAAACAAATGGTGCCTTTTTTTGTTCTGGATGAGAAATAGTCCTCTCAGCTTTGAGAAACTACAATTGGTGAATTTATTTCTTTTATTTTGGGTCAACTAATATTTAATCATTTAAGCTATAATTTTAATGCTTTCATTTTAAATATAAAAATATGCATACATCACAATTGATGCTAAGAAAACAACCTTCTTTTTGTTACAGTAGATTGTTCCTACCCTTGCTCATTCCTTGGCAGATAAGCTTTCTTCAGAAAAAACAAGAAAAGTCATGTTTTGGAAAAGTTAAATATAAATGAAATGATGCCTTTCATTCTGGCTGATGTTATACTTGCACCTTTTCTAGGCTACAATTCATTGTAAGTATGTCATCGGACTGATGGGTACAATAGTCAGAGACGCGGAACATTTTTTTTCTGAATAATATATTTCCTTGAATTCATTTAAATATATTTTAAGTTAAAATAATGTGTTCTTAAGTGTTTATTTTCAGTTTTAAAAATGTGAGCTTAAAACACCTGCTTTCAAAAGTCTTTATATTTTTCTTCATTCTTTGACAGAATCTTTGTCTCTTTAATTATAGATATTGTTTTTGGGGTCCCAGGATTGGGAGTGGGAGTTATAATAAACCCATTTATTTAAATCCTTCCTGTTTCATTCCCATAATTTTTTCTTGGGTGAGTTAGCAGGAGATTATGGTAGTATAGAGCAAAGCATTGCTGCTTATATTAAGGCCCAAGTTCTCATCTTCACTCAGCCTGAGTTTATGAACAATCTGTATAAAATAGGGAATTTGTAATATATCAAAGGATATTCAAGGTCCCACCATAACATTCTGTATCGTAAATCTGGCAAATCTTCCTGAATCATAAGTCCAACATATTCAGGTATGGTAAGAAGTAAAAGTGTGTTTTATGGGTAAGTATGAAATGTTACAATCTGCCTCTTCATTCTGAGTTCGCTTATTTTTATTTTTATTTTTATGTTGAGAGAAAGGGTCTTACTCTTTCACTCAGGCTGGAGTGCAGTAGTGTGATCATAGCTCACTGTAACTTCAAACTTCCAGGCTCAAGGGATCCTCCCGCATAGTTAGGACTACATGTGCACGCTATTATGCCTGGCTAATTTTCTCTTTTTGAGACAGGGTCTCACTATGTTGCCCAGTGGTCTTGAACACCTGACCTCAAGCAATCCTCTTGCCTTGGCCTCGCAAAGAACTGGAAATTATAAGCACGAGCTACCATGTCAGGCCTGTGCATACTCTTTTTTGGTCTGTTGTTTTAACTCCAGCTTCCCCAATATCAATGTACATTAGTACCACCTGAGGTGCTTGTTCAAATGCAAAGTCCCAGTCCAATTTTAGAGATTCTGATTCAGTGAGACTAGTTTGGAGCCCCAAATTCACATTTCCAAATAAGCACCCAGACAATTTTAACACGAGTGGTCCACACAGGGTTATCAACTGTCCTGGCTTGACTAGATAGTCCCAGCATTGCTTCTAATACCAATAGTAAATATACTATTAGTAAGAGTGCCCCCTTTAACTCTTGAAAGTGTTTTAGTTTAGATGATAAATAAGATGGTTGCTTTACTCATAGACCACACTTTGAAGAACACATAATCTTTGCTTCTCAGTGAAGCATAAAAGCAGAGTTTGAAAGAAGTGTTTTGATGTGTGTACTAGAACTGGATGTCAGGTTAACAATAAACTTTTGCACTATGAAATGGTTGTCTTCTTCCTCTCCTCCCCTTCCCATGGTGATACAAGTGTCAAGTTTGCTGCATTCTTTTTTATTTTAAATGTATTCAAACCCTATTAGTTTGCATTTGGATTATTCAAATGTGTACTTCAAAGTTCCTAGCATTCACACTAAAGTATAGTTTTTCACTGAACCTGTAAACCTATAGAAATTTGTTTACTGCAAAGTGAATCAGCTGTGTGCAAAAGACTCTGATAAGTCTGTCAATGGGAGCAAAATAAAAGAGGACATATTAAAAGCAGAGAATTTGTAGTCTTCTATCTTTCCCTCCCACTTTTCACAAATTAAGTAGGTGTCTTCCCAGCAAAGGGAAGCAGTCCTAAATGTTTTCCCTTCTCATTGAATAGAATGTTTCATTACAATAACTCATTTGTCACAGATTTTTGAGGATTCTATTTTATCAACCATTGAGTCCTCACTACATGGAAGGTAAATGTTGGGCTCTGAAGAAACAAAGAAAAGAAAACACGGTCTATTTCCTTGAGAAGACCATAATTTAGTATAAGACATAGACAGGTAAACATTTCTTTAAATTGTAATGCACATTATAATAGAATAATAGGCAAAATGCTATGAGAACACACAAGAAGATTGTTAACTCATTTAATTTTCATTCTAACAAATGAAGTAGTGTCTTTTTTCATAAATATCTAGGTGATGGAACATCTTACCAAAGAATACATTAACAACCCATTCCAGTTAAAGACTGTAGTGATGTATTATACAAATGTTTCATTCAACCCACATTTGTTGAATGAGGACCTACTATGTGCAAACCACTTTTCTTGGCAATGAAGAGAGTAGAAAGATCACATAAATTATGCTTCCTGCCCTCAGAAACCTAGAGATATGGTATATAATATAGAAGGTAGAAAGCGGCATATGTAAAAAGAACAGTTTTTACATATGATGTAAGATTTGAGACAAAGGCAATTTTCCTATTGGCTGGGAAAAGATAAGTGTGACATACTATAATATCGGTAATCATATTCTAGCTTAAACTTTAAAAATAAAAGCCTATAGATTTATCTGCATATATTTTTATGTGAACATCAATTTTCTGTTCAAAATATTTACTCTTAGAAGTGTTCTGATGAAGAACGTGTTCTTCTCTTCTCTGTCTTCTTGGGTTGTTTGTTAATTTGACAGACTGAAACATAGGAACCCCCTATTCAGGAATACATTTTACTCAGGATTTCAGAAACCTCCTCAGATGTGACCACAGTTTCTATCTCTAGGTTTCATGCATGTATTTTGCAATATGCCAATTTCTATTTACCTACACAATGCTTTCTAAACACTATTTAGTGTCAGGTGTGTTCTGTCATCTTATATTAGCTGAAGCAAAAATGTGGGTAACACAGACCAGGGATTTTGTGGATTTTTCTTGTATATTTCCCTATCCATAGCAGGCCTTCATAGCTGGACCCATCAAGGCCTTCATAACTGGCCTTAATGTATTTCCCTACCCATAGCTGGCCTTTTTATATACTTCCCTACCCATAGCTGACCAACTTTCAATTATCTGGAAGTGACTTGAGGGATGAAGGAGTCTCAAGAATCTGAAATCAGGAACTATGGGAAAACAAATTTTTTCCTTAATAAAATAAGTGGATGTCTATAGCATGTCAGGTACCTTGTTTCACACGGGAGCTTTAAAGATGAATAACACACATGTAAGCCAAGTAATTATAGTTCGTTCTCAGGAACTACATTTCCAGTGACATTGGATTGAAAATTGAGCAAGATTCCAATTCAGCACCAAATATTCTCTAATTTGTTTCTCTCCCTTCCGAGGCAGATAAATAAAAGCTAAAATGAGGAAAGAATCTTAATAAGGAATAATGCAATGCGATTGAAAAACATTTGTCTTTTGAAGACAGGGACAATGTATATGTATATTACATAGCCTATGTTCTTAGGAATATTATTTAAAAATATTTTCCTTTATACCCTTAGGGTAAATATTATCAAAAAATATTTGAAACTGATACATTAAATTTGCTAGGGAAATTTGAAAATTACAAACGTTTTGATCAGATTTTACCTCTTCCTATCAACCATATACATTCGCTGAGCTTTACTTTTTGTTAGTATCAACATTTATTGATTCACAAGATAAATATTGACATGACCTTGCCTTCACCTCAGTTTATATCTACTTCTTAATTCAATAAATCTAGAAACTGATCTGACAGCAGCCAATATTAGTTTAAAATTCTTAAAATAGCAGTTTTGCTGTAAGGTAATAATTCAGTATTTTATAGTTTCTGCCTCAAAGAAATAAAAAGGCAATGCAACTTGCCAATTAGATAAAACTATTTCTGTGCCATTTGGATTCAAATATAAGGATTCTACTCATGCCAAAGAACATCGCTACTTTAATGCCTATATATCTTCTAATCTCTGACGCAAAGTATTTGAAATACTTTATTCCATTTGCTGGTGGCAATTGAACACTAGTCTCTTGCTTTGATTCTAATTATAATTAAGCTGCATAATTATGTTCTAAATGACTGATGCTTTCTGTTGGGCTTAGTTCCCCTTGGACTGAATTTTACCTGGAGATATAATAAATATAGTCAACAGCTATACTGGACTTGAGAAGTTAAAGGCAATAATACATTTGTTACTTCACTTATTAGCTTGTTTTTATCTTTTCAGAGTCTAGTAGATATAAAACCATAGGTCAAGATTGCATATATTTGTACTATGGATAAACGAGTTAGGCTTAGGGGCCTAGTAATAACCAATGCAATATGCTCTACAATTTATTACTTTGTTAAGGCCACAGCACTCATTTTTTACTTATACTATTTCCCAGTGCTTTTGGGGATAGATGAAATACTCATACTTCAGAGCTCCATAATAAAATTTTGCAAAATGCTTTTTTAAAAACTTAGATTTTCCATGTAAGTAACAAGTAAAAATTGTGTTTGGAAAATGAGTTTTGAAAATAACTGATATGCAGTTATGGTCTAAAGAAATTGATTGTAATGTTAATATTAAAGTGTATTTAATCAGATAGCTGTTTAGAGATTGAGTGTAAATATCATGAGAATAGCCGATGAGCTCAAAATAAAAATAAAAAGTTATTCACTTTTTTCACCAGTTAAAAGCATCCTACTATAGTACATTTCAAAGTATAATGTGAGACACATGTTATCAATAATCTTATTAAATGTTTCATCCTTGCCTAGGCTAGCTGAGTCTAACCTAGGTGTAGACAAATTGTGCAAATTGGCCAAACCATACAAGGAAGATACAAATACTTAAGGAAATACTGACACCTCACTTGAAATCACATTAGCAAACCTTATGGGTGCAAAGCTGATAATCCTTCCAATAAATTCTAAAGATTTAAAGGGCAGATCTCATATATTGTTTATATTCACATACTTACACATGGGCATGAGTAATATGCCTCACATATATGTGGCTCTCAATAAATTCTTATGCTTACCATAACAAATTTATGCCAATGATTTTTATTCTACCTTAACTTGGTGTTATTTAATCAAATATTAACTCTAGATTAAAGAGTCTTAGTAAATACAGTAGTTAACTATGTCTTGATCATGAAATGACATTCTTTGCAACATAATATGGGAAATCAGGCTCATAGTGAAGAGCCCATATAAGTAAGTATTAGAATTATAAGGTTAGAATTGGTTTTTTTGTTCATTAAATTTTAATCTCACTATTCTCACAACTCGCCATTTCTTCTTAGCCCATACTATTTCTTATCTATTCAAGCTCCATGATTGTGTGTTTATCACTGAATTTAGCACCACAAGAAATATTTATCATAATGCACCTACCTGAAATAAAGAATTTATTTAGAAAACAAGGTATTTTGAGATGATCAAAATGCATTTCATAATAATTATGTATTGATAAATTCTGATTGGACTTTATGATATTTGGTTTACCTTTCGTACTACTACCTCATGTCCAAAGGGCTAAAAATAGTCCAAGGATATGCTTCATCTAATTATTCAGTGCCTTCTCTCTCATACATCTAAGAACCTAAACATCGTTAGAGAGAGAGACAGTTATTTCCAGAGAAATGGCATTTGAAATTCAGTGAAATGAATTCCCCTCTTACTTAGAATTCTTTATATTTTTTGTACTTAGTTTTGGTTAACAGAGAGTGCTGCTTACAGTATCTCTCATTTGTGTAAGTGAAAAATAACTATGTTTTTATTACTTAAAATATTACAAAAAGGGACAATATGCTAAAAATATGCAGTGAACAAATATCATCTGTACAGACTGGAAGAGAACCTTCATAAATTAACCTTATTAGTGCATTACTGTAAGCGAATGCCAAAAAAGCTCCTAATTTGCATTAAGATAGATTTTTCAGGTTGGCTGCATGATTTAATTAAAGAAAAGATTAAGAATCATTAAACAAGCTGCTCTACCTTGCAATAACAGAATTCATATCTGATTCAGGTTAACGAAAACACAGATGGTGATTCAGTAACTGTTGAGTTGCTGTAACAGAATGAAAATGATCCCATTAGTTCTCTGGAAATGTGAGGGAATTTGGAAATTAGTATGCAGATACATTGTATGGTGCTAGACAGCTTGGTCTGCTCGGATCATCGCTGATTATACTTTGTTTGGGTTGGCAACACTGAACTTAATAAATGAAAAAATGTTCCAGTATACCACAGTTGGAAACTGTTCAAGGTTGAAATAGGTGTGCAGGCTTTCAAAAGGAGAGAGTTAAGTAAACAAATGTCAATCAATTCAGAGCTGGCAACTTTTTATTTTCCTTTAAAGAATATGTCTGTTCTTGAGAAGCAAGTGTCATAAAAATGGAAACCCTTTACTGGATACATATGCCTGTGTGGTATTTATTGTTACAAAAGTATTTTAAATGCATAGTATCAGTTTGAGGGAGACGTGCAAGCATTTTAATAGTTTTCTTTCTGGCAAAAATAGAAAAATTCAGTCACTATGAGGATTATTATATTTTTCACAAAAGGAAATCAATATAATTCTGATGGAAAATATTATGACAGGATAAAAAAAGTGTAAGTATAATGGCTATCTAAAGTTTAAAGGTGTCAATAAGGACCACAAAGTAATCCTCAAGGAGCCTTCTGGGAAAGAACAACTTAAACAAGCAGCATAGTCAATCACAGAAGCTGACAGAAATAGCCTTCGTGTCAAGCGCTCAACTACACATGCAGCCTCCATATTTAACACCTGGTTCATGCCATCGGTCTGAGTGCTGAGCATCTGACCCTTTGGAACGAGTTTCCGTGAGAGTGCAAAAGACCCAGATGGACAGAGGTCCTCAAAGGCAAACAGCAAATGACCCTATTCTGTTAACTTGTTACAATAAAGCAGACACAGTGACATGTGCTGTAAAGTCTATTTTGGTCATATAATTTTCCCCGCAACTAACTTAAAGGCCAGAACATTGATCATGTAAAAATGCTCAGGGGATTACAAGAAATATAAAGGTGATGCATTCTAGATCAAAATGTTCCCTGTTTATTGTGTATTATAATCTTTCCAGAATGTATTGCACCAGGGACTTCATTCTACATAGGCAAAGCACCTTGAAACGAAAGAAACATGAATTGACATCATATAATCTTGGACAACTCATACTACCAATGTGATAGTACTAATCTCATGGAAAATACAACCCCTTTTCAGGATTAGCACAAAAATGTTCTAAGCAGATTGCCTGACCGTAACTATTTATTTCATTAAACTTTTTAAAAAGAGATTTATATCAGCATTTTTTCTGAAAACTTACATACTAAAAATTATAGTCTACCATGCGTAATAGCTTCAACACCTGGCAACATTTAAAAGGACACATGTTGTTATAAACACGAATGTCTTAGTTACAAATGACATCCTCATAGTTCCTCAATTACAAGCCCTTTTTATGGCTCTTAAACTAGATCTCAAAGGAAATTATACTATTGAGAAGAAATGCTACAAAATACTTTCCACACAGTGCAGAATACAAATTCAGTATCTATAATTGTAAAGGCCTTGGTACACCTCCTTTCCTTTTAACCACAACTTTATTCTGTCTTCCTAAAAAATATATTTAAAAAATTTCCGGTTTCCCTGAGCACTGCATCAAGAAAAGACACTGGGTGTAGGAATTGTGCATGCAACATATGGTACTATTTTAAGTTGAGATGCTTAAGAAAGAAACTAGATCAAGTTGTTATTTGCCACTACAGTATAGTATTGTGTTGCTACAGATCTAGTGGAAGCCACCTTCACCCTAAATATGCAGTGATCATTTTAGCTACATTTAAACACGGTTATCTGAAGATTTGCATTCATGCCCTTCTCCCAGTGTTCGACAATTATTTTAAGTAGACTTTCCCCCCCGTTTTCTCATGTAAGATGTCTTTTTTTTTTTTTTTTTTTGAAATGGAGTCTCTCTCTGTCACCCAAGCTGGAGTGCAGTGGCATGATCTCAGCTCACTGTAACCTTCGCCTCCTGGGTTCAAGCAATTCTCCTGCCTCAGCCTCCAGAGTAGCTGTGATTACATGCATGCGCCACCACGCCTGGCTAATTTTTTTTTTTTTTTTTTTTTTTTAGTAGAGACAGTGTTTCACCATATTGGCCAGGCTGGTCTTGAACTCCTGACGTTGTGATCCACCCACCTCAGCCTCCCAAAATGCTGGGATTACAGGCATGAGCCACCGCGCCCAGCCAATATGCCAATTTTATTCGTTATCTTCAAGTCTGAACATTCTCTGGAAAGATTTGAAGCCAATGGAATAGAAATGTTGGAAAGAGTTATGATACATGGCTATCTTTTTATGCTACTTAAAATTACTTAACCCATTTCCTTTAAAACAAGAGCCTATGCTGTGGCAAATTGGTAGTTACTTTTTTATTATTGTGAACGCTGTTTATAGGTGTTGCAATATTAGCTCTGCAATGACTTGGAGAAAAGTTGATCCATAAAAACAAAAGCATAAGAAAGAAATAAACAGTAGGCACTTTTAGTCTATCTCACCATATGATTCTTTATTATAAAATATTAATTCCTAGTGAATGTAACTTTTTTACTTCACAGAATCAAACAAATATTTAACCACATTTTTAGGTAAGTTTTTCTATATGATGTGGGTAAATATACATCTCAAATTTTGCAAAGTTATTTTTAAAGGCGATTAACATTAAAATATCTTAAATATACATCAAATAAGTAAAGAATGAAAGTTTGGTATTGCTCTTAGTTGATGTCTATTTACTTCTCAGTCATTGAGCCAATGTTTTAAAGTTACTTACTACATTCCATATCAGGCATTAACAAATATCACAAAGTTTACATTATTTGTATCACCATGTTATTAGTCTCATTTCACAGATTATGAGATTGGAATTTAAGTAATTTAGCAAAGTTGTCATAGAGAAACAGGATTTGATCACAACACTTATGTTGCCAAATTCAGTAGACATTAACCCTAACCAATGCAACTGTTGCAATCCTTACTATACTGATTCAAAATAACCATTTAGTGTTGAATAATGCAAGTAAGGGGCAGTTTTGTACTCAATTTGTACTATGTCGGATTGATTTCAATATGCTGGTTTGTTGCTTTGCAAATGTGTTTTTTAACTTGTTTCTTACATGTGGTCTATTTTTCTAACAATTTACATTTAAGTATTAATCTCGCCACTGAACCCAGGATGGAGAATGAATACCTCTGCCACAGGCATTAAAGCTGTACTAAAGAGGAACCAAAATCTCTGCTGCAGAAAGCTTTTATTTATTTCATAACCAATAAATTAAGACATGTATTTATCAGCCAGGCATGGTGGCTCATGCCTGTAATTTCAACAATTTGGAAGTCCAAGGTGGGCAGATTGGTTGAGCCCAGGAGTTTAAGACCAGCCTGGTTTGTCTCTACTAAAAATATAAAAATTAGCCACGCGTGGTGGCACTCACCTATAGTTTCAACTACTTGGGAGGCTGAAGTGGGAGGATCACCTAAGCCAGGGAGGTCGAGGCTGCAGTGAACTGAGATTGCACCACTGCACTGCAGCCTAGGCGACAGAACAAGACCAGGTCTCAACCAAACAAACAAAAAAAAACTGTATTTATCATTCCCGTATCTGAATGATTACTTCCATGGAATGGTGGGGAAGAGTTCTCTACCCCAAATTCCTGGAAGAAAGCCCTATTCAGAGCAAAGAAGATCATGAGTGACTACTTATTCAGCAGCCAAGTTAAGCAGCTTACCTGCCCTCAAAGAGTAGAGCCACTCTTCTCCATGTCTGCTTAAAGCTGGCCTACTCTTTAAGGAAAGGGACTCCATCTATTGCAGAGGGAGAGTTTAGAAAGAAAACGGCGGGGGAGAGAACATGTACAAATAAATTATACTGTCTGTATTAGAAAAATGGGAGCAGGGAAGAGAAGAGGCTTAATGGAAAAAGAAGCAAAATCTAGGTGAAAACAAAAGTGAGTCATAATAATAAAGCTGAAAGGATGGAGGAGGAACAGGTTGTGAGATGAAAACTGGGGAAATTCTGATGATCAGTATGCCAAAATTAAATTGTCATGAACCCAGGGTTGTCTTTTCTTTCTCTTTCTCTCCAGTCGACATCCTACCCCTTTCCCTTATTTGTTCATGGAAATAAAGTAAACGCACTCCTTTACTGACAGGGTTCTCATGTAATCTCCCAGCCTATAACTCAGGCTTGGTGGATGTGGCATGACAGCATCACCATTAGGTCAATGCCACTGTACAACAGACAACAAATGGCAATGAAAAAAATAATACTTATAACCCGACCACATGAAGGGTAGACCAAGCAAGTCCCTGTGAAATCAGTGAATGTCTAAACTATCAACAAAGTTATACAAATAAGTTGATACTTTTGTTATTTGGGTCTCCTTGTCCTTTGTAACTATAATTCCATCTGAGGTCAAAACAAGGATTTTAATATAAAATAACAAGCCAAATCTAGCAAACGTGAGATTATTATTTTCTTTATGCATCTATTTTAGGTTCTCTCCATGTATAGGATTCCACAGGGCCAACCGAGGCTTCAATAGTCCTATCTCCTGCTGTATCACATATCTTTTTACATATTTCTTGATCAACAGTTCCTGGCTGCCACAATTTGCTTCAATCTAGAGAACCCAACAGAATCCATAGAAGCAATTTTTCAGTGACGGTAAGATTAGTTACAGTCTTACAGCCTAATGCTATGCTGATTGCTTTGCCAAACATACTGGTCGGGTTGTGTAAATGTGACATGAAAATAATAAAACATGAATGAGTTAAAGATGAAAGACAATATGGAATTAAACTTAGAGCAATACTTACCTTAAAATGTTATCATAAGAATTAACACATAAAGCATTAAGCATTTAATACAGATTAGCTGTCGTTACAGATTTTATTTGTGAAATGTGTAGACATAGCTACATGGTAGTAGGAATTTCATGTGGATCAGTATGTTAAAATTTTAAAACATGTGTTTTCTTCTTTTTCTCTCCCATAGGCAACCCATTTTTCTCTATCTTCCAAAAATACATCAGAATGGCAAATTGAGAATGTTTGAAATGTCATAAAATGGTCATATTCTCTTTAGCTTGCTTTGTAAGTCAAAAGAAAGAGGTGAATTTAACTGGTATACGACTGTTTTAGAAGATAAGATGTCTGAATTAGTCATATTCCTGGGATGAGATTAGAGATAGAATTCATTTTCAGCAAACTCTGAATAAATCCATTCAAGCCATTAGTTTCATCATTAGGTTCACCTTATTGTGTATCATGGCAAGAAAAAATATGGAGCATTAAAATAAAATTGGGGAAATTAGAAAAGTACTTCCTCGAGATATCCTTTGAGTTGGTGAAAAATCCTTGTAAGTTCATAGGAAACTTATAAATTCAAGAGACAGCTAAAGAAAGAATCAGCAACAACCAGTGACAGCTCTAGTTAATAAAGAATGCAACTGTATGTGTGTCCTAAAGATTTATAGAGGATTTTGGCAACATGATCATGGTGCTTTCACTGGGATGTCTCCTACTGGTGCAAGGTGCTTTAAGATTAGGGCAATTTATTCTGCTACATATAGCGAAATGTTGTAGAAATTGATAGATTTTTAAAGGAAGATTGAAAGAGGTAAATTAAGCCGTCCAAGGCCATGCACATGATCTAACAGCACAGGTCATGGTCCATGGTAGGTACCCAGTAAGTACTGATTTATTAAGTGAACTATCACCCATGCTTTCAAATGCCTCAAGGGGCCTACTATCAAGAAAATGCAATTCCTGTCCTAACAAATAAGGAATATAAATTAATGAAAAGTAAGAAAAATGAAATCAGATGTTTTTTCATACAGGCTTATTCTAGGAATTACAGCATATAGCATCTCAGAATTTTAAAATCTTACTTGAACCTAAATATAATCTGGTGCCACTCAATTGTTTTGTAAACAGAGGGCCCCAGACAGGTTTAGTGGATTGTTGAAAGTCCTGGGGAATTAGTACATTCACACATTATTTTTATGGAGTAAATGGTCTATATTTTAGTATAATAATTCAGATGAAAACAAAAACTTTAGTTACATGGCCAGATCAGGAATTTAAAAGAACAGTTTGATGGAAGACACATAGACTTAATGATATCAAGTACCAAATTGAATGTGAGATTGGCCACTCTGGAAAAACCTTTAAAGTGGATATCCAGGACCCAATTACCTTACTCACCTTCTCATTGAGATTCAAAACAGGAGTTCAAAATTTAGAGAGTATTTTACAGTGCTTTTATTAGGAGAGCTACTGAACTGCTCTTACTCTGTTACAGGAATTGGGTTGAATGTGCTGCCTCATGCCTAGTAAGAAGAGCTTATTTAAATGAAGATTATTCCTTTGGAAGACCCAGACACTGATGTCTGGCCCATTGCTGATGACATTAAAGAGGGCTTTGACCCCAGGAAAGAACAAAGAACGTTATGTCTGCTGAGTGATTGCATTCGCTTTCAGCCATAAGAAGGGGTGGCTGTTTGGGATTGGACTCATACTTCTAGGGTTGACTGGATAAAGGATGTAACTAAGCCCCATGTGCCAGATGTGGGCCAAATGAAGACAGCCCACCTGCAACCTTTTGGATTCATGCTGAAGACGACTTCCTGACAGGGCAAAATGGACTCCAATAAAAAGAGCCTGGGAGGATTTGACCACAGCAAAACCAGGGACTGAGGAGTAGTGGCATCCATGCCATGGAATTGTGTCAGAAGGACTCATCAGGGCAGGAAGAATTCATAACAGTGCCTGTGAGATTAGTCGGCTTTATAAGTCTGCCAGCCAGAGGGTCTTAATGCCGATATATACTGGTACTTTCCACATGTCGTATGGAGAAGAAATGGACAGCAGATGAAATCTACAAGGAAGTCCATACTGCCCTGCCCTCTCCCACTGCTCTGCTTTCTCCTACTGCCCAAGTAGACCCTGGCCTAGGGAAAGGGAGAAGATTTAAAGCTAGATCAATTTTCCGAATTGAGACTGGGCTTGTAAATTGAAGCTACCAGAGGACTCTCATTACCAGTGAATGCCCAGAAAGGAAATGGGCCTGCTGGTGCTTCCTCTAGTAACTGAGAAATACTTTCTCTGACTAAATAAGTTTTAAAAAAAAAAAAAAAAAAAAAAGTTGCAGCCAAAAAAAAAAAAAAGAGAGAGAGTTTTATTTTGCTGTGTTCCAAAAATCCTGCATGAGCTGATAGAATTTTTCGCTAATGCAGATGCTTATGCTATAGAAAATATGTGTCACATTGTTGATAAAAACAGTAATAAGCTATAAAATATTTCCATAATAATTCAGTAAAATTTGTTATGAGACTGCACACCTATTTCCAGGTTCTTACATCCCTTTAGCTAGTAGAAAATGAAACTTCTACAGATTATTTAAATTAAGAACAGTGATTCTTAACCAGGGTGATTTTGTTCCCAGGGGATATTTGGCAATATTGGGAGACATTTTTGGTTATCAAAACTGGGAGTTGTTGCTGGCATCTAGTAGGTAGAAACAAGGGATGCTGCTAGATATCCTATCCTGCAGTGCATGGAACAATCCCCTCATAACAAAGAATGAGTCCAAATTGTCAATAGCTTTGTGATTGAGAAACCCTAAGTTAGAGGCATAGATAAGTATTATAAGTAAGCCAGCAAGGTTGAGAAAAGACAGCATACAGAGCTTGCAGATTTAACAAATGAAACCTGAATAGTCTACGGACTGTCTTCTTACCTTCTCACTGGCTACTCCTTGTCAGTTTCATCTTCTAGCACTTTCTTCTCTGATTGACTGATTCCTAGAATGCTCCAGGGCTCAAGGAAGCCTTTTCCACTCCTGTCTCCCTAGGTGGTATCATCTTTTAACCACTTTCGGTCTATTTGTCAGTTTGTAATGTGAAGAGGCTAGATCAGATAATCACCATGGCTCTTTCTACCTCTTGCATTGCAAGATTATTTTTTACTTAAAAAAAAAAAAAAAAGAAAACAGAAATCCACAAAATGGGAGAAAAAAAAAATAAAGGCAAATACAAAATAGCTAAAAGGTGTTTAGTAAATGTTTGTAATGTGAAAGAATAAAATACTTCCCACTGTTTTGGGGGGACTACCTTCTATGTTTATTTCTAGGTGATGCAGTGCTGTTTTTTCTGAGACATGAGGAAAGTTCCTTTTCTTCAACTCCACCATTTTCCTAAGCAAGTAGAGTTATTTGACTGTAAGCTCAGCTCTAAAATATTGGTAATTGGGGAAGGTTGGTCAGTAAAATCACTGCTCCCATGATATTTTTTTTTCTTGAATGACCTATCTTTTTAATAAAAGTGGCTTGGTAAAATTGAGTTATATGGTCTGTCAATAGATAGTTACTCTTCAGTTTAGGGAGGAAAAGAATTTGGAAGATGAGTGCAAAGGGAAAGTCAAGGTTAAATCTAAACAGTTTCTGACTTTACATAAAATCTACTAAAAGCCTCTTCTGTGTACCTCCACTTTTTGCCTGCTTTATTAGATATGTAGGAAAATTTATGACTCTTCTTCTACTTGAAAGATATTATTTTATTAGGAAGTTTATAACATGAAGAAAGATCCAAACTATTTAATGCCTAAATATCCATTCTGACAAAGTGAGGAAGTACTTTTCATTTGAAATATTCTTGAGAGGGATCAATGTTATCAAAATGTCTCTTGTAATTTTAGAATTAAAATTCAGTGTTTGATAAATTGAACTTATTCCATAGAGGTAACAAGTATAAAAACATTTTCTGATTCCAGAATGTAAATTTTGCATAAGTTTATTGCCAGTCTCAAATAGACTATGATCATTTCAATCAAATCAACTTTGAAAAATGCAGGGCTTCCTTTGCTAATTTCCTTTTATACAGAGCCCCCTTTCCTGTCATCCTTTTTTTAATTTATATTTTGATGTGTCTTGTATTCCTAATTGGTTGACTAGAAACATGAAATCTACTAACTATGTGATGTTATCCTGAATTGCTACAGTTCTGCATATATGCTAGGTCTACAGTGTACAGCCCCTGGGTCTTTCATTCTATAAATAACATTAATTTTTTGTTTGTTCTTATGTTCTCTGTTACTTCCTATTAGAAGTATATTGGCAAATTACTGACTTGCACCATTCCAGTCAGATCACACATAACACAGCACAATTCAGCAGGAGTGATCATAAAAACAGAATTATCTCTCAACCTGGGAGGCTTGCCCTTCCTTGTAAAGGTTGAAATAAATACATGGAAGCTCACACTAATAATGCTCCTCACAGCTTACCAGACTGTGAATACAACACAACTTCAGTAAAGGCAAATTGATGGGCATTTTTGAGGAGTAGACTGAAAGGAAGCTAGTAAGCAGATGTAAGTAAAAAAATGCTTACCTGTAAAACCCATACTGAGGAAGTGCCATAATACACAGGCCTTAAAAATGCAAGCATTATCCAATCGCTAAAGTATTGTAAGATTAACCACTTAGATTTAAAAGTCAGAATGCATCTTTTCTTGCTTATATTTCAACGTTCCTTGGAAAGAGAACATTTACAAACATTCATTTTTCTTAATAAGATTGTGCTTTCCTAAAAACCTCATTAATTCTAAAATAAGTTTAGATGGGACCTGAGGTAAAGACAGCAGAGTAAAAGTGAAATACAGTATCTGTTTTATACCTCCCTCTTGCCCCAAGAAAGAAAGAAGAAAAACACAGCCACCACGACTACCTCAACAGTAATATAAACAGGTAAGCAGCAACATGGTGGCCAAGAACAGAAACAGAAGAGTCTGGTGTGGTTTGTATTTTTTCTAGGGTGCTAAGCCTTCCCTCTCTTTACCTAGTGATATAGCTTGTGTATTTGTCCCTACCCAGATCTCACGTTGAGATGTAATCCCCAGAGTCAGAGTTGGGGCCTGAAGGGAGGTGTTGGATCCTGGGGGCGGAGGATCCCTCATGAATAGCTTGGGCTATCCCCTTGGTGATGAGAGAGCTCTTGCTCTGAGTTCTTGTGAGATCTGGTTGTTTAAAAGTGTGTGGCACCTCCCCCTGCACACCCCTGCCATACACATGCCTTGTTCCTCTCTCCCTCCTGCTTTTGCCATGTGATGTGCAAGTTCCCTTTTCACCTTCTGACATGAGTAAAACTCCTGGAGTCCTCCCCAGAAGCCCAGCGATGTTGGCACTACACTTCCTGTACAGCCAGCAGAACCATTAACCAGTTAAACCTTTTTTCTTTATAAATTACCTAAAGCCAGGTATTTCTTTATAGCAATGCAAGAACAGCCTAATACACATAGGTAGATTGCTGGAGATATAATGTGTATGAGCATAATTTAAAGAAAACCATTGACTGAGAGAGAAGCATACTGAGGAAGTGAATAATTGCCTGGGGGGTGAATTGCAGAAAGGCTATTGGGAGAAGGCTATATCTACTGTGGCAAGGTCTAAGGGAAAAGATAGAACCACCTGGGCTGTCCCCATTATAAAGACTCAGTTTGGGAAGAGGTGGTAGAAACAGAGAGGTAGGGGCCAATCATCAAAATCAAATGTAGTTAAATATCTCAGGTAATAAAATGGAACTTATTAGAATTGAATACAAAGAGAAAGTAAACAAGACAATGTCTTCAGAAGAAAAACAAGCAGAAGGACACAAAACTGTTCCTTCCCAAGTATCAACACTGGGGCCACAGGTGGCTTAATATGTCCCCTAGTTTAATGCAGATTCTGATCCAGGGACTCTGGGGTGAGGCCTGAGATTTTGCATTTCTAAGAGGCTCCCATGCAATGCTTGTACTGCTGGTCCACAAAATACTTTGAGGAGCAAGGAAAGAGAAGAAATTAACAAGTGGATCTGACTCCATGATAGAAAAATAGATTTTAGATTTGCCAGAAAAAGAGAGAGAAAAATTATTCAATTGATAAAGAGTCCTAGATCATTGCTTTCATGCTCCCAACTATTGCTGTGCCAAAATTTCAGAAAAGACATCAGAATTCACAGTCTCCAGCAAAGACAGCAAATTTGCCAATGGATCTCTCCCCTTTGCCCTTCACTTCCCTGCTGACCCTGCTACACACACACACACATACACACACACAGAGCTCTTCCCACTACCTCAGACTATAGAGAAAGCAGATCACAACACTCACTTTGCCCTTCTGAGGTGAAGACAACTTATCTTTAAGAAGGTAGAAAAAGAGTACAGGATAATTCACCCATATTGTACTAGAACAAAACAAAAGTTTAAATACAGACCCCACATTATGCTCAAGCAAAAATAAAAAGAAAAGCATACAGACACACTTTAGAGAAAAACAGAAAAGGAATAAAGCATGCAAAAAGCAGATGAAGACCACAGTCAGAAAGAAAATGTAACCCAGGGATCAAAATATTTTCTAAAAGCGATTCACACTATGCAGGAATTTAAATTGCAATAGCATTAAGGCTCAGAGATAAGTGATTTAAAACAAAGATTTAGTTGAAAATGGAGATTGCCTAGCTAAAAGAACATCACTACAAATACACATGAAAAAAATAATATGTACAAGAACCATATTGCCAACAGTGAGTGCTATGGTTCCAATGTCTGTCCCCTTCAAAACTTGTTGGAATTTAATTGCAGTTGTGATGGTGGTGGAAGGTGGGGCCTTATGGGAGGTTCTTGGGTCATAAGGGCAGCACACTCATTAATGGATTATTGCTGTTATCTTAGGAGTGGGCTTAAATTCTCTCTAGTCCTCTCTTTGCCCTCCTGCCACATTATGCCCTCCACCATGTTATGAGGCACCAAGATGGCCCTTACAAGATGCCAGCCTCTAGATCTAGGACTGTGTAGCCTCCAGAACTGTGAGCCGACAAATTCCTGTTCATTGTAAATTACCTGGTCTGTGGTATTCTGTCATAGCAGCATAAACAGATTAAGGCAGTGAGATAGGCTTGGCTAAATCTTAGTGACTGCAAATAAAAGTGATAAAGATATTAAAGAAATTAATGATGACAAAATCAGGAACATATAGACAATATAACAATATTTGGTAAAGATCCGAACATATTGAAAAAAGTGATCAATTACTTGATAGAAGCTTCTGTGTCGATACATAGGGATACACCTCATGTTCTCAGTTTTATCAACTCAATGAAAAGATGGACTGAGACAAATTAAATGCATTAAATGGATATAGGTAGCTTACCACTCCCATAGATTATATATAACTATACACAGCTACAACTAAAACATTTACAAGCATAAAACATTGAGGACAAAGAGAAAAAAAGGAATCATAAGGTGAAAAAAAGGCCATTTGAACAGTCACAGCAGGTATTACATCCATGAAACAAGAACAATATGCTATTTAAAAATAAATATTGAAAGAACAAGCAGACAAACATAACCTCGAGATTTTAGAAATTAGACATATAACAGAAAGGAAAATGTATTAGAACAACAGGGAAATAAATTTAATATATTTCCCAGACATATAAACTCTCAAATTATTAAACTACTGTTTACCCTTCTCAGGAAGTTACTAGAAGGTGAGCAAATAAGAATGATCCAAGAAAAACACAGACATATAATCTAAGAAAAAAATAGAAGCACATTGAAAACAAAGGCAGATGGTGAAGGGGACATTGACATGACAGCTGTGTAACAGGTATACACAACATCCAGTCCAGATTAGACCAGGTGAGCAGGCTCAGAGAGGCAGGTCCCCAGGATTATACAATTGGTGGACCACTGATGTATTTGGAAATATTGAAATGAAGCTCCCATTAAGTAAGGTTTTAGAGAATTAGTAATTAGTACAAGTATAACTAAGCAAAGAAATAGCAAGATAATAACCCCAGAGTAAAGTACAAGTTGTTCAAGATAGGAAAAGTAATTATAGTCTCCTCATGGATCTTTTGTAAGTAACATTTACATAGTAAAATGAATACAAAATCTGAGATAAAACCATATCAAGAGGGCAAGTCAGATTAAATAACAATGATGGCAACATCAACACTTATATGATGCTTAATATGTCTGTGTAATGTGCAACTTGTTTTACACAAAAAGTTATAGTAGATACCATTACTCTATGCATTGTTACAGGGGAACTGGTCTAACTTAGATATTTTTAACAAAAAATGGAATATTTAAAAAAATAAGTCTACATACAGCAAGACCGATTTATGCTGCAATAATAACTGTGTAAGAAAAGTCAGTGTAGGCCGGCGCGGTGGCTCATGCCTGTAATCCCAGCACTTTGGGAGGCCAAGACGGGTGGATCATGAGGTCAGGAGATTGAGACCATCCTGGCTAACATGGTGGGACCCCATCTCTACTAAAAATACAAAAAATTAGCCGGGCTCAGTGGCAGGCGCCTGTAGTCCCAGCTACTTGGGAGGCTGAGGCAGGAGAATGGCCTGAACCCGGGAGGCTGAGCATGCAGTGAGCCAAGATGGCGCCACCGCACTCCAGCCTGGGTGACAGAGCGAGACTCCATCTCAAAAAAAAAAGAAAAGAAAAGTCAATGCCAGTTCATATCCTGGTTAAGCTATTGAATCTTGAGGATTATGAAAGAATTTTTTTCATCACCTCAACAGGAGTAAATCCAGGCTAGTATTAGGATTGTTTATACAATATTCATTTGATCATTCCACAGATGTTTTAAGGGCACCCCTTATGTCCAAGTCTTCGTGTCAGCTGCAACAATAACAATAGAAAGAAACAGACAAAGCACTTCCCTCATGGAGTTTGCCTTCTCATTAATTCAATGCCAGAAGACAATGGAACAATGTGTAAAAGACCTGAGAATATAAATGCAGACCCAATACTGTTTAAATATAACATGAAAGAACAGACATTTTTAAACATGAAAATGCTTAGGAAATACAGAATCTGTGAACTCTTCTTGGTTCTAGCAAACCAAGAGGTAACTCCAAATAAATAACTCAAGTACAGAGACCATGGTAAAAGAACAAGGAGTAAGTACTTAATAAGTTTAAATATAAACTTAGTTTTAAATAACTATGAGAATTTTATTATGAACTTGTTAAAAATCTTGACATCATATAATTCTTTATTATTTTAAAATATTAAGACTCAGAAAACATAGATGGAAAAATGTCTCTTCATTTTCTTCATTTAATAGTATAGCTAAAACATATTGACCTTAGCCTTTTAACTTTTGTAATAATCTTTTTTCTTGAACTGAGAGAAATTGTTTTAGTAACCATGTCTAGAAGTTATTTAAAATGTATTTGGATGTCAGTAATTTCTTTAACATTATTTCAAGTTTTTTTTCTTTTTTTAAACATAAGTAAAATTACATTTGCCCTTTTGTGGATATATACATATAAACTTTCATGTTTGTAATATTCTTCCTTCTTTTAAATTTTGTTTCTAATTTAACCTAGTTATATTTCTGTGGAACAAATGTGCCTTTTTATCTAATAATGGCCACTTCTGGATATTGATTTTAGGTATGCTTTTCTTTTCCTATTCTTCGTTTTCTGAATTTATTATAATATGTATCATTTTTTCAAAATAATGGACACATCTTAAATATAAAAATATATTTGCAGGGTTTTTTTTTTGTTTCACTCATTCAATTTTTTACATGCTTTTTATAGCACACTTAGACAATTGCCAAAGTAGGTTAAATTTCATTTTTAAAACTCCAATCAGGAAATTGTTTTGTCACGAAAAGGATCAAGATATAACTAATCCTTCCTAGTACTACAGCAAAAACAGGAATGATATAATTACACAGATTCCAGGTGGAGGCTGTAGTTCTGGAGGAACAAAGTTGTCATTTCCCAGGCAATAAGGGATTAATAAAAATCTCATTATAGAGCATTGGAGAGAACAAAATGCCCTGGAATTTCAGGATGGTTGTAAAAATAAACTTTGTGCAATTACAAATCTCTGGAAAATTTGCGAACGTTGGGGAGTAACCACTTCCTGAACCAGAAACTGAGAATCAGCAATCCCTGAAAAACGCACTAAGTGGAGGAATTCAGATCTACCCAAACTAGGTACCATTCTCTTAATTATACTGAAGAGGAATTGGTGACAACTGTCAATCATCCAATTACAGTTGTTTATAGCTACATTTATGTTATATGTAATCTATCTATATTCATTGTATACATTCAATTCATTTCAGTTCATCTTTTTATTAAGTTGATGAAATTTTGAATTAAAAAAACACTTCAGATGTTTTCATCAATGAGTTCAGGCAATCGATACCAAGTAAGCAATGAATGTTAAAGAGGCCAGTTCCTACCCTGGAGAGTTTATAATCTGATGGAGAACACATCAAATAAGCAGGCCAGAAGAATGCAGGGTGCCCCCACTGACTCTTGCAGTCAAAACACGGGCATACTCACTAGCTAAACTGGAAAAAGGTGCCACTCCCAGAGGGCTGAGTTTCAGGGTTCATTTAAAGGCAGATGTTCTAGATGTTACACACCTTGGGTTCTTTTCAAACAACGCAGATGCCTCTAATCTCACCCATTTGCCTTGTCTTACTCAGTTCCCATTGTGATTTTAACACATTTTCTGTAGATGCTTGCTGAAGATCCAGGTTTAGCCTACATTATTAGGAGGCCTCAATTAAGAGTCTACCTTTGACCTTAATCACATTATTACCTATATCCTTTTACCAACTAGATTAAAAAAAAAAAAGAAAGAAAAAGAAAAAAAGCCATGTACCATAATTTGGTATCAACCTATCATTTTAATTTTTTCTTATGTGATTCGCAAATGTTTCTTGAATTTCTTCTGGGTAGCCAGCCCAGCCATCCTGCTTTACAACCATGTAAGCCCTTTAGCCAAACTTAATTTCAATTTCCCCACACTCATGCCTTAATCTTCCCTAGCTGGAAATCTTGCTTAAATCTCTCTCCTACCTGGAATGCCCATCTTCCTGATTCTGAAATATGGTTTCTACTATCTCTTCGTAGACCAGTTTAGGTTCCAAAAATTTTAACCATCCCCTGATCACTTCAAGCCACAATGATGCTCATCTTCTTTTCTACTCTTCCAAAGAACTGGTTTCCTCTAGATCTAAGTGGATACTTTGAATGTCCCACTCAGTATTGCCAGTTAATATTCATTATGCCACTTTCCTCAAGTTGATCAAAATTGTGAAAGTCAGGGGCTTTGTTTTGTATTTGGTATCCTTTGCATTTTCTAGCCCAGAACTCTACTCCTGGTAAGCATTTAGAAAAGCTAAGTGACCTCTTTGCTTAATTGTCATTTTCTCATCCCCTGTGTTTTCTTCAAGTTTGTAGTGCTCTGTTCTATAAAGGTCAAAGCCATTGTGACATTCCCGGAATTCTGCTTGCAGCATTCAGGTACAGAGACGCTAAATAAATCAGATCGTGTGTCCTAGGTACATATTTCTGCCTCAACAGATATCCTCTGTTGTGGCAGGTCAAAAGACAAAACCAAATTACAGGAATCACCATCATGCATTAGCATCTGGGATCCAGGGTATCAGTAACTGCAGCTCAGGAGATGAGAGGCTAGCAACATAACTGACAGAAAAACTTGAATGAGACATTTAAACAGAAAAACAAAAGTCCAACTCAAGATTTTTCACATTAGGATTGATTCTTAAACAGATATGCCAAGTTCCGCCTACACTTCCAAACAGAATATGCCCTTTGCTGCCATTTCACTTCTTAAAATAGTCTCTCTAAAACACCTAATGTGCCTCAATTAGAAATATGAATGTGTATTAAAATGTAAGGGCTTGTGCATGAAGAATGCGAAAAGGGAGACTGAGTATGAAAAAGAGGGCGGAACAGGCCTTGACACAGAGAAGCTTCCTCATCTCTGTTAGTCACACCGTGAGACTCCCTTCCCATTTTTTCAGGGTGTGTAGCCATTTGAGAACACCCAAGATCAAATCATGGCTATCAAAGACCGATGCTGCCTCATCACATTGCCGGTGGCCAGGAGCCAGGACTGTCATCACTTGGTTTTGTGCTGCTTAGGGCAGAAAATCTGATTGTTCAGCAACATGTAATCAGCTTAAAACAAATCTGGAAGATGTTACCCAAAGACTAGATGATATCCAGGCCCTGGAACTCTGTCCAGACAAAGAAAATGAAGGATTTGCTTAAAAAAAAAAAAAAAACAAAACTGTATTTGTGATCTGTGGCAAGAAACTTGAGACACTGGAACAAGAGTCAAGTCAATAAGTTTAATAGTAAGGCTTTAAGAAACTGGGATTACAACCCAAACAAGCCAGGCGGGTCCTGCAGAGCAATGAGAAACCAGAGTTGACTTTCTAGAGCCAATATCTTTGCTGTATTTGGTGTCCAGATATCACTTATAATGTATTCCTCAGAAATGGCTCACTCTCATAAGAAATATAATTACCTTTTCTAAACACCAAGATGATAGAAGTCTTAGGAGTTGATCTGAGTCATGATTTAACTATACACCATGTGACCTATGACCTTGCGTATGTCACTCTGTCTCCATTAACCTTCTTTTCTTTATTTGAAAAAGTAGGGGTAGGAATACTAGTTTTACCAATATTTTGGTACAAATATTTTCTTCTTCCTTCCATATTTTCTCCCCCACCACACCTCTTGGGTGCAGAAGAGGGGTTTATAATATTACAGAGGGTTGGAAAAGAAAACACTAAAAGCTGCGAGAAATATATTAGCAAGACATTACTCCCCAAGTGTAAAACCCTGCTCTCCCTGGAGAAAATGCACTCTAAGCCATTCCAGTCAGTGTCTTTGCCCCCTTCTTTCTCCACCCTCACAGATACTTTTGGCCTCTGACTCTGATGACCACCTGGGGCAGCAGAATGGGGGTAGAGGATTGGGGTAAGCGTGGGAAGCTGTGGGACCTGAGAATACAGACCCTGAGCCCAAAGCCAAGGTTATTTAGAAAGGCTATCTGGGCCAGGCAGTGGCTCACGCCTGTAATACCAGCACTATGGGAGGCCAAGGCAGGCAGATTACCTGAGGTCAGGAGTTTGAGACCAGCCTGACCAACATGGTGAAAACCTGTCTCTACTAAAAATACAAAAAAATTAGCTTGGCATGGGGGCACATGCCTGTAATCCCAGCTACTCGGGAGGCCGAGGTAGGAGAATCATTTGAACTTGAGAGGCAGAGGTTGCGATGAGCCAAGATTGTACCACTGCACTCCAGCCTGGGCGACAGAGCGAGACTCCATCTCAAAAAAACAAAACAACAACAACAAAAAAAAAAGAAAAAAGGAAAGAAAGGCTATTATCTGGAAACAGCAGAATTGAGTGAGCCTTTAAAGGTGAGTGAAAATAGATAATGCTTACTGAGTGCTTTCTACACACCAGACACCATTTAAGTACTTTATCCATATTATTTTATTTAATCCTCATGATAAACCCTTGAGGAATGGACTCTGACTATTCCCATTTTGCAGATGATGAAAGTAGGGGCAGAGTGAGTTTAAATAATTTGCCCGATACCTCCCATGGAGTAAGTGGTAGAGCTGAACCAACAAGGTCTAAACCCAGAAACCACCCTCTTTCCCAAGATGATCTACTACAATGTGGAATTACCCAGGAAAGAGGAAGAAAGTGGCAGATTGAGGCAGAAGAAGCCATGTGAGTTGAATGCACAAAGGCCTAAAAAAAGATTTGTCTTCAGAGACTTAAACTTATGAGGAAACACATAGGAGAAATTTTTGAAGTTGGCTATAACCAGGTACAGAAATATGATTTGCTGATTTATAAAAAGCTGGATAAGCATTAATATTAACTGATATAAATTTTCCCTGTTATCTCCTGTTATTCAATGACCTTTCTTTTATCTTCTGGGCCATGATCCATCAGTTGTCTCAAGAAAGGTTGATAAATCGGAAGCAGAAAATATCTTGAGCTTTAAAAGGGCTTTGGAATTGCAAGAACTCTCAGATTATTGTGTTTCTAAGCACTAAATTACTTGTGACACAAAAGAAAAGGCTTAGATTAATTCCTCATAAATAAGAGAAGGTCTCCACAGATAATACAAAATCATTCCACAGGTTGATGGGAAGGGCAGGGAAAAAAGCAAGGATGACAGAAACCTTGGATAGGGTGGGGTGTCTAAGAGAAAAAGGAAATGTACCCCCAAATCCAGATAAAGTCCAGGGCAAGATATGGAGTTTCTCACTATTCAGCACTGGAAAGGGTAGCAGCATACAAATCGTATCATGGATCATCTAGATAAAAAGACTAGTTGCAGCACATTTCCAAGAATGTTAGGGTGGAAGCAGGTAAACTTGTCTTGCTGCCTGAGGAAAGAACAATATTTCCTATGAGAGAGCTGACCTGGAGAGACCATGAGTTTGCAATAAAGAAAAAATAGTGGCGATGTGCACATATTCAGAAGTAGAGATCAGGTGGTGTGATCTAAGTCTCAACAGGTGTCAGTGTGGACGAATGCTGTCAACCTGGACCAGATTCCTTTTGCCCTGCCCGACCTCCACCTATCTCTTGCCCATATAGTTTTAACACTAGGTCCTCCTTTCTCAAGGACTGAGTTTAGGGATGAGTGACCATTCAGCAGCAATTTAATTTTCAATACATGGCAAAAGGAAGCTCAAAAGATAAAATAAATTCAGTTATATGAATATAAAATTAAAGTCCTTTGTACCTAAATTTATGACTTGACATTCATGCCTAGTTGACATCTAAGTGTTATTGTTTTGTTAGTTTTTCCTGTCTGCAATGTATGAGCAAATCAAAAAAGTATACTCTGAGATAGATTTTAAGGAAAGCAACTAATGGGAGGAGAGTAGGTGAAGCCATTAGGTCAGAAGCAGTTAGTAAGACCGACCTGGAGGGCAAGACCAAGTCTTACCAGATGCGCAGGTATTTCTCATAGGTGGACAATAGTAATTTTATACCTCTGTACTCACATTTGTTTTTCAAATTAATCTGCAAACAAATGCGCTTGTTTATTTGTCACCCCTTCCCTCTGTGTATGACTACTGGACACTCTTTTCTTTCCATTTGTTTTCTCCAGACAATTATTCCACTTCTCACTTGGACTGGTCAGCCTCTCCTATCCTTCGGTGATTAAATTATTCAGATCTTCATTCCTTAACTGAACCCTGAGATTTCAGAAGCCAGCATTTTGCTTAACTTCTTCTTAACTATTTGCAGTGCCTCACACAGTACTATAAAACCTCTTCTAATATAATTTAATTCAATAATATTTATTTGCAGCTTTCCATTTTGTTTACTTCATTTAAGTTTTCTAAACTTGGAAATAATTGTCAGGTAGTTTGATTTGGTTTGAAATTCCAGAAACAGTACCATTTGTGCCAATATCGAGGATCCAACCTAATTTGAATCATTATTTCAAATAACCGTAACTTTGTACAACTCTAAATTTTCTGAATCTTATCTTTTTATATACTAATCTATTCCAAAGTAGGATGGCAATTTTAATGACCTTAAAAACTTATATGTAATCCTTAACCCCTCATATAAAACTTCATTTTTATTATATCCATATGATTTGAATAATTTTTGTATTTTTCTTTTCTCTTCTAAATGTTGTCCTATTGTGACCTAGCTCTGAAGAGTCTGTAAGACATTTAACTTGTTTAGACTCAAATTTTGTCATCTTCAAAACAAATTAATATTTATATTAAAAGTTATAACTAGAATATTTATTTTGCAAACACTTACATGTATTTGCTGTGTGCCAGGTTGTATTCTAAGCACTTTGCAGATATTAATTCGGTTCATCCTCATAAAAGCTCAGTGAGTTGGTACTAGATAAAGAAAAATAAAGGCAAAAGGGATTAAGTAGGCTGGATGAGGTGGCTCACGCCTGTAATCCTAGCACTTTGGGAGGCCGAGGCGGGTGGATCACAAGGGCAGGAGATCGAGACCATCCTGGCTAATATGGTGAAACCCCTCTCTACTAAAAATACAAAAAGTTAGCCAGGCATGGTGGCGGGCCCCTGTAGTCCCAGCTACTCAGGAGGCTGAGGCAGGAGAATGGCATGAACCCAGAAGGCGGAGCTTGCAGTGAGCCGAGATCGCGCCACTGCACTCTAGCCTGGGCGACAGAGTGAGACTCTGTCGTTAAAAAAAAAAAAAAAAAAAAAAAAAAAAAAAAAAAGATATACCCAAGACTGGGAAGTTTACAAAATAAAGAGTTTTAACTGGACTTATAATTCCATGTGGCTGGGGAAGCCTCACAATCATGGCAGAAGGCAAGGAGGAGAAAGTCAAGTCTTACATGGATGACAGGAAGCAAAGACAGAGAATGAAAGCCAAGTGAAATGGGTTTCCCCTCAATAAACTATAAGATCTCATGGGACTTATTCACTACCACTAGAACACTATGGGATAAACTGCTCCCATGATTCAATTATCTCCCACCGGGTCCCTCCCACAACACATGGGAATTATGAGAGTACAATTCAAGGTGAGATTTGGGTGGGGACATAGAACCAAACCATATCAACATGTTTTCATTTTCCCAACAACCCTTAGATATGGATGAGATCACTATTCCATTTTTGAGATGATAAAATTAAGGCTGAAATGTTAACTAATTTTTCAAATCCGCAAACATATTTAGTAACTGAAGCTTGATTATATCTTAAAGTTTTATTCTGTTTCTTCTATCTATTGCTTCATGACAAATGTCCATAAAACTTATTGATCTCAGACAACCATTTTATTTTACTCATAGATTGATGAGTCAGGAACTCAAAAGGGCTTGATTGAATGGATCATCTCTGATCCACATGGCATCAACTGGAGCTGCAGGGGCTGGAGAATCTACTTCCAAGATGGCTTCTTTACTGTATTAGTCTGTTTACATAAATAATTGCTTAAAAGAACTGCCTGAGATGGGGTAATTTATAAAGGAAATATCTTTAATTGACTCACAGTTCAGCATAGCTAAGGAAGGCCTCAGGAAACTTACAATCATGACTAAAAGTGAAGAGAAGGCAAGGTACTTTCTTCACAAGGCAGCAGGAAGGAGGAGTGCTAAGTGAAGGGGGAAGAGCCCTATATAAAACCATCCGATCTTGTGAGAACTCACTCACTATCATAAGAACAGCATGGGGGAACCATCCCCATGAATAAATTACCTCTACCTGCTCTCTCCTTTGACATGTAGAGATTATGGGGATTATGGGGATTACAGTTCAAGATGAGGTTTGGGTGGGAACACAAAGCCTAACCATATCATTCTGCCCCTGGCCTCTCCCAAATTTCATGTCCCTCCCTTTCACATTTCCCTTACCCACACTTCACTTTGTGTTTCATTATCTAGAGCAAGCTTGTCCAACCCATAGCCCATGGGCCACATGGGTCCCAGGATGGCTTTGAATGTGGCCCAACACAAATTCATAAACTTTTTTAAAACATGCGTTTTTGTGTGATTTTTATTTTAGCCCATAAGCTATCATTACTGTTAGTGTATTTTACTTGTGCCCCAAGACAATTCTTCCATTGTGGTCCAGAAAAGCAAAAGATTGGACACCCCTGCTTTAGAGCATCTTAGAGTGGATGGGCTCCTTACAGCACAGTGAATTTAAGATGTTCTCACTTCTTACATGGAAGTTTACCTTTAAGAACAACTATTTATAAACAAAAGGAACAGAAACTGACAGTCCTTTGAAAGTACACCTACAGCTAGCACAGCATCACTTTTGCCATATTCTATGGTCCAAAAAGTCAAAACCCATACAAAATTCACCAAGAGGGAAAATAGACCCCATCTCTCAATGGGAAGAGTGTCAAAGTATTTGCAGCCATATTTAACCAACCAAGCATTGGCACTCAGAAGGTGGGTGGGACTGGAGTCATTCAAAGACTGGGAGGGACATCTGAATTGGCTCCCTCATAGGACTGAAAGCTGATGTTGGCAATTAGCTGAGAGCACAGATGAGGCTGTTGACCAGGGTGCCTATCCTATACACAATCTCACCATGTAGATTCCTACATCATGATGGCTGAGTTCTTAGCGAAAGGGTCCTAACAGGATCCTTATGAGAGACCCACTCAGAAGTTGCAAAGCTCTGCTTCAATCTATTGGTGACACAATTCATTAAGAACAGGTTAGATTCACGGGGATAGTAATTAATTCCACCTCCTAATATGAGGTGAAGTATTTTCCAAACTCTAGCATGGTTGCTAAGCCTTCTCTTTATAAGTGGTTGCTGAACATGTGCTTCACTCTGTCACTGCATTTAATTCTATCAGAGAGCATTGCTTTTCTTACTAGTTATGTATTTCATGCAATGAAAGGGTATGGTTTATAGTATTCAAGAAAACATGATTCCTCAAATTAAGGAACTCTTAGCAGAGAGAGACTGAACCATATGAAAGATCTAATATTTAACCATCATTGACTAACAAAAATTTGTAGGATGATTTTCAATTTTGTATGATTCAACTTAATACTTCAGGTATCCATCAGCATTGAGATGTATATTTTAAAAATATTTTATATTAATGTTTAGCAAATTCAGAAAGAAAGCTTTGAAATCTTAACTTTGAGAAAAAGTGAACATTTTATGCTAGGTCAGGATTGCCAGACCAACATGTCTATCTTCTGGTTACTTATGTCCCTTAGTCCAGATTCCTGAATCCCTTCCTGGCATTGATTCTCTGAGTTAATGAGGCCAATGCTTGGATTTGGCGAAGACTTGTAAAGACCTTCTCTCCAACCTTATCCCCTTGGGAGGGAATAAGGTCAATTCACTGTGTCAATAGCAATAAAAGCGCTCTCCTTCTTACCAAATCTTCTATTTTTCTTTGTGACTTTCCCAGTGTTGCTCCCCACATGAAGGACCTGTCTTACAATTTACTTCTAACTGGAAAGCTTTTCAATAATAGATCCCCTGTGAAGGAACCCATAACTCTTAAAGTGAGGGAAGGTAGCCAAACCTCAAAGCTCAGAGCTGACTACTTGCTGAGTTGGTATATTTTAGGAAGGGATTAGTATGTGTCAATAACTCTCTCATACTATGGTTTATGTGGTATGAAACACTCAACAAATATAAACTAGTAACAGCAACATGACTATAGCTCTCCTTTGTCTTCTATTACTTAAACAGTATTAATTGAACTACATAAGTTTTCTATCTCTCACACCTTAGACATTTTAAATATTTAATCATATGTGGTTCAAGACAATAGTGTCTTTGGTCTCTAAGATAACTCCTTTTGTCTTTTAAGTGAGGTTCTAGCTATTAACATTGAGAATTTATGGACATTACATGTTATTTGAAACACAACACTCTGATAATAACACTTCTGACCCTATGAAGCCAGGGTAGACAAAACGTTAAGTGGGAATCAGAGCAAAAGGGATTGTCTCCATCAGTGATGTCCTGATAGTGGATTACAAGAGGGTGTGAACTCATGATAACTAAGGAGAGAAAGGCTGCTGACTAATATCAGTTCTATCTTTAAGGAAGTCTGGGCTCTGCTTAGTGTTAGGGCTGAGATACAAAACAATTTCTCTATTTTCCCAGATAGTTCACCCCTCCCTAATTATAGCCCTCAGACGAATGTTTTGTTACCATGAGAAAGCAGGCAAAGCAGGAAGGAAATAATCAGACATTTTTACTTAGAACATTGAATTTTAATACTGTTTTCCTCTTGCTAACAGACCTTTCAATTTTACTTCTTACATATTTTAAGTGTGATCAATTTTACCTTTCAGGATATTATTCCTCATCCATAAAATTACACAAAAATTGCCATAAACAAGCTGGCTGCAAAGGAACAATCGTCATACTTTAAAAAAAATAACCTTCGTGTTTATAGAAATAATAAAGCCCATGCAGTACTTCTTTTAAAGATCTTGCTCTAAACAAACTGAATTATTCATGCATAGAATTGTGCAGCATTAGAACACCTGTTTTCAATCATGCATAATGTAAAATCACTCATTACCTCACAAGAGCCTCTACATCTCCAGCAATCAAATGGCATTGAAACAGCAAAACAGGTGCCTGGCAGGTGGATCCAAGCAGATGTTTTGGGCTTGCATGCCTTTTCTTGTACAGGTGTGATGATCTTGTTTTCAACTGCATAATTGCTATTTAAAAAGGTAATATTTAATTCTTATGTACTTTAATATTTATTTTTGCTTCTTCAATTCCTCTCCTTCTTTGACACTGCCTGGGCTTGAGGTGGATTTGAAAGCTTTCAGGATCCTGTAAGGTGGAGTGATGCCAGTTGAAGGTGCAATCTCACTTAGGCTTTCACTGCAAAGGAACTCTTCTGGGTGAGCATTCGGGGTTTCAGCAGCATGACTAACTACTGAACGGAAATGGAAAAGTTACTTTCCCTTGTTAGGTATCATCCGAAAGTCATATTTAACCATTTCTCCTGTGCATACAAGGAATTTTAAATTAAGTTGATGCAAATCTATGAGTGCAAATCAGATAGAGAACATCTTTCTTTAGCTGCCGATACACACTTTATTGAACTTCCCCAAAGACAGCTCTGTGTGTATCCTCCTTGTGAGGCATCAAAATGCATTTGCTTAAGCATGTTTTAGTAAAACATCTTTAAGTCTCAGCTGGAAATAGGGTTTTCACTTCGTACTAGATTTATCCAATATAAATTCATTCAAGCGGAATAAGTAATGCAGCTTTCAACAGGGGGTGTTACAGGCACCTTATTTCCCTGTCTGTTTGTATAGTTCTTCCTTTTTTTAATAATCAACAAATTTAGTATCAGTGGAAGGTGCTATATTGAAAGCTGGAAAGACAGGAAGCTCTATTTTTGAGAACAGGTGCAGCATGAATTTCTATGGCATCCCATCAATGCTATCCTTCTCTACAAATCCTTGTGACTCTTTTAGCCATGGGTTGACAGTGAGTTAGCCTGCCAGAGTAAAATTAGAAGTCCATTCTGCTGACATAGTTGAAGGTTTGGGCATGCATATATCTCAAATACTTTAGTGACTGCCATACCAGGCAAACAAACTCTGGATCACACCAACAACAATGGATATTTTTGACATGATACACATTATATCATAGATAATATAGGTAAACTCTAAAATGTCCAAATACATCTTGGTAAAGAGAACAATGTTTTCCATCATACAAATATTGTATTTATCTCTTTCAAGTATCCAGACACCTTACATTATTCATGTACAACAAAGACCTGGAAGATGGCTTTCTCCTATTCTAAAGGTAGTTGGCTCTATGTAGACATGGCCATTATTTAGATTAGACATGTGATATTCTTTCCAATGAAAATATCCTGAAATTAGTGAAGGAAAAATTCTATTACGTTTATTTTACTAGCTAAAGTATTTACATTATTTAAGCTACTGCAATAGATTTTTAAAGTCAAAAAATTAACCCTTTGTGTTTTCTTGTATTTTCACCTTATTACTGATGATTTGCTGTATGGATAGTCATAACTTTCTCTTGAGTTTTACCTATATCACAAGTACAGTGAGAATGAAATGTATGTTGCAGTCTATATTAAACAAATCAATCCCATTTTTTCATATCTATTATATTTATCCTACTTATATATTAGTTATCGATATTTTCTTGTTACAAATTATTTTAACTATTAGTTGTATGTTAATTAAGATCTATCACCATCTGTGAATAATAATCATAACAAATCACTATTACCACCATTTCTTAAGTGCCTATCATGGGCCAAAAATGGCATTAAATCATTAAATGCTTTACACATTTTTTTTAATATTGTACCACACACCCACACAAATATTACATGCACTATTGTTACCTTTACCATTTTTATTATTTGAGTATGTTACAAAATGTAGACCTACCAAAGGCTGATAATATAAAATCTATTGTTAAACTTGGTTTCAAGTTCTTCCCCAGGTCAGCCTACTTTAGCTTGTTAGAGTTTTTAACTCTTCAGGAGCTGTGGAGTAGGATATAAATTTGATATAACACTCCATAATATCCCTATGTGGTCACTGATAGAAGAAACACAAGCTGGTTCTAAACAAGGCATTTAAAAAAGCATTTCCAATAAAGTTATCAAAGCAAATATTACCCTAGATACAGAACCACTCTTTCTTAAATACATGTGTATTTATGTATATGTATTCAAGTTTATCTATCTATACTACATCCTTATCAATAATCCATTTTTGTTCTTTCACATGAAAATATATATTTAGTGTTTTGCTACCTCAATGTAAGAATACAAGAGTATGCTTTCTCTGGAGTAACATACATTTTAATATAAATATAAATAACATTGCATATGACTTATAGTTGGTAGCAATACAAGTGGAAGAAAATGAAATGCAAGCATTCATTATTATATAATTTTTAAAAATCTACAATAATAATGTAAAATGCAAGGATTTTTTAACTTATAAAATTGCAAAATTTACTCAGAAGCAAAGTAGAATAGATAAAACAAGTCAAAGAAGCTTATGAGAAAATGGAGCTTCAGTAAAATGGAAATTCAATACAACACAAGATAAAAATGTCACCACCAACAAATAGCTACACTATGATCTTAACAACAGTTCATTACTGGTATTTTTTGCAAGTTTTGCAATATAACTTCATTTACCTGTTCCCTGAATTTGTCCTGAAGTTTTCTACTCTATAATCATTTCATCATTCTATCATTTACATTCATATATATACAAACATATATATGTTCAGAATGAATCTGTGCAGACATATCAAGACTGAGCCCTCTCCAGGGCAGTTGACTGAGTTCTTACTGAATTCTGCCAAATATACAGAAAAGAAATTACACTGAGAGCAAAACAAAAGAATAGAAGCTCAAGGATGAAATTTTTTTTTATTAGACATTGCATGGTATTAGCTGGAACAGATAAATAAGTGAAACATTATAATGAAACACTAATGATCTGTTTCATTTTCAAAAAAATTAATGTCCCAGAATCTATTTGGAGACAGGAAGGATTGTGGTTAGCAGCTCCCACAAAATACCTAGTCTTCAAAGATTGGAAGGTAATTTCCATCCTCCACTAATCACCCTTTTTATCAGAAATTAAAAATAACTTGCAAAATAGTCCCCTGTTTGCTACATTTCCTTTCCTGCTAGCCCACCTTAAGGAGTCTCAAGGATACCTGCCTCCATGGAAGTAAAAAGTGACAGGAGGAAGAAAGAGCCAAATGATCTTGAGAAGTGAATATCGATGTAATAGACATCAATCTCTGTTTCATTAGAAGAAAACTAGTATTCAAATGTAAGTCTCAGCTTAGAAAATTATATGACTTTCTTTTTCTAAAAAATACTATAGACAGAGTATTGGAGGAAATAAGATAAATACGCATAGACATAGGGAAATAATACAATTTTAATCTCAACTCAATCACACACTCTAGAGCCAAAATATGTCAGCAAATTACATAAAAACAACTTTTCCCAAAATCCATCTGTATTAATCCACTTTCACACGGCTATAAAGAATACCTGAGATTGGTAATTTATGAACAAATTTACTCACAGTGCTACATGGCAGGGAAGGCCTCAGGAAATTTACAATCATGGCAGAAGGCAAAGGGAAGCAAGCGACTTCTTCACAAGGTGGCAGGAAAGAAAGAGAGTGAAGTGGGAAGAGACCCTTATGAAACCATTAAATCTCTTTAGAACTCATTCACTATCATGAGAACAGCATGGGTAAAACCACTCCCGTCATCCAATCACCTCCACTGGGTCTCTCCCTCAACACCTGGGGATTACAATTCGAGATGAGATTTGGGTGGGGACATATCACCAAACCATATCACCATTTACCAAGAGGTCTGTTCCCAAAGGAGACCTTTGTTAACAGCAAGAACTATCTTGATTTTAATAGAACTCTGCCCCCAAGTAAAATTTTCTTACAAGCCTACTAGAAAGTGCATACAATATTTGGAAACAAAATTATGAAGTATAGCTGTTCTTTATAAAATGATATTAAAGGGAGTATTTTATAATTAAACACATTTTGGGGAAATAGAAGTTGGTGATAGTGCCCGGATTGATATAGACATGAGCTGTTGACGTCCTTCTTATTACTTACATGGTCACCCTTTCTCAAGACATGAAGTGTCTCTTTAACTCACAGCAGTTGTAACATTGGGTTCATTTCTGACTTCTTCCCCTTGTAAACCAACATAGATTCCATGAGCTTCCAAAGTTGAGAACGCCTCCCCTCTGCTACCAGGCTGTGAGGCTAAGCCTTCACAGAGCTCCTGTTTCATTAATTCTGTCATTTCCACATATGGCATTTCCTATTACCTCCCCCATGACTCAGTTTCCCCAAACTTAGGAGCTTTAGAATTGTATAGAATGGGTATCCATTAAGTTGTACTGCTGAAACTGAGTTATTTCTTTTATTTATATGTGCTACAGTTTTTGATTTTGTTTTACAGATGTAGGGTCATGGTCTTTTCTAAATTAGCCATACAGAAATATCTTGGACTGCTAAACAAAATCAACATTTTTCTGCCATTTTTCTTTTATTTATTTTCATAAGAATTAGTATTCCCTTAAAACCTATTTTTAGCCCCTTTAAGTTCTGAGTAAATCAATTTTCCAACTTTTTGGAGAAGTTTACTTTCTTCAGGTTAAGGGATTGGCAAAAACCTATCTGTAAACCAAAATAAACTCCAGACCACAGATTTTCAGCATTAACCAGAAAGCCAATGACCTAGGACAACATATCCACTCAAATTATAACTAATGTTTGCAGTTAAATGCACGCTAACTACAGTATTAATTATCTGGTCCATTTCTTCAAAGTTCCAATTTCTGTCCAATTTACTGAATGCCTCACTCTCCTTCCCCTATCTGTCATTTACATAATACCTAGATGTAAGGTACCAGTTTACTCTTCACAGGTAATTTGATCACTTACAATGGACCATTTGAGTGGAAGCAAGAATAAATTATTATCAACCCACAAGCAAGTGGTAAGAGTTTGATAGAATCAGTGTAATATGAACAAATTCTTTATTTTACTCATTGATATGGTTTGGACCACTGTCCCCACCCAAATGTCATGTTGAAATATAATCCCCAATGTTGGAAGGTGCAGCCTGATGGGAGGTGATTGGATCATGGGGGCGGAGTTCCCCCATGGTTATCACCATCCCTTTGGTGCTGTTCTCGTGATAGTGAGTGAGTGAATTATTGTGAGATCTGGCTATTTAAAAGTGTGTAGCAGGGCTGGGTGCGGTGGCTCACACCTGTTATCCCAGCACTTTGGGAGGCCGAGGCAGGCAGATCACTTGAGGTCAGGAGTTCAAGACCAACCTGGCCAACATGGTGAAACCCCATCTCTACTAAAAATACAAAAATTAGCCTGGTGTGGTGGTGGACACCTGTAATCCAAGCAACATGGGAGGTTGAGGCAGAAGAATCACTTGAACCCGGGAGGCAGAAGTTTCAGTGAGCTGAGATTACGCTACTGCACTCCAGCCTGGGTGACAGAGTGAGACTCCATCTCAAAAAAAAAACAAAAGAAGTATGTAGCACCTCCCCCTTCTCTCTCTTCCTCCTGCTCTGGTCATCTAAGTAAGACATGCCTGCTTCCCCTTCATCTTCTGTCAGGATTGTTAGTTTCCTGAGGCCTCCCCAGCCATGTTTCCTGTACAGCCTGCAGAACCATGATCCAATTAAATTTCTCTCTCTCTCTTTTTTTTTAATAAATTACCCAGTCTAAGGTATTTATTTATAGCCATGTGAGAAGGGTCTAATACACTCATATTAATAGAGATTTTGCCTAAAGCATTTATATTTATTTCAAAGTAGATGGCGAATTTTCAACTGAAGAGAATAAAATGAAATTTACCAACATGATGAAAATGAAGTTTAACAAGTTGATTCATATGGTCTTTTAAGGTTTTGAAATTCTTCAGAGTTATCATTTTGAATATCAAATCTCATTGTATTACATATGGGCAGACATGAGGTTAAAGAAATTTTTCACTTGGTAGAATGCCATAATTATACTTTTCTGCTTTTAACATTTTAGAAAATAATTACAGGAGTATAATTTGTATATTCTGTCCAAAGATTCCTTGCTCAAAAAATTGTTCAAGTTATTAAATAAAACATGTTTTCATTAGCAGTTACTCATTTTTGCTATAGGTACATGTAACTTCTCTGCTCATATTGGATTACATTTGGCAGCATCCAATAAAAATTAGTCAAACGAATTAAATTTATAGAAAAAAGCTAAGATTTTTACTTAAATTCACTTCTTTTTTATTGCATCGTTTTTAAAGTCAATCAGGCCAAAATTAAATTTAAAATATTTATTTGTAGAGGCAATAAACACAATGTTATTTTGGGAAATCTTTCTTTTACCAAAGGGCTTTTTAAAGTTTCATTTAATATTAATCATAAATCCTCTTATTGTGGGATGGCTGGCCAAATGGTCAAATAGGAACAACTCTAGTCTGCAGCTCCCAGTGAGATCAGCGCAGAAGGTGGGTGATTTCTGCATTTCCAACTGAGATACCTGGCTCATCTCAATGGGACTGGTTAGACAGTGGGTGCAGCCCACGAAGGGCAGGCAGAAGCAGTGTGTGGCATCGCCTCACCTGGGAAGCGCAAGGGGTCACGGAACTCCCTCCCCTACCCAAGGGAAGCCGTGAGTGACTGTGCCTTGAGGAATGGTGCACTCTGGCCCAGGTACTATGCTTTTCCCAAGGTCTTCACAACCCACAGACCAGGAGATTCCCATGGGTGCCTACACCACCAGGGCCCTAGGTTTCAAGCACAAAACTGGGCAGCCTTTGGGCAGACACTGAGCTAGCTGCAGGAGTGTATTTTTCATACCCCAGTGATGCCTGAAACACAAGCGAGACACTCCCCTGGGAAGGGGGCTAAAGCCAGGGAACCAAGTAGTCCAGCTCAGCAGATACCACCCCTACGGAGTCCAGCAAAGTAAGATCCACTGCCTTCAAATTCTTGCTGCCAGCACAGCAGTCTGAAGTCAACCTGGGATGCTTGAGCTTGGTGGGGGAAAGGGGGTCCACCATTACTGGGGTTGAGTAGGGAGTTTTCCCGTCACAGTGGAAACAAAGCTGCCAGGAAGTTCGAACTGGGCAGAGCCCACCACAACTCCGCAAAGCCGCTGGAGCCAGACTGCCTCTCTAGATCCCTCCTCTCTTGGCAGGGCATCTCTGAAAGAAAGGCAGCAGCCCCAGTCAGGGGCTTATAGATAAAATTCTCATCTCCCTGGAGCAGAGCACCTGGAGGAAGGGGCAGTTGTGGTGCAGCTTCAGCAGACTTAAACATTCCTGCCTGCCAGCTCTGAAGAGAGCAGCAGAACTCCCAGCACACTGCTCGCGTTCTGCTAAGGGACAGACTACCTCCTCAAGTGGTCCCTGGCCCCCGTGCCTCCTGACTGGGAGACACTTCCCAGCAGAGGTCGACAGACACCTCATACAAGAGAGCTCCGGCTGGCATCTGGTGGGTGCCCCTCTGGGACGAACCTTCCAGAGGAAGGAACAGGCAGCAATCTTTGCTGTTCTGCAGCCTCCACTGGTGATACTCAGGCAAACAGAGTCTGGAGGGGACCTGCAGCAAACTCCAGGAGACCTGCAGCAGAGGGGCCTGTTTGAAGCAAAACTAACAAACAGAAAGGAATAGCATCAACATCAAAAGGACCTCCACACAAAAACCCCGTCCGAAGGTCACCAACATCAAAGACCAAAGGTAGACAAATCCACGAAGATGAGGACAAACCAGCGCAAAAAGCCTGAAAATTCCAAAAACGAGAACGCCTCTTCTCTTCCAAAGCATCACAACTCCTAGCCAGCAAGGGAACAAAACTGGATGGAGAATGAGTTTGACGAGTTGACAGAAGTAGGCTTCAGAAGGTGGGTAATAAATAACAAGCTCCTCTGAGCTAAAGGAGCATGTTCCAACACAGTGCAAGGAAGCTAAGAACCTTGAAAAAGGTTAGACGAATTGCTAACTTGAATAACTAGTTTAGAGAAGAATATAAATGACCTGATGGAGCTGAAAAACACAGCACAAGAACTTCGTGAAGCATACACAAGTATCAATAGCCGAATTGATCAAGTGGGAGAAAGGATATCAGAGATTGAAGATCAACTTAATGAAATTAAGTGTGAAGACAAGATTAGAGAAGAAAGAATGAAAAGGAATGAACAAAACCTCCAAGAAATACGGGACTATGGGAAAACACCAAACCTACCTTTGATTGGTGTACTTGAAAGTTAATGGGAGAATGGAAGCAAGTTGGAAAACACTCTTCAGGATGTTATCCAGGAGAACTTCCCCAACCTAGCATAACAGGCCAACATTCAAATTCAAGAAATACAGAGAACACCACAAAGATACTCCTTGAGAAGAGCAACCCCAAGATATATAATCGTCAGCTTCACCAAGGCTGAAATGAAGGACAAAATGTTAAGGGCAGCCAGAGAAAGGTCAGGTTACCCACAAAAGGAAGCCCATCAGACTCACAGCGGATCTCTCTGCAGAAACCCTACAAACCAGAAGAAAGTGGGGGCCAATGTTCTACATCCTTAAAGAAAAGAATTTTCAACCTGGAATTTCATATCCAGCCAAACTAAATTTCATAAGTGAAGGATAAATAAAATGCTTTACAGGCAAGCAAATGCTGAGAGATTTTGTCACCACCACGCCTGCCTTACAAGAGCTCCTGAAGGAAGCATTAAATATGAAAAGAAAAAACCGGTTCCAGCCACTGCAAAAACACACCAAATTGTAAAGACCGTCGACACTCTGAAGAAACTGCATCAACTATCGGGCAAAATATCCAGCTAGCATCATAATAACAGGATCAAATTCACACATAACTCATTTTATGAGGCCAGCATCATCCTGATACCAAAACCTGGCAGAGACACAACAACAACAACAACAAAAAGAAAATTTCAGGCCTATATTCCTGATGAACATCAATGCGAAAATCCTCAATGAAATACTAGGAAACTGAATCCAGCAGCATATCAAAAAGCTTATCCACCACAATCGAGTTGGCTTCATCCCTGGGATGCAAGGCTGGTTCAACATCTGCAAATCAATAAATGTAATTCATCACATAAACAGAACCAATGACAAAAACCACATGATTATCTCAATAGATGCAGAAAAGGCCGTCAATAAAATTCAGCACCACTTCATGGTAAAAACTCTCAACAAACTAGATATTGATGAGCTCAAAATAATAAGAGCTATTTATGACAAACCCACAGCCAATATCACACTGAATGGGCAAAAGCTGGGAGCATTTCCCTTTGAAACCCAGCACAAGAAAAGGATGCCCTCTCTCACCACTTCTATTCAACATGGTATTGGGAGTTGTGGCTGGGGCAATCAGGCAAGAGAAAGAAATAAATGGTATTCAAATAGTAAGAGAGGAAGTCAAATTGTCTCTGTTTGCAGATTACATGATTGTATATTTAGAAACCCCCATCATCTCAGCCCCAAATCTCCTTAAGCTGATAAGCAACTTCAGCAAAGTCTCAGGATACAAAATCAATGTGCAAAAATCACAAGCATTCCTACACACCAATAATGGACAAACAGAGAGCCAAATCATGAGTGAACTTCCATTCACAATTGCTACAAAAAGAATAAAATACATAGGAATACAACTCACAAGGGATGTGAAGGACTTCTTCAAGGAGAACTACAAATCACTGCTCAAGGAAATAAGAGAGGACACAAATGAATGCAAAAACATTCTATGCTCATGGATAGAAATAATCAATATCATGAAAATGGCCATCCTGCTCAATATAATTTATAGATTCAATGCTATCCACATCAAGCTACCAGTGGGTTTCTTCACAGAATTAGACTACTACATTAAAAAAAGAGCCCATATAGCCAAGACAATCCTAAGGAAAAAGAACAAAGCTGGAGGCATCACGCTACCTGACTTCAAACTATACTACAAGGCTACGGTAACCAAAACAGTATGGTACTGGTACCAAAACAGATATATAGATCTATGGAACAGAACAGAGGCCTCAGAAGTAATGTCACACATCTACAACCACCTGATCTTTGGCAAACCTGACAAAAACAAGCAATGGGGAAAGGATTCCCTATTTAATAAATGGTGTTGGGAAAACTGGGTAGCCACATGCAGAAAACTGATACTGGACCCCTTCCTTACATCTTAATACAAAAATTAACTCAAGATGGATTAAAGACTTACACATAAGTCCTAAAACCATAAAAACCCTGGAAGAAAACCTAGGCAATACCATTCAAGACATAGGCATGGGCAAAGACTTCATGACTATAACAGCAAAAGCAATGGCAACAAAAGCCAAAATTGACAAATAGTATCTAATTAAACTAAAGAGCTTCTTCACAGAAAAAGAAACTATCATCAGAGTGAACAGGCAACCTACAGAATGGGAGAAATTTTTTTCCATCTATCCATCTGACAAAGGGCTAATATTGAGAATCTACATGGAACTTAAACAAATTTACAAGAAAAAAAAAACAAACAACCACGTCAGAAAGTGGGCGAAGAAGATGAACAGACACTTCTGAAAAGAAGACATTTATGTGGCCAAGAAACACATGAAAAAAAGCTCATCATCACTGGTCATTAGAGAAATGCAAATCAAAACCACTGTGAGATACCATCTCATGCCAGTTAGAATGGCGATCATTAAACAGTCAGGAAACAGATCCTGGAGAGGATGTGGACAAATAGGAATGATTTTACACTGTTGGTGGGAGTGTAAATTAGTTCAACCATTGTGGAAGACAGTGTGGCAATTCCTCAAGGATCTAGAACCAGAAATACCATTTGACCCAGCAATCGCATTACTGGGTATATACTCAAAGGATTATAAATCATTCTACTATAAAGACACATGCTCATGTATGTTTATTGCAGCACTATTCACAATAGTAAAGACATGGCACCAAGTCACATGCCCATCAATGATAGACTGGATAAAGAAAATGTAGCACATATACACCATAGAATAATATGCAGCCATAAAAATGGATGAGTTCATGTCCTTTGCAGGGACATGAATGAAGCTGGAAACCATCATTCTCAGCAAACTAAAACAGGAACAGAAAATCAAACACCGCATGTTCTCATTCATAAGTGGGAGTTGAACAATGAGAACACATTGACACAAAGAGGGGAATATCACACACCGAGGCCTGTCAGTGGGTGGAAAGCTAGGGGAGGGACAGCATGAGGAGAAATACCTAATGTAGATGATGGTTTGATGGGTGCAGCAAATCACCATGGCTCGTGTATACCTATGTAACAAACTTGCACATTCTGCACATGTATCCCAGAACTTAAAGTATAATAAAAAAATTAGTCATACATTATTTTGCCATTATTCATCAGAGTTTTTCAAAACAAGTTTAAATATGGGTACCTACAATACTATTCAAAAATATATATACATAATTTTTAATAATATTCCTATAAAGAAATACTTTCATTATTTAAACATTTCAGACACACTTATTTCTCACATAAAAACAGTTAAGTAACAGTATATACAACTCAAAAATATTATTTTTTATTTTATTTATTTAATTTTTTTTTTTAAGACAGAGTCTCACTCTGTCACTCAGGCTAGAGTGCAGTGGCGCAATGTCGGCTCACTGCAACCTCCACCTCCCAGATTCAATCCATTCTCCTGCCTCAGCCTCCTGAGTAATTGGGGCTACAGGCGCGTGCCACCACACACAGCTAATTTTTGTATTTTTAGTAGAGATGGAGTTTCACTATCTTGGCCAGGCTGGTCTCGAACTCCTGCCCTCAGGTGATCCTCCTGCCTTGGCCTCTCAAAGTGCTGGTATTACAGGCATGAGTCACCATGCCCAGCCTACAACTCAAAATTATAATAGGCATTTATTATCAGGCACATTTGTATTTTTAATAATTCAACATTGTTTAATTGCTTTTTTGGAGTAAGGCAATGGGTAGATGAGTTTATTCTTGGGACAGTGAGAATGGTGTTTAATAATACCATAACTAAATTACTCAGTAACTACATAACGAAGTACATTTTTCTTTGTGTTTAACGACCTTGAGGACAAATAATAAATCAAAATAGCAGCTCTAGTGAGGTACCAAAGGTCAAATATTAAAATACCTTATTTCGTTAGAAGCAATATAATACATGCTGAGTATCCCTTATCCAAAATGCTTGAGATGGAAGTATTTAGGATTTCATATATCATATTTTTTTTGCAAATTTTGAAATATTTACATTATAGTTACCAGTTGAGTGTCCCAAATCTGAAAATCCAAAATCCAAAACCCTCCACTGAGCATTTCCATTGAGTGTCATGTTAGCACTCAAAAAGTTTCAGAATTTCAGATTTGGGATGTCCAACCTGTATCACATTCAACAGTGAAGTAATATGTATTGAATGCAATTGTTTTTGGGGCACAAAACAGACAAAAATCTCTGACCTCATGGGATTTATATTCTAGCAAGTACAGGACAGTCATCTGAGTGGCCTTGGACCAAACCAGTTCTCCCCCATTTCTCACTTGTCTTTCTCAAGGAAAACTATAGAATGTGCTGAGAATGCTGCATCCTAAGATAAGGCAAAACTGACCAGAACATCTGGGGCTCTATTCCTGTCCCTCCTAGAACAGGATATCCTTCCATGCTTTAGCCACATGTCATTTGACCCCCTAGGTCGAAAGCCCAGGGTGGACTGCTTTTGGGGTACCTCAGCTGTGGTGTGATGTAGGGCATATACAGATGAGATTCCATTAAATGAGGCAGCTTTCCTGAGCCCTGGAAACCGGCCCGCCATGAATCCTAGGTTTCCACAGTCCCTTGCTGCCTATTGATGAGTGATAAAGTTGCTTTGCTTAACTTGTCATGTGATTGTACTGTCTCACCAGACTCATGCAAGTAGCATAAATTGCAGCCCATGAAGCATGGGATGAAGTGGTAGCCAGAACACAGGGAATTTGCTTTACAGCAAAAAAAGAAAATTTTATTTAACATTAAAAGTCAGCAAATTGTATAATCTGTTAGAAGGTTGTGCTATGAATAAAGGAGAAAAAGAAGAGCAAGTTACGAGGGAATGAGACTATAAAGTGTAGGGTGTGTATTACAGTATGACATACTCAGTGTAGGTCACCCCATTCAGCAGGTGACATCTGAAAGAAGTAAAGAGAATTAGCAATGTGGAGATCTAGGAAAAGGGCAATCTAGGGAGAAGAGTTAGTGCAAAGGCCCCAAAACAGGAGCAACAAAGCCAAGGCAGCTGCAGCAGAGTGAGAGGAAGGGAGCAATAGATGAGGTCACAGACGTCACAGGAACCAGATATTTTAGGTTACAGTTCAATACACTTTTCTGAGAAGAGTCCAATAGTAACTGTTTTAGGTTTTGCAACACACAAGATGTTTGTAGTAACTATTCAATTGCCTACGTAGTGTGAAAGTAGCCACAGGTAATAATGCACAAATGAATGTGAGTGGCTATGTTCCAATTAACTTTATTTATGGACACTGAAAGTTAAATTTCATATAATTTTCACATATCATACATTTGCAAAATTCTTTTTCAACCATTTAAAAATGCAATGTCATCCTTAGCTCATGGGCTATTAAATCATGATTGGGAGACAATATGCTGACATTTGGTATAAGAAATTGTTAGGCATTGCAAGAACTTTGGTTCTTAGTTTCAGTGAAATGAAGTTTCAGTCTGGGATTTTCAGCAGAAGAAAGCATGATAGGTCATATACTTTCAAAAGATTGCTTGGGCTGTGATATGGTTTGGCTGTATCCCACCTAAATCTCATCTTGAATTGTAGTTCCCATAATCCCCACATGTCCTGGGAGGGACCAGGTGGAGGTAATTGAATCATGAGGCAGTTTCCCACTTCCTGTTCTCATGATAGTGAGTTAGTTCTCATGAGATCTGATGGTTTCATAAGGGGCTTCCCTCTTTGCTGGACACTCATTCTTCTCTCTCCTGCTGCTCTGTAAAAAAGGACACGTTTGCTTCCCCTTCTGCCATGATTGTAAGTTTCCTGAGGCCGCCCCAGCCATGCTGAACCATGAGTCAATTAAACCTCTTTCCTGTATAAATTACTCAGTCTTGGATATGTCTTTATTAGCAGCGTGTGAATAGACTAATACAGGCTGCTATGTTGACAGGAGAGTGTATGGAGTAAGGATCAAAATAGAAAGAACTGATAAGAGGCCGATAGAAAATTCCAGGCAAGAGATGATAGAGACTGAGACTGGGATGGTAGCAGTGGAGGTGGAATGAAGATGTCAGATTCTGGACCTGTTTTGAAAAGGCAGCCGGTCATCTTTCCTGACCAATTGTATAAGGGGTATGAAACAAAAAAGAGGCCTGAAGGTTGGCTGCTGAGCAACTGGCAAGAATAAATAAAGACACTGGAAGACTTCAACCCCGTCTTGATGTGATATCAAGCAAATTACATAACTCTTCCATGACTTAGTTTTCTCGGAGTCAAGTGGGGATTATAATTTGCAGAGCAAGTTGTTGAGCAAAGAACAGGCATTCAATGGTAGCACTGCCTGACGTGACACGCCTGGCTCTATGTACTCATACACTTATCCCCATGAATTCTACCCCCTAACCCATGGTCTTGTGAGGAAGAACCTGAGTACACCCTGCAGTGCTGCCCAGTACCATGCTGGCCATGCCTTGCAGGACTGCTTCTGAAACTGTTTCCATCTAACTCCATGCTTTTAACTACTATGCCATGTTGCCTGTCTGAAAAAAAATTATACTTCATTTATCATAAAAACAGACAACCAACCAACAAATAACTTATTTACCTATCAGACACTATCTTAAAGTCAGATATAGTGGATTTCAGGCCTAGGAATTTAAATCTTAGAAAAGAGAAGCAAAAAGCGTGAACTAAGCACAACATTACATTGGACAAGAAACTAAAGGTGGAATATGAACATGGTAACAAGTGTACATGGGCAAGAAATTTAGGGAAAAAATTTAAGACAAAATCTCACAGTGAATTTTGATTATCCATGAAAACAACTTCTGCTACATAGGAAGATGGAAAAATACGAATTCACTCATTCATTTGAGAAATATTTTAGAGTGCCAACAACCACTGCTAAAACTAGAAATATATGAGACTAAGGTAGATATGGCATCTGCCCTCTTGGAGAACCCATTCTTTGTGATTGTGATTAACCAATTACAATCACACTCTGATTAACCAGGACTATTTTCAGTGGGGTTAAGAGACCCTCTGTATTTCTTTTTTCCTTTTTTTTTTTTTTTTGAGGCGGAGTCTTGCCCAAGTAGCTGGGACTACAGGCGCCTGCCACCATGCCCAGCTAACTTTTGTATTTTTAGTAGAGATGGAGTTTCACCGTGTTAGCTATGATGGTCTCAATCTCCTGACCTCATGATCAGCCTGCCTTGGCCTCCCAAAGTGCTGGGATTACAGGCATGAGCCACCCCGTCCGGCCGAGACCTTCTGTATTTCTAGGAAATAATTCAAAATTACAGAAATATAATTCAATCCCAAATTTTGTGTCTGTTAATTTTTAATGGGGGTTTACAAAAATGAAGAAGAGAGGTCAGGTGCAGTGGCTCACGCCTGTAATCCTGGCACTTTGGGGGGCCAAGGCAGGCAGATCACCTGAGGTCAGAAGTTCGAGACCAGCCGGGCCAACATGGTGAAAACCCGTCTCTACTAAAAATACAAAAATAAGCTGGGCGTGATGGCGGGCACCTGTAATCCAAGCTACCCAGGAGGCTGAGGCAGGAGAATCACTGGAACCTGGGGGGCAGAGACTGCAGTGAGCCGAGATCACACCACTGCATTCCAGCCTGGGCAACAGAGTGATACTCCATCTCAAAAAAAAAAAAAAAAAAAAAAAAAAGGAAGACGAGAACAGTAAATATGAAATGTACTGGATTCTTATTATTCATCTGTCAGACTAAAATGACTCTCTATAATAGGGTGCTGCTATCTATTTATAAGAGGGTGCTGCTATCTTCAGTGTGCGCCACAAACATCAGCACACTTGGAAGGAGGTCAGGAGGCAGAAGAGAAGAGAAAAGAAACCAACAAGCTCAGTTATAACAAAGAAATGTTTCTCTCAGAGGACTTGTACTGATCAAGCTAAATTTGTTTAATAATAGAAAATATAAACACCAATGTAAGAGAACATATGTCAAAAAACATGAGAATGCTATGAAGTATATAGAAATATTCTTGTGTAAGGAATGTTGTACACTTTTTACTTATTAATAATCAAAATACGTAGATGTGTGCATGAATATTGACAAGAAAAATGTAAATATCTTGAAGGAGAATATCACATCAGAGGCAGGTCTATTGTGGAGATATTCATAGTTCCAGCTAAGTTCTTTATATTTTCCTTAAAATCTTAGATCCAGAGCCTGGCGCATGTCCTGGCTTTTGGTAGTGCTGTCACCCCTGTGCACCTAGCATTGCCTGCTGGCTAGTGACAGCGTCTCCTTGATGAGCAGGCTGGGGCCAGTCCCAGGCAGCTCCCCTTTCAGCCTGACAGCTGCATATCCCAGGTGGTCTGACATTTGAGATGGAGGCTGTGGATAAGATTGAAGGTGTTTTAGGGGAGAAGTAGGCTGTGAATAACACCAAGACTTCATCCAGATGGAATCACTCATGAGACAACCTGAGATACTCTATTACTGTCCATATGTCTTCCAGGTCTCCAAAGGCCAGACTCCATTGATTTATTAGAAACCCACTATTTATGCTTTTGGCTCATCTCACAGCAGACTACAGTAAAGGATTTATCAGAGATGCTGCTGTTTCTGTCAGTTATTAGAATTTTATAAGTTCTTTAAATAAAACAGCCTCCATAAATATCCTAGTAAACATCAGACAATAAAGTAAATATTTGGGGGTGAGATTCAGTTTATTTCCTTTTAATATACACCACCTTTTTACAAGTTTCCTTCTGAGTGCAGCCTCATGGCAAAACCCTTTACAGAATGCACCTATTTTAAGTAAATAAATAAATATGTGACTCCAAAGAAATCCAAATGACAAGAGCTAACTATGTGAATGGTTTTGCTTAAACACAATTTTTCCCTTGCAGATAAACTCAGAAGAATTATTTCATTGTTTTACCAGCACAAACAGTTGTTATTAGTGTCTCTTATTTATAGATGGTTCTTTGAAGGACTACAGTAATATAGCAAAATATCAGTTATTCCATCACACTGGTGAATTTAATGAACCTGAAGGTGTGTGTTATTTTAGCACTTGCTGTGGCTCCTGTGAAAACCCAGTGGTGCTAAAATCTGTAAACCTGTCATTGCTTAAGTAATAACCTTGTTAAAAGCATCTTCATTTAACTTACTTTAGCTGCTGCAGGATGCAGGTTTTATTTTATCGGTGTAGAGAGTAGGTGTTTCAAACCCAAACCACTTATGGTAAATATAATTAATTGTAGTTTATTAATTTATTCTCAGTGTTATTGCTTTTATTTTAACACTTAGTTTAAATTAAATATTGTCTGGAATCTAGTACCCATTTTCAATTTTTCACAAACTCTGAATTTATATTGAATTTCTGTGGTTAAGAGAGTAAATTTTAGTCTGCACCAATGAAAATGTTCATTTTCATCTTTACTACTCCTTTACATGAAGCACAATAGCCTCCTCCCCTCACCCCTGCTGTATACAACATGGATGAAAAAACAGAGTACATTTTCCTTAATCTACTTGGAATGGATTTGAGTTTATTCTTGCCTTTTAAAAATATGAAGAAAATTGCACGTTGGTACGTGTTCAGAATTATCAATTGATTTCTACAGGAACACATCTATAATTTTTGAAATGCTGGCAATAAAAATGGAAAGTCCAGCAGGGCATGGTGGTTCATGCCTGTATCTCAGCATTTTGGGAGGCCGAGGCAGGCAGATCACCTGAGGTCGGGAGTTTGAGACCAGCCTGACCAAAATGGAGAAATCCCATCTCTACTAAAAATATAAAAAATTAGCCAGGCATGGTGGTGCATGCCTGTAATCTCAGCTACTGGGGAGGCTGAGGAAGGAGAATCACTTGAAACCGGGAGGCAGAGGTTGTGGTAAGCCGAGATCATGCCGTTGTACTCCAGCCTGAGCAACAAGAGCAAAACTCCGTCTCAAAAAAAATAATAATAATAATAAAAGAAAGAAAGAAAAGAAAAAGACAGTCCTTCCTATTCAGAACTCATTGAAAAGGGAGAGAGGGAGAGAGAAAGGAGAAAGAAAGAGAGAAAATAAGAGAGGAGGAGAGAGAAAAAGAAGAGAGAGAGAGAATGAAAACAGATAAAAACTGTAATTTGTATTTACAGTTACAGCCTTAAAGCAAAACAAACTTTCCTTAATTACCTGCACAGGCCAACAGCAAGGTGTGTGATAAATGCTATATGTTATCAACCACTTTGAAATCCTTGGCCGACTGCAATAATTGTCAGTGAATGCTGATAGGTGTTATATAGCCACACCTACAAAAAACATTATGAAAGGTGTTGGTGTCCAACCACTGTTTCAATGCTGAGTGAAATTAGTTAAACAAATACTAGCCTGAGTGGTAGATTAAGATTTACATCAAATTTATTTTCCCTAAAAGATATCAATAAAAACGCAGAATAGAAATATTATAATAGTTCCATGTGACAATAAATTGAAACTGTTAAAGTCAGTTTGTTTAGGAATCTATTTTTAATAAAACATTTTTATAAAATCATGAAATTTCTTTGTATTTATGTTAATGTCTCAGAAAGCTGACTAGTCAATGTTGTTTATCTCTTTAAAAAATCTCCAATTTAACTTGAATTTTGGGGCTTTAAAATATAATCAAACAGATTGATTATTACAATATTCAAGATATTTTTTGTAAAATAAAAAGTATAAAACTGATACTTATTATTCCTTTCCAGTCCTTTAATTATAATGTTGATTTTAAATTTGGGGGTGGAGGAGGTAAAGAGAAGACATACATCAAGAACTAAAGCAATTTCCTGGGTTATCTTTAAAGTTAAACACAATACTAACTAAACATTGCTCTCTGTTATTTTTGTTTTTATGATAATTTTTAGAGTTATTAACGCTCAGATTGCTTGAAGCATGGATTATTCAAATAATATGGGCTCTTAAAATATGTAGTGACAAAAATATTTTAAAATTGTATACATATAATTTTTGTAATTATCAGTCTTTTTGTAATGTACCTACTTTCAGAAACTTATTTTTTGTAATTCAGTTAATGTTTGTATGCTTTGAACAAATGACATTTTAAATCAGAATATTAAACGACCCTGTTAATTTTTGTTTGGTTTGACAGTATAGTTTCTAAACAATAGCCAGACAAAAGATTATACAATTGTATCACTCAATAAGATACACTTTAAATATATATTAAAGTTAGAATAATTTAATGAAATTCACATTTTATCAAGGATTTTTTTTAATTAAATCTATTGGTTGTTAGTATCTGTGAACTCTTAAGAATAAACACCTGCAGTGTTTTATTATGTAAAAAGGTGGTTTAATTGCATCATATTTATCACAGACAAATCAAGCCCTATTCAGAAGATAATAATGACACAGTAATTGGATCAGTAATTGGTTCAGGATGATTCAATATTGTACTAATAATCATAAATACTGCTGTCTTCTGCTTTGATACAGGGCTGACATGCTAATATAGATTGGATTTGGAGCAATAAATATTAGTGAACTGATCTATTATTAATGTCTAGATCCTTAGTTTGGCTATGCCAGCCAGAAACAGGTACAAAACAGATGTACCACTTGAAAACATATGTATTCTAAATTATAATATGAATTTAGTCAATGTACTTTGTTGGCTTTTCTTAACCAGGGTATCTTTGAAATGAGTATCTTCAATATATAGAAAGGGAGGGGAGTAGAAACAAAGAATGTTCTTTACTTTCCTTATGAAAATGATCATTTTGTGGGAGTAATATAGTTTTTACATTTGACTGAGCCAAGTTGCCATGGCTGATGTGACATGATGACCTGGTGGGCAAAATTATTCACGTGCCAGTCATGTAATGATGGATAAGAAAATCATTCCCATTACCGCACTGTGTTCAGCAGACACTTGGCGGTTAAACAGAACTATTTCTTAGCCAGTGTGGTGGCAGCCTTTCACTGAGAGCCAAAGGAGGGGGAGGCTCATTATAAAGGAAACAATGATCCTTATTCACTTAACATGGAAACTTGCCTTACAAGGGCACATTGGACAGCCCTGGGCTGGAACAAAAATGGCATATTCCCTTTTATCAATGGAACAGAAACCCAGGATCAACATGCCTGGCTTGGAATGCTGCCTGCTGGTGACAGAAATGGATATATTCAGGCATTTGTTTATTTATGATAATTTCTGTGTATGAGGGGAGGGTGCTTACCGTCTACCCCCGCCCAGCACTGGAATTGGCTTGTTTTGTGGATGTAAAGAGGGGCAACTCCCAAATGCCAATAAAGAACCTAATTATGCAGTTATAACTCTAAAGTTGTAAAACCAATTAGAAGTGTATTATTTACCTTGGAATGAGAGAAATTTTTTTCTATCATTCTTAACTAAACATAGGGTAATGGTATGCACAAAATCTCTGCACAAGACTAAAAGAATGCCATGGGGTATGGAATTGATGCTTTCTGGCAATGAACCCCAAACATAAGTGACACATTTCCCAAGAGAAACCAAGAGACTGATGGGATCCATATAGAAGATTTTGGTTATCCTGTTACTCATCTCATGCCTTGGGTTTTTGTTCGTTACAAATTGAGAATTTGAAATGGAGTTTATTCTCCAAAGGTCATTATAAAGAAAATGAATATAAAGCTTACCAAATCTATGATTTATACAAATGCTCAAGGATGAGTATTGAATTCTTTCATATAATTTATCTCTGCACTAATTATTAAAAAACCTTTGAAGGTAGGCAGAGAGTCAAGTGATTACTTTCTCATTGCCAAAGTCAGCCAGGAAGCACCAGTTGATGAACAGTGTGTTGGAAGGAAAAAGAGCCAGGGAATACTGTATCAGTGAGATTTTGAACAACCCAGTGATTCCCATTCAAGGGAATGGGCTTCAACCTATTCTGGTGTTCTCAACATTCCCTCCTTATGCAAGGTATGGATGCCACAATTTTCCCAGCATAAGCTCAGTTGAGCCTCTCTAATGGCATCTATGTTGGCCCTATTTTCTACATAGGCATAGAGGGACGTCTTCATCATTTGCAGGAGTCTGGGGTTACTGCCAAGGGCAATGATCCAACTACACAGGCAAGGGAAACAGATAATCTATTTCGGTTCCTGAATCAGCATTGCATCCAGTAACACCTGAGCAGTGAAAATCCTGTGGCGTCTTCATTCAAGAGCCAGGAAATTCCACGTGTTTGTGGAATCAAGTTCTCTCCTAAGTGGAGTGACTGTTTATTGTTAAGTATCCATGAACGGAAAGCTGCAGTCAAATAGCAGCCAAGCAGTCACACGTTCACTGTGGATCTATGCCCCAGTGGCTCCAGCTCTGAACCAACTGCTCAGGAGTTATATGATAACTAATTCACTGGGTCCTATGTCTCCCTGAAATTCTACGTGTAGTTGTGGTTCACTGGTTTAGTGACGTGAATGAAGGGAATTTAGTGCACTTCAAATCTCTCATTACACCTTAATTAGGACCCCAGCTAGAAATATCAGTGTTTGAACAACTGTAGCAGACAAGGTTTCTTTTCTTTCTTTAATCACATATTGTAAAGCAGATTGAAGTAGTTTATCAATGTTTTCTTCTTTTGTTTTTCTCCCGATTGAGAATCTATAGCCAAATAGATTAACATAAACACTAACGCTGTGGTTTTTCAGTTTTAATCCTTAGCTCAGTCAGCAATTCTCAGTCAGAGAAATAAATGGTAACAGTTATTATAGAAAATATGTTATTAAGAATCAGCAATTTCATAATTGTTTTTTATTGTCTTTTGTTTCTGTGTTTTTATGTTTTTTTAACAGAAATCATGCCACTGAAACAAATTAAACCCTTTTTTATTTGTTAGTAAATTTCCAGATCTTTTTTAATTCCACATTCATTTTGATCTTGAAAACTTGTCCTTGAACCACCAATTACCAGTGATCTTAACTTGGGGCACCTGTGTAAACTCCTCTGCAATAAAGCTTTATTGTAGGAAATTCATTTTAATGAATGTAGCATCTATATCATAAATAATTTTAAAAATTAGCTTGTAGGTGTCAGTATAGTAACAGTCTTTTTAGCAAACTAGGGGAAACACCTCATTTTACTTATTTATTTAAATATTTACCTTCCTAACAAATAAGTTTACAATATATTTCTAATTAAAGCAAAATACAATTAAACTATAACTTTAAAAATCCACCTTTAAATCAAAGAATGAAGACAAACAATACTAAAATTTAATCTCTCCTTTGGGGCAGGAGACAGCTTACAGGTCTAGTCAGCCAGCTAAATGACAGTCAGAAAAGATCATGTGACGCGGATCTAAAAACTAATTAATCTCCATAAAGCTGTAAGTGAGGTAGGTAGGATGACTTGAAATCTGATTACATTATCGCATTTAAGGGAAGAAAATGCAGCATGTATTTTTCATGTTGATTTTAACCACCTGAGCCCATAATGATGTTTTGTACCTTGGAAGAAAACTCATCTTTCATCCATATTTAAGAAGAACTACAAAGATGCTACTATCATTGGTACTTGATTTACACGTTTGGTATAAATACTATGAAAATGAATCATGTTGGATGCCTTTATAAAGTTTTTCAGGAATAAGTAATTCTTTGAAAACTAGATTCACTGTAAAAAGCTAGCCATAAATCCAAAGATTAAAAGAAATTGACAAAGATATTTAAAGGAAATAATAATTTTACCATTCCCACCCCTACCTCCATAAAAAGCAAATGATTAGGTAGTATATTTTGGCTACTGAACATTTATGGGCTGAATTTTTATTAGTTCTAAAGTTAAATTGCTATTCAAAATAATTCCAAAAATTGATTAAAATGTGATATTCTCTATAGCTTCCATTATTCTAGTCATACACAAATTATGTAAACACTGTGAATGTTAGGAGGATTCATTCAGAACTCCAAGAAATTGTCCTGAATATTTCACATCTAATTCTTTTTCTATTGTTTTAATATTTAAGTAAAAAAGACTTCCATAATTGTTCTTGGAACTCTCCTTTATCTGAAAGAGAAGAACAAGGAGTCTAGAATATAAATTTGAAACATTACATTGGAATGCCCTAAAAATAATCCTTATAAGATAGGAATGAGCCCTGAAGGGAGAGAGAGAGTGTGTATGTGTGTATCGTTTGTGTGTGTTTGTGGGTATATTGTGTGTGTGAGTTTATGTGTATGTCAGAGAGACAAGAGAGAGAGATTTGGTGTTCTATTAATAAACATTATTAATCACAGATTATGTAAATCATACTATGCAAAAATATCATTTAAGAAACCATTGAAAGTGCTATATCTGAGTAGAAACTCAAGCCAGAAAAAATACTGCTGGCAGGTAATTCATTGTATATTGAACACATAGGGTAGATGACAGAATATATTCTATAATTTGTTTTATGAAAATGATAATTATTTTCCCATAATAATATTAATGAATGTGTAAGGAGACTAGATCATAAAAATAGAGTACTTCTCACTGAAGATCTGAAAGCACTTTATAGATGAAGCGCTTTTTTTCTGCTGTATTTTACATGAGCAAAGTTTTCATGAATTAAGATATATTCACTATTTTAGGACAAAAGTATTATTTTTCATTTCAGCAAAAAGAATAAAGGCTACTCAATTTTTCCCAATGTGCAAACTGCAGAAGAATCTCAAGCGTAGTGTAATTTGAGACTCAAAAGACAAGACTTTTTGCCCCTTCATTTCTCCATTCTCTACTCCCCTTAAGGTGAATGTGCAGGCATACGGATAGGTGCGCGCCCAGAGATATGCTCCTGTGCAGAGTCAGATGAGGAGAGGCTGGAAGGCTCCAGAGGTTGCTGAACTGGGCAAAGTGAGAGAAAACCCACAGGATATCTTGTCAGGAAGGGGAGCCACTCCATCTTTTCTGACCTCTGCCTTCACACCCATCTAATCTCTTCTGTATCCCTTCCTATTATCCTCTATCTTTCCACTTTACCCTTTAGATACAGAGTATGGAAAACATTTTCCCTGACCTGAATAAGCATTCACGAGAAGCTACTTCCTGAGGTCAGTGAATATTTTTAGACCTTTAAAAGCACTGTTATTGTAACTTTCTGACTATGAATGATGATATTAGTTAAAATATTATCAAAATTATTTAGGACTAAGTTCCTACTACTTACACATCTCAGATCTATATTTCCAATCACTGATGATTTAAAGCATTAAGAGAGAACTAACAGTTTGTGCCAAGAATTTATAAAATGTTCTATGTATGAAATAATTTAGAAAAAAATCTTTTTAAAATTATTCTAAAGAATGTTTAGTGGGATACAAGTGTATACTTGAGGTATAAGATATCATCCCATCAAATGCTAAATTTTAACCAGAATTGTGCTCTATCATATAATGAATCACAAATGCCTGATCATTTCCAACAACTGTGTACAGCAGAAAAATTTTATGAGCCTATACACAGTCAACATAAGCAAATAGACAAAGCTCGTCACTAAAGGTTTTAAAAAAATAGATGAAAAGGAAAAAAGAAAATGGAGCAGTCAAAGGAAAAGCTGATGTAATTCACAACTCTGATACCTTTCTCTAAACTTTTACCTTTACTTGTGATATTACAGAACTACTCAGCCATTTTAGAAATTCTGAGATCCCAAATGTGTCAACAATATAACATACTTTATTAAGCTGCTTTAAAGTACACCCTCAAAAGCTTGCTTTTTTAAAGCAGTAATTTGTATACATGGCATAAATTGTCAACCCTTCTGTGATCTTGAACCAAATTTTGTTTTGGTTGTGAAATTTAGGTTCCTTCTCTGTCTTTTCTTCTTTTACTTCCTTTCTGTCTGACAAGGTATTCCCTAACACATCTAAATTTTGGATGTAAATTGAGACCTAGTGTGACAATTGAGAGACAGATTTATGAACCACCAATACTCCTAATTGGTAGTTTGATTTGAGTGTTTATTTATTTATGTACTTATTTACTTATTTCTTCATTTATTCATTTACTTATGGATAGAACATTAGATAAAAATCCATTTGAAAATACTTTAATGAGAAAGATGGTGAGCAAATTCTCCTTTAATATAAAAGCCACTTCAACTATTAATCATGATTACAGAAAACTCCCATTGTGACAGAATATCATTTAACTTCCAAAAACTAGAGGAAGTAACAGCACACATTTTTTTAAGCTCCACTATGGTAATAATTTTGTGTAACGAAATATGGTACAACCTAATCTTTGAAAGAGCTTAAATTACCAATCAAATATACATAACCTATTTCATTTGTTAGGGTCTTGATTTTATATATTATTTTGGCTTTGTTTTAACAAATACACTTGGCCATAATGAAAATAAACCTGCTGAAGTCTCTGAGGTCTGAAACAAGATATAACACATTTCTGCACCACGGGGTGGGCTCATGGGATACCTACTGAGAAAATGCATGCCCACTGAGCATGCCCAGACTATTAAAATGAATTGACATGTTAATGCTGACAGGAAAAGAGCACAAGAGAGCTTGCTAAATGACTGCTCAGTCAGGCACTAGGAATTCCTGAGTGGCTAAGTCCGGAGCAAAACCCACAGCAAGCACAACAACAACAAGAAAACTTTATTGTCAAATGCTCCCAAACAAACAAACACTAACAGGGTTGTCATGTTAGTAATCCACCTACCCATAAATCATATGGATTTTAATCATACCTGCCACCTTAGCTGCTTACCCCCAGAGAAATTGTTTTCTTTTTGCTCCCTCCTTCATTCACTTTCAATTATCTGGAAGCTGTTTCGCGTGTTTATTTATTTATCTAAAGTTCACATACAGTATGCAAGCACAAATTTTCTCCAGGGGTCTGGGACCAGGCAGATCATACACAAGGATGCAGTGGCGTGAAGCAGCTAACAGCTCAGATAAATGTACTCTGTCTCAAAAACCTGCTTTGGACCACGATAACAAGGAAAGGGGAGGACAGAAAGTAATTTGTGTGTGTACAATGATTGATTATGGTTTAATATGTAGGCATTTCACCTTAAGACCACTCTAGGTAGACTTAAAGAATGATAGAACAGGAAGTCCATCTGGTTTTTGATAAGCAAAGAAGAAAAAACGGCTTTTGCACATAGAAGTCATTAGCTTTATCTTCTACAAAGGTGGAATAAAGTTTATTTGCTTTTAAACACATACATTTGATTAGTCTACTTCCTGCATCTAATAATTGCTCAAATTCTCAAATGTTAGGGTGAACATAAATAAGTGACTTTCAGAATTGGGCAAACAGAGAGGGAGAGAAAGGAAACTGCATGTTTCGTATGAAATTATCCAATCTTGCCATCATCTTGTCTTATTCCCATAAACAACTTGAGAAAGTAATACCAATTTGGCTACTCAGGAAATAAGTAGTGCACTGTTCATGACCTTTACTCAGCTCCAGGAGGTTAAAGAGTAGCATAGATGCATCATGATGTCCATATCCTTTAGACAAAAAAAATCATTTTCATGAGACAAAAGTGGGTCATAAATAGATGTTAGGGGAAATTCAACAGAGAACTTTTGCTTTATTACATCTGTCAGATTAAAGGGTTTTTGATACTCCGTGTGAGTGTATGTGTGTGGGGTGTGTGTGCAAGTTGTGATGCCTTTTACGCATATTCTGATCTATACTTGCCATGCTGTGTATTAGCTCCATCTCTAAATACGATCTGTTTAGAACACCCAGAGAAATGAAAAGGATCACATGGAGTTTGACATTTTGCAAAATGAAAGAATAATGGATTTATTATATTGTATTTTTTTTCCTTTTAATAAAAATGTCTAACTGACCCTTGGGAAGCTTGGCTGGAAGTTTAGAAGTCTGAATCATTTTTCTTCTTCTTTATACTAAAATACTATAAGAATGTAATTTCTTCAGTTTCATTTTTTTTATATTTTGGTAAATTTGAATTATCATTCTCACTCATAAATCATAAACCAAATAATCTACATTTATCCTTAAGTAATTTGTATCTTATATTGACTTAAAATGTTATATTCATATGCCCAGATAATCAAACCCCCCTACTTTATTTGCTTTTACATTTTCCTTCTTATTATTGTGACTATGGACATGCCACAAAATACCAAAAGTATTTGGCCTTTGACCTCAAGTCTGAACCAGATAAATAATCTGTATCATATTGGATATAAAATTTTAGTCTTCCAAACTTAATTAAATATTTCTGAGTGGAATATAAATCATTGAGTCACACTTCATAGACATTTTATTTTATATATCTATCTTTTAGAATTTGTTACCATGATTTTATATTTACTCTTCCTTTAAAAATTATATTCATTAATGTATTCAACAATTACTTATTGAACACCTAATATGTATCAGGTAGACAACATATCACAGTGTTTTAGGTGAGATATCCCTTGGTTGGTACATAGAGCTATATCTATCTCATTTCAAAAATATAACATCAAAGTCTACAATTGGATTATACCTGTACATGGTTTAGATGCATCAAAATATCCAAAAGATGCCCATAACTTTATACCAATACAAAATGGCCAACAGGATTTTGGTTGTCCAAGTCTCTATTGATCTGTCTGCATCTTATGAGTGAGAAGAGAAGGTAGCCTAATGCAGAATATAGAGCAGCACAGAATTGTAAGAATCCCCATAAAGACCGAGAGGGAAGAGTCAGCGAGGTTGAATGAACTTAGGAGAATGTGAAAAGGGAAGAGAATATTTCGAGAAAGAGAATCCAAGGCTGTCAAAATGTCAAACAAATGTCAACTAAAAAGAGGCTTTGGTTGAGTAAAAAGATGTCATTGTTGATGCTGCAGGCCTGGTAGAGTGGGAGCCAGATTGCAGTGACTTTAGAAATAAATAGAAGAAGAAAATGAAAAGGCAACCAGGGCAGAGAATTATTTTAAAGAGTTTTTGCAGTGAGGGGGAGAACAGAGAGATAAGGCTGTAGCTAGAACAGAGATCTGAGGTGGATGGAGACAAGTGTTCAGGGACACCACGCTACAACTACTTACAGCATAGTCTGTGTCTGACTGTCTCTGGAGTTGTGCAGTGCACAGACAGTGGAACTTTATAAGGTGGCACTGCTATTATTTATTCATTTTCAAAATAATGAAACTTTGAAAGAGAACTTTGGTATGTTTTAGTCCTTATGCAAAGTGGCCAAAAAAGGCTAGAGATACGGGGAAAGAAAGAGAGATTCAGAACTAGTGTAACAAGGGATTGGCCACAGGGGCACAATGGGGTATCTCTTTATTTAGTTAAGTGTGAATTCAGGTCAGTTGTGTTACCTGCAATTCTTCCATGGATGTACACATAGCCAGGGTACATAAAACAGCCCTGCCACACCCTCACCAAGTCACTCTTTACCATTATGAATTTTATCTTTTATACTATCAGCATGTGACATTACTCATTTGAAGTAGGAAAAAGAAACTCTACTTTTCACTATTGCACCTCTAGCTCCCAGAATACTACCCATAGGAGTTGCTCAATAAATATTTATGGATTTTTCAGTGATTTTATAATACAATTATTTGTAAAATTGTGCTATGTTCTTGAAGAAGATACTATTGTTTGTCCAAGCAACAGCAAATTCCCCTTTTTCCTCATGTTGTTAGATCTAAATTTTGTTAACGTGTGTCCACTTCTTCCCCAGCAACTCAGAAAAATCATCGCTGGTCTTAGCAGGTTGCGATTGTTTTACCAATCTGCTTGCCAGGGAATAATTATATGGTGGGCATGTGACCCAGGACTGGCCAATGAGATATATGAAAGGATTATCTTAGGGGTCTCTGGGAAATGTTTCCTTACTGATAAAAAGAAACAGTAAATAGAAATAGTTTCTCATTTTCTGCTCTACATCATTTTATCTTTATTGTATATCTGGATCTAGGGCACCCATCTTATAAGCTTGAAAAGAGCCAGTGTAAAGAATAAACTAACTTGCTTAGTAGAGAAAAAAGATTTGGGTTTTTGAAGAAGTTAACCCTGACTTTCATTTACTCATGCATCTGAGTACCAGTCCTACCCCAGGAAGTGTCAGGAGACAGTAGAGATGACTGCCATAACCTCTAATTTCAGAAGCTTACAAACTCTTGACCTTGAAGACAACATGTCCATGTATAGGTGAGAGGACACAAAAAGAGATTAACAAACAAACAGGTATTTCTAATCTAGAGGCTTGCCTGAGGACAGGCCCACGTAGAACTTGATTGAAGATGTTGAAAGAATTCATTTTCATGTGACTCTAAGACTCACGGCAGCGTGTTTATGCAAAATCAGCATCATAGAGAGATTTCCAGCAAGACAGTTCCTATATAATGTAACATTATCTTGGGAGTGATGTTCTATAACCTTGTATATATTCTATTAATTAGAAGCAAATTACAGGCCCTACCCACACTCTAAGGGAAGGGATTATACAGGGGCATGAAAGTGAAGACCTTCAGGGCCATTTTAGCTTCTGTCTACTGCAGTCTACTCTCCAGCCACCAACGATTAATGTCTCTCTCACATGCAAAATAAATTCACCCCCTCCCAAATTTCCTGAGTCTCATCCCATTATAGAACCAGCTCAACATTCAAAATCTCATCATTTAAATCAGGTCTAGGTAAAAATGAGGTTTCTGGCGATAATCTGTTAAGTATAGCTAGCTCCTGAGGCACGATTCCTCTCCATCTGTGATCCTGTGAAACTAAAGACACAAGTTATCTGCCTTCAACAAACTCAATATAAATTCGTGGGACAGACCAAAAATAACATCTATAGACAGTCCAGTTCAAAAAGGGGGGAAATGAAAGATAAAAGGAAGTCACTGCTCCATGGCAGCCGTGATATCCAGCCAGGCAAAGGTTTGATTTCTGGAAGAGGTTTCAAGACATAAGGATAATTCCATGCGGCTCTAGGCTCCGCCTTCTTAGTTCTTGGTTCTGCTTTCTGAGTCACCCTTCCTTTTTCATAAAAGGTAGCAGCTGAGTAGTTTTATCAGTATTTCCTGCCAGTAGAATTTTGGGAGTTTGACAGCCTCCTTTCACATGTACTCTGTCCTTTTTAGTCCAAGCTGGTAGCACCTTCATTGAAACAATTATCTTAAGTACTTTGTGGGTCTCCTGTGGATTTTAAAGGGGTTCATTCCATTAGACAAAAGCCAGGCCCACAGATCTTTTTGAGTAAATCCCTTCTCTTCTTTGGCATCCTGCTAAAATGACTAAAGCACACCACCATTTACTCAGTGGAACCTTTACGGTTTGACTGGGAGAATCTGTGAGGCACAGCCTTAATCTCTTGAAAGAGCCCTTTGCGTTACTGAATACCCTAACCTTTTAATCTTTCCGAGGCTTTAGTAAAAGACTGTAGAGTCACATCCTCTGCTTTCTCTCCAGAGCAAGCTTTCTTGACAGCAAATCCCTTAATTTTAATTTTTTTTTTTTTTTTTGCCATCTGGAGAGACTGAGAATTTTCAAAATCATCAAGTCCTGGTTCCTTTTTTTAGTAGTTCTGTCCTCAATTTATCTCTCTTCTCTCACATTTTACTATAATCAGCAAGAATAAACAAGGCAGCACCTTCAACACTTAGCTTGGAAATCAGCTATATGACCACATGCATCACTAACAAGTTCTGCTTTCCGTGTAACCGTAGGAGACAATTTTGCTAATTTTTCTGCCACTCTATGACAAAGATCCTTCTTCCTCCAATTTTCAATAACATGCTCATCACTTCATTTTTCAGCTCTCATTGACAGTGTCCTTAATATCCAGGTTTCTGCTAACAATCTTATCAAGACTAGGCATTTTCTTTTTACTTTATTTTTTTATTTTTATTTATTATTTATTTTATTATTATTATCATTTTTTTTTTTTTTGAGACAGAGTCTTGCTCTGTCTCCCAGGCTGGAGTGCAGTGGTGCAATCTCGGCTCACTGCAACCTCCGCCTCCAGGGTTCAAGCAATTCTCCTGCTGCAGCCTCCCGAGTAGCTGGGACTAGAGGCGCACACTGCCACTCCCGGCTAATTTTTTGTATTTTAGTAGAAACGGGGTTTCACTGGGTTGGTCAGGCTGGTCTCAAATTCCTGAGCTCAGGCAATCCGCCCACCTCCGCCTCCTAAAGTGCTGGGATTACAGTCGTGAGCCACTGCGCCCAGCCCTATCTAGGCATTTTCTATCGTGTTTCTCAAAATTTCCCCTGCCTGCACCCACAGCCTGGTTCCAAAACCACTCTGAGAGTTTAGGTATTAGTTTTCCATACTAGTAACAAATTATCACAACCTTAGTGTCCTAAAACAATGCATATGTCTTACCTCACAATTTCTGCAGGTCAGGAGTCCTGGCACAGCTTGGCAGAGTCCTCTGCTAAGGACTGCAGTCAAGGTGTTGGCTGTGACTGAGATTCTCATCTGGAGGCTTGACAGAGGAAGAATCAGCTTCCAAGTTCACTCAGATTGCTGGCAGAATTCATTTTCTTGTAGCTACAAGGCTGAGGGAGCCGGCTTCTTGCTGGCCATTTCCTGGAGGCCTCCCTCAGCTCCTTACCATCTGGGCCTCCTAACATGGCCACTTCACTTTTTCAAAGTCTATAAGAGAGACAGAAAATCTCTAGAACAAGACAGGTTATTTTATCATGTGACATAATCATGAAGTGATAAAGTGACTCCTATCACTTTTGTCATATTCTATAGATTAGAATCAAGTCAAATTTCCCACCCAAGGGGAGGGTATGATACAAAGGGATAATATAGAAAGGTGAGTGTTAGGAGCTGAAAAATGCCCGCTTCCCCACAACCCACAAATTTATATGTCAAAGCCCACTGTACCCCAGAATGTAACTGTATTTAGAGATAAGGTACTATCATCTGAATGTTTGCATACCCACAACATTCATATATTGAAACCTACTCACCAAGGTGATGATATTAGGGGGTGGGACCTTTGGGAGATGATTAGGTCATGAGGGCTCTGCTGTTGTGAATGAGATTGCTGTCCTGATAAAAGAGACCCCAGAGAGATGCCTCACCCTTTCACCTTGTGAGGACACTTGAGAAGGCATCATCTTTGAAGCAGAGTGAGCCATCACCAGACACTGACTCTGCTGGTGCCTTCATTTTGGACTTCCCAGTGTCTAGAATTATGAGCAATAAGTTTCTGATGTTTATAAATTACCCAGTCTAAGGTATTTTGTTGTATTAGCTTAATTAAACTCAGACATAAAGTCTTTAAACAGATAATTAAGTTAAAATGGGGTCACTAGGGCAGGCCCTAATGCAATGATGGGTGTTCTTACAAGAAGAAATTAAGAGACAGACAAGTGCAGAAGGAAGACCATGTGAAGACACAGAGAGAAGATGGCCATCAACAAGCCAAGGAGAGAGGCCTCAGAAGCCAACTCTGCTGACACCTTGATCTCAAACTTCTAACCTCCAGACTCATGAGAAAATAAATGTCTGTTGTTTCAGCCACCCAGTCTGTGGTACTTTGTAGGGTCATTGGGGTCACTTTTGAGTCTACTCACCACAACTGGGAATATTATTGGTGGTTTTAAGACAGTGTCCTAAGAAACTCTTGGAGTTTTTACAAGGTATTCAGAGGGCCCTCAGAAGGAGTGGGTGAGAGGAGCTAACAAATGAGACCCTAGGGTTTCCAACTCCACCTCAGTGAATGAGTTCCATTTTAATCTGTTGTATTTATTGGAATTTCTACCTAGTAAGAACTTTCCAAATTCAAAGAATCCCTATAGTCTTTTCTGATGTGTTCCATCTCAGGAATATATTGCTCTTAGAAATTTTATTGATTGTTAAAATAGCACTGAACTTGTATTTAGAGCTGACTTCTGATATCCAACCTTAGAGATTCCAGGTTTTGAACTTTGAACAAACTCCTAAACACTCTGGATTTTTGTTTCTTCAATCATAAAATTATGAGTTTGAACAAAATTATTCTAAATTTCTTTCCATCTCTTACTAAATTATAGCACTTTTCATATTTTACTTTGAATTACTTTGCTTCTACTCTTACAGCGGAAGGATAATTCTATATTATAAAAAGCTTGTTTTGCTTGATTAATAATAAGGATTTCTGAGAATTAAAAACAAAACATAGTAAAAGTACTGCATATATTTGTACTGAAAAAGAACTTGACACTATTTCTCCAGCATTAGCAAGATGTATGAGATTTGTGTTTTGGGCATTGATTACGGTTTTTATTCTGAATTATGTATCTTTGGGAAAGAAAATTAAATTAGTCATAATAGATTGGCTATTTTCATAAGTTCTATCAGTGTAGAAGTATCATAGCCAATTTTAAGAGAAAATATCTTCTATCTTAAACCTCAATAGTTTTTATCTTTGTATTTTCAGAGAATAATTTAATATTTCTGTGATGTTTCTTTGGTGTCTATAAAAGCAAGCTACAAATTAGAAAGTGAAAATAAACTTCTTTTGTTTAAATTCCAAAGACGTCATCTGTAATTTTATTGCTTTTAGCCATTTCACTCACTTGTATGGGACTTTGAATCAATGAATAATTCTTTTCCCTCACACCTGTTGTCTGAACTTTCTGCCATAGTTAAAAACTTATCATTTTGTTTTACACTGTCAAAACTCATCCAAGAAATAAAGTACACCTTTACCTTCACTCACCATAACACAGTATTTATTTCCTTTAGGCAGTAGTGGTTCAGAGTTTGAGGTTTGCATGAGGTAAAAAACTTCCAAACGTTCCTTTAATTATCTGTTGATATCTATTTTGGTTCTTTCATTTTCAGTTCCTACAATGAAGGTCCCAGAACAGAACTTACATGAATACTTAGAAGGCCAAGTTTCTAAACCTTTACCAGACTAGCAAGAGATGTTCCATTCAAATAAGTTCTCTGATGTATGGGTGACAGGCAAGAGCTAAACTGACAGTGTTTGCTGAATTCTGCAAGCCCATAGGGGGCAGGATTCCACCTGCTTGGGATCTTCTACTGGCGTAAACTCAGGGACCAGGCTTTATAAAATGAAACGGGCTGCGAGGGAACAGCCAAAGTGAAGGCAGATTGTGTGCTCAATGACCGTATGGTTTTCATTATCTTGTTCTCAAGGAAGAATTCATCCAAAGAACAACCAAATGAAAGCAATGTGTAAACCATGTCAACCCATCCTTGGATGGATGTGCCACATTTGCTCCATTATTGGTGGTGATTGTATAAAGGTGGGGAAAAGGGAGAGGAAGTGGGAAAAATGAAGGTAGTGCAAAAAGAAGGTGCAGAAGGAGCAAGAAAAAAGAAATGTCAGCCACTCAGCTGTCTCATTATGTAGCTTCCCACACTCACCAAAGATGTAATTCATCCTGCAGGTGCAAACATTGTTGGCTTTCTCATGGACTCTTGACGGATGGACCGGATGCATGTTTCCTTACCCCAGATGCTCTTTAGCAACACCAGCAATGAGATAGGGGATTGTGTGCACCTGAATCAGCACATTCACTGAGTCTTATTTGTCTTGTTTCTTAAATAACCAGTAGTGTTGTGCACAGAGCGACAACAACCAGGCAGAGGAAGCTTTTTTAAATATTAAAAAAATGGCCAATCTAAACACTTTTGTGAGTCACTTCTTAATAATTGCCTCTAAGATAAGTATGTCATTACTGCTCTGATACTCATCACCCACAGACTCACTAGTGGATGATTATCAGATCATGTGACAGCATTGGACCCTGTAATAAAATTCATGCTCATGTTTTCCACAAGATTTTCAAAAATTGAAGATGAATTTTCTACTATAAACTGAGAGAAAATTAGATTTTCAAGTTATCTGAACAGATAACATATTAGAAATGGGAAGGTTCCTGCTCTCTGAATCAGCTTCTCCTCCCCTCCCCTCCCGGCTCATTAGCTCCCACCAACTTTGAGGATTCCAAGATCCCAAACAAAACTGATTCTTTTCTGGTTGAAGTTCCATTGACTCTTGGCAAAATGTAACTTCCTGGTTCAAAGAAAAAAAGCTTGTAAAAAAAAAAGCTCACAAGGCTTCTTAGACATCAAATGGGTCTTATGAAACCACATTTTGATGAGCTAAGTGTAAATGAATCAGAAACACATGGATTAAATTTCCCTTGAAATACACATGGGTTTGAAAATTAAGGAAAAACTGTTTAGCCAAATGTGTTTTGGGTTTCCTTGAACTGAAAACATTTGAAAAAAAAAAAAAAAGAAGTCAAGGCATTTGCTAAACCCGAATACACTGTTGTGTTTGCTCAACCCTCCTTCAAACCAACTAAATTTCCACGAGGCTTCCTCCATTCCCCTGTGGTTTGTTTTGTCACCTCTGTCTTGACACTTTACAGACCAAACTCAAGTTCCATTAAAAAAAAATAGACCGTTGGTCATCTACTTAAATATGAGGGAGCTATTAAAACACCCAGCGAATCAGAGACATTAAGGGATAGAAATCACCCATTAGGTCATGATTTCTGTCCTGAGGGTTGGAACACATGCACTCACAGCTCTCTAGTGCTTTACCCAGTGTAGTTTTAAATGTCTCAAGTGACAGAACTTCCACCAGCTCCCTTGGGAGAATATTGTGCATTCTAATAGATTTTGCCATTAGGAACTGTGCCTAAGTCTATAACAGAGGCACAGTGGGATGTCTAGGGTAGGGGGGAGGAATGATGGATAATTAACTCTTTCACTACTGCCTCATAATCACCTGTAGCATGTTCAGCAACTTTAGCATCTTAGTACTAAAGAATGTGCTATGTGTGTGTGAGTTTCCATTAAAAGAAAATTTGGTTAACGGTGTAAAATTGTGCCAATTTCAATGCAAAATAAGGCTTCACAAAGAACAGAACCATCACAAAAATACTGCGGTAAGTCATAAATATATTATCTTACCTGATAGATTTTACTATTTCTTAAAATACAGGACTTTGAAAGTCTTACGATTTTCACTGATCAGGAAATGTCTAATTAGCACTAACCTGAATCTCAACGCTCATAGTACTTGTATATGTATTCTATTACATATCATCTCCCTAAACCACCTTCCTCCTGCTGCCAATATATTTTCTTTAAACCACTTTGCAGCAAATGGATTTATCTCCCATTTCTGCTCTCCTCAGGAAAGTAACACATTTGTGAAGAAATATTTGTTTGTCTTTCTAGATAGAAAACAAAACCTAGCTTTCCATATGACTAACATGTTTTTAGAGGTCCTATGGCAGAGTTTACATTTAATTTGCTCCAGTTCTCATTCTACTTACAAATGAATTATAAAGCACATAATGACTTACATGGCCTGTCATACTGCTACTATGTTGACCTTTTCAAGATTCTGCATTGTGAACAGCTGAGAGGCACACCTCTTCCTTGCCAGTTACTGCAACCTGTAAAACTTAACCAATGGAGTGGCAGCAAGAATCAGGTAAGGGGAAATGGGAAGCAACATGACCCTCTTGAGCTCTTTTTAATCTCTCTTGGCTATGGAGTGGCTTTTTATGTTTCACCCAACCTTGTCATTCCTTTTAAAACGGCCATTTTTTCCTCCCCTACCCTGTTCCTTACATTATCTTGCCCCTCTCTGTGCTCGTTTCTGTGGCAGTCATACAAAACGAGGTCCCTGTTGGGGTATGGAGTTCAGACATTGGTATCCAACTAGCTCTCTCTTTCTCTGGTTTTTGTTTTTGTTTTGTTTTGTTTTGTTTTTGTTTGTGTGTTTGTTTTTTATCAATTTTAAGATTTGGGAAGGGAAAGTAGGAATTGAGTTGAATAAGCATTTTTGATTGTTGCTATACTTATCTACTTGCTTAAAGATACTTTAAATAATATTTAAATCTGAGGAGTTGCCTTTCAATTACTATATCCTTTACCTAATGATACTTATTATTAGCAAGTAGAACTGGGTCATTTTCCTCCCTCAATTACACCAAAATGTGAAGTTGCTTTCCCCAGACTGTATATATCACTATTAGAGCTTTGGCTTACCATGGTTTTGTCCAGCAACAGATCTAGCATTGTGTGTTTTTTTTTGTTTGTTTGATCTCATAAGTCAATCCTTGTGACCCTTTTAATGCCTCTGAATTTCTTCTAATGGTTCCTTTTCCTCCCTTGCTTAAACAAATTGCTAATATTTAACAATTTCTAAATTTTGTTTTCAAAAGTGGAAATTGCACTTTTTAATATTTGTGCTGGTTTGAATTCACATCAAGTTTTGCAAAGCACAGACTAAAACACACATACGCTATTGCCAGTTGGGAGCAACCAGGACCAAAAAAGCGGGGAACTACTGTTTATTTTTCTTCCTTGAAAATCACGTGATATTGATGTGATTCCAAGCAAATAGTATGAACAATATTCTGAATCTAGCTACTGAGTTCTGTATTCTATTCTGGATTTGTTAAGTTTCTGAGTAAAGGAGTATTTATTTTATCATCTAGAAAAATGCTTTAAATTAGGTTTCATGCTCAAAAAGACAGAAATAATTGGCTCAGTTCTTTACAAAGAGTTAAATTTTGAGATTATGGTAAGCATATGATGCATACTGCCATATTATGCCACTAGCTTGTTTTTTTTTGTTATTGGCAAAAGTGAAATTAGATTCAGTAATGCATACAGTGTGATGCCTTCGGCTTACACAAACTTAGTAAAGTCTAAAAATCTATCAGAAGGAGCTGTTGGCAAGGCCGTGCTCATCTAAGTGTGCATATTTACTTTTCTACTTCTTATATAATGGATCCTTTAAATAAAAGTCACTATGTAGTTCATCTTATTAAGGACATCAAATAAGTCATTGTCTGAACGGGAAATCAAATTCAAGATTTGTTTCTTTAAAGTGATTTTATTCTGTCTTACAAATACATGTTATTTCAAAAGGAGATATTAATAAATCCTTGAAAGCCAACATTTTCTATGCTGTGATCATTCCATAGACATTGAGGAAAAAAAGAGAAAATATTTATAAAGCATTTAGTGATGAGTAATTCACAAGGAAATAATTATAAATACAAGTCAAACAAATTGGCAATTGTTTGCATTTCAAATTAGAAATCACATGGAATGCAGCATTGCTCTGATTTGCTTTATGAGCATTTTAGGGAAAGCACTTCCTACCTACATTGGGGAGACTCACATGGAGGTCTAGCTGATAGAGCATTAGTGTGAGAGTCTGGATTTCATAAAGTCTCTCCTGGCTCTATCAGACCTTGCTGTGTGGCCTGGTGGAATTTACTCTGGATTTTCTGTTTCAGTTTCCTCATCAGTGCAGCTGGGAATAAAAAGAAAGAAAAAAATGTTAAAGATATTAATGGTCAAGCTCACTAAACATTTATTAGGACCAAGCCATGTTTTTCTCTAAATGTACTCATGTCTGCTCACCTTCTCAATTCTATATAGTTTTGAGACAATCATGAGGACCTTGCATGTCTAAGAGAAGAGAAAATGCAGTTGAAGAGATGACAGGACTGACCCAGGGCCACTGTATCAGAACAACTGGATAATGCCTCATTTATAGCAGTGCTCAACAAATATTACTTAATGTGATCCTATGATGTTCAACCCAGATTTGCCACAGACGGACTTTCCTTGCTTATTAACTCCTTAATTGACACTGTCAGCAACATCTGCTTGTTTTCCCCTATATGTAGCATCAGATAGCAAAAAGGTAGAGCTCTTAGGTCTCTTCTAAATAGGCATGCTTAAAAACCACAAAATATTCAGACTTAATGCTTAATTGCATTCTCAGCTAATGGAATGAAGAAGAGTAAGTGGCTAGGGAAGGAGACAGGTTAGACTATGTGGAGAGAGTCATGCCAGCCCCAAATTTGGTATTTGCCCACACACAGGCAAACCAGCATTAAAATATGTTACATGAAAATGCATGCATGATTAATGTAATTTGTGATCATTCTTTTTTCTTTTGTCTAGGTAGTCTTGCTCTGTCACCCAGGCTGGAGTACAGTGGTGTGATCATAGCTCACTGCAGCCTCAGCCTCCAGGCTAAAGTGATTCTCCCACCTCACCCCATCGAGTACATAGAACCACAGGGCCACACTAACATGCCCGGATAATTTCTTTTTTTCTTTTTCTTTTTTTTTTTTTTTTTTAAGAGATGGGGTCATCCTATGTTGCCCAGGCTGGTCTCAAACTCCTGGGTTCAAGAAATCCTCTTGTCTCACCTCAGCCTCCCAAAGTGCTGGGATTACAGGCGTGTGCTACCACACCCAGACTGTGCTCTTTCTTTCCTTAGATTGACCCATGCATGTTTCAGTTAATCTATGCACAGACAGTAAGAAAAAATAGTGACTTTTATGTAGGGGGGATTATATTATCAGATTTGCTTGGGGATGCCAAACTTACATTCTTTGTCCCCATTCCTGTTAGCCATGTCCTAGTTTTTTTTTTCATTCTTTCTTTTCTTTTTTTTCTTTTTTTTTTTGAGACAGAGTCAGTTCATAGATGACTGTGCCAAAGACAAAAATTTAACAAATATAACTAAAGAAGACAGGTTTGCATATCATTATAAAAGCAATGATTTCCATTTAGTTCAAATTAATATTTTTCATTAATTTTGCTCAGGTTTCAGACCAAATTTTCTTATGTACATACAAAAGTGGAAATGATATCTGCTGATGTATTGGCTCTATTAACAGAAGAACTTTGTAAATGGTGAAATGATGGTAGTTTTGTATTCTTTTGATTAGATCCTTCAGAGAAACAAAAAAAGACTTAGCTTAGGCATTGCATCCTCTAAAAAGCCATCTTTGACTGCCTTTGGGACAAGCATTTTTAGAATGCCTTAAATATAGTACATGGGTAATAAATTCAACAAGCACTACAGTAGGAAAATATTATGTATGTATATATATGAAGAAAGATCCTTCAAAAGGACAAGTTAATTCCCATAATCAGTATTTTCATCCAATTTATAAAATCAAAGGGAAGTTTAGAGTAGTTCGCTTTGCTAAAATGAATCAAAATTAAAAATTAAAATTAAAAGTTAAAATTAAAAATAAAATTGTTCTGTAATTATAACATAAATATAAATATTGGTAAAGGAAATTATCATTTAAAAAATACTCTTACTAAATTAAGAAACATTTGGAACAGAAATACACTTGAATTGGCTAGGTTGCATACATAATTTATAATTTTGTTTCCAAACTATGAAAATCTCCAATTGAAATAGAAGTATCTGTAGTCAGAATTTATAATTTTTAAAAATTTCTACACCTCAGGACTAACTAAAATACAGAATTTTTTGGATGAAGCAGATGAGTAACGATAATTTTATATAAAAAATAGCAATAAATTTTTTTCATTGTCCATCAACAAATCGATTTTAAAAATGTTTGAGCCTTTGAAAAGCTGCTTTATAAGAAAACCTAAATATTCTAAAATAGTATTAAAACTTTTATAATTTTATATTACTCTTAGTAATCATTTGGAAGTCCTCCCTAAAGTATTTTTTTAAATGAGGCCCCAGAAATTGTCATTTTGAATGATCAGTTTTGTAATATAGGATAATGAAAAACAAGCCTCGCAAACAAAAAAGAATTAAAATTTATACTTGTAATGACAAAGGGAAAACTGAGAAATTTAAACAATGAATGCTCAAATAGTGTTCAATATTTACCTTTTAAATTCTAAAATTGTCCTGTAAAAGATCTTGAAAATTTAATCATGACAACTTTGTTTTCCTGAAAAGTGGCATCTTATAAAAATAGTTATGCATTGGCAAAAGTGAATGCAAATGAAGCAAAAAGTCAGTACCTGTGAAAATATTTAGGTGGAATCACATTCATATTTTTACTATTTTTTGCTTAATTTTATATTTTTAATGTGGCTACTAAAAAATTTAAAATTAGATATGTGGCATTACAGTGTTATAAACTGATGCTGGCATAGAACCAGTTTAGTGGTTATGTGTTACTTGATTTTTAAAATTGACACTACTTTAATACTACATCCTGCCTGCCAACCCCACAATTCACTACTCACTCTTTGTCCTGCTTTTATGTGCATATTTTTATACTTAAGAAAATTAGAAGTCAGAATATCCACTCTTTAGCAGAATTTGCTACTAAATTCTACTTACCAAGCACTTCATTACCTGTTAACTGATAATTTCCTCATTTAAAATATTATGGCCCATAAAGAAGAGTCAGTTAAAGGTATTAATATGTTCAAGTTAACTAACCATGAAAAGAAACTTGGAAGAACTTTGCAGGCAATTTTATGAAAAACTTAAAAAAATGAAAGCCTTTATGAAGATGTTAGCACGACTTTGTAAATCTATTTAAAAACATTAATTTGTATACTAAAATGGGTAAATTTTAGGGCACATAAATTATACCCTAATAAAGTTGTTTCAAAAAGATTAAAAATAAAAACACAGAGAAACAGAGTTTTTTTGTTTTAGGGACCAAAACCAGTAACACAATATTAGACACAGACACAAACAAACAAACAAAAAAATAATTAGCCAGGCATGGTAGCTCACACCTTTAATCCCAGCACTTTGGGAGGCTGAGACAGGGAGATCACTTGAGGCCAGGAGTTGGAGACTAGTCTGGGCAACATAATAAGACCTTGTCTGTACAAAAATAATAAAACAACTTAGCCAGGCGTGGTGGTGCATGCTTATAGTCCCAGCTGCTTAGAGGCTGAAGAGCGAGGATTGCTTGAGCCCAAGAGTTTGAGGCTGCAATGAGCCATGATTGTGTGATTGCACTCCAGCCTGAGTGACAGAGAGAGACTAAAATAAAAGTTTAAAAAAGAAAATGGACTAAGGTTCATGAAAATATACCAGAAATGATTGTTCTATTTTTATTTCTTCATAATATTCAATAAATAAAATATTTTGTTTTAATGGTTATGAATATATATTATATTTAAAAAGTTTTCCTTTTGAAAATATTTTTTGAATAAGCTAATATTAGTTTATACATAGACCTTTTGTGATCAATAAATAAACATTTCAAAATATCATATAAACTTTAATGCTTTTAGCACCCCCTTTTTCTATTAAAAGTGTTCTGCTTTGGATGATACATTACAGACAGTCCCATATGTATGATGGTTTGATGCATAATTTTTCGACTTTATGATTTCTATGACTTTACACATTCATTTCTACTGAACATGCATCACTTTTGTGATACACATACTTTAAGTACCATATAATCATTCAATTTTTCACCTTCAGCTCAGTATTTTTAAAATTACATGAGATATTCAACACTTTATTATAAAATAGGCTTTGTGTTAGATAATTTTGTTTAACTGCAAGCTAATGTAAGTGTTCTGAGCAGGTTTAAGGTAGACTAGGTTAAGCTGTGATACATTAGGTGGTACATTAGGTGTTATTAAGTGCATTTTGACTTACCATATTTTCAACTCACAATGGGTCTATTGGTGCATAACCCCATCGTAAGTCAAGGAGCATCTGTACATGCTCCCACTATTTGAGTGACACCTGCTGAGCACTGTTCTCAGATTTTAACAAATGGTAACTCTTTCATCCCTCATTTCAACTTTATGAGGCAGGTTATGATGGGAAAATTGGGGCCTGTAGAAGTGAAGCAATTTTCCCAAGTTGCACAGATAGCAAATGATGACCCCAGGATCTACATCCAGGCCGTTTGGCTCCAAAGCTGTAACCACCAAGCAAATGTCCTCTTGAGTTCTTTGCTTTAGGGGATATGTCTGTGGTCTATATTTCTATGCTGGGTATTTTTGTTTTCAGATCACCAGACCCTCTTCTTTCTTCTGGTGCGTAGGTTTAAACCCAGGGATTTGTTTTCAAATCATTTCTGCATTACTGTTTTGGTTTATTATGTTGCAGAAAGCCTCATAATCACAGCCACATTATTCTCCTGTCTCCTACCCCACCTTCATGTAAACATTTGAAGAAAGCTAAAAGCTGGTGAAATAAAGTGAATGTATCTATGAATAGCAACCTGAACTGTTACAGTTGCTACTGAGAACTTTGTTATACACATGTAATAATACAGTACGTGCAGCGCTGACTGACATAAACACTTCTACTTTAAAATGACATCTCTTTTCCTAACTTCATTATCCAAAATCTATCATAACGATGTGAAATCTCATAAAGGTAAGATGATACCTAAACAAGAAGCACTTTTAAATGTGAATGCAGTTGTTCTTGGATAGGAAAATATTACTTTGCCTTCCCGTACTAAAAAGATGGGAAAACAGAGTAGGATCTATACCTATTATTCCTGATCAAGGGCTAGAGTGTATTCAGGGATGTTTTTTTCAGAATTCTGTCTTTATCCCTCTTAATTCCACCAGCATAAATCCTCCCTGTTACCCTCCTGCCAAGCATAGTTCCATAGGTAATCATGGCCAGATCTATGCTTCATCCTTTTCCAAAAAGGCCTATGGCTCTATTTTATACTGTATTGGTGGTGCTCCGATAGTAATGTTTATTACTTTCCTTCTCTTCCTCTTTCTCCTATTTGAATTCTATTCCTCTCCAAAGATCTGGTTGCAAATCTACCTCTTCAACAGAACTGCAGTTGCTCCTTGACTTACAATAGGGCTATGTCCCAAAAAACCCATAATAAATTGAAAATAGCATAAGTTTAAAATGCATTTAATACAGCTAGTCTACCTAACATCATAGCCTACCCTATTTTAAATGTGCTCAGAACATGAGCATTAGCCTACAGTTGGCCAAAATAATATAACACGAAGCCTATTTTATAATAAAGTATTGAATATCTTATGAAATATATTGAATACTGTACCGAATTATGATTTCTACTAGATGTATATGGCTTTTGCACCATCATAAAGTTGAAAAATGGTGTGTCAAATCATCATAAATTAGGGATCATCTGCATTTCAATGCACATGATTTAATGTTAGGGATCACCTGTATTTCACTGCACATGATTCAATGTTAAGTTCTAATAAAACGTATTGCCTATATCATATCACATAAACTGATTTTACATGTGTGTATTGTATATAGAGAGATGTACATATACATATATACATATATATACACACATATTTATGTACATACATATATGTACACACATATATATATCATATATTTTATATATATATATATAGAGAGAGAGAGAGAGAGAGAGGCAGAGAGTTTATTTTTTTCTTCTTTTTCCCTAGTAAACTGTAAACCTTTTGTGGAGAGGGATTGTGTCATGATTTGTTTTCCTCTCCAGCTATGCTCCTTATATGGTTGATAGATAGTTGTATACACTTAAAGGGTTTCTTTTTCGTTTGATGGGTTTTAAGGCATTTATTTATAAGAAAAAGGGCTGAGCACCAATGGAACAGAATAGAGAAACCAGAAATAAATCCATACAACTACAACAAACTCATTTTCAACAAATACGCCAAGAAATACATTGGGGAAGGACAGTCTCTTCAATGAATGATACTGGGAAAAGTGGATATCCATATGCAGAAGAATGAAACTAAGACCCCTATTTTCCCATCTACATAAATCAAATCAAGATGGATTAAAAGACTTAATCTGAAATCATAAACTAGGAAACTATGAAAAGAAAACACTGGAGAAACTCTCTAGGACATTGGATTGGGAAAAAATTTCTTAAGTAATACTTCACAAGCACAGGCAACCAAAGCAAAAATAGACAAATGGGATCACATCAAGTTAAAAATCTTATGCACAGCAATGGAAACAATCAACAAAAAGAGACAATCCATAGAATGGGAGAAAATGTCTGCAAACTATCCGTCTGACCAGGGATTAATAATCAGAATATATAGGGAGCTCAAACAACTCAATAGGAAAAAATTATAATAATCCTATTTAAATATGGGCAAAAGATTTGAAAAGAGAGTTTTCAGAAGAAGACATACAAATGGCAAAAAGATACATGAAAAGGTGCTCAACCTCATTGATCATCAGAGAAACGCAAATCAAAACAAGAAGATATCATCTCACTCAAGGTAAAATGGCTTTGATCCAAAAGACAGACAATAATGAATACTGGCAAGGATGTGGAGAAATGGAACTCTCATACACTGTTGGTGGGAATCCAAATTACAACAGCCACCATAGAGAACAGTACAGAAGGTTCTCAAAAAACTAAAAATAAAACTACCACATGATCCAGCAATCCCACTGCTAGATATATACCCCAAAAGAAAGGAAATTAGTGCATCAAAGAGATATCTGCACTCCCATGTTTATTGCAGCACTACTCAAAATAGCCAAGATTTAGAAACAACCTAAGTGTCCATCAACAGGCAAATGGATAAAGAAAATACAGGCCGGGCGCGGTGACTCATGCCTGTAATACCAGCACCTTGGGAGGCCAAGGCGGGTGGATCACAAGGTCAGGAGATCGAGACCATCCTGGCTAACACGATGAAGCCCTGTCTCCACTAAAAAAAAAAAAAAAAAAATTAGCTGGGCGTAGTGGCGTGTGCCTGTAATCCCACCTACCCACCTACTTGGGAGACTGAGGCAGGAGAATGGCGTGAACCTGGGAGGCAGAGCTTGCAGTGAGCCGAGATTGTGCCACTGCACTCCAGCCTGGACGACAGAGTGAGACTCCTTCTCAAAAAAAAAAAAAAAAAAAAAAAAAAATACAGTACATATACACGATAGAGTACTATTCAGCCAAAAAAAAAAAAAGGAATGAGATTCTATTATTTGTAACAACATGGATAAAAGTAGAAGACATGATAAGTGAAATAAGCCAGGCACAGAAAACAAACTTCGCATGTTCTTAACTTGTAGGAGCTAGAAATTAAAACAATTGAACTCTTGGACATAGAGAGTAGAATTATGGTTAGCAGAGGCTGGGAAAGATAGTCGGAGACGGGGGGTGAGGAGAATGGGTACAGTCAATGGGTACAAAAAAAACCACTTAGAATAAATAAGATCTAATATTTGATAGCAAAACAGGGAGACTACAATCAACAATAACTTATTGTACATATAAAAATAACTAAAAGAGTATAACTGGAATATTTGTAACACAGAAAATGATAAATGCTCGAGGTGATAAATACCCCATTTATCCTGATGTAATTGTTATGCATTGCATGCCTGTATGAAAATATCTCATATACCCCAGAAATATATACATCTACTATATACCCATAAAAATTACAATTTTTTTTTTTTTTTTTTTTTGAGACGGAGTCTCACTCTGTCACCCAGGCTGTAGTGCAGTGGCGCGATCTCCGCTTACTGCAAGCTCCTCCTCCCGGGTTCACGCCATTCTCCTGCCTCAGTCTCTGAGTAGCTGAGACTACAGGCGCCCGCCACCACACCCGGCTAATTTTTTGTAAAAAATTTAAAAAAAAAATTAAAGATAAAATGGGTTCGGCAGTATGATACTCTTTATCCCTAATTATTTGCAATGTACAATATAGAATATGTTCTTCCCATATTCCAAGTTGTACTTTAAGTCCTATTAAAAGCACTATTCCATGAGTCCTAAATTCCACCAGGCCTAACTTCTATCCGTATGTGCTGCAATTACCGTGGTACTTAGCCATTAACACTCCTGTTCCTTGAGGATATAACAGTCATTGTCCAACGTGTTGATTTAAAAGGCAACAACCTGGATCAGATTTCACTATGGCACATCAGAATACCAGACACATGGCGACATCATACAAAATTCAACCCTACTCATTAGCCAATAGGCACTTAAATTTCCTTTAACTTGAGATCATATTTGTGGCAGTTTTGAAGGGTTCAATGAATGCATGTGACCATTAGCAAAGAGGAAAGCACATGAAACAGAAACAAAAAAAATTAGCAAATGTATGGGTAGTACAAGGTTGCAGAATTACGGCCTTCATTTTCTTCTTCTGTTTGTTTTCCTTCTTTTTTTTCTCCTCTCTTCTTCCTCTTTTCTAAAAATCAAGCTTAGGAAAAACTTTTAACAATATATAACATCGTCTTTCTACTCTCTATTAACAAATGCCTTTGAAAAACAATATATATATTCTGCTCAAAGATTGGATTTAAATAAAAATGGTAGCAATATGTTTGTGCATTACTTTGAATGAAACCTGAATATATCAGTTTAAAATATAACAAAAATCATTATCACTCAATATTTTTATTTTATTATAAAATAATAAAATGTAATGATCAAATATCAGCATCATATGTTTACAGAAAGGGAAATAGCATTCTTTTTTTCTCAGTCAACAATCTCATTTCCAGTAGTGAAACTTGCCCACACTGGAGATACAGATATGATCTTTTGAACATTTCTATTCACATTTTACATCAAAAAATATATTGAAAGATCTGCAGTTTTATTTAAAAACCAAAAAGATATAATTAAAATACATTATGTATTATTTTATTCCAACATTTTTAAAATTTATCTCATTATTTATTAAATAAGTACGTATATACATATATTAAATAATTGTGTGTGTATATATATATATACACACATACATATATCTTCACTATGCTCATCATTTTACATAAGTGAAACCATGACCCAATAAATGATATGTTATGTTACTGAAGTGAAGCAAATATTTGAATTAACTTGCTTGGTTTAGGTTTCTGCTCTTTTGCTTTCATTAGTGTTTCATTTTATGTTATAATCATTGCACCAGAGGAATTTTTTTAAGAGGTTAAAGATGGAAGGAGAAAAGTATCTTCTTTTTGCAGTAAGTTTATACAGTGATTCCATCACCTCTACAGTAATTCATCAAATATGTTCATTTTCAGGTAAAAGCAAATTATTTGAATATAAAAATCATGGTACGGAGGTTTAATTTCTTGCATTCATTAATTGTGCATTATTTTTAAGGCAAGTAATAGTGTTTTGTCAATTATTTGGCGGGAAACATGCATTTGTAATATATTTATAAATGTCTTCATGATAATATTTGCAGCATAATCATTCTTTGCTTTCTATTTCTAAAACAAACATCACTTGAGTTCCTTCTGGATTAGATATCATAAATACCTCACAGCCTTCTCTGAACAGTGTATGAACTCTCCAAAAGAGGCAGAGTTTTATTTGGTGTACTTAGAATGAGTAGGGGGTGAAAGAACTTACTTTGAGTTATTCCATGTGGCACAGATGATTTACACAGTTGAGTAATCTTTAGAACCATGAGTGGAAAGGTAACTTGGCTTTGGATTATAGAAGAAATCCATTGCCAAACTAAATTCTTGTTACTTCATTGGTAATTAAATTAATTTCCACTTTTTAGTGGACGTGTAAGTGTACTAACTATAATGCTAAACAGATTCAGCACACAAGTGTAGAATGGGAAAGGGAGATCAGAAAAAAGGGTGTATGAGAGTCTTTGTGGTAACATACCCTTGAGAAACCCCAAGTGAGGGACACGTTAATTGACTTCTACCATGATCGGTCCAGAAACACAGCTCATCAGCAGAAGGCTTGTCATCAAGACATATACTTAGCAAAAGGCAGGAGGAGAACCTGAGGTTTACCTGGAATCCAGAAAAGGAAATGGTAATCAATACTCACAGTGATGGACACATTACAGCACTCATTGCTCTGGTATGACCCCTCATCTTCGCTGGTTCCTTCACTGACACAGCACAAAGCCTGAGTATTCAGCTACCCGAAGGTGAGGTCATCTAGAATGAATGTTCCCCAACACCAGTACTTACACCACTTTAGCCTAACTTCAAAACAGTTGTTTCGGGGGAAGGAAGATTAGGTACATTAAACGAAGATTTAATGTGCCCTACTATGAATATTTATTAGGATATACTTATGACCAAAAGAGATACAAAATATGTCCTTATGAATGTACATTTCTTTAATATTTAAAGAAACCATAAAAAAATAGAGAGCCCAGGCTGGGTGCGGTGGCTCACACCTGTAATCACAGCACTTTGGCAGGAGGATTGCTTGAGCCCAGGGGTTTCAGACCAGCCTGGGCAACATGGCAAAACCCCGTCTTTACAACAATTTAAAAAAAGAAGAAGAAGAAAAATTAGCCAGCCATGGTGGCACATGCCTGTAATCCCAGCTACTCAGGAGGCTGAGATGGGAGGATCGCTTGAGCCCAGGAAGGGGAGGCTGCAGTGAGATGAGGTCACGCCACTGCACTCCACCCTGGGCAACAGAGCAAGACACTGTCTCACAAAAAAAAAAAAAAAAAAAAAAAAAAAAAAAGAAGAAGGAGAGCCCGTGATTAGGGCTTAGGTTCAGATTTTCAGTTTCTACCTAATGACTAGCCTTCAACATTGAGGAAGGTCATTTGCAGAGCCTAGATTGTGTTCCTGAATAGCAGTGGGTTTGGTGGGACAGTTTATTTTGATGTAATCAGAATTGCAACAAATCAACTGAGAAAACTTTAATACCACAAGTAGTGTTTAATCATAATTTAAGAGACTGTACTTGAAATATACTTTACTCCAGATACATGCTCAAGTTCTTAATTATAAAGAGAGGAAGTAGACAGTGATGGTGTAAGCCCTATTACATGTCACCTGACTCAAGGCTATATGAAAGAAAACAATGTTTACAATCTTCTCAGCATAGCTCAAATAATTCTATCCTCAGTATTAAATAATTAGGATTCCAACTAGATGACCAGCTCATTTTTGAACTATAAAATAAATTGCCTATTCAGGTAATTTAGAAAAAATCTTTTGTAATATTCAGGATAATTTTAACCCATCTCTCTCCACACCATTCCCTACTCAATGATGCTTTTAATACCTTCTAACGCGGTCCTTTCAAGAAATTTGTTTTTTTTTTATTTTTATTTATTTATTTACATTTATTTATTTATTTTTTGAGATGGAATCTCTCTCTGTAGCCTAGGCTGGAGTGCAGTGGCATGATCTCGGCTCACTTCAACCTCCACCTCCCTGGTTCAAGCCATTCTCCTGCCTCAGCCTCCCAAGTAGCTGGGACTACAGGCACCAGCCACCACACCTGGCTAACTTTTGTATTTTTAGTAGAGATGGGGTTTCACCATGTTAGCCAGGATGGTCTCAATCTCCTGACCTCGTGATCCACCTGCCTCAGCCTCTCAAAGTGCTGGGATTACAGGCGTGAGCCACCATGACCAGCGAAGATTTCTGTTTTTAAAAGAAAATATCATCATCTTTCTAAATATTTACAAAACATGTAAGAGGAAAAATAATTTTCTTCATAGATTGACTGCTCTTTGTTTTCATTTTACTTTTAATGTGTTCTTTTTCTATGTATCCAACTACATAATAAATGTTCATCAGTTCTCAGGATACAGAAACAAAACAACAACAAAAACCCTATACATCATCTATTTAATCACCTATCCACCTCCAACACTGTATATGTCCTTTGGTCCATTAGTATTACCAACATTTCTAGTGAGGATAATTTCATTCATTTCTTCCCAATGTTGTCCATTATGCTCTAGATATCTCTGATTCTTATCACAGCTGTTGTAGATTCTGAGTATGTACTCCAACAAGCACTAAGCTATGTATTTTTCGTGCATTTTTCTAATCCTGATATCAAAACTATAGAGATCTTCCTCATATTATTAAAATGAAAATAGAGGTGAAGAAGAGGAAAATAAACTTATTCAAACTCATAGAGTAGCTTTATAAGCCAGAGTTCCATGTTAGATCTGTCTGACATCCATGCCTATATTATTTTTCTAGTTTATCCCTCCAAGGATTCTACAATGTGGTTCTCTTTCTTCTTGATCATGCAGAGTAACTCTAACCCCCCCTTTTTTTTTTTTTGCCAAGTCTGTTATTCAAGGCACCATGTCCTTCTCAAGACTTTTCTAAAGGTAAGCCTTCTCAGTTCCCTCAACTGTTCCTTACGTGCTGTGCTATAGTGCACACTGTCTTTAACTGTCACTATTCCTTGCAAATGGGTCCATGTGGAGCCCATAGGGCTGACTGCACCCTTCAAGTGTTGTGTGTAAAGCATCAGGCAGAGTGGCACCATTATCTCCCTTATTCTTGCACAACACTTCTATTAATGCAGCCTCGGGGCCCATCAGCCTTTTTTGGCAGCCACATTACTGTTAACTCCCACTGAGTTGATTGTCAACTAAATGCCTAAGACACTTTCACACATGCTGTTGCTAAGTCATATCCCCCCCAGTTCTTTGTGCATTTTGGTTTTGAATTCAGGTGTAGGATCTTACATTATTCCCATCACATGTATTTATATTAGAGCTAGCCTGGTCATCCTGGTGGTTTATCATTTCTCAGTACCTTTTAGTATCTGTAGTTGGGGGGCTGAAGGCAGCAGGGATTGTGATTCTATCATTTTATATATCCACTCTCCCTCTAATTTGAAGCTTTTTTATTTTTTTCAAAATCTAGCCACATAACTTTCCATGTATATTTCATTTATTGGTAAATCTCTTCCCTGAGTAAGACTTGAAGCAGACCATCGGAAACCTCTGTGCAGGATGAAGAAGAAACTAGCCTCAAGGATTATGGAGCTCTGAGGCTGCAGCCCAAGCTGTGCCTCTCAGTATACTGCACTTAGGAAATCCTCAACAACTATGTGAATCTTGTTGTTTCGTACAGAGGATTAGAATAATTATGGAGACTTTAAGAGTTGATGCTCAGGTAAGCAAAAATTTATGAGTAGCTTAAAGCAATCAAACTGTTGCTAGGCTGTTCACTCAGACCAAATCGTCCACATATATTAAATCTCAAGGAAAATAAAAGGCTATGAAACCATAAGAGCATAAGCAGGGATATACACTGTATAATAATTTTGTCACCAAAAGAATCACTACCTGCTTAAAATTATGTAAATATTATGTCTGGAAGCACTACAAAGTTTTTATCTGAGGTCAGAGATGAAAAACATATTTGAAGAGAAACAACACTTTCTGCCTCTCTTTATCCTTTGGTCTCACTGTCTTCTTTTTCTCAAATCTTAGACAAATACTAAGTGACCTAAAAAAAAAGGAAGAAAGGCAAGAATGTTCCATGCCAGATAGTTTTTATCTTTTTCCTCTAACAGCATCCAAGAAACTAAAAAGGGAAAAGTGGAGAGAGGAGGCAGATAATCAGAGTTGATTGTGAATCTGGGAAAAGTCTCAACTATGCATTGAGATTCACAAAAATGAAAGATGAAAGATCACAAGAGAGGAAATGAATAACCATTTTGCCCACTGCCAGTGTTCTGCTCCCCATTCTTCCAGCTGCGGCCGATGCTTCAGCTTCACCCTTCAGACTTGAGTTAGAGGCGCATGCAAACATCTCAGCTGCGGCACTTTCTGGTACTGTAGTTTGCCTTTCTTTAGAATGCCCTAAAGATAGCATTCTTAGTAAACATACTGTTAGGCTGAGGAAATTTCATCGGGGGGATATAAGCATCCTCTCTGGTAGGAAAGGCTCTTCCACCTGCAGGGTAGAAACTACTGGAAAAATAAAAAAGTTTTTTTGTTCTTGTTGTTGTCTTTTTTGGTGGCATCAGCAGCCAAAGTGCCTGATTCAGCTCTTGAAATGCTTTTTTTTTCATCTCTGCAGAGGACAGGGTGAAGTTGTCCGGTGCCTACCATCTTCCCAGTGTATCCTCTGTGCCCAGCACAGTGCACAGCACATGCAAGGTACTCAATGAATATTTTTGACTGAGTTTGTTGACCATAGATGAACTGTGTCTGAGCCATCTAGGACAAATAATCCTTTTGGTTTAAATAAGTGTGAGCAAACACTCAACGTGCAAACATTTGGGTCTTACTGGGCAGTGGACACTGCCAGGTAAGGAATTTTGTCTGCTCATGTAGTATTCTATTGTTGTTTTCACTGTGTTTTTCATGTATTTGATTGAATGGCTCAGGTCTTTCAATTGTGATAGAACATGCCATATCTGAGTGTACAGCAGTTCAACATTCCCTTGAACTCCCATGGTTTCTCATTCAGTTAATTTGGTATGGGACCTGAACATTTCTATTTTTAACAAGCTCTCAGGTGCTTCTAATACTGCTGGTCCAGAGACTACATTTTGAAAACTGATGCACTAATCCAACTCCCTTAAATGATAAATGAGAAAACTAGATTGGAACCTAGAGAGAAATGGGTTGCAATGTAGGCATTCTATTTGCTAGAGCAATACCCATAGCCTCCTTCAAGCCAAGGCTTATTTCTCTTCTTTCATGAAGCTTCTCCAAGCAAAGGCAGCATGAGGAAGAACAAAGGAAGAGAACTTAGTAAAGCAAAGGCAGCACCAGTAAATGAGGATAGATCTGATGTAAAATTTGTGGATTAAATAAAAAGATTTACTTGTTTTAAAGATCTCCAGGGGGAAGTGAGAGGTTCTATAATCTCCCTTGCTAACTTCTTCCACATCTAAAAACATTATTCAGGACATTCCTGCTACAAACTTAAGCCCATTTTCCATTGCTAATGAGGCATTCTATATTATACTACTAAGGAGCTGATGTTGGAAAATAAATGTGTCTATGAAGTAACCACATTTTAAAAAACAAAATTGAAATAAAAATAATTAAATGCAGCCAGCTGCTTTAAGCAACCATTTCATCACATGGCAAGAAAAGTATTCAAAAGCTATCCAAAATCTGTTCTCCTCTGTTACTTCTTGCCTTATTGCCTCACCACAATGAGCCATATCAGTTTATTGAATCCATTGTCTCAGTGCATTTTCTTGTCCTATGGCCAGTCCAGAGCCCTTTCAATGAATGGAACTGTCTTCATTTCTTTCTCTGTACTTACCTGGTTTTATGCAGTTAATCAAATTGTTTTTAAAAATTAAAACAAATACAGCCTATACTGAGCCACAAACAAAGGTAAAGTTTTGTTCTCAATAGTCTTGTTAAGATTCAATGTCAGAAAGGGGAATAAGTAAGTCATGTATTTATGGAATGAAGAGCTGTACTATTTCTTAAGAATTAAATATATCACTATTTTTTTCTTCAACCTTTGAAATCATTAGTACATGATCCACACTACTCACAGATATTCATCCTTAGAAAGAGGAGGTGGAGGGGGGCAAAAGGAACACATGCATCTTTCTGTTTATGAGAAGAAAGCTTGACTGTGCAAATCCAGACAACCAGCAGTACACTGCATCATGTATACTAGGGGATTAACCCATTACAGAAGTCACAGAATTATAAATTAGAGAGGCTCATGACTTATTGCACCAAATGCCCTGATTTTGTGTGTGTGTTTCTTGTTTAACTTCTCTTTTCTCTGTTTTTTGGTCAAATGATTCTAACTAGTTAATAGTTGTTTTTATACTTTATGAAGTGTGTTAAGCCAGATATAAGTTAAAAAAAAAAAAGCATCATCCTACACCCCAAAGCAGCAGTCTGCTCACATGGTAAAGCAAGAATATATCCAGGTGTACTGAATTTATTCCCCATAAATTTTAGTATGTAAGAAAACTCATGCTAGAATAAATAATAAAGAAAAGGTTTTAGTAAAATGCTCATACTCACACATGTTTATAGTTGAAAAACCAACCAATGCTAAGGCGAAATATATTTTCTCACTACAAAGCACTTTACCTAGTCTGGGAATTTTTCTGGAAGTTGTTAAAAAACTGAACTTTGCTATGTCTCAATATTATTATTCTCTACATGACTCATTATATGTGCTAGATATATCCCTAAGAAAATAAATTAGAATAGTAAGAATTTTGGTAATACAAATGTAATTCATATATTCTGAGCCAATATTTTTCAAACTATTTCTAAACAGAATTTGAAAAAAAAATGCAACATTACCCAGGACAAAAACACACACATATATAGCTAAAACAAAATTCCACAAAATAATTTAACTGTATGATATCAGACACATTCGGACATTTTCTGTTCTATTCTGTTTTGTCCCTTAAAAAGTGTTGGTTGAATTCTATTAAATTAATTTCAGCATTCACTAAATTTCACAAAAATGTTATCATTTGAAAAACACTGCATTAAGAGAACTTGCAGTTTTTAAGAAATTCTATAGTCATAATCAAATAGTCCTTTAGTATGTTAATTGCCATCTGATTTGTTTCTGTGCCAATTTAAGGTTTTGACATAATGGATCTTTTGAAGCTACGCTTACCTCTATTTGAGTAATGACAATCTGAAGACGACTATACAATATATGTTATACATTTGAACAGCATAATAGTATATAATGTGAAGATTGCTTAAGATGTAATTTTTAATGAATGCTTTGCAGTTGCTATCTCAATTTGATGAGCAAAGTGTGTAGCCTATGGGTGTCCCCAGTCCTGCTACCTTTGCGTTTCAGTCTCCTTAGGCTGATCCATACTTGACTTTCTATACATTAGATCATTTTTAGGAGAACATCTTAAAAAGCATCTCTAGCAATATTTAATTCATATGATTAAAAATTCAAAGGAAGCCCTTGTACTGGCTGTTAAACTATGTTCACAAGCTATTATTCAGAGTTCAAACCCCAGCAAATTGAAGGTTAGGTTAAAACAGGATCACTCTGTGGAACTGCACTAAACCATGACAGCTAGAGCAGTGGGTGAACTGTTTCATGCACACTCAGTTGCAGAAGATAAACTAAAGATGAGCAAAGGTATCTCACTGGAAATCTTCCTATCTAATTTGATTTTTCTAACCTATTTTCTACAGTATGGTTTAAAAAGGAAAGCATATGAAGCTAACTCTCGGTTTTGTTTACTACATATACGGATTTTTTAAAGAGACAAGAAAACCCACAGAGAGTGTTACATTGACTCTTGGAAATTGAGACATGGATTTCTCTTTTCAGATGTTAGCTTTCTCAAATAAATCTGAAGTTTCAGAGGCAAATATTTTTGCTTCTCCAAATTGTAATGTGCTAACATGCCCATGTGGGGAAGCATCAATAAGCCCTTAATAATAATTGATACCCCTACACTTCTGTGGGCATAGTAGTAGTAAGAAGTCAAGTCGCATCAGTTCCCTAATTTCTAAAAATAAAATAACCTAACTCATAAGATAGAATGCATGAGAATGGAGAGTTGCTCATCTTGGCTCAGTCACTTTCTTTTATTATTATTATTATTATTATTATTATTATTATTATACTTCAAGTTTTAAGGTACATGTGCACAATGTGCAGGTTGGGAGAAAATTTTTGCAATCTACTCATCTGGCTCGGTCACTTTCTAGTGGTATGCCTTTAGGAAAGCCCTTTAAACTCTTTGGATCTCACTTTCTCACCTCTAACATGAGAGAAATGGCAAGACAACCTCTTCTGTAGATAATCGGTCTCCTTCCATGAGATTTTATGCTTCTAACTTTGTGCATAAAGTGGTTGTGGGGCTATATCTTCTTGCTATGCTTGTTAGGCTGGCAGAAGACTGGGGAAAAAAGAAGTGAAGAAACAAAATGTATTTTTCTTAAGTGAACTTGAAATTCCCCCTCCTGAATAATTACTTAATTGCATCGAAAAAGGAAAATGAGACTGGGAAAGAAGAAAGGAAATGACACAAGTTGGTAATCTGGACTTGAAGTATACAACATAAAATTAGTTGATAGAAGTGTAAGCAGATGCGTCTTCCTCCTAATCCAGCTGATATGCATGAAGAAAGGAGTGAAAGAAACATTTAAGAACATCATTGTTAGTTACAAGAGAATGGGAAAGGCATCACACAAAAAAAGCCAATATTTGGTTTTAAAAAAGGGCACAGGAATAAAATGTTCTTGGGAAGTTCAAATCAAAGTTTTGAATGAATTTTAAATAAGCATCTAAACCAGCAATAAAATATTCCAAAGATTACTTTCAGACAGCAAACATCATGAGATGCTACTTTGAACAGCACTTTGAAAATGTTGGTATATTGAACTCTAAAGTTGTTATAGTCCATACATCTTTGGCATAAATTAGTAAGTATAATTCACTAATTGGTTTTTTGCATATGAATGTTCAATTCCCATGATCTCATTTATCTTTAACAAAGGCTCCTCTACAGCTATGAAGATATTCCGTGTGGGGTGGCCTACAAGCAAGGTAAGTTAGAAATGTGATAAAGTGTCTTAGATAAAGGTATATTTTCTTTAAATAGTATTTATTCTTTACTCGTTAGATTCAGAGACTTTGTGCATTTTCAATTTTTCTCACATCCACATGATACATATCCACATAGTATATACTATTAATAATTTATCTTATCAAGGTGGCTGATCAATAGGTGATATGGAGTCAGAAAAAACCTAGGCTCCAACTCCAGAACAGTTCATTTTCTGTGTGAATTTTGGCAAATTACCAAATTCTCTGGCCTCTAATTTTCAAATCATTAAAGCAGATATGATGCTCACTCAGTATTACTGTAAATTTGAATGAAATAATACATACAATACTTGCCATATTGGAGTTACTCAATATGTTATTAGATTTTTTTTGAATATGGATCTAACTTTAGTAATTTTCCAGAAATAAAAGGTGTCTTTCAAAGTGTAGACTAAATAACAATTCTTTATTTCATACCACACTCCATTTCTCAATGGAGAGAACCTTCAAAGAATATGGAAATTGTATACAAAACCCTTCAAATAATAAGGAATCCTGGGCACTGTGGATTCAGAGGGCTATTTCTGCCAACAGAGTAAGAGCAAATTTCAAGAGAAAGAGGAAAGAACATTAATTATCTTGTTCTTTATGTATTGAGCATCTACAAGTGCTGATCACTCCTTCAGTAAACATATGAGCAGAACATACAATGACACCAGCCCTCATGGAGCTATACCCTAGTGGGTTCGGGAAGAGATAAACATGAAATAAAATTACTAATATTATATTGTATTACTGGGAAGTAAGAGATATGGAAAAAGAAATAGTAGAGTCATTGTGACCAGGATGTGACAGAGAAAGATGAATTTTAAGCAAGGACTTAAGATGGTAAGTAAAATGTGTGGATGTGTAATGTTCCTGGGAGAGGAAATAGGCAGAAGAAAGGCATTAGGTTGGGAGTGTGAAGCCACATCTGTTGAATGACAAAGAACTCGGTATGACTAAAATGACATAATCAAGAAGGAAATAAGTAAAGAAGTGAGGTCCTAGGCAATAGGTGAGATTGTGGGTGGCTTTCTAGACATTATGAGAACTTGGCTTTTACTCTGGATGAAATAGCAGGGCAGGGTGGGGCCTACAGTGTTTTGAAGAGGAGTAGTATGCTACAACTTACTCAAATAAAATTAAGCTGGCTGCTGCTTATGAAGTGATGTGGTTTGGCTGTGACCCCACCCAAATCTGATTTTGAATTGTAGTTCCCATAATCCCTGTGTATCATGGGAGGGACCTGGTGGGAAGTAATTTAATCATGGGGGCAGTTACCATTGTTCTATCCTCATGATAGTAAGCTCTCACGAGATATGATGGTTTTATAGGGGGCTTTTCTCTGTTTGGCTCATTCTTCTTCCTGCCACCATGTGAAGAAGGACTTGTTTGTTTCCACTTCTGTCATGATTGTAAATTTCCTGAGGCCTCCCTGGCCATGCTGAACTGTAAGTCAATTAAACCTCTTTATTTTATAAATTATCCAGTCTCGGGTATGTCTTTATTAGCAGCATGAGAATGAACTAATACAGGAAGAGACTTTTCATGTTCTCAAGTGGAAGCCATGAGACATATTTGGAGGTTATTGCAGTAATCCAGGAAGTACACCAGGATGGTAACAATAGAGATAGTGGACATATTTTGAAATCTGAAATAACAGATCTGATGAGGAAATGGATGTGAGGTTTGAGAGATAGAGAATAATGAAGGAGAACAGACAATCTGGTGCTTGAGCAATTGGAAAGATGGAGTTGCGAGGAACTGAGCTGGGGAAGACTATGGGGAAATAGATAACTTTTAGAAGGAAATATAAATAATTGATTTATGTACATGTCAACTGCAAAAGATACTCATTAGATATCCAAGTAGATACATATAAATGCAGACTGAAGTCCATTGACAAGAGCTTACCTGGAAACCTCAATTTGGGTTCTTCAAACTAAATTTTGGGTACAATGGTGAATTGCTAGTATTAAAGCCACGGAACGTGGAACTTAGATAAGTTTACCTAACTATCTACGTAAGGGTAGATAGGAAGGGAAGAATCCAAGGGCAGAGACATGGGAATATTCAATACTAAGAGATCAGCTATATGTGCTCTGTCTCGGGCACTTGGTAGTCAACTGTTCCAGGTCCACCAGCTGTATTTAGAACTCTATGCCTTGATTTACCTACCCCTCCTGTACTGAACACTATCACCGCCTATTGGAAACCTTTCTCTCTTCCAAGATTCACCTATCCATCCCACCTCCTCAAAGAATATGTCTTTAATCACGCTCATCCTCTGATCACAGAGAGCAAGGCATGATTTGCTCTGCATTATGTATGTGTTTCTAGCTGCCCCCTTTAGCAGATTGCAAAGACTTTAATGGTAGCCATGTTAGCATTCCTATCACCACCATTATAAAAATGACATATAACTAGTGCTTAATACATGCCAGGCACTTAAGTGCTTTTCATGTATAATCTCATTAAATCCCTTAAGTCCCCTACTCATATTTTCTAGATGAGGAAATTGAGACTTGTGAAACTGAGGTAACCTGCTTGAGGCCTCCTAGCTAGAAAGTGGCAGAGCTGATTTTCAGAATCAGCCCTCCACTACTCCAAAGACCTTCACCATTGGCCTGGGTCACCTTCATGTTATTTATTTTATAGTCATCTAATAAAAGGTAAATAGTATATAAAACTTGTTGGTTAAATAAATTATTGCTTGAATAATGGCTCTGCTTTCTTTTAGGCAGCCACAATAAAACCTTGACTAACAAAAATTAATATAACACAACCTTCAACTGATTATATTTCTTTTCATTTTTTACTATAATTTATTTGTAATGGAATGCAGCAAATCCCAGGAAACAAGTTTGACTTTACATTTTCTGTCGAAATTGAACAAAGTGCTAAAATATTTCTCTGAGGTTAGTGCATCATCTTTGGCCATCTATATGGGTGATATTCTTCCTTGAGAAATTATGGTTACAATGAGGACCAAAGGATCATTTGACCTTGAACTTGCAGAGAAGGATATATTTTATATTCCCCAGACAATTCACTTGAGAACATTTAAAAAAATAATATTTTGAATAATTTTAGCAACATGAATCAAAGCACACATTTCGTTGAATCTTTAGAAACTCTAAATCCTAGAATATCTTATTTCTCAAACACAGCAAATGCCATAAAGTGCCCTACCCTTAATCTGCAGAGTTGGTTCTGTGATCTGACTGGTGTCCACCTGCCATCATTTGCATCTATGTGCCTGGGGTTTTCATTTCTGGACCAAAGAAAGCTACTCTGTGCACACATGTCAGCTCAGAAATACCAAACATGAACACACCATCACCACTGCCACTCTCTTCCCCCACCCCTATCCAATAAGTCTTCATACAGTGAGTCTCAGGAGGTGGTATGTAAATATCTCAACTTTCTCACCTCTCAGATGGGGTCATTCTGAGGTGTGTGTTTTCTACTATATTCCAGAGGTCCCCTGCAGGATTAAGCTCCAGCCACACACAGTGATAGCTAGCTTAATAAAGCACTCTTTAATGGATGACTTCACTGCCCTGGGCCTCTCCCCTACCACCCTCAACTAGTGTTTCCTGCACCTCCCAAATAAACTGCTTGCCCTCGTGCCCTTATGTCTAGTTCAGCTTCTGGGGAAACCCAAACTAAGACACCAAGCATTTGCATTCACAGGGCTTCAACTACAGTGATAGTTAGATCCTCCTAGGCAGAAAGAGAAAGCGACAGCATGCATTTCTTCTCTTCTGGTGTTCTCTTTAGCCAAATTTGCCATATTTAACTGTTTTTACATGCAATCTTAGTAGACAAATTAAAGAGATTATTTAATAGTTTACACAAGTCCTATAATTCAGAATATGAATGCAACATATGAGTAGCTTATGTGTTGGCTCTGTTCTAGCCCTTGATCTGTAGGAGCAATAAACAATGTGAGTGCATGGGGGAAAATCTCACAGAAATAGCATTGTATCCACACCTGTGAAGAACAAGCATGGTTCGAGGATATTTCTAACTCTGGGGAGTGATAAAAGTATGACACCATAAGATATGCAATGCTATAAAGACATGAGTTAATTTTAAAATACTTTCTATACTATAAACTATTAGACAAATATAGGGCAGTGCTATTATTATAATGATGAATGGCATACACATGATATCATATGAAATAACCTAAAATCTGTTTCTAAAATATGAAAAAAAACTTTTCCTTATAATAAACTCTAATTTCTGAATCACCAAATCTTATTAGGGCTGCTTATACCTATGAAAACTATACCAATATTTAATTGACTTCAAAACTGATTAATAAAAGACTGTCTCCAACATGTATTTTGAACTAAATATTTTAGCATCCGCTTACCATGTCTATCAAAAATGCTTAATAAAACTTTTAGTGTGAGGCTTTATTAGTCCTTGATGTTAAATGTCTAGAATAATCTTCTTCTTAGGGATCCTTTCTAACTGCAAGTTTAAATTTTAAGGGCTTTTAAATTTGCCTTTTTGTTGTTTTGTTGGTTTTTCTTTTACAGCAATAAATGAGTCCACTACATGATTACTCTAAGCAACCTTTGATTTTAAATAAGTTCTCAGAGAAAACTAATAACTCTAAAATTTAGCACTTTCTTAAAAATCAAATCCATTTCTACATGATGTAATTTCTTTTCAAAATTAATTTTAAGGACTAGAAATTCTTCACTGCTAATTGGTACATTGGGTATAATATTTGTTTTTAGATACAGAGTAAACAATTTACTTTAGTATCAAGGAAACATAGTTAAGATTTTATTAGAATTCTAAAAATGAATAATAAGCCCAGCCCTGTGCTTGTTGTAATAGCTAAAATAAACTTGCTGCTCACACCATGGTGACTTAGCTAAGCTCTTCCTTCATTCCATCAAACTGCATGGGGCAGCAGCTGGGCTTCTTTCCGACACCCTTGGCATGTTTACTGCAGCCATGTAACTTAGTCTCAGAGGGCTGGGGCTGTTGCTAGGGCTTGGACCACACCTTCCTCCTGCTTACCTAAAGCCCATTGGTCATGATTTCATAATCAGGCAGTTTTGCACAATGTCAACATAGGGGCATTGACAAAAATATTATCTGTGTTTCTACAGGTGTTATATTTTTTGCTCCCCTAGTGACTACTAATCATTCAACTGGACTAAAATGATATATTTTAAAAAACAATGTCCTGGCATTGCTGAGAACATGCATATAAGGCCATGAAGGTCTACACAGCAAGGATTGCACAATAACCCATTAAAATAAACATTTGCAACCGCAGATAGCTGGACTGAAATCCTGCTCTGATACAAATAACATCTGGACAACTTTTTTTTGCATCTTCCAGCATAAAACACCCTTGAGAAAAAATAGAAGGAAAGCTAAAAGACAAAGGACCACTAAAGGTTTTATTATGTTATGGGTGTGGTGCCATAAATTTGAGGGGGCTCAGGCCAGAGTTGCCAAACCCGAATTTAAACAGCATGTTGTTTTTAAAAGTTGTAACACTGATGAGGAACAATTCAGTTTTCTTACATAATTAATCCAGTGTGAAATAGAGTGACTGGAAAACATCCAGTGGTTTAAAAATAACTCAATTATTTATAAGTTCCACAGTGCTATAGGATTCCACTCTAAGGAGTAGAAAGTGAAACATCTTGGTACCAAGTATGTTGTTCTTATTCAGCAAGGGCCTCAGGAAGTCAACATAAACAATCTCATAGTAAAAGATTATGCTGAGGCCAAAGACACTAAGGTTCCCTTGGATTATGGATCAGGCTAGTGGGCAGGAAAAAGTTTCTTTCCTTGACATTTATATATTGGTGATAAATAAATATTAGTATATCTTACTAATCCCCAAAGAACTGAACAATGTGAAGTGGGGGTATTAGGCTGCAGGGAACAGAGGGAAGAGGGGAGGAGGTCTGGGAAAGAAAGAAAAATGAGCCTCTTTCATAAGATCTATAACATAGGCTATGAATCATACATGACAGTGAATGGACTTTAATTTCTAATGTTGTTCTTTGATGTGAAGCAAAATAATTACAAGCTGAAAGATACTAGCAAGTATTATATTCAATATAAAGATAAAGAAATTAGCCATAAATAAACCCTTCTATAAAATCTCATGCTCAGGGCAGGCTCACAGCTAGCAACATACATTTGTGTCAGCTACAGCTGGCTGCTAAACAAAGGGAATGAAAGTTTGCTTCAGTTAATATTAAAATCTTGCAAAATATTTCACAGTTGTCTCAGGCATTTTTTTGCTCTTTTTTCTACTTAAAGGGGGCATGTGAGAGGTGGCAATAGTCTAAAAGGGCCAAGCCAGAAGTTAGAGCATGGATCTGTAAGGTGCCTTTAAAGGGCTAAGGAGCTTTACTAAGTCATGTGATTTACCTTAAATTCACCCTTTGTTTCAGCTAGAGTGCAGACATAAGTAAAAGAAGGAAGCAGACCTTTATTCATTTGGCCACTCCATCAACTGTGGGCCTAGTACGTTCCAAACTTACTGTATTTGTTTCTTTTATCCTTGGAAACAAACAAATATGAACCACGATTGTATAATTTACTTACTAGGCTAAACAAGCACGATTTTGATGTACTAATACCCATAACAACAAAAGTAGATGTCAGTTATTTAAACAAACTATTAAGTTGAGAACAGAAATTATTTCTTAAAAATGTATTTGTTGCTGATTCATGGATATAAACTGATAGATCAATTTCAGTAATTCCACTATAAGAAGAGATTATTTTCGTTGAGGAGCTGTGACAGTGGAAATATTGAAGGAAGGTAGTGAGAGAATTACAGTTCCAGGTGGTTGTAGTTATAATATCTAACTGCTATTAAGTGAAATTGTTTTAGCTGCAGTCCCGCTACTAAAAACTGGGAGATTACTGCTAAAACAATTTTACAAAGTTTTTGACTAAGGATCAAGTCAATAAATAGGCTCATGACTACCTTGTTCCTGACAGTTCCATTGCTTTGCCACTTTTTTCTTCTGTTTGTAGTATCAAGTCAGTGGCCATTCATTATCCAGCCATCAGTGGCCTCTGCTTCTGTAGTTGACCTTTGGTTTCACTTTCCCTATCCAACCCCAAAAGGCACAAGCATATCAAGGTTTCTTTGATGGCACTGACTGCCCGATGCAGCAAAATCCTTTTAAAAATAAACTAGAACAATTCCCACTGATGAGGTCAGTGCATCACTTACCCATGTGAAAAGAGAAGAGAAAACTGAACACTGTGGGCTCTGAATGACATCCCTATGTGTGAATAAACTATCGATTTGCTCATTCATTTAATTTTTTTCATATACTAATTTACTTAAGGCCTACCTTGTGGCAGTGATGAGTTAATTATTAGGGTGGAGATACAGTGTATTGCTTCTAGGGGTGATAGTTAATGATAAGTGTTATACGAATAGGGGAAGCCATGACTCTTCCTAAGAAAGTTGAAAACGGCTTCAAAGAGAATAAGACATTTGAGGTGGGTCTTGAAAAAGGAACAGGATGCACTTGGTGAGTAAGAAAGAAGTAAAGCATTCCAGGTAGAGAAAAGATCTTTGTGAAGAGGCTTAAAACTGCATGATGCTTGGGGAAATGTCACTGTATGGTGTGACTGGAGGTATGTGACATCAGATACGAATGCAGTGATAAGTTGGGACTAGATTGTAGAAGAAGCCATGCCAAGGAGTTTACTCTTAAGGCAATGGGAAGAATGAAGGATTAATATAGAGTGTGAAATAATCGGCTATAAAAAGATAAGTAAAACTTGCTCATTTGCCTTGAAGACAAGAACAGGCTATTTTCAGTGGGAATTGCTACATTCTGTTGTAGAGTGAATTATAAGGGCCATCTTGGCAGTGAGGAAAAGATGGCAGCTCATGAGGTCCAAGCCAATTGTTTCTGCTTCATCATTCCTTACCATCTACCCCACCTTCTCTTCTGTTCATGATTTACCAGCATAGATCTCCTTATCTACCAAAGAAAAAAGACTTTAATCTCTATCTCTCTCCTCCAACAACAACAAAAAAATAGAAAATCCTTGAGGTTTCAACCTGTGGACACTAGAGCTATACTCCCACGAGGAAAGTGAAGTGGTGAATTAGGCATCGATCCAGATTATGCATACCTCCTTCACCCATCATCACCTCAAAAGTTATCTTGCCTTTTTTTATCTCTATAGTTAGTACAAAAGAAACACTTTCCTAACAGATTATTCTTTCACATTTTATTTTGTATTAATGTAGCTACAGACTTAAAGAGCCTATAGGAACAAACTTTCTAGCACTTTGCAGGAGCAGCCCTAGTTCTTAAAAAAAAAAAAAAAAAAAAAAAAAAAGGAAAGAAAAGAATAAAGATTATTCCAAGATGAAATGCTAGCATTATGACCCACGCAGACCACCTGGAATTCTTTAAACCATTACACTCAGTAACAATTCTTCTCATGCAGTGTAACTTGTACTTCCTAATTTCTCAAGAGATATTTACTTGGACACTAGCTCTTTGTTTTCAACAGTTTTCCTGCCCTTCCAAATTATTAATCCCCACCTGTAGTCAAATGCTTCCATTTATGAATTCACAACAGTTGTTTAAGTCATTGAATTAAGAATGGAAAAGTTTATGTAATTTTTGGGATGTGGGAAGAGAAAAAGAATATTTTTAAATGAGCAAGACAATCGTCTTATTGATGATCTTATCTTTAAAGAAAAAATAATAAAGAAAAATGTAACTGGATGTTCCTGGAGCTATAAAAGTAAAGCTGAAACTACAATTTTTTAAAAGGCAAATGAAAAATTGACTAGTAGAGATCTTCAATGGCCTTTATAATCATCAGAATCATTCATTCACTCTGTACTCAGTAGGCCGTAATACCCCCAAAGAGAAGGCTAAATTGAATGAGCTAGTTACTAGTCTCCATTCTGCTAAGCTACTATGTGATGATTGGAATCGCATGCATCTACCCAGTGACACAAAGAGCAGAGTCACATGAAAATCTGTCATTGAATTCAAACTAGATTTTATTTCCCCAAACTGAATTATTCTGAACCCTAAATAATGTTTACAACAAATGATGCCTATGATCTACAGTTAGTCAGTTAACCAGATAATTGCCACTTCTCCAAGTTCTTCATGTTGTGAAAATTTAGATGGCTTATTGTGGAAGAGGACCATAACCTGCCCTTTTCTGTGCCCTGTTTGAGATGCAATGATGAGGCCATGGCACAAAAATTATGATTACCTGATGAACTTAAGACTTCCACTTTCAACTGAGAAGTAACACTGAAGATCATTAAGAAACTACCCCAAACCAGGGAAAGAAGGATCCAAAAATGTTAGATGTTACAATTTCCAGTGATCACCCACAGTGGGAGTAGTGTCTATACTTACCAGCCAGATTGGAAAACCTCATGATTAATGGAGCACTGGGTAAAGTACTCAACAGAATCTTGCCTGGGTGGTAGGGAATAATTAGTCCTAGACTGAGCTTTGCTCCAGACCCAACTTACAAATCTTAAAAGGGAGATCCAAAAGAATCAAACTATGTTCATATGATTTAACTGTGTGCCAGAATATAGCTCTAGACTATTTATACACTCAATAAAATAAAATGTATGATACCGTCATCTAATCAAATATTACCAGACATGACAAGAAGTAGGAAAATACAACCCATGATAAGAATAAAAATCAAGCAAATCCACATAGAACTTCCACAGATGTTAGAATTAACAGATAAGGATGTTAAGATAGAATTTATAATTGCATTGTAAGAGGTAAAGGAAGAGATAATGTTTTTAATACCAAAATCAAACTTGTGAAGATGAAATCTACAATGTCTAAGATGAAATACATTGGATGAGATAAGTTGCAGGTAAGATGCTGCAGAAAAAAATTAATAAATTTGAAGACATAGCAATAGAAAAACAAAAATAAAATATTTATCTTTTAAAATGAACAGAAAATATTTTTTAAAATATTTATTTAAAAAAAGTAAACAGAGAATTAGGGAGTTGTGGAACCACTTTAAATGGCATAATATTTGTGTCATTGGTGTCCCTGAAAGAGTTAAAGAGGATGGACATAAAAATAATTTGGAGAAATTATGACTGACAACTTTCTTAATTTGATGAAAACTGTAAACCTATAGATCCAGGAAATTCAAACAAACTTAAGCACAAAAATACAAAGAAAACCTCACCAGATTACATTATAATCACATTGCTCAAAACGAGGGATAAAGAGAAACTCTTAAAAGTGCCCAGAAAAAAAAAAAAAAAGAAGCAAAGATAAGGATAAAGAAGCAAAGAAAAAGATATGACAGATTTCTTGTTAAACCAATAAAAACAGGAAGACAATGGAGTATCATTTCTAAAGCACTGAATGAATAAATCTGTTGAATTAGAATTCTATACCCAGCAAAGACATCTTTCAAAAGCAAAAGTAAACTAAAACTTTTGCATGTATACAAAAGCTGACAGAATTTGTTACTAACAGGTAGGTAACATAAGAAATGTTAAAAGAATTCCTTCAGGCTGAGTAATAATAAATGAAAATATGCATCTACACGAATAAATGACATCAGAAAAGGTAATTACATGAGTGAACAAATTGTTTTCTTAGTATTAAATCTCTTTAAAACATAATGGACTGTTTAAACAAAAACGATAAAAATATGTTGTGGGGTTTGTAGCATACATGTAATTAGAATTTAAAACAGCAGCAGTTCATTTCTAGGAGAATGGTGATAGAAGAATACTATGGTAAAGTTCTTATACAGGACTGTGATAAGTTAAAGATATATGCTACAAACTATAAGATAATCATTAAAGTAATAAATCAAGGACTAATAGTGAATACACCAACAAAACATAAAATGGAATAATACAATATATTAGGTTGGTGGGAAAGTAATTGCGATTTTGGACTATGAATTTTAAATCATTATTAGGCTCAAACACATCTTTATTAATCAAAATAGGAACCATTACAATCAACATATTTTTACCAATGAGAAATAAGTTTGTTTATTCCTGTAACATAAAAATCCATGCTTTGGGATTTGATGAACTCTTGGAAAGCATTTTCTGCATCCTGATGATCGTAGAAGCTTTTTCCCTGCAAAAATCTGTCGAGATGATTGAAGATGTGGTAGTCAGTTGGCAGGAGGTCAGGTGAATGACAGATAAGTCAAAACTTCATAGCCCAATTCATTCAACTTTTGAAGTGTTGGTTGTGCGACATGTGGTCGAGAGTTGTTGTAAAGAGTTGGGCCCTTTCTGTTGACCAATGCCGGCTGCAGGCATTGCAGTTTTCAGTACATCTCATCAATTTGCTGAGCATACTTTTCAGACGTAATGATTTGCTGGGGTTCAGAAAGCTGTAGTCGATTACACCGGCAGCAGACCACCAAATGGTGACCATGACCTTTTTTTGGTGCAAGTTTGGTTTTGGGAAGTGCTTTGGAGTTTCTTCTCTGTCCAACCACTGAGCTGGGCATCACCAATTGTCATATAAAATCCACTTTTCCTTGCACATCACAATCTGATAGAGAAATGGTTCACTGTTGTTGCGTAGAATAAGAGAAGACAACGCTTCAAAACAATGATTTTTAAAAAAATTTTCGCTCAGCTCATGAGGCACCCACTCATCAAGCTTTTTCACCTTCCCAATTTGCTTCAAATGCTGAATGACCAAAGAATGGTCAACATTGAGTTCTTTGGCAACTTCTTGTGTCATTGTAAGAGGATCAGCTTTGATGACCGCTCTTAATTGGTTGTTGTCAATTTCCAATGGTCAGCCACTACACTCCTCATCTTCAAGGCTCTCATCTCCTTTGCCAGACTTCTTGAACCACCACTCCACTGTACATTCATTAGCAGTTCCTGGGCCAAATGGATTGTTGATGTTGCGAGTTGTCTCCACTGCTTTACAGCCCATTTTGAACTCAAATAAGAAAATCGCTCGAATTTGCTTTGTGTCTAACATCATTTCCATAGTCAAAAATAAACAGCAAATAATAAGTCATTAGTAAAAAAAAAAAACCCATAAAGCAAGCAATGCCCATTAAAATGATGTATAACCTAACCACATTTATTTAAGAACGTATTCCAATGTCAAACAGCAAATTCTAACAATGCAAAAGCTATAATTACATTTGCACTAACCTAATATTAACTCAAAAAAGGCAGAAAAATACAGCAGAATGGGAACAAAGATCAAATATAAAATAAATAGTAGATGATAGGATTGAACCTAATAATAACAATCATATTAAACAGAAATAAGGTAAAAATTCCAATTAAAAGTCAGAGATTATCATATTAGATTAAAAAGCAAGATCTTACTATAGACTGCCTACAAGAAATGCATGTTAAATATAGAAAAATTGTTTAACATTAAAAGGACAAAAGATTTACCATACTAACACTAATCAAAGGATAAGCTGGTCATTTCATAGTAATAATTGCATAAATTTGGCAAGAGGATATGGCATTCCTAAACTTTGATGTTTTTAAAAAGAAGGTTTCAAAACATAAAGTAAGAACTGACAGAACCACAAGAAAAAAATAAATGCATTATTACAGTCGGAGGTTTCAGTACCCCATTTCAACAATTGATAGAAGAAATAGAAAATAAGGATATAGAAGAACTAAAAAAAAAAAAGTACTATCAACCAATTTGACTCATTGAACATGCCACTCAACAATAGAATATACATTATTTTAAGTGCACAGGAAACATTTATTAATATATCCTATTTTTTGTCCATAAAACAAGTCCCAATATATTCAAAAGCAAAACAAATATGGTCTCTGACTACAATGAAATTAAATTAGAAACAAATAACAGAAAAATCTCTGGAAAATCTATAAATATTTAGAAATTGTAGAACACATTTCTAAGTAATCCACTGGTCAGAAAAATAAATCAAAAGAGTAATTAGAAAGTCATTAGAAATGCAAATGAAAACACAGCATATCAAAATGTGTAGGATGCTGCCAACGCAGTACAAACCATGATAAGCAGGAAAAGTTATACCACCAAATGACTAGTTAAATAAATGTTTTAAGTCTTAAAGCAATGACTTTAGGGTCTTCGATAAAATACTAGTAATAGCACAAAATAAATCTAAAGTAATAAGAAAATAAAATCATAAAAGACAGAGCAGAAATTATGGAAATAGCAGAGAAACAATTGAATGATCACTTAAGAGATCATATGAATAGCCCTATCTATTTTAAATAAGTTGAATTTTTAATTTAAAAACATTCCAAAAAATTCTTTCATCCCAGATGGTTTCAGTAGTGAATTCTACCATACATTTAAGAAAAAAAATTGTACCAATTTTATGCAAATTCATTCAGAAATTCAGGAAGAGGAAAAATGTCCCTACTCATACTATAAGGAAAACATTAGCCTGATATGAACACCAAACTACCTCACTGCAAGAAAACTACAGACCTGTCTCCCTCATGCCATGCATACAGAAATTCTCAGTGAAATATAAGGAAGTCAAATACAACAATATACAAGCAGGGTAATACTTCATCCTGACAAACTGGGGTTTATCTGAGTGATGCATGGCTGATTCAGTTTTCAAAAATCAAACCATGTAATTCACTATATTAATAAACTATTAAAGGAGAACCATATGATCATGTTAATACAAATACACACACATGCAAGTATGTGGCAAAATTCAATATTCATTCTTGATAGAAATCTTAGTAAACAAGAAATAGATGGCAATTTCCAAAGCCTGACAAAGTCCATCAAGGGAAAATATACAGCTGATACCATACTTATGGTGATGAAAGACTGAAGTTTTTCTCTCTTAGATCAAGAAAAAGACAAAAATTTTTGCGTTCACCACTTTTGTTCTACAATGTACTGGAGATTTTAGACATTTCAATAAACTAATAGGAAAAAAAATTCAAATTAGAAGCAAGGAACTAAAACTGTCCTAATCTCAGATGACATGATTTCCTATGCAGAAAATCCCATAGAACTTACAGAAAAACCTCCTAACCCTAATAAGTTCGTTGGTTAAGACTGCAGAATATAATTCTGATATAAAATTATCGTCTGCTACCAACAAACAATCTGCAATTGATATTTTAAAAATACTATCCACAATAGTATAAAAAACAAAATTCTTAGAAGTAAGTATGATAAAAAATCCTCAATATTTGCACACTGGGAACTATAAAATATTGTTGAAATAAATTAAAGAAAAAGTAAATAAATCTAAAATTCGCCATGCCCATTGGTTGGGAAAGTCAATAGAGTTAATTTACCAATTTTCTCCAAATTTTTCTACAGATTTAATACAGTCTCAAACAAAATCCCAGAAGGGTGTCTGGAGAAAGACAAGTTGATTCCAAAAATTATATGGAAAAGGAAAGGATCTAGAATAGCCAAAACAATATTATGAAAGAAGAACATATTTGAGGGCTGAAACTACTTGATTTCAAGACTAGCATAATGTGACAACAATCAAGAAAGAATGGTATTGGCATAAAGACAGAAGAATAGATATGGATAACTTACTTTTGACAAGTGTGAAGCTCATTCAGTGGAGAAAGCTTATGCTATTTAACAAATGGTTCTGAAACAATCGAATATTAATATTCAAAGAAAAACAAACTTTGATCCTTACTTTGAACCGTATTTGAAAATTAATTCAACTGGATAATACAGACTTAAATGCAAAATATAATACCATAAAACTTCTAAAAGAAAATCTTTGTGACATTTGACTAGGCATAAATACTTTTAAAATATAACACTAATAGCATTTTTCTAAAAATAAAATTTTTTAAAAATAAATCTATTGACTATCAATTAAAAATCAGTTCTTTAAATAAACAGTGTTAAGATAATCGAAGGCAATGTGTAGACTGAGGGAAAATATGTATCAAACATATATCTGAGAAAGGACTTTTATTCAGAAAAAAATAAATATCTCTTAAAGCTCAGCAATAAAAAAACAAACAGGCCAGGCGTGGTGGCTCACACATGTAATGCCAGCACTTGGGGAGGCCAAGGCAGGTGGATCATTTGAGGTCAGGAGTTTGTGACCAGCCTGGCCAAAATGGTGAAACTCCGTCTCTAGTAAAAATACAAAAATTAGCCGGGCCTGGTGGCACACACCTGTAATCCCAGCTACTCAGGAGGCTGAGGCAGGAGAATTGATTGAGCCTGGGAGTCGGAGGTTGCAGTGAGCTGAGATCATGCCATTGCACTCCAGTCTAGGTGACAGAGTGAGACTCTTGTCTCAAAAAAAAAAAAAAAAAAAAGGAAAAGAAAACAAATAGCCCAATTAAAAATGGACAAAAGATTTGAATAGACACTTCACCAAAGGAGATAAGCAGATGGCATATAAGCACATACAAAGATATTAAACATAATTACTAGAGAAATGCAAAATAAATCAATGATAGATATTATTACACACTTATGAGAATGGCTAAAATTAAAAAGACTGACCATACCAAATGTTGATAAGGATTTGGAGGAACTAGAACTCTCATGTGATGATACTGATGTAAATATAAAATGGCACACCACTTTGGAAATAATGTGGCAGTTTCTTGAAAAGTTAAATATACACATATGATATTACCCAGCCATTCCACTTCTACTTAGTTACTTAAGGGAAAAGAAAAGGTACGTGTATACAAAGATTGGTACAACAATGTTCACAGCAGCTTTACTTTTAGTAACCTCAAACCAGAAACAACCCAAATGTCCACCCTCAGGGCAATGCATAAATCAATTACTATATATCTATACAATGGAATACTACTCAGCAATAGAGAGGAATGAACTATTGATACACACAACATGATTTAATCTCAGATTATTTTTGCTGAGTGAAAAAGCCAGACACAAAATAGTATATTTCTTATTATTTAAAATTGTGAAATATTCAAACTAATCTCTAATAACAGAAAGTAAATCAGTGGTTACCTGAAGGGAGACATGGGTAGGGAATCAAAGGTAGGGATTACAAAAGAGACAAGAGGAAACTTTCTGGAGTGATAAATAGGTTCAATATCTTGAGTGTAATGTCAATATCACAGGTGTATATGTACATCAAAATTTATCAAATTGTAGATTTTAAACATGTGGTTTATTATATTACAATTAGAACTCATAAAGCTATTAAGAAACAAAATATAATTATTTTTAGAATGTTCAATGAATACTTAAATATGAACTGTAAATTTCCACAGACTTTCCCTCTATAAATTTGCAGATAATCTTGCATAGTCTGGATACCTGTAACAGATGTAAAAATTATATAAGAAGGTTACATTTTCCTGCCTACAGAAGTCATATTTTAATGAATTTGGAGCATGGGGATCATTGCACTTCTTGAATTTAGCCCTACTTATTCATGCATGCAATGTTTATACTGCAATATTAACACACTGTGTTGGTTTTGATCTGTTTTTGGAAGACAGAAGAGATCCCTCCACTCAGAAAAGAGATAACCCAAATTTGGTTAGAATCCAAATGGTATTGTGTGACCTAATTAAGTGGTGGGTATTTCATGAGCTTAGTCTTTCACATCTGGCTGTTATTAGATAGCCCTACTTGGCTACCCTACAAAGTAGCATTTGATCTAAGGGCCAACTCTGCCCCACATTTATTAATGTCTCTCACACTGACTAAATCCACAGGGAGAGGTTGGGCCCAAGAAACCAGGCAACAAAGTGGGAGATATCTCTGCAGAGGGACTAATTCTTTTTCTGTTTGGTTTTTAAGTGCATTTTGCCTTGACTAACTTCAAATATTGATTGTTAGAAAGTGGACTGGAAACGTAATGATTGACTGATCGCAATGTATTACATACAACGAATTTTGAATACCACAGAACTAATTGAATAAATGAACGGAAATATTAATATTGAATTAATAGGAATGATCAGAGTGAATTAAACACAGCGGGCCAAATTCTGCCCCTGGATATGCATGCACAATTTCCATTGACTTCAATGGGGGTTTTGTTGTGTGTATCCAAGGGCAGAATCCAGCTTAATTAATTTTTTAATTGTTTTTAAATGGTGAATGAATTGGTTAAAGTGCAAAGCACCAGAGATGACTTCGTACATATTGCATATATCCCTGTGTTTTTAAAAATATGCCTGAAATACAAGCTTATAATCTTACAAATATAACTAACACAAATGTTAAATTTTAAAGTTTGCAGAAAATAATGTAAGAAATAAAAACATTGCTGTTGCATTTTCTTTGTAAAAGGTTAATGCATACACATTGCTGCAGAAAAGGACAAAATTTTGATTTATTAATGAGCTTTTAAAATAAATCTGAAGCTTCGGTGCCCAAGAATCCATCCACATCCTCGCAAGTGTACTCTAAGTGAACTCAATAGCTTAAGGTATTCTCTTTACCATAGCCTTCTTATTTTCATCACCTTCTTATTTTAATTAAAAAATTATTTGACAAATACTGTGAAAGCAAAGGCTTATTATTTGATCTTAAGTAACTGTCACATCAGTTTAGTTTTTAATACTTAAGAAATTTTACTATGAAATCCCTTCTAGATTATGGGTCCATAATAAGATTTAAAATATGTTTGATCCCCTAATTGATTCACTCATTAAGATAGTCCAGTTCTACTCTATGTCATCACATCCACTGGCCTGCCTCAGGCCATAAAATGTCAATGCCTTAGACCTGAAATTTATAACAATTTGACATAAGACATCATTCCATAATATCATCTACCAAGTAAAGAAAAATAATCTTTTGTGAGATAAGCTTTAAACATATACAGGAAATGTGTTTGTGTGTGTGTGTGTATTGGGGATGGAGGTTAGAAGAACTCTCTTGTATAAGGACAATAAAAACAAAAATGAAATATTAATATTATACATTCCTTGAGTGACTGCATAATGTAACGTTAAATTGATAACTTTCTTTGTTTTAATTAATAGTGTTTTTTTAAGAACAGTTTCAGCTTTACAACAAAATTGAGCACAAAGTATAGGGAATTCCCATTTGCTCCCTCCCTGCTCTCACACACATTGACACCCCCACCATAAACCTACCTAATCAGTGCAGTATGTTTGTTACAACAGAAGAACCACATTGACGTTATCAACTAAAGCCCTTAATTTACATTAGTATTCACTCTTAATGTGGTACAATCTATGGATATTGACAAATGTATACAGACATGTAGCCACCATTGTAGTATCATACAGAACAGTTATTCTGCCCTAAACATTACCTGTTTCACCTATTCACCCCTTTCTGTCTGCAAATCTCTGACAGCCACAGATTTTTTTAGTCTCCACAGTTTTGCCTTTTCTAGAATGTTATATATTTGAAATTTTACAGTGTGGAGACTTTTCATATTGGTTCCTTTCACATAATATTCATTCAAAATGTCTTCATATCTTTGCATGGTTTGATATCTCATTTCTTTTTAACACTGAATAATATTCCATTGTCTAGATGTAACTATTTATATATGCACTTGCTGAAGGGCATCTTAGTTGCTTTCACGTTTTGGCAATTATAAATCTGGTATAAACATTTGTGTGCAAGTTGTTGTGTGGACGTGTTTTTAACTCTTTTGAGTAAACACCAAGGAGTAGAATTGATGGATCAGATAGTAAGAGTATGTTTAGTTTTGTAAGAAATTCCCAAAACTGTCTTTCAAAGTTGCTTTACCATTTTGCCTTCCCACCAACAGTGAATGAGAGTTCCTATTGCTCTGCCCCCTCATCAGCATTTGATGTTGTCAATGTTTTGGATTTTACCCATTTAAAATGCTGTATAGTGATATCTCATTGTTATTTTAATTTGCAATTCCCTAATGACTATGATGTCAAGCTTCTTTTCATATGTTTATTTGCCATCTGTATATCATCTTTGGTGAGGTGTCTGTTCAGCTCTCTTGTTCCTTTTTTAATTGAGTTGCTCATTTCTTAATTGTCGAGTTTAAAAGTTCTTGTCTATTTTGAATAACAGTTCTTTATTAGGTATGTCTCTGCAAATATTTTCTACTAGACTGTTACTTGTATTCTCATTGACATTTTTTTTTTTTCTCTGAGAGACAGAGTCTCACTCTGTCACCAGGCCTGAGTGCAGTGACGCAGTCATAGCTTACTACAGTGTCAGTCTCCTGAGCTCAGCTCTTGCCTCAGTCTCCTAAGTAGCTGGGATTACAGGCATGTGCCGCCATGCCCAGTTTTAAATTTTTGTTTTTATAAACAGTGTTTTACTACCTTGTCCAGGCTAGTCTACAACTCTTGGCCTCAAGCAATACTCCTGCCTCAGCTTCCCAAAGTGCTGAAATTTTGATAGTCCTTTTTACAGAGGGGAAGTTTTTAATTTTAATGAAGTCCATTGTATCCATCCTTTTTTTAATGAATTTTCCCTTTTAATTTAAAATGTCAGCACTAAACCCAAGATTTCATCTATATTTTCTGCTGTGCTATCTTCTATGAGGTTTATAGTTTTGCATTTTATGTCTGTAATCTATTTGAGTTAATTTTGGCAAAGGGTATAAGGTTAATATCTCGATTAATTTTTTTTTTTGCACGTAGATGTCCAGTAGTTCCTGCGCCATTTGTTGCAAAGGCTATCTGTTCTTAATTGAAATGCCTTTGCTACTTTGTTAAATATCAGTTGACTATATTTGTGTGGGTCTATTTCTGGGATCTCTATCTTTTTCCATTTATCTATTTGTTTATCAGTTTGCCAGTAACACACTCTCTTGATTATTGTAGCTTTATAGTAAGTCTTGATGTCAGTGTGAATTTTTCAAATTCATGTAATCCTTCTCCCTCAATATTGTGTTGGATATTCTGGGTCTTTTTCCTCTTCATATGAACTTTAGAATCACTTTGCCAGATTGTTTTCTTTTTAGAGGACTTTTTCTTTTTTTACAAAGTTATCTTTTGTATTGGTTAAAATTAAGTTAATATAAACTTTTAGAGCTCTCCTTTATTAAAAAATCTTTTTTAAAGAATTTAATAGCTACTTAAAAATAGAATGACTACAACTTAATGTGTTGGCAAGAGTCGTTATTAGATTTTGCCATAATAAAAAGTTTGCTGTTAATGAACATTAATTATTTATACAGTAATTATAAGTATAATTTATATAATATGAATATTTAGATAATAAAATATTGGAACATATATTGTAAGAAAGGGATATTAAAATCAACATCAAAGTATTTAAAATTACTATTATTTTAAATAATCAAGTTCTAAGATACTTACTTTTCAAAGTAGCTGTAGGAGGCACTTCATTCTCTCAGCCTGGTTCCCCGTGCCTATCACAATTGATGGTAAAGAACTGCTCTGCCTCCTGAACAGAGGTGACTGAGGGTCTCGAGCCAAAGTAAGGTGAGTAAAATTAAATTAAAAGCTATGATGAACATAGAGGAGGAAATCCTTTCAGCTCAGTCTCCATATCATGAAAACAGTCTCCTGAAACCATATTGGTGATAGCAGGTTGAACTTCTTTAATTTGGGGGTATTTGTTATTGTTTTACTGCTTTGTATGTATTTACTTATTTTTTATTTTCTTTTATAATAAACATGAAACAGTTGAGCTAAAATTTAAATTTTCATAGGTAGGAGATATTTTTGTATATTACCTGTAGAGGAACAAAATGTTGCTAATAGGAGATATGACAGTAAACGTGGAAGCATACTGTAGACTGCAGAGAAATATGACATCACATCAACCTAGCCTCATGATCCTGTTTCATTATGAGAACATATCATTAACTCACAAAAAGTGCATCCGCAATTATCTATCCCACAGAATATTTCACTTGATTAGAAATTACAAATGGTGATCAATGACATACATCATAATTTTGAATTTTTCAAACAATAAGTAAATGCAAAAGAAATTGATGCAAATAAGTATGTAAATAACTTTTAACAAATGGTGCATCTATAATCCTGAAAACTCAAGAATAAAGGCAATATACTCATGTTACTCAAAGTGTGGTCTGTGGACCCACAGCATTGTCATCACTTACCTAGGAATTTGTTAGAAATGTGACATCTCAGACCCATCCTAGACCACCTGATTCAGAGTATGCATTAAAAAATAAAAACAAAAACCAGATGATCACTACAAACATTTAACTTTGAAAAGCAGTGCTTTACAATCTTAATAATATGCTGGAAAATAAATGGACTTTGGAGTTAGAGCTGCTCTGCCACTAATTGTATAATCTTGGATGTTACTCAATCTGTGTATACTGTGTCCCCATCTGTCACGTGGGGATGATAATATCTACTTCCCAAAGTTGTGGTGAGAATGAAATGTAATAGCATGTGTGAGGTACATTCACCCCTACATTCATGCAATTGTTCATGGACAACCTCAAATAGTAAGTTTAGAGTACACTGCCGTTCACATATTAACTCTTGCCATAAAGTTATACAGACCAAAAAAATTAGAGAAAATGCACATTAGTATTAAATCAATACACTTTTTACCCTGAGAATTTGAGGAAATCCTCAATCTGCAAAACCTTTTTCAAATCCACACTCTTTCTTTCTGCTTTCAGCTGTGTATGTGCTGAGATGAGAGTCCCCTTATGGCTGGGTTCAGTCCTCAGTTCTCTAGCATCTATTACTACTTAGGAATGGCCAGAAATTCCTTCTCAGGTCTTCCGGAAATCGTTGTCTCTCTGCACTCCCAGTGCTGATCCCTGATCCTTGCTTGCAGACATTTCCCTTCCCACCTTCAAAGATAATATGAGCTTTCCACAATAGCCATCACCTGAGACAACAACCTAGTTGAACCTCTCCATTGTCCATGTAGAAGGGCAAGCTATTGTATCCTATTAGTATCTGTCTCATTTATTTTTTCTCCCCTAGTTTTTTATTTATCCCAAGAGATTAACTTGTCTTTCATTACCAAGATCTTCCAGGAGGCCCTCTGACCATGTGTGTTAACATATCTGTATTTACAATCCCATTGCCTAATTATAATACCCATCTCAATGCCTGACACATTGTAGTCCCTCAGTAGGTGCTATTTTCCTTTTTCAATCCAGGCTGCTATTTGAGGTAACTCACAAGAATACTATGAATAATAAAATTATATTATATTATATTATATTATATTATATTATATTATATTACATTACATTACATTATTTTAAAATACCTAGGTCTTTTATTATTCACTGTTAACCAAATCTTATTACTAAGACTAAATTGGTATGTGTGTATAAACTTACAAATGATAATTTCTTGCACATGGTCACTAAGCCTTTGGGTAGAAAACTCTCCATTATTTACCTTCTCTGAGGCCTGGTTCTAGAATTTTAATAAAAGACCCTTTGCACTACAGCTTGATTTTTATGCATTTATCATCAGAAGTACAGTAATATTCATTATACATAACTCAAATAGTGTTCCTTCCTAAAGTAGCAATTCTGTCACTCGTGTCTCATGAGTTTATTCTCATTCAACTTGTCTTTTAAAAATTGGCTATTGAAATGGTGATCAAATAGGAACAATTTTAAGAGTATGAGTGAGTGCTGCTAATAATTAACTGATGATAACAGGCAGAAAACAGAACTGTCTGGGCAAACCAGGATGTGGAGTTGCCCTATGTATTGGTAATTTCAGCACTGGAATACTTAAAGGCCGTAATTAATACAAAGTTATTCGAATCATGGAAGATTCCTTCATCAAGGCAGAAGTGTTTTGCAGCATCAGATTCAATCTGAAGAACTTTCTTGGGACAAGCACAAGTAAATGTCCGGGAGACCATGAACTTGAGTCCTCACCATAAAGAAGGAGTCAGGAAACAATGCAAAGAGGATGAAGCCTTGGGAAACTACACAAGTGGCAAAGTTTGACATGGTACTAGGTGTTGTTAGGAGCAATCAATGAAAGGAAGGTTATTGTAGTACTTACAATAAGTGGCTGTGGGCCGACAAAAAAGAGAATCTTTAAGGGTATCCATCTGCACTGATAAATATCAGTATTGTAACAATTCTAAGGGTATTTTTGTTTATTTTTGATTAAAATGAAAATCCATTTTTTCATATTGCTAATTAATAACTTTTATTTGGATAATAAGTAGATTTCCAACATTTAAAAAGTCATAATATCAAGAATTTTTTTAAATACCTAGGAATTTTGATATACATTTAATGGGCATAAATTATATATAATTTGTGCATTTATCTTTCTGACAATGATGGCAAGAAATGAGCTTTAAAGGGACAGAATCTGCTATTCAACAGTAAAGAGAAATAGGGGCTGATTGGTGACATTATTCTTTTCTTTTGGAAATAAATGTAATATGTTAAAAAATGACATAAACTACTTTTTAAAGTGATGCTACATATTTTAGAGATGCCCTGGGAAGAAATCTTTATGTGCCTGTGGTTTACAATGAACTAGAGCTAAACAGATAGATAAACAGGATGGCTGAGCTGGGAACACCTTTTTTGTTGGTTGTCCTGTTTTTTTCCAGGTCTGCTAAGCCCCTAAGGAGAGTTCTTAAAGTTAGGTAAGAAACATTTGTAAATTTAAAGTTTTATAAGGAGGAAAGAGATAATTTATTTTGTCTGTTTAAAAGTGCAAATCCCAGTATTTTGGGCATCAAGGGTGCAAAAAGCAAATGTAATTGTTTTGTGAATTTGGCCCTTGGGTTTGTCATTCAAACCTATGCATCGCAACTAGATCAGAAATTTCAACAATGTGACATCTCTATGACTTTCTCTGTGAAATCTAATGCTCTATCTCCTAGACATAATATAAAACACTGTAGGCCTGCATTATGTAACCTCCAACCATATAATTCTATACTTGGCTCAAAATCTGAAATTTTCCCTGGAAAAAATGTATAAAGAAATAATAATAGTATTAAATTGAAGTCACTCATATTTAAATACATCAGAGTTTCACTTTAAAAGTTGAATACTTTTGACTATCTGCTTTAAATAATAACTAATCTAGAGCAGCTTAACATAGGTTTTGATAATATTTCACTTCATATTCAATTTTGAAAGTCTCTGGTTTTGCATATTCTTTGAATTTTGTTCTTTTGATGCTATGAGAAATAAATTTACCCAGCATAGCAAAACAAATATTGATTTTGTCATAAAGTCAATGCCATTTGTCAGGCTTCCTCACATTAAATATGTTAAGAGTACACATGATTTTATTAACCCACTACTAAAATCATACTTTATATAATCAATTTTTTTCTGACTTTCGAATTCTCTCAAGGATTCAGAAAAACGTTTATTATATAGAATTAATAAAAACAACTATAATTTTCCAATTTTACTTCCCTTTGGAATAGAATACTGGTTGTGCTGAATATATGTATACTATAACTTATTAGCTCTGTAAAGACAAGGATTTCTTAGGAAGCACACAATGACTGCTATTCCCATTTCAACGGGAAAGAAAAGATCTCTTTTTGAAAGTTCATGAACTCTAAAGCCTTGGCTACATTTTGATCCTAAAACGAAAGAAATTTAAGTATGTTATGATATAAATGAAAATTATTTTAGTAAAACTAGTTGGCTCTTAAGAGTTATAGGCTCAGTCAGATATTATCATTAGAGACAATTAAATTGTTTCCTATGAGTCAGTAATGTTACTCTCAGATTAGCAGAAATAACACATTAGATCAGAAGTCTAAACAGATCTCCAGAAATCTCAGCTAGCCCACTCTATCTTCTCTAGCAGGAGGAATACCCTACATAAAGGGATGAAAACCTAAGGTCTTATATTAAGCAAGAACAACATCAATAAAGTCTACTCTTCTCTCTCTAGAAACTTTTCATTAAGACCCTACAAAGTTTCTCAGTGTTCCAACCCCAGGCTTTCTCCTTTGTTCTCAATTCACTTTTATAATTCCTATACAGTTTTACATTGTGACTTTAATATACATAACATTTACATATTGAAGTTAACAGATATTTTGCAAAGAGAAAAATGTAATTCCATATTCTTTTTAAAACTATATTTTTGGTAGTGAATATTTTGATCAGAGAGGTTTTTTTTTTAACATTTTCAAATGTACATAAAATGTGTTAATTTATTCATACCCCAAAGGTAAATATAATAATTCAAATAGTTGAATAATTGAGCCTACTAGCCATTCTAGAATTATTTGAGATCAAGAGCATTATGTAGACAATATTGTATTGCGGGCATGTTAATTCACTGTTTCAAGTACATAGACTTTGGGGTTAGATGGACTTGGGTTAGAATGCCAGCCTTATCATTTATGGTCTCTGAGACATGAACATGAGTCATTAATCTAAAAAGACAGTCAAGAAATAATGCCAAGCAGATAAAGACCTGAGAGACTTGATAGGAGAGAAAGTTTGGCAAGGATGGTAATAGGTGCTGTTGTGAGAAATTGATTAGAGGAAAGTTACTGTATTACTTACAAGATGTGGGTACTTTGGCAAGTTACTTATTCTTTCTGAGTCTTATTGACTTTACTATAAAACAGAAGTGGTGATAGCAACCTTGGAGAGAGTATATAAAGCTCTATGTGCAGTGGTTAGAACAGAAGTCCCCATGAAGAAGCTATCATTATCATCAGCATCTTCGTGGGGTTTTCTGTGTGTGTGTTTGTGTGTGTGTTTATGTATAAAATATTTTTTCTTTAAAGTTGGGGTTTTACTTTTAGATAATTAACCTATCACCTCAAACCTAATAGTTATTCCCAATTTTGTATATTTTTATATTAGGCATTATTCCCATATTGCAAATTATCATTATAGTATTTTGTAACGATTTGCAACATTCTTAAATATGACTACCATGTCCTAAATCAAACATTTCTCTGGAGTCTTCAGCCTGTCTCATAAAAACACCTCACAAATATAGCCTATGTCTACAGCGAGGATCAAGTTTGTTAGGCCTAATTTTTAGGACCCAGTACCAATGCGTTCAAGGTCACAGGTTTTCCCATTGCACTTCATGTAGGCAACAACTGTCTTTGCAATGAACACCTAGTCATCAGGTGGACACCATGCATGATTCATCACAGTGACTAAGCAAGAAAGCAGATATAATTTGAATATAATCATCACCATCTCCGACATAGCAATTCCAAGGAGTTATCCTATTAGGAATGAATAGAAGTATCCTCATAAGCCTGAACATATACCTTCGGGCCAAATACTATTTTCTCCATTTATCTTCTGTTTATTCTTTTAATTTAAATAAACTTTTGGGAGAATGGTTTTAGATTTACAGAAAAGTTACAAAGATTTTACAGAGAGTTCCAGTGTACATTGTATCAGTTTCCCCTATTGTTAACAACTTACATTACTGTGGTGTATTTGTCAGAATTGAGTCAACACTGGTATATAACTATTAATTAAACTAAACTACATGCTTTATTTGAATGTCACCAGTTTTTTCACATCCTTTTCCTGTTTCAAGATCTCATCCAGAATACTACATTACATGTAGTTATCACATCTTCTTAGTGTCTTCTGATGTATGAGTGTTCAAGACATTCTTTGCTTTTGATGACCTTGACAATTTTGAGGTGTACTGATCATACATTTTGTAGGATATCCTTTAATTTAGGCTTGTCTAATGTTTTTTTCATAGTTACATTAAGGTTATTATTTTTGAGGAGGTCTCCTGTTTACATGAGTGTTCTTATTGTATTTTGTCTAGCTGAGAGTTCAAAGAAGCCTTTCTGTGTGAGGCGATATATGGGATCATCCTGATTTATTTAGCTCTCCTTGTTCAATTTTACTTAGTGATTAAGATGAAAGCTATCCAGATAACTACCACAGTGGGTAAGATAACGCAAGCAAATAACCATGCAAAACAGAAGACAATATTTTTAGCTTATTTTTCTGAATATGTAAAAATCCCTCCCCAGGTATATTTTCCTGAATCCTCTTGCACGCCAAAGACAACCGCTCACCACATATTATTCTTCAGTATGTTTCTTTTATTTTGTATGCATAAAGGTCAACCTGAAATATACATCAAACCTGAATGAAACATCCTCTTTCCTTATGTAACATACCAGTGCTTGAAGTTTGCTCTTCCAGCATTATTTGTTTAATAGAAATATTTTCCATACCACCTGGTTCTGGCAGAAAGTCAAAATTTGCATTTATATGAGGTAGTTTATCAAATATAACATACAGAAGTCTGTTAAGTACACATTGCATTTTGTTTGTGAGAAAATCTGTTTGTATTTAATGTAGTTTTTAAATTAACCTTAATGAAAGCTTCTGAAAATTGTTGTTCTAAGCATTTGAAATATGCAACAAGAACTGGTGGAAGGCATAAACATGTTTTCCATTATATGTTATCTGATAGCCCAAAATTACTACAAAGAAGAATGTGGGACTATGTTAAATTAGAAAGATAAGCAAGCATTTAGTTAAAAGCAAAGGTCTTTAGAAGAGGAAAGCATCTAACACAGTTAACCCTGAGCATCTTATAACCATCTTCAGTCGGAGGTATTTTAGCATTTTTAAGTTAGAATATTACTTACTGTACATGGAAACTAAGGTAATTTCCACCAAATTCTAACATTTTACTTCTCAATCTTAGACTTGCCAAATACTCAATGATTCACCTAAGGCTCCCTAAAGTGCTGAGAATGGTAGTTTGGAGCATGAACCCATCTGTCTTGTGTCTCTTAAGATAACAGTTCATCCTGCTCTCGTGTTTTCACTTTTCATTCCTTATAATGTTTTCCTTAGTATTATTGTTTTGAATTTCAACGTATCCCAGTGATTTTCACATAGATGGCTCCGCAATCATGGATATAGGGTTGACATTCATTTCTAGTAGACCACGATGTTTTCATCAACTGGGGCAAACCCAAGTGTCTTTTGGGTTTGGACAAGTTATTTACATAAGTGAAGGCAGCTAGCTAAGTGCTGAGGTGAACACAGTGCTCAACTGTAAAAAAGGAAATTTCTGCTTGCCTTGATCTCATCTTTGCTATGTAGATCAAAATGCCCGATATTTTCAGAGAGTGAATGTTTTTTAAATTTAAGCTAGAAATCCAGATACTTGTATTTTAGGTGTTAAAAACTAACTTTGAAATGTATAAAATATTGTGCAGGCCACAAATTAGGGCTAGAGTGCCATTATGCAGCCTGTGCATAAAGTACAATAAATAAAAAATATTAATAATTGGCTAATTCAAGTACAATCAGGGAAAATAACTATTCCTTGAATAAATATTATATTTCTTTGAATGGAAAGTTATGCCTCTTTTAAAATAAATCAGATGTTATTAAAAGTTATTGCTCTTCAATGCTTATAGCATTTGACAAAGTCTGGGCTATGGTTCCTAAAGAAAGGATTTGCTACACCTTTGATTGTAAACTTATTTGAAGCCATTGCAGTGTTGTTCTAATAGTTTAATAAAAAGTCTTAAAACAAAGTTTTATATTCAATAAATTCCACCTTTGATTAAACTATCTAACAATTTTAGCTTCGTAAACCTCTTATCTCCTAACCTTAAAGTTGTTTATTCATAATTTTCATCATATGTCAGCTGGTCTAAAACTTTAAATTGATTAAAGCTATACATAGAGGGTCTGAGCCTCCATAGGATTTGCCACTTGTACATGGCACATGTTGCTCTAAACAGTCATATCTAGCAGTGACCTCTTAGCTTAGTGACCAGAGGGCTTTGCTTGGGACAAAAGGAGGTATGTGAATCTATGAATTTCTGTGTTAAGATCTGTCAAGGAAAGCAGTCCACACTTCATTCTTTCCTTACAATCACAAAAGTGGAAAAACAAAAGGCTGTTGTTCATCCACTTTCTACAAGTTTTTCTTCTCCCTCCTACCTACAGCAGGGCCCTCTGACAGCTTAGGAAGAAACTGGTAGAGCTGGATGTGAATGGTATTCCTCTTCCCTCCTCAACCCAAGTCTAACACAATCCTCTCAAGAGTAAACTTTGAGTTCTTTGTCACTTTTATCATGTCCCCAGATTTTTCATTGTAGCCTAAAGTGAACATTTTCAATAAGAGAATAATTTCACAAATTTATTACTATTATCTCTATAATACATTTGAAGTATGATTTAATATGTTTGAGGGAGATGTTATGGATAAGAGTTGCTTAGGATTTGGGAGTTATATATTTTTTAATGTAAATAATTTCCTTTTATGAGTCTTTTCACCCTAAGTTATATTTCCCATTATATTTTGAGATTGTTCCCATTCTATTTTGAGATTAAAACAGTATTGAAACAATCTCAAAATACAAAACAAAATACAATTGAAACAATCTCAAAATATAATGGGAAATATAATTTAGGTGAATATAATTGAATTACATTCAATCTCAAAATATAATGTAGACAGCCTCCAGCCCCCCACTGCCACCAGGCAGTTCTGAGAGAAATTACACATTCATACACATGAAAATGTGTGATTTTGTCTATGAAAATTTGTAAGATGGCACATACAATAAATGTTCATATGCTATTACAGAACTTAGTTTTAAAAGAAAAAAACTCATGTAAATATCTTCAGAAACCCCAGTACAGCTTTTCAAATAATCTCAATGGCAGAAAATGCTTATCTTGTGTCTATGGTTATGATTAAAAAAAAATACCCACACCTGGTGAACAAAACAGATAACCTTAAATTGGGCCATACACTGAGTTACAAAATAAAAGACTAAAATCTAGTATTTTCATGTAACAGACATGCATTAAGTGCCTATCTAATGCAAAGGAAACAATCCAAAATGACAACCAAACCATAGAAGGTATATAGGTTCACAGTGTTGAAAAGAACACTATTAATTTGAAAATGTATTATGTTTCATCATACCTTAATTAATGAAATTAGTTCATTTGATTGCTTTTAGTCATTCTAATATAACACGAACAATGCTAATACTAAAATTATTAATCCAATATATTCATTTCTATGGCTATTTTCTTGATACATCAGTGGATTTTACTATTAGCTTGTTTGGCTGGTAAAGAATTATAAGAAGTGAAATGCATAAAGTTGAAGGACAGACAAAATTTGAGTTTGTTACTGATGTTATCAACGTTTAAGTCCTGTAGTCCATTAATCATCTGCATTAAAAGCAACTGGCAATATTTGTTAAAAACATAAACCCTTGGGCACCATGCTAAAATTCATTTTTATTATCACCAGGTTATTTTCTTATAGACAAAGAATTGAGAACTAACAGTTTACATATAAAGAAATCATTATAATGAGTTCAACACTTCTCCAGTGGGTCTTAGAAATTCTTCACAGTAAAGTGGAATTTCACTATTAGGTTGTTTGCTGTATGAAGATGTTCTTATTTGCTAACAATTATATTACAGCCACCAGATTTTCTCTAAAAATCTATTTGATACATCTCTATTTCCTGTGAAGCATTTATTTACCACAGTTAGTGATTTCCTGTTTTTAATGTATGTTTAACTGTAATATCTCTTTCATATGCCATATCGTTCCAAAAAAATCGTTCAGAAAGCTTAATACAGTATAAATAATTACAAAATTATAATTTTGGCTGTTAATCCCTTGTCTCTGAATGTTTAAGAAAAAATATACCATATGATGCTTCTGCTTTTCTCATTTATGATCTCGTGTTTGATCTACTTTGATGGGCGGTTTAAAGAATGCCTTTAACCTGCATGTCACTCTGGTTATAACGAATATACAACCAATAATTATCCACTTCAGGTATGTCCTTAAAGTATATTTTATCTTCACACAAAAAAAATTTCATAAAATATTAACTTCATAAAATAGAGTTAATATTTTTATACTTAACCTTGTCTGTTTTACAATGAGACATGCAAATAGTTTAATAACATTATTTGCTTATACTTGTTAAGGTTCAAACAACCAGTTGTTATATAGGAACAAATAAGTCTTATCCGTTTCAGAAGACACTACTCTGTTAGCGTACAATAGCTAATATCAAACCACTAATAGATTTAACCTTGTAAGTTCATAGATATTTAAAAGAGTTATGGTTTGAAGGTCAACTTGTCTGTCTTACTGTAAAAGAAAGGCAAAGAAATGAAGAAAAATTAGAAAGAATTAATTCTTCAAAAAGTTTTCACAAATCAAAACCCTGCAGTTTCACACTGAGAACAAAAGAAGCATATTAAACACCAAAGTTTATCAAGACAAATTAGGTCCCAGTTTCAAATTTTCTTTAATCTTTTGCATCTGAACAGTTTTTTTTGCTTCATGCTGTTTTCCCTAGTTAAATGTTAAAATGAATTCTAGCCAATACCATTGACTTCCTCCCTTAAAAATATTGAGACACATAATAAAAAATTAATTACTTCCCCTAATTTCCGTATGATTCTTTAAAAAGATGTAAAATTCATTTAAAGTAAGTGGTGACTTTGTCTTTGAAGATCACGACAATTAACATGGATCAAAGCTTAGGTTCTGTAACGATGATAGCTTATTAGCATAATGAAATTAACTTAGAGACAAGAATCTTTAATAGGTACAACAAAAATGCTTTAATAATACTTGAAGAAAATTATGTATTTGCTAGAAGTACAACAGTTTCAGATTTTCTATCCAATTAATAAGTTGTTAATTAACTCCTTTTCCAAACAATGCACACTTTAAGCTAACATCTGCCCATTGGAATATTCTATTTATAGTGCTTCATTTTTTGTGAGGGTATAGTGGTTTTGCCAATGATACTTTGTATTTTTTTTACTATTATGAAAATTCAAGTTTACCCTTCTATACTATAAATCCAATATTTCATCATCAAAATAGAAAAAGGCTTAAAGTCCTATCTTGGGAAGGAAATTAAGATTTCAAAATACGATTGCAATTTGACTGGTAGTTCACACTGAAGGTCTTCAGCATTTCAAGGGCAGATTTTTTTTGGATAGCTTTGGGGTGCCTATAAAATTTGACTCATTGTTTAAACTCAAGAAGAAAAAAGAATCTATTAAAAATAATACTCATAATTTTGATTTGGGTGTACATGTTGGAAACTACTTGGATTTGAAGATAAATAAAAGAATGATTTATTTTTTTCCAGCAGCAAGTCTTAATAATCATGTTTTCATCCAAAGGCTGTAAAAAAAGTACTTTGTCATTTTTATAACCATTCATTCATTAATCTATTGTTTATTGAACACTAATATTCATTGCAAGTGCCAGGAACTAAGAGTCTCCAAGTTTTAAAAAGAAGGAGGGTTGTGTTGTTCCAGGTGCTGTTTTCATTGTTGCTGGTGTTATTGTTTCAGTCAAATAGTTGATTTTCTTTTTGCCCAGGTAGCCGAAATGGGTACTCTGTCCAGGTCCTTTACCTCTGTTATATCTGATTGTTATAGTATTTTTCTGACACTCATAATTGAGCATAATCCAAAATCAAAAACAAAACAGAACAAAAAGCAATTACATAGATACTTAACAGAAGACTAATTTTTTAAAAATATTATAATTTGACAAGGAATTATTGCACATGCCTTCCTCAGTTCCATCTCCTAAAAGCTCTTTCTCTTCCCCGTCTATATGGGGTCTGCGGTTTTCTAATTCATATATGTTGGCAATATGCTGTCTAAGTGCTTTGTTTTCTGGATCTAGAAATTAATAAGTAGCCCCTAATCCCAAAGATATTATGCTGCCCTCAATCCACATAAATATCAAGTCCCCTGGCTGCCTCTCTTGTCACCTGATACCTGCATGCCTTTGTCCAAACAGCTACACTATAAGCTCCTTTTCTATCAGATAAGGGCCCAAACCAGAAGCACAAAAATTGGTGCCATAGTAGACATACAGAGGGAAATACCAGGAGACTAGCAATCTCAAGATAGTCAGTGATTTGATGAGTACATAACTCAGAGGTGCTTTCTGGTGTAGCCCTCAAAATAGACTAGATTATGATTTTAGAGAATTCCAACCAAGCAGTGTATAAAACCCATGTCTTTTTTTTCTGACTAGCTGGTAGCTCTATCTCCCTACCTGAGCTCTAAGAACATTTTGTACTTTTATTTGAAAATTTACCAAATTCTATCCTGTCAGTATGGCTATTTTTGAAGATTTCTTATCCACTACTTAACTATTATTGGAACCCTACTTTAAAAAAAAAAAAAAAAAGAAGAAGCATGTTGGCTTTAAACTATGGTAAAATTAAATCTAGGGCATTTGGAGAAATACCCTAGCTTCTCCCCTTTTCCTGTCCTCCAATCTCCCACCAATAACTCCATTGGCCAAACCTTGATGGAAGCCCTGTGGACACAGGGACTTGGGAAATGTAGTTTGCAGAGATTGGCCACTTTAACTATAAGGCAGAGCAGAAGAAAGGCACAAAATGGATATGAGAAGGACTGGCACAATTTGGCTAAAAAGTTAACTTTTTGTTAGCCACAGGTATTGAACACAAAAGAATATTACTGAAATAACATCTTCACTGATTTCCTTACCATCTGTTTGGCACTTTAAGGCCCACTCACCATTCTGCATGATACCAGGGATATCGTTCTGAAATGCAGATCTGATCATGCCATCTTTCCCATTGTAACATCCTTCAATTCATTCTCATTCTTTATATTGTGCAGTTGAACCTTGAACAATGCAGTGGTTAGGGACACCAAACAGCCCAAAATCTATGTATAACTTTGGACTCCCCCAAAACTTAGCCACTGATAGCCTATAGTTGACCAGAAGCCTTACTGATAACATAAACGGTTAACACATATTTTTAGGTTATATGTATTATATACTATATTCTTACAACAATGTAAACTAGAGAAAAGAAAATGTTAGTAAGAAAATATTTTTACTCTTCATTAAGTGGAAGTGGATCATAAAGGTCTTCATCCCCGTCATCTTCACGTTGAGCAGGCTGAGGAGGAGGAGGCAGAGGAAGGGTTGGTCTTGCTGTCTCAGAGGTGGCAGAGGTGGAGGAGGTTGGAGGGGAAGCAGGAGAGGCAGGCACACTTGGAGTAACTTTTATTGAAAAAATATGCATATAAGTAAACCCAGGCAGTTCAAGCCCATGTTGTTCAAGGGTGGATTGTAAATCTTGAGTTCATCACAGAAGAAGTCTCTAGCACCTCCCTCTGGTGTCAAGATATACCCTCTGCTCCACCATCAGTTAACCACCTGTAGCTTTAGATTGCTTCAAACTATTGTAGACCACTGTGTCTCACATGGGCCTCTTTGCTTGAAATGCCAGAAACCTCCCCTTGCTCACCCTATTACAGCCACCACCAGGCATGGTGGCTCACATCTGTAATCCCAGCACTTTGGGAGGCCAATGTGGGTGGATTGCTTGAGCTCAGGAGTTCAAGACCAGCCTGGGCAACATGCCAAAACCCCATCTTTCCCCAAAATGCAAAAATTAGCCAGGTGTGGTGGTGTGTGCCTGTAGTCTCAGCTACTGGAGAGGCCAAGGTGAAAGGATCGCTTAAAACCATGAGCAGAGGTTACAGTGAGCCAACAACACACACGCACACACAACTTAACCTTTATGCCCCTAATATGACTGAAGGGTCTTTTTGTGTGCCACTTTGAACTCTGGATATACCTCCATCAACACATTTTACTGTAATCATTGTGTTTATATTTGACATTGAGTATCCTGTGCAGGATGTTAAAGTACATGAAACTTCAGGACTGTACCTCCTAATTGTGAAACATGAATGCCCATCACATAGGAGGGGAGCAATAAAAGATTACTGAATTAGTAAACAAGTGAACGAGTGATCTCTTAAGCATATTTGATGACAACCTATTCACTTTATAAGTCCCACTGCTATGAAGAAAACCGAACAAAATTGAAACAAAAGTTAATTTCATTATTAATATAAAAGGAAATTGTTCCTTAAAGGTGTTTCTAAGCAGTAATTAAAATATCTTACAATGATCTCCTCTAAATAAAAGTAGACTTAGCCCATGTCTTGTTTCACTGAGCATTCTCTTTTAATGTAATCTTTCCTTTCTTTATGTGAGCTTTGCCACTCTCTGCTTTGTAAGGTTGTGCACAGCTGTGTCCTGAATTTGAATTTCCCTTGATGACTTTGTTCTTTTTAATGTTGTTGTTTTTGTTTGTTTTCAGAACAATTTATGCTTCACACTTAATTTGCATGTTTTTTTCCAACTTCATGAGTTTGAACAAGAATACTTTTCTGTTCTCATATGACAGCTCAGCAGGATAATGTACTGTACTTAAAAGAAATTGTTTTGTTTTTCTCAAGTGTAAAAGGTATTTTTCGTGAGTAACCACCGTCTTCCAAAAGTACATCATACAACTAATAGCAAGGGAATCCCTAAGAAAAAGGTAAAAATAAAAGAGGAATGAATAAATACAGAAATAAAGAAAAGATAATGAATGAATGAATGAATGAATGAGAAAAACGAGGCGGGGGGCAGGAAGGAGAAAGCCAAAGCAAAGAATGTTTCTCCTCCCTTGCATTTACTTATCATGTTTTGACCATAAGGACCTTTGTAGCAATACCTTAAACTGTGTTACCCCTAAACCAAACCCCCCCCAAAAAAAAAAAAACCACACACACACAAAACTAAAAACTAAACTTAAGGCAGGATCTTGCACAGGGTAGGTATGCATTAGAGTGCTCAAGGGCTGCTACAGTGAGAAATCTAAAAGTATGTTAAAATCTTGGCCACTGAATGAGTAATGCCATTATAAAAGACTATTAGAACACATAGAGGGGCATTCAATTCCAGTTATTGATACAATCTGATTTAGAGTCTGAATAATATAATGATCCAAGAATACATTGCTTGAGGTCTTTCAAAATACTATATGAAAAGCTGACAATCATCTGTGAAATCTCTACTTGATTTCGCTTAGCAAAAATTGTTTATTTTAGTGAAAATTTTTCAAACAAATGCTAAAGTAAATAGGGTGATATACTAATTTATATATAGCCATTGTCCAAATTTAACAATTCCCAAATATGAGTCAATATTATTCCATAAATCTCTATTCTCTGACTTTGGTCATCAATAATTTTATTTAGCTGGAGTGTTTTAAAGCAAATTCCAGACATCATATCATTTTACCCATAAGTGATTCAATATGTATTTCTAAAAAGTAAGGGCCATTTTAAGCATAACCACAATGTCATCAAACATCTAAATCATTAAGCAAATACTTAACATCATCATTGTCCAGCCCACACTTAAATTTCCGCTAACTTTTTCTTAGATGGTGTGCTCAAATCAGAATACAAACAAAATCCACACTTTGATTTGATTTATACATTTCTTAAATTTTATTTAACCTTTAACAATTGACCCTTTTTTGTTGAATGAGTTAGGTCCTTTTTCAAGTTGAATTTCACTTATTCTTCACTATATTGTCATTGACCTGTCTCCATCCTCTAGGTTTCTTGTAAACTAGTAGACAGAGTTAGAGTTTTGAGTTCATTCAGAGTAGTATATTTGGGAGGTGTTTGTGGAGGAAAGACACTTCATGGCTGCTGCTATGTGTTCCTTGTTGTATTACATCAGGATCTACGTAATATCTGATTATCCATTTGAACTGGCTTTTTGAAATTGATGTTTACTGAAATTATCAATGGACCCAGGTGTTGTCAGCCTGACACAACCATTACAAAATTCCTTATCAATATATTCATGTAAGTTTTGATGTAGATATTACATAGGTAATTATCTTATTGAAGGTTGCAAAAAAGTGACTTTAAATATTCTATTTTTTTCGTACGGAATGTTTCCCTCTTATGATGACAAGGTGAATTACTTTGAAACATACAATGGGATAAACGGAAACAGACCTGGAGGGAATCTATATTGGTGAAAATATTGAATCATTTTTCTTTGTTATTTGCCTGTGATAAGAGCAAATCAAAAATATTAGGAGATTTAGTAAATAATAGTCATTTTAAACTTTTAAATAAAATCTTATACAAGATTTATAAAGAAGTTGAGTTTGCTTCTATAACTTTTAAAAATAAAAGTTTTTTGATTTTAAGAAAATTGTAGATAATATGAAATTATAAGAAAAATACATAATGACACCATGTTCCCTTTGCCCAGTTATCTTTTATAGTATCACTTTGCAAAACCATACCATGTGATACCATGTGATCATGTGATACCATGATCATGACAAGAATATTGACATTGATATAGCCAAGGTGACATTTCCATCACTGTAAGAATCACACGTTTCCTTTCATAGGCTCCCCACCCATTCTTAAACTATGGCAATCACTAATCTGTTCTCCATTTGTATAATTTTGTCATTTTGCCAATGATATATAAATAAAATCATACAGCGTGTAACTTTTGGAGATTGCCTTTTCTTTTCACTCAGTGTAATTCCCTGGAAATTCATCCAGTGGTCATGTGTATCGATAGTTCAGTTCTTTTTATTGCTGAATAGTATTCCATGTACTACAGGTTTTTTAGCCATTCATACACCAAAGGACACCTAGATTAGTCCCAGTATCTGGTTATTGTGAATAAAGATTCTATAAACACTTACATACAGGTTTTTGTGTGGGTGTAAGTTTTTTATTTCTCTGATATAAATGTCCAGAAGTGCAATTACTGGGTTATATGATGTCTGCATATTTCATTTCTTTAAAAAACTGCCCAACTATTTTCCAAAGTGCCTATACTATTTTAAATTTTCACCAGCAATGTAGAAGGGATCCACTTTCTACTAATTGTTGCAAGCATTTGGTATTAGCACTATTTTTTTTATTTTAGCCATTCTGATAGGTATGTAGTTATATTTCCTCATTTTAGTTTATGTTTTTCTAATGGATAATTAGGTTGAATATCACTGAAGTTGTGTGGTTGCCAATATATCCCTTCAGTAAAATGTCTGTTCAGTAAAATTGCATTGCTTTGCTTTTTATTGTTGAATTCTGAGAGTTCTTTATATGTTCTAAATACTACTCTCTTGGAAGATATATGGTTTGCAAATATTTTCTCCAAGTCTGTAGCTCCTCTTTTCATATTTTTAATAGCATCTTTTACAAAGCAAAAGTTTTTAATTGTGATGAAGTCCAATTAATCTATTTTTTCTTCTATGAATTATGCTTTCAGATCTCAAAGATTTTCTACTATTATTTTTTCTAAATGTTTCATAATTCTGTGTTTTACATTTAAGTCCATGATGCATTTTTTTTTAATTTAAGATGTGAGACTTAGGTCAAGTTTTATTTATTTATTTATTTTTTGCCTATGGATATCCAATTGTTACACCATCTTTTGGGGAAAAAGGCTATCTTTATTGAATTGCTTTTGCATCTTTGTCAAAAATTAGTTGAGTATATTTGTGTTCATCTAATAATGGGCTCTCCATCGTGTTCTATTGATCTATGTACCTGTCTCACCACCGTCACACAATCTTGAATACAGTAGTTATAATAATAAGTTTTAAAATTAGGTATACCTATTTCTCCTCTTCCATTTCTCTTTCTCAAAATTGTGCTAGCTATTTTAGTTTCTCTGCTGTTCCATATAAATTTTACAATAATGTTCTCTATATCTACCAAAGAATTTTGTTGGCATTTTAGTAGGAATTGCATTAAACTTGTGTATCAATCTGGTGAAAATAGATATCTTTACTATGTTGAGTCTTCCAACATATGAACACAGTATGTCTGTTTATTTAGATCTTCTTTGATTTTTTCAGCAACATGTTTTCAGCATATAAGTCCTGTATACATTGTTTGATGTTTGTGCTTAAGTATATATCTTTTTTGAGAAATTTTAAATGATATTGTATTGATTTTAAATTTTGCTGACCATGTATTCATTGTTAGCCTGTAGAAATACAATTTATTTTGGGCATTCATTTTTGTATCCTAAAAGCTTGTTAAATTCACTTAGTTATAGTAGCTTTTGGTTGAATCCTTAGGATTTTCTATGTATACAATCATGTCATCTTCAAATAGGGACAGTTTTACTTCTTCCTTTCTAATCTGTTTGGTGTTTATTTCTCCTTTTCTTATTACACAGGATAGGAATTCTAGCACCATATTGAATAAGAGTGGTGAGGGCAGATAGCCTTTGCCTTGTTTTCAATATCAGGGAAAGGCATTCAATTGTTCCCCAAGTATAAAATTATCTTTAGGCTTCTTGTATATGCTATTTATCAAGCTGTGTTGGTAGCTGATTAAACAGTGTCCAACCAGATTGAGGGTGGGCCTGCCTCTCCCAATCCACTGACTCAAACGTTAATCTCCTTTGGCAACACACTCGCAGACACACCCAGGAACAATACTTTGCATCCTTCAATCCAATCAAGTTGACACTCAGTATTAACCACCACAGTCTACATAAGATAGTTGATCTTGGTATACGTAAAGTAATGATGTAGGTCCACCTGCACGGCTCTGTCTACTTAGGATGTCCACCTTGTTGCCACTCAACCCACCCAATTCCCACCCCAGGCAAAATCACAATTTAGACTACACAGCCTTCTCTCTGATACCCTGAAAAAGGACTCCTCCTCCAGAAGCTCTAAAAGATCTTTGTTCAAAATGAACACAATGAATTCTGCACCTGGCCACTAAAGCAGTTGTCCACCCGCTTCATGGCAGAGCCTGGAGCATCATTAGTAAAGCAGCAAATACTAGGCATTACTCATCCAGCAGGCCATCTGCAAGGCGTCACTGTCAGACCCAGCTTGACACAGCAGCTTAAGGTCTATGATGTTGGCTTGGGGGCAACTGTCCAGGAAGTCCAGCTACTCTGAGCCTGCCCAGACTGAGGCTAACCAGCAGTTTATGTTGCACTGTCCATTTAGACTTTGACCAGATTATGTAAATTTTTATGCCAAAATCTATACACAATAAGAAACATGCCATCTTCTCTTCTGATACATCTTGCATGACAGAACACTAGTAAACATGTGCAGCAAAGTAAATTTCTTTAAAACGAGTCTTGTTTTCCTACTGATGTTATGATAATAAAACGGGCAGGAAGTCCTCAAAATATTCATGTTAATGAAATACTTACAACCCTTTCAAGTATTGATGAGGAAAGGATAGAGCTATTAGCCAGACCTACACACACTAGTTAGCTAGGGTCAAGAGTAGCACTGAGATTTCTAGTAGCCTTAGTCCCTGTGCGTATTACTTTTTCCCATGTTCTCTAAAGGACTGTGTGCTTAGTCAGAAAATCACTCCTTCAGTATGCCCATCATGTACCCCTCTCCTCAACTGAGCAGATAATTAACTCTCTCTCTTTCCCACAGTGGTTCTTAGTATTTCTAGGCTGTCAATAACATTTTCAGGGGTGCATCTTGAAAAAAAAAAAAACAGGCAAGATATTGTATTGTATTTTTAAGCTAATTTTTAAAAATTGACATTATTATTTGTCTATTTTCTTACTTTTCAAAAACCTAAACTATTGATAAATGAGGAAAGTATAATAGGAGGTATTATATTTTCAATGCTCTTTTTATTAAATAGAAAATTGTTAACTCTATGTCAGTCTCCATTGTTTTGTGTGATTTTGCTGGTCCATAAAATATAAGTCGGGGAACTACTTTGCAAAATATGCATTGCCATTTATTTGGCCTTGTATAATGTTTAGAGACATATTTCAAAATTCATTTGCCAAATTCAAAATGAAAGACAATCAACTAAAAGATACAGCTGAGAAAATACAAGTCAAGTAATATCATTTGTGAGTTGTTTTCACAATTAAGAGAAGCAAAACTACTATGTGAAAGTATATAACTACTATGTGAAAGTATATAAAAATATATCTGAAACAAAAAATAAAACAAAGTAATCATGAGACCCAACCTGTTGGATGGCCTGAAATCCCATTATATGTCAAATGTCTGGTATTTATTGAAAGTGAGTGACTGAATACAATCCTTCTAAGCATACTACAGCAACTGGAGTTACACACCGGCATTCCCTCAGAGCCCCCATTGACAGCTATAGAAACAAACTAATTCTCACTTTGTTTTTAATTTTAGTTGTCACTAACAATGCCTCCACCTTCTGGCTTAGCATCTCAATATTAACTTACAAGCATGAAACAAGAACTTAATCAGGGAATGTTTGGGGATTTACTTTTCAGCAGCTGAAATACTGAAGGTGAGGTATGAGCAAACATTTGGTGGTGTGGGACAGTAATTAGGTTCAGATAGAAGGTACAGAACTGCAGTGTTAACTAAATCTGTTCGTAACTAGTGTCTCATCTCAATTAGTGGGAAAAAGATTACACTGCAAGAGTGTATAAAGGTTGAGGCTTCTTGCATAAGAGTCCAGACTGTTACAAGTCCAGAGTCTTGTTAGCACTCTTGATACCTTCAAAAATGAAATGTGACTTGTTCCAGAAAACACTATTTTTTAAATTTTTTCTTTGTTTTTTAAATTATTACTGGCCTGTGCTACAAAACCAGGTTCAAGACACATGTGTGACCTAGGGAAGACAGAATCTCTTTCCTAAATACCATAAATCTTTACAGGCTATATGGAGGCTATTGTTCACTTATTAAAAAACTGTGAAGGATAAACAAAAGAAAATTGGACTCTGAAGTAGAGAGAGAAGATTCGTCTTAACACTCTCTTGTTATCCAGGTGAATAATTTTAGACTCACAGATATCTGCTGCTTCTATTCCCACACCTGGACTATGGTGCCAATATACATTCCACATTTTCCACAATGTGTTTGTGAGTCTGTTACTCTTTCATTAATATTTTAAAGTATGGAATTTTTAAACAAATACCTTTTCATTTGGTGGTAAAAATTTTTGTCATGCTTTCCTTTTTAGGTTTATAATTGATGGGCCTAATTGGATAGCTACATTATAAACAGAATAATTAAGGTCTAAACTACTGATTTTTCAAAGATCATCATTGCATCAGCCTCACTTAGAATGCAAATGCATGAGCCTCACCCTGGACCTGCAGAATCAGAATCTCTGCTGGTAGGGTCCACCTAGGAATCTGCATTTTAAAGAAGCTCTACCCATGATTCCAACACTCACTCAAGTCTAAGAATCCTTGGTCTAGGCTGCCTATTGTCAGAGAATAGTGTATAGCGGCAGAGCAGGGACTAAATCCATGGCCTGTGAATTCTAAATTAGACTTCCTCAAACTACATAAATGTAAGCAATTCTACTATTGAAACCACAATTTGAATTTTATTTTGGCTCTTTGGTTTTGTAAAATATTGTTGGAGAATGGGTGAAATACCCTGGGTAAGACCACAAGGGAAAGATTTCTGCTTGTTTATTTATAGCTTTCATGTACATAATCTGTATAATTCCTGAAATAAAAGAAACACCTTTATATTCTTGCAGTCATAACCCTCAATTATTAACTTCTCGGCTTAGTGCATTCTTATACAAAGTTAGAGGTCCTACTAGCTGAGTTTGTATTTGACAGAAGATTACATAAGGCAAGAAGAGACTCATGTTCAAAGCTTTTGGGAACAAGAATCTAAACCATTGAATTATATGGGGTAGCTATCCTTAAAGGAATAAAAAAAAAACATAAATGATATAATCCCATATGAACAAACCTATGCTTATCTCAGAAAGCAGGCTAGAATAACTAAAATGATGTTCTCTCCTTTTTTTATTCAAAGGCATCTAAATGGAATTGAGTAAATGAAAAAAAAAAAAGTAACAGCTCTTTTCCCTTTGGAGCCATTTGCTGGTTAAATTTGCTTGTAGAAGTGACCATGCTTCAGAATGATTAGCTTTGGTGAAGGTTATAAGCTACAGGTAAGCTCAGGACATCGCTGCCTTCTGCTGGAACAGTAGTCAGATGAGACTAGAGGAGCTGCGACACTGGGCCAGTCACCTCAGCTTGCCAGAAATTTGTTCTTTAAGCTCCAGGATACAGAATATGTACTACTTTTATATATATATACATATATATATATAAAATATATATACATATATTATTTATATATATTTATATTTATACATATATATGTATATATACACATATATATGATAAGATATATATATCTTATCATCTAAAAAATTAAAAAGCACTGCAATTGGTGGGAAGGAAGTACTGGTCTCCTTTTTTTTCTAAAAGTAGGAGTTCCTAAGCTTAATTTTTTTCAACAATTAAAATAAGAGATTAAAAAAATTCCTATCTTAAGATGCCGGCATCCTATTCAACTTTTCCTACTTCTCCTAAGTTTATTAACATGCTATCTTCTGTCATTGCAAGGCATAATCTATCATAAACAAAATTGAAAAACAATTGCTTAAGGATTCATTATGTACTAAACATTGCTTCTCATCAAATTGTATTACATTTATTTGCAAATAAAAACAATGTGTGCCAGGAACCTGACTAAAGTATTTTAAGGAAACATTTAAAATTACAAATACAATTTCACAATAGAAATAAAATAATTGTATGAAAACTACATCATTCTAAGCATTTATAAATTTATTCCCTCTCTAGAGCATTCAAATGAAACACAAAGACAATACATAACTCAATAAATAACAATATACAACACAATACAAGAATAAAGGAATTAAGAAGGGTAGAACCCAGTACGACAATAACAGGCGAGCATTTAAATCAATTTAGTTGTCATTTTTTTCCCATTGCACCAAATTATACCTGTGTATTTGGGCATGTAAAAATTATGGTGGTCTGAAGTCTAGAATGCCTGAAATAAGATGGGATGGGTTTGAAAAGGCTATGAGGAAATGAAATTATTTAGCAGAGGTTGAGAGAAAATAAAATTAAGATTCAATCAATGATATGAATAGAGAATGTGGTTAAGGTCAATGGTGTGTAGTACTCAGCGCTAGCTTCTAAAAAGTCATGGGGCAGTCACATTTTCCATTGCCTTTCTCCTGGCTCTTGGGAACTGCTGACTGTCCAGGAACTTCACACCATGGTTCTCACTTGACATCCATATATTAATCAGAACATTTTGGTTGCATGTGACAGAAAATCAACTCAAACAGACATAATGAAACAATGATTGAGGTGAGGGAGGCTCAAAGAGTGAAAAGTTTAGGTTAGTTTTATGTATGACTGGTTGCAAGCACACATAAATTCATACTCCTTTTTACTCGGCACCCTTTCTCAGTTCTGCTTTATTCTGGGTTAACTTTATTTCACATAGGCTCTTCTTCTATGATGACAAGATGACCTCCAAAAGCTCTAGGCTTTTGTTGAGACCACTCAACAACACTAGCATGGAGACTCCTTCTCACTGGGTTTCTTTGGCTCCAACTGGCTGATTGTGGGTCACACACTTATTGTTTAACCAATCACTGTGGCCATGGGATGTAATGTTTTTTTTTTTTTTAGCAGATGCAAGTCACAATATTTTCCTTAGAACTAACTGGGTGATGTGAACCTCAACTAAATGAGTTATGAGTAGGGAAGAATTGGTTTTCCTAGGAAAATTAGAGTGACTTCAGCCAAAAAAAAAAAAAAAAAAGAGAGAGAGAGAATGAATGCTAGATTAAAATGAGTGTCTAGTGAAGCCTACAGTTTTGAGCAGTGACTCACAGTCCAGACCCTTTCTTACCTCCTACTCCCTAACACAAGAGTCTTATATTTTGTTCTTCACGACGCTCCTAAAGGAATAAACTTCCTCAAGTACGCACTGTACCTGTCATTGCTTCACTATCATAGCCTGGGAAATTCTGGAATTATGGCAAGGAGTCCCTGGGTCTTATTCACTGCAATTTCATCTCAAAAGTTTCCAGTCATAGTGTTTGTTATTACTGTTATTACTGTTGGGTATAATTTGGCTGTGTCCCCACCCAAATCTCATCTTGAATTGTAGTTCCCATAATCCCCATGTGTCATGGGAGGGACCGAGTGGGAGGTAATTTAATAATGGTGGTGGTTACCCTCATGCTGTTCTCATGATTATGAGGGAGTTCTCATGAGATCTGATGGTTTTATAAGGGGCATTTCCCTCCTTTGCTTGGCACTTCTCCTTGCTGCCACCATGTAAAGAAGCACGTGTGTGCTTTCCATTCCGCCATGGTTGCAAGTTTCCTGAGGCCTCCCCAGCCATGCTGATCTGTGAGTCAATTAAACCTCTTTTCTTTATAAATTACCCAGTCTTGGGTATCTTTTTATTAGCAGTGTGAGAATGGACTAATACAGTAAATGTAGCTAAGATTTTCTTTCTTATTTTTAGCTGGTATCTGATTTGCCCTTCTATAGTTTACCCATTGGTTCTAATTCATCCGATGAAGCCATCCAAATCTGTCTATTATGTGTTCTACACACATCTTCACATTTTTAAAGCAAGTTTATTCAACTACTGTGAATATGTCATGGCTTCCAGAAATGTGATGCCCAATGATTTATTTATGCTCATTTTTTTCCTCCCTCTGTTATGCTATTCTTTATACCTGAACTCTATTTTGGTTGAACCTTAGATGGCAAGATTTTTCATTGTTGTTTTTAATTTGCTTACCTGTTCATTTTGTTTACACAGTCTCAGGAAGTCAAGGAAGTAAGAGTTCAACCAATATTAAGTAAAGAATTGTTATCTCTTTATATGATCACTTATCATCTATTGGCTTCATATTTGAGAGCAATAAAATATACCAGTTTCAGCTATGAAACAAAAATATTCGCAAATTCTGCATTCATATATGCTTTTCTTTCTTCTTTCATTTATCAGGTTGTTTTACTCCAAAACAAACAAACAGGCAATTTGATTCTAACAGAGAATGCATACTTTATAATCTCGTAGTCTACAAAAATTTTATTTATTGCTGCAAATGGTTGGGTTCCTGCTTGTATGCCATGGGAACTGAATTTTTGCCCTAATGTTTTGGCACATCTTCAGTATACTTACCACTGTAGGAGTGGTGTGTATCCACAATTATGTTATTTGAAAAGAATCTTTGTACTGGAAAATCCCATTGAGATGTAGCATTGCATTTCCAAGGGTGCCTTGGGACAAGAAAGAATGGGGCAGCGATATACAACCATTTGGTTACATCATTCATACCAGAGAAATTGTCATCCTACTGCTGACGGGGAACACTTGCATTTCTCTATTATCAAAGATTTTGCAGAACTGCTCACCCCCCTCTATTCATTTCATTCCAGCTGTTCTAACACAAGGAATCAAGCAGATTGTTTCATTTTTTTGAGCATACATTAAAAAAGACAAGGCCATCATTTGGGGGGCTTTTGAAGGGTTTTTTGCTCAGTTTGGACTGTGTGTGGAGCAAGCTCACTGCCTTATAACAAAAGCATAAAACTCCGTGGTGACAGGCAAGTCAAAGGCTAAAGAACTTGTTAAAAGGAAGAACTCCTAAATGTTAAGCATTTAGGAATAACAAGAGAAATGAGAAAAAAAGCAGGGAAAAGGTAAACGAGAACATCAGAAGGAATGTGCACTGGCCCAGCACTGTGTGCTTTTATAATCCTTTGGGAAAATGCACTCATAAGGCTCAGTGGCTCCTTCTGGAATTTCCCCTACATCAGAGAACCAAAAGATTGTTCTTGTTTGAGCTCGTGCTTTGTGCCTTCCAAGTATGCATAGATTTGGAGGGGTTTTTTTTTTTTTGGTACTAAAATATTAAAATTGTTTTAGAATGTATCAGATACATATCAAATGTCTGATATGTATCAAATGTCTGATACAATCTTGTCATGTTATCTTGAGACATAAGCCTTACCCTCTCCTTGAGAATCTTCCATTTCTTCGTATGGTATTCTTGCCTCATTATACTTTCTGTACACACCACAGATATCCAAATATTCTCTTTCCTTTTCACTTTCTGTACATATTTTCCTATTATTCTTGAATGTCAAATACAAGAATACATACTACTGGCCGGGCACAGTGGCTCACGCCTGTAATCCCAGCACTTTGGGAGGCTGAGGCAGGTGGGTCACGAGGTCAAGGAATCGAGACCATCCTGGCCAACATAGTGAAACCCCATCTCTACTAAAAATACAAAAATTCGCTGTGCATGGTGGTGCACACCTGTAGTCCCATCTCCTCAGGAGGCTGAGACAGGAGAATCGCTTGAACCCGGGAGGCAGAGGTTGCAGTAAGCAGACATCGCACCATTGGACTCCAGCCTGGGGACAAGAGCGAGACTCCAACTTAAAAAAAAAAAAAAAGAGAGAATACATACTACCACTGCTTTTCCCCATACCAATGTGAGACATTGCAAATTAATCATGGAAATCTTAAGGTATATGAATCATTTTTAATATGTGTTCCAGGAAGTCATCATCATGAGAGCAGAGTTGAAAAGTAAGATGAAATAAATTTTCACATCCTGGCTCAGGAATGTGAAAACTTAGGAATTGGGAGGGCTCCCAAAATACTTATTTGATCATGAATTTGGGGAAGAATATATATATATCTATGTTTGGTCCAATAGTAATGGTAAAATTGATTCTCAGTTCCAAATAATTGTAGAAGGCAACATTTTATCTTCCATTAGGCTTAGCTTTTAGTCACCAGATACACAGAGATTTAGTATTTGAGAATTCCCACTGATTTTTTAAAGTCATTTTCAGACAAATTTTTAAAATGCACTATATTCATTTGTAAACTATAGAATAGAATATAATCATTGCATTTGCCCTTTCTTCTCCAAACTCTCATTCCAGCCTCACTGCCTGCACTAGTGTTAACTGGAGAGTTTGGTTTCATCTTTCTGAGAGGTAAGACATTTTTAAAAGCTGTTACTTCTATCTAGAAAGTACTCTTTTGGGTGGCTTGTCTATTGACTCACACCTTGTTTCACTCTTCCCTCCCATAATCCTAGTGGGATTTGAGGTCTTCTTCCTTCTAATTTAACACAGTCACTAGGAATCCCAGGGGCCCACATATGGGCCAGCTTTCTTTACCATTAACGGGCTACATTGCACATTGGTTTCCCTATGAAATCACTAATAAGGGTATATTTATCTAGTGTATTCTCTCTTCCACATATACTCCTTGAAATCATGCAATGGAGATAGGTAGTTAAATTCAAGGACTTAGTGATCCTGATCTTGGCCACAGACTCACAATCAATATGACAATGTCAAATTAAGGTGAGTCTGTGCAAGGTATGTGTGGGAGAGCATGGGTTGAAGAATTTTAATGTCTTGATCCTGGCCATAAACGAAGATATATAACAGGTAGTTAATTGAAGCAATTTATTATTTGAAGAGATCACTCCAGTCTGAAAACAAATACCTAGGAAAGGCTCTTAATTTGCTAACTTGTGTTTCATGATTTTAAATACAGTATTGTTGAGCTATACGCTCTCCCTGGTAGCTCAGGTTCCCAGCCTAAAGAAACTAAGAGGTCAGTCTAGGGTTCCTGGCTCTTTTTATCTAGATCAAAATAAGTTAACATTTTTCCCATTGTTTTCTCTCCAACAAAACCACCTCCTCAATGTTTCTGACCTATGCTAAACACACACACACACACACACACACACACACACACGAAAACATCATTTAACAGAAACAAAACTTAATCCAAAAGCCTGGCCTGCCCAACTTCTTTTCAAATTATTATGAGTCATTTCTCCCTCCAATTTCTGGCATCTTCTGAATTCGTGCTCATTGAATTGCTGTTTAAAGCTATATCTTTAAACCTGCCTTGGGCTCTTCAAACTCTTTTCCCTTTAGCCTTCCACCTGCCCAAAGCACCCACAAACACATTGCTAATTTTGTGTTTTGTTTAATTAGAGAACTGTGGGTTTATGAGTCATGGGAAAAGGAGATTGTGTGCAGCCAAATTAAGTTTAAATTACTCTTTGGATATTCCTCTCCTTGTAAGCTGTGGTGACCACTCTACCACTCAGAGAAGCTTTGCTGGGTTCTGAAGGAACCTAATGAGAAAGTGTTAGAGTCAACTTTGTGGGAGAGGAGAAGAATGGGTCTTGTGCTTATTAGTTGATGGAGGATCCAGCAGATTAAAATACACATTCACCATCAAAAACCGCTGTCTTTACTTGTCTATCTGAGTCAATGATGCTTGAGGATATAAAACCCAGATCTATCTTTCCTCTCTCACTGCAACTCAAATGCCTTTACACCTTAGTCTCAACTAATGATTTTCAAAGTGGGTGAGCAAAGCAGACCAGTGATTTGTGCTAACGAACTACTAAAAATGGTATTTATTTGTTTTTATCCTCTAAATATTATTGTCTGGGTTTTATTTATTGTACATTTATGAGAGTTATTAAAAACACATAAATAAATAGATACTGTGAGGGTGTGACCTACTTATTTTATGGCTTGAAAATTGTTGGAAGTCTCCAACTAAACAGCTGTCTGATAACATACATTTGGGGAATGTGCCCAAGAGAGTGACAGCTTTCTCCTCTCCACAGTAATTGACTCCTCCTCCACAGTTATTGACTCCTCATCCCCAAAGTAATGCCACTGCCCTGAGCAGTGATTGAGGGTTGTTATTAGATTTTTAAATCTACTTTGCAGGTAGTACCAATATTTCTGTCTCCTTCTTGTGGCCTTTCCCTTTCTTCCACCATGTCTCTTCAAACTTATCTTTGTTCAGGGTGCTAAGCAGAACATATCTCTTTATCTCTTTCACTTCAGAGAGAAAGCTTGGCACTATTCTCTCTCTCTCTCTCTCTCTCTCTCTCTCTCTCTCTCTCCCCAACTCTCTCCCTCCCTCCCTCCCCCATTCCCCTTTCCTTTTATCTCTTTAGAAGAAATTAAAGCAATTTTTAGTATGTCTGGGCAGGGGATATGGGATATGTCTCAGATAGTATATAACAAAGAAATTCTTCTCTCCTGAATTGAATCATTTGCCATTTCTCACCCAGATGTGCTGGATTAAAACTTAATGTTTGTTAATGTTTGTACAACTTGACATAGTCCTTTCTCCTTCCCTATTTCTCTCTTAAACACAGTGAAAAGCAGAAGCAAGCATCATGAGATCTGCTTTATGTATTTACTTTTCTAATCAGTGTACATAGTATCTTATGTCTGGTAGCCATTCAATGAATATCTGTGGATTTGGCAGTGCTTACTCTATGACAGTGCTTTTTACTAATCTAAGGCATTGGTCCACCAACCTTGGTGCAAGTCAGAATCACCTAGAGAGCTTATTATAACCAACTGCTGGACTTAAACTTCAGAATTTCTGAATCTGTAGCTCCAAGGAGGGACTGTAGAATTTACATTTCTATCAAGTTTCCAGATGATCCTGATGCTGCTTGTTGGGAATCACACTTTAGGAACCACAGATCAAGGAAGTGTACTATATATTCTTTGCAAACATACAAAAGAAAGCAAGATCTAGAAACAAAGAGGCAGGATTAATTTTAAATGTGTATTTTCCTTATGATATTATGGCTTGTTATATCTCTAATTACTTAAAATAAAATATACTAAAATTAAAATAAATCATGAATAAATTTGAGATTTTATAAATTATTTGTGCTATTGCTATATGACAAAAATATAGATAATTGAAGATTTGGCTCTATATTCATAATAAGATAAATAGTATGTATATACTATATAATTTTAAATTTATTTTAAAGAGATAAGCTTATTTCTTTTGAACAACCGCCTTCAAGTTATAGGTAACCAACCACATTTTACAAATGAAGAAAAAGTTTCAAAGAGGTTAAATGAATAGTGAAGTTTACATTAGCACCCAGAGCTAACTGGCAGCAAGTTATAAAATAAAGAGAGAATACAAAATTACCTATCTAGGAATATAATATACTCATTGGAATCAGTAGAGAGAAAAAATACTACAAGTGGTTCCATATTCTGAAATCAGTACACAACTCTGTTACAAGGCAAGGGACATCAGCAGTGCAGCTGTTTCCCCAAAGGGGGGAAAACTTTGATTCAACCTTTCTCCTACTGACTTCCCTCCTGTATTCCTTTCAGATGCTCTCCAAAAAGTTTTGAAATATCTGTCTTCTGATTTTCACATTTGTTCAGTATCCCCATGTAGTTTCTTTTTTCATTGACTTGATGCAATGTAAATTTAAAGCATTTCTCCTAATGACCTTAACAACTCTTACTTGCTGGGAGTATATTTCTGTACCATCTCTAGAACCCAGCCCTCACTACTTATGTTCACATTCATTTAATTCAATTGAATCATATAATATTGGAGCCAAAAGCTACCTTAAGACAACATTGAGTCCCTAGCCCCTCATTTCACAGATGAGGAGGAAAGGAACTTCGACCAGCAGTTAAAAAGCACATAGCTAGTTAGTGACAAAGCTTGTACTGAAACTAAGGGATCCATCCCTCCTATGACAGCTTCCTTTTCACCAGACCATACTACTCTCTCTGGAGTCTCCATTCTTTCCTAGGAAATGACGGAACATGAAATCAATTGCCCATACTGAGAGACAGACAGTGCAGAGTAAAAGTGCCGAAGGCATAGAGGAAAATGTAGATGGGGACAGACAACGGCATTGGAATCCTGGACCTGTTTTTACTTAACATTGACCTGAGGCATGTGGCTTTCCCTCTGTGAGCCCCAAATTCTTCTTTTATGAAATGGGGACCAAAAATACCTGTATTCAAGGATTCTTGGTATGATAAAACAGGGCCTAGCTCTGCTGAGAATATATAGTTGTGAATAACAAACACATTCTCCCTCCGTTCCTTATTTCTCACACTGTTGCATCTTTCTGCAAGTTATACTCTCCACTGATCATTCTTTCTGTCCCCTGCATCTGTAGAATTAAATTCTTGGAGTTTTCTCTCTCCTCTGTGGTTGTTCTTTTCTTTTCTCCTATGCTAATTTTCCCTTACACTATTGTCCTTTCTCTTTCATCACGTGTAACCTTGAGGTCTTCTCCTTTACATCTTTTACAAGCTTTTTTCAGAGCACCCACAATGAATAGGGTTTGCTTATAAAGAAAGGTGATGCCAGTGGCATCCTTGTTCCTCCTACATTTTCTTCCTCTGCAGTTTAAGGACTCTTTCAACTGTGCTCCATATATGCTTTCAGTAACTAACAGCTATTAACCAGGCATTTGGAAAACTGCTTAAGACATATTTCCAACTTTATTAATAAATGCCCTTCAGTGTAAATATTAAACTTTAGAGTTTTTATTGAATTCTTCTTTATCTATTGTATTTTCTAGCTTTAGAAATTCTTCATTATACACCTGTTACCTCAGCAAGATACGTGACACTTGTCTGAATTCTACTTTGACCCTGCACTGCTGTTGAAATATCAAATTTGAAAGAACAAGTAGGAATAAAGGATATTCTTAAGATAGCCAGAGAATCATTCACTTGAAAATTTCTCCATTATTTTGCAACTCTGAGAAGTCGCCAACATCACTGGGAGATTTGGCTTGTGTACACCTGGAAAATGTGAGACGTGAATATTTCATGTTACTACTCTGGCTTCACTTCCTCAGGGGTGGGGGAGGCAGGCTGAACTGCATGTGTTCAACCTATCACTAAACTGTAACTCAGTATATGCTATAAGGGGTTTACTGTGGCATCTTAGTCTTGCAATATTTACTCCCTATCTTTTCACCCAAAATGAGTTTATGTAACTGTTTATGTATTGGAACAAGTACTGTTCAGGGTCAGGTTTAGCCCCAGGTAGAGGAGGCAGATGTTCATGGGGTATGATTTAAAGAAAGTCCACAGTCTTTTACAGAAAATACTTTTCCTAATAGCCTTACTGAAATTCCCACATTAGTCACTTCCTTGGAATGAAGTAGTGAGGGGAAAAAAATCTGATAAAATATGCAAGCTATCCAAAAGTTGTAGTACATAAAGCCCCTTTCACTAATAGATCAAATTAGATAAGCAGTCATTTAGAAGGATTAAAGAGAGAAAAGATTGATAGAAAATGGGAGGAAAACAAGGCAAGGAGCTTGTCCAAGCTTGGAAAGGCAACACAATCTGAAGGAACTGATAAAAAGAGAGATGTCACTAGGGATAACTTCATGATCTTAAAATGATTGCTTATGATCAAACACAGTGCTATATATGCATATACCCATCCATATATCCAGCTATCCTTCCACTCATCCATTCATCATCTATTTATTCATTCATTTAACAAATGTTTATTGAGTAGTTTTGTACAATGCACTGCAGTGATACACTAAGGACACAGAGATGAAGGGTGCTCAAGTGTTTATTCTCAAAGAGCTTACAAAGAAATGAAAGCAGGTAAATAAAATTTATAAATCTGGGTCTTAAATGCTATAATAGAAATCAGCTCGTGGTGCTACAATAGCAAGACTGACATTACTTTGAGATAAGACATTGTTCCATAGGTATATTTATTTATGTAATCCTTCCAGCAATGCTCTGAGGTAGGTACTATTATCAGGTCCATTTTACAGAGGAGGAAATGGTGATAGACCATAAGTAACTTGCCCAAAATTCTGCAGATAGAAATAAACAGGATTAGAATGTAAGCCTAATTTACTAGCTCCAAAACCTGTTTTCCTGACTCAAGAACCCACAGGTGTCATAGCTAACCTATCACCAGATTTTAATAGTCATCTATGTTTGAATTTTTGGCTAGTCAAGAAAGAAATATAGCTGTTCACCTCAGGTGTCCAACCTCTGATAGGTAGCCTGACAGCAGGACTAATTTGCTATTATCCCACCGATTACTTCACTTGGTAAATAGGATTTACCTATGACTGGTATCACAGGATTATGATAGCCATAACTTCATTCGCTAGAGCCTCACTGTAAACAACATGACTGGTTGAACGTTTAAACATTAAGGACACTCATTGGTGAACTGTATCCTTAAGGATTAAAAAACGTTATTAGGACACCTTTGAATTATTATGATTTGGCCATTTTCATTGTGAGTACAGACAGGCGTTGGGTATTTCTCAGGTTCACAAAGGAGATAGTCGATTAAGGAGTACAGGGAGGCCAGTGGAGATTTGTGAGCAAGACAAATTTTGTCAGGGAATAGGGAGGAGACCTAGGAGACTGTAGCATCTAATTTGATACATTATAAGCCACAAACATGTCTGAATGACCAAGAGCCAGCCACAACCACAAAATAACCAGGATAGGTCCGGAGTCAGCAGGGAAGAGCTAGGAAGAAGGCCAGGCCGATAATGAAAGGGGGCATTAAGGTACACATTAAACTCTCCAAAGAGGGAAAAATAAGCAGAATTTCCAAGGCATCCCTAACAAATTTGAAGTATTAACATTTTTGCTAAAGCAGCAAAAATGGCAAATTTGCTGGTTTCACTAAGTACATTATATTGCCTTTTTTTTCTTCTCTTGAAGTGGGGAGGTGGTAAGGCTTCACTGAGCCGTAGTGAGTGAGGATGTAAGAGACTTCAAAAGTGGCACAGCAGCCAATTACTTGGAGTTCAGAAGGAGTGGTTTATTTTTCTGGCATTGGAAAATCAGCATATTTGGAGCTGACGTCCAATGCCTTAGCTGGGTTGCCTGAACAACTTGGGACTCCAGATGGGAGAGTAGCTGCCTTATTTCGTGGAGTAAGCTGCCACTGAAACCCGGGGCCCTTGACTGAAATTTCAGACATCTGATTTTGTCAGAGTTCGGATACCTTTCCTTTGAAATGCCCTGCCTTGATAACCGCTCTAACCCATTGCCAATCTTTCCAGCAAACATGTCTCCCAATGATTGGGAAAATTAATGAACAGGCACTAGCTAATATAATTAAACCCAAACACTCCTGATTTCAGTATTAAGAAAAAGCCACTGCCCTGATTTTCTCTTGACAACACAAAAAGTCTTGCCATCTTCGAACTGTTTAATTATTGAAATGAACTGTAACGGTACACCGGATAGGGGCAAAGGTCACTGAGCACGACTGGAAGTGAGAAAGCGGGCAGGGGCTGACAGAAGGGCCTGCCAACGCCTGGGGCTGCAGCTACAAACCCACACACTTTTTCTCAGGCATCCAGTCTCCGATAGGTAGCCTGATAGCAGGACTAATTTGTTAGTATTCCAGAGGTCCAACGGTGCTTGCTTGTTTTAAGACAAGCCAAAATATGCTCTGGTGACCACCACGACATTGCAATTCCCATGCCCTACCACATTCCTCTTTTCAGATCCCAGGCATTTTTTCCCTTTTTTTTTTTTTTTTTTTTTTTTTTTTTGCCTCCCTACGTGCAGTCCAGGATGTAGACAAAATGAATTCCAAGTGACCTATGTGGGGGTGGATTTTTTTTTAGAAACAAACAGCAAATTAAGTGAAAAAAAAAAAAAAAAAACTGTTCTCACTTTTTTTTTCCTTTTTGGAGGGGGTGCATATGTTTATTTTCTCAGGGACACTCTCTGGCAATGGCAACGGAACTTAGTTCTATGAAAGTGACATTTTTTTCCTCAAAATCTTTAAATTCTAAATATCAGCCCCCGGTTTTGCTTGACTTTTTTCTCTGCCTTTCAAACCTAATAAAACCTATGGCAATTTCTGTCTTTAAATAGAGATGTCCAATTTTGTATGATTCTAGAACACCAACATCTGGAATCGTTTTTTCCCCTAAAATATCATTAATAATATTTAGACTATTACCAGAGACGGTGATAGGGGGAAAACCTGAAAAAAAGTTGCTAGAAATGTTGATAGTTGGTAAATCAGAGTAAAGGTATAATTTTAAAATAGATTTGTCAAATTAATAATTAAGCAAAGTTGGAAAAATAAATACGTTCAATGGTTGGATAAAAAGATAATTTCTAAACATTTTAGTTTAGGTGCTCTAAATTACAAACATAAATATTTTTAAGAAAAATAACAATTAGAAGTAACAGGATTTTGGGTAGTACCAGGGATGACCTCAAGCAAACTTGTAAAGTTGATATGACTTGCCTTTCTCGTTTCCAGTCTTCCCTTTCTGTACCATTCTCTTTGATGCCACCCATCCTGCACTGCACATCTAGTACCGGTGGGACCTATTAGTATTATTTATCTCACTCAATATTACTGTCTTCTCAATCTCAAATCACCTGATTAACACTTACTCTAAGGCTAAGAAATGACAGGGGCTTAAAGGGAATTGATAATCTTTTAATAATAGAATGTGGATATGTGGCACATTTTTAAGATCAGCAAAGATAATGGGAGGACTAGATGTTCCTGTATATGTGCATATCATTTTTAATCTAAACTGGAATACCTTTGAGAGTGAAAGAGGAGAAATTAATGATTTCAATGAGACAAGAAGCCTAAGTCAGAAATATTCCAAATAAAATGGGATAATGCTTGATAGTAAAGAAATTCATGTTCAGACATATATGAGATGGCAGTGTCTTGTCATTTTTCCAGGCAGACTACCCTTTGTATCTTTCACATAAAGCTCCCATCCCTTCAGCCTTACCTGCTGGATCCACATTCCCAGATTCCTAGGGTCTTATTTTAACCCTTGCCATCACCAGATATTTTCCAGCCTTTCCAGATTGATGTACTGGGACCAGGTAAGAATTTAGTGTCTCTAGTCTAGTGTCCAAAAGAGAGGGCTCTCTTCCATTCCTCAGCTTCCCTGTCCTGGTCTAGCTACCAGAGAGCCAAGACTCCCCACACGAAGAAAGCACTGTCAATTATGCATCGTTCCATGGGTGAAACAATAAGGACATGTGAAAATGCAACAGGACTTTATCATAAGCTGACTTAGTAGTACAAGTATTTAGTATCATAGGAAGAAAATCCAATTCTCCACAATATTACAGTGTATAGAGCAAAAATCTGGTACAGCCATGATGAATTTATTAATCGTTCTACAGGTCCCCAGACACAAAATAATAATAAAAAAGATCCCTAGCACTCCTTTGGAGAAGTTTTGTGAAAAGGTGAAGAATGGCTAGCAATGGTTTTCAAACTTTAGTATGTATAGGAATCTCTGGGGCCCTTATTTAAAATGGACTTTAAGTTCTACCCCTCAGCAAGCTTGATTAGATGCGCAAGAATCAGAACGCTTAATAGGTGCATCTGGCCATTTGAATTTAAGAGGTTTATGCAACCAAAAACACAGGTAAAAGCTTCATCTTACTGAGTCATTCTTAGTCATTCTCTTGCCAACACAGAGGATGTCATAGGCATATATGCAACCTTTTCTTAGTGCCTAGAAGTTGTCATATGTTGGGAGGTTGGGAGGGGTGTACAGACCTACGTACCTATTGGAAGAGGCTTCCTCATTCTTATAAAAGTGGCATGCTGTATGTGTCGTAAAAATAGACCGAGTTTGGCATAGACTTGAAATTAAGGACTAAGATCAGTCTCCAGAGAAATAATGTTAAGTGCAGCCTAAACCCCATTCAAGAAGAATTTGTGATTCCCTTTATGATCCAGCCTTGGCAAAGAAAATGTGGTTAAACTGTGGCTCAGCCACCTCCGCGATGTAGCGGAACAAACACTGCAGGGAACATGAATGAAATTACTGTTAGGAAAACATCTGAATTTTTCAAACCAGGTGAGTTTTCCTCCTTGGTTGTCTAATTTAACATTCCAAAATGGGAAGAAAACCAGCATCTGTAAACTGTACTTAATCCATTCTTTAGATAGCATTACAGCCTTTTTCATTTCTCTCCACACTGCATTTTGTTGTTTTTGTCTCAGAGGCTTTAACACAAGGCCGGGACTTGCATTGGGAGGCCTGCGGATTACAGGAAATAATGACCTGTATATATTTAGTTGTTCAAAGGAAATTAGAGTAGCCTGATTTTTATTATTCCCCATTGCCCCACATTCTCTGGTGTAATAACTTGCCCTGTTCTCTAATTTACTTTTACATCATCGGAAATGTATACCATTTAGCCCAGATTCTCCCATGACCAATCAGGACCTGCTGCTGAGCTAGGTTAACAAAACGTTGCACGGAATGGCAAGCCTTCCTAATGCAGGCCAGCCAAAGTCAATGCAGAGCTGCTCACTCCAGAAAGTATGTGAACTGAAGAAAGTCATTTACCAACTTCTTCCCTTAGGTAGCCAGTGACCACTGTATGCCCCTGCTGTTAAATGTGACAGCTAACCTTTTCAGGACTGGTGTCATTTTAGATTAACCTTCTCTCGTAAAAATGTGTAGGCAGTTTCCTTCTGGTTGCGCTTTTCATTGTTAATCCATCAATGTATTTCCAGTGACACTGCCTCCTCCTTCTATCTTTCCTTCTCTCTCACCCCAACTCTTACCACCCAGCTTGGATAGTCTCATTAATGTTTATATCCAGAATCTAAAATTCATCTGCTTGCATTTTTTTTCTTTAAAGAGGAAACATAACTGTTTCGGACTTTGTTTTTTAAAAGAGTTATGATTAGATATTTAAATCATGGTTTTATTGGGACTTTCTAGTCCCATAGCACATATCACCTGTATTTGCTATATTATTGAGGGGAGAGAGAAACATAGTGAGAAATACATGCTGATAGCAGATAAATATCACTATATTTCCAGAACATTTGCAACTTACCAGCATTTCTTCCATTACAACTTTATGTATGGTTTATGGACACTTTGAGAGGAAAGCAACATTTGAAAGCCAAGACAAGCTGATTTTTGTTAGATTCTGCATGTTTATTCGGGACCTTTAATGAAGTTTTGCGAATTCTCTCAGTTCCATTGCAGCAGTTTTAAGTTGTGTGCTCTTTAACTGGTAGGATTTGGCAAGATAAAAATGAAGAGAAGTAGTAAGTAGTTTTAATAATCATAACTTTTGAAATTCACTCCAACATGATCATATTTTAAGAGCTCAGTAAATTTGGTCTTCATAAGCTTGTCTTCATCTCTTCCCAAACATTTCTTTTCAGTCTGGGCAGTTGCCTCATTATTAAATAGGTTCTCTAGTCCAAAACAAACTCAAGTCACTCATATCCATTATACTTTAATTTCCTTCAGTCTCATATAAGATTAATTATTGGTTTCGTTTTGTCCCCTCCTTGTCCCCTCTAAAACAGCAGCAATCCACCTCATTTTCCTACTGATAATTTCTTTAAAAAGGCCATTTCTTTCTTATTAATATTCTCTCCAATTTGATCCCTCTGAACATTCCACACATCTTCCTAAACCTTAACTAAATCCTCCCAACTCTCCTATAACAGTAATCTCTGGTTCCAGTTCAAAAGACAATTTAAAACAGTTGCTACTTTATAGTAATTTTAATGGCCCAGCCACGCTTTTATTATTAAAGCTTAGGCAGTTTCTCTTACCAAATTGCCCCCCTTGCCATAAATTCTAATCCTGGGTAACATGGTAAGTTGGCTGAATCTGTCTTCAGAGGTTGCAGATATTCCTTTGGGATACTCTGGCACACTAAACTTCCAAGGACCTATGAGCTTCAGGAAAAGTTTGAAATACGAATAGTTTATACCTCAATGTATATTTAAATCAGCTAGTGTTTGTCCTTTCCAGAGAGCTGACCAGGTGGCCAACCATGGGCCTGGGGGTGGGGAAGCTGGATGGGGAATGATCCGGTGGAGGGGAGAAGAGAAATCCTGATTGTTTTCTCTGCAGTGACAAGAACATTCTATTGCCAAAGTTCAGTTGGAATATATTTATTCCATTCGATACCATTCATTCCAAAATAATTTCATAGGGGATCATGAAAAAAATATTATGGCAGAAGAGACAGATAATGTATATTCAGTTATTTCTCTGAAGATATAAATTTGGGTTTTACTCTGTTTTTCCCTCATCCTTCTTCCCAAAGCTGCTAGCATTTTTGTTGCATCAAGTATTATTGTATATAACAGCTTTATTGAGCTGTAACTCATGTACCATTCATCATTCGCCCATTTTAAGTGTACTATTCAATGACTTTTAGTAGAATCACAGAGTGTGCATCTAAACCCAATAATCAATTTTAGAATATTTTCATCACCCCCCAAACACCCCTGCCCTAGGCAACCATTAATTTACTTTCTGTCTTTATAGACATATCTATACTGGTATTCTATGATATGTGGCCTTTTGTGAATAGCTTCTTTTACTTAGCATGATGTTTTCAAGCTTTATACATGTTGTAGCGTGTGTCAACTATGTAGTTCCTTTTTATGGTTGAATAATATTCCATTATATTGCTACACCACATTTTATTTATCCATTCATTAGTTAATGTACATTTGACCTCACACTTTCTAGCTATTATTATTAATGCTGCTATAAACATCATGTGCAAGGATTTTTTTGCGAGAACAGATGTCTTTTATTTTTCTTGGGTATATACCTAGGAGTGGAATTGCTGGTCATATGAAAAGTCTATGTTTAGCCTCTGAGAAATTGCCACCTGTTTTTCAAAATGTCTGCACTATTTTACATTCCCACCAGTACTGTAGGAGGGTTTCAATTTTCCCACTTTCTTGCCCTCACTTGTTATTATCTGTCTTCCTTATTACCATTGTCCTGTAGATGTGAAGCGGTATCTCATGTTTTGATATTCACCTCCTTCATGGCTAATGATGTGGAGCACCTTTTCATGAGCTTATCGGTCCTTTGCATGTCTTCTTTGAAGGAGCTTCTATTCACACCCTTTGCCAAATTTCAGTTGGAATATTTGCATTTGTATCATTAAGTTGTAAGAAATATTTACATAGTCTAGATACAAGTTCCTTTTCAGATATGTGATTTGTAAATATTTGCTTCCATATTCTAGGCTGCCTTTCACTTTCTGGATTGCATCCTTTGAAGTTCAAAAGCTTTCAGTTTTGATGAAGCCCAAACCATTTTTCTTTTGTCACTTGTGTTGTTAGTCTCATCTCTAAGAAGTCTTTGCCTAATTCAAGACAATTAAGATGTGTTTCTATATTTTTTCCAAAGATTTCTATAATTTTAGTTCTTACATTTACAACTGTGATCCATTTTGAGTTAATTTTTGTATGCGATGGGAGGCAGAGTGCAACTTCTTTCTTTTGAATGTGGATCTTCAGTGGTCGCAGTTGAAAGACTATGTTTCCTTATTGAATTGTCTTAGCATCCTTATTGAAAATCAATTAATTATAAACATAAAGATTTATTTCTAGAATTTCCATTGTATCCCATTTATCTAGATCATATAGTTTGGATGTTTGTCCTCTCCAAATCTCATATTGAAATGTAATCCTCAGTATTGGAAGCAAGGCCTGGTGAGAGGTATTTGGGTCATGGGAGTGGGTCCCTCATGAATGATTTGGTACCATCCTCCTTGTAATGAGTGAGTTCTCATTCTGAATTAATGCAAGAGCTGGTTGTTTAAAAGAGTGTGGCACCTCCTCCCTCTCTCTCTCTCTCTCGTTCCTTCTCTCACCATGTGATGCTCCTGTTCCTGCTTCAACTTTCATCATAATTAAAATCTCCCTGAGGCCCCACCAGAAGCCAGGCAGTTACCAGTGCCATGCTTGTACAGCCTGCAGAACTATGAGCCAGTTAAACATCTTTTCTTCATATTTCTTCATAGGAATGCAAATGGACTAACACATTATGAATCTGTTTTTATGTGAGTACCAAAATGTCTTGATTCATATAGCTCTGTGGTAGGTTTTTAAATTGAGAAGTATGAACCCCTCAACTTTGTTCCTTTTCAAGATTATTTTGACTGCTCTTGGTTCCTTGGATTTTCTTATGAGTTTCAGGACCAGCTTGTGAAATTCTGCACAAAACCCAAGTGAGATATTGATAAGGATTGTATTGACTCTGTAGATACTTTGGAGAGCATTGCCACCTTAACAACATTAAATCTTCTGATCCATGAATATCAGATGTCTTTCCAATTATTTAAATTGTCTTGTTAGCTTTTTTCAACAATATTTTGTAATTTTAAGGTATATATTTTATACTTCTTTTGTTCACTTTATTCCTAAGCATTTTAGTCTTTTTCATGACTTTTTTTAAAATTTCATTATCAGGTCATTCATTGCTAGTATATGGAAATATAATTGACCTTTGTATGATGTTATTGTGTCCTGCATACTGAACTCATTTATTTTCTCTAAGGTTTTCATAGATTCTTTAGGATTTTCTGTGTACAAAACCATGACTTCTACAAATACAAACAGTTTAATTTCATTTTTCCAATCAGGATGTCTTTTATTTATTTTTCTTGCCTAATTACTCTTGCTAGAACCACCAGTAAAATGTTGAATGTAAGTGGCGAGAGTGATGTCCTTGTCTTCTTCCTGATCTTGGGGGTAAAGCTTTCAGTCATTCACCATTACATATGAGGTTAGCTGTGGGATTTTTGTGGATGACTTTTAGCAGGTTGATAAAGTTCCCTTCAATCCTCAATTTATTGAGTGCTTTTGCTATGAAATGGTATTGGATCTTGACAAATGCTTTTTCTGCATCTATTCCATTAATTAATTTTCAGATGCTAAACCAACCCGGTATTCCTGGGATAAATCCCACTTGGTTGTGGTGTATGATCCTTGGTATATGTTGGTGGATATGGTTAGCTAGTATTATATTCAGGGTTTTTTGGTCTATATGAGATATTGTTCGCTTTCTTGACTTGTGGTGTCTTTGTCTGGTTTTGGTATCAGAGTAATACTATGCCTCTTAAAATTAGTTAGAAAATGTTCTCTCCTATTCTGATTTTTGGAAGAATGCATAAAGAGTCGGTACTGATTCTTCTTTATATGTTAGGTAGAATTCATCAGAAATGGCATCTGGGGTGGGGATTATATTTGTGGGAAGTCTTTAAATTCCCAACTCAATCTCTTTACTTGTTACATGTTGTTCCAAACTGTATTTTTGTAGTTCTAAAAGCAGATGCATTTCCCTCTTATTTGAAAAAGCCAAAACTCATTGAAATATTATCTTTGATGTCTTGGTGATGTGGAGGATAAAAAGGAGAATATCTCCAAATGCATCAACAAGAAAGGAGAAGGAGAGACTTTTCTGCACTGGAGAGATATAAGGTGTATCAGTCACTGGCATAGTTCTGTGGAAGGGACAAGGATGTTATAGAAGGGACGTGATGCAAAAAAGGTCAATGGACATAATGTTTGGATTCCCATGATCTCCAACTTTTCCCTGCCAGTAGGGACCCTGGGAACTGCAGAGAAACCAGGCCTGAACATGTCTATGTAGGCTGATATAAATGGAGCCTCAGCAGTATGTAATGTGGATTTATGACTAATGACTATAGAAGTTCCCCAACAGAGTCTTAGGTCTTGCTCTACCTAAGACCAATGATTTTACCATAGCTCTGTCAAGAGTAGCACTAACATCTGAAAGTCTCTTTACATCTTAATAGAATGGAGTCTTGGTTGGATTTGAATTCATTTCAATAAAATAAAGATACAGAGTAATTCTTAAAATCTTCATTTGTTAATTATAATTTATATCTGTTTCATTGAAAAGTCAGTAACATAGTACAACTTACATAGTTCTCCATAGTAGGCTAGGGAGGCCTGACCACTCCTTCAGAAAAGCTGAGTATTTTAGAACTTATTCTAGGCTTTCAATCCTTTTCAGTGTAACATAGAGATTAAGCAGAGATTAAGCTTCCTGATTCTGAAATCAGAGTGCCTGCGATTAATGCCTGATTCAGATAGTTATTTGAGCATGAGCAATTTATTTAGCCTATCTGCGCCTCAGTTGCTTAATTTTTTAAAGTAGGGTCAATATATAATACCTAATGTAGTGCCTACCATGAAAATTTATATGAGAATTAAGTGCTATTTACTCTTTAGCTACTATTATAATTGATATTATTTCCAGAAATAACTAGCCAAGAAACCAAATTGTTATGTATGATTCTTATTAAAATTACCAAATATTTTCCTTATCTGCTGTTTCTATCTCTGATAATTACATCTTCCTGTCACCAATTATCAACACATCAGTCATCATCTATTTTTTTCCTTTTCACTTTTTTCAAGATCTAGAGATTCTTCCTTTACATTATCTTTCACAATCCTTCCTTTTTCCTCAGTCCCTCACAGCTTTTACTCATACTATTGAGAAACATTCTTAAATATTTCTGCCTCCAATATTGCCTTTTCCCAGTGAACACTTACTGAGTGCTTACACCTGCCAGGCTCAGCTCTGGTTTTTGAAACCCATTCTCTCCACTCCATGGCAAAGCACTGCTGGGTATGTATTGCCAACCCCATTTTGATGACCTCTCCTGGTTCACTCAGCTAGTACATGGCAGTGCTAGCATACAGATTTAGTCTTCTGAGTCTGAAGTCCATGCTGCCCCTTATCTTTCAAGCTGCTGCTAAAATAACCCTGCTGTAGTGCAGCTTAGATTATAACACACTCTCTTCAGTGAGTCCTTATTGCTTATAATGTCTAAATTCTCAGGCTTAGAAGTCAAAGCCTTCAATTATCTGTCTCAGATCTACATTTCTAGCCTTTCTACTCACTGATCCTTCTCACACCCACTACATTCCAATCAAAACTTATCCTTTTCTGTTTGAGAGCATGTCGTGGACTTCCTTGCAAGGATGCCTTTCCCCATGCTTGTCCCTTGTACTAGAGAGTCCTTCTGCCCAGTGCCACCTCCTCCATAGGTACACTAAATCCCAGATGGACGTGAAATCCCCTCCTCCCTACTCCCATTGTAGCTTGTATATAACCAGCTAACAACTTCCATCATTCTACTCAATATAGAAAAAATACCAGAGAGAGGTGAGATTAAAAGGATATCAGGGAAAATAGAGAGACAAGCTGAGAGCTAACTGGGAAGACAAGTGTCTCTGATTTCAGCTACGTAGAAAAGCAAAGGAAAAACCAAGAGCAGAGAGGAAGCTCATGGTAATGGAGAGTAAAAATATATTTCACTAAAAAGGAACCAAATTGTTTCATTTTCTCATTCATTAGAACATATAAATTATTAGGTGAAGTGAAGGATATCACCAGATAAGAATTTTGGCAGCACAAGGAATTTGGCTTCCTTATGAAATTACTGGCTTGGCGTATTTTATACATCATTTTTGGATGTTAATTTAGTTTTATTCAGATTTTTTTTGTTAGAGTGCCTATCCAGAATTGAAGACTGGGACTTAGGAGGGTGGGAAGAGGCCAGGAGTAGCCACATTCCATGAAATTAATTACTTGGACAGATTCATGTCAGAGTGCACTGATATGGATATTAAGAAGTCATATGTGAACATATTTTATTTTCCATGTTAGCCTAAAAGTACCAGAGCATGAAGGATCTGGTATCTTATTCACAGTGCCTTGCTTAGTGTCATTCATAGAGTGATACAAAGTTCAAGATTCTTTGGTGAGGCCTCGCCATTCATTTTTAATAAAGAGGATCCAAGGTGTGGTAGTACATCTATCCACTATTATTGAGTTAGGCAGGTGGAGGAAGGAGTGTTGAATGTGTCCCTGAGAATCACAGAGAAAGGGGAGGTACAGTGTGCCTTGAGCCAGAGGTAAGTGTGGCATCATATGCTCATGGGCTATGGTGTGTACAGCTTAAGGCAGGATTTCTGCATTTGGAGAAATTATTCTATTTCCTCTCCCTCACCAAGATACCAAAGATAATATTTCAATGAGTTTTGGCTTTCTCAAATAAGAGGGAAATGCATCCACTTTTAGAACTACAAAAATACAGTTTGGGACAACATATAACAAGTAAAGAGATTGAGTTTGGAATTTAAAGACTTCTCACAAATATAATCCCCACCCCAGACGGCATCACTAATAAATTCTACCTAACATATAAAGAAGAATCAGTACCAACTTTTATGCACTCTTCCAAAAATTAAAATAGGAGAGAACACTTACCAACTACTTCCCAACTCATTCTAAGAGGCCAGAATTACCCTGATGCCAAAACCAGACACAGACATCACAAGTGAAGAAAGATACAGAACAACATCTCTTATAAATATAAAGGAAAAACTCAACATGATCTAGCTAACCATATCCACCAACATTTTGAGCCACTTAATTCTTCATTGTGCGGGCTAGTTCTGTGCCTTGTATAATGTTTAGCAGCATCATTGGCCTCTACTCACCAGATTCCAGCAGCGTTCCTCTAGGTGTGACAACCAAAAATGTCTCCAGACATTGCCAAATGTCCCCAGTGGGGAAAAATTCCCGTAGTTTAAGTCAATGAGCCAAGAGGAAGCCTCTGGGGAGATGTTAACACTAGAAGTCATAAAAGGCATCCAGATGATATGTCACTTTGATAGAACTACCCAAAGAGGGAGAATCTGGGTATCAACGAACCTGGTGCAATTCCTTCAACCAACTAGCTTACAGCTACTGAAGCCACAGTAAATTTGTTTATGTAGGAATTAGGAGTTGATGATGGTAGAAGGCAGGACTGAGGTTAATAGCTAGGAAAAAGGAGTGTATCCATGTAATAGAGCTACACACAATCATGACACTGGCATAATACCAGGGTCCAGGGCACAGTGGAACTTGCTAAGAGATTGTCAGAATGCAGCATCGGGGAGGCGAGGAAGAATAAGGGGAGATCTAAGAAAGTGATACTCCAACGTCAAGCCAGAACAGCATCTCTCTTGGCATTCTAAAAGGATGGATGTATAGAAAAGAGATGTGGAGAGGTACCACACATGGACAGAGCAAAGCCTGGTCCTCATGACTGTCTAAAAACAGGGGCCTGAATGATGACTGAGGAAAAAGCCAAGTTCTAGGAACTATGGCACCTGCAGCAAAGTTGGACCTGAGATTCTGTGACTAGAGGCACTGCAGGGTGTGAGGAGTGAGCTAGATCCTGAACTGACCCCTAGAGCTCAGAGGTGAGCAGGAGAAGTCATGTCATGGGTGAGATAACAGCACTGGTGATTCAGAATGGGTGGACTCAACCTCAGTGCTGCAGTGGCACACCCCAAGCAGTCCACTTAACCCAGCTGAGTCAGTCAGAAGATGCTAATACATTCCTGGTCATCCTGAAGAATCAGGCATTTGAAGATTTTGCAATGACCTGGTTGAAACACTCAAAATATAATCTTATGTGGGGAAAAATGGGCAACCTCATACACAGCATGATCTTACTTTTATATTAAATGGGTAAAAGATGTAATTACAGCTAACTACTTATGAATATCAACTCCTAGGAAACATAGGGGAAGGAAAGAGTGAGGTTACTCTTTGAGATGTAGGGATCTTAAAGTTAAGAAGGGATTGCGTGTTACATCTCTTTCCTTATACATTATCTTCTATGTTTTGAGTAATGAGTACTTCAATAATCATTTCTAGGTATCTTACAAAAATGAACTTCCTGTCTCCATCCACGATTGGTCTGGGAATTAGGAATGACTGATTCTCTGAGAAGGACAAATATTAGGCCTTATAAAAAAAAAAATCTTGAGGAAGACCCAGCCTAAGGAAAGTGTGGGAAATGTCGAAAATGTGGTTTGCTTAATGGAAATGAATAAACTCCTACATAAACTTAACAGGAATTCAGCATGTGTCATCAGAGTACTTTCTTCTTAACAGACAACTACTTTGCAGTTTTGTAAAAGGAAGCAACTTGTTCTCTTTCTCCTCCCACCCCACCACCAACTGCTCTCTGGGGGAAAAAAAAAGAAGAAGAAAGAAAGAAAGAGAAAGAAAAATCCTAAACCCTTTGGCCACATGTAACTGTATATTGGACTATGGAGTACAGAGTTTGTTTGGGATGATGGATGGTTTGCCAATGTAGCACAATCAGACAAGACCAGCCATCAATCACTGTAAATCAATGATAAACCTTGGGTGTGTTTTGTGCCACTTTCATTCATTCTGGTGCCCAGAGAGTTGCAAAGAGCAACCTCATGACCTCATATGAGCAAAGAAATTGGCTTTTAAAGTTGTTTCCAGGCTCTGTTCATCACTCATTCCTGGGTGAGATGCCAGGAAATAACTTTCATGGTTTTTTCCTCAACCTATCTTTCTCACCTCAAACAAAGTTTAGATGGAGGATATGCACGAAGACAAAAAAAGGAAAATAGAATTGATCTGAGTGGGCAAGGCTTTTGGTTAGTTGAATGAAATTGAGTTCCCAAGTTCTTTTTAAATTTATCTTAATCATGAATCTGCTCCGAGTTCCCTCCTATATTTCTGGAAGGAAGTTTTGTTTAGGCTCGAGTTCTTCTTGGGTCACTCCAGAACATTTGGAGCAGGGCACTCTGGTCATTGGTCCACACAGGACTTTGCTGTTACTATTTCTCAGATGGGGCCCTCAGGAGTCTTCTTTGCCGGGATGGATATTGTTCACTGTGACCCTTATGGCCATAGTTACTAATGTTAAGTCCCCACCTCTAGAATCCCTAGACTACCTCATGAATGATATTGGCATCTTAGGGTCAAGAATATCTCCCACTGGAGAGACTGATGGTGCCTTCTAGCCTCAGAAAGACCTACAACACTTTCAGAACACCTCTCTTCTCTAAACGCCCTTATAATACCGCCTCCTCAACTCAAAGCATTAGCTCAGCTTTGGCACCTTAATTGATCCCCCTCGTGTTCCTGAAACACAAAAGTATTTTTTGTCCTCATTGATCTGCCTTTCCTAGGCCCAGAGGGAATAGGAGAAGTAACAGCAATTTAGCCCTTCAGAAACACAGAGGTTAACTGCGCCAATTTAGAATAAAGCCAAGGGAAATGATGGACAAACCTAGTTTTTGTCTCCTCTTGTTACATGTGTTAATACAAAGGTTTGCTGGAATTAGTTACATTTTATTTCTTCTCATGACATATCAACCCACCAGAAGATTCTTTAGATTTTCCATCTACCAGGAAAATACTTTATTATCTGTCTCGTGATACTGTCTTATGAATGCATACTCCCCCATCAAATTGTATCATGATGCTGATACAATTCTGTTTAACAATAGAAAGAATTTTGCAATTTTTTAGAGTGCTGAGATTTTGTTATGATATACACACTACTCAATAAAAAGTTCAGTGGGACTGAATGCTAAGGAAGTAAAGAACCAGTAACACTTGTGATCTAAACACTTCAGGTTAAAAGCAACCTGGAAAAAGGAACTCACTGGTCTGAAAGTCAAATCCCTGGTTAGGCTCCAGATTGCTTTCTAGATAAAGGACTATTGGCAAGGCTTCAAGTCTCTTCTTTGAGCCTCAGATTCCTAACATTTTCATAGAATGATTTGTGCTTTGGGGATTCCTTGGATTAAAAGCTATTTCTCTTGCAACTGTGTCAAATTCCCATTATCTATTTTAAAAAATGTTGTCCTCAGTGAGAGTTATACAATAATAACAATGTTTTCATCATTTTTGTTGCTATTATAAGAACCAAGGCAAATATGAATTTTCCCAATTAAACTATATAGGCATATATGATGTTTAATACTGAGTGTCAACTTGATTGGATTGAAGGATGCAAAGTATTGCTCCTGGGTGTGTCTGTGAGGGTGTTGCCAAAAGAGATTAATATTTGAGTCAGTGGGCTGGGATCATGGGAGTTAATACTCCCTAATAACTCATATATATATGTGTGTGTGTGTGTGTGTGTGTGTGTGTGTGTGTGTGTGATATTAGTTCTGTCCTTTCAGAGAACCCTAACTAATACAGATTTTGGTACCAGGAGTGGTTCTAGAGGATGGAGAATATTAAGGATGGAGTTCTTTCATTGGTTTTGGGGTTTCTGGAGTTGGCTGCTTAATATTATTAAACCCCAAAATGCTAAGGACTCTATTTCTAATGGCATGGAGAACACTGATAGTCCTTGGCATGAACTGTTTAGAGAGTTATACACAATAAATCCATTTGACACTCCTGATTCACCACTCATGAGAGGCGAGGAGTTTAGTGACTCTATACATAATACCTTGACCATATGTGGAGAACCAAAGAACACAATGAAGTTGGTTGGTTGCTCCTAAAATCACTGGAAAAAGTGATGAAAGAAAATGAACTCAGAGATTCTAACTCCCAGCTTCAGAAGCAGATATTGAGCCTCAAATCTGCTAAGATTGCCCTGAGTGAGAGTCTTATCACCCATAGAGAAAGAGCTGATATGGTGGAAAATCAGACATGAGTTCTTGTAATGCCAGTAGCTGACCTCCAATGAAAGCTGCATGCACAGCCTTGCCGGGTGTCCACTGTTAAAGTAAGGGCATTGATTGGGAAAGAATGGGACCCTGCAACTTGGAATGGGGATGTGTGGGAGGACACTGATGAAGCTGAGGACACTGAGTTTGTAAATCTAATGAACCTTTCTTTGCCAGGAGAAATAGCTTCCCCATCCCCAGTAGAGGCATAGGTATAGGTATGTATGTACATGCATGTGTTTAAAAACTATAGATCTAAATATGTAGGTCAACATATGACCCACCCTTAATCTGGATGGGCACCATCTATCAGCTGCCAGCACGGCCAGAATATAAAGCTGGCAGAAAAACGTGAAAAGACTAGACTGGCTTAGCCTCCCAGCCTACATCTTTCTTTTGTGCTGGATGCTTCCTGCCCTCGAACATTGGACTCCAAGTTCTACAGCTTTGGGACCTTGCTCTTCAGCTTGCAGATGGTCTATTGTGGGACCTTGTGATCGTGTGAGTTGATGCTCCTTAATAAACTCCCCTTTATATATATGTATGTCCTATTAGTTCTGTCTCTCTAGAGAACCCTGACTAATACAGTATATGTATATATCTATATTCATGTGTGTATATATACAAGTATATATTTGTGTGTATGTGTGTATATATATATGTGTGTATATATATATATATATATAGGTATAGGTATATATGTACATGCATGTGCTTAAAAATTATAGACCTAAATATGTAGGTCAACATATGTCAAAAAGGTCAACATATGTCATTGGTATTGATAGAACAAGGCCCATTATCAATCTTTTTGTATTGCCTTATAGACTGAAGCAGGAAGAACCGTTCTGCCAAGGGCAAGTTACAGTCAATCATAGATAGAAGGAATTCTGATCACTCCGATAGTGAGACAACAGTGTTCCTTGCTTAAAGAGAAGAAAATGCAGCCTAAAACAGTTCAACCCTAAAATGCATTTAGGAGAAAAGTATGTGTGTCAGTAGAGGAAGGCCTTATATGTGGCAGAGGAAATAAAAAGCATATATTCCTGAATCTCAGTCCTTGGAATGGAAACAAACACAGAACTTCCCATGTGCGGGATCTTCTTCAGTTGGATCTAGTGGCAGACAAGAACATTGTTCTGAAAGTGAGAAAATCAAGCAGTTTCACTCCTCCAGGGCAGGCCATCCAAGAATACCAAAGTAGAACTATATTTTTATTTTTCCTGTTACAGCACAGATCTGTTGTTTGGCTACCAAATTACAGGTTGTGCCTGGTTCTCACATACTTTGCTTTTCATGTACTGAACAGGAAGAGTAATAACAGGCTGCTTCTTTTACTTGTGGGATTTAGGTATTCTTCATCATGGAATGGGTCATTTTTCTAAGAAAACCTGCCAGTGTAAAGACTGGAGGTGTATGCCATTTATGTGGGGGTGGGAAAGCCATGAAAATGAGAGGTTTTTGGCTAGAGAGAGTGGGTTATAGTTACTTGTTCCCAGATTGAAATGACATGTTTATGAGTCATACCCTTATTATCTAATCCTAACAAAATCATCCAAAGATCACTATCATTTAAATGACTATCTCAGAGAAGGGTCTCTGGGAAATTTTACCAAAGAAAAAATTACACACACCCATTTGGTTATGGAGAAGCACTCTGCATGCACTTATTCATTTTTTTAAAATGCTCTATTGATAATCTATGAGAGATAATTAAATGAAGTATAACAAATAGTGTCCAAATACATAATGTCTGCTATCCTGGACATGAGACTAGTTATGAATATTATAACATATATTGAAGGAAACTACTGCACACATATATTGCCAATTAGTATTTGAATCAATCAACATTTGTATAAATACTGTTCCCTTTATTGTTTAACGTGCAGCTCAGCTCAGGGATCAGTGAGAAATGAAAAATGACCTGATGGGATAAGATTTTGGAGAAATCCTGAATTCAAAAAACCGGTTGACAACTGAGAGGATTGTAGGAACATTTTAGTGAGAGATCCCTTATCAGTCTGACCTAACCCAAAGCAATATTAGGGAACCACACAAGCCAACATGGGAAAGAACCTTGGAATTTTGACTCATCAGAGAATTTCTAAAGAACTCTTTTGGCAGTCACAGCTTATTTTAAGGACATCTGGGTTTCTTCAAATGAAATTAATTTATTCTTCTTTCCTAAAAAAAAAAAATGAAGAAGAAGAACAAATAGGCATTTCCTTACCCTTGAGTCATTTATCTTGTCCAGAGATTAAAAAAAGAAAGCATTATCATTTCTATCACCCTTCATATTTGTGGAATAATCTATTATAAATTTTTATTGGGAGAGAAAATGGAAGAACAAAAAGTTCAAGTAATTTGTAGGGGAAGTAGAGAAATTTGGCAGTGCTGAGTATTCTCAGACCCTAGTGCTACACCACAAGTAGTAGAGGACAACACTGAAGAGATGTCCAACTTTCCAATCTTTAAAACAATAGGTCCTAGCTTCCATTAAGATGGCTGATTCACCCTAATCTGCTTTAGCCACACCCATCTTCTCTCCTGAACACATTTTTGTTTTTGTTTTTGTTTTTGTTTTCATTTTGATGATGCAGACAGGCTGAGAATTTTTCAAGTGTTTAAGTTCTGCTTCCTCTTTGATTAACACTTCTGTCTTTATGTCATTTCTCTCTCTTGCATTTTACAATAGGCAGTCAAGAGAAGCAAAGCCTCACCTTCAACACTTTGCTTGAAAATAGCTTCAGCTAAACAGCCACATTGTTCACAAGTTCTACCTTCTGCAAAATACTAGGACAAAAACACAATTCAGTCAAGTTCTTTGCCTCTTATAACAAGGATCTTTTTTCCTCCAGTTTCCAAAAACATGTTCTTCATTTCCATCTGACACCTTATCAGAATGGCCATTACTTCCCATATTTCCATCAACATTCTGAACAACAACCACTTAGGTATTCTCTAAGAGGACTAAGGCTTTCTCTGCAGCTCCTCACTAGAACCACTAGGTTCGAGTCCTCACTAGAACCACCCTTAAAAGTCCACTCATAGCAATAAAGGTTTGTACTGGCATGCTCCTCCAAATTCTCCCAGTCTCTACCCATTACCCAGTTTCAAGGTCGCTTCCACAATTTATGTATTTGTTACCACAGCACATCAATTTCTAAATACCAGTTTGTTTTTTTTTCTTGGCCTTAGTCTGTTTGGGCTGCTATTATAAAATACCATAAACTGGGTAGTTTATAAACAACAGAAATTTATTTCTTATCGTTCTGGAGGCTGAGAAGTCCAATATCAAGGCATTGGCAGATACAGTGTCTGGTAAGAGCCTGATCTCGGGCTTACGGATGAAATCATTTTACTGTGTCCTCACATGGTTAAAGGGGCCAATTAGCTCTCTGGGGTCTCTTGTATAAGAGCACTAATCCAAATCATGAGGTTTCAGTTCTCATGATCTAATCATCCCCCAAACACCCCACCTCCTCATACCATTACTTTGGTAGGTAGGAGTTCAACATATGAATTTGGGGATGGATACCAATATTCAGATGATAGCCCTAAGAGAGTGCTTATTTTATAATCCCCATTTATAACTTTTTCCCATATTAGTACATTTGCTCCCCTAGCCTGAAATACTAAGCTCTTGCTTGGACCTATCACTTCCATTGACAAAATACTCTTGGACTATTGATTAAAAGAGGAAGTGTAAGTTCATCTGGACCAAGAGAAAAACAATCCAAATTGCCTACCTTAGTAGGTACACAAATTACTCCACCTTGAACATGAATGGTTAATAAGAAATCAGGATTTCTTTGTAAAAGTGAAGATCCAATCATGATAAAAATTTAGTGATGGGTTAATAACCTTTATTAATAAAATATTATTACAAGTAGAGACTTCACATTATAATCTGGATGTGATGATTTGGGTCAACATAACTAAAATCTGAAAAAAAAAGTCAATGCCCAAAGTGGGATGGTTACTGCCATTACCCTGAAAAATTATCAGACTTTTACTCTTTATGAAAACTATTATAACACTGTACTTTTCATCAATCTTAAAGTTTCACTCATCACTTAAATGACCAAAAAGAGAAATTAAAAGAAAAAAAATGTTTACATCTGAGTCATGTCTAGAGCTTTGTTTGGCTATGATTTTGGATTACTATAATAAATAATTTAATTCCCAATATTCCCAACCTTTTCCTTGACTACTTGTCCACTTAATAAAGCCATTTCCGCCCCCCCCTCTTTTAAATATCTTAAGTGTACAGTCTTGCTTACAGTGAAAGTCCGTATTTCTTGGTTTATCAGGAAAACAGTGCAAGGTTTTATATTTACTCGAAACCTTTCAAATACTCCTACCTGTTCTTACATTTTCTGAGTCTTTATTTTCACAGATAACTTTAGAAGTGATTGCTTTGAGCTCACTATAAAGCAAGCAGATCATGTTAAATATCAGGTGGGGTTTAGTGAGCTCCTATAAGACGATGTCATTTCTTGATGCTCTGTGCTTTGCAATGAAGTGATTAAAGAATCTTCTTGACCCAGAGTTCCTCCACTTAATCAAGAAGAGAGGATTTTGGAAGCAGAGGCTTTCCTTAAGCAGCTGATGTCAAAGCTGCAGCAGAAGCAGCAAACAGCAGCAAGAACTGCAGGTGTGGCCTCTAAATCAATATGTCTTTACTTTCTCAGGACAGCCTCCAGAGAGGATTCTGACTCACCACACATCTGGTTTATATTAATTGTTTGCTGAAAAGAACATATGAAGATGCTGCATGTATAATTACATATTTACCAAAATATCACAGGTTCGATGGAAGGCTTTCCCTGTGGTGAATTCTATGACTGGAGAAAGTGTGAAGAATGGAGTCACGTTCAGAGCTTCTAGTGACTTCTCAATGCTTCACCACAATTTTCTCTGTGAGGGTAATGAACTAATGTTTTCTACTGTGATAACTGGAGAAACATTAAAGATAGAACAAAATTCACTTTCTCTGCCTGGACTATTGCACTAGCTTCAGAAATGATCCCTCAGCCTATAGCCTTGTCGTCCTCCATTTGTTCTCTCTTCAGGAGAGTACTCTTGTTAGATCCTAAATGAGATCCTGGCATTCCCTCACTCAGCACCCTCCTTCCCCTCTCCTGAACCATGAAACCCAAAATCCTTCTGAGGGTCTCTGAGGCTGCGTAAGATTCATCCCACCTTATCACTCTCACCTAATCTCCTGTGTATCTTCCTTGTTGCTCTCTCATGCTACAGCAACCTTGCTCTTCCATGAACATACCAGGCACTCCCACCCCTGGGCTTCTGCACGTGCAGTTGTCTTTATCTGCACTGCTCTCCCACATATCCCTGAGCTCACTTCCTTCAAATCTGTGTTTAAATATCACCTTCTAAATGAATCCATCTTTGGCCTCCCCGTTGACATTGCAATTCTCCTACTCTCACCGGCACCTCTCCCTTCCCTATGTCATTTTTTTCCTCATAACACTTATTGCCTTCTCATGTTCCACTTCATTTACCTACTCATTTTATTTATCATCTGTTTTCTCCCACTAGATTCTAAGTTCCCTGTGGACAGGGGTTTTCATCTGTTTTGTTCAGTGGCATGAACAGTGCCTGCCATGTAGTAGGTGATCAGAAAATGTGCAACCTGAGAGTACTCCATGAAAATTTGAACATTATTAATCTGAGGTGTTTAACTCACCTGGCTGCTTCCTAGAGAGGTAACAAACAACATTACCTGTTAATTGAGGAACCAATTAGCTCTGCAGAAGTAAAATCTCTCTCCTACAGTCAAAAACAACACTCTGATGCTATCCTTTCACCTAAACCTTGTACACAGTAAGTCACAGCAATAAGAAAATGTGGATGACACAGTATGATTCAGAATAGGAGTTGGATAAGAAAACCCCCTATAGCATATACCTCCCAACAGGGGGTATCAGTAAAATGACTTCTATATTCAGCATACTTATTTGGCTGTTGCAGTGTATTTGTCCAGAAAATTATGCTAGTTGTAAGGAAATGGAGATATAAAATATATTTTAACTCCAAATAGGACCATGAATGTTTGTTTATGTTTTGTTAAATATGTTAGCAGTGATCCTCTTGCCAAAAACAAGATGTTTTATTTTACTAATATTATTAGTAAATATGTATTTTTCTGGTTTTAAAAACATGTACATTATTGTAAAAGAAACCCAAAAGACATATAGTTCTGTACAACCTGGTAGGTTGGAGAATTTTCTGTAAAAAATATGTAACCATAGCACCCTTGTCATTAGCAATCAAGCAATCCTGATTTTTTAAAAAAAAGCAATTAGCCTTTAAGAAAAGCATAAAGCTAATTAAAAATGACAACTTAGTCATCTAAGCAAACAACAGCTCAGAATCAGTCCCCACCACCTACTACAAACTGATATGCTATAAACTATGGTTGAAAATGACCTCTTTTCAATTACTTTTTTAAAAAGTCCTTGCAGCTGCAGAGTCCTCGCATGCTCTTTCCTGCCATGCTCGGTTGATTTATTCTCTGAAGTTGGCTAAATTTTTAAGTACATAAGGCTGCATCCATGCAAACCTTTATTTAGAAACTCATTAGTGCCTAAGTTAATGAATCTTCAGTTATCCATGTTTTGAAACCTCAGAGATTCAAAAACCTCGAAAACAAAACAAAAGCATTTATAGGAAGAATGTAAGATTGGGTTGTCAGTAAGTATTCTGTCCTATGAAGCATTAATTTAGCAACCAGGTGGATGTAAAATCTTATAGTGAACTAGCATAATGAACATAAATAAGTAATAAAAAAAATACTCAGGCGGGGCGCAGTGGCTCATGTCTGTAATCCCAGCACTTTGGGAGGCCGAGGCAGGCAGATCATGTGAAGTTAGGGGTTCGAGACCAGCCTGGCCAACATGGCAAAACTCAGTCTCCACTAAAAATACAAAATTTTAAGAATTTAAAAATTTAAATTCTTTCTAAAGAAAGGTGATGGTGGGCACCTGTAATTCCAGCTACTCAGGAGGCTGAGGCAGAAGAATTGCTTGAACCCAGGAGACGGAGGTTACAGTGAGCCGAGATCATGCCATTGCACTCCAGCCTGGGCAACAAGAGCCACACTCCATCTCAAAAACAAACAAACAAACAAACAAACAAAACTTATTCCACTAAGTACCCTCATGTAGAATTGAAGAAATTCTGCAAAACACTCAAATGCTCTTTAGAAGTTAGGAAGGAGCAAAAATATTGTAATTGAGCATACATTTTTTTCTAACTCCTCCCTATTGATTTCTTCTTATAGTCTCATATGTGTCTCTTGCCTATATTCTCTGTTATTATTTTGTATCTTGCAAAAAACCCTGTGAGTTTTCTTTGTCTGTTCTCTTCTTCACTGTCTTCACTGTTCTCACCCCTCATTTTGCACACACAAAAAAATTGTTGCAGATGCAGTTAGACTGGCAGAGGCAGGATGCAGTCTAAAAACTTGATTGACTCCATTCAGATAAGGCTGCTGAGAGTTACCAAACAAACCTAGATTCCTAGGAAAAGTAAAGAGAGAGGAGTGGAAACAGATTGGACTACATTTTTTCTTAGACTCAAAGCCCATAAGCTCTTGCCCCCTATCATGTCTGTGTTAAGTGGCAGGGCTAGCTACCAGGGAGTTAAGGCCAGGAACAGAACTACTGATATGTCAGACAGTTCTGGATGACTGTATTTTGCTGAATTATGAAGTAGCAACTGCTGGAAATAATAATAGGCCTTAAAATAGCAAAAATTCCTGAAAGACTATATCAGGGAGTGACCAATTTCTATCATGTGTTGATGTCAATTTAGAACATGGATGTTCCCTAGAGAAAAAAGGAAATGAGATTCCAGACCTGCTTTTTTTTAAGTGATTTAAACTACGTACAAAATCCCTGCCAGGCTCAGTTATAGAACATACGGGAAATGTCAAGAGGCCAAATGACAGGAAAAGCATTCTGTATAATCGGGCTCCTCTCTACATTTAATGTGGGAATATGAAAATCCTCAATAGCATGGCAGTCCTGGATGTACTGGAAACCATAAAATCCCTCAGCTACAGGGTTAAGAAATAGTTTCTATAAATTAAATCCCAAGAATAAGCTGCAGAAATCTCCTAAAGAGAAAGTACAGGCAGTTAATACCCTGTAAGGTAGAATTGAAATGGTATTTTATTAGAAATCTAAGATCATGAATGCCTGAATATTGTCCTACCACCAGCCACTTCCTCTCAGTCCTATCTCCATCTTCACTTCACCTGAGATCTCTCCAGAAGATATATATGTGCAGTGGCTGTGGCTAAGCGAATACATGTTCTTCATTCCTCAGAAGTAGTAGACAAAAGCCCTGAACACCTATGCTGGCCATAAGGAGATTCCTTTTCCCTAAGCTATAGACAGAATTAAGCAGCCCAAATCCACTGACAATCCCATTTTCCCCTTTGCCTATAGATTTTAGATTACAAATTGATGACCATTCACTGCAACAGGCTCATATAGGTTTTGGCTGTCAGTGTATTGTTAGACGTACTAAATTGCTTGCAAACATTAAAAATTAGCTGGTCTCTTATTTTCAAAGCCTCACTGCTTCTTTTTCTGGGGACAGAAAACAAAGATCTGCACCGCTAGAATCAACTGCCTATCGGGGAACATCTGGGCTGCTCTGACCAGAAGGCAAACATTCCAGCCTCTGTCGCTCATTTTTTCTCTTACTCCAGGTCTATTTTCTGCATTCTCATCACACTCCTGGCTTTGGGTTTGAGACATTTGACCTAAACTCTATACCTAAAAGAGTCTTAGTCTCCTATATCTAAAAACCCCAATGACAAGGAATAATGAGTACAAAGAAAAGTACCTCAAGGGAGAAAGGGGAAAGTAAAAGTTTCTTATTCAATAAAAACCATAGTTGTCCCACCCCAGGTCTTCTCAAGATATATCCCAACCTAAAACTGCAGGAAAAGGAAGGTATGATTTTTAAAAATCTACAAAAAGACAACTGAGTTTGAGGGAGAGCAAGAGAGTGAGTGAGAAATGATGAGAGAGAGGGAGTGAGACACAGATAGATAGACTAGTACATTAACACATTAGCATTATAAATGTCTTTGACCATCAACGTTAATTCTTCCCCTTGGGAATAAAGTGCAGGAGGAAAAAAGGAGATGAGAAAAGAATCTGAAGCTTCACGGAAAGGCCTTAATCTTTAAGCTTCAGCATCTCGGCACCTCACTAGCAAAGATAGCCTCCAAGATCCTGTACCTATTTTTATATTTATAATTTTGCATTCTTCTTCTCAGGGGAGGGGGAGGTTCCAAAACTTCATACTTTTCAGGCCTCAAAATGTTATATCCATCTCTTCCCATATCCCACATTTTAAATGCCTTGACCAACATAAATTTTTTTAAAAAGATACCAAGTTTGTGTGTGTGTGTGTGTGTCTGTGTGTGTGTGTGTGTGTGACTAAACTAAGACATCCCAGACAAGGAGATAATTCATTAGTTACTAAAACCATAACTCATAGAAGGAGAATGTCTCAAAATTTACTTATTTCATGGAAGATCTTCTGGGTCATAATACCAGAGAATAAGCTATTTTTAAAGATTTACAAATAACTAAACCTGTTTTATGAATAAAGTCAGATGCACTTTTATATATATATAACATGTATATATAACATATGTATATATAAGATATATAACATATATAACATATATATATAATTTTCATAACTTAATATTTTGTGTCATCTAAGATTTGTGGAGTGTAATCTTGCCCAAGGTTTCCCCTGATCCTTAGCATATGAAAACGTACAAACTGGAGTTTTACCATAACTGGGTTTCATAGGATTGTCCCCATAAATAATTGTTGAGAAGAAAATCCTGTAAGTATAAGCTAAAGTCACAGGTATTATAAGGGTTGAGTCTGTTCTATAATCTCTAATATACTCGCATTTTTTTCATCTTTAGAAGCAACACATGTTCTCACTCATATGCAGAAGCTAAAAATGTAGATTCCATAGAAGTAGACAGTAGAATAGTAGTTATCAGAGGCAGGCAAAAGTAGAGGAAAGAGAGGGATAGCCAGAGATTGGTTAACCGATGAGGAGCTCCAGCTGGATAGGAGGAATACGTGCTAATGTTTTATGGGACTATCGGGTCACTATAATCAACAATTTATTGTATATTTTCAAATACCTAGAAGAGTAGGTTTCAAGTGTTTCCAAGAAAACAAAGAAATAATAATGTTTGAGGTGATGGCTATGCTAATTACCCTGATTTGAGCTTACATATTGCATACATGTATTGAAATATCACACTGTACCCCATAAATACATAGAATCATTATATGTCCACTAAAAATAATAATAAAAGTAAAAAAATTGCTACTGAATAAAGTTATATGCATAACAGGCGGTCTAATAAGCAAAATCTTTTCAGGTATGAAAAGTGATCATGGTGGCTGACTCTTGTAGTCCCAGCACTTTAGGAAGTCGAGGAGGGTAGATTGCTTGAGACCAGGAATTCAAGACCAGCCTGGACAACACGGTGAAACTGTCTCTATAAAAATTAACCAGGCATGGTGGTACACACCTCTTGTTTCAGCTACTTGCTGGGCTAAGGCCGGAGGATCACTTGAGCCCAGGAGGTCGAGGCTGCAGTGAGCTGTGATCACACCACTGCACTCCAGCCTCGGCAACAGAGCGAGATCCTGTCTCAAACAAACAAAACATCTTGAACTAAAAATTTGGTACTATACTTAACCTTACATTTTTCTCCTAAGTCTAATAATGCGTATTTATGCCGAAAGGAATCTTTTATTCCTTAATTTGTTTTCAAAGACAAGAAAAAAGAGTATTCCTTTTATATTTTAAAAATAGAGACATGTTATATAAAAAGTAAAAGGGTAAGCTATTGAAAGGGTAAGCTATTGAAAGCTTTTAAATAAAAATGTCTAAAAAACAATGTCTAAAATATGATTTTCCAACCACTAAAATTAGACCTTTTTTTTTTTTTTTTTGAGATGAAGTCTAGCTCTGTCCCCCAGGCTAGAGTGCATGGCGTGATCTTGGCTCACTGCAACCACTGCCTCCTGGGTTCAAGCAATTCTCTGCCTCAGCCTCTCAAGTAGCTGGGATCACAGGCACCCACCAACATGCCTGGCTGATTTTTGTATTTTTAGTAGAGACAGGGTTTCACCATCTTGGCCAGGCTGGTCTTGAACTCCTGACCTCAGGTAATCCTCCTGCCTTGGCCTCCCAAAGTGCTGGGATTACAGGCATAAGCCACCGCACCTGGCCTAAAATTAGAGCTTTATATTTGACATAGCTCTGATGTGTAAGTTACTGATATTCAAATTATATCCAATGGCATATACGGAATTTTGTGCAGAAGTGTTTTGAATATTTCCAGCTTCTCAGGCTCAATCCCCTTCGTTCAGAAAACTATTGTTCTAGACTGAAATAGAAGAATTCACTTTATTTTAACATAGGAATTTAAGCTGAAGCATAGAGCAACAGGCTGGCATATAAAGGGATTCCATCTGTCATTAGGAAATTAAAATATAATTAAATAATAATATACTGGAAATTGACAATATGCTTCCTTTATATACACGTTAAGGATTTGTCAGATGGCTGACATGGATTAAAAGCAAGGACATTCTGAAACTATCAATAATTAGTCCCTGGAATTCGATCCAAAAGAAGCAATCTTAAATGCCTCACCATTATAGGCAATATTCTTATAAGATTCCATTTGCAAAATGTATTCTTTCTTTTACTTTTTTTTTAAGTTATGTTTTGGCAAGCCTGTAGATAAAGATATAGATGCCACAATTGTAAAGTGGTACATGAAATAAATACAAACTATAAATGTGTTTTATTAAAAATGATTTGTTTTTTTTGTTTTTTTTTTTGAGATGGAGTCTTGCCCTGTTGCCCAGGCTGGAGTGCAGTGGCGCATTCTTGGCTCGCTGCAACCTCCATCTCCTGGGTTCAAGCAATTCTCCTACCTCAACCTCCTGAGTAGTAGGGATTACAGGTGCCCGCCACCACGCCCAGCTAATTTTTGCATTTTTAGTATAGACAGGGTTTCACCATGTTGGCCAGGTTGGTCTCAAACTCCTGACCTCAGGCGATCTGCCCAACTCGGCCTCCCAAAGTGCTGGGATTTCTGGGCTGAGCCACCACAACTGGCTGAAATGTTTCTTGCCAGATACATCAGATAATATATTGTTAATAGTAAAACTAGACCTATTTAGATATACTTAGATTTTTACTATCTTTAGCAGCCAAAATCTTCAGGTTTATAAGCTCATCACCAAATACAAAGTTGTATTTTGCAGCAATTAAGCAAAAAGTTTTAGCACATAAAAATAGTTAATTTCCATACGGGATATTTGGTTTTGTGCAGTCTGCTTTCTCTCTCTTTTGCTTGCTCTCTCTTTCTCTCTCTCTCTCACACACACACAATCCCAGTTCTTCTTATCACTATTGGTCTTTTGAGTCTTTTCAATTAGACATATAAGTATAGTAAGATATGTGTAATAAGAAAGAGGAGCTATTGAAGATCAATGAAAAATTGTGCCTGTGTGTGTGTGTGTGTGTGTGTGTGTGTGTGTGTGTGTGTGCGGTGTTTTCTTCCTCCTAATAATAATGTATTAAGGTTAATACTTTATTATTATATTTTTCTTGGTTGTTGCTATTCCATTTTGTTTTGCTTTTGCTTACATAGGAAGAAAGCTCTTTCTTTGACACCAAGATTTGTTTCTTAGAAAACTATCTTCAATTGTCATAACTGGATTTAATAGTATGAATACTTTCAAAACTTTTAAAAGGGACTTTCTAAAAAGTCTAGTGTTCTAAAGAAAGGGCAAGAACTCGGGCTTCAGATAGATCAGGAATTTGTCTTTGTCCAATTGTCTTAAAGAAGCTATTTTTTTCCATCTTCTTTTTTATTTTGTGAGATAATGAAATATTTAAATAACTGATACTTGGCAGAAACACTTATTCCCACAGTATTTCTTGCCAAAATGAAAGAAGAAAGATCCAAATATCAAACAAGGGATGCTGTATTTGTGAGATTATAAGCCTGATTTTGTACATGACCTCCCCCTTAAAATAAAATAAAATAAAATAAAATAAAATAAAATAAAATAAAATAAAGCAAAATAAAGCAAGGCAAAGCAAAACAAAATGATTAAAGCAGTGGAAATCTAGAAAGCTATTTGTGAAGTGATATAACCATCCTCAGTTGATGACAAAAATTAAAAATCCAAAAATATATAGCAAGAAACAATCTTGCTCTGACCATAAATGGATCAGATAACGAAATCCTCTTTCCAGTTTCAATATCTGTTCAATTTTTAAAAGGAACATAAAAGTTAGGACAACATGACCCATAACTTGTGATTATCCAAATAAAATTAAATGCCTTTAAAAAGTTTTCTACTAGGGTGGGGTGGGGGGGAACTAGGTCAAAAATAACGTGTATTCACTGGGCTTCATTTTATGAAAGGAAATGCTCTTCTGAGAAAATAAGTAATTCCATTCCATGCAGGTTTCATTTTTGTAAACATCAAATTGGCAAATATGCATTTGCTTTCTTCCCTAAGATTTGCCTTACAAAATGTTAAGGAAGAACTGACTTTACTAAGACTCCTCCATTTAATTATTGCATCCAAAATTTATTAAAGACAGAAAACAAAAACATTTGTAAGCCATGGGGACTGGTGGTAATTCAGGTACAGTGAAACCAGGAGGATCTGCTGATTCCAGATGGAGTGGATATATTCCCATGGCACCTATTACTTGCCAAATGTTTCGTAAAGCAAACACATGACCTAAAAGGTTTTGCAAGTGTGGGGTCTTCAACAAAAAAAAAAAGAAAAAAAAGAAAAAAGAAAAAAAAAGTATACACTTGCAAAAAAAAAAAAAATTCTGTTCTTATTTAAAAGTCATTTCTTAATTCCTAACCATAAGTTGTTTTTAAAAACACACACACTTTTAATATTTTTCAGCTGTCATGCCCACTTTAGTGAGTCTACATGTGTGGGTACTCCGTAAAATCTCACTGGTGGTGGCAGATGTCCCCTTTGAAATATTTCATCTGCTGCTGGGGGTGGGAAGGGGGTGTCACTTTGGTGCCATGAACGCCATTCCTTCTGAAGGCTCCAATTTAGGACAGTCTCTCTAGAGCAAAAGCAGTATTTCCTGATGTCACTCAAACCAGTGGTACAAAAAGCAAAGAAACATATGACTATGTCAAGATGAAAAAGGAATTTTAAATAATAACATATTTATGAAGCCTTTTACAACCACAAAAGAACTGCTGTAAAAAAAATCAATAATTGTTATAATTAAGGCTTGGCTATGGGAGAGTAAAAAATTATATTTGTTGTTTGAAGTGACCAAATTCTATGTGCATGGAAGCCCCACCTATTCAGGGAAGACTCGCCTAGTGGTTGGAACCCCAGATGATCTCTTCCTCCCTAGCATTCCTCTAGCAGTTTCACTCTGTACCACACATTTTAGCACTTAATTGCCTACTGTCATCCTTTATCCTCTAATTGTTTAGAGGTCTGGTAGTTTAGAAGTTTCAACTTATTTTGAGTGAATCTGTTTTTTCTTCCTTCAAGACAATTAGTGTGCTGAACAGAAGATACCCAATAAATATTTAATTGATGCATTCATTTATTCAGTAAATTTTCATAAACATCTAGTCCAGGCCAGGTTGAAAAAACGTCACTGTCCCTCGCCCTCAAGTAGCATGTATATTTCCAAAATTTTTTCTTAATGTCCCAAGAGAAAGTGACATTAAGACAATGATCTCAGAAATATGAGTATAACCACAACCAGTGTTGGGTGCTGTGAAGGAAAAGCACAAGACACTATAAGACAGTCTGTCAGGGGATTTGATGTAGATGAGGGAATGAGGTGAGGAAAAGTTTTCTGGGAAACTGACACTTCCTTTTAGGCCCAAAGAGTGAGTTAGAACTATCTAAAGAAATGCGAATAAAAACATCTTGGGAAGATGAAAATGCAGGCTAGTTTGAAGAACTGAAATAAGACCAGTGTGATAGGACAGTAATAAATATGCGAGAGATGGAAGGAGACGCTGGAAAGTGTAGCAGCAGCCTGATCATGTAGATCCCTATGGTTCACAATGAGGATTTTGAACTTCTATGCTGCATGAACTAGCAGGCCGTTTAGGGTTTTGAACCAGGAAGTGGCATGATCAGATTTACCCTTTAAAAGAACCATTCTAGCTGCAGGGTGAATAATGGATTAGAAAGAACAAATGAAGAAGTAAGGAGACCAGGGAGAAACATATTTTATTAATCCAGGCCAAAAATGACCCAATCATGAACTAGGGCAGATGACAACAGAGGACATGGAAAGAGATGGGCAAGCCGGAGGTACATTTGCAAAATTAAATCTTTAGGACGTTATGGTGGATTTGATATGGAGCTTGAGACAGAAAAAAATCAAAAGTAATATGGCAGCTTCTGGCTTGAACTAGGTAGGCTGGGCACAGTGGCTCATTTCTGTAATCCCGGCACTTTGGGAGACTGAGGTGGGCAGATCACTTGAGGTCAGGAGCTTGAGATCAGCCTGGCCAACATGGCAAAAGCTCATCTCTACTAAAAATACATCGGGCCTGGTGGTACACACCTGTAGTCCCAGCTACTCAGGAGGCTGAGGCTGGTAAATGGCTTGAACCCAGGAGGCGGAGGCTGCAGTGAGCTGAGATCATGCCACTACACTCCAGCCTGGGCAACAGAGTGAGACTCTGTCTCTAAATAAATAAATAAATAGAATAAACAACTAGGTGGATGATGGTATCACTTACCAAAACATAAAAATAAAAAAAATAAAGCAGGACTTGATTGAAGAAGAGTAGGAATCAATAGATTTTAAGTTTCAACTGCTCCTGAGGTGTGAAAGTGGAGGTGTCAGATCAGCAGCTGGTAGAAGGTCTGGAGCTCAGGAGAGATTTGTTGGAAGAAGGTGATTTGGGAGTCATCCCCCAAAAAGAGCGTTTGAAAAACAGGACTGAAAAAGTTCGCTTAGAGAAGGAGAAGGTAGGAAGAAGAGAAGAAGCCCAGGACAGCACAGAGGAACAGGGGAGAATTACAAATAGGACAAGAAGGAGACAGAAAAACAAACTAAAAAAAAGAAAGAAAGAAAGAAAGATGAGGTAGGAGGAAAGCAGCGGAGTGTGAAGAACTCAAGGACTCAAGGGAAGAGTCAGGAAGGATGTCCTAGTTGTCGATGCCATTGTGAGGAGCAGCCTTCCATTCTAAGTGTCCACCTTGGGTCGTTCCAATTGGAGGTTGTGCTGAAAACACAGCTTGTTCTTTCTGTCAGTAGCACCTGCTTTTATACGTCTTTTTTTCTCCCAATTAGCCTTACATCAGCTGCTCTGGATAATAATTACATATGTCTTTGCAAAATTGCGTGACTTACAAGAGAAATTCTTTGTATGCTAGGTAAACTACACTTTTAGGTCAAGCCATCTTAAACGTAAACTCCAAGTTTTGTAAAAATGTACCCAGCCATTTTTATATGATATGGTTAACAGGCAAAATTTAATCTAGTATTCTATTAGTAAATATTATTTGTAGACACATGACAATGAGCTGCGATTGTATCTAACTTGTCCTCATTCTCTCTTCTTAGCTCAAAAAAGGATTATTTTTAAAAATTGCCAAAATGGTAAGGGATACATAAAAATTAAAAAGAGATGTATTTTGTTGGTAAAATTACGGATATGTTTGTATTTTCTTTTAGAATTTCCTTTAAAGGCCTACGTTAAATACATTGCTGGTGGGAATATAAATTAGTACAATCTCTTTGGAAAACTATTACTCCATTTTTTTAAACTTTGTATTTAATGATAATGTAATGCCAAAATTGCACATAATTGTATAGCTCTCTGAATTTTCACAAACTTAACATACCTCTATAATCAGCACACAGATAAGAAACAGAAAATACCAATACCTCAGAAGATTCCTTGGCATTTTATGTTTAATGTTGAACATTCCTTTAGGACTATTCTACTCATACACACACACACACACACACATGCACACACACAAACATGCTGTATATATGCACACATATACAGCTATTCTACATATGAATAATATATCCTGACAAAATAGTTGGAGTTGCTTTAAGAGTGTCCTTCAATAGCTATGAGAGTTTTGAAATTTAGTTAGATTTTCAGGTTTACTTGGGGTGATATTCAAAATATTTAACCACTGATAACAGCACATGTAACAACCAATCCAAACAGATGCCACCCTTGGACCTGGGGCACAGTCCTGCAGTCTCCCTGCTGTGCTGATATGATCTTTCCGTTGCTGGATCATAAAGATATCCAGATGATTTCTAAGGAGAAGCCCTTGGAGCTAGAGTGTAGGGATAATGCCTGAGGACTAATTAACCAGTTATATAAGTAGGTCAATATTTTTAAAATTAATACAACTAGACATGGATAAATGATTTGTTCAGACTAACATTTATACAATTTGGAATATGTCCATGAAGAAAATAAATACAAATTGTCTTACTTTCACAAATAAAGAAAAGAAAAAAACAGGAAAAAAGATTATTACTAGGGCCTCTACCAGGATCCTAAGTATAAATAAGTTTCATATGATCAGTTTCATGAAAATCTACCTCTGGCTATGGGTGTACTGGAACATACCAGCTGAGTATTTGCTTTGAGTCCAGATGAATATTCCAGGCTGCAGATTCTCAGACTAAACCAGACTACATGAAGACCTTGTCACTGTTAATGACCATGCCAGTGTAGACACGATCAGTGTATTTTTGTTTGCTGCTGTTTAGTTTGTGCATGATTCAGTTGCAAATTAAATTTGATTTTACTACATTAGAATTCTAATATTTGAGAAATACCAAGGACATACCTAAAATAGTTTCAGCAACAGTATTGCAGAATATGAAGCAACTTTGCAATCAATTCTACCACTATAGCACTTCTATAACTTAGGACAACTTAGGACAACTTTTCTTATACAATAAGGCATATGATACATGTTTGCTGTTTGAAAAAATGAAGGTGAAGCTGGATTTGAATCTCAGCTTTACTAATTAGCATTACACTTTTTTACACATTCTTAAAATGGACAAGGTAATAAAACAAAAGGTGACTGTGAGGATTACTAAGAAAAAAAATAATTCATATGGTAGATACTCAAAAACTGTGAATGCCTTCCCTTCTCTCCAGAATACAGTTAAAGAACACAAGCCTTGAATGCATAACAAAAAAATGGGCTTTTTCTGCTGAAACAGATCTCAGAACTCAAGACATTGGAACCAGGGTTTTCAATCATGCAGAAAGGTTTAATTAAGCGAGTGCCAATGTGATAACTAAGTCTATGTCACTGCAACCCAAGACCAAATTTAAATGTTATCAAAGACTTTGAATTCCATAGGGATATTTTATTGAGCACACAAGGGATTGTGTTCTATATTTGATGACTTTGAGGAAGGGAAAGAAAGAAATCAGCAATTTTTCCCAATGAGTGGAGGGAAAAATGGAAGACAATACTGCTAGAAAAATACACAAATTATTAAAGAATTCTTGACAACAAATAGAAACATGTTGGCCATAAATACATTTTAGAACAAGATAGACTATATTTAAATGAATGACTAAAATTAAATAAATATTAATGCCTTTCTTTCTTAGCACACAAAGAAAAGAATGAATTCTTCAGAAATTAGGGAAAGTCAAGTGAACTCAGAGAAAACAGAAAAATAAACTTGCCCTGTGGTTATTAACAGCATGTACATCATTAATGATTACTGAATTATTATTAATATCACCATTGAATGATGTGTAAGTTCTCATGCCTTAAATGTAATGAACACATTAATATTTGTTAAGTGTGTGAACACATTAACAATATATGATAACCTTCTTTCTAGGAACTAGCTTATGGGTGCCAGAAGTTTTGTATTTCATAGTTTCATCATTGTTATTGAATTTTAAGTATTGTCTTAAGTTACCTTACTTCACCCATCTGGTAAAGATATTTTATATGTAAAATCAAGGCTTTCCTTTTCAGTTACATTTCACTCACATTCTGAACTCTATTTTTTATATCCTTAATTATGAACAAAGAGATCCTGAGAAATAAATCCATTTCCACTTCTAGCTACATTTCAAAATCTGGAATATTGAGTCTCCATGGAATGCTCAACCTCAGAAAGATTTTCCCCTGGGTCTCACAGGATATATTTTACAGCAGTTTAGGAGAGGAACCAATAGTTTTTATGGTCCTCAGGAGGACTGGATTGGTAGAAGACCACCAAGAAATGGAATAAGATTTCAGTTCTGTGGGTGTTACTCGAAGGGATTTGCTAAACCTACAAATTTCCCCTTCAGGTTACTATAAGTCAAGGTGACATATATGTAATATATATATGAATTGGCAATGTAATTGCAATAAATGATTTCTGTCAAGAAGAATTTAAAATACATTTTTTAATCCTAAATGTTTTTAAGAATATCAGTGGGAATAATGTTTTCCAGTTTATGAGAAATCACTTGGTTACTACCTAGAAAGACATTAAGGATAATATGAAATCTAGTACTCACAGAAAAAAAAGTTGTTTTTCTATCTATAATTGTTTCACCTTAAAAATATCATTTTCATTTGGAACCTCAGTGTCCTTAAAGGGTAAAATTTATTATGTACATATTGTGACTATAAGGAGTCTTTGAAAAACAATAAAATAACATTGAAACAATAAAAGTTGACTAATGAGGAAATGAATGGAAAAAAACAGACTAATAATAACAATAATAATAGTTAACCTTTGGGTCAGGTGGAGTGGCTCACACCTCTAATCTCAACACTTTGGGAGGTAGAAGTGGAAGGATTGCTTGAGGCCAGGAGCTTAAGACCAGCCTGGACAACAAAGGGGACCCAGCCTCAACAAAAATGTATTTTTAAAAAAATAGCTGGGTATGGTGGCACGTGCCTGTAGTCCTAGCTACTCAGGAGGCTGAGGCAAGAGGATCACTTCAGTGCAGCAGGATGAGGCTATAGTGAGCCGTGATCACACCACTGCACTCCAGCCTGGGCAACAGAGCAAGAACCTGTGTCTTAAAAATAAACCAGAAAAACAGTTAACCTTTGAAAAGTTTTTAGTTTGTGCAATGTATGTAGTAAGCAGCAATTTTATGCATCTAATTTAATCCTCCTAACAATTATATAAAAAGAGAGGTAGGCTGGAATTAGAATTTGAATCCAAATAAGTGAAACTCTGCAGAATGACAGAGTAGGACTAAGAGAATAAAAAACATTTAGCCTATTCTGTTTCACATTACAAATTATTTCTTAAAAAAGAACCCTGGGCATGTACTCTATCCTTCAAGATAACTCTCAGGATTGCAATTTGTCAATATTCAACAGAAGAATTAAAAATCACCATGTATTTTGAACCAGTAATTCCACTTCTAAAATTGTATAAAATATAAATGCAAGGATGTTCATTAAAGCATTACATAAAATAATAAAAATTTAGAAATGGCACAAATGATTTGGGATTTGTTAGGTAAACTATGGTAGGTCTATGAGATAGTTTATATCACTATAAATTACATTATAGAAAAATGTTTCTGAGCATGGAAAGAAAATGTTCACAATATATTGCTAACCTTCAAAAATGTATCCCATTTTGAATAGAAATAAAAATACGTATGTATATTTTGAAAAGGTCTTGAAAGAAAACATACTAAAATGGTAATAAGCAACACTTCTCCCTGCTGTGCCCAGAATCCAGCATCCAAAGCTTCAGTGGTGGGGTGGCAGGAGGGGTGGCAGCAACATGGCAACCTCAAGGATGGAACTATGGTGTGAGTTTGGATCTCATTCTAAGTGATACAGCCCCCCAGCCTGGTTCTCTGGCTCACAGTAAACTCCACAATAGTCTTCAATATCTCCATTTTCTGCTTCTAGTATCCAAAGCTTGTTTCTGTGGCTTGCCCTGAGGATCCCAACAGATACAGGTCCTCCTTAGAGTCTTCAGTAAAGTCCTGTGTGAAACACAGAGCAAATGGCCAAGAGGTTGAGGTCATCTGTAGAAAAATGTCCAGCATCAGTTATTCTCATGATTTCTGGAATTATCAAATACTAATTCTCTTCCCCAAGATAAATTTTTGAGCAATAGCAGAGACACTGGAAGTTTACTGTGATAAAAGTGGAAATAAGGAAGAAATGAGGAAACTGCTGGAGGCTGGATTTCCCAAGTCCCACCTCCAGACGCGTGCCTATGTGTGCTTTGACCAGAGAGGGTAACAATTATCCCCATGGAAAAGAACTCTTCGGAGAAATTATATTTCAAGGTGAAGATCCAGATTCAAAAATTAGGACTCCACAAGTTACAAGTCTGTGCAGTCAAAAAAAAAAAAAAAAATGCAGGCCTACTGAGGAGTTCAAAGTGGAAACTTAGTAAAGCAATTCCCAGCCCCTGAAAACAGCACCCACGTGAAGGGCTAAAGATATTCCAAATGGAGGATTTCCTAACACCCCCTAAGATGTGATGACTGAGAAGAGTGACAAGTAGGTAATTCCAGGGACTAGAAGAGAGAGGCAGCCTTTTGAAAGGGTGCAATATAATTGATTTCATTTTCAGGTGAAATAGCTGGGACTATCACTGCCTCTCTCAATTCACCCATGTGACCTACAAGGGAGTTCCTATGACCATTTGGCTGAGAAAGAAAAACTGACCTGGGTCACATCATATGCTGGTACTGGCCAGCCATGGATTGCTATTCTACTGCAGCCTCACCCAAAGGTGGACCTAAAGAAAAGTGATGAAGAGATAGCCTCTCTCGTGGGCAAAACTTGGAGCAGGAAGTCTTGCTATTTAGTATGCCTGGGAAGAGAAATGGCCTGAGGTTCAGACTGATTTAGAGGCAGTCACTGTTGGGTGGCTAGTTGGCCAGGAAATGGAAGAAGAGTGTGAGAAGATTGGTGAGCACTGTCTGGGAAAAAAGTTATGTGAATGTACCAAAACTGGGCACAAAGCATGAAGATGTTTGTATCCTGTGCAAAATGCTCTATGATTGTTGAGAACATCCACTCTTGAGGAAGTTCTCAGCAATCATATTGTCAAAATAATTCATACAAAGGCTATCAGGCAGCATCCCTCCCCAGTGCTTATCCAATGGGTCCCTGTACAAAGATGCCATCATGACAGACAGAGGCAATGCAAGGCCTCAACTGCATGGTCTTCACCTCCACTTTATCACCATAACATGGTTTCTAAGTACAACCTCAGTGACCAATATTTAATACCTGACAGAGCATCATTATCAAAGGGATTAGCAGCTTTCAGGTGGCAGGTTGATTACAGTGGTCCTCTGTAATCAACAGTGAACCATTTTGGAAGGGGCAGAAATTTGGCTTCATTAGATGGATATCTATTCTATACATGGATTTGCTATGCTTCTTGCCAGTACTATCATTTCATGAACTTATAAAAATATACTGTTAATCTTCATAGAATCCCACAACATGTTGAAGCTCATTTCACAGCAAAATGTGCAGCAAGGAATTTATACCCATGAAATTCACTTGTCTTGCAGTGTACCCTATTGTCTGAAGAAAACTTACCTAATAGAACAATGAAATTAATTACTGATGATTCAGTTATGAAGTCAGCTGGGAGACCACATCCTAGGAATATTGAGTGCTTTGAACAAGGAACCATTATAAGGTACTGCTTCTCTCATGGCCTGAATATAAAGGTTTGGAACAAATGGGTAAATGGAATTACCATTTTTGTTAATACTCTAAATAACTATACTTGTATCATTTTTGCTGTCTTTATAACTTCATACTCAGCAGATTTAGAGATCTTAGTTCCCAAAAAAGAAATACTTACATTAATAACACAAGAATTGTCCCTTTGAAATATAATTGAAACCCCCACCTTGATATACTTTGGGCTTCTCCTGCCATTGAACCATCAGCCAAAGAAAGGGGTTGTGGGGATTGATCCTAACAACTGAAAATTGTTTTGCTGAAACATGATGGGATTTACTCTCATCTTCCCTTAATACTTTCAAGCTTAGTAGTAAAAATCAAAAGGCAACTATCCAGTAAAGCCAAAATCACTAAGGGTTCCAACCCTTCAGGAAGGAAGTCTTGGTTCACCAGCCAGATAAATAACCCTGACCAATTGAGGTTCTGGTTGAGGGCAAGAGGAACATAAAAGAATGAAGGAAGGCAGCACACTCATGATTAGAGACAATGATGAGGGTGATGCTAGCTCTGCCTGCTTTTGTTATGTATATATTAACAAATTATTTCTATTTTGCCCTTTCCTCTTTCTCTATTCATATGATCTATGAGGGAGTGTTCATGATGCATAGATTTTCATAGTGACTCACAAATCACTGCACTCTGAGAAACTGCATCAAGACCTGATGAAGAGGACATTGTATCACTTGACCACCTTCAACTTTGAGAATGAAAAGTGAAGATGAGACTTTTTGTGTCCCTTTTGTGGAGAGGTGTGACAGCATCTTCATTTGTGTTTTGGGTTGCATTTTATTAGGTAGAAGAATGAAGTCATTGTTTCATGGGAATAAATGATGTATAGTTAGCAAAAATGCATGCCGCACAGAAAAAGGGGTGGACTGTGCTACTTCCTTACTTCCTACTTCCTTACTGCTCACAGATTCATTTCCCATGCTTATTCTGCTTGCCAGAAATTGGCTTTTACAAACATGTTCAAGGTTTTTTATCAACTGCTTTCTAGCTAGGTGGGGTAAATGGGAAGCCCTAATTATGAGTTTAGGCTGCAGGAAGGGATAAATTAAGCCCCCAATTCCAACCCTCCCACTGCTTCTGGTAGAATCTCTAGTAATGGCCTCATCTCCTCATGGTTCTAATTCTAATCAGGGATCTAAACAGCCCCTCTCACTGTGGTTTCACCTCCAGCTGACTGGCCCTGGTTCCTACGCTCTGGTAATATCCTGGTAATATCATATTCTCCCTCTGCCCTCCAGGTGCAGGAATGGCAACACTTGTGTGGGTTGGCACACCATCCTTGGTTGGCTTTTCAGCCTTCTAATTCCTTTGTCATATATTTTAGGCTTCTTACATACTCCCAAGCATTGACTCTGTTTTCTCATTTGACTCTGACTGATCACAGTTATTTCAGTAGTTTAGGTGAAAGATAATGGTGATTTAAACTGAGGTGCTAGGGTGTTAGCAGTAGGTACCAAGAGATTTAAACAGAGCAGAGGACGTGCTATATATATTGTAGGTGTTGAAGAAAGGGAGGAATCAAGGAGAGTACTTGTTTTTTTTTTTATTTTAAGCAACTTCATAGATCATGGCATAATTTATTGAAATGCACTAGATAAAGGAAGAAACAGTTTGGAGACAAGAATTTTAAAATTCCTCTTTATATGTGTTCATTATGAGATCCCTGTAGGATAGCAAAATGGGATTTCCCTATTTGACAGATTCTTAGTAAAACTAGGGATTTGGGAAAAGACCCAGCCTCCTTCTTGATACTTCAGTTCCAAGTCCTCTTTTTCATTTGCAATTAACTTATGAGTGGTTAGATACCAGCTCCTTTTTCTGTTCTTGTCAAATGGAGAAAAAATGAGGAAAAATGAAATTTCTAGGGATATTTTCATTTAAATGATACTCTAATAGAATAAACGAATTTGCCTGACTGTTTAAGTTTTACCAGAAAGGATTTTACCTGATTCTGAAATGGCCAAAATAAGTGATGTTCTAAACAAGGAAACCTTAAGGCAACTCTCATTTGCTTGTTCTGATGCTCTGAGAACAGGAAGCCTAATTACTCAACAGCCAAGTGCACTTAGCAATGTCTTGAGAAACTGCCCTCTGGCAACATTCTCTTTTAGGACATAATCAATTCATTGCCTTAGCATCAGCTAAATTTCACTGGAATAAAAATAGGAGGAAAATACTGACCTCATAATGAGATTCTTGAGTCCAAAATAAAAATTTATAAGCAGTGCGGTGCCTGAATGAAGGATATGAAAGAAGCAGTAGTTTGCTTCTGGCTTTGTGAATTTAGCCATATTCTCATGTTTCTGTTCCTACATAGTTATCAGCCATTCACATATAAAAATATAATCAGGATTCAGGAACTACAATATTAATAAACAATAATGGGTAAGAACACATGAAAATATCACCAATATATTTCTGAAAAGGAAATTGGGTGTCAGATTATCTTTCCTAAATTTTATACATTTAGTGTTAGCTAATATATTTCTTGAAATACTTGTGCAGTTTATCTTTTTGTGATAGTGTCTTTCAAAAAGTGTTGTGGAGTGTGCTATAACATAAGAAAGCAATCCTACAGCAAATTTTGCTTTATACCTTTGCTATAGACACTACATTCCAGTTGATGTGAAAGTGTGCATAGAGTGTATATGTCTGTGTGTATATTTACTGAATACATCCTCGTTGATGGCTGGCCATTTAGGGGGGGAAATGTGAAGAGAAGAACAGTGGCATGGGGATGGGGAATTCTCCTCTTTAATCAGTCTTATAAAATCAAAAATTCCCATGCTTAGAAGGTCAAAGAGAGAGTATAATGCACTTATGAAAAAGAGATAGGCTCATTAATCCAGTTGTTCTTGGCCCAGACAGCAGAAGAAATATAAATGCTGTCATCACTTACGTGTGAGATAAAGGATGAAATGTGGGAATTTGTCGGTTTACTGCAAAGACCATTCTTTTGGTTTGAGAACATTGGTGGAAATAACCTGAGCTGAGAAAAGCTCCCTATGAGGAATACACGTTATGGGAAACTATTAAAGACAACGTTTGGTCAATGACCTTCGTGACGTAGTTTAATCAAGCTGCACACCCCTCACCAAAAAGACAACTACTTGAAGAAGGGAGCCCTCAACAAGCCAAGACATTTTACCTTTCCTCTATTACATGAGTCTGGTATAAGACATGAGTGTGCAATAAATCTCTAGTTCATGCATTCAGAGGCTGCACTATGATAATGATAGACTATAAATCACAGAAAATATGTTACCTTTATTTTAGGACAGACAATAGCTAGAAATAGTGCTAACCAATAGCACAGATGTCTAGTAGATACAAAAATGAAGATTTGGCAGTTGTTTAAAAATGGGAAGTACAAGGATTTGACCTGAAATATATTAGAAAATAGCAGCAGTTTCATAGTTTTGTCAGGTTTCCAGTTTTGCATTTCACTATTTCTTTTTTAAATCCCATGTTCTGTTTTGGAAGGTAGACTGCAATTTTGGAAAACTGAAAAAATTTCTGTCATGCATTTCTAAAGTAACCTTGTAAATATTTGTAGATCATATACACATACATGAGCTTTTATGTAAATTTGTTTTTCTTTGAAAGTTTAAGGATAACTGAATGCTGAGAATGGAAGTAAAATGAGGCTGTAAACAAATGGGAGGCTCCCGCAAGGACCCATGGGGATTGGAACTAGGCTTTCCATGTGCCAACTATTAGCTAATTGTGAGATGACACTGACTGACCGGACTCATGATCCACATCCCAGTGTCTGCCTCAAAAGAGCTGTTAGAAGAAGAAAATGCTCATTTGTTGCAACTGTGACCAAGTTCTCTGAAATCCAATAATGGGCAGCTGGAGATCCCTCACATAACTGACAACACAAAGGGTCAAAGAGGCTTCTGATACCCCTGAGGGAGCGGTAAGAAAAAGCAGGCAGGGTTAACCCTGTTTTAAGTACAACAGGGTTAACAAGCTATAATTTACTACCTTGTTGATTTTCTTGTTTGATGGAAGTCTGTAGAAACTGGGAACTTATGGAAAAGTAAATTACACTTTTCAAAAATCCTCTTTTTTGTCTTTCCCTTTTTTTCTTGTGCCCCACCTTTTTTATGTTGGTGGGAGGGGGGATGGCCAGGAAGTTAGGCAAGCTGATTTACTTAAACAGTTGAAAATCTAGAGAAATCTGATCTTAACTTCCCAGAGGTTGAAAAGTAATGCCGTTTCCTGTGATTCTCCATTTCCTGGGTTTAGCAGGGACACAGATCCCAAGAATTAAAATATGATGAGAAAGTCTGTCCTCCTAAGATGTTCTCACCCCGGCAGGAAAGTACCATACCAGAAATTTCACAAGAAAGTCTGCTCTCATGAGACTCACTGCCAGACTTTTAACCATTTTGATAAGTTCAGAAGAGCTTCCATCAAAAAGCTTTCAAACGTCTGTCCCCAGTGACCCCACAGATCCCTTTGAGAGCCACCCAACACCACTTCATAGTTCCCATAAACACTTGGACCTTTCCCTGTGAAAGCTGACAAGTTTTCCCGAAAGTCCTTACATACCACACTCAGCCTCATCTTGCCAAATGTGCTATCTCAGTGGAAATTGCTGGAACTTTCCAGACAGATTTTATGCTACAGGCAAAAAGCACCTCAGTCACCAATGTGCCCACACTGTTTTCTGAGACTGTCGGTACCTACATATTTCATACACGATGTAAAAAGTCCCATGCTTTTTTCTCCCTGTATAACTAAGTATTGCTCTCATAATACTTTGTGAAAAATGTCTCGTAACTATAGTAATTACTGATGTCAACGCCCCTGTTAATATTCTGGGTCTGCAAACATTTCACATCAGATCTCCACATGGAAAAGGGACTGCTCACCTCTACTTTGTAAATTAGCTATATGATTTATCTGTGAGAAACATTTCAAAAATATAGATTCAGAAAGACATCTACCACATGATGGCTTTTCCATATGGCATCTCATAATTATTTTGCTGTGTGTGAACATGATGAAAACAGTTTCATAATCCTCCAAGGGTCAGAGTAAATTATTTCAATTAGACATATTTCAGAGCAAACATTACCTTAGGGTTTATTAATAATATTACCTGAGAAGGAACAGCTGCCTTTTATGCATAAAAAGCTGTCAGCTTCTTACCGCTCCATCTATAGAAACCCTTTTGTGATTTAAAAAAAAATGGCAGATTTTCTCATGCTTTACCTAAACACAGAACTTGGCAGCAGGGACCTGGTTGTAATCCTCAGCTTGGGAGCTGGTGGGTGGATTTTTTTTCTCTATAAACTCTTCTATAAACCACACCAGTCTCCTGGTATTTATTCTGGGTAGTGCTAGAAATTGTACACAGATCCAACAGGCCATGTAAAGGAGTTTTGTAACTTCCTGAAACCCTTTCATGCAAAATCCTTACTCTGAATGCAATTCCAGAAAGATGGGACATTACAGCAGCTTAAAAGGAAAGGTTTGCTCTGTTGTCTTTTTCTCCTCTACAGTGGAGCCTTGCAAATATGAAATAGGTCAATTGGGGCAACATAATAACAGCAACTAATACGAAATTAATTGACCTATATTGAAAATGCAATGCCCATTGAAATGGCTTCAGAGCTAAATCACGTAGATAGCTATATTAATAATAATTAAGGATTGGAATTTTTCTCTGTAGATGGGCTGTCACTTTATAAGAGTTAGTTGGAGCTACATATTACTGCAGCACATCAATTAAGTTTCGCTTTATTATAACCACAAGTCTCTGAACATGCATATTAAAAGATCTCAAGGCACAGAGTCTATGAGACGTGTGGAAAACAGAGTAGAAATACTCTGTGTGTCTAAGAAATGTATCATCTTATCACAAGCTTTTCTTGCCTCCCACCCCAAGATAATGACATGATGACAATGATAATGTGATGATGATAATGATTATAATAATGGGATGATGATTTTGATAAGGGCTTCTCACCAACATGTCCTGCTTTTGGCAAAACTTTCCTAAGGCAAAAGCATATTTATCTTGGCAGAACTGGCAAAGAATGTATTTTTTAGGAATTTGTTGCTGGTTGGATGAAAGATGGTATGGTAGGTAGTAGAATTAGTCAACATCAACTATTCAAATATTACTCTCTTGGCATTGAGACCCAGTGAGGCTTCAAATTCTCAGAGGATCTTAGCTGAGGCAATATCTGTGACCTTATGAGTATTTTTTGAGATAAACTAGCATAAGTAGTGTGACTGAAATTTCGAAGGAAATTTAAATGTAAACACACAACTTTCAAATACTTGCAACCAACATTCCTTCTCACAAACATACATGAAGCCATAGATAAAGCAGTCCTTTACCAAAGACATCAGGGAAATGCTGTGAGGAGAAGAGGGTAATCAGAAAATTTTCTTATATTTGTTTATTTTGCCAATGAATATTATACAGCTGTGGGTGAAGCACTGTATTTTGAGGAATAGAAATGAAAATTGCAATCAGAAAAGTTATTTGCATTATTCATTTCTATTTCATTTTAGGAAAATATCAATAAAAATGGGGAACATTATAGAATTTAAAAGAACCCTTGTATTATATTTTCTACATTCCTTATAGAAGGGCAGAACATCTCGTATGCTTTGTTGCAACTATTCCAGAAAAAAAAAAAGACAAACACCATAATCATTGCTTCTCAATCCTACAATCTTATGCTTTCCAGTTCTCCTTTTTTCTCTCTCTCTTTTGGCACTCTGGCATGTCAGATTCTTGTTTTGTACTTGTTTTGACCCCAACTAAATGGTGGAGCACTAATAAGCAAAAGTAGAGCCATAACTGGATCAGGAGAGATCTGAAAACATAATCATGCCACAGATGAACCATTGGCAATAGTTCAATGCTTACTTATGGCACCAATTGATTTCTTCCCATAGTGGCCACCATCTAAGTAAATGAACAATCATCTACTCAGTTGCTCAGAAAAAAAAAAAACAACCTGAGAGTCATCGTTGACTGCTCTCCTTCTCTCACACCCCAAATCCAAATCAACAGCAAAACTGTCAGTTCCTAATCAAAACATATTTAAAATTCAACAACTTATCATCTCCGTGGCTATCACCATAAGCAAAGCCAGTACCATCATTTTTCTGTGCTACTGCAATAGTCTCTCAGTACTCCTCATACTACTTGCTTCTATGATATTTTTACTCTCTATAATTTGGCCTCCACACAGTTGTCTGTGATCTTTCTAAAAGATACATTATATCATGTTCCTACCCTCAACCTTCCAATGCCTTCCCATTATACTTAGAATAAAATTTGAAATCCTTATCATGGCTTCTAAGTCATGAGATTCTGACAACCACTCTGACTTAATTTCCTATCATACTTCAACTCACTCACTGCACTCCAACAACCCTTGCCTTCAAATTCCTCTACACCCCAAAACCCTTCCTATATCAGGGCTTTTACTTTCTGTTTGGAATACTTGTATTCCAGATATTTGCATGGCTCACTTTCTTTCCTCAACCACCTTTCTACCCAAATTTAATCTTCCAGAGTATAACTTTTAACAATCCCACCTAGAATATTCTGCCATGTCAATGTCTGTAATGGTTAAGTATTTTTTTGGAGGTGGAGACAGTCTTGCTCTGTCACTCAGGCTGGAGTGCCTTGGCACGATCCTGGTTCATTGCAGCCTCAACGTCCTGGGTTTCAGCAATCCTCCTGCCTTGGCCTCCCAAAGTGCTGGGACTACAGGTGTGAGCCACCACACCTGGCTGTAATGGTAAATTGCATGTATCAACTTGAGTGATCTAAGGGATGCCAAGAAGCTCATAAAACATTAATTCTGGGTGTGTCTTTGAGGGTGTTTCCCAAAGAGAGTGGCTTTTGATTTGGTAAACTGAGTAAGGAAGATCACCCTCACCAATGGGTATGGGCATCGTCCATTCTGTGGAGGGCCCCAGTAGAACAAAAAAGTGGAGACAGGACAAATTTTTTCTCTTTGCTCAAACTGGGACATCCATTTCCTTCTGCCCTTGGATATTAGCAACCCTGGTTCTTGGGCCTTCAGAACCTGACTGGGACTTATATCATTGGCCCCCAGTTCTCAGGCCTTTGAATTTAGACTGGAACCTATATCTCTTGGCTCTCTCGGTTCTCAGGCCTCTAGGCTTGAACTGGAACTGCACCACTGGCTTTCCTGGGCCTCCAGCTTGCAGACAGCAGATCATAGGATTTCTCAGCCTCTATAGGCTTCTGAGCTAATCCTTCATTGATAATAAATCTCTTTCTATATATCTGTGTGTGTACATCCATCCATTTATCTATCATCTATCTGTCTATCCATCCATCCACCCCATCCTTCCATCCATCTATCCATCTATGTATCCATTTATCCATCTATCTACATTTCCCATTGGTTCTGCTTCTCTAGAGAACCTTCACTAATACACTATCCTTTTACCTTACTTCATTTTTATTGCTAAAACATACTTGACATTTTAATATATATGAGCTACATTTATTTACTTACTTGCTTACTTAATTATCATGTATCTTCTATCAGAATATAAGCTCCATGAGGTCAGAGACTTTAGGAGTTTACTTATCACCGTATTCCCAGCACCTAGAACATTTCCTAGCACATACTGGATACCAAATAAACATCCATGATCTCAATGATTATATTTGACTCAATTTAAAGGTTTGAAATACATGAAACTAAGATAACAACAGGACATGTCATGTAGTTTCATCTGCCCTTTTTCCATGTTAAGGGAAGTAAATGTGTATTCAATCGTTATCTAAAAAACTGATGAACCCACCTGAAGGTAATACCTTGTATTGTCCTTAACTCCATACCTACCCCCCAAATACCAGGTAATGCATTGACTGTCTTTGGGTTTATCTATTTCTTATCAAAGTATCTTGTCTACTTTTCATGTTTAACTCTGAGATCATACACTTTCAGGTTCTGCTTGTGTACCATTGAAAGACTTGAGCTACATGTTCTCCAAGATCCCTTCTAGCTACATAATGCTACTGAAAATGTAGAGAAAGATAGAGCCAGTGGTGACTCAAGTTATTTAATATGCCTCTATGTTCTAGTTTATTAGTTACCCTGTCTATAATTTTAATATGCAACTATAGTTACTTGATAGCCTAGATTTTCACTTGCTAATTGAATACAACTTACAATGTTATGCATTCTCATCGAATGTCCCTGATAAGTCTCACAATCAAAAGAGTGAGTGGTAATCAAAAGACTAGAAAATAGCCCTGATACCTAATGTGTCACACACTATTCAACCTAAGCAGGTTGTCTTCCTTTTGTAATTTCATTGCCCAACTTATAAAATAAATTTGATGCACAAAATACTTACTGAAATCCTTTTAATATGGTCTTATTTCCAGGACCATATTCCAGGTTTCTTGGAAGAAGGCACTAAGAATGATTTTGATAAGTCAAGTACATCAGAATAAGAGGTAGCATTGGTCAGAGGGAGAAATTGAACACCCATGGAGGTCTAATAAAACCTTGGCCAAAAGCTCAGGTGCATATAGAGCCCTTCAGAGTTCTCCTGCCTTAGGCAGAATATGATGGATATTTACATCCGCCTCAATCAATCATTGTATCAGGGCAAGGAGTAGGGTGGGGCAAGAACATGTCTTGGAACACGCAGCTCACATAAAACTTTGGAAACCCTGGAGGAGCTGACTAATGGAGGCTGTCTTCCAGCAATTGAGTCAACAAGTCCTATCTTGTAGGGGGATCGGGGTGACACATTTCCATCCCTTCTGGTCACAGCACCATGTAGCAATTCCTCTTATATGTTTTACATTAATGCAAAAGAATAAGATATGTCCTTTATGGGCACTTTTCAAAGACCACTAATATGATACTCTATGTGTATTATTGTGCATTCTATTTTCAATCTATAATGGGCAATGGTAATAAACATTTATGATCTACATTGAGGTGTGCATGTATCTGCAAGTGCCCATGGGCTTGTGTGCATAAGAGAGCCTGAAGTATGTCAAAGGTCATTTACAGACTAATATCCATAATAGAACAGAGCAATTACCAATTCATAAATTGTGCTTTGGCTAGACTTCTCCTTTCTAGACTTTTCAAGAGCATTGGCTTTAGCTATGGGCCTACTTAATTGGCTGCGTTTGAATTTTACAAACCTCACATCTCACGCTATTGTAAAGGGTTCATCAACATATTCATATATGTAGCTATCATAAAAACAGATGTCTACTTAAAAATAACATAATTCTTAAATTTTTCTAAGTGTTCTTTGCTGTCATTATTATTTGGCCTGGAACTACTAATCATAGAATGTACCATAATTATTCTTCCCTTTTTGCCCTTTCCACTTAAATAGTTTAAAAATCATGTTGTTGTTGTTTTTTTTTTCTCATTTTTTGAAATACTTAACCAATTGGCTTAGCCCTTTTTTTTCTTTCTGTGTCACCTTTTAATACAGGTTTTCATCACCTCTGCAAAAGGGATTTTTTTTCTCCCCAGTGAAAAAGATGGATTGGTAAGTGGCCCTACAGCCTATAAACTGTTTCCTTTTAATTCAGGCCCGAGCAGTTTGGCCTGGCTCACATTCAGGTAGTATATAACTTGTCTGAACTCTTTCTAAAGGGCCTCCTGCTTGTGTATTTATGTCTGAACACTTGGGTGAGCCTTGAAACAGCCTCTCTACAGAGTGATGGGATGTTTGCTCACCTCCAGCCCACATTGTAATGAAGCATGCCCCTTGCTTTTAAAATCCTGAGGTTCTGACCTCTCCAGGTGAGGCTTTCCCTGGAAATGGCCCCCAGAGGCTACTCCCAACTGCACGGTTTATGTGTGGGACACCAGTAACTATGTTCAATCTTAAGGGTTTTCTTTCTCTTTACATTGTCAGCTGCTTTCATGTTCCAACATAAAGGCCCACACAGGAAGTATTAGGAGAGATTTCTAGACCTCCTAAAGCTAAACCTGGTAAAGCTTTCCTTTAACATTCAAATATTCAAAAGAACTTTGTGTAAATTACAAATTTTGCAGTAGTGTATTCATTTGAAGAAGAGTGGTATAATATGCAAAATAACAAAAGAAATTTTTTCATCATAAATGTCATTGCCAAGAACAGGAACTGATGTTACTTGGCTTTGATCTTTGTTTTCTTCCCCTTCCTCCACTGCTTAATTCAATTATGTATCCCTCCTTTACATAATGCAAGCACCACTCCTCCAACTCCTCCTTAATTACAGACTATTCAGGGATCCTGGATGTCCTGAGATAGAGCCAGTATATTTTGGCCTTGTTTTATTCAAACCTCTACCAGGTACTGCATGTTCAAGACAATTTTCCTTTTAAGCGCCCTCCCCACCCCCACCAAAATCAGACTACATAGATAATAGCTCATTCAGTAATCAGTAGATTCTGAAGTGGTTGAAATGTATTTGAAAATTAATGGATAGATTGAGACAAAGAGGCTACTTAGATTTCTTTGATGAGATGATACAGCAACTTACATCTAACCTAACTGTCTGCTACTCCCTCTCGCCCAATTAACTATGCAATTGCAAATTTTATGAAAATATTTCAAACTATATTTATATTATGGCCTTGTCAAATACAGTTTTTAAATAATTTTGGCTCAGGATTGAAGATTTAAAGGAAAAGTGAAAACTTCTCTGTCCTTTATAGGTTACCTTTTTACCTAACACTTGGACTACCATCAATTATTCTGCTCATTTTGGGAGGAAAAGTGAGAAGAGTTATGGAAGGATAATATTTGTAAAAGGAGACAGCAACACATCATGATAGACTTTACAGCATGTTTCTGTGCTAAGCCTACTACACAGCAAACTAAACTCAAGACAGTCCTGTCCTCTACCATCTGTGACTGGAAAAAGAAGATAGGAACAAATAAAAAAGCATTAAGCAAGGATTCGTAAATGTAGTTAGATATCTAAAAATGATAGTTGTGAAAAGGTATCTGTGGGATGAACTGCAGTCTCTCTTTTAAAGTGTTATGTAAAAAGAATTTTAATTGTGATGATGAAGTATGACTTTAGGGAGCCAAACAAAGTCTTGTCTGAGAGAAAGACCAGAGGATGAGCTGGTCAAGATCCCTCTTCCCTCCAGTACAGTGAGTCAACTTCATATTAACCATTCTCTGATTAGCAATCTTTTTTATTTTTCTTTCCTTGGTTCAAAACATTTCCATAAATTGCAATTATTTCCCACAGTGTCAAATATATTTTCCTTGACAAAGGTGACTATTAGGTATTAAAGTCTAATCTCATAAGAAATTTGTGAATTGTTAAGCCTATTTCTTAACTAGTCAAGAGCAAATCCTTCCTTCTCACAACTTTTCATGCTAATGTTGCATGTTATCAACTGCATGTCAGCAGAAAATTCTTTAGGCAAAGATGTTCCCTTCAGAAGAGAACAAGGGCAGTTACTCTGCTCTAAATGTATCATGATGGACTTTGATCTTTCCTGTCTCTTCAGATATCTTTTATTTTTACCCAGAAAAAGTTGTCCATTTGTTCAATTGTAGAGATGAAAATATTAATTTAAACCAAAAGCATATTGCAGGAAAAGCAATCCAATTACAAAAAGCCATTTATACAGAAAAAGTATACTTTCAAATAAAGTAGTGAAAAGGTCACCACAAATCTTTATAGGCTAAGAAAATGGAATCAAATACATAATGTTAAAAATGTACAGAAACAGTTTTTTATAGAGGACTAACACTGTTCTGTTATTGATGCCTCTAGTAGATCAAGAGAAAAATGGAGACCATTTGAAAATTAACTAATACAGTTAAATTAACAAATATACTTTCAACTGGGCACAGTGGCTCACACCTGTAATCTCAGCACTTTGGGAGGCCAAGGTAAATGGATTGCTTGCACCCAGGAGCTTGAGAGCAGCCGAACAACATGGCAATATCCTATATCTACAAAAAAGGCAAAAAATTAGCCATGCATGGTAATACACATGTGTAGTCCCTGCTACTTGGGAGGCCAAAGTAAGAGGATTACCTAATCCTGAGAGGTTGAAGCTGCAGTAAGCCACGGTCATGCTGCTGCACACTCCAGCCTGGGTGGCAGAGGAAGACCCTGTCTCAAGGAAAAAAAAAAAAAAAAAAAAAAAAAAATATATATATATATATATATATATATATATATATAATTAAATTAAATTTAAAAATGTACTTTCACTATAAACTCTACAAAGAATATAGAATATATCATATTTATAAAACATGCAGAAAAAATAGGCATGTAGAGTTTTGGAAAATATTTTAGTATATTCCACAATGCAGAAATTATTTAGGGTACATTGTCTGACTAACATAAAATAATATAAGAAATAATAATAAAAGGCTAAAGAAACAAAACAAGCAAAAACTCTAACCATTAGAAAAGTTGCTATAATTTTTCTAAATAACTTTGTTCAGACCAAAAAAGAAATAAAAGTTAACAGTTAAAGATAATTTAGAAAATAATAAAAATTAGTATATTACATTTTAACTTTTATGAGATGCAGCCAAGGTGGTATGAAGAGACAAAATCACAGCCTTGTAATATTTTTGCAATTAAATAAGAAAAAAATGAAAATAAACCAAGAGTTCAATTCAAGAAGTTAGAAAAAGAAAACCCACTTAAGGGAAATAGAAGAAAGATAATAGTGAAGATAAAAGTAGAAAATGATTTATTATAAAAGAAAAAGATAATGTAAATATTAAATAAATTCAAGAAGTATAAAAGAAGAGAAAAATTCCCGGCAAATAAAACCCAGAAAGAAACAATGATTCAAATTATAATGATAAATACCTGTGATGTATTGTGTACTTTTTCTGTAGCAGACACTACACTTAAGCATTGCCTATTATTTCAGTTAATCCTTAAAACAAAACTCTAAAGTGTTTCTTTCTTTTTTTTTTTTTTAATAAATGTGGTCACTGAAATTGGGGGTTTCACTTGCCATTACAGCAAAGCTTCTTATGTATCAGTGCTGGAATTTCAAAGAAGAGTCCTCTCACCCTTACTCCAAAACCTGTGCTCCTAACAACTACACTTTTTAACATAATCATTTGATAAAGATGGTCATGGAAGATTAAAATGCCTAATTCTAATTAGTTTGATAAGTTGGATGAATTGGGCAATTTTCTGATAAAATATACATTTATCAATTGTACCAAGTTTAATTAGACAATCCATATATACAAGTAAACATTGAATTAATTGGATATGTTACAAAAAAAAATTATCTCCAAACATGGCTCTAAGCCAAAATGGTATTTTATTTTAACTAATGAGCTTTTGCTTTTAAGTGTTCAACGAACAAAATTACCGGCCTTATATTACTTATTCTAGGATCTAAAAATAATAAACAGTAGTTTTTAAATTAAATTAAAGTGAATTTTTACTTATTCATTCTTTGAGACAGGGTGGTTCTTTGTTGCCCAGGCTGGAGTGCAGTGGTGCAATCATGGCTCACTGCAGCCTCAAACTCCTGAGCTCAACCGGTGGTCTCACCTTAGCCTCCCAAGTAGCTGGGGCTGCAGGCATGTGCCCCCAAGCCCAGCTAATTTTTGTGTTTTTTGTAAAGACGGAGTTTTGCCATGTTGCCCAGGTTGGTCTCAAACTCTTGGACTCAACCCATCTGCCCACCTTAGCCTCAAAGTGCTGGGATTACAGGCTTCAACAACCCGCCTGGCTAGTTTTTTAATTTTAAAAATTAAATATATGGTATCAAAATTTGATAAGTATAACAAGAAAATAAGGAAATTATGCATTTATCTCAGTTACATAGATGTGAAATCACCAAATACCAGCACTATTATGAAAACATCTGATTGGATAAAATGAAATCCTATTACTCATTAACCATGACATAGAAGAGCTCTTAAATCATTCATCAGCCTCACCTTATTGTGAAATTACTAGAGATATTCTCATTAAATTCAGGAACAAGGGAAGAATTCTCATCACCATTCTCATCACCAATGGTGAAAGAATTCTCTTTCACCATTATCACTGCATAATAATGTTAGGAAGGCCCTGGCTAATTAAACAGCCAGTGAAACCATTTATAAGAAACAAACAACATTTGGAAAGTAGGAGATAAAACTCTCTATGACTAGACCACACTGGAAACAAAATACATACCTTACAAACTCAAAATTAATGAGTGCTGATGAGATGATCCAATGCAACAGAAAAATGATACAGTCTTTAGCTTCTTATATATTATAAATAACCAATTTGTTGGAACAAACTCCCACCTGCATCTAAGTATGCCTAAGAGCAGAAAAGAAGGACTAGATCCCTGCAAGTGGAAACCCCTGTGGCATGCTGTTGACAGGCTGAAATTTCCATGCCGTCTCTATTATTCACAAACAAAATGTTATTGTGGTCCTACTAGGCACCAGGATCTGTCCAGATGTAGAGAAAATAGCGTTGAAAAGATCTGGAAGATATCATTGTAATGGAGCTGATAATTGATTGGGATGAATGGAACAAAGGATCATAAAAATGAAAAGTAAATAAACTGAAAACGGAGTGAAATGTGCTATTATGAATAAAATGGGCTAATGAGGTGGAGATTTAGGGAGTACTTTGGGTTGGGAATTCAGAGTCTTTCCTCAACAGGTGACATTTAACCTGAGAATTGAATGATGAGAGCCAGCTATGTGATCAGGTTGAAGAGAATTCCAGATAGAATCTTTTATTTTGACTTAAAACTTCATTTAACTTTTATGTTGGATTTTATAATACATGCATGCTTCTTTCAGTGTAAATACACTGTGGACTTTTCCTCCGACATTAATGTCATATTCATTGAGAAGTCCATTCAGACAGCCTTCTCCATTTAGTTGCTTTGACTTCAGTTCATTTTGTCACTTCTTATAAACTAGCTGTTAGACATTGTTCCCCTCCTCTTAGCCAATCTCCTTTTCCTCCTTTCCACTTTACTCATTAATATATGCAATATACTTTCTCATCTTATCTCTAACTCTCACCCCCATCTGAACTCATTACTGAAATGAACGATGGGGTGTCTCATTTGACATATTACTTGTTAATAAAAATTGTGATACCCAAGTGGCCTCAATAAATTGTGTTCATACAAATTAAGGTAATATCAAATCGGCTGTTTCAAAATGTTCTTTTTTACCCCTTATCATTCTGACACACATCCCTAAGAGGGATCATTTTAAAAAATATATAAGAATATTAAAATAATTTCATTTTAATTCTGGTAGTAAGATGGTAGCAGGTTAGATCTGAGTCTTCTCTCCTCTCTTGGACTCTACGCAGTAAGGAAAACAGCAACAACAAAATTCGTGAACTCCATTTCCAGGGAAATAGCAAGATAAATTTCAAATTGTGTAAGTGTTGATTAAAGCAGCTGAGGCTGACAAAGCCTTTCAGAAATCCCTGCGGAAAGAGGCAACAGAAGCAGCAGTAGACTATGAAAAATGGGGTGGCATGTTGGGGGTTATAGCTAGTGGTAGGGAAACTTAGCAAGTGCCAGAAAAAAAATGTACACCTTCTATATAGGAACTATGTATTCTTTGGTGATAGTGGCCATGAGGACACTACAGAGCATGGGAATGAATGTAAAAGCACTGATGTAGTGGATTAGGTTCTGAGGAAAGCATGGGCTACAGAAGGGGTCATACTAAGAAAACGTTCATCAGTAGACAGTGAAGTTTCTAAGAGGTTTTAGGGTGTTTTCACTCAGCAGTCTCATAGGGAGCCTAAGATAAAGGGTTAATCTCAAAGAGATTTGTAGACATGGCTTTTCTCTAAAGGAGTATATTATTCAGTGATAACTAAGAAACCAAAAACTGAGCCAGGAACAGGAGCTGAGGCCTGTAATCCCAGCTACTCAAGAAGCTGAGGTGGGAGAATTGCTTGAGGCCACAAGTTCAAGACCAGCCTGGGCAATATGGCAAGACCCTGTTTCAAAAAAATTAAAAAAGAAAAAAAATCAAAAACTTTTTAAATTAATTACATTGGGTTAGACTAAAATGGACAGAAATTGTACAAAATAAGAGGGCTTTGAACCTCAAAACTTCTACAGCTACAGAGCTGGTTGAGAAAGCTATTAACATGTAGATGTAAATATTGGTAATTTCTATTGGAAAAGAAAGGATAACTCAAAGGGAAGAATCAGGAACCCAGAGGGTATAGCCAAGACTCATGGAGAATCATTTTTAGGGAGTCAACAAGCCCCAAACCATGCTGGATTTCAGAAATTGCTGTGAACCTTATACAACTGGATTATTTGTTGTAATAACTCTATCTCTATCCCAACCCTGCATATTGTGGCAGGGGGAAGCAAGAGTGCAGAGAGTACATGGTCCTGATTTAATTGACAAAATTCTGGACTACCAGCTGATGCCATAAGAGAATGAAACTTTTGCAGACTTTGGGAGGAGATGAAAGTATTTTATATGTTAGAGAAAGTAAACAATTCATGGCCAGAAGATGGAAGGTGTAGATTAAAGATAGCCACAAATTATTTTCTAGACTTCTCTTTCAAGTATAATTCCTCTCCACTTAAATCAGGGCTGACCCTAGTGTTTGCTTACTGAATCAAATGCAAGTAAATTCAACTACTTCTGAGGCTGAGGCTAGGTCATAAGAAGCCCCTTAGAGCTCACCCAGTCTCCTTGTAATACCCCTTTTTGAGCCATGAGCTGCCATATGGTAAGGTTGAATACCCTGCTGAAGATACCACCTGGAAAGGCCCTGAGACCACATGGGAAGGAAGAGGGTCCCAGCTGAGCTTAATTTATTGGCCCGCCCCCACCAAGCCACCAACATACAAGTTAAACTATTTTGAAACCTTTGGACCAGCCAAGCTAGCAGCTGAACACCAACAAGTGATAAGTTAATGAAATATGGAGCTGAAGAATTGCCCAGCTGAGCCCTATCTGAATTCTTACTCCCTAAATTGTGAGATATAAAATATTGTTGTTCTATGACACTAAGTTTTAGGATCGCTTTTTAGGCATCAATGGACAACAGAGCATCCATAGTAATGTATATAAAAAATATGTACACACTATGTCATCTAAAAGAACAGGGGACTAAGGGTCTTACAGTGAGGCATAATTTTAAAGCTAATCACTGGAAGACAAATACAAACCTTATAAAACATCAAAGTCCCAACAAGAAAAAAGCAAAGAAAACAGACTAGAAAAAAGGCTTAAAATGCACACACACGATTACTTGCTATAAAATCTTGCAATGAACAAATGTTCCTGGAAAGCAATTTGTCAATATGTAGCACAAATCTTAAAATTGACTACATATTTTGATCTGAGAATTACATCAGAAAAAAAACTTCTAAAATAAATTTCAAGAAATTTATGTAAAATTTTATGTATAATGTTGTTTGCTGAATAGTCATTTATAATAGTAGAAATTTGGAGTCATCATTACTACCTGAAATATAAAATGATTTAATAAATTATGGTTTATCATATAACAGAATAATGTGTAACCTCTGAAAAACAGGTTTTTAAGAACACTTAATAGCATGAAATCCATGCAAAGTATAACGTGAAGTGCAAAAGAGCAGAAAGCAAAACTATATGTAGAGGATTATGCAATTTTATAGGAAAATGAAGCACTAATTAATATATAGGTACAGTTTTTTTAAAAAGATAGAAAAAACTTAAAAAACATCAGTAATGTTGTCACCTATAGTTAATGGGAATACATTTTTATTTTATTCTATATATTTTAGGGATACTCACTAATATTTCCATATATTTTGTTAAAATTATAAAAATCTATTTTAAATAAGCAAATAAGTAAATTGTCAAACTAAGGATCTGCCATCTTTCACAGTGAAGCTTTCTACTCTCCCTTCTATAATTATGAGTTGGATTCCACAAAGAGTGATGATTAAACAAGCTCAACCAACATTGACACCCTAAGAAGACATATCTGGAGCAAAATCCTGAAGCATAATTCATTCTCTATATTTCTGGAATACTTATTATTCCTGAGGTGTCCACAGATGTCTGGTTAAAGAGGAATTGTCTAGTTACACATCATTTTGGATACCTTTTAGATTCTTCAAAATCGAAAGGCAAAACCTTGTTCCTGGGGCCATCATCTAGCCAAGTGACATTTCCTACTAGATACTGAACTCTGAATACATATCACTCCACACAACATGGAGATATCTTATCTCTGACAAACTGTGTTGTCTTTATTTAATTAACGGTCTCCAATAAATCCCTGATAATTTGAATATAATTTTCAGTACCCCAAAACATTAAAAAAAGAAATCTTTCTAAGCCACTACTCTTTCTTGGTTTTCTGTTATTGTTAACTCCGTTCCTTTTTGCACATAGAGTAGTTTGCAAGCTGAATTAATTTCCGGATGTTAGGTAACTGTCTAGTCTTTTCCATGCCATTGCCTCCTAGGATCATGAAAGAGTTAAATCTCCTCCAAAGTCACCATCTAAGAGTACATACACGGCAGGAGCATCTGGATCATTATTAGATTATGTGGGCACCAGTCAGCATAGAGCTCTGAGCAGACTAAGTAATAGCAGTGGAGGCATAGTTGTGGAAAAGCAACCCACAACTTGAATGGCCAGGACACAAAATTACTCTTTGGTCTTGGCACAGAGATAGGCACCACTTTCTTTTCTATGCAGCTCTTTTTACTTCAAAAGAAAAACATTCAAACTCATTAGTTTACATTACTTTCAATCAAGGATCTAAAAATAGGAAAAATTTTAAATGCTGAGATATATTTTCTTCTCAGAACCTACCTTAGGTATTGCGTTTTTTCATACCCTTTCATACTCTCCCACCCAGAAAGGAAAAAGAAAGTGCCTGGTATTTAACTGGACCTGAAGTCAGAAGATCCTAAGTACCACAAGAAAGACTACTCTTTTGATATTTCTGGCAAGCACCAGGATTGGATGTTCTAGAATTCTGGCCAAATTTTCCGTCCAATTTTGCCGACTAACTTGTGAGGTTCTGGGCATTTGGAAAGAAACAGATAAGCAACTCAGCATCAGACTTTTTTTAAAAAATAAAACCCAGACACTAAAGGTCTTCAGGCTCAACACAGGTGGTATTTTTACAGTTCGCAAAGTCCTTTTGCCTGGACTCCATTGAGAACTACTCCATTGAGTAGTTTCTCTGAGTAGTTACTCAGAAGTCAGTTGCAAGCATCAGTGGTTCCTCTCGCTAAAGAACAGACACTCTGCAGAATCAGAAGGGGATTTCTGGGTGACTTGATGGGTCTAAAAATCAACTCTTTAGCCACATCTAGACTCCACACTAGATGTTTGACAATCGGACTTTATGCATGCTTTGTTTGGGAACACAACTGTGAATACAACTTAAATTATAATTGTAACTTGCAAGGCTTCAGGGTGTTTTCACTCGCATGCTTTTCCCTCTACTGAATATTCCTCCTCCAAATATTTGCATGGATCACTCCCTTACTTATTTTAGGTACCTTCTTTTGATCATATCATCAGAAGACCTCATTGACTACTCAATATAAAGATAAAAATCCTTCTCCCTCTTCTAACCCAAATAAGATTCACAGATGTAGGGTCCTGGGTGGGAGGAAGGGTGCCCAGTTATATTTGAATTTCAGATGGACAACAAATATGCCATTTTTTATATAAGAATGCTCCAAATAATGTTTTGGACATACTTACACTAAAAAAATTACCTGGATTTATTTGGAATTCAGATTTAACTGGGTGTCCTGTATTTTACCTGGCAAGTCTAAACCCACCCCAATGTTCCCTTTTCTCCTTCTATTTTAGCTTTTTCCACAGGATACATTGCTACCTGACTTGTCACGTATTTATTAGTTATTTTATCTGTCTTCTGAGCTAGACTGAGGGCAGGAACACCATCGTATTCTAGCACCAAGAACAATGCCTAGCATGCAAAGATTTGTTGCATAAGTGGAATGAATGAGTGAATGAATGTTGTTACACTACTATGTAGAGCTTGGGGATGTGGTCTGCTTGCTCTAGGATTATCCTCTTCCTCTGCTACTCCATCCTGGCCAGAAAAGGGCAGGTTCTGAAGGCCTGGTTTGGCAGCTATAGGCTTCTCGGAAAATTCTGCTTAAGCCTCCCCATTGTTCAGGCTTCCTTACCAAGCCCTAGCCAGTCAGTTTATTTTTTTTCAAGTTTGCCTGGTGCTTTATACAGAAACCAAGGAGGCGGAGTGGTTTGGAGATTCTTAGTGGGCTGTGTTTTCAGAAGGAAAAATCTTGTTGGATAGTGAATGTCATTCTGAATTTGTTCAATGTCAGAGCAGAGCTCACAGAAAGTGATTGTTTATGTCTGACACAAATCTTTATTATGCAATTGAAAATGTTCTCAGTTACTCTAACTTACTTTTAATAAAAAGTTTAATGTGTTATTTCTTCCAGACAGTAGATAAAAAGATGTCATGCAATATTGATTTAAAATCAATATTTTAAAGCAAGTTTGCCCTTTTTTCTAAGTCATTTTTTTCTTTGAAGATAAATACACACCTTCATGGACTTTGTGTATGAGTATATATTAAGATTACTTTATGTCAGGAAGTAAATTGCTATTCTTTTTATTTTTAGGAAAAAATATTATCTTTCCATTACACATTAACAATGAGAAGCAATGTAATATATTATCTAATTGAAATTAGTGTTAACATGTATACATCACATAAAAGTGTTCATGAACTCATATTTAGGTATAACCTGAAAAAAAATCTGCCAAGCAAAAATCATAACATATGAAATTCTGTAGTTTAAAATATTAACTAGAAAGAAGATTAAAATGATGAGAATATAAATGATTTCATAGTACTCAAGTTCATTTTATATTTAGGGAAACATAGGACATAGAATAAACATAAAAATCTGCTAAGGATGGTGTAATTTTTAAATTACAAAGTTTCAAGTTTCTCAAGTCCCAAACAATGACTAGCACTTTGAAGTTAACAGTTACAATTTAAGATGCAAACAACAACTATTTGCCAAAAATAATCCACTAATACTGAAGTTCTAGCTTAACTACTAAAGTAAAAACTCAACTTTTTTCTTTCTTTCTTTCTTTCTTTTTTTTAAGACAGAGTCTTGCTCTGTCACCTAGGCAGGAGTTAAGTGGTGCAATCTTGGCTCACCGCAACCTCCACTTCCTAGGTTCAAGCAATTCTCCTGCCTCAGCCTCCTGAGTAGCTAAGACGACAGATGTGTGCCACCATGCTTGGCTAATGTTTTGTACCTTTAGTAGAGATGGGGTTTTGCCATGTTGGCCAGGCTTATCCTGAACTCCTGGCCTCAAGTGGATCCACCTCCCTCAGCCTCCCAAAGCGCTGGGATTACAGGCATGAGCCACCACACCTGGCCCAAACTCAACTATCTTTCTATGGCTTTACAAAGAGTTGGTTTTCCTGCCATGTATATTTCCCAGGTAGTTCCACCTTGTCTCTATTCTCTAATATGTTTTATCTTGAAATTTCAAACATAGTTCTTGCTCTTCAACATGTCTTGCTTCTATTCATCACCAAGGGCTCTTCCCAAACTCACTGTATCTTTGAGTCCATAAATAACCTGATCCCCATCTCAACTCTGGAAATCTGATTTCACTTCTTCCTTTAAAGATAATATAAAATCACCTTTTAACTTTTAGTTCAACCATATATAGGCTTCCATATTCTCCAAGCATGTTTTTCTCTCTCTGAACATTCCTCATGTTATTATATTTATAATAAAAAGATTGAAAAATTTATTAAATAATTACTGTATGCCAGGTATTTTCTATGCAGTTGATAAATTGTAACTAATTTATTCCTAACACAACCTTCGAATGTAGGTCCTATTATTATTTCTTTTTTGCAGAAAAGTAGCATGAGGCCCACAGAAACAGAGTAACTTAGAATTGAGCCTGAGAGTATAGTTCCAGGGCCCTAGCTCCCACTCACTGAGCTCTAATGACTTCCATTGACTTAACATGCATGCTTCCCCACCTGACTGTGAAAGCCTAAAGTTCAGTGGCTCTTTATTCATAAGCCTTGTATCTCCAGTGCCAGGCATAGTTCCTGTATCACAGTAGGAATCACATAGTCTTGCTAAATTGGAGGGAAGGAAGGATGGAAGGAAGGAAGGAAGGAAGGAAGGAAGGAAGGAAGGAAGGAAGGAAGGAAGGAAGGAAGGAAGGATTAAAGCAAAATATTGTGCTTATTTAGACAACTCAGTTGGTATTTTATGCTTTCAGCATCTTCTGAGACTGCTCATCTATTCTACCAAAGACAAACAAAAAGCAAACAAATCAAAACAAAACTTTCACCCACCCAAAGCAAATAAATGAACTTAAGTTCTTATTTAAGTATAACTTGTTTCTTCTAGGACACTGAACACAAGACACCTAGAGGTTAACACACTATGCTTTCAGTCAATCTGTTACTTTTAAAATGTTTATTAAATACATATTGAGTCAGCCAGTTCACAGGGTGTTTGCCCTGTTCTGTTTTCTTTAATGAAAAAAAATCTTCTATCATACATAATTAATTTATTAATTATATTAACTGTCAATTGTCTGTCTTACCCTTTTGACACGTAAACTCCACAAAGGTACACTTCCTTGCCTTATTCCCTAATGTATTGTGGGCACCTACAACCATGCCTGACATAAAGTACACATTCAATAAACATTTATTAATTGAATGAATCAGTGTGAAAAGTTATAGAAGCTGAACAGATCATGGTGCATTTAGCAGGGAATGGAATTAGCAGAATTTGGGGTCCCATTGGAGACATATAGTGAAGAAAAATGTAGAATCAAGAGTCACTGAAAACAGTGGATGATATTACCAATAACCCAATGGGGAATACAATAAAAGAGAAAAAGAGTTTGGAAAAAGAAGTTGGGAGTTAATTTTGACCAGGTTTAATTTCAGTTCTATGTAGAATATCCAGGAGAATTCCAGTAGGCAACCAAAATGCCTCACTACCTCATTACTAGCAGGCAAAGGCCATAAGTATCAAAGTATTCAAACCCTAATAATGAACATCAGTATTTGTGATTGAGTTTATAGTAGGTGATTCCTTGCTCCTCAGCCTTCTGCTGTGAAACTATAAATAGGTTGCACTATACAAATGAAAAAATAAGATATATTCCTTAGAATTCAGTGTGTACGTGCATTTATGTGTATTTGTGTGTGTGTGTGTATGTGTGTGTGACTAATGTAAGATATTTTGAGTATAAAGTAAAGTGCTACTTAGTTTATTAATAGGAAGATTGAAGGGAGCCAGTTGATGGCAGTTTTTTTTTTGTTCTATCCATTAAGATCATGCTCACTAATTTAGAGATAAAATAGAGAAAATAGAAAGACTTTCAAGACAGAAAATATTGCTAAGACAGGATGCAAGAAATGAAGAGAATTTATAGTATCAAAACTACAATTGAAAATTGAAATTTTGGCAAGGAGTAAGGACAGTAGAAAGGGGCAAGAGCAGATGTACAGAGACCCTTTAAGGAACATAACAATGTCAGTGGTGTACAAATTGTATTATATTGATATTCTCAGAAAACGTAAGGCAAGTGCATCAGTCAGAGTTCTCCAGGGAAACAGAACCAATAGGATATATATACCCTATGTTATATCAGGAGCTTTATTTTAAGGAATTGGCTTACAGGATTGTAGAGGCTGGCAGGCCGGCAAGTCTGAAAGCCATAGGGCAGGCTGACAGGTTGGAAAGTCAGGCACGAGTTGCTGTTACTGTCTTGAGGCAGAATGTCTTCTTCTTTGGAAAACTTCAGTTTTTGCTCTTTTTTATTTAATATTATACTTTAAGTTTTAGGGTACACGTGCACAATGTGCAGATTTGTTACATATGTATACATGTGCCATGTTGGTGTGCTGCACCTATTAACTTGTCATTTAACATTAGGTATATCTCCTAATGCTATCCCTCCCCCCTCCCCCCACCCCACAACAGGCCCCGGTGTGTGATATTCCCCTTCCTGTGTCCATGTGTTCTCATTGTTCAATTCCTACCTATGAGTGAGAACATGTGGTGTTTGGTTTTTTAGGGCCTTCAGATGATTGGATGAGACCCAACCACGTTATGCACGGTAGTCTCCTTTACTTAAAGTCAACTGATTATAGATGTTACCCATGATCTGACAATGCCTCACTCCATGTTTGATTAAATAACTGGGTCCTATAGCCTCACCAAGCTGACACATAAAATTAACCATCACAGCAAGATTATATCCAAAATTCAGGTTGACTAAAAATACAAAAGATTCAGCTGTTCTAGTTCCCAGTGTGTATCTTACTATTTATTGAAACAGGTGGAGGAGGGAAGAATGTGAGAGAGAGAGTGAGTTTGTGTATGGAAGACACTAGTTGAGGAGACAATGCGTAGTGAGAACATAAAGCAGAGAACAGTGGAAATCTAGAATATCACTGGCCCAGGAACCAGAGCACCTGGTTTCTGCATTCCCCATTTGTTAGTTATTGTAATTTGGTCACCAGTAACACAATTTATCTGACGCTAAATGGAAATATCTATAACTGTTTCATACACATCAAAAGATAATTTTTCAAGTCAAATTAGATGAGATGTGTGAGTTATTTTACAAAATAAACATCTTTATATTTACACATATATTATTACCACTATCAAGACTATATAAACGGAAGTCTAGGTTACTTCAGTAGAGATGGAGTTGAGTGAACATGTGAACTCAAGAGATATGTTACATTCAACATTTAGAACAGATTGTCACCAAATGCCACTGTCACCAATGCTGCCCACTGTTCCCTCAGCTTTATTTATTGAAGCTGCATGATTAGAGATCACTGTTCTCATTACAAAGCATCAATATCCACTTTAAATTAAAACTATGAGCTGAGTGAATATGCATTGCATCTACCAGGCTATGGTGATCAATATGGAATTAACATCTATAAGTTCAAATGAGACTTAGAGTTAGTCTCTGAGTGAAGATTTAGCAACAAAGATTGCTGAGTGTTTAATCAAAAGGTGATTCATAGTTTTAATCCTACATTATTAGTCCTTCTTCTAGCTTTAGGAATGTTTTAGTAATCAAAATGTCAACATGGAAGACAAATAATTTGAAAGTCTTGAGTTATTGGAGGTTCACAAATTAAACAAGCAAACTACATTTAAGCATAATTAATAGCATATATAGCATTGTGATTAATGAGTTGCAGGAACAGCAAGAAAAATACTTTCTTTTTTCCCAATAAAAAGAGAAATATCTATGTGTACATACTATTCAAAGTATTTATGGATCATTACTACGAAAATGGGAAAAAAGCTTCCAAGCCCAAGTGAAGTGCACCAGCAATAGGGATTAAAATCCATACAAACCTGAAATAACACAAATAAAATCTGAGTTAAAATACATGAAAATACATATACTAGCCAGTAAGTAAGTTTGCTTTTACCAGCAAAAGGATTACGTCTTCATAATAGTCCTTTAATAGCTGAATTTCTAGTACATTTAAATATTTATTTACAGATTATCATCTCTCTGGTATAAAAGCTAGAAGATATCTGAGGTAGTATATAAGAGTTGGAAGTCTTAATTAAAGTTTTATAACAGAATAAAGATAAAGCATGTCTAAAACTGAAATGCAAAATAATGAAGAAAATATTTAAATTGTACTCAAAATTGCCAAAGCATTTTCACTGGGAATGAAGAGTAAAGTGAACTTCATGTACATATACTGATCCAATAGAAATCTTCCTTAACTTGAATTCTCCAAAAAAGCAGCCTCAGGAGAAGGATTTGTGGATAGGCACTTTTATTTTGGGAAATTCCTCCAGGAAGCAACTAGCAATGGGCGCTGGAGAAAGCAAAACAGGAAAGGAGGAAAAATATTATTGAACTGAATATGACTGTGGAAATGGGGGCTCAGTGCTACCGGGGACCCTCTGAGAAACCGTATAGAATTCACCCCAGAATTGTCCTCCTGAGATCAGTCTAGAGGGCAGTATTTCATCATGGTTCCAACTTCCCACTCGTCAAAGGTCTATTGAAGCCATGGATTCCAGACACTTCCAGTGGGGCACATGCCCGGCCTTTTATTCTGCAGCTGCACAGAAGCCTGGGGCAAAAAGCAAAGGAAACAAGACAGCTGATGTGGGACATTATCAGGCTCACCGGCTCCTGGCTTCAAGGCAGGGCAATGGCCAATAGGTGAGCTGCCAGAGGATGAGATCATGCAATGTCTCTAAGGGGTTGGCCTTCTTCAAATATCGCTGGCACAGCATAAAGCCAACCTGGATGGCAACATGTTTTTAGAAGAAGCTTTTTTCAGAGAGATCTGCCCCAACATTTTAGCAGAGTTAGGTAAATAGACTCATGGAACTTTGGATCCAGAAGTTATCTTGGAATACTTCTGGTCAAGACATATGCTTTTATGTATTAAGAAAGAGAGGCCCTAGATATTTTAAAACCAAATGATCCGGAGCAGGATGAAGTATAAGGTTTTTGTTTTTTCCCCCCTAATCCAGAGCTTCTCTCTTTTTATTGCATATTTGAGATTCATTTGTGTGTTTCTCTACAAATATTGAATGCCTTCTGGATACTTTTGCAGGCACTATGCTAGATGCTGGGGACACAGTGGTAGAAACCAGACAAGGTCCCTGCAATGAAAGAAAACATGGGGAGGGGAAGGGGGAAAAGAGAGAAAGAAGAAAGGAAGGCAAATTTATAGTTACAACTGATGTTAAATGCTTTGAAGGAAAAATCCATGGTGCTAATTTGTGACACAATTACCTAATAATCACTGAACAAGCCTTACTCATTGGATTCCACTACCAAGTTCTGTTTATCTGTCTCGTTAGAATAATGTCATTAGTTTTTTTTATTTTAGTTTTTTCGCTTTTTGTTTTTGCTTTTGTAGCATATGCAAGTCCTTCTAACAAAGCCCACAAAGAAACAAAAAATATAAATCAGTTTTGCCTCAGGATAGCAGAGCCTGTAATACATTTTATTTTCATTTTCCTCCATCTTGTAACTTCTCTTTCCTCCACTTTTATACTATTATACTTTCTTCTTTTCCTCCCGCCTCCCTGACCATTGGTTTCGTTTTTCAACATTTGTTTCTTCTTCATCATTTCAATGTTGTATTTTCCTGGGCAGGTTGTGTTGCTTTTTTCTCCTCCTTTTATCTTCTTCTTAGGCAGCCTTATTCATTCCCCATGACGAACCACACACAAAGTTTCACTGTTGTATATCTGTGGTCTAGATCTCTCCTCTGAGCACCAGGCCTTGTATCCCACTTCTCTCTGGATACTTTCACTTGGATATTTCAAAAGCAATAGGTCAAAATGAAACACACAGTTTTCCTTCTATCCTGGCCTTCTTCCTCAGCAACACTCTCCTTCGCCATTGAAGGGCATCTCAGGACACCAATGCACAAGTCAGTTGCCAGGGGCATTCTGCACATGCCTTCTCTTAAACTCCTCCATATCCATTCCATAATAGAAAAACATTTATTGACACCTTTCTGTTCTTTTCTTTCCTCTACCGACATCCCAGTCCAAGCTCTCATCCTCTCTGTCTTAGACTACTGCAGCAACCTCCTATCAAAGGTAGCCATTCACATTCAATGTGGTTTTCCATACCATATCCAGATTGCTCTTTCCAAAATGAAAATTCTAGCTATATTCACCACTTGTGTCTTTTCCCCCTTCTCCTCAGTAAAATGTCAGTGACTTCCACTGCATTCAAGTGAAGGCCAAATTCCTTCAAGTGGCCACAAGATACTACCTAGTCTGGCATAGGGAAGCTAGGAATATACTCAACTTTGTTTAATAGTGTTTGGTTATAATGCAGTCAAAACAAACATTCTCTGCTTTCCTCACATAAAAGACATAATGCATGGATTCCTAGAGGTCTTGTCACAATTATAAATATGAGTAAGCAAATTTTATATCTTTTTCAAAAGATCAAATCTCTCCAACAGCTTCTGGTTTCAATATTTGTTTCTCTCTCAAGAGCAAAAAGAAACCCATTAGTAGCCACATGCTCAGAATATTCAATGGTATTAATTATATCCTATTTAAATGGAAAGTAAAATAATCACAAGAATCCTGGAGCCATAATTAGTGAAGACTAAGTTTCTGGTTGTTGCAGACCTGTAGAATCGGAGAGGAAAGTGTGGTGGGGAGAGATGAGGAAAGAAAGAAGAAGGAAAAGTTGTAGAAAGAAAAAAACAAGGTAATGAATAATCTGGTCAAGATTTCAATCCACTAGCAGCATTGGACATACCAGATCTTGATGGCAACATTGGACAAGGTTCCCCTCCAGAGATAAGGCCTATGTCCTGAAAAAGGGAAAGACTAGGAGCCCAGTTCATTCACTATCTTCTTAATTTTTCACAAAGCCAGTCCACAGTGTGACAATTTTCAGGTCGTGATAAAAGTTGCCATTGGGCTTGGCATGGTAGCTCATGCCTGTAACCCCAGCACTCTGGGAGGCCGAGATGGAGAGATGATTTGAGGTCAGGAGTTCAAGACCAGCCTAGCCAACATGGTGAAAACCCGTTTTTATTAAAAAAATAAATAAATAAAAATTAGCCCAGTGTGGTGGTGTGCACCTGCAGTCCTAGCTACTCAGGAGGCTGTGGCAGAAGAGTCTCTTGAACCCAGGAGGCAGAGGTTGTAGTGAGCCAAGATCATACCACTGCACTCCAGCCTGGGGGACAGAGCAAGACTCTGTTTCAAAGATAAAAATTTAAAAAAATATATTAATTAAAAATAAAAAATAAAAGTTTCTGTTGTACTCCTGAAATAATAAGACTCTTATAGACATTAATATGAAAGAAAGAAATATAAGAAGGAAAGGAACAAGCCTTATTTAAGAAAAAAAATTCTGCATACACCTAAAATACATGCCTCAAAAAAGATTGCTTTCTTCCTACTTTTTCTCTTTCAAAATTTCAAAGGCAGGACAAGTTCCCATAACAATAAGAAATAGTTTTTTAAAAAACTACAATATAAATATGTATTTTGTGGTCTATGCTAAAATCTGCTTTTTGAGTCATGCTTCATGGTGACTGCTTTAGAAATGTCAGTCCACAACAGATTCAAACTTTATCACTCAAACTTTCCTCTATTGCACAAGACTGAAGTGGTATTCGTAGATCCATTTTTATTTCTTTTACTAAACTACTGCTGATTGCTTCTACAATTTAAAAAATTCCAAATATGAATGAATATTTAGTATCTTTTTCCCTTTTGAGTGATCAATGTGAAAAAAATACAAAATTTAAAACAAACAAAATGGACTTTTCTCAACACCAAGAAGAAGTCTCCGGAATTATCTTTAACATATAAACATCAATAGAAAGATTTAGAAAGGTAATTCTGTTGATCTCCTTAGGCTGAAGTGAAGACATTAATTATTTTACAAATGACAAATCATCTTGATTGATTTCCTCAACCAATTAAATTTATTAGCTCACTTTCCCATATTCCACCTGATTCTCTCTCTAGAACAAAAACTTTTAACTAAATGAAGGAACTGTCAAAAAGAAAAGTGAGAATATGCTGCGTTCATAAGTACTTAATACATGCTGACTAGCTATAGTTTTATCTATTGTGTGTTCTATATGTATTGTGTGTTTTCAAAGTTGCATTTTACATTATTGAATGAAGGTTGGCTTGAATGACTAGGGAAGAATGTATGAATTAGATCCAGAGTAAAGCAGAGCAAACAGCCATCCATCAATAGATGATCTATGGGAAATGGACCTCTCCATTTTGCTACTATCTATAATATTTTGATTCATTCTAATCATGCACATTGCCCACAGATTAGCGCGCACACACACACACACACACACAAACACACACAAACACATACACAACAATGTTTAAGAAACTTCCAGGTCTATCTCTATGGAATCATTGAGTAGAATAGGAATATTCTCCTCTGTTAATCTGTATGTTCTATACAGTTGGAAGTATACATTAAGTCTAGTTTTTAATTCCCAGAATTGAATTCTTTTTTCTTGCATGGGTGAAAACATGTAGGTTAGTGACTCTTGAGCACATATGTGCACAAATACACACACACACTTCTGTGACACAACAGAAGAGAGAATCTCTGGAGTATCTCCCTTCGGCAACACACTTTTCCTCTCCATTTAGGTCAATGAGAACTACATTCAGATACAACAGCCTAGGGAGTAGGAATTTTTAGCAGGTAATTGTTATTGAAATAGAGTTTTAGAGAGCACCTCAAAAAAGAATCAAAGATGAATTCACCTGAAATTTTGCTTTGAGCCAAGAATAAAATAAAAACCTTACAGCATTCTTTTTAAAAAGGAAAATTACTTTATAACTAATACTCAGAACTAGGAACAAAGTTTTCATGAGTCTTGTGTTCCTCATTATAACCTTGTGTACCTTGCAGAGTTATACTTAAAAAGAATTTTTAACTACTCTAAGTTAATCAATTTGCTAGAAATTCTACATTAATCTAAATGATGATTTTTCTCTCAACAGATTATTCAAATCTCACTCAGATCAACAATGGTTAAAAAACAAAAAGGCTCACTGTATCTTACCTCATTCTAATTTTGCATTATGGATGGATGAAGTAACACCTAGTAGTAACAAGAATTGCTTTAGGCATTTTTTTACTATGTTATTATTCATTTATTCAATAAATATTTATTGAGCACTTACTATGTTTCAGGCAATGGTACAAGTTGCTGAGCATAGAGTGATGAACACAAAAATGATACTGCCTTCAAAAGAGCTTATATTTTAGCAGGAGAGATGTGTATTAAATGAATAACTGCACAAATAATTGTGGTAGGGTGATATTTTGAAATGTGAATTCATATATTTTCTATATATTTTCTTAGACTTTCTTTATTTAGCCAATTAATATCTTCTATGCTTTTGCCTCAGGAAAGGAATATGCCACAACTTAAATTAAAAAAAAAAATTCAAACAAACAAGTCTATTCTTAGCTTAGTCCTCAAAAGGAAGCAAAGAAATAAACCTCAGGTTGTAAAAAATGTATTAATCAGTGAGTTAGAACCAAGATATCATATTTCAAGATAAAGTATTCAGTTTCCTAGAGGATGATAGGGTACATGTTGAGTGAGTCCTGAAGAAAGATTTCTGGCTATCTGCTTCCTCTTCTACCTAGTCAGGTTCAGGCAAGGGAAAAATAGAAATCTTAGATTGGCTGGCTGAGTGTGAGGAGACTGGTGCTCCTTTCCCACGTGGAGACTTGGGGGTGGGAGCAGCAGGCTGCAGGCTGTCAGGCCTGGTGGATCTGAGTTGGCTCAGAGAGTGTTTGCATCTCATGACAGTAGCATAATGCCCATGTGCTTAAGCGTAGCCAAAAATATGACAAAAGGCCTCTCAGAGATTCCTGTGACCCCAGCAGACCATGAGACTGGCAGAATTTTGCTCAGAGATGCAAGAGGGGGCCTGGAAAGGAAGAGAAAAAGAAAAAACCACCAGTCCTGAACCGTTTTGCCAGGCAGGATCCAGAAGCAGCCCGTGTGGACTAGTGGGTGAAGACCAGGACACCAGACATCTCAGAGGTTCCCATTCAGGCTGTGACCTTGACACTTGATGTCCTTGCCTGAAGCCTTGGCTCTGCGTGAGACCCGGTGCTTTGACATATCCTGTTTTGGGTGACTGTTGCCCCACTTTCCCTCTCCCTTACACATCCTTCTTCCCACCCATCAAGGACTAACCAAAGAGAAGGACGCAGGGTCTTGTTCTTTTCTCAGGGACCCACCCATTCTAAATTTTCAATGTTTATTTTCCAACTTTCTGTACACCTCCCCAGGCTGAGAAGGTTTTAACTAATGGCAATAAGGCAGCTTGGCTCTGAATGTATTGGGTAGTTTTTCAAATGTTTTGTCTATGCCCTGAGTTTTTCTACTTCCCCAGAAAAATAGGCTTTCGAAACTCAAAAGCTAAGACTTTACCAATTTTTACTTAGCATTTTACCACGTTATTACTTTCCTGAATTTTAGGGGAAGAACTAAGGGTATAAGGATATAAAAGGTAATGTATCAGCTAACATTTCAAAACCGTAACCCACTACATAATTATTTATGTGTAGTCGTAATAAGCCTTGAAAGAAAATACAGAATTCACGAAGAGTAGAAATTAGGATGAAGCAAATACAGTATATGAATGAATTATAAGGAAGGACATAGGGAATAAGAGAGAAAATAGGGAAGAAGGTATGTATTTGTGTTCAAATATGTGTGTGGGGGGCGCTTAAAAAAATCTAACATTCAGTAAATAATAGAAATCATAATATCCTGAAGTTATCTGAGACAGATCTTAGTACTTAAAGAAAGGCATGAAAAATGCCATAAAAGTGCTCTGTTGTAACATCAGAATTGATTTGTATTTATTTTTAAGCACTGAAATTTTAAGATGCATATTAGCTATTCATATCACCATACAAAGACAACATTTTAATTACAATTAGCAAAACTGCTAAATCCTAGAAAAGACACCATCGCTTCTAAAATCCTCTGAACACTCTCACAAAGAAAATACCCTTCTCTGTCCCAGTTCCAACCTCTCCCACGGTCCTTACTCCAAAGCTCAGTTAGTGTCTTGGTCACAGAATAGACGAAGAGGTTTTATGTAGATAAATGAAATCAATAATATTTCACTCATTTTACAAGTTCATAAGTTATACATGCAACAGAAACAGAATGCCCAAGAAGGAAACACCAAATAGTCCTGCTCGATTTGTGTAAATAGATGACATTTTAGAAGGCAAAATCTTGACTATTTTCAGCTGACAAATTCTTTGGAAGCTTCTTAAAAAAATAAGCTGGCAATGCTCACATATTTCAACCTTAAAATGAAAGGAATCTCTGAACTTTCCTTCTTTAGCAATAAACTCCCTTAACCCCTTCCCCTCCACACCATAACAGCAACAACAAAAGAGTATCGGCTAAGATTCTTTGTATGTGTGCACACACCCCTCTTTGCCTAGAGCCAAGTTGAAATTGAAACCCGGAATCTGAATATACCCTTCAGATCTCATTAATCAAGTTTAATACTTGCATTTTTCTCTTTAGTTTAGATCACATTTTCTCTTGATAAAAATGGGTAGTTGTGGTTTAGAAAATGGGAAAACTGGACCAACTATGAACTAGAGCAAAGTTGAAGACAACTCTAAATATTCTGAGTATGTTCCGTGATTCCATGAGCTTTCCTGACAACTGGTCATTCTAGCTTCACCGCATCCTGTGGTATAATGTCACATACCCAAAGACCATGATGCAACATGGCACGACTTCAGGAGTAGGAGTTTCCATTTAAAAACAATAAATAAATTGTTTTTCCAAGTAAGTCCAATTATTTTACTGGGTATTGGCTCTGAAAAAGAGTTGTGAGTTTATTAAAGATATTTAGGGTGCTGGTTCTGTGAAACTTAGCTGCATGTGGCTATTGGATCGCTTATCCATTTTCTCTGCCATGTAAGAAGAAAACATCTCAAAATATAACTATTAGTTGGCTTTGTGGTGTTGGGTTAGTGTGCCAGTCTGAGGTTAGAACAGAGATGGGATCCCAAGCCCTGGGCTTTGTATTATATAGTATTGTATTTTTGATGTTGTACTTAAGGGTCAATTACTGTTTCCATTATAAACCCTGTTTTTCAAGGGTTTATAGCTCACCAATTTTCATTTTGGTATGCAAGCTGCATGAATATACAGGTTTTAAAAATAGCTTAAATTGGGCAGTGCCATTTTTAGATATAAGTCAGTAAAATACACTTTTCATTGGTTTCAGTTTGTTTTCAATGTTTCCAATCTAAAAATTTATTCTTAAAGTGCAAAAATGCACACCTTATCATGCTTTTTCATAACAGCTTTGCATAGGGGAGCTGATAAAGGGAGTAAAAAATATATCAAATGAAACTTCAAAAAAGAAAACAAAAATAACTTCTGTGAAAATTTGTAGGTAAATGTCACTTTAGTCAATGTTCTCAAAAATCAATAAACTAATCAATCAGTATTTCCTAAGCATGGGCACTATTTTGTGCTCAATACTGTGGTCAGTACTGTGAGGAATAGCTCCTGTCCTCAATGTGCTTGAAATCCTAGTTCTTGGGATCCTTATGAGAAACAAAATTATGTAGCTGGAGCTCTGGACTTCTTTAATTCTTCTTAAGTAGCCAACGCTAGTAGGTTCTAACTATGAAGACACCAACATTAAGCATAACAGCACTGTACATTAAGGCATTAAAGTGGTAAATCATTAGCCAAGACCTTAAGAGGCAAAGGCAAAGGCACTTAAAGAGTTCTGCAACTTATTGGTGTCCTACAAAAAGAGCAAAGGATTCCAGTGTATAGACAAATGCCCAGATACAGAAATGTATCCATCTATGGTCCTGCAAGCTTTAAAACTCCTACCCTGACCATCAGAATTAAAAAATCCCTACCTAAGAGTGAATTGTTTTCCCTACCATTCTGAATTTTCCAAAACATAAAACAAATTAAGTTTTGTTTTACTGCAAACTAAAATTCTTAAAAGAGTTGTCTACCTTATTTCTACTCTCTCACTCAACTCTCACACCTCAACTTATTCTTCCCTGGTTTCTAGCACTACTGGTTTCCAGCACTCTACTCGTACTGCACTTACCTAAGTTACCGATAATCCTCTTGTTGCTACTGCCAATGAATAAGTATTTGCTTTTATCTCTTACCCAAATTTATCTGTATTTACCAGATTGCCACAGTTTTCTATCTTTTGTCTCATAAAGACCTTTGTCATTTTGTTGTTGTTGTTCAACTCAACCTCTACCCTCCCCCTCCTATTGTCATTTCTACTTACCTTTTGGGGAATGCTCCATTGGTATGGAGTTTTGGTGGGTGACAGTTGCTTCTCATTTATGGAAACTGAAGGGACAAAACCTTCTCTTTTCCCTAGAACAAGGTGCAGTGCTGTAAGCAAGGCTCAGTTAATCAGATACTTTCTCCTAGGGCTTGAAGCTTGATCAAGTCCAGATGTAGGGATAGTTAGAGACCATTTTCATTTACTGGCAGTGACAACCCTCTCCCAATTCCTTCTGCATTGCATTTATTGTCTTTTATGCTATCCAGTTCTCCAGAGCTTGGTTTATTCATACCCATTTTCCAAACCTAGTTCTCCATATCCTCATTATTTCTGTTATCTCCGGATATTCTTCAGTAAAGTTATATTTGTATAAGATACTCAGCCACTGTTTCTTATAAAAACATTGATTGATATAATTTATTTCTGGCTCTTGTTTTCTGTAGTGTTTATAGGTTCATTTTCCTCTGTTTCTTAAGTTACTTTTAAGTTTCCTCTGTCTATTCCTTATCTACTAATAAGTTGCAACTCCCCCAGATACTTTTTAATGTCCCTTCTCATTTCACTCCACATTATCTACCTGTGCTTATTGCAGCTACTCCCTTGACCTCAATCTCATCCATATGCTAACGACTTCCAAATCTATAAAGTCATTCTAAGTCTCTCCTCTGATCTTCAGATTTTTTATTGATGCTATTTTTAATTAATTTATTATATAAATATTTATTGAATTTTAACTATTCATCAGATATATAGTAGGAGATATGGTTTGGCTGTGTCCCCACTGAAATATCATCTTGAATTGTACACAGAATTCCCATGTGTTGTGGGAGGGACCTGGTGGGAGATAATTTGAATCATGGGGCCAGTGTCCCCCATACTGTTCTCGTGGTAGTGAATAAGCCTCACGAGATCTGATGGTTTTATCAGGGGTTTCCGCTTTTGCATCTTTCTCATTTTCTCTTGCTGCCGCCATGTAAGAAGTGCCTTTTGCCTCCTGCCATGGTTCTGAGGCCTCCCCAGCCATATGGAACTGTAAGTCCAAGTAAACCTCTTTTCCTTCCCAGTCTTATGTATGTCTTTATAGCAGCATGGACTAATACAGTAGGATACACATACAGATACACACACACACACACACACACACACACACAGATAAGAATAAGAAGCAAAGTGATAAGGTTTTCCATTTTATGGAAGTTAGTCAAGTGGATTCCATAATTTTGTGAACTCCATAATGTCATGAGTCATCAATCTGATGGATTTCATATTCTAGTGGACTCCACAGATGCCATGCAATACTCAACATGAGATATCAACTTGGATATCTCAAAAGTACTGAATTCATTTCCTATCTCCCACACCTGCACCAATATATTCCTCCTACTGGACTCCCTATTTCAATGAAAGTATTCAATTGCTACGTCAGCAACCTACTGAAAACACTAAGTATTGCTCTTCACCCTGTCCTCACATCTGTACCAATCATTAAAGCCTGTTTATTCACCTTTCTCAATATATTTAGAATTTTTCCACTTTCCATGATCAGTTCAACTGCTTCCCTAAGTAGGCCTCCAACCCCTTTTTCTAGGGTCAGCACAACAGTCTGTTAACTAGTCTTGGCTTCTATGTCTAAATTGAAGCCAAAGTGAATTTGATAAAATGCAAGCTTATTTGTGATTATCTTTTCATTAAAACCCTTCGAGGACTCCATAATTATCTCAAAAATAAGTCCAAACTTTTTTCAAGTCACTTCCCTTCTCTTTTTTCACATTTTAATCCCTCTCTTATTGACCCACATGCTCCTCACTCTAGCCATCAGAAATTCTCTCACATCAGCAAACAAATTGCATGCTCTCTCAACTTGCCTGCTACTCGGCATATCTTCCCTGTTCCATATGAATTCCAACCAGACCAATTCCATTCATTCTTAAGATACCTTTACTTTTCCTAGGAAACCTCACTCTTCCTACAAGACTGGGCCATATCCTCTTTTATGCATTCTTAAGTCATCTTGGTCTCCCTAACATTTATTACTCTGTATTATTAACTGTTGTGTTTTACTGGTAGATTTCACTAGACTGTAAGATATTTGAAGGCAGAAGATATATCTCCTTGTATGTTTTTCCCACACTACACAGTAGGTGATCAACAAGCATTAGCTAAACAAATAGATGAGAAATGTCGATCTTAAACTCGCATTATCAAAAAACCAATTTCAAACTGTGAAAATACTTCTGTTGCTTTTTCAAGGCTTACAATACTTTGAATAGATTAATTTGGCTATTCACAGATAGTTATACCTATCTGAAAATTATGGCACTTACGTTAATAAGCTGTGCTATATTGCATCCATGATCATATGATAAAACATCAGCAGGATCTAGATATGTTGTTTAGCCGTGCCCCATCCATGCCACACAACACACTTTCAATATCCTATTTTCTTTGAAACTAACATGTTTCTGAAATCATTTTAGAACCTACTAAGGTTGACTACTTCAGAAGGATTACAGAAATCCAGAGTCCCAGGAATATAATTTTGTTCCTCATAAGGATCCCACGAGTCTATTTTTTTCATTTTTATTATCTTCTTTTCTTTCTTAAACTTCTTTGAAGGTAAAGAGAAGTGGTCCTGAGAAGAGATCCAGGGTGACAGAATGTTCTCCATAATCACACAGTTCTACATGAAAGTACCTATTAAGTGTCAGGTTATGCTGAACCCATCATACAGGGGAGTGTAGATAGGCACGTGGATTCAATGTTTTATAAAATTAGCATTGTGGAGATTCTGCAGGATCAGAACTATTTGCATAGTAATATTAAGATGATTTTGTTTATTTCATCCTCACTTTCCCATGGGTGTACAAAGGAGGTTTTTCCAGACGCAAGATACTATTCAATATGACAATAAATTGAATGAAGAAGCAGATATAAGAACCCAGACAATTAATAAGATTTACTAAAATCTCATTATAAAATAGTACTATATAAATACAGTGCTACTCTTCTCACTAAATACTTTTGGCTTGGAAAAAATGTGGTTATTTTTTAATCAAATAAAACCACACTTATGTTAACATGGAAGAGATATTTTGAGAATATATTAATAAGTAAATGTTTACAATGTCAGTTTTAATTTCTAGTAGGGTAATATTGATAGCTATAACACATAATTATTACATGTTCTCAATAACTTTTTAGTGTAACAGGATCTTGAAAGCAAAAAGTTTGAGAAGTGCTGACATAAACAGTGAAGTAATTGTAAAAGGAGGCACCTAACCATGAATGATACTGCACTGGACCCCACTGGGGACTGAAACATGCCCAGGTGTGAGTGATGACCAGGTTTGATTTGGTAACCCTCCCTGCCATATGCGTGTCAGTCTTCCAGGATTGCAGCACCAGGATACACAGCCTGTATACTCATGTAAATGTAAGCACTAGGCTTTCGATGATTAGTTGAGGATACTCCTTGCACTTTCAGAGCCCTTTTCTTTCTTACAGAATCTATTCAAAGAGTATAATTATTTGATTCTTATGGAAGGCCACATTTTCAGACATAACACTATAATGCAGTAGATTTTGGTCAAGTGTGAGTTAAATAAGGAGAGTCTTGGAGCACGGATGGTTCTCTATTCTGTTTGAAGCTGTCCTGCTTCAGCTAACTCTCAATAGTTGTTTGGAATGCCATGCCAAGAAGGTGTGCAATGTCTGTTAAGTAATTGACTGACTGATCAATTATGGCCTGGAGTCCAGGAGACAGCATTGCTTCATTCTAGGTGGACTAGCCCACTAACAATGTAACAAACTGTATCTGTGAATGAAAGTATTCAACTATTTTCTTATTCAATGTAAATGTCTCATTCTGAAAGAGTGAATACAAGGTCAGTGCAAGTGTCTTCAGTGCCATAGGAGAGGATGTTAAGGTTTCTCTTTTTAATAGACTTTTGCTAAGAGTAGCAAAGGCATCATAAAAAGAACAGTTAACAAAACTATTTTTTTCATTATCAAAGAATATAAATGTGTCAACACAAATGTTCTTCTTTTTAAAAAATTATTCACAAAGTCTATCTTTGCTGGAACTAGAGGGTAAAGATAGGAATTATAGAAGATTAACTCAGAACTGATTGCAATTTGAGAGGACTAATATAAAAATATTTTAACCCCAATATTATTTAATCCCTTAATATAAGGGATAATTCTTCACCCCAAAAATACAGTATAATAAAATAAAGAATGCAGGTTAATCCTTAATTTAACCTACATGAAATAGTCACCATGTAGAGGTAAAATTACTGAAAATTTCAAGGTCTCTAGAAGGTCTCTGCTTAAGTAAGTGAGATCTCAGATTTTACATTCTGACATTCCTTACTTTTATTTTTCTTCAGGCACAAAGTTCTATTAGGACCCCTCTCCTATGAAATCAACAAAGTAACTATCTTACCTAGCTGGTATTGCCTCTGTTTATTTTGGGGTCTGCATGCATTTGCCACTCATACTCAGATCATGTTTTTGTGAGAGGCCACAGAGTGACTTTCTTTAAGGCTATCAAAGCCTTCCTCATTATCCTTTATGGGCTGTGCAGAAAACATCTCAACTATTAGATATTTAACTGGAGTGCAGAAGAATGGGTTTGCTGGCCCCCTCCAGTTCCCTGGTTAAAAGCTGTGTTCATAATCAGTTTCTGGTTCTTTAAATGACCCTCAAGAGGTTCCTTCCGGTCCACTTCAGTTCCCTTTTTAGTGTCCCATTGATTTTCCAGACTTTAGGAACGTGTCCTTAACGGCCTGCTTTTCCATTGGCTCTCTCTACTGAATGCTAAAGCAACACTTTGTTGCTTCATACACTGAGATAGGAATATCTTGAGAACTAACACACCATTTATAACAGTACAGTTTACAATAGCACTTCCTGCAGAAAGAAGGTGCCTCTCTCAGAAAGAGAAGGACAATTTCTGCACCCAATTTACTTTCATAACTATAAGCAACACCCTTGTTTCTTGTCAATAAAAAGGAAGATAAAATAGAGTAGCAATCACAATACATAAATGATACTATTTGTCCCCAGAGTGCATACCAAAGAGTAATTCACTCAAAGAGCTCACATGAATTATGAATGGCAGGAAGGCAAAGAGAGGGAATGTTAGTGCAGACCCATCTGCACTGCTGTTCTACGAATATTTTAAAGTCAGAGCAGCCAAAGGAACTATGTGATAAAATTGTAAAGGTATATCATTTACTTTTGGCTCCTTCTCTACTCTCAATCTCATTTTAACATTGAGACACTATAGAATCTGTGAATCTGAAAATATATAATTTGTATTAAATTGTAATATCAAATAGATGATCAATATAAAAATCTGAAAAACCTCATGGGAATGGTGAGATTTTCAAAGAGACATTTCCTTGACCTTACCCAAAACAGGAATGAAAAAGCAAAGGAAAAAGAACAGAAAACGATGAGTTCAAAATTACACATAAAAGTAGAAGACAAAAATATTTGCTCACAGAAACCTGAGCATTTATGTGGCATTTGGTAATGTAATAGCGTGCACGATGGGCTCTGTCCTGACTGAAACTCAGTGGCAAAGCCGTTATTGTTTCTGTGGCCAAGAAAAGGAGTATTCATGTTGTAATATAACATATTGTTATATTGTCCAGTTCTTTTTCGGACTCCATAATAAAAAATTATAGTCATTTTCTAAGGAAAAGTCATAGAATGATCAGATCATAAGCTCCATAAATAAAAATGTGCTGGAGACCTTGAGTCTTGTCTCAGAATATGTATTCATGTGCCCTATTTTCTTATATTTTCCTCCAACATTTTCTTTAAGGTCCTTTTGAACTAAAAAGCCAGGGGGAATTTGGAGGGGAAGGGGGCAAGAAATATTTTCTTTCTGCAGGAAAAAAAAAATAAAAGTTCCAATTTATAGAGGAGTTTCTCTCTCACACACACACACACACCCAAAAGGGAACAGTTGAATTGAAACAGAATCATTACGAGGAAAGAGTGTGTTAGGAGAAAAAATATATATATAAAGGCAAAGACTCATCTAAATGAACCTAGTTTAGGGCCTTACCAAGGAGACAGCTTAAGTTATCTTTGAAAACGGGTGAGTCGCCCTGCTCGGCTGAGTTTGAATTGAATGTTCCTAAAGTAACATTTCACAAACAGGGATACCCTTCCATTTCACACTGCTCTTTCCCGAAATAGCAACACCATTTAGCAATATTTCATATCAAGACAATTACATTGTAGAATTATTGCAGTCTTAGTGCTTCATTAAAATTTAAAAAAAGTTAAATCCCTGTTCTGTTGAACACAAGAAATGAATAGTAAATATTGATTTAGAATGAATGCAAACATTTCCCTAGGAGTGGATAATTACTGCCTTTCTATGCAAAACACTTATATCTGAAGAAGCACTTCACTTACTTTGCCATGCGGCATACATTCCTTAGTACATTTTAAATTATACGTTGTCCTGGACAGTGTCTGCTCTATAATTTCTTGTGTCTCTACACCAGAGTCAGTATGTAATTTTAAACTACAAAGTTTCTGCCAACTAGGAGAATAGGCTTAACTCTTTCTCTTTGCTGGGTTCACAAATCCTTACACGAGGAGATCTGGAAAACCATAGGACAGATGATCTCAGACCTTGAGCAGTTCAGTCTCTTTTTTCAGGCTAACAAAAATGCCACTAGTAACTGGCCACAGATTTATAAACCAGAGACTAAATGGAATATAAAATTTATGCCCCTAAGCTTAGTGTACATTTAAAAACAAATTAAGTAATTACATCAGAAATGTTGAATGAATGACAAGTGTTATGAATACTTGCCATAAAAAGGTTTCGTTTAAAAAGGGACCATCATACTTTAGAATAAATCTTTTGTCAACACCTTTGATTATCCTAGTTTTATCCCTCTGCCAAGATATTTGCAACTCAGCACTGTCTAAATTGTGTAAAGAAATACATTTTAATCATTTCAATATCACCTGGATAGATGGTAATTTAATTTAAAAATTGATGTTGGAACACTTTTAATTTAGTTCCTAAATACAGAAATATTAAATAGTACAAAGTTATTAGAGATTATGATTTTCATCATTTTACCTATAAAAGTGCCCTTCCCTAAAGTAATAAAATCACTTGTGGAATAACTTCATATTAGAAAGACCCAAGTAAATGAAGAAAGGAAAGAAATGCTAAATTTGGAGTCAAGTTACTATGCAGGAGAAAAACAAGGTCAATGGATTTTGTTTATGTATCTGGATGTAGCAGCATATCTGGATTCCATAGAATCTCTGTATTTGTAGCTTGTGGGATTTAGTCTTATTTATTCTCCCTGGTTTCAAACAGCATGCATGCAACCTTCTACCTCTTGGATGTATTAAAGTTTTACGATATAGGAAAGATAAATTCTAAGAGAAGCAATACAATTTCAGTGATTATACGAACTATATATGTGCTTGAAAAACATAGATCAAAGTTTTACCCTTTTGCATGCCATGTCGTATCTTGTGACATCCACTGTGTTCTCTTATGTTTACATCCTCTCCTGTTATTGGCTTATTTTATAACAACTTGCCTGGTCACAAGAACTGCCTGGGGAGCTCATTAAAAATACCATTCTCAAGACCTTATTCCTGAGAGGCTGACCCGATGAGTCTGGAACTGGGCCCAGGAAACTACATTTTTTAAATGCTCAAGATAATTTTCACGATTAAGCTTGCTAAGCACTGATCTATGTCTTCACCTAACCCATCTTCTAAGATCAACTTTATTTTTAATCGGTGTAAGTAGTATTTTCACTAGACATACTTCCGGGGAAAAGGGTGAAGTCTACTCCTTCAATCTGTTCACTGAGAAATAGTTTTCCTAAATGTCTTAGTGTAAAATGAAAGCACAACTAGACTTGACATTAATTCATTTCAAAGTGACAGTAATGAGTGCCAGGCCTACTTCTTGATGAGGGTTTTGATAGCGGTGTCCTTTAAGGAATGGAAAGGTACTGAGTTACTGAAGTGCAGACTGGAAAGGAAGTGGGCACAGTAAATAGATACAGAACTGAGAGGGCTGGATGAAAAGAAGACTGATGTGATGCTGCCTTTGTCAGCAACGTGTCTAAACTCTGCGCTTTGGAGATATACTAAATCCAACAGTCATCTGAGAATAGACTGAATCTGCAAAAGACTACATGGATTTTGCTGATGTTAACTAAAAGAAAACAAAAACAAATGCACACACAATAAAAAAACACAGAAATGACAATACTTCCATAGAGATTATAAATAAAGAGAGACCACACTGGTGAATTTACTAGCACGTGGAAATTTTTCAAATGTCAGGTTCCATCATAACCACGTGAATCGAATACAAGCTTCATTGTATTTATGTGAGCGGTATCAAGAGATGTTTTGAAAGAGAATGTAGCCAATATGCTACATGATGTCAATACTAATGTAAATGATATTGATGAATATCAGAAATACTTACAACAGTAAATAGTTAAATATGAAATATCATGAAGGTAATTCATAGGTACGTTAATGTGTTTCACTTTGCCTATCATGTCCCACCCACTTCTTAGCCACTCTAACCAATGAATTTTATACAAGTGGCTTTTGCCCTTTTTAGTGCATTCATTGCCAGCACGGGTGGTAGGGAAGGTGTGAGCAAAATGTCAAGGCTCTTACTGAAAGAAGGTACACCTAGACCAGGGTCTAGAATCTAGCCCTTGACACCAGCATTCACTAGATTTAGGAACTAATTTACTTTTTCTTATCTAAGCCACTACTGATTGTAACACACTTCCCAAGTTCAGAAATGTTAAAAGGTGAAAAGAAAATGTACATCTTATACAACGGACTTTGGGGACTCGTGACAAAGGGTGGGAGGTGGGTGAGAAATAAAACACTACTTGGGTACAGTGTACACTGCTTGGGTGATGGGTGCACCAAAATCTCAGAAATCACCACTAGAGAACTTACGCATATAACCAAACACCACCTTCTCCCTAAAATCCTATTGGAATAAAAAATAAATTTTTAAAAAAGAAAATGTGCGTCTTAGAATCAATAATATGTAGAAGCCCTTAAAGTTAAAAAAAATAGGCAGGAAGACTCCTTAGGTTTTTAAAGGTATTTATCAAAGAAACTCAAAACTGGCAAAGAGCTAGGAATTGCCAACCCCTGAGTCAGTCCCCTAGTTACTGGCTCCTATGAGGATGACATGAGCTGCTAAAGCCACTTTGTCATGGCACAAGGACCTTTGTCCCTCTCAGATAAGGCTATGACACAATGGACAAGAGACATCTTTCAGAAAGCAGATCTTAGGGCAGCCAGACTGGGGGACCATGGAAAGCTCTCTACTACCGGAAGAGAGCAGTCCTGCTACTCCAGTCCAAAAGAATATGATATATGCCAAAAACTCCAGACCATTGTAAGTTGTTTCCCTTTCTCTCTTTTTCTAAATGGTAGTTTTAATAAATTTATCCTCTCCTTCCTGCTCTATCATCTATGGAGGGGATACTAGAAAATACCATTAAGCACTCAGTGAGTGAACCATGGAATTTCCACATCAGAATCAAACTCAAGGCAAATATATACCCCTCAAAGATCCTGAAGATACACCTGAGAAGCAGTAACAGGGCAAGATTTAGCTTTATTTCTCCTTTGGAAGGGGTAAATATGTTTATAGGAGACAGGAGTGTCACATTATTTTAGGCAAGTGCATTACAAAATTATTCCCATATAAAATGTAAATTACTTCAACCACTGTGGAAGACAGTATGGTGATTCCTCAAGGATCTAGAATGTGAAATACCATTTGACCCAGCAATCCCATTACTGGGTATATACCCAAAGGATTATAAATCATTCTACTATAAAGACACATGCACAGATATATTTATTGCAGCACTATTTACAATCGCAAAGACGTGGAACCAACCCAAATGCCCATCAATGATAGATTGAATGAAGAAAATGTGGTACATATACTCCATGGAATACCATGCAGCGATAAAAATGAATGAGATCATGTCCTTTGCAGGGACATGGATGAAGCTGGAAGCCATTATCCTCAGTAATCTAACACAGAAATAGAAAATCAAAAACTGCATATTCTCACTCATAAGTGGGAGTTGAACATTGAGAACACATGGACACAGGGAAGGGAACATCACACACCAGGGGGATGGGGGATGAGGGGAGGGAACTTAGAGGACGGGTCAATAGGTGCAGCAAACCACCATGGCACACGTATACCTACGTAACAAACCTGCATGTTCTGCACATGTATCCCATTTTTTACAAGAAATAAAGAAAAATAGTAATAAAGATATTCACTGGGAAAAAAAAATTATTCCCATATAAAGAATAGTACATGTAGAAAAAAATAGGGCACAGTAGTAACCTGTTAATGTATATCCATTACAGATATTCAGCATCATATTTGCCATCATGATATTTGCCATCATGTGGAGACAGCTTGTTTAAAATGAATCCATCATACAGGAAAGTAAGTCCTGGAAAAGGGAGGGAGAGAGATTAAAAATATGTGTGTGTGTGTGTGTGTGTGTGTGTGTGTGTGTGTGTGTGTGTCTGTGTGAGAGAGAGAGAGAGAGGAAAACGAGCAAGGGGAGGAGAGATGTGGCAAGGGAAGAAAAGAGTCCACAGGACAGAATTCCTGGAAACATAAGAAAATATAAAAGAGAGATTGAGTTGACTTTTTATCTCCGTCAATTGAAAGAGACCTCATTAATACAGGATTAATTGGCTTTTAATTCAAATTTTTCAATAGCTTTGCAAAGGTAGGGTTGAATAAGAAAGCTGTCGTTGATTTACTGTCATTAACTCAGTGAGAGTAGAAAGAGAAAGCTGATTTCATATTTCACCTCCACAGAGAATATGAATCTAAATTTACCAGAACAGATAGCCAGGAAACATGCTGCTGATGAGGTCAATAACAAACAGCAATAATAGCTAATAATTATTGAATCTGTACTATGTGCCAACAGTTAATAATATATTTACATTCCCTCAACAACTAAATGAAGTACTTACTCCATCTTGCAGAAGACTTACTCCATCTTACAGATGAGAAAACTGAGGCTTAGGGAAGATCAATCATTTGCCCAAGGTTTCACCACCAGCTGGGACTGGAACCTAGCCTCTTTGCCATCAATCATCCATGCCTGACCACCATGCTCAAATCAGGACAAGTATAGCACTTCCGAAGTACCAATAAAACTTTTGAATTTATCTTTATCTCCTGCTCAAGTCCAGAATGAGAGTAAAAAGCATTTTTCCTCTGCCAGCAATACCACTAACATTGCTATATTGACATTATTCAGCAAACTGCTTTCACTTAGGAAGCGTGGTGAAAACTCACTGCCCAAATACTCGAGACAGTTTTCCAACAAGCCCAAATTCAACTAGAAATAGACCCAAAAAATTCAAAAGTAGTAGAAAAGGTGGAATTTATTATTTTTAAGTCTACCTTAAGATTTATTTCAAGACCTGACTGACCATACTTCCATGTTAGACATTAGGACAGAACCTAATTTGCCTGGCTGTTACTCCAGCGTTGAGCTCAAACTCACCCTTCTCCAGTCCTTGCGGTGGGACACCATTTCAGAAAGCTGAGTGTTCAAAGGAATGTTACTTCTGCAAACAGCATTCTTAATGTCAAAGGATAAAGCATCACAGTTGTGGGGAAAGTTATGCATTTACCAGGAAAATATTCATCAGCCTACCCAGTTGGTCATTCACTTCCCCTCTGGCTGTTTGGACATATTTGAGTACGTATTAAAATACCCACGAGATCTCCAATCTTAATTATAAAGCTTGAGAAAAAACATCCAGTGAAAGCTATTTTCAGGTATAAAATTAGAAACTCCTTTTAACTCCTTTGCCTCAAGATTTACATAACTGTGAGGGCAAAGGAATCACATGATAAAAATACCAGATACTGCAGATTAGAAACAAAAAGCAAACCAGCCACATGCCAGTTTCTTGCAATGAGTTCCAGAAGAGACCAAAATCATCGTGAATGAGAAAAGATGTAGTGTGGAGAGAAAATCACCCAGGATAATCAAGGGATATAATTCCAACTCTATTTCCCCCCACAGAACTGTTTTGTAAACATCAATGAGCTAGAATCAAATGTGGATCCCATGATCAAGCTGGCAGAAGTCAAACTCCCTACCTGGATGCTTGCAAATTGTAAATCACAACTTTACAAGGATTTAACTTTTCCCTTTCCAAAATAATCAAATGTTGTGGTGAGGGGGCCACTAATCATGACAAAAAATATACTTCAAATTCTTTCTTTTGGTGCCAAGTCCAATAAGTTCTCTGAGTGAAATTAAATGCACCATCTTATTCCAAACCACAGCTTCCCTTGGGGATGTGCAAATCTCAAGTGGGGGCCGAAAGGCCAGTTGTATCAAAGCCCAGGGTTACACCCATTTTTTTCAAGGTTTTTTTTTTTCCCTCTTTTTAACTACTGCCTGTAGTATAAATGGCTCAGGTCCCTTTGCTTTCCAGCCTTTGCAGTCAAATTAGCATCTTCATACTTTCCACATTCTGCCTCTAAAAAGCAGGCCAGTCTCTGACTTCTCTTAGTTTCTCACAGTTTTTGTTTGTTTAAAGAGACTCTCAGCTGAACTCCAGGGAAGGTGGGGGGAAGGAGAGGAAGAGGAAAAAATATATGTACATATCTCTACATATCTGTTATGTTGTAAGCAATTACCAGCTCCATCTCTTAGATCTGCAGTATCACAGGAATTAGAGATGGAAAAGGCCCATTAGGTCACTGTGCACACCCTGTGCCCACACAGAGCTTTTCCCTACAGCACATTATCTCTTCTGAGAGTTTTTCGTATGTTTAAAGGAGAGCCAATGATAACATAGTTTCATCTTATTTCTTTTTGCTGCTTTGTTCTGTCCAGACTACAACATGCCATTTCTAAGGATGCTCTAGGGTGACTTCTCAAAGGACATTTTTGAGTGCCCATGAAAAGTTAGAACATTTGTGCTATACAACAACTATATTCTGTAAGTTCGGCATGGAAGCATACATAAAAACAAATTTTAAAGAGCCAACATTTAGTCCCAGGATGGAAATGTTACAAATAAAACAATTTTACATAGACATATTCTGTATATCTGGTGCATTATGCCATAAATATAACCGTGTTAGTGTGCATACATGTTCACATAAAGTGTGTGCAAATACTCATCATTACCCCAGAGTGTTTCTGTTTCCTAAAACTTGTGCCAAATGCTGCATAATTCACAAAAATGTGATCCAAAATATTTAAGGTTATGTTTCACACAATTTCTTCTTATCTCTCTTAAGTCATACAACTTAAATGTCAACTTGCATAGGGAAATATTTAATTTCAAGGCTAGTCCTCCATCAGAAAACTCTTTATCTCTTCCTTAAGTAGTTTTGTTTGCTATTTTTTGTTCTTGTTATAAGATAATGGAGTATTTTGGCTTACTTTTTATGTGCCAAACCTAGGTATGTCTACCTGATGGACCACCAGTTTCATCCCTTAGGAAAAGAAATACAATGTTAGGGGAACCTAGCATGTAGAATGGACACATTGTTTTGTTTTTAAATGGCAACCATCTTTAATCACTGTCCTTGAAGACTAACAATAGGTCAAATCAATATTACTATTTGAAAGCATATTATCTTATTCTGAGACCATAATCAACTGTGATAAAATTTGTATTTTTATTATGCCATATTCTAAGTTATATAGTATTTGTCTAGGTGTAATGCATGATAAATATTTTTATTTTTGATAATTTTAATAAGTTGGTCCATCTGTGATATGTGTGACAGAAAAAAAATTCTCACTGCTCTACTAAAAGTCAGGATAGTTCAGTAATCAAGAGCCTGAGACATGAATCACCAAGGTTTAAACTCTTAGTGTACCCTTCACAAGTCTTGTGATTGTAGGCATTACCAGTTATCTTCTATGTTTATTTGGTCAAGTTGTTCATCATATTTCGTCAGATTTAAGATGTCATCGATCCTAACATTGAGGCTTATTTGATGTACTTGTAAGGAAGTAAAAGCAATGCTAATTAAATAATAACATGATGCTTGCTTATCACTTCGCTTTCTTTAACACAATATCATTCTGAGTGCCAACAAGAACACTGATGCCATTTCATTTCTTTGAGTACTATGCCATTGGCTCTAGGTTGGATTTTTTAGCCAAATTATTAGAAATTTATTCTGTAAGTTTTGATTTTACGTTTTTTGATCACAACGAGTCAACAAAATTTTGAAACAACAATTAGAAAAATATTTTAAAAGGTAATTACACTCAACATACATAGTTCTAACAACGCATGTATAACACAATTGAAGTAAAATGTTGCAATCACCTATGACCAAGTGCATGCATCTATAGGCAATGACAACTAAGCTATGACTGAGATTATAAGATGCCATTAATTGTAGGAAATATCCTGATATCAGAGATGAATGGATGGATAGATAGATAGATAGATAGATAGATAGATAGATAGATAGATAGATAGATAGATAGATAAAGATAGATAGATACAGATACGGGGAGAAAAAGCAGGAACCATAAAATTCAACAAACTCCTATGTGCTTTATTGTTTATTGGTAAATTAAGGAATATAATAACATCTGGTATAGAGTTTCTGGGATAACTGAATAAAACCAACACACCAGACACACAGGAGGTCCTCAATAAATATTAGCAGCTATATAATTTTTGCTGTTACTGTTATAAATGCTTAAACACTGAGTATCATAAGGAAATGTGGTAGCGTTCAGTGATTCGCAACTGGAAAAAGAGAGACAGGGATTGTGAAAAGTGGGGTACCTTTTCAAACTTCTATTCTCTGTTTTTTCGTACGGATTGTCCTTGAGGAAGAAGTGTGCCTCTTCCTCAGGCCCTCAACTCCACTGAGGATCCTGCCCTGTCTTAGGAAACCACTGCCATAGGTAAGATCACACATCGTCTCAAGTGAGTTATAGATAGAAAAGAATTGAGCAATTTTTGCAATCAAGCAAACAATTTTTTTTTTTCTTTTTTAAAGATGGAGTCTCACTCCGTAGCCAGACTGGAGTGCAATGGTGCAATCTCGGCTCACTGCAACCTCCACCTCTCGGTTTCAAGCAATTCTCCTGCCTCAGTGTCTTGAGTAGCTAGGACTACAGGCACACGCCACCACACCCAGCTAAGTTTTGTATTTTTAGTAGATACGGGGTTTCACCATGTTGTCCAGAATGGTCTCGATCTCTTAACCTGGTGATCCGCCTGCCTCGGCCTCCCAAAGTGCTGGGATTACAGTTGTGAGCCACTGGACCTGACCCCTATTTTTCAAATCTTGGGTTAGCTACTAACCAGCTGGGTGGCCTCAGGCAAATTTAAGTTCCCTAGGCCTCAGGGCCTCCATGTGTAAAATGATTTAGTGATACAACTTACTTAAGTGTGAGAATTAAATGAGATAAAGTATTAGAATGTTCTCCATGATGCTTGACACATAGTAGACACTAAATATATTTTCATTCTCTCCTTTAATTTGCCAAGAATCAGTGGTGATAATTTTTAGCAAACATGATTATTTGAAAGAGGAAGGCATCAGTTGAGGTGACAGAAAATAAAATAAAAGAAGCAGAGATGAAGGACGAAACTCATAGTCTTTACAAAAGGCTTTATTAAAAGGCAAAGGTTTGCTTATGAAATTAGTGATCAATGGTTTAAATAATACTCTTAAAAAGAAAAAGACTAACTTATCCACAAAACAAATGTTAATAGCAGGGGAACTCAATTTACTCTATGTAGGGAAAGATTAAATTGGTGAACGTTAGAGGAAGAAACTTTGAGTTCCAAAACCCATCAGGTTCTTCCCCACCCTCACTTGGGAAGCTTTGCCACTTGTTATTCCCTCTGTAAAGGGTTCTTCTCATGGCTGGTTCGTTGGGATCTTCCCTTCCTTCAAAGCATCCTTTTAGAGCACTGTGTAAGCCTCTTTATTTACCTCATCCTGTTTATTTACCTCATCACTGTCGTTTATTTACTTGGTTAGCTGGTGAGTCAGAGAGCAGCATGATGTTGGGGCTAAGTGCATGGGCTGCAGCACCTTCATGCCTGCTTTAAACCCTCGCTCTGCCACTTATTAGCCACTTATCTTTGGCAAGTTACTTGTGCTGTCTTCCTCACCTGTAATGGGAAAAACAATAGTTTCCACTTCATAGACTTCTTGTAGGAGTAAATGAATTAATATATGTAAAGCACCTACTAACTGACGTGTATGTGATGTCAATAACTGCGAGGTGCTATTGTTTTATTTTTATCCTCCTTTGTGTTTCAACACCTTGCTTAATTCCTGGCAAATAATTGACACTCAATAAATGTATATTAAAGCAATGAAAGAATAAATAGTCTGAAGAATGTTCCTAAGGGGAGACCTCCAACAATAAGACAAGTTGCTTTTTGAGGGCATAAATCTCTCATAGTCAACAGAATTGCTGAAAGAACTCTTAGAAAGATTTTAGAATTCATTCTCCAATTGCACAGGAGATGTAACTAGTGACTCACTAAGTTCTTTTTTTTTTTTTTTTTTTTTTGAGACAGAGTCTCGCTCTGTCGCCCAGCCTGGAGTACAGTGGCATGATCTCGGCTCACTGCAACCTCCGCCTCCCAGGTTCAAGCGATTCTCCTGCCTCTGCTTCCCAAGTAGCTAGGACTACAGGTGCGTGCCACCGTGCCCAGCTAATTTTTTGTAGAAGATTCTGATACTGATCTAAGGTAGCTCTCACTTTCCCTCAGAGCATTCTAATTTACTCAAAGACAAAATGAAGGTTTTTGACTGAATAATCTCTAAGCTCCATCCTCTGTAACATTCTAGGGTCCTATGCGTGAACTAGTCTAATCTGTTATTACAGGCATTACATTTTTTCCTGCAAAAATTTCCGTAAGAGAAATTGGCTCAAATAGCACCTGGTCCAGAGTTGTTCTACCTCAGGGGCAAGGAGCCCAAACCACTGTTGACTATGGTGTAGTCACTGCCATTTGGTGACTGGAACATCAACAGTCCTTATTCCATGCCTCCTCTTTCCACTATTATATTCTGCTTCACTTTTCATCTTCCACAGGAATACAGCCTAGCCCTGTGCAGCTCCAAAGCAGAGGCATTCTACCCACAGATCCGTGCAGAAATCAGAGCCAGGAAAGCCCTACTAGGTCATGCAGACCACACACCTTTTAGAGCAGGAAAGTCCTCTCCAATTGACATTTCAGCTCCTCTTCTGGCTCCAAAGTGTGGTTGTGCTTCAGTGGTCCTGTGCATGGTTTGAATAACAGTTTATGAGCATTCTGGGATCCCTTGAAAATAAAGGTTCCATATAAAGTTATATTGCTATTTTGTTTATTATAAAAGTTTTTTTTTTCCTTTTTAATCTTCCTGGGATTAGTCACAAGGAAATTTCTCAAAGAGGAAATTGTATGAGCAAGCCTTTTGACCTGATTTTTATCAAAACTGATAGCCATCCAGAACCTGGTTCATTAATGCCCTGGTTGCCCCACTGTAAATGTCCAATAGAAAAATTAGCTTTTTAAACAATCAAAATATTATTTAAAGTACTATGTGTTAATTACTGCTAATCGATTTACTCACATTTCCCATGAGTTAAAGTATATATTTATTTATTGTCAATGCAAATTATGTTTATTTTTAATCATATAACAATGCTTCATTGCCTTTGGATATGAAGACCTATAACTGTCAGTTTGCTAAATGTTCAACATTTTAAAAATGTTTACTTGTTTCATTGTGCTGAACAATACATATCCAAGTCAACATTACTCTAGGTGACAAGAAACCCAACTGATTAACACAAATGTCAAACATGACTGGGGATTCAACCCAAATCCTTGGCCACCATCCAGCCATTCCTCTGGCTCAAGGACAATTTCATTATTTCTTTGTTAGTCAGGGAACATGAGAGTGAGAAACAAACATCCTAGATGATCATCACCAGTAGCTTCTTGCATGCTACTTATGGCTTTCTTCTTATAAAAAGCTTAAGGCAAATAGCCTGAGATAATACTGATTTTTACCACACACACAAACAAAATTAGCAACATCACACCTGTTTTACAGAGTTGAAACCTTGATTGTGGCCACTGGTCATTGTTACTCAAGTCATAGAGATAGAATCAGGGAAGAGCCAAAATCTGTCTACTAAGTTCCAACTCACAATCATATTCACAAGACCACATTTTCTTAATGCTGGCAACTGGAACAGAAAAGCACCCCACAAAATGTAAAGTGTTATTCAAAGGTATACCAGAAGTGGGGGGGGCGGGCACAGGGGCTCACGCCTGTAATCCCAGCTACTTGGGAGGCTGACGCACGAGAATCGCTTGAATCCGGGAGGCAGAGGTTGCAATGAGACAGGATCATGCCACTGCACTCCAGCCTGGGTGACAGAGCAGGACTCTGTCTGAAAAAAAAAAAAAAAAAAAAGAAGAAGAAGTGGATTTGTTGGTTTTCTCCATCTGCTCCTCTATTTAAAAGGGATGATTGCAAGGAGTGGTGGTAAACTCAATATGTGTTTAAGAAATTGCTATCATTTTAGATAATTCAATAGGTTAAACATTTATCAGTGACATTTCATAAGCTAAATATAATTTTATGATTTTAAAAAGGCTGCTGTTCACATTAGAAAGCTCTGGGTAACTCTTGCCTATACTGACATAGGACTAACAATGCACAGGAACCCAACTGTGGCCCATAGTCGGGAATACACTGCAACTTCTAAAACTTTCCAATGAAACAGGGCCTGGAAAGGAATAGAGACAGATATGCACTACTCAGAAATGTGTAATTTCAAGTTTTTAACAAAACTAGAACAAATGGTTTCTAGAAAGGGGCTCAAGGGATAAATAGCTATTGAAGAGAACATTGACAACACAATTTTTTGATCAAACTTGAAGAACACAGACTGGGTACAAACCAGCAGAAAGTATTTTAAGGTTATTTTGGATAAGAGGCCAAGTGACTAACACAAAGAAAACAATAGGCTCAGCATTTCTAAAGATGTAATAGTAAATACGTCAACTCATGCGGAAAAATGTCAAAATTTTCCTACTAGGAAGCATTCCTCCTAGGAATGCAGTCACTGAAGGCAATATAAAGACACCAACATTTATGCCATATTTACCAGAATATGAATTATCTATTTATCTATTTATCCATTTAACACATCTGCCCAATTAAACCTAGCTATCACCTCAAAGTGGGACTATTTAGAACATTTGAATTTTAGAGACTAGGGGCTAGCCAACATGTCTCGTTTCAAGTTCAGTTTGAGTGATGAGGACCATAGGAAGGCTGCTTGGGTCACTGCAGTGGGAATTCGGAGGCCTCACACTGGCTCAGCAGGGAGAGTCTGTGGTCTGTGATTGCTGCCTGTCATGACCAGGGTAGAGGGAGGGAGAGGGGTATAAGCCCAACTGCCAGTCATTTGATTTTCTGATTCAGTCCATCTTTCTCAGTCTACAGTTGAGGAATTGAGACATAGGGAGCTTACTCTTAGAAATAAAGAGAGAGAGGACTTGGCTGAAGAGTAGACAGATGCAAAGTTGCTTTTTTTGTAGAATGCGGGTATCTTGATACTCAGTTCCCTGCATTTTCTTTCCCCCATTGCTCTCCAAATACTAATTATTTTAAATTTTACAAAATAAAACTAACTGTGTAACTAATGAATGTACTGAAAACACAGTTCACTTCGACAATAATATGGTCCTAGATGGAATGAATCAATTCGTTCTACCAAAAACCTCTTAGTGTTTAAACATATTCATAAATCGATGCAAGCTTCTAATATCTACCTTTCTGAAAAAAAATAAAAAAAACATTTCTTAAAACTTAATTTCTCTCTGTAGGACATTTACTTCTGCAAGTATACTCTTTTTCGTAGGCCCCCTTCCTTAGGCTTCTCTCTTTCTGTTTAGAGAGTTTAGAAATCTAACTGACTTAATCCCATTCAGTGTAATACTAAAACTAGTAATGAAGTGTAGAGGAACCATTAATGTACCGACTTCCCCTAAAACTGCACACCAAAATGCCCTTGAGTAATCTCAAATCACTAGCCACATTCCCTTGAAGCTTACAAGAAGTATGGAATACCCATTGGCCCAGCATTTACCTTCTATAACCACAACCAATACAGAATTACTTTTTAGAAATCCAAATGAAATATTTCGGGTAACCAAGTAGTTGTTGCAATTGTAATCACTGGATATCTAGTATCTATACTAGATATCCAATATAAAATATCCCAGTCCTAATAGATGTTATTCTTTACCTATTATTTCCCCTTGTCACTTAACCCTTTTTCACCTTTTATTCAGATATATTTATTCTGAAACTTATTTGCAAGATAAGAAAGCAACTGTCTCTACAAAAAGGTTTCTGATGAGGAAACACATGAGAACCATGACAATCATTACAATGGAAGTACCTCATGCGTACTTGGATTCTTCCATCATATTTCCCAGAACTATTTATACTCTTCATTGGGAAATCAATGGCATGCCTCTATTATGTGAGTCTTTGTTGAAAATGTTTTAACACAGACTACCTTTTTAAAAATAGCATGGGGAAGGGCAGTCATGAGACATATTTTATGACTTTTATGGCTTTGCCTCTCCAGCTGCCCATTGAAGAGATATTTTGGCTCAGGTTTACCTATCATGGCAGCATGGGCCCATGGGGACCCATGGAAGGCTGTAATGAGGGGTTCCATTAACCAGTTTCATTATTTCAGAAGGCCTAAGGGAATAGCACATTCACCAATAATAAGGCTACTAAAGCTAGAATGTCAAATTACTTTGCTTTGGGGCAAAATCTTATCAATTTCCTATGAAGACTCTTATTACCTCATGCTGATCAGAGTCTCTGATTGGCAACTATGTATGTGTCTGATTAATAAAGTGTGAAATAAAAACAAATGAATTGTTTTGTTTGGACATTAATTTTTTTCAAAACATACAGTCCCAGACATAGAAGATAATTTCAGACAAGACTAATTTACACCAAGTGTTTAATGTCAATCTAATATCTTGAATAATAATGGTGATGATGACACAAAAGCTAAAACTTACATAGCACATTCTGAGTACCAGGTACTGTTCTAAGCATTATACAAACACTAATTTATCCAATCATCACAACAGCCATATTAGGGCCAATTCTAGGCCAAAGTAAGGTTATAAAATAATAACTGAGGACCCTGAGAGAGAGGGCAGTCCAATATTATGCTATTATGTCACAGTCATACGGAGTAACTGCTGAAGCAAGAATTTGAAAACCAGCACTAAAGCCTCTGAATCCAGTCTCTTAAGTCCCCCTTTCAGGAAATACTCTGATTAGGGTCTCACTTTTTATTATAACAAAGATAACAGCACACAGTGGCTTACTCAACTGTAAAACTAGGATTATCACTAGTTTCTTCAAGAGTTATTGATAAAATTAAATAAGTTAACTTTTGTAAGCCTGTAGAACAACACCTGGCACAAGGTAAGTTCTGTTTGAACAATTATACTCTTCAAATGACAAAGCTTTTTTTCCTCCCCTTGAGTGCAAATCAAAGTCCTGAGGCCAACCCTCTCACCTGTGTTCAGTATCGGTAAAAAATTAATTTTGAAAATGACTTTGCTTTTGTCTAATTACCAATATGCAAGGAAATCCACTGGCTGCCTAAAAATAAACCATTAACTCATCATACTGGTAAAAGCTCAGCATGAACACTCTCTTTGCGAGCAGGAAGAGGGAGGTGAGGAGGATGACACCATGACATGTTGAGTTCAGAGGCATGAAACCAGGCACCTGAGCCCTGCTGGGGACACTTGCTGAGTTTTCCTTTCTTTTCTGCCTCTTCAGAAACACCCCTGTGAGAATGGTAATTTACCACTAAATCTGTGAGCATAGAAAGAAACTTTTAAACTGTAACACGCACATAAGATATGAATTCCTGGGACAAGCATATCATTGCATAATATAGCTCAGTTTTAATAAACCTCCATCCATTGAAGCTCCATTGTGGAGGAGAGTAATTCCACGGCAGCTTTGAAGTATACTCCCTTAAAGAAAGTAAGAGAAAAGCCATTGTTTATTTTACTACTATTTAAGAGTTAATGAGAGATTTGCACCTGTACAGCTGTTGTGGACTGAAACTAGCTCATGGAGTGAATGTGTTTTCTGCTTGAGACAGTTGTAAATGCCTTGAGTAAAAACACTGAGGACTGCTAATGGATAGGTTTATTTTAAAGCATGCCATCTGCTATCAATCATAGAGAAGTATAGGAAGCAAGTTTGGCTGGGCTCCCTCCTTGCGAGCCTGATAAAGACAGGGCTCCAGGACTCGGGAACATTGAGTCCTCAAGAGAATAAAACATCAAACCTACTCAGCAGCTCCACTAACAATAATAAAAATGCCTCTGCCTAAAGGTGACATTCTGAATTTACGATTATTTGTGTCTATAAAGTGTATTCTTTGGCTCCTGACTCATTCTGACTGTCTCACTCCGAGAACAATACATTAAGCCTGCCTGGAGTAAATGGAAATCCTATCCTTTTATTAAACCAGCAGCCAGTACCTGAGACGATCTAATGCCCTGTAGAATCACAGGAAGCTTTTCAGTTCTGTTTTGTTTCTTTGTAACTATTTTTCATAAGAAACTTACAAACAACATCTATGTTAATGCACTAAAATATATAAGTGACGTAGGCAAGTATATGTTTCTTAAAAGACAAAATAAAATAAAATAAAAGATTAAAATGGAACTAATTCTTACTACTCTATCATGCTCCCATTACAATGCGGTTGGAAAATTACCTGTGAGAGATATGTTATGGTAAAATTTAGAACCCGTTGCTCAGAACTGTTTGTATTCTTCATGCTGTATGAACCAAGCATACTTTCAAGAGGACAAACGTTATTTTCTCGGAAATCTTCCAGCAATGGAATCATAACCAATATTGCTTTCAAAAATGGATCCCAAAGTATTCCTTGAAAAATGCCGAGCCTGGCTTATTAAAAGTGCTGCCTGCTGAAATCCTCAGTGGACAAAATGAGCTGTGGTGGCACTGGCACCTTCTACAGCTTATAATGTTAGATTCTGCTTCAAATCTGCAGCTTAATGTAAGTCTATTGCTAGCCTGGAATATGGAGTTGTGACTGTTTGGGGAAAACCCACCTGGCCAGCAAACTCATGAGCCTAATTAAAGTTAATAGAGAAATTAAAAGAGGACAACACTGCCTCAGTAGTGATAAGAAGAAATGTATAAGGCAATAGAAATTCAGGGCAAGAACTTAGATTTTTACATTATGCATTTGTTAGAAATACTTCTTTTTTAAAGACATGAAAAAGAAATTGGTATTATTTGACTTGCCATATACATGATTTTTGTGCTAAAGAAAATTAATGTTTTAGGTTAAATCGTATGAAATTGGAAAATACTTAACCAATAAGCATACTTCAGATCTGCTGTGTATCAGAACTTTGCTAGGCTCTACGACAGCAGGAAAGTAAAAGGCATTATCTCTGCCCGTCATGGAGAAAAAGGTTTAACACATTCAATAGAATTTTAGAACATCATAGAGCCAATCTTAAGAGCTAAATTATTAGGTAGAGAGAATAAATGCTATAAGAGTTCAGAAAACAGGGAGAGCAACGAAGACTGCAATAGCGAGAAAGACTGGTTAGGAAGACTTTCATCGTTTCCTTAAAAGCAGAAAAAAATATATAAAATAAATGCAGAACATTTATAATAATTCAGACTTAAAAAGATATAAAAGAAATTTACCTATTGAAATTTCAGTGTACTTTCTAATGCAATATGGAATTAAATGTTGAGTCAAGTTATGAAACACACCTAGAGCAGAAGGAAGCACCAACAATGCTTTCGTTCTTTGACAGAGGTTAAAAAATAATGTCCATACTGACAGAGCAGGAAATGTATTAATAGATGCATGAAGCAGGCAAGGGCAGAGGCAGAGTGTGGCAAATTAAAGGGCACCTGCCTCATCTAGAGGCAGCCTCTACCCAGCACGAGCAGGTTAGTGCCAAGAGAGGAAGAGAACCCAGTTTTGTCAGATCTCCAACTATCAAAGAAAGCTGGAAACCTGGCTTTTAAGTTATACTTACCAATTTTGTAAGAAAAAAAAAATCAGGTCGAGCTAAACACCTTACCACTGTGGGACAGATCCACCCATCCTCCTCCGGGCTTCTCAATAGTTCATGTCATAGGGAAACCTGGCTCTTTATTTCTAGGAACCTTAAAAACAAGTCTATAAATGCCACCATTCGCTCCAGTATTACATTTGGAGTCTTTCTGAATGGTGGCACCACCTAAGTCTGCAGAAGGCCGATTCTGTGGGTTATTTTAGAAGAGCCAGTGGGTTTCTGAAAGCTTTGTATGAATGCTAAAGGTTAGTATGTCTCTTACACCAGATTTGAAATCCTGTACAAATAAGTCAGTGGAGCACTAATGAAAAAACTACTGTGATAGGGCCTGTGCTGCTCCGATTAGACATTAGCGGCTGCATCAAGAAGAGAAATACCTGAAGATTAGCACAGTAATTTGTTTCTCTAAACCTGAATCATTTAATCTCTTTTCTTAAGAAAGCAGTGGTCTATGGATATGGTAAAGAATTAAAATTGCATTTATAAAGTGATTTCCAAAAGACTTAAGTTTTTAATAAACAGATGGATCATTTAAATATAGTTAATAAATATTATTCAGAACTTATTACCTTAAATATTCTCTACTTAGAAATTGTAAATATTCACTGTCTCAATTGTGAGAAGGTTGGAATACCAGGTAATATTATGTAATGTTTTCATAGTTAATATTTGTAACATAAGACCTACATATTGTGAAATAGAAGAGTTTAAACCAAAATAATCTATTCTTGTAATTCAGGACATCTCAATTCCATCAATTTAAAGAATTATTTAAATGTTGCAGCCAATTCTAACTATTATAATTCTATACCACCAGGGAAGTGCTTCCAAACATCATGCATTTATTAATGCAGTCAACAAGTATTTATTGAATTCTTACAAGGTTCTGTACTTCGTGTAGGAAAAAAAAATACCTTACTAAAAGAACTTGTCTTACTGGATCGAAAATCATTTATTTTGGTTTATTTTCCTTGCATTTTTGATTAAGCAGTCTGTAATTCAACATCATCCATGTTAAAACGCAAATGCATAAATAGCTACAGGTTCAAACACAGAAACTCCTGCTACATATCAAGGCTGGTCAGACATTGTCCGCATAAAGTGTAAGGCTACTGTCAATGTTGTGTTAATCTTTTTGAATTCAGAAGATTAAATGAACCACAATACAAGAGACAGTTGAGCATTTGGTGGGTAAATATGCCAACCAAATTATCAAAACTCAAGTCAAAATCAATGACTTAATGTAAACAAAGAACAACATTAAGAATTATATGCATTCAGTTTCTTGGAATGGACTTGTGCTAGGACATGTTCTGACTTTATCATAAACCAGCTACAACTACAATAGACGAAATATCACCTCTCTGTGCTTCTTGTTTCTTTACTGTGAAAGTAGTGAGCGTGACTAGTTGGTCTCTAAACCTCTGCCCTGCCTAGGATTTCTTTTTTTTTTTTTTTTTTTTTTTTTGAGATGGAGTCTCACTCTGTAGCCCAAGCTGGAGTGCAGTGGTGTGATCTCAGCTCACTGCAAGCTCCGCCTCCCGGCTTCACACCACTCTCCTGACTCAGCCTCCCGAGTAGCTGGGACTACAGGCGCCCACCACCACACCAGGCTAATTTTTTGTATTTTTAGTAGAGACGAGGTTTCACCGTGTTAGCCAGGATGGTCTCGATCTCCTGATCTCGTGATCCACCGGCCTCAGCCTCCCAAAGTGCTGGGATTACAGGCGTGAGCCACTGCACCTGGCCTGCCCTATCTAGGATTTCTTATTGGGGTTTAAACAATTTCTCTTCTGTGGTGGTTAGACCTATGAAAGAAAAATGTTTTATTAAATATATTTTAACATTAGATATGTTCATACTTTGAAATATTTATAGATTGGGTAAACATTTTTCTTTTATATGTCTAATAAATTGCATTTTCCTCATTACAAGAAAAAGTTTTCTCTATATAATATCTATCTATCTAGCCTATCTGTCATCTATCTATCTATCCGTCCATCCTACATGGAATGCCAATCTATAGAGAAAATCACTGCTACAACTTTAGTATATTTGCTGTTAGTGATTTACTCTATAGAAGAATACATATATATTTAAAGGAAGTTGCCACAAAACTGTGTTAGTTTCTTATTCTTTTTTCCCTTCACTCTACATTAGTTAAAACCTTATCCCCATATCATTGGATATTCTTTAAAAACACAACTGCAAAATCTTTAATTAGATGAACATGCTGTAGCTGATTAACTGTTCTCCTGCTGTTGGACATTTAAGTTGTTTTCACTTTTTCTCTGGCAACAAAAATCTTACCTAATGAATCTTAGTGTACACCTACGAACATGACCTTAAAATCAATTCCTAATATGACAATTTTAAAGTTCTTGACTTGTAGTACTACAATGCCATCCAGAAAGATTGTGTAAATTCACTCTGCCACCAGTGTAAAAGACTGCCTATTTCATATTAACACAGTGATGTGTATGACATCAATATAATAGTTGGCCCATCACAAGAGATTACATGTTACTCCCTAGGAAGCAACAGGGGAAGTAGTGTCACTGTAGTGTCTAGTTTTCTCTATTGTATTATTTGAGAATGCTTTAAAGCTTACAACTAGGCACTCTGCACACCCCTTATGCACACACACACACATACACACACATACAGCCCCATAGTCATACACATACAATGAACCTTCTGATGATGGCAAACAGACTCCCATCAACACACACACTCAAGGAAGGGAGGACTTTTCTGAGACCATATGGCTATAAGCCAGCTGTCACGAGGCCATGGACTGCCAGAGTGAGTCTTCAGGGGATGCCTGGTTGAGAAAATAGTTTATAAGATGATAGAAGTGTTAATGTGGTGTAGATAGAAGAGATCTTTCCCTTTATCTCCTAGAGAAAGAAAACTGCTACCAGGAAATGAGGCATTTTCAAAAACCCAGTAACAACAACTAAAAGAAAAATTTGCTAATTTTGCCAGCTAGCACAAGGAACTCGGCCGCCAGTCAAAAAGCTGTGTGTCCAACTCAGAGCTGGATTCACTTTAACAAAAATTTCCCTCTTCAGCCACCTAAGTGTCTGTTGCATTAGGCAAGAAGCCAAGGTGGGGTAGACACAGTCACTCACATGAAATGTCCGTTTCCATTTGGATCCCTGTGGCCCTTTCCCATGTCATGGTGAAAAAATGCTTCCTCTGCTTGGGTGTTTTCAGGATAACTTGGTTTGAGGAGGAAGTCGGATCTGCTGCTCACAAGGCGCCCATAGGAGGCAAAGCCACAGCTTTGCACGGTCAGAACCAGGCTGTCCCTGCCTTAAAAAAAAAAAATTCCTCGCCCACTCGTACCCATGGTTTTGATGTTGAAAGAAACCTGTTGTGGTTTAAATGACTCGGTCAGTTCTTCTGGGATTTTCCGAAGTTTCCTATAAAAAGACATCTGTGGGAAATAAATGATTGCATAATCACTAACATATGCCCGTTTTGCTAAACCTGTTATCTTTTTGGTGCTTTGAATTGCGTTGTCCTATCTAGTGAATTACTATATTTTAATAATTTTACCTTTTAAGTAATGATGCTGATTATAGTCATGTTTTTTTAAACCTTTGATCAGTATGTAGTTAAAGAAAAAAACAATACTACAAAAGGTAAGGCCATGATGTTTATGCAGCAAAATTAAAAGGAAAGTGTGATAAATGGTGGGGAAATAAGGCAATTACCCAGATACATGGCAGATGGAGGAAAAACTTGATTCTTCAATTACTTGTGTACCTTAAACAATATTATTTTTGGCCTGACTTGGCATAAATGCCTCCAATTTTTTCTTTGGTAGCGTGGATCTGGTTAATTAGCAACACTATTCATCCTTTTCTATCTATCATACACACAGAATTTCTTATTTTTTACTCAAAAAAATTAAAAATTATTGCTGGACTCAGAAAACCATCTTTAAAATTAGAGAAAAGCTGGAGACAAAGCTTAACGGCCAACATATCACACTGAAAGGGGCTGGTAAAAGAAATAAAATGGATGTTATTCATTATCTGAGGATGAAGATTACAGATGCCTGATCTTCAATTGATTAGATGACTTATAAATGAAGAATTCCAAAGGCTGCTATTCCTGGCAGCTATGAAGCAGAGCATCCACAGGTTTATTCCTTACTGGTAGTACCAAAGATCCTACCAAAAAAATGAGGATAAAAGCAAGCCATCTTAAAAAAAAAAAAAAAAAAAAAAAAAAAAGGCGTTGACTATTACCATTTTTGCTGAAAGGTGGAAAAGCCCAATAAGCCCAATAAGGTACTGATGGTTGGCCAGAGGGGCACGTGTGAGCATCCAGTAAACTAAGCCTCTGCAGCAGGCTTCAGCAGAAGTGAGGCCCAGTAGCTCTCAACTCTAGCTGTATATTAGAATTACCTAGGGCACCTTCATCATACTCATGTCTCAGGTCTGTTCTACACCAAGTAAATAAGAATACATACATTAGACCAAGGCACTGGTGTGTTTTAAAACGTTTTAGGGTGATTCCAATGTAGAATCAAAGAAAACAATATGCATGCTCTTATGGAATCCAGGCCTTCTCTATATTAAACCACACTTTACTTGACTGTGGATACATTTTAAATGTACTACCATTACAATTAGACTAGACTGTAAGAGACTTTATTTTGCTACTGTTCTATCACAGTACCTAACATGCTTGGATTATAGTAAATGTTCACTGCATATTTACTGAATAAATACAGGAACAATTATAAAACAACATTTGTTTTAATAGTGAATGATTATTTTACACATGATGAGTACATTATGAGAGGAAATTCTTACCATAGGGCATTACTATTCAGAGAAAACGTTATGAAAATGCTGAATCTTTGCCTGGACCTTGAAGGCACTATGAAATTTGGTTTATGAAGAGGAGAAGCTGCAGGAGCAGAAATTGGAAAGACTGGTGCTAAGCACTTTGCAGGATAAGAACTAAAACCACACTTAAGGAGTATCTATTATTGCCCCCTGAATTCAAGCCAGAATATCTGAACATGGGAAAATCTACACAATGTTAAGGGAATTCTAGAATATATTAAAAGATAGATGGGTTACAAAATAAAATTTGTGATCACATAGAAATAGAAAAGGATAGGCTATCTGTTACTACAGATAACAAGTAACATTTCACTAACTTCATTTTAAAGGAATGTTTCTAGTTTGGGAGATTAAGAAAAAGCAAAATAATACTTCTTGATTCCCATCAGAAATTACACATCCTATCTTTATTGATAAGATAGAGATTGTAGGTTAAATTATGGGACAGTTAAGACGAGTCATATCTTAAAGGTTTCATATCTTATTTGTAGCATAGTAGTAATGTGCAGTCAAAATTGCCCTTGAAATTGTTTTTAATGTGTCCCAATAAGAACAATACAGGCAGTTTTTCCTCCAGCTATGAAACTAATCATTTTTTCTATGATTGAGCATTATATGAAGAAGTTTGGCTCATGTTTATGAGCTATATTGCATATCAAAAAAAATTTTAACTAAAATCACACTCAGCTTGACAAAATGATCAAACTAAGAACGATATAAAAATAGTAATTTCATGAGAACCAAATCACAAGGTAAGCATCAATTGAATAGAATGTAGGGAAGAATAGCCTCTATTATTTACAGTGTCCTCTCCTATTCTCTACCTCTCTCAATTCTCCAGCTCCTATTTGCAGAGAATACATGATGTGATTCATGTAAGATAAATGTGTCTCCAATGAAATGCACCTAGAGACATTTGATCAATGTGTACTAGAGAAGAAGCATACTTGATATGGTATGATGTGGGCTTCCGTTCTCTCATTTCTGCACAGAGTTTTTGTAAATGGCTTGGATTAAGAGATGCAGAAGGAAGCATATTTATTTTTCATAACATAAAGCTTAAAAGAGAGCTATTGCTTCAGAATATAGAGTTAATATACAAACATCTCGAGAATCTAGAATTGTGGCTGCAAATGAAGATGACATTTAATAGAGTCAAGTAAAAAGTTGCAGAATTATGTCTGAAATATTAGTTCATTCAGAGGGGCAAATACCTAAATAAGTTTTTTAAAAAAGACTACCTGTTGGATATGAATTAAAAAGCAAGAGCTATAGTGGTGAGAACTCTATGTTAGAATAATAATAATAATCCATATGCTAATCAAAAACAACTTCACAGTAGAAAAATATTTTCGCATTTTACTTTTAATGATACATTTAGAAAGATAGTGATCAGGAAGAAACAAAAGGCAGGGATTAAAAAATTTGAATCCCCTTGTTTATTCACACACAAACACACACTATATATTTATATATAATATATATTTAAAACTCTTAAAATATTTTTAACAAAAGTAAAATCTTAACAAAATAAAATTTATCAGTGACTGTCTCAGTGGCATTTAGTAAAGTAAATGAATGAGTCTGAGGGCAATTTGGAGCCCCTTGAAAGGAGCTGAAGGCTAATAGGCTTTAGAGTTGTTTCATATGATTTAGATGAAACAAAATAAAGAAATTTTTATTCTGAAGAAATGAGATAGTTCACCGGGAAGGATCATGGACTCATCTTATAATGGTAGACTACAAATTTGGCAACAACTGGAGTCACCAACTGGTCTGAATTCTCTCTCAGTGAAATACTTGTTTGATCGTTTATAGAATCTTAAAATGAAAGAAATTGGACAAGTTTGCTAATACGAGTAATAGTAATGTTTTGAAACATGTCTTCCAAATAGTTATTTAACTTGTCACCTAGTCACTGTTTATCTAAACACAAATTCGAGAGGCTGACTCTTAACTGTTCAAAAATTCTGGGGATTCAAATTGACATTTTTAACCTTGACCTCTCTCTTGAACTCCAGAATTCAATATTCCACAGTCAAGGAATCCTCTCCACTTGATACATTCCAAACTGAACACTCGTTTTCATTCATCTATACCTGTTCCTACTCCACAGTTTCCTTCTCAATTTATATTTTGAAGTCATTCTGTCAGCTTAGATTTTTAAAATGGAATATTTTGTCCATTTAAAGGAATTGCATATATTTGGATTTAAGTCTGTACCATATTGTTTTCTATTGTATTTAATCCACCTGTTTTAGACTTTTTCTCATTTTTGCTTTTTCTTTTTGATTAATCAAATATTTTTCATCGTTTGGTATTCTCCTTTATTAACTTCTTAGCTATTCATTCTTTAGCTATCCCTTTAGCAAATATCCTGTGATTTACAATATGCATCTTTGGTTTATTACTATCTATTACATATTTCTCTGTCTTTATAAATGGTGATTCCATTTTTATAGCTATAGAGGCCCAAATTTGGGGTTTATTCTTGATTATTTTCATTCCCTCGTCTATAAATGCAACCCATCAAGAAAAGCCTTTGGCTCAAATTCATGAAATACAGATGCTCCTTGACTTACAGTGGGGTTATGTCTTGATATCCATCTTAAGTTGAAAATATTGTAAGTCAACAATGTACCTAGTATACCTAAACTATCATAGCTTAGCCTAACCTACCTTAAAAGTGCTCAGAACACTTACATTAGCCTATAGTTGGGAAAAATCATCTGGCAGTAGAGATGGTACATGACTTATAATGGTTTTTCAACATTATGGTGGTACAAAAGCAATAGGCATTCAACAGAAACTGAACTTTAAATTTTGAATTTTGACCTTTTTCAAGACTAGCAAAATTCAGTGCAATACTCTGTCATGATGCTGGGCAGCAACAGGGAGCCACAGCTCCTAGCCATGTGGCCACTAGGGTAAATAACAGATACTCTAGAGTGCACTGTGTTGCCTGATGGTTTTGCCCAACTATAGGCTAATATAAGTGTTCTGAGCACATTTAAGGTAGGCTAGGCTAAGCTGTGATGCTCGGTAGGTTAGGTTTATCAAATGCATTTTCAACTTATGATATTTTCAACTTAGGATGGGTTTATTGGGATGTAACCCCATTGTAAGTTGAGGAGCATCTCCACATTATAGAGTATCAGTTGTTTCCCCTGGTGATCACATGGCTTACTGGGAACTGTGGGTTTGCAAGAGAGTGTAGTACTGCATTCTCTAGCCTGGGAGAAGATCAAAATTCAAAAATACTGTTTCTACTGAATGTGTATCACTTTTATACCATCGTAAAGTTTGCAAATTGTAAGTCAAACAATGGTAAGTCGGAAACGCCTTTATTTTAAATTTAACCACTTCTAACCACCTCCACTCCTAGCCCTCTAAACTATGACCAGCTTTCACCGAGCCTATTCAAACAGCTTCCTCACCAGTGCTTCTTCCCCCTTGCTTCCCTAGAATCTGTGTTTCCACTTAAATGTCAGAGGGATCCTTTCAAACATAGCCAGATAATATCAGTACTATGCTCAAAGCCCTACAGAGGCTGGCCATCGCTTATCCTTGGAGACCCGATCTCTCCAAGGATAAGTCAGATTCCCAATTCTCTCTGCAGTCTCACCTCCTGGCACTCTCTCAGTCACTCACTGCTCTATAGCATCACTGGTCCCTTGTTATTCCTCAAACACACTCAGGGCAGTTTCCTGCTTCAGGGGCTTTGAGTGGCTGCTCTCCTGCCAGGAATATCTTCCACAGTTATCTGCTTGATTTGTTCTATCACTTCCATCAGGTCTGTGCTTAACGGTCACTGCCTCAAAAAGGGGTTCCTAACCACCTTTTCCAAATCAACATGCCCTCACTCTTTATCTTTTTGTTCTATTTTCTTTACAAAAACAAAACAAACAAACAAAAAAAAACCTGACATAATTTGTCTGCTTGTTACCATCTTTCTATTTTCTTTAAATGCAAACATCATGGATATAGAGAGAAGTTTTTATTTTCCCTCTTGTTCCCTCCCCAGACTAGAAAAAGGCTTAAATAGACCTCAAAAGAGGTTAAATGGATATTTATGAAATTTAAACATTAATAAATGATTTCTAATTGTTAGAAAGTTTCACCTCTCCCCTGTATTCTTGTTTCTCCCTTTTACAGTTTCTCAAAAGAACTCCATACACTGGATTATCCACATCTAAGTCTTAACTAGAATGCACCTTCCTTGGGGGGTGCAGCTTACTCCATCCATAGGTAACTAGTCCCTACACACAGTGCTGATGCCCGGCAGGGGCTTCCCCTCACAGCATCCCTGCTGAACTGCCATCTCTCCTCTCCATCACGATTAGCCCGATCAACTGAAAGATGCTTGCTCTGGGATCTTGTCCATTATTTCTTCCAAGAATTGCTAACTACCTAACTTGTTTTTAAATGCTTTCCACACATATTAAAAACTGTTGCCACCAATGGTGGAGTGTGGCTCAGAGTAAAGTGATGCATTATATCATTTTCCCCTAGAAGTCACATATTTCTCTCACTATCCTTTTCTTTACCAGATACAGCAGAGGTGTCCAACAGAAATATAATACAAGCCACAAATGTAAGCCAAATAAGTCATTTTAAATTTTCTAGTAGTCACATTTTTAAAATGTAAAAGAAACATGAAATTATGAGAGCACATTTAATTAACAAAATTTTATCTAAAATATTATGAGTTCAACATGTAACCAAAATGATGATACAAAGTCTTGTATAAATTATGGGGGTTGTAGCAGTCTGGCCATATCATTAATAGCTTAGAGTGATCAGCTGAAGAAGTAGTCAGTCCCACCTTGAATGTTAAAAAGCTGGGATTCTCAAGGAGGGGGTGGCAGAATGCGAGAACCAGGGGTGGGAGTCAGGATCATCTCAGAGAACTTTCTAAAAGAGCATGTAGAGATAAAAAGCATGTGTGATTTGAAAAAAAAAAAAATCCAAAACAATTTATAAGTCACCCTCATTTCCTTCCTAATTTGAGATCCAGAGTGGAAAAGAGAATTCTTCCAATGGGAATGGATAATTAATAAAAATTCTTCCACTTCCAATACTCAAAGACTACATAATATAGAAGCTTGGCATCCTCCCAGCTCTTTCATAAATCATCCCACATTATGCAACACTTATTTTTCCAAATAGAGGTAAAAGATTACATCCTTAAGGTCCATTTTATCTAAATGCATCCCTTTTGGCCCAGTGTGTAGAACATATCTAGATTAATGATTGAGGGCATCTAACTATGAAATGAATCACTATTACCTTTCCTTTTTCCACCCCCCCTCTCTCTCTGTTGGCTTTTCTCTAGTACAGGATTTTTCACAGGACAACAGCTTTTGATTTGGACTTTTAACCTCTTTGGATTGAAGTAGAGAGAGGGCATATTAGAACAAAATTTATGGAGAAATTCAAAATTAAATATCAAAGTGTAGGCATGAATGTGTGGGACAATTTTGATTTGTATTTGCTTTCCCACACCATTTTGTATCCCATGGTAGAGGCTGTCATGAGTAGGGAAGTATTCCAGTTAGTGGAACAACGGCCTGTGAATTCATATATTGGCAACATCTTAATTCTGTTCTGTGACTTAATCTCTCTAAGATTTACATTGTAAAAACAGTAATCTAGACATTTCAGGGTTGCTTGCTATCTAAAGATGTAAAAAACAAAAGTACACAAATGAATGGTTTCAAAATGCTTTTGAAAAATAATGTAAACATCACCAAAAGGTTTTGTTTTTAATTGTCAGATGCTTTCTTTCTCATTTTCAGATGATGACAAACACAATGGCAGACACTCAATATTTCTGAGAGTTTTTTAATATGCAAACTTTTTGATTTGAACATTAAGAGTTTGATAGCACACAATAGCCTCTGTGGCTTTAAAATGCCTTAATTATTTTAAATACAAATGTAAAATTCAGACACCTAGTGTTACTTAAATGCACCCAGGTTTCTGTGGTTTAATAATAACATCTGTTTTGGTTTTTCAACCACAAAAGTGCATTTAATCTGTTCTTCCTTTAGTTGAACTTTTCACATCTGCTTCGGCTCGGTTCCCATAAGCTAAAGACCAGATCTTTTCCAAAAGTAGGAAGTCTACCTGTACGACTGTTGTTCTAGCTCAAAAGATCTGTTTTTAATACCAGCTGAAGATTTCAAAAGAATAACAAAAATAAACTTCTTACCCATAATGCACTTCTTATGCTTTTTGGCTTACATATCAGTGCGGTCATTTTATGAATGCAATACTGCCTGGACATTTTAAATTAAAACAGTGAATTGTCAGATCACACATGCCCAGGTAGTCCCTGATCTCTTAAGTTTTTTAATCATGGAAAAAGAGTGTATTCTATTAAGTTAATTTTTCATGAAAAAGTTATACTAAGGATGGACAGTGGCTTAAAAACCTCAGTGGTTTTTTTTGGACACACACTTAGTGCTTATCTGAATCCCATGGGTCCTGAAAAGTAGGCCGGAAAATGTTGCAAGGACAACATTACTTCACAGATTTTCCACAATTGTTTGCTGCCTCCGAGGCTTCAGCTCTTATAACCAATCCTAAGAGACCTATCTAAAATCAGAGACTGTGAAACCAAATCCTAATAAGCGTCTTTGAAAACCAACCAAGGTGCTGAGATGAAACACATTTTTCTTTACGTATGAATTTTGGTAGAGAAAATTATTGAATAAATGAGTGCCTGGGTTAGATATGTGATAATTGTTTTTCTCAAGTGGAAAGATTGACTCTCTTTATCAGCATTCACAAGAGATTGAACAAAGCTGAATATTCAGTCTTTATTTGGACAAGATTTAATTGATATCAAGTTAGTCTAATTATTTTATTTTAGAAAGTTATTTTGAATATGTGAGATGCACATAATTATATATTTTTCCTGATGTATGATTATGTAATTATACGTGGTCCTGTTTACAGGACAGAGCAACACAGCATGCTGCAATTAGTAGGTGTTCAACTCATGTTTGGTGAATGAGGCCTAATGAGGCAATATAATGGAGAGAGCCCGGTAGACTACCTTTGTCGATGCAAACAAGATGATTCTGTGATTTGAATAATTTCCCAATGTCTTACGTAAATAGGAGTTGTCAGCAGGGGTGATTCAACTTAATTCAAAAAATATTTACTGATTGCATGACATGTGCAAGTCACTACAATAAGCAGAGTAACAAATACAGGAATAAGCATGAGTTTTACAAAGTTAAAGTAGCAAATTATGAAAAATGCCTTAAGAAAAATAGCAAAACACTGTTATGGTGGAAATAGCATTTGAGACAGGCCTTGAAAGAAAAGTCATCAAAATTTGGAGAGTGTTGAATACGAGAGTTTTGAACGAAAGGTGAGAAAGAAAGTGATCTGGTAAGACAGCAAAAGATTTCAGGTCTAGAGAACATAATTAGGAAAAGTAGAGAATGACAAGCAGTTTCATTTGTCTCATGGACAAGGATAAAGATAGAAGAGTAGCCTGGTGGTATGCTATGGAACACTTTAAATGCTCTGCCAAGGAGCAGGCACATCATATAGTAGACAATGAGAGCCTGAATCTTCAAATTAGGTTTTCTTAATGGTATTCAAATATTTACCACAAATTTCCATCATTTTGCCAGCAAAGACAGATCTAAACAAGTACATTTTTTTCCAAACTTGGTCAAAATCATTTGGTATTGCTCTTAAATTTATTTTTCATTTAAAAGATAAGTCGTGGAGGGGGATATCTGTCAAATTTTCTGAACCTTACATTCATTGCTGGGCTTGAAGATAAAGCATAAGAGGTCCTTTTACAGTTCACGCAGAAGAAACAGTCTCTGGAAGAGAGAAGGAAACCCTTAAAAATATGAGTAGAAAAGCCATTTGTGGAACTTCTTGCACCCAAATACTCAAAATTAAGTGCTATCAAGATCTATTTGACTATTGGCAATTCTAAGAAGAAGGCTCCCTATATAAACCATTAGTTAAATGACAGTTATTGAGATTTTTATTTAATGACAAGGAGGAAGGAGAATATGACACAAAATAAGACAAAGACTTTTCCTGTGTGATTTTGGATCTAAGCACTTATTTATAACTATTGTAAATATAACTAATATTTTGGTCACTTTGTTGAGAGAGTCATAAAATCAACTCTATAAATATTAATTGAGAAAAGCACCACGATGAAATTTTTCAATGCTTTAACATAACAGTGATGGGATGTTGAGAAATACGGAATTTTGTTTTGTTTTGTTTTCATCATGATGCTACACAGACAGAATAGGGATGTACATAGCTAGGTGTGTCTATCTGTGTGTTATAGACACATACACACATAAAGGAAATATAATTTTAATATTTCTGCCAGTCTGAGATTAAATAGAGTGATATGGGTCACACCCTCGGTGGTTCTTTATTTACCTTTTATGGGGACATGACAATGTGGATGGAATATGGAACAGAAAGGAGAAAAAGATTTAGTATGCTCCAAATGTCCCAAACCAGCTTGTTATTATTATCCCTATATCTTCTTCACTCCAACCTGACCTGCTTCCAGTATTATCTCCCATCTACTGAAGAATATAAAGCAATGCTCATGACTTCCGGCCCTATATCCAACCCAACATAATGCCTTACACCTTTACTCATGAAGTATTTTTCAATTTCAATTCTATCACCAATTCTACCACCCTAATCCAAGCCACCACTGTGCCACATGTAGAGGCCCGTGATAGTACATTATCTGTTCTAGTTTCACCCCCCCACCCCAACCCTTCTCCAATTCATTTTCCATGCAGCGGGCAGATGGCTATGATCTTGTCACCACCCACTACCTATCTCTATCCCTTGCTATTGCTCTTAGGATGTTTCTCACTGTTGTACCTATTCCATTTAGCTATGATGGAATTAAATTTATTTTAATTGCTGTGCTCAGATGGGAAGAAAGACTGATAAATAATGAGATAAATGAGGGAACTGGAAATATTCAGAGATTGGTCATTTTGCTTTTATGCCCTGAAGCAATGATATTTCACATTAAATAAATTTTTTTAAAAAAGGCAGTTTCTTCTCCAGGGCAACATTATCTTTGTTTTTTTATAGAGTTCCCATGATTACTCATTGGTTTGGTATTCTGGAGTTTGTGGACTTTATTCAGAATATGAGAAACCTAATTCTTTATAAGTCAAAAGCAAGTACTGAAAATTTAATTCATAAAGAAAAGAGTTTTCCACATATTTTCACAGGCTTCCTTAAAAATCTTCCCCATTTTGCTCGTCACAGTACTTCCAGAAGGGATCGTGTTATTACGCAAGATTTCAAGTAGGGCTGCTATTGAGGAGGCTACCTGGACTCAATTTTTAACTTTATATTTCAGAATTCCACCATGTGTTTTTCCTTCTCATAAAGGATCAAAACCACATCATGACAGAACAATCTGTGAGAATCATAGGCTTTTAACAAGGAAGAAACGGATTAAAAAATACTTCACGCCTTATTAAAGAAATCCCTATGTTCCTCAAAAGCACTTTTTAGCATCTTATTAGTGGCATTTGATCTGACTGACATATTGACCAGTAATTGGAGCAGAAGATGGATCTATTCCACTTAGATCACAAAGGGAATAAAAATTTTGGCTGTAAATTCAAGACGGACAACTTCCAAATAATTTCTTTAGAATAACTCCCTATAAAACAGCCTTCTAAGTTGTTCTAGATACATCGTCAGATTCTTTAATAAATCACTGGCCAATAGGTGAACCTTATTGTTTTTATTTGGATTTGGAAATAAACCAAAATAGGATTGATCTGAAAGTGAAAGTGACTTTAAATGCCCACCCTCTACTCATATCAATAGAAAAATCTATATTGGTAGCTAAAACATTATTGGATAATATTTTGTTGTTGTTCGGCTTGTGTTTTTTCTTTTTCTTTTTTTTTGTTATCTCACCACTCACACATTAACTTTCATTGGTTTCAGTATCATATTCTCATTGAGTAACTGCTTCTCAAGTTGGAATGAGACAGTTATTTCATCATTTTCTAAAATTTCTTAAATAGCCAAATAGCTCTAACTTTAACACAATGATAAATGTTTCACTATTTCACAATTATGTGAAACAACAAGCTATAAACCAACGAAGCATCTACAGAGCATACTCAAATATTTCGTTTGTAACTATACTAAAAAACTCTCATTATCTAGATCACTACCAATATTAATTACTGACTTGCATTTTGTGGTTTTGTTTTTATTGTTTAAAGAATAAGGGGAAAAGGCCGGGTGTGGTGGCTCATGCCTGTAATCCCAGCACTTTGGGAGGGTGAGGTGGGCAGATCACAAGGTCAGGAGATCAAGACCATCCGGGCTAACACAGTGAAACCCCGTCTCTACTAAAAATACAAAAAATTAGCCAGGCGTGGCAGTGTGCGCCTGTAGTCCCAGCTACTCGGGAGGCTGAGGCAGGAGGATGGCGTGAACCTGGGAGGCGGAGGTTGCAGTGAGCCGAGATCGCACCACTGCACTCCAGCCTGGGTGACAGAGCAAGACTCTGTCTCCAAAAAAAAAAAAAAAAGAAAAGAAAAGAATAAGGGAAAGAATTAGTTGCAGGTATGTAAGAGAAAATATACATGTCTACATGCATTTTGAAAATCTTTATTCCTAAGGCTTATTCCATCCAAGAAGATTTACAGTTTAAACCATGGATGTTGTATGAATACTTTGAAGGATGCAACTTAATTTTCTGAAAATGTAGCCACACAAAAGTAACTTCTTTATGGCACTTAGGGATTTATCACCTAAACATATAAGCTCATACATTTCCAGCGTATTGATCTTTATTTTGCAAATGTTTCAGCAGCATTTTCTATCATTGAAATAGTGGCAACATGTTCTACTTAAGATCAAACAATCTCCCGAAATCTGGCAAGATTTAACAGAAATTTAAACCAATACTTTTCCAAGGAAAACTCTAACCATCTGCAACTGTTATTATTAACACTATTCTTTTCTTTTTTCTTCCTATATTATTTACACTTCCTGTTGCTCTCAAAGCTTTCAACTTATCATTAGCAATTAATTATAAACAAATGGTTGAAGAGCATGTTTGTATGTATGTTTTTTTTTTCCCTGAGCCAAACAGATACAGTATCTTGTTTTGATCACATGAATTTCCTGTCCACACGCAGGTCTACCTGAGCTTTGCTAAGAAAAATCTGTGGCAGAAGACAAAAATGATTGCTTTCAGAAAGGGGGAAATATCACCTAGATAATGCTCTTGGTGTCCTTGTATTAGTTAGACAGATCTTTCTGAAAAAGTAAAGAGTGAAACTTGTTAATCAGGGAGGGCTATTTTACATTAATAGTTTGTTAGTGTTTTTTAAGCTAGGAAACTCAAACTTCAATACGTTTGCACATAAAGAAAAACTGAAACTCAGAAAATAACCTGTTGGTTTATGTTACCTTTTCCTAAGCACATAAGCCCTGCTACACTGAAGGAAGCTGTCTTATATCAAATTATGACCTCTTTGTTTAGTCCTTGTCATACCCATCAGAATAGATTATCCAATGCCACCTACTTGTATCTCTGCCAGAGCAAGTACACAGTTATTTGCTCAGTTTTGCAGTAGGGATGCCTCTTTGATGTTGTTCAGCCACCATTTCCTTTCCATTCACTTTTATCTCTGTCCTGGCACTCACTCCTGAGCATCCTCCTCTCCAGATGGTCTCCATCTCCCCTTTAGAAGTACCCAAAATACTCCAGCTTCCTCCTCTTGATCTTTTCCCATCAACAGCCACGTAATCCCTCGGGACTTTTTTTTTTTTTTTTGAGACGGAGTCTCATTCCATCGCCCAGGCTGGAGTGCAGTGACATGATCTCGGCTCACTGCAACCTCTGCCTTCCGGGTTCAAACAATTCTCCTGCCTCAGCCTCCTGAGTAGCTGGGATTACAGGTGTACGCCACCATGCCTGGCAATTTTTTTGTATTTTTAGTAGAGACAGGGTTTCACCGTGTTGGTCAGGCTGGTCTTGCACTCCTGACCTCGTAATCTGCCCGCCTCAGCCTCCCAAAGTGCTGGGATTACAAGCGTGAGCCACTGCGTCCGGCCATCCCTCAGGATTTTAATACCAATCTATTTCTATTTGATTTTCTTCAAAGATTGTTTTTATAGGAAGAAAGGGCCACAAGGTAAGATCACAAAATCCTCAGCAAACATTGTGGCATTAATAATCATACTTCTCAACTATTTGCTGGAATGCTTCTGTGGTACGTTGATTACCCAACATGTATTGAATAGCTACTGTTTATCAGGAACAGTATTTGGCACTAAGGATTGAGGCAGAAATAAAAGATGTTTGATAACAGAAGATAAACAAGTTCTAAACAAGGTAGCATGGAACACGCACTGGAAATGCAAAGAAAAAAACAATGATTTGTGCTTATGGGAGTATTATTAAAAGATTCATGTAGTTGGGGCTTGCAGGATGAATAGGAGTTAATTGGGCTGATCATGGATGAAGAATACTAAAGGTAAAGGAAACAGTGTAGGGATAGAGATCTAAAACAGGATGCCTACTGACTAGAGAATTATAAATATTGTGTAGGCTTGCAGTGATGCTTCTGTGGGCAGGTGGGGGAAGTTCAATAGATAAATTTAGAAAAGTAGGTAGGGAGAGAAAAAGATCTTTCATGACCTGTTTTTTGGACTTACCTGGAAGGTAACAGGAAACATTAAAAGGTTTTAGTTAAGTAGAGAAAATACATGATCAGATCTGTAGTTTTTAATAATTTCTCCCACTGCATTGTGATAAATAGATAAAAGGAGAAATACTGTATACAGAAACCTGATTAAACGCCCATATAATAGTTCCAGTGAGGAGTGATCAGTCTACACTAAAGCAATATCAATAAGTTAAGAGAGGGAAAAGGGTAAATTCTAAGAGTTGAAATAGAGTAGCAGCTAGTGACTTGGTTAGGCATGTAATATGGAGATAAAAGTTTGAGAAGCTTATAGATATCTAACTTGCAAAGTTGGGGAAGAGATACTATGGGTTCTGTTTTAAACACGTTAAGACTGAAGTGCCAGTGTGGGGTCTGAGTAGAGTTGACTAGAAGACAGATACGACTTAGGAGCAATGATTTGATTACAGGTAATGATTTGGGCCATATAAGTTACCTGATAGTTACGGAACTCAAGTGTATGAATGAGAAGCCTGGGAGAAAGCATATAGGACCAGCCTCAACTCCTTAAAACACTGAAGTCTTATGTTTAGTGGAAGATGAGGAGCCAACAAAGAATACTGAGAATGAAATGATGGAGAACAAATTTCAAGAAGGTAGGAGGTTATAGTTGACAAGGTCAAATGCCATTAAGAAGTATTTTTGGAAAATGAATAGTGACTATTGATTAATAATTAGAAAAATATGAAAGGTAAGTGAAGCAGCACTATGAAATATTACTCTTGGATTTGAAAGGAAATAGTGAAAGAAGATGATGATTATTGTGTGTCAATTATTTATAAAGATTGAAGAAACTTTAACATATTGTTAATAGAAGCAATCAGTAGAATTTAGAGAAGGACAACGGCATATAAAATGATCAGCAGATAACATGAGTGTTATGATAGAAAAACACAGAACTATGGAAGCATTGTTAAAACTACTTTCATTCATCCTTCCATGAATACAAAAGTCAGTAATGTTTTCACTCAAATTTACTGAATAATAACTTTCAGGTTATAGTCTATTTGCACAAAAATAAAACATGAGAAACAAAATTTCATTACATATTATCTGAAACAAAGTGATTATGGAGGTGTTAGAACACACAAGAAATATTGCAATTGACATCATTCTATTAGATGAAGAAATTAAAGGCCTGAAGAGGTTCCCTGGAATACCAAAGTCAATCAGAACACTGGGGGCAGAGATAGAGCACATTTGCACGACAATTGGTTTGTCATCATACTCTTTCAACATCTAAGTTTTAAGTATCAAATTCATCTGTGAGAAAGAAATCTATTATGATTTGCATTTTTTGCAGGAACCCTGATAACAGACACAGTTTTCACTAATATGTATCTGATACGGTTTACCTCTGTGTCCCCACCCAAATCTCAGCTCTAATTGTAATCTCCATAATCCCCACATGCTGAGGGAGGAACCTAGTGGGAGGTCATTGGATCATGGTTGGAAGGGGGTGTTCCCTCATGCTGTTCTCACGATAGTGAGTTCTCACAAGATCTGATGGTTTCCTCCTTCCCGGGCTCTTTCTCACCTGCCACCCTGTAAGACATGCCTGCTTCCCCTTCCACCATGACTGTAAGTTTCCTGAGACCTCCTCAGCCATGCAGATCTGTGAGTCAATTAAACCTCTTTCCTTTATAAATTACCCAGTCTTGGGTATTTCTTTATAGCAGTGCGAAAACAGACGAATACAGTATCATTTTATCCTAAACAGACACTTTTCAGAAGGCCAAGTTATAACTAAAGTTGTATTACTTAATGAGTATTAAATATGTATTGCCTATCATAAGAAGAAATTGTAACAATTGTATTTCCCCCCAGAAATATAGAGAAATATATTTGGAATGACATTCTCGCACTAATAATAGTGCAAGGATGTCACAGGTTTGGTTTGGTTGTTGTTCTTATTATCGTTCTTGCTGTTTTTGCTGTTATTGTTTTTCCAGTGATGGGAGCAGGAGTTGAAAAAAAAGTCTTAAATTTAACTTTCCTTCTTAACTAAACAAAAACAAAGCTTTAGTTTTCAGCCTCAATTCACTTCAAATCTTTTAGCCTAGTCCCACTGGCACTGTCACTTCAAAATCACAGCATAATGCAGTATGCTGTTTTCCAATGTCAGTAAAACAAAAGCTTTATTGAATAAATATGTGTGAAAATGCTGCAAACAAAAACATCTCCACAGGCAGCACCTGACTGGCTCACAGCAAAGCTCTCCATTGTCATACCAGTGCTCAGCAAGTAACTTCCTAGCGTATCAGGCCAATGTTCCTTTTCAAGTTTTTTGTCCTTTTTAAAATAAGGAAATAAAGAAAATTAGGGTAAAATGTTTTCCTAGCCAAACCTGAGAGAAAACTGTACTTGTCAATTATAAGAAGATGGTAAAAGAGATTACAAAGAAATTTATTTGCATGATACATCTGCTTTTACTCTGCACACTATTTTAATATAATTTTGAAGGTGATTTCACCCTTTATAAAAGCTCCAGATGCCAGTGCTATAGTTTTACTTTTAACTAAGGAACAAACACAGTTGCATCTGTTTAACTGCATTTTTATGAACACTCAGTCTCTACCTACTAAAGAATTACAAACTTATCTCCTTTGTTCCTCACCCTTGCATCTCAGCACTTTGCCACATCCTATAGCTAAAAATTACTGCAGTAATACAAAACTCAGCACCGCTGTGGTAGCAAAGTCAGAGTTAACACACTGTGCTAAGGTCTCTGTAATTCCCTATTTTCTCTATTTTTTTCTCTGCTTATAGGGCAGCTACCCTCATAAGTGTTTAGGACATTAAAATTTGAAATCTCACTAATTATAATTAGTTTTGCTTTCCTCAACCTAAGCAGCTGTGCCAGCAGCCAAGCCACTGGTTTGCACATTTAGCCAGAGCTGCCTTGAACTGCCTCCTGCTGATGTTGCCAGCAAAACTGTCCATAGAGTTCCATATGAGCCCGGTTTGGATTTCTGTCTTCCAGGGTCTGTGTCTCTTCACTTTGCTACAACCTCATATTTTAAATTACTTGTAAAGTAGCTTCGAAATCATCTGAGACAGAAACAATCTAATAGAAATGAATACACTTTCCTCCAGCAAGTTATCTCACAAGAATTCTAAATTGCAAAAGCTAACTTTGTAAAGGTTACACTAAGAGTGCTTCATGCATGGTTATTTCCAACTCATTAAACATCTTTAGAAAAATACACAAATGCCTTCAAAGCAATGGCTTAAAAGGATCCATTCAAGCTTTTGAAGTAAGAGCAAAAGAGTGGGCTACTATAAAAAGTGAGAAAAGCTAAGTGCTATTAACTGTGATCAGGTGTTTAATCTACAACAGATAACACATTCCCAGATATAGACTTGGCTACAATTTTTATTTAGAATTCATGGAATGTATACTTGTGTTTATTCATTTACTCAGTCATTTATTATTTCGATAAGTATTTATTGAGAATCTATAATGTGCTAGTCACTAAACAGATAGCTGGAAATATAATAGGCAAAGCCCCTGCCTTCCTGGAGTTTATATTCTAGTGGGGCATGATGGGTACACATAATTAAAATTGCATATAAAAAACAAAGATAGGTAGCATTAAGTATGGTGAAAAAAATAAAGTGGAGTTGTGGGACTAGGAGATACAGAGAATACTATTTTAAATAGATGATCAAGGAAGACCTCTGAGAAGAAGTGGCCTTTTAGTAGAAACCCGGATAAAGAGCGAGTAGGAGTCATGCAATTATCAGGATTGAGAGCCTTATAGGAAAAGAAACAGAAATACATAGTTCCTGAGCAGGATATGGGCTTGGAGTGTTTGTAAGAAAGCAAAGATGTAGGAATAGAAAGGTGTGAAAGGAAATAAGTTTGAAGCAAGGAAAAGGGTCTTGAAAGCCATAGGAAGAACATCAGATGTTATGCTAAATTTTATGTTAAGCCCCTGGGGGATTGTGAGCAGGGAAAGGACATGATCTAATCTCTCTCTCTCTCTCTCACACACACACACACACACACACACACACACACACACACACACATATGCACATATGCTCCCCAAACATGCCTGTGTTCCTGTTTCCAAAACACAAAGATGTTTGGCAGCCCATTCTCTCCTTGAGCATTTGTTACTGCCAATTTCTACCCTCCAGTCCTTGAAGTCCCATTTCCTCCAACAAAGACAGTGCTACAATAGAGAGGGTCAAAGGAAAGAACACTAATACAGTTCACATTTTCTAGCAGCTTCTCACATGCCCCATATGGACCTCCCCACCCCCACCAAGGAAATCCTGTTGGTTATGTAAGGCCACTATGGTATCCTCATTTTATAGAGAAGGAAATAAAGGTTAAATTTCTTTAAACAATGAATGGCTCATTAGTAAAAGGTGAAAGAGTGAAGCCTAGAACTCACATCTGCTGCCAAGTCCAAGGTGTATTCCCATATACAACACTATTTCTCAAAAGAAAATTAAATTAAGTTATTGTTCCATCTCCTTCCACAGCTCACTCAGAAAGAGCTGAAATAAAATCGGGCAGAAGATAGAAGAAAATAGAAAGCCCTGCACAGAAGAAGTGAACTCAATGCCAAATGAGAGTGGAAAGAGGAGAGCAGGTGTATTGTATTGCTCTTCTAAAACCAGAAACTATGACATCTTAAAATATGTCTTAAAGCACCTTGCAAAGTCCTCAGCAAACAACACATCATGAATACAACCAGTTGATTGGTTCAGAAAAAGAGAAAGAAAATAGGAGAAGAATTAGAAAATTTTATATCAAGGAAAAAATTTTATTCATTATCTGCATAAACTCCTTCAAGACTTCACAGAGCTAAAAGTAGCATATATGATTAAATATTTTTATATGCTTCAACTTTAAATAGTTGTCATTTTTTGTAAGGACACCTCATGTGACACTATTTGGGAATTAAAAACTCTAGTTTTTTATAAGATCTACATTCAGAAGCATTCTTTTAAGACCAGGTAATTGTTGCATCAGTACAAAATGTATTCAGCACCAATTATGTCCTTGATTACACTGGTGGATGCTTGGACTACAAATATAAATTAGATACCAGCCATCTAGTATCGGAAATGTGCAGTCATACTAATATGTATAGTCATGTTCAGTACTAGTCATAGAAATGTCATAGTAATGTCCAGTAATTTTGGTAGAACAGATTATTTTATATATTAATATGAGATGAGAATAGGGGAAATAACATTACTTTGAACATAAATCAATGACTTTGCTCATCTTTTCTTTTTCCCTACTCTTCCCAATTCCCCACCCCTAAAACTTTCAACTAAAGACCACTTGGACACTTTTCCTATTCTGTTCCTGCAATTCCTCCCCTCACTTTGTCACCCACCCAACTCCTCCCACTTGACCCCCACTCCAAAAGAAAAGAGGCAAACAGGAGGGAAGAATTATCTGAAGCAGGTGGATTTCTGCTTGAACAGGTTCATCATTCTCCATTTTGCAAAAAGATAAATAAAAATGCCTCAAGACAGACTCTGGTCAGAGGAGAGGAGGTTCCAAAATTTAATTGTCCTGAAATTTTCTGTCAGAGGAGTCAAGCATGGAAGGAAGTTATTGAATCCTCACTCAGTCAGGATCAAAATCCACAGCAAAGAAGTCAGCCATGCAGTGGTCTAAAAGATATTCAAGATCAAGGAAGCAGCTATACCAGTAGAGGCCAGAGAAACCAGACCAGTGGTATGCCAAGGAAGTCTCTATTAAGTTATTTTATTTAATTCTGAAAGCAGAAACATCAGCAGGATGGCAGACTAGGAAGCTCTGGGCCCTCATTCTCCTATGGAAACACTAAATAAATAACTAGAACCTGACTGAAATAATTCTATAGGAGCTCTGAAAATCAATGAAAGATCTATAACAATCAAGCAAACAACCAAGACAAAACCACATCTGAAATGGTGGGAAATTTCATGCATTTTTAGTTACCCTTGCCTCACTCAGTTTAGGGGAAGCAGGAGCCTGGTCAGTCTCCAGGTCCCTTTCATGAACTAAGGAGAACAGGGCGGGTCAAATTTTCCATTTGCTTATCTGTCTGTGGACTACTCGAGGGTCTAGTCTATGTATCACACAACCCAGAGCTCAGATAGACAAAAGTGGCTCAGACCTCAAACTAGAAAAAACTGTGGAAAGTAGTGGGCATGGCCTGTGAAAACTACAAGGGCACTACAGACCCAAAGATGCCTGGGTGCAAGAGATTAAGCACAAGAGAATACAATAGAACAGTTAAAGCTCTAAGAAGCAGCAGAGATGAGACTCCTTGTGAAATTAAGGCATTTGAAAGCATCCATGTATACTGGGAAATTGGGAAGAAAGCACTAGGACAAGCCCAAAGAAAATGCATATCAAGAAAATGCCTAAGAAGGTTTTCAGTCTTCACTCTGAGCTTATTAGTGAGGTCTTTCCTTCAACATGGAGCCAGTCTGCAAACAATGGGAGAAGTGGATGTTTTTTCAAATGCTCAAATTTCTACAAAAGACCACAAGCCATACAAAGAAACAGTAAATATTGTCCACTTGAAGGATCAAACTAAACCTTCAGAAACTGCCCCTGAAGAAACACAGGCTTCAGACCTACTAGACAAATACCTTTTAAAAATTTCTTAAATATGTTGAAACATGTAAAGGAAAACACCAGAAAAAACTAAAGGGAATCAGGGAAATGATATTTGAACAAAATGAGAATAAAAATAATGAGACAGAAATTACATCTTTTTTAGAAACACCAAACAGAAATTCTGGATCTGAAAAATAGAATAACTTAATTGAAAAATTCATGATAGGGGTTCAACAGCAGACTCAAATAGGCAGAAGAAAGAATCACTGCATGCAAAGACATGCCATTTGAGATAAGCCTGAGAGTGAAAAGAAAAAAAAAAAAGATGAAGAAAAGTAAACAGAGACAAAGGACTTATGGGACATCCTCAAGCTAACCAATATAGAAGTTGTGGAATTCTAGAAGGAGAAGAAAGGGAAAGAAATTTGTTTAACGAAATAATGGACAAAAACTTCCCAAATTGGTGGAAAAATATTGATATACAAATACAAGAACTTCAATGGACTCCAAGTAGGAAAATTTAAGGAGACTACACAAAAATGTATTCTATTTCAAAAGACAATGACAAAGAGAGAACCTTGAAAGCAGCAAGATAAAAACAACTCATCGCATAAAAGTGATCCTCAATAAAACTGTTAGCAGATTTCTCAGCAGAAACCTCACATGCCAGAAGACAATGAGATGACATATTTAAAGTGTTGGAAAAAAAAATGTGAACCAAGAATTCTATATCTGGCAAAACTGTCTTTCAAAAGTGAGGGAGAAATTAAGATATTTCCAGATGCACAAAAGTTGAGAGAGTTCATTATCACTAGACCAATCCTACAATAAACACTAAAGGGAGTCCTTCAAGTTGAAATGAAAGGATGCTAGACAGTAATTCAAAGCCATACAAAAATATAAAGTTCTCTAGTAGTTAAGTGTACAAATAAAAAAACTCTCTTGAGATAAAGATCAATAACAACTTGCAAGTGTGCAATGAAACCACTTGCTGAATGAATATCATCACTACCCAGAGGTTATATACAGCATATAATTTTACAAATCATATAAAGGTGCTCTCACTTAAACCTATTCTTCTAAACTCTCATAAACTCCATAGGAGGCAGAAAACGAGAGTTGGCAAAGCAAAGCTGCTAATGCAAAATAATTCTTATTCTAACACAAAAAATTTCTTTAATGAATGAAACTTGGGCATGCCAGTATAGACATTGATACAGAAACCCTACATTGAATTCTCCATTTGTATGTGATGAAAACACTGAAAATAAAGATGAACTATAAATGCTTTCTTTGAAACAAAAATACACATAGCCAACAATGAAAGAATTGGATGAAGTTCCAGGAAAAAAAATGTTCATAGTGTTCTCTTAAATTTATCAAACAAGAAATGATATTATTTGGAAATGAAATAATCAGAGGATTATTGGTTTTAGTTTATTTCAACTTCTTCCATATTTTTCCAACTGGTATAGATTCAGAAAAATTTTTTCAGCCACTGAAAAAATTTTTACAAAAACACACTTGCAACTCAAGGAATGACACATCTTATCCTGTAAGAGTGATTATTTTTAAAAGATCATATAACTATTCATAGTGTCATTAAATTTTCTTTATTTGTATATTTTGTTATTTTAAAATAATACTTTGTTATATCAATCTAGTCTGCTATACTGGAGTAAGGATGTATATAATGCTTGAGGTTTTATGAATAAGTTCTACTTAATGCTTTATAATATGTTTATAAATGTAGTTGAAATGTATTACATACATTTTTTTGTTGAGGTTTATTTTTTAAATAAAATATGTAATACATATTTGGATAGGGATCTCATGATGTAAAGCATGTAATAAATATGTGACACATATTTAGGGAAGGATTTTTAGAGAACCTGTTTTGCATGGCTTTTGAAAGATTAGCCACTACACAGCAAGTCAAGAAGAGCAAGAGTTATTCCATGCAAAAGGAACAGAATGAGCAAAGGCATAAAGTGATGCAAAAGCAAGATGTCCACAGCTATACTACAAGCTATTTTGTGTTACAAAAATGGAATGTATGAGGCAAAAAATAGAGAGAAATGAAGAAGAAAAGGCAGCTAGAGGAAAGGATGTGAAAAGCTTTGTATGGGAAGGCTGCAACTTAATCCTGGGAGGGGCCACTCTTGCATCATTTTATTCATGGGAGTAGCAGAATCAAGTACACATTTTATATAAATCACCTTGGCAGCTAAGTGCAGATGAATTTAAGGAAACAAATTAAAAGGAAAGGAAATGAGTTAAAATATTATTGCCGTATCTGTGGCAATAGTATTATATTTTATTGCCTCAGAGGGTGCATAGGATATATTTCTCCCAAGGAGAATAGAAGGAATTCACTTGGAGAGAAAAGGAATTGAAATTCTCTTTCTAGTTAGTTTAATATCATCTTTCAAAAATTCTCAACTTTTGCCATACCTTTTATAATATACATAATCAATTAACACAGCAGGCCAAGCACGGCAGCTCATGCCTGTAATCCCAGTACTTTGGGAGGCCAAGGCAGGTGGATCATCTGAGCTCAGGAGTTCGAGACCATCCTGGGCAACATGGCAAACCCCATCTCTACCAAAAATACAAAAAAATTAGCTGGCTATGGTGGAGCATGCCAGTGGTCCCAGATACTCTGGAGGCTGAGGTGGGAGGATCGTTTGAGGCTGGGAAGCAAAGGTTGCAGTGAGCAGAGATCACACCACTGCACTCCAGCCTGGGTGACAGAGTGAGACCTAATCTCAAAAAAATAAATAAATAAATAAATAAAAAGCAAACTAATACAGCAGTTCATTTATAAATGTTTATCAATGCAGATACTGACAAAATCTAAAAAAATCCCACTGTTCTGGGTAAGAGTGACAAAACTATGTTCTAGGGCAATGATTTTGCTGATGGAGAAATACAGACAGAATTTTAAAATACCTAGGAGTTTATATCATCAATGTTTGATGGTTGTTTGGACAGAATGGTTAGAGTTATCAAGCATATGCATATGAACATTTCTGTATCAGAAAGCAAAGCTACAAGTTAATCTAGGGTTGTGAGGTGAGGCAGAGGAAAGCAGCTCTGTGAGAGTGGAATTCGATCAGCGGAAGGCAGAGAGATTCTAGTAGCAAATTAAAAGCAGCTGGTAAAAGATCATGAAATACTTTCTGCTGTAAATCAAAAGTACTTTAAAATGTATTGAAACAGGAAAAATGGTCTTGAACTGTACCATAAAGTAGTTAGGTTAGCTAACAGAAAGAACTTTGTTAATAGTTGCTGTTAAAAACTATGTGTTAACAGAGAAGGTCATCATTTGTGTTTGCTGTAGTTTAAAGGTTCATCCTGTGTCCATGCAGGGAACATACAGGAACAACTTCTCTTGGTTTGGTGTTTTTCTCAGCTGTCAAAATGTTTACATGGTGGGTTTAATACCCCCTAAATCAGAATCTTCCTTGCTATGGCTTATCACTCATGGACATCTTAATTAATTCTTTGATAATTCAGGCTTATATACCAGAAGAAGTTAAAGATGATAGATACTTAGGAAGAACATATTTCCACTATTGCAGAATAGAGGACTGGATATTTGGCAGAAATCACACATACCTTTTGATCCAGTTATCAAAAGCCCCAGTTTCTGTAGGAGTTTGGATATGTTTCCTAGCAATATTAAATGCTTTGATATCATCAGGGTAGAAACTACAGGCTCACTCTGTTCTGACTAGTAGAGGTAGCTGCCTCTGCTATGATTCAGGGCTAACAAAAGTAGTCACACACCCCAAATACATTCCCCAAAGGTTTTCTCTTACGTGAGTGAAAATTCTCGCTACCTAGGATATTTTGGTTAGAAAACAAAAGCAAGGTCCTCATCTTCTGGAGGTCATTGCTAAACTGTATGTTACCCTGTAAGTCAACAAAGACCTTGGGAACTGCCTTCAATCTTATCCTTTAACGTATCATCATGGATAACATATTCCAATCAGCCAGTTGTAGCCTTGGAAGGCAGAGAGGCACAGCCTTGAGAAGATAAGATATGGGGATAGGTAAGCCAAGGAAAAGCTTTGCCTCCTGATTCGTAACAGTCACAAGAACAGACCTTGGGAAAATCACTGTGAACTCTTCACTCAGGTTAACCCAAGTCTACAAAGACTATCAAGATAAGCAAGCATTTATAAAGATGTATGTTGATATTATAGAAACTTAACTGAGAACACAGCTTTCTTATACCTTGTTTGTATTTTGAAATAATCCAAGATCATGCTAATTCCTTTTGATATTATTTTAGTAGAATAACCATGCAAATTAAGCACCTAGGGGGCAGAGTTCAGTACAGAGGTTAATTTAGTTTTCCTAAAAGTTGTAATTCTGAAAAGTTATTTAAATAAATTTGTATTTGATAAATTTGAATCGTTCACTATACTTACGGGAGAACTTGCAATGTACAGAAATAGCACTGATTTTCTATGAGGTGTATTAACTCTTGACACCATGTATAGGTGGTTAATTATGCATAAAAAAACTAAATTCACAATCCTTTCTCACTTTATCTACACAAAAGTCATTGTGCAGATGAGAAAATTGAGGCTCAAAAAGGTTAAAAGTAACATGGCCAAGGTGTCACTTGAGATGCAGCACACTTGGGATTTAAACCTAAATCTGAGTGTTGAAAGATCATTATTGGGTCCATTATGGAATTATTAATTTTGTACATATTACTTGATATGTATTGAAGATTTTATTTTGTTCTATTCTATTCTATTCTATTCTATTCTATTTTGAGACGGAGTCTCACTCTGTTGCCCAGGCTGGAGTGCAATGGCATGATCTTGGCTCACTGGAACCTCTGCCTCTCAGGTTCAGGTGATTCTCCTGCCTCAGCCTCCCTAGTAGCTGGGATTACAGGTGCCCACCACTGTGCCTGGCTAATTTTTGTATTTTTAGTACAGACAGGGTTTCACCATGTTGGCCAGGCTGGTCTCTAACTCCTGACTTCAGGTGATCCACCCGCCTTGGCCTCCCAAAGTGCTGGGGATTACAGGCATGAGCCACCACACCTAGCCAGAGACACTTAATGTCAGAGATGAAAGTACAAAAATTGATACAAATTGGAGACAGCTACTACCTTCAGAGAGATAATAGGCTAATTAGAGAATTAGTATATACAAACATGTAGACATATTAAATAAACATATGCAAATATACAAATTATAAGTCTGAATTGAGCATATAAAATGGTACATGATTATATTAAGAAATGTGAGAAGTTCATCTTCTTTCCTCTATAAATGTATAGGTTCTTCCACCAAAGACACTACAGGCATATTCTGTTCCATACAAGGGCATGGAATCCTGGACATAAGGGCATGGCATAGAATAGCATCATATTGGGCATCTTTTCTGAATGGAGCTGTACTTCCAATATGGTAACCTAATACCAAGTGTGTCAGCACAGACGTTGAGAAGCAGATGCCAAACCAGGGTTTGACATGTGAGATCTGGGGAGTTAAACTTTTCTATGGGTAAAAGGGAAGGGAACAGGAGTAGGCAGAAACAGCTTTTAGATCACAAGTCTGGTCTGATACCTGTAAGAAGATAGAGAAAAAGGAGATTTGGGAAGGAAGAACTTCAGACCATGGTGCAGTTCTGAGAAACCCTCAGTCAGGCTAAAGGGAGCAGTCATGAGTCTTACAGAAGCAGGCTGACTCTAGTTCCCTCACCATCTCAGGAATTCGGGGAGCAGCCAGGGGAAGTGTGGCCTGGAAGTTCACAGAGGAACCAGCTGGGCTGCTAGACCTCTGCTCCAGGTTCCCCTGAAAGAGATCTGAACTGTGCATCTCCATGGCTGTCACATCTAAAATCAACATGGCCAGGCATGGTGGTGCATACCTGTAGTCTCAGCTACTATGGAGGATGAGGGGAGAAGATAGCTTTAGCCCAGGAGTACAAGGCTGCAATGAGCCATGATTTTGCCTCTGCACTCCAGCCTAGGCAACAGAGAGAGACATCATCTCTTAAAGAAAGAAAGAAAGAAAGAAATAATAAAATAAAATCAACATGAGACAAGGGTCTGTGGAATGATATCTTTACAGTATCTTAGCATACTTTATAGTTCCCCTAATTGGAAGTGAGTAGGCCTACACCATGATCCTCCCGTCCATCTAAGGCTAGATCTCTTGATCTGCTTTAATGTCTGATATATGTTTTAATCATAAAACGGATCTTGTGTTTGTTTGTCCTTCTGAAAAAAATCAAACTCTTTGTTGGAAATCAAAAGATCTTGGGTGGCAAAATTGGATATTATTGGTATAACAAGAGGCCATGAAGAAATAAACAAAGGAAAGCAAATGCTATGGGAGGCTAGTGCTCATTGGCCAAGAGGGTAATTGAGTATTTTATTGGCTGACTCATACCTTAAGAAATTACCTTGTTCAGCGCTAAATGAGGTTTGCCTGGTGTCTTATCAACACGTTATCATATGCAACAGCAAACCTTCATTGATCGCCTATTGATTACACAGCTTTTTTCCTAGACCTGTGAATTAGAAAAAATGACCATCCTGAATACTATTAAAAATAACCACTCACACTTGTAAAGAGATTTGAAATTTATGGTGCATATTTATATATGTTATTTTCAATACGCGAAACTGGTAAAACTGGATATATACATAAGATACTTGTATTCTAGCTAAATTTTGATGAACACTCTATGCCAGACAATGTGCTCAGTGTGTTCCATGAATTATATCTAACCAATACAGCAGCCCCAGGAAGTACCATTATTTCCCCATTTTACGGTTGAGGAAACTGATAATCAATCAAATTAAGTCACTCACCCAATCTCACATAGCTAGCAAGGGAAGGAGCAGGAAACTGAATCAAGATTTTATAGCTACAAAGTGATTGTATAGCTACAAAGTGACTGCTTATAGCCAATCTTCCTCCACCTTAAGTGATATCTAAGAGTAAAGGCTAGTAGATGGCACATACTGAGCGATTGCTTCAAGTAATTAAATCCACCAGGAATTCAGAGAAAATGATAATACTGGGTCCCTTCATTCTTGTAGAAACCCAATAATATTTGTTGAATTAATGACCAAACAAAGGGAAAGATTAAATGCATTCACAACAATGGTAAGTTAGTAAAATCACAGATATGATGACAGAGACTTTCCTCAGTCTTTGGGTCAGCTTAACCAAAAGACAGGAGAAGGAATGCCTGAATTCCATGAGAATATAAATTATAGATGGAGGAGATTATTTGATATTATTAACTAGATAGCCTAGTACTCAGCTACCATTTACTTAATAATTTCTAATTGTCATACACTGTAGTAAACTATATATATATAATTTTAAATATTTCTCAAAACCCATAATCTGAGGTTTACTGTTCCATTAAACACAAACGAAATACTCAGAGAGATGAAGTAACTTGCCCCAGGTCAAAGAGCAAATAAGTTGCTCAGCCAAAATTTAATTTCAAACCAAAACGATCTCTCTTTTTACTGTATGGCAGTACCAAATTTCCAAAGAATTTGTGAGTTCTCAATGACTATATAGAGTAGCCAGCCAATGTCCACACTGGACCATTTAGTAAAGAACACAGAACTCCTAAAGAGAAATGGATTCTGGAAGTTACTCAGCTGGCTGTCGTGTTTCAGTCTAAGACACCCTCACAATTATGATATGCCAGTAGTTGCTACCATATAACAAAATTCAAGATTAATCAAATTTTAACCTTGGGAAATATTACTTAAATCAATAGGAAGGTCATTAAAGTCACATTTTTCCTTTAATTCCCTTCCTCCCCAAATAAGAAATAATGTTAGGTATCATGAAACATTTGGTAAGATGTCCCTCAAAATATCGCCAGAGTTTGTACCCAGTAATTCTTGACAAAACTGAAGAACCGTACAATCTTTAGACATGATTAGCCTATTGTTCTCATTTACCAACCTTGGTTTTATTGAAGTATGATTAAATATATTTAGTGAATTCATTCAACAAATATGTATTGAGCACCTACTACATAAAACCTATCATCAGGACAGGCATGGTGGCTCATGCCCTGTAATCCCAGCACTTTGGGAGGCCATGGTCAAGAGATCGAGACCATCTTTGCCAACATGGTGAAACCCTGTCTCTACTAAAAATACAAAAATTAGCTGGGCATGGTGGCACGTGCCTGTAATCCCAGCTATTCAGGAGGCTGAGGCAGGAGAATGGCTTGAACCAGGGCGGCAGAGGTTGTAGTAAGCTTAGATTGTGCCACTGCACTCCAGCCTGGCAATAGAGTGAGACACCATCTCAAAAAAAAAAAAATTCTATCATCAACTACCCTGGAGGCAGGGAAAGGGTTCAAAGTCTAATATGGTATAGCATCTGACCTCAGGGAACTTTGCAATTTTATAGGGGAGAAAAGCTATCTACAAGTGGATATAAAAGAATGCAGAATTTGAAAAGTGCCAAAACAGTAGTACACAGAATGCATCATAGGAACAAATAAGCACTCTCAACTCATGTAAGAGATATTACTTCTTAATGTAGAAAATATAGAAAGTTTCAGGGGTTTCAAACCCAACTCCTGGCACCACAGCTGTATAAGTTATCTATTATTGCACAACAAATAACTCTAAAATTTTAGTGGCTTTAACAACATTTGTCATATTATCTTCTGTCACATGCATATCCAGGTGCAGCTTAGATGGATGTCTCTGCCTGAGATTTCCCACAAGGTTGCAGTGTCTTCTGAAGGCGCTACCGGGAAGGATCCACTTCTAAGTCTCTCATATGGTGGCTGGCAGGATTCAATTATCCTCAAGCTGTTGGCATGAGGGCCTTAGTTTCTCATTGGCCACTGGCTTGAAGCTTCCCTCAGTTGCTGGCCAAGTAGGCCTTTCTGAAGGATGGCTCCCAATATGGCAGCTGGCTTCCCTCAGAGAGAAAGAAGAAAGTGCGCATGAACAAGATCTAAGTCACAGTCTTTATGGCATCTAATCTCAGGAGCGACATCCATCCCTTTTGCCATACTATGTACAGCATATATTAGGAAGGAGCACTCTGTAAAGCCTACAGACAAAGAGCAGGGATTACACAAGGTATGAATACCAAGAGGTAAGATCACTGGGGCCATCTCAGAGGCCACGCCCCACAATTTGTCTTGAAGGGTAGGTAGAATCTCAGCTGATAGAAATACAAAGAGTTGGAGGGTGCAGGTTTCAGGAAAAGAATAAGCCTATATGCAGAAGTGAGGAAAGAAACATAGAGGTTTGCTTGAGAAGAGCAAGAAGTTACTCCAGCCTGGTGGAAACATGAATGCATAACAAATATCAGAAAACAAGTCTTTGAAGTAGGTCAGGTTTCAACAACGTTATGCTGACAAGTTAGAGCTTTATTATTTTAGATTTGGTGAATTGTTGATTTTTCTAACATAACAGTAACAGGAACAGAAATGTACTTCAAGCTAACTGACCTGAAAGTCCTCTGAAAGGTGGACTTGAAGTGTGAGAGTTTGTGGAGGCGGAATCATTTAAAGGAGCGACCCTAAAACACAGCTACTATTAGGACTCAAAGCAGAGCAGCAGCAGCAGTGGGAGGGGGAAGGAAGGGGTCAATTGAAATAGCATATTTTATGCCTTACTGTGCGTTCCTATAAATGAAATTTTTTCAACTTCTGATTCTCAAAATACCTAATATTATATGGATTTTCAAAGGTTTTTCAGTTTCTATTATTCTTTCCCCTAACTCTTTCATGCCCTGCTTCAGGGCAACTGTTACCTATTGAATGTCATGCTAGCAAAAACATTTGATCTGAACCTTGCCCATTTGCCCCTGCTGCCTCAAAGCAGGAAACACATGACCTGTCTTTGATCACACTTTTTTCCTAAAATGAAAACATCCTCCAATATGTGATTCTTATAAAAGGTGAATGTTAAAATTCGGGGATAAACCACATTTAAGCCCAGGGACTCAGTTAAAGTTAATGAAAACATATCAGGATAAGAGAAGCTGTTGCAAGGTTTGGGGGCTATTTAATTCTTTTTCAAACATCAGAAAACCTGCCCAGCCTCAATATAGACAAAAGCTGGAATGAGTGCTCAATTAGTAGCAGTTTCTCAGCATTTTGTCCAATTACCTAATAAAGAAAACGAGAACCTCGGTACATAAATTTGTTCCATTATGGAAGCAACCTTCGGTGAGTAAGCTAGTCAGCTTTATTATTCAAATCATCAATGTGATGCTTGTAAGATGAAACAAAGGCAGCTCTTTAATGATAAATATTACAATACAGCTACTTTTCACATGTCTACACACACACACATTGTGAACCATTCATTGCAGTATAAACAAGAGACAACCAGTGACAATTCAGATAGAAGAAAAATAGAGACAGCCCAAAACAGAACAGATTATCCAGTTAGCACTCTGACATTATTGCTGCTTTTAGGGAACAGCTGACTTTAGTCATCAGTTTCCATCATCTGTTCTATTTCTTTTGCAGACTCTTGCTATAGAACTTTTCACAAAAGATGCTGGGTAAAAATCAGAAATAGTTAAAAGTCTGGGAAACAATCCTTCAAATTAGCTCCTTCTCTCCCTTTAATTGCAAGAAGGGATGTAGTTCTTAGGAGGGTCTGTCCTTTGACAGATTATTCAGCAGCAGAGAGGTGGGACTCTCAGGTATCAACAAGGTCACTGCCAGATTCACCACAGCCTGAGTATCCTGGAGTGCTGCAGGCTCGGAGCAAAAGAATGAAGACCCCGAAACAGCTTAAGAGATAAGCTGCTAGGACTGAAGTCAGGGTCAGGGCTTCTGGAAACATAAAAGCCGACACATATCACCAGAAGTATTACAGCTAGCACTACTCACATATGTTTTTGTATTGGTCTCCTTACATTTGGACACTTTTTTTTTTTTGCTCTTGAACGCAAAAAAATGAGTTGTACACATTCCAACAGCATCCTGCAGCCAGATTTGCCTGAACTGAACAAATACCTTCCTCAGAATCCCTATCATCTTTGCAGACCTCAACTTCTACACTGCTATTCATCTTGCCCTAATTCTCCTTAATTCATGCCCAGTAGCCCATCATATTCTAGACATTACAATAAACATCATGGACATAAGATATCTACTTCTTATGTCTTATGCCTGGTAGACCTTCTTCTTAATTACAAATAGCATATGACTTTTCCTAAGATCCTTGAAATCTACTGTATGCCTGGCCTTAGCTCTCCTTATACCAACATTTTTAGATATCTCACTTCTTTTACTTACAAAGCCTCCCTAAGCACATTCCAAGTAACACTATCCTGAGCGACTCAACACACAACACAAAAATGACACGGTCTCTGAAACTGTAATATCTATTCTTAATCTCACAATTCATCAAGGAGCAATGCAGTGACAGTAAAACAGTCATCCAGCTTAAATAATGCTACTTTATCTTCAACTGCTCAAGTAGCATTATTTCAGCAATCATACCCACAAATTACCTGACATCATAGAGTCTTATTTTCTCCCACACTATCCAAATGAACATGGAAAACTATTTGTAAATGTTTTCAAGATGTGGCATGATTTCCCTAGATTTCAGAAAAAGCCCACACCCTAGCACAATAGATGTCCATGAAAGACACAAGTGATTTAATCTCAGCTATTTTCAAGTGAAGGAAAATACCTTGTGGACTCCTTATCCGCATTCTATAAAGTGGATACTGGATATATTATTTTTATGTAGTCTATGAATGTGGTCATCTTAAGAGATAAAATGCAGAAGGGTAACATGGATTGACTACTATGCTTGTCTCTGACCTCTCATCATGCAAACTTTCTTAGAAAGCAGATGACAGATTGTTTGTGAGCCACACTTCTTCATAGCTGGTATCCTCCTTTGAAATGTTGTCATGTGATATGGTTTGGCTGTGTCCCCACTCAAATCTCATCTTGAATTGTAGTTTCCATAATCCCCATGTGTCGAGGGAGGGACCCAGTGGAAAGTAATTAATCATGGGGGCGGTTACCCCCATCCTGTTGTTCTCATGATAGGGAGTGAGTTCTCATGAGATCTGATGATTTTATAAGGGGCTTTTCCCCCTTTGCTCAGCACTTTCCTCTCCTGCCACTTTGTGAAGAAGGATGTGTTTGCTTCCCTTTCCACCATGATTGTAAGTTGCCTGAGGCCCTCCCAACCATGTGGAACTGTGAGTCAATCAAAACTCTTTTCTTTATAAATTATCCAGTCTCAGGTATCTCATCATAACAGCATGAGAACAGAATAATACATCAGGTAATTCTATTCTGCAGCAAAGTAGATGAAATAGTAAGAATAGTTACTCACACATGAAGGATTTTCCTCAAGGGCAATCATCTTAACAAGCATTTTTTTTTCAAAATTAGCTATCTGCAGTTCTATTAAAACACCACGACTCTCACCCTGCTCTCTTTACCCCAAAAGAAAGAAAGTAAAGATAGATTCCCATTAGAGAAAAAGCTTAAAAGGCTAGAAAAGTCCAGGCAAAATTCTCCAATATTCTAAAGTGACATAAAGGTGCCAACATACGTTTGGTCCTCGATACATAGCAGTGTAACATTGTGATTTCACTAATTATCCTGACACTTCTAATATGAGCAATTATTTCCAAATATTTTTCAGAAAGTAGGCATTTAATGAAGCTTCCTTGCATAGCTCCCCAATTAGAAGAGGACCTGCTAGAGATGGATTATTTTTAATCGAATGACAATTGATAGTTGGGAACTGGTCACAGGTAGGTGTCCTCTTTTTTTATAAGAAATACTCTACAGGCATTAATGAATTTCAATCATCTTTTCATTATAGTTTAATGTTTTAAGTTAGTTTGGCATGTAATAATGCCTAAATTGTTGTGCTAGTACATACTGTGAACATCATCCATGAAGACCAGCACAGAGGGCCACTTACACTGTTCCATAGAAGAGGGACCATTTTTGAGTTTTTTCTCATTTACTAAAATAGCATAGTACTTATTTCTAATAATATTAGCTGATATATATGGAGGATCTATAACGTACCAGGATCTTTAGATGTATTCTAATTCTCAAAAGGTGGTATTATTGTCCCTAATTTTACAGATGAGAAAGTTGAGGCTAAAGAGCACTGCTTTCCAGACCCAGATCTGTGAAATCACAAAGTTCACACTCCTCCTATTTCCCTCTGCTTACATGAAGAACACTTTAAAAAGTCCATTAGACCTTTAAAGAAAGGAAAGTAGGATGGTGCCAAAGATTACATTTCCCCAGGCTTATCTAAAGAGACCTTAAGAGTTCACCATAGTTTTTTTTTTTTTCATATATTTTGCCAACTTGAGCCCAGTTGAATTCTGTGCAGCAAACAGGTGAGACCATTAACGTAGACATAAATACACACATTCCAACACATATGTCTAGAAATAAATTTGCAGAAGTACTAAATAACTGAATAGCCAATGTGATAGCATCAAAAATCAAAATCTGAGTTTCGAGTGCATAATAAGTATTCAGGACTGTGCTAGGCATTATGGCAATTAAAAACAGATGTAGATATCACAATGTGAAACGGTAACAGACATGGGCACAAAAGTAAAAGGACATACAGACACATGTGCAACTTTATCTTGAGCAAATACTATGTTTTTGAAGGTACAAAGACTCACAGGACACAGGATTTTGTATATTACTGATGGATGCAGTGTGAATTGTGGATGCTGCATACTTAAACTTGGTTGAGCCAACTTAAAACAACAACAACAACACATTCTTTCCAGGTATGGGGGAATGATTTGGTGGGAGTGGGGGCAGTGGTGATTTTCCAGAGTTCTTCAAATGATGGGGGAGGTACAGGGTGGAATACTGGAAAGGAAGACAGGTAGAAAGTGCAGTCTGAAGGAAGATGCAGGCGGGAGTTAGAGTGTATTGAACAAAGTGGGTGGTGAGGAAGTCTGCCTGTTAAGAAGTGGAGGAGGCATTTATTATAAGCAAAGGATATGTCAAAATTACCCTTTTTAAATAGCTGAATTAATGTTTAAACTCATAAAGGATCCAATTTACTGAAAATTATTGAGTCCCTTATGGAAAACCAATAGTGATTACAACTTAAAGAGCTGTTGTTCTACAGCCTGGGACTTATATGCCATATGTGTTTATCTTTTTCACTAGCCTACTTCCATGCGATACTACTACAGCAGCTTTCAAGATGAACATTTGACAAGCCAGCTCACCGCCGACTGACACCTCCATTTCAGCTGGCCTGACATATATAGAAAGAAACTGAATGTTTATTCGTGTGCTTTCCGGATTTGACATATGTGCTATATAAGAGTCACAGAAGGAAACTTCAGAAAAGAAATTAGGAGTGTACTTGTCAGTTTATTAATCAAAGTTTACCTGCTTCACATTACACAGAGACAAATTAAGCTGGCTACTATGGTGCTTCAAAAACATCTGCTAACAAAGTCAGAAGTAATGATAAACAAACGAGTTCCCTTTGTGGTTGATTTTGATCCAGCTGCATTTAATTATAATAGCACTATCAAAGAAAGCTCCCCATTAGCTGCTAATTCAGAATGACTTCAGAAGAAACTCCCAAAGCCTCCAGTGATATTCCTCCAACTCCAAAAACTTCCTAATCTCTGCCAATGTTTATGGAGAGCCATATTAAAGAACTTTGGTTATCAGTCCTAACTCATGGACTGCCAAAGTGGTATTTGTTGTTTTTTTCTAAAGACCACCTTTGTAATAATGTGACCAATTAAATTTTTTAAATGACAAAATTTATAACTTTAGAATTAGATAATAAAATGCTTCAAAAAGGTAAGGAGAAGTCTTATTTTAATGCATAGTACAAATAAAATGCAAGCCCAGTCATGTAATTCATCAGTTTACATTCACCATAGCTAGACATAAAGTGGCACTCGATTTTTCAAATTCAGGCTGATTAGTTTTCAAATAAACAAATAACCGAAGCCTCTTGGAAGAAAACTCTTTCCACCCAACTCAATAATGAATCACTATAAATCATCCTTTTGATTGATCAGCACTGGTTCTTACAAATTCCCAGGTATATATTTTTCCATTGACAGTCTCAACACCTCCATAACATTGTGTAGCACCTCCTTTTTCTCATGCTCTCTCAAATGGAAATATGAATGATTCCTCTCTCAAATTTGGCTTCTACCTGGCCAGGAAGCAAACATGAAATCAAAAGCTCACATGTGCAAATCTTACTTAGCTGTATGTGTGCCTTTGCTGAACCAACCTGGGAGCGCACGACACCTCTTTTATTTGTCTTTGGGTGAGCTGATGAGATGCAAGTTAAAGGGGAGATGTATAACCTGGAAAAGTATGTATGTTAATTTGGTACTAAACTCTGTATTAAAGGACAACAAACCAACAAGCCAAAAGTAGAGAAGTTTCACTAAGACAATAATGAATGCACAGTCACCCAGATTGAGAACGGTAAGCATTTTCCAGTATTGGATCTGACCAACCTCTGAGGACCCATCTCATAATATATTTTCCCAGCATCTACATGAAATAAGTTCACGTAGATGTTGGGAGAGACACATGAGATTGGAGTGATATGGTTTGGCTCTGTGTCCCCACCCAAATCTCATCTTGAATTATACTCCCATAATTTCCATGTGTTGTGGGAGGGTCCTGGTGGGAGATAATGGAATAATGGGAGCAGTTTCTCCCATACTGTTCTCATGGTAGTGAGTAAGTCTCACGAGATCTGATGGTTTTATTAGAGGACACCCCTTTCACTTGGCACTCATTCTCTCTCTTTGCCTGCTGCCATCCATGTAAGACATGACTTGCTCCTCCTTGCCTTCTGCCATGATCATGATGCCTCCCTAGCCATGTGAAACTTTAAGTCCATTAAACCTACTTTTATTCCCAGTCTCAAGTATGTCTTTATCAGCAGCATGAAAATGGACTAATATAGCAAATTGGTACCAGTAGAGTAGGGCACTGCTGAAAAGATACTCGAAAATGTGGAAGCAACTTTGGAACTAGGTAGCAGGCAGGGGTTGGAACAGTTTGGAGGGCTCAGAAGAAGACAGGAAAATATGGGAAAGTTTGGAACTTCCTAGAGACTTATTGAATGGCTTTGCCCAAAAATGCTGACAGCAATATGGACAATGAGGTCCAGGCTGAGGTGGTCTCAGATGGAGATGAGGAACTTGCTGGGAACTGGAGCAAAGGTGACTCTTGTTATGTTTCAGCAAAGAAACTGGTGACATTTTGCCCCTGCCCTAGAGATTTGTGGAATTTTGAACCTGAGAGAGATGATTTAGGGTATCTGGCAGAAGAAATTTCTAAGCAGCAAAGTATTCAAGGAGTGACTTGGGTGCTGTTAAAGGCATTCAGTTTTATAAGAGAAGAAGAGCATAAAAGTTTGGAAAATTTGCAGCCTGACAATGTGATAGAAAAGAAAATCCAATTTTCTGAGGAGAAATTCAACTGGCTGCAGAAATTTGCATAAGTAACAAGGAGCCAAATGTTAATCCCCAAGACAATGGGGAAAATGTCTCCAGGGCATGTCAGAGGCCATCATGGCAGCCCCTCTCATCATAGGCCCAGAGCCCTAGGAGGAACAAATGGTTTCATGGGCCAGGCCCAGGGTCCCTGTGCTGTTTGCAGCCTAGGGACTTGGTGTCCTGTGTCCCAGTCGCTCCAGCTGTGGCTGAAGGGGGTCAACATAGAGCTCAGGCTGTGGCTTCAGAAGGTACAAGCCCCAAGCCTTGGCAGCTTCCATGTGGTGTTGAGCCTGTGTGTGCACAGAAGTCAACAACTGGGGTTTGGGAACCTCCACCTAGATTTCAGAGGTTGTATGGAAACACCTGGATGCCCAAGCAGATGTTTGCTGCAGGGGTGGGGCCCTCATGGAGAACCTCTGATAGAGGAGTGCAGAAGGGAAATGTGGGCTTGGAGCTCCCACACAGAGTCCCTACTGGGGCACCACCTAGTGGAGCTGTGACAAGAGGGCCACCATCTTCCTTACCCCAGAATGGTAGATCCACTAACTGCTTGCACTGTATGCCTGAAAAAGCCATGGACACTCAATGCCAGCCTGTGAAAGCAGCTGGGAGGAAGCTGTACCCTGCAAAGCCACAGGAGCCGAGCTGCCCAAGACCATGGGAACCTACGTCTTGCATCAGCATGTCCCGGATGTGAGACATGGAGTCAAAGGAGATCATTTTGGAGCTTTAAGATTTGACTGCCCTGCTGGATTTTGGACTTGCATGGGGCCCTGTAGCCCCTTTGTTTTGGGTAATTTCTCCCATTTGGAATGGCTGTATTTATCCAAAGTCCGTACCCCCATTATATCTAGGAAGTAACTAACTTGCTTTTGTTTTTACAGGCTCATAGGCAAAAGGGACTTGCCTTGTCTCATATGAGACTTTGAACTGTGGACTTTTGAGATAATGCTAAAATGAGTTAAGACTTTGGGAGACTATTGAGAAGGCATGACTGTGTTTTGAAATGTGAGGAAATTAGATTTGGAAGGGGCCGGGGCAAAATGAAACGGTTTGGCTCTATGTCCCCACCAAATCTCGAATTCTACTCCCATAATTCCCATGTGTTGTGGGAGGGATCCAATGAGAGATAATTGAATCATGGGGGCAGTTTCTCCCATAATGTTCGAGTGGTAGGTAGCGAATAAGTCTCAGGAGATCTGATGGTTTTATAGGGGGAAACCCCTTTCACTTGGCACTCATCCTGTCTCTTTCCCTGCTGCTCCATGTAAGATGTGACTTGCTCCTGCTTGCCTTACACCATGATTGTGAAGCCTCCTCAGCTATGAGGAACTGTAAGTCCATTAAACCTCTTTCTTTTGTAAATTGTCCAGTCTCAGGTATGTCTTTATCAGCAGCATGAAAACAGACTAATACAGGGAGAATGAGAGAAGCTTTTGCCTACTGAAAATATTCGTATCTCTGAAAGGTTTTGTTTATGTTTGTTCCTCTCTTTGTTTTTCAAGGAAGAACAAAATATGTCTAGATGAAACTAATTTTTTAGCTTCCTGACTTCTATTCTCAATCCTCAAGGAGACAGGCATGTTTACGAGGGCTGCTCAACTTGTCATAAGGGAAAATATAAGTAGAAGAAGATACCATTGCTTTTAGGCATGTTTTGTGCAAACTTACTTTCAGTGATCCATCAGGGTGAGCATATGACATCAATTTCACCCTTGGCACAAAGATCAAATGATGTTGCAAATGGTGTTATTTTTCTGTTTATGATAATACTTGTGATGACTTGAACACCCTCCTCCAATTGGCTTGAGAACAAGTATTATTCTTCTGTGTTTGGTTTCATAAAGCTGGGATCTGTCGTGTTTGAAAAATAACATGAAGGAAGAAGCATGGTCTTTGGTGGTAGTCAATCAAAACTGAGGATTTTCCAAATGGTTGCTTTGGGAGAAGTGCATTAATGTCCATGTTCATTCTTCTGCTCTAAAGATTCTAAAATTCTTCTCCTTGAGAGCCTGAGCAAATGGAGGCATGGGCCATCTTTTCAAATAAGACTTTTACTCACATTATTTGCCCTTTCTTTTGAATAACTAGGTGTTTTACAGTGGAACAAACATTTTGGAGCATGAAAGGCCCTGTGTAAAAATCTTATTACATTCCAGTACAAAAGTTCTTGAGAGTAAGCTAGGAGGTCACTTCAGTTTCTCTAATGAACCCCAGTGTCTTAACTTTAAATAGTATTTGCTCATTTTCTCCTCTACATTGTAGATCTACACACAGTTGTTGGCTGTTCTTATAGCTTATATGAATCCCTGAGAATGCATATATACTCATAAGGCTTATATGTTTCCATTTTTAAACACTAAGTCTCTAAGGTTTCAGCATTATATAAATATATAGCCAAAAGGAAAAGAAAAGTTTATAAAATCCTCAGGAAGTTTCAGCAGGCAAAATGAACCCTGGAATGTAAGGTAGTATAGTTATTTACAAATCCAGGATGGTGAATGGGCCAGCTTATACCCTGAACCTTTCCATGCCTTGGTTTCTACATCTTTAGACCAGGAATTACACTTGCCTTAATCTTCTTCTTTAAAAAAAAAAAAAAATCATTAACTGAGAAAATTCATTGAGAAGTATATTTTCCTCTCTGCAGGTAAGAAAATTTCCATTGCAAAATACAGAATCCAAATACTTTTTTACATTGCAATTCTCTACAACCATTTGGGAAAAATGTTTACTGATTTTAAAAATAATTGAAGCCCACTCATCTAGTTCAATACTTTCATTTTCCAGGAAAAAAAGAAAACTCAAAGAAGTTACGGACTTGCCTAAATTCAACACTCATAAGATTAGAACATGAAAAAGACTAGTATGTCTTCTACCTGCAAGTTCAATACTATCTGTTTTGTGGTAGTTCCAAAAGAAAAAATGATAATTTTTTATGTATAATCCCATCAATTATTTTATTACTACCCATCATCTTATCTTCCCCTAACTGTTGGACACATCAAATATTCTGCTCCTCTTGTAAACTATTTTTTTGGCTTCACAGAATTCCACGTCTTTCTAGTCAAGACTTTTGTAGATGTCACAAAATCATAAGGTTGTAAGTTTGTCTCAGAAAGTAGAGATCAATTTATTTAATTGATTTGGCATGCTGCTTATCACATCAATATGTAAATGTGATTGCTTAAAAAATACCACTTATTGATGTTGACTTCATCTGCAACTTCCTTTGCAACTTAAAAATCAGGCTTGTATTAGTCCTTTCTTTTGCTGCTAACAAAGACATAACTGAGACTGAGTAATTTATAAAGGAAAGGGATTTAATTGACTCACAGTCCAGCATGGCTGGGAAGGCCTCAGAAAACTTACAATTATGGCAGAAGGGGAAGCAAACATGTCTTTCTTCACATGGTAGCAGGAAGGAGAAGAATGAGTAAAAGGGGGAAAAGCCCCTTATAAAACCATCAGATTGCCTAAGAACTCACTCACTATCATGAGAACAGCATGGAGGTAACCACCCACATGACTCAATTACCTCCCACCAGGTCTCATCCATGACACATGGGGATTATGGGAACTACAATTCAAGTTGAGATTTGGGTGGGGACACAAAGGCTAACCATATCATTCCACCCCGGCCCCTCCCAAATCTCATGTCCTCACATTTCAAAACATAATCATGCCTTTCCAACGTCCTCCAAAGTCTTAATTCATTCCAGCATTAACTCAAAGTCCAAGTCCAAAGTCTCATCTAAGACAAGGCAAGTCCCTTTTGCCTATGAGCCTGTAAAATCAAAAGCAAGTTGGTTACATCCTAGATACAATGGGAGTACAGGCACGGGGTAAATACACCTGTTTTAAATGGGAGAAATTGGCCAAAAAAGGGAGGCTACAGGCCCCATGCAAGAAATGCAACAAGGCAGTAATCTTAAAGCTGCAAAATAATATTCCTTGACTCCATGTCTCACATCCAGGTTATGTTGCTGTAAGAAGTGGGCACCCACAGCATTGGCCAGCTCAGCCCCTGTGGCTGTGGCTTTTCAGGGTACAGACCCCGTCCCAGCTGCTTTTGTGGGCTGGCATTGAGTGTGTATGGCTTTCCCAGGTGCATGGAGCAAACTATCGGTGGATCTACCATTCTGGGGTCTGGAGGACAGTGGCCCTCTTCTCACAGCTTCTCTAAGCAGTGTCCCAGGGGGGCTCTGTGTGGAGGTCTGTCCCCACATTTCCCTTCTGCACTGCCCTAGCAGAGGTTATCCATGAAGGGTCTGCCCCTAAAGCATACTTCTGTCTGGACATCCAGACATTTCCATACATCCTCTAAAATCTAGGCGAAGGTTTCCAAACATCAATTCTTAACTTCAATACCACATGAAAGCCGCCAAGACTTGGGGCTTGTTCTCTCTGAAGCAATGGCCTGAGCTGTATATTGGCCCCTTTTAGCCACAGCTGGAGCTGAAGCAGCTGGGATGCTCCAAAGGCTATGTAGAGCAGGGGGGCCCTCAGCCCAGCTCAGAAAACCATTTTTGCTTCCTGGGCCTCCAGGCCTGTGATGGGAGGGGCTGCCGTGAAAGCCTCTGACGTGCCCTGGAGACACTCCCCTCATTGTCTTTGTGATTAACATTTGGCTCCTTGTTACTTATGCAAATTGCTGCAGCAGGCTTGAATTTCTCCCAGAAAATGTGAATTTCTTTTCTATCACATGATCAGGCTGCAAATTTTCCAAACTTTTATGCTCTGCTTCCTCTTGAATGCTTTTCCACTTAGAAATGTCTTCTACCAGGTAACCTAAATCATCTCTCTAAAGTACAAAGTTCCACATATCTCTAGGGCAGGGGCAAAATGCCACCAGTCTCTGTATAGCAAGAGTGACCTTTATTCCGGTTCCCAAAAAGTTCCTTTTCTCCATCTGAGGCCACCTCAGCCTGGACTTTATTGTCCCTATCACTATTAGCATTTTGGTCAAAGCCATTTAACAAGTCTTTGGGAAGTTCCAAATTTTCTTACATCTTCCTGTCTCTGAACCCTCCAAGTCTCTAGGAAGTTTCAAACTTTCCCACGTTTCCTATCTTCTTCTGAGCCTTCCAAGCTGTTTCAACTTCTGCCTATTTCCCAGTTCCAAAGTTGCTTCCACACTCTAGGGTATCTTTACAGCAGCACCCCACTATCTGGTACCAATTTACTGAATTTGTCTGTTCTCACGCTGCTAATAAAGACATACTGAGACTGGGTAATTTGTAAAGGAAAGAGATTTAATTGACTCACAGTTCAGCCTGGCTGGGGCAGGTTCAGGAAACTTAAAAACATCCCAGAAGGGGAAGCAAACATGTCTTTCTTCACATGGCAGCAGGAAGGAGAAGAATGAGCAAAAGGGGAAAAGCCCTTTATAAATCCATCAGATCCCCTGAGAACTCACTCACTATCATGAGAACAGCATGGAGATAACCACCACAATGATTCAGTTATCTCCACCTAGTCCTGCCCTTGACACATGGGGATTATGGGAACTACAATTCAAGATAAGATTTTAGTGGGGACACAGCCAAACCTTATTAAGACTCAAATTTATTTTAAGTTGTGAATTTATTTTCACAGCAACATTCATCTAACAAATACTTCCTAAATATGTCCTGTGTATAAATAACTGATATCTTGCCTGATTTTCACATCCAGTATTGGTGGACATAGGGACACAATTATATGTAAGAGAAAATATCACCATTATATTGGAATCTAGGGGCAGGGAGATGATTTCCAGCTAGGTAGTACAGAAAGGGCAGGTAAGCATATCTTGTGAAGATGGTGGCTTTATAGGTATCCTAGCAGAATGGGTAGAATTTCAATGCCAGAAATAGAAAGAAGGTTTTCTAGGTGGTATCTAACATGGTTCAGAACAGTAAAGCCAGTTGGACTCAGTGTAAAATGTGCCTGAAACAGCGCTCCAATAACCAGAAATATCTCCATGACCTATCTCATGTCTTCTCTCTGAATTTCTGCCAGATCAATGTTCCCATTTCTTATCCTGTGCCCTCCAGTTAGACTCTGTCTCTGTCTCCTTTGGATTGACGCTTCCATTAGACTGCTTGCCAGGCTTTCAATTTTGGTTCCATCCACGAAAATAGTCTATTAGATCACCTGGAGTCTGGGCTCCTTGCCTGAAGGTCAGCTCAGTGCCATTCATGTCAGGCCCATGTTGCTCAGCCCCTCTGCCCAGATCCATATTCTTCAAACATTGTAGGAGAAAGAAGGACATGAGAAATAGACAAATGTATTTAGGAATGGTCCCAACGTGAACATTCTTTATTTTGTTGCATTAATTGGCTCATCTAATGTACTCTGCAATTCTTCCTTTCCCTGTTCTTTGAAGACAAATTCCACAGATTTTTTTATCCTCAGCATTTAAAATCTAGTCTAGAACAAAACATTAATTTCACATGAAAATTAAAGTATCTCCTCTTTTTCCATCTGAACCTTGGCTTGTGGCTTGGGTCCTGCAATGTGGAAGTGAGGCATGCTTTGCTTTACTTATTCCTTTTTCTTTCTTTTGCCCTGTCACTCCCTCTCTGCCTTTCTTTCTGCTATTCTGGGTTTCCCTTGGGTCTCAGCATTTTTGGGCTCTCAAAGGGGCTGGGGTGGGGTGAAAGTCTGTGTGGCAGTCATCCAAATGCTGATTCTGCACTTTTTATGGGCTCCTCAGAGGCCCCCATCTCCCGGAGGCTTTCTGAGATGGATGGTGCCTTCTACAGCTGACCTCTCCTCTCTCTCATCTCCCACCCCTGGCTGACTACTCAACAGTTTCTTAGGGGTGCAGTTCCCATGACACGGGAGGCTTCCAAGGCTTCCATTTGATCCACAAAACACTCACATATCTTTGTCATACAAAATGTGGATGTTGTAGGCTGTGCCACTACTACTGTGTCATCTTGCTCTGTGTCGCAGATGCTCCAGCTATTTCTCACTCAGAGAGAAGAGGGACCAGTCCCCATGTTTGCATAACTCCAAACGAACTCCTTGAGATATATGTGAAACTCTCCCTAGAGCTGTCCTGTCTTCTTCTACTCTGCTGTCTGGACCAGCATGGGGCTAATGAACTCCTATGGCTCAGTAAGATTTCCTCAGTATAGGAAGATGCCAGTCTTCCTTTTCAATACATACTCCAATGTATATGAATAATTCTCTGACAGTCCTTCTTGGTAGGCTTGAAAGGAGAGAGAAGAAAGAATGCAAAACACTCTCCCTCTATGCCTGCAGCTCACTCATTCAATGCATTCAAATATGTTCTAGTTTTCTGCTTACATCAGCTGGATGAGGTGGGGGAGCATGTCTTTTTATGGAATATAAGCCACCTGTTGCCTGTTCCCCTCAGCTTTGGATCTTCAGTCAAAATTCTGAAGCGTTGAGAGAAGTTCCATTCAGCACCATTTTACGATAATATTTGTATAGGAGGGTAGTGACAAAAAGGCTGTAGGGAGGTGCCAGTTTCTATGGAAATGGAATCTTATTTAAGAGGCTATGGGATAGAAACAAAGGTTTTTTGATTTAGCATTTTTGGCAATGCTAACATTTACATTCCAAAATTGTCTTCCATGCTTTACTTATAAGTCGATTCTTAAAGCTGAAAAGTAATTTTAAAAAAGTTTTGAAAATTATTTTGCTTTTTTATGAACTTGTTACATTGTTGTTTTTCACCAAATACTTGCAGTGCCTTTCTAGGCAGAAAGTAAAGTTGCATTTCTCTCCCACCTTGGAATTGACATGGCCATGTCAATTTCTTTGAATTACAAAATGAGAATGGAAGTAACATGTGGAAGCTTTAAGAGCCAGAGCAAGATAAGTAATGTGTTCTCCATATTTCTCCCTAACAAGACTGTTTCAGAGAATGGCTGTTCTCTCTTATCTGGGCCACCAGAGTGAGGACCACACAGAGCTGAGGCTCCATCAACTTTGGAAATCATATTCAGTGTGAGTGAGAAAGAAAACTTCTTTCCACCCTCTGAAATTTGGGGTGTATTTGTTACTATAGCATCACCTACCTCCTTACTAATACGAGTATATAAATATTTTACACTATAGAGCGAAGTAGTGCACTACAGTTAGTATTTTCTGTGTTTCTTAAACTTCTCTCCACTACCTACTGTCCTGTGCTGCTCACAGGAATTAGATTTCCTCTTTTATATTCTACTGACTACTTAAAAACATGCTGCAATTTGCCTGAATTTTCAGTTATACATCTTATACAATTAACGTCTTAACTGGAATTACCATCATGTCTTAATATCAATTACTGTCTGATAGAAATGTTGGTTTTCTTTAAGGAAGGTGATCTTTCTTTAAGAGACTGGTGGAGAGGCACAGCAGAAGTTGGACTCTTAAGTTCATAGATCTCACTTGTTATAGACGGGAACAAATCGAATAGAGGAATTTGCATTGGAATAAGTAATGGGCACCTACTTCCTTGAGAAGAGATTAAAAGAAAACAAACAAAAAGGATTCTGAAAGAAAAATGTTAATATCCAGGGAAAACCTCTGTTCAGCTAGAAGTAACCTCATTTCTTGTGAATCCTATAGATGAGAGCATAGTATAATAAAGGGTCCCCTTAATTCCCTGGATATTTACTGAGCTATCTTATTATGCTAGGGCCTATTGGTAATTAAATTGTGTCTAAGTCTGTCCTTCTCCAATAGAAGACAACATCTTCTAAAAGAGAATAAGTTGATAACACTTTAAGAGAAGTACATGTGCCTCCTAGGATTCAGTTCAAGTATGGGAGATGGACAACTTTTGCAGATTCGTATGATTAAAATAAAATGGTTTATAAAGAGAACACCATGAGGACCATGTAGCTTAGTGCTCCAACCAGAAGTGTCTATTTTTAAGCTGTCAGTGAATTTCAAAGCAACACACATTTCTTGAAATACTACTATGTGTAACTTGCTGCACTAGGCCTTGTTTCAAAATGTTTGTCATTTTCTCAAATACCACATGCTTCCCTACTCAGGAATTTAAGATAACTTCTTAATGCTTAAAAAACTTAAGCTTAGCCCTAAATACTGTGTATTAAATGACTGCTTCTTGCCTCTGTGTATTTAACTATTATTATTTCACCCATGTGCTCCTACACACTAACCAAAGCAAATTATAGTCCTTCCAAATTGTTTGATAAGCTCTACCTCTATGCTTCAACTGCTGCAGTCCTCTACTTACCCTCACCCAAATAAGGCCTCTTATTATTTTCTTTTTTCTCCGCTAATCTTGTCCTCTAATATACTTCGAAACTGTGTTGCAAATATATGTCTACTATCCCAGTAGACATATATTGCTATCCTAGTAGACATATATTTGCAACATAGTTTTGAAGTATTAATTAAGCAAGACATAATTAACTCCAAGCCAATTCTGATTACTCTTTGATTGTGGATTTCATGTTTACCTATAGAATTATTTAATTTCATTGCTATAAAAGGCCCACAGATGTATATATGCCCATGATTATCATTACTTGGGGAAAAATCAGGGTCAAAACCTAGTTTCCCTGGCTCTCCATTTGTTTCCGTGCTACCTGTACCTATATCATATTTCGTACTTTTGATTAACCATAGGCTTGATAGTTCTCTCAAGCTGACTTATAGTGTACTTATTTCCTCACATATAAAATAGTAATTTTAGATGCATTTTTAAATAATATTAATAAGAACTATCATTTATTAGGAAATGTATATTAATACACTTGCATCTCAATCCAATGAAATAGGTACTATTACAACCATCATTATAATTTTACATATTAAGTTTCTGAGACAGAAAAGACTTAAATAACTTTTTCAAGGTAGCATGGTGACTACCTGAGATTCAAGCCCAGGTAGTCAAGCTCCAAAGCTTACGATCATAATTACCTTCCTGTAGAGGGATGTTTTGTGCACAAATAAACCAGAATTTATACACCCAAATGAGTGTACACTCTTTCAAATCAGTCATCTTAGGATATTACACATTTATGCCAATGATCGGGTATTTTTCCAGAATATTTTTAGACCTGAGGTTCTGGAATTTACATGAGCATATCTAGAGCACTCTTTGAAATATTCACAACAAGAGCAAATCCTTTTCCTATGAAGACAATTTCTGTTTTGGAACCAGTCAAAAGTCAGTTATTGCAGGGCTAAGTAAGATGGCTAAGTAAATTTTGTAAAACCATATCCAATAAAAAGTTTACTGGAGATATAAAATAATTAGACTATTTTGTGGGGAGTGAGTCATAAGCTTTCCATACTAAGGCAACAGTTCCCAAAACATCTTGAGTTAACATCCCATAATGCCTAAATAGACTCCCATAGCAAACATTCCCTTCCTAAGCATTTCCTTTTTTTTCTTCCAGCAACATGCTCTGTTTTCTCTTAGGGACACCGAGCTTGATGTGATCTGAGTGAAGCTCTTGCTAGGACCATGTGATGGGCATGCGACCAAGCACTAAGTGACTGACGCACTCATTCGATGGCCACAGTGACTGGTTCAGAGATGGACACATGACTAAAGCTTGTCCAACCAGAGTGAATCAGCCTTGGTACTCTTGTAAGCACTTTCAGACAAGAGATGCTGTTTTCACAGAACACGGAATTGTGAGGTAGTGAGATTATGGCTGGAAGCACCAGCTTGCTGCAAAATGGAACCTGTACATGAAATCATAACACAGAGACTAGCAAGGGCTAAGTAAGGGATTAAGAGATAGTAGGTCCTAGAAATTGGTTTGAACACCCGGATCAAAATAAAACTTGAAGCCAAATGTACTCCGGACTTTTTGGTTATGAGAGTAAATGGATTCCACTCTGTCACTTGCAGAAAGAGTTTTACTCATGTACATCTCCAGGTGACTACATAAAAAGATACTACTGATTGACTTAGTCTCTATAGTCACTCTATAGTCACTCCTAGGGCCTACAATATCATTGCTATCTATAGTGGGAATTTATTGTACTCTTATGATAATGCATTTCTGGCAAAATTTTAGACTGAGACATTCTATTTTACCCAAATACCTGAAAACATCTGACTCAGATGAATTTAATACCTGTGTCATATCCATGCAGCACTGTTCCCTTTATTCTATTAAGAGTGAGAATAACATAAGTGGGGGAAGGGGCAGAAAGCAAAATTTTATTCAAATAGTTATTTCTCTGAATTTTACACTCCAGCAAATGAAGCTCACATACAGGGATAGAGTAGTAATGCCTTTTTAAAAAATCTCTAAATTTTTAAGTGAGAGTTGTAATCAGAATACTCAAATATCACAATTGTTCTTTCTGAAAATCAATTTATCTGGCTAATCTGAGACATGTTAAGCATTATAATCTGATACTGATTTCATGGGTATGATTGGAAAGTCACTCATGATCCAGACTGACCTTTTGTATCTTTCAAGATAGAATTATACACAATGAGTCACGTTAAAGTCATACAAATCCAAATTAAATTATATTAAATAATATAAAATAAACTGGAATTATTATATTATGTAAAATATAATCTAAAATGTCAAAATAGCCAATATCTGTCAAAAAAGGCTAGATATATCATCAAATTCTCCCCAAAATTTACCAAATGTATACAAATGTACTACTGTTTCTTATTCATACTTAACTTGCATAGATTTCATCACCACCATTAGTGAAGAAAATTGCTGTGCCCTTGATATTTAAGCTACATTAATGTTAATTTTTATGCATCCATTAGAGTTGCACTAACAGAGTTTTTTTTTTTTCTGAATTTGATGTCCATTCCTTAGAAAGAATGCATTGGAAATCGTAGCTTTCAAATAAGGGACACATTGTGACCAAGGAACAAACCAATTTAACATGAATGGTTTAAAATTATTCTAATAAGCCTGATACTCTTTTAAATTGAGAATCAATATATATATCAAAGTACAAAGCAATGAGTAGGATTCTCAGCAAAAATAGCCAACTGACATAAGCATTTCTCCAAGAAACATCATTTTTCTTGCCATCAATTATTACATTCTTCTCAAGTCAAAAAACACACCACAGGTAATTTTGAACACTTTAAATGAGTAGATTAGCTTTCCTGTTATAATTAAAGGCTTTTGCTTATAGCCTCTGTGTTAAGATTATCAAACAACAACAACTGTCTTGTTTTCTAAGATTCAGAATTTTCCAGTTATGCAATTTGGATGCCAGCATACCAAACCTCAATTCTAGCGGTGGGTCCTGATTAGCCTGAACCCAGTAGTATAACTGAAACCACTCTCCCTGCTTCCCACAGGTAGAGCTCAGAAGTCACTGGAACCCATCTCAGCCATTCAAGGATGCAGACTTCTCTGCTCCCAGTGACCTGTTACTGGGGGCAGGTGTCTTGCTTGATTCAATCGGAGTAAACTTAAGATTTTTGGCCAGACACAGTGGCTCACGCCTGTAATCCCAGCACTTTGGGAGGCTGAGGCGGGTGGATCATGAGGTCAGGAGTTGGAGACCAGCCTGGCCAACATGGAGAAACGCTGTCTCTACTAAACATACAAAAAATTAGTCAGGTGTGGTGGCACGCACCTGTAATGCCAGCTACTCAGGAAGCTGAGGCAGGAGAATTGCTTGTACCCGGGAGGCGGAGGTTGCAGTTAGCCGAGACCATGCCACTGCACACCAGCCTGGGTGACAGTGCGAGACTCCATCTCAAAAAATAAATAAATAAATAAAATAAAAAAGATTTTTGTTCAGTGTTTGGATATGAGAGACACTTCTTGCCCTGAATTAAAAAAAAAAAAAACTGGACTAGTATTTCCTTAATTACTATATCATGATAGGTTTTTCTAATGCTACACTGATTTGGATTTGGGTAGTATCTATATAGAAACGAGATAAGTGGAGATTTGCTACATTAATATGAATTTTAAAATACAGCCAAACTAAATAATTAAATCTGAGTAAAATTTTTTAAAAGTTTGTTCTCTACATTTCTGGAGGATGTATACACAGGTAACTAATCAAAGTATTAGTAAGAATCTCACTAAAACCTATAACCGTTACAAGATTAAAATCTTCTTTCATGTTCCAAATATTTAAATAAATAATTTGTTATATTTGTAAACAATCTCATATCTGCATTTAAGACAATAAAACCATATTCAACTAGGAAAACAGATACATGTTTGGTGTTGTCAATAGTCACAAGCTTTGTGAAGACCCCTGAAGTGTTGAAATAATACATGGATTCCAGTTCTACATTCCTTAAATGAAATTCTTGGATATCCTAGTGTGGCACCAAGTATTCAAAGATAAACATTTTTTGGATAGGCAAAGGTAGAAGTAAACAAAAAAATAAAGACATTGAGATATCTGTTAAACATTTGTTTGGTAATAGCAAAAATATTGGAAAGTATACAATTTCAAATGGACTGCTTTCAGTATCCTACCTTTTTTCCCACGTAGTGTGAAATATATCACTCATTGCAGATCAATAGTTTAAGTATCCTCTATTCTTTATGATTATTCAGCCACCTTTCTTATCACCTCCCATTTCAAAAAACACAAAACCCATTAACTTTTCTCCCAGATCCCTCATTTGTGGAATAATCTTTACTCTTGACAGACACCAACTACTTGGGAGTTTGTGTTAATAGGCACCTGACATCATTTTCACAAGTTTCTTTTGACACTACCTTTTAATCAACAGGATAGAGCCTGAATAAGCCTGTCGGATGTTTCAACAAAATAAAAAGGAATATATTATAAACCCACAAAAGTACATTGATTGTGTCTACAAAGATATGTAATTTAAAAAAGTATAAATCAAGGACTGCTATTTTATACTTGACTTCAGTTATTTTGAACACTTGTGGTCTAGTTGTGCTCATTGTTAAGGATATGATTTTATGTGTTTAGAGTAAATCTGCTGTAAGCAATTTTATAGTTTAATGAAAATAATTATAGTTTGAGCAGAATGAAGTGTATCTGATTCTACTTCCCCAAAATAAGCTGTGATATAAATTATCATGATTTATTATGGTTATTCTTGTGGTTATGTTTGGAGTGGATTCTAGCAAGTAATGATGATTCTAAATTGCAAAGAATAGCATTTTGAGCTATTTTTCCTCAGATCTCATCTCTAATTTTTCTATGAAACTGATACAATTTTCATTGTGGTACAGTATGTGCTACTGTGAAGACAGCATTATTGTACTGTCAGTTTGACAGCTTACCTTAATTTATACCATTTAGTGGAAAAAAATACAATTTTTAAATCTTTTTTAATACATCATATGCCACTATTGCTCTTCAATTTTTAGCCCATGAAGTAGCAATGCTGTGCTCTGATGCAAAATCCTGCATTTCCCTACTTAAACTGTTTACGGTGACTTCAACTGCAGTATTCTGTTTTGGTATGTTTTTAACTTCTTATCAAAAGCCAGAGTAATAGATATATATTTTTGACTGAAAGTATTTTCAGGCCTAGCCATAATTTCATTCACCTGAGAGCATTTGAATACACTTCTGAGGAAAAAAAAAAAAAAGAGGCGTTATGATAGGTTGTAGTAATTCCATGAGCTACTAGGTGATTGGAAGCAAGGTTCAAATAACTCCTTTTATGCTGAGTAAATAATTATATTTTAAACTAATGGCTCAGTTTCATACATCCAAGCTCCTCATTCCACTAATTCTATCAATTAATTATTCTAAGAAACACTTACTGAGAACCAACCAGATGTCAGCTTCCAATCTAGACACAGATGAAAATGACCAGGCCTAGACAGAAAATGCACAATTACAGGCCAACACTGATGGTAGAAAGTAGTGAGTGTCACAACCAGCCAATGTGCAAGTTTCTGTTTGGGGCACAAAGAAGAAGGATCTGACGCACCACAGGAAGAGTGAATCCCGGGGCCACAAACCAAATTTATGCCTAATTAGACTCAAAGTGTCCAAAGAAACAAACATTAAGTAAAAAGAAAAAAAAAATCACATCACAAAACTTTCAATACCATTCCTTCTCACTGTCACTTGGAGAACATTTTGCCCTTTGAACTTCATTGGTACATCAAAGTTGGTCTAGGTTGTCTTAAGTTTACAGGCATGTTAAGGGTCTTTTAGATATTTTCCTTCTGTGTTCTCTAAGATTAATGCCAACTGGCCTGAGGGTTTAAATGACTGTTCCTCAAGGACTTATACAATAGTCATTTGGAGCACCTTATTAAAGAAGTCAGATCTTCACCACAGAGGTTTGTCTTGGTTTCCTGTGATGATCCTATTCATTATACATGCATGAAATTATGGGAATCAGTCTAAAGAGCTTCTCAAACCAAACTACTTAGAAAAAAATTGTTTTAATTATTTTTTTTTACCACTCAGAGTTCATACATAATAGGAAAATGACGTTTCATTTCTTAAAATAAACACATATCAAGACATTTGCACTTGGTCAAGGTGTTTTTGTCTGCGACTGATTCTTGCTAAAAGCAGCATTCACTGGAATTTTGAGGGTTGCTAATGGTATGAGCTTAGATTTGAAGTGGCATAGACCTGGCTTCTAATTCAGCTCCCATTGTTTTTACCCGTTGTGTGAACGTAACTAAGTTATTTAACCACTTGAGGCTTCTGTTTCCTAATTTGTAAGACAGAAGTAATAATTTTTATCCCACAGGATTGTTAGGAGGATTAATTCTCCATCAAGGTGCCTAGAAATTGCTCAATAAAAGACTATCTTTGTTGTTAATACGTCATTCATGATATTTAATGCCACTGGTTACTAAGCACCAAATGCTATAGGATAAAGTCATCTTCTATGTAAGTCATGGACTGGGCAAGTCTATTTAGCTTATTACACGCCAGAAATGAAACAATTAACCATTGTTTTTACTTTATTATGTCAATATTTTCTGATTACTAACATTAGCATCAGTTTTGCCACAATTAGTACCTTGACTAGATGCAAATAGCAAATTATAATTATGCCATTAGGATTACTTGAAAAGTTTTCAAGTGACTCAGATTTCCGGATCCCATCTTAAACTCACCAAATCAAAATCCTCGAAGGCAAGGCTGAGAAATCTGTTTTAAATTGCTCTCCAGGTGATTCTGATGCGCAAGTTTAGAAAACTGCATTAAATGACCCAAGTCAAGGTTAAGTACAGTGATACAAGTAATACCTTCCTGTTTAACCTAGTTCTAAGACTGCAGTACAAAAGACTGACCTTGGTCTAGCTGAAGAGCAATTAACTACTATCTGTCTTTATTCATCCATATAAAAAAGGGCAGGGAAAGATAACACTGGGTCAGTTAAGCACCCTTTTCACAATGTTCTTCTTAATGTGCTATTTTTATGTCAATTTGCCATCATCTAAAACCTTAGAAGCATTTTTCTTTAAAAAAAATGTTAGGATGTAGAATTTAAACATACTTCAGATCAGAGGTGTTCTACCTTATTTACACACAGCTACCACGTGGATAGTTTTTAAAATGCTGATGCCTGGGAGCCACCTCCAACTATTCTGATTTAATTGGTCCGGGTGCTGCCTGGGCAACCAGATGTTTAAAATTCCCAGATGATACTAGTGTGGGGCTCAAATGAGAGCCACTGCTGTTATGATTGACAGCTCACCTTGAGGATGGTCAGCTTCATCAGCAGTCCTGTTTCCCCATCCCTCAGTGTCATTTCCAAACTCACTTGTCCTCAGATTTCCTGAGGAACTTCACAAACACTAGAGGTTCCTGAGAGGCTAATTCAGGAGATATAAGAAAGAATTAAGGTGTGTATTATTTAAAAGTTCCCCCAGGTAACTTTAATGATAATAACTAATATCCATTGAAACTAAGAGCTAGGCAATGTTCTAATCCCTCTGAAAATATCCATTAATTTAATCCTCACTAAAACCTGTGAGTAAGAAGCATCATTATCCTCATTTCACAGTAGATGTAACTCAAGAACACAGAGGGCCAGTAATTTGACCCAAATAACATAGAGAATAAGAGGCAGATTCAGGATTTGAACCCCCAGTAACTTGACCCAAATAAGATAGAGAATAAGAGGCAGATCCAGGGTTTGAACCCCGGCTGTTAGACACCAGAGGTGTGCTCTTAATTCATTTATTTTTACAGCAACCCTAGGAGGTAGGTGCATCTTATTTCATTTTATTGGTGAGGAAAGCCTTAAAAAACAAATTATTGGAAGAGAAGTTAAAAACCACTATGGTTAAATTATATGCAGAGTTACTAATTAATTACACTAGCCATAAAATACCTATATCCTCCACAAGTGTGAACATATTTTACTGTCAGTCCCTCTTCTCGGTGTCTAAAATCTCCCCAGCTATGGAAGCCAAGTGGTCCTGGTCAATATTTTTACTGTTTTTCTTTTCCTTGCTGAATTGAATGCTCTGTGTGTGTGTGTGTGTGTGTGTGTGTGTGTGTGTGTGTGTGTGTGTGATATATACATGTAACATATGTATATGTAGTATCTCTGGAATAGAGCTAGCTTGTATAGCTGGTATGGTCTATCAGTCCCATAGTATAGTTGTTGATCTCCAGTTTTATAGCAACTTGTCATTCTATCTCTGAATGTGCATGATGGTACATTATGGACTAGGAGACAGGTCTCTTGGGCCAATGGGCTAGACAGGCACTATATTTTATTTCCAGTATATAGTACAGTTCAGGCACAATAGCACTTAACAATGTTTGTTGAATACATTAATAAGATTATGAAGCTGGGAAACTATGTCTCCCAAGCACCAGCAGCCAGCAAACTTGTATACTCTTTCTGTGCTTACCTTGCTCCAATTTATTTAAGTAGCATGTTCCCTTAGAACACTTATTTTCTTCCCTAATAAGACCAGCCCTTCACTACATAGCCCAAAGGGAATGCCTATGCCAGTAGGTCCATTTTTCTCTGGAATTCTTGGCTATTTAGTACAATGATCACTAGTCAATCAATAACAATACTATCTGTGCTACTTTTGGCCTCTCAAGGACTCTAAGGTTATGCTGTCTGATACGAGGGCCACTAGCCACATTGAGCACTTGACATGTGACTGGCTCGAAACCAAGATATGCTATAAGTGAAAATACACACTGAACTATGAAGACTTAGCATGAAAAAAATAATAGAAATATCTCATTAATAATTTTTATTCTTATATGTTGAAATTAAAAGTAGGTATATTCAATAAAGTATAGTATCAAAATTAATTTCACCTGATTCCCTTTACTCTTTTGAATGTGACTAGAAAACTTAACATTACATATTTGGCTCGCTTGTATTTGTGGCTGACATCTGTCTACCAGAGAGCATTTCTCTAAAGTCTCAATGAATCTCTGGTAGCTCCTGAATTTTCACTGTGTATCTTATAAGCTAGATAGCAATACATAAAATTACCTAGCTTCTCTAATCTTTAGTTACCCAGCATGCCCAATTCTACTATTTTCTAGGCTTGCTGTAGGAATTGCATACTATGATGCTTTCAAATTCCCAGGAGAGAACCAGGGTTTCTCAATGATCTTTTCACACCACCACTCCCCACTGACTCATCCTCAAATGCAGTCACAACCTGGAAGCAAAGAATAATGCAGCCATTCTTTGTGAGAAAAGAGACAACTCACTCTAACTGAAAATGCATTTGAAAAAATGTCAATCCTTCAACTTTTCCTGCCTGCTTTATATGGAGACCATTTACAAACTCCTTCAAACATTGAAATTGGATAAATGCTAGTTTACTTAAGTTGCAGTTAATAAATAGCCAGTGATCAGATGATCCAATTAAAAATGATTGGCCGGGCATAGTGGCTCATGCCTGTAACCCCAGCACTTTGGAAGGCTGAGGCAGGCAGATCGCCTGAGGTGAGGTGTTCCAAACCAGTCTGGCCAACATGGTGAAACTATGTCTCTACTAAAAATACAAAAATTAGCCAGGCATGGTGGTGGGCACCTGTAATCCCAGCTACTCAGGAGGCTGAGACAGGCGAATGGCTAGAACCCAGGAGGTGGAGGTTGCAGTAGCCAAGATTGCACCACTGCACTCCAGACTGGGCAACAGATTGAGACTCCGTCTCAAAAAAAAAAAAAAAAAAGAAAAGAAAAAGAAAAAAGAAAAAAAAAAGATTGACCCAACTGAGTGGAGAAAGTATAGATTACATTGAAATCAATCAATCAATCAAGTACTTGCAGAACTTTAGGCAGTAGAATTTCTAGAAAATAAAAACAAGGCCGAGCACGGTGGCTCACGCCTATTACCCCAGCACTTTGGGAGGCTGATGCGGGCAGATCACCTGAGGTCAGGAGTTTGAGACCAGCCTGACCAGCATGAAGAAACCCCATCTCTACTAAAAATACAAAACTAGCTGGGCGTGGTGGCGCATGCCTGTAATCCCAGCTACTCGAGAGGCTGATGTGGGAGAATCACTTGAACCCAGGAGGCAGAGGTTGCAGTGAGCCGAGATCGTGCCACTGCACTCCAGCCTGGGCAACAAAAGCAAAACTCCATCTCAAAAAAATAAACAAATAAATAAAAATAAAAGCAAATAAATTAGCACTCAAATTGTTAAACTCAAATTCTAAATAAACCTACATGATTGTATGTTTCATGTTGGATTTATAACAGCAAAGATGTCATTACTTTTAATCCATTGACAGGACTCATTTTAGGATGAAATACAGTTAAGCACCTGACAAAAATAATTTAAATATATTTATGATCTTATTCATGTGGTGATTTTTTCTTCACCAGAAGTTTTCTCATCTGTATTACTCTAAGGAAAATTTCATACTTTTGATAAGTGCTGTCAGTTCTAAGGTTTGATATTAAAATTTGGGATAGAAATGTGTGATATTTGGCATTTTTATAGGGTTTTTTCACATAAACAAGAAAACTAAATTACCATAAGCACCCATACACACTGAAAATTTATTTAGAAAACACCTGAAAATAGAACCCATATGTCCATAGTCTTTAAAATGGACTCTGGTAAAATATTAATTAAAACCAAAAACCCCTTTGGGAGGCCGAGGCGGGCGGTTCACGAGGTTAGGAGATCGAGACCATCCTGGTTAACATGATGAAACCCTGTCTCTACTAAAAATACAAAAATTAGCCGGGCTTGGTGGCGGGTCCCAGCTACTAGGGAGGCTGAGGCAGGAGAACAGTGTGAACCCGGGAGGCGGAGCTTGTGGTGAGCAGAGATCATGCCACCGCACTCCAGCCTGGGTGACAGAGCGAGACTCTGTCTCAAAAAAAAAAAAAAAAAACCTTTGACACAGGTTGCCAGGCCATATTGGTGGGAAGTGGGGAATGGTGAAGCAAGATGGTGGGGTTTGGGGTGGTAAAAAATACTTATCTTGAAGTTTTATTCATATTCTTGATAAATATTTTTAAACCAAGACATTTATTGCGTGGAGAAATAAGATGGCAATTGAATATCTGCTTGACTCCTAAAGATGTCTAATTTGTTCTAAGTTGCAGATCCCAATTCCCTCGTTTCAGTATATGCTGTACTATGTGTTCACATCCCCGAGAGCTGAATTAATTGACTGGCATAGCTTTATCATGAAACAGTGCAAAGACTATTTAGCAAACTCAGATATTTCTATATTTACTGAAGATGTTCTCCATGTGTTACTCAGTTGCAGGCAATTATTACAGGAACGATAATTCATATACCAGAACTGTCTTGTCTAATTCAGAAAGGCAGCAATTTGGACTTTATTAAGAAGACACCTATGAACTTTTTAGAAGTTGCAGTTTGATACATATTTAGTAGAAATGTGGTTTGCATATGACTGAAGAATGAAGAACAATAACTAGATAAGACTCTAGTGCAAAAGTCAATCCCTACTACATTAAATTAGCTTAAAATACTAACAAAGCTTCCATCCAATTACTGAGCCATAGAAGGAACAGATAATGAGGATTTCTGCTTTCATTTTCTATAAATACAGGTAAAATTACCTGATCTGCTTACTGAATAACTTTTGAATTGCCAATTTATTTTCTAATATGTATGTGATGAAATTTTGAGAGCTGTAAAATACTTATCTGGTAATTGGGAGATTTAGATATGTTCCCTTAAACCCCATATGCCATAGGGCACTGGTATTTGCTAAGTTCACAGGTTTATTCATATGTAAATAGAAATAATGCATTTTAAAGCCACAAGTCTGAACAGAAAACTGAGAGGAGGGTATGAGTATATGCGATACTTCTGGGCTTTGAGATAATGAAATAACAGATCAAACTTTCCTCTGTTTTAAAGAGTGTGATTAATACTTTTGAAAGTGCACTGGGCACCTATGTATTGCCTGATATCAATCATGAAACCCCAAATACTCCAAAGACCCTTCTAGCAATACTTTCAACCCTTCAGAAAATACCCAGTAATGGGACTTTTCTGAGAACGCCTGTCTTCATGTGATTTCCAACTCTGTTTCAATACCAAACAGACCTGAATGCTTATCAGATCTGATCCAAACTGCCAAGAGCTCTTGATTCTGCCCATCTGTCATGAGGTTATTGGTTCAAGACAATAGTAAGACACAGAACAAGAGACATAGTCAGTTGGAGAAAACAATGTTTTCAACTTTCTGCTCCTTTTCTTTACTGTCTACTGAATGGCAAGCTGTATGCTTCCAAACTGACTTGAAGTTGAATCTAAAATTTCAAATCAACTAACTTCCTTGAGGAATTAGGTACCAAAATTTAAAAACTGTTGTAACTGCTTTTAGGTTACTCACTCATTTCCCTCTTTCTCTCTCCACTTTTTTCTCTCCTTCTCCTTCCCTTTTTCTTCTATCCAGCCTTTGATGTAAAAGAAATGCCAAAAACAAACTTTGTAAACTTACGGGATATAAGATCTTTATGGATATAGGCTGTTTCACTGAAGGAAAAGACTGGGAATTTATAGAAAGTTACAACAGGGTTTCATATGAAGTGTGGAGTTTGTATTTGCAGAATTAAAGAACTTCTTCATTATAATATTCTTTTATCTCACCTCGTGTCATTAAAATATAGGACACCAGCAGTAAAACTAAAAGTAAATATGCACATATCTTTATCTGTGTAAGGAAGCTATAAATTTCCCTCACTGATAACAGCTGTACTACAGCTATCATTTGAATAGTGCAGCTGCCACAACAATATCAAATTTTATAGTTAAAAAGCAGTCAAAACGTTAATGTTACAGTGGAGGTAGATATATATTGCACTATAAATAAGCATCCTCTAATGAAGAAATGAAGCAGGTTTATTTTTTTCTTAAACATACCATTGAATAGAGTGTATCTGACTCACTGAAATGTATCATAATATAACTCATCATACTTGGATATCTATAATACAAAAGTCCGATTTATACCAATTAGGCTGACTTTCATTGAGACATGTGAGAACTTGAAAACCCCTGGCCTGGGAATCTAACTGTAATTCAATGTTTGTTTTGTTTTATTTTGAAAGAAAGAAAAAGAAAGAAAGAAAGAAAGAAAGAAAGAAAGAAAGAAAGAAAGAAAGAAAGAAAGAAAGAGAAAAAAAGAAAGAAGGAAGGAAAGGAGGAAGGAAGGAAGGAAGGAAGGAAGGAAGGAAGGAAGGAAGGAAACGGAAAGGAAAGGAAGGGAAGGGAAGGGAAAGGAAAGGAAGGAAGGAAGGAAGGAAGGAAGGAGAAAGGAAAGGAGGAAAGAAAGAAAGAAAGACAAAGAAAGAAAGACAGACAGACTCACTCCCATGGATCTTTGGAAGGATTTGGTGGTCTTTTCCTTCCTTCAAACCCTTTTTAAATTTGTGGGTTTGATTGGCAGAGGTGAGAGATACGGGTATGTGCAATTTGGGGAAACTGAGTTTCGCAAGGTTTAAACCTAAAATGACTAGGTCCAGAGCAGGCTTTTTCAGAGCCAGGTGATCTCAATCTAAAGACGGCATCCTGAGGGTTATCCTGCCTCTCTCAATGGTTTGTGGGATGTGGTTTTTGGGCTGGACATGAAGCTGCCAATACAAAAATTGAGCTTTCCACACACATTTTGAAGAAGTCAGCTCCCCTGAGGGGGGGAAGAACAAGGGTGTTTATAAATATGCAAAATTTAGAAAACAAATCAAGAGGTGTTTTTAGACAGATTTTTGAAAGACAGAAATCTTTTTTGTTTTGTTTTGTTTTTTGTGTTCCACCAGCTGGTCAGTTGATATCACACAGGATGCTTAAGTAACATGGAGAAAAACCTGAGTCTCTGGGCCTCATCTTTGTGAATGGATCAGATGGCTCCATTAATGAGCAAAGACAGTTATACTGACCAGTCTTGAAATTCTGTTAAAGGAGCCTACCACACCTCTGGAAGTCTTGTGCATGTGTGCATATCATGTTATGCTCAGCCAGCTGCCATGTGGCAATACTAAAGTGACCTGTTTTAATTGCTGCCTTCTTCCTCTGTGTCGTAATTATTACATGCAGGGAAGCTACTTGAAGTAAAGGGCCACTCACACTATGCAGCTTTAACCTTTTGCTCATGGCACTGCTATCTGAAAATATAGTCAGACCAGCTCAAAGACTGCCACAAATGAAGCAGTAAAGGTGGGGCCCACAATACCAGAAGATCCTGTAAGTGAAGTTCCATTTCTAGGCATACAACAATTCATCACTGAGCTGTGTTTCTGTGAGAAAATCATGCAGCAGCAAAAAATTGCACAGGTGTATGTCATATACCATGCCTCTCTGTCAGAGTCTGTTCAAAGAACAGTCATTGGGGTAAGAACAAACTTAGTGACTTGGACTAACTTCAAGTTCAATTGGTACTGATTTAAATTGCCCAAGAATATACACTGGAACATTTGGGATAGTTGTGACACTGAACATTTTATCAAATATTTACTAAGTTCCCACAGGTCTATATGCTCAAATATATAAGTATTATTTACTTATAGATAAATAATGCTAGTGTTTCCTCGAGGCCTACAAGGGATAGAAAAAGATATTTCCATCTGTCTGTGTACGCAGAGGAAAAGCGTTTTAAGTACAAAGTGCTCCTGGTTCTCAGGGAAGCAGTGATTTATTAAAAGAACACCAGGGCATTTTACTAGACAGTGTCAAACACACGCTTTCATTTTATTGTCATAGCCACTGTAGGAAGGGGATATTATATATTTCCCATTTTGCAAATGGAAACCTGAGGCTCATTTCTGCTACTTTGAATGGGGAAAGACTTGAAGATGAGTGAGTTTTCAATACTCGGAGATGATTAAAGTGATTTCAGTCCTAGAGATCAGCATGAACAGAGACCCAAAGGCATGAAAACACCTGGCATATTTGAGCAAAAGTAAATGGTCATGTGCCTGGTACCTAGGAGGTGTGAGCATGGTAGTAGGAAGTCACTGGGTAAGTGCAGAGGAGGAGGAAAGAGAACAAAGGTGATAGAGCAAAGCCTCAGACTATAACTTTACCTGTGGATCAACGCATTTAGAAATGGAGTCATGGGCCGGGCGCGGTGGCTCACACCTGTAATACCAGCACTTTGGGAGGCCGAGGTAGGCGGATCACAAGGTCAGGAGCTCGAGACCATCCTAGCTAACACTGTGAAACTCTGCCTCTACTAAAAATACAAAAATTAGCCAGGTGTGGTGACGTGTAATCCCAGCTATTCGGGAGGCTGAGGCAGGAGAATCGCTTGAACCTGGGAAGCAGAGGTTGCAGTGAGCCGAGTTCGCACCTCTGCACCCTAGTCTGGGCGACAGAGCAAGAACTCTGTCTCAAAAAAAAAAAAAAAGAAAGAAAGAAATGGAGTCATGGTCTACAGAGGAAATAAATACAATTCTGGGGGAGGAAATACAAATGCCTTGTTAGGACCTATAACTTAGTAAATTGCAAAATACGCCGCTCCCCCGTCTCATTCCTGAGCTCTTTGCCTGCTTCTGTGTTTAAACTGCATTCTGTATAAAAATGAGTCACTTGAAAAAGAAATGCATATATATATATTCTATTATATACACACACTCATCTGTTGTCTTTTTTCTGGGGTGGGGAAGCATCCCTTCTCTGAACCAGAGCATATTGTTCCACAAAGCAGAATGGACACAAAAATGAATGACTGTTAGTGTCTCCATGCCATCCTAAGATAATAAGCACCTTTGAAGGGGTATTCATTGTTTCAGGCCCCAGAGGGACCATTTACTGCCTGGAGATAATAATGTTCCCATGTATCCCCAGGATACCTGGGAGAATCTGACTCACTATGCAAAAATATTGATGAGAGCTTTAGATAAAAAGGAGTAATAAACAACAAATCTACAGAGGAAAGCACCCTCTGCAATGTTGTAAGCAAGACTCCGGGTACAGGAAGATATTTTCTCTCTGTATTTTGGTAATTTAACAGTCAGTGTGGTTACAATCTTGAAATCAGCCTGAACTTCTATGGATGAAAATGCTACAGAGTCTCAGAATGCCTCCATGGAGACAGGAACAAGGAAAGCTAGAGAAGGCTCTGGGTTGTGAGGAGTGGGTGGGGGAAGCCATCCCCCAAAGACCTAACCACTGAGAAATATTATAATTTGAATAATTTTTTAAAATTAAGCCTATTGTCAGATAACTTGGGGTGATAAATCTTTCCATTCCCCAACTTACTTTCCTAAGAAACCTCGTGGCATGGCAGCAAACACATCCAACAACTATTGCCAGATAATGACGAATCTCTGATATATTTTGTCACATTGCAGTCTATGTTGCTAGTTTCATATTTACAAGCAAAATTGTTACCTCAAAATATGAAACACTGGCATTTAGAGAAATATAGAAATTACTCACTTCCCTGGAATTCTGCATGACAAATTAGAACTATGCTTTAACTCTAATAAGTGTAGCTGTAACAGTTTTCATAAACATTCTTGAGATGTTCTTCTGGAGTAGCTTTATTTTGGCACCCTACTTTTCCTGCTTAAACAAATGAAAAGGTTGGCTGATATTGTCAAAATACAGCACTTCTGGTGAACCAAGAGCCATTTATTAAAATAATGTATTGATGCAGTGTCATAAAACACAAAATCATATTTCTGCAGGAAAAACCTATTACCCTAAGCCAAGATTATTTTATTTTAAAAGAAAAATTATTACAGTTGTCGATTCTGAAAGTTAGATGATGTGGTTCCGACCTTGGCCCTTCAGAGACTAACCAGGCAGCTTTTAATGCACCGTAATATGTTATGTAAAAGATATATTTGTATAATTAACAAGCCTTGTCTTAGTAGAAATGCATTAGCTTCAGGTAGATTCTGTATCTCTCATGATTCAAAATGACTAACTTAATAAAAATACAAATGTGATTTTCTCTAGTTGTGCAGAGACATTAAATAACACATAGCCAAAGTGTGACAAACACACAAACACACTCTCTCACTCTCTCTCTCTCTTTCTGTCTGTCTCTCTCTGTCTCTCTCTGTCTCAAACTCCTCCTGCAGGGTCAGGGCTCTCCAGAGCTAACCATTTTCCTGACATCGTCTTAATCTTGTCCTTTGTCACAGCTCTGCACTTTTTGCTCTAAAGGTTTCTGCACTAAAAAGTGAGGAGGTGAAGCCATAGTTCAATTCAATTTATTTTTATATTGCCTCTCATACAAAGGCTCTCAAAACGCTTTACAGTAAGAGATAAAATAATCATATAACACTTGCCCATATTGGAAATAGCCACAATCACCCAGACGGCAAGGGGGTAAAGCTATGTGCACAGTCATGGGTCAAAGTCCCTGGCGAAGCACCCCTCGTTTAGAAGCCATATAAACGAACATTTCAGCAGGGTGACGTGGCCATATAATATCACTTGCTGAGCCCCACATTCTCAAGGGACAAGTAAGAGGCTTCATTTTTCTATTCAAATAAAGCATTATCTCTCATAAACCTATGGTGATCTCAAATGGTGACCAGCTTCCTCTCATGTGCAAATGAAAGAGTCAAAGCAGGAACATGTTTTCTTTCTATTGTTGCCAATTACTTTAATCACACATGATTTATGGCTTCCTGGAAAGCAGTTATTCTGGGCCACCTCTTTTCATTGACCGTGTTCCATATTTTGGACCCAAAAGGTAAAAGAGAAAGGAGAGTAGGAAGCCCAAAGTGAGTGGTATTTCTTTTAGTCAACCTATAGCACAGAAGAAAAAAAATGCTTCCACTTGAGACTGAAAAACTCAGAATGAATCACCGGCACTCTGGGGCAGGAAGAAGGAATGAGGGAGGGTAATAGAGAAAGAATTTTTGCTAGATAAGGCAGCCCAAATTAAATAATAATTCCCATTGAATAAAAAACAAAACAAAAGCTAAAGTCTGGAAAGCATAATGAATAAACCAATGCTGGGAAAAGGAAATTAGGTCAAATCAATATATCAAGTTTGCATGGCGCTTTTAATTCACAGAAGGGTTATTCTGGACTTGATGTAAGGAAACTGGAGATGTTACTATGCTCTGAGAATGACAGAGTTATACAGTATAAGAAGAAAGTACACTCAGCAGATGAAAGCTACCACGTTTGCAAAGACCTTCTTTTACAGTGCAAATAGCAACTTGAAATCACCAGACCCCAGGGAAAGCAATTCTCAAAAAAAGAAGCTTCTCCCCTGAACCCCCACTCCACCCTCATCACATGGTTTCTCAAGTATGGAGACAAAACGTTCTTTGTCCATAAGCGTATTATTCAAAAAGTGTGCAAATCAAAAGAAGCCTATGGCTCCAGAGGAATTCACGCTGTTCATACCAGTAAATAATCCAAACTGCATTTACTTGGAAGCCTGTTTCTAGAATGATGTGAACCTTTGGTATCCTCTACTTCTTGCATCGAGCCACATCTTTATAATACATAATAACAAACAAGAATATATTGTAACTCATTTTTTGACCTTTTAATATTTCTGTCACTGATTGTCAGAGTTGAGAACTACTCTCTATCCTGAGGTGATGGATTATTTAATTAACCATTGACCTTTTCCCAACATTTGTTGACAATGAGCACAGTCCCATGAAAGCTGCCTGCTTTGGATATTGGTCAATTCTGTGTTGTCAGTAGGAGCATACCATTTTTCATAACTTAGATCAAATAACTAGAATTACTTTGTGCCATGTATTTACCTAAACCTATTTTCAAATGAATTCATGTATGTTTCCTTTTAACTATCTAATAGGAAAGAACAATAGGTTTACTGCACCTTTTTAAAGCATACTCCATGTTAACAAACACATATCAGGTAGAACTTAAATGAGTCAACCTACAGAAAAAAATGTCATTTACTATTTATGAATCTTTTGGAAAAAGTTGCAGTCACTTGTTTCTAATGCTTTGCACATCTCCATATCCCCAATTGAATCCGACTTTTTCTAGGGAATAAGATCCCAAGAAGGGTGTAGCAGACTCTTTGAAAAGTTCTTCTAGATGTTGTTTATAAGTTCCATTCATCAGTAAAAGAAATATTCCTGCATTTTTTCCTAGGGCTTATTTTCTTTATAGAAGGTGATATGGTTTGGCTGTGTCCCCACCCAAATCTCATCTTGAATTGTAGTCTCCCGACAGGTCATGGAAGGGATCAGGTGGAGATAATAGAATCAGGGCGTTTTCCCCCATCCTGTTCTCATGATAGTGAGTTAGTTCTCATGAAATCTGATGGTTTTATCAGGGACATCCCCCTTCACTGAGTACTCGTTCTTCTCCTTGCTGACATCACGTGAAGAAGGATGTGTTTGCTTCCCTTTCTGCCATGATTATGTTTCCTAAGGTCTCCCTAGCCCTGCGGAACTGTGAGTCAATTAAACTTCTTTCCTTTATGAATTACCCAGTTTGGGTATGCCCTTATAGCACCATGAGAATGGACTAACACAAAGGTCAAAAAATTATGGTAGATTTTGGCTAAATAGTAAGATTTGAACCTTTCATCTCCATGACTGACTTGTTTGTGTACCTGCGGTGAATAGAATCTTCATGTGCCCCTCCAACAGTCCCATGCCTACCCACCTCATTCCAGAAAGGATTTTTGTCTCTGATGCTGGTTAAGGCTGAAAGTGTTGCAAGCACTTCTGCAGATCCCTCTGCTTCCAAGATCCTGTAATACCATATTTCAGAGAAGGGGAAACATTTTCAGAGGAGCTATTATTGGCTTGGTTGTCATTATTCTTGTGTTCACTTCTCAAATATTTGTTTTGAGAACATATCATAACATAAAGGGGTTTAGAGCCAGACAGTCCTGAGCTCAGGATCTTAGTTCTTTTTCTTTCTGGGTGATTCTGTGCACATCATTTATCTTCTTGGTGCCTTATTTCCTCATCTATGAAATGGGAATAAAATACCCACCTCTCTCACTTGCTGCAAAAGTGGAATGAGATAATATATGCAAAATTTCTGGCAACTAGTAAAAAATCCATTAAAAAATCTAGATCTGATATGATACTGAATTTTGCAGTTTGTCATGTAGACATGGCCATTATCTCTGCAGAGTGGAATACAATATATTAGAGACGTTTCAGCAACAACTGAAGTCCATTTCCATTTCCCTGGAGTCTACAGTGTTTAAAGATTTGACATTATGGAAGTATATTGTCTTCATTAATTTATGTTAATTTTTAATGTTAGTGTTGCATATGCTATAATATATAGGGAAACTTGTGTAAACACACACACGTTCACAAGCACAAATATGCAGGGTGAAAGAGTCCTGACCCTAAGAAAGCAGATTTTCATTAAAGCTTCAATCTAGAAGATAATATCAAGTGTTAACTGTAACAGTGCCATTTTTGTTCGATATGGAAATAAAAATAATTCTTAAAATGAAAGATGTTCTGAAATTAGCAAAACCACGGTGTATATATTTATCATATTTTATAAAAATGTGACTGAAATTAAACTTTAGAGCTTGACAATTTTGTCCAATGAAACAGACATGCAAACTACGCTTGTTTGTTTTCTTGCATATCTGTTAATCATGTGTTTCCTTTGGCATCTATCAATTTCTTTTCAAAGCCACAGAGCTTATCTCCTGTTAGAATAGGTCTATATGGGCATCTCATCAGATATCTAGATGGTTAAGTTGTACGTTTGATACACTGGTGATGTTAATGTAATATTCTGATGGGTATCTATTAGCATGTACATCACCAAAGCACAGACTCTCTATCGTCTGAGACAGTGGCTGCCCGGTCTGTGTCAGTGTCAATCCACACCAGAATCACAAGAATGAACAAATGTGACAGGAGAGGGCTGTACCAATTACAGATGAAGGGATAGTATCTACTCCCACCGTTTGATGTGATTTATTTGGCGGTCTCTCTGCATTTGTAGGCAGCAGATTGTAGCTGTTTATGAAGTGACAAATGGTACTCAGTGACAATGAATGACTTCTCTAATCAATTTAACTTGTCTAAAAAGTGGTCATGAATTGTGGTATTCATCAAATGTCAGTGAATACAAAAAAGATTGAACTTCTTGTACTAAAAACATATATTCCAAATATAGACCAAAAAAGTGAGAGAAATGAGTGATGAAATTGGTTTGTTTAAATAATTTTTAAAGGTGTTTTAAAAACAAAATTTTAAAAGTGTTTCACGCAAAGATTTTTTTTCAGAGAAGTGCTATATTTTATTGATTGGAGAGAGATTTTTTTCTTGTCCAGTTTTATTTTGCTGAAGGGTACATAATTATCTACATAAATGCATAATTCTCTGGTGGAAAAATAAAAACAACTGGGTTTGTCAGTGAAATAATTGAGACTCTTTTCATATAAAAAGCCTTTTAAGCTTATGATTTCAGTATTGACTAAAGTTTTCAATTATTGTTTCACCCTTTTAAATAAAACTATTTGGGTCTAAGTGACTTTACTGATGAATTTATTGAATTCATTGTGAAATATTTAAAAATAGTAATCTATTATGAATGGGTTAGATCACATAACCAGAGGTTGTTTACCTTCAACATTTGAGAAACACACATATTTTTAAACTTACATGTATTTCAAATAAGACTTTTGTCTCACACATATATCTAGTATACAGTGGAATAAAGTCATAAGCTGAGTTAACCTTATACAAGTATATTTACGTATGTATTTCAACTTATTAGATGTAGGTAGTCTTTTCCATACTTAATACAAACCACTACTGCTATAAGCCAAGAATGATTTTTTCCTATCTCTGTATTATTCAAATTTATTAAACAATATTTCACATTTGTTTGACACAATGTCAAACTCAGGACTCCTAAAGAACTGCTGTAGCTTTGGAACTGTTATGCTTTCTTGGACTTTAATCATTTTTGGCAAGGCTCCATTTCCTGTCAGAAAGTGAAACAGCTTTGGAATGTCATTTTCACGAAAGAAAACAGAGAGAATCCGAGAGGAAGTTCTCCTCCACTCCAGATCCCCTAAGATACTCAAACATGCTCACAGGAGGGCTGGAATACATCAAACATTAGCAGAGGGAAAAGGACACAATTTTCCCACATTAAAATACATGGATAAAGTTGAACTTCTGCTAAAAATAGTTCCCATGACTAATCCTATTAAGTTTAAAAAATTGGGCAGTATCCTCCCTGAAGCAGAATTACTCTCTGCCATCACACTCTGCTGTTCCCCCACACTCCCCAAGCCAGCAGGCCCTCAATATTAGGCCCTCATCTTTCCCTCTGTAATGACATTTGGGGAAAAGGGAGAAAGAAAGAGATCGAACAGTGCCTTTTATTCAGGTCTCAGATATCAAAGGAAACCAAAAACAAGATATAAAACTCAAAATTATCTCAGAATACCAACGATTCGAAAGAGCAGTGTACTGTTCTCAGTAGATCTGCAATGTTTTCCCACTGGCTCTTGGACTCACTCTGTGTCCCCAGGGAACAATGAGATTGCAGAAAGCAAACGAAGATTACTCTGAGATATTCCACTTTAAGGCCTAGAAATGGATTCACAAATTAAGCAGCAAAATGAAAAAGTCTCTCCTCTTTTGGACTTGCAAGCCTGTGATTTTTGCCGCATGTGACAACCTCATTAAGGAAAAGGAAGAGATTTAAAAGGATCCCTGAAAAAGGCCAACCAAGCTAAAAGATTCTGAACCCAGTACACATGTTGTTATCCAAAAGAGAGAAAGCCATCGGTACTCTCCCCATCCTGCAGTTCACACGGATAATCCATGTTACTCTGGTCTTTTAGAGGCGCAGATACAGGAATATAAAGGAGTCTCTGCTGAAGGAGTCATTAGGTACCATGATATTGGCATATGTTAGCTAAGTGATTAGCAAGGGTGAGGTTCAGCTGCAATCAAACCTAAACCCAGCTGATGCCATTAACATGCTGGATCTAATGAACACCACAGACCACATTAAAGTGGAGATAGCAAAATGACAATAGTAGAATGGCTTTTAATGAAATTATCAATCCAAGAAAGGAGGGAGATAGATGTCATCTAAGAAACCTTTGTAAAATCACTGGACAGTCACTTACGTAAGCACTGCTTTGAAAGGGCAGGCAGGTAACCCACCCCTAATTGTCAAGAGATGCTTTAGACATTGGGGTTTTTTAAGCAAAGTGGTGCATCTTTCTAGTTCTGCATTAGCATGCTCAAAGTGAATTGACCAACTGATTTGGACCAACTGATTCCACACTGTCTCACTACAGTGTGCAAATGCCTCCAGCTACATAAGTCATAAAGAAAAGATCTTTTGTTATAGATCTTAAATAGAATTGCACATGCTTGAGCTAATCCATAATTCACAGCCACTTAAGGGTTGGATCTTATCTGTATATATGCATATCATTGAAAACTGTGACCTAGAACTCCATCAATGTGTAGTTTTGTCCTGAAAAGATCCCTTTACCTTAAAGCTAACCACATTTTTCAACTTGCCTTGCATGTAAGAAAGTTTCAGGTTAATAGTTGCCAAAGCAATTGAGATGGAATTTTTTTGAAGTTTACCAAAAGAAAGTAACTCTCTCAGGTTCACAGGCTCTAGAGTGAGTAGTTAAGAATGTGGGTACCGTAAGCCACACTGCATAGGTTTAACTCACAGCTCTGCTCCTTACTAATTCAAAGTTGTAGTTTTTGTGACTAGACTAAGGCAAGAGAAAAATAAAGCATATAGACAAGGAATGATTGAAAGCAACAAGAAGTGTTTTCTCTTCCTCCTTTGGGTGCCAACCCTATAATTCCCGCAATGCTGAACTCCAGTTAGTTAGTGAGTGAGTTATTTAGTTCGTGAGTGAATTATTTAGTTCGTGAATGAGTGAGTTTTGGCGGTGGCCTTCTATGGACATACATGGCTTGTCCTCTCCCTGAACCATCAAATCTGAATCACTGTCTCCTGGGAGCAGCAAGATCCAGGAGACTGTGAATTCAAACTTTCAGAAACTTTGCACAAAGCATGTATGTCAACAAACAGAAATAATTAGCAAGGATGAACCATCACTCTTTAAAGCAGGAACATTCCACATCTAGAAAGGTTGTAATTTTAGAAGCCATTTATAAAAGTTTTGGGGCAGCATGACCCAAGCTCAGAGGACTTCAGGTTTCTATTTAAAGCACCAAATCACAATAGACATTTGATTTAAATTTTTATTTTATTTTACGTTCCGGGATACATGTGCATGACGTGCAGGCTTGTTATATAGGTAAACGTGTGCCATGGTGGTTTGCTGCACCTATCAACCCATCATTAATTTTAAAATTTAAAATAAGCAAAGGAGTTGTCATTTTTGCAACATAGGGTATAGGTCTGATTTTAGTCCATGTGGATTCACAGCCTCTCAGACTCCTGAGAAAATATAAGCCCATCTCTCTAGTCTTAGGGGTGCTAGCTGCAATTCAGATTTCTGTGTTCTAATTCTACTGTACTGCTGGCTAACTGTGCAACTGCTTAGTTTATCTTTCTGTGCTTCCGTTTCTTTCACGTGAAATGGGGATAATAATCTCAATTACCTCATGGGGTTATTTTAAGGACTAAGTGATATAGTAAGCATTGAGTCCCTAAATCACTGACTAGCACACACAAAACCCACAATAAACATTAACTGTTGTAATTTGTTGTGGTAGATATCATTGCAGAGGTTTATCATGTCATGTGTAACCTTCTTAATTCCTGATTCCTAGTGACCAGTTCCTCTTTTCTTGTGCCTATACCCACATCAGCTAAACTCTGTTACAAATTCCAGTATGAGTTTTATTTCTTCAGGTCTTCCCTAATTCCTCCTCATCATAATGGCCCTAAATCTTTTTAGTAATCCAGTAAAGCCATCATCTCCTGTTCATCTCTCTGCTACTTGCTCTGTCCTGTTTCTCTTCTCGATGGGACTAATTTCTTTGGTCACTGACTATCAGCCTTGGTGTCCCTAAATTCAAAAGCCAGGCTTTGTAATCTAAGAGAAACTTTTCTGCCGCATAAACATGTTTGGGTTTATTGGCCAGCTGAGTTCGCCAGTAAATGACTGCAACTCTACTTACTTTTCATGGTTGCTTTTGTGTCGTCTTCTTTGTAAGCCCAGCACTGAGGGCTACACCCAGAGTGCAAAGGAATGCCTGTAGGCAGATAGTCACCAAAGATGACTCTGACGAACAGCTTGCTGCAGCTCTAATGGTGAGACATATAAAATGCATCATACATTAAATTTAATGTTGCCTCATTAGTCTCAATTAGTTTCCTACATTACACCAGGATTATGGTTTCTCCGTGTTTATGTTTTCTCCTAAAAACAAGTCTACCCCAGATAATGCTTCAGTATACTTTTTAAACCTTTGAATAAAAATGTCCAGTAATGGATTAATATCAATAACAGTCTTGATCTTAAAAAAAAAAATCCCCAAGGAAAGGCAAACTAAATCATCAAATTTCTAAAGAGTTTCATGTCATGCATAAAGCCTAAAAAAGAAGTCCTGGAATTTTACTTCTTTATTTTACTCAGGAATAAACTTAAAAACTGCAAACATTTGTTCACTAAGAAAAGTAATTGCCCTATTATTTTCTTTATTCCCCTTTCTATCATTATGCATAATATGTGGTATGTTTTTTCGATAAAAGAATAGTTGCTTCCCTCCTCCTCTCCTCATTTCAGTTTAACTTTTCCTTTTATTGGCATCTATCATGAAGACATACCGCATTCAGTATCATCATAGCTATTAAAGAAGAAAGGGACTTGAGAAACGATGGAGAGCAACCATTTTTTAATAATAAAGAAATTGAAGCTCAGAGGTTTTAGAAACTTGTGGAGTCCTGTAGGTAAGTAATGGTGCAACCATGACTAGAAGAGAGGTGCTCCGGCCCACAGTTCATCATATATGTGATGGCTCCACAATGAATGTGAGGATGTAAACTGCTGTCATGGCCCAGTGCACCCTGCAATGCAGGCCTCTCCACCCATGGACTCTGAGTTCACATCTTTGTGCAACTGCCTTTTCTGAACAGACTGAAATACCTGTTGCTTGGCTTCATTTTTATGAGTAATTACACACTCATAAAAAGAAAAGCCAGGAAAATACAATGAAAACAGGTTTATTTAAAAAATGTCTTCAGTTGTCTGTCAGTAGGTAATGAAATGGTTGGAATATGGAAGTCCTGAAAGGCTACGTTTCATTCCTACCTATATGCTAGTAACGTAAGGATTATAATGAACATTAAACAATAGATTTGAAGGAATTCAGTCCTGCTGTAGATTCAGGACTAACTACTTTCTTCTCCTGTTATAAAAGGACAGAATTATTTCTTATCTTGTTCTCCTTGTCTCTCTGGGTTTCCCACAACCCTCTGGCAATTTCTGAGATGTGGCCAATGCACAGCAAAGCCTCATCAGGGAGGAAAATAATCAAGAAAGGAAAATATCAAGACGTAGGGGCCAAAGAAGGAAACAGTGAGGGAGTGAATAGGAGAGAAAAATACTCGTGTACAATTTGGAAACACTGACTTAGCATGGAAAATGTTTAAAATTTACTATCACCTTAAAACTGAAAGCGGAAAGACTTGGAAACAGCCCATTGAACACTGTTAGGGTAACACATTTTAGGCTGAATCACTTTTGGACAATACCTACATATTCATTTCTGTAATCATACATTTTGAAGATGAACAACTATTCACAAAACTAACAAAGATACCTATATGTTCATCCAGGAATTACACCTGATGATCACGAGTCACTTTACAACATCTTATGCTAACCTAGTTGTTACTTTAATGACTTATGTAACAGATCCTTGGATACATATTGTAAACCCTGGAGTTTCTAAAATAATTTAAAACCCACTTCCAAATCAATTCCAACATTTCCAAGTTAGAGAAACAATTCATATTTGGGTGGATAAACTGCTGATTACATAATGGAGTATTTAAGTAAAGTAATACATGAATGTTTTCCAAAATATAGGAGCATCTGTAAAGAAGATGAAGACACATGCAACACAATTGCTCATGACTTTGAATTCTATAATTCATGGTGTAATCACAGCATTTTTTGTGCATATTCTAGAAGAATGCAAGACTTACAATTTAAGCATTAACAGTAAGATACCACTATACACCTATTAGAGTGCCCATAATTCAGAACACTGACAACAACGAATGCTGAGAGGATGTGCAACAACAGGAACGCATATTCATGCTGGTGGGAATGCAAAATGCTAGTCACTTTGGAAGACAATTTGGCAATTTTGTACAAAACTAAACATACTTTTGCCATACAATCCAGCAATCGTACTCCTTGGTGTTTATGCAAAGGAGTTGAAAACTTATGTCCACACAAAAAGCTACACATAGATGTTTATAGCAGCTTTATTCATAATTGCCAAAACTTGGAGGCAACCAAGATGTCCTTCAGTAGGTGAATGGATAAAAAAGACCGGTACATCCAGACAATGGAATATTATTCAGTGCTAAAAACAAGTAAACTATCAAGCCAGAAAAAGACATGATGGAAACTTAGATGCACATTACTAAGTGAAGAAAGCCAGTCTGAAAAGGCTACATACTGTATGATTCCAATTATATGACACTCAAAAAAGATAAAGCTGAGGAGACAATAAAGAGATCAGTGGTTGCCAGGGGTTGGGAAGAGGGAAGAGATGAATAGGCAGAGCACAGAGGATTTTTAGGGCGGTGAAAATACTGGGTGTGATACTATAATGGTGGATACGTGTCATTATACATTTGCTTAAACCCATAGAATGTGCAACACCAAGAATGAACCCTAATGTAAATTATGGACTTTGGGTGATAATGTGTCAGTGCACATTCATAAAATTGAACAAATGTACCACTCTGGTGGGGGGTGTCGACAATTGAGGAGGCCATGCATATGTGTGGGGAGATTGCTCTGAACCCAAAACTGCTCTTTAAAAAAAAATGAAGTCTTTAAAGAAAATTAAGTATTAAAATACCAAAAAAAAAAAGTTCCATGAACTTTTAACAAATTTACACTGGGAGAGCCAATTCTATGTACATGTAATGAAATGGACAGTAGCTTCTGCTGTTAAACTTTTGGGCTAGTAGCAAGCTATCAAACCACCCACAGAATGTCAAAATATTCTGTACACCTCAGAGTTGGAGATGCATGGCCCTCTGTGATTTATGGAAACCTTATTTATAATGTATTTTCTGTTCATTTCTGTCCAGTGCTGCACCTTTTATAAACCTACTGATTAATATCAAACAGTGAACAAATCTGACAAGCAGGATTACCAATCTAACAAAACTGTTTATAGTGTGAATGAAAAAAGCACACCATTTCCAGGCAGTGTACTTAATAATAAAACCCTGTTGTACTTAAGTGGTGAAGGGATTACTTAACTGTCAAAGTTTCCTTAACTGTTAAGAGTAGCCACATTAAAGACATACTATTCAGAAGCACAGGCAGAGTATTTCATGCCAGTTTATTCATCATTACCATATTTCCATATTTAACTATAACATCATTGATGTGTATAAAAATAAAATAAATTCAACTATTTGAAATTAAATTAACTTCCCCTAAGGGATTTTATGGTAGACAATAAATAAAAAGATTTCTTTATTTTCTTTTACTGATTTAAACTCACTTTTTATAAATATTACATGTTTTCAAGAGATATCCATAATACCATATTCACTGCAGCATTATTTACAATAACCAAGGTATAAGAACAACCTATGTGTTCATTGGTGGATAAATGGATACAGATATACAACAGAATATTATTCAGCCTTTAAAAAGAAGGAAATCCCACCATTTGCAACAATGTAGATGAATGCGGAAGACATTAAGCTATGCAAAATAAGCCAGACACAGAGAAATACTGCATGATCTCACTTACATGTGAAATCTAAAGCAGCCACTCCCAAAAGCAGAGAATGGAATAGTGATTGCCAGGGGCTGAGGTTAGGGGTGAATATAGGGAGATGATGGTCAAAGTGTCTGAGGGTTCAGTTATGTGGGATGAATAACTGCTGGAGATCTAATATATAACATGGTGACTAAAGTTACTAATACTGTGCCATATACTTAAAATTTCCTAAGAAGATTAATCTTAAGTGCTCTCAACATACACAAAAAATCATGACTTTGTGAGGTTATGTATATATGTTAATTATCTTGGGGTAATAATTAGCTTGGGGTAATAAGTTCACAATGTACACATATATCAAAACATTACATTGTATACCTTAAATATATACAATTTTTATTTGTCACGTATATACTTCAATAAAGCTGGGAAAAATATATATAAAAAGTGTTCCTTATTTTAATTTTAAATATTATAAAATAATTTGATAGATTTTTGTTTAAAAATAAGTTTGTCATCAGTTTTTATACACTAAGAAATGTGCATATTATGTATTATATTTGAACATTTTTAGAAAAAGAACTATTATATCATAAACCTCACAATTTCCATGAGACATTTTGCAAAGCTCTTCCTTTAATTTTGACAATCATGTTAGTCAATTTCTTTAGTTTCATAAATTATAGAACTACAGTGTATAGAAAATATTTAACTACATAATTATTAAGACTATTGAAACATCAACAACAAAATTTATATTACTTAGCTCAATTATTGTAAATAAACCAATTTGATAGGTAAATGAAGAGTTCAATAAAACTAGCCTAAAACTATAAGACTATAAATTTTTCAAAACAATAAGCAGAAAAAAATTGATCCTAAGATCTTTTCCCATATATGATTCCAAATTATGTCTTTGTTAATGGAAGACAAAACACTTTTAACCTTGAGTCAGTTTCTGCTACCTCATTTCTAATACACTTAAATATAGAGTCTTTAGAAAGAACAATAACTTTACAGAATTCAAAGTATTTATTTATCATCTAAATGTTGGTTCTGAGCCTATGTTTATGGAAATCATAAGAGACAAAGTTTCTGAAGACTTATACAGGAAGAAACAAAAAAATATAGAAGTAGGCCAGGTGTGGTGGCTCACACCTATAATCCCAGCACTTTGGGAGGCCGAGGTGAGTGGATCAGCTGAGGTCGGGAGTTTGAAACCAGCCTGGCCAACATGATGAAACCCCGTCTCTACTAAAAAAAATAAAAAATAAAAATACAAAAAAATTAGCCAGGCGTGATGGCAGGCACCTCTAATCCCAGCTACTCAGGAGGCTGAGGCAGGAGAATTGCTTGAACCTGGGAGGCGGAGGTAGCAGTGAGCTGAGATCGCACCAATGCACTCTAGCCTGAGCAACAAGAGTGAAACTCCATCTCAAAAAAACTGGTAGGTAGGTAGATAGATACACAGATAGATAGATACGAGTAAAAAAAAAAAAAAAAATCCCTGCACCTAATTTATTTTCCCACAAAGTGAATAAAAATAACTATTGACAAGGAGTGACATCAACAAAATGGCAGAGCAGGGAGCTTCATAGATCTGGTCTCTCTGCTGAAGCAACCATTAAGCTGGCAAAATCAACTGTTTTGGAACTCTGGAAACTAATCAATGGCTTAACACCAACAGGGGAATGTTTAATAAGAAAATAGTCTGCTAAATTTTGGCATTTTTAAGAAAATCTGTCAGGCCACTGGCTGACTGCTGGTAGAATTCAACAGAGACTTCAGTGGCCATGCATGACAAAAATTACAGTCTATAAGAATAATTTGGAAAAGTCACAAACATATAGACAACTGCAACCACAAAAAGTGGCAACAGCAAAGTTTGGGGAAGGTGACATATTTGGTTTCCAGAGTTATCATAATATAATAATCGAAATGTTCAGTTTTCAACAAAAAATATGAGACATGAAAAGAAACAGGAGGGCCGGGCGCAGTGGCTCACACCTGTAATCCCAGCACTTTGGGAGGCCGAGGCAGGAGGGTCACGAGGTCAGGAGTTCGAGACCAGCCTGACCAACATGGTGAAACCCCATCTCTACTAAAAATACAAAAACTAGCTTGGTGTGGTCGTACGCGCCTGTAATCTCAGCTACTCAGGCGGCTGAGGCAGGAGAATCACTTGAACCCGGGAGGCAGAAGGTTGCAGTGAGCTGAGATCGCACCACTGCACTCCAGCCTGGGCAACAGAGTGACACTGGGTGCAATGGCTCACGCCTGTAATCCCAGCACTTCGGGAGGCTGAGGAGGGTGGATCACGAGGTCAGGAGTTTGAGACCATCCTGGCCAACATGGTGAAACCCTGTCTCTACTAAAAATATAAAAAATTAGCCAGGAGTGGTGGTGCATGCCTGTAGTCCCAGCTACTCAGGAGGCCGAGGCAGAAGAATCACTTGAACCCGGGAGGCGGAGGTTGCAGTGAGTGAGCCGACATTGTGCCACTGAGCTCTAGCCTGGGTGACAGAGTGAGACTCCACCAAAAAAAAAAAAAAAAAAAAAAGAAAGAAACATGAAAGTATGGCATATTTATAGGGAAAAAATGACAGAAATTATACCCAAGAGAGTCCAGCCATTAGTAGAAATACTAGACAAACATTTTAAATCAACCACATTAAATATGCTCAGAAAGCTAAAGGAACTCAAAAACAAATGGCTAAAGGAAATCAGGTGAAAGAAGCCTCAACAAATACAGAGTATCAGTAAATTGATGATCGAGATCATAGAAAGAATCCAAATAGAAATTTTAGAGCTGAAAAGTAAAATCACAAAAATGAAAATTCACTAGAGGAGTTCAATACAGATTTAAGCAGGATAAAGAATTTCATCCTGCTGAAATTGAAGGTATGAAATTAAAGATATGTCCATTGAAATTATACAGTCTTAGAAACAGAAAGAAAAAGGAATGAAGAAAAATTTATCAGATTCTAAATTGCAGTGGGTTACCATAAGGCATATTGATATATCCAATATAGAAGCCTGAGAAAGAGAAGGAAATAAAGAGGCAGAAAGAATATTTAAGGAAATAATGGTTGAAAATATCTCTAGTTTGATGAAAAACATGAATCTTAACATCCAAAAAGCTCCACTAACTCGAAATAAAAGAAACTCAAAGAGATCTATGCCTTGAAACACATTCTAATCGAACTATTTAAAGACAAAGAATCTTCAAAGCAGCAAGAGAGATGTAATGCATCATGTACAAGGAATCTTTATTAAGATTAACAGTTAATTTCTCATCAAAAACCATGGAGGTCAGAGGGCAAAGGGATGAAAAAAAAAGTCTATCAACCAAGAATTCTCTGTCTAGCAAAACAATTCTTCAAAACTGAAGAAGAAATTAAGATATTCTCAGGTAGACAGAAACTGAAAGAGCTGTTCACTAGTATATATTCACTATAAGAAACGCTAAAGGAGGTCCCTCAGGCTGAAATTAAAGAACATTAGACAAAAACTCAAAGCAGTAAAAATACCAGTAAATACAACTGTAAAAATGCCAGTAAATCTAACTGTGTAAGTAAATATAAAAGCCAGTATTATTACATTTTTGGTTTCTAATACCTCCTTTTTTCATATATGACTTAAAAGAAAAATATATAAAACAATTATTATAAATCTATATTAATGAACACATAATACATAAAGATATACTTTGTGATGACAACAGTAACATAAAAGGATGGGGGAAATGACTGTATAGAAACAGAGTTTTTGTATACTATTGAAGCTAAGTTGGTATCAATTCAAACAGATTGTTATACATTTAAAATGTTAACTGTAATCCCAAGGGTAACTGCTAAGACCATAACGAAAAGAAATACAGAAAAGGAAGTGAGGAGGGAATCAAACACTATACTAGAAAAAACCCACTAAACAGAAAAGAAAGCAGTAATGTAGGAATTGAAGAAGAAAAAAGATACAAGACATGTAGAAAACAGCAAAATGGCAGAAGCAAATCCTTTCATATAATTACTTTAAATGTAAATGGATTAAACTAACCAATTAAAAGGCAGAGGTTGGCATAATGAATTTTTTAAAAGCATGTTCCAGTTATTTTCTAAGAGATTCACTTTAAATACAAAGACACCAATAGGTTGAAAGTAACAGGATGAAAAAAGATATTCTATACAAATAGTAATCAAAAGAGAGCTCAGGTGGCTATGCTTTTGTGTAGTTCTGCAAAAGGAGGACTATTTATAATAGCAGCATCTCTGTTTTGTTTTGTTTTTTGTTTGTTTGTTGAGTCTCAAGTCCCAATTTTTTCCACAGACAGAGACATCACCCAGCCCCACATAATTTTCTACCCTAGAGTATTACGAATTGGGTAAGTAAATACGCCCAAAACGCAGATTGACTTTGACGACCTGGATTTTTTTGATTCATGATATTCCTGGGTTGTTTCAAAAGTGTTTCAAGTGGAAAACATGCCATAAAATTTGTTACATTTATTAATTATGATCTTTTTACACTTAATTGCATTGATAATCATAAACCTACATACAAATATTGAGTATCATTAGTTCGGCATCATCCTATACTTGTTAGCAGAATTCAAACAAGTAGATTAATATGAATCAAATATAAATAAAATAGAAGATAAAATTCGGTTGTTGCTGAAAAATTCCAATTCAGATGAATTGCCAGTTGAGAGGATAAGTAAAAATTATTTTCAGTGAAGTTCACCTTCAGTTAAATTTTGCTTTATGCAGTTAAATTTGCTTTATTATTCATTGTCATCTTTAATAGATTTGTTCACGTTCTATTGGATTTTCCTTAAACTTCTTGGAAAAATTACCTTACATGTGGTTTCACTGTTTCTTCTCTTTAAGCATACTCACTAAAAGCTCTTCCCAATGACTAAAACTAATCAATAAATTAAAACCAATAAGAACCAAACAAAAAAAACACACACCAAACATTCTTTCAGTTGATATCATAATTTACATTTGTGAAAGAAGGCTATGTTTTTTAGTTCTAATTACCAAATCTAGGCTTCCTTCTCCAGTTCAATAGACCATACACTTGGCATTTTAGTTTTCCACATTCAATGGCTGGCAAATTACATGTCTTCATCAGTTTTTATGCTTATCTTAAACATCTGTTTTAGAACTTTGGACACCTCAGTAATTAATACTGACTATACATCTAAAACTACATGAGAATTATATTACGTGAATTAGAACTGAGGTGGGGAGAAAAGCTGAAGACACACAGCATGCATTTTTGTTGTGGTCTTTCCCCAACTCTAATCACATTATCAACTACTTCTCTGGAGCTGAGTAGCTGCTGGGCCCAGCAGGCTTATCACTTCTGCAGGTATACGAGATCTTGTACTCTAGGGAAAAAAAGTCTTTTATGGCAAGCTGGTCATTGTCCATGACAAACAGAAGCCAAGAGCTGGTAAACTAAGTTCTCCCTACCACTGAGATTAAAAGTTCAAACTTTCGCTACATAGAACACTAGGAATGAAGAGGCTTCCATTCACTGCCCTAAAGGAGACCAGCATTCACCAGCAGAATACCACAAGCTTGCAGATGTGAACCACGATGTCTTCCACCACGTGGGGAATTTTCATTGCACAGCCAGACAGAAGTTTAGCTGGCACCAAAAAGTTAAGAGAACAATAAGATAAGGGGATGGGGGTTGGGAGCAGGGAAGAGCCCCTTAGAAATCGGCAGCTAGAAGAAGAGAGCAAGCAGAACACTCAGAGTATTCAGCTCCTTGTAAAGCAGAATTGCATATGGAGACTAATGACTTTATCTACCAAAAACCGAACTTGAAGTGGCATTGAAAATTTTTCAATGACAACATTGGTTAAAAAAAATACCTAACTAGGAAGAAAAAAATCTAACTAGGAAACATAGCTATTGAGTTTCAAAGTTCAATATAGAACTTGAAAGCAAGTATATTGCTGATGAGATCTGAATAAATATCCTGAGAGATTAAGTAGAAGAAATATCTCAAAACACAGAGCAAAAAGGCACACATGGAAATCAGAAAGAAAAAGTGAAAAAACTAGAGGACTTCTTCAGAAGGTAAAACATACTAAGCCTTATAAAATGAATTCCGTATGAATTAGAGAGTTAAGTATAAAATATGAAACAATAAAAATCAAAAAAAAATTAGAAAATTATGTCTTTAGTGTTAAGCTGAAAGTTTTGAAATGGAAAAAAATAAAATATTTGACTGTACAAACTTATTTTGAATTACATTGCAGAAGTTATTGTAAAGTCATTATTAAAATATTAGAGTTGGAAAAATAGCTGCCAAGAATATGAAAGTTAGTAGGTAGAGAATCATAATGTAGCAGTCACAAACTGATGAGAAAAATCTAAGAAACCTATATGCAGTAATTATCTATTGCTTTAAGACAATGCAACTTTATCCCCAAAATTTAGAAGATTATAATAACAAACATATATTTTCTCACAATTTCTGTGGGTCAGGTATTCAGGAGTGCCTTGGCTAGGTTTCTCTTGCTCTAGATCTCTCATAAAATTGCAATAAATCTGTCATCCTCCACAGACTCAGGAAGTCTCAATTAGGGATGGGAGATCTACTTCCAAGTTCACTCACATGGATTTTGGCAGGCTTCAATTCCTCATTCATGGGCCTCTTCACAGAGCTGCCTCATGACACTGCAGCTGACTGCTCACAGGGTGAACAATACCAGTGAGCAAGAGAGGGCACCCAAGTAGAAAACCTGAGCCTTTTTGTAACCTAATCTCAGATGTAACATCCCATCATGTCTGTACAGGCATACCTCAGAGATATTGTGGGTTCAGTTCCACACCATCACAAGAAAGCAAGCATTACAATAAAGTCACTTTTTTTTTGCTTCCCAGCTCATACAAAAGTTAATGTTTACAATATACCGTAGTTTATTAAGTGTGCAATGGCATTATATCTAGAAAACCATGTATATAAATTAATGTCAAAGACGTTAAAAATGCTGACACAGAGACACAAAGTAAGCACATGCTATAAGAAAAATGGTGCCAATAGACTTGCTGGACACAGAGTTGCCACAAACCTTCAATTTGTAAATAATAATAATAATACACAATATTTCCAAAGTGCGATAAAGTGAAACACAATAAAACAAGATATGCCTGAACCATACCTCAGAGATATTGTGGGCCTGGTTCCAGAGCATCATAATAAAGCATATAGCAGAATAAAGTAAGTCATAAATCTTTTGGTTTTTCAAATAGTCTATTAAGTGTGCAATAGCATTATGTCTAAAAAAAAGTACATATACCTTAATTTAAACACTTAATTGCTTAAAAATGCTAATGTTAATCTGAGTCTTCAGCAAGTAATAATGTATTTACTGATGGAGGGTCTTGATGTTGATGGCCACTAACTGATCAGAGTGGTGGTTGCTGAAGGTTGGGTGGCTGGGGAAATCCCTTAAAATAAAACAACAATGAAGTTTGTCATATTGATTGACTCTTCCTTTTAGAAAAGATTTCTCTGTAGCAATGCTGTTTTTATAGCAATTTACCCAGAGTAGAACTTCTTTCAAAATTGGAGTCGATCCTCTCAAAACTTGACTCTGCTTTATTAACTAAGTTTATAAAGTATTCTAAATCCTATGCAGTCACTCCAACAATGTTCATAACATCTTAACCAGGAATAGATTCCATCTCAAGAGACCACTTTCTTTACTCTTTCATAAGAAGCAGCTCCTCGTTCATTTAAGTATGATCATGAGGTTTTAGCAATTCAGTCACATCCTCAGGCTCCCCTTCTAATTCTAGTTCTCTTTCCACTCTATGTGCAGTTACTTCATCCACTAAAATCTTGAACACCTTCAAGTTATGAGGCGTGGAATTAACTTCTTCCAAACTCCTTTTAGTATTGATATTTTGACCTCCTCCCATGAATCATGAATGTTCTTCATGGCATCTAGAATGGTGAATCCTTTCCAGAAGGTTTTCAATTGACTTTGTCAAGATCCATCAGATGAATCACTATCTATGACGGTGATAACCTTACAAATGTATTTTTTTAAATAATAAGGCTAGAAAGTCAAAATTTTTCTTTAATCCATGGGCTGCAAAATGGATGTTGTGTTGTCAGGCACGAAAACAACATGAATCTCCTTGTACATTTCTTCCAGAATTCTTGGGTGACAAGGCACATTGTCAACAAGTAGGAGTATTTTGAAAGAAATTTCTTTTTCTATGCAGTAGGTCTCAAAAACAGGCTTAAAATATTTAGTGAATTATGCTGTAATTAGACATGTTGTTATCCAGGCTTTGCTGTTACACTTACAGAGCACAGGCTAAGTAGATATACCATAATCAGGAAGGTACCTGGAATTTTCAAAATGGTAAATGAGCACTGGCTTCAACTTCAAGTCACCAGCTGCATTAGCCCCAATAAGAGAGTCAGCCTGTCCTTTGAAGTTTTAATTCAAGAAATGACTTCTCCTCTTTAGCTATGGAAGTTCCAGATGACATCTTCTTCCTATATAACGGTGTTCTGTCTACATTAAAAATCTGTTGTTTAGTGTAGCTACCTTCATCAATGATCTTAGCTAGATCTTCTGAGTAACTTACTGCAACTTCCCCATCAGCACTTCCTGCTTCATCTTGCACTTTTATGTTATAGAGAGAGCTTCTTTTCCACAACTTCATGAACCAACTTCTGCTAGCTTCAAACCTTTTTCTGCAGCTCCTTCACCTCTCTCAGCCTTCATAGAATTAAAGAAAGTTAGGGCTTTGCTCTTAATTAGGCTTTGGCTTAAGTGAATGTTGTGGCTGGTTTGATCTTTTATGCAGACCACTAAAACTTTGCCCATATGACCAAGAAGGCTGTTTTCGTTTCTGATCATCTGTGTTTTCACTGGAGTAGCACTTTTAATTTCCTTCCAGAACTTTTCCTTTGTATTCACAATTTGACTAACTGCTTGATGCAAGAAGCTTAGCTTTTGGCCTGTCTTGGCTTTTGACAAGCCTTCCTCGCTGAGCTTAATCATTTCTAGCTTTTGATTTAAAGTGAAAGATATGTGACTCTTCATTTCACTTGAGAACTTAACAGCCATTGTAAGGTTACTGATTGACCTAATTTCAATATTGTTCTTTTTAAGGGAATAGGTATTCCCAAGAAGAGTGAGAGAGATTTGGGAATGGTCGGTGGAACAGTCAGAACATACACAAAATTTATTAATTATGGGTGGGGTTTGTGGGTCCCCAAAACAATTACAATAATTGACTGATCATGGATCACCACAACAGATATTAGAATAGTGAAAAGTTTGAAATGTTGCAAGAATCACCAGAATGTGACATGTGAGCACGTGCTGTTGGCACGAATAGACCCATTTGGTACAGGATTGGCACAAACCTTCAATTTGTTTAAAAAAAAAAAATGCACTACTTAATGCAGTAAACAAAGTGTACCTGTAAAAAATGGAGAGACATGGATATCATTTTCAATATGTAGATATACGTAGTTACATAGAGCCATTTACCTGCCTATGTCTACCTATATTTGTGTCCATATGTATACACACATAGAGATATATGAAAAGATGGACCAAAATAAAACAAAAACGTATTATGATAAGCCTCCTGAACCTAAAATAAAAAAAGTCACTGTTCCTACCACTCTTGTCAGTCCTGCGGCTATTCCTAGTGAGGAACTCTCTTAAACAGAAAGACACAAACCATAAATCCCATGAGTGCATGGCATTGAGCCTAGAACTTACTGAGGGACAGAATCATCTCCAAGTAATATGGGTGAGAGACCTGTGGCACAACTGAGCACGTTACACTTTTGCCAGACAATTGTTCCCCATAATTTCTTGTATTTATTTATGCTAAATCACTCCAATGTGTTTTGGTTTATGAAGTGATAGCCTCTGTCATTTTATGTCAATATGATTTTTAGAGTAAAGCACATTTGATGCATAGGAAAATTGCTAGAGCTAGAAAATGTATGCTTAGGCAAACAAGAAATGACAACACAAAATGAAGAGCTTTCAAATATGTGATGGTTGCTTTGTCTCTGGAAAAGCAAAATGTTTTTAAATCACAGGTAAGAGGAACCAAATTATCTGTACTATTGAGCATAAGCTCTTCACATTTTAACCGTAAGTAAAAAAGAGCTAAAGTCCTATGTTTCCATAGACAGCGTCAATTAGCAAATGAATTTTAAAGCACTTAAGATATAATTCCAAAAACTTATTTACAAAGCAAGTGGAAGTTTTTTTAAATAAAGCTGAAAGGATATTTTTAAATAGTAACATAACCTCAGAAAACTTTCCCTGACCACAGTCAAATCCAGATCATCTTAGCTATCTTTGGAGAGAGGCTTTTAAAACCACCAACTCCCATAATGCTGTAAAACACCAAGAAACAAATAATATTATAGTGTCCAACTTGCCATTAAAAAGGAAGATTTGTCTTAACATATTTCAAACTCCCATTTACTCAAATGAAAAGGGCCTTTTTACTTGTGCTATTGTGGAAGCAATCCCTCAGCCTCAATTCATTCTTGAGCAGTCTGCTCTTAAATGCTTTTACATTATGCTATCTTCTTTCAATATGGCCTATTTACAATAGAAATAGAGCATGGTAACCAGTTCTTCAATCTTTCCCAGACACATAACATTCTCTCTACACAGCTTCCCTCACACTTGACACTACATCATACTGCCTTCATTAATGACGGGCCACACCTAACACTTTCCCATAGCCTGCAATTTCACTCTAATTACTGTTACTTTACACTGCTGATGAATGGAACAGCTAAAATTTATATGCATACTAGACACCACTTCCTACACATCCATTCATCAGGAAGGTTTTCAGAGTTGTTAAGGAAGAGTAAAATGAATAAGTATTGACCATGTAAAAAACTCCATTATGTAGGTCACTAATAAAAGAAAAGTTCTAGGAGATAAATGCAGCCCAAAGAAAAACATTTTCAAAGTGAATGGAAAGATGAGTAGTTCATAAAGACCCTGGAAACTCAGAGAAATATCCATCAGTGATTAGGATATATAGAAGCAAAGGCTGAGTAATTCATGAAGGGAGACAGACTGTAAATTCCAAATTTTTTTTTAAAAAGTATTGTTAAGTGCAAGTACTGAGGAGGAAAAACAATTTGTGGCACATCAAAATGGAAGATAAATTTCTAAATTATGCTTTGTTTATAAAACTGACTAGATTTTGGCTGGGCACGGTGGCTCGTGCCTGTAATCCCAGCACTTTGGGAGGTCGAGGCAGGTGGATCACCTGAGGTCAGGAGTTTGAGACCAGCCTGGCTTTGAAACCCCATCTCTACTAATAATACAAAAATTAGCCGGGTGCGGTGGCACACGCCTGTAATCCCAGCTGCTCGGGAGGCTGAGGCAGGAGAATTGCTTGAACCCAGGAGGCAGGGGTTGCAATGGGCCAAGATTGTGCCATTGCACCGTAGCCTGGGTGACAAGTGAAACTCCGTCACACACACACAAAAAAATCTGACTACATTTTAAAATATAATAATAGGAATCAGATATATAAAAAAATTGTAATATTATAGCGAAAAAGTTCCCTGTGCAGAAAAATACTGTGATGTTAATTTGGGGTTTGAAGAAATCCTGGGAGTTACTGAAACCTGAGCCTTGTAAATGCAAATGTCATTCAGCTTGCAAATGACAGAATCAAGATTCAAGCTCAGGCCTGCATTCTACGCACTGAACCATTCTACCATGTTGCTTTGACTCTTGGGTCCCATGAACAAATATCTTGCAGTATAGTAGGAAGATAAGATGTGGCTATTAATTTGGATTTATGAATAAAAGATTAATACATATTTTAAGAGTGATTCAAGGTTTTTAGCCTGGATGATTGGGAGAATTATAATGCTATTAAGGGACAACAGAGAAAAAGAGGTGATTTGAGTAAAATGACAAACTGCTTTTTTCTTTTACTTTTTGTAGGCTTTCTGCTTCCCTAAATGCTGGCAGTCACTCCTAGAATCTCCAGGCAGGAGACTAGAAATTATATCTCTGGGAAATATGCCAACCCATGAGAAGACTCAAAGGTTATCCAATGAAATATCCTTGTTAGATAATGTTACAGAGGGTACCACAGTCAACAAGTCCTATTCATGTGCTCATAGTCTCCTAGAAACTTTTTAGTGCCCCACACTTAGATGGTAGCAGATAATTAAGGATATTTGAGCGTGTAAAGAAAGAGTCTAACATGAGAAATAAAGTCCAAAATAGCTGAAGAGGAGGTAGGTGGAAATACTTGAGGAAACAGATTTCATGAAGGAGGGGGAAAAACATCCAAAGAAAGAAGAGCTAATAAATATTTTTAAAGAGATAAAAGTAGACATTATATTCATTAAACAAGAATAAGTAACTATTATAAAGGAACATTCAGAGAAAAACAGTTCTCTTGAAAATTAAAAATATGCTAACAGAAATAAAAACTCAAAATAATTTAGAAGATAATGTTAAGAAAATTTCTCAGAAAAATAGAGAAAAATAAAAAACAGAAAATAGGAGAGAAAAATAAGAAAACTAGAGAGTCAGTCCAGGATGTCCACTATCCAAGTATCTTCGGCGACAGATGCGGGGGGGTGGGGGGACTAGAATAAAGAAAAGGAAATCATTTACAAAATAACTTAAGAAAATTTTCAGCAATGGAAGACATGAACTTCCAAGTTGAAAGAATCCACTAAGCACCCACTATAGTGAATGTCATTAAATATACAGTAAGGCAAACCACTGTGAAGTATCAGCATATGGAGAGCAAAGGGAGTTCTTACAAGCTTCTAAAAGGAAAAAACAAAGCAGCTTAAAATGACTTTGGATCAATAGCGACACTAGAAGATAGAAGAAAATGACTTTCCAAGGTGGAATTTTATATCAAAATATTACTCACATAAAGACATTTTTATACATGATTAGTCTCAAACACCATCTCCTCCCTTGCATTTTTTTCTCAGAAAGTTCTTAGTGGCTGGCTCCAACAAAATGAAGAAATACATTGACAGAGAAAGACATGGGTAGGCCAGGTGTGGTGGCTCATGCCTGTAATTCTAGCACTTTGGAAAGCTAAGGCAGGGGGATTGCTTGAGCTCAGGAGTTTGAGACCAGCCTGGGCAACAAAGTGAGACCCTGTCTCTACCAAAAAGTAAAATAATTAGCCCGATGTGGTAGCATGCAACTGTGGTCTCAGCTGCATGGAAGGCTGAGGCAGGAGGATCGCTTGGGCTCAGGAGGTCGAGGCTGCAGTGAGCCATGTTCCTGCCACCACACTCCAGTCTGGGCGACAGAGTGAGACCCTGTCTCAAAACACAAAAAAATGACATGGGCACTGAAAAGAGAAAATAGACACAATGAGATGAGCAAAGACTAACACCTCTGCACCAGGCACAGAGGGCAACCTGTCCAGACTGGAAAAGGTTAGAAGCCTCTAAGAAATGACACTAATAATACACCTGATTCTTCCAATATATTGGGAAGAGATTTCATCAACTGGAGGTAAGTTTGGATAGAAAAAGTGATAAACACTTATTAGAAAAATAAATAAATAACTCAGCAGAAGAAAAAGAAGAGAAAATATAATCTGTGCAGAAAATGAAAACTTATATATATGTATACATAAAAGATATAATATAAAAATGCGGCTCAGATGTGGGTAGTGTTTGCATAACCATAATCATATAAACACTATAATATATACTGAGCTGACCCAAAATATTATAAAATTCGAGAATAAGGAGCTAGGAAGGACCAAGGTTTTTGTGTGACAGGAAAGAAAAGACAGGTCAGAAAGAGAACTAAATCCTATTTCCAGAAGTCACTGAAGAGCTAGCACCTAGAGCTAAACATTTTCAAGATAGAAATACATCCATGTTTAGAATACAGAGATGATAGAGTTGAAAGTCATTGCTTCTAGGAGAAGAAATTAGAGAAGTGGGCCAAAACATCCTTAGCAAATTTGAACTATTTGATGCTTTAAATTATATACACCTATGTATCACAAATGGAAATAAAAATCAGAGAGTAAAAGACATGGGAAAGGAAAGCCACCCTCAGGAAGAACGTTGTTGACTTGAGTTTTCAAGGAAGAGAAAGAGTACCCCTGAGGAACAGAAGAAAGGAAGTCATGCCAGCAGAGATGCACCAACCCAACTGCCAAAATGCTAATCTAAGTCTTTGCTTCTGTTTGCTTTTTCAATAACCCCTATTTTCTTCAGTTTTAGGTTTTTTATTAAGCCAAATTTTGTCGCCAGCCACCTTCTAAATCTCTTAACAACATAACTTTAACACCAGGAGTCATCTCAACGTACCTCCATGTGCTACAATGGGAACCATGAACAGGTTCTAAGGCATCCATTTAAAATATCTATTATTACAACTCTTACTGAATTCTCTGCCTTTAAACTGCATATAATGGCTAACAAATTGCTTGGTTAAATTCGTACCAAAAAATAGTGAAATAGAAATCCAGCTCATTACAGTTTGGATCTAAAAAGCCTCAAACCTTGTTCTTGAGAGAAGAAGGTAGCTCTAATATCTCAGAAGCTGGAAGTGGTTTGTTTTCTTCAGTGTAGGTGGGCCTAATCTTCATTTAAAAATATCTAGAAAATTGAAAAATATCTAGAAAAATATCTAGAAAAATATCTAGAAAATTGAAGTAATGGCACTATTTCAAAAGCATAATTAGAAAAACACAAGAAAATGTTATTTGAGTAAAAAAGAAATGTATGTATTACTTTTGTCAAGTCTTGCTGAGTTCCGAGGGCAATCCTTTGAAATTGAGGATAGGATCAGACATTCCTCTGCCCACCTCGAGATGGTTTCCCAGCCTTGCCTGAGGCCCTTGGCTGGTCATGGGAGCCAGATGAAGAACCAACAGTCTGACTTCCATCCCAAAATAGATCCCCTGGATCAAAAATAGGCCTTTCTCCAAATCTTCAACCACGATTCTTTCTTTATTCTCAAAAGTGTGCTGCAAGCTCAGAAAACAGCAATATAAAACATTTGCGCGGAGCAGAACAGATGTTACCAGAGGTTGAGGTGAGGAGGATGGGGAGAGGTTGGTCAACAGGTACAAAGTTAGATAGGAGGAATAAGTTCTGGTGTTCTATTGCACAGTAAGGTGACATTGGTTAACATAAAGGTATTGTGTATTTAAAAATTGCTAGAAGAGAGGCTTTTGAATGTTCTCACCACCAAGAAATGGTAAATGCATGGGGTGATGGATACACTAAATACTCTGATTGGTCATTAAGCAACATGTATGTATCAAAACATCAGACTGTACCCCATAAATAGGTACAATTAAAGTGTGTCAATTAATAAAATTAATAGATTAATTCTAAAAATAAAAATAAAATGCTTGTGAAGGACATCTGTTTTATTTTATGAAAAGCTATAAGATTAATAGTAGTATAAATATTAACAAAATCAACACGAAATAAAAATTAGTAAATAACTGTACCATTTCCACTCAGATTTCATTCTGAGTATTATCGAAGTGCAAAGAAGAAAAAAAATCATCGATTAAGTGGGTCCTGTATTTCACTTCATTTATTTAGTAAAGTTATGAGAGTTTAAATATACGTCCAACAATATATATTTTCTCATTTTACAACTATTGAGTCTTTGAATGATTTCTTTTCTGGATAATAAATCTTTATATTCAGAACTGCATTACTTTAAAGAAACTTCAAATTATGCATAAAGATAGAAAAGCACATAAGCCACTGATTTAAGCATATGTGTGTCTTTCACGGAAACTATAATTCATGTTAGACTTCTTTAACTCAGAATGGTTTCATATTCTTTACCTTAGCACATGCTTTTTGAAATTAGTAAAATGAAAACATAAGAAAAATCGACATGATTAAGTATTAGGTTGGTGCAAAAGTAATGCGGTTTTTGCTATAATAGTAAAAACCACATTACTTTGCACCAATCAGCTATTTCAAATTAATAGCTTTAATTTTTTTCAGCAATTGATATCCTACTTTTCAACTTACACTATCATATTATGATTTACAAAAACAAGCTGTGGAGGACTTTTAGGAATTAAACTGTATTACAAAACAGAAAATATTTCAAATATATATTCAAAGTGTGTTTAAAGGGCATGAGAAATAATAATTAATACTGTTAATTCCCTATGTTTGGGACTGTCCTTCATACACACACACACCCCTATGCATCTTTGATAAGTTTTCACTATGATTGTTTCACAACAGAAATTGTAAGGAGCAGAACAGTAATATCAATGAGAGAGAATTTCACAGAAAATGCTGGTTACATTTGATAGGGTTGAAAAACTGGCTTTGAGTTAGTTTCTGCTGAGAGAAATGCTTGGAGAAAGAATGTCCTTGGGAACAATAATAAACAGAAAACTCTATAGACTGGATTTACAAAGAAATAAATATATACATAGTCTATAAAGGCAATGTCTTGAGCACTATGCTGGCAATTTTCCAGGAGCCCTGGGAACATGCCTAATTTCCATCTAAATTTGCACACATCTTTATTGCAATCTCATACCCTGTGAAGATTTACTCATTCTTATGTCCTTTGGCACAAAAGGAAAAATGAGATGTTTCTTCTCTCTCTCTCTCTCTCTCTCTCTCACTCACTCTTTCTCTCTAACAGTAAAATCAGTGATGTTCCTGCAAGATCCATCAGGAGTCTAAATTGCATTCCTTGAGATCCAGCCTCAGCATCACTAATATTTAAAGAATGGAAAAACTGCAGTCACAGCTTTAGTTGTGGAACTTACTCTCAAATAATTTTCACGATGGGAATTGAGTTGTACAAATGAATCACTGAATGAGGCTACGCCCCACCATAATCCTCTCTGTAACTCATTCCACCTGTGCATGAAAAACACATATTGTCAGATAATTTTATTATGAGGTTGCTAAATTTGACAGGCCTTCAAAAGAACCACTTCCTGCATGTTCATTTGAAAGCATATTCCTGGACCACTTCCTGCACATCCATTTGAAAACTATTCCTCTGCCAGTCATTCCCACCTTCTCCCTTTCTACCACCTCTGTCCTGTCCTCTCAGAGTAAAAATATACTCAACCCCAGACTAATCCTTCTTGAATTACTGCCCTCTGCCCTTCCAAGTACTGCCAAGCTTTTTGAAAAATATTTTAGGTTATCTTTCCCTACTTCTTTGACATCTCTCACTCTCTTGTTATCTGTTCCTGCCCCACAAAAGTATTGTAACTAATTACATAAATGTCAATAAAAACCTATGAGTCATCAAATCCAAGGGCCTCTTTCAACGCTTACCAATGATAATGATGATGATGATAATAATAGCAATCATTCTGATAGCTGACTTTACTGAGCACAAACTATATGCCTGGCATTGGGCCAAGCATTTTGCATGTGTTAGCACATTCATTCTCACAACATTTTCCTTTAACAACAATTTTTTAACAGCAACTTAAAAGAAATAGCAGGTTCAAGAAATGATTTTCCTGTGGTTGTCCAGTTAGTAAGAACTGGCCACCTTGCAGCATTTTGTATATTTTCTATTTTCATTTCTTCCTAGATGTGTTCTTGCCTCTGCCTATCTTACTTGGTTTTGTTTCTAGCTCTAAGAGGTGCTGTCTCCTTCTCCTTCTGTTAATTCTCTTCCTCCATGCATTCTTCTCATGTAGTTTCATCCTATGACATTATTCACTCAAATCATTTAAATCTTCCCCTCCTAAGGATGAATTCCAGGTTTATATTTCTAGCCAAGATGTTCCTCCTGATTTGGGGCACACATGGAAATGTAGCTCTACCGCTTGTCCCTTCTGTCCATAGACCTCTGTCTTTCTCGTGCCCTTTCCATCTAGCCAATCTTGTGAAAACATCGAATTTCCTTTTACGCTATTTTAAAAATCGTTCTCCCTGTCCTTTCTGATTTCAGTTGTCCAAATGAAGAATCACATTACTTCTGCCTCATTAATTGCAATTCCTTTGCAATAAGGGAAAAATTAATAACACAGAAATTAGAGTTAGAAGGCCCCAAATTTGAACTATAGCTCAGGCACTTACCATGTGCTCCGGAGCAAATTACTTTATCTTCCTACACCTCACTTTTCTTTTCAGTAATGTGAAAAAATAATACAGTGCTATTGTGAAGATGAAATAAAATCATAGGTATGGTATAGTAACACCATAATGCCAAACCAGGAACTCAATCCAATTTATAATAGCATAAAAAAAAACTACAAATAAAATACCTTGAAACATATTTAACCAAGGAGGCGAAAGATCTCTACAACGAGAACTACAAAACACTGATAATAAAAACCACTGATGACACAAACAAATGGAAAAACATCTCATGCTCATGGATTGGAAGAATCAATATTGTTTAAATGGCCATACTGCCCAAAGCAATCTACAGGTTCGATGCAATTCCTATCAGAATACCAAGAACATTTTTCACAGAATTAGAAAAAACTGTCCTTATATTTATATGGAACCAAAAAAGAGCCCAGATAGCAAAAGTAATCCTAAACAAAAAGAACAAAGCTGGCGGCATCACATTTCCTGACTTCAAATTATGTTACAAGGCTACAGTAACCAAAACAGCATGGTACTGGTATATAAATAAATACATAGATCAATGGAACAGAATAGAGAACCCAGAAATAAAGCCACATACTGACAAGCCACTGATCTTTGACAAAGTCAACAAAAACATAAAGTGCAGAAAGGGGAATTCCCCTATAAATAGGGGAATATTACCTATTCAATAAATGGTGCTGGGAAAATTAAACAGCCATATGCAAAAGAATAAAACCAGACCCATGTCTCTCACCATATACAAAAATTAACTCAAGGTATATTAAAGATTTAAACTTGAGACCTGAAACTATAAAAATCCTAGAAGAAAACCTAGAAAAATTTCTTCTGGACATTGGCCCAGGCAAATAGTTTATAACTAAGTCCTCAAAAGCAAATGCAACAAAAATTAAAACTAACAAATGGGACTTGAACTAAAATACTTCTGCATAGCAAAAGAAATAATCAACAGGGTAAACAGACAACCCACAGAATGGGAGAAAATATTTGCCAACTATGCATCGAACAAAAGGCTAATATCTGGAATCTACAAGAAACTCAACAAGAAAAAAAGACAAATAACCTTATTAAAAAGTGGACAAAGGACATGAACAGACATTTTTCAAAAGAACACACACAAGTGATCAAGAAACATGAAAAAAATGCTTAACATCACCAAGCATTAGAGAAATGCAAATAAAACCACAATGAGATACTATCTCATTGGCTACTACTAAAAAAGTCCAAAACCAACAGATGTTGGAGAGGATGTGGAGAAAAGGAAACACGTATACACCATTGATGGAAATGTAATTTGTACAACCTCTATGGAAAACAGTATGGAGGTTTCTCAAAGAACTAAAAGTAGAGCTACCATGTGACCCAGCAGTCCAACTACTGGGTATGTACCCAAAGGAAAAGAAATCACTATATGAAAAAGACATCTGTACCTGTATGATTATTGCAGCACTATTCACAGTAGCAAAGTCATGGAATCAACCTAAGTGTCCATAAACAGATGATTGGATTAAAAATGTGTTATATATACATATATATCACATGCATATAACACACACACACACACATAAATACTACTCATTTAAAAAAATGAAATCATGTTTTTTGCAGCAGTGGATGGAACTAAAGGCCATTATCCTAAGTGAAATAACTCAAAAACAGAAAGTCAAGTACTGCATATTCTCACTTAGAAACAATGGGAACACATGGGCATACAGAGTGGATGAATAGACACTGGAGACTCCAAAAGGTGGGAGGGTAGAAGGGGAGTGAGGGTTGAAAAAGTATCCATTAGGTAAGACATTGACTGTTTGGGCAATGGGTACATGAAAAGTCCAGACTTCACCACTACGTGATATATCCAAGCAATAAAATGGTACTTGTACCCCCAAAATCTACAAAAAAAGTTTAAATAACACAGTAATTATTCAGCCAAAAAGTGATTATTATATTATTAAGCTGAATTTTTGACCCTAGATTCTTCCCCAACCATTTGCTATAAAGCAGTCCCTGTTCAAAAACTTTTCATGACTTCTCTTAAGGACTCAGTTTCCTCAAGCTTCCATGAGTTCATCTCAAGTTTTTTCCAGATCTACTTTCCCATTTTACCCTCTCTCATTTCTCCAGTCTACCAGCCACAAGCCAATACCCCTGCAGTTCCTCTGACACAACTCCTTACCCACACCTTGCCTTTTCTTAAATAGCACTCTCGTTATTAGTTATTTTAATAAACTTTTATTCTAATATTCACCAATCAAAATTTGATCCATCTTGTAAAGATGGAGATAAAATTTCCATCAGAATTACTGTGGTACCACCCAGTTAAAATTCATTTCTCTGTCTTCTGCATCCACATATCAGCCCAAAGTTCTGTTAATGTAGTTAGTGAAATCTACCCTTTGTCGGTGTTACTACTTAGTCATGTGTCTGTCTCTCCTCAGACAGAAGGACACAGACGTTGGTCCTCTTCCTGTCCTCCCACTTCACCTACCCAGTGCTTGTTACAGAGTAAGTGCTCAATAAATATTAGATAAATTGAAATGAATTAAATATTTTCAGACTTAATATCCTGAATAGGTAATGACGTGGAGGAAATTTCAATTTTCTTAATATCAGAATCTCCTTACAAGAAGAGCCCAATCTTAGTGGAGGGAATACTTTGCTGAGCTAATTGGGATGAGGCGTCCATAAGAGAATTGTGAGACCCACAAGGGGGCATATTTGGAAAAGCAACAGATAATCTATAAACTGCTTTCTAAGGCGGGTAGGTTCTTTTCATTGCAGGCTTTGTGGGTGGCAGGCAAGCAAACTTGAAGAAAGAGATGAATTTCTCACGAGAAAGGAGATTTGAGAGAAACGGAGGTTCAATGCTGAAAGGAGACAGGGAAGCTATCTTTCTGGGAAGAACATACATGTCTACTGTGCATTTTTTTTCACACGCTGCCTGATGCTGTCAGATAAAAATCATCTTTCCAACCCCCCCACCCACCATGAAATCATCAGTAAAATTCCATATTTCATCCCAAAGCACTGTAGAATATAACTTAGTTTGGGATGGATGCAGTGATGGGCTGAAGCCTCCTTCAAAATGGGAATAGGACAAGAACTGAATGGTTCAGCCATATCTATATACTATTTATATAATATCCTGCTAGTATCTCTTATTTCCAGGATATAGGAATAAAATAATTTAGTGTAGTGATGACTATGGTTCCTTTCTCACTTTACATTCCAAATCTTGTATTTGCCTGAGTAAGCATCATAACCAACCATTCAAACATTTATAGAGTGCCAGCAAAACATGGTATTCTATTAAGTAGAAAACAATAATTATTATATCAATACATAATTTTTTTTACTAATAACATCTGCTACTTACAATATGCCAGGCACTTTCATAAGTTTATTATCTCATTTAATCCTACCTACAACCGCACACTGCTAGTATTTCCATTTTAGAGGCTTAGAGAGGTTGACGAACTTGCCCACAGTCCCAAAGCTAGTAAGAGACAAGGTCAGGAGTTAAGTCTATTTTCATCTGCTTTAATACAGATGTTCTTAACCACAGTATGTACTGCTATTAAGGGATCCAAAGATATACAATGCGCAAAACCTGCTACCAAAATGCTCACAATTTGAGCAGATTAAGCAAATTATCCTTAAAAGATAACTCAGGCAATGGCTGGAATTTGAGTGTCTAATTACTGTTCCAAAGTAAAAATTGAGAAAGTCGCTTGAGATTTAAATATTCTGATTTCCTCTGAGTCAAAATTTAGCCAATATTTTCAACCAATCATGGTGGTTCTGATCATCTTTAGACAAGAGAAACGCCATACTGGCTACTGTGCTAAATGGCACTTAGTAAGCCAAATAGATTGGTTACTTTGATGAACCATGTATATGCAATCAAGAAAGTTGTCCATAAATATTTCTAAAGAACATTCTTTATCCATTTATCTGTTGATGTACACAGGTTGATTTTATAATGTGGCTATTGTGAAAACTGCTGCAATAAATATGGGGGTGCAGATAGCTCTCTGACAAACAAATTTCAAGATTTTTGGGTACATCCCCAGAAGTGAGATTTCCGGATCATATGGTAGTTCTATTTTTAGTTTTTTGAGAAGCCTTCATAGTATTCTGCATATGGCTGCACTAATTTACATTCCTACCAATAGTGTACAATGGCTTCCTTTTCTCCACATCTTGCCAACACTTGTCACCTTTTGTCTTTTTGATAAAAGCCATTCTGACAGATACAGTATATGCACACAATGGAATACTATTCAGCCTTTAAAAAGAAAGAAATTCTGTCATTTGCGACAACATAGATGGAACTGGAGAACATTATGCTAAAATAAGTCAGGCACAGAAAGACAAATATTGCATATTCTGTCTTATCTGCGGAAATGAGAACAATCAAACTCATAGGAGCAGAGAGTAGAATGACGGTTACAAAGACTGGAAAGTGGGGGAATGAAGAGATAATGGTCCAAAGTTACAAAATCTTAGGAGTAATATGGGTTTTAGTTTTATTACACAGTATGATGAATACAGTCAATAATAGAGGATTATACATTTCAAAATTGGAAAGAGCAAATTTCAAATGTTTCCCCCTCAAAAAAGTTAAGTATTTGAAGTGATAGATAACGTTAATGAGCTTTATGTAATTATTTCGTATTATGTACACAAATTATAACATCACTTTTTACCCCATAACTTTATACAATTATAACTTGTCTATCTATAACAAAAAATAAATAACTTTTGGGTATTTAAAAAAAATGCTACCTTCTTTTCTTTTCTTTTTTTTTTTTTTTTTTTTTTTTTTTTGAGACGGAGTCGTTCTGTCGCCGAGGCTGGAATGCGATGGTGCGATCTTGACTCACTGCTACCTCCGCCTTCCAGATTCAAGTGATTCTCCTGCCTCAACCTCCAGAATAGCTGGGATTACAGGCGCCCAACACCATGCCCAGCTAATTTTTGTATTTTTAGTAGAGACAGGGTTTCATCATGTTGGCCAGGCTGGTCTCCTGACCTCAGGTGATCCGCCCACCTCGGCCTCCGAAAGTGCTGGAATTACAGGCATGAGCCACCACGCCAGGCCAATGCTACCTTATTTTCTTGGCTTTCAGGTAGCTTTTTAAGAAGTATCTTACTTGATCTAGAACACTTTTTTCCCAAATGCCTGCAAGTAAAAACTGCATATGGGCTAATATAATTTTTAATTTCCTCTGCTGTTCTGGATCAAATGGTATTATATTTTCAGAATTTCATTTCAAGATAATCCTAACTTGTGATTATGGTGTTTCTACACTATAAATTTCCTAAGAAAAACATCATAATTGTAATTCTTTTCCTACTAAGAAACATCACAGTTCATACTTGGGAATCACTTAGATGAGAAGAAACTCCTAGAAATTATGCAGAACTGAAGTTAAAGTTGTCGTTCAAACAAGAGAAAACCAGACATTTTAACTGGGAATTAGAACAAGAATTGTTCTTTGAAAAAAAGTGACTTTAAATTATGTAAATAAAAATTAATTTAAGAGCAGATTCTTTTAATGAGACTACAAAACAAGAAATTCAAAGTTAATGTAGACATTAGATATTACTTCAGGAAGAAAATAAAGAATGAATGATCTGAGACAAAGGAATGTCAGATGTATATCGAATTTTAAAACAGTGTCATCTCGGCCGGGCATGGTGGCTGATGCCTGTAATCCCAGCACTTTGGGAGGCTGAGGCAGGCAGATCACAAAGTCAGGAGATTGAGACCATCCTGACCAACACGGTGAAACCTTGTCTCTACTAAAAATACAAAAATTAGCCAGGCATGGTGGCAGGCTCCCAGCTACTCTGGAGGCTGAGGCAGGAGAATGGCGTGAACCCGGGAGGCGGAGCTTGCAGTGAGCTGAGATGGTGCCACTGTACTCCAGACTGGGAGACAGTGCAAGACTCCGTCTCCAAACAAACAAACAAACAAACAAAAAACAGTGTCATCTCATTCAATCTTTTCCTAAGTTAATTACATGATGGAATTTAAGTTTAGGTGACAGACATAAGTGAATTTACATGTTTGTACCTTTCCCCTTTATTACATAAGTAAATATGGCTTTCAACTGAAGGAAACAAAGGTATTAGAATGTAATATTGGAGGATGCAATCATTTAAATGAGAAACCTTAGTGGTTTATATTAAGTTCCCAACATGTTGGTTTGATAGATAATTACATGATTAGGAAGGGTTTTTTTTTTGTTTTTTGTTTTTTTGTTTTTTTGTTTTTTGTTTTTTAATCCTCCCTTATGTAGCCAAGAAACCAGAATGCCTTCTTTGGAGGTTAGGATACAAATTACCTAATAAGTCATACACTTTGTGTAATAAAATCACATATATAAAACCTATGGAGTACATAAGTGGTTATCCTGAATATTCCTGCTTTATTTTTCATAAAAGGATAAATAGTAACATTCGGGGTGTGGTTTTATCAAATTTTACTTTTTATTATTAATTTTAATCTAATTTAATTTAAGAATATATTTTAATATGAAAGACATGTAATAGGAGTGGCGTGTTTGTGTAATAAGAATGTTTGCATGGGTATGAAGAATGGAGGAAAAAACTATTTGCTTCATGTTAACATGAAAACTTTATTTCCTTACTAACATGACATTATTACAGAATTAAGTAATTTATAAAGGTAAAATTTTTATTGCAATATGCTTCTGAAAAACAGTTTAGTCATTTTACGCAGTCTCACACCCCAGCCTTATCATCATATCATCTCCATTTATTTCCTATTCCAAATATGTATAAAATAGATTTAAATTTTAACTTTCAGACAGTCATATCCACATTGTTCTTGGTGAGGCACTTTGTGCCCACAGTTCTATCATAAACTTATCAACTGTACCAGAAATGATAACCATTCAGTTACTAATTCCATAAGTACATGTACACCCTCTGTATACCATGCTTAGGTTCTGAAGATATAGCAGTATATGGAACAGATACAAATCCTGCCATCCTGCAACCCAATTTCTGATTGGCAATTATTTCCTCTGCGTTGGTCAAATAAGCAAGCCAAAAATTCTCACTTCCAGTTAGTAGAACAGTGTCATCATGAAGTGGATTTTAAGCTTTTCAAGGTCATTTAAAGGGCTTCTCTTCATTCTGAAATGTATGAGAAATGTATAAGAAAGAACTTGCTTTCTTCAAGTGACTTAAAGACAGTAGATCCCTGTCTACTGGAGGAGTGGAGTGAGTGGCAGAAGGAGATCAACGGTCTTCTGAATGAAAAACCCTGACTCTAGTTACTAAAGGCTTAGGGCTAAAGAAATTTGGCAGTGAGAACAAGGTGGCCAGGACCAAAGTTTACAGACAGAAAGTGACATCAGTAAACAAGAGTGATGTCACCAGGAACAATGTAGAAGTTTGGGTCAACTGGATTTGAATCTCTGTGAGAAGACCACCAGTATTGTGGGAAGAACTGATTCTGACAGAGTGTGTAGAGCAAACAAAGCTCTTCACGTTCCAGCTCCCATAATATGGAGTTTTGCCTTGGGGAGCAATGGCTGTATACACACATGTGAAGTAAGATAGCTATAGCTCTGAATCCCAGCATTCAGCCCCTCTGTGAGCTGTGCAGGGCTCGGACAAACAGGGGGCTCAAGAAATAGCAGGGAAAAGCCTTAGAATTTCCAGCTCTCTGAACAACAAACTCTGGAAAGCAGGACACCTACCTACACTACGTTCATATTAGCCAAGCTTCTGGAGTCTCAGAACAATTCTAGAGTAAGGAGGAGACTTCTCCCTGTAGTAGACTTCCTGCTAATAAGCAAATGTGCGGGTGGAGTGATGCGCTGAAATAAGGAAATTATTGCCAGCTTTGTACTCTGAGATATTAAAGAAGGACATTCAGTTTGCATTAAACGAATATCTAGTTAGTATTTTGTCATTTGTTTAACAATTTTTATATTTGCCCTTTATGTTCAGGATGAGATTTTTTTTAAAAGATGCTAGAACTCTGAATTTACAAAGATTTATCGTATACATTTGATAAACCAATTCTAAATAGAAGAAGGTTTATAACAAGTCTTCTCCCTGACCCTATAAATCTAAGCCAAGACAGCAAGGAATCCATGTGCTGCCTCCAGGCTCTACACAACTTTGTGCTGTATTTTAAAACTACTCCCAACTGTGCTATCCTCAGAGGTGATAAAGAAGAACTGTTTATTACCGAACTTTCCTCAACCTCCATATTCTTATTCCCCTGGCTCCATATACTTGAAGACTGTGATTGCATCTTAACTGAAATAAATCTTATATGGAATATTGTAGTTCTCCAAGGTAGCTAAAACACAACCACTCCACATTAGTACAATTCTTTGATAGAGTGGACAAAATCTCTTTTGCATCTGAGAACCTCTAAATATCAGGCAGCTAAGAGACCCAAGCTTCCTGACCCTACGAGATCAGGCCCCTACTTACCTGCATCCCACTTCACCCCATTTCCCTACACGTCCTTGACTTTGACACCTTGGTGTTCTTTCAGACACTTATGTATATCATGCCGCTTTATGCACAAGCACTTTCTCTACTCTGTTATCTCTGTTGGAAACTTCTGCCTTCACCTTTTTATTAGTGAAATCATCTTTCAGCTCTCAACACAGATGTCATTTCTTAGAGACAGATCAAGTCCCCTGTTACAAGTTCTTATGGTGGGAGAGCCTCCTGTGGCAGCTCCTAATGTGTGTTGTGATTATGTGTTAATGTCTATCCCCTCCTCCAAGGTTGTAAGTTACAGAAGAGCTGCCAGCATACTTGTTTTCTTGTTCGTCATTCCACATCCATGCCTAGTGCATGGTAGACATTTAAGTAATACTTACTCAACGTCTAAATGAATGAAAGGGTGAAGATCTCAATAACCTGTAATAATTATGTCAAATATAACAAAATCTAATGTAAAATGAATAAGTGCAAATTCCAACATTTATATCCATAAAACCAACTACCCATGTGCAGAATGGGGAGCATGAAGCTTAAGGGCAGCTCATATAAAAGTGTACTTCAGAATTTTAGTTAATTACAATTTCCAGGTGAGTCAACAGCATGACTGCCTCAAGACAGAAACACTTGAGTATAGTGCCCCAAATCACTGCAATGCCTTCCCCTTTATACTTCAAATTGATCCAACTATATCAAGAAAACTGTGGGATACTACTTTTACAGGAATGCCAATACATTGGAGAATACTCAGAGAACAGATATTAGAATGAGGGGAATTGGTAAACTGTTACAATCACTGAAAACAGCTATATTGTATTCATTCCTTCACACATTCAATCCATTTATTGAGTATGACTGAGTGTATTATACCTGGCACAAACGTGGACACTTGGGAATATCAGCAAATAAAATAGACAATGATACCTGTCTCATGTACCTTACATTCTTTAAAGAATAACAGATAATATTATAATAAATAAGTAAACCATGTAGAACATTAGAAGGTAATAATAAATAATAAATATGGAAAAAAATGTTGAACAATCAAAAGAGGATCTGGGGTGCCGGGAAGAGGGTGAGGTGATTAGTTGCAGGGTTAATACTGTGATGAGGTTGACCTTATTGAAGGGATCAAAGAATGGAAGGGAATAAGGGAATCAATCAACTGGATATCAGGAGAAGAATGTTCTAGGCAGAGAAAACACTAAAGCAAATACACTACCACAGGATAGAGATTACCTGGCATATTGGTGGGGCAACAGGGACCAGTGTTGCTGAGGCAGAGTGAGTCCAGAAGGAGAGCACAGGAGAAGCTGAGTTGCAGGAGGTAGATCTCGGAAGGCCTTGCAGGCCATTACAAAAATGTTGGTGTTGTCTCTAAAATGAGTAAGTAGATGAGGCTGCATTAAAATCGGTATGATCCAAAGAGTAGAAAATTGGCCAAGATGGCCGAATAGGAACAGCTCCGGTCTACAGCTCCCAGCGTGAGCGACGCAGAAGACGGTGATTTCTGCATTTCCATCTGAGGTACCGGGTTCATCTCACTAGGGAGTGCCAGACAGTGGGCGCAGGTCAGTGGGTGCGCGCACCGTGCACGAGCCGAAGCAGGGCGAGGCATTGCCTCACTTGGGAAGCGCAAGGGGTCAGGGAGTTCCCTTTCCGAGTCAAAGAAAGGGGTGACGGATGGCACCTGGAAAATCGGACCACTCCCAACCGAATACTGCGCTTTTCCGACGAGCTTAAAAAACGGCACCACGAGATTATATCCCACACCTGGCTCAGAGGGTCCTACGCCCACGGAGTCTCACTAATTGCTAGCACAGCAGTCTGTGATCAAACTGCAAGGCTGCAGCGAGGCTGGGGGAGGGGCGCCCGCCATTGCCCAGGCTTGCTTAGGTAAACAAAGCAGCCGGGAAGCTCGAACTGGGTGGAGCCCACCTCAGCTCAAGGAGGCCTGCCTGCCTCTGTAGGCTCCACCTCTGGGGGCAGGGCACAGACAAAAAAAAGACAGCAGTAACCTCTGCAGACTTAAATGTCCCTGTCTGACAGCTTTGAAGAGAGCAGTGGTTCTCTCAGCACACAGCTGGAGATCTGAGAACCAGCAGACTGCCTCCTCAAGTGGGTCCCTGACCCCTGACCCCCGAGCAGCCTAACTGGGAGGCACCCCCCAGCAGGGGCAGACTGACAACTCACAGGGCCCAGTACTACAACAGACCTGCAGCTGAGGGTCCTGTCTGTTAGAAGGAAAACTAACAAACAGAAAGGACATCCACACATAAAACCCATCTGTACATCACCATCATCAAAGACCAAAAGTAGATAAAACCACAAAGATGGGGAAAAAACAGAACAGAAAAACTGAAAACTCTAAAAAGCAGAGCACCTCTCCTCCTCCAAAGGAACGCAGTTCCTCACCAGCAACGGAACAAAGCTGGATGGAGAATGACTTTGACGAGCTGAGAGAAGGCTTCAGACGATCAAATTACTCTGAGCTACGGGAGGACATTCAAACCAAAGGCAAAGAAGTTGAAAACTTTGAAAAAATTTTAGAAGAATGTATAACTAGAATAACCAATACAGAGAAGTGCTTAAAGGAGCTGACGGAGCTGAAAACCAAAGCTCAAGAACTACGTGAAGAATGCAGAAGCCTCAGGAGCCGATGCGATCAACTGGAAGAAAGGGTATCAGCAATGGAAGATGAAATGAATGAAATGAAGCGAGAAGGGAAGTTTAGAGAAAAAAGAATAAAAAGAAATGAGCTACACCTCCAAGAAATATGGGACTATGTGAAAAGACCAAATCTACGTCTGATTGGTGTACCTGAAAGTGATGGGGAGAATGGAACCAAGTTGGAAAACACTCTGCAGAATATTATCCAGGAGAACTTCCCCAATCTAGCAAGGCAGGCCAACGTTCAGATTCAGTAAATATAGAGAACGCCACAAAGATACTCCTCGAGAAGAGCAACTCCAAGACACATAATTGTCAGATTCACCAAAGTTGAAATGAAGGAAAAAATGTTAAGGGCAGCCAGAGAGAAAGGTCGGGTTACCCTCAAAGGGAAGCCCATCAGACTAACAGCGGATCTCTCGGCAGAAACCCCACAAGCCAGAAGAGAGTGGGGGCCAATATTCAACATTCTTAAGACAAGAATTTTCAACCCAGAATTTCATATCCAGCCAAACTAAGCTTCATAAGCGAAGGAGAAATAAAATACTTTACAGACAAGCATATGCTGAGAGATTTTGTCACCACCAGGCCTGCCCTAAAAGAGCTCCTGAAGGAAGCACTAAACATGGAAAGGAACAACCGGTACCAGCCGCTGCAAAATCATGCCAAAATGTAAAGACCATCAAGACTAGTAAGAAACTGCATCAACTAACGAGCAAAATAACCAGCTAACATCATAATGACAGGATCAAATTCACACATAACAATATTAAATGTAAATGGACTAAATGCTCCAATTAAAAGACACAGACTGGCAAATTGGATAAAGAGTCAAGACCCATCAGTGTGCTGTATTCAGGAAACCCATCTCACGTGCAGAGACACACATAGGCTCAAAATAAAAGGATGGAGGAAGATCTACCAAGCAAATGGAAAATAAAAAAAGGCAGGGGTTGCAATACTAGTCTCTGATAAAACAGACTTTAAACCAACAAAGATCAAAAGAGACAAAGAAGGCCATTACATAATGGTAAAGGGATCAGTTCAACAAGAAGAGCTAACTAACCTAAATATATATGCACCCAATACAGGAGCATCAAGATTCATAAAGCAAGTCCTGAGTGACCTGCAAAGAGACTTAGACTCCCACACATTAATAATGAGAGACTTTAACACCCCACTGTCAACATTAGACAGATCAACGAGACAGAAAGTTAACAAGGATACCCAGGAATTGAACTCAGCTCTGCACCAAGCAGACCTAATAGACATCTACAGAACTCTCCACCCCAAATCAACAGAATATACATTTTTTTTTAGCACCAAACCTATTCCAAAATCGACCACATATTTGGAAGTAAAGCTCTCCTCAGCAAATGTAAAAGAACAGAAATTATAACAAACTATCTCTCAGACCACAGTGCAATCAAACTAGAACTCAGGATTAAGAATCTCACTCAAAACCGCTCAACCAAATGGAAACTGAACAACCTGCTCCTGAATGACTACTGGGTACATAACGAAATGAAGGCAGAAATAAAGATGTTCTTTGAAACCAATGAGAACAAAGACACAACATACCAGAATCTCTGGGACGCATTCAAAGCAGTGTAGAGGGAAATTTATAGCACTAAATGCCCACAAGAGAAAGCAGGAAAGATACAAAATTGACACCCTAACATCACAATTAAAAGAACTAGAAAGGCAAGAGCAAACACATTCAAAAGCTAGCAGAAGGCAAGAAATAACTAAAATCAGAGCAGAACTGAAGGAAATAGAGACACAAAAAACCCTTCAAAAAATTAATGAATCCAGGAGCTGGTTTTTTGAAAGGATCAACAAAATTGATAGACTGCTAGCAAGACTAATAAAGAAAAAAAGAGAGAAGAATCTAATAGACGCAATAAAAACTGATAAAGGGGATATCTCCACCGATCCCACAGAAATACAAATTACCATCAGAGAATAAATACTACAAACACCTCTATGCAAATAAACTAGAAAATCTAGAAGAAATGGATAAATTCCTCGACACATACACTCTCCCAAGACTAAACCAGGAAGAAGTTGAATCTCTGAATAGACCAATAACAGGAGCTGAAATTGTGGCAATACTCAATAGCTTACCAACCAAAAAGAGTCCAGGACCAGATGGATTCACAGCTGAATTCTACCAGAGGTACAAGGAGGAACTGGTACCATTCCTTCTGAAACTATTCCGGTCAATAGAAAAAGAGGGAATCCTCCCTAACTCATTTTATGAGGCCAGCATCATTCTGATACCAAAGCTAGGCAGAGACACAACAAAAAAAGAGAATTTTAGACCAATATCCTTGATGAACATTGATGCAAAAATCCTCAATAAAATACTGGCAAAACGAATCCAGCAGCACATCAAAAAGCTTATCCACCATGATCAAGTGGGCTTCATCCCTGGGATGCAAGGCTGGTTCAATAATACGCAAATCAATAAATGTAATCCAGCATATAAACAGAGCCAAAGACAAAAACCACATGATTATCTCAATAGATGCAGAAAAAGCCTTTGACAAAATTCAACAACCCTTCATGCTAAAAACTCTCAATAAATTAGGTATTGATGGGACATATTTCAAAATAATAAGGGCTATCTATGACAAACCCACAGCCAATATCATACTAAACGGGCAAAAACTGGAAGCATTCCCTTTGAAAACTGGCACAAGACAGGGATGCCCTCTCTCACCACTCCTATTCAACATAGTGTTGGAAGTTCTGGCCAGGGCAATTAGGCAGGAGAAGGAAATAAAGGGTATTCAATTAGGAAAAGAGGAAGTCAAATTGTCCCTGTTTGCAGACGACATGATTGTATATCTAGAAAACCCCACTGTCTCAGCCCAAAATCTCCTTAAGCTGATAAGCAACTTCAGCAAAGTCTCAGGATACAAAATCAATGTACAAAAATCACAAGCATTCTTATACACCAACAACAGACAAACAGAGAGCCAAATCATGAGTGAACTCCCATTCACAATTGCTTCAAAAAGAATAAAATACCTAGGAATCCAACTTACAAGGGATGTGAAGGACCTCTTCAAGGAGAACTACAAACCACTGCTCAAGGAAATAAAAGAGGATACAAACAAATGGAAGAACATTCCATGCTCATGGGTAGGAAGAATCAATATCGTGAAAATGGCCATACTGCCCAAGGTAATTTACAGATTCAATGCCATCCCCATCAAGCTACCAATGACTTTCTTCACAGAATTGGAAAAAACTACTTTAAAGTTCATATGGAACCAAAAAAGAGCCTGCATCGCCAAGTCAATCCGAAGCCAAAAGAACAAAGCTGGAGGCATCACACTACCTGACTTCAAACTATACTACAAGGCTACAGTAACCAAAACAGCATGGTACTGGTACCAAAACAGAGATAATAGATCAATGGAACAGAACAGAGCCCTCAGAAATAACGCCGCATATCTACAACTATCTGATCTTTGACAAACCTGAGAAAAACAAGCAATGGGGAAAGGATTCCCTAATTAATAAATAGTGCTGGGAAAACTGGCTAGCCATATGTAGAAAGCTGAAACTGGATCCCTTCCTTACACCTTATACAAAAATCAATTCAAGATGGATTAAAGACTTAAACGTTAGACCTAAAACCATAAAAACCCTAGAAGAAAACCTAGGCATTACCATTCAGGACACAGGCATGGGCAAGGACTTCATGTCTAAAACACCAAAAGCAATGGCAACAAAAGACAAAATTGACAAATGGGATCTCATTAAACTAAAGAGCTTCTGCACAGCAAAAGAAACTACCATCAGAGTGAACAGGCAACCTACAAAATGGGAGAAAATTTTCACAACCTACTCATCTGACGGCTAATATCCAGAATCTACAATGAACTCAAACAAATTTACAAGACAAAAACAAACAACCCCATCAAAAAGTGGGCGAAGGACATGAACAGACACTTCTCAAAAGAAGACATTTATGCAGCCAAAAAACACATGAATAAATGCTCATCATCACTGGCCATCAGAGAAATGCAAATCAAAACCACAATGAGATACCATCTCACACCAGTTAGAATGGCAATCATTAAAAAGTCAGGAAACAACAGGTGCTGGAGAGGATGTGGAGAAATAGGAACACTTTTACACTGTTGGTGGGACTGTAAACTAGTTCGACCATTGTGGAAGTCAGTGTGGCGATTCCTCAGGGATCTAGAACTAGAAATACCATTTGACCCAGCCATCCCATTACTGGGTATATACCCAAAGGACTATAAACCATGCTGCTATAAAGACACATGCACACGTATGTTTATTGAGGCATTATTCACAATAGCAAAGACTTGGAACCAACCCAAATGTCCAACAATGATAGACTGGATTAAGAAAATGTGGCTCATATACACCATGGAATACTATGCAGCCATAAAAATGATGAGTTCATGTCCTTTGTAGGGACATGGATGAAATTGGAAAACATCATTCTCAGTAAACTATTGCAAGAACAAAAAAACAAACACCGCATATCCTCACTCATATGTGGGAATTGAACAATGAGATCACATGGACACAGGACGGGGAATATCACACTCTGGGGACTGTTGTGGGGTGGGGGGAGGGGGGAGGGACAGCATTGGGAGATATACCTAATGCTAGATGACGAGTTAGTGGGTGCAGTGCACCAGCATGGCACATGTATACATATGCAACTAACCTGCACAATGTGCACATGTACCCTAAATCTTAAAGTATAATAAAAAAAAAAGAAGAAGCTGCTCATTTGACGCAGAAAAAAAAAAAAGAATATTTTAAGAGGCAAAATTTGACTCTATATTAATAATATTACCAGGGATTAACATCAACTGAAATATAGAATGGGCCACCTGATCCTAATTTATAACTATGAAAGGTACCTTGAATATACATCCATAAGCCATGTCCAATTTCTTTATAGAAAAAGAGAGGCAGAAAATAAAAAATGCAAATGAAATGAGATTTCAAGATTTCATAAGTCCTTTTCATTTTATTATATTCTAATACAGAATTCTAATGATGAGCCTCATGTCCTGTCAAAACCTAGAGAAACAGTTTCCAAATAACAAAATTGTAGTTATAGTTCATATTTATGATACATAATGTTTTAATTTATTAAAAATACACAATTATATTATATTAAGTATAACATATAAACTATAGACTACATATTCAAAACTATAAAGTAAATGAATACAAAACATAGTATTTTAAATGTTATATCACAGACATTGTGAATGTATGTCATTCAAAACTGAGCATGATTTTGCTTTTGACAGTTTTTAACCCTCCATCAACATTTCCTGTTCAATAGTGAAAGCAGTAAGATTTCCAGGGCATATATTCATTCCTCATTGAGGGAATTTTTAAATGTAAACATTTTTAGATTTATCTACTGAAAAGTTTAAAAATTATTTTTAAGAGCCACACAATTACCATCCATTTTTCTAGTTGAAAATACGAAGGAGAATTCGAGCTGACAAAAATGCAACCTCAATACTATTTTGACTTTTTAAAATAAAACTATTCCCTATGTTTAAGGAGCCTATCTATCCTGCAAATTCTTTATAAGGGGGAAAAAACATGGTAACATACACACACACACATACACACACACAAACACACACATCTAAAAATGTTTTTGTTACCCTGCAAAAGTCACAAAACAGCAAACCTAAATGATTAGACTAACTCACCCAGCTCACTAGTCAATTTAGAAAAAGAAGGAGGTCTTCAGAGTGAAGTAAGTGGACAGATTGAAGAACGAGGAGGGGGGTAATGTTTTCTGGAAGTAGCTCTTAGAAATCCTGTTCACAGCCTGGAACTGCATAAATTTTCTCTGCATATGTTATTGCTACCTTGGGGGCCATGATAGCATATGCATTTTGGGTTTTTCAAAAAATAGATATATGTGCATGAATATGTGTGTTTAATGCATAAATATTATGATGATTTTCCTTTCATGGGACTCTGTAGTCCCTTCAGACTTTATTACAGCATATACAGTAAATAAACAGTAATCTATTGAGAATGCATATATTTTTTTGAGAAAACACAAAATAGAATTGAAGGGAGCTGAATATTATTGCCTAATGTAGAATATTTCAAAATGTAAAATTATTAAGCCAAATACACTCAGGAAGACAATCGGACATTTGGTGGCAACATTGAATCCAGCAGAAGAATCAACATGAGTATATAAACTGGAACACAGAGTCTTGAAAAAGCAAGAAAATCACACTTATGCATTCGTGTAACAGCTAAAATTTAAAAGTCAAAAAAGCAAACATATTGCTAAGATGCATTATGTAATACGATTAGAAGAAAATCTACCTCTAGTCAAGTGATTTCAATAAGCCAGCACATGCAGTGTTTTGAATACCTGTAAGTTATAATTGTGAAAAGAATATTATTTGATGATATATTCAGTCCCTGATGTACTTTGTTTTTCAGAAAAGATATACGTTCAGTGTATTTAGTCTTACTGTTCTTTGTATACATGACAGAACAGCATGATAAAAGTGAATGATTGCAATATATTTTGTTTCCCAGTAAGTTCCCTCAAACACAGACTGACAAATCTAATACGAATCCCCAGAAATTCAGTTACTTCTAAGCTTCAGTACTCTGGAATACATAAAATAAATATATGATCAATGAAATGAAATATGACAAAATGTTTCATATTGATGTTTTCTTCTTCCAAAAATGCCTTTTTGGTTAATGCCCTAAGTCACTTTTTCCACACGTTTTCTTTTTTTCAATGTATAGATTTCCTAGTTCTGATTTCAAGTTCACGGAGCCTGGGGAGAAGTGGGAGATTTCTTCAAACCAGGGCCGTTCCTCAGCCTTTCACATGAGAAAATTGTTAGGAGCATTAAAGTATTCCTGACTATGCTGCATTCCTTTGTTCAGAGTGAGTTTTGGGAACACATCCTTTTCTCATTATATTTCCATAAAATATATTTGATCTATTCTATTCTTAGAATACCTCTGATGTGGTCTGTGAGTGGAGCACAGTATAAAAATATTTCTTTTTTATATGAGACAAAATGTTTCCATTTCTTAGACACATTTAAAAAAAATCATTGTATAGCACTCTAAGAAAGTAAAACTTGTCCGATGCATTTTCGCAGGGCTCGAAACAGACCACAAAGGCCCCCATCCTCCAGCATTGTAGTTCAGAGCCTCACCCAAGGCAGGGAGTCCTCTGCAAAACAAAAGGTGATCAGGAAGAGAGAGGGCGAGCCAGAAGAACTGGGGAGGGTCCTGGACTAAGGAAGCAAGTTTATATTTAGAAGAAACCAGAGAAGTTAACCCTCTTCCTATGAGACTAAATGAGTTCTACTAAATTTTATATTCAAAACTAAAACATAGTCAAAAATTGTAATAGTCTAATGTGAATAGTTAATGTTTCCAACTGGTAGTGAATAGTTGAAATGTTTGCTTGGCTAATTCAATTTAGAAACCACTGGAAGCCAAACCAGTCTTTCTTGCAACTTTCTACCACATACCCACCCCTGGGACATAGCACCAGGCCACACATTCACAACCTGGCCTGCTCAAGGTTGTTGATCATTCTAATAGCAAGCGATTTCTTTTGGAGAGCATGTTTTCTAGCATATTTGTCTTTGGCCTTCCCTTCTGAGAGAATGACTACCTAAATCTAATTTGTCAGAGACCAGTTGAAACTAAAAATTAATCTGAAGGATTGCTACTCACAAACTCATTTTAAAACTAAAAACAGAAGAAAGCTACTATTAATTCTCTTTGATTACTCATGTGATTGCATATCTATAATTTTGATAGCAAATGTAAGTTGAGGGCAAGGATTTGGTTTATCTTACCACAATATCCACTATGTCTAATACACAGTAGTTGCTCAATAAAATTTTGCCAAAAATATCGATAAAGGAATACATTGGGAAACTGGGCCTCATTCCCTATTCCCCTGTTTGCTGAAAGGGAAATAATTGGCCCTGTTAAACTGAGAACCTACTGATAATCCAAGAAGACCTATCTTTGCCAGATGAGATAGTTGCCATATATTTGGGAAACAATTGCTTCTTGCAACAGATACTATCATAGTTACAGATGTGTCTAAATTTTTTTTATATGAGGCAAGTGCAATGTTTCAAAAATTCTAGAGATTTCTGTACCAGATTGAAATACAGGATCCTGCTATAGTTTTAAGTTTCTATACAACTCCCACAGTGTCATAGATTTAACACTGCCAGTTATTAGCTCTATTAATACTGGACCAAAATAAGCAGACATATGTACAGTCAGTATGCAGATACATATTGCATATATATCTGCAATAATTAGATATGCAAAATCATGAAATAAAACAACAGGGCTTGTGGGAAAAAAATGGTGTTGGGATGCAACACTCAAAAACTTTGTCAGTGACTCATTAAAAAAAGCTAGATACCTAATAAAAATCATAGCATAGTTTTACATAACGATAAATGGTTAAGAATTGCATAAATGCTACAGAACGTGTCACCTTACCTTGAAAAAGACCTGAAGTGTGCTTGTGGAAGTGAGCCTCAGCAAGATAAAAGCTCGTAAGTTAATGTACAGGGGTGGATGGAGGGCTACATGAAATTATACAGCAAGCTGTAATACCAGATGTGGATAGGTGTGGCTCATAACACATACCGTGAACAGGGTAGCTGGTAGATGTTTGAAGTATGTGCACGTGTGCATTTTGTATATTCCTAAGTAGTGCAGTTCTACTGAGTGCAGTTTTGTATGTTCATCTTGCATTTCTCCAGACACAATTGTACATAAACAAGTGCAAAATTTATGTTATGCAAATTGCTCCCTGATAGTCACATTGGAACAAATTCATATTTTCAATGTGAGCATCACAGCAAGGCTGTCTCTATCATCTTCCAACACAATGAAATAGAAATACAATATAAATCTCAGGCTGATCAATACAGAATCATCCTGGTACAGTTTGCATGATTCTTACACCCTTAAAAAAATCTGTTTTATCTAAATTTAAATTTCTTAAGAGCAACGACTATTCAGTAGCATACCTGGAAGCCCTTTCTCCAACCGCATTTAATATAATAGCATTCAACACATGTTGTTTGGTGAAAATGCCAGAGGAGCCATTGCAATATACCACTCTGATAATATAGTCTTTGACTGCTAAGGTAGCAGAGAGTAAAGTGTAGAACAGTATAAAACAAAGACATTGTAAGGCCATTGTGGCTTTAAATGGAGTTTGACCCTGGATACTAAAAACTGATATGCACACATATGCGTCTAATAAATTATACCACAGCCATGCATCTAGTAAAAAATAGGTGATTCCCATGGTCCTACATGATATTGAAATTTGCTAAATCTTAATTTTGAGATTCTGTTGAAAGTTGATTAACGTAGCTCAATATTGTGGCTTCTCTGCTCGCTGTAAGTTTAATGGAATCACTGTTCAAAACTGTACCCAGTATACTGTTTTGAAACCTGCTCTTCCTTCTATGTTGCTTACTTTTTGTTAATTATGTCATTCTCCACTGTTATTCTAAATATAGAAAGCATTCACTTGCTCCTCACCCTGACCAGGCCAACAAAGAGATAGGTGCTATCTAATTGAGACAAAATCAATTTTACCTACCCACATACAAAAGAAATGTCAGTTAGGGACACTATTTAGAGATCTGAAATTAAAAAACAATAACAATAGAAAGTACTTTTGAAATCAATTTATATAAGCATTATTTAAATAGATTATTAAGCCTACAAGTGTAGACAAGATTCAAATGTGATCACAGAAGGTGAGTAAAATTGCTGATTTTTTTGTTTTCTTATATTAAAAGAGTTTTTTTCCAGTTATATGTGACATTCAGTCTTTGAGGATTAGAGAAAAGACTGTACACATCTTTGTGCCACCAAGGACCTAGCAAATTCTCTTTGGTAGATGTCAAAGGAATGGGTTTTGCTAACAGAATTGAATAGAAACTCATAGAATAAATGAATATATATTTCCCTATTTTTCTGTTTTTTATGAAAAGAGAGGATCTGATGTCAGTACTTCGACATGGTAGAATTTCTTTACCCAGCACCAGTTATTTTCACCTCACCACTCACCACTGTGTATTAATTACTCTTGCAATTTCTGCCATATCTGCATAGCATCTGCCTTGTAATTTAGCTAATATTTTTCTTTAACTTTTGGTTCTTGAACAAATATATCTTTAAGGTAAATGTTATGTCACTACGAAAATGGAAAACCTTATAAAAGAAGTGACTGTGGCCAGGAACAGGGGCTCATGCCTATAATCCCAGAACTTTGGGAGGCCAAGGTGGGCGGATCACCTGAGGTCAGGAGTTTGAGACCAGTCGGGCCAGCATGGAGAAAACCTGTCTTTACTAAAAATACAAAAATTAGCTGGGTGTGGTGGCATGTGCCTGTAGTCCCAGCTACTCAGGAGGCTGAGACAGGAGAATCACTTGATCCTGGGAGGTGAAGCTTGCAGTGAGCCGAGATCACGCCACTGCACTCCAGCCTGGGCGACAGAGAGAGATTCTGTCTCCACAACAACAACAACAAAAAGTAACTGTAAAATTTATCTCAGTGAAAATCAAACACTTATTGAATTCTGTCTGGTGCCTAAGGAAGGCTCAGAGCCTGAGTCCTGTTCTCTCATTCTTTTTTTTTTTTTTTTTAAAGGAATGGTTAGAAGGCAGCTAAATATCCACAGTTATAGACATGCTAACACCAAATAGAGAATTCTTCCTTTCATTAATCGGAAAGAGTGAAAGACAACTGAAGAGACATTAACTTTCTGCCCAAGTGATACATTATCATTTAAAGTAATATTTATATCACAAAATCACCTCATATTCAATGTTGGTACACATGCAAAATTTGGGAGAACATTGGTAAAGTGGAAAAATATACTACTCTAGGCAGCAGATATTGATTCTGGAAAAGATTTTGTCAACCTCATTTGCAACCACAGTCAAGTGCTGCAATTTCTCTGTGCCTTAAATAACTATTTGACAATGGGGAATGTGGATTTTGTATCAAACAGGGTGATCTAAGTTAGGCTGTGGTTACAATCACCAAATCTTACTGACTGTATTTGTGTTTGCTGACTGTATTTGTAGTTTAAACCAAAAATTTTATTTCTCCTTCCCTCTAGATGTTCTATGCAGGTCAGCTGGGATCATGTTCCTGCTTTGTCATCATCCTCACTCCAAGATTCAAGATAACAGAGCTACCACTGCCTGGAATATCACTGGTCACAATGACACAGGAAAACCACCCACTGCTTCTTAAAGCTTTTGCCTGGTAATAACACACGATCATGTTTAATTGGCTAAAGCATGTCATATGTCCACACCTGGCTTCAAGTCAGTATAGAAGTGCAATTCTGCTATAAGCCCAGAAGGTGGGAGTACCAAAATATTTGTGAGTTATAGTAACTTCCATCAACTTAATATTCTCTAAAATCCTTTTAATTTATTAAATTCTATGATTATAACAAAATAGTACTTTACATTTAATGTATGAGTTTTTTTTAATTTGTCAGGTTATTTACTTTGGAAAATTTTATTATATGAAAAAGCTATTACACAAGTGTATCATATTCTTCAAAGATTCATTATTAAACACACTAAAAATTTTAGGAGATTAGAACTTGATATAAATATAAACTATCCAATCAGGATGGTTAAAAGTAGAAAAAGAATTTCTTGGTTTTGTCTTTGAGTGTTACTTAAATAACACAAAAATATGTGACCTAAATAATTTCAATGGTAATAGGAATTGCACAGAATAAAAGAAAATAAATGTTTAGAAACTTGCAAATGTTAGGAAAGTTTTATAATCATTAAATTGCAAAGGTCTGATGTTAGTGGAAAAACTTAGTTTGATCTCTGTTAGTGTGCCCTAGTTCTAAATGCACAGGCTCTCATGGCATCCACGGACTTGCCATGCCTGGTTAGATTTGTCTTCTTCAGCTACCACTCAGTTACTAACAGAACCAGGCTCAGCACCTCCTCCCCTGCATGGCTTGGCCATCACATGTAAAAGTGATCTGGCTTATTTAAACAGAATATTTTTTACTGTTCCCTTTGTTATTACATATCGTAGCAAAGAGCTTTGAGCATTTTACCACTGTCTACATATCAAAATAGGTCATAGAACCTTCACAGGAACATCAAATCAGAAGATCAATAACATCACCATAGCTTGTACCAAACATTTTGAAGTGTGACCATTCTGCCTTTTAGTCTGCTGCCAATATATTCTGTCTTCCATTAGTCTCTTGCGTTCTTTGAGTAGTGATCTCTCTCCAACTTGACTAAAAACTTCTTTGGTGCAAAGCCAAGCTGATGCTTCTTTAGGGTCAACCATAATACCTAATACAATGTTGAGCACATAGTAAGTCTCCTGAAACTTTTGTTGTTGTGGTCGACACCTATTTAGAACAGAAGGAGGATAGACGGCTTTTATTTATTCATTTAAAAAGACAGTTTTGAGTAGCCACAATATAGCGTGGACTGTATGTATAAAACAGAAACAAACTACAAAACCCAGGGCAGTGGTCCTCAATGAGGGTCAATTTCACCTCCCAGGGGACATTTAGCAAAGTCTAAACACAGTTTTATTTGTCATAGTTGGCGGGCGGGGGGCAAGGTGCTGCTGGTATCTACTGGGTAGAGGCAAAGAATGATGCTAAACATCTTATAACGCACAGGACAGCCTCCACCACAAATAATTATCCAGTCTCAAACATCGATCATGCCTGGACTGAGAGACCCTGCCCTACACAGTAGTGCGTGAGTCAGAGAGTGAAGAGTAATTTTAATACAAATTTCTTAATAGTGGTTTTTCTTTCCCACTGTTTTGAAAGGCAACAGTTTCACTATTTGTATCTAACTAAACAATATGACTTTAGATGTAGACATAGGACAAAAACTACATAAGGGGGTTGTTGGAAGACTTTTGTTGTTGAGCATACTTTTGTGGATGAAGGTATAAATAGTTGTTTCCATTATTTTCTTAGAGTAGAATTAACAACTTCCTCATTAAAAGAAATAAAGAATATAATAGTAGGTGAGATTAAGTTTAGAAAAGCTATATTTATACCGCCATGGCATTTCTGAAACCCCAATAACTACCATGGCTACTTCACAGCTTGAGATCAGTTAAGACCGGCTAAGACCAAAATTCTCTTTGCTCAAGGGTCTTGAGTAGAAAAATAATATCCAATAACTTTGTACATAGTAAATTTATAATATATTTCAAATAAATAAAAAATACCCAGTTCATGTATAAGAATTTTTAACCAGATAAGGATGAATCATAATAAAGCAGAATTATTGAAAGTTTGCATCCTAGCCTTCTTGCCAGTATTCCAAGGTCTAGTTTGAAAATGCCGTGCTCAGTAGTTTAATACAAGCTAGCATTTGTTTGATGGTAAAATCTCCTTTATTAGAGGGCTAGTGTTTGGGAAACCTCCCATGAACAACCTAATTGTAGGTAACCCATGGAGAGAGTGCTAAAAGTCAACACTCCACTTATGAAAAGTACTGCAAAACTTTAGTAAAACATTCATTCTTTGTGCCTATCAGAGATTCAAAGAAGTATAGTAATAAGTTTCAAGGATATCTATTGCATCCTCTTTGCCATGTGGGAGTTGGTAAGTCTAAAAAATCTATTTATCTTTGTGTATTGGTATCTGTCTGTCTCTCTCTCTCTCTCTCTCTCTCTTCCCTCCCCCCCACCTTGTGTCTCGGAGAATATAGGTGGAGGTCACATCCTTCTCTCTGTATCTCATTTTCTGCATTACCTAGTAGAACTAGCAAAGTTCTCATCTTTGTCTTTATATTTGTTAATCTCTTTGTGTTTTACTCTGAGTATTTTCTTGTTGTTCTTTAGCTGTCTCTTTCACTCAATTGGCCATTCTGAATAACTAAACAGGTATTTTTCTGGCTTTAGTAATTGAATTATTTTACATTTCATGTTAAATGTTCATGCATTCAATTAATTACTTAAAATACAAATACTGAATACTTACTGTATTCCTGGATCATGTTAGGTACTAAGAATATGACAATTAACAAAACATATGCTGCCCCTACCCCACATGCCTTACAGTTTTTGGAGAAAATAGACAGGTAACCTGCCAATGATAATAGAATGTGATAAATGCTTTGATCACAGAAGAGTTCTGTGAGAATAAAAAGAAGAGACATGTAAGTTAGTCCTAAAAGAGTTGGTTCTTGAGGAAACACTCCTGGAGGTTTTGATATCTAGGCTTGAATGTGAAGAGCGAGGGGCTATCAACTTACTGGGATATGGAAGAATGATTATTCAAAGAAATAGCATCCAAAAAGCAACACACTCAGATGTGTGTTTTCAAAATACCACTCTTTTTCATAAAGTACTTCAATGAGGGCTGGATTAGAAGCAAGGAGACCAACCAGAAGACAATAGCAGTTGTACCTTCAAGAGGTGATGTTGGCCACAACAGAGGAGAAACAGAAGAAATCGAAAGAGATTAACAGAATTATTGTTAGTTAGGAATGAGGCCAGGAGAACTGAGGCTGCTGCCAAGGTATCCACCTCGGACATGGTGTTACCATTCCTTGAGCTGGGAAGCACAGAAGAAGGAGCAGGCTGAGGAACCAGAGCTGGAGAAAGAATAGGATGAGCTCAGTTCTACCCATGCTTTACCTGTGTTGCCTGCTGGGCACCCACAGGGAGGGGCCCAGAGGGAAGTTGGCTATATGGGTCTGAAACACAAGAGAGAAGCAATTACAGTAGATTAATTTCAGAGATAATATTTTCCTCAATGGGATGAATACATTGTACATATATGAAGCTAATTCTTTCAAATATGAACCCAGGAGTAAAGAGTCTCTAGTTCAGTCTTTGATATGTATAATCAAAGGCTTTGCATGTCTTTTCCCCTTATCACTGTACACTAGCATTCCTTATTACTGCCTTTGCCAGAAGGTTGAATATTATTAATGTAATATTAAAATAATATTACTAATCTTATACATTTATATAGCTCATCATAGTTTACTTAAAATTCTTTTTCATACAGCTCTGGACAAAGTCTTCAGTCTGTGAGCTGGCTTTAGAGAAGCAGCCTAGGGCCAGGAAACCAGGATCGAACCGCAGACCAGAAGTTCTAATGAGTTTGCTGCAAGTATTTATTCTGGGGTCACAGCCAGTGTTCAGAACCAGAAGTCACAGAGTTAACCAAGCCAAGGCCCAAGATCTAAGCCAAGAGTTGGAGCCAAGGCCATGGGCAAAGCCAAGAATCAGTCACAGGATTAGCACATCAGAACAAGCCCCAGAACTGCTGCTGAACCCGAGGTCCTCCCCCAGGCCCTGCATCCTTCAGAGGCATTCTCTGCCCATGGGCTTGCACTCCCAGAGGAACACAGTCTACAAGGTAGGAATGGGAAACCTGAGGATTTCCTCTGCCTTTATAGGACCTTTGCTTTGGAAAACACAACAAGAATCCCATTGAAAGCATATTAACTCCCAAGTGATGACTTAAAACAAATAAAACTGTATGTACTATTTATGCATTTATTAAAATTCCTACATGTATAGAAATAATTGTCACATTCAATTAAAATCAATGAGAAAATCTAATAACTTCAAATTCAATTAGATTTCTCTCAAAGAATCTTAAAAATAAAAAATCCTGAATTCTATCTTGAATGCTTTCCTATAATATCTTACAATGTCTTCCTTCATTTACCCTCTTCCGAGAAACTTTGATAATAATGTGTAGATTTTTTTCTTTTTATCTTTCATGTAGCCAAAAGAGCCTAAGAACAACCTAGGTAAGAAAGGAAACCTTTACTAAAGCTATAGTCTCAGAAATAAATGTAGCAAAAGTAGATTTATCTCTTTAAATATAATTTTAAATAGAGCACACATCATTAACATGGCTCAACAATTTTAAAAGTATATTTCAAAAGCAAACAGTGAAACTTTCATTCCTAGGTCAGTCCCACTTCAGTTTAGTACCATACCCACAACCCATGAATGTAATTATTGTCATCAATTTCTTGCCATTCCTTCAGAATTTTATAATGAGCATATAAGCACACACAGAAATATGTTCTCGTTTCTCCCCTTTTTAAGCAAAATGTAGCACACTGCTCTGAACCCTGTATTTTCCCATCTAACTATGTGCAGAGATTTCTCCTGTCTTTTAGAGTTGAATAGTATTCCATTGCATATGTGTACTTATTTAACCAGTCATTTAACATAGACACTTAGGTTGTTTTGAGTCTTTTACTGTTACAAATAATGTGGCAATGAATAACCTGGTAATATTCCATTTTGCACATATGCAGTATATATGTAGGAAAAATTGCCAGAAGTTAAATTGATGAAGTAGAATGTACTGCATTTATAATTTTAATGGATATATCTAAATGGCTTTCATAGTGTCATACTAATTTCTACTTCCCCACAGCCTAAGAATTTTATTTAACTTCTTGACTTTTCACAATCTTTAAGTAAAAAACTATGGTATTATGATATAGTTCAATTAATGTTTCTCTAACTAAGGGTATTACTGTGCCTGTTTTCATGTATTTAAGAGCCAAAGGTATGTTATCTTTTTAAAACTTTTGTCTATATATTTTTTTAATTATCGGTCTTTTTAAATTATTGATTTCTAGAAGATTTTTATTACATTAGAACTTTTTATAAAGTATGAGTTGTGAGGAATTTTCCCAGATTTTGGTTTATCTTTTGACTTTTATATAGTTTTTGGCCATACACAATTTTTTCTTAGCTTTTCATGAGTCAAATTTATTAATATGGTTTTGGCTTTTAAAAGATCAATAAAATAAAAACATATGAGCACCTCAATATGATGAAAAAATATCTCTCTCATTCCCAGATCTAGCATCATACTTATTTGGAATACACTGGATGTAAGAAAAAAGAAGAATGTCCAATGCCAACACTATTGTTAACATTATATAAAAGGTACTAACCAAGAGAAATATAAGAGAATGAAAATGAGAGTTAAAAACGTACCTAGGCATAACTAAAACAAAAAAAAAAAGTGCAAGACCCATGTGAAGAAACCATTGTAAATGCTACTGAAGGACAAAAATGAAGACTTGAATTAATGGGAAAACCTACCTCGGACTAGAAGACCCAACATCATAAAGAGGACAATTTGTTTGAAATTATCTCATACATTTTTTATACAGCCCTCCCAAAAATTACAATGAGTTTTTGTGTTGTTTTTGTTTATTTTGCTTTTTCTCATTTTAAGAACTAGACAAGATAATTGAAAAATTTGTATGGAAAAAAAACATACCTACAATAATATCCAAGAAAACCCTGATATAGAAAAGCAATAGAGGTAGATTGGCTCTAACATATTAAAATTTATTCTAAATTCGTAATAATTAATAGTATGTTAATATCACATTAATACCAATAGACTAATAAAATATTATAACAAATCCAAAAGTGTGTCTAATATAAACAGAAATTTTGTGTACAATAAGGATGTCATCCCAAATCAGTGGAGAAAGGTAAATTATTTTATAAACATCTTGGGACCCCTGAATAACCATCTAAAACAAAATACTAGATCCATACTTTAGGTACAGCAAGTACCAGATAATTCAAAATGGATCAATAATCCTAAAAAAGGTAGGAAAAGAGGGAGAAAGAAGGGAGTAAAGCACTAAAAACACATTGTAGGTGAGTTGTTTCATAATCTGAAAATGATAAAAACTTCTAACTAGGAAGCAAATAACCATTTTAGTGTTTTTTAAGTGTTTTGTACAATTCTAACACCTCAAGACTTTTTTTTTCTTGAAAAGAATACCAGCCTGGGTCAAGGCTTAAGCAGACATTTTTGAGAAATAATCAACTTTCTTCTTAGTAGATAGATATACATAAAAAACATCAGAAGACGAAAAACACACAGAATAAATGAGATTTTAAAGGGTCTCTGACTAAAATACTAAAGTAAAAATTCTGAGAGATGTTTCAAGTCAAATATGTTAATCCCTTGTATATTTTAAAAATAACATGGATTACCATGATTTACAGTCAGAAGATACAGGTTCAAGTTTCTATTCTCTCACTTACTTAGAAAAATTACTTAATTTTTCTGAAATTTAATTTTTTAATCAACAAATGGGATGAATGGAAAGATCTCTATCAATATCCCCAGGTTATTGTTTTGATAAAATAATCTAACATATCTGTAAATACTTTATAATCTGTAAAAACTATACAAATATAGTTTTATATATATATATATGTTTCAGCACAAAAAGTATATATCTATTTTAACAAGAAATTCAGTTTAATCAAGTTTCTGAAGATATTATATAGCATCCTAGCAGTTTGGGATTTATAGAGCGGAAGTTAAAACATGTTTATTACTGTCTATGACACTTACTTTACTGATTTGAATCTTATTATTTAAAATGGAACTGAATAAATGAATAAAAATAATTACTCTAGATGACAAATTGTCATCTGCTAGAAGTCAGTGGGTAGAGGCAGCAGCAGGTACTATGAGAAATCGAGGCAGAGGCATATCCTTGAAGCCCATCACTGAAGCCAGTCCATGTGGCAGAGCACACAATAGACACGTGGGAGGGGGGCTTGAGCTGCAAAAGAAGTACCGAGAGCAGCCATCTGTCTTCCCATGCAGAACCACCACCGCTGTATCCAAGCCTCTCCATCAAGGACTTCCAAAGGGTCATGCTCATAATAAACTGGAAAAATGATGGCTTCCGGTATTTAGTAACTCAGAGGACGGGACTTTCCAATACTATATGTAATACAAGCTGACAAGGAAAAAGCATTTCAAATGAGGCTACTAGGAGTCAGGAGTGGCTTTAGTTTTGCTTTGCCTTTGCAGGCAGGCAGAGTCAATTTGATCCAAGTAGCCTTATTCAACATCATCCAGATGGACTCTTTATATCTAGATAAGAAAATGGCTTGCTGGGAATAATCAGGCCCACCCCTGTAATGAGAAAGGTACATAGTTAACTATACATACTTACACACTTCAAAGAACACAGAGTGGGTTCTGATCCCATTGTCTGTTCACAAAAAAAATTAAAAAACCAATGCCTCTTCCCCTGCCTCTCCAAAAAAGAAAGAAGAAAAAAATATTTTGTGACTAGCAAAACATTTTTGACCAGACTAGTATGAATCCTTTCACTATGTTGCTCAGTTTTTATACCATATAATTTGCTCCTTTCCTTAAGTTAGCATTGTTACTTAAAAAAAAAAAAAAAATCCTTCTCCTGTCTTCATTCATTTGCCCAATGAATGGCTTTTATCAATTGCATTATTGCAGTAGTCATCAGCAAAATTCTACATAGGACTAAACTGCCCTGAATATGCTATGCAGATTGCTTGTGCCTGTGGTGACACCTAGAATGAATAAAGTGTATCTTTAATTGGACGGTTCTGCATCTTGGTCCCACCTACCGTCAGTAGTATGCTGCAGTTGGCTTGATCCATTTGCCAGAGCTAATGTAATTTCTTCCCAAACCTGAAACCAGCAACGTCATGGTGGTAGCTTGAAATCATCCATGACAGGAGTATTTACACCACGGAAATTGGCAAAAGCTAAAAATCACCCCCTCCCCCACAAGAGAGCCAGTTGTTAGTCATTTTCCAACATACTTCACACTGTTGTTCTCTGACCAGTTGTGATAAACGGTTCTTTAAACACATTTTGGCAGGAAGATTTTCATTCAATCACAATAAATACTGAAAATGAGTGCCCCCTCCTACCAAAATGTAGAAAGCATGCTCCATCAGGTATAACACCATACCTTCCCAAAATAAGCCTTGAACTGTTAACTATGTAATCATTTAATGGCACCACTGGGAACCCATTCTTGAAAAGTAGTCACATTTCCTGCTGACACAAATTAAGTCCAACTTTTTTGTAGCGAATTATTTGGTTGGTTGGTTTTTAAACCTCCCTCAGTGCACTAACCTCACCAAGATTTAGTGGTAGTTTGCTGAGGCTGAAGTCAAATGGCTGAGTGAGTCCAGCCAGATATGAGAAAGTCTCATAGTGTAACCATTTTCCATGTTTTATTGTTCACAGCAAACCAAAAGTTGAAATAGTAAGTTGCACAAAGTTGAAAGTGTGGAGGGTGGGAAGGTGGAGAAGCTGGACTGCTGCTGTTCAATGATCAAGGAATTAGAAGCTGTTGCTCTGGAGCAACAGCGTAGGTGGAATGTTGGTGCCAAGTGGGTTCTTTTTTTCTGTACCTCACTTCCTTTCCTTGCCTGTGGCTTTCAACAAATATGGTGGTGGGATGGTCAAAATCATGATCCTTCTCAAATTCCAATTTGAAATATTCTTTCAACAGATGTGTCCTATAGTGTTTGCTACAGACTGAGTTCTATAGCCCCAAAATCATATATTGAAGCCTTAACACCCCGTACCTGAAAATGTGACCATTTGGAGATAAGACCTTTATAGAAATAGTTACATTACAATGGGATTATTAAGGTGGGCCCTAATCTAATATGACTAGTGTTCTTACAAGAATAGAAAATGAGAATATAGACAACATAAAGAGGCACCATGTGAAAACACTGAAAGAAAACAGCTATTTACAGGTCAAGGAGACAGGCCTCAGAAGAAGCAATCCTTCGGACAGCTTGATTTTGGACTTCCAGCCTCTGGTACTGTGAGAAAATAATTTTGTTGTTTAAGTCACTCACTCTGCAGTGTTTTGTTATGACAGGCCTAAGCCCTAGTTACTTAGCCCTAGTGTTAACTAAAACAGGATTCTTTTTTGTCAGAGACTGAAACGCATCTCCCTGAAATTCTTATGCGGAAGACCTAACCCCCAATGTGGAGACACAGCCTTTGGGGAGGTAATTAAGGTGAAATGAAATCATATAGCATGGGGCCCAAATCATCGGATAGCATTGGTGTCCTTATAAGAAGAGGAAGAGTCACCAGAGTGACTCTTCCCTCTCTTTCTCATCTCTATCCCTCCATACTCACTGAGGAAAGTCCATGTGAAATTACAGCCAGAAGGTGGCCTTCCACAAGTCAGGAAGAGTCAGGAAGAGAAGGCTTACCAGAACCAAATTCTGACAGCATCACGATCTTGGACTTCTACCCTCCAGAACTGTGAGAAAACAAATTTCTATTGTTTAAGCCACTGGTCTGTGGTATTTTGCTATGGCAGCCTGATCAGATTAATCCACTCTTCCTTTGTATGTTTTGCTGCTGAGTAGGCATCAGAGCATTATTAAATGAATGGACGTACCCCCCCATGAGGCTCAATCCAAAATGGAATTTGAGAAGAAAATAATGTCTTAATTTAATTAATTTCCCCTTCCCTGTTCATCAGTATTCTTTTGACTTAATTTAACACCTTTTCTTGCTTTCATTTTAACCAGAGATTACACTGGTGGATGTAGGTTCATAGGAGAATCCAACAATGCTGAAAAGGTTTTCTGAGCATCCAGCATATTTGGTTTTCACTGCTAGACATTTTTTTTCTTTTTTGAAATGGAGTCTTGCTCTGTCACCCAGGCTAGAGTATAGTGGTGCAATCTCAGCTCACTGCAACCTCCGCCTCTCGGGTTCAAGTAATTCTCCTGCCTCAGCCTCCAGAGTAGCTGGGATTACAGGTGCCCGCCATCACACCAGGCTAATTTTTGTATTTTTAGTAGAGACGGGGTTTCACCATTTTGGCCAGGCTGGTCTTGAACTCCTGACCCCGTAAGCCACCCACCTCAGCCTCCCAAAGTGCTGGGATTACAGGCGTGAGCCACCGCACCCAGCCTAGACATTCTTAATACATCAATGTAAATCTCTGACTGCCATGCCATGGTAGCAATTGACAAGGTTGCATAAGAATGCTGTTTGCTATACAATTTCACAATTTCGTCCCTGAACCATTTTTTTTATGCAGAATTGGTGTAGTTTGCATGTCATCAAAATCCAAGTTGAGTCCTAGTTAGAATTAAATTGGTATAATGATGAAAACTGAGCCTTCACTAAAGTGTCAAGCGTATGTGAGCAATCAACAAATACAAATCAAAAGTAAAATAATATATATTCTAATTTATACTATCATCCATGAGCTCAACACAGATTTGTATATATGAATTGTTTGTTTTCACACAGCTCTACTTTGTGACTCTTTACATTCATGACTTTTTAATCCTAATGTCTTCCATGCTGTAGGTATTAATTTATCTTACTGTGACCAGGCTAGAATCTTTATTGCATGTAAAATTTCTTATTCATCTTGGGATCTCCCATCTTCTAGTAGAGTGGCTTGTACACAGTAGGTAAATGGAATTGAGTCAGAGAAGGAAGAAGAGCTCAATCCCCTTGATTTCACAGTAAAACAGTGGAGGGACTGAGACTAGTCTTCAAGGCTGCTGAATTCCAGACCCCTGCCACAGTTATTAATTGTGCATGTATTATTTATCTTCATCATTCTAGCATTGCAAAATGAAGTTTTTATTGATCAAGTAATAATCTCTGGGGCTAGGCAGGATTATGTCAGAACTTCCAGATCAGTCGTTCTGACGGGATGGTCTCAGCCATTCCTTACCAGACCTCCTAAATGCAACACAGTTTACTGGGTATGAGAGACTTTCAAGTGAGCTCATAATCAATGAGCAGTAAACATCTCATGGCAGTCAGAAGTAGCATGGACCCTTAGAACATGAATCAAATCTCTCTTAACTCTAGTGTTGTGCTTTGTTCTCAGTGTTTGTCTTTATCTTTCAGCTGCCTGGCAGTTTGGCTATATTTGTGCAAAGAAAAGGTATGCACAGTTGATTTAGAAAAAGGGTTTCTCTATAACTGAAATTTGCATATATGAGAATGTTTGCTTTTAAAGTCTTTGAAATATTAACATTTTATTCATGGTGATATACAATTTAGCAGTTTGGAATACATGACTGTTTGAAGAATGTCTTTAGAAGTTTCATGATGGTGCCATGCATTTTGTAAACACAAATTTCCCAAGATTTGCAAGAAGGTCATGGGTTAGATCTATGAACCCAATGTCATGATAATTTTGGCAACTTTTCCATGCCCATTCCTTGGATCTCTCCCTCCCCTCATTTATAACCACATCAGTGTTGGCTCGTCAACTGTGCACAGCCCTGCCTCTTTCCTGTGAGAATAAACATTTCGTCAAATGAAAACAGTTTCAAGACTAGGGTTTCCTTGGCCAAAGTTAAAATAAAAGCTTTCCCCTGATGTAATTAAGGCAGAGACAACTGTAGACATGTTCTAAATCCTTAAAATGCTCAATCCATCCACAGTCCCCATGTGTCCCGCTGGAGCCAAAGTCATCTTAATTATGTATTCTAGGTAGAAGGCAAAAGACCAAATCCCGCCTCATCCGGACTTCAAAGCATTTCAAATCTCATCCACATCTCCTTGGTTTTTCTTTCACTTAATATTAAGTGTTCTATCATTAGCCCTAAACTTTCTATTGATGTACCACTTTTTATTTAAAGAAATAAAAATAGGCTGAATAAATCAGTGATTGAGACCATTTCTCCCCAATGCCCAGTTCCCTCCTTGGGAATGAAGCACTTCATGTTAGTGACATAATTTATTGATGCATTGCCTTAGTCAAGGAATATTTCAAGGGAACCTGAAGGGCCTAGGTAATAGGGCAATCAGACAGTGTGCCCAAAGCCCCATGCCAACAATTGTTTCTATATGTCATCCAATTAAAAAGCACCCCATGCAGCCTGTAAAAAAATAGATATTAAAAAGGGGTTATCAATCATCTGAAAGATGTATATGCGTGGTGAAGAAGGTATGAATGAGGGCATACATTTGTGTGGATAAAGAGAAGGAAGAAGTAGGGAGTGATTGACAAGTGGATACATATAATTATTGAGAGCCTACTATGTCCCAGGCATATTTGTAGACACCAGAGATGTGTGCAGTAGAAGAACACAATCAATGCTCAGCCATCTGGAATCACGCAGTGGATACAGGAATAAATACCTTAGTCTCACTCTCTGGTCTTTGATATACTCTGCTGGTAAATTCAATCAGAAGCTGTGAAGCCAAGGAGTTTGTTGACACCATTCACACTTGTCACTTCCCAAGGCACAGAGCGGAATTTTAAAAGATGGAGGGCAGATACAGAAGGGCCACGAAACAAATATTTAGTACTGCTCTCTTTCTCATTTCCTTTGCAGTACTATTCGCTGATTCAGCGTTGAGTCTTTCAGGATGCAGAGGCTGTCGGAGAATCACAGTAACTCGCCATACATTTGGATGCCTCTGACACCGGGTAGACCATATGATAACCTAGTGCTCAGGAAGTATTCAGGTTTCTTCCTAAATAATTATACTCTTGAAAACTTTAAAATTATGTCCCGTGAACAGAATAGGTAGCTTCATTTGGGGTCACTGTGTATCAGTAACTAAATGTCTTTTTAATCTTTGTTTCTAATTTTGGAATGAAGTCTTTAGAAACTGAAAACCACAGGGTAGTGAAATGTAACCTTTTTCTTACTCATTTCTTATTTGAAATATGCTTGAAGTTTTGGAAAATCAACAAAAAACTAATTGAAAACTAAGAAATGGAAGGGCAAAAATCCTGAGCTATGTCTCTATGCACACCACTGTCTCCAGGACCTAGAATCATGAGTACACATAGCACCCTTTAAATATCTGTTTAATGGGTTAATGAATTAGTTGTTAGTTTCTCTCTAGGGCAAAATGGTAAGTACAAAGGACCTCGAATATCAGGTAGTTTGGCCATGACCCATGAGAGGAACAGCATAATCCATATGGCTCAGACCCAATATGAAGTCATCATTCATCATTTATATATCTAGAACAAGGGGTGAGTGATGAAGAAGAATAAAATGAGTGAAAACAACTTCATGGAGGACTTACTATGTTAAGCACTGCACTAGGTCCTTTATACAAAAGTCTTATTTGATTCTACAAACAACCCTATAAATTAGATACTAGTATTTATTCTACAGATAAGAAAACAGAGCAGTAAGTGTAAAAAGCAAATCATTCAAAAGAAACAGAAAAAAGTGAAACAAAGTGTTGCTTGGGTCAGAGATAAAAAGCACCAGAAATTAAATCCTCCTTCAAATGTTGACATATTAATTTAACACTTTCACCAGAAATCACAACCAGCAACGTGCTTACTTTAGGAATGTGCGTGCATGTTTGCACATGTATACACATTTCCATTGGATGATAAAACTAAATCCCCCTTTGGAAAAATATAATGAACGAATCCAGAAAATTGTTTCACCAAAACCTCCTATAAATGATCTCAGGTCTGTTTTGGAAGAAACTACTCTCCAAGGAGAAATGAAATAAGCTTTACTTTCAACATTCACTGTCTTTTGGTGCTGTTCATGAATAAATTGGGCTAATTGTTGAATGTGAGAAGTGATGATTTTATGATATATATATTACTGCCCCAAAATTATTAGTTGTTAAATTCATCATCTTTAACCAACAGGTTAGGCTGAATCTAGAAGAAACAGATATGGTTCTCAATGTGCAGTGCTGTACACACTTTGCAATCCCCACATTTATGTGCAACAGGTAACTCCAGTTACAGAGTCCACAAACCTGAAACACTGAAGGAGTTTCAAATATCACATAACATTTCAATATTTAATATGTATTCTAAGCATATCAATTTCTGCATATAAAGAGTGACTAGCACATCATGCATTACCATGTCATACCAGTTCTGAGGAACAACGGCTTTCAATTTAAAGAATAAAACACCCTCCAGCTGAAGAAAATTCTCACATTACAATATGTTTAAAAGAATCTATTCCAGTTGTGGTTGGTTGTCTATGAGAAATCTTTTTCATAGGGGGAATAATTGAACATTCCCATGTGAAAGTCTTTCTTTCAAGAGAAAAAAAAAACTGTACATTGCATTTTATACAAACTAGGTGAATTCAAAATGATGGATCATTTCAAAAATATTCATTCTACTATTTACTTACATAAATGTGGTTGTATAAAAAGTAAAAAAGGAATGCATTCACAATTGGTTTAAGTAATTTTCTCTTGGCAAACCACCATATAAAACAGGGGCGTCATGGCGCCACAGAATTCTGAATTGTGGTAGAGCATCATCAGTACACATGGCATTAATCTTTGTCTCGTTGCAGGAGACACCCTTGCTTGCATTAGCAGGCTGCCTCTTAAATGGAAGATGGTGTAATGTAACTCAGGTTTAAATAACACAATAAATAAGAACTCGATTTCTCTTTAGTCTTTCTTACTAATCTCTTCCAAGACCTCTTTGTTAAAGTGCTTCATTGTCTACACATTCTAATGTAAATGACAACTTTTTTGGAGGGGTGCAGAGACTCCCAAAAGAGCATGGTAAAGGAAGAAGCTCAAGGGGTTAATATCAAAATTCAGTACTTAACATGTTAAGCAATCGAAATACTTTTTTAAAAAAAACATATGTATGTAAATGTTACATAATTACTTGCCCCACTTTCCTGTCTTTTAGCAAACTGACAGTCCCAGTATTTTGGAAATCTCACTGTTTTATATCACTTCATGCTCTCCATGACAAGGGGAACATTTAGCTGTCCTTAATGTCTTCTAATTAAATACACAAAGCATTCTTAAAGTCTTCTTTCTCCAAATACAGATATACTTTAATATAACAGATTTTTCCAAATGCATTTTTCTATTGAACTGAGAAGCTTTCAGAAACTGTCCCCACTGAACATAATGACTATTTAAGGAAACAAGCTATTTATGTGGAAATATTAAGAGGGATGATTTTGATAACCCACACTCAAGGCCAAAATAAGGATCATTGGGACTTTTACTGAAGAAGTTAATGGAGGCCAGGCCATTGGCAAATGACCTTGAAATCCCTCGATGTAGCCTCAAATTGGCTTCAGCACAAGCTTATTATTAATGCAGACAGCTAGTTTATACCATGAAAAGCACATGGTATCTCTCTCTCCAAAACCATAGCTGTCACTCAGGCACCCGCAGATTCAAATAAAAGCCATCAATGTGACAACAGTTTTACACTTTTACATATTTTTACTAAATATCACAAGTTTAGTAATCAGTATTTTATGTTGCCTAAGAAAATTATAATTCATCTGCTCAATGGCAGCTTTACATATGTATATTTAAAAATTACTATATAAAAGTATTAAAACATATTACAACACTTGATTTAGATTTTAAATCGTATTTGTCTCTCTGACTATGCCCCAGAGTAATGCCCCAGACACACATATCAAAAACCTTTTATTTTTAGGTACCTCAATATGTTAAAACTATTTTCTCTAATGTTTTTTAAAATTGACATATTTCAGAGCTTGCACACACACACACACACACACACACACACACACACATACATGCAGACACACTCACTCTACCCAGTCAGAAAGGAACTGTTTGTTCAGTTTGCAGATATGAAATCATTAGGGACTGGATTTCACTACGGGAAATTTGAGTATCATGTACTGTTAACGCAAAATAAAGAAATAAAGCCTGGGAAGTTAGAAGATTATTTTTTTTGGAAATGCATGTTTAGAACTTAAGAAAGAAAAAAAAATAAAAACATCTTCTAATGGTAAAGCATTAACAAATACTTTTTCATATGAATAAAATCTGTAATCAGTTAGATAAGAGCAATGTGCCTTTTTTTGGCATTTAATCAAACAATGAAATCATATACACATTTCCTGACACAAAAGACAAATGATGTAATAATCTGAAGGAGTTTCTCTATCTCCTTGGAACTTTGCATACTTGACTTGTTTTCCATATTTTGTGACTTTAAATGGTGGGAAAATTATATTAAAATGCTTGTAGCAGTTCCTCTAAACTAGCATCCTTTTTGTTTTATTGTATTTAATATAAAAGCAGCAATTATTTGATTTCAAAGTTATGAAAATATGTACCTTATGAGAAAACAAGCAATTTAAGCTTTAATTGGTGTCATTTTTCACAGAACTGGCAAGATTCTTGCATCCCTGGCACGTTGTTTTTCTATAAAACTGCAGAGCTGCCTTCCATGAATGTTTTACGAACGCAAAAGTTGTTATATGAAGGTATATGCATAGATGCCTGGAAATATAAGATTTCTGGTGGGAGTTATTTACAAAAGATGTATTTCATTTGTTACTGTGTGTGTAACAACTCCTATTATTCTCAATGTTTCTCTCTTCTCAATAAGACTGTTCTTAGCTCATGTCTATGAAACATTGGGACTTATGTCTAAAGTAAAATAAAAGCGGATGCTTTGATGAGGGAAAAATAGAACACTTGAGAAAAGCATAAAAAGAAATTACAATTTTGACTAAAACAAAACCCTATTATAATATGTTGAAAGGTTAATTCTGGTTTTAATCAGAAGAAAGATAATATAGACTATGTACTGAGAGGCTTGCCTTACATAAATTACATAGAGGCACCACAAGACTATTTTCTGAAGTGTTGCCTTACCATGAATACCTTTATTTATTCTGTTCATATTATATATTTCCCACATTTTCCAAAATAGTGTTATGTTCTGAAGGACAAATGTTTTATATATGCTTTGAGAGATTTCACCATCGTCTCATTTCTAAGGACTTTAGTGATTTCCACACCTGGGGAGGTATTTCTTTGTTGTTGGTGGGTTTTTTTTAATGAAAATTCCCAGAGCCACTGCCAAGGTTTCGTATTCAAAAGATCAGAATAAAGGTAGAGAATCTGTGTTTTTTTTTAAATGTCTAGTTGGTTTCTATAAGCAGCCAGATTTGAGGGAAACTGCAGATTAGTGGACTTTATGCAGAAAGTTCCTGTTGGGGGACTGGACATTAGGATACATAAGTATTCTTTATATTTCATTTACATCTTTGTCTTTTTTTAATGTTGGCTATTTTTATTAATAACTATGGCTAATACATACTCAATGTTACTGTATGCCAGGCACTAAGCTAACCACCTTGTACGCTTGTATCCCAACAATCCTACAAAACAGAAGAAAATGTATTCTTTCCTCTTCAGAGATGAAGACATTTTTTGTTAGGGAGTAATGTACAATGGTCAGACAGCAAGTGATGAACAAGTAAGAACTAGAATCTAGGTCTGTGTGACTCTAAAGGTCACTTTTCTAACCACTGCTCTATATAGAAGATTCAAACAGAAAGGGAGCTGCAGATGTTTTGAAAACCTTTTCATGTTGGCTACCCAAATAAAGTATTAACACCACTAGGAATTATGTGATCTGAACTATTGATATCCCCCTCATTAGTATCATTATTGGTTTGATTCAATTTTGATTCAAAATGAACCACCCGACACTGATTGAATGGCATCAGAACAAGCTTTTCCATTGCTGCCATTTTCCACAAGCATCAATAATAAAACGTTTAAATAGTAGCTCAGTGAGAACAAAAAAAATCTTTATGTTCAATCTTTCAACTAATAATCCAAGACTATATTAAAACTCTACCAAGATATGACCAAAGATACAGTTGGGGAAGTTTAAAAGATTTTTTTTTCTGGGAAACAAACAAATGCACTTCCAAATGGGTATCAATGAATTGTGCATCTTTCAGATATGTCCTTTGATCCTGAGAGTTTTCCATGATCCTTCCAATTTGGGTTTTGGATCCCGTAGCACTTTGAGATCATGCCATTCAGAGTACTAATCTGTGAGTTGCTGAGTGGCAAGGCTTCTGCCATTTTTCTCTCTATCCCCAGATATAAGCATATCGTTCTGAGCATTACCTTAGGGAACTGGAGACATTATTTAGGCCCAGAAGAGCTATGGAAGTACCTGAAGACAGAAGTGAGGAAAGAAAGCCAGTGAAGTAATATGGGCTCCGGTTAAGGAAGGTGACATATGATACAGGTGTAGCAAAAGGTCAAAATCACAGGAGTGAGTAGTTGAGCAGAAGCTGATAAGTGTGTGCTTGAGAGGAGAAGACCGTGGACTAAGGCAGAGACATTTATCGAGTGTTTTCCTAGCACTGTGCTATGTACAGGATAAGAAGTGTGTTTTTATTTCCTGTTATAAGTAAACAACTATGAACATTTGTCATTTTGACTATTTATTTGTTCAGGGTGTTTTATGAGTACCTGCTGTATACTGGGCCCTGTCTTACACTATTGTAGAAACACACACAATCCTAACTCCTGTGAGGCTCAGTCTAGTAGGTGATAAATAACAAGTAGAAGAACTGGAGGAAACAAATATTTGATCACACATTATGATGACTGCTGTGAGCACGTGTCTTGAGTCCCCCACATCATAATGCCATCCACTGTTTCCTTTTGGAGTCACGTATTTTCAGTTCAGAGATGAGATTAAATACTTTGTAAAGAACACCCGGTATCAGTTCACAAAGTTCAAAAGATAACTTCTAAAATAATGTGCATCACTTTTCCTAATAAGTAAACCCAATAAGACTTCATATATTCACTTGCTTCTGAGTGATTCAGGTTGAAGGGGACAAGAGATACCCTCTGGGTGCAGGAGTGAGCTGGTCTGGCCAATATGAAGAGGATCAGGGACTTGACTCTTGCCTTCTAGAAGTTCAGGCATCTCAGCAATGTCAGAAAGAGGAGAGGGTATTGTGCCTGTCAGGACTGGCCATTTTAAGAAACCCGTATTAGAATGTGATGTCATAAGTAAAGTCAAGTCTTATGGCTTAATTTTCTCAGTGGAGATTAATGGGAATGGAGAGATGATTTGTTCTGAAATTAGGGGTTTCAGGTGGGAGGCAAGGACAAAGTGTGTCACTTCCACCATTGCCCCAGTCCCGATGCTCACCTTTGGCACCAGCACAGTCCTGCAATTACCATCCTAGATTCACCAGGATGACTTCACGTCCTGCAAGATGCTTTCTCATCACAAGCTAAAAATTTCTTTCAACCCTAAAATAGTAACATGAAAAATGCCAGAGCACAATACAATTATTTGCAAAAGACATCCCATCTGCCTAAAGAGTCACATGAAAGCATAGCAGCCAATGTGCTCAAATAATTAAATAATTGGATATGAGCCTGGGTGGGGGAGCAGAGAGTGAGAACCAGACATGGGAATAGAAGCTCCTTGTTTCCCAAAGCCAGATCAATCAGGATGGAGAGCAAGATATCACAGAAGCAGCTAACAGGCCACCAAAGTCCCTGCCATTTGGTGAGGACAGACTGCTATGGTTTATATTGTGTGAGTCTACATGCACTATGAATTTATTCAGAAATCTTTTAGTTTGATATTAATTATGTAGTTCTGCGTCATTTTGGCTTTGCCTATTAATTACTACCTTAGAAGTACTTTTTCTGTCCTTTATAATTATTTCTATATTGGAAATTGAATGTCATTACACAGGCTTTTATTTTATCACATGCATACCCTCATCATGTGTTCAGCCTAAATAGCAACTAATTTCTCACAATTATCTAGCCAGTCAACCAGACAACCATGTGTATTGACTGCTTAGGGCAGAGATCAGCAGACTATGGCCCACTAGCCAAATCTGGCCCACTGACTATTTTTATATGGCTTGTGAACCAAGAACAGTTTTTTATGTTTTAAAATGGTTGCAAAAAAACAAAAGAAGACTAACATTCTGTGAAACATAAAAATTATTTGAAATTCAAATTTTAGTAACCATAAATAAAGTTTTATTGGAGACAGCCACACCCATTTATTTACATATTATCTTTGACTTTTTTTGTATCCCAATAACAAAGTTGAGTCATTGGCACAAAGATTATACAGCTTGAAAAAACTAAAACATTTATTATCTGGCCCTTTACAGAAAAAATTTTCTGAGAAAGCATCTTGCAGGATGTGAAGTCCATCCTGGTGAATCTAGGATGGTAATTGCAGGACTGTGCTGGTGCCAAAGGTGAGGGTCGGGACTGGGGCAACGGTGGAAGTGACACACTTTGTCCTTGCCTCCCACCTGAAACCCCTAACTTCAGAATAATTCGTCTCTCCATTCCCATTAATCCCCACTGGGAAAATTAAGCCATAAGACTTGACATAACTTATGACATCACATTCTAATACGGGTTTCTTAAAATGGCCAGTCCTGACAGGCACAATACCCTCTCCTCTTTCTGACATTGCTGAGATGCCTGAACTTCTAGAAGGCAGGAGTCAAGTCCCTGATCCTCTTTATATTGGCCAGACCAGCTCACTCCTGCACCCAGAGGGTATCTCTTGTCCCCTTCAACCTGAATCACTCAGAAGCAAGTGAATATATGAAGTCTTACTGGGTTTACTTATTAGGAAAAGTGATGCACATTATTTTAGAAGTTATCTTTTGAACTTTGTGAACTGATACCGGGTGTTCTTTACAAAGTATTTAATCTCATCTCTGAACTGAAAATACTTGACTCCAAAAGGAAACAGTGGATGGCATTATGATGTGGGGGACTCAAGACACGTGCTCACAGCAGTCATCATAATGTGTGATCAAATATTTGTTTCCTCCAGTACTTCTACTCGTTATTTATCACCTACTAGACTGAGCCTCACAGGAGTTAGGATTGTGTGTGTTTCTACAATAGTGTTAAGACAGGGCCCAGTATACAGCAGGTACTCATAAAACACCCTGAACAAATAAATAGTTAAAATGACAAATGTTCACAGTTGTTTACTTATAACAGGAAATAAAAACACACTTCTTATCCTGTACATATCACAGTGCTAGGAAAACACTTGATAAATGTCTTTGCCTTAGTCCAAGGTCTTCTCCTCTCAAGCACACACTTATCAGCTTCTGCTCAACCACTCACTCCTGTGATTTTGACCTTTTGCTACACCTGTATCATATGTCACCTTCCTTACCAGAGCCCATATTACTTCACTGGCTTTCTTTCCTCACTTCTGTCTTCAGGTACTTCCATAGCTCTTCTGGGCCTAAATAACGTCTCCAACTCCCTAAGGTAAAACTTCCATGGTATGTGCCAGTAGTGAAGATATCACTAATTACCCCAACTGCTATCTCTCTTAGAATAAAGAGGATGACATTTATATACACGATACATCTATTGCTCACTCCCTTTAACACTGAAATAATGCTGTCAGCTCATGGTACATGCCAGTTAGATGCTCATCTGCTTCTGGACATTGGTCACAAAGTCTAAGTCTCCTATAAGACATCAAGAGACCAGGCACACTGAGCAGTGGTAACCAGATTTCTCAGAGCTTTTGAGTGACTATACTAAGAAAACAGTCACAGAAGTATGGGATATGCATACTGGATAGATTGAAAAGGAAAGGTATGATCATTTCCTAACCACTTCATTAAGTTACACAAAGGCAAATTAGTTAAATCATTATAATCAACTACTAGAAATATAAACTTAGTGACATTGTGCAGAAAGAAAATTTATTTTAAAGATACTGGGCTGTCTCATGAAGTCTAGGGCTAGGGATGTGGCCAGGTCTCAGGGAAAAGATGCAATCAAGAACTTATAAAGATGAGGTCTGTCTTCTCTGTCCCATCTCTCCTCTCTTCTTTGCACATATGTTCAGTTCTTCTCTGTTTCTGAGCTGTCCTCTGCTTCCTAGACCATATGGTCTACCTTTATGACAATGGAGGAATCGTATGCCATAGTGGTCCAGCCACCCGAGGCTCCAAATCCAAATCTCCAGATGGGGATTTCTTACTACAAGTTCTTATCCCTGGACTAGTCCACTATTGAGCTGCAGCCATGTGGAAGAGAGGGAGTGAGTGGAGGGAAATTTCTGGAAAACTTGTCAGTTGACGGGTATCTCATAGGCAATGTCATGAAGAATGTACCACAAAAAGGTAAGTATGAGCTAAATATGCCTCACAACCGCTGATTTTAAGATATGAGAGAACTCCCCTGTGAATGGAGAAGACTAGGAAGCAGCAAGGGTCACAACAAGGGATGTGTAAGTAATTCTCTCTGACCTATGTCAAAAGTGAAAGGGAGTTCTGACATTATTAGTTTTCTCTAAGATATCAATATTTGTTATTGGATGAATCCTTAGACTTTCAGGTGCTATGTCCTCATATTCTGTTCTAAGTAAAGATCAGAAGTGATGGCAAAATGAGCACTAGTTGGGACTAAATGAATTGGGCAAATCTAGGCAATTTCTCAAGGAACACTGTATCCTAAGCTCAAACAGAACAATCAGCAGATTCTACTTATTGGTTCCATGTCTATGTACCATGTTCAGGAAGTTCACTAATGACTACAGATATCAAACTAAATACTATGAGGCCCCTTTAATGAATCTCAGGTCCTACTAAATATCTATGAAACAGTGTTAACTGCTTTCAGAGAATTACAGAGTTACAGGTTCATGGTGGAAGACAAAGTTAATTCAGCTAAAGCATCAAAGAAGACTTCATAAAGGAAGTGGCATTTCACTTGAGCTTAAGGAAATGAATACAAGTTTTTCAGGTAGGAGAAGTGCAAAAAGACATCCTATTGTACTACAAATGGTGTAGCACAAACAATATTTGGCAGTATCATGTTTTCTGATTTTGTTCACCCCAGGAACCAAAAACTTAACAAGAGATAATTATATACGACCAATTTAAGGCCCGATATCATTCCATGAGGAGTTGCAGCACTTTATGAAGACCATAACATAGCAGATGAAAAAGACTGAAGCAACTCTATGTAACCAGAAAAATATATACAATTCTCCCAATCATAGTTCTATTCAGCAATCTCTAAGTGATAGTCTGAGTGTTGGGCATGAAAGCTGTGAGACTCATTGCTCTTCCAAGCTGGACATCTCTGCTTCTCCAGATTCAACCATTGTGGATCCTCCTCTATGAGCCTGCTACATTTTTTTTTTTAAGACAGAGTCTCCCTATGTCACCCAGGCTGCAGTGCAGTGGCATGGTGCAATCTCAGCTCATGGCAACCTCCGACTCCTGGGTTCAAGCAATTCTACTTCCTCAGCCTCCCAAGTAGCTGGGACTACAGGCCTGTGCTGCCATACCCGGCTAATTTTTGTATTTTTAGTAGAGACAGGGTTTCACCATGTTGGTCAGGCTGGTCTCGAACTCCTGGCCTCAAGTGATCCGCCCACCTCAGCACCTCAGCCTCCCAAAGTGCTGTGATTACAGGCATGAGCCACTGCGCCCTGCCACTGGCTACTATTCTTGACCCTCACTAGTATGCATTGTTCTTGTGTATCATTTGTTGTTATTTATAGGAAATTTGTATACTTTCTAGTGGTCACATTTTATTAAATACCAAGTCCACCATGGTGTATTTAATGAGCTCAACTTTCCTCCAATACATTCTGTAAATTAATTGGCTCCCAGGACAGCGTCCTTCTCTTTGAACCACCTGTGGCTCCTCAGCTTGGAGTCTGTGTAATGTACCTACTTGCTCAGGCTGACTTTCTGTGCCTCCCTTTGACAAGGTAGACTCTCTTTTTTTCTAATCTGCATTTTGTCTCTTTGTGCTCTGTGTGGCACAAACTGAGCTGAAAACAGAACTCCTATGAGCCAGAAAGAGGACTGCCACCACATTTCTGCTTAAACGCTATTTAAAAAATCCTACCTCACTGCATATTTCAGCAGCATCTTTTACCATTTCACAATTATAGTCATGTCCTACTCAAAGGTATAGGAAAGTGATGCATGCACACGTTTGTGGGAAAGTGAATAATTACAATAATTATCTCTGAGTGGTTTGTGAGTAGCAGAGGTAAGTGCTGTTTCAGGAGAGGTAAGAGAGGAAAATAATCAAAATGGTGATTTTCAACTATAGGAAAAAGAGGTGGCGATATGAGTCTTCAGACCATTTTTAATATAGTTAATAAATATACCGCCAGGTTGGTTAGGGCTAAAATCAGCTAAGAAAAAAAAATATAGAGGTACTATTCTGTGTGTGTGTGTGTGTGTGTGTGTGTGTGTGTGAGTCCACAAAGAAAATAAATTTTTAATACTTCAGATACTTTTCAAGTAAATACTCTTTTGGAAGGAAAATTCTCATTTCTCATTAGATTATCAACAGGAGAGGAGAAATGTTTGACTTTTCAAATTAACACTATGAAAGAATTCAGTGAGAAAGAAGCTACTAGCTGAAAAGCATAGCACTGAGATTTGAAGGAGTATGAAAAGATTTGGGCTGAATTCTGTTTTGTTTTGTTTTTTTTTTTATAGTCATTCCTTTCTATAATCACTGCCATGAATCTGCATGCATCTACCAGTGAAATGCTGTATATTTTCAAAGCTCTAAAAATTCCTCGAAATAGCTCCAGTGGTTCAAAATATGCATGATGATCAAAATATCCACCTATAAATACTGTGGGTCTATCACATGATAAATAAACATTATCAAATATTTGTACATTCACATATTGTACATTCACATATGTATATAGAGTAGAGAGAAGAGGAGGCAGAGAGAATATTTCTGTTAATGCTTGCAACTAGTTGGCAAATATATACCCCACAATATGACTACATTGCTTGGGACTTACGGGAATATGTCTTTCTGTATTGTATACATACACATAAACATAGAAATTGGAATGTTCATATGTACACATGCATACATATTTTAAATAACATTTTAGATGCATTTTGAAAATACATATGCATATACATACTCACACACATTCTGAAATGCCATCATTCAACATAATTCATGATGTGTATTGCAATGTATCAAAGCAGAAACACATTCCAAAAAGAAATACTCACTGGTGCAATTAAATCATAAAGGAGTTTAATTTGTTCGCTTAGTAGCTAAATGTTTATTTCAACATTTTGGCCAGCAGTTTCTTTAATGAGACTGTACCTGGAATGAATTAAATTCGGTTATTATTTAAGCTCATGAGTTAAAGTGTTTCTTAAGGGACTGCACTTACGCTTTGATGCATTTCAATGAATACTGTTCTTGAAAAGGCCTGTTTCGACTATTCTGAACTTGAAACCTGAAAAATACTCAGGATAGTCTGGTTTATGAAACTGATCATAAGATTTGTGGGCAAACAAGATGGGATACTCACTGTCTTCTCATATAACAGCCTTATTGAAATCCAATTTACTTATAATACAATTTAGCCATTTAAAGCACATAATTCAATGTTTTTTAGTATATTCACGGAGTTGTGAAACCAGCACTACATCAGTTTTAGAACTTTTCCATCATCCCAAAAAGAAACTCTGTATCCACCAGAAGTCATTCTCCATTTCCTCCCACCTCATCCTATCCCAGCCCTAGGTAATGTCTAATTTGTTTTCTGTCTTTATGAGTTTACTTATTCTGGATATTTCACATAAATGGAACCATACAGTATATGGTCTCTTGTGACTGGCTTCTTTCACTTGGAATAATATTTTAAGGTTTATCTACATGGTAGTATGTATCATCACTTCATTTGTTTTTATGACTATATAATATTCCACTGTATGAATATATCACATTTAATTCATTCATTCATCGTTTGATGAACATTTGTGTTGTTTCCATTTTTGGCTATGATGAATAATGCTGCCATGAACATTTGTGCACTAGTTTTTCTGCAGACATATGTTTCCATTTCTTTTGTGTATACACCTAAGAGTGTTACATAGATAATTGCCGGGTCCTATGGTAGCTCTATGTTAAACCTTTTGAGAAACTACCAGCCAGTTTCCAAAGTGGCTGTCTCATTTCGCATGCCCACCAGCAGTGTATGAGAATTCCAATTTTTGTGGTCACCATTATTAATTTATCAAATCAACATGTTTCCTAATGCTGGACTTGGTGCTTTCCTGTGTTCTCCTGATGGGTTTATGTCAGCACAGCCACAGCAGACAGGATACAAGCCCCCTTATTTCCTACACTTGAAAGCATGGCCAAAACACGCTATAGACCCAGAAATATCAGCTCTCCTTCAAAACCACCATTAAAGTTATCCTACGGACACTGTATATGCTGAGTTTCATCAATTGTAAAATGAAGGACATTGGTCCAGAGTTAATTAGGCCACTTCCACAGTTATTTGTAGAATTAATTGTTTCCATCTGAGTCCTATTTGGCTCATCCAGCTCCATGGCAAGCTAGGCATATATATAAAAAGGCACAAATACTACTTTAGACCAACTTAATATAATTTAAAAGTATAAACCTTATAACTCTATAAGCAGTAGCCTTTGAGAAATGTATCAATTCAGTGAGGGAAAATAATCTATAGGTTGGTTAATATCTCTTAAATATGCACTCTCTAATGTTCTCAGAAAAGACTTCAGTCTTTCACTGCTAGGTTAATTTTAGATGCACTATTGTTCTTTCCTAAAATTATCATATGGCATATGCTTAAAAATGTTGAATGAATTCTAACTTACTGGATGATGTGAATGTTCCAACTTGTTTTGCTAGAGCCAAAACAATCTTGAAAACTGCATAATAAAAAAAGCACAAAGGGAGCTCAGTAAACACTTTAACTAACTGAATTATACACCTTTTCATGTTTTCAGCATATTATAGGCATACAATCTCATTGAATAACTAGTATATATACCAACCCTTATCATAGTAGGACAACACTATTGTATAGTGGAGTTTATGTCTTGAATAACACAAGAACAGCAATAATAATAATAACAACAATAACATCCCTAAATGCATAGTCTGCGCCGGGAAGCATACACATTATTTTACACATTTATAACATAACTTGACCTTCGCATCAACCCTCTGAAGTAGGTGTTGTCAATATTCCCAATTTACAGATGAGAAAATTGAGACTTAGGGAAGTTAAATTACTTGTCATTTATTATGCAGCCAGTAACTGCTTGACCAAAACCAGAACCCAGGTTTGTGTGATTCCAATGTGACCTTCAGGCCAAACTGTTTTCAACCAAAAGAGCTTTAATCCTCCCAAAAAGTGAGACAATGAACTATATTTCCTACAGTAGTGACAATCAGCATATTCACCTCCATTGAAAAGCCCATTATTTCAGTGGGCTGCTGGGAACAAAACACTATGGATAAAATAAATGGTATAGCACTCATACATATTAGCTATTTTTCAAATATATGCAGAATGTGTTAGGTTTGATAAAATATAAATTCACTACTAGTAAATGATAATCGTCTTTTACTACTATGGATTATTTCAATCAACAGATAACAGAAGTACAACTATCAACACGTTATGACCTAGAAAATTTTGTTATATTGGAAAGAGAGCTTCATTCTTAAAAATGCTAATACCTATAAAACTAAAGAGTTTTCACAAACTTAATGAATGAAATGTACTTCTAAGCAAGGGAAAAAGTAGTTATATATGCCTATTAATAGAAAAGTGTTACAACACCTATAAAATACACCATGTGCTTAAAACTCACCTACTTAGTTATTTCCCTTTTGTAAATATGAAATCCAAGACACTGAATGACTATTTTTCCTGGTTTTAAGAGAAAATAAAATCATACACATAACTGAAAACTGCTTCTTGGCTTTCCACTCAGAGTTCAGCTCCTGAAACATACTAGAAATTTAATCAATATTTGTAAATAAATGTTCAGTTTGTGACCTGCATTCTGTGCTACCCTCCAGAGATGTTTTTAATTATTTTGTTAAAACATGAATGTCATTCTAGTTTGCTAAATTTAGAGCAGCAATATCTTAACATTGCCCTTAATTAAAATTCAATAAAACCCCTGAATTTAAAAGTTAACATGGTCAAAACTGTGGGTAAGCTATGGAATCCAGAGATAAAGGCAGTTAAAGTAGATTTAACCACCTGTGAGGTGTAATAAACATGCCGAAATGCATAGCCCAGAGTGTTTTCACTGCTATTTTAAAATTAAACATACACAAAAGAGTAAGGGAATCATTTAGATATGAAGATTAACAAATTATCACATAATTGACAGCAAATCAGGAATCATTAATTACTTCAGTGTTACCGTTAGAGTGTTACCGCTGCAGTGTTATCGTTCAAATTTATCTTAGAAAATTTATGAATTTATCAGTCATATACCTATAACAACTCTAACCATCATTTCAATAGCATATTCTCAATATTAGAAGTAAAAAGATCTATAAAGATTATCGGGTCCAATAGGGACCTGTATCAGAATCATTCAAAAGAATGTCATACAGAATACAAGATTTGTATGAAGAAAAGCCTTTAGGTAATTCTACATTTTATTTTGAGAGTCAGAGTCTACATAATCATAACATAATTTAGTCTACTGCTATTCACTCATGAAATATAACTCTGTGCTAGATACATCCACTTTCTAAAAGATTATACTCACCTCCGCCTCCCAAGTTCCAGTAATTCTCCTGCTTCAGTCTCTTGAGTAGCTGGGATTACAGGTGCCTACCACCACGCCTGGCTAATTTTTTGTATTTTTAGTAGAGACAGGGTTTCACCATATTGGCCAGGCTAGTCTCAAACTCCTGACCTCAGGTGATCAACCCACCTCAGCCTCCTAAAGTGCTGGGATTACAGGTGTGAACCACTGTACTCGGCTTGTAAAATAAATTAATTTCACTCATCTCATGGGGTTAATTGAAAAAATTAATCAACAAATGTACATGAAAATAGTTTTGAAGCTATGAAATAGATCACAAAATTGGCCAAATCAGTTTTTTGACATGTATTTATGTGAAAGATATCATTGCCGGGCCGAGCACAATGGCTCACGCTTGTAATCCCAGCAGTTTGGGAGGCCGAGGCGGGTGGATCATGAGGTCAGGAGATGGAGACCATCCTGGCTAATATGGAGAAACCCTGTCTCTACTAAAAATACAAAAATTAGCTGGGCTTGGTGGCGGGCACCTGTAATCCCACCTACTCGGGAGGCTGAGGCAGGAGAATCACTTGAAACCTGGAGGAGGATGTTGCAGTGAGCCAAGATCACACCACTGCACTCCAGCCTGGGCGACAGAGCAAGACTCCATCTCAAAAAAAAAAAAAAAAAAAAAAAAAGACATCATTGCCTCATTTTTAAAAACATTTTTCAAACATTCATTTTGACAAGCATAGACTCAAATATGTTTTCAATAGGACAAAATGATTACAATTTATAAAAATTACGAATGAAAATTTTAGTCTCAGTTTATATAAGAAGAGAAGAGTGGTGTTAAGTCAGCTAACTCAAGCCAAAATTCATTGGTCCACAATTATTTGAGTACCTACTAGCTATAAATATCTTGTGTGATTACATGGTATAAATACTTTCTTTACTTTTTTAATTTTTTCATCTACATGATATCAAAATGACAAGTTGTTTCTCTTATTCTTACATACAACTGCAAGTAACAAATTAATTTCACCTCTAACAATTGATGACAACCCTTAAGCATATTTATTAATCCATGCTACAGATATTTGAGTGTTTTTATGAGTCACACGGTGTGCTAGGAGCTATATGAATATAAGGATAAATATTAGCCAGACCATGCACTTAAGGATCATGGATTGAATAACGGAGCTAAGAAAGACGCATCAGATATAGATGCAGATAAAGATGCAGACTCACACATAGCTGTATATGTGAACTATGCTATAAGATAGGAGTTCAGGCTGGGCACAGAGGCTCATCCTGAAATCCCATCACTTTGAGAGGCCGAGGCGGGAGGAATGCTTGAATCCATGAGTTTGAGACTAGCCTGAGCAATATAGGAAGACTTTGTCTCTAAACAAAATTTAAAAATTAGCCAGGCATGGTAGCACAACACTGTGGTCTCAGCTACGTGGGAGGATGACTTGAGCCCTGTAGGTCAGGAATGCAGTGAGCCATAATCGCACCACTGCACTTCAGCCTGGATGACAGAGTGAGACCTTGCCTCAAAAAAAAAAAAAAAAAAAAGTGCAAATATAAAAATTTCAATATTATTTCAGTGGAAGGATCAGGGAAGACTACATGGAATAAACGGTCATGGAACATCATGGCCCCACGGAATGCAAGACAGTGGAGGAGGCAGGTTTATTAGGCCCAGGACCAGAAAAAGCAAAGGCGGGAGAGAGGCACACTATGAATTGAGTTTGGACAAGAGTGGGACCATTTGACTAGAGGAAGGGAACCTAAAACTACGCATTAGGAGGCAAGTTTGTTTAAAAAAAAAGAAAAAGAAAAAGTAGAACCATATCAGGAGAGTGCATTGAGAGTATCCACTAAAGACGTTTGGTTAAAGTTTCTGAAATTTTTGAGAAAGGATATGACATTTTACATTGCAGGAGAGGTTTCATGGGAATATTAAATTGGCAAATGTTCATAAAGTGAATTGAAATGAGAAGGGACAAAAGCAGCAAAGAAAACGTAGCAGAAAGAAGCAGTGGAAATGGCAAGTAGAAAGGAGGACTGCACTTAGCTACAAGAATGACAGAGATAAAGAATGCTGTAAAGATATTTCAGAGAAACGATTGGCAAGGCATAGTAACCAGTTGGATTTAAAGTTAGAAATTCTATTTTTTCCCTTGGCAAGTATTACCTGGCATTTATCCTGTAAATTTCCATGTCTGTTAGAGCTATTGGGGTAGCAATGTAAGGAAGGAGGGGAGGTAGTGATTTGCCTATTCTTGTCTATCTTTTTGAGGAGCATGTGACAGCGTGAACAATCCCCGAGTATCATGTGCTCACCCTCCACCTAAATTTCTACCTATACACTGACTACAGATTATATTTTTGCCACCCCACTCCTCTCAATTCAAAAACATCTCTGCTGATGAGCCAGCATTCTGGAATCCCTAGAAAATGAATAGGGGTGGTGTACCCAAAAACTGAGGTTAAAACACAGCTATTTACAAAAGCACCAATAAGAGGTTACTGACAATTTTTTTAAGTATATTGTATCAAGACAGGTTCACATCCTAGGATGAATAATAAATAGAAATCAATAAAAGTCTAAACAAGCAAAAGTCATCAAAACAATGAGAAGAAAAAATAGAAGACCCCAAAAGAATCAAAAAATTTGGACAAATTTCAAATTAACTTTATTACATCAATGCATCTGTACTCAGAATCTGTACAATCTGCCATGTTTTATCCCACTCACATTTTAAAATGTTTGCTTCTTTCCTTTTCTTGGTACTTGGTCTAATTATTTTATATGCTCTAATTTTTCAGCACTTATTTTCTACTCTGCACTTACTCATTCCTTAGATGCAATCGAGCTATCATTTCCACATTTGTACTTACTCCCCTTTTCTCATTATGTTCTCTTTCAAATGATTTCAGAAAGGCCTACAAATACCTGAGCACAAACAGCATCAGAGGTTTTAACCAGTGATATAAGTGATCAAGGTGCCAAATGCATGGTCGGGGTCTCCTTAAGTCTAAAAGCCTTGACGTCTGCCAGTCCCCTAGATTCTTTCAGGTCCTTGTGTCAGAACATTTCCTTTATTTTTTCTTGGGAGATATTTCAAGTTCATGATATTTAAAGATATCCGTGGGTTCAGAAATGCCTAGTACTTAAAGACACACTGGCACTCCAGCATGATAGGGAAAATTAGTCATTCAAATTGAAAAATGAAAAATATACCTAAAAAATAGGAGGGGTAAGTGAGGATGGGTAGAAAAGGTAGGGATAAGCTTGGTGGACAGGGGGAAAATGGTGCTCCATCAAATCTTTCCTAAAAGTGTGTCTCATTCGGATGATGGGTCTTGAGCAGAATTTGGGGGTCAGTTTTTGTTCTGTTCTCTGCCATTTTTAGAATAGGTTTGCCCAACATTATGACACACATGTTCCCAGTTACCATAATAGACTACATATGTAACGTTAACTACATCATTTCAGAGCTCCATTTGCAGATTCTACATTTTATTCGACTCAAAACTTCCTCCACCTCAGAGGAGACAGGCTGTTAATCCCCATCCTCTGTGGGAAGCTTATGCTACGGCTGGCAAAATGTGAGAAAAAAAGGCTTTGTATTCCAGTTGCCATGTTAGCTGTGATACACACACATATACATTTCATCTCCAGTGTTGTTCTTCATTAATTCATTTTAGAATTTATAATGCAGCATTTCAGCATCGTCTTAGGGAAGCTCAGAGCAGATTTTTCTAGATGTGCAATGCACTCACTTTACATAGTGCAATTTGCAGCTACAGTGAATAAGGGCATCTAAATTTGTACTCTTTAGGCTGAATCTTAAACTTTTGGTAAGCCCTGTGTGAAAACACATGCTCAAAACTTATCAGAGAATCTGCGTCTCATAGTACTGAAGGGAACAATTAAAAGAGATTGACTTCTCCATCGATCTGATATGAAATCTAAGTGTAACGAGAAAATGAGAAAGTTCTAAATCACTTGAATGCATAGAGAATATGGTATTTTAATTTGATATCAATATTTTCTAACTATGTTAAATTTAGGTACATCTTTCTTGGTGACAGTGAAGGGTTAGTAAAAACAACTTTTTTTTTCCTGTGTAAAAACTGGTAAAATATGTGGTTAAAGAGACATGTATCAGGAAAAAGGGAATATAAAAGCCAAATGATTATTGAAGGTTTTGACCATCACATTAAAATATCAGCACTTTGTATTTTGACACTTTAGGAAGAAGTCTAATTCACAATATGAGCTGTGTTTAACTAGCTGTATTCTAGCTTTGTTCCAGGAAATATTGCCTTGTTTATGACTGTTTAAAAATGTATATATAAAGATGGGAGGGATGTTAAGAAAAGTTATTTAAAATAGACTTAGCTTTCCAACTACAAGAAAACTTTACATGTATTAATACTTCATATGTTAATGTTTCCATACGACAATAATTTTTGAGATGTAAGTGCAGTTTTCTAAGAAAAACTTTTATGTGAGACAATAACTATGTATTTTTTCTCCAAAAATGAATAAGAGAATCATCAATTATTTTTATCCTTCTTTAATCTTTTCTGAAAACTTCATCTTCAGAAATATTTTCAGCAGACAACAATGACATTTTTCTTTTTAAGTAAAACCTTTATATTTTCTAAGTTAAAAATACTGTATTAATATGCAACTGCAAGTTGACCTGTAAAGCAGAGGACAGATCATACTGAACGATCTTGTGCCCTTTCCCTACTTTTGCTTAGTTCTTGGAGGACTCAACAATGGGATTATTATATTTAACAGTATGATTTCTAAGACCTCAAGAAACATAATTTTTTTCTTATTTTAAAATTACAAATGTCACAACAGACACATAAAGAATACTTTTCATTTAAAAATGACAATAAACAATATGCAAAAATACTGAGGCAGCCTTTAAAAATCTTAAACATGAGCAAAATTTTATGGTAACTTTCCAAAGGAAAATAAAAACTTAGAAAATATGCTTATGAAACAGCAACTTTTAAAAACTAGCAAGAATTCTCAAAAATTATTTGAAGTTTTATTGGATCACTTTACTTTCAGAATTTCTTTAAATTTTATATGAACAAGAAAAATGGCATGAATATTTGCACAAAAGTCACAGTTTATATAGGTTAAGTTTTCTCTCTGAATGTATCACCCCCATTTATATATCTGATCAATTTCATGTGCATCAAGATCAGAAAGAAATCGCTATAATTAAAAGTAATACTTTTTCTTTTGAAATGCTACTTAGAGATTGACAAAATTCCATATTGTACTGTGCATCCCTTAAATTTATCACTCTCATCTATCACTCTGATTTTCATATCAAATTGATTTTGACACATCACATTTGAATAAAACAGTGGAAGAACATGCATACTCATTTACACTTCAATATTAATTGTTACACTTTTCATGCACTAAATAAATGTACATAATTGATAAAATGCATGGGAATTAAGTCAAATTAGCCAAATATGCATTGTTAAAAAAAAGTATTTCCCTATCTTATGCGTTGCTATATATTGATATCTGGTAAGATATATGCTATATATTATTATAGAAAATGATTTACATATCTGTGTAAAATAATTTAAATAAAATAATTATACTTCCCAATCTAGTAAAGCAGAATAAACCTTCACTGAGTTTAGACTGGAGTTGAGAAAATGCAATTTGTCTTTATTCTACAACTGAAAAGAAAAAAATGATGTCCTAAGTTGAGCACCATTAAGTGAGCAGGTCAGAACTCGTGCACTTTGTAGGGTTCAGGCAGGCCCAAACCCTAGGTGGCAAGATTCTCCTTGGGGTCAGTGACCTCTAACTATTGGAAAAGCTATGAGAAAGGATGAAGAATAAAAAGATTACAACCAATTAACTTTCATTTGAATAAACTTTAAAAATAGCTATGTCACTATAGACATTTTACACTTTTGTGGGTCAAAATAATGTTTCCCAAAGAATGTGGTTTAAAAAAGTAGGGAGGATTGGCCGGACACAGTGGCTTACGCCTGTAATCCCAGCACTTTGTGAGGCCAAGGCGGGTGGATCACGAGGTCAGGAGATCGAGACCATCCTGGCTAACATGGTGAAACCCCGTCTCTACTAAAAATACAAAAAATTAGCCGGGCGTGGTGGCGGGCGCCTGTAGTCCCATCTACTCGGGAGGCTGAGGCAGGAGAATGGCGTGAACCTGGGAAGTAGAGCTCACAGTGAGCCGAGATCGTGCCGCTGCATTCCAGCCTGGACGACAGAGCGAGACCCCATCTCCAAAAAAATAAATAAATAAATAAAGTAAAAAATAAAAAAGTAGGGAGGATTTGGTCAGTAGTCCACCAATTTTTGTAATACTATCAAATCACAGCAGAAAAAAAAAACTTATGATTTAAACAATTAGGTTGCTGTCAGCATAAAAGTAGTTTTAAATAGATATTTAAAATATACTATATACACACTATGGTGTTTAAACTGGAATGATATATTTTTTAATGTAGCAATGACATTTGAGCCACCTAACTACAGAAGAGAAAAAAAAAAGCAAACTACTCTTCTTTAAAGGAAAGTAGTTTGTGTGCGCACACAGGTATTGAATATGTTAACTTAAGGGCAAATACTAATGGTTCACTCAGCTGGAGGTCAAAGGACCTCAATCCACAAGGACATGTTTGTTCTTAAGAAGTAAATGAAGCTAGACCCTGACCTTAACAATGACCATGGGCCACCATTATACACTTTTTAAAAATAGCATTAAACAAACCTCTTGGGTCTGCCTTTAGAACTTACTTACTTTTCCACAATCCTAGAACGGCATTTCTCAACCTGGACAATACTGTCATTTTGACCCAGATAATCTTTGTTGTGGAGGTCTATCTTGTGCATTATAAGAGGTTTAGCAACATTCCTGACCTCCACCCACTAGATGCCAGTAATGTCCTCCCCGCTGTTAAATAGTGACAATTAAAAATGTCTCCATACTTACGAAGTGTGCCCTGAGGGGCAAAATTGCTCCTGTTAACTGTTGTTCTAGATGCAGAGCACTAACCTTTGTTAAAGGCTGGCTTACAGAAGAAAGCAAGAAACAATAGCTGACAGCTTCAGAAAAGACGAAGAAATGAAACAAAATAGTGATAACAATCAGTTGCATAGCATTCTAGGGTCATTTAGTGTAGGAGCTTCAATCACTAGCCTAAGTGTGAACACCACTACAATAAATATGAGTGACAAATATTTTGTTCTGCATTAAATAGAGATGCCTTTAGTGAGGGTATCACGAAGTTTTTGCCAAACAAGATAGCTGATGTTGACTATGATGATCCCGAGTCACCAGGAAATCGTTAGAAGAGTTTCTTCAGTGTAGCACATCAAAGAAGACAGAAAAGAAATAACATTTGAGGATTATTTCCATCAGAAGATCAAATTTTCCAAATTCAAGACAACTAATGTTTGTCTGAAAAAATGCCTCTGTGCTGACATACATGTTAGATTTTCCAAGACAAGGTTGAGTAGGAATATTTTATTTCACTGGTGGCTGTTTCATTTATAGTTTAGAAAAGAAACCAATAAAGGGAATGCCTTATCCCTGGTAAAATCCTATATATTACGATGTGTGCCTAATTTGTGTCACAGATCTTACATAAGATGAATTCTGCTAGTTCCTGCCTGTTAAGGGATATCCATGAGGATACCAGAGAGTGATGTGTGTCTGGGTAAGAAGAGGTTTCAGGGTCATATTCCAGAGCCCAGGTCAAATAAATTACTTGTGGAAAGAACCTACAAAGCCAAGCTAGGGTGAAAAGTAGAAGAGGGAAACAGAAAGGACCAAAGGTCCCAAACTAAACAATAGAAAGCAAAATAATCAAGAGTCAGAACAGGGGAGGCCGGAGTCCAGATGGGTCAAAGTCTTATTTTTAAGAAATTTTGGAAATTCGACTTACAATAATTAAATAAATGAGCCAGACCAATTCCAAAGTCTTAATGGCAGTCAAAAACAGGATTTCAGGAGTAAAAAAAAGAAGCAGGACAGGCCTCAACATTTTCATCATGACCTTCAACAGGCCTCACTCCTCTCTGGGGCCATGGGGAAAAAGTTCACATAAGGACATTCTAGAGGGAGCAACAAAAGGGATTGGAAGGAAGTCAATCATTATGTTCTCTATTCACTTGTATTTTAGATATTAAATCAACCTGCAAACATAGAGATAGACTTCAATTTGGATGCCAGAGATATGTGTTTATCTGAGCTCAATCACTATGTAATTTTTGATAAGTTAGTTAACTTCTCTGATTCTTAGTTATTATATATGAAATAAGCACACATACTAAGTAAAACCCTGGTAAAATGAAAAATCATATTTGATTACGTTTGTAGGTGACTAGCTATCAGTCTTCACCCAGTTCCCATCCTCAAATGAAGGCTGGCCAAACAGGATTGGGGTTGCATAAGTGATTGCTTGTCGTCATGTGGGACTCTTTCAGGTCAGTATATGGTCACTTGTTCTAATATAAATCTCAACATCTCAAGTTTTGTGCTTTTTGTGATAGAATAGGCCAAGTAAAAAACATTATTTTCATTGATTTTGCAATAATACAACCCTGCATTTTCTGTGATTAATTTTTCTAGACACACTTTTGGTATTTTAGAGGTGTTTTACAGTACCTACCTCATAGAGCAGTGGTCCCCAACCATTTTGGCACCAGGGACAGTTTCGTAGAAGATGATTTTTCCATGGACCAGGGAGGATGATTTCAGGATGACACTGTTCCACCTCAGAAGATCATCAGACATTAGATTCTCATAAGGAATGTGTACCCTAGATTCCTCACATGTGCAGTTCACAATAGGGTTTGCACTTCTATGAGAATCTAATGCAGCCGCGGTCTGACATGAGGTGGAGCTCAGGCGGTAATGCCTACCCACCTCTGGTCACCTCCTGCTGTGCAGCCTGCTTCCTACCAGGCCACAGACTGGTACTAGCCCATGGCCTGGGGTTTGGGGACCTCTGTATACAGAGCCAAGCAAGGTAAATCTGGTTTTGTAGGACTTGGGGCTTATGCAATTTGGGGGGCCTTTTTAGGAAAAAAATACAGGTATATACAAAATTATTAATAGGAAATTAGGTATGGAAGAGAATGCTCATTTAGAATGAGAAACAGAATTACATTTCTTTTTTTCTTAATGAGAACTTAAAAAACAGCATTGGGAGGGGTCCTTGTAAGTAAATAGCCTTGAAATTTAAACTTCATTAGCTTCATGGTATATCTGCCTCTGGGGATGGATGAGGATTAAAGAAGATCATGCATAAAAATACTTAACACCTGGTATTAACAACTTATCTTCAGTAAGTGTTAGCATTTTTATTCTTGTAAAAATAATCAATAATAGTGATTATGTGGAATGTACCAAGTCACATGACACTTGAGGATTTGAAAGATTTAGGGGGAGGCTGTGTTAATGGGTCACGGCAGTCCTGTATCCTGTTTTTTGTCCTCTCTCTGAGAAAGCTGCCATCAGCACCCCATCATGCAGGATAAGAGAATGTCACATGCAGAAGTGTCAAGTAAGGAAGGGGACACCACCCTAACTGGCAGGATTAGTGAAGTCAACCTTCAGAAGTCAGATATCAAAGCCAAATTGTCTTCTGGGGCTATACAAATAAGAAATTAAAGATAGAACTGTTTTGTAGGGATAATAGCCACAAATATAACTTCAACACAATGTAATCAGACATATAGGTATAAATAGGTGAGAGTATGGAAGAACTAACAAAATGGGCAACTAAATTTGTTCAACAACATTAGAGAAAGATCCTAGAGGAAGAGACATCTGATTAAAGTTCCAGGCAGGAGAAACGACTTGCAAAGGAAGAGGTGTGGGCCAGGTTAGACAACCAGTGCCTTAGACTTGGGTAGGGTGACAGAAGATGAAACTGCAGGTGTAATTAGGACTAGGATGGCCTGTGATGTGAAGGTTTTGGCCTGAAGGGAATAGAGAGCTAATTAAGCATTAATTTATGTAATTTTTATAATAACAACTTTGGGGAAAGTGTTCAAGGGTCACTCCTAAAGGGGCAAAGGCCACCATTAGAGAGAGTGCCCTTGTGTAGGGCTACAGAGGCTGTGCACTGCACAATTCCATGAGAGTGCCATTTTCATGGACTACTGTGGGAACAACATTCCATGGAATTCTCCACCACTTGCGAGGACAATAGCCCACAGGAGGAAAAATAACAAGGAACTTAACCAAGCAGATGCAAAGAGGATGAAGAGCAGGTACCAGCACCTAGAAATATTTCTGAGTCAGTTAGCAAATTTATGGGAGACCACACTTTAGTTTCTCAGATACTTGTTGCTGCTTTAAGGAAACACAATTGAGTTGGAGTCAACTTGAAAATAGAAGCCAATTAAATTTTTAAAAGCATCTCAGGAAAGAATCATTCCTCCTTAGGACTTTACGTTGACAAGCCCATTATTAGTGCTAAATATTCAGGATTCCACATTGCTGCAGTAAGAAGCTGGAGATGCAGTGTGCTTCCCATTGAGGGCTCAGGATACTTAGCACTTCCCCTCCCGGACATTTCTTATTTGGAAAAACAAAAACAAGACAAAATAAACTGACAAAGGGAAACATCATTTGTTTCCATTTACGAGGAATTCAGGAAAGTAGTATTTGTCTTGTTTTTCTTACCAGTTTCATTTACTATGGATTTCTAGAACTCACGTTCACATTACCTTTAGAGTCCAAAGAAATCCACAGCTATAACAGAGCACCACAATGCAGGAGGAGAGCATCAGGTGTCTACAGACACCAGCCATGCACAAAATCCATTCTGCCCATTTAGTTAAAACCAGAGGTTTCACTTTCTCTTGATCTATTTCTAATCAACACTTACCTGAACAAAACTTGAACTGCCAACAAAGCTCCAAAGCAATAATACACCACTGGCTTATGACACTCTGATGACATGTGTATCAAAATGGAATTCTCTTGTCTTCAACTATATCAACTAGACCCAAAATAAGACAAATATGTTTATCTATAAATCCCCAGCAAGGTCATGGTTCATGTTCTGTCATTTCTTCCTTATAAGATCAATCATCAAAAAGCAGAAAATAAAGTCAACTGCTTGAAAACATTGGTCTTTTCACCTCCCTTCTGTTCCTATCTAACAGCCCTATTCCTATCATTACAGGGCTCCCTGATATTTAAAAGACACAATAGACTTTGCTGTTTACGTTGTAATCTCCTGGGAGCTTTTTAGAAATGCAAGATCTCAGGCTCCACCCCAGACTTACTGAATCAGTCTGCATCTTAACAAGATCCCAGACGATTCTGTGCCTAGTAAAGTTTGTGAAAGATGGTTCTAATCTACTTCATGATAAATGAAGCTACCCAAGTACTAGGCTGATTAGCTACTTAAGGAAAAAAAAAAAAAAAAACACTTTAAATGCACACACACAACTAATAAACCAAATGGCATTGCACAAGTTTTTCAAACAAAATATAATTTTGGCCTGAGGAAGTTTCAAATAAAAGGATGAGAGAATGAGATACACAGAAAAGAAAAAAGACCACCAAGAACATGGGAAAATGTAGACTCCAATTAAAGGCACTTAAGTTTCCAAGTTTTCAGGCTGATTCCAATAATTCAACTCCTAAAGACTACCCACAATATACAGAGAATTTGGTTCTTTCCCCTTATTTGCATGGGTAAATACCTTCCAACACCTCATATCATATTTTAAAATGATTATAGGCAATCTCAGGTGGTTAAAGTCATTTAGCCTTCAGCCTGGTACCTTATACTCCACCTGAGGCAGGCTGCGCTCCTTGGAAATGGGCCGCCTGTTGTGCCTTACTGCTTAATTATTATATTAACATATTGAAGCTTCCTTTGAATTAGCTCTTCTCTGTGAGTGTGTTTATTCTATAGAAAAGCCCTTCAGTGATTTGCAATGAAGGTAATTTTTCTTGTCAGCTTACTTCAAAAATCCAATAAGTATAAATCCAATGCAATTTGAGTTTTGCCAACATTTTGCTTCCATTTCATTCTGTTTTGTTTCCTTTGAATCTTTTCCCCCAAGTGCAAAGCTTCAATTTCTGAATGCAAAGCAGGCTGCAACCTTTCCCAGAATACACAGTGCTATTTTGCTGCTCTTGCTCCTGAGATGTGGGGCACCTTTGCCCATGATGGGCGGAATCTGGCCTGCCTAGTAACACTACATCAGAGCACACTGTGAACTTTGGTCCACTTGGCAGAGGTTTGCATATTGACTAATTGAAAACTGATGGACATCCATATCTGTAAGCATAAAGCAAGGGAATAAAAGCTTTTTTGGAGCATTGCACATGTAAAACTGCCATCCCCAAATTCACAGTCATCTTTTTACCTGCTCCCTACGTCTAAACATGTGGGGTGCTGGCAAGAGAATCTCGGTTAAAAATAAAATGAACAAACAAAAAGAGAACAGAATACCCTGTGTCATTCTCAATTAGCATTCTCTTCTCTGGTGAGAGTCCTTGCAAGTATTAAGTCCTGTTTCTAGTTCTTTTAGCCACATCCCCACAGTGTGACCTCCTCTTTAAAATTTTAGCATATGGTAAAGACTAAAGTTAAAGAATAAATATTGGTTTCATTTAAGCTATATGCATGCCCTCACAATTATTTGTTGTTTTAAGATTCAGGGAAAGAACGGCTCCCTCAACAGGCTGTAAGTTTAGCCAAAGCAGGAATCTTATTTTACTCCTATTTGGAGGTCCCTCTCAATAGCACTTGGACTAGAGCTTGGTACCTAGTTCCCGCTCAAAGAAGCTGGTGAATTGTGAAGCTACTCTCAACTTTGCATCAAGAGGTTCTCATTTCTTTTTAGCTATATCTGACATGAGAACAACAATAAGAAAAGAAAAAAATATATAGCAAAAGCAAAGACTTCTACCCAACACCAAATTCAGAGTTCTAAGTAGATTAGGCATTTTAGTTCATTAACCTATACCTACCGCCCAAAAAATCTTCTTAATTGTTCCTTCCTAACTAAATCTGTAAAACGTTTCCAGAAATCCTTCTCTGTAAAAATATTTCCTAAATAAACTATAATCTTAAAATGATTTATCCTATGGATTTTTTTTCCTGTTCTCAGTATTACAAACCCAACCCAGGTCTCACCTAAATGGGACAGTGCTTTAGACGCACAATGTCATTTTTATGACTAAGGGCTACTGTCAAGTTAAACAAAATGACTTTTATAATTCAAGATCTCAGGGGAGAAAGTAGAAGACAAATGAGCAGTGGCTACAGAACCACAATGTAACCTCATTTTAATCACCAGCATTCACCCCTTAATGTACATAGCTGATAGGTTGGTGAGCAGACTTAGAATAGGTCAGTTCCAACCAAGTTCAAGTCAAGTGGTGGCAAGCTAGAGATACAGTGGTGGAGTCCGGTGGTTACAAACCCTGGCTTTGAACTCAGACAAGCCTGCGGTCCCTGGCTTATCTCATGTGGCACTTAACAATAAAACACAGAGGGAGATTAAGGATGGAGCCCTCAGACAGACAGAGGTATTTCATGGAAGGGCAATAAAAGAGGAAGCATCAGGGAACATCAGCAACAGGATTCATTGTCAACTTTGTTTTTCAATCTGCAGGTTTCAATTCTCAGGTATTTTTTATTCCTGTTTCAGTGCAATTGAACAATATTTGAGTGCTTACTTTGTGCTAAGCACTAAGATCTCTCAGCTCTTCACAGTCGGGCAAGGGAAAGAGACAATAAACCTTAATAAAATAACAATTGCAAAGCAACACAAAATTTGACAGAGAAAATATGAATACAGTGTGCGACAAATAAAGATGCAATAAATATGACTATGAATAGAGGGTCACATTTTAGGCGGGTCTTCAAGCAGAGGAAGAGTCTGCCAGGCAGAAAAGAAAAATCTAAGTGGAAGAACTAAAAGCAGAGTATGAGAAAGCTTGGCAAGTCCCAGAAATTGTAAAATATCCCGCTATATTCAGAACAGAGAGAATGAAGTCAAGGCCAAAAAGACAGGGATGGGGTGAAGGCTCTTGCAGGAAATGCAAAGGAATTTTGACCATGTTTACGGTGATAGATGACAACCGTTTAAGTAAAAAATTGATAGAACCATATCTCTGCTTTAGAAGGCTGTGTTTTCCCCCTGAACATCATTCAATTTAATGATGATGCTAAGTCACACTTTTCCTCTGCAAGGTCCTTAATATTGGATCCTCTCCTTCTCCTTTTCTCTCTCCCCCTCCCCCTCCCCTCTCTCTCCCTCTCTCCCTTCCTCTCCCCCTCCTCTTTCCCCTCCCTCTCCCCTCACCCTCCCTCTCCCTCTCCCATTTTCTCTCTCTGTCTCTCTCTGTCATATTGTTAATACTGGCATTAGTTCAGGCTTTCTCTCTCTGGATGTCTAGCATAATCTTCTGATAGATCACTTGGATACTTATCTCTCTTCCTTGAATCCATTATTCGCACAGGGGCCAGTCAAAGTTTAAACTTTGATGACTCCCAGGACTTGAACTGTCAATTGTGTGTGTGTGTGTGTGTGTGTGTGTGTGTGAAGAAGTCCTAGTCACGAGATGCCCATAAAGAAAACAAGGCAGGAAAAGAACCTGCCTATTGCTGAGGCTAGAAGCCCAGCTTCCTACTAGATGAGTTTGAAATCCCCAGTGGACTCTGGTTAAAATTAACTCCTCACCAAATATTCTAAGTGTTCTCCAAAATGGTCTCAGCCACCTTCTTTGGATCAATTTCACTTTTATTCATCCATTTGAACCATGTGCTGTTACCAAACACACCTGCAATTTCTCAGCTCAGACCTTTTTAAACACTGTCCCCAACGAGTGGAATGCTTGCATCTTATATTCTTACACCACCTGGAAATATCCTACTCTTCCTTCAAGACTTAGTGACTACCCACCTAAGGATGGCTTTCTTTCTCCACTCCTCTAGAGGTAATCCCCTATCCCACATACATACTGGAAATACTCAAAAATCTTTCCCTTCACTTACGTTACTTACCTTATTATACTTGTACTATAATCATTGGTAAGTACCTTGATGACAGGGGTTGTTTTTCCCCATTATCATACCCTCTGCAAGTTACCAATAATGTATCTGAAAAATTATAATTTATTACATTATAACTTCTGATCAGGAATTTTATTGGTTATCTATTTCTATATAGCAAATTACCCCAAAACTCAGACTTTAAACCACAAAAATGTCTTATCTCATAAAATTTCTGAGGATACGAATTATGGGAGCAACTTAACTAGTATTTCTGATTCCATCACTCATGAAAACTGTGGGCAGGACTACAGTCTTTGGAAGGTGTGAGGAGGCCTAAAGGATCTGCTGCCAAGTTTATCTACCTGGATGCTTGTGGAACCTTGAGTTTCTTGTTGGCTTTTCACTGGAGACCTCAGTTAGTTTCTCTGTGGGCCTCACTGTATAGCATCCCGTAACTTAGAAAATTATTTCTCCCAGAGTGAGTGGCCCAAGAGAGAAAACAGATTCTCTGAGAGAGAACAAGATAGAAACTCCAATGTGTTTTTAACTTAATTTCAAAAGTCACTTCCATCACTTCTGTGGTATTCTATTGGTCAGACCAATACTGGTACAATGGGAGAGTGGTATGTACAAAGGTATCAATACCAGGAGTGGGGTATTGGGAGGCATATTGAAAATGGGCTATATACAGCAGAAAATGTACTTATACAATGGAGTTACACAATAGAAAATTGTCAATTCAACCACTGACTAAATGGGAGACTAATACTATCTTGATATTCTTCATGGTCAAACAGGATCAGATTTCTCATAATAACAAATAATTTTAATAGGAATGGATTAATAATGGGTTGTTTTAATATTTAACAAGCTAAAAGTCTCAAAAGATGTGATAAATTGTTCAACAATCAGTCTTAGAAAGTTGCATGAACTCTTTTACATCTCACCAAAGAAAACATACTTTTTAAGTAAATTTCAAAGTCCTTAGCCTCAGCTAGTGCTGTCCAGTAGAAATTTCTGCATTGTTAGAAATGTTCTATATCTGTATTATCCAAAAAAGTAGTCATTGCTCATATGTGGCTATTAAGAACTTGAACTTTGGCTAGTGTGATTAAGAAAACAACTGTTTAATTTTATTTCTTTTTAATTAACACAAATTTAAGCTTAAATAGCCTTGTGTGGCTAGAGGTTACCAGGTAGGCCTAGGCTAGCAATTGTCCCATTACTTTGTTTTGATATAGTCCTGAAACAGATTTATTTTTTCAAATGATGTCTTGTGACAGATAATAAAGCTATGGGGCATATTACTTGGATTCTAATCTGGAGGTATGGTTTGGCTATGTCCCCACCCAAATCTCATCTTGAATTGTAGCTCCCATAATTCCTACATGTCATGGGAGGGAACCAGTAGGGGGTAATTGAATCATGGGGGCAGGTCTTTCCCATGCTGTTCTCATGATGGTGAATAAGTGTCACGAGATCTGATGGTATTATAAAATAGAGTTCCCCTGCACGTGCTCTCTTTGCTTGCCTCTATGTGAGACATGACTTTGTTCCTTCTTTGTTTTCCACCATGATTGTGAGGCCTCCCCAGCCATGTGGAACTGTGAGTCCATTAAACCTCTTTTCTTTATAAATTACCGACTCTCTGGTATGTCTTTATTGGAATCATGAGAATAGACTAATATATCTGGCTTCTTCATTTGGAAGGGATTTGAGATTGGACTTTGTACTTAACTTTTCTTTGCCTCAATTTTCCCATTGGCAAAGTTAAAGTAGTTACTCCTATAGGATTATGATGAGGATTTATGCCTGACACATAATAAATGTTAGCTGTAATTATTATTTGCGAGCATATAATCTCTAATACCATGCTATTCATTGTCAACATACAATCTCCAATACCAGGTATCATAATGTGAGAAACTGTATAATAATCCCATAACGAAGAATAATGTAGTCAGTATGACTAGTGCATTTCCTACCTAGCAGCTCCAGAGGATTTTTTTTTTCTTTGAAAACCGGCAACCCATTGGCTGGAACAACTTTTTCTTCCTCCAGTTTGACATAAAAGTTTTTATTGTTTTCTTTTGGTTTTGCAATATTTCCATTGCAACTTTGATGATCATTATCATAAAAAAAAAGAGTGGTATTAACTAAATTTTTTAAGTTTGCAAATGTTCATTTAAAGTTGTTTCTTGAAAGATGAGAAAAATGTGGCCTTGTTTCCAAGGAAAGTAAGTGTTTCAATCCTCTACCTGTGATTATGAAGATATTTTATTGAATAATGAAATTCTCCCTCTGGGAGAATAAGTATAGTTTAGTTGCTGTCATTAAAAGTAGAGCAGCCTTGTCATTTAATATAGACTGAGATAAGTCCAGATTAAGTATATATTGTATAAAGAAAAATGGTCACACAGTTTATTACAAAACAGCACACAGAGCTATGACTTTTCTATACTTCTATAATGTCACACACACAATTTTAAACCACGGGACTGTGCTGAGCACTATAGAGTATATGTAAGTTATACATTTTCCTTTTGCAATTTATTATTGATCCACTCTCACTATAGTTTATTCTCTTCCTCAAGCGAAACTAAGAACTTATCAATTTGGTCAAAGTTTTTGTGATTACCCTTTGTCTGACTTACAGTGTAACATAATATATTCTAATGCATTAATCCATAGCATTATCTCCATCTCTGTTTTAAATATCATGCATCCTCATTCTATGATTCAATTTAAAGAATCCTTCAAAAGATCAATCTAAATAAATAACAAGTTAGCTTTCAGGCAAACAAATAAATTTGCTTTGTTTTATATTCACCATAAATATTTCACTTAATTACTGAGGTACCTTGTTCAGAAACACAAAACAACATTATAAATTAATTAGCACTGTCCCTGCTGACGTTTTAGTCCTGTGGAATGCAAAAGCTAAAAGTAAAAACAGGCCATGAAGCCCAACCAGAGCACACATCGTATGCAAATGATAAAGCCCACAAACATCATGGTATCATTCCTGGGACATTCTGAATCACCAAAATTTTGTCTTTAATCAAGTATTGCCCTATTTATTTTCAAATTCAAAGTCAAAGAAATCCTCCACCCCCATTCTTTTTTTCTTTTCTTTTTTTTTTTTTTTTGCTTTATATGATCCAAACGGACAAAAACCTATATTATCTTGAAAAATTATTGAAGGAGATATTTTTTCTCTTATTGAAGAGTAACAAAATTGCTATATTATGAAAATGTAACAATGTATTTTCAAAGATATGGAAGATCATCATTATCAGTTTGAACCAAATATACTCTCAATATACAAATGTTACAGAATCAAGCTTTTATTATCAAATTTAAGTCCATTTTATATTATTCAAAAACAAAAGTAACATATTTTTATCTTAGCTAATTATAGCTTTATAAGACTTTTTTCTTAAATTATTACTTCCAAATAATTGATAATTTATTATGTTTCTAAGTGCTAGTAACAGCCTCAAAAGAAATAGGAAATATTCATAATTTCCGAACATAAACCTAAAACAGCAAGGCATCCATATTTTATTAAAATACAGCCATATTTTGTGAAAAATGAATATAGATGCAATTTCTACAGAATAACTGATATAAGTATCAAATTAGTTCTCAATTCTTAATGCTTAAGCCCATTTAATAATTTTAAATGCATCATAATATAAGTATTATTTACTTTATTCCAATGATCTTAATCACATATAATATCATTATAAAATACTTGAGCATTTTTATCATTAGACATTAAAGTATCTGCTCATTGTTTACTGAAATTCCTGCTAAAGCAAGTTGTTTGCCTTCTGGGTGAACTAACAACAGCCTGAAGAAATTAGTGCTTAGAAGAAAAAGTCAAGAAAAACAAAAATATTTTGTTTGAGTAAAAAACACCAAAAATGGTTTGGTTTAAATGATGCACTAATTTGTAAATTAGGTTTGATTCTGTCTGATTTAAACAGCTGGAATATTTTTCTGAGTAGTTGAGGAATCAACTTAAATCCTTCTAATGCATGCATCATATCTTCAACATGCCATTTTTGGCAATACTGGTGAATATTTTATAAAACAACTGGTAAAGAACAATGCTAGTTAACATGAAATACCTCAAAATATAGATGGTTTGTATAACATGTACATGCATTAGAAGTTAGTATATGTGCAAAATTCTAATGAAACCAAGAAGCAAATTATAATCTCTGTTGTGAACTGAGGACCAAAAATAATAGCACAACATACACACAGGAACCACTCATCACACTCTTTGATTGACACATTTTAACCTCCTGAAACAAGAAAGAGTCAATTCGTATTAAATTTTGCAACTGCAGTTTCATGGTAGTCTTCCCAATTGACCATTGGATAGTCATCACGCTGACAGCTTCAGAATCATCTTTCCTAGGCATACATCAGGGGAGAAAATTGAGTAAGTGGCTAATTCACTTAATTGACACATTCCCAGAATTTTCTAAACAGACACTATGCTATTCGCTCAGAAATATCAGAACATTCTCAGTGTCCATATCGCCCAACCAATGATTCTTTATCCTGCCATATTGTGTCATTGGGCATGTGGCTTCTGTCCTAACAATAGCCTATGTGGGGCTGCTTCATAAAACCTAGTCATCTGCTTTAACTTTTCTTAATTTGAGGTTTTGCTATTACCCTTTCTGTTGTTTGCAGAACATAATAGCCTGCTTTAAGACAAAAACTGAAATCAAGGGAGAGAGAATAAAAAGATTGAATAAAAGACTAGATATACATTTATACTAATGATTAAAATAATATAGGCATTATAGACTATCACTGCTATTAAAATGTAAATTGATACTAATAAAATTTTATACCACTACTTAATTTTAAAATGTTTTCCATGTTACTGGATTATAATCTAACTTAAATAACTAGCAGACATATTAAGTAATGACTGACAGACAAGATAAGTAATAATCCTGTTGAAAGGTAACTAGCCAATGATTGAGATATCATATTGACTATGGGGAAAAGTTATATATTACTTTTCCCTGAAAAGGGTAAACAAGGGAAGATATGTTTTTTATATATCATATGTATAAATATATATATCTAGTTATTTGTCATATATATTAAATAACTAAGGGTATAGTTTGTTTTATACTATTTATGGTCCATTAGGCAAATTTTTCTATTCCTTTCTTAAAAAGAAAAAAGAAAAGAAAAAGATAAATAGGGCTTAAAATGGAGCAAAGCATATGTTCCCAGATTCAGGGATGTATAATATAGGCACTCCATATTTCATGTTATTTTCTCCTCTTAATATCTTTGAACCTTTGCCTAGCTCCTTAGTCAACATGTGATTTTTGGCTCATTGACAAAGCACCACCAACTGATCCCCAGACTGAATAAGACTCTGAAACTTCACCTGCTGGATCCTCACATCTATTCAGATATCCTTCTATTAATCTCTTCTTTACTGCTAATAACATTCCCATGGTAGCTTTCCAAACAATCTCTCCTGTCTTTAGTCTTCAACCCCTCATCAAATCACTTCATTCTCCTTACTCCAACTTCATTTCTTTGTTCACTGAGAAGAATAAAGTCATGTGATATTTGTCCTTAAATTCCATTTCCTCCATCTCAAAACTACTGCTAGGACAAACTTTCTCGCTTGCTTCCATCCCTTCATTTTTAGGGGAAAAAGTATAAGAGATTTCTAAAATTTACTTCTATCTCTTGTGCTTTGTCCTATTTGATCCCACATCTTTTGTTCATTCAGTCGTCCATTCATTCAGTCATTTGCTTGCTTGGTCAGTCAACAAATACCTACTGAGTATACATGTATTACATGTAGTTTAAAGTGAGAGGTAGGTTATAATACCTGATCTGTCATTTTCTAGCTACCCAAGCACAGTCAAGTTTCTTAATCTTTCTGCCATTCAGTTTGCTCAGCTGTAAAATGAGGAATACCTTCTTCATGTACTAGTTTGAAGATGAAATAAGAAATGGCAGATTAAGCATCTAACACTGTGCTTAAGTATATAATAAGCTTTACGGCTAGCAAAATGGCAGATTCTAAAGGTATATAGCTGAAAAGTGTTGTTATGAAGTATATATACATACATATACATACATATATATATATATATATTTAACTTCCTGAAGGTTCAATTAATGCAACATAATATGGAATAAAAATAAGTGGTATAACTATTTTAATTGAACAGTAATATTTATCCCTTCATGCAGATTTTATTATTGTATAACTGGAAAGTCCAGTTTTATAATAAATTTTAAATTATAATTAATAGAAACTGATAGCCTAAGTACAATTATATTTACAAAAATCCAGTGTTTCTATGTTATGTAATGACGATTTAGAGATAAAGAGATTTCATTCATAATCACCAAAAAAATGTAAAACACAAAGGAAAAATTTGACAAGGAAAATATTGAATGTATATAAAGAAAGAAATTAAGGTTTGCCAAAGGATATAAAGTTTAGAATAAATTAAAATGTAGGCCCTTTTCCTGAATATTGTAATATCCAGAATATACTGAATTCAGAACAAATCCCCAATGGGATTTGTTTTGAACTTAAAAACAATGACACAATGTATCTGAAAGAATATATAGGTGAGAATAGATGTGGAAGTCTGAAAAGTACAAGCATGTGATGGGAAACTTTTCCTATCACATATTAAAAGGCATCATAGAAGCACAATAATTAAAATAGCATGGAACTTTCCTCAAATCAGCAGACAGAAAATGGAATACAATAAATACCTCAGGAACAAATCATAATTCATACATAAAAGTATCAAATGTAAGAAAAGTGACCTAATCTATTAGTGGGAAATATTAGTTAATAATTAATTCACTATTTAGAACTTTTAAAACTAAATTACATGTCTATCCTATAAAAACTTGACTGCAAAATATTAAAAGGAAATTCTCACATCAAATAACACGATTAAAATGCAAGCAATAGGCCATGAAAATATTTTACAGATTTATTATAGTCCTAGCATGTAAATCCCTCACGCAAATCACTAAGTAAAGCCTAAAAGCCTAATTACATAATCAAGTTACAATAGGAGTACAAAGTGGTAATAAGAATGTGAAAAACAATGTGCAGATTTATTAATTACAAAAGAAAAAGAACTGTAAGATACTCTGTCAAAATTAGAAAGAAATAGTGTAATATAATATTCCATGTTTGTTGGGGTTTAAATGAATACGCTGCTGTTTAGAGGGTAAGTTAGTACGTGTTCTTATTTGTTCACTTATCTATCCATTTGGCAAATATTTTATGAGCATTTACTTTTTGTAAGAAGTTTTTTAACTGAAAATTTTATATCAAACGTTTTCTAAATGTTTATCTTTTTTATTCCTGAAATTACTTCTACCAATTATTATCCTAAAGAAATAAGCAATGGTGAGCAAAAATATACATGTAAAAAGATATTTATCATAATTTTAATACCACAAAGTTCAGACTCACCTAAAAGCCCCAAATTAAGAATGACTAAATAAATGTTTACCTCTACATAGATTCATTGTATATACATTCTTCATGAAAATCAAATGTTTCAATAAATTTTAAGAACCTGAAAATAATGGGATTGCATACTGCATATAGTATAATCATAATTTTGTGATACACACACACACAAACACACACACACACAAACATACATCCCTCAAAGATTAAGATGGGTTATCACTGGATGGAAAATTAAAAGTTGTTCTTATTTTCTTTTCTGTATTGCTTTCACTGAGAAATGTGTTACTTTTATCATCAAAAGAAATACTATTTTTAAATCCTATGAAATAATAAGGAAAGACATTATTCCCCTGAAAATACGCAAAGGCCTCAAAGGCAGCTTTTGGACATTGCTCTATCATTATATCTTCTCTCTTGGATTTTTAATCTTTCTTCTACTAACAAATTGGCTTAGGCTTCTCTAATTTAAAAATTACTTTCTCCTGTTCCCTTGAGCTGGGCATATATTTCCTACCTGTTGTTGCTGCCAGATTTCTTGAACAAACAGTCAACCTTTCCTTTCTCACTTTGTCACCATCCATGCATCTTTTTCAGAATGGCTTTTTACTTGAATACTTTTCACCAATGACTGAGCCTGCTCTATCTCGGATAAGTGATAAATTCATTTATTTTTTATTTTCTTCATCCTTGCTATACTCTTGCTTTGTCTGTGTTGTTTGACTTTGGTCATCTTTTCATCATTTTTTAATCAATACTTACTTCGTTTGTTGTTGTTTTTTTTCCTCTCATTCTTTAAATCAATGTTTTTCTGCATATACTATCCTGAGCCACCCTCTCTTCTGATGTCCTATATTCTTTTCCTTGAAACTTTCACATACTTTCACATCTTTAACTATTACCTGGATGCATTTAACTCATAAATCTCTGGTTTTCATGCTGATTCTCTCTTGAACTATATCCCCTCCTTTTCTTCAGCTGTGTGGGTTGAGTTTGCTTGGGATGTCTGGCCACCTGAATAATGGCCAGACATCTCAAGCTCAATACTTCTAAAATCAAAATATTCAACTTACCCTTGCAATTTCTTTCCTCATGTGACTTCCTGATATCTATTTAATTTTCCCAAAGCTTTAATGCTTGCCAGACTCAGAATTCTAGACTGCATCTTTGTATTTTCCCTCCTCATCCAGTAAGCTGTCTGAGGTTGGTCAATCTTTTTTTTATATATGGGCTTTCATTTCCTTTCTCATTCTTTCCAACTGTTATATAACTACCCCTACCTTAATCTGCTTCTAAAGACATAAAACTCTGGTTTAACTTCTTTCACACTGTCCTGATGCCCAAATCCTGGCCACTAGTGGTGCAACACGACTATGATTTCATCACTATCTACTCAAATATGCCCAATATCCCTCAAATTAAGTAAATGCTCTTTACCTTAGCATTCGAGATCCTCTGCAATCCAGTCCTGGCCTTCTTTTTTTTTCTACTACTGTAAGGTGTCTTACGCTCTAAGATGGATCATGTTCTATATATGGGCTGCCCTTTTGGAAACTGATTTAAAAAAAAAAGCCTCCCTAAAACACCCGGAGTAATTATCACCTAACAGTGGAGCCCTCCCTGGCCATGCCCTCTAGCTTCTTATTTTCCTCACCTTTATGGCAATTACTCTATTCTATTGGTTAAAAGGAATGAAAATGCCCTTCTCCCAAGCTATACTGTAAGGTCCTGGAGGAGAAAGGCTGTATTAAATTAGCTTAGAATACACAGGATAGTATGTGGCATATTTCCAATATCCAGATACTGAAAAATGCATCGATAAATTTACAGGCAGAAAACTAATACTTTTTGGTCATTATTGTATTTATGTATTTCTGCTAGTAATTGGTTTGCTGGTCTCCTGTGTAAGATTGTTAAATCCTTCAGAACAGGAATCTTATTCATCCTTAATAATAGATAATCCATTCTTTAAGAAAGTCTAGAAAATCTGCTATATAGAAAAAAATTTCACCAGGTATTATACCCTTGCCTTGTTTTCTTTAGAAGGAGGTATATAGAATTTTTAAAAAGTTATTTTTTCCTTATGGTTGTCAGTGATTAACCCATAATTCAATCTTGATGATTAGTGTGACCATTAGGGTTAAAGCTATTTCTTTATCCAATTAAGTCTTTGCAGGAAAACATAGGTAGATGCATAAGTTCTTAAAAATAGGCACAATTAGATATCTCAGTGGTATATGAATCAGGTAACTCTTTTAGGCAGATTTTTGAAGGGAAAAAAAAAAAGCATCAAATGACCAGTCATTTCCCTGAACGCCTCTCTTATTTTAATAGCTATTACTCTCATCCCATACTCATCTCCCCAGAGATACTGTGTTGCATTCTTATCCTAAGTCTTCCAGAAATTAAAGATAAATACAAGTCTCAGAGTACCAACAACATTTCTCTTTGAGACCCTTCTTATTTGTTAAACCAAAACGGGGTGACGCCAGAGGCCAGTCTTGCCTGCATCAGGTGAAGCCTTCCCTGGGTAAATCTATTACACAAGACTATTCCCTCAGTCCTGAGCCAAAAGAAACAAGAGTAAAAGCACAATAATATGGTAATATCATTCCAAGATCCCAAAAGTATCTGTAAAACCTCAGCTGGAAGTTGATTTAACCTCTTTGGTATTGTCATGTGACCCCCGAGGTGGTACCTTCCTTCTCTAAGTGAGTGGAGCGATTACCATTACCCGTGGAAGCCAGAGTTCCCCAGTGACTCGGAAGAGTCTTGAGAAGGGATAAAGTTTCATAGCTTATTGCAATTCTTCCAGCACTGAAATCTCCTGGAGCTGGAACTCATTGAGAAATGATGAGGCATTTGAAGCTGCCTGAAATAAGGGCTCTCTACTCAAGTGACTGGCTAGTCCATAGCCCACCTGAGAAAATGATGAAAAACTGTGCTCAGGAAAAGAAAAAAAAAATCCAGCCCTACAATGAAGCAGAGACAGCAGTTACGAAGCTGACTTAGATTTAGGCTTGTTGAACTCTTTAGATTCCTAATAGCCCATCCGCACTGGAGGTTTTCAGTGCTGCACTAATCTTTTAATTTCTCCCCTCTGATTGCTGTGATAACTCCTATACTCTGGAAAAGATAAAGAACTGAGTAAACAAATCGCCACTCTTCCAATACCAGAATAAATGCATTACTACAGATTTACCAGATCTTACAGAAATCGTCTTTTCCATAGTGCAGTCTCCCCATGGAATCTCTCTCTGGGCGGTTTCCCACAATGCAGAGTAAGGGGGGAGAAGTTCACTTACGGGGACGTAACTGAAGCTAACCTAGAATTTGGCTGTCATCCCACAAGAAGCAAAACAGGAATGACAGGCCCCCTTTGCATTCACAAAATACTTATTGCCACATCTGAATGGATTTTCAAGTGTAGTGGTGATGCTGGGCTCATGAGCCTCCCTCTGTCTGGCTGCATGAGTTACATACCCTGTGTATTTTAAAATAGGCATCACTCAATCAAGTTGGTGATAATGGCATCTTGTGAAGCACACTTACAGCTATGGGACAAGCTACATGAGCTGAGGAAGGCTCTCAGCAGATGCTGTTGGGGGAGTGGTGAAGAACACACAGAGGCAGAGGGAGTTGTAGCTACAACAAAAAAAAAAAGGAAAGAAAGGAACATTCACAGAAAAGGAAAACAAACAACTGACTCATACAAAAATGGTAAATGAAGGAACTAAACACCTCAAAGACAAGTTGGTAATCAATTAAGATGCTGAGGTGCAGCAAGATGGCAAAGGCTGAGGAAATGACTTATCCTCTAGGAATGCATCTTATTGCCTGTGTGGACATTAACCTGGCTCCAGAGAGAGATGCTTTTATACAGTTTGCCCACTTGAGGAAAAAAAGGAAAAAAAAAAAAGAAAAGAAAGAAAAAGAAAAAAGGAAAAGAAAACCAGAAACAGAAAATGGATGTTTAGGGCAACTTGTAAGCCCACCTGTGAAGCCACTATTCTGCTGTTGGGGACCTGCTGCCTTCTATTGGTGTCCCTCAGTGGGCACTGTCAGCATGGAAACAAGCAACAAGCTGCCTCCAAGAAACAAGAACAAATTTAAAAGAAACAGAACGATCTGGCGATTTTTTTGTAAGAGCATAAATGCAAAGGACAAAATTAATGGGTTAGAGAGGCACATTCAACTTCTTCAGAACTGTGAAATGAGGAGCAGGGGGAGAGAGCACGGGACAGAGAAAGGGAGGAAGAGCTCTAGAGAAAGAGGAGAGCCTACTAAAGAAACGAGCCCCCCTGTACAGACAGCCTGACGCCAGATGGCTTCTTCTAATAAATATTCAACCTTAACTCTGTTCCCATGTAACTTTGTTGTAAAGCTGCCAGCACACCCACACAGATCTGGGCCAGCAAAATGATTACAGTAGTACAAACAAAATAGTGCAATAGAGGAAACAGACAGACAGGGTCCTGTCCACAGACAGTCAGGGCTGGAAGATGTGAGTTGATGGGCCTTTAGATTTAATGCCTCAGAACTCATAATAATAAGTGGCATCGGAGGAGGGGCACCTCAAAAGCCAACAAACATTTAACTCTTGTCTCCGCTTTGCTTCGGGTTTCAGCGTGGAAAACATGTTCAACTTTTTCTTCAGAGATCACGAATGAGATGCTATATCTTAAATATTACTTTCCAACACAACCTCTATGTCTATATTTAGAGTAATAACAACCATACTGAATTCCCCCACCACATTTACTTTTTTAAATTGTAGCAATATATGAGACTGTATTTTAATAGTTACCTTACCAGTTGCATAATAATAGATGATTCACCATAATTTTTCTTTATAAAACAGAGGAGTAATTCTCTATAGAATCATCTGTGTTTTCTTCTTTCCACTCCCCCACCACTACCTCCCCCAACTTGCCTGAACTATTATTTAAGTGCTGTTTAAACATAGATATGGATACCTCTCCATTCTGGTGGGGGTGGGGCAGTATGCGTTTCAGCGTTTTGAGGAGGGGATAATTTGAAAAAAAATGATAGCAGAATAAAGTGTCCTATTAATGAAGTAATACATGAAAATGTTGAATCAATTAATGCCAAAACTCAGCTTGACGAAAACGGTGATATGGTGAAATATTCTAGAAATATATACTTTGGAGTATTTGAAAATATCATGTTAGGAACAACTACCAGAGAAAGATATAAAGCCTCTGTGATTTTAGTTTTCAAATGATATATATGAATTGCACTAAACCAACTTAGTAATGAAATATAGCTATTTACAGCCAATCATCTAAAATGCTTGGCATAAAAATGAGATTATAACCTTATTTTATTTTCCATTTTTTGATCTCATATCTAAAATTGTCCAGAAAAATAATCCCTAAAAGAGTCCATCGTAAGCCAAGATTTCTTTTACCTCAAAATCAAAGATATATTTCATGGGGCTATCTCTGAGCACTGATAACTGCAGGAATGAAGATGTAAGAAAAACTAACAAAACAAAAAAAAAATTAAATACTTACCAAGAGCTAGATAAGTTTCGTTAAGTGCATACTGTTGTTTTGACAGTTTGAGAATCTGCACAGATTTTACATTTTATTACACTGACATCAAAAGCTGTATTGATAGGAAAGGACCACATTTCTAACAAAGAGAGACAGATAAAAATTAGCATTTATCTTCTGGTAATATTGAGCTTTCTAATGGTAAATCATAGTATTTTCCTTTTTGTGCGGAGAACTCTCTCAGGGAATGGAAAATGCATTGGAAGGTTAAGGCTTCCCAATTAGGGACATGATGGAGACTAGTCCTTGAAAAGATGTGTATAAATTGCACACATGAAATATAAACAATGCAAACATATCTGTATACAAAATATGCAGTTGTGCATTCAAAAAGGGTAATGGCATGCAATAATGGGAAATTATTTGAACATCTGTTTGCACATTAATCTGCATATTTTTGCACATGCAATCATCCATTTGCATCAGCGTATTTTGCATGTCACATGCACACATTAGACACCTGTTATTAAAAACTAGGTCCACAATGTGCTGCTAATTCCCTTGAATATAATTCCATTTTTACAAGATTTATCATAGAGTCCAAAGGGTAGTACTTTTTTAGCAAAGTAGACAATATACACAGGATATTAGTGAAACACTTCTCCTTTATCTATGGGTGGTAGACTACAAGATTCAAAGAGGGAACCAAATTAGTACTGAATGAAAGCAAAACAACATAGCCAGAGATGAATCATGACACAATCTAGCTCCTCCTTTCTGGTATAAAAAATGATCAACCACTGAAGAACAAATTGAGATGTCATCTTCATCAACTGTGCCAAGCACCATGTCTGCTTTGTACATAGTATGTGGTCAATAAATATTTGTTAATTCTTTGGTTAATAAAGGAATATATAATTTAATTAAATGTCACATTTAGCTAATAGTTACAGGAGTTAGATGATATACCAAGCTCCATTTGACTACTTTTGCAGGCCTCTCTCAGTTAACACATTTGAAAAGAGCCTTTGAGGGAATATTGAGAGACTGAGCTAAAAAGACTGGGCTCTGCTACTAACTAGTAATGTAATCTTGGACTAATTTCTCTAATTTTGTAAAATAAGAGACTGTGCCCAGTCGGCAAATAGGTGGTACATATGGTGCTACTCTTCCCTTCTTTAACTGTGGTAGACATTTAAAAAAATCAACCCCGGCACTTTTTTCCACTGAGTCTGGACTTAGCCATATATTATTTCTTAACACAGCTCTCCAGGCAGCCACCATCAACTGATCAAATCTGGCACACAAGATGAATCTATTTCTTATCCAGGATTATATTATCTCTAAGGCCCCTTCCATAAACTGAATCAAGAACTCTGACAGACCTCTACAATCTATGTTCTTAGGAAACTATCTTAATGATTTGGTTGTTTTCTAATTACAAGGTATGAAATATGCTTTAAAACTAGTTGAACACTGTTAGAATTGGAGAAATGCTTGCTCTATAGAGAATTTCACTGTAATAGTATTTTTAATGGATTTAACCCATAAAATATGCTAAAGTAAAGTAATGTTCAATATATTTCCCTCTTTGGATTATCCATAAAAGTGCTTTCTTCGAGGCAGTTATGCAAAGTGGATCAGGAAAGCAGCATGAAGCAATACTTTGTGCAGCACAGCCTTTCAGTATGGGAAGAAAGACAGCAGCCGTGGTCTCAGCTTCTGCCAGACAGAGCGTTGGTGGTGTGAGAGAAAGCACAGAAACCTGGAGGCACATTAAAAGGACATATTCAGACTCCTCAAGTAATATGGAAAAATGGGAAGCAAAAGTAGCTGTCAGTGAGGATGGTTTTTGAGAGAAATCCTTGTGTGATAAGCATTACAAACAGCTGAAATGAATCCATCAGAAGTCTGTACTTAATGTTTGCTCTGTGGCCAGCACTGTGCTATGTTCTTAGAGAAGTACAGTAGAGTATAATACAGTGCCTGTTTTTGGAAAAGTTGTATTCTAGTTGGAAGACACAAAACACAGAACATTATAAAGCTGCTCATAAGCCAAGGATATGCCTTATTTCCCAGCTACATCTAGACCCGCTTAGATAACATTTCAATCAACCACATCACTTTGAATGGCATGAGCCCAACAAAGAATGACCTAGGCAGTCTTCATGTGATAGCAAGATGTCCCTTTTGTTATGGTCTTGTCATTTGGGTCCCTTTTCCTAGCTGTTTATTATGTCATGCCTCTTCATTCATTCATAATGGTGGTAGAGACATGTCCTTTTTGACTGCACAGCACACATTCCTCCTGTATCTAGAATGAGTTGTTCTACTTTGCTCTGAAGAATTATTCTCCCACTCAGACTCTTTGTGAGTAGAGAGAAACTGACCCTCACAGGCTAGCTCCAAGGGTGGGCACATGGTTGAAGATGGATAGTGACAGCCCTAGGATTTTCTAGGATCGGTGCAAAAGAGAAACTCAATGTATGACTGGACAAGTTGGTGGCCACAGGTAATTGACTAAAAATAAAACCAAACCAAGGGAAGTTGAGTTGGGAGATGGAAGCCAACCAGCCCCTAGTGGCATAATGTGAGCCCCAGGATGCAACGATGTCTGATTCTAGCTATATTCCTGAGACTTTCAATTAGCCAAGCCAATACATTCTTCCTTTCCACCCACCACCCAGCTTAAACTAGTTTAAGTTGGATTTCTATTATAAGCAATCAGAACAACCTGGCAAATGCAATCCACACCACTGGCATGCATGGAGGAAGTCAGTGGGTCCCATTTAACAAAACCCACGCAAGAAGAACTTAAATCACGTTCCCTAAATCATGTCACAAAAGTCAACAAAAATACAGAAAGCAAAGGCCCAGTTTTAAAGAAAAAAATAAGTTGAAGAGTCACATCATTATAAATTATTTTCTACAACTATTCCTTGACCTTTGTGGGGACTGCTCACCAGACCCTGTTTCTCTTCACCATTGCACGGGAGCCTCCTAATATGCTCTTCTGTAAAATACAAGAAGTGAGATGACCATCATAATTGCCCTTCACTGCAATCTTCCCTCGAATGAAGATTATTTCAAGTGACTAGCAAAGAGCCTTTATGAAAACAGAGTATCTAATTATTGGGAAGAATTCTCAGAATTCCAAGAAGTTCCTTTCTAGATCTGCTATGGAACTATTCGTGTTAATTCTCAATTTAGAGCCCCTTCTCCTCCTGCATATTTCTCCTATGAGTCCAGCCAGCTCTCACTGTGTCCCTCAGAGGGAGATGCATAAGTAATGCAAACGTCACCTCAGAATTTGGAGTATCTTAAGGTCATCTCAGGATACTAGCAGGGCACCAAGGTATTAATTCCTGACTCCAGGAAATAATTTATGCAATGGAAGGATCTAGCTGGTGAAAATAAGTAATAAAGAAACAACCAAGATGAGGAGGGGTTAAGTTTCTCATGCACAATATCTGAAGAGCTACCTAACTGAACCACCAGGTCCTTAGCTCACTGCCTAACCCAGGCAGTCACTCTGCTGTTTTAATGAAAGTTAGCTGTGGGAACATCTCCATCACAGCATCCCGACTCCTGATAGCACTTTTAAACTACGCATTTGTTCTTTTTAGTCTACTTCCTGTTTAGAAATCGCTTCTATTTTAAGCGGCATGTTTACTTTTTCACCTTTTTGTAAGGGGAATTGCATTTTATTAGTTACAATCCAAATACAGCTAAATGAGGAAAACTCAATAAAGGGGCTGAAAAAAAAATTCATCCAATAAATTTGCTGTGAAATGCCAAGTTTGTGGCTGTGCCTGCAGTCATTTTAGTTATAAGACACATAGTAGGAAACAGTTTTGGGGTTTTCAGCCATTAGTTTATAAATTGAATAAGATAGATGTGTTCATTCATATGAAGTAATGTAATTTTTCTTGGGAAAGTTTAATATTATACAAATCCATTAGCATATTTACAAATTAATCTTCCCTTAGGAAAAAAAGATTGAAGATTTACAGAAGGAAGGATTTTATTACTTTTAAAACTGCATTTTAAAGAAAATAAAAGAAAAAGAAGGAAAATTATATTGAACTATAAATGCCTTTTTATGACTAACAGTTTTCTAACACCAAAATTTATGAAAGGAGAGGAGAATAGATGAGAACATAGAAAGAGTTTTCAAGGAGCTCACAGAAATTGCAACTCCTATATCACAGATTGCAAACTCCTATAAAATTAAACCTGTTTATGTAAATGCAAGAAATAGCATTAAATTAATTAGACACTTAAGGCTATTAATGTGAATTTCCCCTGGATAATTTTTTGTCTAAATTCTCTAGCTACTTGTTCTAATTTTTGACAAGATGGGATATAAACCTTCACAACCCCAAAGACAACAATAAAAACCTGTGTTCATTTCATTTCTTCCTCAAACTCTCCATGACTTATTAATGAACAAGTAACTGATGACATAATTAATTTCCAAAAAGCCACTGTCATAAAATTTTCCTACAACAGCAGAGAGAAACTTGGAGTGTAGGGTAAGGGAAATCTCAATCTATATGCAAATATCAGATATATTATAAAAAGGTAGAAAAGTTACTTGATTTTCCTCCAGATAGTCTCCATTTTGCTCATCAGTAGCACTTACTTTGTGAATGTCCTTTTTATTAAGGAAGGGTTATATGGACTTTCCACACAAACACAGAATGTGGCATAATATTAACAGCAATCTTATGAATAAGACGCAAATTTTAATGATTTCTTAATAACACTTTTTGCAATATTTCTAACTATGGGTAAAAAATTGAAGTATTAGCTATATTAAGATATTCTTCCACAGAAAAATATCTGTTACAATGATTTAAGAACACATCATACACAATTCTTCAGGTTGAAAGTCATAGAGTAGTAATAATAATAATAATGAATAAATACTATTCATTTGTTGATCACCTCCTGTATTCCAGAACTGTATTGAATGCTTTAAATATATTGTCTTATTTAATACAGACAGCAACCCAATCAGATAAATACTGTGATCATTTGTATTTCATAGAAGAGAAAATTAGGCTTGAAGATATAAAATATCAAAGACATCCACATAGTAAATGACAGAATCCAGGATGAAATTTCAATTCATCTGATTTCTGTGTCTACACTCTTATCCTAACCCTATACTTTGAAATTCAAATGATATAACTTATTTCCCAAAGTTTGCCAACACATTTAATAAATGTAGTACTAATATCTATTAAAACAATGTCAGTGATATGAACCTCACTACCATTATTTAACAACAACAGTTATTAGAATGTTTATTTCCATTACATTCAACTGAATTTTAATTCTGTAATGTATACTACCAGTTCTGTGTTGGTTTTCTTCATCTTCTGATTTTTGTTTTTCTTCTCTGGAAGAATACACTATAACTGTGCTATCATGGCTCCCATAAAGCATCTCATTTCCAGACTAAACATCCTCATTTCCAACCACAGTTCCTCAAAAAACAGGGGACTCACTGTTCTTGCAAGTTCGCTCACTGTCTTTTCTTCTTCCCCTGGGCCCACTGGTCTTCCAAGGATCTCCTTAAGGGGACTTTAAGAGATTTCTTAAGGAAGGACATCTCTTCCAAGAGGATCTTAACTAGGCACAACCCTCCATAAGGATTTGATCACCAAGAATAGTAAGTCTCCTGATTCTTAGCTCCAATCTCTTTCATCTCAAAGTTCTAACATTATGTGTAAAGACATGTCAGTCACATTCTAAGATTAGCTAGAAGATGTATCACTTGCCATATTCACAATCCTTGAGTGATGGTCTTGAAATCAACCAGAAATAAAGAAAGAAGTGGTGTTTTCTGTCTGGAGTGGCCCAGACAAATTTCATCACAGTGATAGAACAGAAGCCCTTCCTCACCCTATCTATGGGGAAAAGAATTGAATTCACCAAATTTCACTGGAAATACTTGAAGATTCATCTTAAAGGACTGCCAGAGAATCTTTTTACCTGGATTGACATACCAAATTTCTATCCCAGTGATGACGGAATCAAAATTTCAAGGAAGATGTACATAAGCAAATAGTGTGATATATGTTTATAATGCATCTCTGCTTCAATTTTTCACTTCATATTAACAGATGAGGTAGAAAAAGATCTGTTGGTTTTCTTTATTCAAGAAAGAATTGGGAGCTGGAGTTGCTAAATAGCTTTTTTACATTTCACCCAGTAAATGGCAGTGGAGCTAAGAAAAAAACAAGGTTGGCCTTCTAGATTAATACACTGTTCAAGCTTCCTCTCCTGAAATGTGCTGCAGTCCATCACACTTAACCTACACTTTCCACACCTCCAGAAGGAGATACCACAGATATACCTATTTACTTTGGCATGAACTCAAAGAAATGAGCTTGCAAAGCTGATCCTTTCTTTGTGCATTAACTTTAATTTCTCCTTTCCACGCATACACTGCAAGAACATCAGGTAGATCCATTTACTTCCACCCCCTCATCCCACTGCTCCTCCTAAAGTGACATATTAATTATGGCTCGTTTGAAATTTTCTCTTACAAATGTAGGCTCAGACTTCAACACCTAAATGAATTATATATACACTGCGCAAGCCTGTTTGTTTCAGGTTTCTTAAAAGGAGAAAACGAATGCAGAGTATTAATCATCAAACTGATGTCCCTGATTGAAAAATAAATTATTTAAATGAGTAACACTCTGGCTTTTTTTAATATGCTACTTTCTAGAAATTTTTTTCAGCATTGCAAGTTGAAAAGGATGAAAAAAACATAGTATACTATCAAGATGAAACAAGAACCAAATTAAAAGATGTGTATAGCACAATCATAGTCCATCCAAACTGTTGGGTCATAGTATACATTGCTTGCACAGTCATCAACCAAATTTATTGAATAGTAATCCAAATTAGCTGTTAAAAAGGTCTAAAAGTCTAGACTGATTGTTCCGGACCTACATTTATCTTCTTCACACCCCAGAACTATTTTACCCCTAATGTAATATTTTTTAAAATCTTATCTTTCCGGTGTACAGAGTGGGGAAGACAAGCGGAAAGGCCATAATATGTGTTTATCCAGTCTATATTCACTCTGTTTTAATTTTCTGGGGTAAAATTCCTTATGTTTCCCATTTTATTTCAAATCATATTACAGATATATCATGCATAAAACTAGAATTATAGGAAGGAAACTACCAACAAGGAGAAAGATACAAAACTCAAGAGGGGAAAAAATCACTTTATAGAGAATGTAAGTAGCCTAAGTAGTCATTGAAACCACCTCCTAGAGTGTACATAAATCAGAGGAAAAAAAGATAAAAATACCCAGTGAGAACAATTTATTAAACTCAGTGGGCACAAGAAAGGCATTCAATGATAAGAGTTATATTAGTTAGGGGCGGCTAATTGCTTTTTAAAAAAATACCAGACTGAAAATAATGGGTAATGGTGCAAATGAAAGAGAATTTTTGCTATTTAAATAATGGTACTGAGTGGATAAACATGTTGATAGACCTTCCTCCATGTAGTCACTCGAGTGAGGCTAATGCAGGCTCTGCCATATTCAACACATGGCTTTCATAGTCACCGTGGAGATTGGCTCTTTCCAAGACAGCAAGTAAGAGAGAAGAAAATGGAGAAGTGCTTGCAGTGGGTTTTAATGAGCCAGGCCTGGATGTGATATACATCTCTTCTCACATTCTATTAGTTGGACCTTGTCACATGACCACAAGTAAATGTGAGAGAGGCTGGGAAATGTAGTTGTGTGATCATGAAGAAGACAAGACTGGATTCTTTTTTTAATGGGTATCAGTCTCTGCCACTGTCTGCCCTATTGGCCACCATAATCATGTTATTTCTTCCCACACATAGAACACATTTAAGAATATCCTAAAAAGAGACAGTCTACTTATTGCATCTGGCTCAAAGACCATGGGTCACAGAGTTATTCTATTTCTTTCTATTCAAGCTTGAGGTGGCTTCTTGTGATCCCATGACCTGTGAACTAAGAAGACAAGTTCTTTCCCTCCTCTATGTATACTTCTACATCAATGGTAAAGCAGAAACAAGATAACTCTCACAAAGTTCCCAACTGTGAAAAGAGGAAAAGGGTAGACATACAGCAATCATAGATCCATTCCAATTATGAAATCCTGCTAGGCAGGAAGAGTGAAACCCCAATTCATCAGAGTTCAGCAAGTTCTAAGTCCCTGATTCAACTCTTCAGGAGAATCTACTATGTCCATTCTTCTCCATTGCTCTGACTCTACCCTCTGGGATGCTGTTTTGGTTAAAAGGTTTGTTTTGTTTTTTTTTTCTTGTCCATTATCCTACATGACCATATCTGAAGTAAGTACATTTTTCAGTGAGCACACTTTCAGCGACAACTTTCAGATATCAAAACCATTGCTGTCCATTTTCTGCCTATGTAAGTTTGGGGAACCAAGGGGTGTTTCATAATCACGGAGTTTTGTAAAACTGCAATTATTATTTTACTGGAAATGTGCTTCCCTTAAACTCATAGCTTCTGATCTATTTGTTTCCACTCAGTTCCTCGAGTCAGTAATCATCTACTAAATTCTTTTTTCAGATTTAAAACTTACACCTCTTGCATTGGCTTGTTTAATTGTCTGTTTATTATCTTTTGCTTTCTAGAGCTCATGTACCTCTCTCAACCTAATGGTAGCTACTTTAGGTCATCTAAAACAATAGACTTGGGTGGGAAGGTAACCCACTTCATTTTTTGTGTCGACTTTGGGATATAACTTACATAACATACAATTCACCCATTTAAAGTCCGCAATTCGATGGTTTTTAGTACATTTACAGATATTTGCAGTCACCATCACAGTCAATTTTAGAACATTTTCATCACATCACAAGGAACCCTGCGACCTTTACCTACCACATATCTACTTCTCCATCCTCCCAACGTGGGCAATCTACTACTTTCCATCTCTACAGAGTTGCCTTTTCTGGACACTTCAGAAAAACTGAATCATAAAACAAGGGATCTTTTGTAACTGACTTCTGTCACTCAGCATGTTTTCAAAGTTCATTCATGTTAAAGCATGTATCAGCACTGCATTCATTGCTTTCAATGGCTGAATCATATTCCATTGCATCGATATACCACATTTTGTTTCTCCATTCATCAGAGAATAAGTATTTGAGACTTTTCTACCTTTTGGCTATTATGAATAATGCTACTGTAAACATTCATGCCCATTTTTTTCTAGAAACATGTTTCCATTTGTCTTGGATACATATCTAAATGTGAAATTGTTGAGTTATATGGTAACTATATGTTTAATCATTTGAAGAATCACCAGACTGTTTTTCATACTAGTGGCAATAATTTACATTACTGCCAGCAGTGTATGAGAATTCCAGTTTCTGCACATCCTCACCAACCAATGCCATTATCTGACTTTTTTATTATAGCCATCCTACTGGGTGTGAAGTGGTATTTCATTGTGGTTTTGATTTTCACTTCCCTGATGACAAATGATGTCAAGAAAGTTTCATGTGCTTATTGGCCATTTGTATATCTTCTTTGGAGAAATATCTGTTAAGCCTCTTTAACCATTTGTCAATTGGGTCTTTTTATTATTGAGTTGTAACGATTCTTTATATATTCTGGATATGAGTCCCTTAACAAATATATGATTTACAAATATTTTTTCCTATTCTGGGCTTTGTCTTTTCACTTTCTTGAATGTGAATTTTTATGAAGTCTAATTTATCAATTATTTTTGCCTTTGCTTATGCTTTTGGTGTCATATCTAAAAATTCATTGCTAAATCTAAGTCATGGCCATTTACCTCTATGCTTTCTTCTAAGAGTTTTATGGTTTTAGCAGTTAGATGTTTGACTAATTTTGAGTTAATTTTTGAATAAAGTATGAAGTAAAAGTGTAATTTTATTGTATTGCCTATGGCTATCCAGTTGTTCCACCACTATTTGTTAAACAAAGTATTCTTTTCCCATTGGATAGCCTCAATACCCTTGCCAAAAGTCAGTAAACCATAGAAGCCATGTGTTTATTTCTGGACTCTTTATCCTGCCCCATAGATGTATATGTCTATCTTGATGCTAGTATCACACTTTCTTGATTACTTTTGTTTTATATTCTGTTTCAAAATTGGGAAGTGTGAGTCCTCCAACTTTGTTCTCCTTTTTAAAGATTGTTTTATATTGGTGTTTCAAAATTCAATACAGATTTTAGGATCAGACTTTTAATTTCTACAAAGAAGCCAGCTGCTATTCTGACAAGGATTGCATTGAATCTGTAGAGCGATTAGGAGATTACAGGTATCTTAACAATATTAAGTCTACCGATGCAAAACATGAGTATTCTTCAATTTACTTGTATGTTCTTTAATTTCTTTAAGTAACGTATTTTAGGTTTAAGAGTGTAAGTTTTCTACTTTGTTGTGTTTATTCGTAAATACTTCATTCTTTTTGATGCTATTGTAAATAAAATTTTTTAAAATTTTTATTTTATACTATTTATGGACAGTGTATAGAAATACAATATTTGAGTATTGATTTTGTGTTTTCACAACTTTGTTGAATGCATTTCTTCATTCTAATAGTTTTTTAGTCAACTCTTTAAGATTTTCTACATATAAGATCATGTATTCTGTGAATACAGTTTTACCTCTTCCTTTCCAATTTGGATACCTTTTATTTGTTGACTAATTGCCCTAGCTAAAACCTGTTAAATAAAAATAGTGAGAGTGGGTATCTTTGTGTTGTTCCTGATTTTAGAGGGAAAGTATTGTCTTTCTCCATAAAGTATGATGTCAGCTGTGAATTTTTTACAGATGCCCTTCATCAGATTAAGGAAGTTTCATTCTATTTCTAGTAGGTTGAGTGTGTTTACCATGAAATGGTGTTGAATTTGTCAAATGCTTTTCCTGCATCTATTGAGATCTTCATGTGGGGCTTTTTGGTTTTTTATTAAATTGATATGATATAATACATTAATTGATTTTCAGATGTTAAACCAACATTGTTCCTACAATGTCTCACTTGTTTACGTTATAATTCTTTTATACACTGCTGGATTCAGTTTGCTAGTTTTTTGTTGAAGATTTTTGTATTGATGTTCATAAGAGATATTGGTCTGTAGTTTTCTTGTTATGGCTTTGTTTAGTTTTGTTAGCAGGGTAATATTGGCCTCATGGAATGAGCTGAAAATTGTTCCCACTTTTTTATGTTTTTAATGAATTTGTGAAGATTTGGTATTCTTATGTAAATATTCAATCTCTCTTCCTGCTAATGGGTCTATTCAGATTATCTATTTCTTTTTTAGTTGCTTTGGTAGTTTGGGTTTTCCTTGGAATTTGTCCATTTCATCAAAGTTGTATAATTTGTTGGCATTCAATTGTTCATAGTATTCCTTTATAATCCTTTTTATTTCTCTAAGGTCAGTAGTAATGTGCCCTCTTCCATTTGTGATTCATGTAATTTTGCTCTTTTTTTCCTCTTGATCTAGCAAAGGTTTGCCAATTTTTTAGTCTTTTCCAATAACCAGGTTTTCATTTTACTGATTTTCTCTATTGATAATCTCTTTTCTATTAATTTCCACTTGAGTCTTTATTATCCTTGTGTAGTTGCTCTTCTTTTTCCATTGTCTTATGGTACAAGGTTACATGCTTAATTTGAGAACTTACTTCTATATAAATATAGGTACTTACAAGCTATAAAGTTCCCTCTAAGGACTGCATTACCTGCAATCCATAAGTTTTGGTATTTTGTGTCTAACAGTCATTCATCTTAAAATATTTTCTAATTTTCCTTTTTATTTCTTTTTTTACCCTGTGATTACTTAGGAGTGTGAGTGTTTAATTTTTACATATTTTTAAGTTTCCCAAATACTGTTTCTTTTTGTATTAATTTTTATGGATACACAATAGTTGTACATATGTATGGGATACATGTGATGTTTTGATATAAGCACATAATGTGTAATGATCAAATCAGGGTAATTGGTATATGACCTCAAACATTTATCATTTCTTTGTGTTAGGAATATTCAAATTTCATGCCTCTGGTTATTCTGAAATATACAATATTCATTGTTAACTATAGTTGCCCTATTATGCCACTAAACACTAGATCTTATTCCTTCTATCTAACTGCATCTCTGTACCCATTAACCCCTCTTTATCACCCCTTCTACTATCCTTCCAAGCCTTTGGTAACCACCATGCTACTCTCTATCTCCATGAGATCAATTTTTTTAGCTCTCACATATGAATGGGAACATGCAATGTTTGTCTTTTTGTGCCTGGATCATTTCACTTTACATAATGTCCTCTTGTTCCATCCATGTTGTTGCAAATGATGGAATTCCATTCTTTTTAATAGCTGAATAATATTCCACTGTGTATACATACCTCATTTTCTTTATCCATTCATTTGTTGATGAACACATATCGATTCCATACCTTGGCTACTGTGAATAGTGCTGCAATAAATACGGGAGTGCAGCTATCCCTTCAATATAGTGATTTCCTTTCTTTTGTATATATACTAAGCAATGGGATTGCTGGGTTATATAATAATTCTATTTTTAGTGTTTTGAGGAACCTTCATACCATTTTCCACAGTGGCTGTACTAATCTACATTCCTACAAATAGTGCATGAGCATTTCCCTTTCTCCACAATCTTGCCAGCATCCATTACTTTTTGTTTCTTTGGTAAAAGCCATTTCAACTAGATTGAGTTGATATCACGCTATGGTTTTGATGTGCATTTCTCTGATTGCACCATTTTATATAACTGCATTCTCTGATAGTGATTGACCATTTTTATATAACTGTTGACCATTTTTATGTCTTATTTAAGTGATCTTCAGATTCAATGTAATCACTATCAAAATATCAATGACATTCCTCACAGAAGTAGAGAAAAAAATCCTAAAATTTGTATGGAACCACAAAAGACTCAGAATAGCCAAAGCAATCCTGATAGAAAAGAACAAAGCTGGAGGCATCACATTATCTGACGTCAATTATACCACAAAGCTGTAGTAACCAAAACAGCATGGTACTGACATGAAAACAGACAAATAAGGCCAGGTGCAGTGGCTCACACCTGTAATCTCAGCATTTTGGGAGGCCAAGGCGGACAGATCACCTGTGGTCAGTTTGAGACCAGCCTGGCCAACATGGTGACACCCCATCTCTACTAAAAATACAAAAATTAGCCAGGAGTGGTGGTGGGTGCCTGTAATCGCAGCTACTCAGGAGGTTGAGCACTTAAAATATGTTGTTTCACCCTTTTTGGCATCTATATTTTCTTATGAGAAGTCAGCTGTAAATCTTATTGGTGTTCTCTGTAAGTCATGAGTCATTTTTGTCTTGAAGCTTACAAGATGTTTTCCTTGTCTTTGCCTTTCGGCATTTTTAGTGTAATGTGTCTGCTAGTAGTTATTTCTCTGTGTTTATCATAATTAGAGTTCTTTGAACTTCCTTCATCATTAGGTTCATATCTGCCAATAAATTTTGGAAGTTTTCAGCCAGTATTTCTTTGAATATTTTTCTGCTTCTCTCTCCATCTCCTTCCCTGCTCCATCTGATGCTTCCACTGGTTTATGCTGTTGCACTAATGGTGTTTTACACTTCTCTGAGGCACTACTTTTTTTTATTTTTTGATATTTTACTATTCTTTGGATTGCATAATCTCTATCAATGTATCTTAAAGTTTGCAAATTATTTCTTCTGCCAGTTCAAATCTACCACTGAGTCCCTCTAGTAATTTTTTTAATTTCTCAGTTATTACACTTTTCAATTCCAGAATTTAAATTTGGTCCTTTTCATCATTTCTATCTCTTTATTTATATTCTGTATTTGATGCAGCATCTTTTACTTTTTAAAGTTTCCTTAATTCTTTGAACATATTTTTAATAACTATTTTGAAATATTTGTCTATTAAATTCAACATTTTGTTCTTACAGTTTCTATCACCTGCTTTTTTCTGGTGTATGCATCATAGTTTCTTGTTTCTTTGCATGACTTACTTATCATTTTTGTCAGTAACTGTACATTTTAGATAATATATTCCAGAAACTCTTGTTGTTGTTTCTTATTTACTTGTTTAGTGACTGGCTGGATTATTTTAGTGAAGTCTATTCTCCTACCCCCACCCCCACAGCATAAACCCTCTATTGTTGCTCTTCAGGAGGTACAGCCTTGAGTATATTGTGTATACCCATGGGATGACAGTGGTTTGGACAGGGCTTTTTTTGCTCTGCTGTTTTCACCAATACCTTGGGGCATAATTTGCTTCACAGACTAATCCAATCAAGGTCAGGCTTCTTCAGGGACAGTTTCTAGAGAAGTATTTGAGATTTGCCCCTGACTCCAGGAGGTCTCTTCCCAACTGTGTCCATTTCCACTTCTCTATCAAATTCCTTTCACCACAACTGCTACTCTTTTTGAGAGTGCCCTTAGCCTTGAACTTCTTCACACTCTTGCAAATAAAATAAGTTACTTTGAGGAGAAATTTGGATATATAGGTTCATATTAGTCCATTGGCCTACCTCCTCTTCTCTTTCTGCTGCCAACCCCAGAAAAATCTCTGAGCCATAGCTAGGAGAGGCAAGGACAATGGCACATTTCTCCCTGAGTGATAACCCCACTTCAGAAGCTTAGCCCTCAGTAGATTGTGGAGGGAGCAAGGAGGTCATTAGCCCCAGGTCTCCTCATTTTGCTTCTCTCAGTGTGGAATTCCTAGCCGTTGATCTGGAGCAAGGGCAACCAAGGCCCCAATACTCTCAGCAATGCCACACTCAAGGCAGAGCTCTTTCCCATGAGTGGGAGCTGAGTAGAAGAAGACTCAATTAGCCATACTTCCCCAGAATTTAGACTCAACAATAAGTAGCTGAGACAGGATGAGGAATACTGATGTCCTGCCCCTACCAGGAAGAGAGCCCACCAACTGGGAGCTGAAAGAAAAAGGGAGCCCTGTGTTTTTGGTTAAGCCCATTTGGAGTGGAATTTCTGTCTCCCTAAGCTAAGAGGGGGAGGGAGAATCCAGGTCTCTATTGAACTGAGGTTCAAATACCACAGACTTTCCCATTCCTTGCCTAATTTTAGTAAATGTTTAAATATTTATTCTTGTGCTGTATGTCCATAGGGCTTCTTTCAGAGACCTTACTTTAAAAAAAAAAAAAAAAAGTTTACCAGTTTAAATGAGGAGGAGGCCTGCAGAACTCCTCATACTATCACTCCAGAAGTAGAACTCCCAACTCCCTTAATTTTATCTTTGCTATATTGTTGAGTTAGTTTCTTTAATTGAGGAGTTTTCTTGGGACTTTGGCAGTCAAAGGTTTTTTCAGCCTTTTTGCCTACTCTTTGGTGTACAGAAGCAATAGCCTTTACATTTCTAGAAAGGAATTTGTACTCACAAATCAGCATACTCGTTCTTGAAATTATCTCATTCTTGTAATATCTGGCTAATTGCAACAGAGAGCAATACACGAATATTCTGGTTCTTTCTTTTATTTTTCTATTTTACTTTAAGTTCTGGGATACATGTTCAGAACGTGCAGCTTTGTTACATAGGTATACATGTGCCACAGTGGTTTACTGCACCTATCAACCCATCATCTAGCTTTTAAGCCCCGCATGCATTAGGCATTTATCCTAATGCTTTCCCTCCCCTTGCCTCCCACCCTCCGACAGGCCCCAGTGTGTGATGTTCCCCTCCCTGTGTCCATGTGTTCTCACTGTTCAACTCCCACTTATGAGTGAGAACATGTGGTGTCTGGTTTTCTGTTCCTGTGTTGGTTTGCTGAGAATGATGGCTTCCAGCTTCATCCATGTCCCTGCAAAGGACATGAACTCATTCTTTTTTGTGGCGGCATAGTATTCCATGGTGTATATGTGCCACATTTTCTTTATACAGTCTATCATTGACAAGCATTTGGGTTGGTTCCAAGTTATTCTGGCTCTTTCTAACAACTTTTCCTAGACTGGCAGGCTCAGTATTATTGCCTTTCAGGTTGTTGTACACAATAGTTTTACCAAATCTTTATCACTATATAATATAGATCTCCAATATATTTTCACCCCCCAATATTTGTTTCCTTGCTTCCTCCTGCCAACCACTAGAAGTCAATGCCCCACATTTTAAATTTTTGATGTGAAAGCAATATACTTCAAGATACTTATTTCAATTTTAATTAGGTGAGGCAAACAGTAAAAACAAATAAACCCAATTAAATTTTATTTCTTGCTCATATGATATTACCGGCCAGTGATGAAATTAGTAGGGTACTCATGCCCAACCTAATACAAAATTCAAAAAAGTTTACTTTATGAGTGACATCCAGGATATAATTCATGCAACAAACAACTTAGAATATATTTTTGTCGTACTTAAAAGTAGGAATGTCCATAAAAGCTCTTCATCTTAGATTTATAGATTTTGTGGGCATTTGCAGGGACAAATCATTATTTGACTAATAACATCTTTTCATAGGGAAGTTGCAGGTATGTTGTGAGGGGCATTTATAGAACATACTAACATCAAAAGGGAGATTCATTTGCTGGAGGCTTTGCATTTCATACATTTGTGATAAGTAAGATTTGGGGGGACATATACTGGTTCCTCAATTCTCATATTTTTACATGGGGAGGAATTTCCACTCCACTCCCTAGAAAAGAAAATTAATAGGGGAGAGGGCATTTTCAGTTCTCTCTGCTCCTCACACTGTCCTATGATGTTTTGAGCTAAGTCATGTCCCACAAAAAATCATACGTTGAAGCCCTAACTCCCAGTACCTCAGCATTTGACTGTATTTAGAAATACAGGTAATTAGGGTAAAGTGAGGTCATATGGATGGACCCTAATCCACTATGACTGGAAGCCTTAGGAAAAGGAGATTAGGCCGCAGACCAAGGGATGACCATGTGAATACACAGTGAGAAAGCAGCTACCCACAGTGAGAAAGCAAGCCAAAGAGAAAGCCTTCAGAAGAAACCAAACCAAGCCCTTGATCTTGGACTTCTAGCCTCTAAAACTGGAAGAAAATAAATTTCTGTTGTTTAAGCTACCTGTGGTATTTTGTTACGGCAGCCCAAGCAAACAAATACATACGAGAAGAGTGGTAACATATAACTGTTAAGTTTAAATGAAGTAACAGGACATACTCAGAATTTTCCATCAGTAAACAGTAGCCAGTGAGAAAGGCATTTACCCATTCATCCAGAACACTACAGACTGGGTGCTGTGTTAGATGCTGCCAATCAGTAATAAATAATTCTAATATGATTGTTGCTGGTAAGAAATTCAGAGGCTAATGAAAAGGAAAAAATGAATAAACTTTGTGTACATAAGAGATCTCAGAATATGAAGAATAGCTGGGTAGCCTAGCTCCTTCTTAGGAAAATTTGGGGAACTGACACCCATACTGACCTGTGTTGAGTAATGGAGATGTGGGGGAAATATTGAGAATGGATGTCAAAGTGGCCAGCCAAAGTATTTTCTGATCTGCTGACCATATTCTCTTGATCCTGTGGTGTTGAGGGGTAGCCTAGGCTTGGATGGTGGTTTATTTTGAACAGATGGAATGGAGCTTGGATATGAGCCACAGAGACAATTATTGGATAAAGGTTTCATCAATTTTCTAATGAGGAATGTCTTATAGCTATCACCAAAACCACATTGGCTAACTGAAGTATACGAACATATAGCACCAACTATACATAATATACAGCCAAAGCTAACACAATTCGGTAATTGCTTTTAGTTTATTTCATAGTATGGATGCTGTAATAATAGTGAGAAAAGCACTGGCTTTGGAACCAGATTCAATGTCAACTGAAACATATGCTTAATGAGCACTAGTGAAGTGCCAGCCCCTGCTAGGCACACAGAGGGGAGGAGTGAGAGAGGGAGAGGAGAGGAGTGAGAGAGGGAGAGGAGAGGAGTGAGAGAGGGAGAGGAGAGGAGTGACAGAGAGAGAGAGAGAGAGAGAGAAAAGACAGACATGTCCCTGCCATTTGTGAACTTGGGCAGGTTATTTATTATCCCTGAATCTGTTTTCTTACATGATAAATCAGGATCATGGTAGCTATTTTGGACAGCTTCTGTAAAAATTAAATTTTACAGAAAAAGAAAAGACATTAAAAAGTACTTATGACAGTGCCTGGCAAATAACTATGTGCTAAATGTTATTTCCTTCTCACATTTGTCCACCTTTGCTCTCTGCAAAAAGAACGAAGTATAAAAAGCCCCTTTGGGTATTATTGAAATGAGTTACCAAATATCGTAATCTTCATAGCCAAATTCTAAGACTTAGAGAAAGAGCACTGAATAAGGCTGGCTCTCATTTGAGTAAATCAGGCTTTACATCAACATGGATAATACGTTTAGAATCTTAAGTGTATTCTTCTAGAAGGTACATATGTGTGTATTTCCTTTCTATTTTGCCACTTCCCTCATTCTTAACTCTATGGTATTGAACTCAGGGTAAAGAGCAAAATCATTTGTTGAAATGAAATAGAAAGAGCATGTCACAAAAAATGGTCTGCAGATATTGAAATAAAAATAATCCATCCTCTTAAAGCATTAAAAATGATCTTATATTTTTACATGCAGAATATAGTAACATATATACTTAGCAATACATGAATTTTTCCAAAAATAAGATAAAAGCATTACAAGATAGAGGGTGAATCAATCTCTGTAACCTTCAAAAATAGTACCGAGAATAGTAGGGAACATATAGTTCAGATAACTTTTCAGGAAGGGCGTGTACTGCCTGTACTGTATTGAGCCAGATTCCCTATGTACCAAAGAAATTGTCAATTTGGACAATTGGAAGAACTACTCCTTTTTCACAACTTCAGGGAGAAGCTTCAAATACAGAATCCAGCTTACTTATTTATAATCTCAAAAGTTCTGCTTAGGTGCAAATGACTCTCTCAATTACTCTCAAATCCTATCTAAGTCAATGAATTCCAGACTCCAGAAACAAACAACATGTTCCTTCACCTTATCTCTGTTCATTCTTTCTCTTCAGCTAGTCCACCTCCCACAAATTGGAATTTTGATGTGGAATAAAATGCTTTCTTAATTGGGCTTCCTGCTTTTATTCTAATCCTAAATTCTTCGCAAACAATTTTCCTAAACCTACTCCCTTTATTTTTCAAACTTGAAACATAGAGTTGGACTCTAATTGTATGTAACTCACTACTATCCATCATATCAATCATTCATTTATTTTATTTGGCAAATATCGAGTCTACTCTACACAGGGTAAGCTCTTTTGGGATTGCCAAGACATAAAGCACCAGGGTGATTTTACATTCAGATATAAAACCATACAATACCTCACTTTTTCTCTATACATTTCACATTTGTATACAAATATACTCCTTTCGTTAAACTGTAATGGCCTCTGAACAAATAAATAATGCTAAAAAATAACTTTTGTCTTTAACGCATTTGGCTGCATGTAAAATATCCATAGCTGTCATGTGTAATGAAACTACCCACTGTTTAGAGATCCCTGCAAAATCTACATGCAGTGGAGTTCATTTAAGACAGAACAATCACACAATTTGAACACAGCATAAGCAATGTAATAAGCAGAGAACAATCTTCTGGGTAATACCAAAGTTTACTTAAACAGATTGATAACATCCTCACTGAAAAATAGCACACACCATTTTCACAGTTTGTTCCCTTTTGTATAACTTACCCACCAAGCTAGATAGTACAATTACTGAACTTTGTAGTGAATGCCCGGAGCCCCTGAAGTGCTACCACAGGAAATCAACCAATAATACAATTGCATTTCTCTCCTTATCACATAGCTTTTGTGATTTGTCAGGAAATAAATACACAACACTAAAAATCAACAAATACAGGGGGTTCATGTGAAGAAAACAAGGTTTGGTTTTGTTTTTAAAAAGCACATGATTATTTTTTCCATCCATAATATTTTTCCTCTTCCTCCCAGATCTCTTAACAAAATTCATCACCTAATGGTCTCTGATGAGCTTGGCCAGTGAAAATGTCTCAGTCAGAAGTAACGGGACCCACAAAACCCAATATGATTTCTTAACTCAGCCATGACCTTTCACTTTTTCTTTTTGGTTTCAAAGCTGACTGAATGGTCATTCAAATCATGAAAGTGTTAAGTGGGAGTAGTCATAAATCATCATTTTAAAGTCTGCTACCAGCACGAACACTCCATATTTAAAAGGAGGTGGGGGGCGCAGAATTTAAGACCACACTCAACAGGGCTTCACAGTTATTAAATTCAGCTCTCTGGTAATCTGGTAACTCTGAAATATGGTGTGTTTTTTTTGTTTGTTTGTTTTTTAATCTGGCCATCCAAATATAAAGCAGATGCAGATATACATATATGCCCTTAAATATTGGCAATAACAAACATAAAGTGAGATACTTTCAAAGTAAAATATCCTAAAATGTAAACCATTTAAATTTAAAGGACATATAAGTACAGTATTTTTATCTGAAAATATTTGAGGTTTTCTTTATATAAAATTATAAAGTAATGCTTGTCAATTTATTAAAGTTGGACACAATACCAAAAAGCAGAGGAATATATCAAAATCACTTGTGACTTACACAATTAGGTAAAACTCATGCATGCATTTTTTCGATGAATGCTTATCCAATGTTTTATGGTAGAAAGCTTGAATTAATTTAAGATAAAATATGACTGAATATCCTTGCAAATTAAGTTTGGAAATAATGTTTTAAAATAAATTTGGCTAAATGAATAGTTTAGTAATTGAGCATTTTTAAAATAATTGCTTATAAATCAAGTCTACTTTTTTGGAGGACACATTTTATAGCATGTTTCAGTAGAAATAAAGAGCCAGATTACAGCGTCTGTCACATCTTCAGATGCATACACAGTTGAATATGGCAAAAATTCTCTAAAACAGGGCTGGTCAGATATTTAATAGATATTTAGTAGATGTGCATTGAGAAACACTGGAGAGTGTCCTTGCCAAAAATATCTGTCCCATTCCCCATGACATTCCCCAGGTGTGTATTATCATTTTTCTTGTAGCATTTAGAATTCTAATCACTAGTCATTATTTTTTTTCACATCATTAAAAATCTTTACCAAAAAGCAAACACGTTACCTAGGAAGCCATTAATAAGTCATTAGCACCTTACCTGGAATTAAATCAATCAGACCATACAGTTTTCTTAAGAGCCCAAGGTGTGTATAATAGCAAACAGGTAATTTTGATGACAGTAGGCATTTAAAAAACACAAATGTTGGGTCATTTTGCAAGAAGGACCCCTAAAACACTGGACAGTTAGTCAGGGGAGGAAGAATTGTGGAGAGTCATCCATATACGGTTAGAGGAGACGTGGAGGAATGAAAACCTATGGCATCATTTCCCTCCAAACCAACTAATATAAAACCTGAGTGTGACTGACAGCTTTTGAAACACAGTAATAGTAGGTGATTTATGCTTCTAGGCTAAATAATACAGGCTTCAGTGACAGCTCTCCACTGTGAATTACTAATAACCATTTTGAGCGAGGGATAGATTTCTCATCACTAGCAGGTACCTGATCTTCGTCTGAACCATAGTGTAAGACTCGGCAAACACGTGAACATTTTACAGTGAGACACAGCTTAAGTGTGAGACTTGTGTACAATGCCATCAGTCACATTATGCCAAAAAATTCAGGTGGTCAATTACTGAATTATTAAAGTTGCATTCAGATAATTCTGAGACAAGTGATTAATGTCAGTTACGGTGTATGTGTTGGAGGGGTGGCATGGAACGTAATTGTTTGACTCAAGTGACTAATTCAGGCAGGTGGTCTGACAATTCTGGTAGGTAATCCTGTTCTGATACCTAGTTACACCCTCATTCACCCTTGTGTTCAGAATCTCTAACTTCTTTAGCCTACTGGCCTATAATCACATACATCACTCTTATATTCAATAAAGGAGACTTCAAAATAAGAGTACTTTATTGAAAATTACACGAGTGGATATTCTCTGAAGTAAATTAACAATAAAAGAATAAAGCTGTTCAACGAATATATTTTTCATGCTTCAGGGCTATGTGTTTAACAGTTTTCTAACTGTTCATTCATTTATTAAAAAAACTACTTCAGTTATTATCTCCGAGAGTTGAAATTAGATATTTAATTGACTGGAGGGAATGAAAGTCGCTCATTTTTAAATAAGGCAACTATTTAAAAATATTTCTATAAAATGCTTCATACAATCACCATCAGCCCAAATTCCTGGCAAACATTCTTGTGTGTATATATAGTTGATTTTATAAATGTCATGCTATAAGAGCTAACTCCTTCAGAAACATGTTTATCTTAATTAGGAAAGTAAACAGACTTCTAATGGGAAGAAATGGGAATTTTTCTCTGTGGTATCGAAGGCATCAAAGGGCCAGTTCTCCTGCCAAACCAATCTTCCTTCCTGCCTGCTTTAAACCCAGGTGATTGCAGACAGCTGAGCAGGCATTTTCCCCAAAGCCTCTCTTGACCGGGCTCCAGTCTCTGCTCAGTTGCCCCATCTCTTGCTCTTTCTCTCTCTGTGTGTCACTCTTTCTGTGGATTTTTTTTCTGTATTTTTGCCTCAGGAAACCTAGGGATATTCATGGCACTGAGGCAAATAATGTGGAATTAAAAACTAAATTCTTGAGGCCTCATCCTAGCAACAAGACCATCACCATCTGTTCAGAGGACAAGCCTGCCATTATCCGCTGCATTCTTTATAAAAACTCCATCACCTGTGAGGGGAAAAACACTGCCCCTTTCCTGGGTTCTCTCTTTGTCACAATAGAAAATGGTCTGTTTCCCTCTGATCCTGTAAAATTAAAGAAATCAAATATGACTGGGAGCACTTACAGCAAATTTAAGGAGATATATCAGAAGGCCTTAAATGGCCATTCCAAAAGAGTCTGATAATTGTCTTCTGCACAATAAAACCTGACAAAAATATATTGTTGATGTCTTTTCTAATTATTTAAATTAGAAAAGAGCAAATGGAGTGCTGATGCCTGTATTTTTGGTGGTAAGATGACTGTCACATTCTTTTATTTATTTTTAGCTTCAAAATTTTTATTCATTTCACCTTTGAAAACTACATCAAAATTTATATTTTGAAAGTGGCATTAAAATGTTGTTTCAGTGACTTCAGGGTGAGAATCAATCCAGTTAGACATCTAGTTTAATACACGATGAAAATTTTTTCCCTGGGAAAATGTTTAAAACAGTAAAGACAGTAACTGGGATATATTTTATGCAGTAAAACTTGTATTATTAGAAATAAACAAGGTCTCTTTTCTCTCCTAAAATAGCTGAGTATGAAATAAAAGAATATCTATAGATAGAGCATTTGAAAACCCCAGCCAGAGTTGAAGTGCAGATGAGGAAAAACGCGAGACAAATCTTAATAAGTTTCTTTCTAGAATGAAATACACATGATGCTGTCTGATCCAATAAATTAAGAAAGAATATATTTATGAATGTCTAGTAGGTACCAATCATTACATAATATGCTGTTGAGCATGTTTTAACTTTTGAAATTTTTATAAGAAATATATCAATAAATAGAAAGTACCCTCTCAAATACTAGAAAAACATAGTTCTATAATTATAACTAACATTTAACTGGGGTATATTATTTTAAAATCACTTTTTCCTACATTATCTCCTTTTATTCTGATAAGGAGATTGTGAGGTAGACTGAAGATTCATCGCTGTCACCCATTTAAAGATGACGATGCCCAGGTTCAGAGGAGTGTTTTTTGTTTTTTGTTTTGCCCCTGGCTCCCCAGGCTAAGAATCTAAACTCTCCTTAGTCCAAATTGGAAACAACTCTGACATTTTTAAATGGCATTATTTATATTTGTGCCATCAAAAAAGAAATACAAATGAAGACAAAGACTTGAGCTGGAGCAACAATAGTTCTTTATTTTCTTGGACAGGTAGTTGACATACTTGCTGGCAGATGTTCAAAAGTATCATTTGTGTCTTACACAGGCTCCATTTCCATGAGTCAATATTCCCAAAGTTCTTTGCAAAAATATGAACTGAAGTTACCCATATGGCTGTTAATTATCTTCCTTTTTAGATTGCACCTTGTATTGCTATCGTCTGTATATTGGGCACTAACAATTTCCTACATTTTTCCCACATGGTTTTTGCTAAAATTGTCTTAGGCGCAGCCACAGTTGAAAAGTCCTTGCCAATGAGGTAGGGATTTTGAGAAGCAGCTGAATCATTCTCTTCATCCCATCTGTGGATATGCTTGATCTGATGGGAATAAAATCCCAACATTTGGCTAGTTTCAATGGATAGCAATACATCTGTCTGGTTACACTATATTGGAGTAGGACAACAGCATAGAGGAGAATAACTAGATAAAATGTATTTTGAGAATATGAAATAGAACTTTGATCCCATAAATAGGTATTCAGAGGGTGAGATAAAAATTTGTATACACATGAATAATTGACCCTCACCAATTGGGGCTACCTAATTATATAAAAATATTATAGAATAAAATATTTACCAAAATGCAGTTAAAAGATATTTGCAGGATCATAGATTCCAAGCTATGCAAAGTGGGATGAGAACTGAATGGTGTATCTTTAGCATGCTGGCAATTCCATTTCAAAACTACAAAAATAGTAATAATAATTTTTCAGATTACTTTTTCCAAGCAAGATGTAACTAACAAAACTACAAAAACAATTATGCAGAAATCATTATTTCCAACCCTCATTTTCAGATAAACTTAAAACAGGTGATAGTAAAACCAACAGCAACGTTTTGATTCTCATATGGCCTGGTGACCTCACTTTCTCAGTTCCTTGAATGTAGCCTTTCCTTCATAGCCTCTTGTAAACATGGGCAGGTGGTCACAAACGGGAATGAAATGATTGGATGGGCCAGCAAACAAAGCAAATTGTACATATACTTTTCAATTGTAGAACTGAACATTGGGTATGAGTATCTTGTAAGTAAAAAATTTCTCTTAGCTAAGGTGATCAATCATTCATTTTGCTCAAGATTTGAAGGGGTTCCCAGGATTCAGGACTGTTAGTATTCAAACTGGAAAGTCCCAGGCTAACTGGAGTGGGCAGGTCCCACTAGTTAGCTGTGAGACAAATTAGCTGGTTAGCTTGCAACTTAATTTGGCACCACAGGCTTAAACATTTCTAATAACACATTTTTGGAAAATAGGACTAAAAAGGACCAGGTTCCCATTTTGAAAATTAAGAGCTCTAAAATGCACCTATGTAGCATAAATCTGGGGTTTCAAATCTCTTAATCTATGCAAGTAACTCTTTTGTGATTTTGCCAATATAGAGACCATCACCTGCCATACTCCATTGACCCACTTTGCACTACAATCAGGCTGATTTTTGCTTTGTCTCCTGCCTGCTGCTGAATTATCTACTCATCCTGCTCTGCCAATATTCCCCTTTACTAATATGAGAGCCTGATAATTTGTTAATAATGTGAACATCAACAACAACAAAAATATTCCCCATCCCACCACTATTTTTAATAGCATGGTAATGCTGTCCTATTGTTTAGAAGAAGCTAATAAGATTCCATGAATTGCCTTGGAGGTGGTCAGGGCAGCAATTCATTATCCCGAAAATTGAATTTTAAAGGAGTTAGAGAGAAAAGTATCAAGAATTTATCCTGTCAGTTCCATATAAACTACATTTTAAGGCAACTAAGTAGTTAATGAAAGAAAAATTTTCTTTTAGAAGAATGCCAACTACTAAATACATAAAGGATGGTGGAATTAGAAAAAAAAATCACCATTTTGTAATCCTGAAAGAAATGATGAACATAGACATGAAATGAATGTAAAGTCAGTAGTTGAAAATTTGTTAGGGAACATTAAACGCTGACATCACCATTCGAGCATGCCTTGTACAAAAAGCATACACAGAATCACTTATGAAATGTTCTAACCTGAAAAATTTAAAGCAAAAACCTGAAACTAGGCTGGGCACAGTGGCTCATGCCTGTAATCCCAGCACTTCGGGAGGCAGAGATGGGAGGATCACTTGAGCCCAAGTGCTTGAGACCAGCCTGGGCAACACAGGGAGACCCCATATCTACAAAACATTAAAAAATTAGGTGTATGTGGGGGTGCAGGTCTGTAGTCCAGCTACTCAGGAGGCAGAGGTGGGAGGATGGCTTGACCCCAGGAGGTAGGTCCGGGCTGCAGTGAGCCAAGATCATGCCACTGCACTCCAGCCTGGGCAACAGAGCCAGACACTGTCAAAAAAAAAAAAAAAAAAAAAAAAAAGTCTTATTGGGTAAAATTCATACTGAAGTTTAATGGATTAAATGACATTATTTTACCTGGAATAGTTTAAAAATACTGCAGCAAAACCAAAAAATAAAAAAGTGTGAAATAAATGAAATCAGATGGTTAAACTCCTGATCATTGTTGAAAGTGATTATGGGAATAGGGCAATCATTATTATTACTATTCTGCCCACATTTGTTTATGTTTAAAATTTTTTATAATAAACAATAAATAATGATTTGATGGTTTCAAAAATCCTGAATTCAAACACATAAAATAATAGCAACTCTAATTTGTTTCTAACTTAGTTGATGCAATCTACTAATCTAATATATCCATTTTAGTTTGATTTCAGTTGTGAGGGATGGGGACAGAGGCAGTGCAGGTACCGCAGTGGTGATACTGCTACAAGTTATTTGGTAATCCAAATGCTTTTCTATCACCTTCTTGTTACCAAAAGCAAATTTCAATGGACATCGTTTTGTCACTGGTTAGCATGCTCTGGAGGCTTCCTCAATTTCTGTGTGCTCAAGTAACAAAAATCTATTTAAATATTAGCCTATGCTAGGTATAATTGGAAAGCTATAAAGAAGAAAATTAATATGACATTCTATTTGTGTTTATATTTTGAGTATTTTCAAATGCATTGTTTCTGTTGATTCTTAAGGATTTCTAAAAGCAAAAAGTCACATATTATACCCCAAAGTCAAAAGGGTAAGTGAATACGAATCCCCTGACATCAGTTGCTTTGTGTTACTCTTCTCTTACATGAATGCATAGTTGACCATTCTTGGGAATGTCAGAGTAGACAGAGAGCTTCCTAAGGAAAGGGATTTTTAATGTATTCATTTTTGTATGCTTAGTACCTAAAAGAATATTTGGCACATTATAGGCACTTGATAAATATTAATGCTTAAATTCCTCTAAATCCTTTACTGAAGTAGTAATTGGGTCATCTGTCTACTTCTCTCATCGTCACTACTGTTTAGTATAAAATAGCATTGCTGTCTTTTCTGGACTTCCTGACTGGTTTGCTCGTATCCACTGTTGGCAATACCAATTACACCGCAGACAGAATCCTTCATAAAAGTTAATATGATCACATGAGAACACACATACACACACACACACACACACACACACACACACACACCTAAAACCATTCAATTGAGTTTTATGGCTCTAGTGCTATTATTATTACTACCTAAATCTGTCAGTCTACATTTATTGTGTGATTATCTGATTAACGTGTGTCTTCCCTAACAGACCTTAAACCTCATTCTTAGAGCAGGAACTGAGTTTGTTTTGGTCCTTATCTCTATTTTCAGAGTTCTACATAAGGCCTAGAATATAATATATAGTCAACAATTTTGTCAAAAGAATTCATCCAGTAGTTCAATTTTAGCCTGCCTTGAGTTATTGTAGCATGTCATTTTCATTAGCCAAACTAAGCAGGTAAAACAACAGAATGGAGCAAGATTAAAATCAAAATATTAGAATCGCTTCTGCTTGTTAACAAATCACTGTAACACTTATAAGGTTGTAACTTACAATGAACAGAAAAGCAACAACTCCATCTCCTTGCCAAAGAGGGATACTGATTGTCAATTCAAGGAAGGCACTGAAAGAAATCCATAATCCTGCCTTTACCTATAACAGTTATATAAAAATTGAAAGTACATTTGGCAGCTTTCAGGAGCACAAACAATTCTATGTGGGCAGCAGCGAGTGGAGGCAGTAAAAGAACTTACCGCGTTACCAATTTTAAAGAGTCATTTGATTTCAGTTCTTTGGCAAAACCTATTACCCAAAAAAAAAAAGTAAGCATATAGAAAACTTAAATACATTACTGATACATTTCAGGATGTATTATTTGAAAACAAAAGAACTTTGAAGAGCATTCGTAACCTACTTCATTTTGTTGTTGAGCCCTAGGGCATTTCACAGGGCACCTTTACCTACAGCATTCCATGCTAGGCCCAGGCAGAATGCTTCTTCTCTTCCTCTCAGTGGTACTCTGTCTCATGTTATTATCATTTATGTGTCTGTGTGTTTCTCTCACTGGATTATAGATCTGTGAGGACAAGATCTGGCCCTACCTGCATAGCCTGGAACACAGTATGTGCTATAGTACAGCAACTCTACTGAATGCTGTGGTCTAATTTATAAAAATTTGATTTACACTAAAGATTTTGGAATAATATCCATTGTGTCAAAGAGAAGATGGCACCGAAGCATACTGGGCAAAAGGTGGCAGGGAAAAATAGTGCTTTAAGGACTAAATAGTGAATGAAGCTGAGTTTTTCTTTGGAGTTCCTCCCCGGCATTACCAGCCCTGAACTCCATATTGGTAATTCTTTAACTCATCACCCCCATTCATGTTCCCTGGCATTAAGATTTGGTGAATTTTAGCCATATGTATTGATGTATTGAAGAATATAAAGTATCTGATTAATTTCTTATCATTTTGAAGTGTAACTTTATGGAATATGTCATCAAATTATAACAATTTGAGATATTTTGATGAAATATTTTGTAAAGTTTTACCACCTACAAAATCATACCTATGCAAAGTTCACAGAATATTACAACAGGAGTAATCCTCAGATAATTTCTAGCTTAGCATCTGTGTACTCTGAGAGGTTTGGTTATTTTATTAATTAGCTAATAACATATTTACTGAGTGTCTCTTATAATCTGCACTAGGCAAGGCACTAGGAACACAGAAAAATTGATAACCTACTCGCAATGAGTTGCTAGTGCAGTAAGGCACATCATCTCTGAGCTGAGAATTATGGCCATGTTTTCCACTTGTAGAGGAGATATTTGCAGAATCTCAGCATTTAGAGAAAATGTGCCTTATCAACAATCATCTTGATGAACATATTAGTATTCATGGGGTCCTCATGTCTCTCCATAGGTACCATTGTCATAGAACATATTTCATCTGAAAAGAAATAACTCCCTGAAGGGCACACATTTTAGATCTAAATAGTACCCTTGCTATTTGAAATTTTAATTTTGGGAACTTAATATACAGTCTACTGTTACCAAAAATCATCTTAAAGTAGCTATAGAATCCCAAAAGGATAATGAGTTCTTACAGAGTTTCCCCAGTTATGGAGAGGAAATCATTAGTAACTTAAGACAGAAATAAAGAAATCATCTAATTAATGTATTCAGAGATGAATCTTAATGTCCAATTATTCTCTTGATTTGACACAACCTAGTAACAACATAACATCGTCAGCAACATTGTATTAATGTTGGAAGAATTAGAAGGAAGGTAGCCAAGTGGGGGGAGGGAGAGACTGTTCTTAATCCTTTCTTTTTTCTTTTTCTATCACACAATAAGCAAACCTCCTGCTTAAATTAATCACATTTTTAAAAAGTAAACCCACAGAATTAACCTGAAAACAATATTGTGCTGGGAAGTCTGAATTCTATTATAATCAAAGCTTATAAATATCACTTAAACAAAGGTCTATCTGTTCAATTCATTAAATGTTAACAAATGATTTTCCTATCATTCAATGTAGTCTCTTAGTTCAGCTTCATTGATTGATTTAACCAATGTCTATTTAAACGTGTATAATTTCCGTATTTTGTAATTGGTCCAATATTAAATGATACTCACACAGAGCAAAAAGTTAACGTGCCAATATTGTCATGCTCCATATTCATGCTTCATTTATTGAAAGAATTAAAATCAAGGAAGATATTTTTCAATATTTTGTATTTTTTATTAAATAATACATAGTAGTGGGTTTTTAATGTTTTTTAGAAAAGGTACTACAGTGAAAATCTGCATCCCATCTCCAATCCTCAGCCTCCCAGTTCTCCTCTACAAAAAACAAAAATAAAAAAGTCCCTCTTTCCAATTTTTTAAATTCTTCCCAAATTAAAAGGCCATATCTCTTGAAGCTCAAGACTTTCGACAAATAAATGGAAAAGAACAGCCACATCTTTTAAATATTAGTAATTTATAAAATGAAATAGTCATAATTAATAGCTAGGTATATTTAAGATCATTCAACCATACCTCACTTTCCCTCACTAAAACATTATAAAGTCAAACAAATGTTTATAAAAAATAAAGATCAGATTAGGAATATCAGTGTGGTTTTAATTGTTTCAAAAGTGAACTTACATTCTCTGGTTATTTTTATATTTGGCAAATTTCCATTGTTCTAGTAGATATTCTTGAATTGCTTTGTTAGATAATCGATAATCCCTCTCTATAATTTCCTTTTTTTTTTTTTTAACACTTCCACTTCTAAACAATTCTTCCTCTCCCCTTGCTCAAGTTTTAAGCAAATGTTTATCTGCTTTGCCCCAATCAGTCAGGTCAATGCTGTTGTTCTTTATAACATGCAGTTCTACTCTGGTATCCAGAATCACAGGTGGTGTTGAAATCACTGATATGAAAGTAAACATCTAAACAGTTTGTCCATAAAGAAAAAACACTGAGCTTGCAATGTATGCCAGAATCCATCTGGGCACTAGATTAGACACTAAGAATTACAACCTCATCCGAAAGTATGTACAAGACAGAGAACCTGATCTCAAAGAACATAAGAGTCTAACTGAAGAGAGGTAATGCATGCAGAAAACATACACCATACACATGGCACTGCCATTCATACCCATTGAAACAATAAAATATGCAGGAATTCAAAGAAGAGAAAATGACCACTACAGGCTAATTGTCAGAGAAATGTTTTTTTTTTTTCCTTTTAGGAAAAGATGATTTAACAACTACACCTCAAAATATGTGTAAGAATCAGATATACATTTTTTTAAAATACAGAAGAGTGTGGCCAAGACATGAGGATGGAGACTTAGGAGACTACGTAAAGGACAATGAGTGGCATGGCTGGAGTGAAAGATTAAAAAATGAGAGAAATGGTCAGTCAGGTTAGAAAAGCAGTTTGGGATTATATCATAGACATGAGAAGCCAAGTTAAATAATTTAGCCATTACATGTAGAGAGGGTAGAGTCAGTGATAATTTTGATGAGAGAGATGACATGATAAAAAATGTCATTTTAAAATGATTACTGGGAGATTTTTCTCCTATTCATGTATGCCCTCATTTATCCAACAAACACTGATTCGAGTCCTAGAATATCCAGGCATTGATTGTCCTATGAACCAGAGGAAAGACAAGCATTTCCCATACTCAATGTGCTTTTTATTCTAGGGACAAAAGTAAGACAACAAGTGCCATTTATTGTGATATGTGGATGGTGCAGCACTGCATCCTAAATAATGTGGATGTAGAGAAGAATTACTTTCAGATAATACTTGTGATCAGGGGAAAAAAATCCCAGGAGAAGGATAAGTATGAGTAAACGATATAAACTTGAAAAAGAAGCAGCAATGAAGACTTTTTAGGTACATGAGAATTATTCATGCAAAAGCACAGCGGCAGAGCACAATGGAGCCCCCTCTCTGACCCCCAGTGTCATGTTCCTTGGCTCATCTGTGATTTCTGCTATAGCTGCACAGTACTGTGCAAACTCAGAGCTAGCATCCCCTTCAAGCATTTCCCATTTCAAGGACTTCTCAGGAAGCCCATTTAGCTCCTGCACAAATGCAGCCAAAGGCATTCTTCAACCAACCAGTGAGGCACAGGAAATGGTGGATCAATGACTCAGCCCTCTGTCCTTCTGACAATTCTGGGAGTATTATAGGTTTCTCAGATGTTTCAAGGAATGACGGCTTATTGCCCATTATAGGGACTTCAAAAACACATGCTAACAAAAACACACCCTGTATCTCTGGTCCTACTTCCTTATATACCCACCCAAATGTACTCCCTGCCACCAAGTCCTTGCCTCAGGCTCTGCTTTCAGTAGAATCCAAATTAAGACAAAACGTAATTTATTCAGGGTAACTATAGTAAAATATTTGGTAGTAACAAGAGAGGTCAGAGTGTATGAGAAAGGATAGTTATCTTTGAAACTAAAGAGAGCATTGTGTATAATATCATGCCAGAAAGTTCGCATTTTTATCTAAAAATGTTATAACCACTGAATGGTTTAAAACAGGAGAATAATACAATCAAGATTCTTATTTTAAAACAACCCCTGGTAGCAGTGTAAGAAATATGAATTGCATCATCCTAGAGTGAGAACTGGGAGGCTGATTTAGAGACTATACTGTGATCCAAGCAGGTGTTTTGAGTCTTCATTAAGGAATTAACTGTAGGGATGAATATGAGAGGCAAAAACCATTTGGTATTAATGCTTGGTTGGATATGTAATGTGTGAGTAGAAATGCCATTCATCCAATGACAGAATACAGGAGAAAGAGGTTTGGGAGGAAAATGAGTTAATTTTTCAGCATGTTGAAACCAAGAGCTTGGGGTAAAATTCACATGGAGCAATTCGAGTTTTTAAATTTCTTGGTAGAGATTTAGATTACAGACAAAGACATATGTTGAACTAGTTTGTGTCAGGCCCTGTGATAGATTGTCCCGAATATTCCTTACTTTATTTAACCTTCATAGCAATCCCAAAACATGAGATTATGTGTTCATAACTTTTTATTTTAGAAAACAGATTTACAGGGTTTGTTTGGAAGCACACAGCAAGTAAACAGTGGTGATGGAATTTGAACCCAGGTCTGATTAGCTGAACAATGTTCCTTAGAGTATATCACTCTGTCTCTGCCATACTACGTGTAACACCATCTTCATCTTAAAACAGCCGCTTATTGTAGAGCTATAGTTTTCAACTATAGCAAATAGTAAGGTAACTAGTCCTATGGGGCTCACACCTGAACCACAAATAGCTTGACGTTATACTAAACAATTGAGCTAATCTATTACCCTACCTACAATGTAATTCACTCTTCATATTGGTGTATATATATACCTATATATAATATATATACCACATAACAACATGATGTTATTATAAATGGTTCTACCAGTTTCATCCCAAGTGAAATATAATTTTCATGAGTTTATAAACCACACCACCACTTATAATTTACAAGCAAATAAAGAACTAGAGTGCTCATCTTAAGTAATATACACAATACCAACAGGATGAAGGGGAAGGAGATAACTGTATAATAGCACAAAATGGTAGGTGGTTATTGTCATTGGAATGCTTCACAGAACAGATGGGTGAGGTATCCTGTGGTGTGTTCAAGAAAAGGCGGTTCCGGGTATAGAGCAATGGCTTGGAAGAATACACATGGAGCTCTGAGTGGATGAAGATTCAAGGCCATGAGTGTACTGAAAAACCAAGATATAATTGTACTAAGAATCAAGATTTAATAAGCAATAGGGGGGATAAATACATGAGGTAAAATCAGTTATATACACGTGTGTGTGAGAGAGAGAGAGAGCTCTTTATTAATAAACACAGACTTCCAAAGATAGAATAATAAAATATTCAGATTGGAAGAGACATGAGATAGCATCCTATCTCCCAATGTTTAATTCCACTCTCATTTTGTAAAAGAAAAAATATAAGTGGAGAGGTTAAATAATCTTTTTCAGGGTTTAAATCCATATGTGGGCTGGGCATTTATGGAACATTTATCTGTCTAGCATTGTGGTAGACCGAGGACTGTAAAATAAATAGAACAGTGGTCCTTCCTTCAAGTATCTTATGCAATTCTATTTTAAGGATGGTTCTTTACTATTCATGAGACAATGCGTTCACTAAGGAGATAAAACAAAGACTCATGGAATTTGTAAGGGTTCCATTAGGAATATTTTTATTTCCTTAAGCTTTAGTAAATCATGTGTAGTTAGTCCATGGCCTATGTTTCTTGCCCAAAAACCTAAAGAATAAATATCTGTGGAACCTCTGAAAGAATTACAACTCTCTTAAATGAAAGTATCTTCTTTTATATTCATTTTGAACATTAAGCAAGATATTAGTTGAAAAGAGTTTAATTTCTCCACTCAACTGGTGGTTCTCAAACACAGGTCAGTGGGCCTCACCCCGATGTGTCTGATGGAGCAGGTCCAGAATGGGCTCAGAAAACCTGCACTTCTCTCAAGCTCCCAGTGATGCCCATGCTGCTTGTCTGGTGATACCACTTTGCAAACCACAGCATAAATTAGACCATGAACAACTTGTAGGCAGGAACTACGTCTCACTTATTTCTGTATGTTTAGTGTCTACCATACATTAGAATCTCAACAAATGTTCATGGGAACATGTAAATGATTGACTAATTACATACATGATGTAGCAAAAAAACTTTGGCTAATTTGGATTATTAAATCCCCAGTTCAAGAGTCTTCTTGTTACTCCCACTTATAAGGAAATTAATAAATCAAGGAAATATTAAGTAATTGCTGCCCTATTTGCTGAAAACGGAAAAGCTGAACTCTATGTTGTCATGGATACAGTATTCTATTTTCAGTACTAGTCGTGTCCTACTTGTTAATGACTGTTACAGTAACCAATAGGAAAATAACACTTCACTCACCACATTTCATTAAATTTAACACCTCATATTAAGCTTAATGGGACAATAAGAACAAAGTTCTGCTTGCCAATTGTTTACAGAATTCCACCATTTCCCTGTAGTTAGCGACTTACACAGCATCAATCTTTATGAACAGCTTCCAAAATAAAAAGGAGATAGGAAAATAAAAGTGTTCTATTTGACTTAATAATAATGACCTCTGGGCCGGACATTTCCTGACATTTAACCAACAGTTGAATTAAAAGACTCCACTGTCTTTGATTCAGGGTCTCTGCTTCTACCAGAGATTATTACCTCTCAGGAAATACCCTTACTTTCCAACATTACAAATTTAATGAAAGAGAAAGTAGAATAATATGAATCCTGAGCACCAGAATCTTCAGATCTTTGCATTTTACAGTGGTAAATGCAAAATATGGATGGAGAGTAGACAAAATCAATTAACTTGAATCAGATTCTTCACAGTTTGATCTTGATGCCAATCACAATGAAATAATGACCTCCATCGTAGAAACCTGGAGTCGCATTACTTTTTTCAAGGAAAGTTGAACTGTGAGGGTAAAGAGCTTAATAATGCATAAGGCTAGAAGAGATTATAAACAAACAGTACAGGCTTAGAAGAAAAGAAAAAAGATAATTAAATACATTTAATGATTCACACATCTGAGCAAAAGATCAAGGAAATATTGGAAAATATAATATCATTTCTAAGTCAAGGGAAATAAATGGGGAAGGAGAAAAGGACAGATAACTCAGAGGGACTGAATAAGTCTCAGATAGGATATAAAAGACTGGAAACAGATGTTTATATTAAACTGCCAATGGAGTGGTGAAACCATACAGATTGTGGTACCAATTTAACTGGAAAGAGCTATGGCGAGCAGACAGAGATTTGAGTTGGAGCTCTATTTTCCACCAGTGAACTAAAAGAGGTGGCTGCTGCCGCTACTGCTAATGATGAACACCATATGCTAGCAAGAGACATAGCCAGTGTGCTCTGCTGTGTGTGTTGGTTAGGGAAGATATGTGTAATTTTCTTTATCTGATACAGAATTAGTGCAACTTCAAATAACTACATGCAGAATGCCTGAAGAGAAGACCATATTGCTTCTCATTGAAAAAGTCAAGAGTAAGTCATTAAAAAAAAATTCACTTCAACAATTCAGTTGCAGTAATTTTACCGTGATTTAGCCATGGTATTGCTCTAGTTGTCTATTTTATTTTCATAGCAGAAAGGAAGACTACAACAGAATATTAACCACGTAGTCAAATAGTCAAAGTGATATAAACAAAAAAGAAACTTGCTGCTTACAGTCCTTTTTAAATGAGCATTATGGTTCTCTGTACATATATTCAATAGTTTTGTCAGTATATCAGCAAAACACATTCGAACCTTGTGTTCTAGATAAATTTAGTCTTACACTTTAAAATGTCAGTTCCTCAGTTTGAAAAAAACAATCTTTAAAAAAAATACTATAATAGAAGCGCCAATTTGGGTTTGTTGTTTGCTTATTGTTTTAACAGAATGTTGGGGTCCACATTCAAGATTAAAATAAACAAACAGTTAAGGTAAATGAAAAGAAAAGGGCAACTAGAGAAGTGGCACGCAAGTCATCTTGTTTTCTTTTTGAAACCAGCTGTAACTGCCTTAATTCTGAGGCTGTTTGCCTAGGTGTTTCCTAGTTAATCTAATCAATTCAGCAGGAAAAAAGAAAATCCTGGTCATTTTCTTTCACATTCAAACAAACAAAATGACTGTCTACTGGAATTTTTATGCCCCCATCATTATATTAATGTTACATAGACTTTGTCGAAACGTTCTTTCTTTTTTTCTCCATGTCTCATTAAAATATGGACAGGACAAAGGGAGAGCCACAGGATAACTTTAAAAATATTTTGGTAGTCCTCATTAAAAAGAGTTTAAGTACCTTGGATTTTATTTTATTACATGGTAATAAAACTCAGCCAGAGGAGAGATGTTCAATCTGGAACTCCAAGGCCAAAATATAAGCGCAGCTAACTCATAACCAATGAGCCTTTGACAGCGTGGACTTGCAGCTGAGGAAGCCTGTTGACCCCCACAAAAAAACCATCTGCACTATTTAAGCTACTACTTTTTTTTTTGTGATCACTGCCTTACCAGCTGAAGTTCCTTTTACACCCATTAATATGAAAAGAGGAGGAAACAAAAAGAAACTTATGACAGAATGTGAACCTCTTAGCAATTATTACCAGATAAACTTTAATACGATATGTTTACTGATCTAGTTCTGCTCTGAAAATAATTTGTTAGTGGGAAAAAAACACGAAAAAACTGAGGCAAGGAGGGAAACACTGAGGAAATGTAACTGCCAGCAGAGACAGATTAACACTGCCTTACAAGCTAATGTCATTTTATTCTTTTCTAGGGGCCTGAGACTTCTTTCCACCGCTGAAATAGTCTTTTGGATCTCTGATATCAAGAGCAAACATGTATTACTTGACAGCATTCTAAACTCATCTGTGAGAGCAGATTTAAACCCCCTGATTCTGCCTCAAGCTCCTGGTTGAATGTCGTGGCACATGGCAAGCCTAAATGTGCAACTCCTCCACGAGACTGTGCGTGATCAATCCCAGCACGCCGGTGAGTACCGTTCACCTTCAGACCCCTTTTGGGCCAGGAATCCCACTGAAATGCCTAGCAAAGCTTTTCATTCCCAGCTAAGAAGAGCAATTGCTCTCTCTGGAAAAACTTTTCCAAATGTTCTTTGAACAAACAAGAGACTTTGAAGCTTGCTTGAAGAAGGCAGACGGACACAGAGCTGTGCTCCATCCCCCTCTATCCTGCATAGGTTCCAAGAATCAACAATGAATGAGAGTGTGGAAAGAAATTGGAATTGTAGAAGTGCCAAAGGTATCCCTTGGAGCAGTGTGTATATTGTGTTGTCATGTAAAAGAGCCCTTGAAAGATAAAGGAACTGAGTCCAATTATATTACTGATTCCATGTTCATCTGAATCACTGTCTAACTTCAAACTTCCAAAGATATCACATTGCCTGCAATAATTAATTCACCTCTTCCAAAAACACGTTAGAAAATTAATTCCCAATGCTAAAATGAATTTGGCAGCACAACACATTACAATTTTGCAGGTTACCTGGCAATCATTTTGAAATGTTATCTTGGGTAAAATGTACTCTTGTATCTGCCTCACAGACCCAGTCTGTCTGATTCGTGGACTTTACTTATCATTACATTAAATATACCCATTATAAAAGAATACAACATTTATATAGATATTAAAATATATTTTAACTATGAGAACAGTAATACTAATTTTTACTACAAGTAAGCTAGGACAAACATTTTGCTCATATGAAAACAAATGAAAAATCATGTAAATAAATAAGTTGGACGTAAATTTTGTCATTATTGCATGGTTGTTACTGTGGTTCATCATGGGAGATACCTATGCAATAATTTAATCTCAGCTTAAGGGCAGCCAGGACTGCAATGAATTAATGTGCTTTAACCAGAATATAAATTTCTGGATTTGCATATCAGAACCTAGGACTCACTAAACACCATCACAATCTAACTCTATAATTTGCAGGTGTGTCAACAAATGAGAAAACTACTTGGGACATGGTAATAGTCACAATGGTTGAAATACCAGGTGTAATCAAGTAGAAGTTGTTTTTTTTTTCATCATTTTAAGGGTTTTCTTTTTTGTTTTCCTGGATTTTTAGAAAATTTTTTACTAAGGACTGAGGCTTCAGAATGCACAAACTCAGAGGAAACTCAGACTCTCTTAGATGGCCTCTCATTTGGACTACTCCAGTCCCAAAAAAATGCCTATTTATATAAATATTGCAGTAGAAAAAAAAAGCTAGACACAGCTGGCTACTCTTTCCCTTGGCAAAGAAAAGCAATGGCTTACCATCCTTCTGTTTATGGCAACACCAACTACTTTATTTGAAAAGTCACTCATTTCTATGATTGCAGTGGACATGTTTTCATCAACAGAGCAGTTCAGGAGGAAAAAATTATTTTATTAGCTAATTTTCCTCTCATGAATTAGGGATTTTTCTCTGCACAGAGAGAAATTTCAAACCCCTCCAGAAATGGAAGCATGCCCATGGATTGACTACTACAGATCAAGTTTCCAGTGCGCTAATAACCTGCTCCAGTGAAAACATATTTTTAATTTGCTTTTAGGGTTATTTATTTTTTTATTATTACGTTAAGGGTTTATAACTTAATGTCAAACATAATTTTGCATGAAGTATGTGACTGTACTATGATGCAGTAGATAAGCTTAGTGTGCATGGTTAACGTGGTCTCAAACGATGTTTTGAGAAAATGGATCACCATTTGGCAGGGTGCCATTCCGTAAACTGCTCAGTAGAACTTTAAAGGGAAAAAGTTGCAAAAAATTTTTGTGTTTTGCAAAAATATTCCTAGTAATATTAGAAGCAGAAAAAATAATTACTCTCTTATTGCTTTCTATTGGATGTAACAAATTATAGGCAGCTAATTAAGAAATTAAAAGGTTTGCGATTAGAAATTGCAAAGTCATATTTATTGTATATTGTCAACCCAGCCAAGTGGAATATTTTTAAATGGGGATATTTGTTTTAAAATACAGTAGTCACCATAGTGTCTCCAAGCTTTATGATCAGTCTGGTAAACATTTAGGAGCATCTACAATGTGCCAAGCATTATGCTGGAAATGGCAGATACAAAAATAAAAACTATATTGCCACTGCTCTCAAGAAGCTCACTGTCTAATGGAGGAGACAGGCAGAGACAAATTCTATCAATGTAATTTGGTAAGCACTATAATGCAGTTATGCAGAGGTTCTCTGGAACATAGATAAGGAGCATTTGGCCAAGATTTAGGCATAGGGTGAAAGGTCAGGAAATGTCTCCACAGGAGACTGGGGACAGACTTAGTGTTTCAAGTTGGAAGACAAAGAACCAAGAGAATAGGCTTGGCCAAATAAAACATTATTTGTTCACATATCTATCCATAAGTTTAAATAAATATATATAACATTGTGTGTCATTAAGCCATTTTCACATGCTTTTTAGCTCATCTGATTCTTATACCAATGCTTTAACCACTGAAAGGTATTGGTATCTTCACTCTACAGGTAAGAAAAGTAAAGCCCTAAATAGTTCTGTGACCAGCCCAGGGTCACTCAGGTAACCAATGCATTTGTAATAAAACCTTGAGTCAACCACAGAACTCCTGATTTCCAGCCAAACAGGCATTCTGGCCAGTCTTGCCATGATCCACTCATTTATCATGCAATCACTAACAAAAAAAAAACTACAGCTCCAGGCATAGCAATGCATGATTAAAGAATCATTTTTGAAATATCATTTTTTTGCCTTTCCAGTTAAAACAAAAACTTTATCAATTTAACATAATCAATAAGGATCTCATATATATTTTAAATATCAATTGCTCATTAACCAAAATGCTAAATCAAGTCATACAGATCATGAAATCAAAACTTCAGTTCACTTCTGTGTCTCCAATGTGCCAAATACAAATATTTTCAGCAGATCAGTAAATGAAGTCTGTGGAGGTAAAGGCATTCCAGTCTTGTAACTGGCCTATTTGTCATAATAGCCATGCAAGTTATCCAACCAATTACAGAACATTTACTAAGATACTGTGATGCTGATTGGATTGCAGGGTCAATGATCTGATTTTGTCATTATATTAAGTAAAATAAGTGAATTGTGAAACTTCTATAGTTTTTTAATAAATTGAATTATCTTTATAGACAATTGTCATATAGTGAACAGTTCTACTCTGGAGTTTCCACTCTTGCTTCAAAATATTTATTTTTGATACAAGAGAGGTAAATCTTAGCTAAGATAGCATTAATTTAACCTGGTATGTCATGATTACTTTTTTGTTTTTGTTGTCATTCATATTGAAGGGTTTTATATTGTGCATAGGCTGGTCTGAATAAACGTCTAATTCGCCAAGAAAATTGTGTGTGACAAAATGTTTGCTTTGAAAATGTTACGAAAAAAATTTTTCTCTATCTATAGAACCACAGAACTAGTTATTGGTAACAATGACCTTTTGATTAGGAGTCTACTTAGATTTGGGTGTCTGCTGCAACTCTTCTTAGTATTTTTTAGTTACCTATATCCTTACCAAGCAAAAACCACACACCTCCAAAGGCTATGTATATTAGTCAAGTTAGATTAGGCTATAATACAATAACAAACAAATCCCCCAAATCACAGTATAATTCATAAAGATTTAGTGATTGCTCATGCAAAGTCCTCTGTGGGTTTGCTGGCTTCCAAGTGATGTCACAGGGATTCAGACTACTTATATCTTCTAACTATGTCAACAGGAATATTCAACTTCAAGGTTGCTGCATTAGGGAAAAAGAGAGCTGAAGCACCACACACCAGCTCATAAATGCATTTTGCCTGGAAGAGACTCACATTACTTCCCATCTCAGCCCACTGGCCAGAAGTAGTTAGACGGGATTGCCTAACTTCTAGAGGAGTGGGAAATGTGGGAGGGTACTTGAATTGTCTCTGAACTGAAAATTTCTCTGCCAAACTGGGCATGGTTCTTACATTAGGCACTTAAATTTCTAACATCCTCAGAAACTGATAAATTCCCTGGTTCAAACACACCACAACATTGATTATGCATTTAGTGCTAGAAGTAATATAATATCAAATGTTAAATAGCGGAGGAGATATTTTTAAACTGATAAGAATAAAATTACAGAATTGCTTTAAGCCAATTAAGTAGAAAGAAAACTAACTTTCCTAATTATTTTGTTATATATTCCAACTAAATATTTATAGAAATCCTATAATCTGTGATAGGAAGACTCAGAAAAACTCTTCAAGTTTTCCTGAAGTGATGCTGCTGCAAGCACTGGATCTGGGATTTGGATCTACTGAATCTTACTCCATCAATACTCTTTCTACTTTATCATGCTGAGCCACCAAATGTAAATCAATCAAAAAAGGGATCAACATCCCTCCCCCATCCAGCTAAACCAAAATACCCTGCAAGTAGAAGGCACCTTCAACCTATGGTTCATGAGTCTTCTACCGGGAAGGGGTCAGAGCGAGGCTCAAAGGTAAGAAATCTACCTGCTATTTCAAGGAAGCTAAATCGTGAAAGTTTGCCCAAAATGCCCATTAGAAGTGAGAATAAAGGGAACCAATGAGATAGGAAGACTTTTAAATGCAGCAGGAGTTAAGTCTTGAAACCAATCAATTTAGTGCATTAAGAACAAGTTTTGGCATCAGGCTGGCCTAGTTTGGTTCCTGATCATGCCGTTTACAAAGCAAGTGATTTTGTGCAATTTGCTTAACCTTGTTATGCCTCAATTTCCTAGTTCTATCAAATGGGCATAATGTCTACCTTGTTAGATTATTATGAGGATTATATTAAAGGAATTCATACAGGCATACCTTGTTTTATTGTATTGTGCTTTATTGAGCTTCACAGATAACCATGTCTCTTACAAATTGAAGGTTTTGTGCAACCCTGCATCAAGCCAAGTCTATCAGAGCCATTTTTTTCAATAGCATGAGCTCTTGTCTCTGTGTCATATTTTGGCAGTTCTCACAATATTTCAAATTTTTCATTATGATATCTGGTATGGTGATCTGGTATCAGTGATCTCTAAAGTTACTATTTTAATTGTCGTGGGGACCATGAACCACACCAATGTAAGACGGCAAACTTAATCCACAAATTTTGTGTATGTTCTGACTGGTCTACTAAACAGCCATTCCCCCACCTCTCTCCCTCTCCTTGGGCCTCCCTATTCCCCGAGACACAACATTATTAAAATTAGGCCAATTAATAATTCTACAATTGCCTCTAAGTGTTCAAGTGAAAGGAAGAGTCACATATTTCTCACTTTAAATCAAAAGCTACAAATGTTTAAGCTTAGTGAGAAAGGTATGTCGAAAGCTGAGAGAGGCTAAACTGGCTTCTTGCACCAAACAGCCAAGTTCTGTATTTAAAGGTAAAGCTCTTAAAGGCAACTAAAGTGCTATTCCAATAAACAGGTGAATTACAAAAAAAGCAAAACAGCCTTATTGGTGACATGGTGAAAGTTTTAGTGATCTGGGAAGATTAAACCAGCCACAACATACTCATAAGCTAAAGCAAGCCCCTAACACTCTTCAATTCTATGAGGCTCTCAAAGAAACAGCAGAAGAAAAGTCAGTACCTATCAGAGGTTGGTTCATGAGGTTGAAGGAAAGAAGCAGTCTCTATAACATAAAAGTGCAAGGTGAAGCAGCAAGAGCTGATGGAGAAGTTATCCAGAAGATCTAGCTAAGATTACTGATGAAGGTGGTTACCCTAAACAACAGATTTCCAATGTAGATTAAATAGTCTTCTATTAGAAGATGTCATCTAGGACTTTCATAGCTAGACTCTCCTACCAACAATGTAAAAGCGTTCCTATGTCCCCACATCCTCTCTAGTAACTGGTGTAAATTGATATCTCATTGTGAGTTTGATTTGCATTTCTCTAATGACCAGTGATGATGAGCTTTTATTCATATGTTTGTTGGCCACATAAATGTCTTCTTTTGATAAGAGTCTGTTCATATCCTTTGCCCACTTTTTGATGGTGTTTTTTTCTTGTAAATTTGTTTAAGTTCCTTGTAGATTCTGGATATTAGCCCTTTGTCAGATGGATAGATTGCAAAAACTTTCTCCCATTCTGTAGGTTGCCTGTTCACTCAGATGATAGTTTCTTTTGCTGTGCAGAAGCTCTTTAGTTTAATTAGATCCCATTTGTCAATTGTGGCTTTTGTTGCCACTGCTTTTTGGTGTTTTAGTCATGAAGTCTTTGCCCATGCCTATGTCCTGAATGGTATTGCCTAGGTTTTCTTCTAGGGATTTTATGGTTTTAGGTCTTACGTTTAAGTCTTTAATCCATCTTGAGTCAATTTTTGTATAAGGTGTAAGGAAGGGGTCCAGTTTCAGTTTTCTGCATAAGGCTAGCCAATTACTCAATGCCATTTATTAAATAGGGAATCCTTTCCTCGTTGCTAGTTTTTGTCAGGTTTGTGAAAGGTCAGATGGTTGTAGATGTGTGGCATTATTTTTGAGGCCTCTGCCCTGTTCCATTGGTCTATATATCTGTTTTGGTACCAGTACCATGCTGTTTTGATTACTGTAGCCTTGTAGTGTAGTTTGAAGTAAAGTAGCATGATGCCTCCAGCTTTGTTCTTTTGCTTAGGATTGTCTTGGCTATACAGGCTTTTTTTGGTTCCACATGAAATTTAAAGTAGATTTTTCTAATTCTGTGAAGAAAGTCAATGGTAGCTTGATGGGGATAGCATTGAATCTATAAATTACCTTGGGCAATATGGCCATTTTCACAATATTGATTCTTCCTATACATGAGCATGGAATGTTTTTCAATTTGTTTGTGTCTTTTCTTATTTCCTTGAGAAGTGGTGTGTAGTTCTCCTTGAAGAGGTCCTTCACATCCCTTGTAAGTTGTATTCCTAGGTATTTTATTCTCTTTGTAGCAATTGTGAATGGGAGTTCACTCATGATTTGGCTCTCTGTTTGTCTATTATTGGTGTAGAGGAGTACTTGTAATTTTTGCACATTGATTTTGTATCCTGAGACTTTGCTGAAGTTGCTTATCAGCTTAAGGAGTTTTGGGGCTGAGATGATGGGGTTTTCTAAATACACAATCATGTCATCTGCAAAGAGAGACAATTTGACTTCCTTTCTTCCTATTTGAATACCCTTTATTTTTTTCTCTTGCCTGATTGTCCTGGCCAGAACTTCCAATACTATGTTGAATTGGAGGGGTGAGATAGGGCATCCATGTCTTATGCCAGTTGTCAAAGGGAATGCTTCCAGATTTTGCCCATTCAGTATGATATTGGCTGTGGGTTTGTCATAAACGGCTCTAATTATTTTGAGATATGTTCCATCAATACCTAGTCTATTGAGAGTTTTTAGTATGAAGGGGGTGTTGAATTTTATCGAAGGTCTTTTCTGCATCTATTGAGATAATCATGTGATTTTTGTCATTGGTTCTGTTTATATGATAGATTATGTTTATTGATTTGCATATGTTGAACCAGCCTTGCATCCCAGGGATGAAGCTGACTTGATCGTGGTGGATAAACTTTTTGATGTGCTGCTGGATTCAGTTTGCCAGTATTTTATTGAGGATTTTTGCACTGATGTTCATCAGGGATATTGACCTGAAATTTTCTTTTTTTGTTGTATCTCTGCCAGCTTTTGGTTTCAGGATGATGCTGGGCTCATAAGATGAGTTAGGGAGGAGTCCCTCTTTTTCTATTGTTTGAATAGTTTCAGAAGGAATGGTACCAGCTCCTCTTTGTACCTCTGGTAGAATTTGGCTGTGAATCCATCTGGTCCTGGGCTTTTTTTGGTTGTTAGACTATTAATTACTGCCTCAATTTCAGAACTTGTTATTGGTCTATTCAGGGATTCAACTTCTTCCTGGTTTAGTCTCAGGTGGGTGTATGTGTCCAGGAATTTATACATTTCTTCTGAATTTTCTAGTTTATTTGCATAGAGGTGTTTATAGTAGTCTCTGATGGTAGTTTATATTTCTGTGGGATCAGTGGTGATATTCCCTTTATCATTTTTCATTGTGTCTATTTGATTCTTCTCTCTTTTCTTCTTTATTAGTCTGCCTAGTGGTCTATATATTTTGTTAATCTTTTCAAAAAGCAGCTCCTGGATTCACTGATTTTTTAAGGGTTTTTTTGTGTCTCTATCTCATTCAGTTCTGCTCTGATTTTAGTTATTTCTTACCTTCTGCTTGCTTTTGAATTTGTTTGCTCTTGCTTCTCTAATTCTTTTAATTGTGATGTTAGGGTGTCAATTTTACATCTTTCCTGCTTTCTCCTGTGGGCATTTAGTGCTATAGGTTTCCCTTTAAACAGGGCTTTAGCTGTGTCTGGTACATTGTATCTTTGTTCTCACTGGTATCAAAGAACTTGTTTATTTCTCCCTTAATTTTGTTATTTACCCAGTAGTCATTCAGGAACAGGTTGTTCAGTTTCCATGTAGTTGTGTGGTTTTGATTGAGTTTTTTAATCCTGAGTTCTAATTTGATTGCACTGTGGTCTGGGAGACTATTTGTTATGATTTACATTATTTTGCATTTGCTGAGTATTGTTTTACTTCCAATTATGTGGTCAATTTTAGAATAAGTGCGATGTGGTGCTGAGAAAAATGTATATTCTGTTAATCTGGGGTAGAGAGTTCTGTAGATGTCTGCTTGGTCAAGAGCTGAGTTCAAGTCCTGAATATCCTTGTTAACCTTCTGTCTTGTTGATCTAATATTGACAGTTGGGTGTTAAAGTCTCCCACTACTATTGTGTGGGAGTCTAAGTCTCTTTGTAGGTCTCTAAGAACTTGCTTTATGAATGTGGGTGCTCCTGTAGTGGTTGCATATATATTTAGGATAGTTAGCTCTTGTTGCATTGATCCCTTTACCATTATGTAATGCCCTTCTTTGTCTCTTTTGATCTTCGTTGGTTTAAAGTCTGTTTTATCCGAGACTACGATTGCAACCCCTGCTTTTTCTTTTCTGCTTTCAATTTGCTTGGTAAATATTCCTCCATCCCTTTATTTTGAGCCTATGTGTATCTTTGCATGTAAGATGGGTCTCCTGAATACAGCACACTGATGGGTCTTGACTCTTTATCCAATTTTCCAATCTGTGTCTTTTAATTGGGCCACTTAGCCCATTTACATTTAAGGTTAATATTGTTATGTGTGAATTTGATCCTGTCATTATGATGCTAGCTGGTTATTTAGTCCATTAGTTGATGCAGTTTCTTCATAGTGTCGATGGCCTATACAATTTGGTATGTTTTTGTAGTGGCTGGTACTGGTTGTTTCTTTCCATGTTTAGTGCTTCCTTCAGGAGCTCTTTTAGGGCAGGACTGGTGGTGACAAAATCTCTCAGCATTTGCTTGTCTGTAAAGGATTTTATTTCTCCTTCACTTACGAAGTTTAGTTTGGCTGGATATGAAATTCTGGGTTGAAAATTCTTTAAGAATGTTGGATATTGGCCCCCACTCTCTTCTGGCTTATAGGGTTTCTGCAGAGAGATCCACTGTTAGTCTGACGGGCTTCCCTTTGTGGGTAACTCGACCTTTCTCTCTTTCTGCCCTTAACATTTTTTCCTTCATTTCAACCTTGGTGAATCTGACAGTTATGTGTCTTGGGGTTGCTCTTCTTGAGGAGTATCTTTGTGGTGTTCTCTGTATTTCCTGAATTTGAATGTTGGCCTGTCATGCTAGGTTGGGGAAGTTCTCCTGGATAATATCCTGAAGAGTGTTTTCCAACTTGGTTCCATTCTCCCCATCACTTTCAGGTACACCAATCAAACATAGATTTGGTCTTTTCACACAATCCCATATTTCTTGGAGGCTCTGTTTGTTCCTTCTCATTCTTTTTTCTCTAATCTTGTCTTCACACTTTATTTCATTAAGTTGATCTTCAACCTCTGATATCCTTTCTTCCACTTGATCGATTCGGCTATTGATACTTGTGTATGCTTCACGAAGTTCTTGTGCTATGTTTTTCGGCTCCATCAGGTCATTTATGTTCTTCTCTAAACTGGTTATTCTAGTTAGCAATTCCTCTAAGCTTTTTTCAAGGTTCTTAGCTTCCTTGCAGTGGTTAGGACATGTTCCTCTAGCCCAGAGGAGTTTGTTATTACCCACCTTCTGAAGCCTACTTCTGTCAATTCGTCAAACTCATTCTCCATCCAGTTTTGTTCCCTTGCTGGCAAGGAGTTGTGATCCTTTGGAGAAGAGGCATTCTGGTTTTTGTAACTTTCAGCCTTTTTGTGCTGGTTTTTCCTCATCTTTGTGGATTTACCTACCTTTGGTCTTTGTTGTTGGTGACCTCAGATGGGGTTGTTGTGCGGACATCCTTTTTGTTGATGTTGATGCTATTCCTGTTTGTTAGTTTTCCTTCTAACAGTCAGGCCCCTCTGCTGCACATCTCCTGGAGTTTGCTGGAGGTCCACTCCAGACCCTGTTTGCCTGGGTATCACCAGTGGTTGCTGCAGAACAGCAAAGATTGCTGCCTATTCCTTCCTCTGGAAGCTTCATCCCAGAGGGGCACTTGCCAGATTCCAACCAGAGCTCTCCTGTATGAGGTGTCTGTCAACCCTTGCTGGGAGGTGTCTCCCAGTCAGGAGGCATGGGAGTCCAGGACCCACTTGGGGAGGCAGTCTGTCCCTTAGCAGTGCTCGAGCACATGCTGGGAGATCCATGGCTCTGTTCAGAGCTGGCATACAGAAATGTTTAAGTCTGCTGAAGCTGCGCCACATGCTGACCCTTTCCCCAGGTGCTCTGTCCTAGGGAGATGGGAGTTTTATCTATAAGCCCCGGATTGGGGCTGCTGCCTTTCTTTCAGAGATGCCCTGCCCAGAGAGGAGAAATCTAGAGAGGAAGTCTGGGTACAGTGGCTTTGCGGAATTTTGGTGGGCTCTGTCCAGTTCAAACTTCCCAGCAGCTTTGTTTACACTGTGAGGGGAAAACTGCCTACTCAAGCCTCAGTAATGGTGGACGCCCCTCCCTCCAGCAAGCCTGAGCATCCCAGGTCAACTTCAGACTGCTGTGCTGGCACCAAGAATTTCAAGCCAGTGGATTTTAGCCTGCTGGGCTCCATGGGGATTGGATCTGCTGAGCTAGACCACTTGGCTCCCTGGCTTCGGCCCCCTTTCCAGGGGAGCAAACAGTTCTGTCTCACTGGCATTCCAGGCACCACTGGGGTATGAACAAAAACTCCTGCAGCTAGCTTGGTGTTTGCCCAAATGGCCGCCCAGTTTTATGCTTGAAACCCAGTGCCCTGGTGCCGTAGGCACCCAAGGGTATCTCCTGGTCTGGAGGTTGTGAAGACAGCGGAAAAAAACATATTATCTGGTCCAGAATGCACCATTCCTCACAGCACCATCCCTCATGGCTTCCCTTGGCTAGGGGAGGGAGTTCCCTGACCCCTTGTGATTCCAGGGTGAGGCGACATCCCACCCTGCTTCAGCTCACTCTCCCTGGGCTGCACCCACTGTCTAACCAGTCCCAATAAGATGAGCTGGGTACCTCAGCTAGAAATGCAGAAATCACCCACCTTCTGCACTGATCTCTCTGGGAGCTGCAGACCCGAGCTGTTCCTATTTAGCCATCTTATCAGCCACATCCTCAAGTCTTATTATTTAAGAAATATATTTTATAAGGCTATAGCTACCATAAATAGTGATTCCTCTGATGGATCTGAGCAAACTCAATTGAAAATCTTCTCGAAAGAATTCACCATTCTAGATGCCATTAAGGACATTTGTAATTTGTGGTAGTAGGTCAAGATGTCAACATTAACAGGAGCTTGGAAGAAGTTGATTCCAATACTCGTGAATGACTTGGGGGGTTCAAGTCCTCAGTGGGGGAAGTAATTGCATATGTGGTAGAAACAGTAGGAGAAATAGAATTAGAAGTGGAGCCTGAAGATGTGACTGAATTGCTGTAATCTCATAATCAAACTTGAACAGATTAGGGGTTACTTCTTATTGATGAGCAAAGAAAGTGGTTTCTTGAGATGGAATCTATTCCAAGTGAAGATGCTGTGCACACTGTTAAAATGACAATAAAGGATTTAGAATATTTCATACACTTAGTTGATAAAGCAGAGCAGGGTTTGAAAGGATTGACTACAGTTTTGAAAGAAGTTCTACTGTGAGTAAAATACTGGCAAGCTGCATCATGTACTACAGAGACATCTTTGGTGAAAGGAAGAGTCAACTGATGTGCAAACTTCATTGTCTTATTTTAAGAAGCTGCCACAGCCATCCTAACCTTCAGCAACCACTACCCTGATCAGTCAGCAGCCATCTATATCAAGGCAAGACCCTCCACCAGCAAAAAAAAGATTATTACTCACTGAAGGCTTGGATGATTATTAGCAGTTTTTCTGGCAATAAAGTATCTTTTAATTAAGGTATGTACATTGTTTTTAGACACAATGCTGTTGCACACTTAATAGACCACAGTATAGTGTAAACACAACTTTTATATGCATTGAGAAACCAAAACATTCATGACTGGCTTTATTGTGAAATTTGCTTTATTGCAGTGGTCTGGAACCAAACAAGCAATAGCTCTAAAAAGTATGCCTATATTTGAAGTGTTGATGACAATATATGACAGTGCCTTTTCCTGGAAGAAGTAAGGACTTGAAGGGCCTCAAATAATAAAACTCAGTATCATGAATAATACCTAAGCCACTGTGAGACTGCTTACAACAGTTTTTTCTATGAATAATGGAGCTTTTATGTCGACTTCTTGGTCCTGAAATGGAGAGACACATTTTCGTTGAATGCAATGTGCCATGTGAAACCTGTGCAGCACTGAAAACATTCCAAAATCTCAGCTAATATGAAGTAATGCAAACCTACTTGACAATATACATAAAGACTCAAAAGTTATTGACATCAATAGAACTAAAATAATTTAACTCATTTTCTACAATCTTAACAAAGAAATGTTCCCATTTTACTGTCATAGTTGCTGATAATCTTGCAGATCACTAAGATGCGCAAAATAATTCATGTTCCCAATATGTGACCAAAAAATGTAGTTTCAAGATATTAATCCAACTTAAATCATCTGTGTGGTTTCAACATTTTGTATTACATAACCATGCAGCATGCTACTCACAGTTATATTCCCTGGGTAAATAGGTATACTGATTTATATTTTTCACTTAATCAACCCAATCTTTTTGATATCACATCACCATGAAAGAATATAACTGAAGCCAAAATTGATTGCATAACTTCTAGCAAAATTCCAGAAATGTGTATTCAGCCTAAGTATAGACCTCTTGTTTTCAGCATCTGACAACTTAATGTTTTTTTCCATCACTTTTCAACTCTAGGAATAAGAAAGGTGTCTTAATTCATTTTAGGCACTACACATCCAGTAACAGAAACTGAAGTTCACTATTTATGCTAGGGAGATAGAGCCTGGGCGATAATGTAATGGTATTTTCATAGTGGGCTGGGGTTTTGGACCACCTGTAGCTATACTGCTGGAACCATACTTGAATGGTACCCTCAAGACATTTACCATGCCCTAAGTAATGAGTAACCAAGAATTATTTAAAAGGTAAGCTGAAACGAGACAAATAAGTCATGAAAAATTGAGATAGCAGCATCAAGGCTGTGGGAAAGACTCTTCATTATTATTCATTACTAAGCATTAAACCTCATCTGGATATGAATTTATAGAGTCTAAAACTTGTTTCTAATACCTGTGAACATTTTCTAAAGGGCCTCAAATAAGACTAGAGTGCATACACTATTTGAAAATAGTATTTGATATAAGAAAAATCTTATATGGGGCATATTTAAATAGATGTGCTAAGCATTCTTCAAATAAGTAAGAATTGTAAAGAGAAGCAGTGTACCACAGTACCAGAAGTCAAGAGCCTTGGGTTCCAGTTATGGCTCTAGCTATTTTAGCAAATCATTTTACTCCCCTGAACCTCAGTTATATCACCTACTAAACAAGAAGTTTGTACAAGCTGATCCTGTATGTCCCAAGTGAAAACATCCAACTCATCACTTATATTCAATCCTATTCTTACACCAGTATGTCTTTCTACCACGTACAATATGCTTTCCAAACTACGGTAAACACTGACTACCAAATACAGTAAACGCTGACTGCAAACAGCTTATTAAAAAAATCTAAAAAAGGATTATATCATATGAAAAACATAATTACACATTCTAAATGGATCACTATCTAATGTTGCACAATGATAGCCATTTTAAACCTACTATGTTTAACTATTCATGGTAAATTTAACCAACCACTTCAAAGAGAGGTATACCAAATTGCCTCGACCTCACCAAGTGGTAAATGTGTGGTTAAAAAAAAGACTTTGTGTGAACCATGGGGGGCCAGGATAATTTAAGACAATTCTAACTGTGATAGCTATTATTTGTTGAATATTTATGAAATGTCAGGTAGTGTGTCAATAAATGTATGGGTATTATCATGTGTAATTTTCTCAATAATCCTAGATATTAGATAACATTACTCATATTTTGCATAAGAAGATGACCATACACTTTTTCTAAGGTCTCATTATTTGATCCAATTTCTGTCTAAATCTATAGTCTTAAATACTGCCTTATGTATAACACACCTGTTGAGGCCATATATTGGGTCCTCTACTAGCATACAGAAAGGCTATTTTCGAAGCATAAAGTAGGAAGGAATATGTGTAATTCTGGGTTTAGGCGTGGGTTATTTTAATAGCCATCACCCTGAAGCCAGGATTCTATCTGTCATGTTGAAAGTAAGAGTTTTATTATTTAATAAAAGGGGACTAATTCACTAAAAGACACTAAAAGGAAGATGAATAAAAGTGATATCATCTCCCTCCCAGAATTAGCATAACTATTCCAAACCTAGATTTGCATATATTTCAAGTTCCAGATTATTGTTATAATCTTTGAAACTGTCTTGAATGGAGGTAGATTTAAATACAAGAATTCTGATAGATGTTTCTCTCGTTACATTTTCCCAGTAGAAAAGCATATATCTACATTGAGCTCCAAAAAAAGCTTTTAGAGCAAAAGTTTAGCAGTATGCCCCTTTACACATTCTCATATAAAATCCACAAATCTAATTAAGAATGTTTAAGTCAGTAAAATAACTGTGCAAATGACTTTCTTTCCCAGTTTCCTCTCACAAACATAGGCACTATTTCATTTGCTATATATTCAGATCATTCTTTTCCTTAAAAAAAAAAAAAAGTTTTGAATTCCAGAAATGTTTACAAACTAATTATACCCAGGCTTTCAATGAGCTCAACGAGGATTTCATCATCGCAGAAAACACAATTGTACCTCTTGTGGCTCATAATGGTAATGGTAGGCTTCTGCATCATTGCTTTGACAATCTGCCACTGATTCTTGTGGTCTTCATCTTGGTCTCCAAACACTTAAAAACAGCTGGCAATCTTGATAGAGAATTACATTCTCACTTGTTGGTCCTTGAGCTTCTTAACAACTTAAACTATTGTCATAATGATGTGGCCATGCCCCAGGGCTTCAATCTGATACGTCCACCACAGTCAATGGTTACAGCCTCTTAGTATGGTCCTGAAACATTTGTTAGAGTTCTAATCACCTCTGAAAAGAAACAGTTTATTTTGAGATATTTGTCTTCACCTAGGAACAGATACTTATAAACAATGAGGGTAAAAATTTTAGCACCAGCAACCAATACAGTAGTAGACAAGTGATTTTTATGCGTATTCTCTCGAATCCCTTTGAGAACTGCCCCATGATTACGGTATTCCTAGATCAGTATAAAATAAAATGTCATTAAAGAACATAATATGAATAAATAGGGGTGAAAGAAATGGCTTTTTTTAAAAAAAAAAGAAAAAGAGACTTAAAAAGAGGTAATTTGATAAGACTGTGGAGAAAACTGAAAAAAAGAAAATGAGAGAAAAAATCCCAATTACATAAACAACCCTGAAACTGAAAAGGAAGGAAGAAAACTATTATATATGATATAAGATTATAGAATACTATAGCATCCTGTTGAATTATAGCATTATAATACTAGGATAAAATGTGAGTGGACCACAGTTTTACGATTCAGTAAAAAAGACCAAAGTCATTATGAGATTCTCAAAACATGAGATAAAACTTGTGGGCTGTAGGTCATTTTGGGCTGGGTTAGGGCTTTAACCTTATTAGAAATTGAAATAGAAAGCATTATAAAACATACATTTCAAAAACTAAATAAAATGTTATTGCTATTTTTGAAATTTGCTGTTAGATTATTGTTGCTTTTGAAAATCAGTGGTGGTCTCTTAGTCTCTTTTTTCCATATATCCAGAAGCAAATCCATATAGCATTGATCGATATAGTTAAGATACTGCTGGTGATAAAGAAAGACAATAACATGAATGATCAAAGATTATAATCTTCATAATCCTGAGGTAACAAAGATACTGTTATATCTCTTACACAATAGCAGACTTTTCTCTTGACACCAGATTTATGGATGCTTTTCGTCTCAATTCCATGAGGGAATCTTCCATCACAGAGTCCCAGTAGTGCTACTGAGAGTTGAACAACTAAATTACGCTCATCAAGTCCAGAGCTTACTCCACTTAACATTGCTCTAAAGAAAGTCATAATTGTTTCTAGTAAATTAACAAACTTGTGATTATTGGTATTACAGACCATATGACTATTATTGTATGGTTTAAAAAAAAGAACTGTTCAAGTATTTTTGCATTGTTACCAGAATTGAAATGATTTAAAAAACTTTTACTCTTGAGAAGCAGAAATGATTTATTTAATATCTGCTGTGTCAAACATTAGCAGACACAGATCATTCTTTCTAGGTGCCTTTTTTGTATTAATACTAGGGTATCATTGAGTTTCACATCCATCTTTCCATTTTAAGCACATAATGGCATTTATTGCTCTAGCAAAATACATTATTAAATTTTATTTTCAGAACTACAGTTGCTAATAAGAAATAATAATGTATGAAAATATATAGAGAGAAAGAGAGAGATGAGGGGTGGGGGCAGGGAGAGGCTACATCATCATAGATCATATCCTGAATTCTGCAAGAAAAATTGTAAATACATAGGAACATAGGGAAAAGACACTACAACTCAAAAAGGCAAACAGCTTATAGGGAACACTATGAACACAAGATTTCTGGTTACTTTCTATTCCCATTAAACAATGAGATGACAACCATATCATTTAAGCAAAGCTGTTCTAATATAAGAACACAACATTTTCTTTTCCTCTTAGATGTTTCTGATGAGAAATAAGCACTGTTTTTTGGACAAAGTTTTTGTGGCCTCTAATCACAGTATTGAAATGTACTTTAATTATTTACCCTTTAAAATTAGAATGATTAAACAAAATAGATACTTCTATATAATTTGTGTATCTGTTTGTTTGCCTTATGTTTAAAAATTGGCCAGAATTTGAAACTCATATAATCATCTTTAGACTCTTCTATCTGCCCCAGATGTGGTTTTCAACTTTTGCTTCCTAAGCACAAATACATTAAAAGGACTTTTTCGACCTTGAACTTGACTGCTCAGAGTTTATGCCCGCTATAAATGGAACACCAAGGGTGGCCAAAGGTGGCAGAGTAGCCTGCCTAACAAACAATATTGATCCAAAACAAAATATTAAGTTAATGTTCTCAGGTCAGTTACTTTTCCATAGAATATGCAAAGATAGTAATGGGCATCTATTAAATATATCCATGAATATTATCAGATTATTCTGTTTTTTTCTCAAGTCTACTGCCCACCCTCCCAATCCCATATGTCTGCCATTCTCCTCTTATCTGCTCTTATTTTAACATCTTCACTGGCCCCTTCACCAATGCACCATCCAATCAATCTACAAACATCTTCAAGTTCACATTATCTTAAAAATGTAAAAACTCTTTACTCTGCTCTTTTTATTAAATTTTTATTCTGTTTCTTGAAAGGACAAACTGTGTTCTCAAAGCAGACACCATATTATATTGAAATGATCTATGTGTGTGTTTTGTCCCTCCCAAATTTCATACTCCTTGAGAGCAAGGACTCAGCTCTATTGGTTTTTGGACTTCCAGTAGCTGGAAAATTTCCTCATTACACATCAGATGCCCAATAAACAGTATGTGAACTAAATTGAATCCATCACCCATTTATCTCTTATTATTGTGAAATATGGCTTCTGCTCTCACAACTCTCCTGAGGTAAACCAGTCAAACAACCCTTTCTCTTCTCTTAGATGCTTCAACCTGTTGGCAGCATTTAACAGTGCAAAAGCATAGGCTTTGGAATCAAATAAACTTGAGCATAAATCACAGTTCAGCTACTTGCTATTTGGTGGCTTTGGACATGTAACCTAACCCCTCTGAACATCAATTTCTTCCTTTGTAAAATTAGGGTAAGAATATATCTCTAATAGGATGCATGGAAAGATTAAATAACATTGCATACATCTGGATCTGGATATAGAGTTGATACTCAATGTGTGTTAGTTCTTTGCTCCTTCCTCTTCTACTCTTCCTTTTCTACAACACTGCAGTCTATGTTCCTCCTTCCTAATTGTTATACTCTCTATATATAACTTCTCAAACTCCTCCAGTACTGTTCTAATAGAGATTCCAAGGATCTGTCATTCCTCGTTCTTTCATTATTTACATTCTTTCCCTCAATAATCTCATCTGATCTTTGAATTTAACTATTGCTTTTAGCCCCTACTTAGTTGACTCCAAATCTCTCTCCAGCCTCTCCTGTGATCCCCCACAATGGGCTAGTCATCTGCTGAATGCTCCTAAGTTCAAGTAGTACATTGCCCACTCTACTGTCTCCACTCTCCCAATATGCTTGTCCCAACCCTGGCAAAACAACCCTAGCATCCCAACTCCCCTGATCAAATGCTTTCAGTAGCTCTAATGGCCTACAATGAAGTCTGAAAACTTGAGTTTGGCGTTCAAAAGTCTCCATAGCCTGGTCTTTATTTCTACTTCAGCCATATTTTCCATGACTCTCATAGATTCACCTTATGCTTCAACCAAATTTTCAGCACTTCATTAATGATTCCTAATATTATTATCCCTGGGTCATTACCCCAAGGCTTCTCGAATGTCCATCTCCCAGTTCCCACCTTTTTCAATCCTAGATAACCCCTAGGCCCGACAACAATGTCCCCTCTCCATGAAGACTTTCTTGGATTCCACAGCTAAGAGCTATCTTTCCTTCTTCTAAGTATCAAGACAATTGAGCAATCTCTCTCTTGAATACTCATTGTCTGCAAAATAATAGTTATTCATGTCTATTTTATTTATTTTATAGCCTGCTAACCTGCACGTCCTTCCCCCATCCCCAGTGCATTTTACCCCCTCCCTATTTCCACTTCCCTCCATAACCTGGAGAAGAACTTAAAGGGGCTTTAAAAATCCAGACAAACAGATATATTAAATAAGCAATCTTAAATGTATATGCATAATCAGTTTAATAAACCTTCCAGGGAATAGCTGAATGCATCCAGAAAAGAAAGTTGTTCCTATGCAGCCAGGGCTATGAGAGATACAATTCCAGGATCTCATCTGTGTTCTGAGTGGTAAAGATTGCTGGAAATCTGACCACCAGATAACTGGAGAGTTACTGTATAGCTAAGGCTTCTTGCCAAAGATTTATAATTAGCAACAGAATCAGCTGGCATTACTAAACTATTTTTTGTTTCTTTAATCTCCTTTTCCTCCTTTTTGTTTTCTTCTTCCCTGTTTGTGACTGATAGAGCCAGATGATCAATAATCTTTCTTTCACCAACTCTGATCATCATCTTTGCTACTGTCTGGATGCTATTATTCAGTTTAATACATTAATCCTTTGGTTGAAATTCTTAAACCACAATTCTTTATTAAAGGACCATCTTGGCACCCATGTACTGATAGCAGCTTGTCTGGTGTCTCAAAAAAATAAATCTAAATGAAGCATCTCTTTCCCCCAAAAGACCTGAACCGAAGAAAGAAAGAGAAAGATACATAGGGAGAAAGATTTCAGCTCATAGACACAATCAAAGATACAGAAAGAAAATTGAATCTTATTACATAAATTAGAGAACAGGAAAGTTTCACCTATGATTACAATTAGATATCAACATGTCATTTAATGACAGTGCTGAGAAATATTGTGGCATTTTACTGAATCTTACTCTCGTTATTATTTCAATGAGAAATAGAACACACTGTACTGGTTAGCAGACCAAACCTTTGTACGATGCTGTAACCTTTGGTGGAGCCCAGTGATTTTTGTTGCTTTTCAGAAAGATATTAAAGTGACAATGTGGCAGGCCATTTTTTCCACCACACACACTAAAACTAGTGTGCGTGCAGCAGAACCCTGCCAAAGCACGTTGCATTCATACAAAGATCCATACAGATCTTAATCATAAAATAATCCATTCTGTACTCTGTTTTTATGACATTTATATGAATCTGGCCACAGCCTCATCAAGCAGTTCACAGAGGAAAATTGTTCTATTTATGTGGTCGAGACAGGGTGGACTTGATTTTCAAGCAAAGGGAGAAAGAAAGAAATGCCTAATTTTTGTAGTCGCAAATCTGAAACTCAAAAGGACTATTCTACAACATTTTGTAACTATATTTGTAACACAGCAGTCAAAGAGATGAGCTTCTCTTTCTCTGTTCTCTGTCAGTAGTAAAGTCATATATCAATATTTCTGAAACTGAGAGACTGAGTGAAGACACCTGGAAATAGTTTTCTCCTTCTTTTCTATTCATTTGCAAAACACACACAAAAAATGGATGTGTGGGTAAAGCAGAAAGGAAAGTTCCCAACGTGCATCTGCTTTAATTTATTCTTGCCTCTGCATTTTAAGAACTAATAATTTTTCAATTAATTTCCCCAACTTTTACTCTTTACTCCTTTGGATATCTCACATTCATACACACACACAAGTGACCTCAGAAAATTTGTTCAGACTCATCTGCCCTTTCTTTCAGGCTTGTGATGATGGCAAAAATGAATCTATGTGCTTAACACTAAGCAATAATAATTATCTGGACTGTATTAAGACACATGAAAATGAAGACAACTCTTTTATTTCCTATAACTTCTCTGAGGAAGCTAAGTTTTTGAACAAACTATGTGAATAAGTAATCTGGGCAAAAATATCTACCTGGTATGCTGACAATAATATTTCACCCATTTATACCACCTTTTGCTCATCAATAATAGGCTACACTAACTATGTTCCCCTATGCACTTTTAATTTTATGTCATCACTTACAGCTTAGATGCTTCAGCCCTTTCCTCAAGGTCAGAAACTAGACTCTGGTAACATAAATCCTGCATTCATGACAAAGATATGAGTTCAAGTTTCCTGGTTCCTATAAAGATACCATTATTAATGAGTCTGAAATAATTACAGAAAGATCCAGGATCATGTTGAACATTCAGACACCATGTGACCCCAGGAGCCACATCAAATGTGGACATTTTTGTAAATGCTTTATCAGGAAATAAAACCACTTTCCTTTTCCCTTTCAAATAATAAAGAACAATTCTCCCTTCTTTTAGAACAAAGAAGAAAAAAAAGAGGAAGTGCCAATAAATGTAACACTGTTGTAAGAAACTGAATTAATATGAATAATTATGTAATGATTGCTTCTAATTAAATGAGGATAATGTTCAGGGTGTTCTTTTTACTTTTTTCAGAAACCACTGGTATTTAGGTAATATGCTATATACTGCTTTCTTTCTCTAGCCACCCCTCCCCTAAATAAATGACAACATAAATAGACACATAAACTCCATGTGAATCATTAGTGTGTGAGATACTGTTACCCTGAGGCTGCTGTAATTCACATATAGCCCTTCCTTCTATTTCAAATCTTTAAAATATTTTCTTTTCAAATACTTATAAAAGCACGTATGGTTGAAATAAAAATAAAGCACATACAGATGATATTTTTAAGCACAGCATTCTCATACCAGAAGGAAAGTAGTCAGGCATGTTCTGTTTCTCTGGGTCCAATACACGTTCAGGGAAAATACAAGCTTAAAAGTAGCGAGGACCAAGAAGAGATTGTAGAACTACTTTAAGGTGTTGCAACTGTCATTTAGAAAAGAAATAACATCTTTTATGCAGTCCTTCCTAATATGAAAGTTTATGACAGCATGTGCATTCCATTGTTAAAAGTGGATTGGATGTGAAACACTTTTTACAATCATCCAATCACTATGTGAGGATGAGAGGTTGTAGACAAATCTCAACCATCTAAAACTATGTTATGATAAAAAAAAAAACCCTTTTTCAAAGAAAAAGTACTGAATAGTTTGACCTGTTTATTAATATCAATATAATCTTATGTTTAAGCCAACCCTAAGTTATAGGAAATGATCTTCAAGGTAAAGACTGCCATAAATCCTGCAAATCTAACCTGAAAGTCCGTTTTCTAAAGATAAGGAACTGCCAAGTAAGGACTAATAGCCCCTCCCACTGCAAGTCTTTTCCAAACTTTTAAGATGTCAGCTTTCTAATGAAAAATTCAGGCAAATCATAACAGCAAAGCTGAAAGTTCAGCATGCAACAAGGAGGTTGAGCACATACCTGGCTCGTGTGTGTGTGTGTGTGTGTGTGTGTGTGTGTGTGTGTGTGTGTGTGTATGTGTCCTGCAGAACAATGAGAAAATCCTACAGGATTCAGTGGGGGCAGCAAGAAAGGTTATTAATGGTTTTTCCCAATCTGGCAGATATCCATCTCCCTAAAGTGCGCTTTCCTTGACAACATTGGAATTTAAAGGAGTGACATCCTTTCCATATAAAGGATTATATGTCAGATGTGTCTTGACCAACACATGAAACAGTCATAATGAAGACAAAAGAGTGCAAAGTAGGTGCCAGGTTAAAAGAAGACCCCCAAGGCTGCATTTACAAGTGAAGTTCATGCACTGAATACATCTTGTTCAAAATGTAGCAGAGAGAATTTTCCTGGAACAAGAAGCAATTGAACAATGAAGACATGTCATAATGTACATTTAAGTTATATGATCACAACTATACATAACTTGGCCAAAAAGATAAATAAATAAACAGAAAAAAACTATGTATGTATCAAGGCAATTCTGCCAGATATTTCTACAGAATTAGCCTGAAATAAGAGACATGAAGCCACTCTTCATTCAGTCAGTCCCGGTTCTCATGTACCTCTCATATATTAAACAGTTTCCAGCACTGAGGATGAGTCTAGTGTATAGAGGTAACCATTCTTTTCTACCGCATGACCCTAACTGCAAGCCTAATTACTTTATTTACATTAAAGCAAAAAACACCAATCTATTCCAATATTGGGAGAAAACCTTGCTGTTTTGGGCGTATTAAGGAAATAGAATCCATGGTCTCCAATGTGACAGCTTTCTAAGGAAGGATTCTTAAGGTAATTTTGTCTAAATACAATTTTCTTCTTGTATCCAGACTTTAGAAATTAGGTCCCAGCCATATATATAATATAAGTGCCTCTATACATCTTTTTTTTTTACACAAACATTTAACATTGCCAAGAGAACCGATCCCTGGTACCCATTAAAGAAAGCAATTGGCAAAACAAAAAGACTTTAATGAGTATCTACAGTATGCCAAGCTAGATGCTATGGGCAATAAAAGAAAACTAACTACATGATATCAATCCTCAAGTAATTAAAAGATCATGCATGTATAAAATTGCAGAGACCAGACCAAGATTTTTTTAGTACATAACAATCATGAATCTTTCTATTCCATGAATCAAATTCTAGAAGGATGAAGGGAAAATGTTATGAGTGTGATATGAAATAATCTGAGAAAAATTTATGTGGGTGGTGCTTGAGATGAATATTTAAAGAGGAGGTATGGATTACATAGAATGAATGAAGTTCCAGGTTAAAGTTACAGCTGCATGGTTAAATGACCAATGAGCGCAAAATAGACAATCCTAGCTTAGAACAATGTTTAGCACCCAAATAATGATTTTTAAAAAGCAGAGTGACATATTCAAATATAACAAATTGGATGTCCATTATGTTTTGGAATTCAAACAGGACATTTTGAAAATGACATTAGAATAGACTCCAGAGAGCTTTCAGGGAAACCACTGGTTTGACACTTTGCATATATCAACAATGGCCCTTGAATTTTTCACCAGTGAATTGGGTTCTAGTCCAACCTACACACAGGGAAAGGATTTCTGATCATAGTGCAAAGATTGAAATTTAACCTGGAAGTTTCAAAGCAGATCAAGATCATGCATTTGTATATACTAAGAAAATCTCAGAAAAAAACAAAGATCCTAACAGAATATCCAAAACAACCACTAATTCCTATTACATTGAAAGGAAACTCAGAAATTAATAAAACACACACAAAACAACCACATTATGAGGATTTTTTTCATTTTGAAATGCAAAATAAAAATTATGACCAACTTGATGATCGACATAAGAAGTTTGACATAGTACAATCGACAACACTTTTTACATCTTTTTTTAGAAACACATATTTGTCACTCATATTAATACATCAATAAATACACTCAACTTCACGTTGTTACAGATATAAGTTAGTCCAAACTCTATTAACTGCGAACATATGGAACTTGGAAAACGGCATAACCAACTAATTCACTAATTTGCGATAACTATAGTTATCCCCCCAAAAAAAACAGTAGAAGAAACTCAGCAAACAACAACCGAAGAATCTCTAGTTGTTGTGAACTAACACTATCTGGGAAGCAACAGGCCATTAGTGATGTTGCAGAACGTAGAAATGAAGGTATCTTGTTTTGATCAAAGCTACCATGATATCTAAAACGCAAAGAGACAGACCTGTAAACTAAAAACTCTATGAACAGCAGCAAATCACAGAAAGTCTACGGAAGCAAATAGTCATGCAAGGATTTACTGCAGGAGCTTCCATCTCTCTTTCTGGGATTAATGCCCATAAAGATAGCAACACCATCATCAGTGTCATCTTCAAACAAAGGACCACAGTATAGAGAGAACAATATTAATTATTGTCAAAATCACTTGTGCACTCAGTGATTTCAATAGGAACAATCAGTTTAAGTGGCAGTGGCAACTTCTCAACATAAAACACACTTGCTGCAATCCAAACTGGATTTAAAGAGAGGTGAGCAACTGCTTTAGTTGTTTAATCTGGTTATATTTGAGCTAAAGTAGTTCACATTTTTAGAATGAACGAATCAAAGGCGTAATTGTTTTTGTCATCTGCACAGCAATTTTACTCCTGAATGCATTGTTTTAGGCAGGAATTAATAAAAATTGCATGCGCTTCAGGTGCTGGGTAGATCACCCTTTTCCACATAGCCCAGCCTGAAGCTGTGAATGCTCCTTTTCTTATTATCAGTTAATAATTTTCTCTCATTGAGGCAAATTAGGAACTTGACTGTGTTAGAGAGTCCAGAACACTGCTAGAGGCAAAAGGGGGCTAAATGGCAGAAATTCCTCTCTGAGCAAGATGCATGAAGCACGACATTGTGTCCACCACAAAAGCCGCTCTGTATTTTTGATCCTTTCTAATTTAATTAGCCCAAGAGGTAGCGCATTAATTTGCCAAGAATTCTTCTGATGCGAAAGCTGCCCTTATTGCAGTGAAGGGAAAAAATAACCTGCGTGCTACAGTGGCATGCCAGTAATGAAAAGGGGTTATTTTTGTGTTACAAATGGCATTGCAGGGTTACAAGAGACCTTTAAACCTTTTTATCTCTGGTTAGGTCATATGTAACACAGTGCAACACAAAGCACTAATTAACCAATTCTGGTCCAGAAATCTTTTAGAACACTTAAGAGAGTTACCCAGTTAGAACCCAGGTCAACTGCATTGCTTTGTTTTGCATTTAAAAACTGAAAACATCCTCTAGTGTGTATATTAAAAAATAAAGCAAAAAAAAAATCATCAATCGACAGTTCTGTTACTCTATGGACTCAGTATACAAGATATTTATTCTGGTCTTTGTTTTCTTTCTGTTTAATGATATTCTTTATGTGGGCAAGCTGGAGCCTTGAAGTCCCTTAGAAGGTCTCTTGGCTCTTTATGCTGTATTTGTTTGGTAAATTGTCTCCATGTTAATCTTCTTCATCAAATACTTGGAGTCAGTTTTGAAAACCTTTGATCAGATCTACCACCACCACACTTCTTCATCGCCATGTGCTTCTGATATGTGCTCATGCACTCAAATGGGTCATTTACTCATTAAAGAACGAGAAACATGCGTGCTACCATGATAAGTCCTCCCCAATACTTTGAACTGTTAATTAAGCCTATGTAATCATGTCTCCTGTTTGCAGAACCATTTCTTTTCTAGAAATTACAGGATCCCGTTTAGGGACTTTCAACACCCTTGTCGTTTTCCCTCATCACTTTCCAACCCTACTGCCTGAACGTGGCTTGTTAAAACGCTCAGGAAAACCTGAAGATTATTACATTTTACATATAATTCTCCTGTCCCTTTAATGAAAACCAATGGAAGACAATGGCTTTAAAGTAAAGCACTGATATTTTTCCTCTCTCCCTGCTTCTGGCTAGAAATCAGTGAATTAAGGAGTGGTGGCACTTAGTGTATTTTTGGCTATGCATTACGAATAACCAGAGGCATCACAAGTAGCCTGTTTATGGCATAGTGTAAAATTTAGTAGCCAAACTGAGAAGAGGAAATTAGCATTGTCAAGAGGTAGGACCGGATGGACCCAGGCAGGAGGGTGTGGCCAGGGTGAGGGCAGAGAAAAGAGGAAAGAAGAGCATCTAGGAAAAGAGAGGGATCTTTTAAAAAAGCAACTCTGTGGGCAAGAGAGAGGTTTTTAAATAGTGAGAAAAAAAGTAACGGTGATTGGGCGTTCATTGCAAGGGAAGGATGGCGTTGGAGGGAGAATTAAATAAGAAGAATCTCTCAGTCTAGTAATATTTTCTCATGGACAACAATATGAAATAATCTCATTTCTTAAAACAGAGATTGTCCTACAAAAAAGGCTTTATTTTTAAAGGCAACATCCTTCCAGATATTTTTGTCTGAACCTAGAAATACCTTTCAGATTTATACTGTATTAAAAAAACCTTTAATTTTTGATTGAACTAAAAGCTTTCAGCATATAGATATATATTTACAGATTCTGTTTAAAAATCAGCAGCTACTTAGTCAAATGACAGCCTTCTTACTTGATTTTAAAAGTTCATATGTAATATGATTAATATCACCACATAGGAACAAGATAACTCAGCTGAGAATGTGCTTTTATGGATAGATCTTAAACTGTTCTCAATTTTTCCAGGTTGTCCAAAAGATTTGAAAGGGTAAAAAGATTTTTTAATACACAGTAAATACTTCTGAAACAGTGAATTAAAATGAAAAACAGATGACACATTTATACAGCTTTTGGCTTCTGTAACATCAAACAGCACATTTTCTTCAAATGGTTTCATCAGTGGACTGGGAACCTCTTAAATTGATTGACTCAAACATGTCACTTATTTGATGATTGGAGGTTTATAAAACAGTTCCTACTTTTGTCATCTGCTGACATGTTACATATCTCTCACAATAGATTAAAAGGTATCATCTAGTCTTATGCTTTCTCTACAGATAATTTTAACTTTTCAACTAAAATGAAGATACAAAGTATCTATGTATTAAAGAGATGCCTTGCAATTTGGAGTTATTTTTATTAGGTTTCTTATTTTAAGATTGATAAAGGTGATCTAAATACTATCTACAAAAAGAAAAAACTGAACACTTTACTTTTTCAAGGGTGAAATGCAGGCATGCAAACTTAGTCAAAGCAATAGATAAGCATTTGCAATGTGACAGGAAAAAAATGGCAAAATCATTATTTTAAGCCAATGTTTAATAAATGGTAAGAAACTACTTTCAATGATGTGATAAAATAGATGTTTTTTCCCCTGAGTTCCAGATACCTTCATAATCTTAGAGATCACAGCAGAGCCGAGACAATTTACCTACATCTGCTTTCAAGATAAACCTAGTGCCCTCAGATCTCAATTCATGCTTCCTAAAATACCACGAAGCCCACACCAGGGTACTCAGGTCTGAGAACGCACATATTTCTGAGAGTGCATATGTCCCTAGAAATCTGTTGATATTTAAATCACAGCACTCTATAGCACTCTCAGTTGGGTAAAGTTTGAGAGGAACAAACAAAGTATAATCCTCCCGGAGAAAAACAAAGAGTGAAAGACCAAATGCAAAAAACAGATGTCTCTCCAAACATACCAGAAATGAAGTACGGTATTTAGTCAACTGTACCTTGGCCATTTAGAAGGAGCCTGAAATGAATGCCCTGAGGCGATGTACCAGGTGGGTCACGGTCCTCACAGATGACACACTGAAGCTTGGAGAATGGACTCTCTACAAAGATGTGGGCAGGGAAACTTCCAGGGATGGAACGTCCCAAGGCAAAGGAGAGCAGAGAGCTGGTACACGTGAGGCCTGAAGGGTCAAAGGAAAGAATGGTTACCATATCCCTGAGAGTGTGTGTGCAGAGGATGACTTACTCAATAGGGACTGTGGCTTTGCTAGAGCACCCCAGCCACCCTACAGCCACTCACCAGAGAGAGAATCGAGGAATCAACATCCCAATCCCACTCTCTTCACAGAACCCTCTGCTCTACCATTGTCAGTCTTGACAGAGACCAATCAGAAAGCAGAGGGCAGTACCTGGAATCAGTCTCCCTGGCAGAGAGTGGACTGGAAGTGCAGTCATAAGATAACCAGTACAGAGCTTTTAATATTTAATAGTGGAGAAGACACATTGATTAACATTTTATAAAATGTTAATAACCTTAACAGAAAACAAACAAACAAACAAAAAAAGGTGTATTTTTCAGATAGAACATTTGACAATACTCTGGGATTTTAAAAAATGCATATGTATACACCCATATACTGAATTATTTTCAAAAGAAAAATAGAAATCAAATTATAAAACTATTAAGATATACAAAATTATAATAAAATATAAGAATACATAAAATTATAGATAACTTTGAACACTGTGCAATCAGCCTCAATTTCTCTACTATTGAGAAATAGAATCTATCCAGTTAAGGTATTATAATATATGAGGAAAAGTAAGAGAATGAGGAGGAAAAAAGGGGGAGAGGGGGAGAGGAGAGACAGGTAACCAAGGGGAAAAAAAGGATTGAGGCACGGTTCTTTTTATTTTCCTATTGTACTCTGCAATGCAGCCCTGGAAAATGTGTTAACCCTTAGAAGCTAGAATCCATGGATCCCCTGAATCTAACCGCTCTCTGGACCATTTTAGAGACAAAGCCTTTTTCTTCGGACAAACTGCTATTTCTCACCCTACCTTCTAAACAATCTTAGGAAGAAGACGCCTAGAAATATAGAAGTACCATTTTCTAGTTGGTGGGGAATGAGAGACACTGAAAACCTATTTCCACAACAGTGAGGCTGAGATCTAGATTTCTATTGTCCATTCATGATTCAGCCTTCCTTGCCTCCTATGTCAATGGGCGAGGCTCCTTTGGAGACACAAGGGATCCCAGGTCATGGGTCATATAGAGATAGGCTTTATGTATGCAACCTCAAGGGCCAGTTTCTGCTGAACTGCTTCCTTTCTCACCTTCCTGACCCTGCCAAGCATTCCCCTACCTGTGCAGAGGATAGTTACTAGCACAACTGAAAACATCTAAACTACTTCCTCTCTGTCCTGTCATGTGGAAAACCAACTTAATTACATCTTTCTACCTTTCTTCATCCTTTACTCTTTTTAACATGCATTTGTTTTATTGACATTTACTGAGCATCAATATGCTGCCATTGTGTGAAGATGAGTATACAAAACAAGACATCAAGATCCCTAATCTTAAGCAGCACGCAGTGCAGTGTTTTTTCCCACATTCCTGGAACACAACACAACATACATGGTACGCATGTGTACCACAGGCATAAATATATATGCATGCTTATAGATATACATAGTCTAATCCTGAAATACCTCCAATCCCTTGGGGAAAGATTCTCCCCCACTTACCACGCTCTCTTCTGGCATCCTTCCTATGTCTCCTGATCTTTTATTTCAACAGGTTTTTAAGAATTGAACATATGCAAGGATGCTGAAGCCCACTCAGAATGTTAAAGACATAAGCTTGTTCCTGGATGAGGGTTAACAGTGGTAGGAGTTGGTAATCAGCTCTAGAAGAGATGGAAGGAAGTAAATAAAAGATGATATATGAAGACGAAATTGTAAAGATGTGGTAAAAACTAAGGAACAAGATTCCCTTCAAAGTTATCTTCTTTCTAATATTTCTTTCACTAAAACTCAATCCTCTAGAAACAAACACACCTAAAATTTAATCTTTAGAATGAAATTTCATAAGGACAAATAATACATAAGAAAGCTGTTTCATTGTAAAGTTACTTTTTTTTCCAAAGCACCTGCTTTAAGATAGAACATGTATATTTGCGGGGTCATTAGAATCACCTGGGGAGCTTTAAAAAAACTGTCAGGTACAGGCCCAAAGCAGACCAATTAAACTAAAACCTCTGGGGTGAGCCCAAGCATCAGTATGGTTTCAAACTCCCCATTTGATACTAACATGCAGCCATGGTCATAAGTAATAAATATATATTTAGACATATGATTATGAGTTATGTGCCAATCATCCCTTAGTAAAAAAAAATTCTCAGCAATGTTTTGTTTTCGATAAATCATTGTCAATAATTTATTATAATAATCTATAGCTATAGCTTTAAAGTCTTTTAAAAATAAAGGTAGATATTTAGGGTTTGATAATATCTATTTTTGAATAAAATATAGAAGATTTTTTAATGCTTAATAATAAAATGAGCCACCTAGAAATATAGCAAGGTCTTTATAGACAGATAGAGCTTGGATCAGAATAATGAGGCAAAATTTTTATTCCAGCTGCTCCCTCCCACCCACATCCTCTTTTTTCTCTTCTAGCCCATGCTTGGGGTCTATTGTAGAGAACTTAGATAGTCTAGGAATTTGAAATACAAGCAATGTTGACTTAAAGGAACTCTAAAGTCTCCTTCACCTAAATTGTCAATAATTTCATAACTATGTTTCCCTTTCAGCCATCTTAGTAAGCAGCACAAGTCACTGTTTTTGAGTGCATTCACACAATTTAGGCAGCAGTGGCTAAGCTAGGCTTGTGCTGTATGCAGGACAGCTACCGAAAGAAGGAAGGGCTGGGCTTAGTCTTTAGAGGTATGCTTACAAGGTATGGAAACCCAGATTAGCTCTGGCATATAAACTACAAAAATGTTCTTGTTAACTGGGCAACATGTTTTCTAAAGGTGCAGAATCCACTGTTTCTATCACTTGTCAGAGTTAAGCATAAACAATGTACAAACAAACAAATTGTGCCAGTATAAAATGTAATACTTGTTTATGAGACACTTCCAGAATCTGACAGTGGCCCTCTGTTAACAATATTTAGGCCATAACTATATTGGCCAAATTTTCCAAAAAAAAGAAAAAATCTGAAGCTTCGGGTAACGTTAAATAGCTTTATAACTTCCCTTGTATCTGGTTTCTAATCTCAGATTAAATCAGGCCAGAGTTATCAATTTTAATGATCATAATGTCACATTAAGCAAAAAGATGAATAAGAACGTGTGTATACTGTAGGCTAACATTCTTTTAATCCCGGACTCTCTATGCTTTGGGATTTTACGAACCAGTAAAACATCTCCAAAAATGTTAGAAAGTAAAACAAAAGTTACCATTTAAAAAAAAATTGCCAAGGAAGGACATTAAATGGTAAGAATAAAACCAGATCCACTATTGCCATTACATCATTATATCATATAACACTAAAAGAGTAGGAAGTATAGAATCTGTCAATAAAGGATAATTCAGTAAAAATAGTATACTTAATGAAATTTGTATCATTTTCTTGAATATCTCACTTCACTTCAATCCAGTGAAAATGTCATCACAGATCGGCCTGTGTCCACTGACTGGTACTCTGGAGCCACTGTTCTGATGGTATTCATCTAGACTCTTGCCTAGTTTCCCAAAAAATTCTGCCTGTAATCTCATTCATACCTGGGCAGAGGTTCCCTTCTGGTCCTTTTAAAGGGCAACTAGCATATTCATGACAAATCTGGAAGGAGTATTTCTCCATCCAGTTTAGAACTCACAGTTCTACCAGAGCTTGCAATAACATTGGCAAACAGTAAAACAGTTGCTTTTCTCAAATATTACAATGTATATGAAGTCACAGTTATGTTCCTTTGTTTCAAGTAAAAGCTTAGGCAGCAACTCAAAGAACCTGATTCCTGTGAATCAGAAAAAGAACTTACAGCCTGCCAGTCTTGTAAGCTTACAGTTTTCCATATCGTATGTGATTTTATAGATTTAGCTAAAGTATGGCAAAATGCTTTTATCTTATAAAAACATTTATTACTCGATATTCAGGACAATAGGAATAAAAATTATCTTATTCATTTTCTAAAGTCACTACATTGTAAGACTGATCTACCACGATTGAGATAAATTTAGTACTACATAAAGAAATTTTCTTCCCAAACTGGGCAGGATATCTGTAAAATTACCCAATGATCCTGTTTTCTGTTATTACAATGACATTCAGATTGTTTATTCCAAAGCAAATACTTTATTTCAAAAGTCTGGAAACCAGTCATCTGATTTCATTTAAAAAATTGAGAACATCCAACTACAGATTTTAAGTTAACTGTAAATTAACTAACTTAATTGTAAATCAACTTTTTATTTTAGTTTTTCATTTATTTCCTTTTTAAATTTATTTCCATTTTTTATTAACAGTACTCTCATCTTTGGTAAAGAGAAAATATAGCTTTATTGGTCTGTTACTAAATATTTCTTTCTTAATTGATCTCTTTCTGCTCTTTTTCAATCATAATCACAAACCCATAGATGCATTTCAGGGGATGACGGTGCAAACACACAAGAGAATGTCCCCGAATTTTCAATGCCCCATATTCATGGTGATCTTGAACTTTAACTTCTCTGAAACCACTTACAAAGAATTGAAGGACCTCAGAATGGTTCATACTGAAAGAAAATCTTGCAAGTTGTTTTTCTCTCCAATGTTAAAGACACAACTCAAACTGATGAGAAGACAAGAACATAAAATGGAAGTTCTTACGAGGACCCTGAATAGGCAAAAGAAAGAACTATGCAATCAAAAATAAATAATATTTGAATTTAAGGTGCTTTAGCTAGCTGCAACACAAAAATTATGAATAAATACATAATTAAAATTAAAATTGAATCAGTCAATTTAAAATTTTTTATTTGAAATCCAAATCAAAGGCTTTGTAGTAAGACACTTCACCTGGAAAAAGAGTAGCCCAGGTTTAAAATTTTTTAGTAAACAAAGACCTTGTCTTTGTCCATTTGTGCTGCTATAAAAAAGTATCTGAGACTGGGTAATTTATGAAAAACAAAACTTTATTTTTCACAGTTCTGAAGGCTAGGAAATCCAAGATCAAGGTACCAGCAGGTTTGGAGTCTGGTAAGGGCTTGCTCTCTGCTTCCACAATGGCACCTTGTTACTGGGTCCTCTGGAAGGGACAAACTCTGCTCCATATCTTGTGGAAAGCTGGAAGGGCAAAAAGGGCTAATTCCCTCTAACCCTTTTATAAGGCACCAATTCCATCCATGAGGGCAGAACCCTCAGGGTCTAATTATTTCCCAAAGACCCCACCTCTTAATACTACTGCATAGGGGATTTAAGTTTTATTGTGAATTTTGGATAGGGCATAAATGTTCAAATAATTGCAGACCCTCTCTACTGTCCACACTAAATAGGAATCAAGCCAACAAGCATCAATGTGCCTCAAATAGAGGCACCTTCAGAATGGTATTTATGTTTAGAGTTCTCTCTACGCTTTTTCTTCTATCCCAGTTGTTACTCCCAACATTCCTTACTTCTGTGATTGGCTGAAATGCAATTTTAGCGAGCTAGCCTACAAAGAATAATTGAATGTTGATTCATGCAGTATTTTTAAGCAAATTATTTTCAATATTTGAAATGCAGATTTCGTTTTGAGAAATTTAATTAATCACACAGTGTATGAGAGAAGACATATATAGTCATCTAAAAGAAGAAATGTTCTTTCAAGTTCTGCAAGATTTGATTGTCTTGAAATAACTGTATTAACAGAAATAAATTTAAAAAAACATGCGTGCATTCAAAAATGAGCCACTGAATGATTTAAAGAAAAAAGTCACAAAGACACATATTAGTAGAGCTAACCGACTCTGCCCCTACTGGGGGGTGCCTCCCAGTTAGGCTACTCGGGGGTCAGGGACCCACTTGAGGAGGCAGTCTGTCCGTTCTCAGATCTCAAACTCCATGCTGGGAGAATCACTACTCTCTTCAAAGCTCAGTTGGAAATAGAGAAATCACCCATCTTCTGCGTCGCTCATGCTGGGAGCTGTAGACTGGAGCTGTTATTATTCAGCCATCTTGGAACCACAATCTTATCTTTGTTTTTACTGCATTTGCTTTTGGGTTCTTGGTCATGAAATCCTTGCCTAAGGCAATGTCAAAAAAAGTTTTTCCAATGTAATCTTCTAGAATTTTTATAGTTTCAGGTCTTAAGTCCTTAATTCATCTTGAGTTGACTTTTGTATAAGGTGAGGGATGAGGATCCAGTTTCATTCTCCTACATGTGGCTAGCCAATTATCCCAGTACCATTTTTTGAAAAGGGTGTTCTTTCCCCACTTTATGTTTTTGTTTGCTTTGTTGAAGATCAGTTGGCTGTATTTGGGTTTATTTCTGGGTTCTCTACTGTGTTCCATTGGTCTATGTGCCTAGTTTTATATCAATACCACATTGTTTTGGTGACTATGACCTTATAGCATAGTTTGAAATCAGGTTAAGTGGTGCCTCCAGGTTTGTTCTTTTTGCTTGGTCTTGCTTTGTCTATGCTAGTCTTTTTTGGCTCCATATGAATTTTAGAACTTTTTTCTTATTCTATGAAGAATGACAGTGGTATTCTGATGGATTCTGATGGGGATAGTATTGAATTTGCAGGTTGCTTTTGGCAGTATGGTCATTTTCACAATACTGATTCTACCCATCCATGAGCATGAGATGTGTTTCCATTTGTTTGTGTCATCTATGACTTCTTTCAGCAGTGCTTTGTAGTTTTCCTTGTAGATTCCTTTGTTTGATATATTTCTAAGTATTTTATTTTTTTGCAGCTATTGTAAAAGAGGTTGAGTTCTTGATTTGATTCTCTGCTTGGTTGCTGTTGATGTATAGAAGAGCTACTGATTTGTGTACATTAATCTTGTATTTGGAAACTTTGCTGAATTATTTTATCAGCTCTAGGAGCTTTCTAGAGGAGTCCTAAGGGTTTTCAAGGTAAATGATCATATTGTCGGCAAGCAGTGACAGTTTCACTTCCTACTGTTTTGGATGCCCCTCATTTCTTTCTCTTGTCTCATTGCTCTGGCTAGGAGTTCCAGTATTATGTTGAAGAGGAGTGGTGAGAGTGGGCATCCTCGTCTTGTTCCAGTTCTCAGAGGGAATGCTTTCAACTTTTCCCCATTCAGTATAATTTTGGCTATGGGTTTGTCATAGATGGCTTTTATTACATTAAGGTATGTCCCTTGTATGCCTATTTTGCTGAGAGTTTTAATCATAAAGGAACGCTGGATTTTGTTGAATGCTTTTTCTGCATCTATTGAGATGATAATGTGATTTTTGTTTTTAATTCTGTTTATGTGGTGATCACATTTCTATTGTGAAGGTGGATACAACAACCTCAACCCATTTACTATTTGATTCATCATATTCCTCTTCTTATTCTAGGATCACCAAGCATACTTCTGTTAATAAATTAGGTGCCTGTGTATGATCTGGCCAGAGTGAGTGAATGTGTTTATCAGACTATGAGTTGCATTTTTTACTCTAAATTAATAAAATGGCATTATAACTGTCCACATCAGTCACACTGAAAAATGGATTCACTCTTGGTATACAATTGAAATCAAACTTCTGAGAGCGGGAAGATGAGGACCCAGCTAGACTATGTTCAATTCACCAAGGACTTACTTACTGTTGAGACAACTTGGGGAAAAAGACACTATTAATCATAAGCATTATTTTTCTCATTTTGAAACTTTTAGTGATATAAGGTTTTAATACATCTTTTACAAAGATATAAAAATTTTTACTAAAAAGTAAAGCTCAACTCTCTCCTTCTGCCAAGGAGACATGTTTTGTTTCACTTTTCTTGGATCAGCATTATATTTTAATGCCTATCACATGGTGCCTAGAACAGAGTTGGTCTTTAATAAAAGCTCAAAGGAAGAGCAGGAGGAAAAAAATTCTAGACAGGAGAGATGTAAGAAGGTTCTAACGCAGGCAAAAACTCAGCCCAGTCAAGGAACTTAGTATAGGTCATCAGGGAATTAAAAGACAAGCAGGATGGATGAGGTGTAGTCATTGATGAGAGTGGTCAAGATGCAGTAGGAGGATATGGATAGGTGTCACAGCATAAAAGGCCATATGGACCATGGCAAGGGGCTTAGATTTTACTGTCTGCATGATAAGAAACCACTGAAAGAATTTAAGCAGGAGACAAACATGATTTAATCACTGTGGCTGCTATGTGAGGAATGAATTTATGAGGAGACAATAAACAGGAAGACCAATAGGAATTTATCCCAGTGGTGATAAACTCCACAGGAGAAAAAAAAAAAGATAACTGATTAGCATAGAGTAATAGTGGTGATGATGGAGAGATACAGATGGGTTCCAAAGCTCTTTTGAAGACAGAATTAACAGGAGTTGGTTATTCAATTAGGTGTAAGGATGAGGAAGTCAGCAATGGCAGGAATGACCCCCCCAACCCAGGTATCAGATTTGAACCATGCAAGGGTTGAAGGGACACCTGCAGGTCTTCGCTTAGGTAGACCCAAACACATTGTACTTGATTGGGCAAACCAGTAAAAAGCTGGTTTCTCTTAATAGAAATATTCCTAGTTTGAGTTCCTGTCACCTTCAGAAATAGGCCAGAAATAGGCCATAAACTTGAAAAGCAGATTGGGGTAGTACTGGCATTGCCTAGTTCTTTAAGGACTCTTTCCCATTCTTATCATGCTGAAATAATATTAATTTGAGGTTTCTATACAGTTAAATAAGCAGTTGCTCTTTGTCCCCCTTGGTTTAGAACCAATTAAAAAATAAACCCCAGCACCACGACCACCACCTCCCAAAAAAGACAGCTATCCTGGAATAGGTAAGGTTGATTTGAAAACAAGGCCTCAAGATCTGTGGTCAAAGGCTACCTAACATACCCTACCCACTACCTTTCTTGCCTCCCCCATTCTAGCCTTAGCAAAGTCCAGTGGAGGAAAAGTATAGGTTTTAAAATGAGACCAGCCTACCCAGGATTCTTGTACTAGCCCAAGGGGAACAAGGAAGCAGAGAATCCCGCTGCTGAGCATCTTATAATTTTGCTCCATTCAGTTGGGAAAAAAGTACCAATGAAGGTCAGATCCTTGTGACACCACAGAAGGGAGCTTGCTCCTGCTCCAGGGATAGTTGTGAATATGCTGCACTCTGCTTACTGGGAGCAGCAATGAATGAGAACCAAGATTCAAAATAACTCTAACCCTAACCCTAACTCAAGATGGATTAAAGACTTAAATGTAAAACCAAAAACAACAAAAACCCTGGAAGATAACTTATGAAATATCATCTGGACATATGGCCTGGCAAAGATTTCATGATGAAGATCCCAAAAGCAATTGCAATAGCAATGAAAATTGACAAATGGGACCTAATTCAACTACAGAACTTCTGCATAGCAAAATAAAACTATCAACAAAGTAAACAGACAACCTACAGAATGGGAGAAAATATTTGCAAACTATGCATCTGACAAAGGTCTAATATCCAGAGTCTATAAGGAACTTAAGCAAATACAAAAGCAAAAAAAGATACAGTCCCATTAAAAAGTGGGCAAAGGACATGTACAGACACTTCAAAAGAAGACATACATGTGGCCAACAAGCATATGGAAAAATGCTCAACATCACTAATCATTAAAGAAATGCAAACCAAAACCACAATGAGATACCATCTCACACCAGTCAGAATGGCCATTACTAAAAAAGTCAAAAAATAACAGATGCTGGAGAGGTTGTGGAGAAAAGAGAATGCTTATACACTGCTGGTGGGAATGTAAATTGGTTCAGTCATTGTGAAAAGCAGTTTGGCAATTTCTCAAAGAACTCACAGCAAAATTTCCATTCAACCCAGCAATCCCATTACTGGGTATATACCCAAAGGAATACAAATCATTCTATCATAAAGACACAGGCACACAAGACATAGCTTCATCACAGCACTATTCACAATAGCAAAGACATAGAATCAACCTAAATGCCCATCAACAGTAGACTGGATAAAGAAAACATGGTACATATACACCACAGAATACTATGCAGCCATAAACAAGAATGAGAGCTGTCCTTTGCAGCAATGTGGATAGAGCTGGAGGCCATTATCCTAAGTGAACTGACACAGGAACAGAAAAGCAAATACCACATGTTCTCACTCGTAAGTGGGAGCAAACATTAAGTATATATGGACACAATGAAGGGAACAACAGACACCAGAGCCGACTTCAGGGTGTGGGGAAGAAGGAGGGTGATTATCAAAAAACTACCTATCAGGTACTGTGTTTATTACCTGATGGTAAAATAATCTGCACATCAAACCCCCATGGCAGGTAATTTACTTATATAACAAACTTGCACCTGCACATGTACCCCTGAACCAAAAATAAAAGTTAAAAATTAAATTAAACTTTAAAATGACCAGAAATCTCTTCTGGTCCCACCACTCATGTGCTGTGTGATTCTGGGGAATGGCTGAATCCCTGCTAGGGATCACGAATGATCATTAAAAGGAAATGTGATGGAAACTGTAAAAGGTGTGAGTTGTATTCTTCCTAAAGAGTTTACCAGTGCTGCTTCCCACTTTGTGTACCTTGGGAAGTCTGAGGCACTTGAGCATCTTGCTGCCCTTCCCTAGGTCATTCAAACTTCCAGGCACTATTTCAGTTAGATATCTTCAGTCTTTTTCTCAGAAGTGACATCCTTTCTCCAGATGCTATCTGAGTTGGAAGGTCAATATGTAAAACCCACTCACACCGAGATACCTATTGGGAAGCCTGGAGTTCCAAGGACCCTCAGAGAGTATCTTAAGACTCCAAGCAACACAGTCTCTTCCTTTCCAACATTGTAAGATGCTGTGGCTGCTACACAATCACTTCTGGGGAACAAAGTGACTGTGTGCCCAAAGACCTAGACGGTGGTTTTTCCCTTTGACAGGGTATTAGAAGGAACACACCCATTGTTCATCCATGTCAGGTGAAAAAGTCAAAATGCAAACAGGTGGGGGGAGGGGGACCCCCCAAAAGACAAAAAGATGAGGACTATCAAGGATATATTTGATTGATAATAAAAGCTCTAACAGAGCTAAATTTGCTTCATTTCATTCCTTAGTTATATGGATGGTTTCTGTACAACTTTGTGCTATTTTTTTCATATTTACTTGCTTTTTTGACTTCTATGATTAGTAAAATCCATTTTAATCTAAAGTCTTTTGCTATTTCACAGGAATAGTTAGGAAAAAAACCCACATAAACACAAAGAGATATGTAAACAGCATGCAGAGTATGGAGCTTTCTGAAGACTGAGGCTTCTGGCTTCCAGAGTTCTCATTTTCTTCCAATCTTCGTTTAGTCCTGCATTGAATTAGGCTGTAATATTCCATTATATGATAAAGCATCATTTAACAGGAAGTTATACTCTTTTATGTTATATTTGCATTTCATTTCCATGCTGCTTTTTAGAAAATAAGTGATAAGTAGAAGCAGAACAGGTATTTGTAATTACTCATGAGTCATTTGCTCTCACGTAATTTAATAGCCACAGATCTTTAATATGTGCTATTATTTATAGCACATGTTGAAAGGATTTAACATATGTAGTGATCTTCACCAAGTAACTCTATACTCTTCTTGAATACAAAGATGTAAATTTTGTCACCATTTATGCAACCTGCTAAAAATGTTGCTATTAATTCATGTGAATGAGTTTTTCCTCTAAGATTTTAATTAAAACACAAATGCTTTGCACACTTCAATCTGCAATATCCTCCACATGCATTTTTTTAATACTGACTGATCAGTTGGATAACAGGGGATTACTTTGTAAGATGTTTTCTCATACCTGAAAATTTCCACAAAGCAGGAATTTTTGTGTGAAAGCCCATTCAAAAGCTAAATAAGCATCACACTACAAAGCTCTCAGTGGCAACTGTGTTCTCTTTGCATTTCTGTGTACAACAAAATGTGCTCTAATAAGAAAAGAGTAGAACTAGCCAAGCTGCGAGGAAAGAAGGGAGGGGAGGGAAGATTTGAGGACTACTGGCCTCGTCAGCCCAATAATGCAATTGCCCTGGTGATGGTACCCTGCAGACCCCTGTGCTTGCATAGGACAAGTTCAGGGGACACGCGGGATGAGCCTGTGATGGTTGTCACATTCTTGATGACAGTATTCATTATTTTCTCTAAGGTGCACTCTGATCAGAATGCATACACATCTGTAAGTGTCCTTTTGGTGTATGCTTTGGAATGACTATTTTAGGAGAAATTTCCACCTCACCAAAACCTGGTGAGATTAGTGATGATCCCAAAGCATTTAAAACAAATTGAAAGGGTTATTCAGAAAGACCTGGATGGCTCCTATTCATCCAAAGAACACCATATAGTGAGAGAGTCCTTATGGCTCTCCAACAACTGAAAATGTGGAGAAACCAACTACCATTGATATAATTGCCTATAATAGGTGCACCTTTGAGACTGCAAGGCATAATTGGATAATATAATGTCAACAGAGGACTTCCTGTTGCCATATCAAGCAGAAATCTTCATTAAAAATATAAATGTGTAAGAAATATTGGCCAGAAAGGTTCTTGGAAACTTTGTCAGGGTGGAGAAAAATGTGCTGTGGCCAGAGGACTGAATGCCATAAACATCACATTGGCCCTAGATAGGGCAGCATGGTTCTGCTTCCTATTAATGGCCCAAAGGGGGACATTTTCATCAGGATTGGTGCCAATGTCCCATTTTCTTCTTGATTACAAGATGTTGAAAATCCATAGAATTCATTGAGATGCAGTCAAGAAATGGAGCCTGTAATAACATGTGCTAAAAAATTGTATATTCCGTTTTACATTGACTGGTGCAAAAATTCATTTGGTTGATAAAACAAAGCAAGTGGCCACCTATCCAGAAGTGATTCGTGGAGGGGGAATTTTAGTGATGATGGAGAGTACAAACTCTTTTCAAAATGACTGTCTGAAAAGCAGACAAGTACGTGGATTTCTTAATTATACTGGCTGTGTCCTCAGCAGTAGCTACTGGTCCTCTTTCTGGTACTTCCTTACATCATGCACTGTTGACAGAAAGGAGTAGAAAAGAGAAACATGCAAACATCAGACATCCAACTGGTCTGTCACAGTGCTATTCAGAAATTTGCCAAGGAGCTTCAAGACACATCCAAGAGTAGAAAGACAGCATGGCCCCCATCAACACTTCCTGTGTCTCACTTGTAACTGGTGAAATCATACCTTCCCTGTACACAGAGAACCATGATAGCACTAACACGCAAATGCAGCAGAATTTGTGACATCCAATTCAGGTTCCTCAACAACAAAGTACAAGTAAATGTCATCCCTGAAGAAGAGAACTGACCAAAGCATGAATTTATAATCAGACAATATAGCAGTTATATCACATTTCTTTTCACTTCCAATAATGCATAAGCTTTTCTGGTATATGGTGTGTATGTTCATGGTATTAACTGTAGAAGATATTATAATACAATATAACTTACATTTTACTAATGTATTTTTTACTTAAAGCATTATTGACAATTCGGAAAACACTGATGACTTTATATTTGTTACAATTAAAAGTGATCTTTAAAATAAATATTATTAATGAAAAACAGGATGTAGAAATCTATTGAGCTAAACAGGTAATTCTAGCTGAGACAACTAGAATTTGAGAGAAAACCATGTCACAAGTGGGAAAGTCAACATTAATCAAGAACCAGCATCATCAGAAAATGTATTATCACAATCAAAGCCATGTATACGTTTGGATTTCTACAAGAGTTGTTATTCAGTGCAGAATACTTTGCCCATTAACTATAATGATAAAAAGTAACTCCTATTCAACCTTAAATCTAAATTATGCCAGAGCTTTCTAGAATAATACAACTGCTTCAGAATGTTATCGTGAATTTTAAAATTCTACATTCTAATAATTTTTAAAAATCTATTAAAGGTACTTCTTTAAGTGGCTAAACTTTCTTTCCAGAACAATAGCACAAATAGAGTAATACAATATAATAATATCACTATATTCTTCAGAATCTTAAAAACAGCAATGACAAAGCACATCCTTTGTTCTTTTGAAACAGTCTTCACGGGCAACTTTTCAGCTGTGTCATTTTTGCTGTTACAAGTTATTATTATGCTATATATTCTTTCACCAATCAGTTTTCTAATACCAGTAAGAGTTCATCAATAATTATGGGCCATTCCAAAGCAAAAGTAAAGATTTTTCTAGATCTATTTTTCAAAACAGAAGTGTGCATTTTCCTAAAGGGATGAAAGAGAAATGTTTGATTAACTGACACTCCGAAATCATTCCTGAGCAATCTGTTAGAATTTCTTTCCCTTTACAATGTTTTCTATTCTATGCTATCAAGAACTATGAATCATAATTTCTGGCAGCTAAAACCAAAAAGGGTGAGAGGCTCTATTAGCATCCTAAAATATGCATGTCCTAATGCTCTCTTAAAATATGTCTGCTCAGAGAAGTTTCAGATTTTCTCAGCCAAGCAAAATGACATTAACTAAGACCCTGGCATGAAGATTTGCTTATTTTAGTTTGCTTAACATTGTAACCACAGCACAAAAATATTGCTACTCAACGGCAGATAAGTTATTCTCTCACATTTTCGCTTATTTTTTATTAACATCACATGATAAACTATCAAATCACTTATGATCACTAATTACTTTGATAATTCAGCTATAAAGACAATAAACTAAAAGGGTATTAGAATTAGTTCTTCTTGAGATAAGAGCATTCTTTCTGTTTTAAAGGAGTCTGGTTAAAACTATTCAGCTCAAACTAGGAATAATTGAAGACAATTGACAATTTAAATCAAGACAGCATAATCTGTCTACATCAGTTGATGATAAACTTCTGGGAAAAAAGTCAAAAGTGATACTAACTTTTTTTTTATATTCAGCATTCCTCAAGGAAATTTAACTTTATTTGCCTTTTTCCTCTGAAAGTTTACTACAGGATTCCAGGAAGAATTTCCTAAAGGGGAACAATATCCAGCAGTGTATTTAGCTGACTTGCCGTAAAGGATGAGTAGAATGCAGAGAAGGTCAGAGCTAAGTCAAAAGAGGATGTCTTGTTATTCTGACCATACACCTTTGAGGCAAAGGCCTAATACCTTTACAGAAAATAAAATGCAACAAACTTAATATTTTTCTTTGCTAGAGACAGGAGGACAAGGGTCATGTAATTGCTATCTTGTTGCATTGTTTCGCTCATTTTCTCTTTTTTAATAGAAAACAACAAATTAGTCAAAGAAACACTGCCAACTGCTTTATTTCATATGTTAACTAGTATATTTATATACTTCCAAAAATATAGTAGACTTTAAGCAAGATAAAATGGAAATGTTTAATGGATTCACAAGGAAAACCTGAAGAAATTTTTTAGTAGCAAAAGTACACAAAAAAACTAACAAAGAGCACAATAAATTCTGCAAACAACTCTAACTTTTTTTTTTAAATGGTGGAATAGTACTCCATTGTGTCTCATGTACTGGGATTTGACAAATTATTTTTTTCAATTTGGTCAAATCCCCTTTTTATTTTTATTGTTCCACTTAAAATTGTGTAAAATTTTACGTTCATTTGAAGAGTTGCCTACCAATGCTATGATTTCAGCAACTTGATGAAAAAATCAATCTATCATTTGATTTTTAAGACTATTACTTTGTGTGCTTATTTTTGGCTCTATTTCATTTTTTAAATTAATATAAATTAAAATTGACTTTTTGGAGATGTATATTGCTATGAATATTAAGACATGAACAGATTAGTGTAAACACCATCACAATCAGGATACAGAACAGTTCCAACTCTTAAAAAAACTCCCATGCTTCCTCTTTGTAGTCCCCTCCCCTTGACTCCTAATCCCCGATAACTGCAGTTCTGTTCTTGTTATTCTTTTGCTTTTTGAGAATGTCACACAGTTCTGTTGTTATTATTCTTTTGCTTTTTGAGAATGTCATGTAGACGGAATCAAACAATATGTAAACTGTTGAGACTGAATTTTTTAACATGGCATAATACTTATGAGAATTATCCAAATTGTTCTGTTATCAATAATTTATTTCTTTGTGTTACTGAATAATATTTCACTGTATAGTTATACCATGATTTGTTTTTCCATTCACTTATTGAAAAACACTGGGTTATTTCCAATTTGGGGCCAATGTAATTAAAGATGCTATAAACATTCACGTACAGGTTTTGTGAAAACACAGGTTTTCACTTTACTAAAAAAAAAAAAAAAAAAAAAAAAAAAAAAAATACCATGAAAGGAATTGCTGGGTCATGTAATAAGGACATGTTTAGCTTTACAATAAACTGCCAAACTGTTTTCAAAATGGCTGTCATATTTGGTATTGCCATCAGTGATGTATGAGTGTTCCAGTTGCTCCACTTCCTTGTCAGCACTTGATATTGTCAATATAGCCATTCTAATTAATGTATATTACTATCTTTCACTATTAAGTATTATATTAGCTTGTAGATGTCCTTTATCAGGCTGAAGAACTTTCCTTCAATTCCTAATTTGCTGAGAGTTTTCATTATGTATGAATATTAAATATTTTTAAATACTTTTTTGTATTGATATTATATAATTTTTCTTCTTTAGACTATCAGTTATATTTTATTGATTGATTGTCAAATACTAAGCCAACCTTTCACTCATTAGATGAATACTACTTGGTCACATTATACTATTCTTTTATACATTGCCAGATTCGATTTGCTAGTATTTTGATGATTCTGCATTTATGTTCATGAGTGATATTGATCTGAAGTTCTGGGGTATTTTCTTCTTGTCACAGTAATGCTCATCTCATAAAATGATGTATGAAATGTTCTCTCCTTTTCAACAGATGGTGTAGACTTGAGTTTATTTCTTCTTTACATGTATGGTAAATTTTAGCACTAAGGTCATCTAGTCCCGGAAATTTCTTTTTCACAAGATTTCAATAATGGGTTAGGAAGTTTAATCATTACTAAACTATTAAGGTTATCTATTTCACCCTAAAAGAGTTTTTAGAGGTTTTTGGTTTTGGAATAATCGTTCATTTCACCTAACCTACTGAATTATGTATTATACATAGATTTATTCATAATATCCATTTTATCCTTTTTATATCTACAGAGAATGGGGTGATACCCATTTTTTATCCTTGATATTGATCACTGTATCTGCCCTCTTTTTCTGCCAAAGGTATATTAGTTTTACTTATCATTTTGATAATTTTGCCTTTTGGTTTTATTGATTTTTCTGTTTTCTGTTTTCAGTTTCATTGATTTGTGCTCTTATATTTATTGCTTTTTATTTCTATTTGGTCCAGTCTACTTTGTACTTTTTCTATTTTCTTAAGATGGAAACTCATGTTGTTGATTTGAAACCTTTGTTTTCCAATATAAGCATTTAATGCTATAAATCTTCCTCTGAGCATTGCATTAAGTGCATCCCACACATTTCAACATGATATATTTATTTTCCTTGAGTTCAAAATATTTACAAATTTCTCTTGAGACTTTCTCTTCAACAAAAAGATTTTATGGGCATGTAGTGTTTAATTTCCAAGTGTTGAGATTTTCTTGTTATTTTTATGTTATTAATTTTCTAATTTAATTCCATTGTTTTCAGAGAACATACTTTGTGTGATTTCAATTAGTTCAAATTTGTTAAAGTTTGTTTTATGACTCGGGATATGCCTATCTTTGTGAATTTTGTATGTTATACTTGAAGAGAAACTGTGCTCTTCTGTTGTTTGGGGGAGTGCTCTGTTTATTTCAATTAGATCCAGTTAATTCATGATAAAAATCCTTGCTGATTCTATTAGTGTTGCTGATTCTATCACTACTTCTGATTCTAAGAAAGGAGTGTTGGAGACTCCACTACAAGTGTGGATCTGTCTATCTCTCTTTCAGTTCTGTCAATTTTACTTTATCTTTTGAAGTGCTGTTGTTTGCCGACACATTTTAAGATGGTTGTGTCTTCTATGTTGATTTACCCCTCTATAATCATGCACTGTGCCTCTTTATTCTAGATAATTTTCTTTGCCCTGAAGTCTACTTTTTGTGACATTAACATAGTAACTCCTGGTTTCTTTCTTTTGATTAGTGTTTGCATAGTGTATCTGTTTTTACCCTCTTATTTTTCTCATACCAATATTATTATATTTGACATGAGTTTTTCATATGCAACACATATTTGTGTCATTTTTAATTAATTCTGAAAATCTGTCTTTTAATTGATATGAGAGCTTTTACATTTATTATTGATATATTTAGGTTTAGGTTCTACCATTATATTATTTGCTTTCTGTTTTCTTCCCTCTGTTTTTTTAATTCTCAGTTGTCCTTTTTCTGTTTTCTTAATTATTATTTGATTTTTTAGTATTTCACTGAAATTGATTTTTTGAACTATTACTCTTTGTATGTTTTGCTTGTTTGGTGTTTAGTGGTTGCTCTAGGCATTATAATACATATTTAACTTTTAACTGCTTAGACTCAATATTTTACCACTTGGCCTCCATGATTTTGGGTGAGAAAACTGCAGTTATTTGAATATCCTATTAAAAACGTATTTTTTTCTGGTTGTTTTTAAGGTTTTTTTCTTTGTTGTTAGTGTTTGTAATTTGATTATGACATTTCTGAGTTGGGATTTAAGTGTTTATCCTTTTAGGGCCTACCAAACTTCTTGAATTTGTAGGTTTATATCTTTCATCATATTTGAGAAATTTTCAGCTATTATTTCTTCATTTTTTTTTTTCTGTACTACACTCTTATTGTGACCTTCTGGGACTCCCATGCCATGAAAATTAGACCTGTTGGTATAGCCCAAGAAGTTTCTAAAGCTGTTTATTTTGTCTCTTTTTTCTCTGTTCTTTGGATTAACTTCCATTAATTTATCCTCAGATTCATTGACTCTTTTCTCTTTCATCTCCAATATACTACTGCGTCCATCCAGTAGTAAAGGTTGTGTTTGTTTGCTTAGAGTTTTTCTTTTTGTTTGCTTATTTTTGGAGAGTGTAGAAGTTATATTTTTAGTTATAGAATTTCCACTTAATACTTCTTTATATCTTTTAATTATTTGCTTAGATTTTCTTTACATTTGTTTCAAGAGTGTGCATACTTCGAACATTTTTACAATAACTGCTTAAATCTTTGTCAGATAATTCCAACAGTTCAATATCGGAGTTTATTTTTTGTCTTTACCAATATGAGTTGAGGTTTTCCTTGGTTCTTGCTTGTCAATTAACTACGTATTGTCTTCTGGATGCTTTGAATACTTTCTTATGAGACAATGAGTCCTGTTTAAACCCTATAGAAAATGTTGATATTTTGCTTTAGCAATCAGCCCAGTTGGATTCCGTTCCCGCATCCTGACCAGCCTTCTGTGGTTGTGGTTTCGATGTACATTTCAGTATTCAATGCCTTTACAGTGCTATTCACATCTGCCTTGTGTGTTTGTCACCCAGTGGGTAGTCCAGGAAGTGGGCTGAAGCCCATCTCAAAGTTTCATTCTCAAAATACATGGTATATGTTTAGGATTAGATCCACGCACTTGCAGCTCAAGGGTGAATCCAGGAGTTTATAAACAATTTTATGGAATTGGTTTCTCAAGTTCCTATGCCTCCATTATCTCCCTTTCTGGTTTCCTTTTCAGTTCCCCAGAAAGCATGGTCTTTAGCTATGCTATCCTGACACACACTTCCCATGAATGCATATGCATCCAGGACCAAGCAAAAGGAGTACATAGAAAGAAAAAAAAAAACCATTAGATGTCCTTATTTCTCAAAGTTTAAAGCACATTATAGGTTCCTGCTGCCACAACTGTTGCTACCAGAAGTTCTGTATACTACTGCTCATTATCGGGGGAAACCAGCCCCCAGTATTCAACGTGGGTCCTTTTCTATTTTCCCTAAGTGTCGGCCAGTCTGAGAAATAAAGGGAAAGAGTAAAAAAGAGAAATTTTAAAGCTGGGTGTCCAGGGGAGACGTCACGTGTAGGCAGGTTCCGTGATACCCCCCAAGCTGCAAAACCGGCAAGTTTTTAATTAGGGATTTTCAAAAGGGGAATGTACGAATAGGGTGTGGGTCACAGAGATCACATGCTTCACACAGTAATAAAATATCACAAGGCAAATGGAAGCAGGGCGAGATCACAGGAAGAGGACGAAATTAAAATTGCTAATGATCTTCAGGCACGCATTGTCATTGATAACGTCTTATCAGGAGACAGGGTTTGAGAGCAGACAACCGGTCTGACCAAAATTTATCAGGCAGGAATTTCCTCATCCTAATAAGCCTGGGAGCCCTACGGGAGACCAGGGTTTGTTTCATCCCTTATCGACAACCATAAATGGCCCTAAGCGGCCATTATAGAGACCTCCCCTTGGGAATGCATACTCCTTCTCAGTGACGTTCCTTGCTGAGAAAAAGAATTCAGCGATATTTCTCCTATTTGCTTTTGAAAGAAAAGAAATACGGCTCTGTTCCGCCCGACCCACCGGCAGCCAGACTTTAAGCTTATCTCCCTTGTTCCCTGAACATCACTGTTATCCTGTTCTTTTTTCAAGGTGTCCAGATTTCATATTGTTTAAACAATTTGTGCAGTTAACGCAATCATCACAGGGTCCTGAGGCGACATTCATCTTCAGCTTACGAAGATGACAGGATTAAGAGATTAAAGTAAAGACAGGCATAGGAAATCACAAGAGTATTGATTGGGGAAGTAATAAGTGTCCATGAAATCTTCACAATTTATGTTCAGAGACTGCAGTAAAGACAGGCATAAGAAATTATAAAAGTATTAATTTGGGGAACTAATAAATGTCCATGAAATCTTCACAATTTATGTTCTTCTGCCATGGCTTCAGCCAGTCCCTCCGTTCAGGGTCCCTGACTTCCTGCAACAGCTCATGGAACAAGAACTAAAAGGCTTTTCTCCAAGTTGTCTCTCTGTGTTGATGCTTACTTCCATATTTTGCACTACTTGAACCCAGGCTGGGGTAGACACCAGAAAATGGTAAATGCGCTATCCATTCAGTGATACTTCAAATTCTACTCAAGAGTCCTCAAATAACTGTTCCATCATTCTGATTAGGTTTTATAGATGCATTCAGTGAGAATGACAGATTGGAGTGTACTTACCCCATTTTACCCAGAACTGGAATCTTTGAGTGGGTTTTTTTTAAATTAAGCTTATAAATAGCACTGTTACTTTATAATTAGTCTACATAAAAAGCTTGTCTGGATAAGTGTTAAAAACAGATTAATAAAGAAAAGAAGAAAAGAGAAAGGAAGAAAGGGATGGAGTGAAGGAGAGAAAGAAGGAAAGAGAGAAAGGAAAGAAGAAAAAAAGGAAGAAGAGAAAAGAAAGGAAGAAGGAGAGGAGAGAGGTGAAAGAGAAATAAAGAAAGAGTACTAAAAAATAAGAAGGGGCTGGGTGCTTTGTCTCAGGCCTGTAGTCCCAGCACTCTGGGAGGCTGAAGCAGATGGATCACTTGAACCCAGGAGTTTGAGACCAGCCTGGGCAACATGGCAAAACCCCATCTCTACAAAAAATACAAAAATTAGCTGGGCATGGTGGCTTCTGCCTATAGTCCCAGCCACTCAGGAGGCTGAGGTGGGAGGATTGCTTGAGCCCAGGAGGTGGAGGCTGCAGTAAGCTGTGTTCACACAACTGCATGCCAGGTGGGTGGCAAAGTGACACTCTGCCTCTAAAAATGAAAAGAAAAGAAGGAAGACAGAAAAGGAAGGAATCAAGAAAGAAAGAGAAGAAAGAGAGAGAAGGAAAGAGGTGAAAAAGAAAAACGAAAGAGTGAAAAAAACAAGAAAGATAACGAAACTGGAAAGGAAGGAAGGGAGGTAGGAAAAAAGGAAGAAAGGATCCAAGAGGGAGAGAAGAAGAGAGAAATAATAGAAAATCAGACATTAATATCAAACACCTGACTGAAGGGAGATAAAGTTGAAACAGGAAAGGTTCCATTGTCCCCCTCACAGGGTGTGTGATGGCAGTGTGGCTCACTTCCTCCATGCCCCCCTGCTCAAACCTCTAAGGAAGCATACAGACAGGCAGGCTGTGGGGCTCCAACTCCATGTCAGTGTCTAGGGGTGAATGTTTACAGCTTCTGAAGCCCTAGTGGGCATGAGTTACAGAGTGCGCTGTTAGTTTGCCATCTATAAGCAGCTTGTGATAACCAGCTAAATTAGGTTCTCTACCGTGCCGCAAGGACAGAGGGCTTTCTGTATCTTGGGTGCTTGCCTTGGTGTACTGGAAGAATCAGACCACATGTGGGCTTTGGGAATGAGTGCAAAGTTTTATTGAGTGGAAAGTAGCTCTCTGCTGATGGGGGAGCCAGAAGTGAGATGGTTTTCCCCTGGAGTTGGGCTACTTGGAGGCCCCGGCTCTCCTCCAACTGCCCCACCAAAGTCTGCCTCATCCCAACCGACAGCCTGCCAGCATGCCAGTGTCTGTTGGTGCCTGTCAGCGTGCTCTTCCTCCCACAAGCTCTGGATGACCAGCCACTTGTGTCTTCTTCCACTGATGTGTTCCTCACGACGTCCAGTCACTTGTGTGTGTGTGCCTGCTAGGGTCTCGGGTTTTTATAGGCAGAGAGGGTGAGGGTGTGGTGGGCCAGGGTGGTCTTGGAAAATGCAACATTTGGGAACAAAGGCAGAAGCGCCTGTCCTCACCTAGGTCCATGGGTATGGAGCCCTAGCCAGAAACTATGCCTTCCTCTACCCAGCACTTCCCTCCCCTCCTTCCACATCATTTAAAGGAACCACGCTATTCCCCTCTCAGCACTCTCGTATCAAAGTCACCTTCTTTAAATTTGACAAATTGTTTCCTTTGTCTGGGAAAAAGACCATTGTGAGCAAGCCAAAATGTAGAAGTCATTTCCTCTTCACATAACTTTTGCCACCAAGTGGAGAAGAAAAGGTACTCCTAAGTTCACATGTAGAAGTCACAATCTTCACCATAGTTTCTGCCACCAAGTAGGGCAGAAATATAACTTTTGTTTTTAAAAAATAAAAAGGCTAAAATTTAATGAAATGTTTGTGCTGAAAACCCTGAGGTTTGGGGTGGGAAAATCCTTCCTTGAAAAAGTTTTCGAGAAGTAAATTTCAAATGCAAATCAAAACTACAGTGAGATATCATCTCACCCCAGTTAAAATGGTTTTTATCCAACAGATAGGCAATAACAAATGCTGGTGAGGATGTGGAGAAAAGGGAACCCTTGTCCACTGTTGGTGGAAATGTAAATTAGCACAAACACTATGGAGGATAGTTTGGAGGTTTCTCAAAAAACTAAAAATAGAACCACTATACAATCCAGTAATCCCAGTGCTAGGTATATACCCAAATAAATCAGTATATCAAAGACATATTTGCACTCCCATGTCTACTGCAGCACTATTCACAATAGCCAAGATTTGTAAACAACCTAAGTGTCCATCAACAAACAGATAAAGAAAATGTGGTACATATACACAATGGAGTACTATTCCGCCATAAAAAAGAACAACACCCTGTTATTTGCAACAACATGAATGGAACTAGAGGCCATTATGTTAAGTGAAATAAGCCAGGCACAGAAAGACAAGCTTCACATGTTCTCACTTATTTGTGGGAGCTAAAAATGAAAACAATTGAACTCACAGACATAAGAGAGTAGAAGGATGGTTACCAGAGGCTGGGAAGGGTAGTGAGGGCAGGGAGTAGGGATGGTTAATGCATACAAAAACATAGAAAGAAAGAATGAGATCTAGTATTTGATAGTACAACAGGGTGACTATAGTCAATGATAATTTAATTGTACATTTTAAAATAAGTAAAAGAGTATAATTGGATTGTTTGTAACAAAAAGGATAAATGCTTGAAGTAATGGGTACCCCATTTACCCTGATGTGATTATTTTGATATTTTGATGTGACTATTTTGATACCTCAATCCCATAAATATATAGAGCTGCTATGTGCCCACAAAGACTAAAAGAAAGAAATTATCAGGGGTTACTAAATTGAATAACAAAGCAAAACATAACCTTGGGGCAAGGGTGCGGCTTGCATTTATTAAATGTCACCCTAGATTTTTGTGTTCAATTCCAATAGGCTGAGAGCAGAGGAGTTTTAACTTTAAGAAAAGTTTTGCTGGGCTCACGCCTGTAATCCCAGCACTTTGGGAGGCTGAGGCAGGCAGATCACGAGGTCAGGAGATTGAGACCATCCTGGCTAACACGGTGAAACCCCATCTCTACTAAAAATACAAAAAATTAGCCGGGTGCGGTGGCAGGCGCCTCTAGTCTCAGCTACTCGGGAGGCTGAGGCAGGAGAATGGTGTGAACCCAGGAGGTGGAGCTTGCAGTGAGCCGAGATCACACCACTGCACTCCAGCCTGGGCGACAGAGCAAGACTCTGTCTCAAAAAAATAAAAAAGAAAAAGAAAAAAAATGTTTTGACCTAAATATGAATGAGAAGCTATCAAATGTATCTAGATGTTTATATATCTACATCTCATAATTTTATATAAAGGAAATAATGATTAGAAATACCTATTCATTAGGAATTAATCTTAGAAGCATATTTAAGTGGTAAACCAACTAAAGCCCCATTCACGTCTATGGGACTATTTTCAATAAATGACTCGATTTGCAAATTTGAAAGTTATCCCATGTTTGTGCACATGGTTTCTCTTTCATTATCTCTTTCTTAAAATGGGCAAGCTAGAATCAAGTCCATAGTACTCCCGTTAGATACTAAGGATAAAGTAAAACTTTTATTTTGTATACCATCTCTAGATGTTGTGGGGAGGAGGGCTTTCAAGAAACAGTATTAAGAGACAGTATACATACATCTTGTCTTGGCCAAGCCACCTCTCATCTCCACAAAATCCCCGTGGAAAATAAGTATAAATAAAAATGTCAGAGCAAGGCAAATTAACCATCATTATTAACTTGGACTTTGGTCGCAATACCTAAGCAGAACCAGAACTGTAGTTGACTGGACCAGTAAAAAAAACTCCTTTGTCCTAGTTAAAAGCAAAATAGAGGCATAAACAAAGCATACTGAGTGACCTACAATTTTTTCTAAACCCATACTAACATCTCAGATTTTACCCCTGAGTACACCAGCTGGTTCAGAGCCCCGCTTTCTTTTCTGAAAGCAAAAGTAAGAGTATTTGTCCCAAGATTTAGCCACCCACCTAAATATTCCTAGGCCAAGACAAAATCCAGGGAGCTGTCTGTTTTGTGGCAGAAAAGAAGGTTTCCAACTGCAAAAACAGCTGCAAAATGGGAGAAGTAAAATGACAGATATTTGCCCAGGGATGGCCTTAGGGTTCTGTCTTAGAATCGGTTTTGACTTCTTGAAACTGACTAATCTTTTGGGAGAAGTAAGGATTGATTTTAAAAAATATAAAATCAATAAAAAATTAAAAAAGCAAAAAAGAGGACACCCTTCCCCTAGTGGACCACACTATTTTCTATGAATCAGAGCAGCCCTTTTTTTAAGCTTTTTTTTTTTTTTTTTTTTCCCCCGAGACAGAGTCTTGCTCTATCACCCAGGTTTGAGTGCAGTGGCGCGATCTTGGCTCACTACAAGCTCTACCTCCTGGGTTCACGCCATTCTCCTGCCTCAGCCTCCCGAGTAGCTGGGACTACAAGCACCCGCCACCACGCCCAGCTAATTTTTTTGTATTTTTTAGTAGAGACGGGGTTTCACCATGTTAGCCAGGATGGTCTCGATCTCCTGACCTCATGATCTGCCCACCTCAGCCTCCCAAAGGGCTGGGATTACAGGCATGAGCTACCGCGTGCGGCCTTTTTAAGCTTTTTATAGCACAGACAGCTTACACTCATCTTTCAGAGAAGTGGCAATAGAGCAATTCTCAATTCCTATCCTTAATTATAAGTGAATGCTCAAATTTCATCTTTCAAGGTAGAGATTTTGTAGTTTTAAATGATATGTACACCCTTGTATTTGTGGGCAGTGAAATTAATCGGTCACTTTTCTGCCAACTTAAACAGCCAAGCAAGGCCTCTCACCCATTTCCTTTACAGCTTTGCATTTTGCCACTGTGTGGTCCTACTGCTCCTATAACAAACTGCTACACCCTTAATGGCTTCACGTAATGCCAATTTGTCATCTTAAAGTTCTGGAGGTCAGAAGTCCAAAATCAGCCTCACTGGGCTAAAATCAAAATGTCATCAGGGCTGGTTGGTTCCTTCTGGAAGCTCCAGGGGGAACCCCATTTCCTTTCTTTTTCTCACTTCTAGAGGCTGCCTGCACTCCTTGATTCATGGGCCGTACCTCCATCTTCAAAGTACATCACCCTAATTTCTGCTTCCACAGACTCATCTTTTCTGCCCTTCTGCCTTCTTTCTACAAGAAACCTCGTGATTACATTGGGTCCACCAGATATTCCAAGATAATATCCCTGTCTCAAGATTTTTAACTCAATCATCCTTCCTTTGCATATAATGTAACATATTCACAGGTTCCAATAATTAGGATGTGAACATCTTTGGTGGGGGCATTAGTCAGCCTGCTACAGTTTAAAAGTTTCCTATCGGCTGGGTGTGGTGGCTCACAACTGTAATCCCAGCACTTTGGGAGTCTGAGGCAGGCAGATCACGAGATCAGGAGATTGAGACCATCCTGGCTAACACAGTGAAACCCCATCTCTACTAAAAATACAAAAAATTAGCCGGGCGTGCTGGCAGGCACCTGTAGTCCCAGCTACTTGGGAGGCTGAGGCAGGAGAATGGCGTGAAGCCAGGAGGCGGAGCTTGCAGTGAGCCGAGATCACACCACTGCACTCCAGCCTGGGTGACAGAGCAAGACTCTGTCTCAAATAAAATAAAATAAAATAAAAAAGTTCCTATCATCGGCATATTTGGAGAACTTTATTATGTGTACCCTTTACCAGAAAAATTCTGAAAAGTTTAATTAAGATTGATTCTAGTTGTATGCATCAGTTACATTACAAAGAGTAACTGAAGAGAGTTTGACAGGGATTATTTACAAATATATGAGCAAGTTTCCTACAAAGGATAGAGAAACATTTGTAGAGTCATAATAGTCCAAAGCCCTGAGACTAAATTGTTAAAAGAAAGAAGTGGCTACTAGAATTCCAAAAGAACAATTGCTTTAAGAGAAGTTCTCCCTCTACATGACACTGTAGAGAGGAATATATCCATTGTTCACAATCAGCAAGGAAGGAACAGGGGAAGTGAATATTTTCCCAGCCTCTCTCCTCCTGGCCATAAATTGGCTGAATCCAACCAGAAGTCACATAGCAAGAGAGTGAGCCTTATTCATGCAACCCACTGAGTTTAGCCTTCTGGGACACAAAGGCGGGTGAAAAAGGGTGAAGAGCGAGTATGAAGGGACAAATAATATCCTACTGGATAGGTCTTCTTGTTTGACCTTCACCATCCACTATTGTCCTTTGTGCAAATGAAAAACATTTCATTAACATAGGGGACCCACACACAAAGTCCTATCTATTGCCATACTATTAGAGGATTATGTCAATTCAGCCATATGCCCAACAAAAACCTAAAACTTATATAGCAGTAGAGAAAAAGTTGGGGATAAACAAATAATTAATATAAAATATAGCTGCTGGCACTATTCACAATAGCAAAGACATGGAATCAACCCAAATGCCCATCAATGATAGACTGGATAAAGAAAATGTGGTACACATACACATGGAATACTATCCAGCCATAAAAAGGAATGAGATCACATCTTTTGCAGGGACATGGATGGAGCTGGAAGCCATTATCCTCAGCAAACTAATGCAAGAACAGAAAACCAAACACTGCATATTCTCACTTACAAGTGGGAACTGAACAATGAGAAGACATGGACACAGGGAGGGGAACAACACACACTGGGTCCTGTCAGGGTGGGAGGGTTGTGGGGAGAAGGAGAGCACCAGGATAAATAGCTAATGCATGCAGGGCTTAATACCTAAGTGACGGGTTGATAGGTGCAGCAAACCACCAAGGCATACATCTACCCATGTAACACACTTGCACGTCCTGCAAGTGTATCCTGGAACTTAAAATTAAATTAAATTAAATTTTAAAAACTAAAAACTAAAAAATAAATTTTAAAAAATATAGCTGCTGCCAGAGCCTTGTGACAAAGTTGATAATCACGGCTTCCTTCATTTGCCACCATTGTTCCTTCTGCCAGCAACTGGACTACTCCAGAATTTTCCTGATGGAGGACCCAACCCTTAACTCCGACATAATCTGTGTTCTTAGTATTGTTTTCTTTACTGAATTGCCACAATTTCCCATTGAACAGTATTATTGGACATGGAAGGATCATAAAGTATCCCAGTGAATCATCTAAGTTGCAGACATGATGCTCTTTTCCCTCTCTTGTGCAGCAGCAACCTGATTTTCTCTGGGTAACCGGGACCAATCTTCCCTGATACTAAAGTGAACACACTCTTTGCCAAAATGCCAGTGAGAAATCTTTTTCTAACTTAACGAAACCATGACTGTGGTGCCTGGAAGAAGTATTTATTTCATAAGGATTGGGACCTCCAAAGCTACCCAGCTCAAGTTTATGGATCATGAACAAAAATTTTTCAAATGACTTTATTAGGTATGAGAGAGAGAGAGAGAGAGAGAGAGAGAGAGAGAGAAACCATTTCCACTTCTGCTCCTTGGCTCCTGGAAGCACACATTTTGGCTATGAGAAAGACAGCACCACATATTCATGGAAACATTTAAGCACATGCCACATGTTGTAGTATAGCAATCCCACTTCCCAGAGTAAAGAAAATACAGAGGCAGATTCACCATATATCCTTATATCAGCATTGCAGGTTACTTCCTCAAGGGATCTGCTGCCCCACTCTCAATAAGGGACTCTGGATCTGTGAGTTGGATTAGGTCTAGGAATTGAATATGAGGCCGTTAATGCTCACTTTGGCAACTCAAGTCAGATTTCTGCCCACTAAACATAGACTTTTTCCACACATGAGAAGCAACACCTCACTAAACTGCACATCCATTTTCATCTGTAGGGATTCCATGATCAATGAGTCATTGCCACAAGTCCCTGTGGGTCAAACACTCTGATTACCACTCCATCATTGCAGCTTATTAAGATAATTGCACTCATCTTGTTTCTGCTGGTTAAGCAGTGACATGTGGCCTCTACCACTCTGTGATCCCATTATTCCATTGAAATCTAGGACTCCAGTGCCAATGCATTATCTCCTACTATCATCTCAGCATGCAAAGAACAGCCATTGCAAATGCTGTTGTTTTTCCAAACCAATACATTTCTGAATGCTCAGGTGAAGGGAGTTTCTTCTCAGGGACATGTGTAGTGGGTGGCTGAATGAATTATATGTAATAGATGCATCCCAACGTTTATATTTCTCTGATCTTAGGACTTCTTTCACTAAAATATTCCAGGGAGGCTCCAGCATTTATTCATCATTGACTCTAGATGACCATTGAGTCTAGTCTTCTACTCACTATTTTTACATCATTCCCAGATGGTTGACCCAACACATTACATCTAAAACTCAAGTAAATGCAACATATAGATAAATTTATCCCAATACAATCTTATATTTTTCCTCCTTGACTCAATACTTTTTGAAGCTACTTATATGTGCTACATAATCTCCTACTGCTAAAACCTGGCAAGGTCGTGAATTTCTTTGAGTACAGTCTATTTCCTTCCTAACCAGGTATTGTACAGACCCTGTCTGTGCTTTCCTGTGTACCCCATTCTATTATTGAATGACTCTGTGGGTTGGACAAGTCACTCCATGTTTTTGAGGTTCTTCTTTAAAATGAAGATAATAATGTCTACCCATAGGGTTGGTGCAGAGAATAAATAGGCAATGTAAGTAGACAGTTAACAGCACACAGCCTAGGACGAAAGAAACTAGCTTTTTACCCTCTTTAAGGAAAACTTTGAACCATATTCCCAGATACAGTTAAAAAAAATCAACAAAAATTCAACCAGTGTAAATTGCAAAGATTCCTGTTACTTAGGACTAAGAAAATCTAAAATACTGTAAAATGATTTCAGTTTAATTTAGACTATCTCACACATAGTAGGTACTCCAAAGTATTATTTCTGGAATTGGATTCTGATCCAAAGTTTGAAGCTGTATTAACTGTCCTTGGAATTTATTCTCCTTCAAGCATCTATGTCTGAAGAAAAAAAAACCATAGGATTTCCAGATTTACCGGTAAAAGACAAATGCATCATAAATTGATATTTTAATTACTCATGAGTGGGATTGATGCTGAGCCTTGAGTATACTTAACAGGTTTTGTTTTTCATGAAAGCTTTCATTTCCATTGACATTAGCAATCTGCTTATGAATCTTAGCTCCAGTGTGGTAATTATGTCAAACTCCGCTTGGGAGGGTAAAATGTTCAGTGGAGAGCAGTTGCCCTTGTTGAGAAGGAAAAGCACAAAAAGGATAAATGATTACTTATCATATTTATTCTACTTGTAAAATGATAAAGTTATTATACAGGCATAGAAATAAAACTACTCTTAGAAACCTGATTTCCACCTGGTATGAAAGAAGTATATGGAGGAATAATAAAATTCCATAGAAAATTCACTTACTCGCTAGCATACTTGACTCTCTATTGCCTTGGAAGAAAGTGTAAACATACTGCCTCTCCACATGCTTTAATTTATACTAATACTTTCCAATTAAGTTGTTGGGAAACGCCCTTTTAAAAGCTGATGCATTCAGGGCTTGCTTGCCATCTACTTGTGATGTCAATGCTAATTGCTTTAAGAACCTAAAGTTTGGAAAAATGACCATATTTCTGTATTGCAGAGGCCATATCCATTCTTTTGGGAAGCAACTTTTTTAATAGCAAAAAGGTGCAATGTATAAACACATAATCTAGAGTCATCTATTAGAAATTCATTTGTTCCAAATACTTCTCCCAATGTGTAACACTGATACAAAATAACCATTCCGTGATGTGCTTCAAAAATGTACCAGATGTATTCCTCCATTCTTGTGGGAACCTGTGGATTAGCCTTCCCACATGAGCTATCCCTATGCAAGAAGATAATTTCCTCCTACTTTTCCCATAGCTCTGTTGCAATTTGCAGGACATTATGGGAAATTTGCCACAATATGTGGGACATTTTGGTCTTCTGCTGGAATTTTGCAAGCGTGCATTGCCACGGTTTGAAGTACAGATCAAGATATTTGTTTCATATGGTGAGATCTAACATAACACTTCATGAGAGGACTAAGAGCTTGCCTGTCTTTTCCAAACTCATTAGAACTGACAGTATAACCCATTTACTTAGGCAAAATGTAGAAGAAGAAAGCTTAACCATTAGCTACAGATTATCCCTGCTGATTTAACAGCGTTGGAGACTGCATCATCATATTTTAGCACTGCCAGGGAGGGGAAGGAGCTGGAGAGAACCCATTCAAAAATGGGTTCTACTCTTAAGTTTAAACTCTGACATTCTGTTTGCTCTGAGCACCACAGAAGTTTGAGCAGCAAATCATTGTTCTTGTATTTTATTCCTCTTGTAGGCCTGGTAGACCAGAAGCAGAATATTAATTACTTTTAAACAAGAACATGAATTGTTTATATAACCTAGGTTTCTATTTAGTCAAGGGAGAAACCTATTTGTAAATTAAATGTCTCTTGAAAAACAATGACTCAGTTTAGGAGGAGAAATGTGTTATGAACTTGAAAATATAGAAATCTCAATTTCATAAAGCCCAAAATTTGAAAAAAAAATAGGTTATAGAAGTTTTAAGAAAGAGTCATCATTCATTTCAAGTGTTTCTATAATTTTTGTTTGTTGTTTGATTTTTGCAAAATATAAAAACTATATCAACATGTAAGAAAGTCTCTTGTGTGTGTCTAAAAGAAAGTACCCAGTAAAGATACTGTAATTGATTTGACCAATTCCAAGTCATTACCCTGAGCCAGTCATTACATTGCCAGTACAGTGGCAACCCTAGAGACATCTATTATTAGAGACAATCACAATTTTAAAAAATGAAAATCCTGCCAAATTATTACAGTATAATATTACAGTGTAATATTAAAGTGTAAATTATTACAGTAGGCTTCACAATAGGAAAGTCTTTGAAAAGAGGGAGAAAAACTAATCAAATTCCAACTCAAATTTTTTTTTAAATCTAACAGTAAAGAAACAAAACCTTATACACATTGAAGGCAGCTCTAAATTTCTCTAAACCATTGTATAAAATAGTAATTTCTTTTTTCTCACCTCACTCTCCTCAGCCATCAGCCCAGCCCAGTCTGTCTTTTGCAGCCCCTCTTCCCCTCCCCAACACACACACAAACACACATAGTATGTGGAAGCAGTTTCCACTGAGGTTATCAATGAGAAAAATGACACTAAATATAATTGGCACATTTTTAGTCCTCATCTTACTTGGCCTCTAAAAACACCATAAGCAACTTTTTACTATTCTCTTCTTGAAACATTTACTTCCCTTGGATTCCCTAACACGTCACTTTCTTGGTTTCCCTTCTACTCTGGCCACTCTTTGCTGGCTGATTCTCTTCTCCCTGGGCATTAGTGTCAAAGTTACATCACCTTCTCTTTTTACTATATATTCTTTTCCTAGACAATCTCTTCAAAGCTCTTGCAATTTTTAAAAAGATTAATCACAAACTTTACTGTTCAGTCCAGACCTCCCATTTCAGGTCACCAACTGCCTTGAAATTTTCACTTGGCTATCTTACAGAATTACATGTTTAAGATATGCAGAACTGATCTCATTTTCTCAATCCTGAATTTGGTTTTCTCCAAATGCTTCCTGATGGCACCACATTGACCCAGTTGTGCAAGCTAGAAATGTAGGAGCCATTTTTAACCGTTCTCTTCACCAGTTTTTCCCTACTTAATCAATCCATCAGAAACTCCTATAAGATTTCCCCCAATTTTTCACTGAATTCATCCATTTCAGTTCATCTCTGATGTCACTACCCTCATTCAAGCTACTATTTTATGGTATATGGACCATTAAAATAGTCTCAAAATTGAGCTTTTCACTTCAAAACTTGCAACATCCAAACTAAAGCCCCACTAAAACCACAGTAAAGTAAGTAAATAAGTAAATAAATAAATAAATGTGCTAATATCACCCAGTGCATAAAACACTTCAGCAGTCTGGCTCTTAGATGAAGACCAAGGCTTTTCATGGTTTCTCCACTACACACTTCATTAGTATGTCTCCTGCATGTTCCCTCTCCTACTGTCTGCTTCTGCCATGCCTGCCTTTTTTTTTAGTTCCTCTAACATGCCATGTTCCCTCTTGCTTCACATGATGCTCCCTCTGTTGAACAGTTTTTCCCTCATGCCTCTATCAGTTCTTCCTAATCTCACCTCCAATGTCACTTCCTCAGAGAAGCCTTCTGTGAATTTTCTGACTAGGCCAAATTCCCCATAACGTGATCTCATAACTCCCTGTACCTCTAATTTGTGGCACTTACTACAGTTATAATATGAAAGTTATCTATGCAGTCATCAGATTTGTGTACCCAAGCAATAAGTTCCACTGAAGGGTCTATTTTACTCACCATGGTATTCCTGCTTCAGTTTATTATAGGTGTTAAATCAACAGTAGAATTAATTAATTAATTAATTAATTAATGGCATATTCTGGAAACTCTTACTAAATGTAGATACTCACTGAAAATATTGATCAGCCAAAGAACTACTACTTAGATGACCATAGACCCTGACATTCATAAACAATGAGGCTAATGATGTTGACAACAATTAAAGTGAAGATAGGGACAATGATAATGCTTATGATAATGGTGATATTAGCTAATACTCAATGAGCTTTGCTTGACACATGGACTAAGTGTCAATGTAATCCTCATAATAGCCTAAAAAGTAAATATTTCTGTCCCCTTTAAAATTCAGAGATGAAGGTGATGTGTGCAATTACTATCATTAAAATGTAATGACCCTCTCAAGTATGTTTTTATTATTTTTATCTGTGAGGTAGAAATGTATTTCTAACTTTCTTTCAATCCAATAATGCCAAACTTTATATATTTAATGCCCTTGGGGAAAATTGCCAGCTTTATAACAACAAGCTTATTAACAAACACTTCCATAAGTTAAGTCCATGGTTGCTCATAATCAGTAAGTGAAACTTTGCTTTTTTGGAATTGAAAACGTATTAATTTAGAATGCAATGTGTCCAGAAAACTAAAGTAGTCAGTTGACTTAAATTTTTGCTTTCTTGCTACAGTGTTCTCTCTAAAAACATTACTAACTTCTTGCTCAGGTTAAACAAAACAAAAAATGAAAAACAACAACAGCAAATAAAAGAGGTTTAATTTTTTAACAACATTAAAATAGAAATTGTACTCCTGGTGTAGAAAATAGGACTGCACAAACTTTCATAATAGACCTTCTACAAAGGAAAGGTGAATTTATCATGACTATTTTACATAACTCTAATAAATGTTTTCATATTCCAAAATAAACTAAAAATATAAATGCAAAACATCCTGCAACAATATAGAATGTACCAATAAAATAAACCACCACAAATAATAATTATTATTTTCTTATACACTCACCTTCATAGACCTCTTACACTTTCTATGGCAGAGCTACCGTACAGTAAAGCTGTATAAGTACTAATAAACTGAAGCCATGATTTCTTGATATAAAATAAACTCTAATGGTTATTACGCTTTTTCCATGTCAGAAAAGATTTCTCCAACTCTGACCAATAGTCCATTACAATATTCATTTCTCTGAGATATTAGGCTCAAAATTGGGCTCAGGTATATAATTATCTTACCTTCTGTCACCTACATTTTTAGAATATATAATTTACCATATAAACTATTTGGATAAACTTGTGAAAATGACAGCTGATCCTGTTTTAAGAAATGTGTCACTCTGTCTCACAAGAAGTCATGCAATACTGAGACCTAATGATGGTTTTACAACTGTTTTCCAGCATATTTTTACATTGCATGCATTTTCACTTCCAGCCATGAATCCAGTACTTAACAAGACATAAAATTAATAATTCAGCTGAACATGTTTAACCAGGTAATGCAATCGCATGCTAACTCCTCAGATGAATGAGCTGTATTTTATTTTGTAGGCAGAGCTTTTTAAGTCATCTGATACTATGACTATGGCAACTGGGATTGTAATGCACCAGAAAATACAATAGATATACACCTCAGAAGCACTTTTTCTTCTGTGTTTGCACTAAATGGAGGAAAGGGAGGAATCTGGGGAGGGGAGATGGCAAGCTGACACAATCCATATACAACTTGTTCCATTGTGTCTTGTTATTACAGCACATATGGCTTGTACCATACTGATCTGAGATCCCTCCAACACATAGGAATAAGCAGAAAAAGTGAGGAATTAAGTGCTAGCCTTCACTTTTAGTTTCCCAGCTTTGGAGGTTTCTCTAAGAGTATTATTTAGAAGTTGTTAATTTCCTTTTATAACAGATTTTTTTTTTAATGGAAGAAATTCCTCATAGAAGTGTAAAGAAGATGGGATGATAGACTGTAAAGGTTCTAAAGATGTGTAAATACTTATTTGTGGACTTTTTGAAATCCAGATCATACAAATACTCATCAAGGACTTTGAAACATATTATTGATCCAATTGTTTATACTTAAAATATACTTATATATTTTATTTTGGAATATTAGAATCTGCCTTTAAAATACAAATTGGATATTCTAAGTAATGCTATTTACCTAGTAGGTTATAATGATTTCACCAATCTAAATATCTGTATAATTTGTGTATAGATATTTAGAATATATTTTGAAATTTTGGCATAACAAAAATCTTTATGCAAAGCCCTTCCTCAGTGCAGGCAGAAATCAAATTGCAATTTCAAAATCAGATATTCCTTTAGTGACCCATCATCATATTTAGCACCTTTAGATATTCTCTAATTTTCTATAGTATCAGGTCACTAGTCATTCATGGCAAAAACATCTGGGATGCTCTCTTCCTTGGAAAAGTTCTAAATAAAAGGTCTCCCTATAGGCCACTAGTCAGCTGTCAGTTGTCTTCTGAGATAGTTTTGAGCTTAAAGAGCAAGTTTTGACCAAGTTTAACAAGTTCCACAATCTTGAAACGCAAAAACCACTATACATATAATTTCAGGCCTTTTATTATATTAATGTAAATGTCAAAAGAAAAATGCATTTTCAATATTTAGAAGATGAAAAAGATAAAAATGATTTCATTTACCTAGAATAATTTAAGTGGATAACTAAGCCTTATCTATCATGAACATGAACTACTTAACTTTTTCTCCTTTGACATATTTAAATAAATTTATAATTTTAAATAGACATATTTCACAGTAAAAACCTCTTCCTTTTTACATTTCACACAATAACTACTTAATAGATAGAGTTTAACAGTTCAAATAAAAGAATATTTTAGAGTTCCAAGTCTAGAGTAACAACTTTAAATAATTTACTTACATTCTCATGCATTCTATACAATATATTGGCCTAACTGTGCATAGGGACTTTCAGGGAACTTAAAGGCACAGGAATAAGGACAATATAAGGAGTACATTAGGAGAATGTTTACTCCAGTTGTAATTGACCTCGTAACTGGTTTGTGAAAGAGTGAAATAATCAGGAGTGGGTTACTTAAGGCCATTCCTAATCTGAACATGTTTCTAGTTTTATACTTATATATATCCAGATGGAAATGACACAGAGGAACACAGAGGAATAAAGAAGAAACTCAAAGCTAATTCAGAAGTGCTAGTTTTGACTATAACCCAAACTTTGGTTTACAAGGGAGATTACCCCGAATAGAAATTAACTTCCCATTTAACAGGGGAAAATACATTTTAAAAGCACATTTGGGGCCCTGCTTTTGAAAAGGGACAATATTATATGAACTTTACAAATAATAATTGACCCAATAAATATATTGAAAGCAAGTACATATGGATAAAATTTACTTGACATCATTTAAAAATAATTAAGGGAGGAGAAATACTTGAGATAGAAAGCATTTGGGATTTTATTGGAAACAAACCGTTTGTAAAATAACTGGAGATTCTTAATGAGCTTAAAACGTGGGTGTGTTGGCACATCTTCCTTTTGGATTAATAAACTGTTCATTACTAGAGCCTGGTGGGTATACATTCCTCAGATCTAGTGTCACTATGATTCAAGAAAGAACTCTGGGATCAACCATGGACTGCATCCACAATGTCCTTAGGTACTGGGAAATCCTGGGAATACAGGAGTTGCAGGAATAAATGATCATAGCAAAAGCATCTTAATATAAAGATATGGTTTTTCTTATGAGTTGACTTGCCCTTAGAAATAATCAGTGTGACAGAAATGACTTTGAACTTCGGACTTACAATCAAAGTTAAATTCTTTCTCTAGTGTTCCAAATGATTTTAAATGTACCTATCCTGCTAGAATAATCTGTAATTATTAGAAAATAGTTTCAGGAGTTTAAAAACAGTGATACAGAAACAAAAGGCCATGGACTCTTGCCTACTTCTGTGCCAATCATTCCACAAAATGCTTGTGACTGCAGGAATTCTTTTCATGAACATGGGGTCCAAAGAGTTTACCCAGCAAAAACTGATTTAAAAAACAATAACCAAAGAAAACATAATAACTTCCCAGCACAAAAGACCAGTAATACAAACCTTCACTTAGAACACACTTGGATATCAAATTTTCCATGCACAAAAAGCATTTTGTAGGTCAGAAGGTATGTCTGCAATAATAATTGTTTGGGGTAACCCTTAGAAATAATTTGGCATTTTACCTAATCTGACACCATTAAAATATTTTAAAACAACTAACTGTCAAATCCCAAAACAAATACTAAATGCATTTGTAGCTGATAAAGTAAAGGGTCAGTGCAAGTGGGATTAGGAAGATGTACAGCAAGAAGAGTAGGCCTTGAGAGATGGGTAGGATTTGGAGAGGCAAAAAGATGAAAAAGAAAATAAGACACAGGACAAAGTGTGAAGACAAGAATCAAAGCACAAGATTGAGCTTGCTGTGGGGAGAGAGATTAACCTGACCAGGGTGAAGGGTGCTTTTGGGGAATCTGTGAGATATAAGGATGAATAAATTGTAAGCAGACTATATAAGGTCTTTGAAGCTGAGTGGATTACTCGCTGTTGGTGGGAATGTAAATTAGTTCAGCCACTGAGGAAAGTAGTTGTCAGATTTATCAAAGAACTTAAAACAGAACTATCATTTGACCTAGCAATCCCATTACTGGGTATATAACCAAAGGAAAATAAAGTCCTTCTACTAAAAAGGTATATGCACACATATGATCATCAGAGCACTATTCACAATAGCAAAGATATGAAGTCAACCTAGGTACCCATTAACAGTAGACTGGACAGAGAAAATGTAGTAGTAGTACACATACACCATGGAATACTATGTAGCCATTTAAAAAATGAAATCATGTCCCTTGCAACAACATGGATGCAGCTAGAGGCCATTATCCTAAGCGAATTAATGCAGAAACAGAAAACCAAATACCATGTGTTCTCACTTACAAGTGGGAGCTAAACACTGGGTACACAGGGACATAAAGATGGGCACAACAGATACTTGGGACAACTAGAGGGAGAAGAGAGAGAGGAGAGCAAGGGCTGAAAAACGACCTATTGGGTGTTATACTCACCACCTGATAGAATCACTTATACCCCTAATCTCAGCACCGTACAATATACTCATGTAGCAAAGTTGCACATGTACCCCCTGAATCTAAAATAAAAGGTGAAATTACAGAAAAGAAAGCTGAGTAGAAAAGGTACGAAATAAGGTAACAGAAGAAGATGACAGGTTTTGAGTTCAGAAATGTTATGATGGAATGATGTTTTAGAATAGTGTAGAGGTACAAGTATGTGGAACAGATTACAGTAAAGAAACACCTGAAGAAGGATAATGAACTAGGGTGTTATTGCAGAATTACAAGCATAAGGTGATTAGGAACTGGGATGGTATGCTAGCAGTCACCAAAGCCAGTAGAGCAGGACATGTCACCAGAGTGTCAAAGGTCAACATAGTCAACTAACAGGGAGTGATCAAAGCATTATATAATGGAAAAAAACATAAATTGTGGATTCAGTTAAAAGTCACACCATCCCTTTGAAGTCTTTATTTCCTCATCTGTAAAACAGGCTAGAAATACCTACTACGTAGAGTAGTTGTGAGAAATAAGATAATGTGAACGAAGCACCTGACAAGAAATAATAGAGTTTTATTATTAATAGTGTATAGATTAACAAAATGTGGGTTTTTTTTAATTTCCCATCTTGGCCAGAAGTGATTGTAATGATCCTCTTTTGCTGACTCTAACAGGTTATACTCCAGTAGAAAGAACTGAATTATGGGGTCCCATTTGATGAATACTTTTAATTGTCACTTACAAAAATGCACATTATTTTCTGTTCTCTTGTTACCCCTTTCAAATCAATGGCTGCAAAGAAAGTGAGAAGTTGGCAGAATGAACCAAACAGATGCAATTTCAAGGACACCTGGACACTGACAATTGAAGAAAACTAAATTTCTAAAATTGATTAGTTTTTGCTTGAACTCCAGGTATTCTTGCTGTTTTATGTATTTCTTATAAAGATAACAGATACTGCTGCTTTTCTGCTATCACTAAATTCTTTATGTTCATGAAAGTAGGCTGTGAACCACATACAGAAAACAGCCTACTAAAAAGTCAAGTTCAAGCTAATCTTTATTGTTGGAGAGCTCTGAGCTCCCATTTTGTGGGTGGACCAATCCTTCAACAGTTAGTATACAGATGTTTACTTTTACCTGAAATGCACACAGCTAAACCCCTAGTTCTGTCAGTGTTTCAGAAACCAATGCGATTGTCCTCCAAAAAATTTAAATGGAAAATATGGATTTCTCTATGTGTCAACATCTCTATCAGAAAGGCATACTAAAGTTGTCTCTTACAAAACTGGCAGTTCATTACCATCTGAATTTCAAGGAAGAGAAGAGAGAGAAGAGATGTTATTGTAGATATGACAGTGCCTTAAAATTTGCTTAGGTTCATGTGGTTTTAAAATTTGCAACTGTGTTGTGTTTTTCAACAAGGTTTTTAGGTGTAACTTTTATGAGTTACACTTATGTTAACTATAACAGAATTGAAAATATAAAATATTTCCACTACCCCATAAGTTTCCTTGTGCCTCCTTCATAATCAACGTCTTCCTCTGTTCCCAACCCCAAGCATACCCCTCAGTGATATTTGTCTCAACAGATTTTTCTCTCCTGAATATTATGTTAGTGTAATAATACAGTATGTTTGCTTTTGGATCTGGCTTTTTTCACTGGACATGATGCTTTTGAGATTCATCCACGTTGTTGCATGAATTGGCAGTTTGTTCTCTTTTTCGCTGTGCAGTATTTCCTTGTATGGTTGTACCACAGTTTATTCATACTTCAGCAGTTAATAGACATTTAGGTAGTTTACAGTTTGGGAGAGTTATGAATGAAGCTACTCTAAATATTCACATAGAGTTTTGTGTAAACATATATTTCTGTTTCTTTGGGGTAAATACCTTGGAGTGGGATTGCTAAGTCAAGTAACAGGCAGAGGTTTAACATTATAAAGAAATGCAAAAATTTTACAAGAAACTCCAAATTGGGTATAACATTTTGCATTCCTACAAGCTATGTATTAGAGTTCCAATTGTTCTACATCCTTGTAAGCATCAGTATAATATTTTTTAACTCTTATCCTTCTTTAATAGGCATATAGTGGTATATCACTGTGGTCTTACTTTGCATTTGCCTATTGACTAATGATGCTGAACATCTATTCATATGTGTATGTGCATTTACCATCTGTATTGCTTCTTTGGTGAATTGTTCAAATCATTTGCCTGTTTTTATTTTATTTGGTTGATTTTTAAATTATTGAGTTGTGAGAGTTCTTGTACATGAGAGTTCTGGATACAAACCCATTACTAAATAAGAGTTTTTCAAGTAACTTTTTCTCAATGTGTGACTTGTCTTTTCATTTTCTTAACATCATTTTAACATATACCCATTTAACATATACCCACTTTGGAGCTTCTTATAAAATTTTTCCATTTTCTTATAATGTTAAACCTCTGCCTTAACATCATTTTTTGAACAGCAAAAGTTTTTAGCTTTTATGATTTCTGCCTTTTGGGTATTGTCTAAGAAATATTTGGTTGGGTGCAGTGGTTCATGTCTGTAATCCCAAGCACTTTGGGAGACCAAGGTGGAAGGAGTTCAAGACCAGCCCGGGCAACATAGCGAGACCCCATTATAAATATAAAATATACATATATATATATAGTATATATATGTACAAAAGATACATTTACTTTGCCCAGCATCACAAAGATTTTTTTTCTATGTTTTCTTCTAGAAATTTGGATTATGCTCTTAGGTCTAGAATCATGTCTAGTTAATTTCTATAAATGAGGTAAGGAATGGGTTAACATTAATTTCCAGCACTTTATGGGGTGTTCCAGTGCCATGTATTAAAAAGACTATCCTTTCTCCATTGCATTATCTTGACACCTATGTCTACAAACAATTGACTATATATATATATGTGTGTGTGTGTGTGTGTGTTTGTGTATATATATATATATATACACAAACACACACATATATATGGTCATATATATATATATATATATATATATATATATATATATATATGAGCCTATTTCTGGAGTCTCCATAGTGTTCAATTGATCTATATGTCTGACTTTTCAACAAAACCATACTTGCTAATTCCTATAGCATTATAGTTAGATTTTAAGTGAGGAAGTAAGAGTTATTCAGCTTTTAGGTTTATTGACTTTCTTTATTGTTTCTCTGTTCTTATCTTTACTATTTCTTCTGTTAACTTGGGTTTGATTTGCTCTTCTTTTCCTAGTTCCTTTAGGTGAAGCTTACATTTTTGTTTTGAAATGTCTCTTGATTTCTAATCCAAGCATTTAAGGCTACATATTTCCCTCTTATCACTGCTTTGGTTCTGTTCCATAAATTCTGATATGTTGTTTTCATTTTCATTCAGTTCATAACTTATTCAAAACTGCTTTGACTATTCTAAGTCCTTTACCTTTTCATATCCATTTTAGAATCAACCTGTTATCTTTATACAAATTCCTGTTAAGGTTTTTATTAGGATTGCATTGAGCCATTAGAGCAAGTTGGGGAGAATGACATGATAACAATATGAAGCCTTCCATCTATGAGCATGCTACAACTCTCCATTTATTTCTATCTTGTTTAAATTTTCTCAACTGTATTGTAATTTTCAGCACGCAAATAAATGTGTTTTAGTTTTATCCATAAATTTTCATGGTTGTCAACATTACTGTAAATGGTACTGCTTTTTAAAATTTGTAATTTCTAACTTTTTCTTGAGGGTATAAAGAAATACAATAAATTTTTGTATTCTGACACCTTGCTAAACTCACAGATTAGTTTTCATGGTTGGGAGTGTTTTTGGTAGACTAATTGAGAACTGAGTTTTTTTATTTGAACAGTATTTCTTCTTATTTAATCTACATATTATTTCTTTTACTTGCTTTATTGCACTGGCTAGGAATTACAGTACCATGTTGAATATGAGTAATAAAAATGGGCATCCTTAACTTATTTCTGAACTTAAGGGTAAAGAATTCAGTCTTTCATTATTAGGTATTATATTAACTGTAGTTTTTCATAGATGTTCTTTAAGAGATTGAAGACATGTCATTCTATTCCCAGTTTCCTGAGGGTTTTATAATGTGTGAAATGTTGAACTTAGTATCTATTGAGATCTAAGTATCTGTATCTATTGAGATGATCAGACTGTTTCTATTTTTCAGGCTGTTGATATGGTAAATTGATTGATGTTTGAAATGTGAAATGAACTTGCTTCCTACTGGATCACGATATATTATCTTTTTTATGTGTGGCTAGATTTAATTTCCAAGTTTTGTTAAGGACTTCTGTGTTTATGTTGATATATGATATATTCTGTAGTCGTGTGTTTTCTTGTTTCGTCCTTTTCAAGTATTATTGTCAAAGATAATGCTGGCCCCACAAAATGATTTGGGAGGTCTTCCCATTCTTAAATTTTCTCAAAATTTTTAAGTAAACATTGTATTATGTCTTCCTAAAATGTTTAGAAGATGATAGTTTGGCTGTGTCCACACCCAAATCTCATCTTGAACTGTAGCTCCCATAATCCCCACATGTCATGGGAGGGACACAGTGGGAGGTATTTGAATTGAATCATGGAGGCAGGTTTTTCCCATGCTGTTTTCATGATAGTGAATAAGTATCATGAGATCTAATGCTTTATAAAGGGGAGTTCCCCTGCATATTCTATCTTGCCTCCCACCATGTAAGACGTGCCTTTGCTCCTCCTTTGTCTTCCACCATGATTATGAGGCCTCCCCAGCCACGTGGAACTGAGTCCATTAAACCTCTTTTTCTTTGTAAATTACCCAGTCTTGGGTATTTCTTCATAGCAGAATAAAAATGGACTAATACAGTAGACCTCACCAACAAAACTATCAGAAATTGACATTTTATTTTGGGGGTAGTTTTAGCAATAAATTTAATTTCTTTAATAGTTAACAGACACATCAAAATTATCTCTTTCTTCTCAAGTAAACTTTGGCAGTTAACGTCTTTGAAAACTTTGTACATTTTATCATTTTATTTAAATTAACAAACTTCTTGACATAAAATTGTTCATAATATCCCTTGCTGTCCTCTTAAAGTCTAAATTATCTATAGTGATGTTCTCTCATTCCTATTATTGGTAATTTTTGTCTTGTCTCTATATTTCTTGATAAGTCTGCCTACAGGTTTATAATATTTGTTCACCTTTTCAGAAAACCAGCTCTTCAGTTTATTGGCATTCTTTATTACTTTTCTGTTCTTATCTTTATTATTTTCTTTCTTCTGCTAACTTTAGGATTAATCTGCTCTTCTCTTCCTAGTTTCTTTAGGTCAGGCTTACATTTTTGTTATGAAACTTCTCCTAGTCTCTAATCCAAGCCTTTAAAAACCATGTTTCCTTCTTATCACTGCTTTGGTTCTGTCCCACAGATTTTGACATGTTCTGTTTTAATTTTCATTCAATTCATAATATTTTCTAATTTCCCTTGTGAGTTCCTCTTTAAGACATTTATTTAGACATGTGGTGTTTAATTTTCAAATACTTGGGGAATATTCTATCTAACATTCTCTTGCTGATTTCTAGTTTAATTCCACTGTGGTCACAGAATCAACTCTGTGTAATTTCAGCTCTTTTAAATGGATTAAAATTTGTTTTATGGCCCACAATATGGTCTATACATCCAGTTGTAAATAATGCATATTCTGCTGTTATTAGGTACAATGTTCAAAAATGACTATTAAGCCAAATTGGTTGATAGTGTTCCTAATGTCTTCTCTTTATTGATACCCTATTTTTCTATCAATTATTGGGGAAAGAGTATTGACATCTCCAAATGAATTGAGTATTTTTTTATTTCTCCTTTCAAGTCTATCAGTTTTTCCTTCATATGTTTAGAAGCTCTACTATTAGGTAAATGTATATAGAGAATGGTGATGTCTTCTTAATGAATTGATCCCTTTACCATTATACAATGTTTCTTTTAATCCCTGATAATATTCCCTGCCTTGAAAAATACTTTATCAAGAGTTTTTAGCATGAAGTGTTGTTGAATTTTGTCAAAGGCCTTTTCTGCATCTATTGAGGTAACCATGTGGTTTTTGTCTTTGGTTCTGTTTATATGCTGGATTACATTTATTGATTTGCATATATTGAACCAGCCTTGCATCCCAGGGATGAAGCCCACTTTATCATGGTGGATAAGCTTTTTGATGTGCTGCTGGATTCGGTTTGACAGTATTTTATTGAGGATTTTTGCATCAATGTTCATCAAGGATATTGGTCTAAAATTCTCTTTTTTGGTTGTGTCTCTGACCAGCTTTGGTATCAGGATGATGCTGGCCTCATAAAATGAGTTAGGGAGGATTCCCTCTTTTTCTATTGATTGGAATAGTTTCAGAAGGAATGGTGCCAGTTCCTTCTTGTACCTCTGGTAGAATTCGGCTGTGAATCCATCTGGTCCTGGACTCTTTTTGGTTGGTAAGCTATTGACTATTGCCACAATTTCAGAGCCCGTTACTGGTCTATTCAGAGAGTCAACTTCTTCCTGGTTTAGTCTTGGGAGGGTGTATGTGTCGAGGAATTTATCCATTTCTTCTAGATTTTCTAGTTTATTTGTGTAGAGGTGTTTGTAGTATTCTCTGATGGTAGTTTGTATTTCTGTGGGATTGGTGGTGATATCCCCTTTATCATTTTTTATTGTGTCTATTTGAGTCTTCTATCTTTTCTTCTTTATTAGTCTTGCTAGCGGTCTATCAATTTTGTTGATCCTTTCAAAAAACCTGCTCCTGGATTCATTAATTTTTTGAAGGGTTTTTTGTGTCTCTATTTCCTTCAGTTCTGCTCTGATCTTAGTTATTTCTTGCCTTCTGCTAGCTTTTGAATGTGTTTGCTCTTGCTTTTCTAGTTCTTTTAATTGTTATGTTAGGGTGTCAATTTTGGATTTTTCCTGCTTTCTCTTGTGGGCATTTAGTGCTATAAATTTCCCTCTACACACTGCTTTGAATGTGTCCCAGAGATTCTGGTATGTTGTGTCTTTGTTCTCGTTGGCTTCAAAGAACATCTTTATTTCTGCCTTCATTTCATTATGTACCCAGTAGTCATTCAGGATCAGGTTGTTCAGTTTCCATGTAGTTGAGCAGTTTTGAGTGAGTTTCTTAATCCTGAGTTCTAGTTTGATTGCACTGTGGTCTGAGAGACAGTTTGTTATAATTTCTGATCTTTTACATTTGCTGAGGAGAGCTTTACTTCCAAGTATGTGGTCAATTTTGGAATAGATGTGGTGTGGTGCTTAAAAAAATGTATATTCTGTTGATTTGGGGTGGAGAGTTCTGTAGATGTCTATTAGGTCCACTTAGTGCAGAGCTGAGTTCAATTCCTGGGTATCCTTGTTAACTTTCTTTCTCGTTGATCTGTCTAATATTGACAGTGGGGTGTTAAAGTCTCCCATTATTATTGTGTGGGAGTCTAAGTCTCTTTGTAGGTCACTCAGGACTTGCTTTATGAATCTGGGTGCTCCTGTATTAGGTGCATATATATTTAGGACAGTTAGCTCTCCTTGTTGAATTGATCCCTTTACCATTATGTAATGGCCTTCTTTGTCTCTTTTGATCTTTGTTGGTTTAAAGTCTGTTGTATCAGAGACTAGGATTGCAACCCCTGCCTTTTTTTGTTTTCCATTTGCTTGGTAGATCTTCCTCCATGTATTGATGGGACATATCTCAAAATAATAAGAGCTATCTATGACAAACCCACAGTCAATATCATACTGAATGGGCAAAAACTGGAAGCATTCCCTTTGAAAACTGGCACAAGACAGGGATGCCCTCTCTCACCACTCCTATTCAACATAGTGTTGGAAGTTCTGGCCAGGGCAATTAGGCAGGAGAAGGAAATAAAGGGTATTCAATTAGGAAAAGAGGAAGTCAAATTGTCCCTGTTTGCAGATGACATGATTGTATATCTAGAAAACCCCATTGTCTCAGCACAAAATCTCCTTAAGCTGATAAGCAACTTCAGCAAAGTCTCAGGATACAAAATCAATGTACAAAAATCACAAGCATTCTTATACACCAATAACAGACAAACAGAAAGCCAAATCATGAGTGAACTCCCATTCACAATTGCTTCAAAGAGAATAAAATAGCTAGGAATCCAAGTGACAAGGGACGTGAAGGACCTCTTCAAGGAGAACTACAAACCACTGCTCAAGGAAATAAAAGAGGATACAAACAAACGGAAGAACATTCCATGCTCATGGGTAGGAAGAATCAATATCATGAAAATGGCCATACTGCCCAAGGTAATTTATAGATTCAATGCCATCCCCATCAAGCTACCAAGGACTTTCTTCACAGAATTGGAAAAAACTACTTTAAAGTTCATATGGAACCAAAAAAGAGCCCGCATCACCAAGTCAATCCTAAGCCAAAAGAACAAAGCTGGAGGCATCATGCTACCTGACTTCAAACTATACTACAAGTCTACAGTAACCAAAACAGCATGGTACTGGTACCAAAACAGAGATATAGACCAATGGAACAGAACAGAGCCCTCAGAAATAACGCCACATATCTACAACTATCTGCTCTTTGACAAACCTGAGAAAAACAAGCAATGGGGAAAGGATTCCCTATTTAATAAATGGTGCTGGGAAAACTGGCTAGCCACATGTAGAAAGCTGAAACTGGATCCCTTCCTTACACCTTATACACAAATTAATTCAAGATGGATTAAAGACTTAAACGTTAGACCTAAAACCACAAAAACCCTAGAAGAAAACCTAGGCATTACCATTCAGGACATAGGCATGAGCAAGGACTTCATGTCTAAAACACCAAAAGCAATGGCAACAAAAGACAAAATTGACAAATGGGATCTCATTAAACTAAAGAGCTTCTGCACAGCAAAAGAAACTACCATCAGAGTGAACAGGCAACCTACAAAATGGGAGAAAATTTTCGCAACCTACTCATCTGACAAAGGGCTAATATCCAGAATCTACAATGAACTCAAATTTACAAGAAAAAAACAACCCCATCAAAAAGTGGGCAAAGGATATGAACAGACACTTCTCAAAAGAAGACATTTATGCAGCCAAAAGACACATGAAAAAATGCTCATCTTCACTGGCCATCAGAGAAATGCAAATCAAAACCACAATGAGATATCATCTCACACCAGTAAGAATGGCAATCATTAAAAAGTCAGGAAACAACAGGTGCTGGAGAGGATGTGGAGAAATAGGAATGCTTTTACACTGTTGGTGGGACTGTAAACTAGTTCAACCATTGTGGAAGTCAGTGTGGCGATTCCTCAGGAATCTAGAACTAGAAATACCATTTGACCCAGCCATCCCATTACTGGGTGTATACCCAAAGGACTATAAATCATGCTGCTATAAAGACACATGCACACGTATGTTTACTGCGGCACTATTCACAATAGCAAAGACTTGGAACCAACCCAAATGTCCAACAATGATAGACTGGATTAAGACAATGTGGCACATATACACCATGGAATACTATGCAGCCATAAAAAAATGATGAGTTCCTGTCCTTTGTAGGGACATGGATGAAATTGGAAATCATCATTCTCAGTAAACTATCGCAAGAACAAAAAACCAAACACCGCATATTCTCACTCATAGGTGGGAATTGAACAATGAGAACACATGGATACAGGAATGGGAACATCACACTCTGCGGACTGTTGTGGGGTTGGGGGAGGGAGGAGGGATAGCTTTAGGAGATATACCTAATGCTAAATGACGAGTTAATGGGTGCAGCACACCAGCATGGCACATGTATACATATGTAACTAACCTGAACAATGTGCACATGTACCGTAAAACTTAAAGTATAATAATAATAAAATAAAATAAAATAAAAGATATAAACGGAAGTTCAAAACCACAAAAAAAGAGAAAAATACTTTATCTGATATTATTATAGCCACTGCATCTTTCTTTTGATTGGGTTTTTCATAGTATTTTTCAATTCTTTAACTTTTAAATTATTTGTGTCTTTATAATTAAAGTGAGTTTCTAATAGAAAGCATATAACTGAGTCCTGCTGTTTTAACAATGTCTTTTAATGGAGTGCTTAGAGGATTTTCTTTTGATATAATTATTGATATGGTTAGTTTAAAAAGTGTCATTTTGTTAGTTGCATTGTTTGTCCAAATTGTTCTTTGTTTCCCTTTTCTCTCTCTTCCTGCTTTTTTGTATTAGCAAATTATTTTTCATAATTTTATTTAATCTCAAATTATTTATCATGCCTTTTTTAGGAGTTGCCATAGAATATCAATATAAATTTCAAACTCATCACTATCTACTTTTAAGTAATAACATACCATTTTATTTTTAGTGTAAGAAACTTACGGCAATATACTTTCAATTCCTCCTTCCCATTCTTTGTGTTACATTTGTCAGACACCTGATTTTTACATAACTTATGAATCCACAATACATTTTTAAATCATTACTATAGGCAGTCAATTATCTTCTAAAGTGAACAGATATTTTTAAAATCTTTTAAATTTACCTTGGTTTCTATCATTGCTTCTGTTATTTTTTTGTGTAGACACAAGTTTCCATTTGGTATCATACTCTTAGAGAACTTCTATACATTTCTGGTAGTACTGGCATGTTGGCAATAAATTCCTGAACTTCATCTTATCTGAAAGTGTCTTTATTTCACCTCCATTTTTGAATGATATCTTCTCTGGGTATAAAATTCTGGGTTGACAGTTTTGTGGGTGTTTTTAAATTAGTACTTTAAAGATGTTAATCCATTGGCTTTTGGTTTCCATAGTTTCTGACAGATATTCTGGTGTAATCCTTATCTTTGTTCCTCTCAATGTAATATTTCTTTTCTCTCTAGCTTCTGTCAAGATTTACTCTTTGGCTTTAGGCACATTCACTATAATGTGTCTGGATGTGGTTTGGTTTAGTTTCATTCTGTTTTGGTATGTACCCTCCTAGGCATTATTTAAGCTTTTCTATTTGTGGTTTGATCTCTTACTTTTTTAAAAAAGAATTCTTAGCCATTATCTTTTCAAATATACCTCCTTCCTCATTCCTTCTCTGTTCTCCAAGATTACAATTACACATACATTACACCACTTGATGTTGTGCAGACTTTAGATGCTAAGTTTATTATTCATTCCTTTTTCTCTTTATGCTTCATTTTGAATACCTTCTGTTGTCCCTTCTTCAACTTCAGTGTGTCCTCCCTTAGCTAGGTCCAGTCTAAAGATAAGTCCATCAAAGCCACTTTTCATCTTGAATACCATGTGTCTGGTTTGTTTTTTTGTTTTCTTTTGCTCTCTTTTTTTAGCATTCTCATTTGACCTTATTTTCGATAGTTTCATTTTCTCTGCTAAAGTTCTCAACTATTCATGCATATTCTCCATGTTTTCTACAAGGCTTCTGACATATTGTCATTATTTTCAAATCCCTTTCTGATAGTTCAAACATCTGTGTTATACCTAATTCCAGTTCTGTCAATTGTTTTCTCTCTTGACAATGGGTTGCTTTTTCTTGCTTTTTTGTGTGTGTCCTGTAATTTTTTTTTTATTGAATGTCAAACATTGTATCAAGAATAATAGTAAAGAGTGTAGTTAATAAGGTTTATGTTTGGAAGCATGCATCCTCCTTCTGCTACAAAGTGATTAGTGTGGGGAATTTCGGCCAATCTAGTCAAGATGTGACTAGAGTTTGGGTGATTCTGTTCTCTCATTAACTTTCAGCCTATGGTGAAGACCTACACCACATATGGGTTTCTCTCCCTGCCCTTGTTCCCTCCCTCAGTAGTAAACTGTTTTGTCCCTTGTTATTCAGCACCAAGCTGTGATGGGGATAAGGAAGTTTTCTCTTGTCCCAGTCCAGCCTCAGTCTTAGGCCCATGCCTGGGCCCTCTCAGCATTACTGCCCCACCTATTCATGGCAGCAATACTCTACCTTTTATCTGTAGTTGGGTGGGAGTTTTCCATCTCTCCCCTAAAAGTAGCAGATCTCTGATTGTTATATATACTGGATTCTGAGCCCAAGGCGGGTTTCTGCTGCTCTCCTGGGGATAGGATGTTTTATGTTTGTTTGTTTCCACTATCTCATCATTTCTAACAGCAATGGAATTTTGCTTGTTTCCTAAGAGATCATCTCCTATCCCTCCGTTCTCCTGTCCCCTCCGCAAGAAGCAGACAAATTTTGCTTCCTCTTCTCCTCAGAAGAAATACTTGAACCTGAAAGAGGGGCTTTACTGCTTTTCCCTTGACAGGTTCTTTTCTTCATAGAAGAAAAGTGTCCAGGAAAGGAGATTTATATCTCCCTACTCCTGGCAGCCAATCACCTCCTTCACACCTAAAGCATTGAGGGGACTCTCTCCAGTTCTCTTCCTTTTTCCCAAATATTCTCTGAGCACCTAGCAGAGACCTATGCAGAAATGCTTCTGAATAAGTTAAATTCCCTCTGTGTGTCTGGGGCTCTATTGATTCGCAGATAAAGTTTTTCCAATGTGATGGTTTTTCTGATGGGTCAGTTTGGCAAGCATAGAGTCTCCAGTTATTTAACCAACACTAATCTAGATCTAACACTAATTTAGATGCTGATGTAAAGGGAGTTTGCAGATATAAGTAAAATCCATAATCACTTAATTTAGGTAAGAAAAAACATCTCAGATAATCTGGGTGGCCAATGTGGTTCATCAGAAAGCCTTAAAAGCAAAACTGAGCTTCCTGGAAAAAAAATTCTGCCTGTGGGCAGCAGCATAGGCCTTTGCCTGTGAGTTTCAGCCAGCCCATAATCTTCTCTTTCAGAAGGGCTGCCCTTTGGATTTTAGACTTGCTTAACTAGCTTCCTCAATCATACAATTCAGTTCTTAGATAGATAGATAGATAGATAGATAGATAGATAGATAGATGATAGAAACATACATACATACATACATACATACATACATACATACATACATATATACATACATAGGCAGACTCCTATTGATTCTGTTTCTTTGGTTGAACCCTCAGTGAGACAGTCCCTGATCTCAATAATCTTACATTAGGGACAGATAATGAATAGTAAATATGTCAAGACGTGATAAATAATATAAGGAAAAGCTAAGTAAAGTGAAAGCACAGAGCAAGACATGGACCGCCATTTTACACAGGGTGTCAAGGAAGGCTTCTGATGATGTAATCTTTGGGCAGAAACATGGACAGAGTGAGTAAGCAATGTCATACACGTATTTGAGAGAAAAGCTTTCCTAGTCTAGAGGACAGCAAGTACAAACTCATGAAGTGATAAAATAACTTAGTGCATTTGGGGAAGAGAAGAAAGAGGATGATAATAGCATGGTTCAGATAAGACAAGCTCCTGGGGTGGATCATGAAGGGTTGAGAAGATCAGAGAAGGCTCTGGGTCTTCTTGTGAAATTCTGCAGGATTGTGAGAAGGCACAGGTTATAAGTGCCTGGTGGCTGTGTCAAAAACAGAATAGTTTGGGAGAATGGAAGCAGGGAGACCAAATGGGAAGCTATAACAATGTTCCAGGAGAAGAGTGAGGGCAGTTTGGGCAGAATAATAGGACTAAAGAATGCAGAAGTGGTGGCTGTGTCAAAAACAGAATAGTTTGGGAGAATGGAAGCAGGAGACCAAGTGGGAAGCTATAACAATAATCCAGGAGAGGGGTGATGGCAGCTTGGGCAGAATAATAGGACTAAAGAATGCAAAAGTGGTCAGACTCTCGGTGTATCTCAAAAGTAGTTATGAGAAGTCTGCTGAGGGATTTGGATGAGGGTTGTGGGAAAAAGCAGAGACAAGGATGATGCTAATCATTTGGACCCATGTCTTCCTTCCCTTGAGAGGCTTTTTCTGACTCCCCAAGTCTGGATTGGGTGTAAAGTGATCATCACACCATCCTGTATTTGCCTGTTAACTTTCTGTAATCCAACCAGAGATTCAAGCTTCTCCAGGCTGTATACTATTTACATCTTGCTCACAGCTATATCCTCAGAACCTAGTACAGTACCTGGCAGAGACTCAAAAACATGTACCTAATAAATGACGGCCTTCTTTAAATGTTTACAGCTTGTAATTAAGAAATTTTATAATTATATTAATCTCAACCTATTCATTTTATATTAAATACAGTCCATTTCATTATATCTTATTTTCATAAATTTAACTATTTTTATTTTCACCATTTTTTACCCCTTCCTCTTTATCTACTAAGGTGTTAATTCTTTTATATATATTTAGATATTTTTGTATTATAGATATTAACTCAGCTGTGATATCTATAGAAATATTTCTTATTGTTTGTATTTCAATTTTGCTATTTTTGATGTACAGAAGTGGCTTTTTCTCTTCACTGCTTTGAAATCAAATGTATTAATCATTTCTCTTAGAATTTTTAAATTAAAAATATTTTTACACCTACACAACAAACACATATATCATGCTTCGAGTTTTATGTTTCAGGGTGTTTTTAATTATCCCTTTTGTTCTTCCTGGGATCTATTTTATATGTGATAGAAAAAGATTTACTAAGCTGATCTTTCTATAAAACTGCAAAGCAATTGAAAAGGACATTGAGTTTTAACCTGAGAAACCTCCTTAACAGTCTCTCAAGGCCAAGGGTTGTGTATTCTGTGTGCTATTTTTTTTAATGGTAACTCATGTTCTTATTGTTTCAGAAACTATAACAGCTATCCCTGCAGGCAATACTAAAATATGGAATAATGGCATTCTTTATTTTTAAAGTCATATCAATACATACAAGATGTTTACTTGAATTGGTCTACTGAACTAACTCTCAAACGTAGGTTAGTCTTTCCAAGTAACTTTTCCCATTTCCAAGGACTTCAAACTGATAGAGCTAAAAGCACAAACTTCGTTTTGGTGTAACTATGTTTTGGGAGTAGGCAATTTCCAGGCATTCTTCCGTGTTCAGCAAAGATTATACTCATTCTACCTGTGACCTAAATAAAGATTAATTCAATTATTTAATAGCATAACGCTAGTCCACTGACATGACATGTTCTTAATTTAGCACAGCCACAAAAAATTGAACAAGCTCGCCTAGATTGTTTTTCTGCCTGTCAAAATTCAGCACAAACGAGCAAAGTAATACTGGAGACTAAAAATACATAAACATAAGAAAATTTTTCAAACTTTAAAAACTAATAATAAATTGGAGGGCAAAGGTTGACTGCTATACCAAATGTGGAACTTTACATAGTTCACAGCCCTAAATCCCCAGGGTTACAGAAATCCCAAATACAACATAGTTTCTATTATTAGCATTTTCTATTTCTAATCCTGTTAAATTTCTGCCCTATTAAAAATATGGGGATTTATAAAGCTAGTTTATAAGATCAGATGGTTTTCATGTGCCAGAATACTTCAAACTCCAACTCCAGGTTTTGGTTAAAAAAAATAAAATCCATAATCAACTTATCCTAATTTTTATCAAAATGAAAACATTTACTGAGGAAGGGAAGTGACTGAGAAATGTGCTGGAATTTCACCTTTGTCACTTTCATTTAAATCAAGTAAAAGAGCATCCATGTGGCTTTCAAAGGTACAAACAAAACATGTTAAGAATTTTAGCTGACTTCTTAATGACTGGATTTCTTCTTATATAATATTATCTTTGAACCATAAATCTACCTTACATGTTAGAATCCTGGCATCAGGGCACTCAGCAAAAGTTTAAATATTCCTGCTCCCGCTCAGAGAATATCCTTTGGTAAAAGATCTAAGGAATGTTAAGTGACCATCAAGTGACCAAGTAAATCATCTGAGTATTCTATCTTGTACATTTCATAAGTAAGTACCTTTCTTTGTGCTTGGTTCAACATCCACCAAAGCAAACAGAAGGCTTAAGAAATGAACACATATATTTCATCTAAGAGAGGATAAAATACACATTTTTAAGTTTAATAACCTTTAATAAAAGCACTTTATTTGGAATATTTAAATAAAAAACTAATTTAGCCATGTATTAGAAGTGATCATTTATGTAGTAGTTCAAAAGCCCCTTGTCCTTTAAAGCAAAAAATGGTATAATTTATGAGGACAGACTATAGGTTCTATGTGTTGTCACCAGAACGTGTCAGGTATTTTTACTGAATACATATCTTTGTTATGATTGGGCTAGAAGACAACAGTTCTTTTTCTTGCCAAATTTGAGCATTTGGCTTTAAAATCATGATCCTATTCAGGTCATCAATGGGGAATATGTCAGTGAAAGTAAAATTCTGTTATGGTGCATTTTAGGTGGTTTATTTAAATGCATCTTCTGGTGGGCTAATACTACCTTTTGCATCTAAAAAAGGAGTCATTTTAACAGTGAGCTTTAAAATGTACACAAGTGTCCAGAATTCTGATCACCTCTATAACATCAGAGTGTAATGATAATTTTTAAATTATTTTTAGCTGCCAAAGTCCAGGTTCCCCTATCACTCACAAGCTGAAACACTCATGATAAATTTGAGAGACTCTAATAACCTTAAATCATTGTGTACTGCACATGCTCAGAACCAATCACTTCCAAATTTGAGAGCATATAAAAATTTGAAGAGCTTCAATTATTTTAAATCACCATGTGCAGCGTAGAGAGAGATTTAAAATAGTTGTAGTGCCTCACATTTTTTAAGCACTTCAGTTTGGAAGAGAGTCAAGCAGCATTCCAGCATGGAAGCTCAAGACACATTGGACTAGTTTAACACATCAGAACTAGAAATATATACCTAAAAACCAAGGAACTAGTTTTTAAAAATTAAGTTCTTGAAAGGTGGCAGGGCTGCAGGGGTTGGGGGGGGGTGGTCTTTGAAAAGCCAAATAAACACCTCATTCCAATTAGAAAACAGTATAGTGATTACCAGGTCAAGCCAGGGGAGAAAGATTCAAATGATGTTTACAAAGCAAAGAGTGGTTTTCTTAAAACTAAAAGCAGTGTGATAGATAAAAGAGACACAAAGCTAAAGAAATGCAAGAAGGTTCTGAAAGCACAGCAGGCAAATTCATGTACTCCTACAGCTGAATTTTAACAGTAGTGGCATTTCCCTCACCATGGTTTTCCTTGCCTCAATCTTCCCAGCAAAGCTAACTTTCTGGTTCCCTCTTGGATGAATGATTGTACGGCCTTGTGTTTTACCAACACTCTTGCGCCACTTTTTCTATATTCTCTTTGTTTGATTGTGGGAGAGGGTGAGCACTTTGACATTTTACACAGCTCAGAGTTCACTTTCGACATCCAAATCCTTAAAGAACTCAAAAATTATATCAGCACAATCAAGCTATTTAAAGATGGCCTTTCTTCAGCATTTTCCATCATTTCATCTAAGTAAAAAGTGACGGTCTCCTCTGTTGCCTTTGGGTTTTCACGTATTTTAGGCTTGGCACTGCCCAGAAAGCAGCATGCTCTTCATAATTCTGCGTCAGTGAAAACATAATGTCCTATAGTTAGTAAGGGAAAAAAGCGTAAAGGAAAAAAAATGAAAGAAAAAGAGCCTGAAGGCACTGGAATAATTAAGCAAATGCAGTGACAGCTGTGGCAGGTCCTGGGCAGAACTGGCTCCACTGAGCTGAATTAATGACATCAACAGCCCAGTATCTCCATTAACAGTTGATCATTAATTATTACTATCTGACAGTAAGAGCCTAAACCTTCTCAGGAGTGGCCTGTTATTAATCTACTTTACCTGCCCTGAACACTGGCACCTCAGTGCAGTTAGTGGGGCCGGTTTTTGTTTCTTTCTTTTTTTTTTTTTTACTTCAACAATTGCTTAATTTACTTGGATAAACAGTGATAACCATCAGATTATACAGTCTGTTTTAGATTACAGGGAGTTTCTTGTTCTTTCATCTAAGATAGGAGGTAATCTACTGGAATCTGCAGCATTGACTTTTCTTTGTCATGTTTAGAAGGGTCAGGAGACACCATCTACCTGAAGAAATATGCAAGGCAGCAAGAAGTACATCATTCACCATTGCCCCCTTACCTAGCTCTATGGGGAAAAGAACTCAGATTTTCTCAGAATCCCATTCTTGGTTCTGTGATCAGTGGGCATAACTGTCTTGTCCATTCTAAAAGTTGTGCAATCAAAATGCTAACCCAAAACATAGAGAAGTTCAATTTTATGTATGTAGCATCAAATATTTGTCTCTCCAGATTCTAGTCATCCTCCATTCTTTCTGTTTTACAATGAAAATTACTTGGAGTTTATCTTTTAAAAAGTAAAGATTAATCCTATTTGATATCTAAATATTTTTGGTGAACCTTTAAAACTTGTCAGAGCCTTGGCCATTTAATAAACACATACATAGAGATAATCTATAAAATTTCAGGAGAAGGGTTAGACAGTTTTTAAAAATTTAAATGGCTCTTAATGTCTAACAATAACTCAATTTCCTCTCCAACAAAGATCTGTCCTTTCCATGTGGCAGTATGTCTCGCTCACTGGTGAGGAAAAAGAAACTGGGACATGCAAACACAGCTCATGTGTTAAGTACTCTCCTCACGGCAGCAGACCTTACAGTATCAGAGTGATAATTAACCTTTACCAAAGAAGACTTCATAGAAGTCCAATACATTAATTTGCTGATTGTTCTTTTCCTGCTAGAGACATAATCCAGAGTTCACTTCCTAGTCATAAACATAGACACAATATAACTTAATAGAGTGCCTGCTCTGGCTAATGGCCGTCAATGCACTGAAAATCCCAGAGCTTCCAGGACTGTATAGTGTATTTCCCAGGATACAGAGAGACTCTATGTATCCCTCCTTTTCAACAAGGAAACAATGGTAGAACCAGACTGGACTAAGTTTCTGTGGGTTCTGTTTTCTGTAAGTCACTGAGTTGGTACCAATGTGGTAGGCAGTTGAAAATTTTTCTAAAGTTATTGCGGTGAGAAATAAATAATGACAGATTAACATATACTCCACTCACTATGCACCACTTAATTATATTATGAGGACCCAATATTTGTTTGTTTGTTTTTCCCTGCTTGCTATCCTAACCCTCAAAAGAGCCTTTCTTCCACTCAGGGACAGACCTCTGTTCTCCTCCCTGTATACACAACATCTTATAGGTGAGGCCTCCACAGAAATCTTCCTGGGTCCTTTAGTAAACTCACATGGCTCACCAGGCCCCTATATTGGAAACCATTACTCAGGAATCATCATTACTCAGAAATCACAGCATGTGCAATGAGGCCTTTGATTAATACAAGTTCTTGGTTATGCAGTACAATAAAATTATAAAAGGAAAGAAAAAGTGATTTAACTCTATGGACTTCAGTTCTCTCATCTGCAAAAGTACTACTAAAAAGTAACAGCATAGTTCCTTGTAAGTCTAAAGTTGAGATGTTTGTTATGAAATGTGCGTTTGCATAGCTAAGCCCAGAGTGAAGAAATGACAAAGTAATCAAGACTAAATTCCATCTAATAAAAATTAAGACAAAACACTGAAAATCGTTGATGCACAAGGCAATTTTGAGATGAAGGAAAAACTCAGTGTTTCCTCTCCATGTACTACCACTTTCTTTTTTGCCTCATGGGAATTATCATCATATGGCATCAATCTTTCCCATCAACTGACTAAGTAGCTCAGTTTCTTAGCTTTTTCTCACTATATATACTTTGTAGTAATTTCCAGGATTTAACCAAATTTCATTTCATTTCAGTAATATGCTACTCCCTATAATCACCCCAGCCAATGGCTCAAACACTTCCCCCATGGATTTCTCTGGTTTGATAGATTCAGATGTGCTCAATTTTGCAATAACTTTCTTATGACTTAATTCAAGCAATCTCTTTTAATATCACTCTAAATAGATTCAAATCTAGATAATGTATTTTTTAAACCCCTTTTTCTCTTTTCCCTTTCCCAAACAGTAACATTGTTGGCTTGGATTCTTAAAATCTATTCTAGCAAACTGTCTTCAGCTGGTTTACAGATATTACCTGTTGCCACTGCATACTAATTTTCTCTACCTGATATCATTTGTTTCAGTTTTTTAATAATGTTCCTGACTCATAAGTCAAACTAAGTCACCCAAGCTCACTTAGGATCTCTAACTACAAATACCGGCTCCCAACAATTCTCTCACCATACAAAATCAACTCATATTTGAAAACCCTTACTAAAAAGGAAATTAATGAACACAAGCATTAATGTGCCTTCTTCATGATATTTATAGCAAAAGGAACCACATTTTCCATGGATGATCCTTAAAGGAAAAAGTTGCTATATTAAACACTCTATTATAGTTTCTTATTAAATATTTTCCTGAATTTTTTCATCTTATGCCACATTCACAATGACTCTTTAAAGAATTAAAATCTTGCATTTTGATTACCTCCTTTTTTACATTTAGCAAGAGATTACAGAGCAGATATTGTTTGACATTGAATCTCTGTTAACCATGTCCTCCACTGGAGCATAGTTGTACACATTGTTTCGGAGCTAACATAATGGGGAATATTTTCAAAGAGGGCTGTGTTTCAAGCCAGATGGTTTATCTGCTGAAACAATTCTCCCAGTAGAGAAATAGTGGCTGCACAGTTGCAGTAGTGTTCATAAGCCTAGTGCAGTAGATTCATTTGGCACCCACATTTTGGAGTCTAACAAAAGTGTGGTTTGTGTGAATCTCAGACTCAGACGTTCATAAGTGAAAAGGAGTTTTCTGCAATTGCACATTGTGCTTTATTGTAAAGGCAGCAGTGTGCTATATCAGAAACACAATATGTAAATATGATATTCTTTTAAATATATATTACTGGTTTCATGCATACAATGCAAAGGAACAATACGAGGATAATTGCTTCAGAGATTATCACAGATTGGCACAAAAAGAGCCAAGTTGCTATTACTTGTGTTAAAAACAAATATATTATCAAAATTCAGGTCTGCTGAATCTATTAAAACTTGAAAGACAGAAAAAGACTAGACATCTATTGTATCTTGGGCTCTTGGCAAAGATCTACTGTTACTTATGAATATTCTATGAAATAGAACTAAGTTTTCTATTGATGCTGTGATATATGGCTCTGCCCACCTTCTCAGAAAGCTCTTGACTTAAAATCTCGATTAAAATCTCTTGATTTTGAAGGAGGCCTTGGTGAGTCACGGTGTCAGCTTCTCTACCCGACAGTGATCTTTAGCGGTATTCCCATGCACGCTAGGAATCTCACCCTCCTTTGTCATAGGAACAGTCACTTCCCTGTATACTAATACTGCCCACATTTTAAAAATAAAACAGAAGAGTTAGAGTTAGATTCCAACAGGGGGTTACCATGCTCTGAAACGTCTCAAGCATGTACAGGGATGGGAAAATCCCTGAGATTCCAGAGATTTAAAAAAAAAAAAAAAATAGCACATGGGAGGTTCTAAATAAAGTAAGTCTTGGGTATGTTGGGGAAGTTGGCACCATTCTTGCAGTTCTTTCCCTCAGAGACTATTTTTGCTTAAGTTAGCGAGCAAGCGAGTGCGAGAATGTATGTGCATGGATGTGCCCTTTTGTGTTTAAAAAACTCAATGAATGTTAGTGACATTTTATTTTCTTGCAGAATAAGATATCTTTTTAAAAATATATTACTTTCCTCTGAATCATTTTTATCCCTAGTATATCTCATATCTCATTAATTTCATTTAAACAAACTATGTTATCCACTTCAAAACTTCTGGAGGAAGAAAGGGATTTTTTTTTTAACTAAACAGTGAAAATAAGATTAGAACTACAAGTCACAAAGTGAGTTAACACTTTCTTCACACATACACACACACATGCAATTTCTGCCCCACAATAACACAGGAAGAGAAAAAGATCAAGGTAAAGACTAGAAGCTTAATATCCTGAAATCAACAGGTTAACCTGAAAACCCCAAGACCCTGTAAATGTTCACATATTAGCTTTAAAGGCTATCAAAGTTTGAAAAATCCAGATCAGAACACTTCAATCCAAGTTAATGTGTATATTAAATCCAAGCAAATGTTAGAAATACAAGCCAAGATGAAAACTTTTACATCACTTTTTTTTTTTTTTTTTTTTGAGACAAAGTGTTGCTCTGTCGCCCAGGCTAGAGTGCAATGGCACGATCTCAGCTCACTGCAACCTCCACTTCCCAGGTTCAAGCGATTCTCCTGCCTCAGCCTCCCAAACAGCTGGGACTACAAGTGTGCGCCACCACACCCGGCTAATTTTTGTATTTTTAGTAGAGACAGGGTTTCACCATGTTGGCCAGGCTGGTCTCGAACTCCTGACCTCGTGATCTGCCCGCCTCAGCTTCCCAAAGTGCTAGGATTACAGGCATGAGCCACCATGCCCAGCCCTACATTACTATTTTCAAAACATTATCTGTGGGCAAATCAACATGAAAAATATAAACACCTGCTAATTACCTACATTGCTTTGGAGGCTACCCAAGCTATTTCAACACTTTGCTTCATCCTCAGTCTTGTATACGCTGCATCTTGATCTCTTTGAGTGAAGATTTGCCGATACGACATTTAGTACAGGCATCGAATGTGCTCAAACTGGCAGAATTGTGGGATTTTTTTCAAGTGACTGCTTTGGGGGATTTCTCAGTTTTCTACTTTTCTTTTTTTAATTTCATGAATGTTGTCAATTACAGGCAGGCAACTGGTGGGACATTGTGGTGTAAGATATGCAGATCTCACTGCATTCACAATAGAAATTTGGAAATATTTGCTAAAGAGTCTAACATTACATATTTGAAAACAAACAAAGAAAAATCTTATTAAGTTAGATATTTGATGCTTCAACTGTTTGTGACTAATTAATGCCACGTATCTTTAAATACTCCCATGTCCCAAATACCAGGAAATCTGCCAGGTGTCTCGACATATCATTGGAATGATGTCCTTGTTTGCTATTGACATTTTATATCACTTTGAATGACTTTACCAAGCAGAAACCGTAGCGTATATTTTTCCTATTTTTTTGATAGACAGTGTCATCAAAATTATATATATGAAATCCAGGAGGGGGAAAAAATCTGAGAGACAAGTTGAATCCAATTCAAATATTTGTGTATCAAGAGCAAATTGGGTATTTCCAGAAAGTGAGCAAATTTAATTATTCATGAGGCTCTGGTTAAGTCAGCACATCTCTATCTTAACCAGATCCTTTCTAGCAGTTTGCATAGTAACAATATAAAGTACAATTAAGATTTATAAATATATGTCAACAGAGACAAAAAGATTGGTAATTCGGTAAATCAATATATTTGCAAAATAATTTTCCTGATGCAATAATTCTCATATTTTCAAAATGGATAAACAAAAAAAATTGTTCAACAATATTGTGAAGCCTTGAAGGATATTCAGAAAATCAAGAATCAGAGGAAAACTAGGGGATTCCTCCCAACTATTTCCACTGGAGTAGTTACAAGTGTCTAAGGTAATCTTTTTCTTCTCTCCATCTTACTATCTTTTAATTATACTGATTTTCAAAGAAAGAACATCTATCATTGCTTACATGAGGACAGTGGTTGCATCATCCCCTACTTCAGTATATTTTTTCCTCTCAAAACCATGACTCAATTTATCACAAGTTTGAATCTGAACTTCCAAGCAAAATAAGTCAGGAAAAAAAAAAAAAAGAGCGAGCTACCCAATCCTTTAATATTCGAGTGATTTTTGGAATGCACACATTGTGTGCTCTGCATGAGCTCTGTGGGTCTCCCTCCACACTCAATAAAAGTGAAAACCACCAAATGTTCTCTCCAATATCATATCTATGATACCCTTCCTACATAGTAATTCTAGAACAAACCTGGTTTCCAACAGGGATGTCTCCAGGCTGTACCAGTCTGCCAGGATCTTTCTGGTTAGACTCTTCAGACTCTGATCTAACTCTGCACTCTCCAAGCATGCAAAAATATAGCCACAGAGACATGAGCCATGCTTCTCCATGTGGGCTGAAGTTTCCAGGTGGCCTGTGTATGTTATGATTGTGCCTGGCCTCAAAATAAAAACAAATTGACAATCCCTTACCTCCGCCAAGCCAGTGCCAATTTTTAAATAAAATGTCTAGTGGTGATTTATTGCCAATGCAAACTGCCAGACTGGCAGCCCCATTTACCTACTAAAACAGACAAATCAGTAAAAGCTATGTCAACCTTGCCAGTTTCCCCATGTATGTTCTAGAAGGCATTCCAAATTTCATGTTTGTTCTGTTACCGGCTTTTTTATTTGTGTGCATTGAAAAACAAAATATCTAGATGACCTCAATGGCTTAAGGAAATGGGCGTTCTTTCCTTGGGTACTTTCTAGGATTATCCAAGTTCATTTTCCATAGATCACACGCTCCTCATGCAGGTAGAATTGTTGATCATTTATTAGCTGTCTTGAATATCAAACAGAGACACAGAACTGAAAGAATTTCTTTCCTGCATGTAATATCATCTTAGAGGCCTGTTTCCTATCACTTCCCCAGGGAGCAAACACCTGCCTTGGTTTTTCTCAAGAGACTTCTCTTCCTTATTCCTCTCAAACTTATAAATAACAGAACCTGTTGGCTAAGGTATGATTTTTTAAATGTCGATTTAGGTCATGTTTGGTTGTATCCATCCCTTTTATTCCCTATCAAGCTGATCTATTCCTGCCAGAATAAAGTGCATGAGATTTTTGTAACGCTCTGGTCAAAAGCACCTCCTCCTATTTAGGAGTAGCAGTTCAAAGAAGACTGCTACATATAATGTACTTTAAAAGAAAAGAAAAAATCCAAAGTCATTAATTCCTATTTATTTAACATTACAGACAGGCTGGCCTGAAGAATGAGTCTTACTTAAGCTGCCCAAAGTGACTAGTTATCAAGTCATTGAGAAGAAATTTTTTATGTCTCATCTCAATGCCTCTATGTCACTTGTACACAGACCTCAGAATCGTCTATATTTCATCAACCATTTTCTTCATGTATTATTTAATAAACTGCTTAAAGCATATCTAATTACAAACATTTATTATAGAATTCAACCCTAGAAATGTGTGAGAATATGCTAAATTGTTTGTTACCTAAAGTTTTAATGAGAGTATAATACCTCCGGCCCATATGCTTCAAGAACGTTATCCTTAATTATGTAACATGGGTATTTTACTGATATCTGTTAACTGCTCAAGCAGCTGTGGTTTTCTGCTTTTTTACACAGCTCAGGAGGAGCAGCAAGTTCAGTTTCCCCTTTTTGGGGGGTTGCAAAATCCATGCCCCAAACAGGTGTGTGCAATCACGAACCACAGTGATGAACCCAAACTGCTCCTTTCTAAAAATTCCACCAGCCGGTGACACACACTAGTCAAGGTTGCACAACCTTGTTTTCCACCAGTTATTTTGATGATTCATTCCCCCGTGGGGAGGTAACTTGCAGCCATTGTTACTTTGCTCCTGTTTCTGATAATTAGAGGAATTACTTCCTCATTTTGATGATTTCTCTTTCTCCCTCTCTTGCTCTTGCTCTCACTTGCTCCCTTTTTTTCTTTTTTTTTTTTTTTTTTTTTTTGGTAATGAGTCCTGATCTTTTGGAAGGTGCTACTGGACCAGGATTATGAGAGGTGACACTGAAAGAAGCACACACATACACGCACACATACACACACCAGAACACTTCAGTTGTGAACACTTCAAGTTGTTACCGCCTTGCAGGAAATCTGCCTGGATGATACATAATATAATCAATCACTCACTGAAAATATAAGAACGCAAACCAATAAGCAAGTGTTGCCCACTTCCAAGTAGTGACTTTGGAAAACCTTACATTGATTCTACTGATTGCTCAAGAAATTTTTATGGAATTGCCATCAGAGCCTTCCTCATGTTGTTTTAAATGTCAAATATAGCCATTAGTCCTCTTTAAATGGTGGATTTTATTTTTGTAAACATCCAAAGTTTATTCAGAGCCAAGTTTGATGTTAAATCGACCAAGTCTTCTTTTAAATAAAAATAATTTTGATCACAAAACAATAAAATTTAGTTATGTGAAGAATAAAAGAATAAATCCAAAGAAAATTACAATAAAAAGGGACAAAAAGTTTTGAACAGTGGCAAATATCACTGGGTTAAATGTAGTTTTCCCAACATGACTACCCTGGAGAAGATGACATCTTTCGGTAAGTTTCAGATGCTTGCTAAAATTATATAATATTATTTGCCCTCCTATTTCAGTTTCCTAGAAAACTGAACTCAACTTATTTTATCCCGTGTTAAACAACAATCAAAACAATATAATCAGGATACTGTGTAGAAATTTTTTTCCTAATTTATGGCACCCAAATAAACACAAAAGCACATCAACCCATTTCACATTGCTCCAGAAATACGGATTTTCTTTGTATTTGAAAGCAATGTGTCACAAGAGCACAAGACATGGAATGTGATAATCTGAATATTAGACCCTAATTTGCCACTTACTGCCTGTCATCTTGAGCCAGTGACTAGACCTCCATGAACCTCAGTTTTCTCATCTTAAATTTGAAAACCATTTACAACCTTGCACAAGTATTGTGAGGAGCGGCTAAAAGTCAAAAAAAAAAAAAAACTCAAGTAGAGTGCCTGGCACTTAATGAAAACCTAAAACATGGTGACTTCTATGATAGTTGTTACCATTGCACACCAATGTGCTTCACTGAAGCATGAGTTCCTGCAGGACAAGTGCCATGTTTCAATCATGTCATCTTGCTGAATATAACTAAAATTCAAAATTGGAAATAAAAAGTTGAAGATTTTAAATTGAGTTTATTATAAAAATAGTCCAGGGGCAAGCATGATCTGGTTTAATTTATACTATACCCCAGGTTCACAAGCAATCAGGAAAAAAAAAAGAATATCATTACATATTTTTAAATACCTGATTTCTTGATCTAACCTTTTCTTGCTCTCTTCAGTGTTTAAAGAAGCTTCTTTGTTATCAATGCAAAATTATTTCATTAGAAGTCATCACAAACTAATCTTAAGCATGTGACTCTAGCCAAACTAGGTAGATTGAGTGGATAATGGAGCAGAAGTCATAGGGTAGCTCCAGATGGGGAGGTGGTGGGAGGAGAACTTTGGATAGGAAGAACACTAAGCCACTACTTCTATAATTCTTGGTAGCTGCAGGGGTGTGGGCTTGGTAAGGGTGGTGGAGCACTGAAGCAAAGTCACACTTCCCCAAACACAAACTCAGTGGGGTGAAGTCTCCTTTTAACCTGCCCCAGACACAAACCTAATGGTTGGTCCCCACAAATCAACCATGAAAAATGACTCGCATAGCTACTTAAAAATCATACAAATAAATTAATAAATATCACTTATCATTTTATTTTCCCATGAATTTCCTTCTTTTCCTTACACTCTATTTTTCAGAAATCAGAAGACTCTGAAAAGAAAATAGCTCAAAGATGAGACAATCTTAGGCTCAGTAGACAATTTACAAGCTGTCCTTTATGAATCAGAAGCAATTGCTATAGCTGTATAAATTTAAAGGCAGAAAGACGGACTGTCTCTTTCAGTGAATCTTTTACTACCAAACCTAAGAAGTTTATCACCACCCTATAACAACCAACAGTCAAGTCTGCTGAACCTTGTTGGATGTCTAGTCTACACCAAAAACAGAAAAGGAAATTGCTACAGGTACAAAGTGCATGCTCCACAGAATGAATGATGGTGCTTATGGAGCCCTTCAAAAGGATAAACAACAAAATACAATATATGCAGGTATCTTCAACTCTTCGCCAACAGAAAAAGTTCTTGTAACTGCTCACTGCTGCAAATTACTAGTCATACTTCTCAAGTACCCAGTTACAAAGAACACAAACAGTACCTTCAAGTTACACATAGGTACCCCTTTTTTAGAAAAGTTTGCCTTGTCATGGCACTTAGAGAAGAAGTTAGATAATCGTATTTAAGAGAATTACAAACAAGGAACAGAAACTTTGGACTTTTTTTTAATCTTAGGTTGGAATCCCATGACCCAAGATTTTGCAAGTCCTGAAGGAAATTCAGCTCAGGCAACATAGAGTCTTATGATACATTACCCTGCAAACTCTTAGTAGTTAAACCTCTGATTCACAAAGAAAAATAAGAATACCAATAAAACAGAATCTCAGAATTAAATAGAAAAGGAGAAATACACAGCCCAGCCCACCTGATAGTTCATTGCCCTCTATTCTCTAATCTTATAGTTTGGGACCATGCTCTTGTAATAATACCTCTCATCTTTTATTTATGTATCTCTGCCCTCCAGGCTGTGAACTGCTTTAGGCCAAGGACCAAATCTTATACTTCTCTGTTAACCCCAATTCCTGGCACAGAAATTGGCCCAGATTAGATAGTTGGTAAGCATTTATTGTATAAATAAATAAAATGGTGACTAAAGCTTAGTCTTTATAAAGGGTTTATCTGTGAATAATAACACATTCTGCAATTCGGCAACAAATGCCATCATGATAAGTAAATTTAGCTAAATCTTTTACACAGAAGCAGATGGCTAGGCTGTCTTTCCTTTCCCCTGACCATTTTGACATTTTCCTTCAATGCTACCCAGTCATCAGTGGATTGCCATCATGGGGGTCTTAAGGGTAAGGACTGAGGAATGAATGGAGTGGTAAACCCCTGTAAGACTCATCTGCCCATCCTTAAAGTTCTACTGCTCTAATTTTACTACTGAGCTCTTAATAACCAACCCCTCCATCCAAAATAAAAATACCATTTATCCCACTGTCTACCCCATCTTGCTTAAGGGCAGTTCTATCCTTTGTTACTCAAGCCAAAAACCTTGGTGCATCATTAACTTAACTTCTTTTCTCATATTTCATATTTAATCATTTAGGAAATCCTGTTGATTCTACCTTCAAAATACATATATAGTCTAACCACTTCTCATCATGTCCACTGCTACCAACTTGACCTGAGCCACCATTATCTCTTGTTTGGTCTATTAAAACAGGTCTTAACAGATATCCTTGCCCTCCTGCAGTCCATTCTTAATACAGCAGGCAGAGTGACCCTCTTCAGTCATAAGTTACATCCTATTATTCCTTCAATTCTACTTATGGCTTTTGATATCACTCAGAGGAAAGGCCAATGTCCTTACTATGACCCAAGGCCTTGAATTATCTGTCCCCAACCTCACCACCCATATTCATTACATCTCTGAGTTCTTTGATTACTCACCCATCTCTCTGTTCCAAGCACACAGACCACAGCACATTCCTAGAACAGACCAGATCCTTCTTGCCATTGCATTGAACATGCCCCCTTACCTGGAATTGCCTCCCAGAAGGCCAGATGGTGTGTCCCTCATCTTATCTAACCTGTTATCTTTTCATTGTTATCAAAGATAACAAATAAACTGTTATCTTTTCATTGAGGCCTTCACTTGCCATCCCATCTAAAATGTTGTCATTCCTCCCTGACAATTTATATTCCCCTCCCCTACTATCTTTTCATCCTTAGCAACTATCAGTATCTAACAAATCATATGTTTTCTTTATTTGTCTTAGTTATTTTCTGTTCTTCCGCACTAAAATATAAGTTCCATCATGGGAGAGAGTTTATATGTTTTTTTGTTGTTGTTGTTTTACTGCTATATCCCCAGAACATAGAAAATAGTTCCTGGTATGTACCAGGCCCTCAATAAATATTTATGAATGAATGAATGTATGAATATGTCTTCAGGCATTGGCAAAATTTGCAGGATCCATAGTCCTATTATTTATCTTTGATTTTTCTTAATGTGGTGTCACAATGATACACTTTGAGAGAAATAATTTTTGAAACTTGTCTTTCTAAAGGAATTTATAACGAAATGGAATGTAACTTTGTTCTACTACAAAGTTATATGCTGGTTTACCTAGGGAAAGAAGTTCATCAGAATGTTTGAACTTTAGTCACGGGAATGATTAAATTATATATGTTCAAAAGTATTTTTAATAAAAAGTAATGAGGCAAGTTTATCTTTATTTTCAAATAATGAAATCTGTAAGAATCTAGAGGATTGAAAATCCATTAGAAAAATATGAATATTAAGTAGCTCATTGCAGTAATTTAAAATAAATAATGAATAATAACCCATTAGAGAATGTGATGAGGAGTGGAATCCCATTTGATCAACAAAAGAGATGAAACAATATAGAAAAAAAAATATGAACTGTGTAAAACCTACTTGAGTAAAATGTCAAATGCTATTAAGAAAGATCTTCATTTAATTACTTTTAAAATGTGTTAATTTAGTACCTATTGAAATGCAGGACACCACTCTAGGCATTGAGTGACAAGATAAGGTTCCTGTCTTCTTGGTGTCTCAAAGACACTGAAAGTTAAATTTGTCCAAAACCAAACTCATAATGCCCATCGCCCAAATGCAGTTCTATCCCGTAACTGAGAATGGCACCACCAAGAATATAGGCCAGGGACCTGGAGTCATCTTTGACACTGCTCCTTTCCTTACCACCCAAATCAATGCCATCAAGTCCTGTTGACTTACTCTCCTAAACATTTCTTGACTGTGTTCCCCTTTATTTCTATTACCAACACCTGAACCTCAGCAATTACTGTCTCTCTCCAGACCATGACAATAACACTCCCAGCACTAACTGTCATGTCTTCAGGCAGGTCGTCTATGGGTAACAAATGTGATCCTCTCTGAAAGGAAACTTTTTAAGGATTCCTCATCATTCAGGCCTTAATGCAAATATCATTCCCTTGTGGAAGAAATTTATGACTATTCATAGGCTCTTACAATATCATGTACTATTCCCGCTTGTCTCTTGGCTCAGCTGACACTTGCTTGTACGTTAATTTAATTATGTTCTGTCCCTTTCATCAAACTATAAGCTCTGTGAGAGTAGAGACAGTGCTTCTTTTAGTTCTCATTGTATTTCTAGTGTTCAGCATAGGATCTGGTATACAGTAGTTGCTCAATAAATAATTGTTAACTTCAGCACTGCCCTCAGACTTGGTTAAGATGGGCCCTTGCCATGATCCTCTTCTTTAAATGCTCCCTCCGTACCATCCACCCACCCACTCAACCACCCGCACACACACACAGAAATGAATAGATCATGCCTTTGCTGTGTGGCTTTCAGGATACAGCCCACAGCACAGAGCAACCCATAACCCTGAATATCTACTTTCATAATTAACACTTTTCAGAATCCAGGGAAATGATATTTCTTATTCCTTGCTAAATCTTCAAAGCGAAAGATAACCAAATGGTCAACAATGGTGTTGATGCTGACACTGGAAAGGAACTCTGCTTCAAATGAGTGGTAAATGAACAATTAGGTAAGAGAAAAGACAAATTAATCACCTTGTCAAATCCTTTCCCTTAGTATGAATGTAAGCAATTCTTGTAAAACAAGTAGAATGTACCAGAAGTGTCTAGCATCTTTCTTGCTTCATGTTCCAATTCATAGCTCTGGAGGTACTCACAAACCAACACAGCATTTAAAAGGAGAATTTTTCACATGTCAAGATGACAGAGTTTAAACCACCTCAAGTTTGATTAAGGTGTAGGGAAACAGGCACTCTTCATCATATTATGGTGTCAAAATTTTGGAGAGGACTTTTGAAATATGCATCAAAATTTAAAGTCTCACTACTCAAAAGAAGGCATGTAAGGAGCTAAGAAATATGAAAAAAATGCTCAACATCACTAATCAGCAGAGAAATACACATCAAAACTACAATGAGATACCATCTCACACCAATCAGAACGGCTATTAACTAAAAAGTCAAAAAATAATAGATGCTGGTGAGGCTGGGGGAAAACAAGGGAATGTTTATACACTGTTGGTGGGAATGTAAATTAGTGCAGCCATTGTGGAAAGCAGTTTGGACATTCCTCGAAGACATTAAAATGGAACTGCCATTTGATCCAGCAATCCCATTACTGGATATGTATTCAAAAGAAAGCAAATCATTCTACCAAAAAGACACATGCACTTGCACGGTCACTGCAGCACTACTCACAATAGCAAAGACATGGAATCAATCTAGGTGCCCATCAATGGTGGATTGGATAAAGAAAATGTAGTACATTACATATACATCATGGAATACTACACAGCCATGAATAAGAGTGAAATCACATTCTTTGCAGCAACGTGGATGCTGCTGGAGGTAATTATCCTAGGTAAATTAATACAGGAACAGAAAACCAAATACCACATGTTCTGACTTATAAGTGAGAGCTAAATACTGGGTACTCATGGACATAAAGATGGTGATGACAGACACTGGGAACTACTAGAGGCAAGAGGGAGGGAAGGCAGCAAGGGCTGAAAAACTACCTATTGGGTACTATGCCCACTACTTGGGTGATGGAATCAATCATACACCAAAGCTCAGCACCACACAATATACTATGTGACATGTTTTATTCGATATATATCCAAAAGAAGACAAATCATTCTACCAAAAAGACACGTACACTTGCATGATCATCATAGCACCATTCACAGTAGCAAAGACATGGTATCAATGTAGATGCCCATCCGTGGTGAACTGGAAAAAGAAAATTTGGTGTATATATACCATGGACTACTACACAGCCATAAATAAAAATGAAATACATGTAACAAGCCTGTATGTGTACCCCCTAAATCTAAAATAAAAGTTGAAATTATATTTAGAAATAAATAAAGCTTTTTTTAAACTTAAGTCTCATACCCTGGAGATGAAATATATCTTTCATATCCTGTTCTGTCACCTCCTTGCTATGCAATTTTGAGCAATTTTTTTAACCTCACTATGCCTCAGTTTCCTTCTCTGGGAAATGGTGATAATAATAGTACCTAACTTGCACATCCTAAAGTTGTGAGGAGTGAAAAGGATACTGCTCATAAAGTGCTTAGTACAGAGCCTGGCCCACAGCAATAGCACTGGTCTGATATCAGACATCACCTGCTTTCTTCTTCTCCAACTGCTCCTCCTCCACATCATCATCATTATCATCATCATCACTTTTAGACCAATACTCTCTATATAATTTTATGTCTTTAAAAATGGAAAACCATGCAGTTAGGAGTCATAAAAAAATAATAAGACATATCAATATATGCTAATAGAGAAAGATGCTCATTATACTTTATTTGAATAGTGAATGTTCCGGAAAAAATCTATGGCATAATTCTATTTTTGTATCATCTATAGTATGATTATACATGTGTGCATAATATGTGTTTATACATAATTAAAATAGAAAATTTCCAGAATGATACATAAAAACTGTTAAAAGTAGCTATATTCGGGATATCTGAATTAGGGGAAGGATTTTTATGAATCACTTTATACTCTTTTATACTGTTTGAATTTTTTAACATCATCATTTATCCATTTATCACTTTCATAATTTAAATTGTTAATTCATTTAAAGTTATTTTTTCATTTTTAGTCTTTGAAGTTATTAATGTTCACCAACTTCAGGACTCGTCCTTCTTTGGCACATGAAAGACTTCTCATTCTCACTTAACTCTGGTTGAAGCCATGTGACCACTTCTGGCCAATGAGCTATGAGTGGAAGTAACATGTCACTTTCAGAATGAGGGTGTTAAGACTTTATTTGATATCTCTATGCTCTACCTTTTTGTGCCCCAGCAACCCCCAAAGACATATAATGCTGTTGATGTGGCTACCAGATAAAACAGCACAATCCCTTAACACAATTTAGGAAATGCTGTACTTTTTTCTCTTAGACTCTTCATTCCTTAAGGGCTGTTCTCTTACTTGTATGTTAAGGGGCGAGCAAACTGCACTGCACCATCAAAAGGTTCCAGTAAGTATTATTAATGGTAGTATTCATTATTTTCTTTCCTCAGTTCCAGGCATGGAACATTCTCATTTAACCTACAAATTGTAGTGCATCTTATTGAAATTTTGAGAAATGGGGTATTGTATTTGCCGTCTTTGAAAATAGACAAGAAATTAAAAATAAAAACTAAATAACCACAGAGCATTTTTTGGGAAATCAGGTGCATTTAGATAGCTTGACAGTTTACTAAATTGCAAACCTCTGTATGTAGCATGCATTAAATAAGCAAGTTTCAAATATCTATTTGTACCAAGAGCTTAGAAAATAGGGACAGCTAAGACTCAGAGCCAGACTTTGCCAAGTCCACAACCTCATTGGAAAGGAATACCTGCAGACAGTAAACAAATGATAAACAGCGCTAATGCTACACATAGGGTACTGAGGCCAGATGGAGAAGTGAATGACTATCTATTCCTTGTGATGTAGGAAACCATCAAAAGAACACGCTCTTCCGGGGGAGTTTGTATCATGTAAGTGATAACTTTAGTTTTCAAATTGGACAATGTCCCAAATAAAGGTGTCTAAAATAAATTATAACTTTTCCTCTTTTTAACTGAATAGAACAGAGTGAGTATTTCTGAGGTATGTTTGAACATATTTTCTCATAAAGAAAGATGTACTTCTATTTAATTTGGCTCTATCTATAGTTAAATATAAGTATTTGTACTGCTGTTTGAATTATTTGATTACTTCTCATTAGGGATTGGTAAATAGTGCTTTAATATTTTAAACACATGAAATCCAGTCCAAAATCAGATTTATGTCAGTGTGGTAATTTAATTGAAAGCCATGGCTACATCTTACAGAGCTGGAGGTGTGATCGGATTGCACATGGAGCAGTAAATGGTGTAATGGTGCTTACACAGCATGTTTGACTCATCATGTTTCACCAGCAAAGGTATAAGTAGAAAAACTGCAGGTCAAAATCACACAACAAAATAAGACATAAATTACTTGAAACCTGATACTTGACATGCATTTCATCCCCACTCTTTTAATAGAGCCTTCCTCATCAACTGAACTCAGAGTGAAAAACTGCCTCCACCAACACCACAAAACTTCATATTTTCTGTGAAACACACAAAAACTCAGCAGGTGCAACCTGAAATTTCTTAGGCATAGATAAATTTAATGCCATGTAATTAATACTATGTAACTAATCTTGTGTCCACTTTGTTGGACTACTCTATTTATTCTGGAGTAGTTCTTAATCCTGTAAATATAGATAGTACCACCAAGTATGATCGTGTATGTCAACATTTTCCAACCTCACTGCAAGCACTAGCAAGTCAATATTCTTCTGCTCTCCCACATTCCTATCTCGTCACACTGATGTTACAGCTCAGTTTTTTATTCTTTCCCCCACATAATTCCTTTTCTTGGACTCCTAGGATTTCCAGCAGAAAATATAAATGTTTTCTGGCCATCCATTTAATCTGGATTGTGATTTATGCCTCAAAAACAGGATCTTAATTTTATTGTTCCCTCTCATAAAATGTTTAAAGATTTCTCTAGCTCTTTAAAACATGCATACCCTTCAACCCAGAAGTAGGATATTCATTACACTTCTTGGAAGCCATTCTAAGAGAAAAAAAATCAAGTGTGAATATGAGGATACTCATTAAAGCATTATTTGCTAGTATGAAACACTGGAAACAAACTAAATATCCAAAAAGATGGAAACACAAGAAAGAATATTATGCAACCATTAAAACTCTTGTTGCTGGAGATCGATAAAGGATATAAAGCAATATTCACTACATGTTGTTAAATAGCAAAAATAGATCAGATTACAAAATGTTATATACAGTATGATCCCAAGTGTTTAAACAGATACACAAAGTAGACCAGAAGAGTGTGTAACAAAACATTAACAGTTGTCATTTCTTGGAATAGGAGTGTAAACTCTTCATTTTATTTTTCACTTGTTTCTAAATTTTCTCATTAGACATCTAATTTAAAATATGTAATGCAAATATATATGCAGAGTTTTACATCTTTCTCCAGGGTTTATTAAGTCTAAGCAGTAAGTGTAATCATTTCATAAGTAAAATGAAATAACTCATCCAATAATACTCAACCACAGGATAATACGTAAAGGAAAACTGTCTTGAAATACTCAGGGACTCATTCACGTCAGGAAATAAGAATTACTCAAAACCCTGACACTAACACTAAAATGTGTCTACCCTACAACAAGGCAGTCAAATGCTGACACTTCAGCTACAAAAACCATGTCAGTTCCTGTTGGTTCAGATCCTCTTTGGGCTTGCTGTTCTGGTCAAATTTAACTCTTTTCTTTTTTTCCTTTAAAATACTACATATGAACCCTAACCCTTGCAATACCATTTGACTACGCTGGGATAGGACAGATGATGATACTTAGCCTCACCACGACAATCAACCCCCGAAATTAGAAGGGAGGAATCTGGCTGCACTTGGAATAGAAGGCCTCTTTCCAGGTTTAATGTTGTTCAGTTCACTGGTTCCTAGACTTTTAAATTTTGTGAATTGACCTATTTCAAGCAAAAAATAAGGGACCTACATGGCAAAAAACTTTACTTTGCCACCTTCTATTCTCATCATTATTTTATAAAAGAAACCACATTGTTATATGAAAAAAATTAAAAAGAGCATGATCTCAAAGCAAAATATTCAGCTTCTCAAGAAAAATAACGTGTCAACCACACACTAAAACATAGGCGTAACACTATCCACTGAAAATGTTATCAGCAAACAGAGGCGACCCAGTGATTCTTCTGCTAGGCTTTCCCTTGCAGGTGAAAGGTGGTTTCATTTTTGAACTGAGGATTATCATAAAATTAAAAACTTATTATAAAACGAGCCAAAGCACAAAGGATTATTTGTTCCTCCAACCGACATACTCCAAAGAACAATCAAGCGATTGGTTATATAATCATCCATTTTAGATCTTTTGTAAAGGGCAAAAACAGCATCATAGATCGAGATCTACCTTTCTTAAGAACACTTACTGTGTTCTGTCCATCATTACAGACTTTGGAGTTTTTAGAATGCTAACAATAGAACTTTTCTCACAGTAAACTCAGTTTCCTAACTGGGCACCAGAATATTATTAGTCTTGCTGGAATCCTCTAGCCTGGATAAGAGCTAAAGCCAAGATAAACCTGCTGTTCTACACATGAACATGAACCCATGAAGAAACAACGGGCAGGGCAGCGAGTGTGCCTTGAGCATCGATTCAGATACATTTTCCTCCATATGACAAAGAGCACCAAACAACCATAAAATATCAAAATCTCAACTCTAAATATTACTTAAACAGCAGCAAAATCTGCTTATGTGGGACTGAGAAATCTTTCCTGATTGTCTTCATTATTTCCAAAGTCACTCAGATCATTCAAGATGATTTTTTAGCAAAGTCCTGGCTTACTTATTATAGCCTATATATGATGAAAACACAAACTAATCACTTGCTTTTGTTTGTTTCAAAATCATGTAGTAGTTTAAAGGCAATAAAAATTTTAATAAGAACCAAGGAACAAAAATAAAGGTAAAGTAAAAGTTGATTCCCTGCAGACAGTTGGTTTCAGCTAATGGGCTTTAGGTAGTAGTTACCACAAGGGTCAACTTTCATAATCATGTTTTCTTCACAGTTTCTTAATCCAAATTCAAAGGTAGTGGTTTCTTTTATGAATATTTTATCAGACAAGAATAAATGCAACATTTTATTTGGATTACACCACTCAGAGAAAAGGGGAAATAGAGAAAGGCCAATAAATCTTCAAGAGTTAATTATTTATATGGAGAAAATTTACTTTTATGTTGTGACTTGTTTTATTGGTACACTGCAGTTCAATTTAGATTAAGAAGCAGAAAGATTATTGTTTCTCAACAGAGAAGTATCATAAATAAATACAGCAGATAAATTTTTTTTGTATTTATGCTGAACCATTTACAAATTCTCAAAATAAAAATGTGTTCCAACAATTTCTCAAGTTTTAAACTCTTGATATGACATTTAACTACACTTAGCACCAAAAATGTAGTGGTGGTGCTAATCAGGGCAGAGCTCTTGTCCACAAGTGATGACAACAGAAGGGTGAGCATCATCATCACTCAATCTGCTAGAATATTCGCTGGATTTCTAGTTCAGTTTAGTTCACCCACAAAGCTGTGCAAAATATATAATCATTCTATGGGAAAGAACGCACTGTCATATAATAGGGCACTTGGGTTGCCAGAAGGGTTCTATGGTAATCTGAACTATGGATCTTTGTCATTACTTCAAATACTAAAGTTAAAATCTCTGTTATCCTACCAGAAAATAAAATCACAATAAGAAGAAACTTTGGAGGAAAGTTTCACTCCCTGGAACAATGTAGGTATTTGATAAATATTTATTGAATATTGAATTCAATGGATGGATAGATGGATGGTCAGATGATTTAAGAAGAAGTTATCAAACCTGAGAATACAGATGTCAACCCCATGGCCCTTGGAGAAGTCTCAACTCGATGTGACTCTGTTGCAGTTTGTCCTGACAGCAAGAAAAACAACAAATTATGCCGGACAGTTGCAAAACAATGCCAGTCACAAGAATGTCCAAGATTTCTGGAAGTTCTCTAGGATACAAATATATTTCTTGAATTTGAAATCAAATTGGACCTCCAAACACACCACACAGTTTACTTAACTTTGGCTTTTCCCTGCAATATATGTTGCTATAAACAGACCTAGGAAAGATTTCTCCTATTATCTGCAAACCTCAACCTATCTCTTCATTTTCTTCCAGAATTGTAAAAACTAATAGCTACTATCTATTGATCCCTAAATATGTACCAGTCACTGTAATGGATTTCAGATATATGACCTCATTTGATGCTCATAAAAGCCCTCTGCTTTTATTTATTTATTCAACAAAAATTAAGTACCTTTTATGTATTAGGCAATGTTCTAACAACTTAGCAATTAATCAGTGGCAAAAATAGACAAAAATCCCTGTCTTCATAAAGCTTACACTTTTGTCAATATGGAGAAAGGAGTGAACAATAAACATGATATTTATTGATATTCTAATTATCCCCAATTTAAAGATGAAGAAATTAATATTCAGAGAATTAGATAACCCTCCAAAGAAGACTTGGACAGTAAATGGTAGATTTGAGGCTTCAAATCCAGGACTCTCTAGCTCAAAAGCCTGTATTTAACATCATTAGGTGATGCTATCTCCACTCTTAGAATGGAGCCAAAACACTACTGCATGCTTGGAGTCCAAACCACAAGTGCAAGGCATGGTGGAGCTTCACTGGCTATAGGGTAGACTCTATCGGATGCCAGTCATCTTCACAGCTGCCGAACAAAGCCAAGACTCTCGCTAGGCTTCCATCTGAGACTCAGGACCTCTAAGTAGCATCAAGGTACCACAGCAATCTCCCTGCTATAGCACTTCATGCAGTTCCAGCCCACCCCGATCCAAGCACATGGCAGAACTGTACTTCCTGGATCTCCTGAGTTATACAGGAATATGTGAGTAGTTCTGTGTAATGTGTTGTAAATATGAGCTGTGCCACTTATAGGGTGGACCATATAATTTCTAGTTCAGAACCTCTCAGAATTCTCTTTTTTCCTCTTGTAGGAAGCCTGAAAATGTTCAGGATGAGTATGGGATCCTGAGTGATTACAATGAGCAGAACACCTCTGCTGATCTATGACTGGCAAGGAGCATAAGTGACAACAAAACCTTGTTTTTTGTTTTTGTTTTTCTTTTTCTTTTTCTTTTTTGAGACAGAGTCTCGCTCTGTCGCCCAGGCTGGAGTGCAGTGGCATGATCTCAGCTCACTGCAACCTCCGCCTCCCGGGTTCAAGCGATTCTTCTGCCTCAGCCTCCGAGTAGCTGGGACTACAGGCACGCCACCACGCCCAGCTAATTTTTGTATTTTTAGTAGAGACAGGGTTGCACCATGTTGACCAGGCTACTCTCGAACTCCTAACCTCGTGATCTGTCTGCCTCGGCCTCCCAAAGTGCTGGGATTACAAGCATGAGTCACCACGCCCAGCCAACCTTGTAATTTAAGACATGAGAACTGTGAAGGTTTTTGCTAAACAGCACAGCCTAGCTGATCCTTCTTTTACTGGGACACAGGAAATCCCTAAGTTTTTTTTTTTTTCTTAATTATAATGATTTTGCAGTAAAGGTAAACTAAATAAAATTGTGAAGCCCACAGTCTGGGAAGTAACCATATGGTGTCTGGTAGAAAATATATTAGAAAGCGAAGAGAAAATATATACAGAGGGTTTTGAGAAAAAGAAAAAAACATGAAAAATGTGTATCTTAAAAACACTACTGAGCAAAAAAAAAGTGTATGCATCAAAAAAAATGGTAAACTTCTTCTCTGCCTCATGATCAGGAATTATCACCATGCACAATCTTAAAAGAAAAAAATTATAAATTTCAATAGTGCATCTATTAACTGTTTTTTCTTTACACTTTTTCTCATCAGTTCACCTCTTCCCTATTTTAAAAAACAACCTCTGCAAAGACAAGATATGTCTGCCATGTGCCTGAATGTCAAAATATTTGAATAAAATTGAAAAGTTGACACTGAAATCCGATATGACTTCTTCGACATATAAAGCCAGAGGGAGATGGCCCCAAGAACACCAGGCACCACCTGCATTTACATCGTCGAAATGAAAAAGTGAAAAAGGAACAAATGTGGTCTCATTACTTTCCATAAAGGGAAAGCTCTTTACCACAACAATGCCTATTATACCAGATTATCAAACACAGAATCACATTGTAACTTCTGGAAAGTATGGAATATGTATACACAGAACAGAGCCAAAAGAACTCCAGACAGGTATGCCTCACCCTCAGGGACTCATGTGTTACAGAAAATGTTGGGAAAACTGAATAATAGGGACAAAAGAAACTCGCCATGTTAAGGTTTTCTAAACTGAAATTATTCTTACTTGTTTTAATTTACTTTTCTTACAATGCTTAATTCTCATATTTTTTAAGTAAGTTGCATTTATACCTTTGTTAAATGTAGGCCTTTTGATATAAGAAGTCAGTTTGGCAGAATTGCATTGATACATATTTGATGACATTCGTTCAAATATTTTCATTATTCCAAATAGGGGGAGGATTCCATAATAGCCCCTGGTTTATAAAAAATCCTAGGTTCACAGCCGTGGATGAGAATGAGTGAAAGTACCTAAAACCTACTATTTTCAAGATCCATGGGAAAACTGTTTTATATATATGAACAAGCCACAGGTGTCATTTAAAATCTTTAAACTGTCCTATAATTATGTATGATGTGACCAATGCGTATTTGCAGTGATTGTCCCCACAGAATTGCCGTCGACAATAAAATACAGACTGATATTGATCAGCCAAAAAAGAGAGACTGGGCTAATTTGTGGAATTATGGAAAACCTAAAATTCACCCAAAACTGTTCCCATTACCATAATCCATTTGAATTGAATCAGTGTTTTTCTATACAAGTTCCTTAAAGTTTGAGAGTAAATAGGACCCTTCCCACAATTCATATGTCCTTATGCACACTTTTCCAATTAGCAAGAAGCAAGAATTAGCATATCAACCACAGAATACTCATACATATACTTCATAGACGTTAAGTGCTCATAAAGCTGACTATTCTATAAAAGTAATCCATGTACTTGGAATCATTAAATTTCACCTTCTGGATACATAATGTAGTACTTATGGCATGCTCTGCAGATAGATCTTGGCTAAGTACTTGTGTCATGCTCTGCAAATGATTTTTGGCTAAAATAAAAGATCAATCAAACATCTCTCTCCACAACACTTAGTCTAGTTCTTTGGACCAAAAATTAACTTGGTGAAGCTTGTATACTTCTAGCTAGATGGCCCAGTCATTCTCACTCTTTAGTGCTGCTACAGAATATACTTCTGATCTTGGACAGTTCTCTGCACTGTTTCTGTAATAGTCCCAGAACCAATATAGTGATTGTCTCATCTTATATAGTTGACATATATTTGTTAATATATCTCATATATATTATTCAATATATACTTCATATTTGATATATATTTCTTAGAACTGTATGCCATGCATTAGAGAGAAACCAATGGAAGGGAGAAGGTAAAGAGGCATGTTTACTGTGCCCCTATTATGCGGGAGGCCCTCTGAACACTTTATATGTTATCTTGACACAGCTCTGTGGGTATAATGTTCATTATACAGAAGAGGAAACCAAAGCTCAGAGTGTTTAGTAACTTGTGCAAAGTTGCCAAATTGTTAAATGATGGATGCAGCTTTAAACTCAGGTGTATCTGGCTCTGAAGTCTATGATCTTCCCAACACACCACATAGGTCAATCTCACTTGTCTCTACACATCAAAACCTGTTTTCCCTTTTCCGAACCCCTGGCTACTGCCCAGCCAGCAGTGCAATAGGCCCATTTACAGTATACATACTTTCACATCAGGTTTTTCCCCCTAATTGGATATCCTTCTTCCTCCCCAACTATGCAAACATTACTGTCCCTTCAAAAGCCATTTTCTACATTAAGTCTCACTTCCCCACCAGCCCTTTCCTTTCTCAATGTGAATTGCACAATTTGGTTTCTGTGAACATAAGTTAGTTTGGAGTACGTCCTTTCTTGTACTGCTTTCTAACTGGAGTATTATTTCAATCTCAGTCACATTATAAATTCTTTTATTTTAGTTTTCCTTTAGTTTCCCAGTCCTCCTTCTTCACAGTGTTGACAAGTAATAAGTATAGCACAAAGGCTATCTTGCTATTGAGAATGCTATCATTTGACTATTTCATAATAAACTGAGAGGAAATGTCATGTACTGAAAGTTGCACTGGACTGGGAGTCAGAAGACCTCAGTTGACATTTTATGCCATAAACCATTAGTGCTATTTTGGGCAAGTAGTAGAACTTCCTTACACCTCACTCTCCTCACCTGTAAAAGAAAGGGCTCAGACTAGATGATACATAAACAGAATGCTTATCCTTATTTATTTTAAATTGCATTTCTGAAAAAAAGAAATTATAATTGTAGCCATGCACTTTTGTAGCCAGGTTTACCAAAGTTTCCCCCTTCAAAAACAATTCTCCCCTCTGTGTCTCCCACTTCATTGATAAGGTCTAGTAGATGTATTATATAAAACATAGACATTAACAGGAAGCTCTTTTCAAATTACAGCCAGTTTCCCAAACCAAACTGTCAACCTCCTACCCTCATATATTTAACACATGTGCTTCTGTAAAGGTGATTTATTAGTGAAAATCATAGTGTTCCCTATTATGAAACTCAGACTACCACCTGTGCATAACATTCCAGGAGTACAATAACATGTTTACATGTAAAACTCAGGCCAGTCACTTCCATCTCACCAACTATCCTGTCTTTCCTTTTCCTTCTTGTTTTGTTTGTTTTGAGATATGGTCTTGCTCCATCTGCAATGCAGTGGCACGATCATGGCTCACTGCAGACTCGACCTCCTGGGCTCAGATGATCCTCCCACCTCAGCCTCCCAGGTAGCTGGGACTACAGGCATTCAAGACCATGCCCAGCTAATTTCTCCGCCCCTTCCCCCCCACCCCAGGATGGAGTCTTGCCCTGTCTGCCCAGGCTGGAGTGCAGAGGTGTGATCTTGGCTCACTGCAACCTCCGCCTCCCGGGTTCAAGCAATTTTCCTGCCTCAGCCTCCCATGTAGGTGGGATTACAGCCGCCTGCCACCATATCCAGCTAATTTTTGTACTTTTAGTAGAGACAGGGTTTCACCATGTTAGCCAGACTGGTCTCGAACTCCTGACCTCGTGATCCTCCCACCTCGTCCCCCCAAAGTGCTGGGCCAGCTAATTTTTTATAGAGACAGGGTTTTACCATGTTGCCCAGGCTAGTCTTGAACTCCTGGGCTCAAGCGATCCACTCTCCTCGGCCTCCCAAAGTGCTGGGATTACAGGAGTGAGCTCTCATGCCCGGCAAAATTCAAATTTTTTAAGTGAAGGCTTTTATCAGGTTTATTATTAATCTAGGAAATACATATATTAATGGAAGGCTACATGTCACAATAAAAACTCAAAAAGCAGCATAACAATAACTGTGAGAAATATAACAATTACAATGGCATACAGCATTCGTTACAAACCATATTTTTCTTTCATACTGCTTTCCTTAATTCATTGCTTCATTTTCTCATCCGTTCATCCATTCAATACGAAGTTACTGAATATCTACTATGAATCAGCTACCAAGCCAGCTGCTTAGTTCCAATTTTGTCATATTAGATGAAGTGCAGTAAACTATTTTGTTTCTAAAACATACTACATAAAAGGTAAAAACAAACAAACAAACAAACAAAAAAACAAAAAGCAGCTCAAAGAAAACGTAAATATGGAGAGAAAGCAGAAAAACCTTATATTTAACTTGAGAAAAGTCCCCCAAAAGTCAAAGGGAAAAAAGAAGAAAACTACTAAGAGCAGAGAAGATGTGAACTTCATCTGCACATAAGAAAATAATGGTTGGTAATAATGATAAAGTTACAGCCTCAGAAATGACTGAAAAACATTCCATATCACCTTTACTCTTATACTCTTACTAGAAGGAAAGAACCATAACTGTTAAGTTAGTTATATCTTATTTTTTTTTAGGGGCAAAGAGTAAATTTTCCAATACAGTAACCATTTTCCCATTCAACTTTATGTTAAATATCAACCAAATCCAACCCACCAGATTTGTGTTTTTGCTGTGTTACATCTATGCCCCACCCAATATGGACATATCTTGGTACAAATGCACTTTCCAAATGATAATTACTTAATCATTAATAGGTACTCTACTGAGAAATAATTACCTTTCTTGATAGGCTCAATTAACCTAGTATTTTGTCTTCAGTGAGCCAAACAGTATTGGAGATCTTGGCAACACTAGGCTAAAACTGTATACGTTACATCGTGAAAATTAATGTCTCAAGTAAGCAAATGCTTTATTTCTTCTCTTTGCTGCAGCACTTTGTCTTCTAGTCTTTCACATTTTCAAATACTTTAGATAAAAATAAAGGAAAATGGAAACAAAGGCTCTAAAACCCAAAACAAGATTTCTCAGAAAATAAGTGCCCAGAACTGACTTAAATGATACACTGGGGCCTCAAACATGTCTAGAAAAAAAGAAGCAAAGGAGATCTTGGAGTCTCTTGTAAATGTGTAGATTTATTTTACTCAGATTACTTGAGAGGAGTTGTTGGTTTTAGCTTTCTGTATTTGAACTTAACAAAGCTAATGGCAACTCACTTTGAATGCCTCCTATATATCAAGCATTCTACAGGGCATTTCACATAATTTAGCTAACTTCCTCTTTACAGCCATCCTACAGTATGCATAATGTTATCGTTTCATTTTTTAGAAGAGGAGAAAGCTCAGAGAGGTTAAGTGATTTGCACCGGGTTGCCCAGCTACTACATGCTGGAACTACAACTGGGATTTGAGCAGTATGCTCAACTCCCAGACTTGTGCTTGCTCACGGTGCTCAGATCTCTTTTCCATGCCATACAACTGGCTAATTGCCTCACTTGGTAAGAGCATGATGCTGGAGAAACTGGGACTATATATATGTTAGATCTTGTTTAGGTTACTTTGCTTAATAACAAAGAAGAATTCTGCTCCAAATTGTGCTACCAATGTGTTCCTTTGGTCACCGAATGAACCAGTGGCTCAATACAAAATTTTATCACTGATGACCAAACACTTCAAGGTGAATTCAGGACAAATGGTGCCCTCTGTTCTCACACAGGAGGGATAAAAATATTGGTAAAAATAGTGTGCATTCCTATGAGGGTTGTTTGCTGGGACACAGTAATTTTTCATTATTTTTACATTTAGCTTGATGAGAAATATAATCATCAACTTGCTGGAATCCAAGCAGCAGCAAGCTAATAATCATATGACTGGGTCCCCTCCCTAGGACTCTGATTATGTGAAGTAAAGTTCTTTTTTGTGACTTCCACAAAGTAGATTTTTTAAAGGAGGCACCGTTCTATCAAATTATGTAAATAATTTAAAACTTCCTCTTATGCATCCCTCCCTGCTCTTTGTAAGTCACCCAACGATTTGCAAAAATAACCATGGGAAATGTTTTGGGTGGGCTTTTGAAGATATTTTTAGCTAAACTGGTGGAGGTTTAAAATACAAGCATGCGAGTGTCTGCCATTTAGAGAAATCACCTGCTCACACAGTTCCATGGAGAAGTGGAATGTTTTAATGTGTGTCATTCAGTACAACATGTGGACTGCATTAAGGCAGGTTATAGCAGGTCACGCCACGTGACACAGCTGAGCCACATATAATCGCAAGCAATACAACTTGCTCAATGCAACATAAATTTAAACAGGAGTAGGTTTTTTACCCTCAAAATGAGGCAACAGCTGCTGTAGATAACAAAATGCCCACACTACCCCACACTGAGAGGGGTTTGTGCTTTGACATGATCTGAATTATATGTAGGTAGTTCAGTACATCTATATTTAGGGGCATCTCTAAATATGAACAATGGGTGTTTTGGTGCATAGAATACATTCTCTAAGTGGCACAAACCTCATGTTTTTTTAATAGTGCATTTTGTAATTTTCTCACTAGTGAATAAGAAGCATTTTAAAATACAGCCTTAAAAATTAGACAGTAGAGACAATTTTTGGCTTAGAGAAACTGGCTTCTGAGCCAGTGGGCCAAATATTTAGTGTTCTTATTTAGACAAAAGATAAAATACTCTGCAAGTACAGCACTGAGAAGGCCCAGAAGAAAGAAAACACCATTGAATTATGATAAAACAAGAAATCAGAGAAAGTAGAGAAATGTGCTGCTAAAATCAACAATGGTTAATTTCCAAGACAAGTCAGTACATGTGGCATCACTGGCAAGCACAATAGTCCTGAAAACTTTAAGATGTTTGTTGGGTTGTTTGTTTGCTTATTCCTTCTTCCTTGAAATAGGGTGTCACATTGTAACTTGAATTATCTTGACTTTGGATCCACTTCTGACATTTAGATCTAGCTTCTCATTAAAGCCTCAGAAGTGTTCCATGAGTAGGCAAAGAACAAGTCTCTCTCAGATAACCCCACCCAGCTCTGGTCACTCCCACCATGACAGCACAAACCCGCCCAGGCAACGCTTACATATCCATCTCTGCATAGCTATAATTAACCACGCACTAGCTCATAAATCTGTTTGAAGTGTAAATGTCATATGATAAGAAGAACATGGAAATATTTTTACAATGTCTCTTTTGTATTCATCAATAAATATGAATCTGTTCCATCGAACTCAATTTTGGACAGTATAAAAACAAATGAAGTATCTCATTAAAGAGGAGAAACTTAAGCTTCAGAAGTCATTTTGGGGCTAGAGAAAGTGTAAGAAAGCTCAATTCTGTAAGGCACAAACGATGAGTGTGCCTTAGAAATGAATTACGTGTATTGACTGCTTACTATGTGTGAAGCACATTATCTGCCTGACCTAATGTGATCCATGAGAAAATTGTAACAAAAAGAGAAAAGCTTTCAGGGGTTAAGAAATTTGGCTGAATTTACATAGCCAGTGTGTGGGAGAACAAGAATTCAAAGCTAGATCTCACTGGTAACAGAGCCACATCTTTCAACCAAATACCTATCCTTTAAACTGGTTTCACCTAACCTCACCCACACTGAGTTCAGGCTAAACGTATTTTCCCTAGCACTCATATTTGGTCCACTGGTTCTTTTAAAGTCAACCTATGATATCTCCACAAATAAACTGAAAACTTCTTATGGACAAAGACTTTATAAATTATTTCTCTTTAATTTTTACATGACTACCTATGTGTTTGATACCAAGTAGATACACAATGTTTGCTGAATTTAAATGTGTTCTCATCCATGGCTACATAATTGTTAGCCCCATCTTCTCCACTCAGCTCTGACAATAACAGAAAGGCAGGTGGGGTTCCTGAAAACAGGACTAGACTTGCAAAAGACCTGAGTTTTGCATCCAGCTTTGCCTTACTTTGGTTGTGTGCTATTGTGAAATTCATTAGCTTATTCTTTCAATTTCCTTATCTATAAAATTGACATATATAAAATCTATTTCATAAAGATAAAATAGTGTCATATTTTCCTTCAGATCTTTTCATACTCTATAAAAAAGGCAGGAGAGTTTAACTGACAAAACTCCCAAGTATCTGCTATGGATATCAGTGAAATTTTCCTAGAGGTAGGTATCATTCAGTCATTCACAGGACATCTCTTTTGTGTAGGCATTCTTCTGGGGAATGACCAGACAGTGATGAGCAAAAACAGACTCAGTCTCCGCTCTTCCCAAGATTCATGATCTACTGGAAGGCCAGATGTTACAGCTGAAATCATTCGATTTTAACACTTTCATTTTTAAAATATACCTACAATTTCCATTTTTATTAGGGGAACTTTCAAGAGTCAATTTACTAACCATTAGATCTATGATCCTAGTAATTGAAATTTCTTACAAAGTAACAAAAGTTATACATGACACTAGAAGTATAGCTACCCACACATTTCTGAAATATTACTGGTTATGAGTAGAACACTCAGGAATTACAGGGACTGTCATAAAATCACATAGATTTTTTTCAATGTGAAAGTGTTGTGTTCAAAGTCTCCCAGTATAAGTGTAATACTGCAATTCAGGTCCTAATTCAATGAGATGAACTATCAGACCAATGTGGCAATATGGCTTTAGTCATCACCATTGTACTATCTGAGATAAGATGAAAACAAAAAGAAACATTCCAACACTCACATATTGATATTTGATATACTAAATCTTCTGGAGGACTAAATTCTCAACATAAAAAATTACATGACATTTTATGATCATTATTGGCAGAATGCATCACACAAAAGATGACAGTTATACCAACAGGTTTTTTAAACCTGGTGTCATCTTTGAAAATGTGTTTGTGTTAAAATACATTTCCAGTCTGTGGGATTACACTTTTATTTACTTTTATTTCTCAAGAAAAGATGTGACACGTTTAATGTTAATAATTCCATAACAACCAATTAACAGAAATGTGAAGAAGAGATTTTTCATAAGAAAGGAGTTATTTGCAATGGATTTCAACAAATTCCCCAGTTGGCTAAAGATATATCATGCTGGGCAATGGAGTAGGTAAAACATTTCCATGGCAAACTTTCAAGGATCCATCGTTTATGGCCGCACTCCCTGTCCTCTCTTGTCTTCTTTTAAAATGCCAGTCGTGTATGGATGAGGCACATGTTTCTTCTGCCAGTGCCTGCTCAAGCAGACAGTTTACTAATTTGTAGCTCAGTAAACCTTTCACTGCACTGAGCACCTTGAGGTTAGCAAATCTCTAATCATTATTTGATAACAGAAATCTGCAAGCATCACATCCCTGGTAACAAGAACATTGTATCTTAGCAACCAGCCGTGATATTCAAACAATTTCATTAAAGCGTAGCACCTCTTAGCAGGTGGGTGAGCGCGGGTGTTGATAAACATTTATAACATGATCAGCCATTGTGTTTGCCAACACTATAATCAGCATGACAAATTTATGAATTTGTTTACAAGCTCCTAGATAGCCAATCTATGTAGGTAAACTACATTTCAGACTGGTTAGGAGATCCAAATATCAGCTCCTTATTTTAAATGGAGAGTTTCTTTAGAAACCTATCAATTTAAAAGACTGCCAACCTGCTCTCAGTACAGAGACATCATATTTCCATTGTGGTCTAATGGTCTAATCTTCAAATAGTAGAGTTGAATTTAAATGCTTCAGGAGCAAAATCTGAGTGGGAACTTCAGCTACATTGAAATTCATAAGAATCACACTATAAGGTTGAATTTTTTTCTTCTTCAGATGGATAGAGCCAGATGATATGCCTTTCATGCCCACTGATCTATTGCATCAATGACTTAAAGGAAACAAATGTGATAAAACTCCCCTTTCTAAAAAGAAGAAAATTTTTCAGTAAATACTACAAATTTTAAAATGTAGTATAAATGTGTTTTATAGACATTCATTTTTAGGAATTATTGATCTGTCACCATTGTGAATTGGCCCAGACATGAACAGCCTTTTCTCATCTATTTGCTTCAATCTAATATTTACCTATAGTGTTTATAAATTTGTCTGGAATTTAACATTTCACCTTAGAGAGAATTTAATCTTCTTCCTAGTGAATGATCAGGAATATATATATAATTTTTAAACCCCCACCAACTCCATGTTCTTCAAAATTGAAAAGTCTTCCAATCTGGAAAGTACTAACAGGGCACATCTCTTTCTTAATTATATAACACAGCTTCTAATATGACTATAAGGTACCAAACCTGTGATTGTTCAAGTGTTACCAAGTATAAAAGTTCACTGAGGCATGCACTGGCAAATAGGTAGATGAAAAACAAGGACTTTTATACTTTCTGAAGTTTGAACCTTGAACTTACAGCACATGGTTACAACAGGGCCCCTGGGCTCCTCATCCCTGAACAAGCTATTAATCTACCTGAAATAGGTGAACTTCAGTGAAGCATTATCAAATAGGTAACAAGCTTCCTTTCAAATTAAAACCAGCCATGATGAAAAACAAGTTTGTTGACCTAGCTTGTTCACCATGAACCATGACACGTCAGTTAATAACTACCACCTGGGCAACTCCAAGCTTCAGCAACTAGCATTGCAATGTTAGAAAGATTCAGAGACAACAATATAGAGTACAGCCTGAAAGACCAACTGCTCTATATGCAAATAGTGTTGGGGGAAAAAAATCTTCAGGGAGAAAGTAAAACACTTCAAAAGTTGTAGTCAGAAAAAGGATCATGATCTGTGGGTACCCTCAAGCAAAGACAACAAAAATACTCTGCATTTGTGTGTATGATTCCAGGTGGGGTGAGGGACAGGATGAGGAGGTGTGAGGGGGAGACTGGGGCAGTATTTGCCATATACTACACATTAGGTTAACTGTTATAACAATTATTCTTCCTGGTTTCCTGAAGCTTCCCAATATCTATTTCTTGTATTTTGACATGTATAGAAACTCTTTTTGTCTGAAGGAGAAAATAATTCTGTTTCTGACATGGGGTGGGGAGAAGAGTGCAATGCCTGAAACAGGGACACAGTTGGAATTGGTATTTACATTTTTGGGAAAGTCTTTAAACCTCTGTATCTATGCAAGCACTATTAACTTATCAATTACTTATTAATATCAGCTCATTATTGTCTTAATCTAACTTTTAAAAAATTAGTCCCTTCTCATAAGAATTTTAAACTTTGTTTTCTACGGAAGTTTGGGGCAAGAACCAGTATGTTTGTGAATGTGTAAGACTGTGTGTGTGTGTGAGGGAGACAGAGAAAGAGAGAATGTTATTAGTTTATTTTTTACTTACTGAAGTGGGTAATTCTACATCCTATTTCTATGAGAGAGCTAACAAAATTCACTGCTTCAGTGTTTGATGGGCTACTTCCTAAACTGTTGAACTGTGGTCATTAAAATGCTGGATTTCTGAAAACATATAATAGACCATAACTAATGCAACTGTTGCAGAAGTAAGAAAGATTTCTTCTGTACTATTTTGCCTTCTGAGCTGCGCTTGTATATTATGGATTATCTTCCAGTTAAACAAAAACAATGTAAATAAATAAACACCTCTTTCCATAATAGCACCAGCTTATAAAGATTCTTTAGAGCAGCCTCCCCTTGCCTGAGCTCGACAGGTAAAGAAAGGCCTAGTGCACATCTCAGAGACCCACCGCAGAGAGGCAGCTACTGCTAGAGTCAGGCACTAGTGGCAAGACCAAACCTTGAGTTTTATGTAACCAATGCCAGGTGGTATAGACTCTATTTATAGAATTCATGGGACTTGACTACAAATAATTTTTTACTCAGGCTATTCATACCTGAAGTTTCTGCCAAAATATTCTGAAGAAAAAAAATAGTTTACATCACTGGTGATCTAAAACTTCAGCTATAGTCTGAGAAAGAAAACAGGTAAGAACTGTCACCAGCATAAACCAATGCTGTTGTGATTCTGCACAAGAAGCCACCTCTCCAACAAGCCCTTGGGTGGTTTGCTGTTAGAAAATTGTAAGGATTGAAAATTCCACAGAGTCTACAGGGCTTGGTATTTGCGTAGTACTTTTCATCCGAAGGTATCAAGGTGCAGGATAAATATTAACTCACAAATCCTGTCAGGTTTGCTGATGTGTGGGTTTGAAAACTCCAACTTTGAGTCAGAATTCCTCCCTAATTCCATTTTTCTCCATTCCCAGGATAAGAATAAGATTTACTTTTCCACAAAAGTTTGAATATAAATAAAAAACTGAAACGCTCGTGGAACTGAATCTTCTAAACGTCTTTCACTCATAATCCATTCTATTCTTTATATTGAAAAAAATTTAAATTAAAAACACATTAATGCTTGATTTATCTGGCAGCATCAAAAAAAGATCCATTTCTTTAAAAAATAAACCCTCTATCACATTTTAAAAACAATTTGTATAGAAGTGTTTTAAGACTATATAGTAAATGTCCTAGTTCCCAAAATAGGAATAAATCATGGACAAGTTTAGCCTGTCTTAATTATTCTAGAACACTATTATGGCCATTAATGATTGAACTGCATTGTAATATAGCCCCGATATATAGCCAGCCATTTGCCTCCAGAGCAAATACTTAAGATTACAATTTCTTTTTCCATTTTTGTGTCTTTTTGCAGGCTTTTCAAAAAATCTTCTCCCTTCCCAGAAGCTGCCATGTTACTCATAAAGCAAGCTATTCTAAAAGCAATCTTTATTCTCTTCCAACTTGTTGCTTCTACGATAATGTTAGCCAGGAAACCAGATACCCAAGCTAGAAAACTAAACTCTTAATGAGTGAAGGTCTATGGTTGCTGTCAATGAACGAGGTACGTAAGTCTATTACATGCACGAGACATATGCATTGTAGCTGCTTCCTTATTTACGACAATCTTCTGATTATATTTGATCCACATCCCGGGATAAGTGAGCTGTTAGCATAGTGAAAAATACACAGATGATAGGAAAATCCATATCTCCATCACGGTCATTTGAAATAATTAGCTGGTAGGGGGATTGGCCATAGAATAATATACTTAAGGCAAATTTAAGGATATGACACTCAGAAAAAAGGTAGTAGAGCTGATGGATTTTTTCTCTTTATCTTTGCAATGCTAGTTTGTTTGCTTGTTTGTTTTTCCAGAAGGGAATCATTCTGAAATCTTAATTTCCACATGGATTTTCTCTATAGTCACTGATCATTAGAGAGGCAGGATCAGACCAAAAAATGCTGTTGTTTCACAAGTTTTATTTGGTTTGCTTTTCCAAATTAAGTTGTCCCTATATTAGCAACCAGTACAGTCAAGCTGGGGCTACAGAGAATCAAGTGAAAGACAAAGTGCAATGCAAGAAAAGATGCTAAATCAGAGTGATAAGTTCCTACTGATATCTAAGGATATGTGCAACATAGTAAGAAAAACGGATGAAAATCTTGTAAAGGGAAAAGGCTTGTGCATAATATTCACAACCGAGTACCTGAAATAAACAGTACAGGCAACACTGGTTGGCAGGTCACAGCTTGTGCCAGGATGAATAACAGTGCAATCAATGTTCCAGCAGCTACCTATTGCTGATCAAGGAGAGCACCTGGATTTCACTAAATACCTTCCCTGCAGTAAAATCCTTAAGAGGTTTCTCAGAGAGGTACCAATTAGGCTTCATTGTGAACACTTTCTTTTAATAAAACCAGATATGTTTTTGAATTTGCCAAAACCGAATATGTTTTTTGAATTTACAAAACAAACTTTTACTCTCACAGAGCACCCATTTCTCCCAAGTACCTCAATGGTTCCCAAAGGATAATAAGAATCACCTGGAGGGTTGGAGGAGTTATGGGGTAGACTTTACATCATGGATTACACTTTACAGTTATTCCTATGCTGCATCACATAATCCTTAAGATTGCAAATGAGTTTACGGTCAAGAAACATATAAAATAATATTGTGCAACTTTTCGTACATAGGCCTCTAGACCATTAGTAAAAGACAACCATAACCCAATCATAACTAAAACCTTACAGACTTAATGACACTGTTGTAACTAAACCACCAGGTAAGTCACTACCTAAATGGTTGCCATTCATGGGTGAGGTCTCCTGGGTGCTTGTTAGAAATCCAGCATCTCGGAGCCCACCCCAGACCTACTGGCTTAATATCTGCATTTTAACAAGATCCCCAGATCAGTCTTATGAACATTAAAATTTGAGAAGCACTGAACTTAGAATAAAGGAAGGAAGGGAGGGAAGGAGAAGGGAAAAAAGAAAGAGAATATAGAGTGGTTTTCCCTGCACTCTTCTAAGAGCTTATATGCATTTATGCAATTAACCCCCACAATAAATTCAGCGAGGTAGGTATAAAGAACACAAGTGTAAACATATGAATTAAAACCTAGTTTCTCTAATACATGAAGATGTTTAAATGGTATTTATGAGTGGAAACTGTTTTCCTTTTTGACACTCCCTAGTAGGCCCTAGTGGTTCTTTAGGAAATCTCTGTGGGCAGCCATGGTAACTTTGGTCTGTAACCTCTTTTTATAACCTTCTATTCTTGGCAAAGAAGTAGTTGACACAGAAATCAAGCCAGATGTTCATCCTGGAATTATGGCACAGGGCGGGGGGTTGGGGAGAGGGTGAAGGAGTATCTCTGGGGGAGATTGGAGCTCTACCAAGAGCAGACAAATTTTCCGCCTCAGCTTTTCTTTCCTCCCAAAGTATGTCTTACCTTAAATTTGGGAACATCCTAAGGAAAAGCTAATATTATATATATTCTTTGCATTACTAAGAATATTGAATAACTAGAAGGGGAGATGTTTTGGTCTGTTATTCTTAGTAATGGTTCAAGATTAAAATAATTTTACTAATAAAATAAAAATAACCTTTGTGACTCCATCATGAGAGAGCAAGCAAGAGGGGGGACGAAAGAGAGTGGGAGGGAGAAAGGAAAATGGGGTGAGAGGGAGGCAGGAAAGAAGGAAAAAAAGAGAAAATTCCAAATCAGATGGACTTTAAAATCCTTACTTTGTAAAATTGTAAAAAGCCATCACCTTTTAGGAGTGAATGAAAGAAAAAAAATCTGCTTTGCTTATTGTTTCTATGTTCATCTGGAGCATAGAATATTGCATATCCTGTGATAGGACAGAATTCTAATGAAACTAAAATAGTCCCTTGGACACAGACCTCCCTTGTAGTTCATTTTCTTTTATTTGACATAAGTCATATGCTATGGAATGTATTCAGTTAAAACAATGACCAGTATCTGTTCTTTAATCCCACTGCATAATTACTAACAGAAAGTATATTTTGTTCCCTAGAATATAAATACTAAAAGTCCCTCCATTATTAGAACTGACACTATAGATATGATGTATTCTTTTTTTTTTTTTTTTACCATTTACCTCTATAACAGAGATTCATTTTAGAATGCCTGAGAGGATTGTCAGAGTACTCTGATAAATTACAAAAGGTACAAACACTCCACAATTTTCTCAATTATCCTCGTTACCATTTATAAACATTTTATCTATTGCTATAAAGCAACCATGAGGTATGTGTAGAAAGATTCAACAACAAATGGCTTACATTTTTATGTCTTATGGTAATCTTCACATTAAGAGAATATTCTGTGTATCATTATAATTCCTAAATTTGAAGCAGAAAACCTCCATTGTGATCTCCATTTTGTGCCCATTCTAAGTTTCACATTTAATTCTAAGCATCAACCATGATTACTGCTGACATCTTTATATCAATGAGTCTCTGAGATTGTATGCAAAGTCCTGAAAACTTCACCCAGGGTGTCATCAAATTAGGCAAGCCTGGTTTTCCTCTGTGTTTACCAGCTGACGCACAGTCTCTGAACTTACAAGTACATGGCTGGCTGGGCAGTCATGCCCAGTTTTCACAATTTATTATTCCTTTTAATGGCTCTCTTTTCATCCCAATGAAATACTCTGTCTCTTAATTTCACGTGAATATCCTTTACCTGGGAAAGTGGAAGAAAAACGATAACACTCGTTTCTAATTAATTTCTTACATTTCCCTCAGTGAAGTGTATCTAAAGAAGCAAAACTTACTGAATCAAGTTTAATGACATAATAAATTCTTCCTTTCCGACAATGCTATGGCTTAATTCACTAGTGCACTTTAAGCTTTTGCCTTTAGCGACTGATGGGTCATTAGTCTGTATGTAATCCAGCAATCGGACTCCTTGGAGTCTAAACTCAATCAGCAAGCACCAAATCAGTAGTTTCTGAAATATGACTGGTAGGTCAAGTGTCCCCAAAAAGAGTGCCTGGGGCATCCCAGATGGAGAATAGGGCATGACAAGCAACAAACTAGGACAGAATTTGATGCCAGCATTCACTAAAGACTTCATTCATTCTAACTCACTAAACAACTATTCTTCAAATGATTTGACCTCCACTTTTGATGTTTTCTAGCAATAGGTCATGCAATAAAATTGGTTGGTATGTGCCGATAGCTTTAACATACATGTCATCAAGTTGAACATATTCTAATCACATTTTTGCCCCAAGAACCTTTGCCTAATATCAGGAAAATGGGCCATGGAATCACTATCAGTCATCCTAGACCAAAACAGGCTAATTACTGCACATTAATCCCACATATGAAATGTGCTCTCTGCTGGGTCAAATTTGTCTTCTTTCTTTGACAGCATCTTCTATTGCTGAAAAATACAAATAGAGATACTAGTAATATTTTCCCTGGATTTCACATAAGATTTGGGAAAACCATTTCTACTCTACCTTCAATGGCTAAAATAGCCAACCTATCCAATCTACTTAGTTCTGCTATAGTGCTTCATTCATTCATTCATTTATTCATTCAGATGATTCTAGATACTGGAAATAGAGATAAAAGTTGCAGTCACTACCATCAGGATTAAACAACTAATTTTAGATAAGTGATATGATGGTGTACTTTAGCCTGCATCATCATCATCATTCTCATCATCTTATCTTTTAAAATAATTTAACATAAAACACACAAGACAACACTAGATATAATTCAGATCTGACATTATGCATAGAGAAATACAGAAAAAAAAATCCTCCCCCCAACTTCTAAAACAGGATTTTCAATGTTCTATAAAAAACACTTTGTCTCACTTCATCATGGTGTCATCTTCCTAGAGGAACTTGGTAGAAAGACTAGACCCAAGAGTTGAATTGAATCATTTTCTTTAGAAACTTAAGAGCCAGCATCTAAAATTGCCGGTTGGCCATGGTCCCTGTGAGCAGATGGAGGAGCAACAAGGGCCATGGTAGCAGGAACAGACACAGAGAATTTGGATTCTGAAAGGAAGGTGACCATGAGAGCATGAGAAGGGAGGAGAGAGAAAACAGGGAGCTTGAAAGAGAAGTGAGTAGAGTTAGAAGCAGGAGGACAGAGGAAGCAAGAAAGGAAGAGCAAAAGGAGAAGAGAAATTGAAGAGTGGGTGGGAGGAAGAACAAGTGAGAAGCGCATTAAACTACAGCACATATGCCTAAACCCATGAAATTAACATATTGAAAATAATCCAGTACTTCCTTATACAGAAAACAGTGGTTGGATCAAGTTGCAGGGCCCTGTAGATGAGGAAGCCAAGAGACACACTGCAATAGGCAGCCTCTAAAATGGCTCCCAGGACACCCTGGCTCCTGGTATGCATGTCCATGTGTAATACGCTCCCATTGAGTGTGGGCTGGACCTAGTGACTCACTTCTTACCAAGAGAATACAGCAAAATTGACGGGCTCTCACTTCCAAGATCAAGTAACAAAAACGCTTTGAATTCCACCTTACCTTTTCTTTCTTTCCTTCACCTGCTCACTCTGTAGAATGTCAGCTGCCATACTGTGAGCTGTCCTATGGAAAGAGTCACATGCCAGGGAACTGAGGAAGGCCTCTGGCCAGTAACCAGTGAGGAAATGGAGCCTGCAGTCCAAAAGCTCCCAAGGAATCAAATCCTTCTAACAACTGACTGACTGAGCTAGAAGCTAGTCTCTCCTCAGCTAAGGCTTTAAATGAGACCACAACCCTGGCCAACACCTTGATTGTAGCTGTGTGAGATTCCTTGAGATAGAGGCACTTAAACTACCTATTGATTCTGGACCCACAGAAATTATGAGATAATAAGTGCTCGTTGTCTTAAACTGCTAAGTTTTAAGATAATTTGTTATGCAACAATGGATAACTAATACACACATTTAATAGGAAAATGACAACTTTGACCAAGATTAAGTCTAGATCAGTAGGTATATCACAAGTGCAACCCTAATAGACTTAATAACAGAATTATGAAAACTCCATCTAAGATAAAGGTAAGAATTTGGTTTAAATTAATCAGCAAATCTTCCCTCATATTTCTCACAGAAACCTGGGTTTGAGCACCAACTACGGGCTAGGTACTTAATAACTGTGAGACATAATCAAGCCATTTAAGCTTTCTGGGACAAAATCTTGATATGTGGAAAATGCAGCTAATAAGTATCCCTGTTTGTCATTATTGTCATGAGATTGACTCAGGGTCATGAAATTGAAACTTACTTTGGAAACTATAAAACCAGTCATAATGTAAGTAATAAGGAGACTGCTGCAGTCCTACTCATGGATTTTCTCCAGGCTAATAACATTTTAAATATTTGCAACTCCTCAAAAAGTATTCCCTTTCTAATGAGGCAAAAGATAATATCTCTTTAGTTCTTAAGTTTTGCTATGAAATATCTTAAGTTTTTGTGCCATTTTTGCCAAATCTAGTGTTTTGGATCAATACCAATTCCATCTTTGGTCACTTCATGTATATTAAGATTTAGCCAAATAATTCCAAGGTTTTCTTTTTAATTTAAAAAAAATATATGTCTTGGGTGAGATTCCTTAGAAACAGGGCCCGAGGTAAAAATTTTGGTTCAAGTGATTTACTGAGGGAGTGTTCTAAGGAGAAGGGGAGGAGATGAGAGGGAAAGAATGTTGACCAAGTGTGGGCTCAGCTGGAGGCTAGCATCAGTTGATCCGGAAGTTCTGGAGCACAAATCACACCACAGCATTAGGTCTACCTTGAGGTAAAGAGGCTAGCATTTTGTCAGCTCCCCCCTACCTTGACCCCTATCCCTGTCAGTCATTGGCCACAGGACAAGTCTCCAGGGAAGAAGGCAGCTATGAGGTCACCAGCCACACTCAAAGCAGCTTGGGCAGGAGGCAGGGGGGAAGCAAGTACCAGCCACTGAAGCGTATCTAAGCAGGGTAACAATAGCATCTCCTACAGGGGATATATTTCTGGCCTTTTTTATGGTATTTTCTCATCATTTTTGCAAATAGGTCTTGTTATGCTAAATAGTTCTAGCATTTTATACCAGCTGTGTTAAATGAGACAGCAGAAAGAGCAACAGTGTGGAAAAAGAAAGATTTGTCTCTAATCAGAGTTGTGCAGCTTAATTCAGGTCAGACAACAAATGAAAGGGGGTCACTGGGAAACTTTTTCGCTCCTAAAATATAGCCATTAAGAAATATACACCGGAGGTACCTAGGTAAAGCTGAGGCACTCAGGGCGCCTGGGGAGCAGTGGTTTCCTCAGCAAGCCCAAGTGGGAGAAGGGTAGGGGGAGCAGCTTGGGCAGAAGAGAAGGTGAGTGTGACAGAGCTGTCAACTGAGGTCCCAGAGAAAGGCAAAGGTAAGAGAAGTCATGCCCATGCCCAAGAGAGAATGAGAAGGGAAGGAAGGGGAAGAAAAAGTGGTACTTATAACCCGAGAGGAAGGATGAATACAAGAATATACCCAAACAGTGTGCAATCATAGGCATGTCCTAACTCTATCTCCTGATAAAGAATGCCTCTGATTTTTCCCACCAAACTTTTCTCTGTTTCTCATATCCGACATGGCCCACTTTTTTCCTTATAAATTGTTTACATTTGAAAAAGCTCAATCATGAAACAGAAGATGGTAAAACTTCTGTTTATTTGATGGTTATTACTAACACTTCAGCTGGAGCTTCCTGAAACATTATTGCTCTTGGTTGCATTGAGGGAGGAGTTGGTATTTGTCAAAAATTATATTTGACTTTGGTTGCCCAGAAGAAATTCTGAAGCTTCCAAATGCACGGGAGGCTTTACAGAGGTGCTCAGTGAGGAAGCGGAATCTGGAGTTTATACCATACAGAACGCCCAGCCTTGCCTCCCCCAGCATGGATGGATGATCATTGCCAATCCTCATTTGTGTTTCTGACATTAATTAATTTTGGCTTTTTTAGCATATATGAAAAAAGATTGGAGATTCTCATGAATAAAACACTACAGTGGCAATACTATTTCAACCAGAATTCCGTCTCCTTCCATCATTCTCAAGCATAGATTACCACTTTTTAAAACTATTCCAACTAGGAAATATTTATGTTTGATAAAACTAAAATGTAAACATGGGTTTAAGGTGCTTGCCTAGCTTGCTTTCCTATAACAAAATATCTGCTGGTTTTCAAAGTTATATTGAAACAGTATGTTAAATTCAGTTCTGACAGCATATAAAGATACTGGCTTTCCTAGACACATAAGCAAAGTCTTTTTATGAGCTCATAAAGGCTAGACTTAAGGAATATTTAAGTAGTGGATAATTCATAGAACAATACGATATCTTTAGTCACTCAGCTAACATAGAGGGCAACCACAATTTATTCTTCTTAGAACTTCCTCTCATGTTTTATATTCTTAGGAGGTGAAAGGTATTTAGAAAAGACCTAAATACATTTTTTTATTATTATTGAACTATCAAAGATGTGCTCTCTTTGGGACTCCCTCCACTTCCTCATTCTGTGTATGTTAACCCACTTCAGAGACCATGGTGAAATGGACCCAAAACACCAACTTACTATTTGCATTATAAATGGAGACACAAAAGAATATTTTAAAACTTTTGGTTGATCTGGCATATCAAAGATTTCTTTCTCAGCTTACTTCAGTGAGTGCATTGAAGTAAACTGAAAGCAATAGCTTAAAAGTGGCTTTAAAAAGTCATAAAAAAAAAAAAACCGGCTATTTCCATGGAAATTTTCAGTTTACTCTCCGACCCCCCTCCCTTTCAGAATCGCTTCTTTCTTACCCTCCTCTTTATTTGCAGGACTCAACAAGGAGGAACTCTGGAGTTTTCTGAATTCAAGTATTAAGCTAGCTCTCACTGGAGTGCAATCCATTTTCCTTGCCTTGTCAAATTTGCACTCAAACTTCCAGCAAACTGCCTGACTCTCCTTTTCCCCCCCTCCCTGAGCTAATTACCAACACGCAGCTTGGACTCTAACCAAGCACTTCGCCATGTCGGCCATTTTCCTCTGCTTTATAAAGTTTGCAGGAAAATTACAAATCAATAGAGTGCTTACCTGAGAGTTCATAGAAGTGAGGCTGATGAAATTTAAACAAGTCGCCAGATCTCAACAATCGATACAGCTTTTCTTCCCCTTCGACCTTCATAGGTCTGCTGTTTTTATTTTCCGTTTTCAAGATGGAGGCCAGGGTCTTCCTAAGAATCATGGGAAACTTGAAATGGGCCACAGGTGAATGGCATTTCAAAGCTATTAAATAACCGCTGAACATGGGCTCCTGTGAATTGAGCCTGGGAACAGTCTCAGGTTGCCACGTTACTAGCAGTGCCGTGTAAGAACCAGGACACATTTTTAGCATTAGCTGGGGGGAGTTAAGAACTCTTCATGAAATCAGAGAATTAAAAAGTGTAGGCCAGACGCAGTGGCTCACGCCTGTAATCTCAACACTTTGAGAGGCCGAGGCCAGCAGATTACTTGAGGTCAAGAGTTTGAGACCAGCCTGGCCAACATGGTGAAAGCCTGTCTCTACTAAAAATACAAAAATTAGCTGGGCGTGGCGGCAGGTGCCTGTAATGCCAGCTGCTCAGGAGGCTGAGGCAGGAGAATTGCTTGAACTCAGCAGGCAGAGGTTACAGCGAGCCGAGATGGCACAACTGCACTCCAGTCTGGGTGCCAGAGGGAGACTCCATCTCAAAAAAAGTGTAAAATGTTCACAGAATATGAGCTTTTATTATGAGAACATGATGGGGAGGGCATTGTACTTTAGTCACTAAATTCTTAGAAGTAAAATACACACTACTACTACATTTGTCTAGGCAATAAGTTTTCTCTAATATGAAAAAGTTATGCCCATATTTGACTATTTATCATTTCAAAGTATCGTTTTCACCATGTCCTCTTTGGAGACGATATCCTATCTGCCTCTCATTTTACAGTGTTTGAATATTTAAGCTAATTTTATATAATATCTGACGTGTCTACCTACAAAAGTATCCTGAATTTTGCTTTTTTTCATATTTTATCATACTTTATACTGATCAAAAAATAGTTCATGTGGGAAAAGGTATCTGCCTCTCTGTTTACCCAAATAGATATTAATAGTGTTGATAGACTCTTACTACAGTCCTGTCATAATTTTTTTTTTTAAAACTTCTCATCTTTCTTTGAAATGGCAAAACTTCTTGAATATAAAGAGTTGAGGATGTAGAACTCTGGTTATAATTTCACAACCTATTTCAGTATTACTCTTTGGAAATACATACAATCTCAACACCAAACTTTGAAACACCATCCCTCCACACACCCCAACCTCCAAAAATAGAAAGAAAGAAAAGAAAAATAGTACAATCTCTTCACAGATTCAGTAAAATAATATTAGCATTAAATTTTGGATAACACTGATGAAGAGAGATGCTAACACTGACATTTAACAATATGGAGCTTATTAGACCAGAGGTACATTTCTCCCTCATTAAGTTAAGAAATATAGTATGTAATCATTTTAGTTTTACAACAAAATCCATTTCTTTAATGTGGTTAGATTTCTTGATTTGGGTTTGCAAAGTTACTATCTACTCCTGAACTGTAATGCAAAATTTGCTTTCTAGTTAAGCCTAGAATACTTAAAGTTATCTCTCAAATTGTTTTAGCATAATGTTTTAACAAATCTGACCCTTGGAAAGACATCCAAGTGTCACTAAATATCTCACCTAGCTAAATTGAGGCCATAATATGAATGTCAACTTTGAATTCTAAATGCGTTTATTCATTGTCTATCAATTTGCCAACCTTTCCAAAGTGTAAGTTTATAAAAATCATAGAAATTGATATTTTCTTGGGGCTGCCTAAAGCCTCAAATTATATTTGTCAATGACTCATTCTAGAGGAGAACTTTAGTAATGTTCTATTATTGCCTCATATTCCTGTGCCCGTGTTAGAAACACCTCAGTATCTTTGCCTTTCTGCCACCACCTCCTACCTACTTCCTCCCGAGTTATGAGACTCAAGGCCATGTTATAATGACCTCGGCTGTCATTTCACTAAGATTTTTCCAATATCACCACTAAGTCCTCCTAAAAACACACCTCCCTTAAATCGTCCATCTAAACTTCTCAGGGGAAGCCTGCCCAAAAATAAAAAGAAAACAAACAGAAATCCATAATAATGTAAAGGAAGCCAGCAGCTTTATATTGGAACAACCCTGTTCTAAGGTTAACCCCAGCTGGAATTTCTGCAAATTGTCCATTTACATGACCATTCACTGAGGTCGTAAATGATGTTGAATACTGAAGGCTTCCTGCCAGTTTTAAAAAATAATTATGACAGGAATATAATAAGAATCTATCAACACTATTAAGATCTATTTGGTTAAGCAGTTTAATTGACTCTGCAAATTAAAGAAAAGGAAAAAAAAAGAATAAAAATCCCTGTCACTGTTAAAAGCAAATAACAAGAAGCAAAGTAAGCTATTGACTTGCCAGGGAAATGAGGTTTCTCAGGAATTATCTCTGTATTAGTTTTTAGGATAAGAAATTTAAAAATATAGAGTTACTACAAGTTAGCATTTTACTTAATCTCTTTACTGCTGTGAGACCAAGGCACTGCCAAACACAAAAACTTATTTTAAAAAGAATTGAAAACATTTATTTTCCTTTTGAGAAGAAAAACTTCTTAATCAGACTTCTTACTCAGTATAATTTAAGAGTTTATTTGGCATAACTTACTAAGATTCATGTAAATCAGAAGTCAAAATGTCACTTAGAAATCTTTGTATTTAAAGGAACTTGTTCCGCGAATACAGAGGTTCTAGAAAATGTTGGTCTGTGAAATTTTATACATATAAACATGATGGAAGAAAAAGAAATTAGAAAAAGATTCACTCCTCCCCATCCCTTCACCCAGGGGAAGAAAACCTATGTTATGAATGGAGACATTTAGTGAGATGGGTATTAACAGACAAGTGCTAAACCCTATGAAATATAACAAGGAGAGTCCGATTCTAATGATAAACATGCTATTGTTCATTTCTAACTGTCTGAAATAATCCTGGGTTTTACTTAAATTGTGCCAAAAACTTACTTAAATTGTGTACCAAAAATTTCATAAAGCAACAAAATCTAGAACAGTCCATCTTGCAAGAATGAACGGCTGCTTTTAGTGTGCCTGATAAAAATGGTGTCCCCTCCCCCTCCTCAGGTGCAAACACACAAGAGCAGGTTTTCCTGTTATTCTGATGCATGCCTTTCTTCCCATATTAACAATAAAAGTTTGGTATGCTATCTGCCTGCAGAAGTTACTTCCTGAGCACAAGGGTGTCTTATCTGTTGAGAAATTCTGATACCAGGTAGACCGTTGTTTATGTGAAAAGGCATCTTCCTTAGGCAAATAACTGAGTGCTTTAAGAACGATAAATGAGCAAGTTTTCTGTGCAAATATACAAAACACCCCACTAATATCAAATGGCTTTTTCTTGGACAGACTACTATGCATTCCTAAGATGGACATGTCTACATGTAACCTTGTCACATGGCTGTGTTTCCAAAGCTCCCCAGCAATCATCCAGGCCCATCTAACCTCTATATGGTTTGCATCTGCTCAGTTTCCACAATCTAGCCAAGAAAATCCAAAAGGCTAATTGCTGTTCCCTAAACACTTCTTACTTTCTCCCACTTTTCACCCAAGGGCAGTACTAGGAAAACAAGAATAAGAATAATACAATCCAGGCCATTCACCTTTGCTCTTTCAAACCTGCCTCAGCCAGGACTGAAAGCCAGCCTGTTCTGCCTACCTGCCCCCAAACCAGCTTGCTGGCCCATGCTAACTCACCACCACCCTGTTCCTGCTCCTATAAAGGAGTCAACCAGATAACTCATTTAGGTTCATGTGTTAACACATTACTGGTCTACACTTCCGGGTAACTTGTCCAAATTTAAATTTACAAATAAACGGGTAAAACTTCAATCACCCATTTATTCTTTCTTTCTTTCTTTCTTTCTTTTTTTAGACAGGGTCTCCCTCTGCTGCCCAGGGGGAGTACAGTGTCACAATCATAGATCACTGCAGCCTTCAACTCCTGGACTCAAGTGATCCTCCTGCCTCAGCCTCCCAAGTAGCTGGGACTACAGGCACGGGCCACAATGCCTAGCTGATTTTTTTTTATTTTTAGTAGAGATGGGGTCCTGCTATGTTGCCCAGGCTGCTCTCAAACTTCTGAGCTCAAGCACTCCTCCTGCCTCAGTATCCCAAAGTGCTGGGATTATAGGCAAGAGCCACTGCACCCAGCTACAAATTTATTGTATTTATTATTTCTTAAGCACACATATGTGCTGGCCACTGTGCTGAGGTTACAGAGAAGATTAAGAGAGTCTCTACCCTTGTGGTGCTTGGAGTCCAGAGAAGTCAGTGGATATGAGCAGTATGATGAATGCTGTGATGGGAACGTGTACAGGATAAGATGGGAAAACGTCACTGAGGCCCTACCCCAATGGTGCAGTAAAGGAAGGGACTGAGAAAGACCCTCTAAAGCCCTGACTCCTGGCATCGTGTAAAATAAGTGGGAGTAAGCAGGTGAAGAAGGCAAACAAGAAGGACATTCCCGAGGAAGGATAAGCCTGGGCAAGATTCCGGAGGTGGAACACAGAACGGTGTGCAGCAGGAACAAGCTACGCTTCTGGTTCTGGCTTTAGGACTTCAAGCCCATGGAAGAGATATTTTTAGTCAAGTGAGTATTGTCAGGGTATTTAGTCAACCCTCCTAAAGCAACAACTTCCTTTTTTTGAGAAGGAGACCAACCCTAACTTCAGGATTTCCCTTCCACTCACAAAGACTCCTCCAAAGTAGTTTCTTCCTCCGCTTTTGAATCCAATGTACCTAGACACCCTTCCCTAACGTAAGTAAGTCCATCCAGCCCATCAGATTTAATTGCTTCATATAATTCTTTGTACTTATTTTTATATATAGTTCTCAATTATTACCTTGTCTCCCCCACAACACCTTGGGACAAGACTCTTGAATACTGTTTCTTTCTCTTCCACCTTTCAGAACATTTTAGATATTGATAATTTGCCATGTGACTTTGCATCTTCATAAAAAATATTGATAATTTGCCATGTGACTTTGCATCTTCATAAACAGAAGTAGAAAAATATTTTTTCATGATTGTTTCTCCAACAATACTTTCAAGATAGAGATAATAGCAAAACAATTCACCACAGGAGTTAAGTGTCCAAAGTTGTTAGATACAAAATAACAATAAAAGTGGAGAACTTTGAATGCCTATAATGGATGGTTCTGTACTCACTATCTCACTTAATCTTCACAACTATGTCAGATGGCATCAGTAGTATGGCCCCTATTTTATAGATGAGAAAACTGAGTCTCAGAGAGATTCATTTGCCCTTCTCAGGAAAGTTAAGGAAAGCTTCCCTACAGAAGACCCATGAGAGCCCAAAGTGACTAGGCTTTAGCCATGAGAAGAAAGGGAAAGACTCTCTGAGGTAACAGGCAGGGCCAGAGCTCAAACCTATATTCATCTGACTCGAAAATTTCCAGGCTAAATATTTTTAAGTCCATGCATTCAAAAAAATACAATTTAAAACACACACAGCTATCATTGGTCACTTCTGAAGAAGGCTGCAAAATAGGCTGAAACTGGAAATGAGGGGTTAAATCCAGTATTTAGCCTGGGTTTTACATACAGATAATATAATGAACATATATTTCCTCAGTGTAATCAAACAGGAAAAGTTTCTTCTAGAAATATTACAACTACTAGATTAAAAGGAATTATATTCATAGAATGAATATATTGTATTGCAGCCTCTAATGAATTAAGGGATCTGGACAATGATTAATAATGGCTACTGATACCACAAAAAAGAGACTATCAAGCATTGTTTGTCTCCTAATAGAATACATGACACATGTATGAAATATATTTGCCAAAAAAAACTCATTGAATCTAATCATACATTTAGATATCAATTTACAGGAAATAGAAAAGACTGAGGAACATATCAAAAGATAACACAGAAATTTAATCATCAAAATCAGAAAATTCACAGGAAAAAATGGCCTAGTTTCTTCACAAGAAAGAAAGAAAGAAAGAAAGAAAGAAAGAAAGAAAGAAAGAAAGAAAGAAAGATGGAAGGAAACCTGTAGAGTAAAAGAGACTTAAGACACATATTCCCCAATAGCTTTCTATGGACCTTATTAGGATCGAGATTCAGACAAATTTTTAAAAAAATATGTATATGAGGCAATTGGAGAAATTTAAACATTGACTTGCTAGTGAATACAATTAAAAATTTTTTGTTAATTTTTAGATGTTTTAACATTATTGCATTTGCCTTTTAAATTAAAAAGGCCCTTAATTTTAGAAATACCTTTGGAAATATTTGCAGATGAAATTGAACAAGATTTGTCTCAAAAGAATTTTGTTAAAACAAGATTAAATGAAGATACAGGTTAGACTAGATTGGCCATGAATTGATGGTTGACTCTTGATAGGAATGTAGAGATCCATCATACACTTCACTCTATTTTGGTATATTTTTGAAATATATATATAAATTTCAATAATAAATTCGAAAAAATTTATTACTAATATAATAGCAGTAAGTCTTTTAAACCACTTCCTTTCCCTGGCTCCTCTCGGCCTCCTCAGCTGTGGACTCTTGACCCTTTGTTAAGCCTAGCGTTCTCTTTTAAAGGCTCAATAGAAAATCAACCATCCAAGGATATCCTTCACCAGGAAAAAGGGATCATCTGAGCTCTGGGACTGCCCTTGCTTTGATTATCATCCCCTCTCTTTCTGGACAAGGTAGTTCCTAACCAAAATGTAGTTCGGCTGACTCTGAAATATGCTGGCAGAAGGCATATATTTCAATTCTGCCCTTAGGCAGCCTAAAAAGTGCACACCCTGCAAAACGATTAAGATCACTCCCTGTCACACTCCTTCCTCATTTTTCAACTTCACTTTTTATCATCCTGCATTTTGACATCAGGGACATTTACAATGATCAGCAAGGACACAGACATTCTCCATGGTAACTGTAAGTTTACTTGTTTATTTAGAAAAGTCCAGAGTCAATGGCATGCAAACTCAAACAGGGCCTTAGAGAGCACTAAGTTCAGTTCCCTCACTTCCCAGGGGTGGTAAGTTAGGCTCCAAAAGGTAAGGGGCTTGCCCAAAACACATACAAAAAGGAAGTGCCTGACCCGGGCACTCTAAAATCACAAACACAGCTTTCCTCTCCAATCTCTATACTCAAGAACAGAGGAGGACTCAGAACTATAATTGTGTGACTCACATCAGTCAGTGTCTCTGAAATATACAATCCTAAGCAATGTAGTTAAGCCTCCTAAGTCCACCTCCTCTCCCCTACCTGGGGAGATCAGCATTAATGATGAGCTGAGGTAAAAGAGCTTAGAGGCTTGAAGGGGCCACAAAGGGATTTGCAGTGCAGGGAGGGCCACATTCCTGAACTTTCTCCTCTCCTGGAAGGTGCCTGGTGTGCTTCGAACCTACAATGTCCATCGCTTCTTTTCCTTTGACCTTCTCTTAGTTCTTGCACAGTTTTCTTAACTTTATTCATAGTTTTAAAGAGTCTCGGGGTGTGGGGGGGTTACTAGCTCATATTTTAAACCCTCTCTTCCTACAACTTGACACTAAACAGATACAAAGATGAATAAAATTACCATCCTTAATTAGTGCTTTTGCCTCAGTCATTCCTAAGCTGAAGCCATTGGCTGACCACTAAAAATAATGTTTAAACAAGGTCTTCTGTGTTAATTTCCCATAAATGTATTTTAAAATGCTCCCATCCCATTCTATAAGTTTTATGGTTTTCAAAGAAAGCCATGTCCAAGAACAATAAGTCAGTTGCCCAAGGTCTCAGAGGTGTTGGGAACATAACCAAGAGCTAGCCCAGGGTCTAGCTGACCCCAAAGCCCATGCCTTCCAAGCAGCACAAGAGAGAGGAAGGCACCATCTAGGTGTCTTTCTTAGCTCCGAGGGAATAAAAGTCTTCCCAGGAAGGGACCAGCAGGACCTGAAGGCTGTTCTTTAAGTCCCCTTCAGGATCCCACGGTGAAAAGGTCAAAATACGTTCTGTGCTTTTCACAGATAGAGTTGTAAAATGGCTGTGGGAGAACAGCCTCGGAGTGAACCTGACATTGGGTGTGTGCAAGCGGTTCATGACTCTGCGGTTGAGTGTACATGAGTCACCCAGAACACCGCGAGGCTCCAACATAAACCATGTCCTCAGGCCTCACCCTCAGCCCCTGCCACAAGCTTATTCACACATGATGTGCTAGCCTGGCACCCAAAACCCCCAAATCATCCATGAGTCACAGCTCATTACGTGGAACACTGCAGGCTTGCTACCCTGATGTTGGGCCATGATTTGCTTAATTGAACCAAGAAAAGGAGCGTGGGAAGTGAGGGAGCCAAGCTGTTACCTATGCATTAAAGAATATGAAGCAGGACCAAAGGCACCACGAAGAAAACATTCCAAGTTTAGCGCTCTCTCAAGGAGTTCAAGAGCTTCAGAGCCAGACTGCTGAATTTTAAGCCCAGCTCGGCCCCTTAGCATCTGTATGATCTGGGGCATGTGATTTCTGCCTCAGCTTCCTCATCAGTGAAATGCAAGTAAAAGAGCATCTACCATACAGGGCTTACCCCTGTTAAAACAGTAACACCTAAAATGTGTATATAAATAAAGGCAGGTTGAGTATCCCTTATCCAAAATGCTTAGAACCAGAAGAGTTTCAGATTTTGGACCTTTTTTTTTTTTCCTTTATTGCATTATGCTGGTTCAGCATCCCTAATCCAAAAATTGAAAATCTGAAATGTTTCAATGAGCATTTCCTTTCAGTGTCCTATCAGTGCTCAAAAGTTTCAGAATCTGGAGCATTTCAGATTTCAGACATTCAAATTAGGGATACTCAATTGTACTACTATTAGTATGCCATCAGAATACTTTTACTTAAAACCTTCTATGTCATTGGTATATAAACCATGAAGTTGAACTCATCAACTCATTGCAACAAAGATGATCATGGAACTGTAATTGGAGAGCTTTGTTTATAACAAGCTTGCTCAATGATTGATATCTGGAGATGGAAAACAAAATAAGTGGGAAACTGGTAAACAATATAAACTTTAATATTATCTTCAGGGAGTTTAAAATTATAATCTTTAATAAGTGATCTTTTCATATCATTCTAACTTAGAACTATGTCTAGGTATCTTTTCTTTAACATTTAGGTACATGAGCTTATTTATCTTCTTGCTAAAGTTCAAAATCTAATTTCTAACACAGGTTACTTGCTGTAATAAACTCTACAAGCTTTAAAATGACAGGTTGAAAGATACGATTTTTTAGAGTTATGAATTAATAGCTATATATGTCAAAGACTTTGAAAGGGCCAACTTTTTCATATTTATAGATATATTATTGAAATGATAAAAAGTGAACTGTGGAAAGAGGAAAGAACTGAGAACCACATATAATGAATCAAACATACTTAACAAGACATGTACAGACACTTTGGTGTGCATCTCTTTTATTACGTTACATTAATCAAATACTGTTAAAGACATCCATCTGAGCAAAGTGTCATGATGATATTCTATAAAAACATTCTTTTGAAAAGAGTCTGTCCTGACAGCCATATCAACTATATTGTTTTAAGTGATTGTCAGACCCACACTTCTCAGAAATTAAGACAATTTATGTATGTGCCTCTTGAGTTCTCTCAGCCCCACTGAGGCTAGCTTTTTAAAAGAAAATAATGTACTTGGAGAAAATGCACAAAATCTGACTAAGGAGTCATAAGACTCTGGGTGCAAATAATTGAAAAAAATATTTTAGAAGCATAATATCAATTCATCTAGTTTTAAAGTTTTCACAAATTATAATAGGGAATTCTGCTTATTTCACAAAATAATTATCTGACCTTAAGAGGATTTTTCCTAACATCACATAAACCTGATGGCTTTACACAGTGATGATGAGCTATTATTTCATTTTCATCCTGATAAACTACATAAGAATTGCAATTTTTATATGCAATTATTCATAATGTATGTTTGGATTTCCCTGTTTAAATTCTATTAGAGTCCTACTTTATGAAAAATCTATCATTTAATATTCTATTTAATACTGAGATGAACATACATAAAAGCAAACAGATGAAGAAGATGAGTAATATCTCAGGATCTGTAGCCATCAGACTATGAGCAAATCATAATATATTATTATAAGTCCCTTCTGTTACAGTCAGATATTTCAGAAAAATAACAATAATGTATTAAAAACGGAACTTCTCTGGTCTTTAAATAGCACAAGTAATTCAACTGATAAATCTAGATAATACTTATAGCTCTCTATACCTATGGTTTGGTTTTGCCTTTTCTAAATTAAACTGGATTTTCAAACTATTTAGGTGCCACATTCATTTTACCCTGAGAAAAGATATGTCAAAGAACTTTATGGCTAGAAGTTTGTCTTAATTAGCATACAACTGAACAATCAAAGTCTAAAAACTGAAAGCCAGCAGCTGAATGTAACACTGATTTTAATATCCTTATTTTTAGAGAGAATTTATTATAAGAAATTGATGGCAGGTAGAAAGAGGATAAAGGTGTCCATACACTGCTTAATCATCTATACATAAAATTTATTTGGAAAGAAGGACAAATTTGGCCAGTTGCACCTTTGCCTTCATATAGATTCAATTTTCTCTGTCAGTTTGAGAGAACAGTTTTTGATTTTTCTACTACCTGCCTTCTGTGGTGGGGGAGGAGGGTTGAGGTGAGCCAACTAAGGAAAAACAAACAATTATGGACTGGGCATGGTGGCTCACACCTGTAATCCCAGCACTTTGGGAGGCTGAGGTGGGCAGATCACCTGAGGTCAGAAGTTCGAGACCAGTCTGACCAACATGGCAAAACCCCATCTCTACTAAAAATACAAAAATTAGCCGGGCATGGTGGCGAGCGCCTGTAATCCCAGCTACTTAGGAAGCTGAGGCAGGAGAATCGCTTGAACCTGGGAGGCGGAGGTTGCAATGAGCCAAGATCGCACCATTGCACTCCAGCCTGGATGACAAGAGTGAAACTCCGTCTCAAAAAAAGAAAAAAGAAAAAAAAAAAACTTTTCAGTTTGATGTAATGTAACTAGAAACCTCTCCTCTAAAATTGCTGTAATTGCATAGAAAGAAAATCTAAAGTGTAGCCATAATTATTTTTTAGAATGCTTTGAAGCCACCTTAGAAATTTGGCCCTCTTACTGGAAGACATCTATTCTTTTTGTTCCAGTCCTTGGCACATGCAGAATGACCAACCTCACTTATTGCTGCCACTCCCATACAAACCTAAGAAATTTCCTTTATGCATGACTAACCCCTACTAACCTTCATCTGCTAAATGATTTCTTATCTGTATGTGAAAAAATAATAACCTGATTATTTAAAAAATTACTCTCATCATTTTGTCCAATAGACCAAGCCCAAAAATCAGAGGATGGCAAAGTTTTCCCTTCAGATTTTACATTGAGGAGCTAGATTTATTTTTCTCTATTTAAATTTTGAACATTTTTTTAAAAACTTATCGTCTAGTTGTGTTAGTGTTCCAGATGTCAAAATACGATTTTATTTGACGCTGTTTAAACTGAAAATGAGCTTTACAAAGAAGGCTTACTAACATTTCAAATAATTCTGGAAAAGCATAGGAGGGTTTGAATTCACATAAACATAAAATGTATTTATGATTTGGATTTTAACCAATGTAAAGTATGTATCTGAGTATTGAGTCCCATGACTGCAATCTATTCTTCTGTGTTATATGGAAGATGAATAAAAGACATAACTTAAGCATTTTTCTCTAATTCTGGTCACAGACCTACAAGATGGGTACATTGCTCTTATTTTACCAGTGAGGAAATGGAGGTTTAGTTGGATGGAGTGTCTTGCCCAAGGTCACAGTGGTAGTAAGTAGGCAGAACCCAAATTGAATGAAATCCAGGCCTTTCTGGCTCCTAAACTGTGTTCTTTGGAGCCTATGGGACTGCTAATCTAAGAGAAGCCCAGGTCAGCTGATTCCCCTGAACAATGACCTGTTAGACTCAATCAGTCCCTGTCCGGAGAGGTTCTTCTTTAAAAGTAGGTTTTGAAAGGACCCCACAATATTGGCCCAAGAAAGCCCTCAGTATTTAGGGAAAACTCAAAGCCAAGCAGACATTATGGAGGACAATTTCCTAAGAGATCTTTTTCCAAGCTTTTGGACATAACAATCTCAAGAAGCATAAAGGCCCAGTAACACTTGTTACGTGTATAAGTCTTTCTCTGTTTTGTTTGTTTTTCTGTTTTTGTTTTTGTTTTCTCTTTACTGGTCTAAAAAGATTACAAAAAGAAAAGGTGAGAGAAAATAGAACAATACAATTTAAAAGAGAGATTGTCATCCTCTAGCAGACTGTAGCCTAAATCAAGCCACTGGTTTTGTTTCACCCACACTAAGATTTAATGTTTTTTCAATCACTTTTCAATGCTAATCAGAATATTTTTACATAAAATTCCATATTTATAGTTCATTTCAAGAATTTAGGAAATCTGGCCACCCTATACCTATATTCTAGCAATTGCCTGGAGCAGAATAGATGTCGTTCAAGTTTAGAAAGGACACCTACCGTCCAGCTGGCCACTACTTCCACCCTCCCTACCCACCTCCCATACAGATGCTCCTTGACTTACAAAAGAGCTGTGGCCTGAAAAAACCCATAAATTGAAAATATCACGAGTCAAAAAATGTATTTAATACACCTAACCTACCAAACATCATAGCTTAGCCTAGCCTATTAAACATATCCAGAAGAGGCTTACATTAGCCTACAGTTGGGCAAAATCATCTAACGCAAAGCCTATTTTATAGCAAAGTATTGAATATCTCATGTAATTTATCAAATACTGTATTGAAAGTGAAAAACAAAACGGTTGCCTGGGTACACTCTCGAGTATTAGTTATTTACCCTAGTGATCGCATGGCTGACTGACAGGGACTTGGGGCTCATGGCCGCCGCCTAGCATCTCGAGGTATTGTCGCACTGCCTATCATTAGCCTAGGAAAAGATCAAGTTCCAAACCCCGAAGTATGGCTTCTACGGAATGTGGATTGTCTTTGCACCAGTGTAAAGTCGAAACATCTTAAGTTAAACCATAGAAAGTCAGGCACCGTCTGTGTGTTCAATGTTACTTGGCCCCTATATGCCTTTTTGTGTGTGAATACTACTCTAAAACATTTGTGGGGATCTTCAGAGAAGCGGTCCAGCCTCAGTTTTGCACAGGTTTTTTGCCCAATTTTTCTTGCTTCAACACCAACAGTTTTGCTTGAAGTTGGGGCATGCTCATGAAAGAGAAAGAAGTAGGTTGTAACAGGGAAGTAAAATCTGGCTTTAAGCTTTTCGTGGGTTTTTTTTTTTAAAATAAGCTGAACCGTGATTGCTCTCTCAAGCCCAATTTCCTAGTGTAGAGGCTGACTCTAGGGAGGTTGGTTTGATTCCAAAACAATGCAGAATTTCTCAACAGGCACCATCTCTCCCAGTAGGAGTGGCAGGCAGGTAAAGCAACCTGCCAATTCTCAATGCCTCTTTGGAGCTGCTCAGGAAAGACCTGGGAGTAAAATAAGAACTAAGTAGGGAGACATTCTGTTGAGAGATTCCTGGGTTGTGTCCCTGCCCTTTTCTCTGCTTGCATCTTTATAGCCCCTGCCCCTTATGACTTTCCTCCTCATCCAGAGTTTTGAAACACAGCAAACACTCAGAAACAATTGGCAGGTGCTTTGAAGTCATTACCTGCCTGCCATGCTAATTGCAAGTCATTACCTGCCAGCAGCACACAGTTTTGTACAGTTTGTGAGACACAGGGAGGCTCTACTTAACTGGAAGGATCATTTTTCTCACACTAAAGAATGCCAGCATTGGCAGCTCTGTGCCCACCAGTGTGATGTAGCGTGTAGCTGGTACTCCCTCTGTCAAAATCATTCTTGAGGATGTGCACACACGCATCTTGCGTGGGAAAGGCCAGAGGAATATCCATAGTTTTCTGTCATTCATCACCTCAAATTTCATATTGCTATATATTAAGGGGGAAAAAAAGCCACAAGTTCCATTTTGCAGGTTTTTCCTGCTATAACAATTCTTTGAAAACATACTAAATACGCAGTGAAACAACTCTATCACATTAAATGTGTATTTTATAAAGAACATGATTTTAGGTTGCCATATATTATTATCTATCAATAAGATAAAGTTCCATTACAATCTTAATTTCCACTTGCAGAATGGGTATTACTAATGTCTGTAAATTATGCATGTCTCTGTTATATGGAAGTCCATCAAAAATGGTCATTTCTGATCCATATTTTATATAAATTGTGACACAATGGATAATTAAAAATTTTAATGCTTTCCAGTTACTTTTTAAATTATAAAGAGCCCAGTTCTGCTGCTTTCGTTTTAAGTTTAATTTTATTTTATTGTTATTCAATCTCCGCATAAGAAACACAGAAATTTACCAGGTTTTAATTGACATAGTTAAAATCACATTATTGTACTCTTCCATGTCTTGGCAATGAACACAAGACATACCAGGTATGTCTTGCATTGTATGTTGCCTGAACTTTGAGGATAATTTACAGAATTTTCCAAAATGACACTTCCTTTTTATTCAGCAGCTTGAACATAAAGACAGAACACTCTTCTGACTGCAAATATAGCAATTATACCAAGTTATGCTTTGACATTGTTACCACAGGCAAGTGGCCAAAGAGCATCCACAGTCAAAATATCTAAGCAAGTTAACAAGCTCCTTTTACTCTCTACAGAGAGGGAGAAGAAAGGGAATCCAACCCCTGAGAAATGTTAAAATGAAGGAGAAAAAAGGCTGTTGGTGTTTGTTAAAGAAAATGGTGTCAGTGTCTTGGGCTGATCAAGGTGTAGAATCTGGGGCCCTGACAGACGCCCAGGCCTACATTTGACAGGAAGCCTTTTTCCAGTTCAGATCTGCTTGATGATCTCAACTAATGAATGACTCCGGTCTGCAAACCCTTGCGTTGGAACTACACCTTGCTTTAAGGTTTGGTCAAACTGGCTTGGCCTCCCTGTCACCTCTCCTCTCTCCCATCCCTTGCAAGACTACATTTTTCCTTCTCTTTTTTCAGCCCCATTTTACAAAATATCACCATGTTTACCACACAAAAGACATCGAAACTAATTAAGTAAACTCCAAAGAACTATTACAAATCATTTTGCTTCAGCCAGAGATATCAGATTTAATTAGGTGATCGGTGTTGATGGGGTACAAAAACAAAAGCTATCTCCTCTTTGAAAAGGTTCAGGCCCTATAGAGACCCAGTCTTCCCACTATGACACAAATAATAATTGAGCATTTCTTTAAAAAAAAAAAAGACAGGCATGAAAAGAGGTTTCTGTGTTAGAGACAAAAGCTTTCAACTAAGGTTTGTTTTCTCTTTTTGCCAGGTGATTTAAAAACAAAAAACGCACCATCTACAAAGAAATAGCTATAACCTACATTGATATCACCATGACACAGAATATAAAGTGGTTCTAACAAGCATAATTTTTGCAAGTGATTAATCAAAATCTATTTAGCCAGTCATCTTCAATGATTATCAACAGACTTGCTTAATATCACAATGAAAATCATTTATTTTTCCCCGCATTATCCATCACATAATAGGTTTTCCTCAGCGTGTAAAACAAAAGGTTCAAGTTTAAAGTTAACATAGTAGTTTAGAAGATCTGAATTTTAGTGTGAGAGATTTCTTGTTCATAAAGAAAGTAGAAGAAAAACTGGAGATTCTAGATGGCCCCACTTCAAGCACAGCATTCTGGACTAAAGTTAGCCCTGTTTCTATCATTTGTTAAGAAAGTGTTATTTTGGTATACTGGCAATAAATAATACAGGATGGGGTAATTATTTTTTAGTCATTCTTTATCATGAATTAGTTGTTAATCCCAGATACACAAATCTGTTGGCTCTTAAAAGAAGGCAGTATTCTTCTCAAGGAAAGACTGTTTTTACTAAAACATTTATTGCATAGGAAGTTGAAAATGCAATGCCATGTTTAAATTTTCATACCACACACTTATGATGGCTAGATTTCTTATGGCAGTGGAAATTTGTGTCATTATCATCTTATCTCTTAATTACAGTGTGTTTCACACACACACAGGCACACAGAAACACATACATATAAAGATTAGAAAGGAAAAGAAATACATATTGGATTCCACCTAATAAACAGTGGATCTCTTTTGAGTCTACCTGGTATTTATGGTATGAAGCAGCTCTGAATAATGGCTTTTTTATATACGGTTGTTAAATTTTTCTGGAATTTTTATCTAACAAATACACAGAACTTTATATAATGGAATAGCCTTAAAGCAAGTCTGAAACAGTCATACAAGTTACCAAAAAGGCCAATACAATATTTCCCAAGTTTAAGTACACCTCAAAATTCCTTTCTTTAGCTCTTAAGATCTTGAAAGGAAAATAATTTTCCAAGTTGGCATTTAAATGGTATCATTCCGTGTGAGAAGAGTTACTGAGACATTTGTTGGAAGTCAACAAAAATAATTTGGACATATTTTGAACTTATTTTATCTGACTCCTCGACATTTAATTTGGTGTGAAAAACGGCAACGGTAGAAAACAGATGTTAAGGGGCCAAGTATACAGCAGAGGTCAAAACAAACATAAAACACCGCTTCCATTTCTAAAAGACAGAGAGAAAAAAAACACAATTCCTCTAGCAACAGGTTCTATGTTAAACCTGCTTTTTTATTGTTCTGCTTGTGATGTCCGTGGACTACACAATGCAATACTGTCTGCCATGGAGCAATACCTCTCAGCACTAGTAATTTAAGACTTTCTTCTCTGTAATACACTGAACCATCATAACCTGTCTCTTCCCATTTAGTTTAACCTACAACCACCACATACTGATTTGGCTGTGTGTGGCTTTTTCTATTGCCATTTATTACTCTGCTCGACTCCTGAAATTCTGTTTGCAATTTAAGGCCACAAATTAGAAGCGTAAGTCATCTGTTTCCTATAATCCCCCTGTCAGGACTGGAATCGCGTTTGGAGCTCAACACTGAGCCTGGGCCTGGGCCTTCACAGACTTTCTGATTGGCTGGCCTCTCTAAAAGCTGCAGCGGAATAAATAAAATGCTCTGAAAAAATAGAGCTTTTTACAAAAAAAAAAAAAAGATGAAAGAAAAGAAAGGGATTTTAAATATTTTCTTTTCCTTTCCGTAATTATTAAATCGATAGTAGCATGGTGATTTTTTTTTAATAAATAGCAGAGCTGAATATTACTTCTTTAAAAACAAAACAGTGAGTATTTGAGATTCTATGTGGGAGAAAAGTGTAATCCTGCTTCGATTAGTTATGTGTTTTTACTGCATATGGAATATCTTTATAAGTCCTGCTATGTTTCTTATAAAACATATTTTTCCATATTGTATACGTACTAATTAGCTGAGTATTTTTTAATAGTGTCATAGATCTTTTCTAAGCTAGAAATCTATGAAGTCCTAATCCCCTCATTCTACCAGGCTTTCTCTTTTAAAATATTTCAGCAGATTTCACTTAGTGCCCCAGGATCTCATAGAAAGATTTCAGGAAATCAAATACAAAATCAATTTATCTTTTTAAAAATCATTCGTTCTGTTAATAACATAAGAATTTCAAAAATTTTGTGCTATTTCTTCTTTCCTTGTTTCCTTGGTTCATTTTAATAGACTTCCTGCTATCCCTGGTATGGCTTTAGACTCTTTCAGCATTTCCTGTTTTAAAATATTCCATTTTTTTCCATTATACTTTGTGTTCAACGTAGTAGATTACACGTAAAGACAGCAAGATACAAAATATAAATGGAGAGAAATAGACAACAGGCACATTAACAACACGTTCTGAGTTCTCAGTACACTTGTGAACTGCCATTGGGCTTTAAAAAAGTCATTAGTTAACTAGAATAAAATCCAACAGACTGACTCACATTTATTAATATTCTCATACCAGCCATATCTGGACAAAAAGGTTAGAAATAAATGAATCAATATTAGCTGAATGCCCCCAAAGCAAAGCTTGCATTTCAAAAGAAAACAAAGTTCAATGGGAAAAATTACGTATATGATGCAAACTGAATTTTAGCTAAAAATAAAATTAAATTAAAAAAAATAAGAACAGTTTTTAGTGAAAAACTATTTTAAGAAAAACAAAAGAATTTAAAGAAAAGCAAAAGAATCATAATATTAAATTATTTTAAAGGTATGGGATTATTTACAATACCACTTCTGGAAATGTTTTGTGCTTCTGTAACTTAAATTCAGTTTCTATTTTTTTTTTTACATCAGTTTCTGGAGGCTGTTAATCTATAATGTGGCCTGTGATCTCTGGTTATTTTAAAGGAAACAAAGGAGGAAAACTCGCCAAGACGTTGAGGTTTCAAAGAAAAAAAAATACCTACTGTACATGCGCACTCTGATTATTTTCTAGATATTTTTTCAACTATACTTTCTGTGTTGCAGATTTATTTAATAAACAAATGCATCTTCTGGGCCCATAATACACAAATGCATGCTACTGTTAATTCATTTACAGAATGCGCTGTGATGGCCCCTGAGCAAAAGAGCAATCTTGTTATAATGAATGTGTACTATTCTTAATAAGCACACTGTAGCAACGACCCGCACTGCACACAAAAGCACACCCAAACCATTTGGTTTGTTCCCAGAGCTCGGACACCAGCACCACTATTAAATAGCTGTGCGCTGGGAGAGCAATCGAGTATTGGCATGCAAATGAGCGCACGAAGAGGCCAGATGCTGCTCTTTAGAAAGGAAAAGTGCCACAGCTCAAATTTTGGGAGAGAGAGAACCTACAAGCACAGGGCAGCTTCGCAACTGTGAGCCATTATATTTCTGACAGGGGTAGAACTGCCGGTGGGATGAACCTAGGAAAGAAAGATGAATAGAGCAGAACTTCTTGCAGACATGTGAACACTGAGGCCTTCCATATTTCCGTGGGTCCGCTAGAGAGTGCTGGCCATGCTTCGGGGTTTTTGTTTGTTTAATTTGTTTGCTTAAGTTTGGGTTTTTTTTTCTTTTTCGTTTCTGGTCCAGAATGATACCTGAGAGACTTCATTTCTGTTTTTTAAATTGAAGGTCTCATCTTTCATAGTAGTTAAATGATTATTGAAAGTTTTATTAGTTCAAATAAAATATTAGGTTATTGAGAAGAACATGAATTTTTTTTTCCAAACCAGCTCATCATGCATGATTATTTATCTGTTTGGAGACCTTTCGGGTTTTCCTAATTTGTGGTGGGTATATAACCCATGACTTGCTGCCTTTATCTTATCATAACCAATTGACTGCCTTGAGGATAGAGTAGGAGAGGAAGCCGGTACTGAAGAGGCTGAAACTGGTCTTGCCACAACATTGGTAGACTGTGTTCCAAGCAGAATCAGAACACTGTTTTTCCTCTTGACTCATTTTTGGTTTTCTTTCCTTCTCCATGTTCAAGGAGTCATTGAAGGAGAGTACCGATGATCAGGATTGAAGTCATGGTATGTATTTGAGAACCGGACTCATGCAAAAGAAGCAGGAACATTCATATGTAACATTCACAAGGGAAGATTATGGCAGTCCTGTGGCACAGCAAATTAAAATCTGTTAAGAGTAATGTGCCCCCTTTATACTGATGGCATTTTGAGACAGGACCATCCCCTACCCTCATGATAAGTGAATCATGTAATAATAGAATTTACCATACATCTTATTTCTATAAACATTTACTGAACATCTACTTAAAGGCTAGTTACTACACTAGGTTCTTAGAAGAGTTGAATTTCACTGGAAATAGTTCATAGTAGTGGCTGAATCTACACACCAGACCTCCTGATCATGGGTTAGTAATTACAAACTCCACAATAAATCAATCTTCCATACAGAAATACTGACTTCGGTAAAAATAGAAATGGATATAAATATATCTAGTGGGATTATTTATGTCCAATTGTTTTCTTGAGTGATCACAGCATTGTCTGTAAATTTCTGAGGAGCCCCTTCTCACCAGTCAATTGGTATATAAAATTCATCCATATACTTAATAGATATTTATTGAGCAATATGTTTCCTAGGGCTGCCATAATGAAGTACCACAAATTGAGTGGCTTAAAATGGCAAAAATTTATCCTCTCACACTACCAGAAGCTAGAAATTCAAAATCAGTGTGTTGGCAGGTCTCCGTTCCCTCCAAAACCTCTACGGGAGGACACGTTCTTGTCTCTTCCAGCCTCTGATAGCCCCAGGAATTCCTTAGCATGAGGCAGCATAACTCCAATCTCGGCCTTCATCGTCTCCTGTCTTCCCTGTGTGTCTGCCTGTGTCTCCTCTTTTTATAAAGACACTAGACTAGTCACATTGGATTAGGGTACGCCCTAATTCATTATGACCTCATCTTAACCTGATTACATATGCAATGACCTGATTTTTGAATTAAGTCACATTCACAGGTACCAGGGGTCAGGACTCCAACATCTTTTGGGTGGACACAAACTCACAACAAGCACTTACTAAGTATCAGCCACTTGTACTTGGGCATTTTTTCATTTAAAAAAAATCCCATAAAGTCTGCTGTGGAATTCACTACAAGAATGTTGCTGAACTTATCTATCAATTTTTTAAAAATATAAGTAAGTAATAATAATTTTTTGTTTTTGTTTTTGTTTTTGTTTTGTTTTTTTGAGACAGAGTCTCACTCCGTCGCTTAGGCTGCAGTGCAGTGACACTGTCTCGGCTCACTGCAACCTCTGCCTCTCGGGTTGAAGGGATTTGTGCCTCAGCCCCCAGAGTAGCTGGGATTACAGGCTTCCACCACCACCCACTAATTTTTTTTTTTCATATTTTTAGTAGAGACGGGGTTTCACCATGTTGGCCAAGCTGGTCTTAAACTACTGACCTCAAGTGATCTGCCTGCCTTGGCCTCCCAAAGTGCTGGGATAACAGGCATGAGCCACCACACCCAGCCAGTAATAATAAAAAATTTTAAATAGAGAATATTACTGAAGATATTCTTTATTTTGTCATACAGCGTCCTCACTATGAGAACTTATGGAAAAAAATACTCTCAGGACTCAGGATTAAAAATTATTGAATTTCTTCCAATTAATTGGGTTTTAAAAATGTTTCAGATGCTATTAGACATGTAACTGATCTTGTTTCTCTCTTTGAGTTGGCTGCTAGCAAGTTCAAATTGAATTTGAGACTTACCACAAATAACTATGTAATAACCTCATAAATGTATTTTATGTAATGAACTTTACCCAGCTTAATCTTTTCTTCCTCTTTTTTCCCTTTGCCATTTCCATATTTTTTATCTTGTCCGTGTATTATTGAAAGTAGCATTCAATGACTGATTCTAGAATAAAGCAAGCTATAAATAAATATTAAAATTAATTGGAATAAACCCAAATTAATTTGAGTTTTTCCTAAGACAAAAATAATTTAAAAGGTGAAATATACGGTGAAAAAGAACACATTCCAAATACTAACTTATTTGTTCTCAATTAATGGGAATAAGTAAATAAAAATGATATGACACAGGACATTTGTAAAGCTAAATTGAATTCTCATGTAATTTTAAAGCCTGAGGGAAGCCTTTGAAGCAGTGAAGTTTCTGAAAACTTCTGTATGCCCTATAATGAATGAAAAAGAGAAAACAAAGGGATTAGCATTACCACTTGCTTAAGATATCTAAAGGCTATCAAATAGCAGAAGGAATAGACATTCCATGCTCAGAATCAAGATTTAATATCAATTGGTATAGAATATTACAAGACAGAATGAAAAGAACCAACAACCCAATATGACCCATACTGAGAAAGAATATCCCATTCTCAACTCTCCATTATCAGAAATGCTCCAAAAGCTATGGTATATCATGAGTTAGGGATCTGTAATAAGAATCCCAGCACTTAGTAGGAAGTTGGCTCCAAGAACTACATTTTCTTCCATCTAACTCCAAAATCCTAAGATCAGTGATTTCATACATGGTCTATTTTTAATAAAGAAAAATACTGGCATTATCTTATCAAAATTGGACTCACTCAAGGAGTTCTAAAAGTTGTAATAATTTTACAAGTAGAGCTATTTAGGAAGGAGTTGGACAAGACATCGTAATGAGTCTATGTCGGCACCAGTTGTACACCAAAACTTTCTTTATGCAATCTTGCCGAATAACACAGTCACAAAACCTAGGATTTTGATAAGCATACCATATTTCACCTTATTAATTTTAAAAATAGGCAACTGGAGAAGTTACTAGTCCCAAGACTGCAATTGGAGATGTAGCCATATTACCTTCCAAAGAGTCAGAAAATCATGACAACCATCATCCAAACACTCATTTCAAGCCGTTTGTGGTTTCTCAATATGCAGTCACCACATGTCTCCTTATGCAATCTCCAGACATCTAGTTTCTGAATCTCATCCTAAAAGGCATAGGATGACCCTGTGGCTCTTTGGGTGATGACTGTCAATGTGGTTCCAGAGTCACATAACTTTAAGGCCACATCCATGCACCTTGGCCATTGCCACAACTAAACTCTTTTCCCACTCACACACTACTGAGCTACATTTCCATATGGCAGGATGGCAGGATTTACCCAGTCATCTCTCTGCAAACATGTCTACTATATCATGCTGCCTTTGATTCTTGGATTTTCTTTCAAATGCATGTGCACTCTGTTTAGTAGATGAGATCATTATTCTTTACTCTCTTTCCCTGAGGGATGACAGACTACTGCAACAAAAACTGAATAGTCCCTCCATGTTATTTCTGGCTTTCCCAGTGACATGCTCTGTAACTGTAGTCAAGTCATTCACCCTCTATGAACAAGGACCTTCAGTGGTAAACTGGCGTTTGTTAGTTTCACCAGATCATATTCAAAAAACACTGAAGTCTGTACTTGAAAGTTCCTGTGGACGTGGGAATGTATTATTCTTATTATTGTTGTTGTTTCTGACTAATACAGCTGCAGAACTTGAGGATTTAAGATCTCCCCATGGATTTTACTGTGGCCTCCAGAACCTGAGATTTAATTTTAAAAGAATTAAATTTCCAGTCTGCTTTACAGGGGTGACTGTGAGAATGTGCGCTGACAGACTGTTGTCTTCAGAGGCAATATCCAGACACACTAAGACAGTGCCACAGCTTGAATGGGGGTGACCCTTTCCCATTCATCTTAATGGAGTGTTAAACTTGAAGCCTAATTAGGTCCACTTAAATGCCAGCATTATTATACTTTTCTCTGCTTATCTTCATACCAGAAACAATCAACTAATGCACCCATTTAATCTGGGTGCGTGCTACGATCCCATCCAGACACCCTGTCATTTTGATAGCCTGCTTTGCAGTCATAAAAGTACAAGTTTTAAACTTGCACTTTGGTTGTTTTTAATTATCCACATAATTAGATTACTTTCTACTACCTTGAAAATTTAGAGGTGAGACTGTATACACACATATATGATGTTTGTAAGCCAGTAGGGCCTGATCGCCATTCCCATAATGAGAAACTGATACCAAACTTGCTCCTAGGATAACAAACTGTTAAATGAACGATTCCATTCCTGTCTCTTAGAGAAGGCTCACAGATTTACAGTTTATCCATCACATATGTGTCCAAGCTTTCTACATTCCCTTTCTGATTCATCATTGCTGCCTGAACTCCATTTTAATTTTTAATTCCTAAAACAAACCTTGGATGAAGCAGAATTTCAATATATATAAATCTTCACTTGTCTATTTTGTACCTAGTAGTAGTATCCAGATCTAACTAAGCCCTTAATATAAAGTCCTTGGCTACCTTATAAAATATCTCGTAAAAGTGTATTTATTTACTCAGGCCTATAAGATTAGTCTGTTTTCCTTTAGTTGTCTCTGTGCCAAGGTGGCATACAAGAAACATTTTAGAAGTTTATCATCTAGGCTTGTAGATAAAGACATTAGTTATTGTCTTCAAGATGGAACAAATGCCTCACATTTCTCCCTACATACTCCTCCACCTCCAGTCATACACCATGCACCCCAGGCATCTGAATGTCCAATAACATACGGCTGGAAGGAACACTTTCCAAAGGTGTCTGTAATAGACATTACTAATGCCCACCTTGGTTTTCCAACCCCTCCTACACACACAGAAAACTATATTTCCTAGACCCCTTCATAGTTGGGTGAGACTATGACTAAGTCTGACCAGTGGATTGGGGCACTTTCGTGAGGAAGTACTTAAGAGCCAATATGTAATCCTCAATGCGCTCCTGCTCTGCTCAGACAAACCCTGAAGCCCCATGCTGAGAGAAAAGTGCCATGAGACGGAAGCAACTGGAATGCTGGATCCCCACACAGAGAACCCCTGGAGAGATTCCTGGGCCAGCAGAAGCTTTGCATGACTAAAAATATACTGTTTCGGTTAACCATGGAGATGTTCATGTTTTTTGTTAGTACAACATTAGTTAGCCTATCTGATTTAACACAGTGTCTCAGAATCGATTTCCAGGGTAGGGAATGATAGTTTACGCCTGTAATCCCAGCGCTTTAAGAGGCCAAGGCAGGGAGATCACTTGAGGCTAGGAGTTCGAGACCTAGGCAACATAATGAAACCCTGTCTCTCTACAAAAAATGAAAAAATTAGCTGGGCATGGTGGCTCATGCCTGTAGTCCTAGCTACTCAGGAGGCTGAGGCAGGAGGATCACTTGAACCCAGGAGTTCAAGGCTGCAGTGAGCTATGATCGTGCCACTGCACTCCAGCTGGGGTGACAAAGCAAAACCCTGTCTCAAAAAAAGAAAAAAAAAGAATTAATTTCCAATCCAAATCTCATTAGATGGACACCCATATATAATTGTCATTACTGCCTTCTTCCAGGGAGCCAGTGAAGATGCAGAAGTCACTCCAGACTGCCGGCCAAGCTCTGATTTTGCTCTTCATCATTGACTCCCTTGAGTCTTATACTGTAATCTTGAAAGAAGTGAATTAAGTAATATCACAGGCTGTTCTTTTCCACCAAGAGAGAGACTTGGAAGACAATGGTTGCTCATAAGGCTCAAGACATTTTCCAGAAAGAGAGAATTAACATTCAAAAGCAGGCCAGAGTCAAAGAGTGGGGAAAATCCCATCGATAAAACCCTAAAATTCAGATTTGCATTATCCAAGCAGGCACAGGAGCAAATGCCCATTAGCCATCTACAGAAATAGGGCACTATCCAGAGTCATTTAGGAGGATTGAAAACAACCCAAAAAAAGTGGTAAATAACCTTTAAAGGGTATATGTTAATAAAAATGTCAAATTATATCTGACCTGAGCTAAGCAGTATGTTTATTGAGCCTTTTAGGTAGTACTTGCAAATATTAAAACTCTTTAAATAGTTGCTCTGACAACTTTGAATGGTAAAGAGCTAATTTTTACTTTGACAGAGATGTATTTATTGTGTTTACATTAAAACAGGTCACATGGTCCTAAATGGCTTCTGAGGTAGGAATTAGTTTCCTATTTACAGTTATGCAAATTCCCTAGCTGATCCACAGATACTGATGAGATCCAGCAGGGTCTTAGGAAGGAAAGTAAGCCTCAGGGAGCCTTAGTAAAGGAAGGAGGGAAAGTATGAGACAGAGATTAAGGAGAAAGCTGTGATGATGAAGAATGGGCAGTCCACAGGGTTAAGGAACCCTGAGAGTTAACTAACAGGAAGGATCTGCTTGGCTGGTCCTGAGATTGCAAGCCAGGAAGACCATGTGCTTAGTGAAAGGCAGTGCCCACGGTGGAGTCATTTGGAACTGGGAAAGCAATTCTCCAGCTTACCAGGTCTGTGAGCTTAGACGAGTCAGGCTTCCCATCAGCAAAATGGGGATAAAAATACCTCCCTCACAGGATTAGTGTAGGGATTAAAATTTGAATAAAGCCATGAATGTAATGTCCCTGGTACACTGACTATACACAGTAAGTTTTCAGTTGATGTTAGCTATTATTAGATTCTCATGCTCTGTTGATTTAACATGTTAACTAAATAATAATAGTAATGATAGTATTGCAGATGAGTCCCCTTAATGATTGTATTTCCCTGAAAGAGAGGGGAGACACAAGTCTGACATTTCTTCTTTGGGCCTCAGCTCCTACGTGGCTCAATTGTGTGAAAATTTCTCAGGGATGTATGAGTGATATGACAGAATTTTTAGGATAATTTTCACCAATTGAAATGTTACACCTGTAAACTGGCTTTAGAATCTAAACACTGAATAAGATACAACTCTACTGTATTAATACAGTAAGGAATTATATTGCAATTCGTGAAGTATCAATCACAGTCTAGTAAGCATAATTTTTATCCCCTCTTCAACCATGAAAAGCAATGTTACAGTATAGTGAAGGTTATGGCACAGGGGTCAGCAAACATGGGATCAAATTCTAGCTTCATTATTTACTAGTTCTGACAACAATGAGTCCTGAGCTTCCATTTCCCCATCAGAAAAATTGGGATAACCTCAGGAATGCAATGACGATTAACTCAGGTAGCATATGCAATGTGCCTAGCATAACATAAGCAAAAATGTTAACTCTCTTCTCAATCTATAATCCCCTGTAATTCTAATATAGAGTTATCAGAACATTGTAATTATTTATGTGCATCTCTCTGTCATTAGATTATGACCTTCTCAAAGACAATGGCTAGGAGCTTTTGTACGTTGTACTCCAAGTATCTGGAAGGACAGAGTTAGGAATTTGGCTATGGCAGAAGGAGAAATCAAGAGAGATCATTGGTTTCTGAGCATAAATCAAATAAGCCAAACTATATTACCTCCCAGAAGCTGAAAAATTCGTCTGTAAGCATTGTCTGTACTCACCTCAAAATCTCTCTACTCTTAAAGGCATCCATTCCCAACATTTTGATACTGCTCTGGCCAGTCACTGCTGACTTTCATGTTGCCAAATTCAATATTCTCTTCTCTATTCCTATTTTTCTCAACTTCTCAGAACCATTCAGCACAACTGATTGCTTTTTTTTTTTTTCAAAACACCCCTCTTTGCTTCTCTAACACAAGGCTGTCATGTCCTATGTTCACTCTCATTTGCTGACTCTTCCTTTTAACAGGCTTCCAAACCTGGTAGTGCCCAGCTCATTCCTAGCCTTCTTCTCTATCTAAGCCCTCTCACTAGTGAGCTCATCCACTGTTGGAAAAAGAGCACCATCCAGATGCTAACAAATCCCAAATCTCTCTCCTAAACCTGACCATTCCTCACAATTCTAGACTCAACTGTTACTTGATGACTCCACTTGTATGTCAAATAAATGTTTCAAAATTTGCATACAACGAAAGAGAGATTTTGGTTCCCTCTCCCCACTCCAACCAACTCCTGCCTCAGGGCTCTCCATCTCAAAGTGTGATTCTCCCAATCAGCAATATATGCATCACCTGGGAACCTGTTACAAATACAAATTCTCAGGCTCTGCCCCTGACCTTCTGAACAGAAAATCTTTGGATGGGCCAAGCAATCTGTGTTTTAAAGGCTCTCCAGGTGGTTCTAATACATGCTAAATCAGAACATTCACATATACAGGCATACCTCAGAGATATTGCAGGTTTAATCCAGACCGATGCAATAAAGAGAGTCATGCAGTTTTGTAGTTTGTTTTGGTTTGCTTTTTGGTTTTCTGGTGTCTGTAAGACTTATGTTCACACTATACTATGGTCTATTAAGTATGCAATAGTATTTTGTCTAAAACAATAATGTACATACTTTAATTTTAAAATACTTTGTTGCAAAAATATTTTGTTGCAAAGTCTAGTTCTCTTATAATGAGATACTACTACACACCTATTAAAATGGCTTTTTTTTTTTTTTTTTGACAGAGTCTTGCTCTGTTGCTCAGCCTGGAGTGCAATGGGGTGATCTCGGCTCACTGCAACCTCCACCTCCCAGGTTCAAGCAATTCTCCTGTCTCAGCCTCCCAGGTAGCTGGGATTACAGACATGCACCACCAGGCCCAGCTAATTTTTTGTATTTTTTTAGTGGAGACACGGTTGTACCATGTTGGCCAGGGTGATCTCATACTCCTGACCCCAAGTGATCCACCCACCTCAGCCTCCCAAAGTGTTGGGATTACAGGCATTAAAATGGCTTTTTAAAAAACTAACATTACCAGTTGCTGGCGAGAATGCAGAGAAACTGGAATCCTTCATCCATTATTGGTGGGAATGCAAATTGATAAATCTCATTGGAAGATGTTCGGAAGCTTCTTGTAAAATTAAACATGAACTAACCATATGACCCAGCAATTCAACTCCTAGATATTTAACTGTGTGAAATGAAAATTTATGTTCACACAAAAACCTATATGTGAATATTTATGGTATCTTTATTCAAAATTGCTAAAATCTTGAAAAAAATCATATGTCCTTTAACTGGGGAATGAACAGAAATATTATGGCACCTCCATTCAGTGAAATTCTGTTCAGCAACAGAAAGAAAGCAACTGCTGATACATGCAACAGAATCTCAGACGCATCATGTTAAGTGAAACATGCTATATTCAAAAGGCTACGTATACTGAGTAACTTCATTCATATGGCATTCTGGAAGAGATGAACCTACTGAAGCAGAAAACGGATCAGTTGTTATCAGGGTCTAGGGTTGGGAGGAAGGATTGACTACAAAGAGGGGCATGAGAAATATTTGGGGGTGATGGAACTGTACTATATCTTGAACGCAGTGGTGGTGGTTAAACAACTGTATTCCTTTGCCAAAACTTGCAGGTCTGTATATCAAAATGGGTGAATTTTGCTCTGTGTAAATTGGGCTTCAATAAAAGTGAAAAAAAATACTCATACCATTTTCTAAAAATAAACCAATTAAAAGTAAAATTGAAAATGCTGAAGTGGCTGGCAAGATGGCTGAATAGGAACAGCTCTGGTCTGCAGCTCCCAGCAAGATCAATGCAGAAGGCAGGTGTTTCTGCATTTCCAACTGAGGTACCAGCTTATCTCATTGAGACTGGTTAGACAGTGGGTGCAGTCCAAGTAGGGCAAGCAGAAGCAGGGTGGGGTGTCGCCTCACCCGGCAAGTACAAGGGGTCGGGAACTCCCTCCTCTAGACAAAGAAAGCCGTGAGGGACTCTGCCTTGAGGAATGGTTCATTCCAGCCCAGATACTATGCTTTTCCCATGGTATTCACAACCCTCAGACCAGGAGATTCCCTCTGGTGCCTATACCACCAGGGCCCATGGTTTCAAGCACAAAACTGGGTGGCTGTTTGGGCAGACACAGAGCTAGCTGCAGGAGTTTTTTTTTTTTTTTTTTTTTCATACCCCAGTGGTGCCTGGAATGCCAGTGAGACAGAACCATTCATTCTCCTGAAAAGGGGGCTGAAGCCAGGCAGCCAAATGGTCTACTCTGTGGATCCCACCCCCACAGAGTCCAGCAAGCTAAGATCCACTGGCTTGAAATTCTCACTGCCAGGACAGCAGTCTGAAGTTGATCTGGGATGCTCAAGGTGGTGGGGGGAGGGGTGTCCATCATAACTGAGGCTTGACTAGGTGGTTTTCCCCTCACAGTGTAAACAAAGCCGACGGGAAGTTCGGACTGGGTGGAGCACACCACAGCTCCTCAAAGCCACTGCAGCCAGACTGCCTCTCTAAATTCCTCCTCTCTGGGCAGGGCATCTCTGAAAGAAAGATAGCGGACCCAGTCAGGGGCCTAAGATAGAACTCCCATCTCCCTGGGACAGAGCACCTGGGGGAAGGGGTGGCTGTGGGCAAGCTTCAGCAGACTTAAATGATCCTTCCTGCCAACTCTGAAAAGACCAAGAAATCTCCCAGAACAACACTTGAGCTCTGCTAAGAGACAGATTGCCTCCTCAAGTGGGTCCCTGACCCCCATGACTCCTCACTGGGAGACATCTCCCAGCAGGGGTCAACAGACACCTCAATCAGGAGAGCTCTGGCTGGCATCTGGCAGGTGTCTCTCTCGGGCAAAACTTCCAGAGGAAGGAACAGGCAGCAATCTTTGCTATTCTGCAGCCTCCACTGGTGATGCCCTGGCAAACAATCTCTGGAGTGGACCTCCAGCAAACTCCAGGAGACCTGCAGCAGAGGGGCCTGACTGTTAGAAGGAAAACTAACAAACAGAAAGGAGTAGCATCAACATCAACAAAAAGAACGTCCATGCAACAACCCCATCCAAAGGTCACCAACATCAAAGACCAAAGGTAGATAATTCAGGCAGATGAAAAAAAACCAGCACAAAAAGGCTAAATATTCCAAAACCCAGAACGTGTCTTCTCCTCCAAAGGTCACAACTCCTCGCCAGCAAGAGAACAGCACTGGACGGAGAATGAGTTTGACATATTGACAGAAGTAGGCTTCGGAAGGTGGTTAATAACAAACTCCTCTGAGCTAAAGGAGCATGTTCTAACCCAATGCGAGGAAGCTAAGAACATTGATAAAAGGTTACAGGACTTACTAACTAGAATAACCAGTTTAGAGAAGAACATAAATGACCTGATGGAGCTGAAAAACACAGCATGAGAACTTCATGAAGCATACCCAAGTACCAATAACTGAATCAATCAAACGAAAGAAAGGATATCAGAGATTGAAGATCAACTTAATGAAATAAGTGTGAAGACAAGATTAGAGAAAAAAGAATGAAAAGAAACAAACAAAGCCCCCAAGAAATATGGGACTATGTGAACAGACCAAACCAACATTTGATTGGTGTACCTGAAAGGGACAGGGAGAATGGAACCAAGTTGGAAAACACTCTTCAGGATATTATCCAGGAGAACTTCCCCAACCTAGCAAATCAGGCCAATATTCAAACTCAGGAAATACAGAGAACACCACAAAGATACACCTCGAGAAGAGAAACCCCAAGACACATAATCATCAAATTCACCAAGGTTGAAATGAAGGCAAAAAATGTTAAGGGCAGAAAGAGAGAAAAGTCAGGTTAACCACAAAGGGAAACCCATCAGACTAACAGTGGAAACCCTACAAGCCTCTCTTCTTCTCTCACAGAAGAGACTGGGGACCAATATTCAACATTCTTAAAGAAAAGAATTTTCAACCCAGAATTTCATATCCAGCCAAACTAAGCTTCATAAGTGAAGGAGAAATAAAATCCTTTATAGAAAAGCAAATGCTGAGAGATTTTTGTCACCACAAGGCCTGCCTTACAAGAGCTCCTGAAGGAAGTAATAAATCTGGAAAGGAAAAACCAGAACCAACCACTGCAAAAACATACCAAATTCTCAAGACCATTGACACTATGAAGAAACTGCATCAACTAATGGGCAAAATAACCAGCTAACATCATCATGACAGGATAAAATTCACACATAACAATATTAACCTTAAATGTAAACAGGCTAAATGCCCCAATTAGAAGACACAGACTGGCAAATTGGATAAAGAGTCAAGACCCATTGGTGTGCTGTATTCAGGAGACCCATCTCACAGGCAAAGACACACATAGGCTCGAAATAAAGGGATGGAGGAATATTTACCAGACAAATGAAATGCAAAAAAAAAAAAAAAAAAGCAGGGGTTGCAATCCTAGTCTCTGATAAAAACAGACTTTAAACCAACAAAGATCAAAGAAGACAAAGAAGGGCATTACATAATGGTAAAGGAGTCAATGCAACAAGAAGAGTTAACTATCCTAAATATATATGCACCAACTACAGGAGCACCCAGATTCATAAAGCAAGTTCTTAGAGACCTACAAAGAGACTTAGACTCCCACACAATAATAGTGGGAGATGTTAACACCACACTGTCAATATTAGACAGATCAACGAGACACAAAATTAACAAAGATATTCAGGACTTGAACTCGGCCTTTGACCAAGCGGACCTAATAGACATGTACAGAACTCTCCACCTCAAATCAACAGAATATACATTCTTCTCAGCACCACATTGCACTTATCTAAAATTGACCACATAATTGGAAGTGGAACACTTCTTAGCAAATGGAAAGAACAGAAATCATAACAAACATTCTCTCAGACCACAGTGCAATCGAATTAGAACTCAGGATTAAGAAACGCGATCAAAACTGCACAACTACATGGAAACTGAATAACCTGCTCCTGAATGACTACTGGATAAATAATGAAATTAAGTCAGAAATAAGTAAGTTCTTTGAAACCAATGAGAACAAAGATAAAACTACCAGAATCTGTGAGACACAGCTAAAGCAGTGTTTAGAGGGAAATTTATAGCACTAAATGCCCACAGGAGAAAGCAGAAAAGATCTAAAATCGACACCCCAACATCACAATTAAAAGAACTAGAGAAGCAAGAGCAAACACACTCAAAAGCTAGCAGAAGACAAGAAATAACTAAGATCAGAGCAGAACTGAAGGAGATAGAGACATGAAAAACCCTTCAAAAAATCAATGAATCCAGGAGCTGGTTTTTTGAAGATTGACAAAATAGACAGACTGCTAGCCAGACTAATAAAGAAGAAAGGAGAGAAGAATCAAGTAGACACAATAAAAAATGACAAAGCAGATACCACCACTGATCCCACAGAAATACAAACTACCATCAGAGAATACTATAAACTCCTCTATGCAAATAAACTAGAAAATCTAGAAGAAATAGATAAATTCCTGGACACATACACCCTCCCAAGACTAAACCAGGAAGAAGTCAAATCCCTGAACAGACCAATAACAAGTTCTGAAATTGAGGCAGTAATTAATAGCCTACCAACCAAAAAACGCCCAGGACCAGACAGATTCATAGACAAATTCTACCAGAGGTAAAAAGAGGAGCTGATACCATTCCTTCTGAAACTATTCCAACCAATAGAAAAAGAGGGACTCCTCCCTAACTCGTTTAAGAGGCCAGCATCAACCTGATACCAAAACCTGCCAGAGACACAACAAAAAAAAATTTCAGGCCAATATTCCTGATGAACATCGATGTGAAAATCCTCAATAAATTACTGGCAAACTGAATCCAGCAGCATATCAAAAAGCTTTTCCACCATGATCAAGTCAGCTTCATCCCTGGTATGCAAGGCTGGTTCAACATATGCAAATCAATAAACGTAATCCATCAAATAAACAGAACCAATGACAAAAGCCACATGATTATCTCAATAGATGCAGAAAAGGCCTTCAATAAAATTCAACACTCCTTCGTGCTAAAAACTCTCAATAAACCAGGTATTGATGGAACATATCTCAAAATAATAAGAGCTATTTATGACAAACCCACAGCCAATATCATATTGAATGGGAAAAAGCTGGAAGCATTCCCTTTGAAAACCAGCACAAGAAAAGGATGCCCTCTATCACAAATCCTTTTCAACATTGTATTGGAAGTTCTGGCCAGGGCAATCATGCAAGAGAAAGAAATAAAGCGTATTCAAATAGGAAGAGAGGAAGCTAAATTGTATCTGTTTGCAGATGACATGATTGTATATTTAGAAAACCCCATCATCTTAGCCCAAAATCCCCACACATCTACAACAATCTGATCTTTGACAAACCTGGCAAAAACAAGCAATGGGGAAAGGATTCCCTATTTAATAAATGGTGTTTGGAAAACTGGCTAGACATATGCAGAAAACTGAAACCAGACCCCTTCCTTACACCTTATACAAAAATTAACTCAAGATGGATTAAAGACTTAAACATAAGACCTAAAACTATAACACCCTAGAAGAAAACCTAGGTGATACCATTCAGGACATAGGCATGGGCAAAGACTTCATGACTAAAACACCAAAAGAAATGGCAATAAAAGCCAAAATAGACAAATGGGATCTACTTAAAGAGCTTCTGCACAGCAAAAGAAACTATCATCAGAGTGAACAGGTAACCTACAGAATGGGAGAAAATTTTTGTAATCTATCCATCTGACAAAGGGCTAATATCCAGAATCTACAAGGAACTTAAACAAATTTACAAGAAAAAAACAACCCCATCAAAAAGTGGGTGAAAGATATGAACAGATGCTTCTCAAAAGAAGACATTTATGTGGCCAACAAACATATGAACAAAAGCTCATCATCACTGGTCATTAGAGAAATGCAAATCAAAACCACAATGAGATACCAACTCATGCCAGTTAGAATGGTGATCATTAAAAAGTCAGGAAACAACAGATGCTGGAGAGGATGTGGAGAAATAGGAACGCTTTTATGCTCTTAGTGGGAGTGTAAATTAGTTCAGCCATTGTGGAAGATAGTGTGGCTATTCCTCAAGGATCTAGAACTGAAAATACCATTTGACCCAGCACTCCCATTACTGGATATGTACCCAAAGGATTATAAATTATTCTACTATAAAGACACATGCAACCATATGTTTATTGCAGCACTATTCACAATAGCAAAGACTTGGAACCAACCCAAATGCCCATCAATGACAGACTGGATAAAGAGAATGTGGCACGTATACACCATGGAATACTATGCAGCCATACAAAAGGATTAGTTAACGTCCTTTGCAGGGACATGGATGAAGCTGGAAACCATCATTCTCAGCAAACTAACACAGGGACAGAAAACCAAACACCGCATGTTCTCACTCATAAGTGGGAGTTGAACAATGAGAACACATGGACACAGGGAGGGGAACATCACACACTGGGGCCTGTCAGAAGGTGGGAGGCTAGGGGAGGGATTGCATTAGGAGACATACCTAATGTAGATGATGGGTTGATGGGTGCAGCAAACCACCATGGCATGTGTATACCTATGTAACAAACCTGCACATTCTACACATGTATTCCAGAACATAAAGCATAATAAAAAAATGAAGAAAGAAAATACTTTGTTGCTGAAAAAAATGCTATTAGCAAGTCATAAGCTTATTAGTGGAGGGTCTTTCTTGGATGCTGATGGCTACTGGGCAGAGTGGTGCTTGCTGAAGTTTGGAGTGGCTGTGGCAATTTCTTAAAATAAGACAACAATGAAGTTTGCCACATTGATTGACTCTTCCTCTTATGTAAGATTTCTCTGTAGCACATGACGCTGTTTGATAGCATTTTACCCACAGTAGAACTTCTTTCAAAATTACAGTCAGTCCTCCCAAATCCTGCCACTGCTTTACCAACTAAGTTTACATAATATTCTAAATCCTCTTTTCGCTTCAACAATGTTCACAACATCATCACCAGGAGTAGTTTCCATCTCAAGAAACTACTTTATATTCTCATCCATAAGAAGCAACTCCTCACCTTTTCAAGTTTTCAAAACTCCACTGGAGTTTTGAATCCCTCAAAGTCATATGTGAGGATTGGAATTAACTTCTTCCAAAAACTTTCATTAATGTTGATACTTTGACTTCATCTCATGAATCACAAATATTCTTAATGGCAACTAGAACTGTGAATTTTTTCCAGAAGGTTTCCAACTTACTCTGTCCAGATCCATGAGAAGAATCAATATCAATGGCAGGTATAGCCTTATGAAATGTATTAATATTTCTTAAATAATAAGACTTGGAATTCAAATTCATCTTTGATTCATGGGCTGCAAAATGGATGCTGTGTTAGGCATAAAAATCAACTTTAATTTCCTGTATTTCTTCATCAGAGCTCTTGGGTGACTAGGTATATTGTCAATGAGCAGTAATGCTTTCTTTTTTTTTTTTTTTTTTTTTTCTGAGCAGTAGGTCTCTATAGCAGGCTTAAAATATTTAGTAAACCATGCTGTAAACAGATGAGCTGTCATCCAGGCCTTGTTGCTCCATTCATACAGTACAGGCAGAGTAGATTTAGCATAATTCTTAAGGGCCCTAAGATTTTTAAAATGGTAAATGAGCATTCGCTCCAGCTGTATTAGTCCCTAACAAAAGAGTCAGCCTGTCCTTTGAAGCTTTGAAGCCAGCCATTGACTTCTCTTCTCTAGCTGTGGAAGTCCTAAAGGTCCTCTTCTTCCAACAGAAGGCTGTTTTGCCTACACTGAAAATCTATTGTTTAGTGTAGCCACCTTCATCAATTATCTCAGCTAAATCTTCTTGAAAATTTTCTGAAGCTTCTACATTAGCACTTGTTGCTTGACTTTGTACTTTTATGTTAGGGAAATGGCTGCATTCCTTAAACCTCATGAACCAACATCTGCTAGCTTTCAACTTTTCTTCTGAAGCTTCCTCTCCTCTCTCAGCCTTCATAGAATTGAAGAGCATTAGGACTTTGCTCTGGATTAGGTTTTGGCTTAAAGGAATGTTGTGGCTAGTTTGATCTTCTATCCAGACCACTCAGACTTTCTCCATATCAGCAAGAAGACTGTTTCACTTTCTTATCATTTGTGTGTTCACTTGAGTAGGACTTTTAATATCCTTAAAGAACTTATCCTTTACATTTACAACTTGTCTGTTTACTACTAGAGCCGTAGCTTTTGGCCTATCTTGGCTTTTGAAATGCCTTCTTCATTGAGCTTAATCATTTTTAGCTTTTGATTTAAAATGAGAGACTTACAACTCTTGCTTTTACTTGAACACCTGGAGGACATTGTAGGGTTATTAATTGGCCTAATTTCAAAATTGTTGTGTCTCAGGGTAAAGGGAGGCCCAAAGGGAGGGAGTAAGATAGTGGAACAACCAATTGGTGGAGCAATCAGAACACATACAAAATTTATCAATTCAGTTTGCGATTTTTGGTACCCCAAAACAATTAAAATAGTAACATCAAAAATCACTGATTACAGATCACTGTAACAGATATGATAATCATGAAAAAGTTTGAAATGGTGTGAGAGTTACCAAAATGTGACAGAGACACAAACTGAGCATGTGCTATTGGGAAAATGGCACCAATAGACTTGCGTGACACAGGGTTGCCACAAACCTTCAACTTGTTTTTTCTTTTTTTTGAAAAAGCATTATCTGTGAGGCACAATAAATCAGAGTACAATAAAATGAGTTATGCCTGTTCCATCATGGGTTTGCATCACTCAGGAAAGCTAGTGGCCTTGGGAATACTTAGTCTAGGCATTGAATAATGTCCAAAAGGTGACTCTGACCTCCCCAAGTTGGATATTAGCCAGCATTCCAGATATGCTGAGATGCTTTGACTGATCTAAATTTATCCAGGAAACAGGACTCAATGTATTTGCTTCACTGAGCTTCCTTTTACCTTCTGTATCATTCTCACTTGTTCCCTCAAATTTAGTTAATACCATTCTAGTGAGACCACTGGTTCCTGGTGTCCAAGGAAAGAACTAACACCTGAGTTATAAAATAGGCATGTAGCACACACACACACACACACACACACACAGCACCCATTGAGCTGCTGAAAGAAATTCCAAGTGTGAAGTCATATCTAAACTATATTTACTTCACCCAGTTGTTCAATGAACCAAATCTCAGCAACCTCAACACATCTTCAACTCAAGCAGATTTGATATTCTTAGTTACACAACCACGGCATCTACCTGCTTTCAGTTTTGGTCCTAGAAATATGTCTGTGTCAGCCATCACTAGTTTCAAGATGAGAACTTACATAAGTAAGTGGTGAATTAATTACTTTTTAAAAATCAGTACTTGTGTATATAGTACCAATTCTCCGTGTTAGTTACTAGAATCCAAGGAATCAACTGTGGATGTATGTTTTATCTTTAAGTTTAAAACAACAGCAGATATTGTAGGTTGCTTTGCAGGTCATGGTTTCCATGAATTGTTCTAGTTGCATGTAGAGAGACAAAGCCCTTTTTTCTACAACCCACCCCAAGTATATTTGTTGATTCCTATTAAGCTTTTCCAATTGTTAAAAAGAAAAAACATTAGTGTTATGATTAGAGTCATAAACTGAGGGGTGATATTATCTCAGAAGGTTCAGATGAAGAGACTGCAGAGGACATTCCAGGAAATTTGAAGACTATTCAGTCACCACTCTTGGTTACATTTGGGGATTATGCAACTAAGAAAAACATGTTATTGAAAAGTGAGAGCAACATTGTCCAGTTGTTACTTAGATTCTCCTAGCATACTCTAGAATGCTACTCATTCTTACATGGATTTTGTCTTTTATGGATCAGATTATGCTTCCTATGTTGCAAAAGACTGAAATTTGAGGACATATTAAACCTGTTCCTCAATATCAATATTAAGAAAAGGTCCTACTTTGTTTAAATATGACTGTAATTGTAATACCATTTTACAATTATATCTGACTTGATTACCAAAGCACCTTCTTATGTATATAAGAAGGTTATTGTTCATTTTAACAATCATCATGAATTTGTGAGGTTAACAGAACAAAGATTATTTCCCTTATTTAAAATATCAACATCTGCCAGTCAGAGACATTAAGTGGCTTAATCAAGACCATGTAAGTAATTCATGCAGAGCTGAAGTGAATTCCAGATCTAGCACTTTTTCCATTACACAATACATGCTTAACTACAACTCCCAGAAACCTTGGAGGTGGTAGAAGAAATCTTTGTTCAATAACATAATGTTGCTTTAACCTGATGATGCACTTTTTTTTTAGCCATAATGACAAATGACTGGTTTAAAAACTATATTCACTGACTGATATGAGAAATCACCTTCTAAAGACCCAGGCCCATCTCACAATTTCCACTGTTTCCTATCATGCTAATGTAAAGTGTTGGGGGTAGCATCAGCAGGGAGGATCAAGAAGAACATTCATTAAATGAAAAAACAGCAAATATTGATTTTTCTTTCCATTGTAGAGACAGGTAATACAATTTCATTGCCTATTCAATATGAAAATAGGACATAATGGAGTTATGGTTTATGATTTGGCCATTGTGTCAGACGCCCTTTCCAGCAATCTCTTCTTCCTCATCTCAGGCTCTACCCCAGAACACTGGGTAACCAGATAGCTAGATCTACTTATTTAGGATCAAATGCCTTCAGTCCTACAGAATATGAAGCAGAGTATATGAAAGAAAATAATAAACAAGGAGAAGTTGTTCGGCTATAATGACTGTAGCTGAAGAACTTTGGCAATACTTGCTCACAGGGGCTGTCTCAGAAAAGACACAATGCCCTGATATATGTAGCTAACAGTCCCAAGGGCATGCCAAATTGAGAATTTGCCATGTGGCAACTTGTTGTGGCAGAGTTTCTTCCAGGCAAGGTGTAATCTTGAAAAGAAGAAAATTTTAAAGTGTGTTGTGCACAATTGACTGATTTTCTTAAAATCAGTGGGGTATATTGTTGTCTCTCACTTTTCTGCATATCTTGCAAGTAGACTCATCAACTGCTTTTGTTCCAAACTACCTTTGCAAGGATGTTTGCATAGTAAGCAGTCATGGGGGATGTTTGTGTTGTGAACAGTCATGGAAGATAGAGTCTCTGTCTCAGACAATGGGCCTGCATGCTTCTTGTCCTGTATGAAATCTTCAGGTCCCCTAAGTGCAGGATTTCTATCCTGCAACACAGCTTACTGCATATGCAGGTATCACCTGGTGACCCAGGAAGAGTGAGGAGATAGGACATCAAATATGCTAATGCTCCAGCTGTTTGCTCCTGTTAGCAACAAAGTCTTTTGCCCCTGACCTAGGTCTCTCTTGATGAACTGGTCTTCAAAAACTAGGTAAAAACTGCAGTGTATAAGAGCTGTGATCATTCACATTCAGCTTTTCTAAGTGAGTTTGCTAAGTTACAGATTTGTGCTGTTAGTCACCACTCCTCTGCTATGGAGATTAGTACTGGTTTTTACTGTTGATCTTTCCTGTTGCCAACTTGGTGAGCTGGTCTTCAATATCCTTGGGCTAAAGAAAGAAAAAATTATTATTATTATTATCAAAATGTTGGTTCAACATTGAAATAGGCTAAGACATTATCCAATAATCTATGTATTTGCATTTGCAGACATACTAGGTGTAAGTAAATTTCGTATGCAAATTACCCTGACAGAACCTCTATGCCTATAAAGCCCCCACACCCATGCATCTCTGCAAGTTCCCAAAGGGTATTTCCTATGTCCTCCCTTCCTTTGGAACCTACTGTGCTCTGCTATGTGCTATCTTTAGCTCAGGATTCCTGCCACCATAATCACTTGGCTGCTCCATCTCTCTTCATGCAGAGAAGTAGTTCATCACTGGTGGTGGTCCTTATCCCCCAAGATCCATCAAGCCCCACCAGTATCCACAGTTCAAGCGCCACATGGGTCTTCTTCTATTGTGATACACTCTGCACTAATGGTGCATGGGCAGCAAAGTTATTTCTAGACATATCCAGAACCAGATTTAAATAAGAGCCACCATCAGGATTTCTCATCCACCTCTTCAGTGGCACATGGATCAACCTCATTTTATGTAAAGATTTCTTCTCTTAGCATCCATTTTCTTTCAGATTTCTTGGACCTGCTTCAAAAAGGCTTTTGTGAGGCCGATACACCAGCCAACCAAACATGCCTGGACCCCCAGCAGTGAACACAGTGGAAACACTTGCCCCAGGCATCTGCATAGCTCATTTCGTCACCTCCTTCAAGTTTAGCTCAAAAAACCACCTTGTCGGGGAAGCCTTTTCTGACCACCCATTCAAGAGTGTTAACCCCCACTCCTACCCCAAGATTCTTATTGCTCTTCTCTGTCTTAGTTCACTCTGTGGCACTTACTACTTCCAAACATACTATAGAATGTATTGATTTTGTGTATTATTGTCTTCTTCCACCAAAATATAAATTCCAGGGGAACAAAGGTTTTTTTCTTTTTATTTCATGGACGTGCTCACAGTGGGGCCCAGCACCCAGTTGGTACTCAGTGAATATTTGAAGAATGAATGATTGAATCCCACACACAGGCTATATGTGTAATGTGCACTCTCATATAAACTCCACTGACCATATGCCCATTAAATCTGACATCCAGTAAACATACTTTGGCTGAAAAGATAGTTTTGAATTACAATGCAAAGAAAATATACCTCACACAAAGGACAAAGCAGTTGGACCAATAATGATCATCCGTTTTCTCGTTCTGGTTGCCCTTCACCTTTGAAAATGGGACAGAAAATACAAATAACTGTAGCCCAGCCTTTCTGTTCTTTGTAATGATTAGCCATTTTTAAATCCCTGTATCTCTTAGACTCAGTAATATAATTCTCTTCTCGATACCTTTTTCCGTTGCACTTAAAATTCCTTCAGAAATGAATTATAACTATTGAAACTTCCACGTGATTTGAGATATGCAGCTAAATGTCAAATAAGCTAGGGCAGATTTTGTGTGTGCATTAACTCTGGGGAAAATTAGCAAAAATTCACTCATTTATTACGTAGGAGTAACAAATCAAAATGAAAAAGAAAAAAAGATAGTCTTCATTTGGGGTTCACAAATCTATGAGGCAGTACTAAAGAATAGATAAATTGCTACAAATTTCCAGCAAAGCACTTTAGGATATGTCAAATTCCTTTAAAATATTCATATATTAGAATGTATTTATTATACTTTTAAATACATATGTAGAAGGATGTTCATGGCAATGTTATTCATAATGAATAAAATTGCAAGCAATTTAAATATCCAACAATAGGGAAATATTTAAATCAGTTACATTCTTATTATTCTATATAATAGAACATTATTTAGTCACTTAAAATTGTGTTTTTGAAGACCATTTAAAGAAATCATTTTCACAACATAACACTGAAAACTAATATAAGCCGCCCTCTTCAAACAATAAATCCATAATATATTCATAGAAAAAAATAAGATGAAATTTGCAAATATGTTAATGGTGATTACTTCTGATTATAGAATTAGAAGCCATTTTATGGGTAACTCCTAATATATCAAAATATTCAGCTGGCAATGGCCACCATGTTCTTAACTGATGTGATCATTAGACAAAGCATTTTTGAACAAAAGGTTTTTAGATGGTGAAATACGTTTATATAATAATGCAAAATAAACTGAATGTAGTCATAATAAGAGCTGACATTTAATGAACTCTGATTCGAACCAGGTATAACACTAAATACTTTAATCCATCTATGAAGTAGGTATCATTACATTTTAGATGAGGAAGCTGGGGTTTTTAAAAGCTGAAGTATCTATTTCAGTATCACATGGCCAGTCAGGGGCAGTAAGAGATTTGATCCGGAATTTTCTGCCTCCAGAGTTTCTGCTTTTAAACACTATGCTCCATTAAAAACAGCTGACGATGACCTATTATGAACGAGCTTGTAATTTGTTTTTGATCAAGACAATGGACTATTTTCAGGTAGTTTAACATTCCTTATGGTAATTACTGCTCAGATGATTACTATCTTTTAACTCTCGGTCAGATACTTGCTGCCTGCCTCTAGGGCAAGTATTTCAGTTTTTATGGCTGATAAAATACGTAGAGCACTTTAGCTTAGACACTGACCAAAAATGGGATTATTCACCTTTTAATCAATTGTAATGAAACCATAGTTATAATTAATGTCTGTTTCTCTTGAAAAAAAAAACTTTCCAAAAAAGACTAATTTTAAAACTAAAACTAGCATAAAATATGAAACTAGAAGACTAGAGTTGATTTCCTAATAATGAAGAGAAATTTAGAACTGTGGCAAAGGCAAACAGGCAAAACAAAACAAAACAAAACCTGACAGCTTCATAGACTCCGCCTCTGAATGGAATGTTGGGGACTGTCTTGCCAATTCTGCCAAACATCCAGGTAGAACACTGAGTACACTGACTACTTTAACTAAAACAATCTGGTTTTACACAAACCCAATTCACGTGCAACCACGTGTGAAGCTTACTGAACTTCTAGGCCAAGGGACAGTTTTTGCCTAAGGAAGAAGCTAAGTTAATTAACTGAGCTGAACATAGGTAAGTTTATAATCTAAGATACTTAGTTTCATGTTACCTAGAAGAAACATCTAGATGAAAAGAGTTCCTAGGAAGAATTCCAAAGTATGCAAAATGAAGAGAGGGAGAGCTATACAAATCATCTGTAATGTGAAACAAAACAAAATTAAGAGTTTTAGCTCAATTTGTAGGAAGAAATAATTTCTAGAAAAAAATTACATAAAAGCAAGGTGGATTTGTAAGTGTAGATCTTCAAGTTAACACTGCCACTTTAGATGGTAACTATTTTAATAATCCCTCAATTTTAAGCTACTGTAAAAAGATGAGCTGAAGAGTTATCAAAATGCTTATACCAGTCTACTTTCAGGAATCTGTTTTAGAACGAGCGTGTTGAATATATTTTGTTATATTCCTCAGAAACACTTTTAAAAATCTTAAACTTTTTAAATTACCATTGTGGTAACAAATGACATTCTCAAGTTAAAAAATAAATAATATTCCTAAAATAATGTTCTTTCCCCTGAGACCCCCTTAGAAGGTAGCGGTCCGTAACGCAGTCAGATATCTAGGATTTCCAAAACACCACTCATGACTATTAAAGGATGCTGAAAAACACCATTACATCAATGACAGAAAGGGCATGTCTATTCTTATTTCTGGAATTCCTTTCGATGTGAGTCAATTCACCAGGTGGGATTTCACTGAAAAATGGCTTTAAGAGTGTTTTACATGAAGGAAGAATAGAACTAAGGCCTTCAAACCAGACATAATGAAAAACATAGAATCAAACTTTACCTAGCAGGCAATGACAGGGACCAAAATCAAAGTAAAACACGTAGACACAAAAACTCCAGTTTTCTGTGCAACTTGTTATGTATTAATTTAACAGCGCATCTGCTTAGTGCAACAGTCCAAATAAAAGCATTTTACCCTCCACATACAAAAATAAAATTCTGTGACTTTGCTTTTCGTTTCAGACCTGGTGATATCAGATTAAAGGAGGAAAAAGAATATGAGATTATTTTTAAAACTCTTTTTGTATTTTCCCAAAAGTTCTACAAAGGCACTTAGGAATTTGGATAATTCAAAGATGCAGAAATAATTCATAACATAAAAGGACTTTCTGACTTTTTTTTAATCCTTAGACTCATAGAACTTGAAACCCAAACATAATGCGCCATCAGCTAGAAGGCCCTCTCTGCCTTCTAGAGGATGGATCAGACATGAACTTTCTCTCCTCTAACTCCTTCTAGACTGGCATGCAGTGATCTAGTTCACGATTATCGGATACCGCCTAGTGAAACAGTTCTTCTGTTGACTTTTCATTATTGTATATGTTTGTTTTATCTTTCCAACTAAGTGAAGCTAAGGAGCTGTATTTTATCTGTTTTATTATTCCCTCAAACAATGTAGCATACAGAGCCTCATCCACAGTGAGCATTCTCTATTTGTTTATTCCAGATTGGTTCAAACATTTTTTTTTAATCAAGAAGATGAGATTGCCTTGATAGACATGTTCCGTTATCTGGTGTTAGGACTAAGAAGATACTGGTGTAATAAATCAAACAGGTATGCTAACAGTTAATATAACATTTACATGTTGTTGAGGCCAGCAATTTTCAAACTCTTTTTTCATAAAACAGAATCTTGCTGAGAAACCCCACAAATGAAAGTGAAGCTCTTTTGACTGAAGTAGCTGGAGAAGGTGAGGTGAGAGATAGGGAAAAGCAGGTGAGAAGGGGCAGAAGCACAGAGAAACTGAAGTCCAGCCACTAAGTCCCTACCCACTGTCTGACAAAGACCACTGGAAACTCTCAGCCACTCTAGAGCACTGTTTAAAAGCCAATGGCTTATTCTGTCATGTAAATATGTATTTTAATAAAAAGAAAATCTCTACTTCTCCCTTCTGCCAACTGAGTGTCAGAAATTGAGCTCTATACTATGAGAAAGTCAATTTTAAATATGTGTTGACAGAACTAGAAAAAACTATTTTAAAATTCATATGGAACCAAAAAGAGCTCGAATAGGCAAGGCAATCCTAAGCAAAAAGAACAAAGCTGGAGGCATCACACTATCTGACTTCAAACTATTTACAGGGCTACAGTTACCAAAACAGCATGGTTCTAGTACAAGAACAGACACATAGACCAATAAAACAGAACAGAGAACCCAGAAATAAAGCCACACACCTACAACTATCTAATCTTCCACAAACCTCACAAAAACAAGCAATGGGAAAAGCACTCCATAATCAATAAATGGTGCTGGGATAACTGGCTAGCCATATGCAAAAGATTGAAACTGGGACCCTCCCTTACACCACATACAAAAATTAACTCAAGATGAATTAAAGACTTAAATGTAAAATCCAAAACTATAAAAACCCTGGAAGAAAACCTAGGCAATCCCTTCTGGAAATAGGAATGGGCAAAGATTTCGTGATGAAGATGCAAAAAGCAATTGCAACAAAAGCAAAAATTGACAAATGGGATCTAATTAAATTAAAGAGCTTCTGCACAGCAAAAGAAACTATCAAAAGAGTAAACAGACAGCCTGCAGAGTGGGAGAAAATTTTTGCAAAGTATGCATCTGACAAAGGTCTAAGATCCAGCATCTATCAGAAACTTAAGCAAATTTATGAGGGAAAAAAAGACAACCCCATAAAAAAGTGGGCAAATGACATGAACAGACACTTTTCAAAAGAAGACCTACACGTGGCCAACATGCATATGAAAAAAAGCTCATCATCACTGATCATTAGAGAAATGCAAATCAAAACCACAATGAGATATCATCTCACACCAGTCAGAATGGCTGTTATTGAAAGAAAAAAAAATCAGATGGTGGCAAAGTTACACACAAAAAGGGACACTTACACAATGTTGGTAGGAGTGTAAATTAGTTTAATCATTGTGGAAGACGGTGTGGCAATTCCTTAATGACCTAAAGGCAGAATTACCATTTGACCCAGCAATCCCCTTACTGGAAATATACCCAAAAGAATATAAATTGTTCTATCATAAAGACACAGCATTTGTATGTTCACTGTAGCACTATTCGCAACAGCAAAGACATGGATTCAACCTAAATGCCCGTCAGTGATAGACTGGCTAAAGAAAATGTGGTACATATAGACCATGGAATAATATGCAGCCATAAAAAGAATGAGATCATGTCCTTTGCAGGAACATGGATGGAGCTAGAGGTAATTATCCTCAGCAAACTAATGCAGAAACAGAAAACTAAATACCACCTGTTCTCACTTATAAGTAGGAGCTAAATGATGAGAACATATGGACACATAGAGGGGAATAACACACACTGGGGGCTACCAGAGAGTGGAGACTAGAAGTGGGGAGAGGATCAGGAAAAATAACTAATGGGTAATAGGGTTATGATCTGGATGATGAAATAATCTGTACAACAGACCCCCACGATACGAGTTTACCTATATAGCAAACCTGCACATGTACCCCTGAACTTAAAATAAAAGTTAAATTTTAAAAAAAGTAGAATAAATGAATTGTCCAAGTGAATGAATGAATGAACACTTGTAACCAAACTGAACAAAATCCTTATTATAGTTGTGGTATTTTTTCTAATTGAACTGAATGGGATACGAAAATCTAAATATAACTGGACTTAGAGAAATGAAAAGGTAAAAAGTATCAACTAAGACTGAATGCCCATATCTGAATTTTTAAAGTTATTTTACGAAGTAAAAAATGTACACATGGAACTCTTCTGTATCTATGGTAATGCAAAGGTTTCACGACATATACTTGTTTCTGCCCTAAATTCATGCTTCCCTTTTTTGGTAAATGTGACTCAATTTCCTCCCTTTTGGGAATAACCATTTCTCTATGCATCTAGTCTTGGCAGTCTGTCCATCAAAATGTTCCATTTGCTCCCTATCCACCCACCTTTATGCCTGGCCAAGGTGTAGGCCTGTTACCCTAGCTAGACTAGTCAGATGTTCTGGCCCTGAAATATGAAGCTTTTCAGGGATGACAAGATGCAGGATAAATGGCTTGAGCTATTCCATTCACCCCTGGGACTGTAAGTGGGCTCTCCCCTAGGTTCTGCTACACGAATTCCTGTAGCTATGCTGGCCTGGAGCTTTCTGAGCCATGGTTGTTTAGCTTCTTCTTTTCTTCTTTGGGCCATATTATGTCTTTCCAATAACATCTTTGCTGTATTTATGTATGTATTTATTTTTGTTTATTTGTATTTAGGTTAGCCAGAGTCCATTTCTGAAATCCAAGAACATAGAGAGATACAGGGACCCCAAGCACTGATAACACAGATGGAAATTCGCTGAAAGAAACTGAGACCAAACAACTCATAGTCACATGCCACAGTAAAATAGATCCCAAAGTCTTAAGGTGGCTTACTAGAATTTATCTTAATATTATTAGGCCTTTTGAATATGACATTTATCAAGTCTGTCATGCACAAAGTGAAGATAACTAGACTGAGATCAGGAGAATAATAGCTCGGGGCAAGTTACATAAACTTTTAAAACTCCATTTTCTCATCTGTGAAAGGATGAGGTTAAAGTAAAAGATTTATGAAGCCTCTTCTAATTATGACAACTTGTGGATTTTTGTTTACAAATATAAAATCATACATCAACTGTTGATTTTTTCCCCTGGTTTTAGAAAGACTCTGAAGGAGTTCCTGCTGTCTCACTTCAAGGCAGCATTTAAATTTAATACAAGCTCCACCCAGGGTCATCCTATGCTGTGATGTGACTATCCTCCATAGCTTTGTAGAATCTCTTTTGTGGTGGAAATCAGTGCCACTTTCTGTACTCACATTTTCCCTTGTCCATTCTCCTCCTATGGTGAGAAGAAAAAATGAGTTATAATTAGAATCAAGAAAATACTGTAAGGATAAATACAATGTATCCTGTTTCTATAAAAGGTCATTTTTTCAAGCTATCAAAGCCCCTTACAACAAATACCTAATTGATGGTTGCAGCCTCCTCTGTAAGAATAAAACACTATGCCCAGTTTATAGGTGAAGAAATCAAAGAGAAAGTCAATAGAATTTCAGTTCAAATTCAGTTCAAAACATTTCAAATCTGGGAAGAAGAAATTCAGAATGCATCCATTTTAGAACATTATATGTCAGGGTGCCAAATTAGCTCAGTTAGTTATACATGATTAGTGTTGACCTAAAAATATGTGTAATACATTTATAATGAAAGCAAAGTGAAAGACATTCAAATAGCAGAGTCAATCCTAAAACAAATAGCTATTACAGCGGTTTTCAGAATTAGTTCTTTGGTGACTAGTTGATGACTCTGTGAAACTCCCATGTAAGTGTGAGAAGCCTAATCTAGTGTACAATTACAGAAAATGAGAAGAGGCTCTGCACTTAAGACTAAGGTATACACACTAATAAACTGATACTGACAGTGATGATCGTAACAACTGCACATCACTCATTTAAATCGGAAACCTATTTCCCTGCAGCACCAGCACTATATTTTCCTAAACAACATCCTTAGACAGACTAGCCCAGGATGAGAGAGGAAGTTTAAGTGTCTAGCTCATTAGAGAATGCCTATTTGGTATTCAATTATCCACCCTTCTATTTATTCAAAAATAATTACTAAGAACCTTTCATGTGCTGCGTCCTGTGCTATGCACTCCATCAAATTACTCATCCACGAATCTCTAGAACCCATTCTCTCAACTTGGAGAACACGAGGAGTCCAGGAGAATGTCTATCAATGAAGGAGCTGGAAGCCTTTTTCCTGACCTGTTTAACAATATACCCTCATGTATTTTCCTTTTAATTATTTGACAGAATGGGTGAATTTCCTTCTGGGTGACACTGATGACAGACTCATATGGAAACTCTTGTGTCCTATAGGAACTAAAAGGGCAGGGGACCTGATAAGGTCTCAGTGCAGGATTTTTCCCAACTGCCATTGAACTCCCAAGATACAACCTAGGAGACACAGCACACAAAAGCTCCCACAAATAGGGAAACTCTCTTCCCTGACCTGAACATTTAAAAAAAAAAACCAAACAGGCCACACCTTCAGGTGTGCAGAGGGAAGGAAAACTACTTATATTTTCAGCACCTGCCCTTCATCAGGCACTAGCCTCTTTCGATCATATTATCTTACATATTCTTCAGTTATCCCTTGCTCAGTGAGGTTTTCCTTATGCACCCTAAAAAAAATCAAACCCCCCATCTAATGTATCATATATTTTATTTATTTGTTTACTATTTGTGTCTCTCTTTTAGAAGGTAAACTCCACAAGGGCAGAAAATCAGATTCTTGAGAAATACACTGCTGGTCTGACTATAACCCAATCCTCTTCCCTCCCGGTTCTGAACCAACTGAGAAATGGGATCAGACATCAAAAGAAGCACTAATACATTTGTTTGCCTTCTTTCTCTAAAGGCTGCATCCATCCCAGGCAAAATGGGAACTCTACCTCTTTCTTACTACCCACCCCTGAAACCAACTCCCTAATGCATCACAGGGAGAGGACCTAGAAAATCACAGACCTTTTATACAGGGATGAAATAGGTAGAACATTGCATGAAGGGGGCAGCTCTATGAAAAGGATGCAAGACATACTAGGACTTCATTACTCAAAGTGTCATCCTTGGACCGAGACCATCAGCACCTGGGAGATTCTTAGAATTGCAAACTCAGGCCCCATTCCAAACCTACTGAATCACAATCTGCATTTTCATAAGATCCCTAGGTGATCCATAAGCATTTTACAGTTTCAAGAACACATGTCAAATAAACTTAAACACATCAACCCCACCACAGATATGTGGACCAATGGGTATCAGAGTTGCCATATTAGCAGTCAGACAAATGCCTGTTCCTTCCATTATTAGGCGCCAGTAATATGAAGAGACAGGGCAGTCTCCTCATTCTGAAATCTCCCAAGAAAGAACAGAAGTGGTGATTTAAAATATGAGTTTGCAGTATGGAGATTTCTGAAAGAACTAAAAGTAGAACTACCATTCGATCCAGCAATGCCACTACTAGGTATCTACCCAAAGGAAAAGAAGTCATTATACGAAAAAGACACGTGAACATGCATGTTTATGGCAGCACAATTAGCAACTGTAAAGATATGGAACCAACCTAAGTACCCATCAACCAATAAGTGGACAAAGAAAATGTGGTATACATACACCATGGAATACTACTCAGCCATAAGTAGAAATGAAATAATGTCTTTTGCAGCAACTTGGATGGAGTTGAAGGCCATTATTCTAAGTGAAGTAACTCAGGAATGGGAAACAAAATATATATTCTCACTTAGAAGTGGAAGCTAAGCTATGAGGACACAAAGGCATAGGAATGATACAATGGACTTCAGGGACTCATGGAGGATACGTGGGAAGGGGGTGACGGATAAAAGACTACATATTGGGTACAGTGTACAATGCTCAGTGACGAGTGCACTAAAATGTCAGAAATGACCACTAAAGAACTTATCCATGTAACCAAAAACCACCTGTTCTCCCAAAAGCTATTAAAATAAATAAACAATAAAAATATAGTTTATTTGCTTGTTTTTTGTGTGTTTGTTTTTGGTTTTGCTTGTTAAAGGCAGCAGGAACTTGGAGAGAGAGAGAATTAATCTCTACCTACTCCCTTAATTTCTTTATTTCCTTTCCTCATCTGTAAAAAGGGAATAATAACATCTACTATATGGGCTCTTGTTAAACTCCAATGAGGTAATACACATCAAAGTCCTTAGTAAACTATGAAGAATTATTTGTAGCACTATTCACAATAGCAAAGACATGGAATCAACCTAAATGCCCATCAATGATAGACTGGATAAAGAAAATGTGGTACTTATACACCATGGAATACTATGCAGCCATGAAAAGGAACGAGATTGAGTCCTTTGCAGGGGCATGGATGGACCTGGAAGCCAGTATTCTCAGCAAACTAACACAGGAACAGAAAACCAAACACCGTATAGTCTCACTTATAAGTGGGAACTGAACAACGAGAACACACGGACACCGCGGGGGGAACAACACACACTGGAATCTGTCAGGGGGTGTGGTGGGGGGAGGGAGAGCATTTAAAAAATAGCTAATGCCTGCTAAGCTTAATACGTAGGTGATGGATTAATAGGTGCAGCAAACCACCATGACACACATTTACCTATGTAACAAACCTGCACATCCTGCACATGTACCCCAGAACTTAAAATAAAAATAAATTTTTTTAAAGTTCATTCTTGTTACATAGAGAAAGCCTATATATCAGCAACCCCTTGAGTTTTAGAAATTCAGCATATTGACTGCCATTACTGTATCACAGAGAATTTTACAAATATTTTTATATTATCATGCTGGTCAAAAATGTGCAGCAGTGATGTCTGTCTGGAAATAAGATGAAAACCTTTTAATATGTTAATACTTAACAGGCCAGTTTCTATGAGATAAAAATAAGGAGCTGAGAAGGAAAAGTTCAGACTGGCTACTGTATTTTGAAAAACAAACAGATGTATTTAGACTATATATAATATATATATATTCTTTCTTAACTTCGAAAATTCAAAACTAATGTCTATCCCACTCTGCCTGCAATTTGCCAAATGACGTAAATTAGAAATGGTTGTCCTGAAATATGCCCTCAATAAAACAGTCAGTTACCCTTTTTTTTTTAATTAGCAGGTAATTAGTTATTTTGTCTAGCTATACAAAAGCATAAATTTTAAGTTGTCATTTGTTTAAACTGATTAAACAACATATAAATATTTCAAAGATTATAAAGCTTTTCCTTGGGACTCTCTTTTTATCTTTAAAAGAAAACAATGCTAATAGTTTCCTTTTTCCTATACTCAACGACTATTTACTACCCCTTCTTGATGTGGGCTTTCAAAATACAAAGAAGTTCTGGCAAGTTTTCAACGTCCTTTTTCAAAGTCTGTTCTTAAGCACTTGTATAAAAGCATAAAGAGTACTTCTTTGGAGAACTGATAATGTCCCACTTTCAGTATTTGTATATTAAGGACTGTCAGTTACATTTAGTGTATTCATTCATTGGAATCCGTTGTTAATCTGCATGCAACTGATTTCAGGGAAGCAAAGTGATCAGAAGAAGTCAAAGTTAACATAACAATTCATTTTCTACAAAAAAACAGCCCAAGACGTTATGGGTCCAAATTTCAAAGCAAGTTACTGTATTTGCTAGTTTTAAGTCACACTTGGCAGTTTTTCCAAACACAGTGGTCAGGAACTGAAAAAAATAAACATGTGTTTTCAGGATTTTCTTTTCACATGCCACACAAAAAGTAACGTTACAACTATGTTTTCACTCCCTTTAAAAAGTGCCTCTTAAAGAAGAAATATTTGCTGTTTGTGTTATTTTTAGGTAGATTTTACAAAATAACATTAAAGGGCAAGATAAATATTACTTTCACTGTATAAATGAAGTATAAACTTCCCAAAGGGATTTCTTGAAAAATCTGTTTTATCATTATGCAATGATATTTTGTATTTTAAGTCTCATACCAAAAGTCACAACACTTGGCAGTTTTCATCTTCCAGGTGCCTTCAACAAAAGTCTAATGCCATTCCCATTTTGCCGAAAGAATAACTGAGGTAAAGCAAATTTATGACTTTCCTGGGGCTTACTAAAGTCTTAGCTGCTGTAGGAGGATGAAAATTCACAGGTGTAGTTCTTATTCAAGTTAGAGGAAACAGTCAATCATAAAGTGGGATTTCAGCAGTATATAAAGGCCTCCAGACCCAAAAATATCTCCGTTATTAGTTGGCCAGGTGGCCTGAATCTCCACTCCAACCTTCCCACCCCATCTAAAGCATTGCCTTGAAAAGTTCTGACCTGTCAAAATGTAAATATCGTAACTTGGAGGTATAACAATATCAGTCATCAACTCAGTAGGAAGAATTTATTTCTCCATTTCCTAACAAAAATCTGGGCCTACAGAGAATAGGACCTAGGGCAGAAAGTGAGTTGGGTAGAGAATAAAGGATGAAAAGTATTCAGTGTGGAGTCTTTCTTAGGGAGATTGGATGCCAGTAGAGACTGTAGGCTGCTGTGGATAATGGGATGATCCTGTCGCCTGGTTGAGGAAGGAGAAGATGAAACGATGTTAACATAAATTTATCCAGGCAAGATTGGTGGTGGATGATAGCATAAAGTAAACTTATTCAGGCAGGACAGATGGTATGAGGAATGTTTGCAGAAGAAAGGATAATTGGAAAGAGTTATAAAATACAGGGAGAAAAACATTGATCATGCTCCTTGGTGTTTACCCAAATGAGTTGAAAACTTATGTCCATGCAAAATCCTGCATAAAGATGTTAGGCCAGATGCAGTAGCTCACACCTGTAATCCCAGAACTTTGGGAGGCCAATGAAGGTGGATTGCTTGAGTCCAAGAGTTTGAGACCAACCTGGGAAACATGCCAAAACCCCATCTCTACAAAAAATACAAAAATTGTTGAAACCCCATCTCTACAAAAAAAAAATACAAAAATTAGCTAGGCATGGTGGCTCACACCTGTGGTCCCAGCTACTCAGGAGGCTGAGGTGGGAGAGGATCACCTGAGCCCAGGGACGTCAAGGCTGCAGTGAGCTGTGACCATGCCACTGCACTCCAGCCTGGGCAACAGGTAAAACCCTGTCTCAAAAAAAAAAAATGTTTATAGCACATTTATGCACAATTGCCACAACTTGGAAAAGCAACCAAGATGTCATTAAGTAGGTGAATGAATAAACTATGGTACATCCAGACAATGGAATATTATACAGCACTAAAAAGAAATAAGCTAGCAAGCCATGAAAAGCCATGGAGGAAATTTAAATACATAATACTAAGTGAAAGAAACCAATATGAAAAGGCTATGTACTGTATGATTCCAGTTACATGACATTCTGGAAAAGGCAAATGCCAATATTTGGAGATAGTAGAAAGATCAGTTGTTGCCAGAAGTTAAGGGGGAAGGTGGGATGAATAGGAGGAGCACAGAGAATATTTTAGGCAGTGAAACTATTCTGTATGATACTACAAAGGTGAATACATATCATTATACATTTGCCAAGCCCATAGAATGTACTACTCCAAGAGTGAGCCCTAATGTAAACTCTGGAATTTGGCTGATAATGGTGTGTCAATGTAGGTTCATGGATTATAATAAATGTATCACTCTGGGGTGAGATGAAGGTAGTGGGGAGGGCTCTGAGTGTTTGGGGCAGAAGGTGTGTGGGAACTCTATACTTTCCTTTCAATTTGGCTGTAAACCGAAAATGGTAAAAAAATCTTAAGTCTATTAAAAAGAAAGCAACTGTTTAACCACTTTGTCTATGATGGCCTTTCTTATTAACCTTTACTTTGTTTTTGGTTTTGTTGTTTGTGTGGGGGATTCTTGTTATCGTTGTTGTTTTTAAGTTACAGACTACTTTGAGACTCCAATGAAAGCCATATGCCATATTCTCTCACAGAGAAAAAATAATATGTACTTCCACACATTCTTACAAAATAATATATACAACTCAGGTGTTCACAAACTCCCTGAAATTCATTCATAAAACTTATGCTAGCTAATTTTATGGCATACTGCAAAGTGCCAAGCCATTTGTTAAGCACTATATCATGCTCCATCTTATTTCATCCAAGCCACAACCCTGTAAGGTGAATATTATTATCATCCCTGTTTGCATATAAGGAAATTTCATTGCAGGAAGTTTTTGTTTGTTTGTTTTGTTTTGTTTTTAACAGCTGCTGAATGTTAGAGCTGGGACTCCAACGTGGACTGATCCCAAGGGCTGATCCTGTGTTCTTAAACATTCCCTACCAGGCAATCCAGCTCTGGCAGATCACGGACCACAGCTAAGCACCTGTTGTTTAAGAACAGGTTAGTTCACCATTATATTATATCCTCAAGCTCCTATTTCTGATTTCAGTGAAATGTTCAGTGTCTGGAGATTTCACAGAGCTGAGCCTGCATTGGCCTAGAAAATTATCATTTGCTCCTGGTTCAATTTCCACAACTGACCGACCTCTAGCCCCTGCTACCCTAGCAGGTCATAGGTGAGAGGCAAAGCAGAATTTCTCTGTATTCACCTGACAGCAGAGGACTTGGATCACGGTGAATTATTGCCACAGAAAATTAAAAGATTTGATTGGCTCAATGTAAGACTCAATGTTAGTGGCTGATAAAGAGTATTCCATAGTCAACAGTGATTCACACTAGCTAACACACAAGCACATACATCAGCAACAATTTGCAAATACTGAGCAAATTGAGTCAGGCATGAATAAATGAAATAGAGGACAAAAATAAATTCCAATATATTATTATGGCACAGAAGGAGCCCTCACAACCCCCTTCAGCCTCAACTTCCTGGCTCCAAGATGTACATACAGTGTTTCTCTTAGGCTAAGCCAACAGAGCTCACCACTTGAAGTCTCAGAAACACATCAAATCCACGATGTGAAACACAGAATATACCATGTCCCTTCTAGACATGTTTCTTTGCCTAATTTTCAAATTTCAGTGAATGAAATCACTCACCACCGAGCCAAAAAGTCAGAAACATAAATGCCATTCTCAGAGCCTTCCCCTCTCTCATCCCCAACATTTAAATTTCACATGCCCTGTTGAGGCTCTCCCACTATTTGCTGGGAATGCTACAATAGCCTCCCAATTGGACTAGCCACCACCAGCCTCAACTCCATCCCCAAGTCTCTTCTCTACCCTGTTAGGTGAATTATTATTCTAAAATATTGTTATCTTACTCAAAATTCTCAGTGTTTTCTCATTTGTTGCAGATAGCATCCAAAGCTTTCAACATGTCATAACAAGTCCTAATTTCCATAAATTCCAATTCTATATTACAACCACACCAAACCATGGGCACTAGTTTTTTTTTTTCTCAATGCATTTGCACAGAGAACTTTACCTGCCCTATGGCATACGCCACCCACAAAATCCTCCCCTCCCCACCACTCCAGCCAGGACACTTTACCAACTCCATCATGACCTATATAACTCAAGTTTTGCAAGTTTCAACTCTATCATTGCCTCTTAGAAGTCTTCTCCGAAAGCCCAACGTGGATCAGGGGTCTTCAACGCTAGATGATCAAATAGGTCTTCAGTGCTAAATGATCAAAAAGCTGAGAAAAAAATTAATTTGAAATCATTTCATTGGTCTGGGTGCAGTGGCTCATGCCTATAATCCCAGCACTTTGGGAAGCCGAGGTGGGTGGATCACTTGAGGTCAGGAGTTCCAGCCTGGCCAACATGGTAAAACCCTGTCTCTACTAAAAATAAAAAAAATTAGCCAGGTGTGGTGGCAGGTACCTGTAATCCCAGCTACTCCGGAGGCTGAGACAAGGGAATCACTAGAAATCGCCTTAGGAGGCACGGGTTGCCGTGAGCCAAGATCGTGCCATTGCACTCCATCCTGGGCAACAGTGTGAGACTTCATCTCAAAAACACAAAAACAAATGCAAAAAATCATTTTATCTAAAAAGATTTTTTTGAAAACAAGAAAACATTTGAAAACAACAAAATATCTGGGGCAAAACCAAAACTTTGTTGGTCTTCATTGCACTGACTTTAGGATTTAACATTGTTTTTATGTTTAATTACAAAGGAAAACAACATAATCTTTTCAGTGGGCAAGGCCTGAAAAATCTTGCACACTCTGGCTCCCCTCCTTAGTGCTCCCATATGCAAGATCACCTCTATAACTGCTGCTTTTCTTGAGAATCACCTCAACTAGAATGTGAATTCCTCCTGCACAGGAACTATGTCTTTCCTTTTTTATACCTGGTGGCCATTACAATGCCTGGAAAATACTAGGAGGTCAATAAATCCTTATGTAGAGAAGGAAAAGGGGAAAGAGGGAGCAAGAGAGGATAGTAGGAAAGAAAGGAGAGAAAGAAGGGAGAAGAAAAGAAGTTCCTCCTAGCCCTGAGATCCTTCTGATTTTGAAACTGAATTTTCAGAGCCTCTTTCGCCCCCAGTAGCTTTGTTAGCAGCATACAGGAAAGTAGCTTTGAACTCTTGGGCAACCCCCAAGGCAGTAAAATCAGTCCTTGCCAAACCCAGTCTACTCCAACGATGAGTTGATTGTTTTATGGCACTGACCTAGAAAGCCTTTTAAAGTGAATCCAATCTCTCCTGACTTTGAACTCCCTCAAGAGTCACTATCCTTCACCATCTCTGAACTGCTGGGTTCCCAATACATACATCAAGATAGTCTCTGGGCCACCAGTGTCCTCAGAATTTTTTTTAACCAGAGGATCCCAGAGGCTGGGCAGCCCCACATGCCAACTTCCAAAAAAGTCTTACTCTGGGACCACTCAGCAGATGGTCCTAATTGTGAGCTGCACTCACACCAAACCATGGGTAATGTTCTGCCCTTTCCCCTGAAACCCTATTTGCACAATGACAAAATCCTACAAGTATGGCACATATTGTATCGTTATCCAATAGGTCATGGGGCCCTTTTTTCCATTAAAAAAAAAAAAAAAGCTAAACTGAGACATAGGCTAAATGAGAGCCAAAGTATTTTGAAAAGTTATAATGAATTCTTATGAAAGAAATTATATTATGCATAATATAAACATCTGTATTTAAGGAAGATAATGGTTTAGCTCCAGGAAATAATAGCTAAGTAGTGATGACTTAAGCAAATGTTATATAATTAATGGAAATAAAAATTATATACTGTTACAGTTAAGGGATGCTTGGGAGAATGGGACAGGAGGTAACTCATATCAATAGACTCAGTGCACTAAAGAGAATTAAAGCTTCTGTGAAACAGGCTTCCCCAAAGAGGAAAACTACAAAAAGATCAAACTTCCTGAGGTTCAAATATGTTAAGTTCTACTATTTAAGCCCCATTACACATATAGTTACTGGCAATAGCCATTTCTTACCTTCAACAGGGTCAATTTACCTCTTAAAATGAGATATTTAAAGGCAGGCTGCTGGCCTGGTGTCTTGGATGGCAGATCACAGAGTTCCAAAGCCCTTAAGATGTAGCACTAGTTCTGACTAAGTCGTAATTAACTTCATCGGGAGTTACATGATAGCAACATAGAACAGAATTTGGCTGAACATTTTTAGTATTCTTCCACTTGGTAATTACTACTTCAATGGGAATTTCAAGTAAGAAACAGAGGGCAGAATTTGGACCACAAAGAGAAGTACATCAAGTTAACTGGCCCAATTTATAACGCCAATAACAGAGTGTATTAAAATCTCCCATGAAACATCCCCATTAATGCATCGATTGCATCATGAATGTGAATTGAACCCCAAACTGATTACCCAGGTTCTGTACTAAGTCCCCAGGAAGGGCAATGTGTAGAGGAGAATATGGCTAGGGAACGGCTCCATATACCAGATAACCACCCTAGAAGGCAATTATGTAAAAGCTAAGTAAAGAGCTGGACACTGCTGGGCAGTTTAACCACATAAGAAATTCTTAGGAGCCATTACAGCTCCCGTCTGGGCATTAAATATCTGAAGAATAAGATTAGGCCACTAAGATTTGGGCTTGTGCTTCAAAATGAAAACCCAATGCTAAGTTCAGAATTATACCTAAAATGATAGTTACACATTACAGAACTTCAAATTATACAATATACAACTTTTTACTACCATTAATTGTGGAACATAACATTTCCTGAAACTCTATCATAATTCTCCTTCAAAAGTGTTTATATTATACATGACCTAATTTTTATCATAAAAACTGAGACTTAATTTTTTTGGCTTGCTTGCTTTAAATTATAGTATTTAGTTGGAAACTAATTTTAGGGTATTATCAATTTGACATTTGAGTTTAAAGTACACTGAAAAAATACAAACTTATGCAGAATATAGAAAGATTATATCTTAAAAATATATTCTCTTCTTTGCTACCTGTGTTCCTCTAAGTAATTCACCTGAGGCACTTAAGAAAAGACTTAATACATTTCCTGAGGGCCAATCCACAATCCCCTTGATGTGGTGTCTGGCCAGACTTTCAATTGAAGGCCATTAACACCACTTCTCCAACCAGCCTTGAGCTAACTCTCCCCTGTCCTCAAGTCTTGAAGTTCACCACCCCTCAACAGCCCCCATTTCTGGGTGGCCATAGCATTGAGAAACAAAAGAAAAATCATAGCAACATGCCCTACCAAGTAAAGCAGACTGCACTCCATAGGCCAGCCCATTCATCAATGCACCATGTTTGTTAACATTCTGAAAGACATTTGTACAGAGAACAAATTGACGGAGCTCATGTTTATATCAGAAATCTCAGAAATGGCAGGGGATTTATTCGTGGAATCTTAATACCCATTCAGACTGTCATAAAACACAAAGGACCAGATTCAATAAAAACTCTGTCCAACTTCCACAACACTAAAGTCTGTGTGAGCCTTCAAAACAAAATCAATTTTTCCAGCTTTGCAAAGGGCTGTTCAGACTTCGGTAGCATGGAAGCCAGCTGGGGCATTTCCTAACTCATCCCCTAAATTAGTTTCAAAAGTAGTTTTGAAGACCACATTTGATCAGAAGAATTTGCACACTTTCCTCTCTCTCACTCTCTCCCTTTCTCCTCTTTTTCTCCCCCTTTTTAAAAAACACATTTCATAGTACATCACATGGAGAACAAACAACAGAACTGCAGCATATGTCTCATGCAGTTAAAAGCTTCAAAACTGGCCTGTAAAACGGAATTCTTTGGTACACAGTGAAAAAATATTTTTTGATTCCATAATCCATACTGCAGGAAAGTTGGGTGTAATCATTTTTGAAAGTTGCTGCGTCCATGGACAGCTGTTCTTCATACATACTGAGAATGTTTCCTTTACATTCCTAAGGACATGAGAGTTTGACAGCAAGCCAATACCTTTGGAAATGGTGAAAGCTAAACAAACCCCATACTGATGCTTTTACTCTCTCAACAAACTTTCTCCCACAACTAAAATGTTAAAACTTTTACCCCACAGCCCACATTCTGAGATTAGTCCAATAACTAATGTTCTGTCCAAGTAAAATACATTTTGTCATAGCTTGAAAATGTTACCTTTCACAGAAGTATAGTATTTCTGACCAGCAGGGAACATATGTCAACATTATCTATTATTACCCAATGTCAGGACCAAAAAGGGAAGGTGGGTGGTGGATGTTAATAACGACTTAAGCGATTTCTAAAAGAGGCATTTGAGAAGTACAAAGCCAGAAGTTTCAAATGTTTTGTCTTATTTTCGCTGTGTCAGCAACCTGCCCCCCCCACAAGAACAAACCTAATGCTGCCTCCGACTTGACGCCTAGTTCTCTTTTCAATTTTAGCCAACGCTTTGCTAAGCTGGAAAGTTTGAAAAATACCCTAGAAAACTTCTCCACCAGAAAATGAAAAACAAAAACATATGACCAGCAATGATGAAAGCAACTCCCACTCGCTAAGAAAAAGATTTTCAATCACAGAAGCACACAGCTTTTGGATTTGAACATTTATTTTCATTTTTCTAGCTACTTGTCTGGTGTTTAGATTTGGGGGTTGGGTTTCTTGTTGGACATTGGAAGAGACAGGGGAAATGCTGGTTGGGAGTGTAATTGTATTTAAGCAATTTTCACAAAGGTAAGCAGAAAGCATTCTCCTCAACCAACAAGGCTACAGGGGAGACAACTGCTCATTCTCAGTTGAATACGGATTCCCCTGCAGGAGTGGAAAGACACCTTCCATAACTGACCAGAGGAGGATATGTGTGTGTCTCTTGCCCTTCCTAACGTTGGATCAAGCTGTGGCACATAATATCGTGTGAACCTGTGGTTCACCATGCCCCCAACCTGGGCAGCCATGACCAGGAACTGAAAACAGACTTTGAGGCACCACGACTGGGAGCAATCAAGTTTTTGTTGTTTCCGTGGGCCATGCGGTTCTATGCAGTGTTTCCCAAGGAAAAGAGACTTGAGTTCTACTTCTCCACATGAACATCTTGGGGAAGAGATTACTTTGGGACAGGGGTCAAGACTCGTGTCCTGGTTCAGGCCCGGAACAGGAAGTATTGGAGTAATATGTCCCCTCGAGTCCTGGAGATTTGTGTAGTTTCCCTTGGGGACTTAGTGTCTCGGGGTCCTGGGCATATTGGAAAGTAGGTTCTCACTCACTTATCTCTTTGGTCACCTTAAAAATGAATCCTTCCATGTGAAGAAATCGTTCAGGAGAGATTATAGAGTAAAACCATTTAAATACATTCCTCATGATAAAAAGACTCCTACAACTACAGAAAACTCAAACCATGGCACAGCATGTGCCACAGACTGGAGGAAGGCAGCAGGGCTTATTGTTTTGACTTTTGGAGGAAGTTATCCTAATTTGTTCTTCCTCATCTCACTCAGCTTCTGAGGACAGAAGTCATAGAATGATGGGTTCCTTCTAGATACCAGTAAGACAAAAAGGAGATCTTAATTACTTATGTAGTCTACATTGCTACCCAAACAGTATTTTAATTGCTAAATGGCAGAAGTTTATATTCATCCCACAATTGAATGCTACATCTAAAATGATCAAATTACAGGGGATTTTCTGCTCTTTGTGTACAGTGCTGTTGCCCAAGGCACCAAGCAGAAGAGAGTGCTTTGAGGCAATGTTTCCAGGACTGTGGGAGAGGTGGAATGCCCTCAGTTCCCTCAGTTCATCAGTCCTCATTCACCTACTCCTCTTGGGCCCATGTTGGATTAGGAGTTTGGTTTTATTCATGGTAGAGGATACAGTTAACTGGCCACCTTTCATTTAGCACATGCCTCCTGTGAACTTCCACCTGAGATGAAAAACCACAGTAGATGTTGTATAAAAATAGTGCTAACTTAAACACACAGATTGTCTTTTAGCAGAATCATTAAATGCTGAGATGGAAAAGAAACTTAAAGGTTTAGCCTCCTTAGTTTTAAAGTACACAATTAAAACCCAGAGACGAATTGCCCAGAGGCGAATTTGCTGTCACACATCTTAGCAGATGCCCTGATTCCACTCCATTTTGACATGATATTTTGGAAAACTAAGTGATAGTATTGGAAGCCCGGACCCTGGTCCCCTCTCAGGTGGAGGGAGTTGGGTAGTGATTAGAAAGGGCGTGAGGGAATCTCTGACATGCTGACCTCTTGATCAAGTTGCTGTTTATATGAGCTTCTTCACCAATGATTTGGGCACTTTTCTGCAAGTATATTACCCTTCCATTAAAAAAAGAGGGAAGCAAAAGAAAGAAAAATAATTAAATGCAGTTTTAAAATTGTGTGCACATATAATTGCCACTTCTATTTAAAAAAAATCCTTAGATATTAAATTTAAAATAAAATTAAATACTATCTACTAAGAAGGTTGACAGGTTATCATTCCAGCCCAAACACAGGAAAATAAGAATCTTAATAGAGAAAACAGTAACACATCTTCAAAATAATAATAATTTCCATTTGTAATGTACTGACCAGGCTATGCAATATTTTATTATTTCATTGTTCTTGATCTCAAAGCACCTGTTCTCTAAGGAGAAAATTTATTTGTTTCATCATTTTATAACTATAAATACTAAAATTCAGCGAGATTTAGTAACTTGACTAATGACTAGTAGCTTGTACCACAGGAAGGAGAAACTGGACATTTTGACCCTTTCCTATCTTAGGCAATCTCTCCACTACAATATGTAGCCAGTAATAAAAATATCTTGCTTTTGTGGGGAGGTAGGATATTTTCATTCATTCCACCCAAATATGTATCAAAGATTAGGCACTTCAGGATTACAAACATGAAATGGAAACCTATCTTCAAGAAATTTGCTTTTTCATGAGGAAGTGAAACAGCTTAGTTTTTAAGATATAAGTTCATTCGCCAAAGATTAATCTTACGGGCCAATTTTGTCTTCACTTGCGTTTTGAGATGGCCAAAGTCTAAGAAAAGCTGAAGAAGCATTTTAGGCCGAAATTGCCGAGAATCAAGTTCCTTTTTGAGGCTAGAAACTTTTTTAGTGGTGGAAGCGGAGAAAGATTTGATTGAGAGGTTGACATTTTAATTGTTTTTCTCTGCTGGTACATGTCTCACAAATAGATTTTATACCTTATAAAGAGGTTTATAGACATAATTGAGAATATCAAAATGTATTATAATTTTTTTACAATTTGAAATCTAAAAGTGTAAAAAATACATAATATCTACCGCACTCCATATTAAATTTTGCAAAGGAAAAAAATAACAGTTTGGAAAAGGCAAGATTAAAGGATGAAATTATGTCTAGGCATTTTTCCTACAGATGTCATCTGAGCAGAAAACCTGGATGAGCTTGGGAAAGTTTGTCAGTAGTGAGCACATTAATTTGTATTATACCCTCCTGGGTGAATGGGTTACATGTTCTGCTTCAGAGTTATCCTTGAACCTTTTACTGGTTAATATTATTATGATTCTTCCTTTTTACATTGGCCTATGATTAATGGATGACATTTGGCTGAATTTGGATTGAAGGTTAATACTCCATGTAAGACTGCAACTTTTGGGCTCTCTTTTTCAATTTCTTAGAAACTTTTTGTGGAAGAATAGTAAAACATATGATGGATCCAAATACAGCTAGCTAAAAGCAGGCAGGAAAAGAATTATGCCAAATTAATACAACTGAGTCACGGCATTGTAGAATTTAGCCAATTCCTTTGGACCCTATTATTACCAGTTTGGAGCACCACACAGTTACTATGTTTAAATTTTACAAAAGAAGTAACTATGAGGTTTGAAAATACCAAACTGATAAGCTACAAACAAATTAGTATGTGAATAATATAATATTTCTAAAGAAAAAGATACTAAAAAGTCTAAAATTCATTACATGTTTGACTCAGCAATTCCACTTCTAGAAATATGCTCTAAGGAAATAATCAGGCATGTGGGCAAATATTTGGCTACATGGAACACTTATGCCAACCATATTTATAATCTTGAAAAGACTGGAAACAACCTTAATGCTCAACACTAGGGGACTGATTAAATAAATAATGGCACGGCCAAGACAAAGAGCGTTATGAAAGACTATTTAATGACACTGAAATGTATCCAACATACATTCTTATGTAAATAGAAACTTTAAAGGTTACAGTAAGATTTGCACTATTTTTAAATGTGTGCATAAACATGCATGGGTGACATATCTAAAAGGATGTGCACCAAAATGTTAACGATGGTGATGTTTTTAAGTTGTGAGATTGAGCATGGTTTCTAATTTTCTTCATGTTATTTATCTGCGCCTCCTAAATTCATGTAATGTTCATGAATTGCTTTAGTTAAGAGAAAAACAAAGTAGATTTTTTCAGTAGAAAGGAATGGCCACCACCATTCTACAGGAGCATTTGTCAATGCAACAAAAGCAATAGATGCTATAAGGCCATTATTTATCTCAGGTTCTTTTCCATTCAAAGCGAAAACCCCTTCCCAACAAAAGTGAAAGCAACAAAACATAATGCTTGTTTTTCATTACTCTACTTTTCTGTGGCCATCCTATAATATTAAGTATTAAAATGGTCTGAGGGCAATATTCAACAGGATCAGTTTAAACATAGCAGTGTTGTTCAGTGGGCTATAGTCTTGATATTTAATCTGCTATTATGAGCTTATAAAATCTTTTGGTGTCTCACTTTAATTACTAATAAAAGGCGACAGGCTCTGGGTCATACTCAGCTCTTTGAAGAATATGAGGCCAATCAAACCGAAAAGATGCTTTAGTTTCATTTGGTCCTAGTTCCTGCTTCAGAATAGGTTTAAAAATAAATGTACAGAAAGAGATGAAGAAAATGAGTCACCTAATTTACATCTAACATAATGCAAACAAGTATTTCTTTAATAGGTGTTCAATACCTAATGCTCAATTGTAGCAACTTAGAAGCAACTTCTTAATGGGAAATCTTAGCATTTTTAATCTTGCTGCAGATTTTTTACCTTGTCAACTTAGAATTCATCTGTTTTTGAGAAAGAAAAATCTTTTACTTGGAGACAAAGGTAAGCCACAGTACACCTCAAACTAATTAAAGATGAATCTTTTCTGGAACAATGGTACAAAGAAAAAGGCAAATTATATTTTATAACTCAGACAAAACAGTCATCCACCAAAAGAATATTGCCTTCCTTTAATTATTAGAATAAATCATTCCATGGAAAACTGTTTGGCACACAGTGAAGATAAGATGATGATAAATATAATACAAAACAATAAAAGGAGATAGATTTGCTCTCTATTCAAGCAAACTCGTCCTTGTTGCCAGTAAAACCCTTGAGGGACCACATAAGAAGAGGCACCGCAGAGGCCTCAAAATGCCTATGGTACTTCACATAAGACCAGAATATAACACATTTCTATTAAGGTTGACCCAATTTAATCTTCAGTAACTGGCTGTTTGTAGTATTCCAACTAAAATAAAACATTTGAAACTCTTGGCTCAAATAATTTTAGCTGTTAGGAGAAAATATGTGGTAGGTATTTTATTCCTTAAGATGGGTTAGGTCAGCATGGAACCGGTAGTTTGTATTTGGCCAGGTAGGGTAATGCGCATTAGGGGACAGAAAAATAAGAATGAGTGCAACCTGGGTTGCTGCTCAAGTTCTATATAGGAGAAGCCTCTTTTCTTCCAGAGAAGAGTGCGGCGCTGACACCTAGGTAACTTTCTAGATGCTTTCCATGTCTTTGGTTTGGAGCCCCACAGCAGATACTTGGAAACTACAATTGCAAGAACTCTGGTTACTTTGTGTAGCAGAAGGACATTTAATTTAAAAAAAAAAAAGAAAAGAAAAGAAAAGAAAAAGAAAAAAGAAAGTCAAATAACCTAATAAGTCATTATTATTTACAGGCCAACTGAGCAGCTACCCAATGTTCATCATGATCCTCAGATGAAGTCTGTCTCCATAGACAGATCTACACAATCTATGACAAGATTTTTCTGGCAGTTCTGAGAATACCACTCACGTCTCACCTTTCCCAAGAGTAGATCTGCTATGGTGAATGGGTCATCATTTCTGTAAAGTTCTATCTAACTTCCTATGAAGTTCCATCTTCAGCTGCACCTTCCAGCGGTTTATCTCTAAAAAATGGTGCATCACCCTGGGGAGAATCACCTAAAGAGACATGTTTCCTATATTGGCAATTTAATCCCCTCTAAATTTCTGTTTTTATCTCCTCCAAGTAATGGCACACCTCTCTTTATTCTTTTTTTTTTTTTTCTGAGATGGAGTGTCGCTCTGTTGCCCAGGCTGGAGTGCAGTGGTGTAATTTCAGCTCACTGCAACCTCCACCTCCCGGGTTCAAGCTATTCTCCTGCCTCAGCCTCTTGATTAACTGGGACTACAGGCACCCGCCACCACACCCAGCTAATTTTTTGTATTTTTAGTAGAGATGGGGCTTCACTGTGTTAGCCAGGATGGTCTCAATCTCCTGACCTCGTGATCCGCCTGCCTTGGCCTCCCAAAGTGCTGGGATTACAGGCGTGAGCCACCGCGGCCGGCTTCTTTATTCTTAAATATGTTAATCTTGACTAGAACTCTATCCATGAACCCACGACCCAGTTAGGCAGGGTACTTGATGCCACATGGTTCTTCTGATGGTCTCTAGAAGACTATGGAATATTTCTCCTGCAGTAGAAAATTCCAGCTGTCTTGAACCACAAGGCTAGCTTAGTGAACTTTGCCTCATTCTCCTAATTGACTGGGATTCACAATACAACATAAGAACATAGACACATGAGAAATACGAAATTTCTGATAATAACCATAGGTTGCCTAGAAAAATCAAGAATGTTACATTTGACACTGAACAGCACATGTTTCTAGTCTGTCCAGATATAACAGTATTATATCTGTTATATCTGATAACAGTATTATATCTGTTATATCTGATAACAGTATTATATCTGTTATATCTGATAACAGAAAGGGAAAAATATAAATATAGAGCTTATTTGTCAAGAATTTTGCCCATGAACATAATTGATAGGCAGCAAAGCATTAATAATCAGGGAGAACAGAGCTAAGAGAATGTTGGCGTTGTCTTCATTTCTGTTAATGCTTTTTTCAGATAAGCGAAATCTGATTGTTTTTATAATGTTTATAGCTATCATTAGGTGCATATTATATGTCAGGAAGTTAACATGTTTTTTACTTAATTGACACAATTGCCCTCCCTTATCCCCATTTTATGTGCAAGGAAATCAAGGTTCAGAAGAATAAAGTAACCTGTCCGCTGCCAAAAATCTTGTAAGTGGGAAAGCCTGGGTTCAGCTGAGGTCCAGACTCTAATGCCCATGCACTGTAGCTTACAAATGAAGGCAGTGAAGAGGGAAAGGCAGGGTTGTAGGAAAGAGGCTACCACTGCATGAGTAAACAAAATCTCAAAAGAGGCTGAAAAATTGGACTCAAAACACAAGCACAGAAAGAAAGATATGCCTTAAAAGGTGGAAATGTACTTCCCAGAGACAGAAGGAAAAACTACATTAAAAATTAAATAGCTGGGTGTGGTGGCATGCACCTGTGGTCCCAGCCACTTGGGAGGCTTAGGCAGGAAGATCGCTTGAGGCCTGGTATTTGAGACTGTAGTACACTAAGATCATTCCTGTGAATAGCCACTGCACTCCACCCTGGGCAACATAGCAAGACTCCATCAATAAAGAAAAGGAAGGAAGGGAGGGAGGGAGGAAAGGAAGGAAGGAGAGAAAAAGAAAGAAAGAAAAAAAGGAAAAAGAAAGAAGGAAAGAAAGATTAAATGGTTTTATATTTAAAAGTGACATTACAACTAAAATAATATTGGATGATCACCTAGAAGGTTGAAGTTTGCAGAGGTCTTTAAAGCTACTTACCTACATTGGACAGTATGCTAAAATTTTGCTAAAGAGTAGAATTTATTGCAACAGGTCTGTCTTGGACTTTAGCCAGCCACTTAGTTACTGATCTTATAATTAGTTGCACTCACTTTCCAGACAGCCCCACAGTGCAAGCCAGAAGCTCTGAGGACAGCATTCCTAAATCTATATAATACAGTCTTACAAGGTAATAATAATAGTAGCCACAATATGGTAAATGACAAGAGCTTTAGACAGAGAATCGAGTCCTAAATTCTAGCTGTAGATTTACTAACTAATCTTGTGAGCCTTAGAAATGCACTTAACTTCTTTGTGACCCATATTTCTAGTCTGTGTAGTAGGAATTCATTTACTCAACAAATATTCATTGAGTGCCTCTGATGTTGCACTCTATACTCAGTGTATCCACTCTCCTGGAACTGATATCCTACTAAGAGGTAGCAAAGCCAGAAAATCACAAAGGAAGCAAATCCACAAACAAAGTTTCAGAAAGTGATATGTAGAAAATAACACAGGAAAATGTGAGAGAATATGCAGCAAGGAGGTGCATTTTAAGCTTTTACCATATCAAGGTGAGAGATGATGGCTGGCTCTTGAAAATGAATTGGATAGATTCAAGATAGCAAGAAGATAAGATTGACTGATGACTAGATAGAGGGTGGTGAAGGTCATAAGAATCAAGCAGGAGTCCTGGGAGTTTTTCTTTTCAACAACTGTGTAGATGAGGGTGGCATTTCCTGACCTGATGAAAAATGCTAAAGAATGAGCCTGAGAGTCAGTAAACAAGAGTTCTGTTCGTTGGTTTTTAGATATTGCCCTACATAATCTCTGAGGTTGATTCCACTTGAAGAAACATTCCATGACTCTAGATTGTGACCACATAGGCATTTTGAGAGGTGAAATATGGTGTGAATTAAATTACATTCATGTCAATGAGTACCTGAAGCAGGATAGAAATGGTGGTCAAGAGGACCCAAGACATGTAAAAACTGTGTGAGTCCAGTTGGTAAAATTTATAAATGCAGTTGTCTAATTCACTGAATATAAAGATCAAGAGTAATAGTACAAAGAAGAAGGTTGTTGGTCTAGAGTGAAAGTCGTTGGAGACTAGCAATGGTGGTCTGGAGATCCATACATGATATGCAGATCATGGCATATACATCTATCTGGAAGACAGCATGGCAAAGCAAGAATGACAGGAACTACTCTCCGACACTCATTTGAGCAAGCGATCTTGCCTCTGACTCTTTATTCTCAAAGAATAAATGAGTTAGGAGACTAGAGGAGTATGCCTGGGTGGGTTTAGTGTGAAACCTGCCATTTTATTCGTGAGGGCTGGACTTATCACCTCATAAGTGTGAAAACAGGTGTGAAAAACCCCTCCTCATCCTCATTACTTCCAGTAAATGAATTCTTTTTTAAAAGCCTTCACTCACACAGTAAATGATTCTAAATATCTCGTAGTCGTTATTCCCCTGCCTATTCCTCACCTTCTTCAAAAGAACAGTCTAAAACTCTTGTGATCAGGAATGTGGTGTCACGATAAGTTTAGGGAAATATGGGGTTAATTGCTATGGAACACATTTTGATTTCACTTTTCTACAAGTGACTACACTCAAAAATACTCATTTTCCAGCATCTGCTTCATAGGAAGATGCTCCTGAAATGTTGTTAGGCAGGGTGGGGGACATGGCTGCCCCCTAAAAAGGAACCACATTGCTGGCATCATGGCCACTGGCATAGGACAGAGGACTACCTGTTACTGTTCCCATTTACAACCAGAACCAGACACAACCAAGGATCACTCAAAGTGTTACAAGTGAAAGCATTTCGTAAATTGTAGTGTAATCTGCAAACATAAGAAGTGATTATTATGTTCTTATTCAATCATGTAGAAATGGATGTTGGTTATAAGTGGGGAGAATTCCTACAGCTTTTTCATTCCTTAAGGCTGGATCACAAATGTACCATCACAACCAAAGCTAGTTTTAAACAATCTAAGCAATTACTGTTGCTGAGAAGAATGACGATTTGACATGTGTAGCGTCAATTTGACCATAATAGTTTCACTTCAGCACTAGGTATTTGACATTCATTAGTGCTGAAAAAAGTAAAGCGCGGTTTTATCACACCTTTTTACATTTGGTAAGTGATAGGTCCCACCCAATTAAAGTTCCATTTTATTTTAAATGATAGATTTTACCAAAAACACCTCACCTAAACCCCATCTCATCTATTTATGTCAAATTCTAACCTCCTCTTAAAAGTACAGAAGCAGATATATCCACTAAAATTGTTCCCTGCCATACTTGGCTTTGCAATACACTTATCTAATAAATTTTATACCCTTCTTTCCTACCCACAGAAAATATTGGCTTTGCTATTTGTTTTCCTCTCCTCCTAATACCATCCATTCTCTGGTTCTATTATTTCTAAGTTCATGTACTTACAGGTCTCCATTATGACAAGAAAATATATTATTCGGTCCTTTAATCCTTCCATCCTTAGTCATGTTTTAAAAATACTTCCTTCTCCTCCTCCCTCTGTCAGTAAAGTGAGAATATAAAAAAGACACACAGTACATACAACATATTTATAATGTAAAAACAATATTTAGCATAATTGGCTTTGTTTTAACTAATGTGCAGAGCATCTCTAAATGCATGTCCTCCTTTATGGGTTGCCGCTTTCACATGATTTTCCTTTGATGTGAGATTTTAAAGGCTAAGGACCCATTCTCCATTAAGCCTTTGGCGCTGGAATTCTCCCATCTAGGAAGCCGCTGTGTTGATGGCCCAATCATTGACTTTAGTATGTTGAGGAACCTTTTTACATACAGCTAATCATGTGCATTTTTAAGTCTTAATTTACAAATGCATCCAGATACATTGACATAAGGCCGATGCACACCATCCTGCCTCCCTGTCTACATCACTAATTTGACAGCATGAAAGTGTTAATGCTAATTTTATTTTGAATTTCCTAATTAAACATTTCTTTTATCCTGGACAGAAAGATTTATCATAGATTATTAGCAAATTACTCATCTTCTACTATTAGAAATAGTTTTAATGAGACCATACCTACTGGGAGGAAATAAGCAACTCATACCCACTCCAAGCACATGCAAATTGTTGCCATGTTTTCCAACTCGCAACTTCTAGAAGTCAAGTCTATACCAAGCCTAAAAAAGAAAAGCCCGCCGAATGCAGTGATCACGACATTCACATTAACAAGCATTCTAAATTCACTGTCTTCCAGGTCAGAGTTAACATAGTAATTTCCACTCAAAGGACACTGGTCATCAAATCCAACATCCTTTTATTTTATTCAAAATAAAAGGACAAAAATGAGATATAAACACAACTTAGAAAGTCTATGAGTTCATTTAAGAAGTGCTATTTAAGCTGTAAAGGATTTCCTGTCATTCTGGTTTTAAATAATTTTATAATATTCTTTTGTTCTTGGGTTACTCTATATCCAAATAATCATGTATGTAAATGACTCAATACAACAGTAGATGCCCTGACAATGTAAACATTATTGTTTATCCAGAAGCATTATATGTTCATGCAAAAAAAAAAAGTGGCATTAAAAGCTTGTGGTCAGATCAAAAAACCACAACTGTAATTGTTTATTTATATAACTTACCATTACTCTGTAGTGTAAGTTTACATTTTTTAAAAATTTCTAAACGCTGAGTTAGTCTTAGAAGAGTGAAAAATGCATGGTTCGCCTAAATGATTAAAGACAAACAACTTAGGTCTATGCATGCAGCAAAATGCTTTAATATGGAAATTATTCATTTTGCCCAGGCTTATAGTTTTCATTTTTATGCTGCCCTTGAAACTCCATGATAACAGGGCCATTCAGTGGAATTTCTGCATTTTTCTCTTCAGTTCAGGGCAGCTGGTTTCTTTCCTCTCGAAGCAGAAAGCTAAAGTATATTTATCACTCTAACAGTGACTCAAAACAAACAGGAAGTCTTCATCAGCCGGCTCCTGGGCATAGCTGATATTAGGTACTGGCAGAAAGGAAACAGAGACCTCATTCTCTGAGAGTCCGACAGAATGTACATGCAGATGCAGGCGATAACAAAGTTAGGGATGCTCCCAATGACCACCATGTTCTCCCAGGATTAAGTGCTCTTTGCAAGGCTCGCCAGCTTTCAGAGTCTGTGAAAATTCCTCAGGAGTTTTCCTTTCCATTGCAGTGTGAAAGAGAAGTTTGAACTGGATACCACGAGCCTTACAATCCTTGTGAACCTATGCGCCAAAGGAAACCTGGGAGGGAGCTATTCTGGGAGATTTGGCTTTGATCTGGTTGCTAGGAAAAAGCCCTGCTTTTGTCTGGAAGTATTCTGAATGGCTCCTTCAGTCAGAATGAGGCCTGCAGGTCACTGTCTGAATTAAGTGAAGAGGATTTTTTTTAACACTAAAAATGAAGTTGTCGCTGTATGCCATAATAAAGCTGGAGAGAGTAGATCGTGCTGCTGAGCAATGGTAACGGCTCTTTGCTACAACCTAAACTCCAAGGTATACTGTGAAAATCACTGAAGCGTGCTTGCAGATCAAATATATGCAAATATTGCTCAGTGGCACATATGTTCCTAGAGACCTTTGCCTTCACCTCCTTTTCAAATGAAACCTGTTTCAGATTCAAAGCCCACTTTGTTTTTATTAATACAAATGTTCACTATCAAACCATTTTTTTATCCTTACTAATAGAGAGGTTATACAACTCACACCTAACTTTTTTCAGCCAAACCAAACTCCAAATGGATTGCACTGCAAACTACTGATACTAATGCAAAAGTATTAGGCAATACACTTTGGGGGGTCCTTTCAATATTTTCTTTTTTATTTGTCAGCTAATCTCTTTGTTTATGGTAATGTATGTACCTTTGTATAAGGACTTTACAGCCATTATCTAATCTTCACAGATCCTGGTGAGGTAGAAAGGGAGCAAATCTTATCTCCGTTCTACAGATGAGGAAACAGAGATGAAGGAAGGTTGAGTAACAAGCTCACATTTTAAGTGGTGCATTCTGTCCAGATGAAAAAAACAAAAAAAAAAGACAGTATGGCACGGGCTTTGTTTTTCCAGGAGTGAGGCTAGATTTTCACCTACCACCCATCTGTTCACCAGTCCCCTTAATGACCGGCATTTCCCAGTGACTGCACACTTTCCACACAATCTGTTGAGAAAACACGCAGCAAACTGACCCACATGAGGATCAAACCCTTGACCTTGGCACCACTGGCATCAGATGCTTGTGAACTGAGCCACAGACTGAAAGCCTAATTGCCCCCAAGTAGAATGGGATCAATTCCTCCCCTTCTCAATCATTCTGGAAAAGAAAAGAAGGGCTAATTGTTATGAATTTATCTAGTCTTGTTCTTCCTCAAGCTTGAAATGTATTTTACATTCCAAGCAAATCCTAAATTGTGAGATATAATATAAAAATAGCAGAGAGCTAAGAAGTAAACTACATAAATGAAAATTTAATTTTAAGAAAAAAAATAAATGAGGGGGAAGTATACAGGAGCTGGCACCTTCAGGACCACAGCATCACCGCTGGTATGAAGTGGTTCTTCACTTGTGTTTGTACCTGCAAATCTAGATGGTAAAGATGAGGAAAAGTTAACAAGGAAAGAGACTGTTTTCCAAATAATATTAAATATCCTCTTTTAAAGACAGTAGACGATTTTATTCCTTGGAAAAAGTTATAGTAAAAATATAATCAAAACCACTGGAGTATTAGGTAGATGCTACCTGTACTGATCAAGTGATAGAGGATTATCTTCCCAAAACAGGCTGTGGAAACAACTATGTGGAAGGTATGAGAACACCTTCCAGAGCTTTCAGGAGCAGGAGGAAGACAGCCTAGCCTATCTTTTGGAATGTAAATTACCCTGCAGACCACCAGGCAAAAAACTCATGAAACCCAAACCAGACATCCCTACTAAAAGATGCTCAAACTAGAAAACAGAAGTGTTTTCAGGATAACATAACTTCTCTCAGTCTACCTGTTAATTTACTCGACTTTCTTTTCAAACTCTGTATACAGTAGTAGATCTGTGAATTGCATATCCATGATCACCACAAAAATTTCCAAAATCTGTCTCAGAAACCCACAAAGCAGATTTAGGTTTTAGTATCAACTTGACAGATTCTGAGCTCTCTCAATCCAGGACTACCAGTGTGTTGAGCCCAACTCTAAATGTGGGCAGGGACCAAATTGCTTTCCCTAAATGGCAACAGGCTAACAGTACCAATTAGCCAGACTGCACAATGGTTCTTCAGAAACTGCTGAAGACCAGCTCTGAAGACCCCTCCTGAGTAGGACCCAAACCTTAAGGCTTCTGTACCCATGCTTATTCACTGCTGCCTGTGCAAATGTTCCAGAAAGCCGGGAGGACTTGGCATTAATTTCTCAGTGTGTCGCCATGGCTAGAGCTAAGCAAGGGCCAAAAATGAATTAGGTAAATATAGGATGCTTCAGGCACAAATGCAGCAGGTGAATTTATTTGCAAATTACTTTTTTTATCTTTCTCACTTAAGATTCTCTTTAGAGACATAGAAGATAGCTTTATCAATTTTAAAGTAAAGAAAAGCAATATTTGGTTTCAATATTTGGTTCATAGCCAACCATACAAAAGTACTTAATAAAAGAATCCTTTTTTAAAAGTTATTATGCATTTATTACAGGATTATTGACTCCAGTGATGAAAATTGTACTGTTAGGGTTGGGTTGACTTAAGACAGTTTTTTTTCCTGGAGATTTCTCTGTCATTTAATTGAGTCACCTTATTCCTTCTGCCTCAATACACAACTGTTCCTGTTATTTTTTGAATTAATTTGGATAAAAGCCTTCTGCAAAAGCCATCTTTCTGGATCCACAACCTCCTCTCTGAGCATTTGTTAACACATTACATTATACTAAAGTGAATCCACCCATTAGAAATTAGACAACCTATCCTGGTTTTAATATTTTTTGAAAGCTTACAAAGTGCTAATCACTAAAGCAGTGATTCCCAGCTCTGGTTTTGTGACAGCCTGGGGTATCTCCAATTACCTTACAGATCACGAAAAACAAAATTCCAAAAAAATTTCAGAAGAAAATTATACTTGTTTTAATTTGAAATATAAATATAAATATCTGCCATGGACATAGGAAGTGTGTCATAGTGCGACTTGGTGGGCTGGATCCTTGTAAGAAAACAAACAACAATAGTCTATTGAAACTCCTCGAAGCTCAAAATCATTATGCTCTCCAAAAAAAAAAAAAAAGAAAGAAAGAAAGAAATTCTATTTTATTTTTAGGAACTGAAACTCTAACATACACCTTATGACAGGCACAAAAAGGAACTAGGACAAAACCCATTCCAGGACATTTCCTGGAGGAGAATACAAATAAGGTGTGTCACATATTTTCATGAATAAAATAAACACGATAATATCTAATAACACCATTACACTATTCAGTGTGCCTAAATTACAGTTGTACTGAGAAATGAGAAAATCTCTGGAATAGGACCAGGATTGCTTTTTAATTGTCCATTAGAAAAAGCAAAAAATAAAATCGCCTGCAATGATTTCCTTTCGAGATCATTCACCTTATTTTTGAAATACAAAATCAAAAACATATTGATACGCATGGTGAGGCTGGGTAATAAACCCGAAGCAAACTGTCTCCTTTCCTCAGTTCAGGCTCAGCAGCTCCAGCAAGCCCACAGTGCCAGCTTGAGACTGGCAAGGCAACTAGCATTGCACAAAACAAAATCTTAATTTTTCAGTTCCGGCTGATTGCACTGAGAACATCTCTCTCTCCTCACCTTTTCTTTGTATTTTTTTTTTTTTCCTGAATTGAGGTCTTTCTATTTAGGGATGTGCTTCCATTATGTGAGATGTCCCCTAAGCCAATGAAAAACAATGACAATTTTATTTTCACATTAAGATTCCTCTCCCAGGGCCATATTCCATGAATGAATGGCGTGTAGGACACACCGCTAGTAATAACATCCACCAACTATGCCAACACAAGTGCAAGAGAAGCACAGGGAAGCTAAGGCTAGCCAAAGGAATTCTCCCATACCTACAGTGGCTGGCTCCTTCCAAGAAAGCTGTTGGGTCTGCTTGCTTATTGACTTGTATATTTGCCAGGAAGGTATTCCTTTTACAAAGTAAAAATAAATAGCTCCTACAACTTCTTCCTTGTCTTGAAATCACCATTTCTACTAGAAAATAAACTTGTAAACTCCATCTGTTAAGATACTCGAGAACTCTACTTATAAAACATACCAAAATTTGTTGAAGGAGCAATACTGGCTAGGAAAGGAACTGGAAACAAGGTCATTTCCCTTTCAAATTTAAAAGTCACCATGAAATACCGTAGGAAAATCAAACACATCCAGAGTGATTGCACATGTCACAAACTCAACTCATCTGACCTCCCCAGCACTTGTACGCTAGTGTTACTGTCACTGAATTGTCTGGATTCCAAAGAGCATATTGGCTGAGCTCTCACCCACCCTGCGGATTCACTAAGACCATTTTTTTCCTTTAAACCTCAGGCTTGTTTTCCCCCTGCAACACAAAAGGCTTTTAGTCCACCTACCCACCATCAATAAGCTGGTATGCAAGAAGAAAGCAACTTAGTTGACTATTGAAACAGAGTGTAGAAAAACATAGCCAATTTATTCTACAATCTCTGTCATGTATTAGATAAAATGCAAGCTTCTACCCATTCCTCAAGCCATCCTCACCCTCATTCTTTTCATTCATCTTCATCCATTTAACAGGTATTTATTGAGCACCAACTATGTTCAAAGCACTTTGCTGATCACTGAGTTTGTAGCACTGGATAAGATAAAGCAAGTCCTGAATTTCTAGGCCGAATGTCTAGAGCTGAAATTCTCCCAGAGAGAGATAGCAAGATAACAAATAATATTGTTTTAAAATAATTTCAAAAAAGTACAAGAACTATAAAGGAAATATAATTGGATAGAGGAGTAAAGATTGATTTGAAAAATAAATATAAAGACAGTGACCTGCTTCTTCACAAATGAGAGGAGAAAATACTCATGGGCACAACGCTTTAGGCTGCTAGTCCAGGGAAGGGCTCTCTAAAGCTGGGATATTTCAGCTGATTTTTTATTGGAAGAGAGGGACCAAAAAAAATTAGTAAAAATGCTCTTAGGTGACAATGAGCTTGGTGAGTCCACGGAAAAGAAAGGAGGCGGGAAGGCTGATGCATAATGAAAATGCCAAATGAGGTTAGGCTGGGAATTTGAGGGACTTGCAGGTTGGAATTTATTCCAAATGCAATGGGCAGCCTTTGGGGGAATATTAAGCAACTTGATCTGACTGAGGCTTTCAAATAGCAAAGTGTCTGCTTGCTGGGGATCTAATGAAGAATTGAAGCAGGGAAGATTCAGGCTATCTTTTAGAATGAGATGGAAAAAGGGATAAAAAAAAACCGTCATGTTTTTGAGCTGGACATTGAGAGGATGGTGGGCCATTAGCTGAGATGGAGATGACTAGGAGGAATAGAAGCCTCCTGGGATTAGAAATTCACTTATTCCACCTAATCCCTCAGAAGTCCTTGAACTCATGAAAAATGGCCTTTTTTCAGCGCTCCTCAATTTTCTTATGTTCTTGTCTCCTGTGTAAATCACAGTGTTCTGGGTTGCTTGCGTGCTTTTCAATTCCATTCCCATAAACTTCAAACCCTAGCTCAAAATCCAGTTTATTTTTTTATTTTATTTTTTTTTTTTGAGACGGAGTCTCACTCTGTCGCCCAGGCTGGACTGCAGTGGCACTATCTCGGCTTACTGCAAGCTCCGCCTCCCGGGTTCACGCCATTCTTCTGCCTCAGCCTCCTGAGCAGCTGGGACTATAGGCGCCCGCCACCAGGCCCGGCTAATTTTTTGTATTTTTAGTACAGACGGGGTTTCACTGTGTTAGCCAGGACGGTCTCGATTTCCTGAGCTCGTGATCCGCCCGCCTCGGCCTCCCAAAGTGCTGGGATTCCAGGCTTGAGCCACCGCGCCCGGCAAAATCCAGTTTATCTAAGAAGTCTGTCAATTGAAACTCTCTGCATAGTGATTGTTCTCGTTAATATCCATCTTTCAGGTTTTTTTTTATTACACATCTTTTACTCTATTTTATATTCTGCTTCTACTGAATTTAGACCAAATTCCTGCACCTCCCTCCCTTTTTCAGCCCTAACTGCCCCACCTCCCAACTGCACCCCTTGCATATATCCGGTGCCCCACTGAGGTCTGTTTACCCAGTCCTGAGCTCGGCCCCTGCACAACCAAACTGGCATTCTCTCCCAATAGCTCTACCTGCCACAAGTTCCTGTCAATCCTTTAAGACCCAGAATGAAACGTCCCCTTCTCAAGAAACCATTTATGGCCGGGCATGGTGGCTCAGGCCTGTAATCCTAGCACTTTTGGAGGTCGAGGTGGGCAGATCTCCTGAGGTCAGGAGTTCGAACCAGCCTGGTCAACATGGTGAAACCCCATCTCTACTAAAAATACAAAAAATTAGCCGGGCATGGTGGCGGGCGCCTGTAATTTCAGCTACTCAGGAGGCAGAGGCAAGAGAATCGCTTGAACCCGGGAGTCGGAGGTTGCAGTGAACCGAGATCGCGCCAGTGTACTCTAGCCTGGGCAACAAGAGCAAAACTCTGTCTAAAAAAAAAAAAAAAGAAGAAGAAGAAGAAAAGAAAAAGAAAAGAAACCATTTTTGACCGCTCCCCAATCAAACATGATTTCTCCTTCCCCACCCCCTAGGAGGCAGTGGAGTATAATGGTTGGCATCTTCAGCTGTACGGTCATACTGCCCCCATTCACATGCCCGCCACTGCCATGTGCTAGCTGTGTGCCCTCCAGCAACTTACTACAACTTATCGCTCCTGGTTGCTTCATCTGGGAAGGCCAGGTTGAAACAAGGCAGAGGAAGTAAGAGTACCTGCCTTATGAAGTCATTGTGCAAATTACGGGAGGCAACACACCTAAAATAGACCATATATCACCTGGCCCGTAAGAAGGACTCTTCAACGTTAGATGTTTTTGTCATTTTCATTTCAGCATTCTTTGGCTGTCTTGTGAAAAATAAAGTTCTTCATTCTATTGTGGTTGTCTTAAACCCATTACATTAACAGCTCTCGGAGGGCATCATGGTGCCTTCTTCATCTCTGTATTTGGTAGATATTTTGTAAATATTTATTGATGAATAAATGTCAAATCTAAAACAGCTAATTTTAAAGAGTTTTATTTCTTTTACACAAATATGTTGGTTTTCCTCAAAGTAGAAATACTATCTTTTTGTTTCTTGTTTTAAAATTCCATATTGCCCAATATGCATCTATGTAGTGTGTGTAGTGTGTGTATACCGTACATAGACACTGTGTATATGTAGTATATACTACATAGTGTATACTACATAGATACTGTGTATACTACATATACTACATACTACGGATACCCAGTATCTTTAGTATACACAGCATCTATGTAGTATATACTGTATACTATAGGGTGTATATTTTTAATTTTCTGAATTGAGTAACTCTTGAGCAATCAATACAAGCAATGCACATATCATGCTAAATTGACCAATGAAACTGCTTTTAAAGAGGGAAACTATCTCTTCATTTATCCTAAACATAAGGAATTGCAACAATAGGGCATCATTCCAGCTCACAAGAATCTTCAGGCCTCTGAAACCCAGAGTTAGGCAGGAGGTTCTTGTTAGTGACATGTGCTCTCTCATCAACATCAATTAACATTTATTGGAAAAAGCGTGGATGCGGCACACTATGCCGTGTGTTTTGCACACATTTTTTAAATATGAAGACACTATCCCTGCTTTCTTACATGTGGAGAAAAACAGAGTTCACGACCACAATAAATAATAAAAAACATACGTGTTTCTATAGGTTTATGAATAATATTGTATCTCATCATGTAAGAAATGAAACCTTCAATGAGCAGGTAGATCTTGACTGGCTTTGAGATATGACACGGACAGAACCTAGTGGAGAAATAAAGAAAAAGACTGTAGATTTGAAACTAAATCAAAGTTGATTGTAGCTTGCGTTTTGTTTTTAATTAAACGCAACACGCTAAAATAGGGAAAAAAACCAGATTAAAAGATAAACTTGGATTTTCTACATCTTTTTTTCACAAAGTATCACTTAAGCTCAAAAGGTTTTGTTATCATTTCCATTAAATATAATTTTGTTATACTCTTCGTTTCTAGGTTATCCCACACCCAAATAATTATAGATGTAAATCATACAACTCTGCCTAAAGGATATCATTTTTCTCTAGTGATGAACTGGTATCAAAACTCCAGAATAATTTGATGTAATATAATCTTTTGTCGCTCTCCTTTGTTCACTTGGGCTTTTTCTCTCTGTTTTTGCCCTTCTGACCTTCATTTCTTCCCTTCCTTCTTCTTCTCCTGAGTTGTCCAGCATTTGTGAATAATTTGGTCAACTCCTATAGCTGAGAGTCCACATCCTCAGGCCGTAGTCAGCAGCTATATTCAATTCTACAGACTGAGTTATTTAACTGCACAAGTTCTTTTCTCCAATACACACTCTTCTTTTCTCGGTTGAGTTATAACACATACTTTTTTCATCAACCTCTAAAAAAAGTAACAAAGGCTCCATTCTTACAAACCAACTCAAGAATTCAGGATAATTTTTCATGTAGCATCATCTATTAAGTGTTCAATATTTCCAAGCCACAATCTAACCGCCTATGGCATATCCTGAAATTTGATTAAAAAAAAAGAAACTTGTCCAATTCTATCTGTAAAATTCATCTTTCTTGATGTCTGATTGACAAAGTACCTCAAACACTCAAACTGAAACAAGTTGGTGATAAAACCACTGAGATAACCATTGTCTGTTCTGTTTCTTAATTTCTGCATACTTCTTTATACCTTTAGTGACCTCATGTCTAGTAGAGCCTATAGGAATTACATGTTTGAATTAAATAAATTTTTGGTTTTTGTCTTTCTGCCTTATGGATAGATTATCTGCTTAGCTACTGATATTTATTTCTCCATTACTGTTCAAATTAGCTAAGTGGCAAAGCCCATAACCTCAAAAAAAAAAAAAAAAAAAAAACTGTTTAGCTCTATTTGAAACTAAAGGATCTCTCCCAATTTTGCATCTGGTATTTGCTCTTCAACATAGTTATAAGAATATATCCACTCTTACTACCCTTGTTTCTTTTTCCTCCTCCTAAAAAAAAGTATATTAAAATTGAAGACATTTATTTTTAATTCATCAAAATTGGTCTTGGCCATTGCATTTGTTTGCCTTTTTATCTACCAAAAGCTGCAATTTGGAGAGTAATGAGGGAGAGAGGTCACTGAGAATAAAGACATTATTTGATACCAAAGTAACATTACAATAATAGGGATCTTTCCCCACATACTTCAAAACCGATTCAGAATTTAGAAAATAAAGTACAATTAGTTTTTAAAATGGAAATTTAAGTAGAAAGTTAAAAAGTTTAACTACTTTATTCTTAAATAGTAAGCTCCCACAAAGGTAGATTTTAGAGTATTTTGTTTACTACTGAATCCCCAGGCCTAGAACAGCGCCTGCCACATAGTAGGGGTTAGCTCAATAAATAAGTGTTCAATGAATAAACTACCTTACCCAAAAAAAGTTGAAACTTGTTTACCAGCTGTCAAAAGTTGGTTCCTTCATGTATAAAATAGCATCAACTGTGTAATTTGCCCCTACTTCCTCCTTTTGCAGAAAGCCAACAAAAGAACTTTAACTTTTTACCTAAGGATCAAAGGTGTCAACCTATTGGCTCATGCTCCTTTAAAGTCTTGGATAATAGTCTTCGGTTATTTTTAGATAATTTCCTTTGTTTCCAGCTTGAAAAGAAGTATTAACAGAGATCAAAAAAATAAATCACTGATTCAGAGCAGGAAAATGCATATTAAGAAGATCAAAATATAGTATGTAGAGGCTGTGAGCTAGCCTTCCCAGAACACAAGCCAAATCTTGCTTTAGATACTGAAGTATTATATTGGTCTCACTTGGGACCCATCAACATGAAAGGAATGGGGAGAACTTGGAGAGGAGAAATGCTAAATGGGAGGCAAAAATAATTTTAAAATTATAAAGTGACCCATGCAGTCTCAATACATAAAACAATAAGCCAAGAGATAGAAAAATACAACCAAATTCAAACAATAACTAACTCTAGATGGTGGAATTATAGGTAAGTTTATTCTCAACCATAATTTTCTTTATGTCCAAGTACAATATGTATGTAAGACTAGTACAGTCAGAATGAAAATAATACACACAATTTTTAAACGAAGAAAAGAGCCAAGGGTAAAAATCATATGATATATGAAGAAAACTTAAAGGATTAAGATTATAAAGCCAAAGAAGAGAAGGCTCGTGGATAATTTAACAATCTTCATTGCTTAAAACAACCATGGACCCAAAACTATAGAAAACACATAGAATGGGTTTATTTCTCATTTTTATAAATATAGATAGATAGATAGATAGATACATACATACATACATACACATAGTTACAGGAAGTAAGCCTCATAGAGAAAGGGCAAAGGGCACAAAAGCTAGGCAAAAGACAAAAGAAAAAACACCCAGATAATTAGAGTATTGCTTAAGGCAGCAACTCTCATGGTGGGATATGAAGATGGAGAACATGAAAAAGGACAAAGGGGTTTGCCTTCTCAAGAGGACATTGCAGAATCTCAGGAAGAGGTGTGTTATTAAAAGGAGACATGTTTAAAATAAAGATTATAATAGAATTCCTAGGGTACCATAATTTAGGTATACCCATGGAAGTATCCTATGTGTGAACATATATATTCTAGGGTAGAAAAATATTTGAGAATCCCTAACCCAGGGTCTTCAAGGTGAAGGACCCTGGATTGCCACAAGACAAGATGGGCAAAAGCAGTTTCTCTTGTAGGCTGGGGTAGGGTGATCAGAAATGAAAAGTCTTTTTGAAAAGAACCAAGAGACCTCAATTTAAGCTCTGTCCCACAAAGCTAACTAGAAGCTTTCCTAATGTCTATATATTTTGTTATATCCAAAATTATTTGGGAGTGTGCAAACCCCAACTCTGCAACCTCCTTGATGCATTTCACGGTCAAGAAGTTGTACTGTATACTTTTAAAAACTTCCATTTAGCTACCATTTACATTCAGTTTCTCTCTTCCGAGTTGTCACAGGGGTAATAAGCAAGAAATAAACATCATCTACATAATAAAGATGGCCACCTTCAAGTATCATGATTGTACCACAAGTAGGAATATCAAGAAATCATACTTTTACTTAGAGGAATTGCTTTACCAACAGAAATGTCAAGAATGTCAGATGCCTTGGTTAATTAAGAAGACACTTGGAGGACATGCGGTGTTTTCCAGGCTCTTCAAATCTCATTGCATAGGTGGCTATCTCCCTTTGATATCATGACAAGGACATGTGACCACATGTATCTAGAATTAGAATGGTTCAGGCCAATTCAAGCCTTCGCCCTTTCACACTGGGTCTGCACCAAGCAGATAGAAAACACATAATAAAAATCTAAATCTTACATTTAGAATAGGAACTGCTATCAAACTTTTCTCTTTTCTCAGGCAGTGCTACACCTGACAAACACAACCAAAAGAAGTATTCAACAAGAAATTCAAGTGGCTTCAATCTTCAGAAAGGAATAGTAAGGATTCACCGAGCACTTACTATGTGATGACTACTGTACTGAACATTTTACATCCTTTATTTCTCTGAGGTCCTTAGGCTATCTAGTTCTAGCTATTCTCCCTGAAGTTAAAGTTGGGCAAACTCAGAGGTCCTTGGAAATCTCTGCCGCCTCGCCCACCCCTAATAGTAACCAGAGAGGTATCTAGACTAAGACCAGGAATTACCTAGTCCTGATCACTCAAAGAGGATGAAGACTCCATGGTACAATTGGATGGGGAGAACTGAAAAATTATATTTTTATTATGGAAGGTCTGGCACCACTATCTTGCATCAGAGCAAATTCTAATGGAGTTCCAAGCCTGAATCATTCTCCTCAGGGTTGTTGACTCACCATATTTGGCTCTTTGACATATCACTTGCTCATTCTCTCTTTCTCTCAGCTTTGCTGCATACCCTCCTGAGACAGAAAGGGTGCATGAAATTGGTGAGAGGTGACAGAGATCAAAGGGCAGCATTACCCTACTTGTTCCAAGGTGTAAGCCCCGGGACTGTCCTGTTACTCTCATCTCTACCCACAATGCTTTTATTTTCTGATGCTTATGGAACCTCGACCAAAAACTTTCCACATTCCCATCCCCTCTTCTTCATTCCATTTCTCTTTCCCTATCTCATCCCCTCTACCTACATACACATTCGCACACACACACACACACCCCACTCTCATACTCACACACATCCCTTTTGCTTCAAAGGATATGGGTATCATATACTCAATAGAGTGAAAAGAAAACATTCATATCTCACCGAAGCCATATGTATGTACCTCAAGTCAGAATTTGACTTGTTTGGGAGTGGTTTCAATGTATTAGTTTCACAGTCACTAATCAATACCACACAAGAATCCATTTCAAATACCTTTCTTTTAAATGGAGCTTTGACAGCCCATGTTTAGGGCAGACACTAAAACTAGAAAGAATTCTTTCTGCATCGCTTTTGTGAATACAGGATGTTGGCAAAAGATTATTAGAGTAGCTCTTTGCTGGCAGTTTCTCTTTGTTCTCCACATCTCGGAAACCTGCTAAACTCAGCTGCACGTAAAACAAAGCAGAAGCATTTTGGTGTGGGCAGTGATGCACCCTTTGGGTAGAGGGCCACATAAGTATTGGAGAAAACACTGTTTAAAAGTCAGCATTACCTCCCAACTCGGTGATTCCTTTTCTCAAGATTGCATAATGCTACATGTTGCTCTCCTACATTCGTCTGGGCAGTAGACGCTTGACTCTCTTACTCTTCTGGCCTATTTTGAAGGGATGTGAAGGGAAAAGCTAAGGAAAGCCTCACAGGTGGGGAGCTCTAAGTTTATGAACAGCAAGAAGGCAGCCATATCCTTCTGCTTTGCCGTGAAAATCAAGCATCACCTTATCGTTTCCTCACCAAGATTAACTCCTGCTTCCTGAAGAGTATTTCTGAGGTAGAAAGCAGAGGTGGTGAAAAAAGAGGGAGCTGAAAAGTCCAATCTGTCAAGCTCCTTTTTAGAAGAAAGGAAAACTGAAAAGTGAACATATTTAACATGAGCCATTTCCTGCACTCAGGAGGGAAGAAAGCATGCTAGGAGCTCTGTGCAGGAGGAGATCCGCACTGGTGTTATCTCTGACCTGCAGCTTAGCCCCAGTGTCTCAGCTGCCAAAAAGCTCCCATTCAACGTTGTGCTGAGTTCATCAATGCTCCACGTGTCAGGATCCTAACAGGAAAAAGCAGGACAGACAGTCTCTCCATTCAACCGCCTGGGGACCCCATGACAACTAAAATCCCCTCGCAGACCGTCCATATCAACCTTCGGCAGGTCAGAGCACGCAACCCCTTCAGAACCACAGGCTCAGGCCCACACCCTTTCCCCTTGTCAACATTGTCACTTTAAACAGAACATTGAGCCTTATCACGAAACCTGAAGTAAGTATGACAATTAAGATGGATTGCAAAGCCTGCTTGTGCTTCACAATTAACAATCACTTGGCAGCAGGTTCCACGCAACTGTTGGGGGGTATGGCAAGAACTTTATCCCTGCTTAGTGCTGCATTAGCATATTTAGTAGGCTGCAAGACATAATTCCTAAGATATGAACATATTTTTGTCTTTTTTAAAAATCTGCAATTAAGCTATAATATGTAGAAACTCTGCACCAGGCAATCAATGTGCAAATACCAAGATGGAATTGGGGTAAGGAGGGCAAACAAAAGAAATGTTCCCCCAGCATTGATAACAACCTGAACCAGTGGCTGCTTGCAGAGTCACAGGTCAGCTAGAAAATTGTGGCTCTTTCCTGTTCGTGACGAAATGAGGGAGCGGGGGTCTGGTGTTGCCCCACTGCTGCTGGCATCAGGTGAAACCTCTGTAAGAGCATAGCTACCTGCTTTAAACCTGCATATTTAAAAAGCGAAATAAAATCAGCCCCTGAAGTGACCCTGGTGGTTACTTACCAAACTAGGCATTTTTCACAGAAAGCACCTTTTGATCCTCAATCTCTGAGTAATAAAAGATGTTGATAAAAATCACAAAGGCACTTTATTCTACAAATGTGAGGGCTAGTCCTCAAACTTCCCATTATTTTCCTTAGTGGTTGGCACATGTGCCACACTGATGAGAAGGACTCAGGGAGTGCAGAGCCTGGACCAACGTGACGTGCCTAAAGACAACCCAAACTGCCATTCCTAACTTCTCCAGTGTGCTTGTTGCATAGATTCAGGCCTACATTCCAAGCCTCTGTTGGGGCTGCAGAGGGAAAGAAACGCAGCCAGATCTTTCTAAGATAGCCAGGACTTTGTCTTTCTTGACATCTGGGTTGCAAGAAGGCAGGATATCCTGCCAAATATATTACAGCTGTGAGACCCACCTTGTGATTAAGACTCAGCCGAGGCTGAGGAACACAAGAGACAGAGGTGAGGCGTTTTCTGGCAAAGAAACCTCACCCTCTACAGATACCTCCTCTGTAAAAGAAAACACATACACACACACACACACACACACACACACACACACACACACACACACAAAGTTTAGGTGAGCAGCTCTCTAGTTGCATAAAAGGAAGCATGTGAAAGTAACAAATGCAATTTAGCACACAAAGTCTTTCTTTACAAAACCAGAAAAGTAGCAGATTAAAGCACCTGGCAGTCTTGGCACGCCAAAAGAAAGTCTTAGCTGTGACAAAACAAAACAGGTGTACAGGTATAAAACTTTTGCTTTCCAATAATGCCCCTCTCTTCACTGGAATGCTTTGACAGGTGCAGAAGTTCAAGTTACAGTGGGGAAGTAGCAAATAAATACACAGCATTAGCGTCTGACGTGCTTGCTGAGCACCCGGGGATGTTAATAACTGGCAAGGTACACTAATCTCTGATTGCAACATTTGGTTTACCTTAATCTGGAGGGACAGCTGTATTAAAGAGGGAATTATACTAATCAGTTCAAGGCCCTTGCATATAAAACTTCCCATTAGGCTTAAAGTACACCAGCTTATGCTCATTCTCTAGGAGCCTTACATCTGGTTCTGAATAAGGCTGCCTCTCATTTGCAAGGTACAAACTGAAAACAAGGGGGAGGGGGGCTGACAGTTGCTGGAGGATGGGTGATAGAAGAGGAAGCTACTAATTCTTTGAAATTTTTAACAGCACAAAACTAGCTTCTAGGCATCTTAATACTAAAAGAAAAAAAAAGCATGTGTTATCAACCCTAGGCCATTTTTTCCTGTTACCGGAGGTGACCAACATAAAATAAAATTGATGATGTCAGTCAAAAACAGCTAAGCACAAAGCTTGGCTTTGTTATCTTAAGTCAGAAGGTAAGATAGGCCATGCCATATGGCTCTAATCCGTCCCTATCTCCCATCACCTAACAGGAAACCTTCATGTAGCATGACCTTATTTGGCTGGTTCCAGGTTAGGGCTGCCCAAAGGGGATTTTTCTGTTTCTGCTATATCCAAAGGTTTATGTTGATTTTTTTTCTGAGCCCTGCAAACTATAAATCCGACTGATTACTCTGCACTCTTTTGCTTGACTGAGCCTTTACAATCAGACATCCCCGTTAACAATAAGCTCCTAATGAATCAAACATCTATGGCATTAGTTTCACCTAGCTGCCTCTTTCCCATGCACTGTGCTGCTTTGTCAGACCTGGTTTGATGAGAAAAGCTAGTGACACTTGCTGCACCTATTGATAAACAATTCAGTAATGAGGGGCATAACAAAAATTACCTACAACAACCTGATTAAAAATGACAGGCAAAGCTTACTCCTTGCCCTATAGTGAAGGTAACTCTGGCACTGTGGAGGGAAAATAATGAGGTAAAATGAAATTTCCTCCTTTACCACGGAGTTCATTTCTGAATGTGTGTTTACTAAGTGATGAAAATTGTTTTTAGCAATGTTTTACATTCTTTCAGGCTATGTGATTATCAATAATGTTAGGAACTCCTAGAATTCAAGATGCTTCCCTTTCAACTTTCTGAGATGAACTCCCTGCTTTTTCTACTTAAATTTTCTGAATAACCTAATATCGAGATCTTCACTTTGTTTCTCAAATGTGAGTCTAGTCATTGAGAAACTTAACAGTACAAGTAATAATAATTAGTTAAGTGTAGCATGGGGAATAAAAGAAAAATTCTAAGACACACACACATAATTTTCTGAATGAAGTAGAAAAACTTTATGGACAATATCACCTCCCTAAAAGGAATAACTTAACCTTACCATGGGCATTGAAGTTCTTTTTATTGGGGTCACCCAGAGGACCTTTGCAACCTCGAAACAAGCTTCTACCCAGGGGAGGCCAGGCTCTCATGAAAGCTTGATTCAAAGACAGAAATGTGTGGGTTCTGCAATTGTGTAGCAGCATGTTGGGAGGGTTTCCATCCGTGCACAGATGCACTTGAAAATCAAATATGGACATGAGGAATGTTTTTTGGAGATGGAAAATGAGTGCTGATGACATGTTTATACTTCACAGATGGATCCAGTACAGAACCATTTTTTGTAAAGAAACAATATCCACCATTTGCTAATTTTTTTTTTTGAGGAGCTACAAAATGGTGGCACAAAAAGTGAATATTCCCATCGTACATACTCCACCTGTTCCTTCGTCTTACAACCGTCTTCCATCCTGAATGTAATCATTGACTGTTGTAGTCTTATTTTTTTCTCAAATGTTATCCAAAAGGATGTGAAAAAAGAAATACAATACACAAAGGCACTTGGAAGAGCGAAATGATTTGAAATGAATTTACTACATATGAAAAATTGGAATATGACAAATGCTATTAAGTAACAAATGCCGAATTTAATCTTGAAAAATGCATTTTCTTACTGGCATATTTTCTCCTTGTATCTGATATCAAATCAATTTCTGAATGTCTTCTGTCAAGAGTTTTGCATGCCTTCTTTATTCCTTTGGCCCACCATTTGCCAAATACCACTCTTAGGTGTTGGAAACTCTGGAAAATGCAAACACTTCAAGTTAGATTAATTCTATTTATTGGCTTATTGTTGATACATTATAGTGATAAATATTTCATAGTTATAAATATGAATTAAGATAACATGGAAAGGCACAATATATATAGGATATGTATTTATAAGATAATCAAAAACATTTAAGTGCCAAAGAACATAATTAATAACATTGTTTGTAAACTTTGCTTCCTTAACAGAAGATATCAGAATCATCAAGTCTTAATTTATTGCCACATCAGTAATATTAATTTGCCACTTCAGATGTGAAATATTGACTAAAGTGATCCACTTCAAAGATACACAGATCAAAAAAATAATAAAGGTATGGATGTGAAATATGAAAATTAATAGTTTGATTTGTGCAGTATTTAACATATTCTGAACACATTTTCATACTTGGTGAATATTTTTAAGTGTTCCAAATAAGATATAACATAGTAACATTAAAATTAATTATTTTCTTACTATTGATCAAACAAACTAATTTTTCCTGAAGTTTTACCTTTCTTACCATCTGTATTCATGACCTACTGAATTCCACAGCTGACTTTAGTGAATAATATTTTTATTCTAAGAACTGGTCTGAGGTTAAGAATTAAAAATAGAATATGAATCCAGGCAAATGATCAAACAGCCTGAGACTGGATAACAAAATCCTGACAATATGCATAAATCAGCATGTTCTTGCTACCCTTCGTTTTCTGGCAGAGTACCAAACATCAATCTGTGGTTCCCCATTCTATGATCCTAACACCTTGTTATCATCCTGGTACTAACAAAAGCCTGTGTAAACTTCTCCAAAGAAAGCAAGTCTTGATTTTTATTACTGGATTTTTGACACATATGAATAAGGCCAAAACATTTCAGAAATCCTTAATTATTTTTTGCCTATACATCAAAAAATAAGTTTTAGTCAAAGCCTTCATTTAGTTTTAGAGTTTCACAAAAAATATTAGTACTCTACTTAAACGTATTAAACTTTGAAATAGTCAAAAAATGAACATATAGCTTTCCAGTTATAGCACTTCTTACATAGTTACGTTGTTAATCATCATTTTATAAATACATAGAATATAGAGCTGGAAAAAATTAGAGATCATTTGTTTCAATTCTCTTATTTTAAATGTTAGAGAAAGAAGGTCTGAAAGGTAATATTCAAGTTCACATAACAAGAGTGCAGAAATTGCTTTCAGAAGCTTGCTTCAGAACATTCTGTTTGAATATTTTGTAATGATTATAGTGGACTAATTTTATGTCACTAATCACATTTTCTAAGTACTATATCCAGTATTATAATAATCATGTTGGGAGAATATTACACTAAAAGGATAAGTGAATAATAAAAAAAAGTTAATCATCTAGATTCTCCCAGCACCTAAGATGTTGCCTGGATGTAAGGTGTCTGTCTCCTCTTTAAGGTCATTAGGCTATTAGTGAATGAGTTAATAATGTGATAATACAACTGGGTCCCTGCTGACAAGCAGAGATTATGTAACTTGTAAAGATGCTGTTGACCAAGGAAGAGCTTAAATAAAGGGACTTTCTGCCTCAATTATATTGCTCTACCTTACAGTATTAACATACTGGCTATTCAACTACATCATTGCTATGACATTGTTTACCATCCAAATATTTAAAAATTAAAGCTAGAGAATCATAAGGTATGCTTTCTGAACCAAAACAGATGAAGAAACTGTGGAGATTAAGTGATTTGCCAAGATCAAACAGGTAGTTAGATATATCTAGAAACAAGAAGTACAGGATTACAGCATTTATTTAACAAGCAGATTTTGTGTCAAGTCTATAATAACTAACACCAATTTATCTTATGGAAAAAAATGAGCAGACCCTTCACTTTGGGGGTTAGGCATTATACCATTGCAAGAATAAGAATAGTCACTCTGGAGAAACGATAATTTTACCTGATCAGCAGGTATACAAAAAGATCACACTCCTCTATCAAAGTAAAAGGGTAAATACCAGTTAATACAACTGCATATCATGCTTTTGAAACTTGATTTCCTTTTTAAGCCTTTCCCTGGTTTCTATTTTTATAGTCTGTCATATTTATTACGAAAATGTTAGAAGGAAAATATGGTAAGTGTATATAGCATCACAGTTGTCTGTAGAATTGATCTATAATTTTTTTTGAAGAGGTAGATTGGGGTCAGAAATTTTTACTTAATTTTTTATCTTAAAAAGTGGCATGTTTATTATAGAAAAAATTATAAAGATAAGCAAAAAGTAAGTAGATAGATAAATAGATATATAACCTAAAATCTTGCTTCTCATGATACCATGTTAGTATCTAGCTTTTCAGAGTTTTACCTGTGCAAATATGCACACATAAATATTTTATCACAAAGATGAGGTCATGCTATGCAAAGCATCTTTTGATCTGACTTTTGCTCCCTAAGAATGCATTGTGAATTACTTTCCCTGGCAATAAAAACAGATCATCTTTTTGCCATCAAAATAGTCCAAGCCACCATCATCTCTCACCTCCTCTGTTCGAAAACCATACTAACTCACTTCTGACCACCTCTCCAGATGACTTTCTGCATTACAGCCAAAATGAGCTATTCAAATGCAACTCTGGTTATGTCATTCCCTCTCACCTTCTTAAAACATTTTATTTGTCTATAACAGAATTTCTCGAACCTGAGCACTAGTGACATTTTGGACCAGATAATTCTTCTTCCTCTTTTTTTTTTTTTTTTTTTTTGAGACAGGGTTTTGCTGTCACCCAGGCTGAAGTGCAGTGGCAAAATCTCGGCTCACTGCAACCTTCGCCTCCCAGGCTAAAGCGATCCTCCCACCTGGGCCTTCCGAGTAGCTGGGAACACAGGCGCGCACCACCATACTGGGCTAATTTTTGTATTCTTGGTAAAGACAGGATTTCACCATGTTGTGCAGGCTGGTCTCGAACTCCTGGCCTCAAGCAATTCTCTCACCTCAGCACCCCAAAGTTCTGGGAATACAGGCACGAGCCACTGGGCCTGGCATGGACCAAATAATTATGTGTTATGGAGAGCTGACCTGTGTATTGTAGGATGTTTAGCAGCACCACTAGCCTCTACCTACTAGATGCCAATAGGACCCTCACCAGTTGTGACAATCAAAAATGTCTCCAGACAGTGCCAAATGTCCCCTGGGGGACATAATTACCCCCAGTTGAAAACCACTGGTCTATGCCAACAACCAAAATCCACAGGATAGCACACAGGACCCTGCATGCTAATATGGACCCTCCCTGCCTCTCTAGCATCGTCTGACTTGACTCTTCCTCTTGCTCTTTGTCTTCTTCAACCACACAGGTTCCTTTTAAATAGCCTAAATTTATCTGCTCTGTCCTGCACAAGATGTTTGCCCATGCTGTTTCGTCTGTCTGATAATGTTCTTCATCTATCCATCTCCCCACCTTTTGCTTAGGTGACTTCAATTCATCCTTCAAATTCCATTTGAAGAATCACCTTCTCAGAGGTGTTGGCCGGGCACGGTGGCTCACGCCTATAATCCCAGCACTTTGGGAGGCCGAGGCAGGCAGATCACGAGGTCAGGAGATCGAGATCATCCTGGCCAACATGGTGAAACCCCATCTCTACTAAAATACAAAAAAAAGAAAATTACCCAGGCGTGGTGGCACGCGCCTGTAGTCCCAGCTACTCGGGAGGCTGAATCAGGGGAATCACTTGAACCTGGGAGGCGGAGGTTGCAGTGAGCCGAAATCGCGCCACTGCACTCCAGCCTGGCAACAAAGCGAGATTCCGTTTCAAAAAAAACAAAAGTCTGAATCCTTTGCTATGCGCTTTTATGGAACAATAGGCCTTTCTCTCAGACCTGCTATCTCCTTTTGTTTTAAGTGCACATTCATTAATATGATTGTTTCTTTACTATTTCCTTCTCTAGACTCAAAGCTCTGTGGACAGGAGCCTTGGTATTCTGAACACCTAGCACAGTGGCAGGTGCACAGTAGAAACTTGATAAATACTTGTTGAATAAATGGCTGTGCCAGAATCATTATATTTAATGGATGTTATAATTTTTATGAATGTACCATGCATGCTCCTACCATTCTGAGATTGGGAGTAGATTTTGAAAGCTGATGAGCTAAGTAAGAAAGTTTCAATGATACCTTTCAGGAAAGGCAAGTCTTTGACAGTTTCGAGCAGAGGTGTGATGAACCAAAACTTATGTTTAGAAAGATCCAACTAACCGTGCAAGTGAAAGGAAGTGGAAGCAGAGAGTTCAGTCAGAAAACCATTTAAATCATCCAGTTATACAGTAAAAATAAATTAGGATGGGTGGTGTTAGTGGAACTGAAAAGAAAGAGACAATTATAACAGAAATTGTGAAATAATTAATGGAACCTATTGATGTGTAGGACTATGCCACTTATCATTCAAATGAGGAAGAGCTGGATACTTTTCTACATCAAAGTCAATCTTGACTTGCAAAGTAGTCAAAAGGGCAACAAAAAGTCGTTTATAAAGATTGAAGATCATGAAAGAGTCCACTATTCTCCATATGCTCTGTTTGTTTGTTTGTTTGTTTGTTTGTTTGTTTGTTTTGAGTCACCCAGGTTGGAGTGCAGTGGCACAATCAGGGCTCATTGAAGCTTCAACCTCAGGAGCTCAAGCCATCCTCCCACCTCAGCCTCCCAAACTGCTGGGATTACAGTAGGTGTGTGCCACCACACCTGGCCTCAATATGCTTCTAAATGGATAGAAGAGCCAATATTCTCAAGTAAGGTCATCCTTACTTGACAGGGTTGAAGCAATTTTCCTGAGCCTCAGGTTTAAAGGTGAGAAGGGATGGCTATCTCACATGTATGTCAGGCTATATCCCAAGGCCTCATTGGTATTAGAATAGTGGCTGATGGGGATCTATAACACCTCTATTCCTAACTTCTGATAGTAGTTCCAACCCTGCCAACAGTTACAGACAATATATGTGTAAGAAGAAAATATGTTTCTCCCAGCTATAAAAGGATGTGGCTTCATCAGACTCTGTCTTTTTGGATCCAAAAACCAAAAAGAATTCTGGTTCAAATGGTGTTTGGCATTAATACAAAGAAGAGAATGCTTCCGTCAGTGAAAGTTAAAAGCCACAAAAGTCTGCCTAATGAAGATATTGAATACGTCTTAGTTCACATATGCATGTTTATAATTTAAGATAATTGAATTTTTATAATTTTATATAATTTAAAGTTATAATTTTTATGTAATTTAAGATTATAAATTTTATTATTTTTATGTAATTTAAGCTTATACACAGACCAAGGCATTGACTATTAGATATGATTTCAGGCATTTTGAGAGAAAATGCCCTAGACTTTTCTAAGTTTGATCAGAGAAACATTCTGAATGGAGTCTGTTCCCACTGTTAGCATTAGATATGTAAAGGTATATGTGAATCTTAATTTTTCCAGCAGGATCAGTTGTGTAATTTATATTCATTCTCATCTCAGCTGCACTAATTTATAAATCCTAATCCTAATTAAGATCCATACATAGTAGCTGCTATATAAATAAACATATAACAATTGTATTATTTTCTATTGTTTACATTTTAAATTATTCATTAGGATTCAGCTAATCAAAATAATTTCATCTGTAGGCGAAGACAAATTTGGTTCACTTGCACAACCAACTAAAAAAAATCCTCTGAGTAGAATTTTAGCATTACAGACATGTTAAGATTTTTTTAGTTCATATCGAATCTGCCTAAAAGTATTTTCCCATCCAGCATGTTGAATTGCAGACCATCAGAGCTCTCGTTTACTATCTTGTAATGCAACAAACAAAACCTACTTTTGTTTGTTACCTAGCTCCTATTGGTGACCCTGAAAAGATCAAGTTACATCTGACTTTCTTATTTTTCACTGGTGGTGTCAATTCTTCTAGTGACAATTACATAGGGCTGCTACAGTTTCTGCTTTCACTCTTAAGGGGCTAACTAGTTACTAAAGTTGCCTATGAAACCCAAGAGTAACCCACAAAGCACAAGTAGAAATTGCATATGCTCATCTTTCTTTATTGTTCAAAACTAACAACCTCATGAAAGTTTCAGAAGATGTCATAGAGTCAGACCTCTAACATCATGGCAGTTTGAAGAGAATAGTGGTTCTATCAATAAAATGTCAGGGAAGATTTGCATGGTGAACCTCTGACTCTACTTCAAGGGATGCAATTAGATAAATATGCTAGATTTAGAGAATTGATCTAAAAATGTAGCTGCAGTCAGTTCCTAAGGACTTCAGAATTTTAATATTTATGAAATACATTAATTTTGTCAAAATAGGGAGAATCAGACAGAAAGAGCTGTCATGGGTCCTCACTTTGCCAAGCTAAATCATAAAGAAGGGTTACTAACTCTGCCACTGTTTTCCACGTGGAGACCAGATCTTCTTTTGACTACTGGGTAGCCTCTCCCTGTCTCCACAGAAGTTCACGTTTACTACATTTGACCTCTGCACCCAGCACTCCCAGACCTCTCTAAGTATGTGCCTATTGTAACATCAGATGGAATCTTTCTGCCTCCCTTTGCTCCCAATAGTTTTAAATTAGCTGAAGTTAACATATTTAATTGAGAGCCACATTATAACATTGTTCTAAACACTTTGTCTTACATTACATAAGACACTACTGGGATTTTAAATTTCCAAGTAACAGATCATCTTGAAAGAGGTTACAGTCAATTGTTTAATAAAGTGAATCACTGAAACTTTGAGCTCACTGAGGTCATTTTAAGCTATATTCTGTGATACTCCAATTAGTTCATTCAGTGCATATTTATTAAGTCCTACCATGTATAAGGCACTGTGAACCAGAACAGACATAGGTTTATGGAGTTCCAGGTCTCATGATGGAACCAATACTTCAGAACTTGTGTTCAATTATAAGCAGATATGAAGACCTTTTTTTAAAAAACAAAAAAAGTTTGCTGTATTTGATACAAGCTCTCTCATCCCAGCCTTCTACTCAATTATCTCTTTAGCCATGCATATTAGTATTTGACAAAGAAACTCATTTCTAACATCTTTATATGGTGGAATTTATGATGTCATGGTTAAAACAATGGTCTTTGGTGTCAGATATGTCAGAATGCAATGCTGCTTCTGCCACTTACTAGCTTTGTGATATTGGTAAAAATCCCTTAATCACCCTGAACCTCAGTTTTTTCATCTGTAAGGTAGAAATACTTATTTTTTTGGTGACGTCATGAGGATAAAATGAAACAATCTGCATGGAACCTTTAGCATATATTCTCACATGTAGTGGGCATTCAATAATTGTTTTCATTATAAAGAGGAGAGTTTGGGTGAGGAAAATGTGCATGATGCATTTGGTAACCAATATGACTTAGAAGTACCAGTAGATACAGTGGCAGAACTCTCTTCCACTGATAAGGGAAAAAAATGTAAATCTTGATGGAACCACAGGAAGCAAAATATCTAGATCTAGAGCAAGGAGAGAACCGTGGTGCTGGGGAGAAAAGAGCATCAGGAGTATCTTAGCTAGGGTTCCACTAAAAGCAGAGCCTGAAACAAGGAATAAGATGCATGTTAGTTTTCCCTAGAAATGAGAGGGCGGGAATAGCGGGAATAAGGAAGGGCTGGAGGAAAAGCCAAATAATGTTCCTAAAGGGTACCTAAGATTCCTGCTGTTGAAAATAGGACCTCTGAGAATGCCTAGTGCTTTTCAGAATTGCCTGTTCAAAAAATCGTTGGCGGGAATACTTATCACAAAGATTGCCCTGGCAGGTGTTAATTCCCCCTATATTTCCATGCTAGGCCTGAGGGAGGAATCATGAAGCAGGCTTCTGCAGCCTGGGAGAAGGCTCTGAGGCAGAAATTGGGATGATTCACAAAGTGTTCTAGAGGTGGGACCACCCAGGCCCAGCCTAGGTTTCCTAGGAACTGTCCTCTAAAGCTATAGTGAAATCAGTAGGGGGCATGGGGCTCCAAACTTCTCTTCTACAAATAGGCCTCCTGATAAGCCATGGAAAGCATCAGAAAGTGAAAAATGCTACTAGCAAAAGTGAATGCTGGCCCCAAAGATAAATCAGATATTTGGTTTTCTGGAAGCTTTGGCTTAGTTTCTAGATTATTATTAATCTAGCCACTAGATTATTGTAACCAAAGTTAAATGAAACAAAATAAAAGTGCAAGGACATAGAATCTTTCCCCTCCCAGAAGTTCTTACCAGGGTTAGAATCACAAGGATTTTAAACTTGGCTACCTATATAGTCAAAATACTGCCACAAAAAAGATGTGGCTTCACTAACATAATATATCATTGCATCATTCAATTCTCTACACCTATAATCACCGAACATTCTAGTCAAAGCCTGATCGATGTAAGCTACACTCTTCCATCTTCTCTAATGTCTCTATATTAGTCAGGCTGATGTCACAGTATACTGAAAATGACAAGTCACAACTTACCCTAGGAACATGATACGGGAAATTAAACTCAGCATTAAGGAGCTAAAAAGCTTTTGGTTTCTATTTGAAGGGGGCAAGCTGGTTGGCCTATCTGGTCTGACAGTAAAAGGTAAAATCATTTTAAAATAATAATTTCTCAGTATTCAGTCACATATTCAATGCATGGCTGTAATTTCTATCCAACCAAAGTACTACCTAAGGTTGCCAGATAAAATACAAACATTGCATGGGACATTCTTATCCTAAAAAAATTCATTAGTTATTAGACATTCAGATTTAACCGGGCAATCTTTATTTTTGTTTACTAAATCTGGCAACCCTAGTGCCCCTTCCAAACAAGAACAGAGAAAGAGCTGCTTATTAAAACAGACCCCAAGTGTTTTGGAATGATGTCCCGTACGTTTTAGGACTTTCCAGTAGCAGCAATATTAATAAATTGATATCTGAATTAACTGTAATGGTCTACATATTGTTTTCTTAGGCATGTTTTTAAAAACTTTTCAAAGCATTTCAATAATGTATTTTGTCACAACATGGCCATTTGTATCTTGAAAAAATATTGTGATGGTAAGAGGAAAATCCCATTTCAAATCCTTTCAAATGAACTTTCAAGAGACTCTCATTTACTTCAGTCAAGTAAGCATACCTTAAAATGTTTTCATATTATTCACTTAAATATTCTCTCATAAATAAATAAAGTTATTAATCAACTTGTAAGTCCCAGAACCATACCGCAAAATTCTTTGATAAAGAAACATCCAAAAACCACATGGAGAGTCACATCATTTTAGTTGCAAGATTCCTGTTCCAGCTCACCTTCCAAAACAATTTCAGTCAAGTAGAAATGCTCTGACAATCCTCACTCAGAATAGCAAATAATCCCTGCCTTTTCATTCATTCACTCATTACCTCTCTAAAACGAGAATGTGCAGTTACCAGAATTTTATACAATTAGTGCTCCAAGAGTGTTTTAAATGCAAACCTTTAAGAGGAAAGTAAAAACAAATCAAAGTTAATTGTGACTGGCTGAAACAAAATGCTTAAATCAATAGAAGGATGGCTCATCTGCTCATCATTTACCCATTACCTGGGAGACGAACACCTCCTGCTGTGCTTGATTTTTGATACAGATTTACAATTGCCTGTATCCTACACACACATGCCAAGGAAACCCAGACCTTCTTTGGCTCCCTCTCTCATTATCTTCTTTGCACTTAATAACCTTATTCATTCTTATTTTATTATTGCTTGTGTGCTCTTCTTTGCAAGGTAGGCCTATACACACACACAAAATTAGAATTTTAAAACCTTATAAAGAAGCTAAGGACTTTACTGCAAAGCAGTCAGAGAAGGCACCAATATCTATCTATGAATTGCTGTCTTCCCTCAATTAATCATAACCTGATTATTATGATTTTCAGAAACCCCCCAAAATAGAATACAACTTCTTTCATAAGGCATTCATTGGGGAAAAAAAGTTTGTTAAAATATTAAGATATTAGAATCAAATGAAGAGAAATAAAAGCCCTCTTATTTGGAAATCTAAGGTAGTAAATTATTTACTGAAAGGGCAGCCTTTAAACCCAGACACAGTGTCCAGGTGACAGACCTCGGGGAACAGCGATGACCAGATACCTCCTCAGAGTTGGAGCCTCTGGCTTTTGAAGGCCACAAATACTCTTCACTCTTATCGATAAAGACAAACTCGTCTTGAGACCTATGCTGCCTCTCTGCAAATGCCCTTTACCATAGCCAAGTATCAAAGAAATGGAACGTAAAATGTACCTGCAACTGAAGGTTAATACCTAACCCTGAATTAAGTATACACCAAATTTAGGTATCTTCGCAAAGATGATTGTGTTGATACATTACTTTTTTCAGACAACCATACAAGTGAAAATCTTGCAGCTTATCCTAGTAGTAGAGGTAGTAGTGATGATTTCCAGGGAAAAAAGACGTAAAAGATCTTTGAAATAAATTCTAATTTTTCTTATTCTATTTGATGATTAAACAGATGATGTGTAACTACTACCACCATATATTTACTGGCAATTACCTTCTGTTAGCTTTCTAGCTATGTTTTTTACTTGTACATATGGATTAGCTAATATAAGAATATAGAGATGACCACATGTGAATAGCACATGGACTAATGCTATGTTACATTTTTAGCCAAGTACACCCAAATAGGCCAACCAATCACATGAAAGTTAGAAATACGGTTCCCATTTTAACATCGGAGTATAAATATAAATGAAAAAATCTAGGAACACATCGATACAACAGAGAAAAACAATAGCATAGTGCAAAGGATGGAAATTTTGATGGTGTACAGAAGGAAAAAGAATAAGGAAAAATCTAATACAAGTGATAGTCAGCTTTAGCCTTTCAATTGACTGTTGGCTTATATTCCACCACCACTTCCTCAGTGTGACCATTTTAGTTATTTATTTATAGGACAAGACATTCATAACCAATAACAGGGTTGTAATGATAGTAATGTAGGATTTATGATACATTTAAAAAAAAAAAAGCACCTTTAACCAACACTAAAAAGCCACCAAGGATCGGGGTGAAGGGTAGTTACCTAGCTCACGGTTTTATTTAGTGATGGTTCCACTTTTTCACTCGCTGCCTGCAAATCAGCATTTTTAGTGGACAAAGGACTCAGCAGCGGCCTTATGATTGCTTCTTTTCAAATGGTAATGGCTAGCCTAACTCCTCTGCCAGGTTTTTCTTACCAGAGCACAAATTGCAGTTTACAAGGCTCTGAGGGGGAAAAAAAATCTTAGCTGAATATCTTTTTTTTTATTCGACAAACTGACATGTAAATTACCCTTTAAGTGCTCCACTCTAGGGCTCTGATCATCTCCTAATTGTCACAGTCAATTGTAGCCAACAGTCTCTTCAATCCCAAGCGCTTTGACAACAAGCACAAGGATCAAAGCAGAATCAGCTCCCTGCAATATCCTTCTGTTTAGGATGCTACAAAAAGCCCGCAAAAGAAAGGTGTAAGGGCATTGCTGTAGAGGAAACTGAGAGTAGCAAGTATTACAATAGTCATTTTTGTCATCTCTAAAATTATGCTGTATAAGCTGCCATGATCTTTAATCACATGTGCAGAACAAATACATAATTAATGTGCTCTTAAGATTATACTAATAATTGAGCTTTACAAACAACACCATCTCCATGGCTTAGGAAAACTATAACACTGTTATGGGATAGCAATCATTTCATAGCAGCTTGAGCATCAAAAACTATTGTCAAACATACTCCATATTTCAGCATAAATTCTAAAGCACAGTTTTGATTACTTGGTTTGGTGTCAGGATTCACTGCTTCTCCAAACTAAATAGCCCATTGAAAATTCTAGAGTTTCTTAAAAATTAAACTAGAGAGATATACCTAATGTTAAATGACGAGTTAATGGGTGCAGCACACCAACATGGCACATGTATACATATGTAACCTGCACGTTGTGCACGTGTACCCTAAAACTTCAAGTATAATAAAAAAAAATTAACCTAGAAATGTCCAACTGGAAATGTGGCACCAAATCAATTAAAAATGTGACACAAAAACTAATTTCAGAATAGATCTTCTTTATTTTTTCCTTACCAGAGGTAACTCTGTCTTACTGCTTTACTGGAAACAAACTTATTAAAACTCATTACATGATCTACAAACATAATCCCTAAATAAGATGTAACTATGAGGATCATTACTTTATAAAATATATCAATTCTTTCTAACTAAGGTAGTTACCATATATCACTAACTTTTTAAAAAGAATACTAATGTTTTTTCAAAAGATATATAATTTCATCCTATCAATTATAACGATATAATTAATAATTCAATAGAGAGAAATATCTAATAACAAATCTGTATAAAATAGCTACTTTAAAAATAGCCTAAGGGTTGTCAGAAAAATGACAAATGGAAAGAAATCAAAGATGTATTTGATACTCCCCTTACAGCTTGTCTTGTTGTACCCAGGTATTATGCACCTACAGCGTGTAAGGTCACACATTGATTGACAGCCTTCCCATGCTAAAGAAAAGAACTGAAAAAAGAGGCAGCACGTGGCAAATACCTCAGGTTCCTTTCTCAGCTAGTTCACTCAAATCCCCCTGTAGGGGTTTCCAATCCTCCCCTCAATTTCACCTTGAATTCTCTGGTTTGATTGAAGAGCTTCACAGAAGGGTCTATTACAGATTGAGGAATGATCCATTTCACATCTGAAGCTCCAAAGAGCTACTTGTGAGGAATCTTTGAGTGCATTTATCTCACATGTGAAGCTTTCTGCAAAATCAATATGGGTATTTTTCAGTTTGACAAGTCAACATGAAATATCACATAATAATAGAAAAACAGAGTTGTACATTTAAGCACAGCCAATACAGTTATCTGTGACAAAGCTTATAGTTATCACTCATGGATATTCTTGAGTATGTCTAATCTAAATTCATCCTGATGGCTGGGCTAGAGAGCATAGAAAGTGTAACTGACTGGTCATCATATTTCTGGCTGTTATGTCCTAATTAATCCAGGTTTTGTGGTGAGGGCAGAGAATGGGCAGGAATCATGGCCTTTGCTTCTAATGTGAGATTGATATGATAAGTGGAAGAAAGTAACCAAAGGTGAAAAAAAAAAAAGAAAGAAATAGAACAAAGGAGAGTTATTTTAAATAATTCACATTTAACTAATTGGCAAAACTGGGTGAAATGGTCACCCAAAGAATGACAACCATGTCTCATATCCCCACCACAACTGAGGCAAGTACTAGCAGAATAACTGACATATTTGTGAATAAGTGACGTATTTGTGTTGGGGTCTGATAATCTTTGGGTGAATTCCAAGTTTATTTTACCATCTGCATAAGCTTGAGGAACATGATTTCTCATCTCCAAATCTCTGTTTTTTCATTTTGAAATGGGATTAATCATAAGATTTTATCTTATACGTTTTCATGACAGTTAAACAAGATGCTGCATAAAGCATCTGGCACATAGAGAATGTTTCACTGTTGGTAATTATTGATGAAATTATTATGGTTTCATTGAACCCATTCACCACATCTCTAGGGCTCTAATCTGGTGCCACTTCTTCTGTCCCCTGGGACCTTTCTACATTGTTTGGTGTTCCCAAGTGGTAGATGACAATTCTGGTCAGAGTGTGCTCACTGAATTAGCTCTGGTCCTCATAGAGGAGTGCAGCGCTTGTCTTAAAAACAATCTTCCTCCAGCCAGGAAGGCTGTCCTCATCAACCACATGGGAGAAAACCAGATGGGAATGTGAAAAGGAAATAGAACTCAGGCGTAGAGTCCAAATCAGCTGATCAATCCAGGCAATCAGTGAGGCGAGAGATGGAGAGAAATGTCACATATGGTTTTTCTTCATATGGCAGTATGTTACAATTAATAATGGAGTTATCTCTATATACCCCATGATAGGAAAGACCTTAAAAACAAACAAAATAAACAACCCTCAGGAGAAACCCAGATCTAGTTAAATAGTTCACAACAACTATTTATTCCTCTCTGTCACATTTTTCGGTAACCTATCAACATGTAATACCCGATTATCTGTGCTTGGGCCAACTAATTTGTAGAATACTTGAAATATATTTTAAATTTTTTTAATTTAAAATTTTAATTTTAGGTTAACTCTCCCGACCACTCAGAATAAATCCAGAGTAGACAAAATATGTGAGTTCAGAGTCATAAAAATTAACTTTAAAAACAAAATAAGAAAGAACATCAGGCTAGGCGCGGTGGCTCATGTCTGTAATCCCAACACTTTAGGAGGCTGAGAAGGGTGGATCAGCTGAGATCAGCAGTTCAAGACCAGCCTGACCAACATGGTGAAACCCTGTCTCTACTAAAAATACCAAAATTATCTAGGCATGGTGGCACATGCCTGTAATCCCAGCTACTTGGAAGGCTGAGTCTGGAGAATTGCTTGAACCCGGGAGGCGGAGGTTGTAGTGAGCCAAGATTGTGTCATTGCACTCTAGCCTGGGCAACAAGAGTGAAACTCTGTCAAAAAAAAAAAAAGAAAAGAAAAGAAGAAACATCATTATAGAGCACAATAACTAAGTATAAATGACTTTGTGTTTAATTAATTCAAACAATATATATCAAGAAATTAATATATGCAATATTGTTAATTTTTTAGCTGCCCTACTGTTCTCCATTATTAAAATTAAGCTATAGTTTTCATTCCAAAAACAAATTAAAATATTTTCTTACATGCTGATATAGAATTACAAGTACAAATCAAAATAATTTCCTACTTAAAAAGGGTCATTTCTTTAAAATTTTATTTATTTGATTCGGGTTCAAAATACAAAATTTGTGTTCAAAATTTGTTCCTTTACTAAGGAAACAAATTTATAAATAATCATTAAGTTCCCAGATTGACACATAAAAACAAGTTTAATGTAAACTGTATCTGAAACACACTAATAATACCACCTCTCGAGCAACTCTAGGTTATAAGGTCTATAAATAAAGTAAACCCTGTGAAAGCTTAGGGAGTATCATTGGGCACCAAGTTTACAAACTTTGCGACATACCAGGCAAGAGATCAGATAGAAGGATGGATCAGTTAGGAGTTCAGGTGATCACCATTCTCGTCACCACCACCATGTGAACATCATCATCATTATTATACCATATTTCACCCAACATATTAGTACAGGATAGCTATTAAAATTATAATGGTAGGTAGCCAATAAGATGACATCTCATCATCTTGTATTTTTAAGTGGGTGGAAATGAAGTGCACCAGGATGTCAGAAACTTACTATATTCTCTCTGGCACATAAATCTTTTCCATGATGTTTATATTTCCCGTTCAGGACCCTGAGCATTTTTAATGTACTTTCATTTAAGCAAATAAAGGCTCTAAAATATCAGTCCACGTTTCAACATCTCCTGCTTTTAGATTTTGCCTTGTACTATGGCAAGCCAGATTCCTTAAGCACAGCTTTGAAAGGTCTAGGAAAGGAACTAGCTTGAGACCTGTTTAGCATATTCTTTAGCATTCTGGTAGTACCACAATATCAAGGCGAATATTTGCCTTAAAAAAAAATCCCAATGGAAAATAATTTTATGACTTTTCTCAATTATGTATTTGAAAGTTTATCCTCCTTCAGTATCAGGGTTTTCCACCTTATCCCATTTCTGGTTTTGATTTTAATTATAAACCTTACTACTCAAAACTATCAGTAATATCTGTCTTTCAGGTACTTCAAGTGTGCCAGTAACAAGCCTCATATAGTTCAACTAATATAAATGCTGACTATGGGCACTCGTTCCTGCCACTTGTCCATACATTTCAAGCAAGTACACACTATCCCTATGGTTTGCAATCTAAACGGTTTGCAAACCTAAATGGCCTCTGTCCTCATCATGTTGTATCACAAAACATACGCATACCTTCACTTTAAATGGAATTAAGCAGAGGCTGGGAAGGAGGAAGAAATAGGGAGTTATTGTCTAATTTTTGGAGTCTCAGCTTTGCAAAATGTAAAGGTTCTGAAGATCTTTTGCACAGCAATATGCACATACTCAACTCTACCAAACTATACACTCAAAAAATGGTTAAGATGGTAAATTTTGTATTTTGAACCACAATTTTTTAAATAAAAAAACTAAATAATGTAGTCAAACTGCTTTTAAAAAAACTCATATCCTGTTTTTTAAGTGTTAGGCAGCCAAGATCCTATGTCTCATTCCTAATTTCTTTCCTATAAAAATGTTGCCTGGGAAATTGTCTCTATAGTTTTCAGTTCCAAATGAACTAACATCTGACTTGACGTAGGATAAATTGCACATGAAAATATAGGTCAGGCCGGGCGCGGTGGCTCACGCCTGTAATCCCAGTACTTTGGCAGGCCGAGGCGGGCGGATCACAAGGTCAAGAGATTGAGACCATCCTGGCCAACATGGTGAAACCCTATCTCTACTAAAAATACAGAAATCAGCTGGGTGTGGTGGCGCTTGCCTGTAGTCCCAGCTACTCGGGAGGCTGAGGCAGGAGAATTGCTTGAACCCCAGAGGAGGAGGTGCAGTGAACAGAGATCGAGCCATTGCACTCCAGCCTGGTAACAGAGCGAGACTCCGTCTCAAAAAAAAAAAAAAAAAAAAAAAATACAGGTCAAAACTAAGTAAATTAATGAGACTCCGATTATACAATTTCACTTCTCTTCTGAAAGATTCGAAGAGTGAAGCACAAGAAAACCACCACTCCCAGGTGCTCTGCTCTAAGGCTGCAACTACCATACACTATTATCATTTAGAAACTCAAAATTTCACTGACTCTTCAGAGGACCAAGCAAAAGTTGAAGCTCATTGAGACAAAAATACTTGAGCTCAAACCAAACTAGTTTTCAGTGGTTTCTCCATTTTTGTAACAGAAGTTCCACAGAACCTTACCGCTCATTTTCTTTAGGGTTGCTGATTTTTTGTCTTTAATATTTTAACTTGATAGATTTTTTTACAGTTTTTTAAAAAGTTATATTATACAATAAAGACTTTTCAGGATTCAGGGTCATAATGCTTTTTTTTTTTAACAAGCTGATCAAATTTATATTTGTCCCACACAAAGTTAGGACACAGAAGCTTCAAAAGAAGTAGACAAAATGGGACCAGAGTAGCTTATGGAAACTAATGTCTTTATAATCCTGCTTCATATACACAGAATGAAATCAGTCAACAGCAAAAGCAGATAGTTTCCTTTTTAATGTAAGATCCCAGGGATAGAATGATAGAATAAAAGCTAACAGACATGGTACACTGATTCAAAAATTTATTACAAATTTTTTTTCTGTATTCCCACTTCACTTCAATCATTCTGTGACTTAATCATTTGTTTTTAACATTTATTCTTACAGTCTACATAGCTTATTAGATTAGGGGTAGCAGAACCTTGAGGGCTGGTGTGAATTTGAGTTTTGTAATAATACTAATAGTTTTAATAATAACAGTTACCTCTGACAACATCTCTCAGGCAATTATATCATTTCCTTAGAACAATCATGTGAGTTTAGTATCTATATCTCTCTGAGATATGAGGAAATTAAATAACTTGGCCAAAATTGCACACTAAAAAAAATGCCATGCTCTTAACCACGAAGCTTTGCTGCATCTTGATGAATTGTCATAAGTGTAGCTTCATGTCAATGTAGATTATTTTTCCACCTCATCCATTAAAAACGCTTCTTTACTTATCTTCTTGATAACTGAGCTCCCTCTCACTTTTGGGATATTCTATTGCCCAGTAGCTTCTGAATAGAAATGATATCTTGGACACAGTCACTTGTTTTGATTGACGCTATGATTGAACTAAATATGGTCATTAACCAACATGGTCATTGACTGCCAGCAGCAGCTCCCTTTGTTCCACTGCTACCTCACGGGCACCAGTGCATAACTCACTTTTATGGGGTGTGTGGTCATCAGGCAACGAGCTTACAGACCATTTACTACATATAGCAACATCCACAAAGGCATGAATTTTGAAATTTCCTTGAAGTCAAGGCTATCATCATTAGTAATTTAGGGTATTCCAGAAGACACTAATACCCACTGCAAATGCCACAACACCAGTGAAGAACATAAAGACTAGCACAATGGGCCTTTCCATTTTCCTGCCTCAGACCTTCCTTTCCCTTTCCTCACACCTTTCTATGCCCAAGTGGGTATATTTGTGCCTTTCCTAATGAATACAGAGTGGGGACGCACCCACAAGAGGTTATTGGGGCTAGTCTTAGAATCCAAGAATAGTGGAACTGGAACCCTAAAAACTCTCTAGACTATGCCATAAAATTACATATGACAAAAATGTGGTCCAAAGAGGTCCAGTGGTTTGCCCAAGGGCATAAGCCAACAAGTGAAAAAGTGGAGACTTTAAACTCCAAGTACAGTGCATTTCTACTTATAAGACTGTCTTCAACAAAAATCCAAATAATTTACTGGACACTTTACATACAGTATTTCATGTAATCCTCACAACCTTCACATAAGATAAAGATTATTACTCTTTCTACAAATGAAACAGATTAAATAATTTAGCAAAGTTCACATAGTTAGAAAGTGTCAGTAGCAAAGATCTGCTATTAACACCTTACTTTCAATGAAATGGGAAGGGAAGGGAAGGGAAGGGAAGGAAAGGAAAAGGAAGGGAAGGAGAGGGGAAGGGAGGAGAGGCGAGGAGAGGGGAGGGAAGGGGAGGGTAGGGGAGCTAATCCAGGAAGGATTATGACACTAGACAGTGAGACAGCAATGGACTGATTTTGAGATTAGAGAAGAGGAAGTTGTGAAATTAAGGCCCAGGGAATTTATTTTAAAAACTAAAATAAATATGTTACATAAACACACTGGTCTTTAACTTTATTTCTTTATAACTTCTTTTTTTTCCCAAAAGGGTTTAAGTAGTATTATTTTTTAAATGCATCCAATACAATAAAATAAAATAAACTTAAAGTAGGTAAATAAAATGAGTCCAGGAGAAAATGCAGTGATGTAAAAGAGACAAAATTCTTGCAAAGAAGCCTGATACACTTGCCAGAGGTAGGCTATAAATTTGAATCTGAGCTTTCAGACTGGCTACATGAAGAGGGAAACATGATCCATTACATGAACTGCAGCATCCCTAAAACAAAGAACAAGCCATTTGTCCAGGAGAGACATCATTATTCCTGGTTATGAGACCATAGAGAAATTTGTCCCTGTGGCCCTCCTTGAGAAGGCACAGTATAAAGCAGAGAACAGAGGCCTCAACAATATCCTCACAGCACACAGAACAACACATTGTGTAGGGCTGTTTATTGTACCGTTCATTAGTGCAGCAGCCTTGCCCTGGGGCAGAATTCAGCAATGGCACTTCTTGGAGAACAGCATGCTAGTTGTCTCCAGGAACGGGAAGGAAGAGAACTGTGTTGAATGGGAAGGATGCTGAAACAACATAGACACGGTGTGGAAGTCTCACACAAACACAACACTAAGCTAACCTCCTTAACACCTTCACTAGAACACCACCAACCCATCTCAGTTTATGAGTCATTGAGCCTCTTTCCACTTACTTTGTCCAATCCTGTTTGGATTCACTCTTCCTAATCTCCCCTAATGCCAAGGAGGAACAGATCAAAACCAGTAGCTCCTGCACCAAACCCAAATATCAAATTGACCTGAGGAAAGTGATGAAGTGGGCAAAGTAGGCAAGGTGAGGCCAGGAGAGCCACTTCAACAACAGTGTGCTCAAAGATGGTGACAGTGCAGTGTGTCAGATAGGGGCTCCACCACTCAAGCTCAGCAAAGAGCCCCAGTGACCACAAACAAACCTCTGCTACAAGACTTTACACTCGTTCACTTATTCACTCATTTACTGAGTCCATAAATACTTTAGTAAGTATTAAGGTTACATGCTGGGGATACACAGGTAGACAAGACACAAGTGGCCCTTTCCTAATGGAGCCTTTACCTGAAGATGTTCTTAATTGGGACAACTTGAGGAGGTAGAAGAGAGCTGGAGAAGTAATTAAGGATTAAGGAGATCCTGCTTTTTTTTTAAATTTTATTATTATTATTTTTGACGGAGTCTCGCTCTGTCGCCCAGGCTGGAGTGCAGTGGTGCAATCTTGGCTCACTGCAACCTCCACCTCCCTGGTTCAAGCAATTCTCCTGCCTCAGCTTCCTGAGTAGCTGGGACTACAGGTGGCCACCACCATGTCCGGCTGTTTTTGTGTTTTTAGTAGAGATGAGTTTTCACCGTGTTAGCCAGGATGGTCTCGATCTCCTGACCTCGTGATCCGTCAACCATGGCCTCCCAAAGTGCTGGGATTAGAAGCATGAGCCACCACGCCCAGCTGATCCTGCCGTTTTTTCATAAAAGGCCATAGGAAAGTTTTTCTGGAAATTGGGAGAGCAGCCCTTCTTTAGAGATTAACTAAAGACCGTGACCTTGCTCTTCATTTCAATAGTCCATGCCTTCCAGTTGCTTCGTCTATCAAGAAGGAAACTAATACCTAAAACAAACACTTCATAGTGTTTTATGACAGCAAAAATAAGAGTAAGATGTGAAAGCTACAAACATTCTAGAAGTATTATCTCCAAAAAGTGTGCACATTGATAAAATGGACCTTAAAGTTATTACACATAATAATTGTACCTGAGTGTCTGTCACAGTTAGAAACATGTTAAAAATACAAGATAATGAAATAAAAATGAGCAATTTATTCTATCTAAATACTAGACAACTATATTAATTAATAACATTTAATGTCTTGCATGGAAGGACTCACCAAATTACAAATATAGTCCTTCTAGAATACTAAAACCATAACTAAGTGTAGGCTAAAATAGAACCACCAGTGAACCCTTACCTGTTGATGTACAAACAATGTGTTTATGTATAAGGAATAAAATACAATTTAAAATAGTCATTTCACATCATCAAGCGAAGTTCAGAGCATGCTAAGAAATAACTGTTCCAGAAAGGGTTGTGCCTTCTTCACCTGCAATTTCTTTAACTGAAACTGGAACTATCATCTCCCTTCCCCAACTCACTGGTTCTTGTTACACCAAAGAAACGTAGCCAACTGAAAACAATGAGCAGTTGTCGTGACTGTAGAGATTAAACCAATTTTAAGCATTTTTACATAAAGCACGTATCACAAGATGCACTGCACAGCATTATTTGCCTGAGGTCGGATTCTTACCTTTTCCTTTTCTAGATTGGTTAACAAGCACTACATATTTAAGAATGGAATTCTTCATCTTCAAAGTTATCTGATTGCACGTCATAAACAATTTGATTGAAAGTAAAGGGGAGCCAGTTGTGGTGCTTATGCCTGTAATCCCAGGGCTTTGGGAGGCCAAGGCAGGAGGATCACTTGGGGCCAGGAGTGTGAGACTAGCCCAGGCACCATAGCAAGACCCCATCTCCACAAAAAATAATCCTACTACTAGGTATCTACCCAGAGGAAAAGAAGTCATTACACAAAAAAAATACTCGCACACTCATGTTTCTAGCAGCATCATTTGCAATTGCAAAAATATGGAACCAGCCCAAATGTGCATCAATCAATGAGAGGATACAGAAAATGTTTTTTATACACACACACACACACACACACACACACACACACACACACACCATGGAATACTACTTAGTCATAAAAAAGAATGAAATAATGGCATTTGCAGAAACCTGGATGGAATTGGAAACTATTATTCTAAGTGAAGTAACTCAGGAATGGAAAACCAAATATCGTATGTTCTCATTCATATGTGGGAGCTAAGCTATAAGGATGCAAAGGCATAAGAATGACATATTGGACTTTGAGGACTATGGGGAAAGGGTGAGGGGGTGGCAAGAGATAAAAGACTACACATTGGGTACAGTGTACATTGCTTAGGTGATAGGTGCACCAAAATCTCAGAAATCACCACTAAAGAACTTATTCATGTAACTAAACACCACCTGTTCCTCAAAAATCTATTGAAATAAAAAAGTAAAATAAAACAAAAATTAAAATATTACCAGGCATAGAGGTATACAACTATAGTCCCAGCTACTTGGGACGCTGAGGTGAAAGGATTCCTTGAGTCCAGGAGTTCAAGGGTGCAGTGAGCTATGATCACGCCACTGCACTACAGCCTGGGTGACAGAGCAAGACTGTCTCAAAAAAAGAAAAAGAAACAAAGAAAGTAAAGGGCTCATTGGATACCTCACTTGCTAAAGTAGTGTGGTACCTGTGTAATGCTCTTTTAGCACCCTTTAAAATATGCCTAATCTCTTACCTCTTCCCACTTAGTTTCCTGGATTCAAGGCTATTTCAATGCTCTCCAGGCATCATTATTCCTGGAGACCAATTATATCAAACATTAAAATACACCCATATCACATATTAAACACAATCATTTTGCTGAAAAACTTTGGAAAGAATTTTTGTTTTTAAAACCATTTTTTGTTTCTGAAATACTTAGGCCTCAAGTAATACACCAAATTTACAATGAGCTGTGATTTCTATGCAATCAACATGCACATTTGAACTGTTTTCAAATGTAATGACAATTTTTATGAGCAATCTTTTTGACAATGAATGAAGCTGACACAACATTGCATTTGTTTATATTTGTTAATCTGAGTTTTGTAGTTTTTGTCATTTGCAACCAATATAATTATAATCAGGTCTTAAATATTTTCCTAAGTCCATGAAACCTATAAACTCTGGAGTGCTTTTCTTCTTAATGATGACATGGCCCCACCCACATCAGCCCCACATATCATTTTCACCAGAGACCTGGTCCAAAAGTCTCTGGAGACTGAGCCACCAAAAACCCAACCCAGCGGTGGGCACTGTGAAATACTGCCTTGTCTTCTCTGGTTGAAATCTGGTGCTGGCTAGTCTTCTGTCAAGTGGGCCACATGCGGATGGAAGTGATACTTTCTCTAAGCCCTCCAAACTCCTCAATGCCTGGTAGCTACATTTGGCTGCTTGTTTGGAATTTTTTTTTTTACATCTTTTAAATAAAGTCCTTTCGAGGTCCAGTTGGACATTAGAGGAATAATATGTAACTGACCACATTCCCTTTCATTCACACATACACACACACACACACACACACACACAGACACACACACACACACACACAAAGCACTCAGAGGAAATAGTCTTCAGAATAGATACAATGCATAGCTCTTAACATCTCATATTCAGTCTTTAGAGGCTTCTCAAAGGCAACTACTGCAGCTAGTAGCCCTGGATCCCCACCAGTAGTGAATTATGCTGGGGCCAGAACTCTCCTAGTCCACCACTTCCAATGCTATAGACTCCCATCCTTTCTACTGTACCACTTTAATGGTGAAATGTCTGGAAAATTTGGAAAATTGTGGGAGTAATTACGGCATATGCATATAATTTAAAATTCCATGGAGATTTTTCAATATTTACAATTCTAATTTCCTTGTGGATGACACTGAATTTCTAAAGCAATGGCACCATTAATCCTTAAAATCTATACCTTACATTGGGATCTCATGCTTTGCCTCTATAAGCATCTCCCTAATCCAGTCTCTCACTTTATGCATTTAATATTGGTTGAGCACCTGTCTGTGCCAGGGACCATTGTTGAATCCTGGTGAGTACAGTAGACCCAGTCCCTGGGAACAAAAAGGGCAACTATTGTGACCCATTGTAGTGTTTTATTTATGTGCTTCTGCAAGACTAATTTAAGCCTATTTTACTACAACCCAATCCCATTGCTTTTTGTTCTGCCCTCAGAGTAGGTAAATAGCAGCCAGTCACTATTCTCTCCCAGATAGCTTTCCTGATACTTGAAATGCTCAAGTTCTTTTCTCTTGTTCAAAATAAACATATTTTTTCTGCAAAGAAAAGAATATTACATTTGATGTGTGCAACAAGCCAGTATAACTCCTTTGCCGTGTCATCACATTGTCATTGATATGAAAATATGGAATATAAATTTTCAGTCACATTGAAAGGATAAAGCAAAAGATAGTCCCATGTGATCAGCCAGTTTCTTAAGCATTAATCTATACACTAAACCTGATATTCTAAGAAAATGTTCTATAATGGAAGAAAAATTTTGCATCACTGCGCTAGCTGAGGGAAAAATAACTAATAGTCTTTATCCCTTATGACTCATATCAGAGTGCCCTGCCCCCAAAGAAATCAAGACACACTGTCACTGAACCACATTATTATCCCTTAAGAAGACTATAAAATGTGTACATCATTCATTCGTTGACATTGAACTTGTGCCAAAACTATTAAGAGCTCATATTAATAGATATCCCAAACGTGTAGGAATGAATACAGAATAAAACACAAAATGAAATTGGTATTCACTACTAATTTGTCTTTTATAAATGATTAAGTAAAGCATTTGAAGGAAATAAAAGGGCAATAAATAGCCTTTTATCACAAACTGGGGGATTTCTCTTACTCCAGGCTTGCATACAACCAGTTTAGAAATATGCATAATTGCCTATGGTCAACATCATATCACTGCCAGATCACACATTAAACAGATAACCACTATTATTATAAAAGCAACTTCCTTGACCTCATATTTTGGTCTGGCTAGGAATTCCTGTATTTTCCCAGATCGGCTGTTGCATAGTGCCAATCTTGTGCTGTGCATGTCAATTTGTACCAGTGGAAGTGACCGATGCCTCACAGAACTTACTCTAAAACATGCTTATATGCATATGAATAGCATAAGTTCAAGAAATATGATCATAGTTGTTCTTGCAGTGCTTTTTAAAATCTGAAGTCTATGTGTTGGTTTGTGTTTTTTTTTTATTATAGCTAAGGTACAGTGTGTGTTATTTGGCAGCTGAATTTGACATGAAAACATAAAAGGTTTGGGCAACCACATATTTGGAAATAGAAATCTTTCCTGAAAACATGGCTTTGGTTTTTAAACACAGCTAAATTTCTGGAAACTTCAATTTGTTAAAGACAGCCAAGACTTCAATCATATTTAACATATTCCTGGGGTTTACATATAGTGTTTCAAAGTAATAAACAACATCTTGTTTGGAGTAGCACGAAGAAAATGAGGCAAGCACTTCTTTAGAGTAAAAGCTCTACTTTTAAAAATAGTTTGGAGACTCATTCTTATGTTGGTAAAATCACAAAACACTATTCAGCAAACAAAACATGATGAGCTCAATTCAAGTTGGTAAACATTTTTAGCTGGCTTCATTTGTAGTAAGAATTTTAATGTAACCATGACTTCAGGAATGCATCCCTTATAATGGAAACTTAAGGGGTAAAACTTTTTTGTAATTGTTAATAAGAACAATGGTGTTACATTTGCACTTGAAAATCAGAGGAGATGTGATGACAACAGTAAATTGATTGTTAGAACAATTTTTAAAATCACATTACAGTGCACTAAAATGCATCTGTATTTAGTCACTAACACTCTCACTGCAATGACCAAAAAGCCTCAGGCCTGTTTCACCAGCAGAAAATAGTCTCTTTCCAAAGGTAGGGTCTATACATACTGTACCTCCAGCACATGAAACTTGCATGCAAGCTGTAAATCCTTCACATGCTTTTGCCTCATTGGTCCAAATATGAGTGATGTCTAAAAACCCTTAAGTCACTTAGTAAGAATAACAAACACTTTCCAAGAAGCAAAACATGATGAGTCAAAATAAAACCATCCAAGGAAAGAAAGACATGGGGAGCTTTCTCTATGCTTTGTATAAGACGTCAGGTCAAATTTCACTTAATCATGCTCCTCAAACAGGGACTCAGAACAGAACATTCTTCATAAGAACACTCATGGACGCACATTCACATAACGTATGGCAAATCATCTACTTATTAAACATACAAACATCTTGCTCCTGTGATTAATATTCCTTTATTTTGACTTTATGTTATTCCTAATTTTCAGGCAATACATATTTTGATAGGTAAAACATAATAATTCATCAAAAAATTGAAAAGTTGGTGACATGTTATTCTCCTTTCTCACCACCTGTATTCAAAACTACTATTGAAGTGGACCTCAGAATAGAAAGACCTTGGGTCCAAGTTTGCCTGGGACAGTCTTGATTTGAGTCTCTTTACCTGAAGCAATTAATAATGCCTCTGTTCCAGCTCAAAAGTCTTCCAATTTGGATGATAAACTATATGGCTACTTTTCTTTCTTTCTTCCTTCCTTCCTTTACTTTCCTTCCTTCCTTCCTTTCTTTTCCCTTTCTTTCTTTCTCTCTCTCTTTCTTCCTTTCTTTCTTTTTTCTTTTTTCTTTTTTTCCTTCTTTCTTTTCTTTCTTTTTTTTTTTTCAGAGTTATACTCTGTCACCCATGCTAGAATGTGTGCACTGGCACAATCATAGCTCACTGAAGGCTCAAATACCTGGTCTAGCAATTGTCCTACCTCAGCCTCCCAAGTAGCTGGGACCACAGGCACATGACACCATGTCAGGCTAATTTTTTATAGAGACAAGATCTCCCAGCGTTGCCCAGGCTGGTCTCAAACTGCTGGGCTCAAGTGATCCTCCTGCCTCGCCACCCTTCCTTTAAGGTAATGGATGACACTTACTTGATACAAATTCCAGAGCACCAAGCATATTTGCCTTGAGTATTTCCCTGAACTACACAAGAGAGTCTGAACTCTCCCAGCTATAGTACAAGTTCCTTAGTACTGATTACATTTTTATTTAACTGTATGTCCCATGAACTAGCACAGTGTTCAGCATATAGCAAATGCTAAGTAAATGTTATTCTGGTATATCAACTCTCCAGCCCTATATCAGAATTTAGTTTACAGGGATCTTGATTGCCTTTCCCTTCTACAAGATAGCACACTGATCCACTATATTGATGGTATTACACTGACTGGACCTAGTGAGGGAAAAGTAACGACTACTTACTGGTAAGACATTCGCATCTCAGAAGGTGGGAAATAAATCCAATTAAAAATCAGGGACATTCTCCCTTAATGAAATATCTAGGCATCCAGTGGTAGGGAGCATGCCAAGATATCCCTTCTAAGGTAAAGAATAAGTTGTTGCATCTGGCCCCTACTACAACCGAGAAAAAGGCACAACATTTATTGGGCCTATTTGGATTTTGGAGGCAATAGATTTCTCATTTGGGTATGTTATTACTCTAGCCCATTTACTGAGTAACCCGAAAAGCTGGTAGTGTTGAGTGAGACCCAGAATAAGAGAAGGCTCTGCAAGAGATTTAGGCTGCCATTCAAGCTCCTCTGACACTTGGACTATGTGATCTGGAAGATCTAATGGTACTTAAAATGTCAGTGGCAGATAGAGATGCTGTTTGAGCCTTTGGCAAACCCCCATAGGGGAATCAAGGATCAAGCTTTTAGGATTTTGGAGCAAGGCCCTGCCATCATCTGCAGATAACTACTCTCCTTTGAGAGAGAGAGCCCTTGGCCTTAAAGGAAACTGAATGCTAGACCTTGGGCCATCAAGTTACCAGAAGACCTGAGCTACCCATCACGAACTGGGTTTCAGCTGAGCCATCAAGCCATAAAGTTGGGAATGCACCACAACACTCCATCATCACATAGAAGTGGCACACAACATCATGAGGCCTGAGCAGGCCCTGGAAGCATAAGTAAGTAACATGAAATGGCCCGAATGTCCATGGCCCCCACTGCTGCTATTCTACCTTCTCTCTTCCAGCATGCACCTGTGACCTCACAGGGAATTCTCTACAAACCAGTTTACCAGAAAATAGAAGACTCAGGGCTGGTTTACAGGTGGTTCTGTATGAGATTCAGGCACCACACAAAAGTGGACAACTACAGCACCACAAGCCCTCTCTAAAACATCCCTGAAAAACAGTGGTGAAGGGAAATTCTCCCAGTGGGCAAAACTTTAGACAATGCACCTGGTTGTGCATTTTGCTTAGAAGGAGATACAGCCAGACCACAATGATATACCAATTTACGGGCCATAGACAATGATTTTGCTGGATGGTCAGGGATGTGGAAGAAACATGACTGGAAAATTGGTGTCAAGGAAATTTGAGTAAGAGGATAGGCCTTTCTGAATGGGAAAAACCGTAAAGTTATGTGTGTCCCATGTGAATGCTTACCAAAGGGTGACCTCAGCAGAGAAGGATTTTAATAATTAAGTGGTTAGGGTGACTTGTCCTGTGGACTGCTCTTCCCTCCTAAAGCTTGCTCCCCCACTTTGTTCAAGCCTCTACACACTTCTCAGTGAGGATTTTCCTGGCCATCCGATCTAAAGTTCCAGACCCTTCCACCTCACTATCCTCTTTCTACACTTTAGGCATCTCCATCACACTTATCATTCCTAATATATTCTATATTTAGCTTATTCATTTTTCATGTCTTATTCAAATGTAAGCTTTTTGGGAGGAGGGATTTTTGTCTGTTTTTGTCTTCTACTGAATTACTAATGTCCGGAGTGGGGTCTGGCACAAACAAGGCTCCACAAATAATTATGCATTTACTGAATTCTCATTAATAGTAGTAGTAATCGTATTACTATCGCTATCTATAGTCTATGTAGTCTAAAGATCAGAGCTAAGCACATTGCATCATTTTATCATTGAATCTTTTTGTTTGTTTGTTTTTGAGACGGAGTCTCACTCTGTCGCCCAGGATGGAGTGCAGTTGTGCAATCTTGGCTCATTGCAACCTCCGCCTCTCAGGTTCTGGGACTACAGGTGTGCACTACCACATCAGGCTAATTTTTGTATTATTATTATTATTATTATTATTATTTTAGTAGAGACGGGGTTTCACCATTTTGGACAGGCTGATCTCGAACTCCTGGCCTCAAGTGATCCACCCAACTCGGCCTCCCAAAGTGCTGGGATAACAGGTGTAAGCCACCGCGCCCCGGCCTTATCATTGAACCTTGACAGTAGCACAAGGCCATGAGTGATAATATGCCCATAACACAGATGGAACAACTGAGACCAAAAAAAAAAAAATCCTCAGAATTTGGCAAAGAAAGATCATACTCCTAGTAAGTGGAGGGTTTGGGAGAGAAATTACCCCTAAACCTGTGCTCCATCCAGTGGTACATTCTGCCTCTCACACTGATGTTAATGCCCTATTGAAAATTTGCATACTATTTACTCTGAGGACCCCAAACAGCAGTAATTATTGTCATCCAATCACTCATGAATGTGTTTGTCTTCGTCTCATACCTGTCTTTTAAGCACTAATCAGGCACTGGGATAGTTACAAAAACAAGGTCCCTCATAGCTTACAGTCCAGCAGAGATCAAAACAAAGGTCCTGCCATGTAAACAGAAATGTAATAGATTTATAGGCTTCGGTTGGAGCCCGAAGGAGAGAAGGCAGTGGCCCCAGTGAAGACAAGAATGAAGGTAAACTCTGCCTTCCATGGAATTTTGTCTAAGATCAACTCTGGTCGATTCAAAGGAGCTGAAAAAGTGTTCCTATAACTTCTTTAATGATGATGCCCTTTCCTATAGCCCTTTCATTCTCATCTCCCCAACTTTTTCATTATGAATATGCCCCTACTTTTTAATAGAAGACGGAAGCCTAGAAAAGCCTATGCTAAATGTCTGTTTTTAACAGGAGTTTCTGATCTAAAAGAAGAAATTATCTGTAAGAATCTCCAACCATCCACATAGGAAAAAAAAAGTATGAAATATTAAATATTTTATTTCACTAAATCCCCCTTCCTGCAGTCTAACAATAGGCAAATATCAGGTGAAAAGTGGAGAGTCAGTATTTTCAAACTATTTGCCTGACCATTTCACAGCTTGCAGACTCTGGTTCTCAAAATCCTTATTTTTTAAAAAAGGGAAAAAAGTAAAAAACCATGAAGATACGTCACAGTATTTTCCAGAAAAATAAATTTTTCTATGTTCGCTATGCAAGCAGAAAGTGATAAGGTGTAGTAATTTTGGTAATAAACCTCAAGATAAGACTTTAAAAATTAAAAAGAAAATGTATATGGAGTCACATCTAGATATGCCTAGGAGAACTTTTAAAGTATGACCTTGGAGGGTCAGGAAAGTTTTTGGCTTCTTATTTTATATAATTTTATAACTATTATTATGTGGGGGGGTTGGTATTTTTCAAATAAAAAAGAAACCAGACAAGGCTAATATTGAATGCTTTTATATATGCATATTGCAGTACACAAAAAGGAAGTCCATTGTCAATGAATATGTTGATTTACATAACAGACACCTTTATTCAGGGTTAGCAGGAAGTGCTATGGCACAGTGGTTAGAAGTGGGGGTTTCTAAGTCAGACAGACTTAGAAATGATCAAAATAGACAGAGACTAGACTTGAATGTAAGCCTCATTCTTATTGGTCATGAAATGGAAAAAAATATAGTTTACCTTTTTGAAACCTATTTTCCCATCTGTAAAATGGAGATAATAATACTAATCTTTTTGTTTTGTCATTAAGATTTTAGAAGTTGGCCAAGTGCAGTGGCTCACACCTGTAGTCTCAGCAATTTGAGATGCTGAGGCAGGGGGATTGCTTGAGCCCAGGAGTTCAGACCAGGCTGGGCAACTTAGTGAGATCCCTATCTCTACAAAATTTTTTAAAATTAGTCAGGCTAGGTGACAGAGTGAGACCCTGGCTCAAAAAAAAAAAAAAAAAAAGATTTTAGAAGTTAATATGCTTGGTATGTACTATGCCTGGAATTAAAAACAATTATTGCTATGGGAGATTATAGTTTACAAAAGTGACCAGTGAGTCTATAATAGCATTAAATTCCCCAAATGTAGACATAAAAGTTCAGAAAAAGAAACTGATAATAGACTGTTAGAAAAGCCTGAATCTGATAATAAGGTGGCTCAATTACTCAGATATTGGTTAGGATAATAATGATACTAAATGTACATCCTGTTTCTAAAGATGTGTGCTTGCTCTTCTAGCTTCCTAAATAGTCAACAGTCTCAAGAGACTGGTTCTTGAGACTTAACCATGTATGATTAAAAATAATAGACGATATTGAAACCATCTGGTTCAGCAAATGCTCTCAGGACTGAAAAGCCAAGGTACTAATGTTGCTTTTTAAGATAATACAAAGTGCCAAAAGGAATGCTGATTAAATTTCTAAAAGGTAAACTGCTTAACACAGAAAAATGAGGAGTTATTTCTTAAAGAGTTAGAGGAGATTCCATTGAAATTTATCACAGTTAAGAACCAAATCAAGACAAGAAAAAAAGTGATACAAATAAAAGTGCTTAAGCAGAGATTTTTAAAGCAAGATGTTTAAACAATTAGTGGAAATCTGTATATGTTTATGTAATAAAATCACATACAATAAACAGAAATAACAAGGTTAGGCTAAAAGGAAAATGACAGACAATGAACTTGAAATCTACAAAATATTTCAAATAATCCTAAACGTCTTTTTACAAATGTTAAACACAGCCTCCTGATGAAAGAATAATTTTTTTTAAAGTCAGATTGGGTAGGGCTCAGGGATTTAACAATGGAGAGGCATAGATTGTCTTGCTGTCTCAGCAAATATTGTCATGAAGCAATCTTGCTTTCCAACTTTGTAAAAAGAGCATTTGAGCAGTGTACACATACCAGAAGAAATTGTTGTCGGTCGAGGAGTAAAGCTGGCACACTGGGCTTTTATTCCTTTCCTACCACTACAGGGGACTAATCACGTCGAGGACACATCTGCAAAGCTGGTCCAAGGTATTGACGGAGAAATTGCCATCTTTGTGATGAAATGCAGAGGACCCTTGCCTCCTCCAAGAAATCTGCCTCAGTCAACCAACCATAGAAAGACTCTTTGTCTTAGAGATAAATGAAACTACGGCCTTATTTCCAGAGAACAACTTATGCTACCTGAGAGGAGACAGAGCACTCTGGATGTGCGGATTCTCCTGACCCCGATTTTCTCCACTTGCCCGTTAGCACAGATTAGTTTACTGTTCACTTTGCCCCCTAGACACTAGGCATAGACAACATGAGCAAGTGAACTGTAACAGAAACAAGGCTTTGATGAGAATGGGAAGTGGGCTAGGGGTAGGGCAGAGTAGAGGAATAGCACAGGGCATCGGGCCAGAAAAAACAGGCTCTGATGTACATACGGAGTCCATATTTTCCAAACCAAAACTCGTGACACGTAGCTTGACAAGTATGATTGTGCTTATGGGAACAACAGGACAGAATATTTACAACCCAGAGTTGCCCTGGAAAATCTAGGATATATAAACACCACATCCATAAAGGCATTGAAAGTGGGAAGGCTAACATAACCTACTTTAGAATTCTGCAAGTGCTGGCCCGCACATGTGAAACCCCGTGTGTTAAGTCACCCTGGTCTCTATTTATTTCTATCACAAACACATTACATACTTTTGACACATTTAGGGTCTCTATTCCAAAGACTTGCCTTAAGAATAGCAGGTGATATCTGAATGAAATAGATATTTACAGTTGAGTAAAAAAGCGTGCATCATGTCATATTACATTGTTTGCCAAACTAGCCTGCCCAGGCCTTACAGGAGTACTAAATTCACCTGGAGACTTTAGTGTAATGCAAAAGATAAAATATCTCAGTGAGACTGTGGACTCTTGCACACAACTTTCAGGTTAGGATCCACAGGTTTACAGAAAGAAAGAAAATTAATCAAGTCAAATGTGTGCCATTTTTTCTTTCCATTTAATTACTTGCATGTGAGAGTCATTGTTTCCTATAAGACCCCCCTCAAAAATACTTTAGTGAAAGCTTCTTGTAGAAAGGAAAACAAAGGTCAGTAACCTAATATCCCCAAGCAACCCTACAACAACAAACCAGGGAGGGAAAAAAAAGTGAAGAAATGCTCTGACTGGGAAAAAGATCTTCATTTGTTTATTCTTTCAACAGTGAATAAAAGTTATGATTCTGCCAATAACTATAAATTGATAGTGCTTCCAACTTTTAAAGAATATATAAGGAGACCACATAAAAGATTAGAGCGATCTTTTATGTGAGGTCAGAAGTTTTTTAAGGACTGGAAATATATCAAATACAATATATCAAATTTGTCATGACACCTTACAAATTGACATCTGGGAAAATGCCTCAGAGATGATCTAACAGAGGGAAATCTCATCTGTTTCAGATGAGGAAACTGAGGCACAGCAGCATGTCCAAGGTTACCTGATTGGCTGTAACTGAGTCAGGACAAAACCCTGTCTCCTGCAGAGTTTACGGACAAGTTTACTCATCTGTAAAATGACAGGGCCGAACTCTGAGGTCAATGCCAACCATGACATCCTGCAATGCTATATTGATTGATTGCTTTGTAATCTACTTATTTGTATTTTGGCTCTTAAATAAAGGTAAAGCTGCCAGTTTGACATATTTCTAGCCCTTAGAAAGCTGACCTGACAGTAAAGCCCTTCCAAAACATTTATAGAGACAATGTTATGAACAATTTGCAGAATTTCCTAAGGTGACACATTTCGAAGTACAGTGCAGTTACAGGCAGCCTGAATGGATGCATGCGAGGGAGGTATTATTTTTTTTAATTTTCAAGATGTCACTGCCAAGGGAGACATATGCCAAATGGTAACATCGGCTTCTATTTAAAAAAAAAAAACCAAAAACAAAAAAGCCTCTAAAAAAGGCATGAAGAGCAATGAAAAACATGACAAGAAGAAGAATGAAATATCTAAAGCAGATATTAGGAATAAGGAAATATATTGATTAAGTACTTGGTGTTTAAAGGCATCTGATGCCTCTGCCTTCCCATTATACCTGCCTCCAAAACATAGCCATGCTGAGGTTTCCCAATATTTAACAAACTACCATAAATGCTGGAAAAATACTCTAAAATCAGAGTATCTAAATCAGAACATAAAATTGAAATATATTTAAAAATCTTCTATTCTAGTTATGATTTTTTTGTTTATCTTTATTGTGGATTCTTACCAGCATTTCATTTAGTGCTAAGGTAGATTTTATGTAGTAAGAGAAAAGATAGCTTCATGACATAAATATTAAATTAACAAATGAATGGCCAAACTGTTAAAAGCAGGGGTAACCAGATAATTACTGTATTTAAAAAGTTGTCCAGTCAGATGTAGGATGCTTTACATATATTATAGGTAAAATTATTAAAAACACAATATGCCTGTAATCCGAGCACTTTGGAAGGCTGAGACAGGCGGATCACCCGAGCTCAGGAGTCCAAGACTACCCTGGGCAACATGGCAAAACTCCGTCTCTACTAAAAATACAAAAATTAGCCAGGCACCGTGGCACATGCCTGTAGTCCCAGCTACTCTGGAGGCTGAGGCAGGAGAATTGCTGGAGCTTGGGAGGCGGAGGTTGCAGTGAGCTGAGATCGCGCCATTGCACTCCAAAGTCAGACCCTGTCTCTGAATGAATAAATAAATAAATAAATAAATAAATAAATAAATAGAAACACAATAAGCCAGTTGAACAGAACATTCTTTCTCTTGTGGGTCACAGTGTGCCTTTTTCATAACATATAGAATTAGCCAAGTTATCTATGCTACCAAAATTATGACTGGAAGCAGCTGAGAAAGCAAAAGTACTTGGGAAAAAATTGCTGGGCAGTCTGGTTGTCTGGTTACCTGGCAAACTTCCCCACACTGTCGGATAACCAGGTAAACTTTGAGATCTCTAATGTATTTTCCCACATTGATAGGAGTACAGAAATTTTATAATTAAACAGACCTGGTTTTGAACTCATTGCTTATTAGTTGTTGTTCTTGGGCAAATTACTTTTCTCAGGGATTATTTCATTGTCTGAATAATTGGAATAATAATGTCTGACTCACTAAATTTTTAAATGATCAAATTAGATAGCATCCAAAAACTAGCTGTCATGGCGTACAGCACACAGAAAACATCCAATAAGTTGGGATAGTCTAGTAGTGGTAGTAAGAATAGTGATGGTCCTTATCTTTTCTTTGATTGACACATGTTGTCGTGAAATTAACATAGGTTTTGAGTTCAGAGAGTTTGGTTTGAAGCCAGACTCTACTCTCAGTGGTTTGGTGCCAAGAGAATTTCTCTGGTTTCAATTTCTTCTTCTGCAAAATGAATACCATAACACCTGATTCTTAACTGCTATTATGAAAATTAAATGAGATAATATATATTAGTGCTACACAGTGCCTGGCACAATGGGAGGGATAATAAACGTTCATTCCCAACATTCCTTGTCCCCACAGCTCCCTACTCATGCCTCTTCATTCATTTAATGTACTGAGCCCTGGGCACTGTGTCCTGGGAACACAAAAGGAATAAGAATGTCCATCCTGGTTTCCAGAAAGGGATGAGAGGAGAAAGATAGAGAGAAAGAGAGATTAAAGGATTTGGTGACAAATACTTCAAGACAGATTTAAACCAGTGCTTGGGAGCACAGAAGAGGAAAAAATAAAGCCTTCTTTTAGAGTCTTTAAAGATCTTAAAAATTAATTAGGCCGGCCGGGCGTGGTGGCTCATGCCTGTAATCCCAGCAATTTGGGAGGCCGAGGTGGGCGGATCACCTGAGGTCGGGAGTTCAAGACCAACCTGACCAACAGGGAGAAACCCCGTCTCTACTAAAAATACAAAATTAGCTGGGTGTGGTGGCACATGCCTGTAATCCCAGCTACTAGGGAGGCTGAGGCAGGAGAATCACTTGAACCTGGGAGGCAGAGGTTGCAGTGAGCCAAGATCACACCATTGCACTCCAGCCTGGGCAACAAGAGTCAAACTCTGTCTCAAAAAAAAAAAAAAAAATTAATTAGGCCACTTAACCCTCTAGGAAGGTTATAACCAAAACATAAAACAAAACAAAACAGCAAATAACAAGTGTTGGCAAGAATGTGGAGAAATTGGAACCACCCTGATTCTACATTACTGATGGAAATTAAAAACATTGCAGCTACTGTGGAAAACAAGTTGGCAGTTTCTCAAAAAGTGAAGCAGAATTAAGACCCAGCAATTCCACTCTTGTGTATATACCCAAAAGAAGTGACAGCAGGTATTCAAACAAAAACTTGCACACAAATGTTCATAGCAGCACCATTCACAATTGCCAAAAGGTGGAAACAACCCACCTGTCCATCAGCAGATGAGTGGATAGACAAAAGGTAGTCTATCTATACAATAGAATAGTTTTGAGCCATAAAAAGGAAGGCAGTACTGAGGCATGATAAAACATGAATGAACTTTGAGAACACTGAGTTAAGTGAAAGAAGCTAGTCATAAAAGATCATGTATTATGTTATTCCATTTATGTAAAATGTCCAGAATAGGCAAATTTACAAAGGCAGAAAGTAGATTAGTGGTTGATTGGAGCTGAAGGAGATGAAGGGATGCAAGAGGGGAGTTGTGACAGCTGAAGGGTATAGTGTTTCTCTTTGTGGTGATGAAAGTATTCTAAAATTATGTCAATGATTGTCCATGTATCTGTGAACATATTAAAAACCATTGCTTTATAGGCTTCGAATAGGTGAATTATATGTATGTAAATTGTATCTCATTAAAGCTGTTTTTTTAAATTTTTTTTCAAAATGAGAAGCTAGAAATTAAAAATAAATAAATAAATAAAGTTAATGTCTTAGGAGCTTAGCCAAACTCCTGCTAGATCCAGTATGGATAGTGGCCATAAGTGCCACTCCAATGCTAGAGCTGAAAACAAAACAAAACTGGGAGTGTCACAGACAGAAAAGGAAAGAATGGGAAACTATGCACAAAGCCTAGGAGGCAGTGCTTGGCTTTCACATCCTCTATGACATGGAGAAGTTGAGAGGAAGTTGGAACACAGGGAACATGTCAGGAGAACAAGGCTAGATACAAGCCACTATGGAGTTTGGAATCACTTACCTAGAATATACGCGGGGCCTGGAAAGCAGGCTTCAGGATGACTCTGCCACTCACTGGGTACATTTGCAGGCAAATTATGTCATTGGATATATGTTCATGACATTATATAAATGGATATTCTCTGTAAAATGGGAATAAACATTATACCCACCTCACAAGACACTGTAAGGATGTAATGAAGCAATACAGGTAAAGCAAATAATGTAGAACCTGGCAAACAGTATGCAGTCAATAAATATTAGCTCTTTGAGCCTGTTGGAAGCCAAAAGAGTTTAAAATGAGAAATTTCCACTTATCAACAAAATGTTATAGCAGATGATAAAGGTTTCAAGCTTTTTGAACTTTTGAGTAATTTGTACACATTACCACTAATTTAACTACCTCTCATCCGTCAAGACATACGCGTGGTTTTTTTTTAAAAAATCTCTGGAGAATTATAGTAAATGTCTCCTAGACTAATGATACTGGCCTCAGTAGCTTAAGCTTAGCCATAAAAATAATAAGTTTCTCTTGCTATGATATTCTAATTAAATATCCCAGACTTTATTCCAGGTATAAGCAATCCAATATTGGCAGAGCTAATTCAACCAAGAACATTCTATCCAGTAAATAAATTCTCAGAAGCCAAAATTTCCATTTACACCTGTAAACAGAAAATTTAATTTAATGCAAATTGTTAAATAATAAGACCAGTGGGCAATGAACCATACTAAACACATCATATGAAATGGATCAGTCATGCATCATGGTGATGAGGAAAGAAATTTGTGTCATGTTCTACAGCTAAAAATAGTACATGTTTACACACATTCATGCACACACACACATTCCTGCATACACACACACAGAGAACAAGGTGCTACCACAGAGATGTAGCATGCATATGAAAAAAATGCAGAAATCCTGTATGAAGGAGATGAAGGGATGGAATAGGGGAGATGTGACAGTTAAAGGGTACAGTGTTTTTCTGTACATTCCTCTGTATTTAAAACCTTTTGGTCATCTTCCATGGAATCATCTAACCATAAAGAATGTTATTTTATACAATGCTTGGCAGAGCAGTTGTTAGGAAGAGGAGTCTTGCAAATTGCTTCATTGAAGCTAAAAATCATTAAGGAGTAGACTGAAGCATGCTCTTTATTGAGACCTCCTCCTCGAAAGAGTTCAGAAGTCACAGTCCGCAAATTTAAAACTAACAAAATACCTGCAGAATTCTTCTAATTGTGAGACAAACAAGACTACAATAACTCAGTGTAGTTCACTTTTTTTCTACCATAGACTGGACAATAGATATGGCTTAGGCTTCAGAGATTTGGGGGAGCACTCAAGGTGCCAGATTCAGGATGTATCTTACTGTGTGTCTGGAGAGCAAGTACTTGAGAGAAAAACGTTTAGAAGAAAATAGGTTTGATTTTCAAAGCTTTTTCAGCTTTTTTAAATAAATAAATACATACATACATACATAAACCATCAAGCATCTGAGCTTGGAAACAATTTAAAAGAAAAAAAACAACGCATGGGTTATATTTCTCCGTAGTCACCAAGGTGGTGACACCCGAACATGGGCTTTTAGAACAACAAAGCAAAATTCTTAATGCTGATGTAACACTTACAATGTTTGTGTTCCCAGGGTCTGAAGAGTATGCAGACCAAAAAGCCAAGCACATTTCAGAGGCAAATTATTTGTATTTTTAAGTATGTGTTTGTACCTGTTTTCCTGGAGCTGAGCAGATTCACAAGACATGGGATTCCTGGGGCTAAAACCGGTAAAGTTCAGGGTGAGTAGAGGGCAAGTTGGTCACTCTTGGTGTTTGTCAATAAAAGACGAGAACTGATGTGTAATGTCATCACACACATCAGATCACCATATATATATTGAAATAATTTTAAAATAATACCATTCAAAAAATTAAAATGCAAAATATTCAGCTAAATTATACATTAATTATTTATCAGTTCTCCCTAGCATTCTTTAATTATTTCCAATTCCTTGATGCCAATCAAATTAAAGGAAGTTTTCAGGTGTATTTTTTAATCAGAAGGACCCAGAGTCAACCTAAGAACTCACCCCAAGCCCACTGGCCCACCACCATTTGGAAAGTTTTTTTAAAAATAAATTTTCATGTAAAATCATTCCTATATTCTTTTTTAATAATTCACATCAAATTTACATTAACCTGCAACATTGATATGATTAAGGAAATAAAAATATTTTCTGGAATATGGCTTTAACCCAACCTAAATAAAAACATCAGATCATCTTCTTTATTACATCAATTAGGCTTAGCATTTTCTCCTTGCTAAGAGATGTGCTAATAAGACTAATATCATAAAAGGAAAGTTTTTATATTTACCCACCTTAATCACTATCCACCTACTTCTTCATATCTTTATGAAAAATTGGAATATAGATTAGCAAAAGAACAGTTGTTTCTATATTCACTGTAGGTATATTTGTTTTCTCAGTTAATTACTTCCAAATTTCTAATTATGTCTGCTGTAAATACTTTATTATAAAGTATTTCTACATAATTAATTAAGAAGTAGTGATAATGTAGGACTACTTCATCCAGAGAACTACAGGCATATGGGAAATACTGTGAATTACCAAATAAGTCCATTGAGTGAAACATAAAGTAAAAATGAGTTTAAGAGACAGCTAGACATGTTTATGTAGGCAAAAGGGGTTGGAAGATATGCTGACAACACAAAGAGGTGTGTTGCAATAAACTTGAAGGGGACAGGCCATTGGGCCAACCATCCCTTTTCTATCCAGGAATTCCTTATGTTCTCATTAGTGTCTCACATATGGACAGCTGTGTTATTAAAATTTGGCCGTAAATTTGAGTCAACGAAAGAGTCTGTTGTCTCCATTTTTTTCTTCCTTTATATATTCGATACACAAACACATATATGCAAAAGTTTCAACTTTTGTTCAGGGAAGTATTTTATGTCCAGATGTTAGATTTTTGTGACTCATGGCCAAGGATGAGGGAAGGGCTTTGTGAACAAGCTTGTTCTGATCATGTCCACCTCGGACAAGTACATGTTCATGGCACCTCACTTGCATAAATACAACATTCTAAACTGTCCTTTCAATGGTCACCTTTAGTACTGAGTCAGGCCTGAAGTTTCTATGGCAGAGTTTCTTCAGAGAGAAAATGTTTTAAGGGTTAGAGAAAAAGGTCAGTTCTTTTCATTCCTTTATCTTTTCTCATATTTTGAAATATACCATCAGAAAATATTTTGGAGAGGACTGGTTAGACGCCAAGAGTTTCACTGACCCTTTTAGTTGTTGCCATTTTACATTTCTTGCCTCAGGAGCTGGTTGAGCTTTTGAACGCATTCACATTTAATTTATATGATGTGGGCATAACCTGCATCTGAATATAAATACCCAACACCTGCATTAGCACTTTACAACTAACAAGCACTTGGATCCCCACTGTCTCATTTGCTCTAAATCACAAACCTATTAGGTTGGCACTATTATCTTTTACTTATAGATTAGAAACTGAGGCCCACAGAAGCTAAGTGACTTAGCCACATTTACTTGCTCAAGTGATAAGTGGCCAAGTTAAAACTGCCTGGCTCCATCTTTATTAAAATACACCTGAGAACACAGATATGAGAGTGAATAAATTTCCATTTTTATATGACTTTTTAAAATAAAGTTGGGCAAAAAGGTAAACAATGATCTTATGTCTATTAGGTCCATTTCGAAACACCCCCAATCCATTACACAGTAAGAACATAGGCATGTATGCTATTTAGTTCTTTTAAGAAAATAGTAAAGATGCCAGGCGCGGTGGCTCAAGCCTGTAATCCCAGCACTTTGGGAGGCCGAGGGGGGGGTGGATCACAAGGTCAGGAGTTCAAGACCAGCCTGACCAACATGGTGAAACCCCATCTCTACTAAAAATACAAAAATTAGCCGGGCATGGTGGTGTGGGCCTGTAATCCCAGCTACTCAGGAAGCTGAGGCAGGAGAATTGCTTGAACCCGGGGGGCGGAGGTTGCAGTGAGCCGAGATTGCACCACTACACTCCAGCCTAGGCGACAGAGTGAGACTCTGTCTCGGAAAAAAAAAAAAAGAAAAGAAAATAGTAAAGATGATGCTGGGCACAGTGGCTCACGCCTATAGTCCCAGCACTTCGGGAGGCTGAGGTGAGTGGATTGCTTGAGCCCAGGTCTTCGAGACCAGCTTGGGCATCATGGGGAAACTTGATCTCTACAAAAAATACAAAAATTAGCTGGGTGTGGTGGCATTTGCCTGTAGTCCCAGCTACTCCAGAGGCGAAGATGGGAGGATCGCTTGAGCCCAGGGGCCAAGGCTGCAGTGAACTGTGATTGCACCACTGCACTACAGCCTGCACAACAGAGTAAGACCCTATCTCAAAAAAAAAAAAGAAAAAGAAAAAGAAAAAGTAGTAAAGATGATTAAGAAAAAAATTAATATAGTCACTAGTTAATGACTTCTTTATAGTTCTGTTATCACTTTTGCATTTTGGTTACAAAAATGTACAAATACTAGAGTCAATAAGTAAATCAAAATACTGAAGTTATTTGTTTATTTTAATTTTAAGCGTCATAACCTTTCACAGCAGAAACTCAGACCCCACCTATAATATATTTTAATGAGCTGACAGTTACTGAAAATAATATTCTCCCAACAAAAGTCAAATTCACATTCAAAAGCTATTAATAGCGCTTGTTGCCAACAGAAGCCTTATTCAATATTTGGGCATAACAGAACCAGGATACGAACATGATAGAAAGAGGGGCAGTGGTGGCAGGAAGAGGGGGATGAGGAGTGAGAAAGAGACTGCTGCACTGAGCCTGACATCTAAGAAGATGTCAGGGACCCTAAAGCCCCTAAGGAGCAGCCCCAAACCCCCAATCCCTTCCGACATACTCATTGTATCTGCTGTGGGGCCCATTTTGCACTCTGATTCTCTCATGGAATTATGCCCTGGCCTGAACCCCACCCAGTTTGAGGCTGCTCCCCGGATAATCTGTCTAGTCCTTGCCAATCTTCTATCAAGAGTCACAGCCTGTTCATGAGACCCCCCTCCACAGCTGACTGGGGTCGTATTCCAACTGAGGGAGGCCCTGCAGCAAATACAAGACATTGCCTAATACTGGCAAGCCTCCTGCCCACCAATATGAGCCCTTGGGTACTGAGGTCAGCTTCTTGAGAGCTTTGTTCACCAAAGCCCTTTAGCTATTATCATTGAAACATTGGCCTTTCTCCTTGTAGCTCTGATACCAGGCTTTATCCTCTCTCTCTTCCAGCCTACTCTGAGGTCCCAATATGCCTTTACCCCAGCCTAGAAGGGTTATAACACATCACAGGTGATTTAAACTAATTTCAGTGGTGGTTGATGGATTTCAAGGACCTGACCTCCTGTGCATTAGGAAGATCTACTCTCACCTTCACTTTATTTTGTAGCTATCATTTGACTGATGAGCCTGCCTTCTATACTCCCAACAGCATTCATCATACACAGTCTGTCTTCCCTACTAGCCTGCAAGGACCCAGTCTGTCTTGATTACTGTTTTATGCTATTCCCAGCAAGGAAGCCAGCACATAGAAAGGAATGAACAAGCTCTTGCTGGATGGATAAATATATGATACACATGTGCAATTGTCAAGTAACCACTAGCTTGGGAAAGTTAGTCCCATCACATACTTGAATTTATTAATTGGCTGATAATACCAATGCATTAGCCAACACATTTACTTAAACTTCAAAATATTTATGCATAGAAGCATATTTTGAAAAACTGTTTAACCAACTTCCAGGGATAGAAAAGAAGATTATAAGTATCTTTCCATTCAGTTGTTGCTTTACAGTATATACAGAATTTATTTTGCATCTCTGCCCTCTCAAGAGTGAATTAAAGCACAATTATGTTAAATAATGTTTTTACCTACTATTTCACTTCTGTGAAATTTTTCTCCCTTCAAAAGAGCATTTGCTAAATTTGTTTTACAAAATTCTGAGTAAAGTGAAGTAAAAGCCTTTTACTGGGGGTAGTGTTACATTCAACAACAGAACTACAAAAAAATATGTTTTGGGGGGGACTAACATTTATCAGAAAAAATTCCAGAAAATTACTGTAACGGCCGGGCACTGTGGCCCACACCTGTAATCCCAGCACTTTGTGAGGCCAAGGTGGGCGGATCACAGGGTCAGGAGTTTGAGCTGGCTAACACAGTGAAACCCCATCTCTACTAAAAATACAAAAATTAGCCAGGCATGGTGGCACATGCCTGTAATGTCAGCTACTCAGGAGGCTGAGGCAGGAGAATTGCTTGAACTAGGAGGCAGAGGTTGCAGTGAGCTGAGATCATGCCACTGCACCCTAGCCTGGGCGACAGAGTGAGTCTCTGTCTCAAAAAAAAAAAAAAAAGAAAGAAAGAAAGAAAGAAAGAAAGAAAGAAAGAAAGAAAGAAAGAAGAAAGAAAGAAAGAAAGAAAGAAAGAAAGAAAGAAAGAAAGAAAATTACTGTAACGCATTCAGATAGTCTCATTATGCTTACTTAAACCTAAAAGAATTTAATTAATATATCACAAAAATGACACATTATTTTTTTAACGTTCAGTCTCTATAGGATCCCTGCTGCCCTACTCTCTTATTCCCAAATAAACCCAAATAGTTTTCCAATTTCACTACCAAACTACTCTCTTGAACAACTCTATTTATAGTTTGGTATCTTTGTGTACCTAGGACAAGTAACAAACCAGTTATGAGAAAGAAAAGAAAAAAAATAATTTCTTCAGGTTGCTCTCCTAAAACCAAGGCTTCCTTTCTATTATGTATTCACACATGATTTCTCTGCATAAGGAACTGTGTCAGGACTAAACTGAGTCATAGGACTCTGGGTTCAATTTTTACTTAGACAGTGGCCCCGAATGACTGATCCAGTCCTTTCAGCACTGTTTCCTTACCTGTCCCATAATATTTACCCTTTATCGGTTTCACAAAGATGCCTCCACATCTGAAACATACTTGAGACTTCCAAAATGGGTTTGATTATTTTGTCTTACTCCATCAAAATCTTAAATCCCCTTTTTTTCCAAACTGGGCAAAATAATATCTGCCAACCTTGAGGGTTTATTTTAAGGATTAAGTGAGATCATGCATGTGAAAAAGCTTTGAAATTCTAAAATGTTTCACATGTAAAAGGTATTTTTATTTCAATACTTTTGCAAATGTATGTCTAAACTAAATGCAAATTATTCAAAAATCCAATGAGACAGTTCCAACTTTTGGTACTCCTATTAATATGAAGTGAGGGAATGCTATAGCCTTCCTGTGGCTGAATGCATTGTCAGTAAAACATGCCTGCATGTGGAGTTCCTTGTTCAGTGATGAAAATTAATTTGTACCATGGTATTCATACTCAGTTCAAAAAGTGTTTTTAAGTGTCCACTATGTGCCAGATACTTGCTAGGAATTGGGGGCATACTGATGAAACTGACAATGTCTCTATCCTCAGAGAAGGTCATATTCTAGTAAAAAGAAGATATATAAACAAATAATTGGACACAGAAAGCCAGCCTGGGAACCAGGGGAAGATGGCATATGACCTGAGTTAAGCAGTGAACAGAAGTCAGTCACATGAAGGGAGAAGGAAAGAACATTCCGGGTAGAGTAAATAGGATAGGAAAGGTCCCTAACACTGGAAACAACATGCATTGTTCATGAAAAAATATAAACAATATTACAGAAGTCGTATAAGCCATTTGAAGAATCGTGGGAGAGGAGGTTGAAGAAATGAAAATGTTCCACCTAAAAGAGCCTCATCATTAATCTAAAGGAAATAACTCAGGAATGGAAAACCAAATACTGTATGTTCTCACTTATAAGTGGGAGCTAAGGTGTAAGGATGCAAAAACATACAGAGTGATATAATGTACTTTGGGGATGCAGGGTGGGAGGTTGGGAGGTGAGTGAGGGATAAAAGACTACATACTGGGTACCATGTCCATTGCTTGGGTAGCAGGTGCACTAAAATCTCAGAATTCACCACCAAAGAGCCAATCCATGTAATCAAAAACCACCTGTACCCCAAAAACTATTGAAATGAAAAACATTAAAAATAATTTTATAAAAACACTATTTCAAGGCTAAAAAAAAAAGGTGAGGTGACTCATATGCTTTGCTAAAGAACCTATAGTTTCTCCGGTTGGCTCTCTGCTTCTCACACTGTGCAAATCAAACTCTAGGGACAAACAGGATTAACATGACCCAGCTTCTTGGATTCTTGATTTTGCCCAACAGTATGGGAGATAAACAAGGTTGACGTTGAAGAACTATTGATTCAAAACAATCTTTGTAAACATTAAAATACCCATCCTTATAGTTACTTTGAGGAAAGATTTGAGAAACACAGCAGGTATGAAATGGAGAACCACTGATGGTTTTATTGTCAGCAGTGGCATGAGCAGAAATATGTTTTAGAGCAGTGGTCCCCAACCTTTTTGGCACCAGGGGTCAGTTTCATGGAAGACAATGTTTCCACAGATGCAGGGATTGAGGGAATGGTTTTGGGATGATTCAAGAGCATTACATTTACTGTGCACTTTATTTCTCTTATTATTACATTGTAATATACAATTAGATAATTATACAACTCACCGTAATGTAGAATCAGTGGGACCCCTGAGCTGGTATTCCTGCAACTAAATGGTCCCATCTGGGGGTGATGGGAGATAGTGACAGATCATCAGGCATTAGATTCTCATAAGGAGCTCACCACCTAGATCCCTCACATGTGCAGTTCACAATAGTGTTCACGCTCCTATGAGAATCTACTGTCACTGCTGATCTGACAGGAGGCGGAGCTCAGGCAGTAATGTGAGCCTTGGGGAGCAGGTGTAAATACAGATGAAGCTTCGCTTGCCTGCCTCCCACTCACCTCCTGCTGTGTGGCCTGGTTCCTCACGGGTCCGTGGCCTGGGGGTTAGGGACCTTTGTTTTAGAGCAATCACTCACTCTGGTGATGGCGTGGAGAATAGATGTGAGGAGGAAAGAGTGAAAACAGGAAGGCCAGTTAGGTGGCGGGCACAGCCTTCCAGGAAAGAAATGATGAGTAGCTAAAGTAGGGTAGGGAGTGTTGGAGGACAGCAATGCTTTAAGAAACAGGCAGAGGTATGCTGCTTAGCCATATGGAGTGCTTGAATGTGGAAGTAAAGGAAAAGAGAGGAGTCATGGATAAACCTAGAGTTGGAGTTTAGAAGACTGGCGAGACTCTGGTGCCACTGAACAAGTTGGAGTATATTGGAGAAATAAAAAGTTAGAACAAGATTATGACTTTAGCTTTGAAAATGTAAATTTCTACATGCCATGGAACTCCAGGTGAAGATGCTGAGAATTTATCCTGATAGCCTTCTCTGATTCTCCTAGTGAAAAATCACAGGCATTTGGAAGGTAATCAGAATTAGATGGGCATTTTGCTTCTTTTCTTTCCAACTTTCAGTGGCCATCTTGAGTTCATACATGACCTAGACTCAGCTCCTTCACTGTTTTCTCCGACATCTGTCAATCCATGACAAGCAGTAACTACCTGGGTGTGGTTTTCTCAGAGAAGTCTTGACACTCTAGTTCTGTATCATTCCCTGGATTTTAAGCTTTTCAATAGCAATGCCATGTGTCACTGACAATATGGACTGCTCATAAATAAATAACCTAGAAGAAAATTAATTATCATATCATCCATCAATCTCTTAGCCTCCTGAGTCCCTAGTTTTGAACTTCATTTCACCTCTAACAATATCTTTATCAATTCAAATCTAGCTCCTGGTCTCCCAGTTGTAACAAAACAGATATGGATCTCAGGTGGAGAGTAAGCATCAGAAACAGATGAACTCACAAGACAAAAATCTTATGTCCCTATTTTCCTGTTTTCATGCAAATGTCCCAGTAATTAAATCAGGAAAAAATGTAGCAAAAACATATCAGCCAAATGGTTTTAAAATTTCAAAAGAAGCTGTAAATATGGTCCTTTTTAGAAGATCAGGTTCTAACTAGAGTAGGAGAAAGGGTAGCATTTGTTCTGATGAAGCAGTTTTTAAATTATTGTCAGTGATTTGAAGAGAGATAACTGATGTATGTTGAAGAAGCCTGTGAGATTTTTAAATAGTTCGGACGCTACGGGGAGCATTTTTTTCTTAAACCAATGTACTCAGAAGTGTTGGCAAGATTTTATTTGAACGTAGCAGTGCTTATGTGAGGAAGTTATTTTGAATTACCCTAGTATAAATATGTATGACTTTATTTGTATTGAAAATTTCCTTTGCAAGTGAGCGAATGAGGAACTGTTATATATCTATATTGCTTTTTAAATGATTTAGGTATTTCATTTCGGAAATAAAATATCATACCCAGAATTCAAAAATAATATCAGAATTCCGTTTGTACCCACAGGTGATTCTTGCACCTGCATTCATACCTTTTAACTTTAATTTGCCATGTAGAACAAATGGTATCTGTTATCTTAAGTCTGGCTTTTTTTATAGCATTTATGCATACGTACATTCATTCACTCATTCATCAGACATTTACACAGCTCCTCTCATGAACCAAGCACTATGGTAGGTACTGGGCATGTAATAATAGTATTGAACTGTCCTTTGTCATAACATAGTTCAGGTAAACATTCCATTTCCTCTAGGCAATATTCTGTAGCACAATGAAATTTTCAAATCTTAGGGTCATATCTTATTATTTAAAGGCTAAGCATGTTGAAGGCTGTGAACAAGCCTAGCATTGAAAGCATATTCCCTCTAAATACAGAGTATCAAAAGAAAGGTAAGAAGAGGTGAGGGCCCCAAGAAATAAGGCCGAAAACAGGGGGGAGCAAAAAGAGGGCGGGAAGGGTATTGGAGAAAGCATTAAAATCAGGGCTCAAACTTTCCCCTTAATACCTTTGGGCAACCAGTTGTTCTACATGAAAATGAAGCTGCTAGCAAGAAAATCATCGAACCCATTATCTGTAGAGCCTGTCCATTTACTTATAGAAGGAAAAACAAAACAAAACTCATCTTCTCTGTTTTCCTTCTTTAGTTATTGTGTGGGATTGGAGGGGAAAGGGATCATTTATCCTAAATTACTACTTCACCTTGCCTTCCTAAGCAACACACCTCTTCTAGTTCATTCCATTCTCTCCTTATTATTTCTTTCCTTTATCAGAGAAAACCTATTATATTTTCATGTGTTTACTTAAAAACAAACTACAAGAAGGCTCATCTGAGTCATCTATTTAAAGAATGAGACAAACATACACATGCAGCTCTGTTTTTGCTCCTTCAATTCTTTTTTAGGCTGTGTATAAAAGTGACACAAAAAAAGAGGAATAAAACAGTTTGTGTTAAACAATGTAATCAAGTACATAAGTCTGTAAAAAGGAGCGTGTAGGGTCTTAAGTACCCATGGTCCCTGCCTGCTACCCTCATCTGTCCTCATTCTTATCTCAAGTTGTAAGTTTTCAGTAGGAGATCAGTTTGTATCTCCCTAAAGCTTCTAAATGAATGACGGATTCCACAAACAGCAACAAATATTACTATATAATAGGCACTGTTCCAGGGGGTTGCAAAAGAGACATCCGTGATAAATCACCTTCCTTTGTCAAATAAATTACTATTTGGAGATCATAAATGAAGCAATAGTTTAAAATTTTCCAAGTGACGGTGCTTTGCGTTAATATCATAAAAGCATTACTGTCCCTCAAATTCAAAGTCCAAGGTGATTTCAAATGTCATTCACAAGCATATTTCACCTAACCCTGAATGTTTTCTTCAACCATGCAAGAATCCTCCTTGGGAGAAGCAAAACTTGAATATAGATCATCTTTAGGCTGTAACAAATAATATTTCAATATCCCATAGAGCTATGTGACATTAGGTAATAATATAACTCAGGACTATACTGATTTCTCTAAACTGAAATTCCAAATTCTTAGAAGATAGATAAATTAAGCTTTAAAAGAATGGGGTTTTAATTTTTCCTTCTTGTTTTAAAACACCAAATATTTTCTGTGAACTTTCAGCTTTGTTCTTTCCCTCTTGTCTAGAAGGGTGCTAGCTGAGTGCCAAGAACAACAGGTAAGCCAGCTTCCCTCAACACAGAGAAATTATGCCTTTGCCACAGGAGCCATACTTATGCTTCCACAATGGCCAGGGAAAAACCTAATAGGAACAGATTTTTTTGCATGTGTAGCAAAGTTAGTTCCAGAGAGAGAGAAAGAAGCCTGGTTTGCACTGTAGCAGAACCATTGGAACAATATGCTCCCTGTGTCCACAGCCCAATCCTCCCCGGACACCCTCCTTTCTAGGGCATAGGGTAGCAGAGTCACATACACAGTAGATCATGCCAGGACCTGCTGACACAACCCTACTCCCAAATTTGCAGGCAGGAGAGTGAAGCAATGTCTGTACTCTATACATAGTCTTACTTTTTTCTTTTCTTTTTTAAAGTAGCTGTTTCAGCATTCAACTGGGGGCAAGAGGGGTTGGGGGGTGGAAAAAGATAGTGCAGGCAAACTTTCTCAGTGCTATTCCATCCCTCTATGTCTCCCCACTCCTTCACACCTCTGAAGTTATGGCAAGACTAGGTAAAGAGTTTTGAACAATATTGAGACCCTCTTATATTTACCTTGAACAAATAGGATCTTTGACACTTCTTGACCACACTCAGCTGCCTGCAAGAGTGCTTCCTCCTATAGCAAGTCATATCGGGAGAATTCGCTGAAGAAAGGTTTTTTCCTTACAATTGCAAATGAAAGTATAAAATAGATCACCAAATTTTAAAGTGTGCATATGTCCTCATCTCAGCTGTTGACATCATATTTATAATCATGAGCACGCCAGGTTTTCTACAACTTAAGAAATTCTATGACCATATTACTTTTCCAACTTTATCAGTAAACACTGATTTCTGTATAATGCAGAAACCAGTTAAATAATTTCTGGCCGGGTGCAGTGGCTCATGCCTGTAATCCCAGCACTTTGGGAGGCCGAGGTGGGTGGATCACCTGAGGTCAGGAATTCGAGACCGGCCTGGCCAACATGGTGAAACTCCGTCTCTACTAAAAATACAAAAAATTAGCTGGGTGTGGTGGCAGGTGCCTGTAATCCCAGCTACTCGGGAGGCTGAGGCAGGAGAATCACTTGAACCTGGGAGGCGGAGCTGGCAGTGAGCCAAGACTGTGCCACTGCACTCCAGCCTGGGTGACAGAGCGAGACTCCGTCTCAAAATAAATAAATAAAAAATAAAAATAAAATAAAATAAACAACACCTAAAAGACATGTTACATCCACTCTGGTTTTCCATAATTTAACTTCATGTATTTTTCAGGTAATTCATGATAGTAGGAATTACTATTTATTGATACACCTGCTCTGTGCCAGACATTTTGTATACAGTCATATTTTCTTTACCACAACCAGCTTGAATCTAAGTACTCCTTTACCAATTTTTTTTTTTTTTTTTTTTTTTTTTGAGACAGGGTCTCGCTCTGTTGCCCGGGCTGGAGTGCATGGAGTGCAGTGGCACCATCTCGGCTCACTGCAACCTCTGCCTCCTGGGTTCAAGCAATTCTCTTCCTCAGCCTCCCGAGTAGCTAGGATTATAGGCATGCACCACCACGCCGGGCTGGCTGATTTTTGTATTTTTAGTAGAGATGGGGTTTCACCATGCTGGCCAGGATGGTCTTGAACTCTCGACCTGGTGATCCACCCTCCTCGGTCTTCCAAAGGTGCTGGGATTACAGGCGTGAGCCACTGCACCCAGCTCCTTTGCCTACTTTAAAAATAATTTCACATGGGTAAAATAACTTGTCCTCAATACACAATTAGTATTTACCAAGCAGGGAGCCACATCCAGTTTATCTAATTCCAAAACCTGTATCTTTGTCACTATAATATGCTAACATTGAGGATCTAGTGTCAAATATACTAATGTCCAGTTTCCAGTCAACAAGTGCTAACAGAAGTTGTATAAGAAATAAAAACTATTCCACGACATCTCTGGACCATGATGTCTCCTTCATCACTAACTTGTCCTGTGCCTGGGCCCAATGTTGGAGCCAGTTGAGCTAGCAAGAACCTCCCATGGGAGCTTTTCCTAAGTCGGGTGCCTGGGAGAAGAGACTGGACCAGAAAATACACTTTATCTGGGAAGCCAGAGGCACCAAAGCCAGAGAAACTTTGGCTCAAGGACTTGAGCCAATATTGTAACTGGAAAAATGAGCCTAAGTGTTAGGTCCAAAAGGCAAAATAAGCCATACATGGAAAAACAAGGGCCAATCACAGCATCCAGGAGGCCTGGAAATGGGTCACAATGTGCAGAGCGGGTGGGCACAAGTGGGTCAGAAACACATCTGGGAAAGGTAAAAAGATGTTGGATGTCACATGAATATGGTGTTGGCCCTGGGGGTGGACGTGGCAGATTCAAAAGCACACCAAGAACCAGATGCTTGAATTGTGGGGAGTCACTGACTCTCCCTAAGCCACAATTTTCTCAGCTAATAAAATGGACCCAGTTGTAACCCCTTCAGATCTGCTATCAGAATTAAATGATACGTGAAAGGATTTAGCATAGTGCCAAGCCTAGAAAAGCAGGGGTTTTTTTTCCTTAGCTATTATTACTTTATATTTGTGATTGCCATGGAGATGATAATAAATTTTGAGAGTAAAGTTTTTACATTTAAGTACCTGAAAGAACCCTGAAAAAAAAAATTCACCCTTAGAATGGTACAAAATTAAAACTGAGTACAGAACAAAGTTTATAGTTTGAGCCTTTTAACAGAATAAAGAGTATTAAAGAAGACCTTGAAGCAAGCATGAAGTAATTTCCAGGTCACTAGACAATTTGCAGGTGCAAACCATTTCTAGTCCCATTGTCAGAGGGAGAAAAAAGGTACAGGTCACACCCAGTCCCCTACGCTGATGTCCAAATGTCTGGTTTGGTAGTTTTGACCTAAAAGGAGCATGGAATGGATGCTTTCAAAATAGAAACAATTAACAGACCCTTTAAGAACTACAGATATAAGTGTTTTGAGAAGTCTTAAAGAAAACAAGAACAACCAAAAACTATCAGTGTTAGTATTACATCACGATAGTTTTTCCCCCTGGCATTTGCATTGATTTTTCAGTTTTACATCAAAAAGAAAATCTGGCCTTGTGGACATTTAAGAGACTAGGGAATTTCATTTTCCACTTAATACACTGATTTTCTTCACCACTCTAGGTACTTGAAATTAGCGCAAACCCCAGGACAGCTACAATTCCAAAAGGGAATGCTCAGTTCATTATGAATGGTCTTAAAGCAAACAGTGCTCTGACAGCCAAATTCCTGGTCTTCAAATTTGTAAGTTTGCCCTTTTTTTCACAAGTCTTACTCAAGACCGCTTCTGAGCTTTTGCACATTTAACCCTTACACTAAAAGACAATATGTTACTAAAGAGCATGGGAAACTTCAAGTTCATACATTTGGACTAAATTCCTTTTCAAAAGCAGTCTAATATTTATAACCAAATTATGACCATATTGAATACACTAAATTAACTGCTGAACTAACAGAAAGGAAATACTGTATTTATTTTCACTTCTGTGGCTACGCATCCTTTGAACAGTTCGAAAAAATCATAAACCAGCCATAAATCCTAAAATGCTTTTCATTTTCTTTCTTCACGTAATAACACAGCACTGATTTTTCAATAAAAAATATACTGTAAATAGTTGTTATTTTTAATAATCAAAATTAATTTGTACCATCTTTAGTTGATCTGTATATTTGTTTAACCTTTCATTATAATAATAAAGCTACAATATAGTGAAGTTTTATGCATTACTTCATTTAATTCTCAATAAAATCCCAAGGGATAGCATTATTAGTGTACCCACATTGGAGATTAAAAATAAAACAAGCTTATAGGAGACTGCTTATAATCACACAGGTAGTCATTTGCAGGGCTAGTATTCAAAATAGATATTAATACTTTGGACTTTAACTGGCACAGGAGAATAAAAATATCAGGGATACACTTACTTAATCATTTTTAATAATTTAAATCAGCCCATATGTTAGTAAGTAAAAGATAAAAAATGATCCTAAATACCAGGCCTGAGTTATTTGTCAATTGCTGCAATTTTCCACTTTTAGACTTGAATTAATAGACATAACTAAAAATTTAAATGACAAAATTCCAATAAGAAAACATAGTGCATAATTAGTGCACATCTCTGGATTTGGGGAGGAGAGTGACTTGATTTTACATAGAGTATTGTTTTTCCTAATTAATTGTAGTGTGCCACATATTTGTATGTGAATGCCTCATAAATGGTTTACAAATTGTTAAGAAGTTTATGGATATCTAGAAAGAATATTACAGCTCAATAAATAAACTTTTACAAGTGTAGAAGAGAAATTTTGCATTAAAATGTGACTTTGTTTCTTCATCCTGAGAGAATGAATTTTTAAAAAACACATTTAAAATCAAGCATTAGATATGCAAATATGTGTTCAGATCAGAGATACTAAAATTATTCAAATGATTAATTATTCATCATAAAATGTCAATTAATAATTATGAAGCAGAAAAGGCATCTTTCTAATACATCTTTATTTTTCTTGGCCTAAAAAGGGCTAAATATACATGTTCAATTGACTTCTATCAAGTTTTTAAAATTCAACAAAGTAAACAAATTGTAAACAAGTGAAAACTCTGAATTTTAATGAGAACAACAAATATGCCCAAAGTGAAGGGAAGAGCAAAAAATAATAATAAAGAAAACAAAACAAAAACAGTTATGTTCATGACATATGCCGCCTCATGCTCACTCACCTGCTAGGTAACGGACAGTAACCTAGCCTAGTCAAGAAAATAACCCAACAACCCAAGTTGTGAATTTGCTTAGTAATGTGCAAACTACGTGACATGATGATGTTTCTCTCTGAATTGATCAATCTTTGTTGGGGTTCAGGAGGAGTGCTTTGGGAATTTTTTACCCTTTGCAAATAGTCATCAGAAGAAAAGCGCAGTTTAAGTTTCATAAAATTACCTATTGTAATGTCTAAAGTCTGTTAACAAATTAAGTACTACTAAAATATGGCTGTAAACAAACTTTTTCACATTGCCTTAATTCTAAAGAATGCCCCTATGCCAAGCATTATGCATTTTTTCCAGGAAGACTATATCTATTATATCTTGTCTTTTAAAATTATCAGTCTGAGCTGATGTGATAATATAGAAGAATAAACCATTATGGTCACTGAAATATTGATTTATTTTATTTTTATTATTATTATTTTACTTTTCACTGACACCTGGTGAACTTGTCGTCTCTGAGACCCGGGGAGTTATTTTAGTCAGGGTGTCCCTGCCCTCCTGCTGGTAGATTAATTACACATTAAACGTTCTGTTTTCAAAACGAAATGATAAATCTGGACACATAAAAGAGGCACAAAAAGAATCACAGCGAGGGAGAAGAGTGGATGTTAAGAAACAAAACAAGAAATTGCAAAAGGGAGATATCAGATAGAAAGGAGAACGTAGGAAATGCAACTGGGAAAGAATTTCAAGAAAATAAGGATAAAGGGCAGGGAGGGCTGAAAGGAGGGCCAGAGGGAGGAAAAGCAGGAGGGAGATTTTTGGTTTTCAATTCCCTGGTGAGGCTGCTGGCGTCCGCGCCCTCAACGCCCCAGCCTTCCAAGTTGAGGCGAAAGCCACCTCCTCGGGCCTGCGTCGCATCCAACTTACTCCAAGTTTTCTGGTGACTCCTACAGGGCCCCTTTCCGTCCCCCCCCCCGCTCCCCGCCCCCCAAGCCTTAGTGAGATTGACAGTCGCGTGGAGGAGGCTTTTCCAGGCACAGCCTTTCTCATGGTAATCAGCCCCCGGCATCACCTCCCGGCCGCGGCTGCGCCCGCTCGGAGCGCGGCTCGCGGACCCCGGGGACCGGAAACAGGGCGGCGGGCGGGGAGCAGGCGAGCGAGCCAGGTCAGCTGACCGGGCGGCGGGCGGGGGTCGCAGGATCCCGGGCGGGGACAGGTCTGGGGGAGGGCGGTCTGGTGGGAGGGGGCCGAACACCGCCCCCCCCCGCGACGCGCTCCTCCGCCTGTGCAGCGGGGCCCTTCCTGGAGATCAAATGCAGGGACCGAAGCTGGCGGCGGGGGTTGGGGCGGGGTGTGTGGGGGGGGGAGTGGCAGAGCGCGCGGAAAATTGGGGACAACAACCAGACCTGTTTAGCATCAATAAATTAAGATGCTCATTTGGGTCCTGAAGTTTGCTGGTTCCTGTCAGTGGAGACGTTGGCAAAAGCCCTGAAGCCGAGATTCAGCCTTTACTTCAAAAAAATAAAATAAAATCAACCCCTCAGCTGGCCGCCCTGCTGGGGCCAGGTGACGTGCGAGATTCCACAGCCTGCGGGTCTCGCAGCAGGGATGTTAGGGACGGTCTGAGCTTCTCTGGTCCTGTTTTGGTTTTGTTTGAAAGGGCTTCTCAGAGAGATGCTCCTGATTTTTTTTTTTTTTAATAGACTTTCCCCTCCTATCCTAGGCTCAACTCCGAATGGATTGGATTGCGAGTCTGCACGTGAGAAAACCGTTTGGCTTGGCTTGGACCCCTGCCGCCCCCCACCTCCTCCACACACACCCAGTCCAGGGGTCCCCTTTATCACCCTTTGCTTGCAACTCCAAAAGAAGTTGCCCACCTCCTGAGTCACAACACAAGGTCGAATAATTCCTCTAGATGAAAGATCAGTTTCATTTCAAAACGAGAATAGGTTCCTTTTTTTATTTTCTCCACATGGTACAAAATAAACAGAATTTGCTTTAAAAAAAATCATTAGCTGTGGCCAAATTCGAATTCCTTCTACAGCCTGTGTGTTCAAGGGCAGAAACATTGTATCTCTTCGGGCATCTGGGCCGCCAAGCTGAGCGGGGGGAGGGGGGAGCGGCTGTGAAAGTTGAGGAAATTGACAGACTGAGAGGTGAATGGGGGGACAGGCACCAGGTCCTGGCTGGAGGGAATTGGAAAACAAAAGTGCATCCTTCTCACCCTGCCTGGGTGGAGGGAATCCTGAGGGAGGTAGTTTGTTTTGCCCATGGAAACCCCAAAGAATTATTTTTCCCCCTTCAATGTTGATTGCAATATTATTTCACATTTCCGTGTATCTGTTGTTTTAATCTCTTTCGTCTGCGCTAATCTCGAAGTGGATTATTAATGGGGAAGACAGAGAAGGAGAGATTCATTTGCAGGACTTATTTTGCTGTGTGAGGAGCCGAAAGCCAGCAGCCCCCAGTCCTCTCTCGACTTTTCTCTGCGTCCTGTGCTCCTGCATCCTCCTGATCCCACGATCCCCATTGTCCCCGAACTGGCCCTCGGACTGAGGGAGTGTTCGGAACAAATTTATATTCCGGCTTCCTCCCGACCCCATCACCTCTGCCACGTTGGGAACTCTCTCGGCCAAATGCCTGGGGAGGGGCGTGCCAGTCAGGAACCAGGGGCAAGGCAACCTAGCCGCAGCGCTCACCCCTCGCGGAGACCCTTCCCGTGCCACCATCCAAATATCTACCTTCATGGGAACCTGGAAGACTGCTTTTTCACCCCAAATCAAATACTGGCTAGTCGGAACTCCCAGTGATAAATGTTGGGGACTGCCTCCTGCCACTTGAGCAATTCCTGAGTCCAGGGTAATCAGATGATTAGGTGTTTTTAATGGAAATACTTAGGGTTTTTTTTTTTTTTTTTAAGTCAGATCCTAAGTAACCTGACATTTAATATACATAATAAAGACAAGTGTTTTGTTAGCTATTCGATTGGATCCTTTGACCTGAGGTTATGCTTGTGTGTGTGTCTGGTCTGTAAGCCTCCAATGGCTACCTGGGTGCCTGAAGAGGAGTCTTGCCTGTAATAACTCTATGCAAAGGGCTCCTTCTTCCTTAGGAGTGGTGGAAGGGTGGCTGTAAAGCAAACGTCTAGAGAAAGCTGGATTCCAATCTTTTAAATTAAAAAAGAGGAAAAAAAGGAAGAGGAAGAAAAATGGACATGAACAGTGGTGCTAAATCTCAGAAGAGGAACTTGATAAGTCACACATATATTTAGTATAGATATATAATAATGAAAGAAATGTAAAATATAAAATTAAGAATGTGCCTGACCCATGTTGAAAATCTTTGATTTTATTTATTAATAATTTTTAAGCTGAAGATCCTGAATGCCTTTCTTCTATAGACACTTTATCTGTGATGGGGTGGGGGGAGAGAGTTAATTTATCCAGCAGCTATTTTCATTATAATAAATACTTAAATTAGGAAAGAGGTGAGTAACCAACTGTGAAAATCTACTTTCTTGCATCCTAGAACAAGATCTAGCTGTGGTCGTGCTAGGTAGCTATTAACCACCCCCACCCCACTCCCCCGCCCCGCAAAAAAAAATACAAAATACAAAGACGTATACCTCTGGGAGTGTGGATGTGGCAACCCATGTGGTGGCTTGTCCCTCCTTTGAGTGCAATTGCCAGTGACTCTTGCATTCAAAGTCTTGCTTTAGGCACACATTCAAAGCACAGTTCAAAGCAGTTTATCTTAATATAGTGTTGGATCAGGGTATTATTTGTTTCAGATTTCATCAGACTGGAAACAGGAGGGTGTAACATATTTAACAATATTAAAGCTTAAAAATTGGTGTGAGGCAGCTCTCTGGTCCTCTTAACACCTCCACCTTTACCTTTCCGAAGAATCCTAAATGCTGTGAGGCTAGAAGTTTATTTGTGCTCTGAGGTTCTCAAGCACTTTCACTCTTTAGGAAAAAAAAAAAAGTCTCACAGTTATTTAAGAAATTGAGCCTGAACCATCCGAGGATAGGAGATTTCTTCCTTTTCCGATAAATGCCTGTGCTCAGCATCCTCAAATTTGGCTGTCTTTATTTACTTCTATATTAGTTCCAATTATGTGCAGTGTAAACCAGCTTTTTGATTAACAAAACAGCAGAGCATTGGTTAAGAACACTTAAACTTCAAAAAAATTCCCCTGGGAAGTGGGCTCTGAATTGGTTAATAATGTGCAGTACTTGCTAAATTGCTGACTTCCAGATGTGGAAAATATCTTTCTTGTTTAGGACCTATGTAACCTGATTGGATTACGACAGAAGCGTCACGTTGGAAGCTTTTGAGTGATTATTTAATTAACCATACAGTAGAAAGCTGTATTCTCCAGGAAATCCCTTCCATATTTGCATAACCAATCCCTTCAGAGCAAAGGTGGAGTCTTTTCTTTTTAATCTTACTTTAATTGTAATATCAAAAAATATATACTCCAAAACTTAGACCCCATGCCGTTTAATATCATGCTCTCCCTTCCCTGCTAAGTTTCTCTATGGCCTTTCTCGTTTCTCCTCCTGCCTCCCTACACACTCTCCCTTACTTTGTAGTGAGGTCTCCCCGAGGTGTAGAGAGATTCAGAGATCGGCCAACCGAGTGTTCTATTTTAATTTACTTAGAGACCCTTTATTAAAATGCCAAACTACTTTTTAATATTGGGATCCAGTCCAGAAATTCATCATGCACACACCCTAATACACATGCCCTAAGATGCAGCTCCCATGCAGCATTTTTTTTTCTGGCTCTGGTACCTAAAAAGAAAAAAATAACAATAAGAGAAAGGGCAGAGAACTTTGTTCCAGAAGCTGTACTGAGATACCTACACAATTTGATGTGCATCTCAAATCTGGTCATTAGAGATATCTGTATAAGAAGAGACTATCTGGATTGAGGACCCGGGATCTTTCCCTTTAACTTTCGCCCCTTGGAGTTCTCCAGTTCTGTGAATGGTGTGCACCGTTTTCCGCCCTGTACTCTGTAGGATTTAGTGATGAGGATAATGATGCCAAAGGCTTGACGGGCGGGGAGGGGGGGGTGGAGGGGGGGAGAAGGGAGGGAGGGGGGAGGGAGGCGAAGGCGAAAGGGAGGGAGAGGAGGAAGGGAGGGAGGTGGAATTTCATTTCTTCCACTAAAGCGTTTGCGGAGACTTCAAGGTATAATCTATCCCAGATCCTTTCCCAGAGAGAAACTTGGCGATCACGTTTTCACATGATGCTCACGCTCAGGGCGCTTCAATTATCCCTCCCCACAAAGATAGGTGGCGCGTGTTTCAGGGTCTCTCGTCTCTCTCCTACAGAAAAGAAAAAGAAAAAAATGTCATTAGAAGAGGCGTAACACGTCAGTCCGTCCCCAGGTTTGTGTTTCCTGGAGTGGCCGAAAGAGATCAGTTCTAACCTGCTCTGCAGGAATAACGGTCCTGCCTCCCGACACTCTTGGCGAGGTTTTTGTACAGTTTGCTCCGGGAGCTGTTTCTTCGCTTCCACCTTTTTCTCCCCCACACTTCGCGGCTTCTTCATGCTTTTTCTTCTCACCATTTCTGGCCAAAACTACAAACAAGACTTCGCAGGTAGGTTTTTTTTCCTCCCCTTTTCTCTCTTTTTATCCCTTTTTGGTGTGCTCGTCCTCCATCCTCCTTTTCTAATTTTCTCATTTTGAGTGGGGATGTGAGTCTGAAGTGAGAAGGGGTGTCCGTGGGTAGGAATTTCAGGTGGGTTTAGCTCCTTTATGGCAAGCTTTTCTCAAGAGTGGCTTCTTCGCTTTCTCTTACACTCACACTCTCTCTCCTTGCTTTTCTCTCCTTTTTCCCTCCCCCAAATAATTTCCCCTGTACCTGTTCATTCAGGTAACCAAAGGTGTCCTTTGCTATCCAGCCCAGGAAAAGTTTTATTGAGAATTATATGGCTGGAATAAAAACTCATCAAGGGGAGAGGTCCTGCTCTATTTTCGCATCTAGTTCCAATTCATTATATTCAGCAATTAGGACTTGGCAAATACCTGTTAATAATTACAAAACTTGGTCAGTTACAGACCTACAAATTCGGGGGCAAGTCTTTCTCTTAGACATGGCAGTTCATCCTCTCCCACCGAGAAGGCTGTTTTCTAAGCAGAAAGTTGTCTGTTTTTGTCTGCTTAGCGAGTTTCATTTCTTTATTTCATTCTTTGTGTGTGTATGTGTGTGAAGTAACACCTCACTTCTGTGATTATAAATAAAGAAGTGAAAGTCCTCATGGAACTTGAGTCGTTTACCAAAGTGGAGGGGGGGGCACTACAGCTGGGAAGAAAACTGCTGTCAGGATATCAGGGTTTTAAATTAGGATAACTTTTAAAATTGTATTTTTAGTGGCAAAGTAATATAGACATGGATTTAATAGAAGACACATACACACATATATCCCATTCCATACTTTGGCACTGAAAAGTCGAGAGAGAGATAGCAGGAGTTCCCAGGAACAGTGATGAGCCCGGCTAACATGAATGTGTTTATCTCCCACCTACTGATATATTTTACATGCTCCCCCTGTAATGATGAAGGCAAGATTACTAACTCCAGACTTAGGAGTAACAGGCAAAGATAAAGTTTACAGCACAAATGCCCTGTCTCTCTCTCTCACACACACACATGCCCATAAAACTAGCAACTTACTTTATTAAACATGTATTTATATGCAGTCGTGTGTCTCAGGATGAATATAGACAGGCCAGCTGTTTCATCCCAGACACTTGTGTGACCATTTCTTTATTTCAGGATTTCCCCTAACAATTTCAAATCAATAGGACAAGGAAAGAAATGATAAAATATGTCAAACTTAAAAGTCTCCTACTATGTATGCCTAGGTAAATTTAAGGTGCTTTCTAAAATATCCACTTCCCCTTCTCTCTGCCCCCCTCCCTTCACCCCTCTCAGCAAATGTGTGGAAACTGATACTCACTTTCCAGGTTTTCTGCAAAGCTTCTAGCACAGGAGACAATAGGTGTGGGGCGTGGGGACTGAGTGTGCCCGGCAGAGAAAGGGTTAATGGCCCTTGTGTTACAGTTTGCATCTGTTACATCTTTTATAGCCCCCTGTTTAAACTAATCCTCGAGGCACAGCATCTTCCCAACCTCCACCGAGTTTTCAGGATTCTCCTCCTCTCCTGCCTGCCTCCGAGGTCCCCCTTCTCCAAGTTTTGACAGTTTCAACTGAAAAAATGCAGCGCCTCTCTCGATTTTTAGGTACAAAAGTTTCGAAGCCAGAAAGGATACGATCATTTAGTAGAGCTTAAAAGTATTGCCGTAGTGGTTGGACTTTCTCTTTCCTTTCTTAAGGGAAAAAAAAAATTCTACTGGAACTATTTAAGGGAACCAGTGTGGGGGAGCATGTGTGTGAGTGAGGTGGGGGGAAATACTTAAGTAAATATTGTCAAAGTGGCGAGGGGGGGTGGGGTAAAGGACAGTGTCCAAAGAGGCTTATAATTATATTTATCATTGCGGCGTAAAACGGGAAATCTTAATTTGGGGGCGAGGGTGGGGGGAGGAAGAGACAGTGCCTCGATAAACTCCAAAAGGGGAGGGGAGGGGGCGCTGGGCGAGTGGGCTTCCTATAATTACTATTATCAATTTGCCCGAGTGTGCTTCATCCAGGGGCTGTTTCGCGTTGTTTGTTTGTTTGTTTCCTCTGGGAATTGGGGGGTGGGGGGATGAGAAAAGATGAGAACGAAAAGAAAACCTCGCCTCACCCCAAGTTCCCGAGCCGGGGGCTGAGGACTTTTCGAAGGAAAGGGTCCGCCTAGCCCTGAGTCAAGCGGTCTTACTGTACCGCCGTGTGCATTCCCTCATACGGTCAGGAGTTATGACTCATTTTGAAGATGTAATTCTTGTCTCTCTGATCCCCTCGCGGGTGCAACACACCAAACAGTAACAAACACAAAGCGCCTCGGGGCCAAGGCTGGGGGTGGGGGGCGGGGAGGGGGCCGCCGAAGTTTCGCTTTGGCGTTGGGGGGCGCGGATGGGTGCTCGCCGGGGCCCTGGCCCGGCTCCCCTGGGCGGCCCGCGCGCGTTTCAATGGGCGCGGGCGATGCCCACATTGTCGCTGTGTTTGGTTGCTAGATCGAGCCTGCGTGCTGCCGAAGCAGGGCGCCGAGTCCATGCGAACTGCCATCTGATCCGCTCTTATCAATGAAGCAGCCGATCATGGCGGATGGCCCCCGGTGCAAGAGGCGCAAACAAGCCAATCCCAGGAGGAAAAACGGTAAGAAGCAGCCCGAACCAAACTTTTCCGGGCCACTACGCGGCTCGAGACCCAGGGAGAAGGAGGGGGAAAGGGAAAAGGAACCGAGGCGGCGGCGGCGGCGGCGCCCAGGGCTCTAGGGCGAGCCTCCCTCCGCGGCCGGCGCCGGAGCCCGGCGCGCGCGGCGGCTGGACCGGGGGGTGTTGGGGAAGTGCCGGGCAAAGTGAGCGTCAGGCACCCGGGGGTCCGAGCGCGGGGGTCCGGCCGGGGCCCCGCGCCCCCAGCCCCGCTGCCCCCCTCGAGCCCCTGCCTCCGCCCTCCCTCCGCCTCCGCCTCCCGCTCCGCTCGCGCCCGGCCCGCCGGGTCTCCGGCCGGGCTTCGGGAGCGTCCGCCTGGGGCAGGGCGGGGGCCCAGGCGCTGGATCGCGCAGGATCCCGGGGCGGGGGCGGGGGTGGCAGAGAGACTGCGAAGGCAGGAGAGGGGAACCGGGTCTGCGCCTCAGCGAGGCTTAAAGTTTCTTGCCGGAGTCGCCCGGCCGCTTCTCGGTGCGCCAAGTAACGGTCCGCGGGCAGCGGGGCCCGGCCCATCGCGCCCAGACCCCGGGGTGGGAGGGAGTCGGCCGGCCCCGCGCGGGGTCCGGTGGGGTCGATGATGGCTCGGGGACGGATGACTCCTCTCCAGCAGGCTCTGCCCCCAGGCCGGGGACTGAAGGAGTCGCAGGGCGCAGCGAGACTTTTCCCGGCAGTTTCTACATGGTCTGGAGGAGCCCGTTATCCAGGCTGAGTCAGGAAGGAGGAAGGAGAAAGGAGATGGGGGTTCGAGGGGCACACGCAGATCAGAGGTGGGATATTAAAGGGGGGGGTGAGAGTTTGGTAGGTCCGTTTTGGAGACAGCCAGAGAAGGGACGCGGGGGGACAGAGAGAAACAGAGAGAGAGGAAGAGAGTGAGAGAGAGACCCCCTAGGTATTACCCCAAACAAAATCGTGGGAATAAAAGAGAAAAGTGATTGGCAAGAGCGCGGAAGGCGCCTGGGGGAGGGGAGAGGGCTGGGGACTAGCGAGGGTGCCGGGGGGGGGTGGGGGAGCTGACGGAGGATAACTGAGTTTAAAAAGAAAGAAACCAACCCCCGAAAACAAACAAGCGAACGAGCGCCAGCCCAGACTCGGAAAGGAAACTTCTCGCTCCCCTCGCTCTCAGCCCGATCACCCGGCGCGGGGCCGCGTAGACGCTCCCGAGGCAGGCGCTGGGACGCAGCGCCCACCCGGCCTCCCGGCCTCCGCAGCCCCAGCCCGCGCCTCGCGGGGACCGCCCGGGCCCACTTGGAGCAACTTTCCTCTAGAGAAGACAATTGTGCGCGCCCCCGGCCTGCCCCAGAGCTGCGCGGCGCGGGGAGGGGGCGGCTGGGGGCGCAGTGTGAGGTGCTGGAAGGAGCAAAACACAAAGACGAGAGAATTTTGATTAGAGACAAATGATGCTTTTCTCTCTCTCTCTCTCTCTCTCTAGGTTTTGTGTGTGTGTACGCGTGTGTGTGCGTGTGTGTGTCTTTTGCTTGTTGTGGTGGAGGTGTCGAGCCATATGGGGGAGTGATAGAGGAATTTTAGTCAGAAACTGTTCGTTACGTTATCCTGCCTTTCCCCTTTGTGCTGTCTTTGATCTATTTGCTTGGCTTAGTATTACAGAAAAACAAGTACAATAATATATTCCGAGCTGCTTCCCCAAGATTCAGTTCAGGCTGCTTCTTTTTAAGTCTCTCCCTCTCTCTTTCTCCCTCTCTCTCTCTCTTAATTTAATTTTTTTTTCACTCTGGTGTCTGGCATTATTTAAGGTGGTCCTTACACAGGAGACCTCCCCTTCCCCATCTCTGAGTAATTTAGTAGACACTAAAATTACACCTAATGTCCCCCTCTCCTCTCTTGTGTTTCCTCTGTTCCTTTTATTAAATGTTGGTTATTGATTTTCTAAAATCAATGTCTGTTGTGGGGCTTTTTTCCCCCTCTTACAAGTATCTAAAGCACGTTGCTGATCAACTGGATAACAAAAGCTTTGTGTCAAGGAGGCTTTTTTCCCTCTTCTGTTAAACAGTCATTTTTTTTTTTTGAGAGAAAAAGAGAATGAGATTTAAAACAAGGCTCCCAGAAGTGTTCTTTTGCAGGGAAGACTATTTAAAGTGTGCATTTCTTCTTGCCTTCCTCCTTCCACCTCCTTCGGGATTTTGCCACCGTTGACCAGCCTGGCCCTAGCAGTGAGGTCAGGCCAGAGCCCAGGTCTAAGGAAATAGAGGGATCCTGGCTTCCTGGGAACCCCTAGGAGACCTGGCAGAGAGGGAGGCCCGTTGGGCGCTTCGCAGGTGGAATGGAGTGCCAGAGATGTCCGCAGTCATGGACACTGCAAGTATTTCCCCTCCACCCAGCCACTAACTTGGGAGAAGCCTCCACATTCAGAAGTGGAAAGTTGAATTGCACATTTTAAGGCATTTAGCCCAGATCCTGCACACTTAATATCAAGCCTGTCCATTGCTTACAGCTTCTCTAACTTTGACTGTTACCTGTCTTTTTTTCCAAATAAGCTGTGGGAAAACATGCTGTATACTGGTTATTGTAAGTGTTTTTCACTGGGTTTAATCTGACCGAGCAATGTTCTGGTTTTGAGAAGCAGGTAGAAGAGTACTACCACCCCACCCCTTTTTCATTTTCTTTCTCATCAAACACATATCCAATGCCTTTCCCTTTGGGAATTGCTAGGATTTATCTGAACTGAGTGGATTTTTCTTCTTTCCTGGATTCATGGAAAAGATGTCACTTTTGAGCTTGTGTCTTTGCTGATAACACTAAATATGATGATGCTTATCAAAATCATATAGAAATTCCTGGAAAGAAATAATGGCAATAATAATCGTATAAGTAGAAGCTGGAAGGGAAAAAAAGATGGTCATCCAGGAACCTAGAATGGCACTTTATATAATTTTAATGAAGTCAACAGTGTATATATAGACTAAGGCGACAAGGAGATAAAACGTGTAAAGCAGTGTGTGTGTTTTAAAGGCTGGTCAAGAACGTGAGTTAGAAGACAATGCTATGTACATTTAATAAAAAGCAAAGGAGAAGGAGGCAGTTGAAGAAAAATAAATGTACAAAGAGAGAAACAAGTATCTGAAATACAACCTTCCAGATTCTCAGGCTAGCAAGATGCCTGGCAGAGGCAGTGCCAGGGCCAAGTTAACCCATAGCGGGCAGTCAGTCTCCTTTCCCCCACATGGAAAGGATGAAATCTCTTCCCAGAAAATAAGATGTGCAGGAGGAAAGAGGGAGTGGGGTGAGGGGGAAGGAGGCAAAAAGCGAGTTGCCCGCAGACAAGAATGTGTGTCGGTTTCAAGAAAGTTCAGTCAGATGATCCTCAGTCGCCTGACTCACTTTGTAACACTTTCACTGACGCTGGAGAGGAGGGGGAAAACCCAGCCCCCCTTTTTCTTTCCCCTGATTATACCCCACTATCTCCACACAGCCTTGGAGTCAGAAATGAGCACTCGGAGCGGGAGATGCCCTGCTGCTGCTTGCCACCGGTGCGGCCCGTTTGTAACTTGCAAAGTTTGTTGCTTTTGCCCCTGATTCGGGCAGCGGGTCCTGGGATGCTCCTGCTTCCCTCCTGCCTCCCACGGAGCCCGGGAAGAGGGTCTGCCTCCCCATCCCGCCACCTTCCAGCATCAGCCTCTGAAAAATCTCACAGAGACATGCACGTTGTAGCAAAAATCAAATCCGGAAACTGCTTGTTTCAGAGAAAGAAATGAAGTTGTCTTTTAAAGAAAAACTGAATTAGGAGGAGAGAAAAGGGAAATAGGAGAAGAAAGGAAAAGTTAAATTTGATTTTTCTCCAGAGTTTCCACTAAAGGGTTGGGGACAGTGTGAAGGAGAAGGGGAGCTTTTTACAAATGCCTTTGGTCTCTGAACTTCAGTGGCAAAGAACAGGGATCAAGTTGAATGTTCTCAGGGCTTTGGATCCTAGAGGAGAAACAATCAGAAGAGCAGAAATGGTTATCCCTGTTTAAAATAAGCCCTCACTCTTTACCACTTCCTTAAAGGAGTGGAGGTGCTGGTAGTGATGGTTAGAGGCAATGAGGGACGGAGAAGTTGCTCCCGTTTCAGAGATGCTTAAATGAAAAGGAAAGAAAATGCAGTCAACCCCTTCTCCAGGAGGTGCCTCCTAGCTCTCCTCCCTGAGAGGTGAAGTTGGGATGGGGCAACGAGAGTCATACACACTTAGACAAGGAAGTTTCCTTCGGATCACTGTCAGTCCAGACTTGGTTATCTTTGCAAAGTGTGGAAATCTTTGGCAAGTAGCTTTCTTCGTAAAGTTGATGAGCTTCTAGGGAGCCTGTTTTGCTGACTTTCAAAGCACTGGGGCAGGTTGTGTGGCAGGTACCAGTTCTGAGGGCGCTCCAAAGATATCCATCTCCATCCTTTTTTCTCTGTGGAGATCTTCTGCAAGTTTTGTCACGCTGCACACACACAAGGCTGGGGGCTATGTATCTAGGCTGATCTATTTGTTTTATTTTGGTCTGGAAAAACTAAGCCAATTGGGGTAGAAACATGCTTTCCTTCGTAGCAGAGCCAGTAGGCTGCTGGTGTCCATAGAGTGACAGTCCACCAGGACTAAGGGTGGGCTGAGGATTTTAAACTTTACATTGTTTCTCTGTTACCAGATACAAATAAATTCACGTCTTCCACCATTTGTTTTCAAATAGGGTAAAACCAAGATTAAAGTTCCCTGCTCAACTGCTATGTCATAGGTTTCAGTGTTTCCCTTCCTTCTTAATTTGCTTAAAGAAAATTCCAAGAGGTTATTAAAGACCTTGATGCCATATTAAGAATATTTCCTGGGAAAAATGTATGTCTACCCTGAAGGTAGGAAAGGAGGGCGTTGCTAGCCTCTAGCAGTGCCGCGTTTATTCTAAGATGTGGGAGATTCTTTTCCTTGCAACAGTTTTTGTCATCTGCATTCTTCCAAGGCTTTTAAGGTGCATTTTCTTCTGTGTGAAAGGAAATTCTTTGTCCTTTTCCTCTCAGCACCGTGGCTTCCCAAGGTAGACACTATTTTGTGCCTGTCACAGAGAGAGGGAGTGCAGGTTTGCAATGCTCACAGACAATTGATTGTCTGCCCTAATGTGTTTCATTTACATGTTTATAACGTCAATGGTGCTGGGGTGTCCACTGTACCATTCATTCCCGCATTCCCACAAGGGGGCAATTGTCTGAATGGCCAAGTCAGACACCTTTTTGATTGCTCTTTGGTTGTCTTTTCAGAGCAAAGAGATAAAGGAGGAAAATCTGTGATGCAGAAACACTAGTTGAAAATATACAGAATTAAATGTCACCACAAAAGCAGATGTTAACATAAGCCCAAATATGCTTTTTAGCCAAGATGTGAAGGTTGAAAAAAATAATTCAGAGCAGAGGGAAGGATGATTTAAACCAATAAATATAGCCCTATTCCCCCTCTTTACTTCTTTTCTGTCTTTAGCAATCAGAAGATGAAATGTAATTTTCCTTTTCATTTTTAAGCCTTGAAACATCCAGGCACCTCCTCATTATTTGTATGTTTGCTGTGATTTGTGAATTTTGTATATATTTACATAGCTCTGTTTATGCCAACAGCATCAGCTTACCACTTGGAAAATCTATTGAATGACTATTTGGGCTGTGGGGAGGGTAAACTTTTAAAAAGTAAGATCCAAGTATTTCTTCATCAAGCAGTTTTTAAAAGGAAAACGATAATAATCAGTAGGCTCCATGGAAGCCTTTGCCTTAATAGCTATGTGCCAAATACTTTTATCTTGTGTGACAGTCATGTCAGAGTGAAATCTCTCAGGAAAAGTGTAACTAGTAGTTACAAAGTAAATAAAGGATTTCATTTTAAGGTGTTCTGTAGTGTTTTTATGCTGTGTATGTGCATGTGTGTGTTTTGTCTTGTGTTTCCTCTGAGGAGGTAAGAAGAAAAGCCATCCATGCGTGTATCTTTTGGCTTTTCTCTTCTTTCCGTTCTCTCCTACATATTATGCATATATGTAGCCCACATGAATACACCTGTTTAAAAGAAAATCACAGTTCAGATGGTGCCTTGCTGGTTCATTTAGGAAACAACAGTTATTAGAAGTTGGTCTGATTTCGCGTGTGGTCCATGAAGACAGAAAATACCAACTCTTGTGTCATCTGGTGGGAGGCAAATGGGGGAAAAACTTTTATAATTTTGTAGTAAATTAGAGAGGGGAAAAAAACTGCCAGTCTGTGAAAAGATTTTTGCCTCTCCGGGAAGACACACACACACCCAGTAGCTGCACCGTTAGCTGAACCCCTGACACGGCGGTCTTTTGAATGCCTTAGGTATGATTTCACTTTCGCTCACATCAATGCTGACCTGAATGCCTTTCATATCTGATCCGCTGTGTCTCTCCCAGTAAACATCCCCTGAGGGGAGAACAAAGAAAGGAGCTCTTCTTCTTCTTAATCACAATTCAGCCCTTTCACCGCCGGCAGGCTCCATTTGCATTCTGCCACAGAAAGCCAAGATGAAAAGAAAGAGAGAGAGAAAGAGAGAGAGAGAGAGAGAGAGAGAGAGAGGCACAGGGTAGTAGCTGAGTAAAATAACTTAGGTGTTTGTGGCTGTTTGTTGGGCTTCCCCTAGTTACCAGCCTTATATAGCTGATGCTCCACCAGGCCCTGTCCCTCCTGACAGGCATATAGTGTTACAAGATGGCATGTCTGTACTATTCATGGCCACCCGCTCAACACTTGAGGTAAAAAGTGTCAGGAGGGGATCGAATTCTCCCCCAGAAGCCTGTTAGATTTGGGGTCAGGTGTGTGGACTTCCCGCCCTTAAGTGCTGCCTACGATTTGGCTTTAATAAGTCTGATTGTTTACCAGCGGACCAGAGAGGTGAGGGCCCTGGGGGTGGGAGGGACGGGCGAGCTGGAGACTGGGCCCCTGGTCTGGTTTCAGTGACGGGTCCTCACACCCAGCCTGAACACACTGATAAATCCTCAGGAAAACTGGAAAAGACTTTCCCATTTTTCCCCCTGACTTTTTATGATAATTCATATTTTCAAATGAAAGGGGAAAAAAGCCAAGAAGAAACTCTCAAATGAGCCAAAAAGGAAAAAAAAAATTCTCTGAAAAGAATTTTAGGGGGAAAAGTTGTGCTATTTTAAAAAGCTTTGAGGGCTGTAAAGTGCCACGTTTTTCACACCTTCTCCATACTTTTTTTTCAGATTTTTTTAGTATGTTTAACATTTGTGAGATGACAGCCTTTTTGTATCTCAAACTGGATGCTTCAGGATTTGTAGGGGAGGGGTTGGTGGTATTCACGTTCTCTTGTGAGAGAAAGTTTGTGCCTAAAGGCCTCCTTCCTGGGAACTGTTTAAACCCTCGCAGGCAGACCTGTCAGGTTTTACTGTGTTATTTGCCACCATTTTCAACATGCAAAAGTAACATGCAGTTAATGGTATTGGAATGAGACCACAGCAAGAGCAGAAACCTCTCGTGACAACTTTTCAGCGACATTATCTTGCTCCTAGACTGTCTTGTCTTTTTCTTCCCCTTTCTGAAACCACTTTTGAGATACCAATAATTTTCTCCCAACAATTAGATTAAGGATACAATGCGCTCACACACATGCACCACACACACACACATTCACACACACAAACACACACACAAACTTTGGAAGTGCAATCTCTTCCAACAGCAGAGTGAATGATTTGAAACGGGGGCTTTTCCAATAACCCTTGTGGAAGATTTCACTTATAAGAGCAAAACTAACGGATATATTAGAAGTTGTGCGAACATGTGACACAGATTCCTGATTTTTTTTTCTTTTTCCCAGAAGATTTACAGAATTTACAAAAAGAGATTATCCCTACACCTTCCACCCCTCCTATCCACCCCCATGACCCAAGCAATGAAGGATTTAGGCAGATTTACTTCAGTAAACACCTTTGGACACTTGCGGGGAAAGTGGGAGTCTGTTTGCAAAAGGAGGCTTTTGTTAAGTGAGGTACGGGGATAATGCTTTACCAGGCAGCTGTGATATTAACCTACCCAGCAATGCGGGAACACTCTTTAACTCTTTGAGTGCCTGGCCCCTTGCGCTCAGCAGATAAAATCCTGGCTCTCCAAAGACACTCAGAATTCTGGCTCTAGCAGTTTATTATTCAGACAAGTCTTATAGGCATGAAAACTGTTCAAGCTTTTAAAACAATGTGGTTTAATTAGATGAGGTGGACTTACATTGCTCATAAGCCCTCCAAATGGTGGTTTATAATTGGCAAGGGAAAAAAAAAAGATAGAAAAAAGGAATCAAGGCAGCACATTAAAAATTCCAGGAAATATCTTTAGAAAAGCTATTTTCATTTCTAGCTTTTAAAATATTAGACTACGGTAGCTAGAGGGAATGAAGCAGCTGGGGCCTCTCTCCTTCCTATAAAAGACACCAGAAGTTTGTGATGAAGAAAGGGGCTTCAACTTGAAAAGCTATGAGAGGCCAGTTCGGACAGTGATATGATCTCAGCCTTCGCATCTTTTCAAGGGGGAAGTACTGCCTATCTGTCCAAACCTGGGAGGTCATGTGAACCTCAGAGTCAGGGCCTCAGGCTGGCCGTTACCAACTTGAGACTTTCCAAAGCAAGCAGAGAGGCATTTATGAGGAAGGAGTTAATGGTTATTTTTTGCTGGGCACAAGAATAACTTTACAGGTGTTGCATTTGGGCTTAAATAAGATTGCCTTATTTAGTTTCGAAAAAGAGTGTAGGTGTCAACATTCGAGCAGCCACAAATGTGTGAGAAAGTAAAGGGTATGAGACATGACGGAATTAAAGGTGTTTGCTATGTTGTTACACCGTGTGTCAGGCTGCAAGCTCCCTTTGTCACAGCCTCCTGGTGATTTGACAGCGCAGATCTACTTCCCTTCTAGGTGAGACAGCATTTTTAAACTTGAGTTATAAATATGGTACACCCTTCGAGTTGCACCCTGCCTCCCAGATCCGTGAATCCTATTTGAAAGCATCTTGCCCTGAGACACAATGAACAAACGCCCGTATACAAGGAGGCTGTGGGCTCGGGGGCCCGGGCAGCGCCAGCATCACAGTAGCTGGCATTGACTGTTGTTTGGCAAGAAGGTCCTCTGCCAAATCATCCAATAATTAAGTTTTATGTTATTTGTATGAACGACCAAGCATGCAGTATTCCTTTTCAAATCAAAGGGAGGCTTAAAATTACTTTTTGAACACTTTCAGACCATGGTCAGGTCACAGTTTGGGGGCTGAATTAAAATGATCTCATTCATGATCTAATTGAGGTTGGCAAAACCTTAGCAGTAGCAGGAGTACATAAATATAAATCAAAGACCAAAATTTAGCAAATCATATCATTTGCTAGAAATCTGCTCATGAATTATTCTCCGATTGCCAACCCAGAAGTTAAACTTTGTCTCCCCTCAGCAACAGTAACTGCGCATATTTTTTCAGGCTTCTGACAGGAAAGTTAGAGGATCTGAAAAGAGAAAGGAGAAGGAAGATGATCACTGTGTCATCAGATATGGTACATTTGTGACCCAAGAAACTATGAGAGCTGATAAAGCCATGTACGTTTACAGTGGCTGCTGCAGCCTTGGTTAGAAATTAATATGGGTTTCTAAAAACCAGACTTTGGAAGAGCAGGCAGCACAGACACATTAAGAGTGTAAGGGGAGCAAACGTTTCAAGAAGGGTCTGATTGTACTTTGCTTTCATTTTTTCAATTGAGGAATGTAATCATCATAATGATTCATGATTATTTACAAATTTAGTTCTATCACTGAGCTGGGTCCAGGGATTGAGATTTGAAGTAGTGGTTAGAACTAGAAGACGATACGGAGCTGTTAGTGTGCATATTCAGGTTACCTTTCATTCTTTCTTTCTTTTTAACGCTGCTATAAAATTAAGACTCCAAATAACTTTTCCTATAATCTGTGGGATTAAATGTCATACTCTATTGTATCTAATCCATTTTTAAGTTGTAAATTTTTCTTGTTTGCTGTGTATGATTTCATCTTAAACCCACACAACACTTTACTATAAACTAGAAGAGGTCTAATTCTACAGTTGAATCTTTTGAAGTTAAAATTTTAAATCCTGTGTAAAAGAAGATGTTCTTTTAATCAAACAGTAAACACAGAACTGGTCAGTTGGCCACCTTTATATATCACAAATATATGAAGGTATACTTTTAAATCTTCAGGATAAACTAAGGTGGGAACATTTAAAAATAATCTCAGGTGAGAGAGGTAGATGACCACATTCCTGGGAATAGGTAACTGTCATTAATGATTTCCTAAAATGTATTCTACATTAAAAAAACTGTAATGGATTTCTCTTTAATAGTTACGTTGCCCATAGACAACATAGTGATTTTTGTTCTTTATATACTGTTTCTTATTTTTTTATAATAACTCAAGGAAAGGTACTCCTGACAAGATGATAGCCACCCCCTCCTCCCAAATATGAAATAATCAGTAATAGATGAACAGATTAAAATATTGTGCTATATAAAATCTGAGGTTTTTTTCTTTCTCTCAAATGGATGAGTAAATTTCAAGGAATTCAGTGCCCAAGTGATCTATAAATGTAATATATTGCTTTCAATGTTTCTTAGTTTAAGAAAGTATTTATTGTCTTGTATATCCAAGTAACTGTAATCAAGGAAATTGCAATTGCCTATTCTTGGAAGTACCTAAGTTTCTATTTTAGACACCATGCACATCAATGGAAGTGTTTCACATCATGAGAATTCTCAGTTTTAAGAGGTGAGGTTTATATATAAGGAACTCAGTAAGCTGTGTTTTCATAATAAATAGACCCATTAAGAGGGAAATATCTCTGAGCAAAATGGTTGTCCTCTAAAGATTTCCCATCACCTTTGCTCTGCTGATGGGAATTTGAAAACTAAATACAGCCCATGTGCACACATTCCCACATGCACACAAACACAAATGCACCCTAGGATCCAAACTCTGAGAATTTTCCTCTTTAACTTTCACTACAGTCATCTAGCTTGTGAATGAAATACACTTAAACAAAAATAGTAGAGGCGAAGAATTAATGTAGATTCTTGTTTAGTAGGATTTATTGTAGGGGGGAAATGTGTTCCCTATGCCACATGATTCTTACGAAACTTACACCTATTAATCTAAGCTTTAAGTGTATTATTTAGGATAAATTACTAGCTTTCTGCTTTTGTACTGTTTTCTCCCATTTTCCTTCAGTATTACCAATCTTAACACAGATTATCCTAAACTGATTGCAAATTATTATGGTTTTTAAAACAGCATTCTGGAGTCCTGAATAAAGATGGTATTTTAAACTAGTGTTTACAATATACAGAATAAAAAAGGGTGGGGGAGATTTAAAACCATACCGAACACTTAGAAATGTGTGGAGTTTTATACTTGTGCAGATAAGTGTGAGGTAGCCTTGCCCTGTGAAACCAAGACCACAAATGATACGTGTCAGTAGGTTCTTTGATAGGGCTTCTGGCCACAGTGTTTTTGTGCTGTCAAACTGCTATGTTGAACAAACACCTCCTCTGGGACAGAGTGATAAATGCAGAGACAGGCTGGCTTCAACCAGTCTCAGCAACCTCCTCAACCACACCCCCCACTCCCAGCCCACCTCCTACCTCCTACAATCCAGCCACCTCCCACTCCACTTTGCCCCTTTACCTGAAATTGACATTTATATAGAGGTGCCCAGGATTTTTTAAGGTGTCAGTGGTGAGTAATTGTTGATACTCCCCAAATCTTATGAATCAGTACTCTGAAACTGCAGGCAAAGTCCTTTTTCTGGCAGGCTTTATCTAGTCTTTTTAAATGGAACTGGACTGAGCTTCTAAACTTTTGCCAACTTGAACTTTTTCCACCTTTGCTTAATCACTTGAAAACCACTTGCTTTCCTTGTCTTTCCCCCAGTCGCTTTTTATTTTCTAATGTTCAAGCTATTACATTGTGCAACACAGACAAAATTTTGCCTTAAAAAATCCAAACACTATTACCTCTTACTTTTCACTTTCTAGCATTCTTTTAGGGCTAACATTTCAAATGTATAGTCAACTGGTCTTTTTTTTTTTTTCTTCTCTCTCTTGGAGCCATTATTCTCTGACTAAAACCTGTTTACTGGTGCCTTTGTGTGTGCGTTTTTTCCCCCTGACATTAAATGAATTTCCATCTTCTACTTCTGCAATCTCTAAGAAATAGATAAACCATTATATTTTTTCCCTGCTCGTATTTTAAAGTGGTGATCCTGACAGCAGGACGATTATTGCACTTTATGTTTTAGTGGATGTTTGCTGTTGCTAGTTACAGCAACACTTATCATAAGACAGCAAGAAAAGAGTAGTCCCTGGTAATTAAAGTAATGAAATATTCATTTACTCTACCTTTTCTGTAGTCTCACAAATTAGGCTGCTACATTTAATGCCTGCACTGCCTCTGTTTTTATTATAATGGCAGCTTTCGCATCTGCAATTAGGACTAATTCTGACAGTTACAATTTCTGAGGGATGGTAAACAGTGAACGAGATGTGCAGCAGAGGTATTACACGTGAAAAGCCCTTGTCTCTTTAACCTTGTTGTTTTTTTTCTCGCAGAGGTTACCTTTTCCCGATGGTGCAAAATCGACTTGACATAACTGTTCATCAGTTTCAGGGTTTTCCCTGGAGGTATTTGCATCAAATCAGCCCAGTCAAGCTTCAAGTTGAAATTGGCAGGCCAGAAACTCACAGGGTAGAGACTGGAAAAGAGACAGCCAAAGTACAGGCAGCAAACTGACAGCAGCAGAGTGAAAGACAGAGGGGTGGGGGGAGGTTGAGAGCGAGAGCTTTTCAACTTTAGTGTGCGGGAAATCTCAGCTCCTCCTGTACTGATCTCAGCAGCACCATATCCTGAAGGAGCTTGAAAGGTTGAGATTCAGAACACCTTCAGCTAATTCTTACCACTAGGGCTCACCAGCCTTGCTCCGGGGGTTTGCTCTCACTTAATCTGATTGGATGCCTAAAGAGGAGTGGGCACACTTAATTAAACGGAAGGAAAGTTCTGAGGCACCTCCCCAGCACTTATTAAAGCTTGAAAGCCAAATCTCATGATCAGTGTTATAGGAGGAAATTAAGGTGGTTTGTTTTTTTTGTTGTTTTTTTTTTTTTTTCTAATTGTTAACTTGTAGGAAAGTGAACAATCCCTCTCTTTACCAGGTTTGTTTTCTTGGGGGTTCTCTTCTGAGTAGATTAAATGTTCACAGAGACTAGAGCTCAGGGGACTGTCCATTCAAAAGCTAATGCATTTTGGCTAACAAAAAGCCAGTACAAGTAGCAAAAATTATATTTGAAGAGATACTCCTTTGAATGACATGGGTTTGCAAGTTCTCTGTCAAATAATGCCCTACTATCCTGGTAATATGAGAACACGTATTAAGTTGTTTAAAAGGTCAAAAAACATGGCAAAACCTTAAGATGTCTAAGATACTCAACTTTTACTCTCAACAAGGTCACTTTAAGAAAAATTCTATGATTGCAAAACTTGTATAATTGCTTTTACAAAGAAAACAAATATGAAAAGTGTTTCCTTTGCCTGAGAACATTTTTTCTCCTTGATGTCTTAAAAAAAAAAATTGTCATCCTTCCCCGTCTCTTCTAACTTTGGAGTGGGAGGGGGCTGGTGTTTTTACTAGATGATTTAAAATCCTCCTTACTTTCCAACTAGACTTGGGGGTCGAATAAGCCCTTGCTTTCAAACCGTTTTCTAGCTCTGTGTATGACAGGCATTGGCTGATCTGCTGATGCCCATTCGACAGGCACTGTTGAACTAAAGTGGTGTGACGGCACAGTTTTGTTAAGCTGTGAACAAAGGGCTGAAGATGCCTTGCTGGCATCATCCATGTGCATATTGGCCTTGTCACAGTTTTGCTTGATTTAATGCTCTGTTTATTCCTAGATATTAAAACTTAAATTCTGAACAATATGTTTTCAAATACTACATACCAACTTTATTTTAAAAGCTTTAACTTTGAGGACCCTAGGGTCCATTTGCTCATCCAGTTTCTGTGTAGCCAACATTAAAACACAGCTTTGGAAATAAATAGATTGCCAGTAGCCTCTTAGCTGTTATCCATTTAAAAATGGGATTCCAGTCTTTAAAAGTCTTATTAGGATAAAAGATTTATTTTTCTTTGATCATTGGTTGAAAGTCATTATTTATTTCCAACACTGGATTGTCACATAAATTCCTAAGGAAGAGTTACCTTGTGTGTACTCAGTGCAGTCAGAGTAGACTTTTTAAAATGACAAATTATTAAAGAGATATTCAGTAATAAAAGAAAGCCTATAAGAATACCTATAAGGGTAGGCACATCACCACTGAGAGAAAAAAAAAAATCAAGGGAGTTTATGTTAAAGTGAGCCCTATTTAAGAGATAGCAGAAGAATTAAGATTGAGACTTAAAAACAAAATAATTGTTATGAAAATCCCTGTTCCAGAGGCAACAGCTCGCCTATCTAAAGAAATCTTAAGTTTGGTACTAAATTTAGATTCCAGCGTCCCGTTGAATGTGTCTTGAGCTTTATCTACGCTGGGTTTTTGTTCCCCCTCTGCCTCTCTTTCCACTCTTCAGGTTTTCTTCAAGTGTTTGCTAAGAGATTAGTTAGCAAGTTTATATTGAGGAGGTAGCCATGGGAGGCAGCTCTCTGCTTGAAGGAACGCGCAGTGGGTCAGAGTGAGAAGATACAGGGAGCTAAGACTGACTAAGGCCTGGGATCAGGTACTTTATTTTCTCTCAAAGACAAACCGCCCATAGAAAGGTTGGTGGGATGGCATCTGCCAGCAGGAGCACAGATGTTACCACTTTTAGAAACTTCCAAACAAGCATTATTGCTGGAATAACTTTATGAAAAAAAAAATCTGCTGCCAGAATACTCCTTTTTCATTATGTAAAGAGGCTATAATTTGAGATATTCAAGGTTATTTTTACCTCCATTCATAAAACAGCATCTTTCTTGAGAGCTGTTACGAGTTAGGTGAGGAAGGTGGCAAAGGAGAGAAAAATACTCAGCAGCCTAAAAGTATTGCTGCTGCTAATAACCGGTGAGACTGCACTAAGAATCTGAAATGGAATCTCCGGGGTAAAACACATCCACATTTCTACCTGCCCTAAGCGTGCTTTCTTAGCAGTGACTGAGATGAATTGTCCATTTCTTTTCAGTGGTAGTTTTTCTCCATGTTCACTTATGCCAAATAATTCCCACAGCCAGAAAGAGTGATACAGGTCGGGGTGGCTAGGAAAGAATAAGCCTTTATTGCTAGTTTTTGTATAACATCAGGCATGAGAAAGACACTTGCTAACAGCATAGATTGCAAGACACTCTGTGGCCTGTTCTCTTAGTTTCATGAGAAAATTTTGTCCAATCCCATAGGTGTGAACAAGATTTAGACATGTAATCTCCAACCTGGAAAAGAAGAGAGCTTTTAATATATTAATAGGGCAGATTCTTACTTAATATATAAAGTGAATTTTGGCATCAGTTTGGGGTTTCCTATTAATACTTTGTTAGCAACTGTTTATGGAAGAGACAAACAGCAGTTCATCCAAATAGTCCTCCTTCCCCAACCCCCAACCCCTATCTTGGTATTAACTGCTTTGTCCTGTCAGCTTATAACATTCTATCTTTAAATTACTCTAAATGAAGTCATAATTCTAGTTATGTTTTGTAACAAGTCCATGGCTAGGACCAACATGACTTCTCACCTTTTAATGAACTGTTCTACTTTAGGATCTTCTAAGGAATAGAGTGTAAAAAGAAGCAAAGCAGGAGATGAAGAGGTCTCGTAAATAGTTTCCTTTGAACATCCACAATTGCTTACATGGCCTTTTCCCCTTTTTTCCAGGCTGGCAGAAATGGCCTAGCCCAGGACTCATTCAAGTGAGCACATTTCAGAATGACTCATTGGATGATTGGAGGGAGACACAAGCCCTACGATACCAATGCAGTGTATTAATGGAGAAAGTTCCTGAGATTGGGAGTGGGTGTGACATTAGGCTAGGGTATTCCTGAAGGGCTCTAATTCATGTGAGAATATTAAGTGTAGATCTTCTAGCTATCAGTTAGCGTAAGGTTTCATAAACAGGTAATGATGGCTCTTTCCCCCCGCTACCCCCCCATCCAATTTCTAGCTGAGTGAGGAACAGGCTCTGCTTCATATAAATACGATCTTTGAATTTATCTGCAATGAGGTACAGCTTTAATGATCTGTATCTGCAAGCCAGGAGCATGAATGTGATCTTATTGTATCATAGTGTAGAGATGAGATAGGCTAGCGCTACAGCACACCAGTGCATTGTGCCTGGGTGTCGGGAGCAATCCTTCCATTTCCAAAGCAGCAACTCTTTATTTTTCATCATTGTTTCTTTACCTCACTTGTATGCTCCTTGTGATACAGATCTGAGTGAGTTGTGCAAGCTTCAGACTTGCCAGCCCCCAGCTCCCAGGCCTAGTACAGAGTAATTCATAAACTTACCATATTAGACTATCAGATTGAAACCAAGGGTTTCTACTGTGGTGGAATTGGAAAGCCCATTGTTTTGATTATCATTTCATCAGCCCCAACTGATACTAGTATGCTCAAGGAAAACATACTTCAGTTACAGTTGATTTTCAGATTCCAAAATGGTGCTGCAAAGCCTGTGCATCTCTAATTATATTTTATGCTAGGCTGTGCAATACCAAAATATACGCCGCAGCAATCAGTGAGTGAACAGTATCAATCAATTTGTAAACAGATGAAGTCACTCATTCCCAAACTGGTTTTCCAAAAACAATTACTAAATTACAATAGAAAAAAATTGTACAGTTACTGTATTTGTGTGCTGTGTTACAATCAACATACCAGGGAAACAAAACAATTTAATGCAGAAAAATCATCATTCATCTACATTATAATTGCTTCTTTTTCACATCTACAGGGCGGTTAATTAAAATTGTGATTAAATGCGGTCGCGCTGCCTAAGATGTCTTGCCCAAAACAGGTGGTACAGAATTTAAAAGTAAAAAAAATGTAATTAGCATTGGAAATTGAGAAATTGCCTGTAAGAATCAGTGTTAATTTCAGTCAGTGATGAGGTAATTTATAAATGAATGCAGTGGAGGCTGTGCAAATGCACAATTGCCTTCCTTGCCATTCTTAGCATTCTCAGCATGCAGGTGAAAATGTTTTCAAAATATTGAGGTAATTTGAAAATCAATCCATGCATTCTGTATCTTTTTTCTCCCATTTGTACCAAATGCTGAACAAATGCTGCCATAGATGGCACAATCCATCAGTTTTTTACTTTCTAAAAGTAATGCTGCACATATTTTAGACCTAGATTAAGAAATATAACAACACAAATTGCAAGCCTAAAATTGTTACACGGGTCAAAATTGTACACCTGAACTTCTGACTAATGGAGATTTGGTTGGCTGTGAAATGCTCCCATCAATAAAATAGAGACATGGGGGGAAATCTGTCCATGGTGTAGGTGGTACAAACAGAATGACTATTAACCAATCCAATAAATACTTGAGATTAAATTTTTAAAGTTTAAGAAAGAAACAGAAAATTTATAATAAGGCTGATATTTTTCTTAGAATCTTGAACCGTAACTTTGTTATTCCATCTAGAAACATCTAAAACCAGTTAATAAAGTTATCACTAGAAAAAGCGTTTACAGAAATTAACTGTTTTTCAATGTCATCTTTCCTTTCAACAAAGATGCAACTTTCTACAAAACATTATGCTATCAACTTACTATATTTCAAGCGTTCTATTGGCAAATGAGTGGATTCTATAGATTAGATACTGGTTAAAAATTATTTCTATTTACGCTGTATTTTTACTATTAAACCGCTAGACTTTTAAAATCTTTTAATGGAAGAAATTTAACTTTCATGTGCTTATTCTGACCCTCTGAACAATATGAATTTAAAATATTTTAATAATGAATTGAGAATATGGGGTTTGAGTATCTGGCTTGATACCACTGGAGTTAAGAGACTTTGTGGGGCTTTTTAAGCATCCTCTTCTGTGTTTGGCATTCTGCAAAATGATCTCTCCATATAAAGCTCATCCTAAGAATATGCTTATTTAATTGTGGCAGATCAATCTGATGATCAAATTCTCTCATGTAAAATATTCTACGTGTTTTTTGCTGTTTCAGGCAGAAATCAATAATTTCACTTCACTCTGAAGTTATGTTTTGTGGTAATACGGACATTTTCGGGAGAAAGGTGAAAAATAAGAAATACTGTATCTCTGGGAGTGTCATCTTTATTCATTCATTCATTCATTTTTAGAGACAGGGTCTCACTCTGTGGTTCAGACTAGAGTGCAGTGGCACCATCCTAGCTCACAGCAGCTGAGATTCCTGGGCTCAAGGGATCTCTGGGAGTATCTTTCTATCCTCTGATTTCAGGCCTAGTTTCGGGCCTTCCCTCATGACCCTTCCTGATCATTTTTAGGACACAAATGAAAAGTGCAATTTAGAGGTGACAGCTCAGCTGGTTGTTCCAAGTGGCATGCCATCGTTTCTCTCATATTTAAATCTGTTTCCCATTTAATATTACAAGTAGAAATAAAATGAGACCTCTAAATGGAGGAAACTGAAAGGTCACCAGTTAACTCCATGATCCCTCTCCTTTCACCAGCTCTTGCCTCCCACTAACTGTGATGATGACGATTTCATATTCCAGCAGTCAGTTCACTTTCAGCGAGGGTGGGTGCAGACTTCATCAAAGAATGGCTTCCTGGATTTCCTTCAGGACCTGTGAACATAAGATCCGCAACCACATGGGGCTTGGCTCAAATTTCAGCAGAGTGGTGGGATGGAGGAGGTATTATGACGTGCTCCAGGCTGCACTGGTTCTGAGTTTACAAGGGGTCACAAGGGTTAGAGAATCACAGATGTCAATAGAGCGCGAGGACCTTCCTACCCCTTGAAATATTTGCAGTAGAAATCTTACCTCTTTACGTTTGGTTCGTAGTGCCCTATGAGCTTAGCAGGGCAATGTGGAGTTACTTGTGAGATGCCACCAATGTTTCATATATATATATAGTATATTATATAATATATAATATTAATATATATTATATAATATATAATATTAATATATATTATATAATATATAATATTAATATATATTATATAATATATAATATTAATATATATTATATAATATATAATATTAATATATTATATAATATATAATATTAATATATTATATAATATATAATATTAATATATATTATATAATATATAATATTAATATATATTATATAATATATAATATATATGTTGAGAATGACATATATATATATGTTGAGAATGACATATATATATATATGTTGAGAATGACATATATATATATATGTTGAGAATGACAGTGTCTTTTTATACAAGCTCCCTCCACCAAGTATCATCTCTGTACTCTTACAGGGTCATCAAGATTGTCAGAAAAGGCCTGGACTACATGCCTGTCCCAGCACTAGATTGGTATTTTTTAAGTCCTTTTTTGTTTCAAAGTTTGCCATGTGAGCTTAACTCAGTTCATTCTGCTATTATTACAAGCATCACCTCTTTGAAGCTGTTATCAGATTCATGAAAGAAAAATGCGCATTTTCTTTTTCTACTGAGGGCTTCTTTCACCTTTATTCCTGAGAGTGATCAGAGCTTTGAATTGTAAAAAAAGAAAAATTTTCTCATTGTACAATAATTGAAAAGTATGTCATCAGGTCCTTTCTAGGTCTTCCTGTGGTATGTCAGCAGAAAACTACAGTGTTTGTTCATTTTGCATTAATTACACACCTACTATGTGCAGGCTCTGGCTGAGGTCTGTGGATCAAAAAATGGATGCTAGAGCCTGGGCCCCTGAGGAGCTTGCTGTCTAGTGGGAAATGGGGGTGCATTTAAGATATGATGAAAATGTGGCAAGTGCCACAAAGAACTTTCTACCCAATACAGAGAGAGTACAGAGGATGGCACAACTAGATCTGGGAGAAGGTGGTGAGGGGTCACTTCATGGCAGAGGTGACTTTTGAGGAGACTGTTGTCATATAACATGGATTTCACCAGCAAGTGAGGGCACAGCACGCTGGGCTGAGAGGATGGCATGTACAAGCCAGGAGAAAGGGTGAACAGCGCAGGCATTGTCAGCCAACTGAGATGTCTGAAACACAGGGCATGAGCAAAGAGGATGGGCTTGATTTGAGTCTGCAAAGGTGGTCAGGGAGCAGAAGAATGTCCTATCCCATATTTTTGGCTTGTATCCAGTAAATAGGTGATGGTGAGCTTGCGAACCATGTTTTATAGAAGAGTGACATAATTATATTTGCGTTTCAGTGACACGTCTCTGGCAACTGTACGAAAGATATTATCATCTAACATTTGTTGAGTACTTAACAATGTGCTGGGACCCGTGCTAAGAATTTTGCCTATGTCATCTGATCTCGCCCCAACAATAATGCTGTGAAATGGGTACTATTATTTTCATACTATTTTTACTGATGAGGAAATTAAGGTTTAGAAAGGGCATGAGCCTGGAGTCAGGAAGAAAGTCTACGGTTACATGTTACTGTAATCATGGAATTTCTAGAATTACAAGCAACACAGGCAATAATGATCATTGACTAGAAGGACATTTGGAAAAGAAAACCCAGCGTTTGAAAAAGAGTGAGGCAGTTTGATTCTGTTTCTCTGAGTGAATAGTGAGACTAAGTGGGGTGTAAGGATGTTTCATCCTCAAAATTTATTTTTTCTTTCATTACTATGTCAGTTTGAAAAAGAAAATAAAAAATGGTTGTTGATCCTGAAGAAACTAATCCTAGAATGTGCTACATCTTTGAGAGTTTGGAAAGAGACAGTTAACATACAACCCTTCAAAACAGTGGAATTTGGTAAACCCTGGAACACTGTTCTTGCTGATCTAATTCATGACATTAAGGCCTTCCTCGGCCTTATGAGGAAGCAGATGAAAATAATCCTTTTGCGATGACTATTTTCCCCCTTTTCTGATTTAACTCTTCCATTGCCTAAGACTCACCAATTCTCAAACTTCTAAATTCTCCACACTGCCTTATCTCTGCCATCCCATGGCAAGTCCTAAAGCTGCTAACATTTTGTAACAACTATGTGACAAATTGTTGTGCTTTTATTCAGGTCGGACATCTTTGCCAGGCTTGCTTGTTGTGTTTTCTGTTTGGCTGTGTCATGGGACCAAAGGTGCCTGCCTTTGTACAGCATGTCAAATCTGGTTAACATGCAGCCATTTATCTTTAAAACCACTCCTGCACAATGGCAGAGGTGGGCCAAGCCACAGGGCTCTAAGCACAACCCAATTTTTCAGACCATCTTTTCTGCATATAGGGAGCACGTTGGACAGCAGACAAGACATTTTGTGATTTGGGGAATCTCTTAGAGACAAATTGTAGAGTGCAAGTGCAGTGTAACTGGACTGCTGGGTGCCCAGTGAAGTGAGGAAAATCAGATACAGCACAGGCTGAAAGAATGAAGCAAGAATTCATATCTCTGTGCAGAACATGCACAGTACTTTGCTCACACAGAGAGTTCACACATAGACAAAAGCATGTTTGCTTGTGGGTTATTTTCAGGGGATTCTATAGCCACAGTCTAGGCGTATATATTTGCACGTAAGCTTTCTTTCTGCATTTTGTACTGGTAGGTGTGTCTACATGTGAACATGTAAACATGCTTATATGAGAAGACAATTTGCTGTTGCTGATTTAAGACACGGGAAAGGCCTCCTAGTTCACTGAGGCGTTTCCCTCCTAATGTAGTAGAAGCAGAATCTTTTTGTTTTCTACAATTGTTTTAATAAAGGACTCTGTGTGTGTTTAAGGAAGACTCAGAGCCAGAGTGTCAAGTGCTGCAGTGAAAAATACTGAAGATTTTTCTTTCCATAAGACAGCTGCAAACTTTATAACCCAGTTCACTCTGGGTTTTCATTTCTCAATTGTTTCAAGGTGTCTTGGGAATGATTTGCCCTTAAATAACTAGTTATCAACAAAGGAGAAAAAATAGCAATAAAAAATGTGATAAACCTGCATAGACTAGTTTAACTAAAATGAAGAATTTCCTTGCTTGGAGCAGTTCAAGGACCGAACATAGCAAAACTGTGTGATTTAAATGAAATATTCAGAGTGGTCAACATAAATACACATGTAGACAAGAGATAGTATATGTGTGTGTGTATACACTGAGGTTACTTCTTGAAGAAATAGGCATTTTTTCCTTTCTTTTTGCTTTTTCTTTCTTTTCTTTTTCTGAGTAAAGGACCCCAGAGATTGTCTTTCACTTTGAAAACAATCTCTAATATCAGGAAAATGCGCTGTTTGTTTATGCGTACATAATGCAAGTTTGTCCGCCTGGGAACTGCAGCAAATGGGAGAAGTATGCATGGATTTCACAGGTAACAGGATTACGTGGGCACATAATTGATCCATTTGGAGAAAAAAAATGACAGTGCTCTAAAGATGCCTAGGCTTTGGAGATGGAGTTTATGAAACAGGCATTTGTAAATTCAAAGGAATCAATATGTCAATTTTATTACATCTCAGAACCAGCTGGGCATTAAAGGAACAGTAGCCTTAAAAAAAATTACAGCTGCATATTCCTACGTTGTCTACCTTTCTTAAAGGCCCTAGAATTTAAGGAAATGAACTTAGAGATGTGTACCTTTTCAGAAATGAATTTACATTGTCCAAAGAGAACAACAATTTAACATTATGTCAGTTATCAACCTAAAAATTTGATTGAAATGTCTGCCTTATCATTACAATTGAAGTCTATTAATAGATACAGATAATAAGCAGAATAGTGATTTTCACATAGGTTGCACTGTCAAGGATTCATTGGAATTCATATTTGCATTGTGCTTTTCAACAGTCTAGATTTTACCTCTTCACTGATGATAGGACATAGTTTAAGAGCTAGCCTTTGGGTGTCCCACAGAATTGGGTCTGTGCATGTGTGAAATATTCCTGTTTTATTAGAGTTTTTGACAATCTATTTTTTTTTTTTTTTTTTTTTTTTTGAGACGGAGTCTCGCTCTGTCGCCCAGGCTGGAGTGGAGTGGCGCGATCTCGGCTCACTGCAAGCTCCGCCTCCCGGGTTCAGGCCATTCTCCTGCCTCAGCCTCCCGAGTAGCTGGGACTACAGGTGCCTGCAACCACGCCCGGCTAATTTTTTGTATTTTTAGTAGAGACAGGGTTTCACTGTGTTAGCCAGGACGGTCTCGATCTCCTGACCTCGTGATCCGCCCGCCTCGGCCTCCCAAAGTGCTGGGATTACAGGCGTGAGCCACTGCGCCTGGCCGTTTTTGACAATCTAAAAAGACCAAGCTATTTTAAATTATTAAGTTCCTAAATAATAGGATTTGGACAGCAGCCATAAGAGAGGTGAATGGGATGGGAATTTAAGATACTATTTTAATATCACAAAGAGGTTACACAACTAAGGATGAAAGTTAGAAGCTATGAATTGGTCCACATACTCTGCATGTGCTGTCTGCTAGAGGCTGCAAGGCGAGCTGCTTCACTGTTTCATGTTCCAATCTCCACCACCCAGACTCCTGCTCCAATAACATCTCTAGATCTATTCACTTGTAACAAATGGAGCCCAGTTCTCCTCCCTCCCCAAGGAGGCCAGACACTCGATATAATGAAAAGAACACAGGATTCAGACCCAAACAAATTTGTGTCCACATTCTGATTCTGCCATTTACTCTCCATGCCATGTGCCCCTGGGTGCGTTTCTTAACCACTCTGAACTTCGGTTCTTAATGCTTAAAAATGGGGAGCAGTATTTGTTTTATAGAATCTTTGGGAGTATTACACAAAATTCTAAAGACAGTGTCTGGAGCCTAGAAAACGCTCACTAAATTCTGATTATGACTGTTTCAAGGTGTGACTAATCAGGATGCCAGGAACCCTACGATGGAGGCACTTCAGTTTCTGGGCCTTGCTGAAACATTCTTGAAAAGAGGAAACAATAACCGTAGCCTGAGATATTCGTTCCTTTTTTTTTTACTCTTTGGAGAGTACTTAAAAAAAGAAGAAAAAAGAAATAGTCATAGTGATTGGCATGCTATTCTACCTCTACATTTCCAGGAAATATACATGGTACTTTTTCTTATAGAAACAGCATCTCCTCCAAAAAGAATACATTCTGAGATGACTTTTGTCACAGCACTTAAAATATCTGATTCCTATTTGTCTCCCCACAAATGTGTAAATGGCTTGAGGGCAGTCTTGCCCATCTCAGCTCAGGCCATGACATACAAAAATTGTTTCGTTAAAGCAAAGGTATAATGAATACAGCGGGTATATTAAAGATTCAGTATACATTATCATATGTAGAAAAAAGCTTTGGGTAACTTTATGTCAGATTCCCTACCACCATATTAATAACTTTTTGAAATTCACTTTGTGACAGCTATGTTATTTTGAATACTTGAGTGGGTTTGCTTTTTGTTTTTGTTTTTGTTTTTAGTTTGTATTTAAATCAACTGGCTCTCTGCCTTTCTCAATGACACCTTTGAGACTTGGGAGTCAGGGAGGCAGAGAGGCAGTGTGGGTGCTCGGAAGAGTGTAGGCTTTGGACATCTGGGCTCAAATTTGGTTTCTACTTTCATACAAGCCATAAGACCTGTAGCAAGTTGTTCAGTCTAACTGCATCTCTGCTTCTCATAATAATACTCATGTTATAGGGCAGTTGGGAAGAAATACTGGTAACAGGTAAAGTGCCAAGCACATAGTAGGTGATTAATGTTCTGTCCCCTTCCTCCACTCTTCTTTGTCACTTGAGCATTCACTTTGGGTTGGCATTTAGTGAGCTCCTTCTGCCCGTCAACAAGTCAATCAACATTTAATACATACCATGGGTAGATATCTTACCCCTGTTCCAAATTTCATTATGAAAATTGGGCTATTTTCTACTCAAGGAAATGAGCATGCAGAAGTACCTTCTGTACTTAGAATCACAATCATTTTAGCTATTTTCCGCTTAATCTGACGGTTTCTTTGTTCCCATCATCTTTTTTAGTGAAGCACTTTGGTGTTTCTGCAATCCTTTGCTATCATTCTGTGCTTGGGTATCTCAGATCTCTCTTCTCCCCCGATCCTTTGAAGACATCAGAAAAGAAGAAGCACAAGGTCTCTTGACTATACGTTTGCCACACAACTGTGTGGATTGGTTAGTTAATAGAGTTGATTAAAACACTTTGTTTGATTCTGCTTAAGCATACCAGAAATACATTCAAAATCTACAGCTACAAAATGTAAAGAAGGTAGTCCAAATATAGTACTACATAATGAGGCTCCCTGTTGGTAGTATATAAAGCAGTTTAGAGTATAGCTTCAAATTCTAATGAAGATCATTTTAAATCTTGCACTGAATTGTGAATTTAAAATTCCCATGTTCTCCATAAGTATCTGAAGAGGGGCATGTAAATACCATAAGTGAATTAATTACTGCCTTAAGTTGGTAAAGCATGTGTGAATCCAAACTTTATTCTTGAACTTGCACTTCTCTTCCCAAGGTTTTTTGAACCATTTCCTATATGCTGAGTTCTGAGTACCTATTTAACTACTGAGGACATATGAAGAAGGTAGTTTTCTTTGCATGGATTAAATGTTTCAATCTCTGAAAATCACCACCACCACAACAAAAAGTCTGCCCGGCACCATCTACATGTACATGATGAAATTCCTAAAGCAGAAAAGATATATTTATAATCTGAAACTTATAAAAACATGACAAACTGTTACCTTCACTTTTGTGCCCCCTTTTTTCATTAACAGTATTAGGTCGTTTTTTTTTTTTTTTTTCTCTTGAGAAGAAACGAAAGACGAAGTGGCAAGAATATCTTTCACTTTTGCTCACGTTTTGGTGGTGTAATATTGGGACCACTGAAGTAATTGGACAACTTTTCCGAGCTGACTCTTCTGAAGTAAACCCAAGGCAAAGGGAAAATGGAGCTGCTGCTAGGCTCAACTGATGGCGCCCACATGGCGCCCACCCCAGCTCCTTCAGAGACTCCATCATTTCCACAGAAGGGCCAGAGGCCCTGCCAATATCCGCACATCACTGGCATGATAGACCATAACAGCTTCTTCTGAGCTGTTCCGGTCTATCGTGTCAATGCGTACTCGGGGAGTCCTCAACGCACGGATCACTGACACGGCACTACATAACGGCTCCTTAGCAGCCATTATTGGGTATCAAGTCAATGCCTACTCAGGGAGGCTTTATCGCAGAGGCCTGCACGAGCAGACACATTCCGAATACTAAAATTCCTTAGGAAAATTAGTCATTGCCCATGTGTGATAGCTGTTTTCCATTTTGAATTTTAACCATTTTGGGAAAAGGAAGAGAATGGGAAATACCAGTATAGTCCGAAAAGCCCTTAAAAAATGAGTGCGAAAAGTGGAAGGGTGGAGTGGACATAGGAAGATGATGAACTTGTCATTTTTTCCTTTCCATAGCTTCATTTTATTGTGTCAAAGTTGCAGAAAGCACTTCACTTTCATCGAGGCTCTTTTTAGGCAGGGTACAGCCAAGAAAACTTTTTTATGGCTCAGATGTAAATCCTAGAAAACGTAGTAGAAATGATGGCAGGATCTCTAACTGTAAAATAACAGTAGTGTTAGTAGTAAGTGTCATTATAATAACGTTATAGAACTCTGCACATCAAAAATACCACATTTTATCATGATCTCTGCAAGAGATTTCTGTTGGTAGTCATTCTAGACTTCTAATAAATAATACGTTGAGTAGGAAAGGTTCTGTGAGGATCCAAATAATAATGAAAATGACAGTGGTGATATTAATAATAATAGTACAGCTCCCATTTATTGTATCATTATTATGTGGCAGGCATTTGTATACATTATCTCATTTAATTTTCTCAGCAGATGTGACAAATCAGGAAACTGTGGCTTAGCAAAGTTAAATAACTTGACTGATGTCATGCAACCACTAAGTGACAGTGGTGGGATTTGAACTATATCTGGGGAGAGTCATGCTCTTACCATTGCATTGCCTCTAATGATCATCACTTTCAGGGAACTAGGTGTTTAATTAGAATATCCCAACCCATTGTCTGCTTACTGATCAGGAAACTGAGGCAGGGTAATTTTAGTAATTCCCCCAAATAATAAAGAGAGTCAGAATGAATACCAGAAAGCAACAAGAGGCAAAAACAGCCTTTCTCTCTGACAACATGTTAACCACAAACAAGACATGGGAATTTCAGAGCCTCCGTTTGTGTTTCAGAAGGAATGTCCACTGTTGCCATCAGTCCTGAAAAGATTTCCTTGCACCAAATCAAAATGGTTCGAGTTTGCTGTTGTTGATATTTTTTTTCCTTTTGTGTTCTGCTTACTGACTGACATCTGCTATCATGCTAAGCAGGTGTTCCTATGTAAACGAACGTGCCCTGTTTGTGTTTCGCCATCCTCGCTGCTGCGCACCCAAATGAGCAGCGTGATTAAGAATCCTGTAAATTTTTGAAAGGAAACGGATGGCTACCCTACTAGAACATAATTACACCGTTCCAACATCCGCAGCTCACTGCTGCAGCAGAGTTGGAGAACAGCAGAAATTAATAATATATAATAGCATCATTCTAGTAATTTATAAATGAAATAAAGTAGAGAGGAGATTCTGCTGATATGCATTTTCTCCTTAATTCTAAAAGACAAAGTATAGATTAGAATTTTAGTGGGGTGAAACCTGGCCAGCAGTCTCCCACTAGTTGCCTGATTCATGATAGGAGTGTTTTTGCTTAGGGAAAAGAGCTAATATGTTTTATTAGGCCAGAGGAAAAAAAGAAAAAGAAACATGAATAAACAAGGCCCTCTAAAGGCAACACTAAATAAAGGGGGTCTGAAAAAATCTCTGTGGATTGTGTGCCCACTGTATTTAAAAAGATATTATTACTTTAAGACTTCAACATGTGCTGCATTTTTTCTTTCATTGTAATAACATACCACCATAGGTCACCCCTTCTGAGAAAAGAGGGACTGATCAGTTAAAGATGTGGCCCAACATAAACTTTATGTTAAATAGCACTCGTGTAAATTCTAGAGATCTGCTGAACAACAATACACCCATAGTTAGCAATAATAGAGTAGATTTCATCTTGTATGTTTTATCACAATAAAAAAGAACATTCATGCCTTTTTAAAAACATTATTTTGAGTACCCAGTATGTGCAAAGGAGCCTCTTATTACAAATCATCGTTAGATTAAGGGAGTTGATGCTTTTAGTCAACCATGCTGGAGAAAGAACAACACTTTCTAAAGAGGCAAATAAACTATATGTTAAAAGTAACCAGTCCATTTCTCTGTCTCATAGGGTTGTGGCAGGCACTTTAGAAACTTTAATGTTTTTCTAACTTCATTTACCGTAGGTAAGATGCCTAACAAATGGATGAGCTCAGTTGTTTCAAGAGTTTGTCTCCCATGAGCCAATGCCCATCACACACACACACACACACACACACACACACACTCACACACGAGCAATTATCCTTAAGAAAAATAATATTTATAGCACTTAAAGTGTTATTTAAGCAACTTTTCCTGCTTAATTCCAAAGAATGACAATACATCCAAAAAAAAAAGTCATGGATTTTCTTCCTTTAATTAAACTTAGAGAACATGAAAATACTGTTTGCCTTTCAAGAGAAGCATGTCCATTTAAGATGCTTATTCATTTAAGCAGTATTCATTTAAAGGTCCCCTTGAGTATTACTCTATGTGTTTTGATTTGGTTCAGAGAAAATAAATTCATTTAATAGATTTATTTCATTAACAGGTATTTATTTAAGTGGGTTCCACTGTATTTAAATCTCCAAACAGTTTCCATTACTTCCTTAGCTCACTTGCTCCATGTTGACTAATTTTAATAAGCCTAAGGTGCCTAGGGTCTTATTGAGTGTTCAGTTTGATCAATATGGTTAAATTAAAATTGTGCAAAATATAAGCAAATGTACTCTAACAACACAGTGAAAAATGTGCTGTGCACTAAGCATTGATTGGTATGCTGTGGACACAGATATATGAAGCTGGGTGGGCCTCTGAACTACCTGGAAACTGCCACTCTCCTCCAAAGCTCCCCTGGCTTTAGATACATCCATGTGATCTCCCACCCGTTCATGGAGACAGCAGCTCAGATACCCCCATTGAATTAGAAGGGGAAGGAGATTCATGTCAGGTGTTTTGCTTTTTGATTTAATGGAAAACAGCATGTAAGGCTCACAGTGAAATCCTATATAAAGAAAAAAAGCTAAGATTTTATAAAAGTTCAACTTTGAGTATTGCTGAAATGCTTTAGGTAATAAAGAATGCAGGCCCTAGTTCTTTTTCACAGAATAACTTTTTACCGTAATTATCCTTAAATTTTAATCATTTGGTAGCTTGAATTCTTTTTCAGAGATCTTACTTGTCAAGTTTGTTTTAGCAAATTACAAAAAAACAAAAACAAAAGCCAACCTGATTTTTAAAGTATACCAAAATCAGCTTTGCCATTGGTACTGCATTTGAAAACCTAGTAAGCTTTCTAACAAATTCATTGCTTTCTATATAATTGTAAAGTTAAATAGATAACTGAATATTTTTAGTGGATTCCTTTTAGTATGAATAAGTTTGTATCTTCTATTCCTAAATCAATTTCTTTACCTTTCCCTTTTTCTCTTCTTTTTTTCTCCTTTTTTGCCTGTTTTATGGCAAGCATACTTAATATTCAGTGTCAATCTTTTTAAGCTTTTCAAAAATCTACCACAATCACTTACCAATCATAAGTATATATCATTCAAAATTGTTCCTGATATGTGCTGGCTGTTGGGGCAGTTTCTTTTTCCTACCTGTTGTGTGCCTTTGTACCTATCTTTAATCTCTTCTTGCTAAGTGATAGCTACCATCACAACACTGGCTTTCCTTGATAGCATATCTTCCTGCATGTCCAAAACTTAAGTTCACATGAGCAGAAGTTGTTCTTATCAAAGGTAAATCAGAAGTTAAAAAAAAAAGCAGAGAGATAAAAACATCAAAAATGTACATCTTGCAAGCAATGATGTTGAATTTGGGAGAAGTGTGTTCTATTGAAATGAAAATCATTTTCTAGTTTAAACTGATCACGGAAGTTTATATGCATAATAAGGATTTGAAGTTTCCTATCAAATTAAGTACAGTGTTTGAGCTTCCTAACATTTAATAATACCATCACCAATACACCTGCAAAATAAAATAATGTTTGAGCCCCAAAATCATCAGAAATATGTAGACCAATACCAGTTCAGAAGAATTGACTTTATTTTTGTAATGGGGCCAAGAAAAATTCTTAGGTTTTTGTTTAGTTTTGTGCTTGTTAATCTTGATTTTTCCCAGTGTTTTGCATGTTTTGAGTTTTTAATATCAAAGGTACTGCTCTTTGTAAACAAGTGTAAGTTTACCCAGGCAGCTTCACTTACACCCTTCCCTTGTAATCAGATGTGAAAATTACACCCTCCCTTTTGGATACATGATAATTACACATTTCAACATGCAAAGAATTGTCTCTGTTTCAGTTGTTGGAATGAAAAAGCTGAGACATTTCAGTAAAATATATTATTATATTAAAGATCATTTCCATAATTGTTTTCGGGATTTGTAATCAAAACCATGATCAAGGTAGTCTTAGTTTTAAAAAGAATACACATGGAAATAAGGAGAGGATAAAATTAATTGCCGAGTTCCACTTGAATGACCATTCTTTTATTTTATGAAAATACAGTTAAGTACATTATATTCTTTCTTTAAAAAAAAAAAAAACCTTCTAGTACCTTATTTGACATTTTCTTTCTCCATGTTCGTTGAATTACCTATTTTTTCAGGTCGACCAAAAAAATGTAGAAATACACATTTTTGTGATCAAGGTGAAAAATTTAGTCAGAAGAGAGATATAAATACAATGAAGGAATCTTTTCAAGAAAAGATGTGTTTGTTTTTGTTTGCAAGAGTGCTTTTCAGCCAAATATAAAATTTTGTAAACTCAGGTAAGGCACCTCACACTTCACAATCAGACTTCTGGATTCATCTAGAGTATCACTCATATCATAGGTAAAAATATATGTCACTATTGGTATAAAATACACTGAAGCCTTAAAAATGCAGAGGTTTTGGCAAATAACACTAACTCAAAAATATCTTGTATATCCAAGGAGAGGGTTTAAAATCACCGATTCCTTTTTACTTTCTTAAGCTAAGAAGAAAAGGAAGAGAGAGGCCAGGCGCAGTGGCTCACACCTGTAATCCCAGCACTTTGGGAGGCCGAGACAGGTGGATTGCCTGAGGTCAGGAGTTGGAGACTAGTCTGGCCAACATGGTGAAACCCCGTATCTACTAAAAATACAAAAATTAGCCGGGCGTGGTGGCGAGTGCCTGTAATCCTAGCTACTTGGGAGGCTGAGGCAGGAGAACAGCTTGAACCCAGAGGCGAAGGTTGCAGTGAGCCGAGATCATGCCGTTGCACCCCAGCTCAGGTGACAGCGTGAGACTCTGATGCAAAAATAAATAAAGAAATAAAAGAAAAGGAAGAGAGAAGGCAGCATTAGATGGCTGATGTTATGGCTTCGTGAAACAGTTTATGGCATAAAGAAATAACTCCCCAACTCCTTAGTTTTCCAAGTATGTAAATGTTTCTGCTCATCCAAACACTAGCATAGGTAAGTGAGGACACATATTTCATCTAGCCCAAATATATTTTTTAAAAGAATCCCTGCAGATTTTTTGCTTCTATAAAAAATATCCCAACCCAAATTTCTAAAAATTTTGATTTTTGGAATTAAATGATAATACTAATTAGCATTTACCTATACATCCTTTTCTATTTTAAAATCATTGCATAATCTGGCATTTATATTTAATTTTCTAAATCATTTTCCCTAGAGAGCATTCATGTAATTTTAGAACTTGGAAGGAACCAGGATTTCAACTATACTCATCCACAGACTTTTCCCATTGGGTAGAAATTGAAACAGAACTGACAGAACCAGGATTTGAATACCAGCCTTTTGACTCCAAATCAGGGACAAGATGCAGTTTTGTATGTTAATTATTTTTATTGGTTTTGATATTGTGGCCCCAAGATCCATAGTCTTATTTTCATGCTAAGTGACTCTTTACTCTGAAGGGCCAGGTTATAATTGCCATGTATGCCAAGAGTGAAGGGACCCAGGACCAGAAAATTCAGTATGCCCGGGTGGTGAGTTTTTAGACTTATGGAGCTGCATGTTCTGAACTCCACGTTCTTTGGTTTTACTGCTCCTGTGTTTTTTGACAGTTGCTTTTTTTTTTCTTCATAATTTCTGTACAGGCTGGGCAGAGAGTTCAGGAAATGTTCCACCGTGTACTGACATTCCCCTGGCAATAAGTGGGTTCCCACTTCAGTCGCATTCCACTAAGCCTATTTTGGCACCATAGAGAGGGTGATGAGAGGGAAGAGTCAGTGGAGGAGAAGACAGGAAGGTTGCCAGGAAGGAATTGAAAGGCATATGCTCCTGGCCCCATTGCCTGTGTCTGCCTTCACCACCTTTAGCTTCACAAGCAGTGGCCATGGCAAATAGGAAAAGGTTTGGGTGGGAGAAATACAGAAGAAGCCATTCCTGATTAGGCCATGTGTCTTCCACTAGTTTCCATCAGAGTGGGCTGACCGATCTGTGAAGATCTGGGATCATGACTCAGTATAACAAGAAGAGTCCTACACATTTGATTCAGGAAATTTGGGCTCCTGGCCCACCCAGCCCTGCCTTCCAATCTCAGCATGGCCTTGGACACATCCTTAACCTCTCTGGGCCTCACATTCCTAATGATAAAATGCAGGGACTGGACAGAGATTGCAAACTGGTGGCTGACAGATGTTTGATTTGTCCCACACAGTATTTTAAACACATTTGAATTGGTTGCCAATATTTAAAAATTGGGCTATTTCACACACACACACACACACACACACACAAATCCAGATTTCCAGCTCCCCTGGAGAACTCAGATGATCTGGTGTTTCGGGCCCACATAGCTGCATGGAAAGACCATGTGGGAACAACTTTGAGTTCCGTAAGAAAAATCAATCAACTTCCCTCACCTGCTTGGCCTGTGTAGACATTTGAGTGTGGGACCCCAATTCTCTCCAAGACTCCTTTGAAGCTCTAGTTTTAGAATTCCAAATATGATTTGCTTGACCATAAGAAATATACTTAATCCATAGTGGTTTCTATATTCACGGCAGAATGCTAAGGTATTTGTTTATACAATCAGCATCAGGTAAAAGTTGGAACTATCTTAGGCCAAATAAATCAGCCCCATTTAGAACAAATGCTGACTTTGAAATTTGATAATGGGAGGCAGGAATAGTTCAGCAAAGATAGCCTTTGAGGTAGTTACAAGAAAGATGGTTTGGCTCCTGACTCACTATTACCTACACAGCGAACTGTGTATTTTGCAAATTATCCAAAAGTAGATTCTTTAAAACCCAAATCAAATAATACAAGGCCCTTCAGTTAACATTTTTTCACATCTCCCACTCTAAACTAACATCTTCATAAATATTGAGATCATGAACTTTTTCTGTTCATGTAATTGCAAACAAATTATATTGGCCTGGGAACTGTTTGATCTTCTTCAAAAGTAAAGGAACTACATTGATTTTAAAAGTTATATTTTTGTAAATCATGTTTCCAAATGTATCCACTTTAAACACAAAAGGTAACATTTGCGACTCATGGTTATAGAGTGTTTAATATTGTACAAGGTGCATTGACAAAAATATCTCATTTGATCTTTACAACAATTGTAGGAGCTAGACAGAGAAGACATTTAATACAAATGAGGAGTCTGAGACCCAGAAAAGTTGGATGACTATTGGAAAATTGACCTATTACTTGCTTAATGTGAAAAAGAGCCGGGATTCAAATCTACAGCTTTTGGCTCCATATTTAATGTTTTCCATGCCATCAGTATGCTTCCAGTGTCTTAGGGTATGTGTGTGTGTGTGTGTGTGTGTGTGTGTGTGTGTGTGTGTGTGTGTCTTACCTAAACACTGACTTTTTCTCTCTCTCTGTCATGAACAAGAATTGAGAGGTTAAATGGGAATTGTCTCATGAATTGTCTCAATGTTTTCTAAGTTGAATGAAGAATCTTTTTTGGTAGCTATTCTTAAGTGAATGCTGGATTTTTATTAAGGGAAGCTAACAGATATTTAAAAGCACCCTCCATATATAAAAGCACAATCCATGGAAGCATAGTGCAAGGAATAATGATATAGACAAATGGAGGAGGGGCAATAAAAAGTCATAAAACAGGCAGGTAGAGGTTTCTGGAAAAATAAGGTGGTGAGGGAAGAGTCTAACTGTAAAAGTAAAAAGGTAGAAGATAGAACCGTTGAAAAAAAAAAGAAATATCAGAAATATAAAGAGAAATAAACAGCAAGAAGACTCCGTAGTAATTTAAGAAGTGAAAACTTTTAGGACAGAGGTAGGAGAGAAATGGGAAACACTGGAGAGGAAGTAACAACTAGGAAGTGTGGAAGAAAAACCTGCAGGCCAGAAATCTGAGCAAAGACTTGAGAGAGGATGATGGTAAATGTGAAACATTGAAAGGGATGTTTTAAGGGATTCAGACATTGAGAGGAAAGTAAATTTTCATCACAACACCCCATGACGACAGGCTCAACACATTTGGATTATGAGAAAGGAAATTAACATGGTTAGAACGAAAGAATAAAAATTAGTAAGAGAAATCTTTGGATGTCAATGGAGAGGAGGAGAAATGATATTAAAAGGAAAGAAGGCATGGGTGGAAAGTAGAATGAGATGAGAACCTATGGTAGGTGGAGGTGAAAAATGAAATGCGTCAGGGAAGATCATGACTGGGACCGCCGCACACTGCAGTGATGAAGACGGAGAAGCTATTCTTCAGGGAACCTGCAAATAAAAAGAAACCTTAAGATGTATTTGGAGGGAACCCACCCCAGCAAGGTGAGAAAGCAAGAGGTTACATTCTGCAAAAAGAGAAAATGAACGGGGAGAAGGGGGAAAACTAGGGGAAAGAGAAAACAGCAAATCAAAGTTATGGAGCGTACAGCATTGAAAGGAATGAGGCATTCTGTTGGAATTATTCATTTAAGCATATGGGTATTGGCGTCCCTTTTCTAAAACCGGATCCTCTCCCTTATTTCTCATTTTTCTATAACACTATTATAATAAATTCACATGGAAAAGTACAAGGATGAGCAATTTTTTACTTTAGAAATGTTTCAAAAGGGGAGGTAAACTTGATGGTTATCTGTCTGAAGGGTGACGCACTATAGTGGCATGTGAGAATGAGGCCAGAGGTAATCATCAGTTTTGAAATTGTTCTTTCAACAAATTCATAATGCATATAAAGTAACTCGTGCACACATTTATGGCAAAACATACTCTAGATATTAATTTATATTGCTTATACTGAAGATCTCTTGAGTTTTCAAAAAGTTTGATTTACAGATTTTTCACATCAAAAATTTTTTGTAGATTCTATTTTGTAATTAAGATGTGTAGACTCCTCAATAATTCTTTACCTTGATGCTGTGTATACTCATTTATCTAGATTAAAATACTTCCTTGCCCTGAATGTTCTAAAAGTGTACCCCTTGGGGCTCTAGAATTTAGAAGTCTCCCTTCCCCAACTATTTCTAGTCTACCTTTTCAATTGAGTTAATATAATGGCTTTAGAAATACAATTTCCATGTTGCTATAAAAATGGGGTTAAAAGTCATAACAGGCACAAGAAACAGGAGGAAATGAGAATTGTGTACTTTCAGTCACACCCGGGCCATGTGCTCGGGCCACATACAGCATGCAGCCCTCCGGAGTGGGCTGTGTAACCCGGGGCACACTTGAGGTCAGGGCACATAGAGGATTAATTTACTGAAGGTGGTAGACAATCCCTCTGCCACAAATGCAAACATTTTTTCATAAGCGCCTGAAGCAATTAGTTCTCTTCAATAATAAATTTAATCTTTTCCTCCTTCCTTTCTTTCCTCTTCGTTTCTCCTCTTTCTTCTCTTTTCCTCTATAAATGCTGGCCTTTGTCTAAGATCTTCAACTCAAAGGTGTAGATGCCAGGAAAGAAAAACAAAATCAATGTATTGTGGTACTAACAAATAATGCTATAATTATTAGAAAAAAACAGATTGAAGCAAGATACAAAAATTCTCAAAAGCAGCTATCTGTATGAAAATCTTTTCTACTTCTAGAGAGTATGTGAATGACTGTATCTTTCATATCGTGAAAGCAGATGCTTACATGCAATCACCTTTAAAAAAAGAAACAAACTATCACAGTAGTGACATTGCCTATTTTATATGAGTAGGGAAACTAGCCAAATAGCTTTGGGAACATTTATTAGCCTTGTCCTTTTTTTTCTTTTTTTTTTTTTTAACTTTTAGTATAGAGAGAAAATAGAGATGACAGGTAGGTGGCTAAGTAAGGTGACAGGATGGCAGACAGCATTCCTATCAGGGCAGAAAGAATTTATAAGGGAGCTGCCACTTATAGCGTAATAGAGCTAAGTTAAGAATTGCAAACAGAGTAGGGCCAAGCAACATTTTAAGAACAATTGTCCTTAAACATTCTTGTAATGCTAAGTCACTCATCTTTGTTTCCCACTTGCTTCCTAGAGTTAAGAAAAGTTCTTTCCTAACTTGGGTTGCTATGCAGAGATGTGAAATTTCATTGGCTCCAAATGCTTTTCTGTCTAGTAGGGACTACTGGGAACCCTGCTAATGTGCATATTGATGTACCCTGTAGCTTCACAGATGATGAAAGAGCATATTACTTATTTCCACAACAACAAAGCTAAGAGAAATTTGAAAGGAGCCAGTTATTTTACCTGGGGAATTTCTCCCAGGTGATGGGGCTATGGAACCATGGAATTTAAATATGGGGGCCGTCCTATTTTCTAAAAAGTTTTTATGGGGAGCCATAATATCACTCCCAAGCAGAAATCAAATCAAATAAAAGACTATTGCTTTCATTTGCATTTATTTAGTCAACTATGCCTAAAATACGGAAAAGATATTATCATGCTCATTCAGAGTGTATTTTATTCGTTGTTTACTAGACTGGACTGACATGATATGATTTGTGCTTTGCGGGGTCACAACAAGCTACTAGCAGGACAATTTGCTGAATCAAGAGGATGATTGTGTCTGGTGCCAGTCAGTCGCAATTAGGACCAGGATCAGGGAGGCCCGGGGCTTGTGCATCGTCTTGGGCAAGCTGCATAGAAATCAGCTCACCTGAAACTAATTGTCACAACAGAGACCTTATGCAAATGAGCCCTGGGGTTAGCGTGGGAAAAGAAAAACTGTCGCAAAGATAGGTGACCTGCTGAGCAGGGGGTCTGTTGCTGGGGAAATCTTTGTTCAATGAGTTTAAAAATGTTTTCATTGTTCAAAGTCCACCCCCCGCCCCCCCCCCCAAAAAAAAGTAGCATACACACTCACTAAGAGTATGGCAAACACACTCATCTAAAATTCCAATAAAGCAGAAGCCTGCTTTGGAGCATGCCATAAATTGGGAGTCTTTATAAGGGCTACAGCAGGAGAATAATTTCCCTTTGCAAGGGCCTTTAAAGTTTAGGTGCTGCGGATTGCAGTGTGGCCTACCTTGAAAATTCACTTGCAAGGTCAAGCCTATTGCTAGCCTGGCAGGACCCGCACAGCCTTTTCTCCCTGCATTCCAGCAGGCCACCTCCACACAGCCGTGAGGGGTGCCTGTGAACTAGACAAGAAAGGCCTAGTTTCTAATTGAGCTTTACTGGTATCTCAGGTAGAAGAGAAGGGCCAGGAGCACTCTCTTAACACATGGCAAAAGAATCCGGGGAAACAATGGCAGTTTCTTGAATTGTGGTTTCTCAAATACTCACAAGTTCAAATGAAATGCAAGCATTGTGAAATTCCAGGAATGGTAATGCAGCCCAAGTGGTAATAGATCATAAAAATTTAGCAAAAGAAAAGTAAAAATTATTTTTAAACTATGATTTACTTTGTTTTTCAATCCCTGACAAAAACACGTATAAGTTGGAAATGACGTTTGATTTTATTGTAGCACTCATTTGGAATAATCTTTAATATGTTTTACTTTAGAAAACCAGATGAAGAAAAGTTATTCAAAGGTAATGATAAACATTTTTATACGTTACTGTAGCAAAGTTGCCTTTGGGTTCTTCAATTGATTTTTAGCTTTTCAATCTTGTTTTCATAAAAACATGGGCTAACATATTGATACTTCTTAGCTTTACACTAAAGATTTCCCAGTGACATAGTAGATAATGTATATTCACACAGGAGTATAAATATAATATCAAGGAAATGAAATAGAGTGTTCTAAGCTTTAGCAGTAACAGAGAGCATAGATATTTTGCATCTAATGATTTCAAAGAAAGAATAATTTGAATTTAAAAATGTAGGTGAGAGAAAAAGAAAGTTTCATTGCATTGGCGTTGAATACAAATGCTATTTTGTTTGGCAAATTACTGGACCTAAGAAAGTGTTTTCATTGTGTTTCCTAAAGGGCTGGATTGAAATTTGGACTTGTACCTGATAAGCAAGCTCAGGAATTAACTTGGTAGCCACCACAAAACCTAAAGAAAGTTAGGCTTAGAAGTGCAACTTAATCACAATTTAGATTTTAACACACACGCATACACACACATATACAACTCTTTTGTCCCTTCACCACTGTCTGAAATAATTTCCACATAAGAGACATTTCACAGTGGGTACGAAGTGCTCAGCTTTCACTCATCAAACTTTAATCGGAACTGCATTTTAGTTTTTGAATAAAGAACACTTAAAAAATTTAGATGCAAATTATTTTGCATTATTCATGCTCTAAGTGTCCTTGTAGATTTAAACACTTCTGAGGCCACCTTGATTCAAGTAATTACCTAGGCCCTCACTGCTCCGTCATGAATAAGGTATTTTGTACAAGTAAAGTATGCACCCGATGAGCTTTTAAAGTGGCTTTACACTGAACTTGTGTATTGCTTCTTGTGCATGAGTGAGCCGAACATGTGTCGCAATCTGTCTCAGGTGGGAAACCCTGGCTGGGCATCCATGGGTGACGGGATGAAACCCGAGCGTCTCCTTCACACACATGCTCTTCCTTTGTCTCTACCTAAGAATGTTCCTGCCTGATTCTAGTAGTTGTTTTAAGCATTAAAAAAAAGCAATAGATTCTAGGAAAAGAGACAGGGAAAGTGACAGTGATTCCGCTTAACCCCTTCATCACCAGAGATTATTGGAAATGCCCACTTTTCAGGCCTCCTCATCTCCATCAGCAAAGGCTTCCTTGTAAGGTAATAAGTCTCTCTCATTTTACATGGTTCTGTACATCTGTCTCCCCATCTGTCAGCCCAGCATCCTGAGCTATTAGAGCTAGGTGCTACCTCCACCACGGTATTCACACGAAATGGAGCAGGCTTCAAACTCAAAAGTAGCTGAAGAATACTTACAATGGAAATGAAAGTGACCATAGAGCATCAATCTGTAAGTTTATCCACACACACAAAAAGAGGGTTTGTAAGAGTTAAATGTAACTGGCTGAAGCTTATAGCTGGTGTTTGTTACAAAGTACCCAAGCTTTTCCTTTCCAACTTCGTGGCTTTGAAGAATTATAGGAATTTTATGATGTGCTGTTGGAGTTATACTGGCAGAGATTACAGTAAAGGGGTTAAAGTTGGTTTATGGTAGAAAAAAAATTATGCAGAAACCAATAAAAATAAACACACTCAAGTAGACTAAACTTGCTGGGCTTTTAGTTTTACTTTTAACAAAGGAAGTTTAGATGAAAGTAAATGTTGCAGCTTTTAGAAAATTAGTTGACACTCATACTTGATCATCTTTACTATACAGTGGTATAATTAATATTTAAACATTCTAATAATGCAGCTTGCTTTGCATGCACTTTTCAGCCTCACAACATTATATTTTATCTGGAATTGTGCTAGCATTTTCTTGGGTAGTGCCCATTTTCATAGAGTTAAATTTAAAATAGGGTAGGGCCTCAGCTCTTATTGCCAGTAAAACATCAATAGGAGAGTGAACAGGTTTCATACATCTACCAGACAGTTTATTATTAAGAACAATATTTATTTGAGATAATAGATAATATATAAATTTTGTTTCATTGCCCCATGAATGTTTTTAAATGATCAGAATAGATTAAGTTTGAAAGTTGCATTTGGCTGTTGTCCACTCACTGTTCAAAACAGGAGGATTTTGATGATGTCAAGGCAGTGCGAAATCAGCAAGTGATACATGAAACATGGAACCCCCATGCCTGCCCATTCATTAGGGCATCTGATTAACATAGTAAGGAATGTTTATTTTCAGTACATAAAATTGTAGAACTTTGGGAGCATCTTCTGAATTGCAAAAGCTGAACACCCAGGAACTTAGTGAAACAATAAAAATATAGAGAAGTAAGCTAATTTGTGAGAAGCCTGAGCTAGTTTATTTTCCTATGAGAAGTTTCTTCCTGTTCCAATCTCATGGCTGTAGGTGGTAGGGAAAAGTTGTTTCAGGTGCTGCCCTCAGCTAGTCCCTTTGAAGAGTGCAAGGTGCCCAGTGTTCCTGATCTTCTAGTTTGAATGATGAGAAAGAGCATTCTACCTTTCCACCATCACTTAAGTGTCCTTTGAAATTGAATTTGCATGCACATATTTACTGCTCATTCTTTTTAAGTGAGTAGGTGTGCTGAGCTTCAAGTCTATTTTGAGACTCAGCCCATGTTAACCCCTTGAGGCCCACTTCATGATAGGTACTGCCCTGTGGGAATCCTGTCATTTAGTGAAGCATGAAGCCATAATAGATCCACAGCCATACCACCATTGGGGCATCTCATTTCGATTAATTCCCTGAAGCCTTTGGTGCTGTGGTTTGCAGAAATCAAATGGCGCAAATGAGAACTACAAAATTAGGCAGGTTAAATTTCGCAAGAAAAAAAAAAGATAAGTAGTAGAAAAAATAGCCAGTGTAAAATATTAGTACACAGGAGCAGTAAGTAAACTAAGTTCCACACTGAAAGAACCACCAGATCTCGAGAAGTAGATATCAAGAAACAGTTTGCACTGGCTGTTTTATTTCCTTATGTCAGAAGGAAGTAGGTTTTTACAGATCCTTGGACATGATCATCTTTGTTTCTGATATTCAGAAACGGAACCAACAGTTTGGTGTCTATTTATTTTATTTGGTTTGTTTTTGAGAAAGCGAGTTAAATAAACTCAGCTTACAAATAATTAACAGCCCCTGGACTATTTAAAACCTGCTACTGAGGTGGTAGAGATAAGTTGAATCCAACAGCTGTCACATGTATGGGTTTGACAGATAGGTAAGTCCAAGAGTGGACAAATTAAAAGCATTTTTCATATGCTAATCTCCACCTGCACAGGAATAATTTTTTTTAAGGAGGCAGTCTACTGGCAGAGCAAATTCAAGAGCTATCAGTAGTACATTACTTCTAGGAATTATGACATGCAATAATGAATAAATACTTCTATGAGAAAAGTCTGCTGTGGAATCTTAATTCCAGATGGGTGTCCTGACAGCAATGTGCCAGCAATATTGTGGAAAGAAAAATGACATATATACATACATATATATATACACGCACATATGTATATGTATATATATGGCTTTTAAACTTGAATAATAATTTCTTCCATGTGTAATAGGTTCACAATTATATCTAAGGAATTACTTTTTTAGTTGCGAATAGAGATCAAAGTGAAAACAATAGTCAACCTTGCCCTTCAGGTGGCAGTTACATGTGAGCTGCATAGTGAGTGTGAGAGACAGTCAAGGATGTCAATCAGAACCTACAGATTAACCCACAGCAGTGAAATCTGAGATGGTTTATAACAAGTAGATAACAGTTTCAGGCCTATGTGAGAACGCATAAACTAAAACTTCATGCTGGGACAAAACAGGGCAGGACATTTGAGGTAGAGAGTGAGAAAACCATACTTTTATTATGACAAAGCCTCTCCCATACTTGTTGAAATGTCACTGGGTTGTTATTAAATGCTCACCATTTCTCTAGGTTTTATATTATCTTACAAAAAGCTTTTGGAGTTTCCTTTAATTTTGATAAACATTCAAATTTGTGCATAATTTCTGCACTTCAGCTTTGAATGACAGAAAATTTCCCATGCTTGTTGAGTTTCCTTTCAAGTAAGAAAGTAATTCTTGTAATAAATAAAAATGTTATATTTCTTTCTTCCAATGTTATCAAGTTAATAAACCCTTACCTTAGTTTATAAAGTCAAAATTTACTAATGTATTGAAATGAGAACCGAAATACTCAAAAAGAAATCTTAAACATCAAATAATAACGAGGGTAATGAATGAATGGTCATGGTTATGGATGGTGATGATCTAATGTAAGGTCCTATCTCTTTTTAATAGAGAGTCCTCAGGCTCAGACAATTTAGGGTTAAAGTGCCTATAACCAGATCAGAATCCTCAGTTATTACGTAGTACTCTTTTAAGACCCGTGAATTAAGTTATAATCAATGATTACAACACTGGTATCATTTATTAATGTACCCTTCTCTTCTAGGGTAGCAGAGATCAGTTTCTGACACCTTAGAACTCTTCATGTGCAAGAGGAAATTGAAACAATAACAACATATTTAGGCAGTAGGCAAAATGATTTGCTTTGGCTTTACCTACAGGGAAACTTGGGCAATGGTCATTAGACTTTTTTAATGGAACTTCAAGTCTGATGCCTTGTGACCAGGTGCTAACATGGAAAAGAGTTAGCATCATTGACATTCTTTGATTCGGAAGCACATAAGAGGTAGATAAGGAGACAACACAGGCGACCCACCTCCAGGCCAGGAGAAGAGGACAGTTCCTGGAATGTCTGCAATGTGTTACTATTTTTGTCACACCTATGTGAGGCCATCCATCTGGTCTGAATCAATCAGTCTCATCCCAGGGCTCTGCTCCTCTCCCAGCTGAAATAATACCCTTCTTTCCTCAGTGCTGTCTTCAGGAGGGGCGCTGCTCAGGACTGCCCGGACAAGGCCAATTAATGAGCCTGTGTATTTGCAAACGATGACCCAGGATTAGACACTGGAGAAAACTTTCTTTAAATTCTCTATAAACTCTGCTCTCCTAGAAACAGTACTTGAGAAAACCGGATGAATCATTAGACAAATAATTGACCCCAGAAAGCGAAAGACTGATGCTACATTACTTTGCATACGTACATCTTATTTTTTAAAGAAAATGTCCTTGCCTTGAATTTAAACCATGAATTGGTCTGCTGTTATACCCAAAGTAGATAAAGCCTGGGTGTGAGGCATTCACCATGACTTAGCCTGAAGTATTTTCTTCGGCCACTTCACTCTCCTCCACGCTACATGTTCAATTTCCCTGCACCTCTGTAACAACCCTACACCTCTGCTTCTAGATCATCTTCTTGGCATTCCTCATGTGCACATCCTGTTCTCTAGCAGTCCCTTATCCATGCCGCCTCATCAGATTCCTGCACACCTGACAGCCTCTTGCTTGCTATTTCAGCTACTAGACTACTGACCTCTATTGTACATGCCTGCAATCCCAGCACTTTGGGAGGCCAGGGTGGTAGGATGGCTTGAGCCCAAGAATTTAAGACCAGCCTGAGCAACATAGTGGGACCCTGTCTCTACCAAAAAAAGAATCAAGGTATGCACCAGTTAAGCCAGCCACGTTTTAGGACCACATAGCACTCTTCCCACAAGAGACCTCAAAACTTAATGACACTGGCTTTGGCAAATTCAATACCATGACATAAAACTACTCATTTTCCCTATCTGCCTAGTTTTCCATTGCAGTGGGAAATACCACCCTATCGTGGACCTCCCAACCAGGAACCCCATGGTTATTTTTGTCTCACTGCTGTCTTTCTCACTCCCCACAACCAGTCTGTTACCAACCGTTGCTACTTTTTCTTTGCCAATGTTTCCTGAATCCACCCCTTTCCTTTCCATTCTCATAGTTGTGGTCTTAGTCTAGGCTTTGGCCTTGGCCCATGGGGACTTTGCAGCCTTCTTTCCCCTCTCCCACCACATTCACATATCAAATTCCAGCTTACTTTATTTAATAACACTGACAAATTTTTTTTTCTCTTGTCTATGTTTTTGGTCCATTCATTCTCTCTGAGCTCCATTGAGACTGCCAGCTGCTCTCTGGACTGGCTTCTAATGTTCACTTCATACATGTCACCTCTTCATCCAGCTACCTCCTAATTGTTCCAATCTTTTTTTCTTTCTTTTTGGAGGTAAGCTCTTCTGGTACTTCTTTTTTTATCGTTCTCACACTTCTTCAGAAACTCTTCTCATGGTATACATGTTCCTGGTACACACCACTCAAGGGCAGATTCTGACACTTTCTTTCGGTAGTCCATCCGTGCTTCCTTTCTGATGTAGCAAAGTGTCCTCTTTGTGAGCACGCCCAGGTTCAAAACTTCCATTTCCACCACTTGCTACCTATGACATTGGGCAGTTACCTGACAGCACTTCACCTCAGCTTCCTCATCTGTAAAATGGATTGTTGTGATGAGTAATAAGATCATTTATTTAGAGCACTGCTGGCACACAGTAAGCACTGTTAACATGTTTGCTATTAGTATTATTATCATATCTCATAGGACTCCCCAATCACACCCCGCTTCAATCACCATCATGCTGTATGCCATATTATCCTTGCATGTAAATTTTGAGGACCACATAACTGGGTTTTAAAAATCTGGTTCTAACAGTAGTTTATGTCTTAGAAATCAGGGCAAAGTTAATCGAAGATACCTAATATCAAACCAGGTAAAGATGAAGACTTTAAATGCTTTTTGAGGATGATTATAAAGAACATTATGATAAGAATGATGATGATATGATGATGATGATGATGATGATGATGATGAAGAAAACATGACCAAATGCTTCTTTGGGTTAATACTCTGCTTATAAAACGAAGTGTCCAGGAAACATACAGTATTCCTCCTGAAATTAGTTTTTTTTTCCCATTAAATGGAAACATGTTATGCATAAGAACATATATTGTGCAGTATGCATGAGATTTATTTTTCAGAAAGCAGAGAAATGGCAAGAATTTTAAGTGTTCTACATACTTATTTAGATCTCACATCAGGAGATAAAACAAATGAAAACTCTGACTTGTTAATAATTTACGTTTTGGTGGAAAATTCATACAAGCTGTTAAGATACCTCTAAGACCCAACACAGAAAATGCAAATAACATATATCCACTGTGCACTGAAGAAAATTTGTCTGAAAAGAAAATAACATCAATTAAAAAAAAAAAACACAAGTGATTTCAAGGGAATGTTGACCACATTTACAGGGCTGTAATTGTGCTTATTAATTTTAGATGTCTCTTTTGAAATATTCGTGTAAATGATCTCTCCACTTACCAGGTGTTTCTTACAGAAAGTCCACTGGGCTACCTCACTACCTAGGAGGTGGCTTACAAATAGGGGATTTCTTTTTAGAAAGCCACACCATTACTTTTCTCTAACAGCTTATGCAAAAGTTTTGTGGGGGAGGGAAAAACCCAAGCCAAAAAAAAAAAAGAAAGAGAGAGAGAGAGAAGAGTGTGCATGACAATAACTACCTCTGTCCCTTAGGTTTTTGTTCTTTTCATGTCATGGAACTTTTTAGCTGTGCTGCCTGGGTAACTGCTCTGGAAGGTTGGAATATCTGTTGTTGAAGGAGGTTTGTGATTGAGGGCCCTCTGACACAACCTTTTGTTGCATTGAGGTGTTTGATCCTCTTTCCCTTTCTTCTAAAACCAATCCCATCCCTTTAAAAAATGGATAACCAGCACTTCTTTTACTTATTGTCAGCTTTTGGAAAGTTACTCTGGGGGTTTGTAGAAGTTTAACTAGTTAACTCTTTGCATGCTGATGTCCTGTCGCTAAATATTCTTCTTCTTTCTAAACAGGAAGGATTTTAATCACTTATATCAGGTAACTACCGCTGTTATGCAGGCATAGCAAGTGAAACATATTAAGGTCCAGAAATAAAGCATTTGTGTTCAAGGTCTTCAAATGTGAGAGTGATTCAGGCTTTGCAATGAGACACATCCTTATTTTCTTTTTGTCCTAGAACCGAAACATGTGAGAGTTATGACTCTGCCACTTGAAAAAACATGATGATATACTAATTTTTCATTGAAGAACAACAGGCTTTGGTAATAAGTAAATGCAAAGGGTTACTTCAGAACTGGGGTACATAACTGAATGGCAACAAAGAAAGAGAGCCTTAGAATGAAAAGTGTAGGGGTCTTGTTCCAGTCTGCTGACTAGATGCTGGAATATTTTTTTCCCAAAAGAAGGGACACAACCCAGGCTCTAGGAAAGAAAAGAAGCTTAAGTGGATTATTTAACAAAAAAGCAACTTATGGCTTCTAGATAGTGACCTACATTCTGCACACAATAATGATGTTTTACGGTGGTGATAGGGTTAATAACCTAACATCATTCATGTAGTGTTTTTTGAAAATTGAATTTTACTGCTACAAAGTAAATGTAACAGCCCTCTGGAGACAATATTACAGGCACTTTATTGTTTGCTAAGCTGATGTCATCTTTCTACAGACTGACTTTAAAACAAAGGCAGAACATTTATTACAAATATCACTGTGTGAAAGGAAATCTACTGAAATATTGTTTAGAAGGTGAGCTGATAAAAAAGTATTAATACTTGGCTTTGATCATCTTGTACTATAAAGTTATGACTTCAAATTTTTTCTCATGTGATCTCTATTCAAGGCAAACTTCATCCTGGCAATTCCTACCTGTGTCTCTAACATTATTTGCCCTCAAGTTGAAACATTTGTTTAAGATTCATGCGTGTTTTAAATACATTTTTACTCTCTAAGGCAATTTCTTAACAGAGTTGATGAGTTTTTGAGAGAGAGAGATTAAATAGCATCTTTCAGAGATAATATATGTATGATTTTAAAAACAAAGTATGGAGATTAAGCTGTTTAGTTTATATAATGAACTTTCAAAATCACCTGTAAGTGGTGACTGCAAAGTTTGCAATTTAAATAAGCTGTTTCAGGCACTGCCAAGCAAGCATTCTGCATCACAGGTTGCTTGCAACTCAGAGGGTTTGGTCTCTGTATCTGATGCACGTGTAATACAGCGTGAAGTTGTTTGTGGATCACACAGGAGCTTCTTAGAGCTTCATTTCCACACTGTAACCCTTGAAAATGTATCAAATGAGCAGATGCACTTGGCTCTTCCTTAAAAGGCACAAGTAATTTGTTTGTAAATCAGTTACCTTTCAAGAAAAGTTAAATTAGGGGGAACTCTTGTTTCTTTGATGTTTTCCCTCTTAGAAAGCCAAAGAGCAAATTAATGATCATTTTGAAGTAATAATGATAATGAGGAAAATATAATTTAGTGAGCTACACTATCCCAAAATAACTTTTTCAGGTACAGCATATAAATAACAGCCCAAAGGACTAAAGCAGCCTGATGGTGTTTTTCTAAGAAAATGATTTACTGCTCTGCCTTTGTCTCTGAACTCTGGTTAGAAGGAAAACACAGGTCAAGGAAATTGGGTTAAGGGAAAAAAAGCCTGTTATGGGCTAGGTGTAGAATTGTATGAATAGTGACTAATTGGGAGTCTGTAGCACTCAGATCAGTGTGTGCAATGCTCAGTACTGGCTGATGGTATTTATATCAGTCAAAAATGAAGCTGGATACATCTTTGCGTGCTCTACGAAGGCAGTGTGTTAGTTGGTGAATTGGCCGTGACCAGGAGAAAGCTACCAGTAGTACTATGATTGTGACTAAACCAAGAACTGAACTGCAATGTTTTAAAAATTTATTTTACTAATAAGTGTACTTCTGTATAGAAAAATCATTTTTAAAAAACCTTACAACTATTTTGAAACATTTTACTATAAGCCTGCCTTTGATTTGTTTGGGAAGCTATTTTATAGTCACTCAATTCATTTATTGTATTTGACAAATATTAGCTACTTACCATGTGCCAGCACCAAAGGTTCAAAAGTGAGTCCTCACAGAGCCTTACAGATTAGTGTCAGAAAGAACTGCTTGGCAAGGGTAAGAGTGTGACACATTGTGAGTATTCAAGAAATGTTTGTTGAGTGACTGATAGAATGAATTGAGGGATGATCAAGGTAAGTCCTCGATTTGATATATGTACAAGGAGGAACTAAGAGTTTCCCTCCCTGAACAGGTCAGAAAGGACATGCTTGAGCTGGCCTTAAAAAAACACCTGAGTGGCATGTAGCATGTGAATAATGAACAGGAATGAGCCACTGGTGGTAGAAACAGCATCCCAGAATATGCTCTGAGTTTTAGCAGCACAGCCCATTTCTGACCCCTGCATGCCTCAAAGCCACTTTAAGAATTTGGTCTTTGCCCTTCTGTCCTCACCCCCTGTTGTACTGTAATACACGCAAACATGTGTGTGCATGTACACACACATGCACACACACATGTGCTAACTCCATCGTTGGAATTCGACTGTCCACCCCTTCAAGAATCAAAGCATCTCCTAAAAAAAGGAAATGGCATGCCTGTTCCTTACTTGTATCCATAAAACTCACATTTGAGTTGTCTATCATGAGACCTCAGTTTTTTGACCAAACATTGTCCTTAAGCATCAGACACATAAGAAAAACTGGAAAGAGGAACAGGTAATATTTAAATCACCCACTATTCTTGTAATGAAAGGATTTTTCAAACATCAAGATGAAATGGTTTTATCAAATTATTAAAGTTTGCTTTTTGTGTCCAACTTAGCAACAAGTCATGGATGGGACACTCAAAACAGGCCAATTTGGGACAGTTCCAACTGTAGGAGGCCTTGTGTCATTACCTCTATAAATGGAATCGAGCTTCCCTTCTTCTGCAGCTATACATTTTCTTGCCTTTGATTTCCCACTCTGCTTTCTCTCCCGGCAGGCTCTTCCTGTCTCCTCTATCAGTTACTCTATAGGCAGATGTGCCTCTTTTTCCATTTGCCAGATCCCCCCAACCCAGATCTTCCAAACTACTCCCCTTTGAAGTCTCTATTACCGATACAATCACTTTTGTTTCCCTTCCATCCCCTCTCTCACTGCTCCAGTTTCTTCTCTCCCTAACCCCATTAGTTACATCTGCTGCCCCTACCATTCAGCCTGTGTTAAATCGTAATGCGCTTGACATAACTTCAGTTTGTCTGCTAAGTACTCAATCAGCACGCATTGCTATCTTCTGATTTGTAGGAAAGGGGGCAAGACTGAGTAAGCTGGCTCAGAATTCTCTGAGTGATTCAGCTCTGCCCAATTAGCACAACCAAAGTGGGAAATTGACAACTAATAATAATGAAAGAAATGGGTTTTAGTTGTGAATATAAATCCCACAAACTTGGTTCCTGATGCCTGTGGTAGATACTGTATGCTTCATATGGTGGTCAGATGGCTCAGAGAATGCAGAAGTGGATGAATGAAGGAGAGTGTGTCAATAATTGCAATATTTATTAGTTGACTGGGATTCTTTCCCTGGAATTCATTAATGGATTTTTTAAAGACTCTGCAAACCACCAGAAATTGTATGTAACATTTAGTATATTGATGCATTTTTTTCCTGGGCAGTGGGTCCATACGTTTAAGCAGATTCTTAAAAGGCTCTATGTCTCCCCACTATCCGCCTCCAAAAAGGTGAAGAATCATTGCTATAAGTGAAGACACCTATTTGGTCTATGTTTTCATGTGGTCTGCTTTTTTTCCCAGCCCATTTTAACATTCCACATGATTTGAGCAGTTCAGAGAGTAGAAACGTAGGGTTTTAAAGGCAAAATTTACCTTCTTTAAGAGGAAAAATGTTTAAACCACCTACCAGGTTATACAATTCACATTTTAAAAATTATTTTAGTTTTACCACAATTCAAAGACAGGCCTTTTTTTTTTTATTTAACAATGGGTATAATCACACATCTGAACATAAGAATTAGTTTTATGCAGTTCCATAGAAAACCAAAATCTTGAGGAACACTTTCAAAACAACCAGAGAAAAATAAACCATTCCTTATGTCAGTCTTGTTAGGGAGGGATTAAGAAACTGGCAATTATTTTGGCGACCTTAATTGTTGCGCGGCAGGAAAATATGTAATTAGAGCACGTTCCCAGGCCTGCACACCTGCAGCACATCCTACAGCATAATGTCAGCTTTCAGTGCCTGTCGGTGCCAGGTTCTAGCACAACCAGTCACAGTGACGCTCTGAGAACATTTCGGACTCATGTAATGTGGCTTCTGTGTATGAAAGAAGCAGGCATTTACACTACCACACAATGGAGTGCATTGCTGCAACACTGGTTTCATTATTTTCTGACGCCTACCTTCAGCACTGCCCTGGTTTACTCCGTTTGAGGTTTTATTGTTACGGTATAATAGTCCTGTACATTTTTGAAATTCCCTTATTATTCAGCTTATTAATACAGTACTGACTTGATTATCAGGCTGCAGTTGCACAGCGGAAGATTCAGTGCATTAGCTAAGTCAGAAGCTGAGTAAATTCTTGGTATAATGAGAACAATTGTTTGACATTTTTTTATGTAGAAAGATGGGCCATGGTAGTTCTCTATATAGTTGCATTTTGGAATTCACTCTATATTCCCTATATGTTGTTGAGTATTCGTTTTTCATATAAAGAAAGCTTAAAATGTGTTCTCACTAATTTGAAAAGTGTTTCAGGGTATGGGAGGACTCCATCATGATTCTCATTAGCTTTTTTCTTCTTTTTCTTTTATTGGCTTTTCTCAACAAAAAGAAACTCTGACGTTAGAAAAAGTAGTGAAAATGAAGAAACAGTATGCACGATGCCTATTTTTCAGATAATTCCATAATCTGGCATAGTGATAGTTAACAGACTTTTCCCCCCTAAGGGAGATACACTGTATTTTGCTATCTGACATGTTGTCATATATAAAGAAATCAATTGGTAATTAAATGATGCACCTTGTGAAGATGACAAAAGGCATTTGGTTGCGAAAAGAGAACTGGGTTTTGAGGGGTTTGTAGTGAAGGCCTAATGACTATTCATAAGAGATTTTCAGTCCGTTGATCCACTTGACTGGAAAGTTCTGCCCTGGAGAGTTAGTGCTGTCAGTTTCTCTCACCTCAGAAAGCCGCCGCAATCGACGGTGTAGAGGATGAGCGAGAAATTATCTAGTAGTTGCTCTAGGCCTGTCTTAGGTCACGTGCAGAAGGCACATCTGGCTTCCTGTAGGTACAACCTCAGGACATAAACTTTGACTAATTTTTAAACTATAAATATGTACGAGTGACACTGAATAAGTTACCTTTTATTCATATTTCCTTTATTTTAGAATGCATGCAAGTTGTGTAGTAAGCTGCCATTTTGGCCTTATTTTTCTTCCAATTTTAACTGTTACACACTTGCTTGTTAAGCTAAGAGTGACTGTTTATGAAAGTTGTCAAGGACCAAATGATAACAGTCTCCTTATGTGAAATCCAACAACTCTGTGTTTGCTGAGAATATGCCAAAGTTGCCCTGCAGGAAGCTCACCTGAAACAAATACAGAGTATATGATTGGATAGCGCTCTTGGGGGGTGTTTATTGCCCTATTTGGCAAAAGGCAGTAAGATATCAAAATGTACATACATAGGACTGGATACAAGGCTGCCACCACATCAAGATCTCTAGAATTGCAGAACATTGTTGCTCCAGTGTCTTCATAAACACAATCACAAAAACTACGATGAAAATTCATGCATTCAAAACAGACCAGTTACTGTCCACCATGGACCAGGCACCATCCTAGCTTTGGAGGAGACAAACATGAGGGAAGTAAAATCTCAGTGCTCATAGTTTACTGAGGAACAGACAAATAAGAAAACAGTTACACTACAACATATAAAGAGTTATGATTGAGTTGTATAATAGCACAGAGTTTAGAATCCAGGAAAGGGTTTTCTGAGAACTGTTGGGGTCTACAAACGGGGTAAAGATTTCTTATACGAGCTACTCTTTCCATTGCCAAAGCCAAATTAGCTGGCGGAAAGGTGAGTTGGACAAGTGAGGTGTTTCTGTTGCATGTGGAATCTCAACAGAACAGTAGTGGCCAGCAATTTCTGTACATATTTACTCTTGGAAAGTGCTTCTCCATGTTATCTTATCAAGAAGCTCACCTAATCAAAGGTAAACACATTTATCGCCTCATTAAGGCTTGTTTTATGGCCACTTCGATGTCATGTTTGAGGTAGAAGTACCTGTCACAGTCTTTGTCTGGAATGTATGTAAAAGGGATTTCATGGACACTGCAGAGGTTTTAATCTTTCAATATCAAAATAATTTAATGCATAATATGTATTTGAGAAGATGTCACTGGTGATTCCTACTTGTGTACTGTGTGTACTGAGTTTTGCTGACACATTTGCTAGAGCTGTCAAGGTGGACCAAATGAATGGACAGATGCCAAAAAAACAATTATGCTTATTAATGTACATTGATTGCTTGTTTAGGTTATAAAACAAATTAAAAAAAACCATTAGTATTTAAACCCTTTTATAGCTGAGCTAATGATTGCTTGTAATATAGTGTCTGGTAAAGAATATTCTATAATACCTGTAAAGCCCAGCTATGTTATCTAATTAGTAGACTTTGATTTAAGTGGCTGTAATTATGGAATTGAATAGTTGCCTTTCTAAATAACCAAATGGTAGATTTAAATATATAAAGATGTTGACTTGATTATTTAATATTTGTAGCAAAGACAAACCACCTAAATAGAGAGATTAATTCCACATCAGTGCAACATTAAAAGGGAGAGAGGATGCCAAGAATCCCATTAATTTGGGATATAAGTGTCTGAAATTTCCTCAAAACATTTACGCCAAGGAATACCAACAAGACAATATCAAGCAGCTCTCCCTAAGGATAGAGAGGTAAGGCAAACATGATTTTAAACTGCACAATATCACACAGTAAAATTAAGGACAATGTGTTCCACCAGATGCTAAACACAGCCATTTATCGAGCTACAAGGTTCTAGACTAAGTAAGTGTTTTGTATACATATTAGCTCCATATTACCTCCATGACCTCTTTCCCCATGAAGCCTTCCCTGAGCCTCAGTATCCACTCTTTCCTGTACCATGAATCCATTTTTCTTTTACTTTTTCTTTTCTTTCTTTCTTTTCTCTCTCTCTCGCTTGCTCTTTCTTTCTTTCTCTCTCTGTCTTTCTTTTTTTGTTTTTTGTTTTTTGTTTTTTGTTTTTTGAGACAGGGTCTCACTCTGGCACCCAGGCTGGAGTGCAGTGGCACAATCATGGTTCACTGCAGCCTTGACCTCACAGGCTCAAACCATCCTCCTGCATTAGCCTCCCAAGTAGCTTGGACCACAGGCATGCACCACCATGCCCAGATAATTTTTTTTTTTATTTTTTGTAGAGACGGGGTCTCACTATGTCACCCAAACTGGTCTTGAATTCCTGGGCTCAAGTGATTCTCCCACCTCAGCCTCCCAAAGTGCTGGGATTACAAGTGTGAGCCACTGCACCCAGCCCATGTTTTCAATAAAGATGGTGCTATTTGAAACTATGGCATGTCACGTGTATATTATTTTATTTCACCATGTGTTTAAATGAGATAACCAGGTGCCAAGAAAGCTTCAATATTTGCTTAAATAGCCAATGTGACGGAGAATAGGTAACCTCTTTTCTTTTTTTTTCTTATGATTTGCTTTGGCTATTAGTTTTGAAACATACATGTTATATTCCCAATTAGATCTCGTTACATCCTTCACAGGCTGTCCAAAAATTTCCATACTTCTAACAAGAACTTCGGTTGACTGAGTTTATATTATATAGTTTTTCTGTCCTTTGCCCTATTTCTTTCAAGGCCTTTGAGTCAGAAGCATTCAGCACCACGGCGTACGATAGCCACCATTTGCTTTGCCCTTTTAACTTTGGGGGTTACTTCTGACCATAGTCCAACTGCTCAGAAGGGCTTTTTCACAAATTGTTTACCGTGGCAGTTGCTACCCTATTGGGGTTTGCATTCAGAACCCATAAGCAGAGAGCAATGGTGTCAGTATAACAAATAATGTGTACAATTTTTTAAAATGCTGAATTTACCAAATCCCCATATTATGTTTTCACACTGCTCTTTCAGAAACTGTGCTAATACAATACTCCTATAAACTGATCTTGGTCCTGGCAGGCCCTGTTGGAACTAATGGGGCCTGACAGTTCTTCAGTTAAAAATTATACATGAGGGCCACTTTCCCTTAAATTATCTATTGTATGCCAGCTGTTCACAACTGCACTGCTTCACTTTCTTTGCAGTGCTAGAAATGTCTAATTTTCTCATAATATCCATAGCAACTATTCTCATGGAGGGCATTGAAGTTAGTAAGACTTCAAACACACCTTCACAGAAATCATGCTAGAGTTGCAGTTTCCATTTTCTTTAATTTTTTGGTTCTGAAAAATGTTTAGATGGCTCATTTTGCCGGTTTCATGCCATAGCACTTGAGTTATATCATAATTTCTCATTTGCTGCACAACTTTATTCTATTTTTATGCTCCTAAATGACGCAGCTCTAAGTACCCGTGAGTGGCACTTCCGTGCTGTGAGTGCTATCAAAGGCAACCTCAGATGGATAAAACTCCTGGTTTTTTGTTTTCTTTTGTTTTTTGTTTTGTTTTTGTTTTGTTTTTGCTGGGGAGGGGAGAAGCGGAGTCATCACCAAGGGCCTTCTTTTGTTTTTCAGGCATGTTAAAACTGTATAACCAACAGAACCATTTAAAAGGAAGAAAAACATCACCCAAGTTCCGTGTCTGAATGAAGGCTGTCTTCTCAAATGCTCCTCATTACTCCAGAGCAGTTATATTTGGATTATAATTAAAACGAGGCTTCTTTTTTTTCTTTTATTCTTCTTTTTTCCCAGAATGCCTCAAGTGAAGTATTCCTCCCAAAGTTATTGCACCTCTTTACTAACAAGTGCTGGGATTTTAATAAGCCTGTCCCCCCTCCTTACCCTGTACAGAGGAAAGGATGGCAAAGAGTGGCTGTGGTACAAAGGTTACATATTCAGTGATATTTTCTGCTTTTATTGGTAAAAATGGGGAGGTGGGTGGAGGATTTCCTTTAATTATGAAATAAGTGTGATGTTAGTAGTTATTTCTGTAACCTGGTGAAAATGCTGCATATTTCAGGCCTAATTTTTAGCATATGTTACCACGTGTGTAATAAAACGGTGATCTGCGCTCTCCGAATCTTTTGGCTGTTAAGGAGCACTCTGATTATAACTAGTTGCTGTAGAAACCTGGTCATCCAGATGCTTATCAAGAATGCATTATTATTTTTTAAACCTTGGTGGAGAAGCCACAGACTGCAGCAGTTGGACAAGGTCACATATCGATGGAAGTGACATGTCTTTCCTCTTTCCATTGTGTGATCGTCCAGGGCCTGGGGGCATTAATATGCAACGGTTCTGTTTTTCTTTCAGAAGGACTTGTAAACTCTTTAAACAGAGGCACACAGTTGCAATTGTTGCGGTACTGAGTGGGTGTATAGAAGCTAGGGCTGCAGCCTTGTCCAGTTGCAGATAGAATAAAACTGACAATGATGCAATGGGCCTGGCATGTAGACAACTCTGTGGGATGGATGAATGGTGCGGCTCTCGCTGTCCCTCCGGTGGTGGTAGGCCCTGTAATAGCTAGCGTAGGAAGGGTGGTGAAAATTGATATGCACTATTACTACACGTATAAAACTTAACACTGGGGCCATTGCACAGGTGGGGGGTTCCTGTTTATTGATTTTTATGAGTTTGTTAGAACATGCGCTTAATGCTTTTATACTCCGGGAGCTCTGGGAGGGCTCACCTTAGGTAATAAACCTTTCCGTACTTTGCAATCGCTCACAATTTACATGGGGACTCACATTATCCAGTACAAAGCCCAGCATTCCCCTTCTACTTGGTTTTAGGAGTGTGATAAAAAAAAAAAAGAAAAAGAAAAGAAAATAACTATAGCACTTACTTTGAATTTTTTGAAAACCTGTCCACTCCCGCTATGAAAATGGCCCCTAATTCTAATTACTCATATTTCCAAGAAAAATTAGTCACACAAACTTATGTTATGTGTTGTCTCAGAGGTTGAAAGCAAATCAGGTTTCCAATAAGACAGTACATCAAACAAAGTAGCATGTTCTTGATGCCGATGACTTTTTTTTAGAATTATGGTTGGACATTTTTGGCAGACAGATTGTCTTTTGCTCTATCAAAATGACAGTTTCTTTTGTAACTGCAACATTCATAATTAGAAGGAGAGAAGCAATCTGCCCAATTTAATATACTAAAAGAAGTTTAGAGTCTCTGCTAGTAATTTCATTATTTTTAAATTTGAATTAATTGACTTAAAATAATACAGTTAAGAAGTATAACCAGCAGGATTATGGAGAAAGGTTTCTTTTTCCTTAAAAAAAAACAGTGCTCTCAGTGTTACACTTAAGATGAGATTGAAATTTTCTTTTTTACGCCAGGTGCCCCGTTCTAAGATTCAGAGCAGCAATGTGAATATTCATCCTTGCAGTGGAGCTGAGAGAAGTTGTAGGGCAAATCCTGGGAACAAGGTCACTTTAAACAAAAAAGTTCTCCAAGTTTCCCATGCTTATAAGGCTGGCTGGGCTTAATTAAAGTCAATGGATGACCAAAAAATAAATAAATAAATAGAGAGAGAGAGAAAGAAAAGAAAATGAAAGAACAACCACCCACCCCATATCAGTCTCTTTCTAGGCCTCACTTCACATTGTATACCTTAGCCGTTGATGTTCAAGCTCTTTACATAGATCAAGAATAATATTTCTTAAATCCCTTAACAACACTGACGTGTCCATGGTTTAATCACTCTTCCCCAGTCCACATCTCTAACCTACGTCACTTGGGTGGCCCTCACCCACAGCACCACAACAAAAACAAAGCCAGAATTGCATTCAGAATGAAATCATCATAACATAGCAACCTTGTTCAGGATGTGACCTTTGGGTTTCAGCAACCCTGTCTTATGCAGCCCTGGCCAACCTTAACCTTTCCTGTTGGCTCGGAGGGTAACCTTTCTTCATATTTTCTTCAGGATCTCTCCTTACGGGACCCAGTATGTTGCATGCCTATGATGCACAGGGCCAAAAGTTTCGGAGTGTTAAAATCTACGAGCCTGTTTTCCTCTATGAGAGAATGAAGCCTGCACTCATTTTAAAGAATACATACGTAGCAAGATCTCTTTTTACCCTTCCTGTATAATTTTGGTTATGCTTAACTCTAAAGGAAACCAATTCTCTTTAGCTCTGTTACCTTATTTCGTACCTTAGCTGATTGTCATCTTTACATGAGCATCAGATATGGATGTGACAAAGATTTTTTAGAAATAATAACGACCAGTGCTTTATGAGTTGTGAAGTGTTTTTCTCTCCCACAAGAAATTACAACACAAAGTGCCCTATGCATTTTTTTAGTATGTTGATAAGACAGCAGGAAATTTTTTAACCCTCAAAACTTTCTGATTATAAGCTGTGCTCTAAATTTACACGGGCAGTGTTCCAAGTCCCACACTCCTTTACAAGTATATCATTACAGACCTGCAAGTGAGAAGGTAAATTTCCCCATGGCAGTTCTGAAATCTGACTTCAGGCTAAGAGGCCATGGACTGAGAGGGCTGATTGTGCTGGGTACCTACATATCAAAATCTCCTCTAGTATTTTAGTAGTTCCTTCTGTCCTTTTTGCAGCCCCGTGTCCTACAGAAGTGACATTTTGTTCCATTTTCATTTATCTTACTCTCCTTAGTTGTATATCAAAAGATATACACATTTATATAACCCAAGAAGCCAGGGATTAAAGCACAATATTTCTTAACACAGCTTCCTCTAAGATCTCCAGTAGCTACCTAATGCTTAAAGCTTGGGCTGACGTGGGTTATGGGGTTATAGTAGCTTTATAGATATTTCTATTTGTGTATGCTATGTTTATATATGTAATACATATATGTGTGGCTTAGGGCTATACTGACATGTTATTTTCTATGTGTTCATTTATTATAAACAGCAGGCAAGCAGACGTTTCACCTCACACCTCACTCTGGTCTCTATCATTCAAAAAATATTGCAAGATTCCCATTCTAAATTAAATACATCCGAGCTTACGTCTTTTATCAATTCTTTATTCTTGGTATCTCAAAATTCTGGTCTTCGTCCTTTGTCTCAAAAAGGGAAACTGCTGAAAGCATTTCCACCTGGATGTTTAAATTATTTAAGTTGCAGGAACCAGACCTTTTCCCTCCTGAGTAGTTGTGGGTTTTAAAGGCTAAAATTGCTTCATCATGCCAAAGTGAAAGTATGCATAAATTATTTAGTTAAACCTGAGAAAATACAGACTTTTCCCAGTGATCTTTCAAGGGCTGCCTACTTAAATTTCAGAAGAATGGGCAAGATTTTTTTTTCATTCTCTTAGAAAATTGAAGTATCTCTTGTGTCTTCTGTCAGTTGGAATGTGAACAAAATTACAAAATGGTAATTTTTTTAAAATTCCAAGCTTCATAATATCCAGTATATCTATATCATTCCAAGGTGAATACTGTGATAATCAATCAATACCAGGAAGACTCCTCCAGCTGGCGAGAACTGCAAACCCTCTCTCAATGTATTCTTAGGAAAATCAGGCAACTTGTTATAGGTCTTTCCCTAGTGCCAACCTAAAGACTGGGGGGCATTTCCGATTCAATTTCTAGTCATCCAGAGTTGGTATTTCAGTTTTAAAAGTAGAAAGTTAGGTAATTTTAAGATGTTATGAAAACTTTGTTGACATTTTTAATTTGCTTTTTAAATTTACCTTTACTTCAGCAAATAAAAATACCAGAAAAGTGTGAAGTTGTGTGGTGGTGGTGGTGGTTGGGGTGTGTGTGTGTTTGTGTGTGTATGTGTGTGTATAAGATAGATAATATTAAAGTAGCAATGAAAACAGCCCAGAAATATAGGCAATTGAGGCCCAATTTCAAGTTTCTGTAGCATAAGGCATGTATATTACAGAATGTACCACATTATGTATCTGATCTCTAAATTCGCCTTAGTATAAATGCTCCAAGTACATTCTTATGACCAAGAAAAGAATGGTATTTTTAATTGAATACCTAACCTCAAATCCTGAAAGAAACATTAATTGGGACAGGACAAAATGTCAACAAAAAAGTACTTATGTGAGTTATTTAGTATACAGCTGTCTGTTCATTTGTAGAATCCATTTGAATTTTATGTTCAGAGAAATTGGGAGATGAGAGTAAATATGGGGGGAGATTGGCATGTAAATTTGTTGAGTTTTCATGAAAAAATAAAAATTTAAAAAACCTTCCAAGCAAAATAAAACCTGTTCCATTCACAAATGATGGATGTCACTGATCCCATTAATACCTGTTACATACCAGGTCCTCTTCCTTATATCTAACTTGCTTTTTCTCCCAATTTCAGTGTAGTTGCTCTTGACCTTGCCTTTGTTCTTCTCTCCTCCTTCTCTCTTCTGCCCAGGCACAGTTATGTCCACTAAACCAGATGAACAAGATTTCATACTGACACCACCATACTCTGTTAAATAGTTAAAAATCCTATTTTGGCTTTTGTTTGCTCACTTAGATTTGTACACCCAAGGTGATGAAGAGAGCACAGATAGAATCTAGAGACAAATAGTTTCTGGAGTCAGGAATCAGATCCAGATTCTAACACGAGGTGATGTGGGAAAAAGTCAGTTAAAATTTCTGAGATTCAATTTACTCATCTATAAAATCATCCTCATAATAATTGCTCCCCCCTTCAAAGGTTTGTTATGAGGAGCAAGTGGAAAAATGTCTATTAACGGGCTCTGCTGTCAGTGGATTAATGCATAAATCCAGGTATTATTATATAATCAAACTGTCCTTTTAAATGTAGAAGAAAAGGGTTTTTAAGGCACACATGAGATTCTGGAAACGTAGACGTTATAGAAAGTCTATAGGGACTAAAAATGCATTGTCTTCTATATGCATTTATCTTGCCAGAGGTACATGCAGACCTTTGGGGGGTGCTGCTCTGGCCAGGACAGTGGTGGAGAGCTCTGACTCTTGAGTGTGAGAGCTGGAACGATTGAGAAAAGACAGGAGGGAAACTTCGAGGTCAGGTGACTTCTTTCTAACTACAGCAGGTTCTCAGATCCCTAGGCTGGCCCAAGATGAGAGAACAGTCACCAAAGAGAGTCTGGCACAGTAAGCCTAAGTCTCAGTGTCATCTGATTGTGAAATCTGCTTGTTTGCATACTCATACAGTACCAGAGCTTAAGCCCTGGCCACTGTACGGATGACTGTACAAGAGCAGAATCTAAGACCAAGGGGTTGTTTTTACTAAGGAAGAAAAATTTATTAGAGTTACTTCAAGGAAATCTATTAGATTATCTCACCAAATACATTAATAGCATCAATTATTGTATTTTACATAATTTTTTTTACACCAGATACACAGTATATTAAAGAATTTGTGGAAGTCCCCCATGTGAACCAGTATTAACCATGATAAGAGTAATCAGGACTGGCCCAAGAAAGGTAGAAATGAGAATTTATAAACTTGTCTAATTCTCATTGCTTGAAGAAAATTGAAATGAAAGAATCCAAAAAGGGATTTATGAATATTTTTTAAAGCTTAAAAAGCCCACATACTTATCATCGAATTGTCTGCTTACGATAGGAGCTGGAAGAGTCCCTTATATCCACTCAACTGTACTTACATTTTAAATGGTTGTTTTCCTTTCTCTTACACTACTACAAGAGAAAGGAAATGCCTAGGCAAATAAACTCAGTTAAAATAACTTTATGGTTGTGACACAGTTTGACAAAAGCAAAGGAAATTCAGAGTCACTGCTCACACTGTATCCTCAGCTGATTCCAACTGTGGAAAATAAAATGCTTTAAAAAAAAAAAACAATGGAACAAACTTGGGATGGATTTAGTCTTAGTCTTAGAGGCAGCCTTCTTAAATGCTGAATCTCTGAGTTCGCCATCTTTAAGTTCTTATAAGAGTTGCAATATCTGTATTCATCATAAATCTAGTCAGAGTTAAAGAAGAGTATTTGGTTAAGTACTGCTTGGAAAATATGTTGTCCTTTTTTAAGATTATGTGATTCTAACTCAAAGCTGTAACTTCTTGGGGGTTAATAACCTACCTTGAGATATACTTTAAGTAATAATAATGGCTTCTTGGGATTAGGAAAGATATTAAACTTACCCATTTCCAACGATCCTGTACTATTGCAGGAGAGATGTGGGGAGGGAGAGAAAGAGAAAGAGAGAGAGACGAGAGAAACATTTTGACCAAAATTCCATATTCACTATTGCTATGCAAATTATAAACCTAACAGAGAGGTGATGTATCATTTTTATTAAACTTATGCTGCACAAATAGTGTTTACATAGAAGAGTATAAAGTTAATTCCCTCCCGGGAAGCATTTCTAAAAAATATAAATTGTATTTTGAGAGTTAATCAATTTGTTTTTTCTCTTTTGGCATTTTAATTGAAGCTTCCAAACCGTATGCTTCCTCAAAGTATCAGAAGGCAAATATCAGTCGTGTGGTTATAAAATCAACTCTTAATTTTCTTTCAATGAAGTAGCAGATAGTCAGCTTGTAAATTTTACCTACATTACTATGGAGCTGCAGTGCTATAAATTCAAAACAGTGTGCAGGTTGGTGGAAATTGAGGTCCAGGCAGCAAGGCATGTCCATAAACTTTTCTCAGGTTATTGGAACAGAACGAATCAAAAGCGGTTCCTGGTTGTATGATATTCTCTTTTGATAGAGCAGGCTGCTTGTTGTTAGCAATCCAAGTGCAGAGGTTAGTCAGAGCAGAATGTAATTTCTAGCAATCTGACAGACCTGCGGATTGAAGCGGCAGGTTTTCCCTTCCGATTTCAGGGAATTGCTTCTTACTGTGACAAATGATTAGCTGTTATCTCTGACTGAATTTGATTTCTACAAGCAGCTGAGTCAGGTAACTTTGCAGCGTTTGAGGGGGTTTTTTACAGGAAATGAAATCGGCTCCCTAGTCATATGTGGACCAAATGAAATCTTCTCTGTCAGGGCAAAATTGTGCTTTTGGTTAATTGAAGGCAGATTTAGCATAGAGGGTGTGTGTGGTGATGTGTGTGCAGGGTGTGTGTGTGTGATGCTCTGATGGTGTAGGCAGGCACACCCATGTGTGTACATTTACAGGAACGAGGGATCATTTCATGGATTCTCTCCCAACTTTGAAAATCCTGGGTTCAAACAAAATCCCTACATTCTGAGCAGGGTTGAAGCTTTTAGAATAAACTATAAGTGGAGACAGTCATGTGGGTGTCAGAATAATGAGCCTTCATATAAGGACATCCTGTTTCAAAAGAGTTTGAACTGCAATATTAATCAAAACACAATAGATACTCACTGAGCATGGTTTTCACAAAAGTATTCATCAAAGGGCAGCTGCATTCAAAGCAAGAGATTTAGGTAAAATAAGTTAATCCTTGATCTCATCCAGGTTTGTGTGTAAATTTTGAATAGGGAGGGGTTCTAGTGATAGCAAGCGTCCTCTGGATGATAAAACAAAAAACGTGGCATGGGAAATTCCAGGTTTATCTTGTGCTTCTTGTTCGCTTTTGATGGAATCTTAATAGTGACTACACAATTAGGATCAGGTTTATCCTTCTGTTTATAGTTTGTAATTGCTCTGGAAATCCTGAGTTTCAGTAGTTCAACTTTTAGTTTTTAAGCAGTCGGTGAGTTTTTTAAAAAGTTACTATCGGATAATGTTTCATAGTTTCTAATCCTATTACAGCAATGTAAAATAAACTGTATTTCCCAAATACGAAGCAACATCTTTTATTCCCAGACCTCTTACTTTGCAAAGAGGAAACACCATCTTTAAGGTCATACTAGTAATACTCCTTATTTTGTGATGAACATAATATACTTTGTTTATAAATCCTAGTTTAAAACAACAGAGATTTGTGGTAATTGACGAAGAGTAAAAAAGTCACAAATACTGAATCTTCATTTTTCAGATGTGAGCACAACATTCCTAGGTATGTACTAATATATTCTAACACGGCATTGCGCTGTCATCAAGACTTTTGTCTAAATGTCACCACTATTATGAGCAATACTTTTGCTAAATTCTTTAGTTGTATTCCCTAAATGGCAGATACCTTTGGACCTCTCTCTCATTAGCTATTAAAAAGAATAGTTCTTTGAAAATAACAGTTCTGTGCTCCCTAAACTTCTTTTGTTTTTTGTTGAGTGATGTCAACTTAGAGTTCCACACTGATTGCCCTTCCTCCTTGCTTTGTCGCCACAAAAGGGGTGAGGGGGTGCCGGAGTTTGACCCACACCTCTGGTTAGTATTAATCACACAGACATCAGGTAATCACCTAAGTGCACTCAGACATACTAATAGAATGATTTACAGACCAGGCCCTTTGTGTTTTTCTAAATCTCATTTTAATTTATTTAAAGTGACAGTGAAGCTAGACTCCAAGCTAATGAGTCTGCATAAAAATGATTTCTTTTTCCACCTTTGTGTTTGCTAAAACTTTCTGACTCTGAAATCCTGTCAGTGAAAAATTATTTGAGATGAAACACTGCAAAAGAAGGTAAGGGGAAAGGAGACAAAGAATATGATTTGATCATCAGAGACCTGCCCTGGGTCCAAGTGGGCCTCATGGTAGCCACAAGTGTCCAGATCAGACAAATGGGGACTTTTGCATATATGTTTTAGTGCTTCATCCAGACTTGAGTGCTTCACAGAGTCTGTGAGGCAACTCACATCCTTTGGTAGCTAACAAATTGGTCCTTTCTGACCAGCAAGCAGTTTAAGAAAGCTAAGCTGTGTTGTATGCGTATTAAATATAGCACGAACTGCTTGGCTTTGCTTAACCTTAGTTGTATTAACAGATTGTTTGTTTTGATGACTGCGCCGTTAGCATGCCAGATGATAAGGAAATGGTTTTGGATTAGTTAGGACCTATAATATAGAAACTAAATAAGATGATAGACTTACAAGGATATACATTTCCTGTAAAAAAAAATGAATTCCCTTATCAGGATTTACTTGAAAGGAATATGTCTTATTACAGAAGGAGAATGCCTTGAGGAATGTGGGAAAGATTAAAGGCTTTTGTCAGTAGTTTAGGTTGGGACCAGGTTTCCTGTGTAGCCAGCCCCCCTGTCCCCACGTAAATGTTTTGCTTTTCCTCCTCTCTCTCTTTCTCTTTAAGGGGAAGAGTAAGCCCTTCTCGCTGCCTGGCGGTGTCAGATTAAATACCGAGATGGCGACAGGAAAAAGGCTGGAAGGAAAAACAAAAGACAGGGGGGTGAGAGTTATCAGGTTGGCGACGGAACTGCAGGCTTGTCGGACTCCAATTTACAGAAATCCAAACAGATTTTAGTTGACACGATCTGCAATCATTACCGCCGGAGCAGAGCTAATTAAGAAATTAGCTTTCCTGATTGCCTGTTCTCACAGTGATGAGTAGTTGAATAATGTTGTATGGCTGAAATGTTCTAAAACCAGACAGTTTAACAAGTGTTTAGCCTTTTGTGGTGATGCTGTATTTACTTTATCTATAATATCTGTGCTGCATCACTATTTGTTTCCTCTCCTTAGAAGCACCCCTTGACTTTTTTTTTCCTTTTCCTTGGTTCACCCTCTTCTTCTTGGCATTAAGTCAGAGCTTCCCCCCTTACTTCAGCCGCGTATAGGAGAGAATTATCATACAGATTTGTGGCATGTGGTACAGAAAAGTTATCGGAAACTTGTGGCACATTCAAAAGCATATTTCCTACCCGTCTAGGCATTTTTCACAAGAAAATATCAGGTCCAAAGTGGCATTTGAAGTTTCTGAATCTGACTAAATGCAGAGGTGATTGTGAATAAATAACATTAAAAGGCTTTAGTCAGCAAAGATACAGTACGAGTGAGTGGAGCTCATTAGAAACTAGCCGTGGACCCCAGATATGTCAAAGGGGGGTTTGCTGAGAGGTGACCACGCAGTCTTCATAACTTCCTCATCTCTCCCACAACTATCAAACACATAGGAAGATGTTATTTGGAGAAAAAAAATAGTTATGTTTAAAAAGCTTGACAAAGAAATTAATCAAAATGAGCTTCATGGACCTTGTAAAATATGGTCCAGGCACATGTAATGCATATGTAATAGGCATGCGTACCGATGTGTCCATATGGACAAATAGAAAACCCAAGAGTTAAAAGTTTCTGCAAAAAGACAACAACTTCTTTCCAAATTAAATAGAAGGCTTATTTGAATATAAACTTTCTCGCAATACAGCAAAATAACAAAGATTGGACAAAGGTTTCCAGGTGTCACTGTTGAAACTGCAATGGGAGGTAAGAGTATTGCTAGCTTCCCAAATGAACCACAGAAGGGGAAGTTGCATCATTCAAGATGCTTATCCTTTAGGATTTCCAAGTTTTAAAATGTAAATATTCATCTATGGAAAAACCAAAATTTCCAAGTTTTCCTAGTACACCTTCAAATCATTTCTACACCTAAGAAAAATAAATACTAATTTTTCTTAATGAGGCCTAATAACACCTTTAACTTACCAATTTAAGAGACGCTAAGTCAATACAATGTGCAGGTCCCTTCTGGATATTTATTTTCCTAAGCACAAATTCATTTATACCGAAAAAACAGTGGATGAAATACTAGAAAAATCTTTTCTGCACTGGACCTCTCTTTTCCAGATTTACCTAAGAGAATCTTACCAGGAATGGAGATAGACTTTTACTTCCTAAGTAGATTTAAATTTAACACCAATTTATTCACTCTAGTATTTCTATATGGGAACTAACAGCTTCTATAGGACCTCTACAAAGTGCCAGAAATATGATCTCATGTGTAGTAATAAATTTAAATGTGTTTTCTTTTACATATTCTATCCCTCCGTATTTTCCCAATCTCTTCCTTTTTTATGACTCCCCCACTCTCAGTTTCTAAAATCACTTGTCCACTCCGGAGACCCAGGGGCACTGCCTAGAGAAGGAGCTAACTTTAAAAAAAATAAACCAGGCTGGTCACAGTGGCTCATGCCTGTAATCCCAGCGCTTTGGGAGGCCAAGGCAGGCGGATCACCTGAGGTCAGGAGTTTGAGACCAGCCTGGCCAACACATGGTGAAACCCCATCTCTACTAAGAATACAAAAATTAACCAGGCGTGGTGGTGGGCGCCTGTAATCCCAGCTACTCGGGAAGCTGAGGCAGGAGAATTGCTTGAACCCGGGAGGCGGAGGTTGCAGTGAACCAAGGTCATGCCACTGCACTCCAGCCTGGGTGACTGAGTGAGACTCCAGCTCAAAAACAAAACAAAACAAAAAAAGCACCATACTCAGAGCTGCTATAAGTAACATGCAGTTGTAAGCCACACACTTCTTTGCATGATTCTTATTTTAAAGATTGGAAAGTAGAATTCGTATTTGTTTGTTGTACTAATTCCAGTGGTATACCTGGAATTAATAAATGGTACTAAGACACTAAGGCGTTACTTTCTTGCATTATTCTAAATCAGAGTGTTGATTAGAGAGAATAATCCAAAGGTAAAATAGTCAGATAATTTATTTTTATGTAAGTTTAAAAAGAGAAAGAGATTGATTTTTTTGAAGAGTTATAATTACATTCAGTATGTACCTTTTGTGCATTGAAATAATTTTAGATTTTCTGAAAAGGAAATATTGATGTAATTCAGCTCTCAAAACACTTGATGCCATGCCTTTCTTCCTAGTGTTTATGTAAAAGCAAGTGGTCAATTGTCGCTGCATCAGAGCTATGACAAGTTCTTCTATATTAGGTGGGCATCACTCAAACACTTTTCCATAGTAGATCCAGTGGTATACCTGGAATTAATACAATTTATTAAGTACTAAGCTATGTTGTATTTATTGTATTAATTCCAGTGGTAATACAATTCCAGTGGTAATACAATGTATTAATTCCAGGTATACCTACCACTGGAATTAATACAATAAATACAACATAGCTTACTACTCAAGTCTATTACACGCCATCTAAAATAGCTAATCAGAAAGGCTGTATGTCTGAAACACCCAAAAGTCACTCATCCTCTTTCTTAAAGCATTAAAAGTTTTGGCAACTTTTCTGAATCCGAGTTGTGTGAGTCCTATACTGTACTAAGCTGGACATCTTAAGGGCTGCAGGTTTTAATATTTACACTGCCCCGACTCAGTTGGTAACCGCTAGCAAATCATCTCACCCCAGTTTTTGTCCTTTTCCTGAAGAAAGCTGAATTTGGTTTCATGATCACTGTTTGCTGAAGAAGACAGTCCCAACAATGGTCCAAAGCAAGGCCAGCTTTTAAAACAGCCACCAATTCTGAGTCAAGGCATCTACCTTCATTCTAATCAAGAAGGGAAGATACAAAGTTTCAAGACCAGTCTTCACCTTGCACTGAATCTGACGGGGTCTTACTCAGCCACTTTCCACTACCTTTCAACCTAAAAGCCAAGAAAAGCAAGGATTTGGATTTTAAAGCTGTACTTGTTATAGGTGTTCATGGGTTTTGTTAGCATTGTTGTTTTTTAGGGATGAGGGGTGTTACTGGAGTGGAAGGGGGAGCTGTGTTGCTTTTAGTTTGTCATTTAGGATGTTAAAGTTAGTATGGGTTTCAGTTTGCATTTTAAAAATTAGAATGGTAATGAGCAAGGTGCCAGAAGGAAATAACAAAGCACATTTTCCTGAATAGCTCCCCCTGTCTTCTGTGTTCAGATTCTACTCTGACTTCCCAACCCGGCTTCCTCTCCCGCCTGCTCCCTTCTGAGGTGCAGTGTAGAAGTTCATTCTCAGGTTTCTCTCAGTTTGCAGGACGAGATGCTGCCGGCCAGGCCAAGGGCAGTTATGCCAGCTCAGTGTAGTGCAGCTTCCTTGCCCCAGCGTGCGCAGGCTGAAAGCTCAGCCAGTTTCTCTTTCTGAGGCTGCTTCACGTCTTCTCAGGGATTTCCAAGGCACGGACGTTCATTTGCCTAAAACTCTCTTAAACTGCCTGACAAAAAAAATAAGTACCTAAGTACGACATAAGTGGTACACCCACGCAGGATAATTAGGATTGATGTGCTCTTTTAGAGGCACCAGATCCTCAACCTCCCCTTACTAGTGGCATTTCTCACCTGCTCATGTGGTGCCCACCTGTGGCTTGCTGGCATTGCCACTGCCTGCGAGTGGGGAGATTTCCAAGTTCAAAATGAAGGCCTGATTTTACATGGTGGAACGCTGTAGGACTGTGTGGAGCTCTGTGAAGGAATTAAGGATGGCATGAAGTCCTAGTTTATGTCACTGCTCCCTTGTTTATGTTCTTTCCTTGACTATTCCCACGCCCCCTCTCCAGATTTTGCATGGCTTTTATAGCCTCTAGTAATTATATCAGCAGCATGGAGTCTATTTTTATCTCTTCTGAATGTGTGCAACGTAAATGTCAAAAACCATAAAGGCCCTTTTTAGCATGTACCTTGCATGCACAGTTTGAAAAGTGTGATGCAGCGTTCAGAGAGATGTTGCATTTTGAGGTGAGACAGATGAAAAGTGGAAAACTCAATTTCACCACTTAGCTGCGTGAACTTTCAGTAAGTCCTTTATCATCTTGAACGTTTAGCATTTTCTTCTGTAAAATGGAGTCCGGCTGCCTACCTCATAGGGTGGCAGCATGGAACCTAGTTTAGTGTCTGGGATGCCCCCTTTCCACAGCAGGTGCCCCCAAACTCCTAAATTATATATTTCATGCTTAAATGTCATGACCTTTCAATGCCCTGCATTGCCCTTTATCCAACTTAGAAACGGAGTAAAAATAAAATCTTACCACTGTAAGTCACAATAGGATTGTCACAAAATTAGCATGTGAAAGAATGATACGGAACTCACTGTCACCAAAAAACTGTCCCTAGACTTGGCTAATAATTATAATAATACCTAGCATTTATTACTAAGCACTTTCTGGGAGCTGGTCTCTAGGTGCTTTACATGTAACCTTCACAACCATCCACTGACCCAGTGGATAGATATTCTTGTCCTCCACTTAATAAAGGAGGACATGGAGGCAGGTTAGATAACTTAACAAAAGTCACAAGTTAGGAAGTTAGTCAGCTGGATTCAAATTGAAGCATCCTGATCCCAGAACCTACAGAAATATAAAATGTCTATCAGGCAGGAGCATTCACATGGCTGAGCTGCCCCAGCTTCTAGGCAAGGTTGTTTCCTCTCTTTGCACTTCCTATTTGAAGTTGGGCCCTGAAAGCGGCTAGATGGGCCCGTCAGAAGGGCATGCGAAGCTGCAGTCCCTTACTCAGCTACGAGTTAGGGACCATCATGCTTCAAAGGGGAAATGGCCTCAGCATGTTTAGGTAGTCCAGTACCATGGTACAGTTTTTATGGCTCATTAATTTATCTTTAATTGAAGATAAGTTGGGAGAATTTAGAGTTGTGAGAAAATGTGTTGTTTTCTAGTCAAAAATTCTCCTGTAGTTGTGATGAATGGACAAGATGGGAGTAACTGGGGGATGTGGTAAGGGATAATAATAAATAATAAAGAGCATATTTGTAGGCCCTCAACAAAATCTAGTGATGGAAGGAAGAACATATATAGGCATGTTAGACATATGAGAAATATCATAATACATTTTATGGGTAAGCTAAGAAGAACCAGTTATGCAAATTTTCTCTACTTTTTTATGAACTACTTATTGATTACCCCAGTCATTTTTCCATTGCTACCACTGCATAAAGCAGAGGAAGCCAGTGCAGTCAGAACCCTCTTATTTATACAGTAAAGGCTATTACCGACCAAGTACTTAGCAGCCAGAGAAATCTTGCGTGTAAAACAGAACTGGGATCTGAAGAACTTAGAATATGTCATTTAAAGAAATATGATCACTGGTATGTACTAAAGTGCTCCAACTTTTTAAAAACTTTAAAATCAGTTGACTGAAATTTACAGTTATTAAACTTAATTCTTTTTTTTTTTTTTTTTTGAAACAGTGTCTCACTCTGTCACCCAGGCTGGAGTGCCGTGGCGCGATCTCAGCTCACTGCAACCTCCATCTCTTGGGTTCAAGCAATTCTCCCACCTCAGCCTCCCCAGTAGTTGGGACTACAGGTGCAGGCCACCATGCCCGGCTAATTTTTGTAATTTTTGGTAGAGATGGGGTTTCACCATGTTGGCCAGGCTGGTCTCGAACTCCTGACCTCAGGTAATCCGCCTGCCTCAGCCTCCCAAAGTGCTGGGATTACAGGTGTGAGCCACCGCGTCCAGCCAATTGTTAGTCTTTGGTACGGTGCCCATGAGTCATCAAACTCATATGTGGAAGTTTTTGAAAGAAGAAAAAAAAATGAGAGTAGATTGATTAATGACTATTAAAAATAGCCTGGGATCTACGAATACCCATAGTAAAGAGCACCAGGCACTGGATAGATAATTGGTCTAAAGAGCCTGGACCTTGCTGAAGATAATATATACATGTAACATGTTTTGTGAAAATGGAGTCCTGAAGATGAAAGGTGTATCTTTTCCATATTGACTACGTGACTTAATTGCTCACTTACTAGGCTGAGAAAGGGGAGCAGAGGGGATGTGGAGAGGGAAGAAGGAGGGAAGGAAGGAAAGAAGGAAGGAAGGATAGAGGGAGGAAGCAAGGAAGGGAGGGAGAAAAGAAGGGAGGAAGGAAGGATGTGGAAGGACGGAAAGAGGGGAAAGGATGATTCAATATCCTTTGACTACTAACATATGGCCTATTTGGGGAAGTAGACGATGGTGCATGGAGTCTCCTGAAAGCATCATATGAATGTTTGAAAATGTTATTGCCCACACAGTGCAAGTGCATTTAGGTATGTTTTAAGATAGGTGGGCTAACTCTGAACTAGGGATTCCCAAGTTTAACTGCCTTATGAAGGTTAGAATTTGAGCACTTAAGTTCAGGGAAGGAAGGAAGGAAGGGGGAGAGAGAAGAAGGGAGACGGCACTGCAGGTAGAGTATCCCCACATGTCTTACCTCTTCTGAAAGGCTGATGCAACAAATGCGACTGAAAAGCCAAAGTATGGATACGTTTTCAATTTATTTCTAAAGAGTTCAATTTAATAACTGTCTGAGACTGAAACCATTGACACAGCAGAGCTTCTAGTAATTATAATTCTGAGATTCCCCAAAGTGGAAAGTCCTAGGAATACTGCCTGAAATGACAGTGCATTTGCTGTTCAGGTAAAATTCTTTAGGAATTTTCTCTGATTCTGATTTCTATTTCTAAAATTTTCGATCATCTTCACCATTTTCCCCCAAAAAATGAGGGGTGCATTTCTGTCATTTTGTGTGTGGTTGGGTGGTATTGTTGCGTCTCAGTTAGGGGTTGTGAAATGGAAGCTCTGGAGGGAGGAAAGGCATTCTTGGTTTGCAACTGAGAGCAAAAGGTACCACCTAAGCATCTTCTGTGAGACTAGGGTGCTTCCTTTAGATAAATGTGTATCTGTAATCAGCTTAACTAAGCAGGTAAGGTGTTCATTAGCTAGGCAGGGTTTTCAAAGAGAGAGAGAGGGAGAGTGAGAGGAAGAGAGAGAGAATGAATGTGGAAGAGTGAGAAGAACAAACAAGTCAAAGCATTTGTTCATGCTGCAATCTACACATCAATTATCCCGCTGTGCTAATTACCACCTTTCCATACCCCAGGTACCTAAGCATTCACACTTACTCACTTTCATGCCTCTGATCAAAAAAAAAAAAAAAAAAAAAAGAGGAGGAAAGAAATGATAGAAGCAGGGGATGATGAACCCAGAGGAGAAATACATTCTTAGATCAAAATTTCCTTTACATATGAAAGTATAAATAAGGGGTCTTCTCCATCTTGCCATTGTTGTTTTAGACAATTAAATATTTGCAAATGTTTTAATTGCAAAATATTACTTACTGTCAGGCTTCCAGGAGTGCTTCCATCTCATCAGCCCTTGTTTCCATACTTAAAAGAACACAGAGAGGTGAGAATTGCTGGTCTTGCCTGAGATTTTGGGGTTGTGCCATTAGAATGAGATCAGATCATTAAAAGTCAGTGACTACTAATTATCAGGCTACTTTTCTGAGGCTATTCAAGAATTGGGCAGTGAGGAGCCAGAGAGCTACCTTTGTATCAAAACCTTGGTGTTCCCCCTCACCGACTGAACCTTCATCTAACAATTAAACATTCTTTATTATGATGAAATCTGGGCTTGGAATCCCTGTTGGTTTGTGGGCTTCCTTGTCAGGGTGCTCATTTTCTCATTTCAGAGTGAAGTTGGATAAAAAGAAAACCTATTTCCTGTAGCTCATTTGATACCTGGTGGGGATGCTATTCAGGTGACAAGGATACAGGCACAGAGGGGGAACAGATGTGATTTACACACTCATTATCATTTGAATGAAAGTGCAGATAGGCCTGTTCAGGGGCCTGGGCATCACCTGGACAGCTTTCCTTCTGATCTTTATCCCATCTGAGAGGCCAGGTCCCCCTGACATCTTTAAATCCCCGACCCCCAGCTGGTGACACACAGAGTTTTATGACAGTCAGCAGTCCTCTGAAGCTCCAAGCACAGATGCCATTCAGAATTGTGCTTCACACTGTTTTTTTCATTGTGTTCAGGCTTAATCAGGAATATATCCAAAAAAAGCTTAACTTGAATAATTTCTTTTGGTACTTCTCCAGAAACCTGTTTGCCACTCGAAGTTTGTGTATAGTATTCTAAAGGGCCTCAGATTTTGTGTTCTTAAAGTTATGTGCATACGTAGCTGCTTCAGCTTTCGAAAAAGGACAACAAAATGGAAAGGACCATAAGTTATAGATGTCATCAAAGTCTTATGTTTCTACGACTATCAGATCAGATGAGCTTAGTATTGTGGTAGATGCAGTCAGAATGTTAGAGTGCAAAGACAATAGAAAGTTTGGATGAAGCTACCAAAAAGAAAAGTTTCTGTTTGGCCTCTTTTGCTCTTCATAAAGGATTTTCAGCGTCTTTGTTTTGCTACCTGGAATGGCTGCTGTCACCATGATCTCTCAAGCATTTTGTTACTTATTTGTGGGATGTGTGAATAACATGGAAAAATTGCTATGTCATCTGAAGACCTCAAATGATGAGTCCTGAACAGTACAAACTGTTTTTTTTTTTTTAAATACATTTTCAAGAAAGCTTGCTTTCGTTCAGGACAAGAATGCACAACAACCTTGAATAACTTTGTTTTTAACCTTCCCTTATCTCAGGCAGCCTGACAGTTTTGGTGGGGAGCGAAAAGTGAAAGGAATCTGTGAGAACAAATACTGTGGTGTTTCATGATTTTAATTAGGTATTGTATTAAAGAGAAAAATATAATGAACACAAGCACATACACATTTTATTTCCCATCTAACATTAACAGTTAAAGAAAACAATCACTATCAAATTACTTTGTTACAGTCCATAATTACAACTCAGGTTACGCTTAACTGTTATTAACAGAATGTACAGTAATATGTTCTGGCATCGTAATATGTTATTGTAGCATTATAATTAATCTTACAGGAAGTATAATAAATTTACAGTATCAGATTGAAGCAATACTGCATATAGATTTATTAATGCTTTTAATCAGTTCTGGCAAAATTAATTTTGCACTGATTGCTTACATTGGAATTTGCATATACTTAGTGAAAGTAATTTATTTTTTATGGATTCCTTTTTATTAAAATAGGGCATATGGCCCTTTAGCTAAAAAACTTTGTGGATTCTTTAGCTAAAAACATTTCTAAACATTTTGAAATGCCATATATCTTCCCTTTAAGATAATTCTTTCTCTTAAGATTTATTTTTAAATTATATTCTTTAAAATACTTTTTTAACTCTTATTTCAATGATCTATTTTTTGAAACTGTAATATTTATTTCCCTATTGTCATTAGCCTACTTTTCCCCAAGGATCTAAGTTTGAATAAAAACACAGGCCTTGAAAAATATCTACATTGATAAGGGACTGCATTAACATTTCAGAAAGTGTCATGTGAAAATTAAATATCATTGAAAAATAATGAAATTTTACTCTTTGAAAAGTCCAGTAAAAATGGGACAGCACATGAGAATTTTGCCATTATTTCTAAGTGCAACTATGTTACAATACTCCAAAATGCTTTCTGTGCCACGCAATGTATGTGCAGAAAAAAGGCGAGTGCAGATTTTTTAAAAAAACTTAAACTGATATCAGTGTTGTAAGTTCAAAAATAGTATTGAGAAAAATATACCTAAAGTGTCTTTCTATTAAAATATACATGCTTTGTAAGGAAAGGTAAATTATTCACCAAAAAAAATCAAGATGTCTTCATAAAATATATGTTTACTATATCTTAACTTGTCAGGCAATTTGAAATTTTGAATAAACTCATCACTTAAATCTTTATTTTACCTCTTTCAAAAATAGTAAATTAGGTGTTCCTGTAGGTATTGATTAATTTATTTTGCAAAAAATATTTGAAGAATAAGGGAAGAGTGATTTCTTATTCTTATAAGTCTTAACAATAAATATGTTCCTTGGCTTGAAAATTGAGTGAGCCTAACAGTACATAGCTTTCTTTTCCTATGTTAGTGAGTTACATTATGTAAAGCATATTCATGAACTTATATAGATTCTGGGTAGTTCTGATGATATGAAACTAAATTTTTTAAATAATTTAACTGAATATTTTGATATTGCTTGTATCAGGAATTTCTTCACTAAAAGAGCATATATGCAACAGTGTGACCTCTTTGGGCTCAATACAAAAGTGATTTGTACAGTGATTCTGTGATTTTCCACCATAATAAATTGAGAAAGGCAGGTCTTGGTAAAACTTTATAGTCATGTATGAATACCCATATTCAGGTCTTCACCTCCAAGAGACATTCATTTTAATTTATGTCGTTGTTTATCATCAAGGAAGATTTTGAACTTTTGAGAATTGGCCTTTATCTGTCCTAAACCTCTAACATTCCACTGTATCTTAATGAAACGGAGGTTCTGTTCTTTCTGCCCAGGGCTTCTGATAAGTGTTTGCAGACTATGTAAACTTCTGAATAATAACTTTCAGTAAGGCAGGAGTCTTAAACCTCTTAGTATCATTTTGTGCAGTATTATTCTGCTCTGTAAGATAATGTGTTATCAATACTTCATAAGATAACTTTGGCCAGAGAATGAATAAAATTTATAGTCACTTTCAAACTGCTCCCTTTTTTTAGGGTGTGGGTCATAGATCATGCAGCTGTCTGCCAACAGATAATCTTGATGAGTAAAAAGAAGCTAACAGAGAAAAAGGTGGCTTAGTCTAAAACACTTAGGAAGGACTTAAAAAATTATTTCCCAAAGAATTAGGGAGTAAAAAAATTGTAAGTACATTTGTTTACAGTAAAAGAGTGGTCTCTTTGTTTGAGGAATTTTCCTTGCCACCTCAGAAAGTGAAAATTTACTCCTTTTTTTTTTTTTTTTTTAGAAAATTAATGCTGGTGTGATTGTTTAACTTGTGTAACCTGTTCCTTGAGGTAAAATGAGGAAGAAGCATATGATTTGGCCTCTCTTTTCAGTGAAGGAAGGAAGTCCATGGAAATTACTGAACCAAACTAGAGATCTAAAGCAAAAGCCCTTTTGTGACACAGATGAACTCAATAGTGCACTGTGACTATCTGACTTTTGCCACGTCCAGGCTTAGGCCGCCAAGCGGCCAGGGTCAGCAAATTCCACTACCTGAAAATGACAGAAGGCGGCAGGGAAGGGGAATTGAGGCATGGGGAGAAGCAGTTGAAGCATACTAGGGAGGCATGAGGTTCTCTCTCTCTCTCTCTCTCTCTCTCTCTCTCTCTCTCTCTCTCGTGCAGCTAAAGGAAGAGAAGGAAGGAAAAGAGGGTGATCATTGAACGACTTTAGGGGCAAGTCTGGAGTTAGGCGCTGTGGTGTCCAAGCAGAGCCGTGTCTGGTGGCGGCAAACTAGATTGCTCCAAGCATGGAGCGCCCTGCTTGAGGACACTTGTTGTTGGACTGTTTGTTTACATGCAGTTTGGGTGGCAAAAAAAGGGGAAAGTCTGGGTGACATCAGCTGCAAGAAGACTTAACCATATGCCATGTCATCCAACCCCCAATTATTTGAACATTCTGAAGGTTAAGACATCAATCCATCCATTTTTCTTTCTCTTACTCTGAATCGTGACATTATTTTCTCTAGTTCATTGACCTTGTTGGCAATTTACACCACCAATATAAGCCTCAGGATCCTTTTGTAAAATGAGACTTGACACTAAATTAGTCAACTAAAAATTTAAAGGGTAAAGGGTCCCCCCAGCCACCCACTCCTGCCCCTCCCTGTACTAAAGTAGAAAATTTGGACAAGGCACACCATGCGTGTGACTCAATTGTTCTGGCCAAAAAATGGGATGAATAATTTTATTTCATAGATGCTTGGTGATTACTGGACTTTACAAAAGTTAACCACTAGTTAAAAAAAAAAAAAAAAAAAAAAAAAAATATATATATATATATATATATATATATATACTGCTTTTGGGTACTGAGGTTGAACAATTGGTCGGGGATAATTCCATAAAATGGATTTAAGTATTTAACAAATAATGTAAATGTATAGAGCAGGCCTAAAATTTCTCCACTGCCTTTGAGTATACCTTTAGAAGTTTACAAATACATGAGGATAAAGCAGTTTCAATAAAATGATCAATTGTACAAAGTATAGAAATATACCAAGCGTCTCTTAAGTAAATGATTACAACATTTAGAAGTATTCATGAGTTTGACATATGCAAAGCAGCCTATCTCTCATGAGTCTGAGTTCCAGCCTCCCTGAACCTTTGTGCATTTCATAGGCTGGTGAACAGCCCAAACATGTAAATAAATAGCCATTCAAAGTGCAAGCATTTTTAAAAGTTTAAAACTCCACACAAGTTCTTTTACAAAAGAGTCCACCCTTTTATGTACCTTTAAAAACATTTAGCCACTTTATTCTTTTGTGTCTTTGAAGAGAAAAAAAATTAATAAAGTTGTAGGATCCTTTTGAATTTAGAAAATGTTGGCAATGTTGGAAAGAAAGACATTCAGCATTTCAAAGTTCTGGTGGGGAAGGAAAAAAAAGATTCTGAATAAAACAATTTTATGTGATTTTGCAGGTGGTTTGAGCTATCATTTTATATGTACGTTTGTACCACTGCTCATTGGAATGTTCATATAATACTGACCTAATTATGCATAGAAAAAGATAAGCCATTTACTTGATTCATTTCTTCTTTTTAAATCAAGAAAGGAACAAAAAGGCTCCTATTTTCTGAAAGAAATTGTTCGCTTTTATTGCAGAAAAGTAGCAGCTTGTGCAGAGCTAGAACTGTAACAATTTTATATTCCAAAGGTTTTGTGTGTATTCGGTTAGTTACAGTAATTATACCCAATAACTGACAGCCAAAATCACGTAGGAGAAAGCAAAGGCTGTTTTCTCACACAGGCCCTGCTGCAGAACATCTGCTGAGAGATTTGCATATTAATTAACCCATATTAACTCTAATTATTCTGGGAAATTATCAAATAAATTGAATTTTCTAATTTTAACCTTTCTTTTACTTGACGCGTGTCGAGGCTGAGAGGACGCACCAGGCCGTCTCACCTGGGCAATGAGCAAAAGATCTTTTCTACCCCTTTTGCTCCTTTAGACCTGGGGCAGCCTGGGGAGCTTTTGTGTGCCTTGTGCTTTTTTGGCTTCTGTGCCTGGTAGGGTCTCCATGCATTTGTTGAGAGAGGGAACATGTGTGCTTGTGAGCACAGATGGTGGATTTATACAGGGGTGAGGAAAGGTGGTACCTCAGAACAGTTGAGCAAACCTTAAGTTTTTTTTTTTTTTTTTTTTTCTTCCTCCCAGCCTGTTGTTTAGGCCTGAGCAAATAAATGGGAGTTTAATTCAATTAGAGCCTGGCTGTAGTCAGTGCCTCATGACAGAAATTATTCAATATTTTTCCCCTCACATTGTTTGGTTTACACATCACTGACTCCCTTCCTTTTGTACTCTGTTTAGAGTGGCCATAATGTGTTGAGCTTTTGTGTCTGCCATGTCACTGTCCCTTTCACCGTTGTCTGGTTTTGTCAATTGTGAGGTGCAATGATGCTGTTTTGAAAACAGGGTCCTAGTCAGGGTGTTGCTATGTGAGTAGGGTGGCTGCAGTTTTAAACATACTACACAGTAAATAATGTCATTAGCCCAATAGACCTGAATCTACTGCTAAGCCTTAAGAGAAATCCTTTGGGTAGGGAAGTGAACTTTACATGCCTTTCTCAGGTATTAGATGTAGCTTAAAACTGAGATTTCAAAGATAAATCTGGTCAGGGCAGTATGAAGAATTGGACTCCATTGCATGATCCCCTTTCAGGCATTTCTTTGGGGTAAGAGGCAAGATTGACTGAGATTAGAATTTTTTGCATGTGATCAAGTTTGTAACGACCCATACTTTAAGCCACAGCGATCAGGAGAAAGCTACTGATGAAACCTCTACCACAAGCAGATCTCCAGCCCCCCTACTTCGAGCCACATCTCTTCTAAAGACCTATGACTCTATTTCCCCCTCAATGATTTCACTTCTCCCCATCCACTAAGATCTATTAAGATGAGCCACACCTCTTGCTACCTTGAAGGTAATTGTTTTCCTCTGGAAGAGCTGTTCTTTCCCATTATTTCAGCTGATGGAGTAGAAGCATTACGGTACCTCCATGTAACATTCCTTAGACTCAAGAATTATTATTGACTTCAGTAAACTGCAGAAAACCAAGAAAGTCACCAAATAGGTCTGTTGGATGGACAAATATTTGAAAGCAATTATTTTTATGGATAGGCTAGAACTCCAGTCTCCTTTTTCATGGAAGCATGGAATGCCTTTTGCAAGAAAAATATTTCTTTAAGAGACAAGCTGTTGCTACTTCAGATGAAGGTATGGGTTCATGCTAAGGTTTTTGAGGGGAGGTGGTTTAATTTCGTGGGACTACAATAGCTAAAAGTGTATTTCAGTTATATCTGTATCTTAGAAAAATGTACAGTTACAGACAAGGTTTAGGGTGGGGCAACTAAAACAATCAGAGAAAATTTTTATAGTTTTTCTATTTCGTGTTTATTTTTTACAGCACATTCCAACGTACTCTGGCAGTTACTGACTTTACACCTTTTATGGGCTTTGAAAGTTGTGTAACCTTTTCAGAGGAAGGTGATAGACACAATATCTATTTACACAAGGACACATTTCCCCTTTCTTTATATTCCGTTTATTCAAGGTTTTATTTCCAAGGTCTTATTACTATAAAACTTAAAGCTAGACAAGGTCTGCCCTCATGTCAGATAAAAAAAAATACCAAAACAATTTTGATGGCTCAGAAGCTTATTTTTTCATACTTCCAGGTCCTAAATAAATTACAGTTATTTTCACATTCCTCTTGAATATCCTTCAGGCATGATAGTGAGCATATTTTTTCTGTAAAGCCCCTTAATACTTTCCTTCTGATGGTTTGTATAGAGCAAGTTGTTGAATGATCGTGGATTCCAATAATTAGAGAGAGTCTTCTAAAATCTTTTTTTCCTTTTGACATATTGTTGGAAGACATATAGTCACTTGATGTATTTATGAAAGTCTGTGGAATTATTGGCAGTAGATGTACAATATATATGAAATTATTTGTGTATAGCAGTTGTTTTGGGGGTCTTCCCTCAGCATGCCATCATGCTAGGCTTGCTGATGAAGGTGCTGTTAGACTTTTTAGCCATCAAAGGGCATTATTGACTTGTGTTCTGGAATATAGCTAAGTATTATGTCCTTGGATTGTAAGCATATTATAGATGTTGACAGAAAGTGAAGCTGAAAAAATTTCTAAAGGATAGAAATAACTACAAAAACTCACTAAATGAAAGGAGCGGTCAGGGGCCTGTATGTTTGAAACATCAATACAATGACTAGTTTCCTTTGGTAGGAGTTAAGTAAGGTAATCAAAACCATTATGAGTCCTAGATATACAGGAAAACCCGAATATGTTTACTTTTGTAAAAAAATAAACAGATGTCAAGTCTTTGGGAAATCATAAATTTCACTGAGAACACTGTGACCTAGAAATACCGTGTCTTCTTGAAAGAAAGTGAATTTACTGTTACAAATTCTTCGACCAATATCTGTTTTTAGGATAGCTTGACAAAGGGAGGGTCCTTGCTTTTATTCTTATTTGCCATTATGTTTATATTTTTGATATTAAGGAAGAGGTTTGGAGGGGAAAATTACATATCTAAGATGTTATTACCTGCATGTTGGAGCCTATCCAGAACCTCAACAAATGTATGGAAATTTGAACCTTTTTGAAAATCACCAGCATACTGAAATTTGAAAACCTCTCCCAGGTACCAGGGAACCTGCTAATATTTCCAGAGGGAATGAGTGGCTGCCATCTTCCCAAGATGCTCCTGTAACCAGGAAGTTGGAGGAGCCTCAGAACTGGCCTCTCTCCACTGCAACCATGGCATTGCAGAAATTCTGCTCTCATTTTATTTAATATGCGTATTTTTTTACATAGCTAATCTGAAATGGAAACATTTTTATCCCTATACTGAGAACTGCTTTTGTTTTATCAGCTGACATTTTACAACTCATTAATTTATAATGCAGGTTTAATGCCTTCGAATGTTCCTGGGATAAAAAATTAAAGTGGCCAAGCTAGTTTGTATAAAGGCTGACTATAGTATGTTAACAATAATTATTTATAACAATATTTTGTATTGGATAGCACATTCCATCTGAATATTTCAAATTGGCATGGTCCCTTCTAACTGGCATTAATTCATTCATCTTGCATCCCCAAGTAATAAAGTTATTCCCATTTTTAAATGGAGAAATCAAGATTCATGCATTTCAGTGACAGATGTTCAAATTCAGAAGAAAATCTCTGTTTGAGTTTGTCTTTGCCTTGTAATACGTATTTGTCACTAGGCCTCCATTATTAAATAAGAAATTGAACCTTGCATTTAGTCCTATGATCTTTACCCACCCAAGCACGGAGGTAACAAGGTAACTGTGATTTAAAAAAAAAAAAAAAGTCAATGATAAATCCCCCCGGATGGGCAAGAGTCACTGGACAAAAATTATTGAAAAATAGCTGCATCCTCTCCTCAGTAGCACATACTTGGAAATTGAAATTTTGTGGGGAAGACAAGGAGGAATAAAGGCTAAGGTTCAGGAGAAAAGTCTTAGAAGGTCTTCCCGACACTTGCCACATGTAAAGACGTTGTAAGAAAGCAGGCCCACAAGGCCTTTAATCCACTGGCTCAAACATAAATGATCTCTAAGCATGTAAGCATAAGAGATTTAGGAAACCAAATGATTCATAAAATTCCAAAACACTTCTTTTTTTTTTTTTTTTTTAAAGACAGGGTCTCATTCTGTTGCCCAGGCTGGAGTGCAGTGGTGTGATCATAGCTCACTACAGCCTCGACCTCCCAAACTCAAACAATCCTCCTACCTCAACCTCCTGAGTGACTGGGACTATTGGCATGCAACACCATACCTGACTGATTTTTTATTTCTTGTAGAGATGGGGTCTTGCCCAGGCTGATCACAAACTCCTGACCTCAAGAAATTCTCCCTGCTTGGCCTCCCAAAGTGTTGGGATTACAGGTGTGAGCCACCATACCTGGCCAAAAGGACTTATTTTAAATTTGAAGTCATATTACCAGCAGAGACATTTTTAAAATGAAGTTACATGTCTGTGTCACGTCTAAGCTGAAGGATTAGGCATGGTCTCTCTCATCATGGCCTTCCTACTTGAGGAAGCATTTGCAAATAAATTTCTAAGTGAAGGGCCAACACAAAAATTGTGACTGGCACAAGTTCAAATCTTCCTTTTTCCTCGTAGCCACCACACATTGCAGCACCAGAGAAAAGACAACAGACACTGAAACAATGGTATTTCAGTGATTATACCAGTTACATCACCTTGCATTTCCATGTTACTGTTTTATACATCACACAGTGCCATTGCACATACAACTTTGTAGGCTCCTATGACAACCTCATAAACAGGGAACCATTATCATGATTTTTACTCATTTCTACCAAGCTTCCTTGGATGATAGGCCAAGGCCACACAGCTGGTTACACGTTGGTTCTGGGACAAGGCAAGTCTTCAAGCTCATAATTCTGTGAACTGCCTCTTTATCTCTATTGTTTCCAAACTATTGCAGGAAACATGGGTGTATTGTTAGATTCTGGTAATTGATCAAATTGGTAGGCTTCTATAACTCAAATTAAGGGGATCCATGAAAGTAACAATCATCAAAACAATTTAAAATTAAGCAACAATCTCCATTTTTGTGGCATGAAAATCCCAAAAAGTCCCAGGGATTTCCATCCCTTACTCTGGTCATGTGGGGTTTAAACTTAGATTGCATTCTGCACTGGGAATTTGTATTATCATGTATGTTTTTGTTTGGCTGTTGTACACCTAAAGACATGCTTTCTGGTACCGGCTTTGCTACCAACTAGCTGTACGGCCTTTGACAAGCCATTTGACCTCACTGTGCCTGTATTACCTCCTTTGTCAAAGAGTTGACTTCAAGTGTCCTTCTGGAACTACAATTTTGTGATTATATTTCTCCAAATAAATTGTAAGCTTCCTGAGGTGAGAATGGCACTTCCTTCTATCTTCTGGATTTGCCACATTGTGGGTATTTAATAAATGTTTGATGATGGCATTGAACGATTTATTGGCACGCTTGAGTAGAGTTATAGGAAATCATTATTGGCTGCCTTATTAACAATTAGCTGTCTATAAGCTGCATATGTAATTTTCCTTTACATCAATAGAGTTTCTGCTTCTGGTGAAGACGAAGTATTGCCCCTTCACATCAGTTCTTCTGTATGTTAATACATTAGCAACTGATATCTTATTTGTACTGTAACTGACAGAATAATGTAGAGAAAGCATATAAGTAGGAAAAGGGGTTAGTAAGGTAACATTGTATAGGGCATCTTCAAAACAACAGTTCTGCTATTTCAAATGTCAAGCTAATTATCAGCAATGTTTAAATGCTATGATAGGCCATTTTTGCAAATGCTGAAATTTTCCAGCAGGTATGGACGTTATAAAAATGTCAAATTTTGCTACTATTCTATTACATGTCACCAGAACACAAAAATCTGAAAATAAAAGTTATATGTATAGGCAAGGAAGAGAAACCATTATTTGTTTTGCATATGACTGTAAAATTAATTGGCATAGTGATATAATTTAGAGTATTGTTTACTTGGAAGGAAGAGTAGAGAGGATTTAATATAATGTAATCTGGTGAAGTGAAAATAATGCTTATTATAGATAAACTATAAAGCCTTTTAAATATAGGCTTTTAGTAATGCATATGCAGATATATCTTTCCAGGCCCATTTGCTATAAAGCAAATTTAAGTATCAGCTTTATGCCCTTTGGTAACCCCATATTATACATACAGTTTTAGAGAAAATGAAACTTTAATATGATTCCACATAAAATGGTGAGCCATGCCAGTAATTCTTATGCCCTTCATATGCAAATAGTTTTATCTTATCCATCAATTATCATGTAAACATAGTATCACATGGCAAATTTCCCTGTAATACAGTACAGTACCTGTATATAATTATAGGTGCATTTTGCCAATGCAACTGTTACACAGAATTGTAATTAATTCCTCTGAAGACTACTGTGAGAGTTTTGGATACTGATGCTGTTTTTGGACATTTATTACTGCTCTTTAGTTGGCTTTTTGCTATGCCTCAGAGACAGATGTAAAATTAGTGTCTATTTTGAGCCAGCAAACAGTACATCTTTCCTCTTGTTTATTGAATTGCAGAAAGGAATTCTTTGGGCTCCCACTTCTTTGTGGTTTTGAAGTAACTGTCTGTTTTTGTGCCAGCCATGTAGCTCCAATACATGTCTAAAATTTTGCTGAGACTCATGCAAAGGGTGGCTTATTTGACCTGTAAGGACTGAATAGAACTTTGCTACGTTATATGGGAACTTCCAGGCTTTTAAATGCTGAATAAAAAGATATATATCATAAGTTCAAAAACAGACACTGGCCTAATATATTCTGCCCAATGAACCTCATTTAAAACCAGTATACGTTGGTTATTATACAAAATTGAATCTCTTCTTTGCAGAGACAAAGCTACATTATTAAGATCTCTTCTGCCAGTGGTGATGATGGTGGGCAAACATCAAAACAGGTCCAAATGGGAAAATGAGCTTATTTTTATTTCATAATGTAAGTGCGGCTAAACCCATCAAGTATTGGCCATTCTAGAGTAAGAATATTTTATGGTGAAAATTTCCACAGTACTTGTACTAGGCAAATCCACTGACTAGACGTGAGGGAACATTTTAAAGGAAAATCCTGGGATTTAGAAGTCGGGGCATGGGGTAGGGATCAGGAAGTGCAAAGTCCATCTCAGTGCATTTAATTTTGATTGTCAGATGGTCAACCAGAAAGAGCAGAATGAGATTGTCTCATTTGAATTCAGATATAAAAACTATGTTATGAATTGTTGTACCTGGATTTAAAAAGGGGTTGGGAGAGTGGCACACCAGCATAATGGCATATGGAAATGCATATCCTAGTTAACACAGCGCTAGAAAAGATGGCATACTGCCTCTGTAAGTGAATTTGACAGCAGTTATTTATTTAGTTTAAAAGTATTTACTACTATTTGTGAGCACAAACCCTAAAGGTTGTGAAGTATTGTTGTCCTGTGAAGGTGATGGATGCTGTACTCCTGACCCTATATGGTGAGACATGACTTCATTGCTTGTTTAGATTGTTCTGATATTTGGGACTCCTCAAGGGCTGTTCATAAATCATTTATCTCTCTTTTTTTTCCACAAGAAAATATTTCAATTGTATTGCTGCAGGAACACTCACGTGTCACACGGGATATTGTGGTCCATGCAGAAAAAGACCTTAAAAGGCATGGGTTTTTTTTTTTTTTTTTCCAGGATAAAGGCCTTTTAATGCCTGTCCAGCCTTAGATAATTTTATTCACTCCTTCTGGACCTTTCTTTATTCCTCCTGTGCCCAGAGATCAGTTTTTAGGAGGTGGGTTGAAAGCTTCCCAGGCCTTAGGAGCTTTTGTTGTAGCCCCCCCATTCCCACTCCCCCCTACCCCCAGCATTCTGAAAATTTGTAAAGAATCTTCTGCTTGTTGCTAAGAAATAGTTAAATCTCAGTCACCAGGAAAAAAAAAAAGAAGCACATTATTGATTGTACTAAGGTATATCTGGACCACACAGCTAGAGCAGAGATGTTAGAATATCTCTCTTTTTGTAGATCTGAGGGCATTACCCAGCCTGAACTTGCCTAAGCCCTTGTGGTCACACCTCTTGAAAAGGTTTTGTTTCCCCCGTCAATTGGTATTCAAACCAGGTCAGCAGATTCTGTTTGCCCGGCTCCGCTGCCGTTTTCATTTTAATTTGCACCTGTTGTGCAGTTGTTCGGAAGGCAAGTGCAGACCCGCGGATTATACAAAGATCATATTATGAGCAGATATGCACGGTGTAATCTTTTTGTCCCCAGCTTCACATGACAAAAAAAAAAAATCTCTCTCTTTTTGTTCCTTTTTTACTCCCTGGGAACCTGTCAAAGCAAACAGATATGACTGACTAAAATTTGTAACTAGACATGTTTCCAGAATTCTCCAAAAGCATTATGAACCTGACACACAATCCTTTTCATTTTTTTCCTCCTTTTCTGCCACTTTTGTATAATCCGATAGCTGGCAAGAGCCACTTGAGATAGCTCAGTTGATAACTTAGCGGAGGATTGCTTTATTAGGCGCAGAGAAATCAAAATGAACCTGAAAATTGTTTGCGCTTTTTTTTTCCACAGCCTTTTTTCCCCCTTTCTCTCTCCCTCTTGTTCCCATGATGTCATGGTTCTAACTTGTTTTTTTGTGTGTGTTTCTGGAGAGTTGGGTTAACAGTTCTTGGCAATCCTGTGTGTGCGTAACGGCTGGTGTGTTTCTCTAGCTGAGCTAATGCCCCGTGTTTATTACTCTAATCTTTCTTGTCTGGTGGTAAAGTGGACAATTTATGTACTAGCATGTAGGCCGAGAGCCTGTGAGGGCTGACTAATTCAGAAACAGCCACCTTCAATTGAGTTCACAGACCTTATTTACAGGCTGTCTATTTTAAGAAAAGCTACTGAGCATTGCTGGGACTGAGGGCTGCAAAAGCAGCCCGCCGGTTCTTGTGAGTTATTTTAACATTTGTGTTGGTCTTGCCTGTGTCACTTTGAAATCTTCTGTAATTATGACACTATGAAGACATCTCAATAGTAGTATTAATGGCCCAGAAGATATGGCTTTTCCTCATTTTCTGCTTAAAAGATTAGGATATAAATGGCCTTAGCACATGACGGTTGACATAGAAGAAAGAGTGAAAATTCAGATGGAGCAGGTTTGTGTATGTGTTTGTGTATTTGGGTAAATAGATGGACGTGTGTGTGTGTGTCTACTGTTTCTAGGGAAAAAACCACAGTTAATATAGTGAAGTCATCTCGTATTTATAGTACAACATTATATAGTAAATACTTCATGTCTCTAAGCTAATAAAATTGTCTATTGTAGATCTATTTTATAAGTTTTTGTGGAGTATCGAAAGTACATATTGCAATACGTCTCTTTACATATGCAGTATAGGCATAGTTTGTGTGTCTATGTTTCTGTTGCTTTTTAGAATTTCCCATCATTTTTAGGAAAAAATTGTTTAAAATCAGAAAGAGCACCCAGCTATAATTGAAAAAGAATAAAAATGCTAAAACCTGAAGGATATTAATTATATTTTCCTGACATGGTTGAGTAATTCAGTTATGAAAATATTAATTATTTTCCATTTAACTAAACAATTAGGGGTGGCTGATGTTTCTCAACAGAGTGTTTAGAGAGTGTGTTTTGTGCTTCTTCTGCAGTGGTGAACTATGACAATGTAGTGGACACAGGTTCTGAAACAGATGAGGAAGACAAGCTTCATATTGCTGAGGATGACGGTATTGCCAACCCTCTGGACCAGGAGACGAGTCCAGCTAGTGTGCCCAACCATGAGTCCTCCCCACACGTGAGCCAAGCTCTGTTGCCAAGAGAGGAAGAGGAAGATGAAATAAGGGAGGGTGGAGTGGAACACCCCTGGCACAACAACGAGATTCTACAAGCCTCTGTAGATGGTCCAGGTAAGTGTCTAAAATCACTTGGCCTCTTCCTGTACCATCTTCACATCTTCAACTAATCTGTTCCACCTAGCAGATCGCCCACAACCAAATAATTAAAATATTTCTTTCCATTGAGCCCTTGCAGAATAGAGATACCAAAGCTGGTGACAGATTATGAAGTGATAGTAATGTTATCACATTGCGGCAGTTACATCTTAGGAAGGGATTATATTTCAGTTTTGATGCAAGTCAAACATGAACCACACTTTCAACACATAACATGAGGTATTTGCACCACATTTACAATGTGCAAATTATGTAACATGATCAAGATCTATACTTTCATGATAGGAAATGGAAGCAAATGTAAAAACTCACAACATATATATGTATATAAAAATATTTTGTGTGGAAATTATGTAGCATTTCAAACCAAATAACTGTCAGTTTAATGTAGCTTCAGTGTCTGTCTGACACCTCCTATTGGAATTCAATCGTTTAATGATTCCCTTTTGTTAAGTGTGAATGTGATTTCACACTTTTACCTGGTCAGGTAGCTTTCTTATTATTTATCAGCTAAGTACTTGATAATGATTCCTGCTGTTTGGTGGGACTCTCAAGGGAAGTAAAAATGGTCCCAGGCCAACTATAATAAAACTAAGGTAAATTATATTCAAACTAAAACTTCCGACAACACTGTGCAAACGGGAAATGTCTTGGTCTAAAATTCACTTATGACGGAGAATCGCTAAGGTATGAAATGTTTAACAAAATACAAGAAATCTTATTCCTGTGAACTTTCTCTGCTCATCTTTACATGGTAAAGTGGCCTGGAAAATTTGTTTAAATGACCTCTCTAATTCAGACCTCATGTCACCTTCATCTCTATTCCCAGGACCCACTGAGAGTTATCATTGTTTACCCCACCTTGTTTTTTCTTTGACAACATAAGCAACAAAAGCATTTTTATAAATAGGTGAAGTGGCTGGGAAGGAGTCTACCTATATGCTGTTGTGATGTCGCAGACTATAAACCATCAAACATAGGCAGAATAATTGTTTGGTATACTGGAAGGAGGATAATAAAAGCACTTCCACTACGAAAGAAAATTAAATGTGAGATGAAAGAAAAAGAAAAAAGACTGATGGCAATTTGAGTACAGTGTATTTGTTTTTCGTTTTCCTAACATACTGTGCCAAGTTTTCTACTCTTTCCGTTTCCAATTTTGCTTTCGGTGAAGGTTTCTCGAATCTCAGCAATCCCACACATAAACATTTATCGTTATATCCATTAAGCCTTAAGGTTTTAGATTTTCAACTATGAGGGAGAACTCAGCCAAAGATGCTTGAAAGATAAATACGTTTAATTAGGGGCAGAGGATGATCATTAAAGGAAGTCTGACTGCTGCAGAAGTCATTAACAATCTTAAATGAAATTTTTATTTTTATGATAGCCATTTACATGTATAATAAGAGCCAATGATTCTTGGGAGCAGTGTGACAGAAACAGAGTGTGGCGAGAACTCATGTAAGACATACTATTTAAATGAGCTGGTGTTAGCTATTCATATTTGTTAATGAACTAGATATGCAGGGCTATAAGAATGAATGTTCTGATGCTTTAAATTTTAATATCTAGAAATCAAGGGTAAGGACCAATTACTAGAATTTCCACCCTTAGAAGAATAATTAATAACAATGTAACAAATGTACAGCCCCAAACCTCTTTTAAAAAAGTTTAATTTAAAAAATTTAATATCAATAGTTGAAAAACAGCCAAACAGCAATGTCAAGCTGTAGTAGTTTGTGATTGTGGCAGCTTTTTGTGTTGGTCATGGATCATAATTCTAAACGTTTTAATATACAGTAATCCATATGAATGCATTGCAGACCCTGTTATCACCTGTAGTTAATGGTGCCTGTGATACAAGTGAACAGGCTGTTCTTTGCTCTTACCTTTATGGTAAATAAACCAGCATTCTGGAGTCACAATAATTAAATAAAATGTAAATCCCTAATCTCATTTGGCTATTTGGACCAAGAAACTTACCCGGCTATTACCTGTCTAGTTCTAATGATTACTAATGATTTATTGTTCTTTTTTTTTATTGTTCTAAAAGTGCTCTGATGTGGTGCCTTGATGTCTAATGAAAAGAAATTGGTCTTAAAAAGCTACTCATTGTTTATCCTGACTCTGAGATAACACATTTTTCTTCTGATAAAATATTTTTCTTATTTATTGTTCAAAACACACAATATAGACAATAACTCTAATTCTGGTGCAGTTTTATTTAGTAGTGTTTTATCCCCGGTGCCTGGCTGTCTACAGTCATACCTCAGCACATAGCTTTACTCTGAGATAAGCCCTCTCTCCTTTGCTCTTTCTCCCATGCTTTCTGGAGTTTGTCTGCAGGATGCAGGTTTTGAACTGAAGAGCGCAGTGGAGTTCTTACTGTGCCTTTCCGGTTCCAGCACAATCAAAGTTTTGTGTTTGGAATTGTCCTTGACATTCTTTCGTCCCACAATGGGGTGGACACAGTGTGCTGGAAACCATGACATCATTATCATTGACACAGACTTAAATAAATCACCTGCATCTTGGCCTCTTTCTGCTTATTCAAGGATTCTTCATCTTAAGGAAGAAAGTGCTCTTTATTTTTACAAATCTTCATCCCAGGGGTGACTGGAAGACGCAAACTTTTACAAGTGTTTTAAAAATAAATATACTATGTGGTTTTAGACACAGTATGCTGAGTCAGAGGTGTCTTAGAGAATGTTTAAGGTTAGACATAAGGCAGAAAGACAGCCAGATTGCCTTTAATTCGGAGGCAATATTCCTAAACTGTGTATCATTATGTCCTTCTGAATATGGATTCACTTGAAACTTAATTAAATAGGCATATACATAACATTTCAAATACATACCTGAAAAGGCTTAGTAGTGTTTCATTTTCACACATTGAGCTTGATATTCAAAAAAGAAAAAGATTGATGCTCAGTGAATCAAAGCAAAGTACTTTCTAGGTAAAAGTGACACCATCTCATCCAATGTCTCTGAAAGATCTCAGTTGCACAGTCTTTGGATAAAAAGGGTTATAACTAAATAATACTACAAAATGCAATTTACACAATGTGCTGACTACACATTTGTATACCCAGCATTTATTAATTTGGGAAGCAACCAACTACTGTAACTTCTCTTTACTTTTTCATAAGAAAATGACAATGAGGAAGGAAGTGCAGCAGAAATCTTGAACATTACCACTATTATGCAAAAAAAAAAAAAATGCTGTTAACTGTTTTCCCCTCAGTGACTTGATGTGCTCTCAGATGGAAAACTTATGATTCTTGTGACTCTTGGCTACCCGAAATCACATGAGATGAGCAAGGAAGAAAGACACAAAAGCTATATTTATATCTAGCCCTGAACTTCTCAGAAATACCTTAATATGATTCCTTGCAGAGACTGATAAAAATATCAGATGAGGGAGACTTTCAAATGATCAATGATTACAATTGACAATACAATATTGCTATATATTAAACTTCTAAATGTTTAATGTAAAATGTCTCTCTGAAAATATTTTTTAAATAAAGGAAAATTCCTTGCTCAGGAATGAATTTAAGTGGTTGTACAGCTTAAACAAATATCATTCAAATTATCTGATTATTATGAGGAGTGAGATTAAATTAGCATCCAGGTATATCTGTGTATTTTACCTTAAGAGGATCATGATTTTTCAGTTCTGATTCCATAAAGAGATTTGCTGCACTGCTTGTAAAATATATTTTATTTTATTTTTGCTGTAACATTTTCTAGAACCTGTTCTTTCATGAAAGTAGATTAGAATATGATAAGCAAAGAATGACCAGGACAGATTTGGAAATTCGTAGAGTCCTAGTTACAAAGTTTCCCTTGTTTTAAGTAAAATGATTATCACAGAGAGATATTCATCCTGGAGCATATTTGGTCTCATTAGTATTGTCATAGTAAAAATAAAAATTTTTAAACTTCACGTTTAATTTACTTAAGAGATTTTTAACTATCAGCTATCCTGCTCTGTCCTCCTACGTCCTCTACAATCTGGTAGGCAGAAAATTTGAGAGTGCCCCTATTTTTCAAATTCTCCCTTATTTTAAAATATTGCAGTTTTTGACAATGACCTTTAATTGTTTATGAATTTTTAACTTCAACATTATATATATTCACCTTCATCAGAACACTGAGCTGTTGTTATATATGTTTCCCCAGAAAATGATTATGATTACCTACAGGGGCATAAATCATGATGAGGACAAGACATTTATGGAGTAGTTGGGATAGGAATAAGGCAGGTACGTTTTAGAAGTTTGTATCAAGCAGTGAAACAGGTATTGTTGTTACTTCTGGGATATTTGTTGTACAAACTGGGCATTCCAAGTTTTGATATGTAGAATTAGGTTTTCAAAAAGTATGCTTGCATAGATTAGCACCATTATAGCCACCCCAAGGGGAAAGAAAAGCATGAAAACAAAATGTGAAATTCTGACTTGCCACTAAGCATCCAGAGTTTCCAGAGGCATAGCAGCCAGCATGCCTCTTCATGAGTGCAAATACTTAGTTGCTTTTGACTCTTATTGAAAAAATAATATCTTTCCCCCATTTGTCACTAGAACTGCCACCAGAAGAAAAGCCCTTCATTTGCTCCAAATAAGCACTTCTGTTTTTCACAGCTTGCAGTAATGCTTAAAGTAAATAAGTTCTTGTGCAGCTAGCACTATTGGATTCATTCAATTGCCTGAACAAAGCTATTGTTTAGAGGTCTACAACAAGCCTTTTCTCTGTTTCCTTTAAAAGAATCTTCCTTGTTCCTGTGCTTGGCATGCTTAGTATAGTAAGCCTTTCTACAATTCTCAAATGCTAAAGATAATTTTCCCCCACAGAAGAAATGAAGGAAGACTATGACACTATGGGGCCAGAAGCCACGATCCAGACCGCAATTAACAATGGTACAGGTGAGTTATGTTGGCCACGCTCAGATCACATTTGTCCTGTGTCATGTGGGTTTAGTGAGGCAGGGAAGGAAACAGTGACACATCCATTTGTATCTCCATGACTTAACAAGTAGTCAACTTTACAGGTCTCTGGTTTTGTTTCAAATCAAAATTTCCTACATTTTGGTATTTTACTAAGCAAATACATCTTTCATTCTCACACCCCTAATTTACCTGTGACGCTCAAGAATACTGAACTCTATGAATGGATCCTTTCAGTGCATGAGTTGGGTGAATTTCTAGTAGTAACTTTTATTTTAAAAGACTGCAAAAAATTATTTTAAAATTAGGATATGATATACCTCTGCTAGCCACCACTTGATATCAGTCGTTGAGAATTCAAATGATAAGGTGTAATTTAGACTGTAAAATTTTTTTTTCAGAAAGACAAATTTCCACGAACATTTCTCTCAATAATTAATCATCTCAGTTCCTTTTAATCCTTTCTTTACTTGTAATTCTCTGCATCCTTGAGCCCTTTTAAATAATTTTTTCCAGGCAGTTTTAGAGAAGAATTGACAAGTTTACTTATTTTTAATGAAGCTAAAAAATTACAGTGGGAAGATACTGAGTGGTGTTTTGTTTTACTCTGCTACTGCAATAGAATGGAGTTTCAGGACAACTGTGATATTCCATGTTTTTTCCCAAACACTGAATGGCATCTTCTCTCACATTCTTACATCACCAACACAAATTTACATGTTCCATCTCTCTTTTCCTAGATGAGACTATTTATTTTGTGGAGGGGAGGGGTGTTGCAAACAGTCCTCTACACTACCATCACAAATATTAGCATAGTGTCCACCATAAAATTATCTTCCAAAATAAAACAAAAAAAAAATGTAACTACTTCTACTCAACTCATCCATGAAAAATAACTTGAAGTTTTATGAAATGTAAAAAACTAAGATGATTTTACATCACCCTTATGTTGATACACATCATGATAGACTGCTCATGTTGTGTTTCTGTTTAAAATGTGCTTATTAATAACTTAAAAGCATGAATTCACTTTCCTGGGTATAAAATAAGAGAAATAATAAAAACCTATTGTCATTCTATTCATTCGAATAATGTCAATTTAAGGTATAAAAATAAAGCTGTACAATAGATGATTCTAGAAAAAGTATAGAATCAAGCACCAAGAATCCTAATTTTTACACACAGCCCTGACAATGACTAGATTGTAACCCTTGGGCAAGTCAGTTTTCCTCTTTGGAACTCAGTTCCCACAACTGCAAAACGAATAGATTCAACTAGTTTCTTGATAATAATACTTCTAGTTTTAATATTTTATGTTGCATGGGTATTATCACCATGTAAAAATAGAAACAAGATAAAATAACTTCATATTAAAACAAAAATAAAGCGATATCATGAATTAGATACTTTCTATAATGTCCCAACTCATGGGATCAAAAATGGCTTCAAGTTCCTTTTAAAGATAAATGTTAAATTTCAGCCTCCAGCATAAATAAAAGCTGATTTTGATTACCCTTATAAGCACTTAAAGTGTCACAAAAGAAAATTTACCCCACAAAGTAACAATTTACTAGCTGTTGTATACACCTAGAGTTTAAAGTGAGGTTAATAAAAATTGCTTCTATTCAGAAGGTTTAAAAATCAATCTTGAATGTCTTTTCACCAGGCTTTAAACACCCCTTTTTTCTCATAATACCTGCTGTACCTTGTAGTTCATATGTATTCAGTCAATAAATAAATCAATAAGTGTTCATTGAGTGTGTTCTATATAGTCACTGCTGTGTGCATATGTGGTAGAAGATGGGTCAGGAAGACTAAAACATGGTTATCATTTCATTTGGAAGATGAGACTAATACACCTGAAAAAATAATGATGAAGAATAAGTGAAAATATGTGATAAACCTGCAACAAATGGTAGGAGCCATAATTATTTAGTTTTTTGTTGTTTTGTTTTGATTTGTTTTGTTTTGTTTGAGACAAGAGTGTCACTTTGTCACCCAGGCTGGAGTGCAGTGGTGCAATCTCGGCTCACTGCAACCTCTCCCTCCCAGGTTCAAGCGATTCTCCTGCCTCAGCCTCCCTAGTAGCTGGGATTTCAGGCATGCACCACCATGCCCGGCTAATTTTTGTATTTCTAGTAGAGACGGGGTTTCACCATGTTGGCCAGGCTGGTCTCGAACTCATGACCTCAGGTGATCCTCCCACCTCGGCCTCCCGAAGTGCCGGGATTACAGGCATGTGCCACTGCGCCTGGCCTATAATTATTTGAATTACAGAAGTGAGAGAGAGTCTATGGAATGGGCATTCACATCAGGTTTTGTGAAGGAGGTAGAATTCGAACTAAATACATTTTCAATAGTCATGGAGGAGTGAGGAAGGGCTTTCTAATTGAAGAGGAGTCTGTGAGCCAAGAAGGGAAAGTGTGACATCTATTCAGAGGATAGTGAGTAAAGGGTTTTGGCTGAATCAGAGAGTCCTAGGAGGCAATTTCTGGGAAATAAAGCTGGACATTTAAGTTAAAGCCAGATGGTGGAGAATATAAAGCACCAGACAGAAGAGTCTGGGTCATGTTATGCTACCATGATTTCTGTGGGTGAAAACCAGACTCTGAGAGACCAACTGGAAGTCACTGTAGTTATCCAGGTGTGAAGTGATAAAAATCTTGTCCTAAGGTGGAGACAGTGATGAAATTAGCAACATGACTTCTTAACAAACAATTGATTCTCTGAATGATGGAGGCAAAATGGCTTCAAAATTACAGATCTGCATGTTTAGCATATAGCAGTACTTGCTATTTCTAGATTTACAGAAGAAGGATCTAATTTTGAGAAGATCTTGAACCAGCCTTTAGACACAAGTATTTTCATATAAAAGATATATAGATATGGGAATATAGGAATGTCCTTTGGAAATGAGGAATTGAAACCCAAGAAGTCAGGGCTGGAGATAGAGATTTGAGAGTTATGCAAATATACTCAGATCATGTTCAAGATCACACAGGACTATGAGATTTACAACTGAGTGTATTTGTTGAAGCAAGTAGAAAGCTGAGGCCAGGGCTCCTGGTGGGTGGGGAGGAAAATCAACAAAGATTTTCTTTTGAAAAAAAAAAAAAAAGATTATGACACAAGAGAAAAAAATTAAACATTCAGAAGCAAAGAAAGAGAATTTCGTAAAGGTGAGAACTCAGTTAAAAGCTTCAAATAACTACCCTTGAAAGAAAGCTGAGCAAATACACTGGACTTAGTTAATTAGAAATTTACTAGTGATCTTCAGCTTACAACTCTGCCCTTTGAGAGAATAAGTACATATTCTTTCTTCCTAGCTACAAGTTTACCACTTCTTCTCCCTGACATCTCTTTGGATGCTAAATACATGTGGTTTTAGAAATAATACATCTTTTCTGGTTGAAATTGCATCTAAAAGACTATCTTCCTCTGCTCCCAAGTCTTGCTCATCAAGCTCCTGCTATTGGCTGAATTTCTTCTCTAGCCATTCCACACTAGAATGTCTCCCTCCAATGAGCCTGTGGGGTTTGGGCTGCTTTATCGCCATGGATCCTGGAATGGTCTCCATCACAAAGTGTGTCTGAAGAAATGAGCGAGTGAATGGGAGACAAACAGCACTTGGACTTCCCTTTTGTATTTTCAGGTTAACATATTTTTGAGCCCTGGCCTGAAGTAACCAACCAGACATTTTCATCTCTCCATTATTCCAGTCATCCAAACTTGAAAGCCTTAGTTATATTTGACTGTTCTCTGTCCCTCATGTCCTCCTCTATTTAGTCAGCCCACATCTTTCCTATAACAGTTTCCTCAATGTCCAAATTCCCTTCTTAGAATCCTGAATTGCCCCTTAGCACCTACAGGACGTTCTTCAGTCCGATAATAAGTGCCATCCATTGTATACCAATGGCGCTCCATTCTTGTCAGACCAAATCCCTTGGTGACAACAAAAAAGAACCACATTTATACCAACCTCTGAATCTCTGCCCATGCTATCCCTTCAGACCCTAATCCCCCAGCTCCTTTCTTCCAGTCATCCAAATTCTCCCCATCCTTCTGTTCTTCAAGTCCAGGTCACATCCCATTTCCTTAATGTGGTCATCTCTGAACACCCCAAACGACAGCAATCTCTTCAGAACCCTTGTGGGGTTCTGAAATCCCACAACCCTAAGGTGTATGTGGCTAACTTCAGCATGTTTCATCGTTCCTCCTTATATTGTTTGCCCTTATTTCATGTAGTCAATTTCATGAAGACAAGAGGTTTCTTCAGCTGAAAAATGAGGGTGGATCATCCTGGTATCTACCTCATTGGCTGACCTTGTTCTCTAGCCAGTAATTAAATAAATAATTACTGAGGTAATTAAATAAATAATGAAGCCAGTTGTGGTGGTCTGGCCCATAATCTCAGCTACTCAGGAGGTCGAGGCTGGAGGATGGCTTCAGTCCAGGAGTTGGAGGCTACAGTGAGCCATAATCCACTGCACTCCAGCCTGGGTGACAGAGCAAGACCCTATCTCAAAAATAGTAATAATCAGAATGTATATGTCGATATTAGTAAGTGACTAAAAAAATGTTTGCCCTAAGGAAAGGACTATTCCATTTGCCTCAACAAGCCCAGTTATAGCAGGGAGCACACATGGCAGATATTACAACTGGTGAAATGAATGAATGAATCAATGAATGAATATTTGGTGGAGAAGAAATGGATTCTGATAAAGGAAGCCACAGTAGGGGAAAACATTCTCTGTGGAGGAGACTAAGTATCTTCAGAGAGTGAAACTAGGATCTAAGTCCCTGAAGGATTTTGCCTTGTTAAAGGCAAAGAAGAATAGCCTAGAGTATCACTACATTTTTTTTTTAACAACAAAGTTAGATTAACTGAATGGCAAAATTGATCTATAACACATAAAACAGTGCAAACCTGGATTTATATTAATAACTTTCCACATTGCATAAGTTCACCAGTTTTTATTTTTTTTTAAAAAAGGAACAAAATTGTAATGCTTTCACACGTAAGATAAAGAATATCTTCTAACAAAGAGCCTTACAACTTTCAGATATTAATAGGATTTAAATTCAAAATGAAATTATTAGGTAAAATTTTTAAGTGTGTGAATGAACCATTTTCTAAGAAGAGTAGAGAAATGGAAAAACTTGGAAGCATTATACACATGAGTTTGCCTACGTGCTAGTAGTAACAAGGAGCTATCTTAGGTGCATGGTGATCATTAGCATTAATGCAGTTCCACGTGCATATCAATATCCAAATAGGGCCCTGATGTTTTACTCTTTGAATGTGTGAAAGTTATATTTACTCAGACAATCTAGTACCTCTAGTTATAAAGGGCTATTAATAACCACCTGCATCTGCGCTTCCTTTGCTAAGAGGGGGAAGAGGTACCTTACATCCAGAAACTGGGCAAGGCCAATTTAGGCATCAGTTCTTAATCTTACACAACACAATAAATTTCTTGTCTAAGAACTAACTTTATAGACTCTAACTATAGTCAAACTTGTTTCCAGTATTCTAAGAATAATACATAAATTATTTCACATATGAGAGGCAATTGTTTTGGGAGGCTCCAGATTCTAGAGACCAATTACCTACACTTGAATTTTATCTCTACCAATTACTAGTTACATTAACTTGAGTGTGTAATTGATAAGCCTTCATTTCTACATCGGTAAAGTGGAAATCATGATTCCTTATGTACAAGGCCTCGCTGTAGGGATTAAATGGCATGACATTTTTATTTATTTATTTTTTAACTTTATTTTTATTTTCTTTCTTTTTTTATTTCAATAGGTTTTGGGGAACAGGTGATGTTTGGTTACATGAATAAGCTCTTTAGTAGTGATTTCTGAGGTTTTGGCGCACCCATCACCCAAGCAGTGTACACCGTGCCCAATGTGTAGTTTTTTTTCCCTCATCACCCTCCCACCATTTCCCCAAAGTCCATTGTGTCATTCTCATGGCATGCCATTTTTAAAGCACCCAGTACAACAACTAACATAGACTAGATGCTCACCCTGTTTTGTTTTGCCAGTTTTTTTTTTTTTTTGTTTGTTTGTTTTTTTTTGAGATGGAGTCTCGCTCTTTTTGCCCGGGCTGGAGTGCAATGGTGCAATTTCGGCTCACTGCAACCTCCGCCTCCTGGGTTCAAGCAATTCTCCTGCCTCAGCCTCCTGAGTAGCTGGGATTACAGGCATGCGCCACCACGCCCGGCTAATTTTTGTACTTTTAGTAGAGATGGGGTTTTGTCATGTTGGCCAGGCTGATCTTGAACTCCTGACCTCAGGTGTCCCCCCGCCTCAGCCTCCCAAAGTGCTGGGATTACAGGCATGAGCCACCAGGCCTGGCCAACTTCAAACTATTTTTGTTCATTAAGAAATGAATACATCGTAAACGGTTTTCTCCATTCATACTGGTTCCTCCTTAACTTTTTCTCTAGGAAACAAAAATACAATTTTAACAAATTTGTAATGAAAGAACTAACCAATTTTGAGAGGCTTTGACATTTAAGTTCTTTTGACATTCTGGAAAACTACACAGACAAGTTGTAGGACACATTATTTTCAGTACTCTGGCATTTGAGGCTAAAATATGAAGGTTAAGAACTAGTTTCGTTTTATATCTGATTTCATTTTTATGTAGCATCCCTTCTTTAACTGTGTAGGAGGAGGATTTAGTAGTATTTATAATGATTACGTATAATAATGATGAAAGCTGTCAGACTTTTCCTTTCTTTGACAACTGACTCACATCAGGAATCGTATTCTTTTTAAAAATTTATTATTGACACATAACAATTTTACATATTAATATTCGTGAGGTGCAACATGATGTTTTGATACATGTATAAATTAATGATCAAATCAAGGTGATTAGCATATCCATCTCCTTAAACATTTATCATTTCTTTGTGATAAGGACATTCGAGAACCCCCGTTCTAGCTATTCTGAAATATGCACTACATTTTTGTGAGCTCCAGTCACATAATAGACCAACATAACTATTTCTCCTATCTAACTGTAGTTTTGTACCCATTGAGAAATCTCTCATTGTTCACCCTTCCCCCTACTCTCCTCATCTTCTGGAATCAGCCTAAATGTCCATCAACAGATGAATGGATAATGAATGGTATATATACCCAATGGAATACTATTTAGCCATAAAAAATAATGAAATCATGTCATTTGCAGCAACATGGATAAACCTGGAGGACATTATGCTGAGTGAAATAAGCCAAGCACAGAAACATAAATATCACTTGACCTCACTCATATGTGGAATCTAAAAAGCTGTTCTCATGGAAGTGGAGAAAAATCATATATATTTTTTTCTTCTTACCCTGGATAACAACCAATAAACAAAAACGAAGCATTTGCCCATTGTTAACAACCACTAAAATACATACATTCAGAGTGTTTGTTGTATGTAGAATTTGAACTGAGGCTTGAGGAAACTTTAAGGAAATAGAAGGGTGAGTTCCTTCCACTAAGCAACATAAAATTTTAGGGGTGTTGATAAAAAAAAATCATAATGACAAGAAGAGAAAATTTACAAATAAATAATTATAGCCTCATTAGTTATTCAACTCAATGGTCACTTATTGGGACCCTACTAAGTGCAAGGCATTTTGTTAGTCATCACAAAAGATACAGTGAGAAAAGAAGAGTCACTGTCATTAAGGACCTACATTCATCCGGGTGAATAAAACAGTGGTAGACGAATACGAAATGCATGTAAAATATTTAGTGCAACGTTAGCGCATAATAAATGCGCTATCATTTCTAGCCATTATTATTGATTATAATATCATCTGGATTAAGACGTTTTATTTGAAATACAGCAAGCTATGTAAGTTCAAATGCAAAGTGTTCAGTATTGTAGAGGGTTTCTGACAGTATAGGGTCAAATATTGGAGATAGGACAAGAGAGGTGCCTTAAAGAAATTGCAAATTTCAGGGAAGACTTTCTTCAAGACAAAGACTTGCTGGGTATGCCTCTGTGCACAAGAGAGAAAGAGAGAAAGGCTGAAATGTAAAAGGAGACTGGGTGAAAGATGGAGTGGGTTATCAAACGAGTTGTAAGAGAATAATTTTAGATGATAGCCACAATAATGTTTATTTTTTAGCAGTAAGATCAGAAGAAGAAGACAGAATGATGATAGGAGAGAATGTAGTCAATTTAAGATGATCCAAGGAATACACACTGTATGGGTTGCACTCTTTGAAGTCAATAGGAAAAAGAGACTATCAGTCAGCAGTAAGGGAATAGGAATACAGTTGGAATCTTGAGACATGGACATGTAGAATAATTGCTGTGGACAATGCGTGGAGATTCAATTATTAGGAAGGAATATCCCATTTTGAAAACATAGTCTGCAACAAGACTATACTATTATTTAAGATTTTTTTAAGATACGTTTGATACTCCAGAAATTGGACTGGATCGTAGTTCAGCAGGGTAAGAATGATACAAGTGTAAGGGACAGAGATGGAAGTGATGATTTCAAGTTCCAAGGTGAACTGAGGTAAATAAAATCAGAATGGGTAAAAGGGACTAGGAAACTTTTCAGGGCCTGATTGTCACATTGAAGTACACGTTTCAAGGGAATGAGAAACTGGATGATAGGCAAGGGGAGAAAGTAGAAATCAGAGAGCGAAAGTTCGCGGTTCTGGTTCTTGTCCCAGGGTTAGCCCAGGAGCAAGTGTGGCCATCCATGTTGCTGGATTAGAGAAAGCCTAAGCACTGTGAAGCCAGGTTCTGCATGGACTATCTATTAAGTGATGAAGTTTCCCAGAATGCAATGGCATCCTGTGGGAAATGTAATCATGGGACAGGCGTCATTTTGCTTGCAGTATACAGGCAATGTCCTAAAACATGACGGTGAAAATGGATGACTTTCGACTTCGACTTCAAACCATTACAGCTACAGAGTGGAAACAATTTGAGGGTAGAGGTTAGGTCTGCTCTTCTCCATAATCCCTCTCAGAGGATGCAGTGGTTTATACAGTGTTAATGGTTCATAACCAGGGTATTTGTTGAATTAATGAATAAATAAACAAAGAAATAAATGATGAGTGAGTTGACGAAACAGGAACATTGATTGGAAGCAGTAGCGTGAATTAAGGAGTTTGTTGACCCTTCCTCTTTGTTCTGTGAGTCATAACAAATGAAAGCAGGAATGGCCCTGTGGAAAAGGTCTGTAAGGGATGGGTTATTATCAGGGGATGACACAGTTTCATTTAGTCTGAAGAAGTGGAACACATGTAGGAGGATATAATTAAGCATGGGAGGAAAATAACGAGTAATATGTGAAATGGGAAAGCAAAATGAACCGGGAATAAAGTTCTTTTTTGGTTTCTAGTCCAAAGTTAAGCTTGAGGCATTTCTTGTTTACTATAACCACAAAATATCTAATATCTGCTAACTAATAACTAATACCTGCTATTTTAACAGATGTTAAAATAATACCTAATAAAAATTCACCTTTGCAAGGTGCTATGGAAAGTTATTCTTTATTGAGCGCCTTTAGAAACTTGATTACAAATTAGAAACAGTCAAATTAGGAAATACAATCCTTAAATATTAAATGGAAATTTTAAATAAGCATCTTGAACAGAGAATTTGAAAAACTTTTATGTGTTCTCTTTGCCCCACTAGACCCAGCTCTGGATTACCCAGTTAAAAAAAAAAATGTAAGAATAAAACAAGTGTCTAGGATTCAGAGGAATGGGGACATTTAAAAAAAAAAAAGAAAAAAAGTAAAAATTTTCTACACACACATATACAAACACACACACACACACACATACACTCTGAAGTGGGCATTTTAACTGACTTCCCCCCATATTCATTGTATGGTGTAATAATGTTGCTATTTAGAATTGCTTATAATGTCATTGTGATCGTTTCAGTATGTAGGGCCTGTTCAAATGGTACCAAGTCAGGCATGATGAAAAACTAAAAAGATGAGGTTCTCTCTTTTCTTGCCTCTTTCTCTCATGTTGAGTCATTATGGTGCAGTAGAAAGAGCAGTGGGTGAAGAGTCAGGATACATAAATCCTACATACAGCTCTTCCAGAAATTACTTGTGCAACTTTGTATGAATCACTAACCTCACTGTACCTTAGTTGTAACATCTGTTAAATGAGGAAATCAGGCTAGAAATTTTGAACTCCACCCCACCCTGCCCTTTCTTCTAATGAAATTTTACTGGAAGCATGAACAAAAAAATTACTGGACCGCACTAGCCGTCATGGGATGGGAGGCTCTCGGGGGCCCTGCCTCACGATAACATACACAGGGCCAGCTTCCTGGGTCTGGGACCTGCACAGTCGCACAGGGCCCAGCACTGAGAAGGGCTGCTTGGTTGGCTCTGCAGTTGCTGTCTTGAAGCTCTTGACAATTTTTGAATGAGGGGCCCAACATTTTCATTTTACACTGGGCCCCACCAACCATATAGCCAGTCCTGTTCATGTCTCACAAAATACATGAGAAGAATAGCAGAGTACAAGCTAGGATGGGAAGTGGTGGAATCAGAGAGGCACTGCTTCAAGTATTGAACAGAAATGCCAGTTAGGTCTAAGTTTACAGGATCCTTCTTTGGGTGTCTCCAGAGCAATTGAACCCCAAGTAAAGATCCAGATCTAGACTGAAAATCTTGCCTCAGCAAGAAATACAGTGGTGCCAGGTGTAACTCCCCTAAACTGATAATATTAGTATAAGGTTGGCAGCCTAGCCAGCAATTAAGTCTCTTTAACCATCAATTCTGTGCATCGCATCGTTAGCATAGGGGAAAGTGGGGGAAAGAAGAACTTTTTTTACTTTCACTATCCTCTTGGTTTAATAACTCTCAATTTCTCCTGTTCCTCTTAACATGGAGCTTAAATTAAAACTTTTAAATTAGTTAGCTTTCTTATATCAGTAACAGAAGCGATACAAGTTTGATTATAACGTATTTCTCTGCAAGAGTTGAGTGGATATATAATGTTAATCAATTGTACAAAATCAGTTTATCAGATAATTCAGTTAGTACCTAAATACTTAACAAGGAGGGAATCATACTATTACAAAGTATGTCATATTCTTCTTGGTTGTATCTATCACATTTTTATAGGTTGGAAGAGTTTTGTCTGCCAGTCAGACATCTGTCAGGGAAGTCATTATTTTTTAATTTCTTAGTTAACTTCATACATTGAGTTTTTAAAAATAAGGTGGAGAAAGAGATAGGTTTGGAGGAGAGAAAAATAGAAGTAGTGCTTGGCAGGTGAGACGGGGGATGATTTTCAGACTATAATCAGTGAACGCCAAGAAGAGCCTGTTCACTTCCTGGCTAATGAATGCTGTTGTTTTATTAGCTTTGTTTGCGATTAGGAGCAGCTATCTTCACTTCACAGCAAGTGTTCCCACAAGAAATAACTGATATTTCAAGCTTCTTGAGTGCCTCCTTCATTCATTCAACAAATATTTAATAAGCGCTGTTTTGCTTGTGATGTTGTCTGGGGTTTCCAGGCACTTCCAAAATATTTTCTCTTAATCTGCATGTTTGTTTTCCCCATCAGAAAGCTGTGTTGTTTTGAGTTTTTAATTGAAAAGAATACAGATAAAATTCTCTAGGCCTAGCCAGTAAAGAAAAAGCAAACTGATTAAAGTAATTAATTAATTGAAATTATGGAATTCTGGAACTTTGAGGACACCCCAGAAAGCACACCCTGGCTCATTTTACAGATGAGGAAATTGAAATTCAAAAACATGAAATAACTGAGCCAAAATGAGGAGTCCAAGGACCCTGAACCTTGCCTAATCATTCAATTATTGCATAATAACTGTGACCCAGGCACTATGCTAGGTGCTGGTGACACAAAGCTGAATAACATATGGTTCATTCTTTTATCAGCTCACAGACACGTAAGAGAAAGATTACGATGGGATGTGATCAATTCAATGATTGAGACACACAGATGACATTCAGTAAGTGAAGAAGGAAGTCTATGTGAACTCAGGCTGAGATAGTCAGGAAAGCTACCTAATAATAATAATATGGGACCAATTGTGCTTCTCTCCAAAATCATGTTATGAATGTCTCATTTAGCCATGCGAGGCAGAGGATTGAATTTGTAGAGTTCTTAAATTGGACAAGGGTCAGAATTTCGTGAAAGACTTGTTAAAACACAGATTGCTGGTTCCATAGGTTTGGATGGGCCCCAATAATTTGCATTTCAAGCAAGCTCCCAGATGATACGGATGCCACTGACTTTTGAAAATCACTGACTGTCCTGAGCATTCTTAGGTTTCACGTGTCTCTACATAAAGCATAAGAAAAGAGCATTGAATTGCTGGGCAAAATCACCTTACTTCATCAACTCCTCTAAATTATAATAAACTAGTCTATCTTTTTGGTAATATGCCAATTCCAAATTTTTAGGTTACACAGTAATGTGAAAGACAAGTGCATATTGTCTATATTGGGAATTTTTCTTTGTGTGTGTGAGATGGAGTTTCACTCTTGTTGCCCAGGCTGGAGTGCAGTGGCACGATCTCGGCTCACCGCAACCTCCGCCTCCCAGGTTCAAGTGATTCTCCTGCCTCAGCCTCCCTAGTAGCTGGGATTATAGGCATGTGCCACCACACCCGGCTAATTTTGTATTTTTAGTAGAGATGGTGTTTCTCCATGTTGGTCAGGCTGGTCTTGAACTCCTGACCTCAGGTGATCCGCCCACCTCGGCCTCCCAAAGTGCTGGGATTACAGGCGTAAGCCACCGTGCCCGGCCTATCTTGGGAATTTTTAAAAAAGTAATGGACTCTATCATTCTGTGCCAATACACAGCAATCAAAATCGTTGAGTGTTAGCAGTCTCTACATCTTGATATTCAAAATCCCCTAATGTAAGATCTCCTGCTGTTTAGGGAGATATTTGATACTGCAGACTACTACAGATTCCCATTCCTTGTCCACTCTTCACCTCGCTCTCCTGAAGCTCTCTTACATGAGAAACTCTCATTGGCATCTGAACATGTGTTCCCTGGAGAAAGCCATGTTCAGAGCAGGGGTGGAGAGAGCGGCCAAGATGCTGTACTAATTCCCAGGAAGAGCAGAAAACTTTTCTGTTGCTCTTGACGACCTGGCTTTATCCATGCCTCTGTACCAGCTGGAGGCTCTGCGAGGCCGCCCATGTAGCTGTGTAATGAGAAAAAGATCATCCTCTTCCCTCACGGTTGTTTTTAGGTAACTAGTGCCAATATGTCTTTTGGAAACCTTCTGCAAAAACGCATACATGCACTTTTAATGATGAAAAGCTTACATTTATTAATTAGTCAACTTTAAACAAAGTAGCCATGAGAATCTATAGACCTCAACAAATGCTGAATATGTGCTTCCTTAAACTAAAAAACTCAATACAAATGACTACATTCAAAATAATTTTCGTGTTTTCTTATCATCTGAGATGTTAACAAAAAGGCTGTTTTTCAAAAAGATGATAAATACAGTTACCTAGATTTGTAATTGCTTCTTCAGGTCCCTTTGCCTTTCATAGTGAAGTAAGCAAAAGCCAGATTATATGATAAATACATAATTTATGTTATATACATTACATTACACTGGGGAAGCGTGTGTGTGTGTGTGTGTGTGTGTGTATATATGAGATGCCCTATTATACATATATATATATATATATATATATATATATATATATATATATAGACATGTCTGTATATTGCAGAATCACAACCATTATGTGTATATATCTCCAAACGGGTGAATCACAGAAGTAGGAAAAAAATTTACCACTCATGTCCTCATTTCCAAGAACACTGGCACTAGTAGGCACTCAATAAACAGTTATTAAACAAGGGGATGGATGGATGATTCTACTCAGTTTTTTACATATACTTGCTGCAACTCCTCTGTACCTTCCAAGATATTTTCTTTTTAAAAAGAATTATTTATTCATTTTGATGTTTACTTAAATGGCTTAACATAATATTCAATTTTCTTCCATTTTTTATGAAAATTAAAAGCATGCAGGACACTAAACCAGTGATAATAGAGTACCTGTCTTCCACTGTGAACACAGGCTTGCTACAAATAAAGAAAATGAATGCCAAAGGGAAACAGAAAATGATAAAGAATAAGTATCTGGTCTATATTTCATTACCTGTAAACACTAAGCAAAGCCCACTTTTAAGTATCTTTGAGAAAGTATTCTAAAGCAACTTGATTATGGGGGCTGACTAATTTGGGGACCAATATTTCTCTTTTATTTAGAGTTCTGTTAACATCGCTTGAATTTTAGGCAATAATTTTTAAGGCCAGTCTATGTTGATATTTATTATTATCTGTCTGAAAAATCAATTATCTATCTAACGCAGCCATAAAGATATCTATAAAAGTGTCATTAATAAGCAACATTAGTAAGAGTGGCCAACATATTGCCAAGAGAACTGAGGCTTTCCTGACAAAAAGGGACCTGAAAATTCACCCTAACAATCTAACAGTATTAAAATACACATGGTCATGAGGAAACATTTTTAATTAACATTCTTTTTTATGGCTGGGCGCGGTGGCTCACGCCTGTAATCCCAGCACTTTGGGAGGCCGAGGTGGGTGGATCACGAGGTCAGGAGATCGAGACCATCCTGGCTAACGGTGAAACCCTGTCTCTACTAAAAATACGAAAAATTAGCCGGGCGTGGTGGCAGGCACCTGTAGTCCCAGCTACACAGGAGGCCGAGGCAGGAGAATAGTGTGAACCTGGGAGACGGAGCTGGCAGTGAGCCGAGATTGCACTACTGCACTTTAGCCTGGGCGACAGAGCAAGACTCTGTCTCAAAAAAAAAAAAAAAACAACAACTTTTTTTTGGTTTTTTTGAGACAGGGGTCTCACTTTGTCACTCAGGCTGGAATGCAGTGGTGCGATCACAGCTCTCTGCAGCCTCAACCTCCCAAGCTCAAGCGTTTCTGCTACCTCTGCCTCCCCAGTAGCAGGGACCACAGGCACGCACCACCATGCCAGGCTAATTCTTTTACTTTCTATAGAGACGAGATTTGTTGCCCAAGCTAGATATTCTTTTTTTGGATAGAGAAAAGGTTATCTAACCTTAGAGAAGATTGAGAGATATTTGCAAGACATTAGGGTAAATTTTAGGACTAAATGCAAAATCTCTGGAGAAGGTATGGGAAGAAATTACTTGAGCCTTCTTGTGAATTTTTGTTATGGTTTGATCATAAATACCATGCAAATATCCTTTGTCAGTGTGTTTTGGCAGTTCTTCCAAAGAGACCAGGGAGTGAAGAGGATTACAGAAAGAAGGAAAATGAGGTTGATTTTACACTAGAAAAATGCAGTGAAGAATTCTACAACCTTTCAGCTACTTTTGTACCTCATTCCTGTGTCCAGTACACATTATTGCATAATCTTTCTAAAAACAAACATACAAACTTTCAGATACAATCAAAACTTCATTCTTCCCAACAATTCTGAGAGTAACCAAAATTGAATCCCATCATTTGTCCTAGTATTGTAACTGTTAGGGTGATTTTAGTTTTAAGAGACTGAAACACAACATACCTTCAAGCAGAAAAGGAAGTTTCTTGGCTCACGGAATTTAAGGAAGGTGGTCAACCGAACCACTGCAAGGTGCACCTCGGCCTCAGGAACGAGAAGAGCTAGAAATGAACTGTCAGAACATGCAATCTTGTCTGCTTTTCTCTGTATGTCTGCTTTATTCTCTCTTCATAAATCTTCTTTTTCTAGATGGAAAATAACAATTCCTTCATTCCACATTTTATAGCTACAGTCACTTGGCAGAAAAAAAAAACTGCCTTGATGCTTTTTCTGGAACAAAGTCCTAAAATCATAGGGAAGGGATTTATTGAATTTAATTGGATCTATTGGCTACCCTGGACCAATCAACAAGTTGGCCTGGAGAAGAGAGGACTGAGATTGGCTCACCTGAGCAACAGAGATCAATTGTGGCTAGGGGAGCAGGATCACATGGTAACACAGCAGCTCCTTGGGTACCATAAGCCTTGGCAATCAGGAAATGGAGAAGCATTCCTAGGACAAGGTGAATGTTGAAGTACTGGGCAGAAAAACTGTATATTACTAGCACCTATTGCACCTCATGGAAAAACTACATTAGATTCATGCTGGTGATACCTAGTTTCTGGGAGGTTTAACTCTAGCCCACTTAAGTGACCCTAGGTATGTGAGATATATAAACAACAGAATATCTATACAGCATGAAGAAATATCCAGATGGAGCAAATGGATTTAAATGATTGAGTGACATCTTCATGAAACCCTTTTTGAATACTTATCTGAGCCCTATCAAACTCTTTCAAGTATTTATGACCACTACTACACAGTTTATCAAATAATTATTCTACAGTTGCCTGAGTATTAGGTCTAAGTTCCTAGCTCAGCTGCAGGTATCTTATTTTATGCTTCCTTTTACCAAAAGACCTCTACACCAAGATTAGTGTTAAGGACATAATTTATTCCACATTCATCCCATAAATGATTCTTGAGAGCCTACTAATTTCTAGGCAATATATTCAATGCCCAGGATACAAAGATGATCAAAGATGAATCCTTAAAGAGAGCGCATGATTTGATGTATTTTGTCCCCATCACACTTGACATAGAAATCTAGCATAGCCAAATTTGATCTAGCAATTGAATTACCTCTCCAAACAACAGTAGTGTATCTAGATGCAGTTTTGTTTGCCTATCCAGAAAAATCAGAATTTTCCTCCCTTTTAAGCCAAAAGGCTATTAATGCAAATCCAATTGAATTTGCATATGATTACATTTCTGATGGAAACATTCATATGCAAATGAAAATTCATGCAAAGATAGCCAGATCATTCAAATAGTTGCTGAAATATCAAGATAAAATTAGGATATTAAATGTACATCCATCTATGTTTACTAGGTTACACTAAGGTCATCAAGTAGGACAATATTCTCAAAAAACTTAAACCATGTCTTAACCCTTAACATAAACCATTGACAACCCTCAAGTAGATACGAATTCAGAAAGGAGCTATTACGTTACTTTGTGCTGTCATAGTACTGAAAAAGAAGTCAGTCACTGATAAAATCAGTGAAGTTACTCAAAAGACATTCATCATGGCTCTGCCATTTTGCCCCTTTTATCCTTTCTTCCCATCAAAAGTAAAAGGTGATTTTTTGATAGATCTGATGTTATTTTGATGATCCAAAACAATGAGCAAATACTTTATGCAAGTTGACAGTTTCTACATACTCCATAGGGGCTCAGTGATGCAAGTGAAATGACATCATCACAGTCACCACCAATAAGTATCCATTGGAAAGCATCCATGACATTGTGCATACAGCAAGGGGAAAGTGATCTTATCTAAAGCCCATATTCTTTATTAAGTCCAGCTAATAACAGATTTAAGCAAAATTTCAAGGTATAAAATCTTAATCCACTACTGTACATTCCAAATCTATTTTTGAGGGAAATACGGTCTTGGAATAGACCGTTGTTCTTGTTAACCTTATTAGAAGTTACAGAGGCAAAAAAGAAAGGTTTGAGATCACAGCATTCAGGATTACTGGCGCTTAGTTTAGTGGTCCACATAGTGTAATTCTCCCACTTCCTTTTATTTGGTCCCATATATTTGTTTATAGTTTCAAGTCTTTTTAGAATTCTAGTGTTCTTTGCTTTGATGAATGTCACCTACCATCCATCAAATTTGGAAAGTATAAACCTGAGGGAGGTACCTTAGCATCTCCCAACTTGACAAACTGAATTCTTTCCCAGATGAATCTGAGGAATTTTGGATCTTAGGTATTTCTCAAATCCAGACACTTCCTTCATCTCCATCATCAATTCCTTAACAGTATCTTTTGCCTGGCCTAGGACAGGAACCTCCTAACCGGATTCCCAGGACCTACTTTTCTCTTTCTCCAATCCCTATCATACTATAGCCAAGGATGTCATCTAAAAATGCAAATAATCATAGTTTCATCCAGCCATCCTCCTTGCTTAATACTCTTCAATAGCTTCCTGCTTCTTTTAGAGTAAAAACCCAAATCCTTAAACAAGCTCTTACCTGCTGCATGGCCTGGCTCCCGCCTTACTCTCCACCCTTACATCACGTGGTTCCCCTTTCATCCTCTGCACTCCAGCACTGTCCTTTTTTTTTAACATCCTGAGATGTCCCATGCTTGTTTCAGTCACCACATTGCACATGCTGCTCTTCTCCAGCTTCTACATTTAGTTAACTTCATGCTTCTTCAGTTAAGACCTTCCTGATCTTCTAGCTGCCATCAGGTTCCTGTGTTACTTTTTTTATACCACCATATAACTTTCTTTCATAATACTTATCTGAGTTTGTAATGATGTGTTTACTTTGGAGATAATATCAGTTGTATTAATCTCTCTCATGGCTTCCCGAAGGATGAGCCTAGAACTGTTTTCTGCTCACCAGAGCAGGACATGATGCCTATCACACACTAGGCATTCAGAAAATACTTGTTGAATTAATGGATAGTTCCACTTTCTATTCCCCTCATAAAAAATCCAAGTTCATAATCATGAAAGCAAAAAAAAAAAATTGCCTAGCTTGCTTGCGCATCACCCTGCCACAGTTGCCAAAGAGAATTAGTATGTCAAATACTATAATATTGTTTATGGTAGAGAAGACAAGGTGAAGAATCTCGTGGCACCAAGGTTAACTGCTTTCAAAAACTATGATAATAGGATTCCACCATTAATTGTACCAGCAAAGCACTTTTTTCACCTACTTAGGATAAAGAATAATATAACAGCTACTCTCCCAACTTTGTTAGCATAAAAATATTATTTATGATAGCTAAGCCACATCTTATTTCAGAAACACATCTAGAGGTTTCAAATATACAAAATCTTATGACACAAGTTGCTAAAATTGAGTTACAACTGTTATTCATTTCACAGGAATAGAGTCATAATTACAAAAGTTAAAGTCACATCAAAATCACACACCAGTTTCTTAACTCCCTCTGTTACTTTTTATTTTATTTCTATCAGCTGTGAGCTTAATTTTATTTTCAGCAGCTTTAAAATACGGAACTAAAGATTAAAATTATAGGGAAAGATAAAATGCCACATTCTGGTGCTTTTTTTTTTTTAACAAAGTTGCATTATTATCTGTCTAGGAATATCTTTCCTTTTGCATCTGTCTCAGACTATGTAGTCCTGGCTGTCTGTGACATTCAGAGGGTGGAGGGTTAAAAACTTATATTTAGCAACAGGATGTATCTGTGGTTAGGGACGCTCAGTCTAGTGGACAATGAAAAATTAAATATACCTTTCTTAGAAGAAAATGAAATTTCAGATAGACTATTAAAATAGGCTTAATCTTATATTATCTTTAATGTTTATGGATCTTAGAATGCAGTTGTTGGCTTTTTAAAAAAAATTTATGAAAAACATTTTAAATTTCTTTCATTCTTTGTATATACAGACTAATATTCCAGGAAGAAAAAATAAAATAAAATGTGCTTATTTAACTTGAAGGAAAGTGCCCGCCTTCTTGCATATATTGCAAGAATAAGCATTCAGTCAATAATCGGTCATCTTCAACACTTCTTACAAATAAACTAGGTTTTGTAGTCTATTGCAAGTCAGCATTTCTCACTGGCTATGATGGAGATGGACTTGGGATCCTAGGAAGAAGGCCCGGAAACAACATTTCTTCTCCTTTTATGATTTCAGTGAAGAATGCAAATTGCACATCAGATTTTGAGGAATACTTTGCCAAAAGAAAACTGGAGGAACGCGATGGTCATGCAGTCAGCATCGAGGAGTACCTTCAGCGCAGTGACACAGCCATTATTTACCCAGAAGCCCCTGAGGAGCTGTCTCGCCTTGGCACGCCAGAGGCCAATGGGCAAGAAGAAAATGGTGAGGCTGTAAATCATTTTTAGCCACTGCACTGACCTCTGCAGCTGTTACAATTACAAATGCACTACATGCCTGGGTGTTTACCTTAAAATTTGAAGAACAGCTGCAGAGGCATGGAATTTCATGAGCAAAGATTAGAACTGTAATTTTAGGGTATTGTGAAATTTTTTTGTCAGCAAATTTGTGTCATTTGTACATCCAATAAAGAACAAGAACAATTAGAGCCCATTTCTAAGAGATAAAAATATCTAAATGTATTCCTATCTTTCTGAAATATTTTACTTTTGAGGAAAAAAAAGTTGAGACCGACACTCCCTCACCTTTTGTTCTTCTCCACCGACACCTGAAACGCCCCTTCACACTGTGAGTTCCTGAGTAATCTGTGGCTACAGGTTTCATAGGAACTGTCAGTCACCTAAAGAGAATTTCCTCATTTATCAGCTGTTTAAGTCCCCCCCACCCCCCCAAAAAAAAAAAACCTGAAGTAATTAATTAATTTTTGAGCACAGTGTGAGCTGATTCCGACAAGTCTGTCCTGGGCATGCGAGGGGACTGGTGTGCGAGGGGGCCGGGTGCAATGATGGCACTCTGTGGAGCAGATTGCAGTGATTCCTGTCATACCATCCCGGGCAGTCAGCCCATTAGCTGCCATTGATTTACTGACCTTTTGGCCCGCTTCTCTCTCTCTCTGTCTCTCGGCTACAGACCTGCCACCTGGAACTCCAGATGCTTTTGCCCAACTGCTGACCTGCCCCTACTGCGACCGGGGCTACAAGCGCTTGACATCACTGAAGGAGCACATCAAGTACCGCCACGAGAAGAATGAAGAGAACTTTTCCTGCCCTCTCTGTAGCTACACGTTTGCCTACCGCACCCAGCTCGAGCGGCATATGGTGACACACAAGCCAGGGACAGATCAGGTGGGGGGATGGTTTTAAGTGATTTCTTTCTATAATAACCCCTTAGAGAAACGATATTGCTTTGATTGGCAATCATTATTAATTTTTCATGGCATTTTGAAGATGCAGATCTTTTAATGGTAATAGCTTTAATTGAGGTCTAAATGATTTTTTGATGGTCTCTTCTAATATGATTTAATAGTCTTATGTTCACGATCGAATGAGTGTGTTAATTTCTAATTTAGAAATTTTATTTGCACTTTAACTTGACTTTAGTTTCATTTTTATGTTCCACAAAAAGTGAATGAAATTGTAGCATTTTAATTATACATTATTAAACATCTCAGCAATTTTAATTCCATTTTTCACCTCGCTTTACTTAGAAATTTTCTTTTCATATAGGATCTAAGTCATAGAAAAAGAAGTGTGTATTTCTTTCATTTTTCATATAACACCTTCAATTACTTAGAGTATTTTTATAAGCTGCTACTAGTTTATGAAATCTGATTAAGTGTTTTAAGGAAAATCAAAAAGGCATATATTATCTGTGTATATATAATATATAAAATAAATTGGATTAGTACTAAAACGTTGGATGTACATTAAAAATGATCCCTTAATATACATATTTGTAGCTAAATGTTAAAATTACTCCCCCTCTTTTTGCTTACTTGTCTCAAAAATAAAAACTCTGTCTTCAACAGTTAAGTATAGCTTCTTAAATCTTTAAAACAACTGAATAGGATTGATTCACAGTGTTCCTTAAATGTTACATCAAAACTCCTCTTTCCCACTGGGAGGATTGACTCTGCAAATTGATATTATGATATGTTTGCATGGACAGAAGTGGTGTGCCTTAAGTCACAATAACTGGCCCTACAGATCCGGAATCACTTAATTTAAGTCTTGACACCATGTCTGTTTTTAAAATTATTGAACATGATATTGTATTCAAAATTCTTAGGTTTTCCTTATAACCTTCATTTTCTTCGAATAAGGAAAATGAGGATAAGCAAACACAGTCAATAATGGTGATAAGACTAGATTATGGAATTTTACTATTTTAGGAGAACAGCTCATGTAAATTATTCCATTTATATCTGATTGGGCTTGTCACCTGAATGCTTTTCAAAGATGAGTTATAAAAAATATGCTTGCATAGTTGCACTTATGTAACAGTTTATCTCCCCTTGCTTATATGCACAAAAACTCAAGGAAAAAAAAAGTGCCTAGATATTTATCTAGCATAACCGCTTTAAATTTCACATGCAGAAGTGTGATTGTGTTGGCGCATTATGAATGGTAGCTTTGGTGTTGAAAAGTCCCCTCATTTGCTCATGGCATTTACAATTAGTAAATTAAAATGATTGTATCATATTAACAGTGGCACAACTAAAGTTTATAGTAGTCCTCTGAGGGCTGTGGGGGGAGACAAAGCAGCTGTTGCTGTTTGTTTATGCAACTCAGCAACATATGAGCGCTGGTCCCTCAATGGCGCTCGGCGGGCTGGGCTCTGCTTGATCTTTGAAGGTTGCTGCTGTTTGAACAAACCTCCCTGTGTCCCATGTAACACCATCTGTCTCACTAGGAATGTGGGAAGATTCAGCACACCCTAGCAGTTGTCATACCGTTTCTGTGCTGTCTTTTTGCAAAAGGCTTTTGTGTCATTGCTGCTAGAAAAAGGCTGACCTCCTACCTTGAGCATCCAGAGTGGATGACTGCATTTTTTTTCCAGAATTCTAAGTCACACTGCTTTTTTCCCCTTGTTCAAAAAGGTCAGCTGTGTTTGATTATATCTTTGCTGCTTTTAACTTGTCTTTTCAGGAAACTTTTTTTCCTTTTTTGTCCCTACTCCCTAGCACACTACTAAAAAGGAAAATGAAAAGTCGTTGAAGTCTTTCCTACTGGCCTGTGATAAAACTGCTCAAGCAGCTATAACCCAAGATGTTGTCTCTTACGTTTGATAATGAATCAAATCTGATAGGCGACACCTCAGGAAAAACTGGGCTTATATTTGCTACTAGCACAATGAATAGGATATTTAAACATGCTCATCATGTAATGAAATATTTATAGTCAAGGTTTTTTTGTTTGTGTGTTTTTGGTTTGGGATTGGGTTTTTTTTCTTTTTTAAATTTTAGATTGCTTCAGTATAAGATATACTTTTATGCTGATACAAAAAAATTGATAACTTTTGTTGTGTGGGGGTGGTTTTTCTTGAGACTATTCAGAATTTTCAGGAAAATATTTTTTTCTTGACAGAATTGTCACATTCTAGCAGAGAATGTTCATATTTTAGAATTTGTGGTAAACACGAAAAACAACAAATATCTTTACAGTTATACTTCCTCGTCCCCAAAGGTTCAAAGAAACATTTTGGAAAAGACACTACAGAAATAATTCTAAAGCAAGTGTTGGATGCGCATGTGAAAGCACTTTTTTTTATTTGTTCCAATTTTATTACCAACATTATCACTTTTATTGCAACTCTGAAAGACTGAGCAGATAAATAAGCATGCACTCAAACCTTTTGGCCTGTCTGAAAAACAGAGGCCTTTTAAAAATATTTGTAACAAATTTTCTTTGTTCCTCCTGCACAAAACTGATGTCAGTCTTTCTCCTTTTATAGCACCAAATGCTAACCCAAGGAGCAGGTAATCGCAAGTTCAAATGCACAGAGTGTGGCAAGGCCTTCAAATATAAACACCATCTGAAAGAACACCTGCGAATTCACAGTGGTGAGTAGCAGAGGTGCTGGAGCTCGCATTTGCATTTTACTTAATTAGGGGAGTTTTAAAAGATTGTTTAAAATTTACACAGTCCTATTTGTAGCTTTTTGGAACTATCTATTTATTTCATCAACTCTGTGTGCCTGATTTGTGTTCATGAGACTTATGGTACAACCAGTAGCACTGTCTTATAAAAAGAAGCAGAATGCTTACATGTCTTAAAAATTACAAATGCTTTGATTTATTACAAAATCTAGAGGCTCCTTTTTGTCCTTTTAAAACCGCTTCTCCAGAATAAATATTTCTGACCTGAGGAAACTCAACTGGCAAATTCTGAAAGATATTAATTTTTGAGACCTACCCATGAAAAAAAGGGTGAAGAATTTTGGATAAGAGCTATGTATGATAAATACTCCCTGATTCCTGAGGGCCGTGGATCACAGAACAGAATCCTACCACTGAGATTTCCTCTTTATAACTAGTTTGATAGCTCTGCCAAGCATTTTATTACCAAGTTGGATGCTATTCAAAGGACTAGTTGGATTGGTAGAATCAATGGAATCTCCACAAAGTTTATTAAAGCCATGGCTACACTTGCCTTTAAATACTGTGACATCTTTATTGTGCTATTGACCACACATTAGTCTGACACTCTGTTTAAATAGGAGGCTGCCGATGGCAGACAAGATTTGGGATCTCAGCTGAAAAAGGCATAGATAGCCCTTACCTTCCACTGTGAACATCTTGAATTATGTCCTCCCAGGGCAGATAAAGTTCAGAAATGGTTATGGTCACATAATTCTAATCTAAGTACCTAGAATGTAGAGGTACCCCATTGTGTTCCTTTTGTTTGGTTTCACAGATTCTTCTCTTGGTAGACAATTGCAATTGTTATCTAATCAAGGAAATGTAACGGTAATTTTAATTATCATTTTAGGTGAAAAACCTTACGAGTGCCCAAACTGCAAGAAACGTTTCTCCCATTCTGGTTCCTACAGTTCGCACATCAGCAGCAAGAAATGTATTGGTTTAATCTCTGTAAATGGCCGAATGAGAAACAATATCAAGACGGGTTCTTCCCCTAATTCTGTTTCTTCTTCTCCTACTAATTCAGCCATTACCCAGTTAAGAAACAAGTTGGAGAATGGAAAACCACTTAGTATGTCTGAACAGACAGGCTTACTTAAAATTAAAACAGAACCACTAGACTTCAATGACTATAAAGTTCTTATGGCTACACACGGGTTTAGTGGCACTAGTCCCTTTATGAATGGTGGGCTTGGAGCCACCAGCCCTTTAGGAGTTCATCCATCTGCTCAGAGTCCAATGCAGCACTTAGGTGTAGGGATGGAAGCCCCTTTACTTGGGTTTCCCACCATGAATAGTAATTTAAGTGAGGTACAAAAGGTTCTACAGATTGTGGACAATACTGTTTCCAGGCAAAAAATGGACTGCAAGGCTGAAGAAATTTCAAAGTTGAAAGGTTATCACATGAAGGATCCATGCTCTCAACCTGAGGAACAAGGAGTTACTTCTCCTAATATTCCGCCTGTCGGTCTTCCGGTAGTGAGTCATAATGGTGCCACTAAAAGTATTATTGACTATACGTTGGAAAAAGTCAATGAAGCCAAAGCTTGCCTCCAGAGCTTGACTACTGACTCAAGGAGACAGATCAGTAATATAAAGAAAGAGAAGCTACGTACTTTAATAGATTTGGTCACTGATGACAAAATGATTGAGAACCACAACATATCCACTCCATTTTCATGCCAGTTCTGTAAAGAAAGTTTTCCTGGCCCCATCCCTTTGCATCAGCATGAACGTTACCTTTGTAAGATGAATGAAGAGATCAAGGCGGTCCTGCAGCCTCATGAAAACATAGTCCCCAACAAAGCCGGAGTTTTTGTTGATAATAAAGCCCTCCTCTTGTCATCTGTACTTTCTGAGAAAGGAATGACAAGCCCCATCAACCCATACAAGGACCACATGTCTGTACTCAAAGCATACTATGCTATGAACATGGAGCCCAACTCCGATGAACTGCTGAAAATTTCCATTGCTGTGGGCCTTCCTCAGGAATTTGTGAAGGAATGGTTTGAACAACGAAAAGTCTACCAGTACTCAAATTCCAGGTCCCCATCCCTGGAAAGAAGCTCCAAGCCGTTAGCTCCCAACAGTAACCCTCCCACAAAAGACTCTTTATTACCCAGGTCTCCTGTAAAACCTATGGACTCCATAACATCACCATCTATAGCAGAACTCCACAACAGTGTTACGAATTGTGATCCTCCTCTCAGGCTAACAAAACCTTCCCATTTTACCAATATTAAACCAGTTGAAAAATTGGACCACTCCAGGAGTAATACTCCTTCTCCCTTAAATCTTTCCTCCACATCTTCTAAAAACTCCCACAGTAGTTCATACACTCCAAACAGCTTCTCTTCTGAGGAGCTCCAGGCTGAGCCTTTAGACTTGTCATTACCAAAACAAATGAAAGAACCCAAAAGTATTATAGCCACAAAGAACAAAACAAAAGCTAGTAGCATCAGTTTAGATCATAACAGTGTTTCTTCCTCATCTGAAAACTCAGATGAGCCTCTGAACTTGACTTTTATCAAGAAGGAATTTTCAAATTCAAATAATCTGGACAACAAAAGCACTAACCCAGTGTTCAGCATGAACCCATTTAGTGCCAAACCTTTATACACAGCTCTTCCACCTCAAAGCGCATTTCCCCCTGCTACTTTCATGCCACCAGTCCAGACCAGTATTCCTGGGCTACGACCATACCCAGGACTGGATCAGATGAGCTTCCTACCACATATGGCCTACACCTACCCAACTGGAGCAGCTACTTTTGCTGATATGCAGCAAAGGAGAAAGTACCAGCGGAAACAAGGATTTCAGGTAAAGAGACAAATGTTTTTCTGCTATGAAGAAAAGAGGTGGCAATTATTTTGATTATGTGCATGTAGGAAAAAAAAATCTTAGTGAAAAAACTCAGCAGAAACAGAAGAGTTTGCTTTAACATGAACCTAAAACCATCAGTGGGCTAGAACAATGGATGAAACAGTGGATCACTGTACTCTAAGCACATTTGCTTTAAAAACAAAAAGGATAAAGAAGAAATTAATATTTATTTTGAGATGTATTTAGATGGACTCATCTGCTTTTAAAATTAAACTTTGGTGAAAATATTTGGTAGGACTTACCTAGGTGCTAGAAGTTAAAGTTTATAACCGTCACGTGCTTTTAAAGATGTACACAGGACAGGTGTGATGGCTCATGCCTGTAATCCCAGCACTTTGGGAGGCCAACGAGGGTGGATCACTTGAGGTCAGGAGTTTGAGACCAGCCTGGCCAACATGGTAAAACACCATCTGTCCTAAAAATACAAAAATTAGCTGGGTGTAGTGCTGGGTGCCTGTAATCCCAGCTACTTGAAAGGCTGAGGCAGAAGAATCACTTGAACCCAGGAGGCTGAGGTTGCACTGAGCAGAGATCGTGCCACAGCACTCCAGCCTGAGAGACAGAGCAAGACTCTGTCTTAAATAAATAAATAAATATAAAGATGTGCACAACTTGCAATAATGTATATACACATTTTAATAGGTACATTTGTTTTACAGAGAATGGTTTATTTTGAAGAGTATTCTTAAAAATATCTTCCATATTTCACATGACTTCTTACCAAATCTTCAAAGTAGTTAATAATTATGCTTTATCAAATAGGAAAGCAGTTATATTTTAACATTATGCAGCATATAATCTTTGTTTGCAAAATAGGAGCATAAGTAGCAGTGCACCTCTGTAACAGCTGTTCCAGTATTCCAATTTACAGTACATCTGCCCTCTTTGTAAATGTATTTAAGCCTATTTAATCTTCTCTAATATTAATTAGTACAAACATAGTCTAAGAAAACTGAACTGTGGGCTAGCAAATGGAAATGTATGTTATCATGCAAGTTTGCACTCCTTTGGATCAAGACAAAATAAATATCAAGAAATTTAATAATTTACTGATCCACATTCATTAATGTTCAATGCTGAAGGCTGTTTTAACATAGAACATTGATAAAAAGTGTTATTAATATTCCCTATTTCAAATTAGAAAATTAAATATAAAAATATAGCTTGAGGCCTTTAGTTGGTAGACATACATTTAAATAGATTGCATAATAATAACATTTTGTACCTAAATATAAAATTCAATTAAAATCGGGTTTCTACAGCTACAGATCATTTCTAAAGTTAAGCATACTGGAAAATACACAAATTTCAATGTTAAATTTTCACTTATGGGTATTTCTTGGTATAAAGGAAATGAAGGATTTTAGAAAAATTTGTTTCTCTCACCTTCAGAGTTGACCATTTCCTGTCCTTAAAAAACAGTGAGATCTACCTTCCAGGGCAGAGAAGTTTATATTTTTGTTGCGTATATTGTTGCATATACTGCATATTGAGACCTCATATATTGTTCATGGAAAAAAAAATGTTTAACTCAATCAATTAGTAGCAAGCAATTTTGAGGTTCTCCAAATGTCCCCCTATGTGAAGTTGTTTGGTGTGAGCACAAAGAGAAGCCACTGTATTGAACTGTGTGATTCTATCGCAGGGAGAATTGCTTGATGGAGCACAAGACTACATGTCAGGCCTAGATGATATGACAGACTCCGACTCCTGTCTGTCTCGCAAAAAGATCAAGAAGACAGAGAGTGGCATGTATGCATGTGACTTATGTGACAAGACATTCCAGAAAAGCAGTTCCCTTCTGCGACATAAATACGAACACACAGGTATGAGTGACTTTGCCTAACTGGTTAGAGCTTCCCGTCCTGCTGTACATTTCATAATATTTAATGAGCACACTTGTGCAACATAAGATGTAACATATGCTGATACCTTCAACAAGGAAGAAATAATGCTTTTGCCGAGCTCAGTAGGACTTTTTTGTTGCCTGTTTATTGGATCATTCATGTCTTTATGAGTGTGCTTGTCTTAATATCTTTCCAGTTATTCTGTAAACCAAATTTAGAAATTATGTCAAAGGGACAGTCAGATGGCCAGGGCAATGAAATGGCATGACACAGCCAGTTATTGAAAATACCTTCAAATTCTTAAGTTTCAAAGCTTAAGATGAACCTATATATGTAAAAATCTAATAAGAAATTCAGACAGTAATACATTAGTTTCATCATCCAAAACACCAAGAAAGCCATAATTTAGGGGTAATTTTGTTTGCCTTTTTTTTTTAAATTCGCCACATTTTGAAAGAACTAAAGGCATTAGTGTCATAAAAGAAAAGTAATAGATCAGATGAGCTACTTGAAACCACCTATATTTGGAAGATTGAAATAAAACTTTCTAAATTTTAATTAGTATATTTCCAATTCATGCATTACTAATTAGGAACAATTACAAAGAGTTGACAAGAAAACAGCCTAATTCTTCACTATGAGTAGAGAGATAGTGGGTTAATTTTTGAAAAGAAAGATGAAGTACCATATGTAATTTAATATTACTTCCCACAATCCAAGATCTGCAGCTCTATGGTTGAGCTCCACTTGTGTTTCCTCCCTGGCTCCATCCCCACCTCCCTGAACAATAAGGTAGCTGAACCTCATCCCTACCCCTAGCCCATCTCCAATTCTTCTCCACTGGAAATTTGGCATGCTCTATTAGCCCTGGATCGGGGGGGAAAAAGTGTAGGATCTCAGTCAAAATTTTGGCACGAGGGAACAAAAAAAATAGGGGAGTATAGGAAAACAACTCATTCTAAACCAGGAAGTCTAGTATCAAACATTTCAATATGGAGGAAAAAAAACTAGCACTTTGGGGGGAAAGCTTTTTGGGGGAAAAGCGATGATGAGGCACAAAAGAAAAAGAAGGAAGACAGAAAAGGGAATATGAGCCAGGCGCAGCAGCTCACGCCTGTAATCCCAGCACTTTGAAAGACCAAGGCAGGAAGACTGCTTGAGCCCAAGAGTTTGAGACCAGCCTGCACAACATAGTGAGACCTTGACTCTACAAAATATTTTTTAAAAATTAGCTGGATGTGGTAGCTCAAGCCTGTAGTCCCAGCTACTTGGGAGGCTGAGGTAGGAGGATGGCTTGAGCCCAAGAGGTCGATGCTGCAGTGAGCCATGATTGTGCCACTGCACCTCAGCCTGAGCAACAGAGTGAGACCCTATCTCAAAAAAAAAAAAAAAAAAAAAAAAGCGAAGGGAAGGTGAATACTTCCTGTCATATTTTGACTACCTAGATACAAGGCACTCTTTTCTGTCACTGAAAACTGTCCTTGGGAAGTACTCGTACTCATCATCGGCTATTATTCCTCACTGGGCACATGCTGGAGGCAGCTCAAGTGACCAGCATCAGCCTGATAGTGTGGGGAGGGTTTTTGTGAAGCAACAAGGTTGATAAATAACAGGGTTCTTACTCCAACCAATACAGTTTTCTTTTTCTTTAGCTGTCTGATATTCATTGTTATTATTTTAAAAGTTTAATGATACCTTAAAGACAACCCAATCTAAATCCAAACAGCTTTTATACTTGTGTTATATAATTCAATGTTTGAAACATCAAAATTTTCTTTTAGTGTAGATATTTTCTTTAGTACTAAGTGCTACTTAAGCATTTACAAAGTAAAGATATTTTCATACCTAAATTTTACTTTAATTTTAATATTTTAATCAACCTTAAATATATTTTGTATTCCATTATTCAGCTACAATAGGCACATCACTGAAGGCATCTTTCCCTCTCTGATTGGTTTTATTATATGACCATATGCAAACTCTATCATTTACTACACGGTGAGTGTACAACTTTTATTTTAGTGAGGGCTGTCATACACATTGACATCCAGTCAATATATTTACTTCTTATAAATTAGAGAATTGTAACCTTCATAGGTCTGTAGATAGTTGAGAGGCCCAAAAGTTGACAAACACAAATATGCATAATTTATTTGAAAAATAAACTTCAGGCCTGATGCGGTGGCTCATGCCTATAATCCCAGCACTTTTGGAGGCAGAGGCAGGTGGATCACCTGAGAGCGGGAGTTCAAGACCAGCCTGACCAACATGGAGAAACCCCGTCTCTACTAAAAATACAAAATTAGCTGGGTGTGGTGGTGCATGCCTGTAATCCCAGCTACTTGGGAGGCTAAGGCAGGAGAATCACTTGAACCCGGGAGGCGGAGGTTGCAGTGAGCCAAGATAAGGCCACTGCACTCCAGCCTGGCCGACAGTGTGAGACTCCATCTCAAATAAATAAATAAATAAATAAACAAACAAACTTTGTTTTTTAAAGTAAAAATAAACTATTCTGCTCCTTCAAGATGTGAGAGCTGCTGCCTCGAAACATTGCCTAGCAACAAGATGCTAATCATTCAATGGTTGCTCTAAACTTGTGATTAATTATCTTCCTGTTGGCTTTCCAACTTGTCAAGTTTCCAGCATGTTAACTTTTTGGTCACTTGACCAAACATCTCATGACATTACTACTGTCAGTGTATTAGGTTCTATTCAAATCAAGTTCTTCATGGATTTTCTATTGATGTGATGTATGTGGAAATTTAGTCCATGTTCCTATCCCAATTGAACCTGTGGGATAGTTCCTATCCCACTAGCCTTTCATTTGTTTACATTAAGCACTAGTAATATTTTGAGAATGCACTAAGATGAAAATTATAAGTGAGAACTGTCTTGGGACTGACTGATTCTAAGGTCGGGAAATAAAATTGAATCATCATTTCATTATGCATTGATTATGAATGTGTCCTTGGTAAAGTGTGTTTGTGATGTCTGTCTACAATTTTACATATAGAATCGTTTAACTTAAGAAGGAAATTATGAGCTACTTATTCTTGAGACCCAGTGCTTTTTTTGCCTCAATTTATTTCCTAGGCAGATACCAAAGTCATCATGCTTCATTTTTCTTACCAATGGCTTATTGCTTGCTTGCTTTTCCTGGGACCTGGGACTGGGACAGAGGAGGGAAACACTATGTAAATGTTGACTTCAACAGAATTAATTGTCACAAACAAGGACTGTGAAATTAAAAACTCTGAAACTCCTGTTAGGCACTGTCAAGAACTCATTTGTATTCTAAAATTTAAATCTGACCTTTATTGAGTGCTTTCTCTGTTGAGACATCATGGTAGGTGCTTTTGAAACCCACCTTATTTAGAAAAGTAATACAAATGTTTCTACTTTTGAGTAGATAAGTCTAAGTTTTAAATAAATTTACCAGTCAATCTTGTTTCTCAGTTATATGGTAATTTTTTTCATACCACAAACCTTTCATTTATTATTAAGTTCAGTTACCATTCTAGCTGTCAGGTGAATCACAAATCTAGATATTAGAGAAAATATTTACCCTAAGAAAGCTTGATTCACTCAGTATCAATTTGGATGTTCTGAATCTTGGTCATGTGGAAATTTAATTCTAGGACATCTTGATTTGAATCAGGTAAACCAGCAAAACAAGTTAAAAAGAGATGAATGTCCAAGTCAGTTACTATTTAAATTGAATTTATTAAATGCTTACCACTGAAACTTCTGGAGATCAGTAGACTATTTAGTGTAAGGTATATGTCAAAACTCTCACCTGCTCCCAGATTCTATCCTTTGCATGGTATCATAACTGAACATTTTATTTTTTCAGGTTGTCAATTCATAATGCAGGATTAATATATGCGTATTATAAGCATACTGTTTATTATCGAATGAGTTCTCTGAAAATTGAATGTCTATAACCAAGGCATATCTCTAAGACAGACTGCAGTTTAGTGGGCATGCCCGAAGCATTGCTAACGGGCCTTGAAACCTATAACAGAGGATGCTTGCTCTCTCTGGACACTGCTCTGTGTTTTGTTGCTTTGGAAAAGAAAGCCATATCATAATGTTCATTCAAAATTATTCATACAGTCTCTTCCAGAAGTTACCTAAGTAGTTGACCTTTTTGTGCTCCTGAGCTAATGAGACATTAGTATCCAAAAGAGGTTGTAGGACAGTTTGCCCATACACGCCGTAGCAACTAGAGCATCAAGAAAATTTTCATCTATAATTTCTCTTCTCTCTATTCAGATTTATTACTTCCATGTACTCTGCTCCTGCTGCATGCGTCCTACTTAGAACTTGAGAAATTATTGAACATGTATTAATGAATAAGAATAACATGATCTAACATTAACTGACTGCCTACTATGTGCAATCCTTGTACTAAATGCTTTATATAAGTTGTCTTCCTTATTCTTTATGCCCAGTCCATGAGTTAGGTCCCCAAATGATCTTCCTTTTACCTACTGATCCTGAGAGAAGTTAACATGCCTGAGAATGCACAGCCTGTCATAAATGATGGATGTGAACCCAGATAATCATATTCATTTAACACTGCCCCTATGGATGAATTGCTGCGACTAGAAACGTCTTATCCTTTCTCCTGACAGCATCCTTTCCTTTAAGGTCCAAGTCCACACAAGTGAGACCAAATTCATAACATAATGACATGAAGTTTCCCGGGAGACAAAACCTCTTGTCTTTTTCCCAAATACACGTCTGCTTCCTCTTAAATTACCTTCCTACCACGGTGTCTTTCCAAATGGAAAAGCATGCTATCTTTGCAGACTCTTGGCACTCCATTGGGATTCTCTGTTATCCAGTTTACCTCATTCAAAACATCTTTTCCAAAAGTTAAGGAATGGTTCTTGTGTGGTTTGAATTATACTTGCTTTCTTCAGAGTATGAGCTACCTTGAAGTAGGTTATTAGAACTGTCTTTATTTCCCATATAACTAGTAGTCACCAACAAATATCTTTCTGATTTCCACTCTTCCAGTTAAATAACTTCTTTCTACTCTAATATTATACCTTACTACATTTATCATCACTAAATTTCTAGTGGACATTCCAGTTAAATAAAGACCATTAATGAAATGACATATAGCAGTCTACAGCACTTTCCGAATAGTGGCATGCCCTGGAGGCATTCAATAACATTATTAAAGATATTTAATTACTGATTGAGATTTTATATCACCATATAACTGAATACCTAAAGTGTATAGAATGGGTCCCTAAACTTATAACATGACACTTAGCAAACGAAAATGGGATTGGATCTACTTTGTTGGGTTTTAATTTAATTTGCTGAAATGCAAGTTTGTATTAGGAAATAAAGCATACAACTTCATATATGTTACAGTGATCCATGGCACTCTACATGACACATTTCTGACTTTAACTCTGGAGCATCAGGCTGATAATTTTTTTTTATCAGTTCTATTTTGGAAATAAACTTTCAAGTATGGCAGCTATGGAAGGTGTTGAAGGCATTCCAGTGCTATTTGTGGCCTGGAATCAACCAGATGTGTTTAGGCTTGGCACTGGCTTTAAGTTCCAAACACTGGTTAGAAACTGCCTGGAATGCCAAAGGAAATACAGCATTCCCTAGCTGAAGAGTATTTTAACACTCAACAAGTGGCTGACATCTTATGGAAAACTTTAGAGGGAAAACACTATTTGGAATCAGTTCAGCCTCCATGATATACACCCTCCTAATTTGTATTTTCTAATGGTTTCTTCTCTGATTTTTATTCTTAGACTCCTATGACTGATAAGACAGTCTTGACATCCTCTTTCCTCTGTTTCTTCCACTCCCTCCTAACTTGGCAGTTTGCTCCCATTTAAGACCTAAGATCCCCTTTCAAAGCAACTATCTCATGATATAACAAGCAGAGGATATACATGCCAATGCCAGCGATGATGCCATCTTTATCACTTTTGTACAAGTCTTTGTTTTAAAAATGTAAGGAAGAGAATTACCTGATGAAAACATGTGCTAGATCACTAGAAATGTCTTGTTGAATAGAACATTTTTCCAAGTTTTAAAATGAGACAATTAGCAATGGAAAGCTTCCTGTCTGAGAATTTTCCTCCAGCAGCTTTCTAAGTTCTTCTTGTTTATTAACTACATTGCATCAGCAAGCATTAGAAAACCAAATTGTGGGATGGAAATGCATCTTCCTAACTCTCCATCGATTAGACCGGGGTGTGTTGATCTTTCAGGCATAAGTACACACGCTTATGCCTGAGTCTGGACTCGCGTACAGAATTAGTGGAAAGAGACTTCATGCAAAGACACTAATCACCCTGTCATCTTGTTCTTTCTCCCAGGAAAAAGACCACATCAGTGTCAGATTTGTAAGAAAGCGTTTAAACACAAGCACCACCTTATCGAGCACTCAAGGCTTCACTCGGGCGAGAAGCCCTATCAGTGTGATAAATGTGGCAAGCGCTTCTCACACTCGGGCTCGTACTCGCAGCACATGAATCACAGGTATTCCTACTGCAAGCGGGAGGCGGAGGAGCGGGAAGCGGCGGAGCGCGAGGCGCGCGAGAAAGGGCACTTGGAACCCACCGAGCTGCTGATGAACCGGGCTTACTTGCAGAGCATTACCCCTCAGGGGTACTCTGACTCGGAGGAGAGGGAGAGTATGCCGAGGGATGGCGAGAGCGAGAAGGAGCACGAGAAAGAAGGCGAGGATGGCTACGGGAAGCTGGGCAGACAGGATGGCGACGAGGAGTTCGAGGAGGAAGAGGAAGAAAGTGAAAATAAAAGTATGGATACGGATCCCGAAACGATACGAGATGAAGAAGAGACTGGAGATCACTCCATGGACGATAGTTCGGAGGATGGGAAAATGGAAACCAAATCAGACCACGAGGAAGACAATATGGAAGATGGCATGTAATAAACTACTGCATTTTAAGCTTCCTATTTTTTTTTCCAGTAGTATTGTTACCTGCTTGAAAACACTGCTGTGTTAAGCTGTTCATGCACGTGCCTGACGCTTCCAGGAAGCTGTAGAGAGGGACAGAAGGGGCGGTTCAGCCAAGACAGATGTAGACGGAGTTGGAGCTGGGTATTGTTAAAAACTGCATTATGCAAAAATTTTGTACAGTGTTAAGGCCTAAAAACTGTGTGGTTCAGAGACTAATTCCTGTGTTTAATAGCATTTATACTTTAAGCACAACTAGAAAATTGTAAGAATTGCACTCTACTTATGTATCACTACAAACTTTAAAAAACTATGTCTAATTTATATTAATACATTTTAAAAAGGTGCCCGCACTACCATACATCAGTATTTTTATTATTATTATTGTTATTCCTTTTTAATTTAATGTGCTCGCACTACAATGCATCAGTATTATGATTCCTCTGTACTTTCCTTTCGCTATTCATCAATTTCCCATTTTTTTTTTCAGCTTAAGTAACCACACAATTTTAGGCCTCAATTTTTTTTTTTTTCTGTGAAGGAACTTGAAGTGATGCATGTGTGAATTTAAGATACCGAAGTCTTAAAGTGACCTGGACGTGAAGGAAAAAGTAAGATGAGAAATAAAGAAAGCCTTTGTAAGGTGGTTTTAAAAGCCTTATATGCAAACCTTTTAATCTGTGTTTCTGCAAGTGCCATCCTTGTACAGTGTTAAGAGGGTAACATGGGTTACCTTTGCACCAGCTTCAGTGTTAAGCTCACCCTGTTCTTTGAAGCACCCATGTCAGTATTAGAAGAATAGGCAGCAGTTCCTTAGTTTACATATGTTTGTGCAATTATTTTCTGTACTTTTTTGTTCATTAATTTTGTCAGTATTACACCAAACTGTTTTTGCAACAAAAAAATTTTTTTTGCATTCATTTAATTTTAGGTCAAATAACATTTTATTTATGTGGCTCATTTTATATTTCCTAATTTTATTTATTTCATACTGTAGTGTACAGTATTATAGTTCTTCAATATATAGATATATTTTAGTAAAAAAGGAACATGACGTTGATCATTTGGGCAAATTTTACGTAAAGAGAAGAGCATTTATTGTGTTTTGGAACATTAATTGTGAGATGGGATTTTTCAATTTTATTATTTTATTTTTGTTTTTTTCCAATTACTGGAAATTCCAAATTTGGGAACTTTTGATACGATCTTGTGAAAACACTGTATTTTCGACTGAAAATTCCACTTTCTTCATCTTGTTTTTTAGCTAAAAAGAGGGACTGTTAAATACAATGTATGATACCATGACAAAAATCTTTCCTGAATTGTCTTTGTAAAAGTATTATTGAATTTTCAATTTGTAATTTCTTTTGAAAATGACCATGCTCGAATAAAAATGTAGCCAAACTAAGAATGTAGTTAATGAGTTCTGTACTTTTAGAGAGTTTTCCTTCAATGACCATTAACATGTAACATGCTTTATGCTTATAATAATGCTAATTATGTTTTTTTCATATAATTTTAGTTTAGCAATAATTTTGACTGGTACCAATAACTGTTTTTTAAAATTCCATACCTATGTACAGCAATTTTACAGCTTTTCTCAACTGATCCTGATTCCAGATTGTGTATTTTTATGTGAGGTTATATTATTCAAATTTAGTCTATTTACTTTACAGACATTTCTACTTTTGCATTACGAGTATTTAGAGATTATGTGTTAAAAATTCACTTCTCTGTCCAAGGGGTCTTTGTGATTTATTCAAAAAAAAGTCTAATTTCAAAAAGACAGCTATTATTCAGTGTTATTTATAATATGTAACCTTTTTTAAAGGATTGGGATAGTTTATCTCACTTTTTGAAATGCAGACAGTAGTTTACCGTTTATCTGAAACTAGAAGGCGTGGGTGGGAGAGGAAAAGCTAAAAGCAAATGCTAACAAAAATAACCGTGATTTTCTAAGACAGTTTTTCAGTTTTTACAAGATGACCCTAATATTCAGAATATGAATGTATTCGTAGGTTTTACATAATGACTTTTATCAAGAAACTAGATTCTGCTTCTTAAATCTAATTGCCAAGTGAAGAATAACAGAAAAAACAGATTACCTTATCAAATTTACAGCTCTTGAATATACAGAACTATAATATAGTAGCTGTCCATGTATTTTTTCTACTTTAGAATCAAAGAAGAAAAGCATCATTTTGCTATTAAATTTGCTAAAATTTTGAGTATGATATTTCCAGTTGGCAAGAACAACATATTTATATTTATTCCTTAGCCATAATACCACTTTCCTAAATTTCACAAAAGTCATTCTTTGCAACTTGAAACTCAATAGAAAGTGTGTATGTGTGTGTGTGTATATATATATATATATACACACACACACATACACAGAAAGGATGTAATGAAGATACAGTAATAGTTGAGCAGACCTTTTTAGAAAAACATGTTTTTAGCTCTATCTTCAAACTTTCTGGCAGAGGGGGTGGGGGGGGCAGGGGGAGGAGTGGCATCAAAATGCTATGCCTCCTGTTATCCACAGCCTAGAGTTTTTATATTTGGAAAGTTTAGAAAATTCTATCCTCGTTTCTCCTTCTTTGAATGGCACAAATAAATACACTACATAAATTTTTCTGGTTTGAAAGGCTCTAGGCGATAACTTTATTAATTCAACCTGAAAATATCAAGCCATTAAATTTTGTCCGGGTAGAATAAATCCCTGTGGCCTCTTTTAAAGCAATGTAGGTCTCTGTTGCCCATGGGGCATATCTGTGTCCCAATCCACAAGAGATAGGACCAACAAACAATGAATGTGCAACCTAACTCTTTCTCCTTGGAAAGAAGAAAGTGTGCACGAAGTAGAGGAGGGTGGGCAGACCCTGCCTTGCCCCTCCTGTTACCCCCTTCTCTGTCATTTGTTCCTAACTCCATTTCATAGGCAGGCTCAGAATACCTGAGTCTGAAAATATCAGGATAACACTTGTGAATTGTGACAATCACTACAATGTCCCATATCTGAGGAGTTTTTTTTAATGCTATTTATCCGCTGGACACGATTGCACATTAGGGCTGCATAATCCTCTAACTCTAGGGAAAAATAAAAACTTTTGATTTGTCTTAAGATTCTTCTCCAAGGTCGCAAACAAGAAATTCCCCTCCACAACCAAGAGATGTGCATTTTAGTAACATCAGATGTGTTCTTCTGTTTTATCAACTACTTACTCTTCCCACACGCTTAGTTCTAAATCTAACCTTTCCCCCCTCGAATAGGGGGCAGGGGAGGATGAGGAAACACTGGAACAACTGAACACCCCTGCCCATTTTCTCCAAGAGCCTTTTGTATTCTAGCATATCTGTGCAATCTTTTCTTTTTTCTTCACATGACACTGTAAGCTTAGGCCTGAAATAACTGGGAAGAGAGATGCGTATCAGAATTTCTCCGCAAGAGCTAAACAAAACATACATCTTCCTTAGCATGAATTGGACTGGGGGCGGAGTGGGAGGGCTTGGAGGAAAGGGGAAAGAAGGGACTATATTTGAATAAATATGAATAAATGTATTAGATACTTTTCACAATCAGATAACTTTTAAAAAGGTCATTTTTTATCTTTCTAATAATGTAAGCCTTAATAAAAGCAAATCTTAGTCACAAATTTGAGGAGACTGCCCAATAATAAGTTTACATGTATTTGAACTGAAAAATTGTTAACCATGCTTTTGCTCCAAGATGTGTGAGGCCATTCAGGGGCTGTAGGGCCCTGGATATACACACAAACAAGTGTGTGTATATCTGGAGCCCCACACATTGTAATAAACACAGCTGCATTTATTTGACTATGTGATCCCATGTACATGTAAAAACATTCAAACAAACACACTCAGCGGATTTATTTATTGTGCAATGGGGCAATTATTCAAATAAACATGCTCAATGCAATTATTTGAATCTCACATTGCATGTTCATCAATCATAGCACTAAAAAAAGAGGGGGAAAAAACACCAAAGAATTCACATGGGGAAAAAATATATATATGAAAACCACCTTATTATAGATTTTATAGGGCAGCTGAGGTTATGGCTCCCTTCTTAACTGTAACTCAACTATTCTGTATTCAATGACATTTGTTTCTAATGATTAATTGGTTCACTCACTTGATCATATAATAGCAAACTTTATAAACCTGTATTGTGTAGAGATGTGAAATCTCTATATTTCAAGAGCAGAAGAGTTCTTTCTAGACACCTTACATCAAGGGACACTGGTCCAATTATTATCGCTTATATAAGCACTCCTATAAATTCTGAAAAATTTTATACATGCAACAAAACATTCCTACATTTGAAGACATTAAGAAAAATCACAGGTGACTCATCTGATCATTCTATATATTAATAAATATTATGACATATATGTGAACACATCACAAATCATATTGGTGTACCAAGAGGCAATTTATGCCTCTCTTAAGTATGTACTGACATAACCTAATATACTAAAATGGGAAGGGGCTTTTAGTCACTGAAATATGCATCGTGTAACAAAGATGAAGAAAATACATGGCTTGTGCCCATCATAAAAAAAGATTCAGACTGAAGGCTTAGCTTTGGTTTTTTCAATTAAATTGTTAAACTGTGCACAGTGATTTTTTTTTAGAACTTGAGACATTTGTGATGTTGGCTGTTTAAATCTTTGTTACCTTCGCTGTGAATTGAAATTGTACATATTTAGTAAATCATGCAGACAAAACAAACTTTTTAGACAATATTTTTATTGGAGAGTTTTCTTTTCCTGTATCCATGTTAAAAAAAAAAAAGACCTCCTTTCCCAAAATAAAAATGTCAATACTAAATTTAAAGAAGTATAAAGGAATGATTGCTTCCTTTAGAGCAAAATATTTAAATAAACATGGAGATAATTGGCAACATGTTCTTTTTGGGCTAGTAGGCTGTGTCCAATTTTTTGGGTCTGATGTTTCAGAGGGCCTCTGTTTCAGGGTTGAAGATGATATATTAATCTCGGAATTAAACAAATGCTATTAAATAACAGAAATAAATCCTTCAGTCTTCATTTGTATCTGAAATGTGGAATTAGTCAGAGAAATGGCACCGAGATAATATGATGCTGAATATGCCACAAGCTAAAACTTTCTCTATTAAACGAGTCGCCTACTACCTATAATCTAGCATGACATGTTAAAATGCTCCAAAATACTGAAAATAGAAAATGAACACTACTGTTCCGATTTGGTCTTGAGATTAATATGACAAAGATTCTAATAATTTTAGTCAAAGAAAATGATGAGTAAAAAATACATGAAGATTAAAGTGATGACAAATGATCTTTTAAGTATTCTAATTGGTCTTTCTCATTCATAGCTTTGATTCCACAGAAATTGCAAATCCTGATTATCCTGATTTGTAAGTGCACCCAGTCAGCTTTCTCTCTTTCACTCCATGGAATATGCCTGTTAGATTTGGAACGAAGGATAAGCCCCCAAAATGTTAAAAATAGACTACTGCCCTGGCAGGAAATTTAGCATTGGCAAGCACAGAACTCAGAAGGAATTGATCTAACATAAGGAAACATTCAGAGAAAGATTTGTGCATTATGATCCTGTTCTGACCATTTTCAGAGCAGTCAAAGGGAAGTAAAGTGTATGTGGGTGTGCGCATGTGTGCGTGTGTGCAGGTTTGCTAAGTTTGTGTGTGTACATTTGAATAGCTGTGTTTCTTAAAAAAAATACTCAAGACATGGAAAAAGTCTGAAAAGAAGTGCTTTTCAGACATTTTACATTTTGTTATCTTACATCGAAGACATTTAAAATGTTGATACTGGAAAAATAAAAGGTTCCGAAGACAGCCTCACCAAAAAAAAACTATATAATTTATAAGATATGCCAACAACAAAATTGAGAAAATATTAAATTATCTTTACTCATTTTATGGGAAACTTAGATTTTAGTTAATGACCTTTCCTTAAACATGAAAAAATCACGTTTATTCATTCCTAAAACGGTATTATTATAGGGGGAAGAAGTACGGTTATACCCATTCTAGTTTTGTTTAAGAAAAGAGAAATACAGCCTTCAAATTACTTGAAAAAAATGTGGATGAATAAAAGAATGTAAATTTAGAAAGGAAACTCAAGAACAACCCTATGCTCACCGAAAACATTACGGTATATTTAGTGACCACAAGCAACCCAGACCTTGGTTTTTACATCTCTTCTGAAAGACACCACTTCCAACACAAACAACATTTCCCAACCCTGTAGTGCAGACCAGGATTGGTGCAGACATAAAGGGAGAACACCAACTATTGAATAACCCTCAACCACTTCCTGAGTCCTGAAACATTCTGTGGAGGTCTACCACTTCATTATTGAACATGCTTAGAAAGTGTGAGCTCATAGGTTTCCGGTTGAAGGTACATCTAAGCAAGAGGGGAAAAAGAGAAGTACTAACCACCCTGCCCAACTTGCTTTAACCCTTAACACACTAGTACTGGAGAGAAAAGTAGGCTTAGAAATAATCAGCCAAACACCCAAGTAGAGCCTTTTCTTTCCCTTTTCTGCAGAGTAAAGTGCTTTTGTATTATCAAAGACAATTCCATGACAAGGGAAGTTTCACTCACTTTAAAATAAATGTGGATGGAACCATCCACAAAATCTTCTGAGAACAAGAGTTCTAACCACAAGAGCTGCTTAATATGTACTTCCTTGACCTTTTAAATGAAAATCAGAATAATGATTTGTACAAAAACTTTCCCAGGAATTGTCATGGCCCCTCATGTCAGATACCTTCATTTACGAACTGGCCTGTGTTAACTCCTTTATGGCTTGACCAAATTATAACACACTTCGCGTCTACCTTAAAATTGTCAAAACTCATGTTCTCATTCTTCAGTAAAATTTTCATGTGAGTTTAGTAAGAAGAAAATCTTTATGTTTGTAACTTTTGGAAAAATAAAAGCAGTTAATTATTAATCTACTACCTGCATTTTATAGATGAGGAAACTGAAGTCTACAGATCCTTGAGACCACATAGGCTGTTTGTTTCCGTCCCACAATGGTCTCTAGAAAACAGTTAAGCATAGATTGTCAGAATCTCAGTCTTCTGCATCATTGTTTAGTGTTCTTTCCAACATGTCACAGTAAAACTCTTCTTCAAATGGCTATGGAAACATTAGAAGGAATGAGTTAGTTTCTCTACTTCCTACAAGAAGTTCGTTCTGGTCTACAAGAACTCTTCCATGCAAGAGTGCAATGAAAATAATCTACTTTAGAAACCCTTTGTTAACTCTAAGATGTCACATCATCATCTCAGGACTATTAATCGCTTGTGGGCTAGAGTCTGTTTTAACTAAGAGCCAGAGACATGCTCAGTTTTGAAAAATGCTCTTTAAAAATTACTAACTGCTGTTGCTACATGTTACCCACTCATTATGTTGAAGACTCTTGACAGTGCTCATGGCCATTGGAGAGTGGTGGCTCCATCCAACCTCTCTACCCACAGTTTTCAGCCTGAGCCCACTTTATGAGTCCTCAGTACCATTCTTTCTCTGCTCATGACCTTTCTGAACCCTGAATGCACTGAATGATCCTGACGTGGTCTGAGGAGGAAACAAGGCAGCAGGTGTACACAGTAAGAGGAGCAGTAGGAATTCATAAATCTGCAATGGGAAAATTGGAACAGACAGAAACAGACCAAAAGGTTAGAGTGTGAAGGAATCTTAGATGCTCTCTCATCCAAAGCCCTGGCTTTTCAAATTCTGGTGTTCTGAGGAAATAAAACCCTAGATCACTCCATAGTTACTGGCAGAGCTGGGACCAGAAGCCAGATCTCCAGTTATGGCATAGATGTTTTTATTGCTTCTATTGATACTTCTACTACTTGTATGATGCTTTCATTTTATTATATTTAGTGGGCCTACAAATAATACTAATAAATAACAATAGTTGCAACATCAATAATAGTTCAATGTACTGAGTACCTAGCGTGTGTAAGGCACAATACTAGGTACTATGGGCTACCCAAAAATGAACATGGCAGGATTACTGACCTCAGGCTTCTTACAATCTGGCAGAGGCAGACATACACAAATAAGGATAATACCAAGTTCCAAGTGCCTTAGGAAGGGACTAATGTGGAAGTCTCAACCATGTTCCCTTCTGTACCCTGCTGCTTCCTCTATTTAAACACAAAATGACACCTTTCTCTCAATAATATGTATATTAGTGAGTGATACTATATGAGAAGCACTTTGCATGTCCTGGGGATACAGCGGTGAATAGACAATATCCTCACCTTCAGGGATGTACATTCTAGTGGGGAAAGTAGAAAACAGAACCATTTTATGGATCACTTCAGATAGTGCTGTTTTGTTGCAGGTAAAAGAAGGTGATGTGATTGTAAATGAGATGGAAGTAGCGGACAGTCAGCTGGGGGTGGGTGCAGATCCACAAAAGCCCTTGAGGGCAGTGGTGATTGACTTGAGCCTGAAGGTTGTAAAGAGGTCAGCCATGGGAAGATTGTGCAGTGAGAGTTCCAGAAGAAGAAACAGCAGGTGCAAATACATGAGGCTGGAATGAGTTTGGCTTTTTTGGAGAATAAAAAGAAGGCCAGCCTAACAAAGCATGGTAGACAAGGGAGAAGGGTGGAAGATGATGTCAGAGAAGTAGAGAAAACAGTTCCCAGGTCATGGGAAGGGTTTATAGTGTGATCTAGTACTTAGGACCAACTCCACGGAATTCAGAGGATCTGGAGGAATAGAACCTCTTAGGTCCTTTGATCCAATGTCATGTTTCCATAGGCGAGAAAACAGTTTATAAATCTATGAGGTTCGCTCCGTGGGAGCCCGAGGCCTCCTGAGTTATTCTTCTCAGTGACTTGTCCAGAAATGAGCACAGCAACCTGTTTGTGGCCTATTCATAATTACCTCCCCTATAAAAAGAACAGTAACATGACATTCTATGCCCTTCTGATTTTAGAATGAGAGGAATCTCATTTTTCAGACTCACGCAAGACCACCTGCCTTGTGTCTGGTCACAGGCAGATCCGTCAGCCTGGAAAACAGAAATTGTTTGGCTCAAAGAAAGTTTGTATTTTGGAAACGAAAGCACTAGATACAGCAAACAGGACGCCACGGTGGTACGTTACCCTGGAAGCACCTTCCCCAATCAACATGTCCCAGCACTATCCCCGCAGTTGCCAGTTTGCTCCAAACAGCTGTGCTAGAATCAGGCATGAGCAAGAGCCTCGGCCATTTCCCCTTCCTCTGAACTCCTAAAAAATACAAAAACTCACAGAGCTGAGAGAGAAGCCAATAAGAAGTAAGGAACATGCAGCAGGTGGTACCATCTGTGCCCGGCTAATTCCAGCCAAAACAATCTGCTCCCTAGAGTTCCCAGTTGTGGAGAAGGGAAGAGAATCTGACAGCGGCGGAGCCAGGGGAGGGGGTGTGGGAGGGCAAGTGCCGAGGCTATTATTCTAACACTCAGCCAGTTGGAGGAAGTAGATTATTGATGCCAGTGTACTATTATCTCTCTCCTTTTCTCTTTACAACCACGGTGGGAGATTCCTCCAAAGTCTCGCTAAGCTGGCAAGTCTCAGAACCCACACCTGTGAGACAGACACGCAGGCATCACTGTGAGTCTGTCACCACTGAGGTGGGAGGGACAAACATTCTCCAGCAAGACTGGGAAGCACAGCCCACCCCAAAACGAAAAAAAACAAGAGGGAGGAAGATTATGTTTATTTTATTTTATTTTCCTAGCAACTGAATTCCCTTCCACGCTCGTGTTCACTCTTTGAAAATTATCCACTGTTTAAAATGGGCTTATAGTCCACATGCTTTCTCCCCAGGTTGGCATTTTCTGAAATAAAATTCTTTCGCTTGATGGACTTCTTTGTGAGGGACAAATCTCCTCCCGTAGTGCACTTAAAATCATGAAATGAATCAATGCGAGCAATTCAAAGATAGATCAAATTGTCTGTAGCAATAACTTTTCCTTAAAAGAGTAATAGATAGACAGGGCCCATCCTTTTCCCAGATTGAGGAGACAGCCATGATTACAGGGTCACAGACAGACCTATGTACTGAAAAAGAAAATGTTACCCAATGCAAAATTTCCACCAGCATCTTGAGGTTAAAGTGCTATCTCCATATAGTCATCTGTCAAATGCAAATACCTGGGAGGGGTGATATTTGCCTATTATCACCTATTATCATCTTCCCTTGGCTTAATTTATCAATTCTATAGCTGAGAGTTGAACCCTGAGGGAGTGGAGCATAAGCAAGTTTGCTTTTATCAGATGAAGAGAAAGGAAGGTCTGAATTTCAGATACTGTCCCAGAAAATGGTGCACTCAGAGGTCCCTGAAAAAATAAAGAGATAGAAACATTCAGGAATGAAAGACAGGTAGAGGTGGAGGGAAAAATGGGAAAGAAGGGGGGATGGTGATCTTAACCCTCTGTTTGGACTGACTTCTGTGCTCCACCAAAATATATGTTGAAGTTCTAACCCCTGATATCTGTGACATGACTTATCTGGAAATAGGGTTTTTGAAGATGTAATCAAGTTAATATGAGGTCATTAGGGTGGGCCCTAATCCAATATGACGGATGTCCTTATGAGAGGGAAATTTGGACACGGATATGCACAGGGAGATGGCCATGTGAAGACAGAGGCAGAAATTAGAGTGATTCATCTGCACACCAAAGAAGGCCAAGGATTGCCAGCTGTTACCAGAAGCTAGGAGTGAAAAACGGGACACATTCTTCCTCAGGTCCCCTGGAAGAAACTGTCCCCCGGAAGAAACTAACACCTTGATTTTGGACTTCTGGCTTCCGGAACTGTGAGAAAGGCTTGGTTGTTTCCAGCCAGCCCATTTGTGGGGCTCTGTTACAGCAACCCTAGGAAACTCACACACTCCCAAAACAACCCACAGCCAGGCCCTTTAGCATTCACTCTCTGGCTAGGTCAAAAACTCAAGATCAATTTCTGATCTCATCATTCTCTTGGTGCTGGGGCTTTAACAGATAGAACAAATATCAGCAGGAATATCCCTTTTGGTTTTGAGATGCATATCATCAGGAAAAAGACACACTGCCTGCTCTTTTCCCCAAATGTCCTCTATAAGGTAATCCTTTTAATTAGGATAATTAAATTCTTATTACAAAGGGCACCAAAGTGCAAGCATTATCGTCTGATTTCCTGTAAAGAGTATTTTCCTATCTCCTGTTCCACATGGTGTCCATGAACAGAAGAAGCACCCAGTGAGTCAGACATTATGGTTACAGGTTTGTGGCTCATGTCAGTGCTGAGAAGAGGGAAATGAGAAAGGAAAACATGAATTGGGAAACCATGTCAGAGGGCAGGCCAAGATAATGGAAGAACCAGAAGGCAAAGGAAAAGGGTGTTGTGTGGGAACCAAAACGTTGCTTCAGGTAGGAAATGTCAGAGAAAAATAGAATAACATTTAAAATTAAGGGGCAGGGAAGATCTAAGCAGATTTTTTTTTTTAAGTTTGAATTTGATCATAGAAACTAGTGGGATGTACCCATTCCTCTAGATTCATTACTTCAGTATGATCTTCAACTTTTTCAGCTCCAGGTTTCTGGTGAAATTGACTAATAATTCCCATAATATACTTAGGTCACCATGATTTGGGAAGGGTTTTGGGAGTTCCATGGGTAAGGCCAGAGGGGAGTAAGGCAAGTGATGTGCGTTTTGAAATATTGCTCTGGCAGCCAGGTGCTTAAAGGTGGGAAACGGTGAGACCAGGTGCTAGGACGAGTTCTCATGTGTGCCCATGAGCTCTTTTCTGCCCCATTAGTCCATGCCTGCCACTGCCCGCCCACCCATGAGTGGACAACAGAAAACACAGGTAAGAAAGCGAGGGGATGGTTCACTAAACATCTCTCATCTCTTTGCTAGAAAAACAAACCCAACCCTATGTCTTCTTCACAGAGGGCCGGCATGCCATCCTTTATATTTTCCTTCTAGAAGATAGTATACCGTCTTGAAAGCCTAGTTTAAATTGCTTTTTCTCTAAGCTTTGTGGTATTTTTTATATGCCATTAGTCAGTTATTACATGTTACTAGCAATAACAGTCCCACCTAATGTATTTAATTTGTTTTGAAACTCATAGCACATCTTTACACATAGAAGAGGCAGCTTTTAATTCCATTGATAACTTCCTCCTTAAAAGTACTCTTTTAAATTCCTAACCACATTCTTCTTGGTTTTCCTTCTACCCACTGACCAAGATCTACTTTTTCCACTCAGCCCTTAAATGGTAGCATTTGCCAGGGCCCCTCTGGGGATCTCTGCTCTCCTCATTCCAATCACTGACTTTTTCAACACCCACAGCTTCAGCTTCAACTCCTACCTATATGCCAAGACTCAAAAATGCAAAAATGCAAATGCATTGCCCCGGTCAGACTTCCTCCTGGCCACTAGACCTGCACATCCAAATGAATACTGAGCCTCGCTGCCCGATGGTCTCATAGGCACCTCAAGCCTGACCTTTACAAAATGGACATGGCAGTACCCTTCTCCCTTCCCCCTACAAAATCTGGTGAATGTCACCCACCAGGTCACTCAGGTGAAAGTCATGAGAGTCATCCTGCTGGATCTCTATGTGAGTTGCCGAGTTTTGTACATCAGGCTCCCTATTAGCTCTTCTTCCTGTCTTTCTTCCTCCATCACCATTGTCACTTCCTTATTTCAGGCAAGCATCACATCCCAGGAATTGCCTAATAGCCTCTTAACTCGCCACACTGGCTCTGATCTCACCCAAGGTGCTGCTTGGCTCTAATGTGGCAGGGAATGGAGCTAACACTGATAGTTGGTGGAGGGCTAGCAGACAAAAGCATGCCATCTTTTAGGTCCTTTAAAGATATTTCTTGATATTCTTTATACAGGCATTACTTTAACACTATTCCATCACAGTCTTAACAACTGTTATGTTTATGTATTTCCTTTAAAAAGATTAAAAATAATGTGCTCAAGAGAAACAACTGGTCTCCTCTCACCCCCTTGACACCCTTCACTATACTTTTGGTCTCATCACCTTCTAATTCATTCCACATTTTTACGTTAGCCCAAAGTGCTCTTTTGGTACTTTTTTTACCTTCATGTCTATCTTCTCCTACAGAAACCTCCTAAACCTGTAAGATCCTTAAAGTCAGGGAATGTGTTGTCTTTGTAGTCCCACTTCTGTGACTTACTGCCACCAAGTAGATATTCAATGAATGTTCACTGAATTAATTAACGAGTACAAATTTGATCATGCTGAAGCCCTACATCAAAATCACTGTGTGGTTCTCCATAGCATCCAAAATATAGTTCATATTCCTTAGTGTGGCCTTCAGGAGTTGACCCCTCCTTGCTTTCCTTTCCATCGTCTCTCACTGTTCTTCCAATTGCATCTGCCTGGGCATACCACCCTCTATTTTCTTTCTTTCTTTCTTTCTTTCTTTCTTTCTTTCTTTCTTTCTTTCTTTCTTTCTTTCTTTCTTTTTTTCTTTCTCTTTCTTTCTTTCTTCTTTCTTTCTTCTTTTTCTTTCTTTCTTTCTTTCTTCTCTTTCTTTCTTTTCTTTCTTTCTCTCTCTCTCTTCTCTCTCTCTCCTCTCTCTCTCTCTTTTTTTTTTTTGTTGAGATGGAGTCTCACTCTGTCACCCAGGCTGGAGTGCAGCGGAGCGGTGCAATTTCAGCTCACTGCAACCTCCGCCTCCAGGTTCAAGCGATTCTTCTGCCTCAGCCTCCTGAGTAGCTGGGACTATAGGTGCCTGCCACCATGCCTGGCTAATTTTTGTATTTTTAGTAGAGACGGGGTTCCAACATATTGGCCAGGCTGGTCTTGAACTCCTGACCTTGTGATCCACCTGCCTTGGCCTCCCAAAGTGCTGGGATTACAGGCGTGACCCACCACTCCCGGCCCCTCTCTCTCTCTTTTTAAGACAGAGTCTTGCTCTGTCACCCAGACTGGAGTTCACTGGTGCAATCATAGCTCATTTCAACCTTGACTTCCTGAGCTCAAGCAATCCTCCCACCTCAGCCTCCCAAGTAGCTGGGATTACAGGTGTGCACAACCACACCCAGCTAATTAAAAAAAAAAAAAAAGAGTAGAGATGGGGGTCTCCTTATGTTGTCCAGGATGGTCTTAAACTCCTGAGCTCAAGTGATCCTCCCACCTCAGCCTCCCAAAGTGCTGGGATGGCAGGTGTGAGCCACTGCACCCAGCTCTATTTTCTTTTTGTCCATCAGAACATACCTCAAGGGTCACATCCCTAAGATGATCCTCCCTAAAACCCTAATTTTAGAAATGCCCCTTCTCTGGGCTTCTGCAAAGATCCTCTACATGCTTCATTCATGCACTTCTCCAAGGGTTCGTTTCCCAAAGACAACGTGTTCCTGAAAGGAAGACACCACGAGCGTGCCGACTCCAGTGCCCAGCTCAAAGCCTGAAACCCTAGAAGAACCAAGATAATGTGTGGGTCCTCTGGAAACAGGCTGGCGGCAGCACCTAGTTCCCCACTGAATTAGGTCATTAGCCAAGTAGAAGGACAATTCAGTGACAAGACAGAAAATAGCATGGGGAGTGAGGGATGTAAACATAAGGGACTATGGGCACACCCCAATGTAAACCAGAAATTCATAATTTAATGCACCTGAAGATGTTTAAAATGATTTACAAGGCTAGAGTGAGGCACAACGTTAACCCACATAAATTAACAATTTCGTCTCTCACATAACCACTAACTGCGTGTAGCAGCATCAGCCTCCACTGCTGACATCCAGATGCTGATTGATTTGTAAAATTAGTGAGGCAAAGAGCACCACAATCTGAGTGAGGTAGGTTAAAGGGAAATGTGAATAAACAGGTCTTCTATGTAATACTGAGTTCGAGCATAGCCGTTAAGCTATTTAAGCAATGACTCAGATAAGGAACATGAACTGTATGAAAGAGGAAGAAGCCCAAAATAATCCGGGATGCCTTTTCTTCAAATTCTCTGGAGTTTTCAATTACCTCAGTTTCCTGACAAAGCTTTGCTGATGTCAGTAATTTACGGTAACAATCAGCAAGATAAGAGCAGGTTTGTGTGGGCCAGAGGTAAATTTGGGTCTGACATGAGTAATATATCCTGCAATGAAGGACAGTGGGAGGCCTGAGAAAAGGTATGGTTTTCTATTAGCAATTTTTAAACAAAACGAAAGGCATATGCATCTATTATATGGCAGGTGATTATGCTGTCCTCATCTGTTTTTTCTCATGAAATGTAACTACTTCCTTAAGTCCTAAGTGGCTTTTTAAATTAACGACTCCACCATAGATGCTACAGAAGTTCCGCATAAGAGATAGACTAGAAGATGCACTGTGTTTGTAACTGAAATGTTTATGCCAGAACATACTCTGAGTACCCTCTGTGTTTAGAGAACTGTGCATAATTACAAAAGAGGTAGCAGATACTATTCTTGCTTTGGACAGTGTACAATTATTTAAATGAAGTTAAGACAAACAAATGGAAGGTCATAGACACAATAGCCCTTTTGCCAACAGGAATCCTCTGTAAACTAAGATATACAAATAAACTGAACTTCTTAAGTCACAGACACAATTACCAAACTTTTTTCTCCAGCTGTTGTGACAGTACCTGGTAAATTTTATCAGCCTCCTTTGTCACAGAGCATGAAGTTTACAGATCCCAAAGGCCCTAGCTGGGTTGATGGAGAACTTTGCAGTTCCTCTGGGTCAGTATCACAAGCTTCACTTCTCACTGTACAGGATTGAGTGTGCACTGAACACAGGCTTTCCTTGGAAGCTGCTTTTCTCCACTCTTGCAAAATTGGTAAGATGGACTGGTACTCTCGTGATTTTGCTTTTTTCTCATAATGCCAAGTACACCAAAACCAGAACATTTAAACCGAGGATTCTGGTATAGTTTCCTTGTCAATCAAATGAGAGGTTGTAAAGGATTCTTAGATTCCTTCCCAAAAAGTCCATGATACGGGGCAGATTCTGTTTAAGAGCACTTTCTTTGTTTAACACAAAAGAAGTTCTTAGAGTTGTGAAGTAAGAGCCTAGGCTTTCTAGTGAAAAGACCTGGTTGGAGTCCCAGCTCTGTCCCTCCCTAGCTGTATGACCTTGGCTAAGTTACATCCTTAAACCTCAATTTACTTATCTTTAAAATAGGAGCAATATCAATAACTATTTCCCAAGATGGTTGTGAGAATCAAATGAGACAATATATGGCAAATAGTTTGCAAATAGCCAGCATCCCAGGCACTTGTTATGGGGCAAAAGTATTGAGAGTTCATTTATTTCATTGATTCTCCTCTGACTTCCTCCCACAGTTGTCCTTTCTTTCTTCCCTTTTGGGTTTGAGGGAAGCTGCCCTTTGATAACCTACTCCTATAGTTAGGTCCACAGAGAGTTCTCTAAAAGGAACACAATCATTTCAGTACATAGAAATTTTCCAGCATGTAATTTTTCGGGGGCCAGGACAGTCTCAATTTTCATCCTCAAAGAGACCCTTTGTTTCCTGGTGGGCGTTAGCCTAGGATTGCTCAAAGGGGAAGGAATGCTTGACAATTATCAGTCCAAGGAAGAGCCTCAGAGCATGAGAAATGAGGAGGTTGTTCTGCGTGATTCTAGGTATGTGGTTGCTGTACCACTCTAAGCAGATAATCCAGAGTGATAATGAAGTAGTCACAGGGTGAAGCTTCGTATGGGAGGCAGCCGAGGCAGGGCTCACAAATTGAACCTTCCGTTAGCCTTTTTGCATATTTTAAAGAGAGACTTTTAAATCGTGAGATAGCCTTGCCTGGCAGATTCATCGGCCCATATGGGGACCTGTTACGTAACTCGGGAGGCTCAGGAGGGGAAGCTGCTAGAGATGAAAGCTGAAGATCCAAATAGCAGGAAAAGGTTTTTAGTTTATGATTACTGTTTTCCTTCAGCTAATTTTAATTCTGATGAACACAAGGTTTTCTTTAGTACTTTTTGTTCCTCAAATCTTTTTTTTTTTCAGCTGTATTGTTCAGCCAAATATTTCTGAAGCCTCTGTGAAAACAACACTATGATAGCTCATGTAAACAAGTTTCCATGAAAATTGGCTTGAAAAATATATGTAGATGGCAACCTGAAAGACCATTCCCACTGTAAAAATGAAAAGATTTGATTGATTAACAGATAGATAGAAAGAATATTAAGGTTTACAGTTAATCAAAATGGATTAGAATTATGTTAACTCTTACCTTCCTGTTTACTTACTTTTTATTCCTCTAATAACCTAATAGGTGGTATGTCTTGATATATTTTTATACTCTAATGGCAGGATACATCTCCAGTCAAACTTTTTAAAAAGGTCATTTGTAAACAAATAATTACTGATTACCAGTAAATGCCAGTCATTGTGCTAGACAACAGGAATAGATGTGGAATAATATGTGGAAGTCCATATGCAAACAGATTATTACAGGAGGAGCAGAGAGGAAGCAGCCTTGAGTTGCTCTATGAGATCTCTGCCTAGGGGACCTAGGGCAGCTTTCAGAGAAAAGGGGTTATTTGAAGAAGAATCATGGGAGTTTATTTATCAGGTTGAAAACAGAGAGCAATGCTCAAAGGCGTGGAAACGTGAGGAGTGGGGCATGCTAAGAAAATGATGAGCTCACGAGATTCCTTGACTTTTAGCTATAAACGCCTTTGAAGGGGACCAAAAATTGACTTTATATTTAAACTATAAAATAAAAAATCCATACTATGATAAATTAAATTATATCTACACTCATCAGTATTAATTACTTATTTCTCACAATTGTTAATTAAGAACTCAGAGCAAATAGCAATATTAGGCATGACCTATGTTGCTAATGTACAGCCTCCTTGCATCATAGGGGGAAGAGGAAAGAAAACCACTTGAGTCGCCCTCTGCCCAATATAGGTAAATATGGCTGGAATGTAACCATACACGAGGCAAGTGCCTGATTGATAGGTCATTGCCACTTGGACTTTGACCTTTCACCTAAAAAAAACACCTTCTAGTGACATCCAGATGTAAATGCTTGACCATTAGCAAGCAGTTAAGACTGAATCCTTATTTCCCATAAGCTATGTATAAATGGGAAACTTATGAGGATATTTCATCTCATTATTGCAAACAACATGAAAGAAATTTGAGGAAATAATTTAAGCAATTTAATAAAGTTTTTATTCTATCTCCCATTCCTGAAAGTGGTATTTCAAAGTTAGCCTTTCTAACAGGAAATAGAATAGCTTGACAAAAGAAACCACAACTTTATCTAAACAGGCAGCATATTTGTGTGGTGTGGAGTGATACATATGTTCACTGCCCTTTACTGGTTAAACTGTATTTCATTATCGTCTCCTTATTTCCACTTCTAATTCTGGCAGAACTATTTCCTATAAACGGGTCAGCTCTCTAGCTGTTTTGAACATAAGCATTCTTTTAAAATGCCTGATCCCAACTTTATTAAGCAGTGTTTTCCCTCATTCTTAATTTTAGCCCCTCAGGCACACACTTAACAGGTCTTCTGCCATAAATGGGGAGAAAAATAAATTTATTACCAATTCCAATTGCATCATGTATAAGGATATTTATGCCATCTGTGGTTTAACAAAATAACTGCTTCGATTAGAAATATCTATTTTATATTATCGTAGTGTAATGATCCTGTAGAGTTGATCATTATAACATTGTATGAGACTACAGAATGAACACATCCTCCCAAATCAACATTATTTTTTAATCTAATTCATTTTATTAAAAGGTGCTATAATTGGTCAATGTAAAGAATGGATATTTGCATGTTCTTTCATATTACCTTATTTGGTTTTAGTTTAACCTTTACCGGAGTGTAATCTTCTCTGTATTGGCTTAGATCTGTTGAGGCTCCGTAGGTGTCATAGTGTTCCAGAGTGCTGAATCGCATGATGTGGATACTGAACAATTTTAGATAATGGACACCAGTGAAAGTGGCATTAGCCAGGAAACTATATCCAGATGCCTTTGGCAAAGTCCAAAGTCAAAGATAAAGCAATGCATTGTCCTCAGCTGCTTCTTCTCCTTCCTCTTCTTCTCTTTCCCCCTTCTCCTCCTTTGTTTTCTTTTCCTTTTCTTCAATATGGACTAAAGATGGACCAATTACTCTTTCAGGGTACTATTCTTTTCATCTGAAAACTTCAGCTAGGAAAAAGTACCATCAGGATACCTTTATATGATAAGGAAGTCCCCAGTACAGAAGGTTTTGAGAAAACCAGGCTTTGTATGCTTTGTTCTTAAGAAACCAACATCACCAGGACACAATGAGTAAGAGCTACTCTCCATCTCAAAGTTCTGTGTTCTCAAATTTAAGAATGTACCTGGCAGGAATATCCTGAGGGCTTAGGAATGTAAAGAATTATCTTACATTCTAAGACTGGATTAACATGTAACATCCAGCTTAGTTACTTCCTTAAAAAATAAAAAGCTATCCTTATTTTTAAAATAATTTTTTTCAATTTTCCTTCTCCTTCCAAATAAAGGTATAAATACTATTTCAGATTTTCTTTTAGATATAATTTGAGGCAGTAAAGATATACTAAAGTTATTAGAGGTGTCAGAGAATCAGTGTTTTGATGAAAGAGTGAGTTTAAAGTCAAGGTTAAAGAGTGTTCCTTTCAGATCCCTCTTAGAGCCAGACCTTTAGACCAAGGCCTAAAGTTAAAACAGAGAAAGGAGAGAAAGAGAGAGAGAGAGAGAGGGAGAGAGAGAGAGAGAGGGAGAGAGAGAGAGAGAGAGAGTTCAATTTCTTTAATTTTAACAGGGGTGGGTGCAGAGGTGTATAAATGGGCAGATACAGCACAGTGGGGCCACAGGATCCAACAGAGCTTGCAGGTGATCTATTCTCTGTGGGACTCAGATGCCTCAGTTGAGAACTGCAGCTAGTGAAGAACCAAGCTAGTGAAGAGGTCACTGGTCTGGAATCAGTGGTCTAGATCAGAGCTCTCAGATGACAAGAGAAGCCTAGGCCTCTTCCATTATATTAAAATTTGGACAAAATATGCCAAAACAGGATTTATACAAATTTTAATATTTTAAAATTGTTTATAAACTAATGTTTGTAACACTCACATATATAAAATGACTATATTATGATCTCATTTAGTTAAACGTGTGAAAGGTCTAAATTTAAGGAAGCAAAAGAATGATAAGCTCTGGCCAATCATGATTCACTCCCTGGAGTGGGATCCATCCCATTTTAACCATATGGCTGGGAATAGGGGTGAGATATTTTCTGGGAAAAATTAGGTTACTGTGAGGAGAAGTGGGGATAGACACTGAGGAGGCAATTACAGATTCATATGATTATACTTACGGTAGAACTATTTTGCTCCTTTCAAGAAAGAAACATTAAAAAATATAATATCCCAGCCTCCAGAAATAGCAGCTACAACCTGAGAAGATGTTCTTTCCAAAAATGTGAAGCCAGGAGTAGATTTATGGTATCTAATGATTCTCCACATTTGTGTGTGTGTGTGTGTCAGGACACCCATGTTGCACAGGATAACTATGTAGAAGGCATTTACCATACCCTAGTAAGTTAGGTTACAGGTCATATGAAATTGCTGGCATTTCTTTCGCACCCAAGGCTTTGCTTTATACTGGAAGGCAAGTGAGTCAAAGTGAGGATTTCCACCCCCTCCTTTATAAACTAAAAATAGTATTGTCAAACTCCAATATTTAACTCTTATAGATAATGGATACCTTTTGCTCTGGTTCATAATTGATTGAAACACATCAAGATGCTTCTCCACAGTGGTGAAGAACTGCTGCTCTAGAGTCAAGCTTCTCTAGGCCTGAGCAGGTTGTGGTATACTAGGATGTTTTTTGCTGGGTCACAGAACTTCAAGAATTGGTTAGGAGTTCTCTTAAGAGTAAAAATATCCCAAACTGAAAAGAAATTCTCCCTAAAACATGGAGAAAAGAGCATAGGTTTTAGAGTCACAAGGACATAGATCTCAATCTCAAGCCTGCCTCAAACTTATGTGCAGATTTGAGCAATTTTTTTGCCTTCTTGGGCCTTAGTATCCTCATCTAGATTGATGGTGCATGGATTAAATAATGTCAGATATGTTGGTAATAGGCACGCAATAAATAAACATGAGCTCTGACCCCTGTTTTGGGGTCTAAGTATCTCACAAACTAGCTCATATCTCTGGTAGAAACTGCTTGCAACAAATTATTTCACATAGGAGTTAACAGATGCTGCTGTTTTCCTCCCCAACAGCTCTTCCCCATTTCTTCCTATGGCCAGAATCCTGATGTTGTTCAAGTAGGAGACCGCAGGGAGCTAATTTAAGGAGACTTTTCAAAAGGTAGAACTCTGTTCTACTCCAAGTGGATGAACTGTGAGTGGTCTAAGCCAATCACAGTGCATGATAATTCCATTCGCCAGATGCCAGTGACATAGGGGTAACCCTTTCAAGCCATCAAAAGGAAAGGGAAAGTATTCTGAAAGACCTCTTGGAAAAATTTCCTCTCTGATAAAAGGAGAAAGATGTGTAACAAAACCCTCCCTAGCCTCTTTTTTCCTACCTTTGAAATAAGTTCTGGGAAGACAAGATTACTTAGATATGAAGCATCCATCTGGCAACCATGAGACACTCAGGAAGAAAGAACAAAGGATGCCAAGAGCCCACGTCCTTGATTATATTGTTTGGGCACCACACCAACTTTGAAACTATCTTCCCCCAGACCTCCTGTCATATCATCTCATTTAACCTTACTCTTGAAGCCACTTTTAGTTGGTTATTCTGTTACTTGCAGCCAAAAGCATCCTAAATGACACAGAGGCCTTTGCCAGTTTTGAATTAAACATTTCAAACTCATTTAGACTACAACAAAAGTTTTTAAACCATTGAGACATTGAGGTTACTTTCTTTGATGCTGGACGTATATAGAATTCCATTGCCTTTATCATCCATATGTATTTACATATGTATTTCAATAAGCATTTATTGAAGGCCTCCAATGTGCAAGACACCGGGATAAGCATCGCAGGGAGAAAGGAGGCTACAAAAATGAATGAAACCTGGATTCTGTCCTAAAGGAAACTTACAGCACAGTTGGATAGATAAGGAACAATAAAACAAAAGCAATATCCATAGTTCTGGCCTTAAAAGGAAGCTGGAATCCACCTCTGTAAATCACTAACACATGCACCTATCACATTTTACATTTTATTTTTATATGCCCAGAAACTTGAGCTAAAAGTGGAACAAAAAGGAAAAAAAAAGAATGAGGTAGTAGAATAAAATAAGAGACATTGAACAAAAGCGGCTGAATCACACTGTCACACTCAACTACTAAAGTTGGAATATGGGGGCAAATGTGATTGATGCCTTTAGCTTGGGGCCTCTGGAAAAAAGACAGTGAGAAAGGCAGTTTGCTCTACCTGGCTCTCTTTCAGCTCAGGAGTTGGAAAGCCAATACTGAACTGGATTTCTAGGTTCTCTGGCTTTAGTACAAAATAATAAATAAGACTCTGGCAAATTGTGTTAGATTCTTGTACTGGGTCAGCAATTACTATGTGTGAGAGTGCTTCAAAACGACAATCCTCTATACAACACTCCAAATGACTTTTCATATGTAGAAATATGATGCACTTTGTTCTTTGGTGTTTAAAGCTTAACTAGACAGAAATGATTCTTCATCATTTACAAAATAGCTAGAGTAAGCCCAAGACAACTCCCCAAAGTGGAATAAAATTCAGGATTAAAAGGCAGCATGTTGGCCGGGCGTGGTGGCTCACGCCTGTAATCCTATCACTGTGGGAGGCCGAGTTGGGTGGATCACCTGAGGTCAGGAGTTCGAGACCAGCCTGGCCAACACGGCGAAACCCTGTCTCTATGAAAAAAATATAAAAATTACTGGGTGTAGTGGTGCACACCTGTAATACCAGCTATTCAAATGACTGAGGCACAAGAAGCACTTCAACCCGGAAAGCAGAGATTGTAGTGAGCTGAGATTGCACCACTGCACTCCAGCCTGGGTGATGGAATAAGACTCCATCTCAAAAAAAAAAAAAAAAAGAAAAAGACAGCATGTCGTAGTGGTGAATAAAGATTACAGACTCGAGGGCCTGACAAATCTGAGTGCAAATCCTGGTTTTACTTTTTTTGTTCTTATGGCCTTGAGCAAGTTATTTATCACTCTGAGCCTCTGTTAGTTTTCTCATTCATAAAATGGGTTAGCAACATCTCATTTATAGGATTATTGCAAAAACAAATGAAGTGATACATGCAGACAGCAACTGTCCTTAGCATATATTAATGTTATTCTTCTTCCTCTATCTTGATTTTGATCTTAGATATAATTTAGATTTTTATTGGTACAGTCAACTCATAACTAGAGAGTAGCAATAGCAAAATAATACAAGGTGGCAGATAATCCTAGACTTCCTCATGTTTTCATATTTGAATGCTTATCTGTAATTATACTTGATTCAGGATAAGTTTTAAGAAAATTCACAAGACTTCAAAAAATTGATATAAAACCAATTTGGTGTTAGCTGGAAAACTTCATTTTTGTCTACTTTGTGGAATGACATTTAATAACCAACATGAAGTGCCTATCTACTATGTGTCTGATGTTTTACAAGGAAATGGGAAAACCTGGTGGGGATTTTTTTGCAAAAAAAGAAAAGGGCATCCTCAGTCTCCACAAAGAGCGCTGGTAAAATTGGAACTCTCTCCCTTTCTCTCTCCTCTTTCTCTTTTCTTCCAGTTTATGACTCACATGCCTCCAGAGAAGAAGAGCTAAGTGCTTGGTTCTGGAGCGGAACATGATCATTTTTGCCTTTCGGATTCCTGTGGTATTGTCCCCTGTGGAGGATTCAACAGGTCAGCTAATTGTCTGTAAGGAATGGGATGTTATTCAGCAGAATTTCAGGGAGAGGAAGAGATGCAGAGTCTCATAAGAAAAAAGACAGAGTAAAAAAACAGATGTCTCTTTCCAGAGTGTCAGGAGGGGCAGGCCCACCTGGGAAGTATGATGTATGAGGATGCATTGTGAGAAAGAGGTGGACCTAAGATAGCAAAACAGTGAGGGAGCTATATGGTGGAGAAATGGGAGAGACACGATTCCAGCAGGGGAAATTTTAGGGAGAAACAGAGAAGCCTAAATATTGTTCAGAAGCTTTCTGTGTGGTACATGTTACAAAACCCCTGTTTCACCTCTTTACTCATAGTAAATAGGTTCATTATTCTTCTGGACCCTGTGGCCAGACTGGAGTTTCCCTGAACATGACACTACACAGTGACCAGTCTGGGGAGGAGGGGTTACACATCACTGAAGTAGTTAGATAAATAGAAACAATATATAAGGAAAGACAATATTAGTAGATAAGGCCCCAATCCCCAACCCCATCAGTTTCTGCCTGCAGCCTGTCTGAACCCTCACTATTGCCTCCAAGAGTGTCATTGTGAAAAAATATAGAGCTTTCAGAGAAATGCTGGGCTCAGAAGTAGAGAAAAGAAGACATTTTGAAAACCATAATAAAAGGTTTTTAAAAAGTAAATATAGTACAGAGGATTAGCTTGTGTTCAAAAGGGCAGAAGGATTAGTGTGCCATTTGGTATTCCTCTCCTTAAAAATTTTCTTTCTTAGAAAGAAGGAAAGGCCAGGACCGGTGGCTCACACCTGTAACCCCAGCACACTGGGAGGCTGAGGCAGGTAGACTGCCTGAACCCAGGAGTTCAAGGCCAGCCTGGGTAACACGGCAAAACCCTGCCTCTACAAAAAATGAAAAAATTAGCTGGGTGTGGTGGCGCACGTCTGTAGTCCCAGCCACTCAGGATCCTTTGGTGGGAGGATCACCTGAGCCTGGGAAGGTCAAGGCTGTAGTGGAGTTGTAGTTATGTTCAGGCCACCACCATGCTCCAACCTGGGCAACAGAGTGAGACCCCGTGTCAAGAAAGAAAGAGAGAAAGAGAGAGGGAGGGAGAGAGGAAGGAAAGGAAGAAGGAAGGAAGGAAGGAAGGAAGGAAGGAAGGAAGGAAGGAAGGAAGGAAGGCCGGCCGCAGTGGCTCATGCCTGTAATCCCAGCACTTTGTGAGGCTGAGGTGGGTGGATCACTTGAGGCCAGGAGTTCGAGACCAGCTTGGCCAATGTAGTGAAACCTCATCACCACTAAAAATACAAAAATTAGTTGGATGTTGTGGTGCATGCCTGTAATCCCAGTTACTCAGGAGGCCGAGGCACAAGAATTGCTTGAACCCAGGAGGCAGAGGTTATAGTGAGCTGAGACCATGCCACTGCACTCCAGCCTGGGTGACAGAGTGAGACTTTGTCTCAAAAAAAAAAAAAAAAAAAAAAAGAAAGAAAGAAAAGAAAAGAAAAAGAAAAACTACATGGGAAGCTTGCTAAAAGCATACCTTCTGGGCATGATGCCTCCAAATCCTGATTTCAAAGGTTTGGGGTGGGACCTGGGAATGTGCATTTTTTCATGGATTCCAGGTGATTCTGATTCCAGTGTTACTCATACACTTAGAAACAATGGCGTGTACTACCTGGGGCCAATTGATTCATCAGTTGTGACAGTATAAATGTCCCATAGTACAGGGTACTGGACTTAGACTGCGTGCAGTCAAATGTCAGCCCTCTTCACATATCATTCTGTAGAGGTCTACCCATTTTGGTTTACACACTCTGAACAACATGACTCTGATTTTAAATGTTGGTTCAGGTTCAAATAACTCACTGTAGAATGGACTGGGGAGTTACAAAATACAGATGCGGCCGGGCGCAGTGGCTCACGCCTTTAATCCCAGCACTTTTGGAGGCTGAGGTAGGCAGATCACGAGGTCAGAAGATCGAGACTCTCCTGGCTAACATGGTGGAACCCCGTCTCTACTAAAAATACAAAAATTAGCTGGGCGTGGTGGCGGGCACCTGTAGTCCCAGCTGCTGGGGAGGCTGAGGCAGGAGAATGGCGTGAACCCGGGAGTCGGAGCTTGCAGTGAGCTGAGATTGCGCCACTGCACTCCCGCCTGGGCGACAGAGCGAGACTCCATCTCAAAAAAAAAAAAAAAAAAAAAAAACAGATACATACAGTGCGCTGGAAGTATATTGTACACTGCAATGACTAATAAAGTTCCGAGTTTCAGAAGTAGTTTTCAACAAGTATATCACAACACCTTTTTTTTTTTTTGAGACGTAGTCTCACTCTGTTGCCCAGGCTGGAATGCAATGACCAGATCTCGGCTCACTGCAACCTCCGCCTCTCGGGTTCAAGCAATTCTTCTGCCTCAGCCTCCTGAGTAGCTGGGATTACGGGTGTGTGCCACCACACCTGGCTAATTTTTGTGTTTTTAGTAGAGATGGGGTTTCTCCATGTTGGTGAGGCTGGTCTCAAACTCCTGTCCTTGTGATCCGCCCACCTCAGCCTCCCAAAGTGCTGGGATTACAGGCGTAAGCCGCTACACCCAGCCATCACGTCTTTTGATTGTGTGCTACCAAATTCAATGATCAATGGGTCATTTTTTATTTTTGCTACAATAAATGATTTTGCTGATTTTACTATATATTCCAGAAGCAATATTGAGCTAGGTAGGTTACATATTGCAGTGCAGAGCACTAGGTAAGCAACAGATAAAGTTTCAAAAGTAGCATGAGAGCAGCCTGTAATCTCTGAAAGTTACATATTTTCTGAAACACTCAAGGACCTTGCCTTGGAAATATTTTCAAGAATCCTGAAAAGACAACAAACAACTCTATGCAACCAGTGATGTAACACTGACAGGTTATTAAAGGTTATATTTATAGATGCAAAGGAATCTCTCTGAGTGAGCCACCAAATATTCTAGAATCCAAAGTGTCTGGGAACACTAAAGCTGCAAACCATTGCACTACAGTGGGATTTGGTGTTAACAAGCAATTGTGTCTCACTAGAGTATTGAATACAGCAGACTCCGCTTTCAATCCACAGAACCTGAGGACTGGGCTATGGGAAAGGGGAAGATGTAGAGAATGGACAGAGCCAGGGCCAAGAGAATGAAGTGCTGACTCCACAGGACCCTCTGTCAGTTCAGAATAACTTGGATGCTTTGGGGTCTGATGGGTAATAGGCATAATATCAAACGTCTCCAAGAAGTGATAATAGTTATAATCAATTGTAGCTAGCTTAAATTGGATTATCTGGGAATAGACTCTGAGTCTGACAGTGGTGTGCAAAATGTTCACTGGGATGTGATCTCAGCAGACAGACCTGCATGGAAGGAAGGAAGGAAGGAAGGAAGGAAGGAAGGAAGGAAGGAAGGAAGGAAGGAGGGAGGGAGGAAGGGAGGGAGGGAGGGAAGGAAAGAAGGAAGGAAGGAAGGAAGGAAGGAAAGAAGGAAGGAAGGAAGGAAGGAGAGACTAGGTGGAAGGAGAAACTGGTCTGCAATTTGGTTGCATTTGAGTCTACAGCTGATCCTACAGGGGGAGCTGAAATGGTCATTTAGAGTTTTCTCTATATGAGGAAAAGAAGCTGATTCCTTGTAGCTGCCCATTTGCCTCTCCACTGGAAAGGGCTATAACCTTGTTCTTTGCCACTATTTCCCTCAAAATAATTAACATTTTCCTGCTGAATTTGAGGTTTAGTAGTCAAATTAAAAAGTGTAGGCCAGGTGCAGTGGCTCACGCCGGCAATCCCAGCACTTTGGAAGGCCAAGCCAGGTGGATGGCCTGAGCTCAGGAGTTCGAGACCATCCTGACCAACACAGTGAAACCCCGTCTCCACTAAAAATACAAAAAATTTGCCTGGTGTGGCAGTGTGCGCCTGTAATCCCAGCTACTGAGGAGGCCAAGGCAGGAGAATCGCTGGAACCCAGGAGGCCGAGGTTGCAGTGAGCCAAGATCACACAACTGCACCCCAGCCTGGGTGACAGAGCAAGACTCAGTCTCCAAAAAAAAAGGTGTGGTCCCCTTTCTCCCCTTTTCAATCTACCTCCACTTCCCATTTAGGTTCCTTCAGAAACTTTCCATGAATTCAGTAACATTTGAATTTTGTAGTCAGAGCACAAGGGTTTATATCTTGGATATACAATTCATTCTTATGGTCTTTGCTTGTCGGTCTTGAAAAAGTCATACTAATCAATGCCAACCCTGAGTTATCACACCGAGAATTTGTGCTGCCAATTAACTCAAAATTTCCATTATATGTGAAGATTTATGATTACTCCAGTGACGTCTTGACTTGCTAAAAAGCAAGCCCCCAGATTGCTAACACAAGGTGTGTCTTCAAGGATGAAAGTAACTTCAGGAAAATGACATTAGCTCATCCTTTCCTGTGCTGATTATTTGAAAAGAAACCTTCTTTAACTGGAATATAATTCATGCATTCATTTCTTTTTATATCATTTATATGCTACAGTTTACACTCTTATTCTTTCAATAATTTATAAGCAAACATTCAAAGTAATTCTGATGTGCATTGGAAGTGTTATGTCAGTGTTTCTACTGACTAGAAAAAAAAAAAAAAAGCCCCACATGGCTTCAGTTATAATAATGGTATCTTTTACAGTGCAACAACAACAATATAATAAAGCTCATTATTTATAACACAATAATCATATATATGGAAATGTTCCTTTAAGTATTTATTTAAATTATACAATGCCGACCCAGTGTGGTGGCTCATGCCTATAATTTCAGCCCTTTGGGAGGCCAAGGCAGGAGGATCACTTGAGGTCAGGAGTTTGAGACCAGCCTAGCCAACATGGTGAAACCCTGTCTCTACTAAAAAGTACAAAAATTAGCCAGGTGAGGTGGCGGGCACCTGTAATCCCAGCAACTCAGGAGGCTGAGGCAGGAGAATCGCTTGAACCTGAGAGGCGGAGGTTGCAGTGAGCCAAGTTCACGCCTACTGCATTCCAACCCCGGTAACAGAGCGAGACTCCATCTCAAAATAAAAAATAAATAAATAAAATAAAATAAAAAATTACACAATGTATAAATTGCTAAAATATTGAACGACACATATGTGACTTCAATTTAACAACCTGTTCAGACTTTTCATATGAAAAATGAGGTAAATAAGAGTCTAATTCAGAAGAATGTTTGAGGTCTGTTTACCTTGACTAAATTCTCCAAAAAGATTAGGCATTCATCTAAAAGAATAAATAATTACTAAAAGAATTCAATTGTATCCCCATGGCTGAACTGCAGAATTCATGCAAGCAAAGTGACATTTCGCCCATGAAAAAGATTTTGTCAAGATCAGGTTTGTTCTTCCCTACATGTTTTCTCCATTTCACTCTTTTTGGAAGTGGACCAATAAATGTAATTCCTACAGTTGGCAATGTATCCCCACTTATCCTCATCAAAATTCAAGTCCTGGTGTAGGCCAAAATTCAATCCTGGTATAAAAGGAGGGAGCTGTTAACACCCCAGACTGACTCTGAGGATAATCCCACAGCTACTTTACCCAGAGGAAATGAACATTTATTGACCACTTACATTTATTGAGCCAGGCTCATACTTGCTAATGCATCAGTATATCATTTGTTCATTCATTAATTCAATCAATAAACACTGTTTGCCAAGCACCAGGAATACCAAGAAGAATGGGTCACGGTCTGTACCTGCAAGAAGCATGGTCTAGTTCTCTAATCCATATCATTCAATCTGACAATAACTGAAAGAGAAGAAACTGGAACTCAGTAAGTTTAAACAACTTGTCCCATGACAGAGGCAGCATTTATGCTGAAGTCTATGAGACTCCAAACTCTATTCTTGCTCCACTGTCTCCTTCTTGTTGCCGAATAAAACATTCTTACACTATTTAGAGTGTGATGGTGGGAACTGAAATGTCAGTAAAATACTCAATATTCAAATGCCATGATGGATAGTCTAAAATGCTTTTTTTTTTCTTTCTGTTTGTCTATTGCTTAAACAAAAGATGCCTACTGAGGGTTCTTTGCCTTCATCACAAACTAGGAAAAGAGACAAAACTATATTTTTTGCTGAGTAATGTCGTAGTCATTTGTTGTTGCTGGTTTTCACTGGAGTCCTAACTGAGCAAGCCGTAACACTGACACACAGATTCAGTCAGGGCTGATTGTCTTCAACACTGTGCTAGCTGATGTCCTTGAATGTAACGCAGCTCACATCTTCACAGTACATCTCTCCCCCTGAGGATTCTTAGTACTAACTCCTATTATCTATGCATAAATGCTGATGCTAGATCAGGACAAGCATTTAGTTATACTGCAGGGGCACTTTGAATGAATGACCTGGGGCTTGGCTGAAGACCAAGTCCATTGGAAACTCCCCTCTAAGCTGTGCATTTTTAGGCTGTGGTCATCGTTGGGATTTCCCCCCAAAAACTTCTCTGTCATGGCAGAAATGTAACAGCCCCCATTTTAGAATAGTATACAAGCCTGGATCTCAAAGTAAGTATGAAATGATTTGCTTTACATCTTGATGGTTCTATTCTTCTTAAATCCTTCCTCATTCTTAAATGTTTTTCTATTTGCATATTCTTAAATCTTTTCTTATTTGCATATTGAAGTCTTCTTGTAAAAGTGTCTGCTTTTCCCCAAAAATGATACACTCAACATTTCCTGACAGTCTATGTCCCATAGAATTCTAGGTACTTTTGGTTTATTATAACCAAGACTAAAGAGAAAGTTTCCAAATAGCATCTGACAGGCTTCTAAAGTCATAAGAGTTACAGACTAAATGTTTAGTCAAATACAATGATACAATTCATGTTTCTAGCAAGCTGTCTCTTGGTTAAAAAGCTGGACTAAATTTATATATAGAGAGAGAGCCACAAAAAAGCCATACTCAGAAACAACGGATCATGCATATTTAAGTTGTTGGTAGAAGCACTAGATGACTGGATTCTATCTGTTGCTCGGTATAATAAAATTTTAGGCCTTGGAAATGGTTCCAGGAATGGCAGACTGTTACGAAAAAGAAAAAGATCCTCACTGGTAGAAGTGTATCAAACTATCTAAATTATTCAAATTGTTTTATTTTTCCAAATAGACCTACTACCTCTAAGTATACTAGAAGACCAGAAGTATATTCAGAAATTACTGGTCAAAAACTATCTGTGACCCAGATACTGTTTGGATTTGCATGAGATGTTTCCAAAGCAGTCCGGGAAAGCCCACAAATTCAAAGCAGCCTCTTTATCCTCACCCCATTTCTGCTGAGTCCAAGAACCTTATTTCATTTCCTGCATGGTAGGCATTTTTTAGGGACTAGGTAAGCCATGACATCTGCACTGCTTTCTGAGTCATTGTCGTGAAATGATACATGCTTGGGTGTAGTGCGGCTACTTGGTTCCCAGAGAAAACAAACAAACAGAAGTCAGCTAGGAACTTGAGTCTTGCTAAAAACAAAGACAACATACAATTCCAAATTTTTAATTTATTTTTTAAAAACAGAGCCTTTGGCTTTCAAGTTTCCAAATGATATTTTCTAACCCTGGGAAAATATTTTAAATGAGATCTTTAGCTCTGCATGCCTCATTTCAGACCATTCCAATTTGTCAAAGGGGACTGGTCAGGCATCTTCTAAGCAGGTCTGTCTTTGGAAGATTAAGGCGTAAACCTCTGATTATGATAGACCAGGGGGGCACATATTCATGTAAAATTCCCTTCATTAGGATAGCTTGAAAAATAATTTCATCATTTTGTTATCTAGAAAAGGGTAAATATTTCATCTATTAACTGTCATACATAATTGTGAGCTAAGTCCTAAAGAGTTATAAAGATGAATAAGATATAGTCCCTGTCCTCACAAAAGTTAAGAGTATGGTGGCTGGGGGCAGGCGCTCACGCCTGTAATCCCAGCACTTTGGGAGGCCGAGGCAGGCGGATCACCTGAGGTCAGAAGTTCGAGACCAGCCTGGCTAACATGGTGAAACCCCATCTCCACTAAAAACACAAAAAAATCAGCTGGGCGTGGTGGCACGTGCCTGTAGTCTCAGCTACTCAGGAGGCTGAGGCAGGAGAATCACTTGAACCCGGGAGGCGGAGCTTGCAGTGAGCGGAGATCACGCCGTTGCACTGCAGCCTAGGTAACAAGAGCAAAACTCCATCTCAAAAAAAAAATAGTAAGGCGTATGAAGATGAGGATGAGGCATGAATACAGAAGTCCGTAACATTAGTAAATTATGAAATTGTAAATATAGTACATAGAGATTTCAGAGGTAGACAAAGAAAATAACGTAAGTTAAGTCTCCTATTAGAGGAGAGTAGAACGTATGTAAGGATCTTTTTCAGATTTCTTAAATCTTTGAAGGAAGAAATAGGAGCTAGAAGTATTACTGGGAAATTACTGAACAACAAGAACAAAAATTCAAGTAAATAACTAGTCCTTCATACCAACATCTCCTGTGAGGAACAAAATTTAGTAGAAAACTTTTATCAAGTGCTTATATTATGCTAGGCATTCATATCCTAGTACCATTTGCTTTATTTTTAAGATGAACTGATGAGAGATCAAGTGACTTACCCAAAGTAACACACGTAAAAAATGGTAGAGTCAGGATTAGAAGCAAAGCCCAGCTAGCTTTAACCATGCAGTCTTGCATAAGCAAAGGTTGAGGAGGAGAGGAAAACACGAGGCATGCAAAACGATTTAAGAATTAATAGCAATCTTAGGCTAGGTTATTCTGTGGTAACAAAAAGCCCTCAAGTCTTAGTGATTTATGAAAACAAAGGTCATTCCTTGTTCACATTGCATGTTGGCTGCAGGTCTGCTGGGGCTGTCTGGAGTTCTCTTCACTCTGGAGTCCAGGGTGAAGGAACTACTCCATCTTGGACACTGCTATGGCATGACAAAAGGGAAAGCCCCTTAAAGCTTCTGCTGGGAAGTGGAAAGTTATCACTTTTGCCCTCATTTTGTTAGCCAAAGTTAGTCACATGGGCAAGCCTGATGTCCATGGGGGAGGGCGTTTAGTTCCCCTTAGGGAGGAGTAACAAACATTCTGAACAAGAATGCAATCTGTCACCATCTGCCCTCTTGGTCACATAATACTACTCCCTACTTTTGCACAATTTATTCACTCTTTCCTCAAAAGAGATAATCCCAAATTCCTATTTACTCATGGGACTAAGCTTATAGTTCAGGATCTTGTGATAGTCTCTGGATTAGGTCTGGATAGTGGTTCATTTTGATCCAAATAACTGTAAATTAAATAACAAGCTATTAACCCCCTTCACAACCAATGTGCAATGACAGAATAGGAGCAAGATAACCTCACTAAACACTTCCACATGGGAAAGGATGAAGAGGAGACACACCACAATCTATGGGTCAGTGAAATCCTAAGACTCCACTCGTAAGCCACAGTGGGGGACCCCTGACCTGGGATGGGCCTCCAATTCAGGTCACTGCAGATCTGGAGGAAACCTGCACAATGGAATAAGGTCACACGCTTTGAACTGGAAACCAAAGAAAAGATTTGATTTTACCTGGACTAGACTTTTAAATAAACGAACATGAGTCTTAATCTGGACTACAGAAAGTAACTACAAGCTCTGTGATCTGCTGAAGATGTATTAAGGAACAGAGAGAGGAAATTCAACAGCACATGATTGAAAACAGTGATGGGGAGCTGCAAAATCATTACTTGTTTCTACCTTGCTGAGTTCAGGCTTTTTGTTAAAGCAGAATTGGTAGATAGAGGAGAACCAAAAAAATCAAAGATGACCACATTTTCTATCCTTGATGGCTGGAAAAACAATGATACTCTACATAGACATTGGGAAATATAGAAGAAAATATATTTCAGAAAGGAGATTTGGCATGAGGGCAGGAGTTCTAGACCAGCCTGGGTGACACAGACCCCGTCTCTATAAAAAATAAAAATAAAAATACAACAATTAGCTGAGCATGGTGGCATGTGCCTATAGTCCCAGCTACTCAGGAGGCTGAGGTGGGAGGATCACCTGAGCCTGGGGAGGTCGAGGCTGCAGTGATCCATGATTGTGCCACCACACTCCAGCCTGAGCAACAGAGTGAGACCTCATCTGAAAAACAAACAAACAAAGTGGAGTTTCAGGAAGTTAATTCCTCTTTTGTTCCTGATGGTGCAAATCCACACTCTCTCTGTCCTGATGCTGCATTTATTTATTGCTCCTAATGATGCCTGTCCAAGGTCTTTGGCTGGAGAACCCAAACGTCAGAGTTTGCAAGCAGTCCTTTCCTGGTTGCACAACATACAACCTTTATCACCGAGGAACATCCTTGGACAGGCAGTTCTCAAGGGCAGAGGGAGATTGGGGTAAAGTTGATGGCCTCAAGATCCCAAGCCACACATGGGCATATGTCTGACTGAACCATGCGTCATAGATGAGCATTCTAAAACCACTATTGTAAGAACATACTCACCATCATGGAATAGCTCATTTTCACTTTCTCCTTCTCCAAAGGTAAGTTAAAACTCAGGAAGCAATCATCTATTCTATACCATAACCATATAATTATTTTTCCAAAAAATATTTTTTATGTTAGCATGTTTATTCTTAATTTTAAACAAATGTTTTCCAAATTTCTCTGCTTTAATTTCAAATACAATTAACAATAGCTATAATGTATATTTTTAAAAGCTTGTTAGGATCCTCAATACCTTTTAAGAATGTAAAAGGATCCTGAGACCAAAAAGTTTGAGAACACCTGAGCTGTGATTTGCTCTACCTCTCCAAGCCTGCAAATCAGTTATTCTGCCACTGCCTACACTTTACCCCATAAATACAATGAATGTGATTAGTTTCTCATGTGCCAAGAACTGTCTCTTGAGATTGAGAATGACAGGACAGCCCATTGGACTCTAAGCACCTTGAGCACAGGGACTGTGTCATTTTCATCCCTGTGCCCCAATACTTAGCCCAGAGCCTTGGACATGGTAGTTGCTCAATTAAAAAAAAAAAAAGTGGGGCCGGGCACGGTGGCTCAGGCCTGTAATCCCAGCAATTTGGGACACCGAGGTGGCTGGATCACCTGAGGCCAGGAATTCGAGACCAGCCTGACCAACATGGTGAAACCCCATCTCTAATAAAAATACAAAAATTACCTGGGCGTGGTGGCAGGCATCTGTAATCCCAGCTACTCGGGGAGGCTGAGGCAGGAGAATCACTTGAATCCAGGAGGCAGAGGTTGCAGTGAGCCAAGATTGCGCTATTGCACTCCAGCCTGGGAGACAAGAACGAGACTTCGCCTCAAAAAAAAAAAGTGTACAAATGTACAGAAGTGACAGCTTGTTTTCTTGATATAAAATGGATTTCTTGGTTTGCTCAAAGTTCCAAGGAGAATCTGAAATTATATTAATTTGGCTAAAATAAGAGAGTGCTAGAGTGACTTACCACCAATAGACCTGAACACACACAAATATTTTATTTGAAAATATAGCAAGAAAAACAGTAACAACTATGAATGTTTTGTATGCCAAACACTGAGCTATAAGCATTTTACATTCATATCTTATTTATACCTGATAATAACCCCAGGAGTTAGGTGTTATTCTTCTTCTCATTGAGCAGATAAAGAAACATAATTACAGAGGCTGAAGCACACAGTTTGAACAAGGTCACACACCAGTAAGCGACAGAGCCTAGATTTTGACTTCTCTGAAATATACTCCTCCCTTAAAGTGGTTAAGAACTATTTAGTGCCCTTACATCCATTATGACATTCTATTCTCACAGCAAACCAGACTAAGATGAGAGACTCAAGTAATTATTCCTATTTACAAGTGTGGGGACAACTGCCCCCCAGAAAACCTACGAAGTCAACAAGCATTTCAACTGAACCACTGTTCACTGAGTGTGTCTCCCAGGAGCTGTCCTACTGCCCTAGATGGGGATAGACTCTGTCCTTCAAGGAGTAATTAATCCTATTCAGTACGACCATTAATAGAAGTTTTGAAAACCATTGACTGATGAGTGAAACATGTTTACATATTAGGTAAAGAGAAATGATAGCTGTGACAGGATAGGGAGAAAGAGAGTGAGAGATGATCTATGGTAAGGAAAATGGATGGCAGGCATTGTGGAAGACAGAAGCAAGAAAGATCGACTGCTTCTGCAAAGAGTTCTATCCATTGTGATTTTTCCCTGAGGTATGAAGAGAAACAAACAAGAGATTAAGAAACTGCCAGGCTGGCCAACATGGTGAAACCCCGCTTCTACTAAAAATACAAAAATTAGCTGGGCATGGTGGCCTGCGCCTGTAATCCCAGCTACTAGGGAGGCTGAGGCAGGAGAATCGCTTGAACCTGGGAGGCGGAGGTTGTAGTGAGCTGAGATCGTGCCACTGCACTCCAACCTGGGTAACAGAGCAAGACTCTGTCTCAAAAAAAAAAAAAAAAAAAAAACAGACTGGATTTGTGTTTCAGGTTTTTGGCTAATGCTAGCTACATGGCTTAGGGTAAGTCAGTCATATTATTCCTGAATCTCAGTTATCTGTCAATAAAATGAGAGGTTGGACTAGATCAGTAATTTCCCATTTCTTCCCTATACCACTCCTAGTCCCACTACCAAGAGAAAAAACACTTTCCAGAAATTGTATCCTTCCAGAAATAATAATTAATGTGTATATAAGCCATATACAAACACACATGCCCATGTAATACACACACATCCACTTTTTTTACATAAATGAGATTATGCTATGCACATTTTTTGCAGCTTACATTTTCCCCTTAATTATAGATCTTAAAGGTATTTCTCTAACAACACACACAGATTCATTTTTCCTTTAAAAAACAGCTATTTAATATTCCATTGTATGAAGGCCCCATAATTCATTTAGACAGGCCCCTGTTGAGAGACATTTAGGTTGTTTCTAAGTTTTTGTTATTACACACATTGTCTTGGTAAGTCTCCTGGATCAATTTAAATCGTCATTGTTTGGCAGAGAATACACTGATCTTTATAGAACTCCTGAAGCATTGTCACAGTTCCCAGGGTTCCAGAAAGCACAGTTTGAAAACTAGTAAACAAGATGACCTTAAATTTCTTTTTCTCTAAATTATATGAAACGCTGTTAATTTTTAAAATGTGTTTCTCTCACGTATTATTTTGCAGCATCTCCTAACAGCTTTGTGTGAGTAGATATGTCTTGTCTCTCAAACCAGATTATAATCCACTGGAAGCTACTGATTGCTTAGCATCTTTTTGCATTTCTCAAAGCCTAGCCTAGCATTTAGTGAGGCATAAGAAGTGCTCAATAAATACGTGTTGAATGACAATTAGAAGAGAATCAGGTTGGCAAAATGGAATACTTAGCTATATTTCTCTCTTGATTGTAGTTGTTCAAATAGGAGTGTGGATACTTATAGTTAACCTTGATTTCAGTGTAAAGAGCCTCAGTGGATTAGAGGCAGTTCACATTGTCACTCAGAGAAGAGGACATGAATGAAATGGGCAATTCCTCCACGCATGCTTTGCATTTTCAGGATTGCCAGCCATGCACTACTCCGGAGGTCCCTTTCATGTTGTGGTCTATATAAATGGTGCCTCCTAGAGTTGTACTCTGGGTGGCTAAATTCATGAGGAATGCAACATGAATTGGGCCCCCACGACTCATACAGGATGTTAGCAAAATACGTATTTCCCTCTTTATTATGAGGAATTTTGTTCCAACCGTCATTCTCTCCATTCCTTGAATCTCTAGTCCCTCCAATTCTACTTACTCTTTCCATATAAACATGCTTACATCTCTCTCATCATAATAGTAGTAGTCACAATGAAGAAGATGATGGTGTTAAGGTTTCTATACTATTCAATAGTATTAGTGATAGGTACCTTGACTTAGCTCAATAAGCGTTTCTTAGTTTTTGTCCCGTTTATCTCTCAGCTTCATTCTCCCACCCTCTCTTCCATCTCATCTTCCCTGTGTTTACACACTTAATTTCTTCTTCTTGAAATACCTGTCTCACCTTCCCCTACTTTTCCTACCTTTACACCTTCTTTGTAATACCAACTTTTATCATTCTTATACATCTACCTCAAGTATCATCTGCTCCAACATGGATTGATTTTTCTCCTCTCCCTAAATTGTAAACTTCTTGCTGTCTTTTTCTACTTTGTATTTTTAATATTTAGAACAAAGAACAAATATTAGTTAAATGAAAGAATAAATGAATAAACTGTATTTTGATGGGGTTGTCTTGAAGAAGAGTGCCTATTTTAAATCTGAAAGCCCAGATTTTGAAAATGTAGTAACTGTACCTTAATACTCTTTAAAGATTATTATGAAATGGTAGATTTAGTTATAACTGGTATAAAGTACTTTAAAGCAAATGAGAATTAATTTTTATAACATTTCTCCTTCTACTCAACCCTTCTTTATTATATTATTAGAACAAACATGGAAAATAAAACATTTGGATCCAGAAAAAACATGAAGCTGATGACCATATTTGTTAACAAGTTGTAACACTGCCAAACAAGAGTCAATAAAAATTGCTCAAGAGAAAATTGGGGGGAAACAGATCTTGTAATACCTTTTTTTCTAAAATGCAATGAAACAATTTTCCTTTTTTGTGTTTAGTCATCTATATATTCTTTCATTCTTGTTTTTCTGCATTCGAGTTTCTGCCTTGAACTCCTTATCTCTGCAAGCCCTTCTCCTTAATGTTCTTACTTTATCTCTCTTTCCACTGTTTTCCTCCAGGTTTTCTAAGTCCATCTCCTCCCTCTCCAGGCTTTACTTGCCCCCTGACCCCTTCTTCCTCTCCCAGGACTGTATTTCCCCTGCCTCTCATTTGCCTCCCAGCAACCTAAGCAGAACAATACTGGAAGTCGCACTGGCACTCTGACAAAAAGGAGAGCAGCTGGAAAGAAAACTTTACTCATAAAGAAGGAGACAAGTATCTTAAAAATATCTGTGGGAAGGTGTTTGCTAAATCATCTGCATCAGATACGGAACTTTCATCAATATGGTTTCCACTTGGGTGGAGGTGGGCCAGAAGCACCTTCTTGGGCTAGATGACTAAGCAGACACAAGGACTTACAGACCTCAGTAGCTTAGGCTTGAATAAAATTCAAGATCCCCCGTCCCCCAACCCCCCTTATTTGTGTTTTTTCTTTTTTTTCTGAAAGCCCCATCGCAGGAATTCAAAGGGCCAAATTCTGCCCTCGGTTGTGAGTCATGATTCCCTTGAAGCCAAGGAGCTCATATGTATGTACTCAAAGGAAGTATTGGGCCTTGGGGACACAGGTTAAATAACAACAGCCCGGTCGTTTGTTTGCTTATTTGCTTAAACCTTTATAAAAGAAGCACAAGGCCTGCTGTACCTGAATGCCTTTTAATAATCATTTTTAAAATACGCAGTAGAATTTAAATTCCCACAGTGGATCTCCTGCATTACAGGAGAAATAATAACAGTCTATCTTACCCTATGCCCATGTCCAGGAGAGAGCCGTAAGCAAGGAGGCAGGAATGAATTTCTAACGTGCCAGTCTTTCACTGAGAAAGTTCTGTTTTTATCCCCAGGGAACTCAACACAAGGGACTGAAATCCAGTGTTCCTTGTAAACTGCATGAAATACCTAAACAGCTTTTATTTTTTCTGAGCTAGGTTGGAGGTAACAAGGGCCACTCCACTGGCTTTAGGAAAAACAAAGATGTACAAGCTGGAATTCCACCCCCAGACTTCTCCCTTTAATGCCTTCCTCTCCTGATTCACGTGCCCTTTCCTCCTGTCTCCTGGAGTCTCCTCCCACAGAAAATCAAAATCGTATCAGGTCCCTCTCCCAGAGGGTTTTCTTTTTCCTACCAGTATAGAATCAATGTGTTCTATTTCATCAAGATAACAACTGTATCAGGTATTTTTTTTAAAACCAAGGTAATTTCTCTCACTTTTAAGATGTGTAAAAATTTTATACTCTGCCATTCCTGCTATAATGTATTTTTTATTTTAAAAACTTTTATTTATATTTTATTTGTTTAAAAGATGTAATACCCCAGTGATTATAAAACAGTAAAAATACAGAGACAAAGCAAAAAGTGAAAGCTTCCTCCAATTTTTTTTCTTAGAGGCAACTACCATTCACAGCTCCCAGAGTATTATTGAAAATTATTTTTATTTTTTAAATAAATTATCTTCTTTTATTTCTTTTTAGATGTTCTTATATTTTTTCTTTATTCCTTAATCTCTGCATTTGTTTCTGATATTTAAAATTTTAAATATAAAATGAAATATTGAAGATGTTGAGCAGATAGTATATACTGTTGTCTGTCTTCCAGACCCTTCTCAGTTCCCCACTCCCCAGGGAGTTTTTTAGGGGCAGACATGAGTGTCTAGACACCTCTGGGCTTTTTCTAATATCAGCCCTGGAATGTGGCACCTTCTCTGCCCAAGTATAGATCTGCCTGCTGGCAAATTCCTTCCCTCTAGCTTGTCCTTGTTTTTTGTTTTACAGGCTAAACACAAGTGAAAATGTCTTCCCCTTCGTGTTAACTCCAACTATTACTTAGATGCTCAAATGCCAGTCTTCAGAGTTCATTCTCATCCTCCGTCCTTTTTTTTTTTTTCCTTGGTCTGGGACTTTACATTTTGGGTCATACGGTGAAATTAGGCCCATGTTTGTTTCTGTGTATACAAAGGAGTAAGCTGAACCAGCATTAACCGAACAAGCAAACAAACAGAACTTAACAACATTGACATTGTTTACAGATACTAGAGAACTGAGAGGAAAAAAAAAACTTACTAGGGTTATGTAGTAGTAATATGAACTATATTATTTCTGTGAAACAGTTATTATTTATATCTAAATCCTAAGGTAGACGATATTAACAAACTCTGCCATTTGTTATGTGTTATTCATTTATCCCACAAGCAAACGTTTGTTGCCCAATGAACTTTAAATTTTGTTGTAAATATAATTTGATTATGCATGCATTAGACATTGTTTTATAGGTTCAGCGCCCTCCTTCTAGAAACATCATCTCCATTCTTTGGAATGATTTCTGTTTCAAATGTACACCATCCAGCTGACCAGCCAGTATGAGCTGCCATATTTAATTGACCCCCCAACACATGACCATTATCAGTGGATCCAGGGACAGGCACCAGACCCAACCTAAGCCAAAAAAATTCCTTCCCTGGGAATTTTTGAATGAGAACTGACAGTGAATCCATTTTTGTTCAGGCGGAAGCTATGAGGGTGGGACCTGAAACCGGAGCTTCTGGCTACTTTGTTTCCAACCCCATGGAACAGTAGATCTCTACCCCAGCTGCACAGTAGAATTACCTTGGGAACTTTTCAAAAAATGCCTTGGCACCAACCCCCAGAAATTCTAATCCGCTTGGTCTGGGATGGGACCCAGGTGTCAATATTTCTTTAAAACTCCCCCAGGTGATTCTAATGTGCAGCTAGTGATGAGAATTACTGAACTGGAAAAAAGTTTACAGTGAGAAAGAACAGGGTCATGCAGAAGAGAGGGCCAGAGGAGACACACAGAAACACACACTGGTGGCAAATTAACCCTTGTTTTAGGTATTCCACGGGGCGAACTGCTTCCAGACTTTTTTCTCATTGTTCTGTTGACGGAGTCTTTTTTCAATTACCTGAGATATTCCAGTGTCTTTCCAATAAATCCTCCTCTTTTATCCTAAGCTAATTTAAGTTGCATTTATGTGATTTGCAAACAGAAAAGTCCCTACTAGCTCTCTGTTTTTGTGTTCTCGGGCTTAATAGATTTTTACACTTGTAGAATAGTTTCTCTCCATTCATGTACTCACTAATTTAAGCAACAAGGCCCATAATATCCCAAGTTCTGTACTAGTTGCCAGGAATACTAAAGCAAAGATACTACAGTCCTTTTATGTGAGCAGCTTCTACTCCAGTGAGAAAAATGGGCATATCAGCAGAGAGCAATAGCAATATAAGAAGTGCTATAATAAATGTATTGACTGGTTACTACAAGAGCACCAAGGCAATGTATGGTCAGGTGAAATCATGGAAGCCTTTGCAAAGGAGGTGGCTCTGGTGTTGCTGGAGGAGTGACTTAGTGTCACCTGGTAGACAAGAGAGGGTCAACATGTGGAGCTACATAGCCAAGGGCTCATAATTATAAAACAGGAAGGCATATTAGGGACATTTAAGTATTTTTGTTACGCCTGGGCCTGAAGGTATATATGTGCTGCGGGAGAGAGATAGAGACAGAGGTCAGATAGGCTATTGACACCAGCATTTGCCATGTTAAATATTTGAAATTTTGTCCTGTGGGTACTACAGAGACTTTGGAATGGCTTAGCTAGAGCAGTGATCTGAACAGATTTATATCCTGGAAAGATTTCTCTGTAGAAGTAATAAGGCAAAGGCCTGATTTTCAGGAAGGAAACACATTAGGAGGCTGTTGCAATTGTGCAGGAGAGAAATGATGAGACCCTGAACAAAGACTCTGATGATAAGAACCTAGTAAGAAAAAAAAAAGAAGGTAGATTTCCCCGGATAAGATAACCAGTGGAGGTCAATTAAAGAGAATGTGTATGTGAAAGAAAGAGGGTAACAACCAAACCCTGAAGAAGGTGTGAAAGGAAAATAAATCTCAGGACCTCCAAAATCACTAAATCAAAAGGAAAAGTCAAGCTATGAACTGTGTCAGGAAAACCTGTCTCCCATTTTATTCCTGAATAAGATAGCTGCAAAAATAAAAATGCTACATACCTCCCTCACGATTTGCCCACAAGGAATTTCCTTGTGGGCCTCAAGATTTTGTATTTATTTTTATTTTTTATTTTGGAGACAGGGTCTTACTCTGTCACCCATGCTGGTGTGCAGTGGCCCAATCATGGCTCACTGCAGCCTTGACTTCCCAAGCTCAGGTGATCCAAAAACAGTTCTGTTGAATTTCACCTTGGCAACATAAATTGATAGCTTATCTCCACTGGTGCAGGAGAAAGGACAGAACTCAGTCATCCCTCTGCTCACTTGAGACAGATGCATATCTGATTGCTTCTTCTGTCCTATTGTTTTATGTAAAAATGCAGATTCACTGAGCCAGGCTAAGGTAAAAGTGACTATTCCTCTACCCACCCCCAACATGTAAATTGTGTATTCGGTGAAAGGCTGATCAAAGACTTAAAAGAATGCAACGCAACCTTTTGTCTCCTTTCTACCTACGAACCAGAAGCCTCCCAACCCCACCTTTGAGTTGTCCTTCCTTTCCAGACCGAACCAATGTACATCTTACTCATGTATATTGATGTCTCATGTCTCCCTAAAATGTATAAAACCAAGCTGTACCCCCACCACCTTGGGCACGTGTAATCAGGACTTCCTGAGGCTGTATCACAGCTTAACCTTGGCAAAATAAACTTTCTAAATTGGTCGAGGCCTCTCTCAGGCACTTCTGGGTTCAGAATATGAGAACGCAGTTAGCACTTTGTAGGTTCTGTGGCCACAGGTTCAACCAACCCCAGATCAAAATTATTCTGAAAACAAAAATAGCAATAAAACAAAAAAGTACATTTTTTTTTTTTTTTTTAGAGACAGGGTTCACCATGCTGTTGCCCAGGCTGGTCTTGAACTCCTGAGCTCAAGCGATCTGCCCTTCTCGACCTCCCAAAGTGCTGGGATTACAGGAATGAGCCACCGCACCCGGCCTTATATAGTATTTGTATTGTAAGTAATCTAGAGATGATTTGAAGTATAAAGGAGGGTGTATGTAGGTTATATTGCAAATACTATACCATTTTATAACAGAAACTTGAGCATCCATGAATCTTAGTATCCTTGGGGGTCCTGGAACCAATCACCCTTGGATACCGAGGGAGGAATGACTGTATACAGGTAGAAGAAAAATTGCTTGCAAAGGATAAGGAGAAGAAGTTAGAGAACTAGAAAATCGTGGTATTCTAACAAAGGGGACATGAAGAAAGGGGTTCTAGTAAACTAGTAGTTTCTAATAGTATTTAATATACATACAGATATATATACATGAACAAAGCCAGAGCTGTTGAGAAAGACTGGTTTTCTCAGTGACCCATCAGTAAGAGCTAAAGAACAGAGAGTCACGGATGAGAGCAAGAAGAGTTTCTACATTCTCATTCTGCCCTTCTGTGGAATTTGCCTACCATACACTCATTTTCTCTTTTTTGGTGTCCTCAGTTGATCTTCCTTTGGGAAACCACCTCTGCCTCACTGTGTGTGGTCTTGGTAAGACTGCACCAAGTTTGAAGGGGTCCTGCTATCCCTTCAAGGGTAGCACATGCCATTGACTAGCCATGAGCAGAGAAGGGTGATACAGTCAATGTTGGAGAATGCTTGGAGCCCGTATATCCTGATGGCAGTGTTCTCAAGAGACTGCCCACGAGTTTCTTTTCCATAGAACTCTCTTCAACCAGTGTGTTGGATTCCTGTCCTCTTTCAGGCTAGGATTTAAACCTTATCTTCCAGTCATTTACTTTTTAATTTTATGTGTTTGTTTACTGGCTTCATTTAGCCAAAATCGTCTTTCTATATTTGCAAAGGATCCCAGGAGAAACATCCTAGAAATTACCTAGCAGATTACTCAATGCAGTCACAGCTAGGTTATGGATTTGTTTCATTTAAAAAAATAAATTACAGTGTTTTTACACTCCATAAACTTTGAAATTTGAGCAATTTTTTTTGTTCGTTTGTTTTTTTTTGAGATGGAGACTTGCTCTGTTGTCAGGCTGGAGTGCAGTGGCACGATCTCAGCTCACTGTAGCCTCCACCTCCCGGGTTCAAGTGGTTCTCCTGCCTCAGCCTCCTGAGTAGCTAGGACTAGAGGTGCGCACCACCACGCCCAGCTAATTTTTGTATTTTTAGTAGAGACGGGGTCATACCATGTTGGCCAGGATGGTCTCAATCTCTTGACTTCATGATCCGCCCGCCTTGGCCTTCTAAAGTGCTGGGATTACAGGTGTGAGCCACTGTGCCTAGCTGAGCAAAATTTAAATTTAATTTTCTTGTGTCATGGCAATTGCAATGCAGAATTTGGAAATGGTATTAAGATTCTGAATACACATCACGCCAGAGAAAGGCATGGGAAGGGCCCAAGGAATATGGTAAAAATAATCTAATCAAGGTGTAGGATTTCTTTTGCTAATTGAGAAGGTGACTATAAAGGAGGAAGGAATAAAGTAAATATAAAAATCAAATAAGAAAATGTTAATCACTAGCAATGACTTAAGGATATGAAAATAGACATTTTGAACACACATAGGTGTGATAATTGCATTGCAATTAACATAAGATACTATTGTATTTAGGTGTAAAATAACATGATATAAGGATTTTCTTTAAAATATCCCAGTCATAAAAACAGCGTCAAAGAAGGGAATGGGACCTAAATCAAGTGTAACAAACATGGTGATAACTTCACGGGGACCCCTTTTAGTAATAACAGTCTTCTTACTTTGGTGCATGTTTGCGAATTTTCAAAATAACAAGTTTAAAAATACCTAGTGAAGCACCTTTAGGAAGTGAATTATTCTGTGTATGTGTACCATTGACATTTAGATCCTTTCATTAGCTTTGAAAACTCCTTGAAAATTGTGTCTTTTGGCAGCGGTTTTCATCCCTTCTTTTATAATCTACTCAGTCTCATGATTTATAAAATATTTGCTTATTATTGGCGACCTGCTGTCCGTAAATTACTTTATTAAGCTCTTTCTTTGAAATATACCCCTCCTTTAACATACCCATCTACATTCAAAGGAAAACCAAATGTTAGAAATGCAAAATAAAAAAAAGGTAAAAGACTATGCTTACCTAACTTGATTTTCATGGTCATTCTTTTTAAATGCTAAAATGATATGCCACTGAAATATACCTTACTAAATGTCCTTTATAAAAACGAAAAGAAACAATATTACTTTTCAAATATCCAAATTACTGTAAAGATGTAAGGGACCAGATTCCCTAAAAGTAGTCTTCTGCTTTACCCTTGATATTCAAGTATTTTTAAAAACCCAAAGCTAGCCTAGTAAAATCCTATTTTATTTTTATTGCTTCTATTTTCTATAGCAACCAATCCTGGAGAACAAAGGTCACATGGAACGAAATGAGTCACTGCCCAAACTATGAAAATGCTAGTATGAACAATTATTGTACATAAATTAGTACATAGTGTTTCATTCTCTAGCTTGGGTATGGCTAATATAGTCCATAATATGGCTAATATAGTCCATCCTCTTGATTTTTGCAATGTTTACTATAATAATGAACAATTTGGTTAATCTGCCTGTAAAAATTCATTTTGTTTGTCTTCCAATATTTTGTACTAATAAGAATTTTCCTTTAAAAATAGCTGGTTCTGCCTCATCAACCTCAGACTTTCATTTTAAAGTGAATCTTCTAATTATAAAAACATCCAGTGACGTTCTGAACAAAAATGGCATTCTGGTTAACATTCACCATGAAAGAATATGGGTGCCTGAGTTTAGGTTACTTATTTATTTATTTATTTATTTATTTATTTTTGAGAGGGAGTCTCACTCTGTCACCCAAGCTGGAGTGAAGTGGTGGGGTCTTGGCTCACTGCAGCCTCCACCTCCCGGGTTCAAGCAATTCTCCCACCTCAGCCTCTTGAGTAGCTGGGATTACAGGGGCACGCCACCATGCCTGGCTAATTTTTGCATTTTTAGTAGAGATGGGGTTTCACCACGTTGGCCAGGCTGGTCTTAAACTCCTGACCTTAGGTGATCCACCCGCCTTGACCTCCCAAAGTGCTGGGATTACAGGTGTGAGCCACTGTGCCCAGCAGAATGCCTGAGTTTATACCAATGCTTGCCCACCCCCAAAAAGGGAGAACATGATAGTTATGGCATCATTTCATCTAAAACATTTGATATGGTCTTACTCTTTCAGTACATAGAGACAAATGTGGGTGCAAATCTTTCAGAGGGGAATATAATATCTGTTAAAGAGGGTCAGATAGTTTTATGCAAGTTAATTTTCAAAAGCAATCAGATCTTGAAAAGTTCTGATGATAGCCTACACCAATTGGCATTTTCTCAAATATTCTACTAAAAGAAAAGAGGGAAGCTTGATAACATCAAGATCAGCTTCCCTTTTGTAAAGTTTTCTTAAATCATAACTTCTTTTCTATAGGAACAAAAGCAGCATGGCCTAATTTCAAAATGGGGACAAATAAATACTAAATAGAACTCAAAAAGATTTCAATGGGTGCATTTCATATGGTTCTTCCACCCGACTCCAGGAACGTTATGTGAATTTGTTCAGTGAATTATTGAAAAAGCAACAGGAAAAAGAATACAGTACATTATTTTTTTCTATTTGGTCTATGAATTAAGGGAAAGGTGATGTGTTAAAACATAAGAAATGTTATTAACTATACTCTACCCATGGGAGAAGCAAACTGTAGCTAGCTTATGTATTGTTTCTAAAAAAGATTTGAGGCCGCTATAAGATTGGTTAGTATGGACGTAGTAACTGACAAAACAGTCTCTGTAGTGCCTGAGAACCCATGAAAAGAAAATGTTCCCTGCCCTTTCTTTACATGCATATGTAGCTTTCAAACAGTGATTTTGAAATGGTTCAATAGCAAAAACTGGCCTTCTGCAGTCAGAGAGAATGCTTCAGGGGTAGACCAGCAAACAGTATAGATCAGTGACTTCTGCCAAGTGTACGGCCTCTACAGAAGTTGTTTTTCCATCACTCATCCCCTCCATCAAAGCTTTGTGATTCATCCTTCCCATAGGTGCTGGACTCAGGTGTGTGAGGGCAGAGCCCAAAGCACACAGAAGAGGAAATCTCTTTGTTTCAGCATTGCACACATCTGTGCAGTAACAAATGGAAAGAATTAGTGAATAATGTCACAGAAATTTAGTTGATGCACTTAAGAAGTACATTTTAAGCAACAAATAAAAATAAGTAATTAATCCACTTCTGATTGGCAATGGACATGGGAACCATATCCATCTGAGAACCCAGATGATGGAATGTTAATGATACACAGCCATGTTGGAGAAAAGAAGAGGATTTAGGCATGGCAAGGACAAAGATATTTTATCTAGATACAGTAGGCTAAAGATTTTACTAATTCTTTACTTTAAGCGAGGTTTGGAAAGTAAAGGCAGACCTGAACTACATAAAGAGCATTTCTTTTCGTATCATACAATATACTATTTGTGATTTCTGTATATCGATTTGTACTTAAATGATTTATTTAGTAAATTACATTGTTCCTTCTATTATCCTTTGCTACCTGTTTACACTGCAAAGTTAAAAAATGTTTCTGCAGTTGTGAAAGAGAAACAGCTAAATCAGGTTGTGTTTGCCAGGATAGGTTCCACAATGCTAGTGTAGCGAATGACACCTGAGCTCTTAAACTGTTAAAGGTTTACTTTTCACTCATCAGAAGTCTCTTGAGGGGTCTAGTTGCTCTCCAGGCCCACTCCCAGGGATGCAGGGCCACTTCTTTCTTACAGCTACACCATCTGGAAAATGGGGCTTCCAGGAACACAGAGGTGAGGAAAGGGGGAGTGCTCTTAAGAACCTACAGCTGGCCGGGCACTGTAGCTCATGCCTGCAATCCCAGCACTTTGTGAGGCCTGAGCAGGCGGATCTGTTGAGGTCCGGAGTTCAAGACCAACCTGGCCAACATGGCAAAACTGCGTATCTAGTAAATACACAAAAATTAGCCGGGCATGTGGTGTGCTCCTGTAGTTCCAGGTACTCGGGAGGCACTGAGAATGACTTGAACGTAGGAGGAGGAGGTTGCAGTGAGCTGAGATTGGGCCACTGCACGACTGTCTGGTTGATAGGGGGAGACTCTGTTTCAAAAAAAAAAAAAAAAAGAACATAGAGCTGGAGGCATCACTCTTCATTTTTCCACAAGCCCATTGGTTACTACTAGTTACATGGCCCCAAGCTAATGACATGAGAGGGTGGAAACTGTAAGGGAGCCACATAATATTTGGTGGACACCACTGTTCCTGTGGCATCTGATTACTACAAGTAAGATCTGTGCTGAGAATGGCCAGACATGGCAAGCAATACCTCCTCTAGAGTTCTTTCTTGAACTGTAGAAAGCATAAAATCATGGAGGAGCTTGTAGAAAGGGTACATTTCCAGGCCCGTATGTATAGTTCAGTTTAATAGGGTTGAGATGGGACTAGTGTTTTAATCAGCCATATCCTATTAAGATGTGTGTGCTGCATGGTACACACAGAAAGAAGATACCACATTGAGATGCAACATAAAAATTATCTTTAGGGGACTAGAATGTAAAGAAAATGAAACTAAAATTCAAAAACAAGTCTCCTGGGAAAGTCAGAGTCAACCTTCTGTTCCACAGGGAGTCCATTCTGCCCCATCGTCCTGGAAAGTTCAACAAATATCCCACCAGTCCTTTGCAGGTATGAATGCAATACTGCTAAAATCTCTATGTGGAAAATAATGATAGACCAGGGCCCTTGTCCAGGCTTCTTACTTTCTCATCAAGATGTCTTCTTCTTTTGCCATTTGCTCTTCTACTTGACTTGGAGAAAAAGCAATAATGGAAAACATGATGTCTGCTTCTTCTCAAAGCTGTAAAATAGGGTCTTTCCCTATTTTTCTTTTCCTCTCAGATTGTTACCAAGGCATCGTGCTCATTAGTAGTTATTCTTTGGAGAGAAAATTAGAAGAAAAAAATTAGATGATAATATGGGTAATTTTAAGTGTAGGCATGCACAAAAACTTCTTAAAAATCAGGTTGCGGTCTGTGTTCTTATTTTAGATGTGCCCCTGTTAACTTTTTCTCAATAAACAGGTGCATACACTTCCCCAAGCTGTCACTGGTGTTTATTTAGCCTGTATGCTTCAAAATCTACTGATGGATGATACCCAACCAGCTTGAAGCTTGACTTTCAAAAACCAGAGACTTGAAGTTTTAATGAGACTTTCTTTAAAGTGTGGTCCAATGAATTTGTTAGAATAGGAGCATCTCTCTCAAAGATACCATAAAAGTATCACATTTGTATGTTAATTTTAGTTCAACAAATAGGAAAAATGATTATGAGTAATAGCTCTCAGCTTTCAGATAGTTCTTTTCATGTTCAAAGTGCTTGACAAACACTAATTAAATCACTGGCAGTCAAATTAGATAAATATGTTCTCTGTATGTGCATAGCTGTACCTTCCATGCACACAGTCTTCTAAATCACATCACGGCAGATCAAACAATTTTTTTTTTTTTTTTGCCATCTGAACTTGGTTGGCTGACACTGATTCCAAGCAACAGATAATTGCTGGAAGGGCTAATCATGAGGAGAGATTATGTAAGCTTTCTCTGGTTTTAAACGAAAACATGAATTTATCCTTGATAAAAGGTACAGGATGAACCACAGTATGAAATGCTTCTGTCTCTAGGCCACAAGGTAACAATGACAAAGCAAATTCTCTTGCATTATAGTGTTGGAATAGCTAAACTCTAATTTAAAGAGATCATTTCATCAACAGAGAGTACATTTTATGCTTCCTGGGCTACTGATGTTTTTGGCCTCTTTCAGCACCAATAACAAGAAGGCTTTTAAGGCTAAATATGGTGTTGATTTCAGCAATATGGTAATTGTTCATTAATGCTAAGGATCCTTGGTCACTATGACTTGAGAAGCATTTGAGCCGGCAAATTAAACATAGTAAATTTCATGATTATTTTTAGAATCACTTACACTTATTTTTCCTTCATTGAATTTAATGAAGTTTTCCAAACCATCCCAAGAGATTAACTGGCCCCAATGGATCTTAAAATGAAGCATATTCCAAATAAAAAAGAGTGCTAATAGCATTTCATTTTTCAATAACACCTAACAAATTAACACACTCTACCCACCGACATCATACAATCGGGAGAAGGCATGCACATGCATGTGTGGACACAGCTTAGCCAGAGGCAGGCTTGCTTTCCTTGAGGTGCTCAATTGCATTGCTACAAATGGAGGGGCCTTAGGTTTCTCCTTTCACTCTGCCAAACTAGTTTCGTCTGTTTCTAGGAAAGAGAAGTACTCATTGTCTTGCAGTTTGCTGGGCAAAAGAACATCTAGTTCAACTGAGTTGTCTTCTTCCAGACTGCAAGAGTTGCACTTGGAGTCATGGTATCTGTATATGTGCATCTCACAGAATGGTATTAGTTTCTCTTTATAAGCCTAATGTCTGGGTGATTCCCCTTCTTTATTAATGAAAACCTGGAATTCAGTGACAATATATGATGTGTCCAAGGTCCAACCCACAGCCCACATGGTTTAGACTTAACAAATGGCAATAATGGAGCCATAACTGATATGGCTGATACTACCTTTGCCTCGGTGTTTCTATGGTTAGCTTCTTGCCATATCTCAGGAATAAAAGTAAACTTTCTGTAATTACATTTAGAGCAAGGAGTCATTGATGTGACTGCATTTTGGCCCAGAAAAGCATATCAGATACATCTGTAACACATTTGTTTTCCCCTCAGTATAGAGACAAAAAGTTAGACTTGATGGGAGCATTTAAATGGATTTAGAAATTCAACAGTATTTGGGCTGGGTGAGGTGGTTCACGCCTGTAATCCCAGCACTTCAGGAGGCCAAGGCAGGCAGATCATGAGGTCAGGAGATCAAGACCATCCTGGCTAGCATGGTGAAACCCCGTCTCTTTTTGTAAAAATACAAAAAAAAATTTAGACAGGCATGGTGGCACACACCTGTAGTCCCAGCTACTTGAGAGGCTGAGGCAGGAGAATCGCTTGAACCCAGGAGGCGGAGGTTGCAGTGAGCCGAGATTGCACCACTGCACTCCAGCCTGGGCAACAGAGCCAAACTCCAAAAAGAAAAAAAAAATTCAATAGTATTTCAAAATATAAATGGCCTTAAAAGGCAAATAAAATACGCATATCCTTTTGCACACTTTGAGTTGTACTGGTTTTTATAGTCAGAAAGTTCACTGCTTCCCTTTCCTCACTTCTTACCTCCTCATTCTATGGAAACTCTTCTCTTGGAGTTCACATGTGAACTTTGATACAAATTCTCCTTGACCTTTCTCCTACATTTGACACTATGGACTCTTTCCAACCAATACTGCCTACCACTCCTCTGAAATACCCAATACTCAATTTTGACATTTTTATCTTCCTTGCTAGCCTTGCCATCAACCTTGCCTACCTCACATCGCCACCTGCCTGGATTATTATGCAGGCTTCCATCTGGTCTTCCAGGTCCTAATTTCTCCTTCCTTGAATCCAGAATGCCAAAGTGACTAATCTTCCAAATATCTATATATCTATATATAGATATATAGAATTTTTTTTTTTTTTTGAGATGGAGTCTTGCTCTGTCGCCCAGGCTGGAGTGCAATGGCACAGTCTTGGCTCACTGCAAACTCAAGCGATTCTCCTGCCTCAGCCTCCTGAGTAGCTGGGATTACAGGCATGCGCCATCATGCCTGGTTAATTTTTGTGTTTTTGTAGAGACAGTTTCACCATGTAGGCCAGGCTGGTCTTGAACTCCTGACCTCAGGTGATCTGCCCACCTCGGCCTCCCAAAGTGCTGGGATTACAGGCGTGAATCACTGCGCCCGGCCCAAATATCCATATTTTAACCTGACCTCAAAATTCCTTCTTACCCAGAGGCCTTACTTACCTCCCCTGCTTCCTTTCCTTCACGTTCCTCCTAGCTCCGTACACTCCAGACACACTTGGCTTTGTTATAGTGTTAAATGCACAGAGTTTAACCCCTTCTTAGGGCTCTACACTGGCTTACTGTCTGCCTGAACTACTCCTCTCTGGATCATCCAAGACTGGTTGTTTCTTTCATTCAAGTGATAGTTTAAGTGTTCCTCAGAAAGGTCAGTCCTACTCCCTACACATGCATTCTGACACCTTTGCCCTTTATTTTCTTCAGAGCACCTTTTTTTTTTTTTTTTTGAGACAGAGTCTCGCTCTGTGTCACCCAGGCTAGAGTGCAGTGGTGTGATCTCGGCTCACTGCAAACTCCGCCTCCTGGGTTCACACCATTCTCCTGCCTCAGCCTCCCGAGTAGCTGGGACTACAGGCGCCCTCCACCACGCCCAGCTAATTTTTTGTATTTTTAGTAGAGATGGGGTTTCACCGTGTTAGCCAGGATGGTCTCGATCTTCTGACCTCGTGATCCGCCTGCCTCGGCCTCCCAAAGTGCTGGGATTACAGGTGTGAGCCACTGCGCCCGGCCCAGAGCACCTGTTACTCTTATAGTTGTATATCTACTTGTTCTTCTCTGTCCCTCCTGAACAGAATGTAACCTCAATAGGAATAGGAGCTTTTTATTTTACTACTTTATCTCCAATACCTAGAATGGTGCTTAAAGATTAACAAAAATGTGCTGAATAATGAACTTTATAGATCATATCACTTCCAATCCATTCAACAGTATTCCTCCCTGTTTCTATATAAACATACCTTCCAGTCCACATATGTTGTTCTTACCGTCCATGGAATTTACTCTCTATTGTGTCAGGTGCTTTGAACTTTTTTCTTCAACCAGATTGTAAGCTTCTGAAAGGCAGAGGCCCTTCCCTTTTTATACTTTTCTAGGCTTCCACACCTAGCAGAGTTCTGAGTAGAAACATACCAAAGTGCATTTGGTACTTATTTAACAAACACTTATTGATTTATTTCCTATTGTAATATTATATGCTGGATTACTGAGCACTTTTATATCAGTGGGGCTGAAGTAGAAATAAAAATTAGCTGACCATAAAACACCAGCAGGGACAGGAGCAGGGTGAGCATTTCCTTTTTTACCTTCTAATTCTATTTAAACAGTAAACTACAGTTTTCTGGAATGAGTTTGTGACGATGAGGGTCTACCTTGGGAAAATGTCTGGCTTCCTTGTCTATCAATTTAGAGGCTGTACCAGTGAGTGTTGATCATCTTCCAACTCTAAGGTGCCAAGTTCTGTATGTCCTGTTATTGACTCCTGCTACAATCCTAAAGTCATCTTGGACTTCATTCTCATCTTTGATTCTTACATATACTCAGTGAACCCAAGTCTTTCCTTAGTTGCATTTACGACCAACGATTCTTTTAAATTCTATTTGCTTCATCAGAACTGGACAAGGCTATGGTCCCCCTGTCTTGTCCTCCTTTCCCCATTGCAAGTCCACCCAGATGATTTCCTATTAGAATAAATATCTCAGGCTCAAATTTAGGCCCCTTATCAATGATCCTACTCTATTATTTCAGCTAGTTTTCTGTTGTTTCTAAAATGAATCTCCTGTTTTACCTCAGCTGATCTCCTATCTTTTTCTTGGTTATTGATGTGCTTATTTTCTTCTTAACTTCTTTATTTAAGCAATTTCCTTTACCTTTTTTCTCCATAAGGCAACCTAAATTCTAAATTTCACTTTTTGTCCTTTTTTGTTGTTATTGTTAAGAAGTCTTCCCTTAATTTACATGGATTATTTTCCATCTTAAAATTGGTAATTTACAATCGAATCCTTCGTTAGTAGTGTTGAATTATCATTTTGTGTTTCATATTTTACCTTCCCGGTGATGCTGTAATTTTCTTGGCAATAGGGTCTTAATAATTCTTACAATTAGGCAAAGACCTTGTCACCACCGAGGATGAATGCATTTGGTTGGTTCATGGCTCCGGAGGTCTGGCCAGAATTGCCTGGATCATGCAGATGAACCCTGACTGAGATGAAAGTTGTGCAACAGGAATCCTTGAAACCAGTGGGACAAAACAGCTTCGACAGAAATACCTTCCTAGCTAATGCCAAGTGCAATTTTATACATCACTCAGACCATGTAGGCAAAGCTGCAAAGTCAAGGAATTTTGATGTTGAATAGCTTTATATAAGTGTTAAATATTAACATGAGCCAGATGCTGGCAGGTATGTGAGACAGAAAGTCTGAGTTTGAACCCTGGCTTTGTTTCCAATTAAGCTGGGTAATATTGGGTAAACAACTTACCCTCTCTGGGCTTCAGTTCTTAATCAGATTAAAAAAGATTTAAAAATTTTTTTCATTTTAAAATGAAAGGATTAGACTCCCAATTATTTTAAGAACCAGTTTAATTATAAAATTATGTAATTCTATTTTTAAAACAATGAAATGGCAGCCATAAACTTTAGGATTTTTCAGATATTGTGGTTCGATTTAGAATTTTTCCATTTTACAATGGGTTTATCTGGATGTAACCCCATGGTAAGTTGAGCAGCTTCTTATGACTTATGATGGGGTTATGGTTTCTACTGAATGCACATACATTTCATACCATCCTAAAGTTGAAAATATTGGAAGTCGAGGACCATCTGCTGTGTTGCTAGCATTAAATGCAATTTTGGCTTACAATATTTTTAACCTACATTGTGTTTATTGGGAAGTAACCCCATCGTAAGTGGAGAAGCATTTTGTATTTTATTCTGTGTAATAGGATTTACTAGTTTCATGTGTAGTCAGAACACTCACTTTCAGGTTTTGGCATTTACTCTTTTCTGTTTCTCAATTTGTGTGAAAGTGGATGGACAGATGGTTTATTAGGCTTTCAAATGCTTACAATGCTGTTGTTCAATTCAACAATGGTTTTAAACTTTGAATGTCCACACAGAGCTGGATTTTGTTTGGAACGGAAGATAGTTTCGACGCTTCAATTTAAGGATAAGAATGTTTACTCACATAACTTAAAGCAACTTGTGGATATAAGTACAAAGACCTAATCGATTTCCTTTATTTTGGTATGTTTCCTAATTCATTTCCACATCACAGCCTAACTCTTCCGAGTTGCAGTTTTAAAAATGAAGTTACTTAATAAACCAGACATCCAGTTATATTTGCATGTTTTGCCTTCACCAGAGTCATTTAACCTACAACCTCCTTCCAGATACAAAAACCTTTACTTTAGAAAGGATCCTTTACTTCATAAAGGAATTTAACGAAGGGACACATTCCTCACTTTACAGTCAAGAACACCTGGGACTTCCTGGTACTCTTTCTACTATGTATTCTATAAATAAAAGAGCTAAAGTGAAATTAGGTCGCAGCGAAAAAACATCCAACATTTGTGAATTTTAAGCCCCAACAGAAAATCCCATTCCTTGAAATTCAAGTGGCAATGAGAATATTATTGCATAAGGAAAATATAGATGGAACTATGCAAGTCAAATGATGGTCTCCACTGCTGTCGCTTTGCTTTGTGATTTTTAATTACTCAATGTGACTCTCCTCGTGTAAATGGGACCGCGAATATGCAATTATTGAATACTCAAACTGCATCAGAAGTGTGTGGAGTAGTCAGAACCGAAAGGACGGGAAAAATGGAGATAAAGGAAAGCATGAGCCTTGCCAGGAGGGAATCGAGGAGGTCCAGAAGGAGGGATATTAAGAGGCATTGGCAAAGCAGCTGTGGAGGAGCTCCGGGCTGCAGAGCAGGTAGAGGTGTCGGCAAGGGAGCCAGGAACCCGCACAGGGGCCCTGAGGCTCTAGTAGGCCGGGGAGTGGACCAGGAAAGGAGATGCAACGGGCCGGCTGGAAAACTGCACGGGGAATCCGAGGTCGACCTAATGAACAGCACAGACCTTCCAGAAGGAAAGAGAAGGTGACTATGCGAGCTTAGAACAGGACTAGGAGGTTGGGGAAAGAGTACGAAAAAGCTGAAAGGGCGGACAGGGTGCTGACGAGATGGGAAAGGGCGCACAGGGAGGTGGGGAGCAGTGCGAGGCCGGGGGACAGTGGGCAGGTGCGAGGAGCCGAGCCCGCGGGCTGGGGCGGAGCGATTCGCGCGGGCGGGAGCGCCGCTGACTCAGGGACCTCGCGCCAGCGGAGTCCGGGCGGCGCAGAGAGGCGGAGCCTCGATTGCGCGGGCGGGCCGAGGGGCGGGACCAGCGCCTGACGCGCCCGGAGGCCGAGGCGGCCGCGGGCCGGGAGGGGCGGCGGCATCCGCGGCGGCCGCGGGGGAGGGGCACGGCGTCAGCGCGTCGCCGGCTGGGCCGCGCCGGTGGCCAGGAGGGAGAGACAAGGAGGAGGAGGAGGAGGAGGTGAGTAGGCTCCGGGCTGGGGAGCCGCGCGGGCCAGCGGGGAGGCGGGGAGCGCGGCCCCTCCCCTCCCCTCCCCGGCGCCCGCCTCGCGGGGCCGCGCTGCGCGGAGATCCCAGAGGGGCAGCAGCGGCGGCTGCGGCGCGGGGAGCCGGGGGCGGGGGGTGTGGGGGAGGCGGAGCTGAGAGCCGCGCGCTTCCCGGGCGCACGCGCTGCGCTCCCTGCGCCGCCGTCCGCACCGCGCTCGGAATGGGGCGTCACGCCGTGGCATTTTGTGCCTTCTGCAAACTGGTCGTGTTCGAATTGCGTTTTTTTGGTGCCTACATGTCGTGCGTGCTGGTTTTCTGCGGCCCGGCGCTCCGCTTCTTCCTCGCGCAGGCTGAGAGGACGGGTGGGGGCACGTCGCCCTCGCGCGGGAGAAGGGAGGCCGGGCGTCCGGGTTGGCCTGAGTTGGCTGGGGTGCTTCGCCGACCACCAGGCTGCCCGGCGCTTGGCCCCTTGCAGTGCGAGCCCCAGGCCTTCCTGACGGAAAGCTTCGCTTCTGGCTCCTAGTCGCCCTCAGTTACCAGACCTCCCCAGCGCCCCACTCCTCTCTGCCAGCCGAGTGTGAAGACCCTCACTGTGCCCCCCACCCCGGAATCCCTCGTCTGAGGATTAAGCACATAACTTCCCATTTTCATCGGGATCCAGACAATCCCATTCTGTCCAGGTGGAAAGATTCTCTGAATTTAAGTCTTGGGAATGCAGCAGCGAAATTTAACCTTTAGTCCCGAAGTAGTTTTTTTGCCTTCTCTCGCACATACAACTTTTAGAGTCTTCTGACAACTGTGCTGCTTTAGGTTATCTTGAGATTCTTAAGTTAATGCCTTGAGGCCGTGTGATGGGAGTTTCAAAGAGAAGGCTTTTACAGCTTTTCTTCCACCTGTATCGCAGTTTGAAATGGAAAACGTGAGTTGATGATGATTTTCCATACGAGATGGATTTCAGTTTGCAGCCCCGGCTGCCGTGGCTCACTTGGTTATTTGGTGCCTACCCCTGAAGTTGATTTTAAAGCTTAAAATAGTGGTTAGGTAAAGGAGCTGCTGAAAAAGAAGTTCAGTACAATTCAATAGAGCCATTCTATTGGCTTCTATTAACGTGTTTAACCTTAAGCTTTAACCATGACAGGAGTTTCATGTAGGAACCCACATACCAAGTGAAATATTGAATTTTAATTAGTGCGTTCCAGGTCTGACTTGGATTAGATTCTTCTCGGCTCCCACTCCCTTTTGGTATACATTTTCCTTAGGGTCCTGTACTGTATTTAATGAAACAGTTTTAGTATTGAGGATTAGAGGAGTACCTCTTGAATCACGAAACTTTCTTTGACATGCTTGAAAACAATGAATAGGTAAAATCTGAAGCATGATACTTGCAATAAGGTAGGAAATAGTAAATTTTTTAACATCACCAGTTTGCAAAGGTTAAGATGGCTTCTTTAGTCTTGATTTGAAAATTGTGTTGGCATTTTAATCTTATGCATCACAGAAATACAGAATTTTCGATGTTTAAGGAACATTAACAGTATAATCCAATCCCATTATTTTATAGAGAAATTAAGAATCGAAGACAGTTTCTTGATGAGATTTAGCAGGAGCTGAATAGAACTAGTAGTCTTCATTAACTAAACACTTAACTAGGTAATTCAGACCTCTTGTACTAAAGTTTGTTTGATTATGGTACTAAAGTTTGTTTGATTATGGTATCTTAAAAAGCCAAGTAATTAAATGAAATTTTTTTCCTTAATTTATGATTTGGACCCATTAGATTAAAATGCCATGAATTGTACATAGTTAGGAAGTATTTACATTCTGTGAGTTTAAACATTACTTTCCAGTGTTTTTGAATTAGCAATTATCTTGCGCTTCAAGAATCGATTCATATTTTTGATTCGGATAGCCTACGTCACTTCCAGCAGATTGGTATTTTAAGAGTCTTAGAGTTATGGTGTATATAAACCGTGGTTTAGTCATGTGTCATTTAATGACAGGTATGTTCTGAGAAATGTGTACTTGTGGGAGCATCATAGAATGTACTCACACAAACCTACATGGTATAGCCTACTTCACACCTAGGCTATATGGTATATAGCTTATTAGTCCTGGGCTACATCCCTGTTCAGCATGTTACCGTACTGAATACTGTGCCTAAACACACCTAAACTTAGAAAGGGTACAGTAAAAATACGGTATTATAATCTTATGGGACCACAGTTGTATATTCGATGTTTTGTTGACTGAAATGTCATGTGATGCATGACTATCACTTAGGAAGGGAAATCCTATCACATGTAATAATCTAATTCCAGCACGCCCAATCTCGCATTTCAAAGTGGACCTCAAGTGCATGAGTCCTGAAGTTCTTGCTGTGGTGCGATGAATTTTTTACATCCCAGAGTACAGTGTTTAGTGTAGACATTTAGTAAATACTTGTTGGCCTGTGCGCACTTTCCTGGTAGGCGCTTCGTGAAAGTTCGGCTATGTCCTACTCATCTGTGTATACCTGTTATCATGTGTAGTGGGTACTCTTTAAATGCTTATGATCTTGTTGGGCTTAATCTAATTTTTGAAGGTAGCAGAGTGCCTGGAAGTCCTGAATCATGATATAGTAAACTTGAACTAACTCAGTTCCTTTTTTGTGTTGAACCAGGTACGCTGTTAGGTTGAATTCCAATATTGAAAGAGGTAGCAGGTGTCAGATACTTTAGAAAAATTGGGAGAAGAAACTTCACACTGCTAATTTTGTTCTGTAACTTATGTTAGTCACTCTGATATTGGGAAAGAACATTATTTTAGTAATAGAACACCTTAGGTGAGCTAAAATAATACAATGTTTCCATGAGAGCAAAGTGTGACAACCTGAATTGAGTGACCCTCTGACTGTTACCATAGGCCACGTTTTACAATTTTGGTTTTATTTTATAAGGATATGTTTTTCAGCATATAGACCTTTATAAGGAACGTAACTTTACTTCAGAGTTTGGACTACCTTGGCAAATTGTCCCAAATGATATTTTAAATAGTTTTAGGTTGTATTTGATATGTTATGCTTCTTGTTGGTATTACATGAAGAACACTGTGTATTCTTTTACTTATATTCTTACCTCTTCTTTTTTTTTTAATATCAGAATAATAGCATGTTTTTTATTTTTATTTTTTTTTGAGGCAGAGTCACACTCTGTCACCCGGGCTGGATTGCAATGGTGTGATAGCAGCTCACTGCAGCCTCCGCCTCTCTGGTTCAAGTGGTTTCCTGCCTCAGCCTCCTGAGTAGCTGGGATTACAGGAATGCGCCACCATGCCTAGGTAATATTTTTTGTGTTTTTAGTACTGATGGGGTTTCACCATGTTGGCCAAGCTGGTCTCGATCGCCCGCCTTGGCTTCCCAAAGTGTTGGGATTATAAACGTGAGCCTCTGTGCCCTGCCTGGTTATTTTTTAAAAAAAAACTGAGGAAAATTTTCAAGTATTTCTCTTGGAAGTACAAACCAACACTCCATTCTTTGAATCTCCGGAGTAAAATTTGGGCTGAGCAGATGCAGAGCCAATTCCATAGGCTGATTCCTAGTTGAACATGTAGAGTCATAGAGGTAATAGCTTTCATAGGGACGTCTTTGAACTACTTTCTTTTTTTTTCTTTCTACTAATATTACTGAAAGCAGTTGTACGGTAGAGTAGGATGGTGTTTAATTTATAGGAAGCAAATCAGCTCACATCTGTAATTGCTGGTTCTGATGTCAGTCCTAGTCTGCCTGGCCTACTCACTGCCAGATCAGTTTCTTCTATTCAGACCGAAGATATTTTAAGACCTCTGTCACCTACAACGGGAAGGATCTGGAATTATTCTGGTGCCCTGAGCATCCATTGCTCACAAAGGTATGCTGTCTCACTATATCCTTTGGATGTACTCAGTTTGCCTGCAAGATTTTCATTTTTAAAGCACTTTTCTCATAAGGAGTTTTGAAATAATGACAAACACCTTAACTAAGTGTGTGTGAGGCATCTAGAATATTTCAAAATAGTTATAGATGGAGTTAGGATATAGAATCAGACAATTAGTAAGAATATCTAGTGCTTTTCCCCTATGCTGTGTAGGATCACACAAGTCATTTAAACAGACGATAATTTTTTTTGAGTGTTTAAAAAATAACCAGAGCCAGATGTGGTGGCTCATGCTTGTAATCTCAGCACTTTGGGAGGCCAAGACTGGTGGATCACCTGAGGTAAGGAGTTCGAGACCAACATGGCCAACATGGTGAAACCCCATCTCTACTAAAAATACAAAAATTAACCGGGCATGGTGGCACGTGCCTGCATTCCCAGCTACTCGGAGGCTGAGGCAGGAGAATGGCTTGAACCTGGGCGGTGGAGGTTGCAGTGAGCCGAGATGGCACCACTGCACGCCGGCCTGGGTGACAGAGTGGGACTCCATCTCCAAAATAAATAAATAAATAAATAACCAGAGAAGCAATTCCACAGTCTTTTCTTAGTAACTTATAAATAGTCCATAGAATTTATGTTTCTTGGGTGGTTTATTTTTGTATTCCAGGTCCTTTGTGGAACTGGAACCTTGTCTTAAGCATGTTTAGGCATCCTAACAGCTTGATCTCCCTCTCCTTGCTATCTCCCCTACCTTTAGGGGGCTGGGACCTATTCTTATCCATAGGTAGGTGGTTGGGGTCTTGCAGAGCCAAGATCCTGTGATACTGTTTTCTGGACTCACATCACCAGATTGACCCTTTAGATACTGAGATCTAGGCTCCATGGCTGCTATAATTTGAACTTTTTTGAGGGTCAGCTTTTCATTTGCATGAGGGACTCTAGGACACCCTGGATTCATCCAGTCATGAGTTAGAACGCCTTTCCTGACTAGCCAGCTGTTGGATTCTTTGCTTTCTTAGTGGAGACACTTAAGGATGTCTCCCATAAATCGGTGATTTTTATGCAGTTCAATGGTAGCTCGTTATTTTTCAAGTGTTTAATTTTCTGCCTTTTTCTTCTCTTAGTTTTGAGCTTTCATTTGTTCAGGTATTGGGGTTCTCACCACCCCGTGTTTAGGTTCTATTAATTTGCTGGAGTGACAGAACTCAGGGAAACACATTTACTTGTTTATTATAATGGATATTGCAAAGGCAAACAGATGAAGAGACGTGTGGGGTGGGGTATGGGGGAAGGGGTGCAGACCTTCCATGTGATCTCTGAGTGCATCTCTCTCCAGGAACCTCCATGTGTTCAGTTACCTGGAAGCTCTCTGAACTCAGTTCTTTTGGGTTTTTGTGAAAACTTTATGACAGCATTCCTTCCTCCAGGGTATAGAATGGGATCCTCTGTGGGTTGGGGGCAGGGCGTGTCTGTCTTGGGGCAGGAGAAGGTCAGAGGCTTTCCCTGAGGCCTAACACACCCACGTCGTAGCAAAAGACTGGATCAAGGGCTGTGGTAGTTATGAGCCAGGAACCATGCATGGAATCTTCCTCTCTCTCTCATCTTGCTCTCTCTCTGTGTGGTATATATAAAATAACATCACAGGTATCTATTACACATTCCTCAAGCAAGGTCATTATCTGTCTTTACATCTAGATCATGTGTACCCCAGGGTTGGAACTGAATCTGTCCAGTTCCCTGGAGGTGTCCTTAGCACTCAGTACATATAGCAGGTGATACATATAGATTAGATATAAATTTCTCCCAACAATAAGTTCTGTTATCAGTGTGGGAAGCCAGTGTTCATATAGAAGTTTAAAATTAATTCAAGAAGCTTAGACGTTTCATTGCCATCGTTAGTACTGGAGAGTCTGTGTTTTTTTTTTTTTTTTTTTTTGAGATGGAGTCTCACTCTGTTGCCCAGGCTGGAGTGCAGTGGCGCAATCTCGGCTCACTGCAAGCTCCACCTCCCGGGTTCACGCCATTCTCCTGCCTCAGCCTCCCGAGTAGCTGGGACTACAGGCACCCACCACCATGCCCGGCTTATTTTTTGTAGTTTTAGTAGAGACGGGGTTTCACCGTGTTAGCCAGGATGGTCTCAATCTACTGACCTCATGATCCGCCCGCCTCACCCTCCCAAAGTGCTGGGATTACAGGCGTGAGCCACCGTTCCTGGCTGAGTCTGTGTATTTTAAATTGTAGGCATATCCATGTAAAAAATGGCATCAGTCACCTGACAGGACATTTAATTAAGAAGAAAAGTTATATAATTTTCACTATGTTGCCTTGTAAGGCATTGGAGATTTCAGTTTTTCATGAATTTGATTAATATGTATATATTTCTTACAATTAGTTTTATTATGAAGAAGTGAGTTTAATGGCCCTATTTTTGTTCATTAGTAATTGTATACTAAAGAGTAAATTCTCATTAAAAGGCCTTTAAATGCCTGCTCATAAAGAAGACAGACCTCTGATTTTGTTCTCTATACAATCCCAGTTATTGTTTTGAGGCAAGTCATCAAACTCTTTAGTAGTCTAAACCTTTAATTTGGTTTCAGAACAGTAGTCATGTATTGAACACCCAAATTACCATGTCTGTAACAAGTAATGCAAACACTCCGTATTAAAAATGCAATGACTGCAACTGTTTTTGTAAAATTTCTTGTGCTAATTTTTTAAAGAGGACTTTTGAATTAAGTTTCTCATGAAGGCCAAAATCTTATACTTTTAATGGTAGTGGAGTGTGTGTATATGTGTAGAGGCGAGGGGGTGGTAATTTTTGCAGTGGTATTTTTAAGTGGACAGTTTACTAATTATGTTGAGGTAAACACTTTACAACTCTAAAAGGAAAACTTCAATTATCTGAATGAAATGAGGTACATGAAATTAATTCAGATAAGTGGGGGAATCTTTGGTGTAAATGATGCATGTCAAGGTACATGACCTCAATCTTGATTTTTTTTTTTTCCTTTTTTCTTTTTCTATATATCTGTTAGCTGCTTACGAGATTGTGATTCTTTTAGGTCATGTTAGGAATCATTGATGGGGGAGGCAAAGTTGCTCTATAGTTTTGTTTTTTCTTTGCTACACAGGAATCCAGAGTGTGGTATTCTGTGACGAGTATAATTGCTCATCTCTCCCCTGCACTGCCTGCTGTTTTAGGTGGTACACCACAGCCTTCCATTTTGTCACCTTCCTGTCAAAAGTGTGTGTGACTCCTTAAGAATACAAGTTGTTTGAAATTAAAGCCACACTCCTCTGTCCAATCTCAAGATGTTTATAATTCCTAAAAGTTGAGTTACAGCAGGTTATAAAAGATATGGGATTGAGGTAGATGAACCGTGATTCCTTCTCTGTCCTCCTTTGGGTTTAAATATTAAGCAGCTATCTTGTAGTGTAGGCCCTTAAAATAGAAACAAAGGGTTGGGGCATGATGCCTAGCCTTTATAGATCCTAACTTGAAATGAAAATTTTATGGATTGATTAGAGTTTTAGGAGAATGATTATCTGCTGCAAATTACTAAGGTTTGCAGCATTCCTGGGCTCCTGGCATCTGAAAGCTATTGTATAATCTGTGGAGAGCCTGTTAGGTGTGATGACGTTTGTCTTCTAGGCTTTTTTTTTTTTTTTAAATGGAAGCAAGCATGTCTCAGCCACAGAGATGTGTACTGACACCTTATAAGTGAATTTACTTTTTTCTTTACTCAAAGCACCTGAAAACATGGCTCTTTATTTTCAGTGTGCACCAGCTTCCTTTTCACCTCTTGGTCTTTAAGATACAAGGTGATTCATATCTTGATTACCTTGGGTAGGTGGGTATGATATCAGCAAGCTCTGTGTCCGGACCTTGTGAGCAATTCCTAGGTCATTGCCTGAGGCCTTCTTAAATATATGCAGGTAATGTGACTGCAGATTTTGGGTTTCACAGTCAGTCCAGATTGATTTTGACTCTGGGCCATTTATGAGCAGCAAGCCTTTGCGGGGAGTTAGTAACTGCTCCGAGTTTCAGTTTTCTCCTATCTGATGGGGGGGATTAGTCTTTTTTAGTGTTATCTTTTTTTTAGTAACTTAGTTGTATTAATCTGTTGTCGTATTCAAATGGTGTGAATTAATGAACTATCTAGAGCATATCATTTTAAAAGGAAGTAGGTTTTGTACTATTTAAAGACAGAGGTAATCAAATTAGTAAAAATCTTTCCAAATAGAGGTCTTACTCAATTGACTTTAAAACTGTATAAGACTCTTGTAGTTATCAGTTTATTTATATACAAATAATACACTCCTGCGTGGTATAGCAAGGCAGAGTATGTATTGTATTCTGTAGTCAGACAGACTTGTATTGGATGATTCATCACTTTCCACTTCGGTAACCTTGGGCAGGATACTTTACCTATTTGATTCAAAGTTTTAGTCTGTAAAACTACTAATGAAGATTTAAAGAATAGAGATGTAAAGAACAATAAAGGGTAATAAGGACAATAAAAAGGTGGTTGTGAAGACTTAAGAGGAAGGTATGCAAAATGCTTGGTTATGCCTGAACCCAATAAATACTGATAGTTGCTGTTGTGACCTTGGACAAGTAACTTCACCTTTCTTCATCACAGGTTTCCTTATCTGTAGCATAAGTATACAGCTAACTAATAGGTTTAGGGTGAGGATTAAATGAGATAATACATGTAAGTGCTCACTAAATATTAATTGCTGTTGTTATATAAACAAATTAGACCAATTTTTGAGTTCAAGAATTCATACACATATTTAGTATATTTATTATATGGGGGATATTCACTGTGGATTTGGGGATGGTGACTTATTCATAGCTTTTAGTGTTTCCTTAAGATAACAGTTCACAAATTGTGGCGTACAAATCCCTAGGGATCACTGAGACCCTTTCAGGAGTGTCCATGAGGTAAAAACCATTATCATAGTAACGCTAACTTTTTGCCTTTTCTACTGCTTTGACATTTGCCCTGCTGTTGTAAAAGCAATGATCGATGAAACTAAGCATTCTAGAAATTAAATGGCAGTAAGACCCAACTGTACCTAGTAATCATGGTATTCTTCACAGCTGTGCATTCACAGAAAAAAAGAAAAAGCCACTTTCACTTAAGAATGTCCTTGAAGAAGTGATAACAATTGCTAATTGATTAAATTTTGACCCTTAAGCATACTTTGTTTTAATATTTGCTGTGATGAGATACGAAATGTGCAAAAAGCATTTCTGCTGCATATCCAGAGTACATTGCCTGTCTAGAGGAAAAATCCATATGTGATTTTTCTTTTTGAGTTGCTAGTGAAACTAGCCAAATTTTGCATGAAGCATCATTTTTACTTGAAAGAATGAATACCAAACTGTGACTATTTAGACTTAGAAATTTGGCAGTCATTTTCTTGAAAATGAACAAAGTGAGCCTGTCACTTCAAGGAAAACAACTGACAGTTTGTTGCCAATGATAAAATTCAAACTTTCAAGTGAAAATTAAAATTTTAGAAAGCTTGTGTTACCTGCTGTGCTATTGTCAGCTTCCCAGTACTTAAAAGATTTTCCTGATGAGATGATGGGTGGTGATTTTTATGAATGTGAGTTTTTGCTATTATATGATGAATTGTGTCAAGATTTGTAATATCTGTATAACTCAGTGAGCCAATATTTTCAAAGGGACCAGTGTTACAAAATTATGGGTGAAAGATCTTTTCAAAAAGCAAGTAACAGAATACAAAGAGTTCATATATATGAGATTCCATATTTCGACTAACCCTTAAGAAACTCCTACTTGTCAAGTTTTGGTGTAGTATCAAAAAAGAACATCTACAATTATCTGAATGGGCTATTAATACATGTGCTTCCGTTTCACTACATATTTGTGTGAGGCCATTTTTTTTTTCATGTTGCTCAATCAAAACAACATAGCACAACAGATTGAATGTAGACACCAATATGAGAATCCAGCTGTTTTCTATTAAGCTAGGCATGAAAGAAATTTGCAAAGCTTTTATAACAACATAATTTTCACACAAAGCTTTTTTGTTTTTGAAAGCTTTTTTCTGTTTTGAAAACATTTTGTTTTCCTAAAATGTATTGTCTTATTACATATGTTATCTTACTAAGTTTTTAAAATAAATTGATAAATACTTAAACTTTTTCTCATTTAATTTCTAATACGGTGAATGTTGATCATTACAAGCCACATAAACAAAAGCTCTTGGGAGTATTCACTAATTTTTAAGAACACAAAGTGGTCCTGACTAAAGAGATTGAAAACTCTTTCTTTAAGGAAAGAAGGCCAGATTCATCAAATGAACAAAGTTCTGAAGTTTTAATCATTTGGGTATTCCTTTGGAATATGGACTTAACATGCCTCTAGTTTCTTTTTCTGGTTATAAGAATGTATCAGTGGACTACTGTGACATTTTCCAAATATTCAGAGGGTAAGAAGGTTTTTGTTTTTAAAATGGATGCTACCTATGTGGTTGCCATACCAAATTGAGATACAGTTAATGGTCATTCTTGTCAGCCTGTTCACACTTGATACCACTCTATTGGTTGTGAGGTATACCTGTGGTTTTGGAGCTGTTCACCATGGCAGATTACTTCAGGGTTGTAGTGACTCTCACTTTACAGAAGAGGCAGGAGGATTGCTTAAGCCCAGGAATTCGAGTCCAGCCTGGTCAACATAGCCAGACCCCATCTCTACAAAAAATTTAAAAAAAAAATTAGCCCGGTGTGGTAGTGTACACCTGTAGTCCCAGCTACTTGGGAGGTTGAAGTGGGAGGATTTCTTGAGCCCAGGAATTTGAGGCTGCAGTGAGCTATGATTGTGCTGCTGTATTCAGCCTGGGTGACAGAGTGAGACTCTGTCTCTTAATCAAATAAACAAATAATAAACCAATTTTCTTTGAAGTCCATACGCTAATCCGTCCTGACATTTTTAAAGCTATTTTCTAGTACCGTCAATCTACAATTTATGACTGCGTTTGTGAATTAACTATCTGCAACAATGTAATATGAATTACAGATGGGTTCTGTAGTGCCATTAATAGTATGAGTGTTTCAGCCTCATTATGGACTAATTAACATCTTTTTGTGTGGAATTATACTTTTGACTTCTAGAAATCTAGCCAAACACATTCCTCCATTGCAGTCCAGCAGTGGCAGGAAACTCTTCTTTTTCCCTCACAACAGAAACAGGGTTGTTAAAGCTTTAGTGACAGCAAGAGAGGCGTTTTGAAGCAATGCTCAAGAGACACAGATATCTTGGGCATCCCACGTGGGTGGTGGGTGATAGGTAACGCTTTCAGATGAAGCAAGTATAGAAACTTTGGGCCAACTAGCAGTGTTGGAGGGAAAAAACGGATATTCTGGATACTACTTGGTTGTGGGGGGTGATATATTCTCTTTTGGAGCAGATGCTAAAACATAAGAGATGTTTTAAGTTGGGTGTTTCTAAGTTGGGAAATCCATCTATATAGATAAAATTTTCTTGGTCTCTTGTTATATGAACTGAACTCAAATAACAAAAAGACAGGCCAGTTGGGAATGTTGAACAAGTCTTTGGCCAGAAGTTTCAATGTAAAATGAAAGTGATGAACTTCAGGGGCAATCATAACCAGGAGGAACAGTGGAAGCCAAGAGGAGTGTTGGAATATGCAGACTGTTCACAAGGTGCCCAAAACAAATCCACCATGCAGGATGGCTGTTAGAGCAGGCATAGAACTGATGATCAGCTGGCATAGTTCAAAGAATGCCGTGACTCAGCCCCTTGCCCACATGTCTTTGGCAGGAAATACTGCCAGACTAGACTGATGTCTAGTACAGGAAGTCCATTACAGAGAATGGTTGATATAAAGCAGAAATTCAGAACCAGGAGAGTTTGGGGACATGGAGCAGGCCAAAGTTGGAGAACTGGAATTTGACCTGAAGGTGAGCTCCTTGTCCTCTTCCTGCCCAAAGTCAATATTAACCCCTTGGATTGAGGCAAAACTGAGCCAAAAGGGAGACCAAAGTGACTAGAGCTGTCTGCATTGTAGTAACAGGTCTGGCCAAACAAATACTTGTTAGTTGAATGGATAGAAGTAAGACAGGGAAACATTATAGTCTTTCCACTTAGGTTCTTCATGTGACATACACTAGGTATCATGTTACCTACTCACCAAAAAAATAATTTAGGCCAGGGGTTTGCAAACTTCTCCTTGGAAGGACCAGGCAGTAACTATTTTAGTCTTTATGGACCCTATGGACTCTGTTGCACCTACTCAAGTTGGCCACTATAGCCTGAAAGTAGCTGTAGAAGCATACCTAAATGAAAGAATATAGCCATGTTCCAATAAAGCCTTATTTATGGAAGTGGAAATTTAGCTTCATATAATCTTCACATGTCACAAAATATTAGTCTTCTTAAAAAATCTGGTTTTTCAACCATTTACAAATATAAACCCATTCTTAGATCATAGATATACAAGAACAGGTTGCATGCCGGATTTTAGTGCCCAGGCAATAGTTTGTTGACCCTTTTCAGGCAAATAAATTACTATCAGTCATGATGCTGAAAGCTTAGCAGTGCTGAAATAGATGTTTTATAGGACGATGCTGTTGGTGACACTGTCTTATTTTATAGGTGACACTGATGATAAAAATCCATCCAAGAATTTATATGTGACATCTGCAGCAGGTTCAAATCTCTCAGCTATGAGACAAACTGGATACTTCCTAAGGATTGCCATCTATTATGCACAGAGAGCCAAAATCCGTTACTGAAATTGTCTGGGTGAGCCGCCTGCTGGGTCCAGTGATGCACTGGTAGACAAAGGAGTTGAAAAAGAAGTGTGGCATATTCTTTGGATGACTGGCAGAGTGTGACACCAGTATGGCACCAAGCCCTACTATGATTCCAAGGACTTCAGGACTAAAAATATATATATATATAAATGAAAAAAAATTTTGGTGGTATTGGTTGGTGTGGTTGAAGTAAATTTGAGCTTTACTTGGGGAATGTGTATTATATTATCATTCCATAATGTAATTCCTTTGGTAATCAAGCTTTAAAGATCTTATATCTATGAAACTCATATAGTTATCACCTTTTAGTATTGGGTTATCTCACTGTAAGGGAAATACAGTAAAGAAAAACATCTGTTGACTAAAAGGGTTAATTTCAGGACTATGATTTTCATGTGGAAGTGTTTGCCTGGAGGATTCTTGAAATTTTGCCTTCATCTAGAGTATTTAAAATGTTTCTATTTGCAAAAAGCTATTATACTCAGAATTTTCTAGGAAAACATCCTTTTCAGTGGACTCTTCAATAGTAAAGAGTCACACTGTATGGTGTTAGTGTCCATAGAACAGTTGAATTCATAAATTAATATTTTTAGACCTATCAACTAAATTAAATTCACTTAAAATGATTTGGCAAGCAGGTATGAACTGAAAATAAACCTATGTATTTTTGTTTTTTAGAAGTATTGAATCAGAAGAAATTGGAACATCAAAGTATTCTCTGAACCAAATTGATGTTTTATTTGGTTGAGAGTCCTTACTTTTGGTATACTATTTATACCAGTAATAGAGTATTTGAAAGCAGTGCTGGGAAATGAGGTGCATGGATTCTCTCAATGTTGAATCCCATTTTTTTCCCTCAGTGAATCTTCAACATTTTTAAATCTTAGCATTCAACAAAAACTCTACAGCCTAGATATAAACCATAGATTACTTTTTATATAGCATATACAGTTCATCAACAAACAGTAAAGTTTCCTTCATGACTTACCTTGAAATCTTTATTCAAAGGATATACTATTCAATTTTTCAGTGTGCCACTGCCACCACTGCATGTTTTTGGTCAGAGTGCAGTGCAACTAACATCGCCATCCTGCTAGGAAAAAGATCTGCAGGTTGCTGGATAGTGGAAGTTGCACACATCTAATTTACAAGTCAGATTAGAGATCAGAATCTTACAATAGCTTTATGTGGAATTGATTTCATTTCATGGTTTTTAAGCTGTTTTTTCATTGAAGCAATGCCTGTAACTGAAAGACAGGTGTGTTGTAGCATTTGAATACCTTAAACTCTTTTGAATCTGGAATGAAAGGGATGTTCTGGATTCTAAAACTCAGAGATTTTGAATTAAATGCCATCATTCATTTATTGTGCCATAATTGAACTACCTTGAGAACTGAATTTGGAATTACTGTGATTAATATTTGGAAAGCTTTGCCATTTTCAAATACAAGTCACTTTAGGAAGGACCACAATTTGTGTGTGTGTGTGTGTGTGTGTGTGTGTGTGTGTGTGTTTATTTAAATAGAGCAGCAGGCACCTTTTTACCTTATAGATAAGGTAAATTTAATAAGAAATACGTGGTTTTTAACATTGATATCCCATTCTATTTAAGAAGTCCATTGTGGCCTTTCTGGAGGCCTTCAATAAGGGGAAAGGGACGATGAATAGAACACTGTAGATTGCAGTTTATGTTTTTCCTTTTAAGGCAAACCATTTTCAAAATATAATAATGCCAATGAATACATAAATATAGATTGATAGTTTGAAGTTATTTTAAGTTTACCTGTCTATATTAAAATTGAGAGCCATCTCATAAGAGTGAGTATAAAAAAGTTGTTCATTTTAGAGTGCATAGTGCCATTTAATTGAATTAGAGAACACAGTTGCAAAAAAAAAGCATCTTTTAGATGGTTCTTGAGCCATTAATTGATTTATTGAATATAATCAAGAAGAAAAATCCAGATGTTTAAAACTAGTTTTGTATCAGGTCAGAAGAGTATTTAGCTTTATTCTCCTCCACTCCCTTGTCTGATGAGTTCTCATAAATTGCTTTCTGAAATGACAAAACATTGGGATTTGGAAAGCCTTGAGAATTCATCAGTTTTATCTTTTTCTCCAGTGTTTTTTACAAAGGACCCATTTAGTCGTGATATTTATAGGATATGAGGAAGGCAGTGATCCTGGCATTCGTGGACTCCAGAAAACATTTTGGAGAAAAATTAATGTAAGGTAAGGGTGTAGTAGGTATACATTGCTGTATTCATTTTATTGTCCCTTCCTTCCTTCCTTCCTTCCTTCCTTCCTTCCTTCCTTCCTTCCTTCCATCCTTCCTTCCTTCCTTCCCCTTGAAGATCTTGTTGCATACCAATTTATTCATTTTAGTATAGCAGTGACTATTTAAATGGGTCCCTTTCTAACCACCTTTCCCTCCAACCTCAAAATCCCTGGTTAAAATGCTTTTCTTTAAAGAGAGTCAGAGGTAATTTTTTGAATGGAGAAAGTGAGGCTATTCCAGACATTGGGAAATGAGTGGAGTATAAAAGGGAGAATGAGATCTAAATGTGTTGTGATAGATAGTAAGATCATAGATGAACACTCTATTTTTGGATTGAAAAGGGTGCTAGAGTAAGTATATCAATGGAATACAGTGGCTTGTTATCATTATGAACTGTTTAGTAAGTCTCCAGTATGCCAGACATTGAGTAAGACATTTTGCATAAATTCTGTCTTTCCAAAATCTTGAAACAGGTGCAACTATCCCAATTTCCTTATGAGGAAACAAGTTAAATGGTGTATACAAAGTCTTAGAGTAAGAATTGAAATAGAGAATCATACAGCTAGTGGCTCATTTTGTGCAGAGACCTTTTCTTTCTGGTGATTGTCTGATAAGTTATTAGTGAATAGAAAAGAAATCTGAAAGGCCAGCATACATGTAGGGAGATTTTAAGATTAACAGCTTTTAACACGAATGACTTCATGTTAGTGTTGTAGAATGACATTGGAGCCTTCTTGAGAAGCAGTGACATATTTGCGAATATTGTATCTGGACACTAGAACTCAACCATCTAATGGGTTGCCTTTATTATTAGTAAAGTATTGTATAGCTGCACTTTCAGGTGTAAGTGATGCCATGGTACAAAACTCATATACGGAGGGCAGGTGATCATGAGCTACCAAAGAAACTGCTATATATCATAAGCTGAATTGGATCACCTCCAAATAGAATCTGTAGAAAAGTACTTGAAAGAGGACTGGTTCAAGCAGTCATCTGATACAAAGCTGACTACCAAACATTTTGGGATGCAGGGATGATAACTGGATAATGGTATCATGAAGCTCATTAAAATAAGAACTGTAAATGTTTACAGGCTTTACAAGCAGATATATGCAGCTCTGTAACAAAATATCATCTTCTTGGAAAGGACCCATTTGGTTAGGAACAAGGCCTTAGCAGCAGCGTTTTTTTTTTTTGAGATAGGGTTTCACTCTGCCCAGGCTGGAGTGCAGTGATGTGAACATGGCTTACTGCAGCCTCAACCTCTGAGCTCAAGCAGTCCTCTCGTCCCAGCCTCATGAGAAGCTGGGACCACAGGCATGTGATAATACCCAGCTAATTTTTTTAGTTTCTGTAGAGATTAGGTCTCGCCATGTTGCCTAGGCTAGCATTTTTAAATACAAAAGGCAACTGTGCAGTAGGGTGTTGGAGTCAGATGATCTGGTTATGTTTTTTGAGATATAGAGCAAAATGATGTGGGATATTTGGCTTTGCTATTTGTCCCCCAGGGGGAGTGAAGTAAAGCACAGCCAAGGTGATAGTGTCATGGCAGAGCTTAAATGTGAGTACTGTGGCACCTTGGTGTGGGATGTGGTAATGAAGACAGGACAGGTAAAAATGAATGAAATCATGAACTCAAAATGTTAGAGTGAAAAATACTTTTCTAATTGTTTGAAAATACAGAAAAGTAAAAAGGCAAACAGATCATAGGCAAACAAATAAGACAGTTGGACAGAGGTGAGAAGTAGGAGGGCTATTCAAGAGTACAATAGTCCTAGAAAGTTTTTCTCAAAGAGGGAGACGACTTGGAAAGAGAGAGCAGAAAAGTGATTTAGAAATAGATGTTACTGAAATATGTGAGTGAGCTGCTCAAAGACTGCCAGGAGACAGAGAAAATACTGGATAAGAAGGAACAAGTGACCTTTAATATGAAGTTGTATTTCTATCTTATGGTGGTCAAAGGTGACCAGCTAGTTCAGGTAATGGCTTCCCAAGAAAAGACATGCTGATTGTTCCCATTTGTTCTGGGAACATTTATGGATATTTCTATAGGCTGGACTTATCCTTGTATCTTATGATACTGGGTGACTTGGATTTCTGATTTAGAATCTGACTTAGGCTATAAGTTTGTTATGATTATTATCCATATTATTTTCAGCTTTTGGGCAAGAGATTACACTTTAACTGGCTATCCTTGCCATCCTCGAGAAGTAAGGTATCAGATGTGACTTTAAAAATTAACTTTATGGGCCGGATGCGATGGCTCATGCCTGTAATCTCAGCCCTTTGGGAGGCTGAAGCGGGTGGATTACCTGAGGTCGGAGTTTGAGACCAGCCTGGCCAAAATGGTGAAACTCCATCTCTATTAAAAATACCAAAATTAGCCGGGGATGGTGGTGCGTGCCTGTAATTCCAGCTACTTGGGAAGCTGAGGCACAAGGATCGCTTGAACCCTGGAGGTGGAGGTTGCAGTGAGCCGAGATCACTCCACTGCACTCCAGCCTAGGCGACAGAGCAAGACCCTGTCTCAAAATAAATAAATACATAAAAATTAAAATTAACTTTATGGAGTATAATTTATGTCCAATAAAGTGAACCAATTTTTAAGTGAATTTTGACATGTGTGTACACCCATGTTAACTATCCCACTTTCAAAAAATAGAACAGTTTATCATCCCTAAAAGTTCCGTTACGCACTGTTTCTATTTATTTATTTATTTGAGACGGAGTCTTACTCTGTCACCCAGGCTGGAGTGCGGTGGCACTATCTCCACTCACTGCAAGCTTTGCCTCCCGGGTTCACGCCATTCTCCTGCCTCAGCCTCCTGAGTAGCTGGGATTACAGGTGCCCACCACCATGCCCGGCTAATTTTTTGTATTTTTTAGTAGAGACGGAGTTTCACTGTGTTAGCCAGGATGGTCTCGATCTCCTGACCTCATGATCCGCCAGCCTTGGCCTCCCAAAGTGCTAGGATTACAGGCTTCAGCCACTGCGTCTGGCCCCCTTAATGCACTGTTTCTATCAGGCCTTCCCTTTCCTCATCTCCCCACAGACAGCTAGTGTTCTGATTTCTATTTCCATAGATTAGGTTAGCCTGTTCTTGAGCTTCATATATATGAGATGATAGAGTATATACCCTTTTGTATCTGACTTCTTTTCCTCAACATAATGTTTTTGAGATTAATCCATGTTGTTGCATGTATTAGTGGTTCATTCTGTTTTGTTGCTGAGCAGTGTTTTATTTTATGTAATTTGTTTACCATTCTTCAGTTAATGAGCATTTGACTGTTTTTCTATTTATTGGCTCTTGCAAATCATATCACTATAAACAGAATTTTTGTATAAGTCATTTTATGAACATGTATTCCATTTTCTCTGTGTTAAATACCTGAGTGAAATTATTCTTTGATAGGATTGCTATGTTTTAATTTTATAATTATATATATAACTTTATATGTATAACTTTTCCTAAATGGTTATACCCATTTCTACCATGCATTGTTAGTTCAAGTTTGTAGATGTCTGTATTTTGTACCAAGAATATTGGTTTGTACTAAATGATTTTTACAAAGCCAGAGAGCCTGTAGGAGTATTCTTCATGTAATAGCTGAAATCTAGTATATTTTAAAGATATATCTATTTAAAAAAAAAAAACTCTAATGATAATAAGATTGATTAAGTATATATGAAATTATTGATAAGTAGATATGCAGTTATTGACCTGGTTGGTTGCACAGAATTTTTCATTTTCATTTTGCAGGTAGCATGTTTTAATCTAAATTCTAATGTGGACATTTTCCATTGTAAACAGTTGGCTCTTCATGAAATGTATATATAATTAAATATGAATAATACTAATCTTTAAGGTAAAATTTGTATGACCAGATGAAGAATCTCCTTTTTTCTTTTTCCTTGATATGTTTAGTCAGTAGCTTTCCCCCTCATTTTTTTGTAAATCTGTATTTCACATTGAGTTGCTTAAAATGAGAGGTCTCATAATAGGTAAGTGGTAAATGTAGGGGAATTATACACTTTTGATAATAGAATGATGACTAGGAATTGTTTGTTTCAGTATTTTTGCTAAAGCTCCAAAGCTGAAACCAAAGGGTAATAAGTAACCCTGCTTTCTAAAGAGGGATGTGGGGCTTAGTAAAAGAGAATAGACTTGGTTCACCCTCAACACCTGTTTCCCGCATATAGGAGAAATTAGAAGAGAGATTAAAAGTGTCATTCCGATGGAGCTGTTAATCTAGTGGGGAGTTAGTTTTGTGACATTTCCCTGTTTCTCCCCAAATGGACCTTTTTTTTCCAGCCCAGGATTTGGATTTGTCTGCCAGAAGTGTAAATTGATATGTAGTTTGTCTGGATGTTTAATGAGCTGCAGAATCTTGTTTCCTTGTGCTGCAGTGGCACCTTCCAGAGAGTTTTTGAGAAAACGTGATCATAGTCCCATTTTCACACTGCTATAAAGAAATACCTGAGACTGGGTAATTTATAAAGAAAAGAGGTTTAATTGACTCACAGTTCTGCATGGCTGGGGAGGCCTCAGGAAACTTACAGTTATGGTGGAAGGGGAAGTAGGCACATCTTACATGGTGGCTGGCGAGAGAGAAGGGTGAGTGAAGGAGGAACTTGCCAAACACTTGTAAACCATCAGATCTCAGGAGAACTCACTCACTATCATGAGAATAGCATGGGGGAAGCCACCCCAGTGATCCAGTTACCTCCCACTGGGTTCCTCCCTTGACACCTGGGGATTACAATTACAATGAGATTTGGGTGGGGACACAAAGCCTAACCATATCACGTAACATTTCTGAGAGTTGGGAGCACACTTGAACATAGACTTGTTCCTGGAGGGGAGGAGAATGACTGGCGTCAGTCGAGATGGCATGTTGAGTGAGAGAGCAGTAGGTAGAGGAGTCTGCATGTGTCCATCTTGTATGGTTAAGAAGGCATGACTTTTTTTGTCGTGCAAGTGGTCATGGTGGGAGGTAACCAGACTTGAGTTATCTGGATGGATCCTGCCAAGGAGGGCTGCTTGCCATGTGAAGGGACTGTGGGCGGGATAATGGGAGGTTAGCCTAAGAGTGTATTTCCCAGCTGGGTGTAGTGGCTCATGCCTGCATGCCTGTAATTCCAGCACTTTGGGAGGCTGAGGCAGGAGGATCACTTGAGCCCAGGAGTCTATGGCCAGCCTGGGCAACATAGTGAGACTCTTGTCTTTATTCAAAAAAAAAAAAAAAAAAAGAATGTAACTCCCACAATAGGGGACTATGAAAGATGGAAGGGTCACCTTTTTGCTTGCTGTAACTGATGACCCCTCTGCTGTGAAGTCACTTGAGAGTGACTGAGAAATAATGGAATTTATCTGGGGTTTTGAGAGATGGGGAAGTGAGATCCAGAGAAATATGTTTGAAAGCATATATTCCATTGAGTTCAGTTCACTTGACCAGTTTTTTAGTTCAATAGGATTTTTGTTCAGTTGAATAAACCTTTAGTAAGTGCTTAAACAGAATATGTAAGGTACTGTTCTAGGCATTTCATGAAAGGCAAAGATGGCTGTGGTGTTTTCTGTCCTCAGGGAGCTTCTGCTTTAGTGTAAATAGCTGAAGTTAATTCATGGCAGAATGACATAGGTACTTTAAATGTGTAAGTGGCAGTACTATGGGAATTTGGAAAGAACAGTGAATACCACTGGGGTTCAGAGGAGTCTGTGGAGGAGGCCAACTTTGGGCTGGATCTTGAAAGAACAAAAGGATATCAAGTAGGAAGAGAGGCATTCTGGCATGAGGGAATAAACAAAGCCATGGAAATGGGTGACTGAGAAGTAATTCTCATTCACACTGGAAAATGATAATTTTACTTTTTAAATAATGCTTTCAACCATCAATTAAGCTTGCTTGCCCATGTTATAATTCCAGTTGAATCTTGGTATTTTTATGTCATCTTTGCAGTTCTCTAGTGATGCGCAATGTGTCTTCCTTTATGAGCTATAGCGTGCATTATCAAGTTGGAAACGTTACTCACTTTAGTACCTGGATGGTTATAAGCATCAAAACCAAACTTCTAAGTCTAATCACAAAGCCTATTACTTTCCCTGATTTAAAACAGTAAAATGTAGAGAAGATGATGATTTTTACATATCCTAAGAAGCACTTGGCAGAGCAATTAGTTTCATAACAAGTGATTGTTTTTTAAAGCTCTCTCTAGAATAAGAATGAGTATCTTGATGCTAGTGTCACTTTTAAATAGCTATGGCTCCAGGAATGTGTCTGTTCATGTTATTATCTTAAATACACACCTTATCTATCCATATTGCTATACTTCAGATGTGAAAGTGAAAATAAAGGTGTGAAGTGCCTAGCAGACTTGTATGGATTTATGTAAATCAGAAAACACACAAACAATCCATTAGTCTCAGTGCTGAAGCCCTGATATATTAAAATCAAATATGGATTATTTCCTAAAAATTTCACGTACACACATACCATCATATCCAGTGATTTACTTGCCAAAAAAAAAATCTTTATTTCTTTGAACTCTAGACACATATCCAGCTGTCTTATGACATCTCCATATGGATATTTAAAGGAATATAAATCTTCAAATACTTAAAACTGAGCTGATCTTTTTACCCAAACTTGTTTCATCTTTAATCTTCGCCATCTAAGTCCATTGGTGTTACTCAAACCAAAAACGTTGGAGTCATCCCTGACTCTTCTTTTTCTTTCACATTCACAGTTTGTCTCAGTAGTTCATGTTAACTCTACCATGAAAATATATTTAGAATTTGAATCTTATCACCTTTCACTCCCTCTACTACTACCTGGCCAAAGCCACTGTCATTTCTTACTTGGATTATTTTAGTAGCCTCTTGACTGGTCTCTCAGCTTTTTCTCACAACCTGAAACCCAGCACATCAGTCTGGTCTCAATGCAGTATCCAGAATATTTAGGTTAAAACAAGTTAAATCCTGTCGTTCTTCAAAGCTTCATTTGTTTTCTTTCTCACTTAATGTAAAAGGTAAAGTCTTTGTAGTAGCTTATAAGGCTGTATATGATATTGCCCCCTTTGCAACCTCTTTTTTGGACTCTCTACCTAACCTTCATTCATACCTCAGTTTTTGACTCCATTTACTACCCCCCATTCCTGTTTGACACCATATTGTTTCTGGAATAGCTGGCCTTGGGGCTTTTGCGCTTGCTGTTCCCTCTGCCTGTAATGTTCATCCCCCAGGTGACTGCTTAACTTATTCCCTAATCTTTCTTGGGTCTTGAGATGTTGCATCTCTAGTGAGACCTTCTTTGGCCATCTTATTTAAAATGTCCCTCTCCCTGCAACTACTTTATGTTTCTCATTTGCTCTTTGCCAGATGAACTTACGTATATTTTGCTTTACTTTTTATGACCTTTTTCTTTCAGAATGAAAGCTTGATGAGTGCAAAGTATTTTATGTTTTGTTTACTCCTGTGCCATCAGACTTGGAGTCGTTTCTGGCACACAGTTGGCACTTAATGCATAATTGATTGAATGATAAAAGACAATGAAAGATTTATTACCTAGGGGTTAAACCTGTAGTTAGGTTGATTTGTCTTTTATTGTATCTTTGGGGAATGATGCTATTTCCAAATGGCTGAATGTTACTTCTTTTTAATTAAATCATATTTATTGGTATAATTTGCATATAGTAAAATGTGCTTATTTTAAATGTACAAGTTAATGTTTTGACAGATTTACACATTGATGTAACTACTACTACAATCAAGGTACAGAACATCTCCATCACTTCAAAAGTTTCCTTGTGTCTGTTTGTAGTCACTCCTCCCTCATTCTCATCTCCAGGCAACTAATGATCTGATTTTTGTCACTGTGAATTCGTTTTGCCTGCTCCAGAGTTTCAAATAAATAGAATTATACATTATATACTCTTTAGAGCATGATGTTTTTGAGGCTTATTATGTTATTGTATGTGTCATTAGTTTGTTCCTTTCAGTAAAGAATAGTGTTCTATTGTATAAATGTGCTCACAATTTGCTTATCCATGTATCTGTTCATGAACATTTGGGGCGTTTACAGGTTTTTTTGCCTATAGTGAATGACACTACCATGAGCATTCAAGGTGCGAGCCTTTGTGGAAATAGGCTTTAATTTTTCTGGGTTGATTACTCAATAGTAAAATTACTGTTTTATATGGTAAGTTTATGCTTAACTTTGTAAGAAATTGCTTTGAAGAACTATTTTCTTCAGTGATTGTATCATACTCACTAGCAATATATGAAAAAATTCTAGTTGCTCCACATTCTGGCCAGCACTTGGTATAATTCTTTTAAATTCAGACACTCTATTGGGTGTATACTGGTATCTCTTTGTGGTTTTAATTTGCATTTTTCTGATTACCAGTGATGTTGATATTTTCATTTATTCATTGGCCATTTATATAACTTCTTTTGTGAAATAGCTGATGAAATCTTTTGTCCATTAAAAAACGTTGGATTGTTTCTTGTCATTCAGTTACAATAGTTCTTTATATCTTTGTATATCTAGATACAAGTTCTTGTTAGATGTTTTCTCTTGGTCTGTAGAGTAAGTGTAGTTTATCAACATTTTCTTTGGTGGTCTGTGCTTTCTTTCTTTCTTTTTTTTTGGTAATATCTAAGAAATTGTTGTTGTTGTTTTTTTGAAATGAAGTCTCGCTCTGTTGCCCAGTCAGGACTGGGATTACAGGCGTGAGCCACCGCGTCCGGCAAATGTCTAAGAAATCTTTGATTAATACCAGGTTGTAAAAGATTTTCTGTGTTTTCTCCCAAGAGTTTTACAGTTTTGGCTTTTACATTAGGTCTCTGATTTGTTTTGAGTTAATTTTTATATATAGTGTGCGGTAAGGATCAAGGTTTGTTCTCTTCTATATCCACCTGTTCTTTTCCTTTGAATTACCTTGAAATTTTGTTAAAAATCAACTAATCATGGCCAGGCATGGTGGCTCACGCCTGTAATCCCAGCACTTTGGGAGGCTGAGGTGGGTGGATCACAAGGTCAGGAGTTAAGACCAACCTGGCTAACATAGTGAAACCCCGTCTGTACTAAAAATACAAAAAATTAGCCTGCTGTGGTGGCGGGCACCTGTAATCCCAGCTACTCGGGAGGCTGAGGCAGGAGAATCGCTTGAACCTGGGAGGCAGAGGCTGTGGTGAGCTGAGATTGTGCCACTGCACTCCAGCCCAGGTGACAGTGCGAGACTCTGTCTCAAAAAAAAAAAAAAAAAAAAAACAACCAATCATATATGTGTGGGTTTTTTCCTGGGTGCTGTTATATTGATCTATATGTCTATCATGCCAACATAACACTGTTTGTTCAGTAGTAAGTCTTGAAATCACATGGTTTAAGTTCTTTTTGTTCTTTTTTGAAATTGTTTTCACTATTCTAAGTCTTTTCTATTTCCATATCAATTAGAGAATCGGCTTGTACATTTCTACAAAATACTTCTGGGAATTTTAATTTCCATTGTGTGAATTCAGTGGATTGGTTGGGGAGCATTAACATCTAAATGATTGAATTATTCTAAACCATGAATATAGTATACCTCAATTTAGTTATTCTTTCATTTCTCTGAGTAATGTTTTGTAGTTTTCAGTGTGCTAATCTCTTGTGTCTTTTATTAAATTTGTCCTAGGTGAATAGGACGTGAATTATATTTCTGAATGCCATTGAAAATGCTATTTAAAAAATTTACAGTTTGTCATTGTTTCTATACAGAACTAGAATTGATTTTTACATATTGAACCTTGATAATGTAATCATTAATGCTTTTGACTTTTTTTGTGTGAATTCCTCAGGATGCTCTCTATATATGATCTTGTTAATCACAAATAAAGACAGTTACTCCTATCCAATATTAGTGTCTGTTACTTCTCTTTTTCTACAGCACAGATGAGGACAGTGTTAAAGCACAGAGTAGGACACTGTTTACATTGCACAGACTAGTGCAGTGTTAAATAGAAGCGGTGAGAGTGAACATCCTTGCCTTGTTTCTAATCCCAGGGAGGAAGCATTCAGACTTTCACTGTTACGTGTGATATTAGCTCTAAGTTTTTTGCAGATGTACCATATCAGGTAGAGCAAGTTCCCTTTTATTTTAAGTATACTGAAAGCTTTTATTATATTGCATGTGAATGTTGAATGTTTTCATATTTTTTTTTGCCATCTATAGGGTGAATCATTTGTATTTTCTTTTTTTTTTTTTTAATTGTTTTTTTTTTTTTTTTTTTTTTTTAAGACGGAGTCTCGCTCTGTCACCAGGCTGGAGTGCAGTGGCACGATCTCGGCTCACTGCAATCTCTGCCTTCCGGGTTCAAGTGATTCCCCTGCCTCAGCCTCCCCAGTAGCTGGGACTACAGGCGTGCACCACCACGCCCAGCTAATTTTTGTGTTTTTAGTAGAGACGGGGGTTTCACCATGTTGGTCAGGCTGGTCTCGAACTCCTGACCTGGTGATCCACCCGCCTCAGCCTCCCAAAGTGCTGGGATTACAGGCCTGAGCCACCGCGCCCAGCCATTTGTATTTTCTTTTAACACTTGTTAATATGGTGAATTGAATTGATTAGATTTTGAATCTTAAACCTGTCTTTGCATTTTTATGATAAACTCCATTTTTTCATGGAGTTTTATGTTATCTATGGAGGATATATTCTTTTACTATGCAAAATTTGATTTGCTTAATTGCGTTGTTGATTTGTGGATGTGTGTTTATGAGACCTATTAGCTTTTTTTTTCTGGGGGGCTCTTATGGACTGTGTGTGTTCCCTCAAAATTTTTAGGTTGACGTGCTAACTCACAATGGTATTCAGAACTGAGGCCTTTGAGAAGTAATTAAGTTTAGGTGAGGTCATGAGGGTGGGGCCCTCTTAGAAGAAGAAGGAAAAACTAGAGTTCACTCTTTCTCTTTGATGGGAGTACAGTGAGAAGGCAGCCATCTACAAGTGAGGAAGAAGGCCCTCACCAGCTAACTGAATAGGCTGGCATTTCGATCATCCCAGCCTCCAGAACTGTGAGAAATAAATTCCTGTTATTTGAGCCACCCAGTCTATATCGTATTTTGTTATAGAAACCTGAGCTGACTAACCCGGGAGTAGGGTTGTAATGTCTTTGTCAGATTTTGGTATAAAGGTCATGATTGTTTCAGTAGATGCAGAAAAAGCATTTGACAAAATCTGACACTTTTTTTAGTGATAAAATACTCTAAGAATAAAAAGGAAATTTCCTCAACATGGGAAAGGGCATCTATGTAAAAACCACAGCCAACATCTTAATGGTGAAAGAGGAACAGAGCAAGAATGTTGCTTTCACTATTCAGTTTTGTATTGGACATTCTAGCCAAGACAATTTGTCGAGAAAAAGAAATAAAGGCATCCAGATGGGAAAGAAGTAAAACTATCTCTATTTGTAGATGACATGATCTTCTATATAGAAAATCCTAAGGAATCACCAAAATGTATTAGAATTCATAAATGAGATCAACAAGCTTGCAAGGTATAATAGCAATATACAGAAATCAATTGTATTTCTATACATTAGCAGTGAACAAAAATGAAATTAAGAATTCCATTTATAATTGCATCTAGAAATTAAGAAAATAAGCGGTAAAAAAATGGTACTCTGAAACCTACCAAAAATTATTGAAAGAAATTAAAGAATTAGACATCCCATGTTCATGGATCTAGATGACTTAATATTGTTAAGATGTCAGTATTATCCCAAATGATCTACAGATTCAAGGCAATCTCAGCTGCCATTTTTCTTCTTCAGAAAAGGCAAAGCTGATCCTAAAAGTTACATGGAAATTCAGGGTAGTCAGAATTTTTAAAACAGCTTTGAAAAAGAACAACAAAAGTGAAGGAGTCACAGTTCTTGATTTCAAAACTTAATACAAAGCTACAGTACCCAAAACAGGGCGATACTGGTATAATGATAGACATATAGGTCACTGGAATATAATTGAAAGCCCAGAATTAAACCCTGACTTTTATGTTCAATTGATTTTTAAAGGGTGTCATGACAATTTAATAAAGAAAGAATAGTCTTTTCAACAGATGGTGCTGGGATAACTGTGTATCCACTAGCAAAAGAATAAAGTTGGACCCCTTTCATGTACTATATATTAAAATATTAATGCCAAATGGATTATGGACCCAAATGAAAGAACTAAAACTATAAACTCTTAAAAGAAAACATAAGAGTAAGTCTACTTGTTCTTGGGTTAGTCAAAGCCTTTTTACAAGACACCAAAAGCACAAGTGACAGTAGAAAAAATAAATATGTTGGACTTCATCAAAATTAAAAACTTTATACTTTAAAAGACACTATCAAAAATAAAGTGAAAAAAACCAACACACAACATGCAAGAACATATTTGTCAGTTATATTTGTGATAAGGGACTTGTATCCACAATATATAAAGAACTGTTACAATTCAATAATCAAGACAATTCAAAAATATGAAAAGTATCTGAATAGAAATTTTCCAACAGACAGTAGGCATATGCATAGATGCTCTCAGTGTCATTTACTGTTGTGAAATGCAAGTCAAATCAGAATTTCTCATCTGCGTCTTTGTATTTTAAATTATAAATAAAGTTTATATTTACCTCTGGAAGTTCTACTTTTTAAAATAGCTTTTATTTATTATTATGTTACATTTAGAAATAAATTCTTCTGTAATCCCAGCACTTTGGGAGGCTGAGGTGGGAGGCCTACTTGAGGCCAGGAGTACAAGACCAGCCTGGCGAATATAGTGAGATCCTGTTTCTATTAAAATAATTATTAAATACATTGTCAAGTACTGTTTTAGTATATTCATTGTTTAGTGTACTTGCTATCCTGGTATGTTTGTTCCATCATATCTGTTATTTCTGGATCTATTTTTTATTGACTGATTTTTGTCTTAGTTATGAGTCACATTTTTCTTCTTTGTATGTCTGGTAATTTTTGGTTTGCTGATGGGGATTGTAAATGTTGCATTATTGAATGTCTTGATTTTACTGTCTTTTAAAAAAGAGTTTCAGTTTTAGCAGGCAGTTTACGTTCTTTGTGAATCAGCTTGATCTTTTTGGGGCTAGTTTTGTTTGTTAGGATTGTTTTGAGTATCCTTTACTATAGAGGAGGTAAATTAATAGAGGAGGTAAACTATACAGAGGTAAATTAATCTTATTTCTAAGGTGTGATTCTTCTTTATCCTCTGCTGAATGCTGTGCATGGTCAACGAAGTCCGTCTACTCTTCTATTCCAAATCTGCCTGTCTTCCAGGCTTCTGTGACCTTTTGGAAGTGTTGTTATTGTTCTCTCATATTTGTTCTTTTACCAGTCTCATGGAATCTTAGAATATTCCTCAGAAGAGTACACATGGAACCCTTGTGTAGACATGTGGTGCTTTCCCTCTTCTTAGCTCCTTTTACGTATGTACTGTACACTTATAAACTTAAGCTACCTCAGGCTTCCTAAAACTCTGATATCTGTTCCCGCGATTCAGCTGAACCACCATGTACTTAGTGTCTCCCACCATGATGCAGAGAGTGCCTCCAGGCAGAAAGCTGGTGCAATCATAGGGTTTCCCTTTCTTTTAGGGATCATAGTTCATTGCTGCCATTATTGTCTACTGTCTGAAAATGATTGTTTTGTATGTTTATCAAATTTTCTGGTTGATTATGGTATGAAGTGGGCAAGCCTGGTGCTAGTTAATCAAAGCCAGTATTGGAAATGCCCTGTTACTCCCTTTTTAGTATTGAAATTTAAGAAAAAAATAAAAGTTTTTGCATGTATCTAAGTGTTTTATTTATACATATCTCATCACAAAAAATTGTTGAACATTTTCCACCCTTTTCTTGATGACTTCTCTTTTAATTATTTTATGATGCAGACTTATGTGCTTTAGACTTTTGAAAATACTCCTCTCCTAGTTTTCCTAATTTATCTTTTCCTCCTCCAGTATTTTGTCCATATTGAGGCCAATTTCAGTTTTCAGTGGCTCCCTTATTCCCTGAAACAACCTTTTTTTAAATAAATCATCTTCATTATTCACAAAAGGAGGTTTTAATATTTAACCTTGGTACTTAAGGGCCTGTCCAGTAAGTCTCCTGTCTGCATATTCTACGTTTTTATACTTAACATAGTACTTCACTGCCTTGGCCAGCATTACTTTACTAGCCTCTGTTTCTTTGGTAATACCGTTTCCTTTGCTGAAAGCCTATCTTCAGTGCTCTCTGTGAAAAGCTTCACCATTCTTCAAAGTCTCTCATTTCTTTATTGTGGTGCTTTTCTTTTCTTTTTTTTTGGAGATGAGTTTCGCTCTGTCTCTGTCACCCAGGCTGGAATGCAATGGTGCGATCTCTGCTCACTGCAACCTCCGCCTTCCGGGTTCAAGCAATTCTCCTTCCTCAGCCTCCTGAGTAGCTGGCATTACAGGTGTGCACAACCATGCCTGGCTAATTTTTGTATTTTTAGTACAGACAGGGTTTCACCATGGTGGCCAGGCTGGTCTCGAACTCCTGACCTCAAGTGATCCCCCCCGCCTCGGCCTCCCAAAGTGCTAGGATTACAGGCCTGAGCCACCATGCCCGGCACTGTGCTTTTCTTACTAGGATCTAGTTACTGGTTACAGATACTAGTTTTCTTACTAGGTTATAGTTCTTGAATATTTGTCAAATACTCCTTACTACTTTGTAAGCCCATCAAATGCTGTACTCATCTTTGATTCTGCCATAGGCCGGTGTTCTGACTGGCCTAGAAGTTGGCGCATAGTTGATGTTCTGTAAATACCTATTGAATATTGACTGAAACAGCCTTTAAAATAGAAATTATAGATAAATTTGGCAGGTGTATCCTGATCTTCCGTGTGGCTTTTTGAGGTAATAAGTTTATGGTACGAGTGCACTGTCTAAGTATCATGCTCTCCTAAGATACACCTTTCTGTATGGCTGTAATTCTAAGTTAGGGAACAGATAGAAATAAAGGGTCTGTTCATTTCATCTGTGTAGTGTTCAGTAAAGACAGGGAGATTGCTATGGGCAATCTATTGGTTACCCCACTTGTTCTCCAGTGTAATCGATATCTTTCTTTTTACTTATTTTATGACTCTTCTAGCTTAATATCTTTTAGTCCACAGACATATATGTGTGAGTATATATATGTATATAATTATATATATATATAATTGAGGAAAAGCAGTATTTGTGGTGGCATGGGGTAAACACAAGTAAGCCCTCAATGACTTTGGTAGACAGATATTTTCTGTATGCCCTAAGTGTGGAGATGAGTGCCATTGTAGGTAGAGGAGGAGCACTTGGATGTGTGGTGGCCCCTTAAGGTTCTCAGAGGCTTATAGCTAGGTGTGTAAGTCAGGGAGGGCCAAATGTGCTTTGCCTAGCACAACTTTCACTGACTGAGCAGTCTATTTTCAGATAGTCCTTCAGATAATGAAAGTTGTCATTGCTTAATTTTATACACTCTTCCACTTATTTATACCTACTGCCATTTACTGAGGTCATCCCTTCAAAAAATATTTCTTGAGGACCCATGATGTGCCCGTGCTGGCACTGAAAAGATAAAGAAGACATGCCTCCTGGAGGAGTGGCAGTGGCCTTCAGAGGTCTTGATTAGTGCTTTGAGGCCACTGTTTGTGGAACCTGGCGTTTAATACTTGCATTTCCTCCAGAAAGCATGTGGGCATTGGTAGTGGATGTGCTTTTAAAAAGAGCCTCTTATGGCTGTATTTTGTACATGATCCCGTGTTTAATAAGATGGATGATTCAGTTTCTTCTGTGAATTCAGGTTGTGATATTTGCATCTTTGGAAATGCTATTTAGGAAATAAATACCAGCATGGAAATTCATAGTTTGTTAATTTTCTTGAAGCTACAAGGCCTGGTGCGGTGGCTCATGCCTGTAATCCCAGCACTCTGGGAGGCCGAGATGGGTGAATCACCTGAGGTCAGGAGTTTGAGACCAGCCAGGCCAACTAGGCGAAACTCTGTCTCTACTAAAAGTACAAAAAGTAGCTGGGCGTGGTGGTGCGCATCTGTAGTCCCAGCTACTCAAGAGGCTGAGGCAGGAGAATCACTTGCATCTGGGAAGCGGAGGTTGCAGTAAGCTGAGATCATGCTACTGCACTCCAGCCTGGGTAACAGAGCGAGATTCTGTCTCAAAACAAACAAACAAACAAAAAAACAAGACAAAACAAAAAAGGTACATCTTTTTTACTAAGTTGCATAGCTGTGGTATTTTGTGTAATGGTAATTGAAATGTAAAAAATGGTTTATTGGAAGGATTTTTGGTTTTAATCAGATTTTTTTAAATAAAGATTAAAACATTGGCATTGCAATTGGCTAGGAAAAAAACCCATTTTCTTTCTTTTTTTCAATGTACTAGCCTTTGGTAAACAGATGGTCAGATTAAATGCTATATAATTGAAAGTGCCTCAGAGTAAAAACTTGCAGATATTTGGGAAAGGAAATATAGTTAATACCAAAAAATTTTGGGGGCTTCTGGTTCACAAATTTGCATTACTCATCCTCCTTAGCTGATAACATATAATCATCAAGAGGCTGGACAAGACCATTTTCTCGTTTTGAGTTATTATTTTTTTTCCTTTAACCCCTATCCCTACCCCTGTTTTCCACCCCTATCCCAGCTTCCCTTAGTAGACCTTGACTTGCATGTGTTTGGCATATTACCTTGGATTGGCACATATCTTTGAAAAATACAGAACAGTTCGTATATTATGTATATCTTAAATTCAGACCTCAAGCTTTCTTTTTTCACTTTTGACACTGTTTTTAGTTTAGACATGTTATGGTGTATATCTCTAGCTAAATACTTCTAAACATAGTTTGGTTCCTTTGTAAGTTATCCAGGTAATGGATGAATGGATTGCTTCTAAAACCACTTAGACATAATGCTGTGATAAACATCTGTACACAATTTTAATACTAGTTTTATGTGTAAGTTCTTTGGGCTGTGTATTTAGGAGTGGGATTGTTGGATATAGGATAGTGGCTTGCAATAGCATTTTTCCCCGCTTGTTCATTTATATTTTTCTCATACAATTTGTATATCATTTGGCCATTTAATTATAGATAATTAAAAAAAATAGTTTTTACTGTGGTAAAATGGACCTAACATAAAATTTACTATTTTTACCATTTTTAAGTGTATAGGTCAGTGGCATTAGGTACATTCCCATTGTTGTGCAGCCATCTCTACCATCTTTATCCAAAGCTTTTCACCTTCCTCAACTGAAACTGTACCCATTAGGCAGTGGGTACTCACTCCCCAGGCAACCTGGCAGTCCGTGGCAGACTTTGTCTTTATGAATGAGACTACTCTAGGTACCTCATATAAGTTGAATCATACGGCATTTGCCATTTTGATTGACTAGTTTATTTTACTTAGTATAATGTCTTCAAGGTTCATTCATGTTGTAGCATATGTCAGAATGTTTTTCCTTTTTAAGGCTGAATAATATTACATTGTATATACATATACCACATTTTATTTCTCCATTCGTCCACTGATGGACTCTTCTACTTTTTGGCTGTTGTGAGCAATGCTACTATGAATGTAGGTATACAAATAATCTGTTCAAGTCCCTGATTTCAATTCTTTTGAGATGTATACCCAGAAGTGGAATTGCTGGATCATAGTTTTATTTTTTGAAGAACTGCTATACTCTTTTCCATAGTGGCTGCACCATTTTGTATTCCCACCAGCAGTGTACACGGATTTCAATTTCTCCATATTCTTACCAACACTTGTTTTTAAATTTTTAAAAAATTAAAAAAGAGAACTCTATATTACAGTAGTAGCTAGCATTAAGTAAGGGCTTACTGTGAGCCCAAGTGCTGTTCTGTAAGTTTTACATGTGAGAAACTTTTAGCCTTCACAACAGGTTTCCAAAATATATATATAGAGAATACGCCATTAATAGAGTTCCTCGGATAACAGAGTGATACACTGGAACTTTGAATTGAGGCACCAGTATTCAACACATGCTTCTATATCCAAAGGAAGTGCTAGACCATATACAGAATTATAGAAAGCTGGTTTTGTGACATTTGAATCCCTTTACTCACATAGAGGCTATCAAAGTGGGGGTGTTGGGGGGGAAGATTTTGTTAGATGAATTTTTCTGCAGGTCATCAGAGTGCTGTATGTTTTACCCTTGTCTCCCACAAGTTAGGGGTCTCTGAATCTTTTGTCAAGTCTAGTGAGAGAAGTTTCAACTAAACTTTATCTTGGGGTCACAGGATATTGATGCTTGACTCATACCTGGGAAAGCTGAAGTGTTCTATAGCAGTAGTGCTGGGTTTGAGAAGTAATTGCACTCTTCTCTGTCAACAGGGAAATCAACCTGCTCTCATTTTTAAGGGGATCCTGCTGAAAAAAAAGTCTCCTGCCAGGGCAAGAAGATCCCAGCAGTAATGGGCTGTTTGTGTACCACCAGGGGTTAGAAGCTAAGGAGGCATTAAGAGCTTTTAGCAGAGAGAGAGAGCAGTGTCTCTGGCAGGATATTTGCAATTGGAGGAGTATACCATTGGAAGAGTGCACATAAGCTCCCCAAGAGAGGAAGAATTAGCGTTAAACACTCTGCCATATCCCCTCTGCCATAGCCCTAGATCATTTTGCTACAGATAGCAATCAAGAACTGTCTTATATGCCTGACCTCTCCTCCCTTTCCTGACCTTGATCCTGGTGGGCTCAGAAAACTCAGGAAGATGGTGGAAGAGAAATTTGGTGAGATGAGGAGGATCCTGTTCCTTCCTTCACTGACAGTGGCTGGTGCTGGGCAGGCCCCAGCTGAGTGAAGAACATAGATTTAATGTTACATGTACTTTGGAGTTTTGATTGTTATTTGGGTCTAGTCTTTTTATTTTGTAAAATTTCAAGCCTATTGGAATGTTGAAACAATACAATACAATAAACACCCCATACCTTTTACCAGTTATTAACATTTAGCCACGGTATATATTGTATTTATACTCTTTTGGGCAGTGGGATGGGGCTGAACCATTCAAAAGTGACGTTTTACCCCTTCAGCTTGTTTATCTTAAGAATTAAAATATTCTCTCTCTGGGCGCGGTGGCTCACGCCTGTAAATCCAGCACTTTGGGAGGCCAAGGCAGGCGGATCATGAGGTCAGGAGATCGAGACCATCCTGGCTAACACAGTGATACCCCATCTCTACTAAAAATACAAAAAATTAGCTGGGTGTGGTGGCAGGCGCCTGTAGTCCCAGCTACTCGGGAGGCTGAGGCAGGAGAATGGCGTGAACCTGGGAGGCGCAGCTTGAAGTGAGCCGAGATCGCGCCATTGCACTCCAGCCTGGGCGACAGAGCGAGACTCCATCTCAAAAAAAAAAAAAATTAAAATATTCTTCTATGTAGTCGTAATACTTTTACCACACCGAGGTCTTTACCATTGGTATAATAATGTATACTATACAGTCTATATTCAATTTTCCCTAATGATCTAAGACTTTTTTTTTCTTTTTTAAGAGATGGAATCCAGCCCGGCACTGTGGCTCACACCTGTAATCCCAGCACTTTGGGAGGCCGAGGTGGGTGGATCACGAGGTCAGGAGATGGAGACCATCCTGGCTAACATGGTGAAACCCCATCTATACTAAAAATACAAAAAATTAGCCAGGTGTGGTGGCACGCACCTGTAGTCCCAGCTACTTAGGAGGCTGAGGTAGGAGAATCGTTTGAACCCGGGAGGTGGAGATTGCAGTGAGCCAAGATTGCGCCACTGCACTCCAGTCTGGGAGACAGAGAGAGACTCTGTCTCAAAAAAAAAAAAAAAAAAAAAGACGGAATCCTGCTCCCAAAGGTCTGGGATTACAGGCATGAGACACCACGCCCAGCCAAGACTAGTAATTTTGAATTACTGAACCGAGACCTACCATTTAAATTGACTATATGATTTTCTCTTACTTATGAGGGACCAGAAAAGTCATGAGGATTATTTGAATTTTTACTATAGGCCAGGAGTTGATTTATTCTTGAGTAAGTGTAATAGACCAGAAAGAGACAAAAAGAAAGTTTTTGCGTGAAATCCATTGTTTCTCCGTGGTCAAGCTGGCAGGCACACTTTTAAAACAATGTCTGAATTCAGTATGCTCTTGGCATTATTCAAGAATAGATTTCTTGTAGGTAAAATTGACAGAGTAATGATAATTGTTGAAGCTGGGTGATGGTGGTTCACTAAACTTTTCTCCCTACTGTTGGGTATAATTGAAGATTTTCATGATGAAAAGTTAAATGATTTTTTTGACTCTTTGTGTTTTCTAATTTGTAGATTTGGAATGTTAGTAAATCACGTAATGCATTCCTTAGTATCAGAGGAAATCAATTTATAAAACTAAAACAGTAATAATAATAGTTTTCCATATGTAGGGCAAACTAAGCTAAGTCTTTTCCAAATTCACACCTCTCCAATATAAATTTTATTATTTCATTATAAAGCAATCATTCTTTGAAGTTTATACTCATTTTGAAGACTTCTCTTCATCTTTTTCTTGGTTTGTCATTTGTCTCTGAAGTGCAGGAGAGACCGAGTCCAGGGTTGGCCCTCATAGTGGTGAGGATGACCTGGGTGAAAGTGTAGTCTGGGTGAAAGTTCATGTTGGGACCAAAATTAAAGCTAAAGTTTATAAGAAATAGGATTGAGCCTGAGGGGTTTCAACATGGTACAGTGTTGGAGTGTGTCTCTGATTCAGAAATCGGGGTAATTTTTCCAAAATTGAAATAAAAATGAAGTAGTCCTGAAACAGTGTTGTTTAACTTTGTTAGAATTTATTTCTTTGGAATTTGAAATACTTTGTGTATTAGCTGTAAGTGATTGTTTTTGTGTGGATAGAATATTTTTTGTACTTTAATATTTTTTTCAGTCATAATTTTATAGCCAAAGGTAGAATCTTGTAACTTTGTCCTAAATGAACACTTTTGATGGAAGTCAATAAAATACTACACTAAATGTCCCTGTATACATTATATACATTAGTGATTTCTGAGTGTTAAAATTTTTGCCTTTCTTTTGGTTTAGTTTATCTTATAAAGGTTTTCTAAAGTGAATAATTATTAATCACATTGCACTGATAAATGACATGATTTTAGTTGGTTTTTGTAAGAGAGACAGTTTACTCATCAACCTTAGTGTTTCTTAGCAACACAAATTATTCCTATCTTGGGCATTTTCGTATCTTCCTTCAGACATACATGTGGAAATAGTTTATATGACCTGATGCTTGTCCATCTGTCCTGAGTCTCTCATTACTTCTTCGTTACCTAAACATCCTCATTAAACTTCATGTCCATACAATATATTCTTTCAGCTTAATAAACCACAGTTTGACCTCAGCATCATTTGGCTTGTCACAATCTTAAAAGTGTTCTGAAAAATAAATTTATTTTGTGTATTGTGTAGCTAAAAGTTACCGAAAATGTTATATTTTCATGTTAAAAAAAGTATAAAAATAATGCCTTGGGGCCAGGCTCAGTGGTTCATGCCCGTCATCCTAGCACTTTGGGAGGCTGAGGTGGGAGGATTGTTTGAGACCAGCCTGGGCAACATAGTGAGATCCCGTCTCTACAAAAAAATTTAAAAATTAGTCAGGAATGGTGCCACATACCTGTAGTCTCAGCTACTCGAGAGGCTGAGGTGGGAGGATTAGTTGAGCCATGGAGATTGAGGCTGCAGTGAGCCACAGTCTTGCCACTGCACTCCAGCCTGGGTGATGGAGCGAGACCCTGTCTCAAAATACAAAAACAAAAACAAAAAAGCTGCCTTGGGAGCTGGCTAACTGTTTTCTTATTGTTCTCATCCTCTAGGATGAGAGCTGAATCACTTCTGGTAGAGAAATAGGTTGACTATCTTTTGGCAAGTTGACATGTTCAGTTTAGATTATAATTTATGAAAATGCTGGATTCATAGGGAGTGTTGGCGTTCATACATCCATTCAACAAATATTTATTTAGCCCTTACAACATGCCAGGCTTTGTGACAGGCACTGGGGATACAGTGGTTAGTGAAAATATGGCATCTGTGCTCTCTATCTCTAGCAGAGGGATATGGTTGTCTGAGAGCATCAGAAAAGAACCTGCTCTGGTCAGGTAGGAAAGGCTTCCCTTAGGAAGTGAGCCTTAGCTGCTATCTGAAGAGCATACCAGTGGGAGCAGCATGTGCAAAGGCCACGTGGCAGGATGCAACAGGGCGCATTGAGAGAAGCTGGAGTGCAGAGTGAACACCTGCAAGATAAAGCTTTCAGGGAGATTGGTTTTAAGTAAAAACTTCATTCTTTATAGATGCTTTATATGAAATATGAAATCAATATTTTTATATTGACTTCTGTGTGTCATATTGACTTCTATATATCTATTTTAAGACAATAAACTTTGTTTTCAGATACTCAAAAGATTTGAAGATTTCTTCAAGTTCATTTTTCCCATTTGGTCCTTTAATCCCCTAACTAGGAATCCACTGATTATCCAACTGCTTGAGTATAACTACCCAAGTGGCAGGGTCCTCCCTTTCTTCTTTGGAACCAGCTTTATTTCCAGACACTTTTAAGCAATGGAGAGTTCTTTCTTATGTGAAGCCAAAATTCTGGATTTTACTCATTGATACTAGTTCTCAGTGGCAAAACTGAACAAGTCCAATTTGTTTATAGACTCTTTTACTTATTGAAGATTACTTATATATAGCTATAAGTCTCTTCCACAAAGAGTTTTTCACCCAATGTTAAACAAATTTCAAGTATACACACACACATACACACACACAAAATGAAACATCCTCCCTCCCCTACTCTGCGTGTACCAGTTGCCTGGCTTCAATAATTATCAACCTATGGTTTTGATTGATGGATACTTAATGAATACCATTTTTGCCCTAGGACTTGCTGGAGATATAGAAAGGGACCTGACACAGTTTCTGGCCTTAAGGAGCTCTCATTCCAGTGGGGAAGAAAAAAACTAAAATAATGATGTCCGAGAGCATCAGAAAAGAACCTGCTCTGGTCAGGTAGGAAAGGCTTCCCTTAGGAAGTGAGCCTTAGCTGCTGTCTGAAGGGCACACCAGTGGGAGCAGCATGTGCAAAGGCCTTGTGGCAGGATGCAACAGGGCGCTTCTGCAAAAGAGTTCAGAGTGAACACTTCTGGTTGATAGGAAATCAACTAAAATAATACAGCATAATGCATACAGTCATTTAACTTGTAAGAGAATTATGGGATTATAAAGAAATAGCGCAGGGAGGGCATTTTACCCTGCTAAGTGGTGGAAATGGGAGGAATTAGTATACAAACTTAGGATCTAGAAATAGATTTCCAGAGGGTTTTGGAGAAAGTAAGCAAGGTAAGCCAAAGTTCAGACATTAGGTCAGCTTCTGAGACAAAAATTCTCCATTGGCATGTAAAATCTTATGTTTATATGTACTTATAAAATAGAGCCATTGTGTAGTCCATTAAGAGATGAAGCATTGAGAATTGGACTTGGTAGCAAAGTCTTAATGGTCAGCTCAAACATTCTTGGGAGTTAAAAAGCCAAAAGAGACAGATACTCAGTAAACTTGCCTGCATGTAGTCTTTATTATTGTACATAGAAAATATTTGTACTCTTCTTTTAGCTTAAATCTGTTTATGTATATATATGCATTGATTATGTATTTTAAAATATGAGATAATTAGTTATTACGCTAAGAGGTCAGGGATTCAATACCTGGAGAGATGATATCCCCACAGCAAAAACACTGCTTTTCTCTCTAGACAGTGTTGGAGTCTTTACTTAGTTCAGTTTGAAATGCATGCTGTGTGGACACAGGGAGGACTTAATGTTTAGAGTTATGTTCAAATCTATCCTTGTCTTTAGAGCCTTACCATGGATAGGTTATTAGTGTGATCTTGTTACTGAGATTTGCCCTACCTGAATTTTGAGACCCATATAATATCTTTCAGTACAGCTACATGAGAGTATAAGCATATATATGCATGCATTCTAATGCAGTGGAGCAATTTTTCTCTTAGAGCTTTTCCAATCAAGGAAGCAGGTACTATTTACAGTGTATATTAGACAAATTGGAAGCAGGTGCTTCCCACTCTCTCTCATCTTTGTAGCCATTCTTTCTCTATGGCCTTGCTTGTATCTGTATACTACATGCATCTCTATGGTTTTTCTCTTTTTGTATGTTCTAAAATAGATGTGTGACAAAAAATCCATAATGCAGTCTTTTTTATGCACTCAATGTTAATTTATGTTTGAATACTAGAGTCGACTATTTGGTCATTCTTTTTTAGTTTATGATTTGCTTGTTTATTTCTTCTCCTGTTTACTATTTAAGAATTACATATATACTCCAGTCTGGCAGAAGTGATCAAATATTATTATTTTTTACAAAATATCTTCAAAATTTTATTGGTATGTAGCTTGGTGCCACATTTTGAACATGTATATGATCATTTGTTATGTTTGAGTGTTTCTGAAATTGAATTACTTGATAATTTGTGAGTATTATCTTTTAAAATGAAATAAAGTGACAAGGTTTATCCTTTTGAATTGATAGGACCTGTTATTAAAATCATATTATTCCCCATAAATCAGACATAAAAGTCTTATTTCTTCTTTCTGTTTCAATTATATAATTTAAGTAAGTTATAGCTTCCTTTAGACATGTCCCAGTTTATTGAACATACTCAATTTCCATTGTAAGCATGTAGATAGGATTGGTGACTCTATAAATTTTTTGGGATAAATTTTATAAATAGTATTGGAAATTAATCTTAGAATTCTAAGTGTCACTATTATTTTTCTTTAATGCTTCTGTTTGTAGTACAGGGTACCGAGTAATATAGTGGATAAAACACATAGTCCTAGCCCTAATAAGAAAGAAAGACTAGTGTGTAAGTAACTTGAATAAATGGTGTAAGAGAAGCACAAATAAAACTCAGCTGGAAAAAAAAAATTGTATTAGTTCTTAAAAGATATGATACTTGAGCTGGGCCTTAAGTAACTGTTAGAAAAATGATGGGGGAAGATTTGGGAAAAGGGTATTTTAGGCTGAGCAGATAACACAAGAAAAGAGAGTCTTAAATGCCTTGTATGATTGAAGAGTCTGTAGTGGTCTCACATAGGAGCAGAGGGGGAGCTGTTGGTGATTAGACTGGACTGTCCCAAACTGGGTTTGATGATCTTGTAAGGGTGTGCAGATCTTACTTGTTAGGCAGTGGACAGCCTTAGAAGGTAATAGACCATCTTTAATGTGTCCTCTGATATATTGATAACTACTCTTGTTGTTTGTAGTAGATATTACAGTACTCATTTTGGAGAAAAACTAACACTCAGAGGAGCTAAATGACTTGCCCAAGGTCTTGTGACAACTAGTTGTCAGAGCTAGAATTCAAACCAAATGTTCATTTGAACCCGCATGTTTCATCTCTTTTAAGTGGGGGAACAAGGCAATCAGGCTAAATTTCAGGAATGTTTCCAAAGCAGTTGGTTTCTTGGATTAGAAAGTAATACTGTAGAGGCATGGTAGCCAACTGGGAGACTATTTTAATGATTCAGACAAGTGGTAGTATGAACTTGAATTTGTGGTAGTAAAAATAGGACTGAAAAGAAGGGTTTGCATATGAGATTAAGGTAGGAGAATTGTCAAGACTGGGTCATTAAGTACGGGTAATAAGAATGCATTATTTCAAACCTATGTGGTAGAAAAATGATGTCCCCAGTGGCTGGCTTACCTGAGCTAAGAGCCAGCTGGTTTAAAAGAGAGACTGGGGCTTGCCAGGGATCCAGAATTAAGTGATATAATGTTAAAGTGATTTGATTGTGAAGAGTTAAAGGGTGAGCTATAAAAGTCACATTCTAGCTTCAGGTTAAACATATGAGCACAGAGCTGAAAACTAGAGGCAAAGCCTAACATTTTGGGTAGACTGTGAACTGAGTATGGAAGGAGTACCTGAATAAAGGGTGAGGGTGCAAAACAATTATCATGGGCTGAGACTGTGCTGACTGTTGTCCATTTGTACAAAGTTTTGCTCCCTCTCAGCTTCCTCTGTGGTTGTACTAGCTGTTATGGGTTGAACTGTATCCCCTTCCAAAAAGAAATGTAGAAGTCCTAACTCCTAGTACCCCAAAATGTGAACTTATTTGGAGATGAGATTTTCACAGACTTTAACTTAGTTTTGGAGATAATCAAATTAGCATTAGATTGTTAGGGTGGGCCCTAATCTAATATGACTGGTGTCCTTATAAAAAGGGGAAATGTAGACACAGATATTTACAGAGGGAAGACTATGTGAAGATTAACTAGAGAACAGTATTTACAAGTCAAGGATTGCCTGAGGCTACTAGAAGATGAGAGAGAGACTTGAAACAGATTCTCCCTCACAGCCCTTCTAAGGAATCAACCCTGCCGACACCTTGATCTTTGACTTCCAGCCTTCAGAATTATGAGATAACACATTTCTGTTGTATCAGCCACCCAGTTTGTGGTACATTGTTATAGCAGCCCTAGGAAATTAATAAAGCAATATATAGGGGATTGGGAGAGGTATAGGGGTCTGGTTGCAGTATTAAATAGGGTGGTCAGGAAAGGCCTCACTAAGAAGCAGATAAAATGAGGAAAGAATTGAAGGAGGTGAGGGAATAAGCCATGAGGATATTTGCCAGGAGAGCATTCCTGACAAAGGCATGTGCCTCTGATGTATTTAGGTGGAAAAAGAGGACAGTGTGTCTGTAATGGGGTGACCTGGGAAATGAGGTCTGAGAGGACATACAGTGAACATGGGCAGATTGGGTAGGGCCTTCTAAACCATTGACAGCCTTCTGACTTATATGCATTGATATGGAAAGCCAGAGGATTTTAAGCAGAGTGATCTTATCTACACTTTAAAAGGATTATCTTGGTCTTTGGGATGAAAATAGACAATGGGGATAAGGTAGAGAGACCAGAAAGGAGGATTGTGGAATGGTCCAGGCATTAGCCAGAGCTGATAGAAGTTTCGATAGGAGGGTGGCAGTATATGTGAGAAGAAATGGCTAGTACTGGATATATATGTTATTAGTAGAACATTGGGATATTATGACAGATTGAATATGGGGTATGAGAGAAAGTTTGGACTAAGCAACTGGAATATAACAGAGTTTGATTGAGCAAAGAATGATTCCTGAATAGAGCAGGACCCTCTGTTCCATCCCCTTAGCCCCCAGCCAGAATAGGTTCAGAGTGACTCTGTGCTGCTGAATTGGAGAAAATTTATGAACAGAAAAAAAAAAAAGTAACATAAAAGAAAACGGAAGTGAGGTACAGAAACAGCTGGATTGGTTACAGCTTGGCGTGCCTTATTTGAACACAGTTTGAACAGTTGGCTGTCTTTGATTGGCTGAAACTTGGTGATTGGTGCAAGAGTAGGTTACAGTCTGTTTACACATCCAGTTGAGTTACAGTTCACTACGTATGGAGAAACCTTTAGGCTGAACTTAATATATGTGAGGAGGTAGCTTTAGGCTATACTTTTTAACAGAACAATTTTTTTTCCCATTCTTTTACTTTCAGCTTATTGTGTCTTTGAAAATAAAGTGTGTCTCTTGTAGATAGCACATAGTTGGATCGTGTTTTCTTATTCATTCTGCCAATATGTGCCTTTTGGTTATAGTGTTTAATCCATTAGCCTTTAATGTAATTACTGATAAGGTAAGATTTACAATTGCCATTTTGCTACTTATAATCTGTGTGTCTTATTTCTTTTGTCTTTCTTTATTCCTCCATCACTGCTGACTTTTGGGTTAAACAGCTATTTTCTCCCCCGGCCCTCACTATCCCCACTGGATGCTTCTTACACCAGTAAATAGCTATTTTCTAGTGTACCATTTTAATTTTCTTGTTTCATTTACTATATTTTTTGTTCTTAGTTGTTTTATGCACATGTTCTCATGTTCTACACTTTGAGCTTCTAGCAGCACTTTGAGCCTATGCTCAGTGTTTTCTAGATGAGTTTCATAGGGAAATAATGCCAGGGTTCTGACTTACTAATGGTCAGGAAATATGACTGAAAATAATTTTCTTGGCTGGGCACAGTGGCTCACGCCTGTAATTCCAGCACTTTGTGAGGCCGAGGCGGGCGGATCACGAGGTTAGATCGAGACCATCCTGGCTAACACAGTGAAACCCCGTCTCTATTAAACCCTGTCTCTAGCTGGGTATGGTGGCAGGTGCCTGGAGTCCCAGGTACTCAGGAGGCTGAGGCAGGAGAATGGCGTGAACCCGGGAGGCGGAGCTTGCAGTGAGTGGAGATCGCACCACTGCGCTCCAGACTGGGCGACAGAGCGAGACTCCATGTCAAAAAAAAAAAAAAAAAAAAAAGAATTTTCTTGTCCAACAATTATATTTTCTTAATATAGTTTGAATCTTCTGTTTACTCATGTTTACAGCAGGGCATCTGTTCTCTTTCTTCCTTCCTTTTTGTTTCTCCCTATCTGTTTCCCTCCCTCTAATTCATTCAACAAACATATTTTGTATGTATGTAGTTGCACCAGGGGCTTGGGGTGTAGTAGTGTATAGAACAGATGGTCTCTTCTTCAGTCTTTGGTCAGCAGTAGATTTCGCTAACTCAAATTCTTCATAGAACATTGAAATAGCCAAGTAGTATACAGTAGGGTGTGGTGGGATCTGTAGACAATTCCAGGGATATTCTCATTCAGATTAACAAAAAAGAGAAGTTTGCAGGCCTTGGAAGACCTCTGTTTTAATGTAAACATTTCTCTGTAGTAGGAATTGTTGGAATTTCTTTAACCAGCTCTCACTTGCCACTCCCTTGTTGAGATTTGAGTAGTGTAGTTTTCCCTGTCTTGAAAATATGCTCCTGGAACCAGTGTGCTTTAACGTTTTTAGTGTTTTCAACTGTTTATTTCATATTAATTCAAATGAGCTCTGAAAACGTATTAGATTCCATAGTGTTTATACAACAGATATGAATTGTAAAGGATAGAATCACCCTAACATTTAATCGTAAAAAGTATATTTTTAAGCCTTTACTTGGGTTTCCATTGTTCTTTAAATTTATATAGAAAGATTGTCATTTTTGTGGTACAGTTTTTTTGTTCCCCTTCAAAGAAGGGGGGATAACAGATAAACTTTTGGATTCATTTTCCATTTTTTAATCTGAAGTTGATGTATTTCAAGAATATTATTTTCATCAAAGGATTGGATATAAATTGTGTTGGCTGCTGGACTCGGTGGCTCACGCCTGTAATCCCAGCACTTTGGGAGGCCGAGGTGGGCAGATGATGAGGTCAAGAGATCGAGACCATCCTGGCCAACATAGTGAAACCCCAATATGGTGAAACCCCGTCTCTACTAAAAATACAAAAATTATCTGGGTGTGGTGGTGTGCGCCTGTAATCCCAGCTACTTGGGAGGCTGAGGCAGGAGAATCTCTTGAACCCGGTAAGTGGAGGTTGCAGTGAGCCGAGATCGCACCACTGCACTCCAGCCTGGCGACAGAGCGAGACTCCATGTCAAAGATAAATAAATAAAAATAAAATGAATACATAAATAAATTGTGTTGTCAATTAACTGTATAATAAATGACATCAATTTTAGCAAATAACCTAGTGTACATATACTATATGTTCAAAAAGTTAAGGAGAATATAGGAATTTTACTTTGCTAATGATGAGGACACTACTCTCTTCTATCCTGTGTGACCCTGAATAAGGCTTTATTGGGAGGTTAAAGCTGAGATAGATCTAGGTTTAGTAGGAAGGAACAGATTGGTCTTCATTATGCTGTCAAAAAGGTCTTACACTAATGCAAACCATGCCTAAGAAACAAAGTGTTTTTTTCCTCTAATCTTTATATAATTTCTATTTGATTACCAGCCTGAGGTATTTTACAATCAAAGAACATATTATGTTCATACAATACCATTTTATAAGGTTTTTTTTTTTTTTTTGAGACAGAGTCTTGCTCTGTCGCCCAGGCTGGAGTGCAGTGGCGCGATCTTGGCTCACTCACTGCAAGCTCTGCCTCCCGGGTTCACGCCATTCTCCTGCCTCAGCCTCCCCAGTAGCTGGGACTACAGGCGCACGCCACCACGCCCAGCTAATTTTTGTATTTTTAGTAGAGACGGGGTTTCACTTTGTTAGCCAGGATGGTCTTGATCTCCTGACCTTGTGATCCGCCCGCTTTGGCCTCCCAAAGTGCTGGGATTACAGGCGTGAGCCACCGTGCCCGGCCAATACCATTTTATCATTAATCTCTGCAGTCAACCTTGGCTAACTTTTAATATGACATTGGCCACTACCACCTTAAAACTCCTTCCTGAAAGCTATAAAGTGAACTATTTTCAGTTTTTCTGTTCTATTTGCATTTAAGTTGGCTTCATGCAAACCTCATCATCGAAATGTTTTCTAGAGGGGAAAATTGTTACATTTGTATGAAAAAGGAGAATTTGTCACTTCTTTCAGCTAAGTTGATTAGAAATTACATGTGAAGCTATAAAAAAATAATGAAAGTCAAAGCAATCAGTAAACAGTACACTGGCCTAAACCAGTGGACAAATCTGCAGAGTACAGATGTCTGCATTAGGAGTGCAGTGTGATACCATTTTTTTTCTTTCTTCACTCAAATCTGTGGAGTTGTCCCCCACATTTACTCTGCATTCTCTGTTAAAATATTTTGTGGAAATATATTCTGGGGGAACACTGGTAACTGCACATCTTTCCACAAGTGTCTTTTATAGTATAAACCAAAACATAGATGCCATGACTTTGTCTTTTAGAAGGGAGTTTCTTGGCATCCTTGCTTAGAACTCACCCTTGAAAAGATGTTAACGCTAATCTTTAAATTTCAACAAGGTGTGTAGTTTGACTCTAAAAGGGGAATGAAGTAGCTCAGAATGCTTAAATCTTTAGAGAGCAACCCAAAGTCAAAGGCATTATAAGCTGTGGTTCAGCTAATTTACAAGGAGGATAATTGCAGAAAAATTATCATATAAGTTTACTGGAAATAACCACTAAATTCTTTAACTTACTGTGAGTATAGCCTAAGATACCTGCTTTAGTTATTTACTGCTATTTGACAAACTGCTGCAAAACAGTGGCTTAAAACTAGGACAACATATATTTTGCTCATGAGTCTCTAATTTGGAAGGGTTCATTTGGCATAATTTGTTTTTGCTACACTTTGTGTTAGATGATGTGGCTCAAAGGTGAGGGCCAGAATCATTTGAGTGCTACTCATGCACACCTACGGTGGTTGGATACTGGTTAGAACATTTATATGTGGCCTGAGCATCTTCTTAGTGTGTTGGCTGTCTTCTAAGGGTGAGAGGAAGGAGAGGGAGAAGCTGCGAAGACCTGTATTGTCTATTTATAATTTACTTTTGGAAGTCACACAGTACTACTTCCAAGACATTTTATTACTTGATAGAAAGGCCTGCTAAATTCAAGCTGGAGGGAAAATTGTCTCCACCTCTGGATGAGAGAGTAACAAGCTACTAGAAGGGCACGAGGGACTGGGAATATTGCTGTGGTTGTTTTTGGAAAATAGTTGGCTACATCATTTTACCTGATTATCTATATTCTCTTATTTCCGGCCTCAGATTGATTCAGTTTTCTGGGGCCAAAATGCTCAATAGTTAAGTGTAGAAAGTAGGAGACAGATTAAAATATTTTCCTATGATTAATGTAAAGCTCCTTCAATTACATTTTCTTTGTAATTGTATCTTTTTCTGGAACTCTGGAACCCTTAGGGGGCAGGGTTAAAATGGCAAAACCCAGCATTTTATGTTACATTAGGTGTACTGAAAAATGGTGTGATGTATTACAGTTGAATCATCAGAGTTCAAGTCACAGTTCTGCCACTTTCTAGCTGTGTGACAGAGGGACAGTTACTTAACCTCTCTGAGTTCACTCATCTACAAAGTCAAGGTGATGATCCCTTCCTTATAGATATGTTTTGTAAAACAGAGATACATTTAAAGGGACCCTTTCAGTGAATGGGAGGTCCTGGGGTCTCAGATATTATCATTAGGCAGGTTGATGAAAGTGTATGAGTTAAGATGTTAAATTTATAATGACCCAGAATGATAAAATTAAGAAACTTTTTTAGGATATTTAGATACTTAGAAGTTAGACCAAATATAGGTGCATGTGACTGGAAGGATTTAGAGTAGAGAAAAACCTAAGAAGGAATTCTGGAAGAATATGTTTCCATTTTGAAAGGTACATTATATCTTACCAGCTACCAATCAACTTTTTTTTTTCCTTTGTTTTCTTTATTTTTTGAGACAGGGTCTCGCTCTTTTGCCTAGGTTGAAGTGCAGTGGCATGATCATGGCTTACTGCAGCCTTGACCTCTTGGGCTCAAGTGATCCTACCACCTCAGCTCCTGAGTATCTGGGACTACGGGAGTGCTCCACTACATCCAGCTAATTAAAAAAAAAAAAAAAAAAAAAGTTTGGCCTCCCAAAGTGCCGGGATTATAGGTGTGAGCCTCTGTGCTTGGCCTAAAATTTTTTTATAGAGATGAGGTCTTGCCGTGTTGCCCAGGCTAATCTTGAACTCCTGGGCTCAAGCAGTCCTCACTCCACGGCGTCCTAAAGTGTTGGCATTACAGCCATGAACCACTGTGTCTGGCCCTTAACACCTTTTTACGGAAATGAATGTTTCAAAGATTTATTAAAATAATGAACAGTTAGTTAAGGTACTTTAATAAATGCCTTAATACCTTAGTTTTAAATGTTTTATATTTAGTGGAAAATGCTAATTTTCTTTTATTTTTATTTTTCTATAATAATTGTAGAAGTGACATACATGTTATAGAAAAGAAATTGAGGAAACAAATCACCATGATTCCATTACTCAGAGGCAGACTGTTAATGTTTTGTCATTTTCCTTTCAGTTTTTTTTAATATTATAGCCATCCATGGTCAAGATCATAATGTATAACTTAATAACTTTCCTTTTTTACTTAATTATCATAATAATTTCTCACATGTCATTAAATTTTATATATCATGTAGGTGTATCATACCATTTTAAGATTTTTATGATTTTTTTCTGCTAGACATAATGTTGTGATGAATATATATTTGCACATGAATATTATTTGTCTTTATTTTGATTTTTTTCCATGGGAGGTATTTCTAGAAAGATAATTACTGGATAAAAGTATGTGAATATTTTTAAGGTCTTTGATTAATTTGTTATATTTCTTTCCACAAAGTATTACCATTTTATATCTCTACTAAAGTAGAACAGCAGTATGATTATTTGTTTTTGTAAACAAAGTTGCCTAATTTGACAGTTAAAAGTATCCTTTGTAAAATTTGCATTTATGCTATCTTAGATTAAAATTTTCTTTCTAATATTTAGTATTTATTTCTTTCATTTTAATTCAAATAGACTTTCTATATGTTAGGGACATAATTTTTTCCATATATTTTCTCCAGGTTTGGAGAAATTTCATCACCCAGTATATTTTGTTCCTTTATAAACAGTTTAAAATTTATTTTTTTCATTTTGTATGAAAGACATACTAGAGTCACACTAACCTGCATGGTACAGTTATTCTTTTCAATGGATGGTAGTTCTCATTTTTAGTAACTTAGTTTTCTTCATCTTTTAGTTATTTTTAGAGTGTGTTGTGCATTTAAAGTGGATATACACTTAGTTTTTAATATTATGTTTGTCAAACTTCAAGTAACTATATTTTGGTTATTCTGAAGGGACTTTTTCATAAATAGAATTTATGAAATTCTTCTCACTGGCAAAATTTTAATTTCAAATGGACTATTTTACTAGGCCTTATTCAGGTTATATAAAAATTAAGATTTATTTATTTCCCTTTAAAATTTTTTTCAAGTGTTTTAAATTCACAGAAAAGTACAATACAATGTCACTCCCTCCGAGGTCTGTCAGATCTGAACCTTTTTTGCCGTGTGTATAATAGGAGAAAACAACTGTTTTTTCTTCTATGTTCAAACTCAGCACAGAATACTTCACCTCTGGTCATCAAAATGTTTATGGGGTTTTTTCCTCACTGACTGGTTGTCTGACACCAACTGGTTATCCTACAATTTAACTTAGCTCTGACATTATCTGCCTGGAGATAGTGACAGATCCTGCAGGTTAAGAGCTTGATCCCACAAGATTGTCCCCCACTTCAGACACCAATCTCAAGTAGTAGGCTATCCTCAATTTCTGTCCAACTTAGCTACAAATTGGAGGTGCCCACCAGCACCTTCTTGGGATCAGCTCACAGAACTCAGGGAAATACTTTTACCAGTTTATTAAAAAAGGATATGATAAAGGATACAAATGAACGGCCAGATCAGCCAGATGAAGAGATGTGTAGGGTGAGGTCTGGAAGGGTCCTGGGCGCAGCAACTTCTTTCCCTCTGGACTGGGGGTGTGCCACTCTGAGCACGTGGATGTATTCACCAACTCAGAAGCTCTCTGAACCCCTTAGTTCAGGTATCTTTCTGGAGGCTTCATCAGGTAGGCATGATTGATTATTAACTCATTATCTATTCCCTTTCCCCTCCGCATAGGATGGGAGTTGGGTGGAACTGAAGGTTCCAAGCTTCTAATCACGGCTTGGTCTTTCTGGTGATCATCCAGGAGCCCACCAAGAGTTGCCTCATTAGAAAAAAAGATGCTCCTATCACCCAGGAAATTCCAAGGGATTTAGAAGTTCTGTGTGAGGAACCAGGGACAGAGACCAATACACATATTTCCTATTAATTCACACCATGTTTAGTTCAGTTTTTAACTGTTTATTTCTTAAATAGAACTTTATAGATGGAAGTGAGGATCTCTGTGATGCTGATGCCTAATTCCATTCTCCTTTCCCTAGCCTCAGAGGTTTTTATACATTTATTTAATATGCATGTATCAATAATAAAAAGCCCATATAAATGATATCTGTACCTATCCCTCTGAAATTTATTCTTTTTTCACCAATATATAATTCACCAATATATTACATATATATAATATATAAATATTATATATGGGTGAAATATATAATATTTCACCAATATTATATTTTTAAACTTATTTAGGTTAAAATAAGTGTTGCTCTAGTTTAGTGGTTTTCAGAATTTGGTCCCCGACCAGCAATCTTAGTATCACTTGGGAACTTATTAAAAATACAGCTTCTCAGGCCAGGACTGAATAAATAAATTGTGCTACCCAGTACAAAATGAGAATGCTGGGCCCCATGTTTAGAAACTATTAATAATGTCAAGATGGTGACAGCAGAGCATTAAACCAGGTGCAGGGTCCTTCCGTGCTTGGTAGCTGTGAAGCTAGCCCTGTCTAGACCTCACTCCTGACCTAGTGAATAGAAACTCAGAGTAAGGACCAGCAATCTGTGTTTTAACAAGCCTTCCGGGTGATTCTTTTGAATGTTTAAGTTGTGTTAGTTTTCTACAGCTGCCATAACAAAATACCACAGATGAGGTGGTTTAAAGAACAGAAATTACAAACCTGCACATGTACCCCTGAACCTAAAATAAAAGTTAAGAAAAAAAAATTATTTTCTGAGTTCTGGAGGCTGAAATTCTAAGATCAATGTGTTGGCAGGTTTGCTTTCTTCTGAGGTCTCTTTCCTGGCTATGCAGTTGTTCACCTTGCTCATATGGTCCTCTCTGGTCTATATGCAAGCATGCTAAGTTCCTCTCATAAGGACATTTCCTCTTATAAGGACACTAGTCAGATTAGATTAGGACCCACCCACTCTAATAGCCTCATTTTGACTTAATCACCTCTTTAAAGGCCCTGCCTCCAAATACAGTTATTCTGAGGTGCTAGAGGTTAGGGCTTCAACATATGAATTTTGGAGGGACACAGTTCAGCCCATAACACCACTACTATAGTTCAGTGAAATTTTAGGGCTATATTATATTCAGTTGTATGATTATACTGTATCTTTTGTGCTGTTGCTGGACATTTAGGTTATTTTCCGTTTTTTTTTTTTTTTTTTTTTTTGCTATAACAATGCTGCTATGGAGAGTCTTGTATAAATATTTTGTATATCTTGTGAATTTCTCTAATTCTGATGATATATAATGGGATAGAATTATTGGATTGTAGCAAGTAGAATCTCTGAGCTTTAGCTGATATTGCCAAGTTGCTCAGCAATTTGGAAGTGAAGAGAATTCTTCGCTTCTCTGAAAGTGTAAGAGAATTCTTGTTTCACTCTCTCCCAGGCAACATTGATATTGTTAGACTTTAAAAAAATATTCTGGGTGGGAATTGAACAATGAGAACACATGGACACAGGAAGGGGAACATCACACACCGGGGACTGTTGTGGGGTGGGGGCGGGGGGAGGGATAGCATTAGGAGATATACCTAATGCTAAATGACGAGTTAATGGGTGCAGCACATCAACATGGCACATGTATACGTATGTAACAAACCTGCACGTTGTGCACATGTACCCTAAAACTTAAAGTATAATAATAATAAAATTAAAAAAAAAAGTTCTGATAGGCATGAATTTCATAGGGTTGTTTTAATATGCATTTTTCTGCTCATTGTTAACATTGAGCATCTTTTTATGTATTTATTGATCATTTAAGGTTTTCCTTCTCTGTGGATTACATGTTCATGTTTTTTACCTGTTTCTTTTGGGTCATTTGTCCTTTTCTTATTGATTTGTAGACTTTTTCTCCCTAGCATCTGCATTTACACCATTATTGGTTATGTGTGGGCGAAATACATTTTTCCAGTTTGTAGAGTTATTCACTTTATGAGGTCTTCTTTTCTGTATAAGTTCTGAATTTTAATGGCAAATTTATCAGTTTCTTTTTCTTTATGATTTCTTTTCCTGTTTTTATTTTTGATATGGTTTCTTAGTGTAGACTTCAAGTGCCCTGATGTCAATCGAATTACAACAAAAAAACCCCCAAAATCCTGCACTGCCTTTTGTTTAATGGAAGGCTGCATCTATGCTGTTGATTTTGCTAGTGTGTAATTTTAAATGGTGGTGTTTTGGCTTTAGGAGACAACTTTTTCTGTAACGCAGCACATGTGGTTTGGAACCATATTTTGAGCTGTTTAACAACACAAGCTTCTATTTCTGTATATGGGTGGATTTGTCATAATGATATTTAAATAAGTAAGTTTAATTGTCTGTTAGTAAATAAAAGAGAACAGTGACTCCATCTTTGGGTATGTGTTGTCTTGGGTTTTCTTGGCCTTTTGTAGCTCAGTATCATCATCTAGAAATACACTGAATACTTTTTATGCTGCTAACAGTACTAGTGTTTATTTGGGAAATATTTGTTAATGTCATTTTACTAAAAATTTCGGCCATTTATTACCAAAAAGTAAGGTTTTGTACCAGTCCAAGGCAACATTTTCTCTTTGTGCTGAGTTCCCACATACACTTAGTACATTTTTTCAAATTTTATTACCTTCTCCCAGCCCCACCCCCTTGCCACAACTTCTAACAAATGCATATAATTGTGTCACTGATAGTTGTAAATGTCTACTTGACTCATTGAGGGCCCATTGATTATTTGGATATAGACTATGTATACTCCCTAGCCCCTGCTCTGGGAACATTTTGGCTGTTTTCAGACTTGCTTATATCTCCATTACAAAGCGATGGTATATACCAAGGAGGAGGTGAATACCATCTTCCTAATTGTCATGAGTTACTTTTTGGTGGCCGAACTTGGTGGACAAAGTTCAAAAAGTTTTAGGATGATGATAATTGAAACTAGTGTGGTCCAGTGTTAGTATCAGAGCTTGTTAGATTTGCAAATTTCTCAAGCCCCAGCGCAAACCTGCTGAATTGGAATTCCTAAGGATGAGGCCAGGGAATGTTTTAACAAGCTCTCCAGATGATCTGAGGCAGGTATCTGAAGGGCTGTTCCGCAGCATTTCCTTGCTTTCATACAGTTCTCTAAGGACAGCATGGTATGAAATTTCTAACAGTGTAGTAGTGTTGATAGAGCAACTTATAGTACTTGCTTGTAGCTCTTTTTTTTTTTTTTTTTTCTTGCGGTGAGGAGATGCAGTAGAGGGTGGGCAGGCTAGAAGAGTGTGAGGGAAGCGGGGTGGGTCTGATCCTTTCACTCTTCCTGGAAAACATTGGCCTTTATGTCTTTTCACTGTCTGCCTGGACTGCTGAAGTTATATAAGCTTTTTGATGTGCATCTGATGTCCCTAATTTCAAAGTAAAATCACTGACTTATTGAATATTTATTTGCATAACGTCGTTGTTTGGCCCTGTAGAAGATAAGAGGAAATATATATAAGGTGTGATCCTCACCCACATGCTGGAACATCATAGAGACTTGGGTTCAAATTGTGCCACTGAACTTGACTTGAGCAGTAATCTTTGGCAGAGTTCTTAATCTCCCTACATCTCATTTTCTTCTATTGTAAAATGAAAGCAGCACCTACTGTGCATTTGTTACTGGGATGTTCAAAGGATTAAATGAAATAATGTATATGAAGCACTTTAAACATAATAGGCACTCAGTAAATGGTAGTTGGATGCTATTATCATTATAATCATCATCTAGTTATTTCTGTATTTGAACATCACACTTGACTCTACAGGGCATACTATATTAACGGTCTAGGTGACACTTTTCAGGAATTGCTTTCCTGGCTCTGTGATGATTCCATCACGGTGGATAATTTAATTAGCCCATGCATGCTGAGCACTGTGGTTGTGGTGCTCAGTAAAAGATGTGGTATAGAAAGAACCAGGGCTTTGGAGTCAGACAGATCTTGATCTGTCATTACTCCAGAAGTCACGAGGTGTGCATCTTGGGCAAGTTTCTCTTCTTCCATTTCTCATCAGCTAAAAAAAAAAAAAAAAGAAGGAAAACACTCACTTTGATGGATTATTGTGGAGATTAAGTGAGACTACATGTAAAGCTCTTGGCCCGTAGTAGGTGCATGGTAATTTTTGTAATAAATGTTGCCTTGTCCCCTTCCTTCCTTTCATACTACAGAATTTTAGTGTCTGTTATCCCTAATATATGTTGAGTATTCTTCCACTCTTTGCACTTAGAAATCATGAGGCTAAACCAAGAGTCTAAGTAACTTACTTGCAAGAGAAATGTTAGAGCTAGCTTAAGCAGAAGGGGATTTATTAAGGTGTAATCGTTTACTAGGTCTTTGAGGGAGCAAAAGCAAAAGACTGTAGGCTGAGCTTCTAGATGCAACTCCTGCTAGAACCACACTTTTCAGCTGTCTTACTAAGTGAGCTGCAGCCAGTTCTGGTCTCAGAACCCTAATGCTCTGCTCAAATTTGGAAGCTACTGAATGAAGAGCTTCAGTTTTTGCTGCTGGCCCCAGAAGAATCATTACCTCGCCTGCCATCATTGGTGGATCTGCCTGTGTTTGATGCTATCTTTCCTTGTTTTCTTTCTCCCTTTGGCTTCCTAGGAGTGCTTCTCCTTGGGAAACTCAGGGCATATGCAGATCCTAATTGCAAGGAGGTCTAGCAAAAGTATACTTTAGCTTTCTAGCCATTTTGGTATTGTATGACATGCTAGAATGGGATTGGGTGGGTGGTGAGGACAAATCTTCTATATCTGCCACAGCTTTCAAAAAGGAAAGGGGCATGAGACATATTGATTTAGCACCTTTGCTGTCTTAAAATCTTATCTTAAAATAGATGATAGTTTCAAGAGAGGAAAGGGAAAATGTCAATCCAGTAATGTTGATAGGAGGTAAGTTCTATAGTAAAGAAAAAAAAAATTTTGTAGGTGAAGCCCAATTATTAAAGCAGTGTAAGAATCTAAATAGATCCTGTTGTGTTTATTTAGCTTATAGTATATAAATTTTATTTTTAAGAATGTCTTGTAACTCTTTTTTAACTTCACAGTTTTGCATTAGGGTATGTGGATACAGCATTCCTGTCAGGCTATCAGGTTTGCTCATTTTTGCCAATCAGAAGAAAAGTATATATTCTTGTTGAATTGATATCTTAAAACCTAGACCCATGCAAAAATTTTGTAAATGTAAATAATTTATATTACTTTGAACACATTTATGGTGGGGGTGGAGTTGGGATTAAGGTAAAGTTTTCATAAAGTATAGCGTCTAATTTATTTTACTGTTCTGTAGACTAGTACTGCCTAATAGAAATATAATGCAAGCCATGTGTATAATTTTAAATTTTCTAGTAGCCACATTAAAAAAAGTAAAAATAAATATATGAAATAAATTTTAATATGATTAATTTAACCCATTATATCCAGAATATCATTTAAACATGTGGTACTAGCCACATTTCATATACTCAAGCTACATGTGGCTAGTGGGCACCTATTGTCTGCCTTACTTCATACTAGAACTTTTCTGATTTGAGAAGTACTGAAATATACAATATGCATGTTTATAAAATGTTCACTGTGTGCCACATCTTGATAATACCTTACTGCTTACACTTTAAAAAATAACAATATGATTGTAAATCAGTGCCACTCCCCAAATTATAAGTATTGATATAATGACTTGCTGTATTTTATGAAAGTTCTGTAAGTGTATGAACTATTAAGAGTTTAGGGGTGTGAAGTATGATACTGAGGTACACTGTTACAGGCATGGTTTTGATGGGAGGTATTAGGCCATGCGAGTGTAGACCATTGCAGTTAATCCCTACCACTTAACCAGTTCTTGATGGTGTATCCAGAGCACTGTTTATCATTGTCGTTTCCCTGAAGAAGTATCTAAATTTTTGATGAGTAAATTTTTTTAAAGCACATACAATATATATTTTTATTTACCTATAAACAATGTACATGTATGATTGTAATAATATGTCAATTCTGAAACAAATAGAAGTATTAGAAACAAAAAAAGGATTAGGTTAGATTAGGTCTGACGTGTAAGAGGACACTGACAAAATCTCAAATATAGAGGCCTGGTATGGTGGCTCATGCCTGTAATCCTAGCACTTTGGGAGCCTGAGGTGGGAGGATCACTTGAGTTCCAGACCAGCCTTGGCAACATAGCAAGACCCTGTCTCTACAAAAATAAAAATAAAAATAATACTGAGTTTTAGGCTGGGTGTGGTGGCTCATGCCTGTATCCCATGCACTTTGGGAGGCTGAGGGGAGAAGATTGCTTGAGGTCAGAAGTTGGAGACAAGCCTGGGCAACATCGTAAGACCCCATTTCTATAACTTTTTTTTTTAAAAAAAACCAGAATTTTAATATTTTCCACGCACTCCAAATAATTGCCTTGAGTAGACACCTTTCTTTGTAGACCGGTGCTCTAAATCTATGGAGCATTGACTCTCAAACTTGATTGATCACCAGGACCCCTTGGGGACATACACAAAAAGAATAATAAAAACAATGAAAAAAGTATGTCTTTACATATCACTATAGACATAAATAAAATTTCACGTGTGCATGTGTGTCTGTGTATGTGTGTGTGAGGAATATGTATTTAAGTTTTTAAATATGAGAATCCCTGTTATAGTTAGCGAGAGTTCTTAGGATTCATGGGAACTCTGTGAAATTATTTACAACATTATATATATATATATTCAGGCCTTCTTCAGAGGAGAAGATCTGTAGTTTTTATCAGAATCTCAGGTGGTCTTGTGTCTTGATAAAATAACAGCCAAGTAAACGCTAGTGTAGATACGTGAATTGGAATAGGTTGTTGGACTTGTGAGGCCAGGATGGATTCCTTCAGCATTAAGCTTCCCTGCAATCATGGGGCTGTTAAGACTGAGCAGTAGGCAGAGTTGGGAATGGTGGTATTTGTGCTGTTTCATAGATGAGGGCAGATGGATCTGGGAACTGACCTGAGGTGGTAACAGACTAGGGTCATAATTATATTTAGAAGGTCTGACATGTAAGAGGACACTTAAGAGTCTAGTGGACAAAGTCAAAGTCTGAGTCTGATGGCATAGGTCAGATTTTGAAGTCTAAGTAGACAGGCCAATGTCCCTGACAGGGAAGAGGGCTTAGGCAGAAATAGCATACTAATATTCAAGGCTTTTTTTTTTTTTTTGAGACCTAGTCTCACTCTGTTGCCCAGGCTGGAGTGCAGTGGTGCAATCTCGGCTTACTGCAACCTCCACCTCCCGGGTTCAAGCGATTCCCCTGCCTCAGCCTCCCGAGTAGCTGGGATTACAGGCACCTGCCACCACGCCTGGCTAATTTTTTGTATTTTTAGTAGAGACAGGGTTTCACCGTATTAGCCAGGATGGTCTCAATCTCTGGATCTGGTGATCTGCCTGCCTCGGCCTCCCAAAGTGCTGGGATTACAGACGTGAGCCACTGCACCATCATGGTAAGTTTTCCCAGATTCTGAGTGTAAAGGAAAAAACAAACTTTTTTTTCTTATTCTCATATAGCACTCAACACTGTTAACACCAGATTTTCCAGTAGACACCAACTGGGTGTCCTATAATTAAATTCAATTCTGACAACATCCACCTGGAGATAGGGTCAGATTCTACAGCTAAGGGCTCAGTCCCGCAGTACTGCTCCCTACAACCCACCTTCAGATGCCAATTGCAAGTCCCTGGTTGTGATCTGTGCTTCTGATTGACTGGGTGTAAGGTATAAATCAGGGTTCCCATGACCTCCTCCTCAGGTTTAATTTGCTAGGAGGGCTTACAGAACTCAGGGAAACACTTATGTTTCCTGGGTTATTATAAAGGATATTACAAAAGGTACAGACAGGCAGCCAGAGGAAAGAGATGCATAGGACAAGTCTGGTGGGGTGCAGAGCTTGCATTCCTTCTCTGGGCGTACCACCTTCCCAGTACCTCTATGCATTCAGCAACCTGGAAGCTCCTCGAACTGAACCCCTTTGGGGTTTTTATGGAGGTTCATTATATGTCATGATTGATTACATCATTGGTCATTGGTGATCAACTCAATCAACGTTCAGACCCTGTCACCTCCCAAAAGGTCAGGGATGGGGCTGAAAGTTCCAGCCCACTAATTACATGATTTGTATCCTGGCAACCAGCCCCCATCCTGAGGGTATCCAGGAGCCTAGTAAGAATCACCTCATTAGAACAATAGATGCTCCTATCACACAGGAAATTCCAAGAGATTTAGAAACTGTGTCAGATTCTCCTATCACTCAGGAAATTACAAACGTCTTAGGAGCTCTGTCAGGAACTGAGGTTGAAGACCAAATAGAACAAGATTCTCCTAGTGCCCCTATTGCTTAGGAAATCACAAGGGCTCTAGGAGCTCTATGCCAGGAACCATGGTTAGAGAACAAATATATATTTCTTTTTTTTTTGAGACGGAGTCTCGCTGTGTTGCCAGGCTGGAGTGTAGTGGCGTGATCTCGGCCTACTGCAACCTCTGCCTCCCGGGTTCAAGCGATTCTCCTGCCTCAGCCTCCTGAGTAGCTAGGTCTACAGGTGCGTGCCATCACGCCCAGCTCATTTTTGTATTTTTAGTAGAGATGGGGTTTCACCATGTTGGCCAGGCTGGTCTGGATCTCTTGACCTTGTGATCCGCCCACCTTGGCCTCCCAAAGTGCTGGGATTACAGGCGTGAGCCACCGCGCCCGGCCATATATTTCTTATCACAATGTCACACTGGGCCATTGTCCCTAAGAAGAAAGTTATATGAAGTCTTCTGTTTGGAGAGGGTTGTGACCCTCAAATTCCTGCCAACTCCAGAATTCTATAATTTAAATTCAGTAAATCCTCTTCCAATAAATGGTTACATCCAGTAATTTATGTCCTTGTCATATGTTTTACTTAGAGGCACAACTATTATGTTTCAGCATTGGTGTGTGTTCTTGATCATGAATTTACTCCATATAAGACCAGTCCTTAGAGTACTCCTCCAAACCTTCTGAACTTGAGTTCTTTTCCCTCCCCTGCCTGGTGGTGTTGATTGGGCTTTTTGAGTCCTGGGATAATGGTCAGACCGTCCTATGAAAGGTTAGTACTTGAACCAGCAGCCTTGTTTCCTGTTTTTTATTTGTTGCCGTCACAACTTAGAGGAGACTAGGAATTGTCATACCCCTTTTGTACATAAGCCAGCTTGTTAAAAGGAGTCTTGTTCCCTGAGGATTAATTGAGATCATGTTGGAATAACATCTTAGGGAGGAGTCCCCTGGAGAAGTTTTCTAGAAAAAAAAGAGAATGCATTTGTCTTGATCTAATTGAGCGTTTCCTATAATATCAGTATTTACAGACTTTTTTTTTTTAGCTTTTTGTTAATCATTTCATTTCAGCATTCATATTTTATAAGAAAATATTTCATGTGGTGAATTTGAATATACATGCGATGAAAGCGCTGGAGCTTTCTGAAGTAGAAAGGTACATAAATACTGGATTATTTATCAATTTATTAGGTATGTATATTTCTGATTGTTGCTTCAATGTTCCATTGTTTTCCTTTCCTTTTAGTGTTTTTAAATAATTATTACTAAGAATTCTTGCTGTCATTATTTTCTACCAGTCAGATCTTTGAATTGATCATATTAACAATATAAAAAATATGCGGCTTTCTGTTTCTCAAATTTCATGCAGTTCAGATGTCAGAACCTTCTATGTCTTTATAGCTAAAATGGGGATTTTAAAGAATCAAATAATGAAATTGTGATTTTAATGCAAGTTTTTAATGCCCCAGAGTATATCTGTGCCTGTATTTGCACACATACACACACGCATGCATGCACACACACACATACACACACACACATAATGTAGATTTCCATTTGCCTCAATCTTAAAATTAGCATTTGTAACAGTTCTGGTAGTATAGTTTGCCTTGTGAAGAACCCAGAGGCCTGATACTGTGTCAGTAAAACTGTCTCTTAGGTATGATTCAAACAGTTTTATTAGCAACATATGGGGTATGAAGGAGCCACAGAGGGGAGTGTGGAGTGTGAGGGTGCTGGTCTGTCTTTTTTGGCATGTAATTAGATCAGTCCTCATGCATAGTGTTATTTGTTGCTGCTTAGGGAATATGGAAAAATAACATCTAATGTAGTGAAACAAAAATCAGAATAAATTATAATTGTTGAGTTTATAGGGAATTGTTTGGATGAAAGATGTATTTTTTTCAAACCTAAATTTTGTTTGGTATTTTAAATTTTATTCAATCAGTATTTTAAATTAAAACCCACATTTTCAACAATTTTAATTTTTGGATTAACTTTATACAATAGATGCATAACTGAGTTTGATAGATGGGGAAGAAATTTGTTTTTTTCCCCCTATTGTGACAATATATGGTTCTGTTTAATTAGTTTCACTAAATATTAATTTTTCTTTGGAGTTATTTGTAGCATTTAAATGATTACAGTACGCTGATTACTAGATGCTACACAGAGAACAATATCAGACACAGCCTGTGGGCTTATGGAGTTTCATTCTATAAAAGCAATCACATATAGAGGATGTTTAAATAGTGGTAGAAGTGATACACATGTCAGCAAAGTGGTTACCTTTGGGAAAGAAGGAGGGAAATGGGATCAGGGAGGAGTATGTAGGAGCTTCATTTATAAGTTTTTTAGACTTCTCTTTCAACTAAGATTATTGATTGTCAGAGACTTTAAACAAGAGATTCAGGTTGAGGCAAAGGTAGTGGAATAGTTCGTTTCATTTTCCTTCCCTATAGATATTACCTGACTTGCTCAGTACAGTTTTTTAAAGGGAGGAGGGTAAACTGGTAGAGATTGAGGGAGAAGCCATAGTGGTGGGGGAGCAGGGAGCATTCTGGAAAGAGCCCTGTAGAAAAAGGTACTGAAATGTTTTTTAAACTTCTTCCCAGTTTTGCTCACTACCTTCAGCCTTAGGTTACATGTAATTATTTATATTATTGTCTACTCTGAATTTCACAGGTGATTTCTCAGTCTTTATGTAGGAAAGTTACTGAGAGGTAAAATTTCTTTACTCTAGATTTACATTTGGCTTTAAGACTGTTCTCTGAGACCCAGTCCTCTGAAATGGATAATTCGTAAACTAATTCTCAAATGGCTAGTCTGGTTCCTTCTGTATGCTGGTGAAAGAATATCAGAAGCCAAGCTGTTCAATATTTAGATTGTAGTGATTAAGAAAGCAGCATGGATTATATGTTTATTTCTAGAGTGTGAGCAAATAGGGTCACACTTCAAGTGCTTTTCAAATGCTTGTGACTGCTGTCATGTTTTATGACATGATGATTTTATGTAACAGCTATTTCCATGGAATTACTTTATTTGAGGAATAGACCAAACTTCTGCTTAAAAACATAAAGAAATCTTTACACTTACCCTTCCTATGAAAATTTAGTTGAAAGACCAAAAAGAGAAGTACATTTATGTAGTTTTGTTTTACTGGGGGAAAAAACTAATAAGAATTAGTTGTGTAATAGATGGGAGTGATTTTAGACATAAGAAGAGAAAATATTAAGTACTTGTAATCTTTACTTAGAGAAAGTGAACCCCGCTCAAGGAAATATAAGTAAATAGTAGTAATCTTAAGTTTATTATTTAAACCTCTCTTTCCTACCAGATCTTTTAAGAGTAGCTAAGAAATATCTTTCATCCAATTTGCATTTAAGTGTTATTATCTTTTCTTGGAAGACCACCTTCTTTTTATTTTTTTGTTTTACTTTAAGTTCTGGGATACATGGGCAGAACGTGCAGGTTTGTTACAAAGGTATACATGTGCCATGGTGGTTTGTTGCCCTATATCAACCCATCATCTAGGTTTTAAGCCCCATATGCATTAGGTATTTCTCCCAGTGCTATCCCTCCCCTTGCCCCCCCACCCCCGGCAGGCCCCAGTATGTGATGTTCCCCTTCCTGTGTCCATGTGTTTTCATTGTTCAACTTCCACTTATGAGTGAGAACATGCAGTGTTTGGTTTTCTGTTCCTGTGTTAGTTTGCTGAGAACGATAGTTTCCAGCTTCATCCATGTCCCTGCAAAGGACATTAACGCATTCTTTTTATGGCTGCAAAGTATTCCATGGTTTATATGTGCCGCGTTTTCTTTATCCAGTCTATCATTGATGGGCATTTGGGTTGGTTCCAAGTCTTTGCTATTGTAAATAATGCTGCAATAAACATACGTGTGCATGTATCTTTACGGTTGGATGATTTCAAATCCATTGGGTATATACCCAGTAATGGGATTGCTGGGTCAAATGGTATTTCTGGTTCTAGATCCTTGAGGAATTGCCACACTGTCTTCCACAGTGGTTGAACTAATTTACACTCCCACCAACAGTGTAAAAGCATTCCTATTTCTGGTAGACCACCTTCTAAACAATGTAGAAATCCTAACTGACTGGATAATCAACATTTTACTATATAGACATTCACAACTAAATATGTCCATTAGAGTTCAGAGAATAATTGAAATAATAAAATGTGGTATTATAATATTAAAAAATCTGTTAAGCTTATAGTATATAGATTAATTAAAATAACCCATCTAAACTATAAAATAATGATCAATAGTTATTGCCTTATATTTGTGAAGCTCTCTTAGTATTATAATGCGTTACAAATGTAATTTATATTTCTTATATATGCTGTTATATTTTATGATTATAACGGTTTTGGAAGTAGGTGGAATAGGTGAGTTTTTTTTTTTTACTAAATGAGGAAGTTGGATAGCATAGTAATTAAATGGGGTTTTTCCATGTGGACTGGACTAAAACTAGAGCTTCTAATTTCTAGTTTAGTGTTCTTTCCTTCTGGATCTTAGTCAGAATCAGGGAAATTTGGATTTTTCTGGCCCGTTGTATTTTTTTCTTAGGTCATTTTATTTTGGAATGTTTCATTAGAACCCCTTCCATATCTTGGAAAGCAAAAAAGAACCAACTGTATAAAATCAGTTATAATTGGTATCTTTGACCATAGATTTTTGGGGTGAGAAGGATAAAACTTGACCCAAATGATATTTTTGGATTATGTCTGTATTTATATATTATTTCTTTGGTGTAACATTTTACTATGCAAAAAATAAAAAAAGTTAAAAATTAACGATATCATTCACAGTTGTGAAATTAGGACAAAAGTTTTGGCAATTGAGGTACAAGCAGAATCTCTTTCTCTCCTCTTTTCTTTTGAAGAACTGCATCAAGCAACATCCTAGGACCCTTAAGATTCTTGGGGGAGTTTTACTCAGCTTCTCCCATTATGGTTTTTAGAATTATTATTATTTAAAAATGATTTTTTGGGATTATATTTTACTTTTAAATGAATTAAAAGTAACGGTGAATACTTATTTAAATCAAATATCAGTTAGCGTATATTATGAATGGAATCTCAAAAAGACATTTGTAACATCTTACGTAGATTTATATAGGCTTTAAGAAATGGAAACTTGGGGGCCGAGTGCAGTGGCTCCTGCCTGTGATCCCAGCACTTGGGGAGGCTGAGGCGGGCAGATCACCTGAGGTCAGGAGATCGGGACCACCCTGGCCAACATGATGAAACCTCATCTCTACAAAAATACAAAAATTAGGTGGGCATGATGGCAGGTGCCTGTAATCCCAGCTACTCGGGAGGCTGGGGCAGAAGGATCGCTTGAACCTGGGAGGTGGAGGTTGCAGTGAGCCGAGATCGTGCCATTGCACTCCAGCCTGGGTGACAGAGCGAGAGTCAAAAAACAAAAAAAAATGGAAATTTGGGGCCATTAGAAAGGAATGTTTACTTAATAATTATAACATAGCAATGTTATTTAACTGCTCTTTTTAGTAATATGTAATTTATTCACACAAAGGATACCTTGGTTTGCCTGTATTTTTTGGTCAGTTTAGGCTGTTATAACAAATACATCCTCAACTGGGTGGTTTAAACAACAGATATTTATTTCTTACAGTTCTGGAGACTGGGAAATCCAAGATCAAAGTGCTAGCAGATCCTTTGTCTGGTGAGGGCTTGCTTCCTGGTTAGCAGATGGCCACCTTCTCATTGTATTGCCACATAGAGAGCAGAGAGGAAGGAAATTCTTTGGCATCTTTTATAAGGGCACTAGCCCCATTCATGAGGGCTCCTCCCTCAAATCTTAAATACTCCTGCCTTAGTCTATTGTGCATTGCTATAAGGGAATACCTGAGCCTGGGTAATTTAGAAAGAAATGAGGTTTATTTGGCCCACGGTTCTGCAGGCTGTACAAGAAACATGGCACCAGCATCTGCTTCTGGTGAGGGCTTCAGGGAACTACCATTCATGGCAGAAGAAAGGGAGCAGGCATTAGAGGGAGGAAGAGAGAAGGGAGGAAACCATTAGGCTGTTTGTAACAATCAGTTCTTGTGGGGAATTTATAGAATGAGAACTCACTCATTACCATGAGAATGGCCACCCCCAAGCCATTCATGAGGGATCTGATTTCCTGATCCAAACTCCTCCCATCAGGCCCCACCTGCAACACCTCCAATACTACCAATATTGGAAATCAAATTTCAACATGATGTTTAGAGGGAACTAATATTCAAACTGTATCACCTCCCATTGGCCCCACCTTCAAATACCATCACACTGGGGATAAGGCTTTAACATAGGAATTTTGGGAGACAGAAACACTCAGTCCATAGCACTACAGTTGTTATTAAGTATAATGTATTGAAATACCTATTTAGAGCATGTGAATGAATTGTAATCAAAAGTTTAGATCGCTATTAGGGCTAACTCACCTCTCTCTCTTTTTGTCTTTCAGTTGCAGGAAAATTTTCATCTGTTTTACTACTTAAATATAACTTTCAGGAGATTTTTAAAAACCTAAGTCCTATTTCTCCTGTGGAAGTGTTAAAAATCCTAAGAAGCTTTCTTGAGATAAAGTTTGTCCCCTTTCAATTATTAAATGTGCTTTTCTCTTATCTGTGAATTTCACCTTCAGTTTACTGGCAACTGCTTTTTTGTGTTAGGATCATAGAATTATGATTAACTCCTTGCAATCTGGCTTTTGTCCCACCTCTGTACTGGAACTGCACTCGTGAAGGTCACTGGTGACCACATCTAGCCAAATGTAGAGGGTTATTTTTCTCAGTTCTCAATCTCCTTGACATGCTAATGTCACATGACCTTGGCTTTTCAGCTACATGAGCACTTTCCTTTGAAGTCTCTGCTGCCTACTCTTCTTCCTGTAATACCTGTCTCTGAGGTGTTAGGGTGGGTTTGTACTTTTCCTTTGCTAGGCGTTTACTTATTCCATTTTGAATCTTATAATAACTTTAGTTCTTCTTGTTTAGCATTTGTATCACAGATAAATCATAATTCTCACACTCTGATGGGTATTGCCGGTGATTCTCAGAGTTCTATTTCACATCATTGCCTATCACCTAAACTCTAGTCCTGCACTTTCATCTTAGAATAGATCCCAAATCATCTCCTTCAGATTATTTTTTTTTCCTCTAAATATCTGCATTTCTTTTAAAGAAGCATTCTCTTAATACCTTGACATTTTTAGTGTGGTGTCCTTTATGCTGTGTCCCTTACCTTCCAATACCTCTAATGTCCTTGAGCCTTTCCTGAAAATGTTTCCTAAAATTGCCCCATGTTCTTCATTTCTTTCTTTTCCCCAAAGTACTTTATAGTTTGTGAAACACTTACAAATGTATTTTTTTCTTGATTTAAAATAACCCATACAACAAATTTGTGAAGTAGGAAGGTCAGAGTTTATTAAATAAGTCTGCAGATGGGGACATATGTACCGAAAGTAGTAGTGACTTGCCTGAGTTATCATTGCTGGTTAAGGGTAAAGCCATTACTAAGGCCAAGGTAAAGTGAATTTAAGATTATACCTGTGCCCAAAGCAAGTGACTGTTGCAGTTTCCTCTTAAGAGATGTTTCAACTTCCAGTCCTCCTTTAATTCACTTTACTTACATTGCTAGATTAATGTTTGTAAAACCAATCACAGTAGCAGCTACTATCGATTGGTACAATGTCTCAGTCACTGATCTAGATATCATCTAATCTTCAAAACTACCATGCAAAGTAGATATTGTTGTATCTATAGGTAAAGAAAATTTTATGGATAAGGAAATTGAGGCTTACAGAAGTTAAATAACTTGCTAGTCATTAAGTGTGATGGGGCTGTGGGGTAGTGATTTCCACCCTGGCTCCCAAGCTCTGATTCTTTTTTACAACCACTTTTTGCCATTTTTCAAATTCTGGATGTTACCCCTCTTTCTAAGAACTTACTATTTCTTCATTTTGCTACTTAATCCTATTTACACCCCTTTATTAACCTTCTAGTATCTTCAGTAATTTGTTCATAAGTTTCCTTTCCATCATTTTCTCCAGTAACCCTCCACAGTGAACTCTGCTCTTGACCTTGTTCTCTTCTCACAATGACCTCATCTAGTCCTACTTTCTCACTTTCTTAGCTGGTTATTTTCTCCCTTTATAGAATTATTTCACCTCAAATTCTTTACGTATTCCAGCTCTTTACCTTCTACTTCTCAACTCTTAGTGAGCACTTAGAGCATACAGGGTGCCATGGTAGGAGCTGTGAATATAGATGAATGTGTGGGCCTTGTTGGAGAGGTGAGCAGTTGATGGAAGGAGTCAAACTGGATTCTCCACTCTGATTTGAGAGTGCTGGCAGAGGGTGGTGTGCCTAGGTTGCTAGGGATGTGATTAATTTTACCTGAGTAACTGAGGAAGATGTGAGTAAGAATGGACATTTGAGCTGTAACCTTAAAGGAAGAGGAGGAGGTCCTCAGTTAGAGAAGGGGTGGGAGGAGGGCATTCTTATTTTTTTATTTTTATTTTTTTGTTGAGACGGAGTCTCGCCCTGTTGCCAGGCTGGAGTGCAATGGTGTGATCTCGGCTCACTGCAACCTCCGCCTCCCGGGTTCAAGGGATTCTCTTGCTCAGCCTCCCGAGTAGCTGGAATTACAGGTGCGTGCCACCACCCCCGGCTAATTTTTTGTATTTTTATTAGAGACAGAGTTTCACCGTATTAGCGAGGATGGTCTCAATCTCCTGACCTCGTGATCTGCCCCCCTCAGCCTCCCAAAGTGCTGGGATTACAGGTGTGAGCCACCGCGCCTGACCGAGGGTATTCTTGAAAGAGGAAATATTGTATGAATACAGGAATGAAGTTACAGATATGTTTCCCATATTTTGTAATGTGAATGTTAAAGGCATTTGTTGCAAGGCCATGCAAAGTGGTGTATTGCTGCCAACAGGCCTCAAGTGACTGGACTTCCCTTGGTTGAATCATCCCAGTTCAAGGTCTGGTCTTTGACCTTATACTTTCAGACACCTGATTTGCTGAGCCCACTGGGAGTGGGTCTGTCTTAGGAGTGGGCTTGCATTAACCAAGATCTTGGAAACTGATACATGGATATCTATATATTTATATATGTTTGTCAGTGTGTCAGTTTATTAATTTCCAATGAGAAATACAACTGTCAAGTAGATTGGATTGCTTATCTTGACAAATCAGTACACTGCCTCCCTGTCTTCCTGTAGACAGGATTCTTGGGAAGCCAAGTTATTAATATGGAGGTCAATTGATTGAGAAATACAGCTGTCAAGTTTACCCAGCATTTCTGACCATTGCGCTCCTTCTCTCCTGGCAAGATACATGGGAAGTCACATTACTGGAAGACCACATTTGGAGCATGGAAAGAGATCCAGGAAGGATATTTGTTTTAAGAAGTATCTCTCACCTGAGTTAGCTTGAGGCAGTCTTACCCACTATAGGAATATCTTTGCCAAGGAAACCGTTATTGGAGTCAAGTCAGCCACCACTTTCCCTCTCATGGTAGCTTAGCTTGACCTTGTCAGCATTTGCCTAGGTGACTTCTTGGATTTCGTTCCTGACTAGCCTCACCCGTATTTCCCATAGCTTCTGGATGGGTGCATTCTCCTTTTAGATATGTTTAAATATTCTGTCAAGTTACAGGGAAGTCTCAAGAGCTAAGGAAGCAGGGGAATTTTCGTATCTCTGTTTTGATCCATGTGGTTTTAATTTTAAGTCACATTTCCTTATTTTCAGTTACTTGGGACCAAAATCAGGGCATGATAAATAGCCCCCTGAAAATATGAGATTTGGTGGTGGTGGGATGTGGGAAATAGGCTAGAAAGGAAAGTTGGAACCAGATGGTGAAGGATTTTGGGTGCCATACTAAAAGTTTCAAAGTATTCTCAATTCAATTCTCCTCCTCACCTCTCTAATTAGTTTTTTTTCCCCACAATAAGATTGTCTTTTCAGCTTTTAAGTTTTTGTTATCTGTATCCTACTATAGAATATGTGATATTGGCTCTCAGTGGACCCTTAGGAGATCATATAATTTATCCGCTTTGTGTTTTGACAAATAAATATTAGGTGTTATTATCTGCATTTTAAACATGAGGTACGAAGGCTTGCAGACTTAAGTTCTGCTTCTCTTCTTAGTTCAGGCTATTTCTACAGCTTCTTTTATCCCTCATTTGTTTTAGAAAAGGTATTTTTATTTTATTATATAGTGTATCTTTTTATATTATTATATAATGTTTCTATCATAGTGCTTATGTTCTATACATGAATAGCTCCCATTAATTAATTGTCATGTATCTGTCTCTTTTCTCTCTAGGTAGCTTGTCAGTTTTTTATATTTAGGTGGACCTCATACTTACTCTTTTTGCCTCTTATAGTGCCTAGCCCAGTTGAATTTCAAGCAATACTTAAGACAATAGAATAAAATTTTAAAGCTGGAAAGTATCTTGGTCTAGTGCAGTATTCTGATTTTCTCTTTTTTTGGAGACAAAGTCTCACTCTGTCACCCAGGCAGGAGTGCAATGGCACAATCTCGGCTCACTGCAACCTCTTCCTCTTGGTTCAAACAATTCTCCTGCCTCAGCCTCCCAAGTAGCTGGGATTACAGGCGTCTGCCATCAGATGCCTAGCTAATTTTTGTATTTTTAGTAGAGACAGGGTTTCACCATGTTGGCCAGGCTGGTCTTGAACTCCAGACCTCAGGTGATCCACCCACATGAAGCCAAGATTCAGAGCAGCTGTAATTTGCCATAGAGCACATGATTGGTAGAGCCATGACCAGGACCCAAATATAGTGACAACATGTCCAGACATCTTTGCACTATGGTACACTGTTTCTCTATTCACCTGAACGATGTTTTCCATAGGTGTAAAAGAGACCATCAGAGGTCACCCATATCAGTGTACAGTATCCAAAACCACTGTATTAAAACTTAAATTGGCAGCCTTTCTTGTTAGTCCTAGGAACAGTATAGTTTTAAATGTCTTAGATCTTATTGTGTTAGGTAAAAATTTGAGTGAAAAAAAAAAAAATGAAAGAGGGACATAGGGAAGGGAGCACATATCCTGAAAACTTGCTGTGTACCTGCCAAGCAGTAAGTGCTTTACATGTGTCAACTCGACTATGGAGATATGGGTCGTGAGCCATGGTCTACAGGCCTATGAAGACCATATTCTTCCCTCCCCTCCCCTCCCCTCCTCTGTCCTCCCTTCCCCTCCCCTCCCCTCTCCTCCCTTCCCCTCTCCTCCCTTCCCCTATCCCCTCCCCTCTTCCCTCTCCCCTCTCCCCTCTCCTCCCATCTCACCTGTCCTCCCATCTCCCCTCCCCTCCCTTCTCCTCTCCCCTCCCCTCTTCCCTTTCCCCGCTCCCCTCTCCCTGCTCCCCTCTCCCCTCTCCTCCCATCTCACCTCTCCTCCCATCTCCCCTCCCATTCCATCTCTGCTCTCCTCCCCTCCCCTCCCCTCTCCTCCCATCCCCTCCCCTCCCCTCCCTCTTCCCTCCCCTACCTTTCCCTTCCCCTCTCACCTCTCCTCCCATCTCCCCTCCCATTCCATCTCCCCTCCCCTCTCCCTCCCCTCCCTTCCTCTCCTATCTCCCCTCCCCTCCTCTCTCCCCTTTCATTTTTTTTTTTTTTTTGAGACAGCATCTTGCTCTGTCACCCAGGCTGGAGTGCAGTGGCATGATTGTAGCTCACTGCAGCCTCAAACTCCTGGGCTCAAGCTATCCTCCTGCCTCAGCCTCTTGAGTAGCTGAGGCTATAGGTGTGACCCATCACCCCCAGCTTATTTTTTAATTTTTAATTTTTAATTTTTTAGAGATAGTGTTTTGCTATGTTGCCCAGGCTGGTTTGGAACTCTTTGAATTGTGCTTCATTGTTACAGCCCTTGACCAAAGCCGGTAAGAACAGCATCTTGAATAGCAGGTACTACACTGGACTTCCTAATGAGGAGCACTCCAGCAGCCATCTTCCATTGTCTGTGGTAATGGTGGTAAATGTTGGTGCTGGAGCTGGGTGGCAGTGCCTGACTCACTAAATAACCTTACATTTTCTAACCATAGTTCATGGCTCATTTTTTTGACCTTTTATGTATATATCATTGTTGCCATTTCCATTCTGTGGGAGAAGAGCCATATTATAAGCCCACGTGTTTCTTCTGTCTACAATCTTACTTTCCATTTTGTTAATGCTCCTCCTTTCTTCTCTTTCTGCCTCCACCCTTTTTACTCTGGGTGTGGAGAGAAAATTGGATATGCTTGTATCAAAGTTACTTAAATGGATCAGTTTTAATTTTTTCCCCTCTGAATTCTTCTATGTTGATATGAAGAATCATAGGGCAAAAAATAAATAAATAAATAAATAAAAAGAAGGTGATACATAATCACATTGTCTTCCAGCAAAACAATTTTCAAAAATGGCAAGATATATGCAATTCATAACTTATATAAAGTTTATCATTCATATTTATGAAATCTGTGTTTTGGTGCTAAATGCACTTCAAGTTTCAAAGAATGGTTTTAAAAATACTTTTGAGTCGTCTCCCTGAGAACTTTCAACACTGTATAAATACTACACTTTTTAGCATTTCCTGTTGCATACCTGCAGTTTGCATCACCTTTGAGAATGCTTACCACTTTTTTGCAGGGCATATGTGGAGACTCAGCTAACAAATGTCATTATGTATGTGGGTTTCAAAAAGCAACTGGAGGAAATTATATTTAACGTTTTTGAAGAGTTGTTATCTGGGCTTTCCCCCATTTCAGAGCAAAACCAGGTGTAAACCAAGGACATGCATTGATATACATATTTTTGAAAAAAAAAATCTTTTTAGGTTTTGCTGGTTATTATTTTTGCTTAAATATCATCCCCCCCTCCCCGAAATTTAGAATGTTTCTGGTAAATAATTTAATCTGGTGGTTCCCATCACTTTATTCATTCAGTTAATTCTTAAAGATTGTTTCTTAAAAAGAGCAACACAGTTATGAGATGAGGAATTAGAAATAAGGCATTTGATTAAATGTGTTCTTAGGGAAAAATATGCTAAGAAGGCATTAGACTTTCCCCTTTATGCCAAAAAGCTTATTAGATTGGTAGGCTGTACAGAGGGAGGTAACTCAGGAGAATAGCGTGAAGTAGAAGATATTGAATAACAATAAAGCAGAGTGAGAGAAAACAGTTTTTTCTAGAATGGGAAGTATGGTTCCTTTTTCTCACTAGAAAGGCTCAAAACCTATGCCACTATGTTGAGATGCCATTTTTATTTATTTAGATTTTGCTTTAGTTTAAAGGTTGGAATAAGATGACCTCCTTTTTCTTTTTTTTTTAAATCTTATATCTACTGTATTACAAAAAAATTTATAGCATTCACTAAGTATGAATTAAATGTTTAAATTCTGTTAGTTGTATTTATGTTGTATTTATTCTTCCAGGTTTTATATTTTATGAGAACAATGCTTTTCATTTAGAACATAACATGTTTCATGTATGGTTTATAATTATCTAGTATAAGCTTTCTCTTATTAAGTGCCTAATGGCACTCACCTAAGTTTAATACAGTTTAATGTCTATTTTACTTCTACATAGTGGGCATTAGTTACTGATTGAATAAATGAGTGAATGAATGAATAAGTACAGAAATATGTGGGGGCATGTATGATTTGCTCTTCTGAGTCAGATTTATGATTTAAATAATATTGCCCTATCAAGCTCTTAAAATAAAGATTTGCATTAAATGATTATGTACTCACTATAAAAATTACAACCATTAAGGATAAAAAATTAAACAAATTCTACTACACATAAATAATCATTATATCTTGGAACATCACTTCAGATGTTTTCCCTCTTCTGCATACCCACACCCACAAATACCCACACACATACATATATTTATAGAGGGAGAACTAAGAAAAAAATGAAGGTGAAGCAGGAGTATCCTACATACTATTTTTGTTTAAATAAAAATGATGTTATTTCATTTGAACAGAAATGAAAGAAAATTAAAAGAATTACAGTAATTAAATAAGTGATTTTTTTACAATAAGGAATTCGCATTAAGTGTTTTCACTAAAGTTGAAAAAAACAATTATGAAAAAAGAGACTAGGATCATTTCATTTTAAAAGTTAACTACATATTATCTCATCAGTTTATTTCCTGCTGTGAAAAGTTAAAAATTAGCAGACTTTCTTTCTCCCACCTCCAAATTTTTATTAGTTATATTAAATTTGTAACTTGTCACGCTGTGCAACATTTGCATTCTATTTTATAATTAATTTTCACAGTTATTTAGTTTTAGTTTTATATTTAAAAGCATTCAGTGCTTACTAACTACTCTTTTATAATGGAAAATTGTCCTAAAATCCTGAGAGGTGTGGTCACTTAGAAAATTCCAGTCTGGGGAACCAATGCTCCCAAATAAATACCACTTTATTTTTGTTTTTTAAAAATAAATTTCTTTTCTTAGACCCTGAATTCCTGTAGAGTAAAATCAAATTGGCCTGTGCAGCTTAATTATAAAATAACAATTTTGTGTTTTAGTTTAAGTGTAATCCTTCAGATGTAAGAGTTTTATTTTCTTTTAGTTGTATATTTTTTAAAAGATTGGCGGATTATTTGTTCCTGAATAGCAAAACCCCAGAATGCTTGGTCGCTCGCCAAAAGAGTCATTACTGTTAGGTTGGTGCAAAAGTCATTGCGGTTTTTGCCATGGAAGTAATAAATCCAGTTGGCTTCATAAAAGCAGAGATCCTACTGGGCGGGGTGGCTCATGCCTGTAATCCCAGCACTTTGAGAGGCTGAGGTGGGTGGATCACTTGAGATCAGAAGTTTGAGACCAGCCTGGCTAACATGATGAAACCCCGTCTCTACCAAAAGTACAAAAATTAGCAAGGTGAGGTGACGTGTGTCTGTAATCCCAGCTTCTGAGGAGGCTGAGGCGAGAGGATTACTTGAACCCAGGAGGTAGAGGCTGCAGTGAGCTGAGATTGTGCCACTGCACTCCAGCCTGGGCGACACAGTGAGACTCTGTCTCAAAACAAAATACAAACAAAAAAGCAAGAGGTCTAGTTGCTATTTCACAGGACATTCAGAGACTATTGGAAATGTCACTTCTGGTGTACCTGCTGACATCCACTGACTGTCCTATCTCTGGATGATCAGAAAAGGAATAACTTGTTTCTTTGGGGTACCTGTGGCTGTAGGAACAATTCTCCCTAAATTATTCTGTTAGAATTTAGTATACCTTTTTATTCTTCTTTTCTTTTTACTTGATAATGGGAGGTAGCATTAAAGCAGCCTTGTTTATTATTCATACCCTGTCATGATTACTTTCTGTAAAAACCATTCATTCTGAGGACAAACAAGCTATTCTATGTCCATCCTGCAAAAATAAATTTAGTCTTTATACTAACACATATCTCCATTTCTTTATTTTTTTTTACTCTTTAGTTTGATTCATTTCTTAGCTGGCTGAATTTGATAGTTCTCCCTTTTGGTTATGTCTATATCTATATACTTATATGTCTGTCCTTATGTGTATACACTTCTTAAGAAGAGCTTATGGATGTTGTATTTTCTGAGTAATTGGATGCTTGAAAGTGTTTGTAGGTTGCTTTTAAGCTTTATGGTCAATTTGGCTGGGTATCACATAACTGGATTTCATATCTTTGCCTTACAACTCTGAAAGACGTTGCCTGACCATCTCCAGATAATGGTGACTGATGGTAATATAGAGAAGTCTAAGGCCAGAATTGATTTTCTTACCTTGATAACCTAAGGAATTCATGTTTATGTTTTATCTCTCTTGAATTCCGTAACATCAGAAAAATTTGTTTTAGTGTTAATTACTTTGAATTCAGTTTTTCTGGAATGGTTTCTTTTGTTAGTATTTCCTTTCTTCTCCCTAAGTAAAAGTTTTCTTTTATTATATCTTTCCTTTTTTTTCCTCTTTCATTTGTTCTGCTGTTTTTTGTTTTTGTTTTTTTTTTGCAAGAATGTTAAGTATGTATTAACTGGGTATCTTTTTACCTTCTATACTTATCTCTTATATATCTTTGTATTTCCATTTCATCATTTTTTTAATGCCTGTCCCTTCTTTTTCTGACTGTTTCAGTACTGAATATTCTGTTTTGTTGTTGTCACTTCATTGGTGGCTTTAATCTATGATTTTTCCTCCCAGTCTTCACCCTTAGCCTGCCAACTCGCTTTTCATCTCCTTTAGTTGTCTTATCTTTTCTTAGATATTTCATAATTTTCTTTGAACCCCTTTACTTTGAAGTAGCTTATATTCTTTATCACTTCTTTTAGACTGGAAATTATTTGTATGATTTTTCTGTCTCTGTTGACAGTTTTTTTCTTAATCTGCCATTTGCCTATGTTTCTCCACCCCAGTTTTTGGTAGTTCTGTGTAATTTCTTTGCTGATTTATTTCTGGTTGTTACTCATTTTTGAATAGGATCAATTTCATTAAGGACAGATATTGCCTGAAAAAAGTGTGATGTTAGATGCATGTATTGAGTATTAGGGAGAGGGGTTAAATGAAGTGCAAGTGATAAATTTGCACTTCTATTTGGGTTATCTCAAATACTCCATCACCCAAGATATTTCTTTTCTTTGAGGGACATGTCTCACCTCAGTTTGTAGTACTGTAAAGGTCACTGTGCCATTGAGGCCCACGAGTCATAGGAGCCTATGTAGTAAGTAGTCTAGTGATAGCTGTGTCCCTCTCTTTGACCCCTTTTGGCAGTCATTCTGAGCTAGGAAGCTAGGTCATTGACAATAAGAATGTCTTGTTTTGTTTTTTTTTTCTCTCTCCTTCTGTGGTATAGACATGTTTTCTGGAGAAACCTTTCCTATTCTCTCCTAGGTAGAAACTTAATATCATAACTCCAATTAGAGTTTACTGGAATGGGCTTTAGAACCATTCAAATTTTAGGGAAATCTTTATTCTGCTTGAGTTCTTAGGGAGTGCAGATAGGCTCTCAGGATTATTTCTCATTTTGATTCCAGATATTGCATAATTTGGCAGATTTTTAAAAATAGTTTGTGGTTTGTGGTTATGGCTGTGTCTTTGTTTTATTGATGAAGTGCTCATTACTTTTGTTCTGGTTTTTTTTTTTTTTCAGTTTGTTTCTGGAGTAGAGACTGTCTTCTGCTCATCTTTAAAAAATTTTTTTAGTTTATTTGCTATCACTGTATTCTTAAGAACATAGTAGTAAAATATCCTGATATTAGACTTTACTTTTTGTTTTTGAAACAAGATGTCTGTATTAAGCTCATTTAATATTTAGTGTATTTACAACTTGGCAACTCCTTTTAAAGAGATTTTTTTTTTTAACTTTAAGTTCTGGGATACATGTGCTGAATGTGTGGGTTTGTTACATAGGTGTACATGTGCCATGGTGGTTTGCTGCATCTGTCAACCCGTCATCTAGGTTTTAAGCCCTGCATGCATTAGGTATTTTTCCTAATGCCTTTCCCTCCCTTTTCCTCCCCTTTCCCTCCACCCGCCGATGGGCCCCTGTGTGTGATGTTCCCCTCCCTGTGTCTATGTGTTCTTTTTGTTCAACTCCCACTAATGAGTGAGAACATGCAACGTTTGGTTTTCTATTCCTGTGTTAGTTTGCTGAGGATGATGGTTTCCAGCTTCATTCATGTCCCTGCAAAGGACATGAACTCATTCTTTTTTATGGCAGCTCTTAATAATTTTTTATATTGAGAGGTCTTTATGCATGAATTTTTAAAATATATTCGGAGAGAAAAGCAATAAATATCAAGAGATTGAATGAAGAAATCAATTATATGTAATATGGTAAAACTGCAGAGTTAATACATATTGGTGAACATTGGCTGCTTGGTGTATAAGTATCTTTATTGGCATTGGGGACATAATCTTTTGAAACCGTCATTGTAAAAGTGAAGTGACATTGTAAAACTTCATATTTTGACAATAAGAACTGCTTCTCAACATGGGAAGCCTGTCGAATTTCTCATAAAATCACATATGATCAGCTTCTCTTGGAGAACTATATTTTTCAAAGAATCTGATATGTTTTAAGGAAAAGGTGCATTTTTTTTTGTTGTTGTTATATGAGCAGGAGAACCATTGCATTACATTTAGTATTAAACTGCACACACCAGAACCTGGACTTTATTTTAGAAATAACTTATCATATGTAATTAATTTAAAAATAATTAATAGACTTTATTTTTTAAGAACTGTTTTAGGTCCAGAGCAAAACTGAATAGGAAATATAGAGGATAGTCCCCTTCAGCCTTCCCCCAACCATCAACCTCCCCCACCCCAGTGGTGTGTGTTTGTTACAATAGACGAACCAATATTTATACATCATTATCAACCAAAGGCCTAAAATTCAGTTTTGCTCTTTGTGTTACACCTTCTATGCATTTTGACAAACAGTATAATGACATGTATTCACCCTTGTGGTATCATACAACATAGTTTTAATGCCCTAAAAATCCTCTGTGGTTTACCTGTTCATCCCTTCTTCTCTCCCTCCTTCAGAATCCCTGGTAACAACTGATCCTGTCTGTATACTTTTATCTTTTCCAGAATGTTTTGTAGTTGCAATCTTACAACTTTTGCAACCTTGTCAGATTAACTTCTTTCACTTAGCAATATATGTTTCTTGTATTAGTTCACTCTCATGCTGCTATGAAGAAATACCCGAGACTGGGTAATTTATAAAGGAAAGAGGTTTAATTGACTCACAGTTCCATATGGCTGGAGAGGCGTCAGGAAAACAACCATGGCGGAAACCAAAGCAAACTTGTCCTTCACATCACGGCCAAAGAGAGAAGTGCCAAGCAAAGGGGGAAAAGCTCCTTATAAAACCATCAGATCTTTTGAGAACTCACTCACTATCATAAGAACAGCATGGGGGTAACTGCCCTCATGATTCAATTACCTCCCACCAGGCCCCTCCCATGGCACATAGGGATAATGAGAACTACAATTCAAGATGAGATTTGGGTGGGGATACAGCCAAATCATATCATTTTGCCCCTGGCCCCTCCCAAATCTTCTATCCTCACATTTCAAAACACAATCATGCCTTTCCAACAGTCCACCAAAGTCTTAGCTCATTCCATCATTAACTCAGAAGTCCAAGTCCAAAGTCTCATCTGAGACAAAGCAAGTCCTGTCTGCCTATGAGCCCATGAAATTAAAAGCAAGTTAGTTACTTCCTAGTTACAGTGGGGTTACAGGCATTGGGTAAATACACCCATTCCAAATGGGTGAAACTGGCCAAAACAAAGGGGCTACAGGCCCCATGCAAGTCTGAAATGCAATAGAGCAGTCATTAAACCTTAAAGTTGCAAAATGATTCTCTTTGACTCCATGTCTCACATCCAGGTCACACTGATGCAAGAGCTGGGCTTCTGTGGCCTTGGGCAGCTCTGCCCCTGTGGCTTTGCAGGGTACAGCTTCCCTCCCGACTGCTTCCATGGGCTCGTGTTTAGTGTCTGTGGCTTTTCTAGGTACACAGTGCAAGCTGTTGCTAGATCTCCCATTTTGGGGTGGGGTCTGGAGGATGGTGGTGCTCTTCTTACAGCTCCACTAGGCAGTGCCCCAGTGGGGACTTTGTGTGGGCCTCCAATTCCATATTTCTCTTCCCCACTGCCAAAGCAGAAGTTCTCCATGAGTGCTCCACCCCTGCAGCAATCTTCTGCCTGGACATCCAGGTGTTTCCATGCATCTTCTGAAATATAGGTGGAGGTTCCCAAACCTTAATTCCTTTTTGTATTTTATTTATTTATTTATTTAGAGACAGAGTCTCACCCTGTCACCCAGGCTGGAGTGCAATGGCATGATCTCAGCTCACTGCAACCTCTGCCTCCTGGATTCAAACGATTCTCCTGCCTCAGCCTCCCAAGTAGCTGGGATTACAGGCGCCCACAACCACACCCAACTAATTTTTGTATTTTTAGTAGAGATGGGGTTTCACCACTTTGGCCAGGCTGGTCTTGAACTCCTGACCTCAGGTGATCTGCTCGTCTTGGCCTCCCAAAGTGCTGGGATTACAGGCATGAGCCACTGCACCTGGCCTCAAACGTTAATTCTTGACTTTTGTGCACCCATGGGACCAACATTACGTGGAAGCTACCAAGGCTGGGGCTTGCACCCTGTGAAGCAACAGCCTGAGCTGTGCATTGGCCCCTTTTAGCCATGGCTGGAGCAGCTGGGACACAGGCCGCCAATTCTTGAGGCTGCACACAGCAGGGAGCAGGAGTTTGGACCCAGCCCAGGAAACCATTTTTCCCTCCTAGGCCTCTGGGCCTGTGATGGAAGGGGCTATTGAGAAGGTCTCTAACATGCCCTGGAGACATTTTCCCCTGTCTTGGTTATTAGCATTTGGCTCCTTGTTACTTACGAAAATTTCTGCAGCTGGTTTGAATTTTTCCCTAGAAAATGTTTTTTTTTTTTTCTACTTCATTGTTAGGCTGCAAATTTTCCAAACTTTTATGCTCTGTCACCTCTTGAATGCTTTGGTGCTTAGAAATTTCTTCTGCCAGATACCCAGATCATCTCACTCAAGTTCTAAGTCTCACAGATGTCTAGGGCAGGGACAAAATGCTACCAGTCTCTTGGCATGGCAAGAGTGAACTTTACTCTATTTCCCAACAAGTTCCTCATCTCCATCTGAGACCACCTCAACCTGGACTTCATTGTCTGTATCGCTATCAGCATTTTGGCCAAAGACATTCAACAAGTCTCTAGGAAGTTCCAAACTTTCCCACATTTTCCTGTCTTCTTCTGAGCCCTCCAAACTGTTCCAACCTCTGCTTGTTACCCAATTCCAAAGTCGTTTCCACATTTTCTGCTGTCTTTATAGCAGCACCCCACTATCCTGGTACTAATTTACTGCATTAGTTTGCTTTCATGCTGCTATGAAGAAATACCCAAGACTGGGTAATTTATAAAGGAAAGAGATTTAATTGACTCACTGTTCTGCATGGCTGGGGAGGCCTCAGGAGAACCATTATGGCGGAAGGCGAAACAAATATGTCCTTCACATGGCAGCAGGAGAGAGAAGTGCCAAGCAAAGGGGGAAAAGCTCCTTATAAAACCATTAGATCTTTTGACAACTCACTATCATGAGAACAGCATGGGGGTGACCACTCCCATGATTCAATTACCTCCCACCAGGCTCCTCCCACAACATGTGGGGATTATGGGAACTATAATTCAAGATGAGATTTAGTTGAGAGCACAGCCAAACCATATCATTTCTCCGTGTCTTTTTGTGGTTTGAGAGCTCATTTCTTTTTAGCACTAAGTAATATTCCATTGTATGGATATACCACAGTTTGTTTATCCATTCACTTTTTGGAGGACATTTTGGCCACTTCCAAGTTTTGGCAGTTCTGAGTAAAACTGATATAAACATTTGCATGCAGGTTTTTGCATGTATGTAAGTTTTCTACTCATTTGGATAAATATCAAGAAGCACAGTTGCTGGATTGCATGGTAAGAGCATGTTAAATTTTGTAGGAACTGCAAAACTGTTATCCAAAGTGGCTATACCATTTTGTAGTTTCAACAAAAAGGAGCAGTGGTGAGCAATGTTCTTTTTGCTCTACATTGTCTTTAGTAATTGGTGTTGTCAGTTGTTATTGTTTTGGATTTTAGCTATTCTGATAAGTATGTAGTGCTATCTCAGTGTTTCATTTTGTGATTTCCTATTAACGTGATATTTGGGCATCTTTTCATATGCTTATTTGTCATTTGTGTATCATCTTTGGTGAAGTGTTTGTTCAGAGCTTTTGCCCCCCCTTACTTTTTATTTTATTTTATTTTATTTTAAAAGACACAGGGTCTTGCTCTTTCACCCAGGCTGGACTGAGTGCAGTGTCATGATTCTAGCTCACTGCAGCCTCAAATTCCTGGGCTCCAGTGATTCTTTTGCCTCTGCTTCCCCAATAACTGGGACTACAGGTGTGTGTCATTGTGCTTGGCTAATCTTTTTTCAAATTTATTCTTTGTAGAGACAGGGTCTTGCTTTGTTGCCCAGGCTTGTCTTAGACTTCTCACTTCAAGCATTCCTCCTGCCTTGGCCTCCCAAAATTCTGGGATTACAAGTCTGAGCCACTGTGGCCTGCTTATATGTCCATTAAATAATTGTATTTTTAATGTTACACATTAAAAAAAAAACATAGAGGCAGGTTCTCACTGTGTTGCCTAGGCTGGTCTCCAACTCCTGCCCTCAAGCAGTCCTTCCACCTCCACCTCCCAAAGTGCTGGGATTACAAGTGTGAGCCAGTGCACCTGGCCTTGCCCATTTTTAATTGCTTGTTTACTTATTATTGAGTTTTAAGAGTTTTAAAAAATATATTTTAGCTAACAGTCCTTTATCAGATATGTATTTTGAAAATATTTTCTCTCAGTCTGTGACTTGTCTTCTTATTCTCTTGAGAGTGTCTTTCACAGAGCAGAAGTTTTTCATTTTAATGAAGTTGAGCTTAACAACTTTTTTTTTGTCATGGATCATGTTTTTGGTGTTATATCTAAAAAGTCACTGCAAAACCCAAGATCATCTAATTTCTTTTATTTCTCTTCTAGTAGGTTTATAGTTTTATGTTTTATGTTTAGGTTTATGATCTATTTTGAGTTAATTTCTGTAAAGTATATTGTAAGGTCTTCATTATGATCTATTTTTTGTTAATTTTTGTAAAGTATATTGTAAGGTCTTCATCTAGATTCATTTTTTTCTACATGTAGATGTCCAGTTGTTCCAACATCATTTATTGGAGACTCTCCTTTCTCCATTGAATTGCCTTTGCTCCTTTGTCAAGTATCAGTTGACTATATTTGTGTGCGTCTATTTCTGAGCTCTCTCTTCTGTTCCATTGATCTATTTGTCTGTTTCACCATACCCACTGTCTTGATTACTGTGTAATTAATTTTTAAAATAATAATTAGTAAACTAAGTGTTAAGATTTGAGAAACAAGTTATCTCAAGCCAATTTCTGTTAAGTATGAGATAATGTGATGTTTTTTAAAAAATACATTATTTGTAATTATTTTAGCAAAATTTGTATGCAGCGGAAACAGTGTCACAATGGAAATAAAGAAAATGGTAATATTTCCACTTTAAAAGAACTACTTTTATACAAAGTGGCTCATTTTGGGTTCAAAATGGCTCATTATAAGTTCATTTTAAACTTATAATGTTTTAACTTATAAAATTTTAACTTTTAAAATTTTACATTTTTAAAACTTAAATGACAGTTTAAAAAGTTTCTTTTAATCTTCTAAAATAATATTGTTTGGAACTTGCTGCTTTTTTTTACTAAGAAAGAAAAGATAACTACTTTTCTGAAGTGTTGCGTGGTGTAAGTCAGTGTCTAATAAGCACATTTGTGAAATGAATTGAGCTAGATATTGGGGAATGCTAATAAATACATGGCACAGGTTTTTTTTTTTTTTTTTTTTTCGGCCTTAAAGAGCAATTCAGGAAAATTAACCAGTAATATAAAGTAATGTGTAGTAAGCATAGTGTGGATGGCAGTGTGTTGATCTCACTAAGAGGTTAGTATGTCTGGTAAGTGTAAAGTAATACTTTCACACAGCTGGTTTTTACTCATGGTATGTTTAACCTTGTGTCAGAAACGTAACAAATTTACATAAAAGTTTTTAGGAAATTATAATGATTATCAGATATAATCAACTGTTATGATATATTTTTATATCAATTTTATCCAGGTCTAAATTACTTAAACTACCCATTTTAAATGGCAGTGTGGGCTAGGCATGGTGGCTCGTGCTTGTAATCTCAGCACTTTGGGAGGCTGAGGTGGGCAGGCACATGAGTTCAGGAGTGCAAGACCAGCCTGGTCAACATGGTAAAACCCTGTCTCTACTAAAAATACAAAAATTAGCTGGGCATGATGGTGCATGCCTGTAAACCCAGCTACTTGGGAGGCTGAGGCAGGAGAATCGCTGGAACCTGGGAGGTGGAGGCTGCGGTGAGCCAAGATACCAATATGGCTCCATTCCACTCCAGCCTGGGCGACAGAGCGAGACTCCATCTCACAAAAACAAAAACAAACAAAAAAAAAAAACACAAAAACCACGGCAGTGTGATAAGTTTTGATAAAAGAATACAGCTTTACAACCACCACCACATTTATGATTTGTTTATTGCTGTCACCCCAGAGAGATCTCTTGTGTCCTCTTGAAATCAGTCTCCCATCTCTGTTCCCAGACAATTGCTGATCTGCTTTCTATATTTTAGATTGGTTTACATTTTCTAGAATTCTTAAGAATGTATTTTGCTTACTGTAGAGGATATATTTTTCGAAAATTGATGGTAAAGTGAATTTTTGTAAAATAAACCTTATGTTTTATTATCTTAAAATTTCTAAGATGCTCATATAAAGTTCAGTTGGTATTATCCCTGACATTTTTGGTTTTGAGTTTTCTGCGTTGTCCACTCTCTGTAATAATTTAAATCTGGATTACATATAACAATATGTAAAACCAACTGATGGCACATTATATTGTAAAGCAAGGTATCCTTTTGCAGTTACCTCCCTCCTTGTTTATTTTTAATGTTGATTAACAATTTGAAGAATAAAAGTGTACAGATCCTATTGTATTCATAGACTTTAATTCAGTCCTTTTTCCATATAATTGTCACTCAGTAGACAGTGTAACCTCAATCTGTAAAAGGCCATTTGCCTTGTCCTTATGCCCTCCTGCTCAGACCTCTGGGGATGGGAAAGTGAGGGTGGATAAATAGCTCTTTACTTCATAACATTCTGTTCTCTGTGACTCCTCTTACACATGCATGGTCTATTCTGAAAGCGTGCTGAAAAGTAGCTGTTGATCTCATGGATAAAACAGCCCCACTAGGATGGGATAGTAGAATCTTTTTATGATTTTTAAAATAAAATGTACTGATTGTTCATACCTTCATACAGAAAAGAGTTAATCCTTTGCATACAAAAATGAGCGTTTTCTGGTTTTGCCCAGAAAAGTTCTGTTTCTAGAATTTGTGCTGCGTCATTTATTAATCATTTTGAAACTAGATCTAAATAAAAACCAAACATTATGAAAGTCATGTTTGCTCCACTAAACATTTAAATTTCGACTTCATTTGGAAATCCTACACTCACATAAAGAGAAATAATCCTAATCCAAATTTATCTATAGTCAAACTGTGGGTAAGTAATGTTCTAAAAACTGAATTCTTAAGTAAATGTCATTTTGGGGTGATAAACATGGATCTGTTAAGAAATCCTGAAGGTCTACATTTGAACACTGCCCCACTGAAGGCTTCAGACAAAGGACAAAATGTTTCAGGAGTCAGTTTGAGAGACAGTATATGTGAGATGAGACTGAAGAACAATCAGAGCGACCAACCTGAGATCTTATATTTTATATGACTATTATCCCTCTCAAAACTAATCAGTCAATACTCTGTTTTTTTTTTTTAAGTTAAAAAAAGACTTTACTCAGATTGTTTTTGGAATTTCCTCATTTTAGGGGATTGTCTTCAGAAGCACAGACATATCCCATTCAGCCTACACTGAATGGTGGGTTAGACACTGTCCTGTCTTCAGCAGGGTAAGTCAGATGCAAGAACAGACATAAACAGTTACCTGCGATACAAAGCAGGTTGTGCAGCTGTGCTGATAGTGGCATGTGTAAACTGCATTGGGAGGGAGGAGTTAATTCTAGCTTGGCCATCATTAGGTGACGCTATTTAAATAGCGCCATGAGTGATGAGTTGCATTACAATTTTAATTTATTTTCTTTGTGTTTCTGAAGCTGCATTTACTTTAGAAAATTCAGCAAACCAGAAAAGCACAGAGAGAAAAAAATTCTAAAATTACCATTCATATTTTCATGTATATTTCATTGTTTTGTTCTTAGCTGTTTTTGACCTGTCATTTTTTTATTTTATAATATGAACATTTCTCCATGTCCACTAAATATTTTTCTACAGCATCATTTAAAATGACTACATAGTCTTTTTAACTATCACAGATAAAATGTAATTTATTTAACTAGTCACCTATTGCTGACCGTTTAGATTGTTTCTGTGTTTTACTATTACGTAAAACACTGTCAGAAACATCTTCATGAACATGACTGTTTCTTTTAAATTAAAACTTATTTTGCCAAAGTAATACATTCACCTAGTTTAACATTTGAATAGTTGTTAAAGGCCTATTAGAAAATACAGTGGTGGCTGGGCTCAGTGGTGCACATCTGTAATCCTGTTACTTTGGGAGGCCAAGGCCGGTGGATCATTTGAGCCTAAGAGTGCGAGACCAGCCTGGGCAGTATGGTGAAACCCCATCTCTACCAAGAAACAAAAACAAAAAACAAAAAATTAGTCAGGTGTGGTGGCGTGTGCCTGTAGTCCCAACTACTTAGGGTGGGGGCTGAGGTGGGAGAATCTCCTGAGCCCGGGAAGTCAAGGCTGCAGTGAACTGAAATTGTGCCACTGCTCTCCAGCCTGGGATATGAAAATGAGACCCTGTCAAAAAAAAGAAAGGAAAATACTGTGGTCCTTTCTCTAGAGGCAGCCTTTTATCTGTTTCCTCTAGTCATTATATATCTCCACATTGCTAAATTACATATATACACATTGCTATCTTTTGAGTTAATTTATTTTAGACATTGTTGACTTTATGTTATGGTCTTTGAAGATTTTTCACTATTACACAGCCATCTCTTTCCCTCACATTCCCAGTATAGTTAGATTCCAATTTTTGGCTTAGTGTTGCATTATTATATTATGTAGCTATTATTCATAGATGAGCATATTGTAATTAATTCTGATGAAAAGTTTGCTTCTGACTTTTCGTATTTCATGAAATTAATAATGCCTTGTTTTTTCATTTGCTTTGCTTTTTGTCCCTCTTAATAATTCTTCCTATACCTTCTATGAACTACTTATAATTTTCCATAAAGGGAATTGCATCAGATAATACATTTCAATTTTTTTCTTGAAGACATTCTTCCAGCACACTTCCATTCTCCTCCCATTACATTCTCTAGACCTGCCTCTTCTGGGATTTTTCCTTGCTCTTAACCTAGGAACTTCCTTTGCCTTTTCTTGGATCTCATAGTGTTTTCCTTCTTGTCTTACTCTTACATTTTTGTTTATGTTTCCTGTAGTATTCCTGAGAAAGGTTTTGTGACAGAAAAAATATCTTTATTCAGTTTTCTCACTTGATTGATAATTTGCTTGAATAATTAAATTCTAAGTTGGAAGTAACTTTCCTATAGGTTTTTGGAAGGAAATGCTTATGTTCCATTGTCTTCCAGCTTGCTCTTGCAAAGTCCAAGCATTTTTGATTCCTTTAACTGTAGAAGAAAACTGAGTAGAAGAATGTCTGGGTATAAGGATGTCATATTTTAAAAACTGTAAAGATGAGGAGGATGAAGAGGAGATTCAAGGCAGAGGGACTCGAAAAGCCAGGTGACAGCAGGTTGTCCACTGTGGTAAGAGAATGAAGGCATCTATGTCCATGTGAGGAGAGTGTGGGATATAGTTGGAACACAGTAAATTGAGACTCTATATTGGAGACCCATATATGGAGCTTTAAATTTGTTTTCTTTTCTTTTCTTTTTTTTTTTTTTTTTTTTTTTGAGACGGAGTCTCGCTCTGTCGCCCAGGCCGGACTGCGGACTGCAGTGGCGCAATCTCGGCTCACGGCAAGCTCCGCTTCCCGGGTTCACGCCATTCTCCTGCCTCAGCCTCCCGAGTAGCTGGGACTACAGGCGCCCGCCACCGCGCCCGGCTAATTTTTTGTATTTTTAGTAGAGACGGGGTTTCACCTTGTTAGCCAGGATGGTCTCGATCTCCTGACCTCATGATCCACCCGCCTCGGCCTCCCAAAGTGCTGGGATTACAGGCGTGAGCCACCGCGCCCGGCCTTTAAATTTGTTTTCTAGGCATTATTTCACCTAGCTATCATCAGCTATGTGAAACTTTCTTTGGCTTATGGCAGGCAAAATGAATTGGCTTCTGATTTATCCTCCCTTAGTATTAATACTTTACATGTGCCCATGTGCATATGTACTCATATATGTACACACACATTTTTATGTATCTATATGCCTGTCTCCCCCATTAGACTACATCTTTGGGGTTGGAGGAAGTGACATAATTAGGTCTGTGTTAAGGGAAGTACAGTAGATCAGTTCTTAACATTCCTGGTGGTTGAGGTGCCATTGAAAACTGCAGAATGGATACCAGGAAGAAAGGATTAAAAGGAGAGAGAACAGAAGGTTATTTCAATGCCTAGGTTTGAAGAAATGAGCATATGATGAACTAATCTACTGGGAGAGGGAGGGATACTACTTCAAATAATTATATTCCGATTATTCCCATGAGTCTAATTATTTTTAATTTTGGAAATGCTATGTTATTTTTATATATTTATTACACTTCTTACTTTAAATTTTTTCCCTTCTTGGTCCATTCCAGAATAGTCTGAAACAATTTTAACTCTTGCTTTATTGATTTTTTAAAAGTTGAATGATGTTTTGTTTACACAGCTGATGATTAATAGTAATGATGATCTGAATGAAATACCATCTTAATTCTATTTGGTTAAAGAAAAACACAAATAGAGAATTGTAGATGAAAATAATTTGTATATATCTTATATTGTCATTTCCTAGCATTTTCTTATTCTGAGCAGATTCGTTGCCTGAAAATGTTAACTTTGATTTTACCAGAGTCTTTCTTAAGTAGATAAAGTTTGAAATAGTATGATACTTTTCATTATTGTTTGAAAACAATGAACTTTTCCACAAATTTTCAACATTACAAACAGAGACTTTTCACCAAGATGAATGATCACTCAGAAAAAGTAAAGAACTAGTTAAAGGTTTTGTTGCATGTTTGTCACTGATGGATTTCTCAAAAGCCAGGCTATGTATTTATACTTAAAAAGATGTACCATATGACATATCACATATTTTGAAAATAACATCCCACTGATGAGTCTTTACTTTCCAAGATGCTTTTAGACAGGCTGATGCTCCACTAATGATAGGAGACTAATGTCTTTTGGAAACTTTCATGATGCTAATTACAATTTATTAAGCACTTACTCATGCCAAGCCCTGTGCCAAATAGTGAAGGGACACTGTCTCATTTAATAATAACCCTATTGGGGTGGGTGTTGTTTATTATTAGATGAGAAAATTGAAGCATAAAGAGGTTACATTTCTTGTCTGAGATCATGCATGTAGCAGGCAGCAAAGCAGGGAATGTTTATCTTTGCTTTGTGTATCTCTTCATTCTTAAGCTTGCTTCTTTCCACGTTATAGGAAAGATCTTAAGGAATATTAATCCTGTAGTGGCATCACATATGAACGGTATTTCTCACCTGTCCTATCATCAGATGACCATCTAATTTACTAATTTCTTATAGTGAGTAATTTCTCAGATTTTTTTTTGATCCTTATAAAACTGAACACCGTGCATTGTCTACTGTGCTTTCACAAATGAAAATGATGGTCCACTATAAGATTATTATTTGCGTTTAAAAAAAATTCTTGTTTAATGAGAATAGCCGAATTTTCTTTGAAAAACTTTCTGTACTTACTAAGACAATATTAGTATCCTAGTTTAATGTGTGTGACTGATATAGTTTTATGTTACTTACTTTTTATATTATTCTTTCACAAAAAATACAAAGCCTCCCCCAACTGTTGTTTCTCCTTAGTGCTAACTTTAAGAAGTCACACATGTTTCTTCCTGAACACCCAACAGTTTGGTATTCTGTCAGATGTTTTGCAGGGCTTTAGCAAGTTGTTACAGTGAATGTCTCCAAGAAGCAATACATTAGGCAGAGCACTGCAGAGACACCTGTAGAGATCAGCACACCTGCCCTCAAGCAAAAGACAGTAATTAGTTGCTCATCTTCCCTTGCAAACTTCCCCAATGTTGTTGTACATGAAACACGTAGATCACAGCAGTGCTGTCATGAGCTCCGCACTGTTGGAGTTGTTTATGCCCATTCAATTTTTAATGTTTCTATAAGACATTTTGATGGGAACCCTGAGCCCAAAGGGATTTGCATGCTTGATCAAACTTGTGATGATTTGAATATAGAAATAAAGAGAAACCTTTGAATTACTTTGACTGTTAACTTTTAGGACCGCCTTAGTGGAAAACATTCACATGATACTTGAGGCAAAGATGTGTTTGATCACCCTTTACAACTTTTTTGTTTCTTGACAGCAGGTATAGCGCCAGTAAATCTAAACAAGTTCTTTAATGCTTATAGATCCAAGTGCATGTGAATATCTGTATAGCATGGTCTGAATATTTTAAAAGATGATTTTGTACCAATCACTTTTATTGAAATTAAACCAGTCAAGTACCAATCTTTTAGTCCTGCCACATTGTCATATATAGTTTATATTATTAAAGAATGAGATGATAGGCGATTGAACTTTAGTAAAATACAGTAGTATATATGAGTTGGATATATTGGGGCCAGATAAATTATCACTTAAAGTACTTGGATGCCTTTTGATATCATTGTTTTAATTTTAACACTATATATGGTCTAGATACCATAAGGGATAAAAGCTAGTATTTTACCAAGTGACCTTTCAAGTCGTTTCTAACAGCTGGGATTCAGTTCTTTGATTATATTTGTGTAGGTTATTAATAAACAGCTTCAATAGAGTTTCATTACTGTTTCTTAAATTATATTGTTTGCAAAATGCTATCATTCCTAATATCATAGCAAATTCCATTCACATTTATTCTGAGAAAAAATAACCCTAGTAGTGCCTTGTTATTCAAGCATAGTCTGATGGCCATACATACATGCATCTTAAATTGGTTCTTGGAGATAAATGGGCATTATGGAGTTGTCAGATTACAGTAAAACTAAAGAAGAAGATGTTATACAGCATTGGACTGTCATTGACAGAGTTAGAAACCTTAGATGCTAATAAATGCAGTCATCCCATTGTACCTTGCAGTTTTTCCTCAATACATAGGTAGAATCTTCCTGTGAGTTTCTGAGCGTAGTTTTTGATTAGCTCTTCAGCACAAAATGGAATGAGTGATGTGAATATTTAAAGCTTACCTCTAGATTTTATGTTTGCCTGCCTTTTTTAGCCATATGTAAGCCTAAATGTGGATTAACTGGGGTTACTCCATTTGTGAGGTGATGATTATGATGCTAGTACGGTAGTATAGGCAGAATACTCTTTTTTTTTTTTTTTTTTTTTTTTTAAGTAGAGTCTTGCTCTGTCGCCCAGGCTGGAGTGCAGTGGTGCAATTTCGGCTCACTGCAACCTCTGCCACCTGCGTTCAGGTGATTCTCATGTCTCAGCCTCCCAAAGTGCTGGGACTGCAGCCATATGCCACCAAGCCCAGCTAATTTTTATATTTTTAATAGAGACGGGGTTTTGCCATCTTGGCCAGGCTGGTCTCGAACTCCTGACCTCAAGTGATCCACCTGCCTCGGCCTCCCAAAGTGCTGGGATTACAGGCGTGAGCCACCACGCCTGGCCTCTTATATTTTATATGCATAACATTTTGGCTAGCTTATACTTCATTGACTTTCGGGAATTTCACAACAGTCATTGCTAACAATTGGTCTGTCTATAGTGGCCTTTGGAATTCCTAATAACTTTATGTTAATGTTGCATAAAACATTTGGCAGTCTGTTTCTTATGTAAAGCTGCTCCATGTGCCCTGAGTCAGAAGCTTACTTTTTATCCTTGATACCTAGCTTAATGTGATCAGTCAGTGTTGGTTGGATTAGTGGATGATTGAAAATATTATGTAATGGATATGAATAGCCCATGGAAACAGTAAAGAGTGGATCACACTTAACACTTTTAATAATAGAAGTAACTTTTTCTCCTGCTTGTTTTTTTTTCAGCATAACCCTTGGTTCATATTTTTTCTAGGATAAGTTCCTATGACTTGATTTTAACTTTATCTCTTTACTATCAGTTCATCAAAAATATTCTGTGAAAAAACATTTTATACTTTTACTGTACTAAAGTTAAGCTCTTCTTATTCTGAGTCACAATCTGGACCCATTTAACTACTTTAGCTTTATTTTCTATTGTGCTATATTCTCTAGCTGTTTTTTCTCCTCCTGTGCTGGAGAAACTTTTTACTCCTTGTTTCAGAGCAAGTCAAACTTCCACTTCCTGGTGTCATGCCTTGGTCTCTGAGCTCCAATCTCATGAATTTCTGAGTTATTTCTGTTTTCCACCTGCCAGTTAAGAATGAAATCATATGTGTCCCTATGTTTTGCAAAATGGATCTATCTCCAGCTAGCTCATAGCTTCGTTACTATGATTTCTTTCTTTCTTTTCATTTTTTTTTTTGTATTTTAATTCTTTTCTTTCTGGCATGTGGTAGAATGCTAAGTACTTTGTAGTCACATAGTAAATACTGTACACACTTACACACTAGGTAATATCTAGCTTTATAGTAACAAGATAAGCTTCCTCCTAAAGAAAGGAAGACAGAAAGAAAGATGGACAGAAAGAAAGGAAGACAAAACAGAAGAAAAGAAAGGAAAGAAGAATAAAAAAGAAAGATCAGCAAGAATATTTTGAGGAATAGGGAAAGAGCAGTAATTGTGGAATTTTAAAAACTTGAGTTTAAATTCTGATTCTGCTTACTAGTTTGTGATATTGGATGAGGTTCATCATCTTTTGGTGTAAAATGGTAATGATATCTATCTGACAAACCTGTAAGGGTTAAATTATATAATGTATATAAAGTGCTTATTGGCATACCCTGGCACACATTCGACGTTAAAGAAATGGTAGCTAACTCTTTTATTTTGCATGTGAGGGAAGAAGTTTAGAGAGCTGACCAAGGGTCATATAGCTAGTAAATTGTGGAGAGAAAATTGAAAACCAGGCCATTCTTACTCTAAAGCAGTGTTTTTCAAACATAGTGCATCTGAGAATTATCTGAAAGACTTGTTAAAACACTGGGCCCCACTCCAGAGTTTCTGGTTCACTAGGTCTGGGGTGAGGCCTGAGAATTTGCATTTCAAACATGTTTCCTGTTGCTGTTGCTGCTGCTACTGGTCCAGGGACCACACTTCGAGAACCAGTGCTTTCTGGCATATTTCTCAACCCTAGTTGCACCTAAGAAATCAAGAAATCACCCTGAGTAGTGTCTATAAATTATTGATGAAACCAGAATCTCTGGTTATGGGGCCTAAGTGTGGATTTTTAGGTTTTTGTTTTAAGCTATCCAGGGGATTCTAACGTGCAGCCAGGGTAGGAAGCACCACTCTGCTTAAGTGAGGCTCTTTGCAGTTTTTTTCTTAGAACTGGGTATTAAGTGAAGCAGCTGACCCTGCACCCTCCTGGGTGCTCAGTGAGGCAAGGCCTCAGTAGTGTGTCGTTTTTATGCTGTTATGTTTTAAAACAATTGCTTTGGCCTAGAATCCTTTTACTGTTTTAACCTGTTCTACTTGTTTGTGTGGACTGTTTGCATTTCTCCATCTTCACCCTCAGTGTATCCTGAATGCCTTCATCAATCTCTAGGGTGGATTTTATGTTAATATTTGGCAAAAGCCAGTATTTAGCAATAGTAGACTTGAAGTATAAAGTAAATAAAGGAATATATCTAGTTTTTAAAAAAGCAGTCACATTACAATTTAATGTACTTTCAGAATTCTGATTTTGTTCTTTTTTCTGAGATGCTTTGGAAACCTTACATTGTGTTTTAGAGGACCCAGTTATTGGTTAGAATAGGTAATGATAATTGTGCACCCAGAAGTGTATAAGTAAAAATGTCGTAGATTAATTGATAAAGGAGTCATTTTTTCTTTATAGGATTCAGTTGGTAAATATATACAAATCAAGGCATGAAATCATTTACTGGATAAGAGTGGGCAAAATACCACATAATTTCATTAACCTTTAAGCAATGAAATTATAAATCCCTATGCAAATGTTTAAGGTTATCATTGCCTATCACCCCTTTTGATTCCTACAGACTGTTAATTCTTCTCTGTCCTGCTGAGTCTTATTAAAACTTCTGACTGATGTACTTTTATTAAAAGGTTTAGAATTTACCAATTTAAAACACTTGCTTTACACTATTACCTCTAATTTAACTAGGCCCATTAAACTGCATTTTGCAAAGGGAAGAAGTCAATTGCTGTTTCTTTAAAAAATAATAAATTGAAATGAATTTTAAACTCTGCTTAGCGGTGAGCAACTGCTATATACTACTAGGCCTTTTGATAGCTGATTTGTTCCTTTAGTATGCAAATTTTAGGTTTACAGAGATCTAATGCTTTTATTTAGGAAATATGCCCAGAGGCTAGATTGGTAGGCTTTAGGGAGATAACTAGTTTGGTGTGAAATAAATAGTTGTTAAAGGATCACATGAATTGGGTCCCAGAAGATGAAGAGTAGACTGAGACAGATTGAGGAAAACTGACTGTACTTCATTTCATTTGGCTATAAATATCACTGAATTAAAAATGAAGACAATGAATGATGGCAATACAAAGCAAATTAATGAAAATAAGCCATTTTTTTGTGGGTTTTCTGAAAAGTTCTGTCTTCTGAGCAGTTTAAAGAAAAGGGCTGGGTACACCCCTAACCAAAGAAGCTTAGTTCACATCATTCTGGGAGGCCAGCCTTTTGAGAGATTGTAGCTTTAGCAGGGAGGAAGGAATGGGTCAACTCCCCTCCCACCCCCCACCAGTCAAAGTCAGCAGCATCACTTCTGGTTAGTGAGATGACAGATGTCATAGAAAACCTTACATTCAAAACAAGAGGACTCACGGATGCTAGCTTAGGTTGGCAATTGTAGATATTCTGGCTTGCAAGTGTTAAACAAATAATAATGAACTTTTAGCTTTGGGAAGTTAGTTTTAAGAGGTTATACACTTGTTTTGTAGCATTGCTCTTTTGGAATCTCTGACTTCCAAACATTTATTTTTCCTTAAATAACTGAAAATAATGAAATACGTTTCTATATTGATAGCTTGTAGCATCCACTTTTCTTTTTTTTTTCTTTTTTTTCTTTTCTTTTTTTTAACAGTGCGTATATCTGTCTTTTTGGTTGTCTAAGCAGTTAGGCCCTCAAGAAATAGAATATTCGAATAGCCTTAGCATTTGAAATGGTCTCTGTATGCCTATTTGTTGTATGTCTCTGGTGGCAGAAGTGCAGAGGGCATGGGTGATGATGATGTGTGAAGGTGGGATGCTAGATTCTTTCATTGAGGCTGGAGGTTTATAATCTTGTTATCATTAAAGTTTCAAAGAGGTGTGGTGGGTAGGAGTGCCAATGCCACAGTCTAGTAGAGTGAGGAATGAGAATAAGTAATTGGTTCTTGCCAGCCTTAGCAATAGTGGTTTTGGTAGAGTGATGGCTAAGGAAGCCAAGTTATGGTAATTCAAGCATTGAATGGAAGTTGAAGCAAAAACAACGAGCTTATATTATTATTTTTTCATGGGGATAGTTGGTAGGGTTGGAAGAACTGTGTTATTGATGAAGGAGAAGAAAGCAGTGGAGAAGAAAGGGAGAAACCAGATAGTGCACGTTCCTAGAAACAGCATAAATGAATAGGATTCATTGTACAGGTAGAGGGTTTCATAATGGAAAAGAGGGTCAACCATGAGATAGGAATGAAAGTGTTATGAGACAGGAGAATTTTCATATGTAGAGTGGGTTCTTAGTTGCAGGCAACAGCTAGTTTGAGTTGCATACAGAGATGTATCACATGCTACTTAATTTGCAGAAGTGCCAAGGAACCAAAGTTGACTGTGAATAGCTAGGAACAGCACAAGCCATGAGAAACACCCCATGATACTATTCTAGTAGAAAACTCCACTGCCATTTGCTACTTAGAGTCTATGAGACTAGGGATCATTTAGTAGCATATCTACATAGTTGTTTCAGAAGAACAAAATGCCTTCACTACAAAATTTGATCTCATTTGTAGTTGGCTACTTCCTTGATTTGCTCATTTCTGCTTTCTAAATTTTGAATGGATTTGGTTGAACCTGGGTTCCCTGTGGAAGGCGTGATGCAAGAGCATCTGAGAAATGTTTTTAGCTTGAGCTTTGTGAATACAGGAAGTTAGAGTGCATGCTAGAAAGGGATTGGAGTGCAGCCTGGGTAATTCTGGCTCTTGGTCTTTCATAAGCTGCAATCAAGATGTCAGCCAGAGTGACAGTCATTTGAAAGTTAGACTAGCCTGGAGGATCTGCTTAGAAAATGGCTCTCTCACATGGCTGTTATGTTGATTCTGGCTATTTGGCAAGATGCCTTGTGTACCTTTCCCTAGGATGGCTTGAGTGTCCTCACAACGTGGCAGCTGGCAGCTGGCTTCCCCCAGGAAGATCCAAGAGAGTAAGGAAGAAGCTGTAATATCTTTTAGGACAGACACTGTCACTTTCACTGCATTCTGTTGATCACTCAGACCAACCCTGGTATGAGCAAAGGGATTACACAAAGGCATGAATTCCTTGAGGTGAGGATTATTGGGGGCTGTCTTGGAGGCTGGCTACCTGTACCCTCTTCTCCCCTTTCTTTGACAGCACAAGTTGATCGGATTTATCTGTGGAAGCAAAAAATGAAATTCTTTTAATAGAATGGAACTTGACAAGAATTTGGATAGAACGTGGTTCTTTATATTAAGGGTACACAGTGTGCAGTATTGTCAGCCAGGTTTTAAAGAGATAACGAAACGCTGTTCATTTACTTGTTGTCAGGTTTATATTCTACAAGCAGAGCTTGTATCGTAACATTATCATTCAATCTAGGTATATGTATTTTGAAGTGTAGAGATAATGAGGTAGTGATACTGTCTTCTAGAATAGCTACTCTGTCTTCATCTCTGAAATTCACAGGTCTGGCTAGCTGTCCCTAACGTCATTTCCTGGTCTCAACTCTTTAAGACCCTGACATACTCTGAGATTGGAGTGAAGATTTCTGTGACATGCTGGGTGGGTATAGGCTGCTGTCTCATGTCTTGGTCACATCTTATTGTTTATTTTTTCATATCATGTATCACAAATTGAAATATTGCTGATATACTTGTTTGTCACCCTGCATCCTTCTCCCATTCCCCAAAGTAAAGCTTCAGCAGAATAGGGCTTTGTTGACCTGTTCACTGCTGAGTCCTCAGCACTGAGTGCAGTGCGTGGTAAATGCCCAGAAGGTGATTGTCTAAATATGTTATTTTTTGAGAATATATACGACATGATTATTATTTGAAACAGGACACCACAAAAGGTAATTTTTCCCTTCTTCTACTTGATTTCTGTCTTTTCAGCCTTTTTCTTATACCCCACCCCTTTTTTTTGGTGGCATCTCAGTTCAGGATGTTCTCTGTGGCTGTGAATGCTTTCCCATCTTGTTCACAGTTGGTACCTGGAAGGTTCTCTAACCTTGTTTCTTTCTGATGTAGCCTATTCTGACTCTGGGATTACTATTTAAAGTAATTCTTTTAAGAGATATGTTTGGCTAATTCTGTAATTTTTTTGTTATGTAGACTGTTTGGGAGCCACATTTCCTATTGATTTGATCACACCTTATTTTTTCCTTGTCATAAATGGTCCTTTTTGGATGAGTTACTGTGTGAGTTCTGACCCTGTCAGAATTGATATTCTTAGGAATCCTGACTTTAATATACACAGAACAGGAAAAGTTTCCTTGTCATAAATGGTCCTTTTTGGATGAGTTACTGTGTGAGTTCTGACCCTGTCAGAATTGATATTCTTAGGAATCCTGACTTTAATATACACAGAACAGGAAAAGTCATGATAGGCACCCTTGGGTATATATGGTAACATGTTAGTTCTCTTCAAGACTGTGCATGGCTTACAGGGATCACAGGACTGTGTGAGTTAAGCAACAGTTTAAACCTGATGTATTGCTCTCCCAGAAAGTAGTATTCTTAAGGTATTTACCCCAGATCTGCAAGTGTCTGTGTTTCTCTGGGAGGGAACCCCCAAACCTGGAATGCTCATCCATATGCATTCCAACCTGCCTCTGAGATGTTAGGCAAGCCTCAGCAGAGGTTCTTGACAGTTTTTTGGACTATAGACCTTTTGGCAAATCTGACAAACTATTGACCTTCTCCCAGAGATACTTATTTACATAAACCCACAAATTTTACATATATCATTCAGGAGTGCATAGATTCCTGAAGGCCATCCAGTGACCAAGGTTAAACACCTCTAATCTGAATAGTAATAATAATAATAATTATTATTATTACTGAGTTACAGATGATTTGGAAAATCTCTGGAGAGACTGAAAATCTCTTATTAATTAAGAATAACCTTAGAAGCACTCAGAAAATTTCTGTTCTTGCACGTTCTTCTCCCATCTTGGAATATCCAAGAGCCAGACTAGATCATCCGAATCAGCTCTTGACCAGCTCAAGATTGAGAATTCAGGCTGGGTTTATTTTGAAGTTACTAACTATGTCTTTTGTGATCTTACAGGTATCTCTGCATTAGCCAGATTGGACATATGTAAAGGGACATCAGTATATCTGGATCATCAGGTAAGCAGATGGGACTTCATTTTTATATCTCCATCAATTCCGTCCTGTGGCAATATGCGGGCATTTTCTATCATGTCTTGTTTACTGCAGTGTGGGTCAGTAAGATGATTGATATTTCTAAAGAGAAGGAAGCAGCCTTTTTTAAGTTTCACCAGATTATTTCCCTGCTGCTTAAAGTCAGATTTCTTCATTTTTATCTCATTATTATTTCATGTATTCATACATCTATAGTAGATAATAATTCTCTACTTTTCTTTTAATGTATATTCTTTGGAGAGTTGTGGACAGCTCTCATATTGTTCCTTGGTTGTCAGCCAAGTTATAGACATTTAACTCCTTTAATCTTTCTTTGTAATTGAGTTAGCTTGGCTGCCTTTTCCAGATTTTCCCCTCGTTTTATGGTACCATTAATAAACAGAAAATCAGTCTATTGCCTGGCTTCTTCTACACCTTTCATTCTTTTTGTTTTCTGTTTTTGCCTCATATTCCTTGTTGAACTAAGGCCAGCCAGACATCATTCTCTGGACTACTTTGGCACTACATGAATGCCTTGCCTGCAACTATCAGTGTCCCATGCAGTAATACCATCAGCAGTATGTCCTAGAGAAAAAAGAAATATAAAAGGCGAGCAGCGAGGAGCAAAATAATGCATTCTTTAATTACATGGCAGACTTACCCTTACCAGCCAAAGTAAATCATTGTACCTGAGCCCTTTAACACAGCTTTTGTCATCCTAAAGTGCTGTGCATGGGCACTAATTTGAATAATAAGAGAAGCGTGTATATTGTTTGAAGTTTGCCCACTGTTCTCACTTGATTCCTTCCCCATGTTCTCACTCCCCCACTGCCTTTCTCAACACAGATCGTGACTTGTTATCAGATTCTGTGGCCGTGAACAAAACTGGGCAGGGGATCCTTTTGCCGGAAATTAGATAGGCTCAGGTGGTAAATGCTCCATGTCTCCATGTATAACATCTGAGGCAAGTGCTTCAGTTCTTGCTATTTCTATAACAGCTATTGGTCTTCTTTTAACAGCTGATTCAATGGCATTGTGCAGGAGGAAAGGACTAGTAGACGTTTGGTTCTATTTATCAACACTGTATTAGTTGCACAACTTTTTTCCCTTCTGATTGGCAGGGAGAAGCATACTGCTTCTAGATGATGCTGAGCTTAGTGTAAAATATGCCAGCATGGGATCTGAGCTGACACAGTTCATTCTTTCTTTTCATTTGGTTTGTAGAAAATAGACCTCTCCCTTTACTTATCTTGTGCATTAGAAAGAAAAAAGGTCATACATCTAGGAGCTAATGGCTTATTGGTGTCTTTTAGTCACCAGATTCAGATAGTATATTTAGTTGAAGGTTGCAGCAGCACACACTTGGCTTTCTCATTTGTGTTAGCTTCACTTCTAGTACAGAATTGAATAGGATTGAAGAGACGGTTTTCCTGTTTGTGTCTGTGGCAACTTTTTCGATGATTTGTGGTTTAATTCTTTAAACATTTTTGATCACTTATCACCTCTTTCTCTGTGAAGGCTTAAAGTATTCAGATTCTAATGTTATAATCTTTTCATCAGATTATTTAATTTTGGAGAAATCAAGGTCAGAATAGCAGCTGACACAGTTGTCTCTGAATAGTGACCTAAAAATTATAATACTTCTTTTTTTTTGGCCTGGATTTTATGGTCTGCCTTTGTGGCATCAGATTTTTAAATAAGATTATGTGATTGTGAATCATGTATTTCTTGGTCTCTGGCCTCTTAAACAGGTAACTATATGACTTGGACCCTTTTTAAGTCTGTTTTTTAAAAAATGTTAATCTCTCACATGGTTTTTAAACTGTTGACAGTATTGTACTTGACATTAATTTTGTTAGGCAGTTAATGCATTCTTCGGCATAACTTTGTTTCTTGGGTCTTTTCAAGACCTGTCAAAGAAAACAAAATGCTAACCTGACTTTAAAGGGGCAAGAAAATCCCCCCCAAACTATATCATTCTTTGTTCTCTATGTGCATCAAAGTGACAATCCTACACTGTCTCAATTGAGCGAGTCTAGCACAAAAATGAAAAACAGCCTGGCACTGTTATAGGCTTGCAGCCAAAATGTTTTGTGTAGCTTGGTTCTGGCAGTGGTTTTTGTAAGGCAGAGGGTCTACCCTCACAGCATCACCGAAGGAAGGCAGGCAGCCTTAGTCTTTCCCACTTACACCATTATTTCCCCCTCTTCTCTTCCTCTTTCTTCACACAGACCACCATTGTGAAAAGAAATATTTTTTTCTGAAATAGAAATATCATTCCCCTTACAACTTCCACATTTAGTAAGTGGCTTTGTTCCTTATAGAAGTTGGTGCTAAATTTGCCTTTTCCACTCTCTTAGATATTTTCTTTACAGTTGCATTTTTGCTACTATTGCTAACTTTGGTCATGTTGACACAGTATTTTTTATTGGTTGGAATCTTGTCTGCTTCAGAATTTATTATTTGAATGGAAACTTTTGAGTGATATTTGCCTTTATTATATGGATTTTTATGCCAAGGTATCTCTTGTTGAGACCAAAATGTCTGCCATTGTTTTCTATTTTTGTCTAAAATTCAGGGTCAGTTCATGTCTTTTACAAATTGAATACTCACTTTTAGAGTGTCTGATAAGTCTTGGTAGATAAGCAAGTGAACTTCCATTAAAATAAAGGATGTGCATTTAAAATATTTTTCCTTTGAAATAAAAAATGCAAGGTAAAACACAGAAGTGTTTTTAAGTTTACCAATTCTTGCAAAATTATAGTTAGTGCCCTACCATTAGGAGTGTGAAAATGTGGCATAATGAATTTTAAAGAGATGATTTGAGCAGGAGACTAGATTTTCACTATGAGCAAGCATTCGATGAAATTTCGTAGAATGTTCCTCACAATGTAAATATGTTTTCTGTTGTATTAAGCAAAACAAATGATTTACTTTCAGGTGATCTATTTTTAAAATTAGATTTTTTAGAGTGATCTATTTTAAAAATTAGTTTTGCAATCAAGATAAGAACAGTTAATAGTCAGAATATGTTTTTATAGAAGGAGATTGATATTATTTTGACTGATCTTTATTTTAAAAATTGTCAATGATTTTTGGCAATAAGAAAATTACTTTGAGAAGAAAAACTCATGTATTTTTGTAACAGTGTAACAAATGTGACTGAAAAGGAAGTAAACAGTGGCTCATGTTTGAATTATTAATGTGAAACATTTTTATATGCCATATATACTGGGAAATACATCTATTATGGGTACTTTAAGATAAAATTGTGCAATCTAACAGTTGTTTCTTTTGCGGGGATTTATTTTTAATTTAGAAAACACTTTAAAATTATTAAAAGGATTTGTAAAACAGAGGTGTATCAGCAGTATGCATTAAATAAACTCACCTGTTATTTTCTCTCATTCAGAACAGGCTCAGCAACATATTGGTTCACTACTTTAGCAAAACAAACAAATATTCAAATTGCTTTGTATGCATAATACACATGTAATAAATGCTACAGTTCCCCATTGCTCCCAATGCTATCTTTTTAAACTTGCAAAGTGGCTTTTTTTATGCAGAGCTACTAAAATGAATCTGGGTGGGATGCCTGTTAAGTTATATGAATTAAATCTTTAGGTCAACATTTTAAACTTCTGAATTCTGACAGTTTTGCGAAGGCATGCCAGCGAAACTTTTTTCACTTGATCCAGTTAAGTTCATGACTGTCTTGAATCCCCTGTGCCAAGGTCTGATAATGTTAACATTAGCGAGTAAAGATAACACACACACACACACACACACACACACACACACACACACACACACACACCTCTTTCATTCTGTGTATAGTGAATAATGTTTATTGCATATTAACCACTATTCAGTGACTTTAAATACACTTTCTGCAGTGGTTTAATTTTTATTTGCAGTGAAACCCTTTATTTTTTCTGTGGTAAGAATATATCTTTTAGTGATTTAGGACAATGTGAATTGTCCTATTTATTTATTCTAACTACACACAGAGGCATAGGAGAAATATTTAAGAGCCATAATGTTTAAGCAGTTTTTTGGTAAATACGGTTGAGTTTTTCATTTTTGTAGAATAGAATTTATAGACAATAAATTGTATAGTTTTAATTCAGAACACATAGCAAAGCTATTATCTTTTTAGTTTGACATTATATATTTTTTAGGAATATAATATAGTAACTTAATCATTATATTTGTAAAAACATGGAGAAAAATTTATTAAGAGATAACAGCAAAATTGAATAAACACTGTTGATTATTTTAACTAGGATTTTACTATATTAAGTATCAAGTTTATAATTATAACTAGTACTTCATTTCATTTGAATGTCAATATAGGTTTCAAACATGACTCTTGGGGAGATGATTTGAATGTCTTGTTTGATATCAAATATTGGTAATGTAATAACAAATAGTGATTTTTAAGTTTATGTGGTCAAAATGAGTAATCTTCCCTTAACCATATGGTACATACTTTAGTGTCAAAATTCAATAGATAGTATTGCATGAAAGAGTACATGTTAATTCAGTTGTTTGATTTTTCCTCTTAATTTTTGATACGTTTTAATTTCTCCCACCCTCTGACATATTATTCTGTAGAATACTTTTACAAGTATTTCATATGTTTTCTATGGCATCTCACACTGCTCACTTTTTATCTATAGTACCATATGAGTTCCTCTTTTTTAGGTTTACACTGCATATTTTAAGCTGCTGATAGTGTAAGTAGATTGCAAGGTAAAGTGACATTTAGCTTTTTGAGTTAGCTTCATTTTTAGCATGAGAACAGGTTTTTTTTCCCTGTCCTAAATCTTCTCATATTTCCCATTAAAACAATCTTACTAACATTGAACAAAGAAATTCAGGGATTTGGCTAAAGCAGCAATTGAAATGCATCAAAAAGTGGCTACTACAATACAATTTTATTAATGAATGATCTACATTGGTTCCAGCTGTGTCCATGTGATTAGGCCTTCACCAGGCAACAATGGGTATTTCCCTATTGCTTTTATTTGATTTCCAAGAATGTGTCATCTGTTACATCAGCCTCTGCCAATATGCCCCTGTAAAAGTGTTTTTTTTTCCTTCTAAATTTCTGAAGCATAAGTTGAATACCCACACATAGCCCTGCTGAAATATTGTTTCTATTGAATGGTGGCCTAGGTTTGTATGCCTGGTGTTGCATACCAAAATCTCAGAATGTAAATTAAAGTAAATGTTTATTAAGTTTATCAGTAAATTTTTGGAAGTGTGGTTGCCTGGTAATGCTAAAGATAGACTATTTTAGCTTTTACATTTTCATCTTAATATTTTATTACAGTGGTATAATGTGTTATAGAGGTGGACAAGCCTGCAGATTGAAGTGGGGATCGTCCAGATTGTTCCCTTCCCTGGACCATATGGTATAGTTCTAAAAGCCTTTTGTACGCTGTCTGTTCAGTTTATTGTAAACTCAATCTTTAGTGCGCCTAAAAAGATAACCAAATAAAAGTGAGCCTGAGAAAACGGACTTCATATCATATAGGGACCCCAGATATATATTTTTGAAAGGAGATAACTGAAAATGAAATTGAAGTTGAGATGATATTATAAACAAGGGAGATTTGTCATTCTCTGAATTTTTTTTATATCACATGGATTTTCATAGATTGTCTTTGAATACTGCTTTTAAAATGAAAGCATTTATGTTATGTGACTATAGTTATTATGCTTATTTATCCCATTCTTAGGGTTTCAGGAAAAAGAATGTAGCATTGTTCTGTTTTACAGAGGAAGCCTCTACCTGTGACTGATGGTAAGGAATATATAAACTACAGGTTTTATGAATATGTGGATTTTTTGACTTACCTTCGTGACAATTTAGGCTAGATAACTCAGTAATTTCATTCTGTGAGGAATTACCTATACCCAGAGTTGAAAGGTTTCTAATTCTTATTTGTTTTCCTTTCTTCCCCCCACGCCTAACTTAATATGTTTCTATAATTCTATTTTAGGAAAATAGAGTAAGAGATTGCTTATCCTATATGCTAAGATCCTTTAGAAGCAGGAATGAGTGATTGCTCCTGACTCTCACTCTCCTTCCCTCCAAAGTAAGCCACTGTTTGAGAAGAGCATTAGACATTACCCACTGCTTTTTGGCATAAGAGATTTGAAGTTGAAATCCTACCAAACTGGGGGATAAAAAGGAAAGCCTGTGAAGAACATGGTTCTTTACTCTATCATTACCCTGAACCACTGAAAGGGTAACTGAGAGGAACTCAAATGTTTTTGGAATGTGTAATTTTCCTTTGAATTGCCACAGTGAAATATATTTCAACAAAAAAGGCAGAACAAGTATATGTAGTGTACGGAGTTGATGGTGATTGAAATTAATGAATCTTTTCAGCACTATACAATAGGAATTATCCCAAGAATAGTACACATTTAAAATTTGTCTGAGAGAAACATACATAGAGAATGATTATTGTGTTATTATTACCTTAGGGAGATGACTAGAGATAGATGGAATATTAAATAATACAATAATGCTAGTGGTAAATTAGACACAAAGTATTTGTTGGGATATACACTTTTCAAATTCAAAAAGTTTTCTAAAACAGAACCATTGATTTCAAGTGTATGTGTGGAGTCTTCCCTATTTAAAAAATACTGTTGTTTTGTAATCTCTCATTTATTCTTTTTTTTTTGGATGGAGTCTTGCTTTGTCACCAAAGCTGGAGTGCAGTGGCGCGATCTTGGCTCACCACAACCTCCGCCTCCCGGGTTCAAGCAATTCTCTTGACTCAGCCTCATGAGTAGCTGGGATTACAGGCACATGCCATCACGCCCGGCTAATTTTGTATTTTTAGTAGAGACAGGGTTTCTCCATGTTGATCAGGCTCATCTCGAACTCCTGACCTCAGGTGATCCGCCTGCCTCAGCCTCCCAAAGTGCTGGGATTGCAGGCATGAGCCACTGCGCCTGGCCTTTCATTTATTCTTAAGCCACTTTCTAAGGTGCCCACAAAATTGAAAAGCATAGTTTACACTTTCACACAAATTAGATCCCTCCCGTTTTCTCTCCCCCCATTCTCCTTCTTTTCTCCTTTCTTCCTAACCTTCAGCTATTTACTTATATGTGTGTATTATATATATGAATGTTATATACCATACTATAGAAAAATGTTATTTTAATAGATTTGAGGGATTGAAGGTTCCACTTAAAATAAAAATCTTGTAATAACTATGCAACAAATGGATTTATATGGAGGAATTTGACCATGTTTATAGAAGTAATTCAGATTACAGAAAATTGTAAAAGTGTACATTCAAAATTCTTTTTTTTCTAGCTAGTAAGGACTGGATTATAGCTTAAGAAAGGAGGAACCATAAAGAGTCTAACTCAAGTATCTCTGTTTTAACGGTAAAAATGCCTCTGGCTCCAAGTAGTAGAAAATCTTACTGACATTAATTTAAATGAGTTAGTGTTTTATTTGTCTCATAAGAATCAGAAGGCAGTTAGTTCACAGGTAACTGATACTATCAGGGATCCAGGTAATGTCTTGCTTCCCCACCATCCTTAGCATGTTACTTTTGCCTCTTATTTCACTTTCAAGCAGGAAGAACAAAGGGAGAGCTCAGAAACTTCCTTCCCATGGATACTTTCTCTTTTTCTTTAGAAAGGGATGTTTACTCACAGGGACTTCTGTCTAATTCTCATTGGTCAAAAGTATGTCCCATATAACCACCTCTAGAATGAGGTAACAAATGTTTTCGCTTTCTAGCCCCTAGAGTGAGATAATGAGTGTTTTAGCTTTGTAGCCTCTTTTGGAGGAAGGCAAGGAGAATGGGAATTAGAATGAGTGTTGAATGAGCCATTCTAAAGTTATCTGCTGTACTTCCTTAATTCCTATGTACAGTTAGTTGTTTGGACTTTTGAAACTCTCTGGATACTTGGTTTATATAGTAACTTGCTATTGGTTGTCTTTTGAACAGTTAGTGCATATGTGTTGGTATTGTTATGTTTCCATGTCTGAGGACAGGAACTGTAATTGGGTCATCTTGGTGTCTTTACGCTTAGCACAGTGCCTACATGTTGAACCTCAATAATCCCTTCTTGAATGAATGAATGGATATTAAGAAATATATTTGTTAATATTATGGGTATAAATCATTTATACATTTAAAATATTTTTAATTTGTGAGGGTTTGTGGACTAAATTTTGTGGAATTGTTTGTTATTGCTAAGGGGACATCAGTGTAATAATGTCCAAGTTGTTTTGAAAAAAAGGTAAGTCCTCAAAATGGTTTAGTACCAATGTTTGTTGGGGGCTGGGTATTCCATGAGTAAATAAGAAATGTGATTGCTTTTAACTCTATGCATAGACTATTGTTTAAACAAAGATATTTTGTAGTACTTATATGTTAAGATCTCAGTTTTTAAAGAAATAGGCAATCGGAATTTATTTATTCAAAAGGCAAACAGGTCATTTGATAATTTATATTGCTGATGCTGATTTACAGGTCCTTGGAAGCGTCATATGGCTAAAGACATATTAAAGCAGATTTTGCATTAGTTGACATTTGAGTATATATGTTTTTAAATTCTTAGACGGGCAGCTTTATACTTTTTAATACACAAGCAAACAATTATGTACTATAGAATTTCATGTCCAAAAGAAATCTTAAGAGGTCATCTTTACATCTGCTTGTTTTGCCCTTGACTGTCTTAGAAGGATGGAGACTACCTCTTCATTTAAAATCTGCAGAAGGAATGGCTCAGACTTGGTAGGAATCAGTATCTTACAACTCCTCCAGTGTCTAAGTTAAATTCTCTTTATTGTATTTCCATTCAGTTTCTGTTATTTTAACCTCAGAGGACAAAATGAACAACTGTCTACTATCTCCCATACAACATCCCCTATATAACCCTATTTTAATAAATTCCTCTCTTTTCATTGATGATGGCAGGGTTGTTTGTACCTTAATTACTAAAACAGTCTGTGCATGGATAGAACTTAATTCAAAGCAGGGAATGTATTCAAGTGTCTGGAACTCAAATTTTCTATCTGAGCAGTTTATAGTCACTAAGAATAAAGGAAGCCCTTTTAATATTCAAAAGCAGTACTAGGAGAAGGGTTCTTACATAATCACAATGTAGGCAAAATAATTTCCTAAATTTGAACTCAGAATTGGGTATTGGTAGTTTTATTTGGCCCTTAAGCAGACCTTTTGGTCATACTTTTGGAAGTAATGAAGGTCAACACTTTGCACTTAAAAAAGTGCATGTAAAATATTAGCCCTCCCTCATTATTTTTACCTTTATTCTCAGTGATCAGTATAGTATCTGGCTCACAGTATGCACTTGATAAATGTTTGTTAAATAAATTGTAAGTATCCCTTGATAATGCTTCTAACATGGGTAGCTTTATGCTTTGCATTTCTCCATTCCTCTGTATTTCATGCTGTCCAATAAACACTCACACTTTATTTTTTACTGTCTTTATCTTTCTATTCAATGATATTGACCATGATTTAGGATTTATTTGAAGATCTGAATACCATAGTAATACCTGAACAATTCATTTTGTGATGACACTGTAATTTTCAAATTCAGGAATACCTCTTTTGTTTTATTCCTCATAAGATAGTGATCTAATTATAGCCTATTGATGAGAATTCAGAATACATTAACTGAATATTGTGTACAAAGCACTTTGCTGGGTTATGAGTAGTTACAAACATGAATTGTACATAAACTTTGCTGCCAAGGAATTGAGATCTGATTGGGAGACACACACACACATATACTGTATAACTATAGTATAAGAGGGATTGTGGTGACTGCTGTAAATGGGGTAAAAGCAAAATTTAGGGCACTACAGAGGAAAGCGTAATTACTTCCGACTAGCTGAATATGGGTGAGTAATTGACTAAGTCTTCACGGATGAGATGAAATTTGAATAGAGTCTTGAACTATATGTCTATATGTAGGAATTTGACAGGTCATGAAGGCAAAAGGTTTCAGAGAGGAGAAACAGCAGGAGCAGTATTTGCAGGTAGGAATGTGTATGGAGTGTTTGATAAAATAGAATGGTTTTAGTATTTCGAGTAATAGTGTGTCTGTGGGAGTGACAGAAATTGAGGCTAGAATGGAGCTTGGAACCAAATTGTAAGGGGTCTTATTTCTTGTTAAATAATTTTCTTTATTTCTTAGAAAAAGTATAGGTTTTTGAGTGGAAAAGTGACATCAAGATATCTATAAATTTCAGAGGAAGAATGGAAGATGTTAAATGTAGCTATAGGTAGGGAGATGAGTTAGAAGGCTGATGAATAGCTCATGTTGAAGATGATAAGGGAGGCTGGAGGCAGCAGAGCTTGGAAAGAAGGTCTGATACCAGAGGCCTGGGGTGGGTCAGATGCCCTGTGGCCTGTTGATTTGCTTAGAGGTGTGCAGCAGTGTACTGGCTCCCAGTAGAAGGTGCTTTCCAATTTTGAGTCTTCCTTCTACCTATACCATTTTGGTGGTCTGTGGAACATGCTCCCACTTGCTGCACCTGGGAGATCAAATATTGCAAATATTTTAGCTTGAATTCTAGAAGGAAGCAAAAGGAGAATTTGAATAGTTATGTGAGCTAATGATGTCTGCCACATTTCCTCAACTCTGTATTTCCTGGGCTCTTGGTTCACCTTCTTGAACTATTCGTATAACTTGCTATTGGTCCCTCTTTGAGACCCTGCTCAAATGTTCTACATTTATCATTCTGTATTAAAGTTATATCCAGGCCTGAGACCCGAGACTATATTTGGGTCATGATAATATCACAAAACAGTTACTTTAATTTTTAGAATGTAATAATTAATAAATGCTTGTTGAATAAAGCAAATTTGTTTATGTTTTGTGGTCGCACAGAGCTTCCTACTTTTTGCACATACCAAGCATGTGTCTTATCAGGGTCTTGCTGTGCCTGTTGCTTAGATCCAGATCTACATACTCCCCAATCCCCTCGCCCCTTCTTCTGATTTCTGTTTAGATGTCATCTCATTATCAGCAAGGTGTTTCCTCACAACCCTGTATAAAATAACCTCCTCACACCAGCCCTCAGTAGCTCCTATCCTCTGTTACCATGTGTTATTTTTCTTTATAGGTGCCCTCATCTGACATACATTTAATTTGATGCTGGTCTTTTTACTCCAATTAGAAAGAAATTGTTTGTGATAAGAGTCCCATTTGCTTTGTTACCTAATTTATCCCCAAGCATGCGGAACAATGATGAGCAGACACTTAGTAGGCACAATAAGTATTTGTTGAATGAATGAATGGTAGAGATTAGGCTGAAAAGGATACAAAACATTCACGTACAGGTTTGTTTATAAGTTTATCCAAGCCATGGCATTGTTGTTATAACTTTTATGATATCAAATCATTAATATTTCTCTCAGAAAATAAAAAAGAATTCTATTTTCTATAGCTTGTGCCTGTGAAATCTAATTAAGGATTAGTATTTGTTTTAAAAACATTTGAATGCCAAGCATATCCAGTCAGAAAACACTTTTATTATCCATGCCAGCTTAATTTTTAAGGCAGTGAAATGGAAGACTGTCATTCCAGTAAGCAACTTATTTTCATTTGTGAAAATAGAATATTTTGAGTATTCTAATTGATTTTTGAAGATGGTTTTACAAGAAAATAATCCTTGTTGCTGTACGTTGTACATTTGCCTTTAGGATGGAAGGAAACTAGAAACAGGCCTGGAAATTATTTGCTCAGAAAGGTACAAGCTATAACTGAATTGATTTTTGACAAAAGTATCAGGAGGAGGGTCAGTCAGGCCCAAGGTGAAAGGTAAATCTTGGGATTCTCAACACTTTAAAGAAGACCTGATTTTAAAAATCGTTTTATATGTATATTTAAAGTTTGTAAAGAGATTCCAGACTGTCATGAGCTCAAGACTATTTTTTACTGTATTTTATGTCAAGTTTCACTTGGATATTTTTCTAGAAATCTTAAGTCTATAATTGGGCAGTAAAAAAGTTGGTTATCAAATCAATATTGTTATATGGCTTTTAGTGTCATAAGAATTCCCTTTTGGAAACCCATAAAAGCTCATTTTTTCTCACTATAAACTTTATCTGTCAGTTTTCTAGAAGGTCAGAGTACTAATGTTGGAGGTGATCTGCTCTGGGACAAAGAGTCAACAAAGTGGTAGTAAAGTTAAAAAATGCCACATGGTGCTTTCCTAAGAGGAGGATTTCTTTTTCATATCAAGTTTGTGCTTATTTTAAAATATGGGAAATTATATGTCGATAAGCATAGTCTTCATACCCATCTAAATAGATAAAATAAGATTGTGTCTAGTTTTTGTATTTATATATTTCATATTTTATTAGTTTTTTTTTGTTTTCTAGAAATAACTTCTTAATTATTTGTATACTTTTAGTAGTTTGATTTCTTGCTAGATTTGTAAGTTAGGTTTTTTGGAATGGGTGGTTTAAAAATGAAATGTGATGAAATGGTTGTGTTGGAAAACAATTCCAGGAACAGAGTGATTTCATATTATTTGAAAATGAAACATGTTGTTTAGATTGTAAAAAGTACTAGAGCTTGGAGATTCCCTTTAAAAATATTTCTCTACTAAGTCTGAGTTGCCATTGGTTAATATTTATTGATTTTCCATTCACATATTACGTGTATATAAATATAGGACAAATCTGAGTGGTTATGAGAAGTCTTTTAAAATGCAAATCTCTCTCTCTTTTAGTTGACTATCCAATCAGTCCTCGCTCCGTTTTTTAACATGTGCAATACATATGGATGATTATACAATAACATTTTCCAGCTTTCTTTTCTTTTTTCTGTGACAGAGTCTCGCTCTGTCGCCTAGGCTGGAATGCAGTGGCGCCATCTCAGCTCACTGCAAGCTCTGCCTCCTGGGTTCACTCCATTCTCCTGCCTCAGCCTCCCGAGCAGCTGGGACTACAGGTGCCTGCCACCATGCCTGGCTAATTTTTTTTGTATTTTTAGTAGGGACGGGATTTCACCGTGTTAGCCAAGATGGTCTTGATCTCCTGACCTTGTGATCCGCCCGCCTCGGCCTCTCAAAGTGCTGGGATTACAGGTGTGAGCCACCACGCCCAGCCTCCAGCTTTCTTAATACAAGACACTTCAGAAATTAAGTGTGCAACTAGAAGTCCTTTTCAATTTCCTTCACCTTAATTAAATATTTCCCCTTATTTCAAGACCCATACCTAATTATCAAAGCATAACATTTTGGCATTTTACTTGAAGTTTAAAACTTTGAGTTTAGGTTGGGCGTGGTGGCTCATGCCTGTAATCCCAGCACTTTGGGAGGCCGAGGCAGGCGGACCATGAGGTCAGGAGATCGAGACCATCCTGGCTGACGTGGTGAAACCTCGTCTCTACTAAAAATACAAAAAATTAGCCGGGCGTGGTGGCGGGCGCCTGTTGTCCCAGCTACTTGGGAGGCTGAGGCAGGAGAATGGTGTAAACCCGGGAGGCGGAGTTTGCAGTGAGCCGAGATCACGCCACTGCACTCCAGCCTGGGTGACAGAGCAAGACTCCGTCTCAAAAAAAAAACAAAAAACTTTGAGTTTATATTTTACTTCTTCATGTTCCATTTCAAAACTGTAAGTACCAAAATAATTATTTTAGTTTCTAACATACTGTCAAAGTACAGCCTCAGATTCCTTATATGTAAGTAGAGACTTTGATCAGTTTACAACTATTTAATAAACAAGTACATTTTAAGATTGAGAATTACTTTTAGTTCATATATTACTTAAACAAGCAGTATTTGCAAACTAAATGATGCTGTTTTGAATCGCTATAGCACTATTAGTTTTAACCCTTGTCGATTAGTTTTTAAATGAATTTCCTTATAGCAATAGTAGTTATAATAATTTGAAAAACACTTGCAAGCTCCTGGAAGGGAGGACGCCTTCAGTAATTGGGAAGTAGTTTGTTATATCAAACAATTTGGCCTCCTTCCCTAAAGTTAAGAAAAATGTTGTAGCTTCTTTTAATTGAAGTTGAAACATATTCAATGAAGATAACTTGAAGAATAAAATGAAGCACAAAGAGGAAAACAAAATGATTCCCAGTTTTACCTCAAATGATCATTTATGTTTGCGTGTGTGCATGTACTCTTTCTCTCGTATTATGATATATTCATTTCATAATATGTTTTTATATATTCATTTCATGCAGTCATGCAATAGTGTAAACATTTTCCCATGGCAATATATATTCATTATATTTTTTGATCATTAATCATTTAATCATGAGATCCCTTTTTGTAGGATATTTTGATTGTTTTTAATTGGGGGAAAGACTGCAGTAAAGATTTTTGGTAACTTCCAGGGTTAATCCTTAAAAGTGGTATTGCTGAATCAAAAGATATGCATAGTTTTCAAGCTTTTTGTATTATGATGAAAAGTGATAGAATATTCTAATACTTTAAAGCAAAGCTAACCATATGTATTAGTCGATTGGGTAGCAGCTTTCAGTCTACATTTTGGAGACATGAGAACAGTCCTTTTTTAATTCACAAACTATTCTTTGCATCTACTGTACAGATGGTTGAAATTTCACTATCACCTGTTGTTCTCTTGTAACATACAAGTACTCCTGGGAGAGGTAACACATTGTACCCCAGCAGGCATTTACTCCAAAAAATATGATGTGGTTTATCTGATATTTTAAATTTAATTCTTGCAAGTGAAGTTTGGAAACAAGGTGGGTACATTGAACAAGGGTAATGCAAGAGGATAATAGGATACTTCAATTCTATCAAGATCAATTCAACAACTATTATAGAAAATAGAGGATATTATATGCCTAGTTTTAGTAGTTTGAGTTATAAATTCTCTCTAAAATAATTCAGGCTGTTTGTTAACTGTGAATGCTGATTAATCCAGTAGACAGACTAATGATCCCATATATGGTGTATATATGTGCTGGAGAGAGATGCAAGGGGGAATTAACTAACTCCTAAGTAACTTTACTCTGTTTGAAAACACTGTTTGCAAAGTGTGAAATTACTTTAAGAGATGGTGAGGATGCAGTGTGCAGCTTTGGGTAGTTTGTAAGGAATACTCTGGCTATAGGGTCTCTGCTTCATTAGACAAAATATTTGTATCATTGGAATGTCTCCTTGAAAAACCAGTTGATAAAGAGATAGGCAAGGCCACTAAATAGATAAAAGTCACAGTGCTTGTTCCAGTCAGGAAACTTCAAGCTGTTGATATGGGAAAGCCCGTGCTTCCTCTGCAGAAACTTTGGACAATAGTAGACCTTCTAGAAATTATACACAGTTGTCTATGTATACCTTTTCTTTATTTAATAGTTTCAATCCTAAATATCTTCAGGATTAAAAAAAAATCCCAATCTATTATTAACAGACTGACTCTTTTTCTTATAATAGTGGGTAGCTAATAATATGCCTCTTGTGATATTTAAAAATAGTGATACAGCTCTCATTACCACATCTATTAGTCCCAGATTTACTCAGCCCTGGTCTAAACTGGGTTTCTGAGCTTTTTAAACTTTAGCATTAAAGATCTCTAGACTCTGTCCAGTTTTTCTGGTGTTGCCTTTGTAAACTGTCAGCACGTGTCTTAAACTATTAGCAAATCAGAAGATTATTAAAAATATATATAGTGACTAGAAAAAGAACTCCTTCAAAAAATAAATAGAAGAAAATGTACTTTTACTGAATACTTTGAATACCTATCTGTATTCATGTAGAATGTTGGAGATGAGAGCAGTATCAATAAATATGTTAACTGATGCAGCTTTTATTTTATTGTAAATTTATTTTTTCTGAGACAGGGTCTCACTCTGTCACCCAGGCTGGAGTGCAGTGGCATGATTTCGGCTCACTGCAACCTCCACCTCCCAGGCTCAAGAGATCCTCCTACCTCAGCCTTCCAAGTAGCTGGGACAACAGGCATGTGCCACCACACCCAGCTAATTATTTGTATTTTTGTAGAGACGGGGGTTTTGCTATGTTGCCCAGGCTGCTCTCAAACTCCTGGACTCAAGCAATCCGCCTACCTTGGCCTCCCAAAGTGCTGGGATTACAGGCATGAGCCATTGTGCCTGGTCTGATACAGCTTTAAAACATGGTTTTGTTGATTTGGATGTTAAAGGACAGTTTCTAATACTGGCTTCACCTCACACTTCCTAACACTATTTAAAAAGTCTGTTACTGTAGGCCGGGCACAGTGGCTTACGCCTGTAATCCCAGCACTTTGGGAGGCCGAGATGGGTGGATCACCTGAGGTCAGGAGTTCGAGACCAGCCTGGCCAACATGGTGAAATCCCGTCTCTACTAAAAACACAAAAATTAGCCAAGCATGGTGGTGCGTGCCTGCAATCCCAGCTACTTGGGAGGGTGAGGCAGCAGAATCACTTGAACCTAGTAGGTGGAGGTTGCAGTGAGCCGAGATGGTGCCATTGCACTCCAGCCTGGGCAACAAGAGTGAAACTCCATCTCAAAAGAAGAAGAAGAATTAAAAAAAAGGTCTGTTACTGCAAAGTGATTTTTCACTGATATAAAATGAATATTAAAAACATCAAATGTGTCTAAGGTTGATCCATTTAAGGATATCTATTTCTAGTTCTTCAGTCTCTTATGGAAATTCCTCTTTCTTCTCCCAAATGTTTACCTGATATTCTTTCACCTCCTGAGATGCTAGGATTTTGCTTTTTTTTTTTTTTTTTTTTTTAGATACTTTCCCTCATAGATAAATCAAATTGAATTGTGAGATTATGGCCTTTTCATTTTTCATTAGAAGTGACTAAATCCAGTCTAAATCCAGTACCTTATACTCAGTGACATTTATTTCATCTCATCAAGGGAATGCCACCCATGTTTGCTTGTGTTACTGTACTTCAAATAGGACGTTGAGAATATTTGTATGTTAGAGTAACACTGCTATTTCTGTTTCAAAATTAACTGAAAATGTGTCTCCCACTTGGGGAGGGAAACTTCTCAATAACTTTTGTAGTTAATATGGATTAAGTTATTAAAACATGTTTGAGTATTCTTAATCAGTATAGTTAAGAATATGTTAGTCATCTTATTTTAAACTCATTTGGTGTGTATATTTATAATTACCCTGCACAAACTCAGTCTGAGTTAAATGTTGGCATAGAAGCCAGTGTAGGGTAGCAAGATAATGTTTCTGTCCAATAAAAAATGCCAGTGTAATGATTAAGCCAGTGGACTCCTTCCAGGTCATAGACATGATTATTTTTGAATTAAACATTCTTGTAGACTCCAGTCAGGTTGGGGAAGATGCTTTGCCATGGCATGGAACATAGTTTCTAAATCCCTCAGCAGGGCAGACAATTTTCCTTAGATTGAGGGGTGAAATTTTAAATAGAATTAGATGCCACCTATTATATTTACATGGTAATACAATCTGTACATAAAATTCTGCCTATGAGAGTAAATAGTAATGAGTGATAGGAAGAAGTAATTTTTTATGTCTGATAATAGTACAACTCTTGAATGAATTAGGAAGAAATCGTCACGGCCATTGCTAAAGGGTTTTACGGTTCATTGACTCAACACACATTTATTGAACACTTTCTGTTTGCTGAGTGCTAGAGATAACAATGGTAAGCAAAACAGACCTAGTCAAGTGTCTCCGTGGAACTTAATGTCCAGTGGAGATATTGACATTAAATAATTACTTGTATAAATATATCCTACGTGTGATAAGTACACAGAAATACTACAGATTGTTTTGTCAAGAGAACCTTGACTTTGCTTGATGGTAACAGTAGTAAATTTTTGAGCTAGACTGAATGCGGCTACGTGGCTGACTTCTTCACCTTCTACTCCAAACCTTTATTGGCATGTGAATCTTCAGTATTGTTTTTTTTTCCCCCTCCAGTCCTAGTTCTTAAGACCTATTATTCTATCAAAAAGGTGACTGTCCAGTGCTGAGGGGTAAAGAATAAGGGTTATATCTTCAGAGGAGTTATGATTATGTTGGACTCTGGGAGGAATCCCAAGAGATTCTAACAAAAAAATTGAAGTATTTCACTATATGATATTCAGTTACTTATATTATTGATGTCTTGGTTTTACAAGTGAGGAGGCATTATTAAATATTGTATGCAATTAATATATTAATTTATAGTGACATTTATATTCCACAAGCATATAAAACATATACCGTGTTATATATATATCATTTAAATATTAATAATTATTAAACATTTTTATTTAATCCTAAAACTCAAAGACTAGAAAATGGAGGGTTTTTTTTAACTTATATTGTATCCTGTGCCTGCAGTGAAGTATAATGGGATGCCATGTGAATATGGAGTTGGAAGACCTGGATTTTAGTCTTGCTGTCACTTACTCTATGATGCCGATATTCTTTATATTTTGTATTCTGTAAAAGAAAAGTGGTTCAACAATGGTATCAGCACTCCTTGCACCTATTATTCTGAACACACCTTGACTTCTCTGCTTGGGCATTCGTATCCGAATGGGTCAGGGAGCCCAGTTTTCTCCCACTGAGCTGGTTTACAGCCCATTTCAAGAAGGTGGAAGACTTCTGGAGAAAAGCCATCTTTGAGAAGGAAATACATTATTCATCTTGTCAAACTTTTATAAAAAGAATAATTGTTGGCAGAAAGTATTTAAAAATGTCTTTTTTTCTTCTCTGTTAAATAAAAGCCTAATTACTAAATGTGGAATGGGCTCTCTAGATTGATGGTGAGGGAATTGGCTTCTTATCCTACTTCCACTTCTCAAATTAAACTAGGATGATAATAGATCAAACAGAATAAGAAACTGCAGATGATTTTCAAAATTTATGAAATTTACAAATATTCTCTTAGGCCATTAAATGCACTTTGGCCTAGAATTCAATTGCTTATTCTGTTTCTCCCATCTCTTTAATCGGTGTTACTTCTCTTGTATTGGTAGGTTAAAATAAACACATATCTATATGGAAAAAATTATTATTTCCCATAAATTCTGCTTCTGTCAACAATAAAAAAGAATCAGTATTTGAAAGAGAACATAATAAAATGTGTCCAGATATACTTGCTGCTTGATTTAGTTTAGACTTCAGGAATAATAGGAAATCATTAGTATCAAGTACAGTGCTGTCTGACACTTGTTGCTGAGAACCTGTGTTAAGTGAAACCAGTGTTACTTTCAAGGCAGAAGAAAGCAACTTCCTGTGTCCCCCTGATTTTCACTTCAGCTCCAGAAAAACCTAGTTTGTCTGCTGTGTGTCAGGTCCTGAGACAACTTTCAGGAAAATAATAGCATAGCTCCCAGTTTTCAGATTTTCACAGCTGCATGCAGAAGCAGAACGTGTGACTACAGTGAAACAAGTATAATTCTACTATACAGAGTATAAAGGAAGTCATATTTAGGAGGAGTTCAGGGAAAGGCTTCATAGAAATGGTGATTCATGAGCAGAAATTTTAACAAAAGTTCATTAGTTGAACAGAGAGAGAAGGCTGATGGAGGTGAGATAAATGTGTGAAGTTATAAGAGTCTAAAACAGCTCTGGGAGTGTGGGTGTTTGGTATTGCTACCAAGTAGAGTCTGGGGAAGTTGGGGAAAAGGAATTGAAGTGGGAGAAGGCCAAATGTGGCTGTAGTGAAGAGAAAGGAAGGGGCCAGGAAATGAGTCTTAATTGCCATGTGTTGGGCCTTGGATTTTACCCTTAGGTGATTTAAGGTTTTTGAGCATGTCATTTTATGGTCACATTTCCATTTTGGAAAGATTATTTGTGATTAGCTTAAGGAGAATGGTGTGGTGGGAACAAGATTGTATGGTAGCATGGAGACCTACTTAAAAGGGCAATGCGATACTTTAAATGAGTGGTGAGATGATATTCCAGTGCAAAACTTTCTATTGATTCATAAATATGCTGCCACATTTGTGAATGTTGGCAAATTAAAAATATTTGTAGTATTCAGTAGAACGAATTCATTGCTGCTTTTATAGTTTGAAATCATTCATGGAATTAATAGCATTAAAAAATTGAAAGAGGGTTAATATTTTGTCAGTGGAATTAAACCACTCAGCTTCTCACAGAAAGAAAAATCTTGTAATTTTTTAATATAATGTGGAATATAACCTCACAATAATATATTGAACTTTTAATATATACTTATCCAGTTATTTGTGGAAATTGTGCATATTTGAAAACAAGTACATGACGTGCTTAGTACATGCTAAGTACTCAGTAACTATTTGCTGAGTTTGCATTTGATGCTTGTGGAGTTTTAACCAAGACACTTTACTAATTCAAGTCCTGGAATAAGTTACTAATATATGTGTGTGTGTGTGTATATATATATATGTGTGTGTGTGTGTGTGTGTGTGTATATATATATATTTTTTTTTTTTTAAAAAATAAAGACAGGACCTCACTCTGTCACTCAGGCTGGAATACAGTAGCACAATCATGGCTCACTGTAACTTCAAACTCCTGGGCTCAAGTGATTCTCTTGCCTTAGCCTCTGGAGAAGCTAGCATTATAGGCACACACTACCACACTCAGCTAATTTTTAAAATTTTTTGTAGAGATGGAGCCTCACAACAGCCCAGGCTGGTTTCAAACTCCTTGGTTCAAGCAGTTCTCCTACCTCAGCCTCCCAAAGTGCTAGGATTACAGGCATGAGCCAGTGCACCCAGCCATGACTGATACTTTTAAGCAGAAAGTTGAATTCCAAACCAACAAAAAAAGAAATGTTTTTTAGGGAAAATTAAATTATCACAAATACATATAAGATGCTAACTTTGCAAAGAGCATATATTTAAAAGATCATTGCAATTCATATAATTGGAAAAGCACATTTGAAAATAGCTTTAAATTTTCTCACAGAAAGTATGGCGTATGAGTTTTCCTACCAAATCTTGGTTTCGATGCATGAATTCTCAGTTCTTAGTCTCTACAACAAGACACAAAAATCAGAGGAAGAGATTAGCATATCCATGGCATTGAGGGGGGTATACATTATTAGCTTACCACATCTTTGTCAGTTTGAACCCAGAATTAAAGCGAAATGTTGCTATTTAAGTACATATGGTAGTACACAACTACAACATAAATATTAGACTGTATGTCTCCTAACCAAATAATGGAATAATGATCAGTATCCATCAAGTGTTAGTTATCTGCAGTTCAGACTAATGCTCCGGAAGCAGATTCATTTCTATTAGCCAAACTTTGTTTAAATTTATGTAGAATATTTTCAGTGCATAGAGTTTTATGACTGCAAAATTATTACTTTGCATTTGATACCAGATTATATTTCAGTTTTTAGAGGTTATATTCAGGTTTTAGAGGTTAAGATGAATTTGCTATGCCTGATTTTTATAGAAGAATTTAAAAAAATAACTTTTTTGTAGAATATATTTATCTTGTCTCTTTTTTCCCATATGATAATTGATTGTAGTACATTACTTTGAGGAAAGTTGTTTAGCAAAATGTATTTTTACTTCACACTCTTAATAGATTCTGTTAGGGGAATCACTGGTCACATGTTTTAAAGCAGAGATCTTTTCATGCTTATTTTTACTATTTAATGAGATTTCAGGTATATTTTAACAACTTGGGGTTTCCGTGATGAATCATTAAAATAAGTGAGTGGGCTGGAAGGTAATACTAACTTTTCTCACCCCTGCCCTATTTTACTCTGCTGGGTTGTTGGTTGCTTTTTATATAGAACCTGGGTGTGTTGGTGGGTGGAGGTGCAGAAGGGAAGGAAGAGAAAGGGTCAGTAAGAAAATACCAGGTAAACTTGTGATGACCTACTGAGAAATACCGCTCAAGTTTCACTTTCCCCAAAGTAAACCATTTAGTGTTTAAGCCCATTGTTTTTTGCTTTAACAAGCTTAAGTTTCCAAATATTGCATATAGGTAAATCAAAACTATATTTTCAACAATTGATTGAAGTTTTAAGGTATCAAGCCATATGTGGATTAGCCTGTGGAATCAATTTCTCATGTGTGTGGGATCAAAACCGTTAAAACCATCATCACTGAAACTATACCTTCCTACAACTAACTAATAACAGAAAGGTGTCTATGGAATATATTAATACAACAATTCCTCTGATTTAAAATTATTACTGGGTGTTTGGTTGGAAAATGATTTGAATATTATAGGTAACTAAATTGACGTCATATATGAAAGCTAATTATAGGTTTCAGTGTGACTAAAATTTATTTTTTTAATTGACATGATATACTTAATATTTAGCATATACTTTTCAGTAAATCACTGGCATATTGCAGATTTTTAATATCTATACTGTTAAAAACATTTCAACTACCACAGCAGTTCTAAATGCTAAAGGAGGTAGACAAAAATGTAGTTCACCTTGAAAATGATCATGGCTTAGGGAATAAAGAAATTGGGTCAAGTCTAAAATAATTGCAGGTACAGTGACAAAAAGTTTTAATAAAAATTTAAAAATATTCATAGCGTTGGTTTCAGGCTACTTTTGTTCTCTGTGATCTTATCAATGCATTATTAGTTTTTAATTGGGATGATGCTAATGGTGATTTTTCATTTTGGTCAAAATGTTTGTATGAAATACTATTGATATTTTCACATTGTATCCCCTTTCGATTATGAATATGCATTTTTGAAAAGGTAGACAATTTTTAAATAGATCATTTTGACTTCTGGTGATCTTAAATAGAATTTGAAGTGGTATGAAATTTCTATGTCACAGCTATCACTTTGACTTATTTTATATTGCCAAATTTGATGTTTAGCATTTAACCATGTATCATTAAATCATAGTATTGATAATGAATTAAACTTTCAAAAAGCTTTAATAGTATAGTAGGTTTTCATTCATCTGGTGTCATTGGGGAATAAATTGTGCTGAAGAAGTGAGTTTTTCTTTAACTGAAGCTTGTTTAAGCAGAAAAACTTAAAAATTGATTAAAATTTATCTGAAATATTTTATATGCTCTTTCAGGGAGCAAGCATGGAGTGGCCATTTACTCTTTTCTTAATGTCATATAATACTATTCTGAGCGCCATGCAGAAAGGACATGGGTTTTCTGTTTGGTATTTGTTTTCCAAACTAAGTTTTTTGTTGTTTCTTCCTTTTAAAGTGCCACATCCCTAATTCGGGTATTCTTTCGTTGTTGTTTTTGTTGTTCTTGTTGTTGTTTTGAGATGGAGTTTTGCTCTTGTTGCTCAGGCTGGAGTGCAATGGTGTCATCTCGGCTCACTGCAACCTCTGCCTCCCAGGTTCAAGCAATTCTCCTGCTTCAGCCTCCCAAGTAGCTGGGATTACGGGCATGCCTCACCATGCCTGGCTAATTTTGTATTTTTCATAGAGACAGGCTTTCACCGTGTTGGCCAATCTGGTTTCGAACTCCTGACCTCAGGTGATCCACCTACCTCAACCTCCCAGCGTGCTGGGATTACAGGCGTGAGCCACCGTACCCAGCCTAATTCTGGTATTCGTGATCAGTTTAAATGTTTCATAATTTAAGGTTTCTGGTAGTACTTGTGATAATGCTTTAAGAGGTTCATAAACTCAGGCACCAATAGGAGACATTTGGCTCTCTGCCATCTTCTAGCAAACACTTGACCACAGCCTCCTTCTACAAAGGAAACCCTGTCCTTGGTTTGGAGTTAGCACTTTCAACAGTGAGGCCCTATTACTGCTGCTTCCAAGTACTCACTCCTTATTAGCCTTTGCTAGTGGTGCAAAAATGTCTGTATTCACCCTACATGCTTCTTCTGAACATCTGTAGTATCAAGGTGACCACTTGTAGCTTTCTTTGACTATTGCTGAAATGGGCAACTAGTATATTCCCTTTATATTTTAGCAAATTCCACCATAGCAGTGAAGTGGTTTTTTTTTTCTTTTTCTTTTTTCAACCTCATGCTTATTTGTTTCAAGCAGTTTTCTAAAACAAAACTCAAGCTCAGCCAAAGTATTTGAACTGTTCTTTAATGTGCTATATGCCATTTGGTTTGAATCATATATTTAAATACCAGCTTCTCCCCATTTACTTGTATCTAATAGGAATCATCTTTCTTCCAGATTGTGCTTCAAGAAGACCATAGGGAAGAACGCATTTTCATCTTGCTGCAAAAGTTGCAATAGAAGTAAGTGGGGGAACTGCCAGGATATGTCTGTCTCCACAAAACAAGCAGAACAAATTTCCGTGAATCAAAGCCACTAAGTATAGTTTTCAGAGATGGTAGGACATAGTTATTTTCCCTAGAAAAACACCCCAAATGCAGGCACACCCATTGGCCAGCAGAAAAAATGCTCACGTAAATGCTAGTTCAAACCTGTACATTTCACTCTTCTTACTGAGCTGTCAGAGGGGTGGAAATCTACTATAGCTATAATCTTTTTTTCCCCTTTTCTGTTTTTCAGCCTCCCACATGCTTAGTGTTCAGTTCTGCCTACTGAGCGTCTTGAATCTATAGGAGCATCTACATGTACTGCCTCCATAGTGGCTGATAATTTGCAGATAACTCGTGAACCAGACCCATAAGAAACATCATGATATGTACTTTAGATTAATCATGGAAAAGGACAAGATGATGAAGAATCAGAAAGCAGTTTTCTTTTCCAATATTTATATTGCTTTCTTTGAGGTTAGATGAGTGAGATATTCTTTAGAGTGGTTTATATCACATTTCATCACTTGGGGAAATAGGTCATTTTTACAAGAGCCTTTTAGAGACCTTTTAAGTACATACAGGGCATATATTTAATACACCTTAGCATTTCCTCTGAGTAAGTCAGAGGAAATAAAGCAAGATGGTAGATATCTACGATGTGATCAAGTAAGCAAATTAATGTTAAACTGCTTATATTCTGTCTTGAAACCCTTGGTATAATTTTCAAAATTGCCTTTTATTGTTCTTTCAGTTACTTTCTAGCAATTTCCATCATTTGAAGGATTAATGGCTACCACTTTGTTGAACCTAGAGGGTGTCTGTGAACTTATTGAACACTACCTTATTAGAGCAGAAGTCTCCAGTGGACCATGAACTCTGCATGGCTGGGACTCTGAACTTACCTCTTACTCACAAAACCTGCAGGGCTCTCAAATTAATGTTTAAAATGCAAGCTACTGACAAGGAATGGGTAAACATCCACTGCAATTTCAAACACATATGTATATCCACTTTCCTCATCTATTCCTGGTGGGTAGGGGATCATGATTGAAAATTACTGAACTTAAAATGGTAGAAAATTTGAAGCGATCCTTTCTACTTAAGTAGAGTGATTTATACTAATGGTGGGATGGGCTAAATACCTTCTTGCTATTTGTAGTCTACTGTGCTTCACATGCATTTTCTAATTTTATCTTAACACATGTCTGAGGTTAGTACTGTTGTCTCTATTTTGGAGATGATGAGACTAAGTCCTACAAAATTAGGTAACTTGTCCAAGGTCATACAGCTTGGAAGTGACAGAGCTGAGGTTCAAACATGTATGTCCTTGATCCTAGGATTCATGCCTTTTCCATCTGAGGACGACCACTGATTCTTATTTTGCATATAAATGAAATATACACACACAGTCCCCCACAGCCCCCCCCCGCCCACATAATATATAGATTTATATTCCCCCATCCTCCCAAATGCTCATTGGAAAATTTAGACATCAAAAGGAAGCCTTTTTGCTTTGAAATGCAATTTAAGTAGCCATTACTTTGAACAAAGTGTAGTTTTATTAGTGAAGAACATCATTGAGTCATTGAGACTAATAATTTTGTGGAACAACATTATTAAGAAAAGCATTATGCTATTTAATGAGTGATATTTACTTAAGTCATAAAGGAAAATTCAAACATCTGGAATATTTTTTAAGCAATATAGCATTTATGCATGGAATGATGTTTTTCCCCTATGTCTTACAGGAAATAACATATAATTTGAGATGTATATTAGAGATTTTATGTTCATAGATATCTTTTTATTTCACTGAGCACATTAACAAAAATTATATTCAAATGAAAAATGGCTTGATAGCTAATTCTCTGTGATGAAATTTTATCATGTCTTTAGTAACCCCATTATTGCTACTTTATCCCTCTTAATAGGTTGCTTGTCTAAAGAAAGGTTGTAGAAACCTTACTGGTTCACACACATACAACTTTACCACATTGTTTTGGTGTTCCATTTTGGGGTGATACATTGACAAGTGTGGGGAAGTGATCAAAGTATGTGTAGTGTCTCAAGAAATTGCTTCCTAAAGTTTTTAACACTAGAAAATAGAGATTTGCATTTGGTTGATATGCCTTCTTTTAAATACGTATTCACTAGGGGCAGTTATACCTGATGAATTTAAAGATGGAGTAATACAAGAGTTACAGAATCACAGAATTTCTGAACCAGAAAGGGCCTTATAAATGAAGGACTCTTGAAGTGAAAGTCGTCATTAGAAGATGAGTTCAGTGACTGTCCAAGACTAGAGCTCTAAGTCAAGTAGTTTCTGAGATTACTGAGTTAGGCTTACAGCCGAACAAACCAGGAAGTGAGTGATCACAGCAGGTGAGGGCTTTCAGCTTTCTGATGTTGGAGAAAAAACTAAGAGTCATAGTGGAGACAATCTTATGACATGAGGAAAACAAATCAGAAAAATAAAGACACCTTTATTTCTTCTTATTAACACAAATGATATAAAACTTTAAGTGTTATATACTTATTTAAATAATGGGATAAGCCTATTTTGAAAAATAACACATTGCTAAATTATTTGTATTTTCTGAGTATGAAATTTGAACTTATTTTTATTAAAAATTTTATACATGTATGTAATGGAAAAAATATACATTTTTTGGTTGTTATTTAGGATCTGAAGGTTTGAATGGGCCAATGAGTATCCTCATCATTGAAGCATTCTATGGAGGCTCCCATAAACAGCTGGTGGATCTTCTTCAAGAAGAGTTAGGAGACTGTGTCGTTTATACCCTTCCTGCAAAGAAATGGCATTGGAGAGCCCGGACATCTGCTTTATATTTCTCTCAGACCATTCCCATCAGTGAGCATTACAGGTAATTAGAGCTCAGGATGCATTTTCAGCGTTTTTTAAAAAGTACCTGTTATGAGGATGTTGCTTCTCCATCAGTATCTTTGAGAATTTCTCCAACTATGGAATTGGTTATTATGACTATAGTAGATATTTCTTTAGAGAGAGCAGAGCAGTGGAGTATACTCATCCTCTAAGGACACCTGGTCAGTAGGAAAGAAGCTTCATTTAGAACCAACCATATGTGTTTTCTCATTGTCTTGTGATTTCATTATGTATAGGGGTATGGGTATGGGTAACAATTTTTGGCCTGAGAGAACAGTAGATCTTCTAGTTTGGTTCATTGTATCTGCTCTGTACTAGGAACCAGAGTTGAAAGGTGGATACGTCCAAGGCTTTAAAGTCTGTTGAGGTAGAGATAGGCAAGTGCAATGAGAGGTGAAAGATGGAGAGGTTGATTTGGATTGTGACAAACTGGAAGTGGCTTTGTAGAGTTGGTAACCTTTGACTTATTCTTGAAGGGTGAGTAGATTTGAGGGGCACAGAACTCAATTCTGAATTCTGGTTTGTTAGGAAGTAGGAACTAGGAGGACCTATTAGAAAGCGTCTCATGAGCTGGGCCAGTGGCATGTGCCTCTGGTCTCAGTTACTCAGGAGGCTGAGGTGGGAGGATTGCTTGAGCCTGGGAGTTCAAGGCTGCAGTGAGCCAGCCACTGCACTCCAGCCTGGGCAATAGAGTGAGACCCCCATCCCTAATAATAATAACAATAATAATAATAATAATTTAGAAAATAAAAGAGTCTTATGGGACACACTGAAAAGATGGAGGTAAATACTCATTACATTTTTACTGAGGGAACAGGTAGGATGGAATCCCCTTGAACATCTCTTCCTCCTTATTCTCCATTTGTATGTATTCCTGTGTATTCTCCTGATGGTTAAATCGTGGAAGACTATCCTATGGTGGTTAACATAGCTGATGTTCTTGCCGTTTATTAACACAAATGATATAAAACTTTAAGTGTTATATACTTTTTTAAATAATGGGATAAGCCTGTGTGTAGGACTGCATTGGTTTGGGCAGGAATGAACAGTTCTGGGCTGATAATGAATGGAGTTAGAGCAGATAGGTTCTTAGAGGAAGGGCATGTTGGAAGCTCCAATGCCCATCTTGCCTCCAGTACCTCTACCCATCTGCTGCTTCTAAAGTGGCCACAGGAGACATAGCAGCTTGTGACTTAAATGTAGCTTGCTGTTCCTAGTAGGAACTTGAGGGATTCAGAGAGTAACGATTTTCTGTATGAAAATTATGTATCGTCTCTGAGAATGCATAGTGTCAGATGGAATAGCAGTGAGCATTCCAGTTACATGGCTTAGGATTTTAAAGGTAAAATGCTGTTTTAGTGCGTATTCAGAATTTTGTATTTTTTTCGAATTTAAAGTGTATCCTTCTTTACATGATTTAATGTTTTATATTCCGATATCACTAAGTGAATATTGTTGATTCACTAATAGTATGAGGAATTTCAATGAACATGATGATATAAAAGTTGTAAAGGCAATGATAAGACTATTGCTGTGTTAAAATATGACTGTTTATGGTTGCTTTCACATCTCATTTAATTGTGTTTTTGCAGCACCAATTGTATTATATTACTTAAGGTCAAGTAATCCAGTTGACTTTATGGCACTTTTTCATTTAACAGTGCCATTCAGTATAATAAATTTCTACAGTGATTTGAACATTAAAATGAGCCATTTCTATATCTGTTGTTTGATTTCATTTTGATTATGCAGTTTTTCAGAATTACATTATTGTATCACAAATATATGTGTGTGATAGCATGCAAACACTTCTGTGCATATGGCTTCCCTACTCTCTTTGAAGCCTGAAGCATTTGAGGGTAAGTGTCACAGCATTTGAGGATAAGTTATTTGGGAGGTGGATATCTGAAAGATGGTGATATAAAGCCTTACTCTGCGATAGCCATAACCTCCACCGCCTAACAATGGTATCTGTCATCTCTCAAGGTATGCCATTTAGCCTTTGCAGTTAACTATACTAATCTAATCAGTCTTTAACCCAAAGACATGCCTCACCAGTTTAACTTATATTTGAGCAATGATAACTTCTCTACTCTTTACCAAGTAACTTTTTTGAATACTTTTAGAAAAATAGCAGTAGCATGAAAACTTGATAGCATGATACTAAGTTTACAAATGCGTGCATTCAATCCTAGATTGAAGTGCAAGAGTAACCTTTTGCTACACTAAATAAGTCTGAGCTCTGTGGAGATTTTTAAAGATATGAAAAATTTTTGCTTTCCAGTTGTTACTCTTTTTGTATATTTAGTGCATGAAATCATTAAACTCATAAAGGTAAAATGATTAAGCACCAATATTGCCTACTATGCAAAATACTCTGAACAAATACGAGTGTGTCTGATGAGAAAGACTTTGAATGTAGATACATATTGGTGTTTTTCTCAGCTTCTGAACATGTATTGTTGCTATTATAAGCTTACTCTCTGAAAAGTATTTTATTATTAAAAGAATAAATGCTTCAGCCTAATTAATCAGTTTGATTCTGCTTTATCTTGACAACTAAAAGAATATATCATGATTCATGTTAGAGCTGTTTAGTTTTATTATAGATTACGAAAGCTCAACAAGTTATTTTGTCAAAAGTAGTCAATAGTTATTGTTATTCTTAGATTATATTATAGCTTTGCCTTAGAAACTTCACAGGATACAGAAAAAAGTTTTGAATGTGGAGCTTGAGGGAAGGCATTAACTTTTGGGTTATGAAATGTTAATCATTCGTTCCAGGATGAAGCATTTCTACTTTCTTAGACTGCACCCTAAACTAGGTATCGAGGATATTTTATTCACTTTTCATTCTGTAGTGTCTTTAGTGAAGTGAAAGAATCTCTGTTATTTAGAAATCATTTTTTCACCCTCAGGTGCTTACAATTACATTTTTTGTTTCATCTGAGGTATTGTGACAGATACTGATCATTGCCCACTTAACGGCCCTTCTTCCTTGTTAACAGAATCACAGTTTTCTTTAGGATGGATAGGTATCCAGCCCTTGGGAGTGAAGCAACATTGACTTAAATTAGTTAGGATGATCCCATTCTCCTTTGCCAAATTTTCCCTACTCTCCTTGCAGCTTGGGTTGATCAGTCTCCAAGTTGTGGCAAATTAGAGTTAAGTGGGTGACTTCTGGGAGTTCTTCCAGCAAAGTGGTTTGATTTTAAATTTTACTTATAAAAGAAGAAGGCCAACTCCCCTTTCCTACATTTGACTGGTTGTGATGTCCGCAACCATGAAGTACAAGCATGAGGACAGAACCCCTGGATTGCCATAAATGGCTGATGGGAGGCTGCAAAGTGCCTGGATTAGTGGTGGATATGTGATTTGAGTTCAAGTCTGGCCACCTGCAAAGACTATATACTATTCGTTCTTCTTCTTCTTTTTTTAATTATACTTTTAAGTTTTAGGGTACATGTGCACAATGTGCAGGTTTGTTACATATGTATACATGTGCCATGTTGGTGTGCTGTACCCATTAACTCGTCGTTTAACATTAGGTATATCTCTTAATGCTATCCCTCCCCCCTCCCCCCACCCCACAACAGGCCCCGGTGTGTGATGTTCCCCTTCCTGTGTCCATGTGTTCTCATTGTTCAATTCCCACCTATGAGTGAGAACATGCAGTGTTTGATTTTTTGTCCTTGCAATAGTTTGCTGAGAATGATGGTTTCCAGCTTCATCCATGTCCCTACAAAGGACATGAACTCATCATTTTTTATGGCTGCATAGTATTCCATGGTGTATGTGTGCCACATTTTCTTAATCCAGTCTATCGTTTTTGGACATTTGGGCTGGTTCCAAGTCTTTGCTATTGTGAATAGTGCCACAATAAACATACGTGTGCATGTGTCTTTATACCAGCATGATTTATAATCCTTTGGGCATATACCCAGTAATGAGATGGCTGGGTCAAATGGTATTTCTAGTTCTAGATCCTTGAGGAATTGCCACGCTGACTTCCACAATGGTTGAACTAGCTTACAGTCCCAACAACAGTGTAAAAGTGTTCCTATTTCTCCACATCCTCTCCAGCACCTGTTGTTTTCTGACTTTTTAATGATCATCATTCTAACTGGTGTGAGATGGTATCTCATTGTGGTTTTGATTTGCATTTCTCTGATGGCCAGTGATGATGAGAATTTTTTCACGTGTCTGTTGGCTGCATAAATGTCTTCTTTTAAGAAGTGTCTGTTCATATCCTTCGCCTACTTGTTGATGGGGTTGTTTTTTTCTTGTAAATTTGTTTGAGTTCATTGTAGATTCTGGTTATTAGCTCTTTGTCAGATGACCAGATTGCAAAAATTTTCTCCCATTCTTTAGGTTGCCTGTTCACTCTGATGGTGATTTCTTTTGCTGTGCAGAAGCTCTTTAGTTTAATTAGATCCCATTTGTCAATTTTGGCTTTTGTTGCCATTGCTTTTGGTGTTTTAGACATGAAGTCCTTGCCCATGCCTATGTCCTGAATGGTATTGCCTAGGTTTTCTTCTGGGGTTTTTATGGTTTTAGGTCTAACATTTAAGTCTTTAATCCATCTTGAATTAATTTTTGTATAAGGTGTAAGGAAGGGATCCAGTTTCAGCTTTCTACATATGGCTAGCCAGTTTTCCCAGCACCATTTATTAAATAGGGAATCCTTTCCCCATTTCTTGTTTTTGTCAGGTTTGTCTATTCGTTCTTCTTAAGCCCATTGTCTTAACAACTATTCTGTCTTCATTCCAGTTAAAACATGGTAAATTATTTAATTAAATTAAACCTAAATATGTCTTGATTAAAATATATATTATTATATTTTACAATTAGAAGTAGGTATGGTACTTCTCCCAGTCTTGAGACATATTACAGTTCTTGATTCTTGTTGGAGGCTGGAGGGCCAGACACCAGGTGCTTTTCTGGGTCTGTGAATCTGTGATGTTCTCTTAATCTTCAGAAGTCACAGTTCATTTGAATTTTCCTCTTTTGAGGTCTTTGTATCATTCAGCCTACTAGCTTCGCCATCCTGTACTGCCTTGTTGTGGGTCTTCTTTTGGTTTGTTTCTGTACCAGTCTTGCTGTCCTGTCTAGCCAGCACACACCGCGGCCTAGTTCTAGACTTGCATGGCCCTTAGGGCTTCTTCCACAGTATTTCATCTCACTGGAGTTTCTTCTGATTGACAGGATTGTTTAATTTAGGCATGCTGACTTTATGTTGAAAATGTAGCTGACCACAAATCTACTGAAATAGGATAATCCTGCAAACCAAATAACCAACCATTTGGTCAGTCCCTGCCTCTTTCTGTCTCTTTGCTCTCTCCCCCACTCTTCTGTTTCTCATATGCGCATACATGTGTGCGTGCGCACGTGCACACACACACACACACACACACACACACACACACACACACTCTTCATTGTAAAACTAGAACTTAAACCTGTCATCATTGTCCCTAAAGGATGGTTTCTAGGCTTCATCTTTTCCATGTTTCTTTGTGTTCCTTTGTCAGTGTTTTCAAGATGAAAATATTCCAGTTAGAAGGGGAACAAAGTTTTCTTGTTATGGAGTTTATAGTTTATTCTTACCACAGGTTGCCAATTCAAAAGTGTTTGTGTAGTTAGTAGCATGCACTGTGAAACCACTGTTTCCCAGGAGTTAAGCGCTTCAGTGCAACTTCAAGTAGACACTTTTAATATCCTTTCTAGCTTATTTTAAAAAATAAAATATTACACGTAAGGTTCTATATGGCTCCCTGGATACAAGACATTATTCCTAACAGACTCTGCTTTAAAGACCTCTAGGATAAATCTCCTGTATATTTGCCCTTTAAAGTTCGACAACTGTGTTTTAAAAGACAAGCTGGATGTTTATTATACTTTTACAGAGGGAAGACAATCATTATTTTTAATGAATGGAATGGAAAATAAACGGGGAAAAAAACTCATCCCCAAATGGATGCAAAATATGCTATATAAAAGACCTCTGACTATAGAATAAGGAGCATCATAGTTTTGCTTTTGTAATTAATGTGCTTGTTTTTAACATAATGATTGAGACTATTAGTCTGATTTTAGAGCACTTCTTACCTAGTTGCTTTTAAGTGTTTAGTGTCTTCATGGTTAGTTCTCCATATGACAGGAAAAAAATTAGAAAAATAAAAGATGTATTTAATTCTACTTTCATCTCCAACATTTATTTGTTTATAGGAGAAAGATTTTCTGCTTTTATTAAGGTCTTAGTCAATATGTTTACTTTTGCTACTGTCTCTGATTTCCTGTACATGGGGCCTCTAGAGCTACGATGCAGATACTCTGTTGCCCTTTCCTTTCCTTATCCTTTCTTTAGGCAGCTTTCATGCTTTCTTGTTTTCTTGGGGTCACATTTGGCCAACTACCCTCTTTGGGGCACATTGTCCTTTCCATTAATGACTAATTCTTGTTCATCTTTCCTTTATTTATACTATTCTGTTGTTCAGGCCCTGGTGTTTGTTCACATCATGGACCTGCTGGTCTTCTGAGCTGCCATCCCACAAAGATGACTGCAAGGGGAGAGTAGGAGCTGAGTCACAGATGCTGCTCACAAAAGTGCAGTCATTTCATCCTTATGTCTTTCTAAAGAACTTAATTCTGTATTTCAGTGAATTTTTTCCTAAAGTCTCTGCTATGTTTTCCTTTGTTCACCATCTCATGCTGATAATAAAAATGTAACACTCCCCTTCTTTAGGAGAAATTCCTGGTTGAATATGTGTAGTTGAGAGAGCATTGAGGGGTGGGATGGCTTGGTCAAAATTCCTCCAGACTAGTTATCTTTTGGTTCTTTTCTAAGCTTGTTTTCATTATTCTTTTCCATCATTAGTATTTATTAAGAGCTTTTATGTTAAAAGCCAGTGCCTATGCTAGCACTGGTGATACAAAGCCAAACTTGACAAACATGGACATATGGCGCTAGCACACAGCAAGCACTTAGTGAACCCTTTGTTGATTGAAAGAAAGCTTAGTGCCTATATCCATTTGCTGATACTTGTAACCTTGATTAAATAATCCCTGATTGAAAGCCATCCGTGATTTCCTATTGCCTATGTAAAATCCAGAGTATGCACAGGGTTGCTGTGGTCCACGCAATCTGGGCGCTGTCTGCCTCTGCAACATCATCTCCTCCCCTGTCTTCTCGTTAATGTGCTGTGGCAGCACTGGCCTTGTTTACTCACTTTGAAACATCAAGCTTTTTCCTGCCTCAAGTCCTATTACTGCTTGCTGGTCCCTTTGTTGGCAATACTTACTCATGCCCCCAACCCACACCCCTTGTTCTTCATGGCTTTCTCAAGTCAGCTAAAGTTTCGTCATTTCAGAGAGTCCTTTCCTGAGCACCCGATCTAAAATGAGACCTCTATTTTAGCACTCTTTTTCTGCCTCTGTAATAACATTTTATATAACCTGTAATAATTTTGTTTGCTTGATTTTTTTCTCCCCATTTTATTCTAAGCTTTATGATGACAAGAGTCATATCTATCTTGTTTATCGTTTTATCCCTAATACCTAGTATGCCACCTAGCAGATAATAGCTGCTTAGAAAATGTGGTCGAAGGAATGAGTTATTAGAGTTTGAAAAATATGGTTGCCATTCACTTTGTTAATTTACTTACTTTTTTCCTGCTCTGCGCACTACCGGTATCCTCTGCCTAAAGATATCATCTCTTCTACATAGAAACACAGAAACAAGTCACTTAAGGGCTGGTGTTACTCAGTTTTACTGGATTAAACCAAAGAATTCCATACACATTTTTTTCACTTTCATGGGTTATATTAATCAGACTATGAAAGCTGCCATTTTCTGTTATGTAAATTTTGACAAAAGAAAATATGATTTTCTGGAATTTCCCTTGTATAAAAGTATTTCTAGAAAAAAAGTTTCTTAGTTCAGGAAACATTAGTCTAGAACAAGCTTGTCTAGCCTTTGGCCCAGGACAGCTTTGAATGCGGCCCAACACAAATTCTTACATTTTCTAACTTTCTTAAAACATTATGAGATTTCTTTTTAAGCTCATCAGCTATTGTTATTGTTCGTGTATTTTATGTGTGGCCCAAGACAACTGTTTTTCCAACATGGCTGAGAGAAGCCAAAGATTGGACACCACTGGTCTAGAACATGCCTGTGATATTGTGTAAAATTTCATGTGATTGTATTTTAAGGCTTTTTAGTTTTGACAGTGGCCACCCATGAACAATGACTTTTAAATTTATGGAAGAGACACTATCAGAATAAATGACAGATTAGAATTTGGCCCAAAGAGGTATTTTGCTTGGATACTGCAATTGTTTAAACTTTTTTTTAAATTAATGCTTTTAGACAGATAGACATTCTTCATTTTGGTCACAAATACTACTGGTCACCATTATTTTATAACAGCCTACTTTTCACATTTATGTTGCTTAACTGGCCCATTTAGGCCTTTGTGTTTGTAGCCCCTGGCTTAGAATCTGCCCCACAAAAATGAATCTTTAACTGATCTTTAATAAAATATTTTAAATTGTATATATACATAAAAGAGTTTACCAAAAGAATAATAATCACTTGTGTTTGAAAGAAACAACATACTATGGTAGGAGAATCAGCAGTCCTGGGTTTTAATCTCAGCTCTGCCATTAATTATTTGGCCTGAAAAAAATCACTTTGGAGTATTAGTATTAACTTTTGAGTATGTAATATTATTTTTTTCATTTGTAACTGAAGGTTTATGATTTATCTGTTCCTAAGTTTTATGATGTCATGAACAAAGAATTAACATCAAGATCAAGATTTAAGGAATTTGTCATGTCTCTCATTCAACTTTGTCAGCTCATTCACTGCTTCATTTAACTTAACTTTTTCCTAGGCTTATTTGTACATCTCCTTGAATTAAAATATATATATATTCAACTTTAATTTTTAGAGCTAGAGATTTTTGGGGAATAAGTGTTAACAGTGCTTCTATCTTCAGAGTCACTCTAATATGACTTCTTATTTGTTCAGATTTCCTTTTTCAGCCTCAGCCCTTCATGATTATTTGCCTTTTCAAAGAGAAGGCATTTGACTGTCATGTTAGCTATCTCTCTCTACAGGACATGGGACATAGGACATGTATGTATACTATATACTCATGATATTACTGTAGAACTCACACAGAATACTCAGTTCTACAGGAGGGCAGTATTCACTAAAGAAGTTCAGTAGAAGGCTGAGCACGGTGGCTCACGCCTGTAATCCCAATACTTTGGGAATCCGAGGCGGGCGGATCACCTGGGGTCAGGAGTTCGAGACCAGCCTGGCCAACATGGTGAAACCCTGCCTGTACTAAAAATACCAAAAATTAGCCGGGCGTAGTGGTGGGCACCTGTAATCCCAGCTACTGAGGAGGCTGAGATAGGAGAATCGTTTGAACCTGGGAGGTGGAAGTTGCAGTGAGTCGAGCTTGTGTCATTGCACTCTAGCCTGCGCAACAAGAGTGAAACTCCATCTCAAAAAAAAAAAAAAAGTACAGTACAGAGAAGTGGGTTTAATTCTTGCTTAGCAAATTCTGACATAGATCTAAGGGGATGTTAAAGATTTTGGTAAATAGAGATGAAATGGAAGAGCACTGTAGGAAAAGGAAGTATTGTGAACAAAAGTTCACAGGAAAAATAGAGAAATGTTTGGAAACTTTAAAAGCTTAGTTTAGCATGAACATATTCTGAGTTAGGAGGAGTTATGGGAGATCAGGTTGAGTGACAGACAAATTTTTTTCTAGTTCATATGCATTCTTAAATTCAAGATTAAGAATTTGTAGAGCTTTTACTATAGGTGATGGGCAGCATTGGAAAGCTCTGTTGCTCTGGACTCTTTTGTGCGATACAAACTCAATTCAAAATCACATAAACATGAAAGCAAATGTAATTGAGTCGTGTAACTGAAAGTTTTAGGGTGGTTGGCTATTGGCAAGCTGGATCCCGAGATGTCATTTGTTCTCCTGCGTCCTTGACTCTTCTTTCCTGTGTTTTGGCTGTATGCTGGAACAGGCTCTTACCATATGGATCACTCCCAGAGCTAAGCTTATATTCCACCAGCTTAGTTGCATTATCTGCGAGTACCTCTTTTTTCAGAAGCTCTAACAAAGTCTTGAGATGAACCAACTGTACCTTTTTGTATCATGTGGCCTTTGGACTTGTTAATGAAGCAAAAGGCATCTGATATCATGTTTGGCAAGGCCTATATTACATCATCACTTTGGAATCAGGAAGTGGAGTCAACCCCATTCAAACCACGTGAATTGAGTACAAGAGAGCAAAAGGAAAATTACATTACATTGCTGGTATTTTGTTTTTTTTTTTTAAACAAAGTCTTGCTCTATTGGAGTATAGTAGTACAGTCATAGCTCACTGCAGTCTTGAACTCCTCAGCTCAAATGATCCTCCCACCTCAGCCTCCCGTACTAGCTAGTACAGGTGTGTGCAACCATGCCCAGATACTTTTTAGTTTTATTTTGCAGAGACAGTGTCTTGCTGTGTTGCCCAGATTGGCCTTGAACTCTTAGCCTCAAGTTATCCTCCCACCTTGGCCTCCTGAAGTTCAGGAATTACAGGCATGAGCCACTGTGTGTGACCCATTGCTGGGATTTAAATAAGGGGAAATGATGCTTTTTCAGACAAAAACACCAACGAGTGCTATAATAGAACATGAGAGTGAGGCAAGGAAAACTGGATAGGATGATTATTACAGCAGTATTGGATGGAGACTATTGATGAGTATAGGAGATGATCATTGGATTCTAAATATCTAATAGAAAAATAGTGAGATTCTAAATGAGAACATTAATAGTAGGAATGGAAGGCAGGAAAGGAACTAGCAATATGGATGAAAGTTGTGTTATTTGCTTTTTACTAGTTAAGAAATTTGTCTGGAACGGAACTGAAATTTAACTTTGTCCTATCTATGTGAAAAGGATTTGGGATATAAATTAATTTAGTCAAAATTACAGAGGTCACAATTAAACTACTTTAGTGGTTATAATTATTTTAAAAACTAGATAATGCTAATAATAAATTTTTCATATTTACTCATTACATTGGCTCAGTAAGTTTGTTTTGGCAGCATTTTAAGTTACTCCATGCACGTAAATGTTCTAAAATTTTTCTTTAAAAATCTAATGTAATACTGCTTTCTTCCACTTAAATACAATTACATATATACATATACACACATACATATATCTACATATATATATATATACACACACACACACACACACACACAAATATACAGTCATGTGCCACATAACATTTTGGTCAACGATAGATTGCATGTGCAATGGTGGTCCCATAAGATTATAATTGCCTGTTTTTACTACAGAATTTACCTTTTCTGTGCTTAGATACACAAATACCATTGTGTTATAGTTGCCTACGATATTAAATACAGTAACATGCTGTACAGATTTGTAACCTAGGAGCAATAGGCTATGCAAATATAGCATGGGGGTGTAGTAGGCTATACTGTCTAGATTTGGGTAAGTACACTCTGTGATGCTCACACAATAAGAAAATTGCCTAATGGCACCTTTCTCAGAAGGTATCATCATCAAGCAATGTATGACTGTATATATAAATACACACAATCAATAAGTGATCCATTATTTGGCATTAACTTGTCAAACTTATCACTATCCCCCCTGCCAAAAAGTAAAGTATTAAGTGCATCTGTAGAGTTCATGTATTATGCTAGATCTCAGAGTGAAAATGAATGAGTAAAGTTTCTGCTCGTCACTATACTTGATATATAGTTCAGAAAAGCCAGTTTCCTCCTCAGTGATCTGGAATAGCAGGCATACATTTGATGAACACTCATTACGTGCTAGGCACAAATGATATAAAGGTGAATAAGGCAATATGCTTTAGGAAGTAAATGTCTTCTTTTGAATATAGTTTCGAGGTTTTTTTGTTTGTTGACTTTGGTACCATTTGAACAATGTTCACTTGAGTCAGCATTCTGAAAGGGTCATTTACTAATATGTTTCTAAGAAAATTTCCCATACTTGGTAACCTATCTTTCACTATAGTAGGGATCTAAAATGTAGGGCATGGGGGGATTTTAGCTCATAGTTTCTCTGTATATCCAGTATTGATACAGATATTTATTTGTATTCAGACTGTTTTGGTGGTTCCAAGATTTTTATAAAATTAAAGTAGATAAGAATGTGAATTAGTTTTTGTCATTATTTTTTCCTTTATCGTAAATTTAAATACAATGAGAAATATTTTCATAAAAGCCAATATAATTCAAAGCATATATTATATATATATTTCGTGTGTGTGTGTGTGTGTGTGTGTGTGTGTGTGGCTATGTGTGCATGCACGTGCACATGTGACAATTGTATTATGGAGTTTCTCATTCAAATGTAATGATTCTTAGCTTTCATTTTGTATCATTGCTTAGTATTAGAAAAAGCCTCAGGATTTTCAAAGGGAATTTTTAATTTTTTAAAACAGAAAAAATGAACTCACTTTTAATGAAAAGTATTTTTCTATACTATTTTGTAAGAGGATCACTGCTAGGAAACCAAGCAATAGCTCAATGCCATTACTGCAAAGATTTAAGAATCCTTGACTTACTATTTTATTATAATTGATGGGAATGAAGAGATGATAACTTTTAAGTTTATAAAGAGTGATTTTAGGATTATGCAGTTATTTTAGTAGCAATATTATTATTTTTCCAAGTCTTCAAAGATATTTAATGACATTCATATTTTATTTGCAGTCTTTTTTGAAAGAGAAGCAGAGGTTAAGAATTGAGGTCTTATTTGCTCTGAAATTTGAATCCTGTTTAATATGTCAGTAGACTTTACGAAAGTAACCATTTCTTTGATTTTGGTATTTAGAACTAGGAGTAGAAAAAGGAAAATGCACATACGTACACATACACATAAGACATAGAAACAGTGGCAGTTTTAGAATTGAACTGCCTGAGAAACCTTCAGGCTTTTGGAAACATGAACTTAATATTTGTCTTCTTTCAATCAGTTTTATTTTAGATAAAATGCTGGCAGATGGTAGTGATCTACTTGAACACAGTTGAGTTTTCTTTATTTTTTCCATGGAAAAAAGCTCCCAGAAACTTTTGTTCTTTAATATGTTCAGCATGCATATGTTTTACATCTATTAATGAGTATTAAAAATGCAGGTCCTAATTAGATGTCTAAATCTGAGAGGAGTTGTGGTGAGTACCAGCCTCTTAGAATTATTAAAAAATACAGTTTTGATGAACAGGAGTTTCTTTTTTGCTGTGACATCTTTCAGCCTTCTCCTGTTCCAGAAACGAAGGAATTTGCATTATCAATGCTTCTCAGCTATTGTGTTCTAGGGTTTCTACTAGATATTGTGAGTTTTGATGATAAACCTTCAGATGTTGATGATGTCAAAACTTGGGAGAATTCAGGATATTTATGTTCTATTATCACCTGTTTTACAGGAAAAAAGGTAATACCTTTTTTTACTTGTTTAAATATTTAGGCTTTAGATGGGGCATGAATAGTTACAAACTTTTGATATGCCTTATATTTTAGAAAGCTGGTAGAAAAATCTGAAATATTATGTTGCAACCTGGTTTTGTTTGGTACTTTAGTTTTACTTTTTAAAATGTGGAGGGGTAGTGGTGGGGAAATCCCTTCACTCCAGATTTATCTATGAGTCACCTGAAGTCTTTCTTCTAATAGAGTATAATGAAATGGTGCCATCTGAATCAGTATTTCCATATTTGCAATTTTGGATATTCAGTTTGTACTCATCAACATTTATCTACATTTCTGTTTTATTTTTAAATTTGCCATATAATCCTCTTTTAGCTAATAAGCACATCTAACCAAGAATGCCTTCCGTTTTTCATAGACATTGATTGTTAATTGTTCTCTCACTTATTTTGTCTTACCGACTAATGTATTTGTTCTTATTTTGTCTTACCGACTGATGTATTTGTTCACAACTCCAAACCACAAATTAGGCACATATGTACTGACTAATCCCAACTTACAAATATTAGCCCACGCAGTGTGAATTTCTTCAATGTTTGGGCATTCCTAGGAACATATGATGGTTTTTGATGTTCTCTCTTGTACCTATTAGGCATTTTATTACATAGGAGCCCAGAGGGACGAGGAAAGGGCCTTGGACTAGAAGTCAGGGGAGCTAAATGCAAGCCCAATTCAGCCACTCACCTTTAAAAGTACAAATCACTGTCATTCTGTATCTTCATCTGCTAAATGGTGAAAATAAAAATAATACTCTTCCCTTTTATCTTCAAGATTTGTGAGGATCAAATGAGATAATAATCTTCCAGGAGTATTTTGTAAACTGGATTAAATAATGTTTTAAAGTTGGAAATGTTTTAGTTAGAATTTGTACTGTTCCCCTAAGTGACTGATTTGCTCTGAATTTTTTTAAAAAAATTATTTAATCTCTAGTCTCTGTTTATTTTAAAATGTGAGTAGGAGAGATGACATAGAATTAATACTTTTTAAAAAACGTAGTGCTTAAAGAGTGTTTGGCCCGAAACCATAATGTACTTCTTTTATTCCTCAGATATAGGTGGTTTGATAGGCACAGTGATAGAGCGGGAAGAAATAATAGAGGGAATATTATTTGCAGATTTTTATTCTCTCTTTTAACTATTTCAGTTCTGGTATCAATTTTGAATTGTAGCTAAATATCAGCAATCAAATATTTGGGGGTGCTGGGCACAGTAGCTCATGTCTCTAATAACAGTGTTTTGGGAGGCTGAGGCAGAAGGATTGCTTGAGGCCAGGAGTTTGAGACCTTTCTTGGCAACATAGCAAGACTCTGTTGTTACAAAAAAATTTAAAAAAATTATTAGCCAGGTGTTGTGGTGTGCACCTGTAGTTCCAGTTACTTGGGAGGCTGTGGTGGGACGATCACTTGAGCCCAGGAATTTGAGGTTATAATGAGCTACGATCCTGTCATTGCACTCCAGCCTAGGTGACAGAGCGAGACCTTCTCTCTTTACACACACACATACACACACACACACACACGTAATATATATTATGTGTATATATAACATAATATATACATAACATATATATGCATTATATATACATAATATATATTATATATAACATAATATATAATGTAATGTATATATAATAGGTGTAGTAATGGATTAAAATAGGGGTCATTTTATGTCATTTTATGTTTTTGTAATTAGAAAAATAAATTAAGAATAATTCATTTTCTTCAGTTAACATTTATCTAATGCCTCCTATTTTATAAGACACTTTGCTACTAGGTACTTGATTCAGAAATGTCTGTAAGAATTATCAGTATGAAAAAGATAATATGGAAAGTGGTTGAATTGCTCTCTTATCTAGTAAACACTGAAGAATTCTTAAAGAAATAAAAGGTGTATAGTTGTCTCATATCTGAAGGTTTGATGATGTCTGTAGCCTTTTTAAGGAAAAGCAATATTTCATACCTGTGGTGGAATGAGACTGACTTTCTAATACAAAGTAGTTATTTCACATTTATACATCATCTCTTTGCTTAAGCCCCAAGGAAAAGAATTATGTGAATGTCTGCACATGATGATATTTCTCACATTAATTTTAATAAAAGAATAACAGCTGAACATCATAGCTGCCAAAAAAAATTAGATAAATGAAAATAAATGTTCTAATGTACATTCTTCAAATTGATACCGGCTTTAGTAAACATAATAAACGTTTCTTGTTCACAAGAGAAATTGTGAATCGAATAGTAATTGGTCATTTCAGGTCAGCTGTGTCACTGGTCATCCATTAGTGCAAATTATCTAGCTTGAACATATCTTTGAAACTTACAAATATGCTGAAAGCATTGTCTTAGTAGGTAAAACTTACAAAGAGATCTTATGTAAATTAGTTTTGCATTTTTTTCCTATAGAAATAAATTTTCCTTTTTATTTCTTTCAAAAGTCTTGGAACACATTTTTACTTTTGCTACTTGAGACTGAAGGTAAATATGCTGCAGGAGAGATGGAGAAATATATTTGACCAACTTGTTGCAGCAGGTGATACCTAACCTGCTCATTGGACCTCCCTACTTTTTTGACAGTCTATTTAACTCTTTCTTATAACTGGTTAAAGAGTTAAACTAGGCCAGGTGCATTGGCTTATGTTTGTAATCCCAGTACTTTGGGAGGCTGAGGCAGGTGGATCACTGGAGGTCAGGAGTTCGAAACCAGCCTGGCCAACATGACAAAACCCTGTCTCTACTAAAAATATAAAAATTAGCCAGGCATGGTGTTAGGTTCCTGTTATCCCAGCTACTTGGGAGGCTGAGGCAGGAGAATCACTTGAACCTGAGAGGCAGAGGTTGCAATGAGCTGAGATTGCACCACTGTACTTCAGTCTGGGCAACAGAGGGAGACTCACTCAAAAAGAAAAAAAAAAAGGAGTTAAGATAAACACCTCTAACTTTTCACAACCCTATCTCCTCCAAAATATTTCTAAATCTTTTCATTCATTTCTTTCACCCTTTACTTCAAGTATTTTACCAGAGAAGCTCACTAGCAAACAGTTTTGAATAGCTGTTAATAATGTTTTTACGTTTGTCATTGCAAAACAGTATTCTATTATTTTTGTACAATATTAGTTGTGGTAGAGGAGTGGTCAGTCAGTAGAGGAAAAGAGAAAGTTATAAAGTATTAGATAATTAACTTATGGATTCTTGAGCAATTGAAATTCAAAAGCAAATATACAAAGTATACTTTAGGGTTATTTTGGTATTTTATATTTAATACTGCCCTTTTCTTGAACTTTTATAAGCAAAGATCATCATAGATTTGCCTCAGAAATATTTTATTATATCTAAGTTCCGTGAGGGCAGAGACTTTGTCTTTCTTACCACCATTCTCAGGGTCTAATTCTTAGTGTTCAGTAAATATTTGTTGGATGAATGAATAAATAATGATTATACTAAGAAATATCAATCAAAATTTATAATGTATTCTTTTGCTGTATCCAGTATTCTAATTGTGTTTATATCCAGATAAGACCTAAATAGGAAAACAATGATAGGCGATTTTCTAATACTCCATTATTCAGCAATTGCTTTGCAAGATTCTACTTTCTATTTTCCTTTTCTTTCTTCCTTGTTCTGCACATTGCACAACCCTGCCCGCATATAGTAATGGCTTAATACTTTTTAAAATGCTTGCACAAATAGTATGCTTTATTTTAGTAGAAATACTTTTTTCTTGTTGTATAATTAGTTACCTGTTCAGTACAGAGAATAAGGTGGCTATTGGTGGTTTTCACTTTTCTCGTTTGGATTCTTTTTCAAGCAGCAAAAGATAGATATAATGAATTTAAAGCACATTAGGTAGAATTTAAAGTGACAAATAGGATCTACAAGACAGAGTGCTGAGACTTCTCTTTTTCCATGACACAGTGGCAATATGCATAAAACTGTTACCATTTGTTAGTTCATTGGCAGAGAAGCTCTGGTTTGAGGAATATAAATGCAGCAGGAAAAATGGTTTCATTAGACACGAACTTTCTATGCAGTGTTAAAACTCAGTGCCTTTCTGGAAATGTAAGGATTTTGATGTGAAAAGAGGACAGTGGAGGAACATAGTGGTTTTATAATGGGGGTCTAGCTGTTGACTTGCCAATGATGCAAATTTACATGGTCTGCTTTGTAGGAACAGTGTATCACAGTTTCTTTTCAGGTTGTATTGCTTGACCTTTGTAGCGCTTTTGAAGGTTTTCCACCATCCCTTAGAATCATACCCTCCTAAGTCTTCCTTTGTAACTTAGATTTTTACTATACTCCTTCTACATCATTAAAAATTTTGCTTTTATCATTGAATATTTCTTGGAAATGATATCGATTTTACCGAATTGTTATTTAGGCATCAGTGATTATTAGAGACTTATTGTATAATCCCAGCTAAGATAAAGTCCCCTTTTTTGTTGTTGTTTGATATGTTATAAAAGGCACTTGGTTTCCTTTGCTTCAGCCATCTCCCAGCAATTTTCATGAGTAAAAGCATTTTAGATATCACCTTGATTCAGTTATCAAAAGATTTCAGTGACAGCCAGTTATTTTTCTAATAAATAAATTCTTATTCACATAGTTAAAGCATGACTACCTGGTCCTTTCCTCAGGATAGTCCTATCCATTGTAAGTATATTTTTTTATTTTCTGGTTAATATAACTTGCTTATTGGAGGTACATCAAGTTTCCTGTTGTGATTTGAACGAGTGAGCAAGGACATTATGGGAAACTTTAACCATATACAAAATAGAGGGAACAGATAATGAACCTTTTTACCTTTTAACAAGTGTAAATAAATAGCCAATCTTGATTTATCAGAACTCTGCCTAGTTGTTTTCCACCCCAGATTAGATTGAAGCAAATTCTAGACATTCCATTCATGGCTCTATATATTATATTGAATACCAATAAAAGATAAAATTTCTTTAAAAATAAAACATAATTGTAATATCATTACCACCCTGATAAAACCCCAAGTAATTCCTTAATGTTATGAAGTATATCCAATGTTAAAATACATTTACTATAAAATACTAAATGAATAATAAGACCCTATTATGCAGTGAAGAAAAGAGAAGGTGGCCAGGCATGGTGGCTCACACCTGTAATCCCAGCACTTTGGGAGGCTGAGTTGGGTGGATCACCTGAGGTCAGGAGTTCATGACCAGCATGGCCAACATGGTGAAACCCCATCTCTACTAAAAATACAAAAAAATTAGCCAGACCTGGTGGCGAGTGCCTGTAATCCCAGCTACTTGGGAGGCTGAGGCGGGAGAATTGCTTGAACCCGGGAGGCGGAGGTTGCAGGGAGCCGAGATCGCACCGCTGGACTCCAGCAGCCTCGGTGACAGAGTGAAACTCTGTCTCAGAGAAAAAAAAAAGAAAAAGAAAAGAGAAGGCAGTCTCCCAGGGAACAGAACATACTTATAATGTCCTGTAGGCAACGGTTGCTCAATAAAAGCGACCAATTGCCCAGAGCTGAAGTATGGTGCTGCTTATTTGAGAAATTATTAATCAGTGTTCTTTTAGTGGCTCAATATCTTTAATGCTCTGTAGTCACTTAGTTGTTATTCTTCCATCTTACAGATTGCACTGTATTGAGTGAATGGTGGCCACTGAATGGCACAGAGCAAACCCTGTGTACTGCCTTAGGGGATAGCCCTGCCCTGCAGGAGGGCCTTGGGCATCAGTATTTATATTTAAATACTCTGCATAAGTGGGGCACAGTGGTGCACACTTGTAATCCCAGTTACTTGGGAGGCTCAGACTAGGGGATTGCTTGAGCTCAGGAGTCTAGACCAGCCTGGGCAACATATCCAGACCTTGTCTCAAAATGCATATATGTATGCATACACACATATATGTACCCTGCAGGTCTTTCTAATGTGCATCCAAGGTTGAGAATATTGTCTAAAGTGTACAGTCTGGGCCTAGTACAAATAATAGTATTATCTGTTTCATTTTACCTTCACCAGTTGTAGATTGTAAGTATAAATATAACTAATAATTCTGTTTGTTTTGTTTTACTTGCCGGCTATTTCCTTTCCTCTTGTTTTGCTACTTTGAAGGGATAATTATAGTAGTATGAAACATTTTGTCCACATAGAAGCTTATTGAAGAGGTTAAATGTTCTTGCTAATTAAAGAAAACACTAATTGGACAGATTGTTGTTTTATATTAGTAATTTTCATTATTTTTTAATCAGAGCTAAAAATATTTTTAAAAGAATGCTATTTTATACTTATTTTTCTCATTATTTGAGGGATTTAAATATTCAGATGAAATTTATTTTTGAGATAGTTGATCATGCTTTGGTCTCTAGGTGCGACAGAGACAAGATATAATTATTTTTTTGAAGTGTCAGAAAGTTTTATAATTCTCAATCCCTATCCATGCCTTACCTATCACTAAAATGTCCATCACCCATCCATCCATCCATCCTTCCATCAGTCCATCCATCCATCCATCCATCCATCCATCCATCCATCCATCCGATTGCAAAAGGACTCAGCATAATGTCATTAATTTTCTTTGCACTCTTGCATGGCTGATTAGTTTGTTAAATCTCACTTTTTAGGAAAAGAAACTGATATGTTCAAAAGTCAGTTGGTTTCTCTATTTTCAAAGGGGAAATTAGTGGTAGATGGTTAAGATGTAGTCTGTGTTTTATCCCGTTCAAAGGCACTACTTTTCAATGTTGTGAAAGCTTAAATTAAAAAAAAAAATTGGTGCTACTTGTCTTTTAGTTTCACTAAGAGAACATATTTCTTGGAGTTCTTCTAATAATTTTTTTATTTGCCTGGCTATCTCTTCTTGCACTGATTTGACCATCTGTATTAGTTTCCTAAGGGTGCTGTAACACCAGAATTTATTCTCTCACAGTTCTGAGGCCAGAAGTCCAATATCAGGGCCAGCAGGGCCACACTCCCTCTGAGGCTCTAGGGATGAATCCTTCCTTGCCTCTTTCTGGCTTCTTGTGGCTCCTCCAAATCCTTGACATTCTTTTTGGCTTGTAAGCTGCATCACTCCAGTCTCTACCTCTGTTGTCACATGACCTTCCTCTGTGTGTGTGTGTCCTTTTTTATAAGGAAAAACATCATTGGATTTAGGGCCCACACTAATCTAGCATGACCTCATCTAAATTTGATTAAATCAGCACAGACATTTTGAATGGGGTCACATTCACAGGTACTATGGGTTAGGACTTGCATGTATCTTTTTGGGGGATACATTTCAACCCACTACATCATCATCATCCCAGAATTCAGTGTAATATGCCTGTCATTTTCTGTGCCTTCAGTTTTTGTTGTTACCGTTAAATAAAGGACTCTGTCTGGTATCATCATGTATAAATAATAAGCTGTAAAATAGTCATTAATTCTGAAACCAGAAGACGCTGTAAGATATTTTATCTTCAGTTTGTCAATAAGGCAATTGTTAGGGTTTGAGTTTGTACCCATCAAAACTCATGTTGAAATTAGATCCCCAATGTGGTAGCGTGGAAAGTGGGCCTCAGTGGGAGGTGTTTAGGTCATGGGGCTGGATGGCTCATGAGTAGCTTGGTGCCATATTGGAGTAAGTGAGTTCTGGCTCTCGCAAGACTGGATTAGTTCCTGTGGAAATGAATTAGTTTTGGAAAGAGCAGGTTGTTAAAAGGCCAGGATGCTTCTTCGGTTTTATTTCTTCACTCGTGTCTGATTCTTCTTTGACCTCAGCCATGTTATGTCACCAGAAGCCAGGGCCATGCCCTTATATTTTCTAGCTTGCAGAACCATGAGCTAAATAAACTTCTGTTCTTTAAAAATTATTCAGTCTCAGGTATTCTGTTACAGCAACAAAAAACAGACAAGACAACCACAAAGTGGTATCAGTGACTTGACAATAATCACGTAGATGATTGTCCACAGAGTAGTATGAATAAGGTGTTATTTGTCTGCTATTATATAATATTTTCTGTGATGTCACTTTGTTTTTTCTTATTAAGATTAAGCATCTTAAGATATTAATACCTGACACTAAGATGACATGACAAATATTAACACAGTTATGGCTTTAGAGTTATTCTAATCAAACTGCTGTCATTTTGCAGCTGAGGAAAGGGAGGTCTTGAGAGGTTAAGTGAGTTACTGAAAAGGAGAGTTAGGTGATGACATTTCTGGGTGGATTTTGAGTGTTTGGTATTGAATTCTATAACATGAACCTAATGTGGCAAATTTGATATTACCTAGAGGACACTGAAGAAAATCAATAACAGGTTTGAAAATAAATACTGAAAGAATTTGAAATAATTTAAACACAAAAGTAAAGGATGACTAAATTAATAATATTTTTCTCTTACCACTGAAGGCAAATAGAAACAGGCTCAATCATCAAGCAGATTCTGCTTTGTTTTTCAGCTAGAAAGTGTGACAGTGGGACTGTTGAGAATTGTCATGGAGAATTTGAAGAGGAATGAACTCTTATCCAAAACAAAACGAAAATAAAACCCACATACATCTATGTATTAGTTTTGTCTTACCTGGAAATTTCAAATTTTAAAAAACCCATTAGTTTGCATATTTATTTCCAGTCTACATTATTACTTCCTCCTCAGAATGCAAATCTAATTTACAGGGAGGGACTTCCACCCTCTACAACATAATCTCTGAAATCTTTGAACTTGTGGCTCTTCAGTGCCTGATTTTTATATCTGTTTCTCTTATAAAACAGGGCATGATGTAACTAATGGCTTTCAAATCTCTGACCTTCAGATTGTAGCATAATATTCCTACCTCAGACTTCCTATAGATGGATTAAGGTGTGTACCTCTAATAGGATCCTTGATATCTTTCAAGAGATGAAGGCAGAAGGAGAAACTCAGTATTCCTAGTAGATATATTGACCCATACTCTTCTGGGCATTGTCCTGGCTTCAGTTACCTGATGGACTGTCTAGCTGTAAATGAATACCATGTCTCAACTGATCTGAATCATCCTGTTGGGTAGCTTCTGCACTGACTTTTCTTCATTTGCCAGTTGCTCTGTTATTATACAGGCAAACATACATTGCCTGCCTGCCATTTGTGTACGACTTTATAATCTTTTCTACAAACTATCTTTCCTATGTCTATAGCTTTCCTTTTTGACAAATTTAAGCAATTTCTGCTCATTGATTTTTGTTTTATTTTGTTTAAAAATAATCTAACTTCTTTTCTCCTACAGACTTTTACAAGCTATCTAAAAACAAAACAGAAAACAGCTAACTCCTGCTTGCTAGTGGCTGTACATCCAATTGCCTTCCTTGGCTTGGAAAGGAAGACAGTTGTCACTCAGAAAGTCCTGTTGCATCTCGTCAGAAATTCTTAACCAGCCCTTGTTTAAAATTTCAAGGCAGTAGCTCTCGAGACTTCAAAGAAGATTATGGTTACTAGTACTCTTTCTGGTTATCAAACATGGTAATCTTTGCCTATATTTAGGATAAATTAAGGAAGAAGTAGACGTTGATGAATTAATATGGGCCAATTCAAAATAACAAGTGCATCAGCTTTCCAGCTGGTGCGTCCAATGGAACGTTAGAGAACCTCTGCATTACTGAAATCTACTTCTTAGAGGGTAGCATTGAGTTGCTGTTAAAATCATAACTAACTAAGAGTTATGCAGACCCACAGTAGATGACTGTGAAACATAGGAGAACAGATCCTTGTATGGCCTAATGTAGTTACCCTCAGTGTTGCCATTTAGTAGCTATAAGGTTTTGGAGAAATTGCTTAACTTTTCTGAGCTTCAGTTTTCTTGTCTTTTAAAATGGGACTAATAATACCTACCTTACAGTATTATTGTGAAGGTGAAGTTAATCCAAATGAGATAATATATTTTTGGAGCCTGACATAGTGGCTGGCACAATGTGAGTGCCTCATAAATAGTGCAATATTTTTTCTGTTTGTATAGCACTGTGTAATTTTCTCACATACCGTATCATTTGATCTTTCAAATTAAGAAGTGGTCAGGAAAGATGGTAAGAGTTTGGTAATAGCACCTTTTTTACAGTTGAAAAAGCTAAGTTTCAGAGTGGTAAGTCCCGTATCATATAGCTATTTACGGTTAGGTTTTCTGATTCCTCATCTAGAGCATTAGACTTTTCCCTCCTTTATTTAAACTCTTATTTTTAAAATTTACTTATTTAAGCTTCTAACTATATAGGTATATGGAGTTATACCTATATAGGGAGCCAGTGCTTTAATAGAATTCCTGATGCCCTCATCCCTGTATGCAAATGAAATAACAGATACTTAAAGGGCTTTGGAAAATAATTTTAAGTGCTAAGGAAACATAAAATTGAATGATTTTTTTGGTTAATTTATTATATTTAGTCCCTTCTGTAATTGGTAGTAAATTGGAAGCATCTAAAAAAAATCATTTCCAAAAAGGAAAAGAAATACTTCCTATAGCCATTTTTCCACTCTCATTACTGTATTAACCGTGTTCAAATATTCTTTTAATAGAAAATTCCATATTGTTTCTAAGCCTTTTGTTGAAGAATTCCTAAGCATTATAGCTCCTTATTTTTTTGTTGGAGGAACTAATTTTATTAACGTGGCAATGAAACTGACACTTAAGGAATTATGAGCAAATATTGTAGCATTTGCTAGATTATCTTTCTTTTAAGCTCTCTAAAAGAAAATATTTCTCATAATTGTTAACACTTGTAGAAAATCTTGTGAAAAAAATAGATGGAAAGTATTCCACTCTTCTGCCATACCTGGCTATTAAAAAAAGAAGGATTGGCCCACTTATATTCAGTATAGTGCATGTTTGACTTGCTCTACCTCCATGTACTTCCCTCAGTGTAAAGAACTTAGGCAGGTGTTATTAATAAAAAAAAATAATAAAAAACTCCTATTTTAAATAAGGATGCTATTCTCCCAGCTTTGAAGCTCACACATACTCTCTAACTTATCCCAGCTTTTGCTCATCTGGTCTTTAAATGTCTCCTTTCATGTGGTCAGCCCACGAGCCGTGCGTATTGCCGCTCAATCACGCCACTGTACGTAGCCATCATGAGGGTGGTTTGCATGATTTGCATTTCCTGTACTGTTTGAGCTTCAATGAGCTCTAAGCGCCACGTATGAGGAAACCACTGCCAAGTAATGCAATGATTTTAGTCAAACCAGATGAGTGTGTGCTAGAGTCAGGCTACCAAGTTGGTTGGGGGTGGGGAGGTGTTGTTAGGATATCCTGTTAAAAAAGGATTCTTCAAGATGTCCGCACATGCAGGATGTGAATTCCTTAACAAATCTGGCCATGTAATGTAAGAAAGTTACATTTGGGAAGATAAGACTAAAAGGCTAGATGAATAACCGTGTATATGTTGCTCTTAAAAAATTCAGCCCTATAGATTTTAGTATGATGCTTTAATGTGATTATTTATTGTGACAATAATAGATTTTGATGACATTAAATTTCTAGCCATATAGAATGAAATTTAGTCAGAATTAAATTAAATACATTGATTACATGTCCCCTTGTCCTGTAAAAGAAAGCTTGTATTTTATTAAAAAATGATTGATGAAAACTGTTGGACAAGTATTACAGAAATGGCATAGTAGTGGGCCAATGAATAGCTACTAAAGTGGAGAAGGAAAAAAAACATGTACCAGATACTAGTCTTCATGAAAAACATAGACAGATGGGGAGACAGACCTATATGATGCCACAAATAGATGAATATCTTGTAAGGATTTCAAACAAATGTTGAAAGATCCAGTGAAATTTTAAAAGTTGGTTTAAAAGTATATCTTATGCTTATAAACATAGTGTATTTATTCTGCTCACCTGAAACCCAACCTCTAAATTGTTAATAAAATATTGTATCAATATTAACCAAAAAGAGTGTAGGCTGAAACTATATCTAAACTCAGAAATATTAAAATGAATCTCACTAATAAGAGGGACTAATTTTTCTTAGGCTTCTTAGACTCAGATATGATATTATAATGCTTACAAGAAAACCTTCTATAGAAATCTTTTAAAGTATTGCTTAATAATTGTTTCAAATATTTCCTGTTCTTATGTATGGACAATTGAAGAATATTCTCTTTTCTCATATTTTATATATATATATAATATATATATATATAAAATATATATATAATATATATATATTATATATAAAATATATATATAATATATATATATTATATATATAATATATATATTATATATATAATATATATATATAATGTACCTGATAACTTGCTGTGGATGCTACTCAATAGTCTTTAGTACTAGTTCACCTGATTACAGCCTACTAACTAATCAGTGCCTATCAGGCATGCCCTGCAGCACTTTTAAGGTATTCCTTTTTTTTTTTTTTTTTTTTTGAGACGGAGTCTCACTGTGTTGTCCAGCCTGGAGTGCAATGGTGCGATCTTGGCTCACTGCAAACTCCGCCTCCCTGGTTCAAGTGATTCTCCTGCCTCAGCCTCCCAAGTAGGTGGGATTACAGATGTGCACCGCCATGCCTGACTAATTTCTTTTGTATTTTTAGTAGAGACAGAGTTTCACCATGTTGGCCAGGCTGGTCTTGTACTCTTGACCTCAGATGATCCACACACTTCGGCCTCCCAAAGTGCTGGGATTACAGGCTTGAGCCACAATGCCCGTCCACTTCTAAGGTATTCTAAAGAGGAAGCTTTTAAGTCACACATACCTACTGAGGAAATTGTTCTATAATTATCTATTTTAAGAAAAGGTAGACAATTTATATGGATTAAAAAACTATGTATTATTATATCTACACTAAAATGGTTTTGCATGTTGAATGTACCATGTAGTCAATTTAAGTCTGAGAATATTTTTCATTGTGCTGTGGACTGAAATGTTAAAGGCCAGTTTTTACTTTTTTTTTATTCTCTTTTATTTCCTAGTTTCCACTTTTAACATTTATTGAATTTTAATGTATGACTTAACCCTTACATAATGCTAAGTTTGGCACTTTTGGGTTGTTGCTAGCTTATCTGCCATGGGAGATCTTGGGCCACAGAGCGCTTTTTTCAGAGTCTGAATTTGAAGGAGGGCATATTTGACCCACAGAGCTCTTCATGTGTTTAATTGGATATGTTCACTAATGCTATTAGAATGTTGCATTTTAAATAATGTAATGTCATAACTGTCACATAAGTTATTTTTTATTTATTGATTGATTTTTATTTTTGAGATAGGGTGTCACTCTGTTGCCCAGGCTAGAGTGCAGTGGCATGATCTAAGCTCACTGCGGCCTCCATCTCCCGGGCTCAACTGATCCTCCTTCCTCAGCCTCCCAAGAAGCTGACACTACAGGCATGCACCACCACACCCAGCTCATTTTTGTATTTTTAGCGGAGATGAAGTTTCACCATGTTGCCCAGGTTCTCGAACTCCTGGGCTCAAAGTGATTCACACACCTCAGTATTTCAAAGTGCTGAGATTACAGGCATGAGACACCATGCCTGGCCAAGTTATTAAAATTATTATTTCTTACCAGTTAAATTAGTTTTAAGAACATTGAGCTTATTAGTGATCTTAGTTTTATGTAAATACATTTGAATAATGAATAATATTGTACCAACTTTTCTTTGAACATTTTTCTTGGTTACTTAGTTCCTAAAAAACTAGTATTTGAATCTAAAACTAAATTGTATTTTTAGATGCTTAATCCCGTGGGGGAAAGGAACACATTTTGCATTAGTTGTCTTTAATTTATTAAATAATTCTGTAATGCACTGTGTGCATAGATCATGAAAACCACTGGCACATATTTTTCTGACTTCACAACATAAGCTGGACTCCTGTTGCAGTCCCAGCAAATGTGTTTATAAAGATTCCAGCAGTAATAGTCTTGTGACTAAATAAGAAACAGAAGCTAAAGCTTAGAGCCAAACAGATACCTATCTGTTTCCTTGAGTTTAATCTGATTAAAACATGGGTCTCAAAAACATTAAATACAATGTCATGTCAGAGAGGTGGTATATGATAAATATAGCTCATGACAGGAAATGGTTATTAAATCAGTATTACTAGTGAATCTGTTATGGAAATTTCCCTTTAATTTAGTTTAAGTTCCCCCATTTGTCACCTCCAGTACATCACTATAGTTTTCTGTTTTAATGATAAATATGTTATTTTCTGTTGAATGAAAGACAATTTTTCTACTTTATCATACATTTGCTATCACTGATCAAACACTTCATACATGAACTACCTCCTCACTTTAACTAGGAAAACCAATATACGGACTAAAAGAGAATCCATACTAGTCATTGGCCAATGGGACCTAAATACAACAAACTTAAAGGCAGCAGCCACCTGGCCCTTATCAAAGGTACAAGCAGTTTTTTAAAAATGTGAAACACATCAACTTGATCAAACTTAAAATTATTGGATTTAAAATTGTAATTATTTGACACAAAAATTTTGAGAACTTCCTATTTAGCTTCATCAAAAATACCATCTTTACTGTTTGAGGAAATAGGGAAAAAGTGTTAGTAAGTATAATACACATATATTGGTAGCTAAACTCTGAATACTCTAATTTTTTTTAACAGTTCAGAAAGCATTTTTTAAAGGAGAAATATTTTTACAAAGCAAGAAGATTATTTGGCTGACTTACATTAATGAAACATTTTGGCACATGTGAAAGATTTCATCGAGCTATTACAACCACTCCCAAAAAATCTTGGTTTCCATTTAAAATGTCACCAATGTGGAAAAAATACCATCAATCAAATTGCGTATCTTTTAACTGAAGAGGAAAAAAAAAGTAAAGAAAAAATGAAACAAACAGTGAGCGTTCAGTGCATTTTTGGCTTCCCTTAAGGAATTCTGACTTAGGTATGGTCATTTATCTGTGGCCTTAAGATTACCTGTTTTTTCTGTTTGTTCCACTGTATGTTTTCATCTTCATTGGAATACATCTACTGAGTAATGTTCCTAACTTCATGCTCCACTAGCCAAACACTGGGAATGTTACAGTTCTTGTGAATGAGAACAGTAAAAGAAATTATTTTCCCAAAGAAACATAGGGATACACCTTTACAACAACAAACTACAAAATTCCATATGACATTATTCTTCTTGCTTTAAAATTATTCTTAAGAACTTGGTAGAAACAAAGACCTTCTTCACAGGAAACTTAAGTACTAAGTCCATCTTAGGAGTTTTATCCAGGAAACCTGTATGCAAGTTGCAGAAACAGCACTGAGACCCTTATTTATTAAAATTTAGCCCTTTCAATAAATGTGGAAAACTAAGTAGCTGTGACCTAACTATACTTCTTGAGTTTTGTAGGCAACTCTTGTCTAGTGGATCTTAGGCCTTTCTGTTTGCATCAGGACTACTTCACCTTTGAGGTGAGCCCGGTATCATAGTCCCAACTTATGAAGACGTTCAGAACCAGTTTCCTCTGTGCTCCTAAATGCACAGAGTGAAGGATGGTTCATGTTTCTACTATTGGCTACTTTTAGGAACATTGGGCTTAATTGTATCATGCACTCGGTGTTGAAAAATATATCTAAATCACATTAGGAAATCAAGGTTGAACATGAAAATATCTGGAGGGTTGGCATTCAATGTTTTAGCCTGCATAGAAAGTGGCAGTGAATATTTTCAAAACAATTGAGCAAGCAAAGCATAATTATTTTCAATTAACATGTGGAAATATACTGAGAGATTAAGTTATTTGTGCAAAGTTTGGCCACTTTTCAGTGTTAGGCAGTAGAAAAACCCAGGTTTATGCTCCTTCTACTCTACTGTCAGTAAAGGAATATCCCATTTCATCTGCAGATGAGAGAATTGTTTCACTCAGAAATTACACAAGTACTCTTGCTGTCTAAGTGACCTCAATCAAGGAGGTTTTTATTTTATCTCAGGGACTCAATTCTAGTTGAGGGTAATCTGAAAGACTTGACTATATGTAAGTATTCCTATTTTTTAACTCACATACTCAAAATGCTAGCCGTAATAATTTAAATAATCAAAGAAGTTTTATGGGAAAGTAACGAGTTTCTCTAACTCTCGTTTTTACCAGGCAATCAGAAATTACAAATTAGGAAACAGGAGAGATGAGAATGGAATGTTAACCTTTTGGTATGAAGCAGGTCAACATTGAAAATGCAAGAAGCCTGGATCCAGCTTCCTGAAAAGAAGCTCCTTGGTGACTCTTTTTCTTCCGGCATCAGTTGATTATTTCTAGTATCCAACCCTTTTTACTTTCTCTAAATCTCTCTGAGGAACATCCTGGAGTTTCTTTTCTGGCTTTCGTTGTAACTAGTTCCTGGCCTACCTGAGGGGATGAATAGCATTATGGTATAGGGTAGGTGCTGCAGACCATATGGAGACCAGCAGGATACAAGAGTGTGAGATGCCTAGGGAAAGCCTCCCTTTGTCAAGTTAAAGGAGAGAGGTTTCCATTTGGAGGCAGCTGAAATAGAGAAAGAAGTATTGAGCACAAATTTACAAATCAAAATAACAGTCTTCCAGGGATAGGATAGAGCATGGACCAACATGATACAGTGTCAACCTGCATTTTCATGGGTGAAGGATGGATGGACTATAGTAATCAAAACAGAAACATAGCATCCTCTGGAAATAGTGACCACAGAGACAGAGATCTTTGTATTAGTAATGACAGGTAACGTTTATAAAGTGCCTCACTGATTGCTTATGTGTGTGTCATCTCATTTGATCCTGATAGCAACCCAAAATGGTGGATAAGCGTGAAGAATCTCCTTTTACGGATCAGGTTCAGAAAAATGATTTGACCAAGTTACCCACTAGGAAATTTTAGAGTCAAAACTTGAACCCTAGGCTTCTAATATAGGAAATGGCTTTGTTTCTCAAACAGGATGCATTCCTCACTTCTTTCCTCCTCGCTGTCATGAAAATATATCCAGGAACTGTACGAGCACTGGATAAACGGTGGTGAACAACATAGCCCTGTTCCCTACCTTTGTGGAACTTAGTCTGCACTTCTTAGGACTGTGCTGATTAGTATGGGGTTATTGGGCACACTTGAAATGGGGCTAGTCTGAACTAGATGTATTATAATTGTAAAATATATCCTAAATTTAAAAGATTTCAAATAAAGAATGTAAAACATTATTTTTATATTATGTTGATAATGTTAAAATTCTAATCTTACCTGTTTCAGTTTTATTTTTTAATGGCTACTAGAAAATTTCACTGGCTACCAGAAAATTGAAAATTGCATATATTGTTCACATTTGTGGCTCACTCATTTGCATTGGATAGCAAGCTATGACATATATGGAACTGATTTTCTAGGGCACATTAATCCTTTTAGTACTTCTTTGGTTATATTTTTTACATTGAAGCATTTGGATAATTTGAAATTTGCCTGGGTGCATGCCTGCTTAGATCCCAGTTTGTTTTTCCTCCAGATGTCTACCAAGTTGACTCAACAACTCAGTTGAGTTGTTCATCTCTGATTTGGGAGGCCACCTTTACCATATGCCAACTCCTCGTATGCATTTGTATCTATTTCTAGACTTTGCTGTCGTATAGGCATGTTAATATTTGAACTAGTATTATACTTTATATTTTTGAGATTTTAAAATATTCTTTAATGTCTAGTAGGGTTGGTCTTCATCTCCAATTGACTACCCCCAAACCCCACAGAGTTTACTTGGCTATTGTTTTTCATAGTCTTCGGCTATGAAAATTAGAATCAGTTTGTCTAGTTTAAAATAAACAAAAACAATGTTTTTTTTTTTTTTATTGGGATCAAGATAAAGAGGATTGATGTCTTCACATGTTGACTCTTCATGTCTGGATATGGTTTGGATTTATGCCTTGCCCAAATCTCATGCAGAATTATAATCACCAATGTTGCAGGTGAGGCCTGGTGGGAGGTGATTGGATCATGGAGGTGGATTTCCCCTTTGGTGCTGTCCTTGTGATAGAATTCTTATGAAATCTGGCTGTTTTAAAGTGTCTGGCACCTCCCACCACTCTCTCTCTTTGTCCTGCTCTGACCATGTAAGACATACCTGCTTCCCCTTTACCGTCTGCGGTGATTGTAAGTTTCCTGAGGCCTCCCCAGCCATGCTTCCTGTATAGCCTGTGGAACTGTGAGCCAATTAAACCACTTTTCTTTATAAATTACCCAGTCTTGGGTATTTCTTTATAGCAATGTGAGAACAGACTAGTACAGTGTCCAAGGAGATGGTACAGCTTTCCATTTAGTCAAGTCATCTTTGTGATTCCTTCAGTAGTAGTTTAACATTTTCTTCATACAGGCCTTGTCCATTTTAAAAATTTATTTATGTAATCTTTCTTTAAATGCTGACATACATACATAAATATATATAACATATTAATTGTGTGCACTATCAGCCTACCAAATTCTCTAATTGTAATAAATGATTTTTTTGGATGATGGTGTTGAGCTTTCTAATATTATCTAAAAATACTGATAATTTTACATATTTCTTTCCAGTTTTTATACCTTTGGTTTTTTTCACTTGCCTAATTTTGTTGTCTAGTAATTGCAGTACAATGCTGAATTATAGTGGTGATAGACTTTTTGTCTTGTAGCTGACTTTAATATTTCTTCCCAAGTATGATACTGGCTTTTGAGTTGAACTGTACATATTTTATTAGAGTAAAAAAAGTTCATCTTCATATTTTAAGAATAAAAATTTTGTTCACTTAAAAAATCATGAGTAGCTGTTACATTTGGTTAAATGCCTTCTCATGATCATGTGATTGTTTTTCTCTTCAGAGCTATTAAAATGATGAAATTTATAAATTGTTTTATTAATAATGAACCGTAATTGTATTTTTGAGAAAAGGATAACTTGTTTATGATGTCTTACTCTGTTTTCATTTCCTGCTAGATTCTGTTTGATAATATTTATTTAAGATTTTGGCATCTAATTATAAGTGAGATTATCTTGTTGTGTATTGGTCTTGTTATACTTACTTTATAACAATAAAATAATATTGAAGTTCTCATCACCCCATATTTCACTATACCAGTTTAAGTAGAAATGTACTTATCTAGGCCGAGCATGGTGGCTCACACCTGTAATCTCAGCACTTTCAGAGCTGAGGCAGGTGGATCACTTGAGGTCAGGAGTTCCAAGACCAGCCTGGCCAACCTGGTGAAACCACGTTTCTGCTAAAAATGCAAAAACTAGCCGAACATGGTGGTGGGCCTCTGTGATCCCAGCTACTTGGGAGGCTGAGGCAGGAGAATTGCTTGAACCCAGGAGGTGGAGGTTGCAGTGAGCCGAGATCACTGCCACTGCACTCCAGCATGGATGACAGAGCAAGTCTCTCTCTCTCTCTCTCTCTGTAAATATATATATATAGATAAATAGATACAGATAAATATCTCTCTATATATATCTTTATATAGAAAGGAAGGAAGGAAGGAGACTTATCTGCCCTTTAAACATTTGGTAGAATTCCTTTGTGATGCCATGTGAATTTAGTGCCTTATTTGGAGGGTAGGGATAGTGGTGGTGATGGTAGTTCCCTTTGTGGGCAGAAGCATTCTCTGTATCTGTTATGGAACTCTACTGTTTTAGATTCTCTACTTCCTCTGAGATAGGCATGTAAAAAAATTTTTTTTGGCAGACTTTTGTGTGTCTAAGTATAGTTCTTTTGATGTTAGGAAGGTTTACTTTTTCCCCCTATTGATTACTTCTATAGTTACAACCTAGGTTCTCTATTGCTTGAGGTAGTATCTATTAGTTCTATCTAATGAACAGAGTGGTAAGATTAATGTGTTCTCACTTTCTTGTTCTTTGTTCCTTTGCTGCCATCTTATTTTAATCAACATTATCTTTCATATATTTTTTTCTTACCTGTATTCTCTTTAAATATGAGTATACTTCTCTTCCTTGATTTGTTCAGTTTTAAATTGTATCCAAAGACTCCCACCTATATTATATGGTTAATGCCATAGGTAAGTCTACTCTGTCTCCAAAATTTATTTTACTTCCTGGTCCCCTACCCAGTTGGATTATATCTACATGGTCACAGCAAATACCTTTTATGTTGTCTTTTATTATCCTGATTCCCTCACTGTTTTTGGTTTTACTGCTGTGGTTGTATTAGTCCATTTTCATACTCCTATGAAGAAATACCTGAGACTGGGTAATTTATAAAGAAAAAGAGGTTTAATGGACTCACAGTTCCACATGGCTGGGGAGGCCACATAATCATGACGGAAGGTGAAGGAAGAGGAGTAAAGACACGCCTTACATGGCACCAGGCAAGAGAGTGTGTGTTAGGGAACTGCCCTTTATAAGACCATCAGATCTCATGAGACTTATTCACTGTCATGAGAATAGCATGGGAAAATCCTGCCCCAGTGATTTGGTTACCTCCCACTGGGTCCCTCCCACAACACGTGGGGATTATAGGAGCTACAATTGAAGATGAAATTTGGGTAGGGACACAGCCAAAGCATATCAGTGGTTAAATGCATTTGTTGGAAGCCTTCTGGTTCCAACCAATATGAAGTAACAGGAACTGAATTTACATTTTCATCTGAAACAGACAAAAAAAATGGACAAAATCTATGAAAATATGATTTTCGAGACACTGGACATTTAGCAATGAGGGACATCGATTCCTGACAGAAGGGAACCAAATGAGGGGGGAGGCTATGACATCCCCAGCTTAAATCCTTGAAATAGTTTCTAGATCTTGGTGCAAGGAGGAGGAATCCAGAGTGGTCTGGCAGACCTCTTGATTTGCGGAGATGGAGGTAAGCATCTGGGTACATAAAGGACAGAATACTGGAATGAAGAAAGCTGCTCCAAGAGAGAATTCTGGATGTCTGTAGAGGGTTTCACCTGATTATTCAGATTAACACATGCTGGAGAAAGAACCATCTAAGAAGGTTTGAAGGTATCTTTGTTAGTGTTGCTATTAAGGTATACCTGAGGCTGGGTAATTTCTGTATAAAAGGGTTTTATTTGGGTCATGGTTCTGAAGGCAGTATAAGAAGTATTCCCCCAACATCTGCTTCTGGTGAGGGACTTGGGTTCCTTCCACTCATGGTGAAAAGTGAAGTGAGCTGGACTATGGAGATCACATGTTGAGAGAAGAGCAAGAGAAGGAGGGGAGGAAGGTGACAGGCTCTTTCAACAGCCAGTTCTTGTGAGAACTAAGAGTGAAAACTCCTTCACTCCCATGCGAGTAGCTTGGTGCCATTCATGAAGGATTTGCCACACAATCCAAACACCTCTCACGAGAACCCCCATCCAACATTGGGGATCAGATATCAATGTGAGACTTAGTGGAGTCAAATAAACCATATCCAAATTGTAACAAAGGAAATCATGCCCATTGCTCACAAAAGGCCAGAAATAGTACCTGTTCCCACCAGCCTACTGGAGAAACATCATGATTATGTCAGGGCTGTGGTCTTAACTGAGGGTCAGTTGGGGAGGAATTTGCTGTCAAGCTCACACGGTTGTTAGTAGCATGTTGTTCTTTATGGGCTGTTGGACTAAAGGCTTTAGTTTCTGACTTGTTGTTGCCCAGAGGCCACCCTCATTTCTTGCCACGTGAACCTTTCCAATATGTCTGCCTACATCCTCAAAGCCAGCAAAGGGAGAGAATCTCCTTGCTTGGCAAGGTGATATAATCTTATGTAATGTAATCACATACATTTTGTCACCTTTTCTGTATTCTACAGTTTAGAAGCAAGGACCTATTCTTGTCCACACTCAAAGGGAGGGATTACACAGGGCATGAATACAAGGAGATGGAAGCATGGGGCTACCTTAGGGTTTCTTTTTTACACCAGAGATGAGGAGAGTATCTTAAAAACAGCTGGATTTTTTAAAATAAGAAGAAAACATTCACCAGAAGAACAGAGTTAAGCACAGCAACAGATTTCTCTTAGGAAACATTTTAAGGGGTAGTGAAGCAACACCTTCAAAACGCTGAAAGAAAAAAGCTATCCACCTAGAATTCTGTGTCTAGCAAAAATATTACTCAAAAACAAAAGTAAAATGGGGCTTTTGACTGAAAGAAGAAAAAAAACACAAGAAGATAGAGTTGAAAAGAAGCAAGAAGCTTCATTTGGCTTCATTTGGAGCATTAGGTTACCCCCCACCCCGCAACGCCACTACCTTCATTAATTCTGTGATTCTTCCTTGGTCATAATCTTAGGTGAGGCATATATCTTAGGTAAGGCATAATCTTAGGTGAGGCATCTCTACTAGTAGGTGGTGGCAATTAGAATCAAGTGAAAATATTTATCTTAGTATTTTTGAATAATTTTATCTACTGTGTTTTTCTTTATAAAATAACTTTCTAAAAGGGCAGTGAGCTTCCTAAGTTAAGCTTCTTAAGAAGTCTTTTTTTTTTTTTTTTTTTTTTTGACAGAGTCTTGTTCTGTCACCCAGGCTGGAGTGTAGTGGCACAATCTTGCCTCACTGCAACTTACGGCTCCCAGGTTAAAGCAATTCTCTTGCCTCAGCCATCTGAGTAGCTGGGATAATAGGTGTGTGCCACTATGCCCTGCTAATTTTTTTTGTATTTTTAGTAGATACAGGGTTTTGCCATGTTGGCCAGGCTGGTCTCAAACTCCTGGGCTCAAGTGATCTGCCCATCTCAGCCTCCCAAAGTGTTGAGATTATGGGTGTGAACTTCCGTGCCTGGCCCTTAAGAAATCTTTTATCCAGATAGTTATTTGAGGTTTGATATTTAATTGAGAGTAGTATGTTAAAATATTTAAGTCGTTTAAATCTTAATAATTGAAACAAATTATTTAAATTCAATTTAAGCAATTTAAATTATTTAAAATAATATTTAGCATGCTTTTAAAAAATCTAAATACTGCTATGTTTTAGCAACAAAAATATTTTTATTTTGCTATGGCGGATCTCAACTCCAATTTCCTTATCTGTAAGTGGAACAAAAAATATCTATACTTTTTATGTCATAAGATTTTTATAATATTTAATTTCATATTATGTCATGAAAATACTTTGAAAACTCTGAGAACACATAAAATGTGAAGCGTATTTTTTAGAATTACAGCATAATTTTCATTTTGTGTCAAAAATAACTATACTTCTGATTTTCAAAATGCCCACTACAGTGAAGATATTTTTTTGAAGTACATGTGTGTATTTTAGGAAATTCCAAGTTTTCTCTATTTGTAACCTGGTTATTATTCTAGTCTAATGGCTTCGTTCCATAAATTATTTGGGCTTCTATTTTATTTATTTTAGTCCTGGATCAGTTTGGTGCTACCTTTATCATGGTGAATTCCGTTATTGCTCTAGGGGTTTGAGAGTCTGTGGTTTCTACTCTTTTGGTGTATAATTTATAATTTACAGTTTGTTAAAAAATATTTCCTCCAAATATTGAAATGTCCAGTACTGTTTCATTGACTCTTATCAACCCACAGAAAATTATTGATTTACTTCTTAAAAAATCACTTCAGTTTTTCACATAATTAAAATATAAAGATTTTCATTTACAGTAATTTGAATTTGGGCAGCATTATTTTGACACCAGTAGGATCAAGGAAGTTAAAAAATTTTTGTAGATGCTAGAAAGCCTTTTAATACTGTCACGGAGGTGAAAGTTGTGAAGCATTAGAAACAAAAGACATATGGTCATTTCAGACCTCTTTACACAGTATATAATGAAAAGGTAAAAGGTCCAGAGTACAATTGGGATTTCGGAGCAGGAGAAGTCTGTCTTCATTGAAGCTGTGGTATCTGACATAGCTTTGAAGTATGGGTAGGATTGGGTTGGACATAGAGGAGCAGCCAGACGTGATAATAATAGCATATAGTTACATAGCATTTACTATTTGCCAGACATGGTTTTAAGCTCTCTTCATATATCAGCACATTTCATTATTATATTAATTAATAAGGTGATTATCTTCACTTTCAAGATGAAGAAACTGGGATGAAAATTTGTTGAGTGACTGCCTCCAGGTCTCACAGCTAGTGAACAGTGGTACTGCTATTTAATTCAGCCCTTTCAGCCTCAGTCTCTGTCACTGTGTTTTCTTCCTCTAGTTACTGTGCTATATTTTGGGAGGACAGTAGGACAGATGAAGTTAAGGAAAGTTGAAGTCATGGAAACTTTTGAAAGGGAGGCAGAAGCATTCATATGTTATCAATGTGAATATCAAGTAGTTCAGTCTTTCTAGGACGTAATTTGGTACTATATTGTATCAAGAATCTCAGTAATCACACTGTATGTATTTGTCCTAAAGAATGTAGGGAGATAGTTATCCATAGGTCTCTTGAATCTGTATGTCTCGCAAGCAGAGAGGCATCAAACACCTTTTTGTTCTGGACTACTTGCTCAAGGAGGTTTGGGTAACACACAACATTGGAATATAGAGATAGTATCTCCCTTCCTGTCAGATAGCCCATTTATTTGCTATCCAGTATACTACAGATAATATCTCCCTTTGGAGTAAAGGTTTGGCAAGTTTGCTTGCAGCTACTATAAAAGATCTGAGTTTCTTAGAGCGCAGGGTTCCTCAGCTATGATGCAAACCCACTCCCTTTGCATCATCCATCTGGGCCACTCCACATCACCTCTGTGGGCCTTGGAGACCAAGGGGAACTAGCATGAAAATGATGCTCATGCTGCTTACTGTGTTCTGAGTAATAAGTGCTTTGTCTTTGACCTTGAAATGTTATGTCTGCTGCCAGCATCCAGGACACTGTGGCAGGCTAACTTGCTTGTAAGTAGGGCAGAATCTCAGACTCTTCACAGTTATTGACAAAGGAATGTTTAGAATTATTAATAAAGCATTATATATGGTAATTGGAAAGTAACACCACTGGCCAATAATAAGGGACTAGTTTTGTAAATGATAGTATATTCATATAGTGAAATATTAATTCTGCAGACCTTAAATATTATGTTTGTAAAAATTTAAAGACTTGGAAATTTACTTACAAAAGTGTTAAATCAAAATTATATTATGAAAATAATGTATATAGTACAATCTCAGTTGTATAAAATATGTTTGCATGTATAGGAAAAAAACTGGGGTAAGATATTCAAAATGAACAAATTGTTGCATATCATTTGTAGAATTATAAGTGATTTTTTCTTTTCTATTTCTGTATTTCCAAATTATCCTATAATGAAAATACATTACTTTTATAAGAAGGAAAAGTACACATTATTAATGAAGTCAAGCTGAGGGATTTGATATAGTGTAATGGGCAGAGTAGATATTGTATATAATCTTGAGAGGACAGTAATATAAGGATACATTTAAAACCCATGCAATCAAAGATCTATTTTTTATTAAAATGTACATACACAATATAACTGAAGACCATTGAAGCAAAAACAAAAATAAGAAATCCAAGTTATAACAGAAGTATAAGAACACAGATATTTTAGAAATTCTAATGTAAGGAAAATCCATTTGAATAACAATAAAAAAGCTAAGCAAAGCCTCTCATTGTCTAATAAAAAAGAATTAAATCCATGATCCATAAGAGGTAATATTTAGATACTGAAGTACTGAAAGATGAAATGATCTGATATCTGGAATTTGCTTTAAAATATTACAGCAAAAAAATATTTTTTAATTAAGTGGGAGAGACAGGTGAACCAACTTTGGCAAAACTATTGATAGATGTTGAAGTTGTGTATATTATGCTGTCAGTTTTTGTATATACTTGAAAATTTCCATAGTAGAAAATAAACAAATTGTCTCTGATTTATATAGTTCTAAGACTATGCCTCTCAACCATGGCTGCACATAGATATCTCTTGGGAGCTTTAAGAACTACTGATGCTTGGACCATTAAATGGTCTTGGGTGTGCCTTAGGCATTAGGATTTTCTAAATCTCTCAGGTGATTATAATGTGTAGCTTACATTGAAAACTAAAGTTCTAAGAGGAAACTGCTAGGTATATCTTTATTATAAGGGACATTGAACCTAATGGATATTTTTTATAGCATTTCTTTAAAAAAATAAGGTTTACATTATGTTGGCTCATGGATCATCCCTCAGTAAAAAGTGAGACTAGCCTATTTTTTTAATAAAAATAATTCTACGGAGAACGATAATAAAATAATGTTAGATACATAGCTTAATGGTTTTTTTACTTAATGATGAAGTTTCAGTGATTCTAAGGGATGAATAACTAAGATATTCCTTTCACATGTGAGTTAACAAGAAGCCTAAGATGTACAGATGGGATAGTTTTTAAAAATAATTTAACATTTTATAACTTTCTTAAAGTAATTCTTGCTCATTTTAGACAACTAAAAAGGATGTATAGAGAAAAAAGAAAATAATCAGCCAAGGGTCCATTATTCATGGTAAATACTAATAACCTTTTACAGTACTTGATTTCAAATTTATTTAAATTTTTATTGTAAAAATTTCAAACATATACAAGTATCGTAGTCTCTATGTACTGATTATTTATCTTCAGTAATTATCAACCTATGACCAATCTTATTTCTTCTGTATCCTCGTCCCATTTTAACCCCCCTCTACCGGATTATTTTGAAGCAAATCTTCTATCATTTCATCTATAAATATTTTAGTACATATTAGAGAAAATAATCTTCAGGTCATTAACACATATCTGAAGTATCAGTATTCTGTGTTGACTGAAAGGAGATCCATATGCTATAGCTCCCAATTCTCTAGTTGCCAAAGATGGTGTTGTTTTATAAAAGTAAAGAGTCTGGCTTATATCCTTGAGCTGCAGAAGGATCTGCTGGCAGGGCCAAGACATTTCTCGTAAAGTAACTCCATCAGTTTAGATGATGAAATAAGTAGACTGAAGTCTAAGAAACCCAGAGTTCTACCCATTAAACAGGCCGTAATTTGGAAGATATGGAGGATTAGAATTACCCATTGTTTTGCTTTTGATTAACCTACATTAGTCTCCATTGTCATTTTGTTTAGAGCCAGTTAGTTTCCGTAAGGATTTGGCATTAATCATAGCAGTTTTGGTAAAATTATCATGAAGGCAATATGTTAGAAAGGAGTTGAAGACAGGAAAGTTTTTTAAGAAGATACTCAATCTTTGTGGCCCGAGCTGATAAAAATCCAGGGTTGGAGGGTAAGAGAAAAGACAAACTTTAGCATTTTTGCTATAGTAAAAATTTGCATGACTTATCTCTAACATATGGCAGAGGGTGAAGTTGAAAAGGGAAGAAAATGAATTTGTCCAATATTAGTGTATTAGTCTGTTCTCACACTGCTATGAAGAAATACCGAAGGCTGGGTAATTTAGAAGGGAAAGCAGTATAATTGACTCACAGTTCCACATTGCTAGGGAGACCTCAGGAAACTTACAATTATGGCAGAAGGCAAAGGAGAAACAGTCACCTTCTTCACAGGGCGGCAGGAAGGAGTAAGTGCAAGCAGAGGAAATGGCCAGATACTCATAAAACCATCAGATCTCCTTGGACTCACTCATTATCACGAGAACAGCATGGGGGAAACCATCCCCGTGATTCAATTACCTCCACCTGGTCCCACCCTTGACATGTGGGGATTATGAAGATTACAATTCAAGGTGAGATTTGGGTGGGGACAGGGAGCCAAACCGTATCAATTAGTGTACTGGGTTAAAAGTAATAGCATGGCATCCAAGTAGTTACTTCTGGTTGGCCACTGGAAATAGAGGACTAGTATTCGGGTGATGCATAGAAGCTGGAGATCTACATTTGAAGATTTTTCATGAAGCTGTGAGGATGATTGAGTTTTCATAAGGAATATTTGTTTAAGGAGAAGAGTGTGTGGCTAAAGACAAACCCTTCTGATAGTTGGATGGGAACAGGAATATAAAAGCATCAATCTATAATACATTAAATTAATACTTATCAAACATCTATGTCACAGGCATTTTGCATGGAAAAGGGAATGAGAGCATACTGAATTGAATGGGAGACCTACTTTAACACAAAGGGAATGCTAAGCAGAGATAATGTACAAAGATTCATGAAAGTAGAAACTTGAAAAAATGACTCATGGTACCCAGGGCAGGAGGCCTGAAGTTTTTTGGTACTATGAGTTTCCCCAGAGAATAGGATGGAGTGGTATTTCATGCAGAGGAAGAGGCACAGTCACATGTGCTTGGGGCATTGGTGAGAGTCTGGTGTGGCTGAAGCATAGGTTATAGAGTGAAGAGAATAACAGGGGATTTGGTTCAGATATGTGGGAACTAGGAACTCATTTGTGGAGTCTGAAGAATGTTAGAGTCATTATTGAAATAGAAGACAAAATCAACAGTTTGACTTTAACATGAATAAATAGAACAGGAAATAATGGAAAATTCTTAGGTTTTCTATTCTGTCAAGCAAATACTATCACAATAATGTGGGGTATATTTTACTGGTATGAATTTATATTCATTTTTATTTTGGGATTTGATAAATGACAATGTGACCAAAGTTAAGTTGCCAAAGATTGCATATATATATGTGTATGTGTGTGTATATGCATTCATTTGCTCAACATATTAATTGTTAAGAGCCAGGTATTGGGGTTACAAAGATGAGTGAGTAAGATAATGCTCTACCTTCAATACCTTTGTCGATTAATTGAAAATGGACAATAAGTGTTTATGTATACTAGTAGGGTAAGTACAAAGATATGGGGACACCCAAGAGAATATGTAATCCAACTTGGATGTTAGTGGAGGGACCTGGAAAGCCTTCTTGCAGGGGTAATGACAACCGATTCTTAAATGATGCAGACAAGTTTGTGGTTGGGTTGATTTGAGGGAAGGGAGCATGGAATAGTGGCATACAATGCAAATTAGATAGCAGTAGCATGGAGATAAAAGGCAACCTGGTGTGTATACCATATTGGAATCATAGTCATAGTCATTTCATTATACTTGAAGCTCCAATTGTGAAATAGATGAGGCAGGAGATGAGCTTGTAGAGCTGGGTGGAGACCAGCACAGGTTGACATTTCACATACTTAAGGGACTTGGTTTTATGCAGGAGAGTGACCTGGCCAGATCTGCATTCTAGATGCATGATTCTGTAGCTAGATGTGGGATAAACTTGTTGGGAAGGTAGACTTTGAAATAAGATTAGTTAGGTGTTTTTTGCAGCAGTCCAGCCTTCACTATGTAAAAGTTTATGAATAAGGATGACGTTGAAGGGACATATTTGAGAAATATTTAGGAAGTAAAGTGCACAGGATTCATTAATAGGTTCTTAATGGAAATTCAGGGAGAGTGAGTCAAAGGAGATGACTCTCAGGTTTCTGGTTTGGTAAGTGGTTGTGCCTGCAGCTACAACAATAAATTCAGCATAAGAGCATATTTATTGAATTAGATGAAGAATTCTGTTTTAGGCCTTTTGTATTTAAGCTGCCAGTAGGCTATCCAAGTGAAGGTTTCCAACAGGGAATGTCTGAAGGTTGGGTGAGAAGTCTAGGTTTGAAATCCAGATACAGGAGCCATGAGCATGTAAATAATACTGAAAGCCTAAGAGTGAGCATCTCTTTAGTGTCAGAATTATGTTCATAATGGTAGTGAATATGCCAAGTATGTACTGAGAAAACTTGACCCAAGAACCAAAATTTGAAATGAACTCTGCTTAGCCTTGCCTATTTATTTATTTATTTATTTATATTTATTTATTTATTTTTTTGAGACGGAGTCTCACTCTGTCACCCGGAGCGAGAGTGCAGTGGCGCGATCTTGGTTCAGTGCAACCTCTGCCTCCTGGGTTCAAGCGATTCTCCAGCCTCAGCCTCCTGAGTAGCTGGGACTACAGGCATATGCTACCATGCCTGGCTAATGTTTGTATTTTTAGTAGAGATAGTGTTTCATCATGTTGGCCAGTATGGTCTCAATCTCCTGACCTCGTGATCCACCCGCCTCGGCCTACCAAAGTGCTGGGATTACAGTCGTGAGCCACCGCACCTGGCCAGCCTTCCCTAACTTGCTTAATTTTGAACAGGAACCTTCTTTAACAAAGTGAGCTATGAACCCAACCAAAGTCTTTTTAAAACATCATGTGTTTTTCCAAAAAATTTAATTGTAGCACCAAAGCAGCATATCAAAATATCATTTGCACTGAATTGATAGATCATCTATTTGGATTCTTAGAATTGGGTGACTAGTGTATACAGGACACTGTAGTCAGTTCAGGACTTCAAAGGCAGTCTGTATAATTTTGGCAATAATAATAATTTCATTTTTTCTTCTCTCAGCTCAAGCACAAGTGATCTAGGGAGAAAAATTACTTCCAAATGAGCTTACAATTGCCAACAACCCAAAATTTAACCAAATTGGATCATTGCACACTGCACTGTGTTTGGAAAAAAGACTGACAGAATGTTCTTTCAGTAGATTCTAAGGTATAGGAATTACTTAAGTGCAGTGGCTCTGGAAAATGGTTATTGCGTAAAGATCTGGAGTAATTAAGTCACATACTGTTCATGTGTAGAAGAATTTTCTAATAATTTTGATAAGTAACATTTTGTATGATGAAAACAAGAATAGTAAGAGTAGAAACTATAGAATGGCAAATAAAACAATTCTCAGATATTGCAACATTTTGAAATTTGATTCATCATTTAATTTGGATTTCATTGCCAAAACAATTTAATAATAATAATGGTAAACAGTCTCAAAATGCTTACATCATGCCTACAATGTACCAAGCAGTGGTCTAAGCACCTTACACATCTCACACCACCCTATAAGAGGAGTACTCTCATAGGCCCATTTATCACATGAGGAAATAGAAACAAACAGAAGACCAAAAACAAAAAATGCAAAAAACAAAACTTGGCCAGGTGCAGTGGCTCACAGCTGTAATCCCAGCACTTTGGGAGGCAGAGGTGGTTGGATCACCTGAGGTCATGAGTTCGAGACCAGCCTGGCCAATATGGTGAAACCCCCATCTCTAATAAAAATACAAAAATTAGCCAGGCATAGTGGCGCACACCTGTGGTCCCAGCTACTTGGGTGGCTGAGGCAGGAGAATCGCTTGAACTCAGGAGGCGGAGGTGCAGTGAGCCCAGATTGTGTCACTGCACTCCAGCCTGGTGACAGAGCAATACTCTGTCTCAAACAAACAAACAAACAAACAAACTTTCCCTAAATCGCATAGCTAGTAGTTAGCAAAGCAGGCAGTCTTCCCTTAGAATCCATGGTAGACCTGGGTAGTCTGCCTTCATAGTCCATGGTACACCCAGGTGGCCCACCTTTGGAGTACATGACCTTAACCACAGTTCTAGTTTAAACATTAATGAATGCAGTTGTTAAATAGTGTATCTATGCATTGTGGGGTTTTAAACAAATATGGAGATGACATGATTTTTTGCCCTTTAAAACCAGTCTCTGGCACTGTTTGCCATATAATTTGCATTGCACGCACACCACAATGATTCCTTTGATTTAACCTTTTCCTACTACTGTGAAAAGGCAATGTTAGCATATATTCCTTATGTATTTACAAATAAAGGGATTTTTATAAAAAGAAAACTTGAGATGATCTCCTTAGTTTAAACTGTACCTTATAGTTATGGATAAATTAGATGTAGGGATTACTAACTTTAGGAGATTTTATAAGGACTTCAATAGGTAAAAGCCTATGTACATACCTTGCTCTTTACCTAAGAATATTTTATAAGTAGAAATTACTTTAAATCAAATAATTCAAAAGGTAATAGGCATGCTTACTATTACAAGTTTTATTGTTAATATTTTTTATTTTTTAAATTTTAAAAGTAATATATAATTGTATAATAGAACTTTGGAGATAAAATATGAAAATTCATAAACCCAGAATCTGTAATAACCTGTTTTACTTCCTTATGGTCTTTTCCTATGTATCTAGTCTTACATTGCTTTAATAATAGTATATTTATAATTTTGTACTTTAGGAAGTTTTAAATTTATTGTTAATATTATTAGGGATCTTTTTTGGGTAAAAATACAATAAAATTTTGTCTTTTGGATAAATCCACATTTTCATATTCCGGGTTTGTTTTGTAGTCTCTACCAAGTACACATATTATAATTCAGAAACAGTTTTGTGTTATTCTATTTACTGCTGTCTCTTCACCCTCTTTTTGTTTCTGTGCCTTTGGCTTTCCCTAGCTGGGCACAGTCAGGTCCACTGATGCCCCCTATCTGCAAACTCAGTCTTGCACAGTACCTGAGCCATTCTTACCTGAGTCAGCTGATAGACACATCCTTAGCTTCAGATGCACACCTGCTCGTTGATGTGACTTATAGTTTTATCCATCCAAGACCTGGAATTCGTCCGCACAGCTGTTTGGGCTCCTACGTTCTTCCAGCTGACATTCACCCCTAGGTCTCTCTTGTTGCCAGTTGCCATGAGATCAGCCCTAGGCCTTTACTTTGCTGCTCTTTCCCTTATCTCTCCTCACCTTTCAACTGCCACCTTTAGCTAACTTGGCCAGATTTTTCTCTCTTTGTTTTTTTCCCCTGATATATTCTGCTTTATTCTATAGGCACCTTCTGGGGCTTTGATACTTCTTCCTTAGTTCCTGCCAGTTCTGTCCGCTGCATAATCCCAGTCAAGCTTGACATCTGTACAAGATTTTCCAGAGTCACTTCCTAAATTCTGAGCAAGACTTCTCCTTGAAATCTTTACTCTTCTGCTTTATTCATTGAATTTAACCAGCATCTTGCCCAAGTTATGCTCTTTTGACCTAGGTTTTTTGATTGGCCCACTGTCTTTTTTGATGACAGGTGTTGTAGGTGGTACTGTTTCCTTTGAAGTATATTCGTTCCTGGAACCAGGTCTCAGCCTCATTTGCAAAGGCCTGAAAACACCCAGGACAGTGTCAGCATGGTTTCTCCTGAAGGCAAATTACCGTGTAAAAATCAGGAGAGCAAAATAAAAATTTTAATGCATGTAGTTACTCTTCTAAATTCACTCACTGATTTTTGTTAGGTCTATTCAGATCCTTTTTACAGCTGAACCATTTATCACTTGAAGCAAAAGGAGCAACTGTCTATGCCACGTCCAAATGTCTTTGTACTATGAAAACTTGAGATGCAAGGCATGTTGTGTCTAGGTTTAACATCACTGTAACACATGAAATAAGAGTCCATCAATGCAAACTAAATTAAAACTGTAGTTGCATAAATAGAATCTATGGTAAGCTCTCTTTGCCTTACCCCATTTATTCTACTTATTGATGAATTTTCATAACTTACTCCTTGAATAAATTATCCAAGAATTAGCCTGTGATTTTCTTTACATATTTCTTCATATTTGTACACAGGTATTGCCATAATAAAATCTTATAGTGATTACTGTTTTTTACTACTTACTTGGGCTGGATTTTAAAATAATGATTACTGTTTTTACTCTCCATTTGGACTGGATTTTTCATTTACAATTTATATTAAAATGGAACAACATTGTCAAGTCTACTGTTAGAAAGGACTCAATCATTCTTTCGTTTTTTTCAACTGTAGGGACATTCATATCCTTTCCTCCCTAGTCATACATGTAACTGGTCCTATCAGTAACATGATTAGATCACAAAACTTCTTTCTGGTAAGATATGAAATTTGGGCATTCACATTTAATTTTAACCTTCTGACATTATGCTGTTCTTTTCCTCTCTGGCTTCTATGTGGAATAATGTGGCATGGCCAGTTTCTTACAAGATGTAAGTGGGTGGGGAGGTTCTGCAACAGGGTACTGGAACAAGACAGCCACAGGGAATTGACTCGATTAAATATATCATTTCCATTGTATACAGTTGTGATGTCCAAGTGATCTGATGATATGAGTCATAATCATAGGAAGCTTTTGGTCATAAATAAATACAAGAAAGAAGTAATGAAGGATCCCAGCTAGTAGAACATGACAATGGAGTGTCTGTTTAACCATCAAGTGTAGACAGGCTGGTACTCGATTTCAGTATGATCTCTTCAGACCACATGTTACCTTTTCTTTCGTGCCATACTCAGATGTCCCAAATTATTATCACTCTTATGACTGACTAACATAGAGGATTTCCAGCATTTTCTTGGGTTGCGTGGAGTTGTCTCAGAGATTTCTATATATTAATATATACAAAGGACATGTTGTCAAAGGAAGTGAAAAAAGGTTGAGTTAGGTGAATTTCCAGACCATCTATTCCTGCTTTACTCAAAGGTGTTTTTGTGTATTTTACGTACCAGTTGTGTGTAAGAATTCATTTGAGAAAGTGGCTGCCTTAAATTAGTCTGAGAGCTATTTCCTCTGTCCATCACAGATAGAAAGACACGATTTGGTGCTGTCTCCCCTCTAACCGTTGATGTGACAGCTATTCATTGAATACCTGTTGACTGCCAGGCCCTGTAATGCTTTGTTAGGCATCTTGATCATCTACTGAGGTATTGAATGATCACTGCGTTACAGTCTTAAGTTTTCCCTCTGGTTCTGCGCATAAGTTACCATGTTTTCTTTCCACATTTTCTTGATAATCTTACAACTTCAAAGTGACTTCTATACCAAAAGTTCCAAAATCTGTCTCCAGTCTCACTTTGCCATGTAATACTCATGTGAGATTTGATAAGTCATCCTTTCTGAGCCTCAGTTTTCTTATTTGTACAACTGATGTAATTACCAACACTAGAAGGATAAAAAGACAGTGAAAGGTACAAGCTTATATAAGTATAAAGGATAATATTATTTTTATTGCTGTAATCAGTAACTTTAGGACCATATCTCAACATTTTTGTAGGAAATGCTTGTTTGTACAGACCCTGACACCTTAAACTTAAGATTTACTAAATAGTGTTCAGTCACTCTTTTTTCTTGCATGAGACACTGTCCTTGATTTTATATTTTTATGATGGCATGATCTTTCCGATAGTCATTACATTTCAAAATCTTGAAGGTACATTTTTAGTGCCTTCTCCTCCTTTAGAGGAGAAATGTTACTACATTTCTTCAGACTTTCTTTGCAACTTGTCTGTATTGCTCTAATCATCTCATAACTGGTCCCTTTTTCTTTAGTCTTTACGTGTACTGTTATGGAATTTTTATTTTTTTGTTTTTGTTTTGTTATTTTTGCCTTTTGTTTCTCTACTCCTAAAAAAATATAGCCTGAAACTTCAGCATCCCCGCACTGTGTACACATTGGCTCACTTGTAAGCCTTGCATTCAAGGTCCTCTACAATATATACTTAATCTGCATTTGCAGCTTTTCTTATTACAACTTTTTCATGAGCCAACCCCTTCAGCCAACCTTTTTGTTTTCAAATTGAGTATTGACCACTTTTATTTCTGTAAGCTCTCTGTCTGGAATGTCTTCTCTTTGTTGAAAAACTACAGATCCAGTCTGGCCTATTGAAAATGCCACCTCCATGAAAGTATTTGTAATATTCCTCAAACACATGTGATTATGGCTCTTCTCTTCTGAACTCACTATCTCACTGTTCTTTACTTCATCTCAGCTATTCCATGCTTGTATAATACCTAAGTAACGGCATAAAATACACTTAACTATTTCTTTAGTTGAACTTGATCACTGTGTATCTGTTTCTTTCCATTTGTGAACCATATTTGAATCAGCCTCGGCCCCATGATGAGAAAGTGGTTGGTGACGGTAATGCAGTTTCATCTTACAGTTTATGTCCTACCATGTTGCAAGTACAAGAAGGAAAAGTGGCTCCCAACCAGCTTTACACTATTGAAAATATGGGGGACCGTTTTAACACTATTTTTTTTCTTGATAACATGCAGGAATATGTGTTGAAAGAATTATTTCAGGCATTTTTATTTATATCCATGTTAAAATATAGTTAAATGAAAGTATCTTCCAATCAGAAACTAAAATTTTATAGAACAAGTAAATTTACTTACTCCTAGAAAGATGTCTCACCTGTTCTTGTCTTGATTAATCTTCAAAGGGATTATTTTTTATGATCTGCAGTTTGTGCATCCCTATTTTAAGGCATTAAGCTCTGTATCAAATCCTTTTTGTATTATTGCAAATCAACCAATCTTTTGCTACTTTAATGTTGTCAGCCATTCACTCTTTATTGTTATTTTAAATGCCAGAAAGTAAAATGCAAAAACCCCACCCTATATTAATGTAATTTTATGGTTAAGATTTTACATTCAAAAAAGTCCAGAAATTCAAAGTTATAGTTCCCAGAAGAATCCTAATTCAGTCACATTGCATAAACTGATATTAAGGCTGAAATGTATCATCATTACAGTAATGCACAATACCTCTATATGCATGAGGACACAGTTATAGTTGCTGAGGGAACCATAATTTTGGATTTTCTGACTTTTTTTGCACATACAATTTCAAACATAATGTTGTTAATGCAGGCTTTTTTCATTGACTCTGAAGTAATGTATCTGTTGCAATGTTTATCTTAAAAATAAGTTTTCATTGGCTCAATTTTTTTCCTTCTTTATATCAATAAACCTATGCTTGTAAAGATCTGATGTCCCTACAGCGAACTACCTAGGAATATTTCTGTATAAAAATAGTTTTTAGCCTCATGTATGCTGATATTCTCTCTGCCTTTCTTTCTCACACACACATCCACACACAGCCTCACACACTTATGTTACATTCTGGCACATTATAGAAGCAGGTAGCATATCCACTACCTGCTGTTGAAAGTGTTGACGATACTGAATTATTTATTCTATCTTCTACACTATCCAAAATCATTTTGGGTACTTTGACACATTTTGGTCTCTTCCATATGGATACTTCATGGTGGCAGAGTTGCCAGATGCTCAGGTTTTGTGACAGTCTTAGTTTTTCAAGGACTGTTGGAATATTCTTGGGAGAATCTCGCCTTGTTACTGATTCCTATGGAGTGGTAAAATACTAACATTTCTTTGAAAGTGTTTTTCAAGACAAGGAGTTGTTATAAAAAAGTTACTAGAATGTCCCATCTGAGTGTTTTTAACTTTGGGAACCTAGTAAGGGAGGAATTTATCATGAAATTCATTTACAATGAGTTGGCATCATCTTAAAAAGGAATAATAATAGCAGTATATGTAAATATGGGGATTAAACAAACATGGTGATATTTCAACATTTGAAATATTAGATATTTGACTCTCATAGAACGTCAGCCATTTATATTTCAACTGCCAAAATGCAAAGGAGCAGGATGCCATCTAGTTTATTTTTTTACTCCTTATCAACTAGACAGAATCTTGCATGTACTATATAGATACCATATAGATATCATATATATACACCATACATATATATAGTTATATATGTGTTATACATATATGTTTATATGTTAAATATTTGCTTAATTGAATAGAATGTGGATATTTGTGGTCTCAAGTATTTACCTTTCCTGTTCAGTATGAATAGAAACTCCATAATCTCTTCCCTTTCCAATCCCTGCCTTCAACACAAAAATAATTGGACATTCTGCTCATCTTTTAATAGCCATCGCAAGTGTTTTCTCCTTTTCTAAAGCCTTTTTTCTGGCTTTCCTGGGCCATATCTGAGGTTCCCTTCTCACTTCGCTTATGGCATTCTATGTATTTCTTGGCATTTCTAGACCATTGTTATGTACAAGCAGAGAAAAAGGAAGAAGGGACAGCTCTGAGTCAGAAGGGAAGCCTCCATTCCATGGCCTATGTGTAAATGTCTTTTATGGCTGAGAGAGGCTTTTGACTGCCATTATGTGATCTATGACATGTGATCTTCAGATATGTGACCCTCAGACATGTGACCCTCAAATGTAGGCAATAGAAAATTCGGATATCATTAAGAGTCAGGTGGATATCTGTATTAGTCTCTACTGCATATTTATACCAAAAGTTCAAGTACTTTGTCTACGTTGTGTGGAGAGAAGGGATGAAACAGAAAATAAACAAACACTGTAAATAAAGTTTTTCAAACTTTTTTTCTTGGTGAGTAAACTTTCCCCCATGTAACTAGAGAGCATTTTCATTGAAACGTCTAACTTGAAAAAGTTGCTTTTACTATTGGAATCATGAGTCCAGGCTCACAAGCAGCAACTGTGACTTTCTTTTTATTACTGATTTCACACTGGTTCTATTTTTGCCTCTTACTGGCTAACGTGGGGCAGATGACCTCATTTTCTGCTCTTCAGTCACCTGGTAAAGAAGTGTGGCCTAGGAAATTTTAAGGTCCTTCTTTCTGTAGTGTTAGATGAGTCCTACATATCATGTTTCATGCTAGGTGAGACCCAGAAAAGTGTGTCTCAGAAAGTTAGCATGTGATGTAGGTTGTGTTGAATGACTCCAGTACTTCATTTTAGATAATCTAATATATAACTTAAAGAGGGCAGTTGTGATCAACGGAAGCATTTTTTTTGTTTGTTTTTTGAAAACCAATGTTTTTGTTTGTTAAATTTAGCTGTGTACAGAATTTTTAATTTTTGTTTTACTCCATTTGATCTTTAAAAAAGTGGCTTTTAAATGTTTCCCCTCTGTGATATATGGGGTAATTAATATTAAAATGAGAATTCTCACACACAGGATTTAGCAAATCAGTGTTTGTGAAAAGTCTTACCTTTAAAATAAGTGTATAAAGGACCAGGACTCAGTCCTAAGACTCACCTTTGATTCTTTTTCTGTTGCAGATGTACAACATTATTAAACATTTCACTCTCTCTCAAACATTTCTTGAATGCCTACTGTACATAGTACAGTTTGCTAGTTTTGATGTTTATAATTAATTATTCAGTGGTACCCTTGTAATTAAATAGCAAAACATTGGGGATACTAAGTTATTTGTGGGGAGGTATTTCTCCAAATGGTATATTAAGCACCAAATTTAAGGAGGATTTCAAAGAACTGTCGTGAACTTGCCAAAACAAACATTGGAGGAATAATCAAAACACAGACATAATTTCTATGAGAAGCATAACAAATCAAATGATAAAACGAGTAACTCAATAGAGTAAAGCAAACTGGGAAGCAAACTTGAAGCAAATACTCATAAGCACCAAAAAAATTAGATGTTATTACTGATTACTGAAAGACTGAATATTTAGGATATATTTTATTTTGATAGTTTTATCAGTAGATAGGACTCAGTAGAAATAGCAAGTCCCTATATTTTTCCTGGTTAGCTTATTTGTTATTTGGGCACAAAATACTTTTTTTTTTTTCATGGTTGTCAGGAACAGCTTAGTTGTCACGAAGCAGATATTATTATTGTTATTGTCATGATTACTTTAATTATTATAGTGTCATAATATTCAAGCCTAAATCATGATACTGTCCAAAAGCCACTCTGTACTTGCCTGTGGTTTGTTTCTCAGGCTTGCGCCTCAAGAGAGTTTTCTGAATTTACTTGTGGATAGTGCTCTGGCTTGACTGGTCAGTAGGTCCTTAAATGTGTATAATTTTAGACTACACTGATAGGGTCGGATTGCAGTGATGATAGAACTTACATCCATTACCTTGGGTCTCCAGTCTTCAAACTTTATAGTATTTAGAAGGGAACTCCAGAGACTCATGAGTGGCATGAAATAAAGGGCAAAGAACATTCCAATGTAAAATGATATGCTGCTTTTAAGGAATAGTCTTGTACGATAGATTAATCATGAGATGAATTATAAATATTTCACATACTAATTATATTAGTTTATGGTGATAAAACACCATATGAAGTGTTCCCAGCACACTCAGCAAGTTAGATGCTCTTTGCATGTTAATTGACTTACTTCTTCAAGGCTAATGATCATGAATCCCTGAAGGTGACAAAAATTATTATCAAGATATTGTACATTGCTGATCTTTGTACCAGGTTGACATCTACCTTTCCTCTTGAGTTCCTTTTGTTTGGATCCTGTCTTGAATACTTTACGATGGTGAAGCAGAGAACAGTGCCTGAAATACTATTAGGGACCCCAGGAAAAACTAATGAGCTCAATAAAAAATGACATCAAATAACACATCATAGAATCGTGTTGGGTGTTCACATCCATGGGGCATGGGGAATGTAAGCACCCATGGGCATGGATGCTTCCCAGCTTGTTTTAATGGTAGGAGTGAATATTGTATTGAACACTTCTGTATAAATGGAAAGTTAACCAGTTTTATTTTCTCACAGTCGTTGAGGGAATGAATGATCCATTCACTCCATTTATTCATTCACTTATTTGAAAATATTTGTTAAGCACGTGGCTAGGATGGGGAATAAGACAGATGTAGGACCTGTCCTAATGGAACTTTAAAATCCAGAGTGATAGCTGCCAAGTTAGGAAAACTCTAGGATACTAAAGAAAAGAACAGCAGATCTAATTTATCTTATCAAGGAATATATACTTCAGTGTGAAGAAACGGGATAATATATTAAATATTGGAGAACCACATAGAATAGTTATGTAAAATTATATAACAGACTAGATCCCACATTTTTAACAAACATATTTGGTGATCAGGCAAGTTCTTTATTTAAATCAACTCTCCAGTGTATTTCCTCTCATTACCCTATTATCTGTAATCTTCAGTTACCTACTGGGCACTCTACTTATATTCAGTATTTGCAAAACATGTCTCTTTATTTCTCCTCCAAACCAGGATTTTTTTCCTCTTGTGTTAAGGAGTATTACACCATCACTATCTGATTATGTAAGCTAGAAACCTTTAGCCTCTTACTTTTAATAACCAAGCCGGACATTTCTTTCATCACCCTTAATGTTAGCCACTCTCTCTATTCCAGTGCCCTGACCTCCTCCTTGTTATTCCAGGAGGCTCGCTCCTGCATGTTATTTAGGATGCTTCCTAGAGTGCATCTCCTTAGGAAAGCCTTTACTGATGGTCATTACCTCTCCACAATTTGTATAGCCAGAGCAGTCTGGCCACTCAGTAAATATGTGATGGATAAAGGGTTGAAATAAAACTATTCACTTTTGTATAGTTCTTCTTTGTACCACTTATATTCTTTTATATTTCCAACACAGATTCTAATAAGTACAATTAACACAAAAACACTGAGTCACATACTAATCTTAAGATGATTCAAAATCAGTGTGGAGTAAGTGAAAAAGTAGAGGCTTTAGGCCCAGATCAACTTGAATTTGAAACTCATCTTTACCTCTTAGTAACTGCTGTTGTCTCAGCATTTAACCAAACCTCTTGTGCTTTAATTTCTTAACCAGTAAAATGAGGATAATAAGTCGTATCTCTTAGGGGTGGTGGTAGTGATGTGTGTAGAGAACCTTGCACGATACGTGGTTTTCTATCTTCCTTTAAAATATTACCATCAACATTACAATATTATGGTGATTAAAGGATTCCATTATCAAAAAGTGATCATGGAAAGCCATGGATTTAAATGAACTGTTTTGTTTTTGTTTTTGTTTTTGTTTTCTTTGAGACGGAGTCTCTCTCTGTCGCCCAGGCTGGAGTGCAGTGGTGCGATCTCGGCTCACTGCAAGCTGTGCCTCCTGGGTTCACGCCATTCTCCTGCCTCAGCCTCCCAAGTAACTGGGACTACAGGCACCTGCCACCATGCCTGGCAAATTTTTTCGTATTTTTAGTGTTAGCCAAGATGGTCTCGATCTCCTGACCTCGTGATCCGCCCGCCTCAGCCTCCCAGAGTGCTGGGATTACAGGCATGAGCCACCGTGCCCAGCCTAAAGGAACTGGTTTTATATCTTCTGTATTTGGTTATATTTAGAGTAATCTTCCTTATTTTGAGAATAATAGTGATTTATAGTGGTACTTTATTTATTTCTTTATCTTCTCACTTTACAACCATCTTTTTCTTGGCCAATAAGCATTAAAAACTGAGTTAATTAAGAATAAGAAAAAATAAAAGATTGTTAGTATAATAATGAACATGCAGTGAGTCACCAAATTGCTGAAAGATAAAGTACAAACTTCTTATCCTGCATCTGGATACTTCTGGGTCTGAGGAGGGCCACCGTTTCAGTTTTATCTGATTATTCATTTTTTTCCAAACGCTAACTGCTAGCCCTCTCTGACTAATTCAAATAGCACTGATCCTTTTAGTCCCGAGAACTCAGGACCTGGGCCTCTTCTGCCACCCCTGATAATTCTGAGACTTCCTGGTTTTTCACTGCTCTTAGTTCTCTTTTCTTCCACTGAGTGGCCATAGCACTTAGTGCCTCTGCCTTCATTCGTAATCAATCTCACACTGCTTTGTGACATTTCTTGTGCAGGAGAGAGCAGTTACTTATCTTTTTTATTGTTATTTAATGTTTCCTGTATTTACGGCTTATTTCACCAATTATATTGTCAGTTCTTTTAGAACGGGGTGATATCTTATACTTCTTAAATTGCCAAGTCAAAAGATTTTACAGTGTTCTGATTTGTTGACTTATTGATAGAATGTCTAAAAACAGATATATCTACAAATGTTCTGGTTCATATTACCTTGGACCTTGTAAGAATACTCTTAATAATGAACTCCAGTCCCAAAAGAAATAAACACATACATGAAAAAATGTTTAAATGTATGCAATAAAAATTTCAATGTATTTATAGATTTTTTAAAATAGTAGGCTCACCCTCTCTTCTTGTATCTTCCTTTCTTGTTAGAAACATAATTACAAAGTGTCTTTTATGGATTAAGCACTGTGCCAGATACCAAGAGTTAAAAGACTCAGCGTTTGCAGGAATAATTTAAGAGACACCTGAATTTAAGTGACACCTTTAGCTAAAGAAGCTCAATAGGCATTATGGAATTTGTTTCCTTAAACATCCGTAAGACAGTTCAGAGTGCTGATGATGGCAGCAAGGATAGATGTTAAGAAAACAGCCTTATGTTGGAGATACTGCTCAGTGGCAGGTTGTGCCTACAGTCTTTGATTCCCTACCTTCTTGACAGGTGTTCTGTATATAGTGCTTTTTTGTATACAGTGCTCTCCTGGCCATCGTGATAAGCACAGGAAAGGAAAATTACATGATGGAAGAAAGTAAAACTGTCCGATTGATGCCACATGATGAGACAGCTTTTGGGAAACTGGCTACTCTATTTATAAACAGCCTGTAAATTACCACCACAAGAACCTGGGAGATTAAATGACTGTGTTTCCTTTTCCTTCAGATAAGACTTCCATCTTGTATTTTTAATTGTTTCAGCAAAGGGAAACATTTTGTTAGGCAGTGTTCTTGTAAGTTTTTGAATATCCATAGCATTTAAACATGCAGTAGAAATGGTCCAATTAAGATTAAGTAGCTGACAACTAAAGCAAATTGTGTTAAAATGAATTTTGTATATTGATGATTAATGAATATTAGAACTCAGTTATCTCTCTACACAAGTTTTATGAATTAAAAAATATGTTGAAACCAAAGACTTTTGAAATGCTTGGGAGTAATTTTCATTTATGTGTGTATGTATCATTGAGTTTCTGTTGTAATTAAAACTCTGTCAAGGTGCTTTGGAAGTGATAAAGGGAAGAAAGCAATAGCTGTCCTCTCTTTCGCTTCTCATATCCAGTTTTATCAGCAAACCCTGACAGTTATCAGTACACCCAGTCAGGCCACTTGGTAACACTCTCACAATATTAGCATCTTAGCCCAAGACAGTGTCATTTTTTTTCTTCTTGCTGTCTTCTTCCACTCATGACTCCTTGCAGTCTGCTTTCCATATGGTAGTCAGAGTAAAGTTTTCTGGTATTAAAAAGTAATTTAAATATGCATGAATTACATAAACAAAAGAAATATAAGAGATTAATACAGAGAAGATTTCAAAACTTTATGGACATGAGTATAAAAATCATGCCCTAGTTGGAGATATTATGACTTACCATATCATGAAGCGTAATAAAAAATCATACCTTTTAGAAATAATTTTTAACATGGCAAAACAACATGGTGTTAAAAGCAAGAAATGAAAGTATGCAATAATGTATTTCTGTTACAAAGTGGAAAGAATAAAATAAAATATACCTAATGTACATATAAGATTTTGTCACTTCCCTGCTTAAAATCCTTCCAGCTCTTCCTATTGTTCTTACCACAAAACCAAGATTATTTTCATGTCTTACCTTTGAATCTTCACCCTTATTTTTGGCCACTCTCCCATTGGCTCCAACCTCCTTGGTCTTCGTTCAGTTCCTCAACCTGTCATTCTTCTTCTTGCCTCAGCTACTTTGTTTTCCATTTTATGTCTGTAATTTAGCATAGTGCCTTGCAAATAATAGGTGCTCAGCACATGCTTAGAGCACCAAAATGCAAATAGTAGCTATCTCTCTTTGGAATAGTTATGGGTGATATTCACTTTATTTGTATTTTTTGTGCTTAAAACATTTTCCATAGTGAATGTGTATTTTCTAATTCTCAGAAGGAAAAGAAAAAATAATGCCATTCCAGAACTGGAGAGCTGGGTAGGTGAAATTCATCTAGGCAGGAGGAACATGGAAATTAGGTTATCACAAGCGGGTCAAGGGTCTGTTCAGGAAAATCAGTTAAGCAGGTAATTGTATTCAGGAAACATGGGTGTCAGGTTAGGGAAAGCTGGTTCATCCAGAACTGTGCTTTCCAATACAGTAGCCACTAACCACATATGGCTAGTCGATTTAAATTTAAATTTAATCAAATTAAATTTAAAAGTTAGTTCCTCAGGAGTACTAGCTACATTTCAAGTGCTCGATAGCCATATGTAGCTAGTCATATGTGGACAGTACAGATATAGAACATTTTCATCATCATAGAAAATACTGCATCACAGAAAATACAGGATCCTAGAGAGTAGATATCAAGGAACAGGAATGCATGAGAGGGAAGAAAAGAACCAAGGCTTAGGTAATGAGTCTTAGCAACATGAATCTAGACCAGGAGTTTAGGTATTGAGCAAAGTGACACAGCTAGAAGAATTTACTCTTTTGTCAAAGGCCTCCTGAAGCCATGCAAGAAATTGTGTATGAGTGGTAACACAGCCCAAACTGGTGTCTGTGTTAAATTGTATACACTATCTCATTATGTCATAAATAGCTTCAGGAGAGGAGAGGGGCCTACTGAAAAGATTTCATGGGGCAAGAGTGAGGTGACCTAGCCCATGAAGAATCATTACTAAAATGTATGGGCAGTGGCTGGAATATTGAATGCCTGCCTTCTGTTACTCATTTCACTTCCCTTCTGTACCATTTAAGATATAAAAGTGTGCATCTTAATGGTAATGGTCACACTACTACTGCCCTTAGGTATATTTCAGCTTTTCTTTTTACATATTAAGTAAATAGGGTAAAAGGCAAACAACTGATTTATTTAAATTGAGCAGAAAATAATAAAATCTTTAATCTCGAATTTCATTGTGTTTAACTGTTTCGGATTCTTTAAACATATATGACTTGAAATGTAGATACAATGTGTATTGGAAACAATCGAAACGTGTACAGGTCCTTTTCCCAAATACATGGAATGGTGTTAATGTGCTTGCAGCATAGAGCCGTTTTGGTTAGATGATTATAGTAGCAGCTTACTTGTACTTTTGGTGAAATGGTAAGCTAATGATGTAGCTGTTAATTTGAATTTAGCAGACATTTTAAATATAGGTTTCTCTTACAGAGACAAAAGTTGCAATTTAAAGCTCTTTGGTGGTCTAAAAACAGCTTAATTCTGTAGTAGCATGGTAATAAGTACTAATCCAGCTTATACAGTGATTGTAGTATGTCATGTTTGTGAAAGATTGCTCAACTGCTTTCTCTGGGTTTTATGTTAATTTAAAAATATTAAACATAAAACCTTATAACATCTTCATGCTGAGATAAACTGTTCAATTTAACTTGTGCTCAAGCAGCAGCTGTCAGGAATTATCTTGTTCCTAGTGGTTTTTGCTATCACCTTGTGTCCTTTCCTGCTAGAGACACACTGTGGGATGATAAAATGCACCTTGTTAGGATTTATTGGTTAAATAATACCTGAGGCAGGATGAGCATTTGTAGCCCAGGGATTAGCTGCTGATCAAGTGATGTCATTCATTGTATTATTATCAATTTTTAAAAATTGATAGTAGGGAGCAGAGTAAAAATTGCCTATGGATCACCTGCATTCCTTTTGTGGGCATATTCATTACTTCTTTTTGGGTGTTGTTGAGCTAAATATTTGAGAAATTGCTTATTGACCACTTTACCGTTTTACGAGCAAGAAAAGCAAAGAGATGATGGAGATAATTTCCACTATTTAAAACTAGTGAGGGCTATTTCAAGATTAATTATACAAATACAGTGAATTTTCTTTTAATGATTAAACAAACTGAAAGAAGTGTTGGCGTGGGCAGTCTCAAATGGGGAATATTATGAAAATTATTGTTGTTTCTCATATGAATATATTGCCTTCTTTTATTTGGGAGGTTTTCTTTGGAAGGCTGAACTTTAGGGTTGAATTCTTTGGTTACGGATAAGCTGGTGGGTAGGGGGACATGTGGTAGAAATAGAGTGAAGGGCTCCTTTCGGTTAAACATTAGCTATAGATAGTCCACCCTGAGGATAATCCTCATGTAGAAATTAACAGTTGGAATATGGCTAGAAATACAGATATGATGGGTTTATTGTTTATGGAATATAGAATTTTTTCTTCTACTTACTGCCATTTAATGCCTGTTACTTCAAATGTATAGTTTTATAAATGTATAACTTACCCAAAATTTGCAGTACGACAATGCCTTGCTCCATGAAATCTGTTTGATAGACTCTCCCCATCCCCTGAAGCTATGAATTACTACACACCTGTTCACATAGATTAATCAACTGTTAATGTGTTTGCACATTTTTTATTTTTCTCTCTCTGTAAATATATACATATTAATATTTATTATTAGTAGTAGCATTTGGCTGAACTATTTAATAATTTATTGCAGACATCATGGCATTTCACATCTAAATAATTTGACATGAATCTCCTAACAATAGGAATATTCTCCTACATAACTGCAATAAAATTATTGTATTTAAGAAATTAAAGATTGATAAAAACTTGCAGTCTTATAATTAGCCCATATTCAAATTTTTCCTATTGTCCTAATAATGTCCTTAATAGGTGTTCTTTTCCCTTCCAGTGTCCACTAAAGGATCATATACTGGATTTTGTTTTGAGTGTCTTTATTTCCTTTAGTCTAGATTTTTTTCTTTTATGACATGACATTTTTGGAGATCCAGCAAATTATTTTGCAGAATATTTGTCTGGTTATTCCTTACCAAATTCAGCTTAGGCATTTTTGGCAGGAATACTATACTGATGATTTGTATCTTTCTCAGTGTATCACATTTGGAAATACATAATATCACTTTGTCCCATTATTGGTCACAGTAAGTTTGATCACTTGATTACATTGGTTTCTACCAGATTTCCCCATCATAAAAGGTATATTTTTTGTAATTAATAACTCATATGAAGGCTACTTTTAATGCATTTTTCTGCCTTGTGTGTGAAAAACATTATGCTTGCCCAGGTGATAATGATTAAGAATGGGCGTCATTGCTTGCAATAGTATGTATGGTCAGGGATGGGCATAGTAAGAAAGAATAGAAGGAGAGGAGGATTACGCAATAACTAGACCTAGAAGTTGCCATGTATTCCCTTTTAAGGAAAATATTGTTTGAAATTAATATTTTGTTGTTTCCTCTGCTAAAGATCAGATTTTTAGGTAAACAAATATCTTCATGTTTCAGAATTTTCAGTGTAAGTTTTAGAGAGGCTTATATGTGGTAGTGGTGTGGGGAATATGTTTGGACAAAATGGGGCATTGTTTGGTCATAATTTTTTTTTTATTTGGGTATAGACAGACAGGTTTAAAAAATAAGTGCATCTCCTTGGTAAGATTTTTTTTTTTTAACCTTAAAGAGATAAATTATAACATTAATATAGCAATGTAGGTTTGAAGAGGGATTGCTGGCTTTTGGTCTTGTGTGCCTCTTTTAGCCCGTGAAGAAGACACTTGAATTCCTACTTGTGATATATGCACTTATTATGTAATCCTTCTTATGTGAAAGGCTAGTGCGGCAGATCATATAAACACCTGAAGTTAGCCATTTGGCTTGTCAGCAAGGGAGGATTTATAGTAGTTGTAATCATGGTAATAACAAGGATGATATTTTGTATTTATTAAGTACAGAAAAAAGCACTTGCAATGTAAGTGGTCTGCAACCAATTCATATCTGTGGTGTAATGAAAAGCAGTTTGAGCCCTTAGAAGACCAGCAGTCTCTCTGCTTTGCAACTTTCTACCAGTGTGATCCTAGAAAAACTCTTAACCTTCTTGAACCTGATTTTTTAGAAAGGGAATTAAAGCCATAAAGGTAAAATGATGTTACATTATGTTATAAAGGTGGCATTCTATCAAAATTGTGTCATCTAAATGTCCTCAGCTGCTCAAGTCCTGTACTTTGTCCCTCTTTTGTGTCCGTATGTAATAGGCACCTTATTAGGGAAACATTTCCAGGTTGTCCCAGACAATTAGTATTGCTTTCTGTTTGTTTCTCTAATGTTTTGTGTATGTCTCTATTACAGGCAGCATTTATCCTGCTGAGCTGTCTTGTTCATCTTTTCTGTTCTTCCTGGTTAGACCCTGGCACATAGTAGGCATTTAGTAAATGTATGTGGAATGAGAGAGTAAATTGACACTTTTTTCATTTATAAACATGGATAGGCAAGCTTTCAGTTTCCCTTTTTCCCTTAAAAATGAGGAATCAGCCTTTCATAAAATTTTTATATTTGTGCTTTTTAAGGGATTTTACAGATGATGCATCTGGTACCATTAGCAGTCCAGTAATGGAGAAGAAAAGATGTTTTTAAAAATACAAGTATTGTAAGATACTTTACAAGTGAGGGGAGGGTAAGAAAACATGCCAAGAGAAAAAGACCATACTAGATAAGTCTATTGCATAAATCAAAAGAGTTTATGTCATAACATGAACATGTGCCATTCCTGCTCATACATTGAATTTCAGTAGTTGGTTGCATAAAGAAGGAAAGTGTAATGAAACTGGCAAGCAAAGTATTCCGCAGTCAGTCTTATCTTTGTTCCATTTGTCCTTCAGATAGAGCTTTTCTTGCCTTTTTCAATAAAATCCATCCGGCTTTTTTTTTTTTTTTTTTTTTTTTTTTTTTTTTTTAACATTTCTCAGTAACTGCACTGAGAAGACCAGTGAGATTCGGGGACTTTATAGTTCTAAGCAGCTGCTTTTTAAGAGATCAAAACTTAGAATGCTGCTACATGGTATTAAGCCTCAACTATTGATGTGTCCCTATAGGGGATGTGTTTTTCTTGGGGTGGGAAGAGGAAAGAGGAGAGAAGAGCAAAGCATGATCCCTTCAAACATACTTGGGACAGTAAACCCCAATTTTCTTGTTTCCTAGGACCCTCTTTGCAAGTTCAGTGCTTAACCTGACCGAACTGGCTGCCCTTCGGCCTGACCTTGGGAAACTGAAAAAGATTCTGTATTTTCACGAGAACCAGTTGATATATCCTGTCAAGAAATGTCAGGAGAGGGATTTCCAATATGGATACAACCAAATTCTTTCATGGTAGGTATGGATTGTATCATTATATTTGGCCCTTTGCTACCTTTTTCTTTGTAGGTGGTTACGTTTTAAATCTGGAGACCTACTATTGTACACCTTTTTTTAAAACACCATAAGGTAGGTGCAAATATTTAAACAATTCTTCCTTCTGCAGTATATGTAAGATCACAACTAATCATTTTATAAAAATACATATATGTAACAATCTAATTATATGTTGAGCTAATTATCTATTTTTCACAACATTCAAAATAGAATTAAAAGGTTGGCAGGGACCTTCACCCCTTGATTTCATGATCTATTGCTTAAGGCATTTAGAAAGTGCAGTTAGTCAACTCTTACTTATTAATCACGATCACTGTATTCAGCTAAAATCAAAATAGAGTTTTACAGAGAAGTAAAAATTAAAGCATAATGGAGCAACTTGGGGTTTTGTCTCCCCCGCCTTTTTTTTTTTTTTTTTTTTAAATTGTAAGACAGAGAAGACTATGGACAATGAATCCTTAGGTAGTGTTTTCTTTTTTCCTTCGTTGAGTCTTCTGAAATGGCACAGCCTTAAAATACCATGACATTTTAAAGGTGATGGTCCTCTATTGTTACTTCGACAAAGTGTATCTCCTGAAGCTTAGTTAATGAAAGAAGTTAATAACAATTCTGAAATGGCTTTGCTATTGGATCCTATTCACATAACTGCAACAGTCAAACGGAATCTGTTTGTCAGTGATTTTGTACATTTTATTTATCTTTATTAACAGCTATTAGCAACTGGGTTTGATGATGTATTTGAACAGACCCGCAATTCTTGCAAGAATGTTTCATAGTTTAGTTGACATAGAAAAATGGCTATATAGTAATAATTCTGTGTTGTGTGCATTTTGTGAATGTTTTCCTACAATCATTTTTACAAGCTGCTTCAATTGTGAAGTAGCAGTGCTATCAAAATAGAGTGCAACTGCTTCACGTCAAATGTCTCATAAAAAAAGCAGCCGTTTTAAAATTTCATAATAAAATTAAAATACTTTATATTGAAACAGAGAAGGAAAATATGTTTTAAAAATGAAAATAAAATCATTTTGTGCTTTATCAATATGGAAAACATTTGTAATATTCTTTTGATTTCTTGAATTAGCATCATTCTTTTCCTCAGATAGTGTGTTTATTACCCCTGAGAAATCATTGGGAAAAAAACTAAGTCTATTTTTTCCTTTATGGGTGGCTTTAAAGTTAATGGAAGTTACATCCACTCATATCAGGGAGGAAATGTACCAAAAAGGATATTTCTGTAAACTATCTTGGATCTTTAATTTAGCATAGACTGGATTTTTAAGAATGTAAGTCATTGGGTCACATGCCGTTTGAGGGAAGCTATCTAAAAACAATTCAGCTCTCGATTCCTCCTCACTTTCATAAAACATTGTTTTTGCTGATAGGGAATGAGACTATAAAAGTTTTGTACATGATTTTTCAGCATTGCTTTTCTCAAGAGGGTAAACTTATAGACAAGCTTGGAGAGAGAGAAGTGTACTTCATCATCAGTTGGCTTCTTAATGGGGAAAAAATGGTTCACAGTTGTCCAGAGGAAAAATAAGAGTGTCAAAAGGCAGTCCTGTTCAGATTCTCTTTGAAAAGTATGACTCCTGCTTCCTCAAATGTTTCTTTAGTTTTCTTGCTGACTTCTGCTTTTTTTGGCACTGTCAGATTTCTTTCTGGACTGTGTGGCAGTTAAGGACTTTAAAGATGACTGACATAAGCACTCACCTTAAACAGTGATTTCACTAACCCTCTGACTTATGAACACATGTCACAACTATATATTATGACCTGTAGGTCACTATTACAATATGTGACATATGGTGAAAACAAGACTAGCTGTAAAACATCCTTCAACTTTTGGTATATTATTATATTAGCTTCCTTATTGCTTAGTGTTGTGTCAGCACTTCTGTGACATTCCTTTGTATTGTTCGTGTTGTAATCACCCACACCCCCCAAATTTGCACTAGGTAGCAACTAATAAACAATACTTGTATAGAAAATCAGTTTTTTTCAAGGGATGCACGGAAGTAGCAGGCCAACACTCTTTTTGTTCATTTTTTATTCTGCTAGATATTAACATTGTAATAGTAAATTTGGCTGTCTCAGCAAATATGACTTAAACTAAACTGACGTTTGGCTACGGCATTCCTATTCTATAAGCTCTACTTATTCTGTGGTGTTCTGCAGTCCTGTGGACATAACATGTCTTCTTTCCAGTAGTATTGATCTATCATTTTTAGGGTGGAATAAAACCAATTGCTTTATCCCTTTAATCTTGTATACAGATGTTCCTCAACTTACGATAGGATTACAGCCTGGTAAACCCATTATTGTGAGTTGAGAATATGATAAGTTGAAATGCATTTAATACAACTAACCTATCAGACATCATAGCTTAGCCTAACCTACCTTCAACATATTCAGAATACTTACATTAGCCTACAGTTGGGCAAAATCATCTGGCAGCACAGGCCACTGTAGAGTATTGGTTGTTTACCCTTGTGATCATGTGGCTGACTGAGATTTGTGCCTCACTGCTGCTGCCTAGCATCGTGAGAGAATATTGTGCACATACCATTAGCCCAGGAAAAGATCAAAATTCAGTATTCGAAGTATGGTTTCAATTGAATATATATTACATTTTCACCATTGTGAAATTTAAAAAATCTTAAGTTTGAACCATTGTTGTTGCGGACTGGTATTACCACATTTATTTCATTGAATTCGAAGATCATGGTGTTGCGGCGCTTTATAATTTATATGTACCTTTATGTAATCAGTTAGGACCTAGTGATCTGGATTTCCGGATGCATTTCTACCAGTTTCTTCTATTTCTCTGGCTAGCCCAATATAATATAATATGATAGTGAAACAAGTTATTTTGGGATACCATAATCCTTTCTGTGTAGTCCCAGAACTTTTAAAAACTTAACACAGTTTCTTGAAGTAAAAGCTACAGCAAGAAGTAGACTTTAACCAAATAGTGCCGAAGGTATCGTGCCTTAGTATGAAAGTAGTTTTATCTGAATTAGTCTTCTTGAAGTTAGTGAGAAGTGTGACAGATGCTCTGTTCTCGGTAGTATGGTGTAAAATGATGCACATCACTGACAGAAATTCAACATGGGTAGCTGGGCCACGAAGAAAAAGGAATTGCTGTACGTAGTGTTGTTGATAATATAGAAAGTTCCTGGCATTGTGGAAAAATATGCTTTGGTTTGGAGTCTCATGCGATCCCATTAAATCATTCTATTTCCCTGTTGCCTTTCAAATCTGATGCCACCAATCAACTCCCTGTGATATAACACTAATGAAACCAACTTAGCTCTTAGAGACATTTTGGTAGATACTGATATGAAGTGAAGAGTTCTTTGCAAACCTAAGGTGTAGTATAAACTCTGATTAATCCATAGAGGTCTTAGGTTGATAAAAATTACTCTGAATGAGTCTGGGCTCATCATTTGCATTTGTCTTTTACCTTTACAGCCTGGTGGCTGATGTGGTTGTATTCAACTCAGTTTTTAATATGGAATCATTTCTCACTTCCATGGGAAAATTTATGAAGCTGATTCCTGATCACAGACCCAAGGATCTGGAAAGCATCATCAGACCCAAGTGCCAAGTTATTTACTTTCCCATCAGGTTTCCTGATGTGAGCAGGTCAGTATGTTTGACTCTGTTCTCAATATTGTGTCATAAATTATTCCTCAAATGTATAAAAATTGATGTTCTTCATGCCAGTTTTAACTTTTTAGCATAAGTATGGTTAGTTAGAGAATTAAGTTCTATCTCACCATGCTGTGATTTACAAAGATTTTAAATCATCATGTGTCTAACCCATCACTAGTTAGTTCAGATATTGAGTCCTTCTTTTCTTTTCTTTTCTTTTATTTATTTGTTTGCCAAAGCAGCCCGGTGTTTTGTTTCTTTCTTTCTTTCTTTTTTTTTTTTTTGTTACAGAAGTCATTGTCAAGCATATTTCTCAACCTTTGCATTCAGCTTATGCCCATTGATTTATATATACAATAAGAACTGGTCTAGATAAGTCAATGTTAAGTCTCACTGCTTGGATTAGTTCATTTCTCATGCTATTTTCTTTTATTTTTTCTTTATTTTTAATTATTTATATTATCTTAATAAAGAGTTAAGTCTTCTATATTGGTTTACAAATGTACCTAATTGCCATTTCTCTTTCTTAGTTACTAAGGACATTTTTTTTATTACCCTTGCTGCTGGGCCCACCTTGAATTAGCAATGGATGATGTGGCTCAAAGGGAACATTCTGGAATTCCTTTTCACTTTTGATTAAACCTAGCAAAACTGTTTTTACTACCACTAGGAATATTTCTCCCTTGTGAACAGAAAGTGTACTTCAGTGGGACTCACACTAGCAGGAGACGCTGCTGTTTTTTACTGACTGCTTTCTTAAAAGAGTTCAGGAACAGCTGTTTCTTCCTCATCCCTGAAATGAAGGCAGGAAATGATTTAATATCCATACATGCTATGCAAGAGGTCAGCATTAACTTCTGTGTTCTACACTTACTGAGTTCACCCATATTTTGCTGTAGAAACGGTAGTCCTCATCTGCACCCCATTGCTGATTTATTTGAGTGTCTTATTTGTTAATATTTCATCGAAGAAAAATCTGCCCCATACAAAATCAAGTTAGTGAATCATAAAATTTAAGTTAGACCATCTTGCCCAATCTTTATATAAAGTGCAGAAAACAGAGGCCCAGAGAAGTAGAGACTGGCTTGTATTCACCTTGTCGTTGTCACAGACTGGATTAATATTTAGGCCTTATGACTTCTGATTTCAATTTCTACTTACCATTCAAGCATCCTGTCATTACAGGTCATTTGTCAAAAACAGTTAATGATTTATTTGCTGTTTTGAAAACTATAAAGCTAAGTGGAGCCACGATCACAAAGCAATTTTCAGAATATATATGTAATTACGTATATTATCTATGTATTTGTAGACATAGTTTTCTTATGTGTGATGAGAGAACTACAACTTTTGAAAAATGTGATAGTTATACTTTGCCTGTGATTAACTAGAACAGTTATATATCTGAATTTTTCAAAATATGAACCTTATATTTTGACGTTTTAAGTTTTTTTAATATCACATATAGGCAAAATGTATATCTCTAAGTGAGTAGATGGTTATAGCTCCTCTTAATTATTACTGCTATAGAATTCTAAATAAATGTTTTAAAATTCATTTACATCCGATGTATTTCTGCAACATCATATGTTTAATATACCTGTGGCAGTTGAGTAGTTTATTAATTTGGATGATATTACCATAAAGGAATCTAGCTAAATAGAAAAAGGTTAAGAAATATTGTGGCCAAGATAACATTCATAAGCAAGGTCTTAGCCTAGAATGTTATTTGAATTATTTTCAAATGGTAATTTGCTTTATGCAACCCAAACTCATATAGTGTAAGTAAGTGATTATTTGCATGAATGACAATCATTCTAACGCCTGCAGTTTCAAAACTGTATTATTTTGTTGAGATGTTGAAAAGTATTTAGTAATTCCAAAGGCAAAATAACCAAGGTGATTAAAAAATATTTTTGAATGCTTGTATCTTTCTCCCAATCCAAATATTATTTGGTCATGGGAAAAATGAATTTAACTGAAAACAAAGCAGAAGATACAGTTAAATTATTAGTCATTGCGCTATATAATATAATGGATATTAATTAGGGAGGGGAGAAAAGCCATATTTCCAACAAAATAAATGAAGATTTTTAGAGTTTCTATCTGTTAAAACTCAGAGCATGTCTGTCACCTCAGCAGTTTCGCTAATATTAGACTCACAGCACCTACTGCTACCTCTTGCCTTCCTCACTTATCTCCTGCCTCACTCGCAATGACCAGATAAATAGTAGCATGAGAGTGTATTCTCTTGAAAACATTTCATTATATGTATTGAATATTTTGGGATGGGAAAGCTCTTAGACGCCGTAGTCATGTATACATGTATTTGAGTTTTGACCACCACTTACTAGTTCTGTGATCTGTACTTGTGGAATGACCTTGCACTTAAGTTTGTTAATGGTTGTGATTAAACCATCTCATAGGGATGATGCAGTGATTAAATGAAATAATGTATACCATGTACCTAGGATAGTGCTTAGCATACAGTAGACCCACAACAAAAGGTTATTTTATCTTGTTACCCGCCCCGCTCCCATTAATTTATAACCTAGCATATTTATTGGCATCTGAATATAGAGGACTATCTTCCCTCTGCCTCTCACAGTCCTATAATCGACACATGAAAATAGAGAACTACTCTCCTAAAAGCTGAATCTAATATAAATAAGGAGATTGGTTTTATTTATTTACTTTATCACCTTGAGTCAAACAATCCTTTGGCCTTACCAGACCCTACCATCCATTGATTGAGCCAACTTAATTTCACTCTTGTCCTATTTTCTCTTTCTTTGTCCAGCTTAACTTTCTTATTCCGTCATTATGTTTACTCTCTTGCATATCCTCTCAAATCATTTACACCTTTTGTTTCATATTTGATTGGCAAAACCCCTCGTCTGTTTAAATCTATTTGTTCATATACTGTCTTCCTATAATCATGGACTAAACATAACTGGAGAAAAGCATGTCATACTTATTAGCATGTTCTAAATGTGTGATTCATAAGATTCAGATGGGCCCTTTGACTACCTGGCAAGCATTTCCCTTCTTCTAGATAATTATGCCTTCTCCTTTTTTTAGAACACTCCAATACCAAATCTTCTATCTTCATTCTCAGCTGATGAGTGAGGAAATAGGAGCAATCAGAAGACAACTTTAATTTATTGATACTACCAGGTCCACCCAATTATGTGCTTCTTCTGGGTGCATATTCTCCATCTTCTCACCTGTTACTGGGGATGAACAACCTTGCTTCTGTGTAAGGCCCCATCTACACTTCTTTTCCAGAACTCATCCATCCCACATACTCAAGGACTATTGTCCTAACAATTTTTTCTGGTCTATTCTACATCATCAATTTTCCTTTCTTCTGAATTATTCCTATTTTCCTTTTATCTGAATTATTTCTATTAACATAAAAAAATTATTTCTTACATCTTAAAATTTTTTTTTCTCCTTATTCCACTTCCCCCTTCTACTACCTCATTTCTCTCCTTCTCTTAGTAGCAAAACCTTAAAAGAGTTGTTTATACTTGTTCCTTCTAAGTTCCTTCCTCCTGTTCTGAGTTAAAACTATTCCACTGAAATAGTTTTAGTCAGGGTCACCACTGCCTCTAAATCCTGTGGTCAGTTCGTAGTCCACATCTTATTTACCATAGCAGCAGCATTTGACACACCATGACACATTCTTCAGTTGTCTAGGGCACATAGTCCCCTGATTTTCACACAGACTGCTGCTTCTCAGGCTCCTTTGCTGGGTTCCTCATCATCATCCTGACCTTTTAACATTGGAGCCACTTTGGCATTCTTGACACTTAAGGGGTTGGTGGAGGAAGAGCCCAAGATTGAAGTGAGAAGACAAAGTAAGAGTCAGGAGGTCAACACTGAGATAATTATCCTGTGGAACAAAGGGGAGAGAGTTCTAAGGAGATAATCATTAGTGAATTCACAGCAGCGAGGTTAAGTAAAGTGATGACTAAAAAGCGTCCTTGAATTTGACCATTAAAAGGTCAGTGGCATCCACCCTGCATTCTATTAAGTCACAAAAAAGTTTCATGTGTATTGTCATAGCCAAAGAAACTTAGGATTCAGGTCTGGATGAGATCTCTCTCTGTCTGTCTCTGACGCGCATGTACTCTCTCTCTCTCTTTCTCTCTCTCCTCTTCTTATTTTATGGATAAAGGCGCCAAGGCCCAGAGAAGTTATATGTCTTCTGGTAATCACACAGCTAGATATAGGCAGAGCAGGAACTAGAACTGGTATCTCAAAATCTTCATCCAGTGTTCAGCCCACCACTTATTGTAAATGCAATTTCGGAAGTCTTGATTATCTGATTTTTCAGCTGACAGCAGATTAGCAGCATCAAATTGGGGGTGTGATAAAGGCAGTCTCACTGACAGCAGTAAAAAGTGACAGCTGACTGACAGCTTGACAACAGGGGAGGAGAGAGATAAACCATTTTGAAAAAAATATATGGGAAGTTAAAAAAAAAAGAAACATAGCAGCCTGGAGCCATTCTATGGCAGGGCAGGCAACTCTGCACATCAAATAACCCCTGCAGACATTTCTCCATGATTGTACAGCTTGTACATCAAAAGGATGACTGTGATTTATTAAGAGAGATTAAATGGTAATCAGTAAGTTTCATTTTAAGAATGTAGGAAAATGCATAATCCACTTTTGGCAGAAGTTATAAATGACAGCAAATGGAATTAAACATTATACCTTACTTTAAGATGTGCATGAGCTGTGTTCCCCTAAAGGAAGACAATAAACATCTAAAGCCTTTCTTGTGCAGTTGTAATATCCTTCAGTTTTCAGTGACCAGGAGACATGTTATTAAGCTATCTTTTTAAAATCTCCCTGATTACAGCTTTGCCATTGACCAAATTTCCCATTTCTGCTGGGTTGCAAACACTGGCTCCTTCCATACTGAAGGCTTCCAGGCCTGCAAGATGATTGGTGGTCAACAAAACAGATTTTGTAATATTAATACCAGAAGATAAATATGATCCTGAGACTTGGTGAGATGAGAATTACTACTGGAATGTATTGCAAAAGACTATTTTGTGTTAAAGGATATAGATTAGATTGAAAAGTCAAGCAATTTTGCAGTGTGTTTCAAGAAGACAGATTTCCCGTGGAACTCCATGGTGCTGAGTATGTGATGGAGAGGCAGAGAAAAAAGGGAGTAATCTTGCAACCTACTAAACTAGATGCTAAAGGAAGCCAATATTTTCATACTTTAGGTCATGTAATTGTCATAAAGGCAAGGCCTAGCAGAAGTAGGGAAATTTTAAATATCCAGACCTTTCTGCAAGTCTCAGTCTTATGAAATCCAAACATCTGAAGAATTACATCTTCCTTTCCCGTCTCTTTTCCTTTCTCTTTTCTCTTTTCTCCTTTCTCCTTCCTCCTTTCTCCTTTCCTTTCTTTTCCTTTCCTTTCCTTTCCTTTCCTTTCCTTTCCTTTCCTTTTCCTTTTCCTTTTCCTTTTCCTTTTCCTTTTCTCTGTTCCCTCCCCTCCGCTCCCCTCCCCTCCCCTCTTTTGACAGGGTCTCTCTCTGTCGCCCAGGCTGGAGTGCAATGATGTGATCATGACCCATTTCATCCTTGACCTCCTGGGCTCAAGTGACTCTCCCATCTTACCCTACTGATAGCTGGGACTGCAGGTGGGTATCTCCACATCCAGCTAATTTTTTAATTTTTTTGTAGAGATGGCGTTTCACCATGTTGCCCAGGCTGGTTTCCAACTCCTGGGCTCAAGCAGTCTGCCCACCTTGACCTCCCAAAGTGCTGGGTTTACAACCATGAGCCACCTTGCCTGGCCTCACATCTTGCTTTCTGACAGTGTCATCTTTAGATGGTAGAACTAGCCATAACAACTAACCCTTATTGATTATTACTCTATGCTCTGTATTGTACTAAATGCATTTATCATACATATCTTATCATTTAATATCTTTACAACTCTGAAAGACATTTCTTGTTGAAGAAACTCAGGCATAGAAAACGTAAGTAACTTTTTGCCAGTGATCACACATATAGATAGTAAAGGTATACCTGGAAACCAGATACTTTTTAATACTGTTTTAGAACCCAAACTCTTAACAATTTTGTTGTAACTACCTGTCTCACAAAGAGAAACTCTGGTCTCTAGTACTTGACTTTGACCAGTAAAGAACAAATGATTTATAAAAATGAACTGACAGAAAATTTGAATGAAAGTGAGTATGTCATGGTAACATTATAAGAGAAAGCGCTCAAGGCTTTTGAAAGCATATTTTTAAAAGGTTGAAGTTCTGAAAAAGAAGATACATCAACAGGAATGAGAAATTTTAAGAAAGAATTTTGATAGAAAAAATGAAAATGGTCCTAAAGAAGCAGAATAGGAGGAATACTTCAAAGAAACAGCTGTGGGCTCAGGCTGTGATTTCATGTGTAAGAAAACATCTTTTTTTTAATTTTATTTCTGAAGTTATGTCTCATTTATACAAACTCTCTTGCCTCACAACTTAGCTTATAGCATGAAACATGTCTTATAGGGCAGTGCCCAGCCCATCACATTAGATGTTAAGGATGGAGCAGGCTGCATCTGCGCAGCATCCAACTTCTTCCGTCTGTCCCCCTACAAGATTCTCTACTGAAGGAGTATCCATGATTTTCATGTCAGTAGATTGTCTTCACTTCCAACAAATTGGATCATATAAGAATGTGTTATAGACTTACAGCAAATTACAAAGTAGCATTTCTCATCCTTGAAAAAGACCAACTCCTCCCAAGGAATTCCATGAGGGAGTCATGAATAGAGTGTATCAAAATGGGTATCATCTTCTTCAAATCATATTCAGCTGGATTAAACGTGAAGCGAGACAAATGCTCAGGTTGTCAGGCTGATATTTGTATATATTTATCAATTGTCTGCTTTCTCTGTCCCATTATGGAAAAAGTTAAAATTTTTTTCATTATGGTTGCATATAATTAATATAAAAAGATCAAATGTTTATGTTTCCTGTGGAGATCTTAAAAAAACACCCACTTGTTTATTTTTTAATGAGGAGATGAATGGATGCTATATCCTTAGGAGTTTAAGTTTAGATTTTGAGTAAATTAAAGCAAATATACTTTAGATTCAGAAATATATACTTTATCTGGGTTTCAGGTCCAACTTAGTTGTCACAGAGTATATCCAATGTCAACCTTGCTATGATCACTACAACAGAATTTCATATATTTTCACGATCATTTCACTGTCTGTTCCTATTTCCCACCACATTGGATTGTCAGAGTTGCCACAGAGTAAACAACAGTGGGTTTTTCCTGTGAATTTCCTCAATTTGTAGTAGATTTTACATCCCTGGAATAGGGATTATATAAAGAGCATTTCTGCTTTCCTACTTCCTACATTTTTGACATTGAAGAGGGAAAAAGGATGTTGGTCATTTGGGGTAATCTCATTTATCAAAACCTTACAAATTTCTCTGCACATTTCTCTTCATCATTTCTATGTAGCTGAAATGAGAACCCAAAACAGAGGTTTGTGGACTTTGCCTAACTAATTTAGAAACAGAAATAGGGAATTTTAAAAACAGTGTGAAAACTTTAAATGAAAACTCCCAGGCTGTGCAAACAAAGGCGAGGCGCCTAAGGGCTTTTTGAAGAATTCTTATTAAAAAAAAACACTATTTTACATTGCAAAGCAGATGTGTCAGAAAACAACAGCAGATTTGTAATTCGAGAATTTGTGGATTGATAGGACAGAAGGCAGCCCCCGTGGCTCCCCACGGAAAACTTTTTGTTTTCTGCCATCAAGAGTTCTGCTTTTAGGGAAGTTGCCGGAAAACACCTTAATCTTCTTACCACATGTGGTCATACTTCTCAGATATTTTGAGACAGTATTAATGTTGGACATACTAGTAAAACTACTGCCTTTGCTCTGTGAAATAATGAAATGGGCACTGTCTTCTTGAATATTAATCTGAAGCTAAAGTAGAAGAAAAGCTTTAACTTTACAAATTTAAACTTAACCATATTTGCTAACAATTATTTTGGCTCTTCAGAATAATTGCAAAAACGTGTTTCTTTTGAATGTCATTAAAAAATTTATAGAATTATTGTGTAAAAAAACTTTTGATAGATTATTCTAATGTATAACACTACTCACTGTCAAGAAATCTCCTTTATATCTAATATAAATCTTTCATGCTGTGTTAGGTTGTAACCATTTTCCTCTTAATTATCTTTGTTAAAAGAGAGTTTGGTTGTCAGTCATATATATATATATTTGTATTTATATTTATTTTTATTATAATATTTATATTTATATCTTTATATCTTTATATATATTTATTTATATATATTATGTATATATATTATATAATATATATTTTATATATTATATAATATATAATATATATTATATATTATATATTATATATTATATATTATATATATTATATATAATATATTATATTTATATAATATATATTATATTATTATTATATATTATATTATATATATACATATATAATATATATTTATATATGTATATATACATATATATTTATATGAACATATATATTTATATATGTATATATAAATATATATTTATATATATTTATATATATTTATATATAAATATAAATATATATTTATATATGTATATATAAATATATATATATAAATTTATATTATATATATTTATATATATATTATATTATATTATATATATATATATATATATATATATATATATATTACCAGTCATTCCATTTTGGGTAATGCTGTATTAAAAGATGTAAATCAGTAGTACAGTATACAGGGTTTCCAGTTTGCGTTCTACCTCTAACTACCACTGTTCAGCCTAGGGCAAATCACTAAACCTTCCAGAGCCTCAGTTTTCTCATTTGTAAACTGAAAATTGAATATTGAATTTGTAAACTGAAAATTGAAATAGCAGCCCCCCACCTTAGGTGTGTTATGAGGATTGAGATGATTTTTGTAATGTGCTGACTACAACCTACAACTTTTTGGCAGATTTTAGTAGCTTTATTAGTACTTTCATTATCACCATTTTTGTTATCTATTGATCGGCTTTTTGGCAAGTTTGTCCATTCAACATGACTCCAACCTGAAAAGCAAAGGGGAACAAAATTCTGAAAACTCTAGTAATTCTGTAGATCTAAAGTTTATCACTAATTCAAGTAAATAAAAAGATAGAGACTGTCTTATATTCTACCAACCCATATGACGGCAGCCAAATGTTGTAACTTAGCAATGTGAGTACTGTGTCATGTGACATGAAAGGTCACATGTACAGCTGTTCTGTGACATCTGCCCAGCGGCTATGATATTCATACATTCCACATGGGTGATGAATGATGATGAGTGGATTGATCAGTACAGAAGTAATTCTAGTTGTTTAGTATTCTATTTTAGAATGCTGGGAAATGTTCTGTGAAGTTTTCCATTAAAAAATAAACAATTTGGAACATACCATTGAAAAGTAAGCTACCAGAATAATCTCTTAGCCAGAGTGGCTCATTCCCTAATAAATTCCTGATAAAAGATTTTGTTATGTAGAAAATTCTTTTAAAATATGCCTCAAAAAATTAGGTGTAATGAAATTTACTTCCCAGTAATTTAATTCTTTGAGGTTTTATATATGCCCTTGTTCACCCAACATCTATTAAAAGTTTGTTATTTATGTGCTAAATACAAGATATTCTGGGATATAAGGATAAATAAGACAGAGTTTTTAATCTTCAGGTTAAGATCTTTGTAGAAATAATAGGCATATTCAGGTGAATATTCACCTGAATATATTCACCTGAATATTCAGGCATGTTCAGATAGTAAAAACGATGTGATTTTTATGGCATTTGAGCTGGGCACTAAGACTCACCAAGCTTTGGGCATAATCATAATGGATATCCTTTATCAAGTGCCTTTTCTGGGCACACACTTTATGTACATTACTTTTCATCTTTACCAATCCCCTGGAAGCTAGGTAGTATTAACCTCATTTTGCAAGTGAGGAAACCGAGGTTCAGAAGGTTAAGCTTGCCTGAAATTGCTTAGCTACCCAAACTGTCTTACTCTAATACTTACTTCTATTAATGCCATGTTATTTCTTGCTGTTAGGGAATGGAGGTGAGTTAGAGTGAGTGAGAGGGCACATTATGAAGACAGAATATAGGTACACAGAATTGTGAAAGTAAATGGTCATTGGATCTAGAGAAGATTAATTATCTTTGACTTAGTTGTGTGAGGAGGTGGTAAGACTATAGATGGGATTAAGACTAAGGAATTTAGACTTTGGCCTATAGTCATTTGGTAGCCACTGTTACACTACAGCATGGATAACTTGGTATCCATGAGTAGAATATTGATGGAAAAGGAGATAAGAAACAGAGAAACAAGTGAAAAAACTACTAGAATAGGTTATTGGAGATGAACTGGAGAACTGGCATAACAATGAAAAGGAGGAAGCACACAAATAAACTGGTCATACACTTGGCAAGTTGATGTGACAACTTGATGGAGGAGTGTCCGGGAGATTTCGAAGTATTGATTATAGTGACTGGGGGAAGATCTGTGCTATTGGAATTGAGAAACAGATTTGCTGATATAAAGATGGTGAATTCAACGTTGTATATATTGAGTCAGAGATGAGTCAGAGCCTCGTTTAGATGGAGCTGACCTGCAGGAAGTGTGATTTGTTATATTGACCTGCATTTGCAGAAGGTTTGGTTGGATTTGCCCTTTCGTTTGACATACTTGATACTGCTCAAATTATTTTTTTCAAATAAATATAATTGTTTCTTATCATTTATTACTGATTGATAAAAACTGAGTGCAAAATTTGTAAAACCATCAGATCTTTTCAACTCTTTATTTCTGGGTAAGCAGGAGTATATTGAATTACTCTTCTCTTTGTCTTCTCAGAGTTCAATAACATAATTGCTTTTGGTCACTTTGGATAGAGAATCATGAGATGAAGTACTGTATGTTGATAAGACAGTGTGGTGTAGTGCCTAAGAAAACTGACTTTGATGTCAGACAGAGCTGTTTCAATACCATGTCTTCTGATAACCAGTGGCTGCTGTTAATAAAGTTGCTTGACCTTTGCCACCTCATTTTTTTCTCTTACTGGTCAAGTAGGGGGAGTAATTTCAGTCATGTTACATTGTTGTGAGAATTAAATGAGGTATTGTGTGTAAGATACTTGGCAAAATTCTTGAGCTATAGTAAGCACTAAATAAATGATTGTTGTTATTATTTTTAATTTGTGTGTTCACAAAATGATATTGTTCTTTCATTAACCTATATGTAATGTCTTTAATTTTCTGTAGAGCCAGAGCTCTGCCACAAATTGTAATCCAGCTCAACTTCAGTATTTTTAGGAGTATCATATGATGTTTACTTTATGTCAACTTAGTGTTTTGTGTTTTTTGATTAACAGTTGCTTTCTCTAGTACTAACTACCTTACTATGCTGTACTGAGTGCCAAAATTCTTCTTAGAAACATTGCTAAGAATATTAGATCCAAGTACTTTTCTATGTGTGCACTTCTGTTGTATGTTTTGAGGGTCTTCTGCACTTTTGGCCTAATAGGAGGTGAATTACAGAACTTTCTTACCTCTGTAAGGTTTATATCATTACCAGCTATCTATAGAGGTGCTTCTGTGAGTGATTAGAAAAGATAGGCTTTCCCCTGTGGGGGTGGCTGGGAAAAGTGTAAATTACTATTACAGGTTTATTCTTTTTTTTTTTTTTTTTCCAGAAATTAGTCAGCCCTGTATCATGAGATTCAAAAAATTAACTTTGAAGATATTGAAAAAGAAAGCCTTCCTACTATGTTATTTTTCAATAAATGATGTCTCAAATCCATTTACAAAAAGAAATGATATGCTTTCCTTAAGTTTGGTTGTTTTGTTCTTACTATATTTGACTCAATGTTGTCTACGAATTTATTTTTATTAGTAAGTGTTCTCATGAAACTAGTTATAAAATATTTTTCTCTGTGTTTGGAAGATTTCTGTTTATCAGTACTATTAAATGTGGTACTTTAAAACATTTTGTAAAAATAACAGTGAGAACTTCATATAGGATATCTAGTTATAATTCTTTTTAATTAAGGTGAGCTCACTAGCTGCACAAATGATATTCATACATTCCACATGGGTGATGAATGATGGTAAGTGGATTGATCAGTACAGAATTAATTCTGATTGTTTAGTGTTGTATTTTAGAATGCTGGGAAATGTTTAAATACTTGGCCCTCCTTCAGTAAATTCATATTTTCTTGCCTGTTGTTCCAAACTGGAATCTTGGTCCTGTTTCTTAAATAGCCATGAAATGAAAATTGTAGAAGTTCTTCCTTATTTCTTCCTTGGTCACACACTAAAATTTACCTATAATTAGTGGGCATCAAGAGAAGAAATAACATTTTAGCACCTCTTCTCTCCTGTATATTTTCATGTGTCCATGGAAATATAGTCCTCATTTGAAATTCAGTCCCTAGTTGGGAATGTGCTTCCTGTTCCTGTCATCAGCTCTTGAGTTCATGAGTCTGGCCTGTACCTCTAAATTTATTTACATTTAGAGAGCTGATTTATCTGTTTTGGACACCCACCTATTTCAAATCCAGTGCAAATCTGCCTTATTGACTAACTACTGACACCTTGAGCAGACCAAGTCATCTATGAGTAAAAGATGGGTCTATTCAAAGCTACTATATTTCATTTTTATAATATCAAAACTTATTTTATAATACGGAATCCTTAAGTGCATATTATAATTATTTTCCATTAATTGAAGAGGGAACTTCTGTCTCATGCTGTGAGAATGGAATTAAAAGAGACAGTGGGACAGTAGAATGCCCAGGATTGAGTGATAAATTCTGTTGGAAACAAAAGACAAGGAGAAGACAAGGGGTGGGGGGTGAGTGAACTCAAAACAATTCATAAGTTTTTGAAAATTCTTGTATTATTAACTAAAATAGAAAAATCAGACAAAAATGTCAACTACATTTCCACTGTAGACAGGTTCATTCTCTTTTCAGTTTTAGACAGTCGATTTTGTTTTAATGAAAGAATAGAATTAGAACTTTTCAGAACTGGAAGGGTATCTATGAAATAAAAACTTTAGAAATCTTCCCATCCAAATCTGTTATCTGATAGCTGGGGAAACTACAGTAGAGAGGTGTTTACCTGAGATTGTTAGAGCACTATGGCAGCAGAATCAGAATTTAGAAGCAAAGAGAAAAAACTTCATGAAATTGTTAGAAATGTGGTACTAGAGTCATTCACTGCATTAGTAGTTAGTAGAATAGGATTAGTCAACATTGACAAAATAGATCCATTTCTTCAGGAATAGATGGTATTCAGAAATTTCTTAGAAGAGTCTCAAATATTTCAGTTGCATCACAACTTGTGGCTATTTTTCACTGAAAATAATTTTATTTCTCTGATCTGTAACTCATTTTGAGATGAAAATGCATATGACTCAGTGAACTCCACTTGCTGATAGCGTATTTTGTTCTTCCAGTAAACACTGGGCTACTCATATAAAACTTATTTGAAGAGTGAGGAATAAGAGTTTCCAGCATTTGAAACTCAGAACCTGTAAGTTATTTTCTTGTCTCTCTTTTCTGAGATTTGATACCACAGATCCTGAGTGAATCAGTATTATGTACAACCATCAAAATTTTTAATGCTTTCTCTTTGCAAGTTTTATATAAATTATTTATCTTTTATGAATAAATTTTTTTCCTAAGCTCTCCCTCCAGGTTTGTCTTCAGAGCCTATTTAAATTTTCCATTGCAGGGTGGCTGTAGCAACACTCCTGTTCTGCCTCTTCCTGTGGCTATCAGGTGAATCCTTCTTTTTATCCCTGAGTCCTGTTGGGATAGCTGGCTGACGTCATGAGGCGTGGGCTGATGTTCTGGTCAGTTCAGAGTATGGGATAGGGTAAGGGAGAGTTTCATGTGTTATAATGTGGTACAGGGGGAAGAACATAAACTTAGGAGTCAGACTTGGGTTCCAGTCTTAGCCACTTTCTAGATGTGTATCTTGGTCAACTTATGTCACCTGTTCAGACTCTTAGATTCTCTAACATTAAGTCCTAGAGATCAAGTGAGGATCATGTGAGAGAGAACATAGGTAAAGTGTGGAATATATTCCCTGCACATCTCTCTGCCCTTCCCATGTATAAGGTCACACCTACTCCTCTGTTTCACTTTATCAACTTTAATCGCCACTCACAGGCATCTAAACTGACCTCTTTTTGTTGCTACCTCAATTTCTGATGCTTTGAGGGATTATTAAAGTATATGACTCAATTTGCTATTGTATGGATAATCCACATACCACTACCATGTTTTGTCAGTGTGTTCTTCCATCTCTTCCCTCATGACTAACTTAATTCAATTCAATAACTTTTTACAATGTAAGTCCTAGTCATTTTCAGCAACTTTTTGCAATGTAAGTCTAGTCCTTTTATAGAACTTGGGATACTCATGACCCTTTCCTGCTGCTTATGGGTAGGTTTCACCTGCTCTGTTTTGTTTACATTTTTTTTGTGTGTGTTTGTTATGTTTTATTTAGTGGCTGTTATTCAGCATTAGCACTGTGGAAGAGGGCTGTTATGATCAATAACAATCAGCTATTCATATCATTATATGTAATCTTTGAGTACTTGACTCTGATTGAAAACCTGTTTCTCTTCATGCTTGTAAGTATTTCTTTTATATGTCCTGAATGTGCGGGTTGGGTTGAGGGTGCATTACTTCTAACTGTAGGTAGATGATTAATATGCAGGTAAGCGTTAATGTGTTAATAGATTTTTTGTGTGTGTTCTAAAAAGAGAGAGTATGTCTTAGATGTATTTGTCAGAAAAAAAGTTAGTATAAGATTTTACAGTTTAGCACAAATAATATACCCAGAGCTAACTTGTGTCGGGTTCAAAAAGCCTTCTAGTTATTACCAAAAAGATTACATTAGAATTTTGACCCTTCAAAAATATAGTCCTTAGGTGATAGAGCCTTTCTCCTCCCAGTTGATGAAGTATCACTCCACGAAACATGCCTTTGGGGTCTAGTTGTGTGGCCTGTATTAATGAAGTACAGTAAACCCCCACTTAACATTATCAGTAGGTTCTTGGAAACTGTGACTTTAAGTGAAACAACATACAGCTGGTCCTCAAATAATACCATTTTATTCAATGTTGTTTTGTTTTAAAGTTGATGAGGGAAAAAAATGATTTTGTGTATTGTTTCACTTAAAATTGTACTTTCCAAGAACCTATTGAAGCCGTTAAGTGAGGACTTAGTGTATGACTGTATGCATCCCCTCAAATACATACTGTGATTGGTTTTTCTGCCTTAAGTAAAAGCCAGTCAAACCACAATCATAACCAGGTTGGTAAAATATAGCTCATAGCAGTGGTTTTTCTATGTTAAGTGGACATCATAATCACCTGGAGAGCTTTAAAAAGTCCTGATCTCTGAGTCTGTTAAGTCAGAATATCTGGGGTTGGAACCAGGTGTTTGTTTGTTTGTTTCTTGTTGTTATTGTTTTTTTTTTTAAGTTCACAAGTTATTCTACTGTGAAACCAAGGTTGAGAGCCACTGACTGAAAGCAGTTCTACCAAATTACAAACTGTGGAAGGTCCACATACCTTCAGTAGCCTCTCTTGGTTGCATCATGACACCATTTTCAGTATTGCCAAAATTATATTCCTGTCTGCAAGTGTCCTCAGGCAATCTATAGTAAAAAATTATGTCTCCAAGAAAATGAATTTGTATAATTTTCTGGCTATCCTGATGAAAAATAAGAAAATGTTAAAAATTGTATTTATCCTTGATCTCTTTCTCCATACGTGTTGGCATTCCTCCATTTCCCATTGACTTAACGTTCAATTTTTCTCTTCACTGTTTTTCTTGGGTGACATTGGGAATTTTTACCATCTGATAAGGCAGATGTATTTTCAAATAAAAATGTCTTAAGCATTTGTTCTTCCTACTATTCCTTTCTTTGGCAGAATATTCATATAGTTGATAAATAGTTTGCTTTCTTTAAATACCTTTTCATATAATCTTTGTAGCATGTTTCATGGGTATTTTAACCTAGTTTTATGGTTTTTCATGAAATAAGGTATTTTCTAAATATGTTATGCTGAATTTAACTGAAATAAGCAGTTGTACTGTATGTCTTTAAAATGATGATGATATCTTGCATTTTAGGGTAACACTTTCATCCTGAAAGATTCCAAAGCACACTGAGAATGGTTACAAATTATACAGTGCAGCACAGTCACCATTGTAGAGTGAAGCATGGCAGCTGTTTAACAGCTCATCACAACACTACACAGCAGGTTAGGGTACGAAGTGAAGGATAATAGTGGATTCACTTGAAAAAATTGCTAGGGGGTTGAGGTAAGCAGAATGTAATTACCTAAGTTGGAATTTATCCAGGACATAAGGCTAACACCTCCAGTCTTAGAAGAGAAGCTCTGATTCTTTAATAACCATGTATTACATGCTATGTAACTAAAATGTAAGGGTGCTTCTAGCCTCTTCAAATCATAAATGTATGCTCAGTGTTCCAGTTGAGACTTAAAAAGAAAAAAAAAAGCCTTCTTTTAAAAAAACTCACATGTTCATACTAACTCGGGGATGATAGGCTTCTATTTGCATGGCATTTTTGGCTCTTAATGGCTGGAGCTTGTCGAGGATTCTAAGATGTTCAGAATTAAAAACGAATTCTATGATAGATTAGTAATGTCTGCCATGGGCATGGCAAAAGTAGTGCTTATACCTGTGCTATATTTTCTAGCTCCAAGACTTGGCTGCTAGTTTCCTGGGATGACTTAGCAATACTCTGAATTCTTTTCAAACCTTTGGATTAATTTTAATTACTCTTCCAGACATATGTAAGTTTTCCTAAGAAAAGTTTAGGGGAAAAGAACATTGACCGTTTTTTAGTAACTGTCATTGTTGGGGTTAGAGATAAAAAGATATAACCTTATGTCAAAAATTTCAATGCAAAAATGTCTAGCAAAGGAAGCAAATGGTGTCAGATTGGGTTTTCATTTGGAAAAATAAATCAACATCTGAGAGAAGCAAATGGTAATTAAGTTTAGGAACACAAGGTAGCAGAAACCTGTTACTAAATCAAGGTGAGAACTGAACACCGGAATTTGGTTTGTTTGAGGAATAAACTTTGGTACATAGAATAATAGGGCCCTGGCTCTGAAACCTGCACCAGGGATAGCTCCCAGTGATGGTGGCTTCTCCATGGCTCTTCAGTTCTTTCCCATTCAGACTGACCCTCTATCTAGAGCTTCCACTCTGTGGCTTAGTAATGCCTATAAAATCAGGAAAATGGACCCTTTCATCCTGCTAATGTTAATATTAGAAATAAGTTTATAAGCGAGGTACTGTAAAATTCATTTTGCATATCTTATTTAATTCGTATGACCTAATATGTTAGGTATTATAACTCACATTTACATATGAGAAGATAAAGTTAAGTAATTTGCCTGTAGTCCCATTTCAAATGAATGATGACACCATAAGTTAAACTTTGATGTGTCTGGCTTCAAAGCGTGTGTTCTTAATAACTGTACCACAAAGTTACATGAGACTGAGATCACTGGTATGGCACTTGCTTCTTATAAACTAAAGTGGCTATAGGAACATTCTGGGGGTTTAAAGCATAGTTGAGGAGGAAATTTAGAACGCTTCTACTAGCAGTCTAGGGTGTGGATAATTTGTATGTTCTTCTGTCTTCCAGAATCATTATGGATAGAGTTGTTAGAACTCAGAGACAGTTTCTTGTAGTCCTTTTGATAGGATCCAAGTTATTTGACTAGAAAACAATGTTTTAGTTTGTTTAGAGGGAATTCCTGTATTCTTACAAGTTTGGTTAAAGTAATCTGTAAATTACTTTAAACTTGTGATATTTTGATTCTAGATCCTATATCTTTGTCTTATTCCCTATTTTATTTCCTCTTATTACGCACTGGTATCAATGGGTGTAAAAGATCTTCTTGCACTCTAATTTAGAGAATATGAAACCATAAGCTTGCTTTTAGTTGGATCTATGACTCTAAGATTAAAAAGACAAGGACTGAAAAATTATGGATCATATTTCAATCTATAGTGCTGTGTTCTTACTTTTCTGAGAAGTTGGTTTTCCTTATATTCTTAGATATATCCAAAGAGGAACTCTAAACCAAAAAAGATTAGTTGTCCGACTTAAAACAGCCTTGGTCTAAGTAATCATCTAAAGTTCTAAGTAGGATGATAAAATCATCTTTTCATTTGATGATGGGCCATGTGGAAAAAACAAACTTTATTTAGTTATCTGTGTTATAAAATAATTTTCATACCTATATATCAGGAATAGATACTCAAGTTTACACCTGTGGTCTGGTAAGTCAAGTTTATGCCTGAAGCACGCTCAAATGTTCAGGTTATAAGACTCCAAAAAATGCCTTAGAGTGAAAAAGGACTGACAGACTTTTAATCATGGTAATGCTACTGTCACTTTTGAAGTCTGTGTAAGTTATCTATTACTGTACCTTTATGACAGAAAAAGTAATATTCTAAGAACAATATGTGATAATATGATTGGGAAAATTTGGTATAGTATGGTATGGTGAGTAGCTGGACACTGTTTTTCCATGGCTTGTAGTTAAGATATAATGATAGTGTATCAAATTCTACTTATATGGCTTTTAAATCCTTATAGATAGGTAATTTAACAATTTTTAAAAAGTAATTGATAAGTAATCTAATTATATGGTGTGTAAAAAGACATATAAATCATTTATTATGCAGGTCATATTTGTCTTTCTTTTATAGGATATTATTGTTAAGAGGGGTGCGTGTGTGTATGTGTGTGTCCATGTGTCTGCACGTGTGTGCACCTTCATTTTGGGTACTTTGAGGCAGTTCTATTGCCTTTCACATTGGGCTTGCAACCCCAGCTGCATATGAGAATCTTGTGGAAGTTTCAAAAATCTTTATGCCCAGGTAGCAACCTAGACAAAATAAATCTGAATTTCCAATAATAGAACTGAGATATCAATACATCTTTAAGCTTCCCAGGTTAAGGACCACTGATAAAATACGTGAATACTTAGTAAAGTATTTACAGCTTGTACACATGTAGATAATTGCATGGAGAAGATGAACGAAAATTTTCCTTCTCCTAATACAGAGGAGAGTTTTTTGGAGGGTTGTGGTAGGTTGCTTATTGAAATAGGATGACCAGATAGAACATAATACTGTAAAACTTTAGGCTGAAAGAGACTTTCATTTAGTATCCTTTCCATTAGCAGTGACTTAAGTGAAACACCTGAAGAAAGATGTAAAACACCCGCAATTCACCTGGCCATTTGTGCAGTGTTTTTTCTTGACTCCAGCTGCTAGCCAACTTATGACCTGAATCTTGATGATTAATAGCTCTTATAATATTTTCTTAGCTAGTGTAACTTCAATAGCAATACTTTTTCTTCTAATGTCTTACCCTTATAAAATAGCACTAAACTATTTTTCTCAATAAATTCTACTGACACATGGTCCCATAGATTAATTATAAATTGCATAGAAGTACTGCCCTTTGTCAGTTTTAAATGTGTAGCTTTATCTTCTCTTTCTCCTTGTCTTTCCAAGCTAAATGGAATTAGAAGCTTAAAGAAACCTGATTTACATGGAATCTATTTCTGTTCTCTTATTTTAAACAATAGTGCCATTAATTTTAATTCTAGGCTCTTTGGTTCCTCTACTATTTTCATTATTATTGTAATTAAAAAAGAGTCATCTCTATTTTTACAAATCCCTTTATTTTACAACACTGTATAAACATATTTTTAGGGAATAATTTTTTCCTCAAATGCTGTTATTTTTTACCTACTGGGCTCTCTCCATAAATTGAATTAGGAATACCAAATAACTTTTATTCATCACCATCATCTTTTTTTTAAAGGTGAAGATGAAGGGGGAATGAGTATCAAAAAGGACTTAGACAATTATGGAAATAAATATTGGGCCTCTTTGGCATGGGTATTTGAAAACACCCCAAAGTAGATGGAATGAGTAACTTTAGGGCTTCATGCTGGCACAGCCCCGCAAATATTTCCTTACAGGATTTTATAGACATTTCACAATAAATGTATTTTGTTAAAATGGTCTTAGGTCCTATAAAGCAGAGTCTGTATTCTAGGAGGAATTCTTTTGGAGTTATTTAATAGTATTCCTTTCACAGTGCCTCCCTTCTTCATACTTTTGTTCCCATTGCAATGGTAGTGTCTTTGACCAGAGGGTAGTGTATGGTAGATGCACCTGACAGCAACAACTTAAGCATACCCTGAGAATGACTGTATGGCAGACATACTGAATGTGTTCAGCGTTCTGAGCTAAGGAGTCTGGGAGTGGCCAACCCAGAAATTCATTCCTTATCAGTGAAGAACATCTGAGCCCCTGGTCTGTCCCTCATGTACAGGGGATCAAGGCCCTTTGTCTTGGGTTAAATGAAGTTTGCCAGGTGGAGGTAGTTAGTGGGAAGATGCTAAATGAAAATGCTATATAAACTGCATACTGTGCGAGGGTAGTGATTCTCCTGACCAGTGTGCCGCCACCAGACCAGTGCTTCTCCTGCCCAGTCCACTATCCCTAGACTCTCCCCTCTGTATGTAAGCCCCTGGTAAAACCCCATGTCTCATTCAATGGCTCTGAGTCTCTTCTTCAACCCCTTGAACATAGTGCCATCCCCATTGGCCTTGATAGGGGTTTGGCACAACAGGTAAAGACAGCTTACACTGAGTCTTAGCTGTTCCCTTTAAATGATTGAAAGGAAAGAAAATATGGTCTTCAATGGTTATATTTAAATATGGAAACTATTATTACTGAGATGCTGATCCCGTTACCCTTTGAAACAGGGCAAGGTAGTATCAGAAAATGTAGAGAAAGTGAGTTGGTTTGGATGTAACGAAGATGAAACACTATTATAATCAATAAAAGGCAGAGCCAGTTTTGTTTGTTTTTTTGTTTTGTTTTGTTTTCGGTTTAGGCAGCTCTTGAAATGGTATGATTTAAGGGGTAGCTCAGAAGTTTCAAACTCTCCTCCAAGCATCTCCCTAATACTTCCTGAAGTTCTGTCACCAGTTAAGAAGCAGTTCTTACCGAAATCCCTTTTTATAGTTGAAGGTTGCCAGATAACTCCTGAAATTATATATAAAATTTCGTGGGAATGTGTGTAAATGTGTGTGCTTTTTGAGAAGATTCATAACTGTCATCATAGCTTTATGTATCCATAAAGATATTCTTAAAAGCAGATGTCCATCATATAATTTTAGCTTATAATTTATTCATAGTTATTTCCTTCTGGTTATCTTACAAAGATGAGGAATTAACCTCTAGATCCAAAACTATAACTTGGATGTTCTGACCCCCAAATCTTTTGTTCTTTCCCAGGAACCCAGAAGGTGAGGGAGTTTAGAGTAAAGGGTAATACAGATATTGGGGCAGTTGGACTTGAGTGAGGCACTACAGATTTTAAGTACCTACCTAGAGGCTAGCATGATGGTAGTAGGTATGGAAGGCTCAGCAAGTGAGGTGGGTCAGAAGATAGAAAAGGTGACGTGCATAAGAAGGTTGAAAGGCAGCAAAGTCTTAAGATATTTTTCACAACTTTTAGATCATCTCATACTAGGGGAAATTGGAATTGCATTCCCAATAGATATTTATTATATACCACAAATCTCATATTTTTTCTTTTGCATTCTTTCATAAAATTTCTGAAGATTTATCATGACTTCTTTCCAACCCTTCACTATCTCTGCTCTCTAATATCCTAATGATATATAATAACAGTAACTTTGTCACATTACTGCCTTTAAAACTATTCAATACCACTTCAGTTTATGAATTAATTTTATATTTTAACACTGTAGTTTCTAGGGCAGGTGTTAGTTTTTTTTGTTTTTTGTTTTGTTTTGTTTTGTTTTTAATATGGGCAAACGCAGGGTGCTTATATTCTAGAGGCACAGGATCTAGTGAAGAAAAAAGAAGAGAAGAGTATGAACAGCAAGAGCACTCAGCTTTAGACAGTAGACTCCTTATATTTGTGATTTTCTTTGTTTCTTGAGACAGCCCCATGAAGCAGGTACTCTGTCTTATTTTACAGTAGAAAATCCAAAGTGTAGAAATCCTAAGCACCTTGCCAGAGGTCCTACAGGCAGTCAGATGGCAAGGCTGGCCTCTGGCCTTGGCCCTTGGATTGGAGAACCTTCACATTTCACCAGTCTTCTGGTTTTGCTTCCCTGGTCATTGTACCATGTAATGTGCACAATCTGTATGAGGTACACCAGAAGTAGAGTTAGGACAGGGATTGCAGAGAAGACGACATTGGAGCTGTGCCTTGGAGGATGGAAAAGAGTTCCTTTGCCTATCTAACAGGAGCAGGAAGGTATTTTCATCTCAGGGAATACTCTAAGACATGGCCTGACTTGTATTTTAGAAAGGCAATAGTTCCTCATAGCAGTAGCTTGGGGTGTGACTATCTCAGGGTTTGTGCACATGGTTAGTGCAAAGTTAGAAATCAGATTCACGTAATCTGAATTCCTTGCTGCCTCTCAATACCTCTTAATTTTAATTCTTTGTAGTTATGTAAACAAATGAACTCTGGGAATTAATCCTGCATTAATTAGGAATTAATTTTCTTCCTGAACCCTAAACCTAACCCATAGTTCCTACTATTCATCTATCTGGTCTCTTGCCCAGACATTACCAGCCCTGTATTTAAACATTAAGATTCTTACCTAGTGTATAATTGCAAGGATTAATCTGTGAAACCTTTATTTGGGCCAACAAGGCATCCAGACCCTGAGTAAGTTCTGGGGACCCAAAGTTGCTGAGTCCTTTGCTACCCAGGAATTTTCACGATCCATATTTTTAAATTTTATTTATTTATTTATTTATTTTGAGATGAAGTCTTGCTCTGTCGCCCAGGCTGGAGTGCAGTGGTGCGATCTCGGCTCACTGCAAGCTTCGCCTCCCAGGTTCACACCATTCTCCTGCCTCAGCCTCCCAAGTAGCTGGGACTACAGGCATCCGCCACCATGCCCGGCTAATTTTTTGTATTTTTAGCAGAGACGGGGTTTCCATGTTAGCCAGGATGGTCTTGATCTCGTGACCTCGTGATCCACCCACCTCGGCCTCCCAAAGTGCTGGGATTACAGGCGTGAGCCACTGCGCCTGGCCCACAATCCGTATTTCTATGGCTAATGCAAATTCAACATCATAGAGCATAGTTTTTGCCAAACTTGAAAAATTGATATTTGTGTTTTTATGAATGTTTGTTTACAGCCGGAACTGGTATAAGACATATCCTGTGTTTTAAAAATATTTTTAGTTTTTAATCTCGGTAATAGCCAGAGAGATACTTAGCTTTTTGGAATATGGATAAATCTTTACATTCAACAGTTCATAGTTGAATTTTAAGGTGGAACTCATAAGGGGAACTGATTGATGTAGTAGTTGCTTACTGTAACTTTTCAGATGCCATGGCATTTTTATAGCATGCTACAGAGTTGAAGACAGATGAGAAAATATTAGTTGATACTACTTGCTGATACAAATGTTGAAAGACAATAACACATTTCAAGTCATATGAAATACCAGATTGTTAGGAGACAGGTGTTGTTTTAAAAATGTTAGTGTACTGCACGGTGGCTCATGCTTGTAATCCCAGCACTTTGGGAGGCCGAGGTGGGCAGATCACAAGGTCAGGAGATTGAGACCATCCTGGCTAACACGTTGAAACCCCCTCTCTACTAAAAATACAAAAAAATTAGCCGGGCGTGGTGGCGGGCACCTGTAGTCCCAGCTACTTGGGAGGCTGAGGCAGGAGAATGGTGTGAACCCAGGAGGTGGAGCTTATAGCGAGCCAAGAGGGCGCCACTGCACTCCAGCCTGGGCAACAGAGTGAGACTCTGTCTCAAAAATAAATAAATAAATAAATGAATAAATAAATTAGTATACTATAGGTTTTAGATAAATCTCAAGTACTTTAAAATACTTCACATTATATATGCATTAACATTTTATGTATATGCATGGAAAATTGACATTTGAAACTCACATTTTACACAGAAAACACTAACTTATCAACCTGTCAAATAAAAACTCAGCTCACACTGACCTATTTAAAAGTCAAAGTCAGTTATTTATCATAAGGCAAACAAGACACTAGCAAAAGAATTACAATGTTTATCACTCAAACTTTAGTATTTTATGCTATTTAATGATGTAATTATTTATTATTGTTAGAAACTTAATGTGCTTAGAAAATTATGCATTGCCGTGTTAATTTCGGAGTCTGAAAGTTTTTATGTTTTATAATTTTTTCCTAGAGGAGTTATATGGGCTGAGTTATGAAGATTAAAAAATAAGAAAAGGGACTCACAGATAAGAGAGCTAGGAAATGGCTAGAGTTGACAGACTGAGGAAGTGGAAATGGAAAAATGAGGTATTGATGATTTCACTTGGTGCTTCTGTGAGGTTGAATTTGAAAAAAGGAGAGGATATGAGCTGTGTGGATCAGGTGCTAGCTGATTACATGAAAGTGGAAAATGCTAATCTACTGTCAGCGTGAAAACAGTGCAGATCGGAGTGAAGAACATTTGCTGGAGAGTCAGGATAGGTAGGCCCTGCTCACCTGTTAAATATATAGAAGGAAGGAATGGGCATTTATTACTGACTGTCAGGTGGTATGCGGGGTGCTGTCCATAGGAGAACTTCTTTTAAATAGAGACCGGTATTCACCAGGCTTCACTTTTTTGACATTTACTCACTGACTGCTTCACATGAGATCTTGAAAACTATTCTAGAGTGTGCTGGTAGTCCCTAGAGTGACAAAACCCCAAAAACCCAGGACCCTCAATAGCATAGACCATTTGGGAATAAACTTTGAAGGCAGCCCTGAATCTCAAGTAAGACCTGAGCTCTTGTTCTGACTCGCTGCTCTAAACTACAGTTGGGCTCCCTTTTCTTATCTGTAAAACGGAAACAATAATGTTTTCCCTATTAGCCTCATGGGATTGTAATTTGTATGAAAGGGATTTAAAAATTATGAAGAAATGCACAATCTACAGTGATATGAAGATACAAAAAATCAGGAGTAGATTGCTCGAGTATATTTCTCTTGCATGTGCTCTCTCTCTCAGGTTGAGTGGAACAGCTGAAATGGTTCTGTTTTAGCTCATTTGAACCCACTTCATAGACATAGGGTATGGCAGTCCACTGGTCCTTGAAGGCATTGTGTACGGGAGTTCTATTTTTGTAATCTATTGCCTGTGAATAAGCCCCACATTTTAAGATGTGCACAGATTACATAAATTTACTAATGGAAAAACATTTTTAGAAGGGTAGAAACAAACCATGATCTGGAACTACATCTGAATGGTGGAATTAGGATGATTAAAAAATGTGTTTTCTACCACACACACACACACATGCACACACACACACCCCTCACATAAATCTACTCCCCCCCACCCCCCCACCCCAACACACACATAAAAATCTCATATGGAAACTTTATTTTGGCAACTCACAGTTTGCCTTACTTGCTGGGTTAAGGTTGACTAATATATAAGCAAATACAGATTTTTTTTTAAATTTACTAGTAGATAAAACACTTGGCAGAAATTGCTGACACCATAGAATGTTATGGTGTACATATTTATGTAAAGAGCTGTGTTTTGCATGGATATATTTTACTAATTCAACGTACTACTCATACAACTTATTACTCACTCTCCCTGGACAGTTACTCAGGAGATTTCTGCTCTTCCCTGCTTGGTAGTAGCAACTAGAAGAAACAGACTTGCAGGGTAATACATTTTATCTCCCTGCCTGTGAGTTACTGCAGTTCCTGATTTCTTTTGCCCTGCCCTGGAGCAGTTTGCCCTGCCATCTCTAGTGAAAGAATTTCTCTGAATACCATTTGCTTGCATTTATTATTAAACTTTTGCTCAACTTTGACCATGTAGTATTGTAACACACAAATCCTGGAGAAAGACATGATAGCCACTCAGTTATGACCTGTGTATAACAGAGAAGACAAATAAGACAAAAGTGCTGCAGAAAGGAATGGCACAGGTAAGAAATTATTGGTCCCATGTTTCTGTTGTTTTCATTATTTTTTCCAGTGACATTGCCACCAAGCACTTTGAATGAACAAAAAAGTGCTTGGAGAAAACAAAAATAGTGATAATGACCAAAACATAGGTGTGTGAAACCACAGGGAGCGATGTCCTGGTGGATCATCACTCTTCCAACTGCCAAACTGGCCCTTGCCTACATTTAGTAGTAAGTGTGAAAGAAGTAGAAACAAATGATGCCACAGTTAATTTTTTGGGAGGCAACCTCACTAGGAAAGAGGAGCCTTGAATGGTTTTACAGAGAATCAAGATTGGCCAACTTTCATATAAATTTGTATGCAATTTTGGCTGTACAAAACCTTGCTTAAACTTAGCCAGAGCATTCTTACTTTGAATCACTAAGAAAGAGACAACCACCGTAGAGATTTCAGTTTTTGTTGTTGTTGTTGTTGTTGTTGTTGTTGTTTTTAGACAGGGTCTCGCTCTGTCACCCAGGCTGGAGTTCCGTGGTGTGATCTCGGCTTACTGCAACCTCCGCCTCCTGGGTTCAAGCAATTCTTGTGCCTCAGCCTCCAGAGTAGCTGGGAGTACAGTTGTGTGCCACCACAGCTGGCTAATTTTTTTGTATTTTTAGTAGAGAGGGGGTTTCACAATGTTGGCCAGGCTAGTCTCAAACTCCTGACTTAAAGTGATCCACCCACCTTGACCTCCCAAAGTGCTGGGATTACAATCATGAGTCACCATGCCTGGCCTGAATTTTCAGATTTTTAAAACTGCTGTGAATTCCAATGATTGATTCTGCCTTAACATATGCCTGCAGTATGTTCTGGTGTATTTTGATTCAGAGACCTCTGGGATACAAATGCCATTTTATTAACCTATCTTCTAGTTGCTCATCTAAGCTTTGTTCTAATAACAAGTCCGTTATACAATATCTCAGAAGGATATTTAAGCTGAAATCTAAGTGCAACCTCTTGTTTTGTTTTGTTTTGTTTTGTTTTGTTTTGTTTTGTAGTGTGGGCACTACTCATGTGCATACAACACACTCCCATAAAACTCAAATTTTGTATTTATAGGGAAATTTCTCCTGAGAGTTAAGGTCTTGTAAAACACGCTCTTGTTCTACAGCATGAGCAAATTATTATACTCAAGGGCATTGAAAGTGAAGTGTACTGAAGAAAAGAATTTTTTCATTAAATTACAGTTTATATTGATAAAACAGATTACTAGCATTTGATGAAATGTGTAACTTGGAGCACCCCATATCACTAAATCGCCAGTAGGTTTATTTTGGCAAGTGGAGCCAGCATGTATGTGACATATAAGGGGCCAGACAGTATACCTGATAGCACTGCATTAGATTAAATTGTCTTTTGGTAAAGTCGTTTAAAAACGGAAAAAAAGTATGGTGTCTGTGCCTTGACAAGCAGGCTGTAGTAACTAAGATTATTAGAAAATAAAAGCTGTTGTGTTATCAGTTTTGGCACAGTCATTTATCAATCAGTATTTTAAACATTGACAAGTGGTAATTTAATAGGGAATGACCCAGTTGGCAGGAAGTTCTAATGACAGATGATGCAAACTCATTTATCATTAAGGGGCTCTGCTGAGCTTCTTACCTTTCTCTGTATCACAGCTCATATTTTCTAAGTCTGGGATGTGAGAAGCCACAAAGGGCAAATCCTGTGGCACCAAGCCTGAAACCCTCTCCCAAGTAGAGAAGAACATTAACACTTTAGGGGCACTCATCTTTGAAAATACTACTCCACATTGATGTTTTTCAATTTAAAACATAGGTGAGAACTATGTGTTGTGGTCTACTATTTACCTAGATTTTTATTTAAAGAAAAAGTGAGGCAGATAAAATTTTGAATGAAGTGCAGACAGAGGTGCTTTAGAAATTATTAAGGCAATGAAAAAGGCAAACAGATTCTGATGAGAAATCCACTGTTCAAACTGTTTTCCTCTCTGCAGTTAATAAATCTTGTCTCTGCCTGCTTTCAAGAATTTTTCTGTCTTTAGTTTTCAGAAGTCTGAATATGATGTGTGTTGGCATGGATTCTGGGGGATTTACCTGGTTTAGAGTTTTCTCAGTTTCTTCAATCTACAGATCTTGGCTTTTGCCAAATTTGGGAAATTTTCAGCCAGCATTTCTTTGAATATTTTTTCATCATCACCTTCTTCTGTTCTTCTGGGAGTGTAATGACACAAATGTTAGAGCTTTTGTTATAGTCCCATACATTTCTGAAACATTGGTCATTTTTCCCCCATCTTTTTTTTTTTCCACTGTTGTTCAAATTGGCTAATTTTTCTTGTTCTCTGTTCAGGGTCACCGATTCTTTTTGTTATCTCCTCCATTCTACAGTTGAGCTCATTCATTGTGTATATTCTACTTTTTAGTTCTAAAATTTCTATTTGGTTTGTCTTTACTTATCCTTTCTTATTTTTTTTCCCTCTTTTTTTCTGAAACTTTCTGTTTCACTTGTTTCAGATATGTTTATTTCTTGAATCATTTTATGTTGGCTGCTTGAATTCGTTGTGATTCTCTCATCTAGGTAATCTTAGTTGGCATCTGTCGATTGCCTTTTCTAATTCAGTTTGGTATTGTGGTTCTTCGTATGATGAGTGATTGTCTATTGAAATCTGGACATTTGGGATCTTATGTTATGAGACTCTGGATCCTACTTAAATCTTGGGTTTTGAGGGTTTTTTTACAGGCCTCCTTTGATATGTATTGCTCTGATGTGTGAAGGGGGTGCTGCCTTATTATTGTGAGATGGGGGTGGACGTCTGAGTTCTTCTGTAGGCCTTTACTGACCAGAGTCAAGGGGTTGGCTCCTTGGGAACTTATTACCACTGAGCTATGGTAAAAGTCTCAACTCTCCATTAAGTCCTCTCTGACATCGCCCACTGGAAAAAGGGAGGGATACCTCATTACTGCCTGGTTGGAATGGAAGTCCCAGTTCTCAGTCTGTGCCTTCTTTGGCACTGGTGGGGGTGGAGAAATACCTTGATACAGCACGGCAAAGCTGGAAATCTAGGTTCTCTGCTTAGGCCTTTGCTGGAAGGGTTAGGGCGTGGTTTTCGCCATGGTGTTGGGCAGAGTAGAAGTGTTTAGATAATAACTAAAGCTTTCTGTCTTGCTGTTACCATCCCTTTGCTTGTCCTTTGGCTAGAGAGAATAGATTTTTCTAGGGGCTGTTCTTTGGCTTTGCCCATTGATGTTTCCAGGTTGCTGACTTCTTTAATATCCAGCCTGGGCTGTATCAGTCAGAAAGAAAGCCAGGGAACTAATTACTGTATCATTCCTTAGGTTCAAAGTTCTCTAGCTAATCTGCCTTCTTGTCTCCACTTATTAGAATTTTCTCATGTTTGATTTTTATAGATAATGTCCAGTGTTTTTCGTTGTTACTTAGTGGGAGAAAGAGAGACAAGTACATCTGTATTATTTCCCTCAGTTAGATTCTGTAGTTGGAGCTCTTGGTACTTGTGTCTCAAAATATAGCAGACTTTCTAGATATTTTGTGTCATTTGTTAAATTGCTTAACTATTTTGAACTGGAAAGCTTTGTGCAAGAATCCTAGGGATTATTCTTTTCAACCTAGTGCAATATTATACCAATGTAATACTTTCTAGGAATAAAGAACCAATTAGGTTATTCTTCATTTAAACATAATTGACAAATAGTAAGCTTTTCATGTGTTGACCTCTTTAAGATGGAAAGTGTATTAACAAACCCGAGTAAAATACTTCACTCCTTAGTGATGAATATTTGGGTAGTTTAGAAGATATCCATCATGATTATTTTGCTTATTGGTACTTATCATTTTGAAAACATTTCATTGTTTTTTAAGCAGGCCGAGCATCTGAATTCCAGTAGAATTAATAGAAACTATATAAGAGCGGTTCCTCTGTCCAGTATTATATAGCAGGGATCCAACTGTATAACATGCTGAGAACTCTTAATGTTGGAAGAGAGTCAGGAGAGAGAGCAAGAAAGAGATTTAAAGATAACAAATGCTGGCCTGCCCAGAGAATGTCTGGCAGTCTGAATCACCAGCTTCCGGAGATGTAGGGAACTCACATCTGATCAGGCACTCTGTCTGAAGCTGGACAGATGCAGTTATAAGGCTTCCAAGTGTCAGTGTTCAGACCAGTGGAGTCTAGCAGAGTTCCCATAGGTCTGTGTCAGAAGGAAATTCAGTCCTAGGAAAGGGGTCTCAAAAGATCCATATGTGAACATCAGTGCTATCACTACCTTACCTATGTTTTAGAGCCCAATTTACTGCTATAGTTGTATTTGGAAATGAGTTGGAGCCAGAGATCCATGGAAAAGGCCTGTTGGGTGGAATGGCCCCAGAGGTGTGAACCCGGTGAAATAAGGGTACAGGGGAAGAAACAGCAGTTAGGATGGTTATAGCCAGGGCTTCTCATGGACATGCTCTAGATGTGGGAATCAAAGCCTACCTTCTTACCTTATTCACTTCACAGATATATCTCACTTGGGCTCTCCATGGGCCTGCCGTGGTTTTGGGTATGACAGGCTCTCAGTACGAAGCTGTAGATGAGCCAGGCCATAGAGGGTGCAAATTTATGCCAAGAATCAATTTGGTACATAACACAGTAGGGTGAAGAAACTGCTCTTGGCTGATTTTCTTTGGATTTTTTGCACTTTTCCTATATTAATAGAGTCAAAAGACAACTGGGAATTTTAGGGAATTTTCTTAATGTAGGAAATAGTTCCCCTAGGAATCCAAGCAATTGTATTCACAATAATGCGAGTGCACTGGAAAGGCCCTGATGTGAGAATCAGAGACTTAAGATCAGGTGCCAGAGGGAGACTGCAGGCAAGTGTCCCTACTTCATCTAAGTAAGATGGGAAAGATGATATCACTCCTGCTGCCTTACATGATGGTTTTGAATGGAAATAAGTTGCAAAGAGTTTAAAAGTGCTACATAATTTCGTAATGTAAGATTTCATTATATATTTGCACAAGGTTTTTTTTTTTTGGGGGGGGGTCGATTTTTCTCTTCTGTTATGTGGAGAAGAATAGTCCTTCCTTATTAGGAAACTGAATATAGGAGAACAAGTCCATGAATATTGGGACAGTCCTATTATGTAGTTTTATATTATTTATTTATTTATTTTTTATTTTTTATAACACTTTAAGTTCTAGGGTGCATGTGCACAACGTGCAGGTTTGTTACATATGTATACATGTGCCATGTTGGTGTGCTGCACCTATTAACTCGCCATTTACATTAGGTATATCTCCTAATGCTATCCTTCCCCCCTCCCCTCACCCTATGACAGGCCCCATTGTGTGATGTTCCCCTTCCTGTGTCCAAGTGTTCTCATTGTTCAGTTCCCACCTATGAGTGAGAACATGCGGTGTTCGGTTTTTTGTCCTTGCAATAGTTTGCTGAGAATGATGGTTTCCAGCTTCATCCATGTCCCTACAAAGGACATGAACTCATCCTTTTTTATGGCTGCATAGTATTCCATGGTATATATGTGCCACATTTTCTTAATCCAGTCTATCATTGTTGGACATCTGGGTTGGTTCCAAGTCTTTGCTATTGTGAATAGTGCCTCAATAAACATACGTGTGCATGTGTCTTTATAGCAGCGTGATTTATAATCCTCTGGGTATATACCCAGTAATGGGATGGCTGGGTCAAATGCTATTTCTAGTTCTAGATCCTTGAGGAATCGCCACACTGTCTTCCACAATGGTTGAACTAGTTTACAGTCCCACCAACAGTGTAAAAGTGTTCCTATTTCTCCACATCCTCTCCAGCACCAGTTGTTTCCTGACCTTTTAATGATCACCATTCTAACTGGTGTGAGATGGTATCTCACTGTGGTTTTGATTTGCATTTCTCTGATGGCCAGTGATGATGATCATTTTTTCATGTGTCTTTTGGCTGCATAAATGTCTTCTTTTGAGAAGTGTCTGTTCATATCCTTTGCCTACTTTTTGGTGGGGTTGTTTTTTTTTTCTTGTAAATTTGAGTTATTGTAGATTCTGGATATTAGCCCTTTGTCAGATGAGTAGATTGCAAAAATTTTCTCCCATTCTGTAGGTTGCCTGTTCACTCTGATGGTGATTTCTTTTGCTGTGCAGAAGCTCTTTAGTTTAATTAGATCCCATTTGTCAATTTTGGCTTTTGTTGCCATTGCTTTTGGTGTTCTGAACATGAAGTCCTTGCCCATGCCTATGTCCTGAATGGTATTGCCTAGGTTTTCTTCTAGGGTTTTTATGGTTTTTAGGTCTAACATTTAAGTCTTTAATCCATCTTGAATTAATTTTTGTGTAAGGTATAAGGAAGGGATCCAGTTTCAGCTTTCTACATATGGCTAGCCAGTTTTCCCAGCACCATTTATTAAATAGGGAATCCTTTCCCCATTTCTTGTTTTTGTCAGGTTTGTCAAAGATCAGATGGTTGTAGATGTGTGGTATTATTTCTGAGGGCTCTGTTCTATTACATTGGTCTATTTCTCTGTTTTGGTACCAGTACCATGCTGTTTTGGTTACTGTAGCCTTGTAGTATAGTTTGAAGTCAGGTAGCATGATGCCTCCAGATTTGTTCTTTTGGCATAGGATTGTCTTTTGGTTCCATACGAACTTTAAAGTAGTTTTTTCCAATTCTGTGAAGAAAGTCATTGGTAGCTTGATGGGGATGGCATTGAATCTATAAATTACCTTGGGCAGTACGACCATTTTCATGATGTTGATTCTTCCTATCCATGAGCATGGAATGTTCTTCCATTAGTTTTTGTCCTCTTTTATTTCTTTGAGTAGTGGTTTGTAGTTTTTCTTGAAGAGGTCCTTCACATCCCTTGTAAGTTGGATTCCTAGGTATTTTATTCTCTTTGAAGCAATTGTGAATAGGAGTTCACTCATGATTTGGCTCTCTGTTAGTCTGTTATTGGTGTATAAGCATGCTTGTGATTTTTGCACATTGATTTTGTATCCTGAGACTTTGCTGAAGTTGCTTATCAGCTTAAGGAGATTTTCGGCTGAGATGATGGGGTTTTCTTTTTTTTTTTTTTAATTGAGACAGAGTCTTGCTCTGTCGCCCAGGCTGGAGGGCAGTGGCGAGATCTCGGCTCACTCCAAGCTCCGCCTCCCAGGTTCATGCTATTCTCCTGCCTCAGCCTCTCCAGTAGCTGGGACTACAGGCACCTGCCACCACTCTGGCTAATTTTTTGTATTTTTAGTAGAGACAGGGTTTCACCATGTTAGCCAAGGTGGTCTCCATTTCCTGACCTCGGGATCTGCCCGCCTTGGTCTCCCAAAGTGCTGGGATTACAGGCATGAGCAACTGTGCCTGGCCGGGGTTTTCTAAATATACAATCATGTCATCTGCAAACAGGAACAATTTGACTTCCTCTTTTCCTAATTGAATACCCTTTATTTCTTTCTCCTGCCTGATTGCCCTGGCCAGAACTTCCAACACTATGTTGAATAGGAGTGGTGAGAGAGGGTATCCCTATCTTGTGCCAGTTTTCAAAGGGAATGCTTCCAGTTTTTGCCCATTCAGTATGATATTGGCTGTGGGTTTGTCATAAATAGCTCTTATGATTTTGATATACATCCCGTCAATACCTAATTTATCGAGAGTTTTTAGCATGAAGGGCTGTTGAATTTTGTCAAAGGCCTTTTCTGCATCTATTGAGATAATCATGTGGTTTGTGTCTTTGGTTCTGTTTATATGCTGGATTACGTTTATTGATTTGCGTATGTTGAACCAGCTTTGCATCCCAGGGATGAAGCCCACTTGATCATGGGGGATAAGACTTTTGATGTGCTGCTGGATTCGGTTTGCCAGTATTTTATTGAGGATTTTTGCATCAATGTTCATCAGGGATATTGACCTAAAATTCTCTTTTTTTGTTGTGTCTCTGTCAGGCTTTGGTATCAGGATGATGCTGGCCTCATAAAATGAGTTAGGGAGGAATACCTCTTTTTCTATTGCTTAGAATAGTTTCAGAAGGAATGGTACCAGCTCCTCCTTGTACCTCTGGTAGAATTCGGCTGTGAATCCATCTGGTCCTGGACTTTTTTGGGTTGGTAAGCTATGAATTATTGCCTCAATTTCAGAGCCTGTTATTGGTCTATTCAGAGATTCAACTTCTTCTGGTTTAGTCTTGAGGGGGTGTATGTGTCCAGGAATTTATCCATTTCTTCTAGATTTTCTAGTTTATTTTCATAGAGTTGTTTGTAGTATTCTCTGATGGTAGTTTGTATTTCTGTGGGATCGGTGGTGATATCCCCTTTATCATTTTTTATTGTGTCTATTTGATTCTTCTCTCTTCTTCTTTATTAGTCTTGCTAGCAGTATATCAATTTTGTTGATGTTTTCAAAAAACCATCTCCTGCATTCATTGATTTTTTGAAGGGTTTTTTGTGTCTCTATTTCCTTCAGTTCTGCTCTGATCTTAGTTATTTCTTGCCTTCTGCCAGCTTTTGAACGTGTTTGCTCTTGCTTCTCTCGTTATTTTAATTGTGATGTTAGGGTGTCAATTTTAGATCTTTCCTGCTTTCTCTTGTGGGCATTTAGTGCTATAAGTTTCCCTTTACACACTGCTTTAAATGTGTCCCAGAGATTCTGGTATGTTGTGTCTTTGTTCTCATTGGTTTCAAAGAACATCTTTATTTCTGCCTTCATTTTGTTATGTACCCAGTAGTCATTCAGGAGCAGGTTGTTCAGTTTCCATGTAGTAGAGAGGTTTTGAGTGAGTTTCTTAATCCTGATTTCTAGTTTGATTGCACTGTGGTCTGAGAGACAGTTTGTTATAATTTCTGTTCTTTTACATTTGCTGAGGAGAGCTTTACTTCCAACTCTGTGGTCAATTTTGGAATAAGTGTGATATGGTGCTGAGAAGAATGTATATTCTGTTGATTTGGGGTGGAGAGTTCTGTAGATGTCTATTAGGTCCACTTGGTGCAGAGCTGAGTTCAATTGCTGGATATCCTTGTTAACTTTCTGTCTCGTTGATCTGTCTAATGTTGACAGTGGGGTGTTAATGTCTTCCATTATTATTGTGTGGGAGTCTAAGTCTCTTTGTAGGTCTGTAAGGATTTGCTTTATGAATCTGGGTGCTCCTGTATTGGGTGCATATATGTTTAGGATAGTTAGCTCTTCTTGTTGAATTGATCCCTTTACCATTATGTAATAGCCTTCTTTGTCTCTTTTGATCTTTGTAGGTTTAAAGTCTGTTTTATCAGAGACTAGGATTGCAACCCCTGCCTTTTTTTGTTTTCCATTTGCTTGGTAGATCTTCCTCCATCCCTTTATTTTGAGCCTATGTGTGTCTCTGCATGTGAGATGGGTCTCCTGAATGCAGCACACTGATGGGTCTTGACTCTTTGTCCGATTTGCCAGTCTGTGTCTTTTAATTGGAGCATTTAGCCCATTTACATTTAAGGTTAATATTGTTATGTGTGAATTTGATCCTGTCATTATGATGTTAGCTGGTGATTTTGCTTGTTAGTTGATGCAGTTTCTTCCTAGCATCGATGGTCTTTACAATTTGGCATGTTTTTGCAGTGGCTGATACCGGTTGTTCCTTTCCATGTATAGTGCTTCCTTCAGGAGCTCTTTTAGGGCAGGCCTGGTGGTGACAAAATCTCTCAGCATTTGCTTGTCTGTAAAGGATTTTATTTCTCCTTCACTTATGAAGCTTAGTTTGGCTGGATATGAAATTCTGGGTTGAAAATTATTTTCTTTAAAAATGTTGAATATTGGCCCCCCACTCTCTTCTGGATTGTAGAGTTTCTGCCAAGAGATTCACTGTTAGTCTAATGGGCTTCCCTTTGTGGTTAACCTGACCTTTCTCTCTGGCTGCCCTTAACATTTTTTCCTTCATTTCAACTTTGGTGAATCTGACAATTATGTGTCTTGGAGTTACTCTTCTCGAGGAGTATCTTTGTGGCATTCTCTATATTTCCTGAATTTGAATGTTGCCCTGTCTTGCTAGATTGGGGAAGTTCTCCTGGATAATATCCTGCAGAGTGTTTTCCAACTTGGTTCCATTCTCCCTGTCACTTCCAGGTACACCAATCAGATGTCGATTTGGTCTTTTCACATAGTCTTATATTTCTTGGAGGCTTTGCTCATTTCTTTTGATTCATTTTTCTCTGAACTTCTCTTCTCTCTTCATTTCATTCATTTGATCTTCAATCACTGATACCCTTTCTTCCAGTTGATTGAATCGGCTACTGAAACGTGTGCATTCATCACGTAGTTCTCGTGCCATGGTTTTTAGCTGCATCAGGTCATTTAAGGACTTCTCTACACTGGTTATTCTAGTTAGCCATTCGTCTAATCTTTTTTCAAGTTTTTAGCTTCTTTGCAATGGGTTTGAACTTCCTCCTTTAGCTCGGAGAAGTTTGATCATCTGAAGCCTTCTTCTCTCAGCTCTTCAAAGTCATTCTCCGTCCAGCTTTGCTCTGTTGCTGGCGAGGAGCTGCGTTCCTTTGGAGGGGGAGAGGCGCTCTGATTTTTAGAATTTTCAGCTTTTCTGCTCTGTTTTTCCCATCTCTGTGGTTTTATCTACCTTCGATCTTTGATGATGGTAATGTACAGGTGGTGTTTTGCTGTGGATGTCCTTTCTGTTTGTTAGTTTTCCTTCTAACAGTCAGGACCCTCAGCTGCAGGTCGGTTGGAGTTTGCTGGAGGTCCACTCCAGACTCTGTTTGCCTTGGTATCAGCAGTGGAGGCTGCAGAGCAGCGAATATTGCTGAACAGCAAAGGTTGCTGCCTGATCGTTCCCCTGGAAGCTTCGTCTCAGAGGGTTACCTGGCCATGTGAGGTGTCAGTCTGCCCCTACTGGGGGGTGCCTCCCAGTTAGGCTACTCGGGGATCAGGGACCCACTTGAGGAGGCAGTCTGTCCGTTCTCAGATCTCAAACTCCATGGTTGGAGAACCACTACTCTCTTCAAAGCTGTTAGACAGGGACATTTATGTCTGCAGAGGTTTCTTCTGCCTTTTGTTTGGCTATGCCCTGCCCCCAGAGGTGGAGTCTACAGAGGCAGGCAGGCCTCCTTGAGCTGCCTTGGGCTCCACCCAGTTCGAGCTTCCTGGCTGCTTTGTTTACCTTGTCAAGCCTCAGCAATTGTGGGCGCCCCTCCCCCAGCCTCACTGCCACCTTACAGTTTGATCTCAGACTGCTGTGCTAGCAATGAGCAAGGCTCCGTGAGCGTGGGACCCTCCAAGCCAGGCGCAGGATATAATCTCCTGGTGTGCCGTTTGCTAAGACCTTTGGAAAAGTGCAGCGTTAGGGTGGGAGTGACCCGATTTTCCAGGTGCCATCCATCACCGCTTCCCTTGGCTAGGAAAGGGAATTCCCTGACCCCTTGCACTTCCCAGGTGAGGGGATGCCTCGCCCTGCTTCGGCTCATGCTTGGTGGGCTGCACCCACTGTTCTGCCCCCACTGTCCGACAAGCCCCAGTTAGATGAACCCAGTACCTCAGTTGGAAATGCAGAAATCACCCATCTTCTGCATTGCTCACGCTGGGAGCTGTAGACTGGACCTATTCCTATTTGGCCATCTTGGAACCGCCACCGCCCCTCCCCCGGCTTTATTTATTTATTTTTTGAGATGGAGTCTTGCTCTGTTGCCCAGACTGGAGTGCAGTGGTGCTGTCTTGGCTCACTGCAACCCCTGCTTCCCAGGTTCAAGCATTTCTCGTGCCTCAGCCTCCTGAGTCACTGGGATTACAGGTGTGCACCACCACACCTGGCTAATTTTTTAATTTTTAGTAGAGACAGGGTTTTGCCATGTTGGCCAGGCTGCTCTTGAGCTCCTGACCTCAAGTGATCCACCCACCTCCACCTCCCAAAGTGCTGGGATTACAGGTGTGAGCCACCCTGCCTGGCCCTATTATGTAGTTTTAATAAGACCTAACTGTATATTAATAGAATTTTTGGACAGTGACAAAATTTGTATTTTTGATATTTTCCTTCAGATTACCATTTCTAAATTGTTTCTACAAATTGAGTATCAGCATTTCAAGGTTTTATTTTATTTTGTTTTATTTTATTTTATTTTAATTTTGGTAGCTATAAATACCATTTACTGATAATGATGTCCTTACAACTAAGGGAACTTAGAAAAATTACTGTAGCCCTCACTAACCAGTTTTTACTGTAGCAGTGTGGCTAGAATTCTAAAAATTGTTATGTAAATAGAGTTGGTCTGTGATACATTTCATTCTCCTTTTCCTCTTGCTGCACCTCAGATGTTCTATTAGAAGGTAAGCTCTATGCAGGGCACCTAGAAGGCACTCCAGAATTATTTGTTGCATGAATGCATGAACAGATGAACAGATACTCACTGTCCTTTGAGTCAGTTTCACATGGCGATCCTCCCTCTTGTGCTCCAGTGGCCCCCGGCCTCCAGTTTTACATAGCATTGTATTCCCCACGTCTCCATCTACTAACAAAATGGCAGCCAGTTATCTAATACACTAGTTTGTGTAAACCTGTTATGTCCAATGGGGAACCTATCAAAAATGTGTTAGTAAGGGGTTTCTATATTAGCCTTATGGTAAGCATTCAGTAAATGCTAGTTGTTATTATTGTCATCATCTTCATCATCACCACCATCCAATATATTCCCCTATAACGACTGGTTTTCAGATTTTCTTCCAAAGGATCATTAGGACTCTCAGAATTTTCTCAGGTGATAGTGAAAGTTTGGTGGGGTTTGGGGAAAAGTGGTGGGAGGGAGGGACAGATATGGAGAGATAATGAAGCTGCACTCCCCTCATGGTTTTCCTTACCTCTTTTGCCAAATAAGCTGTGCCTTTATTTGTTTTATATATTTGTATTTCGGGTAAATTTTATTTTCAAAAGGATTCTACTGCTTAATTTTGTTTTTCGAAAGAAACACTGTAAGCAATGTGCTGGGTGCTAGAGAGTACAAGATGAATATAGCTCTTTTCTTGTAAATGCACAGATGACAGTGACAAGGAAAAGAAGAGAAAAATCACTGACCACATTTCAGAGTGTATTCTTAAGCAGATAATTTGTACAGTCCTTAAAATGAATGTGCTGCTGTCTGGAAGCCAGCATATCCAACAGTGCACATGTCATGACATGTCAAAGCAACCTCAGCATCCTTTGTAACAGAGCTGCTAGGTTAGTGGATAGGGTGGGGCTGGATCACTTACCAGCTATTTGACCTGGAACAGTCACTTGAGTGCTGTGGGCGTCAGTGTCCTCAGCTGTAAAACGTCAAAAGTAAAACAACCCCATAAAGTTACTTAAATAAAACTTTTTTTAAACACAAAATGCCTAGTATACCTGTAAGCCTCAAACATGCATATACACTGTATCTATTTACTTTATAGAAAGTATTTGATGACATCAGCAGGGCATTTCACAAACCAACTTCGTAATAGCCTTACAACGAAGATGGGTAGGTAGATTTGTAATTAGCTAACCATCTTTCCCGGACTGATAGGTACTCAGGAATTGCTTTTATCCTAAAGACAGATCCCATATTGTAATGGAAAAAACATAGCTCTGGATTCAGAGAAACTTTATTTAAAGACCAAGCTCTGTCATTTACCAGACCATTGAGCCAGTTACTCAGTTGTTTAAGTCTCACTTAGTATTGTTTATTTCCTCAGTTATAAACTAGGTGATCACAAGGGGTTTTGTGAGAATTAAATTATGGGAAACAGTAAGTGTGAGGTACTAATCAAGGTGCTTCACATATGGTAGATGCTCAAGAAACTTTCCTTCTTTCAGTCTGGTGGGGTGCCATAAACAAAAACCTGAAGCAAATGTCCTAGAATTTTGAATGACACAGAACAAAAGATGATTGAAAGAATAATGAGTGATAAGCATGACATTTCAAAACCAAAATGTTTATTTTGACAGACCAAGGTAGTGGCTGAAATGTATAAAATGGTATTTGACAGAATAATGTTAATTTTTACATTCAAAAAGGGAATATATATATAACATTTATTGATATTATATATATTTATTTATATGTGTAAAACAAAACTTCTAAACATACTTGAAGAGTCTTGAGGTACTTAACCTGGAGAATTCTGTGGGGAGGCAGAATAGCTGTATTCACATTATAGAATCATAGAACCTTGGAGTTTGAAAGATTGTTATGTGCCAGTGTGAGTATAAATGTGTGGTCTTGTTCCCAAGTAAAGAATCCTAACATGAACATGAGAAGCGTGGGGTAAGCATATCATTTCACTATAAGGCTATCTTTTTAACAATTAGATACATTTCACAGTAAAGTAGTGTGTGTGTGTGTGTGTGTGAGAGAGAGATAGACATGATTTGAATAAATATGTTGGATATTACTGATCAAGTTGTAGAGATTCTTGTGTCAGAGGTGGCTAAGGTACAAAGGTCCATGGGATTTAGAGGTGGGGGAGATGTCACATTTCACCTGATTTGGCAACTCCTGAATAAAACTTTGGAAAATGTCTTGAACTCCCCTGTTGCAAATATTCTTTGCACCCTTTCACAGAAAGAAGACTAAATGGGCCGGGCACGGTGGCTCAAGCCTGTAATCCCAGCACTGTGGGAGGCCAAGGCGGGCGGATCACGAGGTCAGGAGATCGAGACCATCCTGGCTAACATGGTGAAACCCCATCTGTACTAAAAATACAAAAAATTAGCCAGCGTGGTGGCAGGTGCCTGTAGTCCCAGCTACTGGGGAGGCTGAGGCAGGAGAATGGCATCAACCCGGGAGGCGGAGCTTGCAGTGAGCTGAGATTGTGCCACTGCAGTCCAGCCTGGGCGACAGAGCAGGACTCCATCTCAAAAAAAAAAAAAAAAAAAAAAAAAAAAGAAAGAAAGACTAAATGAAAGTGAATTAGCAATCAGTATGTGAAATATTGTAGCCAAGTCTTTTCAAGGAATTCCTGAATAGATGAGACATTAAGCAAGTTAATTTCTAAGTTCATGTCTAATTAATTCTCTGATAGCCTACCTGTATAAGTAAGTCAACACGATGTGCATATAGAAATCAGTAAGATTAATACTGGATGTCTCCAAGTATAAATTCAGAATATATTGATAACATTGGATATTATCCTGTTTCTAAAATGTGTATTTTAGAGGAGGAGGAATTTCAGGAACTTCCTGTATAAGGAAGAAAATTTAAGTTCCAATGGTTATTTTAGCCCCAATTCAATTCAATTATTAGTTGAATAACAGCCAAAGTGATTTGGTGATGTATATGACTTACAAGAATCAAGAATAAATCATTTTTCTATGCTTATTCTAGTGTTACTTAATTTACTGTGAACAGGGCTGTATTTAATCTTTCTTATTTGAGTGGCATACACAAGCAAGAAAACTTGGTGAGTCATTTGAATAATCTGGCTGGTGTAACTGTGAATATTCTTGGGAATGATGGAAAGGTTAAATGCTTTGAAACACGTGTATTCTGAGGGGAGCACTGAGCTGCTGCTCTCTAGTTTCACTGAGAGCAGAACTTGGGCCAGAAGTACTAGCTGTGTTTTATAGAGCTTAATACACTCCCATTTCAAGGTGATTGCCAGTTATTATGTGATCATGAGAAGATAGACTTTAATTTCAGGGAGCATTAGCGTCATCAGCAACAAGCCTTTTTGCATGTGGTGTACCAGGTGCTGCATAAAATATGTTAAACTCGCATTCCACTTGCTCTCTACACACGACGTTAAGAGTGAGACAGACTATTTTAGATATAAGCAACTCTGAAGGGTAAAGTGACTAATAACAGCAGCTGAGTCACGGCTTACACTTGTATACCATGTTCTAGTTTACAAAGCTCTTAAGAGAGCAGAACATTCCTACCTGTAGGTGATAGATTCTGTGAGGCAGAAATGTTTCTGGTACCAGTTTCCTTGAAGGGAATTGAGTCTATTTTTATTGAAGAATCATAAGATGCAGCTTAAAAGATGTGGTCACAGAAGTGTACCCCAACCAGAGAGGAAATTCCAACTGGAAATAAGGAGCTAGACCATTTTGGTGAGTTTTGATGTGGAAAGGGCTTGAGGAAGATCAAGGTACAGGATACATGGAAGATTTAATGAAGCATACAATGTGGAAAGAAGGAGACGTACACAATTACGGCTTGAAATGCAGTCTGCCAAGTTTATTCAGGTGTCCAGTGCGTTATCAGTAGTGGAAAAAACAACCCACATTTCCTTGCTTGAATACTTGTTTTTCCCTCATACCCTAGTCCTTTCGTTACTCTGGACAGAGAGTACATGACTCTCCTTTTTGATTATAAGACTTTGCATCTTTTATCCCTGTTGTTTTCCAACTCTCTTCCTACTTAGATCTAGAATAACATTCTGTCTTCTATTTACTACATTTGCATCTTTAAGAAAAACAGTACTTACTGGTTTTTGAAAAGTACCATACTCTTCAAAAAGTGTTGTGAATAATATCACTTGTATTAGACTACTGAGTCATTTATTTTATATGATACATTGTGGTGAGATACTGTCTTTGTTTTATGTCTCCATTGCTTACTTTACTGCTGTCCCAGACAGATGTATAGGGGAAGCTTTTAAATTAAATATAGAATTATAAATGCAGATGCATATGTCATGTATATGCATGCCTATTGTCAGTTGACTTATGTATATTCAGCCATTTGATTGTTAGGTGCTTATATATGGAGATTCTGTCTTTGATGCCTTTTTAACACTCTACAGCATCAACATCACTCCTTTCTTGATTTTCAGTAAATATTATTAGGGAGCAAGCAATGTGTAAAACACTGGAAAGGGAAATCAGTGCGGAGCTGTAGCACCATCACTAAGCTTGGCTTAGCACTCAGCTTAAGTCAGTTTTTTTTTTTTTTTCTAAGAGAAATAGGTTGTAATTTCTCCTCATCATCTATCTTGTTTATGTTAAGTGCCGTTTACCTTAGGGAATAATTTCTCTAAAGTGAGAAAGTCAGAGTTACATTTTGACTCCTTACTTTTTTTTTTTTTTGAGACAGAGTCTTGCTCTGTTGCCCAGGCTGGAGTGCAGTGGTGCGATCTCGGCTCACTGCAACGTCCGCCTCCCAGGTTCAAGCGATTCTCCTGCCTCAGCCTCCCGAGTAGCTGGGACTACAGGTGCATGCCGCCACATCTGGCTAATTTTTTGTATTTTAGTAGAGATGGGGTTTCACCGTGTTGCCCAGGCTGGTCTCGAATTTCTGAGCTTAGACAATCTGCCCGCCTCGGCCTCCCAAAATGCTAGGATTACAGGCATGAGCCACTGCACCCGGCCTTGACTCCTTACTGTTAAAGGAACTTTAAAAAACAGTTGGCAAATGTATGGTTAGATTGAACCTGGATAGAATCAGCGTCCTTCTATGTACTTTACTCACATTGTTGAGCTATGTTAGCACATTAACAAATGAGGTTTATCTCTTCGAAAGGTGACATGGAAGTATTGGGTGTGGCTTATGTAATTACTGTCTAAACTTTTGAAAACCTAGCTTGGACCCTTAACTGAAAATTTTGACGTATTGGTTGTGAGCCTTGCTTACAGAATGCCTCAGAATAAACTTGGAACTTGAAGGTCAGTGTAGAAACTCATTGTCAATTCAGTGTGGAGAAGCTTACATAGCACCTCCGCAGCCAGGTCTGGCTCACATTAGTGCTACTAGAGCCTCAGCCTTGTGAGTGCTGCAGCTTCTTGTCAGAGAGGAAGGAAACTGAAGTGCAGAGAGACAGAGTATACAGATGACAAGGCAAGCCTTCAGACCGCATGGAGGACTTAGAGATGCTTGAGAGAAAACTAGAGAGTCTTGAAATATAAGCTTCAGTGTAAACATCCCCAAAGACCAAGTGGATGAAATTGAAGGAAAAGATGAGGAACTTGGAAGAGGTAGACAGACAAATTTGAAACAAGTGTTTCTGTGACTGGAGGAGCAAGCATAAAGTGGTTTAAAAGCATTGCTGAGGAAGCCAGATATGTCAAAATCAGAGTTTCTTGACAGAGGACTTAAAGCTGGGGGCAGTGGGGAGAGTATTTTTAAAACCAGAAGGAAGTTGCACTCATCACCCTATTGAGAGTATTCAGCACCTATATTATTGCAGTGGTTGCACATGTGTATGACATCAAGATCGTTCCCTCCCCTTCCCACCCTCCAGCCCTCAGTGATGGGAGGAATTCCGAATAGGTTTGAAAACAAGTGCGTGAGTTGGAACTTCAAACTCAAACAGACACACTGGGGACAAGAAACCACAGAGACAGTTAAGCAGAAAGAGGGTGATGAAGTGAAAACCCCCACTGAGTGGTCAGTAACTGCAGTAGCTGAACCTGTCAACTCCTCATGGAGTAGGAGTCAAGTATTTCTATGGTTAAAGAATACCAGAGGTCAAGTGAAGAGAATCTGTAGAAGAACAAGGGTGGATGAATGGGAATAAATATTTTTGAAATGCTTTAAGTAGTAAGTAATTTGAGTATTGGAATTCGAAGTAAATGTGTTAGCAGATAGAACATAATACTGTGAACAGAGAAAGGAAAATCCTGTGAGCATAGAATTAGGAATCATTGCATTAGAAATCTCAAGTAATGTGTGGATTGTATGTGTGTATAGGGCTAAAATAAGAACAAGTGGCATATTTCCTTATCAATTCACACTTAAAAGCATGTAAAAGGTAATTCATATTCCTAGGATAAAATAATACAACTTTAGATGTTGGCTGTATTGGAAATTATATAGATGATTATGTATCTGTATGAACAAAACTGATTTTGAATTCGTTTATTCTCTCTAAAGAAACTTACTATTCTCTGCACATCACTTCATTTTGGCTGACAATAAGTCCAACTCAGTCAGTGCACTGCTGTGGAATGTTTTAAACTGAAATGTGCATTGGAATCTGTTTGTTTACAGCAGATGATTTGACTAAGCTTTGATGCGCAGTCACTCTCTGACATTTGTGTATTTCAGCAGTGAACAATGTAAACTCATTTTCTGAGCACTTTGATTGCTTGCACATAGCAGTGCCCATGGCATGTGACAGAGAAGAGCACTCTCTCCACTAATCAGATAGATATGCTTCAAGCGTATTTACACAAAATAATGAAAACAGCTGTTAGATACCTTTAAACTTGAGTGTGTTTTGTTATTAATCTACTAGCCTGTACACATGACACTATAATTCTTCACTCACTCAAGTTGCCTTTAATGACACAGTAATAAAACTGAGAGGGATGAAAGTAATGGAATTGTAGAATGTAATGCCTCAATTGTTCTACAGTGTCTTCCTTTTTGCCAAAATAAACCACAATTAGGTCCATATGGTGTTTTGAAGTTTTCAAGCAATGACCCTAATAAAAAGTAATGAATTTCTGACAAAAGAAAGCGTGGCTCTCTTTTAAGTGGATATCTTCACTATTGATCTAGATATGATTGTAGACCAATATGCTAATAGAAGAAAAAGGATTCAGTGTGCTTAGTACAAGTACTTTCATTTGTGGTTTGTTTTACTCATAAGAAATTCAAATTTTAAAGGTAGAAATATTATAATCCATTAGTTATGACTCCTCTGTTCAAAAGATCTGTTATTTAAAGCAAAGAAATATTCTTCAAGAATGGGAAATTTTACAAACATCTATAATAATGGAGTTTGTCACAAAGAAAGGGCTGAGAGAGTTTGTTTTAGAGAGTATCTTGTTCTTGTGTAGATTGAGCTTTTGAGGTTCTGGTTTTGCTTGTATAAGATTTTTATGTATTTCAGACTGCTTCAAGGGAGAGTGACATTTTATTCCAAGTACTTCTACCACATTCTGAAACTTGTGTATGTAACACAAGTTATTTGGTTGGAGATTGGTTTAAAAATATCAGAGTAGGCAAAATCCTTAGACTATCTTTAATATTAATAAAGCATTATAGGTAGCCTAGAATCTTGAAAATAGATTAAATTAGAAAAACCATAAAACCGAGCAATAGATTGATTTCATAATTGCAATGCTGGCGGAAGTGGGAGGGAAAGAAATTAAAAGGAAAATATATAAGGAATCAGATTTAAGATCTTTTTAACCAGGAATACCTAGATTTGAATCTATGCTCAAAAGCATACCAGCGTTTTCCCTCTGGGTATTATACCTAATTTTTCTGAGTCTTGATTTCCTCATTTTCAAGAGATAGGAGTTATGACAAGGATTAAAATGATGTCATGATGCATCTAACAGATTGTGTGGCAGGTGCTAGGCACTCAATAAATATGGTTTAACTTTATTATTGTTTATTATTATTGAGACCAACCTCCTAAAGTAGCTCATTAGAATGACTTAGAGTGTGCTGTGTGTGAGAATATAGGTGTGCAAATAAGTATGTGTTGAATTCAGTTAGACAATTCAGTGCATACTTACAGAGTCCCTACTATGTGCCAAGAATGTTCATGGTATTATAAAAAATGCAATACTAAATAAAATTCTGTTTTAAGAATTTCTAATGTAATGGACATATAAAAGTGAGACTGGGCAAGACAAGTGTAGAGAAACAAACAAGTTTCATTGGAAATATAGGAGAAGGTGAAAATAATTCACCCTGAGTAGGACATGGGAAAGCTAGATAGGGAAGGATAGGGGAGAATGACAAGCATCTGAAGTAAAGGGGCTGGGGCTTTTAAAAAGGAGTTTAACTTTTGGGAGTATGGAAGGTAGTGTTGTGGGAGAGTGGGGAAAGCCACATGCACAGCATCATTGGATGACTGTTGTGCTGTGTCATACTAGGTGCTAGGTTTACAAAGTGAATAAGATGTGATCCTGTCCTCAAGGGTAAAAAATTTCCACCAAAATATTATGAGAACGAGACTGCCCCACTATGTCTCATGCACCCAGTTCATCTTGCCAAGGGGCAACTTTGACTCTTAAAATTATGAATAATTCATTGACATTCTGTTTGCTGTTCATTTGTTTCGATATATACTTTGGGTTAATATGGTGAATGATATGGTTTGGCTGTGTGTCCCCACCCAAATCTCACCTTGAACTGTAATCTCCATAATCTTCACATGTCAAGGGCAGGACCAGGTGAAGATCATTGAATCACGGGGGTGGTTTCACTCATGCTGTTCTTGTGATAATGAGTGAGTTTCATGAGATCTGATGGTTATATATGTGTCTGGTATTTCCCCTGCTTGCACTTATTCTCCCTCCTGCTGTGCTGTGAAGAAGTGCCTTCTGCCATGATTATAAGTTTCCTGAGGCCTCCCCGGTTAAGTGGAACTGTGAGTCAATTAAACCTCTTCTTAAAAGAAATTACTCAGTCTTGGATATTTCTTCGTAGCAGTATGAGAACGGACTAATACCAGTGAGTGAATGAATGACAAATATATTTGCTTAGTATTTTCCCATTTTAATGTAAATACCGAGAAGATAAATTTCAACCTATTATCAGGCTACATTATCTGAAATTCCAAATTAGTTAACTGAATTTGTAATGTTTAATTGTTTGATTATTGATCAAAAAGTATTTCCTTACTTGCAAAGCTCTTCTCACTTCTCTAATATTTTCTTAATCTGTTTTTTGAAAAACTAAACCAAAATCACATCTTGACATTTAATGCGCAGTTTATTGTATAATTGATCAAAAGTTACCATTGTACAGTCCCGATGTTTCTTAACTCATTGAGATATGAATTACAACGTAGATCATCACCATTTCTTACTAACATTTTAGGATATTTTGAGAGATTATGGCTCTACACTTGAAATGGGAAACATCCTTTAAACCTTGTTTGGAGATTGGTCATGCCTTCTCAAATAAGATAATTACATTGCATTCTAAAATAATATCCTGCTTATAAATGTGTATATATATTCACCATTTCAAAGATTAGTAGAGTGTAGGTTGTGTACCAAGCACTGGGTAGGGTACTGGATATAAAGGATGGACAGTAACACACACACCAACATATCCACATAAATATTGCTTCCCTTAGAGCAATCCACTGACTTTCTTCATCCATGATAACAACTCCCCTGACCCTTCTGCAGCTCTTGTTTACTAACTACTTTCAGGTCCATGTAACTTATTTTTATGTCAGTAGTTATTAGCAGAACTTTGTTCTTTAAAAAGTATATTTAATTTTGAGAATTAGCCAAATATACCATGTGTAGCCAAGTTTTGGATTCTGAAGGACAGGATATTCTACGATTATAATACAGTCGTATGATTTGTTTGTTTGTTTGTTTTTTAACTTTAGTTATTACTTGGTTGCACTTAACTTGGTAGTGAAGCCCATTTTGGAAACAATAAGAACACCAATTCCCAAGATGATTGATTGCTTTGCAAATGTCAGCCCTTCATGGGGTATACACCTTCAAGTTTGCTACCTTTTTAAAAAAGTTCATTTGATTTTAAAAATTTGCTACTCTTTTATGTCACAGCAGGTGTATTCATGTCAAGAGTATTTGTGGGTATCTCGGCTTTAGCCAGGCAGTTCCCTTTGCTGCTCTTGATTGTATGCATTATTCCTTCATCTTAGAACTTTAGAACTCTTTCTAAAGTAATCATATAGATAAAAATCATCTCTGAAAACACGAGATTTCAGAGTCCTGTAAATCCATTATGACCAGCATGCTTTCTCATCAATCTCTTCATGTTGTCTAGTGTTGAATGTGTTAAAGAAAAATGCGGTCATGTAATTTTTTCCACCATATAAATAACTTGATTTTTTTCCTTGCTGTCCCAAATAATTTTTCTTCACTTTATGTCCAATAGCTACTAGAATAGGACTTTCATATGTTGTTTATTCCTGGTGGTTTTCCCCAGATACTCAGTGTTTCCTACACACACACACACACACACACACACACACACACACACACCCCAAAAGTTTATTTATTCAACTTGTCTTTTATTTATAGATAGTGTTCTTTAAGTACCATAAAGCCCTATGATATATAATATGTTTGTGATAAGAATTTGTATGACCTATGAGTGGCTAAAATTAGGATCTTGTGGCAGATATGGGTTTTGGTTAGGAAACTACTACCTCAAGATCACTTAGACTCCCTTCTCCTTCCCCAGTATATGGTTAGTTGTGTGAAAAATAACTTGTACTCTCAACTTTTCTGTTTTTCCAACAGTTCAAAATGACTAAAACTATTGCTTTTGTTAACCTCATACAATGTAAAACCACATTCTTTTGTTAGATTATGTTTTTAACAGCTTTATTGAGGTAAATTGGTAGACAGTAAACTACATATAAGATGTACAGTTTTGGCCAGGCGTGGTGGCTCATGCCTGTAATCCCAGCACTTTGGGAGGCCGAGGTGGGCGGATCACAAGGTCAGGAGATCAAGACCATCCTGGTTAACACAGTGAAACCCTGTCTCTACTAAAAGTACAAAAAATTAGCCAGGCACGGTGGTGGGCGCCTGTAGTCCCAGCTACTTGAGAGGCTGAGGCAGGAGAATGGCGTGAACCTGGGAGGCGGAGCTTGCAGTGAGCCGAGATCATGCCACTGCACTCCAGCCTGGGTGACAGAGTAAGACTCTGTCTCAGAAAAAAAAAAAAAAGATGTACAATTTTATAAATGTTGACGTATGTATACACCTGTGTAACCATCACCACAGACAAGATAATGAACATATCCATCACTCTAAAAGCTTCCTTATGATTCCTGTAATTGTTCTCCATCAATCCTCACTTCCCTACTTCTATCCCAATTCACATTCTCTGGCACTGCTGATAAGCTTTCTGTCACTATCAGTTAGTTTTTTTTATATATAACTTCATCTAAACAAAAACATATAGTATGCACTTCTTTTTATCTGACTTCTTTCACTCAGCATAATTATTTTAGATCCAGTTTTGTTTGGTGTCTAATAGTCCATTCTTTTTTTTATTGCTGATTAGTATGTCGTTGTATGGATATACCACAATTTGTTTATCCACGTGTTGATGAGCATTTGAGTCAGTTTTAGTTTTTAAATATTACCAATTAAGTTACTGTGAACATTTGCATGCAAGTCTTTGTATGGTCATAATGCCTTCATTCCCCTTGGGTAAATACCTAGGAGTGGAATAGCGGGATCATATGGTAGATTTGTGTCTTTATTTTTTAAATAAATCACCAAAGTCTGCCAAAGCAGTTCTATTACTTTGCATTCCCACCTGCAGTACATGAGAGTTCTAGTTTCTCCACATCCTCACCAGCACTTGATAAGGTCAATCTTTTCTAATTTTAGATAGATGTGTATAACATTTTCCTCTATTCTTTGCCTTGTCTTTAATAGTACCTTTTGAAGAAAATAAGTTCTTAATTCTGATGAAGTTCAATTCATTCATTCATTTTATTTTATACATCACATTATTGTATCTGAGTAACCTTTATATAACCCAAGGCCATACACATTTTCTCCCAGGTTTTTCCTAGATGTTTTACATTTAGATTTTCACAATTTAGAATTAGGTTTTACATTTAGATTTAGGTTTTACAATTTAGAATTAGGTTTTACATTTAGATTTATGATCCATTTTGAATTCATTTTTATATATGGTGGGAGGTATGAATCCAAATTTTTTTTTTTAACATATAGATATCCAATTGTTCCAGCACCATATGTTGGAACAAAACTATATTTTCTCAGGCTAGTCGCCTCTACTTAATTACCTTTAGAACTTTGTTGAAAATCAATGGAGTGTGTGTGTGTGTGTCTGTTTCTCAACTCTTTATTCTGTTCCGTTGATCTATTTGTCTTTTTTGATGTCAATACTACACTGATGATGATTATTCTAGTTATAATAAGTCTTGAAGGCAGGTAGTGTGAGTCCCCCAAATTTTTTCTTTTTAACTTTGCTTTGGCTATTCTAAGTTCTTTGCATTTCCAGCTGAATTTTAGAATAAGGTTGTCAGTTTCCTAGGGGAAAAAAAAGCCCTCTGAGATTTTGAATGGGATTGGTTTGAAATGGTAACTCAATTGAAGAGACACGACGTATTAACAGTATTGAATCTTCTGATCCATGAATATACTATATATTTCCATTAACATATACATCAATATATACAAAAGATGTATAAGATATATTTAATACATCTTTTGTTTGATGTATACTTCAATATTTACCTTTTTTTGATGCTGTTATGGTTTCCTTTGATACTTTCAGTTTCTGACTGTTCCTTGCCCGGACAGGGAAATACAATTAACTTTTATATTTTTATCTTGTATCCATCAGTTTCGCATTTTTAAAGTAACTTAAAAATAACTTTTTTTTGTAGATTTTATCAGATTTTCTACATAGTTAATAATGTCATGCCAAAATAGAAATAGTTTTACTTCTTCCTTTCCAATATCAATGCCTTTTATTTATTTTAATTTTCTTATTACATGGGGTAATTCCTCTAGTATCACGTTGAATAGAAATAGTAAGAGCAGACGTTTTTGCCTTTTCCTGATTTTAGAGGGAAAGCATTTAGTCTTTCACTGTTAAGCATGACATTAGGGCTTAGATTTTTCTTATGTGTCCCTTACCGGATTGAGGAAATTCCCTTTTATGCCTAGTGCACTGAGAGTTTTATCAGGAGTGGATATTGGATGTCATCAAATCCTTTTTTTTGCATCTAGAGATAATCTTACCTTTGCTTGTTTGTTTCTCTATTAGATGGTGATGATGGTGGATTACATCGATTGCTTTTTTAATGTTAACTATCCTTTCATTCCCGAAATAAGTCACACTTGGACATATATTTTTTAAATTTTTTATTTGTACAAATTTACGGGGTATATGTGAAATTTTGTTACATGTATATACTGCGTAGTGATCAAGTCATTGTATTTAGTGTGTCCATGAACTGACTACAGTATATTCTTGTTAAGTATATAGCCCTACTCTGGTTTCAAACATTGAATTTATTCCTTCTATCTTACCATATGTTTGTACTCTGTAACCCACTTCTGTTCATCCTCCCCTCTCCCCCACTCTCCCTTCCCAGTCTTTGTTATCTTTCAACTGTCCACCTCCATGTGATCAAACTTTTTACTTCCCACATATAAGTAAAAACATGCAATATTTGTCTTTTTGTGCCTGGAGAGAGACCTCCAGTTCCATGTATGTTGTTGCAAATGACATATTCTTTTTTTATGACCAAATAGTATCTCATTGTGAATATACACCACATTTTCTTTATATATTCATCTCTTGATGAACACTTAAGTTGACTCCGTATCTTTGCCATGGTGAAGTAGTGCTGCAATAAACCTGCCAGTACAGTTATTGCTTTGATATTGAGTTTTTACTCTAGGTAGATACCTAGTAGTGGGAATGCTCAATTAAATGGTAATTCTATGTTTAGTTTTTTGAGAAATCTCCATAGGGCTTTCTTTAGTGGCTGTACTAGTTTACATTCCTACCAATAGTGTATAGGAGTTCCCTTTTCTCTGCTTCCTTGCCAACTTCACTTATTTTTTGTCTTTTTAATAATAGCCATTCTGACTGGGGTAGGTAGCTTTTTGCATTCCTCTGATGCTTGATGATGTTCATCATTTTTCACATACCTGTTGACCTGTTGCATGTCTTCTTTTGAGAAATGTCTACTCATGTCCTTTGCCTACTTTTTAATAGGATTATTACTTTTTTCCTGTTGAGTTGCTTGAGTTCCTTGTATATTCTGGATATTAGTCTCCTGTCAGATGAATAGGTTGCAGATATTTTCTCTCATTCAACAGGTTGTCTCTTCACACTGTTGAATATTTCTTTTGCTGTGTAGAAGTTTTTTAGTTTAAGTAAGTCCTATTTTTGTTTTAATTGCTTGTGCTTTTTAGGTCTTAGCCATAAATTTTTGCCTTGGCCAGTGTCCAGGAGAGTTTTTCCTAGGCTTACTCCTAATATTTTTATAGTTTCAGGTCTTATGTTTAAATCTTTAATCCATTTTGTCTTGATTTTTGTGTATGTTGAGAGATAGTCATCTAGTTTTATTTTTCTGCCTGTAGCTATCCAGTTTTCTCAGCATCATTTATTGAAGAGAATGTCCTTTCCCCAATGTAAGTTCTTGTCAGCTTTGTTGAAGACCAGTTGGCTATGAATATGTGGCTTTATTTCTGGGTTCTCAATTCTATTCCATTGATCTATATGCCAATTTTTATACCAATACCATGCTGTTCTGTTTACTGTAGACTTGTAATATGTATTGAAATCAGATAGTGTGATGCCACCAGCTTTATTGTTTTTGCCTAGGAATGTTTTGGCTATTTAGGCTCTTTTTTAGTTCCATATAAATTTAGAATTGTTTTTTCTAATTCTGTGAAGAATGACATTGGTATTTGGATAGGGATTGCATTTAATATGTAGACTGCTTTGGGCTATGTGGTCATTTTATCAATATTAATTCTTCCAATCCATAAGTGTGGGATGTTTTTCCATCTGTCTGTTTTATCTTCACACCTCTTTTATCAGTGTTTTGTAGTTATCCTTGTAGAGATCTTTCACTTCCTTGGTCAAATAGTTAAATTTATTCTTAGGGTTTTTTGTTTGTTTGTTTGTTTTTGTAGCAGTTATAAATGGGATTGCTTTCTTGATTTTTTTTCTTGGCTAGATAATTCTTGGTGTAAAGAAAGACTACTAATTTTGGTACATTGATTTTGTGTCCTGCAACTTTACTGAATTCATTTATCTAATAGAGGTTTTTGGTAAAGTCTTTAGGTTTTCTACACATAAGATCATATCAGCAAAGAGGGACAATTTCACTGCCTCTTTCTGGTTTGGATGCCTTTTATTTTTTCCTATTGTCTGACTGCTCTGGCTGGAACTTCCAGGACTAGTACTATGTTGAATAAGAATGGAGAAATTGGGTGTCCTTGTCTTGTTCCAGTTATTAAAGGAAAGGCTTTCTTTCAGCTTTTCTCTATTCACTATGAAGTGAGCTGTGGATTTGTTGTATATGACTTTATTATTTTGGGGGTATGTCCCTTCTATGCCTAGATTGGTGAGTTTTTATAATGAAAGGACTTTGAATTTTATTAAATGTATCTTCTGCGTCTGTCGAGGTGATTATATAGTTTTTTGTTGTTGTTGATGTGATATATGATGTTTATTGATTTCTGGTATAAATCCTTCTTGATTGTATAAATCCTTCTTGAAGGTATAAATCCTTTTTGATGTGCTGTTGGATTCAGTTTGCTAGTATTTTGTTGAGGATTTTTGCATCTATCTGTGTTCATCAGGGATATTGTCCTGTAGTTTTTTTGTTGTTGTCATTGTGTCTTTGTCTGGTTTTGGTATCATGGGGATGCTGGCCTCATAGAATGAGTTAGGAAGTTTCCTTTCTCTTCAGTTTTGTGGAAGAGTTTGTATAGAATTGTTATTATTTATCCCTTAAATGTTTGATAGAATTAACAGTTAAACTATCTAGGCCTAATGATTTATTTGTGGGAATGTTTTTAACTACAAACTAATTTTGAATATTGGATATTCAAGTGTTGCTTGCTGAGTAAGCTTTGAGTTGGTTTTTCTCAAGAAATTTGTCTACTTCATTTCAGTCATTACATTTATGGAAAGCTGTTCATAGTATTTCCTCATTGTCCTTTAGTTTGTTTTGCATTTGAGGTTATAATGACTCATTCTTGATACTCATAATTTGGTACTTCTCTCTTTTTTACTACTCATACTCAGTAAAATTTTATCAATTTTATTGATCTTATTAAAGAACCAGCTTTTATGTTATAAGGTTACTGTTGTCACTTAATGATTTAAATGATAGGATCTCAAATTAGGATGGTTTATTAGAACAAATAGAAATGAAAGTGATCTGGTGCTTCCTGGAGAGCACAGACACAGGGAGATTCTGGGAATCAGGGAATTTTCCCATAGATATAGTGTCTGGGTAGATAAAAGGACTCCAAAAAGGAGAAAAGGAACAAATGAGGAACCAAGAAGCATTCTTTCTATTCCACCATTTGAATGACTGTTCCCACAGTGTTTGAATCCAGTCTTATCTTGATGTTTGATAATCTGAACAACAAATTATTTCAGTAAAGAAAATGTATGAATAAATTTCAAATCCTATTTTATCCAGCTGACTTCTTTACTCAAAATGAGCCTCGTAGTAGTTTGGAAACTTTGAGTTTTTCTTGGAAGTCAGTATGGTAAGGTAAAATTGGGCCTTTGAAATGAGAGGGTTCTTAATTTAAACCCAAGAATTATGGCTGTCAGGCAACTTACTCAGCTTCACTGAATCAAGGTCCTTACCTGTAAAATGGAAATATCAATACTCATATTGTGAGAATTTGAATGAAGTAGCATACATAAAATTATTGAGGGTGGGAATGGTGTCTCACACTTGTAATCACGACACTTGCCAAGGCGGGAAGATTACTTGAGCCCCAGAGTTCGAGACCAGCCTGAGTAACACAGCGAGACCCTATCTCAAAAAATAAAACATTAAAAAATTATTGGTACATAGTAGACTCTCATCCAATTCCAGCTACATCTCCATTACCACTCACCCTGTCATTCCTACTCCCTGGCTGCCCTGTACTCAAAATGCTAAGAGCAAAATGTTAGCCAGTGGCAGGAGAAGCAAAGAGAACTAGGAGCTCTTTAACCTCAGCTCTGCTATAGTTCTTTTTTTAACAGCAAGAAAACCAATAAACTTGCATGCCTGTTGAGGTGATTTTTAGCAAAAATATATAGAGTTATGGGGCCTTTGTAAATGTATGTGATGCTCAGTCAATAAATAATATATAGTAGAGCCACAAATTATGTTGGAAATTAGGTTCTCAAGTCAATGAATTTGAGTTGGAAATCTCATGGTATTAAATTACTTGTGAAAACCCCCATTGGAAGGTACTGAAATGGAGACTTCTTAGGTCCTTTTATCTAATACATCTCAAAAACTAGTTGTTTTCCTTCAGTTTTGAAATTATTTTTCTCTGAGCACCTGAAGATGTAGCTGTCTTGAGTTAAAAACTGGTGTCATACAAAATTTATAAGTGTGTCTTTAAGTACTAGGCTCCGATTCAAAGCCTCACTGAATAAGAAACACCTGAGAACTGAGCCATTCTGGAGCAGTACCTGGTTCACATCCCCCTCATCTCTTGGGTGTATTGGATGAAATGGTTGGTGGAAGTGTTCTCACTGTCTAGATTCTCAATTTTCCCTCTAGTAGGACATGTATAGTTGAATTACATAACAAGATTATAAGCTACTCCACTTTTGGATTCTCTGAACAAAAGTGCTGCTTCTTCCTTTTCTTACCCTCTAAGCTAAGCCTTGAAGGTCAAAATAAAAGCTCACATCTACCACTCTCCCATTTAGCACTCTTGTTGATGTTACTGACTAGCAAAAGCACACTATTCCAAAGAGCCTGGTTGTGACTTCAGTCTACTTGTCATCCCGTTTGACAAGGCATCCAGTACCAATGAATCTTATTATGCTGCTTACATAATAAAACTGACTTTTAGTGCATGTCCTAGGACAGAGTTCGGAAAACTATGGCCAGGGGCTGGCCACTTGTTTTTTGTAAATAACATTTTATTGAAACACAGCCACACCCATTTATTTTCTGTAAATGCTTTCACACTACAAAGAAAGAGTTGAGTAGTTACAATACAGAACCTTTGACTCACAAGTCTAAAATATTTATAATCTAGTTCTTTACAGAAAAAGTTTGCTGACCCCTGTTCTCAGCCTTTTAAGCTTTAGAGCAGAAACTCAAAGAGCGGTCAAATGTTCATACAGGTCAAAATTCACTAAGGAGATTGTTTAAAAATGTAGATTCCTGGAGGCTACCAGGGACCCACTTAGTCAAAATCTCTTGGGATGGAACCTGAGAATCTGAATGTTTAACACATGTTTTAGGTGATGTTTAATGCACACTAAAGTTTTGCTTCCAATGGCTTAGTGAAAAGAAAAATTGACCTGAAAGCAATACTATGTATAAATGTCATGTTTACCACAAATAAACTAGCCTTATGTCCCATCTAGAAAATAGAGTGCCAAGAGAAGAAACTTTATGTTTGCTTTTCTTGTTTAATGCTTCAAATTTTTTGTAAGACAATATGTTACTGTCATGTAGGAAGTTATCATTTACTTGGGGGAGACATAGGATGTTTGAAGAACAATTAAAAAGGTGAATTCCAGAGAAATAGTTGTAAAATCTGAGAAGGAGATGACTTTTGCGGACAAGCATCATGGGTTCTGATTCATTCCTGAGTCTTGAACTGTATTTGGTGAGTCACAACCAACATTTAGGAGGAATAAAAACAAACTATTTTAAATTTTTATAAAATAATGCATAAATGTACATACATGGTAAGTGTCTATTTTCCAGATCCACTGTGAGGAATTAAAGGAATTCCATAATTCTGTATTGGAAGAGCCTTCAAAACTATTGCTTTTACTTCCCAATTTTATAAGAAGGGAAACTCAGATGAAAAATAGTTAAACAATTTGCTTAAGGTCACATGGCTAACCAAAGCAAAAGAAAGATAGCTTAAGAGAGCTAGCTTCTGGATGATATCCTGGATATACCAGCTGGTTGCCCATGGGCTGAACCTTTCTGGTTCTCAGGAATGTTAGAAGATCAAAGAATACTGGTCCTCGTGGCACATGGCATAAGTTGGCTTTGAGGTCAGTGTTGTTTGGACCTTTGACTGGAATAAGTTCTCTCTAGTTCACACAATTTCCCGCTGCTCTATTTTGACCCTTGAATTGTTTTGCGATTCTCTTATAGTTGAGAAATATTTCTCTTCACATGTATTATTATCAGAAGTAAAAAATAAAAGCATAACAAGCAGACCACATGTTTATTCAAAGGTAGAAATTATATTTCTATGTGAAATTGAAAAATATGCTTATGAGTTTTGTGTTTTAAAATTGTTTGAAATACCACATAAGCTTCTCTCTTACTTCAGTCTTTTCACTCATTTTGCCTTTTGTGCCTGTATAGAAACTTCGGGCTGGGTGAGGCGAGGTTCCTTGATGTATCCAGAGTACACAGCTCACCAGTGGCGGAACCATAGCTTCCATCATCTGATGTCCACCTGGGATAGGCACAATGTCTTCAATGTTGGAAAAAGATTTCAGAATCATCATTATTATATTGTTGGTAGCTCTCCTTTATGGATCACTGCATACATTTTCATTTAATCCTTCCTATCCTCCTCCAGTAATATTTCTTCAGTTTTACAGCTGAGAAAATTAAGGCTTTGTTCTATTGCATAACAAACTACTCCAAAATTGAGTGTTCTTAAACAATTATATTTTTATACTTCAGGAATTCTGTGAGTCAAGAATTTGGGTAGGACTGGCTGAGTGACTCTTCCCTGTGGCACTGGCAGTGGTGACTCAGTGCTCCTCAGCTGGTGGATGAGGAGGTCTGGAGAGTCCCAGAGGCTCTTCTTACATGGCTGGTCCCTCAGCAGGAATGGCTAAAGTCTAGGCATAGCTGGGACTGTTAGCCAGAATACTTTTTTACATGATGGCTTAAGATCCCAAAGAAGGTATTTCAAGAGAGGCAGATGGAAGCTGCGTGGCCTTTTCTAACCAAGCCAGTAGGCAACCAGTCTTTGGGTCCATGTCCGCAGACCACATTCCTAGTTGGGTCTGTGGGGATAGGTCTTGCCATTCTTGTCATTTAGTCAGGTTCTGTGTGTAGATCCAAGCCTAAGGCATTATTCTACACTTCTTTTTACCTAGTGCTTACTTTGTAAGGCAACTGCCGGCCTCTAGAGAGGGAGAGTGAGAACTTCCCACCTTCTTTGCCAATCCATACTTAGAAACTCCTTAAAAACCAAAGGCAAACATAGCTGTCTCCAACCTGAGGAGTGTGATCATGTGCCTGTGCATGTGTGTGTGTGTGTGTGTGCGTGTGTATTTTAATTCCTTTTAGATGATAACCCCTCAAGCTTGATGAATGTCATAGAAAATTCAGATAAAAATGTTTTGTGACTAAAGGTTAGATGGCACAGTCTACAGAGCCCGTGACTGAGAGCAAGAAACCTGGGTTCAGTTCCCTACTCTGCCACTTCCTTGCTATGTGACATCATTGGCAGGTCAATTTATCTGAGCCTTAATTTCTTCATCTGTAACATAAGAGGGTTATACAAAATCACTGCTAAGGGCTATGGTATATGTGCCTATAATCATCATTTTTTTTTTAACTATATGGGTATGTTCAACCTTTTTGTACTTCTGCTTTACTTTCTACCACCCTGAAACCAAGAAAATGGTAGAGATAGAGGAAGGATTCAGTGTGGTTAGAAATCTTAACAAAATGGTATACACCCCCTTCCCCCCAGTGCTTTGATTTTAATACAGTTCTTCAGAGCAAATATTTGCTGATTTACCTAATGGCAGTGTTAGTATTGCTTTTTGTTTACTACCTTTCTTTGAATGACATCAGGCTTTTGGTAGCCAAATGTTGTGCTGGGCTAAGAATGCATCCACACGAGCACTGAGCTCCCTTATATGTTTGCTCTTTTTTCTTTGTAAGTCTTCTTCCATAAAGAAATATAATATCAGCAGAAGGGGCTTTTTGTTGTGTTTTAAAAATCCATCTTTGGCTGAGTGAGTGACTCACGCCTGTAATCCCAGCATTTTGGGAGGCCAAGGCAGTGATGGGAGGGATCCTAAGCCCAGGAGTTCAAGACCAGCCCAGGCAACATGGCAAAACCTCGTCCTTACAAAAAATTTTCTAAAAAATTAGCGAGGTGTGGTGATGTGAGCCTCTAGTTCCAGGTACTCGGGAGGCTGAGGTGGGAGAATCACCAGAGCCTAGGAAGTCAAGGCTGCAGTGAGCCCAGATTGTGCCACTGCACTTTAGCCTGGGTGACAGGAGTGAGACTCTGTCTTAAAAAAAAATCCATCTTTGAATAACCCCTAAAGTATGTTAACAGTATATACCCGTAAATGATAGTGATAGGCTCTCTCTGGACCTCTTGAATCCCCAGTCAAGAATAATGTTGCCACAATGACCCAGGCTTCTTTCAGAGAAATTGTTTTGCGAAGGTATGGAGATGTGTGACAAGAACAGATTCCCAACAGTAGCTGTCTCCCTCCTGTTCCCCGCAGGTCTTCCCTCTTCCCTTTCCCTCCTCTTTCCTCCCCACCTTCCCTTTTCCTTTCCCCACTTCGTCCTTCCCTTTTCCTTCAAGGTTTATTAGGGGGAGGAGAGAGGTAGAGGCTGAGTATTTCCATAGTGTACAAGCCCTGTGAACTGTTCTGTGTTTTTCCCTGAAGGTTTTCTCCAGCGCTCCTGTCAGATTTCCCTAGTTTCAACCTAACCCAACAAAATGCAGCTGTACTCAAGTCAGCTACTGCCTTTTCCAGAACTTATTTGGACCTTTTTGATGCCCTGCCAAATCATACAGTTAACTTTGGACTCTTGTGGAAGAAGGAGAAAAAGTTAAGCAATTGCCACAGAATTAGGTGTTGGAAAAAGCTTTGTTTCCCCACCTATATTTCTGATTTTTGTTCCTTTCCCCCTTCCCACGCCTTACCTTATCTTAACCCTCAGGACAACCTCTCTAGAAAGCTCAACTTTTCCTTCAGTACCCACCTGAAAGATGGAAGAAATGGGAAGAAATGCACTCACAGATACTCCCCTCTGCAGATTTTACAAAAGCCTGACTTGATAGAGAAGGAGACTAAATGAATATTAAACATAATTGGCAATAGTAAGCAGTTAAAGGTTTTTCAATAGAGGTATTTTTTCTTTTAAAGCAAAATATTTAGTAATTTCAGTAACTTGAGGCTGCAAAATTTGCTAACAACAGGCAATCCCCTGATAAATATGAGGTTGTAAAATTAGAGTAAATTTGTTTATATGTGGGACAAAAATATTTTCAGTTGTAACAGAAAATTATTTTTGAAAAAGAGGTGATACTGCTTAGTGTTTGATCCAACATGACAATTTTCCTTCAAGATTCTTATGAAAGTTTCTCTGCCAGAATTTCACACATATATATTCAGAGATAAATGTTTTTAAAAGGAAGAGCTTCCTTTAACAGAATCACAGCATCACTTTACTCAAATTAAGTACTGGTGACTTGCAAAAAGTAGTTTTTAGTCTATGTTCACCCACAAATCTGAAATCAGTATGCATTTTTATATATTTTTCTCCAAATAGATTTCTTTAATTCAGTGAGCAACATTTTAATCTGTGTGAGGCTTTGATTGTTCTATTTTGAAACCTTACGGAGACATAATAACAATGCTGATAAAGTATACATATGGTTTAGTTAACATTGTTATGTTATTACTTTAAAAATGAATATGATGTTATATATTGCTGAAGCTCCAGGTAATAGACAGCCATGGTATATAGCTAATCTGAGAGATTGCTCAGGTTCTCAGAGGACAGAATTAATGGATCTTCTTTGGAGTTATGCCTCCTAAAATACACTTTTAAACTGTGCTTAAACGCATTCATGGAAATACCCCTTTCTTAAAATGTTAAGGATGTCATTCTTTCCAGAAATGTGTATTTAATTGTACACTCTAAAAATATAGAGACATTTTGCTTGTGTTTTTTCAGTAGAGGAGATTGTTTGGTAATTAGAGATTATTGTTAAAGAGGCAAATTATTTTGAAAATATACATTTATTGAGAGGAGATCTGGGAATGTAAACTAGACAGAGAGGTTACATCTAAAATTGTGTATTACCAATACAGCAGCAGTTTAGTAAATTGGTATATAAACAAGCATCTGTTGCAGGAATGTAAGAATGACATCATAAAGGATGTATGGAAAATTTTAATTGAGAAAGAGTGATGCACAATTGAAGCATGACTTTAAGTCTAAATTGATTTTGCCAACAGAGTAAAAGTGGAATTCTTTTAAAACATTCCAATAATGTAAAGTATTTAAAATGTAATGTCCTGTTAATGTACCTAAAAATTAGACTCTAGGTCATCCAATAAGAGTACTGCTTACAGTAATACAGTCTATGTAATATGCAATTATCTTGACCATAGTTTTATTTTTCAACAATTTTGTCATAAAACAGCAGTAAGATACAATGAACTTGATTCATTTTTTTGTGTGAATCATTTAATAGGCCATTACATCTACTATATTAGACTCCATTCTCCTTTCAGAGCTTTTCATTATAAGGCTGTCTTTAATGGAAAGAAGTTTAACCTTTCCTCCCAGATAGAGTGAACCCCATAACAGTGTAAACATTCTCATTATAAAATAAAATCCCCTTCCCCAAGGGCAGTGCTATAATTATGTTGCAGAGCATTGTAGGAATGTTTTTCTTCAGAAATGCTGTCTCATTCTTGCTCTCAAGTTTTTATCATTTTCAAACAATCTATAATATTTTTAAATTATAGTTTAATAAAATGCATATGATCTAGTTTAACATATTTTGAAGTTATTTTAATCAACTTTGCAAAGAAATCATCAGTAAAATTGCTGTTGATTTATAAATAGGATAATTAGAGGCTTTCCTCCTAAGTACTGTTCACTGGCATTGTGGCTGTTTTTATTGCCTAGTCAAACCTCTTCATTCAATTTTAAAATTGCCTTTTGAATGAACTGCACTATGTGCTTGCCAAATAATGTCACCGTTAATACTTTGCCTCCTCTATTTCATTGTCCAGTCTGCAAATGCACAATAAATTGTTTGATAAGGGGGTCAATGAGGTTTGCTAGTTTTTTAAGTGAATTATAACCAAACAGTTCAGATTATGTCACACTCTTATTGTTATGGTAGAGCTGTGTTTAAAAGATAGCAGTACAGTACTTTGGTTCACTTTGCACTGTTACATCAAGAATATATCCTGTACAAATCAGGATAGTGTGGTTCTTCAACAAATCGCCAATCTTTATATCGAGAAAAAAGAAAAATGCCACTTTGAGATGTATAGACTTCACCCCTTGGGAAGGGGGTTGCTGAAATTGACAGGTTCTTGGTTTGCAGAGACAGCCTGGTTTCTATGTAAATGTGTTAGAACAAAGATTTAATAGGATTATTTCAAGATAATATTTTTATGAAGATGCCAAAGGAAGTATTCATTGGAAGGCCTAAGGACTATATGTTGTTAGTATGAAAATGCTCAGCTGGTCAATATTATCTGTTCCATAGATAGCAATTATATTTCCCTAGGTGTGTGGACTCATTGGCTATTTACTATGAATTGTAAGAGGTGGTTTTTCTACCCTTTGACTTGCAGATAAAATCATAATGTCTTTTTGGGTTTACTTTCATGAGAAGGAAGTTGAGATTTTCTTAAATGCATATCTTTCTGCTTATGCAGAATTGCTGAGTGTTTTTGAGAAATTTAAAAGGCAAAAGTAAGAAACTTTGTGCTTGTTGCATCTAAAAGCAAGTCTGTTTGTGTGTGTCTCTCCCTTTGTAACAGAAGGAATGTTTCTTATGTTTCTGTCTTCAGACAGTTGGCACACATTTCATCTCAGCAGCTGCTTTCTCTTAAAGTGCAGTAGAGTGTAGGACTATAGTGACACCAGCATTAATACTTCACATTCTGCTATCATATGCTGTCACTGGGAAATATGGATCTAGGTTACATGTGTTTGCAGACTTTGTACTGCTGAATTATGAAAGCTGACTCTGTTGGTGGATTGTGTTGTATTCAGAGACTGTGAACTGAACAATAAATGAATGCAGTAGGCTGTTTAGAGTGCTATAGCATGCTTTCCTTTCAGGGACTAATTGAGCCTGAGCTTTAAAATTTAAAGTGCCAAATTGTGCTGGAAAATACCTTAAAATAAACATTAAATAATTTTTGTCAAATGGCATTTTTATATGCTATCTTTGACTTTAAAAATTTTTTAGATCCTCATTTTTTCTACTGTTGCATAAATCCTTGCACTTCAGATACGTAAAACAATAAGCATATTGCAGACGATCAAAGAAAACTTTTTTCCCATTCAGATAAAAATTTGCAAAGAAAATCATTGTTAAAATTGCTTACTATGGTTGTAAAAATTAAAATAATGTTTCAGACTTTGTGTCTTTTTATAAACAGTTTAAAATACAACAGCCAGGACAGAGCTAGTAAGATAACAATCATTCTTTTGCCTTTGTGTCTGAGCTATGCCTACACACACAACACACAGGCACATACATATATATTTGTGTAGATAGACACAACCATACATATATATTAATTTTTTAGTTAATACAATTTCTGAAAAAGCAATTGCTGATTTATAAACAGAATGAGGATAGCACATAGGATAATATAATATCAAAATAATAGAGCATGAAATGTGCACATGGGAGAAATGTTTAGGTAAAAACAGATTTATAGATCAGTATCTGGAGGTATAGATAATGGATGCTAAGTGGCTAGTAGCCTGTTATAAAGGATGGATGGTGAGTATTTTCATGTCTTTTGCATTTTACCACAGATGAAATTTATGTGGCTTATTTGTAAGTTTGATTTGGGTCTATCTAACTTTTGGAGTTTAATTGAAATTTTATTGTAAACTTTGCTTTGCAATGTGCAGAATGGGTACTGGGACAGAGACTTTTTCTGACCTATATTTTTTCAGTTGAAAACTGCCTTGGGAGTCATTGTGTATCACAAAAGCCACCCACTTATTTCCATCTTGCCCTACATGGCACTGGTTTGAAGTAGTGAAATACATTTAGTGAGGTAACATAAAGGTCTCAAGTTGTGAAAGTGCAAATTTGTAAATATATAGGATTCTTAATCTCTCTTTTTTTTTTTTTTGGCTTTTTGAATTCTAAGATTCTTAGTTTTTTAATCTATTGTTTATATTACCTGGTTTTTATTTTATTTTATTTTTGTAGTTTATTATTTTTTTTTAATAGACCGAGTCTCACCTTGCTGCCCAGGTTGGTCTTGAACTCCTCGGCCCAAGTGATCCTCCTGCCTCAGCATCTCAAAGTGCTGGGATTAGTGGCCTGAGCCACTGTGCCCGGCCTGTGGTTTTGCTATGTGAGAAAGAAAAAACTTCCTACCTTGATAGCACAGTATAAAACAGTGGTTGTGACAGTGCTGCTAACTTGTATAAAGTTTAGGATTATGATTGGTTTTAAATTTTATAATTCCTGTTTTTCTCTTTTTCTAAGAATTGGTGTCAAAAAAGATACACTTTTTTCCCCAAAGTAATGTGAAAAATTTGCATTGTCCCGTGTTGTTTTCACCTATTAAGTGAGCAGACTGTTTGCCTTTACCCAGAGGGGTTCTGAACACTCTCGAGTCTGCAGAAATCATGTTGGTAGCCTGGAATGATATTAATAATTTTCTGTCTGTCCTGTGGCATCAATTTATCATTCCATATGTCCTTAATGTGACCAGGTATGTGGCATTTGCTTGCTCTTTTTCCTTGTGGAAGTTTATTTCTAAGTGACCCATTTAAAAATCCCTTCAGTTTGGGACTGTGCACCTCAGGTGAACACCACTTGCCTATCTCAAGAAGGCACAGCCTAGGAGTTTGTTTTCCAGTGCAGTGATTTGTGTAGTGCCCTGATGTGGTGTTCATAAGGCATTCTTTCTTTTCTTTTTTCTTTTGAGGTGGAGTCTCACTCTGTTGCCCAGCCTGGAGTGCAGTGGCGCAATCTTGGCTCACTGCAACCTCCACCTCCCAGGTTCAAGCGATTCTCCTGCCTCAGCCTCCCAAGTAGCTGGGACTACAGGCACGCGCCACCACGCCCAGCTAATTTTTGTATTTTTAGTAGAGACGGGGTTTCACCATGTTGGCCAGGATGGTCTTGATCTCCTGACCTCGTGATCCACCCGCCTCATCCTCCCAAAGTGCTGGGATTACAGGCGTGAGCCACTGCACCCGGCATACATAAGACATTCAATTGAACAGTGCATTATTTGACAGAGCAGTTGCCTATCATTTATGTTCAAGAAGTGCACACAATATATTCAGGACTGACACAACTGTCCAGTAGCACTTCATTTCTGGTTCTGTCTCAAATCACTGCTACCTATGGACATTTGGCTATGTTTGTTGAAAAGATGAGCTCTTGCCGAAAACAGTACTGTCTGAGGTTGGAAATCTAAAATGCTGCTGTTAGCTGATTGCAAAAACATAAAACACATCAACAGTTTTGGCAGTAGAATTAAATGTGTGAATGAATTGAATAAAAGGTGAAAACAGCACTTCTCTCTTAGCCATGGTTCTATGCAATTGGGGCCATTAAACACAGTTTATAGAGTCCTATCACTACTTCTTTGTAAGGGCTACAGTGACCTCAAGTTCCCTTTGTGTTTCTCTTTCTTTTCCACAAACATCTATATTAAAAAAGGAATCCATTAAATAAAACTTCTGAAAGTGCCTTATAAGATCAAAACACATCCAAGGAGCCAATACTTGAGACCTTGAAAAGAAATTAAACATTAAATTTGGGTTATTCCCATGCTTAATTAAAGTAGAATGAGTTGGATATAGAAGTATATCTTGTCATGTAATCAGAAAAAGTGACGCTTTTAACATGTGAGTGCGTGTTACGACCCAGATTAGCTATGTAGCATTCTCTTAAAAATTCACCCTTTCTTATTCTCGATTTCTCCTAATATGTACACATGTTCTGACTTCCCATACATCCAGCATCTTTGGTGACTTCATTTCCCGTAAACTTTATTACCTTTCACAAGTTTCATGTAGAATTTTTTCTGCTTAGATGAGTAAGGTAGAATCAGTGAGAAAGCTCTAGATTGTAACTATCAATTATAATACTAATTACAAAACTTATTCCGTATTGCTTACCTCCTCAAAAGTTAATTGCGCTTTCCAACCTCAAATGTTGGCAAAACTTGAGCTTTTCACTCTTTGCAACATAGCATATGTCAAAAATAGCTGTACTTCAAGGAGGAAACTAAGGCAGAAGTGATTGGATAATTTAGTTGTGTCACAGAGAGTTAAACGTCTTTTTTATTGAGGTAATGATCATCATTTATGATGGCTGGTTCTGTGCTCATCTGTAGCCTCTGACACATTTTTGGAGAACATTACTAATACTCTGGATATAATCTAAAGTGTTTGCTATAGTGAAAAGATCTCCAGCCTGGTGGTTGGAGTTGCAGCAGTGTTACTAACTGTCTGCGTGTGGTCAAGCCCCTCATTTAACCTTTTACGGCCTTAGTGTCTGAATCTGTAAAATGAAATCATTGAGCTGGATTATATCTCAAGTTCCTCTAAGTTTCAAAATTCTGTCATTTTATATTTCTAATTAGAAGCTTGGCTTTATCACAGTTACGCAAGATTAGAAAATATATGAAGTCCAAAAGTTATTGTTTATCTTTAATCATCCCAAGTAGTAAAGCTCAAATATTTTTCAGTTTTAGAAAAATGATTTTTAAATGAGCTTGGAAAGTGCTCTGTGTTCTTTAGTTTGCATAGCTAGAACAGAAGAGAGAGGAAAGTAGATTTAATAAAATCAGTCACAGGTTAATATGATTTTTAACTTTTGCTTTTCAAAAAATCTTCATGTAAATTACATATTTCAGTGTGTTATTATGTAACATTAGTTTTGTAATTAGTTATCTGTAGCCAAAATTAAAAATAGGTGTGACCCCTCCTTCTCAACCCTGCTCCTAAATTCTTAAAATCAATCATGTCAGTATTTTAACTCATGCAATTTTATAATTGTTTATATTTACATTGAAATAAGAGATTCATATCCCCTTTTGGCTCATAATTCATCATTGTGTGGTTGGTTGTTCAACAAATCAAATAGGAGCATGTTCTCTTTATTGCTATTTGGTATACTCAAGAGTGAGTCCTGGACTAGGTGGCAGGGACCTGGTTACTTCCCAGCTCTGCTATTAACTACCCATGTGACTGGATAAAGTATTTAATCAGTAATGGAGCTTCAGCCTCCTCATTTGTAGAATGGGATGATATACCCTCTTCCTGCATAGGGCACAATGCCTTGCGGAGTCCATGAGTTTAATAAATGTACGTTTCACTCAACACAACTGAGTTGTGGAATTTTTGTCCTAAGTTCTCCCCATCAAGGTTGGGAGTTGGGGGATATGATTCGAAGGAAATAATTGTTTGGCAGTCTTTTTTGTATGTTAACTTTAATTTCTCCCTCCAAATAAGATGGTAGCTTTTGAACCGTTATTTAGCTAAGCAAACATTTTTTCAAACGTTATGTTATCAGAAGTAGAGCTGATTTTGTTGGAGCAGGAGGGGAGACCCTACCAGGTTGCTTTCTCCTGCCCACTCATGTCTTTCTGTAAACCCAGAAAGGGCTATGCAGAACTTCTTGGGCTCTGTAAACAAACTTTTTGAAAACGATCGTGGATCCATAATTGCACAAAATTATTTGTTCAAAAGGACATAATGAATATTTAGAATGACTCCCTTGAAGTTGATCCAAAACTTCTTGTCATGATATGACTTGGGCTGGAATATAATTCCATTGCATCACCTTTCTTTCACAGGAGAGTAAAACAGATTGCTTGCCAAATCTATGTTAATCAGCATTTTTGTTATAATTGCCAGGATATTCAGTTTACAGAAATAAATAAATATATATGATATATATATAAATATATAAAATATATATATGTTTAATCCTTAAAGGTCTTAGTTCACATTTTTATAGTGAGTGAGAAGTATGTTGGGTGACAATATATAGCTGTCCATTTTGATTGGCTATGTTGTTATCAAGTTGCAATTTCCAATTAGCTTAAAAAGATCAGATAATTTATGCATACAGTGCTGTTTGACGTGAATAAAGGTTATCCCTCTCACAGACCTCACCCAGGGAAATCAGTTTTAATGGCTACTCATTTGAGTCTAAGCAAAGGTAGAGAAATATGGCCACAGAGCAAAACTTGTAACATAAAATCCCCCTGTGTCTGCTTCAAGATGTCCCAACTAAGTTTTAAGCTCCTTAGGAGTCAAGATCTTTGCAGGAATAATAAAGTGTAAGTGTAGTCTATGCTCACTAAATTTAAGTCTTGTCTTTAACTCTTTTAAACTCTACGAAAGTATTTTCTAGAATGAAAAGCCTGTTATTAAGCCAGACAAAGACCCTAAGCCTGTCATGTACATGCTGAGCACTCTCAAGTTAAAGGAACCTTGTGAAGGCGTTTGGCCTGGCTCTCTGTTGTCTGATTCTGTGTTGTGGATTTCTGTCAAGGTTTTGAGGACAGGCCCCTTTCTCAAGGAGTGGTGCAATTCCTGCTTAGCTTCTAAACAGACTTGCTTCTTGCTGCCCTGCCTGACTTAGAACTGTGTTCTGCCTTGCAGTTGACATCAACTGGTTGAATGACCTTGGACAAGTCAAGTTACTAAAACTCTCTGAGTCTTAGTAAATGAGAAGACGGACTAAGTGCTCGAATCTAGTTTTAAAATTCTGTGAGTCTTCAAGATAGCCTATGTAACTGAAAATATGTATCCTATCTTTTGAATTGTGCTGGTAAGAAAGTAAGATTGTCTTTACACAGACACATACACTCTGACACTCCTTTACACTGGGATTTGCTACAGTGAAACCAAAAAAATTAGAGATATAAGTTATAGGGAAAATGTGAAATACACCTCTTTTCTGCTTTTTTTCTGGGCATCGGATTCCTATTTTTCCTCCACATAAAACTGACTGAGCATAAGCAAAGTAAATACTAAGTCTCATTCTTGATCATTCACAGCTTGAACTTGGATTGAAGTTGCTTGCTCTCTGATCCAGAGTTTTTGGATGCATGGCTTTTCGTGTGAGCAAAGAAATAAACATACTAAAAAGGTTGTAGAAAATTGTAGATTTAGTAGAATCTCTGAGATGATTTACTCTGGGGCTAGGTTTAGAATGGCAAACAGATGCAAAGCTTTTTCTGGCCTTAATTTTTGAGTTGGCTTTATTCTTGTCTACAAGAGGCCTAGATTCTTGCTGTTCTCCTCACCCCTCCCTTTTTTGTGCACTTCTAAGATTTAAGAGTGTGATATGTCTGAAAAAGATTTGTTTGATTAGAAGAAAGTATGCCCAGAGAATATTGCCATATTATCTTGTATGATTCATTTTATTAACTTGCCACCATCCAAGGCAGGAGGACAGAGTATAGAATTTGACATAGGCAACATTCAGCCTCCCAGAAATTTAGAGAAGATGTTGGGCCTTTCATCTCCGCTAGATGGCCATTGAGATGAAGGCTTTTCCTGGGAGGAGGTCCAAAATCATCTCAGATGTGTAGGTTTTGGAGATGATTCAAAAGGGCTGCTTCGTGGAACGTGAGACATTCCCAAGGTCAAATCAGTTTATTTAGGCATGATTATCAGTAAACTACATGAAAAGAAAAGCGAGTATCCATTTCTGTTAACTTTAGCCTTTTCTGAAACCATGTGCCCAATCTAAAAAAGGGTAGTGGTTGTGAAATATAAAATTCCATGTGTTTTTGCATAATCGGGATTAATTTTAAATAATTCATCACATAATTTACACAATAAAAAAACCAAGTTTTCTTTTAAAAATTAGCGTATTGTTGAGATAAACATCCCCAACCCCTATCCCCCTCGAAACTCTATTTTGTTCCTAAGACTGATATTCCTTCAAAGGGCAAAATGTTCCCATGTTATTTATTCCAATGGAGTAAGAAAAAAAAAAAAAACAGTGGCAGTATGTTTATTTTAGTAAGGTTTTTTAAAGCATTTTATGTCCTTTTAACAATGTTTTATTTGTTTTATTGTAGATTTTTGATCCTCTGTCCCATACCTGCTATTAAATGAAACTATATAGCTTTAAGCTAAGCACTTTCACAAAGCCCTGTAAATAACAACCCTCTTTTCTCATTTAAAGCCAGCAGGACATCCCATCATGACTACCTCTTAATTAGATGATATTTTGATCTGTGTTCCTATTCATTAATGCTTTGTTTTCTAGTGTCATGTCATGGTACGGTTTACTCACTAATACAGTTTTGTGACATATTCCTACAAGAGCTGGACCAGAGGAGTCCCGGTTTGGCTCAGGGTTTCTGATATATTGCTTGACATAATTTCCAGATTGATATATGGGTTAAATTACATAATACTGGAAACGTATAATTTTAAGAAATAATCTTTAACAAAAGTCATGTTATATAGTAGAAAAAGATTGACTTTAATACATTGATTATCTAACTTCCAAAACATTTTTACTCCATTTGCTCTCCCTGAGATGGTCTATTGTGTTAACACAGCTCACTGTGCTGCTGGTTCTGCAGTTTTGTGCTTGGTATTTTTTTGCTAATATTTAATGCAGTGCATTTTATGTTCTTCCTTTTATTTCATTTTATGTTGTATTGTGTTATGTATTTCACTGCTGGATCTAAATTGGGGAAGGGAATCCTGCTTTGTCCTTGTACTATAATGAAGATAGAGTTTGTTAATATAAATGTAAACTGCTGTCTTAGGTGCATCATCACATGAAGACTGTTTCATAATTGAATATGTTGGTACTAGATACATTTAGAAAATTAGAGTCCCTAAACACCTACTCACAGAGAGAGATGAACTTAATGGTTTGTTGTATACAGTTTCATTTAAAAATATTTTAGAAGAATGACTTATTTGTAAGAATATGTAGAGTGCAAAGTAATGATGGTAACAGTGGAACAGTTAAAGGAAAAATATATGTAGCAATTACATTCAACATTTATTAGGATCTTTGTTCTTAGAAAGTTAGATATTTTTGAGAATTTCAAAATATGGGTGGTAAAATTAGATTAGATTGAGAGGGAGAAATAAGTTTCCAGAAGCACGTTAAGGACACATTACCTACTTTAGTAAACATAACTATAAAGTGTATTGCTTTTTATTAAATTATCTGCCTTCACAGAGCAATAATATTTTTTAATGTATAGCGTTAAAAATGATGGGATGACAGCAATTTCAAATCCATTTTCCTCATTTTTCTAAGTGAAATGGGGAAATATATATGAATATATCTTCAATTAAGAATGGAAAAGATTATTTTAAATAATGCAGCTGCAAAAAATAAGTGTCCAATGAGAAATGTGTGCAAAATGCTAATGATTAATGCTGTGTTGCTGAAGTTCTTATTTGTCAATATCTAAATGTTTAACGTTGGAAAGAATATTTCAAAAGCATGAAATATTTGGAGCATAAAGGTACTGTACCCAAATATCTTCTTATAATCATTTCAAAATTTATTTGAGCAGCTCTGGCTTCTTCAGGCTTGAAAAAAGGAAATCAGTCACATTTGCACAAAAACAGTATGATCAAACCTGTTATTCTTAATGTTTTTCTGACATAAATGTGTTATGTGATCACTCATGGATATTTCATCAAGAACAAAGCTTTGAGATTATTTTTTTCCCTAGGATATGACATAATGTGACTGGGATTTTTAGGTCACACTATTTCTTTTTCAAAAAATGACCCTGTTTCTTCATCTCTGCAAGATATACATTTCAGAAATGTATTTATTTCAGAAAATAGAGATGTGTTTGAGAATGGAGAAGTCATTGGTTAGAAGGAAGTTGTAGGTGTTTTTTTTTTTTTTTTGTAAAAGATTCCCATAAGACTGACCACAAATTTAAGAAACCAAATCCTGTCGAAGGTAAGCATATGCCCTTTTTAAAACAGTGTTCCCGCAGCCAGTTTTTCTTCAGAAAAATTTTGTCATCAGTACCATCTATGCAATAACAGGAGAAAAGAAAGAGGAAAGAATTGGATGTCAGGATGTGTTGAGCATTTCTATACTTAAACTGTGGTGGTCACTTGGATTTTAGCCGTACTTTCCATATTTAAAACTTGTGAAAAAGAGGGGTTAAAAAGGCTGAATATCTTTGTACCCTAATGAGAGAACGGTTGCAGTAACAGTATCAAAGATAAACCGCTATATTAGGAATACTAAATGATAAAGGGCGATAATATGCCATTCTTGAGACTTCTTGGCTCTTACCTAACACATCAGAAAGTGATTGTTGAATTTTAAATAGCCATACAAATGGATGACATAGAAATTTAACTTTGCTTTGACCTTATTCTAATTCACAAGATGACTGCAAAATGACTTTGTTGCATCTGAATGTATGCTGGATGCTAAATCACTCCAGAGTATAAAATCTTTGTTTTGGCATAATGTTGATGCATAAACATTTGTACCCCATACTAACCCTATAAACATCACAATCCATCAGTACAATTACAAAAAAGATTGTTTGTTTTCACACTTAAAGCAGACATGAAATAGAGTGTCCTTAACTTAATCACCACCTTGATTTACCACATTTGCATATATTTGCATATTAATTGGACTACAGATTAAAATTGGTTTTGTAATTTTAATTAAGTGTCCACAAAGGTAAATGATTAGAACTGTTTAAAATACATTCTGACATAAATAGCAGTAAAAGCTTTTGTGATGATGTTTTTGTGGAATTACATTCAGAAAGTGGCCTTTTTATGATAGTAATTTTAATCTTAAATAGAATTATACAGTCAAACAGAACTGTGGATTCATAATCATTTTTTTCAAGTTTCATTTAATATTTTGCTGATTTGCAGCACTTGATGAAAATGTACTGTAGGTTTAGCTGATTGCAAAATTAGGCCTTTAGAGCTGATAAAGTGAGGGTTTAAACCCGCAGTCTTTAGATGCCTGTCATACATACTTGAAGTAGATGTCTCATTTCATGTGTGCGTGCACAAGTATGTGTGTGTGTATGTGTGTATGTTTTAGTGGAATCAACTCATATAACCCTTTTAATGATATACCCTTTAAAAAGAGAATCATCTTAAGGGACCATCATATTCCCAGTTTAAATTAGGGAACATATAAAATGTTTAAAGGTCTCTTTGGCATATTATCCTGGTACCCAGAAGAACTGTCCTAATGTTGACATAGGCCAAAATGTGCTGACTTAATAACAGGTCATCCTCCCTGGTGCTTTCCCTTTGGGGGTGGCACTCACCACATGAACAAGATAATTGTTGGGGAAAAAGCACTTCCCCCACCTCAAAACCTGAGATACTAACGTGTGGCATGTGCTTTCTGTTATACCAGACAGAAAATTGGTTTTACCAGAAGGTTACTGGATGCCTAGCACCCCCTTCTTCCAGCTGGCATTTTCCTGTTTGAATCATTTTAAATGTTGGATGCTGAAACCCTCCCCACTCCCAGCTGCCACCTTCTTCTCTGGCGGTACCCTAGACACAGCTCCCTAATGCTTCCTTGCACCCAGCTGCTTCTCTGCCTGGCTCCTGGCTATTTATAATGTGATGGGATAAATAATCCTTTTTCTACTAGTCACCTCCAAACAACTCTTAATTGGATTTCTTTTATATGCTATGATGTCCCTAAGTGTGCAGTGAGTGGCATAACCATCAAATTTCTTATTGTCCTCGCTAAATGCTATAGAAGTATGTGTGCATGCACACACCTCCTTGTAAAGCTTATGAAGAGCAAACCAGGTAAACCTTTTGATTCTCCTAAATCAGATGAGGGGAAATAATTTCTTAGAAACAAATCATTATATATTAATTTTTAAGAGCCAATTTAAAAAACCTTAAATTTTGTCCTGATGTACTGTATTAGAAATAGCAAAAGCTTGGAATTTGCCAGGCATAGTTTTAAATCCTAGTCCTTCCATTTCCTAAGCATGCCATTTTGGCAAGATATTATGTCTTTCTGAAGCCTCAGTTTCCTCATCTGTTAAATGGAGATTAAAAAGACCATCAAGAGGTTGTGAGACATAAATAAAATAATGAGTGTAAAAGCATCTAGCCAAGGTGGTAGCAGTGGAATTAGTGAAAAGTGGTCGAATTCAGGATATATTTTGAAGGTAGAACAGACCGAATATGCTGATGAATTAGTTGTGGGGTGTGAGAAAATAAATAGGCGTCAAAGACGAGAGCCAAAGTTTTGGCCTGAGCAACTTGAAGGATAGAGAAGACCATGGTAGAAACAGATTTGGAGGGATTGGATTCAGGCATACTGAGTTTAAAGTACTTTTTAGACATAGAGAAAGCAGTTTGCTCTGATTGGAAACTATTTTGTGCAGTCACCTAGGCTGGAGTGCAGTGGCGAGATCTCAGCTCACTGCAACTTCCGCCTCCCAGGTTCAAGCAATTCTCCTGCCTCAGCCTCCCAAGTAGCTGGAATTACAGGCATGTGCCACCACACCTGGCTCATTTTTGTATTTTTAGTACAGACAGGGTTTCATTATGTTGACCAGGCTGGTCTCGAACTCCTGACCTCAGGTGGTCCACCCACCTCGGCCTCCCAAAGTGCTGGGATTACAGGCGTAAGCCGCTGCGCCTGGCCAGTGCTTGGTCATTTCTTAGGCAGGCTAGATGGACTCAGAATTCCCAAATTGCATTTGAAGAATAGGGGACACCATTTTGAAGTGCTGAAAAATTGGCTAAATGTAATGTTTTGTTGCTGACATTACTTTAAAGGTTTGTGGAGGAGAGATTTAAATGTATTTTATTATCCTCAGTGTTTCTAGTTCTGTTTTCAGGTTCATTTCACTAGTTGAAGCAAAGTTTTTATATGAACATTTTTATTGAGCAATATGATATCCTAGTATGTAGTCCAGAAAGTACAGTAAAAAGCAGAAAGGAAGTACCAAACACTTCCCCTAGCTTTATTGGTTCAAAGATCCTGAATGAAATGCTTATAATAAAAAAAGAAAAAAAAAGAAAAGGAAGAAAGAATGAGAGGAAAGAAAAAGGGAAAAAAAGAACCTTGAAAGGAGTCTACAAGAATCCACAGCATGCAGAAGATATTTTTTTCAACTTTTAAGATTACCATTACCCAATACTCTTCCCAGAACTTACCTCCCCTAACTTTAAACTTGAGAAATCATGCATTAGAGAAGCTGGTCTTCTCAACACCCTGCTCTCATGGCCACCGCCTTTTAAGCTTTGGTTATCTTTGATTCCTGGGACATCTCAACCACTACCCACTCTGACATGTCTCTCTTTCTGGATTGGAGTCTAATGGACAGTATTATTTTATACCACTCTTGAATATTCACACTACACACTAGTATTTTAAGGACTCTGAGAAGTCTTGCAAAAAAAAAAAAAAAAAGTTATTTTCTTTTACCCAATGTCAGAGACATGGCAAGAAACATACAGCACACTTAAACTTATAACTTGAGGAAACTTTAATAGGAGGACTTCTTACAAAGATATGGGCAAAGTTTAAGGAAGGTACCAAGGGATAGTACAATGCTCTGGATCTAGTAACAGTGTTACCACCCCTGGGTCTGAAAGGGCAAGTGGAAGGAGTGGCTACTAGAACTTAAAGAGAGCCAACTGAGTATGCCCATTGTTAGAAAGATACAGCCAACTTATTTGCAAGAAGGAGCAGCAGAATGAATACCTAAAAAATCTCCTACATGTATCTGCAGTTGGCTGAAACCAACCAGAACCAGAGGACAAGGGAGCCCTTTAATGCAGTCCATTTGGGTCAACCTGCTAGGGCACAGAGCAGGGCCAAGAAAGGTAGAGAGTGAATCTATAGAGGCAGACAGAAGATACTCCAGTGTACTTTATGTTTCCCAAATGTTTTTCTCATTAGACCTCACTTTTGGTTTGTTTGTAGGTTTGTTTGGTCTTGATTTGATTTGACACCTGAGAACATCTTCAGGGACATTAGTGTTCGGTAGAGCACAGGTCATAAAATGGGGGCCACTGCAGCTATTGTGCTTGCCTAGCCAAGCAGTTTTGCTTTTCTAAAAATTAAGCTTTGAATGCCTTTGGATGGGACATAAGCTCCCAGCTTTGGCCTTAGCCCACCACATTCTGATATGTTCGGCCATCATGTCAGTGCATTCTTGTTATCTTCCTCACCCCAAGGTCATTTCATGTGTTGGCCCTTGCTCTGGACTCTGCCCCCCTCTCCTCCTCAGTCCCTTATCACATTTGATCTATTCTGGGCTCCCATTTTCATAGGAGCCAGTTTTCCTTGAGGGAATGTAGTCAATCTATGTTGTTAGGAAAATGATTGTTAAAGGCTTAATGTGTCATTTTCCTTGGGGTAACATAGTAACATGGTAGAATTTTAAAAGAATCTTTATGGAATTTTTGCCACAGTTCTCTCTGCCCCTGACAAATTTCAAATGATATGACTTTGTTTTTTGCCTCTCAAACAACATACATGGCATTTTTTATATAAAGCTTGCCCTAATCATTTCTATTTGGCCATTGCTGTGAGCATTCCCTACTTCTATATTGCTAAATAAAGAGAATATGTTCATCTTCCCAGAGCACAGCACACTTTGAGTTCTCCTCAAACGCAGGTTCCTGTGGATAACTAGCCAGAAGAGAAGAGAAACGGCAGGCAGAGCTCACAGGTGAAATCCCAGTACAGGGACCTCCAGGGAGGCTGTATATTATCTTATAATACTCAAATGTCATTCTAGAGAGTAATTTTCTAAATAAGTTTAAGACACAATAATAATTTGAAAGAAATATTCTTTCCATGCAGATTGAATGTAATCAATCTGACTTCTAATGTACAGACCACAGCCCCTGAGCTTCTCAGAATGTAGGTAATGTAGAATGAATGAAATCGAATGCTTCCACCATTTCTCCTTTATCTTTTGCCAGAATCAGCTAGATCTACTGCTTTTATTCTTTCTTCTATAAAATGTGTCTGTTTTTATTTTCTTGCCTTCCTGTTCACTGTGGCTTTGGAATTTGGTTTCCTTCTTAACTAGTCAGTGACTTTGCATTGCTTCTTATGCTTCAATGAAAAATCAGGTGCTGATTTTTCCTTTATTATTTATGCTCGAAGACTGAAAAAGGGACTCTTTTACTGAATTAGTAATGAAAAATTATTTCTATAATAAGGTCAACAAAGCATTATTACTGTAGGTCATTGACCAGGACTCAGAAACGTTTTAATTATAGTATTTTTCTTACAACAATAATGACACTTGGCCTGTGTTAAATTTCCCATTAGCTTCTCTGCCTGATTTTCATTAGGCACACCCAGAATTTGGAGCTTAGATGCTAATTTTCATGGCACTTGAATGTTTTATTCAGATTACTAAAGCACACTGATTCTCTTCCTTGAAGAATTTTGTTGTTAGGGAGTGGTGAGTTCAAGGGATTTTTTGAAAGTATAGAAATAGTTTCAACTCCTCAAGAACTGTCAAGTATTTTTCTTTGTTTTATTTTGTTACTTAGCTTCTAAAATAGCAGTTCTTTAGCTTTTGATGGGCCTTTAAAGCAAAAATGACCTACTCTTAGATATTTTTAATATTCAGAAACAATTTTTTAAGCAACATAAATTGTACACTTACTCATCTTAGACATAAGAATTCCATTGATAAAATTCCAAAGAACTTTATTAATCCATGTTTTCTCTTGATAAGTCAAGTTGATTTTTAAGTAATTGAGGCATTTGTTATATAATGTTTTTAAAAACACAAAGACCATGAAGAAAAATAACAAGAGTCTTTGATGATAGAAAGTTGCAAGTGACAGAAACCTAATTTCAACTGACTCAATCAGTTGAATCAGTTGACTCAATCAATTGACTCAGATCAATCGAATTTTTAAGTGGAGGGAGCTGTAATTTATGATATGAGCTACCTAGGGTTATCATTGGGTCATACATAGCTGGATTAAGGGACTTAATCCAGCCCTGTCATCAGAACTGTGTTTCTCCATTTCTCTCAGGGTTAGTTTTTCTGCATGCTAGACAAGATGGCCTCTTGTTCCAGTCTTACATCGTAACAGCAGGGTAGCCTCATAAATAGAGAGTTTTTTCCCATAGACCTGCCTGACAAAAATATCTCAAAATGACTCTAATTGGCCAAACATCTCTGAATCAATTACTCTAGCCTGGGGCTGGATGGTTACTTGTTTGGCCTCACATGACCTTTCTGAGCCTTTCTCATCCCCTTCTTGAAGGGGAGGGTACAGGAACTGGTTCTGGTCAGGTAGTCCTGAGCCACAAAGAATGAATTTCTCGTACAAAGGAGAGATTCTGTTATTAAGAGTAGAACCATGAAAAAGTTACTCAGCTTTCTTCTAACTTCAGGTCTTCTATGGAAATTGAGGCTACTGATCTCTACCTATCTCAAAACGAAAAATAATACCTAGTTATTGCATTGAAATGTAATTTTTTCATGGTAGTTATAATAAATAAAGTCTGTTGTTAATAAAGTCGACAGAATGATACCATAGTAGTTTATATTTCGGTTTCATAGAGACAAATTAGAAAGCCCTTAGTAAAATGCAGGTTTTTTGTGATCTAATGGTAGAATTGATGAGTAAGCTTAGAAACAGCGTAATAGCTGCTAACATTAAGAACTCACCCATGTCAGGCTCTATTTTAAAAGCTTCTCATGTATTTATTCACTTACTAAAGGTAATATTTATGAGCAAGGGTTCTAGAGTCACACTGCCTGGGTTTGGACCCAGACCTGAGACCTAGGGCAACTACTTAACCCCTTTATGCCTCAGTTTCCTCATCTGTCCAATGGCAGTGAGACAGGAGAATTCCCTGGACCTCTTTGTGGGTATTGTGATGGGTGTCTTGTTTACTCGGCCACTGTGTGCTCAAACGCCTTACGGGAAGGGGAGCACACAGATGAACAGGTGCAGGAGGCGGGGTGAGTGCTTTTGGGCTCCAGCCCCATGGCAGGGTCTAGGGGTGTTACAGTGCTCTTTTAGTCCTAACATCTGGGGATGGCTTAAGTGTTAAACAGCTAGTGAAGAGTCAGTGTGACAGCCTTTTTGGGTTCCTCCACCTAGTGCATCCCAAATTCTTGTCTGGCATCCAGGAAGAATCAGGTCACATGGACTTCAAGGATGGTGAACGCGGGGATTTTACTGAATGATGGAGGTGGCTCTCAGCAGGATGGAAAGCTGGAGAGGGGATGGGGTGGGAAGATAATCTTCCCCTGGAGTTCGGCAATCCCGCAGCCAATCTCCTCTCTAACTGTCCCCAGTCGAACTCCTCTCGATGTTCAGACGCTTCCTCTCTTCCCTCCTTCTCTGCTCTGCCACTCTGCCACTCTTCTGCTCTTGGAGCCTGGGGTTTGGGGTTTATATGGGCACAGGATGGGGGGTGTGGCAGGCCAAATGGTAACATTTGGGCACAAAAACAGGAATGCCTGTTCTCATTTAGGGCCACGGGTCCAGGCTTGAGGGTGGGGTTTAGCCAGGAGCCCAGCCCTTCTGTATCAGCAGCATTAATAGTACCTACTTCATACAATTTACTTTACAGTGAAGGTAAAACATGTCAGCACCTAGGTCATAAGTACTCAATAAATGTTAGTAGAGGAGGAAGAGTTTTTGTTACATATTATTATCTTCATCAGCCATTATTACCTGCTAATAAAGTCAACAGAGTGATGCCACAGTAATTTATATTTAGGTTTCAATTATATATAGTTTTACAAATTGGAGACTTATTTTCCATGCTATCTAATTAATAAAGCAATTCAAAGAAAATGCAATAATGGAGGGAACTTGTAAGCTGTAAAAGTAGCTTTGCCCAGAAGAGAACCACAGTGAATGTTCAGTCAAATTTTCATACATTGATGGAAATCTTATTCCTTATCAAATATTAATTATAAGAGGAGAGGAGAGTTCCTGGACAAAATAAATATTTTGTTTTCTCGAACTTCCAAGCTATAAAAAAATGAAGTCATGATTTCAGAAGATATTTTGGTCCTGTTTTTTCAGGTTACACAAATATTTATTTGTGTTTATTTTCCCTACTTTTCCTGAGCCATAGACTACAAATATTTAAATTCAAAATATTCATACTTAACAAGGACACTGTATTGGGAACTATAATTTCAAGGTGATAAAAAGAACAGTTCACTAAAAAAAAAATTATATGATGACATGATTCTCTAAAATTATTTTTCCATAATGATTTACCTAAAGTTAGTTCAGACCATTATTAAAATGAAAAAAGGAAACTCGATATTCATACTTTTAGAAAGAAGTAGGCTTTATGTTTATAAACATTTGGAGGGCTGTGAAATGGTAATTGTTAATTTCTGTTTACATGCTTGGACATTAACAGTTATTTTGGAGTCAGTATTTTTGAAAGCTTAATTTTCAATAATTTTCTTTGAAGACAAGTCATACAATTTCTCCATGCAGATATATGCATTTGAGAATGATGTAAAAATTATAGCCTAGCAAAATAGCTCCTGCCTACAAGAGGAGACTACAAATTTTGGTTGTAGAGAAAGCCATGATTATGAGGATATAAAGATCTGATAGCAGTTTATCCTTTTGTTTAAGATTAAGATGCTTGGGCTGGGCACGATGTCTCACACCTGTAATTTTAGCACTTTGGTTGGCCGAGGTGAGTGGATCACCTGAGGTCAGGAGTTTGAGACCAGCCTGGCCAACATGGCGAAACCCTGTCTCTACTAAAAATACAAAAATTAGCTGGGCGTGGTGCCAGGCGCCTATAATCCCAGCTACTCAGGAGGCTGAGGCAGGAGAATCGCTTGAACCAGGGAGGCGGAGGTTGCAGTGAGCCGAGATCGTGCCATTGCACTCTAGCCTGGGCGAAAGAGCAAAACTCGGTCTCAAAAAAAAGAAAAAAAAAAATTAAGATGCTTGGATTAGGTTATCCTACATAGGATAGATTATGTAGGTTAACCTACATAATCTGTATTTGTATGGTACATATATTCATTGTACTCAGACTTTTTTTTTTAGTGGAGCCAAACTCTATACATCAAAAGTTTGATGGGATTCTTTCCTAGAACTTCTTAAGAACTGACCAGAGAAGGTAGATATTATTCCAGGAAAAACAAAGACAAGCACAGAGAGGTGAATGAAATTTACATTCTGGTGGTGGAGACTGCAAATAAGTTAAAATAATTTCAGATATAGTTAAGAGCTGTGAAGTAAAGAAGATAAGGTAATGAAAAAAGAGGGGTGAGTAGGAGGAAGGTGGTGTGGTAGCTAGATGAGGTGACCTGGGAAGGCGTCCCTGAGAGATGAAATTTTGGCTAACACCTGATTGACAAGAAGTGAAGGCCAATAGGGGGACGAGCATTCCAGCAGAAGTAACATGTGGCACATTCTAAGAGTGGAAATAAGCCCAGGGAAGAAGGGGAGAGGTATAGGAGGCAAAGCTGTTAAGGTGGGGATGGCCTTGTCTTAGTGATGAGTTTGCATTTGTTCATTCTGAGTTCAATAGGAAGCCATTGGAGGGTTGGATAGGGGTGAGGCATGATTTGATTAATTCGTAGACTAGGTAGAAGGCTCTGGCAGTAGTCTATACCAGAGATCATTCAAATCCAAATCCCTCATTTCTTTCTTTCTTTTCCCCAACTGTGCATTCTTTCTTCTGAAAACCCACAGCTCACTCATCCTTTATTTAACAGATATTTATGAAGCCAACACAGTGTGCCAGATGGTGTACTAAATGCTCTGTTATAAGGATGAATGATGCTATCCTTTTCCTATCCTTAATGATTAGTCTGTGTTTGCTTGGGTACAGTTGTATTCAAAAGAGAGCCTAAATCTTCACAGGGAAGAAAGGAATGGCTTGAACTGAGGCTTAAAGGATGTGTAGGAGTTGACTGTATGGAGAAGGGGACTAGCATGAGAGTATATCAGGCAAAGAGAAGAGAAAATATAAAAAACTAGAGGCACAAAAACTATGGCATGTTCTGGAATAAAACAAGTAGTTCTGCAAAGCTATGATATATGTTTGGAATGAGTGGAGATGAGGCTGGATGAGCAGTCAGAGGCCAGAATCTGAGGGCTATGCTTGCTGCACTAAAGAGGCAAATGTTATCCTGTAGGATACTGGGAGCCAGCAAAGACATTTGAGCAGAGTAGAAACAATACCAGCTTTCCTTGTTATATATTTAACTGTGATGGAGTTCATAACATTAAATTGGAGAAAACTATCAGGTTATTGTAATCATTGAAATGAGGCACTAATTGTCTGGACTGAATGAGCTAAAGGGACAAGGACAAGGAATTGAGGAGACTCTTTGAAACTTGGGGGTTGATTAGATGGGGATGGCTAAGAAGAAGGGAAGAAGGCAGAACCCAGTGTAACAGATGGTACCATTCAACAGGATAAAAAAGTCCAGAGAAATGAGCAGGATTATAGGACACAGTTTTGAGCTCAAGAATTGGAACTAGGAGTTTGGAGCGTCCCTGGATATATCCTGTTGGAAGTTTAATACATGTCTCTAGAACTCCTGAGAGTGTTAGATCTAAAGATAAAGATTTTAAACTTGATACAGTATAAATTAGAAGCCAGAAATTGGTATTCCTTAGGCTATATCAGTCTCTAAAATTTGCTTCATTTATTTTGCTTTTTAAAAAATTCATGGATTTTATATAATAACCTATTAATAGACCTAGTGATATTATGCCTAAATTCCAAGAAAGTGACAATATGCTGGGTTAAGAAAAAGGCAGTACCAATAGATTGGGCACTCTTAAATTTATTTTATTTTATTTTTTGCCAGAGTACCAACCAACTCACTTCATCTGCTTATATTACTTAGTTCCTATTGATATTTGAGTTTGCAGCCCTTAGCAGAATGCATAGAGTGAAAGCAGAAAAGGATCAAGCCTTGTGGAACATCAGAGTTCAAGGAAAGATTGGACAGGGGAAGAGGAAAATCCCAAAGAGAAAGAGAGAAAGCACATCTCCAAAAGTTTCTTTGTGTGTGTGTGTGTGTGTGTGTGTGTGTGTGTGTGTTTAGCGGGGTGGGGGAGGGGGGTTCTTTCTTTCTTTTTTTTTTCCTTCTGGTTTTTCTCTGCAGACTTTTTGCAATCTTCGCAATGACTTTTGTTACCTTGCTTTCTCTGGACTAACCAATCTATGTTGTTTATGTTAGAAAAGTTCTCCCATATAGCCAGCTGTGGTGATGCACAACTGTAGTCCCAGCAGCTACTTGGGAGACTGAGGTGGGAAGATTTGAGCCCAGGAGTTCAAGGCCAGCCTGTGCAACATAAGTGAGACCCTTACTCTGAAAAGTGAAAAAGAAAAGATCTTTCTAAACCCTGGATCCTGGTTATTCATACCATGGTCCGTGGATAATGTTTCCATGTGGGAGTTTCTTCACATTATTTCTTGGGAAATTTGGAGGTTTTTCAAATACTGAATCTTGAAAAAAGAGATTCAGTTGAGAAATCATAAATACTTGGAAGAGGTATTATAATTCTCCTGCAATAATTAAAGCTTTAAAAATCAACATAGACACATGATTAGAAGAAACCCACTATGGTCAAATTGAAAATCAGAGCAGGAAACATTAGCACACATAGTTGAAGGTCAGATTGCCATTTCTGGGGACCGAGACCAGGTCATATGAGAGATAAGTGGTCAGGATCATCATGATTTTTTGAGGATTTATTTAATGATTGGTACCCATAAGAGACTGGGAGCTTCATGAAGGCAAGAATTGCATGTCTTCACCTTTAGCACTTTACCTCTTGCATATATATCTTGGTCTCTCAGTAACTTGATAAATAACAAGTTTAAACCATCAAGGATAGTAGTTTTGAGAGCATATAATGGATGAATAAATGGATGGTTGGATGGAAGGAGATAGAGTTGTTCAAGAAAGTTTTCCAATGTATTAAAAGTGAGTTTTATAATTTATTATTGTCTACCAGCTTAGTTGCCATGGAGCCAATTAATTTGCCTTAAGTGACAACATACACACATTTTATCTTTTTCTGGTCATACAGGGAAGTTCAACGTCTTGGCCACCTTGATATTTCAAAATAATTTGTAGGCAGTGTGGGTACTTTAGAGCCATTATTAGAAATTAACTCTGATTGCCTTTGTTCAGGTATTACACAAAGGTGCAATTTTGGATGGATCTCCAAATGGAAGTAAAATTATCTTAATATACAGAGATTCACACTGTCAAAAATTTTTTGAGAGAGATAGTTTTGCTATCGCAAAATGTTTTATTGGAATACATTTGTGATAGTTTTGTTAAGTATTTCGAAAAGTTCTTGGATTCTTCAGCACCACTACCTCTTGGACATTTTACTTGGCTTGTTTTTTATAGATTCTCAAAGCCAGGTTCACGGAGCTCCTTCCAGAAAAGCTTCGATTCACTCTAGTCCCCAACATGTAGACTTCACTCTCCTTATTCTTGTGTGACTCAGTCTGCTAGAAGGAAGGGATTTGTGTAGACTGGGGCAGTCCTAGAAGGAGAGAGTGAAGATTGAGTATGACTATTCATTCAGCACCTTTTGAGTGTTTACTGTATCCCATGCCCTGTTCTGGGATATAGGAATATCGCAGTATGCAAAACAAAAATCTTTGCCCCCAAGAAGCTTCATTCTTGTGTGGTGATTGGAGGGAGGAAAGACAGATGACAAACAAGTACAGTGTGTGTCAGATGGTGAGAAGTGCTGGAGCAAAGAATGAAGCAAGAGAGGGGCTCGTGACCCTGAAGTTTTAGTCAAAGGTTTGATTGCCACAATCATAAACTTCAACCTTCAGGGTGCATTCATCCTGCAGACATGTTTTGTTCAGACCACACATAGTTCTTTAAAAATAAACCAGACCTGAGTTAGTTCATTTAATTTAGTCATGACATTTCACATTTAAAAGTCTTGACATTTCACATAAATTCTCAATTTCTAGATTTTACTGAAAAACCTAAATATGTGGCAGCATTCCAGCATTGGCTAAAGTTTAGTACTGGCTGCTTCTTTAAATATGACATCATAAAGCTAGAGTACAGTAAAGTATACCTATATATAGTAAAATATAGCATAGCTCACTGTGTATCAGAAGTCATACTAAGAACTTGACATGTATTAGCTAATATAATCTTCAAAATAACCATCCGAAGCAGGTGCTACATTGAGTCACAGAGAGGTGAGGTAAGGTCACCAAGGTCACAAAACTAGTAAGTGGTGCGGCCAATATTTAATCCTAGAAGGTCTAGGTTCCAAGTCCAATTCTAACCATTGTATATATACCTTCTTCCACTTTGCCGCTTGATGAACTTCATTTGTTTCTACCTGATGGTCAGGTTCTAGGTCTCTGTCATGATCCAGGCATGACTGCCCCAGGATCTAGAGGGAGCCTAAACTTGTAGATGGACCTTCTTAGTGGATCCTTCTCTGGAACTCGAGGGGACAGGGAAATAGGGTACTTGCCACCTCCCACTATTGTGCCCTTCTAGCTGCACTCAGTGACTCCTGCCCCCTCTAGCTAAATCCATTTCTGTAATGCTGCCCACCCGTGTGAGCAGTTCTGGTGGATGCCTCAGTTCTGCCTCCTCTTTCCTTCTTTGCACCACGCGATTACCTTCATGCCTTCACAAATCCTGAGATAAGAACAAAAAGCCTCAAAAAACCATGCATTTGACTGAATTGAATATTCATCATAGGGTGAAATATGAAGGCTAATGATCTTTTCCTTCTTCCTTTTTTAATTACCTAAAAAAAAAAACTCCACTTGAATCCGTTTTAGAAGGTAAAACTCTCAGAGGGGTGTGTGTGTGTGTGTGTGTGTGTGTGTGTGTGTCTGTGTGTCTGTGTGTGTGTGTGTTCCATTTCAGGGAGGTGAATACTTGTCACCACTTAAGTGGTGGTATTTGACTTCAAAGGACAAAAAGTAATCCATTACCTGAATATTAACAGCAATAAAACTTAGCAACAATAAATATTTAGGAGTGCATGAGTCTCCTTCAACTCATTTACAGACTGATTGGAAGGTTTTTCCAGCTCAAGGGACTGAAATTTGGCATCTACTCCGCTAGCCTAAGTTCATTTTTTATCTTCTTCTTCCTTTTCAAAAATTGTTTCTTAGTTACAGAGCATCAAACATAAGTTGGATGTGCTTTCAAGCTTTTAGGGGCCAATTTTGGATTTTGCAATCTTATTAAACAACAGCCCCCAGAGTCAGATACATATTATAAAACCATATCTTTAAAGTGCATATTATTTTCAACCTGTTTGATCAGTGGATATCACACTTGTCAACATTAGGAGCTAATGAAAGAATTTTGCTTCAGAAAAAAGCCAAGCAAGGAAGGGGAAAAGAAAGGCATTACTAGCATTATAGTAAGGAGTTGCATTCTGTCTCTGGAGGGCATCTCGGGCAGGGATTAGGAGTGCTGATCCCAGAACAGTTGGCCTCAGAGCAGTGCTGGTGGGCAGGAGTCAGGCCTAGTTGAAGTTCAAAGGCTATGTCAGCCCCATCATCCAGGCCAGGTCAGGGGTTCATCATCCTTCATGTAACCCAAGGCAGAACCCTTACAACCAACTCCTTTTTGACACTAAATCACATCTCTTTAACATTTCTTGAGTAAACTGTGATTTATCTAAAAATATACATGTTAACAAGATTTTGTCTTTAGGGGTTCTGCTACTCATGTGACTTCAGGCTCACCCACTTAACCTCTGTGGGCTTCCGTTACCTCTTCTACAAATGAGAAGCTGGGCTAAATGATCCGCAAGGTATCTACCAGCTCTTACATTCTGGGGGCTACAGAGGTCTATGGGAAAGTAGAATTCTGTTTGTAGTTCTCTTTTTATAATCATTTTTATTAGAGTGAGCAAAGAACCTTTGTTGTGCTGTCTTCAGATTATTATTCAGTCTTTCTCTTTTGTTCTAAGGACCTGAACCTGTGTGGGAAGGTTTTGTTTTTTTGGTTTTTAAATTTTTTTTTGAGACAGAGTCTCACTCTGTCGCCCAGGCTAGAGTGCAGTGGCTCAATCTCTGCTCACTGCCAGCTCCGCCTCCCAGGTTCGAGCCATTCTCCTGCCTCAGCCTCCCGAGTAGCTGGGACTACAGGCGCCCACCACCCCGCCCGGCTAATTTTTTGTATTTTTTAGTAGAGACGGGGTTTCACCGTGTTAGCCAGGATGATCTCGATCTCCTGACCTCATGATCTGCCTGCCTCGGCCTCCCAAAGTGCTGGGATTACAGGCGTGAGCCACCACGCCCGGCCAGGTTTTGTTTTAACATTGTTTTTTGGTGGAGTGGCTAGGGTACAGATCTGCCTAACATTGTTTGTTTGTTTCTAATTCCTTGATGCAGAGTGGGGTGACTTAAGGCTCCTGAATATGCTGAAAGGCGAAATGTTTGTAGACCCTCAATCTGGCCTTGGCTAAATGACGTCCAGAAGCAGCAGGTCTGCTGTGCTGGAAGGAGGAGAGTGGAGTTGGAGGCAGAAACTCTGGTTTCAAGTCCTGTCTCTGCCACTCTGAACCACAAATGATTTATTCTGAGAATAAGCATGGAAACAATATCAGGATGTTATAAGGATGTGATTTGTGAAGTACTTGATAAACTCACTGATGCTTCATTCAGGTAGAAGGTACTGTTACTAAGTTTCTAAGCGTTCAACAAAACATGCTTATTATTGTCATAGCAGCTGAGGATATAATAATATACTGAATAATAAAAAGTGTGTGTATATAGGTTTGTGCCATTATTTTACCAAACCTAAGAGTATCTTATGATTTTATGTTCTAGTCCTCTACCCCTTTGCAGATAACCAGCTAAATTTTTATTTTTACATAAGATTGGCAATAGATGATCTGGCACAGTGACTTTCAAAGTTTGTTTTTTTACTCCAACCCACAGTACATTTAACACTGTGATCTGGTACATATATGTACATTTATCTGAAACAAAAGTTTCATGAAATAGTACTATGGGTAGTTCTTTTTAATGTTTTCTTTTCCTCTTATTTATTTCATTTCTTTTTAAAATGCTGATCATGACTCACTAAATTGATTTTATGATCCATTAATTGGTCATGAAAACACTGACCTAGCACATGCTTGATCATTTTCTTTTTTCTTGGGAATACCAGTTTGGACATCGATATGTATGTGGAGTATCAGTGCATGACCAGGATCACCTCCTGTGTATCCATAACCCAAAATATTCCTTTAAAATAGGCCGGGCGTGGTGGCTCACGCCTGTAATCCCAGCACTTTGGGAGGCCAAGGTGGATGGATCACCTGAGGTCTGGAGTTTGAGACCAGCCTGACCAATGGAGAAACCCTGTCTCTACTAAAAATATAAAATTAGTCGGGTGTGGTGGCGCATGCCTGTAATCCCAGCTACTTAGGAGATTGAGACAGGAGAATCGCTTGAACCCAGGAGGCAGAGGTTGCGGTGAGCTAAGATCGTGCCACCGCACTCCAGTCTGGGCAACAAAAGCGAAACTCCATCTCAAAAAAATAAAAAATAAATAAATGAAGGAAAGCACACAGACTTTACAGACACAGAATCAAAAATGATTCCTGCTGGATGATTTACTAGCTATGTGGCTTTAGGTGAGTTACTTAACCTTTCTGTGTCTCAGTTTCCTCATTTTAAAAACTGGAATGATAATACCTATCTCACAAGACTAAATAAATGTATGTGCAGTACTTGTTACAAAGCAAGCACATATTAAGGACTAATTTATGCTAACTACTATTAGTCAATTAGTTACCAGGTCTTTTTGCTCGTCTCTTCACTTAGTTTTCTTAACCCCGCAATATTGCAGTAATCTCCTTGCTGGCCTTCTGGTTTTGCCAGTAGATTACTTCATCCTGCATAGCACAACCAGACTAAATTCTCACAAACACCCTTGTATTTCATCACCTCACAGCCCCAGTTTTATCCTGTTATCATTTCCAAGTTTCCATATAAATTCCATAAATCCAGACTCTTTAACATTTCTGACTCCTGAGCGTCCTCAGAATAACATTCATTTCTTCAGCAAACCCTTTACTGGGGGCCTACAATGTGCTGGCACTGTTCGGTTTCTGGAGTTACAGCAGTGAACAAGACAACTCAGTCGCCCCATTTGGGGCAGTAAGAACACAGGCAATAAACAAGGAAATGTGTACCCATATAATGTATAAGTATAATTATATAATTTGGGGTTAATTAAAAGTGATCTGAAGAAAAATAAAGCAATGTAAGAGAGAGTAAAGTTGAACCTGTTTCTCCTACTTCCATCTTCCACTTTAGCAAAACTGCTCTAGCACCAGCATGGTAGCCATTCCTTCCCATCTAGACTGCCCCTCCGCCTTTTCTTTGCCCTTCAGTGTCTTGCCCATTCTTGTAGTTTCGTTCAGATCCTTCCTGCTCTCCCAAATCTGCAGCCATTTCAGCTCACAGTGCTTTCTACTTCTTCATGAAGCATTTTCTCTCTCAATTCGACTCTTACTCTGCTTTGTATCATCCACCCTCTTTTTATGTGTATTTTTAATCTCATCAACTGGATTATCAGGAGTAACGTATGTTCTCTTTTGCAACTCTCATGCTCTATTCGTGATACCTTGTACATAGTAGCGATCAGGAAAATGCAAAGTTGTTGTTGTTATTGTTGTTAGAGACAAAGTCTCACTGTCACTCAGGCTGGAGTTTAGTAGCATGATCATCGTTCACTACAGCCTTGAACTCCTGGGCTCAAGCCATCCAGAGTAGCTGGTAGTAAAGATGCGTACAACCATACCTGGCTTATTTAAAAAAAAAAATGTTTGTAGAGATGAGGTCTCACCATAATGACCAGGTTGGTCTCAAACTCTTGGCCTCAAGTAGTCCTCCTACTTTGGCCTCCCGAAGTGCTAGGGTTATAGGTATGAGCCAACACACCTGGCTACAAAGCTTATATATATGTGCATACACACACACACACACACCCCAAAAACTATATAAACCGTATGTAAGTAATATGCATATATATCTTAACTATTAGATCAATAAAATAATAAGAGCAATAACACCTAATGTTGGTAAGGTCATGAGGAAATAAATGGGTATTTTCATACTCAATATAATGATACAACTATCATTGGACAACTAGGCAGCTTCTAACAAAATTTGTAATGTGCATGTTCTACAACTTAATAATCACATTTACAGTTGACTTTCCTAAAGATATAGTTAACCCTTTATATTTGTGTGTTCTGCATTCATGATTCAACCAACTACAGATCAAAAATATTCCATTAAAAAAGTGCGTCTGTACTGAACATGTACAGACTTTTTTCTTGTCATAATTCCCTAAAAAATATAGTATAACAACTATTTACATAGCAATAAATGTGTGTGTGTGTGTGTGTGTGCTGACTGAAAGGAAAATAAACCAACTTCACCAACACAGCTGACTACTGACAAAAGGTTTAAATCTATTTTTGGAAAGACTTACAGATTTCTATAAGAATTAGGTAAACTGTTAAGCCTCAGTTATTGTCATTTAAAACAAGAATGAAGGAAAAAATGAATTTAGAAAAAAATCAATTGCCCTTTTTGTGTCTGATTTCAAATTGTATGCCTTATAAATCTGTTACCATTACTGTTATCATTATTGCTAACATTTAATCCATTGTATCATAAAAGCAACTCCTCTCAACTCTTTTAATACTCTCTACACCAGCCCCACCAAGTAGATGCCCAGCTAAAACTTGCCTCATTTAGTAGTTGGAAACTCATTACCTAGTAAGGCAGCTGATTTATTTTTGGGCAACTCTGATTATTAGAATTCATTTTTCCCTGGAGCCAAAATCTCTCTTTTTATTGTTTTTTTTTTCACCGTTCCTGCCGCTGCCCTTTGGCAACATATAGGACATTTTTCTTTTGACATCCCATCTAAAATTTCAAGGTAGTTGTCATGCTCTAACAATTTACCTTATTGTCTACATAGAGTTAATTTAATGAAAGATCTCTTAGTTCTGTTTTGTCAGCAGAGAAACAAAAATACGACAATGGAAGAAATACAAAGCCTTTGGAATTAATTTGTATTAATTTTGAGGAGGACTTAATTTGAAATCTAGGTATTATTATTTGATAATAAAATATATAGATTTGTTGTTCTATGTAAATGCTCTAGATTGTGGGCTTCCGGAAGACAGAAATTTGTTTTATAACTCTTTATTTCTTCCTTCTTTCCCACGTCTGCAATACCAATTATAAACTTACTATGTGCCTGCTATATCTTTACTAAATAGGTGGCTTAATTATATCTAGAAATGTAAACATAATAGATTTATCTTAGTAAAACTAATATAGTATTTAGCTCAGACATTCCAAATCTAAGAAATATTGGTCTCTGATGTTTACATGAGACATTATTAGGCTGCTGACATTATGTATGACTCTATTCTGAATGGGAACCCCGCAATAATTCTTCAGCCTAACAAAAAAGAGCCATTTTGACAAGTAATGGGTTTGTATAGACTATGTCTATTAGTACTAGGAAGCAAAGTTTAAAATCTCAGAAAGTTGCTGTTGAATGTGTATGTAAAGTTTTTCAAAGACATGCCAAGTTTGGATTTTGCTCACTAAAGGTTAGGGTTCTATTAGTAGATAATGCTCATTATTTTATTCCATTTCCTTATTTTTACCAATTATTTACATATCTTTTTCTGGCCATTGCATTTTATTGATAATAGTGAAAATTAAAATAAATATATTGCTCTAAAAGTAGTTTCCACAACTCGTATCAGTAACTTCAGTTTTTGTTCTATTTTTAAGCTGCTTGCCACAATATTGACAGGCATCCGATTGTGTGAGGCTTAGTTCTAATTATAGATATAGGCTACTTCACATGGAGTTAGATATTTCTATGAGACTAAACAAAACGTGTAATGCTGTGAACAAGGAAAACAGCAGCATGTTTTTGGTGTAAATTGACTTGTCATAAACAGTAATTATCAACACAGTATTGGTATCATGATACTGTTTTGGGCCTCATCATTCAAACTATTTCTCTTTGTATTGTATAGTGATTTTTTTAGGGGAGAAAAACCCAACAACTGTCAATCTAATCATTATATTCAGCATACATTACCAAGCAAAACATATTTACAGCTAGATCTACACTGTTTTTACAAGTTTATTAAAAACATGTGTTGCCCAATGCCAGGAATAGCTACAGCAAATGCTATCACCAGTAGGCAAACTGTCTCTCCACTTTCTTCTGAAGATTTAGCTACCTCATCACTTTAACTATGAGCTATACCATAGATGTTCCTATGTGAAAATGTTTATCACAGATAAGACCTCTGTGTGTGTGTGTGTGTGTGTGTATGCATGTGTGTGCGCACACAAGCATGTGCATGCGGGGGAGCAGGGTTGGTGGGGGTTGGGGAGATAAGGTAGTGGGAGGGAGTAGATGAAGGGAGTTCAGGGCCGTGGCACTCCTTTGTACCACTGATCTAGGATCATAGGTCGATACCTAATGAAGTAAAGTTAAATCATAGTAGGACTTTTCAACCATTTGGTTTATTTTATAGGAGCATGATGTTATCCATGATATATACATTAAAGCTGCATTTTTTCTCTCTACAAATGTGATACTCTTTTTATATAATCTCAATTTTAATAATTTATTTGTGTAATTATTGTTTTAATCACCATCCACACAGCCCCACCACTCTCTGATAGCCTATAGACACTGTAGAGACCTTTCTACCTGTTTTACCTCTGCTCCTAGCTTGTAGTATGATCTCAGTAAATATTTGTTAAGTGGGTGAATATCTGAAAGAAAAAGGACAGAGGAAAGCCTGTTTTCTACATTTGGCATGTAATTGTCACGAGCTACTCCATCCTACATTGTTCTTTCCCTTCTCTGAATTCCTATAGTCCATGTATATTAATTGCTGAGCTGATCACTTGGCTGTATTATGTATAATGTTACTCCCTAGTTGTTTGAGGTATGGGCATCTAGCTCCACATGAATTTGTTGACCACCCCCACCCTGGGTCCTCTGTATTATTTCTTTTCAGCAGCTAATCTGGTGAGGCAATCCACTGGACACTTAGTACGTACTTTGTGTCTTCACTCTGTTAAAACAGATTTCAAACCAATGTGAGAAATAGCATTCTATCATCTGGTTTGGAACACTAGCCTATTTCTTTCTTCAAAGACTCAGTGAGCTTCCCAGCAATTAATCAAATGGCAAAGAATGATTTGGTAATTTCTTCAATAGTTAAATAATAACTTTTTGCAAGTTACAATTGCTTTACATTGTTGTGTGGTTGATAATGGGTTGTTTTTCCATCTCTTGATGGCACATCAGGTTAACTTCAACAATGTGAAGTATGTTTTCAAAATGAAAAGCAAATGTCAATTTCCTTATAATTGTCTCTTTCTAACCATAATAGTAATGTACTGGTAAGAATAGATAAGAATAATAAACTCTTGAAGGGCGCTACCATAAAATATGATTAGATAGCAGCAAATATCCACTTGCACGTGTTGCTGTCATAGTTAATAGTTACTTTAGAAAGCATGTTAATCTGGTCTGACTGCTTGATTTCTCATCTGAATTAGAGAGGTAGGTAGGTAGGTAGAGAGAGCTTCATTTAGGTATACACAGAGATAGGGTCAGCTGTACAGTATATATGCAAAAGGAATCCTGATGCCTTGTCACTAAAATTTTCTAAGTTAACCAAGAACTACAATTTTCAGTTAAGTAGTTAACTTTTTTCTTTTTATCTTATTACTTTCATGTTGTGTTTTGAGTAAAAGGATTAGATGCCTTACCGTGTCTCTACCAAGAAAGTTAGTTTGGGACAAATAGATGGATAGCTTCACAAATGGCGAATAGTCTTTTTTTATTTTTTTATCTCTTTTGAGATGGAGCCTTACTCTGTCACCCAGGCTGGAGGACAGTGGTGCAATCTCAGCTCACTGCAACCTCCACCTCTTGGGCTCAAGCAATTCTCCTGCCTCAGCCTCCTGAGTAGCTGGGATTACAGGCACACACCACCGTGCCTGGCTAATTTTTGTATTTTTAGTAGAGATAGGGTTTTGCCATGTTGGCCAGGCTGGTTTGGAACTCCCAACCTCAGGTGAAGTCCCTGCCTCAGACTCCCAAAGTGCTGGGATTACAGGTGTGAGCCACCACGCCCGGTCCAAAATCTTAATCTATATAGGGTGACAGAAAGCCACTTTAGTGTTCAATTAGCTAATGTGATATGCATAAGCAAGATGAGTCCAGATTATCCAATACTCCACATGTGGTTTTCTGAACAAATTATCCTTTCTTCATAAGTACCGTTAATCTTCATAATGAAATAAATATTAAATATTTGACAAAAAATAATGCTGGAAATTATGTGAGATCATAGAATATTTTGTTAGAAATGTAAAGAGACAACAATGACACTAGTTATCAGAAAACTGCTCTACTCAATGTGGAATTAAGTAGTCACTGAACTTGTTTTAGATGACTTCTTAAAATCATACTGTATCATATTATATAATCTTAATATACTTATTTAGAAAAATGGTTTTATGTTGTATCTCATTTAATAGTGCTGCAGAAGTAGATGTAGATTTTTGATACAATAGTGGATCCTATATGAGCCAGCCATGGTGGCATGCGCCCATAGTTCCAGCTATTCAAGAGGATTGCTTGAGCCCAGGGGTTTGAGGCTGCAGTGAGCTCTGATCACACCACTGCGCTTATGGTCTGTATGACAGAACAAAGCCCCATCTCAAACAAAAACAAAATAGTGGATCATATCTAACCTTTTATTAAAAACAATAATGAAAAACATAACAAAAAAGTCCTTAGTTTATTAACCTTTACTATTTCTTATTTAGCTATTTCCTTTTGTCCAAATATGAAACTGTCATCTCTCTGTAAAATTAACGTGGCCTTTTGATCTGATAATATTAGCATCATTTCTCATTATTCAATATCAAATCTATTCATCCTGAGTCTTAAATGTTGTTATTTGATAGTGTTAGTAAGTTGCCTGTTTATTTATGTTCCTGCAGAGAGCCTGATAGTAGAAATTGGTTATGATTCTCCTTATGTAACTCTAGAGGACAGGCCTTCACTTATTTCTGTGTTTGGGAGATAGTCTCCTTTAGCTTGTATGAAGTTGTTAAATCTAATAGTTCATAGCAGCATCAGATTTGATTATTTCAAAGTTCTAAGATCAACAGCAACTATATATTGTAGCCATGTAGAAAATGGAACTCACATTTGGCTCTCTCTTCAATTTTTGCTGGAGCTAACATGACAAAAACCCCCTTTGCCTTACTTTTGGAGTAGTGTAAGGATCTTCTCTGTTTGCTGTTTCCAGCCTTGACCTCCTTCCTCTCTCTTCCTGCACACTTAGTCCTTCCTATGCATTATGGCTAAATCAACCTTCTGAAAACACCACTTAGTATAGCCCTGTTACATTAAGTTGTTTGTTAGTTACAACTAATACTTATAAATGAAAGCCACACTACTCGGTCAGCCAGGAAAAGTGGTAGTCCCTCCCTGCCTGCCTCCTCTCTCATATTCCCCCAACCCCCAAACTCCAGTGGATACATTCATGACTCTCCAAGTATGTTATCCACATTTCTTTCTAACTTTCTGCTTTGCTCCCTGCATTATGCCTTCTAGTTGATGCACCGGGATATTGTGGAAAGAACATGAACTTAAATGGACTACATCTGGATTCAAATCTTGCATCTTCTGCTTCGTTAGATGTGTGGTGTTAAACAGGTTATTTAATCTCCTTGAGCCTTAATTTTCTTATTGGCAAAATAAAAGTCAAAGACATTTCCTGCGAAGGTTAAATGTAGGTAATTTGATTTCATACCACACACACACTTCCGATGTAGACATTCAACATTCTATTTTTCCTGAAATGCCATCCTCTCCTCAGTTCTTACTTAAGACCAGACTGTACTTTAAGTGTGAATTCAACTTCTCCCATCTCCATAAAATAAGTCCATTTTTCCCTAGTGCTGAAGTGGAACTTCGTCTTTAAAATTTCTCTAGCATTTGTGGGTTGTGCCCCTCTTTAGCAGTAAGCATGGGTTACTTTTATATATGTTCAAGTATTTGAGTATAACTACAGTCTGACTTGCCTGTGGAGGAGTCATGAAGGCACAGTTGCTGTCTCATACATATATAACTCCTTGTATCTCCACAGACTAATGACAAATGCAATGCAAGTGTTAGAAACCTAATAAACATTTGTACTTGCTCTAGTGTCTTGATGATAATTATGTCACCAGGAAATCTCAAGTCAACCACCACATACTTCCACAAAACCAGCTTTATTTCATTTAAGAATTTTGGACATTCTTAAAGCCAGGACTGTACACCAGTACATCTGTATCATTTATTTTGCCTTTGTTCATTCTGATTATCTGGTGCCTGGGTTATCTAGTTATTAGATATTTTTGATATCTCTACTGCATATGGTATGTTTTCTAATGCAAAATCTTTATGAATTACTTTACATACTTAGATTTAGTTCCTCTTAGAAAAAGAATTCAGAACTGTAACTTTTATTACCTGGCTTGGGGAAAAAAATACATGATTTTTGATGAATTGTGTGCTATTTTGTGAGAATTTCTCCACTGACACGTCTTTTGAACAGAAGGGATTTGCTCCCCAAGTTCTTACTCATGAGCTTTCAATAGACTTCAGATGTGGGGAAGCATGGCCCTCCTCAAATAAGATTTGCAACTGCATTTGATTCACTTTCCTCCCTTTTATGAAATTGAGATGGACGGCTGAGCCAACTGAAAAAAAAAGTATATGTGAATTACATTTTATTCTAATAATATTAGATTGTCCTACAAAAGTATGCTTGCATGCTATAGGGCAAAATCACATATCTTATGTGTATATATATATGTATGTATTTTTTTTAAGCATGGTAAAAATTAAAATACAGTAGAGAGTAATATTGACTCTGAGCAACACAAATGTGGTCTGTTTCAAAGTGAGGTAGCTATCTGGAAGAGATTTTCAACTTTAGAATATGTTGATGCTAATGGTTAAACCTGCCCACCTTGTCTTTGATGTTCTGTCTGAGCTCATGTGAAGTAATAGGATTAAAAATAAAGTGTACACCTTTCTTTTGATCTAAGTAGCCAAAAAGGAGGGAAAAATAATAACCTGTCTCCTGCTCCAATTTAGCAAATACCACTGCTCTAACAAAACCGATATGATACTGTGGCTGGGTTCACAGATGTAACACATAGGGTACACTAAGGTTTTCACAGCCATTTTCCTTTTTTCTGAAGCAGCATAATTCCAGATATTGCTGCATAAATGTGGCTTTTTACCATCTACAAAAATCAAGGCAAGTTCAGTTAATTTTAAGCAACCTCTCTCAAATGACTTGCTTTTCTGTTCACTAATAACTTAATAGATTATTTAGGACTGTTGGTCAGTTAGCCAAAAGTGACAGTGAAAAGATGTTGGCATGAGTTTACCTTACCAACAGAGCTAAACTGCTTTTTTTTTTTTTGCGACGGAGTCTTATTCTATTGCCCAGACTGGAGTGCAGTGGCGTGATCTCAGCTCACTCCAACCTCTGCCTCCCGGGTTCAAGGAATTCTCTGCCTCAGCCTCCCTAGTAGGTGGGATTACAGGCACCCGTCACCACGCTGGGCTAATTTTTGTATTTTTAATAGAGATGGGGTTTCACCATGCTGACCAAGCTGATCTTGAACTCCTGACCTGGTGATCCACCCACCTCAGCCTCCTAAAGTGCTGGGATTACAGGCGTGAGCCACTGTGCCCAGCCTAAGCTACATTTTTAAAGGACCTGTTTGTTTTATATTTTTGGGTGGAAATTTCCCAACACATATATATATATATGTTTAACCAACCCCTACTTGGTTAAACACACACACACACACACACACACACAAATTCACACATATACATATTCGTCTGCTGTAAAAACTCTGATCAATATAGAAATTAACTACTCCAAACTGCGGTCATTTCAGAATGAATGACTATGGTGTTCAGATGTTTCCCATTGCGGGGAAAAAAAGGTGTTGTGAGGAGGGTTGTGGGGACAGATGCTGTCTTCCTCAGGTGATGTAAGAAGGCTTAGCTTGGGTTGATTGTGCTTGGAAGCTGATAACCCAAATTAGCCTTTATGAAACTCTTTGGTGCTCTGAATAGATCTCTTAGTGGACAGATGGCTTTTTCTACAAACTGGCAGGCATGCAAAACACATCAAAAGGAGGTGGTAAGCTAGCATTACGTTTTCAGTACTTACCATCCTAGTACCTGTGGTCATGAATCCTAGTACCTGTGGACAAGACCACAAATGAACTCTTCATTGTTTATTTATTTGTATTATCTTTTTTTTTTTTTTTTTTTGAGACAGAGTCTCACTCTGTCGCCCAGGCTGGAGTGCAGTGGTGCAGTCTCGGCTCACTGCAAGCTCCGCCTTCCGGGTTCACGCCATTCTCCTGCCTCAGCCTCCTGAGTAGCTGGGATTGATTACAGGCGTGTACCACCACGCCAGCTAATTTTTTGTTTGTTTGTTTTTTGTAGAAACTGGGTTTCATGGTGTTAGCCAGGATGGTCTGGATCTCCTGACCTCGTGATCTGCCCGCCTCAGCCTCCCAAAGTGCTGGGATTATAGGTGTGAACCACCACGCCCGGCCTTCATTGTTCTTTCTAAAGGGAGCTTTTATTCCTCTCCTCTTTCTTATCTCTGCTTTTGTCATTTTTGTGTTTGTTTTCTGTTTTATTTTGTTTTTCCTGTCAGTGACGCTACTAGTTTTCTGTTCTTCCAGGTTCAAGCTCTCTTAATTGACAATGGAATAACTTTTAGCCCCTTAGCCTGCCTGCCCATAATCTCTTGCTTTCTCTCACTTCTTTCCAACCAGTTACTACCTTTAGTTTCTGTGCCTAAATGCAGCCTAGTCCTTTGTGTTTTTTCCCTCTGCACCCAGCAGGCCTGCCTATCTTAAAGTTAAATATCAATCATACTGGCAAAAGTTCCCCTAAAACAAAAAGAACCCACAGCAACTGAAAGTCATTCCTCTGTGGAACTCCCATAGAGAATTGTCTATAGCATTTTTGCCAGCCTGACAAAGGCTGGACTCCACATCAGGGCCTGTGGGACCTTCATGACTTGGTACCTGGTTATCTCTGCAGTCTCTCCTCTTCTCTCCTAGTGCTTTTGTCCCCTCTCCACATATACACACAAAATAGTAAAATCCTGCCCCTGCTATACCAGCTCCTCAAACAGACCTTCCTCTCTACTCCTTTATTCACTCATCTGCCTGAAATGTGCCCTTCCTACCACAGGGCTTGCTCTCATTCTCTTTCAGAGCTCCTCTAAGAAGCTTCCCCTGGACTGGCTCCTGTTCCTCTCCTACAAGCTTGCAGCATGCTCTGAACTGGCCCTCAACACACAGCATGGAGATTGTGTTTTTTACTTTTTTGTGCCTTCACTATAGTATGAGTTCCTTGAAGTCACAGGACACATTTTATCAGTGCGTCCACAGAACAATGCCAGAAACAAACTACTTAATGAGATTTGCTAATAGTAAGAATAGATGTGGTGCTTAAATTTGTCCTATATTATGATTAACTATAATTATTTTCTATTAGGACATAAGTTTCCTAACAGCAAAGGCTGCACTTCATACATATTGACCCTGAGAGTGTATTGTACATTACAGGTACTGGTATGTGACAGATATTCACTGGGTATTTTTCCCTTGAATTATTCACTCAGAAGAGGATTGGCCTTTAAACAGTGCTTTCATAAAATTACACTGATTTCAGTGATGACGCCATTTCTTAAAATATTTTGGTACATTTCCTTCCCCGATTGTGTAGGAACCAGCAAAGAAAAGTCAATTTTATTACTTATTGTGACCCAAGATGTTGTTATTCAGCTTGGTTATCACAGTTTTCCTCTTTTGAACTCTTAACTTCTGGTTATGTGTTAAAAATCGCTTGACCCCAAAATTTAGAAATTTTGAATATATTTAGCATATAGGATTGTGAAATTCTCAAGCGCAATGAAAGTGTCTGACATGCAATCTGACATAGTAAATTTTCCTTAAAGACATAGTGAGTGAATGAATGAATGGATGAATGAATGAATGAACTATTTGACAAACTCTGAAGATAAATCCAAAAATATACTAAAATATTTTCAATGATATTAGTATAATTGGAGTACACTCTGGAAGAGAAGTTATTTCAGTGTCTTTCTTTAAGCAAAATGAAAAAATAATGATAATAAATCCACCTCTTTGTCTAATAGACATGCCCTGCATTTTCTGTGTTGAGTAAGAAGCTTTGAGTCATTGACAGGTGTGTCAGTATTTGGGTTTGAGTTCTTCTCATCATCTGATAACTGAGTTATTTCTTTGAAGTCTCCCTTTTTAGTCTCCCACCCTTGGGATTCTAGACTTTCACCTACTTAAGCTCCTTTCCTCATAAACTGTTATTTTGTTCCATCCCATCTTCCTTTCTGTTTCTTTTCTTTCGTTCCAGTTATTGGATTTTCTGACACCTTACTGCAAGATCCTCTTATCTTCATGGCCATGAACTTTTAGGGTCTTAGCGACGTATATAGCTCACTAGCATAGATCCCTTTCGTGTGCACAGTAGGCAAGAGAAGAATGTCCTTAAAAAACAAACTTATAGTCCTAGACCTCCAAGTAGGGCAAACAGAGAAAAACAATTTTGAGCATTTTTTATTCTTTTAGAAGATGATATAGATCTGGTGAAATAAATTAAGAGAGTCAAGCACAAGTTAACTCAAGCAGAAGCAAGTGATAATAAAGTAAGACAATCATGAGGGTACAGTTTCTTTAAAACAACAGTCATGAGGTTTTGTTGTATGCTAAGCGTGGTAGAGATCTTATTGTCTGCTCTCACGCTCATATTCATGTATGCTTCTACAAGCAAGCATATAAAAATTAAAACTAAATACTGGGCATTTTCTGCTTTGAATTTTAAAGATAATTTAAAAGTATTAAAGTCAACTTCCATTGCTTTCTTTTGTGGAACATTTAAAGAAAAAGACAGTCAATGGAAGCAAAGGGGCACATTACTTGCATGACCCTTTGCTATTAAAAACTGAGAATACATAGCCCCTGTTTTTATTACTCTGACAAAGTGACACATATTTCTTAAAGCAGAGTAGGTTCTTAGCAAGCTGGCTGTAGCTTTTCACAAGTATACAAATAGCTTCAATGACATTTTGTCAAGCAATTTCCAGTGTACAGGTTCCTAAACCTTCAGCCCACTGGATCACCTTTAAAAAGAAACAGTGTCAATTGAAAGAAATTTAAGAAAGCCAAGGCCAGGGCTGGTCAGTGTGTTGGAGATGGATGGTACAGCTTTCACTGTTGCCCTTGTGCCTTTCTGGTCCCTGTAAACCTCTACTTAAAAATAGGAGTGACTCAAACAGAAGTCAGGAAAAGGTTGTGCCTATGTGAGATGATATCAAAGCGATGGCATTACTCCCAGGGACCCTAAGTGAATGGCATGTTCAATTTGTGGATATTGCTCAGAAAATGCATTTTTATCTTCCATTACTGAACAAAATAAAGGATTTGCCACAGAATATAGTTCACCAAAGTTGTTTATTTTGGAGGAAACCTCAAACTTGTTTTTATCCTTTCAAGGGGTTTTCAGTAAATTTTAGTAGAAAACTCCCCCGCCTAGAAACCAGAAGACATGGTTCTCATCCTAACGTTCACCAAGTGAGAGCTCACTTGGTCATATCTGTGAGTTAAGTTTCCTAGAGCAGTGTTCCCTAAAATGGGTTCTATACATGTAGTCCCATGGAATGCCCTCTTTAATAAAAGGAGCAGGGGGGAGGGGGAGACGCATCACACACTTTATCTCCCTGTGAATGAATATTCACAAAGCACGTTCGCATATTCAAGTCTTTGAGAATTCTGCAGTAAGTGAGCCTGTCAAATTTCATTTAATGTAGTATGTCTAAAACTTATTTAAGGGAAGAATTTTTTTTAATGGAATGCTTATTAAAATCCTGCAGAAGTATTTTTGAGAACACACTTTGGGAAATGGTGCTTTCTAGACCTTTGACTCCACACCTGAAAAATGGGCTAAAACTAAGTAATTTCCCTGGTCCCTAGCAGGTCTCAAATTCTATGGTTGGTATAAAATCTCAGTTGTGTATTCGCCAGTCACAAAATGTACATAAAAGCCAGCAAAAAGGATGTTTTTTCTGACAGAAAGTAGGAAAAAACAAAGGTTCTTCTACATGTTGTGTTTAATATTATAAACTATTTCATGCTTCTTCATAAAATAACTTAAAATCCACATGCCATCCCTTAATTTTAATCTTAAATTTAAATTTAATCTCTATTGAGGGGTAGGATCCACATTAAATTTCATATACAACATCAATTTAATACAACTGTGTATGTGGTAAGTCCACAGGAAAAAAATAAGATTTTGTTTCACAAGATTTCATGATTGCTGCTATTGTTGTTATTCCCCTTTCCTACTCACATTGTAAGCTCCTCAGACAGCAGGAACAATTCTCTGAGTTATTTTGGAATGTTTTATTGCATACAATATTGGGTATACCGTAGTTGCTTCTTGTTTTTGTGAAAGTACTCAATAGTGAATAAACTGTTTAAAAGGAAACCACATTTGTTCTCATGTCTTTTGAAGATTCTACAGGGATAGAATTGTATCATTGTTTTTCAACAGTTCAAAAAGCAAAACTTTTTAGAATTGGCATTAAGATATGAGACAAACGTATATATAACACACATATGTAATATATGTATATGTATGTGTAATGTATATGTAATATATATGTTATATATATGTCTGTATGTCTCAAACACTGTGAAGTAAGTCCCAAAGTATGTACAACTTAATGAAGACACTCAACACAGGAAAAACATTCTTGGTTAGTGATTTTATATGGACATTCACAGCAATGAATGATTATGAATAAATTTTTTTTATCAGGGAAAAGAGGCAAGTGGAGTTAAGGAAAAACATTTCTCGAGCACTTGCCCTGACAGGCATAGCCATTATAATTTAATTCATTAAATTGCAAGCACTATTATCAGCATTCTCTTGATGAAGATACAGAGGCTCAGAGAGATTGATATTTTGATCAAAGTCACACAATAAGTGGCAGAGCTGAGATTTGAACCAAGTGCTTGTAATTTCATGTCTACCTTCTTTCTAAAATGTAACCAAAGGAATTATTTTTCTCCTATAATCATCTAGCTATTGAAATGCTATATTGCAAAAAGAGTTTTAATGAGATCGTACTATTGAGTTGTTATGAGGAGCTTTTTATATCCATTTTCTCAAATTCTAGAATTCCAGAGTCCGTTTTCTTTTTCTGCCTGCATATTTATATGTATCTAAAGAGTTTGATCATAAAATAGAAAATTGTTTTTCTTAGGCATTGATGAGTACTTTACTATATTTTGAGATAATTATCTGAAAGATGTTTCTTTGTAGAAATGTTTTACATCACATTTAAGAAGGATTATTATTTAAATTTCAAAATAGAACAGAGCGTTCTCAGGTTATTTATTTGTTTGTTTTCTGTCCCTGCCCCCATGCCCTTCAGCATCTCCTCTGGCTTTTGTGACACACGTGCTCATGAGCTGCCACAACTAGGTCCCTCTGCTTAGGGTGTACATCCCTCCTCCCAAGTCTGGATACAAGGTGGCATTAGGTGAGGGTTGATGGAGACTACAGCACATGAAGTTCATCCATGTTCTTAGTCAGTACTAAATGACATCTCATTATGGGTGGACAGTAAAATATTTACCACTTAATTGTTGTACAAAAATGTATTGAAGTGAAATCCACCTAGTGTAAAATTAACCATTTTAAAGTAAAGAATTCAGTGGTGTTTAGTTCATTCACGTTGTTGTTCAAGCACTATTTCTATTTAGTTCTAAAACACTTCTATTTAGTTCTAAAACATAAAATATTTCCATCACTCCAAAGGAAAACTGCTTACCTATTAAATAGTGTCTCCTCATTCCTACTTCTCCCTACCCCTGGCAACCATCAGTCTGTGTTCTATCTCCTTGGATTTATGTATTCGTATAAATTGAATCATAAAATATGTGACTGTTTGCATCTTGTTTCTTTGCCTTAGCATAATTTTTCAAGGTTCATTCATATTTTAGCATGTAGCAGTAGTTCATTCCTTTTTATGGCTGAATAATCTATAGTATGTATATGCCACAATTGGTTTATTCATTTATCTATGAAGGGACATTTGGGCTATTTCTATCTTCAGACTATTTATTGAACATACTACCTTTGATTACCCCCAAAAAAATTCCTGTTGCAAAAGCACTTGAAATGAGACACTTAAAGTTGCAACAGGAGCACCACAGGAATGAATCCAATGCCAACCTGCCATTAAGGTTCTTTTTGAAACTGGATCCTTTAAAATATAATGTTACTGTAAATGGACTTTAATGATACAGAGTGTATATGGGTTATGTATATGGTACCAAATATGTAGGTACCTTCTTTTTAAAAAAATAAATTGTATCAGGTCTATTTAAGGTGTACAACATGGTGTTACAGACACACAGATAGTAAGGAAGTGTTTTTAAATGTAATATGATATATAATCTTGTTTGTGTTCAGTATTAAATTTAATAGAATTACACAAAGCCTACTTAGATAGCTTAGTTTAGAGACAAAAAATATTAGTTCTCTCCAAAAGCTTCAGTAACCAAAAGCTTTAAATATATTCTTTTGTCAATTAATAAAGAAGAACTATTGAAAACAAATTATCTGGCATCTCTACATATGTAATAATTATGCAGCCAAGGCTTTTCCTTTGGAAACAATTTATACATTATATAAACCTAACTTTCTCATCCAAGTATCATTTCAAGAGAGGCAAGCTTAAATAATGGAGGCAATAGGGAAACATAATATTACAATAATGGTCTTTGGTGCGGTTTGGAAGGTTTTAGGAAACATTTGGAACTATTTTTCTCATAAAGTCAGTTAACTATTGAAGTGTTATGATAGCATTTCCCTCTGTATTGTATACAGTACAAAAGGAGCCCAGTTAAAGGAGACATCAATTCTGAATATCCTGATTAGAGGGATTTCCACCAACCAGGAAATTACATGCTCTGGTATCCTGGGATTAGTTTAATAGAAAGATACAGTGAAATAAGGAAGGGATAGGTGATTTAGGGTGCCCTGTTTGCTTTCAAATGCCCATTTCTTTGCAGCTTCATCTAGCAACACCACACTGAAAAAGCCTAAAAGGATAGGAAAGGACCTGAATTTTCAGAGTAAATATGCTCTAACTAAATTGATGTGATATTTCATTTTTTGAGGTATATTTCTAACTAGATTATAAGCCAATTCTGTTCTCAAAACTGTTGAAATGGAAAAAATGTTTAAACTTTTCTTTTGCTTACACCATTATTATTTGACTGTTTGAAACTTGACAGATGTGTGCCTCAAAGTTTCTACACATCTGTCAAATGTTAAATTCCCTTGTGAATTGATAACCATTTTTTTTTGCATTTGACATACAGATTCTGTGATGATAGTTACTTTTATAAAATAACTATGGTCTTTTTATAAATTTAAATTGTAACACTGATTAAAAATATAATGCTTTCTCAAAGCACATAGCCTGTTGAATAAGGAAATGAGTGCTATCTCATGCATGCTTTTAAGAAGAGTACAATATTTTTGTTATACTTGAGCTTAAAAACCATTTCTGTTGAAGGTTGCTCTATTAGTTCATTCTTGCATTGCTGTAAAGAACTACCTGAGACTGGGTAGTTTATAAAGAAAAGAGGTTTCATTGGCTCATGGTTCCATAGACTGTACAGGAAGCATGGCTGGGGAGGCCTCAGGAAACTTACAATCATGGCAGAAGTAGAAGGGGAAGCAGGCACATCCTACATGACTGAAGCAGGAAGAAGAGGGCAGGGGAGACGACACACACTTTTAAATGACCAAGTAGGACAAGAACTCATTATCACAAAGACAGCACCAGGCCATGACAGATTTGCCCCCATAACCCAAACATCTTCCACCAGGCTCTACCTCCAGCATTTGGGATTACAATTCAACATGAGATTTGGGCGGGGACAAATTTCCAAACTATATTAGTTGCCATGCTATCTGTTTTCTCAGATTACTAGAGGATATGGCTAAGCAATACATCAAGATGGTTAAGTTTTCTTTTCCATGAGTGTTGGGAACCTGCCTGAGAGACTAAACCTTGAGAAAATTTAATGTGTTTTGGGCTGTCACTAAAGTGGTCATTCCCAACCCTCCACTCCTTAAAACAAGATAAAACATGACAAAATAAAACAGAAGATCAGGCACCAGGTAATTTGAAGGAGATGGAGAAATTTTCAAACTGACATTGACTTTAATTGAACTCCACTCAAGAATGAAACGTATATACTGTAATACTTCTAGTAATGTGGAAGGAGGAACATTGGCAAATTCAGTTTAAAAACTTAAGATTTTTTTTTTTCATTTTCAAATGGAATATCCTGAGAAAATAAACTAGAGATGGATTGTAAATCCAAGTGTGGTAACTGGCAACCCTCCATCTCTCATTCTCTTGCAATCTCATTTTTTAAATGAAGCCTAAGACACTAACGTGTCTAAATTCCAATATAAAGCAAACAAATAAGTGTTTTAGTGCCAGGATTAGTGCTAGGTGTTGCAGTACGAAAGCGAATAGGATAGAATCATCCCTATGGCATAAAGGCTGGGATAGCAGGCAGACAAATAATAACAAGTGCGAGAGGATTGTGTGGTGGTGTGTGTACACATGGATGAAACACCTAGCTTTCCTGGTGGTGGCTATTAAGCTGAAGCCTGGAAGCTAGTCTTGCATTACTATGTCCAGGACTCTGTTCTAACCTAGAGATCTAAAAAAATTATCCCAGAATTTTGTATTAGCTGGTATCTTACTGGTCATTCAGGGGAATGGCTCTGATTGTTCATACGTTTTACCTCCAAAATGTGATTCCCTCACTTACACCCATTCACCCTAGTTGGTTCTCCTCGAACAGAGAACAAACAGCAGAGAACAAGGGGACTCCTTGACAGTGTAAGAATCCTGGATATTCGAAGACTTACTCTTCTCAGCTTTATTCTGCACCCACATTGCTGCATCCACTCATCCCATGCAGCCCCACTGCTTTCTTGTGTGTTTGTGATACAATGATATAATACGAAATACGTATTTGATCTTTGCTTCAGGTTCCTGATACAGAATTCCTAAAATGCATGGAGTTTCCTGAGTGATAGGAGCTATAAAGTTGAAAGGAGTGTCTTTTGTTGTTCATAGTAAGTCTCTTTCAACCACACCTGAGTTTAGGTTCATGCCCATGTGACTTTTGGAAAGCCCCTAAGGAGGAGGGGCTGGTTGACCGAGGGACCAACCATGTGATTAGAGGGTTGGAACTTTTGGCCCCACCCACACTCTGACCTTATGATAAGAAAGAGGGACTGGATAGAGATTGAGTTCAGTCAGCAATGGCCAATGATGTAATCAGTCATACCTACATAATGGAACCTCCCTATAAACCCAAAAGGACAGGGTTTGGAAAGCTTTCAGGTTGATGACCACATGAAGGTGTTGGGAGGGGGGTGCACCTGGAGAGGGCATAGATGCTCCATGCCCCTTTCCCTGTGGTTTGTCCTATGCATCTCTTCCATTGGACTGTTCCTGAGATGTATCCTTTTACAATAAACCAGTCATCTAGTAAGTAAACTATTTTCCTGAGTTCTGTGAGCTGTTCTAGCAAATTATCAAACCCAAAGAGGGGTTGTGGGAATACCAATTTATAGCTGTTGGTCAGAAGTATTTAAGGCTCAGACTTGGCATCTAAAGTAGGACACTCTTGTAGTACTTAACCCTTAACTGCAGTACATAGTCTCAGAATTAAACTGAATTGTAGAATACCTTGTTGGTGTTAGAGAATTGGTCATTGTGGAGAAAAAACACACATTTGGTGTCAGAAGTGTTGAAAGTGTATAGTAAAACAGTGTTTGTTTTTCTTTTAGTATTTCTCTGGAAGTAGCCATTATTTTATAAGCCAAAATATTTTTTATACTTTTCACATCATCTTTTCCATGGGATAATAGTTACCTTCTGTCTCTTGTTTTTGAAATTTTTCTGTAATCTAAACATATACCAAATTCTATCTAGTCCCTATTTTTTTCCCCCTTGAGTTTCACAATGCTAAGTGGCCACTTTTCTTTCAAGTTCCTGATCATTTCCACATCCTGCACTCACCCTTTATCCCAGTTTGTCTGATTTAAGTCCAGAAAAGTAGTTTCTCTACTTGCATCATCTGCCTTCTTTGAGCTTAAACTCTTAGGAAAGTAAGTCAAGAATTTATCCAATGTTGTGTTTTTGCCAAGCAACACTTCCAGATGGTGTCCTCATGGTTGAAGTCCCCCACCACCACTTTATGTACTTCTTCTCCAGTTTTGCAATGTCTGTTACCAAACCACATCCTCTACCTGGTCTGGTAGTCCAGAGTGCATTTTCCAACAAATACCACCACCACTTTCTCTCTTTTTCCCAAGATGTCTCCACCCTTGGGCTTATAATATGCAAGACGGATACTATGATTTTCATGACGTACATGGCTCTTTCTTTTGAGCAAATCTTTTATCCTTTGGAACAAAGTTTTCATTTTGGCTAGGGTTTATTCTTAACAATAGCACTACTATTCAAAAGCAAATATTTATTAAGTAAAGACTATGTTCCACATTTGGTGCTGGGTTATTAACATCTTCAAGTTCATTTGGCACTAACTATATTAATGCTAACGGTAATTCCTATGATGTAGATATAATTCTCCCCATTTTGCCTATGAGGAAACTGAGGCTTGGGGAAGTTAAGTAGCTTACCAAAACCTACACCATTAGTAAGTGATAAGGTTAGGATTTGAACCCAGAACTGTCACATTCCAAAGCTTGCACTTTTAATCATTACAGTGCTTCCTATCTCTCATTGCCTTGCAACATCTTAAAAATAATCATACCCCCAGGCCCGGAGCGGTGGCTCATGCCTGTAATCCCAGCACTTTGGGAGGCTGAGGTGGGCAGATCATGAGGTCAGGAATTTGAGACCAGCCTGGCCAATGTGATGAAACCCCGTCGCCACTAAAAATACAAAAAAAGTAGCCGGCGCTAATGTTTTTAGCCACACACCTAAACGTGTGGCGCATGCCTGTAGTCCCAGCTGCTCGGGAGGCTGAGGCAGGAGACTCGCTTGAACCCAGGAGGCAGAGGTTGCAGTGAGCCAAGATCGCACCTCTGACTCCAGCCTGGGTGACAGAGTGAGATTCTGTCTCAAGAAAAAAAGAAGAAGAAGAAGTAATCATACCCCCTAAGAGCATAAAAATTTCATAAACTGCATAAAAATTCCAAAGTAAATTGGCTGCTTATTCAAACTTTGATGTACAGACTTAGGCTTAAAGTTTTCATCACTGCTGGCTTCCCTTTAATTTTTTCCTAAAATTCTTTGGGTACTTTTACCACTTGCTGCTTTGTTTTATCCTCCATGGCTTCAGGTTTTATGATTGTATCTGAGTATTTTTCTCCCGCTCTTCCTTCCAAAATTCAGTTTAAAAGCTTCTTGGTGATGTTGGCAAATTAGGGACATTCTTTCCTGGCTTCATGAAAAACACTTTTTCTGTGTACTTTTTCTTGTTCGAGTCTACAAGAGCAACTCTTAGCACTATCTATGTAGCCACCTGTTTGCTCTTTATATCCAATTTTCTCTTCTGAGGTTATGGCCTTCACTTTTGAAAAGGATTAGTACCAAAGGGTATCCTGTCACTATACCCAAGCCCTTGAATTTTCGTCCTAGATGGCAATTAGAGCAGTTTTCAATTCTGGTGGCAACTTAGAACCACCTGGTATTAAAAAAAAAAAATAACAGTTGTCAGGCCCCATCCCAGATCAATTGTGAATCAGTCTTTGGAAATAGGTTTTAGACATCAATAGTATCTTCAAATTCCCCAGTATTTTAAAACTTCTGATGTGCAACTATAGTAAGATCCATTAGCATTATGAGCTTTGTCTGGCAGGAACGTTTGTTCCCACTCGAACGAACAGAAGTGGGTACATTTTATGAGTCTTGGCAAGCTCCATCTCACACCAAGATTCATGCTGTAGGAAGACAACATGCCTCTTAGCTTGGCTACAGCTTCGTTCACAGAAATGAACAAGTTCCATGAGGTTTCTTTTCTGACTGCAATTATTAACAGCATTGTGCCTCCCTCCGCAGGTCTGAGAATACTCCCAGAGCTTTGTAGTGCCCCTGTAATCACCCTCGATAGAGAGCCCAGCACCTCTTGTATACTTCCAATTGCATATCTTTCTCCCTGTCTCTCTTGACACATATTATTTTACTGACTCTTCTCTTGTCATTTATTTTCCTCTACACTCTCCACATCTTTTTTTTTAAATTTCCTTCTAAGAAGACTTCCTTCTTCCTTCGTTTGAATCTAGGTTAGAGAACCAGCCTTAAGTCTATTCATCTTCTTTAGCAGGAAACAATCATTTAGAGTAGGCCCAAGCTAGGCAGGAACACAAACAAAAATATTATATGTAAGACATGATTCCTGCTTCCTAGAGCTTACTTTTAGTTAGGAAGAAAAAACAAAGGGACATGAAACCAGCAGTCATGGTTGATAAGTAGTCAACAATATTCAGGAGTTTCAGAAAAAGTGTCTTAGGGAAGGTAGACATTGAACTGAACCTTTCAGGATAAAGTAGAGAGGCCACTGCAGGTTGCTTGAACAACATCAATGAAGCTGATTATTAAGCACTATATTAATACTGCTTAATATGGAGAATTTGTCCCAAGGAGATTGTGAGACTTGGGAAAGAAGATTTAGATGGGGTAGGGTGGAATTAGGAGAGAAGAGTAATTAGTAAGGTGGTAAGATTAATACTTTCACCTCACCCCAACCCCCTTATTCAAATCATTTGCTACACTCTAAACTGCAAAGGCCAAACACTGTCTTCCGTGTGTTCCTTTGCTTACCATAGTACCTAACAAAGTATTTGTACAAAATATATTCATGGAATGAATGAATTCTTCTCAACCTCATAGAGATGTCATGAATCTCTTTAGAAATTAGGTGAAATCTATGAGCTCCTTTCTAGAAAAATGCAAATAAATGCAGATGGGTACACACACACTCACACTCACGCTATGCTGTATAATTATATACAGGTTATAGAATTGAACCTTTAACATAATATAATTGTAATAACACATTAGGAAGATAATATCTGCCTACCTATTTGAAAGCTTTTCAGTACTCTTAGTATAAGTTATGACTTGATAGTGTTTTGACTAAGAGAAAGTGAAAAAAAAGGAAAGCAATCTTAAGAATGAAAATTTTGATACTGGTGTCTAGTTATAGATTTTTTCTTTTTCTTGTCTCCCCTCCCTGAGCTTTGCTAGCATGTTTTTTTAAAGCTGGTTCTCAAGCATCTGCACTTAACCAATTTGAATAATATTCCTCAAACAAGTCTTTCCTATTTATTCATTATTTTCTTTGAGTTCTTAGTGCAACTAAACCAATCAGAAATAATGGAAGAAGAGAACAAATTACAAGGGAAGGCGGGTAGTGGTTGTCATCATTGTTGTTTGCCATCCTCACAACTCAGGTGTCTGGAAAGTTTTTAGAACCCTACCATGAACAGTAGCCAACAGTGCAAGGTGAGAAATTCAATGGGGCTATTTAGAGCAGACATAAAAATAAATATAAGAAAATATATAAATTCATCAAACAATTCTGGGACTTTTCCAGGAGTCTCCCTCTAATAATGATAACCCAAAACATCAGCAACCACTTTGTCTAGGCTAAGCAGGTGTACTGTCTTTCTGGGGAAGTTAGTCTCAGTGTGAAATGAATTTATTGAGACATAGTCTCCCTCTAATAAGAGATGCATTCATTAGCCATACAACGTTTCAACTAATCCTTAAAACATCCTTAGGAAGTTGTTCTCATTTGATAAGTGAAAAATAAAAGGCTCAGCTAGGTTATCATATTGGCCCAGGGTTACTTACCTATTAGATGGTGACCCTGAAATTTTAGTCCAAGGCAATTTGATTCTAAAGGTATTTTGCTACTCTCACTCTCCTACTGATGAATTTTTACACAGACACCCTACAAATCCCCTCCCAGTCCTGTTTCTCAGACATATGTGACCACTTTAGTGAGAGGGAAATTTAACTGGCATAGTTACCAACCACTCTAGTGTTGCAAGCAAAATACAAGTAAAACAAAATGAAAGGGCCATTCTTTTGCAAACAAGTTTCTTTGCCATTAACACCAACAGATTCATTTATCCTAGCAGACAGGAATGATCACGTATATCTCTTTCAAAGAGTATATCCACATTGTTTTCCAGTAGAAGAACAATATATATTTTTTAGAAGATGACCTAATTGATCTATTCTTTAGTAATCCAGGAAAATTGGATTGTTCTGCTCATCGGTGGAAGCGTGGTCTCATCAACATGGCTCCAGGAGGCCAGGAATGACCTTGTGTTCTCTTGCATGTGGCTTGGGTTAAGGAATGTAAGGCCAGTAGGAAGCAGCCTCATTTGTTCTTTGGGACTTTAATGTGACTGTAACTTTAAAAATCTCCAATAGCAGAAATATTTTTCCAATATAACATCTATAGGTTGAGAGTTTGATATTTAAGTCTTGTGAAAATAAAATTTGGACTTGTAAAAATAAGTGCATGTTTATTATAACTCTCTAGGTTCACTTTCTCTGGCAATAACCTTCATTTTGCAACACTAAACTTTGTTAAGCAAGTATTTGTGCCAACCACTATGCTGAACACTTTCCTATACGTTGTTATACTTTACCCTCTCAACAGTCTATGTTCTTTTTAGAAAGGATCATGCCAGTAATCAGAGCAGAGTGGTGTGGTTGCTCTGTTAATGACAAATGATTTCTTTTCTATGAAAATAGGTTTTATAATATTACATTTATGACTTTTGTTATCCTTCCTTCCAAGGAAGGATAAGTGCTATTTATAAGAAGCTCTGTTTAATAATATGAGGTAAACAGAATTCTGTTTTTAAAACTGTTAGAAGTGGTCGAAGGAGTTTAGATACTAACGGCCCCCACACTAAGCCAATTCTACAGCACGAGAGCAAGTCCAAAGTGCATCTTAACATTTAAATCTAGATTGAAATTTAAATTCCACCAACCAGAACTCGAGCTGATATCAGTGTTGATCATAGAAAAAGAAATGTTTCTAATTAACTAACTTTAAAGCCCTATCTTAATCACTTAGAGCATTCTTGTGCACATCTGTGCTGCAGGAGTAACTGGATTACCTCCATGGTGTGTGTCTCTGGGTGTGCGTGTGTGTTTAAAGCAATGCTATAACTCTATCCAAATGCAATTCAGCACTGCTTTAAAGTTTAGAAGCAAATGTGTACTTAGTAACATAGTTTAAAACTTGAAACCCTCCTCTACCTTATGTGTGCTTCTCTTGTAAATTGAGCTTGTTTGCGGAAGGCAGCCATTTCAAATACTGTGACACATACATCCCAGAACTTCTTCCCTCTTACTTCAACCTAACCTAAATGAGCACCAGAGCCAGGGCCTCTCATGTGGTTTTGCTTCATCTGACAAGTGACATCAGTATCTTTCCATTTGCCTTATTTTTATAAAATTGTGCCCAGAATGAATGGTGAGGCCAGTAAAGGAACCTGAGTCCGAGGAGTAATTTTTCATTAGGGTAAATGAGGTGATATGATATACAAGTAAAACCCGATGTGACAACGTAATATAATGCTGTGATACAAAATGTTTGATTCTATTCCTGTGACTGTTTTCTAAGGCCCTTATATCTTTTGCTTGTCTTGTGTGTATATATACTGATCAGTGGAAACGTAATTGGTAATCAGATATTTATTTCTGTCAATGAATGACCAGATGGCTCTTGCCTCCATTGGAGGAGAACCATCTTGCCTATCCAATAGCTCAGGGACATTATGTATAACAAACTGAACAGGAGGATCATCTCTAGCCCAAGTAAGAAACTGCAGCTGCTTTTCTCTACTTTGTAAAGTTGGCAGAGGATCACAAATGACTTTATTCTTATTTTTTAATTGAAATAGTTTGTGTATTTTCCCTACCAAAGTAACACATGCTTATTCTGGAATACTATGCTGATACAGACAAAATAGGGGAAGAATGCTTACAAATCAATTTTTACTACCCATCACTTGCCGCTTGGAAATTTGATGATGGTAATGAGGATAAAAGGCTGAAGTTTATTTGAGTACATATTCTTGCCTGGATGCTGTGCTAAGTGCTTTACATAAATTAGCTTATTTAATCCTCCCCACAACCCAGTAATGTCAGTAATGGTATTAATCCCCCTTTGTAGAAGAGGAAACTGAAGCCCAGAGATGTTAAGTGAATCATCTGAAGTCACACAGCTACTAGGTCATCTAGTAGAGGGAACTAATTGAACCTGACAGTGAGCCCCCACTGATTTCCAAGCATTAACTGATTAACTCTGTTGTATATGTTACAAATATTTCTTACAGTCTTGTGGGTTGTCTTTCAGTTGTATTTATGAAATTTGTGATACTTTATTTACACAGATGACAGATGAGTCCATTCTTTTTTATTTATTTATTTATTTTTGAGATGGAATTTCTGTCACCCAGGCTGGAGTGCAGTGGTGCAGTCTCGGCTCACTGCAACCTCCACCTCCTGGGTTCAAGCGATTCTTCTGCTTCAGCCTGCCAAGTAGCTGGGATTACAGGTATGTGCCACCATGCCTGGCTAATTTTTTGTATTTTTAGTAGAGACGGGGTTTCACCATGTTGGCCAGGCTGGTCTCAAACTCCTGACCTCAGGTGATTCACCTGCCTCGGCCTCCCAAAGTGCTGGGATTGCAGGTGTGAGCCACCGCTCCCAACCAAGTCCGTTCTTTTCTTTTGTGGTTTCTACCTTTAGCACCATGTTTGAAAAGGCCTCTTCTAACCCTAGATTATAATGTAGGAAGGAGAAAAATATGCTAACAGTACCAGAAGAAATTAGCCACAAGCCAGAAAGCCATAGTATCTTCCCAAGTTGTCACCCACAAGAAGAAGATCTGAGAATGTGATTGAAGGCAATGGTGGAAGGGAAACTAAAACGACTCCCTCATTATACCCTATAAAGTCCAACCTGTTCAATAGACCGGTTACTTATACATCTGTTCATGCCTTCTCCCCTCTCCTTCAGGCTCCTGAAGTAGGGACTGGACTGGGAGGAGGGATGAGAGAAAAGGGGAGTACGCTAGTTACATAGCTGGTACTGTTTGAGGGCCTCTCTTAGGTGTCAGATGCCTGTGGTTGGGTCTTTTGTGTGGCACTTAGTTATGTTCTTTTGAGACATACCTGTGGAGACCTCATACACAGAGGTAGTACACCTGTCATGGATAAGACCGTATCTGGGTGACTTCTAATCACCTCCTATTCTCAGGTCATACCCTACTTGCATGTACCTTGCCCTACAGGCCCAGTCTTCTTAAGCATAGTCCTTTCAATACTGTGTAAGCCTAGCTCCCTCCCCGCACCACTAGGCCCACAGGAAAACACATCAGGCATCTTCTTCCTTACAAACGGTAAAAATAGACACTACTTCCATTGCTTGCCTTTCTCCTTGACCTGCCATGTTGACAACTTTGGTCAGTATCCTACCTTCAGAATCTCAAATCAGGGCCATCACCATGATCTATGCCCCATATTTTAGGGGGCATGCAGTAGGTTCTCCCAAGAATTCTGTGCTCTGTACTAGGAGTAGAAGGAGGCAGGTGTTGAGTTTTGGCTGTTTGGCAGCCATCCAGCTTGGGGAAAGAGATGCCAGCCCCTCTCCTGGCAGATATCCCAGTCTCTACCCTTTTCTTATATAGGCTGTTAGAGAGTGATGGGGTAAGAGTATTTTACAGATAATATTTCTGTCTTTAGCAAGTCCTGCAGAGGTGTGCCTAGCACCTCTGTTTAGCGTTTGCAGGTATTAATCCTCAGCATTAGAGCCTCAGCTGAAATGCCAGGATGATAGGAAAAGTCCCATTCCACATCCTACGATAATGGAGTTATTTCGTGTGATGGGGATATCATGTGATAGAAGGATTCTAATTTTTTTCTTTCAAAATAGATTGTTAGTTATCACAGATGCTTTCTAATTGGCATATTACTTTTTAAATAGTAGTCCAAGTCATCAATAAATTGATATTCATTTCTTCTAGAAGTATAACCCCATTACAATAAAATGAAAAAAAATTATATCAAAGGAGTGTTCTATGTAGCAAAGCTATTTCTGTGTCACAGTGTGTAGTCCTTCAAAGCAGTATTTTGTTGATCTTAGTGACAACAAATTCAATATATCTAATAATACTGCATAGCAGGTCTTCATTCTCTTCCCTGTTGATGTGACAGTCACTCTTTAATGAAACCTTATTTTGTATACCATTTGCATTGTAGATCAGGAATGAAGAGCTGAGTTTGCTTAAGCAATAGCTGATCTGTTTATACTTTTTATATTCTTCCATCAAGAAATAATTACCCTTCAACCAACCTTACCTCTTTCCACTTCACATATGCAAACCACCTAAATAAAACATACTCAAACTCCCAAACCACACAGCAGTATACAGAAGCATCCAGGACCCAGAAAAGCATAGAATAGTGTATACATAACCTTTTCCACTTCATCATACCAAGGCATTCATTCATTCAGCAACTGTATAGCGAGCATGTACTGTGGGCCATAAACCTGCTAGACAACAGAGTTGATTTTGCTCATTTATTTACCACAGGGAAGTAAAGAATAAGATTTGTTTTAATTCGAGTCCTATAAAATTGGAATGTTATTTCTGGCTTAACAAAGATATTGTAACACAATTTTTGGTATCTCATTGATTTGTTGCCCATAATTCTCTGTTGGAATACATCTACACATGGATTGGTTTTAAATGGCCTTCAGCAGTTTACTGCAGGGCCATCTGGCCATTTGCTGTCTGTATTCCCAAACTAATATCTAGTTCTAGAATAATCTGGCTTTTGACACTATGAGGACTCAGTTATACCCTGGCATACATTACTGAAGTGTTAAATGTGTATAAAGTACAGCATGTATTGACAGTTCAGATGATATACACTATACTTTAAGATAGCCCATGCAGACTCTCAATACATCTAAATAATGGAATAATTACCTTTTTCAGTTACAAGAAATTTTTTTTTATTTTCTATGAGAACTCCATTGAATAATACCTTTTCTAGAATATTTATTATATGATTAAAGGTATACAGTTTTCATTTATATCTGTTTTAGTATTTATAGAGATGTTTGTGCATCTTTGTGGCTATGACCCACAATAATATTAACACAAACTCTGAATTCATATTAAGTCTCTACTGAGAGTATTTGCCCATTTTCATGAACTTACTTTTCAAAGAAAAAATATTTCAAGGTGGAAAGTAAAAAACTCTTCTGCAAATAATGTTGAACCTCACAATAATGTTCACTATATTCTGAAAGAAGACCATGGATTGTTGTGATCTGTAAACAACCAATGTGCAAAATTTTTTTAAAGCTCAGAAGAGGGGAATTTGGCCATAGAATGTTAAAAGGTCTGATTTTTCTTCTAATTATTTTTCCCATAAGAGCAGAGATTTGAGTTTGCATGGGCACTCTGTAAATACCTCAGGTTGCCTAAGAGCTTAAGTAAATATCTTAGACTTTAGAAAACTACTTCTTTTCTTTTCTTTTTTTTTCCTTTTTAAGGAAGAATAAAACCTGGATTCAAACCTCTTTCCATTGGCTCACTTTGGTGCATCAATAGCTCTTCCAAGTCATGCTGAGTAATGCCTAAAAGTGAACTTGTCACCTTCCTCACCTATTCACAAAACCTTCTGTTCTGATGTGTCCTATCCATTTTCTAGTCCAAAAGTTTCTGACTTTTAGCAGGTCAGAAACTGGCTCTAACAACTTCCTATAGGATTAGATTCTCACGAACTTCAGATACTAGGACTTCTGGATAGAGAAGATAAAGTAGGTTTTAAAATAATGGTATAAGAAATAAATTGAAAACATGAGAAATAAAAAATAGACCATAAAAAATGCATATTTTTTGAAGGACTAAATAGGATTTTTATATATTTATCAAAATTAACTCAGTGGACATGCTAAGTATTACACATTGATAAAGAGAGAATTGATAAAGAGAGGATTACATTCTCATGCCTGTAATCCCAACACTTTGGGAGGCCGAGGAGGGCAGATCACAAGGTCAGGAGATCAAGACCATCGTGGCCAACATGGTGAAATCCCGTTTCTACTAAAAATAAAAAAATTAGCTGGACGCAGTGGCGTGCGTCTGTAGTCCCAGCTACTTGGGAGGCTGAGGCAGGAGAATTGCTTATACCTGGGAGGCGGAAGTTGCAATGAGCCGAGATCGTGCCACTGCACTCCAGCGTGGCGACAGAGCAAGACTACATCTCAAAAAAAAAAAAAAAAAAAAAAGAGAGAGAGAGAGAGAGATAGAATGAGAATTGGCAACCTAGAAGCTAGATAGTAAAAACTTAAAAGAATGTAGCAAAATGGAGAAAGAAATTGAAAATAGGAAAGATGTTGGGCATAGTGGCATGAATCTGCAGTCCCAGCTACTTGGGAGACTGAGGTGAGAGAATTGCTTGTGCCTAGAAATTGGAGGCTTCATTGAGCTGTGATCATACCACTGCACTCCAGCCCGGGCAACAGAGTAAGACCCCATCATATATATATACAAATTAAAAAAAAAGAAAATAGGAAAGAGATATTAAGATCTTAAAAGATGAGAATCCAACATATGTCTAATAGGAGTTCCAGATGGAAAAATTAGAAAAAATTTTAAGAGGCAATATTCAGAGAGATTTTTGCACAATATTTCCAGAGATTACAAAAATAATGAATCCCCAAGATAATTCATGTATTTAGTTTTAAAACATGAGAGAGTACAACAAAAGGTTTATAATAAAAAGCAAAATCTTCTTCCTCAGTCCTCCCTACCCCCCTGCCCCATACCTTCCTCAGAGGCTACACTCTGACAAAATTGTAGTAATTTCTTATCTTGCTATTTCTTGATTTTTTTTTAAATGTGAGAGATCTGTTGACTTTCCTGCCTTTGGAAATGATTGTGTTAGCTCTCTTTTATAAGCATGGACGCACACGCACATTTTCCCTCACCCTATTTTTCCAATATGAGTATATCTCAACTTTTGGTTAAATAAATATTCTGTGTTTACAGCATTATTACTATGTAAAAAGTGTTCCCTGCTGAGCCTCATTGTGTTCTATGATTAGATTTCCTTTCCCAAATAACTCTTCATTTTTTCCTGGAGCTAATTATTACATTGGGTTTATTTGCTTAGTTTCTGTGTCACTATCAACAAATCCATTCTCAAGCTCTGTCACTGTCACTAATTCATCTGCTCAGTGTTGGCCACATTAGGAAACCTATCATTTCCATTTTTTTCTTGGATGCTACCTTCCTGGAGGCCTCAATTCTCTTGCTCCCGTTTGTTCTATTTGCTCTTTGGGCCCTTGGGTCAACTATGTCCTGGATTCTGTGTCTTTCTCTTCCTTGGTTTACTTTTTTCTTATAGGGAGCACATCCACCAGTATCTTCTCAAGAAAAAGGGTACGTAAGAGACTTGATTGCCTGAAAATGCCTCTAGCCTACCTCACATTTGATTGATATTGGACCAAGTATTGAACTCTTATTTAAAAATCATTTATTTCAAAAGCTTGAGGTCATGTTCCATTGTTTTCTGCTTTTTAGACTTTTCTGACTCCTTGCATGTGACTTCCCTTGCTCTCTCACCTGAAAGGTATTAGGACTTTCTGGTTTACCTCTGGTATTCTGAAATTCTATAATGATTCTACTTGGATTGAATTTTGGTTCCTTTATTATTCTAGGAACTCAATACATCAGTACAAATAAATTTCTTATATTTTTTTCTTTGATTTTCTTCCCACACTATTTTCTCGGTGTTCACTTTCTTCAACTCCTAAATTGACCTTATTTTATCTCTTTTCCCATCCTCCTTATTTTTGTTTTTGTTTTTGTTCTGCTTTCTACAAGATTTTCTCCACTTTATCATTCAGCCCTTCCATCGATTATTTATTTATTTTTTTTTTAGTTATATTTTTAATTGCAAGCACTCTTTATTGTTCTTGGATGTCCTTTCTTACTGCATTTGTCTTTTCTGCCATGGATGCAATTATCAATGTGAATATTTCTTATAGGTTTTTTTTTAAGTTTTTTCCTGTTCTCTACATTGTCTCAGTTTCTTCCAAGTGAAACAGGAAAAGTTCCCTTGTTCCCCTCCCAGGGTGTGTGATGGGGGTGTGACTTGCTGCTTCAGCGCCCCACTGCTCAAACCTCTAGGGGAGCATACAGACAGGGAGACTGTGGGGGTCTGACCCCATGGCAGTATCTAGGCATGAATGTTTACAGCTGAAGCCCCAATGGGCATGTGTTACAGGGTGCTCTTTTAGTTTTGCTGTCTATAGGTGCCTTGTTTTAACCAGCTCAATTAAACCTCTACCTTGTCACAAGGACAGAGGGTTTTCTGTATCCTGGGTTCTTTCCTTGGTGTACCGGAAGAATCGGATCATACCCAGTGCCTGTCAGTACATTCCTCTGGATGTCCAGCCACCCGTGTGTTCCTCCCCTGATGTGCTTCTTTCAATATTCAGCCGCCTGTGTGTCTGCCTGCTGGGGTCTCAGGGTTTTTATAGGCCCAGGATAGGGGCGTGGCAGGCCAGGGTGTCTTGGGAAATGCAGCATTTAGGCAGGAAATGCCTGTCTTCACCTAGGTCCATGGGGGTGGAGCCCTAGCCAGGGACCCCACCCTCCCCTACCCAGCACTTCCCTTCCCCCATTCCCTATCATTTAAAGGGACCATGCTCTTCCCTTTCCAGCACTTGCATATCACAAGTTCCTTTCTTATGCTTTGTCTTGTTTATTTCATGTTACGAGTTTTCCTCAAATGTCTGCTGGTTCCTGGCTGTCCATTCATATCAGAGAGCAAGAACTGCGACGGATGATTAGAAGTTCTCTGTTCAGAGACAGCGCTTGTTGACTGGTGACCTTTCTCATGGAATGAACAAACAAATTCAATTATTTTGTTGTGGCATCCCCACATTTCAGTTTCACTAAGTCAGTTTAGTTAGTTTCCAGAGAAAGGCTCTTATAATTTCCTAGAAGGTGAATCTCCAGCTCTCTGGGAGCCAAATAGGTGAAAGGTTCTGGAGAAACATCACCAATGAATGGGTGTACTTTCACTTCACTCACCCTTGCCTTTGGCCTCCCCTGGTCTCTGGTTTAACCCCTCAAGTTAGGAAGCATCCTTTCTGGTGTTGAAGTGGGAGCTGCATAGGCTTAGAGAAGTTATCAAGGGGGTTGATTTCTCTCTATGTAAAATCACTATCAATTCTTCTGTTTTCAGTTTCGCTCCACAAGTGTACCTCTATATAGAGGAACCTGGACTGATAAATTCCTGAGCCTTTCCGAGTTTCTGTGGAACACGCAACCTTCTTCTTGTCTAAAACTACATACACACACACACACACACACACACACACACACACACACACACACACACCTGCATGCTTATGGACACATTCTGCCTCCCCCTCTCTGCTCAACCACCGCTCATCCATCTGCTTTCCATCTTCTGAAATTTGGTTCACATTCTTTTCCATTGCAGTCCTTCCCAGTTTTTCATTTTATCCTTGTATGCCTATGCCTTTTAAATAAATTCCCTACCATTATTTTAGTAGGAATTGAAAAGGCAAGGGAGGATTGAACATTGGTGTTTGCTCTAGCATGTTTGCCCCAGTCCATTCAAGCCGTATCTGGAATGTTTATTCAGACCCAATCTGACCCCTCACTTGTGTCATTAAGGGCAGAAAGGCCTCTCCCTGCTTATTTTTCAGGCCTCATCTTTTGTCCCTCCCCTCCCCACACCTTCCCATCTATCTCTGCCCAGTCAATGCTCTGGCCATGTTTTGATTTTTATCTCTGGACCATATTCTCTCTTGCCCTGGGCTTTATGCACATGCTGTTACTCTTAGCACATCCCAGCTCTTGCTCCCATACCTGGCTAACTTGTAGTTATCATGGAGGTCACAGCTGAAGATCAGCTTCTCTAGAGAGCCTTCCCTGGCACTAACTCCCTTTCTAGGGCTGGGTTCTCATCTTGTATCACCTAATTCTTTCCTGATTGAAGCACCTACCACATTATATGTTCCATGAGGACATCTTAGCTAATTTACCTGGCACATAATAGGCACTCTAATTTTTGTTGAATGAGGAATGACTGTTTCTTTCTCTGAACCTTTTTCACTCAGTGTTTTCACTGAGTATTTGCTGTCTTTGCCTTCAAGCCTTGCTTATATTGTAGTAATGAGTAATGGCCCAGCAAGTCAGATATTTCAAATTTATCCATCTGTTTTATTTTTACTCCCTTTTTCTGAACTAAGAAATACTAAAATGTGTAGAAAAGCTGAAGTAAGTAGAAGTGTTTATACCTCATTTTGTATACTTACAGGTTTTATTTCAAATGTAAAATTAACAAAATTATGTCTTCCAATATTAATTCTGGATGAGGTCAGTTTCTGTGGCTTAAAAATTAGATAGCAATATAATCAATTTGAATTGAATCAATACTTACTGTCCGAACATTTAATATGGGAGCCAAAAGAAAAAAAAAAGTGGTTATGTTGAAAGTTGGCTTTGCTGGTAATTTTGATATATTCAGGTTGTGGATAGGCAAATGAAAAAGAAAAAAAGACTAGATTTTTTATGTCCATCTGTTCATGCTTCAGAGATCTGGAAACTGAAGTTTTAAATTTCCTGGTTTTATTTTCCTGGTTTATGCAGTTTTAAGAAGGAAAATGACAGAATCTCTCAGAAAAATGAAGGAATATAAGTAAAGACAAGGAAAAGTAAAAGGTGGAAAACAGTATCATAGGAAAGACATAATAGAAATGGAGGAATATATTAATTTAATTAATAACATTGGACCTTTTTACAGTTAATGTATCTCTAGGCGTGAATACAATTCTTTGATTAGTATACAAAAGAAAAGAAGATAACATTAAAAGTACCTGCCTTAAGTGGATGGCTAAAGTATAAGAACTAATAAGAAAAATATGTCTTGAAGAAAGCATGGGTCTCTAGTTTATAAAATAGGCTCAATTATGAAAGGGCCAATGGAGTCTTGGACTAGAGTTTTTAGAATGTTGAATGTTTCTCTAGTAACGATTAAATGCCATGATGACCTTCACCACTATTATCAATATAAAAAATAATGGCCAGTAATAACTGAGTTCTTAATATGTGCCAAGCAACATGGAAACATAATTCTGCAAGGCATTGTTACTATTATCCCCATTTTACAGATGACATAATTGATTCTTATAGAAAAGACTTTTCTCAGGTCAGCTAAAAAGTGACAGAGCCCTTAATTTACAACCAGTCAATATGCCTAGACCCCTTTATGCCATTTTGCCTCATAACAATAAGATAATCATTAGACTTGATTAGATGCTTAATCCTTACCTCTGTGAGAAGTCCAGGACTAGCCTCATTCTTACTGTACAGATGAGAAAACTCAGGTTTAGAAAAATTAAATGACTTTATTCACAACCAAATTTTAAAGAAAAACTCCTTTCCTGAAACACAAATCTTTAAATTTTTTTATTCATTTTAATTTTTTAAAAAGTAACATTTGGGCCAGGCACAGTGGCTCACACCTGTAATCCCAGCACTTTGGGAGGCCGAGGTGGGTGGATCACAAGGTCAAGAGATCGAGACCATCCTGGCCAACATGGTGAAACCCCGTCTCTACTAAAAATACAAAAATTAGCTGGACGTGGTGGTGCATGCCTGTAATCCCAGCTACTCAGGAGGCTGAGGCAGGAGAATTGCTTGAACCCGGGAGGCAGAAGTTGCAGTGAGCTGGGATCGTGCCACTGTGCTCCAGCCTGGCGACAGAGTGAGACTCTGTCTCAAAAAAAAAAAAGTAACATTTGGCTTTAGAATAAAGTTCACATACATTTTCTCCTTTTTATTCCCCAAATTTTCTCGTCAGTTTTGATAGCTTGTTCATCTTTCAAAATAGTATATTTTTGTCACTATCAACATAAATATAGTATCTCCTTCTCTGTTACTTTTCTGATACTCTGTTCAGGAAATTTGACCCATCATAGTGTTGTCCCATTGCCCTTTTTCCGCCATAGTATTCAGTAAAATCATGTCATATTCCAAAGGAGACTCTGTAATTGGAAACACTGTCCTAGGGGAATTCTTATATTTGTTTGGAAAGAAGAAAGTAATCCTTTCTTCAACAGCAGTACGTTTTCCCATCCTATTTTCAACCTGCAAATGATGGCTTCCCCTAAAATATCTTGGAATAGAACACATGATTAGAGACCATTTTTAGGGTTTCCATCAATGCTTTATTGATACTATAGGAGACATTTAATTCCAAAGGTAATGAGAACACTTGTGAACAAGGTAAATTCTTACACAGAAAGAGCAAATGTACGTGGGAAACAGCTATTTCCTCTTGCTTGGAAGAGATAACTTCTGATCCATATTGGGAAAATATTTTATTGTCCTATACTATCATCATATTAAGTGAGGTGAATAAATAGAAGCTTTTGAAACTTGGCTTCTGAGTTTCAAATTGAAAAAATGATGAACAAATTATTAAGTTTGAAAAAAGTTAGGTCATTTGAGTGATAGAGATAACATACTTTAGTAAACACAGTTTAGTTTAAAGATTATATGGGTAATTTACAATTTGGGGGGTTAACAGACCAAAATCAGTATGTATGAAATGTCACTATACGTACTGAAAGCTTCATTGTGCAGATACAACCTCTTGCACATAGAAGGATCTTAAATATTTTTTGAATGAATATTTGCTAACTGAGTCAACACAGTGAATCGTTCACTGACTGACTAGGGAATGTAGTGTTACTCAACGTGGCTTAAATATGGACATCATGTAGGGGAGCAAGGAATGGCAAGTTTACTTAGATTTAGTCAGCTCCTACTACACGTCACGCCCGACACATGTTCTCCTTTTTAATGCTCTCAAGAAATTTACAAGCACAGATATTACTATCCTATTTTACAGATTAGAAAACTGAGGTTCAGAGAAATTAACTGATTTGAATAAACTCCAAAATTGAGGAAGTGCCAGTACAGTCTCTGTACCAACACAGCCTGGATTCTCACCACTTCAACATAACCTGTTGCTTGAGTGGAGTAACTTGAGGTGCTTCACAGAGATTTCTTTACCTGTCCCCCAAAATAATCTTCTTCACAGGCTTACTGTGGTACCTGAACATACCCCATTTGTGATTACTTCCATTGAATTAAGGTATTGCCTCTGTTGAAAGGTATAATGCATTGAGCACAAAATATGATGAGTGCATTGTAACAATTTAAGATTAGTTTCCAACAAGACCAATAACAGAGAGCCCAGCATGATTCAGAGCTGGATCCAAAATGGGACATAGTTTCAAGGTAGGCTGCAAGGAGACCCATAGTGGCAGTGGTGGGTGAGGGGAGGGTGGGTATGGGGAGTTACCTGGGCACTGAGAAAGTAGTATAAAGACCTTAGGAAATTGACCACCAGTGGGCAGAGAATGCTTTAAAGTGGAGGTAGGAAAATAAAGATTTCCTGTTTTCAGTTTAGCCTAGGGCTCTGCCAAACTGTGTTGAATTACTAGAGTAAACCTTGTGTAAACGAGAGAGTTTTGTTGTTGTTCTTAGAGAGCTCTTTTTAGGGGGGAGTGGGGATCGTGAGAAGTGAGTGTACATATGTTAGCAAGGATGGCTCTGGGTTTGATAAACATTTGTTCTGGCAACATGTAAGGTAGCTTTTCTTATTCTCATACATTCATAAGGACCTTAAATTTTCTGCGTGGGAGGAATATATCCTAAAGGGATTTTATAAAATTGAATAAGACAAACTGCTCATACTAGTAGGCAGTTAAATTAGCAATGTATACAATCTAAACACTTTGAAATTAAAAGAGAATGGGGAATTTAGGCATAATTATTTAAGTTAAATAATGCTAATCACATAAGTGGTGTTGCCAGAAGAGGCCATATAAGCAAATGGTATAAATAAGGTTATCTGGAAAGTGTTAGATTTTCAGAAATGACTCATAGAAATGGTAGTGGGAAATAAAAATATAAAAGAATAGGCTGCTGGAAATAGAACCATCTTTTCCTTATAACAGCCCATATATATCCCAGCTATTGAAAGGACAGACATCAGGAAATGATGCACCTTTTAAAGCAGAGAAGAGAAAGCTAAAGCTTCTCTTTTTAACAATGGAAGATTCTCTTTTCAATGGAAGATGCTGTCTTTGCTGAGTGTCATATCCCTGGGACCAGACATGGCTAATGAGGTCAGTCTGATAACTAGAAATTTTCTTTCCATTTCAGCATGTATTACTCAGGCCAATAAGTAGGGTTTGCTTGTTAATTTTGACTTATAGCTAGTCTCTGTGGATCCTGTTTTTCCTATCTTATCGCAGATTCCTCATAGTTCAAGCAAGACAGTCTTGCTCAGTATCCTCTCACAGAATGCTGTATTTCATGTTGGCTTTAAAAGTTTGTACCATGAGAAGCAAAATTTCAGGCATCAAGCATTGAATACTTAACAACATAGCCTCACAGCCACGGTTGGGCTAGCGGGTATTCCCCCAGAGCATTTGTGCAGTGTGCATCATGATTGGCTCATCTGTGATTCAAGTTTATTTAAATAATGTTCTGCCAGAGTTCCTTACTGAAACATCCTTCATAGACATGTGCCACCTATTTTATGAATATTAGCTGTTAGCCATTACCGGTAAAGAAGAGCATGCAGCCATACTGCAGCCGACCAGCCAAGGATAAGTGTGTCTTTCTGTTTAATGTTGTGGTCTCCAAACATCTCATTTTAAATTGGGATGGGTTTCCTTGCTTTTGATTCCATTATTTAGTGAAGATAGTGTGACGGAGGAATGGGGGTGTCTGTGTACGCATGAGAATGCCATATCAAAATTTTTACTTTTATACTTTACAGGTTATATAAATCTGCTCATCATATAAGTGATATATTGGACACATGTAGGGTAGCATGATTTTTTAATTATCTTTGATATTTGCTTATGTGGCTAGATTCTAAAAATGTTAATTTTATAATTAATTTCCACCACATTGTTTGGCAACAAGGAATAGTTTTTGTTGTAAATCACCCAAGGCCTTAGATCGCTGAACTGCCTCAATGTGCCTTCCCAATTAGTTTTGGAAAACTTATTTATTTTAATTTCTATTTTCCTTCTCCTCAATTTGGTTTCTATCCAGGGATCTACAGAAATCATTTTGATAAAAACTGTTGATATTTTTTCTGCTGTCATCCATATTAGCCTTGAACCATATCTTCTGTCACTTTTTCACTGATTCTCCTGCTTTCTTTTAGACGTCCTTTTGTCTACTGATATGTCACATTGGTGTATGGCTTCAAGTTTGGATTTCATCATTTTCCCACATAAATGTATTTCTCATTCTTTTTGCAATCTCTATTATATAAAATATGCCACCGCCCATCTGGCTGCCCCATGCTTCTCAGACTCTGGCTGTGCACCTCCTAGGGCCTCAAGTAGTATTTCCCAGAGTATCCTTTGTTGACCATTAATTCTTAAGCTGTGTCCTGCAGGGGTAGGTGAGGAGGAGGTGGACAGGTTTCTTACTCCAGTAAGCTTGGGAAACAATTATCACATCCCCATCACATATTAGGTACTCAATAGGTACTTACTGAATGAATGAGTTAATGAATGAACATATTTATAATATATAGTAACATGTACTTTGGGAAGTTAATAGTAAAGAAATGTTTAACTTTATTTAACTTAGCATTTTCCAAACTTGTTTTCCCACAAAACCATCTCTGGTGCAACATCTACATGTGTCCCATGGAATCAGTGTTGCACAAAACACACCTGTGAAACACCAGCCTGAGGGATACAACGCTGTGGCTCTACTACTCCTCCCTCCCCCAAACCCGAGCTAGAATGTGAGACACGCTGAACTTCATCAACTCCCTCTCTCCTTGTCTGCCCCATATGTAGGCCAGTTTCCTTATTCCACTTACTAACACCCTCATATCTCTTCACTGGCTCAAATATGGAATAATCTTGTATCAGTTATACACGCTCTCTCTTTCTCTTTAATCATACACTAATTAATTAATTTTCACCTGCTATCTTCCAAATGTGTTTTGAGAAACAGGATGACTAATAATCTCTGTCATATGGACTTTTACCCTTGGGCATTTATTTATGAGATTCTGTAGGTTGAACTTACCATAGTAAGTACTTTTTATTAAAATCTCTCAAAAAGACAGTTGTGAGGAGTGTATTCCACCATGGCATGTGTTTCAGCCATGATATTCTATTCAACGGCACATGAATCAACATGAATGTCCAAAGTTGACTTGTTTTGTGTTAACCTTATTGCCTGCCTTCTGACTACCTCTGTGAGTCAACTGCAAGTACTCTAGCCTCTCGACTATAGCAGAAATAAGCTAAGGTGCCCAGAGCACTTCTTTTGCTTACCATCAATCTTAGTGGCATTTAAAACTGCTCTCAAATCTAGTCTTTTCCCGGCTGATATGAAAAAGGCAAAGGCCTTTGGTTATTCCTACAGGTCGATCTTAGGTTTGTGTTTGGACATGGGGACTGTGGTGAGGGGTATACATTTAGATCTAGAAAGTGCTTGTTCCAGCTGTGTCTTTAAACATTGCCCAACATAGTACTGGGGTTTTGTGGCAATGCTTCTGGAACCATACTGGCGGACAGAGGTGGGAAGGAAAGGAGTCTGAGGGGATGGGCAGCAGGAGAGGGGCTCTGTTTCTGTTTCACATATTGGCTATTGGTTGGAAAGGAGTTGGGGGTGGAGATCCCATGGCTAATAACAGATTGGAAATGATTATGGCAATCCGAATATTTCTAAAGTTAGAAATAGGTTCTGATGGAGTTTCTAAGAGATTTGGAAACAGGAAGAAGCATTCTGTAAGATGGGCAGTAGAATTTACTTAAGAAAAATGGGGAAATTATTAAATGGGAAACCTGACATATGTGGATTACTGTTTTTCTTCTGACCCTTTCTTTTCTCTCTTTCACTTCTTACCTCGGGACCTTTTCTCTTCTCATTAGCACCTCCACCAGAGTTGGAACTGGGAAAGAGAAAGGAAGTGTTCAGACATGTGCCTATTTGCATAGTCACGTCATTGAATTAATGCCAGGACAGCACAAACATTCTGTCCAGTTCTATAGAAAAGCCAGTTTCACCCCATCAGTAAGGTATTATTTCCTTTTTTTTTTTTTTTTACTAGCATAGAACAGTTTATTGCCAGGCTTCTCTTAACTGTACATTATAAATAGTGTCTGATTAAGAATGTTCTGGATGGGTTAATTAGTGTGGTGACTATTATTAAGCAAACTGCTTGTTAGTATTATGCCTATTTGATCTTGGTATTGATGTGAAGTAATTGACCATAGAGCTACATTTAGAAAAGCTGAAATAAAGTTTTTTTGATTTCTATTATAGCAATAAATTGTTTATATTAAACATGTCTATGAAAATATGAGTTTCATGACACAGAATCAGAATAGATTGTGTGGGATGGTGGATGTGGTTGGTTTTGTTTTGTTTTTAGTATTATTAATACATTTGTTCAGCCTAATTCAAGACTAGCTTTATTGTAACAAAGTAGTACAAAAGTGTTTCAGCTTCTGCCTTCATTCTTACCACAGAGTGTATGAAAACTAAAGTGTTTTTAACTTTCCCCAACTAAAGGATATATCCTGTTAGATTTGGCTAATTGCCTAAATACTTCTTTTGGTGACAATCACTATAATGAATAGATTATAAGAAAAATTTGAAAAGATACTATAAACAAGGAAACCGTAGCTTGTAACTACCTTCTTTCAAGTACCGGATTGTTATCTATATTATTTATTGGTAGCTTGTCCAGTTCTATTATTAAGGTTTCCTAGCTGTAGCATTTCCATAGGGAATTGATTCCATGAGCTAATAAATTACACCGTCAGGGAGTTTTTCTTGAAATTCAGCTTAAATTTTCCCATTCTTAATTTCATCCCGTTACTCCTGGTTATACCCCCTTGTACCAAGCTAAATAATTATTCTTTTTCCTTAGAGACTCTTATTATGTACCCTTCTGTTTGTCACTTAACCAGGCTATTCATAGTTAGCTCCTTTAATCTGTCCTCATAAATCAATTCTTCCATTGCCTTAATTATTATTATTGCTCTTCTAAACACTCTCTAATTTTCAAACATATACAGTTCTCAGGTGCCCCAGATGACATCAGCATTTGCACAGGGTTCTATCCTGACAGACTTAGTGTCTTCCTTCCCTGTACAACAAGATCCAGAACTAAATGGCATCAGTTCGCTGAATCAAATCAGCTCTTGCTCATCTTGTCCAATTCAGCATGGTCTAAATGGTGTTTTCTATGTGCCCTACCTCCATTCAAGGTTTATTTTGATTTGTTTCAATTTTGTGAGATTTGTAAGCTGTTTTGATTGCTGCCCCTATTTATATTCTGCATCTTTCCATGTCCCTATTCACTATGACCTATCAAGTCAGTCATCTGCAACTTGTCTTAACATGGGATTCTATTCATCCTTGAGAACATTTAGGGAAGGTGTTGAATAAAAGTAGGCCTCACACCCTTGCCCACAGCTAAATTCCTTGTCAGTTACCAATTCCTGTTGTTTACAACCCTTTAGCCAATCTCCCATCTCTTTTAATTTGCAATTTTGCTCACATGCTGGCCAATATAAATGAATTTTATGAGTAAGATGGGTCATGATACTGTTTTCTAAAATGAAAATATGTTGTTTGAATCCCATAGATTTTTTTTTTCTTTTTTTTTTTTTTTTGGTGAATCCTTCATGAGCTAAGTTTGTGATTCTGTTAAAATCCTTATTAAGCTTGCCTGGCACTCTTTATCTGACATAAACAAATAGGTTACTTCAATTGCTTTATTGTTCTCCAGATATGTACAGATGTTCCTTCTCTTACCATTTGTTCCATTTCTTTAGGAGAATTGAAGATAGTGTCATAGTCATTCTATTTTTTTACCTTTTCTGGTGATCAATGGCAATTTTTTATGTTGTGTTTTAGTTTCTAGAATCTCTTCAGTATTTTGAATTTGTTTCCAGAAGAAGTTGATTGGTTCCCACCATAATTTGGGGCCTATGCAGTTTGAAACTATAGTCTGTAAATGCCCAGGTTTCTTTCCATTTTAAATCAAGGACTAAATTTACTATTTTATTAGGGCATATTTAAGGGGTTAGTACCATTCTTTGTGTTTTGTCTTTCTGTATACAATCATCTCTTTATTACTTGGGGAGTTCTTATGTATTTGTTTGAGTTTCCTCAAGGCATTTGAAATTAGAATAGAAATTTAAAGATCTTTATGAAACAAACATAGAAGCCCCCAAAACAAGCTTTCTGGTTCTGGAATGTACATAGGGTCCTACAGCCAAAGACCTTGTTTCTAGCTCCTGTGACTCCTCCATTGTTTCTTAGTGTTGCCTATCAGCCCTTGCTTTCAGCCCTATTTAACGCCCTCTCCCTGTCTCCACAGTGACTGTCCTGAGGCCTCAGTGAGTTTCTGAAAGCCTATCTCCACCTCTGTTCACCTCACTGAAATAGATGAACTGACCTAGTGCTTTAATGAGGCAACTCCTTAGATTCTACACCTGCCACCTAAAGCTGTTTTGTTTTTTCAGCTTCATTTCTCTCTTTTTCCCTCAGCTTTGCAAGAAAGCGAGGTTCACTATCTTTACAAGACCCTGCTTGCTTTTCCCCTACACTATGATCACCATGTTATAATGTTTTTCTCCTTCCATCTTATAAGATTTTTCTGTTTCTTCAGGATCCCGCTTCCTTCCCTAGCAAGTATTCCCAAGTGAATAACACTGTGCCCATGTGCCTCATTTTTAAAAGTCCAACCTTGCCTTCCCCTCCCTTCTCTCTACCTCCTTTTCTCTGCCTCTCTCTTTCATACACAAACCCTAGCCTCCTGCAGTCTGATTTCTGCCCACACCACTCTTTCAGCAGGAGCAGAGAGTGGCCTGTCGAAGTAGCCAGTGACCTATGATGTGACAAGGCCAAAAGCTTCTTGTTTCTGCTTTGTAGCACCTCTGCAGTGTTTTATGCCCCATTTTACACGTTCTTTGAGGGTTCTTGATTCATTTCAATAATGTGATATTACTCTCTTGGATTCTCTTCCTACTCTTCCAGATGTTCCCTTCTGCTCTCCTTCCATGGTTTTTCTTTTTCACCTACCTCTGAAACCCATTTCTTCCCCTACACAACAATTCAGGGAGGCCAAGTTTCTGGATGGGGCTCAGGAACTCTGAGAAAGGACTTGGTAGTCTGGCCCAGTCTACCCCTCTAGACCTTACATCCAGACCTGCATCCCAGTCTCTTTGGGTTGCATGTTATTTCCTGAGGAGTTGTATTTCTTCACCCCTTTTTCCTTTGATCTCATATTCTCTGACTCCAGAGCTTCCCTGACTCTGTCTTGCAAAATGCTTTACCTAAAGCCTTCTTTAAGCCTTTATTGAGCCCCAAGTCAGCATTAATCTCTTCCCCTCCATTAAAAAAAAACTGGAATGGCCATTGTATGTATAGTATGTTCCAGCGTAGGTTAGTTGGCTGTTCTTGTGTCTGTCTCCTACTCTTCTCTAAGCACTAATGGTTTGCTTTCCAATAGACGGTGAGCTCCTTGAGGATAGCCCCTCTATTTGTATTATGTGGCTTACAGGTTTTAAGCTATAATTTTTTAAGGTTTCATTTTATTTTGATTCTCTATCGATAAGTAACAGACATTGAACTCTTTGTGATAAAGTGTCCTGGAAAGATAGGAGAGAAATGATAATAAAAAAGATATTAAAATATACTTCAGGAAACATTAGCCAAGTCAATTTAATACAAAGTATATTCAGATGCCCAGGAATACAGAACAGTCATGAGCAGAAATGACCAGTGTTAATCAAGGAAGTTTCAAACATTTTTGTAGGTTAATGAACAAGTATGGCCTGAAAATAAGCACTGGGCCATGTGGTGATTGGAAAACACAAAATGGAAATCCAGAAGGATGAGTGAGGGAAGAGTGATAAACCATCTCTGTAATCTTATGTTTTATGGTATGTGCAGTGCAAGTTTTATAGCCATAGAAACTCTTTGGAAACTATTCAAAGACAGCCCAGTCCAATTTCAAACTTTTGAACTTCTCTTAGTGGCTACTACTTTTTACACTTTTTCTGGAATTTTTGTATAACATCTTTATTTTTTCTCAGTTTTATATATAATCATTATGTACTTACAGGAAGGTAAAGGACAAATTTTACATATTTTTTTCCACTAAAAGTATATTGCATTCTTTTTTTGTAACAGATTCATGCCCAAGCACAAAACAACCCATTTAAAGAAGATGCTCGGCCTTAAAGGAAATGGCGGTGCGGTTCTGTCCATGGCCCTTCCTTTTCAGCCAGAGCAGAGAGATTCAGAGGATTTATTGAAGAATTTTAATTCAGAGTGTGATACACACTGTGGCCTTGATACTGCACGACAAGAATATTTGGGTAACTCATTAAGACAGGAATCAGACTTGAAAAAATCCACCTCGTCAGATAATTCAAGCTCTCATCATGGTGAAAATAAACAAAATCTGACTGTTGATCCCTGTGACATTTTGGGTGGAGTTGATAATCAGCAAAGACTGCTACACATTGTCTGGCCTCACAGGTGGTAAGTCAAGGCATGCCAATTTAGTAAGAGTTGTAGAACTGGTAAAAGAAAATATATTCTGTTGATTGACATAATAATTTGTTCTTCTTATTGCTTTAGAAAAAGATTATTTTAATGTGGTGGTATTACTAATGATCTGCCAAGGTGGTACTACTAAATATCTTCACATGAATGGTCATGTGCTTAGATTAAATTTGAATTACAGGTAATTATTTGCTGCAATTTGCTCAACTAACAGTAGTGGGTAGGCACTTCTAGCATATCAAGTCTTGTTCAGAAAGTTTCAAAATATAAGAATCAGATTCCATTTTATGCACACACACACACAGTTATCACAAAACTATTTCATATATACACACTGATACAGCAATATTACCATTAAAGCAAGAATAATTTCCATTATTTACTACCTTGACCAGTTTCAACAGGGTGGCTTCATTTTACTTGTCATAAGATGTATATCAGTACATTTGAAACCATTCCCTTCACTCAGATGCCTCTGTATTGTGCTAAGCAAAATACTTTCTAGCCAAGTCTTTTCTAAACAGAGGAAAATCAACTGCAGTATGTGATCTCACCAAATAAAAACTCAAACTTAACCCTGGCTCCTATAAATTAGGATTTAAAGAAGTAAAATGTCCTGATAATCTTCTGGTATTAGGCATGAACATTTTAATCTAGTTTTTATTCCTCCCAGTTAGTTTAATCTGCATGTGGCCTGATTAGAGTACACTTCCCCCACAGATTATGGTCTCTTTATTGCAGAGATGCTAGGCTGATCATTAGGTCCGATTTTCTGAGAGCAACCGTTTGCAGGTGAAGTAATAAGAGCACCACACCGGCCGGGCAAAGCGCCTTTGCCGAGGATTTGCCTTCCAGCACATTAAAACTCTAGAAGCTCTCCCAGTTGATCTGCAGCATCTGGTACCTAAAGGGATTTTCATCTTTAATTCTAAATGTATGAACGTAAAATGTAGGGATTGAAAGTTGATGTGGAATGTGTTTTTGAATTTGTTTGTGCAACTTCATACTTCCAGCATAGCCTTTCTAAGGTAGTGACAGGTATATTTAAATCATATTTTACTTCGAATGTGACAGAGTTCAATATTATTTAATGTGATTTTAAAATGCAGTGGGTCTAGATGAGATTAACCTGTTTCAAGGTAAAATAGATGTCATCATTTACTCCCTTCTGAAAAGCTTTTTCTTTTATTCCATTAACCTTTGGTTGTCTCTGAAGTACTATTTATTGCAGGAAAATCAGTTCTAAAAGTTGGTTCCAGGGTATCATGAAAATGTTAAATTAAATAATTTCTAGTCTGCTTTTACAAAACAGCAATATGGAGGAAAGAGTGAAAACCATGTTATTCAATACTTTGCACAAAATAAGACAGAGCTATGTTAATAAAATTAACAATACTAAATTGAATAATTCCCTGTCTTCCTTTGTATATTTTTGCTTTAATTTAATTTAATTGCCTAAAGTTAGTTGCTTAAAGAGATGCAGCATTATGTTTGTGCATATTCTTATTGTTAAAGCTAAATTATTTTTAATTTGGAGAAGAGGGAAAAAAGCCGCATCAACAAGAGTAAATGCCAAAATATAAAAGTAACACATTCATCCTTACGGGTAATATAGTAGAACATTGGAAACTTGGAGGTTGCCAGACACATAGCTAACATTAGGGCTAATTTTGAAAATCTAGCGTGCAGTCAATTTTACTGATGCCTGGGGACATACAAGGTAGAAGCTGACAAGAGAACTAATTTTGTTTGGGTTATTTACTGCTATGCATCATCCGCAGGTTCCCGCCTGACACACAGCTATATGAAGGGGGATATTATCACACACTAAAAATTTATGTTGACATTCGATATTTGTTCAATATGTCAGGAGTATTACTTTCATAATCAAAAGAGTAAGAAAAAGAGAAAAGAAAAGCACTTTATGCTCATATAGATATATCTTTTTAATAACAGTCTATAAGGTTAATATAGTTTACCTTTGAGAGTATACAATGAAAACAAGCAGGGTTAGGAGGGGAAATGACAGAAAGCATCAACCCGAGCTGTTTGTTTGCCATTACCTAAGCGAGCCATGTCAGCTCTCTGGCCCGCGTCTGATAGCTATTTGTTGTACAGAGAGCACAGCATAAAAAAAATATCAAACTCTTAATACTATTGTGTGCCCATAACCATCTGTCACTGCTAGCCTGGAGATGAGAGGAAGATTACGAGGAATAAACACTGAGCCGCCGAGCATTGGTAAAGCCTTCGGGCAAAAAACTCTTGTGGGGACATCAAAGACATTCTAATTCCGAGGCAGTCAAGGATTACAGTGTGTAACCTGTGCTGACAACAGATAAATGACTGGCAATATTGTGCCAGAGCTGTTGGGTCCTGCATGGAGTACTGATGATGATGATGATGATGTTATCTTGCAGAATGGACTCTGCTGGGATAATTTTATGATAAAACACTTTTTTCAAATGCCACTGGGTCTAGGCAGACATTTACTAGCTACAGGGGTAGCAATCAGTTTCTTCAAAATTTACTGTTCTAAGCCCATTAGAGTTCCATCGCAGCAAGACTCTTCAATGAAAATCTAAAACGCCTATATTTTCTTTAGGAGAATTTATGCAAATGTTGTGAGCTGAACTCCTACCCTTTAGTGGTAGATGCTTTATCATCTGATTTATGTAAATTTGCTCATAAAAATACAGTTTATTTTTAATTGGTGAATATGAATTAGAAAATTAAGATTCTGGTTCAGCATTCATCAAACATCCCCAGCTACAAGCACACATTTATTTAGACCCCTGATCGTATGGGTGGAAATCGTATAATTGACCAGTCAAAATGAATGGTATTCAGAAGGAAACTATGGTTTCTACTACAAATGACCAGGGTTGTGTTTCTTGTTCAACCCCCTTAGTTTGAGCCTCCCCCATCCTTGTACTTTACATATTCTTGTCAGTATTTTGAGCTGCTTTAACTCCCTGCTTGAAAAGGGGGGTTTTCTTTACAGTAGCCTGCAGGAAGCTCTTTAGAAGCAGGAAGTCTGTTGCATTTTCACCTTGGCCATGTATCTTTACCAGAGAGAAGGCATTGATGATTGTTTCCATGTAAACCTAAAGGAGAAAGGAACACTGGAGAGGGCAATTTGGATTCTTAGATCTTGTCATTACCTTGCCTAACAAAACAAAAATAAAACCCTCCTCTATCATAAAAAAATATGCCCATGAAATCATGCAGTTGCAGTAGCCAACTCTAAAAATGAAGTGATGCTGACCTCATTGTGTTAGTTCCACACTGGGATCATGAATGGTCTAAAATATAGTGTCAGCCTCTAACATATCTCGTACTAAGCCAACCAAATGTAGAGCCTACTTGCTAGAATATGTATCAAAATCAAAAGTGACATTTTCTAGAAGACACATTCTGGCTTTAAATCTGTGTTAAAATGTCTGTGCATGAGAACAGGCCCTTAAATGCAATGCTTGCCCCTCTCCTCATTCTTTCTCAAACTGAGCTTGTCAAGGATTATAGTGTGCAACATCTGCTGACAGTAGATAAATAACTGACAGTATTTTAGCAGAGTTGCTGGGTTCTCTGCAGAGTAATTTGTTTTCTCCTTTCTACCCAGTCTTTAATGTTTTGTTATAAACATCTATAGCAAGGCACGGTTAGTAGAAATAACTTATAGAGAAAGACCTGTAAAAAACAGGCTGCAATTGGCACTGCTTGGTTTTTTTTTTTTTAACTATTTTCTTTCCAAATACTATACAAATGTTGTAATATTAATCCAGGTTCCAACCTTTATGTAAGCATTCTCTAATAATTATTATAAAGGGCATAAAAGACACACTGCTGGAAGGACCAAAAAAAACAAGTTTAGACTATATTGAAAGATCACTCTCTCAAGGCCACAGTTCTCAAACTCTTTGGTCTCAAGACTCCTTCATACTCTTAAAAATTATTGGGATACCAAAGAGCTCTTGTTTGTTGGGATTATACCTATCAATGTTTACTGTATTAGAAATTAAAACTGAGGAAAAAGTTTTAAAATCTACATTATAGCCTTTAAAATAACAAAGAACCAAATATATGTTAACATAAATAATGTATTTTTATGAAAATTAACTATATTCTCCCAAAAAAATCAGTGAGAATAGCAACATTACATTTTAAAAAATCTATAATGTCTAAGTAGAAGATATTTGGATTCTTATAACTGCTTAAGTGTTTAATTTGTTGCAATATCTTCTTTTGGTAGAAGTTTATGAAGAAATTCTGCCTCACAAAGAAATATAGCTGGAAAAGTTGAATGTTTAATGATTTCTTCAGATTATTGTAGATATTCTTCTTTGATACTATACCAAAACTTGACAAGTAGGAGTTCCTTAAAGGTTTGCTGTAATGTGGAATATGAAACCACATAAATGATTTCTTCATGCTCCATTACCTGCAGTTTGAATGGATTTTGTAGCATCATGCATTGGTGATTTGGGAAACACAGGTTCACCAAATTGAAGATCTTCTAAATGTTGACACAGTTCATTATACAATTTTAAAAAATCATATTTGTTAATATCACCATTGATCTCATAGACATTTTTGAATAATGAGAAGCTGTCAAGCTAAGATTTTAAATGCAATTTTTCAAAATTCTAATGTTCCCTTAAAAGCTTAAATTTATCTTTGCAACAAATATTATCACTTGTTTCTCCTTGAGTGACAAGTTCACATGGTTCATGTTTGAGAAAATGTCTGCCAAATAGTGAAGTCTGATTAACTGTGGTTTATCTGTCAGTTGTTCTTTGAAATAAACTCACTGTTTCATGAAAAGACAACTAGTTTAGCTTACAACTCAAACAAGCATACAAATACTTTTCCTCAGGACAGCTATTGTATCTTGGTATGCATGTGTGTTTCTCATTTTATTACACAGATTATTAAAAGATATCTATCGAGGGGATGAACTTAAATAAAATTAATAAATTTTACTGCTTCTTCAATGACATGCTTAAGTAAAACAGACTTGTTTGTGCCATTGCCTTGAATTGTGTTAAGGCAACAGCAGCTTTATTCACCATTGTTCTTGCACTATCAGGGCCTATGTCAACACAGTGAAAAAGGCAAATTACATCTTTAGTTATCCTTATGAAAATAGTTTTACTTTGCAGCCTCCTTGAAAAAGTCTTGAATACACCCAGGAATTCAGACTACTCTTTGAAAACTACTGTCAAATGGAATCGATGTGACGTAGGTAAATATGGCTGCCACCAGCCATTGGAATTGCCTAATTTGTAGTTCTCATAGACTAAATTTTTTTCCCCTGAATATTAATTTTTTTTTTTTGGCTTAAAACTTGACAGTGAACAAGTGTTTATCTTATATAAGTCAACTCTCTCAGACCAAACACAATTTGCCTCAACATGGGCTAAGTAGCTAGGAAGCCCTAGGATACAGATCTATGATATAAGAAATTCTGCTCTGATCATAAAACCCCTGTAATTGGCCCATAATTGGATGCATTCTTGTTAAGAAGAATAAGGAGTGGGCCATGAGGCATGTTAAAAAGTTTGAAATTATTAGAGTAGCTACAGTTATAAGTTCTACCATGACCTCATCATTTGGGATATAGGGAAATTATCAAAGCTCTTCACTTAAAGTAGAATGACTTTTTATGAGCTATACGGTATTTGCAGCATTTTCCATAAAATAATGATAAATCAGCTTATGCAAAGTTGATATAAAGAGTGTGAATTCAGAAAGGAAAAAGTCCAATCATTGAGAACTAAAAGCAGTTTTGAAACATACTTAGGTGAGTCACTGAAGTAAAACATGTACCATAAGATTGAACGACTTTGACATCTATATTTCAAGAAACTTTGGCAATTTCTAACAAAATATATGATTGATATAAAATGGAAAATTATGCTTTATTACTTGGTACTAAAATAAATTACTCTGTTTCACCCTTTGACTCTCTGAGGTTTAAAAATATAACTTCAAAAACACAATCAATGACTAGTCTTCTGAAAAGATGTGTTTTGGATGATTAGAATGATATGCTTTTCAGGTCAGAATAAACTTACCTTTGTTTTCTCATTGCTGAAATAACTTAGGAAAAGTATGGTGAGTAAGCCATCTTAAATCTTTCAGCCTTTACTGGTCATTACCTTATAATAGAATACTTTGGGAAGGACAGAGGATGGTGTGGGGTGAATAGTACTTTTGGAAATCAGTCTTCAGGTGCCATGCTAGGCTGTGAACAGAAGGGCAAAGTGCTAATTTTTGGACACTAATGTTCTTTGTTCTATTTCAATGTTATGTGTAAATCTGTTTTTCTAAGAGAAGAATGATCGTCACAGAATAATGGTTCTGGAAAAGATGTTCACGTGCTCTGGCCATCTGCTTTTCAGCATACTCCACCAAAACTTCCTCATGCCTGTGAGAATCCATCTTACGTGTTCTGATCTCTAAAAAAGATGATTCCATAGATGCTTTCCATTAGCACTATTCGTTTTCACAGTTAAGTAACCCTTATAAGGTTATAAGACAAATATTCCTTATAATTATTGTAAGTAGCTAGTTCTCAGATTGAGTAGGAATAATGACCAATAGCTCTTTGAAAGGGATCATTCAACCAGTTCTGTGTTTATCCATCAATTAGTCAAAGCTCACATGAAATAATAAGGTTCTAATTATTTATAGTCATTCTCAATTTGGTGATAAGTTTTCTTTAGTTACATTTTTCATGCCTAGAGTGTTTGGGGAAATTTGTTGGTTAGTTTGTTTGGTTGGTTTTTGTCTTTAAAGAATTTTGTCTTTAAAGAAAATGAATTCTGACATTTAAAAAACAAAAAGCTCTCTAAAGAATTTTACTAGAATTTTAGGGAAAAATTATAATCAAATATCTGGCTAAAATTACCATGTGCTATATGACTTACAGTTTTATTTTATCCTCTGACATAGCACTATTAGATTAATCTATGGGAATCTATTTCAGGATTTTGAATTAGTGGTAAGAAAATAGATACTAAGAAATCCATGGCCAAAGAAAGAGCCTCACCAGAATCCCATTTATGATTTCCAAAATTCCATTTTTGGTGCCTTGTTGACTGTTTTCCAAATCATTGAACATATGGAAAATAAATATAGATTCAACATTTAGTTTCTCATTGCCTCTTGGATTGTTTTTAACATTTTAACACACCATGTCAGCATAAAGAACTTCTACCTATAGCAGTCACAATCTTGGTACTGTTATAATAGAATATCATAAACTAAAGCTCTTGTTGCCCTTTTCCTGCCCAACATGGTTAAAAAGTTCACTAAGCATGATTTGTTTTGTAAACATACTAATTGTTGCAAAAGACGCTGTTTCATTATGGTATGCTTATGACAGTCATCTTCAACTGCTCAGGACCCACATCTGCCTTTGCATCCTCTGTCACCATTCTTTTGATCAGATTCTTACAGTGGACTTCACTTAACATCATAGTCAGGGGTGGGTGAGTTGGGAAGTAGATAGCTAGGTGATATGGATGGAGGGATGAATGGATGGATGGACAGGTGGATAGGTGGATTGGTAGATCATCTGTTTCTTTGCTATATATTTTTATGTTATATACATGATTGTGTGTGAATTTAAATATATTTCTCCTTTCCGGTCACTAAGCCTTTTTCCACACCATCCTAGTAGACCTAACTTCTCTTTAATTAGCCTACTCCTTTCTACTTTTTTTTTTAAGGCTAATATTCCTCCTGTTTCTCTTAATGTGTGGTGTTACCTGCCTTTCCATGATGGTAGTCATCATTATATTTCTCTAGTGATGCCTTGTAGTCCTCTGCCTTCCACAGACATCTTCCCTGATTTAAATTCTGGTGAAGTGTTAATCCCCCTGACTGTGAATGTCCACGCACCGAAGGCACTGTGCGGTGCAGTGTACCACATAAACATGTAACAGAACTTTGCACTTTCCACATGCCTCCTAGCCCTACTCATTTCATGTTTTCAATGGTGGCATTTGTTTTAGGTTCTAAGGTTTTTCAGGACAGAGACAGAAACTTTTTTGTTTAGGGGGAATTTTTTCCATGCATCTAACCAGAGTGCCTGGCAATTAGGGGTACTTAGTCAATGTTACTTAATGTTAATGAATTATAGGGTGACTGTTTGGTAATTGACCTTCACCTGCTCAGTAAGTCCAGTTGAGGTTATGTCTCTCTTCGTGGGAAGAATTCAGTTTATCGAATGACAGATAGACACGGTCATGTGATCAGCATTGCTTTTACAAAGCCTATGGTTTCTTGGTTTGTTTTCTTTTATGAAATGCATTTATAGGCGTTGTAAATACAAAGCCTTCAAGATTTTGTTAAAATAGAATAATGCATTTTAACAGAAGAGTGGTAATGGTTAGGAAGAAAAGCTCAAACTGGTTAAAACCAAAGTAATTTCTAAGTTATTATGGAAAAATAAATCCAGAAGTGAAGATCCCTGTAGATTATTTTTTAACCTACCCCTCCACCATAATCCAGGTGTTAAGTCGTTTTGAAACAATCCATTGAAATCACTTTTTAAACTCTTATGTGAAATCCTAAGTGAATGAGATCCAATAGCTTTTCTAGATTACCCAGGAAGGTTTTCATTTATTTTTTTTTTTTTTACTCGGTCAGTCATACCAAAAAATTCCAAGGTAGCACAGCAGTAACTACTACAAATTATGTAAGCTTTCCCCCCCCTTCTGTCGTCTTTATTGGCTATGCAACTCATTAGCTATTTCAGCATTATTTGGCCTAGCATCATTTGTTGGTTAAACAAAAGAAGGGAAAATTCAGAAACAGAGAAACAAAATGTTTAAGGTTTGTTCTTACTCAGATGTATACTCATAGTCCCTGTGTCCTGTTGAAGGAAATAATTTATTGTGATCTTAGTCAAAAGCATTTCTCTTTTTGCTGTCCTTTTTTATTAATTTAGATATGTTTCTGAGATGAGAATTGATGTTACTTCTAATTATGGTTACATGTAGTTAATTTCCTTCTTTTTTCTTAAGCTTGGTGTGAAAGGCAGTTTCCTCCAAAAGAGGCGGTGGGGAGCTGGTTACAGGGAGGGAAGAATACTGATATAGCTGATCTTCCTGTTGCCTTAGCAACAGATTTATTTATTAGGGGTTGAAATGACATGAGTTGATATACCGCATACCTGCTGATCGGCAAACTCCCCTATTTCAGCTGCAGTTGACAATTAAGTCCTGGACAGCTACAGCCAGGGGTTAATGTTCCTCATTAGGAGAACTAGGTCATTACTGGGAAATCAAGGCACTTAAGGTAGCATGGGTAAAATACAAAATTCAGCATCTAGATGAGTGAGGCTTTTTTATGTTAATTAACCTTATTTTCCTAGGTTTAAAAAAATCTTATATGCACATGACAGTGGATCAATTAATTGAAAAAAGAGCTAGTTTACTTTACTCTCTGAGTTGTCTTCATTTCCTTTGCAAGGATTTCATTATTTTATGGAAAATTCTTATGTCTATATGATGAGTAAAAAGGGTATTAAAATTAAGAAGGGAATCATCATGGAAATCAGCTTTACCACAAGGGAATGAGCAAATAAAAGCCTTGGAAATGAAAATAAATAAGCTTTGCTAATACCTCACCTAAGGAGCGGAGTATAAGCCCATCAGAGCTGAGAGACATTTAGAGGTATTTCTTTGCTTCTTTATTAAGCAGTTACATAGTTATTTGACCTTCAGAAACTGAAACTTTGGAAAAGTGATTCCAAGTGATTTGTAAACATTCTATTTGCAGAAAGCCGTATAGCAGTTTAACAAACAATAACTTTCCACTTCATAATTGGCTTTTAAAAATACCAATAAAATTAGATACATTCGTTGAAAGTTTTTATTAAAATGTCTGAGTGGGTGCTTTTTTCACTTGATAAGTTCATAAATAATGTATCAAGCCCCTTCTGAAAGCTTTGTTTTCTTACTTCTTTAAAGAGCCTTTATGTTGAAAGGGGGGTATTTACAGAGTAGAAAAAGATTTATTGCCCAGAATCCTGTTTTATCTTCATTACTGTACTGCCTCCATTGAAACCACTTCTTACCAGTTTTTTCACTTGTGGTAACTTTGTAAACATGAACAAAAGCAAAAAGGTGCTCTTACCAACTTCATCCCCTAAAATACTGTGTCTCTTCAACTGAAAAACTAAATCATTAAAATTTTCCTCCCTCCACCTACATGCTATATAAACTATTCCTAATCATGTAAAATTAATTGATTGACCCCAGAGACTTAGTATGGAACTCTTGTCATTTCTTTCCCCACCAAAAGAAATGTGCAACTCTCCTTTAACTGATTAGTGGTTCGGTGTATATGTTTTCACCCCTCAAAAATCATTGTCCTGTTATATAAGTGAAACCAGGCCCTCTGATACTTCCTTAGAAAATGCAACTCTAGTAAACCTCTGTTAGTATCATATATATTGCCACTTACCCTCAAACTTGGCAGAAAATTACTGTATTAGGTGGCACCACTCACCTTCCTTAGAGAAGCATTTGTTTCCAGTCTAAAATTAGACGTGAGCCTTATGTAACTGCCCCTCTTCACCTACCATAGTCAATTCTTGATTTTAACAAGAACAGTTTTAATGGAGAAATTGTTTCCCCAGTTTCAGAATCATTGCCCAAGAGCCAGAGTCCTAGCATGAGGAGATATGGAAGAAACTGTTAGCTATCCCCCCAAATTTCTCTCTTTTTCTTAGGAACACAGACCACATTTTCCAGCCTGTATTGCTGTTTGCTTGGGGTGGCTGCGTGACTGGTTCTTAGCCAATAAATGTAATAGAAAAAAGTGATGTGGGCCACTTCCAGGCCTGGTCCATAAGAATTTCTCACCCACTTTCTCCCATGTTCTTTCTTCCTCCTCGCTGGACAGACATAGAATGCACTTGTTGAAGATGACAGTTTCTCCTTTGGCTTGGGACCTTAAACAGCTATGTGGAAGAGGACTGCCCTTCTGATCTCCCCACCTGCCTAGTACTCTTACATGAGCCTTTTACATTTTTTTAACCCATTTAATGTAGTGAACCTACCTTAGTGGATGTGGAAAGCTGCTATTATAATCCAGACAATATAGTGGTGGTTTGACTGGGGTAGTAGCAGTGGTGATCATAAGTGGTCAGGATATATTTTGAAGATTTTGGCCTGAGTAAGTGGATAAATGAAGGTGCTGTTTACTGAGATGGAGAACACTTGGGGAGTTCGATTTTTAAAGTTTGCATTTGGACATACTAAGTTAGAGATCTTCTAGACACGTGGAGATTTCAAGTTGGAAGCTGATATTCAAGTCTGTTATTTAGATGAGCAGTCAACACTAAAGACAGAAATTTGGGAGTTATCAGCGTAGATATGTACAATTCCTTTAAAACAGGTTTAAAATATATTTTAAGCTTCCTGATTTTAAACATTATATTTCTACTAATTCTATAGGCAGCAATTATAGCCTAGTTATAGTTATAGCATAGTAGGTTCTGAGTCTCTGTGTAAGTCCTGGCTGTCACAGTTACCAGCCTTGTGCCTTCAGTCAAGTTATCTACTCTCTAACTTCAGTTTTCTTCTTTATATGATGGGAATAATGTTAACTACATTACAGAATTGTTCTGAGGATTAAAGAAGATGATATATGTAATTGCGTTAGCACAGTTCCTGGCACAGAGTAAGCACTTACTAAACATTAGCTATTCTTAGTAGCAAATAATATAGAGTACTTCATTAGCTCACACGGGACTCTCACTTTTGCCCACTGTCTCTTATTGGTTAAAATCAATTTTTTCTTAACTCTCCTAGAAAAAAAGAAAAGAAATAGCTAAATAAAGTCATCTTTTTTCATCTTCATTTTCAGCCTACCCAAAACAAGTACATACTGTACAGAAAAATGGAATTAAACTACAGAGCAAACACTTCTAAGGAGCAGCATCTGCCTTGTAAATGAAGTCTATAAAAGGCTACCAAATGTCCCTTCACATTTTTATGATTGTTAGTTAGAGTATTACTAAACCTGGATGGAATTTTTTTTGAGGCTCTTACATCAAGCACCCACACTGTAAATATCACAAATTATTTCCGTTTTTAACAAGATGGCTGCCATGAGCCTTCACTAAAGATTTTAGCAGGAGTGATATAGTTTTAAAGATATGATTTGGTAAAAAGCACTTTCTGCCTGTATAATTGTCATATTTTTAAGCACATTACTGTTTTAAAAACAGCTTTAATGGGGTATAATTTATATGTCAAAAAATTTACCCACTTTAAATATACAATTCAGCGATTTTTAGTAAATTTACAGAGTTGCACAACTATCCCACAGTCCAGTTTTAGAACATTTCCATCACCTTAGAAGGAATTCTCCTGCCCTATTAAGGTCAAACCCTGTTTTCACCCCTGACCCAGGAAACCACTAATCTACTTGCTTTCACTATAGATTTGCCTTTTCTGAATATTCATGTAAATTGATTCATACAATATGTGGTCTTTTACGTCTGGTTTCTATCACTTAGAATAGTGTTTTTGAGGATCTTCCATGTTGTAGCAGGTATCAGTAGTCCTTTCCTTTCTAATGCTGAATAATATTCCATTATATGGGTATAACACCTATTGCTTATTCATTTGTCATATGATGGACATTTGGATTGTTTTCACTTTTTTAGCTGTTAAGAATAATGCTCTTGGTACATTTGCATATAAGTCTTTATGTGGACATATATTTTCACTTTGGGGGGGTTAGATACCTAGCAGTGGAATCACTGAGTTATCTAATAAATACATGTTTAAGTTTTTTAAAAACAGGCAGATCACATTTTAAATACCTACTAATTTTTTCTTAGATTCATTCATTCATTTAAAAATGTTTATTGAGCTACTTCTTCTAAAGCCAGGCACCGTACTGTGTACTAGATATAGTCAACTCTTGATTATCCACCATAATCAGAATTAAATGTAGTCTGGATGTGTAAAATCTCCTTGTTATCCATAAACCTGATATAGGGCATTCTTTCAAGTGTCTTCAGCATAAAAAGTCAATCTTAATTGGCCTGTTATCCCAAACATGTATTGAATGGCTCTATGTTGGGGAGCTACCAGGAATTCAAAGATAAAATGTATAACCTTTAGGAGCCCATAGTACAGGAAGAGAGATGGGTATATGGCCTCCATATACTTCCAGTGTCCTTGCCATTTTCTAAAATAAAACACATCTAAATGCAAACCCCTGCTTTTTTTCCCCTAAACTCTTTTATACTCCTGTTTATGAGTGGTACATTTATTCCCTCACATTCAGCTCCAAATTATTACCTTGTTTGATTCCTCTTCACTTGAACACTATATTTGCTTCCTATGGCTGCTGTAACAAATTACCACCAACTTGGCAGCCTAAAACAACAGAAATTTGTTCTCTTACAGTTCTGGAGGCCAGAAGTCAGAATTCAGTATCCCCAGGCTGAAATCAAGGTGTTAGCTTGGCCTCACTCCTTCCAGAGGCTCAGTTTCTGATAGCTGCCACCAATCAATCTGCAGTTTGTGACTGCATCACTCCATTCACTGCCTCCAGTCACATTGCTTTCTCCTCTTTGGTCTGTGTCAAATCTCCCTGTGCTTCCCTCTTATAAGAATACATGCAATTGGATTGAGGGCCCACCCAGATGTTCGAAGATAATCTCCCTGTGTCAGGATGCTTAATCATATCTGCAAAGTCCCCCCCCCTTTTTTTTTTTGCTTGCCATGTAATAGGTAACATTCATGAGTTCCAAGGATTAAGATGCAGATGTCTTTTGGGGGGCCATTTTTCAAGCTTATGCAAGCACCATGTGCAATCACTATGAAGTTATTCATTTGTTCGTTCATTCATTTTATACTTTTTGAGTATATACTACCATCAGGAAGTGAATCAAGCACTGAAGATGTAATGATGAGGAAAAATCACACACACAGTCTCTGTTCACTTGGAGCTTACAGTACCTATTAATCAAATAAAAATTTGCCGTGATAAATGTTATGAAGGAGAAATAGAATAAGTAACTTTTCACATAAACATTAATAATGTTCATTATCAAGGCTTTTAAAAATACAGAAAAGTTCACATAAAGAAATTTTTAAAACTCACTGCAGGTATCTACCATGCATAAGTAATTACTATTCTGTTGTTGTTGTTGTTAATATCTTTTCATTTTTTTCTTTTTTCCAGTTAGGAATTCAAGGTGGAAATCATTACTATTCTTGATAAATAATTACCGTGTGTTTCATTCCATATTCCTGTTTGGAACTTAAACACTATTTTGATTTTTTAAGTAATTACCCAAATGATTTTAATATACAAACTTACCCACATATCTACCTCTTTCTTTGGTTATGATTGCCTCTTACATATTAGGCCTTTTCTTCTGCCCGAAGAACATCCTTAAGAATTGCTTTTAGTGAGGGATTGTTGGTGGCAGTCTCATCTGAAAGTATCTTTTATCTCCCAGTTATTGTTTGAGTATATTTTTGCTGAGTTTATAGCTGTAGGTTGAGACTATAGTCTCTCAGCTTTGTTTTGCTATTGAGAAGTTATTTATTTTATTTTTATTTATTTATTTATTTATTTTTTTATTGATCATTCTTGGGTGTTTCTCACAGAGGGGGATTTGGCAGGGTCATAGGACAATAGTGGAGGGAAGGTCAGCAGATAAACAAGTGAACAAAGGTCTCTGGTTTTCCTAGGCAGAGGACCCTGAGGCCTTCCGCAGTGTTTGTGTCCCTGGGTACTTGAGATTAGGGAGTGGTGATGACTCTTAACGAGCATGCTGCCTTCAAGCATCTGTTTAACAAAGCACATCTTGCACTGCCCTTAATCCATTTAACCCTGAGTGGGCACAGCACATGTTTCAGAGAGCACAGGGTTGCGGGGTAAGGTCACAGATCAACAGGATCCCCAGGCAGAAGAATTTTTCTTAGTACAGAACAAAATGAAAAGTCTCCCATGTCTACTTCTTTCCACACAGACACGGCAACCATCCGATTTCTCAATCTTTTCCCCACCTTTCCCCGCTTTCTATTCCACAAAACCACCATTGTCATCATGGCCCGTTCTCAATGAGCTGTTGGGCACACCTTCCAGACGGGGTGGTGGCTGGGCAGAGGGGCTCCTCACTTCCCAGTAGGGGCGGCCGGGCAGAGGCGCCCCTCACCTCCCGGAAGAGGTGGCTGGCCGGGCGGGGGGCTGACCCCCCCACCTCCCTCCCGGACGGGGTGGCTGGCCAGGCAGAGGGTCTCCTCACTTCCCAGTAGGGGCGGCCGGGCAGAGGTGCCCCTCACCTCCCGGACGAGGCGGCTGGCCGGGCAGGGGGCTGACCCCCCACCTCCCTCCCAGACGGGGCGGCTGGCGGGGCGGGGGGCTGACCCCCCCACCTCCCTCCCGGACGGGGCGACTGGCCGGGCGGCGGGCTGACCCCCCACCTCCCTCCCAGACGGGGCGGCTGGCTGGGCAGAGGGGCTCCTCACTTCCCAGTAGGGGCGGCCGGGCAGAGGCGCCCCTCACCTCCCGGACGAGGCGGCTGGTCGGGCGGGGGGCTGACCCCCCCACCTCCCTCCCGGACGGGGCGGCTGGCCGGGCAGAGGGGCTCCTCACTTCCCAGTAGGGGTGGCCGGGCAGAGGCGCCCCTCACCTCCCGGACGGGGCGGCTGGCCGGGTGGGGGGCTGACCCCCCCACCTCCCTCCCGGACGGGGCAGCTGGCCGGGCGGGGGGCTGACCCCCCACCGAGAAGTTATTTAAAAAGGGTTTTCTCTCTAGCTACTTTAAAGATCTTGTCTTTGTCTTTGGTGTTCTTCACCTTCACTGTGATAATGTTTAGAAATCCACTTCTTTTAATCTTACTTGGAATTTGTCAGACTTCTTAAATCTTTAAGTTGGATCTTTCATCCATCCTGGAAAACATTTACCATAATATCTTCAGGTATTTCCTCTGCCTCATTCGCTCTCTTCTCTCCTTTTGGAATCTGGATCTGGATATTTCTTATTATCATATTTTTAAGCTTTTTTTCATATTTTTCATGTCTTTTTATAATATATTCTGGATTCTGGATAATTTTTTCAGGTTTATCTTTGAGTTTACTAATCCTCTCTTAAGCTTTGTTGAACCTGCTTTTAATTGTATCCCTTGACTTTAATGATTTTTTTAAATTTCTCAAATTTCTTTCTGTGACTTTTTCAGAACTTTTCGGTCACTTTTAATAGTGCCTTGCTCTTTACATATTTAGTCTCTTATTTCTTTAAACACTTAAAACATACTACTTTTGTATCCCATGTTTGATAATTTTAGTATTCGAGAGCTTTGTGGGTCTGCTGCCTTGTTTCTCTTTGCTTATGGGACTTTATTTCCTATGTGTTTTTTAAATTTTGATCACGAGCCTATATTTTTTGGAATTTTATCATGGGAAATTCTTTGAGACCTGCCTGAATTGTATCTGGATTTCTCCTGAGGGGATGTGTGGTTGCCTCTGTCAGGTGCTTAAGGAAGCTACCAGCCCAGTGTGAGATTAGGAAATTACAGGAGAATTTTATTAATCTGTAGCAATAACAGCCATCCTCACATCTCTCCCATGCATTCTTTTCTTTCCATCCTACTGATGCCCCATTCTCCTGGTTCCAGTCTTTCTCAGTGCAAACTTAAACTACTTAATAGCCTTCTAATTTTCTCTTCTCTGACCTTGGCACCCTCTAATTCATATCTAGGGTAACTATCCCAACCCATTACCTTCTTCATGTCATTTTGTTCAGAGTCCTTCTGTGGCCTTCACTCTCTTTATCAGTGGTCTCAACCCTGGCTGCCCATTAATATGTAGAATTTTTCCCAAATTAAGAATGTCTGTCTACCTTATACCAATTAAACTAGAACTTCTGAGAGCAGGCTCTTGCATCCTTTTTTAAAAAACATCCTGAACAACTCTACTGTGCAGCCAGGATTGAGAACTACTGGTCAGCAGGAGAATTTTTTTTTTTTTAAGGAATTACCGTAATCTAGCAGATAAGACTTTATAGGACAGTGGTGCGTAACCCTGGCTGCACATAGTAAATACCCATGTGCAAGCCCCCCACACTGAGAGATTCTGATTCATTTGGTCTGAAATGAAACCCAGTGTGTATTGGTATTTTTAACAGTTTTGTAAGATTTGCAACACACAGGGTTGAGAATAAGGATAATCGATTCAGGGATAATAGATTCACAGGCTTCCAGGAACCAGGCTGGTAGTGAGAGAAGGGGGCTAGATGGGAACTATGGTAAACTGGAGAGCACCACCACTCCATGAGGGGCATGCAGCCCTACTGAACTTTTACTGATTATGAAACATGACCATCACTTGGCAACTCCTGCTCTGCAGTATAGCCACATCTCACTCTTCTAGTCAAATCTCAAGAATTCTTGAAAAATATTCATATATGTGTACGTGTGTGTATGTGTGTGTATATATATGTATATATGCATGTATATGTGTGGGTATCTCCAGCCAGGAAGTATGAGGGTATGTTTACCTTTTTCTTCCCCAGCTCAGTGCGTTTATTCACGTTCTGCTCCTTACCTGCAATGCCGTCCCTCCTCCATGTCTGCCTAATCATCCTCATTCTTTAAGGACCACTCATGCTTTCTCTGCCATGACATTTGAGGGCTGGTGATTGGAGGAGATGGATGTTTTGGGAAGGGGACTTACCCTGTATGTCCCTTTCTGTCTTACGTAAACCTGCTTCCTTGAGTATCTGTTTATCTTGACCATACTTCTTTGGGAGTTAAATAAAACAAAGCTTTATATAATCAAATTTTTTAGTATTTTAGCTTTATGATTATCACCACTCAGTTCTATGAATGGATTTATTACATTTAAAAAATTATATTAAATTATATTACATTAAAATTTTTATATAATATAGGAGATAGAGTCGGAACTAGAAAGTCTTAAGTATGTGGATTTAGATATGTAAGGATTAAAAACACCAAGGTTGACTAAGATAATTATAGTAAATGATGTAAATAAGAGGTAAAGAAAAATAAAACAGAATATCTCAAAATCAGATTTGGGCTGGGGAGAGGTGAATCAGTAGGAATGTCTTAAGTTAAATTATAGCAAAAGCAAGCCACACTCATTCCCTAAGATATTTTATATACAAGTCATTTATTTCAAAACATGTTCAAGTACTGTGACCCTAAAAGGGCATCTGAAAGATGAAAGAATTAATATTTTTAATTTAGCATAAGAACCATGGTAAATGAATTTCAACTATAGTACCAAATACAAGGAACCCAAGCCATAACCATTCACTCATTCAGTTGTTCACAACACATATTTACAAGGGGTAAGGAGGTTGGCCTCCCCAGTGCCCATATATGCCAGATTGTAGTGTTTGAGCACATTCTGTGCAGCTAGACTGCCCAGTTTGAATCCCAGTTCCGTCCTTTACCACTGAACACCTTAAGCAATCAGTGTAGGCAAGTTGCTCACCCTCACTAAGCTTTAGTTTCTTCTTCTATAAATTAAGTAGAAGAATGATATCTACCTCGTAGAGTTGTTGTAAAGATGAAATGATTTAATCTAACCACTGGTCTTAGAGCAGTTCCTGATTCATATCAGAGCTATCCTGTATACATATTTGCTGCTATTATTAATCTGTGTTTCTTTAACTCAACTTAAGTTCTAAGAATGCTTAGGAGCATCAAGGAAGATGTCTTGGTCTCAAATGGCATATGGCCACATTGGTATCCTCTAAAAAGAATATTGCCCTGCCTGATTCTTGGTGATCACCTCATAGTGTTGGTGTCTTCTTGTAAGTTCCCATCTGCCCACAGGTTGCATGATTCATGCCAGTGTGCACTGCAGGGACTCCTCAGCATGACGCAGCACCACCTATGTCATGCTGGCTCTATCAGGTAACTCCTTTATCTCACCCAAGGGCTTGGAAAATGTGGTTCCTCTCCTGTTTCCATAGACCTGAGAAAACAGCAAGCTTGCTTTTAGTACTCCCTGACCCAGGCTATTTATGTTCCTCAATTGTTCCCATGCCTTGGTGGCCACAGGAGTGCCTGCAAAGCTGCTACCTCCTTGGGTTCTAGAGGAAAAGATACAAGCCATGGTCACTCTTCCATCAAACTGATTCTCCGCCACCCTGTTTTTCCCAGTTTTCAGCCTTGGGTGTCCAATCAAGAGTATCGATAACCTCTCCAACTCACCTTTCCCAGCCCACAGATTTTTTGTGTTTTTTGGGGTTGCGGGAAGTTGGGAGGGTTAGGAAGAGTGTTGAGAAAAAACCTATTTGGTATTACTCTTCAAAACTGTTGTTTAGAACTCAGCCTCAGGATTTTAAAGTAGAAATAAATAATTGTTTGTCTTCTCATTGCATTTCTGTTTAATAACCCTACCTTAAGCGCAGAGACTATACAATATCCTTGCCCTTATTGCTGGGAAGCAAGGGAGGAATGGATGTGCAAAGTAGGAAATACCAAGAGAGGAAGCACATTAAACAAATTAATACTTCAAATATTATCCTTCTACACATGTATTGATATAACTTCTTTTGAGACTTCTGCCTCAGAGAACTCCCCAGTCATTGCAGTACAACATAATAAGTGAAAACCCAGAAGAGGAAGAACTAATTCTGCCTGGAAAAGTCAGGCAACGCTTCACTGAGGAAGTGAGGATAATTGAAAGAGGGATTCCATTAGACATGTTACTTCCCAGTTCCTGAGCCACATATGTTGCAAAGGAGAATAGTGATTTAATCTGAATGTGAACCTGTATTCACGGAGTCTAGAAAGACTCAGCTAGAAATGGAAATAGTGTTTGTCTTTATGTTTCCATTTGCAACTCTAAAATCGAGATGAATAGTCTGGTGTACATGATCCCTGGTGTTTGGGGCTACACTTGGGCTGCAGTGAAGTTGGTGGCACCTTGATATCCCTAGACCCTACTTGAGGTCATAGAAAGAGCTCTCATCTCTTGTGCCAGAGCCCAGGACTCACAACTGGAGGCCATTTTAAATGTGTAACCTGTTGCAGACCTAATCCTCATTTTAAGAACCAGCCTTCAGCAAATGTGAAATGGAGGAAGTTTTTCCATAGCAGGCACTGCCCAGTTGCACTTTTATTTATTATTTACCCTCTTTTTGGTGTGAGCCCTTTACCTCTAGTCCAGGTGCCCAAAACTTCCTTTTGTTTGATATTTCACACAATTCTTACCCTCCATATACACTCATCGCTTTGCAAAATTTTCCCCTCCTGATCTTCCTTTAACCATCTGAACTTACATTCTCTTAGTGGTCTGTTAATTAGTCCCAAAAGAATAGGAGATACACACATACATGTGTATATTTTTAGATTAAAGCACAGTAATGTGTAAATTTTTGCTAATATCTTAATGTGTTATGTCCCCAAGGGTTTATGCATTTTGAAAGAGGTCCTGCTTTTCCAAAATGAAACCCAAAAAGGGAATTTTCACCTATCCATCTAACCATCTATCCATCAAATAATATTTAGGATGAACCTGCTTTGAACTAAGTACCTTGCTAAGATGGTACTACTTATACCTAGAAAAGGCTCCAGACTGAAAGAATTTCAGACACTGTAAATAGTAATAGATGTGATTTGGTGAACAATTGACTTTCCTTAGCTCTAACATCATAGAAGGTGGTGGAAGAGGGGAGCAGCCTCTCTCCTTGATTAGAATTTAGATTCCTTGAGGGGAGCGTCTCCTGTTCTCATTAATTATGAACGTATTCCAATATCTTGTACAAAGCCTGTCTGGCACATGAGGTGCTCAGCTCTCCTCCATCGAATGAATTCCTGACTTCAGGTAAGAATATATTTTTTTGAGGCCAAAAATTCTGACGAGGTAAGAGATTTTTGTGTTGTCCTGAATTTTTACATTTTAAATAATACACTGTAAAAAATAATTCCAATTAAATGGACCCTTGAGCTATACCATAATGTTTTGTTAGAGATTGTTTTGAATATAAAATTGGTCTGCCTGGCATCCTTCCTAAAGGTAATTGATACTCAAGTAAAGAGGAGACCCCTTAAAACCTCTAGTTGGTGTGGATTTATTACTGAGAACCCAATTAGCAGATGAAAACACTCAATATGAGGCATTTAATACTTACTGGTACTATAAATGCAACAAAGATATTAAACTACTAATTTCTTTAATTTAAATGGTTAAAATTGTACCTCATTTAAATACTTCCCAAATCTAAAATGTACTAACCTATGCACTAGCTTTTAAGTTTAAATAACTTTTTAAAAATATTAAAACTATGAAGATATAAAGGAAAAGTAGAATAAATACTGAAGAAACTCTATGCTTAAAAAATGAACAATTAATTTCTTAGTTCTGCTCCTTAAATACATACTGCTCTCTATATGTGAGCATTTCGCTAAAGAAAATAGCATTGTAAATTAATATAATATACACATGATACTGAATCTTGGAATAAAGTTTCTCATTTAGAAAGCATGGTACAGTTTCCATTTTTAAAAAAGAAAATATATTGTCATGAAATTTGAGTTAAACCCTTCTGGTTTCTAAAACCTTTTAAAAGATTACTTTTATTTTAAGATTTATATGGGAAATTCAACTTCCAGTGCCACTTTATTCCATGAACATGAATGAACTGCATAGTCAAAAGAAAATTATTTCTTGTACCAGCCAATGTACTTGTGTAATGCTCCTGGAAAACATGATTATTACTTCTTGCAAAAAATGGCTTATCTTTCTGATTATTTCCTTAGTACTTCATGCTCTGTTCCTCAAGACTGAAACAGGTAAAATGGGAGAGTTCCCTTGACCCTTTTGTGGGACTTGCAACAGGGCTGGCTCATTTACTCAGCCGCTGTGCTCAGTCCCTTATGGGAGGGAGCACACAAGCCAGGGGGTGTGGGAACTGGAGTGAATGAACACTGGAACCAGCCGGTTGCTTCTTTCTTGGGGAGTCAGGCTCTGTTCAGGCCCCATGGCAGCATCCAAGCATGTTACAATGCTCTTTTAGCTCTGCTGTCCAGGAGGAGGTGTCTGTGACCCCCAGAGCACCAGAGGGCATGTGTTACAATCAGTGCTCTTTTAGCATTTGCCATCTGCAGATGGCTAAGGTTAACCAGCTCAATAGAGAGTCAGGGTGACAGCCTTTTACACCCTGCCCTCTTGGTACCCAAGTTCTTGTCCAGCGTCCAGGAAGAATCAGGTAACCTGAATGAATTAAAGAGTGGTAAATGTGGAGGACTTTATTGAGTTGTGGAAGTGGCTCTCAGTGGGAAGGGGAGCTGGAAAGTGGGTGGAAAAGGAAGGTAATCTCTCCCTGGAGCTCAGCCATCCCCAGCCAAACTCCTCTCTGACCATAGTCTCCAACGTCCAGCTGCTGCTTCTCCTCTCGATGTTCAGACACTTCTCCCTTCTGTGTGTGTGTGTCCACTGAGTTTAGGGTCTGGGGTTCTTAGGGGCACAGGATAGGGAGCAGGGTGAGCCAAAAGGCAACATTCAGGTGGGAAAACAGGGGTAGTTCTTACTTTGGGCCACAGGTCCAGGCTTGAGGGTGGAGCCCTTGACAGGGACACCATCCTATTCTACCCAGTATTTCCCTGCCTCCTGTCCATATCACAGGCACAGGGAAACTCTTAGCACCAGCAACCTGCAATCCCTGTTGATTCTCTGCTAAGGAAGGATTTTTGGTCTTGCACTCAAGGAGTACCCTTCCCCTTAGAGAACCATCTGCTGACCTTCTCTGAAAATCTAAGGGTATCATCTCTCCACTTCCACCTGCACATCTATTTGTTCTTCATTATCTTTGGCAGCTTTTTCACCTCTTGTGTGATTTAGGGTTTTTGATATCTTAGTGTTCTGAAAGATGATGTTTGTACTTCTATTTCTAGTTTTTGTTGCTTCGAGGTAAGTCCTAAGAGAAGGGGAAAATAACAGTTTACTCCCCCAATTTCAGTTGTCACTTTTCTATGAAGGTGACTTGGTACAATGTTATAAATATCATGAGAAGGAATAATGAACATCCTTATCAGGAAAAGAAAGACATATTTGGTGGTAATTAACATTTGGGTCAAGTATTGATGATTAATATGAGGGTGACTGCGTTAATCATGGCTTGGTGGCTGGATTAATGGTGGCATTTGACAAGATTAGAGGTGCAATCCTGAGAAGAAAAATTCAGTTATGGACATATGTATGTTTTTACACAAATAAAAGTTTTACTTTAAATGATATTTGTAACTGTGTTATAAATAAAAATGGCGATTTACTGAGTGTTCACTACGTAATTTGCATATGTAACTCTTGATACTTTAGATGCCAGTATGTATAATTCAAGGTAAACATTAAAACCTCGGCTGGGCGTGGTGGCTCACGCCTGTAATCCTAGCACTTTGGGAGGCCGAGGCAGGCGGATCACGAGGTCAGGAGATCCAGACCATCATGGCTAACACGGTGAAACCCCGTCTCTACTAAAAATACAAAAAATTAGCCGGGCATGGTGGCAGGGGACCTGTAGTCCCAGCTACTAGGGAGGCTGAGGCAGGAGAATGGCGTGAACCCGGGAGGCGAAGCTTGCAGTGAGCCGAGATCACGCCACTGCACTCCAGCCTGGGCGACAGAGCAAGACTCCATCTCAAAAAAAAAAAAAAAAAAAAAACCTCAAAAATGACACATTTCAGTTTATTATAGATAACTGATTATAAAGTATAGCAAACTTTACTTTTTAACCAGTTATCGTGGCTATAAAACTCACTAGAAGATTCTTAAATTTCCAATTCAGTAAATGAAGAATAAAATAACAATTATGATAATAATAATAACAGCCTTTCTTTATTGTATATTTACTGTTTGCCTGGCACTGCAAATTGTTTCACATACATCATTTCACTTAATCCCCTCAACTGTTCCTTGAAGTGAATGTTATTAGATTGCTACAGATGAGGAAATTAAGTCTCAGACTGATTTGGTAGTTTGCCCTCAAGTACAGATACTAAATATGAGAACTAGGATTTGAACCCTCTTTCAACTAAGCTTTATTGTTCATGTAAACTATTTTACTTCAATTATTCTGATTTAAAAATATACATTTAAAATTGTCATATGTGAATTTATTATTGGTTTTGAATAGCTTCTTTTCTACCTGTTGGTTTATATACATCTCTAAAGCAAGCCAATTTTGTTAAAATGATCTCTCACTAAATACACTATCTAAAGTAATTGGTTATTCTCTATTATCTATTATTATCTATTCTTTTTTTTTTTTTTTTTTTTTGAGACAGAGTCTTGCTCAGCCCCACAGGCTGGAGTGCGATAGCATGATCTCAGCTCGCTGCAACCTCCACCACACGGAGGTTCTCCTGTGTCAGCCTCCTGAGTAGCTAGGATTACAGGAGCATAATACCATGCCCAGCTAATTTTTATATTTTTAGAGGTGAGGGCGTTTCACCATGTTGGCCAGGCTGCTCTCGAACTCGTGACCTCAAGTAATCCACCTGCCTCAGCCTGCCAAAGTACTGGGATTACAGGCATGAGCCACCGCACTCAGCCTCTGCTATCTATTCTTTTCTTTGCTATAAATAAATTGTTCTGGTGGCCAGGCATGGTGGCTCATGCCTGTAATCCCAGCACTTTGGGAGGCCAAGGCAGGTGGATCACCTGAGGTGGTCAGGAGTTCGAAACCAGCCTGGCCAACATGGTGAAACCCCGTCTCTACTAAAAATACAAAAAATTAGCTGGGCGTAGTGGTGCATGCCTGTAATCCCAGATACTTGGTAAGCTGAGACAGGAGAATTGCTTGAACCTGGGAGGCAGAGGTTGTAGTGAGCTGAGATCACGCCATTGCACTCCAGTCTGGGCAACAAGAGTGAAACACTGTCTCAAAAAAAAAAAGAGAAAGAAAGAAAAAAGAAAAGAAATTGTTCGATACTCACTAGCAGTAAGTATATTTAATTAATTAAGACTTTGTTTCATGAGGCTTCTCATTCTGGAGAACCTTTTCTCGAGCAGTGTAGTTAATTTATAGCACGTGATGTTATTAGAATATTCAGAATTCCTTATTCTTTTCCATGTAAGTATTTAGTCTACCTTCAGAACCTAATGTGATTAGTTCTTAATAACCTGAAATAAGGAGCCACAAAAAAACTGGGGTAACAAGGTTTGGGGCTGAACTTTTTCTTTTTGATATCATGAAAGGGACTCAGTAGAGTAATAGAGATTTATCCCATTTGTAAGAATACAGAAGAGAGGAGACATGTAATTAATTCTGTTTATAAAATGAAAAAAAATACAACATATGTAGCAACAAGAACATGTCATTCTGAGCAGGTCTTTATAGAACAGACATTCCATATTGTGTTCACCCTTGTCCACAATCATTTGCCATGACAATCTGGTATACTTAGCAGTTGCTGCTGAGTAAGGGAGACTGTCTCTTCTATGAGATCTCTGTGTCAGCCAAAAAAACACAGCAGTCTCATATGGGTCTAGAAACAAGACATAAAACATAAACAGAATGTCAGCATTTTTCTTTACGTTGGAGGGATTTCTTATTAATGACTTTGTCCATTTCTATTTTAACATTTTTAAAATCAGAAACAAGTTTCGGAATGGGTTTTTCTTCTCAAATTAAGATTCTTTCCCATCTGATTGAAGACCTTGTCATTTCTAGACATGACAAAATGTCCACAACTGAATATGAAAACCTGTTATTAAGAATTGAAATGCATTTTGATGAACGGCATATCATAATTCCAAACCATGTTTAATTCTCCATTTAAGAAAAAAAAAAACATGGTTCTTCATGTCATTTCATAGACCTATCCTACTATAGTTTTAAAAATATAAATGTCTCTATTCAGCTATCATTCATTCATTCATTCTAAAGCCGTATTTTGAATACCTGCCAACTTCTGGAGTCAGAGGGTTTCTCTGATGTGTCGGTCTTTCAGACGAATTATAAAGAGACAGCATACAAATAAATATGAAATAATATACAAGAACACATTCATGAAATCATCAGTAGTATATGAATGTTAGTGCAGGAGCAAATCAGAGTGATATGGGATTTCTCAGGGATGACTGCAAGTAACAAATTTAAAGTAAGTAGTGGACAAGGAGTGGCAGAGAAGAAAAGAGAATGTGTTTCAAACACAAGAATTGTGGGCAAAGGAGCATGGGGTTGCAAACAGCACAGAGGGAGAGGATGAGAATGATGGAAATACTTCAAGTTGGATAGGGCAGCTTAATTTCACTTTAATGGTTTCTAGTTAGTGTAGAGTTAAGAGATATCGAAGGAAAATCATGTTGGAAAGGATAATGTAACAGTCTTTTGGAAGCTGGATTGGCAGAGGGAGTCGTAAGCTCAGCGATGTTAAGATATGACGTGAAAACATTGTACTATAAAAATGGAGTTGAGCAAACAAATCTTTATTTATGAAAGAAGAAATGGCTAGGTTGGTGATAAATTGATTAGGGACAGCAGTTTAGTTTTTAAGTGTTATAAATGAGTTGTCATTGACATCAAGTGAAGATTCTCTATATTCATCTGATTACACAAATAGCAAAATACACACAGGAGGAAGGAATACAAAGATGAGACCCACAGAGACTTGATCTAGATTTAGAGTCAATTCAATTTACTAACTTTTTAGACTATGTGATAGGGGAACCAGAGGTTAAACAACAACATGACCTCTGCCCTCGAGGAACTTACAATGTAACAGACATGAATAGGTAAAACTTTAAAAATGGGTTAGTTCCAAGAGATCATGTCCTTTGCACAGACATGGATGGAGCTGGAGGCCATTTTCCTCAGCAAACTAAGGCAGGAACAGAAAACCAGACATTGCATGTTCTCACTTACAAGTGAGAGCTGAACAATGAGAACACATGGACACGGGGGGAAACAACACACACTGGGGCCTGTCAGAGGGTTGGTGGGGGAGGAGGGAGAGCATCAGGTAGAATAGCTAATGGATGCCGGGATTAATACCTAGGTGATGGGATGATCTGTGTAGCAGAACACCATGGCAACACGTTAACCTATGTGACAAACCTGTACATCCTGCACACGTACCCCTGAACTTAAAATTTGAAAAACAAAGCACCTTGTTTTGCTGAAAAAAAAGAAGAAAGAAAATGGATTAGTTCCAGAGGAGGATCAACACAATAGGAATGGAAAAAAGAGGCCTCGCTAAGAGATTTGGAATGGCTATATTTATTAGATAACAGGAAAAACAGAAACTCCAGAAAAGAGAAGTCTGAATGTTACAGAAAGAGCTAGATGTCACTTTTAGTATTGTTTGAAACATCAAAAAATTGGAAACAATTTAAATGTCCATTAGTAGGATAATTACTTTATATAAAAACTGTGAAATGTATTAGAACTATTTTAAAATGAGATATCTATATGTGCTGATGTAGATAGATGTTCTGTTATATATTTGGTGAAAATGCAATTTACATGACTGACGTTGATCTCGTTTATAAAATGAGGAAGGTATTGTAAAAATATGCTTATACAAATCTATATGTTTGCATATGCATAGAAATAGGTCTGGAAGCCTACTCGCCAAACAGTAGTTGGCAGCGGTTACACTTGAGGAATGGGATCAGGTAGGGTGAGGAGTGAGAGCTTTGAGTGCTTATTTCATGTATTTCTCAATTATTTGGATTTTATTACAATGGACACGCATTTTGTTAAAATTGAAATATTTATTAAATAATTATAGATTCACGTGCAGCTGTAAAAATGAGAGTCCCCTCTGGTACTCTGATAATACATATATTGGGTCTTCTGTTTTTATCCCATAGGTCCCTGAAGTTTGGTTCTTCTTTTTTTAAAGTCTGTTTTCTTTCTGTTGATCACATTGTATAAATTCTATTACTCTCAAGATCACTGATTCTATCCTGTATAATCCTTTCTCTACCACTGAGCCCATCCAGTGAGGGTTTTGTTTTTTTTTTTAATTCTGTTACATTACTGTATTTTTCAGAGCTGTGATTTCCATGTAATACTTGCTGAGATTGAACACTTTAGAACATGGTTTTAAGCTCCCTGGTTGTCAGAGTAAAGCAGGAAATAAGAATTATACATCTTTCTATCCAAGAGGTAGAAATACAACAATTCTTGCAAACATCAAAGAGTCTCTTAAACTGGACCTTGGGGAAATTTCTAACTAGAGGAGGTGGACTGGACTGCTGGGGCAGCTCTCAGGATAACTAGTAAGCGTTTTGAATGTATTTCCTACATGTTTCTTGGAGGAAAACAATGTTAAATCCAAATGATTAGTCAGTTTGAATTTACAGCCCCAATTACCACATTTGACAAGAAGAAACTTGATTACAGAAAATGGAAAGACTTAATAATGAACTTGGAGAGAGGAAAGTTTAGTTCCATAGAGTCTCCCCAGTCTGAGAGGAAGTAATTACATACATTGTGCTGTTTTTAAATTATGTGGGATGGTGACTGCTGCTTAAGTAACATCCCAGGAGTAGGGAAGACTCAATTCGTCTTAAGACACTTCATGGCCCACCAGTTCTTTGAGGCATGGGTTTCTACAGGCTTACTGGCCAGAGTTGCAGAGAAAGGGAATTCATTGGCAAGTTAGACAGCTGAATAAAAATGACTGTGTACAATATCCAGTGAGATTGGAAATCACTGCTGAAAAGAAACAACCTGGGGAGTCTAAGCTTTTAGCAGTGGAGGGATTTAGAAGAAATCTGTTGTGGAGTGGACCTAGTGGGAAAAAATGATTTAGTGAATATGGTTCTCACTGGGTGGCCTTCAGGATGGAATGAGTGGGAAGATTTAACTGGGGAAAAGGTCATTAGGATGTCATTGTAATACAGTATTTGGAAACCAAGCAAGGATCACATCTAAGCAAACATTACAGTCAGTGTTGTCAAAAGTAGGAGAGAGCATAACAAGCATGAGAATGAAGCAGGGCAAAGGTGGGAATTGGTTTTATTAGAGAGCACTTTCATCCAAGAAAATGAGAATGGGAATAGCAAAGCTGTAGAGAAAACCAGATGAGGAAAGAGGAACATAGCTAAGGTGAAATGATTTGTGAAAAGTCACCCAGAAACAGTACATTATTGAAAACTTTCTTGTCAATAAGTATTATCAGGTAAAGGAGTATTTTGAAGATGCCAAATACATGAATGGCGAATTGTGGAGTAAGAGTAGGATCACAGACTTTAGGAAGGAAACTGAATATGAGAAAAAAGCAAAATGGAAGATCTTAGAGTGCTCATGGACTTTGAGTTTTGAAAGACAGACACCTCTCCTTCTATTAAAAAGAAAGTTGAGAATATGAATGTGCAGATGGCATGAAACCCTGATACACATAGAATTTAATTTTTTGATAACTTAATTTCTGTATCATGGCCCATTTCAATATGATGATAGAAATCTCAAGCAGTTCAAATTCTCCGTCTTCCATTTTCCTGGTCCCCATTCCTCATGGGCCATTGCTGATGGATCCCTTGCTTCTGTCTGTCTGCCTACAGCTCTATGATCCTTCTGTGACACTCACAGAAGCCACACTTCCGCTTTTATGCCTACCATGGCTCAGGAATCTCTCGAGGCTCTTTCCAGTACTGTCTGCCTAGTAGTGACATAGACTCAGACATTCACTCTGTGGAGTCGTGCTTCTTTCTCCAGAAGCATAGTGCATGGCCTCTGGGACTCTCAGAGCTCTGTTCTCCTCTGCTCCTCTCCATCAGTCTCTTGCGTTTCTTGCCTGGAAGTGGAGTGGAGACACGGTGTAGGAGGGTGTATGCTACACTCTCATAGCATTTTGCCTACTTATTTGTACCTGTTTGAAGGGGTTTTAGCTTCTGTAAACACCAAGAAGACTGCTCCTTTTTTTTGGTTGAGGGACTTCCTCCCCCTCTCCTCCAGCCCATGTCTTTCCTGAAGCAATGAAAATAAAACATCTTACCATCTTGAATGTCTTTGGATTCACGGGAGTAGACTTGGAATAAATTGATTAAAATTTATAACATTAAAATAACTACAAATACAAAAGATGGAGAGAATGAGAGCGTATTGTATTCAGGGTGCCAGACATTTCTTCATTCCTCACAACAGACTCTTTAAATGTAGTTACTGTTACCCCATTTTAAGGATGAAGAAACTGAGGTTGCACACGGTTATATAATGTATCTGCTGGTCTTACTGGCCTACTGCTAGACAGAGGCAGAGCCAGTTCTTTCTGGACTGTCCTTTCCACCCTCCCTCAAAAAGCAAAGTTAAAGGGTGGAATGCAGTGTGAGCATTTGCAGAAAGCCACATGGATGTTGTTGGTCTTTGTCAACTCTTAAGTAAATGATGGTGAGGAGCACCTGTAGGGTTAGAGAAAGCACTGGTAGTAGCCAAAAGAGAGAAAAGAAGAGCAGGAGCAAAACAGACAGAGAAGTTGAGAAATCAGTGGCTAATGAGACTACTGTCTGAATTAACGTTCAAAGCACTATGACACACCACGTGGGAAGTAGAAGCTGCAGGCGTGGAGGGAAACCAAAGCTGATCCCTTGTGTGTCAGGCATGCAGAGAGGAGTGAAGAGTGTGTGGCCCTCGAAAGCATAGTGGAGAAGTCGGTAATTCTAACAGCTAGGACAGGGTGGTAAATAGAAGCCTCATGTTTTTGAATAAGGAGCACATCACTGGATTTGGAAGTGAAGTGCTATTTCATAATGGGAAGTAAAGATGAAGGTTAGCAGAATATTAGAAAGGTGAAGAAATTTGATACCATTGTTTTGGAGAGACCATAATTCCTTATTGCTTCTCCATATCCTTATTGCCATCTATTATCCGATGAGTTTGAACCCCAAGTAACAAGAAACTAAGGAATGTTTATGATTTAATGATCTGGAAATGTTACTATGGGCTGAAGGCACCAACTCTGTTTTTCCTCTGATTATATGTGGGAAGGAAAAAAAAAAGTCAAAAACTGCCTAAAAGAAAATGACTTCATAGGATTAGATGTAATTTCAGATGCAGACCCAGTCTCTTCTGTGTGATCTTGAAGGAATAGTTATATTTGTATGACCACTTGGTTGAGAGGCTTAAGTAAGATTATGATCAGGTGCTTAACATGGAATCTGGAATGTAACAGGAGCTCTATAAATGTAACTTGCTTTTCCTACACCTTCATTTATTCAACAAATATTTATAGAGGAGCTAATTTTATGCCACAGATAATGTGTTAGGATAGGCCACATTATGCTGCAGTAATGAAGACACTCCCCCACCCCAAATCTCAGTTGCTTAAACCCAACCCAACTATATTTCTCTCACCTACTCAAAGTCTGCTGCATGTTTAGGTGGCTTTACAGGGCAACTCTCCTCCATGTGGCAACCCAGACTGCATCACTCTTTAAAATTAATCCTCTTAACACAAGACATCTTAAGGTCCACCACAGCAGAGAAAGATGTAGCCAGAATTGCTTTTAGATACTTTCGTCTGAAAGTGGCATACATCACTCCATTGGCCAGAAGTAGTCCAATGTCCTTATACTACTGGAAGAAGATGAAGATGGAGTCTTCTGTGTGCTCAGAAAGAGAGGATGAGTGGATATTGATGAACACAAATATTATCTACCACTGCTTGGCTAGGTACTGGGTCCTTAGTAGTAAACAAAACAAGTAACATTTATCCTTTCCTGATGGAGCCCTCAGGCCAGAGTGACATGCTCCTGGGAACACTATAGCATTCATAAAGAACTAGTGTTCTGCCCAAGCAAGGGAAGAGACTAAGGAGATTGTATTCAATATGTATGAAGTTATGTGGAAAAATAGGAAAGGATAACAGTTCAGTGTAAGTGACAAGTATGGAGATCTTAGAAATCCTCAATAAATATTTACTGAATGAATGTTAAGTGACGAATAAGAAGAAATTTAGCTCTAAGAAACTAAACTGGAAAGGCAACAGAGAGAGAGAACAGATATAGGAATAAAAAACACATGGAAACAGTTTATGCTTTTCAAATGTTCTGAATAATATTTGGGAATAAAAGCTGTTCTTGCTGTATCTACTGCTTCCAGTAAGCTTGAAATATTTCTGCGTTGGTCTCTTCTGCCATAGTGGTGGTGCAGAGGAATGAATTCCCAGCCAGACTGTTTCATTCTTACCTACTCAAGAGTATGGAAATTTGTTGGGAAGCTTGGACCCTGACTTATCTTCTGGAATATTTTGTGAAGACTTAAGTTGTCTTGATTGGCAGCTGTCAAATGTATAGGGATTATAGGAAAGAAGGAATTATGCTGCTGTAAATACTGAAAATGTTACAGGGCTAAGCAAAAAAATCTAGTAATTTTATGGTAGAATATTAGTGATGGATAATTTCTTAAAAGCATTAAAGTGATTTCTATAAAAATGTTTATTAAAGAAACAATAGAAAACATGCAAAAAAAAACAAAAAGAAAGAAAGAAACATAACAACCCCTAAAGATAATTTCCATTAACTTTCGGTATACCTATGCCAAACTTTCCTAGACATACACATTCATTTGTCTTAGAAAAACAGATTACACAGATCATGCCACTCTGTCATCTCTCTTTTACTTTACAGTATTTCTTGAATATTTTTCTACTTCAAGAAGTATATTTATGCAACATTTTTTTAATGGCTGCATGGTATTGCATCATATATGTGTGTCAGAATACATTTACTTATCATTCCATTAGGTCATTTACAGATGGTTGCCATTATAAACAATGCTGCTATGAACATACTCTAGCTGAATTTCTGTGCACATCTTTAATTATTTTATAGAATAACTTTCCTAAATTGCAATACTTGGGTAAAAGTTATTTATATTTTAAGGCTTATTATTTACATTATCAAATTACCCTTTAAAAGATTGTTTCAATTTATATTCCTACCAGCAGTGGATGAGAATAAGAGTGTTTAGGAGCCCATAAATCTGCAAATATGGTTGTAGCAAATTGGGCATACTACCGTACATATGTTTAATATTGATAGCTGTTAGCAGAAAGGGGCACTCAGTATATTATCTTTAAATCCTACATTCTATGTATTTAATGCTTTATTCTAAAATCATATGTATGAGAGTTTCACATTAAATTTTCTAGAAAGGAATTTAAGACAGATTCACATAGTATGCTAAATGGGTTCATTAATGTCATAGGCTCTGGGGTAAAATCTATGGATGATCCATTAGATAGCTAGAATGAGTTCTTTACTAAACAAAATATATTGAGCTCTGCCATTGAATGTCATCCGTGCCTTGATATGTGGCTGTAGCCAAATATTTGTGTACATCTTTAATAATTGAATATTAGGCAATTTCTCATTTTTCTTTTTTTTTTTTTTGAGACGGAGTTTCGCTCTGTCGCCCAGGCTGGAGTGCAGTGGCGCGATCTCGACTCACTGCAAGCTCCGCCTCCCGGGTTCATGCCATTCTCCTGCCTCAGCCTCCCGTGTAGCTGGGACTACAAGCGTGCGCCACCATGCCCGGCTAATTTTTATATTTTTAGTAGAGACGGGGTTTCACCGTGTTAGCCAGGATGGTCTCGATTTCCTGACCTCGTGATCCGCCCGTCTCGGCCTCCCAAAGTGCTGGGATTACAGGCGTGAGCCACCGCGCCCGGCCAATTTCTCATTTTTCTAAAAAGAAAACCCCAAATTTTTTCAACTAAATTGATTATATTAAAGTTTGCATGACATAGATGAAATAAACTTGTATATTTATAATATGTAATTTACTAATTTAGACATAAATAATACTTTAAAAGCATACTATAAGTAATAATTTTTAGAAGTATTGCTCTTTTCCCACTCTTAAATTTCATGAGGGAGTTTTGGTCCAATTCCCCCTTCCATGCATTCTTGAGTTCATAATGGTGGCACCTCTTCAGGCAGCTGGCCTGTTTTCACTACCTGTCATCTGGAATCGAGTTTAAGTAGCTTGGGGTGCAGGACTTTGTGAAACTGTGTATGATGGAAATCTTTTCCCCAACTACAAAAAAAGAAAAAAAAACCCACTTACTACTTATCTCCAGTAACCACTTAACTGTTACTTTTTTGAGTGATCTTTAAAATACTTGTTTTCAGCAACATCCAGCACTTAGAATTGTTAGGTCATGTCTCCTAAAATAATTACCAACTCAATATTAAATTCGTTTGCTTCTGTTTTTACCAGTCCCAGCAAGTGAATGATTGCTAAAACCATCCAAAACTCTCATCAGTTGTTTCAGGCTAATCTATGTTCCCTAAACAGTACTTTGTTTAAAATAAAATAATTGAGACAGTGCCTGGTATTAATAAGAGAGACTTTATAAGGACTTTAGTATAAAATGCCTCTTTTTCTGACAGATAACTTTGGGAATGAAAAAATCTCACCTTACATTTGGCCATATATTACAGTTTAAACAAAAAGAGGGGATTCACACAAATCTCTTTTGTGTTCTTATGCAAAGTAACTATTGAATATGAAAGCTTTTGTCCACCTATAGGAAATAGCTAAAGAATACGGCAGGATTGTAATGCATTTATCTTGTATAAAAACACTGAGAATTGAGGTTTATAAAGCCTGCTGCTTTGAAAATATTCACATTGGAATCTTTTAAGAACTACAGCTCTACCCGATTAAACCTCCTCCCAACTCCAAACCTCATCTACTTTTACTTTAATACCAAAAATAAAAATTAAAAAAAAAACCCAGCCATATTTAAAATATAAGATCTCTTAGGTATCCATAGCCAAAATTTTGGAACTCAAAATGAAAAATTTAGAGAACTGAATGGCTAGATTTCCCTATGGTGATACTATCACTTTAAGATATATTATATTGTTTCCAATCTTTTCATCTAAGTATTTCCTAGAGAATCAGACTAAAAGAACATTGTATAGATTAGGTGGCAGCTATTTGATTGATATGGTTGAAGATGGCATATGGCATATTCTTTACTTTCAAACTGTTTTGAGTCTTTGTTCTTGCCTGTAGCAGTAGTACCTGTGAGAACTATCCAGAAACTTCCCAATGGTACATGTATGTAAAATACATCATCTTAAAAAGCAATGAACATTTCACCATTGCATTCTTTATTATTTGAACTAAATCAAACTGAGAGATATAGAACTTAAATGGCTATAGAACTCTAATTCTGTAAGATATTACAATTTCATAAGATTATAAATGCTGTTTTAAAATGTTAATTAGAAGATACATTTGTTTTAATTCATGATACTGAAAATATTGACTGAATTGTGAATTAACACATTTAGGGTTGCAGATGTCATTTTTCATGAGATTTCCTGAATGATGTAATTTTCATATTTCATATAGCAGTTTGATCAATTTACAGATTTATTTTACATAATTAGTAAATGAGAAATTCAATTGCTGATATATAACTATTTTTTCATAATGTAAAAAAGAAGCTAAAATTCTGAATTATAAATAAAAAACAAATATTTTGAAGACATCTGGTCCACATCTGTCTGAAATAAGATAATTTAAAACAGTGTAATTAAATGCAAGAAATACTGAAATATTCACACCTTAGGATGTTAAAAAAAACTCATTTCATTTTGATGTGATTTGTTTAATTGTAGAGTTTTTAAAAATGTTAGTGTCCTTTAGCCTCTCATTCTATCATTTACAAAGAAGACTGACAAGCTAAACAAAAAAAAATAATCCATGTGTTCCAAAGCCTCTACTAAATGAAAGAATTATCTTTATTACTATTCTTTTATATGGGCATAACTCCACTCCTAAGTTAATACTCAGCGGACATAGACCCAGACCTACCTCCTTTTGATGTATTTATAATTCTCCATTCAATTACTTAAAATGAGAGATTAGTGAGAGGGTCTCTAATCTCCCTAAATTGTGCGTTCCTTGTGGGCACAAAGGAGCTCAGTAAATGTGAGAGGAAGGTATTCAGACCTATGGAAATGAAAAGCATCTTTGGTACATTCTCATGATCATTGGAGAGTCAGCCTTTGAAGATTGGTCTTTTCTTACATTAAAAAAAAAAAAAAGTTTATTTTTAACCTTTGTTAAGTAGAAAATTAACCATTTTAGGGAAGAGTAAATACACTATACTTTCTGTAGTCCAGCCTTAAGATGTGAAAAGACAGATTTGTCCTTTAAGGCTGCAGAGCCTTAAAACTTCAATAGGACTAGGTTCTGATCATAAGAGACAAGTTTGTGGACATGAAAATATTGCTGATGCTATAGTGTGAAGTTATAGGAAGAAATCTCCACTTGGATACCAGAGGCTCCCCAACCAGCAGTAGACCATGAAAAAAATTGATACTGTAGGAAGTGAAACCACTTTTCCTAACACATGCCCTAAGGTAACACAAGTTATATTTTGTGTGTTTATTTCCAGGGAGCATGATAAAGATCCAGAAAGCTTTTTTAAGGTATTAATGCATCTTAAAGACTTAGGACTCAATTTCCACGTGTCTGTACTTGGAGAAACCTTCACAGATGTCCCAGGTACCTCTGTTGAATTTTCTAATGTGTATTTTTATAGATGACATAAGCTCTACAACGTAAGTATTAATTTCCATGTTTCCCTTTGTTAGAATAATCAAGATGAGCACTGTTAACCAAAAGATTATACGATGGCATTAAAGTCTGATTCAATTAAAAAAATACTTAAGTAAGCATTCTTTGATTTAAGTTGAGAACGTGAAGTCATCTCTTTGATCAAATATAGTTTATACAGTGCATCTTGATGTAAATAAAATATATTGCTTTAGGCATCTTAACACTTAAGGAAAGTGGGAATTTGTAATTGGATATACAACCTCTCACCTCTGGGGTCACTGGTTTGAATCCTGCTCACATTGGTATTGGCTGAAATATATTACCATCTGTTAGGTGGCCTATGTAAAGCATTTTGGCATCTAACTTGTAATGTGGAATGGACTATAGTCCATGTCATAGTTGTCGTTGGTCCATGCCTTGTTTATTGAACTTGAGAAAGACAAAAATCGGAAGCTGATAGCAGCAGATCCTCTCTTTATTAATGCCACACGGAGCCTTTTCAAAGAGCCATTTCCTTCACCCTGCATCCTCACAGTTCACATTTGGGTCAGTAAAATGAGGATTCATAAGCACACAAGTTATACAAGTATTCATGTCTTTTAAGCTTTGGGTGTTCAGCATTATTTGAAAAATCAAATGTACAAGCAACAATATTTCAGAAATAACCTTTGCCATTGTGCATTATGACTCCTAAGGAACACCTAAAGTTTACTTTCACTTAGCAAGTGCTTCTTGATTCTAGTACAGTGTCAAGAACTACACCCAGCCTGCATCTCAGTAGCCTTGTCTCATATGGCTCATCTTTTGCCCGCTGCAGCTGTGGATACTGACCTTTTCCCAGTTCTCCTAAGACACCAGGCTTCTTGAGACCTTTGGACGTTTGCCTGTTTATTTCTATTTTATCCTTTTGATCTCAGCTCAGGGGCATTTTCTTTCGCTGTAAAGCTTTGTCATGATTTCTCAGCACCCCATACTTCATCTTCATGGTACTTACCTCAGTTTTTAATTTATCTATGTGTAAATTTTTTCATCTCTTTCACGCGTATGCACACAAGCACACATGGCCCATACACACTGGAATGTAAATGCTATGAGGACAGGTACTGTATCTGTTGTGTTCATCATTGTACCCCAAAGCCCATTGCAGTGCTTGACACAATGATGGAGCTCAGTGAATATTTATTGGACAAATAAGTAAAAATAATGCAAACTCCCTGCTCTCAAGAAATTTATAATTTTTTTTTGAGAAGGGAACACTTATGTCTACACATAGGCAACAGAGGGTGAAACACAAGATAATATAATTATACATTATCTAAGCCACACAGGTGGTTTCGAGTGTTAATTGAAGGGCTGGTACTTGAATAGCCAGAAAAGAAGGATTAAGTTATTCCAAAAGGGGAAACAACATGGGCAAAGCACAAGAAGCCAACATTTTAGAAAATGTGATTAAATGAGAGAAAAACCTCAATGATGAGTGCTGTGAGGTCATTAAACAGAACAGGACATTCTACATGCAGACTTAGTAAGTAAGTTGGTATGTGCATTACACAGGTAGGGTAGGGCCCAAATATGGAGGAGCTTGATAACCAAAGTAGATTGGGTAAAGATAAGGAATAGGGAGCCTAGATCTTGAACAGGAAAGAAATATGATGAAACCTGTATTTTAGGAAGCTGTGTCTCGCAACGATATGTAGACAGAATCACAGTAAGACCCTCTGGTAGTAATCCCAGTGTGATCCTGTAAGGTGCTGGCAGAGAGATTAGTGAGAGGGCTGTATGAGAGGGATGTTCTCAAGGAAAGCACAGAAGAGAATTTGATAGATGGGTGGCTATACAGAAGGAAGGAAAGAAAAGATCAGCTCATTTGCAAAGCTCATAAGTTCAGTTTTGTTTGTACCAGCCTTGAGGTGTTTGTGGATGGATTGAGAAACGATGCTGGAGGAAATTCCCCCCATCAGAAGGCTTCTTAGCTGGTCTTACCACTGCGTACTTTCAGGCCACCACTACAAAGAAGACTCGGTTTTTACTCAAAAGCCTAAGTTCTGGGATTACATCTCTCCTCTCCCACACATTGACCTTGAGTTATTTAGAGCAATATGGAGGGTTGAAAATAGGGTGTGGAGCAGTTAGGGGTCCAAGTACTTAGTGCTCAGTAATTACAGGTGAGTAATTATTGCTCACTTTGGCTTCGCTTCCACACATACTTACTGAGCACTGTGGAGGGGGGATTCCACAGTGAACAGCACTCAGTTTCCCCCTCAGGGATCTCTGTCTAACTGGGATGCTGTGAAATACACAGAGAGTACTGTGGAAGCCCACAGGAAGGGATAGCATATTGTCTATACACGTGCTTCTGTTACTCCTAGTAGCAACAGAGATTTTTTTCTGCCTCAGCCACTGGTTCATCTCTACCATTTCAAATGTGAATTGAGTCTTCACGGCCATGGCACTTCATCTTGCACAGAGGAGGAGCCCAGGTGTGGAATGGATGAAAGAGCTGGTAACTTTCCAGGTTGTGCCCTTAGAAGGCCGCTTTGCTGGTCTCTACAACAAAGGCTTCCTAACAGGCCATTCTGTATCACTTCAGCCATTATTGTCACCCCTCTAGTTTATGTAACAGGTTCTTAGATAGCATTTACTGTATTCCAGGTGTTCTAAGCTGTTCATGAATATTAACTCTGTAATCCTTTATAACAATCCTGTTCAGTATTGCTACCTCCATTTTTTCCCAGGTGGAGAAACAAATAGGCCACTCAGCTAGGTAGTGCTTTAGCCACTGAGGTATACTGCTTTTTCATGTTCTTTTTTTCTGACCCAACTGTTTCTCTAACTTTAAACATTAATTTTTCCCCAGCTCACCATTCAGCATTCGTAATCTCTTATCTAGCGCTTCCACAAAAAGGATTACCTAGCTGGCATGCATTTCTTTGTCTGATGTCTCTTTGGGTACTACATTATCATTTCTGGCCAGGTGCAGTGGCTCACACCTGTAATCCCAGCACCTTGGGAGGCCGAGGTGGGTGGATCACCTGAGGTCAGGAGCTCAAGACCAGCCTGGCCAACATGGTGAAACCCCATCTTTACTGAAAATACAAAAATTAGCCAGGCATGGTAGTGCACGCGGGTAATCCCAGCAACTTGGGAGGCTGAGGCTGGAGAATCACTTGAACCTGGGAGGCACAGGTTGCAGTGAGCCAAGATCATGCCATTGCACTCCAGCCTGGACAACAGAGTGAGACTCTGTCTCAAAAAAAAAAAAAAATTATATACTATGTGATACCTAGCCAGAAGAATTACTCTTAACGCTGTTAACATTTGTAGGGATATGGTTCTCTTGCAAATAATTGCAATTATTATTATGCTATTAATAACTTCCATTAATTGAAAGTGTGCTTCTTTCTTGGCCATTTGCCTGATTATTTTATGTAATGCTCATGATACTCCCATTGAGGGTAGGTATTACCCTATCCCATTTTATAGGTAGGGAAACAGACTCTGAAAGCTTAAGTCACTTTGATTACATTGCCTATAAGTGAGTCAAGCATTTCTCTTTCACATACAAGCCAGAAGGATTGGAAAACCAAGAAAGGCTTAATGTATCACTGCAGGACCATTGATTACTCTGTTTTCAGCTTTGTTTTCTTTCCCTCTCTACAGAACTCTTGGGAGGAAAGTGGCACACCACTGAGTGATGGCATTAGTGCCAAGTTTTACTGCCCTTTCTGATGAAGCAAACAATCATCACTAAATTTCTTTTGAAAACTATAACTCAGCAACTTTGTAGAGTCTCTATACTGTTGATTGTTTTCAAGCAAAAATTATGTTGTTACAAAGTTTTTGTAATCTTTTTCCTAAAATGTATAGTAGAATTAAGAGTGTCAGTTACAATTTATAGTGCTACAGTTTATAGATCTTTTGCATCATCCCTTCATTTTACAGGAGATGAGAGATCTAGAATCAGTGACTTTCCCAAGGCCTCACTGCTGGGCGCAGTGGGTGAGATGGGCAGTAGATAGTGGCAGGGTTTGGAGTAGAACCTGGGAGTCCGTTTTCCTCAGCCCTAGTCACTGCTACATTTTTTCAATAAATGTTTTTAAAATACGTTCTTTGTTCCAGGCACTGTTGAACATTTAGGATGCAATGGTGAATGAAGTAGACATGTTCTGTGACATTTGAAACTTATAGTCCCACTCCAGTGCTTTGTTCATCACTTAATAGAACATTCCTTAAAAATGATAGAACTGACATTTCTTGAGCACATAGCATGTGCTAGATGCCGTTCTCAGCCCTTTATGCATTGCCTTATGTAGTCTTCACAATAGCCCTGTGAATTGGCACTGTTGGAATTACCATTTACAGCTGAAAAAAGTAAGGCACAGGGAGGTTAAGTCACTCGCCTGAAACCACCCAATCAGTCTACCTCAAAGGCAAGTGCTCAGCCTGTGCTCTACAGGGAAATTCACAGAATCATCCCTGTTTTACAGGTAAGAAAGCAGGAGTTGATAACGGTGAGAAATTCCTGGCCACTCATGTGAAATGAATAGGAAAAAAAAACAGTAAATATAGGGTTCAGTACTACCTACAGTTTCAGGCATGCAATAGAGGTCTTGCAATTCATCCCCTGTGGATAAGGGACAACTATTTCATTGCCTGTAATCTTCTTGCTGGAAACAACCCAGCTGGTATCTGAAGACGCATCTAGCAACTATGTCCTGGAAAGCACAGCAGATATGAAGTGGAGGTAGTCTCTGTAGAAATGGAGTTACTTATCACTTGCAGGTGACTTGGCATTTTGAAAAGCTTTTAGTGGTTTTCAACCAGAGATTCCCACCTCCACCTCCAGGGACATTTGGCAATGTCTGGAGACATTTTTGGCTGTCACAACTGTTGTGCAATGGGGTGGTGCTCCTGGCGTCTAGTAGGTAGAGGCCAGAGGTGCTGCTAAACATTCTGTGGTACACCAGACAGCCCCCACGGCAAATAATTATCCAACCTAAAATGTCAATAGTGCCTAGATTGAGAAACTCTGATTTGTGGGAATTGAACTCAGCAAACCAGGCTTGGGACTGGGTCTCTTGAAGCTTTCTAAGTTAATTCATGTTCATCCATCTGTGCAATGAAAAGGAGGAGATGGGAAAGGGAAATAATAATAAAATCACCTGCCCTATCAACTTCAGTGAGTTATAATGAGGATTTCAGCACAATTAGATAATTTGAGGGAAAGTGCTATCTAAACTACTATGCAGATTTTATTATAGGACTCATGGACTTGCCTCCAGAGTTTGTACATGGAATGAGTTTTTAATACATTTTGGATCCATAGGAGACATGAATGATCCTGTACCTTAAAAGTTCATTTTGTTTTTATTCAGAAAATTGGAAAGGTCATTCTGCTACATAAAGCATCTGCATCAGACTCCATATTACAAATGAACCAAAAAGCCTAGAAGCTCCTCAATGCAAATATTTGAGTTTTGGCCAATTCTCATGATAAGGTCACATTGTTAGCCCTTGAGATTATTAAAAAAAAAAAAAGAAGAAGAACAAAATGCTTAAGATATCAAATAAGTGGAATGTGTTTGTGTACTTAATAATTTCCCACAAATGGTAATTCTAAACAAAATATTATTTTCTGTGAACTGCCAAAGACTTAAACAAGCGTTCTTCTTTCCATGCTGCAGACATGGTGGGAAAAGGAGTTTTAGCTTTAGACATTAGGGCAGCCAGAAAGGTTACAAGGAAACCAAAAACCTGAACTATGGTTTTCGCAGACAGAAGTCTTTCTGTTTCACCTTTAATTTGAGGTTAAGAACAGTATATGGAAAGCTTCTGGTTAGTATCTGGTATGACAATGGTTATTACTATGATCTTGGCATATTTCTGGTTCTTGGCTCTGGAGTCAAATGTTGGATAATTATATAACATTTCCCTCCACTTCCATCTTCTCCTTCACTCAGCTCCCAGCTCCTGTCTCATTTTCATCAGAGCAGCTATACTAAGGGGGAAATACTAGAAAGGTTCTAGGACACAAATAACATACATCACACTAATATAAAGTTGTAAAATTTTGTCACAAGGAGAGCCTAGCAAAAGGAAAGCTACTAATGTATTGATAAATGTTGAATTATAAGAAGATTAGGCCAGGCACAGTGGCAGAGAGAGACCTTGTTGTCTCAAAAAAACAACAAAAGATAAATACATTGAGATGAAGTTAATGTACTAGTAAGATTGAATAAACTCATTTTTCTCCAGACCATACCATTCCCTAAACCTATTCCTTTTCCTTATAATTTTTTTATCATTATTCATTCCCTAACATATAATTACTTACTGAGTTCCTGTTATGGTCTAGCACCATGTAAAGTATTGTGGATACCAAGAGATGAAGACATGGTTCCTCCCCTCTGGAATCTTACTGGCTCATTAGAAAACAAAAATGTTTATATAATTACATTTTATTATATCACATTCTTGTTTATATTGTAACATTTTAATAATTTTGAATACATTATTTACAATGTTTATGGGCAAACCTTATAGCAGTCTAGTGATTTAACAAGTATTAACCTCCCCAAATTATAGCTGAGGAAATGACGCATATTAGCTCCATTTTAGTAGCATGCATTTGAAGTCGATTCTCAGTAGACAGAGCCATCTTCACATGATTCTTAGAAATGAACACATAGTTACTTTCCCGAGAATATGATTGAGAAAGTTAGTCTTCAAGAATCTGAAATTCAAACTGAAGGCTTCTGTCTCCCAGTCCTTTGCTGAAATAAAGAAAACAACAAAACATAATGGGAAAAGTAAGGAAGATTCAATTAAAGGTAGGCATATAAGCTCCTGACAGAAAAAGAATACATGCTAAATAGAAATGATGGTATCTCTTAAGATAATTTATGAATTTAACAAGACTCCAATTAGGGTGCCAGAATATTACTTTACATATCCTCACAAAGTGGTTCTAAAATCTGAACAAAATAAGTAAATGAAAGGGCAAACTAGCAAAGGAATCATGAAGGAAAACATGTCCTACCAAATTCAGAACATGTATGAAGTGAGAACTTTTCAAAGAGTACCATAGAGATTTAAAATATGAAAGTAAAAAAAAAAAACTAGGCAGAAATGGAGAAGCAGAAATACAACTTGTATATACATTTAAGAGCCCACAAACTTATGATAACACAATTTACTAATACACTTATCCCAGCTCAAAAACAGAGTATTTTTTCTTAGTGAAATCAGTTAATTGAATAAAATAAATGTTTATATGATAAAACAACAAATTATACATTTATAAGTAAAGGTTTGCAATAGCATCAACACATTATTATAAGTACAGTAATCTACTGAATTCTTACTCTGCACCAAGCCAGGGCTAGGCTTTTACTCTGATATCTCATTTTGTATGACAACAATCCCCTTAATAAGTATAATTACTTTCCCCTATGTATAGGTGAGGACACTAAGGCTTTAGTTAAATAACTTGCCTGAGGTCACACAGCTAATAAACAAAAGAGGTGATAATATCAGAAGAAATAAATACTAAATCAAATTTTAGGGGGGAAAACTCTCTAATTTTACCAGTAATGAAGTACATATAAATACAAAAAAAATTATGACCGAGCAGTTGCATTGAACAAAACAATAAAAGTAAAGACTTGTAACTAAGACTAGCCCACTTGTGGGGCAACATCTGCATGTATGGTGATGGTGATGCACATTATTTTTCCTGAACTATATTACTCTACCCTTTGTTTAACTCAGACATTTCACAGGAAATGTATCCCATGGAAATAATTCCAAGAAGGAAAAAAACAAATGACAAAAGTTGTTCTTGCCTCTTTCTCTTCTCTACTGTCCCATAGTGAACAGGTAACTAAGATCCTATTCTTTCTTGATCCCATGCCTCCTTCTGATTCTGTTGGCTCTTTTCCAGTTCTTGCCCTTTTCTTCTGGGCCCTTGACTCCTACAAAGGCTTCAGATTAGTCTCCCAGACTCTGGATACCTTGACACTGAGTTCATCCACTTGCTATTATCAGTGTTCTTTCTAAACCTAGAACATCCAAGAAGATAATCATAATAGTATAACAATAATAAGTGTTTGTGTCAGATTTTCTGCAGGATGAACTTAATTTCCTTTATAGCGGGGGAGGTTCTTCAAAATCTCACCCTAGGCTAGTTCCTCATGAATTCCAGTTATCTTTGCCATTTCCTGAATACAGCTGTGCCCTTACCCACCTCTATGTCTTGTGTTATTTGTTGCTTAAATTCCTTTCTTCCTCCCCATGTAGACACAGTCAAACCCTTTCTCCACCTGGCAAAATCCCAACTCTATACCTTCCTCTTCTCTTTCCTTCCTATTGTTTCATGGCATCTATACTCATTCCATCAGTTGCAAAGCATGTATCACACTGCACCATAGTGATATATATATCACTTATCACTTGGCTGCCATAATAGGGCCATGGTATAACTGACTGGAAGGCACTTTGTAGGTGAAGAGTAGAACTTTTGAAACAGCCCCACAGAAGAGGAGTCTGCAGCACTCCTGGTGGGAGTGCTATCCTGGCCCAGCTTTTATTGATACCCTAACAAGGATGAGGTTCCCATTCAGTACCTGTGAAGCTATCTTTTCCTTTCTCAGGAAAGGCTTATTAACTGGGCTGATACCCTTCCCTCCCAAATGCTCAGAACATTCACCAGCTGCAAGTAACTGGTAACAACTCACTCTCATTCCTCAATGTGTCCTGTGAGAATCCATTTTTTTCTAGGATCACTCCCAGGCATGCCAGTCCCTGGGCTTAAAGTCTACTCCTGCAGCTTCTGTAAGTAGAATAATCTTTTCTACTGAAACCAGAAGATCCATTGCCACTCTTAAGGCAAGATCATTTATCCATCCTACCAGGGAAGACCATGAAGATAATGAGTTCTGGAATACAGCTCCCAAAACATCTCTCAAGAAATTGTTCTCAAAAATTATAAATATGAAAACATCACTGAGGGAAAATGCTCTGTCATTTTCATAAGCTGTCCTCAAAGTTTGAGAAATGTGTACTTGGGAAAGACACAGGAAAATAAATTAATTAATGGAAAAGATCGACATTACTAGACAAATAGGAAATTGGAAACAGACCTTAATTTTGAAAGCCTGTAAAGGCATATGAGATTTAGGGTTGATGGGAGCTCTTAGGATGTAGTTGCTATACTTGGTTTTCAGTTCCTATAGTTGTATATGGTCATGATTTGGAGTGTGGTATGGTCAAAATAATATTTCCCCAGTAAAAGACTATGGGGGAAGGCCTGCTTGTTTTAATATTCCTGTTTCCTGCAATGCCTATCAGAACAGGAGTCTCTGACAGAAAGCAGCACAACAGGGAATGAGTATGAATATCTGGATCCAACTAGTGAGTTTTTCCAGCTATATCTCTCCTTGGCTAAATTGTTACATTTGTGAAATGGAAACCATCAGATATATGCTGCCATGAAATGAACACTGTCCTGGAATTTATAAGGCTCAGGGTCTAGTTCCAGCTCTGCCATTGATTAGCCATGTCACCTCTTTCAGCCTTACTTTACTCATCTGTAAAATAAAGTCATTCCAAAGAAGATAGAACTAGAAGGGACCTTGGAGATTTCTCAGCTTTTAAAATGCAGACTTAAAATTCCCACCCGCAAGGGGATTTTACTTAGTGACGCTTTCTGAAATGTGTATTATGAAACCCGTAAGCATAATAATTATACTTTTTCAATACACTTTGTTTTCTACCTGTATTTTTTTTTTCACTTTTATCATAGGTTCAGGGGGTTACATGTGCAGATTTGTTAAAAAGGTATATTGAAAACACTTTTTATTCCTCACCGTTCTGATGTCTACCTGTGCTGCCAACAGCAATTATTCCAGCTACCCTGGTGTGTGTTTTTTATCCTGTCATTGCCTCTCACTCGTTCTTCACCTTCAAGTATCCTATGGGAGCTTTTATTCTTTCTTGTTGAGTTTATCTTTAGGTCTTTGTGAGGCTGACTAAAAACACTCCTAAAGATGAGCCCATGTATCTCACCTTCTCTTCTGATCTTATCACATTAAGTACAGCCTCATTGTTCTGACTTTCCTGATATGGTTTCAGCTACCTTCCTAGCCTTACTTCAATCCTTGAACATTATATCCTGGACTGTAGCCTAGATTAGTCAGTGTTCCCTGAAGATGGCTCATATCTCACCATCCAGTGCCCCTCCCTCCTCCTTTATTTGTCAAAGCTCAACCCATCTTCCAAGAGTCATCTCACCCACTTTCCCAGGCCTCTCAAACACATGTACTACCTCCTCTCTTTGAATGTCCATGAGATTTTGTTGGCATTTTGCAGTGTACTTATCATACATACTTCAATAATAGAAGGCTCTTGAGAATAATGGCAGTTGTATCTGACACAACCTGATATGACCCAAAGATCCTAGTACAGCTGTGTTTTCAAACTTTTGACCATGATCCACATCAAGATATATATTTACATTGTGGCTCAGTATACCTATTAATGTAGACATATTTATAATTGAAACAAGGCTTTTATAATACATATTCTTACTACATTTGACGCACTCTGATGTTTTCTTTTTCTGATTTAATTTCTTTTTATGCTGCTCTAAATTGATTTCACAACCATTAGCCACAATTGTAAAAAACACCATAATATAGCACACTGCACAAAGTAGGTATACTGTTGTACACATTTAATTAAATTGACTCGGCTTTTTCCAAAATCATTATAGAAATATTACTGATTTGTGAATATATAAAATATATCCATTTTGATATATTTATTTAGATTTTAACTTTACCAAAAAAATATTTTATAACCTCAAAGTATTGCTGCTTTGGTTTTAATTTTACATGATCTGAAAAAGCAAATGCAGTTCATTTTTATGTATTTTTAAAGTAAGAAGATGAAGATATTTAGCTGTACGATAATTATCACTGTAATGACAAAACTCCTGAGATTAATGTATTTGACATACCATAAAATTGCTGTTTATTGAATGCTGAGTATGTTCCACACATTGTGCTAGGTGCTTCATATACATTTCCTTTAACTCTGTGACATTCCTCCAGGATCAGATATTATCTCCACTTTATAAGAATGCCAAATCAAACTGTACCATTTTACTCAGTGAAAATTCTTAGCAATAAACTAAAATCAGGAATTCTGATTTGGTTTTATTATCTTTCTTCCCACAAAGCTCCTTGTAATTTAGCAAGTGTTTTTTTTTTCCACAGTACATTTTAACTGTGTTCAGTGCTTATAAAAAATGTCAGACTGATGGTGTTGAGAATGAAAGTTGTACCAACTGATGAGTTAAGTTTCTTGATGTTCATTTTATGAACTTCATTAACTGAAAAATATAACAGAAAATAATGCTTTACAGTTCATTTTATCATATCTTAAAAGTTACATTGATTCTAGAAAAATAGAACGTTTAGTGTCTAGCTAGATACTAAGGACATAGTTGGTGTTCGATAATTGCTTATTGATTGATTAAACTAGTAAAGGGATATTAACCCTAAATGTTGGATTTAGATGAGGAAACTACTACTTAAAGGGGAAAAAAGATTTCCCTTGGCTTTGTTATTCTCATAGCCTCTTTCCACTGCACAATTGATGATAAGGTGTTGCCCAGACAGACCTGATTTAAGAATTGGTATTTAACTTTATCCCATTGATTATAAAGTGAGTCAGCAAGATTTAAGTGTTGAATAGATTCAAGATACAGTCACCTTTGAGTCAGGTGGAAACGTAAAAAAAAAAAAAAAAAAAAAGAAAGAAAGAAATAAAAATCACCCAAACTCTCTCTCTATAAAATGTTTTTGTCATAAAAGTTCTGTGTATGGAAGAATGTCCACACTCCTGTAGGATGAGAGGGCTCAACCATAGCACAAAGAAGGTTAAAGGGGCATTTACTGAAAGTGACAGTACTCTTTAGGTTCTAGCAACTATTTAAGGGGGGAATTTATCTGGTAATTACATTTCCCCCATAATTGCTGCTTTTACACTATAGATGACTGCACTCAATTTAGGTTGAATTATCTTACCCAAGACCTTGTCGACTGGTGAGTCTCACAAAAATGAGTGTCTTTCTCTATGGTTTTACACGCATGCATACACCTTCCTTCCTAGTTGTAATTTCATGTTTTCATATCTTGAAAACTTTGTATTTTACAATTTCTAAAATTAACCAGGACCAAGCTCTTCTTAACTGCTGCTTGCCTTTATTTCTTCTAGGCTTGTTAGCTTTTCTTGGATTTATTGCCTAAACTCTCATTTTCAGGATATGAAAAAATAAATCCCCGTTGATAGTTATGTCTACATTACTTAGAAAGTGGAAATTATAGATGACACATGAAATATTTATTTCAGATTTCCTTTGAACTAAGCCAATTAGAGCCCCCAAAAGGAACTCTAAATAGTAGTCTGCCCAAAATACTATCTTCTAAATATTTGAACTTTGCCCTTGGGTAGGAATTTCACCTTATCCTTGAAAATTAGATTAAGAAGGAATATTAAGATTTGCTTAAGTGAAATTACATTACTGGTGCATTTATTTTCATTCAAAGGGCTGATGAGCAGGTATCATTTTGACAGTGAGGGGCTTTCTCTCTCTTCTTTCAGAAGACCTCCCGTGGCATTGTCTAAACCTCCCTTCACTCAGCGACACATATTTCTTTGTTATTTCAGAACACTTTGCTTTTTTCACTCCTTCTAAGTGCCTGGAGTGAGCATCATTCATGGATCATTACTTTCCAAAGAAATTTAAGCACGGAATGCCATTTAATTTTTCCGAATGCAGTCCGTCATTAGGAATCTTAGCTGTCACTGCAATGCCATTTTTGGTGTGATGTGTTTGTTGCCTCATTTCTTTTAATTTTATCTCCATTAGCTTAATTCTTTTTTAATATTTTCATCTAACGAACTTTACAGTCCATTTTGTTTCAGTGTCTGCTAAGCGAGTTTTATGAAGCAGACAGTTGGCTTTTCATTTAGGGGGAGGGTGGCGAGGCGGGCCTTTGCTTTTGTCAGCTTTTTTTGGCACCTTAACATTTGGTTCTGCTTCTGTGCCTTGATTATAAAAGCAAACAACTCCAAGAAGTTCGTTAAAATAAGCAGCAGCTAATTAACCTGAACTTCAGATGAGACACTGCTGACATCTCATATCATTTTACACTATATTAAATAGATGAATATCTTTTTCTTGTTTTTAAAAGATATTTTTTCAGAGGCCAAAAAGGCATTGGGATCTTCTGTCTTACACTGGGGCTACTTACCCAGCAAAGATGACTATTTCCAAGTACTGTGCATGGCTGATGTTGTCATCTCAACAGCTAAGCATGAATTCTTTGGAGTGGCAATGTAAGTTCTTTCTGTTTGTGATATGTGATAAAGCAATCTCTAATCAGTTTTACTATGTGTGTTCGCTGTTATTTCAAATAATACATTAAAATTCAGTGATCAAAAGGAATTCAATTGACTATCACCTATTTTGTCTGTACTATACTTTTTGGTGATTGTTAAGGTAATCCAAAGAACTTGTTTCATTTTTCCCCCCACATACAATCGTATAAAGGCATAAGGGCCAGCCTTTCAGATGTCTTCTCAAGAGCCTGAATTAAACTTTCTGTTGTGGAGATGTGAATGAATTCATAATTTTTATTAGAACCTCCTCCCTTGGAACATACTGTGTGGATTCTTATAACTCCCATATATATTACCTGCCAATCAAGACAAAATCCTGAATCTAATATGGTTTTGGGAAAAAAAAATGATTAAATTAATGCATGATGGATGTTAATGTCTTGTGCACATGAACAGTCGATCATGTCCTCCCTATCATCATGGAGGAGGACATGAGGAATAGCAAGGCCCCAGATAAATGAATAAAATGAGCACTGTCTAATGGACTTCAGGTGGATGGGAGTAGCTGCTAAAAAATTTCTGAATGTAAAGCATAATAACATAATGGTCTTTTTCCTTACTGAATCTGACAAAAATTGAATCATTTCTAATAATTTTAAATAGATTGACATAAAACAAGCACATATATATTAAAAATAGGCCTCCATTTTCCTAGCAAATATGTGTATATGTGTAATATATATATAGCATATAATATACATATACAGATATATCTAAGTGTTTCTGTATATGTTTGAGAGAAAGCAGAACACCTCTAAGTCTTTGTCTTCTGACTTTAAAGCATGCATCATTGAGTCAAAGCCATTTGACTTACTCTATACCCTTTAGAAATAAATTTCACAAAGGATTACTTTAAAATCTCCTTCAGAATATCACCAAAAATTGTTAGAATCTTGTCAGCCAAACTATTCAAGATAATTTCTAAAGAGGCCTTATTAAAATGTATCCAAAGAACTTTCAAAAAGAGATGAATTCCATTAACTTGCTCTAGAAGAATACTCATCAGATACACAGAAGTTATCCAGGAAAATGCAGATAAATTGGGTATTGTAAATGGAGACACTTAGAAATGTGGCTAATTTTCTTTCTTATCCACTGAAGCAAACACAGGCTCTGAAAAGGACCAGGTACCAGGGTCCCTCCCCACAGCCCTGGGCAGATGGACCACTACCACTCGGCTTCACGCTGGCTCATTTACTTAGTGTTTTGCAATCCTTAATGTGCACAGCTGGCAGCTGAATGCAGGTTTGATACTAACAGTTTAGACATCTTTAGATGTAGCAGATGGAAAATTTTACACAAATAAAGTAGGAGAAAGTGTGCAATTAGGTTTTTATCTGCAGTTATGTGATGCATCCTCTGTTTTAGTTTAGAACATCACCTTAGTGGGTGGTCATGATCTTTTCTTGTATCCAGGCCCTACCTTCTTGACACCACATTTGATGTTGGCTAAATGCCCAAGTACCAAACTTTTGTTTTTGTTGAGTGTGATTGAAATAGGGAATGCAACAATCAGCAAAGCAAAAGGCATACCATCAGTGAGATTGTAACAGTCCAGTACATTATGGTTACATTCCTTGCTAGTTAAGTCACTATGGTAAAATCCTTGGCAGGATTTTTTTCAATAGTTTATTCATGATGTTCATTATTATGAGTTGTAAAGAGTATGAGAATTTCATTTTTAAAATGTCTTATGGAATGTATCACTTTCTTAGATCTTGTAGACATGCTGTGGAAACCATAACATAAAATATGAGTTACTTACAATAACTAATTTTAATCCCATCTGCTAAGTATGACAACATTAGCATTTCCACTTAATTAAAAACACCCTTAAAGCAGCAATGTTTTAATCACTCCATTTTATTTACTCTCCTCCGGTGTCACTTATAATTGTAACTTTTTATTTTTTAATAATGAGGGATTTTTTTTCTCCTTGCATCACACAAAAAAGTGCTGTCGATAATTAGCAGTCTTCTGTTATTAGTAGACTCAGGTGTCACAACTGTGTCTCATCCTCATTACAGTAAAAAATTTCACCTATCAGATTCATTATTGCTAGATAATGCGACTGAGAGCCTTTGCAGGCCCTCCAGAAAAGTAATTCAGCCAAGCAAAATTATCAGCTAATTATATTTAGAATCAAAAGCCCAACAACTATTTGCAGATAAATTGTATGAATTGAAGTGAATAGATCTGAATATTAAGATTCATAGATTTGGCAGATGATTTGTTAATTGGAATAAAAAGGTCATTTACTAGTCTTTTTAACAATAGATCAGTTGGAACTCTGTTATTTAACTGGTAGTGCCTAAGAATTGAAGTGATGAATAATTGTATTATTGTCATGAGATAATTTAAAAAAAATAAAATGAGAAACTTATGGAAATGAATTTTATAAATTGGTTTTAAAATACTATGGCCTATTTAATATATTTTAAAACATAGTCCTCATCTAAGTAATGTATATCATAACAAGTCAAAAATAGAACCAAAAGAGATGGTGGTTTTTTCCTTGATGAATTAGAAATATAACCATGACTAACATAATTTACAAATAGAAGTTGAAATCCAAAATTTGTAAATTTTTTCTTCCTAAATCAAATAATGCCATTTCTATCTTACTGTATTTTAATTAGCAGAGGTTTTTTGGAAACGGCATGGTACATATTCATACGATGACTCAAAATGTAACTTGGCCTGCAATTTTCTTTCGGGGAACAGAATACTCTAATTCAAATCCATTATTAAAAAGCAGATAACATGTGCACTCTCTGAAATGCCTATGACTTCACTCTTTTGATTTTATGTAATTATAAGAGAATGTTCATATGTATTTGCTTTTCGATTGGCACAGCATTTAAAAACTGAATGTCTTTAGATAAAGTGCATATTTTCTTTTGGTCCATAAAGAGTATCACTGGTTTATAAACTCAGAACTTTTGTAAGTGTTTTATAATACAGTCACAGTGTAGTTTATAGCTGTGCTTATAATAAGAATTTCTGTGTGTACCCTATGTATCAAAAAATATGAGGTATTAGTTTGCATTCTGAAATTAATAATTGGTAACCAGAACCTGTGCCTTCCCACTAGATTATTTTGTAACTTCTATCAGTTCTCAAGCAAAACTTTGAACTAAGTATTTTTCCAAAATTTGCAGCTCAAAGTAAATACTTTTCATTTAATTTCACTTAACATAGGAAAATAGGGAAAACATCAGCCACTTAAAAACAGCTTAAGTTTCATGTACTTCGTCACTGTAAATAAACAAGGTAAACACTGACATGACTTCAGAGTACTCTTGGGTTGAAAAAAATCTGCAGTTCAAAATAAATTTCCCCTTTGGTCAACATTTTGGATGCAATTCAAAGTTTCTCATAAAATAAACATATTTTAAAGAGTGTTTTGAATTTCACTGCATAATTTCTAGCCAACAGAAATGACAGTGGTATCTTTAAAGTTGATTATATGTCAGATCAATAGCTATTATGCAGGGCTAACACAGAAGGAAGATGCAATACCTTCCTTCTGCTTAACCCTTCTACTGTGACGTAAAGAAAAACTTCCCATAGGTGGGTCAATGGGGAAATCCTCTCACAAAGTGAAACTTTCATGTTTGTTTGTTTAATAATACAAGCATTCTTTGCTGATAAAATGGAAAGTGAGCTGAATTTTTAGTCAAGAAAGCAAAATGTTCATTAAAGTAATCTTCATGAGAGTTTTTCAACAAAAGGGGGAAGAGTTTTACATTCTGCATAATAACAAATTGTTTTGAAGCATGAGCTTAAAATGAAAATGCCCCATTACAACAGATTGTAAATTTTTTTCTGATGCTTTTAAAAGTTCCTCAATCTTTTCTACAGCGACAGTGCTAAAGTTAAGTATTTGCTATTTTATTTAAACATTTTTGAAAAATGAACATTCTGAGGCTTTGCAGCATTATTAAGAAAAGCTGTCCATACTTTACCATGTTGTTACATGTGTTTATCTGCTGATTATAAAATGTGTTAAACAGTATTTTAAAAACAAAAAAAAATGCAGAGCTGCGCTTTGATTAATTCAGTGAACAAAACATATGCTGTTGGTTCTGTTCTATGAAATTCATATATGATCAATAAAATCTTTTAAAAGAGCAACTTTGGCTTTTAGAATTATACTGCCGACCATGTTTTTTGTCCCAGTTAACTCTGGGCTCATTCAGTTAACTTAGGCAAACAAAACCACTTTCTGGCTATGATGGTAATGTCTTTTTAATATATTCTTACCCTCTTTCTAAAATTTTTCTAGGTTGGAAGCTGTGTACTGTGGGTGTTACCCACTTTGTCCTAAAGATTTGGTTTATCCCGAAATATTTCCAGGTAGCTGCTTTAATGTACATTCATCTTTATTGAGATTTAATATATGATTCATGCTAAATTAGAAAGTTTGAAAATAAACTTAGGCAGGAGCAATTGTTTATTTGGCAAGTCAACATGTTAGTGTTAAGGAAAATTTTATGTGTTTTAATACATTAGAGTAAGCTTATATTTACCATCTGTTCTTTTAAGATAACAAAAAAGCAAGTTTTCAAATAACATTCTTCATTGTTAGCATACACATCCCATAATGATGGATTTTTATAAGCAGGTCAGTGTTGCTGCAATTGCTTACAGATTTTTTTTAATGATACACACAGAAAAATCAGGGACTGAAAGTCACACCAAATTATTTAAACAATTGACTAGTTAATAATATGCAACTGTTGTACGGGTACATAAGGCTATAGTACCAGTTCTTTGAAAAAAATCTCATCACTAAGTATATCACATATGCATTGTGTTACATTAGAATAATGTATTTTAATCACCCAAAGGAGATGTCTAAACAGCACAACTACACAGTCTTATTTAGCATTAAACATCCTTGTGAGCTGAGGTAACCTTATAAAATCATGCTTAAATAATGTAAAACACGAGGCGGCACAGAGCAATATGCATTTTTAATTAGTAAAGTGACTAATATCGAGTGTGTGCTTTGAGGTTTTTGTTTCATTAAAAATGTATCTGTTTTTCCTGCAGCTGAATATCTGTATTCTACACCTGAACAGCTTTCAAAAAGGCTCCAGAATTTCTGCAAGAGACCAGATATTATAAGAAAACATCTCTATAAGGTAGTTATTGAGAAGAGATTTACATGGTATAAATGCCATATTGAAGTACAAAGAAAAATCTTAAAAAAAAACATTTAATTAACATACTAATGTTTAAAGGAAACATGCTAGGGAGGGATATTAGTTGTTACACTAACAAGGATTAATTAAACTGGATGCCAGTTGTATTAACCTAGGTCTTATGAAATACGTGCACTTAATGCACAGTACATGCTTTTTTAAAATTTACTGTTTTCTAAGATGACTGTCCTTTACATTTAGCCCCTAGAGGCTTATAAAAATGAACCTGAATTAATGTAACTCATTAGTTTAAAAGGAAGTAAAGGAAAGATTCTACAATTATACTAATGAGGATAAGCCTTTCTTCCCATCATAATGAAATCTTTAGTCCTCAAAAATTCAGGTGAATGACATTAGTGAAGTTTGGTGTTCATTTTTGAACTACTTGAAAGGTGATTTTTAAGAATTGAATATTTCTCGCGTCCAGTTTAATAAAAATGACATAAAAAATCCTCAGTTTCTTTAGAATAAGAATGTCAGTCTCATCTCTGAATGGCAAAGGGAAAATAGTGTAAACAGCATCATCATTCACTACCCTCATTCGTTATCTTCTTTTCTTTATTTGAATCAAGAATTTTACATTGTTGAAATAACAACACAAAGAGGCCCTACTAAAAGTCTAAGTAATTGAACTAGGATAAATCTGCTTTATGAGTTTTGAAGGTGGCTCTAGGCCATAAGTAATATACCTTTTTATATTCTTCGAATGTAGCATCTTCATTTTACATAACTCCAGTATAGTTTACATCTAGCAGTTTTATAATCTAACATATTTTAATTTTCCTATGTTAATATATAACCTTCTACATGAAATACAGTTCTCTGCCTTTTTTTTTCTCCCTTCCCTGTTCGTAGCCTAAAATACATATTTACATAGTGATACATCAAAACATGACTTTGTTTCTACAGGAAACAGTTAAACTTCAAGAAAAAGAGAGAGAACCAAAAATGCAATTTAACACCCAATTTCAAGCTCATTATCTTTCATTGTCTATTAACTTGGCAATGGTTCAGAAGGTAGCTCATAATAGTTTAAAATGCTGACTGAACAGTTCCAGCTTCAGTATTACTCCTTGAGTCAATAGTATTGTATTGTATACATGGGAAGCTCCACAGAGAAAACAGTCGTTCAAGATTTACCTCAATATTTCCTAATTTTTAAAGTTCAGTAGTAGTTTTGTTTGTATGAAATATCAATCAAATAGTTTCCCATGTGATAGACTGTCAAAATATGCAGATAATGAAAATTGAGGAAATATAAGTATTAGTACAAATGAATTAATTTTTTATATATGACACAAAGCTATTTTCAGTGAGTTCTCTGTCAGATTATTGATTTTTTCCCTCTTTGGATGAATTTTTGGTAAAGTATTTGTAAATGTGTTTCCACCATCAAAATTTATCAGTTTGTAACATTGCTTAACCCTGTTATTCTGCATCTGCAAATTTTAAACCTCTGCAAATTTTTAACCATTTCAAAAGTCACTGCAAAAAGTTGCCTCTAGTAAGAAAAGAAAGCAGATGTCCAGTTGAAATATTTTCATTCAGCTACTGCCATAACATAGCTATAATTATTTATTTTACAAACAGCTTCTGAAAAAAAGAATGGCAGCTTAGTGGTATGTTGTTAATATACCAAATTGTTCCTCACACAGTTTAAATGATAACCTATATCTTAAATGTTATTTCATTGAGCTGTTACATGTTAGTACTTAAATATATTTTAGTTCATACACCATAAAAACCTGCATCTCAAAGTTTTATAAATTAGTAATTCATGCAAAAGCATTTATAAGAGCTTATTTATATAATTCATTTTTAAGCATCGTCTACCATGGATTTTTCTCTTATAAATCTGTAACACATTTTCACATTTGCCTTCATCCATAGTGCTTAGTGATATTGTCTAAAAATTAATTTCAAAAATTAATAAATTAGTCAAATTTTAAGTAATCAAGAGCTTTATGATACAATTATTAGGAAAAACTGGCATGTTGCAAGGTATAGAGTTAAAAGCACAGGAAGGACCACAGATTTAGTTTGTGTGTTGTTATAGGATTTAAAGCTAAAACAGAAAAAAAAATGCCTTCTAAACCTTTATAATAATGATACAACAAGTTATTGTAATTTTTTATCTTGTGTTTTATAAATAGACACATTTTCAGGTAACATTTGCTTTTACTAAATACTAGAGAATTAGCATTTTAGCTTTTACCTACTTTTCTTATGCAGTCGGAGAGGATCTTTTGTGAGTACTGTGAAAAGAATGTTGGGAGTTATTTTTAGATTTATTTCATTGGACAGTGCTGTTTTGCTTTTATAAAACATATGCTTCTAAGATCTAAAAGGATAGAATGTCACTGAATTCTTTAATTTGTTCCTTTTACATTTTTACACCTTACTCTTTTTTTGTTGTTAAAAGTTTACATTTTAAAATCATTTCAACTTCTTATCATATAGAGTTCACTTTAGGATAGGATTTTTCATATGGATTCACACTTAGAAATTTAATGACTAGAATAAGGCTACTAACACTTGGCTTTCTTCTCACATCAGACATTATACTTTCAATATGAGTGAGAGTTTGGGGTATAACTTGAAGCAGGATTTGAAACAGAATGCTAGTAAGTGAAAAGCAGAAACAGAATTTACTTTTTTTCTTAAAGTGACTCCTTCTATCGCAGAACACTTGTGTCCATGACTTCCCACCTGAAATAGTTTCAGACCTGAAATGTTTAAATTCCTCATTTGCATGTATGTGTGTACTCGCTCAGTCTCTTTCTCTCTTATACACACACACACACACACGTACACTTGGCTTAGGATTGTTAGAGAAATCCAATACATGCAAAAATTAAATGTTTCTTAATAATTTTAAAAAACCTAAAACCATTTTTCTTAATTTAAGGAAATATAAAATCACTTCTTACAAAGTTTATGTCTACAGTTGAGTCATTGACTATAAACTTGTATTGTCGAGACATGTACTTTTTCAGGTCAGGCAGATGCACTGGACACATACTTCTCACAGAGATAAAACAGGGAGCTCTTCGATGACTCCTAAGCCTAACTTGAACACAAGTTTCTAGAAGTAATCATAAAAGAATCAGCTAAGGATTGACTCCTTAAACTAACAATAGTTCTTCCTTTCTAACCCAAGCAAGTCTAATACTGTGAAGTTGTATTTTTTTGGCCTCACTTTTATTATATTATGTGAATTTACTTATGGAAAATTCTCAACAATTATTTGAGATTAGTATTTCATGCTTTTAGAGAACCCTGATCATTATATTTTTAAATGCTGTTGAAAGACATTTTATAGCTATTCCCTCATTACCAGTATAGAAATGAATATAAGAGTACAAATAGGGCAGTTGTGTAAGGTAGACATTATCCAGACTGACAGAAGAGATTTTCATTCCCATCCTATTTTTCATTTAGTTTTATTTATAAATTGAATGGTATTCTCTGGTTTAAAAAGAGAGAGAGATGCCATTCTTGCTTTTTGAGAGTGACTTGTAGTTTCTTAAGATTTTTCAGGTGATAGCTCCTGATTTTTTTGTTTTCCTCTTCAAGTTCTTCAACATTGACAAAACTTTTATAATCTTCTATTATTTGGAAGGGAGAAGAATTTTAGAGTTCTGCCGGAAACTAATTCCAAACAATAATTAAGCTTACAATTCACACTCATTGCCCAGAAAAGCCATTTGTGGTTATCTTGATTATGTCAAGCTATATGTACCTGAACCACAGACAAGCTACTTTGTTTCCTTCAAGAAACTGGTCACCTTATAGTCCCCTTTTAATTTGAGCTTAAACTCTAGATTTGAATAAGGTGTTGCTCACTAGTTTTAATACTGCTCCAGAGTCCTTACTTTTTCCTTAAACATGAAATGTTTGTGATGTTCTAAGAACTTCTAAAAGCTCTCAACTGCACCAGCACAATTAAGGCAAATTCTCAGTCTCAGTCTCAGTCTCTCACTCTTTCTCTCTCTCCCTCCTCTGCCTTTCCCTCCCTTCCCTTTCTTCTTCCCTCTCTTCCTTCCTTCCTTCCTTCTTCACCTCCTCCTGCAATTTTATTTGGTCTGGCTTTCCTCTGATTTGTCTAAATAAAATAAAAGGAAAAAACCTTTTAGCATCACAGATATGCTTTGGCTGATTAAGATCAGTTAGAGGTTTTGTCCTTCTCTGCTACTCATTTGCAACCTGATTCTAGGTGATCTTCTTGGCCTCTATGTGATTCATCTGTAAACCTGGAAGAATATTTTTTTAAATATCAATGTACCCCTGAAGTACTGGTATAATGAAATAATGAATATAAACCTGTTATAAATATGAAGCACTTTTTAAATTTCACATAATAGTAATGGCATTTATCTTTGTGTCTTCATCATTTAAAAGTAAAATTCACGGCAGAAACTTGTATGTACAGTGTTACGTGTCTTGTGTTTATATAAGTTAAAAGTTGGATGATGAACTTTCATCATCCAACTATGAATGGTTGTCATTCATAACATAAACCAAGAAATATGTGTGCAGCAGAATATACCCATTTGCAGAAAACAGTAGCCTTCTTCTCTGGTTGGAAATACAACGACACTTTAGACCAATCAGAAACTGAGATTTCCTGAGGTGATGAAACTCAAGAACCATTTACTTGGTGGCTTTTTGAAATGTAATTGACGTAAGTGATGCAAATTTGCAATATAAATTTTCAGCATACTTTCATCTTTTAGTCATTAATGCTCTTCACTTCTTTCTCTTCTCTCCCTCCTCCTCGTTGCAGGGTGAAATCGCTCCGTTTTCTTGGGCAGCCCTACATGGTAAATTCAGGTCTCTGCTTACAACAGAACCTAGGGAAGATTTGTGACAGATGGGGCTAAGTCACAAACTTGCAGCCTAAGGCAGAATCTGAAGAACTTTCCAGAGTGTGCCCATATTTACCTGATCAGAGAGAAAAGAAAATCTGCAGAGGAAGCTGAGCCTGGCTGCTTGTCATAGCTGACACAGAGCCATCTGCCACAAACCTGTGGCGGCTTCAGATCTCCAATCCCTGCCACCACCCCAACTCAAATTAAATACAGATTCCTAGAGACGTTATGATGGTTACACATGTCCTCGGCATCACATGTAGGAGACTGTTCAAAAAAAATATGTGGCCTGTTGTATAACCGCACTCATGTATCCCATATGTGGTGCCACATTGAATTTCCGGTTGAATCCGTTTTTATCCTTTGTACTGGATGACATGGTGCCTGAATTCTTTCTTTTCGCCGACACGATGGCAGCCAAACTGCAGCTTCAAACGCTCACACTTGGCTGGGTTTCTACCTAGGTTGCCAGGTTATCATCGGAGCCTTCTTGTGTCCTCAAAGGGCCACGAGGCCTGAAAGGAGGATCAGAATGCTTTGGGATTAATTGGGCAGCCATCGCAGAATTGTTTGTGGGCAAAGGGCTGCTTTAGCACTTTTCTTTTAGCAAATTAATGACTCTCAGGCACAGGGGGTTTTAAGTGAAGGTATTAATAAGAGGTCTGGCAGGTATTCCCATGATTCACAGAGTTACATTTGCATTTAATTAATCTTAAAGTTGCAAGATAAACAGCTGTAATTCGGACAAACATGACAAACACAGTGAAGCCAACTATCCCATAAAATGAACACTGACATACTTGTTTTAATTTTTTTCCCAGCGTAAAAATAGAAAAATCAAAATACTCCTAACAAAACCAGTGATTTTGATAGAAATATTTCTCCAATATACTTGCATCCACCTACAAATATAACCTTTTCAAGATAAATCGCTTATGATTTCAATAGTCAAACTGCTGTGTTTGTTGATGTAAAGATGTTTTGAATGGCTAGATGGTAAAATAAATTCTTAATAAAGTACCCACTGCAATTTTTAATTAGCATATTCATTTACATATAGATGTATACATCTACCTATGTGTTTCTCACTGAACGTTTTCCTTGTGACAGAGACAACAAATACAATTGTTTCTTTTCCGGATGAACAAGGATCTGTTTTGCAAATGTTTGTAAGATATTATGACATTTCCAAGATTTTCTTTGCATTCTGGAAAGCAGGAGGTAAACATTTGTAGTCATTAAGGTAAAGTCTGTTGATAAACCATCTTCTGTTTACTGACAGGTAAATTGTAACTTTCCCTAGCTTTTGAAATGAGTAACTTCTATACACCACAAAGTGAGGCACAGCCTGGGAAAGGTGGCTAGACAAGGGGCAAGCCAGGCTTTCTAGCTTCTGGAAGGATCGAGTGGCCTAGCAGGCATCTAAGATAAAGAAAGCAATGATTCGGAAGTCCAGTAGGGCCCATTTGACCGGTAGCAAAATCGAAAGCACGAAATAGATCAAGGTTAGGGAGCCAGACAAAGCCCTTGGAAGAGAGGCAGTATTGCAGATCGAAGCAAGCAGTTCAGAGTCTATGAGGCCTGGGAATTTAAAAGCAGGAAGAGTAAGAAGCAGAAACAAGAAGCTCCATCTGAACAGACTCCTCTCTCCAACCTTCATGAGACCCACAGTGTGTGATGGGCCACCACAGCACTGGCTTCTAGACTTTTACAGGGAAGCCAGTGAACAAATTACCTCGTCACCCAGAAAACAAAGAGCTCAGGAACTATTTTGGAAGTTCCTTCCAGTCTAAGACTATGGAACTCAGAATCTAGCAGGTGTGTTCCTTTGGATAGCAAAACTAAAGATATAAATATGAATAAGAAATTCTTTGCCACTTCTCCTGGGCAAGGTTATACTTTATGCCATCTACTGAGATAAACCAGATGAGTCAGTTTGCTTCTGTCAGTTGCTGTGTCACAGATGACATCTTCTCAAAATAATATTATCTCACAGCCAAGAAATAGCGCTTCGTTTACTGTGTTTTTCTATCCTGAAACTAAATGGGCTTACGCTTCATAGTGGCTAAGATACTCCACACACAACTAGTACCCATAGATCTTTTCTCACTGATAGGAAAAAAAAAAAAAAAGCATTAAACACCTTTCAGAGAGTACATCTGAAACATTTACGTATTTTCCTGATTTAGGCAAATATAATATTGAAAGTTACCTGTATGTGGGCATTTTTTTCTACACTCATAAATGCAAATCAAATTTTGCCATTAGCTGTGGCCAACATTCCTTCCAGGACAAAAGCTTACATTAGGCCGGGTGCGGTGGCGCACGCCTGTAATCCCAGCACTTTGGGAGGCCGAGACGGGTGGATCATGAGGTCAGGAGATCGAGACCATCCTGGCTAACACGGTGAAACCCCATCTCTACTAAAAATACAAAAAAAATTAGCCAGGCATGGTGGCGGGTGCCTGTAGTCCCAGCTACTGGGGAGGCTGAGGCAGGAGAATGGCGTGAACCCAGGAGGCGGAGCTTGCAGTGAGCCGAGATCGTGCCACTGCACTCCAGCCTGGGCGACAGAGCGAGACTCTGTCTCAAAAAATAAATAAATAAATAAATTTAAAATAAATTTTAAAAAAATTACATTAAAGGTGTCACTTATTTGCATGATACCGAGATTTGGAGTTTAAAGAAAAACCTTATAAAGACTGTAATGTCAGAGTTGCTACTAGTTCACATAAGCAATAAAAAGTTTTGTAAATGTGTAATTCTTAACATTTAAAAATATGTAGGAGTGTGTGTGTGTGTGTGTGTGTGCACACGCACATTCATGCTTCTCAACACCCACGACCTAGTGGAATGGAGTGTTATTAAATAAGTTAATCAGTATTTTGTTGAAATCTCAGCAGATAATTAGTACTACACGTTGACTCATTAATTCAGTTTCCCTTATCAACCACCCCCATCATTTATTGTTTTGAGTATGTTTGATGGAAAACTTAGTCTTCCTCTTTTTTTTTAACACTCGATTGTTTTTTTCTTTTAAAATAAAGTCAATTTTAATTTTAAATGTCTTTAAAAGTCCATCCATTATCAAGACTTTGACACAGTGTCTTGAAATACAGCTTGCCCTAAACTTAATCTATGCTTCTGGCTAGGTGTTTCTATAACAAATATCAGGGCACCTGGTTCTTAACCTTCTCATTTATACTGTGTTGACAGAAATAGATGCAAATACCTTTTTAAAAATGCTCCTGGTTTAATAAGCATCCTTCAAATACAGTTAAGTTTAAATGCCCTGCTCCTGTTCTCAGTCCTTCAGACATCAATATGGCAGGCAGAATCCATAAGTCAATGGAAACTCTTAGCCATAGAGGGCTGCAGAGATTAATTTCAACACCTTGAAATGCATCTGGAAGCAAAGATTTCATTTTATGTTGAAGGTGTTAATTATATTTGATATTTTTAAAAGTAAAATCTGTTTTTGAGAAAGCATCTGCTACCCAGAAATATTATGAGCCACAAAAGAAATTTTACTGAAGTCTCAAGATACTTTCTGTGGATGATAGAATCAGTTTTCAAATGATAGTCCATGCTGTCTTTTAATGCTGACATACACTGTGGGTCTTATTCTTCTATTGACTATTGACCCAACTGCCTTTCTTTTTCAGTGGAAAATTTGGGACTATTTAATATTAGATCTTATGTTTAACAATGAAGAGAGTATATTATAAACCACTGACTTGAACATGTTTCATTTTAAAATTTGAGTTGTGATACAGACAACTAATGCTCCTATCCTATGCCCTCTCTTCAAAGCTATTCATTAAAATATAACTGGGGAAGTTTGAAAAACATGCGAGCAATTCTACATGCTGCTCAAAGATACAGACATGTGTGATTAAAGTACAGTATTACAGAAAACCTGGGAATTAACCAAACTTACAATAATGGTTATGTCAGAGGGGCCATGGTAGAGAAAAAAAAGGACATAGAAGTAGGGAAAGGTGCATTCGTTGCATGATGAGAAGTCTGTTTCTTAAGCTGAGTCGTGATACACAAAGGCTTCTTGCCACTCTTTGTGACATTTCATGTGTCTTCAGTGTATTTATTGCATATATCTTTTGATAGGAGATATAAATACTTCAGGAAGCATGTTACTAGTTTTGCTATCAGGCTATCCTTAACATTTCTTGGTTTTCTCAATTATTGATTGAGTCAGAAAACTGCTTGCCTCAGACAGTGATACAAACTACTCTACTGCCAATGTTGCTTGAGAAGACTTTCCTCTGCTTAACAGGAGCCAGGGGCTTCACCTCAACCCTCATGCTGTGGAGAAAGTCAGACTCAACTGGCCACAGGTTCCTGTTTCTTGGGGCTGCTAATCACCATTTCTAACAGATGCCTGTGGCATTGCAAACACAAGATGGAAAACTATAGCTCTAAACTCCCTTCTGAAGGGTAAGGAAAGGAAGAGGAAGGCAGATGTTAAATGAGCCCAGTCTTTCTCATCTCAAAAAATTCAGAGCTGCCTGTTAGAGCACAAGAGCTCTCAGAGCTCCCAACCACACTGCCCACTCCCCATAGTGTTGCCTCTCCCCTTTCCTCTTTAAGACGCAGGAGCGAATCGTGGTCTTTGTGCTTTCACTGCAATCTATCCCAGGGGAAGAGTTCTCCCGGGTATCTGTGGGATGCCCTTGCTGCATGTGAGGCACAAATGGCTTCAGGGACCAGGATCCTCACTCACTCTGCAGTCCATTTTTCTAAATTGGAATTTGCGATCGGTTTCTTCAGGTGTCCCACCATCATCTATCATTATCTGAGTTATTCCTTATCCTCTCCCAACCCCAAGGAGAGGATCTTAATTGTTTTTATAAACTGACAGAAGGAATTGGTGATTCTTGGAAGATAATTTTAAATGGTTATATTACTTTCCTATTACTGCATTTACTGCATTTAAATAGCAGGTCTAAGGTGGGGTGCGAGAAGATGTGACCCCTAGGAATATTGGTATGACCTTTCTCAAGCAATTTGAAGTCCTTTAGATCTGAAAATTTAATGTCTTCAATATCATTTCACAGATGAGAAAATTAAGGCACATATAGTGACATATTTAGGAGCTGAAGTGTGTTACAGAAACAAAGTTTTTTTGTATAAGCCTTTCCCTACATGGGATGTTATCATTGTCACCTATGTGCCTTTCAGGAAGCACCAAGTGCAGTATGCGTGACTCAGTTGGACCCCTAGTTCCCTTCTATTTCTCCAGCTGGCAGGAGACAGCAAAGGACAGTGGAGGTGGTTATTTTGTGGCCCACATTTCTGCCATTAAAAGGGACATAAGAGACTATGTAGTGTGGCCAATTTTTTTTTTTTTTTTTTTGAGAGAGAGAGTCTGGCTCTGTCGCCCAGGCTGGAGTGCAGTGGCACCATCTCGGCTCACTGCAAGCTCCACCTCCCGGGTTCACGCCATTCTCCTGCCTCAGCCTCCCGAGTAGCTGGGACTACAGGTGCCCACCACCACGCCCGGCTAATTTTTTTGTATTTTTAGTAGAGACGGGGTTTCACCATGTTAGCCAGGGTGGTCTCAATCTCCTGACCTCGTGATCCACCTGTCTCGGCCTCCCAAAGTGCTGGGATTACAGGTGTAAGCCACCATGCCCGGAATATGGCCATTATTTTAAGTGTTTTTATTATTGCTCTGGTTCTCCCTTTAGGGAGGCATTCAGTGAGTATACCCCATCTGTCACAGGCCCCCACCACTCCCTGTGGTCTTACACTCTGCTGAATTCATACATTTAGGTAACTTCCCTGGCCCTCCTGAGAATCACTTATTTTTGTAACCTCCTGTATTTGAGATGTAGGAAACTGGGGCCTGAGGAGAAGTTGACTTGCCTTGGGTCCCACAGTGGTACAGGCAGATCTAGAACTCAGATTTTCCAGGGCTCTTTCAGTAGGCTGTGGTTGAGCAGTAGTCAAGACCACCTCTTCAAGAAGGGAAAAACATTTGTCTTCTCTTTCTCCTCTTTCTTCCTTCTGCCTCTCACTGTAAGAAGAAACGTGTTAATAAGTTGCTAATACCTTACTCTAGGTGTATTTCATGTTACACCAGCCAGTGCTTGTATTCTCAATGACCATAAGGAGAGGAATGCGGAAGAATTGATTTCTGTACTAAAAGTTCAGACTCTGTGGCACTTGTGATATTTCTGGACAACTGACTCTTCTCTATTGCCTTTCGAATCATACAGTGGCAAAGCTGCTCACCCATGTGTGTATAAAGCTGACCCTTCATCAGAAAGGCAGCCCCCAGTGTCTCCCCACACAGGGCAGAAGAGCAGAGGGAGCAGGTGGCAATGTGGCAGCACCTTGAACTGTGCATCACTGGGCCTGCTCCCCCTCATCCCAAAGCAATAACCCAGAAATTACATCCTGAGACTTACTTCCTCAGAAAGAAAAGGAAGGGGAGGGATAACTTAAAAAGGAGAAACTTCTAATATGGTATTAGACTGTAATTCATAGGGAAATTTATGCCTGAGATATGAATTTCTGAAAATAAGGGGCTTTTTTGGAAGGGAAACACTGACACATCCTTAATTATAGAGTAATAAATACCAATGGTATATTATCTTTCGATATTTCCTTACACAGATATCAAAGCATGCAGCTGTTTTTGAAAACTGATAATCAAGTACAATATAAGTATATTACATCTTGCACTTACAACACACCCTTCAACTAAGCAGCATCATGGAGCACTTAACGGTGAGAAACAGAGCTGCTCATAGTAGAAACCTAACTGAACAAATTAGCTTTGAATTGTAACTTAAGAATCGTAGTCAAACCAAAGCGTCTGTCCTTGCCAGGAAAGGCATTCCAAAGGCAGAGAGCATGCCAAGTAAAAAGGCTTTGCTTCAGGATTATGGAGACAGTTCTGAAAAGCCAGCATAACTTAATGATCAATCAGAAAAATATAGAGCAGTAACTACACAACTGAAGGATGCATAAAAATTGTACAAAACGTTAATAGTGGAATGGGGAGGTAGGATGGGATTTTACGGGCAAGTATTAAGCTCTTGGAAAGCTTCATTTGTTGCCCTCAATCCACACAGCAGAAAGAAAGAGAAAGAGACAAACATGGTCAAAGAAAAGTATGTGGACAAATGTGGGGGGTAGAAAAGGAAATGAAGGTTAAGCAAGGCCAATATAATTCAGAATAAAAGGGAGGGAGGGAAGTATAAGGAGCCAGCTGTAATTACTGAATGTTACATTAAGAAGAGCTGAAATTGAGAGGGGGAGGTCTTGAGTATTTTACTAAGTGGATTAATGTCCTCTTCCTCGGGTGTCTGAAGTTGCAGATTTTAATTTATTTGGTGCAGGGATTTATTACAGAATTCTTAATGGGTGGGGAGATAAACAGGGACAATTATAAGCTCTTAAGAAGAAGAAAAGAGGACCATATAATACTTTCTATAAATTTAACTGTAATAAACAGGGTTTCAAGCTATGGACAAAGATAGTCAAAAAAAGCATTTATTCCATGATATAGGACTAAAAGGGAAATAAGAGGTGTGTCCAAAAAACTTAAAGACCAAAACAAAGAAAGAAAAACCCACATAGATGTGTGATGCCAGGATTTTGAATGACTTGGGAGCTAGTTATTGCCGCTCTCCTTTCTCCACCCATTTAAAAAAATAAATCATAACTCTGGCATTTAAAAACCTACTCATGAACATCATTTATTAATATAAACTTAATCCTGTGCTATTCTTTGGTGGGTGGTAAGAACATGAATTAACAACAACTGGACTAAAACGATGGCAACAGGATGATCCACTCAAACACAGGAAAGCTGTAAGAAAAAGAAAAACTCCTAATCTGCTCTTTCACCTTACTTATTTTACAGAAGGAGAAAGCCAAAAAGGGGAGAGCATGTGGCTAAACCACAGAAAGACTAGATGCCTAAAGGAAAAATTTTAAAGTGTTCCTAAATAGGTATTAGAAGGGGAAGGGGGATGTAAAGCTTATGTGATTTACATCATTTTGTTAATCTGCTAATCTACTTCCCTGGAAGGTGAGAAAGAGTGTTGTCTGCCTTCTGCAATTGAAGAGACTAGGGCAGAAACTTAATTATGTTCTTACCCTGTGTATACCTGGCTGTCATCTGGCTGGCAACTAGTCCACAAACTATTGGTTCAGGCATTTGCCTGGCAATAATGTTAGCCATCATTTAAATTGTTAAATATGGATCAGAAGATCTCTAAGAATTACTGATATGCAGCTATTAATACTGGATGTAAATAATATTATTTGGGGTGTGGGTAAATCATTTGACTGGAACCACATTTAAAAAAAGGACTTGGAAATTTTATTTTTGAAATGCTGTTGGGGAGATGGCATTGATGAAAAAAAAAATTGAAAATGGAAAAAAACATCATCTACAAAGAGATGGGTAAAAATGACTAAGCAAAGAAGCCTTGTCACCTTCGACCTGATGCTTCATTGTATCAGAAGAAAGTAAACAGATTGCTAACAAAGAGACCACCCCTTCTAATTTCCAAAACCGGCCCAGCAACAAGAGGGAGAAAATAGAGAAGAGTGCACTGCGTGGTGGCTCAGGGTGATCCTTTAATTTGAGTGTTAAAAATGAGGGCACAGACCTAGAGGTTTTTAATGGTCCGCGGGTGGACTTCAGATTCTGAACACTCCTCCACCTTCTGTGGAGAATTCGGGACACGGTGGAGTTTAACCAGTATCTTAAATCCCAGGGACAGGGTGGAGATTGCTTTGTGATCCTGATTAATTAAAAGGAAAGAAATCAAAGCAGACATCTCTCCTTTTTCCATTTGAGCCGCAGAGCCATGGAGGGGAACTTGTGCTCTCTGGTGCTTGCAGCTATGTTCCCTGGCTTTCATCGTCTTGGCTTTTCCCCTTGTATTTCTAATGCTGTGATACCAGGCCAATAAAATGGAATCTACAAAACTGCAAAACAAAATTGTGTGTATGTGTGTGTGTATTAGAATTTTACTGAAGATAATTGCAACACTTTAAGCACAAAATTTTTAACTTAAAATGTATGAGTAATGAAGTTTTAAGAAGCAAAATGTGCTCAAGCGGAGTATTTGTAGTCCCTTTTTTGTAAGAGGTTCCCCAGACCTCTGGGTGCATCAGCAAACTGTCCTACACGATGGAGCGTGCAGCTGCAATTTGGCCCCGGGCACCACCTATCCAGAGTTACTACCTAATGCATTTTACATTTGCACACATTGTCAAGGGGTGGGGGGCAGCTAAGAAGGGGCCTCCCCCCCACCCCCCAGCGTTCTGTTTCCTTTTGTCGCGGCCGTCAGCTGACACGTGGAAAATGTGGTGTACGGTTTTGTTTGCCTTTTATCTGTAATTAAGGATCCCTTGTCTGGGGCTTGCTACCTCTTTTCTTTCTGCCTCCCTGCCGCTCGGGTCTTCCGCCCTCGGTCAGGTCTGGCCTGGCGCACCGCAGCCTGGGGACTCCGGGTCGCCGGGCGGAGAAGCAGGCAGTGGGCGCAGGGACCTCCGCGGAGCCCGGCGCTCGCCTGCCGAGAGAGCGCACGCCCCGGCACGCCGGCCCCGGCTCGCCCGAGCCCCCGACCAGCTAGTGCCTTGCGTCGGGGCAGCTGCGCCCGCGTTGCCCAGAGCGGGTCGCCTTGCCGCGCGTCCGTTCCCTCCACACCGCTGCGCCTGAGCGGCCAGCGAGCCCGAGCTCCGGTCTGCGGCGGCGCCCGCCCTCGACGCCTAGCTCAGTCTCGTCCAGAGCGGTGGGGGGAGTTTTCTGCACCTTTCAGGCGCGGGAACATGTCGAGGGACGGGGGAGGACGTTGAGGTCACGAAGTCATCACCCACTCCTCTCGGCTGCGTGGGCGCTGCGGGAGCGCAGAGCCGGAGCACGAGGGGCTCGTCCCAGGGCGCGGGCCCCGCCAGCCCCTGGCGCTCCCACCCGCGCGCACTCCCTCGCACACCCGCGCTGGCACGCGCACCCTGGCGCGCGAACTCCCTGCCACGCGCGCGCTGTCACGCACACACACCGGCACGCACCCGCCACGCTCGCGCCGACACTCCCAGGCTGGCACACGCACACGCGGTGGGGACCCACCCCTGCCCGGGTTTGGCTGCGCCGGGCTCGCGTGCTCTCTCTCGGGCACCCCCGGGAAGGGAGCGCAGCTCGGTGGGCCGGCACCCTGTGCTTTATGCGTCTGAGGATTTCATTGAACTCGGTTCCCTGAGTCGGCCAGGCTCAGTCCTCAGCGAGGGAATACGATGAAGACGCACTAAGCAAAACCAGAAACACCGATGCCTACTACCTTTTCAAAAAACATAACTTGCCCTCAGCAATCCCGCGAAGGGGAGTGGGGATGGGCACGGGGACTCTCCGAAAGGGATTTTATCTACACAGTTTAGAATAACTCCTGTCTCTGGTATGTTCGGATATGTGATTTAAATCTCACCCCCCGGACGCTTTCTTTTTCACTTCACACCTGTATATTGAAATACAAACCTCATTTCTCCTCCTCACCACCAACTGGTTATTTAGGAGGAGTGGAGAAGAGGAGTTAAGCAATATTGGGGCAGGAGAATATTTAGAAGCATTACATTGATTTGTCACTCATTTGCTCTGATTAGCTTTTTGAAAACTTGTGAAGATATTCCTATTTTGAAGCTTGTATTTTGTTAAAAGCCTCCCTCACACTGCCGTGATTTATCATTATTTATCTGAGTATACACACGTATGTATAGGAGAAAAGGAATGCTGATCCTTCCTGATTTCAGCAGTGCCGTTTTCCTTTCTATCCATGTGGTTTTAGCATAATTTTCTCCCTCTTTCTCACCAATAGAGATATTATAGTACGCAAAAGCAGGGCACACCTGTGACCAAATACAAGCAACATTAGCCTGGAGTGTTTGCGAATACTCCTTGTCATCTGTCGCTCAAGATTTCCCCCCTCAGATTTGAAATATTCCCCAAACTGGTTTAAAGGTGTGAGCGGGTGGGTTAACACGTGAGAGCAGTCCAAAAGTAAAGCGAGGTTGGGAGAGGGTGGCCTACATAAACCAACTCTTGGAAGGCTGAACAAGAACGCATGGGAAGTGCATTAAGAAGAGACTGTAAACAATGATAATCAGGGCTTTCAAAAATCATAAAACGGATTGAAATATCTGATTCATTATTTATTCATCACAGCGCAACTTTGCGAATCTGAGAATAGTGTTTGGAAACCAAGTGCCTTCTATTTAGTACATCAAATCAGCAGATGGGTCTCCCTTCCAAACTGCGGCTAAAGGGTTAAAGCTATAATTTTAGAAAAGAATCTTAGGAAATGACACTCAGATCTAATATATTTCCTTTTCTTTCTGGCAATAATATCCCCCAAAGAATAAATATATACTTATTGATATCATGATAATGTTTCTCATTCTGAGTACAAGTGTCAGACTGATTCCCGTTTGTGTAAGTGTTTTTAAAACTGCGAGGACACTTTCGCTACTCTGAAAGCTGACGAGCCAATGAAGGGGAGCTTCTTTTAACTCCATAATAGCAGGTTACATAGTAAATGAACACTGATGGTCAAATAGCCAATTATGGTATAAATATCCGTTGTTTACAGAGAGGTGTTAAATGAGCCTTGGAGTACAAGGGATTAGGCCGATCTATGCTACAATTTGTTCTTCAACCCATTATGTCTTCCCTTTAAAAGGCCAGTGCCATTGTAGGTAGTACGCACACAGAACATACTTCTCTATGTTGATTTTAGTTTGCTTTATTTCGATGCACACTGTTGTTTACTTTTTAAAATTTAAATAAATGTCAGCATTGTATAATTTCTATGTTAACAAAGCAGTGAGCAAAATCCCTTGTATGTTTATAAAATATTATTGTTTAATTCACATAGTTTAGAAATTCCAAATGTTGAGAATAGGAAGGAGGCCAAATACCATCTGTTTATAACTATGATGCATCGTAATATGTGTACTTTTAAAAGGAGTTTGGTCAATCATGCCACTATTTTATCTGCTCGGAATATGTTGGAGATTTAAAATGTAATTTACAGGATTACTTTTAGTGCGTTGCATCCAACTGTGAGTTGTAAAGAAATCGGTCTCTTCTGTTTTTCTCAAATTAATCATGTAACAGCCCCAATTAATGGGGGCTGTTAAACGTGTCGCTTTTTGCTTAGCTCCAGAATTCTTCTAACTTTGGCTCAGTCCACCTTCTTGATGCTGATAAAAACTCCAAGGACAAATGAAACAAAACACTCCTAGCTGTGTCTTTCTGCCAGGAGATAGTCACTAAGAATGGCAGGCAGGATATGGTAGCTAATAATTAGCTAACATCAGCCCTGAGAAATTACCTGTGAAATACCCTTTGGTACTGAATTGAAAAACATCTGACACTCCCTGTTTTAAAATAGTATTTTCTTGTCCCCGAGACTTCTGATTTAACTTACCTTTTATTTCAAAGGCATCTAATTGCATACCATGTAACAAAGGGAGTATACTTACTTGCAATAGATGAGCAGGTTTTTGTTTTTGTTTTTAGTTACAAACTCAAGTTATTCAGTTAGGAACTCTCCCTTGCTTTGCAAATCAGGGAATCTCAGCAACTGGGCCTTCAATTCCAGGCAGCCATAGTTTTAAATCCAGAGGTGGTTTTAGAGTGTCACACCATGGGGTCTCTTTTTCAAGAAGGAGGAAGTGAAGATGAGCTCAGATGTCTTGAAAAAGGTTTGAAAGCTGTGATAAAAACATTTATTAGCAAATGATGGTTGCTTGATTGATTTTTTAACAAGGTAGAATCAGTAAAAAGCTACATCTTGAAATGCTTTTATAAACACATGCAGAAATATGAAAACAAACTCCCAATAAACTGGGCATGTTCTGGATGTTTTACTTCTCAGTTGAGTGTTCAATGAAAAAATGGTGCTGTATAAAGTGGTTTCTCTGTACTATTTAGCAATATCTGTTTTCTCAAACATTTTAGTTTTAGCAGCTTCATCTAAAATTGTACCAACCTAGATTATGTACTCATACATAATTAAGAACATTAAGAATACCTTCTCTAAGTAAACAAACTGACCCATTATACTTTTTTTTTTTCAATCTAAATGTTATATTTTGAAAGTCTATTTGTTTTCTTTCTGGTCAGATTTTTTTCCCCCAAAAATGAATCCATTGGCTTTTTATGTTATCAAGATATGCTTAAGCTTGTTTTTCTTTGGGTTACAATAAGAAAATGCCAGACTCCTTTTTCCTACGTAATTGCTCAAGTGTGTACAGAGTATAAGAGTGAATCCAAAAAATAATAATAATGTTAGGGATAAAGAGGAAGGAGATTGGAAAAAGTGGAGGGGGAAGGGAGGTAAGAATAGCAGAAGATAGAACTGGGATAAAAGAGGTTTATCAGACAAAGCTTTCCAAATTGCTTGGAGGAGATAAGACATAATCATTACAAGCATCATCATTTCCAAATCAAACCTAGATTTTTGCATTCAGATATTAAACAACTAGGGGAAACTTTTAAGTAAACCTTTGTGATACATGTGAACTAGTTTTTTTATTCAAGCCCAGCATTCTTAAGTGAAGCAAGTACTAAAAGATATCCATATTCCCATTGTGGGAGACAGAGAAGTAGAGGCATTTTCTGTGTTTAAGGCATTTACAATATAGAAATAAGCCATAAATACATAAAATGAACAAGACTATGTATAATGCACTCTTATATTTTGCCTATTGTAAGTGCAAAAATAATGATGATTTTCAGTGGAGGAATTATTCGACATGCTTTCCTACTGATACTTTATCTAGCAGTTCATTTCTAGGCAAGTTAAACAAGGCTTAAAATGAATAAACTCTTCGGAACTCCTCTAGTCTAATAAATTGCAGTAGATAATCAAGATTGAAATTGGCATGTAGGTGTGCATATCATGTTCCCTTTAGAACCGACTTAGAGCCATAGCAGTGACCCACAGTGTGCACATAAGTCATTGCTATAGTCCCGTTATCTTGACAGCCAAATCATTTTATAAAATATACTTTAATAAGTTACTATTGAGCCCTGAAGTAAAACCATATAACTTAACCATTACTGAGTGGCCATTTATAGGTATTATATTTAAATCGGATAAAAGATAAAAGAAAGGAATTAAGAATAAGAAAAATGTATGGGAAACTATTTGCTTCTTGCGATTAATCTAAAGCATGCCAGAAGTATCTTTTCATTTTGCTTTTTATGAAGAATTATTGACCCTAAGAAAAGTCATTTGAGGACTGCAGGTAAACAAACAATAAAAACAACAACAACAAAAATATTGCTTTTTTAAGGAGAGAATACAGAAAGTAGTAAACTCATGCATTTTAAACATTAAGAAGAAAAGACATAAAATTTAACACACACAATAAATAATAAATATTCTTCAGTTTCATCTGATGGCTAATGAAGGGAAAAGCTCCTGGAAAATTTGGAAGGAGAGATGAATGTAACAAGGTAATTAACTCTTTGCTCCTTTAGCCATAGAAAAGAGCGAGTAGAGTAAGATTTCTTTTAAGTTTAGATCTGCAGCAACCACAGAGATCAAATCGGCCTCTACAAAATAAATAAAAGGATTCCCACTAGCTCTCCAACTCAAGCTCCAGTCTTGTTGTTGGCCCCCCACCCCCCCGACCTTGGGGCCCCAAAAATCTCAGGCCCTGGAGTCTTTGCTCTTTGATGGAATTCTTGCCTCTATTAAGAGATCAGCAGCAGCTGGGTTCTTGCCTCGTTCTCTTGGACCTTCTACTGATGGAATCTGCCATCTGGTATTCACTCTATTATACTTGGGTAGCTCTTTATAATTTAAGATGCGCTTCTTCATCTGTCCTCTGATTTAGTCTTTAGAACGCCCTTGTGACATAGATAAACCATAGCTTTCGTCACAAATGTCAGAAGGAGCAACTCAAAATCATACTGCTAGGACATTGCAGAACTGGGACTACAGGTGATAGCACATGGCACCCAGTGTGCTCCTTCCCCTTAGACTGGGTTTCATACTTTGCTCTTCATTTGGATTGTGAGTATGTGAATACATTACAATTACCATCTTTGTATTGGGTGGGGAGAAGAAGGAAAAGAGGAGGAGCTGAAGGGAAAAAGAAAGGAAAGAAAATAAATCTCTTCGGGCTTTTCTGTGAACTGGAGAAGGATAAGTCTTAAGTTTTTAAATAACTCCCTCTCTGCTTACCAAGATTAGTCAGGAGGGAAGCACTTCCTAAAATTTGTAACCAGGAAAGGAAAAATGAATTCCAAAGCTATCATGGAGCAGTGTGCTTTAACAGATAGAAATCTGAAGTCGATAATCCATTGCCAGAGCTCCTTAATGGATTCTGGGATATGCATGAGTTGGCCACAAGCTGGATTTGGAATAAAAGGTGAAGAACAACTCTGCTTAAGAAATGAATAGGAATTTGGGAAGACTGAAGAAAAAAAAAAACCTTGTAGAGAGGAAAAGAAAATGGTCACAGAATAGAAGGACATAAGCAAGGACTTAAAAGTAACATATCCAGCAGCAACCTGTAGTGGGATAGAATGGATTACTATATTCTTTTTATTCAAGGGATGGATTACACTGTTTTAAGCATGTGGCCCAATGTCATCTCTACCTGTAATCCCAAGCTTCCACTGAAAGCCAGCTACACTAAAACTCGCTTGCTTTAGTTCCACATTTGGGGAATGAAGGTACAAGGAGGGTGGACAAAGGTGACACTGTGGAAGAAATTATTTAAAATAAAGACAAGGCCAGGTGTGGTGGCTGACTCCTGTAATCCTAGCACTTTGAGAGGCCGGGGTGGGAGGATCACTTGAGGCCAGAAGTTTGAGACCAGCCTGGGCAACATAGTGAGACCCTATCTGTACAAAAATCTTTACAAATTAGCTGTGGTGGCACGTGCCTGTCATTCCAGCTACTTGGGAGGCTGAAGTGGGAGGATCACTTGAGTCCAGGAATTCAAGATTGCATTGAGCTATGATTGCACCACTGCATTCTAGCCAAGGCAACAGAGCAAGACCCTATCTCTAAAAAATGAAATATACTAAAGACAGAGAATGTTATGGAAGTGGAAAATAGGGACAGGAGATAATTAGGAGAAATGGAAGCCCTCTGAGGATGAACGCTAAGACACAAGGAAACCCATAATGCAGGAGGTCTTGGAGAAAACCAGGCAGCTGATTGTTGATGTTGTGGACACTTGGACATTTTTGGCTATTCAGTATCTACCTATCCTTCTGTCAGAATCTGAAATTCTATGTGAGGAAATAATTATTTCTTTTTTTTTTTTTTTTTTTTTTTTTTTTGAGACGGAGTCTCGCTCTGTTGCCCAGACTGGAGTGCAGTGGCGCGATCTCAGCTCACTGCAAGCTCCGCCTCCCGGGTTCATGCCATTCTCCTGCCTCAGCCTCCCGAGTAGCTGGGACTACAGGCGCCCGCAACCGCGCCTAATTTTTTGTATTTTTTGTAATTTTTTGTAATTTTGTATAATTTTTGTATTTTTAATAGAGACGGGGTTTCACCGTGTTAGCCAAGATGGTCTTGATCTCCTGACCTCGTGATCCACCCCCCTCGGCCTCCCAAAGTGCTGGGATTACAGGCGTGAGCCACCACGCCTGGCCCCGGAAATAATTATTTCTGATATTATCAATCCTGGAAATGGAATCTTGACTTGAAGAGAGGAACAAAAAGATAACGTCTGTATTCCAGTCCTTCCTGCGTGGAGGAACCCACTCAGACTATTTCCACCAAAAGATGGCGGGTGGGGTCTGTTTCCTAACCTCCGCAGCTGCTGGGGTTTCTACGAGTCCCAAGCTCAAAAGTCCAGCCTCCCTCCCTTTGATATTGTTCTCTATCCACTAGGATTCTGTCAGGTGCAGAAAACCGAAGGCCCTGGTTCAACTGACTTGTTCAGCAAGGAAAAATTATTTCAGATAGCAAGAAGGGTGGATGTAGAGTGGCTACATCTTTCCACTCTCCCATCCTGACGTGTTAGCCTTTCTTCAGCTGACCCCTTATGGTCACAAGAAGGCTGCAGCAATGCAGCCATCACGTCCTCACCATGTGTCTATTTCCAGATGCAGGAGAGGGTTTTTTTGTTTTTGTTTTTATTTTCTTGTCTCTCTTTCTGCAGTCAAGAAGAGTTTGCCAGAAGCCCACTAAGAGAATCCCCCACATAACCTCATTGCATCATATATGCATAAACTGCAGGGGGAATGGGAATTGGATCTATCAATTAGACCCTAACCCTGAGCCATATAGGAGTAGAGGGATGAATAGACCATTAAAAAAATTAGAATGAAGTACACAAAGACAAAAGAGAGGAAATGACTATTTGGTAGCTAATCCATACTGCAACTTCTCCCAATAAATACATTCGTGTCTAGTTTAGTCAGATTGAGTTTTTGTTGTTTGCAGATAATCCAGATTAATATCCTCAGTTATAGCTACTACTGAGATAACTGACATTACTGAGATTATTTAAATTTTAGATAACTTTTGATAAATAGAGATATAATTTGCTTTTACTGTCAAAGTTATTTTTTACTTTTTTTATTTATTCATTTAATGTATGTGAAAAGATGACTTGGGTTTTAGAAATATTATTTTTTTACTCTTCTAGATGTGCAGCATATATTGGCCATAACAAATTTTTTCAATAATAAGTTTCTAAATATGTTTAATGTCTTACTTTGACATTTATTCATGTGTCCCTTTTTTGTTCATTCTGTAATTCATATAGTCATTAACTTCTTCTTTGTTTATTCAAAAATTATTATTAGGAACCTGATATGTATGTGGAAGACATTGGATTAGAAAGAAAAAAAATGTTAAAACATTTGTAGAACCTCAAATGAAGGTACATTTATTTTCACTTTGTAACATTTTTAAAAGGGGAGCAATGGGACAAAAAGGAGGAACCTGTGGATGTTCCCAGCCTTCTCTTCTTGCTAACAAATTTCCCTGCTTTGCCTCCTTGGCTTTCTCCATTCTTTTTGTTCTGAGGTGAGTCTTGCCTTGACAGACAAGTTCTTTTTGGGCTTTAGGGATGAGAATAGGGAGGAAAGGGAGAAAGAACAAAAGTTCAAAAGATTAAATTTGGAGGAGGAGGTTATCTTGACGTGAGAGTGGAATTTGAAGACAGATATAAAGGAGAAGCAGCAGCTGCTGTGTGTGAACCACTAGATGGGGGAGGCAGAGGGGGATTTTTAAGAATAGCTATGGACTCTGTGCCCTTCATAGTGTTCAAGAAAATAAATGAAGAACTTGAGTCACTTTGAAATTATTTTTAGTTGCTGCACTGTGGTGGGGTTTTTTTTATTTGTTGTTTTAATCATGATGTTGTTCATATGGGTTATTACTTTGTAGTATCCAGGGCTCTATTGAATTGCAAGTGACAGAAATTAACTCACACTATTCAGGCATTAAATTTGGCTTATGTGTTGAAAAGTCCTAGGAGATGATCTTTGGGAATATGAGGACCCAGTGCTCAAGCACCACCATACTCTCTGTCCCTTTTTCTCTCACCCTTTCTGTCTCTCTCTCCCTTTCTCTCTGTCCATTTTTCTTTCTCTCTCCATTTTTCTCTCTCTCTCCCTTTCTCTCTCTCTCCATTTCTCTCTCTCTTTCTCTCTCCTTTTCTCTCTCTCTCCCTTTTTTCTCTCTCTCTCTTTCTCTCTCTCTCCCCTTCTCCCCCGCTACTTTCCCTCCCTCTCCCTCCCTCCTTCTCTCTCCTTTCTCCCCTCTATATTGATTTCTTTCTCTAGAAGGCTATGTTGATGTGGTAGGAAAGTTAACTTGTGTGTGTTACCTATGATTCTTACAGACTCAGAAAAGAGAAACTCTCACATCCAGCATCCAAATCAGACTCTGGCAAAAGGGCATTTATTCACCCTGCTTGGGTCACTTTTTTACACTTGTGGTGGGGGATTAGGGAAACTAAGGAAGACATAATTTCAGATGACCACTTCAGTGTTACATTGGAATGGATCCTTCAATCCAGGTTAAAAGAAACTTTCCAGCTGTAGACAGAGGAATAAGTTGTGCTGTAGTTCACATTGTATCTCTTGTTAAACAAGTCTCTCTTCTTCACTGAGTTATTTCCACTACTATCACCATATGGGGTTGAATTTTAACTTAAATATAGATCTGTAGTGGTCTTTCTAAATGTCTTCCAAAGGACTAGACTCCAAGGTAGATTTGAAATGAAAGCTATTGGATATGCAGAAAAAAGAACATGGGAATAGAGCTGCAAACAAAGTCACAATAAGTGAAGCAAATGTTCTCCCCTTGGAAAAATGATGGACTTAAACTTAAACCTCATCTAGAAACATTCAAGTCCTTTGCAGACTTCCTAAGAAGGGAAGATGCTTAGTAGGAGATAAATCTTTTGTTAATGAGACATGCTCAAAATAATTCCCTGTTACATACCAAACAGTACAATTAGAGACATTAAAAAGAGATTGTAGAATTTCTAAGCTACAGAGGTCGGTATGAGCACTTAGTGCATTGTGGACTATAGTTCAGGTGTCAAGTATCTGTTAAAAACTAGTTGTGGATTTCTGTGAAACGTTTTTCATTTCCAAGGATAAGAGAGTCAGTTATGGCGGGGGCGGGGGGACATGTCTGAGTTTAACCAGAGTGGGAGTGCAAATAGAACCCTGGTATTATTTCATATGCCTAAAAAATACGTATTGGTTCTGAGGTGTTAAAGAGGTCAAGGTCATAAGCCTTGGTTTGAGGAAGGACAGGTCACTAGGATGATGTGCATAACTGTTGATGATCAAAAGTGCCTAAGAAGATACTTGAAGCTCTATAAGACTTTGCTCAGACTATGGAAGAAAGTGGTATATCGTATAGTAAACATAATTGAATAATCTATTGTAAGTAAACAAAATAAAAAACTGTGTACATACGGTTTACTATAGTTATAGTAGATTGAATGATTGTTCCTTATTCCTCCTTGTTCTAGAATTGTGCGTTTTATATTTATGGCCATTTCCATGTGACTTTGTGCTTCCTCTAGAGAAAGCATAGTACTTTCCCAATCCATTACGTCAGGCTTGACCATAGACTTGCTGTAACCTTTGGAACTGGGTTGAAGGACAGTGTTCCTGTTTCAAGCTGAGGCCTTAACGGGCACTGCAAGTCTCTTCAACTTCTATCATCCATCATGATAATACCATAGCCTAGGTAGCCACTGGCCCATGGAAAATTTGAAGATACATGAACCCAACCTAAATCCAACTCAGCCTGGAGCCCAGAGCTGGGAACCTGAAGTTGAGTTTTGTTTAAGCAAACTGCAGCATCTCACAGATCTGTGAGGGAGGCATTAATGCTTGCTGTTTTAAGCTACTAAATGTTGGGGTGGTTTTTTATGTAGCATTATTGTAGCAATAGCTGACTGAGAGACTAGTATTTTTTCCCTCTCCCTGTAAGTGTTTTGAAATTGATGGTATATCTAACAATTCATAGCATTGTAGGATGAAGGAAATTCAGTAATTACATGGGTAATCATTTAATTAGAATTATGAGAAGTGGTATGAGAAGGGGCAAAACACACAAAACACAGAGACGTAACCCAATCTGAGAGTCAGGAAAGGTTTTTCTGAGGAAGTAACGTTGAAGCTGAGATCTAGCCTTTGGCTAAACAAGGTTGGAGGATGGGGAGCATTCTATCTGAAGGGAGCAGTTTTTGCAAAGCCCTTGAGGCAAAAAAAGAGCTCACTGTATACTGAGAAGTATCCGGAAAGCAGAGAGAAATCAGGCAAATGACAGAAGAGAAGTTGATGAGGCTCAGTTTCACTCTGTGTGATAGGCTGAACTGTGTCTCCCCATAGATTCACATGTTGAAGCCCTACCTCCTACACCTTGGAATGTGACTGTTTGGAGATAAGGCCTGCAGAGAGGTAATTAAGGTAAAATGAGGTCATGTGGGTGAGCCTAAATCCAAGACTGGTATCTTTATAGGAAGAGGAGATTAGGACACCCAGAGGAAAGACCTTGTGAAGACACAGAGAGAAGACAGCCATTCAAAAGGAGAAAGGCCTCAGAAGACATCAGCCCTGCCAACACCTTGATCTTGGACTTCTAGCTTCCAGAACTATAAAAAATCAATTTGTTGTCTAAGGCACCCAGTCTGTAGTATTTTGTTAGGGAAGCTCTCAGAAACTAATAAACACAGTATGCCCGGGTCTAAGTATGGTGCCCATACATAGTAGAATGTGAATTGACCAGATTTAGATATCAGGAAGATTTCTCTGGCTGCAATAGAAATGGGTTGGAAAGGGGGAGCAGGAGGAGGTTGTCACAGTAGTCCAGGGGAACATGATGGTGTCTTAGACCAAGGTGAGGCAGTGGAGATGGAGACAAGTGGATTGGTTGAAGATACATACATTCAGTAGATAATGTATCTACCAACCAGGCTTGGTGATTGATTAGACAAGGAAGGTGAAGAGGCCATCAAGATGACATTCTGGTTTGTAAAACAGGAAACATGGAGTAGGACTAGATTTGGGAAGAGGCTCACCAGTGTGGTTTGGGACAAACTGTGTTTGAAGCAACTTCCAGTTATAGGACTATAGTGGTCTAGATACCCTGAATATTCTCCCACTACAAGTGCTAGAATGCTAGATACCATAAAATAAATAATCTTAATAGCTGAGTTTGGAAGAAAGAGAAATCATCAGGGTTGCCAAAAGGAAGAGAGAACTGAGAACCCAAACAGCTGTTGCATAAGCTCACATGGCAGGAGTATGGCTGGCGTGGGCTTGGGAGGTTGTTTTGGTCTCAGAAGTCTAGAGGTTTTCGGCCGGGCGCAGTGGCTCATGCCTGTAATCCCAGCACTTTGGGAGGCCGAGGCTGGTGGATCATGAGGTCAGGAGATCAAGACCATCCTGGCTAACACGGTGAAACCCCGTCTCTACTAAAAATACAAAAAAAATTAACTGTGCGTGGTGGCGAGTGCCTGTAGTCCCAGCTACTCGGGAGGCTGAGGCAGGAGAATGGTGTGAACCCAGGAGGCGGAGTTTGCAGTGAGCCGAGATCACACCACTGCACTCCAGTCTGGGCTACACAGGCAGACTCTGTCTCAAAAAAAATAAAATAAATAAATCTAGAGGTTTTCATTCATTTTCAAACTCACAGAGACAGAAGACAAGGCCTTGGAAATTCTGGAGGGAGGTGGGGTGGGGTGTTGAGCCTGAACCTCTTATGTAAATCCAGGATCATTTAAGGGCTATCCCTTCAGTGAATTGGTAAGATTAAAATAATATATACACAAGCACAAAGAGAAAACAAGGAAGCTTGTCTATCTAGGTCTGGGTAGAGAGTGGAAAATAAGCCTCTCCAGAGAATTTGTAATCACAGACATGTACCTCCTACGAGCTCAGTGTCCAGATTTCATGCCCCGAAAAATCTCATGTTCAGATGTCAACATTTTCCCAGCAGAAGCAAATGGAGAACAAATCTGGTGTGATAAAACATCATCCCAGGCCACACATGATTCCTCCAGATGAAGCCTATTAAAGATGAGCTCACCATTCAAAATTACAAAACAGACAGGGAAACAATCCACCTTGAGAGACTTAGAAAAGAATAAAAACAGCAGAATCATACCCCCAAGGAATTTGAGATAATAGAACTACCAAAGGTGGATTATAAGATACCTAAAGTTTAAAATGATTAAAACTGAGGAGAAATAAAAAGTATTAATAAATAAGATTCAGATAGATTTGAAAAAGAATCAATTAGAAATTCTAGAAATGTAAAATAAAGCTTTTGAAGTACATTAAATAGTTTTAAGGGCATATTAGTTACAGCTTAGAGGAAATTCATAAACTAGAAAATAAATCTAAGGTTATTAAGGCATACATATATAAAGACATATATATACACACACACTACATGTACATATAAGGCATCTAGTCTATCCAATGTGTATATAAATTTCTTTCTAAATACATACATACACAGATATATACATAAAGGTTAGAATAAAGAAATTTCTGAATAGGAATTTCATAAAGACTCTGTAGAGGGAATTAGAGAAACTTTGCATATCAAATCAGATTACCTTTGAATGAATAATAATAAGATTGACAAGAGACTTCTTAATAGCAACATAATAGAAAAAATAAAATAACATCTGCAAAATGTTGAGAGAAAGTAGCTACCAATCAGCAGTTCTATATCCATATATATTTTATATCGTATGTATATGTTATTCAAGAATTAGATCCAATACAAATATTTATTTCCAGATAATAAATGAGAGGCTATGATTCACAGAACTTTGTTGAAAACCAAGTCAGAATGTTCTTCAATAGAAAGAAATTGAATCCAGAAAAGAATAATGTAAAAGAAGCAATAGTGACAAAATAAAATAGCAAATATGTAGATAAATCTAAGCAAGTATTTCTGAATAAAAACAAAATGGAACATTTTTTAACTTTACAGTAGTTATTTCTGAGGGGAGGAAGGCAAAACTGGGCAGGTCAACCCTATGAGTAATGTTTTATTTCTTAAGTTGAAGGGTGAAACAGAGGCTATGATTCTATAAGTCTTTATTTCTTTTTGTCTTAAATATACCATAAGAAATTTAGAAATAAATAAATGGCTTTTTTTTTTTAAGTTCAGTGGATACAAAGGTCTGAAAGATAGTAACATTTAAGACAGGTAGGGAATAATCAGACTTTAAGTGTCTTTATATTCTTGTATAGTTTAGATGAAGAGTAGACATATTCATTAACTCTAAGCCTTACAAAGCTAGGGTAAAAGAACAGAAATAAAATATGTTATTTCCAAACAAGAAGAAATTAAGAAAAAAACTTAATTGGCCCCCAGATGAACAAGAAAGCAGGAAAACATAAGGGCAGCAAGTAGAAACACAAAATATAATGGTGAAGATAAGTCCAAATACACAAAGCATTACAATAAATTAAACACTCTAATGTTGCCAGCTAAAACAGATATTGAAAGATTGAATTTTAAAAATTCAGGTAAATGGTGTTTACTAAAGACACATCCAAACCTTAAGGGCATAGAAAGATTGGAAGCAAAATTCTAGGAAAAGAAAAACCAGCAAGTACTAACTGGAAAAGGAAAGTCTTACATTAATATTAGAAAAATAGACTTTAAGGCAAAAACCATTATTGAAACATTGTTAAGAATAACAGTGGTAAAGTGCCGAGATTGCAGCCTCCGCCCGGCCGCCACCCCGTCTGGGAGGTGAGGAGCGTCTCTGCCTGGCCGCCCAGATGTTAGGAGCCCCTCTGCCTGGCTGCCCAGTCTGGAAAGTGAGGAGCGTCTCTGCCCGGCCACCATCCCATCTAGGAAGTGAGGAGCGCCTCTTCCCGGCCGCCATCCCATCTAGGAAGTGGGGAGCGTCTCTGCCCGGCCGGCCATCGTCTGAGATGTGGGGAGTGCCTTTGCCCCGCCGCCCCGTCTGGGATGTGAGGAGCGCCTCTGCCCGGTCGCGACCCCGTCTGGGAGGTGAGGAGTGTCTCTGCCCAGCCGCCCCATCTGAGAAGGGAGGAGACCCTCCGCCTGGCAACCGCCCCGTCTGAGAAGTGAGGAGACCCTCCGCCTGGCAGCCGCCCCGTCTGGGAAGTGAGGAGCCCCTCCGCCCGGCAGCCACCCCATCTGGGAAGTGAGGAGCGTCTCCACCCGGCAGCCACCCCGTCCGGGAGGGAGGTGGGGGGGTCAGCCCCCGCCCGGCCAGCCGCCCCGTCCGGGAGGGAGGTGGGGGGGGTCAGCCCCCCGCCCGGCCAGCCGCCCCGTCCGGGAGGGAGGTGGGGGGGTCAGCCCCCCGCCCGGCCAGCCGCCCCGTCCGGGAGGGAGGTGGGGGGGTCAGCCCCCCGCCCGGCCAGCCGCCTCGTCCGGGAGGTGAGGGGCGCCTGTGCCCGGCCGCCCCTACTGGGAAGTGAGGAGCCCCTCTGCCTGGCCAGCCACCCCATCCGGGAGGGAGGTGGGGGGGTCAGCCCCCCGCCCGGCCAGCCACCCCATCCGGGAGGGAGGTGGGGGGGTCAGCCCCCCGCCTGGCCAGCCGCCCCGTCCGGGAGGGAGGTGGGGGGGTCAGCCCCCCGCCCGGCCAGCCGCCCCACCCGGGAGGTGAGGGGTGCCTCTGCCCGGCCGCCCCTACTGGGAAGTGAGGAGCCCCTCTGCCCGGCCACCACCCCATCTGGGAGGTGTGCCCAACAGCTCATTGAGAACGGGCCATGATGACAATGGTGGTTTTGTGGAATAGAAAGTGGGGAAAGGTGGGGAAAAGATTGAGAAATCGGATGGTTGCCGTGTCTGTGTGGAAAGAAGTAGACATGGGAGACTTTTCATTTTGTTCTGTACTAAGAAAAATTCTTCTGCCTGGGGATCCTGTTGATCTGTGACCTTACCCCGCAACCCTGTGCTCTCTGAAACATGTGCTGTGCCCACTCAGGGTTAAATGGATTAAGGGCAGTGCAAGATGTGCTTTGTTAAACAGATGCTTGAAGGCAGCATGCTCGTTAAGAGTCATCACCACTCCCTAATCTCAAGTACCCAGGGACACAAACACTGCGGAAGGCCTCAGGGTCCTCTGCCTAGGAAAACCAGAGACCTTTGTTCACTTGTTTATCTGCTGACCTTCCCTCCACTATTGTCCTATGACCCTGCCAAATCCCCCTCTGTGAGAAACACCCAAGAATGATCAATAAAAATAATAATAAAATAAAAAAAAAAAAGAGAATAACAGTGGCTAGTGCATAATTTAGAAAAGTATAAGTCACCTGAAAGACATAGCAATTCTAAACTTGTATTCACCAAATAACATACATTCAAATATGTGACACAGAAATTGATCAAATTGTGAGGGAAAATTTAAAAATCTACAACCATAGTGGAAAATTTTTAACACTCTTCTCTCACTAATTGGTAGATCAAGCAGACAAAATCTTAGGATATAGAGGATTTGAACATACAAATTTTAAGTTTAATATGATGGATATATATTGAATCTTGAACCCAACAGTTTGAGAATATGAAAATTTTCAAGTACACTTGAAGCGTTTACCAAATTGACCACTATGATGGTTAATTTTAGGTGTCAACTTGACCAGATTAAGGGATACCCGGACAGCTGGTAAAGCATTATTTCTGAGTACGTCTGTGAGGGCATTTACAGAAGTGATTAGTGTTTGAATCAGTGGATTGAGTAAGAAAGATCTGCCCTTACTCAGTGTGGTGGACACCATCCAGTCAGCTGAGGGCCCAAATAGAACAAAAAGGCAGAGGAAAGCTGTATTAGTTTGTTTTTATGCTGCTGATAAAGACTATATCCAAGACTGGGCAATTTTCAAAAGAAAGAGGTTTAATGGACTTACAGTTCCACGTGGCTCGGGAGGCCTCATAATCATGGTGGAGGAGCAAGCCATATCTTACAAGGATGGCAACAGGCAAAAAGAGAGAGAGCTTGTACAGAGAAACTCCCGTTTTTCAAACCATCAGATCTTGTGAGACTTACTATCATGAGAACAGCACAGGAAACACCCACCCCCGAGATTCAATTACCTCCCACCATGTTCCTCCCACAAAATGTGGAAATTGTGGGAGTTACAATTAAGATGAAATTTGGGATGAAATTTGAGTGGGGACAGAGACAAACCATATCATCCCACCCCTGGCCCTTCTCAAATCTCATGTCCTCACATTTCAAAACCAATCATGCCTTCTCAACAGTCCCCCAAAGTCTTAACTCATTTCAGCATTAACTCAAAAGTTCAAAGTCCAAAGACTTATGTGAGACAAGACAAGTCCCTTCTGCCTATGTGCTTGTAAAATCAAAAGCAAGTTAAGTACTTCCTAGATACAATGAGGGTAAAGGCATTGGGTAAATACAGCTGTTCCAAATGGGAGAAACTGGCTAAAACAAAAGAGCTACAGGCCCCATGCAAGTCCGATATCCAGCAGGACAGTCAAATCTTAAAGCTCCAAAATTACATCCTTTGACTCCACATCTCACATGCAGGTCACACTGATGCAAGAGGTGGGTTCCCAGGGTATTGGACAGCTCTACCAGGTCCTTTGCAGGGTACAGCCTCCCTCACAGCTGCTTTCATGGCTGGCATTGAGTGTCTGTGGGTTTTCCAGGTGCACAGCGCAAGCCGTCAGTGGATCTACCATTCTGGGGTCTGAAGGATGGTGGCCATCTTCTCACAGCTCCACTAGGCAGTGCCCCAGTAGGGTGTCTGCATGGGGGCTCTGACCCCACATTTCCCTCTGTACTGCCCTAGCAGAGGTTCTCAATGAAGTTCCCACCCCTGCAGCAAACTTCTCTCTGGACATCCAGGCATTTCTATACATCCTTTGAAATCTAGGTGGAGGTTCCCAATACCCAATTCTTGACTTCTTGAGCACTATCAGGCTCAACACCACATGGAAGCTGCCAAGGCTTGTGGCTTACACCCTCTGAAGCTGCAGCCTGAGTTCTGTGTGGGCCCCTTTCAGCCACAGCTGGAGCAGCTGGGACACAGGGCACCAAGTCCCCAGGCTGCACACAGCACAGGGACTCTGGACCTCACCCATGAAACCACTTTTTCCTTCTAAGCCTCCAGGCCTGTGATGGGAGGGGCTGCTGTAAAGACCTCTGATATGCTCTAGAGACATTTTCCCCATTGTCTTGGTCATTAATATTCAGCTCCTTATTACTTATGCAAATTTCTGCAGCTGGCTTGAATTTCTCCTCAGAAAATGATGTTTTCTTTTCAATCACATAGGCTGCAAATTTTCTGAACTTTTGTGCTCTGCTTCCCTTCTAAAAGTGAATGCCTTTAACAGCACCCAAGTTGCCTCTCGAATGCTTTGCTGCTTAGAAATTTCCTCCACCAGATATCCTAAATCATCTCGCTCAAGTTCAAAGTTCCACAAATCTCTAGGGCAGGGGCAAAATACCACCAGTCTCTTTGCTAAAATATAACAAGAGTCACCTTTGCTCCAGTTCTCAACAAGTTCCTCATTTCCATCTGACACCACCTCAGCCCGGACTTTATTGTCCTTATTGCTATCAGCGTTTTGGGCAAAGCCATTCAATAAGTCTTTAGGAAGTTCTAAACTTTCCCACATTTTCCTGTCTTAGTTTTTGAGTCCTCCAAACTTCCAACCACTGCCTGTTACCCAGTTTCAAAGTCACTTCAACATTTTTGGGTATCTTTTCAGTAGAACCCCACTCCTGGTACCAATTTATTGTATAAGTTTGTTTTCTTACTGTTGATAAAGACATACCTGAGACTGAGCAATTTACAAAAGAAAGGCATTTAATGGACTTACAGTTCCATGTCACTGGGGAGGACTCATAATCATGGTGGAGGAGCAATTCACATCTTACATGGATGGCAGCAGGCAAAGAGAGAGTGAGCTTGTGCCAGGAAAATCCCATTTTTAAAACTATTAGATTTCATAAGACTTATTCACTATCATGAGAACAGCATGGGAAAGACCCACCCCCATGGTTCAATTACCTCCCACCAGGTTTGTCCCACAAAACATGAGAATTGTGGGAGTTACAATTCAAGATGAGACTGGGTGGGGACACAGCCAAACCATATCAAAAAGTGAAATCTTTTTCTTTCTCTCTCTTCTGGAGGTAGGATACCCTTCTTCTGCCCTTGGACACCAGAACTCCAGATTCTCTAGTCTTTGGACTCCAAGACTTACCTCAGTGGCTACCCCCTGCACCCACCAGGTTCTAGGGTCTTTGGCCTCAGACTGAGAGTTACACCATTGGCTTCCCTAGTTCTTAGGCTTTTGGACTTGGACCAAGCCATGCTACTGGCTTTCCTGGTTCTCCATCTTGCAATGGCCTACTGTGGGATTTCTCAACCTCCGTAAGCACATAAGCCACTATCCCTAATATGTCCCCTCGCATATATCTATATCTCTTTCTGTGTGTGTGTGTGTGTATTCATTGGTTCTGTCTCTATGGAGAACCCTGACTAATACAATCACTAATTGGGCTTTAAAGAAAACCTCAACAAATATAAGAGGTGATCTGAATATTATTAATTTAGAAATTAGAAAGTAGATCTCAACACAATGTTACTAAATTAGAAATAAAAACAAAAATCCTCAACATATTTGAAATGTAAAATATATATAAAGTAAGTTATGACTTGAAGAATTTCAGGAGATGAAAATATTAAATGGCAAAACTTGAGTGATATTCCTTCTACTTCCTGAAAAATTCAGTCCTGAAGCCACTAGGTGGAATAGACCAAGATAGGAGGAGCTGCAGTGTCCAGAGGTGGTATCAGAGCCCATGGACAATAAGAACATCACTCTGGGATGGCAGGCATCCTCGCATGGGGAATCAGCCTTAACAGGGTGAGGAAATATTCACACAGGCCGTTGATGTGGTTGGGGAAGTCAGAGTCCAAACAGGGAGAGGAGGACATCTGTGTAGGCCAAGGGTTCATAGTGGGGATGGAGATAGATTGCATAAAGTGGGGTTGATTGCATAAGTAAATATCAGAAAAATTATGGAAGCTAGCTTTCTCACCAGTAGAGAAGGGATCTACATATATAGCAAGAGAGAAAACTAGAATGAACATGTGAAATTGCAGGTGTCAGCATGGACTCATGGTATTCAATATATAGAGATAGACATAGAAATTAATTTAGATGTAAATATGTGGTATACACACACATATACCTAGCTGGGATAGGACCTGGAAGTAGCAACGCTCCAACAGGAGCATGTACAGCACCCACATCTTGGCTTTGAGGTACCATTTTACATAAAAGGAAATAGGACTTGGGGAAATGGCTGATTCTGGGCCTAGAGGAGAAAAAAAATTCAAGAAAGCCTGGAACTTATTGTGCCAGAAGCAAGGAAGTATTTTTATAATGATAAAAGTATGTCAAAATGATTTAGAAGCCAACTTAAAAGGGTTCTTACTGACCAAATTGGCCATAATTTGAGTGCCAAAATTGATACTGATAGTATCAGTGATAGTAACTTATGATATTAAGTAAAATATGAGGCCTTACAAACATAAATAAATGAGCAAATTACAATGTGATGAGGAGTGAGATATTTACATAGTACTATGGTTTAAATGTATGTGTTCCTCCAAAATTCATGTTAGAAACTAACAAACACTCAGTTTGTAACTATTAAGAAGTGGTTATGTCATGAGGGCTCTGCCCTCAAGAATGGATTAGTGTTCTTATAAAAGAGGTTGAAGGAAGCCTAGTGAGTTTTTGCCTCTTTTTGTCCTTCTGCCTTCTGCCCTTGAGGACTTAGAAACAAGGTGCCATTTTGGAATCAGAGAGCAGCTGTCATCAGACACCAAATCTGCTACCACCTCAGTCTTAGACTTCCCCGCCTCCGGAACTGGGAGACATAAATTTCTATTGCTTGTAAGTTACCCAGTCTCCAGTGTTTTAGCAGCATGAACAGACTAAGACACATAGTTTCAAAGAAGTACCTTCCTCCAAAGGGGGATAAAGGTAACTTTATGGTGGAGGAGCCTAGCAGACATCTCTTTCATGAAATGGTCAAAGTGAGTATCAGTTACTGAAAGCACTCATGACCTGGTAAAATGCATTGAGAAGAACACAGCATCACTGCTATGATATTATAACCTGAATCTATCATAAGGAAACATCAGACAAACTTAACTGTGGGAAATTCTATAAAGTAACTAAACTCATCCTCAAAAGCATTGAAGTCATAAAAGTCAACCACGGACTGAAGAATATTCTAGGCTGAAACAGACTAAAAAGATATATTAGCTAAATGCATTGTGTGATTCTGAACTGGATCCTTTTATTTCAAAAAATATCATTGCATTAATTGGTGAACCTGGAATGTGGTCTGTAGACTGAAGAGAATTGTATCCAAGTTCCTATCTGATTTTATTGGTTGTTTTGCAGATAATAAATTCTTATTAGTAGAAAACACACATGAAAGTGTTTGGGGGCTAATGAACCATGGGGTTAATTTACAAGGAAAAACAAAATATTTGTACTATATGTACAACTTTTTTGTAAATTTTTATTGTTTCAAAATTTAAAGAAAACATCCAATAGCAAAATTTTATAATGCATGATGTGGTTTAAGTTGTACCAAGAGGTAAATGTACAGCCTTCACAATTTATAATTAAAAAGAAGAAAGATGAAAATTAGAGCTAGATGAGGTGGCATGTCCCACTCACTAGAAAGGCTGAGGAGGATTGCTTGAGCCTGGGCGGGAGTTCCAGGCAGTAGTGCACTATAATCACACCTGTGAATAGCCACTGCACTCCAGCCTAAACAACATAATGAGGTCCTGTCTCAAAGAAAGAAAGGAAGGAAGCAAAGTAGTGAATTAACTGTTCTAGTCAATATGTTAGGGAAAAAATTATAAACTCTAAGAAAAGGAAATTAAAATGCCAAACAACAAAATTAATGAACTAGAAGACAAAGAAACAAGAGAGAGGATAAGTGATGACCTTTATTCACCTTTGGGCAGTAGCTAAGGCTTTCTTCTTTACTTGTGTAAAAAATGGATGCTACAGCAGAAAGAGGAAAAAAGAGTCAGTTCTCAGCTTTTTGAATTTCAAGCCCCTTGGCATTTGTGTATTACACGGGAAGGCCCTAAAGATCTCAAGACATGACATTAATTTCATGGACAAAAGAAGGAAAGCACAGAGAACAGAGCTTTGATGTTGGTGGCATCTCCGTGAAGGGACTTTGTGCCCTGACCCTCTCACCCAAGTTGGGAGAAATGCCCATAGGGCAGGAGAATCTGGCGGCAAAAAACTCTGTGGTCTTATATCTTCGGAGGCCAAGGAGGCCTTCAGCCTCACCAGTTCCAATTCCTCCATGCTCGCCATAGCAAAGGAGCAGTAGGAGAGAGGTGATTATGTGGGGTGTTCAGGTAACCAGTCTGAGAACGCTTCTGCATTCTCGACATCCCAATGGGTCTCCGAACAAGTCACATAGCTTCTGTAGGCCAAAAAATGCTGAGCGGGATTTGGCCTAAGAGGCCTCATAGTGGGTATAGTAAGGTTAGGGTTAGGGTGGGTTTAGATAGGATGGTAGCATCTCGGAGACTTGCTTGAATTGACACTGGGGGACCAGAATGGGCACTATATCTCTGTTTATGTCAGCGTGAAGAGATGATGACTTGTCCCCTTGTTCCTCCATAAGCTACCTTCAACAGAGTTCTAAAAATAACCCAATGGCTCTTTTATAAGTTATGAGACGCATGGATGGATGGATGGATGGATGAACGGATGGATGGATGGACGGATGGGTGGACAAATGAATAATAAAAGGGAAATCCCTAAAGTACATCAATTTAAAAGCAACTATGTTTCAGGACTTCACCTGGGAAAGCCACCTAGTGGAAAGCCACCTAGTGGAAAGCCAAACGACCCTCATTCTCTCGTGCCCATCTTCATACTGCTTTCCAAGATAGCAGCAATGAAGGGTGGGAAAAGAATAGGTTCTTATATCCTTTATCGTTCTGCAGCTGGAATAGTCCCAAGGTCAGTCAATAAGCAAGTGGCTTTGCCAAACGGCACATGAGAAAAAAAAAAATCGTTGGGAGCTTCAGAAACTGACAAGTGTTTAAAAGAAGATGTGTCTTCCAAGTTTGCTTTTTATTGAAGAAAAATAAAGGGCATTGGAATTATTTTCTGCCCTGTTTGGAATCTTATATTTTTATCTTGGTCTTTCTTGGTTTTTATTTGTGTACTTAGGGAGATCTTAGTGGGAGCAAATGTGTAATTCTAAAGCAGTCTACAAATGTACACTCACATAGCATAACCAAACCACAATTTTATGCAGATTTTTTTCTCTGTCTTAGATTCTGCAGCTCTTAAAGGAAAATGTGAATGCAATGGTGTGTCACAACTGCGATTAGAGAAGTCCAAGGGAAAAGAGTACAACATGCTGATCAACCTTGGCAGTCCCCACATACAGCATGATTATATTGTAATACTGTTTGATGCAATCGTATGTTTGATCAGTTTCAAGAGATGAATATCACCTCACTTCAAACAATATGATACAGTCTCATTGTATGGAATTATGGCTGCTGTCAATCAGCATATGGCATAACCCTTAAAGTGCCATCTTTGGGGAATGTCATAAAAATGATTGCAACACTTGCATTAATTAGTAAGTTTTTGCACTAAAACCAAGCAAAACCTGTCAAGACAATGTATCTTCTATATCTCTGTTCATTTTTGTTATCATAAAATCATGTATATAACCCATACATGCATACACTCAGCTGATTAGCTGAACTTGTTAGAACAGCCATGCTAATAAAAATATTGTGTGAGCCCCTCTGTATGGATCACTAAGCTATCTTTTCCGTGTTTTGTTTGATGATCCCAAATATACATCTGGTTTGAACCAACTATCTTATCATAGTGAGAGATAGGTGGAAAGTAAGGACAAACATTAGATTATCACCAGGTTTGTGGTCTCAACAAAACTCAAAATTTAAGCTTGACAAATGACAAATAATGGCATGTGGACATGTTTACATGTGGTAAATATAAAATCAGTCTTTGGAATGTCATTAATTTCACATTGTCAAGGTTCATGGACACAGCATTTTGAGGAAATAAGAATTGTGATCTATTTTCACTTCGGCTATGAAATTATTTCCCTCGTTTGAAGATATTTATTATTTGTTATTGTCTTGGTCTCAGGTTTTGCCATCATCACCTAGTAATACATGATTTTACGACCTTGACCTGAGACTTCACACACTTTCCCAAGGAGACTAATACCAGATTCAACCATGTTTGCTGATTGTCTATATCACCAGAGTATTATGAACCTTTTCCCCAGGACTTCCTCACTCATCATGTCTCTTGGCATCCTTCCTACTTTTCTAGTGTCCTTTACTCCTTTATGAACTGAGCAGTTATTGCTGTGATAGACTTCTAAAATGGCCCCAATGTTTTCTGTCTTCTGGTATTCCTGATCTTATGGAATCCCCTCCCTTTGAATGAGGACTAGTCCTAGTGACTTCTTTCTACTGCATAGAATATGGCCAGATTTATTGGATGCCACTTCCAAAATTAGGTTATAAAAGACTGTGACTTCAGTCTTGCTAGCAGAGTCCCTTTCTCTCTTGCTGGCTTTGATAAAGTGCATTTCCATGTTAGAAAGCCCCACATGGCAAGAATCTGAGGGAAGCCCCTGGCCAACAGCCAGCGAGGAACTGAGACCCTCTTTCCAGTCACCTATGAGGAACAGAATCCTGCTCAGCTACCACTGAGTAAGCTTGGAAGGGGATCCTGTCTCAGTTGAACTTTGATGTGACTGTGCCACCAGCTGATATCTGAATTGCAGCCTTGTAGGAGACCCTAAAGCAGAGGACCCTGCTAAGCTATGCCCGGATTCTAAAGCAGAGGACCCTGCTAAGTTGTGCCCGGATTCCAAATCCACAGAGTCTGTGGAGTAATACATGTTTGTGGTTTTAAGCCACTAAACTTTGGGTTTATTTGGGACAACTAACACACCTTCAGTTGTCCCTCGGTATCAAGGGGATTGATTCCAGAACCCATGCAGATACCAAAATCCACTGATGGTCAAGTCCCTTTGTATAATAAAATGCGGTAGTATTTGCATATAACCTGTGCACATCTCTAGATTACTGATAATACCTAATACAATGTAAATGCTATGGATATAGTTGTTACACTGTGTTGGTTTTTAAAATTTGTATTTTTATTGTTGTATTATTTTTATTTACTTATTTATTTACTGAGTATTTTCTATCCTTGGCTGGTTGAGTTCACAGATGTGGAACCCGCAGGTGTGGAGGGCCAACTGCGCAGCTTCTTTTGTAGTGACGAGTAAAATAGTGCAGGGGGGTAGGCATCATCACATTTGAGCCTTCAAAATATGGAAGGTTTCATACTACTGGCAGGTTTTGTGGAAATGCTGACCAGGTCCACAAAGACCTATGTGCAGTCTCTATGACCTTCCAGTAAAGATCCTACCATCATTCATGGGTAAGAATATTGACCAGTGTTTACACTTTGGGTTAGGATTGTAAAGTGTTGAAGTATAAAGCTGTCCTTTCTTTTTCCAATGCAAGTTTTGACATACTGGGACTGTGGAAATATCACATGGTATGTATTAATGTCACCAGTGCTACACAGACACACCTGTCTTGCTTTATAGATTCTTTCTCACATCCTCACATTATGTTGGCAGCTTATTGAATTCTAGGCTTTGGGGTAGAATTTTTGACAATTCTACTAGAAGCTTGAAAAAATGAGAGGTAGATTGTCTTCTGTGATGATTTGAAGAATAGGTATTACAACAGGGTTATATAATTTGTGAAATATTTTATTATTTACTCAATTTGTCCACATTTATAGAGGCCACCAGTGATGAAAAGTATTTACAACAGTCAATAATCAAACACTTTTTATTTTGAGATTTAATACATGTATTAAATCTCTGCTGAGTGTTTTTAACCTAATATTACGAGTGTACTGTTTCATTGATTCATAGCTCTGCTGGTGTAGAGACAACTCAGTCAGGAGCTGGCTGGCAGAAGGAAGTCAGTTTGGTACCGGACATGGTCCCTGGGTGGGCCAGGTGTGATTTATCAAGAATTGATTTATTTGAAAGTTCCCAAGTACACTAGGATTTAAAACAATAATGAAAAAACTACCTTTTTATTAGATTAACAAATATTTTTAAAAAGAATTATACTCCGTTTAGATTATAAGGAAAATGGCTCATGCACAGTTGGTGGGAGTGTAAATTGGCACAACTGTCTTGGAGAGCAATTTGACAAACTACTTCAACACTGTAAGTCCATTTCATGTCTAGGAATTTATGCCAAGAAAATAAATCTGAACTTGCAAAGATGTTAAAAGATGTTTATGAAATCACTGTTTATAAGAATAAAAAATTTATGCAATCTAAATATCTGTCAATAGATTTAAATACATTATGAATTATACAAAATAAAGGCTACAATAACCAGTTAATGAGAAACATTTGTGCCAAAGAGTGGTATCAGCAATCTATTATTAATTTTTAGTTAGTATTAACTACACACACACACACACACACACACACACACACACACTATGGCTCCAACCTTGTTTAAAAAAATGACAACCCTATGTAATCATGGGCGAACTACTGAGAGCATACACCTACACCAAATCATTAAAACTGGTTTTCTCTAACAGAGAAATTATTGTGAGATATTTGAATATTTTGCAGCAAGCATGTATTATTTATTAGTCAGAAAATAGCTATTTTCACTTTGAAAAAATTCTAGATATTAATTTTTGTCTTTTCTCTTTTGGACACTGAAAAAAATTCAACGTGTAATCATCTGTTTCATTTTGTCCTCCAGTGGCTCATCTATTTTTTATTTCTTAGATCAGTTAGCATTTATTAAGCACCTATCATGTGTTTAGCACTGTGGTTGTCACTAAAGAAACAGATAAATGAGACAATCTCTGACTCAAATGAAGAAGACGTGAATTTCACATGAAATAAGGTTTACAGATGCTCTGTTAGAGTAGATGCAAGATAAGGTGGGGGTCACAGAAGAGAGTGATCAATTTAAAATTATGAAACAATTCATGAATATGTGTGTCATTTTTGCAGGTATTCCATCCACTACAAAATTACAAATATCTTGAAACTGATTTTATGGCATATACTTTTAATATCATCTCCATAAGGCCCAGAGTCTAGCTGATGGTGTGCCAAGTATTCAAAAAAATACCTTGGCATTCAATCAAGATAGTCATTGCTGGAGTAGTGCTTTTCGAACTTTTGGAATTTAAGACTCACATTCAAATACTAGAATATGCAGTGGTACATTGGAATGGATTTAAAAATTCGAAGCACACTAAACAAGTAAGTAATAACTTCAGGCATAATAAGTTCTTTGTGTGTTTATAAAGTATCCAAGATAAGCTAGTCACATAGTTCCCCCTGAGCACTCAGTCAGTGTTAAGAGTAAAATGTTTATATTATAATAACACTCGTAGGTTAACTATATTTGTAGGAACACATATGTAATTCATATAGAATATATGTGTAAATACACTTACAGAATGCATACTCGTACATGCATATCCGGGAAGCAAAGATTTAGTAACCACATGCACCTTTTATTACTGCTTTGACGTTTTTTTACTTACCACAGACAGCAAATTGGATGAAAGAGCAACTATCCAAGTCAACATTTCATCAGAGCAGACACCAATAAAAGCTAATTCCCAACGTTTGACGGCACACCCCTACAGGGTGGAGTGCACACCACTAAAGGGTGTTTTACCAGAGACTATGTGCAGAAGCAGAATTGTCGCAAACGTATTGCATCTATTTGTTTTGTTAGCAGCAGCGAATCTGTACAGGTCTGCGGCAGTCTGAGTTATTGCCTCTTCCTCAGAAGAAGTTTGACCGAGGGGCATAAGGCAGAGTGAGAGACCAAGGCAAGTTTTAGGGCAGGAGTGTAAGTTTGTTAAAAAATTTTTTGAGCAGGAATAATAGGAAGTAAAGTACACTTAGAAGAGGGCCAAACGGGCGACTTGAGACGGTCAAGTGTGTGGTTTGACCTCTGACTTGGGGTTTTATACATTGGCATGCTTCGGGGGGTGCGTCCCTTCTCCCCTGATTCTTCCCTTGGGGTGGGCTGTCTGCATGCACAGTGGCCTGCCAGCACTTGGGAGGGGCTGCGTTTGCAGTGTGTTTACTAGAGTTGTGCGCATGCTCACTTGAGGTGTTTTTCCCTTACCAGTTGAGTGTTTAAACTCTGCCATTTTGCCTCTTAGTGACTTGAGGCATTTTTCCCTTACCAGTCTGGTGTTCCTAGAGGAAGGTCATATACCAGTTAAACTCTGCCATTTTGCCTCTTAGTGTGCATGCTTAAGCCCACTCGTCCAACTCCTGAGATCTTATCGGGAAGCTGCTCATCACCAGTTTCAGGTGTTTCTGTCTGATAGGAGAGGACCGTTCCCTGGCACCAGCTGCAACCAATTATTATTTTAGTGAGACAGCTTAACAACTGCGTGGCCGTCACCTGACATTCCTGGGAGGGCAGCAGCGTCTCCTGCTCTGCTCATTTCTGCCTGACTACCTACTGCAACACTTTCAGTGGAGCCAGTTAGTTGGTATCTTTGTTCGTATTTTTTCTTTTCTTTTCTTTTCTTTTTTGAGACGGAGTTTTGCTCTTGTTGCCCAGAGTAGAGTGCAATGGCACCATCTCAGCTCACCGCAACCTCGACCTGCCAGGTTCAAATGATTCTCCTGCCTCAACCTCCCGAGTAGCTAGGATTACAGGCATGCGCCACCACGCCCAGCTGATTTTGTATTTTTAGTAGAGAGGGGGTTTCTCCATGTTGGTCAGGCTGGTCTCCAACTCCCGACCTCAGGTGATCTGCCCACCTCGGCCTCCCAAAGTACTGGGATTACAGGCGTGAGGCACCACCCCAGGCCTGTTCATATTTTTGAAGTGATGATGGTACTTGGAAAAAAAATTATTGGAATAGTTTATTCAGGAAGTACTTGCCCCTTTTGTAAAGGTTTTCATATCTTATGCACGGAGAATGGTAGAACTCCCACTCTCCTGTTCTCATTTTCCTGTCATCAATCAGATGACACACTGAGTGAAGAAAAGAGGTATGACTGTAATCCCAGCACTTTGAGAGGCTGAGATGGGAGGATCACTTGAGGCCAGGAGTTTGAGACCAGCCTGGGCAACATAGCCAGACCATGTCTCTATTAAACAAACAAACAAAAAAAAAAAACAAAGGAAAGAAAATTAGGTGGAAGAAGAGAAGTAAAAGACAAGACAACTGAAGAACAGAAGAGAGAAAGGAGCTGAAATTTTGAATGTGAGTACAAGTGCCTCCGTTTCTTCATCTATCACTATGAAAATGTCAGGACATTCGTTGTTAGTAATGACTACTTGGAAAAAGAGTTCTTTGGGATGAATACGGCTATGTGCAACTTAGCTCGAATTACATTCTGCAATCTGTGAGACCAGTGAGACATTGTCCAGTTGAAAAGTCTCTAGGCTTAAATCAAGCTGTAGAGGGTCTATGTAGTCCAAGCTTTCGTTAAATGACTGTGCAATCTGGATCACATTATATGTCCTAAGTGTGTTCCAGTATCCCTATTTGTTGAAAAAAGGAGATGTGAGCTACCCGTCTCACACGCCTAATGTGAAAGTGTAAGAGACATTGAGTACATGAGACATTTCAGTACAAGTGTTCTGAAAAATTCAAAACCAATGCAAAATTCAGACCTCAGAACCAAATAAAGTTCATTTTTCCCCCACTAAACCATTAATGAATGACTTCAGTTAATAAAAGGGTGTGACTTGCCAAGGAATGGATTAGTATTCATTATAAAAATTACATTATAATTAATGCACTCATTAATGATCTACCAATCAATATCAATTGAAGGTCTATTATTTTAAGGAGGATGGGCAATTAGCAGTTTGACACCATGAGAAAGAGATAACCAGCTGACTGATGGGTCTCCATCAAGTTTAATTTTAATTTGTTTTAAAAGGATCTTCTTTAGGAGTGAGTTTAGATGCACATCACTCTTTCTTCTTTCAGAAAATGAATATATATGTTGTTTAAAAAGCATATCAGAATGACAAAGAATACAGTCTGGCATATGTAGCAAGAAATGAGCACATCTAAATGGGCTGGATGGTATGGTGTAAGTTCTATTCTCTCGCACAGTAATATAACTGGATTGCTCTTTAAAGTAAGTGAATTTGTATGTCCGCTTTCTCTTAATGGAATCAGTTTTGATATACTCTTTGTTCATGCTGTTACTGGCTTCAGTCTAAGGTTTCTTTGTATTAACTTTTTAAAGTTACATTACAAAGAGGTTTTAAGATTTCCCAATAGGCTTTTATTTAACTGAAGCTTTTGATCTCAAACCTGCTGGGGCCTAGTGAAATCCTTACCAATTCTCCAGTAACTCCTCACTATTGGAATTTGAAAAGACCCACCTGAAGGATTTAACTCCCTGTATGGCTTCAGCCACCCTTCAGATCGTGCTATTCAAGCAGACAGCGAGGGGTTCTAGTGTACCCTTTGTGATCGCTAAGCAGCCTAAGGTGTCCTTTGCAGAAGTTGTACTCCTGAGGAAATAAAAATCAGGAGGACACAGACCTATATACCTTGTTTCCTGCTATCTTCAGTTAAAGGGGGATAGCAGGGGTCTGCTTAACATCCTTTGCTACCTAAATACCTTTTGGACATGGGAACTCTATAAAAGAACTTTCATTGCATCCATTACCCTACTGCAGTGCATAACAAATTAGATTTAAAAGGCTACTTTTTTTCCCTTACAGCAATTTCCATCATTTTCTTTAAAATTTCAATTTAGTGTCTAGTGACAGAATATTCTATAATGTACTTTAAAACTCTATAATGTCAATTATGCTAACTGAATATTATTTCCAAAGAATTAGGCTTATGTTATTACAGAAAAATCTTAGTTTAAAAGATCAAGTAAAGAGAGAAGTAGAGAATTGATTCATGCTCAAAAGGTGTTAAATATAAAACTAGATAAAACAAATACTGTTTCTGGAAATCTTTTTAAAAATGCAAATACGCATTAATTTTCTATTTAACCCTCAACTCCCAGTTTTAGAACAATTTTGTATTTTAAGTTGAAAAACGTTAATGCCAAATATTAACCTATTTTTAGAAAGGGTAAAATAATTCTAAGAAAATTCCCAATTATAGTATTTAGATATCTTTATTTCATTTGAAAACTCCATCGTGCAGAGATTTTAGAACATGTAAACAACAGTAAGCATGAAAAGCAAATAAAACTTCATAAAGAACACAATATTTGCTGCTGTGTGTGGGGAGAACAGATGTAGCTATGCACCACTTCTCCTGTGTAAACATTTATCTTTGCCTTTCTATTAACCTGATGTAAAGCCTCTTCATTATTAAAAAATTATTTAAATTCTATGTTGATAAATAGAAATCAACTTATTCCTATGTTACTTCTTTGTATCGGATGTTACTATCTGGGACAAAGCCTCAAGTTAGCTTTACATCAAAGAACCAGAAAGAAATGTGTTTCCAGAAGTTGTAAAATGTTTGCCATTTAGTTCCACTGTGATTCGAGGACATATTCTCTCACACTGTACATGCGCCACATATTACTAGACCTCAGAGGTTCATCCATCTCAGGGTGGTTTCACCCCTTTGGGCTCTCGTGTAACTACAGAAAACCAGTCTTGAACAATCTCAATTCTGAACATGTGGTAGAGTTGTCAGAGAATGTTTTCAGTCTGGGTTTGAGGACTAACGTTACCATACCTGTAGAACATGACATAATTGTTTCATATCTTGATTTACTAATTTCCATAAACATTTGTTACACATCTCATTTGTAGATCTTTATGAGTAGCTGCCTAGTGGAATGTTATTTTCTGCATTTAATAATAACTGATTATATGAAGATAAGGTGATATGAATTCTTTCTCTGGAGAAATAGGGCTCAAAGACTTGCAGAACTGTGAGAATGGGGGAAATTATGAAAAAAATTTGGATTTTTATGGATAACATAATACAAATGTTACTTAAGATATGTTGTGTTCCAGTAATACTCTGCTCCTTTGTAAAAACAAACAAAGAAACAAACAAAAACTATGCATTTTTAATGTGTGGGCAAAAGGTTTAACAAAGTATTTCTCATAATCCAAAATTTACCCTCATCACTCTTATTCATAGTATAAATAGTTACAATTTTGGAGATAGTCTTGCAATATTTATCATTTTAAAAATATAGATCACCTTTGATTAAAAACATGACACTTTCAAAAATTTAGCCTCTAGGGATACTCACAAAATTGGTATAGCTGTACTTAGAAGAATGTTCATTAGAGCATTATGTGTGAGAATAAAAAATCATGGTCAATCTAAATGTCCATCAATGTGAGATTGTTAATAAGATATCAGATATCCTTGGTAACAGTACTATTGTGGTCTCATGCCTACGAAATGTCAAGAAGCAACTAGTTAATGGACACGGCAACCACTTTGAGTAGATGTTATTAATTTGACATTTATGGGTTTAGAAAGCAAAGCACAGATAAATTAAGTAACTTGTCAAAGTCACAGAATTACTAATGCTGGGGCTAGGATTCAAATGCAGCTAAGCCATTTGGTCCCAAAGCCCACGATCTTATCCCTTCTACTATGATGCCCATAGAGATTCCAAGAATGAGGCAGTTTTGACGGCTTCAAATGGAAAAGATGTCCAAGAATTATTAGACATAAAAAAAATGAAGTCACAAACAGAAGGTATAGTATGGTGTCATTTTGGTAAAAGTTATATACATATTAGAACACTTGGAGAGGAAATCTGAAGAATTATTCACCAGGTTGTTTATATGAGAGTTTCTGTGGGTGGGAGTCTCCAATTCTGTTTTATGTATCTGTAATATTTAGATATGTTATAAAAGTATATGATAACAATAGTTTTTTAAAATATCAAAATATAATTGGAAAATTAATAACAGCAGTGAATTATTTTATCAACATATGTAGTATTATTTTCAGAATCTCAAGTGCTGGCAGTCAGTTTGGCCTTTTTTTTTTTTAACAAAGCAGAAACAAATTGTATCACATAGAATGTTCATAATATGGACATTAATTATCACAGTTGGTGTTTGAGGGAGGCTGGTGTTCTATGATAAAGAAAGCTACAACACTGAGAGTTTTTTCCTATATAAGCAAATTTTGCAAGTGATTTGTCTTTTAACTATTGAATAAAAGTACTTTTTATCAATAGAGTTAAACTTATTTTTATTTCACATTCCCTGTATTAGAACATGAATATTTATTCTTTTAAAGCTTTTTATTTTTTGTGGAAAGAGGATTCTCTCAACCTTTCTAATATATAAAAACACTTACTCACATTTGCACTTATAAACTGCTTACATGGGCAAACATTGCATTCCAGGTTCCTAGGGAGGGAAATTCTGCATTTTATTCTGAAGTTACAAAAGATAATTAATACACTACTGGGCTAAGCACTAGGTTTAGGCTGGCTCTAGCCCTACTTTATGCATTTCAGCATTGAAAAAAAAATCAGTGATGGGTAATGCTATCAAAAATGCTAATCCAAAGCTTTGCTTATGGATATCATATTATTTTAAAAGGTAATAGAGAACATTCCCTGTAATCAAGGGTGAGTCAAGGAAAATGGCATCTAAGGGAGTATGTCAGCCAAACAGAAAACTTGACCCAACACCAAGCTCATTGTCAGAATCACAGCTGCCTCATCAACCAATGAGACTGAAAGGGAGGCAGCCGGTAAGTCAGGTGCCGAGGCTGGAAAGACTCTGTGCCAGACCCATTGGCAGTTGGCCCTTCAGCTGCTGTACAGCCTCGGTAGGGGCCCAGGGGTATTGAATCTGGTTTTGGACCACAGGAGGAGAGTGAAGTGAAGTACAACCAATATTGTCAACAGCAAGATCGTCAAGTGAGTCCTGATAATATATTCATGGAAAGATATATTGTTCTGCTTCTAGGTTCTGTAGGGAAGGAGGGCCCAGGGAGAATGCATGTTGCAACTCTGCAAGCAGAATCTACCCCTCTGCCCATAGAAGCTGGTTGTGGTTGTTCAGTTTTCCTTTAGCTTTTTGGTTTCATTTCTGCAAGTGGCATGTTTTGGTTGCTAAGCAAGGTGTTGCAAAATATGAGGTGAGATGTCAATATAACTTTAAAAGGGGAGATGTGGTCAGAAGGGACGTAATACTCAGATTTTAAGAAGAAAAAGGATTTTTGAATTTGGCATTATTAACAGAGAGCTGTCATGTTCCTTTCCCTCAACAGAGAAAATAAGTGACCCAAAATAGAAAATAAATGACCCTTTCTGTGATTAGCAACTCACTGTGTTTGTTTAGTGTCAAGAATGCTATTAGTAACTAATAAAAATTTATAATCATGAGATCACCTCCCCAAACAAAAATGAATAAACAGAGAATACATCTTTATAGCAAGTCTAATGACACCTTTGCAGCTAAGGAGTCTGGACCTAGCAGAGTATCCTGCATGCCTAGAGCAGGCATTTCATAAATGTTGAAAAATGAGTGTTGTTTGCTGAATATTGAACTTGCCTTTGCAGTCTATATCCCTCCCCAAATAATCAGCCTGTTGTATGACCTCCAGATTTATATTATTGCACCGTCACTTTGGTGCTGAGATTTGGCATAATTACTTTAGGAAAATATCCCTTATTGATACACACATTAGTCCACTGTAGTGAGTGGCACCTGGTATGGGACCCTAAACCTGATACATTCTCAATAAATGCTTGTTAACCTGAATAGTCACTAGGAATTGTGAGACATTATGGGGAGTGTGAAAGACATTATAATTTCTTATCATTTATTTACTTGCTTATTTTTACTTTTTTGAAGATGGGTTTTTAAATGTTTTTAATTTTCTACCAGCTTTATTGAGGTATAATCGGCACATAATAATATATATTTAAAGTATACAATATAATGTTTTGATGTATGTACACATTATGAAATGATTACCACAATCAAGCTAATGAACAAATCCATCACTTCACATAGTTACCTTTATGTGTGTATGGTGAGACACTAGAGGTTTATTCTCTTAGCAAATTTCAAGCACACAATACATTATTATTTAAACTACAGTCACCATGCTGTACATTAGGTATCCAGAACCTATGCATCTTAGAACTGCAAGTTTGTACCCTTTGACCAATATCTCCCCCTTTCCATCAGTTCTTACCTTTTAATGGGAGCTATGGAAGGTACAGGACAAATACAAATGAAATATAATAGAAATATACTAACATATAAATAACTTTGGAAAGTATCATGTACATATGCAGACATAAGAGGCATTTGTTGTGGCCAGGGGTTAACTTTCCAGATGGAAGTTATGGAAGAGATGGCTAGAATTTATGATAACTGCTAGCATTCATTAAACAATTTCTACTGGCCATGCACAATGCTTTAGATGTATTGATTATCTTACTTGATTTTCACTACAAACTTAAAGTAGGTAATACTATTTTTTCCATTTTATAGATATGAAAACTAGGGCTCACATTGACAAATTAATTGTCCAAAATTAGTAGGGAGGCAAGCCGAGGTCTGCACTCAGAAAATCTGGCTCAGAGACTTCATATAAGGACATATAATCATATGAAAAAACAGGAACCTTATGGTCATAAATCTTGAAGTCTTGGCACATTCTTCAGGCATAACCACAGCTGCATATTTAGGACTTAGTTGAGAACTGGGATATCATTCGGCTAAGAGTGTATCTCTAGGAACTCAGTTCACTTTTTGTCCTGTTGGGGGCCAAGAAATTGAGACCCCCAAAATATGGCACTTTGGTGTGATAAGTACCTTGAACTATGGAAATTGGAATGCCTCAGAAACAGCCTCAGAAGCAAAGTCTCTCTCTGACTTTCTCTTGCCTTTCTGTCTCCCGCTCCTCTTTCTCTTCTAAAATGAGTCACAGAAACTAGAATTCCTCCTTCCTTAAGGTGAGTCATAGAAAGGAGAACCTCTTTCCTCTAAGCAAACCACAACATGTAGAAATATGACTTGAATCTTCTCCACCTTTCTGTCTAGGATCTGGTCAGAAGAGATTTTCTGACCTAATATGTCCAATAGTCGTAAGACCTCATTCCAGAGGGCTCCTGCCTGATACCCAGGAGGAAAGAACGCTACACAAAGGAGCCAAGAATCTGAACACACAGGCCTTGCTGGGTTCCCCCTCTGTCTGTTACTGTTAGGTTATTCATTTTTTATCCAATTGCATTTCAACATGGCTGTCCACTCTTCATGGAATCTAAGATTAAAAATTGACACTTTTCCCTGGGTCTTGGGTCTTCATTCTGAAGGCTCCTGCATCATGTAAAACTTTGATAAAATAAATTTGCTATGCTTTTCTCTCGTGAACCTGTCTTTATCATAGGAGTGTTGGCCGTGACCCTTAGGGGAGTGAGGAAAGGGATCACCCCTTTCTCCCCCGGTCTCCTCACAGCCAGGGTTTGCAGTTGTCCTTTCTTGATTGTCACTATCCTCGTGAGGTTCTCCGTCCCTGCTCTTGTAGGAACGCTGCTCCTTGCCATTGCCTACCCTGATGCCTCACATTCATATGCCTTGGAAACAGGCTTGGGGATCACATACACTGTGCTCATGTCTCTGTCTCTCTGTCAAGTGACTCTGTCTCCAGGACACGTCAGAGACCCAGGCCCTCAGGAGGCATCAGTCTTTGAGTAAAGCTGAGGTCATGTAGAATTGGCATGGCCGGGTGTGACGGTTACTTTTCTATGTCAACTTGGCTAGGCCATGATAGCTAGTTTTTGGTTAAACATCAGTCTAGATGTTTCTGTGAAGCTGTTTTTTAAACGTGATTAACATCTAAGTTAGTAGACTTTGAGTAAAGCCGATTACCCTCCATAATGGGAGTATGGAGTTCTCCTCCAATCAGTCGAAGGCCTGAAGAGAAAAGACTGAGGTCTCCTGGGAAAGAGGGAATTCAGCCTCCAGACTGTCTTCAGGCTCAAGATATAATACCAACTCTTTCTTGGGTCTCCAGCCTTTGGCTTGCCCTGAAGATTTCAGACTTGCTAGCCCCCACAATTGCATGAGCCAATTCCTTAAATCTGTCTCTGTCTCTCTCTCTCTTTCTCCACACACGGACCCACACCCACAAACACGCATATATACACACATATATACACACCCATATATCCTGTTGGTTCTGTTTCCCTGGAGAATCCTGACTAATAGACCAGGGTAGTAGGTTCATGAAGATAGTGACCTTTGATAAGAAAACGCATTGTGTTCAATATAATGAGAAGCGATAAGAATGAAAACTAACTAGTTGATCTGAGAAATGAGTGACAAGACTAAGAATACCTTAAATAAATAAACATGAGATTGCTTTGAGTTGGCACATGGAGTATCAGACAGTCAATCATAAGAAAAGTTCCATTATATCTAAAGCTGGTGCTTCCAGCGACAGAAAAACAAGGAGGATGGCTTAGTAGAAATTCAGCTAGTGACAGGGATGGGGATCTTAGTTTTATTCAGCATCTACTAGATATCAGGCCCTTTTGTGTACCTGAACTCATTTAATTATTATAATATCCTGCTTTGTCAGAGCCTGAAATGTAAGGGGATCAAGTAACTTGCAACTGATTTCCTTAGAAAGTGAGTGATGGACTTTCTTTGTGACTATGGATACCTCAAAGTTGCTCTTTGCTTGTTTGTTGCCTTGCCCTTGCCGCAGAGCTTCTGTACATGTTATTATGCCCTCAGTGTGGACAGCTGCCCCTAGTTCATGCTTCCTCATCTCTTAAATAGGGGCCTGAACACTCTCTTCAAGAACTCATTTTCTGTTCTCATCCAGGCTGGCTCAGGACCCCTTATTTTTGCTCTCCAAGCCCCTAGCACTTTTTTTTCCTTCATAGCACATGTCATTATGTGTTTGTGGGCGATTACTTTTTAAATTAAATCTCTACAATAGACTGTAAGTTGCATGAAAACAGGGAACTGCATCTATTTTTTTTATCATTGTATCTCCAGGGCCTAGTGTACTACTTAGAGCATGGTAGTGACTCAATAAATATATGTTGAATAAATACATTTAAATGAATTTGAAATCAAGTATGTCTGAGGGCAAAACTCATGCTCTTTTCCATTGGATCATATTGCTTTTTGATTCTTTCAAGTAAACACTTAAAGATTTCTGACTTTTTTGAAAAGAAATAGGAAAGCACCTGACCTTTTATTCTAAGCTCTATCCCAATTCAAACACTAAAAAGAAGCCCCCATTCTTTAAACAGTACCTCAATGTTATTTTATTATCAGTGGAATTTATCTTCTCAGGCACAAAACCTTAGAATGTGATCTGGCTTTTCTCTTCTTCTGTTTTACCCCAGCAAACCAGGTTTTAAAACATATATACAAAATGTGTGACAGTGATTTTTCTTGATCTAGGGTAACGGCTTTAAAAGAATCATTAAAACAGGTACCTCAAATATATCTTTGAATAAAGAGTGATTAGTTCAAGAAGAATTAGAAACACGCAGATATATGGAAATGTCCTTAATGAGCCTGAGTGAGAACATTAGTTGAACCTGTATATTTAAAGCACTCGAACCAAACATATCAAAATTCCAGTAATCCATGTTTATTGATTATGAATGTCATGTAAATATATCTTGTAGGAAATAAAATATTCACACTATTCAATGTCAGATTGCATCTCAGTGACATGGGTTTTTGTTGTTGTTGTTGTTGTTGTTTGTTTGTTTGTTTTTTTCTTTGAGACGGAGTTTCACTCTTGTTGCCCAGGCTAGAGTGCAGTGGCATGATCTCAGCTCACTGAAATCTCTCCTCCAGGGTGAAAGTGATTCTCCTGCCTCAGCCTCCCAAGTAACTGGGATTACAGGTGTGTGCCACCACGTCCGCCTGATTTTGTATTTTTAGTAGAGACAGGGTTTTGCCATGTAGACCAGGCTAATCTCGAACTCCTGACCTCAGGTGATCCACCCGCCTCAGCCTCCAAAAGTGTTGGGATTACAGGCGTGAGCCACTGCACCTGACGGAACATGGGTTTTTAATACCTTAATTCTGCTGGTGTTTTTGGTTCTCCAGGAGAAAGTGCAAAGCTAAACATCAAAGTGTATACAATCAAAGATCACATCTTCTATACTTTTTATTTGCCTTGCCCATTTACTAAAGCGTTTTCCAGATTTTGGAAAGTTTAAGCACTACATGTTTCACCACACTGTAGCATGTATTTCAAACTTATCAGGTAACCTCGAACAGTATTCATGTATTAAAGGTTCAGTTTTAAGTTTATATTCTCAGTATCTTGGTAACCCAGCATATATATGTTAAATTTTCCAGTAACACATTTAAAAGATCTTACCTGGGTGTGTTGATCTGGCACATATCTCTGGTCCCAGCTACTTGGGAGGCTGAGGCTAGAAGATCACTTGAAGCCAGGAGTTTGAGGCTAAACTGTGCTATTATTGTGCCTGCAAATAGTCCCTACACTCCAGCCTGTGCGACATAGTAAGACCCAGTCTCTTGATAAAAACAATACAAAAAACAAAACTGACGATGCACAAAATTCAGATGGAACTCAAAATTCAGTTTTGCTTTTCCAAATTCATATTTTAATTGGTCTAGCCTAAGTATGTGTTCTGTACAAACCTAATTAATCCTTAATAGATAATTCTTTGTCAGTTAGGAATGTGCTCAGCTGTAAGTAACAGAAAAGCTTAAAACATGCATTAAATAAAGAGTTTCCTTATTTCCCTTAGCAAAATGACTGGGGGTAGATAGCTCCTTGGATAAATAGTCTAACAATGTCAGGACAGTTGTCAATACAATTCTCTTGGCTCATCCCTTGGCCATATTGTCTCATGGCAGCAAGATGGCTGCTATACTTCCAGACTCAAGAAATCCATATTATCCTTCCCACCATACCTCACTGCATGCATCTGTGTCACACGGCCATTCCTAGCATCAAAGGAATCAGGAAAGTATTGAGATGAGTGTATTGTTCTTCTCATCAAAATTGGTATTCTTTCACTTTTATTTATTTATTTATTTATTTATTATATTTAAGATCAGTCAAATGTAACAGTAGGAAAAGAGAAGGAACAAAGAAATCTGTAACTGGTTGTGATTAATTAGTTGTAAATACTACTACACTCAAACCAGAATTTTTTTTTTTTTTTTTTTTTTTTGAGACAGAGTCTTACTCTGTCACCTAGACTGGAGTGCAGTGGTGCCATCTTGGCTCACTGCAAACTCCATCTCACAGGTTCAGGCAATTCTCATGCCTCAGCCTCCCAAGTAGCTAGGATTACAGGTGTGCAACACCAAGCCTGGCTAATTTTTTTGTATTTTTAGTAGATGGGGTTTCAACATGTTGGCCAGGCTGGTTTTGAACTCCTGACCTCAGGTGATCCTCCTGCCTCGGCTTCCCAAAGTGCTAGGATTACAGGTGTGAGCCACTGCACCCAACCTCAAACCAGGTATTCATTTTGTGAAGGAAGGAGGAAGAAAACGGATATTGGAGAGTCAATGAATGATGCTTTCCCCAGATACCTTTGAAAACAAACCTTGTTTTGATTGATGTCCCTGCCAATTAGTGAAGTCCCATCATCCAGGTGCAGAGGCTAGATGACGGTGTGACAAGGGAGGTCCTAGCATGTCTCTTTCTCTTCTCTGTTACCATGTCAAAGAATCTGGGTTTTTATTGTTGGTGGAAGAAACCTTGGCAGTTGCTTACTATAACCCCCCATTTTATTCATGATGAAATAGACAACTAGAGAGCATAAATCAGTCATCAAGATTATAAAATTAGTTAGTGGCAGATCTAGAACAAACCCACAAATTTCCTGATTCAGGCCAGGACTTTTTTTGTGTACCACACTGTCTCTTTTTATTGTTGGCCTCTTGGTCCTGCATAATTTGTCTAGAGTGGAGATTTGGAATTGTGGCTCCACTGAATTCCCTCTCTGTAGGTGTTCCCCACATTCAGAATCCCACATTCTCCAACTGGAATCCCCAAAATTAGTATTTCCAACCCTTCCTTACAGTTGGTTACAGAAATATAAATGTAAGCTAATACGATTTCAATAAGTGTTAGTTCTTTTTTTTTTAGCTGTGACAAGTGGCAGCAAGAGCAATACATATTAGTTCTAATTCCACGTATCTTTGCTGTAATTAATGAAAATGTGACATTCTACGATTTTAAATTGGGTTCATAATTTCTATTTACCATGTTTTACTTTGTTTTTTCCCCCAGTCTTATTTAATTATTTTTCATGTTCTTTGTTTTTAAATGGAAGTTATATATTTTGTTTCTATTTTCAATGGTTTCTCACAGGTTTTTAACAAGCGCACATGACTCGTTTGTTTTAATGTCTAATCATTACAGTCTTCCACTATCAATATATTATTTCACTTTTCATTTTTTTACCCTCTGTACTAAGCCATTATTATTTTTACTTCAGTATTTACTTGAATGTTTTCTAATTTCTTTGATCATTGTAATTTGTACCTTTCCTTTCTTCTGGTTCAGTGTTCTTACTGAAGTATACCGTTGGTGGTTCTTTCACTGAGGAATCTGAAGACGATAAACTCTACCAGTCTTTATTCAAAAATCTCTTTATCATATTCTTAATCTTTAATTTAGTTGGATATACAATTCTAAGATTTTTGTTTTTTCATAGCACTTTGAGGATATTATTCTGTTTCCTGCTGGTTCTGTTTTTGCTGACAAAAATTCTGTTTCAGTCTAACTTGTTCTTCAGATAATCTGAGTTTTCTTTGTGGTTGTTTTTAATATATATGTGTATTTTTAACTTTAGTATTATTTATGTTTACTATGATGTCTTTAGCTATGAATTTATTTTCATTTATTTCATGTCTGTATAACTCTCATTGGATAATGTTTGACCATCTTATTCTTTCCTTCATGTCTCTTAGCATTTTTTTTTTTTTTTAAATTTGAGATGGGTGTCTCACTGTGTTGCTTAAGCTGGTCTCGAATTCCTGGGCACAAGTGATCCTCCTGCCTCAGCCTCTTAAGTAGCTGGGATTACAGATATGAGCCAATATGCCGAGTTTTTAGCATTTAAAAAAATTATATATGTGTTTATTTATTTATTCTGTACTAATTGGAAGTAATTTATTTAGATCTACCTTCCAGTTCACACGTTAGTTCTTTAGCTACTGATTAGCCTGTCCATTAAGGATTTTAATTTTAATAAACATACTTCTCACTTCGGCAAGTTTTATTTGGCTATTTTTCAAATTTGCCTTTCCTTTTTTCATTGTGTTCTGTTCTTTCATTTTTATGGTGATTCTGTCTTTTATCTATTTTATCATTCTAAGCATACTTATTTTATGGTGTCTCTCAGACTGTTTTATGACATTAAGTTATTAGGGTTCTAATCCTCCTGTTTCTTGAGTCTTCTGACTTTCCCTTACGAAAAATTGCTTGTGTGGCTTGCCTTTTTTTATTTTGAACTTTTCTTCCTCTGTGGGATTCTTGGACACACCAGGTTGTGTCAGTGACCGTAAACATAGGTTTTGGGGTTTGCTTTTGTCAAGTTTATTTCCTTTATTTGTACATTAGATTCTTTATTTGAGATTTTAAAGTAACTCAGGACTATAAATGCGTACTCTCTATGTGCATGAGGTGCATCTGAGGGAGTTTTAATATTTGCTGATTTTTTTCTTCTTTTGTAGCGAGCAGAAACAAATTTCCTTGTTGCTTACTTGAAGTAATATTTCTCACATTTACTATGTCCTTTCATGTGCTCACTACTCTAACCATACTTTTTCTTTATTTCTGATGCAGGCAACTTTATTCTGTCTTTCAAACTCAACTATGTATTCCATTTCTTTTTGTCATATTTCATCCAGCATTTCCATGAGTTAGAGGAGAAAGTTGTTTGTGTTAGTTTGGCTTGCTGTGTTGCTAGAAACAAAAAGCTCATTATTATTATTGTTATGTATTAATTTGACCAAAGCACTATTTATTAAAAGACTGCTGCAATTCTTACTATTCTTGTCATTTTTAGGTGATTTTTAAGAACAGAATCATATGATTTCTGGGATCAAATCCACAGCTAATCCAAGTTGCAACATTTCCATATTGTTTTTGATGACTGGGTTTCATACTTAGATTAAACTCATGGCATACAGATGGAAAGAAATAGCTTTTATAAATTGATATCCATCACACACTATTTTGAATTCCTTTGACCAAAACAATGTCAGAATTTTAGCTATAGAGTTTTTGAATATTTATTTTTCTTCATTCCTTTATGATTCCTATTTTAATTTTACCTGCATCCACCCTTTTCTTCTCCTGTTATAGCCCCCAGATTGGAAGAGGTGAAAGGAAGACAGTAAAAGAATCTGTGAGAAACAACAGAAAAAAAAAGTTATAAATTGGCAGAAGGAAAGAAATTTTAAAAGATTAAAGAGAAGAGAAAATACAATGATGGTATCCCAAAAGGGCATGAATAAAGAAGCTATGGGTCAATGCAAAGAGAAAGGGGCCGGAGGTGCTGGATAGGGAAAGTGAGCGCATTGGGGGTGATGAAGAAATAGCGGAACAGCATCCTTGGTGCCTACTGGGTGCTGGATGTACGTAGTCCTAGGCACTTTTCAACCTTACTTCCAGTGTAGCTTCAACAAATGCATGGACTGTGAATAAGTATTCCATTTGGTAAATCAATTAAGTCAGATAAGTGAAATAACTCATCCAAGATCTGAAGAGTCAGTAAAAACCAGAGCCAAAATTCACCCCAAATCTGTGTGCTTTCACCAAAAACTAGGGCGGGCTTGGAAAGGTCACTCTGCACCCTCGCTGGAGCGGAGGCCAGATGCCCTACTTCTTTCTTCTTATCTTTGCCAGCTAATTACATCTCTGATTAGTGTGGGACAAAGGAAAATGCACAGAAGAGAAGCCTGACAGGGGTGAGAAGGGAATGGCTGGGAGAAAGGAAGATGATTCATTTCTAAGTTCTTTGTCCTCTAGAAAGGCAATAGGCCTCCTAGGAAGAAAATCTGTGTCTATGGAGACAAGTCGGGCCTTGAAGAAAGTGTCACCCAGAGGCAAAAGGGAACAGAAGAGGTGCAGCCTTTTCAGACCTCCCTACCTCAGCAAGCCACAAAAAAAAGTCATAAAAGCCCTTCAGATTTCTTCCTCTTCACTCACAGCATTGCATACTGGCCTGTCCAGTATTGCCCTGTCAGACCCCGCCTCTTTTGAGAGCAGCATATTAACCAGCCAGGGTTTCTTGAGCCTCTGAGGGGTGCATAGGACTCTGTGTCACATCTTGTTTAAGACCAGAACAGCACTTTGGGAGGCCGAGGCGGGTGAATCACGAGGTCAGGAGATCGAGACCATCCTGGCTAACACGGTGAAACTCCGTCTCTACTAAAGATACAAAAAATTAGCCGGGCATGGTGGCGGGCGCCTGTGGTCCCAGCTACTCGGGAGGCTGAGGCAGGAGAATAGCGTGGACCCGGGAGGCGGAGCTTGCAGTGAGCAGAGACCGCGCGCCACTGCCCTCCAGCCTGGGCGACAGAGCGAGACTCCGTCTCAAAAAAACAAAACAAAAAAAAGACCAGAACAACTGAAATAGGGTGTGGGCAATACTCATCAAAAAACTGGTATTAGGCAGCAATTAAAAAAAAAAAAAAAGCAAATACCCTTTTCCCACTGATGACACTGAGTATCATGTCTCCACGTTGCTAGCAGCGGAATGAAAGTCATGTCCTGTACATGGTGAGGGAAACTCACCTTGTCGTTAAAGTTCAAAAGTCAAAATCCCCTTCCTTTTTAAGAAAATATTTTAAAACTTTCTTGCTACTTTTTTTTTTAAAATCACCATTTCCATTGTGTGATTTTTTTTTCCAGAGATGGAAGTAAAGGTCATTTTTAATTCCAAAATTCTAGTTTAGTGTTATCTCGAATCAACTCTTGATAAACCCATCATTTAAAATGGTCTATTCTAATTAGAGACCAATCTGAGGCTTTTAACCGGCTCTGTCTTAGGTGCATGTAAAGCCTGCTAAATATTTCGGAGGGCGGGTGAACTTCCCTTTACAAATCTTAACTTGTCTACACTTTTGAACTCCCTTTCCCTTTTAAACCTACCTAGGTTAAAAATTAAGCCCCTACGGAGAAGGGCACCTGTATTTGCTCACCCTATTATGCAGCTATCCTGAAATGCATTGCAGCTGTCTAAATTAGCATAATTAAGTCCACATCAATTAAAAACCTCAATCACCTCTCTCCCCTTCACATGTAGATGATGACATTTGTCTAAGGTGGGAAGTAACAAAGAAACTTTTTACCCGTTGAAGACCTGGCTGAAAAGAAGGGTAATCAGATTGATCTATTGTCCCAGGTTTACCTTAACACTAGGAGAAGTGGTCCATGAATGCCGCCTGGCCAAAGTAGGATGTAGTTTGCATTTCAATGCCACTAGCACGCAGGGCCGGCCATTGAAGATGCGCGTTTTACAACAGGCCTCTCCTCTAGTGCTCTTTAGCCTCCAGTAATGAGGATAAACAAAGCACCATTATGACTTTGGTGGTGCTAGTTGTTATTTTTAAACTGGGGAAGCCTAGTGACCTTAGGATAGTGACAAGACTACACCGTGTGGTGCAGGCAAAGAAAATTCCTAGAGATGAAAACTGACATGGGGTCCAGGGGTTAATTTCTGGAACAGACAAATTTGCATACAAATGAAAAATGATGGGATTTCTGTTCTCCTAAATTTTCAGTGTCATCAGCATCAAACAGCAGCCTGTGCTCCCTTGCTGTTTGAAGAATACTCATTACTTTAGAAGATGGGGCACCTTGTTTGGTGTTCAACTCAATGCGGGTCAATGACTTAATTTGTGCAATTTCTTGGAGACTGAGTTTTCTGTGCATCTTTGTAATTCTTCTAAATATGGCTTGAGTAATATTTATTTTTATAGTTATAGACTTCTCTGAATAAACACTAACGTGTGGTTGACTTCCTTTGAGCATTCACCTTTTTTATCCTCAGGAGGTGTTTAACGACACATAGCTGACTTTTTCTTTGTACGAGATTGCAGAGGAGGACAAGTTGGTCTATGTCAAAAGTTACTAGATACAAGAGATACAGGACACGACAATGCTTATGATTTTCCCCAAAGCATATGAAATTTCTTCATCCTGACTTAGTTATTTGTGCTTTTTTGATGACACAATTCATACCTGCTCATTTTTATAATTTTAGTGTCAAAAGACAAAATTATAACAAATTTAGAGATCAAATTGGCTTTCATTAGTCATTCATTAATCCAGCCGCATTCCATCTAAATATTTAGAAAAGGCGCCCCAAGCAGAGGAAGTTGGCTTTATACACAGAAAAGGGCTGAAGAAAGCAGACACAGAACCAGAATGGGTTGGTCATTTCAAAGTTACTTTCCTTAGTGCTGAAACGGAGGGCATGTTCTTATCATGCTGGCTCAGGTAAATTAGGTTCATTCTGATTGGTTGCTGTGAAGCTGCTGTTTTTTTGCTTGTGTGAGTGTGTGTGTGTTTTAAACTGGCCCCTTTAAAATTTCAGTTTGATTGTGTGGCACCTAGCATGAGTGACTCTATTCTGGTTTGCTCTGGTCTGCTAGGACCTAGTGCAGGAGCTCCGTTCAAAACAATGGTCTCCCCTAAATGTCATTTAACATTAGAAAAATATAAATACGCAAAAAGAAGAGAATAAAAATCCTTGAGTCCCAGTTCCCCGAGATGACTGCCAGGTAATAATTTTTAGTATGTATTCTTTCTCATCCCCTTTTCCCATCTGTTATTACTTTTAAGTATCAGCTCATTGAAGGCAGGGAGGTGGTCTGGTGTGCTCTGAGCTAAGGCTGTCCTTAAGGAAATGGTGCTGGTGGCAACTTTTAATGAGTCAGGCCCTCTCTCCCGCTTCTCCACGATAGCGCTAGTTATCTGTGAGACCCTAGATAACTTTCTGAAACCCCTGAATTTTCTTTTCTGAAATACAGATCACTCTAGATGCTGCTATAAATTAATGATTGCATCATGCATAAACTTTAGAAAACTTACAAAAGGAGAAAGTCCCACTTCCAGGATCTGAAACGTTTAAAAAATCCCTTAAAGAAATAGTATTGAGGCAGCTGAATTGCTATGATGTATAAACCATAAAGGCAGTGTAATAATGTGTAGAACAGTAAAATGTATTTGCTTAACCTAGAACTTCACATGCATATATAGTGGGTCATATATATCTCTGGCCTAATAAATACCTTATTAGGTGTTTATTCTTCACATATATGTGAAGAATTTATGCCATAAATTTTTTCATCAATTAAATTATTTTTATTTTTATTATGACTTGCCAAACGGGGATTTGAAGCCAACAAGCGAAATATTTCAAAGTCCAGATTTCCTGTTTAGACAAGGCATTTTATAGTGATTCCAGTCTGTTTTCACCTAACCTCGTGTAGTCAATATCACAAAGATATAATTAGAAAATTGGGTACAATATTTAGCCCTGGTCGCTGTGTGATGGAATTGTTTGACTGCTGAGTAACTGAAGCTTGTTTGCATCCCAGTGTGTTGTGAAGGCAAACTTCAAAGAAAATATTATATCTCCCAACTCCAGCTCCTGAGTGTCTTGGAAGTATAATACAGCAAGGCTTAAAACTCCCTGCTGAGGAAAGGGCAATTTGACACTGAAACTACTGTTAAATCGTTATTGAAACACTGGTTTGCAAAAGAGTTCTTATTAGATAAATATAGTTAAAGCCTTAAAAAGCAGGGGGAAAATACACCCAAGTCATAGGAAAAAAAATGGGGGAGAAAAGTCTTTAAATTTGGACAGTATGTGTTGACAAAATTTGGAGATTTTAAAACATGTATCTACACATTTATTTTATAAATTGTACATAAGACTGGCTCCTTTTCCAGTGCAAAATCAAATATTTAGATTTGCACAAACCTATGGAAGCCAGATTTTAGACAAAAAGGGATTTTTTTGTCAGACTGTCAGTCTCTGAATTTCATCACAATCTGTTCAGCTGTTTTTGTTGCAGGCAGGCGTAAAACGTACTGGGTAAGTGTGTGTTTGTATTTATTATTAAAATGGGGATGCTAAATCCTGCTTTCGAACAGTCTTCACGTTCTTTAAGTCTGTACTGGTCATAGAGAAGCAGAATCATGATGTGTGTGTGTGAAAGTCATACATGAAGGTGAGGGAGCCAGTGCAACGACAAACACCCATGGGCAGTGACTCTTCGCAAAATAAGTTTCTGAGCATTTTAAAAATGACCCCGGCATTTTGCCTCAATAACTTTTCCTGCACTTACAAGTACTGATTCTTGCCTTGAAGAGGGATGGGGAAATGATGTGTTGGTGGCAGATCTGAATAAGTTTTATTCAATGTCATGATTCCTTTATCCCATCCTCTGCACTAATCTAAAAATAATAACTGGGGTTGACAGTTTCAACAGCATTTAGTGTACATGTATGATTGTATGCAAAAATTGCCTAAAAGAATATTGACGATAGAACTTGAACCTCCAGTAGGTGAGACATTATAGTAAAAAGCAAACACATGTCAAATCATATAGAATTTTGTTTATGAAGCAAATTCTTCCTTCAGCCAGGGCTTTTTGATACATAGCACTTGATGTACAAAACCTCACCTGTTGGAAATGAGATGAAGCTGATATTTCCCTTGATGTTTCCCATGGTGACTCACACCTGAAATCCCAGCACTTTGGGAGGCTGAGGCAGGTGGATTCCTTGAGCCTAGGAGTTTAAGACCAGCCTGGGCAATGTGGTGAGACCCCATCTCTACAAAAAAATACAAATATTAGCCAGTGTGGTGATGCACGCCTGTAGTTCCAGCTACTAGGGAGGCTAAGGGGGGAGGATCATCTGAGCCCAGGTAGTTGAGGCTGCAGTGAGCTGTGATTGAGTCACTGCACTCCAGCCTGACAGAGTGAGACCCCATCTCAATTAAAAAAAACCCAAACAAATAATATTACCCTTCATAAATGAAGCTCTTTTGCACAAAGATGATAATACAGTTGTTCCTAATTGGATTTACTAAGACAATGTGAACATTTGTCTATTTTCATGTTTTAAAGATCTACGATAGAAATTTTACCTTTCACTGAGGGTATTAGTCATCTATGGCTGCCATAATAAAATATCTTGGACTGGGTGACTTAATCAGCAGAAATCTATTTCCTCACAGTCTGGAGGCAGGAGGTCTAAGCACTCCTGGTTTGAAGACAGCACATTCTCGCTGTGCTGTTACATGGCCTTGTCTCGTGTGAGCACAGGGAATATCTCTGGTGTGTCTCTTCCTCTCTTATAAGGACAGTGGTCCCATTGGATTAGGGTCCCACCCAAATGACCTCACTTAACCTTAATTACCCTCATTCAGGACCTATCTCCAAATACAGAGACATTGGGAGTTAGAGCTTCAATATACGCATTTTGTAGGGTACAATTCAGTTTATAACACTGACATAAACCCACAGGCTCACTGGAGCCCTGAATCTCTGCTTCTGGCCAGCTTTAGATCAACTCAGTGTAAGAATCATCTCCACATTCTGATCAGAGTTCTGATTTGAAATTTTTTATGTTTATGATTAACAACATATGGGAAAAATGAATGCTTGTTGCTCTATAAATGTGGGTTAGTCGACAAATTATTTCTAAACATAGGGTCTTTAAAGAAAAAATAATTAAAGGAATTCTTGGTGGTTAAAAGGGGTTGGGAGTCACTGAAGAGTCTACTACCTGCCTTCAGAGGTGGATTTAACCAGGGAGTCCCTTGAGATCACATTCAGCTTTCAGAGCTGAGTGTCTGTGTCTGAGTGGAAAAAAGTAGACTGTTTCTTCTCTGCTGTCACACCACAACAATCACCACAGATGACTTCTGTGACCAAATGTGTGTAGGGTTCCCCCTCACCCCTCTACACTAAGCAAGCCATCAGTTCTACAGGGGACATCAGCCGGATGTCCTCTAATTCAATTCAATCCCAGCACTGTCGACCTGAAGTTAGTGACAGATCCCATAGGGTGCTCCCACAAGACTGCGGCCACTTCCGATGCCAACTGCAAGCCCCAGGTTATTTTACCTGTGCTTCAGAGCCACTGGCTATAAATTGGGGTTCCTACAACCCCCTCCTTGGATTCAATTAATTTGCTAGAGTGGCTCACAGGACTCAGGAAACACTTTACTTCATTCACTGGTTTATAAGAAAGGATATTATAAATAACACAGATAAAGACAGGCATAAGGTAAAGTATGGGGTTGGGGTGTGCAGCGTCCATGCCTTGTCCAGGGACACCAGCCTCCAGGAACCTTCATGTGTTCAGCTATCTGGAAGCTTTCTCAACCCTTTAGTTTTGAGTTGTTATGGTGGCTTCATTACCTAGGCATGATGGATTAAACGAATGTCCATTGGCCATTGGGGATCAACTTAACCTTTGGCCCTCTTCACTCCCCAAAGGTTGAGGGGGAGTGGGGCTGAAAGCTCCAATCCTCTAATCTTGCCTTGGTCTTTCCTGTGACCAGCCCCATCCTGAAGCTACCTGGAGGCAGCCAGCCCCAGTAAACTCAATAACATACTTTGGAGATTCTAAGGATTTTAGGAGTTGTATGTCAGGAAATGAGGTTGAAGAAAATATATGTGTTTTGCAATATCAAACTATGAATTCAGGTTGTACTTATGATTATATCTAAAGAATGAAGAATTATATGGTTTAGAGAACCCATTGAAATATAACAAAGTAGTTCTCCCTCCAAATTTTTAAAGAAGTGACTATTGCTACCAGATTTACAAAGAATAATAAAATTCCCAAGCCTGGCTGTGTACTCGAAGACTGGTTGTCTGGATGCTCACCAATCCCATTTCCTCTTCTGGGGCACACAGGGAGACTCCATTTTCCAGGCTCCTTCAGGATGGGCCATGTGATTAAGTCCTGGCCAATTGGAAGTGGATGGAAATGATGTACAACAGTTCTAGGACTGGCTAGAAAACTGTGTGATTTTTCGTAATCTTTCTTCTCCTTCAATAGCAACAATGGAGGCCATGTATTGAAATCGTATGACACGAAGAGCCTGAGTTTTATAGGTATCACCTGAAAGAAGAATTCAGAAAAACTCTCTGATTTTGGGGGAAGCAAAAAATAAACTTTATTGTGAATCTACTGAAATTTGGGGATTGTTTGTTACAGCAGATAACATTAATTGTCTTTACAAACATAATACTAAGAAAAAAATTTTAAGAATTTTTGACAGCAACCTAAGTTTTGTCTATTGAAATATACATACTGTTTAAGAAATACTATTCAAAAATACAGAATTTCCATTTGCCTAATCATCTTAAGAAGTCTAATGTAGTTGCTATCATTGGATCACTTTTGTCTCCCGCAGCAAGATTCTGGTCAGAATCTTTCTAAATTGACTATTAGTTAATGTTTTCCACTAGGCACACCCACAAATCACAACAGGCCTTCAGACTTCAACCTGTTTCCATCTTCAATACTAACAAATGCTGGGAAAATTGATTTAAAGGTCCTGATCAGATGCCACCTATACTTTCCCCTTTCCCCTAAATTATACCCTGCTGAAAACTCTATATCTTCTGAATTTCATTTGTCTAGGAAAATCACTGTGTATCTCAGGTTGTGCCTGATGTACCTACCCAATGAGTTTGCAGTGGCTGCTGAGGGCACTGTGTTGTGAAGGACTCAGAGGTGGTGACTGAGTTCATTGGAATTCTCTTTGTCTGCCAGGGGCCAGAGAGTGGGGAGTAAAGCCTGGTGTATCACATCGTTGCCCATCGCTGGCTAACCCTGTGTTTCAGAATATTAACCACAGCATCTACCTTGGTTAGGGTCCAGTCCTGTTGAAAATGGTGAAACCCATCTAATGCCATACCCTTGATCCAATAAGTACCGTTCTATTGTGCAGCAGTTGGTTGCTATTTTTGGAGCTGTGTTCATTTAGGTCAGACTTACACTAATTTGTTGGACTCATCTCCAATCATCATTGAAGATGGCATTGTATAATATCTGCTATATAGAGTTTAGAGTTCACGAACATGCTAACAGATTCTGTGCCTTCTATTAGAATGCCAAAGATGATGGTAGGTTTTAGTAAGTGAGCATTGTCATAGACTGTTGATGGGGCTGTACATTGCTATAAATTTTCTGTAGTACAATCTAGTTATGTGCACCAAAATGTAAAATATATCTACACTTTGACTCAGTAACTGTACTTTTTGGACTTTATCCTGAAAATACAAGTGGATGTTTACATATAAGGATATCAATTACAGCCTTGTTTTTAGTACCAATATCCATCATTAAAGGACTGATAGAATAAGTTATAATATATTCATATAATGGAACACTATGCAGTCTTTGAATTAGATAAGGCAGACCAATGTGGCATGAAAAGCTATTCTTGATACAATGTAAAATAAAGAATGCAGGTTGTAGAACAGTTTGCACAGTATTAATTTGTCTAATGTGCAGCTCATAGAGAAGTGCATATTATTATTCTATCTAGTGTATATATAAAAGCCTTTTATGATAAAAATATCATAAATAGTAAATGCTGGAAGTACATATTCCTAATGTTAAAAAGAGATTACATTTGTAGGATACAATGGAAACAAGGAGAGTGGCCTGGTTGAGGCAGCTGAACATTATATACTTCGGCATTGTTCAATTTTTTTAAATTACCTTCTTATCAGCAAAAGCAGTATAATTATTTCATTCTGAGAAGAATAAAAGAAACATTAGAAGCTAATAATTCCTCTATTTTCTTTAAAATAAAATCCTAATACAAGAATTCAAAAATCTATAGAAGATGCGTAGATTCTTCTAATATACATATTGAAGTCTACCTTTATGGGAAAACAATCAACCTAAGGAAATTGGAGGCAATCGGCCACGTGTGGTGGCTCACGCCTGTAATCCCAGCACTTTAGGAGGCTGAGGCAGGCAGATCACGAGATCAGGAGTTCAAGACCAGCCTGACCAATATGGTGAAACCCCATCTCTATTAAAAATACAAAAATTAGCTGGGCGTGGTGGTGCGCACCTGTAGTCCCAGCTACTCAGGAGGCTGAGGGAGGAGAATTGCTTGAACCCGGGAGGTGGAGGTTGCAGTGAGCCGAGATCTCGCCACTGCACTCCAGCCTGGGCAACAGAGCGAGACTCCATCTGAAAAAAGAAAAGAGAAGACAAAGAAAATGGAAGTAATCATGGTCTGCATTGGGAAGTCTGGTTTTATATCCAAATTTTCGTGGAAGTTTCCTATTTCTGGAGAATACTAGATGATGTATCAAATGACAAGAAAATGCAGTAAAAAGTAGAGAACCCAATCAAGAAGGTCAGTGTGTGTAGTGGGTAGCACAGCTATAGATTTTTACCTGCCTGGATTCTGTTTCCCCTTCTTCTGGTAATAGACATAATAATGCCAGCTGCTTCCCATATTTTAGTGGTTCAGTGGGCCCTGCTCTATTCTGGCCAGTGGGTAGACATGGGACTGAAGCTACATCCATGAATTTCTACTAAGAACTGAACTTTTGTACACAATTACACAGGGAATAATTAGAGCTTCTTACATCTCCGGAAGCCTAGTTTTGTTTTGTTCTGTTTATTTGTATTTTAACTTTTCCAAGGCCTTGTCATTCACTTATTCAACAAGTATTTATTTATGCCCAGTACTTGGCAAAATAGTAAAATATCCTTGTCCTAATATTCTACTGGAGACAGCCCATTATAAATACAAATCAGCAAGCATAAAGTCTACGAGACAATCGTTAAGTGCAAAGGAGAAAAAATAAAGGAAGGCAGGAAGATAAGTTCATTGTTGGGTTAGGATTGACATTTTAAGTAGACATCAGTGAAGGCCTCTCTGAGAAGGTGACGTGTGAGAAAAGACCAGAAGGGGTTGTAGGAGTGAGCCATACAGAGATCTGGGGAAAGCTCTGGAAACGCAGAGGTCTGAGGTGCACCAGGCATGTGTGAGTGGAACAGAGGGAAGGAGGAATGCTAGCAGGCAGCAAGGTCAGAGAGGTCTGGGGCTGGGGGCAGATCACATAGGGCCACATAGGACAGAGTGAAGATATGAGCTTCACCTCTGCAAGAGATGAGAGCCGCTGATAGGTTTCAGTGGAACCATGACATTACTTGACCAACTTTTAAACACGATCTATCTCCATTAGGTTGAAAATAGCCCGAAGAAGGGCTGGGGCAGAAGTGGAGGGACCAGTTAGGAAGCTCCCACATTCATCCAGGTGAGGGATGACAGTGGCTTGGAACAGAGTGGCAGACCTTGAGGTGATGAGAAACAGTGGGATTCTGGAAATGCAGTTGACCTTTGAACAACATGGGTCTGAACTGCGTGGGTCCATTTATACACGGATTTTTTTCAACCAAACACAGATGGAGGGGTGAGAAATAGAATATATATTTCTATACAGAAGGCTGAATTTTGGTATACATGGTTCCACAGGGCCACAGCAGGACTTGAGTATGCATGGATTTGAGTATACATGGGGGTCCTGGAACCAATCCCCTGAGTGTACAGAGGGATGGCTATGTTCTGTTTATCAGCTTTCCTTTGACTCTACCAGAAACTCCATGTACTTTCTATTTTTCTTTTTAAAGCTAGACATTTTGGATTTTTATTCTTGGAACCCAGGAACACCAACAGATTCAGAATGTCCATAAATAATGGGAAAAACAAGATGCTTTTACTAACTCTGTGACCCTGGGTAAATGGCTTAACTCTTTGCATCTCATTTCTTCATCTGTAAAATAGGAAAGTAATAACAGATTGAACCATATGAAACTGTCATTTTGGCAGGTCAGAAATGACCAAATATTAACACTTTCATATGGCTCACCTCTAAGCCATACCGTATTTGTTGTCATGTGGATTAAATAAGCTAATACAAGTAAAACACTTAGAACCATGTCTAGCGCATCGTAAGAGCTAGGTAAGTGTTAGTTGTTACTGCTCTTATTATTATCAGTGCTTTACATTTCCAACATTTTTTCACATTCCTTTTCTAATTCAGTCCTTGTGACAGCTTAGTGGGACAGGCAGGGCAGGCAGCATCACCCACATGCTCAAAAGAGCCTTCTGCAGCACTTTAGAAGGTGTTTGTTCACACATCATGCCATTTGATTCTCAGAACAACCCCATGTGGTATGAAGCACACGTATTCAAGTCTGCTTTGTGTATTTAAATAATGAAATAATAAGAAAATAAGTAATTCATATATGTTTGATTTATTTCCCCCAATAATAGGATAAAATTGTTATGTGTTACCCTCACATGGATATTTTAATTGATGAGATGCATGAAAGCAGAGTTCGGAGCTCTCGATCTTTAAGATCCAGTTCAGTGATCATGTCCTGCAGGCTCCAGAGCTCTTCGCTCCCATCTGTTGGTAGAGAGCACTGCTCTGTGAACAGTACATGTGGTGTTCTTGCCTTTCTGTCTGTGCGTCCTACCGCCTCTGCTTGGACTCCCTGTTTGTCTCTGATTTCTGCATGCTCGTAGAGTATCAGACACAAAGTGGCTGGCCAATAAATGGTTAAAAAATGAACAAGGAACTAAGTGAAGGAATGAATGAATGATTATTATTTGGTTTATTTGTTAGGAAACCAAGACCCTAATAGTGAAGTGAATTGCTTCATTTCAACACAGCTACGAAATGAATTAGCCAAGAATCACGCCCAGGTGGTGGAAAATCATGTCCAGAATGCCATCCAATGTGGCATGAAACTTCAGACCAAAATGAAGCCATAGGTGTGCTCAGCTTGGAGTGTGCCTACAAGACAAAAACCCACCCCAGATGGTATATCCAATTTAATCAACATCACCTGTGAGCCAAACTGAACAGTAAATGTTAAGACAGGATCACTAATAATGGGGACCTGGAATGTAGCCAGAATTAAAACAATGATCTGCTTAACAATCCCTCTGGGCTGGATGCATGTGGAGAACGGATAAATGCTGGATATCGAAACAGCTGCTCTATGGCAAACTGAAATGGGGCAATCATAGATAGCAAAGGGGGAAGAAACACTTGAAAGTTGTCTTAAATAAAGTAGTGCTTTAAATAATGTGTGACCTAGCTGTGGCCTTTTGAGAAGCAACCACCACACGCAAACTACCCTGGCGTGCATCTCTAGAGAGTGAGGTGGCTTTGGGTGAACAAAGCCTATGGAAGTAGAAAAGGCAATGATGGCTGGTGCCACCTGTCCCGATACACAGATTGTATTAATCCAAACTAACACTGGGAATCACCTCAGAACACAAAGGCCAGTGCTCCAAATGAAAATCCCGTGAGTTACCTCTTCCTGAAATTTGCCTCCTAAATATGACCATTTTCTGCAAATGCCTTGTAGCCATTGTATAAAATCCCATGTCTTTCATGTACTCTCTATTGTCTAATTATTTTAAAATTATAATTACATGGTGTCTTCTCATCAGGATCACAAATTGCCTTAGAACAGAAACCAAAGTTGATGTTCAAAATAAGTAATCATCAGCATGGCACAGGTCAAGACCAACCAGAATGCTAGTTTGTAACACCATCCTGGCTGGTCCAGCCATTGCCCCCCTTCTTTTCGGTTGATGACTTTAAACTAGGAAGTATAGTAGGACTGTAAACAAAGGACTTCCTGATTGATTGATTCCCCATGTTCATTTTTATAGTCTGTCATTTGGGGAAATCCCATATCAGTGTGTAATTTATCATCCATACAACTGTATTAAAATAAGCATGCTAATTACAGACCTGGGAGTAGGGACTGAAAAATAAGCAGGCAAACAAGTAAAGAATCAGTTGTTCAAAATAAAATTTTCATGTATTTAATAGTCATTTTGAAATACGTACTCTCTGTGTATGTATTTACTGTGCTTATCCTTGGGAATACAGATAAAAAGAATGTATTTACTTAGGGAACATCTAGATGAGTAAAAATACACATTTCACCACCGCTACTATCAAATATAATGTGTCCAAATGTTTTAAGAATAAGTTGTTATAACTTTTTGTATTGATATGTAATATTTGGACACATTTATGGGGTACATGTGATATTTTGTTACATGCACAGAATATGTAATGATCAAGTCAGGGTATCTGGAATATCCACCACCTCAGGTACTTATCATTTCTATTTGTTGGGAACATTTCATGCCCTCTTTTCTAGCTATTCTGAAATATACAATACATTGTGGTTAACTATAATCATCCCTTATTCTAATATGAAACATTAGAGCTTATTTCTTCAATTGAACTGTATATTTGGACCCATTAACCAACCTTTTTCATCTCTCCCCCATTATAATTATTTTAACAGCTGTGAGATCACTATAGAGTCGGTAAGCATAGTTGAATTTCATGTATATAAATAACGGATCGTCTCCTCCAAACTTCCCCGTGCAGGAATTCCTATCACAGCTTCCCTGAGAGGAGGTTAGCAGATTTGACTATTCACAATACTTGGGAGAGGGGCTATTGCCTCATAAAGGAAGCTACATGTTTTTAATTAAAAGAATGTTCATATTTTTAAAAAGCAGTTTGCAAGATATTCTATAATTGTGGATTTTCCCTACATGCTCTTCTCTAAACCATTTACTATGAATTTAGGTAAACTGCCTCTTCAGATCCAAGAGATTTTTAACCTATAACCAAAATGTCTTCTGATTTTGATCCTTAAATAGGAAAGAGTTATCAAGTGTAACTTTCACTAAATCTCAATAGCCATAGGATTACATCTGTTGAAAGGGCATTTATTTATTTATTTATTTAGAGACGGAGCCTCACTCTGCTGCCCAGGCTGGAGTGCAGTGGCGCGATCTCGGCTCACTGCAACCTCCGTCTTCCAGGTTCAAGCGATTCTCCTGCCTCAGCCTCCCGAGAAGCTGGGACTACAGGCACCCGCCACCACGCCTGGCTAATTTTTTGTATTTTCGCTAGAGATGGGGTTTCACCGTGTTAGCCAGGATGGTCTCAATCTCCTGACCTCGTGATCTGCCCTCCTCGGGCTCCCAAAGTGCTGGGATTACAGGCATGAGCCACAGCGTCCCACCACGAAAGGGTATTTATATAGCAGAAAAACTTAAGGGTAGCAAAGGAAATTTTCATCCATTTCCCCTTGTCCTCATTTATTTTGGTCTTTTGAACCCAGTTGGTAAGTTGTTCACTAATCACTTCATTTAGCTTATAACACAAACTTTCTGCATTTTTTTTTTTTTTAACAATTTTGACTTGGGTAAACATTTTATTGAGTATCTACTGAAATCTGTCTTGGAATAGATAAAGGCCTACTATCACAACTCTCAAGGAGCTTAGAGTCCAATGAAGAATGGTAGAAATGTAAGCAAATAAGAGCAACACAGTGTTGTAAACACTTGCGAGAGGGCATGAGCAGGAATGGATGGGCACCACCAAGAAAGGTGCGGCCAGTTATCTTTTTCCATGTGCACTGGCCTTGGCCAAGATAATCATGTTCTGATGAGAGGAGAAAATAATTTTCTTTAACCTATGAGGCAGGCATCTCTGGGACATAGCCTGTATGTAGATCCTTGTAGGTAGATCATTTAATTAGGATGTTCTTCTCTGTAGCTTTCCCATGGATATTTTAGGATTCATAGTGATAGTTTGAATATGTTCCTGGAGAACAATCTCTACTAGATTTCCAACAATTCATAAGGTCTCAATGGGGAAACTGTTGAAAATCACCTAAACTACCATAACATAGCATTTATATCTTTGGGACTATTTCTGATATATCTGTATCTATAAATCTTTATCTGTAGAGAGGCACTTCATCATTTGAAGAAAATACAGGTGACAAGATGACAGTGATCACAAATACTTTCTACCACCACCACCACCACCACCACCACCATCACATTCCAGGTTATTTGTTTTGAGCCTGGTCTCTGAGATACCTTCTAGGTGACCAAAATAAATTCTCTTGTCTCTCTGACATTGTTTGGTGTTGCTACCAATTAAACTCCTGCTGTAAAGCAGCTTTGTAAGAACACTGCAGTGTCACATTACAAAGAACAGATGTCAAAATAAAGGTTCACTAATTTGAAGCAACTTACATAAATAGAACCTTCAGGTATGTCTGTGACCACAAGAGGAGAAGAAGCAATTGTATTTGTGCAGTTGAATGGTACCAAGGACAGGCTCTTTCCTTGATATGCCAACAGAGAGAATTTTGTTAGCAGTATTCTGTGAACAAAACACTTAAGAGAATGTATGTATACAATAGTTTTGAAAAAAAGGGTTACTGACACAGATGCCAATTTGGTGGGGCATATGGAACATTTACACTTGCCTTTTTCTTTCTTTCTTGCTACAGCTGGTGCTGATTTAGTATGTGAAATTTTACTAGCAGGAGTGCTAATCAAGACAGAGATTCTGTAAGGATTTAGTCATTTATGTAGGGGAAACAACGGGTATCATTAAAAAGTAGAAGATCATCTTATGGAAAAACATTATCATTATCAACCTCATTTTTAAACCAAACAGACACAATGGTACTGTAAGTATCACTTTAGCAGCCGAAAAAGTCAGAATGTTTTCCTTATAATGTTCTAAGAGGATTGCACTCACAGTTTAAAGTTTTGGTAGAGGCACGTTAAAGTTTGGTGTGTCAGAGTAACGCAAAAGGGTGAGCAATTTAACAGTTAGTTGTTGAACTTTTCTGTGCAGTGCTTCGGCAAAACTACTTGTTGGAAACGTCAATTTTTTTTTAAGGCACAAAATTTAGTTATGATAGTATAGAAGGTGAATGCATTTTTCTGAATCATCTGGGGGAAGTTGTGTGAAAGGGAAAAATGTGGAGGGTTTGATTTGTTTTTTTTTTTTCCCGTATTTGAATACAAAGTTTCGCAACATGAGGCCTGATTTTATCTAATAATCCCACTGGCCATACAGGAGTTTAGAGAAAAATTAAATTAAAAAAAATCTTTTCTAAGTAGCAACAAAATCATTGTCAGTACATTAAATATGTTGTACAGGTGGCTTGGTAGAGTTGCAGACCTGAACGGCAGCTACAAGACATCTGCTGCCTGGGGAAACTTGCAATGTGGCGAAGTGGTGTTTGTAGCTCCCTGTGGAAGGGTGCCAGCTGCCCAGGCCTTCGCTTCTGCAGATGAGCGGAGAGTCTTGTGGGGGCTTCAGCTGAAGCCGTGCGTCGTCCCATCCTCCTCTGTCTGAGAATTTAAAGGACAACGAGGACCTGCTGTGAAAAACCTGTGAGATGGTGTTGGGCGAGTCGTAGATCATCTTTCGAATATTCCCCAAGGGCTTTGTCCATCAGTATGAAAATGAGCACATGCCTGCAACGAAACCATTTTAATTCTATTTTTAGGTTGAATTTCTAGAACCTACTGCAAATTTTTTATTATTATCATGATTCATGTCTTAAAAGTCCTCAGAAGAGATATTTGAAGAAAAGTAAAGTTTGCTAAAATGGAAGCAATAAAATATTTTATTCTAAAATAATTAATGGTCATAAATGTCTTAGATGTTTGGTTTGTTTTCCATTTTGACATAAATATGGCACTCTTAAAAGCAGAATACACATTATAACTTATAAATATTAGTGACTTACTAACTGGCCAATTAAAATTCATTTATGGAGTCCCACCCCACAGGCCAAGCACTATGTTAAAGTATGAGGGACAAAGATTGTATAACACAACCCATAGCCCTTGCTCATAATCTAGAATATTTAAAAATTAATTAGCAAATATCTTAATTATTTTATTTACTCGGGTTTTAATGACATTTTTTACTATAAATAAGCTTGACCATTTGAGCTATCTGATTGAAACTGGAAAAGTTGAAGACCTATCCTTAAATACACGAAGATAAAAGGGTGAGTAGGTTTGTATTGTGTCAAAATTTAAAACAAACACTAACTTCTTCCTCTTTTCCCTTCCATCAAAAATTCCTTCCATCCATAAAATTGCCTAAGAAAGGAAGTTTTAAGAAAGAAAAGGACAGGGCCACCAGTTAACGGGATATGTGATTACTTAAACACACTTGACAAAAGAGAATAATGAATTTTTTTTAAGTAAAAAATTAGAGAGATTAAAAAAGTATTTTTAGCCTTATGTTTACACACACACACACACACACACACACACACACACACACTTTAAATTGTGGTGATTTCTGAGCACTAATAAATTCCCTTTAAAAATTCTGTTAGGTTATGTTCAAGGAAATAATGTTTTTTTCTGAAATTGTAACTGATGAATATTGTTTGAGAATTTCCTCAGTGAGGCAATCATTTAAATGGAAAACATTTGTGATAGGTCCTGGGGAAAACCCATTCTTTCCCCCTAAAACTACCTGAGATTGGCTGTTAATCATTTATTTTGCTGTCCATACTTATGAGTAATAAGGAAGAATAAAATGTCATGTTTGAAAAAGGAACAGGTATTCGTTTTCTTTAAAATACATTGGCTTAGTCAGCTGAAGAATAAATTAGGATGGTCCACAAACTGTTAACAGTGACAGCAAGCATATGGCAAATTTGAACTGTGTGCAGGTCAACTTTTACTTTTGCTTTCCAAATGTCTGTCAGTCATTGTTAGGATCTAAATACACGTGTTAATGGGTGAAATTCAGTGATACGAAATCGTTTAGCAAATTCTCGGAGCAAGTGATTTCTTTTTTGGTCTTTGTCTCTCATATACAAACCTTCCTTGATCGCAGTCTTACAAAATTTTACTCAGAAAGAACAAACCCTTTGAAAGGTATTGTTGCCTTTTCTTTGTTCAGTTAGGAAAAAGACAAACAGTATAGTCATATGGCATGTGTGTGTGAATGCGTGAATGTGATATGTGCACATTGATTGATTTCTCCAAGAACCAGTACGGTGCTCAGGTTGGTGCCTTTGCCATCATTATGACTGTCCCTGTCACTAATTGTACCTTTCACTGTGGCAATGGAGAGCCATCTTTTAATTTCTCTCCTTCTATCAGAGCACCCTTGCTTTCTAAAGTCAGTCATGTTTATGGCAGTGGAGACCAACGACAGTTTGACTGTAGTGGAGTATTCTGCCAAAGGTAGTAATAAGCGGACAAGCAAGTGCAGCTGGGATGAAAATTGACATGGAACTCCTGGGACAGACTGGAAGCAGGCTAGAGAAAAAGACGTGAAAGAAAGAAAAGGAGGAACAGAAAAGACTTGAAATAGAAAAGTCTTGAAAAGGCAAACCACCAAACATCCAAAAGGATGAAGGCACTGACCTCAACAAGTTTTCCTGCACGAGGATGAGAAAATGGATGGACTGCAAGGGGCGGGAGCTGCCTCGGTTTTGAAACACCTCCTTCAGAGCAAGTCCTCTGCTGCCTCTGAAAAGATTACGGAGTCAAGTGTTGGAAGCAAGAAATGCTATTCATTTCTCCAGGGCCAGAAGAATTCTGATCATATTTTTAAAATTGCTTGTCAAAATAACAGGGATGCATTGCTTTTTAAGATACCAGAGTTTTCAAGAAGCTCAGTGGTGGAATGTTCTTTGTAGGCGGGGACTAATGGTAGGAGATTCTGTAAGAGAACTGAGCTCCCTACTAGCAATGGGGATGATTGGATCCTTGAAGAGCAGAAGCCAGGCGGCAGCACTTAAGTGTCAGAAGCAAAGTACAGAATTACCACACCAGGTGACAAGGTCATAATGGCAGGCAGAGGAGACTGCAGCCCCTGCGGCAGCAGTTGCCCTGAGGTACGTCAGTCTTCTCTGTTTGGCAGGTGTAATTGAGCAGAATAATCTTAGAAGCAGGGCTGCTGCTACAGAATGTGGAATATGTTGCTTCTCAGGTCCATTGTGACTGTAAAAGAGCAATCACAGTAACTAGGTCTGAGAAGGACATGGAAACAGATCCTAGAGATGAGAACCTGGATCAATGCACCAGGCAAGAAGCACCTACCAGCAAAAGTGCTAACCGAAATAGAGACTCTACCATGAGTGGTGCTATGGTTTGGGTATTTATCCCCTCCAAATATCATTTGATCCCCAGTGTTGGAGATGCTGGAGATGGGGCCTAGTTGGAGGTGTCTGTGTCATGGGGGTGGATCCCTTATGAATGGCTTAGTGTCATCCTCATGATAATGAGTGAGTTCTCGCTCCGTTTGTTCCCATGACAACTTATTGTTAAAAAGAGCCTGGCACCTGCCTCCCCTCTCTCTTGTCATGTGGCATCTGCTCCCCTTGCTTTCCACCATGAGTGCAAGCAGCCTGATGCCCTCAGCAGAAGCGGATGCTTGTGCTATGCTTCCTGTGCAGCCTGCAGAACCAGGAGCCAAATAAACCTCTATTCTTTATAAATTACCCAGCCTCAAATATTCCTTCATAGCAATGCAAAATGGACTGAGATGGGTGATTTTAAGGAGAGAGGATGAATGTCAGCTATTGCCTTGAAGTCAACTGCTGCAGTGGGGGCTGTAGTCTGTCCCATGTAACCTTCCTCTTGCAAAGTTTTGCTGAAAATGCCGACCAACCAGAATCCTGAAAAAGCTATGCCTAAGTGGAAATATTTAGTTATCCATAGAAATGATATTTCCTGGTATAAAGGATTTTACCTTTATACCTTTATTTTGCCTAAGGTTTTTAATAGACTTCTGACTAGTTAGCCTAAACCTGTGTATCTGTAGGTCTTACATGTGATGATGTTTACAACCTTGATAGCTGCTTCATGGTAGCCAAGGTTGTTGGAGTAGGTCATGAATGCTGCCAGCTGGCTTCTTCTACAAATTCATGCCATCCGACCTCAGCTATGGACCCTCCTTGCTATGGAACAGCCTTTTAGTCTCTGTTTTTTTCCCTACTGTATTTCCCACAGCTGCTATTCCAAACCTTTTCCATTGTTCTCAAGTTCAGAAAACTATTCCTGTACATTTTGTATCAGCAGAGGACCTCAAAACATACTTCTCAGTGATTGAAGTTATCCAGTCCAAACTCTAGCTTCTTAATCCTCACTTGGCTTTTGGGATGCTGTTCTCTTGTGGGTATCTTTCTACCTTTCCATTGCTTGCTCCTATTTCTCTTCCCACCTCTCAATTAGGGACTTTCCTACAGTTCTCTTTCGTCATCATAACCATCCTCCTAATAATATGCCAGGCACAAATTACATCAGTGTCATTGCATCCATTCTATCAGCAATTCTGTCAATTACTTGTTCGCAGGTTTCTCTTTAAATCTGTGTTTGGCATTGCCCAGATTAGAATCTTATTTTCTCCCTTCTAGATAGTAGTCTCTCTTCTTTATGTCAATCAGAATAATCTTTCTAAAACATAGACTTGATCAATTTTCCCAACTCAGATTTTGTTTTCACTTTTTATTATAAATAAAATGCTTAATATTTTATTGTGAATATAAGAATTTCTTTTGTGAAATACAGCATACTAGAAGAATATATATATGATATGTAAGTAGCATCTAAACATAATAAAATGATCACTGCTCACAATTCAGCTTAAGAAATAAAATACTACTTTTACTTTTGAAAGCCTTTGTTTTGTGAGGTCCTGCCCAATTGCACCCCCTTCCTCTATCCCATTACATCCTCTCTCCTTTATCTAAAGGTAATTGGCATCTGGAGTTAGGTTTATTTCCTCGTTTCCCTTAAAGTTTACCATATATGTATATATATTAATCTATGTAGAGATGATATGCGTATTTTTAAATAAAAATATGTGTTACAGTGTTGTTTCATTTTGCCTGTTTTTGAACTTCGTATAAAAGAAATTATAATGTATTATTCTACAACTTGCTATTTTCACTCATATGTTTTTGAGAATTTATTTATCTTGATGCATATGTCGGTAATTTGTGTATTTTCACTCTTGCATAGTATTCCATTTCAAGAATGCATCCCAATTAATTTTTTTATTCTTCTTTTATTGGGTATTTGGATTGATTTATTATCACAAACATGTTACTATAAATGTTCTTGCATAGGTTTCCTCATGTTCATGTATTTAAGTGTTTTTCTAAGATGTATACCTAGAAGTGGTATTGCTAGGTATGCACAAATTCACTATTTCCAAATAATTCCAACTTGTTTTCCAATGTGATTTTACCAATTTACTCTATACAAGCAGTGTATGGGAGTTTTCCTTGGTCTATATATTAGGTTGGTGCAAAGCTAATTGTGGTTTTTGACATTAAAAGTAATGGTTAAAAACTGCAATGACTTTTGCACCAACCTACCAATCTTACCAATACCTGGCATTGTTAGACTTTAATTTTTGCGGTCTATTTGGATGTGACATTGTATTTCATGGTAGAATTAATACACATTTCCTTGATCACAATTGACATTGAGAAATTTCTCATGTTTACTCTCTATTTATCTCCTGTGAAAAACTATTCATTGTATCTTTTTTTCATTTTTAGTAAGAAAAATGTTTGAATATTTTTTCCTGGCTAATTTTTGTACTTTTTGTAGAGACAGGTTTTCCCCATGTTGGCCTGGCTGGTCTTGAACTCCTGAGCTCAAGCAATCTGCCTGCTTTTACCTCCCCAAATGCTAGGATTACAGACATGAGCCACTGCACCCAGCAGGCTGTTTGACTTTTAAATTTTAATTCATGGGATTTAAAAACTGATTTCAGATAGTAATTCCTTATCAATCTTTTCTGTTTTGGTTTATGCTTTTTGTTTACTTTAAAATTATTTATTACCCTGAAGTGAAAAATATGTTTTCTTATGTTCCCTTTTAAAGTCTTTCTTTTCTTATTTATTGATCCATCTAGAATTAATTGTTTACAGGGTGGAAGATACTACTACATTTTTTTCCATATGTATGATCAATTGTCCCAGCATAGTTTATTGATAAATTTGTCCCATTGCCACCGATTTGTAATGCTAGTTCTTTCATTTATCAGGTTTCCGTCTAGGTGCATAGATCTGATTCTGGGATCTCTGTCCTGTTCCACTGGTCTAGGGTTTATCTCCACACTGCTGGCTTTTGTGTTTACTATATGGCTTTCTTTACTGTTGTTCTTTATTTTTTCATATGGTTTCAAGTTACTTTCTAGTGTCCTTTCATTTCAGCTTAGAGAACTTCCTTTAGCATTTCTTGTAGGGCAAGTCTAGTGACAAATTCCCTCAGGTTTTTAAAATCTGATATCTTGATTTTCCCTTCATTTTTAAAGGATGGTTTTACCAGGTATCGAATTCTTGGTTGACAGATTTTTTTTTTTTCTTTCAGCACTTTAAATATGTAACCATGTCATTCCATTCCTTCTGGCCTCACTGACTTTTGAAGAGAAATCAGCTTATGGTCTTATGAAGGATTCCTTGTATGGGATGAGTTGCTTCTCTTTTGCTGGTCCAAAATTCTGCCTTCATCTTTTGAAATATTAGCTATCATATGCCTTGGTGTGAATCTCTTTGCATTTATCTTCCATAGGCATAGAGTTCATTGAGCTTCTTGGATGTGTAGGTTCATGTCTTTCATTAAATTTGGAATATATTCAGCCACACTTTCTTCGAGATTTCTCTCTGCCCCTTTCTCTCTTCCCCTCCCCTCTGGGATTACCATTATGTGTAGTTAGTTTCTTGTTGGTGCCCCATAGTTTGTTAGGCTATGCTCATTTTTCTTCATTCTTTCTGGTTCTCTTATTGGATCATCTCAGTTGACTTATATTTAAGTTAATCAATTCTTCTGTCTGCTCATATCTGTTGTTGAAAACCTCTAGTGAATTTTTCAACTCCAGAATCTCGATGTGATTTCCTTTTACATTTTTTATATCTTTATTGACACATTCTCTCTCTCTCTGTCTCTCTCTTTTTGAGATGAGGCCTCACTATGTTGTCCAGGTTGGAATGCAGTGGTTATTCACAGGCATGATTATAGTGCGCTGCAGCCTCAAACTCTTGGTCTCAAGCAGTCCTCCTGTCTCAGTCTTCCAAGTAGCTGGGACTACAGCTGTGTGTCATGCTATTCTCTATTTGTTGAGACAGCATTTATCTCATTTCCTTAAGTTATTTTTTATGCTTCCTTTACTTCTTTAAGCTTATGTAATACAGTTTATTTAAAGCCTTCTTCCAATAGGTCTAATGGCTGGGTATCTCCGTGAACAGTTTCTATTAATTTTTTAATTAATAGAAATGGCCCTGTGAATGGGCCATACTCTCTTATTTCTTTTCATGCTTCATAATTTATTTTGTTGAGTACTAGATATTTTGAATATTAAAATGTGGCAAGTCTGAAAATCAGATTCTTTCCTCTTCCTTGAGGCTTATTTTTCCTGCTTGGTGTGGGTTGTTGTTGTTAGCTTGTTCAGTGAATTTTCTAAACTAGTTTTAAGTCTCTCTGAGTGTTTTCTTTTTTCTTTTTCTTTTTCCATTTCTATAATCTTGTTATTTCAAGACTGTTATACAAATGGAACCATACAGTATATAACATTTTGGGATTTCTTTTTTAACTCAGCATAATTGTCTGGGAATTTATTGAAGTTGTTCCAGGTATAACAATTTTTTATTGTTTAATTATTATTTATTTATTGGTACAGATGTATCATAGTTTGTTTAACATTCACCCTTTGAAGGACATGTGGGTTGTTTCTAGTTTGGGTCTACTACAAATAACACTGTTGTAAACACTTGTGTGCAGGTTTTTGTGTGAACATATGTCTTCATTTATGACCAGATAAATGCTCAGCAGAGAAATTGCTGGGTTGTATGGTAACTGCATACCATCACTTAGTTTCTTAAGAAACTGCCAAACTGTGTCCAGAGTGGGGCAATGGTGAAAGTTCTGAATTTCCAGTGGACATCTTCAGATACCACCTCAGTGGGGAGAGGATGGTAGGGATACAAGTCCAGGCTCTCCCCATGTAGTCTCCACTGTCAGCACACTGGGGAAATCTAATCCAGCCAGTGGGAAAAATGTGGCCTTCTATGAAGGCCTACTTGTTCTTCTCTGACATTAACCCAGCAGGATGTTAGGTACCTATTTACAGCTTGGCAAAAGTAGAAGTTCAAGTTATTAGCTTGGCCTTTGCTGGTGGGGTGGGGGTGGGGTTACCAATTTTTCTGCATTGTTTGTCAGAAGTACAGTGGTTAATGTTCAAAAGTTTTCTGTCTTGCTAGGCTGCTCCTTTGTCCTTGGACCAGTAGGCATTTTGGAGACATTTTTGGTCTGTGACCACTGACTTTACTATTTTGTTGGCTTCTTCAGTTCCAAGTTTGGGATACATGAGCAAAAAGAAAACCCAAGGATCTTATCACCATATTATACCTCAGGTCCTGTGTTTCTTGGCCAGTCTGCCTTCTCTCCACCCCTAGAGTGTTCTGGTTGTGTGTGTGTGTGTGTGTGTGTGTGTGTTTCGGGTTTTTAGTTGTACTGCATTTAGAGCAAAAAGTACAGCCACTCTATTTTACCAAAAGCAGGAATATGTTCTGGTTGGGGTTTGTTGTGAATCATAATGAATCTAAAAATCAATTTGGCAGAATAAAAATCTTTATGATTAACCATGAACATAGTATGCCTTTGCTTTTAAGCCTTTATTATATTTCTTCAGTAAAGTTTTATAATATCCTACTCAAATATCTTACATATCTTGTTGGATTTATTCCTTAGGTACTTTATGTTTTCAGATGTTATTGTCAATAGTATTTTAAAAATTATCTTGTGTTGGGATGTATAGATTGTAGTTTAATTCATGTTCCACTTGTATATATTAACTTCATTACATTTTCTTATATATTCTAACAATTTGTCTTTAGAGTTTTAAAATGTAGACAGTAATATTGTTTTTGAATCATGATAATGGTATTTTTTCCTTTTATTTCCTTTCGTGTAATTTTTATTACTCTTTCTTGTCTTATTGTAAGACTCTTTAGTGCAATGCTGAATAGAAGTAGTGACAGAAAGCAATTTTGTCACATTCTTGAACTTAAAGATAATCTTATGATTGCTGTATGTGCTTTTGCAGTTACTCTTCACCAGAATAAAGAAAATTTCTTCTATTCCTAGTTTGCAGAGTTTTATTAAATGGGTATTGAGTTTTATTGAATGCTCTTACTGCATCTATGGGGGTGATTTTGATTTTCTCCTTTAATCTTTTAATGTAATGAATTAATTTTGTAATTTTCTAATGTTGAATCAACTTTGCATTTCTGGAATAATCACCATTTGGTGATAATGTATTATCTTTTTCATATATCCCTGGATTTACTTTGTTAACGTAGGTTAGCATTTTTCATTTATCCTGTGAAATTGACTTATAATTATGTTTCACATTGACTCTGTGTGGTTTTGTTGTAAAGGATGTGCCAGCCTCATCCAATATATTAGAGAGCAAGTCCTCTTTTCCTCTTTTCTAAAAGAATGAAATAATTTGATCCTTAACTCCTTGATAGAATGCATCAAAAGAAATATTTCAATAAAGTGTTTTTCTTTGCAGAAAATTTCAATCCATGTTTTTAGTTTCTTGAGTGAGTTCTAAGGTGGTTTAGAATTTCTAGGTTTTTGTATGTTTTGATAACATTTTTTCTAGAAATGTGTTCCTTTCAGTGAATCATTCACATGTACTGTTTTTAAGTTGATATAATATTCTCCTACCATCTCTTTAGTATGTGTTGCATCACTAATTAAGTACCCCTTTCATTCCTCACATTGTATATTTTGCTTTCTCTCTCTCTTCTTATTTTTGTCAGAGATATATTTTTTACTAGTTTCATCATAGAACCAACTTTTAGCTGTATTGATGCTCTGTCTTGTATCTTTAATTTTCATTTAGTTATTTCATCCTTGTACTTCACTGTTTACTTCCATTTGCCTTGTTGTGTTGATCCCATTTCTGCCTTGGCCTCAGGTTTGTGTCCAGTCACTAAAGCATGACTGTGAAATTGACATTCTAGGCCACCACGAATTAGTAGATACTACAAGGCAAAAGTCTATTCCAAATCTCTTTAACTTCTTGAGTTTTTTGTCATTGGTTTCTAGAGACTCCTTTATGATTACAGAAGCTCATCTAGGCATTGCAAAGTGGCATCTTTTATATTTTGCCTACCGTTTTTGGATGTGCTTCCTAGAAGAGGTTTCTCAGAAATGACCCTGCCTGGTGACCCTCAAATACCCTCCATGATTCTTAGTATCTAGAAACCATGTCCAAATTCCATAATTTTTAAGGGCTCTCACCTCAACTTGCCTTTCCTGGCTGTCTTTCCTGTCAGGTGATGCCCTTTTCCACATGGAAACTTCCTTTTAATTCTATACACAGATCAATGTCATTTATTAGTGATAACTTCCTAAGTGTTTGAATACATAAGCACTCTGTTCTACAACATTACTAACAGGTCATATAGATATTTCTTTCTTACAGCACTATTCAGTGTTTGCTGAAGGAAAGAATTTATTTTATTTTATTTTTTTTTTTATATTATACTCTAAGTTTTAGGGTACATGTGCACATTGTGCAGGTTAGTTACATATGTATACATGTGCCATGCTGGTGCGCTGCACCCACTAATGTGTCATCTAGCATTAGGTATATCTCCCAATGCTATCCCTCCCCCCTCCCCCGACCCCACCACAGTCCCCAGAGTGTGATATTCCCCTTCCTGTGTCCATGTGATCTCATTGTTCAATTCCCACCTATGAGTGAGAATATGCGGTGTTTGGTTTTTTGTTCTTGCGATAGTTTACTGAGAATGATGGTTTCCAATTTCATCCATGTCCCTACAAAGGATATGAACTCATCATTTTTTATGGCTGCATAGTATTCCATGGTGTATATGTGCCACATTTTCTTAATCCAGTCTATCATTGTTGGACATTTGGGTTGGTTCCAAGTCTTTGCTATTGTGAATAGTGCCACAATAAACATACGTGTGCATGTGTCTTTATAGCAGCATGATTTATACTCATTTGGGTATATACCCAGTAATGGGATGGCTGGGTCAAATGGTATTTCTAGTTCTAGATCCCTGAGGAATCGCCACACTGACTTCCACAATGGTTGAACTAGTTTACAGTCCCACCAACAGTGTAAAAGTGTTCCTATTTCTCCGCATCCTCTCTAGCACCTGTTGTTTCCTGACTTTTTAATGATTGCCATTCTAACTGGTGTGAGATGATATCTCATAGTGGTTTTGATTTGCATTTCTCTGATGGCCAGTGATGATGAGCATTTCTTCATGTGTTTTTTGGCTGCATAAATGTCTTCTTTTGAGAAGTGTCTGTTCATGTCCTTCGCCCACTTTTTGATGGGGTTGTTTGTTTTTTTCTTGTAAATTTGTTTGAGTTCATTGTAGATTCTGGATATTAGCCCTTTGTCAGATGAGTAGGTTGCGAAAATTTTCTCCCATGTTGTAGGTTGCCTGTTCACTCTGATGGTAGTTTCTTTTGCTGTGCAGAAGCTCTTGAGTTTAATTAGATCCCATTTGTCAATTTTGGCTTTTGTTGCCATTGCTTTTGGTGTTTTGGACATGAAGTCCTTGCCCACGCCTATGTCCTGAATGGTAATGCCTAGGTTTTCTTCTAGGGTTTTTATGGTTTTAGGTTTAATGTTTAAATCTTTAATCCATCTTGAATTGATTTTTGTATAAGGTGTAAGGAAGGGATCCAGTTTCAGCTTTCTACATATGGATAGCCAGTTTTCCCAGCACCATTTATTAAATAGGGAATCCTTTCCCCATTGCTTGTTTTTCTCAGGTTTGTCAAAGATCAGATAGTTGTAGATATGCGGCATTATTTCTGAGGGCTGTGTTCTGTTCCATTGATCTATATCTCTGTTTTGGTACCAGTACCATGCTGTTTTGGTTACTGTAGCCTTGTAGTATAGTTTGAAGTCAGGTAGTGTGATGCCTCCAGCTTTGTTCTTTTGGCTTAGGATTGACTTGGCAATGCGGGCTCTTTTTTGGTTCCATATGAACTTTAAAGTAGTTTTTTCCAATTCTGTGAAGAAAGTCATTGGTAGCTTGATGGGGATGGCATTGAATCTGTAAATTACCTTGGGCAGTATGGCCATTTTCACGATATTGATTCTTCCTACCCATGAGCATGGAATGTTCTTCCATTTGTTTGTGTCCTCTTTTATTTCCTTGAGCAGTGGTTTGTAGTTCTCCTTGAAGAGGTCCTTCACATCCCTTGTAAGTTGGATTCCTAGGTATTTTATTCTCTTTGAAGCAATTGTGAATGGGAGTTCACCCATGATTTGGCTCTCTGTTTGTCTGTTATTGGTGTATAAGAATGCCTGTGATTTTTGTACATTGATTTTGTATCCTGAGACTTTGCTGAAGTTGCTTATCAGCTTAAGGAGATTTTGGGCTGAGACAGTGGGGTTTTCTAGATAAACAAACATGTCGTCTGCAAACAGGGACAATTTGACTTCCTCTTTTCCTAATTGAATACCCTTTATTTCCTTCTCCTGCCTGATTGCCCTGGCCAGAACTTCCAACACTATGTTGAATAGGAGCGGTGAGAGAGGGCATCCCTGTCTTGTGCCAGTTTTCAAAGGGAATGCTTCCAGTTTTTGCCCATTCAGTATGATATTGGCTGTGGGTTTGTCATAGATAGCTCTTATTATTTTGAAATACATCCCATCAATACCTAATTTATTGAGAGTTTTTAGCATGAAGGGTTGTTGAATTTTGTCAAAGGCTTTTTCTGCATCTATTGAGATAATCATGTGGTTTTTGTCTTTGGCTCTGTTTATATGCTGGATTACATTTATTGATTTGCGTATATTGAACCAGCCTTGCATCCCAGGGATGAAGCCCACTTGATCATGGTGGATAAGCTTTTTGATGTGCTGCTGGATTCGGTTTGCCAGTATTTTATTGAGGATTTTTGCATCAATGTTCATCAAGGATATTGGTCTAAAATTCTCTTTTTTGGTTGTGTCTCTGCCCGGCTTTGGTATCAGAATGATGCTGGCCTCATAAAATGAGTTAGGGAGGATTCCCTCTTTTTCTATTGATTGGAATAGTTTCAGAAGGAATGGTACCAGTTCCTCCTTGTACCTCTGGTAGAATTCGGCTGTGAATCCATCTGGTCCTGGACTCTTTTTGGTTGGTAAACTATTGATTATTGCCACAATTTCAGAGCCTGTTATTGGTCTATTCAGAGATTCAACTTCTTCCTGGTTTAGTCTTGGGAGAGTGTATGTGTCGAGGAATGTATCCATTTCTTCTAGATTTTCTAGTTTATTTGCGTAGAGGTGTTTGTAGTATTCTCTGATGGTAGTTTGTATTTCTGTGGGATCGGTGGTGATATCCCCTTTATCATTTTTTATTGGTCTATTTGATTCTTCTCTCTTTTTTTCTTTATTAGTCTTGCTAGCGGTCTATCAATTTTGTTGATCCTTTCAAAAAACCAGCTCCTGGATTCATTGATTTTTTGAAGGGTTTTTTGTGTCTCTATTTCCTTCAGTTCTGCTCTGATTTTAGTTATTTCTTGCCTTCTGCTAGCTTTTGAATGTGTTTGCTCTTGCTTTTCTAGTTCTTTTAATTGTGATGTTAGGGTGTCAATTTTGGATCTTTCCTGCTTTCTCTTGTAGGCATTTAGTGCAATAAATTTCCCTCTACACACTGCTTTGAATGCGTCCCAGAGATTCTGGTATGTGGTGTCTTTGTTCTCGTTGGTTTCAAAGAACATCTTTATTTCTGCCTTCATTTCGTTATGTACCCAGTAGTCATTCAGGAGCAGGTTGTTCAGTTTCCATGTAGTTGAGCGGCTTTGAGTGAGATTCTTAATCCTGAGTTCTAGTTTGATTGCACTGTGGTCTGAGAGATAGTTTGTTATAATTTCTGTTCTTTTACATTTGTTGAGGAGAGCTTTACTTCCAACTATGTGGTCAATTTTGGAATAGGTGTGGTGTGGTGCTGAAAAAAATGTATATTCTGTTGATTTGGGGTGGAAAGTTCTGTAGATGTCTATTAGGGCTGCTTGGTGCAGAGCTGAGTTCAATTCCTGGGTATCCTTGTTGACTTTCTGTCTCATTGATCTGTCTAATGTTGACAGTGGGGTGTTAAAGTCTCCCATTATTAATGTGTGGGAGTCTAAGTCTCTTTGTAGGTCACTGAGGACTTGCTTTATGAATCTGGGTGCTCCTGTATTGGGTGCATAAATATTTAGGATAGTTAGCTCCTCTTGTTGAATTGATCCCTTTACCATGATGTAATGGCCTTCTTTGTCTCTTTTGATCTTTGTTGGTTTAAAGTCTGTTTTATCAGAGACTAGGATTGCAACCCCTGCCTTTTTTTGTTTTCCATTGGCTTGGTAGATCTTCCTCCATCCTTTTATTTTGAGCCTATGTGTGTCTCTGCACGTGAGATGGGTTTCCTGAATACAGCACACTGATGGGTCTTGACTCTTTATCCAACTTGCCAGTCTGTGTCTTTTAATTGCAGAATTTAGTCCATTTATATTTAAAGTTAATATTGTTATGTGTGAATTTGATCCTGTCATTATGATGTTAGCTGGTGATTTTGCTCATTAGTTGATGCAGTTTCTTCCTAGTCTCGATGGTCTTTACATTTTGGCATGATTTTGCAGCGGCTGGTACCGGTTGTTCCTTTCCATGTTTAGCGCTTCCTTCAGGAGCTCTTTTAGGGCAGGCCTGGTGGTGACAAAATCTCTCAGCATTTGCTTGTCTATAAAGTATTTTATTTCTCCTTCACTTATGAAGCTTAGTTTGGCTGGATATGAAATTCTGGGTTGAAAATTCTTTTCTTTAAGAATGTTGAATATTGGCCCCCACTCTCTTCTGGCTTGTAGGGTTTCTGCCGAGAGATCCGCTGTTAGTCTGATGGGCTTTCCTTTGAGGGTAACCCGACCTTTCTCTCTGGCTGCCCTTAACATTTTTTCCTTCATTTCAACTTTGGTGAATCTGACCATTATGTGTCTTGGAGTTGCTCTTCTCGAGGAGTATCTTTGTGGCGTTCTCTGTATTTCCTGAATCTGAACGTTGGCCTGCCTTGCTAGATTGGGGAAGTTCTCCTGGATAATATCCTGCAGAGTGTTTTCCAACTTGGTTCCATTCTCCACATCACTTTCAGGTACACCAATCAGACGTAGATTTGGTCTTTTCACATAGTCCCATATTTCTTGGAGGCTTTGCTCATTTCTTTTTATTCTTTTTTCTCTAAACTTCCCTTCTCACTTCATTTCATTCATTTCATCTTCCATTGCTGATACCCTTTCTTCCAGTTGATCGCATCGGCTCCTGAGGCTTCTGCATTCTTCACGTAGTTCTCGAGCCTTGGTTTTCAGCTCCATCAGCTCCTTTAAGCACTTCTCTGTATTGGTTATTCTAGTTATACATTCTTCTAAATTTTTTTCAAAGTTTTCAACTTCTTTGCCTTTGGTTTGAATGTCCTCCCGTAGCTCAGAGTAATTTGATCGTCTGAAGCCTTCTTCTCTTAGCTCGTCAAAGTCATTCTCCATCCAGCTTTGTTCTGTTGCTGGTGAGGAACTGCGTTCCTTTGGAGGAGGAGAGACGCTCTGCGTTTTAGAGTTTCCAGTTTTTCTGTTCTGTTTTTTCCCCATCTTTGTGGTTTTATCTACTTTTGGTCTTTGATGATGGTGATGTACAGATGGGTTTTCGGTGTAGATGTCCTTTCTGGTTGTTAGTTTTCCTTCTAACAGACAGGACCCTCAGCTGCAGGTCTGTTGGAATACCCTGCCGTGTGAGGTGTCAGTGTGCCCCTGCTGGGGGGTGCCTCCCAGTTAGGCTGCTCGGGGGTCAGGGGTCAGGGACCCACTTGAGGAGGCAGTCTGCCGGTTCTCAGATCTCCAGCTGCGTGCTGGGAGAACCACTGCTCTCTTCAAAGCTGTCAGACAGGGACACTTAAGTCTGTAGAGGTTACTGCTGTCTTTTTGTTTGTCTGTGCCCTGCCCCCAGAGGTGGAGCCTACAGAGGCAGGCAGGCCTCCTTGAGCTGTGGTGGGCTCCACCCAGTTCGAGCTTCCCGGCTGCTTTGTTTACCTAAGCAAGCCTGGGCAATGGCGGGCGCCCCTCCCCCAGCCTCGTTGCCGCCTTGCAGTTTGATCTCAGACTGCTGTGCTAGCAATCAGCGAGATTCCGTGGGCGTAGGACCCTCTGAGCCAGGTGTGGGATATAGTCTCGTGGTGCGCCGTTTCTTAAGCCGGTCTGAAAAGCGCAATATTCGGGTGGGAGTGACCCGATTTTCCAGGTGCGTCCGTCACCCCTTTCTTTGACTCGGAAAGGGAACTCCCTGACCCCTTGCGCTTCCCAGGTGAGGCAATGCCTCGCCCTGCTTTGGCTCGCGCACGGTGCGCACACACACTGGCCTGCGCCCACTGTCTGGCACTCCCTAGTGAGATGAACCCGGTACCTCAGATGGAAATGCAGTAATCACCCGTCTTCTGCGTCGCTCACGCTGGGAGCTGTAGACCGGAGCTGTTCCTATTCGGCCATCTTGGCTCCTCCCCCAGGAAAGAATTTATGCCCATCTTTCCTGTTGGGGTTTGAGTTCCTTGAGAGGAACTGTGCCTGACACAGGGTAGCCATTCACAGTCATTGCTTGTGGAATGAATATGTGTAATTTTCAGTCTTTCTCCTCACTTCACATGTATTTTCTCCTGAGTCCACCTTTGAGGCTCTAGCTATACAAGTAATTACCCATAAAGTAATAGGACCCTATATAGTCGCTAGAATTTTTCTGTTCTGTAGATTTAAGCACCTGTGGCCCAGCTCTTAAATGGTATTAACCAAATTACACTGAGCATTTTGGTTGTACCTTTGAGTTCCAGAGTCTAATTGCTTGTAATGAAACACTGGAGTCATAATTTGATGGTCTGTAGGTTTCTCAGCTGTTTCTCTCTATGAGAAAATGTATAATGGGATATTTTGCACGTGACTGTCTATATTTTATATGCAACACATCAGTGTTGTGTAAATTTTGTGAACAACTTCTATTATCTTTGAAACCACAGAAGCAACAAACAGTTATAATTATAGTCTGAAGAAGTGATAGTGTTTCAAATATGCCTACAGTCGTGGTATTACAATGAGAATGTTCTGCTTGCCTGCAGCTTTCACTGTGCTCAGTGACATCAAAATTATACTAAATTTTAACAGAAACTTCTGTCCTTAAACAGAAACAGCTTGTTAGAAAAGCTAAGAGTTTTCTTTCTTCTGAATTCTTTGATTCTTTACTGAATAAAAGTGGTAGAAACGGTAAATATCGTGTCATAACTACATTCTTTGTTACTTGCCGGCTGGTTTTACTATCATCGAGTAATAGGTATTCTACTTTGCTCCACATGGGGAATGAATACACTTTATTTAAAACTTCTTTCTGTGCATCTGCTGCTTGTCAACTCATGATCTTCTGATCCTTGAAGATTTGACAACCCTGTGATTTGCTGTAATGGAATTACTGAAAAGTTATCAACAAAGACGTTGCAATGTAAGAATGCAAAGTAAGTCCTTAGATGTTTAGAGGCAAATAAACTTCAAAAGGGGTAGTGGCCACAAAGAAATACCTGAATCATACAATTTTTGGTGTGGTTCTGCATGTCTTTAATTTTGTCAACTGGGAGAGAGGATGTTTATGTTGCCATCTCTTTCCTCCGGCTGTGACTTATTTTTTTCTATAGCTTATTCATTAACACCTCATATGGTACTGAATACACCTCAGACAGGGTCAGTCAAGTCAAAGAAAATGCTACTTAGAATCAGAAAAGCTCGATTCTAGTCCTACCTTGTCTTGTCATTTTTGCCATTGACTGTGGCAGAAACATTGGATCAGTCTTTCAATTTTTCTGGGCCTTTATTTCTTTGTCTGTAAAACGTAAGTAGGTTGTAGGTTAGATAAGTGATCCTCCAAGTCTGGTCCCTGGACCAGTAACATTAATATGATCTGAGAACTCATTAAGAAGCAAATTCTTGGGCCTCAGCCCAACTCCGAAGCTCTGAAAGTGGAACTCAGCAATCTGTATTTTCGTAAGCTCTTTAGGTGAATCTAATATACATTAATAAACTTTAGAAAACTTCTAACTGGAAACTTACATGAGTATCTATGAATGTTAGAGTAATCTAGGCCTACATGGATGTTAAGTAGGCATATTCCTCTGCTTGTAATTAAATTTAAAATTTGGATTCCAAACACAGATTTAGAAGCATATGTAAGAAAAAAAAGAAAAAGAATACTGAAAGTGTTGTCCAAAAAAAGTAATTACTCTAAAAATGTTTTTGAATATAAGCATTTGCAGAATTTGCCTCCATTTGACACTGCAAAATGAACTTGATATTTCTGTCATACATGTATCTTGAGGAGTATTTCCACTGAATGATCATCACTGCTTAATGCCTGTGATTTCAGAAAAAATAATTTAAAATTATTCAGATTTATTGTAATTGAGTTCTTATATTTATGAAGGAGAGCAGTTAATAATCTGTTCTACATAAGTGCACATATGGCTAAAATTTTTGTTATTGAATATTTGGGCCTTTGGTCTCCTATATAAGAAAAATGTCCTTGTGTTTAACCACTTCTGTGCTTTGTTAGCATATGCTTTACCTAACAGCCTGTCTGGCTCCATTTTTTTATTAGTGTAGAAGAGTTTGTGGTAGTGATTTTGTTTTTCGAGGATTGGTATTATTACATTAACCATGGCTTTATGCTTTCCAAGGTCTCTAAAAGAGGGAGTTGGAGAAACTTTTATTCATAGTATAAATAAGTTAATACATATATGACAGAGAATGCAGTCAGTTTTTAAATAAAACCTAGTATTACAGTAAATTTAGAAAGTAAGTTAGGTGTGGTGGTGCTTGCTTCTAGTCCTAGTTACTTGGGAGGCTGAGGGGGGAAGATCGCTTGAACCCAGGGGTTTGAGACCAGTCTGGGCAACAAAGCAAGACCTCATCTCTAAAAAAGTAAAATGAGAACTGAGAAAGGGGAGGAGTATAATTATTGCTTTTTATCTTGCATTGATGAACAAGATAAAATCTGAGGGTCTAGTCTCAATAAATCTTTGCTTTTTATAAGAGAATCCAAAGTTAATCTAAAGAGATGAGTATATGTCAAATTTTGATGTGTATTTTCACAGCTAATTTCCAGAAGCCTGTGAAAAATGAGCTAAAACATTAATTGGTTTTACTTTTTCTTTGCAACTGGAAATAGCCCAAAGAGGCAGACTAAAAGCAGTAAGAAATAAGTTTCTATTACAAAATCAAGTGAAATGCAAAAGACATTTTGAGAAATTATTCCTGGCCAAATATTTATTGAACACCTACCATGTACTAGGTTCTGTGTTTGAAACTGGGGATAGGCCAATGAAGAAGATATGCCTTGCCTATTGGAGATTAGGATCTAGTCAGAGAGACACACATTACAAAGTAATTTCTGGCTGGGCGTGGTAGCTCACGCCTGTAATCCCAGCACTTTGGGAGGCCGAGGTGGGTGGATCATGAGGTCAGGAGATCGAGAACATCCTGGCTAACATGGTGAAACCCCATCTCTACTAAAAATACAAAAAATTAGCCGGGCGCGGTGGCGGGCACCTGTAGTCCCAGCTACTCAGGAGGCTGAGGCAGGAAAATGGCGTGAACCTGGGAGGCGGAGCTTGCAGTGAGCTGAGATCGCACCACTGCACTCCAGCCTGGGCGACAGAGCGAGACTGCATCTCAAAAAATAAATTAATTAATAAATAAATTAATAAAATAATAATTTCTACAAATTATGATTAAATATCCATTTCAATATAAATATCCAGTTCAATAAGTGCTATGGAAAAGATATGTATACTGCAATGATAATGCATAATACAGATAGAGCCTAGTCAGGATAAGGGAAGACTTTGATACAAGTTTTGACGATAGTCATTCTGACTGCTATTTGGACAATGGAAGGTAGGAGGGAAAAGGAATGTGAAGAACTGGTTAGGAGGCCATTGTAGTGATCCAGGTACTGTTCTAGGCCTTTGGTATAGAAATCCCTGCACTTGTGGAACCTATGTTGTAATGCAAAAGTTATACATAAAGTACCAAGAATACATAAAAAATTTTGCATAACTATCATCCTAGTTTTCTGACATTGCATAGCAAACCAGCTCAAAATTTAGTGGCTAAAGATGATAATTTATTATGTCTCCTGGTTTTAGGAGTTGGCTGGGCTCACTTGGGGAGTCTCTCAGAATCTCTCATGTGGTTGCAGTAGCAGATACTGAAGTCATCTGAATCATCCACCAACATGGCCTGTTTTGCACACAGGCATGATATGTCAACACACCTCCATGTAGCACACATTCCTTTCAGCACAGCAGCCTGAACATCTTACACAGTGGCTCAGGGCTTTAAAAGACAGGAAATCAAAACTTTCAGTCCTCTTGAAGGACTCTTCAGTTGGAACTAGCATAGTATTTCTACTGTATTCAATTGGTCAAAGCAGTCACAGGCCAGTGTGGATTCAAATTTGTTTAAGAGTGAATTCTGCATCGTGGTGGAGGGTGTCACACACAATGGCAAGATGACCCAGATGGCCTCTTGTGATCTTTACCTTCTGTGAGCATGCCATGTAGAGTCCCCTTCCACAGGCCTGACCTGTGTAACCAATACAAGGGTCCGTGACTTCCCAGGCAAGGTCATAAGAGGCATTGCAGCTTCTACTTCGTTCTCTCAGATCACTTTTTTGGAGAGAGTTGGCCTCCATGCTGACCAGCCTTCTGAAGAGGCCCACGTGGAGAGAAACTGAGGGCAGGTGTGGAAGTGGCTTCTCCAGCCCTAATCAAGCCTTCAGACAACTGCAGCCTCATAAGAGACCTCAGGCTTAAACCATCCAAGTGGTTCCTGATTCCTGCCCCACAGGAACTGTGAGATTTAAAAAATATGTATTATTGTTTGAAGCTGTTAAGTTTTGCGGTCATTTGTTACATAGCAATAGATAAATAATACAGAGGCAATGCTGGAGGTAACCTGAGGGCAGTGTTTATGTCTGTTTCACTAATGCATCTCATGCAGTATAGTACCTGACTCACAGTTCAGTAATACATGAAAGAAAGAAGGCCATGATGTCATAGTCATTGAAGAGCCTTCTCATTGCATGGCTTCTTGGAATGGAGGTTGAACAAACATCCCGAGTGCCAGGAAGCATAATGTAGTGGGGGGGTGGGATGCCGGGTGCAGAAGCAGCATGGTCTTCATGCAAAGACAGACCACTCGGATAGTGTAGATGGTCACCTTTTGACAACGGGACAAGACCATTGATAACCCTGACCTGTACTGTAGAATTGAGAAACCAAAAGCATCCTGAAGACTACAAAGATTGTATCAAAGACTTCCTATTTGTACACATTGTTTTTTCTTCTTTCATAGAAAGTGATTAAACTGGTCTGTAGGAAAACTGATTTGCTCTTCAAAGAAAGCCCTGGTCTCTGCTCAGTGATTTATGATCTGCTAGGATGGCTACCCATGGATTCAGGGCTACTTTCTTCGTGTATACTCTCAGTACATTTATTCTTTCTTCAAATCAAAGATACGCCTACTTTTTTTTCTAAGTATTTTAAAGAAATAGCAGTGGAAATCAGAAAAGAGCACTCACATGAGAAACTCTTAGCAAATTCAAAAATAGTCATAAACTCAAATTGCTGTCCTGTGTTTTATAGTTCACAATATTTCCCTATATCTTTGAAGAATTGAAAAAGATATCCAACAGAATGAACCCTAACCATATTTTATTAATACGATTTTGGCATGATGCTTCTGTAGATCAGTATTTTTTCCAGTATATAATTGTGGAATGGAAAATAACAAGAAAAATTACAGAGTTGAAGTGGTCTCTAGTTGGAACATTTTGGAAGAATGCTTTGTGATCAAAAGCAGAATTTTAAGTAAGCTATGTGTCTGAAGTTCACATGTATTGTTTTTAAATGGGCTAATTTAGAAAGCAATAGAAGCATAGCTTGAGGAAGAATAGACAGCATTAGTGAGAGTACTTCAAGAGGGACAAATAACATATGAGGTGTCGGGAAAGTGGGACAGACAGAACGAGACACATTCAAAGGTCTCTGCTCCAGTTGACTGGAGCAGAGAGTGTGCTGAACAAACACCACTCGCCCATACGCCTTCTCACGCCGCAGGTTGTCCTGTCAGATTCACTCCCCAAATGAGAATCCATGCATTCTTTTACATGTTTCCCCTGCTTCCTGGAATGAGGCAATAGAAGCCTTCCACCCGTCCTTAAAATGTACTGCATCCATTCCCTACATAAAAACTCTCGGATTGATATTTGGAGGTGGGATTGGGAAAGATACATGCAAACTATGCTGAGGAAGCTCCTAACAGAGTGCGCTGAGGCAAAACTCTCTGGTCAAGGTGAGGCACACCTGGAAATAATAGTGGTTTATCAGTGCGGGTGGGGCCAATCAGAGGATGGAAGATTTGGGGCCAGGATGAAGTCACACAAATGGCCCATGGGTTCTACACAAAGTTTCTGTATTTTCCAATCAAAGGAGTACCTTTCGGTGTTTGAAGAGTAGAAACCATGGTGAGTGGCAGATTGTCCTTGTTATATGTGTATTTGCCTCAGTATCTTCCAGTCAGGAGAATTGAATGACAGAATTAAATAGGCATCCTTTTTAAAATTGTAAAATAATGTATCCCCTTTGAAGAAAATTTGGAAAAACAGAAAAGTAAGAAGTAAAATTAAGAAGAAAAAAAACAATGCTGAACAAAACCTCATTATTGATTTGATGTATTTTCTTCTTCCTGCCCCCTCTCCCTTATTTTCTGTGTGTTGGTCTTTACATGCAACACACACACAACAAAGCACAAATACTCCAAGTGATTTTGAATTTTTCTTTTTTCCACTTAACATTATATTATTTATTAATTTTTTTGTAAACCACAAAAAATGGCTATGCTATCTCTCACTGTGTGTGAAAATGTAGCCCTTGGTTACTTAACCATCTCTGTCATTTTGGGTATTTAGAATGATCTGATATTCACTTCTATTAATAACATGATTAATTTCTCCATGTTTTTTCTGAATTTAGGATTTTCTTAAAGGATACATTTCTGGACATTTGATTATTTCATCAAAGGATAAGAATAGTATGATTATATGAGCATTGACTTGATTCTTTGATGAGGTATATTTTCTCTTTACAATTCATATACTCTAATCAAGATCTAAAATCATATAAAAGACATGGTCTGTTAAGACTCTGGTTTAGGTTGTGTGTGGTGGCTCATGCCTATAATCCCAGTACTTTGGGAGGCCAAACTAGGTGGATTTCTTGAGCCCAGGAGTTCGAGACCAGCCTGGGCAACATGGTGAAACCCCATCGCTACAAAAAATACAAAAATTAGCTAGGTGTGGTGGTGCATACCTGTAGTCCCAGCTACTCAGAAGGTTGAGGCTAGAGGATGGATTGAGCCCGGGAGGTTAAAACTGCAGTGAACTGTGATTGTGCCACTGCACTCAGTCTAGGTGACATAATGAGAGCATGTCTCAAAACAAACAAACAAAAAAGACTTGAGCTTCTCTCCAGACTTCTGAACTTGGTGTCACCACGTTGTTGAATCTGCATCCTGAAAGCCATTGCAAGTATTGTGGGTTGCAACCATTGGATTATGACCAAATAGACACAGTTTTTTCCTGAGTGATTTCCCACTCAAGAGGTGGGAGGGGCAGAGTAAAACAATTTTAAAGCAATATCCAAGATTAGCAATCAATATTCTTTGCCAATACCTTGAAAATGTAAGGAGATACAGTAACACTTAGGACAGAGAATCTGCCATTTTATTTTCTGTTCCTAAAATATACACTTTTTGGAATGTGCCCTTATAAAGCTTATAATGACTTCTATATAGAAAGTTTGGATCCAATGTGAAGACCTTTATGACAAAGAAATTTGATCATAGCAATATTGTTTACCTATTTTTCTCCTTTAGAAGCCCACTTTTTGTAAATAAAATGTTAGTATTTTTATTCATTTTACTGTTTAAGACTGTTTGCTTTTCACTAACCTTTTATTACTGTACAAATATTTTCCTATGTTGTTATGAGTGAATCCTCCTATTAGCTTCAATTCTGTAGTGTCATAATCACACAAAAGGCTGAAGTACTGATTATGCCTCAGATAATGTAGTTGTTAATGATCAACTTAATGTTAAAAGCCATTACTGCTCATTGACATAATTCTGAGAACATTATACTGTAGAAGTGTACCTTTTGTGTGGAAACAGAATGACAAAATTGAAATGTTAAAAGTTGAGTGTCTGAATAATAGCCTGTGAAATCATTTAGACAAGACCATTGTTGCCTCTATTGTTCAAAGACTAGAGAGTGACAGGATGAGACAAAAAAGAAGAAACACCACCACAGCTTCACTTGCAGGTTTGAAGGGAGATGGAAAAGAAAGAGAATCCCTGTTTGTCTCTGTCTTCCTGCAGGGTCTTCTCCTAACAATAGAGCACCCTCCTCTGGCCACCTGCCAAAAGGGGATGCCTGCCTCGGTTTTGATTGGCAGGACTAGAGCCAGGCAGGGGGTTGCTGTAAGTGCGTTGCAAGAAGTTTCCAAGTACAATGTTGTCTGAGAGTGACCCGGACCAGTCACCCGTGGCTTCCTCCATGTTCCATGCTCAAGGGCTTTAGGTCATGACATTTGAAAGCTGGAAACAGACTGTGGGAAGGCAGAAGTGTACAGTCACCTTCCCAAACAAGCTGTTAGCTCACTTTAGTACTTTGCCACTGGTGTCTGTCTTCTTTAGTATCATTAGTCAATTTTGATCTGGAGGATGGAGGCAAGCCAATAAAGAGTCGAGAGACAGAAGATGGTGTATATGTGATACGGTGGGGAAGGGACATATGGGAGCCTCCGTGCTTGTTTGGTGGAGTCAATGGGATCTAAAACAGAGGTACAGTCCATTGCTGGGTGGGTCATTTAGCACCTTCCATGGTCAAAGACCTAATTCATGACCTTGACTGACCATTTAACAATTTTCATATTTGGTCATAACAGCAACAAGCGAACAAGCAGAGATGGACTACAACTAGTTCATCATTGTTACTAGAACTATCCAATCCTTATACTCTGTTTACAGTGAGTGAGTGACAGTTATCTTCATATAATGTTCCATAAACATTCTATTTTCCAGGCACGGTTCTAAAGGCTTCCTATGTACTAACAGAGGAGATTTTGCTAAAGGAAGATTTTGCTAAAATGCATACTGGCATCAGATTGTCAGAGAGGAAGAATAATTGTATACTTACAAGGGATGAAAACATGTTCATAATGTACTTCAGTTTTACAGAAAAAATGGAATTATGCTTGAAAGTATTGTTTAAGAAAGTAGAGATACTTGTTACAGACTTTAAAAAGGTTTCTATGAGATTGAATTATGAGCCTGGGCAACATAAGTGGGACTCCATCCCAATAAAAAATAAACAAATTAGCCAGGCGTGGTGGTGCATGTCTGTAGTCCCAGTTTCTTGGGAGGCTGAGGTGGGAGGATCGCTCGAACCCAGGGGTTCGATGTTGCAGTAAGCTATGATGGCTCCACTGCACTTCAGCCTGGGTGACAGAGTGAGACCCTGTCTCTAATAAATAAATAAACAAAATATAACAAAACTGAATTATATATAAACATTTTTACTGACATTGAATTTTTCAAAGGGAAATTTAGTTTTTAGAACAGTTGTAGATCTACAAAAATATTGCAAAGGGAATACAAAAGTTGCCATATCCCCCATACTCAGTTTCACCTATTATTAACATCTTACACTACTATGGCACATTTGTTATAGTTAATGAAACAGTATTAATACATTATTAAAGTCCATAGCTTATTCAGATTTCCCCAGTTTTTTCCTACTGTCTTTTTTTCTGTGAATCTTATTAAAATACTACGATATTTAGTTGTCATGTCTCCTTAAGTTCCTCTTGGCTGTTACAGTTTCTCAGATTTTCCTTGTTTTTGACAACCTTGACAGTTTTAAGAAGTACTGGTTAAGTATTTTGTAGAATGTCCTTCGATGGGGATTTGTTTGATGCTTTTTTTATGAATAGACTGATTTTATCAGGATAATTTTTACTATTACTGAAAAGACTTTTGGACTTCTGGCATATTAGTTCGTGGGGGAACAGCTTATAGTCTGTAATTAATGAAGAAAAAATCATTTATTTAGGGCAGGGGAGTGTTGAAGATTGGACTGATATGTGGATAGGTCCCAGTGATTTGGCAGGTATGTAAGACAAAAATTTCAGAATTCGTTCTGAAAATATTAATTCCTTTCTTTACACAACAGACATTCACAGAACACCCCTGTTTGCCAGTCACTGCTCTGAGGACAAGGAATACAAATCTGAACTAGTGACAGAAAGATTAGCTTCTCAAACTGCCATGCAAGAAGTGTTTTCCCTTAAAGCTTGAGAAAGAAGAGAATCTGACAACTTCTTTCCAAAACCTATAACAGTGTCTATATTGTTACTCTCTTCAATTAAAACCTACTTCTTAATTTGTCTGCCAGCAGAGATGGAGATTAATAACAAATATTTATTAATACCATTCTATATCCCAAAGCAAAGTTTTCCTTAATAAAAAAATTCAGTGGGTTTTTAAATTCTGGCTCACATGCACTTTTTTTGTGTGTCTTCCCAATTACTCCTTTCAAACATTTATGCAAGTTTACCTGCATTAGACCTTATACTCCTTTTTAAAACTTCTTATTTTGAAATGATTTTAAGTGTACAGAAAAATTGCAAAAATAAAGATAAGAGTTCACTTTTTATTCAGCTTCCTCTAATGTTAACAATGTAACATAATCAAAGTACAATGATTAAAATGAGGAAATTAACATTGATACTTTTTTCTGAATTATAATTCATATTTGCATATCACCAGTTTTTCCACAAATATTCTTTTTCTGTTTCCTGATCTGGTCCAAGATCCTACACTGTGTTTAACTGCTGTGTCATCTTAGGTTTTTCAGTCTGTGACAGTTCTTCAGCCTACGTGTTCTGTGATGTTGAAATTTAAAAAAATAACATTTCGATGAGCAGTTGTATTGTAGAATGTCTCTCAATTTGGATTTTACTAATATTTTGCAATGAATAGATTGAAATGCATTTTGGTAAGAATACCACAGAAGTAATGGTGTATCCTCAGTTATCACAGTGGGGGGTACTTAATGTTGATATGACTCATTACTCATGGTGTTAACCTTAATCACTTGGTTAGAATAGTATTTTTCTGGGTTTTTCCATGGTAAATTTACTGGTTTTTTTTTTTTCCGTAGTAATCAATAATACTTTGGGACTAGGCAAATACCTTGTTTTTCATATTTTTTTATGTGTCCCCTTTTCTTATCATTTGAAGGACTCGGCTCAATATCATCTAAAAATCAGTCCTATAAGTTGAGTAATTCCTTTAAAAGAGACTGATATTTGAGATTTTCCTTAACAGGTATTGGTCTGTTGTTAGTTAGATTTATAAAAGAAGTTCATGAAAGATATAGCATTTTTTTAAATCAAATTGTGTGGGGAAAAAATAGGTTGACAATGAAAACAAGAGCTCCCATAAATTATACTTGGGATAAGTAATACTAAAAAAAAAAACAAAAAAAAACACAAAAAAAAAACCACCTAAAGCCAGAGTACAATGAAAGTATTCTGTAGTTGGCCATGTACCTAAACACATGCAGATACGTATATATTAATGCTGGTGAATTTATATTCACCAACATTTAACTCCTTAGTTTTTCAGAAGTAGACTCTTAGCTTTCGTCTTAGAATATCCTATTCTGCCTCAAGAATTCTATTCTAATGCTATTGAGAAGAGTTACTTTAAAATCAGGCCCATTTACTACTAATGAATTAGGATACATTAGCAGTAACTGCACTGGATCCTAATTAGAAAAGGACAAACTGCTTTGGGAAAAAGTAGGTCTAAATCTTTCTTTTGCTATGCAATTATGTTATTTTCAAAGTTAATATTTTTCTAATGGCCCTCTGTTTGAATTCTCCATCTCTTTTTATTTAATACTCTGGATATCTGCTCCAACTGTCTCCTCTGCTGCATCGTCCTTTCTAATAGAGTTGATTTGGGTAAGTTGTTGCCATATGTCACTCCTCTTCCCCAAAGACTTCTAGACTTTTAGTACCAAGTGTTTTCTTTATTGCTTATAATTAACTACTTTTTGAATGTATTGTTTTCAGTTTTTATTCACTTACTTATATACTGATGTTACCCCTGCATTATTTACTAATGTATTTATGTTCTGTCATTACACTCAAATTATCCCCAAAGACACACATTGAGTTTATTCATTCACTTGCTTCAATCTGTGCTGATGTAAAATATAGGCTAGGCTAGGTGAAAAATTTGAAGATAAATGAGTCAGATTCCTGTTTTCCTAAACATTTCATCAGAGAACATTTTTGAGGAAACATCTTTGAATCTGGGCTGGCTTTTGAATGAAATCTCAGATTTTTGGGGGGAGGCTAGAATGTGTCTTAGAGTATATAAAATTTCCGTAGAGGATAAATATATTATCTTGCATTCTAGTGGGAAATTAGCAGATTTTATTGATTTTTATTATTATTATTGTTTTAGAGACAGAATCTCACTGAATTGCCCAGGCTGGAGTGCAGTGGTACTATCATAGCTCTCAGCCTTGAACTCCTGGGTTTACAGGAGCCTCCCAGATAGCTAGGGCTAGAGGTATGTTCCAGACATCACACCTGGCTAATTTTTATTTATTTATTTTTTTTTGGTAGAAATGGGGTTTTGCTATGTTGCTCAGGCTGGTCTCGAACTCCTGGCCTCAAGAAATCCTCCCACCGCTGCCTCCCAAAGTGCTGGCCTGGGCCCACCGCACTTGGCCTAATAATTATTCAATTCGCTAGAATCTAAAGGTGTGTGTGAGTGAGAAAAGAGGGAAGGAGGATGCAGAGAGAGAATGACAGAGGGAAACAGGGAGCAAGAGAGAGAGTGAGGGGGGTGGGTAGAGCTGAAGTAGAGACTGGAAGAAAACCCAAGTTGTTCAATAGCAAATGGAACTTGAGAAGGTCAGGAAGAGTTCTGTGGAGGAGCATGAAGGAGGAGCAAATGAAATTCACTTGCTCCCTTTGATGAGGTGAAAAGAAATAGCCTCAGCTTATTTGTGTGCTTCTGAACCTTGGTGCACCCTCCACTAATTCAGAGGCTGTGGGAAATCCAGATGCAGTTGTTGTTCTCTTAGAGCTCCATTAGGACCTGATCCAGCCCCTGCTAACGTATCAGGAGGCTGCACTGGCAGCAAACGGATCCACTCCTAATGTACTTGATGGGAAAACTTAATGCCTTTGCTGTGCCATTTGAATGTTTTTGTTTGAAAGAGCATATAGATTATTTATAGTCCACCAAATAAACCTGAGGGTCTTTTAATAAACTCATAGATTAGGTTGCTCAAAGGAGTTTATTGAAATAATATCTGAATTTGTCCATGACAATGACATTCCATGAGTTTATGGCTCTATCCCATGGGGAACAGGATTTCCCACCTTACCCCAGGGTATCTGTGTATCATTTCAACATTCAGAAGAAATGAAAGCAGGACTTTTGGTCACTATACCAGCTTCTCTCACAATGTTTTTTTTTTTTTTTTTTTTTTTCTCAAAAACAAAAACACAGATGAAAGCAAGTGAAGGAAACTGGTAAAGAAAATTTGGGAAGAGCTGAGGGAACAGCCTTCTAAGGCAAGTAAGTTTAAGCTTTTTGATTAACCTGTTTTGGGGAAGAATGTGAGTTTTATACCTCATAGTCATTTTTGAAAGGCACCACATCTTTTCTGGTCAGAATATTAGGGATTTAGGGAGTTTGGCTTGGGTCTGATCCAAGAAAGAGCAACAAGGACATAAAAATCCATGTCATCAGAGCCAGAAGCTTTGATTTCAGCTACATTTATTTATTCTCTGATGCACTGGAAGAGCTCACAGTTGTCTGAGAATGTGGGATTATTGTTCACACCACTCACGTCACCTCTGCAGTTCACCCCACACTCCCACAGGGGACCATTTCACCATCTCTTTCAGAATTATGGTTGTTTCCCTTTACTTAAAATTAAACCACTTCTTGACATTGAGTTGCTTGAAATCCAAAATTTTAAGAAGTTCTCCAATATTTTGCCCATTTTACCTTTATATTTTCCCCTGTCAGTACTTTGACCCCCAATTCCCCTCATCCTTGTCAGAGGTCTTCTTTGGTCCAGCTGTCTCCTCAAATCTCACATCTCACTTGAAATTTCATTTAAAATCTCTAGCCTCTCCCTACTTGTTTCTCCCTTGGCTGCCATTTATTTAACTTTATAGTGACATTTTCTAACTCCATAAAGTCTTCTGAGGTAACAATCTTTTATGAAACACACATGATTCTATTGTATTTTTATTTTTTTTTCCAAAGGAGAACACAGCCAGAAAAGAACAATGAAGAACTGTTTTATTTCAAATAGGACAAATTAATAACAAAAACATAGACATCTTAGAGTGAGAAGGAATTTTTAAAAATCGTCTTGTCAAAGACCCTCATTTGATAATGAGGAAACTGAATCCCAGGGAGTTGGAGTTATTTTTCCAAAGTGACATGCATCATGCAGCTGAGGCTGGAGTTGGATTTTCTCACTCACTTTCCAATTTTCTTTCCATTCCACCATACTGCTTTTCCTAGATGTTTGCTTTGAACCAGGAGTGATGAGACATAGCAGTTCACTTGGAATGGTTTCTGGAATGATTTCATTCATTCAATAGCTATTAATGGGACCCACTATGGCCACTGGTTAGGCAGTAGGGATGCTCATTAAATAGTCCCATGTCCCTCTCTCATGGAGCTTACATTAAAGTGAAGGAGATCAATGACAAATAAACAAGGGAATCTGGAATGCCAGGTAGTGGTATGAGCTGTGAGGACAAATGAAGAGATATAAGAAATAGAAGAGAATAGAGAGTGAACAATTGGGTTGGTGTATATTAGTCAGGGTTCTGTATATTAGTCAGGGTTCTCCAGAGAGACAGAACCAATAGGATATCTCTCTCTCTCTCCAGTCTCTCTCTCTCTCTCTCTCTCTCTCTCTCTCTCTATATATATATATATATATATATATATATATATAGAGAGAGAGAGAGAGAGAGAGAGAGACTGGAGAGAGAGGGAGAGAGAGAGAGGGAGAGAGAGAGAGAGAGAGAGATAGGAAGAGATGACAGGAATTGGCTCATTTGACTATGGTGGCTGAGAAGTTCCACCCCAGACTGCCTGCAAGCTTCAGACAATGGGATGCCCATAGTGCGGTTCAGTCCAAGCCTGAAAGCCTCAGAACCAGGGGAGCCAAAAGCGTAAGTCCTGGAGTCCAAAGGCTGGAGAGCCTGGAGTTCTGCTGTTCAAGGGCAAAAGAATAATATCCCAGCTCCAGCAGAGAGAAAGGAAATTGCCTTTCTTTGCCTTTTTTTCCCCCTATCTGGGCCCTTAGCCTATCAGATGGTGCCCAGTCCCATTGAGATGATCTTCCCTACTCAGTCCTTTGAGTCATACACCAATCTCCTTTGGAAACACCTTCACAGACACACCCAGAAATAATGCTTGACCAGTTCTTTAGGTATTCTTTAATCCAGTCAAGTTGACGCCTAAAGTTAACTATCATGGGTATGTGGGTTCGGGGTAGAATGGCCAGGGTGGACCTCTTTGAGGAGGTAACATTTGAGCAGAGGTCTGAATGAACTAAAGGAGTGACCCATGCGATCATCTAGGAAAGAACATTGCAGGCAAAGTGAACGGAAAGTGCAAAGACCCTCAAGTGGGTAGGAATACAAATGAGTTTCATTTTGAGAATACAGGCATAGCTTTTGAATTACGCTGTGAGGTTTTTTTTTTTCTTCAACTATGAATCAACTAACTAAAATCAAGAACACTTGAATTCTAACAGACAACACTTTTAGGACTGGTTTGTGCCAGATTCACTAGTTTTACCTTTCACTTGTTCATTGGCTTTCATTACGAAAAATCTAGGAAGTGGGGCATAGCCTTCTTGCTACAAAGACACAGTAGAGAGAATCATATTTGAATGTGGAAATTTCATAACTAAACAGAACCATCCTAAAAATCTAGGTTTAGCTTTTAGTTAAGTGGTTCTGTCATAGACGAAGTTTATGTAACCGGCAGAACCAACTGTTCTTTGGAGCTCAGTGCTGACTTTCCACATCGTAACCCAAAGGGAATGCCACAGGAGATCTTTATGAAGCCGGCAAACAGTCTCACAGAACGAGACTCAGGACTGACGCAGTCAGAGGAGACTTGGTCATGAGCTGCTGCTGTTTTTGTAAACCAATGCCCTGGGATCCTTGATCCCATAATAAGGAAAAGGCTAGCCCATTTTGACCTTTATAGCCTGTTGCAAAGTCATTGCTGAGCTATTATTTGAGTAGCTTGAGGTAGAATAATGTTCAACTCAGCTTCCTGGAGCTGCATTTGAAATGCAATTAATTGACTGCTGTTAGTTGTCAATTAACATTTATTATCAATTAGTTCATCAAATTGATTAGTTGGCAGGACCTTAAAGTCTAAATGCACTCCTTTCCATTATAAATATGTCTATAAGAGTAAAAGCTACTCACTAATTGATGTCAAACTGGAATTGCTTATGTCGTACTTGAGTCTTGTCCATATTGCATTTTAAAATCTATATCAAGCAAACTTGGATAATACATGTAAGGTTCACACTTTTAAAATGTGCCTCGTTGTAATTGTTTTTTGTGGGGATAATCAGTAAATATGCCAGGTTGAAACTTTATACTGATGTCACAAGGAATAGGACTTGTAGTTTTATATTCATATGTCTAGAATGATTTTACTTTGGAAAAAAAGCATTCTGTCTCAGTGTTGCTGAATTTTTTGTACACATTTAAGGCTTGCATATATCAGTTTTAATATTTTGTGAGTCAACTAATATAAGGATGTAAGCTTTCAATAGCTATCTAGAGGAAGGTAAAATATGTGTATATACTTTGCAATGACCCCTATTTGAAAGACAAGCAGATATATTTTTATATATTTTTGATATTTTGATCACCTCCCCTCTCCCCAAAAAACTTTTCTATAATATACCCAGCTTTCTAGGCTCTTCAGGACCCTCCAGTATCTAAAGTCTAATTAATAGATTTCCAATTTCCTCTTCCATCCCTCCCTTTGGTTAAAACAACAACAAAAACAACCACAGCAACAACAGATATACCACTATTTAAAAAGATACATTTCTTTTTTTGGGAAAAGGAAACTTACAGACAAACATTTAGTATTCAGCATATGATATTTTTCTTTATCTTTTGTACAACTTGGGAAGCATGGAATGAAACTGTAAAATTTACCCCCTATCTATTTAACAAAACACAAGATACCTACAAGGGATTATTCATTTTTATTGCCTTTGTACAAAAAGATAATTCCTGCCTCCTCCCACCCCAAATTGTGACCTAAATATGGCTGAAAGACACAACATGTGACCTGCTTAGCGCTGCCTGCCATGGCCTCGAGCCACAGCAGGAACTCTATTAGAGGGAACGGCACAGATGCTACCAGATGGCCAACATATTGTCCAGAGATGACCCATGTATAATTGCAGAAAGTTCAATACATTCAGGTTTTGAATTTAATTGCATTGACCACCTTACCTACTGCTGCTGCATGCTTTAATTTATTTAAGGTGGAAATATAGTTTAAGAGAGAGTGAGGGAACTCCCTACAATGTTACCTTCTGTCTTTTGCCAAGCACCAAATTGCCTAAAGGTGGGATTCCAGGTGTTCCCAGCTACCTGAACTGTGAGCAATTTGCGTCATATTTGCTTGGCCTTCATTATTTGAGTGGAGAGCTTTGCTTTTTAATCAAGTTAGCAACAGATAACATTTCCCAAATGCACATAATGCATTTTCATGATTTTGGCTTTTTTGGGAAGAGAGAAGGGGAATGATGGATTGGGTAGGATTGCAGCTTTAGCCTTCTCTTGGTAACTTGTACAAAAAGTTGATTGAATTTAATTACTTCACTTCCCCTATAGCAACTTCAATTCTAACAATGTAAGATACCAGTGGTGGATCTAGTTCCCATAAATGTATATTTCCAGTCATATAATACTTTATTTCGGGGGGCATATTAAGTTGATTTTGCTGCATATACGAATATATAGTCACTTAAAAACAAGAATAGGTATGGGCTTTGGTTACTAAGAATTTTGAACCTTTTCTCTCTGAAGAAGCATGGCAATTGTATGTTATATCAGGATAGAGAACCATTGTTTCAGTTTCCTTTTGCAGACTGTTATTTCTTAAAATGTTTCTGCTAAGCAAATGTAATCACGATGGCATGCGTTATTAATTCAAAATAGCTTCTCAAATGGCTCAAGCTCTGGGATGGCAGCATGTCTGTTGCAATGTCATTTGTCATAATTCTTTGCTCTTATATAGTGCCTTTTCTCCAAGCCACTCACATACTACATTTGCTTTGTGTCTATATTCAAGACAAAAGATAAATCCTCATTTTGTTTGAACTTTCCAATCTATTGCATCTTTTCATATTTACACTGCACTATCTACTGATAGGTCTGATTGGCTTCCCTGATAAGTCCTGGAAAAAGAATTCATGAAATTGTCAAGGAAAATTATATTCTTCTGCCATAATCTGATTTGAGAATGAATTTTATGGTGGAAGCCATTTTACAGTACATTCAATGATGTTTTTCTGACACTTGTCATCATTAATTATGCTATACAAAGTCCCACTTCTTATTTAAAATCTGAATCCGAATTATTTGTACCAAAAGAAATGCATGTTAAGTGCTTGAAATAACCTTGGATTTTTTTGGTTAAGAGTATGTTTTCATGAAAACAGTTAAATGCTGTTAAACAAAAAAGAATAATTGTAGAATTAAAAAGATATTCTACGTTATTGTTTTATGATTTGAACTTGCCGATAAGCATTTCAGGACATCGCAAACCTGATTGGGTAGTGTCCCTTTAAAAGCAGACTGGCAGCTGCTGTCAAAATGGAATGCACCCCTAAAACTTGCTGTTTATTCATATCCCAGTTAAAGCTGAAACAAACAACTGAAACTAATCACGCTTGAAGTTGGGTATCGCCTTTGTGAGCTTTATGAGCCTATTTTTCTGAAATTAGAAATTGCCTGAGTGAAATGTTTTTAGCTAAACTGCTTTCTACTGAAGTCATGATTTTTACAGTCAGATAAATGCCCCTTAAGCTCCATTTATGTAAGCGTCAGTGACATCCAGTGGCTAGCAAGCTGATCACAAGTGCATCTCCCTGCAGTGTGAGGGGCCCATGGTACAGAGATAGAGATGGCACTGGAAACCGCTCTGCATTTGATAATTGTTGTTTCTACTGAAGAAAGTTGGTTTTACCAAATGTGGCCCTCTGATTAGGTTGACTAAACATTCCACCCTGAACTTTGAAACAGCATTGATAGAAATGAGACTTGAAAATTGGAAATAAAATTGCATGTAAGGGCTACATAGGAAAATGCCATTGCTTGGAAAACATAATTAGCATCTACGCTAAACCCGAAGCTTGAAATTCTGCAGGTGTTATTTAGAAATGGTTATCGGGGAGCTTACACAGCTTTCGGTTACACAAAGAGGACTTGTAAATTCTAGTGAGATTGGTTCATTATGCAGAGTTGGATGATGTTGCAGCTAATGTTTCAAACACATATGCTTCATAAAATGGTCCACCTTAATTTGAAAAAGGTATTACTTGCAATTATGTCAGCTATATAAATTTATTTGCAGACAGTCAATTCATATTGATCATAACCTGACCTCGCAATGACCTTGAGGAAAGGTAGTCTGTGACGGGTATAGATATTGGGATCAATACCAGAGTGCAATCGACTACACCTAGTTACTGATAAATGAAGTAAAAAGGTACACTCCTTTCAGAAACAAAGATAATAATGCTCATTTAGTCAACCGTTTGTAAAGGTTTAATATTGATACATGTAGTTATAATGACATCCTCGGGCATTTTCAAGTGGCAGAAAACAATAGGGTAAGGAGTCACTGAACACACTAAGCAGAAAGAATTATTACTTTCCAACTCCAACAAAGACATTCCACGATATTTGTGTCAACAATGCTGAGAACCAGGGCATTCTCTAAGCAGTACAGAGAGACCACGGTTTCAACTGCACGAGGCTGTCTGCTTCAGTGTTCTTCTCTGTGTGCCAGGTCTTGTGAAACGAAGCACCGTATTACGTGGGAACAAAGCCTCCAGGACCCCACATTGTACGTTAGTACTACCCTCTCTTGCACATTTGCAGTGGAATTAGCTTGCCTATCCACAGGTATAACCAACTGTAATCATGAGAAAGAGAGCATTTGGTCTCAGCGCATCTGCTCCATGTTGATGCATTCCCCTCTGCTATGGAAAGTTAAAAGAAAGGATGTTAACAAAAATTTCCCCCAATTGTTCCTTTCTCTTTGCTGGGAATTCCACAGAGTGAGCACTTGGCAAGTTATGCAGAACCTAAGTGAATAGAATCCATTGGTAAAATGGTAACAGGTTGTGCAGCTTAATTGGAGGAGAGAAGTTCAGGAGCCAGCCTGGTGTCTGCTGCACCCAGTTGGTAAATTGTGCCTGTGGTGAGAACAGAGTGATTTTGCAGTAAGCTCATTTTGGGTAACTAGTCAGCCTGCTACTGTGAGCCAAGAAATATGAGGATTTGGTTTCAGTGTGTTTTTCTTTTTTCCTTTTTTTTGGTGTAAAATATATTTCTATATCTTAAGCTTTGTTTATCTTTTGCCAGTATAATTTTGAGAAATCGGTGCCAGCACTCTGATATTGTCTTCCTAAGGGAGGGAAATGCTAGACATTTGTGGCTATTAAAACCTGCAAACAGAAGGAAAAGGCTCTGTTCGCATAGATTCCACTTGAATGTTTTCCCTGAATGCTTAAGTTTCTTAGGTGATCCCTACAGTTAATCTCCTGGTCCCATGCCTCAAGCCACATGCTTTTTCACATGGTCTTCCTGTTTTGCAGGCCAGCTAGTCATTTGCTACCTGCTTTTGCTTCTTCCACTCTCATGAAGCTATTTATTAATAAACCTGTGTTTTCAATATGGCATTACATCAATAAACCTCCAAGTGGTTCAGTTAGTCAGCATTCTGGGAAATCCTATGCTATATTGGAGAACTGTAAATCTCCATTATTGCTTCCCATAGCACAAATAAAGAATACCCTCTTACCTCCCTGACATCCTCTACTCATTTTAAAGGGTGAATGCATATTCTCCCACTGGCGCTGCGAGCTGCTGAACTTGTGTTTGTCAGCAAGTGGAGTGTCGCTGACACTGAAGACACCCTGAAACACCTATAATCAAGGAACAGGCTAATTTCAGGTATTAAGAACCAAATTACTTCAGTGAGCTTCAGTCTTCTCTTTTTCTGAAGTCTTTAACCAATTGGTGGGACAGGCAAATTCTGGACTTTAGATTTTTCTGTTCTGCAGCTGTATGATCTGATTTCCAGCGTGTTATTAACTGTCACAAAGAAAATATCAGTAATTAGAAAGATAAGAATAGACTTTTAGATACCCTTTTGGTATCAGACAGAAACAGTAGAACATCTTTGTTGTTATACCAACTAAAAAATTTCTGGTATTTACTACTTAAGACAAGGGTGATAATAGCATTTCCACACAACCGTAAAAAAGGGTTTGGCCAGTGAATGCTGTTCCTTCTCGCTATTTTTATGACTTCCCCAGGGCAAAGCACAGTGGAAGTTAGGACAGAGGGATGACAGCTTGGAGGAGCTGTCTGAAAGTGGCTTTGACTCTGAGCCTGGGTTTCCTTGAGGGATACCTTTAAAACTACAAGTGGTATGTATTTGACATGAGGAAACTGACTTTTAATATTTCTAAAGGTGCTTTTAATAAAGCAAATTTAGGTATCCTAAGAAAAATTTCTGTATAATAGCCCAGAAATCCCTGACCACTCTGGAACTGGTCTCTTTATATCTGATATCCACAGCTCACTTCATGACAGGGCGCCTTATTTTGGGGATGACACAAACAGCTCAACTATGAGTTTCTGACCATCTTGCCTTGCCCATATCTGCTGACCTGGCTCTGGGCTCTGACCAGGGGCCTTCCTGCCTGCCTAGATACTAGCTAAGTCATTAGAAGGCAAAGGCCTATCAATTTTTGCTGCCAACCTTCTACTTTGTATTCTAATTTCATTTTTGGTAAGAATCGCCACTAAGAATAGGTAGCTGTCGGTTGTTGTCAGGGTCCTGTGAATTTCCTAGCACCCAGCTACTCTTCGTTGACTCCACCTGGGCTAACCCGCCTTAGCTGGTCTCTGGCCTGCTTCTTTGGCTGATCTTCCACTGTTCTTTGTCAATTGTTTTTTTTTTCCAGATTCCATTTCAGTTCTATGTGCTCTTCTGCCTCCTGTCAGTCACTGCCATGGTTCCTGGGATTCTGGAACCTCCCATACTGGCATTGGGCAATCCCAGGTTCCAGATTGTCCCTTAGAACCCACCTCTCTATTAAAGCTCCAATATTTTATTCAGTCAGAGCAATTCTATGTGTCGGATTGCCTAACGATGAATCCCTGGTGAATTAATGAATTATTCTATTGCAACTACATAACATTTGCATCTTATAATAGGAATGGTGAGAAGCTGCAAAGATTTTCTCTATACTGGGGATCAAGGGAGGACATTTAGACACTGGTGTTTTTTGTAGCATCCCTTGAGAAATACCCTAATCCACATATGTGTAGGATCAGCTATCTATCTACAGCATGATAGCCCAATGTGTCTATGCATGCCCCCGTGTAGGGCAGAATGGCAGCAGCAGCAGGGGATGGCGGAGTGGATTTTAACTAAAGACGACAGACGGGCATTCCAGACACGTGCCATTTGATTTAGACCCCGATTCTTCTTGCTGGATTCCCACTAATGCCTATGTTGAACAATCTCAACTTGCTGGAAGTGTGTCCTGAATTGTACCTTCTGGTAATTCCATATCATTATAAGTAAATGGAGTTCCTTTGCTGGAGGCCTTTTGCTCTAACAGGGACAAATCATTCTTGGTGAGAGACAGAAGATGTTGAGGAAGATGAACTCTCAATTATGCAGCTCATCCCAGCTGTGCCAAGCAAGTGAGAACACCCAGTACACAAGATCATTTTCCAGGACTCAAGGCTTTTGGTTTTCCATAACCCTGAATCCTGGGACTAGAATCCCAAATGTTTTGACATGAAAATAATGTTTTTTTAAACAAGAGGAAATTTCCTGTTTATCACTAAATGAAATTCCCCTCCAAAGGAGAATGCCTGCATAGATTTTCTGCTAGGATCCACCTGCTAGAAAAAAAATACCTTAGCTACATTATAAGAATTGCAAAATTGCAAAAGCAATAACACTTTACCATATTAATTAATTTTGAACACAGCTGAAGTCTTGTGTAAGTGCATATGACATCCATGGTAATGCCAAATTAATTCTTTATGATCAGTGCTATTGGAATCAATACTAAATGAATTCATAATGATAAGATACTTAAAATAAAGAGTTACCACAAAAACAATAAAAAGACCATCATCATCCCAACTATAGCACACTAATAAAGTTTTAGCTCAATAAGCTGGTGCTATCCATGACAATCAATGGCAGATACTTAATTTATTTCTGCTTGTCTCTGTCTTGCTTTTCCTGTAAGCGCTGTGTAAAGCATGCTGCTTTGATTCTACTGTAAATTGTGTAGGGAGAAAGAAATACAGTACTCTTATTATTCAATAATTTTGCTGTAGCATTTACTTTGCATATCACCTCTGCCAAAGAACTCATGGCAAATTATACACACCAATCTAGTTCCAAATGGATTCCTTTTTGTCTCTATTTCCTCTTCATGAGAACCATGTAAACTTTTCTGAATCTTCTTTCCTCTTTCATAGATAAAGATATTTGTAGTATGTATAGGGTTAAAGACTAGAAGATGGCTACACTGGTCTTTACATTTTCACTTTTTCATTTTAATAATGCCAAAAGACACTGTGTGGATGGAAACTAATGACTCTATTATATCTATCCTTTACTGTGCATTAAAGAATCAATCAATCTTGAAGTTAAGAAGTAATAACTTCCTCCCTTTCTCTCACCTCCCTCCCTCCTTCCCTTCCTTCCTTCCTCCCTCCCTCCCTCCCTCCCTCCCTCCCTTCCTTCCCTCCCTCCCTCCCTCCCTCCCTCCCTCCCTCCCTCCCTCCCTTCCTTCCTTCCTTCCTTCCTTCCTCCCTCCCTCCCTCCCTCCCTCCCTTCCTTCCTTCCCTCCTTCCTTCTCTGTCCCTCTCTGCCTCTCTCCCTCTCTCCCTGTTTGAACATCTTCCATATGTCAGTGATATTCTGGCCTGGGCCCTGGAAATAAGAACAAACAAAATTAATCCTTACCTTCTAGCTTAGATAGAATCATGAAAAGAGTACTGGGCTTGGTCAGGCGTGACATCAAGTCAGTAATTTCAGCACTTAGGGAGTCCAGGGCAGGAGGATTCACTTGAGGCAAGGAGTTGAAGACTAGTCTAGGCAACATAAATAGACCCTGATTCTATTTACACACACACAGAAAAGTACTGGGGTTGACATCAGGTTGAAGTACATCTTAGTTTTTAAATTTTCTTTGTTATTTGATTTTGGGCACTGTGGCAGAGGCAAATTTCATTTCAGATCTTTTCTTCTTGGGAACATGGACAGCTATACTTCCCAAATCCCTTGCATTTAAATAGGGCTGTATGAGTAGTCCTGGACAATGAATTGTGTGTAGAAATTATGTGTGTCACTTCTGGGCTAAGCCAGTAAATTTCCTATGTACTACTTCAGTCCTCTCTTGCCCACAAGGAGGCCTCATGTTGGGGTGGTAGAGCCATAAGATAGAAACAGCCTGGATTGCTGAGTCCCTGTGTATTAGTCAGGGTTCTTCAGAGAAACACAACCAAGAGGATATAAAAGATGACATAAAATAAGAGATTTAACATGGGGATTGGCTCACATAATTATAGAAGCCAAGAAGTTTTATGATGTTGTCTGCAAGCTGGAGAACCAGGAAAGCCAGTGGTGTAATTCCAACCGAAGACCTTAGAACCAGGGGAGCTGACAGTGTAAGTCCCAGTCCACAGCTGAAGTCCTGAGAACCAGGTTGGGGCTGCTGGTGTAAGTCTGGAGTCCAAAAGCTAAGAGACAGGAGCTCCCATGTCTGAGGGCAAGAGAAGATGGATGTCCCAGCTCGAGAGAGAGTGAGAGAGAGAGAGAGGGGGGGTGGAGAGAGAGTTTGGATCTTCTTTTCTTTATTGGGTCTGCTTATTCAAATACTAATCTCTTCCAGAAACACCCCCAAAGATAACGCTTAGAAATAATTTCTACCAGCTATCTGCATCAAGTTGACTTAATCCAGTCAAGTTGACACAAAATTAACCATCACACACTCTGCAAGGAAAACAACTGCCTTGGAAGGTAGCTAACCTGCGGTGAACTTTGTGTGATAGAGAAACAAAATTTGTTTCTTTCTTTAGGAGTTGCTTTCTACTGTACCATGAGTCCAACTAAGCCTATCTAAAATAGGTAAGTAATCTCTCTGAGTATCTGTTTCTTCATCACAAAACAGGGATAATATATTTCTTACTTACATCATGAAGTTCCTGAGAAAATCAGTGAAGATAACTAACATATCACACACAAACTATGTAAGTCAGCGTTATGCAATGGCTGAGTTGAACTATTCTGGATTCAAGAATCATAACTCACAATTTCATAAGATTAATTTGGCCTAGGTATCTCTCTGTCTATCATAACACCAGGAGATGTTGTTCAAAGATTTTAGAAGGACGAAATGATTTCTTGAGAGTGATTAAAGCTCAGGCTGTATAATGAGAGTTGCATGTAAGTTGAATGTAAAAATGAGTTGCCATGATAGGCTCTCATATGGGTCTCCTGTTTCTCTTCCTCAGGGCTGGTGATACACACTTCTCTCATCTGGAGCTTCATGGGTGAATTCCAAATTCTTCTGTCCCATGATCTGCATCAAGGCATCTAATTTATACTTAAAAGCTTTTGTTACTAAATTTGGACTCTGTCCAAAATAACCACTCACTGCATGCTGTTATTGCCTACCATTATTTTTAAAAAAATACTTTTCATAATCTGAAGCTATCCGGTATTGAATGTTTACCATGAGTTTCCTGCTGCTAGAAGGTAAACTTAGTGAGAACAGAGACACAAATAACTTTTTTTCACTATCGCATCCTCATTGCCTAGAAGAGTGCCTGGCGTACAGAAGACAGTCAATAGATATCAGTTGAATAAATGAATGACCTAGCATAGTAGACATTCAATAAATATCAGTTGAATGAATGAATGAGCCGACATATAGTAGGCATTCTATAAATATCAGTTGAATGAATGACGAACAGCAGGAAAGAGATAAAGTGATGGTAAAGAGTGATTGAGCATGGAATGAGCGGTTTTCTTTGTGTGTGTGTGTGTGTGTGTGTGTGTGTGTGTTTTGTAACAGATAATTAGAAAATACCTTTTCTGAGCAACTGATGACATTTGACCAGAACTGGAATGATGAAAGCAGGACTATTTTATCTACTAGGAATTATAAGCATAATGCCTGTGACTAAGAGTTTTTCAGCACCTGGGAAAGTGTTTCAGGCCTGGAAAAATATTACTGGCATTAATTTATGAAAAGAATACAGCAAAATTGAAACCAACAATATTTATTTAAATGCATACAAAATGTCAATTGTAACTAATCAACTGCAACTCAACTGTTATCATTTTATATAAATTCTACTCAATATGCAATGTGAGTATATTTTAATAGGTTTGATCTGATGTGCTTAGAACCCACAAGAATCTTGTTAGATGGGAAAGAGCTAGTTGTGTGAAAATCTTGGGGAGGACTATTACAAGCAGAGAATGCCTCGAAACAGAAAAATGAATTCCATGTGACTGAGGAAGAAAAAGAAAGATGCGGCCAGTGAATAAGGAGAGAGCGAGGGAGACTGGTAGGAAATGAGGTTGAAATCAGGCAGTGACTGGGTTGTGCAAAGTTTTACACAGTGTAAGGAAAATGGACAAAGATACTTCTCAACACACCCTTCTTTTTCTGGTTCAGGGGTGTGGGTGTGAGTACGTGTGTGCACACTGCATTATATTTTTCAAATGTGCTTGCCTTTGAGGAGTTGTTTAACCCAGGGATAAAGGCTGTTAGTTATTTTTCTATATGCTCTGGCTATTCCTATACACGGATTATTGCCTCAATGCCTCCACTCATATTCTTAGACCCAAATACTTCACAGTATGTCTATGTATTTGCCATTCATGGATGAAACAAGAGCATCCTGTATGCTAACCAGCTTAATCATGGTAGATTCTTGATTTTCACACTTAAATCCAATTATATTTGGCGTGTTTTGGTTTATCTCACTCAACATGACTTCAGGCAGTTTCAAAGCCAAGGAGGAACGCATAAGTATTCGGGCAGCCATTGAAGGCAAGAGCCTATCACCTCTTCTTACCTTATCATGGGACCAATGGTTATTCCAGAGCTTATGCTCAGCCCAGTTGCTCCAAGGGCCGTATCATTCATACTCGTTTCATGATACTGTCCAGTTACCACTGAATATGAAAATATCTTAAAATAATTGCTTTATCAGGTATGGCTCAAAACCTTCTTTTGTGTCAGTTGGTGGAGGAGGCAGAGGGCAGTTTAGTGCTTCGCCTTCCAAAACACAGAATATCTTTGCTGCTTTATTTTTTCCTTCAATTGTCATTGAAAATAACTAGTCATAATGCCTTTGTAAGCCTTGCCCGGTCTCAGCTATGCGTAAATCATGCTCCCAGACAGGGCCCCTTGGTTTAGAGGTCCCATTGTGGAAGTGATTTAGGTAGAGGCAGGATCATGAATAAAGAACACTCACCCTCTTCTTCAGAGGCAGGGGTGGGAGAGCCCTTCCCAAACATCTCTTTTCAGTACCAGTATTTGGCTAAGAGCTTTAATTTCATTAGACAAATGGGGGCTGGGTTTTTCCATGCATCTCAGCCTCCTTTTAATGTGTAAATTACATAGGATTTGCCACTCATTACAATGGTGATATGATTATTGGCCTCAAACAGACCACACTGCACAGGCCCCCAGTGATAGGCCAGCTCAGAAGTGGCATGTGTGGGAAGCATTGGACAGCATATGTCTGCTGATCACACGCCTTCAAAAGAATAGAATCCACAGACGCGAGGCTCCCACTGGCTTTACTCAGAGTGCTTCACGGGAAGTCGATTTCTGGGTGGATGTGACATCCTGAAAGGTAACGATATAGTTACCAGGTAAAAGCTGCTCGGAGCCACATGGAGTGGCAAGGAGAATGCTTTTAGGATTTGGAGGCAGAAGCCCTAAGCCTGGCTGTTTACTGAAGGAAGTCATGTCACTGAACTCTTGTGAACCTCAGTTTCCCCACTCACAAAATGGGGATAATAATGCCTCCCAATACCTGCAAGTTATTAAGGAACGTTATTTGTTGACACTGTGCTATGTATGATTGTGCTGGGCAATATCATTCCCATTGTCTCATTCATTCCTTAAAATAACCCTTAGAGGTAGCTATGGCTAAGCACACTAAGGAAAGTTAAAGAAGCCAGTGCAGCTCCCCCCACCCACAACAAATGCTTCATGGACAAAGAATTTTATGGAAAAATATATAGCTTAGAAGATTCTATACAGTATGTCCTGTCCTCCTCAGCCAGTTCTTAGAAAACCACAGTGCACATTAGCACATTAAAGGCTCTGAGAAGCTCCTTATTAAAACAACCTTTTTATTTATTTATTTTTTAATCCAGAATTTCCTTTGAGACCACCTTCCCTCCTCCTTCACCCCAGCAAATGCATACACCCAGCTGCCTAGGAGCTAAGTCTCCTGCAGAGGCAATAGCCCCAGAGCAGTTACTGATTTGGAGATGGATAGAAAGGAGAAAATCAGTGAGTCCCTGTAAGGAGGCATTGTCAGCTTGGAAGGGGCTGGCAGAGAACTCTGTGAACACATGATTATGATGGGAGACCCATTCTGGTACAACTGTACCACTCTTTGAGTGTAGTACGGGAGGAGTTTATTGTCCCCCCGCCCAAATAAAATTTATTCTACACGGATGGAATATGATATTGTTTCTACTTTTTCCCATTCATTCATTCATTTTGTATATTTTTTATAAACCCAAATATATCCCCCATCTGTGGTCTGTATCATGCCAGAAATTTAGATGTTCAGCTACACAAGATGAATGTCTTGGTGGATGTACACCGAATCAGACGCTCAAGAGCGGCTGCTTCATTCATGGCTTCTAATACCACCACTTTCCTCATTTCCATCAGCATAAATCGACCACGGTACTTAGATTTACACTTGTTTAATGCTTTGTATTACAAAGCACACACGTTTCTCATACATTTTCAGAGTCTATTCCTTAAAACACTAGGTCAGAAAGATGTAAATGTTTCTGAAAGAACAAGTATGTGTGCCTATTTGTTGGGGTGGTAGAGAGGTGGTTTTATTGGAAATTCTGGGCTAATGAAAAATGATTTCTTTAACACGGGACATCTTAGAGCTTTTAATGTACACTGTGATTCTCTAAAAGTATAAAGGAAAGGCTAAAGCATACATTTCCCAAGCTATCTATTTAGCCTTAGAGCTCTTAGTCCATGGAACATTTTTTGGGAAATGTTATACTTGCTAATTGTTTTCCTCTAGTGTGTATGGCAAAGGCTACCTCTGAGAGTTATTACAACAAAGGAATGGGGTGTGCTGGTGCTACTGCCTAGCACAGTGGGTGTCCAGTGGGGATACAGCAACTGGTGTTCTCTAACAACACATAGGAAGCAGGCAGGCCTCAGCCTCTCTACCTATCACCCTCCAAGGGTGACTTGCTTTCTAATCTGGCTGTGACCTGGGTTGGTTCCTTGGCTCTGGTTCCCTTAGTCAATCCTCTCTGGAACTAGAGGCCAGCTTGTCTTCCACCCCTATCAGCTGGGCCATGCTCTTTCCTCTTTCCTTAGGCCCTGCCAGCCAGTGGGCTAGGCCTGGTCCTACTTCTACTACTTTGTCCATCATCCTCTTCGAGTGACAACTCAGGTACAGCTAGATGTTGAAAACCACTTTCCCCTAGAAAAGGTGCTACTGTGTCTCACTCTCTGATAATAACTTTTAGATATTCACACTGGCTTGATCTGGCCTTGCATTTACTATCTCAGTCGACTGGGTATAGAATGTCCCAGCTACTACCTCGCCTGTCTTGGTTCACTCTATGCTGCCAGATAGGAACTCCTGGTTTGCTACATGGCCAGGGCTCCTTGCATTTTGATTATCTTGGAAATATTCCAGAACTGTGTCTTATATGTGAATAAATTTATACATACTTATATCAGTGTCAAGTGGCAGGAGATGCCTAGAACTCTGGTCTCTAGACTACCAGGGTGATTCTCTTTCCACTATGCTACTATACTTGATACACAATTATTACATTTCTGTCTTGCTTACTGGGAAGGAAAGATAACTCATACAGAAAAGTTTTGCCATAGGTTTTTTTCTGGCCATTTTATGCACACTAAGTGTATAACTAAGTTTGGCCATTTTCACCAACTGTCTGTATTAGGGAGACTAAATCCTATAAAACTGACTCTTCTCAGTGACTCATGTCTGAAATCATGGTTCCTTCAATAAAATGTAGGCTGAAGTTTTCTAGGGTAACCTCTGAATGCCAGACTCACTCCCAGTAGAGAAGAGCTTTTGAGAAAGAGTTTTCCTAAATAAAGAGACTTTATTGTCTCTAATGCCTCTAGTAATGAGCCCAGAGAAAATGTAAGGACCATTCCAGGCCAGTTATATGACACCTGGAACTAAGGGCTGGATGCTGGAGAGAGGGTTTTCTCTGGTTTGCCTGTAGGCTTGTCCATATAGTGGGGTTTCTCACAGATGTACCTCACATTGATTGGCTTGACCGTGCTCCTGCACAGAAACTGGGGCCAACTGTGATCTCTGGGGGCTCTGAACCCTGTCTGGGTGGAGACGATATCATTGCTCACCAGCAAATGTCAACGATAAATACCTGAATGTTGGCTTGGTATGCTGAGTCCAGTTAAAGAACTAGGATACTTGATGAGTAAACCTAGGATTGGCCAAGCAGCAATAAAATCATTAGAGGTTGCTAAGCACCATCATCAGTATATCAGGCATCAGAGAAAGTGACCTACTGAATCTTAAATAGCTCAAGTTCCAAAATCTGAAGAAGCAGGTTGTGTGAATAAGAGGATTAAGGGATTGGAGTTTGGGCAGTTCTTTATAAAATCTGGCCAGATCTTCAAATTTCGTTTCTGTATCCAAACACTAAACAAAGAATTATGTTTATTTTATGTTAAAAATAATTGTGCTCATAATTGGAGGGGCAGAGAAAGGATGTCCTTGCCCCCACTGCAAAACATGAATTTTTGATAATTTCTTCTCTCTTAAACTATTTGGGATTAAGGATACACATTTGAGAGACAGGTGAGCTGTGGTGAAAAGCCATGGGACAAAACACAGCTAAATGAATTCCCCAGAGAGTAAGCCTAGGACCACGGTGTTAGTTTGCACACAACTGTGCTAAGAGCAATAACTAGCAACTGAGCTTTTCCTATCTGATTTCTGGAAACTGTACTGATTGTCAATCGTCAAACAAATTCTTTCTTCTTTGCCCTAAACTACTGATGCCATTTTATGAATTCTTCTTCAAAAGCTTTGGGAAAAATTATAGTATATAATACAAAACATTTTTATTTCATTATCTCTGCTGAGATCAATGAGTTTAACTTTCAATCTTACTACATTTTGAACTGCTGCAGATGGTGTAGGTGGCAAATATTACACATTTGGTTAGAAAACATCATGGATATAAATACCCTTGTCTTTTTCCCTCAGATCAGTGGAGAGCTTTAAGAACAGGATAAATACCCATCTGCCTGGAAAATTGCCTGGAGGCAGGGTGATGGACTAGATGTCTTACTTAGATTCCTTCCAACCCTCTGATTCAGAGCCCTACTCTGTTGCCAACAGAGTGAGTTTTGGTGGGATACGTCCAGGACTGCAGCCCCTTCTGCATGTGTGCATAGTGCCCCAAGATTTTTCGTTGAGTTTAGTGAAGAATAAGCTCCCTTTTCCATCTGTATGGAAATAGGCGGCTTCTGAAATGCTATTTGCAGACTTCATTTGAGGGTGTGGGTCTAATCAGAAATGATGAATGGATGAACACTCATGGATTTTTTGGAGAGGTCACTCTTTCAGGGGGCTAAGCATCTTGATTTGTGCATCTTTAAGGGGTGTGGCACAGAGCCCAAAGGCATTACCTAAGCTCCCCTGCCAGATGATGGCCTAGAGGGATCATCATGGACTTGGGCCAACAACTGGACACTGTTGATGGCAGTTACAGCTGTGCAGATGCAATGTAAGTTTATCATGGAAGTGGGTACCCCACTCATGGCTAAAAAGTCCTACTGACAAGCCTGATGAGTAAAGAGACAGCCATACACTTTTGTTTTTATATATGTACATATTTATTTTTGTTTTTAAGTTTTAAAGCAAGCCATATACTCTTTAGAAAAATTTTAAGAAAGTAGAAATATATGAACACTGAAACAAAAATAATTCTACATCCCCCAGCCTAGAAACATTCACTGCTAACACTGTGGCATACAGCAGACACTTGAAACTTGTGAGTGGACATACTGAGCACATGAAAAATGGACACATTCACCCATCCCACCATAGCCTATAAGTCACCTCTGAAAATAGAGTAAATTATAGTGGAAAATTTAAGTGCCCACTTCAGAGCACTAAAAATTCCTTTTAATTTTTTACTTGATGAGTAATTTTTGCATTCTCTGGAATACAGGCAGAAAAAGCTTCATGAGTTAGTTTTTGTCACTTTCAGGGTAGAAAAAATGGTGAACTCATTCATCAGGTTCCCAACTTCCATAAGAACCATCCCTCCATCGCTGTTCTGCTCCTGCCACAGTCTCTCCACTTCCATGATCAGCACTGGCTGGTTGGGTTCTATCCGAACTCATCGCCCTCTTTTTTTCCTTTTTAAGATTTTTTTTGAAAAAGATATCGTGTTTTCTTTTAAATAATTTAAGTCACTTTGCCGAGTGTTACTTGATTTTGTAATAATAAAATCCTTCTGACAAGCGGCTGCTCATTGCCTGCCCTGTTACTCTATGTAAATTGATCATCCCTCCACACCAGAGCTATACACTTAACATCTCAAATTCATACATCAGCAATGCAACTAATTTGTATGTTTTATGAACTTTGAGTTGCTCATGATTAGAAAAGTTACATATGCATATGTTAGAATTTTATTATTTTTCTCTCTAGCCTTTTTCTCTCTAACTCTGTATGTGGGGTGTTGTATGTATGTGTTTGTATGCCTGTGTATGCACAATGTATATACAGTTCCTGCATGTTACATTCTTAAATATTCTCAGTGGAGCATTTTTCCAGTTCATTGTGAGTATCCATTTATTGATTTATTTGTCTGTTATATATTGTTTGTCTTATCCACCACAAAATACACATCATCAGAACAGACACATTTTATTGTTGTTCATTGTTATATCCCCAGCATCTAGAGTAAGTCCTGGCCGTAATAGATACTAAATAAACATTAGTTTATTGAATAAATAAATGACTAAAATATCCACTGGGTATATAATTTTTGATGATTGAATAGTATTTCCTAATAGAGGTGTAACCAGAATTTAGTTAACTATCCCTTTTCATGCTTATGTGACATGATATTTTTATTAACATAACCAGTGTTCTCAGGAACAAAGATCTTGGTTACTAGTTTTGATTTTTCTTCAGGATAGAGTCTAGATGTAGAGTTTACTAGGTTGAAGCATAAGAAGATACAAAGCCATTACAGCTTAATATTTTTTGCAGATTTTTTCCCTTTAGAACACTAGTAAAAGTTTTACACTCCCATAAGCAATGAATGGAAGTTAAGTCTTACTATGTCCTTGCTTTTTGTAGTAACTTTTTTCAACTTTCTCAATTCTGGAATTTGGAGGAATTTCATTTCTATCGTGGACATCACATTAGTCAAGATCTCTCTAGCTGGTAGAACAAAAACTTCCAAATCTTAACACAGTAAAGTTTTTTTGTTGTTGTTGTTCATGTCATGGTCTGATGTAGCTCAAGCCACTCTTCTGGATAGCAACCCTCTAAGCAGGGACTTGGGGATTTGAACTCTTTTAATCTATTGTCTCTGAGATCTCTGAGTGCTGCACTTCTGGATGCATAAGTGTGTGTGTGTGTGTGTGTGTGTGTGTGTGTGTGTGTGTGGAGAGACAGAGAGAGAGAAAGGCAGAGAAGGGGGCCAAGTGGTGTATTTATTTTATGACCAAGCTCAAAGTCAAGTATATATTTCCACCTACATTCCATTGGCCAGAACTCAGTCATGTGGTCACACGTAGATGCAAGAGGAACTGGAAAATAGAGTCTCCCTGAGTACCCAGTTGATAAATAAATTGTACGTCGAAACAGATTCTAAAAACATCTTTCACTTTTTGGATAGCAGAAGAGTATAGGGTGCCTATTATTGATCTGATGCCCCTGATTCTGATCAAGTGTTCTACACCCTTCATCTCCTGTGACAGTGGCCAGCACGTGTCCAGTAGTGCTCACAACATAAAGACAAATAAACAGAACAAGCACCAGTCTTGTGAGATGGAGTTGTTTGTCCTGCAATTGAGGAGAAATGCTATTCAATTTACCCACCTTTAGAGTTCTCTTTGGTGTTCTGGAACAATTCCAACTTGGATAATTGCATTCTGCTGATCTAAAATTCCCCTGTAGTTTCCTTCGGATGAGCTAGCCTTCATTTCCCTCTCTGCACATCGTAGCATAGTGTTACTGGCACCCAGTGATTGTTCCATTCTGCAAAAGAGCTGGTTACATTTCACCACCAGGAAAGTGATCCCTGGGTAAATATATAGAATCTGCAGGTTTCTTTGGTTTCTTAAGCGTAGAAAACATACATTTAATGGATTAGTAAAATTAGTGACTTGAAACTCTAGGTAGTGGAAGAAGTTAGTAATTTTCTGTTATGCTATAAATTTAACTCTAGAAATTAAAAAAAATCTTCTCAAGGATATGTAGTTTCTTTTGACCCAACAAATAATAGAGTACATTTTCTGTTGCCAAATATGAGATTCTGTGATGATGTATTCAATGATGTCTATGGGATTTTTGCTATATATTTATAGTAATATGTTTGCCTCTATCCAAAATAATAAATTCTTTCTCTAGTAGATTTCAATGAGTAGAATTAACATTTAGAAAACTACTTTTTTTCTCCTGGGAATATTTACTTTGATAAGTAGTCTACACTATCCCCAATTAAATGCTTATGTGTGCTAAAATAGAAAAGAATGATATTAATTTTCATCCAGAAATAAAATACTGCTTGGTGGTGGGCAATTCTGTTAAAAATTGAAAGTAAATTCGCAATTAAAGGGTCTTTTAACAAAGTATCAGAATAACGTCCTGCTCATTGGGGTGATGAAAACAGGAAAGAATATGGCTGTTGAGCAATTATTAAGGTTGAGCTTGAAACTTGTAGAAATCTTTTTTCTTGTCTAAAAAAAATTTTTAAAAAATCCAGGCTTACTTCTGACTTTCGAATTTCAAAGCTCCTGTAGCCAACGGAGGGGGTTGGCTCCTAACAGTAGGGGGATAAGCCCCTAACAGTAGGGGGTTATCCTATTAAAATTCATCATGATTCTCCTTCCTGAAAGAAGTAAACAAGAATCAATTTTCTTTAGTAAAGAAGTTGGCTGAGATGCAAGCTGATCTAGGGTAGACTTGATGGATTCACATGAAACATTAACAAAATAATTCAGAATCGGAATACACAATTTACAGGGAATTCTTTTCCTTTTCTTTTTCTTGGGCAGGAGGGAGAGGAGGAAAGGAAATCTGTATTAAGGAAGAAGAGGAAAGCCCATAGCACATACAAAAAGATTTTCTAGTTTATAATTCAGCTAAGCCATGGATGCATGGAAGATGCACAGTACTGTAATTATCTGGCTAGATAGATGTAATTGTATCTATCAAACTAAATACAACACTGTTAGATGACAGCCAAGATTAGATTGTATATAAGGGTCAGACAGAAACCTAGAGTGACCTCACTCCTCCCTTCTCACCATGCCTGTTTTCTTAGTCTTTGATGGCGACCCATTCTGCTAACCATGTAAAAGCATAAACAGTAACGCTGTCTTTTTGTTCTATGCCAACAGCCTCCCTAGAGACCATGTTCAGTTTACTTGGGCTCGGGGGATTAAGCCTGCCCAGGCCTCCCTTGTATTTGAAATGTATGATATTGATATCAGTGCTTAGAGAGAATCAGGCCTCTGCAATGAGCAGATCATGCCTGGCTCCATAAAGTCTACATTGCATGGAGAGATGTATAGGCTAGGTGGAGAAGGGCCAAGTCAGGCCTTTGCTCTGGAAAGCAAGTATTAGGTAATGAACTAAAGAGTTTGTTTCCTAGCATGGCCCTTAATATTCGATACATTTCCATGGGCTATGGAAATGTGATGAACTTCTGAGTAGTTCTACACTGGCTGTTGAGGCCGTTCATGGTCATCTCATAGATACTAGCTGGGCTATCAGCATTAATGTTTCTCTGCCATGCTGCCTTTAAAATAAGCATGCCCTTCCCCCTTGCTCATTTATAAGCAGTTGGAATCTATTTTCATGGAGTTCTTCCAATCAGGATCATATCCAAACCATTTTGGTTTTTTTGAACCTTCCGTATTATATTTACAATGTTTAATGAAAAGTCTGGATTCTCCCCATGCTAAGTAGTGAATCTAGGATGGATGAAATATTCCACTAGTCCGTCGCATTTATGGAAAGAGATAAAATAAACAGAAAATGTGTGGCTCTTGAGCGAGCTACTTCATCTCCCCATTCTTGTATGCATTTTCCATCATTCTTTGGTACCCTGTTGCCACTGAGTTATACAGTTCCCATTGTTTGTGGCTTGTGCTTCAGAGGGGAACAAGGCTCTGCTGAAGGCAGGTTTGCCTTGTGCCTTAGCATAAAAATCCATGACACTTCTGCATATGCTGTGTGTTAAATTTAACCAGGTTAACGCCCCTCTGCCTGGGCTTTTGGAAAAGAGTCCCAAATTGTCACATGTAAAGGGACACTTCAGTGCTGATCTTCATTTCCATGAGATTAAAAGTGAAACATGTAACCACAAAGCTGGTTTATGTCATCCTCCTGTCGGAGTCAGCAGTCATGCCAAAAATTAGATATTTGATAGGTTTGTGAGAGAAACAGATGCAGAAGGATGCCATTCCCACAATTTAGACTCCTTCTTATCTTTAAGCTAGAAAGAACATTCCAGATGAAGAAAATCTATTTTATTGGCTTTAAAAAATAGCAAAGAAAATGCAGAAATAAAAAATGGTAATTTAAAACTGATGTCATTCTTGGGGACTTATAAACTGCAAATTGGTATTTCTAACTAAAAAAAAAGTCATTTAAGACATGCTTACTTGATGTTTTCATTTATGCTGCATTCTTACCTCAGCTATGGAGTTATAATTGAGAGAAAATATCCGCGAGATATGTTCACATATAGTAGTATGTGGATATAGGCAAGAAAAAGTAGAAAGGGAAACCATAAACCTCCAAAAGGCTAAAACATCCAAAAAGTATTCTCTCAGCCTTTTTTTTTTTTTTGGAAGCATTTTGTGTCCCATTCTTTTTATTTAATTCTGCCAGCTGTCTGCTAAACAAATCTAGCCAGGTGGGGCTTACAACCCATGACTGAAAAACCTACTAGTGCAGCTGTCCAGCTTGCCCGGAGGAAGAATTCTGACAAATGGCAGGAACGAAAAGATTGTTTTGTTTTCAAGAAAGTAGCTCTTATACCTTTCTTGGGTTCAGTTATTGTTCTGTTTGCTTAAGCTAATTCATAACTTCCTAAGGTTTTATGGTGAAATAGAAAAATAATATCACCCTTTAAAAAATCCAGGGTATTTTTGTTACAGTCCAGTTTAATTTATTATAATTTGCCCTTAAATAAATGCTTTATTTTATATTGCAACCTGGCATTGAGCTGTCTTTTTTTTTTTTTTTTTTTTTTTTGAGTTGCTGATTGCTAACTCTCTCTCTCTTAAGCGGGTACAAATTATTAGTGAATTGTGACTGAACTTTATTTCTAAATATCGCATAATTAAATACATAGCTATTTAAAGGTGAAGGTTGGCATGGCTTATTTGTGAGCAGAGGAACAGAACAGGCTTCTTTGCACTGCATCATCAGTCGACCTCAACTGTGAATTTCTAGTCAGCAAATGGGCGCTTCATTTGGTGCATTTGAGCAGAGGATGGGAAGAGCTGCGCTAAAAATGATCACATCGCCATCTGATCTACAGCTCTATTGATGACAGATCAACGCGTATACCACTCAGTTACTTTCCCTATTTATTTGACATTTATCGATTCAGTGAATCTCAACATTTTTGTGAAACCTGCCTAAAATCTTATTATCTCATGAAAAAGGCTGCTGGAGTTATAGCTGGTCTCGGTCTTTGGTTCCAGCACCTGTTCGAGAGATATGATACTCATATGCAGGATTAGGACACGGTGCTGATTGTAGCCAGACTTCTGTAACTCTCCCCAGGGAAGTACCTGGGATGCCAGTGATGCCCTTCAGAGAAGCAACCGCAAACCCACTGATCTTTGACACGCACAAGAAAACCCTTACTATGTCCATAAGCTGGCTGTGATTTGTATATAGGTTTAAAAGAGAATGAGACTCAATGGGGCAGTAAGAATTTTCTTAGCAAGGGAATATGTCATACTATAAACTGATGAGGATATTTGGCTAAATCTCAGAGTGGACTTGGCAAAGAGCTAGAACTAGGAGATTGGTGTATTCGGTTGCCTTGTTCTGCCATTTATAGGGGCACAAGGAAACAATGTCCATAGTCTGAGTTGTGTGGATCAAAATGGCATCCAAAATAAGCGAGTGACACCAGACGATTGCTCAAGTTGCCTTTTTACCTTTTGTTATATAACATGGCATGAGTGATATCAGCCCGGGTGCTCACAAACCAAAAAGAAACAAGGCCAATTTTTCATGAGGAAATTGAAATGCTGATGCAGAACTAACCTTCACCGTTTGTTGTTATTTAATGAAGGAGAGTAATGAGGAATTTGGGGCAAAACTGGTATAGATGCACAACAGTAATGTACCACAAAACAATAATGACATTACTTAACCCTCAGAGGATTTATAAATGCATTTAAATATTAGACATGAACTAATTGTGCAAAGATGCATTAACAAACTAGGTTAAAAGAGGCAAAGCATCACTTCCCTCTCTTTCTCTCCCTACCACCCTGGAAACCCAGACCAGGGCCCCTCATACAACAACATCCATCTGTGTCTTAAATTTATATTTCCTTTGGAAATTTAGACTTAACTACTTTTGGACAGTGTGATCGGCCAACATGTTGCTACAATAGTAACTTTGTGGTTGAGCAGGAATAAAAACCAAGAAAAAAGTCCTGAATATTATAAATACCACATCATTTGCTCTCAGTACCCTACCCTGATAAGAGGAAAGAAAGAATATCTGTTTAAGAAAGAATACCCCAAAACCTACACATGTAAGAAGTGGTGTTTTGCAGAAAAAAATAGAAAGGAAATTCCATAACATTTCCTCCCTTTTCCTTTCTTTCATTATGTATGCACGTGCATATGAATCTGTTTAAATTTAAATTCTCTTTAAATACATCTTTAAATGTGGGCAAGGATTGCTCCATAATAGAGTGCAGACAAGCAAATCCATAATATATACATTTTGTGCATTTAGAGATTGATGAATGGAGAACCAAGAACCAAAAGAATAAATACTTGATAGTTGTAGAAATTGAAATTTGTATATGTGTTTGACAAAAATCTTAGATTTCTCATTTCTAACCATGTGGTCAATTTAAACAAATATTATGGAGATGGAAAAGTTTTCACTGATGTTATCTCCATTAACAAAAACATTTACAGCAGAACGAAAATTTTTCAGTACAAAGTAAGTTGGTAATTAATAGAATGATTTGTGCATTCAGATATAGCATGTCTTTTTGTAAACAGAAATTTCATACAGCAAATGCCTCTATAATAGAGTTAATCTGAAGCATGATGTTAGGTTTGTTGTTTTACATCTACATTGGAAAAGGGAGACCAAATATCTTCTTTTGTTTTATGTCTTCTTCTTTAGTATCCCAGGCTGTCCTTCCAAGAGCTGTATTTTAGCCTTCATGCAAATCGTTTTCTTTTTACTAGTTCTGCATCATTTTCTCAGCATTTTGCTGACTTCCAACCCCCAGGATTGTGAACTTGATTTAAACCATGTCTCTATGAAAAAAATTAACACTGAATCTTTATCAGGTTTTAAGGATATTTTTCTTATAAAAATAGTGGCGTGTTCTTAAAATTATTCAATCCAAACATGCAACAAATGTGCCTTACTAAGGAGCATATAAAACATAAACGTACAAATTCTGATTTGATACTAGGGGAGCACAAGACAGAAGAATTTTGCAAGTCTTCCATCCTCGCGCACTGGTTTTGGTATCTTTTGGATTATGGCCCAGTGTACTCACAGTATATTTCTGTATCACTCAGGTACAAGTAAGAATTTGAGGCTCATTTAACAGTGTGAATTTTCCCAACGTATCACAATTACAGAGACACCTGTGCTTTCTAACTTTTTGCTGATCCACTGTGATAATTCAGTGTGTTTAAATAACCATATTGCTAGTGTACCTAAGTGCCATATTTTATTTTACCCTTCCCTTACTCCCCCTTCTTTCCTTTCTCCTTTCATTCCTTACTCTTTCTTTCTTCTCTCCTTGTCCAGTTTTTGCTTCTTCCACCCGATGTCTTTGTCCTCCCTTCTTTTCCTTTATTTTTCCTTTTCTTCTCTTATATTTTCCTTCTCCTTGTTGAATTTTTAAAATCTGCCTTTTTTATCATGCCCATGGAAGTCCTAAATTTGACAAAGTTTTCATTCATTCACTAAAATGCAGAAAAACAAAGCTCCAAGGATGCTGCCTATCAAAAAGCAGTCACATTATTCTATAGAAATGATATTTATTGTTTTCATTTTCTATCAGGCATGTTTCCTGTTTCACAATGATAAAAATAAAACTCCTACAAGGCTATACGGTCATAAAATTTGGGTTTAAGAATCTAGTCTAATGCATAGATCTGCTTTCACATAGCGATCGCCTGTCGAGTCACAACGGAGAGGCAGACCTTCCCAAGTTTCCTATGTAGCACTGTTTACAAGGCAGTCCTGTACTTCTGGTTTACAGCCCTGTGTAGATGCTGTTAGTTATACTTAGATCTTTTTTTTTGGTATAATGGAATTTAATGAGAAGGAAAGTGTGCTTTCAGTTTGCATTTCAGAAGGATTTATCGTTAAACGTAGGATATGTAAAACCACATTTTCCCAAAAATAAGCAAAGGACTCATTCACAGAAAGAACAAAGTGTCCCACCTGAACTGACAATGAAGGAATTCTTGTAAATTTTGTGTGAAGTATATCAAACATTAAAAAGTACTTTTATGAAGCCAACAAGTTTCCTACCTTCTGCTGAAGTCCACCTTAAGGTTGGTTACAACTCTGGTGTGTTGCTCATTTGCAAATCCCACTGCTGTGACTAAGAAAGGGTGGGGCTGCATCCCAAGACATCTGTAGACCAGAGGGGCTGGCAGGGACCTCAGAGCTTTCCATTGAAGTGAGTACTTGCAGCCTGGCTGCAGGAACACTTGACCCGAGGTAACTACTTCCACATATCAACACCTTGTCAGTGGAGATCTGAAAGACACACAGGCTGTAGAGAAAAGGAAGTACCTGCTTTAGGAAGAGCTAAGAGCTCCCTCCCCCTTCTACCACCAAATCTTTAGTACTGAAGAGAGAAAGGAGAAGTTTATAGTTATAAAGCAAATTAAGTGTTTCAATTATGGCAGTGATTGGCTTTGGTTATTGGTAACTATATAATGAATTTCTAAAAATTTTTTTATAATTATATAATGAATTTCTAAAAAGAGCACATATGATTATCTAATTTTAGAACAATTTAGTTCCTTGTGGTCAGTGGTTCTAAGTGCACTGTTGTGGCACATACATTTGTTGTGATTCTTTGTAGGAGGTTCACAAGTAATTTGGGATTAAGAATAGTTTTCAGCCGGGGGCGTGGTGGCTCACGCCTGTAATCCCAGCACTTTGGGAGGCTGAGGCGGGCGGATCACGAGGTCAGGAGATTGAGATCATCCTGGCTAACACGGTGAAACACCGTCTCTACTAAAAATACAAAAAATTAGCCGGGCGTGGCGGCGGGCGCCTGTAGTCCCAGCTACTTGGGAGCCTGAGGCAGGAGAATGGCGTGAACCCGGGAGGCGGAGCTTGCAGTGAGCCGAGATCGTGCCACTGCACCCCAGCCTGGGTGACAGAGCAAGACTCCGTCTCAAAAAGAAAAGAAAAAAAAAAAAAAAAAGAAAAGAATAGTTTTCAACTGATTTACTCAAAAATAAATGGGAGCAGAGGAGTCAAGGTTATTTGTACAATGATTTCATTCTCACTCACTGATATTCCCTTTTGCATTCTTGAGTGAATGAGAAAAGGCTGGAGGTATCGCTAACGTCCTGAGGATTGCACACATCCTGACACGTCCATGGAACTATGTCCCACGTGTGAACATCATTTGCCTTGTGTTTTGTCGTAGGAACAAGAGCCAAATGCTGAAATCCATTGCTTTAGGATTTGAGTTGATATGTTTTATTTGTCCATACTTAGTCTCATTATAATCGATACACAATACAGCAAAAATTATGATCATGTTAATTATCTAATAATAGTGATAGAGGAGGCATCAAAAGGTCGTCAAGTTGCTCTTTCTGTGGGTTGGGTCATACTAAACATGCCCAGAATAGTCAGCAATGGAACCTAAAGTATGAAAACTGTGCATGGGCTCTTAAGAAGCAGTTGCTGTATAAAAGCTGTGTTATAAAGGGAGCTGTTTTTTGTTTTGTTTTTTTTTTTGAGACAGAGTTTCACTTTGTCACACAGGCTGGAGTGCAATGGCGTGATCTTGACTCACTGCACCTCCCAGGTTCAAGCAGTTCTCCTGCCTCAGCCTCCTGAGTAGCTGGGATTACAGGCGCCCACCACCACGCGCGGCTAATTTTTTGTATTTTTAGTAGAGACGGGGTTCCACCATGTTGGCCAGGCTGGTCTTGAACTTCTGACCTCAGGTGATCTGCCCGCCTCGGCCTCCCAAAGTGCTGGGATTACAGGTGTGAGCCACAGTGCCCGGCCAGGAAGCTGCTGCTTATTAAAATAAGCTCAAAATTGTTTTGGGAATAAGCAGGCCTTAGTTTGCTTGCATTTGCTGAAGTTTAAAGTATTTCAATTTTAGGGGATGTGCCTAATGCTTATAGAAATTATGAGCTGATATTGTTTTATGTGTTTTTGAGTTTGTTTTATGTCCATTTTCTTTTCTAGAAAGTAAACTCCATGAAGACAAGGATGTCATGTTTATGTTCATTTTGATAGCACCTATAATAATATATCAGCACCTGTTATTCAACAGAAGGTCAACAAACATTTGTTGAATGAAGAAAAAACAAAACAAAACAAAAAACCCCTCTGCTTTTCCCCAGAAAAAGTCAGCATCACATTTCCGCCATCTCATCCACTGCCTCACAGCTTTTTCCAGGTCTTAACTTTTACAGAGCCATTCACAAGAGATCAACAGATATAAGGCATTGGTTTCTATTTCTTTAGAAAAAAAAGAAAAATCTGATACAACTTCACCAGCCAACGTGATATTTCTGGTTTCTTGAATTATTTGGCAAAGGGAAAGCACAGGTTGAACTGTTTAGAAAAGATAATGGATTCTTTCTTGAATTTGGAGGACTGGAGCCTTTACACATGGTTTCAAAGTTGATTGAACACTTTAAGTCCAATGAAGGCAGATTCTGCAAATGCAAAGAAGTCCTAGCTGATGTGAACCCAAAGTGTGAACACATCACACCACAACCATGTGGAAACAATAGCCTGTATGGGCAACAAAGGTTTCTATTTAATGAGAGAAGTGCCATTGTTCTTGAAAGCCTAATTTTGTAAACATCTTACAGTGCTGACTCATCAGTCCTGAAAATCCAATAATAAATCACCACTGTGATTTAGCACCGGTGCTAGAATTCAGATCACGAAGCATGCTACAGCATCAGCTGAAACTCAAACAGGTCGCTGAAAGGTGCATTTCATCAGCAAGGAATTTAATTCATATCAAAGGAATTCTACCCCAAATGAGTGGCAACTGGCTACTTTTGAAAGCTGTTAACTGTTGGGGGAAATGAGTTGTGTTAGTCCCCTATAAAAAGGTAATAATCTATAATCCTGGATGCTTTAAAAGTCGTTTCCTCGAACTCCACAGCAAACAATATAAAATAACAACCCAATATATTTGTATCTTAATCATGTTTGGTAATGAAGCCCTTTAGATAATTGGCACTGCTTCTGTAGTAGGCCAAACTTTCTTTCAAGTTACAAATACTCACAAAAGGTTTACATTATAAGGGGCTGCTTTGGAGATGTGCAGATTTAGTTTGGAAGTACAAAGTGAACATGCAAATTGCCTTATCTTGTGGGATTCACAAACAAGCATCATTCAGATTGATTTAATACATGGCTTTTTATCTTTAAAAGTGTTAATTAGAAAATAGGGACAGTTCTCTGAACACTTAAGAGTAATAAATAGATCAAAACAGCATCCATGCTTCTGTGATGGAACTTCTGAAGGCTTTGTAAAGGGATTAATACAATTGTCAAAAAGACCACAGTATTCATATTTAACAGTGCCACCAAGCAACAATTACATTTTTTAGGACTTTATTGCTAAGTTTTTTAATACTTGCTATGCTCAGAAAACTGAGATTTTGTACAACTTTTGTTCCATACTTTGAAGTTACTATTTTAATTTTCCCACATTGGACCTCCAAACACATTTTTCCAGAGAACATTCTAAAATGGCAAGCTAATATAGGAAGTTATTCAGGGAAGAATGGATTATAGAAGTTCACAAAGTGGATTACTAAGAGAAAAATAATTGTGATTCATGCATCTTCTTTTGAATGAAAAATATAAACTATTGTCTGACAACTTGCCTCCACTTTGAAATTTATCTATAATATGAGAAAGTGCTCGAGGAGTTAAATCTTGACTCTGCCACTGACCACCTCAGTGATTGATATGGTGTGACGGTTTGACTGTGTTCCCACCCAAATCTCAACTTCAATTGTATTTCCCTTAATTCCCACGTGTTGTGGGAAGGACCCAGGGGAAGGCAATTGAATCATGGGGCGGGGGGTGGGGTGGGGGGGTGGTCTTTCCCGTGCTGTTCTCGTGATAGTGAATAAGTTTCAGGAGATCTGATGATTTATCAGGGGTTTCCACTTCTGCTTCTTCCTTATTTTTCTCTTGCTGTCATCATGTAAGAAGTGCCTTTTGCCTCCCACCAAGATTCTGAGGCCTCCTCAGCCTTGTGGAACTGTAAGTCCAATTAAATCTCTTTTTCTTCCCAGTCTCAGGTATGTCTTTATCAGCAGCATGAAAACAGACTAATACAGTGACCTTAGGTAAGTGAAATCACATCTCTGAGCTTCAGTTTATCTGTAAGATGTGCAAAACTATAGTCTCATAGGGTCTTATGGTGGGGATTAAATAAGATTGTGTTGAACAGTGCCTGGCACTTGAGTAAGCACCCTGTAAGTTATGATAATTGAGGCAATTGCTTGTGAATCTTGACGGTGATTTTCACTAGGCTTAGTTCTACGGTTAGCCTAACATCCTCACTATAAATAGTTGTGAAATGCCTCTATAACTTTATAAGGAAGACAAAAACACCCAGTGCAGGGTTCATAACCTTAGCTTCTGAGTCTCTAGTGACCTTGACTTCCCCTCTCTTCAGCCATTAGTACGATTCAGAGGGCCAAGCCATCCTTTGAGCCATTTCCTTTCCAGGGCCTCTATTCGTGTTTGTTTTATTACTACTTCCTCTTTATTCAATGTCTTGATTTAACTAATAAGATATATAGGTGGCAAAATAGTAAACAAATATAAAATACATAATGACATTGTCTCTCCCCACCCCTAATTCCTTCTTTGCCAGAAAACACAGCATTTTGTCCCTCGTTCTAGAAATTTTCTTTGCCTCTTGCTTTTCATTTTTCTCTCTTCTAAAAAAACTTTTCTGGATGACTCCTTTCAATTCTTTAAGCTTTGTGTTTCATTTCTTTGACCACATGGTCCAAAGCTCCTGCTTCACCCAATTCCTTCTGACCTAGAACCACATTCCCCAGGCCTTTGGCCCTGGGACTGTCACCCTCTCTCTTCTTAGTCATCAAATGGCCCTTCCATTTTTCTTCTCTGCCTGTCTGATCAGTCTTTCAGTCACCCACCTACCTGCCCTCCAGAAACACTTCACTTCCTCCCCTTCTTCCGCCATGCTATGAATTCATTAACTGCTTGTCTACACTCACTTCAAGACAATGGTAGTAGAAGGGCAAGTTACAAAACTCTAATCTTGGAAATCACTATGAATTTCTATCATTTCCTATCGGCTTTGTTTTCCTCTTTTTGGTCTCAACTACCATTAGCTTGTGTGAGCACACTGACAGGTCTGGCAATATACGAAATGCTATACATGCATTATCTTATTGAATGTGTTCATTATTCCTTAAGAAAATAATGAGGGAACAATTACTCCCATTTTACAGATGAGGAAACATGTCTAGAGAAATTAAGTAGTTTGTCTAAGGTCTCATAACTTAGACTTGTGTGAGTAACTGAGGATGCATTCAGAAGTGGCCTGGCTAAGAGTTCAGCCACTGTGCCCTGCAGTCTCTCATGGCCTTTCTGTTCTCTGCCATCCCTTAAACTGATTCTCATCTGATTCTAGTAGTCTAGGTGACACCCTCCACCACCAGCCATAGCCATCACCAGGTTATGCTGCTTCCTAACTTACTGAGAACACGGAAGCTGCTCACATCTTCCTTTCCAATCGCCCTTCTTCTTCCCTTCCACACATCTGTGATCTACCTGTTTGTAATTAGTTATAAGCCAGAAGATCTAGGCTGTCTCCCTTATTCCTGAGCACATAGAGACCCAGAGAGAAGAAGCACTTGTCCAGGCTTCCGTGGTGGAGTAGAAGCTAAATGAGGACTAAAACACAGGCCTTGGATCCTCCGTGATCTTACTGCCCAGGGCTGCTTCCTAGAGGCTGCACTTTCAAATGGGCTCTTGGCCAAGATACCCTTTGTGTACTCCTTTGCCCTTCTCTTCCTTCTATCTTGCAGTCCCATAGTTTAATGAATGATTCCTTTTTCCATTGGTTCCTTCTCTCTGTTTACAGAAGTTTTTTTTTTTTTTTTTTTTCCTGAGATGGAGTTTCACTCTTGTCACTCAGGCCAGAGTGCAATGGTGCAATCTTGACTCACTGCAGCCTCCACCTCCTCGGTTCAAGCAGTTCTCCTGCCTCAGCCTCCTGAGTAGCTGGGATTACAGGTGGGTGCCACCATGCCTGGCTAATTTTTTTGTATTTTTTTTTTAATAGAGACGGGGTTTCGCCATGTTGGCCACGCTGGTATCGAACTCCTAGCCTCAGGAGACCCACCTGCCTATGCCTCCCAAATTGCTGGATTAAATGGGAGAGCCACCCCACCCAACCTGTTTACATAAGTTTTTATTTTCATTACCAAGAGATAAAAACAGAAAGCTCTCTCTTGTCTTTGCTCATTTTCTGCCTCTCTTTCTCCCTCTCTCGGTGCAAAATTTCATCAGTTAGTTGTTTCCATGCACTATGGTTTTTTTTTTTTTTTTTTTTTTTTTTTTTTTTTTTTTGAGGTGGAGTCTTGCTCTGTCGCCCAAGCTGGAGTGCAATGGTACGATCTCGGCTCACTGCAACCTCTGCTTCTTGGGTTAAAGCGATTCTTCTGCCTCAGCCTCCTGAGTAGCTGGGACTACAGGTGCATGCCACCATGCCCAGCTAATTTTTGTGTTTTTAGTAGAGACAGGGTTTCACCATATTGGCCAGGCTGGTCTCTAATTCCTGACCTTGTGATCCGTCTGCCTTGGCCTCCCAAAGTGCTGGGATTATAGGCGTGAGCCACCGCGGCCGGCCTCCATGCATTGCATTCTTTTTCACTCACTCATTCCTTCACGTCTTGCAATTTGACTTTCACACCAGCTTCCATATACCCTAGTTGAAACTCATTCTTAAAGATACAGTCTCTTTGTCAAATTCAGTCTCTACAGTTCAAAAAGTTTTCACAGCTGCAGCTGCTAGAAGCCCCTGCAGGTTTAAACTCAGATTCCTAACCTTAGGCAGAAATTTTTGGGTCTCTAGCCCCATGCTCTGAGACTATACAACTAGTTATCCATGTTGTCCTTTTTGCCTTGACTTTCTTCCAAATTCTTATATTGTCCAATTTCTGCCTCCCAGTTTTACTTCTTGTACTGGAATCTGTTTTGGAATCTGCCTAGAATCCCATATCATCTAGTTTCCTGGGGCATTGCCACTTTCACTAGAAAGCAGAATCCCACCCCTGCATTCCAGCCTGGCGACTGAGATTCTCCTAACCCCTGGTTGATGAATAACTGGGATGTGCCTCCACTAGCTCTACCTTTTTGAGTCTCTCATTATCACTTGCTCTTGGATTCTCCAGCAGATCACTTAATTCTGAAGAGTGCCAGCTACATCTCTGAACCACGCCAATGTTCTGTTGCTCTAGTAAACTTCCTCCCAGCAAATAGGTTTGTCCTCCTAGTGCTAGGGAGAGGTCAAATTCCAGATCCCAGTTTCTTCTAGATGGCTTATGCTAATGTGTTTAACTGGTCCATGCCTGGGCCTATCAATTGCAGACTTTATCAATTGCAGACTCTGTAAGCATTAAATCCTGCTGCTACTCCCACACTCTGGCCCCACCCATCTTTTCTCCCTCATTGCCTTGAATGACAACCCAATGTAAGTTCTCTTCCTGTGTTCCTGGTGGTGGTCTTATTTCTTTGGTTGTTCATAATATTCTCTCTTGTCTTTTTACTTTCTCTCATTTGGAATTCTCATTTATTCCTGTAACTTAGATATTTCACATGTCCAATACCACTAATGTCAATATGACTGCCAAGGGCTACACATACATTTACAACTCTCTACTCTTGAGCTTTTTAAAATAGATGTCCAAGAGACACATGCATATTAATTCACCCAATCAATCCACCATTTTCCAACACCATAAAAAACCAGTTTCTCTTGCTGTTTTCTCCCTACTATTCTAAAAACTACCATTTTTCTAGTTAAAATTTTGTGGTCATGATTGATTTTGCTGCTTTTTACATCCTATCAGTCACCACATCCAGTCACTTCCTTTTCATTGTCAATTGTATCTTGGCTTTCCTTTATTCTGGTTAAAGACTTCATACTCTCTTAGTTGAAAGCCACATTTTCTTGCATGGTTTCTCCTGGCTCTGAGTTATTCCTGTACCTGCTTTGACTCCATGTTCCATGTCACCATTGGACCAACCTTTCTAGAGTGGGGTTCTAATACATGATGTCTGCAAGAATTACTTTATAATATCTGGTTGCTATATGGATATTAGTTGTTCATCTTATTTTGTCACTGACTTGGTAAAGTATCTTTAAGTTCTCCTGATGCCTACTGAATAAAGACAAAATGTCACTGTCTAGCTTTTAAGATCCTCTGTAATATTTTCTAAGTTTGCCTTTCTAGATTTATTTTCTACTAATCCCAATGGATTACATTCTATCTAGCTGAAAGCCTTGCCATGTGTTGGACACATTCAATTTCTTTGGTGACTTGAACTCAGGTTCATGCCATTCTACCCCTCCTCCACCCAACCCCAGACTATCTCTGCCCCAGTGAGAGGGAAATAAGCTGAACAAATATCTAGCATTCTTTGGCAAAGGATGGCTATCATTAATTAAATTTTTAGGTTCAGCATTGGTCCATCTGCTAGTTTTGTACTTCTTTTTTGGGTCATGTTTGAACATTAAGTCGTAATCTTTCATCCACATGGATATCTTCAGAAGAATGAAAAGTAATACTATTGATCATGTAGCAGAGATAAAGGAGTTGGAGGGTTTCATTGATGACATACTAAATTTAAGCCAAGAGCATAAAGTAACAATTAAAAAGCTAGAAATATCTTAGGCTGCATAGATTGAAATTATCTTGTGAGAAATTACAATGCCCGGGCTCTTAGTATGGCTTGGACTATGCCAGGATATTATGTCTGGGTACCCATTTGAAGAGAATCATGGCAGAATGGAGTCTGCACAGAAAAGGATGGCCAGGATGGTGAAATACAGAAATTATTTTATGAGTTAAATGAGAGAAGGAACCAGGATGATTTAACCTGTAGAGGAGATGATTAGAGAAATAAATGTCATCTTTATATGTATGTAAGGCTATTATAAAGAAAAGGCATATGTTTGTTCAGTCAACAAATAGAAGTAGGACAATTAGAACTATTTGTGAATCAATATTATAAAAACTTTCTAGCAAGACCTCTCTCTCATTCAGAGGACAGTAAATAGAGTCTGAGTGACCAAGATTGCTTTAGAAGGGTTTCCTACAGCAGGAGGAGGTTGGACACAAACAACTCTTTAAAATTTGAGATTCTGAAATGGAAAAAAAAAAAAAACCTCTGAGAAGTCATTGGAATAACTTTATGTTAAAAAGGTATGGACTAAGGTAGAAGTCCTGGCAATGAAAAGACAGCCCCCACTCCTTCAAAAAATTGTGAATTGTGAGAGAAATATCAATGAAGTTCATATTTGGGTGACTTGGCAAAAGTGATCATTTGCCTGGAGAGTTCACGGTGGCATGGTCACTATGAAAGAGCACATGACCACAGAAAAACTTTGGACTGGGATGAGTTGTCTTGGAGTAAACTGCAATTCACCTGGGAAAGTGGTGAAAATATTACAGGCATGGAAATTCTGTAGCTATGGGAGAAACTCATGGTTGTGCCTAATTCCCAGGAGACCATTTCTGAGCATCTACAGCAGACACAGCCCCATGCCCACCACCTGGCCTTGAAGTTCACCTGATGGACTTGATACCTATAGTCTCTTCCCTTATGTCTCAGCTGCCTCTCTCCCCATCTGCATTCTATTTTCCTTGCACAGTGTTCTGGCTAAACTCATGGGTGCCAAGCCATCTCTAGGAGCTGTCTGTCTCTGGTCTTCCATTTGTCTTCAGGTTGTCAATTGCAATTGTGAACACAGTTGAGTTTTATTTCTCACAGCTGCACTACCAGTGGCATAAACTGGTGTTCAATGATTCAATAGTCCCCACCCCCCCCACCCTGCTTATTTTTCAGTCTCACATCCTAGCTACTACATTCTTTCACCACCTGTTTTGGCTACAGATCATACTCAGTTTTTTATTCCAGACTGACATGTATGGCCTTGATGCAACTTTACTAGTATCAATGGAAAGAAAAAGATTACCTATAATCTTCTCATAAATCATAGAAAAAGTATAAAAAGCATGAGCAAGTGTAATTTATCACCCTGAGAAGTGGGCATGTAATTACTTGCAAGGCTGCTTTTAGTTTATAGCATAGTTTTCTATTTCTGTCCTTAAACATTTTGCCTGCATTGAAGTTCTGGAGAATTTAGCACATTTGCAAATGCCTGGTGCTGATGCTACTTCTGCAAAATCATGTGCACATCATTTCAATGGCATTGCAACTATCTCCAGCATAGCTAGAGGGGTCTACTAGAACTTCTACTCCAGATCTCCTTGACTAGTATCTTGGCATTTTTAATTGTTCAATAAATTATAGTTCAAGGTGAAGTATACTAACAGATAGTGTTTACATAAATTAAAAACCCAAATAACTTACAGAATTAGATGTCATTTCTTTATGGTGGTGGTGCTATTGCTGGAGTACTTGGCACTGCTTTCATCAGATTATATCTATTCATGTGTTTAGGGCAAACAAAGACAAAATAAATTTGATTTTTTTTCAATTTTTTCGACTTAATTTATTTCTGAATTTCAAAATTCATCTTTATCTCTCCACACCTAAGGCCTTTTATCATTTCCTTACCCAGAAACATTTTCTTTAAAAGTTTAAGCACTTTGAGGATTGAACACATGGAAACTATAGAGCATGCTCTTCTCTCATCAAGGCATTTTGACTTCATGAAAACATCCACTCAAAGTAGAGCAGGCTCTTACTTGAGAGGCTTTCTCAGCTGAGCAGTTCTGGGCATGATCCAACATGGTCCCTATTCTGACTCTATTTATGATCCATGAGGGATCACAACCACCTCTCTCAGAAAGGAGCTCCCTGGTTCCTGGTGGGCTTGTTGTCTTCATTGCTGGTTGAATCAGTGGACATCCTTATGCACAAAGCAGCCTAGTGCTAGCTCTCATGCAGGGAAATGTGGACAGAATAATTTCAGCAAAAATTGGGCATGGCAGATAAATTAAACACCATCATTTGCATAGTGGTTGGATTTTAGTTATCTGCATTAATGGATGTTAGTATTTTGCTTTCACTAAAAATTGGTCCTTTTGGAGCTAGAGGTAATCTTCTGTCAAATAGTTATAAACAATGAAACTGTTTTTATGGAAGTGAATTTCAAGAGAACTTAAAAGCTGTTGAGTGTCCCTAGCCCATCTTTTTCATACCTGTTCAACTTATTAATATATCTTTCTTCCATCTTATCTTGAGGATGGACCAAATTAACCATTAGCTAAATTTAGCATACTAGCCCAAACAGATCTGCATTCTCTTTCTAATCCTACCCTGTGACTCACTCTATTTCTTAACTGAGGGAACTAATTAAGCACTTTGTTGCAAAAGTGTCCCCCTCCCATTCAGCTCCTGCTGGGTTCTTGGCTGCAGTTGGAATAAAAGTGAATGAAGATGGTGATAATGTCAACCAAGTTGCTATACATGCAAAATTTGTAAATAAACAAACTTTGTCAGGCACCTACCTCATGTAAGGTCATGGTCTAGACCCTGTGGTAACATGCGGTCCTACACTATGATACCTGCTGTTGCCGGTGACATAGGGAACACATGGAAATTCTGGAGCATGGAAATTATCCTCCAGAATGGTTCGTCGGCGTCACATTCCCTCTAAACAGATACACTGCAGTGAAGATCTGGGTCACTTTTCTGTGGGTTTGAAGCTTATTGAAGGTCTTAGATCAGCCCTATTCCCCTCAAATGACACTGTACTCTGTTCAGTGTTGCTTTGGATCAGACCTTGTGAAAGGGGGTGGGCTCTGGACCTCTGGCAAGCTACTGGCATCCTCCTCCTGTGTTATGTGCAATGTTGCGTAATATGTCCCTGTTAGGCAAATGTGCTGCAGTTGAAAACAAGGTTGGGACATCAGTGTTCCTCAGGGTTGGGGATAACCTTTCATGTACTTCCTCAAGACACAGTATTACTGGATATATTTGATTTACACATAAACTAGGTAAGTTTTAAACTCTCTAAGATATAGACATTTATGTATTGCTTGCATTTTATTTTCTGAATTCCTTCATTCTAAATCCTGAACAATATTGCCTTTGTTATATAATCATACAGCTGTAGTCTTTTCTTGAAAATATGCTAAGTTCATTTCTACCATAGAAAAATAATAGACATTTGGATTCCCTCTTTGCCTTGTATTATAGGATACGAGAGACTAGTAAAATGCTAATAATATTTTACTAGGAGAATAGGACACCTTTTCTGACTTAACTACATTTAGGTGACATCATGGCTTCACATGACAACATGAGTTAAGATGAAATACACTCATTAAAAACCAAATGCCATCATGTCATGGGTAACTTGTGATCTCTTGCTTTGGAATGTGAAGCCTTGCAGAGCATGCCAGAGCCCACATGATATCTGTTATTAATCATAAGAATAAATTCTACCCTACTCTTTAGGTTGTTCATTCACATCACCAGTTAACAACTCAACACAATCTTTAGTAATAGAAAAAGAGAAATCTTGTACATTCCACTGATTTGAATAATTGCTTGGAAACTTGATAATGTGTTAGCATTCATTTGCTGAAAAGTGGGCCAATGATGGTAAAACGATTTCATCTTAAAATGGGTATGTGCAGCCGCGTGTGGTGGATCACGCCTGTAATCCCAGCACTTTGGGAGGCCAAATCAGATGGATCGTGAGGTCAAGAGTTCGAGACCAGCCTGGCCAATATGGTGAAACCCCGTCTCTACTAAAAATACAAAAATTAGCCAGGCATGGTGGCATGCACTTGTAGTCCCAGCTACTCGGGAGGCTGAGGCAGGAGAATCACTTGAACCTGCGAGGCAGAGGTTGCAGTGAGCTGAGATCGCACCACTGCACTCCAGCCTGGGCGACAGCGAGACTCCATCTCAAAAAAAAAAAAAAAAAAAAAAAAAAAGGGTATGTGTCTATTTGTCTGTATCTGCAGCTGGTTAACTCCTTGGTTAGAACACCTGGTTAATGAAACCCATATTAGGTGCTCCTCATGGGGCCCTGTCAACATCTCTCTTTTATGGGTCATGAGTTTCATATCTGACCCCAACCTGCTGCCACACACATGTTCACTACTGGCCAATAAGGAGAAGTAACTAGAGATCATCCATTGCTTAAAGCAAAAGCATCATCACATTGAGGAAAACAACTCATAGCACATAATCCATGGAGGGCAGTTCGGTAACATCGCCTCGAGTGTATCTGTGGTTGTGCAAAATGGACATGTCTGGATGTAAAGACATGCACCACCAGAGACAGTTACTAATCATGTCACTGATGGAGATTCGTCTGGGGAAAGACGATTATGAAATAGCAGTTTGTATCAAAGATTAGTTTAAAGACAGCTGTAGATTTATTATTTTAAAAACTCTGGATGAGGGTATTGAATTCGATAAACTTTAAAGTCCTTCCAGCTCTAAGTCCTTCCAGCTCCCTACAGTCTCCAAGTGCATTGATTAACATACATAATGTAAAACAATGTAGTTTTGTAAAGCAAAATTGGCAGGAAGAGAATATTCTCTCAAGAAAAAATACTTTTCTGTGAGTCTTCCCTTCAAGCTACCAAAAAAAGGTGATCAAGTAGAGCTTAAAAATAATTTCTGGGCTTAAACTTAAAATTCTTTTATCTGGAACAGATTATTTCATTCCACAATTAGAAATGAGATCCAAAATGCAAATATTACTCAGAGAGATAGCACATTGCCTCATATTCACACTATGGTGTTAACAACTGCTATAAGAGCCATTTTACAGAGTAAGTTTGAGAGGGGGAAGCATACCTTATTCAAATATATGAAGATGATTTTACAAATTGTATCCTATTTTATTCCAGTCCCAATTCTGCCAACCCTTCTGGGTATGTTACAGTTTTAAAGACAGTGCTTCAAAATCTGAAGAGGGAAAAAAATGGAAACAGCTTAAATGAGAATATCACTCCTAGGCTTTCACCAAATACATTTTCATAGTTTTCCAGTTTGTTATATCTTCTTGAGAAGGAGTGAAAATTCTTGGAATTAAATGTACAATAAAATACCACGTATATACTCGTTCTTTAAAGCTTTGTATCTCTATTTTTTCTAAGCTATCTTAGTTTAGATCAAGTCTGTCTTGCATCTGAATTTGGCAAGCCACATTATTTACTGTCCTATTGACCAGAAGGAAATCCGTCTAATACTTGAAGCTCGATTCCATTTGAAGATCTGTTCAGTCACATAAAAGTGCTATTTTGATAGTAATAAAACAAAGTTACATAGGAGAAAAATATCTTTGTAAATGAACTGGATCTTGAAGCTGCAGGATTGCTGTTCCTCATTGTCCCTGTACATGGAAAAAGGGAATCAGGGCTCCAAATATGGTGAGGGATTGCAGGTTGGCTATATGAATTCTGTATTCTTGATATAAGAGTTTAAAAAGGGTTACAAAGGGACACCATTGAATTTGGTCCTGGAGAAGCTTTTCTATGAGTTTGGCTGCTCTGTCCTTGTGGGATTGTGCAGACGCAGACCTCACCTGTGATAGTTATAGACACATGAACCTCCTGAAATCATTTGAGCGGGAATCACAAGGAAAGAATAAGTCTAGGTGTTTTGCAAAGAAAATTTTATATGCCTCAGCTGTAAAATGATTCATTACCCAACCCGTACTGCCCAAGAGATGTCAGGCTACTTGAACAGAAATGGAACAAAAGGCCGCCTACCTGGCTCACTCACCTCAATTGCTCTCTTATGCAGACAACTTTGAACCCTTTTCATCCATGAAGCTGAGACTGGCAAAAGCTGGCAGGCTCCATCCCAGTGCCCTCCACTCTTGCCCTAGTTTGGTGCCCAGTGTTTCTAGTTCCCCATCCTAGGTTTGAGACTAGATGCCTGCCAAATCCCTTCTCTGGTGAGAACAGCTATTACTTTGGGCCCATGTAAAGGCCTCCTCAGTGAGATCATTTTGCTTAACTTTTGATTGTTAGGTGACCAGACCTTTGAAAAACTGATATTCTTTTCCCCTTATAACTATAAACTGGAAACTCCACTCATTTTGATATGGTGTATTGGAAGACCGGGCTTTCATTCTTCTGAACTTCCCATATAATCAAAAGAACCTAATGAATTCAAGTTGCCTGTAACATTTTGTGTGTTTCTGAGTTGAAACCAAATTCCTAAACAACTATGTGAGCAATAATGAAATTCAGGCAGAAAGGTTCTATTTTCCTGTTGTTAGAAAAGAGAATTTTATGGTGAACTCCTGGGTTCTACTCCCTGTGATTCAAGACGACATAACATTTAGCACTTATCAAATGCATGTTAGCACACAGCTTATGCCAAAGACCCTGAAGAAATGTAATGACTGAATTGTTTGATCAGGAATGCAACTTATAGAATTATATAAACTTGCATTCTACCATGTTAAAAACGACACAGACATCTATAGATTGCAGTTTAATTGTGGAGATGATACAATAAAAGAGCTCCCTCATGCTTCCATATGAGAGGGTTTAGGTACAGTAAGCAGAACGTAATGTTTCCAGTTGGAATTTGGCCAGAAGCTGAAGATTAAAAACCTCAGTGTTATGAAAAGTTCCATGGGATGTTTAATGACTAGAAATAGCCAGAAGCTTATATTGATGGCATCCCAAAATAGTACCTCTATCTGGATTAGTCCAGCCGGGTCATGCTGGGGCACAGTTTGGGCAATAGTTAAAAAAGAAAACAACAACCCATTTATTGAATCATAAACATAATTTCTAATAGCTCTGAGTTGGAGATTTGTGTTTGAGCACTACTTACCAACTTTTACCAGCTTCTTTGGATGTAGCATCCCACTGGCACTCAATAAATGCAATAAAGAAAATATGTTAGGTAGGCTTGAATGATTACGATGACAGTTAGCATAGGGAAGCAAGGACCATAGTTGCCTTTACAAGTAGGTGACTGAGATGGCTTCCTATGTGATGTGTTTTCAAAGGCAAGGGGAAGGACACAACATACCACACCACCTTGGTTTGGTTTGCTGGTGCCTGAAATTTCAGAAATGCATTTTTTTTTTTTTTTGATTAGCACTTAGCCTCCTATTTCAAAGCAAATCTACTTGAAAAAGTTAATACATAAAATTTAGTTGTCACTTAAGTCATAATATAACATGAGCTTTTCATATCCTATTCAAAAGTTTTGGTAGAACTGAAAGTAAAAGATCTTTAAGAATGAAACTACTGGGTGAGTGAACCACTAGGGGAGGAAAAGTTTGCAACAAGGCAAGTATGAGGGCAGCAAAGACAAATTTCTCCAACCTCACTTTTATGGGCTGAACTGTGTCTTCTTGAAATTCATATGTTTGAGCCCTAACCCCTAGTACCTCAGAATGTGACTATATTTGAAGACAACAGGGTCTTTGAAGACGTAAGTAAGTAAAATCAAGTCATGAGGGTAGCTTCTAATCCATTTTTGTCCTTATAAGAAGAGGTGATTAAACACAAACAACACAGATTGAGGGATGACCACGTGACGACACAGGGAGAAGACGACCCTGCTTACGCTTTGACCTTGGATTTCCCAGCCTGCAGAACTGTGAGGAAATGAAATTCTGTTGTTTAAGCCACCAAGTCTGTTGTATTCTGTTATGATAGCCCTAGCAAACTAAAACACTCACTCTTTTTCAAAGGGAAGGTGTCAGGACTGCTAGTTAGATTGCTCAGCTTCTTTGAAGCTGAGGCTTTTATCTGAAGTAGTTCTTAGATCTTTCTAGCCCCAGGGAAAACCCCTATGGACCAGGTCCTTCACCTCAGGCTGATTTTGTCAGGCATGGATTAAATTCAAAATATTATTTGGACATACACTGGAAGAAAGGTGATGAGCAAAAATTAAGCTAGAAACACTAATTGTGGTGCTTCCTATTAGTGAGATGGAGTCCGATCAAGTCACTGTTTGAGGAAAGCCATGGTTGATTGGCCAACCCTCCATATTAAAAATGAGGACTGCCTGTATTTTCACTTCTTAAAAACTATGGGCAATTTTCCATGATGTCCCTCTGTTGGGCACTTCTGATGTATTAAATGAATTTTGGTAAGAGATTTTCAAAATGGGCTTTTGGAACTTGGATACTTTGGCATCAGCAAGCAACAAAGGGCTTCTTGTATTAATATTTTTAAATGTAAATATAAAGTAACTGCGGTAACAGCAAGTCAGGGTATTCATGTTTAAAACCAGTTTTCATTGTTAATAACGAAACTGCAGACTTCTGACTCAACTGTTAACGTGTTGCTGGTGGAACCCGGGAGTCTGAAGGGCAAGGATAATTTATAGTTGCCAAATCACTGAGAGAAAATTCCAACTATGTAGAAATGTAAATATTCAGTATTAGAAAGGATAATTAAGGATAGGCTAAATATTTACCCAGTTCTCTTCTTTTCAAATTACAAATAAGACTATTCTGGTTGGTTCATGTTTTCTGATAGAAGAAGGGATAGAAAAAAATGAGAGTGGGGGGAATGTCTTTCCTTTCCTATCCAAAATATATCTCTTAACTCACACAGGCATAAAATATAGCCCCCATTCATTTTTTTAACCTTAAAATTTGTTACACAATTATTTTACCATACTAAACTGCTGATGAAATTTGTATGTGTTGCATCAAAACTATCAAAGATATGTTAAATACGAACATGAAAAATATAATTTTAGCAGCAAATTAAATAGAACATAAATCACTTAGAGAAAATTTGTAGATTAGAAGGTTGCAGCTATTTAAATGTTCAAGGACTTCTAATTGTCACTTTAAAAGAACCTTGTAGCAGACTTACAAAGAAATAGCCATATTGGGGGAGAATAGTCAAAGCTTTGTGTAAAGCTTTTTCTTTCAGGAATTCTTTTCTATTTCCTGTGGTCATTTTCTCATGAGGATATTTTCAAAGGGATGCTGTTCATGAGAAGGAAGTTTTAAACAAGATCATTCTGTCAATCATGGTCCAGGCAGGAAAACAGAAGCCACTCTAGGTTTTTCAAACAGAGGCAATTGAGTACAGGGAGTTGGTTACACAGATGACAGAAGTGTTAATGAAGTGATGGTGAGGCAACCCAGAAATTAGAAACAATAGGAAGCTGTAGGCCAGGCGTGGTGGCTCACTCCTGTAATCCCAGCACTTTGGGAGGCCGAGGTGGGTGGATCCCCTGAGGTTGGGAGTTCAAGACCAGCCTGACCAACATGGAGAAACCCCGTCTCTACTAAAAATACAAAATTAGCTGAGTGTGTTGGTGCATGCCTGTAATCTCAGCTACTCCTGTAATCCCAGCACTTTGGGAGGCCGAGGTGGGTGGATCACCTGAGGTCGGGAGTTTGAGACCAGCCTGACCAACATGGAGAAACCCCGTCTCTACTAAAAATACAAAATTAGCTGAGTGTGTTGGTGCATGCCTGTAATCTCAGCTACTCCTGTAATCCCAGCACTTTGGGAGGCCGAGGTGGGTGGATCACCTGAGGTCGGGAGTTTGAGACCAGCCTGACCAACATGGAGAAACCCCGTCTCTACTAAAAATACAAAATTAGCTGAGTGTGTTGGTGCATGCCTGTAATCCCAGCTACTTGGGGGGCTGAGGCAGGAGAATTGCTTAAACCCAGGAGGCAGAGGTTGCAGTGAGCTGAGAGCGCGCCGTTGCACTCCAGCCTGGGCAACAAGAGTGAAACTCTGTCTCTTTAAAAAAAAAAAAAAAAAAAAAAAAAAAAAAAAAAAAAGAAGCTGTAACCACCCCTACAGGGGGAAATGAGGTCGGAAATACGGACCACCCTTCGGGAACTAGAACCATGGTGGGGACTTTCCTGCAGGAGCTGTGACCACTGAGGGAGGGGCTCCTTTAATGAGAGCCAGAATTATAGTGAAGATAGTCATTGCCAGAGGCACAGATCAAAGCAGAGAAAGAGCAGAAAAAATAGCCAGAATCATCTCTATTTTTCTTCTTTCAGGATTCTGCCAGTACCTCCTCTTGATTAAACCAAAGTTCAATTGGCAAGGGATCCTAGGAAATGTGGTTCCCAGAGATACAGAGCAGAGCCGGTGAAGGGTGCCTCATGGATCAAGAGCAAACGGGCAAATAACTTGCACACAGAAAAGGAAACTGCCTTTATTAGTCTGTGTTTCTCTTTACTTAGTTTGATCTTATTCCCTCAAGGTCATGGTACACTGAAAGTCACTTTGGGACCTTATGAAAAGGGTGAATTTTCAAAAAATGCTTTTCTATGAGGTATTTATGATACAATTAAACTCCCCCTGGGCCACAGCACTGAAAATTCACTGAACAATAATGTGGTAGCTGAGAGGGGAGAAGCAGAGGCCAAGGAAACCAAAATGGTACCTGTGGCTCACATTTGAAGTTTCAGACCCATACTCTGAACATTCTTCAGAATATCAGCTCCCAACTTGTTATATCACATTTCAACTTTAGCAATTTCATACTAATGAACTCCTTTATTTCTGCCTGTCTCATTAGGACACTCCATGCTTTCCAGAAACACAAGTGAAGTTTAATAGAGATAAAACCATTCCACTGGTGCTGCTATGATCAAGAAGCTACAATCAATCTTGTTTTCTTCAAGCATGTCATAAAAAGACCCTTTTCCTTCTGATTAGCATTCTTGAACACAGTACAAGCTGATGACTTGCTTGAAGTCATTCACTGTAGGGATACAGCACCTACTGCACGTGATAAAACGACATAAGGCATATGAACTGCTCATTACAATCTAATTAGTTTGGGCTTCTCATTTCATTTTATGTCCTGAATTGAACCTGATTCAATATGATTCTGCGCTGGAGTTCATCATATCTTCTCCCTGGCATGCAAGTTCATGATGCCTGCTTGCTAGATTCCATGGTTATAGAAATGGTTTCTCTTTTTTTTTCAGGGACTGGTTAGATAGAAGGTCATTAATAAAACATCAGAAGCCTTTCCTATTATTTTTTTCCTCTGCGAGATTTTGATTTGACTTAGCACACAGCACCGTTTTTAAAGTATTTCAAGAAGGTTTGGTCATTATAATAAACGGACTTACCTGACTCGTAAGCTCGCTCCCTTATAATGTGATAAAATAAATAGTCTTAGCCTTTGGGGTGCATTCCAAAGACAAATGAGGAAAACCTGGGTTAGTTTTGCTAGCAAGCTCAGTTGTACTTAAGACTTCTTGAGAGCAAGATGTCTTCCATCTTGGGATCGTTTCCAATAACATCTTTCTGTGTCTTCAAGGAGTGGGTAGACGAGGTAGACTATGTATACATTGATTTATTGAATCTCAAAGTTTTTAGAGGTTGTAAGAAAAAGATGACTGGCATTCTTTTTTTTTTTTTCCTTGAGACTGAGTCTCGCTCTGTCATCCAGGCTGGAGTGCAGTGGCGCTCTCTCGGCTCGCTGCAAGCTCCGCCTCCCGGGTTCACGCCATTCTCCTGCCTCAGCCTCCCGAGTAGCTGGGACTACAGGCGCCTGCCACCACGCCTGGCTAATTTTTTGTATTTTTAGTAGAGACGGGATTTCACCGTGATAGCCAGGGTGGCCTCCATCTCCTGACCTCGTGATCCGCCTGCCTCGGCCTTCCAAAGTGCTGGGATTACAGGCGTGAGCCACCGCGCCCGAGTTTAAAATACGTGCATGCTGTGTTCTGTGTCTTCCTTTTTGGCCCAATGGGGATGCAGACATCTGCTTCTTTTACATCTTCATAGGAAGGTTATGGATACTGACCAGACACAGTCACCCCATTTTTAAAAAACTGAGAAACCATTGAAAATGGATCGTGTTGATATAAAATACTCATAAGCACATTTTGGTTGTGACTCACTGGAGCTTTACAAATTTGTTGTATCATCTGGAAAGCAAAGAATGTTTTGTATTAACCTTACAAAATACTGTAAGGCTGTGCCAAAACATTGCCCCTTGGTTCCATGCCATGGGGCTGCCCTGTAGATGAGGCCATCTTATAGCGAGGGCTTCTAGAACTTGATTAACAACACTTTGGATAAAATAGATTTTTTTCCACATTACTATGTTTCCCCTGCCAATAATAATAGAAACACACATATTCAGTGCCTTTGTTGAGGGGATATATTTAGATGATAGATCTAAAATGTCCAGAATTGTATATTTTAAAAAAACATGTTCACCATGTTGGTTTCCTTTTCCCTTCTCTGCTCTGAAGCAATCTTTAATCAGATTTCGACCCTAAATAACATGAAACTCCTTGTGGCTCAGTTGATCTAATTGCTAGATTAACCATGCTCTGCCCCAAAATATGTCTTCCATGATAGAGGGTTTCGTTCAATTCAATTTTGATTTCCTAACTGATGATTACCATGTATGTTACCAATAACTGAGCTTTACTATGAATTGAATATTTTGAATGTACGGCATAAACCTTTTTTCCCCTTCCCAAACTGGTAGAAACGGTAACATTTTATAATATTCACTGACCTACTTGCTAGAGGAACTTAGTGTCTGTTTTATTTATTCAAGTTTTAGATCCTAACTGGTTGTTCTTTATTTCTGCAATAATTTGTTGAAAGCTTGAAAGCTTGTGGTTAGATGGTACGTAACCTTTAATTCAGCTATTGTTAGCACTTTTGTATGTCAGAGAGAGGTTCTAAAATTTTCAGTAGGCCATGGACTCTTAATAGAGAATCTTAATTGTTCCCTTAGTGCTCAGGAGCCATCATGACATCTGAGTTACATACATCTCTTACGTATAACCTTCAGCTCTACATTGAAGTAAGGCATTTGTCCTACACTTCATACAAGAAGTGGAAGTAGGTTTTTTTTTTTTTTTTTTTTTTTTTTTTTTTACTTACATTGTCAAAAATTCTTAAGGGATTGGTCTTGGTTAATTAGCAATTAGTAAAATGAGTATCAAGCTCCTGATAAAATATTGCTCGGGAAATTGGGAAACAGAAGGTTACCCAAGCCACTAACCCAATCTTTGGGGAAGAGGAGGAGGTAGGAAGGGTGGGAATGGAGGAGCCAAGGGTGCCCATAGCAGTGTCTGCTGCGTAGCTGCCCGTATCCTCTAGCACATTATTCCAGCCATTCTCTCTTCTGCCCTGAAGCACAGTTCTGAGGCCCATGAGACTGGAATGAACTCAGAAATTACGACTTGATTAAAGATTACTGAGATGTTCATATTGGAAATAGAAAATGATATTATGAAAATTGACATCCTCTTTGTTTATAAAGACAGTACGATCAACTTACCTTCATTTGCATTTGAGCTGATGGCAGGTTTGGGCTAACCATCTATTCCCTGGCATAAGGGCATGAGCTTGCCAGACAGTTGCAGATAAGAGCACTGTTCATGCAGTGAGAGAGAGCTGAGCCGCCTGGCTAACATGGAGTCAGAGCTGCTGATGCTGGCACCTCTAGTGGGATGGACATGACCAACTCCATGTATTAATCAATGTGGATCTTCATCCATGTGTTAAGGGATAAGCATGTAATATTTTTTCTAACATAGATCCATAGAGTTGGAAAAAACAAAAAAGAAAGTGAAATTAAATCCTTAGAGGGAATTGGCCAGTCCCAGTGAATGAACTGTGGTTTGAAGACAGAGTTTTTATCTCTATGTAATGCTTTTGTTGACTTTGTTGAAGTAGGGGGTCTCTTCCCCAATTCTGTTGCACACACTTTTGTCTGTGAAGTGGAACTTGGGAACGCTGAAAAATTTGCCTTGAATTACGAAGCACCTTATGATTGCACAGCTGATAAATGGAGTATGCATATTCCCCAGTTGTTTCTCTGAGATATTTATTTGGCCCTGCTTTGATTAAATTTATTAGACATAACTATAGAATTGGAATGATATGTCAGATTATATGGGGGGTTAAATGGTGATGATTTTTATATCACATTCTTCATTATCATCTTAATTCTAATTGGCAGGTAGATGGAGGAGAAAGAATATGGGTATTTGAGGGTGATAGGTATGGCTTTGCTTTCTGACCCTACCACTTACTGATTTTGTTATTTTAATTGCTTAACCTCCATAAGCCTCAACTTTCCCTCTCTATGTAATGGGAATAATCCAGTTTATATCTAAGACTTGCTGTATAGAATTAATAAAATAATACATGCAAAATACATGGCAAATAATACGTTTAATATTACTTTCTTTTCTCTTCCTTTTCATACTTCTTTTTTTTTTTTTAAACACAACTGTCCTAGTCTGTTGATACTGTTGTAGCAAAATACCTGAGACGAGTAATTTATAAACAATAGAAATTTATTTTTCACAGTTTTGGAAGCTGCAAATTCCAAGACCACAGTGCCAGCAGATTCAGTGGCTGGTGAGGGCATCATCTGGCAGCATTGGGCAAAAAAGGCAGAAGGGTAAAAAGATGAATGCTGTGTTCTCCACAGGGTGGAAACAGTGGAAGGGCCAGGCAGCTCTCTGAAGCCTCTTTTGTAAAAGCACTAATCCCTTTCATGGAAATGGGAGTGACTTAATCACTTCACCAAAGGCCCCACCTCTTAATGCTATCACATTGGGTACTAGTTTTCCACATGTGAATTTTGGAGGAACACATGCATTCAAACCAGAGCAAGAACCGTGCTTATTTTCCATGAACAAATTCCCCTTTTTATCTTTACCAATAGGGAGTATTTTCATAGGGAGGTAAATATCTAAGAATTCATTTTTGGGATCTTCCACATAACTGTGCCTTTCTTTACTTAAAGTCTACAGTTTTCAGCTCTAAGAAGATCCCAAGTTCTGAGAGCACTGTTGAAATTGTATTTCTACCTTAGTGGCTACAGCTACTCTATGATGAGTTTCAAGTAATGGGGACACCAAATTAAAATGAATTAGGAATCTATTTTACAGACTGTTTATGTACATGTATTCACAAAACTAAAAATGAAGTGAGAAGAAAATGAAATTGATTGAGTTAAAGGAGGAGCCGTTGTGTTTGTATGTCAAGTATCTTAGTCTGTGATAGTGAGTCATTGTTCACCAAAACTTTACAAAGATAGTTAAAATTTCTATAAATCCCCTTGTCCTTGTAGCAACAAAGCATCTATGTATTATCTATTCCATCCAGTTAAAAACACTTCCAACATTATTCAACAAATATGGGGCATGTTCATGATTCCCTAGGGACTGTTTTAAGCCCTCTCAAGGGATTTTTTTCTAGGACACTGTCAACAACTCAGCTATTATATAAGCAATGTTGGATCAAGTCAAACTGCCAAGTGTGAAGCTTGGAATGCCCAATTAGGCATTCTGCAGCTGGAGAAGGTGGGTGATTTCCCCTCAAGAATTGTGTGTAGGTTCTGCAGCTGGAGTGTTTAAGTGGTCGATTGAGCCACCAGCTGTGAGAGTTCCATGCAGCTGGAGCAGGTCCTTAGGTAGTATTTGTGATTCGAGAATAGTCATGTAGCCAGCAACACACTACCTTGATTAATTTTCATCTGATTTTGCTTATTAAATACTTCCTATTTCATTTACTTAGTTTTTGGAGGTGGTGGTTTTTTTATTTTTATTTATTTTTTGGGACGGAGTCTAGATCTTTGGCCAGGCTGGAGTGCAGTGGCATGATCTCGGCTCACTGCAACCTCCGCCTCCCAGGTTCAAGCAATTCTCCTGCCTCAGTCTCCTGAGTAGCTGGGATTACGGCAGGCACTGCCACACCCAGCTAATTATTATTATTTATTTATTTGAAACAGAGTCTCTCTCTGTTGTCCAGGCTGGAGTGCAGTGGCACGATCTCAGCTCACTGCAACCTCCATCTCCCAGGTTCAAGTGATTCTTCTGCCTCAGCCTCCAGAGTAGCTGGGATTACAGGCGTGCACCACACATCTGGCTAATTTTTGTATTTTTAGTAGAGATGGGGTTTCACCATATTATCAAGGCTGGTCTTGAAATCCTGACCTTGTGATCCACCCTCCTCGGCCTCCTAAAGTGCTGGGATTATAGGCGTGAGCCACTGTGCCCGGCCTAATTTTTGTATTTTTGGTAGAGATGGGGTTTCACCATGTTGGCCAGGATGGTTTCGAACTCCTGACCTCAGGTGATCTGCCCACCTCAGCCTCCCAAAGTGCTGGGATTATAGGCATGAGCCACTGCGGCCTGGCCTAATTTTTGTATTTTTAGTTGAGATGGGGTTTCACCATGTTGGCCAGGATGGTCTCGAACTCCTGACCTCGTGATCCACCCACCTCAGCCTCCCAAAGTGCTGGGATTACAGGCGTGAGCCACCATGCCCAGCCGGTGGTTCTTTTTAATATTGACATTAGCAAAAGCAATGACTTTCCCAAGGTAACACTGATATTTTTAAAGAAAAATGAATTTTAAGTTATTTCATCAAATAAAATTAAGTCTTTTAATAGATTCCGTGCTCATTCATGTCTCCTATATGTGTGTGTTTCTGTGTTCTGTTTGTCTAACAATATGTCTTGTTATTGGAGAAAAAATTTTTTTGCACTTCTTATTATAGCAGGATGATGTAAGCAAATCAGCAAGATCATCTTTTGTTGGCGAATGTAATGATCAAAAACTCTTGAGCTGGGTTAAACTTACTTGGAATTTTTAATGTAACCAGCATCTAATTTAACTTGCTTATATAATACTAAATAATGGGGGTTCAGATTTGCTTCTTTAAATGTGTATCAAAGATAGTTTATGAAATCCACGGTAATGGCAAAACCAAGGTTTTCCCTACACTCTGCAAACTGCAGCCTTTCTGGAGTAACAGGATCCCACCAACCTTGATGAAATCTTTTCCACTGTTTGGAAGAATATGGTTACTTTGTATTTTTCCCTTTGCAACAAACGAGGAAACAAAATACACATTTACGTCACCTTACTCACATCTCAGTGGCCGGGAATTAAACACAAAACTCTAATTTAGCTCGGCGTTTTTTTTTTTTTTTTTTTTTTTTTTGCCCAGAAGTGCTTAGATGCTAAGGAGAAGGCATATGCTCAGAAGAGTCAGCACACTGTGAATGATGCTCTGTATTTTGAGCACAGTGCAACCCTAATTTGCCAGGAAGAGAGAAAATAGCAGAGCAGAAGAATCACAGTACCCCACCCCACAGGATCACTCACACCCCCCAGAGACTCAAGGAAGAGAAAATGCACAAAGTGATGTACTGCGTGTTACAAGGTAACCATGGTGGCAAAGAAGTCGTGCCAGGATCTTCTCACTGATTTGGCTCTTTCTCAGCTCTCAACACAGAGATGAGCCAGAGAAAAGCGCTCAGCATGAGCTTCCATTGGCTGAAAACTTCTCTAAGCCCATTGGTCTTAAATAGTTTCACCATGGGATTCCTGAACATGAAAAGGCTTAACTATATAAATATTGTAATATGGGAAGTAAGGATGAGGCATTTACTCCTTGGTGAAATTTTAAAAGAAGATTGAGGGCGGAAGGAACCAGTTCAGGGTTTCAGTACCTTTGGAGGCAGGACGACTTGATGGTGTCAAAAACACATTCGTAGGCAGAGGTATTTGATGGAGGTAAATTTGTCTTTTTCTTTGGTTTCAGAACCAAAGGAGATAGAATAATATGCACAAGAACCTGACTTTTTAAAAAAATGATTCTGATTTTTAAGTTGGCTATATGTATATTTTAGAAAATGGTCTGAAAGTTTTACTGGTTTAATAAAAAGCAATATTCTAAGAACCAAAGTTTCCAATGATAATGATGCAATTTTGAGTCCTTTTAATCTTCAAGTATATAAAAATGGAGGCTTTCAAACTGAGGTGAGCCTGGCTGTATGAAAATCCAATGCAAATAAGCCTTCACCCCTGTGGTACTTGAACTGTTTTCTCTTTGATAACCCAATTATTGTCTCAAGAGCTGTGTCAATTGCTCTAGCGATCTCTTCTTGAACAAATCACTCCCGTAACCTCAAGCACTTTCAATTTGATTCTGCCATTTTTTGACAGTTCAAAGCAATCAGAGGCGGCCTCACAAGGATTGGGATTGATTTTGTGTTCTTGCTTATCATGCTAATTCCCTGAAAATCAGTCTTTTCATCCTTCTGCCTGATTATTGCTGTTAGAAAGACTGAGAACTGCAAAAGATCAAACAGGCCAGTTATTGGTACTTTCTATTGTCCGGTGCCAATACTACATGGTGGTGACGACAGAGCCCCAACTGTACAGAAGCCATGGAATTAGGATCAATCACATGGGGAGGCCTTAAAATAATGTGAATATTAAAAGAGTATAACTGCAACTTCCTTGAGGACGGAAAACAGAGGACAGTCCATTCAAAATGTTTGCAAATGGGATTTTCTAGCTTTAAATAGTATTTTAGGCCATTTTGGTCTCTCACATATAATCTTTAAGTGTCCTAAGAGAAAAATAGTAATGTTTAAAATTAGTTTGGGTTTTGATTTTTTCCTTAAGGATCTTGCTCTGTCCTTGGTAGCTCTGTGGCCTTATGCAAATTAATAGTCTGTCTAGGAATCACATTTCTCATCTGCAAAATGGAAAGATTGGATCCGTATAGCTCTTTCTACATCCCACATCTTCTAAGGCAGTGATTATAGATTTGCACCATTCTCAAGGTTTGTAGATGTCATAAAACTATGGTTCTTCTACTGCTAGCATAATCTCCAAGAACTTTTGATTATTAATTGATGTTAAAAGTTGGGAGAGACAGTAGTTCTCAAATTTGCCTTTCCAGCAAGTTTCCAGGTGATGCTGATTTTTCTGGTTTGGGGACTATATTTGGAGAATCACTGGATTAGATTATAGTTGTTGATTCTTGTTCAGTAGCCTGAATTCTAAATGACAGAATGGATGCAATGGAAACACTCATGGGCAAGCCACAGAGAGGATATAAAGATCATCTTGGGGCCAAGTGTGGTGACTCATGTCTGTAATCCCAGCACTTTGGGAGGCCAAGGTGAGAGGATGGCTTGAACCCAGGAGTTTGAGACAAGCCTGGGCAACATGGCAAGACCCTATCTCTACAAATCATAAAAGAATTTAGCTGGGCATGGTGGTGACCACCTGTAGTCGCAGCTACTTGGGAGGCTGGGGTGGGAGGATCGCTTGGGCCCATTAGGTCCAGGCTGCAGTGAGCTATGATTGCATCACTGCATTCCAGCCTGGGTGACAGAGTGAGACTCTGTCTTTAGGCAAAAGATTTCAGTTTTTGGTGTTCCTCAGAATTCATCCTGAATAACATACTGTAGACATATTTCAAGCTGTCTTTAATGGTGCACATGCACAGGTAAAATGCTGGGACTAAATACATGTATGCTTTCTTGACAAACAAGCACTCTTAAAGAATTTTGTCTGATTTTCTGAAAAATCTCCCCATTTTAATCTTTATATTTTGTTCAGTGTTTAACTCCAAGAATTAACTCTGAGAAAAAGAAGGATATCTTTTATTGTGTCAAAGCAACTTTATTAGAAGCTGGGAAGAGGGGGAAGTGTTATATGGGATTAGAGATATAAATGGCTGAAGGGAAAGTATTTGTTTTCTTAGTAAAGTATGAAGAGGCATCCATTGAGAATGAGGAGAAAGTGGGGGTTTGAGGAGAAAGGCAAAAGTGAGAAATAGTCCTGCTAAGAATGTGGACTGCAGTCGAATCCTTCTTTTCTTCCTCTCAAGAGACAGTCAGAATTAGTTCCATTAGACTCCATCCCTGATTTCACTAAGGTCCAAGTTACCTCAATCCATCATTGGCCCCAGATTCTCATTTCTATTCAGCCTGCTCCTCCCAGAGGTAGCTGAATTCTTCCCTAGACTGGTTCTGGGAGTGTCTGGAGCTCCTAATTGGGGATAGTGATGCCTCCTGCAGTGGCTGTCTCTCCTCTGAATGTGTTCTTTGTCTCCATTCCTCAACTGAAACACATCTTCCTTGAGGATACTTTCCCTGCTCCTCTCTTAAGTGAAGGTGGTTTTTTTCCCCCCCCAGCTTCACCTAGCTCAGGAGCAGGAGCTAGAAGATATGCTTCCTTGCTGTCTATTGCCACTTTTAGACTGTTGCTTTCCCTGCTGAAGGCCATGTTTTGAGGGTCATGCCATCTGCTACCACCCCTGCTCCATTATCTTTCTTCTCCTCTCCCATTTCTATAACAATGTGCTGAGACTTCAACCAACCACATGGATGACCCATTCTATACCTTGGCCTCATGGTTCCTAGACTCTCTTGTTCCTAATAATTATTTTCTCACTTGGCTTCATCCATAATTAATCCAAGACCTGTTCATCACTCACACCTGCGTCACCTCCAAAGTCTTAATGTAATCATCCTGTTGCCTGCCACCTCTTGTGTTTTAGCCCATTTAATGTATTACATTTATGGAAGCTTTTTTGGTGAGAAACACAACTTCACTGGCTAAATAAATCATCCTTTTCCTTGATCTTCACCCAGTTCGATAATGTCAGTACCCCAAAATGTGGCACTTTGACATGCTGAGCTGAAGGAGTCTCAAGGTCTCTCTGAGCTTCCCTGCTCCTGTCTCTCAACCTCTGTTTCTCCCGAAGCACAGGATGAAGTTGTTCTCCGGAGTTCCATTATCTGCCTAAAGTACCAACCTGCCAAAGAAGAGAACCATTGCCTTTTGTTTCTTCCCTGAGTTTTCATTAACTAAATTCATATCACAGGAAGAAAGACTGAAGCCTATCAATGCACCTGGACCGGCTTATGTCACAAACCGTTGCCTGCTCTGTGGTCCCAACAGATGTTGTCCCAGGCCATTGTACATCCTTCAAGCCAATTGAATCCCCTCTAAAAATCATTTACTACCCCCCTGAAATCATCCACACTTCCCCATCTCCCTTTCCCCTGTGAAGATGTATATAACCGTTGGTATCCCACTACGTAGTGGATGGAGTCATCACTCTGATATTCCCTCATGTGCACTAATAAATTTGTATGCCTTTCTTCTAGGAATCTGTCTTTTGTCAGTAGATTTGAAGCGAACCTTCAGTGGGCAAAGAAGAAGTTTTCCCTTGGCCCCTGCAAAATCCATTACATGTAAAGATCTATCATTGTACTCATCTTATCTCAACAAAATTGCTCTTGTCTTTCTCCACCATAATACTATGGCAAAATTAACCCTGATATAACTCAAACGTCCATCATCTCTTGTCCCCATTCATTTATTAATTTGTTCATCCAATACATTTTTCATGGAATGCCCACTGTGCTCAGAGCTAGATAGAACAGTGGACAAAGGAAACAAAGTTCCTTGCCTTCATAAAACTTACACTCAACATTGCTAAATTTTCTTAGAGACTTCTCTTTTTACCTTCTTAAAAACATTTTTTCTTTATTTCTTCTCAACCTAGAACATTCCACATGCTTCCCCCACTGTTCTTTTTTTTTTGAGACGGAGTCTCGCTCTGTCCCACAGGCTGGAGTGCAGTGACACGATCTCGGCTCATTGTAAGCTCCGCCTCCCGGGTTCCCACCACTCTCCTGCCTCAGCCTCCTGAGTAGCTGGGACTACAGATGCCTGCTACCACGCCCAGCTAATTTTTTGTATTTTCAGTAGAGACAGGGTTTCACTGTTTTAGCCAGGATGGTCTCAATCTCCTGACCTCGTGATCTGCCCTCCTCGGCCTCCCAAAGTGCTGGGATTACAGGCGTGAGCCATTGTGCCCAGCTGCTTCCCCCACTATTCTTAGCTAGTCACCCAGCCATAGAAAAAAAGAAACTAATCAGAGATGTACATTTTTATGTTCCCACCTCCTAACATGCCCAACTGTACATGTACCCATCTATCTTCGTTCCATTTACCAGAAAGAAATGCGTTTTTTTGTACCCATTTCTTCTCTTGTGCTGCCTTCTTGAGGACTTTGTTCCCTTAAATCATCAGTTTTCTTCTCTGATCTGGATCCCACTACCATATAAGCATGCCAGAACAAGTATCTTTCACATTAAAACAAAACAAAACAAAACAAAACAGAACACACCAAAACAACAAACCTCTGCTGACCCCACAGTCCTTTCCTGTGCTTCAAAGCAAAATTTCCCTAAAAATTTGTTAAACTCTGTCTGTCAATGTTATCACCTCTTTTTCACTCTTCATGGTCTCCATGCTGGATCCATCTTCTCTACTCCATTAAAAGTCTTGCCATGAGGCACAGCTTTCCTTAGTTGCCTTTACACCACATTACCCTGGATTTCTCCATAGTTTCCCCCTACCTTTTAATTACTGTTTCCCAGTCATTTTTTGGTGGCAATTTCTCCCATATTCCTCCTCTAAATGTTGGAGCGACCTGAGACCAGTCCTAGACCATCTTATCTCCATCTACCTTCTCTCCCTAGCTGACCTTATCTAGCTCATGGCTGTAAATAATACCTACATGTTTATATTTATGTCTCTGGCTATAACTTCTCCCATGAGGCCCAAAATACTTATTGTCTACTCAAGGCATCCTTTTGGATATGTGGTAGACATCTAGTCATTGCAAACTTAATGTGTTTAAGAAAGAAGTCTTGATTTATCCCTTGACCAAACTATCTTTGCTCTCCACACTTTACCATTTCAATAAATGGCACTGATATCCAGCATCTTTGATGGAAAGCTGGGGAAAGCTCCCTGATTCCTTCTCCTCCCCTTCACTCTCTAAGATCGATTCATCCATGTGTCTTCTTGATCATTTTTTCAAAAGGTATTTCCATCTCCACTGCTTTCATCTTGTCCACATCATTGTCTGTTGCTTGGTCTCCCTGCTTCCATTCTACAACTGTTGTAATCCTTCTCTACCCAGAAGCTACAATAATCAGTTAGATCATGTAGCTCCCCTGACTACAATGATTTTAGGCTGCCAGTATCACTTAGAATGAAACCTGAACACCTTGTAATTCCCCACAGGGCTCCCTCTGCTCTGTCTGATGTCATCATGTAATACTCACTCCCTGCCTCACTATTTTCCCACTGTGCTGCTCTCTCTTCTGTGTGATAACTGCATGAGCGAGCTTGTCTATGCCCTTTGGTTGGACTGGGCATAGAACCCAGTTCTTTCCCTGGAATGTTGATTTCTGGTCTCATCATGTGCTGCCTCCTTTCGTATTTGTTCCTACAATTTCCGGTGAAATGTAAGCACCTCTCAGAAAGGCCTTCTGAAGTGGACCCTGCCCTACCTAAAGTGGATGTCTCACCACCACTCCTCATCCTCATAGTATAATTGTCTTCATTCTCTGAGAGAAGTTATCATAAGCTGAGACTATATTGTTTATTTGATTAATTATGTGTTGTTTGCTGCTTCCAGTAGAATATAAACTACTTGAAGGCAGGGACCTGGTCGGATTCAATCAATTCTGTATCCCCATAACCTAAAACGGTACCTTACCTAAGCAAGGCTCACAGTAAATATAGGGTGAATGAATGAATGAATGAATGAATTATAATCATTAATGCCACGAAGAAACTCATAGGTAAAAGGAAAGATGCCTAAAGAAGGCAGGAGACAGAAGCAATTCTGGAATGGTAAATGTATGTCGCATGGAGCCTGGAGAAAAGTGTTGGCTTAAATTTTTCCTTTTTAAAGTAGTATTACCTTGGTTAAAAAAAATTAATTACTACATAGCATTTAAAACCAGTGAACTACATCTATATACCAGATTGTCCCAATGTTAAAAACAACATGAAAGTAAAAAAGTAAGTTTTGAAATGATACACAGAGTATCCTTGTATAAAAATGCAAAACTACATAATACATATATTGTTTATACATGTAACTTATGTGGTAAAAGTCTAAAACATTGATTTTTTTTCCAGAAGAATCCATGCCATATTCATTACAGTGGTTACTTCTGAGGTGGGAAGGGAATGAACTTCAGGCAGGGAACAAAAGACACTTCAATTTTATCTGCAAAGTTTCGTTTCTGTTATTTAAAAAGTCTGAAGCATGTTTGATGAAGTGCTATCATTCTGCAGTTGGGTGGGGGGGTGGGTTGATGTGTGTTTATTATATTTTTATTTATAATTACTGTACTTTAGCATTGAAAAAAAGTTAAGGGCTATTATATACCTGTGGCCTGAGGGGGACTTTAGGAACTGATTCATAAAATATAATGTCCTTATATTTAAATCAAGGGTTAACTAATTCAATTTGGCATCTATCTGTGTGATTCTTGGGTGGGCTCCCTTTTGGCTGGCGTCTGTGTTTTTGGGTCAGACTGAAGTGGTGTGGAATGTGGAAATAGGAGGGAAAACATCTGTGCACTAACTCAAATATCTCCACTGTTCCTCCAGGGTCTTTGTTTGTGTGATTGTTTTGTTTTGTTTTCTGACATAAGAGTAGCAAAAGCAACAAATGTCGTTTGTTCAGGACATTTTACATGTTTGGGACTCTCTGTACATTATTGCATTCACTACTCACAACAACGGCATTAGGTGGGTATTATTATCCCCGTTTTATAGGTGAGAAGGCTGAGACTTTGAGGTAACTTATACTAGGCCACACAGCTAGTAGACGCAACAGAGGCAGGAGTCAAAGCTAAGTTTATTTGACCCTAAAGCTGGTGGGTTTCTATTATACTACTTTGCCTATTGCACTCTGACCCCAAAGTGCCTCTTTAACTTCTAGAATGTTCATTTCAGGCTTTGCTTTGGATTTAAAGCTGCCTCCCTTTCACCCACACTTTTGGTCAATGATCTATATCTTTCATGAAAGATGACTTAAACTGAGCTGAGTTTCAAGTCTAAGAAACTGATAGTCACATGACTTAGTGTCCAGCATTCCTATCACAAACTGGAATTTTATGGGTAAAAAAGACATATATGCACACACATACACACACAAAGTATATACATATATGTACTAACCACTTCTCAACAAAACGTATATATGTATGTCTTAAAAGAGTTTGACATAAGATACCACGTGAAAGTAAAGAAAGAAGCAAAAATAAGTAATATTAAGAACTGTACTCCTAAAATTTTGAATTTGAGTTAACCAATGCTGTGCTGTGTGAAGTACTCAAGATTTATTATCTCAAGATTCATTTCTTTCTTTTCTTTTCTTTGAGACAGAGTCTTGGTCTGTCACCCAGGCTGGAGTGCAGTGGCAAGATCCTGGCTCACTGTAACCTCCACCTCCTGGGTTCAAGAGATTCTTCCGCCTCAGCCTCTCGAGTAGCTGGGATTACAGGCACATGCCACCACACCTGGCTAAGTTTTGTATTTTTTGTAGAGACTGGGTTTCACCATGTTGGCCAGGCTGGTCTCGAGCTCCTGACCTCAGGTGATCTGCCTGCCTTGTCCTCCCAAAGTGCTGGAATTACAGGTGTGAGCCACCACACCCAGCCTCAGGATTCATTTCATTTTTATGTTCCTCAAAGCAGCTAGAGCAGTGTCTTTGGAATGAATTTGTCAAATGGGTGATGTGCATTTAGACATCCATCCCCTACACGGGGCCCTGCCTCTCACCTGAGTTTTTGCATGTTGTTCTGGTGTGCCAGAGCCTGCACCCTCTAGGACTCACCCCGGGTGCCACTCCTAGGAGCTCCCACCACACCAACAGCCCACGAGAGATGAATCTGCCTTGTTGCCTGCTGGACGGAAAGGCCCATCTGGGCTACTGTGTTCATGAATGTAAAATGGCTGATAAACTGTTCATATAAGTAATACATTTTCCTTTTAAAATGTCTTTTTCACTGTCTTAGTCCATTTTCTGCTGCTAATAACAGAATACTTGAAACTGGGTAATTGATAAAGGAAAGCAATGTATGGAGGCTGAGAAGTCCATATCTGGTAAGAGCCTGCTTGCTGGTGAGGACTCTCTGAAGAGTGGCAGGGTATCACATGGTGAGGGGGCTGAGTGTGCTAACATGCTAACTCAAGCCTTTCTTCCTCTCCTGATAAAACCACCACTACCCCTCCCATGATAACCCACTGATCTATGTATCCATGAATACATAAATAGATTGATCCATTTATGAGGGCAGAGCCCTTGTGATTCAATCACCTCTTAAAGGCCCTCCCTCTTAGCATTGCCACATTGGGGACCAAGTTTCAACATGTGTTTTGAGAGAAGACGCTCAAACCATAGCATTCACTTACCCCCCACAAGTGACTGTGAATTTCAAGAATTATGGTATAAAAATAGAAAAAATATTTTTGGGGAAATGATCCTTCTATGTGTCTCAAAGAAGATATATTGCTGCCCTTTTGTTTTTCTGTGTTATAATTCTAGTATTCATACCAGGTAGGATACTAACAGGGTACAAATAAAAGAGTGAAACTTCTTTTTCTGGAATTATGTAGATAGTTTTTCTCTTTCAGATTGGGGACTAGAGATTTCTGTAATGAAGGCAAATGGAGAATATCATTTAGAATTAAATAAGAGTGGGTGAAAAAGGATTTATAAAAAAGTTTTAGCCATGATATTGAAAATATGAGAGGAAATTAAAAAAAAATCGAGACATAAAAGTCCTGAGCTTGAGTCCTTGGAAAAATAAAATTTTACATTAACATGTATAGATGCATGTTTTCTCTAATTTGTTGCTGTGAAATCATTTTGTTGAATTCATCGGAATGTCAACCTGTGGGCTTTAAAACATACTTACATTGGCCAGGATAACAGTGATAACAGCAACTATAATGCCACAAGCTTCTTTGCAGCCTTCCTCTGGATTCTGAAGAATTTAAACGCTAACAAAAAATCAATTTCTTGGATATAGAGGGCAGTTATACTAGTCACTTTGTGCTCACCTGGGAGAGTGGATTTATTTGTAGAAGTTTTAAATAACTCATCTAAGGGGAAAGAAGAGATTAGATCATATAAAGGAAAATTTCTGAGATCAAATAGGTCTCCTTTGTGACCTTTTGTTTTGATTCCTTCATAGATATACTTGAGAATCACCTTGTGGTGGGGATGGCAGGAATAGTCCCAGGCCCAAGATTTACTTAGAAAGGTAAATAAAGCTGCTTTTTATTGTCAAGTTGAAATGCACTACGGCCTGGTAACTGCAGGCCGTAATAACAATTTTTATTGGTCTCAATTGCTTCTTGGGCTCTATGTCCATTTTGAGAGCAGTGGTCAGTTGTTGTACCCTTCCCCCATCTTGCTCATGAAAATGAATTTGTCTTTTAAATTTCTTCAAGGCTCTGTAAGTTGATTGGATGGTGACATGGTTTGGCTCTGTCCCCACCCACATCTCATGTCGATTTGTAATCTTCAATGTCGGAGGGGGAGGGGCCTGGTGGAGGTGATGGGATCATGGGGGCAGGTTTCCCTGTGCTGTTCTCATGATAGTGAGTGAGTTCTCATGAGATCTCATGGTTTAAAAGTGTGTAGTGCTTCCCCCTTAGCTCGCTCTCTCCTGGTCTGCCATGGTAAGATGTAATTGCCTCCCCTTCATCTTCCACCATGATTGTAAGTTTCCTGTGATCTTCCAGCCATGCTTCCTGTACAGCCTGTGGAACTGTGAGTCAATTAAACCTCTTTTCTTTATAAATAACCCAGTCTCAGGTATGTCTTTATTGTTGTGTGAGAATGGACTAATACAGATGGTTAGGTGAGATAACTCATGAAAAGTCACTTCTATCCGATCTAGTTTTATTTTACCTGCAGTATAATTTCTGACTATATAACAGAGTACCTTTTCAGGTACCTTTTAAACAAACTTACAGGTGAAATGAGATAATGGCTCAAATTTGCTTTAAAACATTCAAACAAAAAAAAGTGGTAGACAGATGAGATAAGATTAGAAAAATGTTAGTACTTGTTAAAGCTGGGCAACGAATATCTAGAGCTTTGTTCCATTATCCTACCTACTTTTCAGTATGTGTACAATTTTCCTTTTGCATTTCTTAGCTGAAATTCTATAAAAAATTTCTCCTAATCAACTATTTGGTTATCCTGAAATACTATTCATATAAGAGAGTCAGAATAAATGCTTGTTTTTTTTTTTTTTTTTTTTTATGGATACTTATGTATTTTTTTGTTTGTTTGTTTTCTTTCTATATCAATTTTCAGTCTTTGTTTTCGGGTTTTTTTTTTTGAGATGGAGTTTTGCTCTTGTTGCCCAGGCTGGGGTGCAATGGCATGACCTCGGCTCACCACCACCTCCGCCTCCCAGGTTCAAGCGATTCTCCTGCCTCAGCCTCCTGAGTAGCTGGGATTACAGGCATGTACCACCACGCTTGGCTAATTTTGTATTTTTAGTAGAGACAGGGTTTCTCCGTGTTGGTCAGGCTGGTCTGGATCTCCCGACCTCAGGCGATCCACCCGCCTCGGCCTCCCAAAGTGCTGGGATTACAGGTGTGAGCCACAGCACTCAGCCTTTTTTACTTCTTTGTTTTCTTAGCACTCTTTTTTGGTGAGCAGTGAATTTGCATTTCCTTTCTTTTGTTAGTATTGTTACCTGGATTTAGGAAACATTTTTGATATCTTTCAATCTACTGTAGTTATTACACATTGGGCTGCTCAGTTTATGGCATCTTATGCCAGTGGAAGTCTCTTCAGGTTGCTTTTGGCACCTTTTGACCCGGTTCTATTACTCTTTGGTGCCTCCCTTGTCTTTTGGCACGATGAGCTGCTCCAGAGGCACCTTGTACATTTCCTATCCAAGAACAAGAATCTGTTATTTCTCCAAGAGCTCGGGCATTTTAATCCATGCCACAGAGATGTCTACCTGTTCAAACTACACGTAGGGCACATTGTGAAGTAAGGTTACATTGTGATAATATTGGTTAACAGAAATTTAATGGAAAGGTTTCTTTGGAAGAGCTGCTGCCAGACATTTGTTCTCATGACTGGGGATGTGGCCCAGTCCTTGCACAGATACTACTTAATATTACAACTGGGCTGTACCAGCCAGCTAGCTCTTTTTACTTGCTCAAGATTTATTTTGGCTTCCAAACACCTGTCCTGCTGGGTTCTGTATGTACTAGGTTCAGTGGACTTGAATTTTACCAGTGTCCAACTTTGCCTGAAGAATAACTGGCTTCTAAGTTATATTTGGTTCATGCTTGTCCACTTAGTGTCTAAAAGAGTCAAATGCAAACATCAACATCATCGCCAGTTAACTTGTCTTAATAACTTTTTTCGGCATGACAGTGATTGCTAAAACTATAGTTACCAATTAGTGCACATTTCCCCCCAGGCTCCACATATAAAATCTCATCATCTCACTTAATCCTTACCACAATCTTATGAAGTGAATGTTACTGTTGTCATTTTACAGGTGAGCACACTGAGGTTTGGAGAGGTCAGGCTGCTTCTTTAAGGAGCTAGGAGTCACACAGAAAGCTCTGAATCCAAAGCTGGCATCTTCAACAATGGTTTGATACTTTCTCCATTGCTCAGAAATGTTAGAGATACAAGGAAATATAAGACATGGTTTTTCTTCTCAAGGATTTATAATCCTAATTGAGAAAGATAGGATGTCCATAGAAAAAAAATATTTTTTCCAACATGGAGAAGTCTATGAAAAGACACATGTAGCTGTTTGCCTTTCAATCCACCCACCTGGTATTGCCAGATTAATTTTACAAAAACATTTTTGCTGTCATTACCCCCCTGCTTAAAACTTCAAAGGTCCCCCACTGCCTACAGGATAAAGTCCAACTCTACTGCTTGGCATTTTAGGGCTTCCAAAATTTGGCCCTTACCTATCTTCTCATGTGTGAAATTCCACTGTGAAGCTGGCTCATGAACTGAGCTTCTACACCAAATGACACGTCTGGTGCTCTATGCTTTTGTGTTCCAGAAATTTTGTCACATTAAGGGCACCCTTGTTTTCCTTTTTTTTTTTTTTTTTTTTTTTTTGAGGTGGATTTTCGCTCTTGTTGCCCATGCTGGAGTGCAATGGCATCATCTTGGCTCACTGCAACCTCTGCCTCCCAGGTTCAAGTGATTCTCCTGTCTCAGCCTCCTGAGTAGCTGGGATTACAGGCGCCTGCCACCACGCCCGGCTAACTTTGTGTTTTTAATAGAGACAGGGTTTCACCATGTTGGCCAAGCTGGTCTTGAACTCCTGACCTCAGGTGATCCGTCAGCCTCGGCCTCCCAAAGTGCCAGGATTAGAGGTGTGAGCCACTGCACCTGGCCAACCTTGTTTTCTTCAGTGCCCCCTTTTAAAAGGTGATCCATAAAAGATGCAAAGCCAATTGTCCCTCTGACTTCTCTGGTGGAACACTCAAACTGGTCTTATAAATATATCTTGTCAATTTCACCTCTGGGCCTTTGCTTGTGTCACACCTCTGCCTTGATGACTTCCTTTTTTCCTTGAGTCAAGACTCTCTTGCTGTCATGGAGCCTCTCCTGGTTTATCCAGGCCCTTGTTTAACATGATCTCATTTGAAATTCTTCAGAACTTTTTGTCTGTATCAATTACCATATATAGCCTTAAATTACCACTTATATATTTTAAAATTATACTTGGGCTTTTTCTAATTATAAAAGTAACAAATGCCAAAAGTAAAAACTTGAAGATGTGCCAGGAGCAATGGGAGAAAATTAATTACTGACAATCTCACAACCAGAGGATCACCACTGCTAATATTTTGTTGTGTGTGTACGCACATATTACAGCATATAAACAATAGCATATTGTACCTATGATTTTATAACCTGCTCCTTTCTATGAGCAAATTTCTCCTGTCAATAGTATTTAAACACAACTGATTTTAAATGTCTCCATAATATTTCATCATATAAATGTTCCTTTGTGTAATTATTTGATTTTATATTACTATATATTTATATTATTTTTCTATTATAATAATGTTAAAGTAAATATATTTGGGGTAATACTCTAACACTGCTTATCTTTTTGGTACAGAGGAGCTAAGAATATTTGTCAAAAGGTAGAAATACCTGGCTCAAAGTCACTTCCTAGCTCTATTCCCTTCGGCAATGATGTAACTTTTCTAAGCTTACATTTTCTCATCTTTGAAATATTCATTACCTTACTGCCTACATCACGGAATTGTTTGTTGCAAGATAACTACCATGTGGTAAGTTGGTAGTAAGTGTGGGATATTATGATTTTTGTTTTTGCCTCACCTCTCTTCTTCTATGACTACATAATAAATCCCTTAAGGAAAAGGCTTTGTTTTATGGGGTCTGTGCTTGTTGTCCTCATGTCTGTCCCACTGTATTGTGCATAAGTGGTGGCTAACAACTGTTTGTTGATAATGACAAGGATGCCCAGATATGCGCCGGATACTTGCTGTGTAAGAAGTTACCCTTAGCAGCACTCGCATGCAAATTTGAAACTTTTCTGGAGACCCGAAGACTTTAAACTTTTCTCATCCAAATGCTCATTTTTGTTGCTAATCTTAGTTTTCTAATGTTCCAATTTTCCTCTGTATTCTTTACCTTCTGGTTGTTACCATCTGTGTTGATTGGCCCTCCTAGTTATAGATTGTGTTTACATACAAGGGGCTGGGAAGATCTATGCTCCCCTCATGCGATGGTATTTCTGGGGCACTAATGCATGGTGCTGTGAAACACGTCTTTGGCTGAGCTAGCCAGTTCAAAAGCCAGCTTCACAGCGGAATTTCACACATGCAAATGAACCATTGTGATCTTAGTCATGAAAATTCATGGAATAGTGGCTAGTTCAGTGTGGATGACCTGTCAATTTGGCAGCCAATCAGTTGGTTAAACATCCAAATTACTGGCCAGTTACTCAGTCTAATGCTAGTCTTCCTGCTTGTTACTGGGTTCTATGTAATCCTATTAAAAGCAATGACATTCTCTTTGATTTGTGGCAGCTAATGGTGTAGAAGTACCACGCAGGCACAGGACATGTGTCTGGCACAGTTTTCACTTGGGCATTGTGAAAATGGACCACTTGTGTTACTGTTGGATTTATTCTTAAAACTCTAAATATCCTCTGTTGAATAACAGGCAAAGTATCTTAATTTCATGGGTGCACCCTATTTATTATTTTTATCAATTATAAATGGGAATTGCTCTAAGGATTGAATATTTTTTTTTTGATATGTACTAATTGATTTTGTTGGATCTATAGTTAGCTCCTTGGACTTGGTTGTACTGTCAGGCAGTTGGACAGAAAGCCGTGGAGACTCCTCATGGCCTGTTAGAACTTGGGATTTGATTGACAGTGACCCATCTACAGTTCAATTTAGACAAAAGATAGCAGTATTGATAGGCTGGGAAATGGATCTAGAACAGTAATTCCTAGTTACAGACCTCTTTGAGAATATGATGAAAACTCCAGACTTGGACTCCAGAAAAATGTGCCAAAAATCTAGCATGAAGGTTTTGAGATTTCCTGCATCTGTTGAAGTCCAGGGGTCCAGGGACCCACGAAACCTATGTTAAAATTCCTGTACTGAATGTCAGGGTATGGAGTGGGAATAAAGAGACACAGAGAAACAGAGAAGGAGGCACCAAGATAGAAAAAGATAAAAGAGCCACGGAAGAGAGTAGACTCGGAAGTAGAGAGAGACTGAGAGGCTGAAAGTAGATGTAACTGCAGTTCTCTTAGCCGAACATAATCTCGCAATGCTATACATAATTAGGTTCTAATAAACACTTTCTTATGTCCAGAATCTTGAGTTATTCTGTCAAATAAAAATCTCCCATATGAAAGACATGATATATCTTTCACCTGAGGATTTTTGACAGTGTTGAAAAAACATACAGGAACAAGCATTTCATTTTAAAGGCAAGCATGAAGATTTTTAAAAGAACAGTGTAAGTTAAAGGGTCAGTTGGCTTGTAAATGCAAAAGCTTTTGTGTTTACTGAAGGCCATTGGTAGAAAAATTGTAAAAATAATACTGATTGGGAAGCATCAGTCATACTTTTTTTCAAAGAGTTTTTAATATATAGTATTGTATTTTATTTTCACAACAACCCTTTTTGTTAGGTAGGGCAAAAACTGCCATATGTGTTTTGAACATGAAGAAATTGAGACATGTGTATGGAGACTTATCTGGAATGATGAATACTCCAGGAAAAAGTGAATTCTGGAAACCAGATTTCCCAGCTCTGATTCTCAGGTGAATCCATATATCCCTGTTAGATATTAACACCCACATAGCCAGTGTATATTACAAATATAGTGTCTTCTTGTTTCTTAAAATGAAATAAAATTGACGAATTGGAACATGAATTAAAAATAGTGTTCTTGAAATGGGACAAAATAACAGGATCGTAGAACTTTAGAATGTAGGAGACCCTAGACATGAATAATCTCACCTACTTGTTAAGGTCCTTGTTGAGGACAAGGACTTGTCCCAGAGGGCTTGAGATTTGAACAAGACCTGGTGAGTGGAGACATATGGGAGAGACACTAACAGCAGAATGAAATAAGGACTTGCTCTCAACTCTGCTTTTTTTCCCACTCCCACCCAGGGGAAGAAGCAGGATTTAAAAGCATCTATTCTATGTTTTATATAACTTAGATGGAATGTCTTGATAATAATTTTGAAAAATCAGGTGTGAATCAAATCCAGTTCTCTTCTCAGACTATACCTGGGAACTTTAAAATTCCAGTGTTTTCTCAGAAGTTGTCTGTATAGGATAATGTAAAATTCTTTACATTCTGTTGGCCTGGGAAATTTTACATGGCTAAGAAAATATAGTAGAATAATTGCTCTGCTTCTCAGACTATAGTAGAGATTCCTAGGTTAGCATAGGTAATTCATGTTTCAAGGATGAATATGGTCATATATATCCATACATGCCCATATTCAATTATTCATGATTGTGGTATATATATATATACACACACACACATGCATACACACACATACATATGATATATAGATATATAATTGTGAGCATTTATAAAAGCATTAGGTCTGCAGGATATTTAAACACTCTTCATTTGTAACTTGCATTTTAGGGGGAATTATTTAGCTATGCGAGATATCACCATATTCAGTTTTTTTAATATAATAAACATGTCTAGTCAAAGAAGGCATTAATGAAGCAATTCCCCAAATAAAACAGCCCATGATATCTGAGTTGCAGCAGAGAGAGAGTGTGGTCTTTGTAGTTTAATCAAGATCACAAGACTTGTTTTGAGCGTCTGTCATCTTTAATTTTACGGCACTTCATTTCAGAGTAGGACTGCCAGGGTCACATGCAATTAAAACACAGGCAAGACTTGTCTTGTGAAATCTTAACATAAAAAGTAATGTGTTACTCCATTTTAACTTTTCTACTGAACTCCGTGAACTCACTAATTACTTTTCCCCCCTCTTGTCACCTTTTTGATATGACATGTATTTTATAGAGGAGATAGAAATTTGGATTTTTTTAATATCATGCATATGATTGAGGATAACAAAATTAAACCAGAGAAAAAAGGAATGCGTTTTTCAGAAATACATTTTTTAGTAATATCTGAGTACTCCAGCTTCAATTACAAAGAACCTCATAGATCAAATTCTAGGAAATAACTGTTAATCTGCTTAACTAGGGCAGGTAGAAGTGTAATAACGGACCAGAGATTTTACAGAGGCCAGGATCGTGAACCGGAGTTTATTCTCTGGGGTGCGGGCAAAAGCGCTTTTATGTGATTGGCTGAGAAAAGCATTAAAAGCCAGCGCCTACGTGGAGATTTGGAGCACAAGGAGGGTTGTTGCATCATAGTGATCAGTAAATTGCATAGACCCTTATTAACCTTATTGATAAGGAGCTTAGGGAAGACCCAGGCAGGGCGCAATATATTCTTCTTTTTGTTCTCCTGTCTGTCTCCGTTTGCAATCCCAGCCGCTTTGTATGGAGAGCTTTTACGCAGCACCTGAAAATTCAATGTGAGTAGCTGCGCCTTTAAGTTAGAGCCAGGGAATGGAGCGGGAGCCAGCCCATGCACAGGGGGTTCAGGGCCTATTTAACTGGTGCTGGGGACACCTGGAGAATGTTTGAAAATTTTGTGCTTAAAGAATCTTTTATATTACTCCTCTTTCAATGCAGCTGGGGTCTGTAGGGATCAGGGGATTATTTTTGATACCTGTCGAAAAGAGTTATGTCTACACTGATTTTCCATCCCTCACTACTAATTAACCTTATTGTATACAGGAAACAGTGTATTTAATACCTGCATTCTTTCTGTAATGCCAAGTAAAATGAAATCCAGTGTGAAATCTAGTTAGCGTTTGCCTTTTTGAAGTCATTTTTAAGTTTCCAGTTTTAGTGACTGTGACCTCAGAACTGATAGCTAGAAAAATAGTGAGCTCAAACCAATTTTGGTTTCAATTGTATTCCTCACTCCTTCCAACTTTAAAAGCTGCCTTTCACCTGGTCTGGTGAGGAGAATGGAGGAATGGAACATCCCGAGCTGGACCACGTTTCTCTGGAGTCTTCCATGTTGGCCTCTGCCTGTGGTTGTGAGGTTTCCCTTTAGGCCGGCCCCATAGGCCGGCCCCTACTCCATTAACCTGGTTTCTCTCCTTGGCAGTTGAACACCTGTGTCCCCTTCTTTTCAATCTGGGAGGCTGAAATTTGACAGACACATCATGGCAAAGTTGTGCAGCAGCGATACAAGTAGATGCTGAAGAAAAGGGAGGAATCTGAGCGCAGGATAAAATGCTCAAGAAAATCCCATTGGTGGAATGTTTGTGAGAGAAAAAAAAGGTAGGGTCTAGCAAGAAAGAGCAGAAATTAAACTGTGTAAAATGTCACCAAATGATGTGGAAAAATCCACATGTCTTCAAGTATGCTGCACAATATGGACTTAGAACACATTTTGCGAGTGATGTGAGAATGGTTAGCACAATGGTTACATTCCTGCTCTTAAAATTCCAGTGTGTGTGTGCATGTGTGTGTGTGTGTGCATGTGTGTCAAGTAAACTTGTTAGCGAAAATAGTGCCAGAGGAAAGTGAGGATTTTCAGGCCACTGCCTTGTATTTTCCAGATTCCTTGGCTTTTGAGATTTTCATATGTTGGTCAGAATGCCTATGCCTTATAACATTTGTCTGACATGTAAACCACACATTGATAAGTGGAGAGAAGGTTAGTGGAAGATGCTGCTGGGTGTCACAGATGCCTAAGACCCCCTCCTCCTCCCAGCTGACTTGAACCGGGACATCAAAATTTGCTGTCAGACTTGCATGGGTTAGATTGGTGAATCTTACCATCTCTCCACTGCTTCTGTGATTTAGTAAGCATTTCTTAGGGACTTGCACTTCAAGAGAGGTAGCTGAAGGAATGTCTGTTTGATGGCCCTTGTTTAGGTGGGACTAAGAGTCAACACAAATACCACTGATTTGGCTGCACATAAGACGCTACATTTAACTTGATAGGAAACCTGACGGTGGATCATATTTGTATTTAATGTTGCTAGTGTTCTGGGTTTTTGTCTTGGTTCACTGATCCATCAAGTGTGCACAGAGCCCCAAGCACGGGCATGGTGTTGCCACTCTCACTTACTGCTTTCTTAGCGCTCTCCTTATTGAATGGGGAGTGTTGTATAGAATCCTACTGATGGCTTAAGAGTTTTGTGGACCCTGCATACTTTGCTTCAAGCATAAAATAGCAAAAATCAGTTGTATAAGTCTATAAGGAGTGTGTGTGTGTGTATATCCTTCTTCAGGTCTCTTACCAAGACAGCTAGGCATTTTCATCTGGACAACACTACTACAGAAAATTGTCATCTTTTTGTACAAAATGTTCACTGTATTCTCATCATTTAAATGATTCAAGATCACTTTCTGGCAGCATGAGACATGACATGTCTTGATGCCTGCCTCTTTTTCAATTATATTTAAGAGGAAGGCTGCTGGGACCCACATTTTTCATCTTTCACAGGACCCCTAAAGGGCCAGATTTAAGTTCAATACAATATTAGATAGTAAGGTATGATAGATGATAACAGGACACTGACAAATATGATCCAACACAGCATAATACAACATAACATGGGGTTGAAGCTACCCCAACAGGTACCTGTAAAGATGGGTAAAGAGGCTTCTGTTCTGTCCTTTCCATAATGCAGTAAAAAATTAGTACAATGTCTGCAAAACATGTAGGCAAACAAAATGCTACACAAATATTAAAATTATAGAAATAACATGCATGAGATTAACCATCTACTCATAAGAACAGAGGTACTCTGTATTTCTTTGAAAAAATTGTGTAATATCCCCCTTATTCTTTTATGAAAATTCATATGAAAGTAAAACTTTCATCAGGTGTTTTAACAGAATGACCAGGCACCCACACAAGTAGAAATACCTGGGGATGTTTATGCACTTACATTTTTTTCAGCATCTTTTCCTAATTAAGTGATCATATGGTACAGTGGTTAAGGCAGGTGCCTCTGCGCCATATTACTTAGATTCAAATATTGATCTGGCATATACTACTTACATGAACTTGGTAATTTCAGTATTTTTTTGCTCTCAATTTCCTCAAGTATAAATCAGGGATAATAGTGTCTTCCTTCGTAGAGTTATCAAGATTAAATAAAACAATATATATCAATTGCAGTTCATGGCATATAACAAGTGCTCTATAAATGTTAGCTAATCAAAATTAATCTTCCCAGGACTAATTTCTTGATGATCCTCTGGGTGGCCAGAGGAGCAATATTGGCTCAAGAAAAAGGAGGGAGAGGTCAGAGCCAGGTATGATAGAAGTGACCCTACGATCATCTGGGGATGATGCTGGTAGCATGCACACTCATTGACTTGGGCATGACTTGGCCAAAATGGTTACTGTCAAATGCCAAATCACTTTCAGAATCTAGAATTAACCTCCATCGCAACCCAGTGAGTAAGTCAGAAACGGGCCTGGTATGGGAGTTCTGCATAACAAGAGATGGTCTTTGCACTTAGCAGTCATAATGAAGAGATGGCAGGTAAGGCCCTGAAGAAGTTTAATAGTATGATGCACCATAATATCAATTTCTCTATCTGCTGCTGCTCTCTGAATTTAGACTTGCATTAACAGTCTTATAGCAATAATCTTCTGTCTGGCAATGGTGCCTATGATTTCTTCCTGCTTCAAATTCCACTCCATAATGTTGCCATGAGAATCTTTACAGCTTTGATAAAGTTACTTCCCCGCTAAAAAAAGACCTTCAGGGTCTCAAAATTGACTAGAAACTTAGGATAACACATCTTAGTACGGCATTCAGGATTTTTTTTTGAGTCTGGTCCCAACCTTCCTTCTCATTGTTTTCAGAACATAAAGTTATTATTAGTTAATAAACTGGAAATCCATCATCCACATCTTTTAGGAATAACTTGGAATTTCATGGTGTATTACCTGTTTTAATTTCCTTCATATGATTCCATTACATAGCCCTGAAAGGCAAAATAAGACAAGTAGAAAACAGATACCCAGCTTGAGTGAGTAATTTGCTCAGGGTCGACACAGCAAGTTCTCCTAAGTGCAAAGTGTACACGTTTTCTGCTCTTTCCCATTGCTCGGGCTCCTCATCCCCACAATCTGCTCCGTGTGCGGCCACTTTCTGGGGAGCAAACTTTGTGACACTGAGGTCCTTGGGCTGAGTCCACAGAGCTGTGTTTTATTTGGTGCCCTTAAAAAACAGATTTCACACAAGATCCTGAATTTCTGGCTTTTCATGAAAGAGCTGAAGGTCTGGCAACATTGTGCCCACATTCCCACATAAGCAACATCGGCTCCAGCTGAGTAGAAGCCGACCCTTTTGGCCAGGCGTTAAGCTTGACTTTTCCACAGCTGCTGCTTCATACGCCTGCTGCCTGCTCCTCTTGACTCGTTTCTATCACTGCCCGGCCCCACTAGGCATCTGAATTTGCAACCCTTGTTTTAAAGAAAGAGAAAAAAGGAGACATCTGTGTTCTAAAGATAAGATCAAACAGGGTTGAAAATATAAAATGTGATTATTATATTTCCAGAAAGTCCTCATTTTTTGGTATTAAGATGTAAGTTTCCTGGGAGAGAGTTGATGTTGTTTTGGTTTTATTCCTCATTTTTGACAACAGAGCAATTTGACCCAGAACCCTTAGCAACAGTCCTTTTTGGATGAAAATCTTTGCAGGGCCTTTTAATTAGGAATTGACAGGGTGATTAACTTATAATTCACAAAAATAAATGTGGAAAAGAGAAGTACAGGTCAATTTCTAGCTGTGTTAAACTGTAAGGACAGCACTATTGGCAAGTGATTGCTTCCTTTTAACAGCTTTTAAAATTTTTCTTAATTGGATCGTTTGTTTTCTAATTGGATAGGGAGAACCATCATATGGCTTTCAATTACTAGTTGTGGCATGGTGATCCTGTCATATGGCACATGCTAAGAAAGTCAGACTGTCAACATATAAGATGAAATATATACCATCTCCAAGCAGCTTTCTGTGTCAATAAGAAAGAGGGGAAACCTCTGATATCCTGGGTAGGTAAAGGCGTGCTGAAATGGGACATAATAACTAGCTTGATTTTCTAGGGACTTGTGTTTCCATTCTACAGACTAAGTTACAATTTCTTAAAATGTTTCATCATCATAACTAGAACTGACCCTAAGAATATAAGATTATAATTTTATTTCACACACAAACACATACATGAGAAAATGCTGGTCTCCTCAAATTAATTTTTTTCCTGCCCATTGGTGAATTTAGAGATTCTCTAAGAAACAAAGTTTCTCTATAGCTTTCTGGCTTTACAGCCTCTATGGGATCCCTTTTGCCTACAGGATAAAATCTGAATATGTTATCATGGCTGATATCTGATCCCAACATCTTTCTCTAGCTTTATATTCCAAAATTGCTAGGCATGCACTTCACCCTTTATTCACTGAACTTCTCACTTTTCTTTGGAGAATGTCAGGTCTTTCATGACTCTGTTCGTGCCATTCCTGTTTCCTGGTGTGTTTTCTGCATTTTTCTTTGGTAAATCTTGTTCATTGGTCAAGATTAGATAGAAAAGGTTACCTTCCCAATGAAGCCACATCTAACTCTGTAACAGAGTCAGAGGACAGTTACTGCCTGTAACTGAGTCTTTTGGTATTTGTCAGCCACTGAGCATTGTTAATATGTCTGGAATAGCTTCTGTTCTGTTTGCCCATTCATTCAACAATACATTTTGAGCATCTTTAAGTATAGGTGCCGAATCCTGGGTCTACACGCTTACCAAGATGGCTAAGGCACCTGATCTTGTATTGAACTGTAATTAATTGTTAGGGATAGTCTCCCTCACTGGGCTGAAACTACAGAGGGTAGAAATATTTGTCTTATTTAATATTTGTGTCACCAGTGCCTAGAATTTTGCCTGGTTCAAACTAGGAGATAAGGAAATGCTCACTGGTGTTTCATGACTTCTTGCTGGAGAATATTGACCAGTTATATGAAATCTAACCTTTTAGTCAACCTAGTATACTTATAATCTCAGCTTCTAAACATGGAAGACTTGATATGGCCGTCATCACTGTATTTGAGATGTTACGGAATCTAATAATAACTTTTTGGTGTAACCCTTTTTATGCCTTTAGTGTGTTAGGTCAGATCCTGTGATGGGCACTTTGGCTCAGCACGTTGGAATGGCCTTTTCCCAGAGAGGAAACACATTCTCTGATTAAATGCCCTTAGCAGGCAGGGACAGGACACAGCTGGGGTTTGAATCAGGCTAAATCCCATCAGATTGGAAATCAAGAAGCTGGTGCTTTTGAAGATTATAAATCTGGAAAGCAACAGAGACAAGGGGCTGTGAGTCCCTGCCCAAAGCAGGTAGTGCCACTTCTCTTTGGCTTTCAGTGCTGGTTCTCTCTGGCTGATGCTTCCAGAATAACTTTAAAGATGGATACGTGTGAAGGGATAAGATTTTAATGCTAGAACCACTAAATCTACTCTCCCCCAACGCTTCAAAAAGGGAAGTAATCAAAGTCTTGGGAAAGACCTAATTGAGAATACGGAATGGCATGGAAATGAGAACGACTTGAAATAGAATGCCAGAAACTCTTGTTTCATGTCTCCATGTTTTTCTGAAAGGCATAATTACAATTTTACTTATAAGAATCACTTAAAGCTAGCAAGTCTGCCAGCCCACTGTTACTGGTGACTTCAGATCATGGAGTTCTGCTTCATGCGACTTTTTTTCAGCTTTTTGTATGTGTATACATCCCACTGGATGAAACTGCACTTCAGCACTTATTGTGGTGGCTTCTCTGTTCTTGGCTACAAGCCCACTTACTGGCGCCATTGCTAAAATGAAGACATTCAAAAGGGACAAGGGAGTCCTCTGCTTCCTCAGGCAGCTCCATGGATGTTGGAGCTGCCTGCACATCTGGCTATCTCTTGAGCAGACTCTCCCCGTCTCCTGAATACCCCATCTAAACAGACAGCCTATGCCGTGGAGCTCATTATTGCCCTAAGTGTTTGCTCTGGATCTGTGCTTCACCCGTTTTATTTACATGTTTTATTTTTCATTTTATGAACAAATCGATAACTATACTTACTCTTTATCACACTGGATTAGTTTTATTTATTCTGTTTGAATTTGATTAAAAAGCTGTCAAACGTAAGTCTACATTTTTATCAGCAGAATACTTTCATAAAACCAGTATGAGATGTGTTCAACTAGAACATACTTTTCAAAATAAAACAATGTTTGATATATTCTAGACAGTTACCCTTTTGTTTATCCATGACAACTGAAACTATCAAATGGATAAAGCAATCTAAGTCTAGTCAAGTAATCCTTAGGGCATATGAAAAAAAAGGCTTTAAAAAAGTTCTTTCTAGATGGATTTAATGTAATTCACCAATAAAGCATCCTCAGAAGTATAATAAAAATTCTACATAAAATGACATAGCCAGGGAAAAGGAAGATATACAGTTTGATGAAGATTCAAAATGGATGTTAGCATTAAAAATGAGCAGTCATGCAATTCCTGTGTAATATAAAGATCAAAATTGCAGGGCACTAATTTTGCTTCTAATTTATAAGATAGTGTGTTTATGGGACTACATTTGTATTTATAAAAAATTCAATGGCAAATGCTTTGAACTGTCATTTTTCTTGAGAAAAATTGCCATTCAACATGTTATATTTATAAATTTCACTGTATAGCATTGAAAATAGCTGGACTATATTTATATATACAAAAATGTTCTGGAAAGATGAAATATATATGTTTTGGTTGTGAACCTGATCTCCTTCGTTCAATTTACAAATTAATAGCTTCTGCCTTCCTACCTCTTTGTGTTCTATCCGTGTCCAAGTAACAGTATGGAGTCATGTTTAAGGCAGCCTGGATCTTGGGAAAGCACATGTGTGCACATGCACCCCTACTCCCAACCACACTCACTCACATCTCCACATACACAACCACACACCCAATTCCCTGGAGCAGCATTAAGGCCATTTTTTGAATATGTGCTAGTCTTTGCATATTATTTAATAGCATGAGGCATGCATGATGTGCTCCTAGAAGTGCTAGAAGGCATAGCACCAAAGGGGTTAATGTAGAACACATAGAGGCAAATATTGTCAATTATTTTATTCAAATGTTTGGAACTTAAACACAAAATCATCATTAAGTTTTCACAAAATGAGGCATCTGTCGCTTGAAAGGCAAAAAATATTTCAGAAATATGTTTACAGAAATGTAAAAATATTAGGCATCAAGACAGATGTGAACGTATTCAGTAGCTTGTCTTGTCTGTCAGTCTTCCTCTGAGCCGAAGATCTTACTGTACTCACTCAGCATGAGCTCAGCTATCTGGTTCTGGTAGACCATGTGGATCGCCATGTTTCCTGTTTCATTTTCAGCTCGCAGAAGGGTAGGTCCAAATACAATCCCCAAGCTTTGCGTGGACATGAGGTTCTTGGAGGCTTTGGCCACTATCCTGTGGAGAGAGAGAAAAAAAAATAATTTCACTGGAGTTTGAAGTGAAGTTATGGCTACTTTGGAGTGATTAAAAAAGGTTTCTCATTCAGGAAAAGTAACTGCATTATAACATTATTTAATCTTCTACCCTACATACTTTACTGTATGGAAGTAGAACCTATGAGTTTTGGGGAAAGGATACATTGCCTTGTCCAACTTTTTACCCCCATAATAGCTGAGCATTGTGGGTACTCAACAAATATTTGTGAAATGAATGAGTATATTAAACAGCAAAAATGACTGTGAAATTAATAAGATTCAGCCTTTAAAATGCTTAGAGACAATTGAGGAAACAGGTGAGAGGCATGCAAAAAAATATATATATAAGAACCCAAATGAAATAACCAGAACAATGTCTGCACAATTAGTAGCCTGAAAAAAATTAAGTTTTTCCTGATTAGTGTTGAGTAAAGTATTCCTGGCAAATGCTAACTGGAATATGTTTTGTAGAGGAGATAAGCTCTGAGACAGTTTGGTATATGGTAAAATTCTAAGTGTCTCCATTCATTTGGACAGCCAATTTAGCTTAATGCCACAATAAAATGCAGAATCCTGTAGCATTTGCACAGGAAAAGAGCCCCATTGGAATCAAATATGTATTTGCTTGTGTGAGGACCCTATGGAGAGCTGGAATACCAATGAAACACTAGGATTTGGTTTTATTAATGGTAATGACTTGCCTGTTCCAACACAGGACTCCTAAAAAGAAAATAAAGCCCCATCCTAGAAACTGATAATTAAAAAAGTAATGCTATTCTGACAGCTGAAGCCTACTTGATTTTATATTAAAATTCAGAAGAGTGGGGTTTTAGTGATAAGGAAATAAGGAAAGCATATGGAAAGAAAGAGTGCTAAGAAATATCAAACTCTTCATTCTACCAGACATCCAAACCCAAGGGAAATAAGAGTGTAGAAAATAAAGCAAAGCAAAGGAACACTTTTTTACAGGACAGTGGGGTCTCTGGCTTCAGAGCTCCGTGTGGAACATTGTTGAGGTGGTTGGACTTTAGAGGCCTCTCTTTGTTTGGCCTAAGTGGGCCTACATATCTCTGAATTACAGGTGGCAGAAAGACTGGTATTATAGTAGTCCCTGCTTATCTTCGGGGGATATTCTCCAGAAACCCCATCCCGCCGCCAGTGGATGCCTGAGACCTTGGATAGTACCGAACCAGATTGCCATCTATTGGAACATGTTTCTCTTCCATCCACAGATGTAATGCCTTTTCCATCTTAACTCAGCACTCATCATGCACTGCGGCCATAACTTTTGCAGTCTGAGGCACAACAGCAAAACTAGCACAAATTTATTTTTCCTACTTGACAATTTCACAGATGGAAGATTCATTCTTAACATAAATCATAGCAACCTCAGCATACAGTTTTTATTCTTTCCTTATTAAGTTGAGACCTTCCACCTTTCCACTGAATGGAAGCACGTTATGGCTTCTCTTTGGCATGTGTGAATTGCCAGCATCACCTACTCTTGCACGTTGGGGGCCATTGTGAAGTAAAATAAGGAATCCTCAAACACAAGCACTGTGATGCCACAACATTGATCTGATAACTAGGAAGGCTACTCTCTGAATAATGGCACCAGAGGAGACAGCTTGGAGACTCTGGACAAAGGGAGGAGTTACGTCCTGGTTGGGAGAACTCATCATGCTACTCAGAATGGTGTGCCACTTATTAATTGCATATTTCTGGAATTTTCCATTTCATACTTTCAGACTATGGTTGACTTTGGATAACTGAAACCGTGGAAAGTGAAACCACAGATAAGGGGGACTGCTGCATTTTTTTTTTCCCTTCACAAACCTGATTCTCTGAAGAACCACTTTTGTGACCAAGAGGCCATGCCGTCCATCTCTTGAAAGAGTTTGAGCAGGGCCTAAGCCATGTGTGTACTGCCTGGTACTTGCCCACCACCAAGCAAGCTCATGGCACATACTGTGGCCAGCAAAGCATATTTGACCTGACCAATATTAATAATAATCAACTACTGTTCTAAGCAATTTTATTGTCTCATTTCATCATCATAACAAGCCCATGAAGTAGCTTCTATTAAGCTTGTTCAACAAATGAGAAGACTGAGGCATAGAGTGGTGTGACAGCCAGTGTCACACAAGCTGACACTGACCCAGACTGCCCAGGCAGTCTGGGTCCAGTACCTGTGGAAGCATCACTGTCAGTGTCTGTAATGACTCCTGGCCCTAGTAACTGGGCCGGCTTTTCACTCTGCCACCTTCCACCTGACTATACGATCCATCGTAAGAAGGTCTGAATTTTCGTTTTTTACTCTTAGAATTGTAATGGACAGCCTGGTGATAGTAGATTTCTTGTGGCCAAAATCACTCAAATTTAGACTGAATATTCAGGATATTCTGCTTCCCATTTTCCCTTTTCTTCTGCTTTAAGCAGATAGCATTTGTACCTGTGAGCACTGTTGGCATGGCTACATTTCTGGAAGGGATCCTCATATTTTTAGAGTGTGAGTTATCTGAGACTTCAAATTTAAAGTTTCTTTTGGAACATAAGAAGCTATGCCACTTTGTTATTTCATTTGCCAAAATCCTATTGAGTGAATTAAGCATCCTCCTGTCTGTAGAGGGCAAGTGGAATGGACCTTTGCTTCTCTTTAACATGCCCATCTACCTCAGTTTAAGATCTCTCCTGAGCCTCTCCCAGATATGCCTATTATAAAAGCCATTAGTAAGACTCACAATACAGGCAATGCAGGTTTTTCCCAATTTGGTTTTAAATTAATACCTTTTTATGATGGGAACTCCTTCATTAATTTTACCACACACACACACACACACACACACACACACACACACATATTTTAGAGGCAAATATGGAGATAGATAAGATAAATAATCAATTGAGTACTTATTAGGTAAAAGTTCTTTTAATAACTTTACCCATTGGTAGCAAATGCCTAAATTGATAAGATTTATCTAGCAGAGAACAGGGCTCAGAGGTCATGGGCCATGGAGAAGGTAGAAGCAAAAGCAAGACTGTATTGAAGGTACAAAGGTGAATGGGGCATCTTGGCCAACAGGGTAGTAGAACATTAGGACTTGGAGTCCAGGAAATCTGAAAGGGCAAAAGGATGATGTAAACATTGACAGGATTGAAGATAGAGTTACCTATTTAATTATGGCTATAGTTTTAGTTGGTGCAGAGACAGTGAGATTAAGGTATCTGGGAGCCAAAACTGAGACCCACAAAGGTGAGGCTAAAAATCAAGGGAGATGAAAGAGCTCATTAGTGGAGGGATAGTCTGAGGCTATGGGAGTGGAAGCTGGAAGGGGTCTATAGCTTTGGAGGAGCTTGGGTGGGTGGAGGGATAACTCAGCTCTCAAAGGGGACTCAGGCATTGAAGGGAGAGCAGGAAAACTGAAACGGGGCTGGACTATTTACTATTTCTGCAGCATTCTTTTTATTTTCCCTGCTCAGCAAAAGACCTGGTCTTGGAAACCAGAGCAGGGCCAAATGTGGGGGAGTGAACCAAGGAAGTTTGAAAGGGGAAAGAGATTATGTAAAAGTAGACGATTGAAGATACAGTTATAGAAGGAAGAGTTGGAGGCTAGAGCTGCGTGTCTGAGTACCTCCTTGGGGAAAGCCATGTGCCTGCATGTCTGAGTCTCCCTTGGGAGAAGGCTTCTCAGCCACTGGGCCACCGTGGGGGACTCCTGTAATGAATTTCTGCGAATGCAAATTACCTAAATTTCCTGTGGAAAAATGTTCATTTTGTGCTTTTATGCATGTGTCAATATAAAATATTCATTCTGCCTCAAACCTCTATCCTTTATGTCCATTTCCCTGCACGTTTTCCATTTGCTTTTAATAAAACTTATGCACGTTTTAAATAATCTCATTTAAAAAATAAATTTTTAAAATAAATTTAAAAAATAACACATAGTTTTGTATTCCTGTTATATTTGCATTATTGCAGGTTAAATTTTTTCAGCAGCTTGAAATTTTTTTCCTGAGTTAGGAAAATCAAGTTACTTGTAGTAACTTTAAAAAAAATTAAGAGTCATTAAGAAAGAAAGTTAGATATAGTATTATATAGAACACAGGCTATCTGGCTTATTTACTATTTCAAAATATGTATGTATGTGTATATATGTAATCTATATAAATATATACATAAAATTTATATGTATATAAATATATTTATATACATACATATACATATACATACATATACATATACATACATATACATACACATATACATACACATACATATACATATGCAATTTGCATATATATGCAATTTATATATATGCAATTTGCATATATATGCAATTTATTATTTATATATATGCAATTTATTAAGATATATATATGCAATTTATTTTCCAAATATCAACCAAACAGTAGTTCATGTGTGAAGAAATCACTGTCTTTAGGTTAGAAAAGGTGAAGGTAAAGATCAATTTGGGGTAGAAGTCATCAAATACTGAACTATATAATTCATGTTGACTAATACATTCTCATATTAAAGTTTAAATTATGTGGGGATAGACATTTCCAGCAAAGAAGGCCCCCAAACTGGGAATGTCTGGGAAAATGTATTAATGCTGTTATAAATGTCATGATTCAAATGGAAGCTTACGTATTCCCTACCATGCTGGACTCCTAAATAGTTAAGTGGTTGATTTAGGATTACAGAGGAAATCAACCACAATTTCAAATATACAGTTAGAATACTATCCTGCAAAATTATATTATTATATGTCTCTCTTTTTACATCTAATTATTACCTATTTTTTTTTAACCTCACATCAATAGAAACCATAATTTCACTCCTACTGTGGGGACCAGCTAGAGATTATTTCTGAAGGTTTCAACTAGTAAAACATATGTAGAAAAGAAATATAGGCTGCTGGAAGAAATAAAAGGCTTTCATGGAATAATATAACTCAATTTAGTATCTTAGATGGAAAACTCTCAAAAACAGTCAGGTGTACTTCAAGTAGCTTGAGCTTTAGTTGAGTTGTATTGTTGGAGGGGTGGATCTGATCCAGAAACCATATACATTTTTACCATGGATTTGGCAATATCTTTCAATAAAGTGGGTTCTGTAAAACACCATTTCTCTGATATGCTTCACGAAAAATGGCATTCCAAAGTAAAAGTTTTGGAGAAAATTGAGTGCCACTTTTTCTTCTTGGATATTCACAATGCATAAAAGCATAATAAAGGCTCTGAAAAGTCCTGCAGAAAAAAAAAATCCTTGCCAATCTTTAACTTGTGTCCTCCCTAAATTACTTGAATCTTGTACATAGGTTCTCTTTTTTGAGTAACACTGAAGAGTGTATATGAAGAAATGCTGTTCTATGTGTTTTGCTAAGGACCTACCATATACAAGTCTGAAAATGTTAGGAATTTTATCCTCCTATGCCACCCTGGCTTCACAGCTCTGTAGCAGCTAACTCAGAAGTCAGATTCTGGTCATTCCGGCTAGTTCCACCCCTCTGGTAGGGCTTAGGTTTCATTAGGCCCTTAAATTCCTTAACTGTGTTGTAAAGTTTGAGCTACCATTTAACCTGTTTTTAGCAAAGAAATGAAAGAAACTCCCCTTTTATGACAAAACAAAGGCCAAAAGGCAAAAGAACTAATCTGAATGAGAAAGGTAAGGAAAACACGTGGTTGAGACATTAGCATGATAGTGGGCAAGGAGGCCCCAAAATATTTAGACCTTATGTCAATATTTGGGAATTCCTCTTGATGTATGTTGACTCATCATTAATTTACTCCCAAGAAATCATAGCAAAGATACCTGATTCTAAGCAACATGAAGAGCTCAAAGTTTAGTGCCTCTGAATGCTTAACTAACAGAAAAAAAGGCCCCAAACTGCAATTCTTGAAAAAGGCTATTTATTTATACTGCTTAGTTTTAAATAGCCTGACAAAAATATGATTTTATGAATTTGTTCATGAAATAGCACTTTGTATGTATTCCTAGTAAAAGCATTTCTTATACCACTAAGTAAAATTCAAGTTTATAAAATCTTAGAATGAGTAAGAATTCAGTTTTCTAACAGGAGCTGAGAAGTGATACACAGTTTACAGCATTAAAAAAAGGAAATGTGAGTGCTACCTTTTGTCAGGCCCAAATGGGAAGAACAATGATCCATCAACTTAAGTTTATTTTAGAAATAATTTATAATCCAGTGCTACAGATGTTGGACCCCCGGAAAAGAAATCCTCTCAAAAAAGCCTTATGCTGGGTAAGTTTTTCCCAAAATGAGCTGAATTGCTAATTCAAAGAAATTTCTTAGTCACATAAAATCACAGCCAAATGACTCGAACTGAAAGAAAACTTTAATATACAACCAAAAATTAATGCTGAATTAAGAAGACCAAAGCCTTTAATAATAGTTCAGCTCCAAACAGATTTATGGATGTGAACTTTCTTTTAAGTTTGTGCTTTGCTGTTACTATAGTGACTTGCAAAGTGTGTTGAAAGTCACATAATTGCCTGGAGGACAACTCTCCAGTTATGAAGGTGTATTAGAAATGTTCCCTTCTCTATCTGTGGAATGCCATGATTTTCCAACACACATAACTTTAGGATAGTTTTACGGAGTAAGGAGAGTGTGGTGGTAAATGTATTCCTGCCATCAGGTCACACCTGGCTTGCAAAATATAGCTCAGCCACTGCATGTGAAATGTTAATTGTGACTTTGACCACTTAACTAAAGAGAGGCTGTTAAAAATAGAATAAATTTTCAATATGCTCAACTTATGTTTCCTATGTGCTATAACTATTTCGGGGGGGATCTATGCTAACCATATGCTTGCCTACCCTCAATTTGCACAAACTGTACTGCTATCTACACTGGCCTTTTTATAAGATTGAGGACTTAGCAGAAATTCCACCTTCTTCTTTAAAGTTATAGTTGTATGCCAGAAACATTCTCAAGTATTGGAAAAGCAGGGGAGCATTCACAAGTGTTTTTGCATTTAACATTAGTGTGTTTCGAGGTGGTCACTCAAAGATAATTCAGCCATTTTTTATATGCCAGTTTACATATCCATTAGCTTAAACAAATTGAAAAGTCTTCAATTTTATATCTAAACATCATGTCATTCTTATTTTCCAAAACAACTATCATCCTAAATAGGAATTATTGCTATATTCTGACATTTTTGCTTTTGAATAAAAGCAAAAAATTAGCTTTAAAGTTAGGTGTATATAATTCTTAGTACATTATAGCAAAGGAGCGTTATATGGCAGTTGAATTTTGATAGCTAACATGGCCAGATTATTTGCATTTATTGAACCTCTGCATGAATTTCAATGCAGAAGATTGAAACATTTTCAATTCACTTGTTTCATATTTTTATTGATTGGGCATTACAGTGATATTCTAAAGTATCTCTAAAGCAATATTTAGAATATTTAATAAGATGTGAGAACTAAAAAGTAAAAAAATGAATGGCCCACAGGCTTCAATTTATAATTTATTTCTTATTAGAATATATGTTCTGTAAGGTGATAACAACCACAGATAAAATGGAATATCAGAACCAAAACCCTGACATAGTAGATAATACCAAAAAGAAACATTTACAGTAGTTACTGTTTGTTACTATTAATACCTTCTATGTGCTAATCACTGTGCTTCAAATATATCACAAATTTTAAAGGCAGATTTTAAAATCAGCTTTAATTTCTTTTTTTGATGATAAACGCATTCTATTAGAGAAAATTTGAAAAGTTTAGAAGAGTATAATAAACACTGGGAACTCGATGTAACCATTTATTAGTTCATAAAAATCTATTGCGTACTTACTATGTGTTTGACACTATTCTGGATATTAGGGATAGTGCAATGAGTAAAACAGACAAAATCCCTGCTCAGATGAAGCTTAAAATCTAGTGGGGAAAACAGACAACAAACCATACACTAAGCAATATACAATGTGACTTCAGGCCCTGAAGTACTTCAAGAAAAGCTAAGAAAAAGAGAAGTAATGGTTCTTCCACTGACCCTAGGGAACTTTAAAAAAACCCTGATGGCTTGGAATCCATTCCCAGAGATTCTCTTTTATTGAATATTGGGCAAGGCCAGGCTGCCTTCATTTTTGAATAGCCCCCAGGTAATACTAATGAGCAGAGAGTGGTAAGAAGTGCTACGTGTATTAGACGGAGTGCTCAGGGAAGCCCTCTCTAAGGAAGGGAGATTTGAGCAGAGTCCTGTCGAGGTGCACATATCAGGGGAACAAGTGTTCTGGGCGGGGAATGGTAGGTACAATACCCTGGTGGTGAGGAATGCAGAGCATAGTCTGGCTGGAGGCCAGGGAGCAAAGGGAAAGAGGTAGGAAATGCTGCGGAGGGACTTAGGGGTCATGGTAAAAATCTGGGACTTATTTCTAAGGGTGATGGAAATCATTTCTTTGGGTTCGAGCAGGAGAATGACACTGTTGGCATTTAGAGATGATAGAAATGTTTGTATAATGTATCTACATACAACTTTGAGAAAATGCACTTTATATAATTCTGTATCTGGCATTTTTCACTTCTAACAGGAATAATTCCTATGACTTATATATGTAATATATATCACTTCATCATTACCTTATATGGAAGAGAATGAATTGTGCCATATGCTTTCGTGGTATAAGTGAGATAAATAAATAAAACCTTCCCATGTACTCTTCCTCCACATTTTGGAGTATTTTTTTAGGCAGTGGTTCCCCATTTAGGAGCAATATTGTACCCTGTCCCAAGCCCCACCCCTCCACCTATGAGAGATTTGGCAATATCTGGAGACAGTTTTGATTGTCATGAGCAGGTGGGGTGGGAAATTGCTACTGGTGTCTAATGGGTAGAGGCAAAGGATCCTGCTAAACATTTTGTAATGCACAGGCAGCTCTGATGACAAAGAATTATCTAGCCCCAAATGGCAATAAAGCTGCAGATGAAGACCTCTGCCTTAGTGTAAAATAATAGAAATGTAACAATTCGATCCGTGGTTCTCAAACTTTACCCTTCATGAAGATAATTTGGAAGGTATTAAAAGGCAGGTTGCTGGGCTCCACCTCCAGATTTCTGATTCAGCAAGTCTGGGGAGAGGCTTGATAAACAGCATTCCTGTCAAGTTCCCAAGTGGTAACAGTACTGCTGGTCTGGTTGGGAACCACATCTTGAGAACCAGCACCAGATTATCAAGTTATGGCTCTTTTTTCCTTAAAACATAACATGTGGGAGGGCCTATTAGTCCTGTTAGCAGTATTATAATTTGGTATTATTCTTTTTAAAAATAACTGCCATACATGAAAAATAGTCTGTCATTCTTTGAACTTAGGATTCTTTGAATTTAGGAAATGGGGAAGAAGTTAATAAAGCAAACAAGCAGTCGTGTGTTTCCTCTCCTGTGAATATCTCCTGCCCTCTTTCCTATTTAGAGTGTATACTTTTATGTTTGTTTGTTTAACCCATTTTATTTTGTACAGCAAAACTAATACATGGTCTTTTGGGAAAAAAAAAGTACTAATCAGAACTATTGAAAAGTAAAAAGTAAAAACCTCCCCTGTTTCCTAGTCAAATTTCTTCATAACTATAATTAACAGATGGGTGTTCCTTCTGGATGTTTTTCTACTCATCTATCCATCTACCTATTTTATATATATTTATATATATATACACACACACTTGTATATAAATAATTTTTTTCCTTTTTAGAAAAGATGAAATAAAAAATACATAATGTGCTATAATTTGCTTTTCCCCCCTTAACTATATATCACGGGCATGTTTCCAAGTCAGTACATATAAAAATACCTCATTCTTTTAAAAAAGTTGTTATATTTCATAGTATGGAAATACCTTAATTTATCTAACCATTTCTCTGCTGGTTGGTTTTTAGGTTGCTTCTTCTAATTCTTTGCTATTACAGACAATGCTACAGTGAAATCCTTGCATATGTAGATTTCTAAGTTTCTTTATGTCTTAAGAGTAACTTTTCATTACTTTTGTGGCACATACATTCTCCCAATTCTTGTGTTTCTTAATTTTATTTACTTAAGTTCTTATGTAGTCATATCTAGTACTATTTCTTTTGGATTTTATCTTTGTTTTTATTATTATAAAATCCAACCATTTAAAGAGATCAGATAACTATTATCAAAGTCTTGTTTTTAAAAATGATTTTAGATTTTAAAAGCATATCATCTAATTCATTGTAAATATTTTTGTTGTGTGAAATTTGATGGTACTCTGAATTTACTTTTTTTCTGGAAACCAGCTGATTTTCCCTATGACATTTGTTGAATAAACCACCACTCTCCATTGATTTGTGGTACTGCCTTTTTTGTGCAGATTGCCTGCAGTCAGCCACACACCCTGGTATACGGTACTGTGCTGATAATCTCTATGTATGTATGTATGTGTATATATATATATATTTTCTTTTTGAGACAGAGTCTCACTCTGTCACCCAGGCTGGAATGTAGTCGCATTGTCTCGGCTCAATGAAATCTCCACCTGCCAAGTTGAAGCGACTCTCATGCCTCAGCCTCCCAAGTAGCTGGGATTACAGTCACGCGTTACCATGCCTGGCTAATTTTTTGTATTTTTAGTAGAGACGGGGTTTCCCTATATTGGCCAGGCTGGTCTCAAACTCCTGATCTAAAGTGATCTGCCCATCTCAGCCTCCCACAGTGCCGGGATTACAGGCGTGAGCCACTGTGCCCAGCCTCTGTGTGTATTTTGATTCAGTACTCTGCTGTTTAAATCACTGTAACTTTACTGTATATTGGGATATTTCTCTTCCCATTTTTTTTTTCTTTTGTTTAGACGTAAGAGAAAATTTTCAGGTGAACTTTTTCAGATGAACAAAATGACCCTGAGAAAGACTGAAAATTTGATCCAAGCCACACAGGCAGTAAGTGGCAGAGCCTAGATTAAGATGCAGATCTTTATTACTCTGTGATATAAATGTATTTTCTGCAAGTAGCTAAGATCCAAGAATTTTGAATTTGACATCAAGAGACTTCTTAATGGAGAGGCCTGAGACCTGAGGAAGACTTGGGAAAAAAGTGAGTCAGAGTCAACAAGAAGTCTTGGGTGACATATTTTGATTTTTTAATCACCTAATTCACATCCAAGGATATATCTGCACAGATAAGAAGGGTGTTCAGATGGAAGAAAAACCAAATTAACATGTATTACCTTTTTTCCATATTCACACAGATTTAAAAACTTCTGAAAGCATTCATATCTCATTGTAAATGGAAATGCCCTATTAGCACAATGATTATTTCAGTTATTTTTTTTTTTAGGTGTTTTTCCTCATGCTTTTAAAATGGTTTTAGCCATTTGCATTTAACTGTCTCAGCAGTAAAAGAATTCTTAATCTTTATTCCCTGAGCTCTGCTGATACACCAATAACCACTGATAATATCAACATCCTGGGAAGGCATCGCTCTGCATTTAGGGGAGAAAGGCTAGCAAATATATTATGTTGGGAGTACTTTAAGCAATAAAAAAATTATAAGACTGTCATTATTTTCTACCTGAATTAGTCCAATATAGCTATTTAAAAACTAGTATGTGCTAGTAATATTTTAGACAGAACTTTGAGTGTTGTGCATGGATCAGCATTAATTAAGCCAAGCAGAATAATGCACCTAATTATAAGTTATTAGTGGAGTATATAGTACTTAAATATTTGCCTTGTGACGTTAGATAAACATAAAAGGAATATTTTCAGTATGCAAAGTATTCCTCAACTTCTCTTTTGTTTTTCCTTTTTATATAGGTGAAGAGAAGAGCAACTTTACTTTTCATTGAGGGCGCCTACATAAAATCTTTAGCAGTTTTCTTGAAAATTGTCTCCTTGTTTAAATGACTGAAAAATAGTCAAAGGAGAATCAGTTGCAATTTGGGTATCATCATTCAGTTTGTATGCGCTTAATTTTACTTTCTGAGGAAAAATAAGTTTTAGAGTTTTTTTTTTTGAGATGGAGTCTCACTCTGTTACCCAGGCTGGAGTGCAGTGGCAAGATCTCAGCTCGCTGCAACCTCTGCCTCCCAGTTTCAAGTAATTCTCCTGCCTCAGCCTCCCAAGTAGCTAGGATTACAGGCACCCGCTACCACACCCAGCTAGTTTTTGTATTTTTAGACAGGGTTTCACCATGTTGGTCAGGCTGATCTCAAACTCCCTACCTCAGGTAATCTGCCTGGCCCTCCAAAGTGCTGGGATTACAGGTGTGAGCCACCACACCTGGCCAGTTTTAGACACTTTCTGCAGTGACTTTAAGAGGGACACAGTAAAACTAGTGAGCACCAAGGTGAATGTGCCCAGAGAGTGGCTTCTAAATGGAAGAGCGCAGGAACTGAAGGTGTTTGGTTAGCAGGGGGGAAAGAATATTTAGGGAAGTCATGACTCAATGCAAAAAGCCATGATGTGAAAGAAAGAATAAACTTTCCTCTTGTAATCCAGTTACTGGAATTGGCCCAGAGATGGATTTTACCTTTGTATGAAGAATTAGTGTTGTAAAAATAGAAAAGACTGCTTCAAAACAGTAATGCATTTACATGTACTGCAGAAAATTTAGAAAATGCAGACAAAGATACAATAAGAATCCCTCATAATTCTACTACTTAGATATTACCACTATTGATATTTGGTATAGATCCCCCCCCCCCATATATGCTGGCAAAGCATTGGGAGCACCTATTAAAGATATTAAAGATTTTATACCAAAAAAGGCTATGAGTTCCCCATCAAGAGAAGTATTCAGGCAGGATGTTTGAGATTCCTGTATTGGATGGAAGGTTGAACAATCTTTGAAGTGTGGTTTGGGCTGCCGGATTAATGATGAAAGAGTGAGCATTCTGGGAAAGTCAAAGTATCATCTGGGGATAAGATGAGATAGTAGATAATGACTGAGCCTTCTTCTCTACCCTTCCTTGTACATTGGGTCTTTCCCCAATGTTCAGTCAGCAACACTGTGCCCTCAGTTCAGGGGTGATGCAGAAAAGCAGAAGTCCTTTTAATTTTTGCAAGGCAAGGCAGTTGAGTTGCAAAGGACTGTGTTTTTGAGTTTCAAAAGCCTAAGTGCCAAAGGCCTCAGAGCTGCAGCCAAAATATGGATGGCCTGATCAGTAGATTGGAAGGTAGATAAAGAGCCAGGCTGCTTTGCTGCCAGGCTAGAGAAAGATTTTCTGGACTTGGGGAGGGAGGGTCTAGGAAAGGTGAGACTTTGATGAGGTCCCACGTAAGTGGCCCAGGCCCTGGTCCTTGCTAATCCCGTTCCCTGGGAGTGCAGGCTGTTAGAAGGCTTGAGGATCCTGAGAATCAGACAGATCTGTATTCTTCTCTTTGGGGAAGACCTAGTAGTATGGCAGGATTCCAGAGCTGCCTACACCTAGTATATCAGGAGCAGTTAAGTAGAAATTGCTGCTTTGTATATCTAGGCAGGGTGGCCAAAGATAGCTCACAGAGTACTCTGTGAAGAGTGACTGAGATCCAGACCTGGGATTGGAAGTTGGGGATGATGACTGCAAATGAAAAGGGAATGAAGACCAGCCTGCAGAGGTGGGAAAAACTAGATACTTTCTCTGCTGCTAATCTGCTTTATTATCTTTCTCCAGCAGAATATAAATGCCGTAAGCACAAGGACTTTATCTGTTTTTGCTTAGTGCTGTATCCATAGACTAAGATTAGTATTTGGCTCATGGTATTAAGTACTCAACAAGTATTTGTTGAAACGCTGTATTAATGGATATCCTTTCTGCCCCTCCACCAAATGCTTCGGCTTTACATAGCCCTCCAGAACTAACAACATCACCAGAAAAAATCTGGAAGACAGTCTTAACTGACCAAATTCAAGTCATTTAGAAGAATAGGGCCTGAAAAATAAATTAATTTTAATGTTGGCACAATAATTACATTTCCTGCACACCTAAATTTCACCCTGATGGTGAATTAGAACATTAGATCTGTGGAGGAGACTAGTTGGTGTAATGTATGAGAGGACAAGAAGATGAAGGCAAAAATAAAAAGCGCAACTGTTTGAGAACTTAAGGGCCTGTAATTGTTCAGTGTGTCTTTCCTTCGCATATATTATCTGACAATGAGTTTCCAAACATGTACCTAATTTGAACAAAACTGGTGAGAGGAATTTAGAATAGAGAGTAATTTTTATCTGTTTTATGCTATGGTTGGATTGAAGCTAAAGATAATGATGCCATTTTTTTGGCCATCTAAAATTTGACCATATAATTTTATTTTTGGTAAAATGCTCGATGCATCTGCAGGAATATAAACCCTTTCAAAATGTATGTAATACTTTGCTCAAAGATAGAAAATAATTTATTTTGCATTTACACATATAAATTTATCATCTGTACTACGTTGAAGGAATGGATTGTGCCAGTTTCTGCATATGTCCCTGTAAATACGGATGCTGGGCTAACTCATGATTCTATCGTCCGGTACGTAGAACTGTGATCACCTGTTCTAAGAATTTCTACATGAAATGCCTCATCTTTTAGGGACCACTATCAAGCATTATATTAAGCTTTATAACAGAAGGCTCTTAGTCTGTTAAGGGGCCATTCGTACATTTGTCAATTTGATAATTATGGTGGCTGCTTTGCTTGCAGAGATGGGCCACTTAGATCTCCTTTCAAGGAAGGACTACCTGCATAGCTGCAGGGATAGCTGATGGCTGCCAGCTATCTTCTTCACGGTTTGCCTCAATTGCAATAAGCCTCCTTGCTCAAGGACACTGACTGATCTGTCAACATATATTTTATGTTATGTATGTATTTAAGAGACGAGCTTATTCTGTCGCCCAGGCTAGAGTGCAGTGGCACAATCATAGCTCATTGTAACCTCTAACTCCTTGGGTCAAGCGATCTTCCCGCCTCGACCTGCTGAGTAGCTAGGACTACAGGTGTGTGCCACCATGCCCGGCTAATTAAAAAAAATTTTTTTGTTTTGTAGAGATGGGGTCTCACTATGTTTCCCAGGCTGGTCTCGAACTCCTGGCCTCAGGTGATCTTCCTGCCTCAGCCTCCTGAAGTGCTGGGATTACAGGTGTGAGCCACTGCTCTGGCCCCTACTCAGTCAGTCAGTATAAAGCCTGGACTATTTCTGCCCACTGTGGGACGACTTTGACAGGCTCTATGTGCCCCAGAGCTTCCTGTGGGTCTGGCTGAAGCTTTCTTGGGTCTGCACTTCAGTTCAGCTTATTCCTCTGCCCAATCCTGTTGCCCACCTCCTTCCTTCCACAGGGGTTAACCTTTAACAATGCCCTGGATGCCAAACTCTGTTTCAGGGGCTCCTTCTGGAGAACTGAACCCATGATTATTAGTTCTATGAGTGGTCCCAGAAAGCCAGCAATAAGATGGAGATTTGGAGCTGGGTCACTCGCAGCCTGACTGGCAATGAGGAGTCCATCGATGGTGGCAGGTGGAATGCAGGCGGGTCCTGGCACAAGGTGGCAGCCCAATTGTGAAAACTCACCCTGGTGGTGAATTAGGACATTAGATCTGTGGAGGAGACTAGCTGGTGTAAAGTATGAGGCATTTAGAAATAATAGTGGGAGGTTGTGGATAGTAACTCCAAGGTCAATGAATTGAAGAGCTGTTGCTAAGCATCGTTGATATTCTACAGAAAAGTTGTATGTGATTATAGGGGCCTTTACTCTGTAAATGAGGGTTGACTATAGGAGAGTCCATTACAGAACTAGGCTCACTGATTGTAATGGGGATGCTGAGACACTGGTAATAGAGGCCAGCTGGTGGGGCTTAATTACTAGAAGCCAGGTAGATGCAATTTTAATAACAAGTGGCAGGGTTGAGGGGCAGCCAAGGGGGCCCGACTCAGAGAATTATGAGATGGTCGCTAGAACATAGCATCCTCTGGAACAAAATAAATGGGCAGTCAGGAAGGATGCTATTCTCTGTATATCATTGTATTTGAATGATATATCAAATCACTGTCTTCTAAGCTACTGTTGCTTTCTTGCCAGGTGGAGCTTCTTGGGTCCAGGCACCAGCAGTCAAGGCAAAGAGTCACCATCTAGGCAGGTATAATTAACTGTGATCAAAGGGCGGAGGCAAGGTTGCTGTTACACCAGGGGGACAGAGTGGCACCCAGATGATCCACATAGGGCTTCCAAGTTCTCTGTTGCCCAGTTGTGATGGGGCATTAACAGGGCAGAAATTCTTGTCTGAGAAGACATGGTATGTAGGAGCTTGGATCTCCCATGGATGAGGGTCTGGGACATTACATTAGGGCAGCCACCACGACCAGCAGACGCCATTGTTGAGGATGAGGGGAGTCTCGAATAGAGAGTGGAGGATGGAGACAATGAGCTGGGCTCAGGTCCAGCTGTAGCTGCAGAGCTTGTAGTTCATCCTTCTAAAGATTCCCCTTCAAAGATCTCCTCTCTCCCTGAGAGTCCTGGGGGAGCTGCTTCTCAAATGAACATGAAGAACACACTCCGAGCACCACAAAGGGTGGACTGTGCTGGACCCTTGATGTGCTACCCAGGTCTCTCTTTGAGGAAAGACTTGTTGCCCAGTTTCCAAGTGTCAAGTCCGCAGGCAGCTTCAGCTGTCAGCCCCTGCAGGGTTTGCCTCAGCTGAAGAGAGCCACCTCACCCCAGGGGACTCTTGGAGACAGCCCACGGCCAATGACTGATCACAGTGAGTGTATCAAGGCCAAGCCATCTTCATCCTCCCGGAGACAACTGTGATGGGCCCTGGATGCCCCAGACCTTCTGTGGGTAGCCAGGCTTTGTCCGGCCCAATGTCATAGTTTGACTTCTCTTTCTACCCCATGCTGCTCCATCTTTACTTCTGTTGGTGTTAATAGGTAACTGGCGCCATGTTAAATCTAACCTGTGACAGCAACCATGAGCTCTGGGGAGTCAGAGAAGTTCCAATAGAAATAGAGCTGGCTCATGAAAGGGAAGACCTGACATCTAATGTGGAGCCTAGATCTGAACAGCCTTGTGTTCACGCATCATTTCCCTCCCCCTTTGAATTCATGCTTAATTATCAGCAAAACTGAGATAAAATCATCACGCTATATCTGTATAGTACTTTATATTTTCCAAACTTGTTCTGATCATTCTAGGGCAGAAATTCTCTATCCAGACTGCATATTAATATCATCTGTGGAACATTCAAAACCATATTAACCTCTGGGACCCATCCACATAAAATCTGTTGCAAACGGCTTGCAGTTAGGCCTGGGTACATTTTAAACGCTCTGCATGTGATTCTCTTCTAACTGGAGGGAAAGAACCATTGCTCTTGATCTGGAAGCTCAAAATCTTAAGTGCTAGTTCTATAGGTACTGACTGTGATCTTAGATGGGCCCTACCATTTCTCTGAGCCTCAGATTCTTCATTTAGAAAGTGAAGTTAATGGCAAAACTGATCTCATAGGTTGTTTTGAAGATTAAATTTAAAAATGTATGTGAAAACCCTTTGCAAGCTAGAGAAACATTTTTTTTTTCTTGAGACTGATTTACGTTTTTGCTGCCTGTGCCGGAGTGCAATGGCACTGTCCCGGCTCACTGCAACCTCTGCCTCCCTGGTTCAAGCAGTTCTCCTGCCTTAGCCTCCTGAGTGGCTGGGATTATAGGCATGCGCCATCATGCCCCACTAATTCTTTGGATTTTTAATAGAGATGGGGTTTCACCATGTTGGCCAGGCTGGTCTCGAACTCCTGACCTCAGGTGATCTGCCTACCTCGGCCTTCCAAAGTGCTGGGATCATAGGTGTGAGCCACCACGCCCAGCCAGAAACATTAATTTTTATTATATGTGATTACATTTCTTTCTGTCAATTGTTTTATAAACATGGAAAGGGAGATTAGAACTCACTGGTTTTCCACTCTGGCTCAGGCTTTTAATAAAGGAAAGGAATTGCACAGAGATTCTGATTTGGTAGTTCAGGGTTGAGACCCGGGACTCAGAGTTGCTAAAAAGCTTCACAGATGAGCCTGGTGTGCAGCCAGGGTTAGGGACTTCTTGGTTAATGATCTGTCCAAAGGTTACACAGTGCTAATAAAGTCAAAGAACCAGGGACTCAACTCTAGCCCTTTCCATGCTTCTCTAGAGTTTTATCTACTATTATCCATGCTGAGTGCTCTTTCGTGTACATACTTATTGTAACATTGTATGTTAATCATAAAATATAATAATAGAGATAAAAGGGATTTTGAATTTAAAACATATAAATATAATGTGTTATGATTATTAAATGTTAAAATAATTACTCCTATCCCATTAGCACTAAATCATATGATTTGTGTGCTTTTAGTAAGGGGTGAAACTCTGTAGGTAACACAAGCTATTTTTAAGATTATATGAACCAAGCATAAATTAAACAATGTGACACCAAGGCTGAAATAATGTACGCAAGTACTAAATGAAACGTTTAAGGGAATTCAAAATAGAGTAATGAACTGTTACCTACTGTTCCCCTATCTTGAACATGCTGACTTAATGTGGCATCATGAAGGAAGAGAATGGAATAAAGAGAGAGAGAAGGATGCATAGAGAAATGAAGATCGTTTTCGTGTGATCATGACCAGGCCATTCATATTTCTCTTATAGCCTGGAAACAATTTCATACTTATTGGAAGATGTGACCTTGAAATGTTCCTTACTTGCAAAAAGACAAATATTCTCGGAGCCGGGTGTTAGCTGGTGGACTCATCTGTCCTGCCTGCCCTTCGATTGGAGGCCACTGCAGGCAGAATGCAGACTGGAGTGGAGCAAGTGTGGTACTTATTTTTTACATTTCCAGACTTTAGGGTAAGCTCTCTTTGACAGCACCCTGACTTCTTTAACACAGCAAATCTTTAATCAGTGTAGATATGTTAAAATGTGATTTTTTACAGTGAATTGACCTGAGTTGAGTACTTGAGTTGTAATGTGTATTTTTTTCCCCCTCTCAAAAGCTGACTTGTAGGGGGAAAAAAAAAATCAGATATTCTATGATATACTTTGCCTTAGTGACAAGATGTTTTGGGGGAAATCATCCAAGCTTGAAATAAAATCTTTATTGAAAGTAATTCTACATTCATGCCAGTCAGATACATTGTTGGATTAGACCAGATATCCCAGGGGAAAACTATGGTATATGCAGCAGGCTGAGTTGATTATTTGGGCCTCCTGTCAGTTTTTAACTTCCTGACAATGGCTGAAGCATTCACGGCCGCTACAACTCTGTTTTCATCTTTATTTTGAGAGAAAGTTAATACACTTTACCTTAACTATGCCAAATGTACTGGAAAATAACCCAGTAATAAGATATACTCCGCCTACCAAGTGATATCTGTGTGTAGAGAGCATTTAGCTGTGCATTTTAAGGAAACAAATACACGCAGCAAATGACTGAAAGATATTGTGATTATTTTTTCTGCTTGAACTTTAAAATTTTCTTGGCAAAGCCTCCTGTGTGCTGTCTTAAAACCAGTAGGTATACATAATCGTGGGGCCAAGTAAAATTTCATTGCAAATTCCCTTCAAATGGCAGGGCAGCTTTTCTTTCCCCCTATATTAGAGTGATTTAGTTATCAATGTTATTTGACATCAAAAACAAAGACATAGGTGGGCCAGGTGACATTTGTTTCCACTTAGAGAATCAACAACAGCTTAGGATGTCACTTTTGAAAAGATCATAAAATTGCTTTTTGGACATAATTAACAGTGTAACCAAAGAAGAGAGAAAAAGGCATAATTTCAAATTTGGAATTATATTCTGATTCACTGTGAAGACAACATAGTGTTGTAGTTGCAGAGAAAAAGAAAGACATGACCTCTAGTAGATGTTTGATAGTAACCACATTCATTTGAAAATTCACAACTTAATTTTGTAATTCTCATCTTTTTGTTCTATATTCTAAAATTAATTGCTCTCACGTTGCCTAAGAACAGAAGCAAGAAGGTGAAGTGGACTTTGATTCAAGTTTAAGAACACAAATGATAGTTTAGTATTGTGTTCCAAAAAATCACAACGTATTGCCTCAGACAAGGAAGTCTCAAGGTAAAAAGTATATGTGTTCTGAGAACCATATTTTCTACCTGAGAAATATGTTGGTTAAAAACTTAAGTTTAAAAATTTTTGTTTTTAAGTTAAAGATTCTAGATGTCCTCTGATAAATGAATGGATAATGAATGGATAAACAGCTGTGGTATATCCATACAACGGAATATAGTTTAGCAATAAAAAGAAATAAGCTATCAAACCATAAAAGAACAAGAAGAATCTTAAATGCATATCGCCAGGTGAAAGAGGCCAATCTAAAATCGCTGTATACTATATGATTCCAAGCACCTGACATCCTGGAAAAGGCAAAACTTTGGAGACAGAAAAAGAACAGTGGTTGCAGAGGTTTTGGGGAGGGAGGGAGGAATGAAAAGGTGGAACACAGCAGATTTTTAGGGTAGTAAAAAACTATTCTCTGACACTATAATGGTGGTTACATGTCATTACACATTGGTCAAAATCCATAGAATGTACAGTGTAAAGAGTGAAGCCTAATGTAAACTATGGACTTTAATTAATGTCTCAATATTGGCTCATAAGTTACAACAAATATACCACACCAACACAAGATTTTAATGATAGGAGAAATTGTGTGTATGTGGTGGGTGGAGAGGAAGTATATGGGAAGTCTCCGATCTTTTTTTTTCTTTTTTTTTAAGTTCTGGGATACATGAATACACGTGCTGAGCGTGCAGGTTTGTTACATAGGTATACATATGCCATGGTGGTTTGCTGCACCTATCAACCCATCATCTAGGTTTTAAGCCCTGCATGCATTAGGTATTTGTCCTAATGCTCTTCCTCCCCTTTCTCCCCACCCCCTGACAGGCCCCAGTGGTGATTCTGATCAGTTTTTTAAACCTAAATCTGGTTTGAAAAATCTATTAACAAAAAAAAAGTTAAAAGATGATAAAGCAGATAGCATCCATTCAGGGCTTAGAGGTCAATTTACCTGCTCATGTATCCTTATGGCCACACACATTTGAGTTGTTTTGCACTTATATTACTACTATTTTTATTGCCACATTTATGCCAATCATGCTACTCAAAAACATATTTAAGCATGTCTCTACTAGGAAGACTTTTAGAATCATATTCTGATCACTTGCTTATTTGCTTTCTTGGCATTTAAGCATTCAGATTGTATTACATTGTTGTTGATATGTTTTATTTTTATCGCTAAGTTATTTCATTCACATATGTTTTACTCTCTCAATTAGATTGCAAACTCTTTGCATTTAGGTGATATGTTACCTTCAGCTTTCCTCCTATTTCATTTGTGGTAAAAAAGTTAGGGCATTCAGTAACTTCTTATTACAAATAGTTTTTGTTTTATGTTTGGCTGACAGATTAAGCTTTTTCTCACCCAAAAGGGACTGTCTGAACAGAAGTGAGGTACTCCCCAATATTTTTCTGTCTGCAGTCAGAACAACGCTGTCAACAGACATTCATGTTTGTTAGATGTTGAGGCTTTTTCTGTGTCATTTCTCCCTATGTTCTTCCTATCTTCTGTGTTTTACTTTCTTTGAAAAAAAATTACAGAGGATGACTGGAGGATATAATTTGCAAATACAACAATATAATGTAACATTTAGAGGGTTTTTTTTTGAAAAAGGAATTTGGTAAGTGCAAAATATCATCTGTGGATGCTCCATTTTCAAAGGTTTTATGAGAGTGTGAAATTACTTTAGGTTAAGGTATCAAAAATAGAATGTGGAAGTCATGAGGTTCGTGTTGAAAAGTCTTGGTTTCTTACGGGTAATTTCTACATAATCCAAATAATATATACAGAAGAGAATGTCTAAATAATCTACTTCACTGACATATAGAATTGTGTGGAAATTCGTGAGGTCAACTGACCCACAATACCATAGGAAGTTGGAGAAAAAAGCTGATTTGACGAAGCTGCTTTTGCCTCATTACTGCACACCAGTTTTAATTACTGGAACGAAAGATCAACTTGAACAAGGAAACAGAAAGCCTGATTTTTCTCTTCTGGCTTCGCTTCTTACTACCTGTAGTACTCTGGGCACTCACTTAGCCTTGCTCAGCTTCAGTTTCCTCATTTTGAATATCAGACAGTTGGGCAGAAGAATTTCTAATTTCCTTGTGCTGCAAATCCTATTAACAATTTTAAACACCTTTTCCTTCCTGTAACTTGAAATACTTTGCAAGGAAAGTTGACAAGCTCAGAAACACATTGCAAGCACAGCCATCAATTGCAAAATAAGTGAACCCTAAAATGTAAAAAGTTTGTAGTAATCTCTTGCATATATATGAATATTTTAAATATACATTTATATATTATAGGATGTTTATATGTACCTTTACATTTATTTATCAAAGTGATGAGTGAAATAGAAAGGCAGAAACAAGATTTTTAAGGAAACAGACATGAGTCTCCATCTCTTGGAAGCATGAGGGTGTGTCTATAGTCTGAGTTTTTGTTTTCTTACACTTATAAAAGAATGGTGGCATTGGACAAAGAGACCTGCTCTGGCAGAAGGGATGGCACACAGATTTGCTTCACCTGGCTGATGGTGGCTGCCTGCTCTGTGAGAAAGGACCCTGAAGGTGAAGTCACAGTGTAAAAGGGTGATATGATCACTCAGTTATGTCAACATGGGTTCAGGAATGGGGAATGGTGGCATGTATGCCAGGAATGTGCCATTCAGCAGAAAAGTAATTTCAAAAGGTAACCAGATACATCTATGGAAGCAACAAAAGGTATTCCTGGATGAGAAGGAATCTGCGAACTTGAGAGGCAAGCTCCTGGGGGTTTTGAGCCACGTTGCCCTTAAGTGAGTATAGAAAGAAGGGAAAATTTAAAGGAATAGAGGTATCAAAGTAGACAAACAGTGACTTTAGGAATATATTAGAAGTAATTTACAAAGATAAATATTTGAAGCGGATTTTAGAGAAATCTATGTAAATGGGATATGTCTTGGTGATCCCTTCAGGTGAGCACATATAGATCTGCTTCATTTTTAAAACAATAACTTTACAATATTCATAGTACGTATTTTTAAATCCCAGTTCCCAACGGATGTACATTTTCTCCCTCCCTATATTTTGTTGATTTTATAGTCATGAAAAGATCAGGCCTTTCCATGGTTGTAGGTGGATATTGAAGACAGAATCATAGGAAAACTATAATAGTCTCTCAATGATTAAAAAGATGTACTAATGTTGGTGGTTAAGTGATAATTTTATTGCAATAGTGATTATAAAGAGAGGGGAGATGTACAAGGATGCTGAATAAAGGAGCTTCAGTAGATTCCCTGTATTTTGTGTTTATACATTCGCACTCTTGTGCGGCGCCTCTTTGCAGTGCCTTATCTAGGGGGATTACTAATATGACAACACTCCTGATTTATAGAAGCTCAATTAGGTTAAACAGTTTGATTCATTTCAATTGGATTAAAAAAATCCCTTGTTGAATCTGAATTCTTGCTCTGCAACTAACACAAACTCGCACTCATTATTACTTATGGTGCTTTTCTTTATGGATGAAGTGCTTCTCAGCCAAGTAGCGGTAGTCATCCAGCTGATGACCATAAGGAAAACCAAACACTGTCAGTAGAATAACATCCTTAGCCAAGTGTTTATGTTGGATACATATACAATGCAGAACTGTTCTTAACTAATGATACAAAGTTGGCCTCCCCAAGTCTCTCCTTTTGTATTATTCCTTGCCACCCATGTGTTGAGCTAGATTTTCTCAGGACCTAAGCCCCACCCTAAAAGTAAGTTCTGCTTCTTTGCAAGCTGGATTTATTCTTTCCAGCTTCCAAGTGAACATCATACATCAAATAATTGTGAGTTAGCTATAAATACAATTGTGATGTGACTGTTAATGCAGTTTCCAAAGGTGATTAATTTATGTACACAGGGTATCTTAAACAATGAAATGATCTGGATAATTTGAAATTTTAAAATATTGTCCTTTATGGCATTTTGTTTATATTTCCTTTGTAAATCTATTGGTTCATTATATTCTTAATAATGTTTTTTTTTTCTTCTGGAAGGCAGAGAGAACATCCAAACCTTGCTACTAAGGACTTTATTTTCTTTCTTCCCCTTACTCCAACTTTCCGTGTTTTGATTACTCTCTAACCTACAATCTGGAAGTTTCTCCTCAGTTGGCTGAAATAATGTTTTGCTGGCATTCTTCTAACCAGATATCCCCTTGATATGTTTTATACCAAGCTGAAAGATCTGGCAAACTGCTGAAACGGGGAACGAGGCATTGGCACACGAGGAGCAAGGGAAGACAGACCAGGTACAACCTAGTGCTGTCCCCGAACATGGCTTTCATGGCAGAGAGAGGCCACAGGAGTCAGTACAGAGATCGCAAGAAACTAAGAGGCACAGGTTGATAAAGCAGCTTAACACAGGCCACAGGCAGGGAAAGAACATCTGCGGGAACCACATGGAGACTGTCCAAGTCAATAGAACACCATCAGTAGGGCCTTCCCTACACATGACCGAAGTAGCATGCCCCTCAGTAGAGGTCTTCTACCTCTACACCTTAATGACTGTCTGGGAAGCCCCCTTCTAAAGGAGCTAATGTGTATTCAGTCCTTGCCTTGTTCTACTGAAGTGCATTATCTTATTTTTCATGAAAACATTGTGAGACAGGTACTATTATTCCCATTTTAGAGACGAAAAACCTGAGGCTCAGGGAGGTTGCCCAGTGACATAGTGAAAATGCTGTGCCAAGGTTTAAACCCGGCTCACCTGAGTTTAGAATCTGAACGCTTCTTATCCCGCTGCCTATCTGTCCTCTTCAGTTTGTTTGGTTTCTCTGTTTGCTATTCTTTTTCCTCAGTCGCCGCTCTCTTTAGTTCCCAATCAGATATCCCTTGTCTCTAGACCCAGAGCTGGGAGCCAGCCTGTCCCCTTTCTTCCCCTGGTCCCAGCTCACTTAACCCCAGCCTGGGTTGGAGCCCCAGGCCCCTTGCTTTCCTGGCAGGAGAATAAAGACAGCTGGCAGTGAGAAAAGTCTGTGAAGGAGAATATGAGCAGTCGTGGTTATGGCTTTGCTGTGTGAGAACTCGCTCTGTCAGGGAGCTGCATGGGCTTCCCACACTTGCTGCATGGACAGATGTTTTCAATTATTATCACTGACAAGCCTCCGGGCCAGGTTCTTTTCTGATTGGCTGTCACTGGACTGTGAGGGGAATAAAGGAAACTGAGGCTAGCACGCAAAACACCTCAGTCATCACTTTAATCATGTTTCTCCAAAGCAACTGGTTGAGTTGGACAGTTCACCTCAGATTGGAATCGTTTTGTAAACACAGACTCAATTTCCTTTTAAACCTTTCTTTCATTCTGGTTTCAATTTTTCTGCCCAAATTTCTTCTGACATAAGAGGGAGACATTTGTCATTTCTTTACCGATTCTTTCCTTTTGTTGGTTTTCCAGTGTTTTGGGTACGTACCAGAATGTAGTAGGAGTTCTGACTTGAAGAAATTTAACTTGATATTATTAGACTTCTAGACTTGGCGTTGCACGGTCTTCCACAAAAATGACCTATGTCTGATCTGGAAGCACGGATATCCTGTGTTTCCATCTGCAGTCACGTGGGAAATGTCTCACCCTAAGTCAGAAGCCACTTCTCATTTCAGGTTTGCACCAACCATGGAGCCATTTGACATAGCTCTGTGCATGACTAGAATTGTTGTCTACCTTCCTAGCTTGTGATCAGATCTGCTATAATTAGTGTGATTTCCTTTTTTTATTGCCTCTGGTGTGTCCTAAGGAGATCCAAAGACCAGTTGGTCCCAGGGGAAATCTGACAAATCATGGGCATGGTCAATAATAAAAAAGAATATAGACCTGGCTCTCAGAAATCTTCCTGATAACTGATAACTGTCTCCTCTATGTAGCTCCTTCTTTAATGGGATCAATTATATTTGGTACCAATCAGTTTCTAGCTGCTTATTGTTTTTTCTTCCCTTCCTTTTTCTATAACTTAGAAGGGAAAATAAGATCATCAGGTGGATTAAAGCTTTCTGAGTTCATTTTTATTTCTCATTCTTCATGTCATATATCTGGTTGGAAAAAAAATGTATTCAAGATGCTCCGGCATTTCTGCATATTAGTTTTATGTCCTTTTGATGTCCTGAAATTTGGTTTGTGTGTGGTCCATCTTGCTCAAGTCTCCAGGCTGCCTGGTCTCTGCTGCCATTTTAAAACAATAGCAGCAGACATGCAAGTCTCCAAATGTATTCGGTAAAGCAGATACAATTCATAGTCTTAATTCTTGAAGGCCCAAGTCTCCATTTCAATTTCTGAAAAATGTCTCTTTGACTTTCAAACTAAACTCTTTTATTTTAAGCTCAAAGATAAAATATTATAGGATGTTAATTCATCCTTTTCAAAAAAGGCACATGAGGGTTAAAACATATGCTTCCTTCTTCACTCAGAAAAAAAATTCATTCCAACCTTTTTGGGGGGATCACATATAGCTCTAAAACAGCTGAAGCTAAAAACATCAAAGTTGGCATGACTTCAGTTATCACTGAATCAGGAAGATCAAGCCAAGTTTTTGAAGAAAATGGTTGAGCATTTTAAAAATAAAAGAAGTCAAAATGCTTTCTCTGAGCATGCTCAGTGGGAGGTTTTAAAATATTTTCTTTAGGTCAGCTTTATTTTGCTCATTTCTTTGGAAATATTTCAACAAAAGCCATCTAATTAGTCCTTAATAACATTGTTCACTAATGCCCTAGCCAAGGCCCAAGTGTCTGTCATCTGCCAAAGTGATGTTTTCACCGTGTTTGCCAAGGGACCACTACTGGGCAATGCGGGTGAGTTGCTTTGGTCCTTTTATATTTTTGTCATTGTTTGGTTCAGTGATTTTGGGTGGGACAAGAATGGAGGAGGGAGATGAGTGACAGGATGTGAAGTAGTTTTATAGCAATACAGTACATTGAATATAGCTGCTAAATCCTCGCCTTTCTTTTTCTTTTTTTTTCAATTAACCACAGCTTCAATATTTCTGGAAAAAAATGGATGGGATGGTATTAGCATTTGCAAAACAAAAGGCAGTGTAAATCCATGCTGAAACACATAAATATGGCCCTCAAACTGGAAGCTGAGTAGATCCTGTGTTTCTCATTTCCTGAGAGAATTTCATTGTCTTTTAAGGCACTAAATAGCTCTGTGCTACTGACAGTTTTGGGGCCCACATTTATTCTACAATAAGACAGCAAACTGCCCCTGCTGTACCTGGGACTACATCAACTGACAGACCTGGCGGATCTCGTTGACACTGCGCTTGTTAGCACCACCGCTGACGCTGTTTTGATGTAAATTTCTCAAACAGTATCAACAGCCTGGTGAGAATATTGCTTCTTATTGCAGAGCTCTTTTATGAGTTTTTACACTGCAATTTCAGGAATTTCTTTCCTAGAGTTCTCTGTGAAAATTTCCAGTAGCATTTTTCAATTGAGGAAATATTTTGCATGTGTAATGGCTCAAGGGAATTGCCTTGCTGGAGACACTACATTTCTACCTGTCACAGAAAGTCAAGAGGTAGATTCTGATGTATCTGTTGTTCCTAATATGCAGACAGACAGTGGTAGCCACAACGGTCAGGACATATACATATAGCCCAGTAGATTCTCTGCAGATTGGTTTAGATCTATCAATCCTTGCCTAAGCTAATAAGAGATATAATTACGCTCATCTTGTAGATTCATGTATATGAGGGAAAATGCTATTTTAATATCTGACAGCAAAATTCCTCCTAGTGGAGAAAATCATTTTTTTTTTCTGTTTTGCTTAGCAAAACATTTTGATGGACCATTTTGGTTGTGGAAACATAATCTCTCAAACACAGCTAGAAAAAAAGAGAACCAAATTCTCTGCATAAAACACAAAAATGGACTTATGAGAGCTGTGTGCAAAAAGAGAGATTATGAAAGTAGAGTGTTGGGGCAGAATGACACGGTGGGAAGTTGGAGACCAAATGGAAATGACAATCTATGAAAATTCCTTAGTTGGGGGTGTGGGGAGAATGATCAAGGTGCATTTTAGTAACAGGGGCACCTATTATTTAAGTTTACATAGTTTGCATTTTAAATTATCAGCTAGGCTGGGTGTGATGTGATCTCTCTATCCTCTGTCAATCTTCAGTAAAAGTCAGCTGAATGCTATGGCCTAGAGTGAGCCTTGGAAAACAATGAAAAGGAATTGTCAAGATAAGAGAACATTGGCCAATGGGAAGGCATGAGTGAGTTGTGGGTTCAAGGGTAGCAGGAAATCAGACCAGAAATACCTCAAGAAAATATCAACCCTTTCTGATAACCTGAAAGATACTGGGGTTCTAATTTTAGAAGAGTTGGAGCTTTGAGCAAATTTTAATTTTAAGTGGAATGATGATGCAAAATTCCCAAGGACTCTGGGCGCTATTTCTTGCCTGCTTCAGCTGCACTCAAGTTTCTTATAAGAGCCTATGGACCTTGCCAGCTCACAGGATTGTGATTTCAGGATGCAGCAGGACTGAGCTGTATGTGGCCAGTTTTCCCAAATGGCCTTTCTGCTTGTGATATTGATTCTCGGTTTTACTTTTCATTTCCCATGAGGACCAGAATCTAGCTTTGAACCCCAGCAGGATTGCTAGGGAGCTTGATTCCCTCTTGTTGTTTTTGCTATCATCTTCTTCTAAGGCTGCTGTCTTTTTCTGGTCTTCCAAGTATACTTCACCTGCGATCACTGTTTGCCCCTAAGCACAGGTCACAGAGCCTTCCAAGATGGAGTGTGCATGCAGATGGGCTCTCTTAGCCTCATCACTGGGTCAGTCTTCTCTGCTTAAAAACCAGCAGCTGGTTCTATTGTCCATAAGGTAAAATCTCAGCTCCATAATAGGACACATTATTCCTTTGATAACCTGGTTCTAGCCTCTCTTTCCAGTGATCTTCATTCAAAATGATCCATGATCATTCACCAGAATATTCCTTTTTCTCCCAATTGAGGACACCTGACCTTGTTTTCGTTACGGCTGTTTGAATCATGGGCGGAGGCTTGAACCAAGGAATGGGACCAACCAGAGTGTCTTTTGTTGGCGTTAAGGACATTTAACCTGGCGTTAAGGACATATCAGTCTGTGTAATTGCTGGTGAATGTAAGTTCTTTACAAAGCAAAGCATGTGATTTGCGGATTTTAGAGCTCAGTCAATTCATGGATTAAGAAAAGAAATAGAAACAAGTAAAAATGATGCTTTTGCTCACAAATCTTTTTCTCACCAAAAGTAATTATTAAACTTTAAATTGTTATTAACACCAAAAATGCTTGACATTATCGTGACTACAGAGAACCTATCTCACATAAATAATGATGATCAGTTAGTCTCCATGATGTTCGAAGAGAGGCCCGGAAGTTGTTCAAGTCAAAGGAATTGATCTGGCTCAAGTCTGCTTTAACCAGTCAACCAACCTATACAATATTGGTATCTGCTGGGATGGCCAGTGATTACTTGGGAAAAATCCAAATGTTCAAATCCACAGTTGAGGATTGAAATGTGCCTTTATTCGTAAGAACGCTAAATGACTCCACAGACTACTAGTGAAAGGCATATTCCTTCTGGATTTGACCAGTTCTATATGATAGCTTATTTGCTACTCTGATAAAAAAAAATTTAACTTCCTGAGGCACAGATTGAGCTGTTTCTAAGGCTTGTCTCAGCAGAAGTACCTTATAAATAAGAACTTCAATAGATTTCATCTGCTAGTGAATATTATTTAAAACTGAAAATGGCATCATGAATCCCCCACCAAAGCCCAAGTTAAAAAATATATATATGCTGCCGATGCTTCTCAGGTTTGTGGTGCTCTGATTCTGAGGATTGCAATGCAGTAAACGAACAGGTTTCAACTTTGGGAGGCTGAGATGGGCAGATCACCTGAGGTCAGGAGTTTGAGACCAACCTGACCGGCATGGTGAAACCCCGGCTCTATTAAAAATACAAAAATTTAGCCGGGTGTGGTGGCGCATGCCTGTAATTCCAGCTACTCAGAAGGCTGAGGCAGGAGAATCACTTGAACCCAGGAGGCGGAGCTTGCAGTGAGCCGAGATCGTGCCATTGCACTCCAGCCTGGGCAACAAGAGTGAAAACTCCATCTCAAAAAATAAATAAATAAATAAATAAATAAATAAATAAATAAATAAAATAAATAGGTTTCAAAAGTTTTCATGAGATTACCATTAGGGATGGGAAGAATGGTTCCTTATGTTCATGCATTTGGCCAGTCAGAAAGCCAGAGGACATTAAATAAGCATGTTCGAATCTTTTTGGTTCTACTCAATTGATAGTATCATTTTCACGTGCGAGACATGTTTCTATCATTTTCTTCTTAGGAATGAATTTAAAACCTATTGTTTATGACTGGCAGAAGAAATGTACAAAGGGCAGTGCCCAGCATTCATCCTCATGTTCTACATTTTCAGTTTACATTGCTTTCTCTGCCCAATACATGGTTATGACTATAGAATAACAAAACAATTCTATAAGGCATGTTTACAATTCTAGTAATAAAGCTTTCTGCATATCAGCTACTGAAGGATGTTTAGAAAATGCATAAATAGGTCAAATGTGAGACAAAGTTTTAAGAACCAGGAGCATTCATGTAAATGAAGAGAATGCAGGAGACTGCTGCAATGCAGTAGAAACTCTCTTGGCTGACTCCCACTTAATCAGCTCTCTATCTCCTCCGTAAAACATATTGACCAATGCCCACAACATATTCAATGTTCCCGGCTAGTTAATGACTCTCAACTGCGCTCATCTGTTCCCACTAGAGGAAAGTCCCAGGAGAGAGTCCCAAACAAGTTTATGCCAGTTGTACTTATTATTGTAATTATGTAATTTAATTAAATATTATGTAAACTGATGAAATATGAGCACAAAAGGAAGAGAGTTGCTTTGCAAACACTTTCTTTGGAGAGAAAAATATTCTATTATGTCTAAAATTACTAAAGTGTTTTCTCTGAGGGTAGGGATAGATCTGGGTGAACTCTCAAGGCCTTTTCCAAATTTATCATGATAGATGTTGGTTGGGTTTTGAAATGTTGCTTTCTTTTAGATCTAGTCCTTCATTCTATTTCATATGACAATAGCTTCCAGCTATCATTTCCTGAGGGCTTACTGTGTGCCAGGCATTGTGTAAAGCAATTTGCTTGCATTATCTCATTTGATATACAGAGTAGTAACTGTTAATTTTTGAAAACTTATGTGCTTGGCTCTATGCTGGACACCTAATATATATTACCCACTTAATTCTTATAATAATTTGTAGATATGAAAACTGAAGCTTAGAAGAAATGAGAAATTTGTCTACATTCTACACTTTGTCTATAACTATACACTCTACACTTTGTGTAAGTAAAAGAGCTGGGATTGGAACCCTACTCTATTTAATTCCAAAGCCTTATCTCCTATCACTGTACTCTACTGTCTCCACATATAGGTGTGTTGTTTGTTTTTTTGCTTTTTTTTTTTTTTGACAGAGTTTCGCTCTTGTTGCCCAGGCTGGAGTGCAGTGGTACAATCTGGGCTCACTGCAACCTCCACCTCCTGGGTTCAAATGAATCTCCTGCCTCAGCCTCCTGAGTAGCTGAGGTTATAGCATGCACCACCATGCCCGGCTAATTTTTTGTATTTAGTAGAGACAAGGTTTCACCATGTTGGTCAGGCTGGTCTCGAACTCCTGACCTCAGGTGATCCACTCCTGACCTCCGGTGATACCCACCTCGGCCTCCCAAAGTGCTAGGATTACAGACGTGAGCCACTGCGCCTGACACATATAGGTTAAGGACCTGGCTTACTTATTCTTGTAGTCCCAGTGCCCAGTTTAGTGCCTGTCTCATCACATGTGCTCATGAGTGTTACATGGATGAAGAAATGCACAGATGGATGGATAGTACTTTGATATTCTTCATAAGCCTTGTCAATTTAGTAGTAGCAAATGAGAATGAGGGATAGGCAACCTTTTCTAATTATAGGCACCAGCGCTCCTTAATGTGAGTTAGCCTTCATTTATGTCTATTGATTGAAATATTGTTGCAGAGACAGGATAGTTTTGTTGGACAAAAAATATTGTAGTTATACTTTACTACTGTGGATAAGTGGATTTTTTTTTGACTTCTAGTCATTCTTCTTCTTCTTGCTAAGACCATCTTTGGGGAAAACTGCTTCTCCCTCACTTCTAGTCTGTGTGGTTGAGTGGGCCTGTGTCTCAAGCCTGACTAATGAGAGCCATGCAGTCCTCTGCCATAGAGAATGGATCAGGAACGAACAAATAATAAGGGGCTCAATCCAGGACAAGAAGAATAATTTTTTGAGAATTTTCTTTTCACACAGTGAGAGAGAAGCTTACTTGCCCCTGAGTACGCTAAGCTGATACGATACAATTCTGGTGTTGCCATCTTGCTACCAGGGAGAAAGATTTTTAAGTCAAAGCTAACCCAGAGGCAAGCAGAGTTTAGAAATGGAAAGAAACAAATTCTATGCAATACCCTTTGGCAATTGAATCTAGTCACGCCCAAAGTCACGTCTGATTGTGGAATTTTCAGTTATGTGATCCAGCAAATTCTCTTTTTTGTCTAAACTGTTTGAGTTGGGCTTTTGTCACTTGCACTAAACTTAGCATTTCTTAGATACCTATGGAAGCCTAAGATAGGTTTTCACATAGTAAATAATGGTATCAAATAGATTGATCCAGAAACCATGGCTTATAAATATTTAGGAGAGAAAAAGAAATTACGTTTAAAACAAAGCAAAGTAAATTATACATGAAGCTGAATCGAATATCTGTCTCTAAAATCATAGTTCTAGTGGGTGTTTTAACTTTGGTGCTTAGTACTACTATTTCGTTTTTTAATTTGAAGGAATATTTGCTAATCTGCTAAATAAAAGGTCTTGATTAAGAGAGAGGACACGACATTTCAGGATCTGTATTTCTTAGGAGTCTTCAGATAAAGTCAGAATATTCAGGAGGAATACCCCCCACCATGTTTAAAATGAATTCTTTAATTCAAGACTTCTTCAAGGAGTATTTTCTTCCTACTCACTTGCAAATCACACACTCATGTATACATATCCATGTAGAAACAGAAATCCATTCAGGTACAATCTAACTTGCAATCAAGAACTGCTAAAATAGGACCTTTATCATCAGCGCAGCACATCCCAAAATGTCTTTGTAAAATAAATCAAATTATATGAGTTAATTGATTCCAGGCAACATCAGCAACTGCAGGTGGAGACAGAATAACAGGATGTTTATTAATGAAGTACAATTAATCAAAATCGACAATACCAATTCCTGTTTCTTGTATTTGAAAGCTACCTGCAGTGGCTATAGATGTATTTGTTGAATTTTTAAAACACAATTTTTTACGAGGGAACAAAGGGGGATTTATGAGAACATGGGATTTTTAGCGTGGGTTTTGGACTACTGATGTTTAAACAGTGAAAATATACTCCTAAATGCAATTTGACAAGCGATGCCAAAGATGCCAGTGGTAATTAATTAGCACTTAATTGAGACCACAGACCAACAGGACACAGGAATTGGTCCTCAGTGCCATTTCCCCCTTAGGCTCCATCTCATGAGGGTCAGGAGTGTGGCTGCAAGCTGAAGGTCAGTAAGTAAATTGGGAGAGCACATTGACACTGGACATTTCATGATGGATCTCATTCACCCTTTGCTGCTGCCCCTGGCTATCTCTGATGAGAAAAGGACCGTGACTGTTCGAAGGGAGAACTTAGCATTCATGCACATCTAAACCAAGGTAGGGAAGGCCCTCACCTGCTAGACTAGACTGGATGCTTCACAAAAAGATCAAGATCAAATATTAACATGAATGGGGGCAGGGTTATAGTTAAGATTTTTATAAAACAAATTTAGATAAAAGAGAAATTTCTTAAAACAAATTTTTTGCAGAAGTAGTTTTTCAGTAAAAAATGTAGATAAGAAATTTCTTAAATAATTTTTTAAGAAAATTTTGTAGATATTATAGATTATGGACTTAAAGATTTTAAAGACTCTAGAAATTCCATCTTAGGTATTGTACATATTCCCCCAAGTCCTCCCCAAAACACACACTTTTTTATCTTATTAGGTAGGGGTCAATGTCCTGAAACAGAGAAAAATTCCTCATAATCTCATAGACTAAGCAAATGAAGAAATGCAAATGAATTCTTTTAATCTCTGAATAAATTATAGCTTCTGACTGAAAATGTATGGTAGCTTGTCTTACAACACGAGTTGGGAAATAAGTTTGTTAAACTTGCTACTGTATTTTCTGAAAAACGAAGTTGGGACAGTTTTTATTTTTCTAGCTTAGAGATGAAATCAGTAACTGAAGGCACAGTTGATGGATGTAACTGGGAATTGAAGTCTGGGTTCTTGGGTACCAAATCCTCAATCCACACAGATTATTTTACTTTTGAAGGGCCTTCACTCTCCAAAATGGGCTCAGATGAAGTACAAATGCTACATATGCATCTGGAAAAAGACTCTTCAGGGATCTGATTTATTTGGTCACACACATGCCTGCCGTTAAAATGAATCAGATCTCCATCCTTTTCAGCATTCCTAGAAAGGGCTCAACTCAGATTCTTCAGAGGTCCTTGAGAACTTGTCTTAGACAATGATGCTCGCTGATGGAGCAGAGGGCACAATGACGATTTGATAATAAGTACTCTTTCTCTTCTCCCAACTGACCTCCTGACCATGGCTCATCCATTGACCTAAGTTTGTTCCCATGAACTGAGAGTTGCCTCAACATTACTGCTCCTTTACCACCACTGGAGAAATCCTGGACAAAGACTTTCTTTATGAAAGTGGAGATATTCATGTGACATGACTGGGGTAGATCAGTGGCTCCCAGCCTCCCTCTCTATTAGAAAACATAATTGTGTGTCAGTGATGGCAACAGAGAGAAATGCCATCTGGTGTGCTCAAAAAAAAAAAAAAAAAAAACCCAAAAACAAAAATGGGGAAGGAGGGTTTCCTTATTATCTTGATATTACTTTACCAAGAAACTTCAAGAAAACCATGTCTTTTAGTCAACCCTCATCTCTGTTTTTTAAAGTTTGCAAACCTTATGGGGTATTTAAAGATAAAATCATTTTCAAACCAGGAGCTATGTGTACTGTTTAGTGAGTTTTTTTTTTTAATTCTATGAAAATCTCATATGTTTTCCATTGGCCTTTAAACACTTCTGATTTTAATACTGACAACCTGTATTATTTAAACACCTCCTGGAAATCCATACATTTTAGATCTTCCCTGAAATACAGCTTCACAGTTATAGTTCTATGCTTGGCTAAAATTAAATGTGAGGTTGTGAGCTACCTACTTCTACCCTGTCAGTAAACGTTTCTGAACTTACTTTGTAAATATGAGCATCAATCTTATTTTATTTCATATTAACCTGATTAATACTTCCACAAAGAATATACTGCATTTTAAAAATGCATTCAATATAAAAAAGTTAAAATATACTTAAAATGACTAAGACAATAAAGGTGAAGAAAAAATAAGGGATGAAGGTAGTATTCCAAATGCATGCTATGAGGTTCCAAATGCTTGTTGGATTTGGGCCAAATTTTATTCCAGGCTTGCTTCATTCCCTGTGAGTCATTTTACCTCCATGTAGGTGTCCAGTGATTTTTACTGTTAACTTGTGAGAACATTTCTGCTTTGCTTGTGCTAACTGACCACATCTGTCCAGAGGCAACAAGATTCAGAATTTCTTATTATTTTCCCTTTTGCAAGTCAAATTGGTGAAAGGAACAGGTTCCAAATCATTCATTCATTCATCTGTCTAATTCACAAATATTTAGTGATTTTTATGTGCAAGTAACTCTGAGAAGGAAGGCAATTTTGCATAGAAGCTGGCCACAGGGGCTCTGGATTCAGACATACTTGCATTTTAAATACTGACCCCATCACTTTTAGTTGGTTGATCTAGGAAAATAACACCTTCTCTCTGGATGCTAGATTTTGCTTCCATAAATTGAGGATAATAATGACTTTACATGGTTGTTGAATTGAGAACATGTATTTAAAATTTTTCAGCAAGATATGGGACATATGGTTAGTATTCAATAAGTTGTGTCTATTCGTGCTATTCTGCAAGAATCAAAAAATAATAAGCATAGCCTTTGCCCTAAATTCACTATGCTATATGCAAGCATCAAATTCACCTTTACAGCTATTCATAAGAAAGGCTATGAATTCAAAGTATGGAAAAGTCTCTGCAGTTAGGACCAGATCTCTGAATAGCAGATCTAAAAGAGCAGGATATTGAGCCAGGTCCTCTGAAGAAGTGGTAGAATCTGGGATAGGCAGAGAGCGCACAGAGGAACCTGAACTGGAGGGACGAGTGTGGAGAAAGTCCTAGAGAGGGAGATGTATGAGGCATGACTGGAATTGATGAGAAAATTCATTCATTTGGTGGAAAAGAAAAGCCTTCTTATATGGAGGTAATAGAGACCACCAGGCAGAGCTAAGAAAATGAAGCACCAACAATTTGATAGAAAAGGAATCTCTGTGATGGAATTACCCCCATTGGAAACCAGAAAATCTAACAACTCTAACTGTATTTAACGACCTAGAATAATTAGTCAGTTGGAGCTCAAATGCCTTCAAGGTAGTTTATTTCCATTTTCTTTCCACAATTTAAAGTAAATTTGGGTTATAGAACATGCAAAGTGGCTAGATGACTTGGGAAAGTCCCAAGTTTGCTCATCTTTGAAATGAGAGGATTGAGCAGTTTCCTTTCTAGCGTTTCACCTCTAAAACCAATAGACCATTTCCCTCTTAAAAATGAGGATAAAAGTCAACTATTACTCTCTATTGCTGCTCCACTTCTACTGGCCTCTTGGATGTCTCTGGTTAAACTCCCAGATGTCTGCAATAAATTCTGTGCACACTGAATCAAAAAAAAAAAAAAAAAGCCTTTTTCCCTTTTTTTTTTTTTTTTTTTTTTTTTTAAAGGAGTGCTCTAGGTGTTGACTGGACTGAAATTGCACAAAATTAAAAACAAAACCAACCCCTTCCCACACACCACCCAAACAAAAACCTTCTATATGTATCTGGAAGCCACTTTACTACTTCCTGATTTTTAGACTCAACAGTTACATTTTTAAAGAGACACTGCACTGTGGAATATAAACGTGTGAAATCTAAATACAAAATATAATGAAGCCCCTTGAACCAAGTCATGCAATGAGAAAATTTTAGGGCAGCCAGGCACTTTTGACTTTTGAACTCTATTTCTAGCTGTACTGCTGTTATTTGGTGGGTTTCGAGATGAGGCCAGCAACTTCCTAAGTGGCTTAGTTCACTCATTTTCAGAAGACACCCCTTATTCTCATGTTTGCAGCATCCTTCTTATAAGGGGCTTAGGATATTTAAGCCTCAACATTGTCCAATACGGAATAGTATACAGTCTTTATGAATTACCAGTTTGAAAGACAAAGAAATATTGCATACTTTTGTGTCAGCACGGGAAACACCCTTTTGTGAGTCACTCTCCAGCAAACTGAAAGAGACATACGATTACAGTGTGTGTCTAGGCCTTTCTAAGCCTCCAGCTCTAGGGACAATGAAGAACAGTAGAGGATGGTGGCTGGCACCAAGCACAGGTGACCAGAGAAATATCTTCTCACTTTGGCTGCGTTGTGGCAGCTCTTATTTTGGAATTTCTACTCTAGTATATGCCCAGTCATGTTACTAACAAACCCTTTTATATCTTCAAAGTAGCTTTCTATATATGGTGGTCTTTATCTTCTTTGAAAGCCATTCATTAGAACACTCCAAGTAATCTGATTTTCCTCTGTTCTCAATTCCTTGCCTCTTCTGTTTTTCTAAAGTCCAATTCCTGACCTCTATTAATACCTTTAGGACTCCTCTGTGGTCTTACCCCACTTTCTAGAACACATACTTATTTATGATTTCTCCCTCTCACCTCACAAAAAATCCCTAAACTTATACTTCTTCCAGAAAACTTCCTGGCTAAATGGAAGACTAGTCAAGATAACTTTCAACATGTACTTTCTAAAAATGCATTTAGTCACTTTGATTTAAGGCAATCTAAATCATTATTTCACTTGGTTTTCAATCTGTGTCTGCAATATCTCTGCTTTGCTGTGATCTATCTTAGCTTGTAACTTTGTAGAGAGAGCAGGATGTGTCAAATTCATTTTGAGAATGCCTTTGTAAGGTGAAAATTTGTTTTTCACAGATCTCATATTTATTGAGCACCTACTACATGCCAAGCACTGGACCAGCTTCTAGCATTACAGGGATGAACAATATATGTTCACCACTGTGGAAATCATCAAAAGCAGTAGCTGTTTCAATAGAAGTAGGCGTAATATGCAATGATGGTAAAGACTTGGAAAACAAAAGTGAATCGGACCAGGCAACAGCCCTGCTGAAAATGTGGGTGGCCAGTGAAAGTTTCTCTCTAAGGCCTTTTGACTTGATGAAAGACTGTATTAAATTGAATGTCAAGCAGATTTGACCCAGGAAATAATGACCAGTGAACAACAAGCAGAGCCTGATTGATTTCTACTTCCTGCATTGCTTAATAATCCTTTTAAAAGTGTTATTGTAGATGCCCTTGATTAGGGAAATGCATTTCCATTTTCTGAGCTGTAGGGTCTAAAACTGTGTTTGCTTTCTTGCTTTGTTCTTGCTTGGGTCCTTCATTTATCAGAACAATACTAACAAATGGCTCTTTTCTCAGGTATGTGAGCCGCAGGGGTAACTCAGACCTAAATTGCCTTTTCACTTTTTTTCTTGCTATGCATGCACATGCAAAAACGTCCACCTTCAGACTTTTTACTGGTACATCGCGGAGGAAACTTGAGTGTCGGTTTAAGTCTGCGTAACTGAGACCATAGCTCTGTGGCTTTCACTGCACTTCCCAGTGCTGAGTAGACTGCTGGGATTCCACAAATAAATAATAAAAATAATAATGATTTTTCAAGCATTTGGAAATGCTGAGTTGAAAGGTGTGGTGTAAGTGCAATGTTTTATTGTGAGAGTGGTAGCTCACGCATTATCTGCTCCTAATGGAGGGCGGCAGTAATGGAGAGGGAGGCACTTATGCCTCTAGACCGGGGTCCCTGAAGGCGGGGTGGGGCTCGGTCGGGCACTGTGGTAACACTTACTGTACACAGGAACTGCTTCCTTCCAGTCTAGCAAGAAGGTATGAGAAGAGTCATGCTGCTGCTTGTTCCCCTAAACCTTACAAAGTCATCATTGTTTCATTCCCATAGAGGATGTGACTGAAAAATCATACTAGAAGAATACTCCAGACTTACAAATATTAATTTAGGTTTTAGTTTGGGGCTCAAATAAATACATCATTGGTACGGGGCATGTCAACAGCTTGGATGTGAATATACCCTTTGTGTGTGATATGGGCTGAGTTATCCCACCTAACCCCACCCCAATTTATATGATAAGGCACCAGCTACCGTTAGCTCAGAATGTGACTGCATTTGGAGACTGGGCCTTTAAAAAGGTCATTAAGTTAAAAATAAGGCCATTAGGGTGGATTTTAATCCAATTTGACTGATGTCCTTATAGAAAGAGGAAATTTAGACTCGCAGAGAGACACCAGGGAAAAAAAGCACAAAAGTAAAACCACGTGAAGGGTAAAACAGCAAGAAGGTGGCCATGTGCAAGCCAAGGGGAGAGACCTCAGAATAAAACAAACCTGCTGATATCTTGACCTTGGACTTCCAGCCTCCAGAAGTGTGAGAACATAAATGGCTGCTTTTTAAGCCGCCTGGTGTGTCGTATTGTGTTATGGCTGCCCTAGCAAACTAACACAGTCTGGGATTATCCAGACTTCAGATTCACATTGAACACTGCAGTATAATATAGAAAAAAGATACACATTTTTAAAAAATTCAGTATAGTCTGAATGCTTTTCCAGCTAACTCCATAACTTTAATTATAAAACAAACGTAACCTGTGTCAAATTATGAATATGTTAACATATTGAATGAGGACAAGAAAAATAAGCACCAGATTTAGGCTCCATAGGCATTTGAAGGTAGAGTAAAAAAAATCTGGTTTCCTTGACCACATTGTCATAATATGCATATATAACAGTTTATTGAATCCAGGCTGTGTAGACAACCAGAAGAACTCTGTCTCCATACCATTACAATGCATGCCCACAACAAAGACTCATGGAGAACAGCCCCGTTCATTCGATCTGTCTGAGCCTTACCAACATGAGAGCTGAAAACCTTACCTCTGTCTAAAGTATATCTATGTAGCCATCCATAAGTTATTAACTGGAGTCCCTGGGCTCTGCTGCTGAAAATATTAATATATTCAAATCTCATTCTAGCTACTGCAAAAAACAGTACATCAGATAAATGCATTAATATCTTTCTTAAACAAAAGAACCTGAGGTTATTTTTTTAAAAGTTTCTTTCTTTTTCCTTGGACTCCCACTGAAATATAGGTGATATATGGCCGAATAAGGTAAAGCGGCCATCAGGTACCAAAGTGCAGGATTGACTGTATCTATAAAACTCTGTTTATTATACTTGAAATACAACACTCTTTCGTGTGAACTGTAGGCTGAGTACTGTTCATCACATCCAATGGCAGAAATGTTTTCTTTTTACTTTCTTAGACATTTTACCCAGTGGAAATGACATGTCCTCTAATTGCAGTTGATGCTACCTCTACCCTATCAATATTCTCACCTCATCCTAAGGGCTGGCTCTTTTGCATACAAGTACAGCCTCAGTGGAGTTGGAAGGCAAAGCTTTGCTGAGAACCAGCAAGCCGAGTGGAAAGGCTGGAAGAGGTTAGGGCAGTGATGGAGGGGGTAACTGAGACTTAGCCCTTTAGATCACTGCTCTGTGTCTGTGGATCCCAAGCTGAGATTTATATATCTATATAGTGACCAGCCTTTGTGCTATCCAGGTTTGCCTTTTGCTATTGGCTGCAGTTAAGGCCCTTTATCAATGACAGCAAACAAAGTAGGTGGTCTTCTACTTCTTTCTTGCAGCAGGAAAAAAATAGTGACATAATTTTTCACAGCCTGAAATAATTGTGGAGGTACAGATACTTGGTTAGGTTCACTATGAATTATTAGTGGAAAAGTGGGTCTCAGAAGTACGTTACATGTGAAATATTTTTCGTCACTTGAACATGTGCCGTCCAGAGCTGGCCCTGTTCTAGCCGTCACAGGGAACAAACATTTCACATTCACAGATGCTCCCAATTTGGTGTGGTTTGGAGTGTAATTTAGATCAAACGTCTCCATGTAAATGAGTCAGGGTTTCTTAATTAGGTGCCTCTAAAGCAAAACCTTGGACCACATCAGTAGGTGTGGGTGTGGTACCCACAATACTGGAATCTTTCCTATAGACCAGGCTCTCAGTATCATTCAAATAAAGCTTTTTTTTTTCTTTTTTTTTTGGTTGTTTTTTTCAGGCAGAGTAATAAATCTGCAGATGGCATAGACAGAAAGACGCTACTTTAGAAGAGCTGTCTAAAAACACTGCCTCTTTGGCAAATGCCTTAAAGTAGGTCATTCTGCTGTGATTTAGCTTTTTCTTTAAAATTGATTGCCAGCTTTTTGTTCCCATTACAAGTAGGGTGCATTCCAGTCCACAGACTTGTTCTTAATTTTTCCAACTGGTATTTGTTTACTAGGATTTGCAGATCTTCATATGAAAATGGCCAATACCCTGTCACAGTGCTAATCATGCACTTGACCACAATGCGAAATGGATCCTGGTGATAATCTGGCAATGCTGAAATATTAAATGCCTTAAACACCCAGTCTTCCCACAGCAAAACTGCATTGATTTATATGGGTAGGTTTGTTGAAATAATTGTCCCATCTTTTATACATGCACAAAGAAGAGGTGACAGGATGTAAATGGAAAACTTTTACAAGCCATATAGCTGTTTGTATAGATATTCAGGTTATCTGCTTTTATACTTGTCATTGTTTGTGTTTTTTATAGGGGGAAAAATCATTTGGTCCCATTTCCTCATCGAGGCTTCGGGATTTACATGCTGAACCCCCACCGGCATTAATGAGTTACCTGCATAAATTCCCTGGCAATCGATGGGCACATAGACCTTGTTTTGTTATATTAATTATTCCTCACAGAACCTTGACACTGACATTAAATGAGTCCTTAAAAAATCTTGAGGAAGGTCTTAAGGTATCTTTTACTGTTCAAATATTAGCATTGCCATAACTATGTCTAAGGCATTATTCATTTTGTGGAACCACAGGGAAGGAGGGGTTGTGATAAGAAAAAAGGAAGGGCACAGGGAGTGAACTTTCTGGTCTTAACTCTTTATTGCCTAGGGGCCAGTTTTCTGAGAACAAGTTATAATCCTCAAATTGTGATAATGATGTGATAATAAATGTTAAAATCATAATGAATTAAAAGAGCAGAGTACGTTGTTTTCTCCAGATTGGTGTTGAATATGGTGTCTTCTCCACAGGCCAAATTTGTCTTGGCAAATTCTTGGTGTTTTCAGGTGAATTCCAAAATGTCAGTTAAAAAGACACAAAGAAGTGGGCTTCGGAGAGGCAGTGGAGATTATTGGCTAGGTATGTCACAAGATTGACTGCTGTGTCCTTAAGAAACAGGCTATGAAAAAAGGTTTTATGTGCAATTTTCTTTCATTCCCAATAAAACTTCTTTTACTTAGATGGAGTATAGAAGGTTCTGATTAAGCAAATGCTCTGGTCAAAAACACTTATCATATGTGGATTAACAATAATCGAACAACAAAATTAGTATTAAAATTACAATGGACACCACATTGTTATCCTTTGGTAATTCAGAAAGAACTTCTGAATCTTGAAGCTCTCCTGAGGAACTTGAGTTATCTCTGTGCTAGAGTGTGGTTATTAGATAAGTGGGTGGAGGTTATTAGACATTTCTGATTGAAATTTCTGTGAAATAGCGAATTGAAATGTTTTTTGATCCTTTTGGAGCAGAAGTTGTGTATTACTATTTGATGATGCTCTTCAGACTCTTATAATGCTGATCGTTGTGAATTTTATTTTCTACATTTTTTTCCTTTGCTGGCTAGTTATTCTTACTATGCTTGTCCGAAAGTTGTGTTTAACTCCATCCTTTTTTCAGGGGCTCTGAACATGCTTGGTAAATGCACGCACTTTCATGGTTTGAAATATTCCTCTAAAAACCTAATTCCCAAACCTACATTTCCTCCTTTAATATCACACCTCCACTTACCCACTTGCTAAAATGATTTGTTAAATACCTCCTATTGCTTGACTCTCTACCAGTTCAATGGAACACTACAAGGTCCAGGAAAAAATGATTCCTGCCCTGAAGGATTAAAGTTAACCCACATATGAGGAAGGATTAATTACAATTTTACACCAGGGGTAGTAGTACAGCTCTCTATGGTTGCAGTCAGAGCCTGACAGGGCGGTAAGAAACAACTTTGTCTCTTCGATGATTTAGAGTTTATAGTGGGCTTTCATTCACATGTAACTCTGAATTTTCTAAAAGTCCTTTGAGGTATTAGGTATTGTAACTGAAGAGGAAACTGACACTCAGAGAAGCTGTTATCCAAGGTGACACGGTTAGAGTCATAAACCTAGGATGCAAACTTGGGTTTTCTGCTTCTGAATCCAGTGACCTCTCCACTCCAGCTACTGGATTTAATGTAAGATCGAATTTCTCTGCTTGGGTTTCCAATTGTGGCAAACTTGAAGCAACAGTATGTACTCTTGGATTTTACTTTCTTTATGTCATTAGATCACACACATACACACACACACACACACACACATGAAGGTGGATAAATTAGGTATTATTTCTATGATAAGGTGATAAAACAGTGGCTGAGACGTGAAGTGACGTGCCTGAAGTCACTGTGGAACCTCATACTGAAGCTGGGGCTGGAGCCCAGTTCTTTAGATTCTCTTAACCTATCAGAGGCAGATGCACACAGCACTGTCCACCCACAAATACTGCTTTCTAATTAAATTGGCAACTGGATAATTTACAGTTTTTCTCTGTGTCTACTCTTGTTCACCTAGAATGTACTATCAACACAGTGATCCTTTAAAACGGAAGTCAGTTCATGTCATTCCTACGCAAAAGGCTGTAACTGACTCCCCCTTTTAACCTGCATGAGGGCAAGGATGGTTTTTGTTAAGTTGACCGATGTGTGATAAGCTCCTAGAACAGTGCCTGGCATACAGTAGGTGCTCAGTAAGAGTACACAGATGACCTGGTTTTATCAGTGGCACCACCACTCTCTTTAATCTATAGATTGCACCCTGTGGCACTGTCTGGGACTCTTTCCAGTCCTTTGTGGAGATTCATATCAAAAATACCAGCGAATACTCCTGACCTACTTCAAAGCTGCCCTAGGAATTCCTCTCTTCCCAATGAGCTCCACAGCCAACACCAAAACAATTGCTCCGTAGTCACGTTAAGAGAACTGTTGGCTTTCCGGCTTTGCTCCAGCATCCTCCTTCAGCCCCAGCCTCCTCCTTCAGCCCCTCCATCCCTAAGTCCATTTCACATAGGACCAATGGATAGGTTGTTTGAGATGGCAGTGTGTCACTTAACGAGGGGGATACATTCTGATAAATGCATCATCAGGCAATTTCACAGTTATGTGAACATTATAGGGTGTACTTACACAAGCCTAGATGGTATAGCCTACTACATACCTAGGCTAGTGCTCCTAGGCTATAAACCTGCACAGCATGTTACTGTACTAAATACTGCAGGCAGTTTTAACACAGTGGTATTTGTGTATTGAAATATAGAAAAGATACAGCAAAAATTCAGTGTCATAATCTCATGGGACCACCATCATATGTAAGGTCCATTATTGATGGATGTGTCATTATGTGGTGTGTGACTGTACTTAAATACAAAAGCAGAAATTTTTCAACTGCTCAGTAACCTGCCTTGGTTTCCTATAGCCTGAGATGTCAGATTCCAAGAAAAGTTTCTGCCAGCCCCACCCATAACCTGGCCCCACCCTGCACTCAGGTCTCTCCTTCTCCTTTGCCTCTGGCCACAGGACAGGCTGCTCACACCTATATCCTGGTTCCCTCTTGGTTTTTCTCCAGCCACTCCATGGAACATCCAAATCTCACCAGCTCCACCTTTCACTGGAGACTTCTCAACTCTTTCAGCCCATTTCTCATTTGAATTACAGGCTGCACATACTGTTTAACAGTTAATTAGTCTCTGTTCTGTTTTTTCTTAAGTGTTTTGTTCCCTTCCTGTTACATTAGTAGCACTGCAAAGGCAAAACCTTAGACTTCCGATTGCACACTTTTATCTTCTCCACTTTCCTGCGTATAGTATGGAACACAGAGCAGGCACTCCATAGGCATGCTTCATTCATTGGTGCTTATGTGCTTCTGCTTGTATATGTACTTTGCCCTGCCAGCTTCAGGTAGCTGAACACTTCAAATGATAAATTTTGAAGGATATCCTAAATTTATATATTGTTGGCAAGTAACGGCATTTTTTACAGCTATACTGATGAGGTATATATTAGGATAAATGTATATTTAAACTCCAGCCTTATCTAGTTTACAACATGTTTGCAGCATGTCTAAACGTAGAAAACCATACTGCACCAACCAGTGATTAATTGGGTCTTGCCGTGTGTGTGTGTGTGAGTGTGTGTGTGTGTGTGTTTCTTTTCAAGTATCTAAAGTGAATTCTGTCATTAAGAAGTCACAAAATACATAGAAATTAGTATAAAAAGCATTGAGGAAATAACTAAAGAATACAAATTAATCTAACCAACAATTAAGTTTTTAATGCTATACTGAGGCTTTATTATGGAAGTCTAGGTAGCACAGCAGTAAACCATGTTTGCATAACATAAGTTTAAGCCTGTAATCCCAGCACTTTGGGAGGCCGAGGCCGAGGCCGGTGGATTGCCTGAGTTCAGGAGTTCGAGAACAGCCTGCGCAATACAGTGAAACCCTGTCTCTACTAAAATACAAAAAATTAGCTGGGCGCAGTGGTGGGCGCCTGTAGTTCCAGCTACTCAGGAGGCTGAGGCAGGAGAATTGCTTGAACCCGGGAGGCGGAGCTTGCAGTGAGCCAAGATCCCGCCACTGCACTCCAGCCTAGGCGACAGAGCAAGACTCCGTTTCCAAAAAAAAAAAAAGTTTAAAAAGGTCCACGTTTTTCAGCAACTTTGATTTTATTTTGCAAACATTTGAAGGAAAATTATTACTCCCATCCTTGTTCATAGGTTAAGCTTTGACAATTTGCATTCTGCCATCTTGTCTTCTCTTGATTCATCTTGAGAGTCAGACACTTTTGGCTCTTGCAGGTCCTGACAGACCACTGCTGATATCCCCCTGCCACAGCACTACAGCTGGACACTTTGCAGAGTAGGCACCTCATTTATAAAGCACATTCAGAGACCATGTTCTTTACCTTTTCTTCTCCCCATGGAAAAAGCCATTCTGAGAGTGGGTTTTGGATTGGATTATTATTTTGGACACTCCATGTTTCTGCTTCATTTAGTTCCTAGGACAAATGATGCAAACCTGATAATTCTGGGTGTCAAACCCCATGTTAAAGTCCTCTTTCTTTTAGCCCAGACTTTGATTTCTTGGCCACAGAGAACCTCTTTCCTCCTCCTGTTTCTTGTCTTTAGATCCTGTTCTGAAAGTGTGGTCTGCAGACCAGCAGCAGCAGTGGCACCTGGGAGCTTGTTCTCTGTACAGAATCTCAGGCCTCATCCCAGACTTCTTGAATCAGAATCTGCATTTTTTTTTTTTTTTTTTTGAGACGGAGTCTTGCTCTGTCGCCCAGGCTGGAGCGCAGTGGCTCTCGGCTCACTGCAAGCTCCACCTCCCAGGTTCACACCATTCTGCCTCAGCCTCCCGAGTAGCTGGGACTACAGGCGCCCGCCACCACGCCTGGCTAATTTTTTGTATGTTTAGTAGAGATGGGGTTTCACCGTGTTAGCCAGGATGGTCTTGATCTCCTGACCTTGTGATCCGCCCGCCTCGGCCTCCAAAAGTGCTGGGATTACAGGCGTGAGCCACCGTGCCCGACCCAGAATCTGCATTTTTTAACAAGATTGCTAGGTAATTTGGTTTGTGAGCACACTGAAGTTTGGGAAGTCGTGTGCCTCTTTTAGGGAAGCTAGTGCAGCAGAAGTGCTGGCCACAGGACCGGCAGGCAGAGGAGACTTCACAGTTCCTATTGTCCACCACTTGACCCCCTCGATGCCCTCATTCATTCGAATCCCCCTTCGCCCTAGTACTTAAAAGTGTTTACTGTGCTTGGTGAATGAGTCACACGGCACAGGTGCATCTGCGTCGATAGAGGGCAGTCTTTTTTTCTAGCAATTAGTTGACGCCATTAGGCTCTTCTGATGGAGTCTCGGTTGCGAGAGGTGAGGCCTTTCGCTGGGCTGCAGGATAGCGGCCCTTACCACTTGTGGTCATTAAAGTTCCCGTGGTGCTTTTTGTGAGTGAAGGGATTGTTAACCTCGGCGTCCTGGCTGACTTCCAATCTGTGTAATTACATTCAGCCTACCTAAGTCTGCTCTGTAGTTTCAATTAGGTAAAGTATTGTTCACTTCTTATACTAAACTGCTGTGTTGTGTGGCTACAGACTGCTAATTAGCTAGTGTTTTTCAGGTAGCTGCATTCATGACGAACAAAACGCTCTCTCTGGTCATCATCTTCCCCGCCCCCACTCTCCCCAGTATCCACAATCCTACATACAACTAACTGCAGGCCAATTTTCTATATATTACCATTTCTTGGAAAAAAAAGTGCTTTGGGATCAGAAATTTCTCGTACATGACAATGAACATTTCTTTTGATTCTCTATGTAGCCACCTGCTTCTAACCTTATCTAACTTATTATAGGGTGTATGTGTGGGAAACCCATGCAGAGAATAAAAAGAATGTGACAACAGGTGGAAGAAATAGGCCTTCCTCTGCCAAGATGAAGGGTACATTTCTGTGATTGCCAGGGAAGTATGAATTGCTTTAAGAGCTTGCCACTCCAGGAATTGGTTATTTTAAATGTGATATGAAAGGAAGATGAGGTCAGAGAGGGCAGGGCGTACATTTATTTCTTTTTTCCCACTAGTTAGAAAAATATAGTAGGACATGTAAACTAGCAGTAAAATGCCTCAATATCTCTGTGGGGAATATCTGGCCCTAAATAGGAAATGTGGCACCAGGAGAGAGAATGGAATTCCCTTCTGTTGACTTAAAAGTTAGCACCAGGGGAAGTACGTGGCTCTGGAATGGCAGTTGGAAATGAAAGAAAAGTGGAAAAGATGGGTGAGCAGGAAGCCAAGAGGGCAGAGTTGCAAGGGCAGAGTTGTGCTGTTATCAAAGAAGAGATGTGTTTGAGAATGGAATCTTTCTGAGATGTGAAATGATTGCTATGAAGTGTCCAGATGGAAAAAAATTCTGATTTAGATAACATATCACTTTACATGCCTTTTCACTATGTAAGCAAATTTAATCTGTTTTAATGCCCAACAACATATACACAGATTAATTAGACAAAAGTTCATTTGGAGTGATTTCTTTATCTTTTCGTATCACAAACTCTATGGGAGGTAAATGAAAATCAATAAATGAAGTAAAGAAATGAATGTACAAAATTGATATAGGGAAGACTATGAAGAGGCGTCTATTGACCATCAGTTCATGGAGAGCAGGAAAAGAGGTGTTTTCAGTGCCAGAGAACCAACCTATGTCTTGCCCACCCCTTACAGCGGTTCTGTCCCAACGTGTTCTACTTGTTGTCTCTTTGAAATGAGAAAGAAGAGAAGGGGTTTACTTAGTCCAATGGAAGGACTGACTTAATGCCTGTTAAAAATAGGCTGGTTTACAAATTCCTGTTAGAAGTGGAAGGATATAGAGCCAGAAAATGGGGATTAAGAATGAGATTGAGGGATGTGAACACTCCCAGACATGGGAAGGGAAGCTTCCAGATCCTAGAGCTTTATTGCTTTCCTGGTAAAAGTGTCTTCATTTCCAGCTCAGCATCTACCACACAGTAAGTACTCAACCTGTATTTGTTTCATGAATAAATGTGTGGACAGATGATGTAGGCAACAATGTTTTGAATGTGAAGTGAGTTTTCAGAGTACAGACAAGAGAAAGAATCTGCAGAGGATGATGAATATTGGGAGGAAAGGTAGAGAACAGTGGAAAAATGTATGAGGAAACAGTTTAGTTAAAAAGAATATGGGTAGGATATAGAAGAGGAGAAGAAATGACCAGAAATAAGATACAGGAACCTCTATACCAAGGGCAATAATGTAGTGTAAAACTTGTGAGTTTGGCATGTATTTTTAAACTTTCTTTTTACATATTAATGAATGGAGCTGGGGAAAAATTATAGACCAAAAAATGTCATTGAGGCAGAAACATAATAGGCTCAAAAATGCTAACCTTAAATTTGAGCTCTACTGTTTTGTAGCTACTTCCAAAAAAGATTTTTCCCAATGGCCTGACCAAGACAGCCCCTAACCTCCTTTCTTTGCCCCCTAGGGACTCTCATTCAAGTGAAGCCTAGGGTTCTAGTTATGTACTGCTTCAAAGTCAAGTGTGGGTTGAGTCTGCTACTAGCTACAGACAAAATATTATTTATGGCTGAGATTTCCTCCTGTCCATTGCTCAACTTCAGCCTTTTCTCAGCCTAGACATTACAGTCTTGAGAACTGAAATCTCATATATAATATGTACTTTTTTCTTGCATGAGAAAAAAAAACCCCAACGACATGAAAATTTGCAGATACCCTGTGTTAAGTATTCCTGGATGTCACCCTGCAGCTCTAATTTCTGCTTTCTCCTCTGCATTCTGGGTACTGCTGCCGGACTTGTCAGCACCTTGTCACGGCTTCCTGTTGCGTGGGCTACCATCGGACTCTGTGTTCTTAACAATTATCCATAAAAAACCCCAGAAGATCCTTCACAATTAAAAAATATATATTAACAGGTAAAAAAAAAAAAAAGCCACTTTAAGAAATGCAGTTTCCTGGAGCGGGTGCTATGTGTAAAGGCTGCACAGCCTTGACTAACTGCAGCATGGTCTCGTCTTTCCCAGCCCCGTGATGCTCTTTTGTTCATGGTGTGACAAGGATGTAGGGAGCCAATACGATTTAACTAAATAATACACAAATGTCAAGAACACTTTCATGTCTTGTGTACAGACCAGAATAAATGACTCGGATGGAATGTTTTGTTTTTCTTTTCAGGGAACAACTCCACAGTTTACAAGGAGCTTTGCTGACAAGAAGTGGCTAAGAAATATTATTTAAAATAACCTATTTTAATGTAGGAGTAAATGGCTGAGGTTTTCATTTGGGTTCAAAAGACGGAGGTCTGGAAAGGAGCTTGACAGGCAGAAAGCAGTGAGGACTTAGGTTTGTCCTGGAATTCCTATGGGCAGTGGGGAGAAAAATAAGTCCAGTAAGAAATGAAAATGAGGAAACTAGTTTCTCAGAATTAAAGGTGAACTGAAAGGAATTGGCAGCTACCGGGACATGCCAGCCAGAGAGGCCACGGTATCTGATACACGTGACAGACCGAGAGACAACAGCAATGCTCCCCAAACAACTTGCCTGAAGGGCTTGCCAGGAAGCCAGATGCTGCTTCTGGAAGAATATCTTCCGTGGTTGGGCATCTGGGTTCAGTGCTTTCCATTTAAAGAGGAGAAAGAAGGTGATAAAAGGCAGCACCATTACTGCCTTCTAAAAAAACGTGCTCTAAGTGTATATATGCAGGCATGCATGCACACACACAAGCATTAATAAATGTTGACATGGAAATTGTTTTTAAAAAGGACCCCTAAAAATGAAACTTTTCTTTTTAGATGGAAAGAAATGTAGTAGAGGCAGGGAAGTGGGGAGGGTGAGAAGACAGACACTAAGAAAACCCCTTCTATAAATATAAGGGCTCACTAATTAATTAGGATTAATTAGGTAATTTTATTTAAAGGGCTGGGATTATATCTGGTGTTCAATTAGAAAAAAGGAGTCTGAGGGATTGGCCTGTGCCTCTATCACAGTTGGCTCAGCTTTCTCACTCTTTGTTTTACCATTCCTTCTTCCCTGGAAACACAATCGAGTATTGGTATTGGCAAGAAAGCAGAGTGTGGTTTAGTGGACTGGAAATCAGGTGACTTGAGGTCTGCTTGATTTTTTTCTCCCTTCCACTTTGAAGTTTGCTCCATAAAACAAGGGAACCAAATTTCTTTATACACTTAAAAGCAGAGGGCAAGCTTTTTAAGTCAAGGTGATTTTTTTTTTCTTCAGCTGATGCTAAATAATTCAAGGTAGTATGGCAATATTGGATCTCAAATGATAGACAAGGAAGTTGGGGTTGACCTGATAGGAGCTAGAAGTGGTAGAAGTTATTTAGTAGTGAGAATTATGACAGAAGATGTAGAAATAAATTTTTGTATTTCAAGATCTGCTACTAATCCCAGATAAGAAACCAGAAGAACTGGCAATTTTACTATGTACTGCAGTAATTGATCTAATAGGCTCCACCCATCACTGATGGGTGGTCACAGATTCCCTGACTGAGTCTCCCTTGGTGTGGCCAGCCTCTTTTAGAACTCATTCATTGTAGTGCTTGCACCCTTTTAACATGCAGTCTTAATATTAAGAGTATCTCTTTTTTCCAGCCTTTAAGTTCAGGAGTAACTATGCAGGATGTGCCGGTTTGTTACATAGTTAAACGTGTGCCATGGTGGTTTGCTGCACAGATCTTCCTATCACCTATGTATTAAGCCCAACAGCCATTAGCTATTCTTCCTGATGCTCTCCTTCCTCCCATCCACCATCTCACACCCCCACAACCTTCCAACAGGCCCCAATGTGTGTTGAAAGGATTCCCTATTTAATAAATAGTGCTAGCTAGCCATATGCAGAAAATTGAAACTGGACCCCTTCTTTATACCATATTTAAAAATAAACTCAAGATGGATTAAAGACTTAAATGTAAAACCCCACACTATAAAAACCATAGAAGAAAATTTAGGCAATACCATTCAGAACATAGGCACGGGTAAAGATTTCATGATGAAGATGCCAAAAGCAATGGCAACAAAAGCAAAAATTGATAAATTGGATCTGATTGAACTAAAGAACTTCTGCACAGCAAAAGAATCTATCATCAGAGTGAACAGAAAACCTACAGAATGGGAGAAAGTTTTTGCAATCTCTGCATCTGACAAAGGTCTAATATACAGCATCTATAAGGTACTTAAACGAATTTACAAGAAAAACAAACAGCCCCATTAAAAGTATTATTATTTTTATAATCAGAAGAGCTCTGCTTGTTTGTCAGGATGAAAAGAAAAATATCAGGTGAGGGGAGATAAACTTGAGAGGAAGAACTTGCTTACCAATACCCTTAAGATGGAATATTTCCTAGTACTAGTCTGAAAATACCAAGTTTCTAAGATTCCAGGTGATATGGTTTGGCTGTGTTCCTACCGAAATCTCAACTTTAGTTGTATCTCCCAGAATTCCCATGTCTTGTGGGAGGAACCCAGTGGGAGGTAATTGAATCACAGGGGCTGGTCTTTCCCATGCTATTCTCGTGATAGCGAATAAGTCTCACAAGATCTGATGGGTTTATCAGGGGTTTCTGTGTTTGCATCTTCCTCATTTTCTCTTGCCTCCACAATGTAAGAAGTACCTTTTACCTCCTGCCATGATTCTGAGGCCTCCCCAGCCATGTGGAACTGTAAGTCCAATTAAACCTCTTTTTTTTTTCCCAGTCTTGAGTATGTCTTTATCAGCAGCTTGAAAATGGACTGATACAGTAAATTGGTACTAATAGAGTGGGGCGTTGCTGAAAAGATATCCAAAAATGTGGATGTGACTTTGGAACTGGGTAACAGGCAGAGGTTGGAGCAGTTTGGAGGGCTCAGAAGAAGACAGGAAAATGTGGGAAAGTTTGGAACCTCCTAAAGACTTGTTGAATGGCTTCGAGAAAAATGCTGATAGTGATATGAACAATAAGATACAGGCTGAGGTGGTCTCAGATGGAGATGAGGAACTTGGGAACTGGAGCAAAGGTGACTCTTGTTATGTTTTGGCAAAGAGACTGGTGGCATTCTGCCCCTGCCCTAGAGATCTGTGAAATTTTAAAACTTGAGAGAGATGATTTAGGGTATCTGGTGGAAGAAATTCTTAAGCAGCAAAGCATTCAAAAGGTGACTTAGGTGCTGTAAAAGCATTCTGTTTTAGAAGGGAAACAGAGCATAAAAGTTCAGAAAATTTGCAGCCTGATAATGAGTAGAAAAGAAAAACCCATTTTCTGGGGAGAAATTCAAGCCAGCTGCAGAAATTTGCATAAGTAGCAAGGAGTTTAATGTTAATCCCCAAGACCATGGGAAAAATGTCTCCAGGCCATGTCAGAGACCTTCATGGCAGCCCCTCCCATCACAGGCCCAGAGGCCCAGGAGGAAACAGTGGTTTCATGGGCTGGGCCCAGGGTCCCTGTGCTGTGTGCAGCCTAGGGATGTGGTACCCTGCATCCCAGCCACTCCAGCCATGGCTGAAAGGGGCCAACGTAGAGTTTGGGCTGTGGCTTCAGAGGGTGGAAGCCCCAAGCCTTGGCAGCTATGTGGTGTTGAGCCTGTGGATGCACAGAAGTCATGAATTGAGGTTTGGGAACCTCTGCCTAGATTTAAGATGTATAGAAACACCTGGATGCCTAGGCAAAAGTTTGCTGCAGGGGCAGGGTCCTCATGGAGAACTTCTGCTAGGGCATTGCGGAAGGGAAATGTGGGGTCAGAGTCCCCACACAGAGTCCCTTCTGGGGCACTGCCTAGTAGAGCTATGAGAAAAGAGGGCCACCATCCTCCAGACCCCAGAATGGTAGATCCACCAACAGCTTACACTGTCTGTCTAGAAAAGCTGCAGACACTCGATGCCAGCCTATGAAAGCAGCCAGGATGGAGGCTGTACCCTGCAAAGCCACAGGGGCAGAGCTGCCTAAGACCATGGGAACCCACCTCTTGTATCAGCATGACCTGAATGTGAGACCTGGAGTCAAAGGAGATCATTTTGGAGCTTTAAAATTTGACTGCCCCACTGGATTTTGGACTTGCATGGGGGCCTGTAACCCCTTTGTTTTGGCTGATTTCTCCCACTTGGAATGGCTCTATTTACTCAATACCTGTACCCTCTTTGTATCTAGGAAGTAATTAGCTTGCTTTTGATTTTATAGGCTCATAGGCAGAAGTGACGTGCCTTGTCTCAGATGAGAATTTGGACTGTGGACTTTTGGGTTAATGCTGGAATGAGTTAAGACTTTGGGGGACTGTTGGGAAGGCATGATTGGTTTTGATATATGAGGACATGAGATTTGGAGGGTCAGGGATGGAATGATATGTTTGGCTGTGTTCTTACCCAAAACTCAACTTTAATTGTATCTCTGAGAATTTCCACGTGCTATGGGAGGGACCCAGCGGGAGGTAATTGGATCATGGGGGCTGGTCATTCCCGTGCTATTCTTGTGATAGTGAATAAGTCTCACAAGATCTGACAGGTTTGTCAGGGGTTTCCATTTTTGCTTCTTCTTTGTTTTCTCTTGCTGCCACCATATAAGAAGTGTCTTTTGCCTCCCGCCATGATTCTGAGGTCTCTCCACCTCAGCCACGTGGAACTGTAAGTCCAATTAAACTTCTTTTTCTTCCCAGCCTTGGGTATGTCTTTATCAGAAGCATGAAAATGGACTAATACACTAGGCTTACGTAGTTGATGTTACCTGGAACCACTCACTGGCTATTAGATTATCATCTTGTTCAATGAAGTAACGCGATTCCATTTGTTCAACAAAAATTATTGAGTATCTATGTAGGACACGGTGCTAGGGGATATAGCAGGAATCAAAATGACACAAATTTCTGCCCTTCTGGAGCCAGTGCTCTAAGAGCAGAAGAAGCCAGGTTAGTTCTTTATATTTTCAGGACCTGGCTATGCTATAGAATATCATTTTTTTTCCTGCTAGATTATACTTATTCCTGTGGGTTTTTTTTTTTTTAAAGCTGAAGGGTGAAGGTAAGAACAGTAACTGGTCATTGTTATAAATTCTGCCCAGTGTCCTGTTAAGCTGAGGTTATTCTAGGTGTTCCTTGTGTAATGAGTAGTTTTCATCACAAAATATACCTTTGCTCTTGCCAAATGTTTTTTCTATCAATATGCGTGCCATTCTCAGACTCCTTTTCTGTTATCTCTTTCTCTGACCATCCATTCAATGTTAGAAGTCTCTAGGAATCTGTCCTTGATTCTCTTCTGGGTTCACCCTTGACTCTCTTCTGGGTTCACACGGTCCCTTGGAGGCATTCATGACCTTACCCCATTGCCATCTTTAAACCAACAACTCCAAAATTTGTCCCTAGATCTCAATCACCTTTCTTGCATTCCAAACATATATATCTTATCCTTGACTGGATTTTGCTAATAGAATATAACAATGAGCAAGTCACATTATGTTAACAAAATTTCTGCTTTTTTCATGCCTCCAGTTTGGTCCTTTTCCTATGTGAAATGTAAGTTAAGGATATCACCATTCAGCTAATTCAAAATCTGGGTGCCATCCTGGAATCCTTCGTCTTCCTAACCTCTCGCATGTACTTGGTGCACATGTTCTGTTGCATCTACTGCTTCAATGCCTCTTGTATCCATCACTTTCCCCCATTCTCCCTATCACTCCCTTAGCTGGGGATCTCTAGCTTGGACTACTATACCAGCATTCTACTGTTTTCCCTACTTCTGGTGTTGCCCTTCTACAAGCTGTCCTTCACTCTTATAAAAACTGTGGTCTTTATGAATACAAATTTCATTACCTTACCTCTCCACTTGAGATCCTTCAGTGATTTTCCTAATGTCTACAGGTTTTGTTTTGTTTTGTTTTTGTTTTTTGACACGATCTTGCTTTGTTGCCTAGAGTGCATTGGCAAAATCATAGGTCACTGTAGCCTCCGAACTCCTGGGCTCAAGTGATCTTCCTGTCTCAGCCACTTGAGTAGCTGGGACTACAGATGCATGCCACAATGTCTGGCTAATTTTTTAATGTTTTGTAGAGATGAGTTCTCACTATGTTGCCCAGGCTGATCTGGAATTCCTGAGCTCAAGCTATCCTCCCTCCTCAACCGCTGAAAGTGCTAGGATTAAATGAGTGAGCGACAGTGCTTAGCCTACAGAAAGAATTTCAAGCTCCTTATCAGACTGTATGGTATTCTTCACAATTTAACTTGTTTACAACGTTAGAGGCTCATAATCTGCCACTGTTTATTCTCTTTATAATTCCTAATTCTCTAATCCTTCCAGAGGACTCACCATTTCTTTACCACATTGCAGTTCTCTTCCATGTTCTTGTACAGAGTATTCTCTCTCCCTACAGTAGGTCTGTTGTCTGCCAAGCCAACATCCTTAAAGATAGCTTGTTTCATGTCCTCTGGGGGGCATCCTTTGATTTTTCTAAGCTAAATTTCAGCTGCTGCCTAGAATTCTCCTAGCATTTTAGATATTGCATCATGTTTATTATAATTGTTTACTAATTTATCTGCCTCAGGAGACGATAAGATACGTGAGGGTAGGAATCCTCTTTATGCATTTAACATTGAGTTGAAGGGTCAGCAATTTTTTTCTGTGAAGGGTCAGATGGTAAATATTTTTGGCCTTGTGTACCTTGTTATGACTTATTGTGACCTCTTGCCTTTGTAGCATGAAAGCAGCCATAGGCAAAACATAAACAAATAGATGTGTGTTTCAATAAAACTTTATTGACAAAAACAGGAGGCAGGCTGAGTGTGGCCTGTGGGCCACACTTTTCCAACCCCTGATTTTGTTCAGGTCTGGAATATAGCAGGCACTCATTTGAGACTTCCTGAAGGAATTTGTAGGTAGAATTTTACAGTTACCAAACATTTTCACAAATATGAATTTATTTGACTTAATTAACACCTGAACAAAAGGGACGGTTACAGACTTTGAAAGATTTTCTCAATGTTGTACAGTTTCTAAGGGCTGAGAATGGGGCCTGAGACTATGTCTTCTGATTCCAAATTCTTTCCATTAGGTTAAAGGCCAAGATTCATAGTAGAGAAGGGTGGGGCAACTTAAAAATTTTACCTCTCATGAGGGAAATACCCTCATACAGTTGGCCATCACTTAACAATAGAGACAACAATGATAGATGGGATGGTAGCAACTTTAGGTTTTGTTGTTTCCTATTTTTCAGTGGTGAATGTTACCATTCAAATGTTAAATCTAAAGATCTAAAGTAATAATTTCACTCCCGTCTTAAAACCTTATCTCCCACAGCCTTCCTCTAGAACGAGGAGGCACTGCTGGAAGGATCACTGAACCTTAGTCCTCAGCTCACAAACCTTATAAATCCCATGCCAAGATGTCTCCTAAGTAGATGACATTTTAATGATTACTATGGGGAGTTGGGAACTATTGCTTCACCCTCGCGATCAGAGTAATTAATTTTCTTAACTACCAGGCCAAATTCTGCTATGGGAGTCCAGTTGAGAAATTTCAGGCCCATAGGAAGTACATTAGCTCTTTAAAGTGATCAGGGTGCCATTTCAAATACAAAAGCAAAGGAGCTATGAAGCTTCTGGCTTATTTCAAACAACTCACAACCCGTGTCCCACAGGAAAAGAGAAAAAAAAAGAAAAGAGAGAGTAAAAGAAAATAATAATTTGCACAGGTTCCTCATTTTCCAGTAAAAATATCCATGTCTGCAAGTCTTTGGATATCAGGTATTGTGGTTGGGTGAAAGACCAAAGTGTACAGAAAAAGAATGGAGTGCCAGAAGACAGCACAGAAAAACATAACGTGCTCAAAAGCACAGCAGAGCTGAGCATTCAGAGGCCTGGATGGGAGGCAGAGAGCGTCACCAGCATGGCCCCTGACGACCAGAGAGAAGGGTGATGGCTGTGGGCTTTGAAGTCCATTCTTTAAGCATATCTAATTTCTCCCCACCAAAACATCAGAAATACCTACAGTGTCATTTTAAAGACAGGGTGGACGAATTATTTTGTCTCCATTGTTTTCTGATACAACCCTTATATTTCTAGGTCATTATCATTTAAGTTGCCTCTGACATGCTTTTGTAGAATATTTTATTTAATATCCATGAAGACCACAGAGAAGCTTTAAATATTGGTTTACTTTCACAAAATAGCCCCAGCTCAACAGTTTCTGGGGCTCAACAGTTTCTACTTTCAATGAGGCATTCAATTGGCATTAGTCCATGAGATTTGTCTATTCAGCCATATCATTTTTTCACCTTGGAATTCTATGAACAGCTGGACAACTTCCTTAGAGTCAATGCAAAAGGGAAGATTTTAACTTTCAACCTATTTTACAAAGTGCAAGTCTCCTACAATAATGTTTATTTGCACGTAAAATCTGCAGCAAATATATTCTTCCAAAGCTATTTTTAAAAATCAACAAATAACATTACTTCCTAAGTCATTATTAAAAGTTGCCCATTTCTAAGACATTTTATTTTCTCTGAGTAATGTGTGCATGCATAATGTGTACATAAAAGTTCTTTTGAGTCCTTACACCCCCCTCACAAATTTGAGATTGTTTTGGCTTGCAAAATGCATGCCACAAAGGAAATCTGGTCAACTAGTTAAATTTAGCTCTGTGGAAAGACTTTATTTATTTTCTAAATTTTCCATAATTATGTATTATTTTTATCATGGAAATGAAAATATGGAAAAAGACTTCAGCAATATCTAGAATATACTAATAGTCATGACAACAAAAGTTCTAGTACTTCCAAAGGGCAGCACCAGGCCTAGGTGGATAAGTAGTTGATAAGATTCCAGGTGAATATGTAGTTGATAAGATTCTAGGTGGATATGTAGTTGATAAGATTCTAGGAGTGTTTATATTGGTGACTGGGACACAGAGTATGGCCCTGCTGGCTTCAAAATCTCTTACTTATCAGGCTTTCATAAAGCTGGTGTTCTGTTTGTCTTGGCAGGAAATTCTGATCATGAAAATCACTCTGAGAAGTTATACAACAAAGCAAGGGAACTAGAAGTCTATTAGGGAGACTCTTCTAACAGAGGAGGCTCTTCATAAGAGGCATAGAGAGACCTGTGCCTATTTCCAATTTCCTTATGCCTGCCCCAAAGGCCGGCAGACTAGATGATCACATTAGCAAACTATCACTTGGAGGGTGAAAAGAGTTGGAACTAAGACCAGGGGACAATATGCCAGCCAGGCTGACAGGGTGTCTGAGACAGAAAAGAGTGGGGATTGGGTATGAGAATGGGGGTGTGATGTAGCTTGTCAAACATGTGAAATAGTCTCACTGGGACTCTGGGAAACTGGCTGAGTCAGGACAGTAAGGAAACTCAAGTTTTGGAAAAAGATCCTGAGATGGGATAAAGACTTTTCTGGAAATCATGAAATTTAGCAGTAATTTAGCCTGCACTGCCTTGGTAATTCTTGCTATATTTATTTCATTAATAATTATATTACCCTCACTATAAAATACTGTAATAATAATACATGTAATATAATACATTTAAAAAATACATTGATGTAAAATGTTTATTTAATACTTAGGTGCTAAGTACTATGCAAGACTCTTCAAAAGCATTATTCATATACTTCTCACTACAGAAATAAGTTCTTTTATAATCTCCCTTTGACAGATGACAAAATGGAAGCTTAGAGTTGAATGAATTGGCCAAGGTTATACATCCAGTAAGTGGCAGAGCCAAGACTTGCATTCAGATCAGCCTAACTCCAAAGCCTGGTTTCTTTGTTCCCTTAACTTCAATGTCTCCTCCTATACCATTATTAGGGGGTAAAAAGAAACACAGGAACGAAACTCTCACAATCCAACAACTCAAAGAAATATCAACATTTTAGTAAATATTTTTATAGTCTTTTCTACATTCACAACTTTTTCCCCCATATTTATAATTATGCTCTCTTTGAATATGCAAAAGACTGTATCTCTGATTTTATTTAACATTTAACACAGCATTTCTCCAAGTTGAAGCAGAAAGAAAATAAAAACCATGAACTACACTTTACTAAGGCAATATGATGTATCCTGTTCTACATAACCCTCCCCTATCACTGAACACTTACATTGTCTCCAAATGCTCACTGTTGCAAACAGTGCTACCATGGACAATTTTATCTGCATAAACTTTTCACCTCTATGTGACTGGTTTTAAAGGTATGAAACTTTGAAAAGTCTGCATTCTCGAGATACATTGCATATACGGGTTTTCCGATATGTTAGCTGTCCATCCCAACCAGCAGCATATAGAGGCCTTGATTAATACACACCTGCCAAAATCGGATTCATCCTATTTCATTAGTTTGCTACAACCTCGTCATCTTCTTTCCCATGTCTGTTTTTGGAAAACAGAGAAAAGAGCACCCTTCTAAACAATATCTCATTTTGCTTTTAAAAATAATGCTATCAGGGGGACTATTTTCATAAGTACTTATCATTGAAATCTCAGATGTATCTCTATGGCTGACTGGATATGGGAGACAAATGAAAACTGTGTGGACTTTTCCTTTGAAAAATCTCAAGATTTTGGCCATTTCTTTCCTTTTGACGTCCATCACTCCAATCCAATTGCAACTCCCCTGGGACCTCCTGGGTTCTCTCCTCTTTCTACCTCTTTCATCCTATACTCTGCTGTCAGATGACTCTTACATTAACACTGAGCACATCATGCAATTTTCTGGTTCATAAAAGGTTAACGATTCCCTAGTTATTATTTAACCCCTTTACTGGCTCTCAACCACCAGCTACTATCCATCAGCAAGTAAACCATCTTGCTAGGTCCTCCTTCCCACTAACTTCATCTTCACTCTGCCTCTCTGCCTTTCCAAAGAAGCAGGCTATAGGAAAATGCATTTGACACTTGTATTTTATAGAGACAGTTTTGCCATTTATATGATGATTCAGAAGGTACCAGAGGACCTTCCAGGGCCTATCACTGTAATGTCAGTTTGTGAAAATGGCTATTAATAAAGGTTTCTGGCTGACGGGATCTTGAGATGATAGCTTATTCCGAATTCCTGGTCTTAAGCTATGATAGCAGATGCATAGAACTTGACCCTGAGTTTGATTAAGAATGAAGACTCTGGACTCTGAGACTAGTCAGCCTGTGCAGCCATTGTGCAACCTTATGCTTAATATAATCACAATCCTTTAAAAATTCTGGCTTTTGTGGATAGGATTTGCATTTACCTTCTAGTCCAACTGTGCCGCATTAAGCTTTCCCAGTTGATAGCTGATCTGCTTTGAGGAGTGCATTTAACTCAGAGCTCTGCAAAAATGGAGTGCTTTTCTGTTGACTGTAGAGTACGTAGGTCAAGTGGAATTTTTGGCACTTCATTACATTCCCTGACCCTCACTAAACAAACTTCAAAATATATATATTTGCAACAATTTGGAATAAACACTACATACAAGGGTTGACGATAGATTTTCTGAAGAACTACCAAATGCATTAAGACTAAGGAAAACATTCTAATGATTCTTTCAAACACGAATATATTTAAATTCCTGTTAAACAATCTTCTTATTTAGTCTTCTCAGGCTTTGATGACACGCCACGATTGGCTGTTTATCAAAAACTTAGCAAAAAAATGCTTAACAAGATATAATTGTGTGCACACACTCGTGCATAATTAAACCCAGTTTATAAATTGGTACAGGGTGAAATATAGTCATACCACCCAAGAAAGGTTGGTGGCTAGCAAACAACACTTCTTCCCATGTATAATAATCAATCTTAAAATGTGAATACTGTGAAGTGATATAATAATCTGATCTTAAATCTTAATTTAAAACATCTATTTCCATCTCTATTGAACTAAATGAAAGTTCTGACAAGATTAGGAAATTAACTGGGATGTAAAAAACAGGATCAGGCATTAATTGTTAAAACTGGGATTATGTGGCCTGGACATGGACGATCGTCATCCTTTGAAGGTTTTTAACTAGATAGATTCTCTTCTGTGTGTTTTATTTATTTTATTTGAAGGAGGATTTAGCTGACTCTTAGTTTCTTTATTTTATAGCTATTTCTTCAGTTGAAAAAAAAGGGAATAATTGGGACAGAGTAACGGATATTTCTCAAGAACTTTAAGACAAGGTATTGCATAGCATTAAAGGGTATACTTTTCCATTTGTTTTATGACTTTGTCCAGTTAAAGTTACTGAGATAAGCACTCCAGTATTTACTTGTAACTTGAAACCGCTTTCATGGTGTGTCTGGATCCTAAGGGAAAAGAATTAACATTTGAGGAATGCTTACCTTGTGCCAGGCGTTTTATATGCATTATCTCATTTAATTCTCATAACCACAAGATATGGTTGATAGTATTTAATCCGATTTTACTTGCCTGAGATCATAATGGGAGTAAAGCATAGAGCAAGGATTTGACTCTAGGTCTCTCTTTCTATTTCTTTAAAGCCCAAGATCCTTTCACTAAACCACATTGGATTTCTCACCGTAGCCAGTATGTGGGAGTGACAAGAAGGAACACTCTAATAGTAAGAGATTTTCTGAACTTTAAGATAAAGTTCCCCTTTTGAGAGTAAAATAAGACAGAAAATGATGAGTCAGATTAAAACATGTTCCCTAACGCAATGAACTGGTTTAGCAAGTTATGGACTGTGTATACCATGAAATACTATTGACATCATTAGAAATAATAAGATAAGTCTGTTTAATGAAATAGAAGTCTGTATATGAGTTACAAAATAGTTGTATAATAATATGTGCAATATGATGTACTTTAACATTAGAAGCAACCATACACACATATGTTTGCATGTGTTTAGGAACAGGTCAGGAAGGATACATACAAAAATGTTAGTTACTTCTGTTCAGCAGGCTAAGAGTGGTAGGCAGATTTCAGTTTTTAAATGTAAATGCATCACTGTTGCTTAATTTTGGGGGGTGCAATTGCATGTATTACATTCACAATGAAAAATCATGTAATAGATTAGTTGAATAATCTGTAGGAATGACTCATCCCAAATTATGAGTGATTGAGGTGTTTAAGGAGATTTAATCTCACAAAAGCAAAACTGCTCAATCTATTTGAACCTCTGTCAGGCTTCAATTTTACTATGCATATATCATGAAAGCTAAAACCTCATAACTTGCGTTGCACTCTGCCTTATCTGAAGAAGGTGTTAACAGAAGGCAAATGAGTAACAGTCATTTCAGACTTAACATGTCCAAAATAGAGCTCTCAAACCTGCTTTTCCTACTCAACTTGTTCCTCTCTGCAGTTTTACCCATCTCTGCGATACTATCGCTTCTTCACTTGCCCAAGTTGAAACCCAAAATTTGCACACTTGATTTCTCCTTTCCTTTCCCAATGGTATCCCAACCAGCAGCAAGTCCAGCCTGATCCATCTCCACAATATCTCTACCCATTTCTCTCTGAGGGCTCCACTCAAGCCACCAATATCTCCTGCCTGTACTACTGTGGTTGTCTGCCATTAGGTCTTCCTCTCTTCACCTTTGCAATGCATTCTCCACTTAGCAGCCAGATCAATCTTTTACACTCCCTCAATTGTAGCATTCTTCAGTGGTTCTTCCTTGAATTTAGAATAGAATCCAAATCTCTCACTGTGGACCACAAGAACCTATGTGATCTGATGCTAGTGTGATACTTGGGACTTCAGCTCCTGATCCCATCTTGCCTCCACATTTGGGCCTAGCAGTTCGGGTTTAATTTCTGCTTTTCAAATACTTCCAGCTCTTAGGGGCTTCTAGGGCTTTACATTTGCCTTTTTTTTTTTTTTTTCCTGGAAGACTCCTCTCTTAGCTATTTACATGGATAGCACCTTATCAATCTGAGCCAACATTTTACAGATGAGGAAATTGGTTGCAGAGGGTTTAAGTAACTTATTTGTGGCCCCAGCACGTGGTACATGGTGGGGCTGAGTTTTGAATCCATGTCTGAATCATTTCATGTTCTTTCATTATGTTAGATAACAAAGTCAAGATGACCCATCCCAGGGTCCAGGCGATGGTTCTGACAAGCAATCAGCAAACATATACTAGTTGAAAGGGCCTTGAAAAATAAGTTATTTCAGAAGTTCCTTTTGTAGATTGTCCTTCCTATCCCTAACACATTCTCCAGCTTCTGCAGAAAGACCTAGTTCAGCTACAAGGGAAAATACGAGATGTACGCATTTGGAAACTCTTGCCTTAGAGATGTGAAATTCAATATTGCCCATTTAGGAAATGACTATAAAATGACACATCCAGAAATCCTTACAACTTACTTAGTTAGATGTCCAAAGAGGACTTTCATGGTGTCACGATTTGGCGGAGGGAGTTTTTGTACAAGAGATTTTACAGCTTCAATTCTTGTGTTGTTGTCTTGCTTTTCTGGAAAAAAAAATAAAAAGGAAGGTTAGGGAAAAAACAAGATTTCATAGGTACAGGTACATGAGAAAATTTTCTTGAGAAAATTTTGGACTGAGACTAGCAACTAAGAGTCCTAGTCAGTAGTCAAAGGGAATAGGTGGACTCAACCTGGTTATTAAGGAGTTTCTTTTTATTTTGACTCTGAATTTGACAGTGGCAGGCCTTCTGGGAGGCTGTGTATGAACTGATTAGCTTTTAGCCTTTGTACCTTTTCTCCTTTCTGCTTCTTTGAATGTAGATAGAATGGCTGTACTGTGAGATAATCTTAACATGAAAGCAACAACAATGTGACTTTGACATTATCTTCCTGATCTTAACATTTGGTTTTCTTAAATGTCCTGTTTTACAAGGAGTGGTAGGGTGAACAAGGGCCTTCCAAAGATGTCCGTGTCTGAATCCCTGGAATGTGTGACTATGTTACCTCACATGGCAAAAGGGACTTTGCAGATATGATCAGTTAGAGATTTTGAGATGGGGAGATTTTTCTGGATTATCTCAATGGGCCCAGTGGAATCACAAAGATCCTTATTAGGGAGAAACAGGAGAATGAGAGTCAGAAAAGGTGATATGAGTTCTCATGTGACAACGGGAGCAGAAAAGAGAGGGTATGCGATGAGGGGCTGCTTTCTAAGGAATTGCCACAGTCTCCAAAAGCTGGGAAAGGCAAGGAGACAGAGCCTCTAGGGATACCGCAGGCCTACCAACCTCTTCAGTTTCAGTCTGAAACTGATTTCAGACTTGCACCCTCCATAACTGTAAGAGGATAAGTTTGTGTTTTAAGTTTGTGTGAGTGTTAAGTAGCAATGGGAAACTAAACAAGGACATATAGTGTGATTTGATTACAAATATTCTATTGTTGCTTGATTTTGTAGAAGGGAAAATTGTTTTAAAAATTATTTCCATGTTATCCTTTTTCCCTTACACATTTTGTTTTTGCTTTAAAATAAGAGGGTAAAACAGAAAAAAAAATTGAAATAGCATATTTCCTGGTCATAAACATTTTATAAAATAGGAAGTTGTTCAAAACTGCATACCACATTGATTTCTCTCATTTTGTTTTGTTTATAGATGGAAAAGTAAAAATTGATTTACTTAGTACACTAGGGAATTCATCTTTCCACAGTTTTAACCAGGGCCTTATCATCTAGAGGTATAATTATTTATTGAACTTAAACACCTCATGCACTTTCCTTTCTATACTTTAACTTCTAGCACAGGGCTCTTGATGATTCTAAACAGGCCACAGCTGGAAAATAAGATATAAAAAAGACTAATATGTAAGGCAAACATCCACCCAATAACCATTCTCTTCTTCCTTAGCAAGACAATCCCACTGTTAAGAGGATGGTAATAGACCCAGCTGCCTTGGAGCTGGAGTGGCCATGGGACCAAGTCTGGCCAATGAGACTGAAGTGACAGGGTTGGTCAGGCCTTCTGGGAGAGCATGTATGAGCTGATTTAGCTTTTAGCCTGTGTACCTTTCCTCCTTTCTGTTTCTTTGAATGTAGATGGAGTGGCTGTACTATGAGCTAATCTGGGGAACTGAAGCTCTGTGGAGTGAAATACACAGGTAGAAAGAGCTTTCTCGAATCTGTGGAGCAGTCATACTAGTCCTGCACTGTCTGCCTCTGGGTTTCTTTTGTATTTTTTGAGACAGGATCTTGCTCTACTGTGCAGCCTGGAGTGCAGTGGTGTGAACATGGCTTACTGCAGTCTCAACTCCTGGGCTCAAGCTATCCTCCTGCCTCAGCCTCCTGAGTAGCTAGGACCACGGGTGCATGCCACCATGCCCAGCTCACTTTATTTTTTGTAGAGAAAGGGTCTCCTTATGATGCCCAAGCAGGTCTTGAACTCCAGGGCTCAAGCAATCATTCTGCCTTGGCCTCCTTAAGTGCTGGCATTACAGGTATAAGCCACCACGCCTGGCCCACTGGGTTTCTTTGACATAAGAAAATAAGCCCTGTGTACTGAAGCCTTTGAGGATGGATCTCTGATACTAAGGCCAAATACAGTTCTTAATAATAAGATGTACTTACAAAAGTCCAATTCAATAGATATATAAACTTTATGACAGTAGGATAAGAAAGAGTTAGTTTAGAAACTGGCAGGTTCTTTAATATGTTGTCGCAAAAGAATTTTTTTATAAGGAATTACAGGAAAATATCCTGCAGAAGATGGTATTTGGCTAAAGTGGGATGGGGGCAGTCTTCCTAGTAGAACTCTGCTTGGAAGCTTTTCTTTTTCCTTCTAAAACCACAAAGGCCTATAAATAATGCCTCCCACAGTCAAAGCTTTCAAAATTGCAGTTATTCTTAGAAGAGTTCCAACATAATATGGCTTGGACAACTGCAAAAAAAAGAAACAAAGGGGAGCGAGAAAGAGAAAAAAAAGAAAGTTGCAACATCATAGCCTATACCAGACCTCATCTTTTCTGCCAAATAGTAAAAAGCCCTCTTGGAGCTTAATGATGGTAAGAAAATGTGATGCTTCACAAGACCAACTGGGGCCTATGAAATATCATAAACCAGAAAAAAAGTACAAGTTAATGAAGATGAGAGTGAAATTGGCATAGTATGCCCAGGTCAGAGCTATTGGGGATGCTTGAATGCTTTCTATCCAACCGTTTGAAGCTAATACCACACAACCATAATTGTGTGTGTATATATGCGTGTGTATACACACACACACACACTCATATATATATATTCATTCAAGAGGTGGATACATTCTGTACAGTTTGGCATGATTCCAGTACAGTTTACCTGAGGATCTGGTGAACTACTAGGTGCAAGCAATCAGTATGAAACTGGGAAGGGGATGAGAGGAGAGGAGAGAGGAGGAGAAGAGACCTTTCTAATTTCACTGAAGTCTCTGACTAAAGTAATAATCAGGTTAATGCCAGAGTCTCCAAAAAAGGGACCAGTTGACATTGAGGGCTACAGAAGTAGCAGCTATAAATTAAGCTTTACAGGCAAGAAGTGGGGAGTAGTCTTGTTGGTTCCAACCAGCAAACTTTACTTATAGGGAACATGATCCAGTCAGGGTGGGGTTAGAAAAGATTGGCCGTTGCTTAATTAGAAAGAGCTGATTTGCAAGGACACTTTCATGGTGTTTGGGCAGGAATTAAGACATAGTCAAGTCCGTTAAGCCAACAGGTAAAATAATTGTGAGCTTTCTTAGAGTCAGCTCTCCCTCTCCTGAGTTCTGTTGCATTTAGAATATTCTACTTACACAACACTTCACATGGTATTTGTACTGCTTGAATGCTTGTCAAATTCCCCTATTAAATAGGGAATTTTCCTTTAAAGCTAGGCAATTTTTATGCTAGCATGTGGTGGGTTAAATGAATGAAAAAGGAATTAGTGAGTGAACTAATGAAAGTTGTGACCATGAACTGGAATATGTGGACCTTGGTTTGAATTCTGTAACAGCTTTTTATTAGCCGTGTGGTCTTGGAGAAGTTTCTTACTCTCTTTGAATAAGATCTAAAAGTGTAGTTTTGTTGAATAAACAAGATAGTATGTAATGTACCAAGCACAATTACAAGTAAAACAAAGTACTATATAAATGTTCACCTTCCCCTGCACCCCTCTCACCTCTTTTGAGGCCCAAGCCACTGGGTCTTGTTCACCTTTTAATCCCAGCAGTTAGCATACTATTTGGTTGCAGGGACATTCAAAATGTAGTTGCTAATTCATGAACTGAGTTGGTGCCAGTTGGTGAAAGTACAATTGCTATAGTAGCCCAACATTACACAACAACCTAAATACTTTGTGATAGGCTGAGAAATTGATGGTCTGATTGGTGAGCAGGTCAGTTATGTATAAGTATCCTTATGAAAAGTACATGTCGGTTTCCAAGTTTGCCTATAAGAAACATTCTACATGAAGAATATTTTATAGAAATATTTTTCTCTCTTTTTCCACTTTCACACATTCTTGGGGAATCAGACAATTGGATATTGGTGCATGCATATTTGTGGCCAAGTTATACTTAAGTGCTAAATGGGGAAGTGTACCATGGCTTAGAGAGAGCTGAAATATTAAGGAGGAACAATTTATTTTTCTTACAACATAATCAGAACAAAATCTTCTGAAAAGGTTATAGTAAAGCAGTGTTTTTTTTCATTCAAATCAATACCACACCCACTCTTCCATAGCTTGTAAAATCAGGAAATAACACAAACACTTCAAGTGGAGAAACATCTAAAAATACAATTGGATACATTAAAATCGAAATGACACCTTTTCAGATCTGGTTTATTGATGTGTCATATTAGGAATTGGAATCAGCATACATAATACAGGAGTGGTTAATGAGCTAAGATTCATAAACAGCTTACTAAAGATGTGTCAACTGTCTTCAATTGATTCAGTGAGCATCTGAAAGACAGCATTTTCTATTAATATTTCTCCTTCAGCATATGTTTTTCTCATTATGAAGCGCTGAAGGTTCTGAGAAGACTTTGAGATATCACTAACTTTTTACATTATGACTGGTGGGAGGAGGAAGGAACTTTTTGTACTCTTAGGCAAACTGTATGTGAAGAGACTTATACAAAATCTTTCCAGAAGTAATGAACTCCATAATTCTTTCCCTCTTTCATTTGCATTTACTCCTGCCCTTATTCTATTATGATTTATTTTTGCCTCTATTCCATGAAATACCTCCATTTTAGTTCTCCACCCATATCCAAATAGCCTCTTCAATCTCTAAGCTGTGAACCCACAATTGCACACACAACTTTTTATAGTGCTTCGTTTTTTTCCATCCAATAGTGATTCTCAACTGTTTCTTACTAATACCCATTCCTCACCAACCTGCCCCCATCTTCTCAAACTACATCAAACTCATTGTTGTAAACAAGTTTAAAAAATGATTCCATGCTGTTCAGAGAAGTAACACCTACGTGATGTGAAATAGCCTTTAATGTTATGATAAGAATGTGGCTTTATAGTTTTGAGGGCACATTTTTCAAAATATGGTTTATGATAGTTACACTTGCATTCATCTGCATGAAATGTTGTTACTAAAGCACGTTTACAACCCAATGCCTTTTAGAAAAGAGATAAGATAAAGCTGTATATGATGATGGAAAAAGTTCTGTACAGTGAAGAACCTTGGATCCAATGTCCCTGGACACTTTTCTGTCCTTATCATCCATGCCTTTATTGTTCTTATAGCTTCATGTTAAATCACATTTAAAAATAAATTCTGCTTTGTTATATAGGTCCACTCAGAGGAAGAAAAGACCAGTTTATCCCAGTAATCAATGTATAGGGAGTAATATTCATCTCATTTGTCTACAGTTCTTAAAGGACAACTGTATTCCTTTGTTTTAAAGAGGTCAGTGGTACCACAGCTGTTCTGCTTCTGAAAGTTATTCTGAAATGTCTAATGCACCCTGTATGAAAAACATGGTAGTCCCTATATGTCAGAGCTATATTTGGAAGAATAGCAGTTCTCTAGTTTCTATTCAATTTATAGTTTTTGTACTGTGGCCATTTCCGAATTTAGTTAGAGACTGTGCTTGCTTACAGGAGGAAGGAGTATCTCCAGAGATCATTTTATTTGTTTCAGCATGCCTTACAACTGGATACAAACCTCTGAGGATACACTTTTTAATGCCAAAACTTGAGTTGCCCATTGAGGAGTCATCTCAGGGATGACAACAATTGCTTGATAAATATCTTTGAGTAACTCATAGTTGCTTTAAGAGGAGATGCTCTGGGGGCAAATTCAAATCTCACAAATAGATACAAATATACACATGCTTCAAACTCACATTATAAATAAGAAAATCGGTATATCCAGTGACATACCACTTCTCAGGAATCTGGAAAAGACTGGGTTAGAATTTTTGCTATGCTGTATGATTTTGGGCAAGTTGCTTGAACTATTGATGCTTCTAGTTCTTTACTTGAAAATACAGAAAAATTATACATCTTATTGGATTTTCGTAGAATTAAATATTTCAGTGCACATAAATGTACACATAGTAAGTGATCATTTAAGTAAGTCCCCTGTAAGTCCTCTTCCCTTAAAACATATTTCTTTCTCATTGTCTTCTCTATCATCCCTGATACATAACTGCTCCTGGTTCAAGGTTGTTTCTGAAATCAAATGAAGTCATACTTTTACTATTTAGTATGCTTTCCTAAAAGTAGGAACAGGGTACAGTATGTTGTAGCTTTGTAAATATATGGAATGCTGTCAATTATCAGAGAATTTGGTTAAAATTCCTAAGTAGTTACAGTATATCATAAATAGAAGTGTCATTGCATCATAAACAAGGAAAAACCACCGCCTTGAGCGTAGCCCGTAGTTGGCAATTTGCAATTTTTCAAGGTTCTGTGCCCTTCTCCCCAAACCCCAGAAAAGCCATATTTATATTTAATTAAAAGGAAGGCAATGTCAAATACATTGTAAGTTTGGCTTTTGATGTTGACAAACTGTGTCAAAACAGTTCAACCTGAGAAGAGAGGTACATTACTTGCAGGAAAGACCAAGCAGGAACTGAATCTATCTGACTCAAATAAGACATTTCTTTCTCTAGGGAGGATCACCTGAGAGTTGGAACTGATCACCTCTTTTCTACACCAGATTTCCTTGTATTCACAGTTTCTCCTTCCAGGAGATATTCATGTTTTGGCTGTTTTTTTGAATAAACAAGCCCTCTTAGGAAGAATTTAAAAAATGGGAACAACTCTTTATAGTCAATAATTGTCAGTATCAAAAATTACTCTGGCCAATTAATTGGCATAAGTTTATGGATTTGTTAAATGAGGGAAGCTTCAACTCACTGGCCCCTTTAGCACTGTTTCCAGAACCATTTCTGGTCCTGGTCCCGAAGGAATTAGACCATGTACAGCATGCTCTTAGGAGGGATGTTAAGAATGATCTTCTAAAGGGTAATCTCTGTTTCCTTCTACCTCTATCCCTGCTCTCTAGCCATAAATTATTAAAAATAAAGGTATAATTTCTTAAGAAATTATATATATATTATATATCTATCTTATATATAAATAAGAAAACCCTATTTATTCAGGCCTGTGTGCAACCTGTGGCAGATACAAAGTTGGTTGCTATCTTTTCATTTTACAATCTGGAGGGGCAGATAAATTACAAAAGGTGTCATAATAGATGTTTAAATATAAGGCATGTCATTATGTAGGTGTCAGTGAAGTTTATGTCTTTCTTCTAACTGAAGGGATCATCTAAGATAATTGTGAAACTCAAAAAGCTTCTGAGATGTTACTCATTCCAAAATAATTCAGATGTGTAATTGATACAAATCAACGAGTGTAAAATTCTATTTAATCAATTTCTGGAAGTCTTCAAAATTATTATGCTTAACTTCTTGATACATTCACAAATACATTCAGGAAAGTAATAATATCTTTTCTTTCTCATGTGGCTGTATCTATCTATGTTATGATGCACTATGATCTCACATTGGGGCGAGTTTGGAAAATGTATTCAAGTCTTAGTCTTTAAGTAACTTTTTTTTTTTTTTGGTAGACAAGGTCTGTCCCTGTCACCCAGGCTGGAGTGCAGTGGCATGATCTCAGCTCACTGCAGCCTCCCAGGTTCAAGCAATTCTCCCACCTCAGCCTCCCAAGTAGCTGGGACTACAGGCACTCACTGCCATGTCTGGCTAGTTTTTGTATTTTTTGTAGAGGTGGGGTTTCACCGTGTTGCCCAGTCTGATCTTGAACCCCTGGGCTCAAGCGATCCACCCGCCTCAGCCTTCCAAAGTGTTGGGATACAGACATGAGCCACCATATCCTGCTTAAGTAACTTTTAATAAAGGGGATATTGCTTTGGTCCAATCAATTTTAGGATGATAACATTTCCTCAGACTAACCAATCTGAAACCAGTTCTTAAACCAAACTTGCACTCCTCAGTTTTGTAGTGATGCCTCTATTTGTCTGAATTGGAGCGTAAGGCAGTGGCTGACACTCCAGCAGCAATCTTCACAGGAAAAGCATGATCCTATTGTCCTTCCTAGAATTTCTTGCTCTTCAAAGTAATTTTGGAGGTGTCATGGTGGCCAAGTACATTTCTGTAACCTACAAAGATACTAATTCATCCTTAGGCGATAGTCTGTGCTGAGAAAATAAAGCTCATGGGTTTATTTCTCTGAATTTCTCTAATTCAATTTTCCTGTGAAGATTTTCTTGAAACTATATTTATTCATTTATATCTGGTTTTACAACCTTTTTTTTAATTAAAAAAAGTCTTTACTATTTTGAGTCATTTGAAATCTTTTTCATCATAAGCCAGTAATTCAAATACTCAACTAGCTATTTACATTAAGCATTATCTTTGTACATTTTCATAAGGGTGGAAATCCTACAAATACTTTTCAAGGTTTGAGGTTTTCAATGTGTGTCTTTCCATTGGTAGACCAATTAAATTTATAAGGGATTAGAAAACTCACTTGAAAACAACTAGGATCTATATCACAATTAAGAAAAATGTGAATTAAGAAACACTTTTCCTGTCTTTGGGTTAAAAATATTGTTTTTGAAGAAGGCATATTAAACTTTATCCTTAACCATTCATTTTGAACAAAAGACCTCTGAAGAGGAGATAATGGTTAGTATAGTAAACTGTCCAGCTAGTTCATCTGACATGGTCACATAGTGACGCTGAGAGCAGAGAGAGTTATTAATTAAACAAACATCAAAATCCTTTAAAAATAGGTTATAAAATAATTTTATGATTCAGCTTTTTAAATTGTGAGACTATTGTAAAAGAAGAAAAACAGGCAACATGTGGCAACTTTAGTCAGCATTTCTGAACTGGGAGTGATAAACACCTCTGCCTGGCTCTGGCATTTATCAGGACTGAGATATTATTACCACATAGAGTCACAGCATGGTTACTGTTATCATCGGAAAAAAAACTGCCAGCTAATCTTAATGGTTTGTAAAGCCGTTACCTGCACTGGTCTGACATTTATCATGATCATTTTACCACATGGGTCCTACATAGCAAAGGTCTTTTATCTGGAAGGGACATCACTATGAATTATTATTTGCAGCTAGGTAGAAAATTGTATGTTGTAGATACCTTTTCTCATTATAAATCACATAGTCACATTTCACCATTTCCCCCAGAAAGCTGCTGAGCCTAGATTTTTGCCACAGCTTGTATTCTTCTCCCCCACCCCTTTCTTTTTATAGTTTCTTGAAAATATTAGCCATTTTTAAATTCACGCCTTTAATTTTTGAAGTACCACATATATGGCAGATGTAAATATGAACATTCTTTCATTATAGTTAAGAAACTTTCCTGCACATTCTGTATAAAGCCTGCGCAGTACTTTAGAAATTGAAGTTGAAAGACTGTCTACTTAAAAAAAATAATTATTCTCTCTTCTGACATGGTGTCCAGACTTTCTCTGTTCTTGACCTTGTCAATAGAATATTTACCAGTAGATCAGACAAAATTTCTTATGCTTGATTTGAAATACTCAAAACAGCTCATTCCAAGCCTGAAATCCTTAGCTTGGAAATATGTTCTTATAAGAAGTAAACCAGTTTTATTTTGCTAGTGAGTTCTTTCAGACTGTTAGTAAGTTATAATGGAGTAGAAGATTCCTCCAACAAATTTCTTTTATAAGATGCTTGGATTCTATCCCTAACTATCAACGTCCTAATGACATACATTAATACGTAGTATGGAAGAAATAAAGATATTAAAAGGTCTGATGTTTTAAAACCATGAGTTCAAGTCAGTAAAATGAAATGCATTAATTTGACAATGGAAAATTACAGTGCAAAGCCCAAGTTGTTTACCATGGAGAAAAAATGAACAAATCCTCCCTTTTAAAAAGATTGAGACAACTAATCTTCTGAAAAAGATATTTATATATTTTCTTCTTTCTCAAGTGTTCCATTAGGAATAAACAAGCCAGAAATTCTGTACTTTTATAATGAAGAGGGAGTAGAATTCTTTGCCATTTTTGCATTTAGAAAGAAATGTGCAAGAAGAATGTGACAATTTAAGCAAATCAAGATTGTTTCAAATGGATCACAAACGGGACTTTGTGGGATATTTTATACTAGCATGTGAAGCAAACAGTAAATTTGAAAGGAGGATTTTCTCAATGGTCTAGTTCTGATGTGTTTTCCCATTGCTTTGTGTGTTTAAAAGAGGTTTAGATGTGGTGTTTAATATTGCTTCGACTCTCTTGCAAATGAGTGCTGGAGAAATATTCGCACATGAAGGAACGCTGGTGTGCTGCATTGCTGACAGCAGCTGGGGGGATATGAATGAAGAAACCAGATTCCCGAGTCTGGATTTAGCAAGAATAAACACCTATCATTCCATTAAAAAAAAACTATCACTTTAAATGCTTACAGGCATCCAAAGTAGACCCCTCTTCCTTTGAAGAAGTCCAATATTTTTCTCAAATGACTCCATTCTTGAAGGGGAAAAAAATATCAACTTTAACCTGAGGTGCAGTATCTTGCAGTGATGTGTGTTAGTCTGCCTACCTTGCAACATTTGGTTCCATGTAATTTTTTGTATTATTACAAATTTCCTTCAAAGGAAACAGTTTCTGTTGCAGAGACTTGTGAAATATACTCACATAAATTTGGAGGCCAAGGGGAGGAGGTCATTTGTGAAATTAACCTGTACTTCCGTTGCTCAAAAGAAGTTGCACACAATTTGGTGCAGTCTTCTAAAATTTCATTGTAAAATGGTGGCCTAATATTCCAACATACTGCTTTACCCATCAAACGAAGGGCTACACTGGTTTAAAACAAATAAAAATAACAAGCAACAAACAACTCCTTCATTCTTTTTCATTTCAGAATGACTCTTTGGTTCTAGTTTCACACCCTCTTGCCATTATTGTCACCCAAATACTGTAACCTGGGAGCATTTACAATAATTAGCGAGGGGCTTTGCTGCCTTGGGTTTCCTCCTTTTCTGGGGAACTGGGTGAATTGTTGAGTGCTAATGAAAGTCGGAGACTTCTAGCTGTAGTTGAGCCAGGCACAGTGCAGGCAGACGCTTTAAGCTTCCCACTGTGCGGCAGTGCAAGCTTCCCCGCTGTTATGTTTACCATAGTTTTAATGTCTGTGAAAAAATTCCTGATGCAACCAAATTATGTTATGCCCTTTTATTTATCTAACCCTACCCTCCCTGCCCCCCTGCCCCAATTTAGCAGATTATTGTTGCCCCTGCCTATTACAGAAAGCTCCTCCTCAACTTTGTGACCATCTTACTACTTCAATTCTTACCATGAGAGTCTAGCTGCTTTGCAGCCTTGCTTGCAAAACCTATCCAGAAGTTTCGGGAGGATTACACACACACCCTGCTCTACTTCTGTCACCTAACAACAGATATCCTCTTTTGCACTGCATTTTAATTTCATCGGAGGTAATATTAAAACACCAAATTCCATCATCTGGCATTGGCAATAATAGCTTAAAATTCAAATGTACTTGGTGAAGTGCTCTATGTCTTTAAAAAGAAAACCTATTGAACGACCTCAAACTCTCCCTGCCAACTAAGATGAAAACAGCCAATCTGCAATGGGAGTTGTCCTTTTCTTAAAAATGGTTATCACAAAGAAAATGACCATTCCATTATATTGTAAATTGATGAATTCTCCAAGTGTGATGTACAGTGAAATTATTAATGAATATTCATACAACACTTTCAATCCATTAATAAGCCTTAAGACAATGAAGATGCAACTCATTCCCATTTAGATAATGTGTTGGGGGGAGTGGAATTAATAGCAGAAACAGTACTTGAAAAAGTTGAACTTTCATGTATCAAACTCCAGGTGCCAGTTTGAGGAGAATAACCAATAATAGCCATTTTTTACATATTTGATGGGACTGATTATGCAATGTGCAACTCTAAATGGCTTATAGCACATTGTAGCATGGTTCCATCCCATTGGCTACAGTAGGGTGCAGGCAGATGGATGACAGTGACAGGGAGAGAAGTGCTTTTGCTTAGCCGTGCGTTAAGATGCCATCCAGAAGCTCTGTGCACTGCAGACACTTCATTAGGATGCCAGGATAATGGTAAACTACCACTCAGAGTGACACCCCATTTCCTGCTTACTGAGCGCTCCAACCTCGGCAGATGTCAACAATCTCACAGTGCTACAGAGCAGACCTAACTTTCCAGCCACTTTGACTCCAATTTTTTCCTCCTAACAGTGCCATACATTATGTGCAATATGTAATGGCAAACACCTCACTGAAAACAAAATCTGCACAATTCGTTATGACCAGAGTGCTTCATTTTTTTTCCCTTCTTTTAAAAGATGAGGGACTGTGAGTTGGGCAAGAGAGTACGTCCGTCCGCTGTCCTAACCTCAACATTTCTTGCTATAATTTCATTTGCTAATCAGTTCAAAGTGTTAATTGTGTGATGAACTCTGATTAATAGCAGTTAAACTCTGATCACGGGGGATATGACTGCTTCTTTTAATTAATGTCCGTTCCAAAGGTAAGAGCTTTTGGAATTCTTTTGTTAAAGACTTGAGACTCAGTTTTGGTATGGTTTTTAGCTGTCTGCCAAAAAAAAGGCTGACTTGAGCATCTGGATGGTATTTTCTCTGCAAATGTATAACTTGAGACCATTCGCACACCTCCTTACCAGCAAGTCAAGCCAAGAGAAACTTTTTTTTCTATGATGTAAAATCCAAAATTCTTTTTATAAAGAACCAAGGTGTGGTTTAGATAGTGAAAAAAAATTTCCCCAAATGGAAAAAATAATACTCTGAAATCTATCATTACAATGAAATGATTGATTTACATTTTGTAACTCTAAGCATCTTCTTAGAAGCTCAAAGGCCCTTGTAAATGGCAGGACTAAAAATAAACATTCCCCTCTGGGGCCCGTTATCATTTCCAGGTAAAGACGCAACAGCAACTGTAAAGAAGTAGCCATAGGCAGAGGTCACACCCCAAGGAAGAATTTGATTGCAAACTTTCAGTGTGATGCCCTCTGCAAAGAGCTGATGCAAATCATGACTTTTGGTTTTAAATGGCATCTGGTTGGCAACACCTAACCACCTCTTGAAACTTGTCACTAAATTTGCTTCAAAGCAAAGAAAACATAATAGAATTCTTATAATAATTTAAACAGGGACTGAGAGTAACATAGTGACAAAAATTTAAGAATAACTTACTCGAAGACATGTTGGTCTTAATTGGAAAGTGCCAGTGGTGCATGAGCTATTGAAGTACTGAACCAGAGAGTCTGCCTTCCTGAAAGCAGATAGAAGCATCCTTATATTTCTTCAAGTGTCTGATTTTTAGAATCAAAGCCTCCAGGCCTATGCCAACCAAAAAACTGGGCAGCTTTTTCCTACACAGTTAATGCTGTTTAGAAGTAGTGTGAATGCTTCCCTTCTGCCCCTTCTCACCAGTCGCCTTCCTTTCTAAGCTACACATCAAGACTTCTCTTCATACTGGGATCATTTAAAGATAGCAATTTCCATGAAGTATAACTGAGGATATTGTAGGTAGAAGGCAGAAGGAAAGTCCTGATAATGGCACATATCCCCATAGGAATTGTGTAGTCCCATATGTAAAACATAAAGGGAAGAAAGGGTGGAGACTGGCAAAATTCTTTAGGAAGAAATTCTTGGAATTCTAATGCTTTATGCACTTTATCTTTTAGAGTGCCACAGAGTCAAGGAATTAGGGTGGGAGAAAATTCGATGTCAGGATACTAGTGCCTTAAGAGAACAAGTATGCTAGATAAGAATTAATGTAAGAGCTGTGATTATAAATTTGCCATTTGAGTATAGCTTCAAGACAAAATGCTAAGGCTGGAGCTGAAGCAGAGGGTAAAAATCAGTGTGCATAGAATGTTGCATACATTTCTACATTTTGAGATGAGTAAACATAACAAAATTTCCAACAACGTTTGACCTATGAAAGAACTCAGAGAACAATGCTCATAAAAAGCTTAGAACTCTTACAGTAACTGCTAGACAATTAAGAAGCTACTTAGTATCTCTAATAAAATTTGACACAGGGAGTGGAATGAGAAGGATCAGCAAGCCATAGGAGAGGACAGGGAAGATGAAAAGATCACTAGAATAAGATGACAATTATATAGATGATTTGAGGAAGGACAGTGTGAAAACTAAAAATGCAAAACAAAATTAAATTTTGCACTGAAGTTCAAATTGTTACTCCAGAAAAATTAGGTTTGTGATACGGATGACAAACCAGAGAAGTTTTCCCAGAATATGGAGACATAAAAAATGATGAGAAAGAAGACATGTTGGAAGTCAAAGAATGAAGAGATTATCTACAGCTTATAAGTATACTTGAGGAAGAAACCAGAACATTTGAAAAATATGCAAGTCAAGCACAAAATTAAGAAAACTCCTGTGAGTTAAAAAACTACCTCAATATTGAAAATGACAGTGAGGTTCTAAGAAAATATTATCGAGGTGGTATACTATCTTGATATATTCTGGCAAAACTTTCAAATGGCAAGGATAGAGCATCATTCTACAAATATTCAGAGAAAAAGAAGACTAAAAAAATAAACATTTAGTCTTTCCTAACACTTTTCTCACTAAATCCTAAAAGAAAACAAGGCAGTATCTTTTGAATTTATAGGAAAGAAATTGTGGCCCTCAAATTGTGTGCATACTCAAAATTGTCTTTTGCATGTTAAAATAACAAAGACATTCTCATGTATGCAAAGATTTATAATAGGACAGCTTTCTTGAAAAGTTTACGTGAAGGCTTATGTAATTCTACTAAGTGATGAATCAAAATTTACAACTCAAGAATAGAGACACTGTAAACAAAACTAAGCATCTTCTTTACTTAATTTGGATCTAAAACTCCAAAGGCCTCCTTGGATTACTTCTCTCTGGCTTCCACTTAGCTCTTGGTGACAGGAAATGCCTTTCTTGTGGTCCACCCTTGATGGTTCAGGTGAAAGCTCTGGGGGCATTTGATGATTATTTAAAACAATGACTGGTGCTGTTCATTCTGGAGTTTGCTAGAAAACAACATTGGAACATTGCTCTGGAGAGATACTAAACAAGTTTTTTATTCCTTTCAAAAATATCAAAGCTGCAGAGAGTGGCATAATGTTTACTTCTCTTCGTAGGAATACTTGGTAAACCTGCTTTGTATCTATAATAATGGTATTGAAAAAACTGAGTGGAGGGCTATTAAAGTGATAAAAACTAGAAAATCAAGCAATTAGGTATTACATATGAATTTTCCTATGTTACACATGTTTTAAAATTAAGCAGGCTAGGATAAAACAAATGCAGAATGAACATGTCAAAGGAAATAGCCCCAAAACATGGTTATTGTTAGAGTAATTTTTCTTTTCACTTTTCTGTAAATTTCAAGTTAACTTCAATAAATATTTATTATTTTTTAATCTGTAAAAAGAAGCAATTTAAAAATAATTTTGTACAATTGTTTAGATACCATATAATTTTGCTAAGCAGTTAATTAAAAAGACTGGTAGGAATATACCAAAATATTAACTGATAAGTTATGCTTAAATAATAGGAGTATGGATTCTTTTTTCATTTTTAAAATTTATTTTCCACATTTTCAATAATGAGTTTGTGTTATTTTGATAATAAAAGTAATTCTCTGTGTTGGTAAAATGATAACGTTTAGTTTGGTCTATGCCAAAAGAAAGATAAACTATTTGCACAGATCAAATCACTTCAGGGAAAATTGTGTGCTAGACTTTCCTCTAGGTATTTCTGTTGCAGTTAACCTTTTATTTAGTGAATATATTCTAGAATCAAGAAAGCAAAGTCTGAGTTTGCCACTATCTTCTCCTGGGTGAAGTTATTGGGCGTAGGGGCACTTGCAGAGAGAGTACAGAAGATATAAAATGCCTTTAGACTATATATTTGCAGTCTGAAGGAGGACTAAGGACCCTGCAGTGCCATGTATGTAAATATATTCTAGTTTCATATTCTAATTTCTGGCTCTTCCTCAATCAAATCCTTTCTTAGGGAATTGTATTGCTTATTGGACTGAGCCTCCAAAGAGTGGAAAATAAAACCTATACACATAACACTAGTTCATGGATGAGAAGTCACAGTAACATTTCTAAGTAAGAAAATAGTCAGCTGTTCATTTCAAAATATTTGTATTGAAACACACATTTTTTCTCATACCTGAGCCTTTAAGCCATATCAATCCCTCTTTTCTTTAAGAAAAATAGGTCCGTTAAAGTTTTCTCTACTTGCAGAGAAAAGTAGAGAAATAAGATAGTTACCCAGCTGATTCATATCCCTAAACTTTAATTTTGCCTCAATTGTTCTACAAGTATTAGATGCCCATTTAATATCTGTCGATCAACTAGTCCAGACAGTTGACTCAATTCTTCAGTGTACCTTATGTGCAAAATGAGCTGAGAAAATATTCTTTAGAATTAACATTGATAGCTCCCAGTTCTAGTCCACGGGAACACAAGGAACCAGAAGTTAAATATTTTGAATGCAGAAGTTGTTGGACAAACAAGAATTAAGGTTTTTGGCTCAGTTTTAAGTCAAAATTGGTGTTAGATTTGTATGGACCACTAATTTGAAACAGTAGGACGTCAGTGTATCTGGAATATTTAAGAGAGCCCCCTGTTGGTTAATCTTAGAAGTGTCTTCGGATTCCTTTCTGACCAGACACATTTAAGCACAGGAAATTGGCCCTGTGATTAAAAGTGATTTGAGATGGGGGCAAAGTAAGCCTCTATATGGCATTTATACCATTTTCACAATAAAATATGTTCAAAAACAGTCATTTAATTTTCACTTTTAAGGGATATAAAAAGACAATACTAATCTCCAACAAATGTAAGCAAGGTGGGAAATATTTTAAATAGAATTAGACTAAAAAGTAAATGTGTGCATATTACAGTGGGATTCCTTAGGGGTTGGGAGTGATTGCTATATTGAGAGTAGTGCTTTGCAAGGGCTTTTTTTTTTTTTTTTTTTTTTTTTTTTTTTTTGAGACAGAGTCTCGCTCTGTCACCCAGGGTGGAGTGCAGTGGTGCAATCTTGGTTCCCTGCAACCTCCACCTCCAGGGTTCAAGCGATTCTCCACCTCAGCCTCCTGAATAGCCTCCACCCAGCTAATTTTTGTATTTTTAGTAGAGAGGGGTTTCACCATGTTGGTCAGGCTGGTCTCAAACTCCTGACCTCGTGATCTGCCTGCCTCGGCCTCCCAAAATGCTGGGATTACAGGCGTGAGCTACCGCGCCAGGCCCTCTTTCATTTTTCTACATCCAATTTCTGGCTGAATTTGTAAAGAGAATAAAATTATTTTCTCATACAATCAAGCAATGGACCTTTTCACTGGTAGACATATTCCAGGACTTTAGAAATAAAAAATAATAATACTGGACACAAATGTTATTCTTTTCCAGCTAACATAATTTTTTTTTTAAAGTAAACATCAGCTTCTCAAGAGAGATTTCGATTTGAAGACTGTTTATTATATCATTTGAATAGGACTAGACCTGGCCTTTTGACTTTGAACCACTACCAAATTTCAGGCTGTGAGGAAATTGTTCTACATTTCCTGACAAATTGAGTTAAGCAGACATTAAGTGGGCTTTAAGAAAACAAATGGCCATCTTTATCACAGGTGGACACTGATGGCTTAATGGGGCCTGGGCTGATTGTATCACTTCTAATGGCTTGACGGGAAGCATTAGGGTTTTTGCATAAAGAACTGGCATTGCGAACCCTGCTAACACAGACCTGTCAAGCGCTCTGTATCCCTTTGTGCACGGAAGCAGATGTTTGTATGTATACTATGAACTGGCATTAGAGCAAGCGACAGATGCCTGTATGAATGCCAGGTTTGTGAATTTTTACAGCAGGAGCATGTTCTGAGGAAGTGCAGCCCTGCCCTCTATCATAGGTAATTCCCAATGGAACTTGCTAAATCCCAGCTATGTTTTCATTATTTGGCTTTCCTAGCAACTGGATGAATGTGTCTATCCTGAAAATGCAAGATGAGAGCCCTACCAAATTCTTACAGATTTGCAAATAGCTCGACTGTGTTTTGAACTTGGACTTTCCAGGCAGTGCTTCTGCACTGTAATCACAACCAACTTACTCAGAGGAGCCGGTGGTATTATAGCTCTCTAATTAAAACTTACTTCAATGTTGATGTGTTAGGCCTCCCCCATGGTCACCCTACAAGCCCACCCCCCTCTCCCGAGCAAATGCGACTTCGGTGTGGAGGTTTGCTTTCCTGCAACATTCAAAACTTACATTCTAGTTGTCTGTCAACAACAGAAACAGGTAGCTTGCAGTCCATTAAACAAACACAGTGCCCCCCTCACTTTTATTTGACATTTTATTTGGCTGTGACAAATGAGCAGCAGTTGGATTATAACATAATTTGTCTTGTCTTTATTACCAGCACAAAGGACACCATTCATTAATTATTCTGCCGTTGCAGCTTAACACTGACTGGAAAGGTCTCTCTTCGGACAGATGGCGGGGACGATGTTATTTATATCAATCAGCCAAAATCCTCAACAAGGATTACTGTTCCTGAGACTACAATGATTTATTTCTTTTTACCTCACCTTCCCTCAACCCCTACTGCTTTCAGAGATTTCTCTATAAAAACGAAATTTGATGGGAATCTTAAAGCAAAGCCATATTTAACCGGTTAGCTTGCAAAACAACATGCATGCTACATCAGTTTAACTACATGACATTAGCTGCATATTTTTTAAGCTGCTCGGGGTTTTTTGATCTTCCATTCTAGAGAGAAAGATTAACTGAAGGTCTCTGGGCAGCAAGTTCAGCAGAAGTTTGCCTCTTCTGTGACATTGTATTGCTGTGGCCCATGGGACCCCCCAATAAGGATATTATGCTGTCAAGATTTTTTTTTTTGTTTTTGCTGAGATGAGATGATCCATCCTATTTCAGAGTCCAGAAGACTTTCTGCAAGATCAGCTAGGGTATTTGGTTAAACTAAAAAGAACCACTAAAACCCCAAAAAAGCAGAAACACCCTTAACCCCCTGTCTAAACTGGAATCAAATCAAATGAGTGAAGGATGTCCTTTGATTTCTCCTGGATCCACATTTTTATTCAGTGGCACAAGGTGGTTATCAGGGTGGTAGTGTGTAGTGGATGATTTACCTTGCTTGTTTTGTGTTAACGATTCTGTCCAATACATGCTGATCAAGCACTAATAAAAGACTAGACTGAACCCAGATGTGACATTCTTGTACACATTTTTCAATAGTGCTTCTGAGATGTGGCCATTTGTCCAATTAAAATCTTTAGGAGATAAATGTGTGCAAAAAAGTGTACAGATTATTGAGGCTAAGACACTGGAATTTTTTTTTAAGTTTTCTTCTTCAATATAATAAAATAATGCAGAAAGTTTTTTGTCTTCAGAAATTATTGGTATAACCTTGCTATCCTGATTAGTTTGCAAATATTAAAAGTCCCATCAAGACAAATATCAGCAACATGCAAATACCCTTGCAGGTTGTGATTAAGATTTTAAATGTATCCTTTTGCTTTTAGTTAATGAAAAACAAAGTCTTGGAGGATCTAAGTTGTAATTTATTAAACATGAAAGGCTCCTTGATGAAATATAGAAATGAGATATATTTTGCATTTCAAAGATTTAAGCTGACAACTTACTTGCATGCAAATAAGAGCAAGATTTGTAAAAATATTTGAAAAGAAATTATTCCTGAATGTACTTATTACAATAATGTGGCATGTAGATAAGAGAAACACACAGCATTAAAAGACATTCATTTCTCCAAAGTCTTAAAATTAGCTTCTTTCTGCCATTGTGTATTAATGTTCTTCTTCAGGAATGCAGCATATTAAAGAACTGAACAGAATTAGTAATAAATTTGTTAATTACAAATTTAAGCAACACAACTGTGTTGTTTTCCCAATATGTTTTTTTTTCAAAAGCAGAATTGCTAATGCATTTTAATCATTTATGTATAAACATTTGAGGATAAAATATTCTGAAGTTTATCAATTTCAAGAGCTGTTTATTTGCTAGCAAAATAGGCCATGTTATACAACATATATCTTATCATTTTTGCTCATCAAATCCCCATTTGCTGAATGCAAATTTCCCTGGTCTAAGTGCTCTTGCACCTCAATTTAAATGAATAATAGGATCGACTCTATTAAAATCAGTTTAAGGTTGCCATGGGTGACATATCAGTAGGGTTAAAATGAGAAAAAAAGGTCACAGAATCAGTCCTTACAACCTGTTTTTTATCATAATGAAGCATATGTAAGACTCGACGAAGGCTTAAATAACAATATGTCACTTAGGCAATACTTTAGTTTGTGGGTCTTCTTAAAGAAATCTTTTTTTAACCACAATGTATTCCAAACAAAATAAACGTAAAATTACAGTGCCATCAATAACTCCGGGAATGTATTCAGTTGCACTGAAAATTAGAGAGTAAGCAAGCTCTTGTGCTATTACACCAGACTGGCAGATTGTGGATTCGTAAGAATAACAGAGAACTCCTGCGAAAAAGGAGAAGTGGGTAGGTTTGCTGCAGTAAATCTCTTCTCATAAGGATCCATCTAGGTGCTATGATCAAATTAGCAAAGTATATAGGAAGTAAACTCAAATACTTCAGCTGAGAAAAATTTTGTGTCCTCTGCTAATGAGATTGAAGGATTATTCATGTAGCTATTGGTAAGTACTGAAACACCAGCACCAGACTTGGAAGATATCCTGGAGCAAAGCTTTTGGTTGTAGTTTTAGGCTTTTGAAAGCTGAACAAGCAAGACTTTGGGGCTGCTGGAATGTGTGTGTGCGTGTACATATATATATATCTGTGCATGTGTGTGTATACACATGCACACACATACATATGTGTATATATGTATATATGTAATCATGTTTTTGCATTTTCACATTTTTAAAGTCAATTCTATTTCTTAAAGTCACATTCATTGCTGATTTTATATTATTTATGATTCTCATTTGGCTTTCCACAGAATCACATTTTTGTTTTAAGTGTTATAATTCCTATCTTTTTTTAACCTGCAATAAAAGGAAAAAAAAAAATCTCCTTATTTGCTAAGGTTACAGCGTTAGTTTAATTTTCATAGAAGCGGTGGAATATTTTGAAGAGAGTAACATTTACCAAGTCATTAGTTTTATGCAAACTAGGAAGGAAGATGAAAGAAAAAAAATTATCAATTATTTATAGATTGTTAAAATGTATCTTAGTGCACTGCTACTGTATAGAAATGACAATTAGCCAAACTTACCTTCTTTAATTAATAATGCATACATTATGCTCTTTGGGCAACTAATCACCAGCTCTACAAATTTGTTTGACACTGCTGAAGATACCTATCACATGGGTTAAAAAAAGAACAATGCTCTACTAGCTGCAGTCAACTTTTAGCCTTCTAGCATTACTTAAAATGCTGTAGCAGTTTCAAGGAGCAAAATGGTGGTCCTGTAGCTGCTTGACACTATGAATAGGGCACCAAGCTGCAGAGTGCTGCTTGCCATGCCTCTGGCACCAAAGAATGCATTCTTTATCTCAAATTGCTTGCTTAGAGACAAAACACCTCGATTTCTATCTCCTGTGTTAATTTCTGTAATCTTAGAGTGAAAAATTCTTGCAGGTAAATTGGTCCTGTTGCCTTAAAGCCTCATTGACCATATTGTCTGAACAAAAATAGGAACATACGGTTGGATAAAAGGAAGAACTATATGGAAACTGAACTATTTATAGAGAATCTGGATGAATGGTCGCTATGCTTACCACAGAAAATTCCGATCAAACCTGTGATGAAGACTTTTATGGCCATGACTCTCCACAAATTTATTTTTAATAAAACAGAAGCATTTATCCATAGTAGTTTTAGGACTGGAAGGAAATGTCAAGACAAATTTTCAAAGAAATTTGCCCGTCTGCATCTTTCCATACTTTAAGGACTGCAAATCCAGTCTCCTCATTTTACCCACAAATCTGAAGGCAAGGGCAGCTACTGGAAAGTTTGCAAAAGTTTCACATACGCTACTAAATTAACATAAAGGCCCAGGGATTCTATTTCTCAGAGGTCACTAAAGCATAGTATCACATTGAACTGCATACTTAAGTGGTCAACAAGCCAACTGACATTGGGACCAGGTAGACACTCAGCTGTCACTGATTTCCCCCTAGAGTCACACACACCACAATGAGGTAGCAGCTTGTAGCGTTTGGAAGGGGAAATGAGACTGGTGCAGCTCCATCACATATGGTGTTTAACAGACTACACTTCCCATTTGCTCCTTCGAAAGGTGTGCATTTTCAAGGGATAATGCCAAGTGTTCTTTGTGCTATGGTGTCTTTGCACTGAAAGGTGATGTGTCTGACACATTTTGGCAGGCTACTATGAAGAGATTTAGAATTTTCTACTGACTTTCACTAAGATTTCAGAGAATAGGATTGTCCCTTATCAAAGGTAGTAATCTGTCTTTTGGGAGGATAGGATCACAGTTCTTGAGTGAACTGAGAAGTCATGGATTTTTATTGATAATATTACTCACTGCCCTGTAAAATTTCTGTTTTGTTGCTTTTTATGTAAATATATACTGACTAGTGGCTCTGCCACCTATGCAGGCTTATCATTTTAAGGAGATTTGGAATTAGCGCTTTGAAATGTGGGTACAGGAAAACTAGAACGTGTCTCTCTGGTGAAACCACCTTCTCTTTTTCAGCTGTTTTAAATGAAATGCAGACTAAGAGTCAGGGTAAATGCAAGGGCCATGGAGGCCCAAGAGAAGAACCAATTCTACATGTAAACCAAAGAAAATTTTTATTTCTGTCATGAACACTGGGTATCTCCCCACCCACCATTTAGAAGGATTTCTGTTAGCCTTTTGTGAAAGATTGCTCTCATTTATTTAACTCAAGCCACATGGCTTAGCTCCATAACCAGTATAGGGTTACTAGAGATTAAAAGGAAATCCATTTTGTATCTATGGAAATACCAAGCTGGAATTTAAGCTACAATTGCTGCAAGTTTTCCACATTATTGTATAAAATTGCTAGATTTATTAATGCTGGGCATTCTTCAACTACCCCATGTTTTGCCCTGGTCAATGGTTACCTGTCAAAATGCAGAACAATTTTTCAATAATATTCTGTGCTACAGAGAAAAATATTGTGTGGATTTTTTCCATGTTTTTGTTTGTTATAAGCTGAGTATTTGCAATAATTTATGGAAAGTCTTGGAATTATAAATATTAAGGCATTGCCAAATGATTTAACTATTCCTCCATGGCAAATTGTCTTTAAACACTACCATTTTTTTCCTTTTTTTTTTTTTTTTTTTTTTTTTTTTTTAATCATTTACTTATGGACCAGAAACACTTGCAGGCTCTTGCCCCTGGCCTTCTGTGAGAATGTTAGTTAGCAATGCTCATAAAAACTCAATTCATCAATGTGAACATAATTTGCTATGAACAGAAAGCTCACAAAAGGGTGAATTTGTCAGATAGACAGGTGGCCTGAGATCTCTCCCTGATACTGAATGATATGAATAATAGATTCTGGTAAATGTATGCCAAGACTTGAGCTGTAAACACAGCTGCCTCCATTCCCTTCCAGAAAAACAGCTTCGAGGACGAAAGCACAGGAACCACGGTTCCACCTGAGGACCTAAGCTTGCACACACACACATACACACACACACACACACACACACACACACGCACACACGCACCCCCTCATTCAAGAAATAAACAACATCTATAAAAAAGGACAGAGTTGGAGGAATCTTCATGCTTTTCTGTTTCTACGAGAAAGACATTTTCAAGCTATCTTGGGCAGAGGAGACTAGATAGAGAAGAAAAAGGAAATAGATTTTCCTAATGGCTCTGGTTCTATATTATTCAAATGTCTTGTTTTATAAAACACACAAATCAACAGAGCTAATAAACTTTGCAATATTATAACTCCTGTTTTATAATGAGCAAAAATAAGAGCAGGTTGACTCTGCAGAAGCACTGTGCTTGAAATCATTCTAGTAATTCATGGCTATTTGTCTTATGGGTTATTAAGTATTTATTAAGGTTCAAATGTAATGTAGCCCTTTCTCCAATTTACTCTGAACTTTAAAAATCTGTTTTGCAAATTGTTTTCCAGGTAATGCACAAACCCACTTAAGAGCCGAATCCCAGGATTTTTGAAGATTCTGGTTGAGTGCAGCATATTTTTTTTTTTTAGCCTTTGTGGATACTGGTGCATATAGGTTGACCTATTCTGATAGCATTTATGATTGACTTTTCTAATCAACTAGCAAAGATATTGGATCAGACTTTCCTACTTACTACAGCAAAGCAGTGTTTCTTAAAGTAGAATACATATATGTTATTGGTGGCATAAGAGACAAATTTAATGGTTATTTAGTTTAATGCATATTTAAAAAACCATAAGTAACACTAAAAAATGTATGCTTTCATAGATATTATTGCTTAGGATAAAGCTAAATATATTTAAGTATAAAAGTCATTTGCTTTTAGGAAAAATAATTAACATCGATACTACTGAAAATACAATCAGTGAAGTTAGCATATGGATCAATGAAGTTTGGGAAACTTGACAATCTCTTTCCAATCCCCAAAATCACATAAATGATCTTATCAAAAGTAATTAGGATCACAGAGCCACAGAATATAGAATCATGACATTTTTAGAGTTGGAGTAGACCTTGGAAAACATTCTGTTCTCTTCTCTAATTTTATGGATGTAAAAACTATGATGCAGAGGAATTAAGTGAATTGACCAGGACACCTATGTAGTTTTGGGCAGAGATGAAATTAGAAACCAGGGCTTCTCACAGGCTAATGCTCGCTGTTGTGAGGAAGAAAGGAACAAACTTGGTTGGAACTGTTGGCATCACTTCCCATTCACTTATAATTCTAGAAGGAATACTGAATATTCCCCTCTAAGGAATGTTTGTTTTTTCTTGACTTTTTATTGACAAGAAAATTTCAAAAACTACTTGCTAGTATTTATTTTGGCTTTCTCAAGATGCATACTCCAAATAGGAGTTAAGCTTGGTCTAAAAGAAAGTAAGGGTTTCAAAGTGTAAATAGAGGCAAAGATATTCTTCCTCTTTTGGTTCTTCTCTCTTTCTTTCCTTTTTCTTTCGGAGACGGGGTCTTGCTCTGTCAGCCAGGCTGGAATGTAGTGGCATGATCACAGCTCACTGCAGCCTCCATCCCCCCAGGCTCAGGTGATTCTCCTATCTCAGCCTCCCAAGTAGCTGGATTACAGTCATGCACCACCATGCCTGGCTAATTCTTATGTTTTTGTATAATAGACACAGGGTTTTGCCATGTGGCCCAGGCTGGTCTTGGACTCCTGGGCTCAAGTGATCTGCCCGCCTTGGCCTCCCAAAGTACTGGGATTACAGGCATGAGCTACCGCACCTGACCTCTTTTGGATTTTCATAAGAAAGCCTCTCTTCCTCTCTTTTTTCACATGACTTTCTGCCTTTTATTGTGTATCAGTTATACACATTGTCTTTTCCCTATCAGACTGGTAGAATTTTGCATGCAGGTACTACATATTATGTATCTTTGAGTTTTAAGATTTCTTAGCTCAGTGTCTTGCATGTGATAAGTACTCAATAACTTCATTATATGAAGGCACAAATGAATTCAATTCCTCAAATTCCTGGTCTGTGGTTCCATTAAATACAAAGGTTATTTCATCCAGTCCAATCAAATCAAATCCATCAAATATTTAAAACTTTCAACAAGTACTTGATCTAAATTAAAGAATGTTATAGGTGCTATGGGTGGCAGAGATAGTGAGCAGAGTTTAGCCTTTTAGCCACACCAACTAGGAGGGGTGATATGACACAGATATAATTAAAATGCAAGGCACAGAAAAATGGTACAAATTTCTGTGGGTACTTGAGGAAGAAAAATATATCTTTCTGGGAAAATCCAGAAAAGCCGTATGCAAGTAGGGGTGAGGGTTCCAACAACCAAGGAGTCTTGTTTTATTCCCTACACCAATGTCAAAAGATAAACAATACACATTCCATGGTTCCATTCATGGTTCAGTTAACAGATACACTAACCATGTATTCCAAAACACTTGCTGTTCACCACACATAAATCCCTGAGCAAGCTCATCAGGTCTGAATTCCCTATTTCATCTCTTTTGCTTTAAGCCTAATTAACTGGCACTCTGGGTCAATATTAGAATTACTGGAACCATGAAGATTCACAATGAATGGGATGAGTACTGGAACCATGTATGATCAAAACACAATAACACAAACTGAAACATACCATAAATGGTCTTTCAATCACTTCCTTTTTTTGAAGTAAAATTGAGGTGGTAATCAGACACTGAAATGCACAAATCTTAAATATACAATTTAATTATAGGCACACATCATTTGACTATACCTTGCTTTATTGCACTTTGCAGATTTTGCAGATATTGAGGGTTTTTTTGTTTGTTTGTTTTTCAAATTGAAGGTCTGTGACAACTTTGGTTGAGCAAGTCTGTTGGCACCTTTTTCCCAGTAGTATGTGCCCATTTTGTGTCTCTGTGTCACATTTTGGTAATTCTTGCAGTATTTCAAACTTTTTCATTATTATTTTATCTGTTATAGTGATCTGTGTTTAGTGATCTTGGATGTTACTGTTGTAATTGTTTTGGGATGCCACAAACTGCGCCCATATGAGATAGCAAACTTAATAAATGCATGTGTTCTGACTGCTCCACTAATGGGTCATTCTCTTGTCTCTCTCTCTTCTCAGGCCTCCCTGTTCCCTGCAGCATAGCAATATTAAAATTAGGCCAATGAAAAAACCTACAATGACCTCTAAGTGGTTCAAGTCAAAGAAAGAGGTGCATGCCTCTTTTCCTTTAAATCAAATCAAAAGCAGAACAGGATTGAGCTTAGTGAGGAAGGCATATTGAAAGCCAAGATGGGCCAAAAGCTAGGTTGCTTGTGCCAAAGAATTAGCCAAGTTGTGAATGCAAAGGAGAAAAGTTCTTGAAGGAAATTAAAAGTGCTACTCCAGTGAACACATGAATGATAAGAAAGCAAAACAGACTTCTTGATGATATGAAGAAAATTTGAGTGGGCTCGATAGAAGATCAAAGCAGCCACAACATTCCCTTAAGCCAAAGCATAATCCATAGCAGGACCCTAACTCTCTTCAATTGCAATGAATGCTGAGAGAGGTGAGAAAGTTGCAGAAGAAAAGTTTGAAGCTAGCAGAGGTTGCTTCATGAGGTTTTAAAAAGAAAGCTGTCTCTACAATGTAAAAGTGGAAGGTGAAGCAGCAAGTGCTGATGTAGAAGATGCAGCAAGTTATCCAGAAGACCTAGCTAACATACTTGATGATGGTGGTTACACTAAACAATAAATTTTAAATGGAGATGAAACGTGTTATGTTAGAAGATACTATTGAGAACTCTCATAGCTAGACAAGAGAAGTCAATGCCTAGCTTCACAGCTTCAAAGGACAGGCTGGCTCTCTTTGTTAGGGGTTAATGCAGCTGGTGACTTTAAGTTGAAGCCAGTGCTCATTTACCATTCCAAAAATCCTAGGGCCCTTCCAAATTATGTTAAATCTAATCTGCCTGTGTTCCATAAATTCAACAACAAAGCCTGGATGACAGCATATCTGTTCGTAGCATGGTTTACAGAATGTTGAAGCCCTCTGTTGAGTCCTACTGCTCAGAGAAGCAGATCACTGTCAATGTATTACCGCTCTAATGGAGGTGTACAAGGAGACCAATGTTGCTTTCATGCCTGCTAACACAATATACATTCTGCAGCCCATGGATCAAGGAGTAATTTTCACTTTCAAGTCTGATTATTTAAGAAATACATTTTATAAGGCTATGGCTGCCATAGAGAATGAGCCCTCTGATGAATGTGGGCGAAGTAAATTGAAAGCCTTATTGAAAGGATTTACCATCCTAGATGCCATTAAGAACATTCATGATTCATAGGCAGAAGGGCAAAATAGCAACATTAACAGGAGCTTGGAAGAGGTTGATTCCAATTCTCATGGATGACTTTGAGGAGTTAAGACTTCAGTGGAGGAAGTGACTGTAGATGTGGTGGAACTAGCAAGAGAACTAAAACTAGAAGTAGAGCCTGAAGATAAATGACTAATTTGCTCAAATCTCATGACAAAACTTTAATGGTTGAGAAAGAAAGTGGTTTCTTGAGATGGAATCTCCCCTGGTGAAGATACTGTGAAAACTGTGGAAATAACAACAAATGATTTAGAATATTACATACACTTGGTTGATAAAGCAGTGGCAGAGTTTGAGAGGATTGACTCCCATTTTGAAAGCAGTTCTACTGTGGGTAAAATGCTATCAAGCGGCACTGCACGCTAGAGCAATTTTTTGTGAAAGGAAGGGCCCATGATGTGGCAAATCTATTTGTTGTCTTATTTTAAGTAATTGTCACAATTACCCCAACCTTCAGCAACCCCCCACCCTGATCAGTCAGCGACCATTAACATGGAGGCAAGACCCTCCACCAGCGAAAAGATTATGACTCACTGAAGTCTCAGATAACCATTAGCATTTTTAGCACTAACGCATTTTAAAATCAAGGCCTGTACATTGTTTTCGTAAACATAACGCTATTGCATACTTAATGGACTACAGTATAGTATAAACGTACCTCTTATATGCACTGGGAAACCAAAAAATTCGTATGACTCACTTTGTTGCAATATTCACTTTATTGGGGTAGTCTGAAATTGACCCCACAATCTCTCTGAGGTATGCCTGTAAGTTTTGATAAATGTAGGCCCTCACATAACCAACAGTAGTCGAGTTACAGGACATTTTTCTCACCCTGAAATTTCCTGCATACATCTTTCCAGTCAATCTCCATCTCCCTCATATGCAACTATTGTTCTGATTTTAGTCATAGATTAATTTCACTTATTCTTGAATGTTTTATAAACGGAATAATGTAGGTATATACTCTTTTGTGTCTGGATTCTTTAGCTCAAGAAAAAATTTTAACGATTCATCCATATTGTAGTCAATAGAGGCAGTTCCTTATTTTTGAGTGCTCTGTGTAATTTGTTGACAAATCTCCCTTTTGATGAGCTTATGAGTCATTTTTCAGTTTTTGGCTATGAGGAAAAAAGCTTGTGGATTCTGGTACAAGTCATTTTGGTTGACAAATGTTTTCATTGCTCTTGAGTATACAATTAGGAGAAGGATTTTGGGGTCATGGATTAGGAGCATGTTCAATTTTTAAGACACTTACAAATGCTTTTCTAAAATGATTGTACCATTTTATACTCTCATCAGCAATGTACAAGAGTTCCAGTTGCTCATTATTTTCACCAATATTTCACATTAATAGTCTTTTTAATTTTAGCCTTTTTGGTGGGTATAAACTCATATCCCATTGGGATTTTAATTTTTATCCACTGGTGACTTTTAATATCAAGAAACTTTTCATGTGTTCATCGATCATTTGTGTATCTTCTTTCTGAAGGACTATTATTCTTTTCCCCATTTGTATAGGGTTGTTTGACTTTGTCTTATGAATTTGCAGGAGTTGTTTATATATATATATATATATATATATACACACACACACACACACACACACACACACACACACAATATAAGGCCTTTATCAGATATTTGTGCTATGAACATTTTCTCCCAACTTAAGGCTTGCCTTTTCATTTTTTTTAATGGTGACTTTGTAAAATCCAATTTATATTTTTACATTAAGATTGTGGTAGGCCGGGTGTGGTGGCTCACACCTGTAATCCCAGCACTTTGGGATGCCAAGGCAGGTATATCACTGGAGGTCAGGGGTTCGAGACCAGCCTGGCCAACATGATGAAACCCTGTCTCTACTAAAAATATAAAAATTGGCTGGGCGTGGTGGCACACTCCTGTAATCCCAGCTACTTGGTAGGCTGAGGAAGGAGAATTGCTTGAACCCAGGAGGCGGAGGTTGCAGTGAGCCGAGCTCATGCTACTGCACTCTAGCCTGGGTGACAGAGTGAGACTCCGTCTAAAAAAAAGATTGTGTTATGCCCATAAACGTGCTTTCTGTGTCTCTGCGTACTTCTTAGGTCTCAAAGGTAGTCTACACTCTGTTTGTTTTCTAGATGCTATATAGAATTGAATATTACCTTTAAGTAATCTCAAACGCTGTATATGTTGTAAAGTAAGAATCAAGGTTTTCTTTTTTTTAATTTATTACCAATATTGAATCTTCCCCATGCTGTAGCATCAAGTGTGCCCAGGTGGAAAGCTGGCACAATCATGGGGCTCGTATTGTGTGGTTCCCTTTTCTTAATTTTTCTGTATAATTCTTAATGCCTCTTATATTGTGTCCAATTTCATAGCTCTTTAGAATAGGAGGGAAAGTTTATTAGCAGACACTCTATTATGGAGAGAAGTAAATACTTCCTTTCTGACATATTTTTTTAACTCAACTTTTCAGTAATTCTTGAAAGTACAGGAATGCAAAATTGTTGTGTCTCAGTAACTTCTTGATTTGCTTGCTTATTCAAACTATAGTTTCAATCAACTCTAAATTATGTGCTTTACCATTGTCTTTGGATATCTCTACCATCGGCAAAGCAAATAATGTGGAAATTCATTTTATTTAACTTATTCTCAAACTAGAGTGTGACAAGGTTCCAAGGCAAGTGGAGGAAGGCCCAGTCTCATACTGGACTGTCTTTTTGGGCCAGACTTCCATTTTACATGTATCAGTGGACCTGAGTTTAGTTTCTGCCACTTTTTATTAAATTGAACCAGTTTAACTCGAGTGCGGTTTTGCTAAATTTTGGAATCAAAATTTATCACAGATATTATGTGATAAAATGTATCACAAAATATCTGTAGTGACATCCATTAGTTAACATCATTTGAGTTTTCTATTATGCGTTTATGGGCATTTGTCTCATAGTTGGGCTCTTTACATCCATGAATTGTGATAGTTCTTTGTATTCTAACAATGAGCCACTTTATGGGTTTTTGTCTGTCATTTATGTGTGTTTTTATGTTCCACTTAGATTTTTTTTCATATCTGAGAACCTCAGTTTACACTGAAGCCCACCTCAGATAAGTCTGCCTAATACTATATCTCAGTGCTTTACTTTTACCAGACCTTAATGACTCTCTCTATATTTTATACCTCTCTTGAAGTGAAAATCTACCAATTTGTTCCAAATAATGTAATTCATCTACCTTTATGTAGGTAAAATATTCTTTTTATTAAAGCAGGCATGACAGGACCTAAGTTATAATTACTGATATGTTTCTAAAATTTATTAACAATGGGCATTTCATAGCACCAAGTACACACTATTTGTCTGTTTTATACATAAAACCTTCTGTAAAGTTCCTATTATGGAACCTGAATAGATCAAGAATGACAATTCTCTTATCTTCAGCTTATAAGAGGATAGTGCAGGCTGGAATTCACATTAAGCAACTGTTATGAAGCTACCTATATGGATATGCTACATTATATTTAAAGGAATACATAAAGACAATCAAAAACTTTACAAATAATGTGTTAGGAGACAGTTGAATATGCTGCATAATGACATCTTTAAAGATTATACAGAGATAGATAGGGATAAATGATGGGTAACTGGATTTCATGAAAGTACCTCCAGCAAAACGAACTGAAGGTACAGTACAGCTGTAGGTCATTTTTCATGTTCAATAATAATGACCCAACTAAAGATCATTCCTGAAGTAAATGCAATGACTTTTTTTGCCACTATTTGTTTAATTGGACACCTATAAGTGTGTTATTTGCTTAATCACACTAAAATTTTGCAAAGATAAAACAATATCTAAAATAATCTCATCTAAGATGTCCATAAAGATGAAGTTCTTTAGTCAAATCAATAATCCTTCACTTTTCTCACCAAAGGCAAAATTATCTCCTAAATCAAGAATGATGCACTTTAGCTAACTCCTCTGATGTGTCAAAAAGAGCCATTGCTCATGACAGATTCTAAGGAGCTACTCTTCCAGGCAGCCACTCAAGTAGAAATACTCAGAGTACTATACATGCATACCTAGAAGCAAATCCCCCAGCGATATAAAAAAAAAACTAATTAAAAAAGCCTAACTTTTGAACCACCAAATCAAAATAATAATTTTGCAAAAGGACCCCTTCAAAAGAAAACCGAAAGCTGTGTCTTCATTGCATTATATTGCATGAACCTTGTTCATACTAATGTTCAATTGTTGTTCAACTAGTTACATAGACTATGTTATTTAGCTTTCTGACACATGATTTTCTCAGATGGTATGCCATTAGCAGATTTTCTTAAAGAAAATATAACTATAGAAAGGAGGTGTAGTGTAATGAAAGCCAGAAGAACAAATGAGTATTCCTGAGAGTACTTTTTCAGTAATTTCTGCCAATAGCTTTCTTTGTCCTTGGCCTGCTGTTTAGCCTCAGTTCAGTGCATCAATTCACCTGCTGATTAAACAGAGATAAAGTGTTCATGTTTGGAAGCCCACAATATGCAAAGCAATTATTTTCCTTAAAATATATACTTAGAAATAGTTTTACATATAAAACACAGTTTTCCTGTAAATTTAACAGGCCAGGGCATGTTCTGTTGCCTGCAGTGGACCTGATGATGGAATAAGAGACAATGAGGACTTGGGTAGATGTTACTGGGGTACAAAAAGAAATTTGGTCTAAGGTGGTAGGGTGGGTTTGAATGGTGATGTGTTCACCACCACTGGCTGAACAAAGAGCAGGATGCCAACAGAGGCTTCTGGTCTCCAGTGACCTATCGGGTCCCTTACTCTGTCAGGCTGCGAACACTCTGGAACATGGGGTATGCTGCTGTGAAGAATTGGCACGGGTGGGCAGAGTGCACTTAGGTAGATCCCTGATCTTCCGCATCCTTTGCACTGCCTTTTTGCTGGGCAAAAGTCTGAGTCATCAGTCTCGCTGATCTTCAAACCCAGATTTTGTCATCTGGCCTGGCTCAACCTCCAATATAAGATACATGTTTTACACAGAAAATACGTTGACACCAGGAAAAAATACAGTAGCACTAGAAATACAGAGAAACAGGTGAGGTCTTCTCATTATGAGGGGAATAAAAGTAGAAGATATAAATAAAGGTGGCTGAAATGTGGTTGGGAGCAGAAGTGGGTTTGCTCAGAGGATGTTGAGAAGCAGCAAGAGCTTTTCTGTATGGGGTCTGATTCTTAGAGTTTTCAAGCCTCTTCTGTCTATTCCATGGTAATTCATGGACTGCCACACTGGGGCTCAATTCCTCCCTGGTGTCTGAAGTCTGCCTTTACCTTAAGCACTAATGGGCATTTAAGAAACTCTAGTCTACATGCCTTGCACACACAGCTTGAACAGGATGCTACCCTTGTTGCTTGTGTCAGCCTAAACTTAACTTCAGCATGATACACTGGACTTCCACTTGGTGCCCTTTTGCCTCCATTTTGGTGTTCTCAGATCAGATATATCCTGGCTCCCTCCATACTGGAGCCCTGTGGCCATCTCCCTGTCCTTCAGGTCTGAGAACTCTCATTTTCCCAGACTAGCAGAATACCCTGAGGCAAGTGTTTTGCTGGATTATAAAATATATTTTCTAGGATCTGAATGTTTGTGTTTCCTCAAAATTCGTATGTTGAAACCTAATTAGGTAATGGGATTAGTGCCTTTATGAAAGAGGCCCCAGAGAGCTGCCTTGCCCCTTCCAGCATTGTGGGGACACAGCTAGAAGGTGTCATCTGTGAACTAGGAAATGTAGTTCAACAAACCATGGCTGTTGCTATCATTACCTTTTAAAATTTCCACATGGTACCTATACTTGTGGCTGTCCTTCAAAGGTCTGAGCCATAACATGGGAGGTTTAGTTTGTTCATTCATTAATTCATTCAATCTGCTGTACTCTAGGCACTGTTCTAGGCATTAGATCTAAGTTTGTGCTTTCCTCACTGGGTTCCATCTTGGTATAGGTAAGTGATTCATGTCCAACTATGCCTCAAAATAGGAGACATGGGAGAGGTAATATAGTACAGTGGGTAAGGAAGCTGGCTTTGACATTACACAGGTGAAGTTTGAACACAAGCCTTTCTACTGGGCAGCTGAATAAGGTAAATAAGTTTTCTATACCTGAAATTTTCTTATCTGAAAAATAGAGACAATTATACTATCTATCTCCTAGGGTTGCTGTGAAGTTTAAGTGGATACTTTTAGTGTGCTTAGATTAGCACCTGGTCCATAAATGCTCAATCAATGTTAGCTATAATTAAGGTTTTAAGGTTTAAGCTCAGGGGTCTGAGGCCTGATAGTTTAGACTTTCAACCTGGTTACCAATTCCAATGTTAAAAAACAATTAAAATTCTGATTCTTTTATAGAGAGAAGACTATTTCTTTTAAATTATATTTTACCTCTAAATGAATTTAATTTTTCTCCCATCCTTCCTCTTTGGGAAATATTATTGGAACCAAATTTTGTGGTATAAATCAGAATAATTTTGTGGCCTAGATCCTTGATTTTATGGAGAATTCTTGAAGAGTTTCATTGGAATTGTCTATGTATTTAGCTTCAGATGGAAAGCTGAAATTACTCATCAAAGGATTGCAATAAGAGTGATTTGAACCACAAGTATATCAGAACTTCAGGCTTCTCTAAGACAAGAAAATAACTGACAGATGAACTGCAGAAAAAGAAATGGGGTGACTTATTTAGACTGAGATGGTCATGTAGGCTGTATAAAAAAGAAGAGTCAGATAACAGGCTTGTCAAACTAGCTAATTGCACCTGCAAACAAAGGACATAGTTTAAAGCATGGGTTTTAGAAAGGAATGCTAGTCTCTCATTTGTATTTTCAGCTGGATCTGCATACATGGGTAGGATCACCACAATTGACGATGTCATCTTTGAATAGGGAGGAATAGAGACTCACACAGAGCTTGCACCAGGGAGATTCTACACACAGATGAACAATTCATTAGCCATTCAGAGCTGAAAGCTGCCGCCTAACTTTGCTCTGTATGCTGAAAACAATGCAATGATCAAAAAAGAAAAAAAAAAAAAGAAAATAGAATCAAGGCAGTAAGGTAACCCTTTAGGAAGTGATGGGAGTGTTACATCAACATATTGTCAAGATCCAGATAAATCTGAATATCTACACAGTACTTTCTATCCTATGAGATTTGAAACTTAGACTTCATTTCAGATTTGCGAACAGTGTTACCTAGTTCCCATTCTAAAATTACTAAATCTACAAAACATGCTTCAACCCTTTCTCCTTCAACTTTTTTTTTTAAATGTTTCTCTTTTTAAAAATATGTATTTTTAAAAAATATATTTTTATATATGTATTTTTTGAGACAGGGTCTTGCTCTGTCACCCAGGCTGGAGTGCAGTGGTGCAAACATAGCTCGCTGCAGCCTCAACTTCCTGGGTTCAGGTGATCCTTCCATCTCAGCTTCCTGAGTAGATGGCACAACAGGCACATGCCACCAAGCCTGGCTAATTTTTGTATTTTTGGTAGAGAGAGTTTCACCACGTTGCCTAGGCTGGTTTCAAACTCCTGAGCTCAAGCAATCCACCTTGGCTTCCTGAAGTGCTGGGATTACAGGTGGGAGCCACCGTGCCCTGCCATCAGTGTATTTTTTTTTCTGAAATTTTATAATAAGTTATCACAAATTATGATAAATTGCATTTTCCCAAAGATTAAATTAACAAACTTCCCTTGAGCACTTCTTTTCTTTTTTTTTTTTTTTTTTTTTAATTTTTTTTAAATTATACTTTAAGTTTTAGGGTACATGTGCACATTGTTCAGGTTAGTTACATGTGTATACATGTGCCATGCTGGTGCGCTGCACCCACTAACTCGTCATCTAGCATTAGGTATATCTCCCAATGCTATCTCTCCCCCCTCCCCCGACCCCACCACAGTCCCCAGAGTGTGATATTCCCCTTCCTGTGTCCATGTGATCTCATTGTTCAATTCCCACCTATGAGTGAGAATATGCGGTGTTTGGTTTTTTGTTCTTGAGATAGTTTACTGAGAATGATGATTTCCAATTTCATCCATGTCCCTACAAACCACATGAACTCATCATTTTTTATGGCTGCATAGTATTCCATGGTGTATATGTGCCACATTTTCTTAATCCAGTCTATCATTGTTGGACATTTGGGTTGGTTCCAAGTCTTTGCTATTGTGAATAATGCCACAATAAACATACGTGTGCATGTGTCTTTATAGCAGCATGATTCATAGTCCTTTGGGTATATACCCAGTAATGGGATGGCTGGGTCAAATGGTATTTCTAGTTCTAGATCCCTGAGGAATCGCCACACTGACTTCCACAATGGTTGAACTAGTTTACAGTCCCACCAACAGTGTAAAAGTGTTCCTATTTCTCCACATCCTCTCCAGCACCTGTTGTTTCCTGACTTTTTAATGATTGCCATTCTAACTGGTGTGAGATGGTATCTCATTGCGGTTTAGATTTGCATTTCTCTGATGGCCAGTGATGATGAGCATTTTTTCATGTGTTTTTTGGCTGCATAAATGTCTTCTTTTGAGAAGTCTCTGTTCATGTCCTTAGCCCACTTTCTGATGGGGTTGTTTGTTTTTTTCTTGTAAATTTGTTTGAGTTCATTGTAGATTCTGGATATTAGCCCTTTGTCAGATGAGTAGGTTGCAAAAATTTTCTCCCATGTTGTAGGTTGCCTGTTCACTCTGATGGTAGTTTCTTTTGCTGTGCAGAAGCTCTTTAGTTTAATTAGATCCCATTTGTCAATTTTGTCTTTTGTTGCCATTGCTTTTGGTGTTTTGGACATGAAGTCCTTGCCCATGCCTATGTCCTGAATGGTAATGCCTAGGTTTTCTTCTAGGGTTTTTATGGTTTTAGGTCTAAGGTTTAAGGCTTTAATCCATCTTGAATTGATTTTTGTATAAGGTGTAAGGAAGCGATACAGTTTCAGCTTTGTACATATGGCTAGCCAGTTATCCCAGCACCATTTATTAAATAGGGAATCCTTTCCCCATTGCTTGTTTTTCTCAGGTTTGTCAAAGATCAGATAGTTGTAGACATGCGGCATTATTTCTGAGGGCTCTGTTCTGTTCCATTGATCTATATCTCTGTTTTGGTACCAGTACCATGCTGTTTTGGTTACTGTAGTCTTGTAGTATAGTTTGAAGTCAGGTAGTGTGATGCCTCCAGCTTTGTTCTTTTGGCTTAGGATTGCCTTGGGGATGTGGGCTCTTTTTTGGTTCCATATGAACTTTAAAGTAGTTTTTTCCAATTCTGTGAAGAAAGTCATTGGTAGCTTGATGGGGTTGGCATTGAATCTGTAAATTACCTTGGGCAGTATGGCCATTTTCACGATATTGATTCTTCCTACCCATGAGCATGGAATGTTCTTCCATTTGTTTGTATCCTCTTTTATTTCCTTGAGCAGTGGTTTGTAGTTCTCCTTGAAGAGGTCCTTCACATCCCTTGTAAGTTGGATTCCTAGGTATTTTATTCTCTTTGAAGCAATTGTGAATGGGAGTTCACTCATGATTTGGCTTTCTGTTTGTCTGTTATTGGTGTATAAGAATGCCTGTGATTTTTGTACATTGATTTTGTATCCTGAGACTTTGCTGAAGTTGCTTATCAGCTTAAGGAGATTTTGGGCTGAGACAATGGGGTTTTCTAGATATACAATCATGTCGTCTGCAAACAGGGACAATTTGACTTCCTCTTTTCCTAATTGAATACCCTTTATTTCCTTCTCCTGCCTAATTGCCCTGGCCAGAACTTCCAACACTATGTTGAATAGGAGTGGTGAGAGAGGGCATCCCTGTCTTGTGCCAGTTTTCAAAGGGAATGCTTCCAGTTTTTGCCCATTCAGTATGATATTGGCTGTGGGTTTGTCATAGATAGCTCTTATTATTTTGAAATATGTCCCATCAATACCTAATTTATTGAGAGTTTTTAGCATGAAGGGTTGTTGAATTTTGTCAAAGGCTTTTTCTGCATCTATTGAGATAATCATGTGGTTTTTGTCTTTGGCTCTGTTTATATGCTGGATTACATTTATTGATTTGCGTATATTGAACCAGCCTTGCATCCCAGGGATGAAGCCCACTTGATCATGGTGGATAAGCTTTATGATGTGCTGCTGGATTCGTTTTGCCAGTATTTTATTGAGGATTTTTGCATCAATGTTCATCAAGGATATTGGTCTAAAATTCTCTTTTTTGGTTGTGTCTCTGCCAGGCTTTGGTATCAGAATGATGCTGGCCTCATAAAATGAGTTAGGGAGGATTCTCTCTTTTTCTATTGATTGGAATAGTTTCAGAAGGAATGGTACCAGTTCCTCCTTGTACCTCTGATAGAATTCGGCTGTGAATCCATCTGGTCCTGGACTCTTTTTGGTTGGTAAACTATTGATTATTGCCACAATTTCAGCTCCTGTTATTGGTCTATTCAGAGATTCAACTTCTTCCTGGTTTAGTCTTGGGATGGTGTATGTGTCGAGGAATTTATCCATTTCTTCTAGATTTTCTGGTTTATTTGAGTAGAGGTGTTTGTAGTATTCTCTGATGGTAGTTTGTATTTCTGTGGGATCGGTGGTGATATCCCCTTTATCATTTTTATTGTGTCTATTTGATTCTTCTCTCTTTTTTTCTTTATTAGTCTTGCTAGTGGTCTATCAATTTTGTTGATCCTTTCAAAAAACCAGCTCCTGGATTCATTAATTTTTTGAAGGGTTTTTTGTGTCTCTATTTCCTTCAGTTCTGCTCTGATTTTAGTTATTTCTTGCCTTCTGCTAGCTTTTGAATGTGTTTGCTCTTGCTTTTCTAGTTCTTTTAATTGTGATGTTAGGGTGCCAATTTTGGATCTTTACTGCTTTCTCTTGTGGGCATTTAGTGCTATAAATTTCCCTCTACACACTGCTTTGAATGTGTCCCAGAGATTCTGGTATGTTGTGTCTTTGTTCTCGTTGGTTTCAAAGAACATCTTTATTTCTGCCTTCATTTCGTTATGTATCCAGTAGTCATTCAGGAGCAGGTTGTTCAGTTTCCATGTAGTTGAGCGGTTTTGAGTGAGATTCCTAATCCTGAGTTCTAGTTTGATTGCACTGTGGTCTGAGAGATAGTTTGTTGTAATCTCTGTTCTTTTACGTTTGCTGAGGAGAGCTTTACTTCCAACTCTGTGGTCAATTTTGGAATAGGTGTGGTGTGGTGTGGTGCTGAAAAAAATGTATATTCTGTTGATTTGGGGTGGAGAGTTCTGTAGATGTCTATTAGGTCCGCTTGGTGCAGAGCTGAGTTCAATTCCTGGGTATCCTTGTTGACTTTCTGTCTCGTTGATCTGTCTAATGTTGACAGTGGGGTGTTAAAGTCTCCCATTATTAATGTGTGGGAGTCTAAATCTCTTTGTAGGTCACTCAGGACTTGCTTTATGAATCTGGGTGCTCCTGTATTGGGTGCATATATATTTAGGTTAGTTCTTCTTGTTGAATTGATCCCTTTACCATTATGTAATGGCCTTCTTTGTCCCTTTTGATCTTTGTTGGTTTAAAGTCTGTTTTATCAGAGACTAGGATTGCAACCCCTGCCTTTTTTTGTTTTCCATTTGCTTGGTAGATCTTCCTCCATCCTTTTATTTTGAGCCTATATGTGTCTCTGCACATGAGATGGGTTTCCTGAATACAGCACACTGATGGGTCTTGACTCTTTATCCAATTTGCCAGTCTGTGTCTTTTAATTGGAAAATTTAGTCCATTTACATTTAAAGTTAATATTGTTATGTGTGAATTTGATCCTGTCATTATGATGTTAGCTGGTGATTTTGCTCATTAGTTGATGCAGTTTCTTCCTAGTCTTGATGGTCTTTACATTTTGGCATGATTTTGCAGCGGCTGGTACCGGTTGTTCCTTTCCATGTTTAGCGCTTCCTTCAGGAGCTCTTTTAGGGCAGGCCTGGTGGTGACAAAATCTCTCAGCATTTGCTTGTCTGTAAAGTATTTTATTTCTCCTTCCCTTATGAAGCTTAGTTTGGCTGGGTATGAAATTCTGGGTTGAAAATTCTTTTCTTTAAGAATGTTGAATATTGGCCCCCACTCTCTTCTGGCTTGTAGGGTTTCTGCCGAGAGATCCGCTGTTAGTCTGATGGGCTTCCCTTTGAGGGTAACCCGACCTTTCTCTCTGGCTGCCCTTAACATTTTTTCCTTCATTTCAACTTTGGTGAATCTGACAATTATGTGTCTTGGAGTTGCTCTTCTCGAGGAGTATCTTTGTGGCGTTCTCTGTATTTCCTGAATCTGAACGTTGGCCTGCCTTGCTAGATTGGGGAAGTTCTCCTGGATAATATCCTGCAGAGTGTTTTCCAACTTGGTTCCATTCTCCCCATCACTTTCAGGTACGCCAATCAGACGTAGAGTTGGTCTTTTCACATAGTCCCATATTTCTTGGAGGCTTTGCTCATTTCTTTTTATTCTTTTTTCTCTAAACTTCCCTTCTTGCTTCATTTCATTCATTTCATCTTCCATTGCTGATACCCTTTCTTCCAGTTGATCGCATCGGCTCCTGAGGCTTCTGCATTCTTCACGTAGTTCTCGAGCCTTGGTTTTCAGCTCCATCAGCTCCTTTAAGCACTTCTCTGTATTGGTTATTCTAGTTATACATTCTTCTAAATTTTTTTCAAAGTTTTCAACTTCTTTGCCTTTGGTTTGAATGTCCTCCCGTAGCTCAGAGTAATTTGATCGTCTGAAGCCTTCTTCTCTCGGCTCGTCAAAGTCATTCTCCATCCAGCTTTGTTCCGTTGCTGGTGAGGAACTGCGTTCCTTTGGAGGAGGAGAGGCACTCTGCGTTTTAGAGTTTCCAGTTTTCTCTTCTGTTTTTTCCCCATCTTTGTGGTTTTATCTACTTTTGGTCTTTGATGATGGTGATGTACAGATGGGTTTTTGGTGTGGATGTCCTTTCTGTTTGTTAGTTTTCCTTCTAACAGACAGGACCCTCAGCTGCAGGTCTGTTGGAATACCCTGCCGTGTGAGGTGTCAGTGTGCCCCTGCTGGGGGGTGCCTCCCAGTTAGGCTGCTCGGGGGTCAGGGGTCAGGGACCCACTTGAGGAGGCAGTCTGCCCGTTCTCAGATCTCCAGCTGCATGCTGGGAGAACCACTGCTCTCTTCAAAGCTGTCAGACAGGCATATTTAAGTCTGCAGAGGTTACTGCTTTTTGTTTGTCTGTGCCCTGCCCCCAGAGGTGGAGCCTACAGAGGCAGGCAGGCCTTCTTGAGCTGTGGTGGGCTCCACCCAGTTGGAGCTTCCCGGCTGCTATGTTTACCTAAGCAAGCCTGGGCAATGGCGGGCGCCCCTCCCCCAGCCTCGCTGCCGCCTTGCAGTTTGGTCTCAGACTGCTGTGCTAGCAATCAGCGAGACTCTGTGGGCGTAGGACCCTCCGAGCCAGGTGCGGGATATAATCTCGTGGTGCGCCATTTTTTAAGCCGGTCCGAAAAGCGTAATATTCGGGTGGGAGTGACCCGATTTTCCAGGTGCGTCCGTCACCCCTTTGACTCGGAAAGGGAACTCCCTGACCCCTTGCGCTTCCCAAGTGAGGCAATGCCTCACCCTGCTTCGGCTCACGCACGGTGTGCGCACCCACTGACCTGTGCCCACTGTCTGGCACTCCCTAGTGAGATGAACCCGGTACCTCAGATGGAAATGCAGAAATCACCCGTCTTCTGCGTCGCTCACACTGGGAGCTGTAGACTGGAGCTGTTCCTATTCGGCCATCTTGGCTCCTCCCGAGCACTTATTTTCAAGGAGTCATCATTTAAAATCTTATTTTCTTAATAAGAACACATACTCCTTAAGAAGACATACTTTTTTTGTACCCTTGTCTCTCTCATTTATTCCTTCTCCCTCTATTCATAATTGACATTAATTGAACATTCTTTGTTTTATTAATCTATATAAAAACAATGTCACATTTCAAGTGTTTATCATGTAAGCAATGTTATATCGACTTAACGTGGTAGGCAGAATAATAGACCTTCAATGATGATGGCCCTATCCTAATCTCTGGAACCTATGAAAATGCTATCTTCGTGGCAAAGGGGACTTTGCAAGTGTGATCAAGTTAAGGACTTTGAGGTGAGGAGATTATCCTGGATTATTGGGGTGGGCCTGATCTGATCACATTGGTCTTTAAAAGCAAAGAAATCCTTGTTGTGGTCAGTGAGAGACATGAGAATGGAAGAATGTCAGAGAGATGCAACGTTGCTGGTTTTGAAGATGCAGGAAGCTGGTTATTCCCAGTTTAGGGAATGTGGGAGGCCTCTAGAAACTGGAAAAGGCAAGAACATGGGTTCTCCCTAGAGCCTTCAGACAGAAACACAGTTCTAAGAACACTCTGATTTTAACCCAGTGAGACCAGTGCCAGACTTCTAAACTACAGAACTGTAAGAAGTTGCTAAGTTTGTGGTAATCTGTTACAACAGCAATAGAAAACTAATAGAACGTGGGATGAGATACAATGAGGACACAGCCTTGTGTTATTTGCTGGCCATCACAAACTCTCTTTGTTGTTTCTACTCCTAGGTAAAAGGTCATTAATTAGGAGAAGATTTATCTCAAGGAAACGTATGGTAAGCCCAATCTTTTCTTTAAGCACATAGCCCTTACTTTTCAATTTATCATACTGGTACTCAAATCAAGATGACCCCAGTGGAGATCCATCACATGTACAGTTCATTGAGTTTTACACAGGTCTGTCGCTAAGTGAGTAATTTCCTGAAATGATCTCCTAATAATTCATAAAGTGTTCATTTTAGGGTTCATTCTTATTCTTACGATTTTAAAATAAAGTCTTCCTTGTTTCCAACCCTTTGATTCTTAGACAGGTTAAACCACTAACCCTGCTTTAATCTGTTAGGGTACATTTCCCTTTGTTGGTTCCCAAATTCTGCCAAAAACTATGGAACGTTGGTATCTGCTTGAAAGCAGTATCGGCAAAAACAACTTTTCCCCAAATGCAATTGGAATTCCCATTGTCTCCTAAAATTTCTGGGATTACAGAATAGGAAAGACATTCAACAGTTGAAGAATTATACAGAATGTGGAGGAGGAAGGAGGAATGTATTGATACAATTTAAAAAAAACAGATCAAATTGGTACACTTTAAGTAATAGGTTTTACAGAGAGGTAAGTTTGAGTGGAAGAGTTAGCATGGAAGGGATGAAGGACCCCATCATCCTAGTCTATGAAGTTTGCAATTATTCTTGTCACATGGCAGCAAAACATTTGAGACTCACATCTGTTGTATTTTGGAACACAGACCACGTGTCTACCCACAGATTAGGAACAATGGTAGGAAAAATTCAAAATTCAGGATGTTGGCCCATGGTGGCTACTTCTAGCATGTTTCCTTAAGATGAACACCCACTTATTACTTCAAATTCTCTTGGGGGAAAAAAAAACTCCAAGATAAAAAGCATTGACTAAACCAAGTGCCAGAGAAATGGGCAGAACACAGAAACTAGTTGCTAAGACATGGGTATTTCCAGAATTCCCACAAAAGACTTCTAGAACTAATGAAAGCTGATAAATAGACTAGAAACAAACCAGAAGTCTTCTAAATTTTTAAAAGGGCCTGTATTACCACATAAACCCATGCCTGCCTAGGAAGGGCAGACAACTCCTTAATGTCTCCACTAGCCCCTAGGGCGGTAGTGGCTTGGAAGGGATACTGCTAGAGAATGTCCTCCTTTCTCACCCGTGACTGTGGAAAGCAATGGATACCTAAGAATCTTTCAGAAAGTAGAACTAAGAGCTATCAGACTGGCTGACCCAGGAAATCACTACCCAGCCAGGGCATGAAAGACACACTCTTCTTGGTCAGAATATCACACAAACTACCATAAGCTCCTCACTTTTCCAAATAGAATTTTTTTTAAAAAAATTTAATGAATAAAGATGAATATATTTAAGCTGCACAATGTGATAATTTGATAAATGTATACACTGTGTAATAGTTACCACAAGTAAAGTAATTAACATGTCCATCACCCCCTATGCCGCATATTAGATCCCCACCAAATAGAAATTTTAGTTATTGTTATCCCTTTTTTCCCTACTTACAAATTTTAAGTGCTTTGGTGGCGGATAGCTATTGTTAAGATAGAAAAGTCACATCACACCTCTGATTTTTGAAGCCAGCTATATTTGGAACATATATGGAAGAGTAGCTGTATGAGGTTGCATGAGCAGTGAGTGGTTTCAAGTAGATACGAGGGCTGTGAAAGTAAATGTTGAACAGAAGGGTGCATGTGCTTGATAGGTAGTCAGTGAGTTGGGCAGGAGATACTGTTGACTGTCTATCCTACATCTATTCTTCTCCTTCTCTTTCTAAAGAGAATTCTGGTATTGTTCAGTGATCTATTATAGGACTCATCATTAGCCGAACTCAGTCCCTGATTCGAGATTAAGCTGTGATTAACTCAAATGGAAATTTCCTAGCTATATTAAGAAATGGGCACGTGATAGAAGTCAAATCAATTAAGTGAAAGGAAGTGTTTGTTTGAGATTCCTGAAAAATGCCCTCCTCTATCTCTTACCAGAAGTGACAGAGGAAGGACATGGTTTGTGTTGCTACTGGTGAGCATTCTCCACAATGCTGCAATCAGCATTAGGATGAAGCCAGCTCTACAGGTGGCAGAGCAGAAAAAAAAATGGGCCTGAGTCTGTGATCTCCATCTTTGAATCCCCATATGAACAAACCCTGTAATTTACCCTACCTCTGGATATCTAGTTCCATGAGCCAAAAAATTGCCTCTTTCCTTAAACCCTTTTGAGTTGATTTTCTGTCAATTACAGCTAAACCCTATCCAACTGACACAGTACTTGATACCAACATAAGAATAATTGGAAGTCTCTCAGTAGTTTACAGGAGAAAATAATTAGGAAAGTTTAATTCTGAGATACAAGATATGAACATAATGGTTAAGAGTATAGGCTTTTGATACAAATACACCCGAAGTTCTACCCTGCTCTGTCCATTACTGCCTATACATGTCTTCTATGAACTCTAGTCTTCACATTGGTACGATGAAGATAAACCTAGCTTATAAGAGAGTGGTAGAGAGTAAACAAGATAATGCACATAAAATTCCTGTCATGAAGTAGATGTTCAATAATTGCAACCATCATTTTAATGGCCAGAGAACAAATTAAGATCCCTTGGTAAGAATTTCTGTACAGGAAGATGGCTCAAGAGGAATCCAGTGCTCTAAAAGATGAAATTCTGGGAATTACAATTTCAAATGATTCTGATGAGAAAGAAAAGTAGTTACTGAAGGAACTGATGTGGCCGCATAGGGATGTTTTCAAAAAATGTATATTGAAAGATAGGAGAGAACTGTTATGACAGGGAATGAATACAAAACAGGAACACCAAACTGAAGGAACAGAATCAGAAGGACTGAGGTACTGAAATAATTTGAACTGAACAAAGTCTCGAAATTATGTCCCAAGGCCACAATAGGAACAAATCAATGACAAATCAACAAATCAAATCAGGAGGGGAGAGACTGTGACATGAAGAAATGACAGGAAAATAAGACTGTTTAAAATCTGAATTAAGCAATAAGCGATATGATAGACATAGGTGGAATGACTAGAGAACAAAACAATAGTTTACTCATTTTCAAGGTAAAATGCTAGTTCTCTGAACTTTTAAATTATACTTTGAAACATTACAGGCCATGTTGACTTGATTTTTGCATAGCTATGAAAAACATTATGAAATAAGATATCATGTAAATTAGATTCATATCAAATTGAATTCATAATAAATTCCAGGAAGAAATCTTGCTAGTACAAAAAGACAACTGTTCTTTAGCCTGAAGTGTACATCAGCGACATACTATTTTTCTGAATAAGCGTGGTATTCAGTTTGCCTCAGAAACACATAAACATAGTATTTCATTTGTACAGAAACAGTTTTTGTTTTGTTTTGTTTTTAAGATGCGGAGCCTCACTCTGTTGCCCAGGCTGGAGTGCAGTGGCGCGATCTCGGCTCACTGCAAGCTCCGCCTCCAGGGTTCACGCTATTCTCCTGCCTCAGCCTCCGGAGTAGCTGGGACTACAAGCGCCAGCCGCAACGCCCGGCTAATTTTTTTGGATTTTTAGTAGAGAGGGGGTTTCACCGTGTTAGCCAGGATGGTCTCGATCTCCTGACCTCACGATCTGCCCACCTCAGCCTCCCAAAGTGCTGGGATTACAGGCGTGAGCCACCACGCTCGGCCACAAATAGCTTTTTTAAAGTATTTGATCAACAATAAATTCTAAAAATGTTTATTAGTGATTTTACTAATGGATAACATGTCCTCACTCCTACACACACACACACACACACACACACACACACACACACACCAGAAACTTTGTCTTAGAAACCTTGTCCATGTCTGTCCAAAATAGAAGTCAGAAGGGAGGTCTTTGTGACCAAGTTCTGCTTTAGGTCTGACCCAGTTAAATGTCCTGAAGAGGAGGAGTACTCTTTCTCTGACTCAGGAGGCCAGGAGAGAACACAGTTTTCTCACCAAGGAAGGCTTTGGAAATAATTCACATGCAGGTGAACTGCTTTTAGAAAGCACTTTTCCGTTACCTGCCCCCAGAGTGAAGTTCAAAAGAAAAGGGAATAAAATGTTCTCAATCAAGATCTCTGGGCTGTGGTGTTTTCTACCACTGGAGAGTTGCTTGATTCAGAACATTATCACCTTCAAGGAATAAGAAACAGTCATTTCTTTACCCAGACAGTCTTTTCATCTTGGAACAAGGGGCCTAAAAAGCTATTCTCACAGAAGGCTTTTCTTGCTTTTAAAAACACAATCAAATTGGTTCCAGTGGAGTGGGATATAAGGAAGGGTACCTCTTCTACTTTTGCACAAGTAATTGACTAGCCTAATTAGACTGCCCAAGTGTTTAGATACCATGGTGATGGGCACTTTATAAATACTGTATATAACTAAACCGGGAGCATCACTTTTGACAATAATAGCCATAGTTAGCTCTGATAGGTTGGGAAGACACAAGAAGCCAAATGCTTTGCCACATTCCTTAACATTTATTGATAGTTATTTATGTTGACACTTTCAGCCATTTGTGGTGTCTTTTTACTCTAGATCTGTGGGTAGTGTGGTCAAAGATGACTTCTGCAGATAAAAACATCATCTTGTATGCAAGGTAAGCATCATTGTGGATTCTGCACAATAACTAAGAAACTATTATAACTAAGAAATATTATAACTTATAAGCAACTGCCATCCAGAAATCAAGCAGCACTTAATCAGTTCAGAGTGAGAATGTGCTTAAACAAGATCTGCAGTGAGTGAAAAACCACATACTGCATAGAAGCTAATGGCTTTTTGATCCTAGAAGAAAACCAAATGATATTCTCTAGTTGTTGACATAAATCTGGAAAATGGACGTACCGAATGCTGAGTTGTCTTGTTCTCCTTTTGGAACTTTTTTTTTTTGGCATCACTTGTTAAGGTGGGGCAACCTTGGTGAGGCTGACTGCCAAGAGTCAAACTGTGGATTTGTAGAAGCAGGAAAACACTGATTCTTGTTTTTGGTCTATGTACTTAGTTCTTCCAAACTGCATGGTAATTTTTTATTTTTACCAAGGTTAGTAAAGTCCTTCATACCACCAGGCAGTTACCTAGTTTAGTAAGGCTGTAATATACAAAAGCTAAAATCCTTGCTCCTAAAATCAACTCTACTATGGGGAAGAAAGGAAAACTAACATTTAACAGTGCCAGGCTTCATGCTAGAAATTATGCATCAAAAGATATTAATACTTAAAACAATCCTATCAGTTAGATAACAGATTCATTCTAAAGATGAGAAAATTGATGTGTTGAAATCCTGTTGATTACCACACTGTGTCTGGCAGTATGTAGCAGGGCCCAAATTCAAACCCAAGTTTACCTGACTTTAAGGCTCATATTCTCTCCATAACACCATGTTTTACTTCCTCATTGAAAAATGCTGCCCTTAAGAATGATGCAATGGACTTTGGGGACTTGGGGGGAAGAGTGGGAGGGGGTCGAGGGATAGAAGACTACAAATATGGTGCAGTGTATACTGCTCGGGAGATGGGTGCACCAAAAACCACTAAACTTACTCATGTAACCAAATACCACCTGTACCCCAATAACTTATGGGAAAAAATGCTGCCCCAGGGAAATAAGTTATTACCTTTGCCATGAGTTTATCAGAATTCGTATTTTAACATTTTTTGATGGAGAGTCTTGCTATATCGCCCAGGCTGGTCTCAAACTCCTGGGCTCAAGGAGTCCTCCCACCTCAGCCTCTGGAGTAGCTGGGAATACAGATGTGTGCCACCACACCCAGCCAATTCTGTTTTATATTTTAGAAACGGGTCTTGCTTTGTTGCCTAGGCTAATCTTAAACTCCTGGTCCCAAGCAATCCTCTTGCCTCCTCAGCCTCTCAGGTCATATTTTAACTTTTGGTTGTTCTTTTGTCTTTATAATTAATTTCCATATATTCAAGAGAACATTACTGGATAATATCACAATATACATAGAGGTAGTTTAGCAAGGGGGAAAGAAGCCAGATTTAGAATAAAAACCCTTGGGTTTCAGACTGACAGTTCAAAACGGTGACACTAGAAATGTCAGTCAACCTTTTTGAGTCTCAATTTATTAATTGGATAAATGAGGATGCTTGTATCTATTCTCAGAATGACTGGCAAAATCTGAAAATACTTTAGGGAAGTATGTGATGCATTTTAGCACAATTTCTATACAAAAATTAATACCAAAAGATTTCATATTTAAAGGGCTTTTTCACTTTTTGCAAAATTCACTTACATAAATCAATTGTAGTGATTTGGCTGAATCAGTGCTATACCTGATAATGAAACATTATCACAAACCTAAGTATATTATGCTTTTCTCAACTCCTTTTTGAGTAAGTTATAGTGACCTCACTGAGGATGATTGCAGGGATGAAATCATCAAAGAGCCAATTTATATAGGTAGCAAACTGGGCACCTGTCATTTTGAAATATAAAGCATTCTATTATACCATTATTTTAAAATTTACTTAATGGCACCACACTCCAACAAATCTTCCAAATCATAATTCTGAGAATCTGTTCTGTATTTTTCTCTCAATCCCTAGATCTAATACCCCTATTCTCTACTGTTGATGGTCATTGGCCAACCCATTCTAAAATTTCTACTCCCTGAATATTGCTTAAATAACCAATAGCTTCTTCACTGACTCCCTAGCCCCAGTCTTTTTTTGTCTACCCCCTTGCATTCTCTAAATATACACGTAATATTTCAAATCTAATCATGTCATGTACTTGTTTAAAATCCTCAGTGGATTTTAATTGCCTTCAGGATAAAAACTTAATAGTAGAAAAACTTCCAGAATCTGGGAAGTGACTACACTAATTCATTCATAACACAGTAACACAGTAGAAGAATAACTTTTGGCACCTATTATATGCCAGGTACTGTGCCCTGTTCTGGCACTATGGAAACAAAACAGGAATTAAATGGCTAGTCATCCCAGACTATACAAACACAATTAAGAAAAGTGCGATAAGGAATGCCGACCCAGTATGGGGGGCAGGTAGTATTCCTTCAGGAAGACTTATTTCTCATCTCTTTTATTTCATGTTTCTTAAGTTTTAATCAGTTCCTTAAATATTTGTATTCTCCTTCCCTTTGAGGCTAAAGTCAGGAATGAGGGAGATGACATCACTATTCCATAGACAATAAAAGAATGATAAGAAAATATTATGAACAAATTTATGCCAATATATTTAGCAAAATAGATGAAATGGAGAAATTCCTTGAAATTAGGAATGTTCCTGTGTCTATTAGAGAAATTGAATTTCTAGTTAAAATTTTTTCACAAAATTGAAGAGGATGGAGTACTTCGTAGCTCATTCAATTAGGGCCAGCATTGTCCTGGTACCAAAACCATACAAAGATATAAGGTGGAAAAAAATCATTCAGATTAATATGCTTTATAAATATAGATATGAAAATTCTAAAGAAAATTTTAATGAAACTCAAAAATGAATATATCATGACCAAGTGGGTTTGTACTGGGAATGTAGTTTTGATTTAGCATTTTAAAAATCTATCAATGTAGTTGTTGTATTAACAGACTAGAAAAGAGAAACCTTATGTTCATCTCAGTAGATGCAGAAAAACTTCTGAGAAAATCCAGCATCTATTTGTGATTAAAAACTCTTAGCATACTCAGGACAGATGGGAAGGAAAAACCTAAAACTAGCATCATATTTAATAATGAAAGATTGAATGCTTTCCATCTAAAGAAGAGAACAGGACAGAAATGTCCACTCTCATCATTTCTACTTAACATGGTACTAGAGATTTAGCCAATGCAATAAGGCAGGAAAAAAAATGTATCCAGCTAGAAAGCCAAAAAATATTATTGTCTTAATCCAAGGATCACATAATCTTCTATGTAGAACATCTGATGCTCTCCCAAAAAACTATCAGAACCAGTAATTGAGTATTGCAATGTTGCAGAGTACAAAACAAAATACAAAACCAGTTACAATTCTGTATAGTAGCATCAAACAAGCAGGAAATGAAATAAGGATACAATTTACAATAGAATTAAGAATATGAAATACTCGGGGATAAATATGACCAAAGGTATGTGTAAAATTGTAAAACACTGTTGTGAAAAATTAAAGAAGACCTCATTAAATAATGAGATATAACTTGTTCATTGGTTGGAAAACCCTATATTGTGAAAATGTCAATTCCTCCCAAATTAATCTACAGGTTTAATGGAAAGCCAATTAAAATTTTGGCAAGCTTTTAAAAATATATATAAGTTAGCAAGATGATTCTAAAGTTAATGTGGAAATGCAAAGGACTTAGCACAAATGCCAGCAAACTATGACCTGCGGTATACTTCCAGCTTGTTGCCTTCTTTTGTAAATAAAGCTTTACAGCCACACAGTCATATCATATTGCCTATGGCTGTTTTTTGCACTGCAAGTGTAGAACTGAGTACTTACAAAAGAAACCATATGGCCTACAAGCCCTGAAATATCAACTCTCTGTCCCTCCACAGGAAAAATATAATTGCTGACCCTTGACCTAGAGTAGCAAAAACAAGTTTGAATAAGAAAAAAGTAGAGAACTATCTGACTCTCAAACTTATATCAAAATTACACTAATAAAGAAGTGTGGTTCTGGCATTGAGTTAGATGTATAGATCAATGACCCAAAGTGGACAGTCTCAAAATAAACCTCTACTTACATGGACAACAGACATCTGATAAAAATGCAGAGATGACAAAAAAGAGAAAGGATGGTATTTCCACTGTATCCAGAAGACAAAAATAACTCTCAAAACTCTATAATCAGAAAACGTAAAATCCTAATAAAACTGGGCAAAATATTTTAATAGACACTTCACCAAAGAAAACATGAAGATGGCAAATAAGCATGAAAAGATGCCCAATATTACTGACCATTAGGGAAATGGAAATACAAACCACAATGTAATACCTGTACAAACCTACTTAAATGGCTACAATTAACTGACCATCCTGAGTGTTAATGAGGATGTGGAGGAAATGCATATCTCCTATACTGCTGGTAGGAATGAAAAATGATATAGTTACTCTGCAATACAGTTTGGCAGTTAAAGTTAAATATACATCTACCATATGACCCAGTCATTCCACTCCTAGGTATTTATGCAAGAGAAATGAAAGCGTATGTTCATATAAAGGCTTATACACAAGTATTCATTGCAGCTTTATTTGTAATAAGCCCAAACTGACCACTCCAAATGTCTATCAACAAGTAAATAAAATCATAAGCAAATTTTGTTGTATCCATACAGTGGAATGCTACTTAGCAATAAAATCACTTGATACACAACAACAGCATTAATGAAATTTAAAATAAATTGTTCTACATAAAATAAACCAGATAAAAAAGCAAATTATTTGCTCTGGGGCAGGGACCAGGGAGTGGAGGAAGGAAATTATGAAAGGGCGTGGGGAAACATTTAGGGGTGAAAGTTGTGCTCATAATTTTGATGAAAAAATCTGTATGAATCACTTCAATACAGAACAATTTTACCTTTGTATTACTATAGCTTTTATTGAAAATGAACACATAACAATAGCAAACAAATTTAAATGCTCCCTGATTTTTATTCTGGGTAAGACTAGGAAACCTGTATTTCAGTGAATTCACTGCAGTGGACTTTTTCTGCTGATCACAAGATATAAGTAATTGACAGTCTTATGTATGAACAATGTACTTAGTGCATAGAGATACAGGAGTTTCCTGCAGGAGTCCTCTAGAACAACATGGGAATGTAACTTTAGCACAGCAAAAATGCACAACCTATGGTGCTGATTTGGGTGAAAATGAAACATGAGACGAGTGCTATGTAATCACACTCTAGAGTTAATTTTAAGATCATATTTTACTGTAAGGATTTTGGTAATAAAATAACATTATATACCAAATAGCGAGGTATGTTAACTGCCACCATATAGATACAACAAATTAAACCAAGAATTTAATTTCATCTTCAGTACGTACCACAGAAACCCCAGCAATACCAAATGAATTGTATTGACAATCAGGATTTGCCATGTGTAAAAACCTTCAATTTTACCTTCCTCAAAACAAGGCAAAGGTGCTTTCCTGTCTCCTTCATTTGGCTCTGCTCCTAACCTTGAGAATACTTAGTGGGTGCAGTACCCAATACTATGGGAAAATCAGATGAAAGACTTGGTTCACTGAAGAACTGCAAACATCCGAGGAAGGTACTGTAAGGTATAGCACCATAAAACCATCACATTTTAGAACCAGAAAAGATGATTACAGGTTAGTTAATTCAATAATCCCATTTTAAAGAAGCAAACTACAGATCTGAGCGGACACGTGACTTGTTTGATGTGGTGGAACTCATTAGGGCCTGAAGCAGGAGAATTTAAATCACTTCCCAACCCACTCTTTTCTTGGTAAACCATTCTTGCTGTTTGAATAATGATAGTGCCACCTCAGGTAGGTAATAAAAATAGACACTTCACCAAAGAAAACTGAAATGTTATATCATTTTGGAGAAAACAAATCTGCATAGTCCCAGCATCTATCTCTCAGCCCATCAGGATCCATAGCTAGATAACATTTTTTAGAGTTATCATTTTTTTCCCCAGGGAAAAAATTGACTACTTAGTTTACTGACGGAATTTAAAAGAAGAAAAAAAACCTCCAACAACATGAAACTGGAAGACAAGAAACAATTTATAAAATTTTGGAAAATGTTAAATATTTGTGGTAAAAATAGTTTTTAGTGAAATGGTTATTCTTCACTTACTCTGGCAATCCCTAAAGTGTAATGTACTTTATAGGTGAAAGTATTTCACTGTTGTCATTCATATTAGATACTAGTTCCTTCCACCTGTAAAATGGGTGGAGCTCTGAGTTCTAGTTGTTCAAAGTGGCCAATTCATAGACTGTCCAATTAGCATTTCCACAGTATTGGCATGCAGGCAGAATCTTGTCATTTTCATTTCCTTGTATTAAAGGGCACACATTTGTTCGATACCTTCCTTATTCAATGATTGTGGAAAACAGACTACATCTGCTGGAGAGCAAACATTGTTTCTTCTCTCCAGATGTCTGCTTTTTCTCCCAGAAGTTGGAGAGCATTGGACAAGCAATAACAGATGATGAACACATGCATAACTACAAATGGGCAAGCTGATTGTTTTCAAAATTGGTATAAACATTTGCTCTTGGGTTGAGATTTAGCCCATAGCAAATCTTTACATTTGCGTTATAAACTCCCAACTAAAAAAAATGTTTATAATGGAAGTGCTGACAATGTGAAAATTCAGTTACGGTCAGGAAAGCAGTTTTGTTTAAAAATGCCATTTTGCACTTCCATATTTACTTCCTAACCAGGGACTGAGATGTCAGTTTCTCCAAAGTTTTCTTTCCTTGTCCAAAGGAGAATTTGAGGACTGTTTTGAAATGAACAACAGATCTGACTTTCAGTGTCTTGCTTCTTCAGCAAACATCGAAATATAGAACCACATGCTGGTTATGCAACTGGTTACACTGATGATGATGATGATGATGAATGATAGAAGAAAATTAAGCTTGTTGCTAGAGAGAGGTTTTGCTTTTTTACAGTATTTGATAAATATAGGAATTTTTAGGAAATACCTTGCTCTCTATGACCCTGACTATGCTAAGACTCACGTACATTGACTAGGGGTTATGAAATGAAGTCAGAGAAATCTTTTGACTTGCTTATAAATTACTAGGTCTGAGACTAAAAGTGTGGTTTGCACTATGTCTTGTTATATTCATAGAGATACGACCCTCTTTTATATAGTTGAACTGCAAAGACTACCTTACTGTTCACTCCCAGAATGGCAAAAAGATAGATGAAGATGGAGAAATGTGCACCTAACACTGCATCTTTATGAGCAAAGGATTTTCTTTGGAAAAACTGTGATTATATGAAAATCATAGGACATTTTATTTGTGACTACAGGGCGTGGTGAAAACCTCTGCTACCATACTGGATACAAGGTAACTCTTTTCATTTAGAAATTTAAAGCCATTATTTCTGATTATTTAGGTTTTTACCTGGATTCACACTTATTTTCAGGTAAATTGAAGTAGTTTTATAACAAAGCGTGAGGAGGAGGTGTGGGGAGGGAAGGAAAAACCCAAAATAGCCCAAGGATTTAGTAGACATGAACAGTCAAGGACTTGACATGTCCAGCTTCAACATGTAGATCCAAGTTTATTCTCTTGAGTTCACGAATGAGAAGAGGAACAAATGGCTCTTATTCTTGACATAAAAACAATCTTCTGCAGGGAAAAATAATATATGTTCAAATCTGAATTACCCTGTAGGCTACTAGCACTTAGATCTGCCTAATACTGTTACTTGAACAATTAGGGCATGCATGTAAAATTTTAACATTTGTATGTTTCTGCATTCAAGCACACAAATAGCAGGATACTTGCTGCATTCAGTGGTGGCCGCACAGTAACTCATAAATTAATGCATACAAGAAGGCTAAAGTTTAAATTATAGAACTCGAGTAACAAGAAACCAGCTAAGCATTAGGGCAGAATGTGCATTTTGTTTTTGTACTTTTGTTTGAAAACCTCAAATCATGCAAGTGTTCAACCTTGCCCAGGGTTAAGAGGACTCCCATTGAGTTTATTAGTAGATGTAGGGAACAAGCTGGGTGCTGCAGTATCAATCCTCTGAGTGGACTAATATTCCGAGGATTAATACTCAGCCCTCTTGGGCTGCTAGATTTCTGGACCTACTTTGAAATGAGTCTTATACCCATCAAAATATAATGAAGAGGGCATGTCTGTGAAAATATGAAAACCATTCTTATTTTCCATATTAATGAGAAAAGTTAATTTATTTCTCACACTGGGACATTTTAAGTGAAAGGCATACCTTCAATGATACCATATAAATCTTGGATAGCTAGTTAACGTTGCTAGTTATTTTGAATTTTCATTGTAATTTAACATTATATAAAGCGACGTATGTTTGTAAATTGAGATAAAAGAGCTCTGACGGACAGAATAAGTACAGAATTAAAGATTAATTTTTTCCCCAAATGAGATCTTTTTGGCTTGTCCTCTTACAATTACTGCTTGGATGACTGAAATGTATTCTTTGTTTGTAACTCAATGATTCACATAAAGGCAGCCTTGCAGTACCACATAAAATAACTATAATAATTTGTTGAAATTGAAGAAAAATGTGTTCATGTAGAAAGCACCTAACAACTCCTGCTTTGGTGTATTCTTTCCATAATCCTTCGATCAGCACTGTAATGTGAGCAGATTCAAAGTATACTTTCTAATAAGTGCCTTGCTTTTTTTATGTTCTTTTTTTTTTTTTTTTTAACTACTTGGTGATATCCTAATTAACCATGCTCAATTGATTGCTTTCAAAATAAGAACTAAGAGCTCTCATCTAGTCAAGTGGAAGCTAATTCAACTCTTTTACACTATGGCAATGATAAATCTCACACACATACTTCCACTCATACCCACCACATGTATTATATTAGCAATATCATACTCTAGGTCTTCTGGTTTGAGTCAGTATAACATGATAGGCACATTTCTATGGAATTTCATGCATTATTTTCTTTTAATGCTTATGAGGGTAAGTACAAATATCCATTTTTCATTCACAGAGTAGAATTATTTTTTGACTTTTTTTGTGATCTTTTGACCAACTCTCACATCCAGAAAATGTGCCATTTCTCTTGGAAAAAAGCAAAAGAGTATGTGGGTGAAAAGAAACTCAACACAGGCAGAAAGAAACTGACCATTTCATGTCTTAACCCAATTGCTACTCTCGGTTTTCTTTTCTTTTTGTCAAAATTAAACACGTCTTATTTGGATTGACAAGCACTTAATCATTTGATTATGAGATTATAGTATGTGGTCAGAGCATCTACTGCATGATGTTATTTTGCAGTAGAGGACACACTTTTTAGATCCTCATTACTGTGGGTCACATCTCTGGTCTCATAGATAAATGAGGGTAGACAATACAATACATACTAACTGTCATATACAGAACTGAAAAACTGTTTTCAGCATATATAAATCCCAGTCAAGGCATTACACAACTGGAGTTTAAAATGTTACATGTAAATCATCCAGACTTAAGCTTCTTGGGAAACACAAACCGTTCTCTAAGGACATACGAGACCAGAACGTCAGAAGATGCTGTCTCACTGTGGGATGGCAGAAAACAGTGGCTCACAGACCACCCTGGTGTATAGTAATCAACAATGCAGTGGCCCACTTTATAAAGGCGTCAGACAGTCTGTAAGCAAAAAAGGCAGAGCCTCCAACTGAGACAGGCCCTGCTAATAAGTGGCTTCTAGGAAAAAGAAAAAAGCTGCTTTAGCATATGCAACAGGTCTCATATCACAATCTTTTTTTTTCTTTTGCATTCCACCTTCTTCTTTCATATGAAACAACTCCATCAAGAGTGTCATTCTGAAACACCATGAGCAACAGAATAGAAGAATGCACTGACATTCTTACCCTTCTGCTCTCACAGCCCTTCATACATTTATTATGGTGCTGCACTTGTAAATATCTCATCACATGTCTGTTTCCCCTGCTGGACTGTGAATTTCCTGAGTGCAACACCATGCCCTGCTCATCTTACTGTTTCTACTTTCAACATTAGTGCGTGCTGAAGAAATCCTTCAGTACATATTTGGTGAAAGAGCTTTTCAATTCCATTACTGCCAGAATAGCTATCTGGGAGGCTCTGGACAAACCACTTCATGTGTTTTGCTTCAGTTTCCTCATCTAACGAATGGGAATAATGCCATCTTGAACATTTTGCAAAAACTTGGCCAAAGAGATTCTGCAAGAGAGATTATGTATTTGAAAATATTTAAAAAATATTTTTTAAAAAAGCTTGTGTTTGCAAGGTGCAGGTTGGGGCATTTCTTGCAATATAAGCTGAATTTCCTGAATAATACAGCCACCACGTGATGCTTCAATAGTATCGCGGAATTTGACTTACTCAGACAAGAGTTATTTGATCTTATGTTCCCTACCATTCAAAAGAATCTAATTAATTTGTATAATTTATATATTTGATAATGAAAAATAAAAGACAATTATTTCAGAAAGTATTGACGACATTTCAGTTTCCTTATAATTCTGACTTTATATGAGCAAAAGTACTTCAGTGAGTGCTCATACCTGCTGTGATAAGTACAGAGACTAAACCACATTTTGTCAATAAGGGGCAACTTGTACAAACTGGGTATGCAAATAGAAAATAATAATGTTGAAGAAAGTATAATTAATTAATTCAAGCTTCAAGATAAGATCACTGGATCCTGCTGACCCTACATGTTAATCAGTTGATTAATTGCTACAATCATAATAATTATATGGTACAAATCTAAGTACACTTAATGACAGTGTAGACTTAGAGTTAAAAGTTCTTTTCAATCTGCAGATCTTTTCTCTTTCTTGAATCAAGGGAGTTGGTTTCATTTACTTTAAAGATTTTACTTTAAAGATATCTTTTGGCTTGTAGAGCTGGAGAGCTTATGCCAAAATTAGCCAAAGTTCATTTTTGCCTGTTCAATTAACCATTTTTGATTATTTCTTAATGCTCTGTTTAAAGATGTAAAACAATCTCAAACCTATGTAATAGGAATTTTGCATCATACATCTTCATCCAATCATATTACTTTTACTCCAAACATGCTCACTGTACGAAGTGGTGTCGCAATTATATGGCAGTGGGTGTCCCCCAACATACAGTTTTCTATACTTTCTGTTCTATATTTGGATAGCAGATAGAAGGGGTCTGAGTTGTTATTGACATACTCAGATAAAAGTATGTGCTATAAAGTGAATATAATTTATCAAGAACCATCGAGACATTTAAAATGAGGACTAGAACTAAAATGGCTTAACATGCATACACATTTATATTTTTCACGTGAGAATCCAAGTTTTAGGCTTGATTTTTTTTGCACGCAGCAACTTATATCTTGGTATCATTGATCTGGCCGAACTTGCGTTCTGATCACTGTCAACTTCTGACTGGCTATTCAACGTTCCAGTCACTGTAAAAATTCAGTTGGGTAATCTTGAACAAATTCCTTACAAAGGTACACTGACCTGTGTTGGGGCTCAGAACATGATACCTCCAAGTATGGTCCTTTGGCATGCTGAGTGCTTTGAACTGAAGAAGATTAGAAGGGCCTCAGAAGCAGGAAGTTCTCTCTGATCTTTGCCTGCACTCCTTTCTCCTCTCATTTCTCCCCGGAAGCTGATCATATAAACTAGAACTCTTCCTCAAAGCAAGCCATAAAACCTAGAAATGTCACTCTCTAACTTTCTGTCTTCTCCCCTGAAGACCCTGATGTGATGGGTGTCCTGCCCTGTACCCAGAGGAAGGAATGTCATACAGAGACACAGAAAAGAATCTAGCAAACAGGCCTTGCTGAGTTCCACTCCCTACCCCCAGTCTATTACCATTAGATCATACTTTTGTCCAACCACATTTCTACATGGCTGTTCGTTCTCTATCAAACCTTAACATAAAAATGCACAGTTTTCCCTAGGTCTTCGGATCTTCATTTCTGAAAGTTCCTGTGTCACACTTTTGATTAAATAAATCTGTTATGCTTTCCCCTTACTAATCTTTCTTTTGTTATAGAGGTGTCAGCCATGGCCCTCAAAATGGGTAAGGAAAATGTATTGTACTTTTTTGCCCCTACAACTGTCCGGATTCTGTCTGTAGGAGCAATGCCAGTAAGAATAATCATCTGACTGATAATTTGTGTTTGACTCAGTTTTCTACTGTGTGCAAAACAACTCATCAACACAGCTTCTCAATTTCTGTCAAGTACATTTCTATCCTCTTGGTTATCTAGCTTCAAACCCTAACCCATCTATTTCTTCCAAGACCGTTTAACCGAGATGTCATTAAATCATTGCAACTTTTCTTTTTTGTAATCTTTTACATAAAGTTTCTTCTTTTCCTTCATTTCTTCCTTTTATTCTTTTGCAAAATAGTGAAATATTTTTAAGTTGGTGAACACCTTAGATGTAACCAAGCTACTAGATGCTTCTTAAACTTTTGCCTGCATATTAATAACCTGGAGAGCTTGTAAAAAGAGATTCCTAGACTCTATATTCACTGGTTATCATAAAGGAGGTCTGGAGTGGGGACCTCAAATTTACAGTCTAACATGATCCGAGGTGATTCTGATGCTACCAGTCTTTAAAGTATACTTTCAGTAACACTCTATAACTTTTTTTTGGTGGGGGGGGGTGGGTGGAGGGGAGGTGTCACACATCTAGGAATCTTGCTCCAGAAAATACACAGATTCACATGTACATAAATTTGGCCAATCTTCTGGGGAGTGGCACATGAGCCTCTTGAGGCATATCCATGCATGGGTCCCAGAGGACTCAGGTCACTTGCCCAAGGTTATATTTGGGCGATAGCCAAATGTAGTGCCAAATCACAATGGGGTTTCCTGCTTCCCTTCCCCTCTTAAACATATCCTGACAATTACCACCACATTATCTTCTCTAAAACATGGGTTTCTGCTTTCCACTACCTTTCTCAAAAATCTTTAATGGAGTTTCCCTGCCTGCAGCATAAAATTTAACCCATCTGCAGTATTGAATTCTCCGCAATTAATTAGTTAATTTATTGACCAAGAATTTACTGAGTCCCTTTTCTGTGGAAAGTTCTGTGATAGGCAGGAGGATAAGAAATTACTGCTTTGCTTTCAGGGATTCACAATACTGGATTAACTGTATCTGCTCTCCTTTGTTTCCTACTGCTGTCTCCAAAATCATTGCTGCCTTCAACCCCAATTCCTCACTTTCCACAAAACAGCAGCCTGGTCTCAGGGCTGGAGTCAGTGCTTGGCTGGAGCCAACATTCCCTGGCTGGCTCTCCAAACTCCATATACTCTTAATGCCTCCTTCATGAAGGCCTCCCAAACACTGCATTTTTGTCTCTCCCTTCTGTAGAACATTTATTGTCTTCATCATTCATTGTGCTGCTAGATCACATGTGCTCACATGTTCTTCTCTAGTTCAGGGAATGTACCTCTTACTTCTTCAGTACTCTCCTTGAGGAGCATATAGCATGGCTTGGACAAGGTGCTGTGATGTCAACATACTACGAGTAGGAAGAGCTGCTCTCCTCTTATTTGGCTTCACCAAGGAAAAAGAACCAAAATCAATGGTTCCCAAATGTGACTGCCGCCAGGATCACCTGAGGGTTTCCTCATGATTTTTTTTAGAAAACATTTTGGAAACTTACCCTAGGCATAATGAATCAACATCTACCTGGGTGGGTCCAGGAATCTGTTTCCACAAAGGTGAGTTGGATCAAAAAGCCAGGTTTGAGAAGCCTTCAAACAACTGATTCTGAAATCCCCCCCAACATTATCTACTCACCCTCTTCTTATACATAAAAAAAAATCACTACAAATATACTTAGTGCAGAAACTTGCAGAACACAGGAAAACAAAAAAGAGAAAAAAACCTGTATAATCATTCCCTGCTAATATTTTGAAGTAAATCCTTTCATTCTTTTCTCTACATATAAATATTTACAAACATATTTTACAATAGGCTTATACTATACATGCCATATCATACTTATATTCTCTTAATATTTACTGGTGTTTTACCTTGTGAAATAATGCTTTCTATATCACAATTTACCAATTGCTTAGTATTTCATAATATAAATGGGCCATTATCTAACCTTCCTTAAGTTTGTACACATACTTCTACATTTTTCAGTATTATAAGTAACGTTTTGAGGGGCAAGTTTGTATACATCCTGGTGCATATCTCTGAAAATGTCCTAAGGTAAATTTCTAGATATATAACTGTCAGTACAATGCATGCACATTTTAAAGGCTTTTGCTAAATATAGCCAAAAGTCCTTCTACAAATTTTCTAAGAGTTCTGATTCAAAGCAGTAACAGGCCTTGTCTCATCATGAACTTTGGCATTTCATCTACAGCTAAGTTTATATCATAAATAGTTCTTTACAGGCAGCACCAACTTATACCCTTATAGCATACTTTACTGTGTGAAAATTGCATCTTTCATTAAGCTTACTGTAAATTTACTGGCTGTCTTCCTTGCAGGTTTCCACCAACATTAGAGAAAAGAAAATTTTAAAATAATTAATCTCCTGAAGTAACTTTTGATGAGATGTAACATGAAAGCTAAAAACCTGAAGCAGGAGAATGCTATTTTCTCATGTGATACCTTATTCTAGCCATCTGTTGAACAAATATCTGGTTCCAAATAATGTAAAAACCGATAGCAAATCTTAATAACTTTTACTTGTGGATATTAGAAAGAACAACAGTGCTATTTGTGTAGTTATCTTATGGCAGTTGAAATACTCTATATGAATACACAGTTTGTTTTTTTTTTGTTGTTGTTTGTTTGTTTTTAGGTCTTTAACTTCTCAGCACCAGTTTTATGGAGCCCCCACCGCTAAGCAAGTATGCAAAATGCAGTGCTGCTTCGCATTGGGAAATCCCCAATCTGGTGCCAAGAGGTTCATAAATACAGTAATGGACCCTCTTATGTCAAAAGTGAGTACTGTTTAACAGCGTAAGTTGGAACAGCCTTCAGGATGCTTTGCAGCTGCAGTTGTTCCACTGCAAGACATCACAAACTTCATGATGATGGTTGTCACACCAGGTCCTGGAAAGGCAACCTACTTCAGTCTGCAAAGTGAACTAAAAGGGAATGGTTGTTCATACATGGCCCTGATGCCACTGACATAAGAAACGCAATGACAAGAGCGATGAAGTAGGAATTTGGTGGCAGATGGTCAGGTCTGCAGGAAGTGTCCACCCAGCTTTGTTTGGCCCATATTCTGAAACAACTAGAATAAACACTTAGTGTCATAATTTATAAGCATATCAGTACCAATAAATCAGAATCATGCAAACAGTCATGTTTATTATATTCTTGTTGCTTAATATTCATGACAGTAATTTATTTTTATAGTACAGTTTTACTGTTCTCTCCACCATTGCTCTCTGCATTTAAGGCTGGCAAGTTGTACTAGCAGAAGTTCAGGTAACCCTTTGAAGACTGCAAAATTCATTAGCCTGGTCAAAAGACTTGATTTGCTCATTTAATTTTTCCCTTTTTCTCTCATAAACTTTTAAGCCACTGAGATGAAATTTCTGGAAACTAAGTAGTAATAATACTTCTTCGACATGTAGAAAATGTGAATACTAGAGTCCACCTAGTCCTCTGGTAGTAGCTGTATAACAGAGCTCAGAAGGCAGATAGGAACATTTGGAGAGATGTAAACAGTTAATTCTTGAATTTACTGTCAACAAAATGGATTGAATTAAGCATTGTTTCCATCTCTGCCATTCACCTTCTCGCCACCCTCTTCCTTCTGATTCCCCATTTCAGTAGTTTGAGATCATTGCTCCTAACTACTATGGATTGTTCTAGGAGGAATTACTTGAAACAACCACCACAAAGCACATTGTTTTAAAAATTCATTTAGTGCCGGAACTACAAAGATCAGTAAGAAATGTCTCCTACTCCAGAGAAGTTTATGTCAGATAAACAGACATAAAACGATATTTTCGTTGGTCTGTACCTAGACAAGAGACAATTTATACCCAGTTTTGTGTATTTAACTCAGTAGAGAAAATTTACAATTAATTGCCAGAAAAAGGAGTCACAAACATACAAGCCTGGGAAACAAATTTTATTTTAAAATGTCCCAACTAAAAATACTCTTACAATACTATTAAGATCTGTGGTCTTATTCTGTAAGTTTGCTGTGTTTTAACAAAGACGTTAAACATTTTTTAAAAAGTGGAATACCACTGAATGTGAGTAGACATAGTATTTTAATTATAATTGAGCTCTTTTTATTATGGGTATGGAGGGTTGAAATAATGAATTTATAGACTCCATGAAAATACTTTTCTGGCACATGACATGAGGGATGAAGTGACACTTTGCTGCAGTTTCACCTTTTAATTAAATAACACATATGATGAAAGTTCTAAGAAATTTTATAATGTTATTTCCTAATTCACTTGCCGGGGATTGTAATAAGGACATAGTGCCTTCTTTCTACCTTTAAGCATTTGGAATATGGGAGCTTGATTGTTGTTGTTTTCTTCTAGTGATGCATTTTGCACAGAATAGGTGCTCTTAGCTAACATTCCTAAAAGATAAATTAAATGTTTGTTACAAATAAATTTACATATCCTTTAGCCTTCTCCATCTGCTAGGTGTGTTTGAATTTCACTGGTGCTTATTTTACTTTTAAAAATTTTTCCAGTGACCCAGGCACAAGAATGAGTACCTGTAATGTTGCCTTGGATACAGAAAGCAATTAAAAATGTTGAATTTGTTTTAAATTGAATAGTCAAGATGGAAGTCTTAAGTAAACAATGAGGTTTTGAGTACGTGTATGAGCAGAGAAAATTCATTTGTGTCCTGTTTGGTTTCCTCCCATTGTAGTTTTTAACAACATAAAGTCTTTATCTGAACTACATCTGAATCTACTAATTATCTCATTTCTAAATAGACACTTGTAATCATTTTTTTTCAAATTAGTCAAAAACTACAGTTGTGTGGTTAAGAGTAACAGCTTTGGAATCTTCCAGTTATGGGTTCGAATTCTAGCTCTGCAAATTCCCAGCTGGTAGCCTTAGGAAGGCTACTTAATATTGATTAGTCTAAATTTCCCAAATGGAAACAATAGGAAGAATAATAGTAACCACAAAGGAGTATTATAAAAATAAACTTAAATAGTGAAATGTACACATAGCAATTGGCTATATGTAAGTAAAAGTATGGTAAGTATACTAGAAATTAGAATTGTAATCATATGGACAGTTATGGGGTTTATTTAAATTCCCACTAGTCTAATAGTTTATAGTATTAGTGATTCAAATTCTTTCTAAATGTTGTCCAAATGTCTAGAGAACTTCACTTTGTAAATTTGGAATGTCTCTTCTCTGAGTTTTTTTTTTTTTTTAATATTTTTTTTTCTTTTATTTATTTATTTTTTATTATTATACTTTAAGTTTTAGGGTACATGTGCACATTGTGCAGGTTAGTTACATATGTATACATGTGCCATGCTGGTGCGCTGCACCCACTAACTCGTCATCTAGCATTAGGTATACCTCCCAATGCTATCCCTCCCCCCTCCCCCCACCCCACCACAGTCCCCAGAGTGTGATATTCCCCTTCCTGTGTCCATGTGATCTCATTGTTCAATTCCCACCTATGAGTGAGAATATGCGGTGTTTGGTTTTTTGTTCTTGAGATAGTTTACTGAGAATGATGATTTCCAATTTCATCCATGTCCCTACAAACCACATGAACTCATCATTTTTTATGGCTGCATAGTATTCCATGGTGTATATGTGCCACATTTTCTTAATCCAGTCTATCATTGTTGGACATTTGGGTTGGTTCCAAGTCTTTGCTATCGTGAATAGTGCCGCAATAAACATACGTGTGCATGTGTCTTTATAGCAGCATGATTTATAGTCCTTTGGGTATATACCCAGTAATGGGATGGCTGGGTCAAATGGTATTTCCAGTTCTAGATCCCTGAGGAATCGCCACACTGACTTCCACAATGGTTGAACTAGTTTACAGTCCCACCAACAGTGTAAAAGTGTTCCTATTTCTCCACATCCTCTCCAGCACCTGTTGTTTCCTGACTTTTTAATGATTGCCATTCTAACTGGTGTGAGATGGTATCTCATTGCGGTTTAGATTTGCATTTCTCTGATGGCCAGTGATGGTGAGCATTTTTTCATGTGTTTTTTGGCTGCCTAAATGTCTTCTTTTGAGAAGTGTCTGTTCATGTCCTTCGCCCACTTTTTGATGGGGTTGTTTGTTTTTTTCATGTAGATTTGTTTGAGTTCATTGTAGATTCTGGATATTAGCCCTTTGTCGGATGAGTTTTTTTTTTTTGGCACAATATTTGAATTTCCTCCCCAAATGTTGTAAATTTTTATCTCTAACTGCTCCATTGTTTTAAATGGCCTTGCAATTTGTCTTATATGGTTTTGAATGTATTTGAGGACGTAAATATGGACTTGGAAGACAAACTGCTCAGGTTTGTAAATATCACAATACTAGGAGGAAGGCACAATGAATTTGTAGTTAAAAACTTGGGTTTTGGTCCCAGCTCCTGTTGTTATGAGACTCAGGTGACATAAGTCTTTTGAATATGCAAAACTTAAAGCAAAATTCTCTTGTACCATGGTACAAGATGGTGTGCACATTTCAGCATGGAAATTTAAACTTGTACAAACTTATCTGAGAGAGAAAATGGTAAAAGTGAGAACTTGGACTCTAAATTCAATTTTGGATCCCAATAGTATAATATTAATAAGGAAAAAATCAAATATTTTATCATAGTAAGAGGAAGATATTGTGAGAATATAGGAGGAAGCTTTATTCTGCACTGATAAAGTTGTGCAAATAAAACGGTCCACTGAAGTATGATTTCTCTTATTCACTGAATGTGTCCCAAAAATTAATACATTGAAGCCCTAACCCTCAATGTGATGGTATTTGGAGAAGGGTCTTTGGGGGGGGCAACAAAGTTTAGATAGGGTCATGAGGGTGGGGCTCTCCTGGTAGGATTAGTGCCCTTACAGAAAGAGGGAAAGATCAGAGCCCACTCCTTCTTGTATTTGAGGACACAATGATCTTGTGTTTGAGTACACAATGAGAAGGTGGCCATCTGCAAGCCAGGGTAAGGGCCCTCACCAGGAACTGACCATGCTGGTGCCCTCATCTTGGACTTCCAGGCTCCAGAACTGTGAGAAATAAATTTCCATTATTTAAGCCACACACTCTCTGGTATTTTGCTATAGCTTCCTGATCTGACTGAGACAATTTCCAAACCTTAGGAGGGCACATTTGAGGGAGTGTGATCTTGGTGATGAAGGGTCTGGAAACTTTGATTCATGATAAATTATTGAAAGTGCAGAGGAAGAAAGGAGAGCACTGAACAGGCTCTACGGGTTACACTTTAAGTGTTTTAAAAATATTTAAGGGGCTGTTAGAAAAAGATCCTGCTGGAAATCTGACATTGACCAAAGTGGTTTTTCTAGTTGTGCTCTGGCTTGTCTTTCTCCTTGGTGGAGATTTCTGCTCAGTTAACACGGAGGGGGCCCAGCTCGCAGAAGCTCTGAGCATCACAAATCCAAGCTTACAGACAGGAGCTTCTGAAGCCTTTCTGGGTCTAATATTTGTTCAGGATCATTCTTCTTTTCCTGACGACTTTTTCTAAAACATTTTCATAACATGACACAAGCACATAGAAATTTCCAAAGAATATTTCAATGAGGTAATGGTTTCTTCTTAGATGCCAATTAGATATTCAGAGAATAATACACACAAGGTGTCAAAGAATAATGTTACCATTGTGCCTAGAGTTAGGGACCTGGAAGAAAAGCTTAAAAGATTGTTGCTTTCATCTCTTTGTAAGACAGTAACCACCTGCAACTAGCGGGACAGATGGTACTAATTAGATCTGCCCATCCGTTACTTGGCAGAGGAATGGGCTGGAAATGGGAAAGGGTCAACCTTTCACCTGCTGGACACTCAAGGTGAGAAGAAAAAGGAAAGGGGCCAAGAACTAACTGTCTGGCTAGACAGTAATCATGGACTCAGGCTTTAGGTATTTGATCTTTTAGAATTCCAATTTCTGAAAAATAAAGGTGTTATATGTAATTAAATGGTTGGAAGTGGGAGGAACTTCACATTTAAATAGAAAACTATAAATAAGCCAATGAAAAGAAAACACTCATAATTATCCAATATAATTTTTTTATAGTTCATAGATTAAAATATATATATATATCTGCTGTCATCCTTCCAAACATATTACTTTTACTCTTAAACCAGCACCACTACTTATTTTCTATAATAGTGTATTCATTTTCCATGTTTCTGTTCAGAAAGTGTAGGTAGAAAATGTATGAGCCTATCCTTAGGGAAAAATTCCATTCTCTAAACCACATGACAATTCTCAGTGTGGATATTCCACTGTTCCAACATGAGCAGAATGCCCCCAGGAAATTTATAGTACTCCAGGAGCCATCACATCTAATGTTTAACTCTGCAGAGCAGTAGGAATGAGCCAGATCAAGAAAAGCCACAATTCAAGGTGCTTATGATAGTCCTAGAAGCTATTTAAGGAAAATTCTTGTATTGACAGAGGAGGGCTGGAGAAAGGACAAGTGCTTGAGCAAATGAGAATGTCTGACTGAATGTAGGCAAACAAGAGTACTGGGTAAAGGATCCATTCTTATTCCATAACAGGCTTTGAAAATAGCACGAGGCTGGGCATGGTGACTTGGGATTGTAGTCTCAGCACTTTCGGGGGCTGAGGCAGGAGAATTGCTTGAGTCCGGGAGTTCGAGACCAGCCTGGGCAACATAGTGAGACCCTGTCTTTACAAAAAATTTGAAAAAAAAAAAAAAAAAAAAAAAAAAAAAGCTCCTGAGAGGTTAATATGAAAGTTCTCTTGAGATAATTAAAAAATAAAAAGTCTACCTTTCAAAGCTAGAGTATTGTGTGGCAACTGAAAGAAAAAGTGAAACATTTCCAGTTTGGAGAACGTGTGTGTGTGTGTCTGTCTGTCCCTGTGTTCAACTGATAACATTTTGGGATCTACAGTGTTACAAATTTCCCAACTGAGAGAAGGTATCACTTTGGAGTTGGCTCTTCTGGTGCCACCGTGAACATCACAGATTTGCTAATATTTCATAGAAGCAAGGCAAGCTCAGGTCGGAGAAGCTGGATAGCATTTGGGTTATGATAAAGGCGTAAGTTCTATAATAAAGTGGTAGGCTTTGGATTATCCAAGTGGGGTTGGGCTTGAGAACATCTGGCAGAACAAAGGAGAAATGTCATGAGATGAAGGAAATGGGATCCCTGGGTCACGAAGCAAGAGAATATCCTGTCATATGAAACATGTTTGGTGCTGTGTGAAATTCTCAAAGCAAAATATTAAAGCAGAATGAAGATGGCCGCTTTAAGACAATAATTTGAAATGGCTTTTCCAGAGAAGTGGAAAGATTAGTTAGAATGGACAGCAAGGTCCTCTGAGACTGTTAACTAAAGCTCTGAGACTGTTAACTAAAGGACACTCTGATTATATTCTAATATGATAATACCAGTGAACTTGATACTGTGTGCCAGGGATTCTGTAAATAAGTGCATTTCATGAAATTCTTTTTACAATTGCCATGGTGAAGATACAACTTTTCCCTCCATTTTATAAATGTGGAAATGGAGGCCTAGAGAGATTAAATATTTGCTCTAGGTCTAGATAGTAAATGGTGGAGACAGGATTTGAATACAGGTGGTGGTGTGCGGTGCGGGTAGAAACTTTAGCTTAGCTGATGAGAGACTTCCCTGAGGACTTGACAGTGGAGTAGCAATCTGGGAGAGTGTGTTCGGTAGACAGATGGAGCAGTCAAAGACTTTCAATGTGCTTGGGGTATTCAAAGAAGAGCCAGGGTACCAATGGGCTGGAATGCAATGGGCAAGGCAGGGAACAGTAAATGATGAAGTTGGAGACCTTGTGGGTGACCAGATCATAAAGGACTTTGAAGACCTTGGAAGGATTTTTCTCAAAATGAAATGCAAGCCAGATATATCAGTTTGCGTGTATTTTAGAACTAGAATCATGCTGGGTTGGGTAGAGAAAAAAATGAATATGGGAAATAGGAGAGACCATTCTCCTAGAGATGGCCTGAGTCAGAGTTGGGGGTAAGTGGGCAGATATTTTAGAGGACTCATCAGTGGTGATCACAATGTGGTGTCAAGCAAAGCATAAGAAATTAGGCAGAAGCCTCAGTGTAGGATAGAAGGCCTCCCAACCTTCAGTTTTATTACAATCTATTGATGCAGTGAAAACCAACCACTCAATTCCACTATTAGAAGAATAGGTGAAGATAATTGCTTTCCACCAAGTTTTGAGGAGAAATTTTGCGTTTTGTTATCTATTTTTTAAAAGCAGGTCTATTCAGTAGAAGTAAGGATGCTAGGGAAGCTGACTCATGAAGGCTGCCTGGCTGGTTGCTCAGCTTGAAGAGTTTATTGCTTTGAAAAAGTGACCTTACGTAGATGGAAGAAAGGAGTGCAAGTAAAATAAAAGTTTTCAGGAAAGGCAAAAAGACAAGCACCACATTTTCTAATGGAGCTGATGTCTTACCACTCAATTAATTTCTGAGTCAAGGCCCAATTTTAATTCTGAATCACCTTCTAGTTTTACTTATAAAGGGCTTTTCATTAAGCCAAATTAAGGAGATGGAGGTCCAGTTGTTTATCATCTAGCACTAAACCATTCTTACAAAAAGACACCTGTGCAAGCCATTTGGCTCTAGTCAAGTATTTTTCTTCAATTTCATTATGAATATAATTAGAATGAGTTAAGAGACAGGCTAGGCATTAGCCATAAACTTTCCAGTTTGCGTGCACACGTGCACACACACACACATTAAAAAGCAACCACAACAAAAATACCAAGTCTGTGAGAATGTTAGCTTGCAGTGGAAACTAAAAAAACAGGCTTTGTAAAATTTACCTTTGTTTCAATTTCAAATTTCCTTGAAATGCTGCAATAGAGGATATTTTTATACTGCATTATTTTTACATCTCTGCTTTCTTTGTGATGAACCTTTACACCCTGCTCTTTCTCTGGTTTTAAGGCAATTTGTCACTATCATGCTTTCATGTTTAGCAACCGTTTTTAGTCAAGTGCCTTGCAAGCTCTGTTTCTTTTCTCCTAAAGAGTGTCATCATGGAGTTGATGATGCATCAGAAATAGTTTGACCAAAGGGCAAGATAAAGTCAAGAGTAAAGAAAATATTTGCAAATATACTTGACTGGCTTTTCCCCCCACAATTACCTATTGAGAGTATACTCTAAAGGCAAAATGGAATAAAGGCCATGGGGGGAAAAACCATTAGAACATGCAATAGGTACTTTTTGCCATAGGGCAATGTATTATTTTTATCTGATGAGGATGTGACTGATGTATAGACAGGGATATGAGTTCCGTTTAGGCACAGGATAATCTCTACTTTTGGTGGCTAATAGTCTGCATTTTAATGGTGCTCAGTTGATCTTATGGATGCCATTTCTCACAACTTGTTTTACTCCTTAATTAATCATTTAAAAAAAACCAGGCATTTAAAAAAACACTCTTCAAAGGCATGTGTGATTGTAGCCTTTAAATTGAAGACTTGTATGTAACATCATTACTATCTCAATTTAGCACCGACTTGCCTAATCTCTGTGTCCTATGCATACATACATTCATATGTATATATATATGAACACAATATATATGTTCATATGGTTTTATATATTACTATTAGTCAAGCCAGAAAAAAACACCAAAAGTGATGGCATTGGAATCATAAAATTGTTTTTGATCACGGAGTTAGCATTGATTGCATTCTAATAATGGAAAATGTATGGAACATTGCCCAGGAGTGGGAGGAAAAGTTATTTTTGTACACAAAAGGCAACTTTGGAAACTTCAACAAATCAACAACTGCCAGCTCACATACCCTGATTTGATTGTTACACACTGTATACATGTATCAAACCATCATATTCTACCCCATAAATATGTACAATTATGCATCATTTAAAATAATAAAAGCTAAAACAGCTAGAGAAAAATTAGACACCTTAAGGCAGAATATATTTAAAAATGCAAACTTCTAAAAATAATAACTGCAATGCCTAAGATTAAAAAAAATTCACTGGCTGAGACTAACAACAGAACAGATGTTGAAGAAAATAGTATTAGTCCACGTGAAGGCACAGCAAGATCCATAAAAGACAAAATGGATAAACTGGACTTTATCAAAATTAAAAATGTCTGCTCTTCTGAAAACACTGTTAAAAGAAGGAAAACAAAGCCATAGAATGGGTGAAAATATTGGCAAGTTATATATTTGATAAAGAACTAACATTAAGAATATATAGGGAACTCTTGAAACTCAATAGCAAAGAAATAGCCAATTTTTTTGAAAAAGTAGGTTTCTTAACTGCAGAAAATAATGGAATGGCCAATAAGCACATGAAAAGATGCTTAACATCATTAATCTTTAGTGAAATGCAAATTAAACCACAAAATACCACTTCACACATAGAATGGCTAAAATTAAAAACACTGACCACACCAAGTGTTGCTGAGGATGTGGGGAAACTGGAACTCTCATATACTGTTGACGGGAATTGAAAAATGGCTCAATGACTTTGGAAAACAGCTTAGCAATTTCTTAAAAAGTTCATATATACCTACCATATGAACCAGCTCTCCACTTCTAAGTATCACCAGGAAGACTAAAAGCATTTGTCCACACAAAAATTTGTATATAAATGTTCACAGATTTGTAAATGCTTCATTTGTAACAATCAAAGACTAGAAACAACCCAAATATCCATAAACAACTGAACAAATTGTGTTATCTTCAAATAATGAAATATTACTCATTAATGAAAAATGAACTAATATAACATGGATAAATCTCAAAATAATTATGTTGAATGAAAAAAAGCCTCTCCCCCAAAAGAGTGCATACTGTATGATTCCATTTATATAAAATTCTAGAAAATGTAAATGTATCGATAGTGACAGGAAGCAGATCAGTGGTGGCTTGGGATGGGAGTGCAGAGCAGGTGGAAAGGGGAAGGAAAGAGAATTGTCAAGGATTAAGAGGAAACTTTTGGGAATAACAGAGATGTTCTTTTTCCTGGTTGTGGTGCAAACATTTGTCAAAACTTATCAAAGTTAAGCTTTTAAAACATGCAGTTCATTGTATGCCAATTATACCTCAGTAGAACTAGAAAAAAATCCTCAATTATTAAAAATTAAAAATAAACTATAGAAAGATTAAGGAAAGGGTGGGAAGGAGTATATGCTCACCTTATGAATGGAAGAGTTAGCAGATATTGTTGAATGTTGATGAAACAAGAAAACGAGGTTTAGGCATATTATTTAGCTTGCAATTATAATATATGGCTACCACATACTAAAAGAAGTGGAGTAGAATGAAACAATATTAGGTAACAGATATTATCCATAGTTGATAAATCAAAAGTAGAGATATTATCTAGAGTTATGAAAGTAACCAGAAGAGATAAAAATTAAAATCACTAAATGAGGTTTCCTCTCACGAGTAGGTCAGGGGATATGATGTGATAGGGCCCAATCCATTGCTTTTCATCCTAACTTCTTCTGTAAGATTTTGTTTGTTGAATATTGTAATTTGATCAAGTAAATAATTATAAATAAGAATCTTAATACAATTAAAATACTCATATGAAATAGAAAAGTAACATTGTGTACATATAAATAAATTTCAAAAGGAGATATTGAGCAATTGATCATAGAAATCAGAGTGCAGGGTTAAAATGTACCCAGAGAAGTCAACATTTAAGGCATGAATGCTTTTAATATCTAGTACTAAACATTGAAATCTCACTCACTCTTGGAAAGTTCTACTTTATTTCTAACCTAAAACTCCAATACTGAAATTTCTGACCATTAATTTAATTCTAAACTCAGCTTTTAAAATGTAGAAAAAATGCTTGTAGTCTTATATAAGATGACATAGGACATATGGGTCTTCTGTAGGATGATATAAAATACAGATACTTGGCAATAGCTATTGCTCAAGGCAATATACAATGATACAAAGTATTTATATTTGTATTTGAATGCCAAGTCTAGTTTTTTGAGCTATGTGCATTTATAACTTCTCTAAAAACTAATTTCTTTTTAAATAGCTTACTAAGTGCCTAACATGGAGTAAGAAAATCCTGTTCTATTCTCATTCTCATAGTAACTACTTTATGAGCTAGAAATTATTGTGCAGATGATCTTTCCATTTCTCCAATATCTCCTGCTTTCTTATTTTGAGAATTACATGAGACAATTATTAGAAATGCCAATGAGTTTTTCTCCTCCCTTTCTCTTTTTCAGGAACTTTGGAAAAATGCAGACATTAAAACAGAAAAAACATTGCTTGTTGTCTTTTTTCTTTGGATCTGTAGAGTTACCAGAAGAAAAAGATGGGAACAGTGGTAAAGTTAGTACATTTCCTAGGATTTAGATCTACTGGAAATGTCTGGACCCCTGCAGGCCTCTAGCCACAAGATTGCATCACCTATCATAAAACTCCCTGGCTGTGCTTTTCTACTGAGTTCACATTTACAGTACTAATAATGCCTTCAGTACAAGTCATTTCCAGGGAATTAAATCTTTGCAGTCAGTGGGTTAAATCCCCATGAAATAACCTGCAGGTGACCCAGTTGGATTGATCTCAAGTATAGAATTTCAGATCAATAGTTGCTGTACTTGGATTCTGAGATATAAAACAATCCCTAGTGTTTTTGTTACCCCAATGAGTATTATCAGACAAGGGATTACTATGGCAATTGCAGGGTCTTATGATATTAATGGGGTTTTTTTTTTTTTGGTCCAAAAAGAAGTTATTTTAAAAAGTAAATGCCTTCTGTTCACTCTTCTTGGACTATGTGATAACTTTCAAACATATAATAAAAATTAAAGTAATTCAGACCGCTCCAGTGGTCATTAATTGCTTGTACTAGAAATAGCATTTTCTCCTCAGATGCAAAGTATTCCAGTTGGATGCAAAATTCTGTTTGGTCTAACCACCTTTTAACTCTTCCATGAAAGAGTAACAGATCTCCCAATCTGGGGCCAAATAAAAATGTTAACTCTCCACAAACTGGGCTTGGGGGTAATAAAAGAGAAAAGGGAAATAATGTTATGACAACATGTACCATGACATCAACTGACATGATGTTTTACTTGTGTGTAAGCAAAAAACAGAAACCATTTTAAGTATTTACACCAACAAAGGGAATTAATTTGATGCAGACAATTGGTTACCCATATAAAGAAGAAGCTGAGAACCAGATAAGGAAGAGTGGAGTAACCAAGAAAGTAGACACATCAGGAAGCCACTACCTTCTCCAGGCTGGAAAAGCAAAGAAAGGAGAGTCTGTGTCACCAGATGGGAGCTGAAACCAGATGGGCCCTGTCTGGTCAAAGCTGAAGCTGTAGAGGAGAAGGAGCCTCAGGCTGAAAAGCTACCTGAGGCAGATGGGTGGCAAGGGTGAACGGGTTGGGGATAAACTCATAAACTGCTGGCCTTTGTCTTCTCTCTCTTTCTACCATCTCCTTCCAGTGGCTTTGACCGGGTGCAACAGCATCTCAAGAGCACATGTAAGTTTGGAGATTTCTCAAATAACTTAACTTAAAACTGAGCTACCATTGGGCCCAGCAATCCCATTACTGGGTATACATCCAAAAGGAAACAAATCTTTCTACCAAAAAGACACAAGTACTTGCATGTTCATCGCAACACTATTCACGATAGCAAAGATATGGAATCAACCTAGGTGCCCAGTGATGGTGGACTGGATAAAGAAAATGTGGTACATACACACAGAATACTACACAGCCATAAAAAAGAATGAAATCATGTCCTCTGGAGCAACATGGATACAGCTGGAGGCCATTATCCTAAGCAAATTAATGCAGAGACAGAAAACCAAATACCCCATGTTCTTTCTTATAAGTGGGAGCTGAACACTGGGTACACATGGACATAAAGATGGCAACAATAGACACTGGGGACAACTAGATGGGAGAGGGAGGGAGGTGAGCAAGAGTTGAAAAACTGTTGGGTAGTATGCTCTATACCTGGGTGATGGCATTATTTGTACCTCAAACCTCAGCATCACGCAGTATACCCAGGTAACAAACCTACACATGTACCTTCTTAATCTAAAATAAAAGTCGAAAAAAAACCCCACAAAAACAGCATCTGCAAAATATAGCTGGCTAGGACCAACCCTCCTATGGTACAGAGAATAAAAGGGAAGAACTAGGATCTGAGGACAAAGAGGCCCAGACCCAGCCTCTTTGTCCTCAATTCATCCTGTCCTGTGAATTTACTTTACCTGGTTGGTCCCTTTCCATATAAAGCCGAAAACTCGCGAGTGGATCTGTTGAGTTTCTCACTGCATAGATTTTTACAAGAGGCTATGTAAGCTATGATAAAGCCCTGTGACGGGGTATAAATGTTCTTAAAATTTTGAAAGACTTTTTAGTACAATTGGTACACATGGAGAGAAAGTATTTCCTCTGGTGTGGTTTTTACCATTGCCAAGGATCTAGGTGGCCATTCTCTCATTGCTTAAGAATATTTAAATATGAATTACAACCTAGAGTTTTTCCTAGGTTTAGAACACAAGGACTAGCTTCAAGGTTATATCAAAAATACGTGGGTTAGTAAATGTACGTCTCTGTCCAATATCATATGTCTCAGCCCCATTACCCTGTTGGTTGATCCCTCTGTTTTACATATTAAAAAATAATGACATTCTACTATTCTGTTTTGAGTTGAAGCAAGGCTGCTGAGTGTCTTAGTCCATTTGGCCTACTATAAAAAATGCCATAAATTTAGCAATTCATAAACAACAGAAATTTCCTTCTCACTGTTCTGGAGTCTTGGAAGTATGAGACCAAGTTGACAGCCCATTTAATGTATTGGTGAGGGCCCACTCTCTGGCTAATAGATGGCAACTTCTAGTTGTGCCATTACATGGTGGAAGAAGATACAGGTTTCTCTTGGGCTTCTTTTACAAGGCCACTAATCCCACTCATGAGGGCTCTGCCCTAATGACCTAATCTCCATCTAAAGCCCCCCCATCTCTTAATACCATGACCTTGGGGGTGAGAACTTCAACATATACATTTTGATGGGAAACAAACTTTCAGATCATAATGACAGGTGAAGCCAGCTGGAATTCCTGGGTCGAGCGGGGACTTGGAGAACTTTTCTGTCTTACAAGAGGATTGTAAAAACGCACCAATCAGCGCTCTGTAGCTAGCAGGGGGATTGTAAATGCACCAACCAGTGCTCTGTAAAATGCACCAATCAGCAGGATTCTAAAAGTAGCCAATCGCGGGGAGGATTGAAAAAAGGGCATTCTGATAGGACAGAAACAGAACATGGGAGGGGACAAATAAGGGAATAAAAGCTGGCCACCCCAGCCAGCAGGGGTAACCCGCTGGGGTCCCCTTCCATGCTGTGGAAGCTTTGTCCTTTCGCTCTTCACAATAAACCTTGCTACCACTCACTCTTTGGGTCTGTGCCATCTTAAAGAGCTGTAACACTCACCTAGAAGGTCTACGGCTCCATTCTTGAAGTCAGCAAGACCACGAACCCACCGGCAGGAACCACGTCCTGACACAATAACCCTGAGTTTGATTCTTGTTGCCTTGAACAATGAAGGACGAAGTCTCCTCTCTCTTCTCTTCCAAATTACATTATCAAACAAAGCTCATATGGAGAAACACTTTTAGCACTGTTTGTGCACCCTCTTACATTTTTGAAAGACTTTCTTAGGCACTTTCTTATTCATTCTCGCCATAACCCATTTTATAGGTGTTGGCAGAAACCCTTGCAAGAGCCATCAATCCCAATAGTCTGCTGCCTCAACTCTGCCATGTTCCGTTCTTACCATGCCTATATTTCTGAAATTCTATAAAATTTGGACTTAAGTCTAGAATATCCCTGAGATGATCCTACTCCTTAGAGAAATTCAAAAGACATACTCTCATGTGGATTCGGAGGGCCTGCTTTCCATATCTCTCAAGCTAAGAAAATGACTTTCCTAACATCTTTAGAATCAGGTGAACTAAAGGAAGCTTAAATGATGGATATCCTAGTTATAGCCCCCAAATAGCACATACCGAAGTATATTTCCAAATGAGATCATCCTCACTTGAATGTGTGGAGATGATGATGTGAAATTTATATGACTTCTTTAAATGTACACAATCAGAAATAGGCATCCAAATGCAAAGTCCCTCCAATTTCCTACCAGAACGCTGTTCCAACATTGTAAGTTGCTTGGGTGTTCCAAGACAGAATATCAGAAAAAGCTGTTATGGAAATGCCTGCTTGTTTATTTTTTATTTCTTCTTTTCAAATGAAGTTAGGAAAGCATGCTGAACTATGAAACATTGCTGTTCTGAAGAAGTAGAGGGGTCATGAGATGAAGTCACGACAAGGGATAAGAGTTCCAGCCTCAACTCAAAACCCATCTTTAGAGTATTGTTACTGCATTCAACAACAGCAGCAGCAGCAGCAGCAGCAGCAATAGCAACAACAAAATCTGAAATTGTGAGCAAGCAACAAGAGAAAGACCTTGGGAGAGAAATTTCTTCTTTTTCTTGATACCGTTTTGCCAGAGCTTTAAACAAGGGTGAAGGCTTTGTGAATGACAGAATTAGAGGGCATGTTGAGGGGCTGTTTTCCAACACAGGACCCCCAAATCTCCACTTGTGCTAATGGGAACACTTCATACCCAGCCATCCAAGATCAGACCTCCTGAATACAGCAGTTTTTTTTTTCTTGGAGATTTGTCTCGTTAGGATTTTAATTAAGCTCCTGCCAGGCTTGCAAGGTTTTTAATTTTACCTTTCTTTCTTCTTTCTTTTTCTTCCTTAAATCAGCTGGCTTGCCAGGAAACTTTTTCCAAGCTGTCACAGTTACAGTAAGCATACCCTAAGATATTAAATTTAGAGACGTACCAGTAGTTGCTTCTCCAAGGATTAATAGCAGAAGTACCCTTCCATTTGGAAAAGATTTTCATTGATTCATTCATTCATTTATTCACTTTTACTTAAGTGTGTGTGTGTGTTTTATGAATTAAAAAAAAAACAGAAAAGGAAGCTTCATGGAGTGTACAATGACTACTGGTTAGTAGTAGATATAACTCACTCTCTTATAAAGTCACCAGTTTAACAGAAGAAACTTGCCATTACTTCATTTGATAATCACGCTGCTCATAAGCAAATTATGGCTGACTGTTTACTAGTGTTGGTGGGTGAAGGGTGAGTGAACCAAGAGAACATGATGTCTTAGTTGATAATTTAACACATATTTCATGAAATGTAATATTTAATTCACTTAGGATCCTTTTCGAGACCGCTTTGTATTCAAACTCATTGCAATTCTGAAAGTATAAAGGCAGAGATGAGGGGTGCACACAGTGAACCCTTTAAAGCAGATTTGATGAGACACTATTTTCATTTGAGGATACTTAGTTAAATTGGCTACCCTAAATAGGATGTCATATTTTTTTTCCTAATTAAAAACAAACAAACCTCAGATAATACTGCAGGGCCAGAAATAAAACAAGCCATCAAAACACAAAAACGAAAACGTAAGATATGGAGCATCGGGGATACTATCTGTTCCCCATGATTATTATTATAATCATTCTTATTATTTACTTAATAATTCCAGGATGTCAGGTTATTCTACCACCTGCCCTTTTCTGTGAGGTACTTACTGATCGCTTCCACAAACTGCTCAAAGAAACTGTAAGGGAAGAGCGGCTCAGGCAGCTCCCGGAAAAACATCTTCAGTGCTCCGGTGACAACGTGGATGTCCTCCCACTGGCTGTCGTCCAAATTCAGCTTCTCTTCTGGGAAAACACGAGGAGAAATGGAACAACTGGTTTTAATGAAACAATTACAAGACACTAATTATTATGTTAATGTTTGCCTACTATCATCAGCAACCGTTAACAGCCTTCTGCACCTAGAGGTTTGGTGCTGTGCATTTTTTTTTCCTCCCTCTTTCCGTAGGAAGGGAACATTTTCAATGGAATACCATCTGTAGGAATGCAGCTAACAAAAAAACAAGAGACACAAAGAGACAGTGCCATTGACACAGTATGTCAGATACGTTTATTCCCATAATGCATCAGTATGAAAATTAGCATCACAGCTCAACATGATTCAAAGCTATTTGGTTTTGAGGCCGAGGGGCTAAGAGTTGCCAATGATGGCCGGCTCAAGGGACCGGCCTAAAGGCCTTGCTGAGCCAACAGGAGACATATGCTAAACATGGCAATAGAAAATGAGTTATTGCTTTACATGTGTTAGCCTTGCTATGTACAAGGGAATAATGGGTAACACTTTTTCCCTTTTTTTGCCTGAATATAAAGTCAGCAAGGAAGAGAATACTGAGTGAGAAAGGATATTAATTCTTTTCTTACTGCTTCAAAATCTTTTTTTTTTAGTTCTCATCTCAGTGAGGAAAATATGCCCAGCAACAATATTAGACAGACCCCTGTTGGCCTACGTAGGCTATGCAAAGCTGTCAAAAATGATAACACACTAAAGACAAACCACAAGTGCTTACCAACTCTTTTTAGAAACAACAGAAATATTTGCTTGGGAAGCTTGAGTGAGTGGAGATGTTGAAATACTAAAGAAAGTAAATCCCAAAATGAAGGTTTTAATAGAAATAAAGTGCGCTGGGCAATTATTTTTGTCCTTTTCACCCTCAATATGAATGTCTGGAATTAGTCTCACCCAAGAAGTGGATGCATTCACGTCTGAAAGGGACATCTTGACATAAAATTAAAAGGAAGCGAGGTACAAAGGCACTGCTGTCGAGCCAGACGATTTGTCTTTCTAAACGTGCAACATGGAAAAGGTTTTGGATTCGGGGCTTCATGAAACCTTAAACTAATCATTTTAGACAATCTGGGGGTTAACTGAAAAGCTGAGAATACTGGCAAGCGCCGAGGTATTTGGTCAACTGAAAATTTGTTTCTTTACTGATGTCTTGGGCTCGCATTCACATGTCCCTTGGATGTCAGTTTTATGAATCCAGAGGAGCATTTTGCACCAAAATGTAAGAAAAGCTGAGAATTGTCACTGTAGGGATTCTCTGCATGGGCTGTTTTGCTAATAATGTTCACGTCCTTTTAAAAACATTAGCCCAAATCTTCAGCAGTTCTTTTTTTTTTTTTTTTTTTTTTTTTTAAATAAATGAACGATCGTTTCTAAGGCTTATAGTAAGTGGTGTTCCTGCTCAACAGTGTGTTTGCAAAGAGAAGACATGAAGGTGAATCTGTTTATTTCAGACGGGCTAATCTTCCCTTTCAGTCTTCATTCCTACCTCAATCATAACACAATAATGTGATACACAACAAAATCAGCAGAGGAGACCTTCTTTCTGCCCTGCAATCATTTTTGATTGATTGTATTTCAACAATTAGTCTTTTATTTGGCTACACACTATTGAAATAGGCCGACAGCATCTTAGCAGGCCAGCTTTAAACAGTCAACTGTTAACAATAGCATCAAAAAGGGAGACCTGATGGGGTTTACTGTCACTTTAAAGAACGGGGTTTTCACATTGTTGAAATCTGTCAGATATTTTGAAATGTCCCTCTCACTATGGTGCCACACCCCCTGCGTGCCCTTATAATAAAATTGGTTTTACTCCTGATTAAATCATTTTCTCCCTACCCACTACCATACTTCTCATAATGGACCTGTGTGCTCTACAGCTGGTGTTCTTCCCATGGTACCAATTCTTACTTTATCTTTTAAGCACTTTGCTGCTAAGATCTCATGCAGAGTGCTTATGTTTTGTTAAGAGCTTCATTCTTAGAGAAATAGCTTAACACATGTTCTAAAAATGTTGTACAACTTATTGCTTAAAACACATTTAGAAAATGTATAAGTACTGTAGCTTTGGCACTGAACTTTAAGTGGAAACCTAAACACACACACACACAAACACACACACACACACACAACTATCTCTACCAAAAATTTATCAGAAAAGTCCAACACAAAATGCCGTTTTGGTGCACAAGTTTGAAATTGCTAAAGGAAAGTGTTCAGCAGGTAAAAAAGAGAATGATTTTAACTTGAGCAAGGAAACAACAGCAGCAGCAACAAATAATGGCTTAACCAAAGGAAAACAGCATTACTATTACTCATTTCCACATTAATATCAGTTAATTCAAGTGAACATGAAAATCGAACATAGTGATATCTAAAGAAAATTTACCCATGAATAGATACCATTTGATTATATCTACTTAAAATACCATATAATATTAACTGTGTCCCTTAAACCAAGATTCCTACTATAGATTCCCATGTAGTTTCCATTTAAAGAAATAATAATAATTTGTAGCCCTTCGGCAAGTAGCTTAAATAGGCAATATGGCAAATAGTTGGAAAGAGTATTTTGAAATATAATACTAATTTTTATATCAAGTTTTCATAATCAACCAAGGTTAAGATCCCTTGTAAACCAGGTGATGTTAAGGCAAATTTTGCAAGGCCACTGTAGTTTATCTAAACATGAAGTTATGTCCATATAGTATGCCTTCTCATGAAGCCAACCAGTCCTCAAGATGAACTAACCATAACCCTACCCTGGTGTTAACAGGCATTATTACAAATATATTTGCATTATTTGATAAGCATTTTCTAACTAGATTCTACACAGTGATGATGTCTTATACTTTTCCCTTTTCTAATAGAGTAGAGTTTCTCAAAAGCACCACACTATTGACATTTGGGGCTGGAAAATTCTTTGTGGTGGGGGCTGTCTTGTACATTCTAGTATGTTTAGCAGTATCCCTGACCTTTATCTAATAGATGCCAGTAGCATTTCCCAGTGGGGATGATAAAAATTGTGTCTAGAGATTGCCACGTATCTCCCCATGGTGCAAAATTATTCTTGGTTGAGAGCCACTATAGTGAAGTCCATAAGTGTCTGTAGAAGTAACTCAACAAAGATTTACGAAGTCTACCATAGGTGGTCAGGGAACTAGAAAATTAGATACACACATATTGATATTTCCTTAATATGACCTTGAGTTGGTAATTATTCTTGACAAAATCATAACTTTTTATAGAACAAAATCCATATGAACTCATTCAGGCTACTTTGCAACGAAAGCGATAACCAACAATTACTTAGAGCTTACACTGTACCAGGGACTGTGCTATGCACTCTACATTCATTATCTAATTTAATGCTTTCAGCAAGGAATGAGGAAGATGCTATTGTTATCATCATGTCCATTTTACAGATAGGGAAAGTGAGGCATAGGTAGATTAAACAATTTTCCCATGGCTGCCAAGTGATGAAACCAGGATAAAGAGCCAGTAAGCCCCCACTATGTTTAAAATCACTGTGTTCAGACTTAATCTTGGCTGGCAGAAGCAGAAAGGGAAAAGGCAAATAAACAGTAATTGCAAATGGTAGTTGATTGACTATTATGTCAAGATTGTAATTTTTACATTTTATCCTTAAATGTCTAACTCGAGGCTATGCTTTTACCTGTAAACTGACTCTCATCTTTGGTAATTACAGACTTGTAGAAGGCACAGATTCTTATATAAACAGATACAAAACAAATTGGTAATAAGAAGCAACTGCATTAGGAAACGGGCACAGATGGAGCAAATTGTTAGGTAGCAATGGAGTGAAGAGGAAATATGATAGAGTAGGAAAAAGACCATATGAAACACCCACTCCAGGACTGGATTTACCACTAATTCATTGTATATCTATTTATTTATTTATTTGTAAAATGAAGATAGAAGGATAATTGTTGGTATCAAATGGGAAAATGTACCTGAAAAACATTTTAAAGCATAAGGAATCAAACATATCCAATATGTCACCAGAATGAGGCAGGTGAGTAAAGGCCAAAATGATAAAATAAAAAAGGGACTAAGGCAACTGAAACACTGAACAAACATTGTAAGCCAGCCTGGTTGTTTTAGAGGATTTATCTCAGTACGATGCAGTTTCTTGAACGGGATCAACAAAAACTACATTGCTACAAAGAACTACCTGGGCCTGGTTAATTTACAAAGAAAAGAGGTTTAATTGGCTCACAGTTCTGCAGGCTGTATAGAAGAACAACTGGGGAGGCCTCAGTAAACTTCCAATCATGGGAGAAGGTGAAGGGGAAGCCAGCACATCTTCACATGGCCAGCAGCAGAGAGGAGTGAAGAGGAAAGTGCTATACACTTTTAAACAGCCAGATCTTGTGAGAACTTACTATCACGAGGACAGCAAGAGGGATATCCATCTTCATGATCCAATCACCTCCCACCAGGTCCCTCCCCCAACATTGGGGATTACAATTCAACACAATTCAACATGACATCTGGGTGGGGACACAGCCAAACCATATCACATGTTATAGTCCAATCCTAGGAAGAAGTCTGGTTGAATCACGATGTCTCACAATCCTTTCAATCTGTGCTGGTTTCTCCTGGCCCTCTAATTAGGTTATCTTAAATCCATTTTGGTTATGGTTTTGCCTTAAAGCTTATAAACAGAATTAAAGATAGGTTAAGCTCCACAATGCAAATACCATGTGAATTTTATGAGATCACACACACATACACACACACACAACCTAAATGTTGTACCCAAACAAGGTTACCCTGAAATGCTCTTTCTTGAAGAGCCTTTAGGGTATCTTTTAAGTAAAAACTTATTTATATCAAGCTTTACAAATTATATTTGAAAGAAAAAATTTGACAGTAGCTATTAGGAATAATTTTTCTTAAAAAGAACTGAAAGATGAACCTTTGATAGCCATAGTAGGTCAATGGTAGTTTCCAAGGAACAAGGAGCATTTAAATATCATTAAGAGTTTAATTACTGTCCATGTATAGTGACTCATGCCTGTAATACCAGCACTTTGGGAGGCTGAGGTGGGCAGATCACCTGAGGCCAGGAGTTTGAGACCAGCCTGGCCAACATGGTAAAAAAAAAAATAACAAAAAGTAGCCCGGCATGGTGGCATGCCTGTAATCCCAGCTACTCGGGAGGCTGAGGCAGGAGAATTGGGAGGTAGAGGTTGCAGTCAGCCAAGATCACACCACTGCACCCCATCCGCCTCGGTGACGGAGCGAGACTCCGTCTCAAAGGAAAAAAAAAAAGGAGTTTACCCCTTTCCTCTTGTATTATATATTGCTTTGTAGGTATTGGTATATATAACCAGCAGTTGTGATATCAGGTCCAATTTTAACTAGACTCAACCTGTTTTAACCTAGTCTTTTTTGAAATATGCTTGCACTTGGACTATCCAGAATAGAAGAGTAACCAAGTCAAGAAAGAAAATCTTCTTCATGTGTTAAAAACAAGTGCTTCTTTACCTTGTAATAGTTTTCATAGCACTTTTAAAACCTCTTTCCAACTTTTATTTTATTGTTGCAATTTTAAAAAGAGGAAAAGACACCCTAGCTTTCCCAGGATACAGAAAGAATAGCCCTGATCTCATTAATACAGTGAAAAGAACTTGTTACACTATGAAACTCTCATAAAGGATGATGTCCCTGCTTCCAGCACAGATGACCATTTGGATCCCTTATCTAAAAGGCCTGCTGGGTACATGAAAGTCACATCCCAAATGGAAGAGATGCCAGAGGGATGATCGATCCAAAACATAATATGTTTGGCCCTAAAATCAAATTGAAAGATTAGATATTAATGTGGATAAAATGACACTGTTTATAAGGATATAGAAGATTTTTAGTTTAGTATTTAAAGGAATGGATCAAAAGTAAGTTGGTTGAATCACTCAACTAGCTCAACTTTTCTTGCTGTGCTGGCTCCTGAAAGTGATGGTTTGGTCTGATTTCTGGTGGATTAGAGAGGTTCTGCATTCTCAAACACGGTGATGTCACCCTGTGCCAAAAGTAGCATCTTTCTGTGCTGCACTGGCTAAAGCTCCTCCTTCCACACCTTGGCTGTAACATGAGACTTCATTGAGGATATTATCTGAGAAAACTAAACCAGTTGGCCAGTTAATTTGTTTGTTCACTTAATTGTTTTCAAACAAACAGAGATGGAAGGAGACTACATACTGGGCCTTGTGTTTTTAAAGCTACAGCTGTTGAGGCTGCTTTATGTTCCTCAAAGGAGAGGGCTTCATCAGGTGCTCAGAAAGTGAATATAAAGTTCTGGACATTTTACATCCTGTTACTCTTCCCTAGAATCATATTATTTTGTCCTTGGGGGCAAGCCAGGACAAACTCAAATAACAAATATATCACCCAAAAATATGCATCGTGCCTGTTATGTGCTGAATTGTGTTCTTCCATTCCTCAAAATCAAACGTTGAAGTCTTAACCCCCAATATTTCATAGTGTGACTATGTTTGGAGATTGGATCTTTAAAGAGGTAATTATGGTAAAATGAGGTCATGTGGGTCCCCATCCAATATGTATGGTGTCCTTATAACAACAGATTAGGGTGCACACAGAGGAAAGACCATGTGAAGACACAGGAGGAAATTGACTGCCTATACACCAAGGAGGGAGCCTTAGGAGAAATCAACTTACCGATACCTTAATCTCAGACTTCCAGCCTTTAGAACTGTGAGGAAATACATTTCTGGTGTTTAAACCACCCAGTCTGTGGTACTTTAGTATGGTAGCTCAAGCAAACTAATACAATGCCCCAAGGTTTTGAGCAGAGAAAGACAAGGTCAAATTTCTGGATCATACCTATACATCTTCTCAACACAAGGGCTATGCTACACTTGTGAAACACAGTGAACAACAGAGTTAGCTCTTTAGGTAATTCCATTTGAAGAAAAATAATTACCAATATTCAGAGAACAGATTTGAAGCTGGAATTAGTTGAAAAATTGCCTGCCTATTCAGGCTTAACCTATTTCAAATGATTTTCTCTACAAACATGCAGAATACTCTCCAGTGTGGTCTCCAGAGAAAGAATAAAATCATGATTGCCGTTTTCATATTCATTCTTTGTCCAACTACTATGTCTAAAGTGGAAATATTGCATGGTTGCCATCACCTGAGACTCTAAGTACTACTAGAAAACATTGGAAACTTCCTCAGGAAAAACTCAACTCAAGTCCAATCAACTGTCTATGGTCATGATACCTATCAAAGAGAAAGGAGCAAAGTGGTTTTAAATATGAAAACTTGTATGCAAAATCAACAAGATCTGTTTCATATGATTTATCACAGTAACCCCCAGGAAGCTCTTAGGAGTCCTATGTTTGAAAATGGTTCCTTTCTGGCAAGAGGAGACAGACCTGTGCGTAGAATAGATGGTTCTATTACCACCTGGTCTATAAAACCTGGTTTTCTGTGGCCTCCTTGAATTACGACAGAGGGAGGAAGGAAGTAACCACAAACTTTCTAAGATTTTAAAACTTTTCTTTAAAAGCTTTTATTTCTGAACATCTAATGGGCTACTTTGGCACGCCACGTTAGCTTGCTTTCGGTGTGCTTTGAGGTTTTGTGCATATCTTTGGAAATTATTTGAGAAGACCAAAGCATGCGCATGTCACAGGCTCATATGAAATATCTTTAGTTACTCTCTTGGAAGGAGGTGGAACGGTCTTCTACTCTATCCAGTACAGGAAGCTAGTTAGGAGCAAGACTGTCTTATTTTTATTTCTCCTCAGATTTCATTTGAATGTAAAGAATAACATAATAGGTGCAACTGAAACTTGCGAAGCAGGTGCCACAGATGGAAAGTATAACACATGTGTCATTGCTTTGTGCATTTTTAATTTATAATGGCATAACATAAAACATCTTCCCATCATCATAACTCCATGCATAATGCTACCTTATAAAATGACGTTAGTGACATTATGCTGCTCTCCAGGCTTTTAGATATTTCGTTTAGGTAGCTGAGAAAAGGTAGTCCTGTTTAGATGCAACAACAGCAACAAAAATGAACAGACTTTTTTCTTTCAGTGAGGATCATAAAAAAAAATTGATGTATTTCCTGGCACCCATATATATTTCTTTAATTCCTTTCTTACTCAGAGCTTCCAACTCTGTTCTTATTTCCATTCAGTCAAAGGCTTTTTGTACTCTATAGATACCGTACACAATGGTTCTTTTTATTTAACCATCTTCTCCAAACAGATTCTGAATTTGCTGGAATTCCATGGATGATTTCATACATTACGTACTCCAAAGGGGAGAGAATCATAGGATTAAATTTCGACAAAGTCATTTTTGAAAGCTTGCTTCATAGTGGCTTTAAATTTCAACACCATTGCTATTGTTCCCTCCAAGTTATATTACGTTTGCAAATATGAAGCACAGGGCCAAGTCAAAACCTATCTCTTAATGATATCTAGGAAATAAACTAAGTCCTATAAATTCCCATATACAGATAATATGTCCATTGTAAGCAAAAATGCATATATAGAAGTTACTTAACATTCTGGTTTCTTCACTTGTCAAATGAGAGTTCTTAATTTTGTGTGAGATTTAAGTGATGTAATATATGAAAAGCATCCAATGTAGACAGACTTTGGCAAATATTTCCAGAATGTAATATAATTTCTGGCTTTTATCATTCCCCTTACTATGTTGGTGATATGTGTAGGGTTAGAAATGGTAACATTGAAAAGGATATGGATTTGGGTTTTTGCTAACTTAGAATTTTCTGTCTGGAAGTATTTCTTCAGAAAAATTGAAATAAAAGGTAAACAAAACTGGTAGATTAAGATATTGCTACTCTCATTCATTGAAACTATGTTATCCCCAGATAAGACATCTGTTAGTTGTCAATTAAGACAACCAAAATGAAGAGATGATTTCTAGTAATTATTAATGATAATTTTTAACCTAAGTTATCTCGATTAGTTGGATTCATGGGAGTAAACTAAATTTTCTGCATCACAGGACTTTTCTTCACCACAATCACCACTAAAGCTCTACAAAGGTACACAAAATAAGAGTTGGGAGATGTATAAATTTTACAACTACTTGCATAAAGTAAGGTAAAATAGCTAGGTCCCTGTGCAACAACTTCTTGTTGAAACTACTGAACAACATTATCATCTTAATTATTCTGGCCTAAACAAACCTGTGGCACCAATTCCCGGTCTCTGCCGATAGTTTGTGATGCCTAGCTATCTATGCTGTTAATCTTGACTCTTCCCTACATTGGGTTTCATTTCAAACTTTGCTTACCATGTTTCTAATCCTAGCCTGAGAACCCCATCACTCCTGGGGCATGCCTAATTAATTTAACTATAGTGATTTAAACAAAGGGTCTCTCCTCTATCTCTGTCTCAAAGAAATTTGTTTTTATTTTTCTTTATATCCCCAGTGCTTAGCCAGTGACTGATGCACTCATTTTTATTAGCTATTCATATATTTGTACCACCTATCAAATTTTAACCTCCTTTGATAACAGAGGCTATTTCATAATATAATACCAACGATGATGACAATAGATATATGTATACACACACAGCATTATTTTTGTATTCTCTTTGTTTATCATTCTCTTTCAAAACACTTAACAAATACTGAAGACATAAGTAGGTTATTCATTCACTTATCAAATATTTATTGAACCCAAATTTTGTGCTAGGCATGTTATAGCTGCTGGGGTAAAAATAAGATAAATAAAGATCTAGCTTCTATGCTCAAAGATTTCATAGTATATAGGAAGTTTGGTCAAATAGAAAAAAATGTAATCAAGTACGGTAAATGTTATTATATAACTTCTTGCAGACTGCTATGGGAACATAGAAGATTAGCATCAAGCTTCATCTGGGTGTAGTCAGAAGGCTTTCCAGATGAGGTGTCACATAATAATGATCTTAAACGATGAGCAGTCAGGTGAGTGAGGGTGGTGCAGGAGCTGGGAGAGAGGAAGAGAAGAGATGAAGAAAAATTCAACTAGAAGTAACAATCACGCCAAGGAATGAAGAACATGATGCATTTGGGATGCCACAAGTTGTCGGAGACCCTAGAGGCATAGATTCCATATCTCAGGGTGTTGAGGATAGAAAAGAAGGCAGAAGGTACAGCATGAAGGTCCTTACAACTGAAAGAGTCTGGATGACCATAAGCAGGGGAGCAACATTCTAGAAAGATGCTCTGGCAGTAGCATGTAGGATGGGTTGGAGTGGGCGTATAGAAGAGGGGTGGTGTGTCCAAAAAGACACAATGAGCAAGAAGCTCAGCTGAGAGGCTCTGATGTATTGAAATACTGGATATTCACTGTGGAAAAAAATGCTTTTAAAAGAAGTCAGTTAATAAGAAACAGGTGCAGAGAAAGAAGTCTAGAAAACTGATGGCTAGCATTTACAAAGGATTAGAGTTCAGAGACGAATTTTTGTGTATCACATTTATTGTAGGTTCAGGGAAGTCAAAATATTCTATTTTCCTGAAGTTTATAAAGACCTGCTGGTAGTTTGCAAATCAGAATCCATTTGGATTATCTGACCAGAGATAAGACTTCAATGGTGTTTTAGTATCATAAACTACTTTACGGATGCTACAAAAGGGAATTACAGTTAATTGGATTATGTTGGTCTCCACATGCTGATTGTAAGGAAATAAAATATAAAAGTGTGACTATTGCTAACAGGTCATATCTATCATCAACCATGGGATTTGCTTTTTTACTTACCAATAAGATTAATTTCTTCTTAACAATCTTCCAATTTGAAGTCATTTTAATTATAGAGTTTAGAAAATTCAAAGGAAAAGGCAAACCTACTTTCAATGTATTATTAATAATTGACCTCATTTTTATTCATCTTTATGATGAGGGAAAAAGAAATGGATGGTTTGTTTATTGTTTAGAAGATTTTTACTTACTTAAGATCCTTTTGCAATCTTTCTTTGATCTCCATTTAATTAAAAATTTTATTTACTGGATTTCTATAAAGTGCTAAGCCCAGGGCTATGTTTCTGGGGATTCACAACAACGTGGTCTCTGCTTTCAAGGAAACTGACATCTCAAAAGGAGATAGGCCTACAAACTTTAAGCGTCATTGAGCATTGTAGTAAAGGTATAAACTACTAGAAAACCAATAATAGTTGAGCACTTCTCAGGCACTATTCTAAGTGCCTCACATGCAGGAATTCATTTAATCCTCACATCAACATATGCTGGATGTACTGTTATTAGTTCAACTTTACTGATGGAAAAGCAGCTCCAGAGATCAAGGAACTTGTTCAGGTTCACTCAGGTATTTAGTAGCGGAGTCCAGGCAATCTGGCTCCACCTAAAACCTCAATCATTCTGCTAGTGATACAGGACAGGTAAACTCCAAATCGGGCCTCACTGGGATGCCTTTTGGCTTTGCCCAGGTCTGCCCTGTCCCTGCTTTAGCTAGTCCTCATTTTGGTTTGGTGTCTGAGCCTCGCCTCTGTGGTTGAGTCCTGCCTCCTATCTCATGAACACAATGTGTGGAATGGTTCATTCTGACAGGTGACAGATGAAACGTCTCCCACACAATGGCAGTGAGAAGTGCATAGGATTTTGTTGAACTGAGATGGGTGAGGAAGGATGTCCCAGAACCAGCTATATCAGCATCACACACAGGACATTTAAGGTGAATTATCAAGACCTACCTCAGTTTTAACTGAAACAGAGGCTTTTGGATGCAACTGGCTGTGTGATTGCATTTCTACAAATACTAATTAGTCTATGATTTAACAAGTCCTCCAGGTGATTTTGATGCATGTTAAACTCTGAGGACCACTGTTCTAGCAAAGAGGTATGAAATGGATCAAAATTTGATATTGGCAAGAGGCTTCATTATGACCAGTGCAAAGGTGAATGATGAAATGTAATGAGAACTTAGCTTGGAAGCCAGGGAAAAGTGTAACTGTTATGCTAATAGATTAAATGGTCTCTGTTAGATGTGAAAGAATTGTCAAAAGTTTGTATGAGGAAATATCCAGACTGTATTTCACGAAGATAAATCTGTAGGAAATAGAATAATGCATTTGAGAGGTGAGAAGTAGGAATATGCAAATTAGTTAGAAGACCCTGGAAACAGCCCAGCAAGATACCATGAAGGCCAGAACTAAATAGTATTTGTAGAAATGCAACGAAAAGGCCATGTGAGGCCATCCATTTAATGAACATAGGGGTGGTAAAGGGGGAATGAACCAAAGAAAACTATTGTTTGTAGCTAGTTATGCAAGTTATCTTACATGTAATACTTGAGAAAGAGTAGCTAGGATTTTTAATTTGTTCAGTTTGTTTTTTGATAAAAAGATGCCTGGGAGAATGAGTTTGGTTGGGGGATGCTATTGACACTTTTGTTTGGTGATGCTAAGTAGATATTTGGACTTTGGACTATGGAGCTTGGTAAAGAGATAAAGACTGGACAGACAAATTTGAAAATTATCAGCATAGAAGTGAAAGTTGAGTAATAATAACAACAACTGTAACAACAAAGACGACAAGACCATTAACTTAACACCTGTCATGTGCCAGCCGCTGTGCTTGGTACTTTATCTGCATGATCTTATGTCATTTTCATAGTAACAAAGCAAGGTAGTATTCACGGATTTTATAAGTGAGGAACTAAGGACCAGAGAAATTAAATAACTTGCTCGAATTCATACAAGAAGTTAGTGTCAAGGCTAACATTCCAACCCTGATTTATCTCACAAATTATTTTGCAAAACCACCTAAAACAATAAGGGATGAAAACAGTTGTATAGCAACATATAGAGCAAGAAGGGAAAAAGTGTCATTCAAGTTTATGCCCTGGAACTAATAACAGAATCATTTTTACACGAGGCTCATAAGCAGCCTGCTTCAAACCATTACATTAAAAAAACTAACAAACAACATGAGTTCCTGGATTAATAATTTATTTCCAATGATCAGCATCTAAACAAATCAGCTTGGTTGGGAAGGTAAATTCCATTACGGTATACAGCCTTGTTTCTAGAGGAGTAGTGTTAGTCTTACATACACTGTAAAAGGCCAGGTGCAGTGGCTCACGCCTGTAATCCTAGAACTTTGGGAGGCCAAGGTGGTTGGATCACTTGAGGTGAGGAGTTCGAGACCAGCCTGGACAACATGGCAAAACCCCGTCTCTACTAAAAATACAAAAATTAGCCGGACATGATGGTGCGTGCCTGTAGTCCCAGCTACTCGGGAGGCTGAAACAGGAGAATTGCTTGAATCCAGGAGGCAGAGGCTGCAGTGAGCCGAGATCACACCACTGCACTGTACCCTGGGTGACAGAGTGAGACTGTCTCAAATAAATAAATAAATAAATAAATAAATACACTGAACAAGTCACACTTTGTGATTCAGGCCATCATGGCCCACTGCTAACCCAAGCTCTTTGATGTGTAGCTAATTAATAACAATTACAATGCCGTACATTTTATGAGGCAAAATACACCTAAAGTTGAGAGGAATGAAACACATGGGTTGTTGTTCAATGTTTGTGTCTAAATGACTTGGTTCAGTGGTTGTATCTAAATAAACAAGTGGATTGTTTGCAATCAAAATGGAAAGTCGATTGGTCAGGAAGATGACCCATCAGATTTATACTCTCTGCCTTAGTCCAAATGCTTAGGAAGGCAGAACCAAACTATGAATCTCAGTTAAAGTTTAAACTGACTTAAGAACATTGTATTTTAATTTTCTGAAAATCTAGGTTACATTTCCTTTAATGAACAGAGCTATTTTTAAGTGGTAGAGCAGCCATACGTTCATTTGAATATGTGATAAGGCATTGAATAAACTTCCACTTTCCATATCACTTACAGATTGGATTTATATACTGAACACACCTTCACCATACATTTTAAACACTAAGTTTTCTAATTCCATCATTCGAGGCCTCTTTTTCCAGGCCACAACCTGCCATTCAGTCTTAAAATTTGACCTCATTCAGACCTGAGCATCTGGGCCCATTATACTAGTATACTCGATATTCCCAAGCAAGAACCATACTGTGGTTCTTGCTCATTCTTGACCTAAGCTATCATACCCACCCACCTCCTATGGCCCAATCCCACCACTTCTTTAAAGCCCAAAGGAAGATTGTTTATCCCAGAAGTTCTGCCTAGAGTGATCCACTTTTCCTTGATCTCACTTTCTTTTGAGCACGAGCATTTATTGCTCATGGCACCAATTCAGGGATTAAGCATTCACAGTCCTGGCATTCTTGCATTGTCTCCTGCCCTCTGTTCTGCTGCAGATGCCTCTCGTTGGCCCAATCTAGTTGGAAGCCTGTTGGAAGGCGAGTGCATACAGATCCTGGGTACCGAACAGGGTAGTGAAGAGTGGAGAATGGGTATGAGGTGGGGGGGCAAAGAGAAGATTACAAACACATCAATCCCATATTCTGTCAGTTGAAATCTAGAAGTGCAAATGCCTAGAGAAATATTTCAGAATCTCAGAACAGTGTAACTTGGTTTTGAATTTTATAGAAACTTTTTGGGTGGGTATGGGAGGGACAAGAATCTTTTGTGTAAGGCCATACCTAACATCCTTAATCCCATAAAGAAAAACATGTACACGCATTTATCCCAATGTGTAATTATTGACATAAACACAGCTGCTCTCTATGTTAAAGGAACATTAAACTCACAAAAGCATGGAAATTCCTACTTAGAGTGCCTACTCCATTCTTAACATGCCTTGTTGTGCCCAGATGCTGCATGTATTTTGTACCATTTAAAAGGTTGATGTACAAAAGCAAAAAGGTGGTAGAAAAAAATAACTAGAGAGAGAATTGAGCCAGTAGAGTTGTCCTATTCTTAAATTTTATTATGTACTAATCTCCATAATGCCTAGGCACAACAAAACAAATTAAGAATTAAAGAAGAGATAATTTGACTGTGGATTTCTGAATTTGGGGGCAGGAAAGCTACACATGTAAAGATACACAAGACACATACAGCCAAAACAGAAGAATACTGAAATTGTGTAGTTTATGTTAAACTTAAAATAAATAGAGATTTACACTTCCTTTTAGATCCAGAAATACATGAAAACTTGCAAGGCAGCCCACAACAAAGCAATTGACAAGAAAGATAGCATCTGCTTTTCTGTCTATTCAAGCTGAAGTTTTTCATTCTAAATGCAAGCAATGCTTCCCAAGTTAACATAATTAACTCATGACAATCCTGAAACATCATAATATAAGATACAGATGGAAATTCAAAGCTTTAAAAATGTCAGCTAACTGCATCAGGATTATCACTTTTTTTAAAGTGAACAAACCATAATGCTAATTAAAACAGGTGTTTTTATTTCAAACCTTTTTGCATGTTATGAAATTACAACCAGGGTTATTTATTTATTAGTCGGCTGTGAAACATACATCTTAGAAACAAGAGGATCTGTGAAAACAACAAAGTAAAAAGATAAAAAGAATGACACTCAGTACTGCTTTCTGACACAATAGACGACCAGTAGTTCAATTAGTTAGTAATTTCCGTGTGACTACTTGACAGAATCTACTAATTGTTAATCTTACACTAACTATTGCTTTACATAATTAATTATATTCAAATAAAAACAACAAAGACGTGTGGGCCTGTGCCCTTTTGAGAATGTTTTTTTCACAAACTGGTTCTGCTTACTGACAATATTTCTAGTAGAAAAAGATATTAATCTCACAGGAAAAAAATAACACATAAAAATGTTAGCACATTCTGCCTTTTACCTTGCTTACAGAGCACGAGTCTCCCAGTCCCCCACCAAGTACAATAACAACAGCAACAAAATCCCCAAAGCTACTAACTGCTTTACACAAATCTATCCTTGAAGCAAATCTTAACGGCCGAAGTCCTTTGAGTTGGGATCTTTCATATTAATTTAGAATTGCATAAAATTCTGAGTAACCCATCCAGAGGTCAAGCATCATTCATCATTAGTTGAAGTGACATTTTCAGCCCTTCATATTGCAGCTGCTAAGAAGGGAGGGGGAAAGGTATTCTTCGAGCGGAAAAAAACAAGAGACAGAACACAATCCTTGCTCTATCCACAGAGGAGAAAACAAGGTGCCTCTATGTCAGCATGATAATATGCTTACATTTGGTGATGTCATTCTTCCCTAACCCCAGAGTCACTAAGCACATGGCAGCTGCATTCCTCCACTTAGGAGTTCTGGTGCAGATCAGTATTAACCATTTTAGATGTAAATGAAGCCCTTCAGTGGGGTGGAGAACATGGCTTTGTGAGCTGAAATGATGATTTATATCCGAATCCTATCTTGTTTTTGAGAGATTGGAACTTGTTAACAAGGCTGCCCTTGTTCTTGTGGCATCCTCCAGGCATAAAAAATTCTGGGAAGCTGAGTATGATCACTTTTGAAACTGCAAAACAGCATTCCAAGGCTTTGCAGCAAACATACTGGCCAAATTCGGACCTCTGAAGCTTTGCAATTCACAAATGAAAGATCTCTCTCTCTGTCTCTCTCTCTCTCTCTCTCTCTCTCGTGGGTGGCCTTCTTTTCACTGAAACATTAAGGTCAGGACAGGAAATGGGAGCAATTAAAATGAAACAGTAATCAGAAAAAAATAGGTAGCTGGTATTTAAATGGCTAATAATTCACAGGGCTTTTGATAATGCATTGATGTTTGCAAACTCATAAGACATCTCTAAGTTCTAAATTATCAGGGTTATTTGCCCTAAGAATCAAAGTTTTCCTGGCAAATGTTCTAAGTCAAAAGATAAGTGTTATGAAATACAGCCATAAAAGAAGTGAGAGCTGAGGTTTCTGCTAAGTAAGACTCTCCAGCCTCTTTTTGAGTTGTCTTCTCACACTCTGCCCCACCTGAAACATCATAGAATTTTGGTGCTGATTCTTCTCCCAAGTTAGAGCAGCGTGACTGAAATGTATCTGCAGTAATTATTTACAGTGTGTAAGAAAACCAGGTTCCAAATTTTGCAAAACTTAAAACTAAAAACAACTGACATTTCACTGGGGGAAAAGAAAGTAATTTCAAGAAATCCTCCACTATCATGGCTTATGTAGATACGAATTGCATATATAGTTATAATTACTGTTGCATTATATCAAATGTAATATAATGTACCTTTTACATTGGCTTTCCAAATACATGGCTTTCCAAATATTGTTTAACTTTCCCCTTCACTATGTTTGGTTGGGATCATACCCATTCAGAAGAGGCAAGTGGAGTAAATAATGGCACATGATTGAGGCAGGTGAGATCACAGGTCCTTTGGCTTCTCATACATGTGGTCAGAGCCTGTAGTGGTCCAATTTTTAGACTTGACCTTGAGGAAAGTGTACACCTTTTAGTTACATCAAAACCATATGGGATTTCTGGCATTAAAAACTTCTTTACAACACAGGCTTTATGGTTGCATGTGGATGTCTCATATACCAGCTGACAAAAAATAGGAGTTGTCTATATACAGTGGTTGAAATAAGGATTGTTATACATTGCTCACGTTTTCCCATTTTACTTTTAACTACTCTGATATGAGCTGAGTGCACGCAGAGATCAGACTGGGGTGTTAAAAAGGCGATTAGCTAGATAACTTAGGAAGTTATTTTAGCAAGCTAATAAATATATTGAAGCAAAATATAACAATAATATTGATATAGTGCATTACAGATAACAAAGCACTCACATTCGCTATCCCACTTAAGAATCACAACAATCTGGGGAAAAGTTATTAGTTCATATTCTCCACATTTTAGAAGATAGTAAATGGAAGTTCAATGAAATAACCACTCAAAATTTGTGAATAGGAGAGCCAAGGCTTTGAGTCAAATACTCCTTCAATTGTGCTGTTGTAGCATGATTGCTGATATTTAAACCAGCTTCCCATTTTAATTGGTAAACAATACCTGTGTTAAGCTATGAAGAAAGCATCCAAGGATAAAAGTAGTATAAAATCATTTCAACTTCAAAACACAGGTAGCGAAAGAGACAGATGTATGGCTTTTTTTTTTTTTTTTTTTTTTTTTTTTTTTTTTTGAGACAGAGTCTTGCTCTGGCGCCCAGGTTGGAGTGCAGTGGCACCATCTCCGCTCACTGCAACCCCTGCCTGCCAGTTTCAAGCAATTCTCCTGCCTCAGCTTCCCAAGTAGCTGGAACTACAGGCAAACGCCGCTATGCCTGGCTAATTTTTTTTTTTTTTTTTTTTTTTTTTTTGTATTTTAGTAGAGACAGGGTTTCACCGTGTTGGCCAGGCTGTTCGCGAACTCCTGAGCTCAGGCAATTCGCCTGCCTCTGCCTCCCAAAGTGCTGGGATTACAGGCATGAGCCACCATGCCTGGAGGTGAATGCTTTTAAGGTAGGTTTCAATTGGCTCCCTGTGGCCCATCAGTTCTGTCTCCCTACATTGGAAGTCAAAAATTTCTTACTTTAAATGCCGCGAATCTGATTCCTGAGGCAGCATACCTTGGCATCATGATTAGCTAGGGATCATTTGCTAGGGATATTAGCTAGGGACATGGTTTTTTCCCCTGGGGTATCTGTCTTGTTTTTGACCCTGGGTTCCAACTACCTTGTTGTGAGGTGCTATACTTTATGCTTCTGGAAATGCCTTGTTTCTGACACAGGACTAATTCTTTACCTGGATATATAGTTTAAGGTGCTAATTATGTGTCAGTCCCAGCAGAATAGAATACCACATGAAAAATGTTCTTCATATGAGAATTCAGCTATGGCGCTGAGGTGGACAGAGCAAAGAGCTTAGAGTCAGAGCTCCATCCTTCAAGTCCTGAATCTTATCACTTAATCTCAGCCTCAGTTGCTGGGCTGTTGTGAGCATTTAGTCAAAAAATATAGGTGAAAACAAGCTGTAAAAATGCAAAGTATGGCTGGGTGCAGTGGCTCATATCTGTAATCCCAGCACTTTGGGAGGCCAAAGCAGGAGTTCAAGACCCACCTGGCCAACATGGTAAAATCCCGTCTCTACTAAAAATACAAAACTTAGCCAGGCATGGTGGTGCATATCTGTAATCCTAGCTACTCAGGAGGCTGAGGCATGAGAATCACTTGAACCTGGGAGGTGGAGGTTGCAGTGAGCTGAGATTGCTCTATTGCCCTCCAGCCTGAGCGACAGAGTGAGACTGTCTCAAAAAACAAAAACAAAAACAAAACAAAACAAAACAAAAAAACCCTGTAAAATATTATGCTATGCACGGTATTATCATTACTTTTCTCTTTTCTTCACTACAATAAAGCAAAAGAGAGCAGAGCATTTAGGAGAAAGCGCAGAGTCGAGTTTTCAGGATGCGTGCCAAGAATTTGAGAATTAAAGTTGTCTGAGTGCCACTATTTAGTTGCAACAAATTCTATCATATCTTCTTTGATTTTAGTGGAATATATAACATACATGTATCAAATGAATTTAGTCATGGTCCTCAGGACTAAGGTACTGAAGCTGCATCTTGAAGAATTGATTAGGGAACCTCTCAGTCACTACCTAGATATAATATGTTCTCTGAAAGGGCATCTTGTATAAATAAATTCATATTGGTGAAATGCTGGTTATCAAAAGTTTGAATTTTGTAATGGCAGGTTGTGTTACTGAGTTAATACAGGAGCTTGATAAACATTGTAAAGCTGAGGCAGACAGAATCCTCTAACTGCATTTAGAATAATTGTGACGACTCCTCTGCTTCAGATGCGTGAAGAACAGTGCACACACACAAACACAGTCAGGCTGGTTCATGTGATTCGATCCCAGTCAGCTGAAACAGCTCTCAAGGATCCATGGTGGAGGACACCAAAAAATTAATATAAAACCCTATATTATAACCTGAATTTCCAAGTAAAGGAACCCAAAACAAGAGAAACAGCTAGGATCAAAAGAGTAGGTCCCTCCAACTTCTGAAATAACATTCTGCATTTGAGCCTGAGGATCTGTGGCTGTCTTCAGCCTAACCTTAAATGTTAAATCTTATAAGCAATGCAACCACTACTTTGAGAGATTATTTCGTAGTCTAATGGATTTCATTGTCAGGAAATGGTTTTTGATATTCAGCCAAAATCAAGCTTTCCAGAAACAAGTTTTATTTGTGCATTTCCCTCCCTTAATATTTATGGCTAAAGTAGATATTTCATTTATGGGCTTCTTTTTTAGAGCTTCACATTGGTAGATGAGGAAAGGAAGAAGAGGAGTTTATTCTTCTTCTTTTAGAATTTCTTTTGTTTCTTATCTGTAGTAAAGTTAACTGCTAATATGGATAACTACTTTTCCACTGAGAACATGATAAATCTTTAGAAGGAGCAGCAGCACAGATAGGTGGGAATATTTGAACAGTACCTTGTAAGAGCTGCCGCTGGAAGTTCACCAAACAAACTAAATCTGTAAGAAGACTACTTCAACTTCAACAGCTTTAAGATTCTTTGTATTGCCATCATTCATTGCCAACTGGGGAGTTTTTACAGCCTTTCAAATCTTAGAGTCCTTTCAATCATTAGATGCCTTAAAGGGACAGAAGGCCTTAAAATGTGCTCCCGATCTCCCTAGTTGAAAAAGATACATCGACAGAGGGGGAAAAGTCAAACAACAATACAAAAAGCATTAATGCAAAGAACAGTGGGGTCTCTCCCTAATTTGACTTTCTCTACAGGTGGCCTGCAGCTGCGTCCAAACAGGTTACTCCATTGCCTTCCCACGAGCATGACAACAAAGTGCATCTGTATTCACAAGAATACATTTAGTGGCATAGACTGATTCAGGTCTAAAAATAAGAAAAAAGGATTTTTCCTGCATAGCCTGAGGTAACTCTCTGCACCAGCAGAAGACAGTAGTACTCTTGTCTCCCTGGCTGTGCCTGAACATAAAGGAATCAGAAACCTACTTCACATGACTCAAGGAGGTCCAGGGCCAGCAAGGAGTTGATTCACTCTATTTACATCCACGTGAGTCCCATTGACTACATATAGCAGCCAGGCAGGCAAAATCAATAAGGAATATTCTGTTTTCAATTGACTTCAAGGTAAACTATACATACAGATCTCTGAGACTGATACACCTGTTTAAATAAGTATTTTATCATGCTGGGCAACATTATGCTGAAATAGGCAAGATTAGAGTACGCCTATTTGGTCAGGCTTAAAAATAATTGATCGGGCCACCTTCACTAATCTCATTTAAGGAGAGACACACACCCCGTCTGTGTGGTTATTTGCTGGGAATATGACAAGGAGATGAAAAGCCAGAAAAAAATGTTTGTATTGGAGGAATAACACTCCTAAAATTGATTTCTAATTTATGTATTAATACTTAAATATCTGATGAAGTGAATTTCCAGTGATATTGCTTCTTTAATATAACATTTACATGTGAGGGAGTGCAGTGTGTCTCTGGAGAATCTCTCTTTTCTTCCTCCCTCCCTTCCTTCTTTCCTTCTTTGCTTTTTCTCCCATTTTCTGTCTTATCTCCAAAGCATGTATTCACATTCTTTTCTTTCATGGAATCTCTACTCTTCCCAGTTCACCAGGCTGATTTAGGAGCAAGTACATAGAAGGTGCTTTCCCACTCATCCCTGAAAACAAGCAAACAAACAAAAACAACAACAACAAAAATCTGTTCCCTCCTGTCCTCCCCTCCTTGCATTTCCCAGGGAGCCATCCTTTTTGGAATGCAACTGTATTTCGATTCCCAGGAACAAGCAGGTCATCTCTGAGATATGTTTAATCCTTACTGACCCAAGAACCATGAATCTCCACTTTTCTTCTAAATGCATGTCTTATAAATGATTTTATTTGTCAATTGCTTCACTCCAGGGCTATCTTCTTTTTCAACTTTTTGATAGTTCTGCCTTTTCCTGTCCAGTTAGAAAGCTGTATAATGTTATTTTTGTAACGTGTACATGACAACCATTAGTAAAAACTTTTCTCTACTTTGGATATCCAGATGGTTCCAATTTCTTTCCTTATTTCTCCTTAAACCTCCACCTATATTGTTTTATGAAGATATATTATTTAAGAACACCTCATAATAACATACTTTTGCTGACACATGCCAAAAAAAAGACTAGCTGATTTTCCTTTAGAATTCAATAAAGAGGAAAAGAATGAATTTAATAGTGATTAATGAATGCCTTACTGTTTTATGTTATATGAAAACAAAACCTTGAAATATATATCTTGTAAAAAAGGTAAGCTAAGTATCCAGTAGTCAATGTTCATTGTTAAGTGAAGGCACATAGCTGAGACTGGAATAAAATTAACAAATCATTCCCAAAGAAAGTCAGGAACAATTGAGTGGCCATAATAAAAAGGAAATAGATGCAAGTTAAGCTACATAATAGTATTCTTATTTTAAGTGAGACACCCCTAATAGAATGCAGCCTGAAATATGGCTTTTAGGAATTAGAATAGAAAACTAAATCCTGCATCATACAAAATTTGAAGCACCAGATGAAGTAAAAAATGCTTAATTATACTTACGATTGGTATGTGAAGGACAAATATTTACTAAGAGAAAGGTGATGGTCTCCAATCCACTTCATCAGAATAATCATAGAGCTCAACTTTTAAGTGGTCAAATCCTGTGTAGCTAGGCAGATTCTGCCCTCGTGTATTTGAAACTATGACTTTTGGTTGATTGCTGACTAATGTAAATGTTAAGGTCTATGAATATTAGCTATATCAAAATAAAGCATTTAGCTTTCAAAATTTATTCTATTACCTTTCCCTTGCTATCATGTCTACTCCTACACTCCTTGGCAAGAAAGTTTCTAAGATTAAGCAAGATAAAGATTTTGAAGAGACATCAGTACAGGCCGTTTTAAAACATTATATTTTGAATCAAATATAAATATAGAGACTACCACATTGTAAAAAAAAGTATGAAGAGAAATTGAACAGTGTTTGGAGAGTAAGTGAGATAAGTTGTTCGGTTTCCTTCAAACTCAGCAGTTCTGTTATTCTAAGCTATGAAGACCAGTTTAGGGACTTCTACCGCCATCCATGTTCTTCAGCCAAACGTTCAGAACTACCATATTGCTTTAGGACAGAGATTAGCAAACCATGGCCTGTGACCAAATCTGGCTTGTGACATATACAATGTACTTTAAAAATAGGTCATATTTTAAATGTGACATGCATTAAAGAATATCATTCATATAGCTGACACTTTTTAAAATGTTATTTTCATTGCATTTTCTTAGCTTTTAAAAAATATTAGATTGTAATAAAAAATACAATGAAAGATAAATATACATTTGTGCAGATGAATCTTTTACCTAAAATCAACTGAGAGTTCACCAAAATCATCTAAAATACTACAGTAGCCGGTACCATCGTAGACAAGTTCTTTAAAGCCCAGTTTTTCTGACAATTGATTTAATCTACTTTATGAGTCTCTAAGCTCCTTCAAAGCAGTAGGTAATTTCACTGTAGTAAATGAGATGAGGTTTGTAAAAACAATTTAAAGCAATACAAAACTATGTAAAGTAGTAGTCATGGTTGTAACACCAGTAGTAGAAGTAGGTGTTTAATAAATATTTGTTGGCTGAATTAAATGTTGGCTCCATTCTGAACTATGATTTTAAGATTTTTAACTGCTAAGAAGAATATTGTGCAGATGAAATAGCTGATTAGGATATGAAGGCCTACTGAGTTATATATGATATGAATACTCCACTAGTTATGCAATGCTTGGAATTCCAAGTGGGAGTTTTACTCATGGAAGAAATACAGTATGTGGCCCTGTGACTAAAAGATAATAGGAACTATTGAAGATGGAGATTTTTTTCCACTTGGTCCTGGGCACGGAATCAAAATCTAAGTTTAACTTGGTGATATTTAAAAATGCATAACATGCAAAAGTCTGTAATCATTCTGTTTCTCAGCTAGTGAAAATAGAAGTCTACAGCATAGTATGTGTCAATTTTGAAAATATAGCCAAATCAGGCCGACAAGAAAAATTTTAAGTAAATAACTTCATCCATGTGTTTAGTACCATCCATGACTCTATGCCAAATTCACTTCAAGTTCCCTTCTTCAGCAACTTCTTTTATAACATGTGCCCGCAGCTATTAACTATCTGAAGTGTTGATGAGGATAGGAAAGAAATTACTTTTATGGTTATGTTTTAGGGGGGCATTTGGAATTCAACAATATGTGACAGAAACAGCTTCAGCTAGAAATAATCTGTTAAGAAAAACACCTGAATTCTAAGCAAATAATTTAGCCATTTAAAACTCATGGAGGCAGATACACAATATAAGAAATAGCAAAACTGAAAACAAAATTAGAGAAAAGTGATCCGTGTCACCCAGTAGCAATGGAAAGCGTCAAGCATAGATTAGACTAGAAATATAAGATGAATTCTAACTGTGTGAAAATATTGGATATTTAATTTTGGATCAAAAGTGTTTTCTGGTCTCTGAGACATACATTTCTGGTTTTGGTAGTTATGGCTTCGTTTCTTTCTCATGTATTATTTGTTTCTGATTGACAATATTTTCGTTGTGTTTTAGTTACCATTAATTTTTTTTTCTGTGTAGATGGCGGGGGTAGGGGTCTTGCTTTGCTACTCAGGCTGGTCTCGAACTCCTGATTTCAAGCGATCCTCAACACTCACATTGCCCATTGCTTATGCTCAGATTAATTTTTGTGATAAATGTGCATTAATAGGAACTTACATGTTCACACATCTTTCTCAAGGTACATTATTCTTTGCTGGTAGGAAAACTGCTTAGGCTCTCATCTATGGACAGCAACAACACTATTAAAGCTCTCATCTATGGACAGCAACAACACTATTCAAATGTCTGAGTTCATTAACATGGTTTTTTGTTCTTCCTTGTAGAAGCATCTAGGTATATAGCATTTGGTGAATAGACAAATACATGATTTACTCCATAGCAAACAATTCTTCCAGAATCTATTGCTTGTGTTCCTATTTGCTGTTGGTTTGATTTTAAGAAAGTACATAGGCCTCCCTCTATTTAAGACTCTCAACTTCACTTTGCAACCCTGAACAATGTACCCCTACTCTCCCTTCCTTTCCAATGTTTAATATATTTCTCAGAGTTTTTGTCTCCCACAGACAAGTTGCATACTTTCTAACTTCAAAAAATAAAATAAAACTTAGTTTTTTTTAAAAAAAAAAAACCAACTTATTTTTTAAGATAAGGTCTTGCTGTCTCCGAGGATGGAGTGCAGTGGTGCGATCATAGCTCATGGCAGCCTCAAACTCCTGAACTTAAGTGATCCTCTCACTTCAGCCTCCTGAGTAGCTGGGACTGAAGGCGTACACCATGCCTGGATAATTAAAATTCTTTATTTTTCATGTTTTTACGGAGATGGGGGTTTTGCTTTGCTGTCCAGGCTGATCTTGAACTCCTGGCTTCAAGTGACCCTCCCGCCTCAGCTTCCCAAAATGCTGCTATTACAGGTGTGAACTACTGAGCCCAGCCCAAAAAGAGTGAACAGCTCATTGCTGCAGTAGATCAGGCCAGGCATAGTAAAGGGGTAAGGTATAATGTGGCTATATACCTATTGGGTGGCTAGCCCTATTGGGTGGCTACCCCAAGCCAGCTACTCACCTCTTTCCCTTTAGCCACCTTACAGCGGATGGTGACCATCTGTGTAACATAGCATGATGGCCTCGGAATTTTAACACGTGTATTTCACTTAATACAACTGAAGTCTTTACTTCCAGAAATACTAAAGGCATTTGAAGTTTTTAACTTTGATCACTCCTTTAGCCACATTTGATGCTATTTTTGACCAAGATTTGATCCGTATCTAGACTTTTATTTTACACCACACAAATGAGACTTCCTTGTTTCATGGAGTTTCTTTGGATTTACCTATTAGTTTAGATGTTCTTTGTTAGCCTTAACTTCATGCATTTCAGACACTCCTGCTGGGATAATGTAGCTTATTCTTGAAATATGTCCTTATAATAACTGCTATGGTCTGTATGTGTCCTGTAAAATTCATTGTTGGAAACAACCCTCAATGCAACAGTGTTGGAAGGTGGAGACTTTGGGGAGGAGTTTAGGTCATAAAGGCTTTGCCCTCATGAATGGATTAATGCCACTACAAAAAGGGTTTGCAGGAGTAGGCCCACTCTCTCTTGTTCTTCTGCCTTCTGACAGGTGAGTACATGGCAAGAGGACCCTCACTAGATGCTAGTATCTTGATCTTGGACTTCCCAGATCCCAGAACTGTGAGGGAATAAACTTCTGCTCTTTATAAATTACCCAGTCTTAAGTGTTTTGTTATGGCAGCAGCAATTGATAATTCCTTTTCAAAAGAATCTGTTGATATTGAGCTCTCAGGTTTGTTTGCTTGAAATTGTTTTTGTTTTACTACAGACCTTAAGAAACAAACATAAAATATTTGTTTAAAAGTTATTTTCTCATGTGAGTAAATGCTATTTACTTAACAAAACAGTTACTTTCCACCTTTCTGTGACATTTTTAAAAGTTAAATATTTCTCCTTTGAGATTAAGGTCTCTCTTCAATTAGAGTTGAGAAGGGAACAATAGGAGGGAATTACTAGGCTAATTAAATGCTCACTCCATCAAGCTGGCGACTGGCATCTTGAGAGATTGCTGGACTAAATGGTTCTCATGATTGGTCTCTTGCTTTCTCCTAGAAAGGTGACGTTAAGACATTTCCTCATAAACTGGATTAAAGGTAGACTTTCTACATTCAGTTGCATTTGTATTGAGATCTATAGGCTTAAATATATACATATTATGCATCCTAAATTGTAATTTTAGTATTGCTCTTATAAAATACAAATTTTATATTTTTATTTCTTTATTATAATATTTTGCATTTAAGCAAATCAACTAATAGTGATATTAAAATATGAGAATTCCTAGATTTTGCCATATTTTCTGAATTACAAATTCTCAAAACTCTGCTTCATATCATTTATGCTTTCAATCCAGTTAGTAGCCATGTATTACCATGGGAAGCTTGAGGGAGGGGTAGGAAGAGGACAAGAATAGGAGAGGCCTGTTTAAATTAGTGAGAAATACAAATTGTAGTCAACTTTGAGATCATTTAAAATAGGATTCTTATGTATTATTGAGGATAATAAATGGTTCTTAGTGAAGGTCCTTAGAGGGTCTGAATAAATGATTAGTTATGAGGGATTTATAGTTAGAATATTACTTTTGTGAAGATACATAGATACCTCTAAAATAATTAAAAACACTTAAAATGTTCCTGGAATTTTGGAAATATTTTCTGTGAAGACTTTTTGCATAATGAACAGGTAAACATCAATCCATTCTCTCTCAAGTATGTATGAATCATTAATTAGCGCAACATGAATTATTTGTAAAGATTAACATAGACTATTCTAAAGCACTGACTTAGTGGTTTTAAATACAAGTAAGGATAACCATTTGGGTAAGGGTTAATACAAATGCTAGTTTATAAATAAATATATATAAATAACTTACTTTCAGAGATTATTTTAGGCAAATGGGTGGCTTTGGAAATAGTGGCTTTTATTCAAATAATTGTTGTAAATTTAAAACCAATTTGAAGTGATCATCATATAGGGTGACACAAGACCTCCTTGCCCAGCTATATTTTAAAGGCAGACTATGAGTTGCAACTCTTCACAAGTATTCAATTTTAAATTTAAGGTGTCTGTCCTCCAACTTCTCTGATTCCATCAACCCTGTTTCTCTGGGGTTGTTATGCATTGAAAGTTTTAGCATTCTTTGAACAGTAAAAAATACAACCTTTTGCTTGTTTTTAATTCCAGCAGCACGTTTTGCTTCACAAAGACAATAATATGGGTTGAAAAGGCTCTGTTCTGATGCACTAGATGGTTCTCTTCATATTGACTCAGTCTAGAAGGACTTCATGTTAATGCAAATTAAAATCATAGTATTCTTCCTTAGCTAGGCCACATTTCCATTCTAAGGTCTTCATTTCAATTCCTAGTAGAATCTACATGCCACATAATCCTGGAGAATAGAACCAACACCATCTCCATTTAGCACCAAGCAAGGGTGGTTTGGGGAAAAGTTGAGTGAGTGCCTTTCTACTAAAGAAAACCAAGATGGTACCTTCACTGTAAAAATGTTTCTTTACATAAAAAATAATGTCTAATACCCTCAAATTAATTTTCAATTTCAGTTTAAGGGATGGATCTTGGTTTGAATATAAATGCCCCTGGAAAAGACAATACTTTGGAAGATTGTTTATATTTTACATCTTAATGTTTATGAGTTTCAGATACTCTTCTGCAAGTAGGTTTTAGAATAAGGGACAAAGAAAAAAGTATATGGGAAATATGCATCTCAGAGGACTTAGGAGACGGTATCCTCAAGAAAGGATGAGTGGGCAAGATATTAAAGCAAATTCCTCCTCCATCACAATCTCATGCAGGGCTGCCCCAATATGTACACATTTATTCATTCTTTTGACTAGTCTTAATTTGGCATCTACTATATTCCAGGTAGTACTAGGCTCTGAGGGTACAAAATTAAACATAATTTACTTGCTGATTTTAGGAATCCTATTCTAGTGGAGGAGGAAGAAACCAACAATTACAATACATAATGACAAATGTGTAAGCGAAGATGGTACAGGATTCCACGGGGCATTACGTAAAATAGAAGGACACTATCTGCAAACTATTTCTGGAGTTAGAATCTTTATTTTTGGAACATGAGAATGATACTTATTTAGTATAATGCATTTTGGATCCAGTCAACCATTGCTGTCCTGACATTATCAGCTCTAGGAAGGGCCGAGGATCTGATGCCAGCAAAGTTGAAAATATTTTAATATCTGGTCAAGTCAGCTGCTCTGACAGCAACTGATTTGCTGAATGTCAAATCGGTTCACTCTGGAATTTAATGGATTTTAATAAGGTTTGGGATGGGATAAATCTAAACAATGTTCGAATAAGTATTTACCAATTTAGCTTTTTGCATTTTGGTTAAACAGAAGGACCATCTCTAAATACAGATTTACATCATGGGCACAAAGACAGCACCACTCTTCATTTTATGGATTATAATATGCCTTGACACAATCCAGGGAATTTGAAGGTAGAGTTGACACTCCATCATTTGCTTGTACGGTTGTGTCTTTTCCTAAAACTGAACAATGTAAGCAGGGGGTGATTATAGATGTTAACTTTGATGCTGCTGACATTTGTCACCTTCTGTCATAACCTTAACATTATTTAAGCATATTTGTGTAAGGCCTTTCTGATTGTTCAAAGTACAACGTAGAATTCTGAAATGTACAGGCTCCTGTAACATTTGCTCCACCAGCAATCAACATATCAGATTTTCTTTGAGAGGTAAATATTATGTGTCATGTTCCATAGGGAAAAACATTAAGAACTGCTGTGACATGGTCTTTGATAATTTTTCCCCTATTTTTCCTTTGTTTTAGAGGTTAGTTACATCAGAAACAAAATAGGCTGTGAATTTCTCTTGTCCTTCATCAATCAAAGCTGATCAATTATAAGACCAGGAAAACTGGATCACAACTCCAAGCTACATCGTCATATTACATTCATATTATTACTAAAAGCCACATCTATATTCCAAACTGGGATACTATAACCCCTTTGTCATTTTCCAATAAAAAGACCATACCAAATAGGCCGAGCACACCGTAATTAGCAGCTGGCGGAGAAAGCTGTAAATCTGTATGAGTTCTGAACGATTTGCTTACATTGTTGCTTTGTTGACAAATGATGCTGTACATGTTAATGTTCCTGAAATGTCCCCATTGCACCTGACGTGCCAATAAATGCCAGCCAGCTGTATGAATTATGGAAATAAGATTTTTGTTTATGAAGGTATCCCAGACATTTATTTTACAGCATTCCTCTCGACAGATTTAATGTCTGGAGTTACATTGAGAAGATATTTGCTACCTGACATAATGGATAATGGAAACTTTAAAGGCTCTTTTTTCCTCCTTTTAATGATGAGATTAATACATCTACACACGCACACACATGCACACACATATATATGTATTTTAACACTTACCTTGTGACTTCATAATTTGCTGTTTATTTTTAAACATCACACATTTCTGCTTAAGAGTTAAATAATATATCAGTTTCCAATTAATAGTATAAGGGGATGAATACTTAGAATACCAATAATTTTCATTTCCATTTCAATCATTTTTGTAACGTGTATGTGAATGGCACATAAATATTTTGCACAGATTATATTATTTTGCATTTGTTGATCTATTACTTTATTGTTGGTTTAAAAGACCTTTACTTGTGAGTGTTTCTTTTATATATTCTAGGGGTATTTAAGATAAGGCTCTGCAGAAGTTAGCACTCAATAAATAGTTTTATCTCTAATATAGTTTAAAATAATATGTGCTATGGCTGGGAATTCTACAGATTTTACTTCATTGCCCACTGTACCATTTAAACTCCTTATTCAGATGAGCGATTTAATTAATGCAGTATTATGAAAGAGCTCTCAGATAAGATAAAAATTACCTGATCACATAATCATAAAATAACCACGGATTCTGAATCCTATAAACCTAACAATAAAATATATCAGATCATACTCATGTAAAAGCCTTTCTTCTAACATCAAAATAAAATTTATAATTCCCAGATGTGAATGCCAATCTTCTCAAGTTTTAATCTTCAAAACATTTGTGTAATAGAGGCTCACTATCATCTTTAAATTATTGTACTTTGCCACAGGTCAAAGGTAATTAGAAATTATGATTCCTGGGTGATAGCCATTTTTTGTTTACAGGTTCATTGCTAAGGAATGGATTGAATCAGTACCTAAACCAGCTGACAGGTAGGTGTCCAACAAGCATTTGGGTTTGAACACTGACCTACAAATGATTTGCCACATCAAGTGACTTGTATTTTAGGGAAGACGCCAATGAGTCCTGTGTGAGTGAATGGCTGCATAATTTTTACCTGGATTAAATTATTTAGTTGGTTTTTCCACATACAGGCCAATGTCCTTTATGAATCCAATTTGTCCACAAAAATGTTTGATACGCTTTCCCACATCTTCTTCAGGCTCTCCTATGCTACCTAAACTCTCAAGCAGCAGTAGAACAAAAGTGTCTCTTTATGGAACCTTGAACAACGGTGCCAGTGGGATGGTGCACATATAAATAGAGAGAAAAGTCAAATCACCTTTGTAACCAAAGGCAATTCCCTTCGAATGGTTCTTTCCCCACAAAAGAATCCAGATGGCAAAAATGATGCTTAAATAAATGCTGGCTACAGCTCAATTCTTCTGGTTCATATTGGCTACAATACAAATGACACTCACATTTCTATATTAACCATTTCACAGGTTTTGTATGAAGCATAAGCTAAGTGTCCAAGGGCCCCTTGTGTTTAAAGAGTTAAGTCTTCTCTTCTTGGCATAGCTGCTCTAGTCTGCATTTGCTCAAAGGAGGATTAAGGGTAATGTGCAGCAGAGGAACAACTTAAGGAGACCTGGACTATATCTCCCTCCTCAATATACCTGCACAACGAGAAACACAGGGCTGCAGACTCCACTCTCCAATTCTCTTTCACATGCATGGAATTCATTGAAACTAATGGGAAGGAAATTATAGTCATCTCACAGGTCTCCTAACTATAGGTTTCTGTATGGATAAATTTAACTTGTCAAGGTTTCTTACAGAACGACACAACTAAAGTCAAATAGTCAACTAAGAATAGCAGAAAAACCTAAAAGTATTCAATTCTCCCATTTCAGTTAAATAAAACCAGATACATTATAGGCAAAGATCAGAGTTTGACTGGAGATTTTCCAAAATGATGCTATAATTTCTTGCTGAGTTATGAAGTTAAACACATATAAAGTAATAAATATCTGAACAAAATAAAGACACTTCACTTATTATATGAGAGTATAATTTTAAAAATGAATTGTTTATAAACAAATGAGGATATATTAGGATTGGCAGAAAAAAATGAGGGAATTACTGAATGGCATTTGACTGTCATTCAGAAAGGGCATATTATCCAGGAAACATTGAATTTAATAAATAATATTTGAAACAGAGATATGGACTATAGTGCTTTATTTGGGCAAAATAAAGTGATAAAAGTGAGTTTCTTCAGACAAAAATCCTTCTCAAAATAGAGTTATAAAAATCTTATCCCAGCCAGGTGCAGTGGCTCACACCTCTAATCCCAGCACTTTGGGAGGCTGAGGCAGGCGGATCACCTGAGGTCAGGAGTTCGAGACCAGCCTGGCCAACATGGTGAAACCCCGTCTCTACTAAAAATACAAAAATTAGCCAGGCATGGCGGCAGGCACCTGTAATCCCAGCTACTCAGGAGGCTGAGGCAGGAGAATCGCTTGAACCTGAGAGGCGGAGGTTGCGTGAGCCGAGATCGTGCCATTGCACTCCAGCCTGGGGGACAAGAGCAAGACTTTCTCTAAAAAAAAAAAGAAAAAAAAAAAAGAACAAACAAAAAAAACCAACTTATCCCAGAAACACTTGCATAATAATAACAATAATAATAGTCATCTATTTCACTTGGGTTTCATATTAAAACTTTATAAATTAGGAAGTATTATTAGTCTTATTTTATAGTTGAGGAAGCAGAGCCCTGAAGTATTTTAACCAATTCAAGGCTGTGCCACTTTTGCACAGCATGGCATGAATTTACCCCAAACCACTGTGATTCCAGGATCCACATTTTTAAGCAAATGTTGTTTTGTGCCTAGAAATGAAATGAATGGTCTGACTGTCACAATCTAATATTATATTTAATGCATATGTTTTGAAAATTTTACTGAAAAATAGAAAGCAAAATCACATCGATTGGGGAAGTGGATCCTCTGGATAGAAGTTAGTTGGAAAGGATTAGTAGGAAAAATAATAAAGTAACTGTGAATAGTGAGTTAAGCACCAAATGTATACTTTTGGAAATTTACAATATATATATTTTTAGCTCCTATATGCACATGATATCCCAAACTCATGTAGTTCTCACTAGGACCTGGATTGGATGACTAATTTTTTATGAAGAAATAACTCCTGGGTAGGAAATAAATGATAAAAAGAAAATCTGTGTTTCTCAAATGAGGCTATCATCTGCAATAGGTACTGAATCAAGAGAGAGAGAGAGAGCAAAGATACATGTATTAATTACTAAGTCTTTGAAGCAGCGGCAACAAGAATACTCACCACTTGATAAAAAATGTGCAGCTATACATGGCACACATCCAAACTTAATTTTTTGCCAATTAATAAAAAACATTCAATAACAAATATCCACTGGAACAACATCTAGTGAAGGCCCAAGTAATATACTAGATGCTGTTAGTGACAAAATAAAAGACACACCCTGCCTTCAAGTATCTTGTAGTCTACTAGAAAAATAAAGATAATAAAACAGAAACATTATAGAAGGCGATTCTGGAAGGATTTCTAATCAGCACTTAGATTCCATAAAGATACCCAGGAGGAATGGATGGTTGGGGGTGAGGAAAAGAAGGGGCCAGGCAGCTGAGGCCTGATGTCCTTTATGCAGTGGTCAAGAGAGGAGTGACCTGGAGGACAGGAGTGAGGGCTAAAGTGGCTGTTGTCCCAAATCTTTTCATTTATCCCTATACTCACACAGCAGTTATTAAACTCCTATCATGGCGTCAGTCTTTGAGGATATAGTGGTGAGTGAGACTGCAAGATCCTTCTGCTCATGGAGAGAGACAGACAGGACAACTAAACAAGGTAGCTTTGTGCTGTAATACTATGAAGAAAACAGAGCAAAAGTGTATGCTAAGTGTTTCTGAGCTACTTTTTAATTGGAAATTAAAGAGAAACAGAAATTTTGCCTGTTAGCATTGCCATCCACTCTGGAAAACAGATTGTGAAAAATTAAGAAAATATTTAAAAGATGGTGTTTTCTCTCAAGAAGGAGAAATGGGGCATGCACATGGAAATGAGCTAAACAGCTGGGGTATGGACATTCAGGTGAATCAAGGGCACTAGAAAGCAGTGACTGCTTCATGGAGCAAATACAAAATGAGTTTTAATCCTTACTATCTTCACTGATATTTTTCTGTGCAAGTCAAGTATCCTGTTTCATACTGTATTCTATATTCTAGAATCATATAAGCCACACCTTTCTGCCAAAATCGGTCTTGCTGAGTTGTTAAGTTACACACATAAAGTAATAAATACCTGAAAAAATACATTTCACCTATTTATATGAGTTTAATTTTAATTTTTTAACAGTTTCACTTTATGTTTAATGGATAAAATTACTTCCAAGCTTTAGTGCTTCTGTTTTTCCCTAGCTCCAAAAGTCTTTTGAACAGGAACCTCATCCTACCCATCTTTATATTGTTACCTTGGGTCTGGGATATCATAGCCATTTGATTGATGTTTGTTGAAAAGAGAGTAGCTGCAGACTCAAGAAGCCTACCCTAGACCTAAAGAGGGATGGGTTTAAGGCAATGATATGCAAAGTGGCTAAGAGCACATTGACTTTAGAGTCCATCAACCCTAGACTTGAATGTTGGCTCTGTCACAAACTAGATGGGGCCTTTGAGTAAGTTAACCTCACTAAGCCTCAGTTTCCTTACCAGAACAACTGAGATAATAATGTCTACTTCTTTGTATTCTGTGATTACTAAATGAGATAACATAAATAAAGTCCACAGTGTGATGCCTGTGTTCAAGAAATGCTATTAAAGTTGTGGTTGAGACAGACAAAAAGCAGGTATTAGAAATGACTTAAACTTGTCACCTTTGGAAAGGAAATGCAGTCAATTTCTATAAGCAGTAGAGTACATGGAGAAGAAGTAGATCTCTTGGAGCAAAGATAAAATTTCTCTATCATTCCAGTGACCAGTGACTACTTAAGTGGAAGTATATATTTAGGCAATGAAAATCACACTTCTAATGATATGTTGAAAGGAGGAAACTAAGGGTTAGAAATGCAGGTATGAGAATAATTTGATTGCAAGTGATGCTTGAACTCTGCAAGTTTTCTGAGGGAGTAGTGGGTAGGCAAGAGGGCCCAATGGTGAGTTTTTTTCATGCCTAGTTTAATAGGTGAAATAATGAAGAGGAATCAGCAAAAGGGAAGTCAAGGCCTTTTAAAAGTCTTGACCCAATGTCTTGAATCAGGAAGTAGGTTATAAAAAGGGCAGAGAAACTGTCAGCTGGTTGACAACAAATATGAAAACAAATTTATTAAAGAGTATAGAAAACTTGCCCAATCCAAAAAGCAGAGGGTTTAAACTGGGCAGAAAAGAACAGGTTCCAGAATCATTTATTGCTTAACACAGTACAGGGGATGTTTATTTGTGGGAGAATTCCTGGTGGGCATGCCCAGAGTGTATACAAGTCAATTTAACTAGCTAAAAATTTCCATGGGATACTATGCAGCCGCAAAAAGGAATGAGATCACGTTCTTTGCAGGGACATGGATGAAGCCGGAAGCCATCATCCTCAGCAAACTAACACAGGAAGAGAAAACCAAACACTGCATGTTCTTACTCGTAAGTGGGAGTTGAAATGAGAACACATGGACACAGGGAAGGGAACGACACCCACCAGGGCTTGTTAGGGGTGGGGAGCAAGGGGAGGGAACTTAGAGGACAGGTCATTAAATGCAGCAAACCACCATGGCACATGTATACCTATGCAGCAAACCTCACGTTCTGCACATGTCTCCTGGAACTTAAAGTAAAAATTAAAAGAAAAATTTACACCTGTCTCTTCTACTCACAAAAGCAAATTGGGATGCAGTGGAGTATGCCATTAAAAAAATAGAAAGCTTAAATTTTCTCCAATATTAGGAAAAGGCAAATACATAAGTACTTAGAGCAACTGAGATGGCTTCTCCAGAATGTAGTAAAGGGAAGAAAGTTAGATGGAGGGGTAGACAGCAGGTGCCATTGGCTTCCCAGAGCTCCTGTCCAAAAGGGATTGTAAAACATAACTGAAATCTAATGAGTGGGAGGAATTTATATTATTAGAACTTCTGTTAGGGGGACAATTACATAGCCTTCTTTGATAAGCTGTTTGGAAAGAAGGAAGAGGGCTAAAATTCTAAATGATTATCCTTGAGCAGAAAGAAAACATTGTTAAATCGTCTTCTAAGGAAGGTGAGTCCAGTTAAGAGAAAGGCTTTTGATTTAATGGGTTCAGTTAGTTGAGGTGCTAACAACAGTAGACTTCTTTTCTGCTCTTCTATCACTCAATACTAGGGATTGTATCTCAAAAAACTTAATAAATATAAATACCAGTTTAATGAAGTGACAAATTATTGGCTTGCTCTGGAGGTCAAATGACCACTGTGAAAAATCTGCAGCTTACTAGGGGTGTCCACAGGTCTCCATCCAGTTCTGATAGAAGGGCTGGTATTCCAGAAACGACTGTGAAAGACAGAAGACAAAGGAAAGGAAGGTCCTCATCCTTCATTATGGGAAGGGAAAAGCCAACTAAAGCAAGGGGTATTCAGGAAACATAATATATTTGATTTGTTTGAAATAATTCAATAGAAAGAGGCTTTTTTTTAAAAGTAATGTTTGAAGTAAGACCGAAACACAGTGGCACAAACTTTAGGAGTCCACAAGAGCTCAGGTCATAGATTATTTCTAGTGAAAAGCATCAGAACTAATTTCTTTCAAAACATTCCCAAAACAACAAACCCTGAAAAGTAGAGAGCCACCACACTAACAATACAACCCTTCAATCTTTAGTAAAACAAAAATAGCCATAGCATCAAACCATACACAGTCATATGTACTGTGAAATACTGTAAAAATAGAAATCGAAGTCTGCACCAAGATGAGGGAAGAATCTGAGAGTCAACACAAACTTCAAAAATGGCAGATGAAAGAGGTTTCCTTTAAAGGGTTACAGTTTCAAGAGTAATATCTGACAATCTGATTAGAGTATCAGGACATGGGAATGGCTGTATCCTATGAGTAAGGAAATGACCTAGAAATTTCATGCTGCAGAAAGTCAAGGGAGGTGGTACTGAAGGCAAAATCATTTTATTGTCCATTCCTCAGGATCATCACATAGGAACAGTGCCAAAGAGGAAGTTGCATGAAGGAGGAAGAGGAAACAGAAATTTCTAGATTCTGACACACAGAGCTGTGTTGGAGGGAGGAAAGGGAGAGGGATGGAGGAGGAGAGAAAGAGAGAGAGAGAGATTGAGAGATTGAGAGATTGAGATTGAGTAAAATTGCCCTAATCAAGAATTAGAGTAATTGAGTAAATGGCCTTTTTCAAGAAAAAGTAGCTAATTACAGAAACAGCATGAAATCATCAATTAGACCCAAGTAAAAAGGAAGAAGGGCTATACATCAGAAGATGAATTATTCAAGAAACCAGTGGAATTCAGACAAATAGTTAACCTATAGTTAAAAAAAAAATATTTACATATTATGCAATGGAAAGAGTATTTAAAAAGAACTATAAGTATTCAAAAAGATGAAAAGCAGTGGGTAGAGCTCAGGAAATTAGTGGAATTAACAAATCCCTATAAATGTCAAAGTAGAAGCAAAATAAAATATGCATGACTGAAAACACAGAATGGTATACAAACTAGAAGAAATTATATAAAATGAAAAGAAAAAGATTAAAGACATAAAATATGTCTATGAATAGTTTTAGTATATTGATAAAAGTGATTACAGTACACAAGAAAAATAGGACTAGTTCTCTTGAAGAAGAGAATAGAGCAAATGCCACAGAAAAAAAAATTAAAGATGTAATAGAAGAAAAGTTTTGAAAATACAGAAGGACTTAAATTTCCTTACTAAAGTGACACACTTAGTCCCAGGAAAATTTGACATAGAACAATTAATCTAACAAATCCTAGTGTAGCTATTAAAATTTAGGAATTAAAAATATAGCCATATGGTGTTCCAGGCAGCACAGGTAAATCATACTAACCAAGGGGGTGGTGGTGGGAGGAATGACCTCAGAGAACTTCACAGCAACACTGAGTGCTACATGAAAAAGTGTGCAAAATTTAGAGAAATTTAAATATAGATATATTATTTTATACCGTGACATGCTCTTCCAGTATAAGACCATTTGCAGACACTGTGAAACATTCAGAAACTAGAGAGTAGCCTAACCATGATTCTTTCTGGAAAAGTAACTGAATGCTTAAATCTAATAAACACAAAATTACAGCAAGGCACTTTCCCTTACAGAGAAAACTTGGTAAAATAACAAAGGGGTGAACATATTTCCTGTGCAGCATAGAATAAGACCAAACAATATTGGGGATATACTTATAAATGTAAATAATATAACATTTTCAATAATAAAATCCTAAATAACTTGGAAGACTATCTGGAAGGAAGAATAATTGTACTAATTTCCTCATCAATGAGAAAGATTTGGTCTAAAATAAAAACACTTTTTATTAAAAACACTTCTTTCAGAAGCTAATATTTCTTGGGTCAAATAAACATTTATTTGAAGTTCAGTCATTTTTCAAGTTCATTTAATTTCTTTTTCTTCTTAAAATTCAAGTAGAACTAAACATAAAACATTTTTGCTAAGGAATAACCACTGTGGCAGAATCATATTTTTATCTGACTATTCATCTCTATCAATCTCTCTACACCAACACATAGGGCCATCTAGAATGGTGTTGTTCACTAAATATTAAGATATTTATTTATGTGTATATTTATGTATGTGTTTATTTATGAAATGACTAGATGATGTAATTTTTCTTTGTATATTTTTGTATTATTTAAATTTTATAGCAGTTATTTAAATATTCTTAAATATAGTTTGTAAATATTCTTTTGACAAGTTTTTAAGTATTCTTTTGACAAACAGCAATATAGTTGCATAAAATCAGGCTGGGGTGTTTTTATAACTCTCTACTCAGTCAACATACAATTACAAGAAACGGCATGGAGCTGAGAAAATCTCTGCATTCTTTTAGTTTTAGACATCTATGGAATTGTGAACTTCCTGTGGGATTTATCTTGCGTTTATCTAAATTTAGAAAGAACATTTTAAACCTCGGGATGATTTTTTAACACCCAGTATGTTTCTGATCCATCTCTCTAGTCTTTATCAGTATGTTTAGAAAATGTTTTAACAGCAAAAAGTAAAATACATGTACGAAGATATTAGCAAGACATTCCAAAGTCAAATATAAATCATTTGAGCCAATTTATAATTAGAAATTTTACCTGCCACTGGTTCTGATGTGACCATACTTTATTTTCCAAGCTATTCAGAAATGTAGATCAAAAATCTTGCACTGAGAATAAAAGATGTATTATGTTGGTGCAAACATAATGGCCAAACTGCAATTATTTTTGCACCAACCTAATATGACCTAACTTACTCACATTCATAAAGATTGCTTTGCAGAATTCCAGTTTGACTTCAATTGGCTTTTGTAGATATGTATTATATTTCTATATTGTTGTTGTTGTTGTTGTTGTTTTTTGACAGAGTCTTGTTCTGTTGCCCAGACTTGAGTGCAGTGGCATGATCTTGGATCACTGCAACCTCCGCCTCCTGGGGGTTCAAGCAATTCTTGTCTCAGCCTCCCTAGTAGCTGGGATTACAGGTGCCTGCCACCACGCCCAGCTAATTTTTGTATTTTTAGTAGAGATAGGGTTTCACCATGTTGGCCAGGCTGGTCTCGAACTCCTAACCTCAAGTGATCCACCCACCTTGGCCTCCCAAAGTGCTGATATTACAGGCATGAGCCACCGCACATGGCCTATTGTCGGATTTCTAAATGCTCTAATTATCCAGATTATATTGCAATAGCATGGCTATTCTCGTCTAGAGTTTTAAGTCTGCCAGAATGCTACAAATGAACAAATTGTGAATGTCTAGATACCTTGATATCAAAGAAGATTGGTCTTTACTGCTGATTATCTGGCCAGTTTTTCATCTACCCTGTTGGGACAGCTTTATTTCGGTAATTTTAGACACTTGCTTTCAGTGTTGTGAAACTGCAATAGAATGCATTTTAACAGTTCAAAAAACATGAATGGTTACTCTTGGGTGGCATTTTCTCATTCGGTATATATTAAATCTATCAGTCAAAGGAGAATGCAAACTAAAATGTTTCCATTTTAAAATTCCAAAATTTCCAAATTTACCTAGAAAAGTTTCACTTAATTTAGCTAAAAAGTAAAGTTTAGTTGAAATTGTGAGAAATGACAGAGGAAACTGGTTTTCTTAACCAATAAAATGCCTAAAAATTGGTAGTAGACATTGAACTATAAAATTAGTATTCTTTGGTAATTGGTTCAAATACAAAAACATAAAACCTCGGAGAACTCCCATTTACTCACAATTATTTCTGAATAAAAGTAGTTGTTTGTCAGTTCACAAGAGGTCTTCCAGACTGAGTTTAACTTGATCATGTTTAAATAAACTCACACAAAAATCTTAGAAATGTCCCAAACAGAACCTAACTCCCTACAGTAATTTTTGGTTTCTCTAAGAATTCAGAAGCATTGGCTTAAGCAAATTTCATTAGGGAAATCCACACCATCTACCTTTCTGACCTCTTCCACCCCCCCCATTTTTGTCTTTACGAATGCCAGCAATATCCATCATGAGTAACTCAACTTTCTATAAAAGTAACAGTTCGTAAAAATCTGTAAAACTACTACTGGGAACAAACAAATTAAACAAATGACAATGTTATACAATAAAACTGCTGTTGTCCTCTGGTAGAAGAATTGCTTCTTCTCTGGGACTAATACATCTTGCAGGAACAATTTTAAATAATATGTAACATATGGAGTCAGCTTTTATTATTCTTCTCAAAGAAGACAATTATATTTATGTGATAAACTGTTCAGTGTTGGTAGCATGATACTCATATTACCGGCCACTTAAATAATTCCTGACATGTTCCTATGTGGATCTGCAGCTCACTTCTCTTGAAACTCCTCTTACATTTTAAGCCCCATCTCTTAACAATGGCACTTATATGCCCCTTTAGCAAGATCAGGAGGGTGGCCAGCTGTACGTGAGACCAGTGGAGAAATGATTTCCCTGCACTAGACGTAGCCAATGTACACTCATCTCTCCCTTTCCACACTTCTTCCATCTACACAGTTCCCATCTGAGTGTTCCCATATCCCTGAAGAAAAGCTGGGACTCAACCTGAGCCAGTTCTTGGTAGAATGAAAGAAAAACAGCTTTCAAGATTTAGCTTTGCTAAAGGAACTATCAATCTGGTGTTAACCATGAAAAGTTTTTGAAGTATTGTCTCCTCCTCACCCATTGGCAAGCTGGTATGAGAAGTGTTTTATATGACTTTAAAAGAAGTCTTTGGGGAAAGAGAGATGCCAGTAGACATCTGCTGAGTTGCCTTTCACAATTCATCTAGAAATGCTTAATAAAAGTAGAAAAAAGTTTGTCTCCACATCTTTTAGTTCTACTGTTCCCAACCCACACAGACTTTCTGAAGGAGAGAAATGAATTTCCAAATTGTCACTTTGGCTCACTCATCGGTTGCCACTGTGTGTTTAGATAACACTTGTTAAAAAGTGATGGAGTTTGCTCTGCCACCTCATGCTTCTGTAACGAATCTCTTACAGAGTATCAGTTGGGGTAGGATTTATCAATGCCCCTCCTCATTGCCCCACAGAGTGAGTTGAATAATTCTAATAATCAAAAGCACAGAGTCTGCATCTAGTTTGGAAATGAAACCATGGGTAATTTTCAAAAGTAGTGCCCTCGATTTTTGATGAACTGTCACAGAAACAGGAATTACCACAATTCAGAAATCACATCCACTAACCGACAGAGATCAGCATCTGTGGATGATTTCTTCTAACCTACTACCCTCAAATTTCTTCCCTGCCCCCCTAATAAAAACACACCCTTTTGCCTCATGCTTCCAATTTAGTGCAATCATGCCTCTTACTGGCCATTGCCTTGCAGGACAGCAGCTGTCAAATACACAGAGGCAAGGTATGGGGGTTTGAAACATAAAGCCTCATAATGTGAAAGATGTGCACATCTTATATCACGTCTAATATTAGACTCCAATGGGGCTGCTCAGCCTGCAGAAGCAAACACTCTTCACATCATAGACACTTGAAATAAAAGAGTGCTAAATGGCACTTATCACTTTCCAGAGTCTTTAGAGATAATGTCATTCAGGAAAAGAAACTGACCTCTTCCTTCCTCCCTTTACCCTCCCCACCAATGAAATGATTGTGAAAGAGAAGCTCCAATCCTTGGAAAATTTTAAGCAATTGTCTTTGAAGATGAGAGTTTTTGCTCTTCCAAAGATTCTGGGAATGTGAAGTTGGGGGAGATGCCGGAGAATAGCGACAGAATGTGCCATTTCCGGAGTTGAGACAGCTAATTCCAAGTATAACCTACATTTTTTTCCTGTAACTCATTTAAGACCTATTTATTTACATTGTTGTACTAATCCCTTTGCCAGGCAGTAGAGGTAAAGGTAACAAGCCCTCCCTACTTGCTATTAGGGAATTCAAGCTCTCGAAGTGAGAAGGTAAATGATTATACAGTACTAAATGCTATGGCAAATGCATGGATAAAATGAAGGAAAACCAGAGGAGAGAAGGAGAGGTTGCCTCTCCCTGGGAAATTTAAGGACAGTTTCAGAGAGGTGATAACATATTAGCTTGATTTTGAAGGATGAATAAGAGATTTGTAGGTGGGTGTGGGGCTGTGGGGCTATGGGGCTGTGGGGTGGAAGGGCACTCCAAGATGTGACTGCAGTGTGGGCAATGACACATAGCCATGTACCAGCTGGCACAGCAAGTTGCTTGTTTGCCACAATGAGCCCAGTTCTCTGTAAAGTGAAACTATAAAAAAAATGCAGCTTCTCTAACCTTTATGGCATATTGAGACAAATGTCACTTGGCACTTGCATCTTCTGGCTTTTTGTGGAGCTAATTAGTCCATCGAGTATGCCTGAAAACATGGACGGTGTTCAAGCATACCTGTGTGAAGCTGGTTACCAATTCTGTGCCTGCAGTCAAGTTACTGATCACATTCTACCTCAGTTCCTTTAGCTTAAAATGAGAATGAAAATAGAACCTGCTAAGTGGGATTATTGTGATGATCACAAGATACTACTGTTCAAAACTTAGCACATACAGTACCTAGCCCATAGGAAGTGCTCAGTATATATTAGTTATCATTAAGACCATCATTATTAAACATCCATTATTTATAGGCACTTTCTTGCACAGCTTGAGGGTAAAAATATAAAAGTCAAATATGATCCTATCCATGAGGATCTAGATGGTTTTGGTTGGGAAGACAAGGCACAAGTGCATGAATTAGTATAAAGGGAAAATTACATATATTAATTAGAATTATGTACCAATATATTTGTAATGATACAGAAAACAAAAAACTAGGATATTTTAAAGTATTAAAATATTAAATATTTTAAGGTATTAAAATAATTGTGATAAAACGCATATTAAAATTTAAAAATACATCTAAAAGAAGGATGAGTAAGAAAATGAGCTGAATTCATCACAGGAACTTGGAACCTCAGTGGAGTTTTGAAAAATGGGCTAAGCAAGAGAATTTCGGGAAAAGAAGAGATCCAGAATACAGAATCTGTTGTCACCGGCAAGTCATCGAGGTGGAAATAAACATACCATTCTCTGCCTGTAATAATTATATTTGTCTGCAGGAGCATAAGATTCGTGTTGGGCGTGGGCTGGAAATAATTGGATGTGGTCAGCTTCTGGAGAATATGTTGACCTCTGGAGAAATTTATCTGGCTTTGGTACTAACAGATACAGGAAATCTTTAGTTAAATTTTGTCTTTTCATTTCCTATTTACTTGCAATGGCACAAATCTCTGAAAAAATTGACATATTAAATACTCGTTGTTGGGACAACTTCTTTCACCTGTCTTTAGCCCCTAATTAAGTCACCATTACATAAAATGAAGTAGAAAAAATTGTTCGAGTTTCTACTGCAATTTTAGAGTATGCCATAAGCCTGGTCTGTTGGGCTTATGTTCACATCATTGAAAATTTAGGGAGAATTAGAAATAAAAAGAACTTTTCTTCAGCTCTCAGTGTTCTTTCTTAATAAAACAAATGTTTTGAAGAAACATTTGTTTTATTAAGAAAGAACACTGAGAGCTGAAGAAAAGTTCTTTTAACCTGCACAATGTGCACATGTACCCTAAAACTTAAATAAATAAATAAAAATAAAAATAAAAAAATAAAACAAATGTTTCAGTGCTGGTAATGGAGAAAAAAAGCTCTGTGCAGGGAGTGCTGGAAAAGTTCAGAATCTTAATTCTTGCCCACTTAAAATTATACCCCCCAAATATTTATTAATAAGAAATCAAGCTTCATCTTCTACTTAGGAAGTTGCATGATCAGCACTATTCTTCCCTCGACAAAAAGATCTGGCTGATTTATACTAAGTGGGGCATAGCCTCTGGGCAGTCTTCCTGGAAACAGGGATGCATTTGAGTTGCTCCCTTTATTCTTTTTGGACGAGCTCCCCTCACGGTCGTGGGCACACCTATCTGAGAATGCTGGTCTGAATGAAGGGCACAATTGATATCCATGGAACAAAGAGCATCATTTATCCTAGGCATCCTACAACTATCCTAGAAACTCTGAGCCCCACCTCAACTAACTAAATGACGTTTTGCAAGGACAGAAAAACATGGTACTCAAATTTAAACAGATTCAAATGTAATGAGACAAAGTTAGGGCCTATGATTTTGAGCCAGCTACAAGTGTTCTCCTTGCAAACTTGTGTTTGAATTAGTTTTCCATTCAGTAACAAATACTAATCGCAACTTTACACTCTCTGATTTAACCATCCTGAGAAGTCGATGTACTTAGATGCTTCCTATCACATTTTAAATGCTCTCTTAAATATTCAAATTATATAATTATGCTTAATTATGCGATACATTGTATTTGAATACACAATCATAATACAGTTTTGGCATCATTGTCATCTTACAGCATTTGCCTTATTATGCTGTGGCATTTTGAGTATTTCTGATCAAACAGTATAAATGGAACAGGTTTTGCATACTTAGCATCTTAAAACCCACTTTAAAGAGATTTACTATCAATGTACATTTTCTGTTCAGCTGGAAAAAATAAGAACTTTGTAGTGTATATTATGAAATGTTAAATATTAATACTATTTAAAGTTAATGGTATGCCAAAGAAAATGGCTAATAATATATTATACAATTAAATGCCTATCATATTAGCTCATCTATTAACAAAATAAAATAGATTCAAACAGAAGAGTTCTGATTTGTAGTTTTTTTAGCAAGAGTTGCCCATGCGTAAAAACTAAATTATTTATTCAATTTTTAAACTGCTGGATACATCAGTTTGCAATTATTTGCATATTTGAATGCTTTGTCATGTGTCCCTGATACAACAAAAACAGTAAACAGTTTTCTCTTATTGAATAAAAGCATCTTCTTCTGCACAGGGATACCACTAAAAATGACCAAAATTATCAACCAAAAAACTACCCCCCCACCTTTTTTAAAAATGTATAGAGCGCCATTGGCGCTTTCTAGATGGCCTAGAGTCATCAAAGATTTCAACATTACTCTCCCTGGCCCTTTGCTGGATTGTATTTGCTATCAGGTCTTGGCAAGATTTTCATCTACATAATTCCACATCATTATTCTGGCCCTCTCAATATTTACCTTTGCCTGTTGAAAGTTAAATCTCTCATCTTTCATACTCCATGTTGTAATTTTCTATTAAATATCTTGGTACTTGAATGACAACATGTGCTTAGCTTTAATGATAGTTTTTTTTCTTTTCAATGTTGGTTGCCTAAAAGACCTTGAAAGCATGTGGTTTTTGCTCCTAAAACATTTCAAAGATTATGTATAAATGAAATACTCAGGACATATGAGGGTCCACACTTATACCTGAGCTAGCAAACCAACGTAACTTGGACATGATTACCCCTTTCCTGAACCAATCAATTGCTGTGAGGTTTATGTACATCAGCTCCCAAAGCAATTACTGAATATTTTTAAAAAGTTCCCAAAACTCTGCAAAATTAATTTATCTAAAGAGTTTTAAGCACGTTCAAAGACTGCTTGCAAGTAAGAGAATTGCCTGAGTGACATTTGACATCTCTTCTATCTGTACAGTCTGGCATTTTTTGTCTTAACTGTAAAAATTCACTTACTCGTTGTAGAGAGCATCTTATTTCTGAACATAGTGCACCAGGTTTCCTCTGGGGAGTATCCCCCTCCTTATACTGCAGTTCCTGAATTCTGGATGGGAATCTCCCTCTACCTCCATGTAGGGGGCTTGTTACCTTGTTCTAAGCCAATCAGCCCATTCTATTTCCTTAGCCACAGTGAGTGATTCAGGGATGAGTTAATGACACAATTTTGGTTAATAATAGTCAGGTGCTTTGGGAAAGGAGCTTCCTGAGGGACTAGAAGCAGGGATCATGTTGATCCAGAACTGCTGGTGGTCATTTTACAACCATGCAAAGCCTGAGTATGAAGCTAATGGGGAGGAGAGCAGAGCTGAGAGACCGAGAGAGGTTAGGCCTTACGATTCTGTTTAAGCTTCAGAATTTAGTTATGCTTGAAGCTGCATCATTTCCTGATTTTTCCAGTTACATAAAGGAAAAAAATCCTTTGGTTTTTGTCCCTTAAAATCAGAAGAGTCCTAACTGATTCACTTGTATGTTTTATTTTCTGCTTTGTTTCCCTAATGGTGCTGAGTTTTCCAGCTGCAGCATTCTCATATCTTGAAAGATCAAATATGTAAAGAAATCGAAAGTCAACATTTCTTTACAGTCCCCAGTGAAGGGGATTACATTTTAGCTCGTATGAGGAATGGTACACGAGTGTGTTCAAAGTCAACAGATGACTTAAGTCAAATATTGAAATGTGGTGCAGATGGTAGGTTTCATCTATTTTTTCAGGGCCTAAGAATTTGTCTTAATGAAAATAAATCTCACCAACCTGAGCCCAAAGTAAGTGAAGGTAAAGTGGGAAGACTTTACTTATACATTCCATTGTAGATGTTCTCTCTTTCAAGTGATTTGCTTTTATTTTCAAGTGATTTGCAATTAGGAGGATTAGTTTTAGCTATAGTTTGATGACAGCTTTGTAGACAGAAAGATAGTCTATATGGTCATCAGCTAAAATCATTAATTGGGCTGGGACATTTCTTCAATGGAGGATTACTTTGGACTTCCTTTCATTCCAATAGAAATAACCTCAATCTATGAACTAGAGTCAACCAAAATAGTTTAGTCATACTTTATATCAGAAAGAAATTTAGTCAGTGGGTGAAAAAGAGGTGGTAAAATTGTTAAGTAAAATGTGACTTTTTAATCTAACTCAACTCCCAGAGTTCTTTTTTCTTTATCATATAATCCTCCCTTCTTCTGATTCTTCTGATATTTCCTGTTCTTTGCTGTATTCCATTAAAGGTATGCTAGGTTATATGATGTCCTACCAGATTAAAAGATTTGTGTTCATGATTACGTCGATAGAGTGTAAGACTCAGATGTTATTTGTATAACAGTCAATTTTTTCTTAATCCAATATCTTAAACCGGAAACATAAAGTGCATGGTGTGCATATTCAGGCACTTGGTTTTTTCTTTTTAAATAATATCTGTGCCATACATTATTAATGTGATCCATTATGGATGGATCACAGAACTCTTTCCCACTTATTTAGGACAATGTTTCAGTATCCTTCTTAACACAACCATCTGGTCAGTCACCAAGAAACAACTGTATTTAGTATAAGAGGTGAAATTATTTGTCTTTCCTGCCTCAGCCAATGAATTGATTTTCAAATTGTGGCATCTCAGGCACAGTGAAATGCTGGTGGGAAATTATTTTGTAAAGAATTCCCTTCAGTGGCACATAAGCATCCACCTACACTGCTGTCAAATCAGGTTAGTCCATGAGTATTTTAAACGTAGTTAAATAAGAGATAGAGATTTGGGTGTTAATGAACAGTGCTTTTTATAATATCATTTGAATATGGATATACTCAGTGACCTAAGTGAGTTTGTGTTCCACCTCCTCCGGTTTAGATTATTTATAAAATAATTCAGGGCACTTCTTTGTCAGAATAACACATTCCTTCCATCTAGAGAAGGCTAAATTGAGTATTCCACTCTCTGCCTTTTTCCTTCCCTTTTGCCCCCAGAATAAGACTATTAACATGGAAAGCAAAATACAGGCACTATTAGAACGGTATCATCTCTTATTTACTTCACAAAACAGAATACAATATGGGTTGCTGTGAAATACAAATGAACTGTAATCCTCATCAGGTTTGGAAATAATGGATTCAGGCTAACATTTCCAGAAGAAATATGAAGGCAGTATTTTAAATTTCCTATTCTTTCCCAAATGAGTTTGCACAAAATGTGTCGCTAAGAAGAGTAATGTGCCCATCACATAGTGAAATTTCCCACTTGCAAAATGAAAATGAAAAGTCTGCATTTTAGGATGGTGTATTTAAACACATGCACCATGCTGTCCTTACAGTAGGGAAAAGAAAGCTCCCCCTACTGGGGCATAAAAATGCCTCCTCTCTTTCCTGCACCCCATGGCTGTGTCATATGCAGGAAGGCGCAGAAACATATAGTCTTCCCCTTATCCCTCACAGAATCCTGGTTCTCTCATCAAAACATTACATTTTCCTCATTTTAGTTAATTAAAGGACAGCTGGACGTTTCATTATTGCACCAGTCTCAGCTCTGTCTAGTTGAAATGGGGCATATAAAGGTCTTGGTCCCAAAGACATTTTCACCAGAGATAAACAGTTTTAAAATCCATGCCTCCAATGGAGAAATTTGAAAAAGTAGTAAAAGTAATCTTTAAAGTGTACACATATGTGTGTCTGCGCACAGTTTTTACAACACACAAGTACTTACACATATAGGGAGAGTGAAACTCAGCAAGGTAAGAATTTTCACTAGAGAAATATATATACATGTCAGAATGAAGAAATAGATTTATGTGATTTGCGAGTTGGTATTAGTGATCGGATATTAGCATGTATTGGAAAATCTCTAGACATGTGAAACTCAATATGTGTATCTATTTTACTCTGTAAGCATAAAAAACTAATGTAAATGTGAGAAGTTTAGAGATTTAGAGGCATAGCCAAACTAAAGATAAAAATAATTGTTCCCATGACAATACGTAAGGTAACACATTTTATCCAGAGGGCAAAGAGGTTTACACTGCAAAGGATTCTAACGAAAATTTTCCTCAGAAGACATTTCTAAGCTTTTATAGTTGAAGTGTTTGCTGTCTACAGGAAAAAAATAAATCTATAGTTAACCAAACCTAAAGATATTTCTACCAATTCTAGCTAATGGGGGCATGGCCAAGAGGCTATTTAGCATGTTCCCTATATTTTTTCATGCTTTTACTGCCACTGGCATGAGACACTTTGGGGACACTCCCTGCTCGTCATAACCAAGTGGGCAGCCTTTATCAATAGAGAGGATTCGAACAACTGTTGCCTTCAAAATAGGTTTAATGAACAGTTCCCCATTTTCAAGAAGACGCTCATATTTTCATCTTTTTTATTATTATTTTTTAATTTTATTATTATTATACTTTAAGTTTTAGGCTCTTTTATCTTTTGAAATAAATCCTAAAGACTGTGGCTCCTTGAGAATCAGCCAATAAACAAGGCACTCTAACATTCTCTACCCATTTGAAATGAGCAAATGACCTGCTTCCAAAGTAGCTTTAGGCTCTTTCTACAATAAGGAAGGTCTTTGGGCTTTGTATATTGGAAACTTGGGTAGTCAAGGTTGCCACCTCTTAGAAATCTGAGGCATTACACTCATGTTGTTTTGCAAACCACACTGATTAGATTTTTGACGAGATGATTCCAAACTCTAAGGGATGTGTGTGAGTGAGTGTCAGTGTGGCTGCAGAGGTAGAGATCAATCATAGATGTTCTTTGCCCCTTCTCTTGTCTCCTTTAATAGGTTCAGGTACCACTATTTTCAGATACAGGTGATTTCGTTTGGCTACAGTCTAGAAACCATCCTTGGTTAGAACCTCCACTGATAATGCACATTTTCAAGAAAGTAATACAAATAGTCACAGACTAAAAATAATTCATATTTTTTTCTCCTCTCAATCTTGATTTTATTAGACATAAAATATAAGAGAGGCAACCTTTTCTAGAAATGGACCAAATATGAACCTGAACAAACATGGATAGGGGAAATATATACATCAAAGATTTGTCACTCGTTTCCAACAACTAGAACTGGGTTACCTCTTGTAAAGGAAGAGTGCACCTCCAAACCCACTATACTAGGTATACTGGATCCCATAAAATTTCCAATTACTGCTTCAGAATTTATTGTGCACATATGGAAAATAATACTTGTAAAACAGAAAGGGGTTTGTGCCTTGTGCTGTCAATACTGTGAAGGATGGGGTGATTATAAAGCAAATTAACAATACTTTTAAATGTGCATTCACTTATCTTTCCAATTAAATCCTTGTTAAACAACTGCACAGACAGTAATGGCGCTTCTGCAAAGCACTGATCAAGACAGTTTTATTGTAATTTTTACTCTGTAACAATTAATCAAGTCGGCATTTTCTTTATTATTAAATTATTTAGTTAATAAATATTCTGAATTGGCTAACATATTTGTAGTTTACATGTTATTTTTGATTTTCCTAGAGTGGAACATATTTGGGAGTATTTTCGTTTTCTAGCAGAGGGACCATTAATGGATGTGATTTTATAAATTTCTTTTCTCTAGAAGAACAAGAGAAGTCCTTGAAACTTTAAGCCCTTTAAAAACCTTATTTCAACCATTTTATTTTGTAAGGGATGCAAAACACATTGCTTTTAGCAGATAAGAAATGTGAAGTTTTGCTTTAAGGCATCTTTCTGTTGGAGTAAGCATTAAAATTAGCATTTTAAAAGTTCATTAATACCAGTTACAGACTTTTGAGTCATGAAGCTGCACTGTAGTTAGCATTTCCATTTCTCATCCCAGTAAAATGAAAAGTACCTGAATATTGTTTCTTCTATAAACACACAAGATGGAATAAAGAAACAAATATAAAGGTATCTAGAGGTATTTTTTTAATTTATGAATTTCCATTTTTGTAATCTAGAGATTTGAATTTATCTAGCTAGTATCTTTTACCACTTTTAAAGTGCTTTGCATGGTTCTCAATATGGCTCTTTGTGTTTTGGTTGTATGTTTTATCTTTTAAAATTTTTATTTAGGAGGGATTCCTACATAACTAGATTAGCAGTGAGAGTAGTGGTCTCAGAAATCACGCGTGGATTTAGGATTCAGGATGGCTATATTAATTCAGAAGTAAAAATACACATATGACAGAGACAAGAGTTTCATGAGTCAGAAAAAGAAAATTCCAGGTAAGCCTGGCTTTATAGCTGTCTAAGTGGTGTGATTTGAGGTGAGTCAACACTACTGTTGAAAATACCTTATGTAGAGACTGGAAATCCTCACTATTTACCTGATTATATGACGTCTCTTACCTTATATTCCCAGGAGTAGCAGGAAGCATGACCTACTGTGCTCAGATGAACAAATGATCACCTTAGAAAGTCTGAGTGGACTCTTGAGAGATGGGGATGATAACGCTGAGAACAGGGCAAGGGAAAGGGAGAGGGAGAGAGGAATGGGGAAGATGGCTGTGTGCATAGAGTATGACTATGGAGAAAGTGGGCTCAGTAAGACTCAGTGTCTTACAGGTGTCAGGGGTGAGGACAGGGGTGAAATGAAGGCTCCAAAGGCACACACAGGTGGGTGATGATTTTAAGCCAGGTAGATCTTTGTGAGGTAGAAGTGTAATGCTGAGTATTTTGGCACCCAGAAATAAGAGGATCTGGCAGGCACAGCTTTGCTGAAAGCCTACAATGCAGATGGCACATGATGGGCATAGGGAGGAATCCAGAGGAAACTGAAAAATAGCTCAGTCTCCAGCATCTAACAGTCATGAAAGGGAGAGAAGTGGCATATGAAATAGACTAAAACCAGTACTGAAACACAGGGACAACATGCTATGGGAACACAGTGGAAGAAGCAGCTAATTCCTGTTGAGATTTATGCCAAGAATCATGAGATCTGTGTCAAGGAGGTGAGCTCATCCATCAGCAAAACCACTGATGATGTGCATCTTGCTCTGAAAGACTGTTCTGCTGGGACCTATCAAATAATAATACGCATACATACTCCAGCCCCCAGGACTGATGGGATATTGAATTCCAACATCCTAAGCAGATAATGGTGAGTGAACCCCTTATGGCTGCCAGACATGAAAGTAATAGACTAACAAGAAGAGGGAGTGGGGTACTTGCTCAGGAAAAATGTAGCCAGAGAGTGAGGAGACCACAAAAAGACAAACAATCTGGAGAAGTAGAAAGGATGAGGAGATGGTGAAACAGCAAGAAATGCAGATGCCACCAATACCTGCTGCTATTTAAAGGGAATTATTCCATGGGCTTTTTAGAATCCCATGGATGTTAGGAGACTGTGGCTGGGATTTCATGTCACCTTCTCTCTAAATTACCAGGAAACACATAATGCCTTCTCCAAATCTCAGCTGAATGAAGAAATGCAACTCTTAGCAACTCATTCAAATTCATAGAGACTTTAGTTCATCTATAAAGTGGGTAGCTTTCTTACAAAGATTTAGTGTAATAGCATTTCAAGTGCTTTAGAGCAGTGGTCCCCAGCCATTTTGGCACCAGGGACCAGTTTCGTGGAAGACAATTTTTTCACAGATTGTAAGGGGAAGAGTATGGTTTCAGGATGATTCAAGCACATTACATTTATTGTACACCTTATTTCTATTATTGTTACATGCTCACCATAATGTAGAATCAATGGGAACCTCAAGCTTTTTTTCCTGCAAATAAACAGTCCCATTTGGGGGTTATGGGAGACAGTGACAGATCATTAGGCATTAGATTCTCATAAGGAGCATGCAACCTAGATCCCTCCCATGTGCAGTTTGCAATAGGGTTTGTACTCCTATGAGAAATTAATGCCACTGCTAATCTGACAAGAGGTGGAGCTCAGGGGGTAATGCTCTCTCACCTGCCACTCACCTCCTACTGTGCTGCCAGGTTCCTAACAAGCCATGGACTGGTACTGGCCCCTGGCTGGGGGGCTGGAAACCCCTGCTTTAGAGAACTCAAGTACTGACATTCTCTTGGTTCTGTTGGTATGTTCTGTAAATTCTATTCTGTTAAAAAAAAGGATTGACCTGTTTGAAACAAGACATATCTTCTCTTTTCTTCAATATTTGTTTTCAAAAGAAATAATGTGTAAATTGCAGGAAATTGGGAAGGTATTTTGAAAAACGAAGACAATAAAAATCACCAATACCTAATGCTAACATTTTATGTATTTCTTGCTATTGTTTTTGGAACTGAGTTCAATAGTACACAGTGAAAAATTGTTCACTTTGAGACTGATCTCCAGCATGTGCCAAATTCCTCACCTTCTTTAATAAAAAAATGGTCCAACTCTGGATGGAATCAATCAATAAATTAAAATGTGTAGTGCTTCTATCAGCTGCAAAATATTCTTCTGGGTAAAGTAGGAGAGACAGGTTTAAAAGATATGAACTCTGCCCTTAAGAAATGTTTAGTGTGTTGAGTAGATAAGATATAAGCATGTGATTTTCACTAGTGATATATAACATTATACACAATATGAGGTTATTGTAAATTGAGTAGTTGAAGTTGTAAACATAGGATTTAAAATGAGGAGTGATTCTTGTGGTTTGGGGGGAGGTTCCAGGGAAAATTTGAGTGACATTTAAATAATCCAAGAAGAACTTGAGATAAGCCCTTTCTTTATAAAATATTCTTTCCTTTAAAAAATGTTATACTTCATTATATTACAATAGATTACTTCATTAGGATGGTTGTAAGGGACACATTTAGATATAACTTCCATATGGTGTAGCAATTTCCATTGTAACAGGTTCATTATCTCATGGGATTGACTCATCTTAAAAGAAAATATATTCTTGCTTTAAAGATAATAAAATTGACCTGGGGAGGTTAAATGACTTGGGCAAGACAACACAATTATTAAGAGGTGACATGAAAATTGACCTAGGCTTTCTAACTCCTGGGCCACTCTTCTCTCTACACTTTATTGCTTAAAGGAAATGGTTTAAAAGGCATATGGAAAATAAGACAAATAGAATATGAAGTATTCCCTCATACAAATCAGCCACCACTATTATAGCTTGACTGTGCTACTGTAACAACCTTCTAATTTGTCCCCTGTATGTACTCTTTCCCCCTACAATTCATTCTTCTCTTAGCCAGTGGAATAATTTAAAAACAAATAAATAAATAGGTTCAGCTAATTTTCTGCTTACTGCTGCCCTACACCCCACTGACATTCCACTGAGCTTAGAATAAAAGCCAAGCTTCTAATCTTGATTGGCAAGGCCTACCTGGCCTGGCTTTGCCCATCCCTCTGGCCTTCTGTGTGTCCTGATCTCACAGAAGCCCTCATTCCCCAGAACCAGTTTCCCTGCTTTGCACTCCCCCCACATCTCTCCATGCCTCCCTGCTTCCTATCAGGTCAAGTGTCTATTCAAATGTCTCCTCCTCAAAGAGACCTTCTCAGGTCATCTAATCAAGGGCCACCTCACCCGTCTCCATCTGTTCTTCTCTATTACATCACGATCTTGATTATAATTTCTGATATCATCTGAAATTATCTTGTGTATTTATTATGTATCTCTTGACACCAAAATGGATGATCCACCAGAGCCTGATTTTCCAGAAGAGATCCTGGTTCATAAAAGGTTTTCAAGAAATATTTTTGAATGAATAAATCCCCATTTGAAGTCTTCATTTAGGCCAATATTTTAGGCTTTTTTTTTGTTTAAATTATTATACTTTAAGTTCTAGGGTACATGTGCACAACGTGCAGGCTTGTTACATAAGTATACATGTGCCATGCTGGCTCACTGCACCCATCAACCTGTCATTTACATTAGGTATTTCTCCCAGTGCTATCCCTCCCCCTGCCCCCCATCCTATGACAGGCCCTGGTGTGTGATGTTCCCTACCCTGTGACCAAGTGTTCTCATTGTTCAATTCCCACCTATGAGTGAGAACATGTGGTGTTTCATTTTCTGTCCTTGTGATAGTTTGCTCAGAATGATAGTTTCCAGTTTCATCCATGTCCCTGCAAAGGACATGAATTCATCCTTTTTTATGGCTGCATAGTATTCCATGGTGTATATGTGCCACATTTTCTTAATCCAGTCTACTAATGATGGACATCTGGCTTGGTTCCAAGTCTTTGCTATTGTGAATAGTGCTGCAATAAACATATGTGTGCATGTGTCTTTATAGTAACATGATTTATAATTCTTTGGGTATATATCCAGTAATGGGATCACTGGGTCAAATGGTATTTCTAGTTCTAGATCCTTGAGGAATCGCCACACTGTCTTCCACAATGGCTGAACTAGTTTACACTACCACCAACAGTGTAAAAACGTTCCTATTTCTCCACATCCTCTCCACATCTGTTGTTTCCTGACTTTTTAATGATCGCCATTCTAACTGGTGTGAGATGGTATCTCATTGTGGTTTTTATTTGCATTTCTCTGATGACCAGTGATGATGAGCATTTTTTCATATGTCTGTTGGCTACATGAATGTCTTCTTTTGAGAAGTGTCTGTTCATATCCTTTGCCCACTTTTTGATGGGGTTTTTTTCTTGTAAATTTGTTTAAGTTCTTTGTAGATTCTGGATATTAGCCCTTTGTCAGATGGGTAGATTGCAAAAATTTTCTCCCATTCTGTAGGTTGCCTGTTCACTCTGATGGTAGTTTCTTTTGCTGTGCAGAAGCTCTTTAGTTTAATTAGATCCCATTTGTCAATTTTGGCTTTTGTTGCCATTGCTTTTGGTGTTTTAGTCATGAAGTCCTTGCCCATGCCTATGTCCTGAATGGTATTGCCTAGTTTTTCTTCTAGGGTTTTTATGGTTTTAAGTCTAACATGTAAGTCTTTAATCTATCTTGAATTAATTTTTGTATAAGGTGTAAGGAAGGGATCCAGTTTCAGCTTTCTACATATGACTAGCCAGTTTTCCCAGCATTTAGGCCTTATTTTATACCCTTAGCTAATTTCCCTCCTTTCCTGATTATTCTATTTTGCAGTTTATGTTACTTCACTGAAGCCATAGCAAGACCAGGACATCCACTTGTAATTTGAGCCAGAGGTGTTCTCTGGCAAACGGAAGGTGAGGTACAGCGAGATATGGGGCCGACAGGGACTTGGCAACAAATCACCTCACTGAAAGGGATTACACTATGGAAATTCATATAATTCACATAAGACCCTAAATGTGGCTTTAGTATCACCTGAGTTTGGGGGTCCTCTGTTTCTTAGGCAGTCTTTTTTGGCCTAAAGGACAAGGCTGGCAGGGCTGGCTCTGATCTTCCAAGCCTGGCAGCTTCCTCCTCTTCTTCCCAAATCTTTCCAATGTATTCCATGTTGGGTTGGAAGACAGTTACTTCAGGTGGAGGTGGAAGGTGAGGGTTGGGAAGAGGAACATCTTTCACTGGACTGACTAGAAAGCAACTCTCAAATTCTTAAGATATTCTTTTCGGGGCTGTATGTTTTCCTGGGTCTGGGTTGTGGTCCTGAGGGCTAACGCCTGCTTTTCAATCAGAGCCTATCCTTTGCTGGTGACCCAACATGACTCATTAATGCACTTGTTTGTTAGATTCATTCAAATCCAAAAAGCTTTTATTTGAAGGCACAGTAAGAGCTAGGGATACTGAGGAGACCAAGACAGGGAAGGTCTTGCTTACATAGATGCCACAGTGTGGAGGAGGAAGGCAAGCACTGAGGTGATAGATAAAGAAGCACGCTGTGGCTCACCCCTGTAATGCCAGCACTTTGGGAGGCCGAGGGGGGCAGATCACGAGGTCAGGAGATCGAGACCATCCTGGCTAACACGGCAAAACCCCTTCTCTACTAAAAATACAAAAAATTAGCCAGGCGTGGTGGCGGGCACCTGTAGTCCCAGCTACTTGGGAGGCTGAGGCAGGAGAATGGCATGAACCCGGGAGGCAGAGCTTGCAGTGAACCGAGATCGTGGCACTGGGCGACAGAGCGAGACTCTGTCTCAAAAAAAAAAAAGCAGCAGCAAGGCAGTTTTAGATAGCATGTGCTCTGAAGAAAGGAAAACACGATACTGGGAAAGGTAGTGGCTGGGTGGGTACAGTGAAGGCATGTCTCAGACGAATTATTCAGGAAAGGGCTTCCTGAGAAGGTGACCTGACTGTGGAAAGGGGGGCATCTTGTGGGGATCTGCTGGAAACTCATTTCCAGTAGACAGGAGCAAATGCAAAAGCCCCAGGAAGAGGATGAGCTTGATGAATCTGAGAAAGAAAGGAAGCCGTGGTGGTTGGAAAATAATGAGGACGGAAGAGAGCTACACAGTGAGGTCAGAGAGAGAGGAGGGAGCAGACCTGGGATGCCTGCAGATCCTAGTATTTTCCCACTAATTCACATTGAACCCATCACCAGGGTTCTTAGCTGATAGATTGCAATGTCCATGCACATGGAGGCTCCATGTGAATGGAAAGGTCACTTGTCCTAGTCACTGCTGTACTTCCGGTGTCCCACATACTGCCTGGCATCTAGTGGGAGCTCTTTAAGCATCTGTCAAATGAATGCTGTAAAAGCCAAAATCTTATTTTATGGAGCTCATCTCTCCCTTCCATATTAATCCTGCTGTGCTGGGACCCTCAGTGAAGCAAGAAGCAGATAAGGCTATCTTCCACCACCTCTCCAGTGGGTCCATACACATAAGGGCATAATAGAATCTGTGTGGTTCTAAGTCATTCAGACCTTAGTTTGAATCTTGCTTTAGCCCTGCATTTGTTAACTTTGAATATTTATTTTCACGTTGTGCTTGGGGACCTGAAAAAAAATTTCTTCCCATCTCTGCAACTGTTACTTTCCTTTTCAGGAACAGCTTTAAGGAGATGAGAATACTTTTTTTCTACAGCACACTTTTGTTAGGAAATGTTTCCAAAGTACATGGGGCACCTTGGAAAAGAGGTGCTATATAAATATATGTGAGTCACTAAAGCTGTAATTACCAGCAACAGGGATCCTTGTGTGAAAACAAAAACAAAAGACATGCTTTCAAAATTCAGGGCCTGGGGGTTAGCAAGAGCAGTATGACTTCATTGCTATTTATCCAACCCTAAGTATTTCCAACATTTTGGAGGACTAAGATGGCATGCCAAGTTATACCACTATTTCCAATATCATGACTGACATGTTCAATTACTAACAAGATACCATGTTGAGGGACAGTAAGTTATCTCGCCTCAAGCTTTGTTTTGTTGAGACAGAAAATGGGGATATGGGATCCTTCACTATTCATTTCTTTTATCCAGTCTAAAATTAAGTGCTAACTTATAGGCATCTGGGAGAAAATATAATGTAAAATATAGCTTGAGTTTTCTTTGCTGAGAAAATGGAACCTAACATAATGTACCAATGAAGTTATTTTATATAGAGTTGGTTTGTATAAGATGTTCATCATTCTCTTATTTTGTAGAATCAAACCTTAATTTCATACATTCAAAGTGGCAGGCACTTTGCCATGCTGGAGATTCAAAAATGAATCAAGTTTCCTACTCTTATAATCCCCAAAGCATTTGGGGGTTATTTATTAAAAGGGTAATTTAAAATTGATGTTTTTTTCTTATAGAGGGTCCCATAGGCTGAACACCTGGAAAATATAGTACTATAATGAGAATAAGTGATTTGGGATTCCTTAATGTTAAAAAGAAGATAACATCTCTCTGCCCCCTTCCCCATGGTAAATTGAATCCAGCTACCAGGCAATATATTTTTGGGAGTAAGTTTAAAATAGATTCACCTCCTGCCTTCAATACTGTATTAATTTTGTGGCCTAAGAGTTATTTAATTTTTCTTAAGTATGATTTCCTATGTGAAGAATGTGGATAATAAAGTTTATCTACCTCGAAAACTTTTATGAGGGTCAGAGATTCCTCTAACTTTGTGTACCTGTCATGTAGTAGATTCTCAATTAAATGCTCCTATTATCAGCAATGATATAAATGTATTACATTTTTCATATTATTTACCCCTTAGTTTCGTTAGCAAATGATTAGGTAAAGCACCTTTTATTTTCATTTATTTCAGAACTCACAACATTGGAAAAGGATTGTTATGGTAAAATGCGTAATTTTAATCATACTAACATACATAATATATCCATGGTAGTTTTTAGTTATATAATGAAGCAGTTCATAAAAGTTTTTGAACATTATTACATTAATCAATAGCCAAAGAGAAGACTTCCCCTCACTAGAAAACTAGTTATCGAAACAGGCATTCATGGTCTATTTCCCCTTTTTTCAAATGCAAATCTTGTATATGTTATGTCTTGGTAAGTCATGTCTCCACCAGAGAGCCAGAATAAAACTAGCTTCCATTGTGCAGGGAGTTTCCAAACCTGGCTATGCACTTTACTTATCTGGGGAGTTTTTCTTTTAAAACACTTACTTATAGCTCAAACTGCAGACTTCTTACATTGGATTTTTTAATGAATGAGCTTCAAAAATATTTATTTTTGAAAAGCTCTACCACTAGATTCTTATGGCAGTCAGGTTCTAAGATGACCCCTAATTATCCCCCCTTTCTTGTGTTTATACCTTGTGTAGTCCCCTCCCCTAGGATGTAAGGTGGGAACTGTGACTTGCTTCTAACCAACAGTAGGTAGCAAAGGTGATTGGATGTAACCTTCATGATTATGTTACATGGGATTAAAACTTCTGCTGTACTAATAATCTGTCTCTCCCTTGCTGCTTTGATGAGGGCAGCTGCCATGCTGTAAGATGGTCCACAAGGCTTTTGGCCAACAACCAATGATGGATTGAGGCCTTCAGTCCAACAACCCACAAGGAACTCAATCCTGCCAATGACTATGTGAACCTGGAAGCAGACCTATCCTCAGTTGAGCCTCTAGATGAGAACCCGCCTATGGCTGACACCTTGATTTTGCAGCCTTGCAGAGGATTCAGCTAAGCTGTGCCCAGACTTCTGACCCACAGAAACTGTGAGATAATAAATTTGTATTGCTTTAGGTAGCTAAGTTGGCAGTAATATGGTTAGGCAGCAGGAGATATGCAGTACAATTCTGATATGCAGTCAAGGCCGGGAACCAGTGCTACAGTGTTGTTAGAGCAGAAGCAAGCATGGTGTGTTTTCCTATGAAGCTTTTAATAACTACTTATTAATTTTGATGGTTATGGCAATGATTTGTGATGATGATGATGGTGATGATCATGATGGAATTTTGTAAATATCTTAGGGGTTTTTCTTGGGGATTAGTAGTTACATAACTCTGACTAATTTAATTTCCAGACTCAGTAGTCAAGTCTATATGGAAAAGCTACAACCGAATTAATACTTTAAATTTCAGTAGACTTCGCTCCCCTTCTCCAATGAACATGAAGCTATTCTTTGCAATTTAGAATATTCCCAAACCATACTGACAACATGAAATTTTCTTTTTTGTGTCCAAGAATTCAGAAGGCCTATGAATTTGGCTAGTAATGATTTCAAACACTGGATAGTAAAGAGTTTCCAAAGTTTTATTTGTTTTTTCTTCCAATTATCATCAAGGAAAATTCAATCATGTAGAAGGCAAAAACCATATTTGATTATAAATATTTGGTATCATGCTATTACCAAGAAAATGCAATAGTGATTTGATTTCATCTATCTACTTGTCATCTTAATTAAAGTTAATAATAACTATCCCCTGGCTGATTCACTTTTTAAAGTCCTCACATTTCCATTATTTTTCCCATTTTGGAAATGAAGAGTTGGTGATTTAAAGGGGTTAAAATAATTTCTATTAGGCTTCCAAATAGTTCAGAATCAAGATAAAGAGGTCGATCCTTCAACATTTATCTGGTGCTTTTCCCCATTAGATGCCTTCTGCCTTTATTTCACAACAGCATTAGGTCAGTTCATTATTGGTTGGTACATAATGAATTAGAAAATACAATCCACGGTAAATGTGTGGTATAGTTTTGCTTTAAAATAAGTAGCCAGGATTTGTGTGTCTTGGAGACTGTCAGGATTCATAAACTTATTTTTGGACTATAATGTAAAAATCAGAAACTAAATGTGCATGAACATGAATAACTTACTCTTTTGACCTCTGTGTTCAGCATTATTTACTAATGCCAATACATTTTCTTAAGCAGCTAGAAAACAATACATGCTTCATCAATAGTCTTTGAGCTCCCTGACTCAATGTAGCTGAAAAATGAGGTCTAAGAAAGTTTCCAAAGCCCTGAATGATGTTAGAGTCTGGCTCTTTTATGATCAAGTGATCTTTTCAACTTTAATGGGAAAAATAAATCATTGTTAAAAGATAATCTTGTCACATGAAAGCCAAAAAGGTGCAATATCAATGATTCAACTTACCAAAAAACCACCCTGTGGAATGGAATAAAGCGAATAACAGAGTTTGTTTCGTTGTTGCTGTGATTGGCGGTGAGAGTAGAGCAGGCTTAAGGAAATACCTCGTTTTAAAAATAATAAGAGGGCAATATAAACTTATTTAATAGAAAAATGAATGGACTTGATACAAGGGCTATTTTATAAGAACAGAAATTTGAAATCCTTTTTCAGATCTTTTTCTGTTTCATCCAATTGCTTATTTCATGATGAAACTGCCAATTGTTCACATTCTTTCTCACTTTCTCTTTCTTTTATTCAATTTTTGATGCTGCAAATAATATGAAAAGCACAGGGATAGCTACTAAAGTTAATGCTTGGCTTTGCTTTAAGGTACAAATCTATATTAAAGTAGTTTAGGTACAGTTGATAAAAACAAAATTGTTTTTCTAATAGTTTGTTTTTAATGGAGCTTATTCTTAGCATGTTTAAACTAAGCACATCCATCTCTTTAAGCCAATATCTAATTTGGATTATTATGCCAATAAAATCTGGGTAGATAAAGATATCTACGAGACCATAAATTAATGAAAAAAATCCTCTCATTTAAAACAAATGCACATGCGTGTGTGTGCTCACAAACACACAAACAAGATTCTTGATCATGTAGATTTATAGCATTTGTATATTTTGTTCCTCCTTGTTTGCACAAGTAGAGAAGGTTGTCCTTAACAGTTTTTCTTCAAATTTTGTTTCTATAAATGAAAAACATGTCGGCCGGGCGCAGTGGCTTACTCTGTAATCCCAGCACTTTGGAAGGCCGAAGTGGGCAGATCACTTGAGGTCAGGAGTTTGAGACATGGTGAAACCTTGTCTCTACTAAAAATACAAATATTAGCCGAGCTTGGTGGCGGGCACCTGTAATCCCAGCTACTCAGGTGGCTGAGGCAGGAAAATCGCTTGAACCCGGGAGGTGGAGGTTGCAGTGAGCCGAGATCACACCACTGCACTCCAGGCTGGGTGACAGACCGACCGAGACTCCGTCTCAAAAAAAAAAAAAAGAAAAAGAAAAAAGAAAAACATGTCTAAAATCCTGGTAAGAAGTAATTTTCTTCAGTTCAGGAAAACAGAGAGAATATTTGTAACTGTGTACTAACAGACACCCATCTGGAAAATTCCCAGTCAGTTCTTCCGGCAATGCTTCATAGCTCTCCCATTGGCTCATGGGCTTGGGAAGGTTCATAGCTAGATTTTTCCAAAAAGAATGCCAATCTCTCTTGTCCCTTTTTCAAAGGGTGAAAGAGGATGTCTAAATAATACCAAGTGAGTCTGAACTGAATTTGTAGTTTGGGCAATAAGCCTAAGGCATAGATGGGCAGCTCAAACCCAAGTATCAATGTGGGAAGGAGGGGGAGTTTAGCCTAGGGGAATTTCCAAGACTTTCTGTCAAAAGTTCTCAAGACATGCAGCATCCTCCATGCTGAAGTCTGTCATTTGCAAAGTACCCCCCATGCAAGAAAAGTGTAAGGAGGTCACAGATCATTCTGAAGAATCAACGCAATGTCGCAGGCTGATGACAGGTTGACATCTAAGGTCATGGACCAGTTTTCTTTGGGGATGCCTTCACAAAGCAGAAGAGCTGTATCAGCAAAATGTCACTGAAAGCTGTCACCAAATTCAACAAACAGGGCAGAGCGCTGCTCACAAACGCACCAACAGCCTAGTAAATCGAGAATCCTCGATCCCTTTCCCAAAGGCTGCAACAGAATAGCGTGTTAAAGTAGTTTCTTGGGCCAAACATAGATACATAAAGCCATACAGAGAATGGCAATGCCAGGCTTCTTCCTAACTGTGATGTTTGGCGTTTCTCCAAATAGCTCTTGAACAATTTTAGCAAAACTCCAACGGTAGTACTCATCAGTTACCAACACCAAGAGGCGGGGTGTAAAGGAAAGTCATGAATGAGCGTGTGTAGCATGAAAAGACTAATCTCTGCTTTTATAAAGAGATAATCAACAGCTGATGAATTGGAAATGCAGAATAATGGCAGTGGTTTGCAGCATAGGCTCTGAGTCAGACAGATCTGGGATCTAGTCTTAGCTCCTTCACTTATATGCTGTATGACATTAGGACATTATTTACTATCTGAACCTCAGTTTTTACATCTGTAAAATGGGAATAATAATAGTGCCTACTCTATGGGATGTAAGAAAGGATTAGATTAAATTATGTAAATAAAGTGCTTAGTACAGTGCCTGGCACATAATAAATTATGAAAATGCTGCTTACTTTTATGATAATAATTACTATTATCATCATTACTAGTTATAATTAGGAAATGCTTTTCAAAAGTGAACACTTTGAATATAACTTGCATGTCATCTGAACTGGAAGTATAATAAGGGTATCTAATTCCCACTGATTTAGTAAGTCAAATAGAAAACCAAAACAAATTGAGTCATTCAACTGGTGTATTTAGAATTGCTGATGATTATAGCATTCAAGAAAGTTAGTGAAATACATAAATTGCAATTCATCTGTCTTGAAAATCTCAAAAATCAGTTTTTATTTGTCTAGTCTAACAGTGGGCAGGGCTTACTTGTTTAAAAATGTATATTTAGAGCCTTCTAGAAAATAAACATGTGCAAGGTGAATAAAGAAGGAATAAAATATGTTAATACAAGGCAGGTATGCAAAAATCATTTATGTTTCAGCTTAGACTGCAAAAATGATGCACTGCCTTTACATAGCACTTTATGCTTTTCATGGAATTTTCCCTGCATTGCCAGTTTATTGTATTAGACACACAGAGAGAGGGCCACAGAGGGCCACATGTACACTTACAATCTCTTTGCACCCAGCACTGATTATTTTCAAGTCAGCTCTACTATTAGAGTCCTGGTCCAGATGGAGGGGAAGGTATGGCATTAGCAACAAGGTTGTGGGGCCAGTCCAGAAAACGCATTCAAAGGATAATCTGATTAGCAAATTTTGAAAGGGGTTGGTATATGCATTTCACTTATCATCTAATTCAGAAAACTCCATAACACAACTTGGACAAAGTTACCAGTATCAAAGGTCCTAATGTAGCATAATTTGTGTTGAGTATGTTGCATTCTGACAGTGCTATAAACCAGGGAGACAGTTTACTGACAATTCTGTGCTACCAGATACCAACTCAGGCCTCTGTCCAGCCTTACATTGTCAATTCTCATGGAAACATGAGCAGTTACATAGCCTCAGAGGACGCTGAAGTTTGGATTGCAAAAGACGAGATGGACAGATTTCATATTTTCATTGCAGATTTTTTTCTTTGCCTTTTCAAACTGCTGAGCATAGTTTTTTTAAAGGCAGGAAATGCAACTAGTGTTTGTTTCTAGCATGGCTTCTGTTTTGAGATTTCTTCTTTGTAGAAGAAATGTGTTGCCCAGCTGTCTAGAATCCCAATCAGGATATCGTTTCAGCATAAACTATATTGTAAGAATGATTTTAGCTGGTTATAAGCTAGAATGAATATGAGGCTAGGGCTATTTTATCCATATTTTACCCACAGAGGGGGTACGCTGATTCAGTTAAATGGAAATAATATAAATGAATGAGGTAAAGTTTAGTTCTGTGTTTTGCCCAGGAAAGAGAGTAATTGTGAAAGACAAAGAATTGCATTAGTGAACAAGCAGAGCTGTAGAGATTCTCAGTTATAGAGATTCTTAGAAACAAGAGTCATGTGGCAAGTGGCCAAAAGTATTGCAATCAACATTTAAAAAACTGGTTCAACCCAAGTTGAATTGCTGGAGAGTTGAATGCTTTCCAGTTTTAATACTTCTCTTACCTGCAACACCCACACACATTGTTCAACAAATATTAATTAAAAACTCCCTGTATGAGGAACTCCTTGTATGGAAACACCAAGGCTAGAACTGGTTAATGGGAAAAGATACAAGGATGATTCAAGTCCTACCTTTTTAGAGATTTGTGAAAGAGACAGACATTTCAGCCAGTATCCTATTTTTTGATTCCAAGACTTACAAATTTTAATGTTTCTGAAATACAATCACCGAGTACATTTGATTATATCCTTTCCAAAAGTTGGCATTAAATCTATGGGTCTTATAATAGATGGAATTTTAAAAGTTAGATGTGAATGTACTACTGTAAATTCAGCTACTCAGAGTAAGGGGAACAGAGAAGAAATCTGACTGGAGGCTTATTGAATGAAATTGCTATAATCTGGGCCTTGAAGAAAAAGAAGAAATCTACCAGGCTGGAAGCTTGTGTATGTGGGATGGGAAGGAAAAGATAGGAGGATATTGAAAGTAAAGGGAAGAGCATGTGCAAAGACATTAAAAAACACAACAGTATGTAAATGTGGGAGTACAGTTTATATGTTAAATGTATTATGAAAAACATTCAGAGGACCTGAAGCCAGCTATTATAGAAGCTAAGTGGGAAGCTAGAGTACAAGGATTTGGAGTTCTTCTGAAGACACTTTTGACTGTTTTTAAGTAAAAGGAAAACTAACATGAGTCTGTCACATTCCTAAGTGTCATAGATGCTACCCAGTTTAATTTTCCCAAATGTTTCCAAGGCATCCCCCTACTGTTTTTCCTGATAGGAAACAGAGGCACAGGGAGGTTAAGATGCCAAGGATACAAGGAGAGAGTCTAAGTTCTACCCCATCTGTATGATTTTAAAACCTATGAGCTGTCTATAACACCAACTTAAGATGTGTTGGTCTTCTTGTTTTTCATTTTCTAATTTCTTATTTTTACTTTTCGAATTAATAGACTTCTTTTAGAGCAGTGTTAAGTTTACAGAATAATTGAGCAGAAAGTACAGAGAGTTAACATGTATCTCCTCACTCTTCCCAAAATTTTCCCTATTAATAGCATCTTGCATTAATGGGGTAGATTGTTATAATTGATAAGCCAATATCAATACATTATTATTAACTAAATATTATAATTTACATGAGGATTCACTCTTTGTGTTGCATTTTATGGGTTTTGACAAATGTGTAATGACATGTATGGGTAATTACAGCATCATACAGAATTGTTTGCCCTCAAAATCCCCTGTGCTCACCTATTCATCTCTCCCTCTTTCCCCCAAGCTCGTCCTACTGCTTCCACTCATCTTTTACTCTCTCTAGTTTTCCTTTTCCCAGTATATTGTTGGAATCATACCTTTTCACACTGGCTTGTTTTACTCAGCATATGCATTTAGATTACTCTAAGTCTTTTCATGGCTTGAAAGCTCATTTCTTTTCATCCCTGAATAATATTCCATTATATGGATGTATTCTGGTGTATTTGTCCTTGCACCTATTGAAGGACATCTTAGTTGCATTCTAGCTTTGCCAATTATGAAAAAAGCTGCCGTAAATATTTGTGTATAGGTTTTTGTGTGTACATGAGTTTTTAACTCATTTGGGTTAGTACCAAGAAGTACTGGATCATACAATAAAAATACATTTATTTTCATAAGAAACTGCCAAATTTTCTTCCAAAGTGACTCAATCATTTCGCACTTCCGCCAGCAATGAATGAGAGTTCCTGTTGCTCCACATCTTGGCCAGCATTTGGTGTTGTCAGTATTTTAGCCATTCTAACAGGTGTGTAGTGGTATCTCATTGTTTTAATTTACAACTCTTTGATGGCATATGCGTTTCCTAATTTTTTTCTTACCTACTATATATTTTTCTATTATCTGTTATTTTGACTTTTACATTTTCCATCATTCATTCTTTCATTCATCAACATATAGTAAGTGTCCATTATAAGCCAATAACATTTTTTGAATCTGGGTCATTTTTCTTTTACTCTTTTTCTATTCTTTCCCCCATTTTTATTTTGACATGTTCCATTCATTATTTATTTCACATAGACTATTAATTTGTTTATCTGTATATGCTATTCTTTTCTAGATAAACTAGTTGGTTATCTTTTACTTTTCTGATAATTTTTAAATTTCTTCCACTTTCACATTCTCCTGTTAAAGTTTTATTATTATTCACAGTACATACAGCACAGTGTATGAAATATTGTTCCATATGAAACTGTTTGAAAAAATCTCTGAAGTGGAAATCACTTACCTTGGTTGACAATAAATCTTAACTTCTGTATTGTTGCCAGATTGCCACTAACTCGATATATTCCATCAACATCTAGACCTGAAGACAAAAGGGCATATTTTATATTAGCACATATAGGAATTGAGATGGTTTAAAAAAAATCTATGAAAAGAAGGAGTAAATCAAATATCTATTCTTCTCAGATAAAACCAATTTGTGTGTTCTAAATTATGCAATCTTCAAAATTTTAATCTCAAAGTAATCATGGTGTTCAGTCTTAATTAAAATTATCATCAATAAATTTGGGTCTAATTGAGGCAAAAAGAGCAGTGGGTAGAATAGGATTACATCATATATTTAAGGTTCATTTACAAGGAAAATATAGGAATCCAACTGGGTAGGGGGGAAACCTCCAGACGTTTGTGTATTATTGCCTTTTTTCTGCAAGGTAAAATAACTCGAGACATTTGTAAGACATTTGCTACTGGCCTGACTTACTGTCTTCCTGCCTTTCTGTCTCTCTTCTTTCCTTCCTCTCCTCTTCTCAGCTCTTTTTCTTCTCTCCATTTCTACTCTGTTCTATTCTATTCTATTCTATTCTATTCTATTCTATTCTATTCTATTCTATTCTATTCTATTCTATTCTTGTTTTCCTGTGATTGTTACAGAATAACATATTTTGATCTGATTATTTGAAACTAAAGAGTAAAAATTCTATTCTAGATATAATGCTAGTTTGATAATTTCTAGTGTATTATAGGTAATGAGGTGCTCCATTATGGAGAGAAAAATTTAAAAAATCTTTAGCGAAATGGTAAAATGAGTTTCAGATTATTTTAGAACTGGTCATCTGTAATTCAAAATAACTTATCCTGGCAGTGAATTTCAATAATCATTCACTTGTTTTCCACACATCTATTTATAGAATCTAGTTAATTTCTTGGCCACGTTACGAGGACAATGAAGAAACAGGAAAACGAAAAGGGAAACACTTAGTCAAACACTATAATAGTATCTAAAAATGCTGAAAACATAATTTTAATGTCAAGAATGTATATTCTTTGATGTGTCTGGGCACTCAGGACTAGCTGAGATTGCCAGCAGATGCAGAGGTCTTAGCAGTTTCTCTAGGGAGGTGGTATAGCATCATGGATAATCATTGTAATTCACAACAGTATTAAATAGATTGGTAGAAATTATTGCCATAGTGTAACAGAATAAAGACTTCCCAAAGCACTTTACTGGCATAAAATGAGCTCATTTATTGCTTTACCATTTTACACACTTTGTATTAGGAACACTTCTGCCATTGTGCAAAATATTGCATTGGAAGGTTAGGGTAGAATAACATCACTTATAACATTGGTAATAATGGCATAATTTAAGACAATCATTCACTATAGTTTTTACTCTTCCATGTAATAAACTTTAGGGTTACTTGAGATAATTGCAATAAAATGGAATAGCTATTAACAAATGTATTAATTGATGTGACTTTATAGTTCTAGAATAATCTAAGAAATTACTGAGACTCTGTCTCTTCCTGAGAACTATAAATTGTGAGGAATTGGGTGAAGCTGGACACCAGTTAGCCAGTGGTGAAAGTTTCTAAGACACATATATTTGTAAAAATCAATATATTTTTTCTTCGTGATGCACAAATTACCTCCATTAATCTAAGTCTACTCTGGTTTGTTTGTTTTAAAGTACAATTTCTGCTTGACAGCTTAAATGTGATAATAGTCCTAATTAAAATTTTTCTAATATTTAATTCCTACTTTTAGTATTGGTCTATTTTGGTCTTAAGTTCATGCACTTACACCCAGAATGTTAAAAAATTAATTTACAAAAAACTTATCATTTTCTTTTTTTCCTTTGTCATTAGATGCTGTTTGGTACTTAGTTTTAACCTATGAAATTTTAAATAACGTGATAGATTTAAAAATATTAAAAATTGTACATTCAAGTGTGTCCTTCTCAAAGTTTTCCCTCTTAATTTTTTTGAGCATATAGCTACTGAGGAAATTATTTTAAAATTCTTCTCTAAAATCACCCTCAGAGGCCCTGAAATGTTTACAGAAAAATGTTCATAATGGCATGCTTGGGGGTTTTGGAGAGAGTTTTGGATTTGGAAGCAGACAAATGGCATCAGAACCATGAGTGGTGAATAAAGTCACCTTGATGCTTGCCACCACAAACAAACAAAGTTTGATCAAATGAATGTGGCCCTGATTATTTTCCCATGGATTATCAATTGATTTTAAGGAATTTAGAGAATAATAATTATTTTAGAAAATAGAAACATCAATGGAATATGTGGGTCTATGTTCTCTAAAAGAGAAATTCTAATTTTTTAAAAAATCAATCAAATTAGTCCTATTTACAGTGATTAAAGATAAAATGTGAATATCTATTACAATAAAAATGAGAACATTGTGTGTTTTTAAAAATTTTGTTTTGCTAATTAGCTAGACCCTTATCAGAGGTCTATTATAAATGAAATTATTTGGATTTCAAAATTTAATTGCAAATAAGGGCCTTACTTAATCATCATTTTAATATGCATATTCATTTATACAAGGTGTAAAATCAAGTGCATGTCTTGATTTTGAAGTTAGCACTCTTCCTTTTCAAATATTATTCTATATGCTATTGAAATGCATAGAATTGTAAACTGGTTTTTAACTGATGAAATTCCCTGTATCCAAAACTTCTTTTTTCTCTTAGAGTGTTACAATATAAGAAGTGCTTTCCTTGGTCTTTCATAAATTTCTGTAAACAATTTTTTAAGTCCAGTAATCAAAACCATTTGAAAAAGTAGTATGGATTGGACATATCACATATAAACAATTGGAAAGCAGTATACTGTTTAAAGAAAGCAGCCTCATCCTAAAGTAATAACACAACTTTCTTTTGGCATAAAAGGAGGGAGCACAGCTGGTGGAGACAGGGAGGGTAAATCAGACCTGTGCTACCGCTGTGGTTGTAGACCTGAGTCACAGCAGAGAAACTGCTCTGTGGCTGGAGACAGAAACCAGAAAGTAAAAGGGAGTAAAGCAAAACATATTAGATGCAATATGAATCTATCTTGACACAACTTCCAAGCCCTTTAGATTCAAAGATACCAACACTATATATCTTGTGAGTGATAATGATCTCTGACATTAGCGGCTCCTGCTTTGAATGGCTCATGCTCTCCGGCTATCATACTTTTTAAATTACATAAATAGAGTGAAAATGACAAAGTACATATTAAAAAGGAGGGTATTACATTTTGCAAAATAATCTGGAACATATCAGTGAATTTTAACAGTTATAAATTATATAGGTACAGTCTTGGAGTTGATTTGCTTTCCCCTGAATGGCTCACAGAACAGCAAACCCAAAGTTCTAGGACTATTACCCAAATTACAATTATTCACGTGCCATCCTCCTTTTACTCCAAGAACTTTGAAAGTTATGCCAAACCAAACCAATGTAAATTGGTGGATTTGGACATCCTTTTCATGACCACATTATCCTTGCTGGATTGCAAACTACTTATTTTGGAAATATAATTAGACGTCGTATGATTTTTAAATGACCAACGTCTTCAAGGTACCTCTTTTGTGCTTTGGAGAAGGTTGGTGAAAAATCGCTTTGAGAGGTACCTCTTTCAAGAAAGTAACATGACCGTAAATGCTGACAGGATTTTTGCCTGTTATGCTAAAAATACTTTGGGAACACGATAAAACTAAGTCATTTTATTTTTTATTTTTAAATAAGAGTGGCATTAATGGTAGTATGAAAAATTATCTGAAGAAATCCACATTCACTGAAATATTGTTTATTCGTTCATCATCAGCTGACCTTCTTATATTTCAAAATAGTGTTTACTGTTGGCAGAAATCACTGGGTATTGCTGTAGGGGATTTTTAAAAGTCTTCCCCTGCCTCCCCACCCCGACTTTTTTTTCTCCTGAAGAAGCTTAGACTGGGATAGACACACAATTAGGAGTTATTAGACCAAATGGTGGTCTAAGCCCAGTGGAAAGAATGCAGCTGTTATGAGTAATTCCCACCATAAATCTTAGACACTTTGCAAAAAGAAATCTAAGACCAGATTTGACTGGCTTATCTGCCAAAATATGGACAGTTTTTGACAATGCAGATGAGTCTGTTAAAAATAGTTGAAAACTGGTTTAGGTAGCATTTTTGGTAGCCCGAATGATGGACAAACCATGCAGATGTGGAGTTTGAGCCTGGTTGAGTGGTGTGTCCTGAAAGCCTGCTTGTTTTTCTAACCCATAACAAAATGCATCTGAACCTCTACAGTCTGCAAATGTGGGCTGGGAATTTTGCACAAACAGTCCCTCTCCTGAGATTTATGGCACTTCCTAATTCCTAGGAGGCCAGAGCTACCACAAGAAGTGCCATTCTCGCAATACTTTGAACTTCTGGCTTCTCCCTCCGGCGAAAATCTTTGAGCACGGGAACACTCAGGTTGTCCTCAACGCTGCACGTTTCTGTCTCGGTCCTTCCAAATTTCTACTTGGGTTCTGAGCTAAACATGAGAAGCTCTGGTGCCATTCAGACCTATGCCTCCTCCTCTAAGTTGAAATGAGTGTTTCCAACATTTTCTTGCTAGCTTATTTGTTCACACACTTTAAATTCGATGACTGAGAGTACAGGATATAATTTAAAATTCTAATCTCTCTTCCAACTCAGTGGTGTTGATTTTGTACCTATCTGCCATTTTAATTTAATTATTGTTAATTTCTTATGAGACACCCATCCTTCAATAGCCTTGCTATTTCCTAAGAATGATTCCCTTAGGAAATAGCTGGCACAATTTTGATTTTCAAACAAGAATCATTTTATTCTATAGGATAACTATATGACTTCATAAAAACCATTCTAAAAATATATAGTTTTTTTTGCTATATTTCCATGGTTAAAAAAACAATAAAAAATACAAAATTGAACCATACAGAACAATATACAATCAGAACTAAGTACAGTAGCTGCCCCAACATGCTTTCCAAAGACAGTTATTGTTAACAGTTCTATTTTAGGCCAGGTTCAGTGGCTCACACCAACAATCCCAGCACTTTGGGAGGCCAAGGCAGGAGAATCACTTGAGCCCAGGAATCCAAGAACAGCCTGGGCAACATAGTGAAACCTATCTTCCCCCCGCCAAAATTTAAAAATTAGCCTGGCATGGTGGCGCATGCCTGTGGTCCCAGCTACTCAGGAGGCTGAGGTAGGAGAATCACTTGAGCCCAGGAAGTTGAGGCTGTAGTGAGCCTTGATCACAGCATTGCACTCCAGCCTGGGTGGACAGAGTGAGGCCCTGTCTCGAAAAGAAAAGTTCTATTTTCATTCTTTTTGTTAATGTTAATATGTCATATTTCTGTTTATTAATTTATTAACTTTGAATGGTATTTATTGATTTCTCAGAAAAGATAAAGAGCTTAGTGCATTCGTAGTTCCTACCACTTATCTGTACACCCTCTTTCTCTTCATTGAGTTAATTTGCCTATTTCTATATCTTAGCATATCAAATTATCTCTGAGCTATGGAAAACAAAGCAGTATATTTACTCTTACTTCTCTCTACCACTTCCCTTCCCAGTTTTATTCTTTATGCGTTTGTTTATATTCTTAAAATTTGGGACATTTTGTTTTTTATAACTATTTTGAGACTTATCTATGGGTTAATAATAGCCACTATTTTTTAAAAAGGGAACATGTTGGGGTTTAACATTAAAATTTAGTTTCACAAAGGAGAGCTCCCAAAAGTTAAGACTTAACTTGTCCTCTTCCTCCTTTCTAGGTTTCTTCATTTCCTCAGATTAAGTGCTGCCCAACAGAAGTTTCTGCAATGATAGAAATGTTCTATGTCTTTGCTGTCCAAACCAGCATTCACTGGCCACATATGACTGGCTACAGAGATTATTAACCACTTGAAACGTGGTTAATACAACTGAGGGACTTAATTTTATTTTATTCAGCTTTGAGTAGCTTAACCACACGTGGCTGGTGATGACCATTTTAGACAATGCGGCTCTAGGTCAGCATCAACTACCCTCCTTCTCTTGTATTCCGTTGTTATTCTTTCTTGGATTGAAGTTTAAGAAGTTTCTTGATTCATAAAAGTATGTGATCGGTAATTTTTCTTACTTTACCCATCTGACTGTTTTCTTTTGCTTCCTAATTGATTGTTGACTTGAGTATTTATTTCAGTTTCATAATCTTTTACTTTTCTAACTTTGAAAAATATATGTTCCATTATCTTCTAGCATCCCTGCTGTTAAGTCTGATGTCAGATTGATTCTTGACACTTTGCAGGTAAATTGCTTTTGCTCTTGGATTAAAAAAAAATTTCTCTTTAAACTTATAGCAGTAAAATGTCACTCATATGTGCTCCCCATCTGGGCCTTTTCATTTGGAAAACATTTTCTTATATTATTTGCTCAATATTGTTTTCCCTCTATTATCTCTCTTCTCTAGAATTTATTTAAGATGGATTATCAAATATTGGATTACCCTTATGATTGAGACTGATTAAACAGTGGTCATGGGTACCTCTGTATGTGTCCAACTCTCTCCCTCCCCACAACTTGTCCAATCTTAAATGAGAATGGTGTGTTGGAGTGTCTCGCAGGATAAATGGGTGGTGAGTAGACAATAGGCCAGGGGTTCTCCCCAGTTATCAAAGTAAGGAAGACTTAACTTGGGATATAGAGAAATTTACCAATTTTTCACCTGGGCAAAGGTATATCTAATTCTGTTGGAGAAGACCTGAGACACTTTCTTCTCCACTGTCTTCTTTCTCAGATGCCAGCAACTTTTCCGTCCTTACAGAAATTGCTCTCAGGCTCAAGCACCTGCTGTAGGTGCTTCCTTGGTGCAGGATAAAGAAAGAGGAGCCCAGTTCTCACAGCTGTTAGATCCTGTTATTTAATGAATTACTTTCTTTACTGCCCTCTTGACAATTTCTGTTCTTTTTGTTTGTTGACTCCAAGTTTGGTTATTCTCTGGGACACCCCTGGAAAGAACTGTGCCTAATTGTGGTGTCTGGGAATGGTGTTTCTCCTGCTTTCATTTCTCTATTTGTTTGATCCCATCTGCTTCCTCTCTTCCTGGAATTTCTATTTCTCATCTGCTGATGGCACCTTTTCTGTTTTCAGCACCATTATCCATTTTTTTGTTTTTAAAACACATATTTTCTATTATTTCATTGGGATTTTTTTGAGGAAAGAGAATCAGACATGCTTTTTTGAGACTGCCAACTTGAATGTGAGGCCTACATTGTTTTTCATAAAAAAGAACTTTAAAAACTGAAAACAGAAGTTTCATTAGTTTGGGAAGATACTATTATATTATTTTCATTATTGGTACATGGGAAATAAATGGTGAGGGATTAAACTATGAATATTTAAAACAGTTGTTACGTGATTCCAATTCTAATGTTGGAAGTATAGGTTGATACAGGGTTTCAGTACATCTCTCATTTCATGTTTCTTACTCTTGTCCTTTTCTGTGTTTATAGAAATTCCTACTATCATTTATGCATTTTTCAATTCTCCTTTTATTACCTGAAGTTGTTTTAGTTTTCTCTTCCATTTCTTTCGTGAGCCTTTTCTTTTCAATTTTTATCTCATTTTGGTTTTTTGTTCTACCTTCCTCATATTTCTGCTATGAAATGCTTGCTTCATAGACACAATTATTGCAACAAGTTTTTCTTTTTAATGTCATAACAAAATACCTTCAATTTTTCCTTTATTATTTTGTTTGCTTTTGGTTATCATCATTATCTAGATTTTATTGGCTCATTTTTGATTATTCATTTCTGAAAAAAATGTATTTAATTTCCCAGGTATTTGTAGGGGATTCATATGGAAAATAAGAATTTTTATTCTCTTAAGACATGGAAGAGATAAATATTTGTTGTAATTTTTCTTTAATGTTAGACTAAAAAGAGGTCACTAAGAGAAGGATTTTTTTTTTTCGTTTCTAAGAAAATGGCTTAGAACCTATGATACTAAAAAATGAGCAATTATTTAAAATTGTTTATATAGCCAGTGTCTGAGCTAGGGGCAAATTCCAGATTTAAATTAAATACCTCGAAAGAGCACATAATAAAGGAATATATATGTATATGTATATACATATATACTAAGAAGAAGGTGATATCAAATAGACTCTTGAATCAGAAAGGAGAATGCTTTTCAAGGACTTTTCTTTGAACACTTGGGCAATTGGGATCATTTTCAAATGCTTCACTCCCACTTCCTTCTTTTGCCCCTGTTACTTCAATTTGTTAATATGAGGAAATAAGATTGTTTTCTTGCAAAAATATTTATCATTAATATTGGTCCTATTTGCTCTTCTGCCCAGTCCTGAGCTCTTAACAAACCTCGTCTTATTTGGACACCAGGGAAGACAGGTGTTGTTACATTGCTTCAGCATCAAAATTGGGTGAGGAAAAGAACTAAATACCCTGAATGTTAAGTGTGTTACTGGTTTGGTTTTCTTAGTGGTTCTACATTGTATCATTTATGCCTTGAAAAGTTCAGTGACAATAGAGTTTGGGGATTGTGGGTGGGGGGATGGTAGGGAGACGTGTGGGAGGAGAGTGATTGGCTATCTTGCTTTTTACTATTATCAGGTATTCTTGTATAGAGACACAGGATTGGATTCAGTCTTGGAAAACAATTTATTGCATTACTTTCCTAGTTTCTTCATCTCCTTCATTCATGTTAAGTAGGATATCAGACATTTCAATAAGTAGAAGAAAATCTCACTGACTTCTTCAAATGTTACAAAAAAAAAAAAAAAGTCATCCCTCCTCAATTTGGATACAGGAGTAAAACCACTGTCTTGCCTCATTATTAGAATTTTCCCTTATATTTATACTTAGTTCTTGCCACAATATCTAACCAATTTTTTTTTTTTATAATTGGAGATGCTTATCTATACCTTTGGAATCCGGAAGTATAGGCAGTAGTATACTTTCAAAAATATTATTTCCTGGTTTCCATTTGCTGTGATTCTTTATGGATCAGGCTTGTTTGTGTATATAGCCTCTATACATCTAATTTAATTCCCACCTTTAAAATGATTCCTTTTAACTTAAGGATTACCAAATGGTAATCAACCAGGGAAAAGACAAGGGGAAAAAGTTCCAGTGTGGCTAATGTGATATAGATTGATAAGCCATTTATGTACCTTAATACCTGGTTAACATGAAACAATAGTGGAACAATAGTGTCCTATTTGTGTCTTATTTTCTGCACATTCATTCTTACATATCTCTCTAAGCTCAGCTAAGAATTTGAGGCCTAACTGCATGAAGCCTGTAGGATAGTAGACATAAATGTGACTTACAGATATATGCCAGCCTTAGGATCATTTGGAAATCTCTGAAGATAAGAAAGATCTCAGCAAGATTCTGAGTTTGCTTGAGAAATTTCTCTAGAAAAGAACCTAGCATCAGTGGTCTGATCAGACCAAAGATGATGAATTGAAATGATTTCTGGAGATTGGGAAACAAGGTACCTATAAACAGTCATTGACAAATCTTACATCTTCTTTTTTTTAAAAAAATCTTAGTCTTGAAGACAAATTTTGGTCAATGATTCTGGTTATCATTAAGTGAGAGCTGTTGCCTTGAAGAAAAACTTAGTGTATCTGGAAGATATTGAAGTTGGAGGTTATATTTGGTTTATCTCATATTATTCTCTGAGTTTCTTTTATGTTGTAGTTCTACTGTTACGCTGTGATCATGCTGATGTAAATAAATCATTCATTTGGTAGTATGACTTGCTTAGTGTGTTTCATTAAAACAAATAGAGGTAACAAGAACAATGAATCTAATTTGGTCTGCCATTATCATCTGGTAGTTTGCAAGCCAATACACCAGCATAACCTGAGATCTACACAGCAGTGGGGTGGCCACAGCAGGTTTAAAGAAAGAAAACCAGATTCCTGGAGATGCTATTCCTAAGGAAAGCTTGGAGTCTCAGGAGGAGTAATCTGTACTCTGTGCCTACATACACTTTTTTTTTTAATTTTAGCAAGAGACTATTTCATAAATTAAAGAAACACAATAAAAGGCTCACCAACACAAAGAAGAAAACTGAAAAATGGATCCTTTTGGGATGAAGTCATAAGAGTTATATAAAGTGTAGCCTTTGATCCCATCATACTTGAAATAGATACTGATTTAAAATTCATATATTTGCCATCATTCTTTTCAATCCCTCCACCCGTATTTTTTTTAACATCTAAACAAAGTGACCTCATTGTTTTCCATTGGATTTTTTTCTAAACATTGGCTGGGATGATTGAGATTCAGGAATGTGGGAAAATGGATTCCCAAACCACGTCCCTCCCCTTTCATTCTGAACTGTAATTTTTGGCTTGGCTTGAATCACAGTCATCACATTTCAGCCTGAATCTCTCTGTAAAGTGATCTTTCTTAAACATTTCTCTCACTCATCAAGGGATCAGAAACAAAGCTGTTCTAGCCTTTCAGCAAAACACTTACAGGCAGCTTTTACAGAGAAGTCGCGAGAGCTAAATTTCCTCTAGAATTGTTTGAAAAGCGAACATTTTCAGTGCCTCATTGTCCTTTTTGTGAATCTTGTCATCTGTATGCCATGAGCTCCAGCAGCTATTTTAATCTGTTTTTGTTTGCAATCCATTTGGTGTCCACCCAAGGAAATGCAGGTGATTCTAATTAACTTACTGCTGAAGACGTAGGAAAAAAAAATCCCAATTGTGATGTAGCGAATTATATACTTAAAACCTTTCTTCTATTATTTATAACACATTATTAATGAAAATATTATATAAATATATTTATCACCTAGTTCATTGCTGTTCACTTTTTAAAAATCAATGGGGATTATGGCACAAGAAAAAGCCACACACATTCACAAATACACAGACACAATACAGACCCCGAGAACGCTTGCCAACTTTTATTTAACAAGAGTAGCAACTTAAAAAATAACATTATTTTTACTTTGTGCAACATAGTTTAATATCTGAAATAACTCTGTTCCAATAAAAATCTATTGAAATACTCTCAGGCCTAACTCTGCCCTGAAGGTAAAAGTGATTAATTGAAAGATTTTGGCAGATCTCTGCTCACCACCAGGGCAGTTTAATTTAGAACACATTCAACCATTTCTCAGTGTCTCTGTGTTGGTGGAGCATAACTTTTGATCTTTGGGGAGGTGCCTCCAATTCAGACCCTTTGGCTTGCCACTTCCTGGAAGGTTTTGATGGCTTGCCTCTGCTAAGCATTCAGGTGAGAGAGAGCTCTTCCCTGGCCGCTGCCTCTCAAGTGAGTTCGTAAAAGCAAATTCCAGGCACCAAGACAAAATATTCTACAAACCCATTTGAGTATACTAACCATCAGCAAAGTCCTATTTAGATCACAGACAAAATGGTTCTTTTCAGCTTATTGCTGCCTTTCGAAACTTCTGAGAAATTATAGTGTCACTAGCCTCTTTCCCAGGCAAAGAAGAAGGTGCTCCTAACCATGACAGTGGATGAAGCTGAGACATTTGAGCTTCCTATTCTCAGGAAACACAAATAGGATGACTGTTTTCTTTTTGAGAGTACAGGAGAAACTGCGTAGTGGATATTACTAATACTTCTGCTCCACAGAGAGGTGGGACTAGGTCATGTTCCTTCCTGCTTGGCAGATGGACCTGTGTTAAACTGTGATTAAATGGAAGAACAGATCAATTCTAAGATATTCTGTGGCCCTTGAATTGGTGAATTCCAACTCTCCAGGCAATTTGACAGATATTGTGTAGGTACTTACTATGTAGCAAAAGTGTGCTAGGCATTGGGGATACAGTAACAAATGTGGTACACACATTTCCAGATGTTATAGAGCCATAACACGCACTAAAATGTGAGAACATATATTCTCTGTGAGGTGGATTATAAAAATGATTCTGTTTTTAAATCGTTTTACATATTTCCCAACTATTTTATGTGTTTATATACATATACATATATACACATGTGTGTAGTATATACATATATATTACTCTTGTGAACAAATATTAATGACATTTATTATGAAAACATTATGACACAGATTGAAATTATTTGATAATATATACTTATGAGTTTATGTCCCCACAGATCCACTTGAAAAATGTTTGGAGACTATCATAAATCTATTCTGTATCCTTGAATGCTGTATTTTGTATCTCTAATTTAGCTGAAAGATGGTTTAAGACTCTTAAAATGAGGTTCAAAATCTTCATGGGACACACAGTAGAAATCTCAAAATTAAGTATTTCATAAACTATTTCTTATTGGGGAAATCACATCCAGATTTGGAGACAGAAATATAAGGTATCTGGAATAGAGCTGAAAAGACAAAAACATCTTCCCTACTTAGAAGCTCTACCTTTCCCTGGACAATTTATACCATTGGCTTTTGTGATTTTGGGACTCGTACAAAAAGAAATGTATAAGCAAAAGACAAGAGGTAGCAATAAAGTTGGCTTTCTGACTTCCTATGATCACAATATAAAGTAGAAAGATTAGCCTTCCTCTAGTGGTCTAGGAGAGACCTAACTTCTCAGCTTCATTCTGTACTACATAAGGGCTGTTAACCATCTAACAAAGAAGTATGCACCCTCTGGTTACTCAAAACACTTTGTTGACTTAAAAAAAGGCATTCCAATAACAGTTGTTCCCTTATTTAAACTCATCTAGCACTAGTGTAATACAAACCAGATTTTCAGCTTCTGGGGGATTTTGTCACATAGATCTACATTGAAAGACTTGTGGAAATATCTGGGTATTTGCATATATATACACATACATATTTATATATATATATTTAATATCTCTCATTTCTTTCTGATCTATTGTCATGGAAAGAAAATATATTAAACTAACATGTGCCAAAAAATAGACAAATGAGATTACATCAAACTAGGAAGCTTCTGCACAGCAAAGGAAACAATCAACAGAGTGGAGTGGCAACCTATAGAATGGGAGAAATTATTTTCAAAATATACATTTGACAGGATGTTAACATCAGAATGTATAAGGTACTCAAACAACTCAATACCAAACAACCAAAAAACAACCTGAGCCCAAGTTAAAAATGAGCAAAAAACTAAAAAGATACTTCTCAAAAAAAGACATACAAATGGCCAATAGGTAAATGGGAAAATGCTCAACATCACTAATCATCAGATACATGCAAATTAAAACAATAATGAGATATCACCTTACCTCTGATAGAATGGCTATTATTAAAAAGACAAAAGATAACAAGTGTTGGCAAGGATGTGAAGAAAAGGAAACCCTTTTATATTATTGGTGGGAATGCAAATTAGTACAACAATTATGGGAAAAAATATAGAGATTCCTCAAACAATTAAAAATAGAAATACCATATGATCCAGCAATCCCACCACTGGGTATATATCCAAAGGAAATAAAATCAGTATATCAAAAAGATATCTGCATTCTTATTTTATTACAGCAATATTTACAATAACCAAGATATGGAATTAACCTAAGTGTCCATCAATGGTTGAATGATAAAATGTGATATTATATATATCATATGTTATTATATATGATATACATTATATCATATATATACTATATATGTGATATTATATATATCATATATACTATATATGTGATATTATATATATCATATATATACTATATATGTGATATTATATATATCATATATATATTATATATGTGATATTATATATATCATATATATATTATATATGTGATATTATATATATCATATATATTATATATGTGATACTATATATCATATCATATATATCATATATATAATATATATCATATATATATTTTAAATCATATATATATGATATATATGCACACACACATATACACATATATGATATATATGTGCACACACACACACAAATGGAATACTATTCAGCCATTAAAAAATCCTGCTTTTGGGGTAGAGCCAAGATGGCCGAATAGGAACAGCTCCAGTCTACAGCTACCAGTGTGAGTGACGCAGAAGATGGGTGATTTCTGCATTTCCAACTGAGTTACCAGGTTCATCTCACTGGGGAGTGCCGGACAGTGGTTGCAGGAGAGTGGGTGCAGTGCACCGTGCATGAGCCGAAGCAGGGCGAGGCATCGCCTCACCCGGGAAGTGCAAGGGGTCAGGGAATTCCCTTTCCTAGTCAAAGAAAGGGGTGACAGATGGCACCTGGGAAATCGGGTCACTCCCACCCCGATACTGTGCTCTTCCAATGGGCTTAACAAACGACACACCAGCAGATTATATCCCACACCTAGCTCGGAGGGTCCTACGCCCACGAAGCCTCGCTCATTGCTAGCATGGCATTCTGAGATCAAACTGCAAGGCGGCAGCGAGGCTGGGGGAGGGGTGCCCGCAATTGCTCAGGCTTGAGTAGGTAAGCAAAGCAGCCAGGAACCTCGAACTGGGTGGAGCCCACCACAGCTCAAGGAGGCCTGCCTGCCTCTGTAGGCTCCACCTCTGGGGGCAGGGCACAGACAAACAAAAGACAGCAATAACCTCTGCAGACTTAAAGGTCCCTGTCTGACAGCTGTGAAGAGAGTAGTGGTTCGCCCAGCAAACAGCTTGAGATCTGAGAACGGGCAGACTGCCTCCTCAAGTGGGTCCCTGACTGCTGAGTAGCCTAGCTGGGAGGCATCCCCCAGTAGGGGCAGACTAACACCTCACACGGCCGGGTACTCCTCTGAGACAAAACTTCCAGAGGAACGATCAGGCAGCAGCATTTGCGGTTCACCAATATCCGCTGTTCTGCAGCCACCACTGCTGATACCCAGGCAAACAGGGTCTGGAGTGGACCTCCAGTAAACTCCAACAGACCTGCAACTGAGGGTCCTGACTGTTAGAAGGAAAACTAACAAAGAGAAAGGACATCCACACCAAAAACCCATCTGTATGTCACCACCATCAAAGACCAAAGGTAGATAAAACCACAAAGATGGGGAAAAAACAGAGCTGAAAAACCGGAAACTCTAAAAATCAGAGCTCCTCTCCTCCTCCAAAGGAACGCAGCTCCTCACCAGCAACAGAACAAAGCTGGATGGAGAATGACTTTGACGAGTTGAGAGAAGAAGGCTTCAGAAGATCAAATTACTCTGAGCTAAAGGAGGAAGTTCGAACCAATGGCAAAGAGGTTAAAAACTTTGAAAAAAAATTAGACGAATGGATAACTAGAATAACCAATGCAGAGAAGTCCTTAAAGGACCTGATGGAGCTGAAAACCATGGCACAAGAACTACATGATGAATACACAAGCCTCAGTAACCGATGCGATCAACTGGCAGAAAGGGTATCAGCGATGGAAGATGAAATAAATGAAATGAAGCATGAAGACAAGTTTAGAGAAAAAAGAATAAAAAGAAACGAACAAAGCCTCCAAGAAATATGGGTCTATGTGAAAAGACCAAACCTACATTTGATAGGTGTACCTGAAAGTGAGCGGGAAAATGGAACCAAGTTGGAAAACACTCTGCAGGATATTATCCAGGAGAACTTCCCCAATCTAGCAAGGCAGGCCAACATTCAAATTCAAGAAATACAGAGAATGCCACAAAGATTCTCCTTGGGAAGAGCAACGCCAAGACACATAATTGTCAGATTCACCAAAGTTGAAATGAAGGAAAAAATGTTAAGGGCAGCCAGAGAGAAAGGTCAGGTTAACCACAAAGGGAAGCCCATCAGACTAACAGCTGATCTCCCAGCAGAAACTCTACAAGCCAGAAGAGAGTGGGGGCCAATACTCAACATTCTTAAAGAAAAGAATTTTCAACCCAGAATTTCATATCCAGCCAAACTAAGCTTCATAAGGGAAGGAGAAATAAAATACTTTACAGACAAGCAAATGCTGAGAGATTTTGTCACCACCAGGCCTGCCTTAAAGGAGCTCCTGAAGGAAGCACTAAACATGGAAAGAAACAACCGGTACCACCCACTGCAAAAAACAGGCCAAATTGTAAAGACCATCAAGGCTAGGAAGAAACTGCATCAACTAACAAGCAAAATAACCAGCTAACATAATGACAGGATCAAATTCACACATAACAATACTAACCTTAAATGTAAATGGGCTAAACGCTCCAGTTAAAAGGCACAGACTGGCAAATTGGATAAAGAGTCAAGACCCATCATAGTGCTGTATTCAGGAAACCCATCACGTGCAGACACACATATAGGCTCAAAATAAAGGGACGGAGGAAGATCTACCAAGCAAATGGAAAACAAAAAAAGGCAGGGGTTGCAATCCTAGTCTCTGACAAAACAGACTTTAAACCAACAAAGATCAAAAGAGACAAAGAAGGCCATTACATAATGGTAAAGGGATCAATTCAACAAGAAGAACTAACTATCCTAAATATATATGCACCCAATACAGGAGCATCCAGATTCATAAAGCAAGTCCTTAGTGACCTACAAAGAGACTCAGACTCCCACACAATAATAATGGGAGATTTTAACACCCCACTGTCAACATTAGACAGATCAACGAGACAGAAAGTAAACAAGGATATCCAGGAATTGAACTCAGCTCTGCACCAAGCAGACCTAATAGACATCTACAGAACCCTCCACCACAAGTCAACAGAATATACATTCTTTTCAGCACCACACCACTCCTATTCCAAAATTGACCACATAGTTGGAAGTAAAGCACTCCTCAGCAAATGTGAAAGAACAGAAATTATAACAAACTGTCTCTCAGACCACAGTGCAATCAAACTAGAACTCAGGATTAAGAAACTCACTCAAAACTGCTCAACTACATGGAAACTGAACAACCTGCTCCTGAATGACTACTGGGTACCTAATGAAATGAAGGCAGAAATAAAGATGTTCTTTGAAACCAACGAGAACAAAGACACAACATACCAGAATCTCTGGGACACATTCAAAGCAGTGCGTAGGGGGAAATTTACAGCACTAAATGCCCACAAGAGAAAGCAGGAAAGATCTAAAATTGACACCCTAACATCACAATTAAAAGAACTAGAGAAGCAAGAGCAAACACATCCAAAAGCTAGCAGAAGGCAAGAAATAACTAAGATCAGAGCAGAACTGAAGGAAATAGAGACACAAAAAACCCTTCAAAAAATCAATGAATCCAGGAGCTGGTTTTTTGAAAAGATCAACAAAACTGATAGACCGCTAGCAAGACTAATAAAGAAGAAAAGAGAGAAGAATCAAATAGACGCAATAAAAAATGACAAAGGGGATATCACTACCAATCCAACAGAAACACAAACTACCATCAGAGAATGCTATAAATACCTCTACACAAATAAACTAGAAAATCTAGAAGAAGTGGATAAGTTCCTCAACACATACACCCTCCCAAGACTAAACCAGGAAGAAGTTGAATCTCTGAATAGACCAATAACAGGCTCTGAAATTGAGGCAATAATTAATAGCTTACCAACCAAAAAAATCCAGGACCAGATGGATTCACAGCCGAATTCTACCAGAGGTACAAGGAGGAACTGGTACCATTCCTTCTGAAACTATACCAATCAAGAGAAAAAGAGGGAATCCTCCCTAACTCATTTTATGAGACCAGCATCGTCCTGATACCAAAGCCTGGCAGAGACACAACAAAAAAAGAGAATTTTAGACCAATATCCTTGATGAACATTGGTGCAAAAATCCTCAATAAAATACTGGCAAACCGAATCCAGCAGCACATCAAAAAGCTTATTCACCATGATCAAGTGGGCTTCATCCCTGGGATGCAAGGCTGGTTCAACATATGAAAATCAATAAACGTAATCCAGCATAAACAGAGAATCAAAGACAAAAACCACATGATTATCTCAATAGATGCAGAAAAGGCCTTTGACAAAATTCAACAACCCTTCATGCTAAAAACTCTCAATAAATTAGGTATTGATGGGACATATCTCAAAATAATAAGAGCTATCTATCACAGACCCACAGCCAATATCATACTGAGTGGACAAAAACTGGAAGCATTCCCTTTGAAAACTGGCACAAGACAGGGATGCCCTCTCTCACCACTCCTATTCAACATAGTGTTGGAAGTTCTGGCCAGGGTAATCAGGCAGGAGAAGGAAATAAAGGGCATTTAATTAAGAAAAGAGGAAGTCAAATTGTCTCTGTTTGCAGATGACATGATTGTATATCTAGAAAACCCCATTGTCTCAGCCCAAAATCTCCTTAAGCTGATAAGCAACTTCAGCAAAGTCTCAGGATACAAAATCAATGTGCAAAAATCACAAGCATTCCTATACAGCAATAACAGACAAACAGAGAGCCAAATCATGAGTGAACTCCCATTCACAATTGCTTCAAAGAGAATAAAATACCTAGGAATCCAACTTACAAGGGATGTGAAGGACCTCTTCAAGGAGAACTACAAACTACTGCTCAAGGAAATAAAAGAGGATACAAACAAATGGAAGAATATTCTATGCTCATGGGTAGGAAGAATCAATATCGTGAAAATGGCCATACTGCCCAAGGTAATTTATAGATTCAATGCCATCCCCATCAAGCTACCAATGACTTTCTTCACAGAATTGGAAAAAACTGCTTTAAAGTTCATATGGAACCAAAAAAGAGCCCGCATTGCCAAGTCAATCCTAAGCCAAAAGAACAAAGCTGGAGACATCATGCTACCTGACTTCAAACTACACTACAAGGCTACAGTAACCAAAACAGCATGGTACTGGCACCAAAACAGAGATATAGATCAATGGAACAGAACAGAGCCCTCAGAAATAATGCTGCATATCTACAGCCATCTGATCTTTGACAAACCTGACAAAAACAAGCAATGGGGAAAGGATTCCCTATTTAATAAATGGTGCTGGGAAAACTGGCTAGCCATATGTAGGAAGCTGAAACTGGATCCCCTCCTTACACTTTATACAAAAATTAATTCAAGATGTATTAAAGACTTACATGTTAGATCTAAAACCATAAAAACTCTAGAAGAAAACCTAGGCAATACCATTCAAGACATAAGCATGGGCAAGGACTTCATGTCTAAAACACCAAAAGCAATGGCAACAAAAGCCAAAATTGACAAATGGGATCTAATTAAACTAAAGAGCTTCCGCACAGCAAAAGAAACCACCATCAGAGTGAACAGGCAACCTACAGAATGGGAGAAAATTTTTGCAACTTACTCATCTGACAAAGGGCTAATATCCAGAATCTACAATGAACTCAAAGAAATTTACAAGAAAAAAACAAACAACCTCGTCAAAAAGTGGGCAAAGGATATGAACAGACACTTCTCAAAAGAAGACATTTATGCAGCCAAAAAACACATGAAAAAATGCTCATCATCACTGGCCAGCCATCAGAGAAATGCAAATCAAAACCACAATGAGATACCATCTCACACCAGTTAGAATGGCAATCATTAAAAAGTCAGGAAACAACAGGTGCTGGAGAGGATGTGGAGAAATAGGAACACTTTTACACTGTTGGTGGGACTGTAAACTAGTTCAACCATTGTGGAAGTCGGTGTGGTGATTCCTCAGGGATCTGGAACTAGAAATACCATTTGACCCAGCCATCTCATTACTGGGTATATACCCAAAGGATTATAAATCATGCTGCTATAAAGACACATGCACACGTATGTTTATTGCGGCACTATTCACAATAGCAAAGACTTGGAACCAACCCAAATGTCCAACAATGATAGACTGGATTAAGAAAATGTGGCACATATACACCATGGAATACTATGCAGCCATAAAAAATGATGAGTTCATGTTCTTTGTAGGGACATGGATGAAGGTGGAAACCATCATTCTCAGCAAACTATTGCAAGGACAAAAAACCAAACACCGCATGTTCTCGTTCATAGGTGGGAATTGAACAGTGAGAACACATGGACACAGGAAGGGGAACATCACACACCGGGGACGGTTGTGGGGTGGGGGGAGGGGGGAGGGATAGCATTAGGAGATATACCTAATGCTAAATGATGAGTTAATGGGTGCAGCACCCCAACATGGCACATGTACACATATGTAACAAACCTGCACGTTGTGCACATGTACCCTAAAACTTAAATAATAAAAAAAAAAATCCTGCTTTTGTGACAACATGAATGAACATGGAGGACGTTATGCTAAGTGAAATAAACCAGGAACAGAAAAATACGTATTGCATGATCTCACTCACATGTGGAATTCAAAAAGGTTGACCTCATAGAAGAAGAGAATGGAATGGTGGCTACTAGAGGCTGGTATGATTAGGCGGACGGTAGGAATGAGAAAATGTTGGTCAAAGGATACATAATTATAATTAGCTAGAAGGAATAAATTTCAAGGGATCTATTGGATAGCAAGACGACTACAGTTAATGATGACATATATTCCTGAAAAATGTAATGAGAGTGAATGTTAAGTGCTCTCATCTATGATAACTATGTGAGGTAATTTGTTAATTACATAGATTTAACTATTACACAATATCTATATACTTTAAAACTTCATGTTGTATGTGAAAAAAACATACATTATCCACAAATTTAAAAAAAACTAAGACGTTTTATATATGCTGATGTTCATTGATACAACATTTATGAAATATCTAACTCCATATATGTGACTTTCTAAAGTGGCAAGATATCAATTATAAATGTATCTCATGTTTTCTCTTGTATGAAATGTAAATAAAGGATGTCTTAATTTCCCTGTTTCCTCCAGGGGATGGCAGAGTTTGAGTTTTGATGTTAGAAACTCCATTGAGTTTGAATGTTAGGAAATCCATAATCAGGCAGTATAGCTAAATCTTGAAGTGCCATGAGAGATAGAAATGAAAGATTATCAATTTGAAGACTTGGATTTTATGCCATTGGTTCCCAACGTAAGTTAATATTAATTATAGAGGCTACTTTTGCAGTTTATTTTCAGAAAATCTGGGAAGATAATTCTTTCTTAAAATATTTCTTTCACACAGCCTTGCTTATGCCTAAAATTCTGCAATTAGAATTCGTCCTTTTTTCTTGAAATCCTATTGGAGGATTTCACATCAAACCTCACTGGTCATATACGCTTTAGTATGTGGATTAATTTATTAAATCCTTTACTGGGAGCAGACTTTAACTGAAAAGAAAACAAGTACAATGAGTTTACTTGTGTAGGATGTGGGAGAGAAAAAGATGGAGAATAAGGGGGCAAGTACATAATGGGAGAGGAACAGAAAGGGAAAATGGGTACAACATGTTGGCTTCAAATGAATTCAAAAGAGTGGTTGCTATTATCCAAAGTTTCTCCCTTCCTGGGTTACCTGCTATTTTGGACACACCAAGACACAGAAAAAAAGAAGTATATTACTGTACTTAGAAATTTGGGGGAGAAGGGGCACATTTTTAAGCTTGATTAATCACAATTTATTTTAACATAATTTATTCTTATAGTAATTTTCTATCATAAGGAAATTAGAAATATGGAAATTGTAAAAAATAACATCTTCAGGGAAAACTTATAAAATAATTTTTCTTTCAGGTGAGTACAATGCTCTAAACTGAGGTTCCTAAATTCATATAGGTTTTTTTGTTTTGTTTTTTATTTTTTTTTTGAGACAGGTTCTCAGTCTATCACTCAGGCTAGAGTGCAGTGGTATGATCACAGCTCACAGCAGCCTCAACCTCTCCAGGCTCAGGTCCTCCCACCTCAGGCTCTCAAGTAGCTGGCGACTGCAGGCACACACCACCACGCCTGGCTATTTTTTTTGGTATTTTTTGTACAGACAGTGTTTTGCCATGTTGCCCAGGTTGATCTCGAACTCCTCAGCTCAAGAGATCTGCCCACCTCAGCCTCCCAAAGTGCTGGGATTGTAGGCATGAGCCACTTTTCCTGGCCCCATATAGGTCTTTTTTTCTATAGATTGAAATGTCGTGAATATTTCATGGCATTCTCCCATGAAATCATCAGATCTCTGAGCCAGGCCTGTCTCTTCTCTGGGTAAGGACTGCAGAGAATACAGGTACTTCTCTCACCGTATCACTCTCCTGCAGTTTTACTGTATGTGGCGTTGTCTGTGTATACATCACTGGGTCTGTATTAGCCCATGCTCATACTGCTATAACGAACTGCCTATGACTCGGTAATTTATAAAGGAAAGAGGTTTAATTGACTCACAGTTCAGCATGGCTGGAGAGGCCTCGGAAGACTTACAGTAAGGGTGGAAGGCGAAGGGGAAGCAAGGCACCTTCTTCTCAAGGTGGAAGAAAGAAGTGCCAGTGAGGGAGGAAGAGCCCCTTATAAAGCCATCAGATCTCGTGAGAACTCACTCACTATTATGAGAACAGCATGGAGGAACCAGCCCCAGGATTCAATTACTTCCACCTCGTCTCTCGATTGACATGTGGGGATTATGGAGATTACAATTCAAGAAGAGATGTGGGTGGGGATACAAAGCCTAACTCCATCAGGCTCACTGGAGAGATGAGAGGTGTCAGATGGAGCCAGTGATGTATACACAAACAATGCCACAAGTCTTAAGTCTTCCCCAGTAACAACCTAAGGCTTATTGGCCTCAGCTGGTAATGCATGGCTTTGAACTATGGCAGACTTAACGAGGTCTTAGATTTCCAATCTGCTCTTAAGTTTTAAAATAAACCTTAATAAAGGCAATTACATCAGAAACAAATGCATTTCTATTAATTCACTGGCCAGAGTATCAAAAGAAAGTAATAACCTTATTTCCACTAAGAGCAAAGTGTGCTACAGTCAAAACCCCTTGAGAGGAGGAGGGTACCAAGCTTGGAAACACAGCATGCTTTTAGAAGTGTCAGTGAGACTCCCTTTTCCCTTTCTTTGCCTTATCAAATGAAACAAAACAAAATCCTCTTTCCTGGTGCTTGAACATACTCTAATAGGAGACAAATTATTGATACCTTTTAAAACAGTTAAGCTCAAGGTAATACTCAAAAGTGTGAATAAGGGTGTCTGAACATCAAGCTGGAGTATAAATGATATTTCTGAGGCAGGTGTGCCAGAAGGAGAGTATCAGAGGTCAGACAGGGGCTCAAGGTGACATCATGGAGTAATGTAATCACACACCAAAGAAAGAGAAGGAAGGATGCGAATGCACTGTTCTCCTTCAGTTCCCGTATTTTGCCCCGTGAGAAATTAAATGAACAGGTTCACACGTCTTCTCTTGTTTTCGGGGTTTCAGAGTTCTTCCAACGTTAATCATGTTACCTGCCAACATTTGTTAAAAAAATCTTGTCATAAAAATGAACTAAAAATTTACTGTCTTTCAACATTCAACAAGTGAAAAGCATTCCCCCTGCTCATCATCCTGTCACTCAGGGTAGTGATCAGAAATGATTCAGGAATTTGAGTATAAATGTCTGTTTTCATTCTAATGTGTCATTGTGTGTTAGAAACTCTAGACAAGAAGAAACTTCAAGAAAGTGAAAAAGTTAAAAGTGAAGTTGTTGTTCATAAAATAGTCGTTCTGTACAATCTCCAATAATTCTAGTTAAGCAGGAGCACTGTGACCTGTTTTTGTTTGAGTTTTTTGGTAACGGAAGTTTGGGGAATTAATTAGAAATGTATGAAATTTAAAACTTTTAACTTTCTCCTCTACCCAATGCATTGCCCATTTGGTATATCTATGCAATATCTTTTGAAATATTAAAATAGATCCTTTGGTATATCTACACAATATCTTTTTAAATATTAAAAGTTACCATATTCTAGTCTATAAATATATGAGAAAATATGGTCAAACTATATTATTTTGACCTGTGATTTTGCTGTGGAGTCCCTGACAGTTGTTTTTGCATGCGGTACTCTAATTGTTGGCTGCTCAGGAGTCTACAGTATATCTATAAAACTACTTTAAGTCAAGAATAGTTGATTTCTAGCATTAAGTCACTTGCTATCCTAATAACTTTCCCCTTTATGTATCATTTCCACTAGTTTACCTAGTAAGAAGAATTGCTTTTTCTGCTCTCATCCATAAAAAAACTTGTGAAAAGAAACCTTACTGGTGGGAAAAGAATTTGAATGGAAAACATGGACATACATATATCATCAGACCAAAGATTAAAAGATGAACATTATATGTGAGGAAACATTACAAGAAGCTTTCACTATATTAGTTTTTCCAAGTCAGTGTTCCAAGTCAGTCTTGGATTATGTGTGAAAAGTAAGAACTCTATACTGTAACAGGTGCTGGCAGGAAATTCCCATTAAAGCTTATGGAAGTTATGCCTGTAAAATCTTGGCATCTGAGAAAATTCTCTCATAAGGATGCATTATGCATCAGATATTTTTCTCACTAGAAAAGCAATGTGAGGCTGTAACCACCTAACAATATTCCCAGTCACTGTTTTGTTAACACCATCCCTTGGTGATGCCATCTTTGGTGACCTTGTCCTGTATGGAAAGTACATATCAGCCTTCATTTCAGCATTGTGAACATGCATTGTCTCCTGTATACAACAATAGAGATCTTGATCTTAACATCTGTCTGTCCATTCAAAGCATAAACTTGAAAGTACTTTTTTTCCCAGTAAAGTCACTGGATTTATACTAATCCATCCACATTCTGAAGACTGACTCTTAATATGAAACTTGACAAACGTTTATGAGATTTTGCTGGAGTTAAGAATACAGACTATGAAGTATCAGGTAGTAATTAATGTACAATTTTATTCCACAGTATTGGTATGTATGCTGGAAAGCACTAACATTATGAGTGCTTAATAAATGTCATCTTTGTTTTCCTCATGTAAATGACACAATATCTGTATATCCACACCTTCAAAGAGTTATAGTGTAACTTTTAGAACATATGCTGGCTTACCTTCAAGTTAGCAGGTTAGGCCTTTTACTCTGATCAAGCTCAATTTTCTAGCCTATTAATTGTAGAGGTTAAAATATTCTTTGATTGAAGTTTGCATGTTGGATACAACTGAAAAAAAGTTCTTTTTTCTTACCCTATAAACCTGCTATTTACAAAGAATTTGATTCAAATCCAAGGGTTAATTTGGATTTAAAACACTAATCAAGTTAAGGACAGAGATAAATTTACATCACAGTGAATGCTAGAAAAAGCCCACTGAAAATGATTGAATGTCTGTATATATCCAGATGTATGCATCCATATCTAGATTTGTAACTACACCATGAATCAGACATTACTAGCTTACCTTTTATTGTATTTAAAACTATAAATACTAATGTATATAAAGCTATAATTACATTTATATTTATAGTTTTCAATATGCTTTTCATATATTCATAAATACATCTTTGGTAAAATGTCCTCAGTTAGGATATTAAAGCTACCTTCCAGAACAGAACACACACATGCGCGCACACACATACACACACAGCATCAACCCAGGCAATATGCCAAAGTGTAGTCTCTGTGAAAAAGGTTTTGCTTCAGGGCAATAGCAAACTAACTCACCACCCTGCTGCACTGTCCACTCCTCACCACATTGTTCTTTGCTGTATCCTTAACTTCCCCTCCTACAGTGAGGAAACATTTCTTTGGACTGTTTTATTGCCAATACATTTTTTACTTTGTATCATGAAATGAAACAAGGGACTGGTTTCATTAGAAGGAGAGGTAAACAGAGCATTAATTAAATTTGCTGATGATACTAAATTGGGAGGAACTGTGGACATCTGTGAGGACAAAAGAATCATACAAATGGACTTAAGGAGTTTAGAAATACGAGCAGGAAATAATAAAATGAGATTCAGCTTTAAATAATGCAAGCTGATACATTTGGGAGAAGATAATCAGAAACATGGCTATTCAGTGGATGGTAGATGCCTGGAAAGTGGTGATGGTGAAAGATTACCTAGGGGGTGATAATGGGAAAAATTATACACAAACTTACAAGGAAGTAGGCACAATGCCTGAAGGTTTATATAAAAAAGAGCATAATATTTTGAACCAGAAAGTGGATAGTGCTATTCTTATGACACTGGTCGGTCTCAAAAGCATCAAATTTGGCTTTAGTTAGTCGAATCCCTCAGTTTTATGAAACAATTTAACATTATTTGTTGAGAGACTGGTTTCTCCCTATTAAAAATGAGAAAGTATGTTTTGTCTGAAACCTGTATTGGACACAAAGGTCATTGCCCTATTTCCGTCCTATCCTATTCAAGATTATTACAAATATGGTATGTCATACTGGTCTACATATATATCATGCCCCCTGGAAAAACAACAACAACAACAACAAAACAAACAAAAAACAAAACCCTTACTTTCACTTTTAAGGTAATTTCTTTACATTCTGGATAATATGACTTTACGTTATGTTTAAAGAGACATTTAATCATTGTCTCTTCTAGCAGGTCACTGAATCGTCAATCTGTAAGCTTTGTTTCTCTAAGGATAGAGGCATGGATGAGTGGATAAACAGAAAGCTTGGATAATATTTGTCTCTTCATCCATTTAATCATCCATTATGAATTGAGGCCCTATCATATGCCAGGTATAGTGTGCTAAGCACTGTGGGGACGGGGTGATCCAACCATAATTCCTAGACTCAAGGACTCACACTCTAGATAGGGAAACAGATAATGAAACAAGCCATTGTAGTTCCAGGCAATAAGGGCTCTATTAGGAAAAGCAAAGCTGTCACTGGAATATTGTGGAGGAAGGGGCTAATGATGTTCAAGAGATCATGGCGGGATGGTTATGGATTTAAGTTAGAGAATATTCCTTGGAGAAGGTGATTCTTGTGATATTCACAAGAAGATGAATGTGAATTTGGCAGATGGATAAAAAGGGAGAAAGAAAAGCATGGGAAAGGAATAGGCCATTAGAAAAATTCATGTACTTGGTATTCCTGGAGCATAGAAAGCAGCTTATAAGGATATGAAGCTGAACAGTAGACAGAGGTCATATGCTTATCCTTTTTTATGGGGGTAATTAGTGTGGAATTTTGTTTATCCTTATGAGATCAATGAATCATTGGAGGATTCTAAGAGGGGATAACACAATCTTATTTGTATTTAAGAGGGATCATTTTGGCAGCATTGAAAAGAGTGGCCTGGGCAGAAATAAGAACAAAGGCAAAGACCTCCTTAGGAGATTTATCTCAAAAGGAAGTATGGAGGCCCAATCAAGGTCACAGAAAGTGAAAGGAAGAACCAGATTCAAGAGATAGTAAGAAAGTAGAGCTCATGAGGCTTGGTGAATGATTCTGTCTGTAATGAGAGAGAAGAATCTAAGATGTCTAACATATTTCTTTCTAGGGCAATGGGGAATATAGATTGTAATGCTGCGGGCTGAGTTAAGAAATAAAATAGGAGGAACATCTTTGTTGGGAAAAGTGATGAGTTTAGTTCAAAAAAGTTCAGTTTGAGGAGACAGAGGGAAATTCAAGAAGGGTTGTTTCTAGACCATGGATCTGAGTGGGAAAAAAACAGCTTGAGTAATTATTTGCATATAGGAGCTCTGAAGTCATTGAAGGGCTCACTGAAGCTTTAGGTATAATTGAGATCACCCTGAGAAAACCAGTAGCATGAAATGTCAGAGTCAATAATTAAATCCAGAGGAAATGAATGTTTCTTATGCTGTCAAACTCTAGGCCAAACACATGGACTCCAATATTAGACTATGTAATATCAAATACATCGTCAAATGCCTACCTTCAAGACAAAAGGAAGAAAAAAATCTCACTGTTGTCGTGACAATACCATCTGTTAGGTGTGCAACTGTTCTATAGGGAGACTAAAGAGTTAGTCATCCCAAACTGTCAGAAAATGCAAAATATAACAAGAACAACATCATTTTAAAAGAAGAAAGACAACAGTCCAATTTTAATAACATTGGTATATTCAACGTCTTTACAGAGCTTTTGATAGCAACAGCAGAGTTTAACTTTTTTTTTCTGCTAGGAAGTAAATTTGGAGGAAATGAAATCAATATCCAATAGCAAAATCATGTATTCTGTCTTCATTAACTTCAAATTGATAGATCCTGTGTATTGACCATATATTTCTTATTTTAATTATTGGACAGTCTCTATCAACTCAAAAAAATTATCATCCAAATAAAAATTTCCTGAGAGGTACATGGAAAACAAACAATGAATCAAGAGGGTGATATATTCACAGGGAAGTAAACTAATACAAAACAGCACTAACATGGCATTCCAAGTCTGAATTAAAGGAAAAGATGTGGGGCTTAACTTGCTGTGTGGTTATGGGAACTGAGCCTAAGCCTGACCATTCTCAGGCATGTCAATTACAAGTCATAGTTACCATTCAGTTACTTGATTAAAAACAGCAGGCTATTGGAATTGAAACAATGCCTAATGGGATATGACTTCCTCTGATGAAAATGAGTAGAGAATGGATATTTTAGTAGTTGCTGATGGTTAACTTAAATGGAGTATCCAAAAATCGATGAAAATAAAATCATTAAGGAAACCTAACTTCAATTGTTTAGCATAGCTGTGTATTGATAGCAAGAATGGTACCTTATTGAACAATATGATATACTCTTATCAGAAATGAACTTGTTTAAATGTTTAAAAAGTGGATTTACAGACCATGTTATTCTCTGAGCTGCCTTCAACCAACAACTGTTGGTGATTGATCTTTTTATACTATCAACTATATGCATCGGTAGCAATGGTGTGCAACTCTCCAATGAGGATTTCAGCAATGTTGAATATAATTTATCTGATTATACACCATTTACTGAGAATTCATTATGTGTTAGGTACCATATGAGAAGTTGGCTTATACACGAGGGAGCACATCATGTACTTAATATTTTAAATATTTTTCTTCTATAAGATATACTTACACCCTAGATATAGGACATTATTATCTTCTTAAAAAAGAGTGTGTATTTACATATTGGGTCTCTGGTCTACTATAACCTCAAGAATTCTTCCAGCATTATCATTTCAGAGCTATTTTGGTTTTGCAGAGTTAGGTTTTTTTCTCAAAGTGTCCAGCCCTTGATTTTTTCCATTTTTTTTTTCTGAACCAAAAATAGGAAGCGACTTGAAACGTATAAAATCAGGCAAAGAGAGATAAAACAAGAAAATAAATGATTATTTTGAACCCAAGAAAAACATCTTTAACTGTATAGCCTACTCGTCTATAAGATAACCTCCCAAAGAATTTAGAGGAATCTCTAAGACATGAGTCTTTTAAGGAAATGGGTAAAAAGTTCTAAATATCCTGTACAAAAAAATATGTCATGTTCATTCATATAGACCACTGTAATTATTTCACCTGGAATCTGTATGTCTCTTTTACCATATATGTGTAGACTAATTGATTAATGCTTAAATTGAGTATACAATTTGAAAGTATAAAAATCCCTTGGAAAATGTCATTTTTTTTGGTATAAACTTTAAAAAAGAACATCATGCTTTAGGAAATCCACAAAGGAGTATAATATTTGGGTTTCATTTATAGCTTCCTGAATTAATTTGGTTTCTTAATTATCATTAATTTTTAAACCCTAGGGAAATACCTACACAAATACAATGTATAGATTCTTTTTCTACCAGTAAACAACAAATTATTTCATAAAACAGAGTGACACTGTTGTGAAAGTTGATTATTTTTAATCAATCAGTTCATATTATGGGACAAGAATCAAAACATTTCTACTGAAAAGCTACAAGTCAGTTTTTGAATGCTAGGGCAAAAAAATCTGAAAATCTCTGACTGCCTTATTATTATTTGCTTCTGCTTTTTGAAAACCTGAAAGCTTTCCAAATGCATGCAATTTTTTCTCAAATTTTGTAAACATTTGCTTCCAGGCTAAAACATCCTGCTAACTTTCAGCCAAGATTATTTTTATGGTGGAACTCTTAAGTTCTGCATATAGGGCCTTGTAATGGGAAAACTCCCAGTCCTAGAACTCCCACTGTGTAAATGACACCAGTATAGGCTATTTGAGAGTATTGCATCTTGGTAAGTTGAGGTGTTGCATTATTTAAATTCCCCATACACAATAAGAAGCTAATTTCCTAGGGTCTTAATTTTGGCTCTGTTCCTTCCAACTGACTCCAAGGGAAAAGTATGTTAAGAACCTAAACTTTACATTGGGGGTGGAGGTTGGAAATTAGACTCAGGCTGTATCTGGGAAGCGACATTATTTATTCTGATGCATTGTGGATTTTAAAGTGTGGGAATATCCGCTGACTGATTTGACCAGAGCCACATTGCTGTATTTCTTAGATAGCCTCTCTGGTTGTTGAACTGCACGTTTATTCCTACATTAACTTCTGTTATGTTTAAGCTTTCTTTTTGATAATAAGACTGTCATGCATTGCTAGACATAGATAAACTCTGTTAAATGTCACTAATAAATATGTGAATTAATTAATAACCAGCTCCGTATACAGAGTTTGTGAACATTCAATGCATGCCATAAATTGCAAGGTTTAAGTTTCAAGCATTTTCTTGAGCATAAGTAAGTTTCTCTGGAACAGCAAAGCAGGTATCAGGTACCTATGGCAGAGATGGCAATGTTTTCACTAGTTTGTCTTCTCTTTCTTACAGACCTCACAAGCATGTCCTCTTATCCACATTTGTTTTCTTAATTGCAAAATGCAGCTTTTCCCCCGCCTCTCCACCTTGTCATCTCTGATTTCTTTTGGTTGTCTTTTCCTAGTTTCTCTTTTATACTCTTGCTGGCTGTTTCCTGTTTATTCTTTTTTGATTTTGTCTTCCCCTCGAGCCCTAAATGTGGCTTTCTTACAGACACAGAGGCCCCAGCGTGACTACCCCAAAGAGCCAATTCCAGCTTGGACCCAGCACAACACTGTGCTGTCAGGAAGGTGGCAGTCTTTGTGGCTGCATTAAAACAAAACAGAACAAAACACAAAACACCAAAGCACTAAACTGGTCTTAATTTTAACTCAGAAAAGCCAAGGAGATTCACTGCAAACTTTCATGGAGCTTCTTTAAGATCACCTCCATTGTAAATGCATGCAGATGCCTAACATAAGGCATGAAAAGCAAACACTTAAAAAAAAAAACAAAAACATAGGTCACTGACCTCAGAAACATTTTTGTTCAGTCCACAAATATTCTCCAGGGAAAAAGAAAAAGTGCTTATCTTGTACTCTTGATTTTTTTTTTTTTTGGAGCATGTAATTTTTATCAGTTTGTTTTGTTTTTGTTACTTTTTTTTACTCACTGCTTATAAAACTAGCAAGCAGAAGTCTCTCTGGAACAAGATAGAATCATAAAAGTTTTCAAGAATCTCATCACAAACTTAACAGTACAAATTGCACATTCTTCATGGAAGTATCAGCCTTTAGTGCGTGCCTGGATCCAACTATAATAGATTATCCCAAAGTGGGAAAGAATGAACAGTATAAAATTAGCAGAACTGGGAGCAGAGCTTGTCTAGGGAAGGCAATATGATCTGCAGTTTCGGGGCCTGGATTCAAAGGCAACGGGAAACAACTATGTAAAGTCTGATTTTTGCAAGTAAGCACTCGGTAGGATCTCAAGAGGCAGACTGGTGCACTGGATCAAATATCAGGAAAATTATATTAACAACTACAATGCTTGCTACTATACTGTACAATGGGTACTGTACAATAGCTGTATTAACATGTCTGTTATTTATATAACACATTCATGTGCATATGCAAATGCAACATGTATATGGCAAATATTCATGTATTTATTTACATGCCAAGTTTTACATTTTTGTTAGATAAGTATATTACTGAGTTGAGTAGGTGTCCAGCCACGCTTTCTCGTGATATTAACACACATATCCAAATAGTCACATAATTAAACAGGTTTCATTTATAATGTCACAGGCTTGTTAATTTCATATTCTCTCAAACTTCTCCTAACAGTAGAGGAATTACCAAAAAAGAAACAGTTAAGGTATAATAATAATTTTAGCCATCCTTTTTCCAAGTTGCTATAATCTACCCAAAGATAACTAATTGTTCAAAGTAAACATTCCACTCAGACCACAAAAGGAATCCATTACACAAACATATAATTCACAGTCATTTTTAGTGGGTTGTAAACAGTTTGGAATGAGCATAAAATGGGACAAAAATCAAAGTGAGCATTTTGAAATGAAAAAGTGTTTGCTACAAAAGGTCAGTCCCTTTGCTTGGCAAACTATGTAGAAAAGCCTGGGAAAATGCTGATCACACAAGCAATGAGGGAATTTTAAAGCCAACAGCCTCCTTGTTTCTTTAAACAGACATCGGAACCTATAACTGGATCCTGTCAAACAAACGACAGCAAAAAAAATATAACAGCTGCTAAGAAGTCAAGTTGAGAGATAAAGTTTTTGAGGCTAAGGACCTTCTCAGAAGTAGACTAAAGGTCTTTCTTAAATCTTTAAGCAAGGTTATGGATCCCAGGGTGGCTTTTAGGCACCAAGTCAAATATGTAACTTTGTGTACCATTCCTGTCATAGTATTTCGTGTTCCAGAAAAAAGACAGAAAGGGCAAACTTCTTGTTGATTAGCATCTGCTGAGGCATTCTGCAAAGTTGCTTATACCTGGAATTATCACATTTGAAAAACATGATTTCATTTTAAAAAAATTGTGGTCAAAAGCATATGACATACAATTTCTCTTCCTAATCCTTTTTAAGTGTATAGTTCAGTAATTCTAAGTATATTCACACTGTTGTACAATAAATCTCTAGGTATCATTTTAATGTTTTAAAATAGTTTGGGTACATATTAACCAGAACCGGGAATCATGAAGGAAGTATGAGTTAAGACATATTCCAAATGAATGCTAATCTAAATTATATTACAAACTTAAAAAAATTAATGTTATTCCCTTAAAACCAAAAAAATTTTGGATCCATAAAAATATCTTTAGGGTAGAAATATGCTCATTTATCTAGTTAACACTACTCTTATATAAAATATCTATTTGGCAAAATGCATGTTTGGTATTATTGGGTAGAAACATGACTGGTTCGCCACTTAAGGCATGTCCTTTTAGATCTCACACCAAAGGACTCCCTATATCACATAGTCACAATGTTAAGAAAATAACTTGCAAAATAAGGCAAAATTAAATGTCTCCTGGTCTTATAATGAAGATAAAACCAGATAAATATGTGTTTATCGTTCAAGGTTTATTACATCATTTTTAAACACACGTATTTCCCTGCTTTTTATTATTGTTATGGTTCTTCTGTCTTGTAGGGTCTGTTCTTTTCTCTCATAGTACTTATCACAGTTTATGCTAACATACATAACCGTGTGTGTCTGTTTGCTTAATGTCTATCTCCTCTGTATTATCAGCTGGTAACATGGAAGATGACACAAAGTAGGTACTCAATAGCTATTTGGCTTCGATTGCTTCATTTAACCAATATTTATTGAGTACTTACAAGGTGTCACGTGCTGTATAAAGCTTCTTTCCAAATAATGGACCTCAACAAAGGATAGTCAATTACATGCTTTGCATAAAAAGAACTATGAATTAAGGTCTTACTTGTTATACCAGTTTAAAATATATACTTTGTTTACTTCAGGTCTCCTAGGCCCTTCTATCTAAGAGACACAGGTGATCGCATTTTTAAGTAAGCAATTTCTACACATATGACGTCATCATAAACTACACAAAGTGTTCTATAACATAGTGAAAAATGAACTTCTCACTGCTTGTATCTACTATATGTCACAATGCCTTCCTCTACATCAAGCTTTCCCAACCCATGGCCCAGGGGTTTTAATGCAGCACAACACAAATTTGTAAGCTTTCTGAAAGCATTATGAGATTTTCTGCATTTTTTAAAGCTCATTAGCTATTGTTAGCGTTAGTGTATGTAACGCTATGTGTAGCCCAAGACAATTCTTCTTCTTCCAATGTGACCCAAGGAAGCCAAAAGATTAGATACCCCTGCTCTACATGCTTGTTTCCTCAAACCTCCAAAATAGTGTCAGATGATCTCATGCTTTTGGTCATTGTACCCAGGATATGAATTAAGAATTAGCAGAACCGTGTTTTAATATTTTCACAGAAATTGCTTCAAAAAAGAAACATAAGTTGAGTTTTTCATTGGCTAATTATGATTTCTCATATACATGCTCTACGACTATAAAGGCAAGGCAAGCGGGAAGGAACCACTTGGAAGAGCTTTAAAGACTAACATGCTCCTTAACAGTTTGTCTTCCAAATTTTGCTTGTATTTTCAAGGCTCAGCAGACAATGTCAGAAACCACAGAAATGAAGTTAATCTAGTTATAATAGTTGGTGAGAAGGAGAATGCTCTGGTAGTTTAGAGTAATAAAGAGAACCAAATCAAGATAAGGAAACATACTAAACAAGTTATTAGCTAAATTGGTTCACATTCAGTTTATTGGTAGATTTTCTTCTAGGCATGTCCAAAAGTTGCAAAATTTAAAATGTAACTAATATCACTTTACCAGGGATGAATAAAGAATGCATCTTTTGCCAAGTACTGGGTAGAATTTCCTTGGAGAGACTACAGAAGTGTGAGCAATTTGGCTCTGTTCATTACAAACAGGTAAGACAAATAACTGACTGACTGACTGGATGGATAAATGAATGAATTAATGAATGAATAGTGAGATCTGCCTTCCTGATAATGTTTCATTTTAAATCATCCATCTAATAAGCATTTTAGAGATATAGCCACAATTTGTAGGTTTTTTTAAAGGAGTAAAAAATAATCACAAGAAAAAAAAAGAGAAGGAAACAAATCTTTTTTATAACAGCCAATGTGCCGATGTAGTGAGTATCAAGACCATTTCCCTAAGACTGTGAGAGTAAACACATAGTTTTCATTAAATGTTCCTTTCCCATAACTGGTCCATCAGCATTTCCCATGACTCTGCAGTTGAGTTTCTTGGCTGGGAGAGTATCTGGCCATTAGAAGGAGGGATCCAGATATGCTGAGTCCCAGCCATGCTGAGAGACTTGGCGCCTTTATATGCTACTTCCTAATACCAACCCCAGCATAAAATGTCATCAGAAGCCTGCATAAACATTGGACTTAGATTCACATAAATTATTTCTGTCCTGAAATGCTTTATGCCAGAATTTCGTAAAAACAACACTTTGAGTAAATAGAATTGGTGTATAAATATAAGAATATTAATCCAACAAAATGATCATAGAAAATTATAATCAAAAGTACACACTTGTAAATCTTGCAATGATGTGAGAGGTTTATCTTGTGCTTCTTAGTTTTTACTGAATATTTCCATAGGGTTCCTTTAAGCTGATGCTGCCAAAGTGCTTTGAATTATCAGTTGCTTTGTGGAATTGGAAAGTCTTTGAGTTTCATTAAAATGCTTAGGAATTATTTTAATAATCATATGTGTGATTAGCGCCTGTTTAGTGCTGGATCTACAAATTCATTTTAAGAGTAAACACAGGGACAATGAAATATAATGCTAGATGTGATTGCTCCAGTCAGCAAAAACATTGTCTTATTTTATTAAAAATCACCAACAAAATGCCATGAACAAAAGACATGGTTTCTATTTATAGACGTTTTCTACTCTGCAATATTATAATATCTGCACACCGCAAAGCTGCATCTAGCAGTTTTTCGTTTTGCCTAGGGTGGAGACATAAATCGGGAGGAATGGAGCGCTTCTTTACACATGCACACATCTTATTATGTGCTTCCCCAACGCCCTATTTGGGTTTTTGGTCTAATAGTGCTCACACTGTCAGGGCTGAGTATTTATAAGTGGATGAAGATTTCCTGAAAATGATGACAATTTAGTTATTGGAAATAATAACTTTATAATATTCTCAGTGATCCATTTTGTCTTTAAGTACTTACCAAAGAATATTTATTCCTAAAAATGTACTTATAAAATTAAATGAAATTGCAACTTGCAATAAAAACATTTTTCTCTAAACTCCAATTGACTTCATTTCTCACAGATACCTCTCCTCATGTTCATCCTGCAGTTGCTGCTTTCTACTCTCACTGTACTCTCTGCTCTTCTCTCTGATGTGTTGATATGCTTTCCCCAAAGTCATTCTCTTTATCCACATTCCCTACCCACTCTTCCCCTTCTTGTTATTCTCTCATTCCCTACTGATAGGGGAATAATAGGATCCCAAGGCTGTCCTTACAGTATAATTAAAGTATGAATTTCCAGGAGTTAGAAATTGCAGACCATTTTTATTATGCTTTTATAATAAAGCCAGGTAACACTGAGAGAATTAAAATGGCTTTTTCCTAGTAGATTATTGGGTAAAGATTTTTTCCCCTTGGTTCTATTGTCTTAAGAGACTAGGAGCTGGAAATGGGAATAGGTTCACCAATCCTTTTTTCTGAAAACACCTCTATCTTTTACATGATATATATCCCCCTAGATCCTGGGAATATGTTGTAAACTTGTAACAGATGGTGATGAAGCCTTGCATTTTTATACAATACATTTTTTAAGATTCTGCATCTACTATATGTATCTTCCAGGAAAAATGACCTTGAATGAATGAAGTCATAGTTTGAAGGAAAAACACCCCACAGATAGAGTGGAGTAGAAATGATGATTCAGTTGGGTTTTGTTTTGTTCCCTTCAGTAAGATGAAATAATTTCAGAAGAAAAACAGAATGCTGAAATAGAGGAATCAAAGGTCATCTTTTGAGGTGTGTCTTTTAATTGTTCCTGAAAAAACCCGTTAGCGTATTCTGTACTGAACAGAGACATGTGGAAGGTGGGATATCACTGTCTGTGATTCAGAATGCTATTTGCTTAACTTGGGTAATGTTGGGGGCTTACCAAAAATTGTTCTGGCACAACGTCTACCAGCATGAATGTTAGGAAGGTTCTAACACTGTGAGTGCTGATATTTTATGAATGTTTTATCACTGGCTTGAAAACAAGAAGTTTGCACTTGAATCAACAGTAAGTCAGACAGACAAAATATTAAAAACAAAAAAGAACATTAGTGAGAATTACTAATGTCCCTATTGTAAAAACAAACTGAAGTTAATAAGAAAGATGATCCTCTTAACCGATTAACACAAGTCAAGTTTTAATTGCATGGCTTCTCAGACAAATCAGGTGGCACTGCTAACTTGAGTATTGGTTGTGTAGAGGGTGCAGTAATGGGGGGAACTGCTGCACATTCAGTCACCCACCTCTTTTCTCAACAGCTTCAATGCATTGCTTTACAAACCACGGAACTGTGGAATTTTCACGTTCACACACTTTGTGCAGATGAGAGCCAAAAATTTGATCTGCAAAAGAAACAAAGATGAGCTTCATTAAAATCCAAGCTTGCGTTGTTCTTTAATTTGATTCCGTTTCCATATCCATTGCATGCTGAAATCTTCATCTTGCATAAGATTTTTTTTTTGCTTTATTTCCATAGTGTCTATGGCAGACATATGAAGACCACAACTCCCTCCTTGATGGAACAGGACCCTCGCCCCAGAGTGAGAAAACTGACGCTCAGGCATCGATTAGGCAGGGATGACTATGTAAGTTATAGTCTCTCTGGGCCTTAATTTTGTGGTCTATAAAGGAAAGACAAAGAATTGAGAAAATTTTTGCAAAATAATTTATCTTAGTGTCTTTGGTATACTGAGTGTTTTAGAAGAAGTTTACCAGTTAATGGTTACGAAAATTACAATGTTATCAGTATATTTAGGACATTCATTCTGCAACTCAATAGTATATGAGGAGGCAAGTTCTAGGAGACTTGCTTCGAAGTGAATTACTTAGCATTTCTCCTGCCTTGAATGCCCTTCCTCTTCTCTAATCTAACTATCACCTTTCCTTTAGGGCTCAGTTCAGATCACACTTTCTTCACTAACTCCTTCCTATCTCAGCTTTGTGTCTCCTGTGACACAGGTTCTTTGGAATACCAGACCCTCAGGCTGTTAATAGATGATTCAGGAAAAAGGGCCTGCGAACAAAATGGTTTCACATCATTAGGTTCTGCAAAGTTAGACAGGTTTAACATGCATTTATTTTTAAAGCCCATGATATGCCAATGTGTGCTGTGAATCCCCATGAGGGGTGAAGGATGCATTTTCCCCCAAACTTATTTGAGCAACATCCTTTGATTTCAGAGAGCATGTCTCCAGACTAATGTTTCCGAGAATACCCACTGTGAAATCCTAGCCTAGCCCTCTCATTTGGAACATGATTGACGCTACCTTGCATTGTGTATTTACATTTATAATATATGGAATAGATTCTCTCAAAGCAGATTCTGAGTGTCTGAATCATCTATGTCTTCACCAGTGCTTGCACAGACTCTGGCCTGCAGTATTTAAAGACAGATGTTTGTTTTTTATAATTGTGGTAAAACACATATAACATAGAATTGATCATTTCCACCATTTTTAAATGTACCACTCGGTGGCATTAAGTACATTCACAATGTTGTGCAACCCTCACCACCATCAATTTCTGGGTTTTGCTATTGAGATAGTATCTGTTTATTACTGATAATGAAACAAATATTTAGTGGGTCCAAGGGCTTCCCATTTCACTCAGAATGAAATCAAAGTCCCTACTGTAACTTATAAGGTATTACATAATCTGACCTCCACTAATTAATGGATTTCATTTGGGTCTTTCCTCCCCGTCTTTAAATTTGTAATAGCCCCACATTGCTGTTTCTCATGGCTGCCAAGCACTCTTCTGCTGCAGGGACTTTGCATTTTCTTCTTCATGGAACTCCATTGCCTTAGGTCTCTGATCAAATGGTATCTTCTTATTGCAGCCTTTCCTACCAGCCTTTAAAAAAATGGCTCCACTCCATGCCATTCTCTATGCCACTTTCCCAGCCTTACATTTCTTAGAGCACATATCTCCACTTGACATATGAGACTGAAATGTTTTCTGCTTAGCTGTTTCCCTTGCTTAGAAGGCAAAACCCAGGAGAGTAGGCGTCATATCTCAACCATTTATTATTGGATCCTGAGTACCTAGACAGTGTTGGCACATACTAGAAGTTCAATAAACATTTGTAGAATGAGGGACTGCAAGACATCATCTTAACCATCAGTGGAGGTAGTCAATACATTTTTTAAAGTATATGTAAAATTAGATAGAATAATAATGCAGCATAAAATAATGTTCAGTGATATATATTGTTATAAGGGGATACTCAAAATCGAGTGTAGAGAGAATTCAATGAATCATAATTTTCATTTATTTCTTAGGAAAACATAATGGTTTGAATTGGTGACAACCCAACATGGAGGGAACAATTAAAGCTAAAACACTATTAATAATATACTCCAGGCCGGGCATGGTGACTCACACCTGTAATCCCAGCACTTTGGGAGGCTGAGGTGGGCGGATCATGAGGTCAAGAGATTTAGACCATCTTGGCCAACATGGTGAAACCCCGTTTCTATTAAAAATACAAAAATTAGCTGGGCATGGTGGCGCGTGCCTGTAGTCCCAGCTACTCAGGAGGCTGAGGCAGGAGAATTGCTTCAACCCGGAGGGAGAGGTTGCAGTGAGCTGAGATCGCGCCACTGCCCTCCAGGCCTGGCAACAGAGTGAGACTCCATCTCAAAACAACACCAACAACAACAACAAACAAAAACAAAACTCCAATATGGAAATGTGCATTTTTATCCAAGTAACAGAAAGAAGCTCAAAACACATGGACATAGTATAGAGAAGTGGGAAATAGTAATGGGCATTTGCTTTGAATACTTTGGTCAAGTAACAATGACTTGTTCAAAACACTGTGTAACCACTCCAAGAAAGAATGACATAAAATATTATCTAGGAAAAAATAACCCAGTAGATCAGATCAAATGATTTACATTGTCTGGAGATTACAGTCAGGAAGAAGAATTGCTATAAAGTAAAAAACCCATTAATGGATTTTATTACTCAAATCAATTTCACAAATATTATCTTCTATCTTCACAGCAATGAGGTAGGCATATTGAGTTGTAAAAACAATATCGAGAAGTTTGTAATATTATAGGGGGCTAATAAAAGTATTCAAAGAATATACAAAAAAAAGAATATAGCAGGTGTCATAAAAGGTACTGAATGCTAAGAAAAATGTCCTTTAGTATGAGGTCTTTTTGTGTCATTTAGTGTAGACGTGGTGTGCAGTGTGTGTATGTTTGTACAACAGAGGGTGGGAGAGAGAGAGTTTGTGTTTGGAGAAATTGTTTTGTTTTAGACAGGTGGATATGAGAAGATACAGACAACAGCATTCCAGGGAATTTACTCTTTTATTCATTTAGTTATTTGCAAAAGAACATCTTGAGTGGCTATACTGTATTTAGAGCTAGGAAAGGCTCTGGTAATATAACAACCAAGACTCATTCCCTATTTTCTAAATCTTTGCCCAGTAGAGGCAGTATATAAGTAAACAGGTAAGAACATTTTATCATGAGAAAACTGCTATAACTGGGGAAACGCAGAGGCAATGTGGGAGCATGTGGTGGGGCAACAGATCAGCCTTGAGTGCTTCCCTTCTCTGAATAACTGAATCCTCAAAGATAAGGAAAGACAAGTAAAAGAGGGAACAAAGAGCATTTTCGGGAATGAAAGGAAGGAAACAAATGCATGAATGATGGGAAGAATGATAGGAAGACTGGGGTATGCCGAGGAATACATTCACTCTTAGAGAAATCTTGATGTATTAAGTTATAAAAGAGATGGAGGTTATGTTATAAAGCATCTTAAATCTTGCCAGGTAAGTTAAATTATTTGAGAGTGTGCAGATACCATTGATTTTCTACATATAAGTAATTCCTCTCCCACCTTCTTTCTTGTTTTTAGAAGCCACTCATATGACAGAAAGTGAAAATCATCTCTATTGATTTTTACCTGCTCTGCAACTTTGGGTGATTAGATAGCTCTGGTCAATGAAATGTCTAGGAAAGTGACTCAGGACTATATAGCAAAAGATTTGTTTCCCCTGAAGAAAGGAAAGGGATATATAAGAAGTCTTTTTTCTTTTTCTTTTAATCCATCTTTGAATATCATTTTGCAATGATGTGATGCTTGGAGCTATTGCAGCAATCTTGTCACCATGAGACAATGAGTGCTAAGAACAGCAGCTAATGTATTAAAAATAAGCAACAAAACTTGAGACCCTGATGACACTTCTGAGCTTTTAAACCAACACTAAAACACCTTATCTAGACTTATTTTCATATGAAAGAAGTCATTTTTAACTAGGTATTCTATTATCTGCAGCCAAAAGCATATGACATGACATTAGGAAGTGATTGTGGTTTTTTAGTAAAGTGATCATTATAATCATACTCTACTTGAGAAGGTTTACTTGGTAGCACTTTGTAAAGAAAAGGGAGGGTGGGGGGGTTAATATAGTGGGGAAGATGAAGCACAAGGAGATTAGTTAAACGACTGATGTGATTACCTAGGAAAGATGTTACGAAGACCAGAATCAGGATAAGGGTGTGATAGGTGTAATCACTGTGCACAATCCTTCTTGTCTTCTCTGAATTAGATGTATACATTCACCTCCTTTGCCATGGAACCATCTCGTACCACCCAATAGAGTGTGCAGTGTTTATTTTCCCCCATTTCTTTGATATTGGGCTCGGCCAAATGTCTTCTTTGGAATGATGTGAGTGGAAATGTGTCAGTTCCAGACTGAGGCCTTAAGACGCATTGCAGATTTCTACTCATCCTCTTGTTTCTCTGCTATTGCCAAAGAAGAGCTTCCCTGGGGAGCTGCTGCCCCTTCAGCCTGGGCTCCAGAATACATACATATGGCACAGAACTGAGGGCAACCCTCAGTGAAGAGACAAGTCCAGTCAGACCTGCAGCTTAAAGCAGAGTGGCCCAGTCAAGCCTGCACCACAGACACATGAGAAATAGATGCTCGGTGTTATATGCCACTGAGATTTTATGTTTGTTTGTCATGTAGCAATAGCTTACTCACATAGGTGGTGATGAGTCCAGGTTTTTGGTGAAATATGATCTAAGCTATGCTGTGAGAATGAAAACAAAGAGGGTTGGCAGGACATGGAAACTAAAACTGGAGAGTGAACAAAACAGAAAAAAAAGTTCTAAATTTGCTAAGAATGTGGAGTTATGCCTTCAGTTTAATTTCAATCCTCAGGAGGAGTCTCAAAGAAAATTACTTTCACCTTAAAATTTAAATTATTTATGCCTTACCAAATTTTATGGCACCTCTTCTGCATTCTCTCCAGATTAACCCAATTCCATCCAATTCCATTCAGTGACTATTTAGTGAACACCTACCATGTGCTCCATATTGTAAATAATGCAAAGATTGCTTTATTCATTCAGTAACTATTTCATGCAGGTTATAAGCCAGACACTGTGTGCCAGCCTGAAAATGTAATGATGCACCATCTCCTACAGTTTAGGTGGACAGAATAACTGTCACAAGCAGCTACAACATAATATGACTAATGCTATTGCAGATACGTGTAAAAAAATAGTGAGGGTTTATTGTACACTACACTAAGCCAAGCAGGGCTCAAAGTACTTTATATATTCTAACATTTAATTCTCACATGCACCTGCAATCCTTTGAGCGTGTATACTATCATCATCTTCATTTTACAGAAGAGGGAACTAAGGCCCAGAGATATTGAGTTATTTGTGAAAGGTCACAGAGCATTAGGCTCTTGGGGGAGGGAGGATGGGGACCCGAACTAAGACAATAAACCTGTCATGGCAAGAAGGAGTGATTCAGTCGGGTTTGGCAAGTGGGTGTAGGAGGTGAGCTGATCCACCAGGTAAAAGTGACTGCCAAGTTCCTTGCTTGACTGGAGAAGACAGAGATGCAGTTACTTGAGGGTCTTGAGAATGGAAATGGAATTTAGACATTAAGGAAAAGTATTTCAAATGCAGCAGAATGGTTATGAGAGATCAAGATGAAAAATGTTCGCTGGATTTTGGCAATTTCAGGATATGAGTGACCTTAAGAAAAATGGTTTCAGTAGAGGAGTGAAACTGAAAAGCAGATAGTTGTAATTAAGACTTGAAGAGAAGGTGAAGAAGTAGAGACAGCAAATAGACTCCTATTTTAAGAACTTTAGAGGTGAAAAGGCTAGCATATGGGGACTACTTAGTTATAAGTGGAGATAAGACCTGGAAGAGGATTTTGAATTGGGATGGATAGGAGAGAATTTCAGCTACAGGGTATTTTTTATTGCCACGGAGCTGGGTGAAGTACACTGCTGATTATTTTTAGCGGTTATAATGTTGGAAGTGGGGGAGGTACATTACTGCCACTTACTGGTGGTCCAGGCAAGTGCATCCAGTCCCTCACAAGGGAAAAACTGCCATTGGTGTCTTGGTGAGTAAAGAGCCTAGACATCTGGAATTTCACTAGCTAGAGGGCAGATGTTTGCTTTCCCCAGTTACCAGCAAAGCCAAAACTGTTCTTCTCACTTATAGCCTCTCTTGAAACTTGCTGTACTCACCCAAGAAGGTGGGGCTCTGGAGTACAAGAACCTAGTATCTCAGGTGAACTTGGTTACATCAAAGGTCACCATGTGCCCCAAGCTTGAACAAAGCAACGCTTCTTCTACAAAATTTAGAATTTGGATACTGAGAGACTGAGGTGGTTGTTTCTAGGGATGAGAACTCTAGGCTGCCTACACTTAAACCCTGGGGGCTGGGACAGCCAATTTGGGAAGATGCTTATGTGCCGCAGATGAGCGGACACAGGAACTAGTTTGCAGGGAGAGGCAAATGGAACAGATCCAACTCAGCTCCTGACTTTCCAGTGCCTACTCCAGGCACTCTGTATCCTTGCCATGGCACTTGCCATACCCATGTCATGAGCTCCATAAATACCATGAGATCCCCTCCCACCCATTTTAATAGAACTCTTGAGTAAATTTCTGTTTATTGCAAGCAAATACACCTGGCAAAAATATGGATGTAGCATTGGACAAACGTTTCAAGAAAGGGATTACAGTCACAACAGGACCAGGTCTGGCAAAATAGCTCAATGGGATCCACTGCTTACAGATGACACTGGCTAGGAAGAGTATGGTAGATATCAATTGGTTTTGCTGGTCCTGTGTCTATCCTCCTATTCTCTGGCAAGAACACCCTGAGATTCCCTTGGGGATGGTCCTTTCTCATTTTGCTGCCATTTGTTTTGGGTAGTGTTGACTCCACCCTCTCCATCTCCAGTGACGAATATGCATTTTATCTTCTTGGCCACAGTAATTGGTTCAGGCATGAACATGTGGCCCAAGTGGATCCTGTCAAGTAAATCCTGAGACTTTTTCTGATGTTACTGGGAGAGAGGAACCCTCTTTTTATGAGAGATATTAAACTATGAAGATATGAGTCTGATCTTCTAGACGCTATGCTGCCACCTCTGGAAGAGTGGAAAACAGAGCTGAGTGATGGAAGACAAATATATTTGATAGCATTTTGAACTCCTAGATCCAGTCATGCCTGAAGCTATCCCTGTCCCTTGGACTCTTCAATTAAGTAGCTAGTAAATTCCATTCTGACTTTTACAGTTTGGACAAGTTTCTGTCATTTACAGTGGAAAGAATGTAGACTACAACATTAGCCCTTGACAGACAATGAATTAAATAATTGAGAAGAGATGATAATGCACATCACATGGCTTTGCAAAGTAAATAGTGCTGTCCAAAGAAAGGAAATCAGAGATTTAACTACACTGTCATTGTTGAATTTAAGTGCTGTGGTAGGATTGCTCTCCATTTGTAAATCTAATACACCTAGAGTTTCATACACCAAGGAGGACAATTCAATGATAGAAATCCATTTGAGCCATGGAAACTTCTATCTTAAAATAGTATAAAAAAAGGGAGGGAGAGAAAAGGCATTCTGCTTTCCAGGCAAGCATTAATGAACTTTGTCCCCTAAATGCTCATGTCTCTTGTCCTGGAACAACATTAAGGATTATTTCTACTCTCCTCTTCAAAAACAAACAAACAAACAAACAAACAAAAAAGAACACTTCCAAAACCCTGAGCTCCTGACTTCCCACCTATATTCCCATCTGTGTGCTTACTGGTAATCCTTTCTTCCTCACTTAACAACCATAAAAATATGCATATTATTTAGAAAGCACCTCTTGCTAGGGGTGCCAATATTTTTGGAATCTTCTGCAAACTCCTGTGACCTTGGCCAGTGTGATCATTCTATCTTCATCCCACCGTTTCAGCACTTAATGATCAGGGGTGGCAGGATATACATTGATTGGGAAAAAAAATTCATTTTCTGCAATTTTTCTTTGAAAGCATCTTTTGGTGAGAAAAATAAATAGACCCTCCACATGACTGCCCTTATAAATCATGTTGTTTACATAATGAATTAGTGTTTAACTAGAGAATGGTGGTTTTTAATCTTTAAGCTCTCAAACTTTTTGACCGATTTTGTTAGTTCATCAGCATAACCAGGTTAAGTCTTCCAGATTACAAATTAGTTTCATTCTCCCTCATCACTGCTATAAGTTTTTTGACAAATTATGGAAAGAACACCCAGTAATGGGATCTCTGTCAGTCAGATTCCAAATGAATCAAAACTATGAGGACAACTGCTCAATAGAGGCAGTTAAATGTTCAAATAATGTGACGGTTTTATCATCATTTATGCAGGAGACAGTCTCCACAGGCTTTTCAAAATGATGTGACTCTGCTTTCAGGAGAGAGGGCCATTGCAGCGATTCTAGTAAACTTCAAAAAGGAAGAACAAAGCACCTAGAAGGACACACACATGCGGAACACAGAGCGAAGCAGAAAACAATAATGGCAGCCCAAATGGCTTAGTCACAAAAACAAATCAGACAATTATCCAACTATCGTGGTAATGACGTATATTGATTAAGGTTTCTGGCTGCAAGCAACGGAAAAACACAACACTGTGGCTGTATTAAGCAACGGAAAGTTTATTTGAATGATGTTGAGGGGTGGAAGTAGGAAGGAATTCAATGAATTTATGAGAGGCTAGGGGACCAGTCTTGGAGATATTCAGAAATGAAGATGCTTAGCGGAGCCATGAAATTGGAAGAAGGAGAAAAAGCGACTGTCTTCTAACTCTGGTAGCTGGGTCAGGGTGCTCATTTCATGGCCACCACCAGCATCAGCATTGTCATAATAACTTCCAGTCATCAATCGCTCTAGACTGGAAGTTTCTCTAGATGATGCTTCATTGATCAGGATTATGTTATAAAAATAATGGGTGGGGAGAGAAAATACAGCCCTCGTAGTTTCCATAGTAGGTAGCATTCACTTAGAATTTTTCTCCCACAGCAATGCCACACATATGGGCAGATTATTTCCTACTAAGTTGCTATAATAGAGAGGCAGCGGATATTGGAAGACAAAATCGTATTCCAAACATGGGTGATTTCAGCAATTTAATAATTCCATCTTTTGATTTTAAACTATAAATTACATTAGTTTTTCCTTTTGAGAATTGGTTTTCAGCCCAAAACTTTTAGATTGCTTATCAAAGCATGGTGTTTCTATTTTTTTTTTTTTTTTTTTTTTTTTTTTTAAGAGGGAGTCTTACTCTGTCGCCAGGCTGGAGTGCAGTGGTACAATCTCGGCTCACTACACCTCTGACTCCCTGGTTCAAGCGATTCTCCTGCCTCGGCCTCCTGAGTAGCTGGGATTACAGGCATGCGCCAGCACACCCAGCTAATTTTTGTATTTTTAGTTGAGATGGGGTTTCACCACTTTGGCCAGGATGGTCTCGAGCTCCCGAGCTCGTGATCCGCCTGCCTCGGCCTCCCAAGGTGCTGGAATTATAGGTGTGGACCACCATGCCCAGCCTCTACTCTCATCTTTTATATTTTCTCCAGTTCTGTTCCCACCATCTTTTCTTTTCCTTTAAAATGCTCACGACATGAGCCCCATGTCATGTAACTTTCCCAAAACTTTACTGAGAATGTTTGGAGAACTGGGTGACTTCTGTTAGTGCTATAGGTTATGGAATGGCCTATGTTTTTGAATTAAGACACAGAAAAAATACGCCTAATGCTAAAACACGACAGAATATACTGTAAGTGCTTCAGGAGGTACTGCGTTAACTTATGATGCTTTGGGGCTTTGATTAGAAATATCGGTTGCTGCTTTATGTTACATAGATATCAAAAATTGGGCCGATTCTCTGCTGAATCTACGACATGCACTGGAAGTAAACCTCTCTCATTGCCTTGTTTACTTATTTTTTTTTTTTTTCATAAGAGGCAAGTACAAGAAAAAGCTTAATTACTTTAACTTCTAAGTAGTTTGGAATCTAAATAAATAGGAGTTACCAAATATATGCGCTTCTGTGAATAGTTTTCCCCCACATGTTTATTTATATTTTTGCATCTCATCAAACCTAACAGATTCTAAAGTCTCTGGTGATAATGACAATATCTGCTACGGAGAGACTAGCCTGGGGGAAGAGGATCTCCCCGAACAAGGATAGCGGAGTTGCTGCAGCTTTCAAATGAAGCTGGACATTTAGCTGCGGGGGTAGCACCCTTTGATCAAGGCAGCCCAAAGATGAGTTTCAGGGATGGGACTGACAGAAGAGAAAAGTTCTTCCCAGCCCTTTCTACTTTTTCTCTTTGTTTCTCAGGCTTCTGGCCGTCTTCAGTTTTCATAGTTTCACTCTCAACCCTAAACAGTACTTCTGTGAAGTACCCTTTGGCCCCTCGTTTTCAGCTCCTAAACTCACCTGGAAATAGATGTCAATCTAATTTTGGTCTGACTAGTGCAGTAGGCATTTTGGTGATTACACCAGCCAGGAAGAAATTTGCATCTTAAAGAGTTATTAACCAAATGGGACACTGTGCGCATGAAATTCTTCTATATTTGTCTACTCAAGGCAAGAACTTTGTCAATACTTTGTACCTATCTCTCCCACCCTCTGCTTATCTAAAGCAACATCACACACATACACACATGTACGTCAGCACACAGAATCACAACGGCATAGAGAAGGGTTTCACCAAGTAAATCCTTTATGCATTTTTGGATTTATCCATTGAATCTAACCATCTATGAGTATTTTTCAATGCCCACTGGGGATGGAGTAGTGAAAAGAACACTCTCTGTCTTCACAGAGTCTATATGTAAATGGGGAAAATAAACATGAAAACACATTAACATATAATGTCAGATGGTGATAAGCGCTATGGAAAAAATGAAGCAAGGCAGAGAGACAGAGAGCTATTGGTGTTGCCAGGGAAGGCATCTCAGGCAATGGCATCTGAGCAGACACCAAATGAAGTGACCGACTGAGCCATGTACATACAAGGGGAGCAGCAAGTGTATAAAGCTGCTGGTGTAAGCCAGGTTCCTTAGAGGAGGAGCAGGAAGGCCTGAGTGGCTGGAGTGGTGTGAACAAGAGGAAGTATGGCTGAGGAAAAAACATAAAATGTAGCCTCAGGGTCAAAGCAGGTAGGACCCTATAGGTCACAGGAAGGACACACATTAGATATTAAGAATGAGTTTCTTCTAAGTAAATGGAGATTATGGAGGAGGGGGGGGTGACATGATATGATTTACATTTATAAATGATCCTTCTAATTGCCGTGTGAAGCCTAGATTTAAGGGGGTTAAGAGGAGAAGTAGGAAGGCTCATCAGGGGGGTAGTGAAATATAGGAAGAGATGATGGTGCTTGGGTAAGAATGAATCCAATGGAAGTAATCAAAAGTGGTTGAATTTAGAATATATTTTAAAGGTGGGATCTACTGATGAAGGAAGAGACAGAGTAGAAAGCGGGGGTGATCCCAGGTGGCACATGGCAGTGATATTTCCTGAGATAGAGGACACATGGGATCTGAAGAATCAAGGATTACTCTAGATAAATCTGAGATATGTACCAAGCACCCCAAAAGACATGAAATCAATATTTGAATATGCAAGTCTGAAGTTTGAGACTGATGTTTTAAGTTTGGAAAGCATCAACCTCTAGATGGAATTCGAAGCTGCATGAATGGTATATTTCAACTCTGAATGTTTAATGTCCAATAGTCTGAGAATAAGAATGAAATGAGAAAAGAAGTCCAAGGCCTTAACATAGGGGTAACCCAACATTCTGAAGATGGGGAGAAGAGCAGGATCCACCAAAGGGGCACTCACTGACATGAGAGTTTCAATAGGAAGTAATAAGAAGCTGTAAATAATAACTCTAAAACCACTGCAAGATTTCATGTCCAGCTTCATTTCCTTATTTCTTTCTAACTCCTGGAAGTACGGAGTTCAGTAAAATAGTATCTGGTCTACTAGATACAGCTCATAATCCAGTTGAAAGATATTAAAATAATGAAATTACAGCTTTTGGATAAAGAGAAGGTAGGACTAATTGAGAATGAAGAAGAAAGGGATAGCTTTGTGGCACTGGTAACTGAGTTGGAAGAGTAAAAATGATTACAATTTTACTAAGTAGAGGAAGCTACAAAATGATATTCAAGGTCAACAAAACTTTACACGGTAGGAAAAGATGAATGCAGTTTCTTCTACTTGTATTTATATTTATTGCATTTATTATATTACATGCCTTCTGGTTGCCTAATGAGTGCATAAATGAATGTATGAATAGATTAAAAGATAAATATGAGAAAAATTTACAAAAGAAAATTATTTCCTTTGATATTAAAACAGCTTATAAAGAATGTTTTTATTTTTTAAGGAAAATACCCTAATATTTCAATATTTTTTTCTAACAGACCACAGTAGGACAGACTAATTAGTCTAATATTTTCTCACTGGGTTGTAGTCCAAGAAACCGATTTCTATCTAAAGATTGTAATATGAGCACTTGAGTATGAGGGAAACATATTTTCATTGTTTGCTTTCATGTATTTCAAATAATTAACATGACCAAATTTTGTTCAGCTGACTGTTGACGTACATTGTGGATTGATGATATTTTCTGCTTTTCATTTGCCTGTCATCATCTCATTAGAATTACAGAGAGGGCCAGCAAAGGAAGGGAAGGGTAATACAATTCAAATGTTAAGTTCTGCTACCTTCTCCCATATTTGTATGTTCTTTACATACTTTGAATAGAAAACTGTCCATGAAATTCACATGCTCAATTATATAACTTACTATTAATCTGAAGTTAAAACTTATCAATTAGGTTGTCACTTACTTGACTAAGTAGGAACTTTATAGGGGGATTAAAACTACTGTGAAATTATTAATTGCATTTGTTTGAGTGACAAGTCTGAGGAGAAAATTTGATACACAGAATTTATTCAGGTAATTAAAAATACTAAATGATTTATCTTTAAGGCACAACTTATATGGACTAAAGCTGGAAGTGTCATTCAGTGATTGAGAAGAGTTGAAAGATTCTTTTTGGGTGGGGAAAGTGTAGAAATTTTGACTCACTCTAGATTAAAGTAAAACCTAGGAAAGAAGACTGTACTTTTCCTAATATCAGCATAGATTTGTTAGAATCCCAGGTGGTACGACTTCAATTTATTTGCATGAATGCATAGTTCAATAAGAAAAGACTCAAATTTAGTTGGAGTAAAACTGCTTAATGATTTCAAATATTACTTTAATATATTAACATAACAGGTTTGAATATCAATAATGGAGTCTCTTTCATTTGGGTCTTAAGGGTGTTCTCAAAGCCACTAATGCTGAGTGCTAGGTATGCACTGAAGCACCTAAGAGGAAAGCACTTTAGGTTAAAAGCACTTTCTCTCTCAGCCTCAGGTTAAAAGCTATTTCAGGATTCTGTTAAAGGCATTCTTTAGTCCTCAGCTTCAGCTTAAAAGTGGCTTTGATGAAAAGTGCTTTGAGGTAGGTAAAGGATTTTTTAATAAACCATATTAAGAGCCAGGGAATCATGTGGTTCTGCAGAAGGGCTGGCTAGTTCCATGGAGGTGTGATGTAACCTCTACTCAGGAATGCCATTCCCCATGGGCTGTTCTGAGCACTGTGGTCTGCTAGTTATTCCACGCAAAGAAATTGAAAAACATTTCCAGGAATGTAATTGGAGAGTAGTTATGAGCCCAAATTAGTAGGCCATGATGCACACATTTCTGAAAACATTTTGTCTCCTTTGGGCTTCCAGTCAAACACAGTGTGTTTCTCATTTTTCAGTTTCTACTGCAGAAAGTGACAATGCAACAACATTTCCAAAACACCTTATCCTGTCCCAAAGTTGCCCACCAAACTGAATGAATAGGTATCATGTTGTGAGATGCTGCTTTGTATATTGCTCATTTGCCAGGTTTGTTGCATGCTTGACAGTTATGTTTCCAGCTACTGGGACCTCTTATGGAGGGAGGGGACTTAGAGAAGGAATGGAGTATCTCAGTTGGATCTGCCTACTGTATTGGCAGAATGATGTTCGCCACCATGGATGCTTACTTGCAAGAGCTGATATTAGTTGGTAAAACACAGTCAGGAGAATTGTGAACTCCTGAGATATGGCAAATGGCACATGTACTCTGGCTAAGTCCCAGGGACTAGGTGTAATTTCTGTTGAGGAAAGAGCCTCAGACACAGTGGAAAGAAGCTACTCTCTCACCTTGTGAGATTCAATGAGTAAGAGTTGTTGCTTCAGGCCCTAAAAAATCAGGTGCACCATGCAGGCAGGGTGGGGAGGAGAACAGCCTTTCTGTTTCCTTTGAAGACAAAGTGGACTAGAAATTCAGTGGGATCCAGAGGGATGGAGCACATTCTGGCACATGGAAGGTTTTGCAGGCTCAGGAGCCCTGGCCAGTACCTAGGCAGGGAAGCAGGTAACTCTCAGAAAGTGCTGGCTGCACAGCCAAGGTAAGGTGCCTTCTTCAGGCAGCTTGTGGGTAGTAAGGGTATAAAAGAGAAAGAAATGAGAGAGGAGAACACAATGGGGCAAAAGACAGTAATTCATCAAATTGTGCAACACACTTCAGGGACTCCCTTGAGTAGCTGAGGAGGCAGAGAAAGGCTGTGTTGTGATTACACAGGAGGGAGCCATGACTTGGGACATTTGTGCTGTAAGGTCAGTGTTACTCTGTTCATTCCCACAGCTGCAGGGGCTTTGGCCATTGCGATTACGTAGGAATTAACTCAAAGTAGATAACAAGTACCAATTTCATAATATAGCCTTCTAGTGTGTCTTCTAGTGGAGCCAAGTTTTGGGGGTATGGAGGTGATTTTCTTGAGGCAGAATATTTCCTTCCAAGCAGGCTGGAATGTCTAATTTTGAAGGATGGAATCACAACTTATACATCTTTGTAGGCCCAGTGCCCAGCCTATGGCTTGCCACATGCTAGGTCCTCAATACATGTTTTCAAAATAAATAAAAACAAATAAAAAATATTAAATGAATAACAAAATTGCCTATAAAGTAGAATACAAACTCCTAAGCCTGGGATTGTGCAAAACACTTGCCACAGACACTTCTTCTCATCAAACTCTTTACATTTCATCTAAGGCTGTTCTCCAGACTTTCCTACGATTGTGTACCTCAAATGTCTCACCCATTTTTACAAAAGTCCAAGGCTCTAATTCAAGGCTCAGTTTAAAGACCATAAAATGATAAAAGCATTAATCTTTCCCACACTTTTCCATGTGTAATTTCCCCAAATTTGTGACCTAAATACCCCTTAGAGCATTTGACATCTGATATATTACACCGTTGTTTTTGTGCATTTATCTTCCTTACTCACTTCCTGGGGACCTTGCTTTGTGTAGCTTTGTATCCTCTCAGAATACAGTGGCTCAGAGAATACATGTCAGTAGGCAATAGGAATAACAATCATACCTGTAGCATAAAGAAATGCAAGCATAGCTCTTCATCCTCATCATTGGATAATGCCTGAAAAAGTTATAATCACAGTCTAGGCACACAGAGTGTTCAAAATGCTAACTGTATTTTAATGCAATGTCACAAAAAATCTCATCATATATTATCTGTTTTGCAATTTTCAGAATGTGTTCTCTGCAGTCAGGTGAAGGACTGGTACGCAATACTAAGTAGAACTGGGAGTAGAGTATAACCATCAATAGCTATTGTTTGCTACGCTACTTGCTTTTTATAAAACATTACCAGTCCTGAGAAGTATTAGCTGGAGAGTGTGAAGAAAGAACATTTCATCATCTTGCCCAAATTCACAAAACAAGTAAGTAGCAGAGCCAAGTCTACTTCAAAATTTGGTAATCTTTATGGTTCTGCAATACTCTGTTTTCCTGAATAAGTAAAATACAGCTCTTTTAAATAGCACAGGAAGAGTCTTGGTTGCCCCTTTCACTACAACTTATGACTTCCCATTATACACACCCAAGCACAAAAAGAAAAAGATTTTCTTCATGTATTTTAATTATTTCAAGTGTGCTTTACATACTCAAACATTATATAAAACTAATACAGTTATTGTGCTGTAGTATCTCTTTCTCCCAAGAACGCACTACATATTTTCTTAGATGTTCTTTGTGTCTAGGATTCTAGGCTGGTCATAACGGGGGCAAAAGGCTGAGCCAAAAGGCTAACGCTTTCCCCAGCAGAGTCTTCCTAGACCACTACTAGCATGCAGATGGTATGCCAAGTTGGTTAGCGCAGACTCTCTCTAGCAGATCTCTGATCGATGTCCATGGTCCTGGTCAGTAAATGAAACTGAAGCTCAACATACACATTCATGGCAGCTTCTCAGAGAGTTGCATCTGGGAGGCCAGAAAGAATCCACACACAGGGGCGGGCACAGTGGCTCACACCTGTAATCCCAGCATTTGGGGAGGTTGAGGTGGGTGGATCACTTGAGGTCAAGAGTTCGAGACCAGCCTGGCCAACATGGTGAAACCCCATCTCTACTAAAAATACAAAAATTAGCCAGGCATAGTGGTGGGTGCCTATAGTCCCAGCTATCCAGGAGACTGAGGCAGGAGAATTGCTTGAACCTGGGAGACGGAGGTTGCAGTGAGCAAAGATCGTGCCATTGCACTCCAGCCTGGGTGACAAGAGTGAAACTCCATCTCAAAACAAAACAACAACAACAACAACAAAACGATCCACACACAGAAGCTTCCTCTAGGCTTTGGGTAGTATTCATGCTGTAATAACTGATTATAGGAACAGATGGCTTTGGCTTATCACAGGGAAGTGCTTTCCACTAAGACTTGATCCCAAAGTCTTGTTTGTTTGTTTGTTTGTTTTTGTTTTTTTGAGAGGGAGTTTTACTCTTGACACCCAGGCTGGAGTGCAATGGTGCGATCTTGGCTCACTTCAACCTCTGCCTCCCAGGCTCAAGTGATTCTCCTGCCTCAGCCTCCCGAGTAGCTGGGATTATAGGCACCTGCCACCACACTCAGCTAATTTTTGTATTTTTAGTGGAGATGGGGTTTCATCATGTTGGCTAGGCTGATCTTGAACTCCTGACCTCAGATGATCCACTCGCCTCAGCCTCCCAAAATGCTGGGATTACTGGTGTGAGCCACTGCACCCAGCCAAACCCAAAGTCTTTTACTACCATTCCTAGAATTCCTCAGATCCCATGTCTTGTGTCCCCAAACATTTTCCAATGGACTGTTTACTTTCTACCTTCTGTCCTGGATGAAGTAAGGCTGTGGTGCCAACTTTACCCACTATTCACATCCTGCCCGGTCAATACCTTTGAGGCCACAGCTCCCTGGCAAAAGCTTCTGCTTCCCATCCTGTTCTTCATGCTGTAGTAGAGAAACCTAGGCAGAGACCTCTCCTATGGAAAAGTCCAGTCGGCTGCTACACTGTGTAGTCACATTTGGAATATTTATATTCCTATACTGCAAAGCCACCTTTGGAATACTTTGTCCATATCACTGTGGCATCTCAAGTTGAACTTAACCTCACATGCAGATCTGGTTGTCTCTCTTCATGTGTTTAGTAGTATATTTCTAACCAATGTTATTTTTCTTCAAAATTATTTACTCGTACTACAAATACATGATCTTTCTGACTAAAAAGGCATGCATGCAAGTGTGTACATGAACATAAGAAACGGATGCTAGAGAACTGGAGGTATCTGACATCATTTGGAATTCTGTTTTTAATGAAGTGAGGGTCTAACCTCGCTCTTCTAAAATGTTTATGATATCTTCTTCAACTGGTAATTATGTGAACAGATTTATAACTAAAACAGGCTCTCACTTCCTCTTTCGATATTATTTCTTAAAAGGCATTGAGTGAGGTCCTGTCAAATTCTTTATGTAATATCAAATGGTCTCCTATGCTAATTACTTTTTTAAGATGCAAACATTGTAACATGCTCATTGTAACATTGTAAAGGCTTCAATGCATTTAAAATGTGAAGTCACAAAAGATGTAAACATCGTATTTCACTGTCCAGGGAATGAATGAATGTATGAGGTGGTACAAATTATGAGGGAGTCCAAGGGAGCAATGGTTTTTCTGAAATTTAGAGTATTCGGAATCTCACCATATTAAGATATCCTCAAGATATCACTTTTATACCATCGGCTTATTTCTCAGTCTCTTGTTATGTGAAAGATTCCTTTACTGTGAGGTTAACCCAGACCAGGCCTCTTTCAGCTCCATCTTTTCTTTCCTCCTATGAATCTGAGTTCCAAGTTCAAAGGGACATGTTAGGAGTGTTATATTCAAGTTAATGACCCTCACATATGTTTTATTTGGATGACATCTCTTCTAAAATCTCCCTCCTGTCTCATATGGATAGATTTTAAAAAATCATTACAAAATTGGAGCTGAACAACTGTTGAAAGAGAATGAAATTTCTCTCTTTTGCTCTACATATCTAAAGGAATTATATCTTGTGAAAATGTCAACCTTGGTAGCAGTTTCTTAGACGGCTATCTGCATAAGCTGTCTATCACAACAAAAGCATGATTCAACGGCTGTATGCTTCATGAAGGCAACTTGAGTCTGCAATTTTAAGATGTGGTCCAGGTATATACATTATAATTTTGGGGAAAATTTGAGCAGTAAATAAATATATAACACATTTTCTTGTAAACATTGACCAGGATATTTGTGGCTTATTTTGTTTTAAAGTCAGAGCATCCTTCATAATTTGATTTTCTTACATCTGAACATACATATCACTATTCACTAATGTTACTGTCAAATATATCTAAATCTCTTATTCCACAAATTGTAATTAACATAAGGTGAATATTTGCTACATATGTGGGGACATACTAGCTAGGCACAATGATTCAATTTTTTTAAAATGAATATGTGAAATTAGTACATACTATATGGACTTATATTTTGTCAACAAATCCTGCCTTAATGTGTTACTGTAGATTGATGCTTTTAATCAGTTAGCTATATAAAGTTCTTCATATATAAATATTAAAAAAGTATATATAAAAATATATAAAATAAAAAATGTATAAATATTTCCTGATGGAATATCAAAGATAAAATACTAAGAGACATTTGAAAACAGAAAGGAGCTAGGTCACAATATTGTATAATGAGCACACCTAACTCTTAGAAAGATATTAAGTTGAAAAAGGGCTGTATTATAAACAGATATTTCTTTTTCATAAATTTCTTTACATTTCACTTAATTATTCTCTTTACTGTGCCTTTTCCTTAAGCTACTATTAAATGGTGAAAGTAAGTTTTCATAAAGCCTGTTTTATATAAGTATTGCTGATTTAAGGAGGGGGAGAAAAGTTTTTTTATTTCTCTTTTGTATTCTTTTTCTCCATGCGACAAGAAAGTATTCAGAACATCTTTTTAAATAATGAAAATAATAATAATTGTTCTTAGGAGAATAAGAAAGCAAAGGAGAGGCTTTCTTTGACTTATCTGTGATAAGGCACTTTGGAGCTTTGGTTTTTATGAGTTGAAGAAAGAGATGTACACAACACTCTAACCCTTCTATTATGACAGTTTATACTTCCTACACAGCTTACTTAACTTAAATGCCTGGGAAATAGACACAATTACCACCTTATGGAATGCTACTTAACTTTAAATGTTCCCTGTAGAATAGAAACCCACTTCATCAAAATTTATCTCAGTTTCTCAGGAATTATTTCTCCTCTAGGCTCCTGAATATTCCTGAGCACTTTTAAAATTTAACTCAAGGTTGCTTAGAAATAACTACAATAGAAAAAGAAAGAAAAAACTCCCACACTACTGAAGTCTGTTCACAAGTGTTTCTATGAAAGAGCTGTGTCCTATGCCCATTTACACTTTAATCATTCACTCTTTCAGCTGTTATCAATTTAAAACCAATGAAACTCCCGCACTGAGTCCATTTGAGCAGTCAATTTTAATATCTCGAGGCATCTGTAGTTATTCTGAATTGGCTGCAAAAGCAGAACTAACAAGTTAAGCTCTAACCATAAGTCGACATCAGGCTGGTAAACCATACATCAAACACAGACAGTTAGTCAATACTCCAGTATGAAAAACCAACTAGCATTTTTAAGAAGAGCAATATATTCATAATATGTTTGGCAGTCTGGTTTGCATTTCTTCCTGGATGGCTGTGCATTTAACTTTTTAGTCAATAGGGTGGTTCTCAAGCTGGCAAAAAAGCAAATTTGAGGGAAAACTGGTCAGTCTTCTGATCTGTGGGTAATATTTTTTAATGAGAATAAAAGGGATGGGGGAATGAGCCTTTTGTGAATAAGAATCTAGAAAGTGTCTTAAATGGCTGCCTTTTATAAGAAAACTCTTTCCACCATATGTTCTGGATCTTTGAGCACAGTCCCTACTTCAAATATTATGGCATTGTCAGGCCATGTGTCTCAATTTTGTGTTTGGAAAATATGGTTGCTAGAAATACCTCTTTCCCTCCCAGGAATGTCTCTGTGACAGGGTTGTTGCCTCCCATTGAGAGAAGAAGACAATGAAGAAGGAGTATTCAAACAAGATCAAGGCAGTCATCACTTCAATCAAATCGTTTCCAAATTTTGGGGGGTGGGAGCTCTGGGTGAGGGGGAGTGAATGGTGTTTATGACATATAGCTGCCTATTCCCAGAACTCTTTTATGTACTTTTATTTTATCTTCAAAAAGAAAAGACATATTAAAGGGAAATATCTAAGGAGGAGCAATGCTACATAAAGTTTATGTTTTCAGATCTGTTGCCCCAGAAAATGCTTTGATAAAACACACTTACAGCAATATAGTCAATTTCAAAGAAAAGCTGGGAGATATACCTCTCCCTATTGCAATTTCACTAATACTGACAGACCACCAATTATGACTATCCAAATTCTGATATGGCCTCTTGCCTCCCTCCCACAGAGAAGAATAGAAAATGCAGGAATAGCACTTTTACAACATGGAGTTATTTTTCCTGATGACTCAGTTTTACAGAGGCCCAGTTAATTTTCGTTATCACTAATCAGGTGGGGTAAGAAGTCCAAAGAGAGATGCTTTTAATATCGGACAAAATTTGGGCCCCTGAAATAAAATAATGCAAGTTTTTTTTGAATCTTAGAAATTTATGAAATGTTGTTGATTTATAATAGACATGAATTTGGAGAAAAAAGATTTGTAGGCCAAACTGTCAGTGATGCTAAAGGAAATAAAAGAGCACTCTCTTAATCTTAGGATATGTCAAAATGAATTGTGGATATTAATATTTCCTTTGCTCGTAGCAGTCTAACACATCTGCTGAATGGGGTCCCTAATGAGGATATCTGAGTTATGAGAGCTCTGACATGTACTATCTTTAGAGACACACTCAACATACACACCATGTGAACTCTAAAATCCCATTCATATCATAAGTGAGGAAGGAGTGAGACCTCCTTCCTTGAATAGCATGGAAAATTCAACTTGTCTCACTATATAAGAAGCATTCATTCACACATTTGCTCAAATAATCAATCTCCAGGTCAGAATGAAATTCTGCTTTCTTCTCCCTCAGTTATCCACCTCGCCACACAATGAAATCACCATCTAGTACTTAGTGTGAGCAGTAGAATTATACCAACGACAGAGGCGAAAGCAGCATCCAGCACTGGCTTTGGATACTGTTCGTAGGTCTATGGAGGCCCTGAAAAGCTAACAAGAACTAAGCTGAAGAATCTTCCACTGCTCGTGAAGCTGGCTTTAGGAGTCAGGAGGGAACTATGCGGTACAAGAACACCTGCTGGAGAACAGCAGGGTATCAATAATAAATGCTAACCTTTAAAAAGGGGATTCTTTTGAACACTGACAAGGGCCCTGCATCTTTTTCTTCTCATCAGGTGGTTTCACAGAGGAAAGATTTAGGATGTGATTAGAGGACTGAAACAGCCATGGGCCATCTCTCCAGAGCGCAGCAGACTTCTAACACAAGGAGGAACTACCACCCTAGCCTGACTTTTGGTTGTCTCCAACTAGTTGAGGATATGCTTTCGAGAGCACATCAACTTTGGTGCAATGTTGGGGGTGGAAGGGGAGGTTTTGTATCTGTTTTACAATTTAGACACACACACACAAGATTTGAGTTAGAGCACAGAGTATGCTTAAAACATGGCATAGAGTCATAAGATGAAACAAAGCCTGCCTCCACTTGTTACTGCTTCCTTTTTGGTGTGTATGATCTATTTCTTCCTATTTTGTGGAAGCTTGTCAGTCCTCAAACTGGAAGGCTCAAATACAATATTTCAAACTGGCACCAGATTCATGTAACCCTATAGGGCATGCCAGAATTCTGGGCAATCTTTTAAGGATACATAGTCCACAGAATGAATAAAACCAGCATCTATTGCCAGGGCAAAATTTAGTATGGGTTTTAGGGGTCATTGGCTAAAAACAAAATGCCAATATGCTGGCTGAATCAACTGGGTTTTATTCATTTTACATTCCCAGCATTAAGCATAGCTATTACTAGGCATTGGGTCAGTTTCATGGCTGAAGCCTGGTATTATCTGGCATTTCTTTTACTTGAGAAAAGGGAAACATCTTGAGGACTTGATTTAATGTGAAAGAAATGTAATTTAAAGGAACTAAAAGGAGAATGATTATCATTGTTGTTTGCTAACACATAAAGTATAGTGAGTTACATACCAGAAATTTACTGGTAAAACCATTTTGTAGGTTAAAAAAATCAAGTGTATGTAAGTCACAATCTCAAATATTACATTCTCACTAACATCTGTATAAAAAGATCTGTCCCCATAAGAAAATAAATTCTTGAACCACAGGGAAACCAATTTATCATTCTGGCTCATTCTTTTTCCCCTTACCTAATTTGCTCCCATTTCTGAACCTCATTTTCTCTAGTTTGCTCCAAAGCTATTCTGCTTTTAATATCTCACAAGACCTGGATTGTTTCCTGTGTGCACAACAGGCTTTTAAAATACATGGGCTTAACCTGCTACCCAGGTGCACCCTTTTCTCAACATTTCTCCATCTCGCATGGTGTCCTGTATCTTATTATTGAACAAAAGCTAACTATGTGGTACTGTATTACCAACACATTTGCTCCCAAGAGCCTTTAAATAACAGAAACTGCCTGAGAACTATAAATGCAAAGGAACCAGGAAGCTTGTAGGCCGAGATAAAGAAGCTTAAGGTTGGCTATTAATTTTGGCTAATATTAAATCATGACACAGCGCACACGTAAAGATCACAGTTCAATTTTGAACCATAAAGAAGTTTTTTAAAAAAGAAGATTTACAAGATATTTTTAAGCACATTAGTGCATATCGTGGAAGTTGTCAGAGTATTTCAGACCCAAGCAATGATAGACCCATGCCCTAGTATATAAATTCAAGTATAATTATTCTCAGACTAACACTGATAAAGTGGCAAAGTTGGAGCATGTCTCTACCCAAAGCTATTTTACAGTGTTGATCATATATATTTTGCTTAAATTAACAGTGTGACAATTATGTTACTCTGTCATATATCAGTTCTAACAAATTATTTAAAAAACACTTTTCTCTTAACTCAATGATGTTGCTATTCATAAACATGACTGTTAAGTCTAGGGCTGATAGCTTGTATTTGCAGTTTGAATGACAAATCTTTTTTTTGTTTCTCAACATAATTGACATATTTTTAAAAGAACTATAATTTTTCAAAGACATTATTTTCTTTTATGGCAGACACCTTAAACAATCAGTTATGTCTGTGTGGGTAATTACTTAAATGTTCCAGCAGTTGCATGACACTATATAAGTGAGTGTAGTTAGAAAAATGAGCTCATGCCCATTTATGTATAAAGAGCATCATGATTAAAATTACCAAAAAGAGAAATATAAGCCAAGCCCAAGTTATCAGTGTATGTTTCTTGAAGTAAGTGAATTACTGCTGCCTTTCCTAGATGCTTGCCTTCAATGATTTCTCGAGCTTTAAGCAAATACTTAACAGAATGGTTTCCTAGGGCCATCTTGGTCATAATTTACTCTGTGCACCTAAATAAAGAAGAGGAAAAGGGAGAAAGGAAAGAAAGATAAAAATAAGAAAGGCAAGATGAAATGAAGGAAAGAAGAAAGGAAGAAACAAAAAAGAAAGGGAGAAAACAGTTGTGGGATGGCCAAGATAAGCTGAGCACCATTTTCGCATATATCATTTCATTTAAACTTTCAATGTAAATTTCATAAAGAAGAAAGTCAATAACCAGATATTAAGTTAATAGCTGGTAAATCAAAGAATCTGGCTTCAAGCCTGGCTTGGTCAAATTTCAAAGCTGCTATACTTTCAAATAATCTGAGATATTTTCTCCTCATTTTTCTTAATTGTAAAATGGAGCTGAAAAATTGACTATCAGCAGTAAGATTGATTCAGTTTATCAAGAGAATATAAAGCATTCTGTATCCTTTGAAAATATATGATATTTGAGGTATGGGATTAGTGTGGGATGCACCAGCAGACCACCCTAAGGCAAAACCATATCATTGGCCAGGTCTACCCATGTTTTCAGAGCTCTAGTCATTCTCTACAGAGACTCATTCTTTAATAAGAGTGGACAACTATTGCCCATCAGACATTTGGGCAAAGTCACTAATTTGATAGAAATAGAATGAATCAAATAAAGGAAAGAAAAGGACCATAGATGAAATTGATCATTTAAAGACCAGAAGAGAACAATTTAAAATAAAAAATAAAAACAAGACTCCAAAACAACAACAAATTCTAATCTATGTCCTCAGATAGCTTTTAAAAAATATCTACTTTTCCTATTTATTCAATTACCGAATATTTATTGAGTTCTATGTGCCATCCTCACTATTGTATAGGAGTAGAGTGGTCAACACAGTTTTTGTTTTCATGGTATGTGAGAAATGAGATGTGCAAAAAAAGAAGAATGGGAAACAAATCTAGAAAATTGAAAACATGATTGCTAAAGTTAAAATAATATAAATATTGGGGAACAAAACTGAGAATTCTTTCAAAATTTGAGAAAAGATAACACTGAATGAAACCATCAATTCAGATGATCTAATGATCACATAAAAAAGACCTCAGAATAGGAAACAGAGAAAACAGGTGGGAGGAATGTATCAATGTAATAACAAAAATATAAAAAATCCAGCACTGAAGAAAGAATCATAATTCTTAAAATTAAGGGCCAAGCAGAATAAAATTTAAAAATCCTGTCCACTATATACATTATCTTGATTCCAGAATCTCAAAATAAAGACCAAAACCCCCCAATGATTCTGAGAGAGAGAAATTCAAAGTAACAATGGTACAAGCAAAACAATTTTAAGAGCGGAATCTGCAACTCAGTGTTGGACAGGCAATGGAATTTTATACCCAACTAAGCTACTGATCGAGTGTGTGGGCATACTGAAGGTATTTTTTAGACCGTTGAGGACTCATGCTTTCCAAATGGGTTCATGGAAACTGTTAAAGAGTAATAGAAGGGAAGGCATGGGATGCCGAAGACAGTGGATCCAACACAGAGGAGCAGTGGAAGGAGATCACAGGGCAATCAGCTGGAGAGCAACCAGTGCAAATTGGAGAAAGAGGCTGAAAGGACTTTAGAAGAAGATACTCAGGGGGAAAAAAGCAAGGAGTGGCAGACTAGAATACACAGACAGTTTGAGAGAATGAAAGCACATAATGACATAAGGGCCCAGAATGCAAGAAAAAAATGAAACTCTGGGTAGGGGAAGAACACTGTGCAGGAAATTCAAAATGGAAAAATGAATCAGACTAAAAGCGTGATTATAAGCAAATGATAGAGCATAAGGTTTGAAAGCAAGAACAGTATAACTGGAGTGGCCCATAATTCACAGCATGCCACCCATGGATATGTTCAACCAATCTGGCATATAACTTGGCCAAAGATTTGATAGTATTTACATGACTAAAATAAAGCTGATTATTGTTTTTTTCACCATTTAGTCCAAAATATGAAAAAGCCATGGAGGTAACGTGAAACAGCATAAAACTGTTAATATATCCCTCAAATGTAAAAGGAGAGTTTTTCCACAATAATCAGGGGCCTTACCCTTTGAGAGTCACGGGAGTTGTGATATTATAAGTACAGGAAAGGAAGTCTATGTGGTGCTACAGTAAACAATCTTATGTAAGCATAATAGTATGAATGTTGATAGATTGATTAATTGATGGTTTTTTTTGTTTTTTTTTGAGACAGAGTCTCGCTCTGTCGCCCAGGCTGGAGTGCAGTGGCGTATTCTCGGCTCACTGCAAGCTCCGCCTCAGGGGTTCACGCCATTCTCGTGCTTCAGCCTCCCGAGTAGCTGGGACTACAGGTGCCCGCCACCACGGCTGGCTAATTTTTTTGTATTTTTTAGAAGAGACGGGGTTCCACTATGGTAGCCAGGATGGTCTTGATCTCCTGACCTCGTGATCTGCCCGCCTCTGCCTCCCAAAGTGCTGGGATTACAGGCGTGAGCCACCACGCCCGGATGATTGATTTTTAAGAAAGGGAGTCTCACTCTGTCACCCAGGCTGGAGTGCAGTGATGTGATCATAGCTCACTGCAGCCTTGACTTCTTGGGCTCAAGCAATCCTTCCATCTCAGTCTCCTGTGTAGCTGGGACTGTAGACATGCATCACCACGCCTGGCTAACTTTTTTTCACTTTTTGTAGAGAGACAGGGTCTCTTTATCGTGCCCAGGCTCATCTTGAACCCTGACCTCAGGCAGTCCTTTTCCTTTGGCCTCCCAAAATGTTTGGACTACAGGCATGAGCCAACCATGCTCAGCCATGTTTTTTTTAACTTTTAAAATTTACCTATAAATAAGCCATACTTATAAAAACAAGTAAAGTAAAATAAGTTTGTATGACATAGAAGTAGAAGAGAAGAGGCAGAGGAGATGAGAGGAGAAGGTGGCTGTAAATTCTTCATCTTACCAATGGAGGCTTAGCGCTCAATTTTCTAGGGTTAACAAAACTTAAGTAGAGATGTAGGCATCTTGCAAGTTGTGGAGAAAGCTAATGGAGACTGTGGGATGAGCTGTATTTGACTGTAAGTATCTGGCGAGGAGAAGAACCAAGCAGGGCCAGGCGCGGTGGCTCACACCTATAATCCTAGCACTTTGGGAGGCCAAAGCGGGCAGATCGCCTTAGCTCAGGAGTTCAAGACCAGGCTGGGCAACATGGTGAAACCCCATCTCTACTAAAATACAAAAAATTAGCCGGATGTGGTGGTGTGCACCTATAGTCCCAGCTACTCAGGAAGCTGAGGCAGGAGAATTGCTTGAACCTGGGAGGCAGGAGTTGCAGTGAGCTGAGATCATGCCACAGCACTCCAGCCTGGGTGACAGAGTGAGAATCCATCTCCAAAAAATAAAAATAATAATAATAAAAAAAGCTAAGATGAGGCTTGGTGTAGTTGAGTAAAATTCACGCCTATTGCAGTAGAAACCTAAAGTACTGTCTAAGACTGATAAAGTAAGATATTACAACACTGAAGATAAGAAGGACATTGACAAAAAAACAAACCAGCTTTTACCCTAAATAAGAAGGATGTAGGTATGGACCAAATCACCAGAACTATAAATAGAAACTGTTCAAAGTGGTACCTTTTAGGGAGCAAAACTAAGATGAGGCTAGAAAGCACTTCTCCTTATCATAAATCCCTGAGGTGTGCTATTTATTCTTCAAGCAGGTTTTATAATATACTGATTCAAAAATAAGTAATATGATACTAATTTCAGTTTCTACTAATGCCATCCAGTATGGTTTTGTCCTTATTAGGATGAATGAAACTACTTTCTAAACACTAAACATTTCTAAATCCTCTCTGATGCTATTATTTTGACATAAGGGCATACTAATTGCTCCTAAAAAGCCAAACAATGGTTATCTTCTCTAAAAACTGTATTACCTAAACTTGGATGTCAATACTGTTATTTGAAAGATTACATAAGGCAGTCTGGCTAAAACTAAAGAGCTGTTACTTCAGTTCCAAAAGCAGGCCAAGGAGATTTATAAACACTCCTACCACCCAAAAATGGACGCTTTTGCCTATAATTTATATGTTAAACGGATTCAAGTTTTGTTCCCAATGAGATGCTCAATGTTAATAAACTCATATATTTAAAAAGGGCTCACCATTCCTTGGCAAACTTGAATGCCCTTGGAGAACTTTTCCAAAGCTACCACTGCAATGGTACAATGTTTGCTACACCCACCTGAGCTATTAAGATTTCTTTTCATTGAGCAATCATTCAGAATTTTTTTCTGGCCCACTTTATTTGATATCTTAATATGTACTTCTCTTTAGTCATATTAAAGAAATTAGAAAATATGGGCCAGGTGCGGTTGCTCATGCCTGTAATTCCAGCGCTTTGGGAGGCCAAGGCAGGCAGATCATTTGAGGCCAGGAGTTCAAGACCAGCCTGGCCAACATGGCAAAACCCCATCTCTACTAAAAAACAAACAAACAAAAAAACAGTGGGGCATGGTGGTGCATGCCTGTAATCCCAGCTACTCAGGAGCTGAAGCATGAGAATCACTAGAACCTGGGACACAGAGGTTGCAGTGAGCTAAGATCATGCCACTGCACTCCAGCCTGGGCGACAGAGTGAGCCTCTGTCTCAAAAAAATAAACAAACAAATAAATAAATAAATAAGAAAATACAGCACCATCAAGGGACTGTTTCCAAGTCTAGGTTCTAGCTAATGAAACCACATATAAAACAGGTTTTGAAGAAAGGGCTTGTGATTGAGTTTAGATTGTGTGATATTGGGGTAAATCTCTTTTCACATTAAGTGCTTTGTGGACGTGACTCTGATGGGCGTTATAGGGTCAATAAAATATTAGCCCTTCCTGCCCCCATCGTGGTGCTCAATAAAGGCTGGTTGAATTCAAAGCCCAGCCTCCTCAACCTACTGGTGAATTACGTGAAAGAATAAACACTTTGAAAATTGACATGGCCGGCCGGGCGTGGTGGCTCATGCCTGTAATCCCGTCACTTTGGGAGGCTGAGGCGGGTGGATCACGAGGTCAGGAGATTGAGACCATCCTGGCTAACACGGTGAAACCCCATCTCTACTAAAAATACAAAATATTAGCCGGGCGTGGTGGCGGGCACCTGTAGTCCCAGCTACTCGGGAGGCTGAGGCAGGAGAATGGCGTGAACCCAGGAGGCAGAGCTTGCAGTGAGCCGAGATTGCGCCACTGCACTCCAGCCTGGGCGACAGAGCGAGACTCCATCACAAAACAAAAACAAAAACAAAAACAAAAAGAAAAAGAAAACTGACATGTCGCTGCAGAATCCCTCCCAGGTTTCAGGAAGCACAATTGTTAAGGCCCAAACTGCCAAGCACAGCTTTCCTGAACCTTGGTAATAGAGGCCTTTTGTGCCGATCTGGAAGATTAGACAGTTTATAAAGTATGATATAGATTATCTGGCCAAGTGAGCTGCAGAACAATTCTAAAGCCATTATTCCTCTTTCTAAATAATTCTTCCCTTTGAAAGAGTTAAGTCATTTTGCTTGCAAAAACTAACCATTTAACCATTAATCATTAATTGTATGCAATTTTTCTTAACTGATTAAAAATACTGATTTTATTGTTTTTCTAAGTCTTTGCTTTAAGTGTAAGAAAAAAATGGATTAAAGTACTAAGTGTGACTAGCCAGGTATTTTTAAAAATTGGTTTAATGCCTTTTACCGAGTTGGGAAAAAAAAACCCAAAAACTTAGTAAAAGCCTTAAAAAAAGTTCATAGCTAAAACTGAAACAAGCCCAAGAAGTGACTACATTTGCATAACTTGATCTGTACGTGGAAAAAAATTCTACTGAAGACAACAATGGAAGCTTATCAAATCAGAATTTTACATAGATTTTCCATAGCCCTACTAATGAATACTGACTCATTGGTCAGTTATGGTGAAAATTTAATGGAGCTCTAAGATAAGAAATGCATGAATCAGAGTGTGTTTAGCGGTTCCATTGCTTCGGTATGAAAACTGCATTAGGCATCCAGCTTTCCTAATGCTTTCTGAGACCAATTCTAGAGCACTGTAGTAATTAATCCTTCAGCATTTCATGTGGAGCCAGACCCTGCCACTGAATTAAAACCCCTTTTATTTTGTCCCAGTCGTGAAAAACTCGGACATTATGTAAAGTTAGGATTGTTGGTTGCTTAGCTGGTTTTATATTTTTCAAGATGGCAGTTAACCTGCAACTGAATCTTTTCCAAGAAAATGATCATCTATAGGATGAATTCTAAGGCAGAACTGAAGGTACTAGTAATACTACTTAGTGAAGTTGAATCTGTAGAGGGTCAATTACTGTCTACAACTCAGAAAAGTATTATGCATCGGAGAGTAAAAGTCTGAGGCAACTCTGATTTAAAGCAAGGTCCTCGTTTTACCCTTAAATCCTAAGAATTTTCTATTCTATTAGTAATGTGTATGCTTTTGCTTCATGAAATTTCACCTTCTACAATTGGTTCAAAGTGCTAGCTAATTTTTCAGATCTGTTCACCTGTTTCAAAATGGACGGAAACTGATAGATTGAACAGTTGTTATAAATTATTTAAATGCTAATCTTTTTAAGTAATGCTGAAATTAGGATCTGCTTTGCCCTCTTCATGAGAAATGATTGCTTATTAAATCACCTCTCGATTTCTATAAAGTTTAGCCTTTCAGCTTTCTTCTGAGGGTTAGGAGTTTCTTTTCGCCCAATTTCAAATTCTTTCTTACATTTAATTTTCAAAATGTACACATAAGCTAGAAAATTTGAAAAATACAGAGAATAATGAACTTCATGTTTTCTTGTTTTTAAAAAGAATCAATTTAGTCTGTATATTCTGTAAGATAATTTCCAGTTATAGAAATATACTAATCACTGGTTCTATCTATCCATTCATCCTTTCATTTGACACACTAACAGTGATAACAACAATGAATAATTATATTAATAAGCAGTGGGCATTCATAGAATATTTACTTTTGTTCCAGAAACTCTGTTGAATGCTTTACATAGGCTATGTCATTTATTCCTTTCAATGATGTATATAAGTATCCCCATTTAACAAATGAGAAAGCTGAGGCACAGAGAAGATCATAACTTGATCAATGTCAAAATGAGTGACTGGTGATCTAATTAGTCTAATGCCAGAGACCATGATTGGTGGCCATCATCTATTCTTACAATCATCTATTCTGCCCTCTACATATATTTGTAAAACTACCTAGTTATTTCAGTTTGGATTGAGTTTTTAGACTGCCAGCTCTCAATATCCATACATTTTCATGACACTAGTTTGTCTTAGACTTTCTTCCTAGCACTTACTTCAGACTATGACTAGGATGATCAGATAACCTTTTATCCAAATCTGGACATTTCTGATAGTGAAAAGGGCTGGGTTGGTAAGTGTGCTGGTTCATACTTACTAAAACCCAGCTGTGAACTGGAACCACCCAGACACAGGAGGACATGGTATCATTCTAGCAGGACACTAGGATATCCTTTCTCTGTTCCTAGTGCAGAACACAGATCCTCTGTGGGCAAAACTAGGTATATTGTTCAATGGCCCCATGATACCTCCTTTATTTTCTCAGGATCTGTTTTCTGGACAATTATTTTTCTTTTCTCTGTTACAGAGTAGAAAATTTAATAAGCAACCTAAGAAGAATAAAATATTCTAATATTCCTTTAGAGCTGATTAGCTATGAACACAGAGGCACATTCATTTATCACAGTTATAGTACAAGTATAAAATGACCTGTACCTTTAATAAGTCCTTTTTCTTGCAGAGTTTTCAGGGAAGGTCTTCGGGTAATAAACTTCTTTAATCTGCTTTTAACTCGATTTTTGTCGCTTGTATCGGAAGCACTGTGATGCAGTCTGAACACTGAAGATTTAAAAAAATCAGAGGCTTTTGGTAAATTTCTCCTTTATGATTATTACTTTATGCAAATCTGAATAGAAAACAGTAGTTATGAAACAACTACCTGAATTAATAGCTCAGGCTCTTCTGTCTACAACAAGCCATGTGAGTAAAATTTGCCCACATGAAAGTATTAGTCCTGTTGTTGCAGCATGAATGTACAATGAGAATGGGATTAGTTCCATATATTCACAATTTATTTTCACTTTCATTTCCTTATATTTAACGTAATCTTTACATGGATAATTCCATGTATTTATGCACAAAATTGTGGTCAGAGTAAAGAAAAATTCATCTAAACTACAGGAGACAACTCTTTAGCATTGCTGATTTCAATTAAATATGATTATATACCATCCCTAGCTAATGCAGACATTTCTGGAGGTCCTGCTTGCTTGAATAAACTTGTCAATCTTCTTTTCTATATTAACCTGAAGTGATTTATTTTTCTGAAGCAGGTATTTCTTACTCTCCTTATTGATGTATAATTACTACCAGTTCTATGTGAAATTCAGAAACATAATTTGCCTCAAACTTTTTCCATGTCTTCATTAGTCCCCTCTCCTCAGTTTCCTATTCTCAGATTTATCTTCAAAGTCAGGTGTGTGTAAAATTCACTCCTGAACAAATATTTGCTGAATGTCTACTAATCAGGCTCCATGCTAAAGGCTGTGAATTCGGGGATGAATATAATACATGAGGTCTGGGTTTTCATTAAGCATGGTCTAAACACATCCAAGATGTCTTCTTCCTCCTCCTCCTCTTATTTTTAGACAGAGTCTTGCTCTGTCACCCAGGCTGGAGTGTAGTGGTGTGATCATAGCTCACTGCAGCCTCAACCCTTCAGGCTCATATGATCCTCCCACCCCAGCCTCCCAAGTAGCTGGGACTACTGGCTACACCTGACTAAAGTTTTTTTTTTTTTTTTGGTAGAAATGGGATCTCACTTCATTGCTCAGGCTGGTCTCGAACTCCTGGGCTCAAGTGATCTGCTCACCTCAGCCTCCCAAAGTGCCAGGATTACAGGTGTGAGCCACTGTTCCTGGCCCAAGGTGTCTTATTATTAATTACTGATAGTAATTTGTTGTGTCTGTAGACAAGATATATATCTTAACTGAACGCTCCACTGCCTTCATTCAATTGTTGACATAATGAGAGGGTTTGGGATACTTTATTAGGTATTCTTTTTAATAAATATAGATATGCTTTTGAAAATCTACCTGGTCCAGGGAGTGAGAAACCTCTCTATAACTGGCAAAGAAAGGGAATTTTTGCATCCTGCTTTCCCTGCCTTTGACTACAAAGCAGGCTCAAACTTGAATTAGCAAAATGGGGAATTAAGGTGAAGTTCAAGACTGAGAATGACAGAAAAAGAAAAATATCCTGCTTATCTCCTAGCTGGGAGAAGGGTGGAATTTTATTTTTCAATTAAAGTTTGGATTATCACATAGGACTAGGTACTGTAAATTACTAAATTGAGACAATTCTTGCTACCTGAAAATCTGTAATACTTTATATTACTTTAAAGTATTGCTTCCCAAATTTTGTACTATTGACATATTAGGGTAGACAATTCTTTGTTGTAGAGGCCTGTCCTCTGTGTAGGATATGGAACAGCATCCGTGGTGTGTACCCACAATATGCCAGCAGCACGCCCTCCTTAATTATGACAATAAAAAAAAATGCCTCCAGACTTTGCCATAGGTCCATGAGGGTGGAGGTTGGGGTACAGAATTACTTCCTGTTGATGATCATTGCCTTAAACTGATTGGAAAAATTATAGGGCCATCTGAAGTTCTCATTTATCGGTGGAAGGTCTATCTATACATTGAGAAAATGTAAAAGAACTCTGAAAAGAAAAATAAATGTCTATATATCTATAGCATATGTGTGTATGTATATATACACAATCTCATACATATCTACCATCTATCTATATATTTGTCATGAGCTATCTATTTTTTAAATGAATTGATAATAAAAGTACAGTGACTATCATGTGAGAAAGGTAGACAGCTTCCCAGCTATGGGGCTCTTAAGAATGGACACAGGGAGGACAACACCACACACCAGGGCCTTTCAAGGGGTGGGGGCAAGGGGAGGGAGAGCATTAGGACAAATACCTAATGCATGTGGGGCTTGAAACCTAGATGACGGGTTGATAGTTGCAGCAAACCACCATGGCACATGTATACCTATGTAACAAACCTGTACACTCTGCACATGTATCCCGGAAATTAAAAATTTTTTTTTAAATTAAAGTAAACTTTAAAAAATGGGTACTATAGGTCTGAGAGTTAACAGATGTCCTCAGCTCTTAGGGTAATTTAGGCAAGACCAAGACAGCCTGAGTCCTTGTGGCAGTTGTACTGTATATTCTTTGGCTATGAGCAGTTTCCACCAGTGTGTTATACAAGTATGATTGTCTCTGTGTATCTCAATAGTTTGAAAAGCACTGCTTTAGACTTGTGCTATCCAATGTACTAGCCACTAGTCACTTGGGGCTATTGAACACTTGACATGCAGTTTGAGCCATATGTTGAAATGATAATTTTTGGATATTTTCTGCTAAATAAAATATCTTATTATTTAAATTGTTTCTTTTTGCTTTTTAAAATGTGGCTACCAGAAGATTTTACATTATACATATGTTTCATGTTGGACAGTGCTGGAAGATAATAAAAAATAAACACAAATTGACCACCTACTATATACATGGCAGTGCTGGGTTTAATTGTTGTGGATAACATGTATATGGCCTGTGTAATTATTTATTTTTATTTTTATTATTTATTCATTTATTTTTGAGATAATCATTACCCTGTCACTTAGGCTGGGTTGCAATGGCACAATCTCAGCTCACTGCAACTTCCACTTCCCAAATTGAAGTGATTCTCGTGCCTCAGCCTCCCGAGTAGCTGGGATTACAGGCATGTGCCACTAAGCCTGGCTAATTTTTTTTTTTTTTTTTGAGATGGAGTCTCTCTCTGTTGCCCACGCTGGAGTGCAGTGGTGCGATCTCGGCTCACTGCAACCATTGCCACCTGGGTTCAAGCAATTCTCATGCCTCAGCCTCCTGAGTAGCTGGGAGTACAGGTGAACACCACCATGCCTAGCTAATTTTTGTGGTTTTAGTAGAGATGGGGTTTTACTATGTTGGCCAGGCTGGTCTTGAACTTCTGACCTCAAGTGATCCACCCCACCCCCAGCCTCCCAAAGTGCTGGGATTACAGGTGTGAGCTACCACGCCTGGCCTAATTTTTGTATTTTTAATAGAGGTGGGATTTCACCAGGTTGGCCAGGATGGTCTTGAACTCCTGGCCTCAAGTGATCCTCCTGCCTCATCCTCCCAAAGTGCTGGAATTACAGGTCTGAGCCACCATGGCCGCCTGTCTGGCCTGTGTAATTATAATGCAGCACAGTAAGGAGTCAAATGGAAATGTAAGAGATTAAAGGATCTAAGAGGAGGGATTGACCTCAGGTCATTTTGGAGAAATATCAAGTGCCCTGAGAACCCAAGCAAACAAAAATTGCTTTTACAAGACCTTGAATATCAGCCATTAACAAATTCAAAATTGTATAGTTGGAAGAGTCATTCTGAGCATCTTAACAAAGTGTGTTTATGTGCTATCCTAACAACTTTCCTTCTAGGTCCAGTCATCGCAGTGACCACCAGTCATGTATGATCTGCTTCAACTGACAGCTGTAGTCAAAGTCCCATAGGTCTGTATTCTAGTGTTGGAGACTGAAGAAACACTTAACATCCTTCAGAATAACTCTGCCTCAGGGCAATTTTGGTTTCAAGTCCATCTTTGGAATGACACAGAATAATCAATCTAAGTTTTCACAGGTTACAAAAGTAATATTTTCGATTTCTGGTCTCACCTCAAAAACCTTGCCATTTCCCATGATAGAATACCAAGAAATGCAGGGCCAAGCACGGTATATTTTTTTTCTTCCATTTGGAACTAGTAAAAACGATGCCATTAGAAAGTACTTTGCAAATTAAAATATACACACATGACGTATAAATGCTAGATTATGAAAATAATTACGGTATGAGTTATATCTTTTTGAAACTCCCCTAGGTATTCTGGTGATAGTATTCTTAATTAGAGAGATATATATGTATATCATATTGTCTTCAATACCACCATCTGGCTCCACATGTGAGAAATGCGTGTAAGGTGCATTGGTTTTTCAAAGAAAATGAAAATATGTTTTTAAATGCTTTATCTTGTTTCCTTCTCATACATACTGAGAAACTAGCAGAGTCTTGGACATGATTAGACAGTTTTTAACGTAGCCAAACTCTCCAAAGTTGGCTCTAATGATTACTTTCCTGGAGACAGACTAGAACGTCAACTTCCATTTCCTGATGCCGTAAATAATTGTCCTCAGATGACAAGTCAAATTACAAGGCCTGTGCCATCATTCATTCCACTCATTTTGTTCTAAGAAGAGTTATGTAGAGGTTGAAGTCAATAGATGACTATAATATATAGCATACTTTTTATTAACCAAATAACTTGAAAGCACTATAAATACAAAATAAAAATGTTAAGAAGTGCGTGGATATAAAGCAAGGTCCATCACTGGGACCCTGTAAACAGCCGTAAAAGTCTTTGAATATCGTGGTTTACAAATCTGATTTTAACAGCCAAACTTATAAAACAGTTTACGCTTTTCTGTTGTCAAGGGAGAAAAACTTGCCAAATTGTTCATTTTAAGTAAATACAACATAACCAATTAAGGAAAGCAAAATTTAAACACATGCCTGTGATAATCGGGACATAGTTTGCTTCTGATTTCACTACTGATTTTAACAGAACAGTGTTCCTTCCATTTTCCCACAGCACCCAAGTGACCCCACACATACTTTTAGAAACTTGTAATCACACAGTGCAAATAAAAGGACACTTTACTGGAAAATACACAGTGTGGTACAATAATCCATCATTTATGAAAAATAGAATTCAGCCTTTTCTTTTCCCTCAGAGATTCAACTACTTTTTGAGGGTGAAGCTTCCTGCAGTTTAAAGATTTATGTTAAGCCAACGAGTAGTTTTTTTTTTCCATTCCCACTTTGAGTTTTTATTTGAAAATAAATAGAGCCAAAAGAGATATGGGTTTAAACTCTGAAATATTTAATCTGATTTGCATAAGAGACTAGAGCAATCACTCTTAATCCTAGGTATTTTTACCTCCATAAACATTAACCTTAACCTGAAATGTACTAGCTTTCCAGGTATTCTAGAATTTACTTATATTTCCTTTATGTTTTCCTCTGCTTTTCCCATTGGAGATCTTTTCTGTCAAGCCTGAACAAATAGAATGCTTTTCAAAGACTGAGAATTTTCAATAACAATAGGCAATTCAAATCTCAACACACAGGCCAAAGGCATTAGCTTTAAATACCATTCTTAACCAGTTGAGAGACTTAATTGGTGCTAAAACTGCTCTCACCAGAGGGGAGTTAGAATTCTGGGCTTTCTAAGATGTTAGGATAGTGGGCTTTCTAAGATGATCTTCAGTTAATAGTATTACATATGAGAATAGGCATTAGCCCAACACAAGTGTTATACCTGACACAGCTATTGTGCTATTAAAAATCACCTCTAGAGCTACGAATGCTTACTGTAAATGGGTGCCCTTAGTATACTTATTTTCTCACTTTAGTAACAGGAAGGGGAAACAATGCCCTCTGGATGGACGACGAATATCTACTCCCATTTAGGGTATGGGAACCAAAAAAGAAAACCCCCAAATCTTCCAGAATTCAACGGTTTGGATAATATGATCCAAAATTGTGCATCTGCCAGAACATCTCTTTCTGGGGACCTTATTTTGAAATACCTTCTTTTCCTGCCAAACTGCTGTTCTCGCGGTATTCCCATGTTACAATTACATGTTGTTATTATTTTTTTTTTGAAATTTGGAAGTGCTGGGACAGCCAACATTTCAGAAATGTTGCTAAAGGAAAGTGGAGTCATTATACTTCAGAAAAGCTATTACACACAGCTTTCTACACTACTTGTTCTCACTTTATCGGTGAGGTTTGACATTGAGATCAACATCAGTGTAGGTAGATAGTTTTGTTAGCAGCTAGGAGCTCTAAACATTTCAATTCAATTCCAAAAGGACATCAAGGGCAAAGCTGGCAACAGTAGCTTTAGTGCCATCATCTTACCACTCTGCAGTATTCAGAGCAGGAAATCAAAGAAAAAAAAAAGACAAAATAAGGTTTTGTCAGGCTCTTAATCCCCAGAGGTTCCAAAACTCTTCTCACACCATCATAGGGATTACATAACAAAGTACTGAATTATCTCCACTCACATTTTCCAACACAAACTTCTTGTATTGGAATTACCCTGCTTAACTACTTTCCAAATTACATAAATAAGAGCACCTTATCCCAAATTGATTGAAAAAAAGAAATCAAGTTTATTACATTTCTTTCCAGCCTCCTGTTTATTCCTTTCCAGGGCATTCACGCTTGTGCTAATTCATGGGGCTGTAATAAATACTGCTTTGCCTTCCCCCGCCTGTGGTTTCAGAGCTCCCAGAACTTTGCACATAACTCCCTATGTCAGAGTGGGCAGAAAGGGTAAGTTTGGGCTTAATGTACTGTTGGTCATTTAATATCTCTTTTTTTCACTTGCTCAGTGTAAATAGAAGTCATAATTTCAAACCCCAACTTGCAGCCTGAAAAACTAAGTTATTGAAACTTTAAGTGACTTGCTCAAAACACAAATCATGATTAAATCTGGAAATAATTGAAAGAGGGAATGCTGGGCACTTTAACTGCAGTGCTCAGTTTTAACCACTTAATTCCCACTTAGACATTGTGGAAATACAAAATAGACAATTAGATTCATAACAGAAGGGTGTGTACTCATCATCTATTCCATGATTAATATTCATGCTATCTACCCATTTAAGGAGAAGTGAAAATTCATACAATTAAAATGTTTACTTTTAGACTGCATTATCAACTTTAAGTAGTTAAATCTAACCACATTTTTGCATTTTTGATATCAGTGAACAGCTGGCGTCTACTGTCAATTCAGCCATAGGAAAATTTCATGGCTACTTTTCTCAGGAATTTATGTATCCATGTCTTCTACTTCTAATGCATTTGTCTATGATGTAAATTCTTCACTGTCTTTTCATGTATAGACTTAGTATTTTTATTTTGCTCGTAATACATCTTAGGTGTATCTACATTGATAATGTATTTCTATAGTGTAAGGCAGGGTGTTTTGTTTAAACTCTTTTTGTTATAGCACTTAGCATAGCTTTGGGTTTCATAGTGAGTACTTTTAATGGTAATAATGATGATTGATAACTTCAATCCCATACTGCAAATATTAAGTATACCATCACAATGTTTAATTTCCCTTCCACTATAGATTTATCTGGTTTCCTTTTATAAGCCAGAGTTTAATGACTTTTTTTTTTTGCGTCACAGGTTATGAAAATACTACATTTTCAGAAAAACAATAAAAAGAGGGAAAATATACCTAAACAGCAAAACCTATCTTGTATGTAGAGAAACACAATGACATTTTTTTTTTCCTTAAAACAAAATGAGATACAGTGTAAAATGTAAAGATTCAGATCATTTAGACATTCTTCTATTGATTATATATTTTAACTGGGCTTCTTATGACTTGATATAGTGTCAGTAAAACTTTGTCACTTGAGAGCTGTTCAAAACTTTGATAAATTTGCTAATAAAGTAAGTGGTTATTGAGCTAAGGCAGTAGCTGATATTGAAAGCTGAATTACTAAAAAAAAGAAGAAAATATCATAGGGCATCAATCCACACAAAGGGCACTGTGAAGCAGAAATATGTTTTCCATGAGGAAAGATTGTATATTAAATACAGGAATGGGTTCTCTTCTAGTGATAGAAAACAGGCCACAGCCAAATCAAATGAGAAGAGCCTTAAATATAAATGTGAACATCAGTCCATAAAAGAGAAAAAAAAAAAACCCCAAAAAGAGTTGTAGGCGTGGTAATTCCACCAGAGAGGTGATAGCCTCTGCCTTCTACGAAATTAACACTTAGATTTCCGCAAAAAAGTAAGTCAAGTTGGAGAATAAAACACATGCATATATAAGAATATTGGATATTTCAGTACTGATGTATGGACTCAGATTCTGAACCATCATTAGCAGTATTTCAGTTGAGTGGCATTTAAATACTCTTTCCATGTATACATACATAGTGAGAGCTACCACTGTATATCATATGTACGTATTTGTTTGCACATTTGTAAAAATGCCTGTAAAGATACATTCTCAGCAGGTATAGAGGGGAGTAACATATAGTAATTTTGAGGCTTCTTCTTTAAATCTCTAAATTCCTGGACTGTGTGTTACAATGTATCTTTAGTAAAGAATATGCTATAATGTATCCTTAATTTTCCAAACAAAATTTTCAGCCAGGACAGAAAAACATACATGACATGTGCAGATAGTTTGAGAAATGTCTTAAAGCCAAATAATCAATAGTTAAGAAGTGGGAAAATGTTTCTTAGATTATAAGTTATACATAATTCTTCTAAAATAGTCTTAATTTCCACTTTTGCTAGACAATCGGATTATTCTAATGTCATATTTATAATAATGACTAATATTTTGAAGTTATTTGCTATATAATAAGGAATTTACTAAGCACATTGATCTCATTTAATCCTTATCAATATGGTAGGTTCCATTATTATCCATTTTACAGATTAGAAATCTGAGGTTCAGAGAAGTTAAGCCAAGTAGCAAATCAGTGGCAGAACCACAACTCAGGTGGTGTCTGATTCCCTGCCCTAAGGCCCTGCCTGTCCATCTGTGTGGCAATGCTGTCACCGTGTCTAAGGACATAGAGAGATGGTAATGTCCCCCACCCCCTTGCCTCACCATACTCAAGTACTTGCAACCTAAGGTCTTAAATCATCTGCTTTACCATGAACTGATTACTGAAACTATCCATGTGGTGTGTATCATTGTACGGCTGAGAGAGAAAAAGAGTCATCTTAGGTAAGATGAGTGAATCATGGGACAACAGTGGAGCTGGTGGCTGAATACTCTCTGGATTGCCAATAAGAACAGTTGAAGAATACATCTGGGTAGGACAGAACTGTAACCACCATGGACATGAATTGAGTTCTGCTGCAAGGATGCATACTGGGCAGAAGACAAATCACTCACCATGCTCCAGATTGCTCTATGCAGCAAGACAACAATGAACACAGAAGGAGAGATGTAGGTGGGAATTGGGGGTTCCTTTCAGGCAAAAATGGCTAGCAACCTAGCTGTGTCTTTCAGTTTTACCCCTGCCCTCACACAATCTTTTTCAGACACACACTTAGCCCACAACAGTGTAAGTGAATACATTTACTTCTGCAAACTCCTTAGTTCTTCTTTCAGCCAAACTGGGAAATCCCATTCTTCTCTATGCCCAACCCCAGAGCTCAGAGGCTTGTTTTGTTCCTGGTTGCTTCACAGGAACTGAGTGTAAGAGTTCAGGATCAGGACTTGGGGAAAAGCAGATAAGAACCATTGATATGCTTCCTTCCAATTGCTAATGCCATTTCTTTCTTTTTTCTTTCTTTCTTCCTTTTTTTCAAGTGTGTTCCTTTCTCTCCTACCCATTCTTTCTTTTTTGAATAATATAGGCTTTGGATTTTGAATTCCAACTCTGTCACTTAACGTTGTATCTTATTCAAGCTATGCCAGTTTTTTGTGCCTGTATTGTATCATCTGTTAGATGGGGATAATAATATCCATGCCAAGGATTTTTGTGTATGTTAAATGTTCTGATATAGGAAAAACATCCAGCTCAATGTCTAATGTATAATACATATGTAGTTAACAGAAGCAATTATTAATCTTAATAGATTAATATTAATGATTAAAATATGATTAATAATTAAAATATGATAGGCATCCTGCATCATCATCACCACTGTAATAATCATTAAATTTACAGAACAGGTGTATAAAAAGGACCCTTCTCAGCCTCCATCCCAGTGTCTCTCACTTTTTCAACATTTACTGAGCATTCACTATGCATCTGTTGTTATTAGATTAGACCCTTAGCTGCTGTATATGTGTGTGTGTGTGCGCGAGTGTGTGTGTGTGTGTGCGAGCATGTGTGTGTGTGTGTAAATGATTTGGCTCTCATTAAAAAAATGCTTGTATACTTTCCCAAGAGTTACCTGTGATTAATTTCTGCCAGGTAGAGTGTATTTCAAGACTTTGAACATGTGTTAAAATCATTGGGTTTTGAAGAACTATCCATTAACGACTTTCTGAACTGTGACAATGGATATTGACAGGGCTTGTCAGACTAAACCACTATTGATTGGCTCACATCATGTGTATAGCAAAAGCAATTTCTTTCAAGTGCTTCTTCCTAACTGAAATACATTATTGCAGCCTTCCTCTCTGTTTATTATAACACCCAAGCTCATCGCATGTAACACATCCAGCAAAAAGGTTTCACAATGAAGCAGCAAACAGCAACACAGAAGTGAAGGTACTTAGCAATCCAAATACTCTTGTACTGTAAATTGCTATGTGTTTGCAAAATATTGATTCCTTGCAGAATCTTTGTTTTTATTTTATAATCCTCTTGAATAAGGAAAGATCATGGACTAACAGAGCTTTGCTATTGTTTAATGACCCTGTGACTCTCATGGTTTCTACTCCTGAAAGAAACTATTTTAAGTATTGTGTATATGTTTAAGTTGTGGGAAAGAAAGTGTTTATGTTGGGTCAGTGCTCTCCTGCCCATAAACACATACAGCTCCACACACACATATGCATAGGGCTGAGTCTTTTCCCAAACCTTAGAATGTTTTCTTCATTATGTGACTTAAGCCAACTTTGGGCATATGCTACATATTGTACAGTTTTATTATTAATTTGAATTTGCATTGTGCCTTTCTTCCCAAGGGGACACAGTTCTTACTGAAACAGTACTCTTACATAACAAAGAGCATTCTCACAATACCCCCATGAGTAGGAAGAATTCCAGATTTATTTTTTTTACTTGAAAATATTATTATTAAACATGTTTCAAAGAAGTCTTTTCCACAAGTACTAGGGGACCATAGCTCAGGCTTCTTGGAGTGTTTCAGAAGTACCCCAGAGCCCAAAGAAACTTCAGCAATAGTTTTTATCCTTTAAGAAACCCCAAGTTTACTGTATACAAGTGCCTGGAAAAAGCAGAGTATTCCTAAATTCCGAGGGTAATTCTCAGGGTATTCCTGAAATTGGCACCCCTCTAAAAATGATTTTTCTCACCCACATGAGTCACTTTTGATAAAAACAGGGGAGACTCTTGGTTAACTCCAACAATGCTTTAATTAAATCTGGTGTGGTGCTGCCAGTTTCTCTCCCATTCTGAGCATGCCTTGCAATTTAAAGGAAAATAAATTGCATAGGAGGCTGGCAAATGAGAGTCAAGAAAAATGTATCATCCCTCAAAGCCCCTCTAAAACTGCAGAGTTCCAAGTTTACTTGAATGTTCTAGACAACGATTTCTCCTGAAATAAGGATTCCTTTGGGTCTTGTCTCTGGCTGTAAGCTATGGCCCAGGAGGATGGCTGCTCTGGGCACCCTGGGCTATGCCCTTCCTCTGGCTTCACCCCTTTGCCATGGCCTTCTTACCCCCACATTCCCCAGCTGTAAGACAGGTTCCTGGCCTGGGGCCCATGCTCTTGGCACCCTCTGTAGGGCCCACTGTGTCTTGAGGAACAGTTGGTTGTCAGAGTGGTAGCCTCCCTTGCCTTTTTCAGGACATCGAATATCCGGAAATGTCAGGCCAGAGTCAGTGAGTCTCTCACAGAATAGTTTTGTTGGGACAGAACCCTCTATTAAAAGCATCATTTTGACATAAGATTTAAGCTATTTGCTCCAAAATGTGCGTGCGAAGCACTGATGCCCTCCCCCACAGGAAGTGTATTGAAAAATGCAAGGGGTGCTCTGAGCAGATCTGAGGACACAGTATGTCGTCTACGGCTAAGTGATCAGGGATAGTGGGGTGGTTTGTCCTCACAAATGCTGACAGACAGCTGCAGTTTGCAGCTGGCAGGGAGCTTATGCTCACTAAACAAAGATCTAGCTGGAGCCCGGTGAATACTTGGCTCTATTGCAATAATCATAATTCATAACATACATTTCTAAAGAAGGAGAGAAAACTAGGAAAAGCCCCACAAAGATCCACATCATTCTGACACTTGATGTGGTCTGGATATAGGTTGTTTTATGTGTTGTCCATTTTGAAATCCCTCTGGGTGCTGTATGGTGATGGTGGTCACCATGTGTGTGACAAATGGAACTACTTTCTGCTTCCAGCCACCCTTTTGGATTAACTCTTCCTTCCATTTAAAAATTGTGATGGGAGATTTACTTACTGCCAAAACTCCAGTGTTATCCCAAATATTTTACTTCTTTCCTAAATGAGTTAATTGTAATCAAATTGCCAAGCTTTTTTCTGTTGTTGACCGTCAGATAACCCCATTCTTGGGCACAGTTCATGTTGGAGTCTCAGAAACATGAAATATTAAATCTGGAGGGAACTTGAGAGAGCATGGAGTGAATGCGCCTAGCTTTTCAGATGAAGAAAAAGACGCCCAAATTGTTTAAATCATTTGGTTAAGGCCACGTAGTAAGAAATAAAGGTTCAATCCAAATTTCTTAATCACCATTTCTGGTTTTCTGTCAGCACCTCTTTATGCCTCTCTAATCTCACATTTAATTTTAGAGAAACACTGTTCCTAAATCCAGAAGAATGTTCCAGAAGAGACAGTTCTGTTGTTCGAGGTGCCCACTACTGGCCCAATTCTTCCAGTAACCAGGAATTTTAGATTTAAATCTAAATGCAGTAATTGCCATCAATTAATTTTGTTTTATCCTACATTTTTTAAGAATTGGGCAGTTTTGAATATAATATGGAAATATATTTAAATTTGTATGCATAATTATGCATAATAACCTGAAAAATACATGCCTCAAGGGTGGGGGGTGATTACAGTAGCCTTCCTTTTGACATGTAGCAATGCTAAGTGTTTTGCTTTTATCCATTTCTTTAACTTTTGGTAACCTGAAATCTGTAATAGATTATTATTATTTGGGGTTTTGAGTCTTCCTTTTCCCTGGGGGAAGAGGATTTTGTTGCTGAATGCCAGGACACCCCTACAGATGCAGATGTCACTGAGAAGAGTGCCTGCTGGATATAATTTCCATGTGTTTCAGCCTAAGCTAGGAGGGAATATAGAGGATTGAGCTATGGATGGGAAAATTCATTTCGCCAAATTCCAACCCCTCTGAAACTTGAACTTTTGGACTATTGAACGGGCTGAGATTTCGGTCTTCTTCAGGCTTGTTTACTCTTCACAAAATGGAACTTCTGGTCTTGGAAAAGAAAAGTCTTTGGGTTTTAAAGGCCTCCAAAAGCTTCTTGAGACATTAAGTACCTCTTACATAAAATAACACAGTGATGATTTAAGACTGGAGGAATTGGAAATGCACAGATTAAATGACCTTTAAAATACACATAGGTTTAAAATCGAAAGGAAAATGCACTTAGCAAAAAAGCATTTGGGATTTATTTCTAAAATATGGCTGGAAACATTAAGCAAACTCAAAATGAGGCAGTGCGCACACATCCTCATTTTGACTTAAAGATCTACTTTAAATAACACAACAGATGTAGTCATCAGCATTTATTCCAACAGGGACACTGTGAATGGTGAGAAAGACACGGTAAGACATGGCTAATAACAAGAACTACTGTCATTGTTGTCCCTTAATCCTCCAAACTGTCAAAGCAGAACCAAGAGTAAAAGAGAAATATTCTGGCAGGATCTGACTCCCTCCCCATTTTTGTCAAGCAGTTCAGTTAGGAAATATCCACCAGGAAATATTTCCTTCACTTAGTCATCAGAAAGAAAGTTTAGCTGTTTGCACTCTGGCACAGCAGAAAAAAGAAAAGGCCACCTGTGAACGTTAGTGTGAAAACACGAACAAGTGCTGGGGAATGCAATGGCTAAGGAAAGCAGAGGGGGACAGAAACATGGAGCTTAGGTGGGCCTTTGCAAAGGAAAATGGAAATTTATTGCTCCATTGCAAGTCAATGGCCAGCTGAGAATTTCTCTGAGTCATGTGATGGTTTGGCAAAAATATTTCTTTTCTCATTTCATGGCCACAAGAAATAAAATGTTGTTGGAATGCAAACTGGAGGTGAGGCTGAAGGTGGGGTGAGGTGGGTCTTCACGTTCTAGTTTGGAGTTTAATGGTGGTTCCTACACTGTCTGTCATCAAGCCTAGTATGTAGCGGTGATCAATAAAAATGTTTAATAATTGAATAGTATCAGAGCAAGATGTATGGTGGAAAGCACACAGGCTTGCGCATTAAGAGATCTAATTTTGAGTCCTGGGTCTACCACTTAGCAAGTGTGTGACTTAACTTCCCTGGAGCCCAGTCTCCTCATCTGCATAATAAGGATAAAAAGATCTTGGTGCCATGTTGCAAGGATTAAATACTATGATGTACAATATCACAGTGCTTTATATATACTCAAGTAGATTACAGTCCTCCCCTCCCTTCCTCCTCCTCTTCATCATTCCCCCCATCATCATCATAATTTACAGCTTTCACTAGCTTAGCTGAAAAGTGAGTTAAATAGAGATAGTCCTTAGGCTTTGGGAGCTAACAATTAAACCTCACAATACTGATGCGTCTAAACAGAAAGAGGATATGAATAATTTAAGAAACTTGGAATAAGTATATAAAATTAAATTAAGCTTATATTAATACTAGCTCTCATTAAAAAGTCATGTTCATATTGAATAGGAAGAGCCCTAGGAATCGCCTGTTGAGACAGTACATTTTCTCACACTTTTGACGCATTGCATACCCAATTCTCCAACTGCATGAATGTTTGTTAATTGCAACTTGATAGCAATAAATGTACTGGTAGTATAAATCTCCCTGGTGAATGCATGGTGTGGGTTACTACTACCACTTCTCCTAATAATAATTTTAAAAAAATATATAGAAATCTTTTATTTTATACACCTTAATTTAAAATTTATGCCGTGTCTACCCAAACAGAAATGGCAGGAGGTCTGATTTGATAAATGTGGAACAATGTTACCTTATGTAGTGATGATAATGATCAGAATTGCATCAGATGTATATCCCATGCCATGTAGCCTTAGGACACACAATTGTATACTTTGATAATCACAGCTGAAACATCTTTTACATATTAAAAAAAATTTAACACAACACTTGATTAATTGCAGATGGAATGTCAGCTCTGGGGAGAATCTAAAGATCCAAGGAACTGAGCTGTGAGTACGGTTGGGGGTAAGGGAGTAGATTAGTAGGCAGGAGACCCTTTGCTTTGCTTCTGCAGGCCATAGGGTAATTTCCGTCACTTTTCAGATAGATTAGCTCTGAACAGCAGAGTAAAAGATGGGTCCTCAAAATGAGTGTCTCCTGGGTAAGCATTCAAACCTGTAGATGGAGGTGATTGGTTACACTTCTTATCAGTCATTCATCCTACTCCAAACAGATTGGTCTTCCTGCTCTTTCTTGAGCACATCCTGCCTCAGGTCCTTTGCACATGCTTCTTCCTCTGACCTGAACATTCTTTTCTTAGACATCCACATGGTAACATACCTCACTTCCTTCAGGCCTGTCCCCAAACATTCCCTCCTCTCCTAGGTTCTTTCTCTACTTAAAATTGTAAGTTTTCCCCACTTAGGAGCCCTCTATCCCCTTTCTTTTCTGTGTTTTTGTTTTTGTTTTTACTTTGCTAAACATCACTATCTAATATGTATTTTACTTCTTTTAATAATATCTCTTTTTTCTTCTCTCCCATTAGAGAGGCTTTCCCAGAGCAGGATTTTTGCCAATTTTTTAATTACTTAGTTTTGTAGAGACTCTAGTCTCAGTTCTAGAGACTCTGGTCCCAGATAATCTTTAAGCAAAAAAGTGCTCAGTATGTGTGTGCATATATACACAAACAAAAATAAATGCATGCTCTCTATGTGTATATATATATGTGTGTATATATACACATATACACATACACATGTGTGTGTATATATACACACATATATGTGTGTATATATACACACACATATTCATATCCTCTTTCTGTATCTATACACACACATGTGTGTATACATGTATGTGTATATGTGTGTATATATACACATGTGTATCATATACATTTATACATGTGTATCATATGTGTATATATGCACACATGTGTGTGTGCATATATACACACATATTCATATCTTCTTTATCTATACACACATGTATATGATACACGTGTGTATGTACACACATATGATACACATGTGTGTATATACACACATATATACACATATACACATACGTGTATATATATACACACATAAATATACGTGTATATATATACACACACACATAAATATACGTGTGTGTGTATATATATATATGCGAAACTGTTTGGAGCAGGATATATATATATATGCCAACCTGTTTGGAGTAGGATGAATGACTGACAAGAAGTGTAACCAATCACCTCCATCTACAGGTTTGGATGCTTACCCAGGCAACACATATATATACACATATATACATATATATATACACACACATATATACATGTATATATATACACACACATATATACACACATATGTATATATATACACATATATACACACACATGCATATATATATGTACACACACACACTACTTTTATGCTATTTCCCAGAATGAAATATATATATATATATAAAACAAAAGAATATTATGAATTCCTTTTTTAGAAAAATGAAAACTCTTAATCTCTTGTTTCTAACATTTAAACATTTATGGAAAAGCCCTATGCTCTAAGAAAATAAACCACCTAATGTTTTATGAAGAAGGGAACTGATGATTGGTAATTATCACTAAATGACAGTTTGAGTTTATATACACAACAGGTCTTAGAGGAGATCCAGGCTCTCAGTTCCCTTTTTTTTTTTTTTTCCAAAACCTTGAACACCTAGAAAGAGTTGTAGTATTTTTCTCCTTATTGACCTATTCACAGATACTAGTGCCAAATCATGTTGAGCTCTTTCTTAAAGAAAAATAGAATACATTAAAATAAAAAAAGTTAAATTTTTTTTAAGGATACTTATACATCCATGGATATACTGAAATCATTCTAAGTCATCTTTATCATTGGCAAGGTGAATGGAAGACAAAGGAAAACATTGTAAAGATAAGAGTCCTGTGTGACTAATGACAATAAATAGGATGAGGATGATAAAGAGAATTCTCTGTATCTGACAATTATGGAGAGAGAGAGAGAGAAAAAAAAAGAGAGAGAGTGAGAGAGTCAGATTGAGGTTCTTGGAAAGGGTAGTCCAGCATGTGGCTGAGGTCTCAGACCCCTAGACCAGCACTTTCCATATAGAAATACAATGTGGGGCACATATATAACTTTAAATTTTCTGGTAGCCACATTAAAAAGAAATAGTATTAATTTTAAAAATATATTTCACTCAATCTATCCAAAGTATTATCATTTCCCCATGGAAGCAATATAAAATTTGTTAATGAGATATCTCATATCCTTTTCATTGTACTAAGTCTCTGAAATCTTGTGTGTAAGTCATACCTAAAGTGGATCTCAATTCAGTCTAGCCACGTTTCAAATGCTCAGTGTTTGCATGAGGCTAGTAACATTCTTATTGGATGGTGTAGGTCTGGAGCAAGCCTCTGGGTGTCATGTCCGAACTTGCGTATGTGTCAATACAAAGAACTGGCCCACTGGAGCTCGCGTGTGGGGCATTGCTACAGTTGGCACAGTGGCCTGACTCAGCGATAGGCTCACTATGGCAGTGGGCAGGGGTGTATAAGAAGAAAAAGTTTTAAAATGTATTTGTATCTCACATCGGTAGAGCAGGTTGTACAAGTTGCATTTCATTCTTTTATCTGCAATCATTAGGTTTCTGAATTTTAGTATGCCCATTTTCAAGCGCTGCTTTATTCTAGCATGCTACCTGTGAAATTTCACTCATGCTAGTCATCTCTCCATAATTATATTTATACCCAGACTTTAAAATATATCTGTCAGGTGTGAATGGGTCGACTACAGGTTCTCAGGGGTCCTGGGTATTTGAAGTTTATAGTCTGTGCTTGAGACAGTTATAAAGCTTCTAAAGTGGCAATGCTTATCTGATCCTTTCTCTTATTACACAATATTTTATTCTTGAAAACTCATGGCAAAGTAAAAAAATATAAATTCTCATAAAGGGTCAGTTCCAGATGATCTATTTTTTAATATAGGAAAGGCTGGATAGGCATTGTCTGGTTACAGTGCATTCTCCAAATCATGATTTTGGTCTGGGCAGAGAAGTTAGAGAGACAGACATAGTGTCTACTTGACTACAGAATAGACTGGTTTTGTTCAATTTGAGGTTTGATTTTACTTCTTCATTGCCATATATTTAGCTGACTTGACTGTACAATGATTTGAATAGACTACTGATTTTACTTGTATGCCATTTCCCAGTATGAAATCAATTCAAATAGTCTCAGCCACAACTTATTCAAACTCAGAAGTATGCACACCTCTTAACTTTTACAACACACACACACACACACACACACTCTCTCTCTCTCTCTCTCTCTCTCTCTCTCACAAAGAAACCCATAGCAACCTATGGGCTAGGTGAGTTATATTGTGCTATAATCTCTAGGATTTAATTATAGGGCAAACAATCCTTTATGGCATCAAATACAAGCAAAACAGATTCTGAGAAAGCAGTTTTATTAGTTGAATAGTAATAATCAATATCCATTTCTAAAAGGTTTATGAAACCCTGGAACCAGTTCTGAAAACCACAGCCATATTCACCTTATGTTCACAAATGAGTTGCAGCTGAAGCTTTCAGTTTCAGCTTTTTTTTCCACAAATGATTTTGTTCTTATTGAAAATAGTCATCAGAGATCACTTATACATGTTCATCTTTAAAAGTCCCTAAAGGAAAAAAAGTTGACTACAAACAGAATTCCATTTTAATATTAAGAATAAGAGCATGTCTTAAATATGATGAATAAGATGGAAATGTTGCTAGAAAAAAAAAACCAGAAAAAACTTGTTCCCATTCCCCTTGAAATTTTTAGTGTGTATACAAGTACTTAAAATATAAACTATACAGTAATTGATGCTATGAAGTAATACACAATCAAACAAGGCACCCTATGGCAGATTGTAAACTTCATGTTTTCCAGCTTTAAGGAAGCAAAGGTCTAATAAACATGAACTTAAACTACAACGAACATACTCAAATCATTGTTAAAAAATAGGTATTTACAACAATAAAGTGGTACTGCTATGGCAAAGATAGATGAACTAAGCTTAGATCTGTGCAATATAAAAAAGGAAACAATGATTATATAGTACAAATAATTTTGCTGTAATATGACAGGCTAATGACTTAAGTGCCCAATATCGTCATTATGGTTCTGAACTCCATGTGCATTAGCAATAGACTCAGTAAAACTACTGTATAATTCATATTTTTGCATGAAAATCTTGTTCTTCTTTTAAAACAGTTGTGTCTATAAGATCTATAAGCCTAAATGGAGAAGTTAATAACTTGAATTATGTATTATATCTATGTTGTCATCTAAAGATATTCTTCGGGAAATTTCTAGTCAATCCTTATGATGGAAGCAGACAATAGTTTTGGGTACCTGGGTTTATTTTAGTATTTTTTAAATCAGTAACAAATGCTTATTGGTTATATTGATGCATTAATTTATTGCACATATAATTTCCTGAAGATTATACAACCCCAAACCAAGTACTGTTACATTTGTGATCAATGCATTTTAATTTTCTGGAAAAACCCAAATAATTGAAAGTCTAACAAGTACTTAAAATGTTCATCTTTACTCAATATTTGCCACATATGTAACTACTAACTTTTTTTTCAGACAAGGTAAATGAATTGTACACTCATTTCAGAGACTGCATAGATCAGGAATCAAACAAAAGACTGCAAAAAAAAAAAAAAAAAAAAAAAGGCCATGGAGTAATTGAATAGCATGACTAAGCATTATTTCAAGTTTTCATTTTCTCCTCCTTAGATTCCCCAGTCTATATATTAGAAATCTTCCCTCTGTCATACTATAATGTGAAGGAAAACTATGCTTAAGAGTATAGCAAGAGTAGGTATTTTCAGGCTGTTGAGCCATGTATCACTAAGATATTTTTCGAAGAGATGCTGAAAAACACGAGAAATTAAAGACGTTTTTCCTTTATTTTTTCCTTTTAATGCTTGTAAGGGAGCAGCTGTGCCCAATTCTTAGAGTAAAAGGAAAACCATATGAATTTTACTCATTTTTGTGTTTGGAATGAACATGTGATGAGAAGTACATTTTGCCATTACTGAATCAGGAGATGCAACAATAATTGTAATGGGTGTTGTTTCATCTACCTGCTAAACTGGTCCTTTTTACTCAAAATATGGTCTTGTAGGGTGGCATCAACCATCTGGCATCACAGAATAAGAGTTTTACAAAGAAACTTCTTGGATGTCTAAAAATGATGTGAGGATAGACGAGCCCCTCAAGGGTGTCTGCACAGATGAAAACCACTTACATTTGCAAATGTGTGCACAAAAAAGAGGATGGAATTACCCAGAGAATAGCTCCTCTCAATTACCTGCTTTTTGCCTGAATATGCTTGATTTATGAGTATTGGACTAGGAGTCAGGAACTTGAAGAACTAAACCAGAAGACAAAGCCCATTATGTAAAATACTCTTTTCCACTAATACTCCAAACACAATGTATGAATGCTTGGACAAATATATATGCTGATTTATACAACCAACTCTTTTTCCCCATAAGCAGAAATTGAAAAAAAAAATTCAACCCAAGCTGTCTTTTCCATGAGTCTTGGGAAATTGCATAGTTCTGAAAAAAAAATTGGCTTGATTTTCACAATTTTTAAAAAAATGGATATGGAAAGAATAAGATTGTGCCCATAAAAGCCAATTGTTTCCAAACCACATTGTATTGTTTGGCCCAAATAATTTGTCCTCCTATATAGAAGTAGAGAACCATGACAGACTGAAAATACAATAGCCAATCAAAATAAAACTTCTCTTCTGGACTAATTTTACCATCCTGGGGATATTTGCTGGGACCCGAGCTCACCCTGCATGCCAATGTGACAAAGGCAAACTACAAAGAAAATAAAAAAAAAAAATTTTGGAATGCAGGGAAATAAAGAAAGAAGTCAGTCTCCATTGTAAACCATCACTGTTCAAGGCATCCGTTTGTTTACTGGCAGTGCTGGGGTATCTGTTAAATGAATCCCTAAACAGAGACATAGAGTATCCAACCCATGCAAGGGACTTTTTGTCTTTTTGGAAGAGAGGAACTAGAGAGGTGATGTGAATTTGGAATTGCAAAAAGTGTCATACCTAAGCACAAATGGAGAAAGTGAAGCAAATTAGAAAGTCACTGATGCTAATATAACAGAAGGTAAACTTTAGTTGATTTTTATTGGCCGACATGTCAAAAAGTAGTGATGAAAAGAAAAAAAAAACTTATTTTTCTTGCTTTATTAGCATCTAAAAGGTAATTATGTTTTCAAGTATTTTATGCTTTTTTCATGTAATATATGCATGTATATATTAGCATTTGGATTTCTAAACTGGAAAAAAATACAAAGCATTACCTTTATGCTAAAATAAATACAACAGATATTTAAAAGGACTGCCAGTTATACCCTGAAAATGCAGATATCAACAGAGTAAAGGCCTTCAGTGAGCAGATTTGCTACATTTTCAATAGCCCATATATGTAATATTTAAATGTAAAGATTACAGTAATAATCCCTGATTTAAGGACGGTCCAATTCTTAATAGCCAGACCCTTACTTTGCTATGATTTAGTGGCCTTAGTAAGTGCTGTAGCATTCAGGTCCAGCTATAAAAGTGAGAGCCAGCCACAGAAATTCGTTTAAAACTGAGAGCAGTGCCCACTATTCCTCTTTTCCTTCTTGTCCTCCCTCTCTTGATTCTCTTCTCCAGGCTTTTGTTCATCTTAGAGCCTTTGGCTGAGGCTCATTAAAGTGTATTTTAAAATGTTAATGGAAAACCAGAGAAAATAAAAAACAGGAGGAGGTTAAGGAGACCTAAGGAAGAAGGAAAGAAAATAGCAATGGGTTAAAAGGGAGGAATAATAGAAACATTTTGAGAGACTGATGGGAGAAAGGCTTTCAGTCTCAACACTTAAAGAGTGAAACAATTTTATTCATGTGAGGAACTATTTTAAAAGAAGGGTGTTTTTTAAGTTTAAAAAATAAAACTTGTTATAATAAATATTTGATTGTGAAAAACGACGTAATTGCCTTATATAAGATGAAAAAGATTTTTATGTAAGATAAAGCAAAATTTTCCAATAAAAAGCTTTAAGGGAATGTAGGAATCCAAAGAATAGTGATAGAATTTTAATATCATGATTACCTATGATAAAGACAAAATTAGAACAAAAAAATTATGAGGGTACAGCCTATAATAGAAATCTCTGGAAATGTCATTATCCTCCAACACAAACTTCTTGAGATGTTTTGACTATCAGCAAGTAAAGAGGCAAAACGGCTTGATTACATCATTTTCACTGCAACAGAAGTTTGTCTTGACTAGAATTTGTCATAGAAATTTCTGTCATTTATATTTAGTAATATAAATAACTTGTCTGGCAAGACTAAGCATAGTTTTCCAAATTTACATGAATATACAGAGGATTTATTTATTTATTTATGCTTTTTAAGGCAATGTTTGCCATGTTAATAAGAATTCTTTTTAGGATATGTTGTTGTATGTCTTAAATCGCTAATGTAATTTGTTCTGTTTCTCCAAGGCTAGACACCTGTTTTCCATAAGATTATATTTTCAGTCTATTCTTTATTTCTATCAAGTTATATCTACTTTACTAGGTCACTATTAAAATAAATAAAATGGAATAAAGAATTATTGACCTTGATTCTCTATCAATTTAATAAATAGGTTACCTTATTTCTTATAGAAAAATAGCCTATTTTTTCCGAGACTCTAGAAGTTCTAGCCAAACTGGCTTTGTCATCAGCCTTACCAATTCAAAGCTAAATGAGTGGTTTTGACTAAAATATAATTAAATTTATAGACATGCCAACTATTACAGGTCATTTTATAATCTTGTTCTTTGAAAAGAGGGTAAGAGGTAGTTGAAAGCAACATTTTACTGTTGAATGGAGATGTCTTCAAGAACAGGAGAATGGAGGGTGTGAATGTTGGATAGGTATGCCCATCACAGAATGAACTGGGGAGGAAATGAGTCAGTTTTAGTTCCAGCCACTTGACAGCTGTGTGACACTGGGCAAGTGAATGTGCCTGTAATGGCTTTTTAATATGTCAACCTAGCTAGGGTGAACTATATAGCCTAGTCATTCAATCACACACCAATTTAGGTGGTGCTGTGAAGAAATTTTTAGAGGAAATTAAAGTCTCTAATAATCAGACTTTAAGTTAATCAGAAGGTATATTATTTTACAAAAGGCAAAATTTAGACCAAAAAGGCATTGTATAATCATCCTGGGTTCAACAGAGAAGCAGTACCACTACCAGTAAGATGTAGGATAGCTGGATGGATGGTTAGATAAAAAGGTTGCAACTGGCCTGTTCTGATTTATTATAGACACCCCTATCTATAAGACATCTTCCCCCCCCACCCCCCAAGATGGAGTTTCGCTCTTGATTACGAGGTTGGAATGCAATGGCATGATCCCAGCTCACTACAACTTCTGCCTCCAGGGTTAGTGATTTTCCTGTTTCAGCCTCCTGAGTAGATAGGATTACAGGTGCCCGCCACTACACCTGGCTAATTTTTCTATTTTTAGTAGAGACAGGGTTTCCCCATGTTGGCCAGGCTAGTCCCAAACTTTTGACCTCAAGTGATCCACCCGCCTTGGCCTCCCAAAGTGCTGGGATTACAGGCGTGAGCCACCGCACCCGGCCTATAATATATATATATTATGGATATATCAGACTAGGCCAGGTGAGCTACCTAGGAGTGGGCTTATCAGAGTTTTCCAGTATATTTGGCTCCCTGGGCCACACTGGAAGAAGAATAATTGTCTTGGGCCACACATAAAATACACTAACACTAACAATAGTTGATGAGCTAAAAATAAAAAAATCACAAAAATATCTCATGTTTCAAGAAAGTTTATGAATTTGTGTTGGGCTGCATTCAAAGCCATCCTGGGCCACAGGAGGACTAGGGGCTGCAGGTTGGACAAGCAAGCCTGGTTTAGATATTCCCTAAGCTCAGAGACCCCAAATAGCCTCTGCCTTGGGAGTTCCAGCCTACTTTGTGTCTTCCCTTTCTAACTGTTTCTTTATGAACTTCAGACTTGCATAGCAAGCTCCTGCAACTGGAAAAATCTTTTTGTCTGTCTGTCTGTCCGTCTGTCCATCCATCCATCCATCCATCCATCCATCTTACTACATCTTACTAGTAGTAGTACTGCTTCTCTGTTGAACCCAGAGTGATTCTACAATGACTGTTTGGTCTAACTTTTGTCTTTTGTAAAAGTAGGTTGGTTAGGTATAGTCTTGGTTACCTTTCAACACTCAATGCACATGGCTTTGATTTTAAGGTTAGCATTCCCTCATATGTGAGACATTTTTGGAGAAGGACGCTCATCTATTTTGTTTATTGTATCTCCAGTGCATAGGACAGTGTCACACTTATTGAATGAATAGATGTATGAGATTCTGTAAATATCTACTGGGAATGTGAGGTGTATCTAACCTTCAGTAAAACTTTGTGCCTTTTTTTTGCTATCATGGCATTGCAGAAGACTTAATGGTCAGGAATCATTTCTTCTTTGTAGTCTTTTAGTTTTATTTTTTTTCCCCAATAGTTTAAAACTGTAAGCTGTCATTTTTGTAGAGGCAAACTTCCACCACAAAAATAAAATTTTAGAAACAAGTGAACACAACAATTCCCAGCAGAATGGAGATGGCCTATCAATTATAGTTTACTTTATTTACTTTACACAACCAACTTTACATATCATGTGCACCTGGTAATAAGTCTATTTTATTTTATTGAGACAAGTTCTGGCTCTATTGCCCAGGCTGGAGTGCAGAGGCATGACCTTGACTCACTGTAACCTCCGCCTCCCAGGCTCAAGTCATCCTCCCACCTCAGCCTCCTGAGTAGCTGGAACTACTCCGAGTAGCTGCGCACCACCATTCCCGGCTAATTTTTGTATTTTTTGTAGAGATGGGGTTTTGCCATGTTGCCCAGGCTGCTCAAGCGATCAGCCTTACTCTGCCTCCCAAAGTGCTGGGATTACAGGCATGAGCCACAGCAGCAGGCCGATAAGTCTATTTTTAATGGTGAACCTCCAATCCTATTGGAACTATTGCTAAGACCTATTTGTTTAAGGTACCATGCAGAAAACGGCACTGCAAAGGGGAATTCTATTTACAGACAACTGCAGAAACAGGATTAGCACCTACGGTTTGGCAAATAATTGAATTTTTCTTTACAGTCAAGGATATCCTTGGTCATAATGAAGAAAATGGACACTGAAAAATGGTTAATTTGTCTGTTTAAACATTTTCCTGATAAATTTGCTGTTGTTCTTACACTTATAGATCGATTCCTTTACTTTAGATTGCTTCCTTTTAATGGTGGGAGTAAAACCAATTTTCTCGAATGGTGGTGAAGCTAAAATCCTCTAGTGTTTATATTGTTCTTATAACATTTAGCCCAAATGAAGAAATGTTAATATCTGTGCTCCCTAAAGTTAGCACTAAGTTCAAGGAAACAGAGTTTCTACATCACAACTTCACTACCCCACAGTTGTGTTCAACGTATAAGAGTAGTCTAATAGAATACGCCACATCAAAAGAAATTGTTTAAGGATTTTAATGTAAAGGTGGGCTTGAGTTCTGTTTTTTTTTTTTTTTTTTTTTTTTTGAGAGACAGAGTCTCATTCTGTAGCCCAGGCTAGAATGCAGTGGTGCGACTGCAACTTCTGTCTCCTGGATTCAAGCGATTCTCCTGCCTCAGCATCCCGAGTAGCTGGGATTACAGGTGTGCGCCACCGTGCCTGGCTAATTTTTATATTTTTAGTACAGACAGGGTTTCACCATGTTGGCCAGGCTGGTCTCAAACTCCTGACCCGAGGCGATCCATCTGCTTTGGCCTCTCAAAGTGTTGGGATTACAGGCGTGCGCCACCATGCCCAGCCAAGTCTTCTAGATGCTCTAAGCAATTTGAAGCCTGAGGAAGGGGCAAACATTTTACTTCAAATAAAAGGAAGGCAGAAGGGGCCTCTATTCCCATAGTCAATATTGGGTATGTTATTTACATTCTATGTGTCTGTTCCCTTCTGACAAGAATGGTGAAACTGCCCCTGGAAGCTGCCCACTCTGGGTTCCTTTCCTAAGTTTCCCCTAAAATGGTAATGTTTCAGCTTTCTCTTCATTTTCCCATTTTCTTCTTATCAAAGAGAGGAGGAGTCCCACATACATGTTGTTTAAAAGCATCAAAGTTTAGGTAAAGTCTTCCTAGCACATTATATCACTTCTTGGATAAAATCCAACTGAGGGAAAAAATGATATTAAAAAGAATGATAACCCTAATGCAATTACATATCAAGCAATAAACCACAATTTGTGCTTCATATTTGAGATCTGGTTAGTATAAAATAAAGATTCTAATTTAACATTATTCAGATACTTTGTCTTCTAGATGTTTATATTCCAGCTCTTTGATAAGAAATTATGTTTTCAGTGTCTAGATATATATATATTTTCCAGATGTCTGTCATTCATGCCTTCAAGAATGCAGAGGATAAAATGAAATGAATAAAACTAGTAGCAAAAAATACATATTGTAGTCACATGTCAAGGGCTGGTGAAGTGTGGGGAAAAAAATTCGTGTGAGCAAACCTCAGAGTTTTGAATTTCAGAAGAGAAGAGCCAAATATTCATGGGCAAAACATAGTACACACTTTGTGAGATATATTTCCACTAATAATCTTGCTCATCATCCATCACAATTGTGCTATATTTTATACTATTTCTGATATTGGAAACAAACATTTATTATGGAAAATTTAGAAGACTTAGGGAGGGAGACTAGAGAAGAAAACAAAGTAAACCCATGATCACTGTATTACTTAGAGTTGCTGTTGCTATTTTTCTTTTACATCCTATACTCATTCACTTATTTAACAGATATTTAATGAGCCCTTACTTTATGCAGGGATGCATCTCTGGCCAAGCAGACCAGGCCTCTGCTTTAATACTTCATATCAAACAAGTTTTGTATCCCTCTCCCATACTTCACATTATGCACGTTTATTCTAAGTATGCTTCATACTTAGAATTATGCTTCCACAATTTTCTTTGAAAACTTAAATGTTTTTGATTACATATATACCATCATAGGGATACACCATGATTTTTTAAACAAAGGCCCACTGTTGGACAGGTAGATTATTTCAAATTTTTCACTATGATCAAAAAACACTTCAATTCAGACTTTTAGTTTTCTTTGAATGGATTTTAAGAACTGAAATCGTTTGAGGAGTACAATCTTTTTTTTAAAAAATTAAGAGTACACATATTTCTAAGGCTTTCAGTGTGTATTTCCAAATATTGTATACAGAAAGCATAGGTATGCAATACAGATAAAATACTTATATACACCCCTGAGTGGGCACACACATGCTTTTATATCTACATGATTATGATGCAATGAAATATAGTAGTTGATAAGATTTATGAAAACTATTAATATGCCACTTTCTTACTTTAGTTTTATTTTTAAATGATAGAGCTAATCATCTTTGTGATTAGAAATGTTACTGAGAAGGATGGGAAACAAGGCAAATAAAGCATCCTTCCCCCCACCCCCCATTTAACCAGATGCACCATTTTGGCATTTTAATCAGATAGTGGTACCTTGATCCTAAAACTTGGATTGGATGCTGGCAAAAACAAATCTTTGCAACTCTTTTTCATTAGCTACTCAAATCATTCTATTTCCTATACCCCACTGCAACTTTCTTAAATTCACTGTGACTTGCTTAAAGTTTTCAAGTCTTAATCTGGCATCCCTTGTTAATCTATTAAATGTGGTCTTTAATTGAAGCCACTAGCAACCTTAAAAACTCTTAAGGTGCTGTATAAAAATTTACAACTATGCCTCCAAGCATTGAGACCAGCTGGCAATATGCCTTTTGAGAGCATGACCTCACTGAGACTAAAGAAGTTCTAGTCAGTTGCTTAAATTAAGAAGAAAAAAAATTAGTATCATGTACCAAACAGCTACATTTAAGAGGTCAGGTGACCCTAAGCATTATGACAAGTTTACCATTTTTTACATATATTACCTCAAGCTGATCACAATCCAAGTATTGCAAATATTTTCTTCCAAAAAAATTGCTCTATTTTGGCATATTTGGTCACTATGAAAATGTCAAAACAGCTGAGTCATAACTTCAAAGCAAAATGTAATGGTTCATTAGCAAAGGAGAGGAAAACATTATAAAGGAGGGAATAAATTTTCTCCTCACTAAACTATTCATCCGAATGATGTCTATCTTAATGATCTTAATTGACAAGAGCCAGAGTTCTCAAGTTCCCCATTTGAAGAGTCCATTTTCAAATGTCAAGGACACGAAGAACTTTCAGATTTTTCTTTCCTCTGGCCCATGATCACCGGCCCTTCAGCAGGAATCTCCTTCCCTTTAAATGGTCTCTGAACACACTGCAGGTAGTGCGCAGAGTCATTGCGCAGGTCTCAGTAACTGTCTCCCTGAAGGAATTTCCTGGAAAACAAGGGTCAAAGCTCTGGTCCTACTTAGATTTCAAGTGCCTTCAGACCATCCTGATGCCGTTCACTATAGCTGCAGACACAGCGGTGTTGGCATGTGTCTGTTGCTTTATTTTTCAGTTCCTTGATCATTACTTGAGTATTTGAAAATTTTACTCACTGATTATTTGTGTGCTTTCAAATGACATGAAAATTACCAGTTAGAAGATTAACATCATTCACTAGTAAATCTTTAGACCTGGGACCTTTTTGAGGGAGATTTTGAAGATGTATGTTCAAATATTCTAGTTTTTCTTATGTCCTTCTAGTTTCTTTATGTTCTCTAAAATTAGATTTTCAGAGTTATTTTTATTTCATTCCTAAGAGACTACTTTCCAAATAACTTTTAGTGCAATAATATTTTTTTGTTTTACATGTGATTGATTTTTCTTTATTTTATCATTTCTAACCTCAGATTTCTTTAGTTATGTTTAGTTAACCTAAAATATTTCTTATGTAATTGTTTTACTTCTTTAATATTAAAAACATTTAATACTATGCATTTGCCTCTGAATATTATTTTGGTTGCATACTATTAAATTTGATATTGGATTTATCCTTAAGACAAAAGCAATTGACAGAAAATTTTTAAATTAATAAGGTACTTGGGGTATTTTGTTAATTTCTTGTTATCAATTTTTTATATCTTACACAGATCACATTTTAAAATAATTTTTGCATGTATAATTTTGTGGATTTAGTATATAGTTAATAATAAATACTGTGGGTATTTAAAAACAATGTCCAATATTTGTATTTATAGTATAAATTATAATATATATTAGTCAACAATATAAATATGTAAAATATAGTTTTACATCATAAATATATATATATTAAAAAAAAACAACACAGGGTTTCACTCTGTTGCCCAGGCTGGAGTGCAGTGGCATAATCACTGTAACCTCAAACTCCTGGGCTCAAGTAAGTTCCCTCAGCCTCCTGGGACTACAGGTGCATGCTACCATGTCCAGCTAATTGTTTTGTATTTTATTTTTTGTGGAGACTGGGTCTTACTATGTTGGCTAGGCTGGTCTTTAACTTTTGGCCTCAAGTGATCCTCTAGTCTCTATCTCCTAAAGTGCTGGGGTTACAGGCATGAGCTAGCATGCCTCACCTACATCCACTATAATTTTTTGGATGTTGGTCTATGATTAAATTTTATATTCTGGTGCTCATTTGTACATATGCAGATTTCTGAACAGAATCTGTTAAATGAAAGTAGTAAATTATTTGGTGGAAACTTTGAGATGGGAGCTTTTTTCTTTTAAATAGAACAAGAAAATAGCAAACTTTTGAATAAGTTTGTGAAATAATCACACTAATTGTAAAAATCAAGTTACGATTCGAGATTTTGTTTTTACTTTTTAACTCACCATCTGTTAAATTAATAAATGCTAGTTTAATTTTTATTATATATTAATTTCTAAATCAACTTTCTTTGACATTTATGCTTTTTCCATCTGTCAATATGCCCCTTAAAATTTATTTTTATATACTATAGACATACATGCATTATATCTGCACAAATCTGTCTTTCAAAACACATGTACACAATTTAATAACATAATTACTTATATATAATAACAAATAAAACTTAAAGGCAAGTTACAAAAGGAAAATTATACAAAGCCTATAAAAGGTATAATAGAATGTGTTCTGATTTAGACTGCTGAAGTTATAATCTAGACTCCAAAACTAAATATCTGTGTTTCCTCCTCTGTAAATGAATATAAAATTATTAACATATAACTGTCTTGAAGATGAGAAAATACATGCTACATGCTTAGAACAGCTCATGGTGAATACAAAATTTTATTTTTTTAATTCATACTGATACTAATATATATAGATTGATTACAATTTTTTTCTTTTTGGAAGGGAAATGCTTTCACTTTATGAAAATAAGTTTAGCCATTTCACTCTACACCTTTACTTCACATTGTTTCCTAATGTTAATTTTAGTATGTAACACAATAGAAAATTCAAAATGATTTCATTTTTAATGATTCTAAATATTTCTCTACAACCTCCAATTAAGTTGCCCTCTGTCATTTATATGTTTACCATTTTGTTTTCAATATTCTGCAAGTTGTATGGACTGTTATATTTGGTCTAACAGAAGTCTCAATGTTAATAGCCAACATTTAATGAAAACTTACTATACTCCAGACACTATTCTGAGAACTTTCAGGGGCTAAGTTATTTAGCCCTCACTGCCAGTCTTTGAGGAAATTTTGCATAAGCCAAATGTAGGTTCTGGCAGCGTCAGGATTTAAGCTGAGGCTTCTGGCTCTACCACCCAGATTCGTCATTATTACAGTGCAGCTGGATACTCAGGTGAGCTGCCCTCCTCTGGACTTAAATAATGGGTAGTATTTGCTTCCTAATGGCAGGTCTCCAGGTCATTTAACTCTGTGTCTATTACTAACAAGTGACAGATCCTCCCTCCTAGGGCCAGCCAGGAAATAATGTCAGCCTCCAGACCATTTGGGATTTTAAAAAAAGACACCAGGACTCAAGATTGGAGCATTTTGATTTATTAAACTTTTTTCCTTTTAAACACTTTGGTGGACTGTGGTCATGGCGCTACTTAATACTCCATAGATGAGAGTTTGGACCTAATGTAAATGCGAAATTTCTTAAAAAATTCAATATGAGCTAGACATGTAAATTAGATCAAAATACTATATTCGTTTTGTTAATAAAATCAAGCAGGAATATTTTAACAGTATTTCATCATGTGTATAATCATCTTTAAATTAAATCAACTTGTTAGAGAATGGGAAATAGCTACCTAAAATTTGACCATAAATGTCAGAGGTGTTTGAACCAGAGCAACTCCATCTTGAATAGCGGCTGGGTAAAATAAGGATAAAACCTCTGGGGCTGCAATCCCAAGAGTTTAAGATATTCTTAGTCACAGGATGAGATAGGAGGTCAGTACAAGGTATAGGTCACAAAGACCTTGCTGATAAAAGGATGTGGTAAAGAAGCCAGCCAAATCCCACCAAAACCAAGATGGCAATGAAAGTGACCTTTGGTCGTCCTTACTGCTCCTTATACACTAACTATAATGCATCAGCATGCTAAATGTCTTTTAGTATGTCCTTTAGCATGTTCTAAAAAGTTCCGGGAATTGCTCACCTCTTTCCTTGAAAACTAATGAATAAGCCACACCTTGTTTAGCATATAATCAAGAAACGACAATAAAAATAGCCAACCAGCAGCCCTCAGAACGGCTCTATGGAGTAGCTATTCTTTTATTCCTTTACTTCCTTAATAATCTTGCTTTTGCTTTACTCTGTGGACTCACCTCAGATTCTTTCTTGCGCGAGGTCCAAGAACCCTGTCTTGGGGTCTGGATTGGGAGCCCCTTCCAGTAACAAACTCTCTTTGTTAATGTGGAATTGATAACATTTGGAGTCTCTTTAACTCCAGTGCTTAAAACAGTGCATGCACAAAGCAACTCCCCTACAAATGTCTGTGATGTGAATGTGTGAACTGAGTTCTTGCTCTGAGTACTCCAGCTTTTTAGAGTTTACGTCATCTTTGTTTGTTCCCTAAATAAGCATTCCCATTTTTAGGGCCTATTTTGTCTTCCCTCATTCACCAGATATAGAGCATTTTAATCTGAGTTAATCCGCTTGTATTATGAATATATTACAACACAGAAAAATTATTAATCCACCCATATTATGAACGTAAGAAAAATATTAGGAGGAGTATTGCTCTGTGCAACTTGCATCTTTGTTGGTTTTCAGAGTTGATTGGCTGATCTTTCTGGTTGAGCCTGAGTTGCCTCATACACCTTTATTATAATTCTGTCTAAGGCCTTTCCTTTCTATCTGTTCAGTGGAAGAAGATCAGAGCTCAATAGATGAGGAGCTTTACTCCACTGGTAGGACTTCCAAATAAACAAGCAAACAGATAAATATACAGTGATTGCCCATAAGACTGTATTCCCAGCCAAATAAAACACATTGCTTGGTGTTTAAAATATCAGATTCTCTTTTCATCCCAATTGTTTTCTTAGCATATTGAAAGAGTAAAGGTATCTGTATGATTCACCCCTAACTTACAATAAACTTGGCTCAATAAAGACTAGTGAAAGATGGAGTAGAAAAAGGAATTCCAACTAATTCCTTTCTTGACAAGCCCATAAATACCAGTTGTCTTCCTCCTTGAGCATGAGGACTAGGTATCAATTACTACAGATACGAGTCCTCAGGGCCTCTCAATGACGGTGATTACTAAGGAAGGCTTCAGGAACATTCTTTCCACCCAACTTTGAAAGGACCAATTTGTTTCTTTTGTTTGTTTATTCCCCATCAAAATGCTGATAAGTAATTTCTTTTCAGTTAAATTCCTACAACTTCATTGAACTTTGTATTTCCACATTCTATTGCCAAAGTTTAACCCTCTCAATATGACCATTTGAGTTACATAATTATACCAGTTAGCTGAGTTTTCTGCTCCCTTCTGAAGCATGTGTTCTATCAGATTTGATATGAAAAGCCTGTCTCTGGGAAACAAAGAAATTGACCCCTATCTTTAACATCTTTTTTTTTTTTTCCGATTGGATAAATTTGTTTTCACTCAGTAAGCTAATATGATATATTTATGTATTATGTTAATAGTGAATCAAGACTTTTATAAATGGAAAATGAATGAAAACAGACTCATGGTTCAGGAAGTTTATAGCCTTCTGTAAGGCACTCAATATACTATTTTTCCCCTGTAAGTCCAAAGACATTTTGGAAAATACATTAATCTCTAGGAATTTCAATCATTTATCTTTAAGATAACATTTTCTTAACCAAATTAGGAGAACTTTTCCAAATACTATGGAAGAAAAGAAAATACTTGTACTAACGTTATGATTAACATTTATTGAGTACTTACATTCTCCCAAACAATGCTATAAACGTTACATTACTTAATCTAATTTATGCTTCCAATCAACTCTGTGAGGTAGATACTATTATTATTGACATTTTTAAGATTATAAAACAGTAGCTTAGTGAGGTTAAGTGACTGGCTCAAAGTTTGTAGAGCTAGTAAATTGCAGAAACCATCAACCTCACTCCAGAAGCCGGATGCTACACAGTGGTTTGTGGTTCCAGGCTGTGAAGTTAGACTGCTTGGTTTCAAATTCTAACTCAGCTACTTCTTAATTATATAACTTTGTGTAAATTGATTAACCTTTCAGTGCCTCAGTCACTTAATAGATAAAATGGGGATGATAATAATGTCACTGAGCTGCATAGGGTTGACAGGATTCAATGAGAGTAGATTAAAGTGCTTAGAATGCTGCCTACAGCCTGGTAAGCTCTCTAAAGTATTTACCATATCTATACCATGCTTCCGTGGTATGGGAGACATAACAACTCTGTTCTTACAATACTGTTCATAAATTTGACATAGTAATTGTCCTTGGGTAAAAATTAAATAATTTCCTTTATGCCAAATATTTTTAGAATGGGAAAGCTTATGCTTATTTTGAATTCTACTATATCATCCCAATATTTTCTAGTAATAATCACTATTTATTAGGATAAATTATAGGTAGAAATGATAAAAGATTAAACACAGACAGAACCTTTGTCAGAAGTCTAATTACATCTTTTGTTGGCTTTCCCTCCTACTCTCCCATGATCAAATGAGCACTCTCATTTTAGACTGCTACAGCATTGAGACAAAAAAAAAAAAAAAAATCCAAAGGGGCCACAGTTGAGGACTCTTGCTACAAGGGTGCACCTCAGCACACAAAAAGTTACACATGCATCTTTTACATACTTATCCTTAAACTGTTTATCTGGCACATCCACAGGCAGCTGGTGGAACAAATAGGAAATCCTGGGAAGCACATTCATTTTTAAAGTGTTAATGCGCCCAATCCAAGAGACAGTAATGTGCTTCCATCCGTTAAGATCCCCTTTAATGTTTCGGGTTGGAGGGCCATAATTTAAATGAAATGCATTATCCAACCCGGAAGGTATTCCACATCCTAAATATTTAATTGATTGCTCCATCAGGGGAAGATGAGCCTACACAATAAGCAGATCCTACCTATATCAAAGTGTTCGATTAATAGTGTCTCTAATTTAGGGTAATTTAGGAGTTTACAACTTATAAAATGGCTATTTCTTCCGCATTCCTCCCAAAGTACCAAGAGGATTGTGTCTGGATTAATTGCAAACAGCAGACGATTCTCTGTGTATAATGAAAACCTAGAGTCAGCATCATCCAGCCATGCACCTATAATTTGAGTTCTCATCTGAATATTTTTCACCAGGGGCTTCACATCCAATGTAAATTGAAGTGGCAAAGGAGGAAAGTTGTAATTGTTGCATCTCCCTATTAAAAAAGTTTAACAAGTCAAGTTCATTCCTGCTGATTTTTAGTTAGTTGGGTCTTAGCTAACTGAGTGAGGAAGATAAATCAAGCTACTTGCAGATTTTCCTAATGGTGCAAAGTTCGGCACCCTGAGGACTGTGGAAATGTCTATTACTACACTTGTAAAGAAGAGAAGTGGAACAAGACTGTGGGTGGCTGGATCCATATGAGTGATTTATTACTCCTGAATCCACTTAGTCATTTCCGGATAAGCACTTAAGTGCCAAAAGTTTATGGTCATTTTCAGTTTAAGAAAAACACAGGGCACATCTTAACATATGAAACAAATATATTATCTAGAGAAATTTGTATTTTTTTTCTGAGCTGACCAACAAACTTTAAAATTTGAGCTTATAAATGCAGAGGAACATTTAACTCTATTTAAATATGTCTACTTTTGATTTTCTGAGGTCCTTTCAATTCTAATTTTTTCATAGAAAAAAATACAGAAATTCTGTGAAACTATCCTGGGATTTGGGATCTGATGACAAATAAACTAAAAATTTAGTGGCTTATCAAGAATATAATTTTTAATGTTAAATTTACCTTTTCAGTGGCAGTTTTCCTCTGTCTTCTTGAAGTGCTACTTTCTAGATGGCTTAATTTTTGTTCAAACACAAATTAGAATCAATTTTCTGGGGAAAAATAATCAGTATAGCTTCTGTTCTCCACAACAAAGAAAATACATTTGTAGACATATTCTGGAAATTTAAATCCCCAAATGCTCTTTTGAGCAAGTCCAAGGAGATTTGAAGACTGACATTTTGTACTTTGCTATCCCCGAGAGGCGAATGTATGATCATCTTTACTGAGGTTTATTTCCGTCCCTGCTGAATTAATATGCATTTTCGTTAACTAATCTTGAAACAACAGGAATAAAGTTTATCCAGGTCTTTTATACCTCAGAGAACAAAACAAATACTACAAATCTTTAGAGAGAGAGGATATACAAAAGGGCTTGAGGTGAATATTTCAAAGCAAATACTCTTTAAATGATGTGCAAATTATTTCAGCTCTTGAGCAAGATTTATGAAAGGGGATTAGCCCACTGAAATAAGAACCAAGTTTAAACTGTTGGGTTTCAAAGTCAAAGATGAGAAGTGGTTACAAGAAAAAGATGGAGACAGGCAACAATAATTTAGAGGATGGATTTGTCTCAGTTTTTCCCTAAACTGACTCACCTTAAATTGTCACCAACTGTTATTCTTAAGTGCAGTAAAAAAAATTGCATTTCTCCTCTAATTTTCTTCTTCTTTTTTTCCTAATCTTTAGAACCTGTGAAGTTCCTCTGATTTTCTATAAAGTTGAGAGTGTAATAATTAAGAAATGATACTGGAATTTATATTTCAGCAACAAGGTCTCTACTTGCGAGGTAAAAAATATATACTCCCAAACTGTGTTAAAGAATTAAAACTATTCAAGCTGGAAAGGGTAACTTCTAAGAGTTTTGAGTCAGAGAATTTTTTTTTAATTCACAAGTCACATCTATAATAACACAACACAGATGTTCTAATATTCCAACATGCTCTTCAACTAATAGTTAAGAGCTTCTTGTAAGACTTAAGAAAATAATCACTTTTATGTAATTGTAAAGATTAAGTGAGCTCACTGCTTCTTATGATTCCATAATGACCTGCAGTTCTGGAAGGTAAAGGAAATTTTAATGACCCCACTCATATGTGATTAATATCTAATGCTTCTTGACTAAAATTCTGGATTTCGTTCAATAAAAATGAGTTAAGCAAAAATTCTTTGGGTCTTCAGCCAAACCCTTCCGTGGAAATCAATTATGGTTATGCCCGATTTAAAAAAAAAAAAAAAAGCATGAAACCTCAGTAACAAACCCAGGTACCTACTAGGAAAAAAAAAAAAAGATTAATTATGAAACCTCAATAACAAACCCAGGTACTCACTAGGAAAAAAAAAAAGATTAATTATTCTTATGTAAGCTGTCTTAAAGTAAGAAAGGTAAATAAGTGAAGTGAATCTAGGCACTACTAAAATTTTAAGGCATCTCTTTCAGACCTGTCTCATTACTGTCCAAAACATTTTTAAAAGACTGGACATTTTAGGGGCAAATTTATGAGAAAGATTCTTACTGAGAAAAGAATGATTATTTGCCCATTTTGGTTTCCATTTCCTATAATTAAAAAAAGGTAGACATGAAAAAAAATGAGGTTTTATTTCAGAAATAATCATTATCAGTTCTTCCCAGTAAGTGAAATCTCACCCTACTAAGAGGGTTAATCAGACTTTATTTTGAATCTTTCCTCTATTTTTTGATAACTAAATTGTGAAATTGTGGGCCTACTTTTGTTTTCTTTGCAATTTTTCAAAACAGCTTGACTGAAGTGCAGCCTGGTGGGCCTTGATTCTTTTGGCAGGTGCAGCAAATAAACTTAGTCTACGAGTAAAACAGCTACGTTGCTGCTCATCCAGAATTTTAACATCTAACCTGAAAGGCCAATGGGAAATGAATTCAAGTACTCAAGAACAACATAAAAATAAAGAAATTTAAGCAATCAAATACTATTATTCTTGCTTGAGAAGGGAAATAACAAAAAGAGGCTACATGTGAGATTATGTGTTCCGAAAAGAAGAGTCAAATGGAAGATAAGGGATAAGTAGAATTTCAAATGGATTTTGCACATTGAGCTATCCAGGGAATTAATGGATAATTTCCAGGGAATTGCTTGGAGCTTTGGTTTCTTGTTTGTCTGTTTTGGTGAGGGTAGTTTAGGCTCAGAATCATTTTTTGATATTGTTGCTGTTCTTTGGCTGGGACTGTTGACTTTTTGATGTGGGAGTTCAGAATTTCTGACTTAGGTGTGGCACAGGCAAAAGTTACAAGGCAGTGTAAGTCTTGGTTCTTTCTCATTTAGTCCGTAATCATGGGTTGGAAGGGATTGATGAGATTAAATAGCCACCATTCAAAATCATGCATTGTCATAGCATGACCAATATAATAACCATATGCAGGGTTATTTTACACAAAGGCCGACAAGATAGCTCTTTTATATGAGTAGGTCTTTTGTCCAAGTCCCAAAGGCCACCCTTTGGCTCTGGACTTTCAAAAACCTCTTTAAAGAAGTTATTTATGTCATATGGTAATGTTTTTTTCAAATTTTAATGTGCATGGGAATCACCTGTTAAAATGCAGATTCAGTTCAGTTGGTTTGGGGTTGGGCTGGAGAGGCCATATTTACTAACAAGCTCCTAGGTGATATTGTCATTGTTGGTCCATGGATTATATCTAGAGTAACAAGAATCTAGTAGGCTCCTGAAAGAATGAGATTCTGCTTAGCTCCTTGGCATCCTGATGGTTGTTTTCCAAACCACAGAGGCAATGGGTATTTGGGAGCTGCCAAGACTTACAATATATGTCAAGAAAACCTATCAATATCAAGTCAGATATCTCTGGAATCTTTCTTCTTCACCTATTCCTACTGCCTAGTTTGGACCTGCAGCATATGGTACATGGTCTATTCTAATAGTCTCTGAATTCATCTCCTTACCTCTGATCTCTGAATTCATCTTCTTACCTCTGATCTCTCACTCTGTGCTACCTATCTCTGCCATTCTCCACATTTTCCCCAAAATTATTACTCTAAAAATCAAATCTGTTCATGTCTCTTGCCTGCATTGAAGTCTTTCACTAGGCTCCCATTATTTATAGTGAAAAGTCCTAATTTTTTAGCATTCCGTGAGAGACCCTTTGCCAATGGTTCACTCTTCATTTCCAACCTGATCTCCAGTTGTTGCCCCAATGTTTTGCACATTCCAGCCTCACCAATCTATTGTGCTCTTCAACTATTTTATGCTCTATGGTTCTTTCCTTCCTGTACAAAAGTCTATCCATGCTCTTCTCTGTCATTCCTTGTTTCTCCATCTGAAAAACTGCTAGAGTTCCACAGCAGCATTAAACTCCATAAACCTTTTATTCTCCTTCATAGGTATGTTCTCTTCCCTGGCTCTCTTCTGCCAGCCCCTACCTATGTGTGTCCAGGGATCACTTCCAAATATATTACCTGTGATCAAATCTTTGTCTCAGGGACTGCTTCTGGAGGAACCCAAACCAAAACACCCATCAACAGGACAGTGCCTCACAGTTCAGCCTTTCCCTTCATTCCTCATGCATAAAATCTGTAAGGGTTTCTTCAGGGTTCCCCTCTCATGCTCTCGGTCACTTGTTTCCTCACTCACTCAGACATTTATTCGTCAGTGCAAAAGTAAACGAGGTTTAAAAAATGGCAAAACTGCAATTACTTTTGAGCCAAGCTAATAATTCTGAACACCACTAGGTTTCAGACTCTGTTCTGAGTGATGGGGATAGGGAGGGGTAATTAGCAGAAGGTCTTGGCTTATACCTCCAGGCACTTGCAGTCTAATGGAATAGAGTGGTCCTGGTTTAAGCTAATGACTGAAGCTAGGTCAGCTAGGATTACTCCCCAGAACTCAGATATCACAATCCTTTTGATACAGTGAACATGGTGGGCATCCCTTGCCAGCTGATCAATACACTATAGTTTGGTGAGACCAGACTTTCAGTGGTTTTCAGTTTACTCCTTATAAGTGGCTCAATATCCATGTGATTTGTATAATATGTTTACTTTAGTCAACAAAACCCATCTTTTTATCACCAGATGCTTCATGACACTGAGTTGATTCTAATATGTATTATTTAAACATTAAAATTAAATAAAATCTTTCCTTGCTTTTAAGTGAATTTACATAACTCTCTGTCAAAATTCTACCCTTGTATTATTTTACTATTTTCTATAAGAATGGAAATGGCCCTAGAACTAGAAATACCATTTTACCCAGCCCATTACTGGGTATATACCCAAAGGACTATAAATCATGCTGCTATAAAGACACATGCACACGTATGTTTATTGCGGGACTATTCACAATAGCAAAGACTTGGAACCAACCCAAATGTCCAACAATGATAGACTGGATTAAGAAAATGTGGCACATATACACCATGGAATACTATGCAGCCATAAAAATGAGGAGTTCATGTCCTTTGTAGGGACATGGATGAAATTGGAAATCATCATTCTCAGCAAACTATTGCAAGAACAAAAACCCAAACACTGCATATTCTCACTCATAGGTGGGAACTGAACAATGAGAACACATGGACACAGGAAGGGGAACATCACAGTCTGGGGACTGTTGTGGGGTGGGGGGAGGGGGGAGGGATAGCATTGGGAGATATACCTAATGCTAGATGACGAGTTAAGGGGTGCAGCGCACCAGCATGGCACATGTATACATATGTAACTAACCTGCACATTGTGCACATGTACCCTAAAACTTAAATAAAAAAAAAAAAGAATGGAAATGGCAACAGACACTTGACAAACTTTAATCTCTAGAGATTGCCATCGTGTCAGGCTCACACTCAGGAATGACAAAACCAAGCATTTATTCCCCATGACACTTAGGATCCCTTAAGAAAACAAAAGGTAAAAGGATATATGTTAACCAGAGTCAATAAAATAATGAAGATATTAAGAAATTAAGCCTTCAAAAAATTACGCATTTGTTTATGCTGCATTTTGGCAACTGTTTCAACAGTTGCAAAAGTACATTCTTGCTATATTTCTAAATTGGTAGATTTATAGTAAACAAACAAAAGTCATGATTATTTTACTCAGAATTTACCCAGATGGAAATCATTTTATAACATAATATATAATCTACAAAGTTATTTGATATATTTTAGATCCACTATATACATTTTCTCTAGATCAAATACATATATAATCTTTTTAGATAATCAACATTTACATTTATAATATTTTATAATTATATAAAATATATATTATATTTATCTGGAAACTCAATTTCAAGAAACTTAAGAAACTTGTCAAAGTCATATGGCTGTATATCTTGGAGTTAAGAACTGTACTCAAATTTTCTGACTCTCAGACTCAAATTTCTTACACAATCTCATACAACCTTTTGAACAGGGTTCTGAGGGCTAACACTTTGATAACTTTTGTGTTAAACTGGATTTTTACAAATAAGCTGACACTAGAGAAAAGTATTCTCAGTCTTATAAAAATAATCAAAATTACTGTAATTATTTGTTATATATTACAGAGTTTCTTTTTCTTTTATTGCCTCCAATAGAAACTTGAAAATTCCAAGTCAGAGCCCACAGAAGAGCTGCAAGAATAACTATGAATCACAGTAACTCTTTCAAATAAAATAGGGTGTTAGAATGGATGATGGGAATATTGGGAAGTATGATCTGGGCTGAGTCCTAAAGGATGTTAACTTTGTAAAGAGATAACCCTGATTTCAAGGTAAAAGTCAGCATGTAGCAGTGTGCATCAGGTATTATAGGGACTATTTACCTGGAACATAAATTATGGGTCAGGGAGTGATGAAAAAAAACTGGAGAAGGGGCACAGATCATAATGAGCTTTCTATACAGAAACTTGGACTCTAATTCCAAGAGCAATAATTCCAATGCAGTCATTAGAAATTGTTCTTAATCTGGCTGGGTGCAGCGGCTCACGCCTGTAATCCTAGCACTTTGGGAGGCCAAGGTGGGCAGATCGTGAGGTCAGGAGGTCGATACCTGCCTGGCCAACAGAGTGAAATCGCATCTCTACTAAAAATACAAAAATTAGCCAGGCGTGGTGTTGCCCGAGCCTGTAGTCCCAGCTACTAGGGAGGCTGAGGCAGGAGAATCACTTGAACTTGGGAGGCGGAGGTTGTAGTGAGCCAAGACCACGCCATTGCACTCAAGCCTGTGTGACAGAGTGAGACTCCTTCTCAAAAAAAAAAAAAAAAAAAAAAAAATAATTGTTCTTAATCTTTGACTTCAATTTTGGAGAAGACCTTATCTGACAGCAAAATCCCAGTCCTATATTTTCTACTTGGTTATGGCATTTCCTATCTAGTCCTCTACCTTTTTAGGCCAATTAATTTTGTATACAAATAGGGTATATTTATTTACATTAGGAAAATTGGGTAGCAGGAACAACTGATTTCAGGTACTACTTAAATAACCAAAGAAAGATGTATTGGCAGATTGCTTTAGGTTTCTCAAGTCATCCATGAGCCATTTCTTGAAGAAAGCTAGGAATCCTAATGTTACAGATCTCACTTTATTAAAGTTTGATGAAAACATCTGGTATTTCTGGGTTCATCTAATACTTTTGGGTGAAAGCAATATCTGATTTTGTTTAGTGAGGGCTATACTATGAGTAATAAGAAACTTATTTTACAAGAAAATCTCAAAGATTCCATGTGTTAACAACGGATTTTTTTTTTCCCCCAAGCATGTTATTAGGCCTATTTGGGACATCCAAATAAATCCATCAAAAAGCAAATTACTTCTTTAGAATTTTGAAGGAAAGTAGCGTAAGTTACCATACTTCAGAAACAAAAAGGAATTGACCAAATAAATCCTGTATACAGAAAGAGGTGATCATTTGCATTCAAAATAATGTTTTGCTCTGCACATGGATTCACTGTACAAACACCTTAAATGCTTAAATGTCAGCTTTAGCAAAGATTCTTTAAATCTGCTGTGACAACAATGAATGATGATTATATGCCTAACTTTATAAGAAAACATTAATATACGCCCATTTTAAAGTCATGGAATAAACAAAAGGACACTTTCTGAGGATACCAAAGATCTTTTTTTTTCTTTTGTTTACAATCACAGTAGTGTATTAATGCCAATAAAATATTGCTTGAGAGTTAGAGCAAAGAGCCCTCTGGATTTGCCCTATTATTGAAAGCAAGATGCCATTTGACCTAATGAAATCAGAAATTGATTAAATGCAGTTCATCTAAGGGGAAATATGCTCATGGTGTTATTGCCAGGGTCAGAAGGAAGATAGGGTGATCTAGTGCTTGAGCACTGAGAGGGTTAGGTGGACTTTCAGAGTAGCTGATGCTATGAGATACACGACAATGGACATCCACAGGTCAGAGGGCGAGATCAGCCCCTTAGATGGGAAAGAAGAGATTAATCAGGACATTCTTTGCTCAGCTCATAATGAAGTCCTCTTATCAAATGATTCATTGAAAACTGAATGTTTTGAAGAAAGTGCAATCTACGGGTCCCAGAAAAAGTAGGTACTGCTGCTTGGGAACATATGTCAGAACAATGGCTAGAGTCACACAGGGCCATAGTGAAGCCTGGGACCTTCATGCATAATACTATTCTGATAAATTAATGTGGATGCTTGACTATCAAATGTGTCTAATTTTTACTCTTTTCCTCTCATGATGTTTACATCTTGCAGCTTTAACAACATAAATGTCATTTATAATTTTTCAATTTTTTTCTTTACCAACTATTTTGAAATAAGTAACTCTCAACCTGTGAAAAACAACTGAAAAGACAAGTGACACTCAACTATTCTTTAGATATTGTCTGTCTTATAAGTATAGTAATATGAAGTGATTTGTTTCCACATTTTAGCTCAATAGTTTATTTTTCTCAAGAGGGTTTTGAATAAAACTGGTACCAGAGTGGCGCTAGTTATTTTGGGGAAAAAAAAAAAAGGGTGAGTGACCCTCTCACCCAAATCAGAAAACTTTGTCCTCTTGATAATATAATAACCCATGATATTCTACAAAAATGTCACGACTTTTTTGTTTTTCCAGGAAAGAGCTCTTCCATTTCTTCAGAACTAGATATGGTTTATCTGTGCAATTTTAATACTGTTTTCATTTCCTTGGCAGATGGTTTGTTCATCTTATTATTTTCATACATTGGCAGGATTAGACTGTTTTACACAAAATTCTTAATAAGAAAAAACTTTAAAATATGTATTTATATGAGCCTCCAGAACAGGCTTCACAGTATGTGTTTTAACAATTGATAATTACATATTTATCCAAGAAACTCGTGTGACTTTTTAATTTTGGATAATAATAAATATCTTAAAAGTTTTCTTAATTACATAGTTCCCAGAAAGGTCTCAATGGTCACAGGAAAAAAATATATTGGTTTTGGAGGAAAATAGGAAAACAATGAGTTATCAATGTTTCATGTAAAGAGGTCTTAATGTAACTTATATTCAGAAAATTTGATCTTTCTTTGAAAGGTTCAGGTCATAATCAGAAAATATGTATATTCTTTTATTGAATTAGGCACATGGACATACCTACTTTTGTGTGGGTATGTGCGTTTACTTCAATTTTTAACTGGAGAACTTTTCAAACATACAAAAAAAAATGAAACAATAGGATCATGATCACTTGCCTATGCACCACCTAGATTCATCAAATGTTTATATTTGGGACAATTCCAGACTTAATCTGTCATTACACATACTTTTTACAAAGAACATCTGTCTTGCTAAGGACTCACTTCCCATTAATGCTACAAAAGCTGCCTACCCAGTCCTCAATTCTCTCCTTTTTCTATTATTTCTTCCGGCTCGGAGGCTTTAAATTCCCTCCCTGCCACTACTGGGGACTTTCAGGGCTCACCAGAATCCTAGCAAAAGCAAAAGCCATTCTGAGTCTCCTAATCGCTTTGGTGGAGACGGTACAGAAGTGGGGATCTAGACCGGAAACTAGATCGAAAGCAATGCTACTGGGAAGTCTTAGCTCTCAGGGCCAGAGGTGCAGCAAATTCAGAATGAGTTGTTCCCTAGAAACAACATTGTAAGTGACTGCAGAAAGTTCAAGTGTGCTTTTGTGGCTTGGTACATGGTTTCCTTGTGAAAACATACCAGGTCTAAGCAACCAATTTACAATTGGATTTTGAGAACATAGCCTACTTATAGTTGTAGAAGACCAGTATTATAATTATTTAGATTAGTACAAAAAATTAATGTTTTCTCTATCAAACTTGTTTTCATCACTTGGCATGGTCATGATACTTTGCAGGCAAATTTTTTAAACAAAGACAAGTTAAAAGTCCGTAGCATTTTAATTTTTATTGTGTAACTCTCTCAATTCAAGTTTTTTCTTTCTGTTGTCTTATTGCACACATCATTAAGGGGATATGGAACTGGGAAATGCACATTTAAATACATATACCCTAATTATTAGAAACATATTACATATACCCTTATTGCACATGTCATTAAGAGAACGTAGATTTGGGAAATCCACATATGCATTTAGGATTTCACCCAGAACACATTTGTTTTTTATGATAACTTAATCAAGAGACAGCTAAAGGAAAACCCATTTCCTTTTAGCTCTCTTACCTTTTGACTTTAGTCTTCTAACTCATGTTCATTTCAGGGTGCTTATTTCCAATACTAAAGTGTCAGTTTTATTTTCAAGTTATCCAAGGTCTCCACACTCATGGATTTTACAGTTTAGCAATTGATAGGTATGAGATATATTACTACTAAAGCATAACCTACATACAAAAGTTATTTTTTAAAAATTGAAAGCACAGATGAGTGAAATCAAGAATTTTAGTTGTATACCTTTAGTTGTATTTCTTCATAAAAAAGAATTAATGTGTGTATGAATGAATAAACTAGAACTTTGTGTAAAGGAATAGTGAGATGGCTAATGCTGAATCCTTCCCATCAACTTGAATTTCTGAATGGCATGCTTTTCTGGGTTTAGGAGAATCAAGAGTGTTTCTTGGCTCCTTTCTACTGTTTCCTGGTGTGCTGCTCCCAAGAATGCCCTACCTGCCCCTTTTACATGGGAGTTGCCAGGGGAAAGACCAGCTGCTCGTACTTAGATTTTTTGCAGCTATGACTCCCATATCCAATTCTGGTACCCTTTTTCTACCTTTCATACACTCAGGGAGTAGGATGGCAAGCTTATATGCCCTGCTCCAGTCTTTCATCAACCACCACCAGGCTCAAGCCCTGTCTCAGTGCTATCTGCTTGGGGACATGGAGGATAATAATAAGAGCTCCTACTTACTGAGTGCCTGCTATGAGCTAAGTATTTACATGTCTAATTTCAAATTCTCACACGATCCTTTAAGGACAGTATTAGACCCATTTTTATAGATGTGGAAAGTAAAGCTCAGAAAAGTTAAGAAACCTCGCCAAGGTTATCTGATGCAAGATTTATTATATTTGGGCCTTCCCCCTCTTTGCTGTCAGTGGAAGACAATTCTCTTTCCTCAGAGAAATATGTTCACATCTTCTTTGATTGACTCTCCACTTTCCATAACAGCCCTCCCTGGAGAGCTGCTCTCCTACTCTCATCCCAGGCTGGTGTCCTGAGTTTCCCACAGTGATTTGGCCCTTGCATTAAATTTTCTGGCTTCTTGTCTGTTAGACTCAACTGATATCTTAAAATATCTGATTCGTTCTTAATAGTGTTGGCAGGTTAGAATCATATTTTTTAAAAGAAAAGTATATGTAAACATAACTTTCTGAATTCACTCATTGAGAGAACATATTTTTCCCATGTTATATAGACAAACTGGACAACGAAATCACCACCTGTTAGCTGCTAATGATGTTCACATGCCTTTTAAAAAAGTAATTCTGGCTTTATCTGTCTACAATCTTGGCGGCAAAACTCATGGGAACATCAAGGGCACAGGAAGCCAAAGGCAGAAAACCGACAATAAAGTTTGTGCTTAGACTACTAATAAGGAAGAGGATACTGTTGAGTCTCTGATTCTATATAATTATTTAATCTCCAAAGGGTGACATAAAAGCGAATGCAAGTTTTAAGAAACCTAAGTTTGGGTGTTCAAATCTAGGACTGAGATCAGAGGGGTTTCACACAGGGTATTTCCTACTTGAAAAAATATATTTTACAAAGCATCAAATATAAAACATGTCAATCACTATTTCAAATGCATGGTCTAATTTGATATTGTGTGGGTGGGTCAATCATTATGCCTTTCAAATGAAAATGAATACATACATATTGAATGAACTTAATTCAAAGTAATAGATGGATATTAACTGTGTCCTACATTGCAAAAAACATACTGGCCCTAAAAAAAAAGGCTTACAACTATACATACTCACCAAGATACAGAAAAGAATCATTTTCTAAAATTAGAGCTAGTGTTAAAGATTAAATTATTATTTTAATAGTGAAATCAAAATTGAAAGAAAACACCCAGTTTTAATTATTTTTGCCAATAAGTTTTTGGGTCCTGATTCAAGTTTACTGATTTCTATGAATCTTATTTTTAACATAATATTTCTATCCAAGTCTAAGTTCGATATAAACTAAGTTTACCTTTTACTTGTTCACTTTGTTATAATGTAATGATTAAAAGTACAGGCTCTAAAATAAGACTGCTTGGGTTTGAAACATGTCTCCATAACTTGTCTTTGTACAAATTACCTTAGTTCTTCATGCCTCAGTTTTCTCCTCTATAAAATAAGGTAACTAATAGTATCTACCTCATAGGATTGGTGAGAGGATTAAATGTATTGCTATAAGACAAGCACTTGGAACAGTGCCTGGTGCACAGTAAATGTTTCATATTTTCTAGTTTTTTTTTAACTTCAAAGTAAAAGGTGAGTATGAAGTCACTGTACAATTAGTTAGATTTTGAAATGAATAGAATAAATCATGTATCTCTTCCCTTTTTTTTTTTTTTTTTTTTTTTTTTGAGACAGAGTCTTGCTCTGTCGCCCAGGCTGGAGTGCAGTGGTGAAATCTTAGCTCACTGCAACTTCCGCCTCCCGGGTTGAAGCAATTCTTGTGCCTCAGCCTCCCGAGTAGCTGGGATTACAGGTGCTCGCCACCATGCCCGGCTAATTTTTGTATTTTTAGTAGAGACAGGGTTTCACCATGTTGGCCAGGATGGTCTTGAACTCCTGACCTCAGGTGATCCACCCGCCTTGGCCTCCCAAAGTGCTGGGATTACAGGCATGAGCCACTACTCCTGGCCTCCCTTGTTTTTAAGTAGGATTGAGTTTAAGCTCAAAGTAGAAAAATAATTGTCTTTTCCAATTAAAAATAGATTCTAAAGAGAAGTAGTGAGTGTTCTATCTAAGATTTTTTTTTCAGCAGCATCTTAATACTTTTAAAGTGACTGTTACTTAATAGAGAATTCATTATCCTCAATGTTTCTCAAATACATTTTTGCAAACCTTTATTTTCTCCATAGCTCAGGTTTTAGAAACATCTTAAGGTCTCTGAACCAGCAATTATATCTAAGATTCCAGACCTACTAGTCATTGCATCACATATTCTTTTATATGTACTACAGAATGTCTATATGATTAACACTAAATATATACTCCCAACTGAATCCCAATTCTGAAATCTTACCTTATGTCTCAAACCATATGAAGTAAAAGAAGACAATGATCAGGCATGAAAGGAAAACATTCTTTAAATGAAATACCTCTAAACTGTACCATTATGGAAAAGTCTTTTGAAATGGCATTAACTCTCCACAAATAAACCATGCATTTTCTAGACATTAACACTGATAATCTTAAACTCCAACTTAGCACAACTGGCTAAGTAAATGTGTCTAGCAGTTGTTGAAAATTATGGCATGGGATTTTGCATAAAGACTTAATTTCAAAAGGGTGCTTCTACTCTTAAATTCTCATGCAATTTCTAGATTTGTAGACTTCAGTAATTCAACTTTGGCAAATATGTTATCACATATAAATAGCTTCTCTCTTCCCTATCATATGTGTATGAGTCTTTGTGTGCATGTATGTGTATATACATATATTTCTTAATGCACACATATATGTACACGTACAAATAATCATCTAGCATACATACATACGTGTGTATGTGTATGTATATATGTATATATGTACACATATATTCCATTAGCAGCTCTTCTCAACTTACTGAGTTCTCTTTAAATTCTAAAGTTTAGGATGTCAGTATACTGATATTTTGTCAGAGGGAAATAGCAGGAAAAAAATGATGATTTGCAAGATTGGGGTCAGCCAGGTAGAAGACTCCCCCAAAATACTATAATTTTTAAGACTTTGGGAAATAGGTTTTCTCTGGTTCCAAAGATGTCTACCTTTTCTGAGACAGAGTCTTGCTTTGTTGCCAACCAGGCTGGAATGCTGTGGTATGATTTCAGCTCACTGCAACCTCTGACTCTCTGGTTCAAGCAATTCTCCTGCCTCAACCTCCTGAGTAGCTGGGATTACAGGCACGTGCCACCATGCCCAGCTTATTTTTGTAGTTTTAGTAGAGATGGAGTTTGGCCATGTTGACCAGGATGATCTCGAGCTCCTGACCTCGTGATCCACCCACCTCAGCCTCCCAAAGTGCTGGGATTACAGGCGTGAGCTACCTCGCCCAGCCAGATGTCTACCTTTTCTTTCAGGAGGTTGAGACTCAAACCAACTCAGTGAGATATGTGTTGCATATTTTAATAACCCCTTTTCATTGAGGAAGAAGCAGTCTGGGGAATGGTTAAGAAAGATACTCAAGATCACTGTGTAAGTAGTGAGACCATTCTTTTTACTCTAAATTTAATTCTTAGAATATTAGAACTAGGTGTGACCTTGGAGAACATCTAATTCACATCCCATATTTTCTATCAGCCTCTCTGGAAAGCACGTTTCTAAGTGTTTCTGGTGGTCTGAAGGTGTGGAAAGTGGCATAGCCTGTTGACTTAAGTTAGACCACACTGGTGGTCACTCATACCCTTTAATGTATGCAAATAAAATAGTCAGGATACCAGGGTTGGAGATGCTTGACATTTCCCACTCTCAAAATCAATCACTGATCTGAACACCATGGCTATTACTCAGAGATTCAGAGGTTTGCTGTAAGCAGAGACCATGACCTTGGAACAATTATTTTCTCAAAAGGCATTACCAACAATGATGTGAGCAAAGTGCCCAGACTGCCCTCCAGTGCACAAATCCCTGGCCAGGAAATGGCTACGAATCTTCCATGAGTATGATGAGTTTGGCTTAAATCTCATTTCAATGCATTTATATTTCATAAGCACTGCATTTAGACAAACTTAAAATGAGCAAGTCAAAGAAAATACTCACTTAAAGATTTTCTGTGCTCTGGTTTCTGTTCTTTTATATCACTGTCGTAGTGACTTAGCAATTCAGTGCTAGAGGATCTTTGGATTTTGAATAATTCCAGGTTTCTTGATGGACAACTTGAATCCTTTGGCTGGAAACAGCAAATAATTAGACTGAATAATTTTACTAGAAAGAAAGGATTCACCATAGAATTTTGTGTTCAATTTTGCTGTTTATGGGGAAATTTGAAGTAAGGTAATTATTTGAGGATAGGTCCTCTATGCTAAGCTCAATACTCTAATAATAGTTTATATATGTATATGATGGTACTTACTAAATGCTAAGCACTATTCATGCATTAGTTCAATTAATCATTACAACAATTCTATAGAGTAGGTGGTATTATTATTATCCTTATTTTCCTCATTAAGAAAATGAGGCCAAAATAGGCAAGTAATTTGCCTAAGGCCACACAGGTAACAAATGATAGAACTAGAATTCAAACTCTAGCAGTCTGGTTCCAGAGTCCATCCTCAATGGCAACAAACTGTGTGTATGTATGTATGTGCACTCACACACATTCACACACACACCCCTTTAAGGGGAATATACTAATAACAGGAAAAAGTAAATTTGTTATTTTACTTTTTAAAGTGTTAATCCCAAAATGGTATAATGAAAGCTTGCAATTAAGTATCAAGAAAATCACACAGAAAATCTTTTACTATTGTGTTGTATTCCGTATTAAGAATATTTCTTCCCAAAATTTTGCAAATATTAGTGTCATAAAATTAAATGTTTGTTCTAGAGACTCAGCATGGAATGAGTGGTTTTAAATAAGTTCATTCTTAGAAAACATACTCTGAATGTATGTTTTAGGATAATTTCATGAAGTTCTAGATATGTAATTTTCATAAGAAGAACAATCTAGCTTAGCTGGAAGAATAATAAAAATCAGTACAAAGGGTTATTATTTATTTATTGGTATTATAACAGTGAGTCTTAAATATGTTATTTATTTACAGGAGTATGTAGTATGGACTGCATAAACTGAAAATGAAAAAAAAATCAGTAGTTATTAAGTGCTTGTGTGCTTTTTACAGCCTCCAGTAAATGAATGTCTATGTTATTTCAGAAAAAAAGAAAGAATGCACTATATTTTTGAAAGAGAGAAATTAAACGACAGTTCTACAAATCCTGTCTGCTGAAAAGGTTTTTAGTAGATTCTATTTAAACTAAAAGAACTTAATCCCTCTCAGTCCATAGGATCTATTTAAATGAGTGTGTGTGTTATATGCCTGAGCAATAAGATTTAAATGACTACATTTTAATTAATAAAGGTAACAGCCAAAACAAATACATACCAATCTGTCAATTGCATTTTTGATAGCGTGGAACCAATCCAATATGATGAAGTCAATATCTGACTGTAGAAGGAACTCATTTCCTGATACTGTTGTGATCTGCAAAAAAAAAAAAAAGAAAAAGAAATAGACAGGTAAAGAAACTATGTAAGATAGATCTCTTACATGTAAAAATCCTTTTTTAAAAAACACAGTTTAATAAAATGAAATATTTTCTTGTATTCCAGTAATTGTCTTTCTGGGAACTGGGAGCATTTTGAACCGCTCTCTATAAACTGTTTTTCACGTCATAACAAATACATTATTGTTTTAATAATAGAACGATTAAGTCAGAGTAGGGCTAGAGCTGAATTACTCCAACTTAAGGAGAAACAAGCCAGGAAGTTCAGAGAACTGCAGACAGTACACACTTAAGTCAGAACCCGCAGAAAAATGCACCCGGGTGTGTCAGAATTCATTCTGCACGTTTGCCTCTTTCCTGTCTGTCTTTTTCAAATCTAATAGTATCTCTATATTTGATTTCCTTTTATGGAGAGCTCTAAAACAGTTTATTTACCAAAAACACTAATTGCAGACTTCCAAAAGTTCATTGAAATGAATAACATTTGACTATTTCTACTTTCTTATCAGAGATCTATAGGAAAGTAATAAAAAAACCAATTTCCCCACAAAAGGAGTATATTAAAATAAAAGTTCATTTACATATTTGAACCTCTCTGGGAGAGTATTTATCAAATGAACATTCAGGTTCCTGACTCTCAGACTGCTAAGTAGTTGGCAATATTTAGCGTGTAACTGTCCATTTTTCATTACAGTGAATCTTTTTCTCCCCAGACTTGTGAGAAAAGGATACGACCCTACAGAAACAGAGCAATACTCTTAGTTTCACACATAACGGGCAACTTAGAGAAAAAATTGATTAGAGTGGGTGTGGACATGCTTTTTGTATTTGGCCATCAATCTGAACTGTGAAGATTTTCCCTTTGTATTATTGACTTTTCCTTGCAACTGGAAGATGAACATTTCCCAACTACTGTCACACAGAGTTCAGGGGTTTAGAGGACTGACATTTCAAAATACTCAATCAGGAGCCAGTCACCTCTTCTCAGCCTTCCTTGCTCTAAACAGGAGGTGAACGCTGAAATGTGGCACAGGTTCAGAAAATCACAAATCACGCTTTAGGCCATCTCTATAATTCTATCATTAAAGTGACAATTACTACCCCAAATGGCTCATTCTGAAGGTTTCAAGGATTCTCATGGCAACATTTAATGACAATGATTTTGGGGTTTTGAAAGAAATCTGTTACATATGTGCATATATATTCATTTGTCATTTGTTTTTAGAAAAACTCTATAGAGATTCAATATTAATCAGTACTGCAAAGTAACCATTCTTGATTGAGATGGGTTCCAATATCAAATGTTGTCTCTATAACTGTGAGAAGAACTGTCTAAAGTGTATACAATTATAAGAAGTGAAAGATTTAAAAATAAAAAGATTTAATTGCCCACACTAGAATTTGACAGATTACTGAGGCCAATCAGTCTTTCTCTCTCTTTTTAAAATGAAACTGCATATAAGATTTAGGATGGCTCAAAACAGCCTCCTATTTTATGTATCCAGTAAAAGACAGCTCAGGTGATGTTTGCCTAATTATCTGAACACCATTGCAATGTTCTCTACTCAGATAAAGTTCCAAATATTTACTTTATAGAGTGTTGCCTAAGAAATAGTAATCTAAAAATATAAGGTCATTTCTAACACAAGAAAACTAGTAATGTCCTAGACCTCTACCTTCATCCTAATCTGTAGTGAAATATTTTGATTATGAATGTATTTCTAACATCATAATTTGTTAACATACACAAAGACAAATGAATTAGCCAAAGCACAATGTACAATGTAATGTTTCTCTGCCAGTATAAATAAACCATTATTAAAATTATAAAAAGAAACATTTAAGAAGTACGAGAAACAAACATAATTAGATTTGCTATATTATGAGGGTTTACGAAAGAGCCAACATAGTTCAGCTTGCAGTCTAGTAAATTCAAACAGTGATAAAATATAAGTACTTTAGCAGTGCGTTTGCATTTTTGGTGCATGCTATGCAATGCAAAGGGGATCTTATATTGCTAACACAACCAAAAGCAAAATGTATTTTAAAAGTTCCTTTGTCCAAATATATTACTGCATTAATCATACATAATCAGTGATTTACGAATTCATTTTGAGAAGCTAGATCAGAGAGCTATATGAATGCAATTCATTCAAAACATACTATCAGAGAGATGCAGTTCACATCCTTTCCTCTGTCTTCCCACTAATCTTTCGAGTTACCAGGCAGTCTGGAGAAGTCTGCTACTGCTCTCTACAGTTTAAATGCATCCACTTCTTAATTACAGTCAGTAATTGACTTTGTTCTGCTCTATTCCAGTCACTCACAGGAAAGTAGTTTCAAAATCTTTGACTGGTAAAGCCCATTTAATTCAGGTTCCTCAACCCGCTTTTTTATTTTACCTCTTTAGGATTTCTGATAAATGGTTTGCTGAATCATATTTGCACTTTGAACAATCGAATTTCCAACACTCTTGGGGAAAAAAGACATCAGTAAAGAATGTTAGCTCTGACTAAATCTTTTGATTGAACAACTTATGATGACAATCTAAAATGATGTATAACAGACATAAAGGCTTTGATATTAAGCCGTGCTAATGTACTCTTTCTATATGTTTTGCCTCCGTGACAGATGCTGGGGTAAGGGGATGAAGGAAGAACTTATAGACAACATAACAGGTTTAGATAAGAGCTGCTGGTCTCCATCTTGCTTAGAAACCTAATTTAGGCAAATGTTTCTTGAAATCCCTCATTACCACACCAGGTCGTATTTTGAAGGAATATATCAGGGCACCAAAGTAACCTTAATGAAGTGTGCAGTGTCAATAATGCATATCTTTAAGTATCCATCTGGGGAAATTTGTCTTGAACTTTTTCATACTAAATAAGGGTCCATCTGAATTCTTGCTGGTAAGAAATTTATGCCCAGGAAATTATAGAAGCGTGTCCACTGAGCAACATGCAGAGTGGGCACATTCCTTAAGGCTTTTGGGAATTAATTCAACAATAGTTTTCACGTGGGCTTAGAATAGTCTGTGTCCTTGGTACGGTTCCTCTTAATATGGAGGCAGGTAGATGCAAGTCCAGACTTCACTGATGAAGAGCGAAGAAATTTGCGTTTTAGATTTTAATTAAATGGAGCTTTACTATGCTAATTTAAAACATCTTAAAAGAGTTTTAAGAAGTAGTGTTTATGTTGATTTAAGTATTGTTCTTTTAAATATTGTCAATTAAGTAACACTCTCATCAATATTCATTCTGGCAGTAAGATTTTATGCTATTAGATTTTTTAATTTAAATGAGAAATTAATGTGTAGAATGGCATTTATACCATTATAAATTTCCATACTTTTGTTTACTAGAATATAAACAAAACCTTTTTTAGAACTTCTTTTTTCTAAGAATAATACTTCATTGTGTAGAATTTGGGAAAAATAAAGATAAAGAATCAAAATTATGCATAGCTACACAAAGTAAACATTGTAGGTATTTTAATTTCATTATTGCCAATCTTTTATAAATAATAACCAAACAGAAATAATGATCAATGTTATAGATAGATACACCTCATCAGCAAAACATATTTGATGGTAAAATATTACCAGCTTCCAACTGACTTCAGATGCACATGGGGAGATTACCAAAGATGTAAGAGATAATGAGTGACATGGTGCTACCCTGTTTGAGAGCCCCACCCTTCTGATTGCAGAATAAATCCCACAAATAATTTCATGTACAGAAGAATAGAGAGGATGCGTTCATGACAGAACATCCTACTAATCATTAACAATGACTGATTAAGCATCCATTAAGTACAAGGCACATTGCTAGAAGCTAGGGATACACAGCCCCCACCCTCAAGAACTCACAATCTGTTTGGATAAATAGGACATATGCATATACAGATAAATAACAATAGAAAATGGCTCATACTGAGTCCCAATGTGAGCAGCACACACAATGCTCATGTCAAGATTTCAGAGGAAGGAGTAGTTACTGCAGGCACATTTACATCATGAAAGTATGCATAAACTGGTGGTCATGATACGTTATTCTTTAAACGTTGATTGTATCAGAACTTCAGTATATTAAGGATATGAATACCACCACTTGGTATGCAAAGTGATATCAGCTTTAATGATCTCAAAGCACATAATAAACATTCTCCAAATGCAGCTTTCCTCCACTATCATAAAGTAATTTTGCAAATGAAGAAAATGAAGCAAATGAGGAAAATGAGAATGCCATTCTATCAAATTGGCATCATTTTAAATGATAGAATTAAGAGATTACAAAGATCTTGATTTCTAGTTCACTAGTTCTCAGCAAACAGTTGTATACAGTCAAGGACTGTGTGTTTGAACAGGAAAAGGGCCGTGATAATTTGGTTTCAGTTATGAAATTTGGAATAGCAACTTTAGACAAAGTTGCTTCTTTCCTTGCAGTTAGGCTAAAGATAGCCCGATTTTAAAAGATCATGCAAAATCCTAGCTCTGATTTTTCTTTCCAAAAACAAGCACTCTCTTGCTATGAAAAAATATATCTAAGACTGAATTGGGTTATCTACAACTCCTTCAAATCCTAGAAAGGACTAAAGCAATCCTACACTTGAACAAATACCTTTCGCATTTTGATTAGAACCTAAGGAGGGATTATTCCATTTTAGTGAAACTGAAATAGTATGCAGGAAATGCATAATAAAATATGCCAAATATCCAAAGAGCCCTAAAACATGTTAAATAATATGGCTACAGTGGTTCTAGAGAGACATAAATAAGAGGAATGGAATTTAATTGCTATTATGTTTAGAGAGACTTTGGACTTCATGATATAATTTTTATATTTGAGTTAAATTAAGTAAAAATAAAAAGTTATATCAACATACACTAACTTTATTTGAAGTGAATATGAATTATTTTTGTGATAGTAATTTTGTCCATATCTGTATTCAGTACTCCCAGCAGAAAATATACACATGATAGGGAGATATCAAGACCTAAAATCGAAGTAATAATGCTTACAAAACCCACACAGATTCACATTTTTTTCATCTTGCATCACTCCACATATAGCTGATCAAATGAAGGTTGTCATGGTTATACTAATAGCTAAATTACTTGGTCTCAAAGGTGTTTATGACCACCAAAGAAATTACACTATCAGGCTGAATGTCTGTCTCAAATTACAGTCTGGTTTGAGTAATTCCTAACATTTCTCTTAACATGTTGAGCAAAGTTAAAATAAAACTAAGGGTAAAATATCAGTTAGATGTAAAAGGTCTTCAATTTGCCTTTCCAAAAATGTTACTTGTTAAAGCATTTTGTGAGAAAGTATCTGCCTTGTGTTCCCAATGTTGCTAGATGTTAAGTAAATATATGCTGATTACAAAAAAAAAAAAAAAAGTTACTTTGGCAACTCTCTTATTAAAATGCATTTGTAATCCCCATCTGTCATGAAAGTTTTGAAAAGTTTGTTTACTTTGGATAGCAGCCTTATCCAGGGTTACCCTAGCAAACAATGATAGCAGTCTTCAAAAGTTGTATGAGGAACAAGCCACTAGGGATCCATTTTTGTTTTAATTGGCACACACAAACACTTTTCTGGTCTGTCAAGAAGATCAAGCTAATATGCATGGAGGGTGTTATATTCTCAGCTTTGGGGAGCAGTAAAGCTCCCTTTATTTAAGTAATTTAAATGATAGACTGCAAAAACTTTGCAAGTCAGAAAAATGTTTTATACTTTCTTAGGGAATATTTGTTTTAAGCAACGGAAAATGTTCTACATATCTAAAGATGTTGAACCTTATGTTATAATTACTCTGTTTCTTCTGACTCCGTGAAATGTTCCTAAATCCACATGCTACTAAATAAGCCAGGCCACCAATGGATCTCAGCATTTCCACAACTCCCCCTATGTTAACAAATGTGCGTTCATTAGTTTCCAGACGCTTATTGGATATGTTTTCAATGTGTTTGGGGTTGATTGATTTGCATGTACATTTATTGGAACCCTCAGTGGTGTCATCATATCAAAATAACCTGCCCATGTAAGCAATTTCTTATTTAATGGAAAGTAAACAATGTCGGGTTACGTACATGACAGACCTCCAGTACATTCCAAAATCTAAGGTTTAAGGCCAACCTTTCAAGAAACAATGCTTTTTAAGTGAAATTGAGCTGTACTTTGACACCCAAATAATTTTGTCCATGCATTCGTACAACAGAGATTTGTTCTGCATAATAAAATTGTCCCTGTAGTGAACATTCACACCCCATATTACTTGCCCACTCTAACTTTCTGTTTATTAACAAATATCTAAACCCAAAATTTATTTCAAACAAGCAAAAAAAAAAAAAAAACCCTCATGTTCATTCTTTTTATTGTGTTAAAATATTTTAAGTACTGAGAAACAGTCTTCTCAATATTCATGAAAGAATACTATCCAAGTAATTAGTAGATAGTTTAGCAATTTCCACAGTTTTGCAGCAGCCACACCAAAACTTTTGCCTGTGGTGCTCATATGAAAAACGACTCAAAAAGAGACTAATCAAAGCAGTTGGTGTATAAAGATATCAACTTAGACTTTTATTGCTCTTAATTTTTAAACTGGGGGGGTGTACTTGTCTGTAGATAAATGAATCATCCTGGGATTTGTCACCAGTCACTCCCTGCCAACCACAGATCACCTTCTTGCCTGAGCTATATTCACTGTGTTCAATTACTCATTTAGTCACAGTCACATGACACTTGGGAATCTGCTGCCCCCATTGTTTTCAAATTGGTATTATTTTTATTATTACTGTCCTTATGTAGGTAATGCTCAATTTTAAAAGTTTTAATAAATTCAAATTAACAAACATAGAATCTCCCTTCCTTCAAGATACACTGACTTGTTGTCTCTTTCTACATACCTTTTTGACCCACGAGGAAACATTATGTATGTTTACAGTTTAATGAAAATATCATGTATATTATTATGAAAATTTTTGTGCCTTTTACTATATATACTACCATCATCTCTCATGAGAATTTAGTCATAATATCCTTTGCTTTCCTCACTGTCTCATCCATGTTTTTCCTTCAAGTCCATACTATATATTGCAGCCAAAGTGATCCCTCTGAAACTTGGATATGATCATCCCATTCTTCTGCTTGATATCATTCTGAGGCTCCCCACAGCTGTTGCAGTGCAGTGCAAACTCTTTAATTTGGCATGCCAGCCCCTGTGTGCTCTGGCACTGACCCACTCTGCACTTCCGCTGCTCCACATTTTCCTCTGCATTTCCACAATCCAGCCATACTGATTTTTTTGGTTCCCCAGCTGTCCCATACTTTAGAGCAGGTTGTTCCTGCTGCCTAGACCCCTTTGACATCCTCTGTCATATCATTCAAATCATTTGAGATGTCACCTTTTCAGTAAAGGCTTCTTTGAAATAGATATTCCCCCAAGTGCGCTCATAACATCCTGCTTCTCCTTTATCTTAGCACAAACTGGTTTATGTTGCAATGCCTTGTTGGTCTTTCCATTCCCCCCACTATGCTATAATAATCCTGAGGCCAATGACAATTGTCTACATGCATGGCTGAACAACAGACACATAAGGAACACTAAGAAAATAATCAATAGACAAACCTTATCTACTTTATTCATTTTGGTGAATGCATTATATTGCATTGTTTGATATGCCATAATATATTTAACTCATTCTCTATTGTCATAAAATTTTGAAGGCTGCAATACAATTGCATTCTTTCAGGTAATATAAGTAATGTAATACTGACGTCTACTGAAAACACTTCATAAGAGTAGAGTAGGCAAACTATTTTGAAGATTGATAATGGCAGTCTGAAGGCTATATTTTCCCAGCAGTCAGCAAGTCCTAGACATCAGACAATAGGATTAAACTTGGAAGGGCTGGGAAGCACAAGAGTCATATTTCAATGCATATCTCTAAAATAGAACGTTCTTGATTATATTCCAAAGCCACCCAAGTATTTTACAGGGATCATCTATACTAGATCATCTAAGAATCTCACCCTAAATATAGGCTTTGGTAATTGGGAGTTGACAGTATGGGAACTGGAACATAAGTTCAAAATTTTAAAGAGCTAATACTTAGGTTAATGGGTCAAGTCTTTAGAGAAACTCAGTGATGCAAAGATGCTCATTGCTGTCCATCAGCATTGTAGCAATTTTACAAGAACACTGTTAATATTAATAAATAAGCAAACTGTGGGAGGAGGTAGTAGTTACGTTGTTAATTTTATTTAGAAGTATTAGCTAACTTTATGATACAGTGACTTAAGCAGAAGTAGGTATTGTTGCCACTAGTCTCCTATTAATAAGTACTGAGAGTGTACAACAAGAATAAAAGATGTTACAGTATGTATCTTTATGCTATTGTAACATATTTGGCCATGATTATGAGTGTTTATAAAACATTCAAGAATTGTTCCATGTCTGCTTACATTAATGAGAACACCTGTTAGCTTTAGTGCTGTACAGACTTATTTGCATTAGATTCAGGTTTTCACATACTTTACCTCACTTTTTGAAACAATTAGATGCTTATAGAGAAATATAGCTAAGTAAAAAACAGCAACTTGAATGCCTTCCGGCTCAAGACAATTCAACTCCAGGTTTCAGTGAAAAACAAAAATCTGCTCAATTACAATACTGCCACTTAGAAGTGAATGTAGGTGTATTTCATAATTTTACATTCAGAGAACAGAAGATACATATGAAAATCTGTGCTTTAATCTTCAAGTTAAATTATAGCCAAATGAGGCAGTTTCCAGACAAGGATGCCAACAAATAAGGAATGGTGATGCCACCACAACATAGATTCTCTGTGATCTTGGGGACTCGCTACCCAAAGTTGGTCTCTTTACTGATTTCCAGAAGCTGGATGACTCTAGCTGGTCTTCTGACTGAGTGAGGAAATCTGCAGATGCTTGCCCACCTTGTGTTGTTTCCGACACTTTGCCAAAGAGACCTTTCTATGTGATGACAGAGCTGAAAGGAGCAAAGCAGCTGAGGACTCTCTCTGAGTCAGTCATTTCTGGGCTACGGTTCGCAGCATAGCCAGAACATACCAACCTAGGAAATGCACCGCAGTTCCCTTACAGAAGCCCATGACTCTGACTTATTCATTACTCACAACTTCTGTAGGTCTCACTCTATTGACACATCTGTCTGCTACTTCTCTTAGGATGCTAAAGCTTCTGGGATTTAAATATTTTCAGTTATTGAAAAAGGGAACACTTGAGCAAATCTAAGGATTCACAGCCTCTATTATCATCATTATATTTAAGAGGTGCAATATTTACATAAAAATAACTCAGGTGGTGATATAGTCTAAAGATAAATGAGTATTTGTGATCAGAAGAAGTGTGATTTATAACTATTTTCTCAGACATAAACAGTGCCCCTCTGTACTACACTAGTAAACACAGATTAGCCCAGGCACACACACATATGAACTATTCCCACATGATTCCTGATACTCTGTCCTGGGAAATAGCAGAACTAGGAATGGCCCTTGCAGAGTGTGTGGCTCACAAGAAAGAACGGTATCTATTTCCTTCTCTGCTGTCAAGTTATATACTTTGGGGAGAGGAACAAATATTAGGTGGAGATTTGGAAATTAACCAGTGAATTCTTTTTTATAGAATCCAAACTGCATAATTCAAGAAGTAAGTGTAATACTACAAACTTACTTTTGGTGTCTCATAATTTTGAAATTGTGTTTAACCAAGAGCTTGACAATCTAGATTTTGCTCTCCATGAAAGAGCATGATCATTCATTAGGAATGAAACTAACTATCTATGTAATTAAGATGTTCATGAATGAGTAGTAATGCTTCTTTTTCCATGAATGAGAGGCTTAAATAAATTGAAAATGTTGAAAATTTTCTTCTGAGAATGTGGAAAAATTGTAATTCTGCTGTTTGGAGAACATTCCTAACTGTTTACTCAAAAGGGTTATCTTTAAACCAAACATGAAAAAGCATCTGACATTTCTAAAACTATAGTTAGTGGTTTACAAAACATATAGTACATATGTACATGTAATATGTTCATATATATATCACTATATATGATATATAGGTATATCACATATAGTGACATATGATGTAGTGATACGTATCATATATGTACATACATACTATAAAGTTATATATAATATGTAATATAGTACATGTGTACATATGTGTTCTATTTCTCTCTATATATAAAGAGAGCACAACAGAAAAATAGAGATAATTTAATGGTATTTTTATTAAAATAAACCACCTGTGACTCTATAATAGACAATGACATCTGTCAATTGAGCAACAGGCCACCCACCTAATAAGGAGACATCTGGAATGACATATCACTCCATGCCAAATGTGTGCAAAAATATCTTAACACTCCTTACTCCCCAAAACAAAATGACATTTGTATTGAAATGTTACCACTTAAAGATGCTAGACTTTTAAAAAATGTATTGGTAGCACTATCAGTAGGGTGACTATATAATTTATTGTTGAAACTATGATAATGCTGAAGGCAAAAGGCACTGTTAATAACACACCAGGACAACTGGTATAAACCAGGCCTATTTTGTGTCTCTGGGACATATGGATCACTAGCCAACACACACAATACTGAGAGTCATTTAATAACCATTTAGGTGCCTAGTGAATACCTGTCATTGGTCCAATTCTAAGAACTGTGAGGTATACAAAAAAGTTAGCAGTGACCCTTCCTCTTAAGAAGCTTCTAATCTAGTGTGAGAAAAGACCAGCATGTGAAAACATTAGAAACAACAATTACATAAGGATTCAAGATGGGACACATAATGGTTTTCAATGAAAGAAATCAAACTTTCCTTGAGGGTATAATGGAGGACCCAGGGATGAATGTTGGAGAAGGATCCTAAAAGGATGGATGAGATTTAGTAGAAGAAAAGGCAGGGTAAGAGGACAACACAGGTGAAAGGAAAAGCTTGTACAAAGATTCAGAGGAAGGAAAGTATACAGCATCTCTAAAGGACATGAAGAAGCTGTCCCTATGCCCTCTCTGTGGAATCTTTTCCCTTCACTCATCCCTTAAATGGTGGTGTTACCAAACATTTTCCTGTAAGACATGATTCTTCTCCCTTACAGACACGCTCCAGAATTATATTACCATTTCTCATTTTTTTAAAAAAAATTAGATTTGTAAAACTAATAGATCCCTAATGTGTAACTCTATTGCAATTCGGACCAATGTGACTTCTGGTCTGACCTCCTTAATGACAGATGGTATAGTTACAATCCATTCTTTACATCCACTCATCAGTAAACTCCTAAGTTGACTGACATCAACTTTGTCCTTGGAGATCTTTGTAAGTCTGATTCTCACATTCACTAGGACCTAAAAGAATCAGACCCTGGAGATAGGGCCTAGTAGTCTGTCTGTTTACAGAGCTCCACGAGTGATTTGAAAATTATGCTGTATTGGAGTCTGCTGCTCTAGACCATAGAAAGATGATCTACCTAAATCCATATCTGTCACATGCCACTTAAAAGCCACTGAATGGATTCCTTTTATCCCAAGGATAAAACCTCAATTATTTAATGTATGTTGCAAAACATTTCATAATTTCTCTGTCTCTAACCTTTTCAATTCCTCTACTTATTAACTGCATAACTTTGAACAATTTATTTAAAATTTTTGTGTTTCTATATTCTCACCTATAACCTGAGAAAAACAATAATACCTACATCATAGGACCATTATAAGGGCTACATAAAATACAATCCAGGAGAAGAACTTAACATAATACCTGGTACATACTTAGCACTTAAAATATTATGTTATTATTTGATTTCACTTATTGACTGATTCATTGATTGTCTCCTGGACTTTGCAAACTCCACCTCTTCATTCAGGAAACTACTCAGACACTGCCTATTCCGGAAAGTCCTTTATAACATCTAGAGGTCAAAAAAGAGGTATCCCTCCAGCAGTTTGTACTAACTTCATAATGGTGTGCATCTCACTACTGTACACATCCAGTGTCTTGACCTTTCTACACATTAAGCTCCCTGACCACAAAACCACATGTCCCTGCATTCAGCCAAGTATCTGGAATAGCACCAGCTCTCAATAAAGGGGTATAGAATGAATGATAGCTCAATTGGCTTAGGTTAATACTAAAGGGTTTTGGTATCCACATAATGAAAGGCTTATGAAATGTAGAAAACAGATTTTATTTGGTATACTAGTAAAGAGGAAAGCAATGATTAGTCACTGAGAACCTGTATTAGTGAGCTATTCCACAGTGTCACAGTGGGGAAGACATCCTCTTAAAGCTGGCTCTATATTGCAACTTCCATAACTGTCAACATACCACTGCCTTCTAAGGTTGTATCAATGCATCTATCTGAAAAGATGATACACCATCTTGGTAAGAAGAATACCTCTTCCATGGGCCCCTGGGGTTTCTCCAGCTCTTTCTGGTTCCTGATCTTTTCCTCTTTTACACAACTCAACAGATGCTTCTCTGCTTTCAATGTTAGATGCTCCACCTTGAGATGCTTGGTATTTGAATAAAGACCTTTGCTATAACCCAAAGTGACTTGACGTGATCTCAGGCCTTGAGAGTTGAGAATGCACAGTCTTGGATATCCTGTCTTTGCCAAAGCTCATTTCTGTAGCTGTATCCTCTTCTTGCTTCCGGCTTGTGGTTCCCTATTCTGGTGGTTTATCTCACATACCAGACTCTCTCGGCTGGTAGTGTCCTTTTGCCAGGCCCCCTTTTAGGAACTGGGGCTCTGCAGAGCATCTCCCTGATCCTCATTGCACCTCACTGAGTTCTTTAAATCCACCTTCCATCTGCCTCACCCATCTGAATTGTTACACATGTAATCAAGAAATAATCCATACTTGCGTTCAAGGCACCATAGTTATAAGAATATCTGAAAATGAGTCATGTCAGTGTATTCAGCAATCATCCAATGGTCTTTAAAATATCCTTGTTATTTCTGGTTGGAACTCACACCCTAACAGCCTGAACTGAATTTTGTTATCTTACTTTTTGGGTTCTGTATTCTGTCCAGAAGACACACTTCCTTCCAATATTATCAGCTCAAACTTTTCCATAGTAGTTGTCCCAACTATAGTTTTTTGCCTGCTTCATCAAGATGGTTCCATTGCCATTAACTTGTTTTTTCATGATCTCAAACAATAATCCCAATCCCTGAATAAATGATATCTAAAGATCATCAGTATAGTAAGTTTCTCCCTCAATTTCTGAGGCTTACTATCAACTATTGTGCCATTTATCATTCTCTAGTATCCTGGGGAGTAGGACATTAAGGAGGACATTTTTCTATCATGAGAACCAGTATTGGGTTTGTAATCTGCTACCCTTGAGGCTCACAGCATTGGATTCATATTTCACTGAGTTTCATCCACAACATTTTCTTTAAAAGTTTGTGGCTTAATTAGATGAGACTTATATGCAGCTTGTTAATTTACCTGAATGCAGGTGGAGGAGGCACTAAGGGAAGAACGTATTCCAAATTTAAAGAAGCCACTGTCCTGGAGGTATAATCTGGTGATGGCTTTCAAACATTTTTGTTCATGAAACATGTTAAGAAGTAATCATTGCCAATCAGTACCTCTTTCTTGCTCTCTCTCCCCCCCTTTCTCTTTCTCTCACACTCTCTCTCTTTCTGTCATCTAGGTATCTTTCTACACATAAATTCATCTATTATTCAATGTATAATAATGAAACACACACATATATATATATATATATATATATATATATATATACACCATGTGCATATGTTCATTTATATATGTATATATATCATATAATTGAAACAAAAGTTTTATTTAATAATACCTCCCTTTACTATATGTGATGTAATATATCTTCTATCCTGGTTTCTTTTTTTCTTTAATTGATTTCATTTAAAAATGCTGGTCCCAACTCACTAAATTGATTCTGTGACCCACTAAAGGATCACAGAATTTGCAATTTGAAAAACTCTGGCCTAGGGAGTAATGAAGATGTGATCTTCATGCCCTGTTCCTTGATGTGCTCTCTTTCTCTTTTCCTCCCTCTTTCTCTCCCAGTCCCTTTGTCCCTCCTTCCCTTCCCCTTCTTTTCTCTTCCCACCCTGCACCCTCCCTGCCTCTCTGTTTATAAGATGCTTCAAAATATCTTCATATGTAATTTAACAGTTGGATATTTAAACCTAGGAAAAACTTCCAGCATATTTGTCACGTTTGTGACTATTAGGCCTGGGTGATCAATAACCCTGTGTGGGTGATTCTGCACTAAGTCCTTTCCTGCCATTTGAAAGTAGAATTATCATGTGGTTCTTCAGAATTTGGCTTAGACTCTAGGTTTTCTAAATATACCTTAAAGCAAGAGTTCCTTTATAAAAGAAGAAACAAAGATGGGGCAATGTGCTGTTTGGAATACATCTGAGATACCTCACCATGATCTGGAGAGGGAAAAACCAAAGAAGTTAAAAGCCTGGCAAACTATCAGAGACAGAGATGGCAGCTATTTGTTTTCAAGTCCCTTGTATTGAAACAATGAGTGCACTCCACGTTGCATCCTGCAGCACCATGATACAAGATCTGGGAGTAGTTACTAGCATGTGTCTGTGTGATGGGAGCGAAAGCTAAACATTTTAATAGTGTTATGGCCTCTCCTTCTTAAATTCCCATTAATGCAAATATAGCACATGTGGTTTAAGTCCCAAGAGCCTTGTAGGACACAAATCACAGATGTGGAATAAACATTATCAGAGAATAAGACTCCATGGTCTTCTTGCCATCAACACATGCCTTTATGCTCCCATGACATCAGGCAGATACCTGATAGGATATCTTAAGCAAAATCACAAAAAGTCAGGGTCATCGAAGGGCCCAGGATGGCAAGATTCTAAGCGGACTCCAAAGACTTCTTGGTAAATTACCGCAGAGGCTTCAGCTACATCAAGGCTTTCAGAGAACACTTACCACAATGATAATTAAATATAGTAAAAATTACTCATCCTTCCTGCACCAAAATTACCAGAGACTTATGCTATGTGAGGAGTAGAGTGTTTTTGTAATGTAACCCAGATGATGTGATGGCACAAGGCCTATGAAACAGAGCTGGTGTACTTCAGATACACAATACAATTCCCCCAGCTATCTCAATTCTTCTGTGCTGCCTTCAAGACTACAATTCAAGGTGCTTGCTGCTCTAAGATTGCTCTCTTTTCTTTTTCCATCTTCTGTTCATCCCTTTCTTTCCCCATGTCATTATTTTCCAAAATTTGCAGGCTCAAAAAAATGAGTAAATTGAGTCTCCTCCACCTAGCCCATTATCATTGCTGTGTTCTAAAACTGCCACTACATTTGAGAAACTTGGGTAAATGCCTATGTATTGGTGAACTGCATTTCCCCACATTGTCCGTAAGTGAGACTTCAGTAACCGTATCCTGACCTGACCTTAAAACTTATATCGGCAGTACTGTCAATTGCCATGTAGTGTGATTCTGGGAGCCTTAAGAAGCCTCTTTGGATGACAAACTAATTCCCTAAACCTGCCGTCTAAGGTCTGGAATTTTAATTAAGTTATTCCTTTAGATGAAGCCTTTAAAACAATTAAGTGAAAGGATGATATTTTTCTATACATTTTCAATGATATTGCTGTTTTGTTTAGATATTGCTGTTACTTTTCTTAGGAAAATATATTAAAGCAAACTATTTCTGAATATAAATGCATACTCGAAGACTTAAAATATGCAAAACCAGAAATGTATAAAAACTAAAAACACTTCTAATCATAGTACTCAAAATATCCCTCTTAGTATTTAATGTATTTTCCTTCAGACTCTTTAATACATATGTTATGTTTATATACATATATATGTGTTTGTATATATATATATAGGTCATACATAGGTCAAATTAAATATACAATATCGTATCTTATTATTTTTTTTAACATATCATGAAGGCTTTTCCATGGCATTATTCTTTGAAAGCATCTGTTTAATGACTTCCTAACATTTTGTTATAGAGATTTACTTTAATAAATTGAAGTGTCTTCCTATTTTTCCACAATTTAGTTAAATAAACCCACGCTGCATAAGCATGACTTTTTGTTAAGATTTCTGATTTGTTTTTCTTAGAAGAGATTGTTAGAAATAGAATTACTAGGTCAAATAAAAGAATTTTGAAAGGCTGCTGAAATGCATTACTAATCATTTTCTAGAAAGTTTGTTCCAAGTTGTATTATCTCACCAAAATTTAAAGCATAAGCCCATTTCAATTCATATTTTCTCTGAAGTAACACATTATATACTTTGTGAATTTTATAAGAAACTCCTTTTTTCTTAGGCTTGCATTTCTTTTATAATTAGGCATTTGTGGTTTTTTTTTCTTAGAATTTCTTACTAATGTGCTTACACATTTTTAAGTTTTAGTATTTTTAAGATTGGAATGCAGTTTTAAGGAAGTTTATTAAATTTTGGTGACAATTACCACATAAATTTTCCCCAATTTATTTTGAATGGCACTTTTAATGAAATTATTTTTGTTTCTTGGTATTCAAAGGAGCTTGATTCCAGGGCTGCTGTGAATACCACAATTTGCACATACTTGAGTCCCACCATTAGCCCAAAGCAAATCTTCGATACAAGAAGTCAGCCATCAATATCAGGTGTTTCATATTCTGTGAATACTGCTCTTTCCCTCTGCACTCTTGGTTGCAGATGTGGAAACATCAGATACAGAGAGACCCCTGTATTTATTGGGAAAAAAACCCCTCTCATATTAATGGGCCCCTGCAATTCAAATCCACATTGTTCATGGGACAACCTTATTTACATATAAATGTGTTATTTTTAATTTTTCCATTGTAAGCTTTAGGTATTACTTCTTTGTAATTTTTCCAATTTATATTTTAATTCTTAGAAATCATCTGAAGGACCCTAAATCTTTTATGTGAACTTTAAATATTTCTTCTCTTCCTCCAGAAGATCCTATTGGGAATTTGATAAGATTGTATATTATATCTATATTAATTTGGGACGAACAAAAAATTTAAAACTAGTAAGACTTCCACCTCAGAAAAGAAAGTATGTCTCACTATTGCAAGGTTTTATTTATATCTCTTAGTAAATTTTGACAGTTTCATTTGAATATTTACACTTAGCCTTAGGTATTTGAAATGGAATTTTGAGAGAGGCCTGGAGAAGAACTTGAGGACAACAGGTGTCTCAGCAAAAGAGAAACTACAACTCCAAGAAAGGAAAGGCTCAGCACAAGTAGATGGGGAGAATTTTTCTATCACATCATTTACCACGGGGCTGTCCTGATGACTCCAGTGAGGCCACTATCCCTTTATCCTCTTCCTGTTGTTGGGCCTGTAGCATGTGTTTCTCACAGGACACAGTCTCTGCAATTGACTCTAAGCTAACAGGTGCTACTAGGGTACTAATCCAAAGCCATGCAAATTTTCTGACAATAAAAAATAGTATTATTGTACCCAAAATATACTATTCCTATTAGTTTGAGTTTCTTGTTCTACAGATGATGGCAGGTGAAACCCTACTCCATCAGCAGTTGCAGAAACTTTCATCCAATTGTGGATCCAGGTTTTTACCTTTATCCAAAAATTGGTTTCTCAAGTTACTATAAACTCTTCATAAACAATCTTTTTAGTAGTCATGTAATATTATGACATTTGGATATATCATATGGCATTCTCAATTTTTGGACTATGGCTTAAATTTCTTTTACATCTTTATAATGTCTAACAAAATGAAAGCCTATAACTTTGAGTGCAGAAGCAGAACATAAAAGTAGCAGAACAGCAAGAGACAGTATCGCTCAAGTTGAAACATATGGGCTTGGCAGATACCACTTTGGTCATATCTGTGCCCGTCATTCACAAGCTCAGTCCTGCACAAGTCATTTCACTACTTGGTGCTTCTGTCTCACCTGTAGAGATTAAAAAGGGTAGCCACTGCATAAGAATGTGGCAACAATTAAATGCAATCCATGAAAACCCTGTGGCAAAGTACCTAGTAAAGAGTATCTAATTATCCATATTAAGTACAGACAAGTACAGAACAAGGTGTATCTGAAACCACCCCTCTCATTTTACTTCCCCCAGATGCTCTTCTCCTAGTGCATTTTGTGAAATAAGAGAAACTCTTCAAAAGAATGGCAGGAGAAAGAAGAAAGTATGTGTAACCGTTCACACCTATGCATAAGCATGTGTGGTATATCTCCATAATGCACAGGTGTGATCATCAGGCACAGATAAATTACAAAATGCAATTAGAAAATGTGACAAGTAATGAGCATATTATTGTAGGCTGCAGCAATTAAATCCTATGTAGAAGGGGATAAAGAGACCTGACTTAAGACCCCCCGAGACCCAGGTTGAATCTTTCTGCTTACTCAGGCACTACATTCTCCAATACCTCTTAGACCAACTTTTTCAAAGAAGTTTTCACCTCAATGGCAACTTCTAAGAAGCAAAAAAGGAAAGGAGCACCTCAACCACAGAGACTTCGCAGAATCCCTATTAGAGTGAAAACGCCTGCCAGAATCCCTGAAAAGCGAATTGGTAGTCCTGACCCCCATCCCAAGAGGGGTTAGAGGTGAGACAGTATGCTGAGAGAAATCTGTTGCCTGATCCTAAGCTTCTGGTGGAGTGGTGTTGGGGGCGTGGGGGCGTGGGGGCGTGGGGGTGGGGGGGTGGTGGGGGAAGTGGCAGGCAGGGAAGCAAGGGCAGAGGCAGGGTCTATGCCTAGGACTAAGACAGTCTGTAAATGGCTTGTGTTACTGTGTTTGCGTTGCTGTGCCCGTGAGAACAATTACAGATGCACTAAAAGCTCCAACCTGAGGTCAGGACCAAGAGGCTGGAGAAAGAAGGGACCTCAGAAGTAAAACAAAAGAAAGGGCTTACCAACTTTGGCAGTGGGAGCAGCTTGATACCAGCTAGAAAACAAACCAAAGCAAATTGACAACAACAACAAAATCCAGGCAAGCATGACAGAGTAACAGAGGACAAAGAACAACGGGGAGACCAGACCAACTGCAATCGAGTGAAACCAGCAAGGATTCTCCTTAGAAGGCAAACTCTATGAGGACAGAAACTCTAATTTTGCCTCTTTATGGCTTGCAGGGTCCCCAGGACCTTTAATTCAGTTTGGCAAAGAGAAAGTGCTATTTATTGAAAGAATAAATGAAAGACTTGGAGAATACAGACTATTATTTTATATGCCACGAGACCAAGTAACTTCACCCTTTGTTTTTGTTTTTTTAAAAATTATTTTAAGTTCCAGGGTACATGTGAAGGATGTGCATGTTTGTTACATAGGTAAACATGTGTCACGGTGGTTTGCTGCAACTAACAATCCATCATCTAGGTTTTTTTTTTTTTAATTATTATTTCCATAGGTTATTGGGGAACAGGTGGTGTTTGGTTACATGAGTAAGTTCTTTAGCGGTGATTTGTGAGGTGTTGGTGTACCCATCACCCAGGCAGCATACACTGCACCTGATTTGTAGTCTTTTATGCCTTAGCCCCTTCCCACCCTTTCCCCTTGAGTCCCCAAAGTCCATTGTGTCATTTTTATGCCTCTGCATCCTCATATCTTAGCTCCCACTTATGAGTGAGAACATACGATGTCTGGTTTTCCATTCGGGAGTTACTTCACTTGGAATAATAGTCTCCAATCTCATCCAGGTTGCTGCAAATGCCATTAATTCATTCATTTTTATGGCTTAGTAGTATTCCATTGTATATATATACCACAGTTTCTTTACCCACTCGTTGATTAATGGGCATTTGGTTTGGTTCCACATTTTTGCAATTACAAATTGTGCTGCTATAACTTTGCCTTTCACCTAGACATCATCTTGAATAAGAATGCCTTTCACCAGCATTCTTTTAAAACGGAACATGATTAATCTTTTTACTTTTTAATATTTATCAACATGATAGGTGAGAATGGTGTCCCAATTTAGGCTGCAATTCCCTGACTCTTAGTAAAGTTAAACTTTTTTTTCTATAAGCTTATTCAAAATTTTAATTATTTGCCTTTAAATTTTTTTTAGTTATCTATTGGCATATTTCTTATGCATTTCGAGGTGCTGTCTTATATTTTCCCTCCTTGCAAATATATTTTTTTCATCTGCCAATCCTTTTTTTATGTTCTTTGTAGTATCTTTAGTCACAAAGAGGTTTTAAATTTTATGGTTTTAAAATTTGTTTACATAAGTCATTTTTTCCTATGATAATCTATTTCTATTGTGGTCCACTATTCTCTAAAATCAGGTATTCAATTTTATCAATTTTTTTTCCTAAACAATGAATGAGATGATCACTTGATTTTTCTTCTTTATTGTGTCTTAGTTAGGATATACCAAAACAAATTTCATCCTGTTAGAGATACTTGCACTCTGAATATAAGTATTTCACTTGGTCAACAAGATTTGGTTACTAATATTGTATTTTGAAATCCTACCATCATCATGATCAGCCTGCAGTTAGTTTCCTTTTTGGTGCTATCCTTGCTTGATTTTGTTTTCTGGTTATTCAATTCTCATAAATAAATTGGGATGTTTTCCATATTTCTTTTTTCTTGAGACAGAGTCTTGCTCTGTTGCCCGGGCTGGAGTGCAGTGGTGTGATCTTGACTCACTGCAACCTCTGCCTCCCAGGTTCTAGCGGTTCTGCCTCAGCCTCTCAAGTAATGGGATTATAGGCATGCGCCACCACGCCCGGCTAACTTTTGTATTTTACAAGAGACAGGGTTTTACCATGTTAGCCAAGCTGGTCTCAAACTCCTGACCTCAAGTGATCCACCTGCCTTCGCCATCCAAAGTGTTGGGATTAGAGATGTGAGCCACCATGCCCTGCCTGTTTTTCATATTTCTACGTGTAAGACCTTATATAACATGGAGAGTGCTTGGTCTTTGAAGGTTTGGTAATATGCATCTATAAAAAATGTTCCTTATGCTCTTTCAGGTACAGATATTTTATTATTTTTCAAATTTTTTCTATTGAGAAAATTTCAATTTCTTGAGTTAATTTTCTAGGCTTAAATTTTCCTAAAAATAATTAATATTATCTATGTTTTCTGAGTTATTAATGGAGTTTTATGCAAATACTTTTTGTAAGACATTTCTTACTTGTAGCCATTTTCTTATCTCCAGTATAATTTCTTTTCGCTCTTTTTGGCTATAATTGTCAAATATTTTCAATGTTACTACTGTTTCTTTTTAAGGGAACAGCTTTTCAGTTTTATTGATCAAATCTGCTTCATTTTTAGTTTGCTGCCTCATCATTTCGTTTTTGGCTTTTATCTTTATTAAATTTTTTAGTACATTTTCTTTGGGGTTATTTTGATTTTTATACCTTTTAAATATTTAATTACATATATAAGTATACATATACATATATATTTTTTGTTTCCTAAATATATGCAATAAGGTGATTAATAGTCCTCTAAAAATATTTTGTATTCTGTCATTTTTTTCCATCAAGCAAAACGTTTCAGGCAATGGCTGACTAGCTTCAGATTAACTTTCTGCCAGAGAGCGCGCACACACACACACACACACACACACACACACACACACACAACTACCTACCTTCCATCTAGGGCACTCAAGAGCTAACAACACATAGAAAACATGTGAGCCAAGATTTTGAAGAGAATGGAATCCTGGACAGATGAGCTCACAGTTTGGTCTTGCTTCTTCTCCTGAGGCATTCTGCATTGAAAAGCTATGAGTACGCTGGTTGAAGTGGCTCATGCCTGTAATACCAACACTTTGGGAGGTCAAGGTGGGAGGATCGCTTGAGCCCAGGAGTTCAGAATCAGCCTGGGCAACATAGTAAGACCCCATCTTTACAAAACATAAAAAATAAATTAGTTGGTTGTGGTGGCTTACAGCTGTAGTCCAACCTATTCAAGAGGTTCAGGTGGGAGGATCACTTAAGTGAAAGAGTTCACAAGATTACGGTGAGCTATTATTACAGCTGTTATTGATTGACTGTCTGAATCAATCAATAAAAATTAATTAAAAGCTATAGGTGATAGGCTGAGAAGCTTATCAGAGTTGATGGCAGCCTCACAGGGCTTGAGAAACAAAATTGCCGTTTATATTCTACCAAGGTAAAGGGGCCCTGAGGCATTCAGTTGGGATCCTGAAGGACTATGCCTTAAACAGAAGAGCAAACCAGAAATATACCATCCCTCACAAAGGCAGAAACCCGGTATTGAATAAACATCATCTCTACTCGGATTAAGGTGATCTGCTCCTAACCTAAAGGGCCTGCAAAAAATGGAAAAGAAACACATTCTTTCTGGAATAAAATATCATCCTCCAGATTCTTAAATTATCTCTGTACTTTTTAATATGTAATGTCTTACACTTGATTCAAAAAGATTTTTAATAAACAATTGACAACAAATAGAGAATTTGATGAAATTGGATCCATAATAAATCTAGATGATCCAGATATAGATACAATATTTTCAAAATATAAGTAAGATGAAAAGTTTTGGCAGCTAATTGGAAATAACCAATAAAATAAAAATTTAGACCTGAAAATAGTTGAAATTAAGAGAAATTTGATAGTAGATTAAACATAGAAAAATAAACTGAATAGGTCAGAATAAAACATGCATACCTGGAGCACAGAGAAACAAAAGAATGGAAAATTGTGAAAACAGCATAAGATATAAGAAAAGGTTTTGAGATGTATAACTGGGGTCTCAGTAAAAGAGGAGAGAGAGGAGAAGCTGTATTTAAACCTAATGGCTGAGAACTTTTCAAAGCTGCTGAAACACATTAAGCCACAGATTCAAAAATCACTACAAACCTCAACCAGGATAAATAAATTTTTAAAAAATCCGTCCTAGCTATACCATAAGTAAATACAAAAACTAAAGACCAAGAAATTCTTAGAAGAACTCCCCAAAAAGGTGATTTTTAATTTAAAGAAGCAATAATAAATTACCAGTTAATACTACAATTAAAAGTAATTTTCACAAGAAACCTGTGAAAAGATAGCACTCATCCTCAATAACAATTTGAGGTTGATTCTGATAAATATTTCACTTTGATAGCTGAAATTTTTGTTAAAAGCTACCAAATAGTGATACAATTCAAATATCACCATTATATATATCAATACATTTACAAGAAATCATGTATTTGAAAAGTCCAACCAGATATTTTCAATGACGCTTCCCTTCGTACTATTATATTTAATCCATTTCCGTTTTGTTCTTAATCACCCTTGTTTCTACTACTCTAGATCAACACAGGGACCACCTCTTAAAAACACGACATAGAGCTTCCGAACTGTTCCACCTGCCTCCGTTCCTAACCCTTTACACTCAATTTCATTACCAAGCTGACAGAGCAATCATTAAAAGATATAAACAGAATCATGTCACTTCTCTGGCCCAAACACACTACTGGTTCAAATTGAAACACTCGATCACAGTTTACAGGTTTATGTGACCTGACCATTTGCCTATCATATTGACCCCTCTCCTCTCAAACCTCAGCCTCTTGCTCTGTGCCTTTGAGCAAGACCTGAGCTTTTGGACTTCTGGTTTCCTCTTTCAGGAATCCCCTTGACTCAAATTATTCCCTCTCTTTCTGATTCATCTTCAATATCACTGCCTCTGGGAGGTATAAAAGGTAAGAGAGTATATACTTTCTCACTACTTGCTATTACTTTCTCGATTTTTCTTATAATAGATTTTAATTGACATGTATTTTTGCTTATTTGATTTATTGACTTTTTCCACTAACATGTAGACTTCATGAATCCAGATATTTTTTCTGTTTTAGTTACCAATGTATCTCCAGTTCTTAAAACAGTAGTATGTCAATACTTATTTATTGAATGAATGAATCAATTTATTCAAAAGTTATTACTGAGTGCCATGCGTTACTCTGCTTTTGTACACAAGAAAAAGATGAACACATAGGGTCCTTATATTCAATAAAGCTATAGAATAATAACAAAACACACAAATAACTAGTAATCAATATGGTAACTATAATAGAGAAGTTAACGGAAGCAAAGTCCATGTCACAATGATGTAAACTTTGTTTGTTTTGATAGAAAAGTAATTGATTAATGTGCATATCTCCAAACAGCAAGTTAATGATTACTTTAAATGCTTATATTTAGAGAATAATTTTCTGTTAAATTTATTAAATACAGAACTAAAGGCCATGGTTCCTAAAATATGAATCCTGCTATGGTCTTTAAAATATATAGTTTTATAAGTATCTTAATGTACCCTTTCCTACTATATTTTCTTTCTTCTTTTGTTTTTTTGAGATAGTCTCGCTCTGTCGCCCAGGCTGGAGTGCAGTGGCATGATCTTGGCCCACTGCAGCCCCTGCTTCTGAGGTTCAAGTGATTTTCCTGCCTCAGTCTCCCGAGTAGCTGGGATCACAGGTGCCTGCCGTCATGCCCTGCTAATTTTTATATTTTTAATAAAGACAGGGTTTTTCCATGTTGGTCAGGCTGGTTCGTGAACTCCTGACCTCAGGTGATCCGTCTGCCTTGGCCTTCCAAAGTGCTGAGATTACAGGCGTGAGCCATCACGCCTGGCCTCCTACGATATTTTCGTTTTTTATTTTACTCTGATTGAAGCTATCATGATCATATAAATCCCTGTCATCAACAAAACCTAACTATACTTTTTCAAAAAAAAAAAAAAAACCTTCACCTCCTTCAGATTTTACTCAAATGTCACCTTTCTGAGGCCTTCTCTGGCCACCCTATTTAAATTTCCAGTATCTGCTCTCTGTTTTAATTTTCTTGTTGTCATAGCAACACATATACACTACATATTTTATTTTTCTGCCCATTTCCAGTCTCATTAAATTAGGATATAAACTCCATGGGAGCAGAGTCCTTTTCTGTATGTTAACTGCTATTTCTCAGTACATATCTTAATGCTCGACACATATGTATACCACTCTGTGATGCAAAGTAGGCGCTCAACTAAGTATTTGCAGAATGAATGTTCATGCATTTTTGCATGCTTTCTTCCCCTCCAGGATAGACTATAGGTATTCTATCTCAAATATGAGAAAATGCTGACATAAAAGTGGGTGTATTGTGATAGACAATCACGTAGCCTGGTGTCAATTAATAAGCATATTAAGCACATTTTTTACATTCATCTCAAAGATGAATTTGTTACTATGCACATGTGTCCACATCAGTAGTTGATGAAACATCACATGGATCTTCATGTGATGTGATGATGACATCTTATTTGTCATCAAGACAAATAACAGATGTTCACATTACAAGGAATATACCATTTTATAATGGAATTCACCATTACTTTTAATATGTTGGTATAATAAAATTTAATTAAAATTTGATTTTATTTTTATTTATTTATATAGTACCCTTCAAAATGATGTGTACCAACACTGGTTTCAGAAAGATTTTTGGTTCAATTTAAAAGATCAACATCTCAGTTTTATTTAATTTTTTTTACATTCAAAAACTATAAAAGTGAAACAAAATATATTTTTATTTTAGAATAGGGGAAGAAAGGGTGCTCCTACAGCATTCAAAGTACAGTCACACATCACTTAATGACAGGGATACATTCTGAGAAATGCACCATTACACAATTTTGTCATTGTGGGAATATCATAGAGTGTACACTTACACAAACCTAGATGGTATAGCCTACCACACACTTAGGCTACATGGTATAGCCTATTGCTTGTAGGCTATAAACTAGTCTAGCATATTACTGTACTGAACACTACAGGCAATTGTAGCATAATGGTAAGTATTTGTGTATCTCAATATATTTAAGCATAGAAATGGTATGGTAAAAATACTGTATTATATTCCTACGGAACTGCCACCACATATATGAGCTGTCATTGATCAAAACATTGTTATGCAGTGCATGACTGTATTATTCTTTGTACTGGGGGTATATAGGTGAATAATAACATTTTTTCAGAGAGCTTATACTATGATATAGGAATGATCTTAAATCATGTAACGTTAACATGAAGCTAAATAAGTTTGATTAAATAAGTGGTTAAGCCCAGTTAAAGGACCATTGGAGATATTCCCTTGCGGAATTAACACTTCTAATATGACTGTGTCTCCACTTCTGTTTCTGACATAAATTAATAAGATTCTATTTGGTTAAAAAAAAAAGATTCTCTCATTAGTGTCCCATCAAAAATAGCACCATTTGCCTCATTAATTTTAATGAGGTTGTTGTGTTGTTGTTGTTTTCTATTGGTAGGTGTGGGTGTATGATATATGTGTCAATGTGTTAGACTTGTATCTTCAAAGAACATGCTTTACATAGGCTAGCTTTTCTCTGAAACTATAATAAAATTGCTTAACATGGTGGCACCTGGTTAGGTAGCCAGGTAATATATTTTCAATTTATTCTGAAAAAATAAAAAGTGTCAGAGATCATTGCTTTCTATGTCAAACACTCATAATTAAACAATGTCATTATCAGAATATTTTATATTGTTTATAATACATGTAAGATACACCCTTCAATCCAAGCTTTAAAGGAAGAGAACATTATCTTCTTTTATCTATAGTCCCAAATGAACAAAAAATCTCAAAATAACAAAGGGAATTAATTTAAGCTATCATTCTTCCTTCCCAAACCACAGAAAATTTTATTAGCTGAATGGTTAAAATATTAATTTAATTATACTGAAGTTTGATATTTTCTAATTTATGAAAATTAAAAAATGAATGTTTTAGATATGTATACATTCTAATCAAATGCTTCAAATATCATCTATATTTAAAGAAGATATTTTACTTTTTTGCAATTATTTACATAATAGAAGTACTTGAACACATACACAATACTGATGTATTTCAAGAGTATAAGTAATGTCTGTGGAGTTTTTAATCTGTTTGAAATCACCTTTGGCAAAAATGATATGAGAACTATTAGCATAATGAGTGGGGGAGTTCTAAGACAGCAGATGTTAGGAAATTCTTAATCTAATCTCAACTTTTAGATGTGAAATAATTTGTAATATTTCATAACATGTTCTCAAAGATAGTAGTAGGCTTAGATATATGCAGCCTAAAGCTGGAAGAGATCTTAATAGTGTGGTCCAGAGTTTCAGTGAGGAAGGAAAAGAAGTCCAGATATAGAAAAGCGCACAAAATTTATATAAAAAAATTATATAAAAATTTTATAGATTTTTATAGAAAAAATCTATTAAAAGTAGTTTGCAGATTAAGAATATGAAAAGAGAGAAGAAAAGGAGGAGGAAGAAGGGAGGAAGGGAGAGAGGGAGAGAGACTGTCCAAAGAAAAATTCACAACTTTCTTCAGATTAAATAGTTTGAAATTGAAATCAACCCTTTCTATACCAAGATTAATGAACAGAGAGCATTCTGTGTGGGGCTCAGGCACAGGCACAGACATTACAACTCTTGCTTTTACTTCCTCAGAAAAGAGTGAGAGGAAAAAGGATATATATATATATATATATATATATATATATATATATATATATACACACACAGAAGTCAGACTTTAAAAACCCACACCAGAAGAAAAATTATTCCAGAAAACAGGAGAAAATGTCACACACAATTTTTTCTAGGAAAACTTGGACCTACTGAAACAAATATACAAGAATAAATGCAAATGGTAAAGGAAAAGATAATTTGGCAAAAATATAAAACGAGCATACTGAGAGCCCAAAAGAATTCAGTATTACAAGAAAAATTATACCAAAAATTAAAATACACTAAAAATGCAAGAAATAGAATAGGTACAATGACAGGTAGGGTAAAATACACAAAATAAAAAAAATGAAATCAAAGATTTTGAAGAGAATATTGGATTTAATCCTACTGGTAGAGTGAACACAAACATTAGTCCTACTCTCCTGTCACATTTCCATCAAAGCAACAAAAAACCAATATCTACATGAAGAACATCCCAGGGTATTTGGTTTGTTGTTGTTGCTGTTGTTTTCATTTCCACTGAGGAGTGAAAAAGCATGCTCAGAATCTTGATTCATTCAGTGAATGATATTTCTAAACCACTACATAGATGAAAATAGATCCCAAAAAGTCATTACATTTTCTAAAGGTAGAAAATAGGAAAGGAAATGATGACTACTTACGGTTTAACAATTAGCATAAAATAAAATCACAGAAATATTAAACACTTCATCTTAAAAAATATGAATGGGTTATATTTTCCCATTAATGAATAGAGCTTATGAGGCTGAGTTAAGAGAGAGAGAGATATCTATCAATACACTATTCACAAGAGATTAAACTAAGAAAACAATGAAGCTTAAAATGAAGGATGCAAATGTATACTCCTGAAATGTTATAAAAAATGTGAAATAAACTTTCAATATTCAGAAAACAAAAGATATAATAGGGATAAGCATGAATAAATGGTAGCCCAAATATTTCTATTTTTCACCAGATTTTTTTCCTCCATGTAGGAACTCAGCTAGACTCCATTTCTAAGCCTCCCTTGTAGTTATGTATGCTTAACAGAATACGGACAGTAAATCCACCACTTCCAGACCTGGCCCTTTGATGTTCTCCTGTACAACTTTCATCCCCTTTCCTTTTCCTTTAGCTGAATGGAGAGGACTCTCAGAAACTAATAGAAGATGGAACCATAAGATGGGAGAAACCTGAGTCCCTAAATGACCATGGTGTTCATTGCCTTACAGAGAACACACTCAATGAACTATGATATGATCAAGAAATAAACTTTGTGCTAAGACACTGAGAATATGAAATTCATGTATTATGATGCCTAGTGCTACCATAGAAGTAGTCTATCTTGGTAAAATGCATTTTATGTGAGAAAATAAAATAATGCCTGATTAAATAAAGTATATAAAGCAAAAATGGTCAGAAATACAAGGATAAATTTGAACATATATTGACAAATAAATGGAAAAAGTGACAAACTTAAATTGACAGATTGACAAAGTAGGAACATGGGGATTTAAAGAACACAATGATGTAAACACAATTGTCTACACATATCATAAAGAAGAATATTTTAAAATATTAACTGTAGCTTAAGACACAAAGACAGTATCAATGATCCACCAAAGCCACACCTCTTAACTATGATGTCCTACAATTAGAAATTAAAAGCAAATAGTATAGCTGAAAAGAATCCATTCTCTTGGAAGTCATAGCATATAAACAAACACTCTTCTAAAGAATATTTTGGTAAAAAAGACTTTAAAACTAGAATTATAAACTCTTAAAATTGAACAACATTAGCTTACAAAATATGGGCATGTGGTGAAAATTCTACGATCAAAATACAAACTAGTAAAAAATTATTAACTGAGGTACATCCATTTATGAAAGCCAATAGATATGAGAAAACAACAAAAGACATGTAAGATGCTCATCATTGGTACAATTGAAAAAGAAAATTGAAATAAAATGAAACAGAAAAATATTCAAAGATCTGACAGATGAAAACTCCCCTGAAATAGAGAAAAACCTGAATTTACAAGTAGATAAGATGTAAGTGTTCTAGGAAAAAATGCCACAGAATTAAAATCCTAAAATATGATCTTGCAGCATTACCAGACTTTATGGACAAAGAAAAAAGTCCTGTGGACCTCAAGGCAGAAATATGAAGTCACTTATTAGAGCAAAACATGCTGACTTCAGACTTCTTTATGTCAATATTCTTATGCAAGAAACGATGGAGAAAGTCTAGGGTCCTGGTAGAAATGAAGCATTACCCAAGCACTTTGTATGTAGTCAAGTGTATGTTCACACACAAAGGCACCCAAAAAGATGGCCTTGGACAATGTGAGTCTCGTAATACATTTGATTCCAACCAATCAATAATCAAAACAGTTAAAAACATCTTCAAGTGAGAAAGTTGTTATATAAAATGAGGGACACTCCTTAAGCTAAAACTTACTGAGAATTAGAGTGACAGAAGAAAATATATAGTCAACTTGACAAAAAATATAACTAATAAATCTATATGTAGTTTATGACAATGTGAAAAGGGGAGCACAAATTTTTTATGTTTTATAAAGGGAGTAAATTTTACTGAAGTTGATGAAACAAGTACTAAAATGTACAAGGATAACCGTAAGAATAATGAATTCTCATAAGAGGGGAAATCAAAAAAATAAAAAACACAAAATGATAAGCAAAATTTGATTAAGGCCACGATACAAAACAAATAAAGCAAAAGCAAAAGCAGAAAAAAAAAACACCTGGCTTATAAGCATTTATTTATTTGTTTTGCTATAGGAAGGTATACATTATAACATCAAACTTACTTAATATACTTCATAAAATGCTTTCTCCTATCACACATTAAATTGATATAGAATTTGATAAAAAGATTTATTTGCATTACAAATTATTTAGCAAGGGTTAACTCTGTCATTGTAAAGTTCACCTTGATTTTTCACCTATTATTTTCATACTTTGGAATCACTGCAAAGAGAGAAAAATCTAACCTACAGATTGTTTTCATGTAGAAGTTGTAAATTTTGATAATATGGGTTTCATCTCAGGCAGGCTTTGAGAAACATCATACTGCGTATGCCAATATCATCTGTCTCTGTTTTAATGTGTAAGTTCTCACCACTACCTAAGTAATAATAATTTTCATTAATTTTAAGAGCATGATCACGAGTCCCGTTATTTACTTTTTCTTATTTTATAAACTCAATGCAATTCACCAATTTTCCTTAATGCTGTTGCCTGATGAGGCACTCATCTTCCTTTGGTTGCTCTATGCCAGAGCTTCTCAGAACCATCCCTAGAGCTTGTGTCAGGCACCTGGTAGGAATTCATAAGTGTTTGCTGCTGAATGACTAAATCAAACATGACTTCATAGTTTACATCTTATTTAAGCTGAACAAAGACTGTTTAAATCAAATATTAATCAACTAATACTAACCTAAAGGAAACCCACACATGCAGTATCAGATACTTATTTTAAATTAGAAGTACCCATGCTTTAGGTGATAAACATGCTCCTGAAAAAATATAAATTTTTGTATTAGATTAAATGATACATACAACATTTTCAGGCTATAATTTGATCCCATCTGTTTCTGTCAATTTATTCATTTATATTCTATACATATCTTAGGGTCTCTATCAAATTTTACTTCTTCAATACAAATTTCTTCCATAGAATGTTTTGCCTTCCGGACTTTCATAATTCTATCATTGCCACTATCATTGTCTTTACCAATTCTTGTTCTTGAACTCTATCATTCTTGTTTTCTCCATCTCCTTTGCCTGCAGTATATGATCACTTATGTTTCCCTTGTCCTTCAAGGTTCAGAATCATCAGTATATTCTAACCCCTACTGATGCCAAAATTTGCCACCATGTTGTCTTTGGACTCCCTTCCTTTTAACAACTGAATATTTAATAACTTTAATATCATAGCTACATCATGTTTCTCAACAACTCCAAAGCCAGTAAATATTAACATTATGGGGATTTTCCATTTAAACTAGAGAAATTGCAATCTACTCTCACTTGAATATGTCTTGAGTAATGTGGCTCCCCTTCCTTTTCTTTAAAAAAAAAAAATTACATCCTGGTACCAAGTGTGCAGCTCCCGAGAGTCTTGCATGGATAGTTGTCTCTGGTGAAAATTTAAGTGCTGTTTATGTTAGCTTCATATACTCATAATAGAAACTCAACAATCAAAGGGATTGAGTGATTTTATAGAACGATTATTTTACAAAATTTAAATAATTGTATTTAAAATTACACACACACAGAAAAATACACGTATACACATGCACTCTTCCCTTGACTGCTGAAACTCCAGTCTTTTTCTGGTCTGTTTTCATATCTCACGCATATATTTCTTCCATTGCTGGGCATGCCTTCTCCATTATTATGTATTATGCAATTTTTAAAAACAGTTTAAGAAATTGGTTGTGTTTTTGTTTTGGGTTGTATTTTTTTTTCTAATTTGATCCCTAGTAATACATATGTATTTTTGAAAATAGTAACTATTATGTGCCTCTTTCTAACCATCACAATACTTAATCTATCTCTGAGTTAGTGAAAAATAAGTTAAATTGAGTTGATGGAGTTTGAAAATTAGAAGAAATATATTAAGTCCCATGAAAGTGAGGCATGTGAACTGGAAGTGGTCCACAGTAAATAAATCCTCAGAGCTTTAAGGAAGACAGGCATTGGCAAGTGGAGTGTTGAAAGAAAATAATATACCCAGGTCTCCAAATTAATACAAGACTAGAAATCAAACGGTCTTATTGGTTTCAAGGCTAAAAAGAAAAAAAATAAAAAATAATTACAATTTTGGTGGAAAAATATGGTTTGAAAATGATATAAACTAGATTTACTTTAGAATATATAATATTTCAGCCAACTGAATTTAAAATTAACTTATGGATTGATATTCCTTTGTTTCCACATAGCTATACTTGTATAGCTTAGCATTTTACTAATTACTTTTAAAGGTTTTACTTGAATCCTTTTAAATCTTTGAGAAACTAGGTTTTAATATTTGAAATTAACAAAACCAGATGACTTAAGAATATATTCTTCTATAAGAAAAATATAGGTTGTCCTCTAGAAATGTCCTTAGCCAGGTAGACAGCTAACAGGTGAAAAAAAATTTTCATCGAAGTCCCAAAGTGACCTTCAATTAAGAAAAACAATCGACTGATGTTTCTCTACTCTATTAGATGCCAGGAATCTCTGTGCAGTGTTTCTGGGGTTTTTCCTTCAATCAGCCCAACATGAGGCTCTTTCTCAAGCTGTGATTTTGTAAATCTTTTTTTAGTACCTATTGGGACATCCTGTGAATTGTGGTCTCTTCATATCTGCATCATGGGGAAACGCACACAGAGCAGAAAGGATTGGACAGTTTCACATCTCAAAATAGTCCCCACCCACCCCCCCTTCCAATTTAGAAAATAAAATTAGCTGTGAGTTTTTATCCTGGGGAACCACATATTTTGGAAACATCAGAGTTTTCAAGTTCCCAAGCAGGTTAATTCTTTTGTTTTCTCTGTCACTAATAAGCCATTTCCTTTTGCGAACTCAGAAGAAGCTAAATCTTCCCTAGTACCTTTGCTGTTGTCTATTTTTCCAACTTTAGTTTGATCTGTAATAAAACAACAGAATATCTGTGCCTCTCATTCTCTCTTTAATCCTACATGGCCTGACTGAATAAGTCAGTTCTTTTGTTGGGGCTTAATAAACGTATCCTGCATTTTTTATATCATTGTAATAATATTATATGGCAGGCAAAAATATAATGATAAATGATAATTTGCCAAAAAGATTAAAAAAACACTGAGGTGTTACCTATCAAAAGTTCTCCTTCTGTCTGTGATGCAGCACAGATTGTGATCGTGACAGTAAATCTGGTGCTATTGTTAATGCCATGGCACTTGGGTTTTTGGCTTGCTTTAGTCCAATCTGTGACATGCTTGTGAATATCTTTCTTCTGTTCTGTCTGTATGGCATATGGATTTCTGGGATACAACGTCAGACCTATCCACATAACAAGTGTTCAGAGCACCTTATCATTTTAAAAAGCCAATTACTCAAAAAGACAAATGTGAAATGTTTCACATTTAATGATGAGCAAATCTGCAAAACAAATGCAATTTTGCTCGTTCTAAAAAGTTTAGTTTAACTGTAAATATTGCAATGGAGTCTTGCATGACACACACCACCGATAGGAAAAAGCTCATTTCATACATATTGTATATCATCACTGTCAATTACATCTGCACAGGATTTAAAACGAGGATGGTATAAGTAATTAGAAATAAAGCAAATAGAATATTCTAAACTACAAGGCTCTGAAATCACTGTAAAAATGTCACTGCTAACATTGAACACTCTAAAAAAATATTTTGAAAGTCTCACCCAAAAAACTGAAAACTGCATATGTCTACAGAGGTAAAGGTCACTCATGAAACACTCAACAACAAAAAATACCAATTCATTTTTTAGAAATATTTGTCAATATGTAAAGAATGTTTTGTACATAAGTTCTCAGTTACTGTTGAATCAGTGGCTGTATGTAATATTCCCACATGGAATGATGTCCTTTCAAATACTTTAAAACAAAGGTTTAGTGAAAGATTTTATGGGGACATCTTGAGTGCTGAGATTTTTATGCATTGGAAGTGCAGCTAACAAAATACAATAACATTGGTTTTGCAAGTAATATATTTAAATTTTTCTATCTATTTATGATAGAGATAATAGCTAATTTATAAATATTTATTTCTACCTCCATTCATCCTACCCCACCTAAACAAAACAAAGACAAAACTAAAAAGAAATTATTAATCCTGCTTTCCAGCATATCTTATATAGGATATGTAAATAGTTGTCACATTTATGTGTCCTTACTCTTTTTTTTGTCTACACATTCTTTAAATCTTAAACTGTGAACACTGGTAACAGAATATTATATGACATGAGAAATGGAATGCACCTGGCGCTGGTGATTTCAGAAGAAACTAATCTTGATATTTATAACATCATTTAGCAGGCGGAATGGTTTTACCAGGCTTGGAATGTGGAGAGATGAAAAAGTTCACTGAGTTCTCGGACTTTCATTCTACACTGAAATGTACTCAAAAATCAATAAGTCCCCAATCAGCTGTTGAAAACATATATAGAAAAGTCTACTCAACTCCCCTATAGGGGGAGAATTGAGACTAAACAATACCCTGCAATTTTCTCTACTATATGTCATCTTAACTATTTGTCATCCAGCATAAAATTTAAATAAGAAGGACGGAACACCCTATCCATAAGTTAAAGGTAGACAGCACAGTCAACGTATTTCCTAAAGGTAATTACTGAAAATAAAGGCCTCCCTTCGTATTTGGTTATCTGTATATCTAGTATAGGTCCATTTCAATTTTGCATGTGTATCCTACCTTGAAGTGAATGGATATGAGGATTTGCATGGCACTTGCATATTTTTATGTGATAGCTCATAATTCACCAGGTGATCTCAGGGCACTTAATTACAAAAATGTAAGTTATAGACTACCTCAAAACTCTGGTGAAAAGATACAGGGTCTCAGTAAACAAACAACTAGATAACTCTTCTTTCTTGCTTCTTTAAAGTAAATGAATTTTACCCTATTTACAAATAAAGTAGTTTGAAGTGCAAACTCCTCCTGTAGAGCCACCACCTAAAAGTTCAATCATTCACTTTCAACAAATTGTATTTTCTCCTTATTTTAAGCCTAAATTCCTTAAAATATGATAAAATCTGTAACCCACCCAAATTTCTATTGTAACATTTAATTTCTAACAGTTGAGACTTAAAAAAATATAACACTGAAATCCTTAAACTCAGACATTCATCTCATTGTTTATATTAATGGCTTGCAGAGATGTATTTACACAGAAGAAAATGATGATACTAATGGAGCTTTGTCAAAAAACAACCAGTTCACAGAACCACCTAGTGATATGAACTAGACTTGGGTGTGTGCTGATGTGACTTTGAGGATCTGAACAGATCACCCTTGCCTGGAGTCAAATTGCAACAGATATTTGTTGACTAATCTGTTGCTTATTTTTATAATTGTAGTAGTTTATAATCACATTTCAACATCACATTTTGAAGTTGGAAGGAGATTTCAAGATCATCTTCCCACCAATGTCCTTATCTGATAGAGGAAAAGGATCAGATCCAGAAGGCTTGAGGGGCTTTCCAGAGGGGCACATTCCTAGAAAAGCCCTAGGCAGACCCGGAGTCAGATGGTCTGGGTTGGAGTTCTGGTTGCCTAACTTACTCTGTGAACGACTGTAGGAAGTCTCTTAACCTTTTTAAGAGGCTTTTTTCCCAGCTGTAAAAATCTGGTGGCACCTATTTCACAGAGATATTATGAATGAGATAATACGTGGGAAAACCCTGTAAATCGTAATGTTCTCCACAAATACATTACAAGGCCCTTTTCCAACTCACCAGCAACTTAGTTCCTTGTTGCTTTATCATTATCGTTATTATTATTATTTTGCTTTGCTTATCTTATGGAACATAAACCATTAAACAACAAAAGAAACCTCAGGGAATAAAATTCCAGCTTTTTTAGATAGAAGCAAAGCTGCCAAGAAGGGCATTTTTTTTTATTTTTTTGCCTCAGTGCTCTTTGAGCCTAAGTGAAATGGTTTACTTACAGCTTGTACCCCTCTTCTTCTAAAGAAAAAATGTCTCAAAGGATAAAAAAAAAAGTAATAATTGTATAAGGGATAATTACGACAGCTGCAAACCTCCATAGTCAGCCTCCACATTATATTATTATGTGAAATGTTATCTGGGCAGTACCTCAGTCCATAAAGTGTCAGGTGGCCAGTTGGCAACAGAAAAAGAAAGGAATGAGATCAACTTTTTATAAGTGGTTTGCATTTTTTTTGCACCTGTTATTCTACAATTTCTTTCAGTTATATTTCAAAACACTACAGTTGGGATCTCCTTGCCAACCTGAGATGGCATAAGCCTGGATAACAGAACAAAATGTGAGAAGGTCCTTCTGTCTTTAACGCCTGTTCACCAGTGAATCAGCCTCCAATTAATCTGTTTCTTCAGTAGGAGTTTAATAAAAGTCAAGCACACACATGTTCAGGCTTGTTTAGTATTGAAGCTGTGTTAACATTATCTGTCTAGCCAGGTCAAAAATCCTCCGTAATTAGATGCCAGAAACCATTTCAAAAAAAAAAATGAGGATTTTTTTCATTTATTATAAACAATTGATTATTTGAGATAGGGAAGTTTAAATCTAAAGTGAAAGTGCAATGAGAGGGATGCTTCTCATTAAACATTGCAAGGGGAAGAAAGTTTGTTTCATGGCCAAACTGCACATAAAACTCAATATATTAGGTTTGTTATTTTCTGTTTGTTTATGAACCAGAAAATTCAGGATCATTCGGCAACTCTTATTTCCATTCCACTGTGTGGGTGATGATCAGAGTTGGTCGTTTACATTCAATCATATACAGCATTATGCTTGGAGGAAGCTCTTAACCCAGTCATCTGTGCCTATGAACTGAGTGTGCCTCAGTGTTTTCTGGAGGAAATCAACAACACTGCAGATGGAAATACAGGTTTGCATTTACAACAAGCGGAGTTAGCAACTACAAAAGCTCAAAGCTGAAAGCTTCCAAAACCCCAGCTGGGCTGCTGAGTTTAAGCAATGGTAGAGGATACAAAATTCTAGGAAACTTTAATTCTCTTAGAGTTTATGGCAATTGACATTTAACCCATAACTGAGGTGGTACATTAACTTTGCCTAAATCACAAAACAGAATTGCCTTCCCCAGCACCTCTTGAGTCCACCTTGGAGTCTAACTGCTTAGGCTGAGGAGTATGAAATCTGATTCTTGCTCTTACATTTGCTAAGTGGGAGGATGAAATAAAGATGACTCATAGTTATGGGACTTTTGTACAATAGTGAAACTTTTAAAAAGCAGATTTAAGAGTTCAGTAAAAGCAGAAAGAAAACATTTCAAGGCAGAGAGGAGTTAATGATGAGAGTCTACACTCAGGTTACAGATTTCATCCAGTTACTCAGAAAAATAATTTCTTGCTTTCTTTGAGAATTTTTATAATCAATTCATTGAAGATATGAATCTATCTATATACATTTCAAATAATTAAAGAGGACTACTCCAAATATTCTAAATGAAGATGAAACATTGTGAGATAGACCTGCATGTTAGAGAAATTTCAGCTCAGTGGAAATTAATGATGTTGGTGACATCCAGCACCTTATCAGGTATAGTACACTGTAGAGCTCAGTTTTTCTTAAAGTGTTTGGTTTTGTCACATTAAAGTGTTAGGTTTTGTTAAATTGCTATTTATGAAAAAAGTTAAGCAAAAATGAGAAGACTGCAAGTAAAAATGCTAGGGTTATATTTTATTTCTTCTTCGTTTTTTTTTGCCAATATTTTAACATATTAATTGTTTCCACACAGTATCTCTAATACATCAACTTTATATTCTCTTCCTTTAGAATCTAAGAGATTTAGCAATTTTTTAATAAGCAATTTTTAAAATTACATAAAAAATTGTTCATGCAAAACAAATGACCAGAAATGTAAGTACTAGTCACACATTTATCACATGAAACTAAGGTTGGAGATATATATATACACACACACACACACACACACACACACACATACATATCTCATATTATTATTGTCCATATTTGTCTTTCTTGTCATTCTTATTTATCATTATTGTTCACATAAATCAGTGATCTTCACAACTACTTCATTGAGATGAAATAATCATCCAAACTATGTTTAGGGATTTATGTCTTCTGACCCCAGTTGTATTCTCTTGCCATGAATCTGGATCTACTTCCATCTGTACATAGGTTGCCCTTGAACTGGCAAAGAGGAGTCTGTGGACTTTTTCTCTTTGCAGCACTGAAAAATTAGGAAATAATGTGGAGGAGGAGAACTCTATTTTCAAAAAGAAATGTCAAAGACTTTTCCAGAATTCTTCCTCTTCCTCCATCTCTAACTTTAGGTGAGTCATTGCCTCACTATACCTCATCGCCTTTACTGTTGCAGGTTAGAAATATTGAGATAATTCATATAAATAATCTTCACAGACTTCAAAGAGCTATATACATATTCCTACAATCACAATTGTTAAATGCACTCCAGTGTGCTCCTGGGAAAGGTCCTGGGTATTGAGATGCTTCATCTCCTTGACTGAATATGCTTGAGCCATTTGGACCTCAATGTGCATCTAGATGAGCGACAGATATTCCAATGGATAGTTATTTCCTAGGATAGTTTTCCTTAGCATGAAGTTCATGAAACCATTCAGGAAGCTGGAGATACCCGTTTAGATTAAAAAAAAAAAAAAACTTAAATCCCTTTTTCTTTGGAATATTTATATGGAGCGTACTTAAAAAACACACACGCACACAATAAGCTCCTTATTATTGAACCAAACACTTTACTTGGTCTGTCATAGCATCATTAAATTGTTGGTCTCTGGGGACCACTTGACTGGGGGACTCATTGCTTATTAAAACCCTTAACAGGTGATGCTGTATTCCTGAGTTAAGCTGGCCATCAGTTTACACTCTTTGGTATGTTATTGAAAATGTAGTTATGGCACAGAGAAGATGCTATGGTTTGCTTCATGAAATTCTGATATTACTAATAACGTTCTTACTCTGTTGAAATGGAAGAATTTTCTGGAAGTACAGAAGCAATAATATAAATGTTTAGTTTCTTTCTGTTGCTCCCAAACACAGCGGAATAAAATAGACTCAGAAAAAAAACTAAAAACACAGAATCCTTTTACCTCGTTTTTGATGAGAACATCAGTAAAGTATCTTGATTTGTGGTAAAATTTTAAGAGAGAAATTTGCTCAGAAGCTGACAGTGTCTAGGGTGTAGTGACAAAGACCAACAGTTCCACAATATCGATTAATGCAGTATGAAGGAAGTACTTGTGTTTCCTGGGATTTTTGAGTTCTGGTTCTGATTTTGACTAGCATCATCTTCATCTGCCAGTACACCTGACTTCTGTACCCTGCACACCAGGACCAACTCACCTTGTCTCTGCTTGCCAAAACCATCAATAGCATCTCACTGTTCATAGATAAAAGTGAAACATGTTTAGTATAGCTGACAGGGACCTGTATTACGTTTCTGTCTACCTCACAGGCCTTATGCCTTTCTGTCTTTCTCATTCTCTTTTTCCAGACCTCTTCTAGCTCTTCAAATATGCCATGCTTTCTCCTGCCACAGGGCCACTGAATGAGATACTTTTTCTATCTGTAAACCTTTTAGATTCTCTTTTCACTCATGCATGGTTACTTGTTCTCCTTTTCCTAAAAGTCTCTTCCTTAGGAGAGTCTTCCTTCACCCTCTAGACTAGATACTGCTGGAGACAGCCTTTAACACTAATTATGTTCCTTTGCTTTTTATATCACAAGAACATCTTCTATAGGTAACTATGTGTGTGTTCCCATTGTACTTTGTACTCTTCTTGAACAGCTCTCTGCAAATGTGTGAATATTTAATTATTTGCTTAGTATCCTTCTTTTGATTTAGACCACAAACACCATGAAGTCATCGACTTTGTTTTATTCACCAGAGAATTCTTAGTTCTAGGTCAGAAATATAAGAGGGGCTGGAACATTTCTATTGACTTGGGACATCACTCATTCTCACTTGAAATCTCTCTCACCTCCTTGCTTGTTGAATATCTACTCAATTATTTAAAGTCAAGCTGAAATGCTCCCCTCCCACAATCTGATTTAATTCCTCTTTGATATTCTTATATAGTAATGACTGTTCCTCAATAAATTTTAAGCTCCTTTAATGTAAACAACTATCATTTTTAAAATTATTATATTATTCACGTTTTATAATCTATGTGCTTTGAATTTTTATTATTTATGTTTGGTTTGGTTGCTAAATGTGGTAGTAGGTGATCCAGAAAGACAGTGTCTTTCAGACTAAGCATAGCAATCTTTCTTGCTCCTTGCCTTCTTCACTGTATCCTCTGAATGGTAAATTTCGACCACTTTCAAATTTTTTTCTTGAAAATATGATACAGGCTGGAGTCTTGGAATCTTTTTTCTCCTCCTCATAAGACATAGCAAGATAATCAGCTGATCAATAAACTGTCTCATTGCTCTCTGAAAACTCATTTTATCATGTAACCTAGGATTTCTCCAGTCTCCTTAACTCTAACAAGCATTTCAAAATGTGAAATACAACTGACATTGAAGTGTATGGGATGATTCTTTGTACTTTACCATAAGTCCTCAACTAGGATTTAAAAAAAGATGCCTATTCCTGAAACATGGCTTCCCTAACCTGGGAAAGTCTTCATATTTTAATTTCTGTTGTTTTCCGCAGGTAGAAGACAGTACTAGTCATTAAAGTGGCCATTTGGAATGTGAGAGGTTGACAGAATTTCTCTTTATCATTATCACCATTAAAAGATCCCTCTGGGTTGGTGACTTACAGAGGGTATAAGGCATCTGTAATGTAGAGTCAAGGTCTCTTGGAAACCATGCTTGCACTGTTAACAATTATTCTTGCCATGGTCTCATTAGTCTTTCTTATGTCCACAATTTTGCAGTCTTCTTTTTTTACAACTTTCCAACAAGGGAGAGAGTCATTTGTGTTCTTGTCTTGGCTGTCACTAGCTCTTGAGTCACCTTGGACATCTCCCTCTCTTTCACAGACTAGCATATTTGTGGCTGCTTTCATCGCTAAGAGTCAATTAGTTTATGCAGAATGGTAATGAGGTTGTAGCTTAAAGTTGTATGGAAGTTAAGTGTGTGTCGCACTGGATGAGCAAAGAAGTCCATTTGAAAAGCCCTAATTAAGTTGTCATTGTATGTATTGTAGGCTTATTTAGTGATCACTGTGTATATGCACCAATAATTAATAGCCTTGCTTTAGAAAAGGGTGGAGTTTTTAGAAAAACACTTAATATTTGCTGTCTTCCTAAACCACAGAAGCAGGATGGACATGGCCCTGTTGGGGGTTCCATCCTCCAGCTCATAAGAATGCCAATGCTGACAAATGTTTACTGAGAAGTATTGCTTGCCGAGTAGATATTTTCAGTAGATTGCTCTTCCTACAGTCAGATCGGCTGTACGGTAATAGCAATTTGAAGTGTTTCTGTTTTAATTATGTCCCAACGGGGAAGACAGTCCTGTGAAAGACACCTTAATGTCCTTCCTCCAAATTTCACTTTTTTTTTTTTTTTTTTTTTTTTTTTTAGACAGAGTCTCGCTCTGTCACCCAGGTTGGAGTGCAGTGGCACAATCGGCTCACTGCAAACTCTGCCTCCAAGCTTCAAGCCATTCTCCTGCCTCAGCCTCCCAAGTAGCTGGGATACAGGTGCGCAGCACCAGGCCTGGCTAATTTTGTGTTTTTAGTAGAGATGGGGTTTCACCATGTTGGTCAGGATCGTCTTGATCTCCTGACTTCATGATCCACCCACCTTCGCCTCCCAAAGTGGTGGGATTACAGGCATGAGCCACCGTGCCCAGCTCACTTTAGATTTCTTAAGTAACAATTAAGTAATAACATAAGATTTCTTGTAAATTATCTAGAGAGATTTTCTAAAAGATAAATTATGGATAACTAGCATTCTTCTTAATAATATTAATAATGATGTCTATCTAGTGGACAAATTATTATTGGTGATATAAGACCTAGCACTTAATGCATAAAATGCAATATTAACAATGATAGTCCCTGGATTATAAAATTTATAATAATCTAAATCTTATAATCTAGGCAAAAGAGAGAGGAAGCTAGCTTTGGCTGGGTAGATCTTTGAGCTGTCTAGGTTTAACTTTATTTTTCTTCAATTTCAGCAATCCAAAACTGAAAACAGGGACAGAAACCTTTAGAATAAAAGGCTTTAAATCATCTCTTTGTAAACAATGTATTTTATAAAAGAGGGGAAAAAGCTAAGATGTATCTGAAAATCATCCTTCTCCTCTCCCTCTTCTTCTCCTTTACACACACTTAACATATACTCTGTATTTTTAAGATTGACTATGAGGTTTTTTTTATCTATGGAGATTTCTGTCTTGAGATGCACATCTACAATGAGTTAGTTTGAAAAAAAGTTTCTAATTACTGAACAATTCTCCAAAGATAATGACTTTTGTTGAAAACTAGACCAGTCACCCAAAGGTCAAGATTATATCATTAGAGACATATGTACTGTACAGAATTTTTTCTATACTCCCAAAAACCCAAAACAAAAAACTCTCAGCAGATTCATTAATTTTCTGTTTATGTTTCTTCAATACCTCATCCATCTCTACTTCACTTGCTGATTTCATAGCATTACTTCAAGCTGCTGAAACAGCCACACTCATCCAAAGCTATCCAAAATAAATCTCATTTGTCTTCTATGAGTAGAGTATATATGTAAGTGTTGCTGTGAGCTAAGGGGATATATTGTGGAGATACACTCATTACTTGAACATGCCACATCATATAGGTAGGATTTAACACTCAATTGTATGTATAGGATTTTAAATCTACATCTGTTGAAAAAATAGATGACATATAAGTCTTTCAGAAGATATAATTTCAATACATATTTTTACAAATAATATATTTCTGAAAGTTGATGATGTGGATCAAATGACAAAAGACTTGGCAGGATAATATTTCTTTTTAAAATATTTTCTATTATATACTTATTTACATTTAACATTTCTCTAAAATTATTGGAAAATGGCAGCTTCATAAAAATCCATGCCATTGCAGAGAATAAAAGTAGTAAGTATTTGGAAAAGTATAACAGGGACTGTAAGTATATTTCCGGTGTGTTCTCACAAGAACTGTATCATGTAATAGATTGGAGTTACTTTGGAAACTGACCATTCAGAGCATGATAAGTTTCTGTGGGTCCCTGTTACCTAATTCATTCCTGTCACCTTTTTTTGTTTTTTTTGTCAAAGCCAGTGGACCTCTAATTTCCCCTCAGGAATCTCTTGGATAGCCTATGTGTTAGTTTCTAATAATACGTTCTTTTTTGTGACCTGAAGTACCACAAGAATAACCTTTCCCAGGTTCCAATGACAACATGATAAATGTCTTGAAATCTGTAGTAATCATTTTTGAAATGTGAATTAAGGCAATGTTTGCTCATGATTTCCCTTAAAAAGAAAAAGGAAATATACAATTTCAGTTTACCACTGTGCTAGAAAAAACCCTTGGGTCTTCTTCGGCTGTTCCAAGTCTTCCTTCTCAGGGAAAGGGGTATCCTGCTCTGCAAGTGATGGTGGGAAGGAAATTCTGTAACTTCTGACAGCCACAGAGTCAAGAGCAGTTCAGGGCCATGCAACTTTGCTCAAAAGGTGGCAGGAAAGGGGACTGGTGGTAGTGTATCATTTTCTCTTGTAACTTTATAATTAGGAATCAATTGAGTTAAGTGCTTGCTTAATAACTGGCCTCCAGACTGAAGGCAGGCTCCCCAAAACCAAGAAAATAAAAACTTGTATTGTGCTGCATAGCATGCTTTGGTAGAAATCAGATCTCGCCTCACATAATGGCATAAATGTTTCTCTGTGGTTGCATCTAACAAAGGTATCACATGGACATGAATCAACAAGGGTAACATACTTCACTACAGTTAATTATCCTGATTTATCCCAAGAAACTAGGTTTTATTCTGTAATCTGTGAGGAAATCTGCTGTTCTAGCCTTAAATCCTTTCCTCAGCCAGGTGATTATCAACTACATTTTTGTACAGGAGGGAATTAATGCCACATACTGCCTAAGCAGCTTTGAAAGCAAAAAGGCCTGGACCTGTAATAACTTTTGTGCAGGGTATTGATTCAGAGAACGTGAGGGAGCCCACAGTCACAGGGGTTTCCAGGGACTTTCTATGCCCTTCTTTACCTTTTATATTCTACCGCGCTTCCACCTCCACTGTGAACTTTCACATTAACTCTCCACAGGAGACCCCAGGTAACTCTGTGCTGGTGTTACCACAAACTGAGTAAAACCCTAGGTAAAAAGCTGGTCCCACAATGAAATCTGATTTTCAAGCCAGCAACAATCAATACGGCTTTAAAATTTGATAACAAGGAACTTTGGCAGAAAATAATCAGGGTTGCTGTAAAAAGCGGAGGCAAATTTTCCCCGGAGTACAAGGATTGTTCCCTCCCTTTGGGTTGGTACCTTAGCAAGTGTATTTCTCTCTTTGCACGTGTGTGTGTGTGTGTGTGTGTGTGTGTGTGTGTGCATGTGTTTTCCAAGGGTGTACTTGGAAATATCCACGGTGGGGGGATCTGCAAGCTTTGTGTTGGAACTAGGAAGCACACTTGGCTGGGAGTTGGGGCTAAAGAGGGAGAAAAGGAAGGGAGGGGGAAGCGGAGAGTGGGGCAGAGCATCTCCTGCTCCATGAATTTATTCAAAAGCATTTCAATCTGTGTGCACATCTTCATCACTTCAGCGATAATTAAATCTCAGCATCACAGGTGATGTCCTCTCACAGTCTCTTTCCCTGGTTCCCACTGGGCCAATGAAGCAGGCCTCCCCGTGAGGCCTGTTAGCACAGATCAGGTGGTAATGTGGAGGGACAGATGAGCTTTAGCTGACAGATGGTAAGATGACCTGGAAAACCTGCCCCCTTTTCTAGGATCAGGCAGCAGCTGACAGGTATTATTTCATAAAATAACGTCTAAAAGGAATCGCCAGGGTCTTCGCATTAATCTGAGGCTGCAACCAGCCATGTAACGTTTATGTCAGAGCAAATCTGTCTCTATGCAGGAGAGGGAAAGTGGTTTTTGATGAAGTTGTTCATAAATTTTAATATAATATGCCTGATGGTGTCAGATATAGTCTCATATCTCTTTTATATTTAAAGGCTCTAGTGAAACATAGAAATATTCAATCTTCAACAAGCTACTTTTAAATAACTAAAAAGTTAACCAAGGATACCTTACTGCTTTTTTTTTTTTTTTTAATAAAGGACTGGTTCATCTGAGCTCCCTGTTTTTAAATGAAAATTATTTCAATACCATGAAAAGCTTTTTGCCTGGGGTATCAAACAAAAGGAGTAGGGCCATTGCAAAGTTGCTTTTATGGAAAACTTGCTTTCTGGAAAGGAGGAAACTTGCCCAAACACACAAGTAAACAACAACGGCAGGAAGCCCCTGTCTTCTACATACATAAATAATATTTCACAACTTCTGGTGAAAAAAATATCAACTACTGACTGGTTGGCAGAGATAACCCTTTCATTAAATGAGCTCTCCAGGCACCTGACTTTTGAAGGTTTCAGCACAGATGAATATTTGGGGAATTCTACCACCTAGCTGGTGTTTGGCTTTGTCTGCCCCATGTGGACTTACCAAAACAGTGATACAGAAAGGTGCAGCCTAAGCCTCAATTTGCATTTTCCTTTGAAATAGCAAACTCACTTTAGTCTTGGTCTAGATGTGCAAACCAGTATTTCAGCATCAAACTTCTGAACCTGCCGGGGAAAATGCTGACATGTTTCTATTTATCTGGTTGTTATGAAACATTTATTGTGATTGTGTTAAAGGAGGGAAGTTTTTGTTTTCCATAGACCTTGCGTGGTGTAAGGTTGCTTCTTTCAGTATCTGTAAGAATAACCGTAAAGTGAATTCATGAATGTAACAGACGTACAAGTCACCTGGAGAGTCAAGTATTACAGAGATGGATATAACGCCACACACCTCATAATCACATTTTCACCTGCCCATCTGGTGCAGACCTGGGCTTAATAGTAAATTCACCAGATACACCAGCATGCCAGTTTTGTGTTTCAAAAACACATACTAAATACAATTTGTAAAATAATAATAATAAAAAATAATAATAATAATAATAATAATAATAATGTCTGAGTAAAAGAACAGAAAATAGAAATATTAAGCTACTCCTTTTAAAAACTGAAATTATCAAGGCATATGAGACAATTTCACAGTCTACCCAGATATTTTTAGGGACTACCTACACTGAAGCTATCTAAACTACTAGTTTACCAAATTAAAAAAAAATTAATTCTCCACTTGACATATAGTAATATGAACTGGAGACTTGAAAGTATTCATATCGATGTTTATACTTAATTATAACATAACTGAATTAATCCTTTAAAAAGATTTTACAAAATGGCACTGGCCTTTGTGAAGATTCTGATTGTTACTGCTGTACATTGGACACGCAATTAAATTACAAATTAATGGAATATATAAGTTAGATTTAATACTTACAGAAGCACTCTTAAAAGGAACAATTAAGACCAATACTTGATGAGAAATTTGAAAAATTAAGTGAAGAATCATTATAGGCATTGTGTATGTATAAACACATATGTATGTATGTATGTATAGTTTATACATACACGATGCCTCCCTAAGCCTATTAAGTTTAGAGCAAATACATATTTAGTTGGCAACACTCTTATGTAGGGCCAAAGCCTTTCTTTGTCTGAAGGCCCAAGTTTGGGGGTTTGTGCTGTCTCTCTCCCATAAACCCATCTGTAGTGTATCACATAATTTCTACTTTTGATTTCGTTAGAGTGCCAATTCAGTGATACATACAAAGTAAACCAAGTACAGAATCCTTCTGGATTTTTAAGATTTCTTTTGCAGCTTTTCACAGTTGTCTTGCTCATATCTAATTTGGGAAAAATTCTTTTAGCAACTTATTTATCAAGTCTTGCAAAGCATTCACCTTTGGTTTTCATACAAATGACAGCTTCTTTGAACACTGTTATTTCATAAGTTCATGTAATATTTAATTAAATGATGTATTTGTATATTAATTACAAATAACGTGAATAATTTTGGAAACAAATAGTTTTCTTTTTAAGTACCTCACTTAACTGTCAGGTGCACAGTAACATAGGCATACCAAAAAGTGGAATATTAGCAGTATTTAGTAGTGTTGATATGAGTTAATAACATTTTAGAAAGAAAAGGGAAAGCATTAGGTAGTCTTTGAGGCATTTCAGTGGGCCTGTTTAAGAGATCTTCTAAATATCATTTGCTTGTGTGTGTATGTGCATGCATGCGTGTGTGTGTGTGTGTGTGCAGGCATGCGTGTATGTGTATGTGCACGCATGCGTGTATGTGTATGTGCGTCCATGCGTGTGTGTGTGCTTGCATGCGTGTGTGTGTATGTGTATTCTTTCACCTTCAGATAAGGGTACTGACAAGGGTTCTGGAGTAGCAGTTAAGAACTCTGTTTTTTCCCACTTTTTGTAATAAAGATCAGTAGCTGTGTTTTTTTTTTTCTATTTTGGGAAGATTCAATAATACATTCTATTCATTTTCATCTCTATGGCCTGGTTCATACCTGGTAATTAACAGTGGACTAGCTACATGTGCATAGGCAAGTTCTCTACCTGCTCTGTGTATCTGTTTCTTCATCTGTAAAATGTCAATACAATGCCAATTCATTTTGTGAATCTGTTGACTAATAATTGAAAAGAGTATACAACAGGGCCTGGCTCACAATGGGTGCTCAATAATTGGTATTTATATTATCAGTATTATTGGCAGCTAATCTTTATTTTTTTAAAGAGTTCACTCATCAAAGATAAGATATAATGACAAATGTGAAGGAGATTCCTGAGTTGGGACTCTTACATTCTGTTTAATTTTCAAAATCATTGTCACTTATTATCAGTGGTATCAGGACATCAGATAAAAATTACTTTCATTCAACATTCATCAATGTTCCTAAATTCCTTTACAAAAGGAACTTCCACCATTACAAAATGTGCAATCACTATCTGAACTCTTTTTCATCTTTTTTCCCTAGGAATTAATGATTTTTTTAACTTTTAGTTTAGGTTCAGGGGTGCATGTGCAAGTTTGTTACACAAGTAAACTTGTGTCACGGCAGTTTGTTGTACAGATTATTTCATCATCCAGGTACTAAGCCTAGTACCCAATAGTTATTTTTTCTCCTTTCCCTCCTCCCAGCCTCCACCCTCAAGTAGGCCTCAGTGTCTGTTGTTTCTCTTTGTATCCATGAGTTCTTATCACTTAGCTCCCACTTAAAAGTGAGAACATGCAGTATTTGGTTTTCTGTTCCTGCATTAGTTTGCTAAGGATAATGGCCCCCAGCTCCATCCATGTTCCCACCAAAAAAAAAATAAACAACCAACAACAACAACAAAAGAAACCAAAAAGGAATTAATGTTTTATAACTATTTGTGGTAAAATATTACATGGCAAAGTAGTGAGGTTGTTGTGCATGCTTGTACTCTGTTGTGTATATTTGTACTGTGAAACAGGTAACCTTTATACAATATTATAAGCTGGCCATTTTGAAGATAAATATGCACAGAAGTAGACACTCTAGCATTGTATGTGTACATGTGTGTGCTGTTGGCCCTTTATTATGTGAGTGAAAAAAGGTATTCTAACTTCAGTCTATTTCTCACTAATATTTTTGAATTTTGCTTTACCTGAAGAGCCTAGTATTTATTTACATGTTACTTTCTCAAGCATGAGTCTTCAGTAGGCATTGATTTTTCTCCTTTTAATCCAAGACAAGTTGTGCTTTCTCGTTTTTTCCCCCCACTGGCATTTGCAAAAATTGTATTCCTTAACTACAAAACAAGCTCTAAATTAAAGAAAATTCTATTTTTTGATATATGGCTCATTTTACTAACTCATAGTGGAAAATTGCATATTTGGCCATATCTATTTAGATTTTTAACATTTTTTTCCTTGGAAAAACCCATGGCCATTTTTGTCTAGTTTATAACATCCAACCTGAGAATACACAAATGATATATCAGCTCTGTGTTGGTGGCTGAGTGGTATCAGGCTGTAATATACCTCAAGTGGAATTCATCTGCGTTTCCTCCCTCTATTGATAATGTGAATTACATCATGTAGGTTTTAAGGAAACTATTCATTCTTTATGCTTGGCCATAAACTGGACTATGACAATGATTAGAGTTGAATATGAAAGTTAAGATGTCCTAAGAAACGACAGAGAGGAAGTATTTATTTATGTAGTTCAGAGCATCAACACTGTGTTCCACTATCAAACACAACTGCTAGAGTCTGAGATGGCCTTTTAACTGGTCTTATAGTTCTGTCTCTTCTGGTTATCTTAATATTAATACAGATATGAATCAAAGAACCTAAAAAATCTAGATCAATGTTTATCTAAGACATCTACATTTTCTAAAGAAAAAATACTTTTGCTTGATTAGTTTGTTTCATCTAATACAAACAAACGGCTTTAGTTTCGGAGAACAATATGGTACTTCAAAGCCATCCTACTAGCTTGATATCTGAGAGTTGGAAAGTTATATTACAGGCTAGATAATGGTTACACTGAGTGTCCCATGATTTGGGAAAAGGAATTACTACTATAATTCCACCTTCCTTAGTACAGAAAAAATATATGGAGACACATCTTGAATACATTCAGGTAATTTTAGTAGTTGGTATGAACTTTGGTGAAATGCCTGCTGGTAAGAGTGTCCAGAAAAAAAGGCTTTCCAATGTATACAGAAAAATTCTCAAAACATATGCCTTCACTTATAAGTTTAGCTATTATTCTGTTGAAATAAAGAGAATTTTAACTTCAGCACTCTAAAAGTTGAGTGGTCCTGTGCTGAGAGTTACAGTCAAGTGACAGAAAACACTTCGGTTGACCTTTTTTTAGTTTAAGCTTCTCTACCCATCTATTTATCTTGTCTTCATGAGTTGTACATGAACTACAACGTTCTCAATCATTGTAAATAACTGCATGTGTCAACTCAAAAGTGGTCCTAGATCAGGCAGACACTCCTTTACTCTTTGCGTGGCTACAAAACATATGCTTGACTTCTGCAAGCTCTATTCCCTCACTGTGGTTTATATAAAAACCTAAGATTGGTAGATTACTGAAGCAGTCATCAATTTTACATGGTGAATTTATGAGAAGCTTCTCTCTAGGTAAAATAAAATGGTAGCCTAGGGCTTCTATCAAGTGCTTGACAGTATGGGCTTTTGTAGAATGAAACAAAGTATCTTTCTATAAAGGAATGTCTTATTCAGTGTTCCAAAGTAAAGATATTAGGGGAAAAGTTTTTTTCTCTGAATGCACTGAAGCTTTTTTCCTCCCCCCAACCCCCATAATGGGGTAAGGTAAGGTATCCCCGGACAGGTTAGGATTAATTTTTCTCAGAGGCAGAGGCAGAAATAGATGGCCTTTCAAGGAGCCTTCATGTCTCTGATTGTGAGTTTACTTACAAATACATCCAGATGATAGCACAACAGAAGGACACTTCAAATATGGGTGATTCCTGAATGACGCCAAGAAAAGAGACAGCTATTTTGAATATCCAAATCTCTTTTCAAATTTTACTTATGCAGGTGGGTTACATTCCCCTACTATGTACTTAGCAACATTTTTTTTTTTTTTTAACTCTAAAACACATAGGCCTTTTTGCCTGAGTTAAATTTATTTCTTTAGCTGGTAAAGCTTTTCCTTTCCATATGGTCAGGATAGCTAATTTAGTTAGTCTCCGAGGTGGCCAACATTATAGTGTGGTATCATAGAATATAAAAATAAAAGAAGGTATGAAAACCTTATTCTAAAAATGAAATAAAAACAGATGGGACATACGTTTCTAACGTATTTAATTTGCATCGTCTTTTTCTCCTTTTAAAGTTCTTGTGGACCAATCTTGCAAAAAGGCAAAACAAACCCTAAACACTCCAGTTCCATGCCAGCAAGCTGCCAGGCTGATCTTTTTATCTCCATCAACTCCATGAAAAATCAACGAAAAGAAAAAAAAAATCAACAGGCATACGTTTAAATGTCCTGAGATTTTTAAAATAAAATTTTAAAATAAAATTCTTAAGAGTCTTTTTCACTTACGTATAGTCAAACTATTTCCAAGTAGAGGAATAGTCATCTGCAAGGTTGAATTACCCTCGGGAGCCTAATGATGACTTTTCTCTTGTCTGAGGAGGATGGCAAGGACTTTCCAGGGTGGCCCCAGAAGATCATGCAGGTGACTGTCAATTTTAGTTTTCTCTCCAATACCTGTTTCTTTATTGCTGTAAATATTTCATCATAGACTCTAAGACCCCATCTTGTAAATCCTGCCCCTAGAATATTGATTTTATCAGATTTGTCCAATGTGACTTGTTTAGTATTTCACTGCGTAACACCTTTTATGGTCTAGTATAAGCTACCATATATAAGACTAGGTCTATGTGATGTCAAAGCAAATGAATTAGGAGACAAAATACTTTAGGCACATAATTACTGGTTTTGACTGAACAAGTGGCTTAACTATTTTGTTTTTCTACAGTTTCCTGAATCAACTTTTTAAAAATTTAAATCAAATTAACATACTGAAGAATTGTTTGAGAACTGCGAGGATCTGGCTTAATATCGAGAATGTTATACAAATTATTGTGTATACTTTCCATATTTGGCATAATTACTTTCAGTAAAGCACTTCCGAGAGAGACGATTTGGATTCCACATAGGTTTATAGCAGCATTATTAACAATAGAGGATTTGTAAATATAATTCTTTTGACATTAAAACAATTTTATTAGTAATCAAGAATATTCATGGCTATTTCTAATTCTTAAAGATACATTCAAATAAAAGTATTGCCTTGCTAACCTTATATAAGTGAGCCAAGAAATCTGCTTGAGAAAAGTGTTCTATTTTCCTCCATTTTCCAATAGAAGTGACAATGACAATTATACATTATTTGTTATTAGAAGAAAACTTTGAAGCCTTCTTAGGCAAATTGTGCAATAGTTCTGAAATGTCATTTCTAATGTGTTTTTTTCCTATCCCTAGTATAATTTAAAAGACTTTTTAAATGGCTTTATTAATTACTGAAACAGGGCATCACAGTTGAGGGTTGATAAGCTTTTTTGGTATCCTCTGCAACCTTGACACACGTCTACGTAAGAATTTGGGAAGAAAATAAAACTATGGCTAGTGTTACTGGTACTTGATAATTTTCTTTCTCACAATGCTTGATAGTTTTTCTTTTCTCAAGTCAGGATGTTTACCAAGCAAATTTTATACAGTTCACTAAAGAGCTTCTTGAAAGGCTGTGGTTCGAATCTGTCACTTAAGCAAATGCTTTTTATGAGAGTTTTGTGTCTGACTCTGCCTTTTCTGCTACGGGAACTCTCAAACCAAGAGAGCAAGTGAACAGCACAGAAAAGTCGCAGACAAGACAGCAGCCGGCGATGGCACTTTCAGCCTCACGGGATCTTCCCAATTGCTAAAAGCTGTCAACATTTCTTTCGGAAGCAAGTGTGAGGAAAATTCTGTTCTTAGTTGGTGTTATGGGTTGAATTGTGTCCCCCTCAAGAAAAGATATGTTAAAGTCCTAACCCCCAGTACCTCAGAAGGTGACCGGATTTGGATACAGGGTCTTTGCAGAGCTAATCAAGTTAAAATGAGGTCATTAAGGGGACCCTAATTCAATATGATTGGTGTCCTTACCAAAAGGGAAATTTGGACTCTGAGACATACATGCACAGAGAATGTGAAGACACACAAGGAGAACACCATGTGACAGCAAAGGCAGAGGCTTGGATGATCCAGCTGCACACCAAGGACTGTCAAAGATTGGCAGCTGTCCACCAGAAACCAGAGAGGCAAGGCATGATTCCTCCAGGTTTCAGTGGGAGCGTGCCCTGAAGACACCTTGATTTCAGATGTCTAGCCTCCAAAACAGTGAGACAAGAGGTTACTGTTGTTTTAAGCCTCCTGTTTGTGTGGTACTTTGTTACAGTAGCCTTAGGATATTAGTACAGTTTTTGGAAGCTAGTGACACTGAGGCTGGTGGAAGGAAGGGAGGAAGAAAGAAAGGAAGGGAGGAGGGAGGGAGGAAGGAAGGAAAGGGAGGGAGGAAGGAAGGAAAGGAAGGAAGGAAGGAAGGAAAGAAGCAAGAAAGGAAAGAAGGGAGGGTGGTTTTAGGAAAAAGCAAAAGCATCAAGAGAAGTGAACCACCTAGATGAAAATTGTGATGAATACTTTGGGAAAACATAAGAAAAAGATACAAAGAGAGATATCAAAAAGGATAGATTGCCTGATTTGCTAAGTTTGAAAATCACCTCTTATTTGTACCTCCTCCCCTTTATGCTTTTTTTAAAAAATCTAACATACCACACATTTCAGAATGCTGCACAGTAGGGAAAGAATCTATTGCTCAGGAAACACTGGGTTAGAAAAACTTTGTGAGGTGCTGCATTGAGAGTTACATCAGTTTCAAGAAAAATCGCAAGGGAAAAAAGACACAAGAGGATGGTCATAGTCTATAGTGAGAGGGTGCCTGTAAATCACTGTGTAAACACCCAGGAACTGCTCCCCCAAAGTCAAGAACCAGTCAAGCAGTACCAGCTGTAAAAATGGAAGTGTGCAGGAAGTAGAGGATTCCTCCAACATCTGTTGGGGCCATTAAAAATGAAAAGTAAATCCAAACTGGCAATATAAGAGATTTATTTTTCTACATTAACCCTGACAACAACTGCCAATTTTTTTTTCAATCTTTTGCCACACAAGTACCTTTCAAGGGGCATAAGAATCAGTGCCAACTGCAAAAGCAGCAATAGGTAGAAAAATCAGGATTAAGACAATTTAATATTGATGGCAGACATCCAATAAGATGAGGGTAAAGAAGGGAATATGAGAAGTCAAAGCTGGCGGGAATGCATCAACATTCCCCAGGAAAATATAATCATCTGGGGAGAATATAAATCTGAAGTGCACCTTAAAATCACAGCAAAGCCAAACAACTCTTTGTAGGCCATATAATATTCAGCAAAAAGAGAATTTGAATGAAGACTTCACTCGACTAGACTTGTTTTAAATACACGCAACTAGACTTGTTTTAATACAATTAGTCTTGTTTTAAATAGATGCAAATGACTCTAAACAATATTCAAGTATTTTCAAAATACAAGAACCAGGATGCCACATTATACCATGTTCTTAACGTGTCATTCACACACCAAGATACAGCTTCGCTTAACTAACAGTCCAGGGTCATCTCTCATTCACATTGCCCGGGGATGCTAGTTTCTTTCTGTTAAGTATTCAGAGCCGCACCTGTATTATGAATTCTATAATGTGTTAAATGTCCCATTCTGTCTAGCCTTCTTTTCATCATTGTTTCCTAATTCTGTTCGCTAAGCCTGATGTAAAGTTTATATCCCAGTATCATGAGCCCACACATATGTGTCTGTCTGTACTTGGAGTCCTAGGGTTCAGAGATGGAAGGAATCCTGGAGATCATTTACTTTAAAGGCTTCATTTTATGTATATACAAGGAAGCGCAGCAACTATTTAACCAGAATGAACATATATAGAGTGGCTATGTATATGGGCTTTAGGCATCAACAGCCTTGGATCAAATCTGTTTCTACTACTTGTTAGATTGCAATTATCAAGTTTCTCATCAAATGGAGAAAATTTATTATATCATCCAAACTGGAGCACTCTTGAGGGTAAAAGGAGACACTGACACTGGTAACAAGTGTACTTGGACAATAGGGCAAAAGCAGGACTATCTCTAACAAACTGGACTTACAGTCACTTTTATAGTCAGAATGATACCATATGGTTGACGTGAGGATTGAACAAAACAATGCATGCAAAGCACCCAGGCAATCAAATCAATGGTAGCTATTCCTGTTATTAAGTCATTTGCCCATGGTCAGCCCAAATGTTAGTAACAGAGCCAGGAATGGAAACCACAGAGTAACGTTCTTCCTACTATACTACATTATTACTTCAAATAGTAGATTAAGTAGGAGACTAATAAGAAGCAGAGTACTAACATATTACATTAGAACTCATTAATCTGCTTTATCTGTTTTGTTTACACTATCAGTTGCCTACTCAATTCTCCAATTAGATTAGATCTGCTTGAGGGCTATAACCACAGTCCTGATGTATTTCTTTTTATCCCTTCCTTCATCATTTTCTTTGGAAAGTACCTACTATACTGCTTTACACAAAGTAGATACATACAAAAATGGGTAATTTTGTTCTTTTTGCTCTGTTCCACTGCAAATTTTGAGGATTGAAAATGAGAATCTAGTTCCTGGCACAATAAAATATTTGTTTAATGGATGTTGAGTAAGAACGTCTTTAAAATTTACCTATTTGTGTATTTGTTTCCTTTACTTTTTCTTTGAAAAAAATAGTCATTATTTTTCCTACTTAAATTTTGAAGTATATTTACTTGAAAAAGGGAAATTTATTAATAATTATTTCAGATTCCTTTATTTTCAATTTAATTTTTATGACAACTTTTGGTTGTTCACTTTTCTCTATAGTTGACAATACATCTTTGTAGAAGACAAAAACAATGAAAGTTCACATTAGAAACTTCAGATTCTTTTTCAGGAAACTAAAGAGAGAATTGTGTAAACTATACCATGATGAAGCTGATTCTCTCTCTCTCATACACACACACACACACACACACACACACACACACACACACACACATATATATGCCTAAAAACCACCTTGTTAATGGTCAGTGTGGGTCATTTTACTATGAATGGTCAGTGTGGGTCATTTTACTATGAATTCAAGCACTGATCGGCACCAACAGGCAAATGTATACACACACACATATATATATATATATGCCTAAAAAACCACCTTGTTAAATGATCAGTGTGGGTCATTTTACTATGAATTCAAGCACTGATCAGCAACAACAGGCAAATTTATGCTTGGATGCTTGGATGGTGATTTACTCATGTGGTGCACAGACTGAGTTCTCAACCTTCACTCCCATTTTTAGTTTAGTCATGTACATGGAAGGCATGTATGCATGCACTTGAGACAATTGATTAATCATCTCTGCTTTTAATGAGTGCATATGTGGAAATTTGAAGTTCTAAAACAAGTCATCGGGGATGCTTAACTTGCAAATTTTTGAAATTCCCATTTAAAACTTCATGGTTCAAACCTTTAAAACTTAAAAAATAAATAAATAAAAAATAAAAAAATAATTAAAAAAAACCTTATTGGTTCCAAGGTTTATCACATGTAACATCAAAGATTCCACCCATTCCCTTCAATATTTTACATGCTTCAACTTACAAACTGTAATATTTATCTACTGCACTTTTTGTGTACAGTCAACTTTCAATACTTTAGAGATTGATTATCCAGTTTGTGGATATAATTCAAATCTTTGACTTCTCCATTTTCCTCAAGCAACCTGTCTTTAGGGCATTTCTTCTCTTTCTAGAATCTCTGCTAGAGGATGGCAGTGGAGGGGGAAGGAGATAAAACACATCAATCAATGTTTCTACTTTTAGCAGAACTGGTAGAGGATGGTGCTTAGGAAGATGTTGGAAAAAACTGGCTAAAATGATACTCTTGAGTGATTCAAAGTTCCCATTGATTTTTGTTTTGGAAGTATATTCTTTCTCTAAGGCATTAAGAGTGACTACAGCTCTTTTATAAACTACCGCTGTTATCAGAGAGAGAATTCAGAACAGGAAAGATATTGGGTTTGATCCAGTATATTACTATTTTGGATAGATAACTGGGAATTGACCCCAATATGCCAAGAGGTAACATGGATACATAACATTAGCCTTAATACCAGATGAGACTGATAGAAAAGTGTCTTTATTTCTTAAAGTTTTAGAAGTACTTTAATATCTGTTTAATAAACTGTTTCGTATCTCCAGACTCAAGAATGGCTTTGAATTTCTAACCACCTACAAGTTATTTCTAAAAGATCTTAGAAATTGTGCTTTATGACCTTATTTTCACAAGTGCTAATCACATTAGCCACTATTACTAGATCACCTGCTTTGCTGAATTGAAACATATCTCCCAAAGTCATGCATCCAAGGCATTGGTGAGGGGGACCCTTCACCATTCTAGTTAATTTCAGTAAACATTATGTTTATTTTCCTTTCTGCATTTATCTCCAAAGGCTGTTTCTAAAGCCAAAGTATTCTACTCATTAAGTGTTATGACATTCTGAGTGTATTAAATTAATTATTAATGTTTAACTGGAGACTATATTTTGGTATATTTGTTGTGAGGGGAAAAGGGACTATTTAAATCAGAGAGAGATGTAAAGTACATATAAAAAAAGCCTATTTATAAACATCATTCAAAGAATTCGCTTTTGAGCAATACATTGAGAAGACTGAAATGTCTTAAACTGATGTATACTCAATCAGGAACAAAAAAGTTCTGATGCAAAGGCATATGTTCTATAATATTTTGTTTGCTACTTTGTTAATTTATTGCTGTAAATTAATTACAAAACTCCAACTCAAACCTTTTTAACACTGTATTTGTTGTATTACATTTATTATAAACTTCATAGAAATTAAATTGTCTTTCGAAAAGTATTTAGTGACTTGTAACTTTCACACTCTAAATTTAGTGAAAAAAAATAGGAAACAAAACTAGCTTCAGATCCCAATTTATAAAATAACAATGTATATGTAAAGGTAAATAAAGGCAGAAAAATATGTAACTCTTATGTAATATATTTAATAATAGACACTTTGGGCATTATTATTTTATTTTTTCAATTTTTCTGAAATAATTATGTATTACAAAACACTTTTTCTAATAATGAAAAGAAAAAAATACTGAAAATGTGCTAGCAATTTTTTATTCTTCAATTTTGTAGAAAGAGGTTTTTAAAAAGTATGTTAATTAGAACAAGAAACTAGAATAAATGATCACTAAAGTTTCTTCCTACTTAAAAATTCTCTTGTACAGTATATAACTTCATTTGGTAAGTATTGGCTGGATTTTTTTTAAAGTATTTATTCTTTATAGGATTACAATTTTACCCAAATGTTTTAAGATACATTTTATTAGCCTGTCATTGAAAACCCTACTAAATGTTGGGGAAAGCAGTCCATATATGCCATTTGTAAACGAAATCCAAAACTTGTACTTCCTCAATAAGGGAGCAAAGTCTCATTTTAATGCCAGGCAAATGAATTGAAGTTCTTGTTTATTACTTACTGAGCAAAATATTTAAAAGGCATTACAGGAAAGTATTTACCATTACCAATAATACAAAACACAGTATATGTGCAATCTAAAAAGCAAAAAAGGAATGCATTTGAGGAGTGGAAAAAGTATGTTTTGTGAAATTAAATATTCGACATCTCAAAATATTAAACTGAGCTGAGACCAGGTTTATGTTTTATTATAGGCTCAAAAAGAAATATAAAATTGAGAAACAGAAAGCCAGAAGAAAGTGGGAGTAAATTAAAGTATGAATTTAAATTAAATATTAAATTATTATAATATTAATGATAGATTTTATATGGCATACCCTTTAAAATAAATCTAATTAAGATCAAATTTTCTAATGCTTAGTGTTAGCTTCCACGGTACATGTTACTTTCTGAATTTTATTCTATGTGTTCTAAGTCTTACCATATACATATCTGAAATTGATAAAAATAAATGTTCTTAGCTCATAATATACAAAGCTTTCCTTCTGGTCCGGATCCTGATTTTGGAAGCTTCGTTTTCTACACCAACCTTACGCAAGCCAGACAGAGTAGGCTGCAGTGAATTGATTCTATCAATGAATGTTAATACTTGAACATTGTTCAGGAAATATTTTCATTGACAGGCTATAAACAATTGAAGGTAAGTAAAACCAAAGTTAATATCATACAAATTACATAGCATGCTCTGGCAATCAGGAATTTTAGTTAATTGATTTTCCTGGTTAGCTCAGAATGAATAAAAATCTCTCTGCTTTTCTATCTTTGTAATTTAAATCTATCTTAAAATGGCTTAGTTCATTTCTCCTTCCACTTTTAGAATACTAAAGGGTTGCATAATGAAATATATCTGTAATGTTGAGAATCTTACAGAACCTAGCAGTCATTATTCTAAACACCAGCTCTGATTGCAACCAATGGGAAACGCGGAAGTTGAAGATGTCAGAGATGACAAAGAATGCCACATGCGTGTGTATTTGTTTGTTTTTCTCTTTGCATAGTGCATTTTACAATGTGAGCTTGTTCTGTTGTCATTTTCTACTTTTTCTTTAAAGAGAGCTTGCGCTTCTCATAAACACTCCTATTTTCAAACAACCATCACCGAAAAAAGTAAAATCTATTTAATGAGCATTTGGAGTAGTTGGGGTCTCAGCTGGCATTTCCCTGTTCTTGGCTGCCGGAATGAACTCTTTAGAGCCATAGTGTTGATAGAAGTTTTCAGTAAGAACACTTAACCATGGCAGTATTATCAGTGGGTTTGCTCTCTTTATCTTCAAGTTATGCAATATCCATTCCTTTGTAAAGCAACAGGATCTTCAACTTTCACAGGGCAGTCTAAGATTTCATTTCTAAATCACTGGAGCTCCCAGGGAGGCCATGTCTTTATGTATGTCACCACTGGATACCCTTGCACTGTTGTTCTAACACCTAGTGAGCTGAGTGAGCCGCACAGTTCCTCCTCTGACATTCCACATGTGCAAGAGAGTATATTTTTCTTAGTTCATAAGTGCTTGGCAGAACTGTGATTCCCAGGGTACTTGGGCTATGTTGTTCTGAATTTTCATCACCAATCAGATTACTTACTTTCAGGCCATAAAAGTCACAGAAAAGAATTTGGGAAATTTACATTTAATAGTGCTCTAGGGAGAAATGGCAGAATGAGAGGTGAAGAGAGGAGGGGAGGCCAATGACATTTCTATTGATTATAGTAGAGAGCTCTCATCTAGATAGATGTTAGTAATGCAATTATTACTAGGAACACACACATTTTAGCATAACATCACTAATGTTAACCTTGAAATTAAATAAACATTTGCTTTTTAAAAATATAAACTGTCATATATCAGTACCTATTTTGTCATAAGATGACTTAGACTACATTTTAATGTCCACATCTGTGATTAACATATCTAGCCAAATTTCCTTTCTTTCTAACCTCTTATTTTTTCATTGTTTTATTTTACAAATATGGATCCCACTGTTGATTCACCCTCATAGTGAATCTGTGATGATCATATATTCATTTATTTTCCCTTTTATAATCAATCATTTTGGCACACATGTATTAACAGCATTAAATTCTGAGATTATAAAATGGGAAAAGGATTATACATACCTGTCCTGGAGGAGTCATTAGTCTGGTGGGGTAGAACAACTCTTTCCAGAAGTACCTATGGCCAGGAGCAGTAGCTCATGCCTGTAATCCCAGAACTTTGGGAAGCCAAGGCAGGAGGATTGCTTAAGCCCAGGAGGTTGAGACCAGCCTGGACAACACAGTGAGACCCTATCTCTACAAAAAATACAAAAATTAGCCAGGTGTGGTGGTGCATGCCTGTGGTCACAGCTACTTAGGGGGCTGAGGCAGGAGAATTTTGAGTCCAGGGAGTTGAGGCTGCAGTGAGCCAAGATCACATCACTGCAATTCAGCCTGAGTGACAGAGCAAGACACTATCTCAAAAAAGCAAACAGAAACCCCCCCAAAAAACAACCTACTATGGTCATAGGGTGGATTTACGAGTGCTGACATGTAAAAATTACTCTTATTGTCCAAAGAAGAATCAAAGAATGGATTGTCTCTGTGCAGGATATGGCAGGGTGGGGTAGCAGTGGGAAAGAAATGGGGTGGGGAAAATGGCGAGAATAAGCAGCTACTAATGACACCAAATAGTGTGGCTCCAGGTGAAAGTGGTACATTCCAGTGACAATATCCCATAATCCACCTATAATATTCTATATCCCATTTTTTAAAACTAGGAACTGAATAATATTTTCCCCTTTAGAAATCTGTTCTTTCTTAGCCACCGGATTTTATTTCACCCATTATAATGGCTTTCATCCACTTACGTTGCGGCACCCTTTGCCAATTCTTTGAGAAATAACAAAAGTACAAATCAGTTATATGTGAGTAACAGAATAATTGTACCTCACAGATACACAATATTTGGGATTTGTTGTTATAGACCTGTTTTTAAGAGCTAACATATTTCTGAAAACAGTTTAGCCTCAGGAAAATGGTTTTGCAGGTTTGCTAGGTCCACAGGATGTTTCATGTATTTGGGATTTCTTGTTCATGAGTAACTCAATAATTATGTTTTATTCTTTCATTAGGAGACATAGAACTTTATTAATATTACACTAAGTATGTTAAGTCATATTTATATTTAATAAGACATCCCACCCTAGGTACTATATGTCTCCTCTACTCTTTCAATGCCTAACACAAATTTGATGTGCTTCTCTGAGACTTTTCCTAGACTACCAACAAAAGTAATTGCTCTTTCATCTTGCCATTCCATATTGCTTGAGACATTTCTGTGTTTTTTTTTTTTTTTTTTTTTTTTTTTTTTTGAGATAGAGTCTGGCTCTCTCACCCAGGCTGGAGTGCAGTGGTGCTATCTTGGCTCACTGCAAGCTCCGCCTCCCCAGCTCATGCCATTCTCCTGCCTCAGCCTCCCAAGCAGCTGGGACTACAGGCACCCTCCACCACTCCCAGCTAATTTTTTGTATTTTTAGTAGAGATGATGTTTCATCGTGTTAGCCAGGATGGTCTCGATCTCCTGACCTCGTGATCCACCTGCCTCGGCCTCCCAAAGTGCTCGGATTACAGGCGTGAGCCACCGTGCCTGGCCTTTGTTGTATTTTTATGAGATAGCAAATGTGACGGTTAAGCACATGGATTCTTGGAACACATTACCTGGCTTTTAGTCCTGGTTCTGCCAATACTTGTGCAATCTTGAGCAAGTTTCATTACCTCTCTAGTCCTTGATATTTTCATCTATAAAATGGGAATAACAGTACCTGACTAATAATGACCTGAGATTCAGATGAGTAAATATACAAAAGGGGTTATAAAGTTGTCCAATATAAAAGGGACTATGAAATTGTAAGTACTGTGTAATTATGTGCTATTTTCTCTTTATCTGTCTCATCTATTTTTTGAATATAATTGCTTAAATGTGTATCTCCCTCACTAGATTTTTTTTTTTTTTTTTTAAGAGGAGAGAGGATGGTTAACATTTATTAATCTCTTTTTATGTACAGGCACTGTCATAGGCTTTTAAAAGGTGTCCACTCACTACTCATCAGTGAAATGAGGTGCACATACTTTATCTTTATCATCTAGAACATATCATTTTTGTGCCCAAACTTTTCAAGCCTTCTTAAAATTGCTTAGCATATGACAGGAATTTAATACATGTTAACTGACATAACACTGAAATCAAAGACTCCAGGGAGGCCTGTGAATGAGCTTCAGGAATTCCACAATTTGACATTGTTTATGTGAAATTTTTTCTAAGGCAAGTATCCATATCTTTCATCAGATTCCTTAATGAAATAATGTAATGAAAGTGGTAAAGAAAGAATCTTCCTAACTCCCATAAAAATATAAAAATTTCCAGATCCCTTTGGAATATACAATATGAAGTTTATATATAAATTTATGAATACCCATTCATTAATGTGATATCTTATTTCTTTTTCTATCTTAATTTGTCTACAAGCAATTTTAAAATTCAAATTTATATAAGCACAGTCACATGTACATGAGTAGATTAAGAAGCTATGGTATCATTGGTGAAATAGAACTCTTGGAGTCTCTGGGTCCTTTTTTTTTTTTTTTTTTTTTTAAATCGACTACTCCATTTTATTTTTTGTCGCCAGGCTGGAATGCAGAGACACCATCACGGCTCACTGCAGCCTCGACCTCCTCAGGCTCAGGTGATCCTCCCACCTCTTCCTTCCGAGTACCTGGGATTACAGGCACGTGTCACCATGCCTGGCTATTTTTTTCTCTATTTTTCGTAGAGATGGGGTTTCACTATGTTGCCAGATTGGTCTCGAAATCCTGGGCTCAAGTGATCCTCCTGCCTCAGCCTCCCAAAGTGCTGTGATTACAGGTGTGAGTCACTGTGCCCAGCTGACTAGTCCTATTTATTTATTTATTTATTTATTTATTTATTTATTTCCATAGGCTCGTGGGGAACAGGTAGTATTTGGTTACATGAGTAAGTTCTTTAGTGTTGATTTGTAAGATTTCCTATTCTTGAAAGACTAATGATATTTTTGTAAAAGTCAAAGGAGTAAAATTAAGTGTTTGGGTTAAGGAATAAATCATTAAGTTGCTTCTCAGTACATTCATGATAATGGAATGCACAAACTGAAAACTCAATGAAGTCTTATGTACTAGAAGTACACATATAAATGATTGCTTAAGAGTGGGCCATCAGAATTTACAACAAAATATTTGGCAAAGTATAATATTGGTTGTAATGTGATGTTTCAGTAAGGAGGAAATTTTCCAAAACAGGGGAACAAGCTAGCCTCGAAAAAGAAAAAAGAAAAAGAAAATTGGAGCACTTAGCTCAGTGTATGGATTATTACCAAACCAAATCAAACCAGATGAAACTGAATCTGTATGTATATAATCTGAATGTATTCATTTCTGTCATATTTGTGTTGGGGGTGGGGAGAGGAGACGAAGACGGATAGATAGACAGGCAGGCAGACAGATAGATGGATAAATAGGTAGGTAGGGAGATAGAAAGACGGACAATATGCCATCTTGGAGTCTCATGTAGAAACTCTAGAGATTGCCAAATAATATATAAAACTCTTTCTTCATTGTTAGAGAAGATGTCCTCATCAATTTGTCCTTCTCATTATACTTCTTGCAGAAATTTATCTACCTAATGCATGCAGGGCTTAAAACCTAGATGACAGGTTAATAGGTGCAGCAAACCCCCATGGCACACGTATACCTATGTAACAAACCTGCACGTTCTGCACATGTATCCCGGAACTTAAAGTAAAATAAATTTATCTTGCCAATAATATTTGAATTACTTTCTATATCCAATAATATTCTTTTTCAAAAGTAGACCTCAAATAGGTGTCTACAGTCAAAACAATGACCACAACAAACAACAATAAATAAAAACAAATAAAATTCCCCAACAACCTATTCCCCCCAATTTATCAGGGCACATTGTACAACTATTTTGATAGTCACTTTGGTCCAAGTGGTCTCAAAGGAGAAAAAAAGTCATGATTAAGCAAACAAGGTATCTTGTCTTTCATAATCATTTGAAACATGGAAAAAAACTAAACATTAAACTTTTAACATGGGTTTACAAGATACCATAGTAGAGAAAGAAGTAAATGAAAGGAAGTGTGCTTGTCTCAAATACCACACATCACCACTGGGAAAAGGAATCTGAAGTTGCTTTGAGTATCATGAAGTATACTAGTCCACATAGAACAGACTCAAATCCTGCTTGGTAGATGCTTGTCAGAGTTAAGAATTCTAACTATTGTTGAACAAATATAATAAAATAATTTTAGAAACGATGTAGAAGATGTTGCCTTCTAATTAGATAATTTCCTCATAAGGCATCAAATATATATTAAATAATTACAAAAGCTGTAAGTATATACAATATAATCAGTATGACTTGATACAATAGTACTACTTTTTTATTATTATACTTTAAGTTTTAGGGTACATGTGCACAATGTGCAGGTTAGTTACATATGTATACATGTGCCATGCTGGTGCGCTGCACCCACTAACTCGTCATCTAGCATTAGGTATATCTCCCAGTGCTATCCCTCCCCCCTTCCCCCACCCCACAACAGTCCCCAGAGTGTGATATTCCCCCTCAGTACTATTGACATGGGCTGGAGAAATGAAAAAGCAAGACATGCCAAGGATCTTAAGTATGTAATTGATGAAATTCACTGTTTTTTGAGTTTTGTTATTAAAGAAACACCATGAGCTAAACATCTCTGGGGGAAATTGGTATGCTTGCATAAGTCCTGTTTGTTAAGGTTTGTGTTATCATTCCTTAGGGTTCTTACAGTTCAGTTTTTTATTACATAAAATGATGTAGTTCTTTTGCACCAAAGAAGAACTGTTTTAAGACCTACTCCTTATCTACTTCTTACTGTCCCAAAATGATTGTGATGTTGCTACCTTATGACAGCATAATTCAGTGGAAGTGAGCATGCGTTTTAGAATAAAACAGATATGAATCCCAATTCAGGATTTACATCTACGGGGGAGAAATATTGGGCAAATTATATAACTTCCTGGAAATTCAATTTTCAGTAAATAAATTGATATAATAATAATAGGAGGAGGAAGAAAAAGTAGGAGGAAAAGAAGAAGAAGAAAAAGAATACTGCGTTCTCTGAAAAGTTGTTGTATTACATAAAATATTCTCTGCAAAGTGCCTGGTAGAATACCTTGCACTAAAATGGTCTCAGTATATAACAATGGATTATATAGCTTAAATAGATAGTATATTATATGTATGGCCCAAATGCCTGCATTATCTATGGCAAATTCAACCTGCAATTATATTGGAAACTTTGGAAGTTTGGATAAGAAAGTTTGACTAAATTGAAGTCTGTTTAAAATCAACAGCTCTACATTACTCAGGATTACCTTTTCAAAATTATAATCTTTTAATAAACTGAGGAATTAAAAAAATTATATGCTATGTAATTAAAAGGTATTCTAATCCACTTCTAAGCTCAAAGGTTTGTCTACTTTTGGTCCTTGTAAGAAAAAGCAGAAAATATATTTTATATAATTTGCCATTTTAAAGGAAAATTGGCATTATATTTATGATATTTACAATCTTTCCCTGATGTGGTCTGTAATTCACAGAACCATAATTTAAGATAAAAAAGAGATAAAATATGATCAGTGAATACTATTTGAAGAGCATAAGTATCACTGAATTAGATTATGGAAATGAGATGAACAATATACTATGAACATAGTTATAAGATGCCTTCTTACATAGTATGCAAATGTGGAAATTGCATTTAAAACTAAATTCTGCCATTTTTAGAATTTACTACCATCAGGGTTCATTTTGCATGAATGTCTGTGCAATATTTTTTATTGTTTTTTGGGCTCCCTTGCTGCACATTGGGAAGTCTGAATGTGTCACTATTCATTTATGCAATAAAGAAAGTATCATTCTAATATTGTTATTTTTATTTTCTCTGTTGACTATACATTTAATTTATTCAACTGTTAATCATAAGTCATAAGGTAGGTAATCACTGTCATAAGGTAGTAGTGATCTAATCATCAATGCAAACTGGAGAATCTATCTGGATGAAATTAAACTTAATAGCCATTTCACAGCTCTATTTTTCTAATTGAAATTAAGTGGGTGGCTTTGAATCCTATGGAAAAATTGCTTTCCACTTGCTTCTCACTTGCTTTCTTCTGCCCCCACGCCTAAGTGTCCTCAAGTTCTCTTGACTGAACCTTTTAATGACTCTCACATATCTTCTAATTATTCCTTCAGATTCTGCTTTAGTTTGTGTCCTCATTCTGTCTCATTGATATTATTATTTTACCACTCTAAGTGGCTGTGGTGTTGCTGTCCAGTTTCTTCATGTCTACTGGAGTTCTCATTCCAAAATCAAATCTGATCATGTCACTTCTTTGCTTAAACTCTCCAATGACTCCCACTGAACTGTAGGAAAATTCCAAATGTCTTAGTAAAAGATATGCTGATATTTTATTTTTCTTTCGTGCCTCTCTCCCTGTTAAGTCTCCCTTTCAATTATAATGTGGAACAACATCTCTGAACACTGTTCCTCATCTCCAGGTGGCAATGTGTGTATGATTCTTTGATACTTAGCTGAAATGTTATTTGCTCTAGAAAGTCGTCTAAGACGCTCTTCATATTTCTTTACTCCAATCACACACTAAATATACTGTTATTTAACATGTAATATTTTCCACATTGCACTGTAGTTTATTTGGTACATTTTTATTTGCCTCAAATTTGTGCTTTTCAAGGATTTTCTTGAAGAAGGGATATCTGGCTTTAAATGTGTCCTTTATTATATGCATGAAGGCATAGAAAAGTATGAAGATTAATGATGTTAGCATATATGCACCACTTTCTTATCAGTTAATTACCTCCAAAGGTCTAAACATCTCTCTCTTGAAATAAGTTTTGCCTTTGTCCATTGATCTTTCAATAAACTACCCTTTTCTGACCTCAGGTAAATAAATTAAAATATCTGTAGTTCTTTTAATTTGTAAAATTAGCTTCTAATTATTTATTTAGTTAAGCCCTATAGTATGGCTGTAAAGAAGGTGGCCGGAAAATTGCAGTACAATGAATCCAAACCTATTTTTAGACTATTCAAATTAATGCTGTTTGTGACAAATACACAGTGGTTTATTTTATAAACCCTCCTAATAACACATGAAGCATGAATTACAGATATGAAGGGATATTTAAAAAGCAACAACAAAAATAATACACCAAAACATATGAGAAAAATGAAGTGAAATGGAGGTTACAAGAAGAAATATATAAAGAAAAGATGCAGAGAGTAAATGGAAAATCCTGAAAGATAAATTAATGTATGCCCAAAGGCAATGAATGCCATTTAGTTATAAATATACTGGAAATAAAAATGGAGCCAATTAGTATGAACAAGAAAATACAAAAATAATCAGGAATAAGGAAGAGCAATATGCAGGATAAGTTGTGTGAGACTCAAAACAGGATGGGGAGGATTATAAAATGAAGTCAAGGGAGTACAACATGATAAAGGAAAGATGGCAAATAAAGAGAAAATTGTGAGGATGATGAAGATAAATAAAACAACATTTTTCAACTGTAGGAAGGGCAAGAGGTCAGAACCCTCAGAGATGGAAGAGATAACTTATTGACAGCAAAGGTAGAGGTGATGATAAAATTAATTTTGGGGGATCTTCATTGTCCACAAATAGTGGAGAGGTTGATGAAGCAAACACAGACATACATTACCCAAAGAATAGGAAAAAACTGTTGAAGGAAATTAAGATTGTTATGTAATGTCTAATCAATTGAAGAAGTTTTCTTTTACATGTTTCATTCTATTTAAAACAAAAGTAAAATTAAACAATGCTACTACTGCATCTTGGCTACTATAAACATTTTTAGAGCCAATTGCAAGTGTCATGGACCTGCCAATTATGATACAGGACACTTTGAAAAATATCTTTAAGATAAATCAAGTAAACACTAAGATAGCAGAGTCAAGTTAAAAGATGTTGCCACAGACAGAGAAATACCCAGACCACCCTTTATGTATTTTATTTTAAATTTCAGGAGGAATGAATAATTACATAACTACGATTTTTCCAACTGAAATTTTTTAAAGATTGTTTTTTCTAAGTTGGATTTTAAGAATTAAAGAGCCAATAGATTTTTGTGTGTGATTTTATTTTGCTTCTAAGTTTACTTGAATCATTTCTTTAACCCTATTAAATAAATCTTCAAATAATAAACTGAAACATATAGATTTTTATAGAATTAGTCTAGAAGGCATTAATCAAATTCCCTAAAGAAAATTCACAAAAAGTCGATACCAAAATGCACAATTTTTAGTATTTTGTTTATTATCAACACTATAACTTTGACCTAGGAGCAAAATATTATTTGTTTTCCTCATGGAATTTTTATCAAATGTGCAAATTATTATTCTTTTGAATTGGTGATCTTGAATAGATTTTAGGCAGTTTGATATAAATTTGTTAACTAGAAACTAAGAAAATTCATGTATTATTAGTGTAATATCTAGCTGTCCATAGCAAAGTATAGACCTTATTAGGTAAATTACTAGATATAATTTTACAGATTTTCCACAATCTACATTATTTGACAACGGTTTAACATCAGAAAGAATCATCCAAAAAAAGTGATTCAGCATGTGTAGATACAGGATCTGTTACTTGAAAAAATAGCATATTTAATGCTGTGAGGATACAAAATTAAAATTGGACCTCAACACATAATAAGAGAGAGACTATCTATCTGTGCTACCATAACCAAGGCAGAGAAGGAAAACTACGATTAAAGAGTTTCTGATAAAATGCTTAGGGAATTTGGAAAATGGAGAAATTAGTGGTAATAAAACTTCTTTTCAATTGGTCATTCAAAAAATATTTTAGAATATATAGGAGCTGAATATAAAAATAAGAGTAAAAATTAGACAGCTGGAAATGTGAAGTAAGCTTTCTAGAAGAATCGAAAAACCCAAAACAAGGAGGTGCTAATCTCTATTAAGTTCTTAGTATGTACCTGGTGTTTTACACACCTTCTGTCATTGATCTTCGGAATATTTGTGCATTGAAGCAAAAATAGTTGTGGTTGTAACTTCACAGAGTTGGTTCTTTCAAAGGTGGGTATGATTATTGCTATTTTACATATAAATCGATTTAGAATTAGCGATGTTAAAAAACTTGTCTAAGGTCCTGTATGACCTAAGTGAGAAGGCAAGATTCAATTTCGGGAAGTTCTATGTTTATAATCCAGGCTCTGTAATTTCTTGCTGGTGATTTGTGTGGTGTATACATAGAAGATCCGAGTGAGATTTCAAAGTGGAGGTGATGGTTGGTGCTAGATCATGGTGCACATTTTCGAGTGCTTAAAAGGCAAAGTATGTCTGATATGCCTGACAATTACGGCAATGTGCAAATAGAGGGATCAGCATTGTCACACAAACTATCCACCAGAAAGTTAGCAGCAGGAAACTGAATCAGGAATCTAGAGATTTTGATCTGAAAGGATGATTGCCAGATTTCCCTAAGACCTAAAGCAACAGAGTCTTGTGCCAAAGCATTTGCTGAATATCCTGTCCTAATAGATGGCTCAGGTTAGCTTCTTATTTATTTTACTCCTTAGGACTGGAGAAGAGAAGCCAAAGATGAAAACAGAAAAAGGCACAAGATAAGACAAAGTATAGGAGATAGGGTCATAAGGTTTTAACACAAATTGGGTGGTCAGTTGTTTTACATGCTACAGAGAACTTTAGAACATTTCTTTTCCTTATTCGGGTGTACTACATCCTCTATATTATAAGAACTAAGACTACTGTTCCACCTTCCTTTCCTGTGTCTTGTTAGAATGAAACTATTTATTTATTTATTTATTTATTTTATTTCCCACACAGAGTCTCGCTCTGTTGCCAAGGCTGGAGTGCAGCGGCCCAGTCTTTGCTCACTGCAACCTCCGCCTCCTGGTTTCAAGCAATTCTCGTGCCTCAGCCTTCTGCGTAGCTGGGATTACAGGCACCTGCTACCATGCCTGGATAATTGTTGTATTTTTAAGAGACAGGGTTTTCTGGAAATCCTGGCCTCAAGTGATCCGCCTGCCTTGGCCTCCCAAAGTGCTGGGAATTACAGGCCTGAGCCACCGTGCCTGGCCTGGAACTACTTAAATTAGTACATGTACTCTGTGAGAGTCCTTTTTCCTTGAAATATCTTTCTTCCCCTATCTGCAACATGGTAAAATTCTGTGCGTACTTCAAAACCAAGCTTTCTTGATTTTTCCAATACATGAACCCTACTGATTCTTCATTGGGGCATAATTTTTCTCTCTTCTAAAGTTTCCCAGCATTTACTTGGTACTTATAATATCATACTTGTAATTGTCTAGCACATATTATAAGTATCATGCTCAGGTTTTATATTTTTATTAGATTGTAAGCTCCTTAGAAAGTGTTTAATAAATATTTCTTAAATAATGAAATGCTGTCCCTCCCACTTCTCACTCCCACTCCTAAATGAATCCTAAACTACTTCTGTGAGAGAACAAAATAATTTCCAAGTAAAACTCCAAGGAAGGAAAAAATTAAATTTCTGTTATATAATAGCACAAGAGTAAGGTGAATCTGTGCCTACAATATTATTCAGATGATATCTGTTAGTTTATGTAATGGATGATTGAATGTTTTTTTTTTTTTTTTGTTGTTGTTGTTTGTTTTTTTGCTACTGTTTCCTCTCTGATTTTTGGCTTATTGCGATGGGGAAAAATAGTTGAAAGAGATTTGGCTTCCCCGGTACCTCTTAAGACAACATCAAATACTTTATAAGGTCTTTCTCTACTCTAGAAATTGGTGTCTTTGTTAAAGGAACTTTTTAATCTTGCTCGTTGATCTTACTAAACATTTTAAAATTTGAGAAGAAGACATGTAACTTCTTCCACTCTCCATCTATTAGTAGTAATCCTCAAATAAGTTTCACTGTTCAAACTTGATTTCCCATGCAATTGCTATTTCCTTTATCTGACAATTATTTTTGAGTTTCTATTGTTTGGAACCCAGTTCTAGGTGTTGGGAATACTGCAGTGAAGAAGACAGGCAAGTCCCATGATCTGATGAAGTTAGTATTTTGGTGAGTTTGGAGACGATAAATCAAAATTGATTGACAAACATATAGAGGTGATGATAGGTGTTGTGCAGAGTATTAAAATGATAGGTGATATGCAGAGAAATATGTGATAATGATAGGTGGTATATAGAATATTGTGACAGCAAATGACTAAGTGGCTACTTTTTGAAATAGCCCTTAAGGAAAGCCTTGGCAAGCAGGTAAAATTTGAATGACAGAAAGAAGAAAACTATATAAAGAACAGTAGCAAGAGTGTTCTATTTTTCATTCTTTTTTTCTTTTCTGAAGACAGAGTCTTGCTCTGTTATCCAGGCCAGAGTGCAGTGGCTCAATCTCGGCTCACTGTAAACTCCACCTCCCGGGTTCAAGCAACTCCAAGCCCAATTAATTTTTTGTATTTTTAGTAGAGACAGGGTTTCACCATGTTAGCAAGGCTGGTCTCATACTCCTGGCCTCAAGTGATCCTCCTCCTTGGCCTCCAAAAGTGCTGGGATTAGAGGCATAAGCCACCCCACCTGGGCAAGAGTTTTCTAGACAGAAGAAACAGTAGGGACAAAACCTTTAGGACAAAACTGAGTTAACATGTTCCAAAAAAATGAATGAAGACCAGTGTGGCCACAGCAAAGTGAAAAGAAGGGAATGGGATGAGATGGAGCTAGAATGTTGGAGGAGGTTGAATGATGCAGAGAATATTAAACCAGGATTAGATGGCAGATTTTTTTCTAAATAGAATGAAAATTATTATAAAGTTTTGAATAGGAAAATGGCTTGACTTCATTTACACATTTAAAAGATCATTCTGGCAACTCTTGAAAAAGGTAGGATAGGAGAGTTAGAACATAAGTATGGTGACCAACTGGAAGCTTACTATAGTAGTCCAGAGAATGATAATGGTGACATGGACCATGATTGCTTAATGGAGACAGAAAAAAGCAGATGTGTTCAGGTGGCTTTAACACAGGGCTGAGAGGTCACAGTGATTATTTAGACTGGGGTGTGTTCAGATAGGAGTCACGAATGAATCCTAGATTTTTACCTTGTACAACCAAGTAGTTAGAGTAGTTCATTTATTATGGTAGGAAATAACAAGAGAGAAACAGATTTTGAGTGGGAAGGAAAATAAGTATTCTTGTTTAGTCTTGTTAGTTTAAGATGCATATTAAACATCCAAATAAAGACATCAAAGAAACAGTTGGATGTATAGGTCTGAAGATCTATGGTCAAGACTAACTGTAGAGATTTTCATCCCGAATAAAATCATCTAGACTATTGCAGATATTAAGGAAATAAAGGGGTTGAAGATCAATCCCTGGGAATCTCCACAAATAAGAGGTGAAGAGGAGGACGCAGAATTCCCAAAGAGGCAGAAGAAACATTCCTTGACTGGCTGATGCCAAAGAAGCCCAGAGAAGAAGGTATTTTAGGACAGAGCACAACTGTGCCAAATACTGCTTTTTGCCACAGAATAGCCTAGGCCTTGGAAATATGAAAAGTAATATAACCTGGCCCCTGAACCTGAAGTTCGTATTCTAATGGGAGACACAGGGAAACAGACAATTTTACGCTGATGTATAATTGTGATAATTCAGGGTATTATAGGAGCACGTAAAAAGGATACATCCAACCAGACTTGGGGGTTGGGGAAAGCGATTAGGAATGGCCTTTTGGAGGAAAAATGAGGAAATGTGGCTAGGTAGAACAGCATTCCTGGTTAAAAAAGAAATCTGGAAAACCAACTTAAACTTTGGTAACTTGTAGGTAGGCTTCCAGGATGGATAGAACTTCGATTCAGCATAGGATATAACACTAGAGAGATAAGCAGTAGCCAGATCACGGAGAACTTTGAAAGTTATAGTAAAGAGTTTGAACTGTTTTTCCTAAAGGCTATTGGGATTCATAGAGAAATTATTAACAGTGAACAACTAGAAAAACTGTTTGCATTTTGGAATAATCTCTCTGGCAGCCAGCCCCAGGAGAATGGCTTAGAGTGGGTCAAGAAGTCTGATGTGAATATTGTTTATGAACCTATGGTAGAAATTCAATTAATAGATGATGAGAACCTGAACTAAAGAAGAGGAAGCAGAATTTTTTTTTTTAAATCCCAAAGTCCATGTGTCTCATAATAGGTCATAAATAGTAAAGATGGACACTATTTTTAATTAAGACAGAGGGTAGGTTTGAGCCAATAAATGGAGCTCCTTAATTTGGAATTTGGTCAGCAAAAACTGGTAAATAATTCCTGACAGATGGCAACACAGAATCTTCTGTGACCATTAACATCAAGATCTCTGCTTTATGCTTCATCCAAGAGATGCAACTTCTGACAATTCCAATTCTTTAATACGTCCTTTTCCATAAGAGTGCTCTTCCCTTTTACGGAAATACAGAGGTCTCTCTTAATTAATAATGTTTGTAATAATGTTGATAGTTAAGATAATAATTATTTGGAGACTTTATATACTACATGAGAATTGGCACGTGCCTCTTGGGTGGCTAATAGGTGACATATCAAAGGGCTGAAGATTCAACTGGAGATCAGAAGCCATCTCCAAGGATTTTGATAAATTGGATTTCTAATTCAATCTTGAGTACATTTAAAAAAAATTTTTTTTTGCTTGTGTAGATCACTTCTGCTACTCACTTTCTCCCTAGTGTCTATAGATATAGCTTCTCTCTCTGCAATTCTGGAACCTTAGATTCCCTAAAAATGTGGAACTCATGCGTGGAACGTGCCAATGGCATTTCTGGTGGTAATGTTCTGAGACATGGACGGTGTTACAAAATTTTGTTCAGAGATCTACATAGAGACATTTCCCATTGTTAATGTCAACTAAATTGGCCAAAATGTGTTCCAATTTATGTATCAAAAATTATGCAATGAGAAATTTAGAACATAAAACATTAAGAACCCATATAAATGTTTACTTTGTTAACTAGTTTCAAGAATTGCCTGAATCTCTTATTTGATAATTAAGCATGTGTTGCTTGGAGATATCACCTGTATTGTGCTATTTATTAGTACTTAACTCTTCCACCTTCACATAGTCACAGACTGTTTTGTAAGCAATCAAAATGCTAGAAATCATTAGAAAAATGCTGTAATTATACAGGTGAGGAAACTAAGGTCCAGAGATATAAATACTTCTTATATTTCTTAGTTGGTCAGAGGCAGAACTGGAATGCAAACTCAGGTTTCCTGTTTTCAAGTCCAATGTCTTTGCTTAAAACTCTTGGACAGAGGAAATATATCTAATATTAAAGATCATTTTTTTTTTTGCTAAAATTTATATCGTGTTGACTTGTTGCTTTTAAGTTGTTGATGCCTACAATGTCCTAGAATAATCTTTTGATATTTATTAAGAGCAATGTGATTTTCAAAGTTCTTTTTTATTTTTGAGATGAGGTCTTTCTCCACCACCCAGGCGCGATTGCAGTGGCACAATCACGGCTCACTGCAACCTCAAACTCTTGGGCTAAAGCAATCCTCCCTCCTCAGCCTCCTAAGTAGCTTGGGACTACAGCCGAGCACCACCATAATGTGCTATTTTTTTTTTTTTTTTAATTCCTTGTAGAGATGGTGTCTATTTTGATCAGGCTGGTTCCTAACTCCAGGCCTCTAGCAGTCCTCCTACCATGGTCTCCCAAAGTTCTGGGATTACAGGCATGAGCCACCAGTCTGGCCTTCTGAAATGTGATTTTATAGGAAACTTGCATTGTCAAAATAACCATTGAAATTTTCTCACTTTCTTTTCTCACCTGAGAACAAAAATCACATTAACTCAATCTTTCCAGGCCTTTTTGAAACTCTATGTAATTAGCCCTTTTTAAAAGAAAAAAGTGTTTGTAAATATCATATTTCCTCATTTTAGGTTTGGGAATGAAGTGATAAACTACTTTATGATGTCACCCTATAGTAAAATTTTCCTACCGAAATCATGAAAACATTACTTTCTGTAAATATAATTGTAGTCAAGGGTTCCGTTTTCTAATGTAAACTAAATTAAAATAAAAGTTAAAACCAACAGGCACATTATTGTGTGAATAAAAACTAAGCATAATATTTCCCAAATGTATTATGATAAACATTTTTGTTCTTATATCTCCTTTTATAAATACTGACCTGCACATATCTCCTATCAAGGCACATTTCTTGAATTTTTGGGTGAGGCAGAGAAAGAAGCTTCTACATTTTTCTTTATTTCTTTGCATCGATTTTGGAAGAAAACAGTATAACCAGAAAAGGACATATTGAGGGATGAAGGCACTGGCAAGAAATGAATTCTGAAGAAGAGTCACAAAGAGAAGAAATTAAGAACATTTTCCTAAGAGTGACAATATTTTTCAAAAAAAGAGGCAATAGAAAAAGGGGGAAATTATGAAAGGTGTTGATGATAGTCCTAGACTGGAGAGCTCAAGTTATTCATAAACACAAATAGGGTATTGGTAGCATTTTGTCAGCTTGAGAAATGTAGATGTTGCAAGATGGAGTAAGGAAGGTTATAAGAAATTCCCTCAAAGTCAATGAACTTCAATGAAAGTATGCCTAAGAATCATTTGCAAGAAAAAAGTATTGCCTAAGATAATGAGGACTCAAAAATTCAGTGGAGAAAACTAAGGAATTTTGTTCCTACCACTTAATAGAAAAACATTTTAAAAAATTGTGGTGTAGCACCAAACATAATCAAAAGATTTTTCTATTTCTCATATCATACTATTATGTAGATAGTACATGTTTAAATCAATCGCACCCTAATGGAATATGTTGACATTTTATACATATTTTGTTTTATATGAATTACTCCATGATTTTAATTTACTAGATATGTATGCATTTTATCAGTTGGTTTTTTTTTTTACATTAAACAGATGGTACTTACTATCCCTTTTATTATAAATGATTAGAATTTGGCTACCCACTCAATATTTTTATTTTGTCTTTCTGATTTATAATGTCTGTGTTGATGATGAACTCCATTCACACATATAAAAACATACATATACATACATAAGTATCCTATATAGAAAAATCAACTATAATCATTTAATATTTTGAAAGAAAAACTTATATAGAAGAATCTGTTAGTATAGATATGTTGCATAGCTATCTATTTCCTTATAGAAGGAAAATATTTCATCCATGCAGCATATTTATAGACATGTATGAAATATTTTCCTTCTATAAGGTCCAGGTTTGTAAAGAAAATAAGTGCCTTTTCCTAAAAAATAAATGCTTCCTCTTTTTTTTTTACTTTACATATTTTCTTTCAATCACAAAAATATATTTTATTTTAAATATATTTTTGCATAATGTCATATTAAATGTGGCTTTTAATGATTGGTTTTGGTGATTTTTGAAGATTTTTGTATTTAGATGGCATACACATTTTCAATCATGTCTTAATTACTTTTAAAAATGCTGCACTGGCTTAGGGACAAGACAGATAACTTGTTAAGCATTTGAAATTTCTGAGCTGTTTTCTCAGTTCTGGCAGTCACTACCCAAGTCCAGATTGTAACCTCCTTTCTGCCTCCAAAGCCTGCCTTGGCTCCGTGTCCAGTGAGGGATTATGGATTTAGCAAGGAAGGTAAGTGTGACTACAAGCATTGGCTCACCATCTGCTCCCCAGCAGAGCATGGGCCAACCTGCATCGCCTGCAGCAAGACCAGGGCACTGTTCTGCAGCCAGCCCTTTCCAACCTGGCTCAAGGCACACATCACATTCAGTCAGATGATTAGGTCTAAGTAGTCCATATGTAACAGAATATTTTTCCTAAATACCAAAATGAAAACAAAATGAATGCCATTTTTTTCATTCTCCTTACTCGATACATCAAGTTTTACACAAATAAATACTCTCTTAAGGTTTATGCAAATGATAGAAAAATAAAACTATGCATTATTTAGCAGTTCTCCTATTTCAAGATCTAACAGACTTTATTCACAGCATGTTTTTCCCTAGTTTATGCTGGCCTTCTTTTCTGATTCGACTTTTTAATTCATCTTTTTAAATTATTCCTTTTTAAATCATTATCTTATGTGTCTTCATAGATTTTCATGTATTAATCTATTATTAATTTTTACTATACTCAACTTAATCTTAAATTGTTTAAAGCTTTAAGAGTAAACACTTGCCTATGCTTTAAAAATAGCTTGTACTTTAACATTTTACATATTTGATCCAGTAGCCTCATTCAAACCTGTCAAATAAATTATAATTTTATTATGTGCATTTTTCTGCACAGAAGAACCAAGCATTAAAGAGGAAAGTTAACCTTTGGGTTCAGGAATCAAGAATATTTTTCAGTTCTCAAGAATTAAGATTTCTAGCCACCTACATTAGCACATTTTCTTTTTTTGTATTTATCAATAATAGCTATTATGTGTTTTTGTATTTTGCTTCAGGTCAAGTGCCTAAAAAAAAAAAGATTTCCATAAATAGCAGAAAAACATGTAGTTGAAAGTAGCTTTCTGCTTCCTTTAGCCCTGTTGCTGATTTGAGCACACAGAGTGAACATGAAAATAAGCTGAACAAACATCTCACCCTTTTTACTTAAACTGTTGTCTGCCTGACTGCAGAATGCACACAGAAAACAATCTAAAATTGTATAACCCATAATACAGTATATTAAATTACAACATTGGTCAGTAATGGAAACTTATTCCCAGATATAAATTATTTACAGCCCATTTAAGTAATCCATATTCAGGTGTGGTGATGAAAAAAAGTGCAACATAAATCTTTAATGCTGACCGGTTGAGAAAGCAGAGCTGAGGATTACAGACATTTTAAAGAAAAAAACTAAACGAATTGATATAGCCTGTTCAGTGGCTTACTGCACCAGCGTGCTAATAAATTGACGGATGGCGTGTCAGGGGTAGGAGTTGAAATCCTAGCATTTCTAACTAAGGCGGGATCTAATATCAGACTACCAAAATAAGGAGTTTCTGAACCTGGTTGTCACAGGAAACAGCCTGTGCATCTTTTTGTATATGCAAGTGTTCAAAATATCATATTTCAACATGAAAATCCATGAAGGATTTTTTTAAAATTAACTCAGTAACTGCATTAGTAATTTCAACGAGCCACATAAATTGTGTTATAAAACAGAGAGGGTATATTAAAGGTAAGCGTTTCTTTTTCTTCTTCAGGGAGTTGGGGCCAATGCTTTATTTTGGGAAATAAACTTATCAAAGAAAATCCCTTTAATCCTGTTTTACATTTCCATAGTATATAGAATAGAATTCATCAACCAACTTAAAGGGGGAAAGGAAGCAAAGACTTCTGGAGTGTTTCGCACTATTTTTAATACAAATTGTGCAAGTTGTTAGCTACTTCAGTTTGAAGTATAAAAGATCATGGTGGGGGAAGGGGGGTGGTGCCTTCATGTTGCAATTTCTTTTGTTTCCTGGAGCAGTACCTATATTAATTCATCTTACAAAGATCATTGCTCAAGAACTAAATTTTGCATATATTAGAAAGCAGAATTAGCATTGCAGTGTGTACAACATTCCACGCTAACTTCTCTCCAAGCAACCATTAAAGGTCATGTTTTGACGACTGAATGGCATGTCGGCACCTTGGTTCCCTGGAGAGGCATTCCCCAGGTACATGCAAAAGGTTATTAAATTACCTTCCGAGCAACACTATCTCTTCGGATGAAAATAATTACAGGCTTTTAGAGGCATCAGAATGCTTTCTTTCTTTCTCTCTCTCTCTCTTTTTTTTTTAATAAGATGAAGATGCAGTACCTAATGACCATTTTTGTGTGTGAGTCATATAGCCTGTCAGTGGTGACAGGACAAATGAGCGTAATGGCATAGCTTAAAGGGGAAAGGTTCATTTTAAATAGTGACAAATAATATTTAAATGGCATTGTTGGAGACCCATCATGCTTGTAAAATGTAGTTTGTATCTCTTCTTCATCCTTTAATTTCATCACTGTCAAATGGCATTAGCTGTTAACATGCAACATCAGGTGCAGATATAATTTTTAACTGTTAAATGTGCCCATAACCAAACATAATATATCTTGATTTTTCCTGATTTTTTTGGTACTATGGATAACTCATTCCATATTTCAAAAGACAAAATGTATCTAGGGATTTGATTGTAAAGACAACTTTACTAGATGGATAAAATAACAGCTTTAAAATATAATTCCTTGAATGTTATTTCTTGTCAAGGTTCAAAAATGGGGATAACTTAATTGTTAGGCTAACTGTAATTAACTGATTGGTAATATCATGGACAAGATTACTAGCTGTAGTGATTTGGTCAGAATAGTCGTGGGCAAACCAAATATAATGACCTGTATACTGTCTATACTTGGAATAAGATGGTGAACATAAAAAGGATTTTCCTTTCATGCAAATGTATAACTTCAGAACATGTAATAAGTGTAAATCACATCACCGACAAGAAACATTTTTCTATTCTTTGTCTAGTTATGGAACTTGAAAAAAGTTAACCGAAAGTCTAGGCTGTCTTTTCAGTTTTCTTGAGATAATACAGTGCCATAATAAAAATATATGGAGAATTGGTAACTGCTGATATATCCTGTGTATGGAATTGCAATTCTAATTTCAAACTTTTATATAAAGCCTTCTAATTCTTAAATATTTTTACACAGCTTCATCACATTTATTGCTAGTTTATTTTCAGATTACTTAAGCCAAAACTGGAGACAGTTTAGGTACCTTTGAGTTGTTAAAAGTTATAGCCAATTTTCTCAAAAATTATACCAGCTAAAAACACAACATTAAATATTTACCCTGTTGGATGTTAAAAAACGCTTACAATGAAAAATGTTCACATATTGACTATTCAAAATGGCCTTCACTTTGAAATTGTGAAATGGAAGGGATTGCAGATGTACAAGAATAAATATAAAAACAAATGAGTTGACTTGAAGTGTTGCCGGCTTTCATAAACATGCTACTGCAATAACATGTGACATTAATATTTAATTACAAAAGCACTGCTGCAAAATCTTTGAAATTAATGTTTTGCAAAATTAACATTCAGTGCACAGAAGCAAAGTCGTTCCAGGCGCGACTGTGATTAACAATGCCATTCACTTTACATATTATATTAATATATTATTCAAGCTACGAATTAACACCTCCTAATTTAAATAAGGTGCTACATATCATGATGAGCTAAAATGCTTTTCTTAAAATGGCCCGTCTGATTTTAAGCAATCTGTGTTTATCATTTAATATTTTGTTATTGAATACTGTTCTCCGTAAAACTCCTTCCACTTTAATTTCAAGCAGAGGAGACCTCATTAAACTGGTGCCTTCCGTTTCTAGGACTGTTAAACCATTTGAACCATGTTTTGTTTGCTAGCTAAGCCAACAGTACTGAAATACTACTGTGTGTATGAGTGTGCTCGTAGACAGCCATACTTTTAGGGCTCTTAGGGATCCTACCAAGCAATGTGCTTCTTTGCTTTCAATGAGACACTTGTTTGCACGAATGTCACCACTATCATTGTGTCACAGATTTCTACTTATTCATTCCGACTGAGGTGAACGCGGTTCCTTGGAGGGAGGAGCTGCAGTTTCAAAACTGCCTCTCATACTGAACCTCAGAGCTTACCAGTTCCCTCTGAAAGTGTGAAGAGACTTGGAGATGATGTGAATTTCTCATTCTAAACTATGAATGTGGGATAATTGTCATTCCTGTTCGGAATCCATTTATCAGGAAGGAATTCAGAGGGCCATCTCTGTTTTACTGAGGCCACCAATGCAAGGGAGAGGTTCTTGTTTGAAGAAAAAAAAAAAATACCTGAACAGGTAAAATTGCTCTGTAGACAACATCATTCTAGAGCCTTAAAATCTTGCTCCATCATGACAACTTTGGGGCAACAAACTTCAATGATAATTTGTTACCGTAGCATTTTTAATATGTTTGAACTGAAAAGACAATTATTGATGTTCTGAGAAAATATTTATAAACAAAAATCCATGCCTAAGACACTGCAGGATAATCTTGGCACATTCTAAAACAGTTTCTAAGTTATGGTTCCTTAGTTTCCCAGTCAATCAACAAATACATGGAAATTATGAAATCGGGCTGCAACCATCTCACAATTTTAGAACCCTGGAATGAGAAGAAGCTTTCATTTGTCGGTTTCAGGTTGAAGAATGATAGGCGTTATTTCTGTGTATCTCCTGTCTCATGTAATTCGGACACAGGTTCATTTATCTAACTGAATGAGTAAAAATTTTGAGATTCTAAAAAAAATTAAAAATAAAAAGATCTTTAGCAATGCAAAACCACCTTCACACCATGTATTTAACCTAACTAAAGAGTGTAGAGACCAGTGGGATATTAACCAGCAAGACATAAGTATACAGTTGCATTTTCCCACTTTGCTAAAAAAGCACCAAAACCCTTTATAGCACAAGAAGTTTCTCTTAAAGGGCTGGACTAATCTTGGTTGTCCTTACATTCAATGTCAATCTTTTATTATTTAATTTTTTTAGAGACAGGATCTCACATTGTTGTCCAGGCTGGAGTGAAGTGGTGTGATCATAGCTCAATGCAGCCTCAAACTCTTGGGCCCTACAATCCTCAGACTCAGCCTCCGGTGTAGCTGGAACTACAAACATGTGCCACCAGGCCCAGCTTGTCAATCATTTCTTGCTTATGTGCCTTCTAATTTTTTTTAAAATGTATTACACATCTATTCTTTTCCTGAAAAAAAAAGTTTCTTTAAATTGTTTATAAAGTGTTATTCTAGTTCAATGTTATATGTCATTTCAACAGTAGGAGAAACCCTAAATCAGAAAATTTCATGTACTTATTAAAGTAAAATTATAAATAATGGTTTTGATAATGATGATGCAATGGAACTTTCAAAGATTGTACACTTTTTAAGAAAGATTTATTTACAACTCAGTAACATTTTAGCTATTCAATTCGCAAAGGATGTGGAAGAAATTAGAATTTGTTAAGGTGACAGTTTATTTATGTGGAAATAATCTGCCTATGCCTTTCATGCAAAATAATTTGTAAAATGTTGGTCAATGTGAGCTGGGTTGACCATCAGCTCTGCAGTATTTAATCCAAAGATAAAAGGATATTCCATAGTTACAGAAATATTTTAAATTCTGAGTTAAGCAAAGAAATATTTTTATTCAGGACTTCTCACAGCCTTGATGTTAATTTGTATTGTGGCTCTCCAGGTAGAAAATATTATAGCACATGCAAATTCCCTCAAACTTATTTGACCATTGATAATTTTTCCATAGATCATCATGGAAAGTATGGGCCACATTTTAGAAAATACTAGTCTAAAAAAATGCTAATCAGAGTGATTGAAATGAAACCCCAAATATTTAGGTGTTTTGAAGGCAACCACATTTTAAAGATCATTATTTTATTTCAATGACTCTAGAAGGTAGAGAAAGGCAAATCTATTTTTTAAAAGTCTATTAAATGAATCTTAACATAATTTTCTGGTAGTAGCTTCTTAACAATATTTATTTATTTAGATGGCAGTAGTACATAAAGAAAGCTCTTTAAACAAATGTTTTCCAAACTATAAATTTCCCCGGAAAATATATCATAAAAAACTAAAAATCACTAAATATGTTAGGGTATTCTTTGCCAAAAGCAATGGGGGGCAGAGGGGCACATTTAAAATACTGCAATACAATGTAAATCAAACTACAAAGAATTGTAATGTTGTTCGAAAGTTGAGGACAATAAAGGTTATTCAGGGTGAAGCTTTGTCTTAATTCTTGATGAATGATGTCTGTTTCTTATGATTTAGTCCAAGATAATGGTATCTAGGAAATCCACATCTTGTAAATAAATATGTTCTATAAATAGTGAACTGATCCTTTTATTTATATTTTAGATAAGAAAAGTATAATGAGAATCTATGTTACTTCCTGGAGTAAATACCATTCTCTTTTATCAAAGAGAGAAATATCATATTCCTAATTCCATGCCATATCACAGCAAAGCTCCAGGGTACCAGAGTAGTTCATTTTCTAAATGCCAATTAGCAATTAGTTCGATCTTACTGATGTAGACACAAGATTGAAAAATGGGGAATCTTCTGACATTAATCCTCCCACCACAAGTCAGCTTAATTGCAAGCTAACATAATTACAGATGCCCAAATTCGGGCCACTACCATAGACATCGCCTATCCCGCCAGGTTAAAAAGCCATTCCTTGTAGAAGAAATGGACCCAAGAAACTGGTGACTCTGACCACCTAGGGCAAATTCTGCTCATCATGGCAAATATACTTTGTCCATTGAAGCATTTTGCTTAATGAAGGTGGAATTTGATTATAGTGTTATATCCAGAAATTCAGTAGTCTCACTCTCTCCCTCCCCTTTTCCCCCTTCTCTTCCTTTCCAGGTGAAAATCAGCTTTGAGGTCTTCAGTTATTTGCTGGACAATTCCCTGATGATATTAAAGCACCCAGTAGAAGAATGTGCCTTATCAAAAACATATATCAATCATGATGAACCTTTAAAATATATTAGTTGATTGCTTACGGCTGTTTTAGACTAAAAGACCAACACAAAATGGTAAGAATAGACTAGTAGTCCTTATACATGCTAAATAACAATCAAGAGTTCATATTAATGCACGTAACTTTTTGCAGTTATTGTCAGAAGCATACTTTGTGCATACGGCATCCATTCTTAAACTTTTGACCTTCACAGCTACAGCATGTCTATTGTCTTTACAACTCCAGTTTTCTCTCATAAAGACCTAAATGACCTTCTGGGTACTATATAAGCCCCAGACTTTGAAACTGGCTTTACTTACATACTATAATAGATATTTTAATAAAGACCAGTAAGATACATAAAGAGAACCGAGACAATTGGCTGAATATTTCCTATTTGCTCCTTGAGGCCATCTTACCACAAAATATATAATTTCTTTTTTTTTTTTTTTTTTTTTTTTGAGACTGAGTCTCGCTCTGTCATCGAGACTGGAGTGCAGTGGCGCGATCTCGGCTCACTGCACACTCCACCTCCTGGGTTCACGCCATTCTCCTGCCTCAGCCTTCTGAGTAGTTGGGACTACAGATGCCCACCACCACGCCTGGCTAATTTTTTCTTTCTTTTTTTTTTTTTTTTAATTTTTAATAGAGACGGGGTTTCACTGTGTTAGCCAGGATGGTCTCGATCTCCTGACCTCGTGATCCACCCCCCTCGGCCTCCCAAAGTGCTGGGATTACATGCGTGAGCCACCACACCCAGCCCACAAAATATATAATTTCATACATTGGAAAAATAAATGATAAAATAAAATAACTAATGGATTAGCATCCTCTAGGCAGTTTCCAACTTTTCTTTGATATGAAACTAGTTATGGTCCATTCTGAAGATACTAGCCTTACTTTTAAAAAGGCAAACAGTTTTCTTATGTTCATGAGTGTAGAGTTCTACATGAACTCTCCTAACTATTACAGATGTTGAAACTCAGGCAAATGATAAAAATCCCTGGTCATTCCAGTTAGAATACATACAGGAGGCACAAAATGCAGTATCAGTGAATCAAAGATATGCTTTTTAAAAAATATGCTGAAAATTAAACTAATTATAAACATGAATAGATATTGACTTAAAGTAGTTTTCACTGAGGGAAGATAGTCCAAAAATCTGTTTTGTGATGGTAAAATATATTTTTATATACTCTCTCCATTTTTAGGGTATAAACAAAAATTAAGAAAATAAAAATAAAACTACGATAATATTATTGCAAGGAGATATTTTATAATAAGTGCTTATTTTAATGTGTTGTCAAAAAGGCCTATTATATTTCAACTAACTGCCACTAAGTTTAAATTGAAATGGTGGACTCAAACCATTCTTCTTCTACAGATCTTAATATCTTATCATCCATATGCATATCCTTCCAAGAAACAAGAGAGTAAGGTAGCATAAATATATTATAGCAGAGAAATTGAGGCCTAGAAAGGTAATGCACTTGCTCAACCATACATAGAAATTAGCTTAGCTGAGGCTAAAATTCACATTGCTAGATTTCAGATTTATTCATTGCTTTACACTCGGACTCTGGAGTTTGTTGTGAAACACAGGAAAAGCTACAATCCCTGCACATAGGTTAACAATGTCATCATACTAATACAAAAGATATTTATTATACATTAAGAGATTTACATGAAAGTCTAGTTATGTAGGTAAATACAAATATCAAAAAATAGAATGCATTAATTGGCTTCAGCAGAGATATCTTCACATGCAAAGTGACCCTCACTCAATTTCAACATAAGAAACTGAATTATTTTAGAAAATTACAAGCTAAATGACTGCATTACTTTCCATCTTTAAGAATGAAGGTGAATTAATATATGCCATGGATAGGCACTCATCCTAAGGAACTGATCAGAATTACTGCCACTGAGGAAAAGACAGGAACTGAAGACTTCTTGGAGACAGTGGTAGGCTCCCATGCCTGTTAAATAGACTTTGATGAATTGATCTTTTTTCAACAATAGTTGATGTTTTCAGCAGTCCCTTTTATCCTCTCACTCAAATCGATCTAAATTTCCAAGTTCAGAATGAACATTTTTATTGGCTAGCTTTCCTAAGTGTTGACTAGATGAACAAATAAAAATGCAATCTTCAAGTTTCTTCTGAACAACTTCCAACAATGTCAATAAAAGAAACTTTGGAGGGTCTAAATAACTTGATAATCTTAAGAGTCCTTTGACATGTTATATTTGTATGTGTTGTTCAGGATGTTAGGAGTTATTTCATTCCTTCCAGTACCCACATTTCTCTTATCGAACAGTTACAGATTTTTAAAAATCTACTCCACATAAACATCATAATCAGGAGGCGATTCATAGAGAATGGAACACCTTCTGACTTAATTTACTTTTCCCATTTCCTTATTTGGAAGATTGGAGGTAAATCTCCATATAAAAAGGATCTGGCATTTTCAGCATTTTCTAGAAGATCAGTATTGAAATGACAGGTAGTGGAGGCATGGGAAAAACTATCACCATTGAAATTTTATAATGATTATTTAAAATCACAAATAATTCAGACTATCCTTAGGTGTAAGATGGAATGAGAATAGTCGCACATGTAAACGTGTACCTCTAGTTTGCTGCTCACACCTACAGACCAACATACATGGACACCTTTACCACTTTTAGCAACGTGAATGACTTCATAAGCATTAATTGAGATGAAGCTGACACTTCAGAAAGCACTCTAACCTCTAATTATGGTTGTAATGAAGCACCAGTTTAACACTGTTTGGTTTTATTCTTCATTAACAATTGAAAATAACAGTTTTTTTTTAATCCTGAAAATAGGCAAGTGCAATTTTTCAGTACTGGAAATTTAAGAAAGAGTTAAAATATCATAAAGAATGACAAAGGCACTTTCGAAAAAAATAGTGTGGCTATCAGAGTAGAACATTATTTCAGAGAAATAGCGCACATTTGATGACTGTCAGAATTTACATAACTTACTCTGCATGAATTAACTATGAGGCATAAAATTCAACTTTGGCTTAAACACACACGCAGTAATTGTCATGTGACATTTTGAGGCATTGTGAGTATGACATCAAGGTATTGCCTAAATCACCAACACAAATATGACAAAAATGACTGTGACATATGACCTTAGTGCCCCAATAGGTTACTGGGGAAAAAATATGATCATGTCAGCAAAAGAGCTGGAACAAAAATGGGTCCATATCTGACAGTATGTTTAGGACATTCTAGTTGAAATGGATACTTTGTCAATTGAGTGTCCATGATCATCACTCTGATTTATTAGGGTAACAAACTGGGCTCACACAAAATAACTTACAGATATCAAAATCTCTCAAAATTATGAACCGTGAGGAAAATCAAATTCTAATATTTAACATCTGTCTTAGGATTCTTACCATTTATCTTCTGATCAAAATTTCAAATGGTGCCAAAAAAAAAAAAAAAAATCACGAAGTCAAAAGGACTTGGTGGGGGTATCTTTGTTTCTCTCCCAAAGCCTAAAAGTTATACTCAACTGCAGCACAAAGAGTAAAGAGGTTGTTATTCATATTAACTACATTTACATTCCTAACGCAACATCCAGAGAGCTAATAGTGGGGTTATTAACATAACAAACGTAAATGTTCTATATAAATAATACTGTTTCAGGCCAGCAACCGCTCATCTGACAGCATTTAGGCACAGGCTCAACATCTGTTTATGAACACTTTGCCTAATGATATCATCAGATATCATTAAGTGCGGCAGAATACAGCATAGAGGCAGGTGCAGCTGCCTTCACAACCCATCACAGAGAAAGAAAAGAGCTGCATTCCCCATCCGAAAACCCATCATTAGGACAATTTTCTTCGACAAACCAGCCCTGTGATTTCAATCTGTATATCACCTGTAATTGTAGTTTTTAGCAAGAAGCTGATTCTATACATTTAGCGACGAATCACGTTGATGGCCTGAATACTGGAAACACATTTGTGGTACCAGCTGCGGCAGCTTTTTTTAGAGCCTGTGTTAACAAAATACTGCTAACAAGGCAATGCTGGGAGTGCAGCTTTGTTTCTCTTTCTTGTTCATAGTGTTTAGATGTGCATAATTATGGAAATTAGCAATTGATTGCTTCTCAATAATAATTGATTACTGGTCACTGAACTCTTCTGTAGCACTTTACCGAAGGTGAGGACATGAGATAAGTGAATTCTTACCAGTTCCAACCATATAGAAAGAAAGAGACCAAAAAGACCTCTCGATTTGTACATCAGTTTCCATGATAAACAGACCAAAGGGATAATAGAATATCCCAGAATCTAGTTTGCCCTGAAGCAAATTGTAGAGATCATAGCAAGCCTGCAGAATTCTCCCTGTGGACCATGTAAGAAACATACATCATTTTTATATGTGTCAGTTGGTCTTTGATTTGAAAATATTTCTACCCATTTAATTTATCTCTTTCAGTCAGTTTTCTTAAATTGTACAATTTAAGGGTTATATCAAAAAAATGAATACCAATTTTCAACACCTCTCAAATTGAAACAAACTGACAAAATAATGTGAAGTCTCTTTTTGCAAAGAGGTACAAATTCAGAAGCCTATCGTCTCAGACAGATAGCGAGCACTTCAAAATGATTCTCCTCTTTTTGATCTGCTGTATATCCATCAACATTTTGGTCGGTGCCGACTGACTTGTTTCAGTATAGCATAATGTAGGGAATGTTACTTGATGCTGCAGCTAACATTTAAAGGAAAATGCACTTATTTTTGGCTTAATCACTACTGTCAATTTGGACATAACATATCCAATTCAAAATTACTGCAGTACATGGAAGCCTCACAGACAATAAAGAATCCGTGGTGTTTGTGAAATGGGAAACACCGTGACTCATGGTGTTTCAAAGATGGAAAGACCAGTAGGGAAAAAATTAACTCTTTATTTTGGAAGAATAATGAGCTTCCGAGTGTTCAATGTAATCCTCTCCCTGGTGTGTTTGTGAGTGTGTGTGTGTGTGTGTGTGTGTGAGTGTGTGTGTGTGAGAGAGAGTGTGTGTGAGAGAGAGTGTGTGTGTGAGAGAGAGAGTGTGTGTGTGAGAGAGAGAGTGTGTGTGTGTGTGTGTGCTCATTTGTACAGGACATGACTGTATCGTGGCAGTCAACTTTACAACCTGATTCATAAAAAATGCAGCTTGGTTAAAGTTAGTATGCTCAATTTCAATAGTGTTTTTATCCCAAAATGGGTAGCAGATTGTACAATCATGACTCAAAAAAATATGCACAAGTTATAAGAATTAGGCAACAGTTTGAGAATAAAACTGAATCCCTCCTCTCTGCCCACAGAAGGATTTCTCATATAATGAACAGGTGCAATTTCCAGAGATCTCCGTTCACTGAGATGGCAAAAGCCACTGTTTGTTGCTTTCCCCAGCAGCAACACAAGATAATATGGTGATAAAACTGCAATCAGAAACTAAAAAGCCACATCACATATATGTACAATTCTATTCTCTTAGTATACACCTTGCAAACACAAATTCATATGCCTAGCATTCTAGCTCTTTCTTAAAATGTATGCACTGAATAACAATTATAAATTTTTGCACTACTCTGTACCCAAAGCCTGCAAAAAAATGAAAGAAACTGAATTTAGGCAATGTGTGTGAGTCCATGTGCTTACACCATTATGTTAGTGCCAAAAGCGTTAAAAAAAAATACAGACAGATTCCCTGTAATTTATCTCTGAGTTTATTATCAGCATGACATTTTAATGTGTGTTATTAAAATTATATTTTAGGGGTTGGGGTGGGGTTCAGGTGGAAGAGTACTTTGGAATATTGCAAGAAGTTGCACATAAAAATGATTTTGGTAACCTAGTGATGTCCTTGACACACTTTGGCACTACACAGTGTATCTGCTTAAAGAGACATATGGCTGGAATGGCAGAAGTCAGAATTTGAAGGGTATTAGTAAAACCATGTGGGGGAAGCTTGAACTGATACTGGCTTAGGCTAATTGTAGCTCTTTGATTTCATATGCTCCAAACCCATAAAATAATTTTAACTACTGAAACCATAATTTCCATTTTTTGAGATAGTTTTAAATCACATTACTAGGAAATGAAATTGAAAATAAATCCACTTGCTAATAATAATGCTGGGTGACTTTAAAATGCTAACAGTATAAAGTTAAAAAATGTGGTAAATGATCAACCCTAACCTCTGAACTGCTGGTGTGATTTGTTGATGTTATTGTTGAATCACACCTTGTTGAAGTAAGAGAGGCCTTCTGAGAAAATCAGAGATCAACTTCAAGTCTTGTGTTCTCAGCAATGATTTTCCGACCGCTTAAGAGCCCTGCAGAGCAGCCCTGCAGCCTTCCTCATTAGTTATATTTTCAGCAAAGCCCTTTTGACTATGTGATATTCCTTGTAGTTTACTTGTTTATTTGTTTATTGCCTTTCTCCTCTTTTTACTGAAGTGTAAGTGCTGTCACAGAAGGGATCTTGCTGGTCTTCACTCCTCTCTGCCTGACATCTATAAGACACCCAGTAAAAAATGTGCAAAATGAATAAATGTGATACAGTGTTCTTTTCAAGCCATGGTCTGCATAATATTCTCAACTTTTCCACGGAATGGTCAGAATTTACTAACCTAGTATAAATTTGTAAATAATTTATGCCGAAGTTTTCACAAAATATCATTTCATTAATGACAAATGAATTCTTTTTTCACATGGTGCCAAAGCTGATTTATATAATCTGGCCAGAGAGAGGTTTTATTTAATTGAAGAAAATTAGCTCAGTACTTCCTTAATACACACTCTACTATACTGCTACCTAAACTTTTACTTGAGTAAATAATTACATAACTAAAGGCTTAGGTCAAAAGCATTGTTAAAATTAAGCCAATTCTTACATCTTAAAAAACTTGTTGATATTTACATACAAATAGCAGTTTAGAGACAATCTATACTTAATTTCTGCTCTTGATAAATGCATTAGTTATATCAGGCTTTGAAAGAAAGAATACCAAATTGCCTATACTACTTTTCTACTCAGGGTTAAAGACGCTAACCACTTTCAAACAACCATCTGAGAAAACTAATTCCCAACGTATTGGAGTAGATGAGAGAATAAAAGGTGTGTTATTGAAAGGGAATTTGGAACAAGTAATCGTTCTGAATGTGTGTACATCAGAGACTCCTCAAAGCCTGCCTGGCAATCTGTTTTTTATGTAAGTTTGTTTTTATCTGTGGTGGGGAGTGCTGATATTTAAATTTGCATTAACTACTTTCCATAATGAATAAGAAGTACATAGCTAAACCTGATTTGTAGCAAATCAATTTTGGCAGACAGCAAAAGTCAAAAATTGTTTTTGTTTTTAAAGTAGAAAGCTTCTGTTTAAGACAGTTAAAGATTTTCAGAGAAAAGAGATTATTAATAGGAGTAACCTAGATTAGTGTAATGGTAGGAATAGTTGCAGAAATAGTAAGAGGCTTAGAGAAAGCTCCCCAATTTTAATGCCCTGAAAAATTGGGTGCAATCTTGTCTTCCTCACTAGAGCTGCTCCATCACTCAGTTATTTATTTTCTCAATCTGTCAATATTTATAGTAAAGCTTGAAGAATCACCAAATTGTAAGGTCTAAAGTAACGTTGAGAAATCATTCATTAACGCAACAAATATCGAGTTTCTATCCATCCCCCCACACTGCCAACACAGTGATCTTTCAAGGGCAAATCTGATCTTTCCACTGCCCTGCAGAAAGCCCTTCAAAGATTTCTCATTGCTGTAAGCCTGAAATTTAAACTTCTAACAAAGATATAAAACATTCTTAGTCCAATCTCTACCTGTTTTCTGATCCTTTCAGTAACTTTTTTCTCTGACCCTTTCTGACCACCCCACCCCCTGCCAAATTCCCTTGACACCTGTTGCCTTTATTCTCTATCCCAGAACTGACTGCCGTTTTTCAACATGCGTCCTCATGCTCTGTAGATGCTCTTCTCTCTTCCTGAATTAGCCTCTCTCCATGCTCCCTTGTCCACATGGTGAGCTCCTACTTATCCATGAAAACTCAGATTAAATATGATTTTCCTGTAAAAACTTTAACCAGTGCGGGGTTTATCATTCGTGCTATCACATCATCATAAAAATCTACCCTACTACTAATTATACTGTCTTCATCACTCTCTAAATACTTATGAAGCTTGTTGTAGGTTGTAGGAACTGAGAACATATCACTGAACAAAAATAGATAAAATTTTCTAATCTCATGAAATTTTATTCTCAACTTGCAAAATAATACAACAAAAAATACTAATTTACACACACACACATATATGCGGTTAGGTAGTGTTAAGTTCTTACAAAAAAAGATTAAAACAAGGAAGGAAAGTGTGTGGTATTGGAAGAGGTGATTAATATTGTCAATATTATTGTTAGGGAACAGCTCACTAAGGAGAGAGATTTTAAGAAAAGGTATCTAGTGATCATATATTCACAATGGGTCTTATATGTATGATGGGACTCATGCTATGAAGCTGTTATACAATTTTGCCTCATCCAGAACCCAGCATAGTTTCTGACACACAGACTTAACAAAGAAATAATTCTACACAAACTTAAAGGTTGTCAGAGCAACAGGTGGGATGTTATAATTTATTTTAGCCTTTTGGAACTTCAGTGCTAGACATAAGACCCTGTGTAAAGCTTACAGCCTTTAAAATGCAATTACTTATACAATAACACTGAAGAATCATGTGTCTGGATGAATACCCTATAAGTAGCCAAATTACTCTATCGCCATACAGGAGAGAATGATCATGGCATATTCACATTAAAAATCCCTTTATTAAGGCTTTATTAATAGCACAAAAAGTAAATCATCTTTCCTATTCGAGACACTTCTTTTTCTTATGAAATATTATACTGCTAGATGAGTATTTTTTCCCTCTAAAGACTGGTCTGTCCTACATTTCTAGACATATAAACTTCCCTTATGAGTGTTCTTTCTTTTTGAGAAAACACTAGCAATACCCATGATTCCCATGAAAAGCCCAGATAGTATCTGTTGATGCTTAGGATATAGCTTTCAACTTTTATGAATCTCCAAATCATCATAATTTTCTATCATGTCGTTATGTACAATGGGTAAAATTCTGCTCAATAGACATTTAGCTCACAATAAGTCTTGTGGTATTTGAAAACAAATATGGAGTTGTCTCCAATTCTACCATTAATGCATGGGCATTGTGAAGAATATTGGATAAGCTAAATACAAAATAGGGTTTATATGTATTTTTAATGATTAAAACTATTTCTTAAGTTTGAAACTATATAACTTTTTATATCATCTAACTGAAAGCAAGTTATATTTTGAAACATTTAAGCAGCAGAATTGCTGAGAGTTAAGAATAATCAGTATTTTGTGAAATTCTACATTTTGCATAATTTTAATAATAGTTCTGTGACTGATCAGGGCAATGTGGGTCTACTAACTTTATTAAATAAGCAGAAAGGGAAACCAATATGTACTATGTCTTTGGTTGGAAATCATTGGGAGACATTCTATATGTTGTAATTTAGCATTAATGCAGAGTAAGCAAGAAATTTTAGGAACTTACATGAGTAGGGGAAAAAAATGGTTTGGCGAGATGAAATTTGGTGTAGAATTCCTTGTTCTGTTGCTTTCAAATGCACATGTGACTTTAGACTAAGCATAACCAAAACCGAAAAGGAAAGAAGAGGACATGGGGAATCTGAAGCTGGGACAAACAGATTGTATATTATTTTAAATTAACTTCAGAAAATGCATTGGGAGTGGATTTAAAGGTGTTATTCGTCCTAGAGGAAACCTCACACATTGCCAGAAACTTCTGAGGAATCTGTTAGCTTCACCTATAAAGTTGTTATATCAGTGAAATCCTAATATTTTCACAACAGCAGTGGATAATGTGAAAGATCTCAATTCAAATATGACAGTGTCTTAAAGAGTGATTTGATGAGTAGGCTATGGTTCAGGGGCTATTCTAAGATAATGAATACGAAAGAAAAAGGGGATGTGGTTCATCCCCTCAATGAAATTCCAAAAGAAGGGATGCCGGAGAGGTAGATAAATGCCATATCTAATGGATGATGTGACAGGACCACAAAAGCAGGACCCGCTGGCTTCTATGTGTTCACAGAGAAGAGAGGAAGGGACTTCTCTGCATGTTTTTAGAGAACAAATCATCAATGGACAAAACTAAGTCAAATGAATGAATAAATACTCCCAAAACGGTAAAAACAAAAAGCTACCTGTCTTACGTTGGCCAAATGATAGTGAACATTTCAGTATTCTGATTTATTAGATCAACTTCTATTTTTTCCAAGTATAGTTTTCCACTTAGCCGTTTTTAATTTAGCATTGCCAAGTCAAAGGTCAGAAAAACAGAAAAAGAAAAATATTTTTTCAGTAAGCGTACTTTTCCATTGTGTGCCACCAACCTTTCCACTAGTGCTAGGGTTTCATCATATGAACAGAGGAGCAAATCTTGCCACCAAAGTTGCCTTCTTTCAGAAAAGTGAGCCTATTGGTGGCCTTTGTTATGAGAATCAGCATTCCGGCAATCTCTGCTCTTAATGACACCCTGAGTTTTCCAATTTAGAAGTTGCCAGATTTGTGGTTTATGAACAGCTTGAACAAAGGTGCTTGCACACTGCTTGCCCATAAAAAGTAATTGTTTTCTTTTAAAATTTATTAAAAAAAAAAAGAGAAAAAATCTGCCATTAAAAATTTAGGATAAAATCAGCTATAATAGACAGCAAATGAAAATTACATCACTAAGACAGAGAAAACCTTCAAAATCTTTCCCCAGCTCTGTCTCAATATCTTACACAGTGGAGCACATGTTAAAATTACCTTGTTCATTCCGTCAAAATTTCTCAACACTATCCCATAAAACAGCACCCACAGGCCTTTTTTTCTTCCAGTCTCTTTCCTCTTGCTTTGCCTGGTTTATTACTGGTCACTTTCACCCTGAAAAGTTTCCAACCTGTCTTGGTTCTCTTTGGTTCTGCAGCTTAAACCGTTATTCCAATAAGTAAAATAAAAGTATAGAAAGCCTAGACTGGCAGGTATCTGCCCAAACGACAAAATGTCCCTCTCTTAAATGAAATAGTCCTATTTTTTTGTCTTTTTCATATACGTATTGCTTCTGTATATATGAGCAGTATGTTTTAAACATACTGATTGTAGTTTTCAAAGAGAAAGAAAGAACACTAATGTTGGGTTATGTGAGTCTGAGACGTTTAGAAATCAAGAAGGAATAAAATGACTGGTTTGTTGAAAGAAGGTCCTTATTGATTTATGGGCCATCTACAAAGTTGTATGAGAACACCCAAAATATTCTTCAGAGAGTTTCACATAGTAAGTGAGACACAGGATTAGCTTCAATACTATAAATACAAATTACAGTGATGATGCTGAATAGCTGGCTACATTTTAAAGTATAGTGTGCTATTTTATGTGAACACACATAAAGTATAACTTGAGAATCTTAGTCATAGATTGTCAGTAGACAAAACCATAGGCACCGTGGAGAAGCAAGATGGAATCTAGGATAATTTTAATAAAATGGACAGAGGTCTGGGTTTCACATTTGATGACATGGGAGAAATAGGTAGGAACTGACTTCTTTTGGTGGCCTCGCTGCCAATAGAGTAATTCCAGACTCCTTTCCAGGCACCCAAGATTGTCTGGAATATAACATAATCTGTCTTCATAGTCACAGCATCTCTTTTTGTAGGTTTGCTTGATGTTTCTGATGAGAAGTATTACCCACTCTTCCTATAATTCATCTTTGCTATCCCATTATAATTCATTGCTGTATCCTGTATCTGACTATCAAAAGTTTGTGAATCTGACCCTATTTGTGAATAATATCTGGCTCAGTGTGTTACCTAGTCTTTCCTTTTAGAGATAAGAAATTGAGTACTCAGGAGTAGAGAAAAGAGACTTGCCCAAAGGCTCCAACCTGGGAGGTCTGTGCCTGCCACCAAGGTCACACATCCTAGTTCAGTCATCTTTTTCACTACCCAACACTCCGCTACAGTCAACAACCACAGCAACAAAAACAACAGGCCCTTTCCTGCTCTTTAATTAAATATTAGAAGTTGGCATGACATTTAAGGGGCATATCCTTTAGAATCAAGTCTGACATATAATGGGCATTCAATCAATATTTATGAAAAAAAATGGATAGCTATCCCCAACAAAGAACACATTACCTCATACTTATTGCTTGTTATGGCATTCTTTCTTGGTTTTCTATTATCTAGAATGACATAGTGGAAAGAACTTGAATTTTGGAACCCAGAATTTTTATCAACACAGTGAGGGAGGTACTATTAGTTCTAATTTTATAAACAAATTGAAATTTAGAAAGGTTGAATAGCTTGTAAAGGGTAAGCAACCTATCAAGGAACTGAAGAAGAATTTGAACCAGGCAGTCTGACTCCAGGGCATTGGTGCACAGGTTTTGTGATCTTTCTTTTCCCTGATAGACATCTGGGTCAAAAGTCATGCCTTACAGTGAAGTTTTGGTTTGGTTGATTTTACCTTAAAGAGTTTGCAAGAAAAAGCTACTTAAATGGAAATATATAAAGTCATTATTCTGACAGTCTCTCTACTCTTATTATTTAACAATTTGATACTAAATTAGCTGTACAATGCCTTCTTTTCATCTCCTACTTCCCATCGAGTAATCAAATAGAGGATCCTGATTCTATTTGTTGGAGAGATTGTGGATGCCTTTCACACATTGTATTTTAATGTCACATAGGCTTGCACTAACAAATTCTAGTCTCTGAGATAAATAGTTTTGCTCCTTGACAATAATTTTCCTTACAATACAAAGAACCATTGAATCTGATCCACGTGAGTTGAAGGTACTAGTCTTTTTCTTCTTCTGTCCACATGTTAGAAATTTGTTAGCTACCATGAAATATACAGCTCTATGTTTATTTCTATTTACTTTCAAGGCAGGTTACTACAGTACTTAATCACTCTGCTCTTGATTGGACTTCTTGGGTTAAACCTCTACTCAGCCACTTACTCACTGGTATACTCCTAAGTAAGTTATCTCTTCTAAAGGCTCTCAAAGAATAATAATAGCACTCCTACTTCATGGAAGTAATTGTAAGGGGAAAATGAGATAGAACATATAAGAGTTAGATTAATGCTCACCATATCTTAAGGGCTCAGTAAGTGTTTATTATTGTTACTAGACACATTAAAGGTACATTTGAGAACTAGAAGTGAAAGGGAGGAGTAATGCCTTCAAAAATTTACATTTTAAGATGTCTAACAGTACTATATCAAGAAGAAAACCTTGGGGATTTAAAAGTCAGAGAATTACTAAATAATTTCCAGCTGAGCAATTAATTTAATGCTGTGTTCTCCCCTTCAATTTAATTATCATAGGCCAATGGCATTCTACCTTCCAGTGTTTTGGTAGGATTTTGCTATCGAATAAGCAGCACACCTTCCACTTTTTTTTTATGTTTGATATTTTGCCAGTCATTGCTGAATTTAGTTGACCTGGAGTTATTCTGAAAATAAATACTGTGATCCCAAAAGTACGAAAACCTAAAAGAGAACTCCAGAAGGTGTTAAATTCCTAAAAATCCCTGAAAAGAAGGTATTGTACAGCTAATTTCATATCAAAATTGGTAACAGTAGAGAGACCTTCAGAGTAATGACTTTATATGTTTCCATTTAAGTAGCTCTTTCCTGAATGTAATGCAGAAACCTAGGTAGGCAAAATCCCTGAATCCAGAACGTAATGCAAAATTTGACATATTTGTCATATACAGCCTATAGAAACAATACCACATGCCAAAAAAACAACATCATGCTGCACTGCCTTGAGTCATTTCATGGCTTCCCATTGAACTTCAAATAAATATGAAATCTTTAACTCAGCCATCAAAACTGCAATCTGGCCCCTTCCTCCCACCTCCCTAGCCTCCTATCTTCTGCTACCTTCTTCTGCTCTTTCTCTCCAGCTAGACCAGCAAGTTGGGAAGTCCTCAAATGGACCATCTTCACAGCACTTTTGCACACTCTCTTCACTCAGTCTGGAGTTCACTTTCAACCCCTTACCTCCCCACCTATCCAAGCTCCACCTTCTGCCCTTTCCACCTCACCGAAAACTCCCTCCCTCTGTCCTCCTTGACCAGATTACCTGCATGTCTTGGAGGTTTCTCTCCCACCCCCTTCCACCTCCTGAAACACTGCACATTGGCAGCTTCATACCTATCTAGGGCCCTCTTCCTTACAGCCTGTAAACTCCTTGGTGATAGGAATCTTATCCATGATCACCACTGTTTTCCCAGTCTCCAGCCTAGGGCCTGGCACAAAGCATGCTCTCAATAAATATTATAGAGTAAATAAATAAAACTGAAATGTGACAATAATTCAAAAAGAAAGCAGAAAGTCTTCTTCAAACACAAAATAGTCCAGTTAGCATGTCTGACTAAATATATGACTTCTCACTATTAAGAATGATTTTCATACTCTGCCTCCTCTCCTAGGGCATACCTGGGCCTGGGAAAGAAGGGAGCTAAGTGGAAAGAGAACTACAGGGTAGTTCCCTGGGGCCTTTCATACCCACATCATCACCAATTAAACACAGCCATGCCTGCTTTATCACTGCACTTTTTTTTAAACTGCAGAATCCATGGGCAAAGGATTCCAAGGCTAAAAATAATTTGAAAATCAGTTATTAGAATAAAACCATCTAATAATTATTTTGTCTTTCAATGTCATAGTGAGGATGAACTGCCCTCCGTCAATTTTGCTAGTTGACATAATTTTTCAACTCCCCAAACTATTTCTAAACTGGTCATGTTCTTATACATTCAAGCACATCAGAAAACACAGATTTCAGTATTCATCTCTGGCTGTTTCTCTATCACTCATCTGCCTCTCCCCTTATAGAGGTATGCCCTTCAGTGGTTTCCTCTATTGCCCAGGGAAAAACATCCAAGTTTGTGGCATAACATTTACAAGCTGGAGGCTGGGCAACATGGCGAAATCTTGTCTCTACAAAAAATACAAAAATTAGCCAGGTGTGGCGGTGTGCTGCTGTGCTCCTGTAGTCTCAGCTACTTGGGATACTGAGGCAGGAGGATCGCTTGAGCCTGGGAGGTCGAGGCTGCCGTGAGCATTGATCACACCACTGCAGTCTAGCCTGGGTGACATGGTGAGAACCGTGTCTCAAAAAAAATAAACTACAAAATAATAATAATAAATAAAAACTATCATCATTTTCATTTACTATTCCAGCTTCCTTCCTCTCCCCTGGAGCTTTCTATTGGAATCATGAAACATACCATGATTTTCTCCACACCTGTGCCTGTCTTCTTGGAGTGCATTTCCTCTGCCTGAATAATCCCTTCAAGTCCTTCATGAACCACCTCAAATGTGAACATTGGCTTTTCCCAGTCTGGGTAATTTACTCAGACTCCTACCACATGCACCTATGGGACTCTACGGTTTCATCTGACAGCTTAAAACACTGAGAGACTTGCTTTTTTGTCTGTCTTTTCTGCCTAGGTAGTTATATCCCTAAACACAGATTCAGCTTCATGCCCTTCCTTCCTGGGTTATTGCTTGGCATAAGTATATACTGAATGAATAGAAGAGTTCCAATAAGTTTTAACATTTCCTTGGCATTTAAACATTTAATATTTATAATTTCACCTCCTTATGAAATTCCCCAAAGCGTGTGCCATACAGAAATTTGCAGAATCCCAAACAAAACTATGCAAGAAGGGGGACTACTACCCACAGACACCCTTTAGCTGATTAGTCTAATCAGCCGCTCTGACTCAGCATCTAAAACGGTTTTCACATTTTTACTTAAAACAGTATTGTATCACTATAATAATTTAAGAGGATTTTCCATTATTGTGAAATATACTGGGAATTATAAGGACATTTTTAATTTAGAAAGTTGAAGGAGGAAAGTGATTTTCTCACTGCACAGCTAATCAGAGTTGGTGCTGGCTATAGGTCAAGATCAGTATTTCTCAAAGTATGTTCCAGGACTCACTGGTCCCTTGGGATTCTCAATAAAAGTGTCCATGATCAGATATGTTTGGGAACACTGAATTCCAGGTCCTTAACATATTAAATGCCCTGAGAAATTCTCCAGTCAAGACATCTATTTATCTTTGTTATGCTCAACATTTCCCAAATTCCTTTGATCGTGAGTTTGATGACATTATAAAAACTCACTATGGAAAAAGCTAGTCTTGGTCACCACATTCTCATCCCAGTGTTTGCCTTTTACTTACAGTAGTATGTGCATAGCAAAGTCGAGATCTGAAGCAATTATTTGATCTCGAACTCCCGACCTCAGATGATCCAACCACCTTGGCCTCCCATAGTGCTGGGTCACAGGCATGAGCCACCACGCCTGGCTGTTGAAGCAGTTATTTGGGATACATTTAGTTACCAATTTTATTTTGAAGGGCATATATAAATATGAACAAATATTTTAGATGCTTCTTTGCTTATTCTTTAGTATGAAATATTTGAGTGCTTGATTTTCTTCTTTATGGTGATTAGGCATAAAATAAACAACCTCTTTGGAATATGCTACATAACAGGAAAAAAATCACATTGATTATTTTTCACTGCAGTTTCCTCCCACACTATTATTAAAGTTTTGCAATCATGCTTTACATCTTATCACCATTGGCACACCGCAGCAGCAGGTTATAGTATTTTAATGGCATGAATCTGAAATTTAGATGAAATTTAACTTTAAAATAGAAAAAAATGGACACATATGTGTGTGCAACAGTTGGCATCTAACAATGGATACCTTTGTGAGTCATGTAAGATTAAGTCTAGAAAAAAATAAGGTATATCATAGCTATTCTCTTTTTGAACACTCCATGTTGAGAAAAAAGGTATTTTCTATAAGTATTGGTGCTTCTTATTTAGACTGCAAAACAAATTAGAACCAAACAAAAAAAAGTACTCTTATTTTTACCAGCTTAAGAAAAATTAGAGAGATCTGTGATTGTTGGTTTTCTAATAAATATAACTATATTTTCTAGATTAATTCAGTTCCTACCATTTCAGTATGGTCTATACTGCAAATGTACAAGGGGAAGCTTCAACTAGGATCCTGCTTGATAAGTAGTGTAAGATGGAAGTATCTGAACACTTAGGGTGTCACCTTAAAACAAATTGTCACACATTTTTCTTCACACATTTGAAACCCAACTTATCAACCTTAACAAGTGTTGTTATCAAAAGAATTTTGGTGCCTTTGTTCTTTCCCTCTTGCAAGTAAATTACACTTTTAGGATTTTATTAAGACAAGAAACAATTTTTGAATAGCAGGTCAAAACTCTCCACGGAAAAATTCTCATTACTTTCTAGCCTGAAGCAATGTTTACCACCCAATGTATCCATCTTTTTCCTGTTTCTTCTATATCTATATTTCCCGAATCTTGTTTCTGTGCCTAATGCTATAACATTGCAGCAGTTTGTTCAAAGCAACACTCTTATTTTTGCTCTTAGCCGGTGCTATACAAACCCTGATCAATTATTGAAGTAGAAGCCCCGAAGTAACACAGCCATTACTGCAGGAGGCAGATAAAAATGGAACACTTTGAGCTACAGTATATTTACTTTTGAGTTTCAGCAAACAAACCAACAAGTTAAACTACTTTGTCTTTCACTTTGTTTGATGTACTAGTATTTCCTGCTTTCTCCAAAAGCCGTTTTCTTCATAAAGCAGGTCTCTGAAAATTCGTTTCTTTTTGGAATTGTGGTAACCTTAACATTTATGCAAAAGAGTACTGCAACTCGGACAAGAAGGGCTCGAATGAGTTACATAGACATGGCATGCCAAGAGCTGCATGGCATTTGATAAAGTTCACCGACGTGTCATCTTCATATGGTAATAACACTGCAAAGAGTCCACAGTGATATTTAAAACAACAGTCTAACTGAGGAAAGTATTCATTAAAGCCTTTCAGAAAAGTCATATTAGAGGTGGAGAAAATTTCTCATGAAGAGCAACTGCTAATCACATTTGGAATTTTTCTCTCTCTCCTGCTTACTCCATTATTCACAAAGGATTGCCCAAGATGTTGTAATTTTATTTTTTAAACTGCTCGTTATTTAATTATATAGAATATGTCTGGTCAGGTTGCCAGTGAAGGCTACAAGCATTCATCTTCTGACGATGCCAACTTGCATCTGCAGCCTCAATATAATGGTAGCTTTTTTTTTTTTTTTTCATTTTAAATGTCTGTTCTGGGTTTTAAGGACTAAATGACAGTGAAGATAACTGGAAATATTCCAAGGTTTTTATACGTACTATGCAGTTGAAACAAAAATTAGTAGTTATACTCCAGAACTAATAATATTTGACACTTATTCTTATCATTGCCTGAAGTTTGGGTAGAGAGTTCCAGCAAGTTTCTGAAAAGTAGCTAAGACAATGTAAGGAACTGTTTTGAAGTGTTATGTATCTGCATCCCACTCAGAGCTCTTCTTTTCCAGCCAAGCAAATAAAAGCAATCGGCGTAACCTCTAAGCACCAAAGGTGAGCAGATTATGAAAAACACTTTCATGAATTCATAAGTATGTCATCAAAGCCACTTGAAGCACTTTGATATTTGAATAGAAAAGCCGTGAAGAAAAAAGCCACATGCATTGGGAAGCTTTCATAATTTAGGATAGTTTATTTCAATGTCTTGTTATGAAGTGATATTCATCTTTTCCCTCATATACTCTTCATTTGTGAATAGGCCTATTAGATACAATATAAAGCATAAAAGATCTCAACTGAAAAATACAACAGATGAAGATCTTATTAAGCATTTTTTAAAAATATGAGGATGTCTGTACTTCTAGTATTATGAAAGGCAGTTATATCTCACCATCGAGACGACCCCAGGAAGACTGTTTTGTAAAATTTCAGGCTGCCTTTAGTGGGTAGGCAATAATGTGATATTTTATTATTAGTTCCCTTTCCTTCTACTCATTTCAAAGAGAAGAAATAATGTATTTGTATAACCAGTTCCCAGGACATCAATTTCTTTGTTTGAATTGATACCATGATCTAATTATTGTACAAATAGGTGAAAGGAAGGGTACAATTTTATTTACGTAATAGGTTGACCGAAAGAGAGATGGACCACTTATGACTCAAACATCTGCATTATTATTTTCTAGGGTTTTGTGGCAGGTACCACATGAAAATTAGCTAGAAGGACAAGAAACAATTTGAAAAAAGGCACAGAAAGAACTCTAGAAATGTATGCTTTGTAAAACAGTTCTTTAACATGGCTCTGGATAGTAGAAACAAGCTGACTAAATTTATGAGGTGTGAAGCTTACGTCTTATAAGATGTAATAATGATTAACATTAGAATCACAAGTTAAACCTGAGGTCAGGCTTAAGAAATGATATTAACCCTACCTCTACTGCTAAAATATCCAGCCATTTCTCTTTACCTCAGAAGAAAATCTTAGCCTTTCTAAAGTAGCTACATGTTTCAATTTTTTTCTCATGTACCTCTTAAGAGCACTTTGTTGTTTTCATAACAATATTTCTTTTGGAAAGAGATATATGAAAGCAGATGTGTCTATATAATCCTTGCTGCTAAAATCTGACTGCTAAAATTTTCATTATTCACTCATGCATTCATAGATTTCTTTTCAAAGGATAACATCAAAATCACTTTATTGAATGATAGTTACTCATTATGTGCTCTGCTGGATTTTAACAAAACAAATCATGTACCAGACACTGTTCCTGCTCTGAAAAGTGGACAGTCTAGTAAAGGAGACAGAAATAAACAAATATGTATAGTTAAGTACCAGCATAAAGTTATATAGGTCTATGGTACACTATTGACCTAAAGATGGCATGCTTTTTTTTATAAAAAGTTGGGATGGGAAGAAGAGCGATCGGAGCAAGGAAAGCTTCACAAAAGGGATCTTAAAGGCAATCAGTGTATAATGTCCAGAAGAATAGAAAATAATGAAAAATATATTGCTAAAATGTAGTTCCCAGGGGGAAAAATATATGTTTGTTATGTATTATAATAAAGTAAAAGACAACTCTGGTTTATGTGTGGGCTCATAGTTGGGAAACTCCTTCATTCACATCTGATCTTCCTAGCCACCTCTTGCTGCAGGTATGACTTCTGTCCTTTTGAAGCTGAAATAAATGATTTATGATCAACTCAAAGGTCCATATTAAATGAAGGGCCCAACGAGGACCATCAGCTTACAACTCAAACCAAAGAAATGATCTTTAGAGAGAAAGCGACAATGGTTCAGTAATATTTACTTCAACATCCTTCATAAGGAAATCTAAAGAGCATGCATATAATGTAGGTTATTTATGTTTAATGTGCAAATAAGTACTTTCCCTATGGACATCCACATTGATCTGGGGACATTGACAGTTACCAAACATATTACTTTAGAAATGGAAAATTACAACTCATCCTGTGTATATTTATTGCCTAGAGGAGTTTTCCAATATATCACTGATGGAGAAATGAAACCTTAAGGACAAACTGAATTAGAAATCATAATTCCATTTGGGTAATATGTTGAAATTGCATAAACCATGTAGCAATATTGTGTATGTGCTACTTCAAAACTCTGAAGGCCTGATTCACTAGGTTTCTTTGCCTTTATACAATGTTCTCAAGAGACTGAAAAATATAGATTTTATTCATCTGTAAAGTGACAGGGACTTAGGAATCATACATGGCTACTTATGAAATCTTATAAACTTAACACAAATTACTATGGGTATTTTATGTATTTGTCTTATACAGTGCCACTTGAGAAATTTGTTTCTATTATGCAAGTTTGTTTTGTATATTAAAATTTGATGGGAAAATGTTAGGATAGTTAAAAGTTATATCTACAAAATTTTTTAGGCAGAATGTTGAAATATTAACATTACACCATATTATTTATATTTTACAGATCCCTTAGGCCAATTTTCACTTAAACTCTTCTGTCTTGCTTTTGACAAATAAACACTAAACATTGAAGTTAATGCCAATTTTCCCCCTGAAATTATTAATCATTAGTTTAGTTTTTTGTTTTTGGTTTTTTTTTTTTTTTTTTTTTTTTTTTTTTTTTTTTTGAGACAGAGCCTTGCTCTGTCACCCAGGCTGCTGGAGTGTAGTGGTGCAATCTAGGCTCACTGCAACCTCTGCCTCCTGGGCTCAAGCGATTCTCCTGCTTCAGGCTCCTGAGTAGCTGGGACTACAGCTGTGTGCCACCATGCTTGGCTAATTTTTTTTTTTTTTTGTAGTGATGGGGGTTGGAGGGCAGGGGGGCAATTTTCTTAAAAATATGTTCTCTCATAACTTTTGTAGAGTGGCTCCACAGCTTCAATGAAAGTTTTGCAATTAAAACTCTAAGTTAGTGATGCTACTGCTGAACTACGGAGGGGGGTGTGTATGTGCAAATATGTATAAATTACATGTGTATGTGTATATAATTTCTACATAAATTGACAAGTTTTATAGTGCATTGGATATAACTTTACGTACTAGTTGTCTGTGGCTGTGTAACAAATTGCCACCAATTTAACAGCTCAAAACACAGTATTTCTTATTTCACAGTTTCCATGGGTTAGAAGTCTGTGCACAGATGAGCTGGGTCCTCTCTTTGAGATCTCACAGGTTGTAACCAAGGTGTCAGATGGGGTTACTGTATCTTCTGAGGCTTTGGGGTCCTCTTTCAAGCTCATATGCTTCTTGGCAGAATTCACCTCCTGTGGTTTTGAGGCTGAGGCCCTCACCTCCCAGAGGCCACCCCTCTCCATACTCAGAACATAATGTGGCTGTTTTCTGATTTGAGGCCAGTAGAAGATTGTCTCTCACATCTAGACTCGCTTTCAAAGAACTTACATGATGAAATGAGGCCCACTCAGGATCATCTCCTTTTTGAGTAAATTCAGCTGCTTTGGGACCTTAACTGCATTTTCAAAATTCATTCACCATTGCCATAAAATGTAACCAAATCCATCATCTTTGCCGTATAATGTAACCTAGTCACAGACATAAGACCAGGGAACAGAGATCATGGAGGCACTGTTAGAATTCACCTGCCACACCTTACTTGAGCATAGTAAAGTTACTGCTTTAACACTTGTGAGGGCAAGGTTGTATCATTGAGAAATCAAGGAGAACATTAGAGAATATAAATGTACAAGTTGCTTTCATTTTGTCACTTTTTAAAAAACTTAATTTTTGTGGGTACCACAGTAGGTGTGTATATTTATGGGATACATGAGATATTTTGATACAGGCATGTAATGCATAACAATCACATCAGGGTAAACACAGTATCCTTTACCTCAAGCATTTATCATTTCTTTGTGTTACAAATATTCCAATTATACTATTTTAGTGATTTTAAAATGTACAATAAATTATTGTTGACTATAGTCAGCTGGTTGTGCTATGAAGTAGTAGTTTTTATTCATCCTATTTTTTTATTATACTTTAAGTTCTGGGATACACGTGCAGAATGTGCAGGTTTGTTATATAGCTACACATGTGCCATGGTGGTTTGCTGCACCCATCAACTCGTCACATACATTAGGTATTTCTCCTAATGCTATCCCTCCCCTACTCCCCTACCCCCTGACAGGCTCTGGTGTGTGATGTTCCCCTCCCTGTGTCCATGTGTTCTCATTGTTCAAGTCCCACTTATGAGAACATGCAGTGTTTGGTTTTTCTCTTCCTGTGTTAGTTTGCTGAGAATGATGGTTTCCAGCTTCATCCATGTCCCTGCAGAGGACATGAACTCCTTTTTTATGGTGGCATAGTATTCCATGGTGTATATGTGCCACATTTTCTTTATCCAGTCTATCATTAATGGACATTTGGGTTGGTTCCAAGTCTTTGCTATCATGAACAGTGCTGCGATAAACATACATGTGCATGTGTCTTTATAGAATGATTTATAATTAATTGGGTATATACTCAGTAATGGGATTGCTAGGTCAAATGGTATTTCTGGTTCTAGATCCTTGAGGAATCTTCACACTGTCTTCCACAATGGTTGAACTAGTTTACACTCCCACCAATAGTGTAAAAGTGTTCCTTTTTCTCCACATCCTCTCCAGCATCTGTTGTTTCCTGACTTAATGACTGCTATTCTAACTGGTGTGAGATGGTATCTCATTGTGGTTTTGATTTGCATTTCTCTAATGACCAGTGATTATGAGTTTTTCATATGTTTTTTGGCCACATAAATGTCTTCTTTTGAGAAGTGTCTGTTCACATCCTTTGCTCACTTTTTGGATTTTTTTTTTTTGTCTTGTAAATTTGTTTAAGTTCTTTGTAGATTCTGGGTATTAGCCCTTTGTCAGATGGATAGATTGCAAAACTTGTCTCCCATTCTGTAGTTTGCCTCTTCACTCTGACGATAGTTTCTTTTGCCATGCAGAAGCTCTTTAATTAGATCACATTTGTGAATTTTGGCTTTTGTTGCCATTGCTTTTGGTGTTTTAGTCATGAAGTCTTTGCCCATGCCTATGTCCTGCATGGTATTGCCTAGGTTTTCTTCTAGGGTTTTTATGGTTTTAGGTCTTATGTTAAGTCTTTAATCCATCTTGAGTAATTTTTGTATAAGGTGTAGGGAAGGGGTCCTCTGTTATGTTCCATTGGTCTATGTATCTGTTTTGGTACCAGTACCAAGCTGTTTTGTTAACTGTAGCCTTGTAGTATAGTTTGAAGTCAGGTAGTGTGATGCCTCCGGCTTTATTCTTTTTACTTAGGATTGTCTTGGCTATACAGGCTCTTTTTTGGTTCCATATGAAATTTAAAGTAGTTTTTTCTAATTCTGTGATGAAAGTCAATGGTAGCTTGATAGGAATAGCATTGAATCCATAAATTACTTTGGGCCGTACAGCAATTTTCACGATATTGATTCTTCCTATCCATGAGCATGGAATGTTTTTCCATTTGTTTGTGTCCTCACAGTGGTTTATAGTTCTCCTTGAAGAGCTCCTTCATATCCATTGTAAGTGGTATTCCTACTAGGTATTTTATTATCTTTGTAGCAATTGTGAATGGGAGTTCACTCATGATTTAGCTCTCTATTATTGGTGTATGAGAATGCTTGTGATCTTTGCACACTGACTTTGTATCCTGAGACTTTGCTCAAGTTGCTTATCAGCTTAAGGAGATTTTTGGTTGAGATGATGGGGTTTTCTAAATATACAATCATGTCATCTGCAAACAGAGACAATCTGACTTCCTTTCTTCCTATTTGAATTTCCTTTCTTTCTTTCTCTTGCCTGATTACCCTGGCCCAGAACTTCCAGCACTATGTTGAATAGGAGTGGTGGAGAGAGGGCATCCTTGTCTTGTGCCAGTTTTCAAAGGGAATGCTTCCAGCTTTTGCCCATTCAGTATGATATTGGCTGTGGGCTTGTCATAAATAGCTCTTATTTTGAGATAAGACCCATCAATACCTAGTTTATTGAGACTTTGTAGCATGAAGGAGTGTTGCTTTCATTTAAATATCACAGGGTAGAAAAGTCAGGAATGCATACACTCAGAAATAATATTGGAAAATAGTGTGTAATTAAATGTCAAAATGAGTGGCATGTACAGTAACTCAGAAAATTGGTCACTTGAAATGAGTTAATTGTTGGAGAAGTCACTATTAAAGAAGAGATTTAGGCTGGTTCCTAAAAGATACAAAAGACTCAGTGAATGAACAAGGACTTTAGCTGATAAAGCCGTTTATCATTCTTTCTCAATAGTGCTGTGTAGAGCCAGGCAGACATGAGTTTGAATTCCAGCTCTGTCAGTAAGTAGCAGTGTGACTTTTGGTAAGTTATTTGAACTCTCTGAACTTCCATTTTGTCACTTAGAACAAAAGGAGTAAAAGCAACTACTTCATAAGTGTTGCTCAGATAATAGTAAATCAAATGTTGTTGTTTACTCACAGGATTACTGGAAAGAATATATAACAACATATTAAATGAGAAAAGGGCTTTGAAAATAATAAAGTACCATAAAAATGTAGGTCACTCATAGCATAAGTTCCCCAGTGACGTTTTTCTGTTTGGTTAAGTATCTCTAATCTATTGCCTTATTGTATTTGATATAATAAACATGTAAGCAATTTTAGGATCAATCTGAAACAAGGAAGTTTAGAAATAGACAAATACAGCAAATAATAAAATTAGCCTTTCAACTGAGACCCTATAATTTACCACCACAAAGTGCAAAATAGTGTGGAATTTTCGGGGACCATGAAGATCAGTGTGGGCAATATTTAGGGAAAGGATTTACTTTTGTTTCCTTTTTTACTTGTCATCATTCTTCCTGGTGATTATTTCTGGCATATAATAAATAGTAGATGTAATAAACTTTCATTGAATAAGTGCATTATAGATGGAAATCAAGTATTTAAATAATGAAAGTATAACCAACATAGAAGCACTGTTCATTACAAATGTACATTCCATGGAAAGAGAGGCTTAGAGTGATTTTTTCTGAAGTATACAACAGCTCAAGGTCCCCAAATAAAGGACTTAATGTCTCTAAGTAATTAACTTGGTTTGTAAGCTCCCAAAAGTTTTAATTCATGTTTTGTATTTTTTTGGAAAAGGAGAACAACCAAAATAAAAACGAGGTTTCCTCCTTGAATTTCAAATATTTTCCGTTTGATAATCATTGCAAGGAAGGTGACTAGGGAGGACTCTGGGAATATTTATTGAATTGTGAAAGAAGAAATCTGACAAACAATATACTTAATCATTTTCCATTTATCATCATCATCCTGTGACAGGATATAAAAACAATTGTACTAAAATGAGGTGTTTTGTTGAGGAGGAGGCTCTAGAGTATTAAAAAAGAGGATTTATATTTAAGTAAATAAAATTTTGCTGGAACCAGAAATTGAAGAGTATTTGAAGAAATGCTCTGAACTATGGTAACTGATTATTCTTCATTTATAATGTCTGTTTCAAGCTGTCTTGAACATACGGTCCAAGAAATTTTGAGTCAAGACAATACACAGCTAGGGAAATACAGTAACTTTTAAGTTAACTACATATGAAATGAATTTTCAGAGTTGTCTAGGCAAACTCAAAATGGTGTATGTTTAGCTGGCTTTCCTCTTTGATAGTTATATCTCTGAAAAAAATTGTGATTCATAAGAAATAATAAAACCTTGAGATTGACTAGTAAGTGTTCTTCTCCAGCCATGACTTGTGACCTATTGTGCACATGCTAGAGAATGAATCTAATTTTGAATATTCATTATAATCATGTTTTTTAAAAAATACATTTTAATGTCGCATAGAAACAAAAGCTGTTCACGGGCCACAGCCTAGTCACTTAGGTTTACCACAGAGTGATGAAAATTCATCAAAATGTCAAGAGATCTGTATTTACCAAGTTTGATGAAGAAAATCTGACAAATACTATTTAAGATAAGTGGCATTTTTTCCTAATTGTTTTCATATGGATGAATGAAAATCAAGTGCCGTGTTACTTTGATGAAATGCTAAATTGCTTAAAAATTCATATTTACACAACGGACCAGCATACAAAATCTGAACGTAAGATTATGGCTTGAAAACCAATGTACAGATTTTTCCCAGCTAACCCTGTACGTTCAAGTACAGAAATGAAAGTACTAGTGAATGCTTAAATTTGAACAAATTCATTTCTACTCTGCCTTCATTTCCTCACTAAAATACGGTGCAAATAAATATTAGGTTACAAACTAATAAGTATTTCTTCCACGGAAAATATGTCAGACTTTCTATGTTGGTGGCAGCCCACCAAACAGACATACAAGTCATTTTTAGCATGTAATTCACCTCAGGAATTAAGAACGCAAACACCAAAAGAAAACCATTGACTATTTTTCCAGTCCACATAGAATATGCTATAATTCTAAGGAACAGGAAGAAAATGTTAGAAAAACAAAATGTAAAAAAAATATTAACCTTAGTGGATGTTATAACTAAGGAAAGAAATGATTACATACGAATCTTTGTTCTCCTTGTAGTTTTGTGTGTGGGTATGTTCCTATGTATGTGGGTGCATTTATAATGCAATTTTAAACCAAAATACCATAGACTGAACTAAAACTAGTAAGTAGTAGAGTTGACATTTGAAGCCCAGATCCATGAGATGGGATAGCACATGGCCTCAACTTCTTCATGCTTACATCTCTTCAGATAGTTTTTCCAAAGCTAATTATAAAGCATTTTAAGGAAATCCTAATGTTTGAAATTCACTGATACATGGCCCGTTGTCTGCCTATTTAGGTGTTTTTTTTTTTTTTTTTTTTTTTTTTTTTGAGACGGAGTCTTGCTCTGTCACCCAGGCTGGAGTGCAGTGGTGCGATCTCGGCTCACTCTGCAAGCTCCGCTTCCCGGGTTCACACCATTCTCTGGCCTCAGCCTCCCGAGTAGGAGTAGCTGAGACTACAGGTGTCCGCCACAACGCCCGGCTGATTTTTTTTGTATTTTTAGTAGAGACAGGGTTTCACCGTGGTCTCGGATCTCCTGACCTCATGATCCACCCGCCTCAGCCTCCCACAGTGCTGGGATTACAGGCGTGAACCACCACACCCAGCCTAGATTTCTTTTTAATTAGAAAATATAATAAAACAGAATGGGCCACTGAATCATTTTTGAGGTAAGACTGATTTTTCAATGTTGAAGTAAATTTCCTCACACTTTCAGACGTTTCATCCCTGTCCGAAGTGTTTATAGTTTTGTGTGCTAAGTAAAGGTGATCATCAAGTCCAAGTCAATTCCCACATTCATAGACTTCTTAAGCCATCTTTGGGCAATGCACATATCCAGCTTCATCAGATCCTAAAGATTCCTGAAGAAAGCTACTTTTATGACCTCATTCATTACCCATTTCCACTGATTTTGGTGAGCAATCCACTGTTTCAAAACAAAAAGCATGTTCACTATTTGTGTGATGGGTTCACTAGAAGCCCAAATCTCAGCATTACATAATATACCCATGTAACAAACCTGTACGTGTTCCTTCTCAATCTGTGAAACACTCTCACACATAACATAAACGTAGCTTATCTACATTTTCTAAATAAAAACAATTTATGCAAGGAGGCACAAAGTAAAAAGTACACTGAAAAACATACATCAACCCAAGAGAGTCCTAGGCAAACTGGAAGCTTTGGTCAAGGGAGGGACAGATGGATACAAGCTTTTAACTATTCAGCACCAAACTTTATTTCCAAAGTCACCTAATTTTCATTAGTCTAAGACAGACAACCAGTTGGTTGATAATTAAAAGTACAAACATTAAAAGATAAGGAATTAAGTTCATATCATTGCAAATGGAATAGTGTTGCTTACTTACAACATTAAACCTTCACCTTAGCCATTCTCCCAGTTATCAGGACAAACATTTCACTCATGAATTCCTCCTCCTTCTCTAATCCAGTACCACATCGAAGCATCATGCAACTCAGACGGGAAGTAAACAAACAATTCAGTAACAGCAATAATTAGGCTAGATCCTGAGGTCATTCTATCCACGGTAATGCTGACTTTTGGTTTTTCCCATCAGGCAACAGTTTAAAATGGAAAACTTCAAAACTTATTTAAGCCTCAAAATTCTAACTAAAGGAAAATGTTTAATTTTGTGGTTACTTGCTATTATTAAGAATATCCCTTTTGTTGTTATTACATTATTGTATTTCTACATTTAGTAGGAAATCCATCATGGCATTTTAGATTAACTATCATTGTTCTATTATTTCTGTGCCATTCATTTCACAAGCTACTTACGGTGGGCTCTAGAGAGTTACCGAGAAGGTAGCCCACTCTCTGATTAAACTTTTTAATTATGAATAAAAGTAACACCTTAAATAGTAAATGTATTAGCTTATTTATGCTAAGAAAGCAGCCCCTTCTACTTAGATCACGGATTTTCTTGGCAAATCAACATAGTATCTCCTAAGTGCCATCAGTCAGCCTGACAGAAACAAACTGCTTAGGAGTCCAGCCACTGAGAGTGCTCAACTCTGATACAGATCTGCAGTTGGGCGTGGCAGGGAGTGGTTGAGCGGCCTCATTGGAACTGTTCCAAAAACAGTAGAAATAAAGAACACTGGGTATGTGCAGGAGAGAGAAATTTTAAAAGGCATAGAATCCAGGAAAGATGAAAATTAGCAAGAAAAGAAGTAATCATCTAGATAGAGTGATTATTATTAGAGCTTGTATCTACTTACGGAGGTTATCAGCAAGTCCCCTACGACTCCATTAGGAAGATAATTGTGGCCAAGGCAGGAGGATTGCTTGAGGCCAAGGCTTCAAGACCAGCATGGGCAACATAGAGACCTGTCTCCACAAAAATGTAGCAGGGTGTGTACCCGGTGGTCCCAGCTACTTCTGAGGCTGAGGTGGGAGGTGGCTTGAGCCCAGAAGATTGAGGGTGCAGAGAGCTGTGACAGTGCCATTACACTCCAAAGTGGGTGACAGAGCAAGACCTTGTCTCAAAAACAAAACTAAAGAATTGTAATAGATGTCTCTCTCTAGCTAACTTGCACTCCTTCCTTGGAGGAAGTACTCTCAGATTATGGGGCCCAGGCCCTTCTCCATGTCTGGCAGAGGATCTCAGTCCAGAAGAAAATTTTATTTCTCTGCTCATAGTTATTGGTTCAGGGAAGGGCAGGTGACCACGGCAAGGCCAGTGAACAGCCCTCTTAGGACTTTCCCCCGGAAGTTACCAGAAGTAAGCACTCTCTCCTATTAGCTGATTGCCTGAGTGCTAAGGAGGAGCACATTTGTGTGAACCGACTATGAGAGCAAAACTGTTTATAAATAAAACCAGTGGACAAGAGGAGAGCAAAGGGACTTAAGTCAGTTTATTCCCTTTTATGCTTCCACAAGTTTGAGTTGAGCTTTTGTCACTTGCAATATAAAAGGTCCTATACTTTCCATGACCTAACATTGGACTGGGGCAGTTACCATGTGTTTATATGTTTTGTATACACTTGAGTGTGCTTGTTCTAGTTCTCTGAGGCCTTTTTCCTCTTTTCCACATTCACACGATCTTCATTCTGAAACTGTGCTCTTCCCCTGTGAAAATGCTCAGGATACCAGGAAAATGGTAGTGGGCCCTGAGAGCCAGGGTAGGCATCCAGGCATCCAGGGGTACCCATGACTATCCAAGGGCCGTGGCTGTGAATCCCCCCATAGGAAGTGGAGGCTGTTAGGCCCCGGGCAAAAGCCTGGTGCTGGCTGCAAGGTGGTGTTACAGCTAGGAACAGCTGTACCTAAGTACAGAAATCTAGTCTCACCAGGTACATCTGTTGTTACCTGATAGAGTCACATTGCTGCAGAGCACGCAAAGCTCTGCAGCAATATGAATCTTAAAAAGTCACTTTTTATTTAAAACCTCATCCTGTTCACTTTAGGGCTTTAAAAACCCAATCCATTAACCTCCCTCTCTAACCCACCAGGGGACGCAACTATCCAATACAAAGAACATGCAGTTACCCTATTTTTGCTGGGAGAATTTTCCCAAGCTTCCCTGTCTAGTCTCATTTTTAACTCTTTGCTATGATCTTTTCTCCCGGAGCAGCATCTTGTTGATTCATCCCTGAATTCCCCCTTTGCTTAGCCCAGTTAGATTGTAGCGTCCCGCTTTGCTTAGCCCAGTTAGATTCTAGGGTCTTCTTACTGCTTTCTCTCAATTATAGTCAAGTGACTTGCAGCATATGTTTGCCCCAAATTTCTGGGCCCTGGGTGAATGCTGTGCAAATAAATGTTTATCATAGGATCTCTGGGGGGGGGGGGGGTGGGGAAGTCCTGATTTGTGGCATTTATCAATTTCCCTACTGTGAATATTCCCATTGCGGCCATTTTAGGGCTGACATTATGTCATGGAATGTGGAGTTCAGAAGAGATGTGCACAATCAGCTCTGCAGCCAGCTCCAGCCCACCACTGTCCTGGCCCCTCCTTTGTCTGGTAGGACTTAAAATATGGGAAGACAGAATTGATGCAGCTAAAGAATCCTAATCAGGTCATGTAGTTTATATTAGCAAGTTCCCCATAGTTTTAATTATCTTTCATTGAGTCCATCTGTCTCTCTACCTACCAAGAACTGGGTAGAGATGAGGACAGAGGAGACGTTTCATGTTTGGTGGTACAACACAGACACACACACTTACAATAATATTTATTACAATACCTTTCTGAAAAAATGTAGATAAGTAGAAATGTTTACTTTTTATGATTAATAAACAGCATGACTTAGTCTATTAAATGTAACAGTTGAAGACCATTTACATTTTTACCGATCTTGGTGTACTCTATGTAGAATGTTTCTGACATAGCCTTTTCCTCTTCTTTGAAATGCTCCATTCCTAGTGAGTTATATATTTAGCTCTCCACCTGTTATTTATTATTTTTGTTTACAGAAAACCATAAGTGCACAGAACACATAAAAGGCCCTATAAAGATGAGTTTTCTAATCCAATTAGGAAGATAATACTTTGGGCAACAGACAAAATGGGCAAAGAGATGAAAATATTTTTATAGTGCAGATCAGAAAAGAGTTTCATAAAATAAGTAGGAAAGAAGAATAAATAGAAGAGAGAATACAGGGGTTGGGGAGCACAGAATATGGGAACATATTATGTTATTTAAAATAGAAATTAACAGCATTAAATAAAAGTGGGACCTGGCCAGGTGCGGTGGCTCATGCCTGTAATCCCAGCACTTTGGCAGGCCGAAGCGGGTGAATCACCTGAGGTCAGGAGTTCGAGACCAGCCTGGCTAACATGGTGAAACCTCATCTCTATCAAAAATACAATTAGCCAGGCATGGTGATGCGCGCCTGTAATCCCAGCTACTCGGGAGGCTGAGGTGGGAGAATTGCATGAACCTGCGAGGCTGAGGCTGCAGTGAACTGAGATTGCACCATTGCACTCCAGCCTGGGCAACAGAGTGAGACACCATATTAAAAAAAAAAAAAAGGCGGGAACCAATAAAGAAAATCTTTTGCCATGCACAAGAGGGGAGTGGAAGGGATAGAAAAAGAAATGGAGCTATCAATCTAAGAGCATTGAAAATATATATCCTGGCAAGTAATCAACAAATTGTGGTCTAGGAGATAGGAGACAGATGGCTAAAATGAATATTAAGGGGAAAAGTAGGTAACTACACAAATCTATAGGAAGAGAAATTTGTGGGCTAGAAGAGATTAAGAAAAAATTTCAGGACTGCAGTTGAGGTTCATTGCTATAAGATATTTGCGCGGGAGTTTTCGGAACCTGATCATTTGAATGCTTATTGGTCAATGGTTTAAAAAGTCATTATTTAGTTAGTGCAAACTCAACAACATTCATTTATTTGGCAAGCAGTTATTGAGCATTAATGTTGTCAAGATACTTTTCTAGGTGCTGGGGGAAAGAGAAGGCAACATGTATTTATTGACTTTCTACTCAGGCATAGAGACTGAGACTTAACTTAGATTATGTCATTTAACCCTCATCATGATCCTACCAGGTCGATTTTAATATTCTCATGTTGGGTTAAGAAAACTGTTGCTCAGAAATAGGAAGCAATGAAGATTAAAAGACTTGTGCCTGTAAGCAGTTTACCACCCAATAAACGAAAGTTGCTTTTGAATATAGGAAAAGATTCTTGTCTCTTGTATTGACTGTTCGAAAAAAAAAAAAAAAAAAAAAAAAAAGGCCCTTAATCTGGAAGTGAAGTGATGGCTTTTTCTAAGATAATAAACTCCCGTTTTTAGATTCATAATTGCCAAGACTGCTATGCTAAATCATTTGAGCCTTAAATCAACAGGAAATGATAATATCCATAATCACTGGAAGGATTGTTATCTACACAGCTTATATTAGTACCCTTATCGTTCTGACTGTGTGAAAGTTTTATGGGACGGGCATGGTGGCTCACACCTATAAACCCAGCTCTTTGGGAGATCGAGGTGGGCAGATCACAAGGTCAGGAGATCGAGACCATCCTGGCTAACATGGTGAAACCCTGTCTCTACTAAAAAAAAAAAATACAAAAATATTAGCCAGGTGTGGTGCCACGTGCCTGTAGTCCCAGCTACTCGAGAGGCTGGGGCAAGAGAATTGCTTGAACCCGGGAGGCGGAGGTTGCATTGAGCTGAGATCACACCGCTGCACTTCAGCCTGGGTAACAGAGACTCTATCAAAGAAAAAAAAAAGGATAAAATTTTATGGGTAGTTTTATGTGCCATAATAGTGATGAAGGTGTTGATAGCAAAAAACAAAACAAAACAAAAACCCTATGCAAGTAATATGCTATCTGCTTTTCTGAAACTTAATGTTATTAATTCACTTAATACTTTAAATTCCTAATACTACACTTTCACCCAGGCTATTCTTTCCGCTTCGGATGAGCAATCTCCTAACCAGTTATCTGTCTTTGCAGCCTCTTAATCCAGTCCATCCTGTATGTTGCCTTTACATGAATCCCCCCAAACCACGGTTATGAACACATAACTATCTTCTCGAAAATATTATCTACAGAATACAGTACAAATTCCTCAGTTTTGGAGGTAAAGCCACCAAAAGCTAGTCACTAGATGTCTTTCTAATGAACTGTCAATTCCACAGGTATGCTGTTTCACGCATAATACTCTAGATATTTCAGCCCTAAAGCTTGCTATTTGCCCTTGTGATAATGTCATCACTATATCACCTACTTCTCAAAACAAGTCTTCTTTCTTCTACTTCATGCCACTGAAATCATCCTTCAACTCCCAAAGAATTTATTTTGTGCAATATATGCCTATTGTTTATTCATGTATTTATTTCTCAAAAGCATATATTTTATGTGCCATTTTTTAGTCTGCCATAGTGACATATATTAGGTGTTCAATGAATACACTTCACACTCAATGAATAACCACACATGCACTGAATATCCTAGCTCACTAATTTGATTAAACATTCACTCATAAATTATTTATTTGCTTCCTGTTTTTATCTGGTACTCTTATAGGCACTGGGGGACAAGAAAGACAAAGTGTCTATTTTCTGGATCTTATATTTCCAAGTGAAGACAGGCAGTCAACTATTTAATAATATGACACAATTGCTTACAAAGAGTGATGAGGACCACAGGACCCTAAAGGAAAATGCAGGGTAAAGTTGGAGAGAGAGAGAGAGGGATAGACAGGAAGTTTAGTTTAAATGCAATAATCAGGAAAAGTTTATTTGAGGCACTACCATTTGAGCAGACACCTAAAGTACATAAACTATAACTACGTAAGTTCAATTTTGAATGGGAACAATAAGCCTAAAGTCTTTTGAAGTCACTGAGCTTGACTACTTTTGGAAAATATACTATAAGAGGAGTGAATATAGAAGCAGGGACTGAGTTAGGAAGTGATTTATTGTAATCTAGGCTGGAAATAATGGTGAGATTCTAGCTACATTTTGAAGGTTGAGGCATTAGATTGTTTGATACTTATAGTGAGATTACATATTTGGAGACAGAATTGATCAGAGAATCTCATGATGGATCAGAGACAGTAGCCAGAATTAGGACTTTGACTCAAATGCAAATTCAAATGAAAGCCTCCAAAGTCTATAATGTTATATATATTAAAATATATATAACATATATATTTTAATATATGTTTTAAAATATATAACATATATTTTAATATATGTTATATATATTTTAATATATATGTATATATTACAAATAGCGAGATTCTGCCAGGCAAAGATAAATCTCTGCACACCTATATTGCTTCTGGGTACTCTAGCACCTAGCTTGGATGTGGGCACACACAAGTGCTGGGGAGTTCTTCTCAAATTTTATTGTGCATTCAAACTGCCTGAAAATCTTGGCAGAATACAGATTTTGATTCAGTAGGTCCAGGGTGGCCTGAAATTCTGCATTTCTAACAAATCTCAGCAGTTGTCAATACTGCTTGTTTGAGAATGGCATTTTTGCAGGAAGGTTTGATGATGATTGATTGGTTGGTTGGTGATTTCCTACCTAAACTAGGAGGAAAGTCTGATTTTCTTAAATAATGCCCCGTCTGGAACAATTTGAATTAAAAAATATTTGATCCTTACAAATAAATATTTATTTATTTTTATTTTTATTTTTGAGACAGAGTTTCGCTCTTGTCTCCCAGGATGGAGTGCAATGGTGCCATCTTGGCTAGCTGGAACCTCCACCTCCCAGGTTCAAGCAATTCTCCTGCCTCAGCCCTCTGAGCAGCTGGGAATACAGGCACGCACCACCACGCCCAGCTAATTTTTTGTATTTTTAGTACAGACGCAGTTTCACCGTGTTGGCCAGGCTGATCTTGAACTCCTGACTTCAGGTGATCCACCCGCCTCTGCCTCCCAAAGTGCTGGGATTACAGGCCCGAGCCACTGCTCCAGGCCTAAATAAATATTTAATATATATTTATTTCTTAAAGGATTAAGGTGATTCAGGAATATATAACACGACTTGTCATTTTTTAGGTTAAAAAATGTTGGAGAGAGTAGATTTTAGTGGTGTCCTTATTGGTGGTATTGTTCCTGTAATAGTTATTAGTATTATTCTGTAACTGTTATTTCTGGCTAGTAGAAACTATGCAATGATAGCATTTTCTCCCATCCTGCACAGGAGCACCTGGGGAGTTTTTATAAAATACAGACAGCTGTGTCCCACTCCTTGGCAATACAGTTAGTATTCTGGTATCTGTATTTTTCAAAAATTATCCCAGCAATTCTTATGTTTAGCTGTGCTTGGGAGCCACATGTATATCAAAGTAAGCTATTGTTATTATAATAATATCATGATTCTAAGATGACAAATTAATAGAATTGGCCTAGGATAAATTAAGAAAATTAAATTTTTTAAATGAAAGCTACCTAATTCCTTCTAAAATATATTCTATAAATAAAACCCTAAATATAGTACCGTAATGTTATATGTATAGGGAACTATTTTAAAATATGTATAAGGCTATAAATGGTGATTATCAATTAATAGCATCTGCTAGTTACATAAATCTGTTTTATGAAAGGCTGATATGTTAAAATTCTACTTGCTTAGAAAAGTATTAAGTGAAATATAATTGTTGCTGCAAGAACTCATTGTAATCTGCAAACCTCCTTGAAGGATTAAATAGGCTCCCTAAAATGTATTCATATGTATGTATGTGTGGATACCCACATACATACATAAAAATAAAGATACGTACATATATATTAGTCCATAGCAAAATTACATAATTTTGTCTTGCATTATATATAATGAGTATATTTAAGGTAGGACAGTACAGGGATATTAGATTTACTTATTAATGAATTGATTTGTCAAAGTGTTTTAACTGAGGACAGATGAGTGAAATTGCGTTGTGATGTCATTCATTATCTTGAGCAATTTTCTTAAGAATTTCACATTGAATATAATTGCCAAACACACTTTTGCAAGGTCATTATCCTTTCAGTATTAAACCTTAAATATTTTCCATTATCATCTAGATCTAATTCATTCAAGTTGTTTTAGAGGTAGCAAATGTATGTCTAAAAATGTTTTCAGGAAAAACTTAAGAGATGTATAAGCTTCCTAAGAGTCTTTTTTTTTCTCCCTTGAAAACCAGGAAGTTTCATTTATCTTTGAGCATCTTATTAACTGAAAATAAAACTGGTCTCATTCCAATTATGTACCAGTAACTCTCTTACAAACTTTGAGCCCTGAGCAAATCCTGTGGGATAATGTGCTTCTGCACGTTGCCAAGAGATCGAGTGACAATCATCATGGAGGCCTTTCACTGCCCAGCCTCATCCCAGCCATGTGCTTGCCCTGGTACAGTGAAATAACTATCTGGTCCTGATAAGAGTTAATTGTAAAGGTGAGTTATTTGGAAACACTTTTCTAGCTTTAAATGTCATCTAGCATTTTTGGATGAGAAATGTAATTTTTTAATTAAAAATAAAATAAAATTCACGTATGTTGAAGTATTATAAAAGATTGGTTTCTTCCTTAGCAGAATGTAGGCTCTGGCAGAAATATAGTTTCAGGTGTGGGTGTAGGAGGGAACCAAACTTGGATGAAACAGGATTTTATCTTCCTGGGGTGGGCTGCCAGTTAAATTTCTGCAAATAGCAATGTCATAAAGCATGGTTTGAGAGAAAGACCATGTGCTTTCTAGAGTAGCATTTGGGAGAAAAACAATAAAATTACAAGGAGGCTGGAGGCTAAATGTAAAAACAAAAAACAAAACAAGAAAAAAAAAAAGCCCTCTCCTCATCCACCTTAAGTCTCGCAGAATAAAAATGCATTTTAAAAATATACTTTGTACAATAACTCTTAAAAATCAAAGTACAACAGCATGAATGTTAAAAGTTCCAAGTGCCTGCTTGATGAACTCTGCTATCTGGGTACTAGGATATCAAGGTTAATTAAAGAAACGACAATGTGGCTACAGAAGACACATTAGCAAAGCCACATACAAAGCTGAACAGCAATTAGAGAGAATCAAAAAACAGACACACAAAATGGAACCTTTGGCAAACCTAAAGATAGACTCTACCTCAGCATCTGTCGTTATGTTACAAACATCTAAAAACCTTACGTTTCTGATTTTTGCTTCTTGTTCCACCAACCTACCCTCCCATACACACACTCCTTGCCTCCACACTTTCCCGTAGCATGGTTTTTATGGGGGAAATTGGAGGCAGGGAAAGGAGTTAGTGTTAAAGGAAGTTGTCTGAGGTGACACAGGGGAAATGACCATGTCAGAATAACTAAGAACAATATAGAAGATAAAGAAAATCAGGTTTTAGTGGAAAATAGAAGTAGTTTCTCTATTAAGTTATAACTCTGTTGAGTTATAAGAAGCGGGTATTTAATTTTCTATCCATAAAATATCTGGCATCGTTTACTTGCTTTTCTCTTAGCAAACAAATCAACAGTCTTCATGGGACTTCATGTAAGTCCGTCATACTTCAAAAACTCGGTAGTGCAGTGGACTTCCTGTTTATTTATTGTTCTGTCTTCCATATTATGCTACCCAAGCTAAGTTTTTCTTTTTTTCTCTCTCATCTTGTCAGTATTTTTCTTTTTTAACTCTCCTGAGTCATTTTTAACATACAGTTAGGAATTTTTCCAGCCACTTGAAAATTCTATACTCTTTTCCTGCCATTTAAAATACAGTATTACAGTAAATTACTGCTACTGGGAAGAACATTCTGACTTGATCAGTGCAACCATGGTGTAAAGTGTGACAGACAGAATTCAAACACTAAGAGGGCAGTCTTAGTTTTTATATACCATTCTTTAGTTATAGATGAGTAGTATATTAGCTGTATTTAAATTAAGACATCAGAAATGTATTTGTATATAGTTGATATTAATTTGTTAACTACAATGGCAATTTCACACAGAAACTCTTTTGTTGGAAACTGAATTTCTCATGTAATAATTAGCTGTGGAATATTACCCCAAACAGGTGTCTGTAGCCTGTCAAAGTCAGAACAGGTGATTTAGAATTAGCGTATTAAAAGAACTGTGAATTAGCGAAGCAAAAACGTGTTAATTTCTTGTTCCATCTGTTAATATGAATTCACTGCCAAATATTTTACTTTGTAGAACTGTGCTGGGATTGGCAAGAACATACACTATAAAAAAAGTTTAAAGGCCTGAATGTTTAAAAATCATGACATACGTTACTGCAAAAATAACTTCTACATTTTTGAACATGCTTTTTTTTTCTTTTTATCTTTGAAAAAAATAACTGCAGAGATTGCCATATAATATAGAAAGTTAACTAAAGAAAACATACGATCAAATGTTAGACCTTTAAAACAAAAATTGGAAGAAAATGTTATTCAAGAATGTTTGATTATAAATGAGGACTAATTCTTCAGTGCTACTTCTCAGATGGATCAGAGAACTATTCTGAATTGCCGAAAGACGTGGAGAAAAATATCTGCTGCTACCATGCAGCTCATATCCAATAATATCCTCTTATACAGAGATGCCATTATAGAAAGATAAATCTTTTTTCCTATCCAAATACTGTAATCCTTTAAAGGATTATGGTGCAATTTAGGTCACTAAACCACAATCTCTGTATAATTCTGAAATCTTTTGTTCATTAGCTTAGTTTTGTTTCCTCCACCAAATTTTACTTGCATGGATAAAATCAAAATACATTATACCCTTAACTCCATATGCATGTGTGTAATCATGTATGGCAGTGGCAGGAGTAGAGGGTGAAGAGGGAAAAAAAAGGAAGGCCCACAATGCAACGTAAACAGTTCTTGAGGCGCATTGCCATTCCAACACATAAAGGAATTTGGTCTGCAAATGGACACGTTTTTATTCTGAAAACCCTAAGAGAATCTAGGGCTAATGAACTGTTGAACCGGTTTGCCATCTTTGTATCTCTTTTCTTTGCAGGCAGATCCATGGGAGAAGAAAGAAATTTGAAGTGAATTGAAATTTGTGAGCTTAGACATATGCTAAGAGTACAGTTAACTTGAGTTACTTTTTCCATGCTGCTGAATTGGGTCCTGAATGAGGCAGTTTTGTGACTTAAACAGATTTCACTAATTTTCCTTCCTTGCACATTTAAAAAACAAACCACACTCTCCCATATTGCTGTTTGGGTTTTAACGGAGCTAAGGCATGCACACCCAATTACTATAAGCACTTTAAGTAAAGCTTAAAGATATGCAGCATGTTCTTAACTGCAAATGATATGATAGGTAGTGTCTTTCCTCTCTAGTTTTATGTCACATCCAAGAGATTAATCCTCTCATGAATCATCCATAATGACTAGAATAATTTGGGGAACTGAATGAAATTTTTCAAATTATTTATATCATGAACTCACAAGAATATGAATGGTGGGTTATGCAAATACAAACCATGCTTACAAAAGCTAAATACAAAAAAAAAAAAGGGAGGGGAAGAGGATTAAGTTTATATTTCTAAAACTGGACGTCTTTGAATTGATACACCGTGTGCTTATTACTTTACTGGTGGGTGATTCCTGTTACAGTTTATGAAACATACAAGGGCAACTTTTATTGTTTCCAACATTTGAGTAGAAAAATATGAATCTTTTGTATAAGGTTACAGTAAATGTACCAAATTCTCTAAGGATTAAGATGTTCATATTATGTGAAGTTCATATTTTGAGAAAAAATAACAACCCTTAAAAATAGCCAGAGATATGTTTTTCTATTTGAAACAGACTGGGCTTAAGTTCTGTAGGTTTTCCTAAACATGATCTCAGACAAAAGACAATTCTCTATCATCATATTTAAGAAGTATGGTGTTACCATATAGGAATCATTAATGAAATAGTTCCAAAATTCTATATCCTCAGTCTAAAAATTCATATAAACCTATACAATACATAAAACATTTTATAGAGTTTTAGATTATACAGTACATCAAAGTTTTAGTTGACTTATCTGAAAAGACATTTTTGGTTTGCAAATAAAAATGCAAAGAGAAGAACCTGTCAGAAAGTAAATAAAGTATGTAAATTAAATAAAAGGTAAGGCAGCTACACTTTTTATATAAATAACTGTGTTAACAGAGCTTTATGCATATTACAATATACTCAGATGCATAGCTTTTGCAAAAATAAATTCATTGCTCCTCTCCAAAGAATGGATTAAAACAATTTATTTTATAAAATTTGGATAGATAAGAAATGTAATAGCGATCCATGGAAAATAAATATAAAAATTATTCAAGCTCCATCTACTTTATGTTAGTAATGAGATGCACTTCATTCAAATTCCTTTCAATTGAAACAGTGCTGAGGAAGCAAAAACATGATTCTGTAGGAAATGATTTCTAATCTTCATGATAACATACCGATATAATACAATCATTTACAATTGACTAAAAGTTAATTTCAATAGTATAACATCTTTCTTGCAAAAATGTCAGCTTTTATTGATGAAACAAACTAAGAATAAAACATTTTTACTTGTAGTATTACAGTGCTGTTTTTCATTCTGTTAACCAAAACAACACAGTAATACTGTAAACAAAAAAATAACATCAGACTGCTTATGTTTGCGTGATTTTATCAAGAACCATAAGCAATGCAATGAAGTACATTAGCTGTGATTTTGGAAAACGCTCAATTCTTTTAGACCATATTCATGCTATTTTCAAAATAAGTGACCATTGGGCTAATTGTGTTAATTATCTATTATGCCTTGAAAGAACATAAAATTAATAATTGAAAATAATTGATCTCGCATATTCAAAGTACAATAAAAGCAAATAATATGCAACAAAGCTATTATCTATCATCATCATGTGTGTATACACACACACACACACACACACACACACAAGTTCATATATGTCTGTGTTTCTCAAATGGGGTCTAAATGTTTGGAGATATTTTTGGTTGTTACAACTTGAGATTCCACTAACATCTAGTTGGCAGAAGCCAGTGATGCTGCTGAATATTCTACAATGCACAGGACAGCCCCCACAACAAAGAGTTATCTGATACAAAATATTAAGCGTGCCTAGGTTGAGAAACCCTGATACATACCTAGGGATTTTATTGTTACCACCTCCCCTTTTCTAATTGATAAATATCAAGTATTTGTATCAACTAACCCTCCTTAGCCACCAAACTGGTTCCACCATCACAGAGGAATAGTATTCATTCTTAAAACATATTTGTGGAGTGTATCCGATGTACTAGGCCCTGTTGTGGGCATTGACATCAGTATAGTACCATTTCTTCATTTAAAGGTTGTTAAATAACTATCCAAGTAAGTGTAGTGATCAGCCTACACTCACTTTGGTGTAGATGGATTTGAACTGAATTTTCTTGACTCTGAGATTTTAGGCAAATCTTTTGTACATGGGAACCTCTGCTCTCAGCAGAGCCAACAGCTGCAAATGGTATCTGTATAATGTTGATTTTTATTATGTGTGTATTTTCTGATGTATTGGCCAAAGTTCCAAATTGCTTTGACTAGGCTCTTTGTTGCTAAATTTTAAAAATAGAGGTATAGCATGAAGGGAAAAGGTTGATTCCACAAGAATAGGCCTCATTAGCTGAACAAATCTCCTTCAGTGTGTCATCTTTTATTACGCTCTAATTTTTCTATTAACAGTCCTTGATAGACTACAAAAATGAAAATACCTTTAGCAATGCACTAACACACAAAGAACAATATGAGATAATATTATCAGAATAAACTCCATAAAAACTTTTCTTTTCTTAAAATATATTATTTTCTTCCTTTTTTTTTTTTTTTTTTTTTGGCTGCCAGGAAGGTCAATACCAAATACAAATTTCATTAGCAGCACAAATACTAGCCCTTATGTTTAATATATCTGTTTGCCCTTTTTTCCTGATTTACTATCTTTTCTTAGGCTATGGGAAAGTGTAAATAAAGTATTTAAGTAGAATCAGCTTCTGTTTTCCCAGGTAGTCTTACTTGTGTCATGTAATAATAACATTATAATGGTCTTTAAACCAAATAACTAACGTGCACTTCTCCGTTGACTTACTCAATGATTTTACAGTTATCACATTCCCCAGCATTTCATGACAGGTTACCAGGGATGCTTGTTCTATCATATTCTTGCTTAAAACAATCTATACATGCCATTGGCAATATAAAGACTCATAATTACAATAGTTACCATAGCTCTTTCATGTGCTAGGCACTGTGTAGTGTATTGTGTAGTGTGTGTGTGTGTGTGTGTGTGTGTGTGTTTCTTATCAACTCAATCCTGCAAACTGGGTACAATTACCCTTGATTTTAAAGAATAGAATCTTGGACAGGGTCAGTCACTTGCCTAATATTATCCAGTGAGCTAGTGCGACCTCAAGAATCCCATGGTGGTTCTTTCTGGCTACAAAGTGCTTGCTTATTTCCCCTTATGGTTCTCTTAATGCATAAGAAAAGTTGAAAATGTTTAATAGAGTATGAGATGAAACTCTAAGACAGAAATTTACTTAGATATGATTTAAGTCTATTTATGGTATTCTATTTTTATTGAATCAATTAAGTAATGATTAATTTCATTCCCATTCTGTTTCTCTCTCCATTCTCCTCTACCTCACAGCTATACCAAAGACCTAACAGCATAGCTTACCATCTGAAGGATTTTTCAAAAAATTGCTCACAGTTAAAAGTTTGCATATTATCTCTTCTTAAATTTTGCTTAAATGTTTGAGGAAAGAGGTTGTGAATTATATTCTTTTCATCAAGAAAGGTATAAAACTGTGTGCTGTATCTAGTTTCTTGTTCATGAAAGACTAAAACTAAGGCTTTTCAACAAATATAAGAATCCATGAATAAATGCAGTGATGCCTCATTTAAATGGAACTTTTTTTCTTTTGGAGATGGAGTCATAAGAATTATATCGTAGAAAAAAGAAAATATTTCAAATTATGTAATTTATTTTACCAGCTGCTTGATTGAGACCCCCTAATGTTCAGCTCTCTCAGTCCTAAGTCATTGGAAGGTAAACTGGATAAGACTCCAAACAGTAGGTATTTGAAATTTTTTTTCGTTTGAATGAGGGGCAAAGTTTCTCTTTTCTCTCTCTTTTCACACTGAAAATATTAACCAGTTACCTCCAGATCAACCTCTTTCCCTCATTATTCAATTTGTAATATGGGACAGAAGGTTTTGATCAGAATGATCAGAATGTATTAACTGATGATACCTCAGTTGCATGTTGATATCATGTTACTACCTTTATTGAGCCTTAGCATTTAAAACTTATCCATATTGCCAAATGAAATGCCCTTTATTTAGTTGAAATAGTTTGGAGGTGTGGAAAGCAAAATTCTAATATGGTATCCAAAATTATAACCCCTTGGCATAAATGCCCAATATAATCCTCTCTTTTCACTACAGACAGGACCTGTGAATATGAGGGATATCACTCCTGTGGTTTGGTGAGGGGATTTTGAAGATGTAACCATGGTCCCAAAGCCATTGACTTTGAGTTAATCAGAAGGCTGCTTCTTCTGGGAGGGCTGAGCTCATCAAGAGCACTCTTTAAAAGATGATCAAGCCCTTCCCCAGAAAAAGGGCTCAAAATAGAAGCAATATTCTCCTGCTGGCCTTGAAGAAAACAATCAGCTATGTCATAAAGTGTATGGGACTTGGGACCTCAGTCTACAACCACAGGTAACTTAATTCTCCCAACACCAGTGAGTTTGGACGAGGACCCTGAGCCTCAGAGGAGATCACAGCCCCACTGACGACTTCATAGCAACTTCGTGAGACCCTGAGCAGAGAACCCAGCAAGGCTGTGTCCAGAATCCTGACCCATGGACACTGTAAAATTATAAATGTGTGTTGTTTTAAGCTGTCAAGTTTGTGATTTGTGATGTAGCAATAGAAAACTAATTCTAAGGGGTCAGAAAGTTGGTGGGATTTGGGGGAAAGGGATGGAAAAAGTGAGAGGAAAAAGACTATCCAAGGGCTGCTCCCACTGAGGAAAACAAAATCCTTCCGCTACTGAAGAGGTGGGTGAATTAAATGGAGGTCTGGATTCAGAGGACTTAGGTCTGTCTTATCCAAGGACAACCCTAATGGTCTTCAGACTAGTTATACTTGTTTTATAGATCCTCTCCTAAGTAATTCTAAGAAGGATTAATATTTTTGTTTGTTTGCCAGGCACTGTGCAAGGCAATTTGCATATATCATCTATTTTGATCTCCATAAGCACCTGAGGTCTATTATTATATATGATTATTAGCCCTATTTATCAGAAGATATAATCGATATGTGTGGGTTACATGTGCCTGTCATTAGCTAGTAAATGACAGAGCCAATGTTCAAACACAGATTTAGCCAATTCCAAGTCTTATGATTTGAACACACTACAGTGTTTACTCTCCTCTAAGCAGGCAGTCGTCTCCCCCTATCTCTACAAATCCGAACACTGTAGTAACCACTGTTTTCTTTGATCTCTGTCCATAAGTCTCAGAACGACTTTCTATGTCTTTCTCACATTTTTGGTAAATATATTAAGGCATTTTTCTGTCACGCAGTATTTTCATTTGAAGAGATGTGCCATATCCTTATATAAGAAATTCACAATTTGCCCAGTAATATTACTGAGATTGTTCCAAAAGATTTTAATAAAGTAGTGGGAAAACAGGTGTTTGAAAAATATTTTTTCCAAAATTAAAAAACAACCTTTGTTAAAAATTCAACGTAAGTACCTCTCACAAACTATTTTTATAGTAAAGTGATTTGTTTGTAAGATACACAGTGCACTTATTTGGCGAATATCTTAAAGAATATAGTATTAACTAGTTTTATTTGATTGGCATGCTCTTGGCACTAAATTTTATTTATATATTTTAAATTACCCTTAATTTGTTTACAACAGTTGCTAAAATTCCATTTGTATAGAAGAACCAGTTTTCCTAAAGCACCGACATGCTACTTGCTTCACTTTAGAGATTTATTTTTTCCAAAGAGTTCATTGACAGTTAAACGCTGCAATAAGAAGATTGATTGTATCTCAAGTTTGATATATCTATATTATTTGGGTTTTATAATTTTACCACTATTATATTTAATTTTTATTTTGGAAGTGCTATGTTTTGTAAAGGTTTAGAGAGCCAATATTTGACCATTTTAAACTACAAAATTAGTAATTTTATTTGGTTCAAACAAAACTTATATTACAAGTCTGATGAAGCACCCATAAAACTAGATGAGTATTGCTTTAAGACCGGTCATACTTTTTTTATTATTATAGGTTCTGGGATACATGTGCAGAACGTGCAGGTTTGTTACATAGCTACACACGTGCCATGGTGGTTTGCTGCACCCATCAACTCGTCATCTACATTAGGTATTTCTCCTAATGCTATCCCTCCCCCAGCCCCCGACCCCCTGACAGGCCCCAGTGTGTGATGTTCCCCTCCCCGTGTCCATGTGTTCTCATTGTTCAACTCCCACTTATTAGAACTTGCAGTGTTTTGTTTTCTCTTCCTGTGTTAGTTTGCTGAGAATGATGGTTTCCAGCTTCATCCATGTCCCTGAAAAGGACATGAACTCATCCTTTCCTAAGGCTGCATAGTATTCCAATGGTGTATATATGCCACATTTTCTTTATGCAGTCTATCATTGATGGCATTTGGGTTGGGTTCCAAGTCTTTGCTATCGTGAGCAGTGCCACAATAGACATATGTGTGCATGTGTCTTTATAGTAGAATGATTTATAATCCTTTGGGTATATACCTAGTAATGGGATTGCTAGGTCCAATGGTATTTCTGGTTCTAAATCCTTGAGGAATTGCCACACTGTCTCCCACAATGGTTGAACTAATTTACACTCCCACCAACAGTATAAAAGCATTCCTATTTCTCCATACCCTCTCCAGCATCTGTCATTTCCTGACTTTTTAATGATCACCATTCTAACTGGCATGAGATGGTGTCTCATTGTGGTTTTCATTTGCATTTCTCTAATGACCAGTGATGAGCTTTTTAAATATATTTAATGTATTTTTATTTTTAAATAAGTGATATTCATTTTAATCACTTGTGAATAAATATATTTACAATCAAATGGCTAAAGATGAATGCAAAACTCTAAGTTCACTTTTTTATTATATACTTTAAGTTGTAGGGTACATGTGCACAACATGCAGGTTTGTTCCATATGTATACATGTGGCATGTTGGTGTGCTGCACCCATTAACTCATCATTTACATTAGGTATATCTCCTAATGCTATCCCTCCCCTCTTCCCCCACCCCACAACAGGCCCTGGTGTGTGATGTTCCCCTTCCTGTGTCCCTGTGTTCTCATTGTTCAATTCCCACCTATGTGTGAGAATATGCGGTGTTTGGTTTTTTGTCCTTGCAATAGTTTGCTGAGAATGATGGTTTCCAGCTTCATCCATGTCCCTACAGAGGACATGAACTCATCCTTTTTTATGGCTGCATAGTATTCCATGGTGTATATGTGCCACATTTTCTTAATCCAGTCTATCATTGATGGACATTTGGGTTGGTTCCAAGTCTTTTCTATTGTGAATAATGCCACAATAAACATACGTGTGCATGTGTCTTTATAGCAGCATGATTTATAATCCTTTAAGTATATATCCAGTAATGAGATGGCTGGGTCAAATGCTATTTCTAGTTGTAGATCCTTGAGGAATCGCCACACTGTCTTGCACAATGGTTGAACTAGTTTACAGTCCCACCAACAGTGTAAAAGTGTTTCTAGTTCTCCACATCCTCTCCAGCACCTGTTGTTTCCTGACTTTTTAATGATCACCATTCTAACTGGTGTGAGTTGGTATCTCATTATGGTGTTGATTTGCATTTCTCTGATGGCCAGTGATGATGAGCATTTTTTCATGTGTCTGTTGGCTGCATAAATGTCTTCTTTTGAGAAGTGTCTGTTCATATCCTTTGCCCACTTTTTGATGGGGTTTTTTCTTGTAAATTTGTTTGAGTTCTTTGTAGATTCTGGATATTAGCCCTTTGTCAGATGAGTAGATTGCAAACATTTTCTCCCATTCTGTAGGTTTCCTGTTCACTCTGATGGTAGTTTCTTTTGCTGTGCAGAAGCTCTTTAATTAGATCTCATTTGTCAATTTTGGCTTTTGTTGCCATTGCTTTTAGTGTTTTAGACATGAAGTCCTTGCCCATGCCTATGTCCTGAATGTATTGCCTAGCTTTTCTTCTAGAGTTTTTATGGTTTTAGGTCTAACATTTAAGTCTTTAATCCATCTTGAATTAATTTTTATATAAGGTGTAAGGAAGGGATCCAGTTTCAGCTTTCTACATATGGCTGGCCAGTTTCATATATTTTTTGGCCACATAAATGTCTTATTTTGAGAAGTGTCCATTCATATCCTTCGCCCACTTTTTGATGGGGTTGGTTTTTTCTTGTAAATTTAAGTTCCTTGTAGATTCTGGATATTAATCCTTTGTCAGATGGATACATAGCAAAATTTTTCTCCCATTCTCTAGGTTGCCTGTTCACTTGGATGATAATTTCCTTTGCCCTACTGAAGCTCTTTAGTTTAATTAGATCCCATTTGTCAATTTTGGCTTTTGTTGCCATTGTTTTTGGTGTTTTAGTCATGAAGTCTTTGCCCATGCCTACATCCTGAATGGTATTGCCTAGGTTTTCTTCTAGGGTTTTTATGGGTTTAGGTCTTACATTTAAGTCTTTAATTCATACTTTCAGCCCAATCTGCTTTAAAAAGTTAAATGGACAAGCCAGGGATTAGAAAGTGATTCTAGTAGCCTGTGAATGTGCATATATACCTTGTAATTTTATACTTATTTACAGAGGAGCAGAATTATTATATTTATCTTCAAAGATATAAGCCCTTTTGTTTATCCTCACCAATCAGGGTTAGATTACAAGAGTTTACTTCTGGTCAAGCTCATGATTTATTCAATTGAGTCTTTTCTCTTTGATAAAGGGATCATTTTGTGAGGCAGGACTATTCCTCCTGAATTCACATGAAGGGAATAGATATGCATATAAAATATATTAGTTTAGCTTTCTAATGGGCGGGGGTGGATAGTTCACTACCTGGGAGAATTTAGAGTCATCTACAAACTGGAGAATGCTTGATCTCCTTCTGCTTTTAGACAACTTTTGTCATAAAATTCATAAAATAGAATTACTTCTGCACCTTCCATATATCTGTGCCACTAAGTTAAATAAGTATTTTCACCAGAAATGCAGATTTTTCAGCCCAGAATTTCACACCACATTGGACTGAAATTTTCAAAAAGGATATAAAGTGTCAGAATTATTTTTAGTCAGAGCAAGAAGTATTATTTATACCTTGCTATAGTTTTTTATGTGAAAGTTTAAACAAAAAATTAACTTGGGGAGAAAGTAAAATCTGTCAGTTGAATTAAAAGTCCTCTTTAACAGTCTTATAGGGACAAGAATGGTGGTACTGATTGTGGAGGGGGTGATATTTTAAATGTAGAATCACACAGAAGGAAAGAGGAAGAAATTGATGGATATGGAACACCAAGAATGCAATCTATAGACATCTGATATTCATATCTTACGTGATCATTTCAACATGCCTATGTAAAAGAGGTTACGTCTATTTGGCAGGTGAACAAATTGAGGTTAACGAAATTAAAAACTCATTCAAGGACATGCTTATAGCAAATATCAAAGTCTAAAACAAAACACTGTCCTATTTTAGAAACAGAGAAGTTCTTAACTTTTTTTATAAAATTACCTTGGTTGTTGCTTGATTAGATTAACCTAGTGGGATCATATTCATTGTTTAAAATCCTTAAAGAGCATTGATTCTATCTCTATGTCTCTATCATCTGTCTCCATATATATGTGTCTCCATATATATGTTGTCCCCATATATATGTTGTCTCCATATATATGTATATACATATATATCTAGACGGATGTATATAGATACATCCGTCCATGTATGTATTATACATACATATGGACAGATGTATTATACACATATATACACATATGGAAAGATGTGTTATATACAAATTTTGTATACATATTTAATCCACACATTCACTGAAATATTAAACTCTTTGCAACCCAGAAATGGTGCTATATTAGCATTAAGCAAATTTCATAATGAAAGTTTCACGCTTAAAAATATCCTACATCATAAACTCTATGAAGATATTTTAAAGAGACAATGGTGGCAATATGTGTATCTTGACCATCTATCAAGTAATCATAGTGACTTGTGGAGACAATTTTTATACACATAGCTAAAGTTTATCACATATTGACTGTTGCCTTCTTTATTAGTGCTTTTGTCACCTTTAAGAAAATGATAAATTGACAAAGCTGAATATTTTTTGGCTAAATTCTAAATGGGTGAATATGACAAGAGGCAAATACTGATGAGATGTTCCTGAAGTGTAATAAACAAATGGGCTTTGTTTATTATCTTCAAAACATTATTAGTGTAGAGACATTGAACAGCTCTCCTTTAATAATCTAAGATTTAACAAGTAAATAGTGAAAAGGAATGCAAATATTAAGTTTCAACTCAAATATATATTCTTGGTGTTTGGGTATTAGATATAACACTTCAGGAACATCTCATTCATATTTGCCTCTTGTCATGTTCACTTATTTAGTATTTAGCCAAAATACAGTCACCAGGAAAGGGCAAAGATGATGGTAAAAAAACTAAGGGCATTGTCTTAGAGTTCATGCTGAGGGTTTGACTTATAGAAAAAAAAGTGTAGTCAGACATTGCATACACATTAAGGTATTCATTAATATAGTTATTCCATCCATACAATGGTGCAGTTGCTACCAAACTTGTTGGTTTGGTAGTTCCCTCTGAGAGACAGGTCCTGTAGTAATTTAATATGTAACACACCCAAGAGTGCCAAATTCCTCTTTTCTAACTTGTACACAATTGGACTCCATTTCCCAGCCTGCCTTGCATTTGGAGTAACCACATGTTTATGTTCTAATCATTGGAATGTAAGGGGATGAGATGTGTGCTATTTATGGGACAAGACTGGTAAGTAGCTGTGTGTCTTGTCTATGTTCTCTCTTTGGACAGAAAGGATGAGGCCTCAGGAGGAAGCATAGCCACAGAATGCAAGGTACCAGGGTCCCTGAATCACTGCATAGGGGAGAGCTGCCTAACCAAGAACCCCCAGTGCTTACAGGAATGTAGAGTTCCAGGTCTGAATGTTTGTTTCAGTTAAGCAATTCTACATTTCTGGCTCATCTGTTGTATTAGTTAGGGATACACCAACTCATACACTGAGGATCCTATATGGACAACCAAATGGATGCTTAGAGATAACTTGAAACCATATGTAAAAGTATATACAGTTTACTAAGTTTTCATATATGAAAAAATTATGATTATATATAGTATTAGCAATTAATTCTTCCTCACCAAGGCCACACCTGATCCTGAGGTCTCATCCTGTTCAGCTTCATTTTAATCTTTGAATGTGCCAAATCTGTTGACCAAATTGAATGATGTATTTCCATGTGCCACACTGGTACCAACAGACCTGGTCCCTTCTACATAGGTATCAGGTTAATCACACTCCTGTAGGACGTTCCCAGACTTTATGCCCCTTTGAATAGGTTTTATAGTTTGTCTATACACATTTCAATTTTCCTTTTATAATCCCAGATATTTCATTTATCAAATGTTATTAAACAAAATCACATGAGGTAAGTATCTTGCTGCCTCATTTACAAGTGTATTATAGATTTTTGTTGATATAGGAGGGAGAAAAATGAAGACTTTGTTGGTTGATATCTGCCTGAAAGATGACAACCCTTCCTCTTTAATATTACTCAAATGCCCTTTCCAACATGGTTGTTTCCAAAATATTCCATGAATATTTCCCAGGTAAACAAACTACTTGGCCTGTCTTAATTCATGGTAAAACAATTTAAATTTTCACCACTTATGACTTACACATTCATGGAAAACACTTGTATTTTGCCTACAGAAGAACTCTTTAGATCCTCATTAAGGACTGTGAGTGTTTATTTTAGACACAATTTTAAGAAAGTAGTTTTCTCAACTTGTAGCCAAACAGGAAAAGGAGAGAGAGTACCATGGAAAGAAGCACAAAGCGTAGAAAAAAGTGGCAGATAAGGGTAAGACTAGAAGGTGAAACTTCATATAATAAGGGGAAAATTCAGTGTAGGATTCAATAATCTCTCATATCTCAACGATTATTGAGGGCCACTCTGTAACATTACATAATGTAATATATGTTTATAATGAGATGTCATCAATAAAGCATTATATTAAATTAGATACAGACAAGGTATGAGAAAGTGTGGTAAATATTTAGAGGATTTCCATCCAAAATGTTGGCTACTATCTCTTGATGCTTAAAAAGGAAAATCTGACTCACTGGGAAAATAGAACCCAAACAAATTTTCAGAGTGGTGAGGTTTGACTCTGTCTCTCTAGACTTACATAAAGCATTTTGCATGCTGATTTTAATTACTGCAGTGTGTATTTGTTCAAGTATGTTTCATAATGGATAAGTTGAATAAAAAAAGTTTAATCCTTCATTATTTTTTAGACCTTGAACTAGAACTTAAGAAAACTCAGTACTTGCTTTTTATATCAGACACATACTCTTGCTCTTGAAGAAACAATGAAAGGAAGGACCCAGTGCTGGAAACATGAATCAATATGACATTGTAGCAAAGTTAAAAAAATAAGGATTTTAGAGTCTATCAGAAGTATGTCCCAAAAAGCTTTTTGCTACACATGCATTACGTGACCCTGAGCAAGTCACTTTTCTCTGACCTTCACAATTATGATATCTGTAAAGTGGGGACAAAAATTCTCATGTTAAATAAGATAATAAGTGTAAAACAACTAGCACAGTGTCTGCTCTTATTATTTGAATTACTTTGATAATTTAATTATTAAATTCAATTTACTTTGATAATTTATAATATGTAAATTATTGTGATAATCACTTCCCAAATATTGAGATCCATAGACACTATTGCCATATATGTGAGGAGATTAAAACCATGCATGTGGATTTTATTAACATATTTTCTGATTAAATCTTTTCCTAAAAGTAGTATGAGACTGACATTAATAAGACACTCAGTTTGTGTGGATTTGCTCAAATGAGATTCAAATCGATTTAATGAGTTTAAGTTTGAAAAGTACCAACACGTCCTAGAAAATAATTATTAGGAATTTTCTTTATGGCACTAATTTTCCATTCACATGAATGAGGCTTAGCGAAGCTGTCATAATCATCTTTTAATGATACAAGTAGAAATTCTTACAGATGATGTTATAATGATAAGGTAAAACAAAGTGCTGTCAATACCATGGTGTACTAAGAGGATAATAAAGAGTTTCAGTATTACGAGATGCTAACTAGGGATTACATCAATTTGAGGTGTAATCCTAACATTACCTTTTTTACCATTTTTTCCACATGGGAATTCATAGTGTGGATTGAAGTACTAATATCTCTATAGCAATACATACGTGGATGAGATATCTGAGAACTTGATGTGATTTAGAGCCCGAAGAGAAGTGATAGGGAACAAATCAACTCTAGTTATCTATTTGTTTTGGCAATTGATAGATAAATAGATGCCAGGGAATAAAAAGATGAGTAAGAGGTTCCCACTGGAGAGAATGATATCTATGAACCCAGGGCAGTATAATTTAACAATTAAAATGATAAGTCTACAAAATGACATAGGAATGTAGAGGAATGGGCCGAGCTAAAGGTAGAAGATCACACAGAACATTTGTCACTAAGATTAAATGAGATACTGTGTTCAAAACATGTGGCCTAGTAATAGTCCTCAATTATACTGTTTTGTGGTGGGTTTCTTTTTTCTGTATTATTTCCTGACTGCATATACATGAAATATTCAGGCTCTCTGCTGAATATTTGGCCTAGCCTGGAATATAGCACTTTATTTCAATAATTGTAGCTCTTCTTAGTTTCCATGGTTTGAGAGACATACAAATAGTTACAGGAAGACTTTTCCTTTTAATTTTCCTATAGTGCTTGTGAGTAAGACTGGCAATAGCTTTCCTCACTGTGCTCCTTACATTCATCATAACAAACCTGAAACAGAAGGATATACCTGTAAGAGAGAAGATCACCAGTGTCACCTGAAAATGGCTTTGATTTGCTGCTAAAGACTAAAATGTTTTTCCACACAAAGGGGGTAAAGGAGAACAAGGAAGAAACCATGACCAGACAACAGGCAAAAGATCAGGATGACAGGGTCTAAGGAGCCACCCAGCAGAGAGTTATCAAGATGACATTTGCACTGTGGGCTGCTACAGGAAGGTGCAGAGTCAACCATGTTCACACACAGAGTACTGCAGACTCAGTACATTGCTCAAGTTGAATGCATTATGGATGGTGTGCAAACTTGTGATCTCTCAGCATAGTACAATCAATTGCTTCCCAATTTTGTAACCTGTCCACTTAGTGTTAAAACTACTTCAGTTATCAAAACAACTGACTTTATTTGGGCTTAAATCCCCTCTCTTGCTAAGGCTTAATTGTCAGAGTTGCTCTTACTATTACAGTAATAATAACAAATTTAGGTCAATTTGTTAGTTCAGTCATAGGAAAGGCTCCCCCTCAGGAAGATACTGGGGTACCTTTTTTCTTTCTGCTTCACTTTGGACACTAGCTTTACAATCTATAATATGATTTCTCAGGTAGAAGAAATACAAATAAGCATATAACCTAAGGAAAAAAAGGTATATTTGGCTATTATCCTTAGCAAACTAACTCAGGAACAGAAATCCAAATACTGCATTTTCTCACAAGTGGGAGCTAAATGATAAGAACTTACGAACACAAAGAAGGAAACAGCAGACACTGGGATCTACTTGAGGGGAGAGGGGAGAAGATCAGGAAGAATAACTATTGGGTACTGGGCTTAATACACAGGCGATGAAATAGTAAGTACAACAAACCCCCATGACACACGTTTACCTATGCAGCAAACCTTCACATGTACCCTAATACCTAAAGTAAAAGTTTAAAAAAATGTGAAGATCGAGTTTCTAAAAAAGGTATATTTTATTAAAATCAGAGCTGGTAAGACCCCCATCTCATAGACCAAAACGTTCTGAGATCTAGATTGGGTTTTCACTGAAGCCTAACTTTTTACCCAAAGGTTTCTGAGAAACTACCTTACCGGATGGCTTCCACTTAGGAAGATATTCTTAGGGTGCAAGTGCACAGAAGCAGTTTAGATTCTATTGTGCTATTACATTGAAAAACTACTTCTAAATTCTCATTCACCTTCTACATCACCTAGCAATATGCTTATGAAAGCTGTTTTCTTTCTTGTAACTACAGGTGTCAGATGCATCACAAAAGCAGAAGTGCCCTTTCAGCTCTTCTCTGTGCCATTCCTTGTCAATTTCATGCTGCCTACAGCAACAGCATAATACTGCAAACAGCCATGATGTCACTCGAAGTGCTCTGTGATTGACAGAGAGGGACAGTCGTAGTCAGAGGTGGCTCCTCAGAGAATTCAGAACTCACTCGCTGTCCTCCAGGGGCTCATCCCTTGATTTGAGGGAGGGATGAAATATTCTCTGCATGAGAGAGCAGGGATGGGAAGTGATATAGGTATGTAAGGATGGTCAGTTACTCTAAATGTAGTTAGACAGGACAGCCAGAATACCGAGGTCTTGGTTAGGTTCTCTGTAACAAGCCGTAGAGGCCCAGAAATGTGGTGACAGCGAGGCACATTTCTTAACTCTTACACTTGTTGAAATGAGTAGAAGGTGACATTTGTTTGGAAATCCCTCCCCAGCCTTTGTTCCCAGAACTCAGTATTCATTTTCCTGTGCCTACATACGTAGTTCCTTAGATAAACACTACTACTGCAACAAATCATAGAGTGCCAGGCATTACCAGATGGTTACATAGAATTAAAAATATATGCAAAAAAATAAGTTCTAAAGTAAAAATGGATAAAGATGTAACTCTCACTAATTCCTAAAATTGCTTGTTATTACAGACCGGCTGCTACAAACACCGTGTCTTTATCTACCCGAAACTTTGTTCTCAGCTTCCTTCTCCCCTGACATTCTCAGTACCTCTCTATTCATGAAATCCTACCCATTTATTAAGGACCAGCTAAAGAAGAACATCCTTGATGAAACCTTTCTTGGTAATTTATGTGTGGTGATTACAGCCTTTTCTGAAATCCTATTGTCTGCCTTTTATTTGTCCTTTAATCTTGACTGTTCTTTCCTACCATTTTAGGGTCTCTTCTCCTCAACAGAATCTAACTTCCTTGAGATGAGAGACCATGTTTTAAGTTTTTCCCTCTTCTGAGCCCACATGACTTGGACAAGGTAAGTAATCATAGGGAAAAGAACAGGGGCTTTCAAGTCTACAGGGTGAGAGTGAGTTGTACAGAATTACAAACTGTGTAACTTAAGCCATGCCTAATTAGAGAAAGTTTCTTTCAGGAAGAAACCTTTTCTCTCCATTTTCCCCTTTGTTTTCAAATGGCATTTTTCTATCTTTGATGGAAGATAAAATAATCTGATGGAATCAGACTACCTAGATTTGAATCCAGATTTCATTGGATGCTTACCATATGGCTTTGGGAAATATATTCACAGCCCCATGCCTCAGTTTCCCCAACTGTAAAATGGGGCTACTAAAAATAATTTCCTTTAGCATCACCCTGAGTATTAACCAAACTAACATATATAAAGTGCTTAGAAGAATGCCCAAGACATATCGAATGCTCAATAAACACTGGCTATTATTTTGTTATGATTACATTTCTTCTCATTAGCTTAGAATTCAATTAAATTTTCTTCTGGTTTCTCTCCAAGTAGAGGTCACCTGTTTGCAGAAAGAGTCCCACTGGCTGGAAAACAGTGATCTAGTAACAAGAGCCATTGGCTGGATGTTAGAGAACCTGAATCCTCCAGTCACTTCTTTGGACTAATCACTGACATTTTTGCATTTTGGAGTGCCTTTGGCAGATGATGCTGGAAAGTGGCTGTCCCCCAAAGGCTACACTTCCTAGTAAGAAATAAGCAGAAGTGATGTGTGTCACTTCCAGTCTAAGTAGGACCCTCCTCCTCTTCATTCCTTTTCCACTGGCTTGATGTAGAGAAACAGTGGTCTTAGAAGCCACATGTTGAAGACACTGGGTCCATCACATGGGAAGAGTCAGGGTTCCTGGTTTAATGGCTGCAGGAAAGCAGCCTGCCAATCAACAATGTCCATGCTGAACTTCACATGAGTGCAAAATAAAATTCTATTTTGTTTAAACCATTATCTATTTTGGGCTTTGTTACAGCAGCTAGTATTATCCTAACTAGTATGTTTGGAGAGAAGTCTACCAGTCTTGAAAAAGTTAATTATCAATCCATTAAATGTCAAAATGTCAGAAGCACTAAGTAAATGCATGTGGCAATATTTTCTTGTTTACCTAGTGCTTATATTCAAAGAACATTAGGTTACGCTTGCATAATAGGTTGGTGGTTCAAACCATTCATAAATTTAAGTGCTGTGGGTTCCAGAGTATGTAAGAATAACAACAGAGACTGTCTTAGAATCTTTAAGGTGCTTATTGAGTAGGAATTCAGTTATGGGGAAAGGAAGGGCTTAGAGGAGATGATCATTTATCATTATGACAAATACCAGAAGAGTTTTAAGTAAAGAAATTGACTAAGACTAATTTACCATTGAGTTACATTTCCAGAACTTTATTTTTGTCAAATGGACTTAGAGTAATTCAAATATTTATCCTTGATTTTGCTGTTGTCTCTGCCTTAACTATAGAACTTTCAAACTGAATAGGCAAAAAAGTAGAGATTTTACCTTTGAGTTTTTGTGTTAAACATTTGTCAGCAAATGATACCTAAACTTGGATTTGAATATGAATATCCCATGATCACATTATCCTTTTGACACTTAATAGTTGCAAAACATATATATTAATATTACTTTCCGTTTCCTTCCTCCCAGAACACCCAGCCTGAAGACCCTTACCTAAGAAACTTTTAGTCTCTGCTTTTCATCAGGTGCTTAGTAAATTGTGCATCATTAACAAAGCCTGACATCTTTGACACATTGATGTGGTTTAAGACACCAAAGTCAGTTTAATCTATCCTCTGCCGAAATAAATAAAATCACACTCTAAACTGTGCGAAATGGATATGTTTTGGGATAGCCTTTAACAATCAGTGGGTCTCAAGACAAGAATATAAATGGAGATGTGCAGACCATGTGTCTAAATATTTAACAGTTGTAAATCCAGCTAACAAACTTCACAAAATCATTTTCAGGAACACTTTGTTGTGAGGACTAAATATGTTAACACATGTTAAGAGTGTAGAAACACACCTGGCATGTATGAGGACCTAATAAATGTCAGTTGCTAGTGATGAGGATGATGACTTCCTCTCCTCTAGAGCATTACTCGATGAATAAATGACTCAGTGAATGCTTATTGGGTGGTGAAGATTCTCGAGACCATTGGGTGTCTTCTTGATTAATAATAAAGTGTCCAAGAGGGTGGTATCAATACAACCAGACCCCAAATGCATACCAAAGGGACTGTAACAAAAGACTTTAGACACTGGAGCTTCCATGGGTATTAATTCTATACTGTTTAATAATGAGAATTCTAAGATAATTTAAATTTACATTTATATTTATGTATGATAAGCTAAGTGAAATCTAAGTGCTAAAGGAAAAGTTCGAAGAAAACTGATTACAATCAGTAATTCTGGTACTGTTGGATTGGAACTTTGGCTTAGTAATGTTATCACTTAAAACTAATGAGGTCGATATATATTTCTAGAAACAATCAACAATAGCTTCTAAATTATAGTTGTGTTTCCTAGCACTGCTAAAATAAATGGTCTTGTAAAATTCCTATTATAAGAATTATTTTCAAGTACAGAAAACTCTGCCATAAATTATTTTACATGAATAATTATTTTTAAAAATCAATAAGACTATTTTAAAGTTTTGGAACTAAAATAAGATTTTCTTAAAAATTACTTTGGAAGTGATTTATGAAAAAAATCAACCTTTCTATTATAATAATTTTTAAAAGGACTGTCTTTTCTATTAAAAATTTAATTTAATTTTACAGGCTGTTACTCTATAAATAGAACAATCCATTTTAAATGGACAAGGTGAAGTATATAAATGACATTATTAGTGTTGCTACTAACAAGTTTTGAACTATGCATATTTACACATAAATAAAACCAAACCAAAGAGGATACAAATCTTTCAGTAAATGAATATTAGGGGTGGCATACCAATTATTTCCTTAGTTCAAGGTATAAATGGATCAAAATAATTGAGTAATATTGGCATCTTCCTGCATTATATATTGAGAAAATACATTTGTAAATAATTAACTAAAAAAAAGCAGCAACACTTATATAAAAACTATTACATTTAAGATTGATCTTAACTTTCTCCTTTTATAATATTCTGTTATTGGCTGGAAGCTAACTGTCACCCCAAAATGGCTGATGAAATTTAATAGTCATTGCAAAACTCAAGCTACTGTATTTTAAAATAAGAATAGGATGTGCTTATATACAGAAAAGCCCACTATTATTTATACTCATTGTTATTAATATTAATTTGGGGCACTTGGCTGTAGCTGTCTAATAGCACCACTGTGAAATAGCCATCGCGTTAGAGGTAGTTATGGCTTTTCAAAAGTGTCTTAAAACTTCCCAGTTTCTAAAATACTTTTATTCTAAACATTTTAAATATGCTGTTTCTATGTAACTGAGTTTTTGATTAAATTTCTCCAGTGTCTGGGTACAACTCTTAAAAGATTCCGGAATTCTTTACCAAGAATTTTCTTTTCAGCGCTAGTCTCAGCTCTAGCCTTGGTGAAGAGAAGGTGGGCAATGATAAAATGGGTAGATATAGAGGGGCAAGGTTCAAACCTCATCAGTTTGAATTCAAATCAGCCCATTCAAATTAAAACATGTAACTCACTGAACGTTTGCTGAGTGCTAGTCTTACCAGGTTTTAACAAAAGTGGCAAGAGAGGAAGATAATGGGATCCTGTCTGGATTGCCTGGCATCTACCAGCACACTGCCTCCTGGCCTGCTGTTGGGGTTCTCTGAAGAGAACCCACCTGGTAATACACTGAAGTACTTTAGAATTAGAGAAAAAACTATAACATTTGATTTTGAACAATCATATATGCTTTGCTTTTATGGCATAACACTTAGCAAGCATTAGAACACACACAAATGTATGTGCCTGAGTGTGTCTGTGAGTGAGTGAGTGAGGAGGGAGGGAGGGAGGGAGAGAAACTGTGTTTGCATGTACATGTCTGCTGCTTTTCCATACAGATTGTAAACACCTTGGGACAGGTAGTGTCTAATGTATCATCATATTCATTGTCATCCCCAAGTACCCCCCAAAATACTTAATCGAATACCATTCAAACTGTCTTTAGTACATTTTGCAAGTGCATTGAATTCAGTTAACCAATTTATTTGCTGTATTTCTGATAGAAATTATCAAACCAGGGTTAAATCACCTGGACTTTCAAAGTCAAATCTGTTTGAAACAGTCTGTTGCTCTCAATAATTCTCTTAAAAATCTATACTTAGGGCATTCTGTTGTGATCAGCTCAATGCCACTTTCAGGCCACAGAACAGTACTGTGTATCCTCTCACTGATGATCTCACTGGCCACTTCATAACACCCTGTCTTCTTCCTTCTCTTCTGTCTTTTAAGTCCTTTCTGACAAATCTCTTATTTCTTGACCATACCCACACTTAGCTGGCTCTGTTCTTTTCTACCTCGTTACCTGCTGCCGGCTATCATACTCTACTTGAGAAGTGAGTAATCTGTGTTTCCCTCATTTCTAAATCTCTTTTGTATCCTCAGCCTAACCCATTCCAGCCATTTACTGTTAAAAAGTATTTGAATCTGATGATTACCCCAAACAGTTCAGGCTCCCTGTTCCTCCTCCTACATTGTGTATCCATTATTACACACTATCTGAGTATGTCAAAAAAACGGTTGCAACTTGAAAGTGCATGGGCTAAAACAATTCTCAGGTGCATTTGATTGGGTTCACATAATGCCACGTCATGTGTAATGTTAAAAAAAAGTTTTCTAAATTTAAATATATGTTATATGAAAATCCAGATTTCTGGTTTCTCTTGGAAGACCAGAAGATTTGGCAATATTGCTCCACATTCTGGCATGCATCAATGGGCTATAGTTGAATAGCCGCTGCCCTTTTTTTTTTTCTTTTTTTGGATGGGACAAACTCGAGTTTGGGCTTGTTGCCATCATTTCCTATTTTCCTTAACCCTTAAACACCACCACTTTATTCCCTTACATTACCAGCCGTAAGCGCTTTAGCCTGTGTTTCCTACTTTAATGTGTTCTGAACTAATGTCTTATTTAGCTCTCCTTCCTCAATACTTAGATCTTCTATTTTACTGAACCCCAACCACCTCACTTTCAGCATCCCTTTACTCTACCCTTCTCCTGATCGTAAATAGCTATTGGGAAAGTCATGGAGCTGTGTTGATCAAGCCCACTAGATAGTTTGCTATCTGCTTTGAGCTTGGCTGTTGCTTGGTAGTTATCACATTACACTCTGACAGTTTCATTAATTATTCAAATTGCTTGTAAACTCCTTAAAGATAGGGACTCAATTGTTTATGCCTTTGCAGCTTGAGTACCTAAACTTGCCTGGGTATTTAAGAAAGTCCTTTCATTTAGATATTTATTCAAAGTTTATTATGAATGACTATTGTAAAGAATCAGATTGTCTAGTTGTTAGGTTTCACGTGGTATATGAAAACCAGTAAAATTTAGCAGCTTTGAAATAATTCTTCTTCCTCTTTTTTTGGTTATTTTTCTTCTGGCCTTACCTTAGACTATGTGAAAGCCACTAGGTAAGAATTGAAAGGACAAGTAATAAGAATAATGCATCACACCTTTGTTAAGAGGGCACCAGATTTAAGGTTTCTTTACTTGTCCTTTATATAAACATCTCAGAACAAGTGAGACCCTACAGATGCTGCATATTGCAATTCCTGGGCACATCTGGGTGGGATAAGCAGGAAGAAGCTTTGAATCTCTCCAGCCTGTGCCCTGCTTTCCAACCAGGGTTTTCCACCCTGTAAACTGCTATCGTGTCTACTGCCTTCCACAAAGATTTGAAATTCATCGAACAGACAAAGTGTATACTTAATACTCACATGAGGGAATACAGAATGCCTTTCAATACATCAAACTCCTAAACCTTTTACATCCTTCATTTTTAAGCTACATGGATTTTGATTTGTACAATTTTAAAAATATTCTGAAGCCTAGTCAATCTAACAGTAAAAGCACTGTTGCACAGTAAGAAATCAAGAAATACAATTCAGCAAACCTGGTATAGTTGGTCCCCAGGGAAGCTTTGTTCCAATTTGGTTTGTCATAGCCCAGATCCATCATGTCATGCTAGCCTAACTTACTACTACTGTCTTTCATTTTTCCCCCTTTTTGGCACACTCCAACTATTTTCTGTTAAACTAGTGCTGTCACAAGAAAACATATAAAAATGCTCTTTTGCAAACACACTGTTTGGTTCTCTCCTGAACTCTCCAGAGCTATGGATTTCTCTCACTGTCTTCATCAGGGGTGAATGTTGACAGATCACTGAACCTTACTGTCGGTGGTGACAGGCTTGATGCTGTTTTGTGCAAGGTGGAGAAAAAACAAAATAATAAAAAAAGGTTTCTGTGCCTTGCATCTAGAAGGTCCCTGATTCAACAACAAAGGCTTATGTTCAAAGATGATTAGCTTAAAGGCATTTCAGAGATTTCTGATTGTAGCAGCAGTTGGGTGTCTTGCTACTGGGTGAAATATGTATTCCCCCGAGAACAAAGGCAGCAGCAATCCTCTTCTGCTGAGATGGCACCTTTAATAATTCCATGTATTTATCAGTATGTGTGTCAAGATCTTAGGGATTTTGCCCTTCAGGTGAAGCTAAGAATAGATAGAGTGGATAGGGTCTTAAACAGTCCTTTAAGGTGTCTGCAGACAAAAAAAAAAAAAGTGTCCCGAGGAATCTAAGGGAATGAGAAGAAAATATTTTTCTTGTGGATGAAAATGTACACAGCACAGAAAAATAACTCGGAGGTTTCTAAAAGGAAGACTGAATAGCCCTTAGGTTATTCAGAAAGCCTTAAGATAAGCTAGTGCTCAAAAAAATTGTGCAACACTATTTTTTTTCAAGTTTGAATCAAGTAAATCTCAAGAATTACATGTTTTAAAATTTAAAACTTTAGAAAAGGTAATTTTTTTTTCCAAATACAATCTACAAGCTATGTGCTGTTGCCATGGATTTCTCCTACATAACCATTCTGCATGTTGTGTACGTGACTCCAAGGGGAAAATGGTCAGTATGCATTCGGAAGTGTAGGATGTGCACAGGACTGAACTGAGTGTGCATACATATGAGTGACACTCTCCCTGTGGCCTATGGCCTTGAATGACACCTTCTGTCACCATGGGAGGCCGATTTATATACTATTGAATCACATGGCACTTTTTCCCATATGGGCTTGCACTGGTCCTGCTTCTTCGTGCTTCTCATCAAATGCAAAGAGCTTTCATAACTACATGTGCCAAGGTGTATGAGTTCTGAACCATCAGGGAATACCAGGAACTTGAGGAGATAACTTTTCAAAGTATGACTCCGATACAACCTCTTAAAGTTTGGAAGATCAGAAAGTCAGTCTGAATGGAACATTCAGCATCCTTCACCTGAAAGGCATAGCCTGCAGGGGTGAGATATGTCTGGGCATTCACCTCCCCTGGAGAGACCCACAGAGCAGAAGTCTCAGACATTTCTTTTTTTCTTTTTCTTTTTTTGGGACAGAGTCTTGCTATTGTCCCCCAGGCTGGAGTGCAATGGCGCGATCTCAGCTTACTGCAACCTCCACCTCCTGGGTGCAAGCAATTCTCCTGCCTCACCCTCCCGAGTAGCTATTACAGGTGTGCACCACTATGCCCAGCTAATTTTTGTATTTTTAGTAGAGTTGGGGTTTCACCATGATGGTCAGGCTGGCCTCAAACTCCTGACCTCAGGTAATCCACCTGCCTCGGCCTCCCAAAGTGCTGGGATTACAGGCGTGAGGTACCGCGCTGGGACTCAGACATTTCTTTAAACAAGATCAGAGGCCCCCGAGAGCCCATTCTATCTTCCTCTTTGTTTTGGAAGTGAACTTTCAATGACACATCTGGGATATCTGTTATTTTCAGGGTGACAGGCTGATGTCATAAAGTGATTTCAAGTTTACAGTGAAACCGAGCAGAAGACAAGATGGATTTTGAGAAAGGAAGAAAGCGCTTGTCCTAAGTAGTACGAGAACAGATAATTAGATTAAGTCTAATCTCTTCCAATGTGTTTTGGGGCACATTTCATTAAAGTCAAAAGCAGACTTCCCTTCTAAGGACTAATATAATTTATTTTGTTATTAGTCAAATTTTATATCAGCATTAGACAAAAATAAGCTATATGAATATATATGGAATAAGTTTACGCCAAGAAACAGAAACAGAATTATACATTTGTTCAATTGAGTATTCCACTCTCAAAAACTCAGGTCAAACCATTTCACCTCTAGAACTTTAGACTCCTAAGAATTATGTATTTACAGTCCAGATGGGCTCTACCCACCTGGCTATATATAGCCATGTGCCACATAACAATGTTTTGGCCAACAACAGTCCATATACTAAGGGTGATCCCATAAGATCAATGCCGTAACATGCCGTATAAGTTCGTGGTTTAGAAACAATAGGTTCCATCATATCACCTAGGTATGTGGTAGACTATACCATCTATGTTTGTGTAATTCCACTCTATGATGTTCACACAATGAAGAAATTGCCTAATTATGCATTCCTTAGAATGTAATCCTATTGGCACATGACTGTATTTTAAAAAAATAACAAATTTATGATTTCCTGCCGATGCATTTCCATTTTACTAAATCCTTTGATTCCTGTATAGTTACTGAGATTCTCTTTTTCTCTATTTTCTTCTTAGAACCATGGCAATTTTTCTGAAGAAAATAAAAGGAAGCAGTGCATTTAATTGTATAGGAATTCATTACATGTATACATATGGGTGAGCACACTCACATGCAGATGCACACAAACATGAATATGATTTCATATTCGAGTTATGCTATGCTTAGACAAAGCTGGGATTTCAAGAGAGTCAAATTACAAAGAAAAACTAAAAAACTTAGAATTGTTCCATTTACCTTGTTCTCATGTATTTTATGTGTGTAAAATGGATAGAGGAAAAACGGATCTGATCAGAAACCAGCATAGCACACTGTGGTCTGTTAGAAATAACACTCTGGCTGGCATTCAGAGAACCAGAGCTTCAAGCTTCAGTCCTACCATTTATTTCTGGTTGTGTGATGATGAAGTTGGTCATTCACCTCCAGGAGACTCTTCTCATCATTAAAAGTACAATAACACCACTTTTCACAAAAGGCCATAGTGCAGGTTAAATGTTGTATTGCATTTGAAAGCACTTTGTAAACTCAAATACAGACAGAAAATGTAAATGAAAAAGATTAAATCACAACAGAGTTTGTTCAAAAAAGTTATGGGATATTTGGAGTAGACATTTTCTTCTTTCATAATTTTGTGCATCATGAATTTTCATTTCAAATTTCAGAGAATTTTTAAGTTTTTGCTAAAGTCAACATTTAAAAATATTGTACGGATGTAAAATTATTTTATCTACACTTAAATGGTATATAATGGTTTGATGTTTCAGTTTTCATGTATAACTTAAGCCTTGTTCAAACACACTAAAGACAGAGTTTTATTAGGACTGGCAAGAATGATACCAATATATATTCATGGACTGATTCCATCTGTATGGAATATGTAGATCTCACTCTAAATATAGTTTTTCAGTGTTCTGAAATGCTTGTGCTAAAATCTGAAGTACAATAAACTGATACTATATTAACATGAAATTTAGTTTCTCAATTTAAAGAAATATGTATCCTCTTTTCACAAAATATTAGCTGTTTTCTAATTCAGAAATGAATGCGTGCAGATCAATGGCAACTCAGAAGAAATTCAAAAGCCTTTATGCTATAGTAGTTCATAGAATGCATTTTTCATCTTTATGCTAAGATATTTCTAATCAGACAGTTTGGCCACCTGACCGAGGTAAAGATATTGGAAAATAAAATAATATTTCTAAAGCAAACAAAGTACAAGTTTCATATTATTTACTGTCAATTGCCTGATTTATATTTCACATAGATTTTGTAATGATAGTTTGAGTGTTTATATATCTTAATGTTTTAGTATATTTATATTTTGCATTTCCTTTATGTTTATAAAAATACCCTTGCCAGTATATTGAAAAAAAATATTGAATTAGTTAAGTTTCCATAGTTTCTTAATTTTCTCAATTAGTATTGGGTTTACAAGTAAAAATCCCAAGTGTGAAGGCAGTTAATCTAATTTTTATTTTTATTTTTTAAGTAACCATTGGATAAATTTATATGTGCTTAATTTCATCTGCATATGTCTTTTTGAAATCTTAAGCGATCTTGTCACAAAGATTGCTTTATGTCATCAATATATGTCTTTGACTGGTGTATGTCTTTGGCTCAATTTCCACAAGTCTAACATTAGAAGTCTGTAATATTTATTTCCAAAGGCTTATATGTTATGTAAAACCCAAATGTACATTGTCTTTCAAAAAAACAGAACAAAGTAAGAATTTGAGACATGGGAACCATATTGTATATTCATTGAAATCTACCACTCTTAGGCTGAAAATTTACTTTTCATGCCTCAGAGCACCTTTAAGGAAAGAAGAATAACCTGAGGCTTATTTTAAAAGAGACAGGATTACTTTTTGTAGTTTCTGGATGTTTGATTTTTGCTTCACTGATTTACAATGTGTGATGTTTAATTTCAGGTTTGTGGGTTTAGCTCAATGTTGGTTATCTCACTGATGAAATTAGTTTAGCCTATTTTTCAGAACACTATGTAAGTGTCCTAAAGTCTTGTGACGCACTGGAACGGCTCCATTCTTTTGGGTTATCTGTGTTAGCTCTAGCATCATTATCATAACCAAGAGGAGCTGCCAGTTACTTTTTATTTATTTATATATTTTCCAATTGTCTTTTAGCTCAGCTGATTTCGTAGTGGTCACAAATTGGCAGCTCTTGGAATAAACATACTCATATATAAACTTCATATTGCTTCCAGAGTGCTGCATTTTGTTTAACAGTGACAACGTTTAAACATATTGATAAATTTCACTATAAAATTGACATTTACATTTTCCTTTGCAAAATTGCATCTGGCAAAAGTAGGCCTGCCTTTCTAAATGGTGACCATTAGGTGGCGCTGAGTAAAACAGGGCCAAGGCCCCAAGTCCATACAGCTGAGCCTGGCTCACTGCACTTCTGTATGTTAACTCCAGTTTTTTGTACGTCTTTGCATTGCCATTCTTGTGCCTTGGCCCAAAGTTTCAAGTATGGATAATATTTATTTCCAAATAAATATTCGGAAACAGGTTTCTATTCTTGAAAACAAAAACGAAATCAGGAGTGGGAGGCGATCGAGGGGTGGAGAATTCAGCTTGTTTATTTTGAAAAGGGGGCAAATCATCAAAGTAGAAATGTCCAGTGAAGAGTTGAAAATAAATGACTGGTGCTTAGATGAGGGGAAAGGATTGGCGATAGAATTTTGGAAATCATTCAAGTAAAGGCATAGCTGAAGCCATGAAAATGGATGAGTTATCTGAAGGAGGAATTAGATATCAAGAAGAATGAAAGCCCAATAGGTGAACATGGGAAAATATTCACAGTTACAATTCAGGCAGACAAGACAGACCTGGATAGAAAGACAAAGTTTGAAGAGAAAGAGTGATGAAATCTACTGAAACATTGGCTCACACTTATTGACGTTTTTTAATGTGGGGGAAAAAAGAAAGGTATGCATCAAATTAATGTTGAAGAAGTAAAGCCTTAATATTATTACAGGTGGAAGTAAAATGTCTTAGTGCCTTGGCATGACAGCAGTGCAAAGCCCATCTGGGCTCTTTGCCTAAGTCCTGATTTGCAACAAAGGCTGACAGCATCAGACACAATAGGCAGAACACCAAAAATATTTTTGGGTATGTGAACATACACAACAGGATAATACAAGAGTAGAGTCATGCATGTTGCTATTTTGTAAAATTAATTTAAATATCCAAAACTAAATTTTTGTCTTACTTCAAATTTTTGAGCACAGACAGATCATCTCTACTTTAAAGATATCACCTATATTTTTAAAAGATGAGGAGAGAGTTCCTTACTTGTCCCTTAAATTTTTTACTTTCTCATGTTGGCAGTTTCAAACTAGATAGTGTGTACATTGAGGAAAGCGGTGAGAAGGGAACAGTGTGACATTATTGATCTCTTGCCTTGTGAAGTTTCACGGGTCCTGGCAAAAATTTACAAGTTTGCTGCAGGGCAAAATTTGATCATTTTGGACAGGGATTGAATATTTTGCCTTGAAAAATGTTAGCAAAAAAACTCCTGGGGAAAAATCACAAATTGTCAAATCATTTGGGCATAGAAAGTCATCAACTTTATGTGGTGAGTGGCAATTTATACTCTATGCTTAGCTTTCACGGAAAACAATGACAAATTTAGAATCAATACTCCGAAATGATCTACTCCCAACAAGGATTGTTTTCACTGATTGTATTGAAGGGCTGGCTACAGCGTAACGCCAAGGGAGACCAACAGGAGGCAGCACTTAATGATTTGTAAAGTAGAGGAGGAAGCCTAACCAGAAAAGGGCTAACCTTCTAAATAGCATGCCAGTGTGAGAAGAGTACAAGTTGTGAAAACAGATCTGGGTCCAAATTTTGGCTCTGTAATTTATCAGCTGTGTGAAATCCGGCAAGTTATTTAACCTCTCTGAATCCCAGTTTTCTCACGTTTAAGATGGAGCAATTAATATTTACCTGATATGGTTTGGCTGTGTCCCCACCCAAATCTCATTTTGAATTGTAGCTCCCACAATTCCCACATGTTGTTGGTGGGGAAACAGTGAGAGGTAATTGAATCATGGGGGCAGGTCTTTCTTGTGCTGTTCTGCGCATGTCTCATGAGACCTGATGGTTTTATAAAGAGGAGTTCCCTGACACAAGTTCTCCCTCTTTGCCTGCCACCACCCATGTAAGATGTGACTTGCTCCTCTTTGCTTTCTGCCATGATTGTGAGGCCTCCCCAGCCGTGTGGAACTGTAAGTCTATTAAACCTCTTTTTCCTTATAAACTACCCAGTCTTGGGTATGTCTTTATCAGCAGTATGCAAACAAACTAATACACCAATAATGATGTTATACAATGAGAGATGGATGCATGCCTTATTTTTGGTGCTTCTGTAATTATAACATTATTAAAATTATTATTAAAGTAATAGAGAAACTTCCATACGAGGGCAGATTAAAGTCTATAGACTTTTAGGGGGAAATAAAACTTTACATATATCATAAACAATATGATTCTGATATTTACAAATTTATTTACAAGTATAGGAGGATTAGAAACACAATTTTAAAGTGATAACTCCAAGAAGTTACTAAAACTGAAAACTACTAAAAGAAAAAACTTATGAGTACTGTAGATGGTAACTTTATTCAATTCCATCTATAACAAGTTCATTTAGTCTGAGAGTGAAGGAAGAGTTACATAAGCTTATGAATACTGGATTCATAGAAGACTTTAAAAATATTTTTGGCTAGGTAACACTTTCACATAATTCAGCAATCAAAAAGCATAAAAAAGGAATAAAGTGAGAAATGTTTTTCTTCTCTTTATCTCAATAGTAGGATTCTTTAAAATGGAAAGTAGAATATTCGGAGTCTATCATTGCTAATGAAGATGAGGTATCTGCAACACATGTACATTTTAATAAAGTGTGAGGGTAATGACTGGCCATTGTATTACCATAATGAAACATCATCATTAACAGTTGGCCAATGTAAAGAGGACCTGCAGCTTCATTATAACATCTGAGAGATTGGGTTCTTAGGCCCGTTTCCCGGGAGTCCACGTTACCTATGGAAGAGTCATTTGAAGTATCTCTTGTATTTAGCTGTTGCTTCCTACCTGAACTGTTGCAGGACCTCATGAAGCATGTTTCTATTTTTAAGCAAATCTTAATTGCAAAAACATCCTAACAATAAGTCATATCTTATCCTATTATATTATATCCTAATATAAAACTCATCTTGCTATGCTCCTTAGCACTTTCTGTATAAAAGACTTCATCCAAGCTCTTGGTCTTTTTATATTAAAGTAGCCTAATGGTGTCTTGTGATTACTGTCCTTCCTATGTATATATTTGATGTATTTTGAAAATCTGGAATTAGCATTTATTATTTTCCACATTTTAAATTGTCTTCATTACATGTGTAGCAGAGTAGTCAACATGAAGCCATCTATAAATAGATCGCCCTAGCTCTGGGCCTGTCTTTTACCACTTACTAATTATATGACCTTGGAAAAGTGACTGGAATCTTTGTTACTTTTCTTGATTTGTAAAATGGGTGTAACTGTCTTAGTGATGTTTTAAGGATTAAGCATAAGTTCTTAGTGTCTAGCATGTAGTAAGTAAAACATGGCTCTACTGCTAATTAGCTGTACTACTTTCTAAAAAATCTGTATCTAAATGTTTTTTCTTCTAGCAAAATATAGGGGTGTTCTTTTTGCATTTGTCATCTCTTTGTATCTAAAACTATAGATACTTTCTTATAAATTGTCTGTTATTCATCATTTCACTTTATTTAATTGGTGGAATGAGGGTGGTAGTTAAGGATGTGTTTGAATTTCAAAGCCATGATTCTCCTTTCTCAAAACCACTCAGTGAATCCTTCATCAAAGCCTTAAAACTTAGCTTTTTAAGCTAATGTCAGCACTCCTCTTGGCTGTGAATGCTTCACAAGAAGGCACCATAGACAGATAATACATTTTGATGAATGAAGCTGGTAACACTAGGAAAAGCCATGTTGTCACCATACGGGGAAAAACCATTTCTGCCTTCTCTCATGCTAGGCCCGTGTTCACTCACCCTCATTTCTAGCTTCTGCCAAGAGCAGAGGAGTTTATGATGAGAAGGGTCAGGGCCCAATACCTGACTTAGGTAAGTGGTTGGTAGTGCAAGTCTTAAGTGCACTATTAACCTCTCTTTATTGTTTCTTCATGTGATAAATAGACCTAGAAATGACCTGACCCTTGATTTTCTTCTTCACTCTATCCTCCGGCAAGGTAAAGGCTTTTCCCCTAATGACACTGTGCTCCCTACATCCTTTCTTGCTCCTATTGAGTTGCCCAGTTCCTGATGCCTGGCAGATTGAGTGAGTTTGGTATTAGTCACTGAGTCAAATTTGACACTCATTTCTCATCTTTTCCTTTAGAACTGGAAGAAAAACAAGAAATTTTATCTTTTTAAAAGAAAGCCTATAAATATGAAAACCTGATTCCAGTAAATCATATAGCTATGCTTTTGCTTTGAAAGAATCTGTCATTTTGACTTGTGAAGAATTATAGGTTGAATTCATTTCTAGAAAGTGTGAATGATTGAAGGTGGTCAAAATCTTCTCTAAAGTGTTTGGGGGAAGTCAACCTGGCTGTTCCCAGCAACAGCCACTTCCCAAGCTCTCCCAAGATCTCCAGTGGATCCAGTGACTCACTGGCTTCTCAAACTACTGTGAGAAAATAAGCCCATCTCTATCTGTAATGAGCTGCTGCACCACTGACCAGAATGCAGACTTGTTAACATCAAGTAGCAGCTGCAGTTACCAAAACACACAGGGATGTGCTAACTCAATTTCTAAACAGGAAACCATCAATGTAATAGTTAATGAAAGTGTTCAATGTCCAATAAAGCAATGTAAAAGGCAAGCATACTCAAAGCTCTGTAAAGTGGATCATAGGTTGGGAAAATTGTGTACACTTAACTATATAACCAAAACTGAGAATTCTTGAAGGATAGAATTCTGTAATCTAAATATAAAAATGTATAGCTCAAAAGAATATTTAAATATAAACTATTTAACAAGATTTATGAGAGATTCAAGATTTTACTATCAATTTGTCTTCTATGTCCAAAGTGACCTGACTTAGATCATGGGGATTGGAAAGGATCTCAAAAATAGGCCCGGGTCACATTCTGCAATGCAGTCATGGCTTGTTTTTACAAATATTGCAACCAGATTCCAGCATATATACCAGTTTGCAGGATAGTGCTCTGAAATATTCAGTGAAACTCAGGAATGTACTTCCCATCATCAGACGCAATACTTGAAAATCTTTTCTCTAAGTACAACTACTTGAGAATGAGAAGGGTCTCACATGATGAATTAAAATCCACAAAATTGGCACTTGAGCTGAATAAGAGGAAAAAATTCTAGAAGTGTGGACAGTCCATAAAAGAGATACCGCTTCATTCTTCCCTAGAAATAATAACATCTTTTACATATACCACTTCTCTCTGAGGAGCTTTAAGACTTTATCTAATTAATCCTCCCAGCTTCCCAGAGAGGTAGATAGGGGGCAGGTATTATTAGCTGAATTTAGCAGTGGTAGAAATTAAAGTGTCCTGATTAAGTGACTTAGGTAGGAGGCAGCATTTGTACTTAAATAAGTGGCCTCTAAATTCTCTGCTATTTGAGTAAAAACAGCACCTACAATGTATAATAAATCTGCCTTCTTTTAATCCATCTTACATGTAGCCTGGCCAAAAAAAAAAAAAAAGAAAGAAAGAAACTCTTCAGCGTAGCTAGGTACAAAGAACAAAATATCTGTATCTCAAAATGTGACTATGAATTTCACAGTGCCTTCTGGGCTCAAGAGGCCAGAAGTTATTTTTATTAAACTATAAATAAGAAGATTTCTTGTATTTTTAAATTGCTGTAGTAGTCAATTTAGTATTATTTAAGTAGTTGTATATGCATTGTACCAGAATAGAAATATTTGAGGCACTATGGAACTCTACATTAGGGAATGGAAAAAAACCCTGCATTTGGACTAGATAATTAGATACTTGGGGTAAGAAATGTGAATGACAATAGATAATGCCCAAGGTCAGTGTCTAAAAAAGGGGCCAAATTTAGCAGGCATTCTCAGTTACCTACTCAAAAGCCATTTTCTTCTTTACTAGTAGAGCCTTAAGTTGGGGAAATGTCAGTCCTCCTTCCTCGTCAACTATGGTACCTCCATTCCTCTCGCAGGTTATAGGGTTAGATTGTGGGGTGGGCATGTGATCAGTTCTAGTCCAGCAAGACACAAGAGTGCCTGCTGCAGACCATCTGGGAGAAGCATTTTTTGATCTTCAAGAGGTATAAGAAAGAATCCTTCAATCTGCTTAACTCTGTCAGGTCTTCACGAACATTCTGGACCGGCAATAGGCAACATGCAGCCGTGAGTGAGAGAAGGTGACACGGGATGACAGGACAGGAAGAAGGAACAACTGTGTTGTCAATGATGTCACTGAGCTATTGAATTAACCAACCCTGGCACTGTTTTTATCTTGGCATTTTCTTTCTACATAGGATAAAATGTCTGTATTGTTTAGTATATAAATATGGGATTTTAAAAAATATAAATGTAACAAATACAACCTGGAGGGAATTGTTTTCAGAATTACTTCTGCTAGAGTCTCAGACCTGCCACTATCAACCAATGTAAAAATATTCAGATAATGAACCCAAGCTTTGTAAGATGCTGGAGATGCATAGTCTATATCTATAAATTTCCTCACAGAGTATAAAAATATTCTCTGTACTTTTCTCTAAATAAACCATATGGAGAGAACTGGGCAGGAAAAGGCCCCTACAGAAGCTGGTGAGAATGGGACAGCAAGAGGAGGATGCAGAGACAGAGAATTTGAAGAAGGAATCATGGCCCATTTTACCTCAGGCTTAGAAACTAATCAATCTAAAGATTATCCAGCTGATTAAAATGGGTGTTGTGACCCCATTGCACCATGTAGGTATTATCACCAACTTCAAGTTTTGTCTATAAATAGGTGCATTTAGTAAACAAAGCAGGGCAGTACAGTCTCTGGATTTGTCTCATTGGCTTCTGCTTGAAGGTTTTCTGAGAAAGATGCCCAAAGATGGCTATTACCTTAAGATGTAAAAGTAAAAGTTCTATCTGTCCAAATACCCAGGCAGACATTTCATCTATGTGTCAAGCACATATATAATTCTAAGGCCTGGGGGGACATTCTGGATCCTGATATGAGTCCCTGAATCTGTCCTTCTCATATTCCTTTTTCCAAAAGCAAACAAGTCATGTCTGCCAGTTACACTAAAGAAATAAGAAACAAATGATACGTAATGAAACTGCCCATTTTTTCTTACTGAGGAGTGTGCAACAAATGAAAAATAAACGACTTTATTTCTTGTTGTTTGAAAAGAGAATGGCTAAGAATGAATTCATTTCCACGCTTAGGTTGCCTGGGCATACTAGAGGGGGAAAAGCAAAGAAAGTTCAGGAGGGTGTAAGGAAGCATTTCAGTAAATCCAGGATCAAAACACAAATGACAATCACAGCAACAGAAACAAGACAACTACAAAGAACACTGTGAAATATGAGGCCTCAGTGCATAGAAAGATGATAAGATGGTGTGGTGGGGAAGTCTCCAACGATGCAATTTCTAAATCACTCTGAAGTTTTTGCTCATTTCTATTGTGTGCCTAAAGCTAAGCCAATGTTTCAGCAAGGTACAAAATTAAACCAAACAAAGAATAAACATACTATTAAGCATCACCATGCAAGAAACTATGGTAGGCACTAAAGTTTTTTTGTTTTGTTTTTTAAGAGACAAAATCTTACTCTGTCACCAAGGCTGGAGTGTGGTGGTGCCACTGCTGCTCACTGTAGCCTTGAACTCTTGGGCTCATGTCATCCTTCCTGCCTCAGCCTCCCAAGTAGCTAAAACTACAGATGTGAGCTGCCACACCTGGCCAGAAGATTTTAAAAAGTAGTTGTGGCCCCTGCTTTACAAAGATGCAAAATGTAATGAGAGAAGGAATATGTAGGCATATGAAAATATGCATAAAAATGCCAGTTAACAAAAAATGTCTAACAAATGGGATTAATAATTCTAATAATGCACAAAGACAGCAAAACTGTCATCCAGAAGTAATATTAAATAAACATTAGCAATGCAGGCACTACAGGCAACCCACCTCTGTGTTTAAACCCTGATTTTGCCATAAGAGCTTTATGAAATAGGGGAAAGTAACTAATCCCTCTGTAAATTCTTTCATTTAAACAAGAAAACAGACCAAGCTATACATTTGGTAAGTCGGCTGCAAAGAGTAGAAATGATACACGTGAAAGATCTAACAGAGTGCTGAGATTTCACTAGAGTGTTTGGTAAAGGGTAATGATAAGATTAGAAATGGTGGGCTGAATAAATGGTCTTCATAAACATTATTCATGCTTACTGAACACTTGATGTGGGAGCCATTCTGTCTAAGTTATGTTTAATTTTCACACCAGTCTCTTTAAGGTTGTATGCACTACAGAAGAGTAGAGGTGGGAAGAACGATTCTCGCTATGGAAGTCAAGGAAGAGTTCATGAAAGAACTTGTTGTAAAGGATGGGTTTATGGATTTGTCTTGTCACTTGAAAGTTGTCTAACAAAGCTGCCCAAAGGTACCTAATAGCTTAAGACTTACAAGCCCTACCTGTTCAGATAGCCAGGGTCTTGGAAGAGAGGCAAAGTGAGGGCACACCAGGAGGGAAATGGCTCAGCATTGGGAAGTCAAACAAATGAACAAATGAACAGTGGTGTTAAAGGGCTTATCCATTGTTTCAAAGCAGTCACATATCACCAAAAGAGTACAGACACAAGCAAACCAGCGTATCAGAGGACTACCGGGTCCAGGGAACTACATTATCATAGGTTAATAGCCCTGGAAGTTACCTTACATAAAAGAATCTGGGAACTCACTTGATCATCCCTCTGGGGTTGGTAACCTAAAGAGCAGGAAGCTTGCCTTAAGGAAAAATTGCTCACTGGATCTTTTCAAGTAAGTAATGAGAATAATCTCACATATACGAACTTAACCAGGTGGAGGAATGAATTCAGCTCATCAAATAGTTAATTTGTTAATGTGTCTATTTGAACTGTTTCAAAATTACTGTTTGCAAATTGTCTAACTGCAACTCACCACCACCAAGCTCAGTAATATGTGATAGAGACAGCAACGTAACACGTTATTCCATTCCCTTACTAGTTAATTTCCATTTTTTGCTATCAATAGTTCCGTGATGGTGTGGCAAGCCTGTGGGATCTCTGGGATCTCTCCACAGACAACTTAGTAGCTACTCTCTGCCAAGGTTTGACAGCGGCTGACTAGAGAACTTCCATATTTCTCCTAACTCCTCCTGCCCCATCAAGATAATTGCCTTTTTAGTTTGTGGGTGGTTTCTGCTTTTTTGTTTTGTTTTCTTTGAGATGGAGTCTCTGTTGTCCGGGCTGGAGTGCAGTGGTGCCATCTTGGCTCACTGCAACCTCTGCCTACCAGGTTCAAGTGAAAGTGATTCTCCTGCCTCAACTTCCTAAGTATCTGGGACACATCCAGCTAATTTTTTTTTTTTTTAATTTTTAGTAGAGATGGGGTTTCACCATGTTGTCCAGGCTGGTCTGAAACTCCTGACCTCAAATGATCCACCCACCTCGGCCTCCCAAAGTGCTGGTTTTGTTTGTAGGTGGTTACATCATTGCACAGAAGAGTTTGATTCGGGAATTTTACCAAGAGTGGTGGCCTGCTTCATTGTGACATTTTCAGTTATACATTGTTAGGTTCTCAAAGACTGTTGGGCAAGGTGTCCTGGGGAAATCAAAACCTATTAATGTCGTTATGAAATTCTGAAATTAAGACCAAGACCACCTTACAAAACAGTTCAATTATAAACACGATGTGTTGTCTTGTGACCCAATCAATTGTATGGTAACATGAGACAGTTATTAGATTGTGCTGTGGAAGTCTAACTTCCTTCTCCTAATGTGATGGAATTAATTCATACAACCTGATAACAAGGCTATTACAATGTGAACAATGGTTTAAAAGTGGCTTGTGTGGAACAGCCAGGCACCATTGAACATTTCAGATCAAAGGTCTATTGAACAGAAAGAACAAATAGAATCAATTTCTTGAACTGTTTCTGCATTTCCAAACTTGCAACATTATACCACAGAATGTGACTTAATGAAGTACAGATGAGAAGACCAGAGAAAAGCTAGTTCTAATGTAACAATGAAAATTAATGAAGAGCTTTGGATTTTTTTTTTCTCTGTGGAAACAAACTAGTTATTAAAGACAGCTTTGTACTCCTAAAATTCTGAACTTTAAAGACAGCCAGGACTTAGATAAGTCACTAAGGCCCAGATAACAAGGAGTAGAGAGACATTTGCCACTTTTCCTCGAAGCTGCAAAGTTGTTATCTAATATATTTATGTTTATACAACAGAGTACTTAATGAGGCCATCTAACTGACAAAGGTAACAAGATTCACAGGACATTTTACTTAAAAATTTTAAAGGATAAGTAGTGATTACAATAAAATGGATGGCCACCAAATGCAGAAAGCCATACTTTTCTGGAAAGTTCATGTATCAAATTCAGATATTTTCCCAGTCATAATATAACAGAAGAGTTGTTAGAATTCCAGAAAAAAAATACAAAATATATTTATTCATTAAAAAAGATTTGAACTCCATGAGCCAGACTATGTTCAATAATCTTTGTATTCATCAGGAAATAAATTAGCAATAAATAGAAAATTACTAACTGGATGAAGTTTTATAGGAATAAAATATGGAAATGAAATTTTTGGAAATGACTAGCATTTAAAATAGGTTAAAAATTAATTTACAAAGTAAGATTAGCAGAAGAGATTTATAAAATTAAAAAATTGTACAAATAAAATATTAGCCCACACTGACGTATTTAATATTTTTTAAAATGTCATGCAACATATGGCATAAGGACATGCATTATGATTTTTTATTTGTAATATATTTCATCCAACTAGTAAGTGGCCTGTTCATATACTTATTAACTAGAGTTAGGTTGAACATTTTATACTATAAAACCATTTAGTACAGATATTCTCCAATTTATGATGGTATTACCATTTTTTTTGACTTTACAATAGGTTCATTGGGGTATTAAGTGCACCTTTAACTTAAGATATTTTCAACTTACAAAGGGTTTATCATGAAGTCAGCCCATCATAAGTTGAGAAGTATCTGTAATTATTACCAATCATCATCAAATAATTCAAAAATATGTATTAGTTCCTATTAGAGCTTGTTGAATTTTTTTTTAACTAATTTGTTAAATGAAAGTATTCCCACCCAATTTCTTTCACTTTTGGATGTCAACAATTTGAAAATGAGGATATTAGTGTAGCAATATTTTAAGCAGAAATGTTTTAAAATAATATAGTGTTCACAAATAGCAATAGAATAATGATGTATATAGAGAAGTATAAATAATTTATTTAAACTAATCTAATCTTAAAACAATTTATTGAAAAGACACAAGAACAATGAAATTATAAACTGGCAAACATATCAAGAAAGTACTTGAAAACATAAAATAAAAATAGTCTATATTGACATCAGTACTTTTCCATTGTCAAACTTGGAGATGACAATGCCAAAAATAAAAAAAAATTCCATCATATAGAGTTAAATTTAAATTTAAAACACATCCAATTAAAAAGCAAGATTCTGGATCGACCTGGTGGTCAAGTACCTATTTGATTAATATTTTTCTACTGAAAACCACATGAAAACAAAAGAGGTCAGGCCTTAGTAGTACTGAAAATCAAGAATATCGATTGGCAGTTCTCTCAAAGAGAGAGAACATAATACTCTCTAAATACTTTAGATCACCTGGATTGAGATGAGCAGCTAATGCATTTCTAGAATTTTTTTATTTTTTTTGCGACGCAGTCTCATTCTGTTGCCAGGCTGGAGTGCAGTGGCGCAATTTCGGCTCACTGCAATCTCTGTCTCCTGGGATCAAGCAATTCTCCTGCCTCAGCCTCCCGAATACCTGGGATTACAGGCGCCCACCACTATACCTGGCAATTTCTTCTTTTTTCTTGTTTTTTTCTTTTTCTTTTTAGTAGAGATGGGGTTTCAACTGTGTTGGCTAGCTGGTCTCGAACTCCTGACCTCAAATGATCTATCCACCTCAGCCTCCCAAAGTGCTGGGATTACAGGAGTGAGCCACTGTGCCTGGCCCATTTCTAGAACTTTTCAATGAAGAAAAAGTATGGATGTTAAGCAGAAAAAGCAGAAAGAGTATGGATGTTAAGAAAGCCCTTGTTAGCTCTCCTCCCTAATATGTTCTGGCCTGCCCTGCTCACAGCAAAGCCTCACAATCATCAGCCTACCATGTGTGACCTGTTTTCTGGGGCCACCAGGACCATTCACATTCCTTTTTATCCCATCTTCTTCACCTGCCACCACCATCAGCTTCTAAGGAAGCAGCATGAGAAGAGGATAGATTTCACTTGATGTGTAAAATCAACAATGACCGGCGATTTAAAAGAACACAAGGCATAGTTCATTCTTCTAGGGAATTATAGATTCATGCCCGCATCCAAGTAAAAAAAGAACTACAAACTGTTTGAAATTCCACAAACTGTTTAAAATTAAAATACATTTCAATTTAATTCTTGAAATAAATCCATCTCCTTTTAATGAGCAGAACATGGAAAACGATATTTGACACATCGATTTTCCTTCAAGATGAGAGTGAATGAGTTTGTTAGAACTCAAGTAGATTTGAAAGTATAAAAACCTGTAAGAAACGGCCGGGCACGGTGGCTCATGCCTGTAATCCCAGCGCTTTGGGAGGCCAAGGCGGGCGGATCACGAGGTCAGGAGCGCGAGACTATCCCGACTAACATGGTGGAACCCCGTCTCTACTAAAGTTACAAAAAAATTAGCCGGGCGAGGTGGCAGGCACCTGTGGTCCCAGCTACTCCGGAGGCTGAGGCAGGAGAATGGTGTGAACCCGGGAAGCGGAGCTTGCAGTGAGACGAGATCGCGCCACTGCACTCAAGCCTGGGCGACAGAGCGAGACTCCGTCTCAACAAGCAAACAAACAAACAAAACCAAACAACAACCATATATCAACCTGGGTCCTAGAAAAGGTGTCCACAAGTTAGAAGAGAAGAAATCCTTAAAAGATACGGAGAAAATGTTTATCTGGGTTAAGGGGGAAGGTAGATTTATTACAAGAAATAGAAACTTTAGGAATGTACCTGGTGTTGACCTCTCAGTAACAGAAAACTTGTAATTTATACTGCCAGAAATGGAAGATTTGCTTTTTTAAAGGGTTAATACCAAATGGAATGCACATATGGCTGAAGAAAGGTAAAGAATCAATGCAGGAGAAATCTACATACAGTAGCAGAATTAAAATCTTTATTAAAGAAAGAAAAGAGCATAATTAATAGTGCATAAAATTGTGCTGACAATGGAAAGGAGAAACTTCAATTTCTAATACAGAAGAAAGACAGATGGAAATTTTGAGATAGAAATGGTACACATGAAAAATGGAGAGGAGCTATTGGACAGAAAGTGTGAATTTGTGAAGATTGAAAAACATAACTTGATCAGTGATATGAACATTAACACAAATAACTTGACCTCAAATGTTTTTGAATATACATTAAAATATTTTGAATATGACTGATAAATATGTTTTTCTAACATTTTCTGAATGAAGATATAAACACGAGTGCCAAAGAGGTTACTTACAAAAGCCAAAATCAGGTTGTTTCCATACCATACTAACAGTCTGAGAATGCTATAGCAATATTGAGATATTTTGAAAAGAAAAAGTTGACCAGGAGACTTGATTTTCTAGTAGTTATAATAAATTATATGTTTAAAATAACTAAAACAGTAATACTATGTCAATACCAAAGAAATAAAATGTCTCTGAGATACATTTATTTAAACAGGAAAGTAGTATGTAATTACAAATAAGCATCACGAAACATTAGAAGAGCAATTCATTAATTACCAAATGATATTGAATGTGCAGAGTACTTGAGTTACTTCATACTACACAGCAAAATAAATTATGAACATATTAAATATCACCAATGGGTCAAATAGCTAAATGCTAAAAAATATTGAAGTTCTTTCAAAAATAGGCAATACAAGTGAAAAGCTACCGATCAGGATGGGTAAGAATTTTATTTTAAATTGTAAATACCAAGAAGATCATATTCAAAGCAAAACAGAAATGTCTACAAGGTTGAAGACTACTGTGTGGTAACATTTTAAGCAAAGTTAAAATCAAATGAAGTTTCATAAAAAATATGTAGTTGGTTAAGAATATGTGGGAGGCAGAGGCAGGTGGATCACCTAAGGTCAGGAGTTAGAGACCAGCCTGGCCAACGTGGCAAACCCCATCTCTACTAAAAATACAAAATTAGCCAGGCGTGGGGGTGCGTGCCTGTAGTCCCAGTTACTCAGGAGGCTGAGGCAGGAGAATCGCTTGAACCCGAGAGGTGGAGGTTGCAGTGAGCCGAGATCACACACCTGCACACCAGCCCGGGCGACAAGAGCGAGACTCTGTTTTTAAAAAACAAAAAAAAGTAACACAGATTAATATTTAATGGAGAAATATTTTTCTTATAAACCCTCAACAAAACATATGTACCTCATTTTGGAAAACTTCTGTAAAAAAAGGTACTGATACTTGCATGTAATGGGATGTGTACACTTATCAATTAATAGGCATGATTGCAAGATTGGTATCATAAACCTGTGGCCAGTATATCCCTGAGAATGATTTATTTTAAATAATTTTCCTCTTGATTTTCTCAGTATAATCAAAGAAATAGTAAAAATAAATATTTTAAAAGTAGCTTGACTTAAAAAAAAACTAACACATTTATAACTTATAGGAAGTGATTTGAAACACTTTTTCCAATTGGAAGGTGTATATGCATAACCAACTCAGAGATTTAAAATTCAGGATTATTTTGTGCTTCATCTTCATGGAAAATGCTCAGAGCCTAATTGGGTAAAAGAGAATTCATTCTTCATCTTACTAATGAAGGATGACTCATTGAGGCTATATTAATTCAGAGATCAAGAGTCTCTGCCATCAGCTGAAAAGGAGTACTGTTATAAAAAATACAATCAAATCACTATGATAGTGAAATTTAGGAACTGAAGAGCAAGTTGATTGTAAGGATCATGACTTCCGTAAGACTCATTTCTTTTATATGTGACAAAAATTACAGCTTTAATGGCAAAAATTCAACCTCATGTGTTAAATATCATCTAAATTCTGAAAATCCCTAAATCTATATCTTTATCTCTGACCGCTCTCCAGACTTTCAAAGTACTTTATTCTCTCTTTAGAGACTTATTAATGGAAAAGTTTGAGAAGCATTACTTTAATAAGCTTTTAATTTCTATATAAATTAGGGAATTTGAACGTAATGAACCCATATTTGAAGATGTTAGCATAGAAATATTTGGCATAGGAAACATGCAAACCATAGTCTTTTCTCTTTCTTCAAGATATCTGCCAAACACACAGCGTTTTAAACAAGAAAACATTTTATTTCCTTGAGAATCTAAGATGTCTAAATTTTTATAACACTTTGGAATATATTTACTTAGGAAAGGCAGATACAATAGGGTCTTTCCCTTTCCATTGTACTGCATAGTTTTCTTTTAATCAAAGTTATAAGAGTTTATCCTAATTGAATCTTAGAAGTGCCAATTTCTTCTTCTATCTTACTCTTAATTTGAATATTTCTCATCTTGATATTTTCTACATTCTTTAACAGTAATATACGGATTTTTACTTTTAACCAACTTGGTTGTCCAATGTATATTCATACATAGATCTAACAACCATCTCATACATTTATCCAAAAATATTACTAACAACTCTCTGTCCTATTGCTATTTTGAGGTAATTTAACTAATTACATTTTCAAACTCTAACGTGTAATTTTTAAAAATAAACTAGTACAATGAGTTTTTCCTTGACTTTCCTATTTGTTCTAAAGAAAAAAAATGATTTATACAAGGTGCAAAAAATCTTTTACTTGTTCTGCTCCAATTTGCAGCCATATATAGAACTATTTCCCATTCTTTTCTAACATAAGACTCATTTTGGTTTTTTATATTCTTGGGAATTCCAATCAGTTTAATTGTTTGACAGAATTTTTCTGCTTTTCCTCAGAAGGTGTAAATTTTTCAAGTGCCAGCCACATATCCTAGAATATTTCCCAGGAGTGGCAGCTAATTGCAACTTGGTTTACTGGGACTGTTGTTTGAGGGCCTTTTTGTTTGTTGTTTTAAACCAATATGCTCTACATTAGAAAAATAGGATTTAACACCAATCTCTTCAAAGTGGAAAAAAAAAAAAAACTACACTCTATAAAATTAGTTTGCCATGATAGTTACATACATAGAGTTGAATTGCAATCATTTTTCACTGACTCTAGTTGGTACTTTTGCTAAAATTAGAGTAGTTTTTACTTGTTGTAACAAATCTAGAGCATTAAAAATGAGGTTTATGCCTCATTCTGAAAATACAGATGGTTTTTTCCCAAGCAAAATGTGGGGTTTTCTTTCTATTGAGCAATTTACATTAATGGCCATCATTCTATCTGTGATCCATTCTAATATTATCACTTTAGTATACATGCCCACATGGATATATTTCATAAAACTAGCTAGAGAAAATATTTTTTGTGCTAAATATTTGTATACCAAAAAACAATTATTCCAATAACAAAGATACTCAACAGCATATCTTCTCAGCAGAGCATTTCCCAACATGCCAAAAACATTTATGTAGGATATGTATGCACTTTATATCTTTAAAAATGGTATACAAATATCTGTGAATAGAATACCAATTCATTTGATGATGTATAACATACATTCATTTACTATTGGAAAAAGGACTAAACCCATTTACATATTTCAATTACTGAAAGCAAATACTTTTCAACCCTTACCTCATTTTTGTCACCTTCAGAAAATACTTATTTCACCCTGAATTCTTTGACCTTCAGCTCCTATAATTTATGCATCTGCCTTGGACTTAAATAATTATTGATGCAAATTTCCCATATTCCCAACACTTCCAAATTTTAAAAATAGATATGAATCGGCATGCAGGTTGACATATGTTGTTGAATAACTTGACACTTAACAGTGTTTATCAAAGGAGCTGAATGGTTCTTTTAAATCAGTCATTATGTTACCATCAATTACAAGTACTCAATAAATTATGTTAAATGTGCTTTTATCTCTGGAATGGCTTTATCAAAGTTTGCCTCATTTAAACAACAGCAACAACAACTATGGCAAACCTTTATTTAGATTGAGCAGGTGATCTGAATATTTAGTTGTGTAGGGACTGTGGTAGGGTCTACAATTCTTTACCATGCCAACTAGTGTTTCTTCCTGTCGTCACTGTACATATGGAGGGATTATGCATTTGTGCTTTGTTGGCTCTGTGACTTCCTTAGTCCCATGAAATGAAGACAGACGTGACATATGCCACTTTCAGGTAAGAGCTTTAAAGGCAAACATGTTGCTTGTCACACCCTTCCAGAAAGAGACTATTCCATCAACCTGGATCTCAGACTGAAGACAGTATGGAACTGAACAACAGAAATTTGTTCTCAAAGCATAGTTTAGCCTATTTTGGCTGATACAGGGGCCATACATGGAACTATGATAAACCAAAACTCCAATGATACTTGGTCCTTTGTATTGTCCTGTTAGTATTTTCTTCATTAACTTATTTTTATTTATCTTTTATTTATTTAGAAACATGAGTGAATCCTGAGCAAAGTTTATGAAAAAAAGCATAAGAATTTTGTCCATACAATGGAAACCCTATGCAAAATAATTTAAGGAGAACTCTATCTCTCTGTCTCTAAATCAGATTGGAGTCATTAAAATAGAAAATTATCTCAGAAATGTTTCATTTTTAATAAGTAAACTTAAATATGCTAAGTGAACAAAATAAGAAACATATCATAGATACATATCATTTCCAAATTGTATCTTTTGTAAAAGCAATCTACCTTCATACAATGGCAACTACCAACCACCTTTAGTCTGCCCTGTTTTGGGGCCCAGCAAAGTAGTATTCACCAATAGAAAGTAAGCACTCTACATAATCCAAGTCTTAGTTACTTGCTTAGAGCTTGTACTTGAAATATATTTCAGCTACCTTCTCCTATCACTGAAATTTTCACCATAGTTTGATTTGTATTATATTGAAAAAATTAATTTTGCTTGACTTTAGAAGATAAATTGACAGTATTATCAAAAGGGCATTTTATATGAAGTGAGAAAATTTATTTAAAGTAACTGTGGAACAAAGGACTTAGTGGGAAACAATGGGAAATAGTTGACTGTTATTCAGTTTCCTAACCATAAATTAGATATTTTTGAAAACTGACTCTTCCAAGTTTCTGGAGCTCTACTCAGTACTATGAAAAAGTAATAACTGAACACACAGTTTCGAAAATAACTCTGAAAAAAAATCACTTAACACCTAGAGTTTGATGTAACTGAATAATTTTACCCCCTGTTTTTCATCAGTTTCTATTCCTGAAGTTAACCTAAAATAGATTTAGAAATAATATATTTTATTGAAACTTTAAATTTTAATTTAATTGAAGGAATTCAAATAAATTTTCAGTCCAAGACAGAACAGACTTAGCGTTATGAAGCTTTAACATGAATACACTATGCTTATCTTGGGTTTATTTATGTCAGAAAAATTCAGAAAGAAATAAGTTAAACCTTTTTGTTTATATATTTTGGGAAGGAAAAAAACTAAAAGTTAACAAAGGCAAGTCTAAGAATTGCATGTTCACCTTACCCAGATAAGTATCATTGGCCTGGAATATCCTACGAAAACTCTCCAAAATAATAATAACACTTTCTATGTGTAGTTTTTAAATTTAAGAAATTATTGGAATACTTAATTCCAAATGCAAACAGACTTCATATTTTTTCTAAACTGATGATTTTTAACGTGCAAGGTCATTTTCAACTTTTAGAAACAAATAGCAAAATACCATTTGCAATAAAAATATGTCAAATACAATTTTCTCAGGTAATTTTTGAGCTTTTCCATCAGCAACACAGAAATCAAATTTCTTTTCTTTCCCCCAGAAGCTCTTGAAGCGCCAAAACTTTTAGACTATGTTTAGATTTTCCAACTGTAGCTCTATCTGCTCCTATGTCTTACAGCTCAATTTTGGGGTTAGAACTTCTACAGTTGTTGGCCTAATAATGATCTGTGACAACCCTGGATTCTGTTGGGTCGTTCTATTAAAAAAAAAAAAAAATCACAGATATACAATTTTCTCTGATTTTCAGGAGGCCAAGAAAGATCCTATCTTGAAGACTCTGAACACCCTGTTCCATGAGCATTTTCTGACATTTTTTTCCCTTGTAACTTTTCAAGCCAAATTATATTGCCTCCACCTAATGTTGCAAAAACTTTGGGTGAAAGCCCAATGTGATTCTAAGACTCTGGTATGATTCCGTGTAACCTGGCATCCTTCCTAGAAGTTAACTTTGTTAGGCAGCTATTTCTGTAAACAATCTGAGTAACAGAAAAGCTACATGACCAGATGAAATGGCACCACCTGCATGTTCTCTACAAGCCTCTATGGAGCTAGTGCTTGGTAATTAATTATTAGAAGCTGACACCAAGAACTGTGGTCTCATTATCTTTTTTCCAAGGTCCGTTAATACCGGTTGAACTTGACTTTCAAATATGTCACCATTTCTTGTAAAAATCAAACTACTGTATTTGTAGACATATTACTTGTATCAATTAGCTATTGCTCTGTAACAAACCGGCCCAATATTTAGTGGTTTAAAACTGCCACTGTTTGCAGACAATCAGGAATCTGGGCCTCACTCAGATATTCTCATAGGGTGATATGACCACAAGCCCGGGACTGTCATTACTAGATAAGTTAGTAGATTGGACAATAGGAGTATTTCTGAATGTCATTCATATACCAGGGTGGCTATTCATAACTACCAATGCCTGCAGCAGGTCCAGGCTGTCATGTGAGCTCCTTGACTCTTGGGAATATGATTCAGAAAATTTAGTGAGAAAGTGAAATATAATATTACTGTGGAGTGTGTGGTAGGTTATACTAACAGCCTCACAATGAAAGTCTTTAAGGTTCTGGAGGAAGGCCTTACCTTCCACAGCAAAAATATCCTTCCCATTTGAAAAGTAGCTTCTGGCCTATTGCTGGGTCAGAATAGAGAAGGAATATCTAATTATATGACATCAGACAACTCTATGGCTTCAGCTTCTCATGATGACCTGGGTATTTTTGAATTCACTGAATCATAGAGTGGACAACAATCCATGGATTGAAATGCTATATTCAGAATTTGGCCTAAACAGGTCTAGAGGGATTAAGAAAGTTCCATGAACAGATGGCTCAAATTCCCATTTTTCTTGTCACTGTTAACACTGGTGCCTCTCCCTGAGTTCACCCCTAGGGCTTCATGGAGATGCTTGAAGCCAGCTGATGAATGATGAAAAAAAACCTCAAGCCTGATTCATGGATGGGTTAGCTCAGTATGTTGGTGAGCACAAAAAAAAAAAAAAAAAAAAAAAAAAAAAAAAAAAAGACTGCAGCTTCACCGTAGACCCACCCAGTCATCTTATAGGACTGTGGTGAAGAGAAATCCTCCCACAGGACAGAGAGGCAAGCAGCCATCTTGAGAGGAGGGTAGCCTGAGGTTAGAATATAGACTGATTTCCAGGCAATGGAAGGTGACTTTTCCTGCTCTTTAGAGGCCTGGAAGGAGACAGTCTGAAAGATTAGAAACAAGAAGCCTGGGAAATGTTAGAAGATTCATAAGAATGTATCCAGAGCATGCAGATCCTTGTCTACATCTACCAGAGGGTAAGCCAATGTACCAGATGACTGGTCAGTTGAAGTTCTTTAGCCTCTCTTTAGTCACTTACAACATGCACAATAGGCCCATGAGTGGAGTGGCCATGTGGCAGAGATGGAGATGCTGCACACACTCAACATCATGGCTTTTTCTCCCCAAGGCTACCTACCACTGATTACATGATCTTCCAGCAGCAGAGGCAGATACTGACCCCTTCAGGACAAACCAGGTGTTTGACAGCAAACTGACAACATCAGACCCCTTCCATCCTTGGGGGAACAGTGATTCATTCTATGGGTTTGCTTTCTCTGATTATGGTGTCTCTGCCTGCCCTACCATTCCAGATCTTTAAGAATGCTGAATTAGCAATGTGGGGTGATTCATGATCTTGCCTGAAATCAAGGAAATGAGGGAAATGAAACACCAGGCACGTGATCTTAAGATCTGCCGTTCTTACTAAATGTCACATCACTTGGAAGAAATCAACCTGATCTAATAATGAAGTGGCCTCTTAAAGTGTCTGCTTAGGTAGTAGTTTGGAGACAGGATCCTGTTTTTTGGGGGTTCAATATTCCAAGTTGCAGTATATTCACTGAATCAATGCATGGCACACCATTGATACATGATGTTACATGACATGGTGTCTCCAGTAGGTGGAATATGTGGGTCTAAGGACCAAAAGGTAGGAGTAAGAGTAGCCCCCGTAGTAACCTATCTGCAGCATGTATGCTTCTGGGTTTTGCAACTTTGGCTCTGCTGAATTAGATATTCTTATTCTTGGGATACGGGAGAGTTCTGCTTCTAACAGGGATTAGTAAGTATCATGAACTCAAAGCTGTGACCACTGCATGGTAACTATGGATACTCATGATGTGTACAAGAGGGCAACTAAAATAGCTACTATATTCATGGGGATAGCTGACCCTAATTATAATGAGAAAGTAAGGTTGCATATGCACAGCAGCAGGAGGAAGAATGAATCTGGAAGTCAGATGATTCAGTGAGATGTCTTGTGGTACATCTAGGCCTGATGAGAGCAGTGAACTGTCAACTACAGTGAACAGGGCGTGACAAAGTAAAAAAAAAAAAAAAAAAAAAAAATCAAAGGTTCAGACCCCGCATATACAAAGGTCCGATTGACTCCTTCAGACAAACAAAACCGACTAAACTCCTCCTGGCTGAGGATGAGGAAAATCTAGAATGAGTGAAGGTGGTAGATGATAAATATCAAATATGGCCTCATACACAGTTGCAGTGGAGGAGTGGAGCTTTTTTATTTTTATTTTTTAAACAAAAACATTTTTATTAGCTCTTTTGTAGAGATTGAGGCCAGCCATCATTTTGAAGACATGGCAACAGATTAGATTTAACATGAGATAAGTAAATTTGAATATTGCAAGCGGTAAATTGCATCAGATGCTTCCTGTGCCCTGCTTCACATCCTCTTAGCTGTGTGGGTGTCACTACAGCTGCAGCTGGTGCAACAGTTCTGTGTGGACTTCAACTCCTTTGTACTGACTGCATCTTGCCTCAGCACGCGTTACACATCTTTTACTATCTGCTGTGGATATTTCCTGGTTCTACAGGGTAGGAAACCTGAAAGAGCCTTCTTGACACGCCCACCCATGAACAGCCTGAAACTCAAGATCTAAAGACATTATCCCCACCCAGAGGCAACCAGAAACCAAAGGCTCAGGAGCTAATGAACAAATGCTTCATCTTGTCTATCCTTGGGTGGAAAATTCTGGCAAGTTGTCCTAGCTACCCTATGACCAACTCAATAATGGGTTCTGCATTGGCTTTTCTTCCTTCTGTTTCACTCTTGCTAGTTCTTAATTTCTGCTTTCTTCAATCAAATAAACTGCTTGCACACAATTCCTAGTCTCAAATTTTTCTTTCAGGGGAACCTAGCCTAAGCCAGAAGGCAAATATGATGAAACTATTTGCTTAAAAAGATTTGAAACTAGATTCCTATGAACGAAAAGGGTCGGCCAGGCACCGTGGCTTAGGCCTGTAATCCCAGCACTATGGGAGGCCAAGGCTGGTAATCACCTGAGATCAGGAGTTCGAGACCAGCTTGGCCAACATGGTGAAACCCCGTCTCTACTAAAAATATTAAAAAAAAAAAAAATTAGCCGGGTGTGGTGGTGGGTTCCTGTAATACCAGCTACTCAGGAGACTGAGGCAGGAGAATTGCTTGAACTCAGGAGACGGAGGTTGCAGTGAACCAACACGGTGCCACTGTACTCCACTCAAGCCTGGGTGACAGAGTGAGACTCCGTCTCAAAAAAAAAAAAAAAAAAAAAAAAAAGGTCATTCCTCCAAGATACAGCTGTCACTGTCATAAAATTTAGCATAAACAAATACACCATCAAATGCCCCACTATAAAATGTAACATCCAGCAATTACATAGTAAAGGATTTAAGGTGACATCATTCATTACAGTATATGAATGATCCTCCTGACTAAATGGGAATTTAGTGTTAAGTAGCTGTAAAAGCTGCCAAAGAGCAAATGTTATTGAAACAAACATTAGCAACTTATGACTAAAACCTAGGGCATCCTGACCATAGCTACAAGGTTTACTATCTCTATTATGGAGCCATTAGAAACCACCACAGGGTTGTATCCAAGTCTATTAGGAGAATAATTTAGTTGAAATTTTATACTTACAGATGAAAGAGACAGGGATATAATCATTATCGATTTTACTTTCTTTGCAAGGTTTTATTGTTGTTGTTGTTCATATCCTTCCTAAATGTGAGTAGAATGGAGAACAGAGGAAGGATGGGGAATCGAGCCATCTTCCTAGAGAAGATGAGCAACATTCTTCCATAAGCCAAATTACATATTTTGAAGAAGGAATTATTTTTAGTGGTAGAAATAGCTAGTAACAAAGGGAATATCAAGTATGTATTCACAGATTGAAAATCTTACCCACAAATTTAAAAATAAAACCCAAAAGTCTTACTTTCAATATAGGCATTTCCACATTTTCTTGTAAAGGATAATATTAATTCAGTATATAATTCTCCAGATTTAGTGTAATGGTTCTTTGTTATCTGACTTTTACTAAATCAGAAGGCAGTTTAATGATACAGGGAAATATTCACTAGAAACTGAATATTAACTATTAAATATCATCCCTGAGAATTCAGAAGAAAACTTCAGCTTTCCTCCTGGGGCAATTTTAACTCATTATCTCCTATAATCTTCAAAGACTTGTGATCTATATAAATAGCCATTTAAAGGGTCAAGGTTTTCATTACATACCAAGGAGACTTTCTACGATTATTGGAAACTTAAAACCGTACTAAAATTACAGAGATATCCTAATTCTAATTGGTTCTTGTTAAGAATGAGTTAATACACTGATGCTTGAGAATCATCAAAATTTCTTAAATTTTAACTATTTTATTTTCAACAAAAAGTGCGATGTGAACTGAATAATATTTGTCATTTAACTTGAAAATTCATGAAGAAGGATTACGAGTTTCTGAGTCATTAACAATCCTCCCATTTTAATATAACAATTGAATAAATGGGAAGAAATTTATGAACCTCTGTACATTTTCTTTTTTGACATTCTAAATTATATTATTTCTAAAGTCAAATTCAGTGACTGATAACTTAAAAAAATTCATGCTTAGATCCAAATGAGGGATTAAAGCATCTCATGTATATTCTTATTTAAGCAAAATAGCATATCTTTAGATTCAATAAACCTTCTTAATATTTGGGTATATACTTATTTATTTGCCAACAGAAATGAATGTCGATAAAATTCATCAGTCAACAACAGCCAAGAGTAACTTCTTTAGATAAGCCATGTAAAATACACTTTCACATTCAGGACAAAAGATATCCAAGTATCTCATTTCCTCTCCCTGAATCCTCCATTCCACGACAAGACAGGGAGAAAGGACTGCCATCAGATGAATGACATGTAGGGCCAGAGGATGTCCACATTTATATTTTACCACTTAAAGCTCTTCTTTAAATACCTCCCGAGAGCACCCAGTCAAACCGAATCAGAGAAGCCAGTGTTGAAATGCCAAGTAGCCACCAGATGGCAGCAATGCTTTTATGAATAATGCAGCATTCTTTGCAGTCCATCTAAGATTTCCTATGTTAATAATAGAACAATCCTTACTTTAGTAAAAGGACAAATTTGCTCGTAATGAAGCCAGCATTTTTTTCCATATTGCTAGTTACATTTTGTGGGGTTCAATTGTTTTCTAGTATTTGCCCCCTCCAAATATTTATTTTCATATGCATTAAACATTAAATTGAGGTTGAATTTCATATTGATACTGTAGTAGAAAATGCCTGAAGCTTGAAACAAATATTTTCTTTTCTGATGGACAAATAACATCTGTGGTTGTAAATGTTCCAGTATAGCTGTCAAAAGAGAAGGGTTTCACATAATTTTCTGCCACCCCTATCAGTACATCCTACACATCAAAAGAGTATGTTCGTAACCTCCCTTTCCATGAATTGATTTCAAATCTATCGCAGATCTCAAATATCAGAAGCTTGCCTTTTACTTGATCAAGGGCATGGGAATTTTGAAAATGAAGCATTGCTTAAAATTCAACTTCAAGAAAAAAAAAAAGACCACAATCAAGGTCTTTCTAAGTTACTTGGGAAAGGAATCCTCATTATTGGTATTTCCGTTTTCAAGGTGCTTCAGCAATTTGTTAATTTTGCCACTGTAATTTTTTTAGTTTACACTTGTTCACCCAGAAAGTGAGACTGTTAGAATTTCTCCCAGTGCCGGAAATGCAATGTTAGGTAAATTGATGAGGCTGAGGTCAAGAATCTAATAGCTCTCTACTAAAAAGAAATGCATCTAAACCCTCCATGTGAACACCTCTCCCTTGGTTAAGCCATCTCATACCCATCAGTGTTATCTGAAAAGAGTTCAAACAGCTTCCTTCCTGATTTCTCCCCAACATCAACCATTTCATTTCATTGTTTCACTTAGGCCACCTCTCAACATCCTGTTTTGTTAAGATAAAAGAGCAGCCTCCTCCCCTCTTCAAATACCAAGAATCCTTAACTGCCCTGCAGTGTTTTATATCCTTTTGAATTTTTTTTCTGCTAAATGTTTAGTAGTATGTTTAACTCTTACATTGAGAGACTCTATGCATAGATGCCATAAGTGGCCTTTCCAGTTATGCATAAGTGTGGGCATTTTCCTTTCATCTTGAACTTATTTTTCTGTGCATTTCAAGCCTTTGTTTATGGATGCTTGCTTTGTTATTTTCTTATATTGCTTTAAACATTGCTCTGAGGTTTCAGCTTTGCTCACCGCTGCCCAGATTTTCCTCCTGCTCAGTGGCTTGTGGCATATAAACACTGAATACATATATATATATATGTATTTTTTCTCTTGCTTTCAGATCCAGCTTCATTACCTTATGTTTCTAAAAACTGAATAGCGTCATCTATTTATCAGCCAGTGATCCTATGCTATCCAAAAGCACTCAATTTTATTTCATCCTGTGTCATCCTTATGGACAAGCTGTAAAATGTGATACCATTTACTGGCCCCATCTATTATGTACCAGCTTTAGGGATTAAATTGTTCCTTTTTCTGGAATAGGTCTGTTTGCTATTAAAAATCATACACAGCATGAAATACACATGGCTGCTCTCTTTAAAAATAAAAGATATTGAAACAGATATGAAAAAGGATCCCTTGGCTTGAATATTGTCTTGCTAGCATCAATATATTTTCTATACTTTATAAATGAGATTAAAATAACAAGTAGAAAAACCATACACTTGTTGATTCTACCTTACTCCATAAAATTCCCCAGTGGCAGTGGTTTCTTTTGCCCAGGTTGGAGTGCATCGTGTCAAGTCTCAGGTTTGATCTCCATGTGGCTCAGTTAGTCTCATTCTGCTTATGGGAAAACAGAGAAAGTGCGTTGCAAGCCACAGGAGCCCATGGATGGCATAGAGACTACCACACTAGCTCTACCAAATCATCAAGAAACAGAATATGTTCCATGAGAGGAAGGGATTCACAATATGATGTCGGTAAATGAAGAACAGCATGGTGCATTTAGCCTGGTGTCAGACTAAAACCCAGAATTTATTCCAACTGCACAACTCATATCTTTGAGCTCACATAGCCAGCTATTCCAGAAGGCAATGTGAAGTGAGCTATCCAGTTGTCTAAGTTCATTAGATGACGTGCATCCATTCTTCTGCTGAAATGTTAGAAACAGAAGAAGCCAAGTTGACTTTTTTCTTTTGTTTTATGTTATTTTGGAATTACAAAATTTTGGTTCCCTTCACTAATTGGGGACCAAAATGTACTAATACTACTATTTTCAATCTTTACTGTCATCCGGTTGCATGCTGCTTTGATAGTTCAAAAAGAATGAATCTAGTAAGGCAGCATTATGCCCTCTAGTAATGAAACAATGAAGGTGTGCAAATGAGCATACATCCTTGATGTCTAAGGCTTTGACTAGTGAGTTTCACGGGATCACCCAGGCAACATAAAGTTCGTGTTGTTTTCCCTAACGATACACTTAGTTTATAAATCTTAATTCTAGATGTCTAGAATATATTTTTTAAAAAAGTTTTATTATTTCTTAGAAAATTAAACGTGCAAAAAGACAGTGGTTCCCAAGTCACATTATCTGAACCAATAGGCATGTTCTTCATTTGCAGAATGTACTTTCCATCCATCTTCTTGTTTCTGTTTCTCCTTTCATCAGTCAAAGCTAACATGCTCTCTTGATCTCATCTAGATTCTTACAATCAATTTTATTTCCTGTCCCCAGATTCTATCATTTGCACTCAATCTTTATATACCCCTGACATTCATATTCTTAAATCAAATCTCTAATTATAAAATTTTATGCCTCCCTCTGTGCAAAATCTGTGTGACCGCATCAACAAAAGTGAAGCTAAACATCATACAAATAATCATATCTCTTTCCCTTCAATCAGAAAAACAGTATTGTACTGATACCTCAGTAGGGGAGTAATAAGTGTCACTATTGTCCCTCTTTCACTTGGGGCATAGTTGCTACACTTGTTTCTATGTTACCTTTTGCAAGTTTCTATTAACAGCTTGGTAGGGCTTTCAAGGTGATATGCTTTTAAGTATTAATTTGAATATGTCATTGATTAATTAATTGGATATTACATTAATGCCACTAAGAATAGCACATTAAAAATAAGATTAAGGATCTATATTCTTAGTCACACAATAAAAAGATTTTCATGTTGTGTATTAAATATCAGTCTATTAAGTTCAGAAGGCAACAGAAAGACCAGAAGTAGAGCAGAAATTTTGAGTTACATTTCACAGATATTTACCTCTCTCAACCCTATTCTTCTAAAATTCATATCTGGAATTTCCCTCAAAACATTGTGAGATGATGTGGTTAGTAGATGAATAATGAAAGTCTGCTGTATTTGTATTAAAATCACTTCTTTGTAGTTGCTCTCAAACAAACATACAGGATTGCTTCATTTTAGTATTAACACAGATGGGCAGGTGAGGTGAGGACTGTCATCTCTTATTTCCTTGGTGTGACAAAGTTGGAGGAGGATCCTGCTGTGAGTTCTGCATAAAGTTACAACTGACATAGCCCAAATTGGAACACACATCCCCAGACCCATGTGTTCTCTCCACTGCACCTCCTGAATGTTGGATGAATATCTAATAGGTAGATGAAATGATTGGGGACAAGCTGTAGGGCAAAAAACAACTGTGTTAGACGTGAATGTTTCTCTTACTCTGGTCTATTTTTAATGCCGTGTCTTTTAAGATACTTTAATTCTCTAAAGTGAAACCAGCTTTACTGGAAATCTAATGCATGTATGAATGTGAAGAATCATCCTTTTGCATTTAGTCTAACTACAAGCACTGAAAAATGAAAGAAAATTGGTAAAAGCTCGGATTTATTTTAAACCACCACTTGTAACACAAGGAAATGGATAAAAGCACAATACCAGTAGTTTTCCTTTTGGCTTAAAATTATGTTTTTTTAAGATGTTATTAAATTATCTTCACATTAATAAACTTAAGTAGTACTTAAACATTTTAAGATAAGACATATTCAGATCAGAAAGATCAAATTATGTTTAAATGTAATGCATATCCATGGAGAATATTACATAAAAAAGTTTAATATACATTGTAGTCAGAAGACTCCATCCAAAGTCAGAGAAGTAATATAAATAATAAATCTATTCCGAGGTTTACTTTTAGGGACAGAATCTGTCCCCCGAGATCTATTTTTTAATATATTGAAAAAGAATCTTGAAAAATAATCTCAAATCCAGGAAATGTGACCATGATATTTGTTGAGGTTACAAATTGGTGGTGGCGGGGGGAGGATAACAGACTTTCCTCTTCTTTAGTCATTTAATTTTTTCTGCCTTTCAAGCAGCAAACAGGTAATTGACATATTCCTAATCAGCCATGATTTATTAATTGGCAGAAATATCCTACTGAAAGCATGAAATCTATAGAAGAGCCCAATGTATGTTTTTAAAAACTTTATTTTAAAGGAAGCTCAGGAAAACTGAGGCCAGTCACTGTCTGGCTCTAAGAAAAGGTAAATTTTTAGAGTAAAAATGATTTAATTATCTTAAATAAATAATGCTGTCTTATAACCTGTAATGAAAAAGACCCAGGAAACAGTTATCTTCTTCATCTTTACTTCCTATTTTACACCCTGGAAATTTTGGAGTACAGGGCCTATATTGTGGATACAAATAACTTTTTTTTTTTTAATAGGAGTGAATTTGTTTTGTTTTATTAAAGGAATGCAACTGTACCCTTAGCAGTAACAATTATTCAGCTAAAAAGTGTTCAGTCTTCTGGCTTAATAAGTAGAAGACAGTATGGGATATAGTTTCTATGTATTTTCTTTGGGGAGACAAGACTAATTTGCATGACAGAATATTTAAGTAAAGGATATTTAAGTACTAAATTTAATGACACGGAAATAATTATAGTGCTCTGAGACTCTCACATATTTAATAAGGGGGTATCTCCTTGGACATTGGGGAATTTTTTAGAGATACATCAGTTGTCTATTTGATAGCCATGTCACGAACTTCCTTTCCCTAGGCTTTCCAAAATATTTAACTCAGAAAGGTTTGTGTTCAAAGGAAAAGACAAAACCTAACTGAAAAATTTCCTTCAACTTAGAAACAAGATATAAGAGTTTTTTTTTTTTTTAAACAAACTTGTTCTAAATTATTTTGCAGCCATTTTCTCAGTTGAACTTCTTATTGAAAGACTGTAACTGCCTAACATGCCCAGCCAGGAAACAGAAGGTGACAGTAGCCCCGCTTGTGTGAGGGAGGCTGCCTGACAATGCTGCCATCCTTTCACATGGTTTTATTTAGTTATTACAACTATCTCTCTGTAAATGACATTTAGGATTATTTAAGATTATGTTGTAATCCTTTTAATCCTTAGTGCTTTAAATTTCAGGCTAAACACCAAAGAGCAAACTAGCACTTAGCAGGAATGTTTAAAACATGTGGTTTGAACATAAATCTTTTTATTCACTCTATCCCTGATGAAGACCTAGTGTTGCTGTTAACTAAGAAAACGCGTACCCAGCTCGTTATAGCTGAGTTGCTAAAGGTTTCTCGAACTACATCAAACTTGTGACAGTCCTTGACAATGAACATAAATGCAGAATTAAACAAAAGTTAGCAGCAATGGACATTTACCACTTTAACTTAGAATTTGTATGATCTTTTATAAATGTGTACTATCTTTCTGTGTTTGTGTGTGGAAGTGCTTACTCTATTTCCTAAGGTCAAGCTATTAGGTGTGTATACACACAGGTAGAGTATATATACATATGTATATTTGCATATATATTTTATGTATATAAGTATATATATTTTATACATGTATATTCATGTATATATTTTAATATAAATTATAACATCTAATACATACTTTATTATAGAATTCTTTTATTATTTATTGTTAAGAAGTACCAATTAGGCCAAAGAGTGTGCTGTTATAAAATATGCAGATATTCTTAAACTTAGCAAGTATCATTCTGATTTACTGAAAGTTGTTGAATACCAAAACTTAATAATTAATGTTGTCATTGTTATGTTTCCACATAGCAATCAAATAAGATTCAGTCCATGTCAACAGTTTGATAGGATTTCAACTAGGAAGGAAAATTTGGATTTCAGTACAAAGAGAAAACAACTCAAACATCCAAACAGCATATATGAACAAATGAAATAAATGAAATCTGTCCATTTTTGGTTGTCACAAATGTGTGCTTCTGAGACTTGCAACATTTCTCAGGCACATACAATTTTTTGTTTGTTTTCCTATTCATTTTAAGTTCAACTTCTCTGCAGACATTGTAATTACATGGCATACAATTGCTAATCCATCAAACTTTTTAAAGACAGATTTCAAATTTTAAAATATTTCTAATTTTGCTCTTCTTTGATTTTCCTTGAACCAAAAATCTCAATAGTCATTTGCTATCTGTAATCTATAATTCATAGACTGAGATTGAACACCAAGCCTAATTCAAACTTGGAATTCTAAAGCTATTTCCAATGTAGCACATCAGCTGAAGCTATGATGGTCTTTTTCAGTCAGGAAGAAACACTTCATTATTCTGCAGGTAATGAAACCATTGCACACATACACTCCAACGTCCAACAATGCCTTAATACCATGTTTTTAAGACATAATCATGTTTATTCTGATCATTTGAGAGTTCGACCAGCTAATGTATCTAATCAAATATTGATGCAAGTCATCTAGATTTAGCTCTCTGGCAAATCCTTCCCGACGCTTTTTTGTTAACAGAACTATAGAAGCTATTTATATTGTTCCTCTCAAAAGGCTTACTCTCATAGTCTGTATCTATGGATATGTATTAGTCAGTTTTACCAAAACTCATGCATTTAGGTGATGAAAAGATTTCAGCACGACAAGGAAACCAAGGGATTCACTCAAAAAGAATGAAACAGAACATGAAACTTGAATCTTTTCTTTTGGTTTGTTATTCACAATATCCTTATGATCACCTCTTGTTTCTCTAAAAGTACAAGACTAAAAAAAAATAAAGCGTCTGTAAGAAGACTGAGGCCCCATGAACTGTTCAATTACATTACAAACAAAACTAGCTGGCAAAATTTTCACCTTCAGAAAGCTACCAAAAGTGAGAATAGTTTTTAATATCTTTGGAAGGATCTACATTCAAAAATATAAAAATCAAATAGAAAATTGCAACAGGAGGTGATTAGTCATATCCTGAAAAGATTGGGATGATACACACTGTCAATATAGGTGGCTGAAATGTCTATCTGTGCATATAATGTTCATAGTTATATAAAAATATACATAATTTTTTCATCAATATTTTCAGCCCTGTATGCATCAAATATAGCTGACTGTCATCCTCATTTGTGAACTAATTTAACTCTTCATAAGATTAACAGAAGAAACTGAAAAAGGCTGGCTTAGCCCATCTCCAAAGAATTGCTATTGTCCAAGAATAATGTCTATGACAAATTTCAACATCTTTTACAATTTTGGTGATTAGGATGCTAAATTCACAGTACATAATAAGGCTCTACCACTGAGCTTTCCCGGTCTACTTCAGAGCTTCTTATGTTGATCATCTAAGTTGTCATAAGGCTAGAATTATAACCTCTAAACTGTTATTTATGGTAGAATAATAAGAGTAAGAAATTGGGGGAAAGGGGAAGTCACTGATCTATAGTTCCTCCCTTTGAAAGAAAGTTTATTTCTCCTTCTTGATTCTGTAAAGCCACATTTTAGTCACTTTCAGCTTTAGAGCATTGATTTCAGGACAAGCGTGTTTGGTTTTCTTCTATCTTTTCTCTCTCCCTTTTATTTCCTTCCTTCCTTTTTAAATTTTATTTTTAATTGACAAATAATAATTGCATATATTCTCTCACTTTCTTGTTTGATAAAAAATCTCTATACCTAAGCAAAATAAAACTAGAACCAGAAAAGTAATTTATTCTAGAATGTGTTAAAATATTTTATGGACCCAAATTATTTGGATATACCTGAATAGCATCTGGAAAATACAAACCGAACTGGAAACCAGCTTCTTCCCCTCAGTGAGAGTGTCGGTAGAAAATGTCACCTACCTATGCTTCCATAGGACCCAATATTAATTTCAGCAAAGCATTTAAGAGTAGAAGAATTGACTTTTATTCAAGGGCCAACATGCTCTCAGAAGACATTTAATTTAAAAAATAATTATTATACTCTATCTCTCTTCTACTAAATTATATAAATTCTAAAATATATCTAATTACTGGTTACTTTGGAAATATAAAATTAAATTTCATATAAAATAGAACAAAAATCAAACTCCAAGATCTCAAATTATTAATTACCAGATAAATCACGCAATTAGGTGATTTTGGTAACGTGTGAAATTACATTTTCCAATTTTATCTCTCTCAAGGATTTCATCTGGTTCTTGCCATTCAATCGAATATGATTGCAATTATTAATCAACTTTTTTTTTCAAAAAACTAAAGTAAGCAATATGAAAGAATCTATTTTTTATAGCTGTTCAGCCCTCTCCATTCTTGTAAGTTATACTGGTAAATGTAATTAATGACTAGAAGGCAAGAGTGTCAATGAATGTAAATAGCTTATACTTGGTGAGTCTTAGTTTGTGTGCATCTGAAAATTCTAGATCAAATCTACTTAAGTCAAACATCCCATGTTTGAACTCCAGACATCTATCGCATATACTGCAAACTTCAATGACTTTTGTGTGTTTATATTAATCAACGTGCAACATACATTTTGTGTTTAGATAGCAACCAGTCGCCAGAAAAAAAGCAACAAAACCAAAGATTCAACTGGGAAGAGGAGTCGCCTTTCATGACCTTCAGACAACGAGTTCATGTACATGAGCACATCACAAGAAGGTAGTCTTATTTTAGTTACCCAAGAGAGCTCAGATTTAGAGAGAATAGGAATAAATTGAATATATGTAACATTCTTACCTGAAAGACATTCTTTCTGCTCGATTTTTCCTTGGCCCATTCAATGTGTGCTCCACACAAATCCACACTTTCTGGTTTGTGCCCAGTTTTCTGTAATCACAAAAATGAAGTAAGAATAAGAGGATGCAACACTGTAGATAGATGTCAGAGAAATAGGAGTTTATTGAGTTAGCAGCTATACATATTTATGATATAATGCCTTTTTTGTTTTCCCCAGGGGAAACCTAATTTGTAGGAATTTTCATTTGGGACCTAATTTTTTTCAATGTCTAAAATTACAGACTTATTTTTAAAATTATTTAATTAACTATAAACCATAGGAAAAATTAATATCTAGAATACTGATATTTTGAGATGGTATTCTTTAGTAATTTAAGAATAATGAAAGTTTTAAAATCTGCTATTTAGTAATATGGAATATTGCTCTTCAATGTCTAAAGTAACATAAAAGCATGTTAAGTTATATTACTTTTAGACCTAACAGTAAAAGAAAAAATTGATAAATCATAGTGCAATGCAAAAAACTGTTACAGAGTTTTAGTTTTGCGACTATAGTAGAGTTGCTTAGAATCTGACTACATCATCTAGAAAATTGAGCAGGTGGATTAATCTCCAATTCCCCTTTCAGGTTTGTGTTTCACATGTTAGCAAATTCAATACATATTTATTAAGTGTCAACTATGCCTTTTAGAAATTCACTTTTCAGACTTTAAGACTATACACACAAATATAATTTCATTTGGTAAATTTAACTTAGACCAAAAGGATTAAAATGTGTGCTTCCTATTACACAATTACAATGTGGGTATTACTTAAAAGATGTTTTTTATTTCAATAATTCACAATAATCAATAGGAATATCACCCACATTTGTCTTTTCATATTTTCACTTGATTCAAGTTAATCATACTTATACAACTTTACATTGGCATACCTCCATACCGCCAATTATTTTTTAAAAAGTTTACCAGTTGAGAATTTCTTTACTATTTTTTCAAGAAGTTTCTCCACAGATAAATTTTCTAGGTTTCTCTGTAGATTCCATACTTTTCTCAAGTCATTGTCCATAAAATACTTCAGAATTTTAGTATATGAAGCTTATTATATTTTTAGCCAATGTTTTTAACATTATGAACATTAGGATAAAACATGAAATTATGAAAGAATGGTAAATATGTTTTAAAAACATATTCTGTCCATGTTTGTTGCCTCTTAGCCATTATATCCAATTCTATAAGTTCAACATAAATAGGCTTTTTCAGAAGCCAGAAATTTGTTTTTTTATGGTAAATTATGAGACTTTTTTCTGGCAACTGAATTTTTTTTTGAAACATTGTATAACTTTCCTACAGGATAAACCCAGCCGGCAGGATAGAATTTGATAGCATATCTACCTTTTTTGTTGTTGTTATTTAGTAACCTCAGGAGAAACCCATCAAAATGAGCCATGCTCCTTAAAGAGATTTTGATCAGTGAAAAGTTTTTATTGTTTCACCCACGCTCTGCCACCCAGGTGATCACTATTTTAGATTTCAAAGCATGATAATGATAGTCTTTGTCAAGTGATTTATGATGTAGAAAAATTAACAACAACATGCTTCTTATAGATTTAATTACATTAGGGGATACTCAGAACCAACGAAAATAATCATTAAGAGTACGTAACAAAATGGCTTATTTTTCCCATACAGTCAAGTCAGGGGGTTAAAAAGGTATAATTATTTTAAGAAGCACTTTTTATGTTCCAGGTACTTACCTACGTACAACAATTATTGATAATTCGTTTAGTGTATAACCTCTGTATCATAGAGAGTTTGTGGGCAATTATACAGAAGTCTAAGGCTAAAATGAGGAAGATTCCGTATTTTCCTTGCCTCTGGAGTTCTAGGGCCCAGCACTGTGGCTAACACATGGACACAAAATAAGTGTGCAATAAATATTAACCAAATGATTCTGTGAAATCTTACATTCACAACTGTATGAGGTAGGTATTATCATCACTAAGTTGTAGGTAAGAAAACCTGCCAGAATAGTTAGGTAAATTTCCTCAAGGTTACCCAGCTAGAAAAGGAGGGGCCAGGATTTAGATCCAAGCAGTGTCACTGCAGAGACTGTTCTTAACCATGATGCAGCCCTTAAAAATTGAATAGACACTGTGATCATATGCTAAAAACATGTAAGAATTTGGGAAAAGCTATGGCTTTCTCACTAGACTCCAGAATAGACATATTCATCTTGTTTTTGTCCTTCTCTGTTAAACGTGATCTTGCCGTAGGTCCTTTACACCACCTGTTTACCTGGAATACCTCCCAATCTTCACACGGCTGGCTCCTTCTTATCCTTCAGTTCCCAGTTAAATGTCACCTTGTCAGAGGTCTTCTTTGACTGTCTTTTATATAAAAGAGCTGTACTCCAGTACTCCTGGTTACTCTCCATCCCACTACTTGTTTTAATTTCACTGCAGCCCTCCTCCTAACTGAAATTAACATATATATTTTTATATGCTGACTGTCTGTGTTTCCCCCACTAGAATTAAGCTCCCTGAGCTAGGGCCTTGTTTGCCTTTTCCTCTACTGTTTTTCCCAATGTATGGAACAGTGCCTGGCACATAGTTGTTGTTCAATGAATATTTGCTGAATTCATGAATGAAGGAAAAATACCAAAATGCAACTAGCTTTTGTGCTTTGGAAGGAAGACTTTAGTGTCTTAAAATTCCCAATTTTATAGCAATTAAGATTTGTATTTTTTTTAAATGGTTAAGCAGTCTTTGTGATTTGGAAAAGTGAGAAACAGTTCAAAGGACTCATATTTGGATTAAATGTGAGATTACACAAAGTCACTCAATTAACATTTATTGCACACCTACTATGTGTCAATGTGTTACCCACTGTGCTGGGCTCCCTGAACTCCAGGGATAAGGGAGATACTGACTCTTCCTTGAAAAATCTCATATTAGCTTTAGATTTCTGTATAATTACCTACAAACTCCATATGCTATAGAGCTAAAGGAAACCTGTGGGTAAAACAGTCTAAGCTTTTACAGTTTTCTCATCATCTAGCTTTGTCAATCTCAAAATGTTCTCATCAGCATCTGTTGTGCTGAATCCTTATTAACCCAATAGGGCTGAGGTTCAAGAGGCCAAAGACGAGACCCAGAGCCAGCAAACAAGATATGGGATTTTAAGGGTTTACATACCGGGGAAAGAGGCCAGTGGTGCCAGGCTGGACAGGAGAAACACCTCACGTACAAGAATGCACCAGCAGCAGCGGGCTCCACAGCCCAGTGGCGGAGGGCTGGGCAGGAAAACCACAACCTCTTGCTACCAGCATGCAGTTTATATAGCATTTTCACTTAAAGCCCTCCCCTTAAGGACCTCCACCTGGCAACCTTCATCCAACCCAAAACTCAAAGCCTCATTCCCCTGTGCAGCCTGTGATCCACGAGACTGGATGAGGGCTCAGGTGTTCCTCACGGACAAGGAACGAATCTCCAGGTTAGCTGTTCCTGGATTCCCTAGCTTGAAACACACATTCAGGTGTGTCTGCCATAGAGGGTCATTCCAAAGAGATTGTTAAGCTATTGCTATCAGGTGTGTTTACCCTACAGCCTCCTAAGGCAAATTCCACAGTACCTGGCACGGGTTTATCACAATCCAAACCCTGTCTGTGGCCATCCTCTCCAGGACCTTGCCCGTCTCTTGCACTCCTTACAATCTCACTCCTTCACCTTGTCTCCACTTCAGTGATTTTCATTCTGCTGCTCATCTGACAGATTCCATTTCTGGAGATTTTCTTATCCGTGTGTTTCTGATGCTATTAAAATCATTGACCTTTGTGCAATCTCCCAGTCTCTGAATTCCTTCCTGGCTTCACTTCCTTTCAGGTCCTATATTCCTGATTCCACAGTCACTTCAACCACCCCCTCCACCTGCCCTCTCCTCCAAGGATATCGCTCTCATCTGCTTGCCCCTCCATAATATTCCTCATATCCCCGAATACTGGAGAAATAACTTTTGACTACTTAGGGTAGCAATATTACAAATAATGTCTACCTTCTTCAGCTGGGCCTTTGACTCTGCTTAAGATACTTTGTATGTGTTCCTAGTCACTTTCTCTTCTTCCTCTTGCCACTGCTCTCTGAAAGCTTCAACCCTTATGAGTCCACCCCACGAAATGGTTTGTTCTGACTTCATGGAGATCACAGCCCTTGTGCTGGAACAGTCACAACTCTTCCCACTTTCATACTTAGTCTGTGTAATCCAAATAAACAAATGAATATAAAGTTTAATGATAGCTTCCTCTATTGCACTCTGAAAGCTTAATATTGATTTCTCATTTACTTCTTACAACAATCTTTTGAAAATATTACCATTGCTTTCAACTTATACATGAAGAAACCCAAGCAGAGAGCGGCCAAGTGCTTGACATAAGGTCATGTACTTAGAAAGTGCCTGAGCTGATACGAATTTACTTTTATCGGATTCCAAGTTTAAAGTTCTTGATCACAATGGAATCCATGGCCTCCCCTCCACACTCATTTTTTCCTCCTACTAGTTCACCTAAAAATGGCTTTTTCAGGTCCAAGAATAATAATTCACATTTTCCATTTTTTTCCTGTGTCATTTCCCACTTTGTCTTCCAGCCCCAAAATTCTGGGGCTGTGACTGGCCCATCTGTCTAATAAACTCCCATGCCTTGGCAGGACAGTGGCCTCTGTGAGTGTCAAAATTACCTGACCTGTCAGTACCATAAAGCACAAAAAGGACTCACAAGGCATGTCCTGCTTTGCCTCAGAGGAAGAGATACTCCTTCTGCCCAAGGCTTATTTATCTCTAGTTCCTAATTTCATCCAGTCTTGTCCCTCATTTCCTGAGTTGTCCAAGAATAAGAATTTCACATTTCGTTCTACTTTCTCCCCCTCAAATAGATTGTGTCCTTCAGCCTCTAACCATGTTCATTACCCGTTTAAAAAAAAAAAAGAAGAAGAAGAAAAGCAAGCATCAACTCCACACCCTCACTTTTTCTCAATCTCACTTATTTCCTTTCCGTTATTGCCAGATTTGTCCTTCTCCTCAATTCATGTTCTCTGTTTGCTCAGACTCCATTCTCTTCTTCAACACTGCAGTCTGATATTTACTTCCTTCTTTGACTTTTCTAAAATGTCTTAACCATTAAGGTCAACAAAAACAATCTGATGCCTTGTTCCCCATCTGCATCTGACTTGAACTCTGCACTGTTAGATTCTGTTGGCCCTTCTCCTTAGAGCCCTCTTGTTTCTTGGCCATGGAAGCATTTCACCTTTTATACTCTTCCCTTTCAGTTTCTTCCACTGAGTCCTCTTCCTCTTCCCACTTTCTAAATGTTAGTAACCCCAGGTTTAGCGTTCTAGGCCCTCATCATTTCTCCTCACTCATGTGATTCCTATGGGTTTTGGTCTTGCCCCTAGTCTTGTCCCATTACCTGCCATATGTTGACCCCTCAATGGGTGCCTCTGGCCTCCAGCTCCCTCTGATGTGTCAGAATTATATTTTCTACATTACCATGAGAGTGTAGCACAGTCACCTCAGTGAAATCATTATCTTCTTCTCCTACCTGCCTCCTTTTCTCTATTGCTTGTCTTGCTTAATAATCCCTTCACTCACTTCACCTGAAAGTTTCTTAACTCCCTCCTTTCTTTCACCATCCATAATCAAAAGGCACAAAGTCTCGAATTCTGGAATTAGTTCCTTTTTCTCCATCTCATGACCTTAACCTCAGTAGAGTTCTTATTTTCTCTCACAAGAATTCTTCTACCTCTTGCCTCTGTGGCCAGTCAAAAACCCTTGCAATTCATTCTCTGTATTTTGACCTTTTTTCGTTCAATGTGAGACACAAACCTCACATTGTTTATTATGGAAAATTTATCTACGGGATAGTGTCCAAATCCCTTGGTAAGGTATACGAGCTCCTTTCTGTCCTCCTCCAACCATCCCTCTCGGTTCTATGCGTTCTCCCATTCTTCACACCAGCTACGCTACATCCGTGGCAGTTTCCAAAATGCAATGTGTTTTCACAACGCCAGACATTTGGGATTTGAGTATGCATTCATTCTTTTCATCTGAAATACATTTATCTCTCTCTTCAATCTACCCTGCTTGCCTACCATCTGCCGTAATCTTGCTCATTTTCAAGACACAACTTAAAAAAATAAAAATATCCATGGGGAGAATTTTCCCTCTGCAGGTAGTCACTCACTCCTTCCACCATTTCCCCTACTTTGAAACATACTGTGTTACAACTCTTGTTAGTCACACATTGCTACTCCTTTTTGGTGTGTTTTTTTTCCCCTAGCTATCCAGTAAGAGAATGGGTTTGACTTATGGTTCTTTATTTTTCCAGAATCTAGCAAAGTGGCCCCAAATAAGTGTTCAACAGTTATTTGTGAACTATTGAAATAATTGAGGAACTGGATAGAGAATGACAATGAAAAATATCTGGATTGATTCCAATGCATTAACAAATAAAAATAAATAATACATCTCAGAATGACAGTTCACAAAGTGAGAAGTACATATGGAATAATATTTCCATTTTATACCAACTTTAAGTAAGAACTGATCATATGGTATAATCAAAGCTAATAGAGATTTGGGGTGAATTCAAAAGTATGACAGATAAAAAAACAAAGTTCTTAAGTAATAATAAATATATTCGCTTTAAAAAGAGAAAACTAGAATAAGTAGCTGGAGGATTGTGTAAAAATGGTCCTAATAAGTAGTTCATTTTCACAAAGCTACAGCAGAAAGACCTATGCCTGAAGAGCAGTTTTAGGGAATCGAGATTATTAGAAGAAATTCTCAGTGTTTAAATGTTAAACATTTAAACTACTTATTGGAATAAGTAGTTCAGAAAAGTTGTAGAATTTATTCGGAAGACAATCAAGATTTTATTCAAGAAGCCTGAAATTAAAGAATCCTTTAATAGAAAACATATTTCCGATTCTACAGCTATAAAACACAAGAAAAAGTCTGCTAATGAACAGCATGATGCCAATGGATCATATTCTACATCATTATAAAAATACACTTTTTAAAAAATGACTAAATATGAATTTAAATCTAAGAATGTACACACCATATTTCTTCTGGGGTAAACTTAAAATAGAAATGACTGATTTTTAAAATACTTAAATAGAATTATTTAAGAGTTACTGCTTTTGGACAATAAAACATAAAAGCCTCTTTTTTAGAGGAATGTGAAGTCATTAAAAATTGACCCTAGGTCTCTTGCACTTCTGATTTTTATTATTCTCTTCGTCTATCTTCACCATTTCCCAATAATAGCTAAGAGTATTTTCTCTGTAATACTTTTTTCTCTGACTTAGATTAAACCTGTGGGATTAAGTTTCCCATTTTTCTTTATGGGATATTTGGGGTCCATAGTCTTTTAATGTATATTAAGAAAATATCAAAGGCCAGATGCTCTTTAGCTTGATGATAGCTTCCATGATGAAGATTGGGCATATACGCAGGCCACAAATCATTTGGCCGCACAGCCTCTTACCCTTATTACTAGATGTGGTTCAAAAAGAGAGACAAAGCTCGGATTTTATGAAATAGGTTATTAGCGCCATTTTTTATTTTGGATTAATTGCTATTCCAGAATATAGACTCAGATTGTCCTTATCATTTTGAAACTCGAAACACAAAATCTGTTTAGAGGAATTAAGTTTTATCACATAACTGGTTTTGATTCTGGAAAATCGTTCATGGAGGAGGATAAAACTCATTTATATATTCTCATTTGGGCAAAATGATTTAGGAAAGAGGGCTGAATGGATACCTGATCTTATTAATGTCTAAAGTATGGCCCCTGTCAACATAAAAGAGGATACTTTGATTATAAGATGTGGGTTTTATGTATATGAATATAAATGATGTTAATAATAACAGAAATTGTTTCTACAGTGAAATTTCTCAGTATATTACATGACCAAATCAAACCACATTTTCAGAAAAATAAACCTTTGTTAGTGATTGTGGGCACTAGAATGTTATGTGCTTTTTGTTTGTTTTTGAGGAGAAAGTATTCTACACTTTTCAAGAAATGAGCACCTATTGTATTTGTTTCTGAATCAAAATCTTGCTGGAATAAATATAATGATTATATTTCTCAACTGATATAGTCTTACATTTACATTAAAAAGGCAATTTATTTCTGCAAGGTGAATAGCTTGGGTACACTTTTGATGTCTCAGGTGCCTCCTCAGAGTTTCCTCTTAGACTGTCATCCACTCAGTCAACCTCAGCTGTCCCTGCAGATGACCAGCCCTGCCTGGGCAATGCAGTCCACCTCTTGAGAATGACCAGCCACCTTCTTGGAATACCAGACTTTCCCCCTAGGCTGCCAGACTATAGAAGGGCCTTTGGCTCCTTCCACCACTTCCTACTTTAGATGAAATGCCACTTTGCAGGAGTGGGACCTGGCTTTCTGAGTAGCCTCCCATGGCTGAGGCAGGTCCGACTGAAGCAGGCAAGTGAAGACTCTGGGTGGTGAACTTTAATCAAAAGTGCAGGAAATGGGAAAAGTGCAGGAAATGGGAAGAAATATGGGAGATAAATTCCTTTTCCTTCTTCTGCTCCCTTCCTCCCACAGATTGCTTTAAGCTTTCACCAGCGTACTTGCAGACCCTTTTCTCTCCGTCTCTTTGAAGCTCATTGTAGTGGGGAGCCAACATGGTAACATCCCTGTACCACTGCCCATCACTTCTGGCCTGACTTCCTTTTCACTTCACTCTCTTGTCCTGGATTTGTACCTCCCAGATAAAGTCAGGCTCTTAATTCAGGCTTTGTATTCCAGAAAACCAGGATTGAGACCACTGATGCTGCTCTCGCTGTGGCAGAGGTGAATCGTTCTCCACCAAAATGTGTGTTGTGCTCCCTCTTCAAGTGCCTTGTGTTGTCATTGGGAAGCAGCTTGCCAGCTGAAGACTTTATTCCCAGCCCCATTTGCATCAGAATGTGGCCAATTATTTATACTTACCACTGGAATGTGAGCGAAAAGACTTCTAGGCACATGCAGATCTTTCCCACATTCTCCCTTTACCCTTCCCTCATCTGCCACTACTCCTAACCACTATACTCTATTGCTTCATGTAGTAATAACGACAACGATAAATACAATTAAGATTTATTATGTTTGCTCTGTGTGAGGCACATTGCATCAATTTTCTCACATATAGTTCTACGAGATAGTCACCCTTGTTAATGTCATATTGCAGTTGAGATAGCCAATAAATATGTGAAAATAAATTTATCATTAATATTTGAAAATAAACTAGAGCAGCAAGTAAAATATGAACCTAGGATTCCTAACCCAGGTGATCTGACTTGAAAGCCCCTGTTTCTACCTAATGTGATACTGCTTCTCAGAGCATTTCAATTTAGTAGTGAATTTTTAAGAAAGACTATACATATACTCTATAAATTAAAAAATACACTGTGGGGTAAAAGCTCATTTTATCTTAGAGAAATGCAAGCTCCAAAACAGATGCATTTCATTGGCCAAAATGATAAACCACAGAGAGACAAGCTTCATAATTAAAACAGTTTTCTGAGAGAGCCTAAGGTGAGGTTTATTGAGGGACAGTAAGCTCTGATCCATTTGTAAAGAATCCTGTCAATTTCATGGATTTCTGTGGTTATTAAAAATTATGTAAGTTACAGAATTTATTATAGTTAATGGCCAAAGCTAGAAAAAAATATAACCAGAGAACATGGCTTCATTTATAGCAATATCGATCACTTGATTTTTTCCTTCCAAAGTTTACATTAATAAAACACTGAACTTTAATTTCCTTTTTTTCTTCTCTGTATTTCCATCTCTACCCATTATCCTCCAGATTTTGAACTGTAACTTGTTTTTCCTAATCATTAAATGTTTGATGAGGCCATATGATGGTGCAATCTACAGCTATACTAACATACTGCATCAATGATAACCATGCTGATGTGGCAAGAGTACTACTATTATGAGAATTAAATGATTAAACAGAGATTTTAAAATGCCTTCATTAGTCTAAGGCTGATAGATCTTTTGTTTGCCCCTCCATTTTTTCATGATCTTCTTAAGCAGGGGTCTGAATAAGGGCTCAATACTCACTCTACAAAGATAAAATCATTCCATATTCATTTTGCACGGAATACTCAATAATTCATGAATAGCTTTCTGATTGAAACTATTTTCATCTTTTTGCTAAATCACATCATTTTCCTTCCATAAATAAGTTCATTTTGTTGTTAAAGTCATACTACAGTGAATGAGCATTAGATATATTGCATTATTTAATTAATGTGTGTGTTCATTACTCATATTGAAAGTAAACAATATTTTTTAAAAGTAAATTATTATTTATTTTATTTTATTTTATTTTGTTTTATTTTTTTAGAGACAGAGTCTCATTCTATTGCCTAGCCTGTAGTGCAGTGACTTAATCATAGCTCACTGCGGCCTCAAACACCTGGGTTCAAGTGATCCTCCTGCTTCGACCTCCTACGTAGCTGGACTTACAGGTGCATGACCACCATGTGTGCATGTGTGGTTTTTTTTTTTTTTTTTTTTTTTTTTTTTTTGAGACAGAGTCTCACTCTATCACCCAGGGTGGAGGGCAGTGATGGGATCTCGGCTCACTGCAACCACCACCTCCTGGGTTCAAGCAATTTTTGTGCCTCAGCCTCCTAAGTAGCTCAGGTTGCAGGTGGGCACCACCACACCCAACTAATTTTTGTATTTTTAGTAGAGATGGGGTTTCTCCATGTTGGACAGGCTAGTCTCAAACTCCTGACCTCAGGTGATCCACCTGCCTTGGGCTCCCAAAGTACTGGGATTCTAGGCATGGGCCACTGCACCCAACTAATCTTTTAAAAAAAAACTTTTGTAGAGACAGGGTCTCGATATGTGGGCCAGGCTGAAAACAAATTATTTTAATGAGGCCTTTTATGTTGCCCATTTTTGCTTTCAAGGTTATGGCTGAATGAGTGGTTTGGAAAAGTTAATAGTTCATTAAATGCCTTGGAAGAGTTTTCTGTTATTAAAAGTAAAATTTTTATAACGTCAAACTCATAGAAGCAGAGAGTAGAATAGTACTTACCAGGGTCTGGGGGTTTGGGGGAAGGGTATGGGGAGATGTTGCTCAAAGAGTACAAAATTCTATTAGACAAGAATAATAAATTCTAGAGATCCATTGTACAGCATGGTAACTATAATTAATAACATCCTATATACTTAAAAATCACTGATTATATTTTAAATGTTTTCATTGCACACAAAAAATTAGGTAATGGAAGTGTTAATAGCTTGATTTAATCATTCCACAATGTATACATGCATCAAAAGATCACACTGTACTTTTTAAAAATACATTTTTTTTCTTCCATTTTTAGGTTCAGGGTACATGTGCAGGATGTGCAGGTTTGTTACATAGTTAAATGTGTGCCATGGTGGTTTGCTGCACAGATCATCCCATCACCAATGTATTAAGCCCAGCATCTATTAGCTATTCTTCCTGATGCTGTCCCTCTCCCCACCACCCACCTCCAACAGGCCCCAGTATTTGTTGTTCCCCACACTCTATCCATGTGTTCTCATTATTCAGCTCCCACTTATAAGTGTGTTTTTCTGTCCCTGTGTTAGTTTGCTAAGGATAATGATTTCCACTCCATCCATGTCCCTGCAAAGGTCATGATCTCATTCCTTTTTATAGCTGCACAGTATTCCATGGTCTATATGTACCACATTTTCTTTATCCAGTCTATCATTGACAGGCATTTAGGTTGATTCCATGTCTTTGCTATCGTAAACAGTGCTGCAATGAACATACACGTGCATGTGTCTTTATAATAGAATGATTGATATTCCTTTGGGTATGTACTCAGTAATGGGATTGCTGGGTCAAATAATATTTCTGACTCTAGGTCTTTGAGGAATCACCACAGTGTCTTCCACAATGATCAGACTAATTTACACTCCCATCAACAGTGTAAAAGTGTTCCTTTTTCTCTGCAACCTCACCAGCACCTGTTGTTTTTTGGCTTTTTAATAATTGCCATTCTGACTGGTGTGAGATGGTATCTCATTGTGGTTTTGATTTACATTTATCTAATGATCAATGATGTTGGGCTTTTTTTCATGTTTTTTGGCTGCATATATGTCCTCTTTTGAGAAGTATCTGTTCATGTCCTTTGCCTACTTTTTAATGGAGTTGTTTGTTTTTTCTTGTACATTTGTTTAAGTTCCTTATAGACTCTGGATATTAGAATTTTGTCAGCTGAATAGATTGCAAAAATTGTCTCCCATTCTGAAAGTTGTCTGTTCACTCTGATGATAGTTACTTTTGCTGTGCGGAAGCTCTTTAGTTTAATTAGACCCCATTTGTCACCATTTGCTTTTATTACAATTGCTTTTGGCATTTTCATCATAAAATCTTTGTCTGTGCCTATGTCCTGAATGGTATTGCCTAGATTTCATTCTAGAGTTTTTATAGTTTATTTAATAAATGTGGGGAACTGGGTAACCATATGCAGAAAATTGAAACTGGACCCCTTCCTTACACCATATACAAAAATTAACTCAAGATGGATTAAAGACTTAAATGTAAAACCCAAAAATATAATTTTTAAAAAGTAAAAATTGCCAGTTGTTGGCTCTGATTAAAAATACATATTAGTACAATGTAAAATAAAAAACATAAGAGTAACAAAAAAGTCCCTTACACAACCAACATATAGGCTTTCTACTGAATATACTGGCTTTAGAACCACACCATTTTAGGGGGAAAATATTCCCTAAAATGTTTACAATGTTTTTGAATTTATATCAAAAGTGACACTAAATTTTCTGAGCAGTGTGTGATGAATATAATAGAAACGGTGGCTCTCATCCACCCAATTGGTGACAATGAGTTCCACAGCGTCTGATTGTTGGTGGAAAGACTTCACACAATGCATTTGTTTAAGTAGGGTGTGACACTAAACAGATGTTCTGGAGTCAGATGGAAGCACCAGTAGGTTTGCAACGGGTGCTCACTGAGATGGTGACACACCTAGTTCTTGGGACAGCATGTTTTTCGCTCTCCTTAGATGGATAGCTCTGCTTGTTCTCTTTGCACTAGAACGTCTTTAGAAATGGCCATACTGTTGGAGGTCAGAGACATATGAGAATATCAAAATATTTTGTCAGTGAAAAGATGTCCTGTGATTTACTAAATGCATTGAGCCAAAATGATGACACACAGCCGTTTTACAATTTTCTCTGTCGTAAGAGCTCAGGCCTTATTGCTCACATCTATTTGCATAAATTTTTAGAACATGTCTCTCGGATAATTTACCAAGTCCTGCATGTGTTTTTAAGTTATATATACACAAAATTAAGAGAGACTTAATTTTATAGACAACTGATATATATATCAGTTCCCTAAACATGTCTCTGAAAACTCTGAGTCTCTCTTAATTTGAGAATATTTCATATTGGTTACAAAAACCCCACATTACCTACAGAATGAAATGATCTCTTCTCCCAATCCTGTTCAAAGTCTTTCCTAAACCGGTTCCACACTGACTTTCTAACCAAATTACACTGTTTGCTGTTCCACAATGCTGTTCCGCAACTTAGTCTAAAGCTGTTCCTCACTCCCAGGCAACTTAGAGAAGAAACACAAAATACTCTGGACTAGGAAATATTCACTCCAGGCCTCAGGGAACCCCCATTCAAACATTTCAAGAACAGTGACTAGTACACAGTGCATGGAAGAAGGCAAGAGATCAATATACATCTGTAAAATAAACAACAAAAAAAGAATTTTCCATAGTTCACTATTAATTACTCTCTTATTAGTACATAAAATATCTTTTGCCCCCTTTTACATCAAAATCCTATACATCCTTCAGAAATGTGCTCAAATGTCACTTCCTCCATGAATATATTTCAAATCCTGTCCAAATGGAAGCAATCACACTCTTCTCTTGAGTTATCATAAAACGACGCCATGTCTCTGTTCATGCCATTTTAGGACAACTACCAACATCCATTTCTTCACTATACTCAATCTAAGGCCATACTTTCTATTTGTTTCAGTCTGGTTCATTTTTTATCTTTCAGAACACCTATCGTAGTGACTTAAACATAAGAGATGCTCAATAATATTTGATATAATAATATCAAACAGTAATATTTGAACAAAAGGAGAGATACCTAAGCTGAACATGACTTGCAACAATAGTTTCTCTGGAAAAAGACTACCTATAGCTAAATCTATGGTTCCATGGCATGTTGTCTAATATTTTTTAACACTTTAGTCATGGTTTTATTATAATAAACCTATACAAAATTATGTCTCTTTTACCATATTGTGAGTACTTTAAGAGCAGGGATCATATACTATTCATTTGAATATTTCTGTTGCCCCTAATGTAAAAACAAAACAAAACAAAAAGAAAAAAATTATATGACACCTGGTAGGAGTTGTTAACTGTTGAGAGAATAAATGAATGGATGTTCTAAATTGCAGAGCTTCTTCTCTATGATGCAATCCATCAAATGGGTTTTGTTTAACCAAAAATGGAGATTTGCCAAATCCCATGAACATGGTCAGGTGCCTCCTGAACACATCAAGCAGAAGCTCTAAAATCACAAAGTACAGCAGGTACTTAGGAGTCAAGCTGCAAATGAAGTGCTAGAGTCAATTGAAATACTTCACTGATACTAAAATAGGAAAGTGTACCTGAAAAATACAAGGAGTGTGAGTCAAGGCCTGAGAAGATAAATCAAACAGACAACTCCTGATTCTCTAGTACTTCTTTAGCACCAGATGAAACAAACACTAGTGTGGGTGCTTTTGAGGAAAAAGTTTTCACTTCTGCAGTAAATGAGATGAAGAGCCTCGAAGAAGGAGCATCCTCTCTTGCTTTGGCCCTACAATAGGCCTGGCTCTTTTAAGACACATACCACTGACTAGTACTGCTGTTCAGTATATGTTTGTTAAAACAATAGCCATGACAGATTATTCCAGAATGAAGACACCTGGAGAACGCTAACACTACTTATTAAAAATTTGTCACTCAGCAAATCTCAGGCCATGAAACTCTTCTCAATCCTTTTCTCTTATCCTATCTTCAAACCAAAACAAAAATTCATTTCTCCTTGTTGTGCACAGGCTCTGTCCATTCTCAGTTTTATGCCATTGTTCATGTTTTTTATGCCCCTGCACTCCCTCCCTACAAATCTCCACATATTCAAATTATAACGGTCCTACAAGGCCCAATTCAAATCTTTCACAGATGTGAGCTCGCCTTCTTCAAAATCTCAGTGGAAAAAAAAAAAAAAACAACTCTACTATGTTTCTTATTTCATCTCACCCTATTTTTTGGCAGAGATTTTATAAGGCAAAGACTATATCTTGATTATATCTCTATGCCTTATATGTAGCCCTAACGAGCAAGCTGTTCATTGTAGAATTTCAATACATATTCTTATGAAGTCTTTTCCCACCAAGATTTATATAAATAGCACAAACTTGATTAACCAAATGCATACTTAACTTGAAGTGAGGTAGATTGCAATGAGAAGCTATGTTTTTGGATCAATTCTCCCACTGAAAACAATAAAAATGCTGGATAAAATATTTCTTTTTAAAATTACCCCTTAAAAGAATTGAAAGTCTGAAAAGACAGTGGGACTGCCACTGTAAATATTTTTTAGGGGTGGGAATATGAATTCAGTGAGGGAAGCTGAATATCAAAGTAACACAACTGCATTTTTCCTGAGGTCATTTGTTTATACTACACATTTGAGCTTTGGTCAATCAAACCCAGAATAATGGAGCAAGGTCCTGGCCAAAGTGTTATAAAGAATAAGGGAGAACCGATATTAAACTTGTGGCCTTTCTCCAAACCGAAGGAAATATAAAGAAGACTGTTTTGGTAGATGAGCAATGTAAAATAAGAAAATAAGAAAAACTGAAGCACAATCTTGTCCCTGAGAAGTGGCAGGATAGCTACGGCCCTCCTATTATGTAGACATAATTGGAGAGTTTTATACTGTTAATTTAGATTGAGATAGTCAGTCTCTGGGAATGTCCCAAACCTCCTGAGAAAAATCTAAAATACTCTGGAGTAGGACACATTTATCCTAGGCCTCAGAGTGCCTCCCATGATAATATTTCAATAACAATGATTAGCACACAGTCAAAGATAACCAGACACACAAGAAAACAAAGCAACATAAGAACCAGCAGAAACATACTGACACAAATTTAGATATTAGAATCACAAAATACAGATTATAAAACAACTATGCCTCCTAGTTATAACAAAATAAAATAGAGTCTTAAAAAATGCCTGCAGGAAAAAATTAACTCTAACAATATACATAGTACATTTTTAAAAGAAACAAACTTCTAGAAATAAAAATTACAATAATTGAAATTAAGGAGAAAGAAGAACTGGAAGATACCTAAAGAGAAATTATTTGCAATGCAGCTCAGAAAGACAAAAATATAAGAAAAATGAGAGTGTAAAGCATTTAGAGAATACAGTGAGAAATTTAACATGGGTTTAACTGAAGGTTTAGAAGGAAATGAGAGAGGGAATGTAAAAAGGGCTACATTTGAAAAGATAGCCATTGGGCCTGGTGCGGTGGCTGACACCTGTAATCCCAGCACTTTGGGAGGGTGAGGCAGGCAGAGCACTTGAGGTCAGGAATTCAAGACCGGCTTGGCCAACATAGTGAAACCCTATCTCTACTAAATATACCAAAATTAGCCGGGCTTGGTGGTGCGTGTCTGTAATCCCAGCTACTCTGGAGGCTGAGGCTGAGAATTCTTGAACTTGGGAGGCAGAGGTTGTAGTGAGCCAAGATCATGCCACTGCACTCTAGCCTAGGTGACAGAGTGAGACTTCATCTCAAAAAAAAAAAAAAAAAAGATAGCTATTGGAAATTTTTTGAAATATATTAATGACAGCAATCAATAATTTTAAGAAGCATAACAATCCAGGCAGGAAAAATAAAAAGAAACTGACATCTGTATGCATCATGATGAAACTGTAGAAAAACAAAGGTAATGAGAAAAATATTATGAGCAATCAGAAAAGATCAGTTATATTAACAGGTGATTTGATTTTAAGAATGGATAACAGAAGACAGTGTAATGATATTTTTGACATGCTGACTGAAAATGACTACCAACTAAAAATTCTATATTCAAAGAGAATATATATTTCTAGGATGAGGGAGAAATAGAGATTTTTTTCAAGTAAGCAGACTATGAGATAGATTGTCCCTGCAAGACCCTTAGCACAGGAATTTCTCAGAATATATTTCAAGCAGAAGAAAAAGTGATCCTAGAAAGCAAGTCCAAGGTTCATGGAGAAATAAATAGCAAAGAATGTGGCAAATATTAGGCAAATGTAAACAAACATTGACTCCATAAAAGAGAATAATAATGTCTGGTGATATTAAAAAAATTAAAACACCAGATGGTAATAACATATACATTGAGAAAGGGATAAATTGATTAAAAATATTCCAAGGTAACATCTTAGTAGAAGGTAAAGGGTCTCACACTAGCTTTATTTGTTGATAAGTACTAATGCTGTAACCCTAGGCTAACTATACTAACAGAGCAGAAACAAAGTGTATCCTCCCAAACTAGTAGAGAAAAGAAAAAAATGGAATGATAAAATATTAAAGGACAGAAAAAGCAAGAAATACTTAGTGAAAGAAGCAAGAAACAAAAGAAACATACACTAGGATTCCATTTATATGAATTAAAAAACACCTAAATTATATTTTTAAGGTATATAGCTATAGGTTTGAAAATAATGAAAGGCAATGAAATAATGACTAAAACGCAGGTTCTTGGCTAACTCCAGAGAAGGGAAGAGGCTATGATGACAAAGGGACAACTGATAGGGGTTGGGGCTTCTGAAGGGCTGGCAGGGTCTATAACTCATCCTGGGTAGTGCTTATGCAGGTGATTGATTGATACCTATTAAAAATACACATAGATGTTTTATACATTTTACTTAAAATGGTTTCTGTATTATTTTATAATATTTTAAGTGAGTTATAAATAAAAATACATTAAAAATATGAGAATATGAACACCATCCTTTCCTTCATAATTCAGGAAATCTGGATCTAGGGACACGAGTGGTTTTCCTCCTCACTGGAGGACCAGCCAGTCCCGATCCACCTGTCTTGATGAGCAAAAGAGAGAGTATGTTAGGCAAATAAGGGGGACAGTTTTCTTTTTGGTAAAGGGTGTCTTTTATTCTGATAATTTTATCCTTTCTATTTTTTGGATTGGGTATTTTATAATGTCCTTTCTGTTATAAAATGCTGATGATAGTAGGTGGTCAGTTACGATTTAATGTCCTTTTCATAAAACAAGAACAGAATAGGTCATTCTTCCTTCTCCTTTACTAACTCACTGAGGTACCTATGAATCTCTATGAAAATAAGCAAAGTGATTCTGTGCTTATTTGCACAGTAAGGCTGCTTTTGATAAAAATGTGACTTGGATATTTTTAAGGATTGAATGTTTGTGTTACTCTAAAATTCCTATGTTGAAACCTTAAACCCCAGTGTGATGCCATTAGGAGGTAGGGCCTTTGGGAGGTAATTAGATCATAAAGGTGGAGCCCTCATGAATGGGATTAGTGGCCTTATGTGAAAAGACACGAACGTCTGCTCTCTCACTTTCTGCCCTCTGCCATGTGAGGATACAGTGAGAAGACAGGACAGATGCAAATGAGGAAGCAGGACCTCAGCAGACACCAGATTCACCTGTGCCTCGATCGTGGACTTCCCAGCCTCCAAAACCAGGAGAAATAAATGTGTGTGGTTTAAGCCACCCAGCCATTGGTACTTTGATGTAGCAGTCCTAACTGAGTAAGACAGATATGAACTGGAAGAACTTCAGTGAGAAAGGAAAGTAACCAAACACAGAATGTGGGGTCAGGCAGAATACTTTGTAACATGCTGTATTAAATGTGAAAACAGTAAGGGTAAGAGCCAAAGGAAGAAGATGGGGGCACCGGGAAACTTTGTATGGACATTCAAGAGGTTAACATCTAGAGCCCTAAATGGATGGCTGGCTTTATTTTCAGTATTAGTCATTGCTCTGAGACAGCATTTTATGCTACTTCTGGATACATTCTTTTGGAGGTCATGCATGATGGAGTTTCTTGAATTAATTAGTATATTCTCTCTTCTATAAATGTCTGAATCAGGTCAAGTACAAAACTAATGTAATAATATAATTATACTCTCTATTGTGTACTATAGAATATGTTATATTTCTGTATTTAATAGCATATGATATAATAAAGCACAATAATTTTTTGTTCATTATGTATTTGTTTTTACCAATTAATTTCATTCCTTACTAATTCTGTTGGCAGGTATCACTATGCCCATTTCACAGGTAAGGATTCTGAAGCTCAAAGAAGTGAGTAATGTTATCAGCTAATGAGTGGTAAAAAAAAAAAAAAAAAAAGGAATTACATCCCCTAGAGTCCAACTTCAAAACTGCTCTGGCTGGTTTTGTTGCCTTGTCTCACTGCTGCATTAACACTTAAAGATCATTTGTATAAGGACTAAAATACCATTTATTCTTTTAAATCACATTCTGCACTCACTCAGGCAGCTTGTCTTGACCCCTAGGAGGAAAGGGCAGACTTTTTTCCAGAAGCACAATGAGCAACACCAGAAAAATTCTAAGGGGGTGCAAGAGAAATTCAGAAACTTGAGCATAAATCTCTTTCAAAATAAAACCACAGCATCTTTAATCAAGGCCTGGCAATCGTTGTATCGTTTCTCTAAGACTGGAACTGGTAAACGTGGGCTATCCCACTAGGCCTTTAATACTGGGTTAGAAATGGATCCAAGAAGTTGACTAGCAAGTCAATTCATGCAGCACAAACATAAATCTGTAATTCTCTTACCCATTACCACAAAACACAGTTAGTTCCTGCCATGAATTGACTTTGAAGACAATGAGTGCCTGGTAGAAACCATAAGAGCATTAAAAATGGGGCCAGAAGTAATAAATAAGGACTCCTAGGAAAATGTTAACAAATTTCTTCTACAAGTCAAGTCTATTGTCAACTTACAACAGTTCTGAAGGTTGAACGAGAGGCATGCAATTAGTGAGCTAACTTGCAAGATTTGCCTGCAATCAAAAAGGGAGTTTTCTTTCACCTGTATAAAATTTAACAGCTGATAATTATATCTCATGGTATAAAGAGATTAAAATAATAAAATAAAAATAAACCAAATGCTTTAAAATATGGAATCTTATCTCTCCCATTATCCCACACATTCGCATAAACTCTCCTCCCAATGGAATTCTTCTCACTCAGCAGGGGAAGATCATCTTTTCAGCAGCCAAACTCAGCAAGGCCAGCGACTTTCCTCCCCTCCTGACTTCCCCCTTAGAGCTCATTCAAAGGGAAGACAAAGGACCTGCAAGTGGATGGTAGTTGTTTTGTGCCTGGCCCTTAGGGGTACTTTATTTTCCTTAAAAAGATTATCTCAACCTTACTGTATCCAAAAATAAAAACAAAATAAAACCCTAAAACAAATTTCTGAGGCAGTTTAAATTAAAAATACAAAGGACTGAGATATATTTTTAATTTATTCATAATTAGTTTACAGATCGGACAGCACTGAGACTCCAAAATCAGCAAGCCACTTGGGGATAAAGGCTACTGCGGTTATCAGAAGCAAGTCAAATGCTACCTTTTGTTCTTACTAAAATCTTCTTTTAAGAAAAATCTCCTAGCAAATGATTTTCTATTTTCTATTTAAAGAGGATTACATAGCAAACACAACTAGTGGCTGGAGAGCAAAGAACTTCCCATCGTTTTATTACCTGTCAAATACAAATTAGTTCATTGTGGGTAACTCCTGCCAGGCGACCCCTTTCCTTATCATCCATCAGGCCGATGGGCTGTGGCAGGTTAGTTCCTGCCCGGAGTCCTTCCTAATCAGGAGGCTGTCAGATATGTTGCCTGCCCACTGTCTCCTACATCTTGTGGTAGCTCTTGTGTTTGGGCAGCAAGGTTTTGAGCTTGAATTGCCCCAGTAACTGGCTCCGAATTGCTCTTACTTATTATCACTGTCAAATCTTTGTAGGTATATGTGAGGCCCTCCTCCAGGTACAAGGAAGAAACCCTACAAATTTCACTTTGTAATAACTACAGGATACAGAAATTGTATTAGCTCCATTAGATGGAGTCATAGAAATATTCAAAAAGGTTAGCTGGATATAGTGAACGTCACAGTTAGACGAAGATAAAAAATCACTTGGCTAATTTAGAGTGTTTCCTCATTGGTAATACCCTATATTAAGGTGCCATTTATAAACAGTTTATTATTATTTATTAATGTCTGAAGCACTTTATAGCATGCTAGATACCAACTTAAATTCATGTATTAAAGATGCACATACATGGTTTAATATGATTTACGTCTTATAATATTCTTTAAAACAGCTTCCCATAGTATCATCCGTTAAGCATTTATTACTAATGCATTTTATAACATACTTTATAATACATTATTTGAGCAAGTAGCTGCATTTAGTGATCATTTCATAAATAAGAATAAGGCATTTATAAATGGCACCTTAATTTAAAGTGTTACCTTCGCATTACTACATAGCTGCTCACCATACATCTCATTTTGTGATTATTCTCCAAATGCACCACTTAATAAAACAGACACTAAGTTCTATTTTCCCTTCATCTGATTAAAAGTTTATTGAGTCATTTTCTCCATCTGTTTTCAGATGTTGGTAGCTTGGAGGTTTTAGTGTGATTTCTGATAAAACCAAACTTTTAATTCTACAATATTTCTGAAAAGATATTTAACAATAGAAACAGAGAATTACTTACCATATTGGACAGAGCCTGTTGCTTGGATTCTTTGTAAAATTCAATTCTTCGACTAGAAAGAACAATCCAGGAAGTAGACCAGTTTTTCCTTAGGACAAAAAAATAAAAGGGAAAGAAAGCATTATCAGTTGAAGAAATCATTTATAGATACAGTATGAGCAACATTTGGAATGAGTAGAGACCATCTTTATTTTTAACAGTCTTGCTAAAAGTCTCCTCTTTATTAAAATCTATAAGTGGTATGGAATTTGGGTAATAATAAAGACATTCTGGAATTATTTAAAAGTACAGCATTTATAGTAAGAATTTCTTAATTTATAGATCCTCCTAATATCTTTTTCAACTACCAAAAATCCATTTTTTGTGTATCCATGTGCATCCTTCCCATAAAAAGTTTATGTTTTTACAGCAAACCAAAAATAGCAAAGTAAAAATAGGAATCAGAACCTATTCCTTCCTTCATTGTTTCTTCTCTTCATTGGTTTAGTGTATTTCAGTCTTAAAAACTAACCAGCCTCATGTGTCATTGCTTAATTCAAAATATTTTCATAATGTTGAATCTTACTAGAAATCAAAGAAATGCAAATAAAAATAGTGACATGCTTTTTCCCTCTTTGTACATCAAATTGTCAAGGAATAAAAGAACTAACATCTGATAACATCTAGGGATAATCACAGTGTAGGAAATAGATTCTCTCATACACTATTGGTGGGAATGCAGACTGTTGCTTCCTTTCTGGAGTGCAATTTGAAAATGTGCTTTTTAAAAATCCCTAAAAATGTGTATATCTTTTGGCTAAAAATGTCCATTCCCTACGAATTTAAATTTATTCTAGAGAAATAGTCTCACAAATTGCCGAGTCTGTATGCATAGAAATTAATTGCATCATTACTTGTTAATTCCATACATAAAATATAAAAAAGATAGGTTAAATAAATTGCATATAATAGGTCCATATAATGGAATAATGAACCCTATGCTGTAGAAGAATACTGATGTGCGAAGGTTTTAATGCAGACCATAATACACGTAGTTTATAACCGTGCTGTGCTATTTACCTAGGACTTTCTTCACCCATACACTCCTTCTGATTATTAATTCCATTAATTAGAAGTCAAAACATTGCTTTGTCATATGTGCCTTCCATGACTTCCTCTCATAACACTTATGATAAATTTAAAAATATTTTTCATAAATTTCACCTCTATCCTCCATTAAGAAATGAGCCTCGAGATGGTAGAAATCAGTTCATCTTTACAAAGGTATCCACAATGCTTAGCATGGTGCCTTGGACAGAATAGACGCAAAATACATATGTATTGAGTCAATGACTGAACTTTGGCCTGGAAAAAAAGTCTTGATATGACAGTAGTTAAATCAAGTGGTAAAATCGCGGCTTTTGAGTCTCCTTTGTATTTCTTGGTGTTTACCAAGTTTTCTGCATTGAACACATATTGCTTCTATAGTTAGAATATATATATGTTCATGTCATGAAGGCACTCTTTTGTAGATAGTAAAGATATTAAGGAGATTAATATACATAAGTTTCTACCCATTAGAGCATATTGCTGCAGTTTGCTTCAGCTTAACATTCACTTCAAAACAGTTGAATTCATTTCACAAAAGTGATTTTTTTTTAAGTTTATGGAAAGACTTTATTCAGGTCAATAGAAAACCACACCAAAATACTTTTTAAATGACTATTGAAGATCTTTGCGTAATTTATTTCCACTTGTCTTTTAGAAACTAAGAGCTTGATTGAAAGGACAGCTTTGATTCAGTAAGGTTAATATTTACAAAAAGAATTAGGTTGCTCTTATATGCCTGGAGCTTTCTTAATGATACACCATTGTGTTAAAAAAGAACAGAATAAGCAGACACACAAGAAGCACAATGTGTATTTTTCAACATCCAAATACAAACACTGTGTTCTTGGACCCACTTGTCTTTAAATGAAGAGTATCAATTTTTCAATTAAATAATGAAAAGATGAAAAAACAAAACCCAGAAAGAAAACCACACAGACGTTTCCTTCTGCCCTAGTGCCCATTTTGCCTTTTAGGTACCAGCAGCAGCAGAGTGAATTGAAGCAGCAATAGCCTTCTCTTCATTCAGGTCATAATAATAGATTACTCCAAACAGGAAAAAGAGAAAGATTATTAGAAGTCTAGTCTGGGCATCTTTTAACACCACCCTTATTTTGACCATACGTGGTCAGGGAGTACAGAACACCCTCACACACGAAGAATCCATATTTAACCTACCTATTATATTTCCCACTATACATTTCATATTCTCACAAGGAGACACTATACCTTATTTGCATCCTATCTATAGTAAGTCCTGGATAAATGGCTCTGATTTGGATCTGTTTCAGATGTTGATCATTTATAGAACTTGCTGGCAAAAACTCTCCCCATCCTTAAACTTGGAAATGGAACTGGTTAGAGCTGAAGTTGCATGAAACGCAATTATCTCATTGTTCTTTATAAGGACTTTGAACTGCTGTGAACTGTGTGCCTGTTAGGTGAATTGGATGAAAAAACTGAAGAGGGTAAGAACTGCAGGTCTCAAAACCTTAGCAACATGACTTGCTCTGACGCCTTATGTACGGTGCTACTTTGTTTTGAATTTATAAACTATAAACACTGTCTATCTTCTCTGAATAAAAGTGAAAGCTTTTCCATGGGCTCAGTGTTATTGCTTGAAAAGAATTTCATTTCAAAACGAAGAATAATAATGCTGCTGACAACCTTTTAGATGTCCTCTTTCATCTCGATTTTTTCCCATGATTCTTTTAAAATAATAATTAGCATAAATTATTTAGAATACCTAGCGTAAACCTGATCATCTAGTTTATGCTTAGCTTCATACACAAAAATGATGAAAGTACTAACATCTCTATTTACTAATATGAAAAATGAGGCTCAAAGGGTAACTTAAGGCCTTACACTTAGATTTAAAGTTAAACCCAGTTTCTCTAGCTCCAAAACCTATAATCTGTTCGTTACTTTATGCTGTCTGGTTTTTGTTTTGTTTTGTTTTGTTTTGTTTTGTTTTTTGAGACGGAGTCTCGCTCTGTCGCCCAGGCTGGACTGGAGTGCAGTGGCGCAATCTCCGCTCACTGAAATCTCCGCCTCCTGGGTTCATGCCATTCTCCTGCCTCAGCCTCCCCAGTAGCTGGGACTACAGGCGCCCACCAACACGCCCGGCTAATTTTTTGTACTTTTAATAGAGATGGGGTTTCACCGTGTTAGCCAGGATGGTCTCGATCTCCTGACTTCGTGATCCGCCTGCCTCGGCCTCCCAAAGTGCTGGGATTACAGGAGTGAGCCACCGCGCCCGGCCGCTGTTTTTTTTTAAATCCAAATTTTTTTAATTTACTTTTTAGGGCCTCAATACATATTTTTTTGAATAACTGAAAGACATGAGTTTACACCTATCTGCCAGTGAAAAACAGAATTGGGTACAGAATTTGCAAAGCCCAGTGCGGAATAAAAATGCACCATTCCGTGTCCAAAAATTATGAAGTATTTTAAGACAGTAACAATCTAGCATTAAATCAAGGGCAGAGTCCTTCTGAGCATGGGGCCCTGGACGCACACCGGTGAAGCCAGCCCTAACTACATTATGACTTTACAACAATGGCCAAAGAATAATTTCTTTTTTATATACTGTTCAACTCCCACTTATGAGTGAGAACATGCGGTGTTTGGTTTTCTGTCCTTGGGTTAGGTTGCTGAGAATGATGGTATCCAGCTTCATCCATGTCCCTGCAAAGGACATGAACTCATCCTTTTTTTATGGCTGCCATGTCTGACCCATTGTGTTGCCCATAGTTCTTAGCATATCAGGGGAATAGCTTTCTCACCCAATTACTTTAACATAGTGACTCTCTCGTAAGGCATTGTCAGCTCTGGAGTGTGCAAAGGATCACTTGGCAAGGTTTTACCTTGACTTAAGGATTTGATATTTTCTATACGCAACCAAATCACTATATATGACCCTTATTCAATATATTAGGTGACATTTCAGGAAGTGGGCAACTCATACAAGCTTAAAAGCCTTAGCCAGGATAGGTGTGTCCAGCAGTTTCTGAGGAAACTTTGCAAATAGACTATTTTCTAGGATAAACACAGTTTTTGCACTAGGAAGTCCCTCTATGCCCCAAGCTCCCACAAAGAAATAGAAACCACCTCTCTCCTCTTAAGAGCATTTCCAGTACTGGGCATACTGTTTGACATTTAGTAGGTGATTATTAAAGATTTTTTGAGTAAAAGAGTATATGGCCTTTCAAATTTCAGAAAAAATCGAGATTTTTTCTGCTTTATGTTTGCTGTTCGTCATTAACAAGGACTGAAAAATTTCTTTTCCTTTCTCTGTTCCTTAGTTTCCTAGTAGTTATTAAGGTATTCTTAGCATTATTTTTTCTTAACTATCGAACACTTCTGATATAGGATATTTTTTCCTAATTTATGCTTCTAGTGTCCAATACCTGAGCTTTCTCCAGAGGGCTTCCCACGCTGAGCTTGCACTGGCTTCTGCTCTGTTCCAGGTATGCCACCTGGCATTTTATATGCACTATGTGATTTAATTACTAAGCTGGTCACATGTCTCCATTAAACATTTACCACGTGCCAAACACAATTCTAAGGGCTGAAAAGAGATGGAAAATAAGACATTCCTCAAAAACTGTACTTCTAACTACAAGAAGATGGACAATAAACATGGAAACCAAGTCTTCTGAATGAGCCTAGGATACTCCCATATTACAGAAGAGAAAACTGAAGCCCAGTAAGGTTGCATCCTAACCAAGGGAAAACAAGCCATAGAGATGGGATTCAGGCCCCTGCTCACTCCAGTGTCTCCATGGTCTCTCAGCAGGTGGCATGCAGCTCTCTCTGTAGTCACTCTGAGCATGCCAGTTGAGAGCCTCATGAGAGGAGCTAAGAGGGGGAGATAAGGAACACTTGTCAGGGAAGTACTAGAATCTCTTTCTCTTTGGAGCAAAGCCATGTCTTAGCCTGACCTGGGCCATCCTGCAATGCTGAACTGCGAGCCCTTTATCCCTGTCTTCCACCCCTATCATGATGGTCAGCAGGCAAATTCACCCACTGACCAATCAGTGCCTCCACATTTCATCATAACTTTGAGAGAATAGTTTTCTATTTTTTCCACAGAGAGACAAAAATTAAGGTGTTGGATAGACTAAAGGGGTAACTAAGACACACAGTTCAGGAAATATCTAACTTTAGTAAGACAGTCCAAAGTGCCAAGAGTAAGGGAGACAGCCATCAGTTTCCACAGGAATTTACAGGTAACAATCAGGTAAGGGTTTGATCCTAGTGATTCCATGCAGGAGACAAATCCTAGGGCAAGAAATGCCAAGTGTTGGGCCAGGTGCGGTGGCTCACACCTATAATCCCAGCACTTTGGGAGGCTGAGGCAGGTTGATCACTTGAGGTCAGGAGTTTGAGACCAACTTGGTCAACATGGCGAAACCCAGTATACTAAAAACAGAAAATTAGATGGGCATGGTGGTGGGTGTCTGTAATCCCAGCTACTTGGGAGGCTGAGGCAGGAGAATCAATTGAACTAGAGAGGCAGAGGCTGCAGTGAGCCAAGTTCGCGCCACTGCACTCCAGCCTGGGTGACAGAGCGAGACTCAGTCTCAAAACAGAACAAAACAAAAAAAGAAATGCAGGTATTTATCTTATCTTTTGACATACAAAACAAATTACATCTAAGGGGAAAAGGGGTGCTAACTACAATTGGGAAGTAGGGAGAACTAAATTTCTATGAGGGCATTTATGTACCATTTATGCAATTGGTGGGACATTTTATCCAAGTGAAACACTTCATAAAACTTCCCTAAAGCAAATCCTGAATTGTGAAGTTGGAAAAATGCAAAAAAAACTAGCAGACAAATAGAAGTACAAAAACAAAATCAAAGCCCAAACAACAACAACAACAACAAAACACCCCCAAAACAAAAACAAAAACAAAAACTCAACAAAGCCATCAGCTTGGCATTCTACAAAATGGACACCGGATGGCAGCACATAATAACAGCAACTTTGATTGTAACAGCTTATCTGGAAAATGCTTGATGAAAAATGGCTCTTAAAATATTCATTACCGTTATAAGAATCTGTTAGCTTAAACTCCGGGTTTAACACATTCATTTGCTCTAAACACCAAAAGCTTTATATCCTACGCTTACCTTTCTTTTGCCTTCTTTAGGTAATGACAGAGTGGCAAACCAAAAAGTCAGAAGAAAATATATGTGAGGTTCCTTGACAAATTTCAGGTTCTCTTATTTGGTCCATCTGCCTTTGTTACCTAACTTGGTCATGCTGGATTTGACTTGATTCCACACCAGTGATGGGAGTGAAAGTAATTTATTCTAATGTCCCTGATTGATTTACCGCAAAATCACTCAGACACTGTTAAACGTACAGACTCATTCTCAAACTGGTTGGTCTAGGAACTTACTTCTTCTGTCTCATATTCTAAGCATCTTGTAATTTATGACTGCTAAAAGGTGGGTCAAAAAGACACTGAGGTGTAAAAATACCCATCTCTGTCAGTATTGCAAGAAAATGAAGAAAGATTCAGCCTGGAAGAATTTATTGCGATACTGAGCAGAAACTACTAAAGAAAAAATATGATGACGTTAGGCGCACACCTTAGTCTCACATTCCAAAGAAAGTCCATTCTGAATAACAACTGTTAAAACAAACAAACAAAAACCCAACCGAAGGCCTAGTAGCTATGGGCCCTAGGATGAAAGCAGGCACTAGTAGACGTAACCACTGCACAATCTTTTTTCTGCATTTCTTTTCGTAGCCATCTTCTGGCCATATTTTCACCCCCAAGTATATCTTTCTATGTCCATCTAAGGAGAGAAGAATGTGACTCTATATTGTGGTAAGATACGCAGAGCCACACAGGAGCTGATGACGGGAAGACCTAGATGCCGAGGGAGAAGAAAGTTTGTGGTGCTGAGACTTCATAAACATACTGTCAGGTGTATTTTGTAAATGTAAGCATTGAAAATAACTTTTTACTAAGGTGTCATAGAGTTTCAGAGAAGCCAGGGTTACTTACAGGTTTGGGGACGGAATTCCCCAAATGAAGAAATTCCTATGGTTCATCAGATAAGCTAAGGCATAGTTTCAGTGTTCACAATTAAAAATTAAAGTGAATGCTGAATGTATTCTGTTTTCAAGCCTGTCAGTGTATTGTTGGGGAAATGTGTATAACCTCATTTCAAAATAAGGCTAAAGGTATGGCCTCTTATGAATGTCAAATATAGCCAATAATTTATCTTTCCTTTTACCATCTCCTGCTTATATTCAGAGATAAGTTAAATTTTCTTTGAGAGAAAGAGAAAATACATTAAAGAGACAAATAAAGACACATAAAAAAGAAGAGAAAGAAGGAAAATAAGAAGACAATACAAGGTATGATGATCTATTATGGATTTATAAGTAGAAAACTTGATAGAAATTAATAAAATAATACTTATTAAGTGACAATTGAAGTACCTGGTACTGTTGATGGCATGAAATAAGAGGACCATTTTTGCTCACTAGTCTCAAATAGCTTAAAGCAAGAGAGATAAAGCAAACGTGTTTCAAGCAGAGGTCAGGGCTAAATTCTGTGATACTAACTATATATAAAATAAGATTTGGGAGAAATAAGAGGTTAATACTGTTGACTGAGTTTCTCCATTTATACAATAGGAAGCAATAATAGAGTCTATATTGTAGTATCATTTAAGTATTACTGATAAAGAATTCAGCCAAGTGCTTGACAGAGTAAGCATCTATTAATATTGCTTATTAATTCATTAAAATTTATAAAAGATACAAAGGTCCTTGATAAATGAAATGAAGGCTATCAAATTTTATATAAGAAGCATAAATTATAGTATGTTATATTATTTATTAGTTACTAAACTATCAATGGGATAAAAACTACATAATTTTTCAAGGTTATGACTAAACTGACCATTTTTGTTGCTAGTGATAAAAGCATATACACTCCTTGGGTAAGCAATATGGCAGTGCATACTAAGATTCATTTAAAATGGTCGTGTGATTTGATCAAGTAATGCAGGCTTAGCATTTGTCTTTAGAAAATATAAAAGAAGGCTGGGTGCTATTGCTCACGCCTGTAATCCCAATACGTTGTGAGGCCAAGGTGAGTGGATCTCTTGAGCCCAGGGGTTCCAAACCATTCTGAGCAACATGGCGAGACCCAGGTCTCTACTAAAAATACAAAATAATAGCTGGGCCTGGTGGTGTGTACCTGTGGTCCCAGCTACTCATTTATCCCCGCATAAGGTGGGTGGATGGATGGGGGTGGAGGAGGCTGGCATCACTGCACTCCAGCCTGGGTGACAGAGTGAGATCCTGTCTCAAAAAACAGACAAAAATATAAAAGAAAAATTGACAAGCAACAGGAGAAATATTGCAATGATAACTTCTAATACAAATAATTTAATATAAATATAAAACCAGACTCAACTTAAAAATCAAGTAAAAAAAGAGGTAGGGATGATTTGGCATATTATAGCCTATCAACATAATGGGATTATCATGTTCTTAAACATGGTGATTACATATACAATGTTCAATTTGTATTTACAATAAAAACAAAACAAGCCCCATAAACTTGGAGGGGATATGTACAACATGTAAAATTGACAAAGCATTATTATCCCAAATATATTATGAGTTTCCTCAAATTATTGAATAAAAAAGCAGGAAACTCAATAGAAAATAGTCAAAGTTTATGAATAGACTCAGAATGCAGAATCTGAATGTCTCTAAACAGATAAAGTGATCCTCAGCTTCAATACTTATCAGTGAAACACAAATAAAAGCAACATTAAGGTAATGTTCTATGGATAATTAGATTGGATGATGCTACGTGCTGATAAAACTGTGGAAAGTAGAATCCCTTCTGTATTGCACATTGAACTGGTGTGAATTGGTGCACTCATTCAGGAGAAAGTGTGACAACAGTAGTCAGTAGATTTACAAATGTATGTGACTTACCACTGAGCAATCCTGTACTCCTGGAAATATTCCCCTGAGAAAATTCCTAACAGGTTCAAAGGAAACATATATGTGCGATTTATTGAAATGTTGTTTGGAATGAAAGGAGTTAGAGGCAACTTAGATGTCCACAGCTGGGAGACTGGATAAGTAACAATTCATATACAGTCATGCTTCACTTAATGATGAGGATATATTCTGAGAAGTGTGTCGTTAGGTGATTGTGTCACTGTGCAAACATCACAGAGTGTACTTATACAAATCTACATGGTAAAGCCTACCACACGCTAGGCTATATGGCATAGCCTATTGCTCCTAGGCTACAAACCTGTACAGCATGTTACTGTACTGAATACTGTAGGCAATTGTAACACAGTGGTAAGTATTTGTATATCTAAACACATCTAACCATAGAAAAGGTACAGTAGGCATCAGTTTTATAATCTTATGGGACCACAGCTGTATATGCTGTCCATCACTGATCAAAATGCCACCATGTGGCACATGACTACACATAAACGATGGCAAAGTGGCCAGCAATTGGAAGAAATGAACTAGATTTAAAGACGTTCATGCACTGCATAAAAACGTTTTAATCCACAATGGACGACATATAGATAGTAGTCCTATGAGACTGTAATGAAGCTGAAAAATTCCTATTGCCTAGCGACATGGTAGTCTTCATAACATCATAGCGCAATGCATTATCGTTTCCATGTTCAGGTATGTTTAGATACACAAATACCATTATGTTACAATCACCTACAGTATTCAGCACAGCAACATACTGTAAATGTTTGTAGCCTAGGAGCAATAGGCTATATCACATACCATCTAGGCTTGTGTAAGTATACTCTATGATGCTCACATGATGATTAAATCACCTAAGGATGCATCTCTCAGGACATATGCCCATCATTAAGAGACGCATGTCTCTATAGCACCATAGAAAGCTGCCCAAGAGCTAACATTGAATGAAAGTAGTAAGAAACATAATAAGGTTTATGATACAAAAATGTTTATGCTATATAGAACACATTCACACATACACAACTATACATTCTTTTTTGAATGCCACATATACAGCTAAATATAGATATATATGGAGAATGAGTTTGATAAACACACATTAAATACATTAAAATGAAGGTCTACAAGGGATTGAAGCAAGGATTGGAGACTGATAATAAAATAAAACCAGCTAGGGCTCTTGCCCAGAATGATAATAGCACAAGGCCACAAACCGAAGGATATAATCAGCTCAATTCTGTGCACCTGGGGTAACAACAACAGCAGCAACAAAAAAAAAAAAAAAAAAAAAAGGAAAACTAAAACATATAACTTTAAGTGGAAAAGGCTGAAAGAATGCATAATGGTATGCAAAGTGAAATAATAAAACAGAGTACAAACAAATGTTTATATTAATTTAACTGTAACACGGAAAACAGGAAAGTAACAGCAAATAAAACAAAAACACAATAGTATACAAATTGAATAAAACTACCTAAAAACATATTCATGTGAGTTGGCTGGGGGAAGGGACCTGTTCTTCTCTGCTTCCTCTTGACACTGCCTTCTGTATGTTATAAGGTTGGTTTACAGAGGGGTTATGGACAAGGATACTTTACAAAACCACACAGTAGAACCTCCTTCTGCTTTCTTGAAATTATTTCATTTAGGATCTCCCCTACTTCCTTGCATGAGGCTGGAGGGTGGAACTGACCAATGCTGTCACCTCTATTCTCCTACTCAGCTCTAGTGGAGGGCTGAACTGGCTAACTTAGATAATTTTGAAGAAACTCTTTATTCCACATGGCTGCTGAGGGAAGAAAGGGTCATGACTTACTCATCTTGGGGAGAGGCATCATTGTACCCTCCACACTCCTTCCTGAGTTGATAAGGTCATGATAAGGTTTAGGGGAAAGGAGAGCACTCGGGCTGGGCTACTCAAAGACTTCCTCCTGTTGTTCCTTCAGAACCCAATTCTCTAAGCCCAATTCACCACTGGGGAAGGGACTAGCCACATCTCTTAAAGCAACCTTGCATTTGATCTTGTCTCCTGTGCATCTCTCTCCTGAACTCTTCAAGGGAAGGTGGCTGCAGGGCCACTCCAGAAAAACAGTCCAGGCAAAGATTTAAGGCCTTGTTCACTATCCCAGAATAAGACACAATATGGAGAGAAAATAGAGCTTGTTATTTACAACTGAAATAGCTATTTTAAGTAGTGAAATTGTGGATGATTTCTCCACCCCCCTCCAAATTTTACTTTGTTTAAATAAATATATTAATTCATTATAACCATCAAACAAAAGCAGACTTTATTCTCTGGTGTTGACCCAGAGTGTCATTCTAGTAATGAATTGTATTATACAACTAACATGTGTCCCATTGTGTAGCTAATTAGTACATTTATCCTATTAATTTTAATTGTTAGTAATACATTTAAGAGTAAATGCCTTGTCTCTCAACTTGAGCATTTTCTACAAATTTGGTAACTTGCATATCACCCAGCACAAAGCTAAATATGTAACAGAACCAATACGAGAAATAGCAAAAATTCTAAAATGGAGGTGATTATTTCTAAACATACGGTATATACCACACAATTATCATCTTTCTTTACCGTCCTATCAACCTTACTTTTTTTCTTCAAGATTTTTGTTGTTATTGTTCTCTGAAGGTTCTTATTCCCTTTTCAAATTTCTCTCACCTCTGAATATGATGTTACTTTTATTTTATCAATTTCTATTTTGAGCTACAAAAGTGGTTCAAATCTTCCATCCTTCAAGAAATTATTCTCACAAGGTATTGTATAGAGACTTTTCTGTATTGCAGATGAATGCATTCATTCTCTAATCTTTCAATCACAGAAATCACAATCCATTGTCTTATTTATTTTCAGTGTTTTATGAGTTCAAGTCCAAGGAGGACAAAAAGCATCTCATTTATGTGTTCTGTTCGACAATATAGAATGTAGTGCCTTTCTTTAAAAACTGTAGTTCCATTAAAAATAATGTTGATCATAGCAGTAGCAGAGGAGACTGTTCTAGTCTGGTACCATAGGGACTTGCATCCCAAACAATAACAGTGGCACAAGTTTAGCATATGAAGAACCAGCATAGTTATATAAAAGTGAATTAAAGAATTTTATTACCTTAGTTTCTTTCCTCCATCTGCAATTTTAGCTTTTTGCAGATAACCTTCTTTTTCAACCATCTGCAAGAAGAATGCATATGTTAAAACCGTGACAAACTACTATGCATTGTTGATTTGAATAAACCTATGCTTTTCAAGAGTCATTGCAGTGACGGAAGTTTTCAGTCATAGAACTTTATTAATAATGCATATATAGCTTATGGGAAGTGCCTGCAAAATCATAGTCATTACAAGCTGTTAAATATCTAAAAGACAGACTATGAAGAGGAATGTGAATGATTTGTTAGATAGTGATACACCTTTATTGACTTTTCTTTCTGGGCGTTGAAGTCACTTGTTTAAAAAATTGATTGCAAATGGTAAAAGAAAGACAAATTGAATGCCTTCCTTTATTTTACCAAGTATCCTTAGAAAAGTTCTTCTTTTCAAGCCTCCCCATGTACCTTCCGAAGCCGGGATAAAGGAAGACTTCAATGGGACCAGGTAACTGAGCTAGTTGAATCATGGAAGGGCATTTAAAATAGCAACATTTCATATATTTTGGTCAATTGCCAAGATACCCTGTAGTAGCAGTATCTCATTATCTTCTTCCATGATGTAGGATTGCTTCCTTTTCCTATTTGCATATACTGTATTGGCTTTCATTTCTAATAGAGCTGCAAGTTTCTTAAAGGAAATTCAACAAGTCATTATAACTCCGCAGAAGTGTTTGCGGAGGTTTTGGCAAAATAAATGCACAATGCAAATTGTGATGGGTTGACTCCCTGCAAAGTCTGTACTAGGTGTTTTAATTTCTTAGCATCCTATTTCTACCCTCCTGTGTCTGCCTCACATGCCCCATCCCAAGTCGTTAGCCTTCATCTTTCACTCTTAGTGAATTGCCCACACCCTTCTCCCTGAGCTGCCTAGTATCAGAGGACCACACTCCCTCAGTGCCATCCCATGTTATCCCCCTAGCTGAAATAGTCCACCATGACCATGTCTTCATCTCACAAAAGTCTTAAGTATATTTAATCTACTTCAAAATTAAATTAGTAAAACCCAGTGAGGTGGCAAGTGTCTATAATCACAGCTGTGTGGGAGGTTGGGGTGGGAGAATCTGTTGGTCCTAGGAGTTTGACACCAGCCTGGGCAGAATAGCAAGAACCCCATCTCAAAAAATAAGAAGAAAACCAAATTTTAATGTGCACGTCTTTTTATTAGAGGGTCTTTCCATGATTTCTCTGCCATCTCTTTTAGGTGCACCATCCTGAATCTCCATTTTCAGTTTGCCATTGTCACTGTGACAGCACATATCAGATCATGTTGTAAATGTCATTTTATTTATCTGTGCCTGCAGGCAAATAATGTGCTATGAGTCCATCAAAGGCAAAAAACTGTACCTTTCACACCTGGATTCCTAGCTTCTGGAATATTTTGGTAGTGCCAATAGTCAAAATAATAAAACTGTTTGAACAAATAAGTAAATGAATGGCTATTTAAATGTTTATTTAAATATTTATAGTAAACTGGGCAAGCCAAGAAATTTATCTTCAATACTACAAGTGAAAGGAAGAGATATTTAGAGGTAAAGGAGTTGTTCCAAATAACTAAAATCTCACTGGTTAAATGTCTGCTCTGATATAGGTGAGAGTTTTTCTGCCTTGTTTTATTCCTAATACATAGCACGGGACTTAGTTTTAAAATGCATTTGATGAATACATTTTTGACTAAATAAATAATGATAGAGATAATAATAATGATGACTTATGAAAATGATAGCAAAGTGTTTTTTACTTATCTCCATATCCAGAAAGTTTCTTTTACTTCACCATGTTCTCCACAACTCTACAGCATCTAAGGAAGATTTCTTGGATAATTTTGAGAACCATGGTATTCACTGGTGCCTTTTTGTTTTGTATTTGGATACATCTATTCATTTGCTTTTTCCACATTTTATTCTATGTATACTGTCCCTTTTTCTTGGTGCCAGGAATTTTATTTTTCTACCTCGTAAAACCCATATAATAAATTTAGTGTTTAACTCTGTGTATCACTGGTATCCACAAATGTTTGGAAGAAAGATGTTTTCAATAGCAATTACCACCACAAAGGAGGTTCCTTTCTTTAGGAATGTATACTGAGAAATTTTGTTGTGTAACCGTAGAAAAAATTTATTGTTTTATTTAAGTTTTCTTCTGATTAACAGTTACCCAAAACCTGGATTTATCTACCAAAAAAACTACAAAAACCTATCAACCCATCATAAAAATTGATGCATGCGTTCTCTGCTAAAAATATAGCCCCAATTGTTTTTTCCAAAAATTCACAAAAGATCCCTCGGTAGACATTTGCTACCCACAAAGATAAATTATTGATGAAAATTTTTCTAAAAGAGATAGGAAATGTGAAAGGAAAAAGCTAATACTCTTATAGGGAGAAATCAACATAAACAGGTTTAAGGTGTACATCATAGAATTCTCTTTCTTTGAATACATAAGTAACATTTCCCCAGACACTGCAGGACTTTTCCCAGAATACTTGAGATTGATGCCAAGGGCTGGATTTCTCAAGTTAAGACTCAATAAATGTGACATCATTGTCATCAGTGGCTGAGCCAGTTCCATGGTCTTGGATCAATGCAATAGACTTTTCAGGAATGATCATACAGAGGTCCCAGGAAAAATGAGGACGGACTGAATAGCAAGTTAGTTATCTTCTCTTATATCATTTTCCAAAGTCAGGCTGCCTTCCAGGTCATTAGAAGAAGCTAATAACGCTTCTGCTATGTTCTATTACCTACTACACTTGCTACCACCATGCATATTTGTTAAATGTTTACATGCAGATTTCTACACGTAGTATATCTATGTCCTACCACTGTGCACACATTCTCACTTCTGAGATCAGGTGTTTATTTTCCTTCATCTTCTTTATTTTATTTTATTTTTGAGACGGAGTTTTGCTTTTGTTGCGTGGGCTGGAGTGCAATGGCGCAATCTCGGCTCACCGCAATCTCTGCTTCCTGGGTTAAAGTGATTCTCCTGCCTCAGCCTCCCGAGTAGCTGGGATTACAGGCATGTGCCACCATGACCAGCTAATTTTGTATTTTTAATAGAGACAGTGTTTCTCCATGTTGGTCAGGCTGGTCTTGAACTCTCGACCTCAGGTGATCCACCCACCTCGGCCTCCCAAAGTGCTGGGATTACAGGCATGAGCCACCGCACCCGGCCCTTTCATTGTCTTTTTAATACTTGATGTACACTTATTCATTCTTTTCAACACATTTTTAATTAATAACACTTCTTTCCTCTAAATGCCAGCTTCTCTGCTTACAACAGAACTGGAAAGATTAATAGGACAATTGTAATCCTCTTGAGGCTTAAACTCCTGGGAGTTCATATTCAAGATATTCCTGCTCCTTTTCTGGGGGGACGGGATACCATGCCCTGCTTAAGTCATCTCACAGACTCAGGCCATCTTTTAGCCTGGGTAGAAAATTCCAATTATGCTTTCTGCACTGAAAGCACTGCATTGTAAAGGGTCTCATGCTGGCAAGTGAAGTTTCCACGAGGTAGGATTAATTACTTTACTATTCTTTGTCATGATAGTTTGAAATACGTCACCATGTTTCAGACACCAGGAATCAGTTATTCTGGGAGCCTCATAGTGTGCCGAAAGAAGTATTAGGGCAAGCAAAAGATTGCTATGCATTTTGCATGTGGGTTTATATATGGTACCTTATTAGTTTCTCTAATAATTATTCCTACTCAATGTTAATCCCATGGTTTGAAGGGACAATGATCTATAAATTCCAGTTGAGCGTGCTAGTCATCTAGAGCTCAGATGGTCTTGTCTCCAGTAATTTACAAAATTACTTACAGCTCTAGGTCTAAGTTTAGGATACTACTTGCCAAATTCTAGGCCAAATTGAAGTTCTTTAAAGAAGTAGCAGTCCCTGAACTAAGTATACTTAAGAAATGTCAACCAATCTTTAGATGCTAAATCTGGCTTCTTGAGCTATTTGTCCAATGTTCCTTAGAAGCCCTATTTAACATTAAATGGCTGGAAAGATCAGCAATTTGTTCATACTGGATGCCAGCCAGTCTGCAAGCACTGAGGAAGTGCTCGGCAGACACAGCCATGCTGAGATACAGATGAGAAGAATGAATGGCAGTGGGATACCCAGATAGCACCTGTTTATCAACCTACGTTGGAGGCGACAGACAAGACAGGGGAGCAGAAGACAACCTTTGATTAATGGTAACAATCATGGCAGAAAGACTAGTGTGTTAACTGTACATACACACACTGCATTTTTTTTTATGAGAAGGCTTCATGTTGTTCTCAGATACAATTGCAAATAATAGATTTTCATCTACACCATTCCACCAAAGGGTTCTGTTAAAATAACCCTTTCTGTTTATAAATGGAAATAAACTTAATCTGCAACTTTTACCAGATTTTGATGAGAAGGGTTTGGCTTTTAACACCAGAACCACATGGTCCTTATGCCTCATAACGTTTTCTCTGCTGATGTATTTAAGTTATTGTTCTCTTCCCCTTTGTTCTGATAATGTGCTCATTGGCAGCCATCTGAATCCTAGTTCAGCTTCCTAGGTTCTTTGATGTAGAAAGCGGGTGACTTAAATAGTATCAGAATATTCCCTATTATGTACTGTGAGATAGACTCAAGGGATCTTCATCTCAGTAAACACTAATAATGATGATAAATATGAGTTTTCTGGATCCACAATGCTGAGACAGGCCCCAGCTCTAAACTGAGATGATCCCTTTAAAGTAGCATCACCCTATGAAACCTTCTGTGTGACTGACTGACCTCTCTCTAAAAGAACTCTGCATCATCTCTCTATAACTACAACCCTGGGCCACTATAATTATCAAGCAGATTTAGCATTTAATTATTTTCCTATTTAATAACGAGGCAGCTGCTATACTTTCTCTGAACTTTTAATAGATCATAGTACTTTGCTGTTAATCTTGTCTGTTTCAATGATTTCTATTAAAGAGCACAGAATGAGGACACATTTGGTTACATTATTTTACCCCCAAATGATGCTTCACTTTCCTTCTTAAATTCCCGCCCCCCACCCACGCCCGCCATTTTTTACTTCTCCACTATTCATAGAAATATCTACCTTATCTGTCTTTCTTTTTTCTATTGCTTTTATTTATTTATTTATTTTGCCTTTGTTTTTAGGTTGCACTCTTTCTCTTTGGAACTCATTGCTTACATTTTCTTCTCAATATTCACTTATTCCCATACTGTCTCTGCTATTCATGCTATATTTGATTTGCTCATTACCGGCGAACTCACTGTGGACATAATCCATTAAGAACAGAATCAAAAACAGAAAAAATACCTTAAAACTCCAGCTTATCTGTACATCATATAAAGTACTAATAGTTTTTAAACATTTTTAAAAGTCTTAATTTTAGAACTGCCTTAAATATAGCTCAAGAATGAAATATTATGCCTTTAGACATAGATTCAGTATGATGTTTTTGTCTGATGTAAATACATCATTTACTGTGTGTGCACATTTTTAAGAAGTGGTAAACCAAATATCTAAAGTTGGATGCAATGATTGCATGTGAAGAAGAGTAGAAGAAAAGCAAAGAATGGTTCTGGGTCATACATAAGTGGTGATAGAAAGAGGTCACCAAGAATTCTCAAAGAGGTCCTTGATAAGCGTGTTTGATTTCAGCATGAAATTTGATTTCAGATTTAGGCATGGTTTACTCATTTCAACTTATTTATATTCTTTAATAAGTTTGTTGAGCAATGTTTTCATGGGTAGCCTCCCTCCCTTACTTTCTCTCACTTAGGATAAGACAACATGTCCAGCTTTGGGGTTATGCTGAATGTCTTAAACCATTTTTCAAATATTAGGTTTGGCAAAGCACATATTATGTTTTGCCAAGTGCTTTTCCCCATCATGTTAAACCTCTGTGTATTTCAAGGGAAATTTTATCTGTATGTCTCTGATTTATTCACCCCTAACTCATCAAAATGTCATTTTGAAAATGTTATTATTTGATGTTTAAGAACCCCCATACGACTTTTTTTCTGAACCTTTCATCTGGCAACCGGTGTGTTCATTTGGTCACCACCAAGGAATCCAGGTTCTGTTTGGGAAACAGGCTGAGGAAGGCACCCTTTTTGTATCTCAAGAAATTTCTTCAGTCTTCTGGAGGCTTTTACTATAGCTCACCTCTCCCTCCCTCATGCACCACCCAACTTCCACCCACCATTGCTTTCTCTTCTTCCCTGAATTCTATTTATTTGTGTCTTTGATGTAAATATGTTCCTCGTTCTTTGCCTGTCACTGGACTTCAATGAGAATGGCCTTCCTGGTTACTGTCTGGGCAACTTATTAGTGTAATTCAATTTCTGCGTTATAACTTAATTTCAGTCTAGGCAGTGGGGAAGAAAGGATTGCTCAATATTAATAGCCTTTATTGTTGCTGTTCTGTGTGTTCTTTTTCTCTACTCTAGAGTTAAATGGATTTCAAATGTGGAGCTGGATGGGAGAGGTATTGTCATTTGTTTCTGTGTTTCAATGGCTTCTGAACTTCTTACCATCACTTCAAGGCCCTTTGCAATCTGGGCACTGCCTCTCTCTCCTCAAAACCCGTGACTCTTTTCCCTTGTTCATAATATTCTGGCTGCTGTGGAATTTTTGCAGTTTTTCAGATGTAACAACTTTGTTCTGACCTGGCGACCCTTGCACTTGTTTCTTTCTGCTTCAACATTCTTCTTCCAGTTCTTTGCTTGGCAAACTCCATCAATCTTGCAAAATCTCAAGTTAACTGGCCATTTCAAAGAATCCATGTGTGACTACTTAATCCAGTGTAGGTTCTCACAGAAACTTGTTTTTTTTTTATCATAGCACATTTTGTAATTTGGACTTATAGAATTATGCCTTCCTTTATTTAACACTTCTGTTCATCCCTAGACTGAACGCTTCTCTAGAAAGGGACATGGCCAGTTAGCATATTATCACATATTCCAAGCCTAGCACAGTGATGGCCTCAACAAATACTTGAATTAATATACATGCTCTTACTTGAGAAAAGGAAGGGCACATGAAATAATGAAAACTTAGAGATGGTTTCTATTAGCATTATTAAATTATATAACTTATTATTGTTACATAACTTATTATTAACAGCCTGAAGATCTGGAAGGATATTTCAGAAAACCTAATTTTGTCTTACCCAGGTAGAATTTTGAAAGACTAAAGAGCTTTTAGAGTTTTTCAGCAGTTTAAGGAAAGCCCAGCTTGATCAATAGAACTATTCCCCCAAAGTCTATGTCCTTCGTTTTAAAACAAGAAAACACTGTATTCTCACAATGTCTTTCATGCTCAAAGCCCTCACTACTATTAATTAATCCACAAAATGATATCTGGCTCTAAAAGGTAGAATCTGTGACTTAAGGTTTATCTGCAAAAGCCTGCTTTGCCCCCAAGCCATAGCAACTTCCTGAGCTCTGTCCTCAAAATCCTCCTAGCTCAGGAGGTAGCAGATGATTCTGTAAAAACCTGCCACAGGCTTTTGACTCCTGCAGGGTTTTCCATAGACATGTCTTACACTCTGTTGATAAAAATAAACAAGATAAAGATTTAACATGTTATAAACAGGGTTCTTTTTCTTGAATGTTTCTTTAAGGGGAAAAGAAAAAGTACCCTGAAAATAATTAGGTCTCATGAACAGTTATAATATAGAATATACAAGATCAGGAAACAAATGCATATTGATATATTTGATGATTCATGTACAAAACTGTTGTGATATTATAGCACTTTCTAAGCAACCACACCGATTCTCAGGAAATGATTTCCGTCTCTTCTACCGAAACCCTATGGATTTACATACATGTGGCATAAATAACATCATCTGTCAGTGAACTGGGTAGTTTCCACTCTGAAATTTTAGATTCAGATTAGGAATGTATTTTGGCCAATATTCAAAAGAAATAAATGCTTTGTTCTGTTTAACCATGCTGTTTACAATCTATTTTCTTAAAAGGAACATTAAGAGAGGGAGCATGATTCCCAAAGGGTGTTAGCCTCTATGAGAGCATCCAAAATGGCAGATTTCATTTTATAAAGTGAATAATTGTCCTACAACATGGTGGACCTAATAGGACACTTTGATAAATTTGGCCAAAAGCCAATGTCTCTCGTGTTTCCTGGAGAATGTTCAGTAGAGTTATCTCAATATGAGATATAAAGGAATTGAGATTTATATATCCCAACATTTTAGAAATAAATAAGCCTGAAGATCCATACAGTAGAGATGATGGATAATAACTCCAAAGGAAAGAATGTCATTAATTCTCAGAAGTATTTTCCTGTATATTATTTCATATATGATAGCTCATCCTGGTAGGTACAGCCAAGGAAACTACTGCCAGGACTCCTGGATGACTCTGGAAGCCACCCTAAGGCATGGTGGAGGTGAGGAGAGTTGGAGAGATGAAAGTAGGGAACATACCAGAGTGCAGAAAGAGTATGTGAGTCCTGGTAAAAAGAACACAGCATTAGATTAATCAGATGTAAAGAAAACTTCATAGGTTCTGAAAAATAATTCAAGTGTCAATGTGAACGATAATGAATGGTCTATAATCAATCAGATTTTCTGTCTGGGGGAATGGGTGATTATTGGGGCATTGTTCATCAATATAGATAATTCATAAATAAGAATTTGGGATGAAGATAATGTTTCTGCCTTTAAAATAACAGTAAGTAAGAAATTCAATTCAAGTAGAGATTGATGGATAAAAGTTGAATGTTATCCATGTTCACAAGACACAGCAAGATAAGCGTTCAGAGAGATGATCCAGGAAAACCCAAGTCAAGACTAGGAAGTAAGCTGATTGGTAGTTCCAAAAGTTTTTAGAACTCATGGCACTGTGTGTGTGTGTGTGTGTGTGTGTGTGTTTATGTGTGTGTGTGTGTCAATGGGAGAGGGAGAGAAGGAAGGAAAAAGAGAAAACAGAAAAATATTCGGGTATGCAGCAAAAAAGAGATAAATTGCAAGGTAAAAAACTTAAAAATTATTGTTTTTGCTTCTGTTTAGCAGGACTTCTCGATGTTACTTTTCCAAGGTCATTGGGGCTAAAATAGAGTATTGGGCAAATAGATCTATTATCTATTACTATATTATCTATAATTAGTGATATTCAAAGTGAGTTTCATTTATTTAGAACTGAGGCTGCAGAGAAACCCTACTATATGCAAGTAAATCAACAAATAGCCTTAAGAGTAGGCAGGTAAATTTTGAAAACTATTTCTGAATATTCTAATGGTTCTTCTGATATTAGCTTATGCTTGATATAGTGGCATAGAAAATACACAATTAAAAATTATATAAAAATTAATTTTTTAAATAACTATAATTTGGATTTTATATATATTATAATTTTTTATGTAAAAAACTTTGGGGCACCTTTAGGCACTGTTAAAATATATGTGCATATATATTTTATGTATAAACATACAGACACACACACAAACACAGACATTTACTGAGCTCCATTTTCAGCCTAACTTTTGCCATGTTTCATCGACTACTTCAGAGCAAACTTTTTATGTGTTATTTTTACAAAATAATCCAGCTCTTCATAATTATTTTTGTACTTTATTTTCTGTGTAATCCAAATTTATTTAAAATAAAACCAAACAAATAAAGCATTTATTTTCCTATTTATTGGAGAACTACAGTGTGCCAGCCTTTATACGAAGTTTTAATAGTAAAACAATAAATAAGACATAGTCCTCCCTTCAAATAGCTTATAGCTCAGTAAGAGCAATAAAGGAAATAGGCAATTTTAGTGTGATGGGGCTGGAATAGAGTCAAGACCCAGCTGCTATTGAGAGACAGATCAAAGAAGGGCTATCTAATTCAAATTTAAGGAATTAGAGAAATCCTTCCTAGAGAAAATGCTAAGTTGAGATCCACGTAATTAATTTTGAAAACAATATATTAGTATATCTAATTATATTGAAAAATTGGCTTTCACTACAAATGTTAGGCATATATTTATTAATGTCTGCAACTAGCAACATTGTTTTAATAAACTTTTAATTTCTTATTACATCAATTCACAAGCATGTCTTTCCTGAACAAGTACTAGTGCCAAAAGCAATCTAAGTAGAAGTACGATATAATAAAGAAAATACAAGTCATGGCCTCTAACTTCAAGACATTTACAATCCAGCCATGGAACAAGTCTATTACCTATGAAATAAGAGTGAGCAACACAAAACAACACATGAACATGTGCTGGGATGAAAGGACTGTAATTGCTACAGGAAATCCAAGCTCCTTCAGGGTAAGAGCCATGTCTTAATCATGTTACTACTCCTGGCTTGAGGGTATGTGTTTGAGAGAGGATAATAAATAACGTAAATTGGGGACCATGATGCTGTAGAAAATTTGAAAATGAAATAATGAAAGTACTATTGAAAGAAGGCTGTTCTGGAATTGCTGCCTAGGATCAGTGGGGGGGATGATAGGGTATGATAAGGTCAGAAGCATTTCAAGGCTTGGGTGAGGGTTTGGGGGTGCACAAGGAGAAGCATATGGGCACCACAACCATTGAGACGTTTCATCAGAAAATGATGACTTATCCAAAGGGCCAGGGAGAAAATAAAGAATATAAAGAAAATGTGTTCTCATCCTAGATATATGTTTGCTACTAATAGAGATGGGCTCAATGGAAAGAGGGAATCAGTTTGAGAAGGCACTGATGAAGGGTTCAACTTGAGGGATTTCATTTCTGTGATGATAGAGATGACATCCTAGAACAAATGACTAATTCACAGGAGAGAAAGGTTACAAGCATAGACCTGTGTATCACAAGCTTGGAAGTGAAAACAAAAGCCATTAAATTTTCATTATGCCTTCATTCAACAAATATTTACTGAGTCCCTAACATGTTCCAGCAATTATTGTAGTCATGGGAATGAAGTAATGAACACAGGAGACAGTGTCCTTGCCCTCATAGAACTAAAATTCTAATGGAGTGACAAACTTAACAAAAATAAATGCTGTAGTATGCCATCTGGTGGTAAGGTCTATAGAGTAAATTAAGGTAACAGAAGTGTACATGGAAATGGTGTGGTTTCTTGTTTGTTCATTTGTAGGTTCCTTTCTGTTTCTTTTTTTTTTTTTTTTTATCTCTCTCTGCACAATCTTGGCTCACTGCAACCTCCACCCCAAATGTTCAAGTGATTCTCCTGCCTCAGCCTAACAAGTAGCTGGGACTACAGATGAGTGCCACCACACGTGGCTAATTTTGTAATTTTAAAATTTTAAAAATTTACTAATTTTTAGTAAAGATGGGGTTTTACCATGTTGGCCAGGCTGGTCTTGAACTCCCAACCTAAAGTGAGCCCCCTCCTCAGCCTCCCAAAGTGCTGAGATTACAGGCATGAGCCACCACACCTGGCCACTATGGGTTTTGTTTGTTTGTTTTTGTTTCATTTTTTTTTTAAGAGAGATTAGGGAAGACCTATTTAAAAAGGTGATATTAGAGCAGAGATGTAAAGCAGAGGAACATATGAGATATCCAAATTTCTGGGCACCAAATATATTATTTTGTAAGAGATAGAGGCAAAAGCAGGTGGGATGGCCGGGCAGAGGAAGAGGTATCAGCTTCATTGGAGCAGAAGGAGACAGGAGAAGAAAGGGAGAGGTGAGACTGGGGAAGTCGATGAGTCTTCTAGGGCCTAGTGAACCATTGGATGTTTCTTAGCATTTACCTGGGGTAGACTAAAAGCCAGGGAGGATTTTGAGTCAAGGAGTGATGTGAGATGGACCGAATGTTTGTTTCCCCTTAAAACTCATATGTTGAAATCCTAAACTCCAATGTAATGTTACTAGGAGGTAATTAGGTCATAAAGGTGGAGCTCTCATGAATAGGATTAATGCCTTTTTAAAAGGGACCCCAGTTCTCTTGCCCTCTTTTTGCCGTGTGAGGATACAAGGAGAAGTCAGCTGTTTGCAACCCAGAAGAGGGCCCTCACCAGATCCTGACCAGAATGGAATGCTGATCTTGGACTTCCAGCCTCTAGACCTATGAGAAATAAATTTCTGTTGTTTAAAAGCCGCCTTGTTTGTGGTATCTGTTGTAGTAACAGACTGACTAAGATAAGAAACAAAATCTAATTTACATTTTAACAGGATCACTCCCACTGTTGTGTTGAAAATAAACAGTAGAAAGCGAAAGTGGGTAAACAGGGAGACTATTTCAATAAACTGGGTGACAGATGATAGTAATGGTGGTGAGAAATGAACTGATTCTGGGTATATTTTGAAGACAGAGCAAACTGGGTTCTTTGGTGTTCATTTATGTTACGACTGAAACAAGGGAAGATGACTTTTAGTGTTTTGACTGAAGCACCTGGAGGTGCTTCTCCATCTTGTGAAATGGAGAAGACTTGTGAAATGGAGAACGGGTTTGGGCAAAAATCGGGATCAGTTTCAGATATGCTAAGTTTAGGATGTATATTAGAACTGTGTGTAAAAATGCCAGAATTTATAGTACTGAAGTTCAAAGCTGTGGTCCATGCTGGAAATAGAAATTTAGAACTGGCTAGTGTTACATGGTCTAAAGCTACAACACTGAATGAGATGCCCTAGGAAATTCCTACAGACAGAAAAAATAAAAAATAAAAACTGAGCTCCAAAATGAAGAGGGACCAGTAAAGGGGGTTGAAAAGAGGTGGCTCTCCAGCTAATTGGAGAGCCATGAGAAAGTGGTTACTGGTAGTCATGTGAGGAAAATGTTTCTTTTTAATAAAAAATTTAGATTCAGGGGATATATGTGCTTATTTGTTACATGGATATACTGCATACTGGTGGTTGTTGGGCTTCTAGTGTACCCACTACCCAAACAGTGAGCATTGTACCCACTAGGCAATTGATTCAAGAAGAGAGCTATCAATTGGGTTAAATGCTCAGATAGACCTACTGAAGAGACAACTGAGAAGTTACTGATGGATTTAACAACATGGAGGCAATCAGTGACCTGGATAAGAGGTGAATGATTGAGATAAAAGCCTAAACAGAGTTAGTTCAAGAGACAAAGGGAGGGCAGAAATTGGAAACAGCAAAGGTAGACAATTATTTGGAGAAATTCTTATCCTAAAGTAAAGCAGAGTAAGGAGAAATAGCTGGAGTGGGGATGTGGGATCTGGAACATGAAAAGCAATAGAAAACAGGAACACTGAAGCAAAAAAAGAAATTATTGTTGGTGCTAAGGATGGGACATCCCAAAGATAACAGGGATGAAATAGCTAGAGATAGACAGGAATGCAGTAATCATAGTGCAATATCCTGTAAGCCAATAAGACTGGAAGCATATTGACCAATATGAAATATAGCAGGAAAGACAAGTTGAATGAGCATAGAGGAAAAGCACATTGTATTTATCAAAAAAGAGGTCATTAAAAGAAAGAAGTATCAGAACATATCAGAAAGGTTGGTCTTACGTGTTTTTAAGATATATATAATACTTTATTCATTCATGTTATTTACAATATTTCAGGTACTCTTTTTGTCACTAGGATATAACAATACACAAAAACATGGAAAAAAGTGCCATTCTTACGGATGTTGAGTCGATTAATTTTTTTTTGAAGACAACAACAACAATAACAAAAAAAACTATCAACATTTACAATAAGCCCTCTGTAGTCTCTGGTTCCTATTATTCACATCCTTATGTAATCCTCTCCCCTTGTGTGAACTAGACTTAATGACTTAATTTTAACCAAAAGAATGTGGCAAAGCTGATGGCGTATTGCTTTTACAATTAGGTTACAAGAGATTTTTGACTTCCATCTTGCTAGCAAACTCTCCCTCTTGCCTTCTCATCTTGGATGCTTTGAAAAAGCAAGCTGTTATTTTGGAGAAATCTTTGTGGCAAGGAAATAAGGGCAGCCTTTGGCCAACATTCCTGGAAGAACTGAACCCAGCCAACAACCACATAAGTGAGCTTGAAAGCAGACCTTCCCCAGTCAAGCCTTCAAATGAGATCCCAATTCTGGCTGATGCTTTTGTTGCAACGTTTTGAGAGACTCCAAGCTAGATCCCTCTACTAAGTGGTGCCCTGATTCCTGACCCACAGAAAAATGAGATAATAACTTAAGCTGTTCTAAGTTGCTGAGTTTTGTGGCAATTTATTTTGTATCAGTAGATGAAGAATATAATGACTTAAACACTCACCAGTTGTTCCAATGGAGGAATGACATCTTTCAAGATATGCTGTGAATGATTCCTTCTGTGTCTGGATATCTGCAAATATATTGACATTGGATATTATTACATAATTTTTCTTGATAGAGTTTAGTAAGAATACACATAAAATAACCAATTCAGTGTTATTCAAGCATGTGAATTAAGTAGATATAAAATGAGAAGTAAATGTTTTGGACATTGACTAATTTAAATAAAATACGTACTCAAAGATGGCTGGCTGCAAGCATATCTCAAACCCAATTCTCTTCTTACCATGTAACCTTGACACCCCTTTCTTCAAATGTTGAAGTCTGTGTTCTCTCATGTGAACCTGGGCAGACCTTATGCCTGCTTCAATAAAAAAGTACAGCAGAAGTTCCACTCTATGACTTCAAAGATTGGAACACAAAAATGTCATACATTCTCCTGTGTCCTCTGAGAACCTTCACTCTTGGAAAATATGTTGGAGGAAACCCAAATCACACCCACAGAGTAAGCACAAGGAAAGCCTTATAGGTTTCCGATTGATAGAAAGGCTGAGGTTCCAGCAGACAGCCAGCATCAACCACCAAGCTTGTGAGTATAAAGAAGTCCTCTATCCTTCCCAGGCTCTGGTAATCATCATTCTATTCCCTATCTCTATGAGATCAATTGTTTTACAGCGCCCCCAAATGAGTGAGAACACGTGAAATAAGAAATGATAAATGCTCGGGTTAGTGAATACCCCAATTACCCTGATTTGATTATTATACATTGTAGACGTGTGTTAAAACATCACACTACCCCGTACATATATATGCCCATTATGTACCCCTAATAATTAAAAATGGAACATTAAATTTAAAAAGAGCCCTAGCCTGGGCAACATAGTGAGACTCCAACTCTACAAAAAAAATTTTTTTTTAATTAGCTAGGCATGGTGGCACACACCTATAGTCAGTCAGTCCCCAGCTACCCCAGAGGCTCAAGTGGGAGAATCACTTGAGCCAGGATTTTGAGGCTGCAGTAAGCTATGATCACACAACTGCACTCCAGCCTGGGCAACAGAGTGAGACCCCACTCTAAAAAAAAATAAAAATTAAAAAAAAAGAACTCCCGATGATTGCCTTTTGGCCATTGAGTTTCCCCTAAACTTCAAACGTCCCAGAAGAGAACTCAAATATATCGTGGGGTAGAAACAAGCTATTCCTGTTGTGCTTCATCTAAATTTTTGGACATACTCTAAGCATGACAAAAACATTGTTTCACACCTCTATGTTTCAAGGTGATTTGTTACTAGGACAAAATATTTCATATTGAAATTTTTTTTTGTTGATGATGTGAGCTCAGCTTTTACAGGATCAACATTCTATTAAGTCTCTTGTCTTCTATTAGTAACCAGATGTGCTTAAATACTCAAAAATCACACTTTCTTATGTACTTTTAGAACAAATTAAAATAAATCTTAATGTTCTTTTTCCTGAAGAAGCATAATAGACAGATTCTACAATAAAACATAAAGAGAAAGAGAATTTATAATAAAATCTTACACTGTTTTGTAATTTAAACAGAAACTCCCATTAATATTGTTTCATATTTACTTGGAGAGAAAGAAGGAGGGAAGAAGGGGCATGAGGAGGATGAGAGAGAGAGAGAAAGAGAGAGAAAGAGAGATAAGTGTAAGAAATTAAAGAAATAAAGCAGACCTGAGTACTATGTCTAGGAAAGGACTTTATTGTTTTTGGTTCTGGTTACTGGCACATACAACTGACTGAAGGAATTAGATCAATGTCTGTGAAGATTTTGAGAGAATTGTTCTACCAAAAAAAAAAAAAATCAGAATCCTGGCCTAAAAAATTCCACGACTCTATACAACCTGGAACCCCACATTTGCTCTAGGAAAACTGGGTTATGAAGAAAGTAAAAATCCAAGGAGATAATTTTCCCCAATGTTCGCTTCACAGGTGTCCTATGGAAGATAATTGAGAAGGAACAGACTCCAGAAAGCAGGGCCAGAAACCCTGGAGAACAGTGGCCATGGGGAATTTCAGAAAGGAGAGCCGGGGACTGTCTTGACTTTGAGGGAAGTTGTCTCACAGAGACTGGCCAGCAGGATTCAATTATTGTTTTGGTCCAGTGACTGTTGGCTGTTTACCTATTTTTCCTTTGACAAATGAGAAAGGTTTTTGTTTGTTTTTCCCAGGTACCAAGTTCTTGCTCCATTGTTGTCCATTGGACGTGGTAGGGAAAGTGGGACAGAGCTTATATCTCAAGCTCTAAATCACTTACCTGGGCTGTCTCCCCACCCCTCCCGTAAAACCTGAGCTTTATGGAGAGAGCTGTTTATCACCAGAGATTCTGAAATTTGAGCTTGATGCTGTAACTGGATGGAACTTTAGGCTGTGTCCATTGGGGAGGTGGATGGATGGTGTAAACGGCTATATGGTGAAGGGTATGGCCGTTCACCAAAATTGTATCCTCTTTTCTAGATGCTACATTTCTCAGCCTACCTTGCAGTTAGGAGTGGCCATGTGACTAGTTCAGATCAAGGGATGTGAGCAGAAACAATGCCAGCCACTCCCTGGCTAAGGCTATTAACCAGGGAGTGTTTCCCCTCCATGTCCTCTCTTTCCTTACACCCTGGCTGGGAAAACAATGAACAAGGCCCTACGGAGGGATGAAGTTGCAAGATGGAAGGAGTTTGGGCGCTGAATCACCATGTGGGGAAACCATACATAGGCCAGTAAAGCTCACTTTGTTTTCTTTGCTAAATTTTTATTGTGGAATAATTTTATACTTAAGAGAAAAGTTGCAGAGGGAGTTCCTGAAGAAAACTTCCATCTAACTGTTACATAAGTGAGAAATAAGCTTCTATTTTTTGGAACCATCATCTATTTTAGAGGATTTTACAGCTGCTAGCATTACCTTAAATATGTTACCCATAGTTGATGCTCAATTAACGTCTAAATGAAAGGTCTATGCATGAGGAAACTGAGGGCAGAATACTTAGTTAATGGGAGTGATCGTAGAAACCCAAAATTCACACTTATTAATTATCCACTGATACTTCAGCTTCTTCTCAGGAGTGAAAGAATATATGCATTTGGTATCTAAACCTCTTTAAAAACAGAAATTTATTTTATCTTGCTATACATTTAGAATGTACTACTCTTAATTACTACTCATTATACTAAGATTTATACTCTCCACTGAAAATTTCATACATACGTCTTATATTTAACTTTCAAGAGTGGAAGAGTTCCAAGATGGAAGGAGTTTTCCTGTTCTATTTCCTTAAAACCCAACTAGATTCCCATTCTTAGGACAAAAGTAATTCTCCTGGAAAGTAAAGAAACTCAAGTCTTAAGTGTTAGAGAAGTAGCAAGTAAATGTCTCCACAATATTGATGAGTGGGCACTTGGCCTTTAACTATGTCAGTTGCACCATTTCTTCTATGGCTAGCTCCATGCCCTCTTTCATCTGACCACTACTAAATTCTTATGGGCATACAGACCCACTTGCCTCTTAATATTCCTTTCCAATCACCTATAGAAAGCTTTTATTTAAAGCAGTGTTTGGAAATGTGTGGTGTACATATTATTAGGAGCATAAGAGATTATTTTAGCTGATGAGTGTTTTCATTGTAATGATTTATAAAATCCTAAGGTTTCATAGAAAAATGTATCACACCAAAACCATTTACTAGTGGTATGAATATATTTTATTTTAAAATAAAGCTATTTAAGTTTAAATAATATAATTAAATAAGTAATTTATGGTATGAAATATGGAAAAAACTCACAAACATAGCAAGTGAATGATTGAAGTTTGGGAAACAAATCTAAATAAGAAGACTCAAAATAGAAACTGGGCACATACTTATTTCACCCTTAAAGGGGCCCATTGAGTCCATGGTACAAATAAGAATGCAAATTGAGAAATTTATACAAAGATAATATTGTATGCTAACATATATTGAGTACTTATTATCTGCCAGGCATGGTTCTCTATGTTTTTCATTTATTAGCATGTTTAATTCTCACCCAAACCTTAAAAGGTTAATAATATTAACCATTTTTATAAGTATCGAAGTGTAAACACAGTTTAAGTAACTTTGAAAATCCATAGCTAATGAAAGGCATAGGTAGTATTTTAACCTAGATCTAGGAATAAGCTCAACTATGACACTTTATTGTTTCTCCAGCAATATAAGTGTATGTGTGTGTGTGTGTGTGTGTGTGTGTAGGCAGTCACTACATTCTTGGGGAACTACAAAGTTGAGAGCCTCCACGTGCATAAAAAGATATTTCTAAGGTAGAATTTAGAGTCAGACTTATGAATTTGTACACATTTATACAGGATGCTAGAAATCAGGTTCAAATTTGTTGTGAATCATCTTAATACTCCTTTAGGGGAAGTAATATTGCTGATCATTCCTAAATCAATAAACTAGCCAATCTATCATTTTCAACCAGGTTATGAAGATGTTGAAAAAAGAGAGCTTTCATCACCTGTCTTTTGCTTTAATGTTGTTCTCAGTAAAGCATTAGACAAAGAAATATGTGATCACTCCAAATCAGATTATGTTGACTGAGACTTATGACTTAGGAAATTCTGGATCCAAAATGGCTTAATTGTTTTGCATGGATATCAGCAAAAATTAGAATATTTCAGGTTGTTTTTACATAATATACTTAATTGAAATAATAATTATAAAGAAAACTTGGGTCAACCAAAATCTTATCAAGTAAGTTTGAAGGGAAAAAAGTCTCTCCTAAGCCATAGTATAAATAACAGAAAATGTTATAGTACTTATATAGATATCGATTAATAGCTTATTATTATTATCTGACAATTTTACAAATTATTATGGGACATGCTCTTGACAAATATTCCAGCTTAAAACATTAGATGTCCTTATGAACCATTTATTTATACCCAGAAAACATTTCACATTTAGTACATCCATATGTCAGTAATTTCTAATAGTAAGTGATCAAAATATACTTGTTTGTTTGTGTTATAAAATCTCTACTACCAGTATTGCAGAGAGAATTTCATTTTAAACAGTAGTTTAAATTCTTCCTCAACAATCTCAGAACTTTTAAAATGTATCTGATATAAAAACCCTACATTTTATTCTTCAAGTTGCTTAGATTAAGTTTCAGAATGCTGACAAAGGAGGGTTCCAACATTTGATCTTCAATCCTTTTTGCTTTTGCTAGAATTGTTCATTAATTATTGAATTTTGAAAACTTGAATAGAAGAATAATATTAGCAGTAGCTTGATACAACTTTATTTCAATAAATTATTTTCTCTTAAAAACAGAAGCATTTCTGTAAAGCTTCTGAGAAGCTTTAATGTATTATGTTTATGCATGTCTCTTTTATTTTGTTTCCAAATGTTTTTATATAGTATATAGGTCCCCCCTCTAAACAGAATAGAACATGTATATATGTCTATTGCATAATTAAATGTTCACAGCCTCATTTATTTTGCTAGTTCTTATATTTATAAATGATGGAATGTTGGTTTCAATATCATGCTAAAATTCCCACTTGAAAAATTTTGTGAATTCCTACTCTTAATTTACTTGCAATATTTTAGAAAAAGAAAAGGGGCCCTGACAATTCTGTTTCTCTGATCTGTTTATTAAGAGTTTCATTCAAGGTGGCATAATTATGTCTTAAATTATTTTTATTACAATATTCTGCATATTAAGCAACTGAGTTTTCCTGATAAATATTTGAACTGATGGTAACCCTTCTTTTGGGGAGAAAAAAAGAGTCCAACCTTATCTTTTTACTGCGTGTGGGCAATCTTGTTTTCAATGGCACTATTTCCTATTGAATTATCACGTCCTGCAAATAGGAATGATTTGTAACTACCATTGAAAAAACTTGAAATATAAAATTCTTCTGACTTGGATTATTTTGAACCTAGTATTACTGAAAATCTGTGTTTTTCCTTATTTATCACCACCCACCACTCTCTCCCTTTCTACTTCTGTTCTTCCCCTCCCCAGGTACTTAGCTTTCTAATTGTGCAAAGCGAAATGAAAAAAGATAGTATTCTGAATATATAATGCGTATTTTCCTTCAAATTCCTCTTTGTTCTTATTAGGATATGGATCATAATTAAGTTTTTCAGATATCTTTTTCTCCAAAAAGAGGAATTAAAAAGTCAGTTTTTCAAAGTGTCTTCATTTTTTCTTCCATCCCTTTTTCATTTTTATCTATTTAAAGGATATGAAACTGATGGGTGGGATTAGTATGTGATATATTACATACTGTAAAAATAACAGAATTTGGGCATATTATTTTCCGTGTGTAGGAGGGTCTACTATGAAAGTTATACATAAACATGAAACATTCCTCATAGCTCTGCTTTTAAATAGATTCCCATTTTTGATGAAAGTTTATATCTTGTGGCTTAGAATTGAAATAAAATCACTTGAAGAAAAGCATTAGTTTGTTCCAACATTTTCACAGACATGTACGTTTCTGAGGCGTACCTCCCATTAGCAACGTCCCTGGATACTTGGATGAAAAGCAGCAATAAATCTGTGGTTAAGTTTAGTTTTTATCTCTACAGTCTCTTAAAAGTTTTTTTGGTGTATCCCAATTCTTACATTCAAATCTTCATTTGTTTTGCCAAATTCTATTTCTTAAAGCTATTACAATCAGGAATTAAGGAAAGTTAGTGAAGCTTTTTTTTTCTTTACAGTTAATCTTCTAATTTTAACTATTTGTGGACACATGTAAAATTTATCCATGTCCCACAATTATTCTAACACTACCTAAATGCATCTTTTCATAATCCTAGTGGGAGCCAATGTCATAAACGAAAGAAAGATGCAATTTTTCTGTTTTGTTCCTTATTAGTGTATGATAAGTAAATTGTTTCACAATTCCACTTTCCTCCATCTGCCCACAATATCATTCAATTGCCATAGTGGACATTCAGAAGCAAATATTCTCTCTTTTTTTTTTGGGAGGGGGGCTCTTCCCTAAGCCTCTTTTGATTGTTTATTATTGTCAGTCAGAAATCTGACACTCTTATTTTCTTTTTTATCCCTGGCACAAAATGAAAGGAAATGATTCAAAAACCTTCTTGAGGACAAATAAAAGTTTATCAGATTTTTAAAAAAGTGTGGATTTTTTTTTATAAACATCTGCATCACCTGCAGTGCCCACCAGCCTCTCGCTCCTGGCACAAGTCTAGCTGACTTTAACTCAGCTTCAACCACATTTTCCTATATCCCAGATAGCCAAAGGGAAGCGTTTGCTAAAATGATTCTAACTCCTTAATATTCTTTCTCTGCTTTATTTAGTCCCAAACACATGTGTTCCACAAAGAAAATCAAACTGCGTCATGACCTTACTATTTAAATAAAAATTAGTTATAGATAATACACACATTTTCTTGCTTATTGCTGAATACCATTCCCTTTAGCTTTCCCCTATGTTTTTTGTATATTTTCGCTAGATCGTTTCTCTCTGTTTTCTCAGACAGAGAGGGGTCATTCACATGGAACCTGGACATACCACAATTTTTAGCCTTCAAATCGGCTTTTAAGATAAGAACCACCAGAGCCAAGAAACTCAGAGATGCCTAAGTAATATAATTTTCTTGGTTTTTCTCTGTAGAATCACGTATTTTTTAGCCATGAATTTCTAAATTGATATAATGAGAAACTCAGGGCCAAAATAGACATATAAACATTTTATTCTACTCATAATGTTACTAATGGTATTAGATCTAAGACATTATATAATTCATCAAAGCCAAAGCTATAGTTCCTACCATTAGCAGATAAAATAACTTATTAATCTCTTTCACTCCCAATAATATAAGCACTTACTCTCTTGATATAAACAAAATGAAATAGTTTAGGGAGTAGATTAAGAAAACGTAGGTGGATAATCTTGAACCAAACTGATATTTTATCCACAACTAAAGTCATATGTTATATTTAAAATAAAAAGATTTAAGACAACAGAAAACAATAGCAAGAACTACCACACAAATACCTCATAAGAAAGCAACATAGAAAATAATTAAGGATCTGAATGTTAAAATTATCTACCTATTCCTAACCAAGTAAAACAAATCATTGTCAAATCACCATTTGGCTATGTTTGGCAGAAACAATTTCTATCTAATTTAATGATGTTTAACTGTCTGGAAATTCTTAACAAATTAGAATCAGGCTTTATTTTCAGTCTCAAATAAAAATGTTTCTTTCATTGCCCAGAAAGGCTTTCGTTGAAATAGGAAGTTTACTTCTTACTTCTTCAAGTGTATGTTCCATCACTGAAGAAGAAATTCTCTTTTGTGAAAGCTCTGATCCATGATAGATCTAATTTAATCCATGATATGTCAAGTTTGACAAAGATATCTACCCACAGTCAGCTGTCAGTAGTCTACTGACACCTTTCTTCATATATCACTATTTCTTAATGCAAAGGTGGAAAAGTGTTAACTCACTGAAAATGGTCTGCCTATGTTTAAAGGTCACTTTTAACAGCTTTGTGGGAAGCCAAGCTTTGAACAATTATAACATTCTTTCAAGAATTAACAGGTTCTCAGTCAAAGATTTAAAATAAGCATATTGAATGTCCTCAGTATCTTTAGTCAATAGAGAATAATTGTATCCTCCCAGTTTCCTTTCTTCACTTATTCTTTGAGATTTTCAGAGACCCTAAACTCACCTTCTGCTGCCGAAAAAGCAGATTTAGTTCTGAAGGTTAATCCAACTCAGCAGGATTGAAGGATGGCACTTTTCCTTGGTCGTAAGTATGTTGGCTCAGGCCAGACAGCTGTTAGGACATTCTCCTCTGGGAATCGTGCCCTCAACACCCACCGTTGATGCACATACATGGTCTACTGGCTGCCGACTTCCATGCCCATCTGCTCAAATGGCATGGTGCCCACTCACAAGTTGGCTGGATTCTTGCCCTTAGTGTGTAGGTGCCAGGCAATGATGGGTTTAGATGGGCAGCCTGCATAATACTACAAGTGACAATTTTTTTTCTTTTTTTCTTTGTACAATATCTGTCCTCTGTGCTTCCCTGAAAGAGAAACTTGTGTTTCTCCACCTTCGATTATAACTGTGGACACATGTGGCCTTGTACAGGTATGTCCAAATGTATCCAACCTGCCACCAACAGTAAGATGAAAGGGAAGAATTCACAGAGCCCCACATGACAAGTGCTAACACTGAAATGGGTTGGATTGTGAAAATCCTGACCACCTGGAGTCTGTCAGAAGATATTTACCATGGGTGTAAGTACAGCAGACCTCTCATAGATAGCAGTGGCATCAGGAAGCAGCTTAAGTTACAGCACTTTTGTCTGTTGCAGTTCCAGCACAAATCATTTGCCTTGCATTAAAAAGGCACATACAACAGCAAGGGAAATAAATCAGGCAAAAAGAACAAACTTAATGGAACACAATTTATATGTTCAATGAGGGCAAGGGTACAAGCTAGGATATTCAGACCTCAGAAATAACCCTGACTGGAGGTCTTAATGGAAAGAAAAAGAAACAGAAATAGCATCTCTCTTTCAAATCTACAGCAAACCCGTGGAGAGGAATAGATTGGCATAGGAGGTTGTGACTTTAATGATCCAAAGCATATGAATGCTTGTTAGCAGACAGCAGACAGACATAAGTAAGAACAACAGTAATGGCTGCATCTGCAGCCTGGCCTATGGCACTAAAACCAATCAGGCAGCATTGGAGAGCTGTGCCGGAAGGTATGTTAAAGCTGTGCTTTCCTTGTGTGTTTATTTAGGGGTGATTGAATTCAGGGTGTTGTTAGTCTGCCTTGGAGAATGGTTATCCATGTGTAGGCATGATCTTTCTCTCTGAATATGCTCTGTTGAGTCAGTTAGTTATGTGTGACTACTTGATCTGTCCTAGTCTTTATACAGTGCCAACATTCTCCAGTCCAAGTTCCAAAGGAACAGGGCCTAAAAACTTTTGGCTCCAGAATCAAATTAGGCTTCTCTGCTTCCCTAGCCAGAAGTGCATAAATACCCAATGGCCAAAACCAAAGAATTTGACATTGTGGAATGAATAGAGCTGTCATATACCACTAAAGTGTAGAAATATCTACTGTTTGAAGTCAAGACTAGTTCAACATCTTCAGTAATCAGAACAGACTTCTTTGGACACCTTTATGGGTTAGTCTGGCTTTTGATTGGAAATGTTTCTGGCAAGCTGTTGATTCCAGATATCAGAAATGTAAGAACATACGGTTTATAAGAGAAAGTCTGCCATTTTTTTCTGTCAAAAAAATTCTTCAAGGCAGCACATTTTTATAAAAGATGGGTCCTTCATTTACCTCCAGGTTAGTACCACTTACTTAGATGTATTCTAAAAGAGAACTAGTCAAAGAAGAGGTAAATCGGTATAGTTGAAAAAATATTATTTGAAGCTAAATTGGGAGTTAGGAGTTTCTGGTGAAAATAGAAAAAAGAATGACTAGATTGATCCAAAACTCATTAATCTGATTGCTGTGGTATGATTTAGCTATCAAAGTTCCCTGATAAATCATTTCTCTCACAACTTGTCACATCCCAAGATTATAACAGTAAGAATCACATACAACTAATTTCTTGAAAATGAAGAAAAGCAGATGTCCTATCAAGGGACTCTTGAGGGCAAGGGGCATGTTTTATTCATCTTTAAATCTGCAATACTTAGCATAGTGTATAACACTATATTGGAATTGGCCTTTCAACCTTTATATTGTACCTCTTTATACATGTGACCTATTATTTATTTGAATTCACCACAAACTTCAATAGCTTTACCCTAAGATACCTTGTTAGAAACATATACATCATTCTTTTTAAAATACGAACCAAGTCAGTTGCAAGCCTTTTCCAGGTGGACTTCCATAATTTCTCTTAGGAGCTTTGACATCTACTCTTACTGAAATAAGATAGAATTTTCAAAATGACCCCCGACAATGAGTCTTTAATTGAAATAACTGATCATACTTTGGATACTAGTTCCTCGACCTGCGTAGCATATATAATACTTGGGGTTTATGTTCCTTTTCTAAAGAAAAAAACCTGACCTTTTGATTGGAAATGTTTCTTGGAGAAGAAATAATAATATAGATAGGTGGGCCGGGTGCGGTGGCTCACGCCTGTAATCCCAGCACTTTGGGAGGCCCAGGCGGGCGGATCATGAGGTCAAAAGATGGAGACCATCCTGGCCAACATGGTGAAACCCTGTCTCTGCTAAAAATACAAAAATCAGCTGGGCATGGTGACGCACGCCTGTAGTCTCAGCTACTCAGGAGGCTGAGGCAGGAGAATCGCTTGAACCCGGGAGGCGGAGGTTGCAGTGAGCCGAGATTGCACCCCTGCACTCCCGGGGTGCAGTTGTGGGGATGAAGGTATTAATTACAAAGAAGTTAACAAATTTGCCTTTCGCTACAGAATATCCAAGAGGCTGATCACTTGGTAGTGCCTGGTACCATGAAGATATGGTCAAGACTGCCTGCAACAGCCATCATTCAGAAAGGCTAGACTCCCAGGCTTACTCACCCATTGCAAATAGTCAGCTGACGGCTCCCAGACCTTCATGAGACAAAATTAAACAAGGAAGCTTCTAGAGTCTAGACTCAAGGTCACTTGGCATTGCAGAGGGAAGAGGTGAGTGTGAGACTGCAAACTAGGGGATTAAAATCTACCTCATTAGCAACAAGACTTTTAGTCCCCATCCTCAGTCAACCTCCCAGATATGTCAGAGGCAAAAATATATCCCTTCATCCAGAAAATTGGAGGAGTCTTCTCTAGCAGAAGTGAATGGCTCCCAGGTCCTGCAGACACTAAAATTTGGATATCCGCAATGAAAAGTCAGCTTCATAATGTGATTGATTTAGAGAAGACTGTCAGTCAAGAAGTCCAGTGCCCCTGCTCCAAACACAAGGAAATTTTAATCAGCATTTTAAATGCCTCTTTTAAAAATGTGAATAGGCAGATATGAGTTACTATAAATTAACTACTTACTAACTTACAACTAATAATTAAGGAAATATTTATTGTATGAATAATAACATTGAATAATATGTGCAATATACTGTTTCAAGTGCTAAATAAAACACTCTCTGTTCTCATGAAGCTTACAATCTTTAGAAAAAATTGTGAAATGAAATAAGAATATCAAAATAAGCAAACAGAAAGAAACCCAAAGTAAGCAGAAATAATACAAGAAACAGATGGAAACAAGCGAACAAAAACTATTAGCACTGTAATTAAAATAAGAAAATATATAAGATTCATAAAAACAGAAATAATAAATGAGAGTGGCATTAGGAAAGTAAAAATATAAATATATTTTTTAAATCAAGTAAATTTCTGGAGGAAAAAATAGCTAACCCAAAAATATCAGGAAAAGCGAACACACGAGTAGAAAGAAAAGATCAAGTCCGGGTGCGGTGGCTCACGCCTGTAATCCCAGCACTTTGGGAGGCTGAGGTGGGTGGATCACTTGAGGTCAGGAGTTCGATACCAGCCTGGCCAACATGGTGAAACCCCATCCTAACTAAAAATACAAAAATTAGCCAGGTGTGTTGGCCCATGCCTGTAATCCCAGCTATTTGGGAGGCTGAGGCATGAGAGTCGCTTGAACCTGAGAGGGGAGGTTGCAATGAGGAATGAGACTGTCTCCCAAAAAAAAAAAAAAGAAAGAAAGAAAAGATCAGAGAATAAAGTAGGAAGTTCAACATCTACCTAATAGAAAAATCCAAAAGAACAATTTTTTTTTAATAGCTGGAAAAAGAATTTAACATGAAGTACAAGAGAATGTCTCCAAATTTTACGATATGAGCCTCTGACTGAAAGAGCTTACCAAGTGCCCTGTACAATAAATGAACAAGAAGGACCATATAGTTACAGAACACTGGGGCTAAGAAAAGATTGTAAAATCTTCCAAAAATAGTGTATGTGGAAGAGAGAGGAAGGGGGAACAATCACTTACAACAAAAAGTTGGTAATCAGAATCGTACTGGACTCTTCTAAAACTGACTGGAGGCTAGAAGAATGCTTTCAAAATTTGAGGAGAAAATATTGTCCACCTATAATTAAATAATCTGTTAAATTATCAATCAAATGATAGCATTAAGTAAAGACATTTCCTGATATGGAAGGACTAAATGTGTTTATTTCCACTATATTCTTGTTTGGAAGCAACTAGGGGAAGTGTTTAGGCAAAATGAAGGATTTGACCAAGGGAAAAAAAAAAATCGTTAGAAATAAGGCATAGGGGCCGGCACGGTGGCTCATGCCTGTAATCCCAGCACTTTGGGAGGCCGAGGCAGGTGGATCACAAGGTCAGGGGTTCGAGACCAGTCTGGCCAATATGATGAAACCCCATCTCTACTAAAGATACAAAAAAATAATTAGCCGGGCATGGTGGCACACACCTGTAATCCCAGCTACTCAGGAGGCTGAGGCAAGAGAATAGCTTGAACCTGGGAGGCAGAGGTTGCAGTGAGCTGAGATCATACCATTGCACTCTAGCTTGGGAGACAAATAATAATAATAATAATAATAATAATAATAATAATAATAATGACAAAATAATAAGGCACAGGAACACAGGAACATAGGAACATGGCAACAAGAAGTTACATGTTCTGCACTGCGTGTTAGGCCAATAGAGCCTTTAGTTCAAGATGTGTTAAGCAAGCAGATGGAGAACAATGGGAGGAAATTTTTTAAAAGGAGGCACTACATTATTTAATAATTCAGTGTTTGGCCAAAAGATAGATATTTGGCAATTTTGTTGATATTTTTGGAAAAATAGCTATAGTTATGATAAAATATAAGTAAAATTAAAATTTAGGCAATCATTTACTCCATCCAAGAAAATTGAATACAAAGAAATTTATGTTTATATAATTATTGACATAGTTGGAAAAATTTAGAAAATAATAATGTCAATTAGTAATTGAACTAAAAATTGTGAAAAACTATGATGAAACAATAGAGGGAAGGGAAGAAGCTGTGAGGTGTAAATGAGATATTAAACTATAGTAACGGAAAGTGCATAATGCCTAGAACAGATAAATCAGGGAAAACAGTATATGCGTAATATTTAAAAAGAAAAGAAGGTTAATACAAAAAAGAAACAACAAAAAAACAAAGCTGTTGAAGGCAGTTGCCTCTAGGAAGGGGAACTGATGAATAGACAGGTAGAGAAGTCAGAGAAATGCTATGTTGAATCAAAAGTTTTCTAGACTAAAGTCTTAACTTCATGTATAACTTTAATAAACATAAATATTGATTACAATGTAATGTATCATTTTAAAAAGAAACTTTTTCTTCAAAAGGTTGAAAGAAAGAGAAAGGGACCAGGCTATTCTCCCACCTAATTGGATAAATGAGAGCTCTCACCCATCAATTTACATCATGAAAAGTCCCACTTCCTTATCAGATCCTTCAATATAAGTGGAATACAAAAAGAATTATAAGTATGATTCAGCAGAGAATAATTTTCGCAAAATTACAATGGTAGCAACTAGTAGATTCAAAGACTGCATGCACCTCTCATCTTTGTGGCTTAGGGCAATTCGTTTAACGTCTCTGTGTCTCAGTCTCCTCATCTACAAGATGGAGGCAATAATAGCTCCTATTTCCTAGAGTTGTGGAGTGATCAAATGGATTAATACTTCTGAAGTGACTTCAAGGGCAGTGTGAAATAAGTGCTCAATGATGTTAGCTAGTATTATCATCGAAGGAACCCCTGCATTCTTTATCCAAACAATACCTTTTTAAAGTAGAGGCCATACCCTTCTGCTCTTAAGGCTTCAGATTGAAGACTCACTCCCTAATGCACTTTCTAAGGGCTGTAAACATAGTCGGGGTTAAAGGAGAAGGCAAAGGAATGTGGGGACTCTAGCCCTTCTCTAATTCCCTGTGGCCTTGGCTTCCTCTTGGTCTTTGAAGGCATTTTACACAGACAAATGAGTCTTCCCCAAGAAATAGTCAACTAGTGAAATGCTTACATTTGCTTTCGCACCATATCAGAAAAAAAAATTCATGCTATTATCTAACTCTATGTTTATCTTTCTAGACACTAAGTGAAAGGAGCTGCAAAATAATCTCTTGGCTGTTATTAGCGGGTGAGGGGCCACTAGATCCTTGGATCTAGAAAGTCCACAGAAACATTTTCGTATTTCCACTGTTTACAGACATCTACAAAGAAAAGAGAAAGTCATTTCACTGGTCACCTACTTAACACCATTTCATATTCAAATCAAGGGAAGCTGCCAAAATAGGATTAATTTTTTAAAAATAACTCTCTCACTAATGTTCCCCTTGGAAGACTAAAGAGGGAGTCCAATTCTGAACCCATTTTTAATCCTCCATTGTGTATAAACCACAAAGCACGAATTTGCTCATTAGTACTCTCAGCAAGAGCCATCATTTTTAAATGATCAAAGTGTTTGTTTCGGGAGAAATCAGTCACATAGAGTAATGATTCCCAAATTGTGGTCCTGGGCATTTAGCACAGAATCCTCTGTGGTTCATTTAGGGGATATTTTCAGGGAAATGTGAAGGCTGATAAAATATAGGACCAAGTGGGAATGTTTTGAAGATAGACTAACAGAGAATGGTCATTATATTGTTTTGGAGACAGGGATTTGAAATCAGTGGCAATTCAAAGATGAGGAATGGAGAACTAAAATCACAGGACATGAACAGGTGCAAAACATACCTAGGAACCAATGATTTTGGTCACATGCAAAAAGGACATGTTTAATATAAACGAATTTTGTAATACTAACTCTTTTCCCCCCAAGAACAAGAATTATAAACTCTTAAAACAAAAACTGTATAGCTAAACTTTAAAACAGAAAACTTTAACAGAATAACCTTTAAAGTAAAATTTTCATAGTGCAAAAGGCAAACATTTTTGCTCTTCATAAGTCGAGATTATTTAAATAGAGATTCCTAAATTTTATTCATAAACAAAGAAAATATGATTGTATTCCTATTTCATATTATCAAATTTCTCTGGTTATTTGTGGCTTTACCACTAATTTTATGTCCCTCATCTAGCCACAATGAAAGACACACCCAACTCAGCAGCAATAAGAAGAAAAAGTTGAGATTATTTTTGAAATGTTAGCCACAAACTCAACAGAAGCTTAATGGTAAAGTTATTGAAGGAATGTAATGACTATTTATTAAGTATCCTTTACAGGAATTTGGTGGGGGTTTATTTTTCCCCCTCAAGAAACAAGATACGTTGTAGGGAGCTCTGGAGAAGTTAATTTGGGGTCTAAAGTTAAAGAAGAAAAGGACTAAGATGGAGGCTGGAAGCACTTGGTGAAACTAATGAATTTGGGGGTTAGAAAATTTTTAAATATATATATTGTCACTTTATGCTACAAAACATCATTTAAAATTTCTGCTTAAGAGAAAGCACTTTTACCTGGTTTATGAAGTCTTTCTAATGGTGCTGGCAAAGAATAAATAGATTTCCTATGATAGCAGTTAATGATTGATACCATAGTACATGATGAAGGTGAAGTGCATTCTAACCATGAAACAAGGATCTATCGGGAATGAGGATCTCTATTATTTTGACCACCCTCAAACACACCTGAAGGAAACACATCTGGAAATGACAGCCACTCATATTGCAGTAATTATAGGATTGGGGTAGCACTCCTAGGGGATATTGCAGAATCTTAGAGGAGACTGCAGTTTGAAGGAAACTTCCATGTGATTATGACCTGGTCCCAGCACAATCAGAGATTAAAAACCAATCAGAGAACCAAAAGTTTGAAGCAAAGAAAAATACAAGATAAGTTCAAAGTATACAAGCTTCAATCTATGTGTCAATAGTTTAAATCAATGGGACAATGAAAACTTCAATAGGGACGAAGTAAATTAAAGAGAAAAAGATTATTTTTCTTTTAAGTAGAGACCATATCCACACCATTCTAGTAAACAGATGAGCAGAGCACTTGGTACATAGCAGGCATGGGATAAATATTAAACTCAATCGGAACGTATTAATAAAAATGTTTCATTTCATTTTTCAAAATTGTTTTACATATATTAAACTCATTTTGTGAAAGCAGAGCACTATATTATATAGAGGAAATTATTACATTCATTTGGAAAATGAGGAAATTGAGCTACAGTTTAAACGAGTATTTCTTGAGTAATTTCTGTAGGCAAAATACTGTGTTAAATACTGTGTTGGCTGAGCCTGTATTCCCAACACTTTGGGAAACCAACGAGGGAAGATTGATTGAGGTCAGATGTGTGAGACCAGTCTGAGCCACATAGTGAGACTTTGTCTCTACAAAAAAAAAAAGAAAAAAGAAAAAAAAGCTGGGCATCGTGGTGTACCTGTAGTCCTGCCTACCTCAAGGCAAGAGGAGTGTTTGAGCCCAGGAGTTCAAGGCTGTGGTGAGCTATAAACACGCCACTGTACTCCAGTCTGGGCAACAGAATAAGAACTTGTCTTAAAACAACAACAACAGCAAGAAAAGGACTGTATTAGCTAGGCGGGATTATTTTTAGTTTTTTTTTTTACCTACCTCCAAAATGTCATTTGATTGACAAAATCAGTCTCTTAAATCAGTATCATTAATTGTTAAATTTATGCTCAAATATATAAAGTAACTAGATATTAGATAACTAGTTATCCAGTCCCATACTAATACACAATGTTTCCTTGAGGCCACATAAGAATCTACTTCCCTTTTACTATTGGACTCTTCCATCCCCAAACATCCAACAAAGATATAGATGGAAATGTGGATAAAGGAATTAGTCCTGCCTTATTGAAATTAAAGTCATCAGAAATAATTCCTAAGTAAGCTAGCTAGATGGCAATACCACTAAATCAGTTCTTTCAGTTTGCTATCCCTTTCTTGACTATGCAGCACTGTCCAATTTTGTTGAGGTCATATTATACAGTAAGACTTTCAGTTGATGCTAAAGGCACTTGTCCTTCAGACTTTTGCCTCACCAAGAATCTTGCCTTTTCTTCAGTGTATGCAACCCTTCACCCTGTCGAATGCTATTCTTTGCAATTCAGCTTACATGATATACTTCAAAATATAAGCAAGCAGAGCAACAAGCTGCATCAGCGGCTGTGTCATTTCAGGTTACGTGTTTCTGTCTTTTCTTCCTGGGACTTGGGCGGCTGAGAAGCTGACCTCCCTAGTTGAGTCAACTGCCATGGGCTAATAGTCAAAGAGAAAGAACGAGCTCTCAAGAGCAAGGGCAATCACAGCAGAGAAAATTCTGGTTTGCCTAATCTTACATTCCTGTCTTTTACCCTGACATGCCAACTTGATCATTTATAAAGACTGTCTTTTCATGAGGTTCCAACTTTAAACTTCAGTTTAAGGACAGTTTCTTTTGGTCAATTTTGCTTCCAGTAAACAAAATTGTAATATGACAGCATTTCATCTTTAGCTTTAAAAAAAAAAAAAAGAAAAGAAAAATACAATCCAAAACAAAGAAATCTCTGGGTATTTAGAGATTTTTAAAGTGTTTTAGAGTGTCCTATTCTCACACTCGGCCTGAAACTGAGGGACCCTTTCGGCTGTTCTACACTTTTATTCCCCCTTTGTGAGCTCGTATTTCTTATCTTATCCTTTTTAGATACTTTTATATACTTAATCATTTTTAAAAGATATGTTTGAATCAGTACAAAAAAAATTGTAGCCTCTGATGGTGCCCACTGATGCTGTTTTCACTTTCCTGATTGATTGTTGTTCCCACTACCCAGAAAAAACATGGCTTACATCTGAAAGACACCTTAAGTCTCTATAATTTCAACAATACAGACCTCTTTAGGCTGATGCTAATTAGTCATTGGTCATGAAAAATCAGTGTATTTGTTATGAATAAATTACAATACCTGACAACACCTCACAGCCAAGCTGACTTTCTCCTACTGTTGCTTATCTGAAGACCAGCTCTTCTAACAGGCTTAGTTTAGCTACAGAACCAGTTAACAGAAGCCAGAATACAGTCAGGCCCTTCTCTTCTACTATCTTGAGAGAATACATATTCAGTGAGCCTCTCAAGTCTCAAAGTCAGTGAGTATCCCACTTTGAATCTTTGCTGCCAGTTAGGCCGAAGTGCTAGGTCTAATGTAAGCATTCTTGTAGCCCTTCCCTCTCTCCTTTACCTGCTTCTAGTACTGGCTTAATCTGTTAAGTTTAATCTTCTATTCCTGGCAGCTGGCCTTTGGTCTCCTGATCCTTCCAGTGATGAGGAATATTTACCCTGAACCACTCTGCTGCTTGAAGGGCTTTCTCCCCTGAGGTCCTGCTCATTCTCTTTCCTGGTAGGTTATGTTGTTAGTATCCCTGCTACTTAGTAGGTGCCCTGTTACATACAGTCAGATCTCTTATTACATAACGCCATCTCACCTAAGTCCTTGTGAGCTTTCTACTGCCAGGCACCTAGTCCAGCTGTTGCACGTGATTGCCTCAAATGTCTCTGAGTTTCTTTCACCCTCAAACATTTGCCTTACTAGGGCCAGTCCTCAAAACTGTATTAATTCTCAACCTTCTAGAAACTGAGATTTGCTGGTGAACGGCAGCAAGGGTAAGTAAGTAAAAGCCCCTACAAAGTTCATGGAGCAAAGTTGATCCTGCAATAACTCAATATTCTCTCTCCTCTTTTCCTCCCCACCACCCATCTTTCACACATGCACACCCCTTAGGGAAATGTTTTGTGGAGAAGGAAAATATAAGTACAGACATACTTCATTTTATTGTGCTTCACCTTATTAAGCTTCATTGTGTGTGTTCTGACTGCCCCACCAACTGGCAGTTCCCCTGTCTCTTTCCCTCTCCTCTGCCTCCCTATTCTCTGAGATACCACAGTATTAAAATTAGGCCAATGAATAACCCTACAATGGCCTGTAAGTGCTTAAGTGAAAAGAAGAGTTGCATATCTCTCACTTAATTCCAGCAATTTGGGAGACCGAGGTGGGCAGATCACCCAAGGTCAGGAGTTTGAGACCAGCCTGGCCAACATGGCAAAACCCCATTGCTACTAAAATACAAAAATTAGGTGGGCATGGTGCTGAGTACCTGTAATCCCAGATACTCTGTATCTGGGAGTATCTGAGACAGGAGACTGAGGCTGGAGAATCACTTGAACCCGGGAGGCAGGGGTTTCAGTGAGCCAAGATCACACCACTGCACCCAGCCAGGGCAACAGAGGGAGATTCTGTCTCAAAAAAAAAAAAAATCAAAAGCTAGAAATTATTAAGTTTAGTGAGGAAAGCATGTCAAAAACCAAGTTAAGCTGAAATCTAGGCTTTATGTGCCAGTCAAGTTGTGAATGCAAAGGAAAAGTTATTGAAGGAAATTAAAAGTGCCCCTACAGTGAACACAGGAATGATAAGAAAGTAAAACAAACTTCTTGTTGCTATGAAGAAAGTTTGAGTGGTCTGGATAGAAGATCAAAGCAGCCACAACTTTCCCTTAAGAGCTAACACCTAATTGAGGGCAAGGCCCTAACCCTCTTCAATTCCTTGAAGGCTGAGAGAGGTGGAAAAACTGCAGAAGAAAAGTCTGAAGGCAGCAGAGGTTAGTTCATGAGGTTTAAGGACAGATGTCATCTCCATAACATAAAAGTACAAGGTGAAGCTGAAAGTGCTGTTGTAGAAGCTGCAGCAAGTTATCTAGAAGATCCAGCTAAAATTATTGATGAAGCTAGCTACACTAAACAACACATTTTCAATGTAGATGAAATACCTTTATATGAAATATGTCATCTAGGATTTCCATAGCTCAAGAGGAAAAGTCAATGCCTGGTTTCAAAGCTTCAAAGGACAGGCTGATTCTCTAGTTATCAGTGTCTTTAAGTTGAAGCCAGTGCTCATTTGCCCTTCCAAAAATATTAGGGCCCTTAAAAATGATACTAAATATACTTTGCCTGTATTTTATAAATGGAACAACAAAGCCTGGATGACAGCACATCAGTTTACAGCATGACTTAACTGAATATTTTAAGCCCATTGTTGAGACCTACTGCTCAAAAAAAAAGATTCCTTTCAAAATATTACTATTCATTGACAATGCAGCTAGTCACTCAAGAGCTCTGATGGAGATGTACAAGGACAATAATGTTGTTCTCATGCTTGCTAACATCCATTCTGCAGCTCATGGATCAAGTAGTAAATTTGGCTTTAGAGTTTTGTTATTTAAGAAATATATTTAAGGCCGGGTACAGTGGCTCACACCTGTAATCCCAGCACTTTGGGAGGCCGAGGCGACGGATCACGAGGTCAGGAGATCGAGACCATTCTGGCTAACACGGTGAAACCCCGTCTCTACTAAAAATACAAAAAATTAGCCTGGCGTGTTGGTGGGCGCCTGTAGTCCCAGCTACTCGGGAGGCTGAGGCAGGACAATGCAGTGAACCCGGGAGGCAGAGCTTGCAGTTAGCCGAGATCACGCCACTGTACTCCATCCAGCCTGGGCAACAGAGTGAGACTCCGTCTCAAAAAAATAATAAAAAAAAGAAATATATTTAATAAGACTATAGCTGCATAGGCAGTGATTCCGCTGATGGATCTGGACGAAGTAATTTGAAAACCTTCTAAAAAGGATTTACCATTCTAGATGTCACTAAGAACATTCATGATTCATGAGAGAAGGTCAAAATATCAACATTAATGTGAGTTTGAAAGAAGTGTATTCCAATCCTTATGAATGACTTTGAGGGGTTCAGGACTTCAATGCAGAATGTAACTGTAGATGTGGTAAAAATAACAGGACAACTAGAATAAGAAGTGGAGCCTGAGGATGTAACTAAATTGCTGCAATCTCATGATAAAATTTTAATGAGAAGGTGCTTCTTACAGATGAGCAAAGAATGTACTTGAGATGGAATGTACCCCAGTGAAGAGGCCGTGAATGTCGCTGGAACGACAAAATTTGGAATATTCCATAAACTCAGTTTATAAAACAGCAGCAGAGTTTGAAAGGATTGCCTCCAATTTTGAAAGAAATTCTACTGTAGGTAAAATGCTGTCAAACAGCAACACATGCTACAGAGAAATCTTTCACAAAAGAAAGAGGCAACCAATGTGGTAAACTTCACTGTGGACTTATTTCAAAACATTGCCACAGCCACTTTGCCCTTCAGAAATCACCACCCTGATCAGTCAGCAGCCATCAACATCAAGGCAAGACCTTCCACCAGCAAAAAGGATATGACTCTTTGAAGGCTCAGATGATTGTTAGCATTTTTTAGCAATAATATTTCTTTAAATTAAGGTATGCATTTTTTTTTTTTGAGACAATGTCTCACTTTATCTCCCAGGCTGGAGCGCAGTGGTGCAATCATGGCTTACTGCAACCTCCACCTTCAGGGCTCAAGCAATCTTCCCACCTCAGCCTCCCAAGTAGGTGGGACTACAGGCATGGAAAAGCACGCCCGATTAATTTTGTTTTTAATTTTTTGTAGAGACAGGGTCTCACTGCATGGGCAAGGTTGGTCTTGAATCCCAAGGCTCAAGTGATCCTCCTGCTTCAGTCTCCCAAAGTGTTGGGATTACAGACATGAGCCATCACGCTTGGCTCATATTGTTTTTTATACAAAATGATATTGCTCTCTTAATAGACTATAGAATAGTATAAACATAACTTTTATTTGCTCTGTGAAATCAAAATTTTTGTATGACTTGCTTTATTGCAATATTTGTTTATTTTGGTAGTCTGGAACCAAACCTGCAATATATCTGAAGTTTGCTTGCACAGATTTGCTTAGACACAGTTGAGCTATGTCTAGACTTTTCTTAAGACATAAGAGGAAGTTGGAGACTTATAGGCAGGATATAAGGTGGATATTTGTAGCTTTTGAATGCAAGATGACTTCTATGATATAGTGCTCTTTGTTTCATAGGCTGAGTTTCAAAACAGAGACAGGCAAATATAGGGACTCTTCCTAGATTTTGTTTGTTTGTTTAGCTTTGAGATATCAAACATTTGACACTCAGTAAATAGTAGAAGCTGGATTCTGATTTGTAAGGTCTAGGTTAGGTGCAGGAATCTGTATTTTTAAAAAGCCCTCTAATGATTCTTAGCCAAATTAGGTAATCACTGCACTAGAGAAGGGTGTTAATTGCCAGGTACCCTGGATAATTGCATGCACCTTAGCATGGCAGCAAATGAGCATTTCTCATTCTAAATGAGCCTAAGGCTTTACCTCTAGGATTTTAGTGTTGCTTTCTAAAGACTCCAAAATCATAGCCAAAGAAAATAAATTGGTGATTCCAGACTGGCGATGAAAAGCGGTGCTCAAGCAATTCTATATTGCATTTCTATATTACAATCTGCATCTAATCTAAAACAATCAAACTCAAAATGTATGAAGCATGTACTATGTATGCTCAGTAGCAGGAAAATTAACACAAGATCAGAAAAATGGGCCTGACGCAGTGGCTTATGCCTATAATCCCAGTGCTATGGGAGGCTGAGGCGGGAGGATTGCTTGAGGCCAGGTGTTTGAGACCAGCCAGGGCAACACAGCGAGACACATCTCTACAAAAAATAATAGTAATAAAAAATTTAAAAATTAAAAGAAGAAAAATAGCCAACATTTTGTTTGTAGGTTTATAACAACCCCAAATCAGTAAAATGCACTTAACATAATACCATTTTATTTAGCGTGAATTCTTCAATACAGACATCATGAACATTTATATGTCACTTTAGATACTATTTAGCCAATATCAATTTCTGATAAGCCTTAGATTTTAATGAGTTCTTTAAAACTGATAACTTCTCAATTTTTATTGCCACCTTAGAAGTAAATTAATAAGAAAAATTTCATCCTTCAATGGAGTTCATGAATGCCTAAAATTGAATACTTTTGTATTTCTCATTGAAAAAATAACTATAATTTTTGAAGTTTTTTCTGAAAATAATATATAGTCTCTGCCCTCTAGAAACTTAGAGTTTTGTGGAGGACCTTGACCATTGATAGATAATTATGGTGCGGCATAATAAATCTTGTAATCCTCCTTGAAGTAGGCTGGCATCTCTTCTGTACTCAGAAAGCAGAGGCTTCGTTTGCTTTGTTGGATATCACATTTCAAGTTACACACAGGTTCTCAAACATTTTTCACAGGACATTATATTCTTAAAAATTTTTTTAATTCCTTAAAGACCTTGTTAATGTGGGTTACAACTATCAACATTTAGCTTGTTAGAAACTAAATTTGAGTAATTTTAATAACACATATTAAGTAGATACAGTAAATAAATGCATTGCTTATTAACACAAATAGCATATTTTTAATAAAATAACTATTTTCTAAAATAAAGAAAAATTCAGTGACAAGAGAGGCAATGGTTTGTGTTTTTGCAAATGTCTTTAATGTCTGGCTTAAGAGAAGACAGCAGGAAATCTCTTCACTATTGTGATACATGTCATGTAGGCTCTGGAAGGCTTCACTGTACACCCTTATAAAAATCAGAGTGAAAAAAGCAAATCATATGTTAGAATTATTATGAAAATAGATTTGACCTCTTGGACCCCCTGAAAGGATGAGGAACCCCAAGGGATCCCTAGATCACCCTTTGAGAATCACTGATGTAGAACACTCCCTGTCAGAGAGTGTAAGTACAGATACTTGAGTGAATAAACAAATGAGTATGCAATCGAAAGTGAAAGGTAGGCAGCAAAATGCAAAAGACCCTTTTCTGTTGTCAAAACTTTTAGTGGATGTTCTTTATGTTGTCTGACCTGAATGTAACCCATACTTGGTGAGAGTGGGGACTATTTTTCCTAATTATGTTTCTGACGAGTACTGTCCAAATTCTAACTTTGCCTTTTAAGCCCTTATTCCCCCTCAAGCTGATGGAGAAGAATTCCTTTTAATTCTACGACAGAGTACTCTAAGCATGTGAACAGCCGGCTCTCATCTTACCCACTTAATGGAGAAAGACTGTCTTAACAGAGGAAAAAGAAGACAGCATATAAAAGAGAGGCAAAGGTGCACAGATAGAGAAAAGAGCATATCTAAATTTCAGTTATGTCGCATATTTTATTTTCCAAGTCATTCACAATACTCCTCACTGTGAGAATCTATGTTCCTTTCCCTTAGATATGGCAGGGCTGTAACTGCCAAGAAAGTGACTCCTTAAGACTTCCAAAACTTGTACATAAAGGGTTATACAACTTCTTTCTGGTCCTCTTGGAACACTGGCTCCTGGAACGTAGTCCCTATGCCATAAGGAAGCTGAAGGAGGCCATGGAAAGGCCCATGTGGAAGGAAAGAGAGCCCCCTCCAATCTGCAACCCTCGGCCCCAGCTGAGCTTTCAGGAAACAATAGCATTAGCTTTCAATCATGTGAGAGAACTGTCTTCAAAGTAAATCTTTCAGGCCTAAGTGGAGCTGCCCCAGCCAATGAGATGAGCCTTGCCTTGTGAATCCTGCCCAAACTGCAGATTTGTAAGTTAAATACACAGTTGGGGATGGTTTATCAGTAGATCATGAATATGTGTTATAAAAGCAAATACTCTTTTTTCTTTTCTAAACTAGTTCAAATGGGGTTTCTACGTTTACAACCAAAAAAGACCTGAGCAGTACATGATTATTCTTAGTCTTATTTACTAGTTTTTTTTTACTACTTAATATTAAATGACAGAGAAGACAAAAGAAAGAAGATACATCCTCTGCTATCATGTAATAATTTAACTAGCTGCCCAAAACTCAAGCTTATTTAGGATATATAATTATTAATTTATTCATAGCATGTCTTCTGCATATGAATATCAATTCCACTTTTTTAATAACATGATGCAAATAACCTAAATTAACAAAGTAGTTAGATTTATTTTCTTATTAAATACTTTTCTCAATTGTTTTTGAAAACTGCAACTAAAACTGAGTAAAATGTTTCATTGATATAGGTGAATAATATAAAAGTTTTCTTATATAATTGCTCATTTAATATTTTCCATCAATATTAAATAATTTTTGTAAATCCTTAGAACCATGTGACAAAAGCCTCCTGAAGTATTTTGCTTAAGGGAATTAAGTCATCTCTCTTCCTCACATGACCAATTGTTGATCTGAAGGAATCTTTGAAGATATAGTAACTCATTTGTGTTCAAGCATAACCGTGGAATGATTCCCTTGAAATCTGTCCGTCTTTAAAAAAATAGTCTCTAGACAGACATACGTATTTTATTTTCAATGTATAACATACTAATTTCTTTCAAGTATTATGTATATTATACTATTCAATTATATCACTTTATTTTTTATATTACTCAAATAGACAACATCCACTGTCTCTTCTGATTCTCTGACATGGATTTGACTCTTTCTTTTTCCATTGAAACCACATCTGCTACTAGGTTGGGTTTTCAAGATGATCATCATTAATAGCCTTAGAGATATTGGTGGTTTGCAGCAGTTAGAGAGGCCTCCCCCAAAATATTGCACCCATTTCTAAGTTCAAGGAAGCAACTTTAAAAGAGTTATAGTGGCTTCTGAAGATGACTTCAGAGAGCGTTAGTCACCCCAAGATCTGTGGCTGAGAATGAGAGTGGTGAGTATCCCCACTACTTTTCTTCACTGTGCTATGCGGATACCTGCTCCACACCCATAGAAATATTGGAGCTTCTGTTTTTCAGGCATTTGCCTCCTCAGGGAAGAAGCACCAATGGATGCAGATCATTATCACAGGGATCTCTGACAACCACAAGGCCTCAAAAGGCTATCAGGTCATTTTCCATGATAGCTTTTCTCCCTTCCAATCTTTCCACCCTGAATATTTGCCAGTTACTTACGCCAATTTCTTCCTGTCCCAAAACTTAGCATTTGATCTGTGATGGGCCTTAACTTACTATGTGGTTAATACATTTTCAAATTAGTCTTTGGTTAATATTTTAATAGCATCGAGCACTGCTAATACTTGTGCTCTTCCTCATTTCTTTCACTCGGGTCAGGCTAGAGTCTTCCCAAGACTCTCAGTTCATTGGTTTAGGAGCCCTTGAGGTGCATTAAAGAGCTAATGACCCATAAAAACTCAGGCTTGCTATTTTTTAACCCTCTGTGGTTTTCTTTCTATGTATGCATAGTCCACCACTACAGAGTGTCCACTTTCAGATTATGCATCTGCAGGTTCATTGGGAAAATTAATAGTCTACAATATAAAGTTGATTTAAAACTTGGATATAAAAAGTCTCTGTAGTGTTGTTACTTTTTTAGCAGTGGAGTGAATAACGTTGATATGTCTAATTAATACCCAAAGAGAATTTTCTTCCCATTTGATCAATTACAAAAATATTGTTAATATTTTTTCGGGATACATTGTGTTTGTATAAAGACTTCATTATAGAGTCATTATTCTACTTTTTCCAGGAGGAAATGTGAATATGAAAGAACCATTGAGTAGCTCCATTGTCCCTCCAGATATGGGGGAGACCATACTGATTAATCTGTACCAATTCTTTTAACAAGTAAATCAAATAGGCACTCAAAAGTGCTGCATAATTTCTATCACTTCAACTGAATTCATAACTCATCTCAGTTCTTATGAAAAGAAAATGAATAAATTGTTAAAAATCACATATAAAGAAATAACCTATAGGCACACAGATGCTTTATATGACCTGGAAAACAAATAGAATAGGTAGGGCTAAGCATACTTGGCAAACACAACAAAAAAGGAGAAAATTTTTCTGAAAAAATAAGTTTCTTTAGAGTATTTTGTATGTTTCTTTTTTTAAAAAAAATTAAAAGCTCAGTTAGTGTTTGCCAATTATGGATGGGAGAGATGTTGGAACACAGTGCTCTCAAAGGTGGTGATCAAAGTCTTTTCATTTAGCTTTTTGTGACTATTAAGCTGCTCATTTGGTGAAGGTGATCATTAGTGTCTTAATGTGAAACAAAAGCTTCGGGACAAGAACTTCTGGTTGAAGATCAATATGAGAGATAACGTTTCAGTTACAGCTTTAATAATTGTAACTGTAGGGAGCCTGGCAGAGCTGGTATTATGAATTAATATAATATATAATCCACCAGGTACAAACGGAGAGTACAAATAAAGGAGGATTGCTAGCAGTGACTACACTGGGAATATTTGGGTGAGAGGGAACTGTTTGATAAATGCGACGTTGACTCAAAGTGGGCACCAGTACAGTCGCCACAATCACATCGTTCAATAAGAGAATGCATATCTGAGGGGCAAATTGGGGAGGGAATTCAACCAAGGAGAATAAAACTCGGAACGACCCCTTGAAAAGCGATTAATTTTGCACATTCCATTATCCTATAACGTTTCTTGTGGGATTTTTTTCTTTAAGTGGGTAAAATCTAACATACGGTTGACATTTTCATGTGATTTGCTGCTGAGGTACTATTGTACTCTTGAACAGAAGTTACAAACAACTTGGTCCAGAGACTGTTATCAATCTACCAAAGATATAATATGCCATTAACCTTTTCTGATTAATAGAGCTTATCATTTTATCCTGGGGCAAACTGTAAATGAAAAATAAAGTTCAAAATATCCACTCAATTTACTCCAGATAAAATTAGAGGTTTTTTTTAAGTTTTGTGGATTATCTTTATTATCTGTGTGTAGCTTCTTTATATTTACCTTGATGTTTGCCCTTTGATTCTATCTTTGAACATTTATTTTGCATGTTGAAGCCAGTTATCATTTTCCAGACATTTTCCTATCCTTTCTGATGTTGCAATGAGATATTCCCTCCCTTGAACCAGGATTGATATGTTTATGGGAAAGTTAAAAGTACAAAATAAATTTTCAGTTTTTCTTTTATAGGAGACGAAAAAACATTTACAATATATAACAATCTCTAAAATTGCTTAGTTTTTATCAAAACATACATTTAAATATATAATTATAAATACTACTTGTATAACTGTGCATATTTGTATATGATTATAAATTATATCCAAAATACTTGTACATGAAACAAACATCTCGGGTTTTTTAAAATATTTTTAGGTCATATATACCAATATTTACATCTACTAGTTTTGACTCATTTTCAATTCCTTTGAAGTATTTTTGTCTTCAAAGAAACTGAATCCATAGTTACCTAAGTGTTTGTGTGTATGTATATATATTTTTTATTTGAGTCTTCTTGGGCACCCCTTCTTTATTGAAATTCATGGATGTCAACTGACATCGTCTGGTTCACTCCCCCTTTTCCAATCAGTCTTTTAACTTCTTTGTAGGCTCCTTAAAGGTTCGAGCCCTCTTATATTTCTACGCTTTGTCTCAATGGGATCTTGGCTATTTCTGTAGCATTAAATACCATCTGTTGGTTGTTGACATCAAAATTATATCTCCAAGGCATATCTATTCTCTGAGCTCCAAACTCACGTAATTGATTGTCCCTATGACACTTTCACTTCGGTGTGCACTGAAATCTCAAGCTTCTCACAACCGAATATGACCCACTTGACATCTCACCTCACCAGATCCCTGTGATATTTGGTTCTTCCTGTCTCAGTGATTGGCACTATCATCCACCCAGTTTCTCCATCTTGACTCTCAGAAGACTCCTACTTTCTTTCTACCTACATCGAACCCCTCTGCAACTCTTTTCAGTTCTATATTGACAATGTCCTTTAATTGTTTTGTTCCATCTATACCCACTCAACCAATCTAGCACAAGCCACCACGATTTATTGAATAGAGAATAGGATGGACAGGCTCCTTAATAGTGTCCCCATTTTCTCTCTTCCTCTCCTAACCTATGCTTTACCCAACAGAGAGACTTATGTGCTTAAAATCCTTTCGTGGCCTCTGATTGTGCATCAAATAATAAAATCTAAACTCCTTGTAGTCGACTGCAAAGCCCTGTGTGATCTGAGGAGTGTCCCTACTCTCACCTCACTCTTAATTCACTCTGATCTTATATTAGCCTTAATCTCTATCCAGTGTTATTTTGTTTGCAGCAGCGAAGTGTCCTGATTAAAAATCACATCTCCCAGTCTTCCTTGAAGCTAAACGTGAACATTTGATACCCTTTTGAACAACGAGATGTAAGTAGAGATTGCTGAATGGGCTTTCCATGGAAGCTATTTAAAAGAGAGCAGGTTCATCTTGCACATGCCTTCTTCCCTTAATGCTTGTCTTCTTTCCTGCCTGGAATGTAGCTGAAATGCTAAGGATAAAGCAGCCATCTGCTGGCCATGAGAAGAGAGGCAATAGGAAAAAAAAAACTACATTCTAAAGATGGTGAGTGGAGAAAAATGATAAACCTGTGTCTTTGATAATGTGTTTAGCCAAGCACAGCAACTGCTCTGAATTATTGTTATACAAACATTTAAAAAGAAAAAGAGAAAAAAACCCACTACAGATTTATTTATTTAAATCACTATGTCCACTTTTCTGCTACATAGAGCCAAATGGAACCTTTAATGGTTACAGAAGGTCATGTGACCATTCCTGGACTGAATTCATTATTCATAGGGGTGGACGGATTCCTTTCTTAGGGTTAGGTACAGCTTGAGGCAGTTTGATAAGCATTATTCTTTATCAAATTTTTCATCAACAAGACTACTAGCATAGTTTTGCTAGACACAGGTGGAATCATCTCCAACTTTCCCAGCCTGGTTGTCGATGTAAGGGTGTAGTTAGTATACATAAAAAATTAAATCCCCAGCCTGCCTTTCTACTGGTGCTTTCTGTAACTCCAGCTCCATCTTTAGCAATATAATTGTGGTTACTATACTCTCCAGGATGCCTTATTTTACTGCCAGTCCCCCACTCTTCCTGCCGTGTTGTTTCCTGTGACTTCCAGTCTCTAAATGGATATAGAAAGAGGAGCAAAGACGAAGAGCAACAGAATTCTGGCTATTTTAGAAAACAACACCTGTGTAGCACAGGGATGCTTGCCTAGTATTTGGTGGGTTTGCACATCATAAACTCTGAACCACAAGGCAGGCAGTAGAAAAGATAAGCTGCCAATTTCAGCCTCAATGAATACAATAGTGATATCCTGAGGTCACTCCATGTTCATGAGGTGAAGCATAGCTGAACTATTATTTTTCTTCTTTAATTCAGCTCCTTTAGCTTTATGACTATGAGGTATCTCTAAATTCTATTTTTTTGTTGTTGCTATTCTTGTGTTTTTGCCCTCTCTGTGTCTTCAGGAATGTTTTCTCCAGAAATTAGAATATTATTAGATGTTACTAGCCACCTAATATTCTAAACCTTTTAAAGTACCTTAGGTTGAAAAAAATTAAATGCTTATTTTCATCAAGGTTCTGTTGAGGTTAGAGAAAGTGTCTGACTTCACGGAGTCTTCATTGTAACAGGGGATCTATAATATGAACACATAAAATGCTGACTAATAATAATGAGGATAAATAAGTTTTTAAAATAAAGCAGAAAGAAATGCACTAAAGTTGTGCAAGGTGAACAATTACAGAATCAATCAAAGGAATAATTATTATAGGAGTTCAGATGAGAGAAAGGTCAGTCAGAGAAAACTAGGCAGGGGGTTGAGTTTTAGTTGGCTCTCTGAAGTTGAATAGAATTTTAATAGGCATAACGGAGAATACACATCTGATTCCCACTCATTCTCTTAGCCACATTGAACATGGCAGAATGTATCCACAAATGCATGCAGTAGGGAGAGTTTCAGGGCTTAGGGTCAGTAACACAGAGTGTGCCCCAGCATGTCGAAAGCTTGAGTTTTGGTTGGTATCAGGTATCTTTAAAGTCACATCTCAGTCCAATCATGTATTTGTTGGTGGCAGTGGTGTGGGATTAACCAAATCTTCTTTACAGGTGCACTGCTTCACTTAAATACAAAGTAGTCTCTCATCAAGTTATAGCACTTAGCATAATGCCGAGTACATATAGATGTCCCCACATGGTAAACATTTGTATTATTGTAATGTAAGAGCTCACTGTGAATTGTAGCTGAGGATGGAAGTCAGCAGACATTGTTACAGGAAGAATAATAAAACGCAGAGGTGATTTTCCCTAAGAATCAGAAGCTGCAATCAATCAAGAACAGGTTGAATAAGAGTTCAGGGTGGTTTAAAATATAATGGTTCAGAATGTAGGTGGGTGTTGGAAGCTCATTTGCTGAAAAGTGATGGTCAAATGGCAGAGTGAGGCACACAGAGCAGCTCGAAGGTACAGAGCCAGGCCTGACAAAAGGACTTTATACAAACAGGTGGCATAATGATAATAGCAATTTTCTACAATTTTTATAGAATCTGCATCATGAAGATTTACTTGAGGGGATAATTTACATCTGGCTTTGACTTCCTAAAAATATTTCTAATCCTGGCTAGAGTGCAATGTTACTGGTCAGATTATTGAACCTGTATCATGCTCATAACTAACAAACAAAAGCATTACTACCTCTACGACACTGGCCACTGATAGTTCTGATTGAACCTGGAGGGCCCACTTCAGTTCTGATTGAACCTGGAGGGCCACTGACAGTTCTGATTGAACCTGGAGGGCCCACAAATGCTTTCCATATCTACCCATGACTGACACTTTGATTTGTCATTGGCAATTCAAATCAGTGCCCTGGGTGTGTCCCAGGGGCATTAGTGTCTTTGGGAATCAGCAAAGGATAATGTGTTCCAAAGTTTCATTTATGCAAATAACCACCTGAATACATGAAATAACTATTTTCTCCTATTTCAAAAGCTTCTTCCTACCTAGGAGGCAACTCGGAAAAGTTATACTGAAAGGAGACAGGAGTTTTGCAGTTATCTGCATGACAACTCAGTTTCTTATGGTCCTCAGGGGACATACAAATAAAGTTGGAATAGATATGCTAAAGCCAGCATCACCAACTCAAATGCCAGATAGGTAAAAACACCCCATGAAGGGGGCCTGGCTGGACTGTTTTGAACTAGGGAGAATTTGCCCCATCTAGAGGAGGCAAGAGATACTTAGCTTCAGCTAGTTATTGCCTGCTTCTTGGGGAACCAGCCCCAGATGCCAGAATTTCTGATTTTTTGAGACATGTCACAAATACAAATTTTCATGTGAAATCTCAGAATGTCAATATGTCAGCTCAATTAGAAAGCAAAGAGGAGAAAGCACTGTCTAGGCAAAATAAAATACATCTTTAGGTGGAATTCAACATGCCAGTTGCAAGTCGAGAAATTCTAAAGAGGCCCTTGGCCATGTAGCATTATCTTCCTCATGTGAACCTGCTTCTCTATCCATTAAGGCTTCTATTTGGTAAAGCAGAGATGCTCCCAAAAAAGACATTTTGGCTATGAAGAAGTGAGTGGAGACTGTTTGTAGAGTTCATTTTATGTTGTTTCATTTCTTAATGGATGTTACATGTCAATGGAAAAGGAAATAAAAATTCTAACAAAGTTTAAAAGTCTCCAAATTAATTAGTGAGAATGTAAAGTAAATGATGATAATTAGATGACTAGTTAAATCGAAGTTGATTTAAATTTTGTATAATATTGTAAGGGCCTTGTGTGATTCTTTATGATAAGATTTACAAGTGCACGGCTTCACTTAAATACAAAGTAGCGTCTCTTCAAGTTTTCAGAATGATTAAAGTTAAATCTTAGATAACCCAGAATAAACAGAGTATTTAAAACTTGATGACAAGAGAACACCTTTTCCACAGAAAACCATGGTTACTTTTTAGTGTTACTTGAAAGGCAGCAAGATGTTTCTTAATTTATAATAATTTAAGAGACTAAAATTGAAATTAGGACCAGTCATGGTGGCTGAGGCCTGTAATCCCAGCACTTTGGAAGGCCAAGGTGGGAGGATTGCTTGAGGCTGGGAGTTCTAGACTACCCTGAGCAACACAGCAAGACCCCGTTTCTACAAAAAAACTTGAAAAACAGCCAGGATTGATGGTGTGCACCTGTAGTCCTAGCTACTGGGGAGGCTGAAACAGGAGGATTGCTTGCACTTGCACCCAGGAGTTCAAGGCTGCAGTGAGCTACAAACATGCCACTGCACCACTACCCTCCAGCCCAAGCAACACAGCCAGAACCTGTCTCTAAAATAATAAATACATAAATAATTGAAATTAAGTCCAAATGAGAAAATCTGAATAACAAAATTCCTGTTTAGCTATGTAATATAAGCTACTTTCACTACCAGTGAAATGTGATAAAGACTACACTTCTAAGTTTATGCTTTATGGCTGTCAACTTCTAAGTTTTCAAATTTATGACCAACAGTTGTTATTTTCTGACTTACCACATTATGTCCTCATCTGTGAACAGCCAGTCAATAGAACAGCTTTAAGAATACCAAGTCAAATGTCCTTAGGGCCAAGCAGGTAATGCAACCTGCAGGAAAACACCACAACTCTAATGAAAGGCTTTCAAATTCAAACTATTAAAAACACCATTCCAACCAAATAAAAAGTACCTCTGGTCATATTGCCTGGGTGGAGCCACCACTTGATGGTAACCCCTGTTTAGACCCATCATTTTCACCCTAGAGTGTGAATACTAAACATGAAGTTGTCATTGTTTTTGATGAGGAAAAGTCTGAAACAGGCCTCTGAAGCATAGGTGAAAAAAAGCAACCAGGGTTCTAGGTACATGTTGGTGACCTTGGGGAACAAGGTTTCATCAAAGCAGTCAGATGGGAGATAGGGGGCTCAGAGTTAGAAAGGGCAGCATGAGTGGTGGCAAGCTCAGGTTAACAGTCAAAAAGTGAGAAACCATGGTCTTAAATGCATACTGAATCCAATCTGGGTTTCCTGGGCCATTCTCATAGCAAGACTGCTGTCCCATTATCCATATGTAAGAAAAATAAGGAATTGTGAGGTCTCAGTAGAGCCTATTTTGTCTCCTGGTTAATGTAATTACCTTTGCTTTGATGGGGTGCACGTTAGTAAAATGGCCAGCAAGTACTTTAAAGGCTACAATGGCATGATAAGAATAAAGAATAGATAAGAATAACACTAATGATAAAAACTGCTTTGGCAAGTTATAATTAGATCATGTACAAACCACAATCAACCCCATAAATTATGGCTACTTGAAGGACAATGCTCAGTCAGACCCTAGTAGCAAAGATCAAAGTAAAATTTTTAAGTCAAGAACTTGAAAATTTTGAATGCTCTGTAGAAGTTTAAATTATGTCTGTGTTCAGTTTTCGTGTTGAAACAAAAATAGTTATAGACATCAAATATATTAACACTTTCATTCGTATTCATAAAAATTATTATTTCAACATCAGTGAAAAGTTTATCATAAATTCAAAAAAGACTAAGGAAGAAGGAAAAAGAAAGAATGATGAATAAAAGAGGCATTATAAATCTAACCAGATAAGAATACTAGCAGCTTGACTTGTTACCAAAGAAAGTACTTCAATAGCTTGGGTACACCAAACACAAGACATAGGAAATAGGTCAAAGTGCGCAAGGGAGTTTAAAGTAGGTTAAAATCAGGTGGAATTCTTATAATTTGAAGTTTTAAAAAATCAAAGCTTGTCATTTGAGATATACAACACACAGAAATTCATCCTACAGGAGGTGAACGTCTCTTTTTTACAGGCCATTTTTAAGCATAGTGTAAAGTATTTGTGGTAAAATGCAACGTACTTGACACTAATACTAGTTTGAAGAGGTGGTGGTGGCAGTGGCAATGAGGATGTCTAGGTAGCTAACAGCAGAGTCTGGGCTATTCCAGGTAAAGATTCTACCTCACTTGAATGTAACCTCCTAGAGGACAGAGAAACTTTTTGGTTTATGTCCCCAGCCTTCAAAGGAGTCTCTGACATACTGTTAGTGCCAATAAAAATGTACAAATAAATAAATAAATAGATGAAATGAATAGATGAAACGTGTTCTCCTATTTCCCACTTTGGGGACTCTTAGAGGGACACACACAGGGGCAGGATTGAGATGGTGACCACTCAACGAGCAGGAATTATTAATGCAGAGACCTTAGGACACACCACTAGAGTAAAATTTCCTAGGATCTATAAACTATTAGAGGACACTAGGGTGAAAATAACAACAGCAAGATTCCCTTAAATGTAGGGCTGTGTTACCCAGATTGTGTTGTGGATGAGAATAATCGGGATGTCACATGAATAACCTGTCTAAAAGTCAAAGGTAATTCATTAGCATTTTCAAGACAAGAAAGAAGATATTTTTTTTCTTTCTTTCTTTCTTTCTTTTTCTTCCTTTGTTTTCTTTCTTTTTTTCCTTCCTTCCTTCTTTCTTTCTTTCTTTCTTTCTTTCTTTCTTTCTTTCTTTCTCTCTTTCTTTCTTTCTTCTTTTCTTTTCTTTCTTGACGTTAAAGGCATGGAGGTTAAGGATAGTACATCCAGGAATGTAAATTTCTTTCCTATTTGATGATGTGTTATTGGCATTAATACTGTCAATAATTCATGGTAAAAGAGGAAGTTGCCATGAAAGGTTACCCATTGTCAGCCTGTAATCAATAGGTAAGACCACAGTGTGTGATGTATTATCAAGTATCAGCCAGATTCACTTTCTCATGGCTTTAAAAACAGTGGTAGTTACACTCAGTTTGTCTAACCTGAGCTAAGCTTATTTGTTCATTAACCTTTCACTGCTGATTACAGAATATCCCTTGAATACATTTTTTTAAGTACAGAATATCAGCTCTTGCTATTTAATTTGTGTGTTCTGGCAGTGGGCCTCTAGGATTTGCCCCATGTTTTGATGTTGGCGTTTACATTAGAGCAAACAAAACTGTCACTTTGTTTTCCTGTCTTCCTATATTGGGTCACTTTGTGCTACATGATATGATCTAAGACAATTCAATGCAAGGAGACACATGTCCCTTCTCATTGGAAATATGAAGACAGCAGCTTTATTTTACCCTGTGGGAAAGAAAGCAGGTTTAGTGTCCAAAAGTAGTGGAGGAAAGTTGGTGTCATCACTATTCTTCCTTCACAGAGATAATGTAAGAGCATAAGGCAAGAACAGCACTGGTTTCTTCACAAAGGAATAAAAAGAGATCAGTACTTTGGTCATTTATGTTTATGGTACTGTGGAAAGGTACTTACACAAAACAAAACTACCATTTCTCAACACTTTCAAATACATTTTAAATCTAATAACATCTTGGAATCTCAGAAAAAAAGTTTATTGAAATCACCTCGTAAGGGATACATAAAAAAGAATAATGATTAATCATTTGGCTTCCTTGATTTAGGAAGTAAAAGCATGATTTATTTCCGTTTGATTTTCAGGGTTTCTGACATCTAAAACATTTTGATACTTACACATTTATACTTAATTTTGTTTTATAATTTCCAAAAATTTCACTAAAATAGTGATATATAAAATAATTTGGACATAAACTGATAACACGTCTGTGTCAGCCCATGTAATTTTTGTTATCAATGGTTTTTGCACATGGAAAACTGCACCAGATATAACAGTGACTATAGTGCTTACTGGAAGCAACATGCTGCTTTTTCTCCAGAAAAAAAAAAGCATGCAATGTAGTAATAATAATGATGACATGAAATCTAATAATAATAATGAGGAGGAAATTCAAGAGGAAGAGGAGAAAAAAATCAAGTAACTGAATTTCCCCTGGGTTTTTTCATTTTTCCCCAAACATTCTGTCCTTTTTCTCTGGGTATGTGATTTATCTTTAACTTCAGCACATCCATAAATCTGCTTGACATATGACAACTATATGTCCTATTGCAAATCAAATTCCATATCTCTTCCCCCAATAAACCTATTGTCAGTGCATTGGAAGTGAATAGGAATCATAAAAATCCATCACCTCAAAGGAGAAGCATATGAGATTTCATATAGAGAAGATGGCATCATTTCCGTGAGATTGCCACATTGCTGTACATTTGCTAATTAGTTGTAACATGCATTAATGTAAAAAAAATGTATTTGCCTTACATGTTATTGTTTGGAGATGGTTCTGCTTATCAGTTTTTAATATGCTCTTTGAAAACTGACACGTACTTTACCCACATCTCTTTAGGAACATGGGGATTCAAAGGCTGGATAAAATACTTTAATGCTTCCTAACACAAACCTGAGAGGATAATTAAACAGATGGTAACAATAAACCGAATCTGAACACATCAGGGACTGAAGTCCCTTATTAAAAGCCTTGCACACTGAAGGCAGTGGAAAGAAAAAGAATGAAACAAAAAATAAAACTCTGGGGAAGTGTATTAGCAGACAACACCTTTATGTCTGCCTTGACCTCCGAAGCAGAGGCTAATCAACCGTTTAGGGATGGGTTTCCTTCCACCTAGGAGAGGCCATGCAAGAGGTCTCCTGCACTCTCTGAGGAGCAGAAAGGCAAAGTAATTGTGTGATTCTCAAGGAATGCATCTGTTCCTCAGGCTTGCCTTCGAAGGTGTCATTTTTAGACACACAAATTTTATAGCTATAAACACACCGCCGCCCCCACTTATATCGCCTCCTCCAAATAGCAAATCTTTCTAAGTCAGAGGACTTGTGCTTTTCTTCTGCCAAAGGGCAAAAACTAGGTACTATAGATTTCTGTGATGACACAGATATTCTGAATATTTTCTGCCACATTCTTGGCAATAGAATGATCTCTTATTTATTCTGTCCTTGAAACATATTGGAAGTCTACTTGTTTCTCTGATCTTATTGTCAGCTTGTCCTGAGTTATATTTACAGAAGAAGAACCTTGAGGCAATCTTGATATTTCAGCTTGTAAATATATATGTTATTATTTTCTCCTGGAACATAAAAATAGGTCCAAATATAAATTATATACAAATACATCTCTCCATATATTTCTATATATCTGTATATAGATATGTATATATTCTATATATCTATATAAATAAAGAAATGTGTGTGTATATATACATATACTACCTGTACACATACATAGAATCTACTGTATACAAGGAAGAGTCTAGTTATTATGGAGGCCTGCAAAAATGTTATTGTGCCATCACACAAGCAAAGATGCTACCGTGCCATTACATAAGGCACTTACAACCTGGGGGATAATTGAGTCAGTGTTTGCTGTTCTGTTTCTCAACCTGCTTCAGTTCTCTGCTTCACTTGCCAAGATTTTAAAGTGCCATTTATCAGAAACATTCAGCATCAGTACAGCAATGATTTAGCTTAACTAAGTGCTAGCAAGCAAAGGATAATATTTGACATACTGTGTTTTAGGTTAATCAAGGTTATAATGATGATCTATTAAAATACATTTTTGAAAATTGAGGCAGATATTAAAATGGGAAGACATACAGGCATAAATAAATGTAAATTAAATGGTAAACACCATTTTCTAGCTTGCCTTTTACCTGTTCGTGAGTGCACACTGCCATTAAACACTCTCCAGTTTTAATTTTTGGGTGTTAACATCTGGTAAATATGTAAAGAATATTCCCATCTGCTGATACAATTGTATGTAAAGTGACACATATCACCTTGGGAGTTTGCCATAAATTAAACCTCTCTTAATAATATTGACTATGGTTCCAAAGTTATTTTAAGAGTGAAGAGTATTATAAGAATTAAATAAGAGATGCTGCAAAAATTTAGTGGAAAAGCATAGTTGCTGGCACACAGCGTATTAGGTAACCTTTTTTAATTAGAAGGTACACTTTTAGATTACTGATTATGAACATCAGGGGACCTGAGATTTTGATTCATCAGTAATTCTCCTTTATGTCTAAACTAAGATGTAAAAATGAGACCTCTGGCTCTAACTCCGTATTTCAGAGTCTTTCCATGCTGTTGCAGAAGCTGTGTTACCTGTAATCTCTAGTACTGCTCTGCCCCCTTGTGCTGCTGCAGTGAACTCGACAGAGGAACAGTGTGCCTTCGTCTCTGTACATGAACTACAGAAAAACCCCACTGTCACTTCTCACTTTTCTGGTAAGTTCAAGGTCAGTGTCTAGCTATTTTCAGCTCATCTCTTCTTGATCCATGCAGAGAAATGACAAGGTAACGTGATTCGGGGTCAGCTGTATTACAGGAACCGTTACATAAACGGAGAAAGTGAAAATCAATCCTAGCTGACAGTGACTTCGGGATAATCAGCGCTCACTGGATGCCTCTGTCAGTTCGCCTGCATCAAACACCGTGTGACTTCTGTCAGATCTTTTTAATAAAACTATATTCTCACTTTCAGCAACCTAAATACATGTTCCACTGGAACTGAATTTTTTAGACTATTTTAGCCCTCTAGATTTGTAAACTATCCCAATATTTCCTTGAAACATCTCATGAATGATATCTGTCATTCCATGGTTTGTTATTGACCTGAGATGAAAGGTGTTACTGTGAAACATGCCATCCTTTGGGTGATCTAGGTGAGCCCTCCTACAGACGGCCGCATCTTCTGCCTTGAACTCAGCACCACAATCTCAACACCATTTCCCAAATCATCCTCAGCTCTCACTCTTCTCTCCTACTCGGTAACAGAACACTTAATCAATCATTTCTTATTGGGAGAACAGCTTCTTGCTCCGTTCTAGTTGTTCATTGTTGCTTTCCTCTCTACCTTTGTATTTTCCACTAGTTCATTTCCCCCTCATATAGAATTGGAAGCAGTATTTGACAAGATGTTCCATGTTAGAGGCATTCTCGCTGACAGCACCTGATCTGTCAGTCTTGAGAAGGAGCTATTTTATCCCACCAACCTTGTGGTCCCTTGAAATTGTGAGGCACGCAGTACTCAGCTGAAGTACAATTTACCATAATATTAGTTGTCAGCAAATTCAAAGACGGAACTCCTAAAGCTATAAAATGGATTAGAAGCAATTTAAAAAAAAATTAACAAACTAGAGTAAGAGTATACTGTCAACAAACAAATGCTCCATCATAGGACTGTAATTTGGAATTTTAATTACCCCTCTGCTCTGTAACAAAACAATGTCTGAACTGGCAGCGATTTGAATCTCTCACAGGTCATTGAGCATTCTAGCTAATTACTCTATGAATAGCCTGTTTTTCTCCCCTCTGGAAACACGTTTCTAATGGCAGTCAAGGTCTGACAAATGTGTCATCTACATAATTAGCTAGGAAGCAACACAAAACATTAAACATGCTTTGTGCCGACAACTATCAAAACATTTCATTTGTTGTCAATTATTCATTACTTTGTAGGTTCTGAAGGGGTTGTTATTATGGAAATAAGTCCAGATGCTAACAAGGTTAGAGTTTTGGATTCAAATTAGTAATCAGAGGACTAACTTTTAAAAAAATGTATCTCATGTACATTCAGCACCATGTTCTATCAGTAGGAGATTATAAACAAATTTAGCTATGCTCAGGTTAAGATGGAAACGGTGCAGCCACATATGTGGTTGTGAGAGCCCTAGCTCTTTCTTTGAAGTATGGACTCTTCACTGTCGTCATAAACTTTCTGAACCTTTTGGCAAGTCCAATTTGTGCTTGGTAAATAGAGTTAAAGATTTTCACAGCATGAGATGGCAAAGGGTGGCATGGACAAGGAAAGAAATCTCCAGTGGTTTTTGAATCTTCTTCTCCCAGGGGCATATTGTGTAAAAGTCAAAATTCTAGCTAACAAACTTTTTCATCTGTTCTACAGCATGTCTGCAAAATACCTTAGGAAACCTTCGAATTTCATGCTTATTTGTTTGTTGCTGTTTTTAAAATCTTGTTTCTTTTATTATTTTAATATTGTATAGAAAGCACTGTCTTGAAAGCAGCACTCCTAATGTATATAGAAAATATTAAAAAATCTCAACAAAATTGCCCTCCCAGTGGTAAAGAAAATTGCAGTGGAAGACACATTATTGTGTAGTCATATCAGAGGCCTGGATCTTTGGAGAGTCTCACTCCACTGTCCTCCAGCTTTTCCTTATAAACCAAAATGGCTTACAAATGTCATCCACAATAGTCCAATAAAGATTAGGAACAAAACACTGTCCTTACATTGATGAGATAAGAGAGATTTAACTGAAGAATGCAGTGTATAAGAACAGTTCATAAGGCTTGTTCTTGAATCAGAAAAATAGAATTTAAATTATATTTGTGTGTGTCTAGAATTTAATTGAGATGATCAGTTTATTTTCTACATAATGTTTGGTCAGATGCCTGTACTACAGAGCTAGATAAAAGGAAAAGAAAGAAAACAAATTCTATCAGGGAAGTCAAGAAGACCCGTTATCTACAGGGTGTGCAAAATATGTCAGGAAATAATTCTACCCTGAGCGCTGAGAATGCCCAGTTAATGAAAAAAGATCAGCCACTCGCTACGAGAAAATAATTGTCTGTATCTATGTTTTTCAAAGCAAAAATACAGACACATCTTACACTAAATAGGACACATTAAAATAAGCTTTAATAATCTTTATGCAGAAGGAAACTAATCCATTTTCAGATCATACGATCCACAGCAATAAAAGGAAATCATCAAACTAAAAACAATTTTAGAAATGGCTGCAGACTCTCATTTAATTAACATGCAACAGATCATATATTTATGAGGAAGTCAAAATATTTAGGAATCCTATAATCCTGTAAGCCTTAATGTGGTATAAAAACAACAAATAAATGCAAAGTGTTACTGTTACACATGCCTGCCTGATCAATGGTTTTCACATATTGATCTATAAATGGAGTTGACAGTCTGTGTTGGCTGCACATTTTCCAAGCAGCGCTATTTTTGCACAAAACCAATACGGGCAATTACCTTTGTTTGAGATGCCAAGTCTTATCAATTCAATGTGATTTAGTGTCATTTTAATTAAATATCAGGATCCACTTCAGGACAATTTATACAAACAAAGCCTCAAACCTAACTATAAGCTTGATTTGAAGTAAACATGGACAAGCCCTACAATCTCATAATATTTCTTAAAAACTCTACTAAACAGAAGGTTTATATTTTTAGTAGCAATTTTTATGTCTGCCTTTTTGGCTAGCCACAACTTTGGCAAGTATCCTATAATCACAGAAGTAAGAAACAAAAGAAAATTGTTTCCTCTTTTTTCTGATAATATATTTAAAAACTGAACAAACAATCTGTTAATGGAAGTAAAAGGAATCTTGTATGTTAATGTTTAAAAATGGCTCCACCTAAGTCTTTATCTGAACACCAATAAAAAATATTTTCCTGTTCATGATGGCCATGAATGAAGTAATGCCGTTCTGTGGCGTTTACAAGATGGAAACGGTGAATATTCATACACGTTGTTGCTTAAGACACCAGCATTAAATGCCGAAACTACTCTTGCCTGCAAATCATATGTCTGCAGTTTCCTGATTCGGGCTATTTAAACTCCTCATTAATATCTATTCTAAACTGTGTATTAGGCAGGAGCATCTCTCTTATAAATAACATCAAAGCCACATTAAACCTTTTGCAATAGCTATTTGCTGCAATGCACATTGGTCTTTTTAGCCCTTAAACAGGCACAGTTCACTTGCCCCCATCTATTGGCCCTCAGCTGTCTGATTTTCTGTTTAGCACATTCTGGTAAATAAGCTGTCTACCTTTAAGAGGTCTCACTCTGGTGCTCAGGACGGGACAACAAATCACTGAGACCAAAGACTGTTCTTTCCCCACCAAAGGGAGCTCTCCAGATCTCTCTTACAGATGGGCGATTTTCTTGCAAACCACTTCCCCCTCTCGAAACTGCCCACCTCTCCAACATTTCCCACGTCAAAAAGTAACTTCTTTGAATTTTGAAAAGGCATTGATTTTATTAACCAAATTTTAGAATGATTATTTGATGTCTAAAGAAAACGATGCACATCACCAATAAAATACTAATGGAGGATTCATATCTGTTTTACTGAGATGCTTTCCTGCAACATTTAGGTTATCAAAATTTCTAACTTAGCAAGTAAATTCACCTACGTTTGCATAGCTGAGGGTTGGATAAATGTTTATATTGGCATTTCATAGCATTCCTCATTTAAGATAACTAAGAATCAAAGCTTTTACGACATATACAGGAGAATTTTGTATTGTGTTCTAAGTTAAGAGTCATATTAAAAACATTTTAATTGAACAAAATTTACGAGAGGAATTTATGAATTTGTGAGAAAATTACAGAATTGGTTTGACTCTAGAATATTTTATCATTTTTGTAATGAATTAAGTCATGATGAATGTAATATCAGATCCTTGTGTTATTATATAGTCCAGTAAGTCATACTGGATTTGCATAATTGTTATACTAGTGAACAAGTAGTATGCATATGCCATATATATTAAGTAGGATGCATGACATATGTATGATCTCTAAATACTTTTGATTTTTTTCTGTACAGACTACATGTATGTGCCTCTGTTACAACAAACCCTACTGCATTTGAATATGTGCCCACATTTTTAGTACCCATCTCTTCCCACCTCTAAATTCAAAATCTCCCCCTTGACCTCACCCCACCACCCAACTTCTGAAAAATCAAGTTCTTAGTTTAGCTTGAGCAGATAACTTTAACAGGCTTGTTTGAATAAATATGCCAAAATACTTTACATTCTGTCAGTATCTAGTCAGAAAATTGTGCATGGAAAAAAGAGATGAAAAGAACTGAGACAGAAAGAAAATTAGTGCCATGGCAAGCTTTCAATACAGTATCTCTGAGCCAAGTTTTCTCGGTGAAATGACACATCCTCACTAAAATACCCCTTTTATATAATTATGCACTGAGCACACATAACCAAAAGTAACTTTTATTTTTGTTCCTTATCGAGGAATACATATTGCCCAGGCTAAGAATGCGGAAACAAAAGCTGGGATAATTATAGCTAATTTAACTTTGGAAAACTCTTATTCTCTAGCAGTCCAGCATACAACCCCCCAAACTAAAGTTATGTAACAAGGTAATATCAACAATGAGAAACTGCATGATAAAATCCTGCCCAAAAGTGAAAAATGCTAATTTTGTCTCATTTAGCAGCTGGATACAGAAATGCTCATTAGTTTTAAGAGGGTTAATCCTTTTAACTTTTGCATATTGATATGCCAATTATGCCTAATTGTACAAGAGGCATCAGTCAAGGTAATAGTGCATAAACACATGAAAGTTATTAAGTACATCCCAACATGTAATAAAGTAGGTGTTAATTGGTAGCTGAGTTCTGCAGGCTATTGAGGTGGATAATTCATTGAGAGATGGATCACTTGTAATTTCTCTCCATAATTCCTTTTGCAGTCTCATGCTGTGATGTTTTCATGCTTGTCAAAAACAACTGCGGCATAGTGCCTTTTGTTAAACACAGCCAATAAAATATGTTAGGCATCATTAAATATACTTAACTTTTAAACTTTTTCAAAGGTACAGTTCTTACTGATAATACATTATAGAGATTCCAATAATTTACTCTAACCACTGTCTCAAGTTCATAGTTGATGAACATTTTAGCTGGTTTAAAAGCAAAGTCAGGCTGGCAGTGTTGTACCTCCCAGGAGACAATACTTTTAAATGAGAAAGTAAATAAAGAAAAATGCATATCTCATTAGTTACTTTATCTAAGGATGTAGTTCTCACTCTCCAAATATAATCACTGGCTTCCTCATGCTAAATTTGTCTACAACACCTGAGGAAAGAATGATTAAAATCACATATTTCTCATGTTCCTGAGATTGCTGTGGGTTAATTTTTTGAGTGAAAAATGGGGAATAAATACAATTGGTAACATGCTACTCAGCAAGTTTATCTCATTTAATAACTCAGTTAGGAAGCTGAATATTTCATAGGCCCCTATGATATTAACAGAACACTCAATTAATAGCTCACATGTTTCTGCAGGGTGACTGGAACTCAGCCTGTCCCCAGCTAACCTATTTCTCCTCCCTCTTGCTCTCACTGTGAGAAACAAAATAGATCTGGGGTCCAAAAGAGTGGCTAACATTGCATAAATAATTTTGTAACATCCTATGGCCTCAGCTGCAAGTTACCACCATTATGGAAGAAAATTAACCAGAGGAGACTCATCGCAATCAGTGGGTTTAGTGGCTCAGGATGCGTGCAGGGCCAGCGACACAATTGGCAGTAGAGTTCATCTCTAACTATTTTATTTCAAATCTTCCTAATGACACATTATCGAGACAAAATGGCTTCCTCTCCAAACCTTAAATAGCCACAGCATTTCAATCCTTTAAGCCCACTCCAAATCAAATCATAATTTCCAGTATCGTATATTATTGGGAGATTTTAAGGAAGAGATTTTCACATTTTTTTTTTTGAGATTTTTTTTTTTCTCAATTCATTCTTAGCTAATTTTAGCCTCTGGCTTTTCAAAGTGATGTACTGTATTTGGAAGTACAAACACCACATGCTAGCATAACCTCATTATTTTTATGACACTGAAGCATGATAGTAGAGGCCCTTAAAATGAGTCAAAGGTGCTCTTCAGTCTAGCTCCAAATCCACTTTATCACTCTGGATTAAGCCCAGCTCTTCTCTTGCAACTGGGGATATTATCATGACTGTAAGTATGCAAGATAAAATGCATTACAAAAACAGTTTTCTCATGCACATTAGGAAAACAAATAAAACAAGACTAATTAGCTTTTTTTTTTCCTTTTACAAAATTCTGTATGACAAGGAACTTGGGATATTTGGGGTATTTGACTTACAGGTTCAGTGACCTTCCCGACATCGGTGAGGATCATGGATTTACTTTGGCTGAGCCTGTCATGGTGGCTGTTGGCATTTTTGATTCTCATTTGCACAGCTCCTGTGCCTTGGCGGGTAGAATTCAGTGTTTCCACGGAAGTATCAGAATTTGTAGATTTCTGCATATTATAGTGCTATCCTGATAAAATATAAAATGTATTATGTTATTCTAAACATACAATTTTCCATGAAAACTCTTGATGGAGTGTCCCTAGTAATCATTAGGATATTAAAAGTTGATAAACAAGAGTCTTCACCTCTCTGACTAGTGAAGAAAAAAGTAGTTCCTTTGTAAGTTATTTTGTCAGTTGGGACCTTTACATGTGGATAGCACTATACATAACAGAGGACTTCAGAAGTTTATAGGTAGCACAACGATAGACTGTGTTTCTTAATTCCATTAACAAACTCCTAACAGTAATGAGATACAGTTTTCCTTATATAGAAATGGTGTTGCCCACCAACTGTCTTGAGGATATATGCTTTTTAATCCACAACTTCACTGGTCTATTACCCACTTTACCCCTACATGCTACCATCAGCACCCATTCTTGGTGAACAAAAATCTCTATGAATAAAGACAAATTTAAGTGAGTAAAATTGGTGTCAGAGCAAAACAGACCCCAGAGCCCCTACCCCCACTCACAATACTCACAGGGGGAAATTAAAATTCCTTCATCCACTGCCATCTGCCAACTGAACTAGATTTGCTAGCTTAGTTGGACATCGTATTTATAAAGAATATGAAGAAAAAAATCAGCACCATTTATTTTAATAGAAGGAGTCTGATTTAGGCAAGAAAATTTAGTATGGACACACTTTAAAGGAGCAGCAATGAGAAAAAATAGAATTTGGAGGAAGAAAACAAAGAGAACTAAACTGTGGCAGCACCAGAGGGTGGACTGGTAGAGCTTTAGCTGAGCCCCTCATCCATAATCCTCTTCAAATGTCCCTCCCCAAAAGTTCCTCAAGTGAACACAGCACCTCATTACAAACAGAATGGTTGCAATACAAACACATCTTCTCATTTTCTGGAAACAGCCCTCTTCTTGTCTGATTCTTGTCTCCAAGTCTAACCTAATAGACATCCTATAGCGGGCTCCGAGCACTGTGTACAGTGAACAAAACTGTGACTAGTCAGTTATGGGAGCGAATATAATCCAAAAGAAGAATCATGTTTTAAGGAGGCAAGTGTATAGCCACCCCAATGTTTGTTGGACAATGAGGCTAGAATCATTCATTCTAATGGCCAAGCAGGCAGACACTAAGACGAACAGAAAAGGAAATATTTTGATAGGAGGAAAATTGTTACTTTACAATAAATACCAGTAAGGCAATTAAATGACAAATTAGAAAAGAAGCTAATACTTAGTATCTACTATGTGCTAAGCAATGTGCTCAATGGTTGATTCTCAAAAAACTCCTATAAAATAGCCATTAAACCCATATTTTTATAAGAAAAAAATGAGGATCAGAGAGACTCATAATTTTTCCAGTAAAACAGGCAGGCAGAAAGAGGTGGAGGAGCAGGTATTTTATTCCCAAAAGAAGACCCATATGTCTATCAACAGGTGAACAGATAGACACATTTTAATTTATGCAATGAAAACAATAAACCATAAAAAGGAACAGACTATTGATGCATAAAACCACATAGATGAATTGCAAATCTATTCCGCTGAGTGAAAGAAACCGAAAAAAAAAGAAGAGGAATAGGAGGAGGAGGAGGAGGAGGAGGAGGAAGAGGAGGAGGAGGAGGAGGAGGAGGAGGAAGAAGAAGAAGAAGAAGAAGAAGAAGAAGAAGAAGAAGAAGAAGAAGAAGAAGAAGAAGAAGAAGATTTATTATATAATTTCATTTATATAATATTCTCAAAAATGCCAACTAAGGTATGCTAACAGAAAGCTGATCAGTAATTCCTTAGGGAAAGGATAGAGGCAAGTATGGATCACATTGAGCAAAGTTTTGGCAATGATGGGTATGTCTGTTACCTTGATTGTGGTGTTGGTTTCATAGGCATTTACACATGTTAAAAATGAACAAATTGTATACTTTAAACACTTGCACTTTATGATTCTTCAGTAATAAATCACGAAGATGTTTATAGAAAAGTTGTTTTAGCAATTGCTTAGCCAATTTATTTTGCTCTTATTTTCCTTTTTATATGCTTACATGAGTAATGTATTATTCAAAATTATCTAATTGAGAATGCAAGAGTTTTTTTCAATAAGTATGAAATAAAAATTTGAAGTATGTATTAAGAAGAAAATCATATATTTTTCTAGAAAAATATTTTCTCCTCTGAGTGCCTTCAAGGGTTGATTTCCCACATTATTCAATAGATTCAAACTCTAAGGACAGTGTGTTTGTAATATTGGTGGATGAAATCACTCAGGCTGAAGCCACTCTCTTCTGGCCAAGAGCATCTAGCCACGGTGTTTACATAGCCCAACCGTACACCATTTATAGGACATGTTGCTTCCTCAGAAGCTGGACAAATTTCAGTGTCAAATCAAAATTTGCATTCCTATATTGATTTCACAATCAAACCATAATTTGCCTAGTGATATGCTACTGTCAAAAGGCTGGATTCATTACAAAGCCTTTTATCTGGCTTCCCCACCTCTGTTTTCATGGGGACAAGCTGCAGAAAATACTTTCAAGATTTTGCTTTCTTAGATCTTTCCATCAGGCGGATCTCTCTCTCTACCACAATGTTAATGTTATTTCTCTCAATTTGCTCACTGTCTCTCCTCCAGCCCTCACTTCCTTTTCCATCTCACCCTGTTGTTACATTTTGTTGACACCCCCTCCACTAAGTTTGTTCTCTTTATTCTGCTTCCCACGTACTTTGCTCTGCAAGGTCATTGACTTGATGCTATTTCATAATTGTTCTTCTATTGTTAAATATTTGGGGATTTCTAATTTTGCAGACCACTATATTGCTCTGGGAAGATAGAGAAAAATGACACAAAACCTCGTCTTAAAGATTTCTATCAACAGAAAACATACATATACCCCTTCGACCTTTACTGAGATTCTCCTAAGTGGCAGGCACCATTTTAGAGACTAGAGATAATCTTTATCAAGTGCCCCAGAGTTTGGTGAGGGCAATAGAGAAACAATCAATAATTAACTGAGAATAGGGCAGTGCCCAGGTGGGGAGAGGAGCAATGGCATTAAACTCAGGTGGAAGTGGGAGGTGGAGAGAGAGGAAGTCTGCAAGAGAAGATCAGATTACATCAGAGCTAAGTCAGTGCAGGTTGGACATTTCTGGCAAAGGATTTGGCAATGCAAAGGTGTGCAGATACCTGGGATATTATAAGGTAGGTATTGACATATGTCATGAAGGGACATAAAGTACCAGGGAAGTTCGAAGAAAGAAAGAAACAATGGATTTCATAGAGAAGGTAGCATTTGACCTCTCTGTGGGGATATCTGATCATCTCGCTTATCTTTCATCTGGCTGAATGATTGACTGAGAGTCCCATCCCTTCTAACCCAACCAGTACCAGAGGGGCTGGTATTCTAGACACTCTGAGGAAGAGAATGTGTGTTGTCCTGGATGTACATAACACACAATGTTTTTTTGTGGATGAATTGAGAATGGAGATGAATTGAGAGGGAAGCAGAGCCCTGCTGCCGGACAGAAGGAGGACAGTTGAGGATGGAAATCTAACAGGATGATGACAGCTGTGCCAGTGGCTGTGGGACCTGTGACTGCTGTACCTGTGGGTTCAGAGACGATTTCCTCTGATTCATCCCGTTAGGAACCTCTCATTCCAATTAGACAGGGCTGTTTCTAGGCCATATTTTGCAAGTTGTTTTGGGGTCCCACTTAGAGCCCTTTCTTTATTCCCTTTCAACTCCCCAGTTTCCCCCTGCCTACATCCCAACAGTTTTTTCTCTAGTAGACACCCTATAATCCTTTTCATATTTCAGCTGCCAGAGCACCCACTGCAGCATTCACTTAGGCTTAATCTAACTACAGTGTCAAAATTTATAAAAATTTCCATCATCCATTCTTTCTTACCTCTGAATCACTTAGATGTATATGGGAGGGGTATGATTAGACTAGCTAACACAATGTTATATCAGTCAGACTTTCCCTTAACTCTCAAGGAAGCATTTAACTGAATCTCAAACTGGAAACTCTTCTGGCTACATGAAAGAACTATCTTAGAGTAGAAGAGCATTGATCAGTCCACTCTATTTATGCCCTTACATAAATTCAGAGGTGGTAGGATTTGTGACTGGGGATGGGACATTAACATTGCATTCTGGAAAATGGTGCCTCCTAGAGCTGTATGATGCAATATCCCTTCCATGGTGGTCTTATTTTTTAGCCTTTATGAAATAAGGTTCTAGGGAAGAAACTCCATTGCAAAGCCTGCTCAACATCGACTCAAAAGAAACCCTCATACCCCAGAGTCCAACTTGACTTGGCTTCCAGAACCTAGGAGTGGTTGTTCTTCCAGGAATATCTGTATTAATTTCAGGGTGTTCTCTCAAAGAGAACGAGGAACTCCAGTTTTGTGAGTCTTTCTGCATTATTATTCCAAAAATATTCACAGGAATCTTAAATTATATTCTGTTGTTCCACCCATGTTTTCATTCCTCACTGACCTTCAATTTTCTAGATTTGGTAGATTGTAAAATCAATAATATTTGCTTATGCTTATTTCTATGTAATTTAGTAATATCAGGCTTATTAACTTCAAATCATATTAAGTTTAGGTTTTGCTTGATCTATGTGCCTCTTCAGTATTCCCCTTGTTCTTCCTAGAACACGTTACCCACTCATGTCATCATCATTATTGTTACTATTAAATTTTGTTAGAGAAAACTTTGATGCCTTGTGTTTTTATGTTCTTACAGGAGGCATACAGAGCACTGGTGAATGACTAATGAAAATATTGAAGAACTGGCTCATTTTGCATGTGTTTGAGATATCCATTGATTTTACTAAACTCTCCAAATAAATATCCCTGAGTTAGAAATTGAAATGTAAATCACTTAAGACTGGCTTCACTATTCTCTAGACTTCCTGATTTTACGTGTACCAACAGAAGAGCAAGAATACCTTGTGATATTGCACTAGTTCTCCTTTCAATCCTGTTTAAAAACAGGAAGCAGTAATGAGAATGCACTTCATAAGAGCAACACGAACTTTGGCTCTGCTCAAACTACGTGGTTCGATGGTGTCCTGGGCTTCTGGGCTTGATTTTCCTACTCATACTGCAAATAGGAGTGAACATGATATTTCATCTAATCATAAATTTCATAGCTGCTCTCCCAATTATTTGTTGCATTCTGTTAACTACACTAAAGCTCAGCAGCCTGCCCTTTTGAGTTAGAATGTGTATTTTTGACATCTCTTTCACATCAACAGCATTAAAAGTAAAAATATATTAAGTAATTTTTGAGCTGGGAAAAACTGGATAGGCACTATGATATAATCTTTATGCTGCTGAGTAGAGAAAATGTAGGCTTGGGTATACTGAACACCATCCCCTGGTGTCACATTCTGTTCAGAATAACTCTAGGATGGCACTCAGGGCCCACACCCCCCAGCATCCTTGATTTCGCCATAGACCCACAAATCAAGTGGACATTGTGTATGGAAAGAAAAGGTAACAAGAAATGTAAAGAAAATCTGGCAGATAAAATGATCATAGTGTAGCCACGTTAGGTATGTATCATGCAAGTCTTTCTGTTTAATCATTTATAAATGTTCCTCTGCTTCCTGACAAAACAATAGAGACTTAAATGTTTGTTGAATGTATAAATGAAAAACAAATATGGAACCTAGTTTATGCCAGTGTATGTAGCCTGGCAAAGAAGAAAATGTCTTTGACCAATTTTCTTACTTTAAAAATGTGTAACTCACCTTTGCTAATATTTCTTAGAGTAAATAAACTATGGATATTTTATTATAAGTTAGAGGCAGAAAGAAAACAATGTTTCTTCTGTGTTCTGAGGCTAATATTAAAGTATGCTTGGAGATTCATATAATATTTTAGGGTTAAAAATATCATATTTCTATTTCCCAAAAGCCCTGTATCTTCTTCTCATTAAAAAAAGATCAAATTTATCACAATCTTAGAATTTTCAGGGATTTTTGCTTTGAGAATAGTCTTCCTTGAGTTTCAGATTTGGATAGGTACTTGATATTTTTCCCTAAAAGAAGGATGCTTCTGGAAGACATAGGTTGCCACTGAGAGTTTTGTGAGTAAAATCTCAGAGGCAAGAAATGGCCATACACCCAGGGAATTCCCATTTCATGAGTGTTAGCCTGAGTTTTCACTCCATGGCAAGGGAGCTGTATATTTAGCACATCCACCACGAGGAGCGAAGGTCCACCACGAGGAGCGAAGGTCCCCTCTGCCTAAACATGCACAAACTTTCTCTGGTGACACAACCCCATTCCCTGCTCTACATGTATTAGAGGAGCTGTTTCTCCAGGTCTGCTAAGAGCTCATGACAACTCCACAGATAAATAGTATTTCTCCGAGAAATTCATTTCTATCCCCTGGAAAGATCTTATGTTGATCTGTGGTAGAACAAGTCTGTTCCCCTGTGGAAATGAGTTGTGGTCCTGGTAGCTCCAGTAATGTGTGCCACAACCTTCGCGTCACACTTTCCTGACAGGTCAGTAATTAACTCGCATTGCAATTGTTTGTTGTCTCCACCACAGCAGCCATTTACCAAAATAGCATTTTAATTTCAGTTTCCTTCCATTTCACTTTCCTTTTGTTTTCTCCCTGTGGCTTTTACATCTCTATTAAGTCTAATTTCCCCGACCACTCTGTAAGCTGAGAGAGTGCAATAAAACTCAGTTTCAAAAATGTCAAATATAATGAGAAAGGAAGATCACAGTAAAGGAATGTGACCATAGCCACCCCATTGGGTAACATTGTCTTTGGGCAGGTGTTATATATAGGAAATGTGATAATAAGTTTTTGCATTTATTTAACTTATAGCAGGGAATCTGGAGTATTTGCTGCATTTGCTGACAAAGTCTGACAAGTCTGCAGCATGGTAAATTGTAATACAGTTATTATCACTGCACATGGCCATCTTAAATGGTGAAAATGTCAAGTAAAATATTTTTTAAAAGTAGAATAAGTGTGTGGTAGGCAACCATGATCTTTCTTAGCTCTTAACCTTTCAAACTCCATCCTGTTGGGAGCAAAGCAGCTCATTTTACACTTCAAATATTTATTGAGCCTCTACTCTGAGACATAGACTTTGCCACATCCCACAGGTTCTGCAAAGTTATTAAGCACCCTGCAGTGGAGTTAAGCACAAGCAGGCTTGCCTACCATGAAGTCTGATTAGAGTGCAGTGGAGAATGGGACTGGAGATGATTTTAGGGTGGAGGTGATGTGAGGCCTGGATGCTGTATGATAAACAGGACTCTGAAAGGCAGAGAGGGGATATCAAGAGCAGTGCAGGCTGAGATCACAAGATTTAAGGAAAGGGGAGTGAACATCCACACAAGATGATACAGTGTTGGTGGCTAAGTGGGAAAGCTATGGTTGATTAAGGCTGCCTTAGGAGAACCTGGTTATTTTTATTAAAGAATTGGGATTTTGTCTTATAGATCCTGGGGAAATTGATGATTTTGTTTAAGGTATAACCCCTTTCTAAGATACTTGATGAAAAGAAATCCACAAGTAAGAATCCTTGACCCCTGAGGCCACAAAATAAATATATAACATGCTCGTGGGATGCTTCTTAATTAACTTTAAAACAGAATAAATATTACAGTATCTATTTGTAAACATTAATCTTATGAAAAGGGCACCCTGTGATACGGAAAAAATATTCCAGAATTTTAGGTACTTCACTCTGAACATCTAGGTACATGTTCAATGCTTCTGGTCAACAATCAAATGAAAAGAAAGGTAAAGACTTAAAAGGAATAACTAAATAAAGCATTTGAAGAAAAGGTTCCTAGGGTGCAATTGCATCTAATTAAAGAGACATAAGGAAAATAAAGTTAAGATTAGTGGAACTGCTTCTGAATTTCCCTCTGATGATCAGGCAGGTAGTAAAAAATTGAAAAGCAAATAGGAAGAAAATGCCTGCGCCATTGTAATTACATTTAGGGAGCATAAGAAATTTTATAAAATGGCAATCTTCTTAGATACAGATGAGAGCCATAAGGGGCATAAGTAATGCAATCTTCTCTCTGTTTCCTCTGTCAGTTTTGACCTAATCTAGCAAGAAATGCTGAGCGATTTTCCGCCTCTTGCGTACAACTATCAATTAAGGGAAAACAGGGTGACTATCTTAGGGCATTGATGATGAAATGTCACTTAAAGAGAAAACATCAGCTCTAGAACAAGTTGCTCAGCAGCCACAGCGTTAGAAAACACTGGGGAAACAAATGGAGTCTCAGACCCTCACTGGGACAGGCTACTTCTCTAATCTTTGTTGGGAGAGTATCAAGTGCAAAAAGGAAATTTTAACCTGCGATTGTCTCAGTTTCCTGGGATTTCTTGTTCTACTGTCTTTCCTTCTTAAAGTGCTTGACCCAGTCGCAAAGTCTTTTTATCAGGCAGATTAAATCTAATCACCCATTGGTTGCAGTTATGCCAGGCTATCACTATCTTGGCCTGCCCAGGGTTCAAATATGTGGAAGTTGCATATTGCATAATTAGTACTTGACAGTAATTAACAGTAATCAGTAATTGACAACAGTCAGATATGGTTGACATTTGTTTTATTTAGCAAATTTGCTGTTGTATCTATTAGTCTTTCCCTAATGCTCATCTCCAAACTCTGAATTTATTAGATTGAATTTCAGTGCCAAAAGGGCATGTCTAATGATGGGACACTAATGTCATAGTCTATTGTTGTGAAGGACAATAACTATATCATTAAAATAAAAGTTTTCAGAGTATCTCCTTTAATGCATTTAAAAATCAGTTCTCTCTTGCTCAATTATTTATGAGTAAAATACATTTTAAATAGCTTGTGTGTATGTGTGTGTGTGTGCATGCCTATGTTTGCATATAAAGTTCAATGAACTGTCACAAACTGAACACATTCTTGTAATTACAGCCAAACCAAGAAACACAATATTATCAGCACTCCAGAATCCCCGCACAGCTCTGTTCCACTCACTACCCACCTCACCCCACTAAAGCTAATCATTCTTCTGTCTTCTAAGTTTTGCCTATTTCTGAACTTTATATCAATGAAAACCTAAAGGGTCTATTTTTTCTTGATGGGCTTATTTCACTCAAACTTTTATTTGTAAAGATGATTGCTATGCAATATTCTTTTGTGAAGTGCCTGTGCAATACTTTTGCTTGTTTTTAAGATCAGATTGTTTGTCTTTTTCTTACTGATTTATAGGAGTTATTTATGTATTATAACCACAAGTCTATTTTTAATATATATGTTGCAATAGTTATCATTTCCCACTTGTGGGTTGCTTTTTCACTCTCTTAATGGCATGTTTTAATGAAGAGGTCCTTAATTTTAATATTGTTTAACTTATTATTTATATCCTTTTACGATTAGTGCTTTTATTGCCCTCTTAAGAGACCCTTGCTTAATTTCAAGGCAACAAAGACTATTCCCATGATTTCCTCTAAATGAGTTGTTTCAACTTTATTTATTTTTAGAACTATGATTCATCTGGAAATAATGTTTGTGTTTGGTGTGAGATATATATATATTCCATATGGAAATAAAGTTACATATATATTATATATATATTATACACACACACACACACACACACACACACACACACACACACCCCTATACATATATAAATTGGAAGGACCTGTTATCTCTCCTGAAAGAACCGGGAACTGGCTTTTCATCTGAAGTGACCAGTTTCTGGAGAGCTCTCCTAGCCACACGTGGTGACGAAAGGTTCAGTTTGAAAGATGCTGACAGTGTCAAGCAATTACATAGATCTGTGGTCACAATCTAGGTAAATATTGGCAACTGGGGATACAAGTTGAATAGGAAGAGTTATACAACAAGTGAGCAGAAACAGTCATTGATAATCTGACAGGGTGGGGAATACTGAGAAGTTCAGATTTGCAGATTGTTATCAACTAGGAGGTTTTTTGCTAGGTGGCACAGTTCTCAATTCCGGCTATTTGTTCAGGTCTAGCTCAATTATCCACAAAGGAGATTGGCAATAGAAAGGTAGAACCTCAACCCTAGCAAGAGAGTGAGGCAATGAATGACCAGGTTACCAGCAAAGGAAGTTGCGGTCAAGGAGAAAGCAAATGTCCAGTGAGGAAGAGGTGACCCACTGAAGTGCTGGGACTTGTAAATAAGGTGGGAATGCACTTGATTTGTACATCACAAGCCCAGACCAAAAGATGAGATCACTCATTATAATTTATTGTTGAATCCACAAAACCCCATTCCACTAGAATTAAAGATTGTCTGTATTAAGTTAATGTTTCACCTGAGAGTAAGGGTCAGAAATAACCAGTTCCAGATGTGCACATGCTTCTGGTAGTAAAGAGAAAGAGAGCTATAAAGTAGTAATTCTCAATGGTCAATGTGTGGAGCTTATTAAATATGCAGACTTAGCTGAACCTTCCACAGATATTCCCATTTAAGGAGAATGAGGGAGAGGCTGAGAAATTGCATATTTGGTCATAACCCCTAAGGGATTCAGCTGCACCCTTTTGTAAAAAGTTATTTTTATAAAGGTTTATGTAAGTTATTCTTTAATTTTATACGCGCATTATTGTGAAATAGTTACTTGTTACTATGGTGTCTTCTTATTTTACAGCCCATTGCTGCTATCTTCATTTTGTTCATATTACTGCTCTAATTAATTTTCCTGGGAATGAAAGTTCACTTTAGAATATGCTGGTGAGGGGTAGGGGTATGGGCAATAGTTGAAAATAGTGAGAGATAAATGAGTAGGTAGCTAAGCAGGTAAGTAAATAGATAAATAGACACATAGGTGCATGAAAATGATGCTGTAAATATTCTACTTAAGACTAATTAAAATATGGTACTTTGTCAACCAGACCAACATCCAGTCATAAATATTGCTGGAAAATAAATTCTTTTGCATAAAAGAAATCCCCAAAGAGCTCCTAGGCAATCTGGGTCTATACACAACTTTGAGTGCAAGAGTGCTTTTTACTTTTTCTTTGCTTATTTATATCATGAACTTGGTAAGTGTGAGTAAAATAACATCAATTTCAACACTTAAAAAATAGTTCATAAAAGGAATGCTTGTACACTGTTGGTGGGAGTACAAATTAGTTTAACCATTGTAAAAGACAGTATGGAGATTTCTCAAAGAACTAAGGACAGAAATACCATTTGACCCAGCAATCCCATTACTAGGTATATACCCAAAGGAATATAAATCATCCCTTTATGCATGTGTATATTCATTGAGGCAACTATTCACAGTATCAAAGACATAGAGTTAATCTAAATGCCCATCAACAATAGACTGGATAAGAAAATGTGGTACATATACACTATGGAATACTATACAGTCATAACAAGAATGAGATCATGTCCTTTGCAGGTTCATGGATGGAACTGGAGGCCATTATCTTTAGCAAACTAACACAGGAACAGAAAACCAAATACTGCATGTTCTCACTTATAAGTGGGAGCTAAATGATGAGAAGTCATGGACACATAGAGGAGAACAATACATATTGGGGCCTACTGGAGTTTGGAGGGTGGGAAGAGGGAGAGGATAAGGAAAAATAACTAATGGGTACTAGGCTTAATACCTGGGCGATTAAATAATCTGTACAACAAACCCCCATGACACAAGTTTATCTAGGTAACAAATCTTCACATATATCCCTGAACTTAAAGTTAAAAAAAAAAAAGTGTATGGGAATGCCCATCCAATTTCAGTTCCATTGCTTTTGCAGTAGGTTCTGGATAGAATGGCTTAGCATGTACTCTTATTACTGTGAAGTTGGTCCCAGTGTCTTGATGGTTTTCTATTTCTTGTTCCAGCGGTGGATGATTTAGCCCTGAGGTGGTTCAAGTAATTGTCTGAGGGACAAAAAAAAAAAAAAGAAAGAAAATAGCTCTCCTTGATAAAGACCAAAGGAAGTTTGGTGTGAGAAAAAAAAATCCACAAAATTATGTATCCTCAGGCTTCCTTTCAAGAAGCCCAGATGATCAAAATAGTGAAAAAATATTTGCCAGTTCACATTACTTAAACTGAAATTTTTTACTGAGTTTTTCAATCCTTTTCTTTGAAGATAAGAGATACAATATACTATGTTAATTGTATATTGTATATGTACACCTTAAAATGTATCCTCTTCTTTCTAGGATGAATAACTGAAGGTTCTCTTGATGCCTTTAGTCTCTTGAAGTGATTCAACTGCCTTTTCAGGAATCTTAATATAGGAGCTATCTGGGGGACTAGATACTCCACTTAAACAAGTTTAGTTTGCTTTTTCTTCCTCAAAGTATAGTTCCCAGGCTTCTCCCCTCAAGGTGAGAGGCAGAGGAGGAGATGGTTACATATGTGATATAACTAATAGGTTCCAGTTAATTGAGTGCTACTGTAATTTGAATTAGTGTAGCCAAATTTCTGTCTAAATTTAGGTGCTTCACAAAGTGAAATATAGGATTTTTGCTTGGACACATTAAAGTAAAAAATGCATAAATATTTAGAGTATTAAATAGTTGGGAGAATTATCCATTTAATTTAAAAATCATTGAACATTTTTCTTCTCTGTCTTGTTTTATTTACTTATATCCTTTGTTATAACTACGTCTGAGACAGAGAATCTAATCTATTAAAGGAGAAAACGTGATGAAATGGGTTATGCAACCAAGCCCCAGCTACATTTCCCCATCTTGTGCACTTACTGGTGGGGTTCTTGTGTGTGTTTTTGTGTGTGTGTGAGCATGCACACATGTATGTGTATTTAAATGGTTGCCACTGTTACTATCACAACACAAGGTATGCAAACCTCTCTTTCATCTCCCTTACAACAGTACTTCCACACATTCTGATCCATACCCTACCTACATCATGCGATTCAAAAATAACAGTTGATGCAAAGACAAATGTATTTGTTATGACTTAGTCAAGTTAAACTTTTAGAGACATCTTTTAATGATTTTTTTTAAAAAAATGCTTTGGGGAGGGTTGGCAGCAGAAGAAAGTTTGTTCTTTCAATTTAGGAAAATGAGCCCAGTCATGCAAGCTAGACAGACACAACAAGGACCTAAATGAAGAAGCTATACATAAATGGATGCTTTTTTCACAGAATAATCTAATGCTCCAGTCAGTCTCTAAACATTTATTGGGATTTATTGCATATACAGAAGTTATTTGGAGGACTCCAGTTCTCTCTAATCATTACCCTCTGCTCCTGCTTTTTTAGGAGCAGCTATAAATTCAAGAAGAGGTGGAAAATCGGCAGACTGCCAACCAAATTCAACCCACAGACATATGTTGTTGGGCCTGAACAATGTTTTGGAATGTTTTGAATCAATTTCCAATTGAAAAATGAGGGTTGTTACTTTTAAAAAAAAACAGAAAAGTATGTCTATATGTCTTCTCTTGAAAATTCATAAAATGTGGCAAACTGATCCAGGTGTGTATGGTAAGAGACAGCTGCGGGTGGACAGCTTCTACATCCTATAGACAAGGCATCATATAGACGTTCTCTTGTCTACAGGTCCTCTCCTACCCACTTATCTTGTATAGATATCCCAACTGGCCTGCAGGCATTCCCGACTGTGGCTCGTAGTGTCAATCACCCCTAGGAACATTGCTCCTCTGATGTATGGGTTGAATGGTGATTGTGCTGCCTATTAAGTCAATATTATTTTCAGTATTTCATTATTTTTAAATCTAAGCTGGTAAGATCGCAAATGAAGAGCAGAACCAGGAGACTGCATTTGCATTTGCATTTGTACTACTGCTTTAGAAAGAGGATCGTCAGACATTCACATTACTTCATTTATTCTTACAATTTTCTCAACATGATCTTAGTTACAACGAGTAGGATATTGTGCTGTGCTCTTTGCTCTTGCTAAGCAAGTTCCCCTTTTCCTCCCTCTCTTTTCTCTGCCTCCTCTACTGTTTCTATTATATTTTGGCAGATAATTATATCCTGCCTTATATTGGTTTCTGTTCTCTATTTGAGCTGTGTGTCTCTTCTGCCCAAATTGACTGTGGGCTCCTTAAAGTCAGACACTGTATTTGTCAGTGTTGTTGCTCTGTATTGTACTTAGGACATTATAGACACTTGGTCCCATGCCTTGCTCTCATTAATTCAATGCCCTAATACCAACTGGTTTCAGAATTAGTACTGAAATTGGTATATTCATTCAGCACTGTCTGAAATCCCCTGTCTTGAACTCCCCCAGGCCATGAGCATTTCCAGCATGTTCAAGTTTGCCACCAAGATTAGAATGACTGTGACTCCAAATCCCAAGTGTTGTTGGATTCCTGTGTTTCCTGCATACCTCTCCACATCTAAAGCTGCCAAATGTATGCACCATACAGCTCATCATGGTCAGGAGAAGTCAGATCACTGCATTTCACCTTCCCCCATCCCTGCTCCAGGGTGTGTATGCTCTACACATCTGCCATGCTGACTGGTCTCCAGGTTTTTTGTCAAGCTGGTTTCCCACCCTGAACCTACTGCCCACTTGCTAATCCCCTTTGCTAATGCCAGACTTCAAACCTAAAGCTCAATGCCAGCTGGCCATAGGATACAGCAAGCTTTCTGTGGACAGCACCATAGCTGGTTGTCTTCCCAGCATTTTGTCAGCACGTGGGTTCCCCTCTGCTGCACCTTGTTCTCATTAAGTGGATGCGCTAACACCAATTGCTTTCAAAATTAGGACTGAGTTGGGATATTCATTCAACCTACATATATAGAATCCTGAGTTGGTTTCCTCAAAGGAAAATTAAACAAAAGAAAGGAAGAAAAAAAAAGACAAAAGACTTCTTTACTGGGTTAGCAATCTATACTCTCAGGACTTCCTAGTTTCCTTTTATATGTTCCCTTCTCAGAATTATTTTTCTAGGACCCTAGTAGATCTGTCTTGTGGACTATCTACCTTACTACCTTACCACTCCATGCAAAAATTTAGATTTAAAATAAAAGTGCATGAAGAGAATTCTACTTTCTTTTCTCTCCTCGTGTTTGCTGTTTTTCTTTGCTTCATTTTAATTTCAGGCATAAGAGTCAGTGGCTGCCTACCTGTTTTTGAATTGTTTTATGTGATAAATATTAATTCTTCATAATTAAAGGGTATTTTTGGTGAGGGTACATCTTGAGCTGCTTGAAGGAAAACTACCATATCAACTAAAAATTGGTAAACAAACAAGAAAAGAGTTATCTCTTCTTCCCTTTGCCCACACAGCTATACTATACTCCCCCACACAGCTGTATTGAGAAAATGAAACTAATAGCAAGAAATTGCTTTTGATGAGTTTCATAATTTTATCATAATACTTAGAATTGAAATAAACCAAAATTATCATAGCATGATTTTTACATCATAGTGAAGAAAAAAAAGTCACTCTTTGATTCAAGACCTGATAAAACAATTACTACTGCTACTCTTACCACCGCGTTTAACCTTTTTAAAGTGATTTACTATGTGCCTCATGCAGGGTAAACATCTTTACATACATCATTTTATATTTTTTCCTTGGGAGGAAACTCACCATTTTACAGATGAGCCAATGCAGACTCAGAAAGATTAAGTAACTTGCCCAAAATATCATACAGGATCTAGCAAGTGGTAGGGCCCAGAGTTGAGTTTTATTTTTTCTGACTTCCCAGCTTGTGCTTTTAATACCACTACTATCTCTGTAAGAAAGAAAAAAGTTCCGTACTAAAATTTGAGAAAAAGTATGTTTTAATGGTTATACCTGAAATGTGTCCTAGCCCTTCTGTGTCCTCCCGCAATTCAATTTCTCCATGCTTCACTGCCTTTTTCTACGAAGTCTACTAAAAGCTCCCACTTTGTCACTGGCTTTCTAGAATTACCAAGTAAAATAACATATGCAAAACGACTTTTAAAATTCTAAATAGAATATAAATAGATGATAGACATTATTACTTGCATTAGTTAACTCAAACCCAACTATCACCCTAAAGCCTTAAAATACATTTATAAGAAGCAAAATAAAGAGGCAAGAGAAATAGCAATATAAAAGCCTGAGACTCTTTTGCCATAATCTAGACAAGACTCAATAGATGACCAATAGTGACCATGATGATACGTGCAAACGGAAAGAAAGGAATAAATGCTGCTTGAGTATGGCAATTGATTGGATGTATGGAATAAGTGGTATGGAATACATGATATGGATGATATCATGTCCCTTAATAATATGACTTCAGGAGTAGAGATGTAATCGAAATTGGAAGGAAGGCAAAAATAACCCTTGGGAGAGGCCATGGATTTAATGTGGGACATAATCAGTTTAACCTGCTGATGGGATATCATAGAGGAAGTATCAAGTGACAATTAGAAATAAGGAACAATTTTGACAGAGACACCAAGGCTAAAGATAGAAATTTAAGGACCGTATTTGAGGAATGAAATTGAAATTATAAGAACGTCAAAAGAGAGACCAAAAAGAAGATGGTTTAGAGCCGTGGCATCCATTAGAAATATAATATGAGCCACACACATGTAGTTTAAAAATTTCCTGTAGCCACATTGGAAAAGTTAAATGAGATAAGTGAAATTAATTTTAATAATTTTATTTAACCCAATACTTCGAAATATAATCAATGGAGCATGATTAAATGCCAAAATATTAATTATTTTACATTTTCGTTATTTGTACTATGTCTTCAAAATCTGGTGTTTATTTTACACTTAATTCATACTAGCCCTTCTTCAAGTGCTCAATAGTCACTTGTGCTAGTTGCTACCGTATTGGATAGGTGGATCTAAGAAGGAATTTTTGAGAATTAAGAGCCAGGGGGAGACATAGAATCCAGAGGAGACCAGAAAAAGAGAAAGAGGAAAGACACCTGCAGTATGGCAAAAACCAAGGCAAAAGAACGTTTTCTTCCTCACAAGTTTTACAACACTTCTGCATAGGCAATATTTGCAGAGAAGAAACAACAGGTTTCCTACAGATGGCATTGCTTTAGACATCAAACAAAGTAGGATTCTTTTAGAGCCTTTTAGACTCTAGGGCCTCATGAATAAAGTTCAGCATTGCTTAACTGCTAACACTTAACAGGCTTCAAAATTATCGCATGGCATACTGAAAATAACATGGACTTTGCATTACCCAGATCTATGTACAACTCATGACCCAGCCTACCGAGAAGCTTTGTAAATTTGCATATTTAATCTCTTAACCTTAGCTTCCTTATCTTTAAAATGGGGATACAAATTCCTTTACATGATTTTTGTGGATACCAAATGCAATTATGCATGCAAAATTCTTGTCCCATAATCTACACAGAGTAAGTCATAGCTATGATGATAATTATTAAGAATCTCACTCTAATAATTTATATTGATGAATTTCTCAAGCAACTGTAAACATCTTGAGAATAAGTTAATATTGTCTAGTTTTGGTAACAACTATAGTACTTACCACAGTGCTTGAGACACCACTGAGGTAATCACCATACATTTTTTCCTTTAATGTTCTACTTTAGGAGAACCATCAAAGTATGAATAGGTGATATTATACAGAAGCTCAGATTACTTGATTTCCCCAGTGCATTTAGCAGAGAGCTGAATTTGGGTTCCATTGCTCAGTTTCTAGTCTTTAAAATTCTAACATGAAATTAACTAAAGCAGAAAGATAAATGAACAGAAACGGAAGTTTCCCTTGACTCAGCATCCAATTTCCTGAGCATTCTACCTTCCATAGCTCTTTTAAAGAGATGTTCTGTTTTGACTCTTTTAGGAAATGGATTTAAAGTGAACATAAAATTAGTCAATTTTAATACCATGGTTTTAGTAAAATTGCTTAAAATTTAAATACTTAGAGGTAGTTGCTCTTTCTCATCAGTTTATGGCAATATGTTTTCAGCTGGTGGGTTATTTGTTCCATTTTTCAGAAGCATATAATGGATACAGAATTCAAACCCAACCTTTCATCACTGCCAACTTACTAAAACTGTACCATATATATAGTACATATAGTGTCTTTTATTTGAAATATATTTCTAGCTTCTCTTCTCCTAAATTACCCTATATTTTAGACCAGGAAAATTCACACATCTCCAGATTGTCTTCCTTGATTCTACAGCCCAAAGTCAATCTTTATGGCATTTATCCTTTCACTAAACAAATATTTATTGATATTATCATACACCTACCATTTGTTCTAGGTTCTAGGTATTTAGCAGTAAAAAGACAGGCGAGGTCAATACTCCCATGGACCACACATTCTAAGGTGAAAATAGCCACTAAACACTGAAAAATAAATAATAAATTCCATAGCCAAACTAATATGAAGGAAAACAAAAGCAGAGTAATGAGATAACGAGGTCCTTGCAAATCATGAAAGGAGATTGAATCTAATTTGAAGTATAATAGTCATTTGGAATATTATATTAAAAGAGTTTGCATGGTTGAACTCTTAAAATGGCCACTCTGTCTACTCCTTGGACAATGACTATTGTGGGGAAGATAGAAGCAGGGAGGAGAGTCAGGAGAATTCTGCAATAACAGCAGTGGAAGTGGAAAGAAGTGATTGAATTCAAGATATTCTGATGTACCTATACCTCTTGCTTAATATCTAATTCATTCCCGTGAAATACAAAGTTATTCAATAAGAGCCTAAGATTTCCAATCATCACTTATAAGTATAAAAGTATATCAATAGAACCTCAAAAAAGGATTCAAGTACATAATAGCAACAATTTGAAAGAAGACAAATTGTAAACAAAATGTAATATAAAAGGAGTTTTTATTTATTACATTTTCTCTTTCCATATCTTTTTCTTCAGTAATATTTTTAAGGATTGGGAGACTTAACGGTTTTCATGCCCTCAAAGTATACTTAATAACAAATTACAGCACAGGAGTCACCTGGAGCCGGGGGCCCAACAAAAAGTCTGACTAAAAGGTTGTAAACATTGCCACCTCTTCAACCTTCTTGAATTAATTCAAACATGTACAAATCAACATTGTTTCATATGCTTCTTGTTATTCTAACTTGAAAGCAGAGAGTAAATTGGTGTGTGTGTTTTATCTAAAGTTTGATGTTCATCCAAGTGTCATGTTGTGCTGTATTCACTTGGCAAGATTTTTTTAGAAAAGTCATTGTATTGACAACCAAAAAAATAAAAAATAAAAGAAGTATTAGACTGAAAAAAAAAAGATATAACACCTTAAGGGCCATTATTGAGAAAAGTCACGTGAACAGTATAATGAAAAGTAAGTTTATATTTTACAGGCTCTACTTATTGCTGATAAACTAGATGAAACTTTGGGTAGGAAGTAGTAGGGAAAGAGTAGAATCAAGGATAATTCTTAGACTCTTGTCCTGAAAAGAGAGATTAATATGGTGTCATTAACTAAGGTGGAGGCAAAAAGGAAAGAAGCAGGCTGGGTTGGGGGACAGGTGGGCAGTAATTAGGAGATTTGCTTTGAGTACTGTATACTCACTTTGATGTCTCTATGAGACACTCAAGTGGAGATGATGAATGGGCAATTGGATTTATAGTTTTACTGCTAAGAGAAAAGATTTGGTCTTGAAATATAATTAGTATATAGATAACATTTAAGGTCATGAAACTAAATAAAACCGCAAAGGAATAAACCTAGAAGACAAGTAGAAATCCAAAGACTGATCTCAGGACATTCCAACATTTAGAGAGCTAGATGATGAGAAAGTGTTAGCAAAGGATACAGAAAGAGCATTCAGGTAGTTTGGAGGAAAACTGGAAGAAAAAAGTATTCCAGAAGTCAAATGAAAAGAGAGTTTCAAGAGGGAAGGAGGGTTCGATAGCATCAAATGCAGCTCAGACAGTGAATAATATAAAGATACATAAATGGCTATTAGATTTGGCAAAATGAAGACCTTTGGGATTCTGTCAATGGTATATTCTATAATATTTCTATGGCACTGGACTTATATGTATAATTGATATTTAGATACTTATCTTTGTGTACCTCTTACCTACTAAACAGTTTTCATTGGCTAAGTAGCATATCTATTTCTTTGTATCTCCAGCAATCCTTAGGACAACATAGTATACTTAGAGTTCAAAATTATTTATGGAGTTGAATGGAATTGGACTAATAACCAGCAAAAGATAAAAAATAAGTTGCAAAATCCACAATTGTATTGTGTGTTACTGACAAGGATAAGTTTTAAAATAAGATATTCTGTCTAGTTTTTGACATGCAGAAAATGCTTTCATCAGATGAACTTTCCCACCATTTAGGCAAAGATAGAAACTATGAAGCATGTATTCCCTCAAATTCCTCTCCTCACTGAATCTTACTTATATCCAATTCATCTGCATTCACGCTCATTAAAGTGCTCTCTCTTCTGTTTAAGGTTAATTCATCTACTTGAGCCAGTGATTATACCCATCTGTCTTAGTCTCCTCTGAGACCTTGTTGGGTTCCTTTATTTTCATTCCTTTTCTCCTCCTTCACTTGAACATTCATATTTTATCCCCCTTTTAAGCTACTGTCTATTTCAAGCTTTAGAAAAGGAATACAGCATTTAGGCTGGGCGCGCTCTCACGCCTGTAATCCCAGCACTTTGGGAGGTCAAGGTGGGCAGATCACGAGGTCAGGAGATCGACACCATCCTGGCTAACACCGTGAAACCCCGACTCTACTAAAAATACAAAAAAAAATTAGCTGGGCTTGGTGGCAGGCACCTGTAGTCCCAGCTACTCAGGAGGCTGAGGCAGGAGACTGGCATGAACCCGGGAGGCCGAGCTTGCAGTGAGCCGAGATTGCACCACTGCACTCCAGCTTGGGTGACAGAGTGAGACTCCGTCTCAAAAAAAAAAAAAAAAAAAAGAAAAGGAATACAGCATTTCATATATGCTATCTCTAGTTCTTTGCTTCCTTTGACATCTCACTCCAAGGCTTGAGTGTCACTAAAGTCACTAATGTTTTGGTCTTTAGTTATACAGCTGAGAAAGAATACATTTTCTTACAAGGAAAGCAAATCGACCTTTAATCTTTTAAAAAGAAGATCAATTTTAACCATAATAGCAGAAATATCAATAAAACTGTGTTGAGATGCAGTTGTTAGAGACTGGCAAAACCTGCAAAGCTTGGCAACACAATCCCTTGAAAAAGCAATGAAGCTTCTGCAAGCATTCTCATTAAGTGCTGGTGGAAGTTCAAAAAGTTACAAATAACATGAAGGATAGTTTGGCAACAACTATCAAAATTATTTTATCCTTTGTCTCATAAATGTTATTTCTGGAAATGTGTGATAGATAGATAGGTAGATAGATAGATGATAGATAGATAGATGATAGATAGATAGGTAGATAGATAGATAGATAGATAGATAGATAGATAGATAGATAGATAGATTTTCAAATAGAAACAATTACATGGACATTCATTGAATTAGAAAAACTTGAAAACATCCATCACTCTTTTTACAGGAGGCTGGTTAAATTAAGTATGATATTTCCATATAGTGGAATAGTATACAGCTGTAAAAAAGAGAATTAGTTCCTTAGTTTTGTTATAAAATATCTCTAATCTATATTTCTAAAAGAAAAAAAGCAAAGTGGAGAGGTGCGTGCAGTTATGTTATATACATACACACATAGATGTGCATATATATATGGTTTTTACATAAACTGTGAAGTATAAATATATATATTAAACATGAAAAGTGGTTACGTTGGATTAAGATGGGGATAAATGGGATAGATAGAAATAAAAATATAAGAAATAGCTTATCTAAAAACATTGTGTTTTGGTTTTATATTGATTTTGAACCATCTCACTATATCATCTATTCTTAAATTAAAAGCAAACAAAACAAACAAAAGGCCTTCATCAAATGAAAAAAAAGATTGTTATAACCATAACTTGAATAAGAACCTCAGGCACCTGAACAGGTAAGTCAGTGCCTGTCCTTACAGAAATATCTCCACTGACTTCAAACTCTTCTGCAAAGAAAATGTCACTTCACAGTGAGATAAATGGAAGAAACAAATACATCCTGACCCTAGACAGACAACCCATCAAGATGTAAAAGTGTGGACATCCAATTACGTATCTCCCCTGCTCAAAAACCCTGCTGTTACTTATATCCAGGTCTACTCTATTTATGATCTCACACTATCTTTCTGGCCTACCTCTTATTACTATACTTCTGTCTAACAAAACTGGAGAATTCACACTACTTTGGAATTCTCTGACACGCCGTGTTTTTGTGCCTTGACATATTTCCTTCCTGTCCCTTGCAATGTTTCTCATCTTCCCAGTGCTAGATTTCCCTGAAAACTACCACAAAACTTTCCTCCAAAACTGTCCAGAACTCCCTGAAAGTATGTGATCAGATGATACAACACTTACAAAATTCTCTAGTTTATGGCTCGGCAAATAACAGGAATGCAAAAATGCTGGATGAATTTCTGAACTCTAATAGAGCATTCTCTGTATCTTCTTATGGTACTTGACAAATTGTATTTGCATCATAATTATTAAAATAATAGTCACTCTGGATTATAAGCTTTTAGAAGGCAAATGTTGTGAGGAGTTGTCAAACATACAGTAGCTGTTGAAAAATATTTTAAAATTTAGTTTAATTCAAACTCATGTTTCAATCAGATCCGCCTTTCAATTAAAACTGTATTTTTGTACAATTATGGAATTTGAAGAAGTTGGGAAATAATGACTGTTTAAAATGTGACCATACGTGACTCCGTAGTAGAATTTTGAGGCTTTTGTCCTTTCTTCTGGGGAAAGCATTTTAATTTCTACATCAGGAGACCCCTCTTTTTAGCAGAGAGCCCAAGTGCTGCAGCTGTAGCTGCCCCCAGTGCAGGAGTGGGCCTGTGAGCTAGGCATGGTCACGCATGCTGTCTGCACCCAAGTTCAGTAATTGTTCAGCTATGGTCATGTGATCCAATTCAGTCCCATCAGATCTAAATCTGACACTTTGCTGTGGTGACTGGGGAAAAGCATTCTTTCCCCACAGTTTGCTGAAAGGATCAACTCAGTAGGAGCTTGACAATTTCGTGAGAGCTTCCACTAGAGACTGCTTACAGCATAGTGAAAAGAAGAGCTGAGGAATGAAAAAAATGAGACCTACTCCTGATAATCCTGTGTGAGCTCCTGGATCCAGCCATTCCTGACTTTGCTATCCTTAGACTTTTCACACATAAAAGAATATCTCTTTTGCCTAGGCTAGTTTGAACTCATTTTCTATCGTTTGCCAACAAAGAAGTTTTGCACACTCTAAGCTCAAATTTAGAATACTTACAAGGGCATTTTAAAGTCTAATTATGTAGCATTTATTGTACAGTGTAAAAAATATGCTTTTAGTATCCAAAGAATTAAATTCAGAGTGTTCAATGACTTTTAAAATACATCTATTAAAAACTAATTATGTTAAATAATTTCTAAGTGTATGGGAATATCAAAATTGCCTGAAAATGTAGTGCAATATTTTTTTTTTTTTACCTGCTGCAAGAAAGGTGTTTATTTCTTCAGGACTATCTTAAAGAAATGGATACATCACTGGGATGGATCCTTCATATGAGACACTTCCAGAAATTCTGTGTTTAAATGCCACAGGCAGGACCAATGGTTAACAAAACACTCTCCCTCTAAAGTCTTCCCCCAACCATTTACCATGGCATCAGTCTCCTCACTTGAGATCCAACATTTAGCTAATCCTTTGGGCCCTGTCTGCTGAGGAAACATATTAAAATTCCACTGGGGGGAGAAAGGGAGGCCTGGCTAGGAAGTCAAAGCTCTGTAGCCTTCTCCTATAAGCGTGGATTATTTTTATTAGATTCCCTAAGTGCTGGAAAATGGGATGAGTACATTTTAAAAGTTCAGTTGAATGGAAGGAGCCAGTGAATGGAAGGGTCTATCTTTCTAGGTACCAAGTCTATGGGACTCTAAATTAGGAGCAGAGCAGGCCGCTCCAGAAGAGAATAATAAAAAGGAGCAACAGGAGGAATATCAAGGAAAGAGTTTCTCCTTTCTGAATCTTACTGAATGCTGGCCCTAAGTGGAAAAGCACGACATTCTTTGAGCAAATTAGCTTTAATATGACTTTCCAAATAAAATCTTCCGTATTATTTTCATTTCATCAAAACTTGTTTCTGACTCATCCACTTAAAACATATAAAGTAATAGAATTCTATAGTAACTTATTTGCAATTAACTGTCTTAAAATTTGGTTTGTACCTTACTGCTCTTTACAAACAATTCTGAAGGTATTTTAATTTACCTATCATCTTTACTCATTGATCTTTCTAAATTCATATCAAGCTCTCTTCAATTCATTCTTAATTTTACACATATTCCATAAAATATGTGTATTTTAATTTAACAGTTTCTGCAAGAAACACTCATTTTTACAGTGAATTTCTTTTTTAAAAGCATTAAACAATTTAAAAAATTTTCATGGACTTTTCCTCAATGCCAGATGTTTATCTGCATATTCATTCTTGCTAAGGTGTAAGTATTGCATGTGTTTATTCATTTGATATTCTTTTATAATAAAATGAAAGAAAGTAATAACATATCAACCAAAATTATCAGAATTATACAGCTTCTATAGATGCAGAGGTTCAGAACCACGATATTGAAGACAGATTTAAATAATGCTTTCCATTGTGAGGAAATGCAACAAATTGAAAATCTAATCACAATATCAAAGCAAATATATATTACCAGGGTCTTCTTACATGCTAACAATAAAAAATGTATTGAACACCAAGTCCTAATCTCTATTTTTCTGTGATCATTTTAATAGTCAACAAGTAGCTAGCTTCAGTATTGACAATTGAAGAGGTCTTAAAATGGAGTGTACTACTATGCCTAATAATTTCCTACTAAATTGACCATGTCAAAAAACATTTATGTGTGTCTTTCAATAGAAGACAATAAAAGAAAAGAAAATTGTTGCCACTTATCAACCCTGTAACCATTTTTTAATAACACAAAAAATAGGTGTTGTGGGGGCCATCACTTCTCCCATCCAGCAGCACAATAAAAATAATATTAGGGAAGAATGGATCATATCTTGGGCTGTTATTAAAATTCTTTCAAAAATCTACAGTCAGATTTATTTTAGGTATTTGTCTCTGAGATTAGCAATATTTTGATGTTTTCTGCACATATGTTACAGCACACAAAGACATTCTGTAAAAGCAAGAAGTCAATATAAAAGAAAATTACATGTCAGTTTAGGACTAACAAATCCTTTTCATTTCTAAGGTTTATTATTTTGGAATATTTCAAAGAAGGAAAATTATATAATTACATAAATAACAAAAGTATACCTCTAATTTGCCTCTCCTCTCAGAGTAACCTTCAATGAAATCAGCTGTGACTTCTTTTTTAAATATAAAAGTTTGCTTATGAATTAGAAACTTACACTCATTTCACCCTATATCTTAAATGAAATTTAGAAAAAAAATTTCAAGTGTCATGATAGACAGTATTCCTTTACATTTTAAAAGCTCCTTGCTTTTTAATTAGCTACATAGTAACCTTTTTAAGGGTTTTTAGTGCTAACATTAATACAATGCTTTAAAGTGAGTATCTTTCACACTGAAATTCAAGCTATTTCTCATTGTTATACCCTTTTCTCTTTCCTTATCTGGATGTTGAACAATACATATTTTTATAAAACAGTTGGTTAAAGGTGCAAAGTCTCACATTATTTCTAGTAGTTATTTTTAAATGCACTTCAAACTAAAACTTTATAACTTATTCTGTCTTTAACATTTTAGTACAAAATCTTAGCAAATCATCTTATTATTATAACATTTTAGTAAAAGACATTGGAATTTGACAGCTGCAAATATGAAAAGAACATTCTTTTCTACATCAAAGGAAACCAGCCAATGTTTTAATCACAGGTAAAAGCGTCATATTTTGTAGAAATGTTTATATGTTCACACCAAAATGTAGGAAACTCTGCCGAACATGTTCAAGTTTAAATTTCATGTACAATATAAAGTTAAAACTTACCTTTTCTCGGCAATGACCTGTTATTGAAACTGCCATCAACTCCTAACTGTTAATGACTCTTTCAACAAAAACGGAAAACAGTAAAGTCACATGTCGTAAGAGTAGGCCTGTGTTGGATGCTGCTTAATTTCAGTACTGGGGGAAGAAAAAGGCGGGGGGTGGGGTGAGCACAAAACTTTTAAATAAAACCACTTCCTGGGTAGAGACAGTTAACCACACACATCACATCATTACTCAATTTGAAGAAATTGCCTTGTATAGTCAACAATATTGTTATTTTTCAATGTTATTATCAATTGTCAAACAAGACACATGTATAGAGATTTTATCAATTTTAACTTAAGGGAGGAAAATGTGTGATTAAAAATTCATCAGTGGGAGGAGCAGACTGCTAAGCACTGAAGAAACTTCCTCTTTCTCTGCCTTCTAGCAAGGGCTGAAAAATGAAGCGTCTACTCTGCTGGCTACGCTTGAGATGCTCCCATGCTATCAGGACACTCTGCATATTGACTTTGGAAGCAAGGAAGCCACCTCCAATTCACAGAGCTGGTGCCTCTGCCTCATTCATGAAAGGACCCACCAAAACCTGATCCAGTTAACAGGTTCATCAGGCCTTGGGAGGGTTGCATTAGAACTTCAGAAAACACAGCCCAGAGCCACGCCGCCATCTGAGCATCTGGGGAAAAGGCAGGTGTTCATCATGCTCGTCGAACACACCCTGTGGCATTTGCTGTGACTGTGGCTCTCATACGGATGTGTCCACTCTGGCAATTTCCTAAGCAGTTCTGAAACCTGCTGAAGAGCTTTTGCTCTAGCTGAGTGATTCTTTGTGTGGTCTGACTTAAAAAGAAAAAAAATATATATTATAATAAAGGATCCAAACAATATCATTTTGGCATGCTGCTGAATGCCCTCTTGTGTCAAACTTCAACAAACCCAAGACATATTTGTAAGGGGTCTCAGAAATAACTCTAGGATGTGCATCTTTATTGAGCCATGGAGTTCAAGAATAAGCTCCTGGATTTTCAGGCTTGGCTGGTTTTGTGAGATTTGCAGCTTAATCATAAAAGGAAGAGAGGAAAAGCTTTCCTTCCAAATATATGAGAGAGTTAAATCACAATCTCTTGTCATACAAACCAATTAGACTAGAAATCTGTGTAATAGAGCTCAGTGGTATAGAATGTTTGGCATACTAAAAGTCAATCTTTAAAAATAGATTTGGTGGATATGGCCCAAGTTAGGGATGGCATGTCCCTATCAGTTAACTGAATTTCTCTGGGATCTTTTTCTAAAAATCACATTTCAGATTGACCCTAGAATTCACTGTCAGTTCTCATTTCAGGAAGGACCTTTTTAAGTGTTTAGAGTCCTGAAGATTTGTACTGAATGCTTCTCCTTAACACCGAAGAGAAAATGGAAAGTTCATAATATTAAAAGTGAGGAAAGCAGAATTCCGGGCTTAATTCTGACACTGCTATTCACTTAACCTTGGCCAAGTTACTTAAGTTCTCTGAAATTTAGTTCATTTATCCATGTAATGAAACATCCGCATAAAAAAATCCATCTTGGGGAACACGATAAGTAAATAGATGTATATATTTTGTATATCATAAGGAATTGTAGATATATAAATTAGCATGAGCTGGGAAATGTTGATAACTCCTAAGAAGCATCAGAGAACTTCAGTACATTCTGCTTGATTTAAGCCTTTGTAAATCTGAGTTAGACTCAGAAGTCTAGGACAAGGAAAATAAATTAGGCCTTTCCTTGTTTTTGTTTGCTTGTTTTTACGGAGTCTCGCTCTGTTGCCAGACTGGAGTGCAGTGGCGCGATCTCAGCTCACTGCAAACTCTGCCTCCCGGGTTCAAGGGATTCTCCTGCCTCAGCTTCCCGAATTGCTGAGATTACAGGCATGCACCACCATGCCCAGCTAATTTATGTATTTTTAGTAGAGACGAGGTTTCACCATGTTGGCCAGGATGGTCTCTATCTCTTGACCTCATGAGCCGCCCGCCTCGGCCTCCCAAAGTGCTGGGATTACAGGCGTGAGCCACCACTCCCGGCCATGCCTTTCCTTTTAAATAGATACTAACATCAGGCATCTGACTAGGAAAAATATAAAATAACAATATACCCTTATGGTAATAAATAAATGTAAATACCTGCTTAAGGGTGACACAATATTTGTTGGCATCAACAATTAGTTAATGGAGACAAGTGCCCCTTTTCTTTGTATAAGGTGGAAGGTGAGCCCCTTAGGCAGTGTGATATGCCTGGGTTTGATTTCTTTTTTCTTTTCTTTTCTTTCTTTCTTTTTTTTTTTTTTTTTGAGACAGAGTCTCGTTCTATTGCCCAGGCTGGAGTGCAGTGGCATGATCTCGGCTCACTGCAACCTCCGCCTCCAGGTTCAAGTGATTCCCAGGTTCAAGTGCCTCAGCCTCCCGAGTAGCTGGGATTACAGGCGTGCACCACCACACCCAGCTAATTTTTTATTTTTTTTAGTAGAGACGGGGTTTCACCATGTTGGCCAGGATGGTTGTTAACTCCTGACCTCAGGTGATCCGCCCGCCTCGGCCTCCCAAAGTGCTGGGATTACAGGCGTGAGCCACTGTGCCCGGCCCTGGATTTGATTTCTAAAAGGAGAGGTACTTACTATGATTAAGGCTACAGGTCAGTGCCTTGACACTTGTGGCTTGATATGCTCACTGTTTTTAGTAGCTAAGATTTTTTGAATGTTTGCCATAATCCAAGCATTGTACCAAGCACTTTACATTCATTCTGCCTTTTAATCCTCACAACAAATTTGTGAGCTAGCCAATATTATTGTATTATTTTTACATATGAGGAAACTGAGGTTACTTTGTTGCCCAAACTAGTAAGGAGTAGAGCCAGGAGTCAAACGCAGATGCTCTGACCTCAGAGCCCTTTTTCTCAATTACTGTGCTAGCTCCTAACCACTTGGCATGCAGCACAACTCTAAGCCAATAGTGCTCAGGAAAAATTTTACTTCTGGTATTCCTTTTGCCTTTTCACTGACTGGAATGATCAACTTAGAAGGTAGGAATCATTTCTAGGAATCATAAAATCAAGTCTCCAGAAAGTTCTCTAAATTTTAAATCTATATCAAAGAAATTAAAAGAAGATCAGGATAAACAGAAATGTACTATGTTCACAGATTTTTAAAAAAAGTGGAAATGCATCAATCTACCTAAATTATTCTACAAATAGATTCAATAAAATCATAATTATAATTCCAACTGGACTTTTTGAAGAATGCAATGAGCTCCTTCCAGAATTTCCTAGAAGAACAAATGTCCAAGAATACCTAAGCTCATTTTGAAACAAACAAAAAATCAAGGACTGTTGATTTTCTATGTTAGATTGACATGGTCCAAATCACAGAATTAAAAACATTTCAATGCTGGGCCAAGGAGCAGCTCAGAAAATCAGCGTATTTATTTGGGAACTTGACATATGACAAAGATAGCATCATAGATAAACAAAAAGGAACAGATCTGTTTCATCAGATAATATTGGTGAGACATACTTACTAAATAGAGGATAATAGATTTGGGCTTCTACATTAGACACAGGGAAAGATGGACCTCACATGGATAAAACCACAGTTGAAAGGTCAAACCACGCTGTTGACACAGTAACAGGAAGGAAAATATTTTTGCAAAATGGAACTTTCTTAAACAGTGTCCCTACATTAAAAAGAAAAAGAGCAAAAATATGTGTATTTCACTATACATTATATATTTCTGCTAAAGAAATACATAGACAAATATTATAGAAAAATAAGAGACTAGTAGAAAATATCTAGCTTTACAAAATATTTATACAGACCAATAGGAAAACGATAAGCATCCCAATTGGAGAATAAGAAAATGAGTTGAATAAGTAATTCAATAATAGGATTGTCCTGATATCCAACCAGTGTGTGAAGAGATGCACAAGATCTACAGTAATACAAGTTAAGTTGGCTCCCAATGAAATGGTAAAAATCTGGCTGAGAATGTATGGAAAAAGGAACTCTCATACATTGCTGGAGGAAATGTAAACTGAAACCATTCTGATAAGCAATCTGGCAAAAATGAACAAAATAAAATATATGCAGGCACTGTGTTCCAGCAACCTAAATCTGGTGTAAATATATGGTCCAGATAAATTTATCACACAGAATTGTTTTTCCTCCTTTATCACCAGAAGTTAAATGATTTTGGTCTTGGCTCTTGTGGCTCAGGTAATATTTACCTGCATTGCATCTGTGTGTTTGCGTATGGTTAGGGAGAAAAACAGGGGTTTCTAGTCCCTCTGAACGGATGTTGTGAGTTGGACACTAAAGGAGACTAGAAAAGGGAGGAAAGGCATGACCTAACCTGAGAAAGAGTTAGGTTTCCCCTGACAAGGATGAGAGAGAGGGATGGTTTTCTCTCCCCGTGGGAGAGCTATGCTTCGCTCCCAAGCAGCTGCCCAGCGCTGGCAAAAGCTTTCATCTGCGGGGAGCAATCTATTAACTTATTGAGCACTTACTCTATGTCAGGCAATATAGTAGAATTTACATGTATTGTTGGTATAGGTTTGCTCCCCCCGACCTCCAAATTTTATACACTGAAATCCTAAGCCCTGAGGTAACGGTACTAGGAGCTGGGGCCTTCTGTGGGGTCAGTAGGACATGAGGGTGGAGCTCTCATGACTGGAAGTAATGCCCTTCTAAAAGAGACCCCAGAGAGCTAGCTCACCCTTCCCTGTGAGGAGACAGTGAGAAAGTGCCATCTATAAGGAAGTGGGACCTCACCAGGCACAGAGTCTGCTGGCATCATGATCTTGTATTTCTCAGTCTCCAGAACTGTAGGAAATAAATTTTCGTCATTTTTAAGAGAGCCAGTTTGTGGTATTTTTGGTATAGCAGCCTGAACAGACTAAAACAACTATATCTTACATACTGGTTAGGAATAGAATATGAATAACTAGAATATAGAATACATTAGATAGTAATACTGATAAGGAAAAAAGAGAAAAGGAGAGAAATGGGTCATAAAATGATGATGAAGTATAAAATTTTAAGCTGTATGAAAGAGGTCTCACTAAGGAAAATAAAGACCTAAGAAAAGTGAGGGAACTGGCACTGTGAAATTAGAGATGGAGGGCAGGCGTTCCAGGCAGTAGGAATAGTTGGTGCAAAAGCCCTCAATGAAGATTGTGCCTGGCATGGTAGAAAAGCCTCATGGGGATGAGAGTGACTCCAGTGGAGTGAGACACGAGGGGCACAGGGACTTATGTCAGAGGAGTAATTGATGGCTGAACCACGTGGGTCCCCTTAATCTTTTAAAAAATCTGGTTGAAGAGGAAAAACGTTAAGATAATCTGACTCACAGTTTTATCAGGTAATGCTGTCTGTTGTAGGAAGAACTGGCTGAAGAGGGGCAGGAGTTGAACCAGGGAGACCAGTTTGCTAGCTATTGCAAGTATCCATGGCAGAGGTAATTGGGACTTTGACCAAGGTGGGGCAGCAGGTATAATAGAGAAATGGTCAAGTTCTAGATGTGTTTTGAATATGGACTCAATAGGATTTTCTTTTGAATAGCAACTGAGTAGAAATCAAGTTTTACTGAGACAGAAATGCTTTTAGAGGAGCTGGCTTTGGTGGATTGGGGCACATTAGGTTGCATGAAGTACATGTTAAGTTTGAGATGTTTATTTGTCATCTCAGTGAAGGTGGCCAGTGTACAGGTCAAGGAAGCAGTCCAGGTTAAATACATAAATTTGGAAGTCGTCAGTATAAAAGCACCATTTAATAACACGAGACTGGATGTGACAGCCTGTGGAATGTGTGTATCTAGGAAAAAGAAAATATTCAAGGACTGAACGCCAGAGCTCAGTTTAACGATTGGGAGAAAGAAAAATAACAAAACAGACTAAATGAATCAAAACAAAACAAAAACAAAACGGGAGCCTGGAGGGAAGGAGGGAAAAACAGGTGAATGTGGTGTCCTGAAAACCAAGTGAAAATGTTTTTTAAGGAAGAGAGATTGATAAATTGTCAAATGCTACTGACACCTCAAATGAGAGTGGCAAAATCACCTTCAGATATAGCAAGATGGAGGGCACTGTGACCTTGACAAAAAAGCAATTTGTGTGAGATATAGATGAGGAAATCTTCTTTTAATAGGTTGAAGACGGCAGGTGTAGATATCTTTTAAATTATACTCTATAGGAAGAATAGACATATAAGAAACAGCATGGCACCTTCAGGAAGAAATGGAGTCAGAGGGCTTAGTTTTTATTTATGTATTTTGTTTGGTTGGTTTTGGATGGGAGAATAGCAACCTGTGTGTATGTCATCGGGGGATGATTCTATAGAGGGAAAAAACTGATGATGCCAGAGAGAAAGGGAAGAACCTACGGAGTCCTGCCCTCAAGCAGAAGAGAGGTAATAAGATTCAGGGCACGGGTGGCATTACTGGCCTTGGCCTTGGTGAGAAGCAGAAGTAGCTCTCACTCATTGTAACAAGAGCCAAGCCAGAGTACGTGGGCAAGGTGTAGGTAAGCAGGGAGGTGCACTGTTTGGTGTCAGTGGAAGTTCTTTTCCAATTACAACAACACTTCCAGTCAAATAGGAAGATGGGAATAAGAATTACCATGGGGGAAAAATGGGGTAAAGGGTTAGAGGTCTTAGGAGGGCGGAGACCATGTGAAGCAGTCCAACACCGTGAGGATTCTTGGGTGCCAGGAACATCAGAGTGATGTGTTACAAATTGTGCCCCTGAACGTTGACAAGGAGCATTTCAGACACATTCATAATGGCCTGGGGAGCTTGCCTGAGGACCACAGAGACACCAGGGATTTCTGTGTAGTTTCAAGGGCTGAAGGTTGGTGGTGGAGCTGGGGGACAAAGTGTGATAGAAATTACATTTCTCACCAAAGAAAGAAGGACACGACCAAATTTATATTATTAACAAAGAAAAATGGGACATTTCTTTCAAGGAAATGTCATACTCTTATAGGGAAAAAAAGTCTGCATTCAGTCACTCATTCACTCAAGAAATATATACAAGCACTTGCTTTATTCTAGACACAGAGCCAAGCTCCAAGCATATGATTTCTTGGAGATTAGTAATGTCATTGAGTGGAGAGTGACAGATAATAAACAAATAAGAAAATGAAATATATTAATAAAAAATATGCCCAAGTAAGAGCCAAGGAGAAAGGAAGGTGAAATTAGCAGTTAGCGAGTATATACAACTCTTTCAAGAGATCATGATCTAAGGGGAAGTTAGAGATGTATTAGTTCCTTGAGGCGGAAGAAGGGACTGGAGGGGTTTATTTCTGTTTCCTTTTTCCAGATAAGGGAACACTAGCTTGACTGTATGCAGACTGGAAGAATTCATTAATTCAGCATAGAAAATAATGACTTATTGGAGTGATGACCCCAAGTAGGTCAAAGGAGAGATATTGGTTTTGGTGTCAAGAAAGACAATTCATGGAACAGAAGAAAAAGGAAAGTATCCATATGAAGGCAGATGGGTATGATATTTCTAATAAGATGACATTTGATGCAAGATCTCAGAAAACTCAGGGAGGGATCCTGGTGTATATCCAAAGAAGAGTGTTCCAGACAGAGAAAAGAGTAAATGCAAAGTTTACTCTTTGCATGCTTAACAATTTGATGAATAGCAAGAGATGTATGCCTGGAAAATAAAGAATGACGGGGAGATTATGTAGGGCACTGGATGGCAAGGTAATAACAATGATTTATGTATGTTGTACAACTTATTATGTTAGGTAGTGTGAATTTAAAGATAAAAGTGTTTGCCTTTCTTCTGCCATCTTTGCCTATCAAAGCACTGTAATTGCATCTTGGTTTATTCTATTCATGTCATTCATTTTAATTTCATAACAGGACAAGGGCTGCCTTTCTTTTATTAACTTAAATACCCACAAGGTGAAGTCTTCAGGATTTGCTTTTGGCTCAGGAATATAATCTGGAACCACAAGATTATGGGGACCTGTACCTAGCCCAGGTTTCAGGAACACAGGCCTTACCTTCTAGCCTCTATCTCCATTTTGAGAACCCCCAAATTTATAAACTTTCTAATGAGAGAAACAGAAAAAGAAGCAAGCTATTTCTGAAGCATTTCAGTTTATGCCACAATGTGTATGCAAACTATAATGAAGAGACTTCCTGTTCTAGCAACATTGCCTACTGAACTGACAAGGATCTTCCTCCCACTGTGAATGCATAGAAATGCAAGAAAAAATATGAATTAAGAATATTAACCACATAGCTAAGCCTCCCAGAAAAGAAAGTAAACTCACGAAGAGACAGAATTTAAAAGGAAATTTCTAGCTAATGAAGTAAACTTGCAGGCTGCTGCTATAGCAAATTGAGGGGGAGTGCAGTCCCTTGGGTCAAGGAATTTCATGTTCGTTGAGGAAAAGAAGCCATGGAATTGAGTTTATCCAAAGCCAGGAGTTAGTAGTTACTCCTGTTTAAAGATGAAACCATAAAGTGTCTATGACCATCACAAAAGAGGAGCTAAAATAGATAAAAGCAAGAAAGCTTACCTGTGCCTGGGGTTCTAGGTGGAAAAAATGTCTTTAGTGAGAAATTGAAAACTGGTTCATGTTGAGGATCTAGAATCATAATCTCTTCTCTTATCCTGGAAGTCCCAACACTACAAATTCATATAAAACTGCTTTTAGTAAAGAACCCAGAAATAAAACCAAATACTACAGCTAACTGATCTTCAACAAAGCAAACAAAAACATAAAGTGGGGAAAGGACACCCTATTCAACAAATAATGCTGGGATAACTGGCTAGCCACATGTAGGAGAATGAAGCTAGATTCTCATCTCTCACCTTACACAAAAATCACCTCAAGATGGGATCAAGGACTTAAATCTAAGACCCAAAACTATAAAAATTCTAGATCACAACATCAGAAAAACCCTTCTAGACATTGGCTTAGGCAAAGATTTCATGACCAAGAACCCAAAAGCAAACGCAACAAAAACAAAGATAAATAGGTGGGACTTAATTAAACTAAAGAGTTTTTCACAGCAAAGTTTTGTCAGCAGTGTAAACAGACCACTCACAGAGTGGGAGAAAATCTTTACAATCTATACATCTGACAAATAATTAATATCCAGAATCTACAAGGAACTCAAATAAATAAGCAAGAAAAAAACAATCCAATCAAAAAGTGGGCTAAGAACATGAATAGACAATTCTCAAAAGAAGATATTCAAATGGCCAACAAACATATGAAAAAGAAATGCAAATCAAAACCAAAGTGTGATACCACCTTATTTCCGCAAGAATGGCCATAATCAAAAAATAAAACAATAATAGATGTTAGCATGGATGTGGTGAAAAGGGAACACTTCTACACTGCTGATGGGAAAGTAAACTAGTACAACCACTGTGGAAAACAGTGTGAAGATTCCTTAAAGAACTAAAAGTGGAACTACCATTTGATCCAGCAATCCCACTACTGGATATCTACCCAGAAGAAAAGAAGTCATTGTAGGAAAAAGATACTTGTACACTCATGTTTATAGCAGTATAATTCACAATTGCAAAAATGTGGAACCAACCCAAATGCCCATCAATCAACGAGTGGATACAGAAAGTGTGATATATGTGATATATACACACACACACACACACAAACACATACACACACAAATGATGGAATATTCATATATATAATGTATATATATCGTGTGTGTGTGTGTATATATATATATATATATATATATATATATATATATTTGATGGAATACTCAGCTATAAAAGGAATGAATCGACAGCATTTGCAGCAACCTGGGTGGGATTGGAGACTATTATTCTAAATGAGGTAACTTAGGAATGGAAAACCAAACATCACATGTTCTCACTCATAAGTGGGAGCTAAGCTATGAGGATGCAAAGGCATAAAAATGATACAGTGAACTTTGGGAACTCGAGGGGAAAGGATGGGGAGGGGGTGAGGGATAAAAGACTACAAACTGGGTTACGTATATACTGCTCAGGTGATGGGTGCACCAAAATCTCACAAATAACCACTAAAGAACTTACTCATGTAACCAAATACTACCTGTTCCACAAAAACTTATGGAAATAAAAAATTAAAAAACAAACAAACAGCTTGTAGCTCAGTGAAACCCACGTGACCTTTAGAAGAAACAAATGTAAAACAACTATGTAGCCAACACTTTCTCAACCCAGACTGCATGGAAGTTCAGCCCCAGCCATACACTCACACTCTCATAATAAAATGCTTTCACAATGTGAAATGACACTGCATATCAAGAAGTTATCAAGCACCTGCAAAAGTCATCAGGAATAAAAACAGGACAAATACTTTCTTCAAAGTTTGTTTATAGAAAACCAGAAAGAACCTCCAAAATGAAAGTAGTAAGGTTAAATACAAAGATTACAAATTAAATAGATGCCATGAGGAAAACCAGCACTTCATAAAATATGACTGGCTATTTTTATAAGAATCAACTAGAATTTTTTTAAGTAGTAAGATTAAACATTTAAAAGATATACCAAATAGCAAATCAATGATAGGTGAATAGATAATTAGCAAACTTGAAGAAAGACATGAAAAAAAACAATAATATGGCAAGAAAAATAAGATGCCAAATACAAAGGAATGAATAAGAAACATGAAGAATTTAATACATCTCAAAGGAGTTCCAAAGGAAAGGAATAAATAAAATGGTAGAAAACAAAATATAAAGAAGTAAAGGCTTAGAATATCCTTCAATTGATTAAAAGACTTGAAGACATTACAGGGGACTAGGATAGAAGATGGTAGATTGAGATGAGTATGATATCCATTAACTGAGATTTTTCTGAACTGAATTTTGAGGAAATATTCTGATGCATTATCAGGCTGTGTATATGTACACGTAAAGAGAGGCATTGACTGATGGGGTTGTGCTCTCTGCTCTGGTGAATATGATAATTTATGAGCCCTGTACCCGCCAGAAGGAAAGAACTGCAATTATTCTCTGTGATTATCTGGCTGCTGTCATACCTCATTATACATTTTATTTTGCCAACTAAACACCAAATTGTAGCCTTCCAATTTTCCAATGAGCCCATATTACAGATGGAAAGTATAAGCAACTGATGAGGCTATCTAGTAATGTGCTGAAGCAGGCTTGAATGAGTATTTACACCACAGAAATTGGCAACATTTCTATAATCTGGGGCCTTAGTTCTCAGAGATTCCATTATTATATATTTATCACATACTACTGGAGATATGCTGTTGATGGAATGAGTTAACCCAATACCTCTAAGCAATAACAGAAAGTTTTCATTGAAAAAGTTATTTTTTTATTTTTTAAATTAACAAGTAAAAACTATATATATTTATGGTGTACAATGTGATGTTTTGATATGTAAGTGTCACGGAATAGTTAAATCAAGCTGTTTAACATGTTCATTATTTTACGTATTTATCCTCTTCTTTTGTGGTGAGAACACTTAGAACCTACTGAAACTTTGAGTCCTTTGGCCAACATCTTCCCAACCCCTCCACTCCCCAGCCTTTGGTAACACCATTCTACTCTCCTGTTTCTGTGAGTTCAACTTTTTAACACTCAACTTATATGTGAGATCATGCAGTATTTGCCATTCTGTATTGGCTTATTTAACTTAGCTTGATGTCTACCCCAGGTTCATTCATGTTGTCACAGACAGAATTTTTCCTTATTTTTTAAGGCTGAGTAGTATTCTGTTGTGTATATACACCACATTTTCTTTATCCATTTTTCATTGATTTTTGGCTATTGTGAATAGTGCTGCAATAAACTTGGGAGTGCAGATATCTCTTTCACATACTGATTTCATATCCTTTAGAAATATGCCCATGATATGGTTTGCCTTTTGGCCCCAACCAAATCTCTCATCAAATTATAATCCCCACATGTTGGAAGAGTGGGCTGGTGAGAGATGAATGAATCATGTGGGTGGACTTCCCCCTTGCTGTTCTCATGAGAGTGAGTGAGTTTTCATGAGATCTGGTTGTTTGAAAGTGTGTAGCACTTTCCCCTGCTCTCTTTCTCTTTCCTGCTGCCATGTGACGAAGGTCCCCGCTTCCCCCTCTGCCATGATTGTAAGTTACCGGAGGCCTCCTCAGCCATACCTCCTGTATAGCCTGTGGAACTGTGAGTCAATTAAACCTATTTTCTTTTTAAATCACCCAGTTTCAGATAGTTCTTCATAGCACTGTGAGAATGGCCTAATACAACCCAATAGTGGGATTGTTGGATCATATGGTAGCTCTAATTTTAATGTTTTGAGGAATATCCATACTGCTTTCCATATTGGGTGTACTAATTTACATTCCTACCAAAAGCGTACAAGGGTTCCCTGTTTTCCACGTCCTTGCCACACTTGTTGTCTTTCATCTTTTTGATAGTGGTCATCTTGACAGCTGTGGGTAATACCAAGTTTTGGATTTGCATTTTCCTGATGATTAGTGATGTTGAGCATCTTTTCATATACTTGTTAACTATTTGTATGTTTTCTTTTGAAAAAATGTCTATTCAGATCCTTTGTATATTTTTAATCGGATTTTTATTTTCTTACTGTTGAGTTGTTTGAGTTCCATATGGAGTTTACACATTAATCCCTTATCAGATACATGGCTTGCAAATATATTCTATTCCATAGATTGTCTTTTTATTCCATTGATTGCTTCCTTTGCTATGCAGAAGCTTTTTACTTTAATGTAATCCCATTTGTCTATTTTTGTTGTTGCCCATACTTTTGAGATCATATCTAAGAAATCTTTTCCAAGACCCATCTCACAGAGCTTTCCTCCTATGTTTTCTTCTAGTAGTTTTACAGTTTCAGGTCTTACGTGTAACTCTTTAATTTATTTTGAGTTGGATTTTGTAAATGGTGTGAGATGAGGGTCTAATATCATTCTTCTGCATATGAATATTCAGTCTCCTAGTACCATTTATAGAACAGACTGTTGTTTCTCCATTATGTGCTCTTGGCATCTTTGTCAAAAATCAATTGACATTAAGTGTGTAGATTGTGGACTCAGTATTCTGTTCCATTTATCTATGTGTCTGTTTAAATGCTAGTATCATGCTGTTTTGATTACTAGAGCTTTGTAGTCAATTTTGAAATCAGGTAGGGCAATGTCTTCACCTTTCTTATTTTTGCTCAAATTGCTTTGGCTCTTTGGAATCTTTTGTGATTCCATACAAATTTTAGGATTGTTTTTTCTATTTCTGAAAAAAAATGACATTGGAGTTTTGATAGGCATTGCATTAAATCTGTAAATCACTTTGAGTAGTATGGACATTTTAACGATATAAATTCTTCCTATCCATAAACATGAAATATCTTATCATGTATTTGTGTCTTCTTCAATTTATTTCATCAATGTTTTACAGTTTTTAGTGTACAGCTCTTTCTTCTCCTTGGTTAAATTTATTCCTAAGTATTTAGTTAGTATATCTACTGTAAATGGGATTATTTTCTTATTTCTTTTTGGATAGTTCATTGTGTTTAGAAATGCTACGGATTTCTGTAGGTTGATTTGTATTCTGCAACTTTACTGAATTTATTAGTTCTAACAGGTTTTTTTTGGTGGAGTCTTCAGGATTTTCTATATAGAAGATATGTCATCTGCAAACAGAGCATATTTAACTTCTTTTTTCCTCATTTGTATTCCTTTTATGCTAAGATCCCCACTGTTATGTTGAATAGAAGTGGCCAGAGTGAGCATCCTTTTCTTGGTCCTGATCTTACAGGAACAACTTCCCACTTTCACAGTTGAGTATGATGTTAGCCATGGGTTTCTGTATACGGTTTTTATTCAGTTGAGATACATTTTCTTCTGTACCTAATTTGTTGAGAGTTTCTATCAGGAAAAGATGGTGAATTTTGTTGAATGTCTTTTCTTCATGAAAAAGTTATATTCTAAACTAAAGCATGCACATATACACACACAGGGGCCACATAGTTCCCAGAAACGGATTTTGAGTTATTTCAAGGTTTTATATTACAACTTATCACTAACGTGTTTCACACTGAAACACAACAGAAGCATTTCTATCTGGTTAGATTCAAACATAATGTTAGGACCTCTTTGAAAGAACATAATAATGAGGCTAAACTTTCTTTTTGTTCACCACTAGAAATGAGAATAATTAGGACATGGAGAAAATATAAATAGCAACCTAAATATAAATAGCATCCTGCTAGACTTGGCAAATGCAATGATATATTTTCATCTAATACAGTAGCAACAACAAAAATAAAGAAAAATAAATTAATGAGAATCTTAAAAAATCACATTTAAAACATGTATGGCCAAAAAAAATACCTAAAATGTTTCCTTAAAGCGATGTCTTTATGGGTTTGTCATGGGTCTTATACACTTTTGTGTCTTATGAACTGCCCAAGCTATGTCTGTTTGCTTTGCTCAGGAAGGACAGAGATAAGCAGAGTTTTTAAAAGATTACATGGAAGAATTATTTGTACCAATATTTTGGTCTACTAAAAAGGCCTGTGAAGACATAAAGTGGTACAATGTTGCAGAGATGCTAGTAAAAGCTGCTGTACCTTCTACATCCTGTTGGCAGTTAATTTTCCATGGGTCTCTTGCATTTCTGGTCATTTATGGGCTAGAGGCCATAATGGCTTTCTCTGGAGTATCTCTTCAAGGACTTTGTATAGGAAACAGCCTTGGAACATATAGTGTCTTCCTCTGGAGCAAAGAAGAGACTTGTTCACTGCTGAGAATAATAGAGATCATGTCTATTTTTGGTGCAAAAATTGATTGGACAGGTTTTTCTTTATACATGATGGGGGTTTTGTAATTTCAGGTTTTCTCAGCTGTGACAGAAACCTCACTGTGTGAACATTTTCCACTTGAGCCCAGGTCCACATTGCTTCCCTGGGACCTGAGGGGCAAGGGAAATTGATAGGAACATGAAGCACATGCTGCCAGCTGTGCTGTGAGTAAAAGTCCTTTGTATCTGACCCAGGACTCTCCAGTCTTCTTCCACCATCTTTAAAACGTCAGCAGACTTCCTTGCTAGTTTGTACATAGAGCAAAATCCCAAACCCTTTGCAGTTATCAGTGCATTCAATTCTTCCAATTATGACTTTTCTCCTTTGTACTTTTCATCACTTCAATCACTGGTCATTTCATTCTTTCTTCCAAATCTTTATGCTATATTGTCTTATTTTTTATTCTTACTTTACTCGACCTGACCTCAACTTCAATATATGAATACAACACCCAATATAGGCCTTGCCACATAATCTATATATGTGGAATAAACCAATACATTTCAAAGTTTCTATCTCTAAAGAGAATTTCTTGCTGAGTTTATCATTGACAACTTAAATTAGATGTGCATAATGTTAGTTCAGTGTTGGGTTTCAATTGTTAATTTCCTTTTAAATTGTAGGATGTAGAATTGATTATAGCAATTTTATGAACTATATTTTTCAAGGGTTTTCCACACCATTTCCTTCTTTCTAGGGGATTTCTTTCTCTCTCTCTTCCTTTTGATGTACAGGGCCATTTAAGTCCTCTATGCATTTCTGGAAAACTAAAAACTCAAATCTAAGCCTGTTGAACCTCTTGTCACACAAGTATTTGAAAGAATGATACTTAAGGGAAATAGAAAATGACACTTTTCCCCTCATCTTTTGAAGACGAAATGATCCACCCCCCTTGAATTCTACCAAAGGAGATTCCTAGCTCATTTTCCTTAGCAAGAGCTTTAAAGTGTAAAAAACTCATCAAACATCTTTTCCTCTGAGACAATGTCATCTGAGTTCAAAGGATGTACACAGCTTTGCAAAACTGCTGTCTTGTTTCAATGATAAGGCCTTGGCTTTCATTTTATGTTTGATTCCAAGAAAATCAAATCTGTTTTTATGTACACTATGACTATAACTAAATCAGAAAATTAGAAGAAATAATCTATTTCTGTAGACAGCTGGGGGCAGGGGGAAAGTTTCCAGTTTAAAAAAAAATCTGATAATGATTCTTCAGCTGAGTTACATTTTTACTCTCTAAAATATGCTTGATTATGTAAACTGAAAACATGTATTTATCCTTCCATACAATAAAAAAAAATCTATTGTGGCTCTTGGGAAACAATACTATCTTCTTACTATGCTTAACTCATTGTAAAACCTTTATTGGCTCACTGGAAGATTGAGGGCAATGTTTCTATCTCAAAAATAAAAGAAAAGAAAGAAAAAGAAAAAAAAATGTAAGTTATAGTCAAAAATAGAGCTATTTAAGCGTATGGTATTTTTTGAACTTCAGTCCTAATTATTACTGATTAATTATATCGACATAATTATTTTACAGTAGTCATGTTTGTTTATTCTACAAATATATCTTGAGCATTTACAACATATTAGGCATTCTCTCCTTTGTGTGTTGCTCTGTCCCCACTCTATCTCTTCTTTCAGTTATTAAATATGCCAAGCTCTTCCCTCCTGGAGGACATTGCTCTAGCTGTCTACTTTGCTACGGAGACTCTGCACCCCATCCTCATGCCCAGCTCCCACATTTTCCATAGCTAGTTTCTGCAAATTTCAGCTTGAAATTCTGACTGACTGTTCAACTTATTTATATAATGTCACATCTTGTTCCACATTTTCTATCTTGTCTCTCTGTTTCTTTTTCATGGTACTAAATTTTTTATTTATTTTTCTATTTATTCATTTCATTTCCTCTTCAAGAATGTGCATCCCCATTAGATCAAGTAGGTTTTTTGTATTGTCTACAATATGTATCTCCAGTATCTTCTTTAGTGCCTGGCATGTAGTAAATGCCTAATAAATAATAACTGAATTAACTGCATTTTTGGAATGCTCAAATTAGCATTACTTATAAACTGAGTTAGAAACATTACAGCTGTAAAAAGCTTTGCAAAATCTTAGCTCAATTCATTTCAATAAACACTTATGGGTATCTAGTTTTAGCGCACTTATATGTTTAAGACAATCATATAAAGATGATTGATATTTATTCTCTGTATTAGTTAGGATTGTATTCAGTTACTTACAAAAGAAAATGCAATATATCAGTGGCTTAGACACATAGGGTTTATTTTTCTTACATAATGAATCTAAAACTAGTTCGTTGCTGGCACTGATTCAGTGCCTTAGAATAGCAAGGGTCCAGGTGTTTGTGACTCTTTATCTTTGCCCTCATGATGCCAAGACAGCTGCCTTAGCTCCTGCCTTCATGTCTGAGTTCCTTGGGGGCATAAAAGGCAAATGAGCAAAACAACACTCTCTTAGTTGTTTCACTTAATAATTTTACTTTTATGTTACAGACCACTATAGGCCAGGAAAACAAAGTTCATAAATGTGGTCTTTTAAAAGCTGGGCACACTGACAGCCAAAAAGAAAATTGGGATTCCATAACATAGAAGAGCAAAATGGTTAATGGATAAGCCACTGTTTCTGGACTCCAAAATGAAAGCTTAGGTAAATTTTATATTATTAAGTTGTATTAATTTTAGGTGACCAGTATGATTTTTTTTTCTTTACAGATCACAAAATCTAGGACGATACAAAATCTAGTGAGATACTCTACCTTCAACTATAAACAAGTAAAACCTACATTATTAATGAAAAAATAGCTCTGTATGTCTAGAGTTTACATAAAAGTGTATATATAAGCATATATATATATAAGCATATATATATATATATATATATATGGATGCATGTGTATACAAAAGCACACATCAATGAGTTAAAAGAAGGTGAAATCCTGTGGTTAAGCCAAGGTCCAGTTTAAAATCATGTCATTCCTAAGTGCTCATTCTTTATTCTTAAATCAAAGTAGAGCCATCAAAAATTCGTCATACTATCTGTGTTAACAAATACCATTTTGGTGGATGGATTGTGGCTACTTTTATTATTTCACTTAATTTAGGGAGACACTTCTTGAAATATTGGCTGATACAAAGCAATGTCACAGAGTAAGAAAATGTTGCCAATACTGATAGCATTATCAATGCTGAGCCCTTCTCCAGTTTGTAGAATTAATCATAGGCATCATTCACAATTAGTAGACATTTGGCTGTCCAAACAAACTTGCTGTCTCTTCCACATCTTATTATGCAAACTTTCCTATTTGGTTTTACTGATCGGTGTCTCCATCTCCTCTCTCTCTTGTTTTATTTATTTGTATAGTACAATCCCTCTAAAAGAAGATAAATGAGACCCAAATAATAAAAAAGAATCATGCAAAACCTAAGACTGTATTATTGCAAGGTTAATGAATGAAATCACAAGGGCTATCCTGTCATCTAGCCAGCTGGAAGTTCTGGGAGATCCATCCACCCAAAGAATCCAAATTGGCGTCAGTTTCATCTGTGGTTTGGCGCCATCTTGTGGCACTTGTTTACATTAGCTTAATTAGAGATGGGGACCATGCTGCCTTTCGTGGCCACCTGGTACTTCCTGTAGGGAGGTTGTAAATTCAGAAATCTCACAGTTACATGGCTCTATAGTTAGTTGGAGACTCGGTTACTTCGATCAGCCATATATGAAGAGATTTGGGCAGAAAAAAATACTGGAAATGTAGAACACACTGTCTCCTGAGTCATGCTTCCTGTGGTTGAGTTAGCCCACTTCATGACAAAAGATTGAATAGTAGAGAACTAATGCCATTCTTTTTATATCTGAGTTTCACTTATTGCAATATTTACTATATTTAAAATGCATTTACCATTTTCTTGTGTACAGCTTACTTGAGATTATGTTTCAGATAATTTACTTCTTTCATTTAGCCCCAAAGGCAATGAACAGATCCAACAGATAAGGGTGATATACAAAATATTTAAGTACTGGTAAGGCATAGGCAATGACTGATCATTAAGAGACATTGCCCATAAACAACAACTATAGCCTTGTACCCATCCGGCTTGGTGCCAGTCCCACCAGCAGGCTATGCTGCAGATTTAGACTGGCAAAACAATAGAAGGCCAGCAGCTTGCTCTACAAGCTCCCTTCTTATATTACAATGCTCCTTGAGTTAAGGAGACTCTGATATGAATGGTCCCAGGACATTAGCAAATAAAGTCATGATGAAAAGTTGACATTGAGAGACTTCAAATTTTATAAAGAGTTACAGAAAACTAAATAATATCTGGATTTTCTTTCCTTTTCCATTTCTGTACCTAATTTAATTAACTAGTGTTGTGAGATTTGTGCCATCTCTCTTTTTTTTCCAATGGTATTATAAACTAAGAAGGCTTTTTGCTGACCCACTTGACAACAGAATTGCCACTTTGCACCTTCCAGGTTTCCAACTATCGCACTACAAATTGGATCTTTAAAATGCGAATTTGGTGACCTCACTGATTTCAGAAGTAGGGGACCATTTCAGCCCTACTGAAGAATTAGTACTATTGGCCATTCACATGTTTATATGAATGACCTTAGGTTGCTTTTTCTCTAACATAAAACTGACACAAGTGGAGCCCCTGCCTTGAGATGAGACCTACATATTTTAGGCCTTGCTCTGGTTTCTCTTTCAGTCATTCTCCTTCCTATAGGGTAAGGAGTCCTCAGGGCCAGGGACATGTGCCTAGCTGAAATCCATGTCTCTGTACCCCTAAACACCTAAAGGTACTGAAGATTTGGAAATTTCCTGCCCAAAGAGCCTTGAGCCTGTTCTCAGATCTTAGTAAAATTCTTTCCTTTACTGCAAGGCTCTGTGTACCACTAGGTCTCAGGTTTGACTATGCGAGAGCTGTTTCGGAGGGGAAGGGGTGGACATACATGTCAGTGAATCCCTTGAGCTGTGGGATGGAGCCCAAGGTGGGAAATAAACCAGGACTCAAACTGAGAACCAGGGGCAAGGGGCTCTGTTCTCCTGCACCCGCATTTCAGGGTGGACTCTAAAAAGCATAAGAATTTTAACTTTGAATCTAGTTTTCCAGGTCATTATAAGGGAATGTATGTCATGGTGGGAAGAGAGAACCATGTTTTATTTAATAGTTTATTAATAATTTGTTTTACAACTTTTAATTATTTGGTAATATGATATATGGGTCTCTATTTTTACTCCTGCTCTGGGCTCTGCAACCGTTCAAAGTGGATTTAGGAGGTGAGTGGGGAAAAGAAGCATTATTTTCCTAGGTCTGTAATACCAGATATCATCTCGTTCATTTGGACACAGAAGGGCAATCGAACTTTGATATATTTTCATACAGTTTTTCATCTTCCTCCATGCTTGTCTATAGACCACATCAAATGCTGCCAACTACTACTTCTAAGTTCCTGATCTTTTTTTAAAGAAAAAAGCTCAAGAGAGAGAAGTTGGCAAATGGAAATTAGAATCAAAGTAAATTAAGACATATAATCTGAAATTAATCAATCAACGTGATGAATCTTGACCAAATTAAATTCAAATGTAAAATCTACCAAACAAAGCTCTCCTCAATTCAAGCAAGAATCTAAAACTTGACGAAGGACAGGATGGAAAGGAAATAACATAAAACATAAATATATCTTCTGAAAATAACTAATAGTCAAGGTTATATGCATATGGTTTTGTTATGCTATGTTAAAAAAGAATTTTTTCTTAAGTTATAGACTCATCTTGAAGATTCAAAAACCTTGGTGGTTTCTTAAATAGTTTGTTAAGCATGTAGAAGTTGACGGGGTGCATAGATTGAGTACTCAGATAATCTCATGTCTCCTCTAGAGCCCAAATGAAGTAGGACATCTGAGTGTTAAAACAGCATTAAAATGTAAACAAGCAAAATTTTGGAGTTTAAACAGAGTTTTAGCATGAAGATTGTAATTTATGCAATTAAGAGAAATTTCCCCACATTATGGGGGGCTTCATTCATAGTGGGCTATGATACAATACAGCAGAAATATTGAATGATGCTATTGGATTTGAAACTGATATTTACAGGACTTTCTATCTTTAGAAAATTTAATATTAGTAAAAAGTATATAATTTTATAGTATATATATAATTAATTTCATTCTATATAATTTCATTCTTAAAAAAGTTATTGACCTATTTGGAGTCTCAATATGCTTTATTATATGAGCAAGGAAAATTTCCATTAAAAGGAGTTTTTCTATAATTTTAAATGGGAGCCATTTTAAAGTTCATGTTATCCATTGTAACTCTTCATAAATATTACATCTTATGTTGTAACTTTGCGTGCTCCGAATTATACTAAGTGTGCTTTCATGTTTTAATTTGTTCTATTTACTTTGTATTTCATGCCACCGTATATTGAGATCTTGGAAAATTTTTAATGCCACATTTGTAGAAATACAATGTCTTACTCAACAAATGAAAATGCTGTATGTGTAAAGCAGCCACCACCAAATATGTCAGCTATATTAAATGAAATTTTAAATGCGGGATCTGTGTTTTACTTTTAGCCTTTGCATATTGTTGGATTCATTACTTAAAACTGAATATGAAGACAAAGAGAACTTTGAAATGCATACCTTAGAGTATTAACAAGTACTCAGCGCTTAATGTAAATGTCAGAAAAAAGAAAAAGATCTGATGAACCCTCTATTAGTGAAATACTGAATTGTTGCTGAATAGAATTATAAATTCCACTGAGATAATGCTTCAACCTGAAACAAGATAATTGTGGTGCCATTTACTTGTGATGTGAATCTTGGCTCAATATTTATAAAATGTTGCTCTAGAAGTAATTTAGGAAGGTGGGACAACGATGTAACTGTCCAGTTCACTCTTATGCCTTAATGTCCTAGATTAGAAATTGTCCAGGAAATAATATGTTCTAACCATTGGAGTCTTTTCCCCCCCAGCAAATTATAGCACCATAAGTTTCCATTTCCCCCAATGTCTTTTCTGCTATAATCATGGCTTCAGGATTATTGTGACTTCAAAGCCTTAAAACTGCAATTGAATGAGGCAGTTTATCTGTCATTATTCAAATATGAAGCAATTATGATGAAATAAAGATAAAATTCCATTGAGAAATACTCCAATCAATTTTCACTTATATTTAACTAGAAACATAAAATGATGCTTAGAAGAGTAAGTTTAGGTAATAAAATTGAAGAATAAAAAAGCATGAATTACTGATATATAACTGAGACATTTGTGAAGGTTGCAGGGCATGTAAATAAAATGTGTCACCAATATTGAGTGAAAGTTTGTTGTATGACAAAAACAAAACAGAAGCCAAAAACAAACAAACAAAATAACATTATTGCTTAACTGGTCAAAACAATGCTGAAATCTACCTTACCCGTCAGAAGTCTCCCTTAGAATATTTATGTTAATACTTGCATTTCACCTGCTCAATATAAAATTCAATAAACTCATGTGATTTTTGTGGTTTTTGTAGAAAGACACAGTGACAGACACATGCCACAAAATCAAAATTTATATTCTGACTGAGCATTTTACATTCCCTCACTTGTACCAACTGCATTGTTTTATAACTCTTTCTCTATTATCTTTAATATTTCATTTTTTAATCTAAATTTCAGTATCCCACTTGTTTAAATTAATCAAATTGACCCAAAAGGCCATCCAATAGAATGCTTGGCTGTGTTCTAAAAAGAGCTAGAAATAGAAGATAAGTTAAATATATAGCATTATGTCATATAATAATTTTATAAATATGTTTTTCATTAACTATTCCTCCATTCATTTAGCACAATTTTATTTAAAACATTTCCACATTAATCTTATTAAGTTCTCATTCTGTTCAAACTCATATAAGCATAATGTTCTGCTTTTAGTTAGCATGATTTATTATTTTCTTATTTTTTGCTTTATAAATTTAATTTCTAATATAGGACAGACCTATTAAAAACTTGTGTTTCAGCTATCTGAAGTCTCCTACATTAAATGAATAATAAATATGATGAGTGAATTTAATAGTACAAAAGAACAAACATTCTATGAATGCCTACTATGTTTCAGACTTCTTTCCCAAACTCAGGATGTGGGGATCAATATGATGATTAGGATGAAAACAGAGAAGTACACTGTTGCAATGGAGACACAAATAAGGGAGTCGTTAATTTTGCCATGAGAATATTTAGATAGTTCATAAGACCTTGTTATAGATTAGGCTTGTACTCATCAACAAAGCTTTCATTAGCAAGTGAAGACTTAGCTGAGGCTTGAAGGATGAGTAGAAAGTAACCAGTAAATAAGGCATTAGAAATGTTTTCTCAGCAGAGCATGGCTCATGCAACAAAGCAAGAGAAAACAGGGTGAATTGTAGCTGACTAGCAGTTTGAAGGAAGAGGTGAGTGGTGAAATATGAGGCTTGAAAGGGAATCAGAGCCAGATAAGAATTAATACTTTGTCCCCAAATTTCTAGACATAGTGACATTTTTTAAAAGGGATCAATCAGAACATATTTGCCTTTTAGAAGATACTATTGCCTGCAATGTGGAGAACTCAAAGGTTATGACCCAAGACAGAGAAATATATGAGGTGCATTTTTATTAATCCAAAGTAAAAAAAAAGATAGTGACTGAACTATGATCCTAACAATGGGAATAAGAAAAATGAACAAATTCTAAAGGTGGTAGGAAGTAGTCAACAAAATTTGGCGATTGATTAGATACAGGAGATTGAGGGAAGGGGAAGTCTATAAATGACCATCTAGCTTGAGCAAATGAATGGATGGTAAGGTATTAAATGAGATAGTGGGTGAAAGGGAGCAAAAACAAGGCTCATTTGGGGCAGTTAGGAAGACAATGAGTTCAATTTTAACTGCATTGTGAATGAGCCGTAAAGTTTCACTCTAGACCTGTTTAAGAAGGATGGGAATGGCATCACTGGAAAATTCTGAGGATCCACTGGGTGACAGATGCTTGGAGTACAAAAGGTGTATACAAAATGTAGGTGGAGTAAGAGGGCATTGAGATCAATTTGGCACATTTTACATTTTCTCAAGTGGCTGATCCAGTAGGATGGTATTATATTTAAATCAACTCAGTTGAGGAATACAAGTACTCTGTGAAAGTGTTCTAATAAGAATGCTCAGCATTTAGGTAGGAAATAATTTCAACACTTAGCAGTATTCAGTGCTCACTTCATGATCAAGACACAGGCTCTTTGTTTATGAGTAAAATCAGATGCCCTCCATAGTCTGGCCCTGACCCTTCCTTGATCTTTATCCTTTGACAAGTCCCTTGACTTCTTCAGTGTGACAATAACAATAATAAATTGTGGCCATACAGCCTATCTCTGTGGGTATTGAAAGGCTTGAATAAATAGTGTGTAAATACTTAGAGTATTGCAGAACTAATGCCTGGAGTATAGAACTGAAAAATGCCTCATATAGTGCAGAACTGAAAAGTGTAAGTTTTTTAAGGGTTTATGTTCTTTCCCCACAAAATATCTCTTCTGCTTGAAGTACTAAATAACATAAACCTATGTCCTTTTTTTAAAAAAAAAAAAACGTTTGCCTAATTCATTCAGCAACTACTTCCTTGGCATCTACCCTGTGTATCCTGTGTACTGAATGATGTTGCATGTTATCAAGGAGCCCCAAACAATGTGAAACATATTCTCTGTCTGGGAACTACTTCCTATATAGTTAGTAATATATGTCTTGCAAAGATAAAACAAACAAACAAAAGAATAAAAGGCCATTTATGGAGGTTAAAGAAAAGTATGGTGAAAGAAATAGTGGATCACTTCTGTGACAAGACTGGGTTGCTACCGTTTAGACTGATCATTGAACACATTTCTGGTTGCCTACAGCACCTAGCATATAGGACTCCTTTTCTATAGCCACTGCTCATATAAAAGAGCCATGCTTGTAGTTCCTGAGATCTGGTTTAAATTCTGTTTCCATTAATATTAGCATCACAACTATGGGCATATCCCTTAACCTCTGAAAAGAAGTTCTAGTTCTGAAGTAAAGGTTACAATTAGGTTGGTGCAAAAGTAATGGTGAAACCACAATTACTTTTGCACCAACCTAATATTATTTATGACATGGCATTGCTAGATAATGTGAAGTCCCTATTGTAGTGGCTGGCCTATAATAAAAACCCAATAAGGGGTGGTTACTAGTTGTAATTTTAAAAACCCAGCAATACTCATTTTATTACAAATAAATTTTAGAAATACTACCTAATTAAGTACTGTGAGTTGTCCAGACTTGTGAGTTGGACAATATTCTTACTTTGTAGTGAGGAAAATACAGCTTGTTGACATTATTTTCAGACAAAGAAGCAAGAAGTTCAAGAGCTTAGAGAAAGAACAATGTCCACAGAATGACTTTGGTAATTGTGACTCACTAATCATACAGATTCAAGAGAGATATATGGATTTCATTGGATATCATTTTCATATCTGCTAAACTTATATGAAACTAAGATAAAGTGAAAATCCTTTGAGCTCATGGGCCTTTAGATCTAGAATAAGAGCTATTTCTATAGAAAAAATACAGAATTGAATGAAATGTAATTCTGTGGTAGGTTAATACAGACTCTTGGTTAATGTGAAGATTTGGTAATGATATGACTCAAGTATAAGGATATCATCCAAATGTCTGCCCATTTTAAGTTAGAAGGGTTTTCTTAGATCCTATAATAAACATGGGAAGTTTCATCGGAATCCCAGATAAGGATCCATTGCTTGTTGGCCAATCAATACATTCTGGTCTTTAAGAACCAGAAAAGTAGGCTGGGCATGGTGACTCACCCCTGTAATCTCATCACTTTGGGAAGCAGAGGTGGGTAGATCACTTGAAGTCAGGTGTTGGAGACCAAGCTGGCCAACATGGTGAAACCCCGTCTCTACTAAAAATACAAAAATTAGCCAGATGTGATGGTGGGTGCCTGTAATCCCAGCTACTCGGGAGGCTGAGGCAGGAGAATCACTTGAACCTGGGAGGCTGAGGTTGCAGTGACCTGAGATAGCACCACTGCACTCCAGCCTGGTTAGCAGAGCAAGAATCCATCTCAAAAAAAAAAAAAAAAAAAAAAAAAAAAAGAACCAGAAAAGGGAAAGGCAAACCCCAAAAATTCATGGGAAAGTAACCAAAACTGTGCTGGTGTCATAATTGTTTCATTTTGTACAATTGTTTGTTTTTTTTGTTTTGTTTTTCTGTTTGTTTTTTTGCCTTGAGATGAAGTAGAATTAAGCAACAAAATGCTTAAGAGAATCACATTCATGATATTATTATTATTTTGCCATTGTTGTTAAGCCAGCTGTGCATATTTAATATTTCAAATATTTGAAATGTTTTGGAGAATTTGACATATTAAAATAACAGGTCAGGCTTGCTACTCCAGTTTAAAACATGCAATTGTGTAATCTTACATTTAAGGTTTTTATTTAAAATCTCAGTAAGTTTATGTAGAGTATTAGAACATCATTGGTGTAGGTTTATTCTATTTTTTAAATTAATTGAGAAAACTTCATAAGAATTGTTTAAGTACTCAAAGAACTTTTCAGCCAATGTAAGTATTTAATGAGTGAAATTGAGGACACTGAAATTACACTGTAGCTTAAAATGTTTAAAGGATGTTATGTTTCTAAATGGTACCAAATATTAGTGAAATACTTCCCATATAAAAAGGATATTTTCCCCCAAGAAATTTAGTTATGTGCACTGATCAAATTTTATTTCTACATTGTTGAAAAAGAAAAGATCTTAAATTAGACAATTTGAAGCTTTCATCTTGATGGTTAGATATCTTTTTTAGCAAAAAGGAAACATAAAAATATGTCTGCAGAAAGATCATTGAACTCTTGACTATCACTCAGCTGAGTGAAATGACAACTGGTTTCCCAGAAGAGGTCTTAATATCATTAAAAGTTTATCTGAAAATTGCTTAATCAGTTTATCAGGAATGCTAATTTCTTCCCAGAAGGAGGTTATGATTTAAAAGGTCTGTCCCAGGCCAGGTCGGGGACAATTTTCTCTTTACAATTTTTTTAAATTATTAACTTTATTAACGTCTTCTAGATTTATACATGAGAAATAAATTTTGTGATCTACTTCTAATTCTAGTAGTTACTAAAAATCTTGATTTTTTGTTTTCCTTTTTTTTCTTAAAAGAAAACCATCTTCAGATTAGACTTTTAGTTACACAAAAATCAACTGCAAATACACTTCCAGCCCAAAATAACCACAAAAATTTATCAAGCAGGATTTCCTGCTTATACAGATTTTTGTATATGTATGTTTACACATATATGTACATATATACACATATATAATGTTTCCATATTAAGTGTGATTTTGTTATGGCTTGCTGTAAAATACACACATATGCACAGGTACCCAGGCTCATTGGACTAAAGATAAAAGATCAGATCCTATACAAGGAAAGAGGGAAGAAGCAGGAATCAGGTTATTACCTCTGTTCCTTTCCTAATAATTAAACCTGACATGTCACATAGGTTCAAACCTACAAACAATAACAAGCAAAATGATTAGTATAGGAAATATTAGGCTATCCCATCCCCATTTGCTCCCAAATCTTCCATCTTGTTTTCCTAGTCCATCATTTATCTTTGTTCCCTAACTTTGATGTCAACCCCTCACCCTTCAGGACCAAAACATTCATTCTCCAAAACATTCATCGCCGAGAATGCTGGGGACTAGCCTCTCTCAGTAAATATCTGTCCCTAGTCTGAGGTAGATTTATGCTCCCCTCCCCAGGAACAGCTTGTGTCTATGGAGATGTGCCCAGTGCAAAGAACTGCAATTGGAAGGCAATTCTGAAGGACCACCCTGCTGGGAGCTCTCTGCAGTTGACTGAGAAGTCTTTGAAAGCTCATCTTTTCTTGTCAGCCCAGTCCTGCTTCCTTCTCCTCCCGCCACACAGACTGTGTTGATTTCAAGAGCATTTCCCAATACCTCCTGCACACAAACCTCCACCTGAGTCTGCTTCCTGCAGCTATGAACTTCAAAGAACGCATGGGTGAATGATTTGGAAGCCTGCCTTCTAGGAGAAAATCGGTCTTTGGTTACTGACCAAAGCCGGGGATGAAGGTAAAGCATTTCATGGTAAAGGGATCAGGAATTCTAAGGCAGCTACGAAGTAGCTGGACCATTTCCTTTATCTCTTCCCCAGCACCATAGATGCCCAAGAAATTGAAACTGTCTGAACTATCTTACCTGCTTTTATCTTAATTTTAATTGCCCTCCCATCCCTATGTATTCTGTATTTAACAGATGAAGTTAATAATCCTTCTAATACCATCAAAACAATTGGCCATCAATGATATTGAAGCTATGAATGTACAGACTATAAAGAACTAGGCTTTGATTCTTATATAATCCCAATAGCAGACTTAAAATCAGGAGAACTTCCACTCCTCAAAGTTGATAACCAAACAATCCTCCCAATAGAAATTCCTATCCAAATATTAATTTCATCTGAAGATGTCCTGCACTCATGAACTCTCCCTTCACTGGGCCTCAAAACAGACGCAATCTGTGGACGCCTAAATCAATCCACCTTAACTGCTACACGACCAGGCCTTTACCACAGATAATGCTCAGAAATTTGTTTTATACTATCATCCAAGAATTAATTCCCTTACAAAATTTCAAAACCTGATCTACATCCATACTATAACATCACTGTAAAGTTATCCAGCATTAACCTTTTAAGTTAAAGACTGAGATGATCTACACCTCTCTACAGTGAATGCCTCAACTAGATACTTCCACATGATTCATTGTTACCCAGTCAATAATCATAACTTATTCTCGATCATTCAGTTAAAATTATCAAGTTTCATTTACCATGTATCTCCTACACCAAAAATAATCAAAACACAAAAACATAAAAACTCCTGAGAATTAAAATGAATGAAAATCTATTCACCTCTTTTATTACCCCAACAATTCTAGGCCTACCCGTAGTAATATTAATCATTTTATTCCCCACCATGCATTTCCAACCTCCAATCACCTAATCAGTAATTGATTGATCTCTATCCAACAATGATTAGTTCAACTTGCACTAAAACAAATAATAACTACCCATAATATTAAAGGACAAACCTGATCCCTTATGCTGATATCCCTAATTCTCGTCATTGCCTCAACCAATCTCCTCGGGCTTCTACCCTATTCATTTACACCAACTACCCAATTATCAATAAATCTAGGTATAGCAGTCCCTTTGTGAGCAGGCACAGTAATCACAGGCTTCCGCTTTAAAATCAAAACCTCCTTAGCTCAGTTTTTATCGCAAGGCACACCTATGCCACTTATCCCTATACTGGTGGTCATTGAAACTATTCACCTATTTATTCAACCAGTAGCATTAGCTATGCGATTAACAGCCAACATTACAGCCGGTCACCTATTGATACATTTAACTAGAGGAGGCACACTAGTATTATCAACTATTAGTATCACCACAGCTTCAATCTCTCTCATTATTCTAATCTTACTGACCATTCTCAAATTTGCTGTAGCTCTTATTCAGGCTTATGTCTTCACACTACTAGTAAGCCTTTATCTACATGATAATACACAATGACCCACCAAACACAAGCCTACCATGTAGTCAAACCCAGCCCCTGACTACTAACAAGAGCTCTCTCGGCTCTCCTAATAACATCTGGCCTGGCCATATGATTTCACTTTAACTCCATTACTCTTTTAACGTTAGATCTACTGACCAATACACTAACTATGTATCAATGATGACATGATGTTATCTGAGGAAGTACATTTCAAAGCCACGATACAACAATTGTCCAAAAAGGTGTCCGATATGGAACAATTCTATTTATTATCTCAGAGGTACTTTTATTTGCTGGTTTCTTCTGGGCATTCTACCACTCTAGTCTAGCTCCAACTCCAGAGTTAGGGGGATATTGACCTCCAACAGGCATTCTTCCCCTCATTCTTTTAGAAGTACCCCTCCTGAATACATCTGTGTTACTTACTTCAGGAGTTTCAATTACTTGAGCTCATCACAGCCTGATGGAAGGTAGTCAAAAGCAAATAATTCAAAAACTAGCTGTCACAATTACCTTAGGCATATACTTCACCCTGCTACAAGTTTCAGAATACTTCGAGGCCCCTTTTACTACCTCTGATTATGGCTCAACGCTCTTTTTTTTTTTTTTTTTTTTTTTTTTTTTTTTTTTTTTGAGACAGAGTTTCGCTCTTGTTGCCCAGGCTGGAGTGCAATGGCATGATCTTGGGTCACTGAAATGTCTGCCTCCCACATTCAAGCAATTCTCCTGCCTCAGCATCCTGAGTAGTTAGGATTACAGGTATGCACCACTACGCCCGGATAATTTTGTATTTTTAGTAGAGATGGGGTTGCTCCATTTTGGTCAGGCTGGTCTTGAACTCTCGACCTCAGGTGATCTGCCAACCTCGGCCTCCCAAAGTGCTGCGATTACAGGTGTCAACGTTTCTCACTATCTGCCTCCTCCGTCAATTAAAATTCCATTTTACATCTAACTACCACTTTGGCTTTGAAGCCACCGCCTGATATTGACACTTCGTAGATGTAGTGTGACTATTGTTATACGTCTCTATCTACTGATGAGGATCCTACTCTTTTAGTATAAGCAGTACCATTGATTTCCAATCAATAAGTTTCTATAATATCCAAAAAAGAGTAATTAACCTGACACTAGCCCTAGTAACTGACACCTTACTGGCCCCAATACCAACAGTTATCACATTTTGACTCCCACAACTTAATATTTATATAGAAAAATCCAGCCCTCATGAAGGTGGATTTGATCCATTAACCTCCGCCCACCTCCTCTTCTCTATAAAATTCTTCCTAGTGGCCACCACATTTCTCCTGTTCGACTTAGAAATCGCTCTACTCCTACCCCTGCCATGAGCCCTTCAAACAAACAACCTGACACTAATAATCAGCACAGCCCTTATACTAGTTACCATTTTAATCCTAGGCTTGACTTAGGAATGAACTCAAAAAGGATTAGATTGAGTTGAATTGGTAAATAGTTTAAATTAAAATGAATGATTTTGACTCATTAGATTATGATAGACCATATTTACCAAATGCCCTTTATTTATATCAATATTATATTAGCATACACCATAGCACTTCTGGGAATATTAGTCTATCGATCCCACCTAAAATCATCCCTATTATGCCTAGAAGGCATAATATTATCAATATTCATTATAATTACTCTTATAACTTTAAATATACATTTCGCTCTAGCATCCACAATACCCATTATTCTCCTAGTATTTGCTGCCTGTGAAGCTGCAGTGGGCCTTGCCTTACTAGTTTCAGTCTCCAACATATACAGCCTAGATTATGTACAAAATCTAAGTTTACTTCAATGCTAGAAGTTATTATTCCAAAAATTATACTGTTACCAATAACATGACTCTCTAAAAACTCTATATGCCGAATTAACATGACTACTCACAGCCCATTCATCAGCCTTATTACGCTACTATTTTTAACCAATTAAATGATAACTCATCTAACTTCTCATTAATCTTCTCCTCTGACCCTCTAACTTCGCCCCTTGTAATCTTTACAACCTGACTACTACCTCTTATAATTCTAGCAAGCCAATATCACCTTTCCAATGAGTCACCCCCATGGAACAAACTCTATATTTCCATATTAATTTCCCTACAAATTTTTTTAATCATAGCATTCACAGCCACAGAACTAATTATATTTTATATTCTCTTTGAAGCCACACTTATTCCTACCCTAATTATCATTACCCGCTGAGGTAACCAATCAGAACGACTCAATGCAAGCTCATATTTCTTATTTTACACACTAGTAGGGTCCCTTCCCCTACTTGTTACACTTGTCCATACTCAAAATACCTCGGGTTCTCTAAATATAACTGTAATAATATTTACCACCCAAGAACTATTAAACTCCTGTTCTAATAATCTTATATGATTAGCATGTATTTTAGCTTTTATGGTAAAAATGCCTCCATATGGACTTCACCTGTGACTCCCCAAAGCCCACGTGGAAGCCCCTATTGCTGGCTCAATAGTACTTGCAGCAGTACTCCTAAAGCTAGGTGGCCACAGTATTATACGGCTTACCCTTACCCTCAACCCCCTAACAAATATATAGCCTACCCCTTCCTCATACTATCCTTATGAGGGATCTTATGACAAGCTCTATTTGTCTATGACAAACTGATTTAAAATCACTTATCGCATATTCCTCCGTAAGCCACATAGCACTTGTTATTATAGCTATTCTCATTCAAACCCCTTGAAGCTTTACAGGTGCAGTCACCCTTATAATTGCCCGTGGACTCACTTCATCCTTACTATTCTGCCTAGCAAATTTGAATTATGAGCGAGTCCATAGCCAAATTATATTACTTGAGGCCTTCAAACACTGCTTCCACTGATAGCCTCTTGATGACTTTTAGCAAGTCTTACTAACCTTGCCTTACCCACTGCTATTAATCTAGTAGGAGAACTCTTCCTCGCTATGGCTTCATTCTCCTGATCAAACATCACCATTATGCTTATAGGACTTAATATACTAATTACAGCCCTTTACTCCTCACATATGCTAACCACAACACAACGAGGGACACTTGTGTATTACATTAACAGTATTAAACCATCCTTTACATGAGAAAATACATTAATACTTATACACTTTGCACCTATCTTCCTATTATCCTTAATCCTTATTATTATGGGGTTTGCATTCTGTAAATATAGTTTAACCAAAACATTAGATTGTGAATCTAATAATAGAAGCCTGTAACTTCTTATCTACCGAGAAAGTATGCAAGAACTGCTAACTCATGCCCCCATGCCTAATAACATGGCTTTCCAGACTTTCAAAGGATAAGAGCTATCCATTGGTCACAGGAACGAAAAATATTGGTGCAACTCCAAGTAAAAGTAATAAACATGTATTTTACCACTACTATAACAACCCTAATCCCCTTAAACTTACCAATCATTACTACCTTAGCCAACCCCTGCAAAAAGATTCATACCCATACTATGTAAAAATATCTATTGCATGCACCTTTATTATCAGCCTCATCTCTACCACAATATATATATTTATAGACCAAGAATAATCTCAAAGTGACATTGAATAACAATCCAAACTCTTAAACTCTCACTAAGCTTCAAACTATACTATTTCTCCACAGTATTTATCCCAGTAGCGCTATTTGTTACCTGATCTATTGTAGAGTTCTCAATATGATATATAAACTCAGACCCTAATATTAATCAATTTTTCAAATATTTACTCATTTTCCTCACCAAAATATTAATTCTAATTACTGCCAATAACTTCTTTCAACTTTTTATCGGATGAGAAGATGTGGGAATTATGTCTTTTTTACTAAATGGCTGATGATACGGCCGAACAGACGCTAATCTAGCAGCCCTCTAAGCGGTCCTGTACAACCGCAGAGGCGATATTGGCTTTATTTTAGCTATATAGCATGATTCCTCTTATTCTCCAACACATGAGAGCTTCAAAAAGTATTTATTCTAAATCCTACCTCCAATCCCTTTCCATTAATTAGTCTTCTCCTAGCAGCAGCAGGAAAGTCAGCTCAATTTGGCTTTCATCCCTGACTTCCTTCCACCACAGAAGGCCCAACTCCAGACTCAGCCCTACTCCACTCTAGCACTATAGTTGTAGCAGGGGTTTTTCTACTTATCTGCTTCTACCCTTGAATAGAAAATAACCTATTATTCCAAAACTTTACATTATATTTAGGGGCTATGACCAACGTATTTACAGCAATCTGTGATCTAACACAAAATAACTCAAAAAAATCATAGGATTCTCTACCTCAAGCCAACTAGGCTTTATAATAGTCACAATTGGCATTAATCAATCACACCTAGCATTTCTTCATATCTGCACCCACAGCTTTTTTTAAAGCTATGTTATTTGTATGTTTAGGACCCATCATCCATAATCTCAATGATAAACAAGACATCTGAAAAATAGGAGGACTATTCAAGACTTTACCCTTCACTTCCTCCGCCCTTATTATTGGCAGCCTCACACTTACAGGTGTGCCTTTCCTCACAGGCTTTTATTCTAAAGACCTCATTATCGAAATCGCAAACATGTCATATTCCAACACCTGAGCCCTTTCTATTACTCTTATTGTAACCTCCCTAACAGCTGTCTGTAGTACCTGAATTATTTTCTTTGCTCTGATAGGACAACCTCACTTCACAACTCTGATTCATATTAACGAAAATAACCCCTTCCTAATTAACTCAATTAAGCATCTAATAATTGGCAGCATCTTAGCTGGATTCCTCATTACCAATAGTATTACTCCTACTTCATCCCCCCAAAAAACTATGCCACTTCACCTAAAACTCACAGCCCTAGGTGTGACTGCCTTAGGCCTCTTACTAGCAATGGAGCTAAATTTTATAACTAACAACCTTAAGCTAAATTATCCATTACAGACATTTAACTTCTCCAATATATTAGGTTTTTACTAGCCACAATCCACCATACAACCCCCCACCTCAAGTCTATTTACAAGCCAAAATCTGGCCTCACTTCTACTAGACCTAATTTGATTAGAAAAGTCCACACCAAAAACCATTTCACAAACCCAAATATCAGCCACCATTACTGTATCTACTCAAAAAGGCCTAATTAAACTTTACTTTCTCTCCTTTTTTATTTTACTCCTTCTAACTCTAAATTATCTAATCTATTACCCCGAATAATCTCATTTGCAACACAAATACTAACAAACAATGTTCAACCAGCAACTACCAGCAATCAACATCCATAACTTTACAAAGCAGCCACACTGACAGAATCCTCATGCAATAACCCCACCCCCTCACCCTCAAAAATTATTCAACTCCACATACTATTAAAATTAATTGTGATGACCATCCCATCATGCTCAACTATTCACTGAATCAACACCAACCCTATTAATAACCCTAATAATAAAGCCCCTCAAATGTCAATAGTTGACCCTCATGTTTCAGGGTATTCCTCAGTAGCCATTGCCGCAGTATAATAAAAAACAACCATTATACCACCCAAATAAATTTAAAACACTATTAACCCCACAAAAGCCCCATCAAAGTTCAACACAATACCACAACCCACAGCACCACTAATAATCATCCCTAGATCTCCATAAATAGATGGTTTCGAAGAAAAACCTACAAATCCTATAAGAAAAAGAATACTTAATACGAATAAAATATATGCCATTATTCCTACACGGACTATAATCATAACTAATGGTATAAAAAAATCATTGTATTTCAACTGTAAGAATGCTAATGACCAAAATACGCAAAACACACCCGCTAATAAAAATTATTAACCATTAATTCATTGATCTTCCCACAGCATCCAGCATTTCTACATGATGAAACTTTGGCTCACTTATTGGTGCCTGCTTAATTCTCCAAATCATCAGAGAATGATTTCTGGCCGTACACTACACATCGGATACCTTAACTGCCTTCTCTTCAGTCACCAATATCAGCCGAGATGTAAATTATGACTGAATAATCTGCTATTTTCATGCTAACGGCGCTTCAATATTTTTCATCTGCCTCTTCCTACATGTTGGCCGAGGTTTATATTATGGGTCATTTATATTTCTAAAAACCTGAAATATTGGCATTATCCTCCTACTCACAACCACAGCAACAGCATTTATAGGTTACATACTCCCATGAGGCCAAATATCATTCTGAGGTGCTACAATAATTACAAATCTACTATCAGCAATCCCATATATGGAAACTGACCTTGTATAATGAATCTGAGGTGGATTCTCAGTTGACAAAGCCACGCTTACACAACTTTTAGCCTTCCGTTTTATCTTTCCCTTCATCATTGCAGCTCTAACAACTGTTTTCCTTTTATTCTTACGTGAAACAGGATATAATAACCTTCAGGGATCTCATCAGACCCTGACAAAATCACTTTCCAACCTTACTACGTAATCAAATATATTCTAGGCCTAACTCTCCCCCTCCTCCTCCTAATAGTCCTAGTACTATTTTCACCTGATCTCCTGAGCCACCTGGATAATTACACTTTAGCCAACACCCTCAATACCCCACCCCACATTAAACCAGAGTGATACTTTTCCATCCCTAACAAACTAGGAGGTATGCTCGCCCTTACATCCTCCATTCTCATTCTAGCAGTTATTCCTATACTTCACACATCTAAACAACAAAACATAGTATTCTGTCCATTAAGTCGATGCCTATTCTGAATCTTAGTGCTGACCTGCTCACACTCACATGAATCGGAGGGCAGTGAGTCAACTACCCTTTTATTATCATCAGACAGACAGCATCCATTATGTACTTCTTTACCGTCCTCACCCTTATACTAATCATTGCCCTAATTGAAAACAAGCTACTTAAATGAAACTGCCCTTGTAATATAATTCAATACTCTGGTCTTGTAAACCAGAAATGGAGAATTTCCTCCCCAGTACAACTCAGGAAAAAAAGTATACCCACTTCACCATCAACACCCAAAGCTGAAATTCTGATTAAACTATTCCTTGCACTTTTTTCAGCACACACTTTAACTACCATGCCAGTATTAATGAACTAGCACTAACACATTAGTGCTCTTATGTACTTCGTGCATTACTGCTAGCCCCCATGAATAATATGTTGTACTATAATTGCTTAACTGTACATAGTACATTAATACATCAAGGTACATTAAAAATACAATCCACATACATATAAGCATATAAGCATGTATTAATGACTCTCCAACTATTGCACATTCACTATCATTAATCGTACAACAAAATCCAGTCAATACGAATATCGACCCATACTAAAAATCCTTAATATTACATAGTACATAAAATTTTCATCGAACATAGCACATTTCAGTCAAAAAAGTCCTTGTCAACATGAATATCCCCTCCCAAATTTTGGTCTCTTAATCTACCAACCTCCGAGAAATCATCATCCCACTCGGGAGTACTACCTTCCTCGCTCCGGGCCCATAACACTTGGGGGTGACTATACTGAAACTATACCTGGCATCTGGTTCTTACCTCAGGGCCATAAAACTAAGATCGACCACACGTTCCTCTTAAATAAGACATCTCAATGGACTAGTGACTATCACCCTATTAGCCAGTCAGGGGAGCACTGTCATGCATTTGGTATTTTTAACTTTGGGGGATGCTATTACCATCGCGAAAGGCCTGGTCCCCTCTGAATCACTGTAGACAAACTCGGATTTGATTTCTGCCAAACCAGTTGTAGAAACTGAGCTTATATTTAATATTCTGACCTGGCATAACAACCATAAGATGTTAATTAATTCATGCTTAAAGGACATAATGAGTAACCAATAGACAAGTATGCACGATCACGTATGCATGATCATGTAGGCACGATCATGTACGCCTATTTTCAAGAACTATTTTCAACTTAATCCACAAACTCCCCCTCCCCCACCCCTGACTTTACCATCAACCTAGGTAAGTGTACCCTTGCCAAACCCCAAAAACAAGAGACTAAAACCCAGTTAGAGTCCAAAAGTCATATTTTAATCATGAATACCCCAACAGGTGCCCTTTGATTGATGTGTTTCCCAAAAATCTTAAAAATCTTTCTACTAAATTAAGCCTCTACTTATATAACAAATATAATAACTAAATTTTCACCCTTGTACTAATATAATACCTTGAACATAACCCTCTGAAAGTGCTACCCATAAACAACAGCCTAAAACAATTACCCCTAATGTAAAACCCCTCTCAATCAAACTTCTGCCAATTCAAGTTAAACCACTTAAATTACCATAATTGTAAATGACTATTTCTTCCCCTTATATTTTAATTTTATACTCAAACATTTATGCAGTTAATGTAGCTTAATTATTCCAAGCAAGACACTGAAAATGTCTAGATGGGTCTGCACGACCCCATAAACATAAAGGTTTGGTCCTGGTCTTTCTGTTAACTCTTAGTAAGATTACACATGCAAGCATCCCCATCCCAGTGAAGATGCCCTCTAGATCACCTGAATCAAAAGGAGCAAGTATCAAGCACACACAAATGCACCTCAAAATACTTTGTTCAATCACACCCCCACAGGAAACAGCAGTGATAAATCTTTAGCAATAAGCAAAAGTTTAAAAGCTCTACTAATACTTAGGGTTGGTCAATTTCGTGCTAGCCACTGTGGTTATATGATTAACCCAAGCTAATAGATCTTGGCATAAAGAGTGTTTAAGATCTACCCTCAATAAAGATAAACTCCATCTAAGTTGTAAAAAAACTCCAGCTGAAATAAAATAAACTACAAAAGTGGCTTTAATATCCTGAAAACACAATAACTAAGACCCAAACTGGGATTAGATACCCAACTATGCTTAGCCCTAAACTATAATAGTTAAATTAACAAAACAATTTACCAGAATACTACAAGCAACAGGTTAAAACTCAAAGGACTTGGCAGTGCTTTATATCCATCTAGAGGAGCCTGTTCTATAATTGATAAACCCCGATGCACCTCACCACCTCTTGCCCCCAGCCTATATGCCACCATCTTCAGCAAACCCTAGAAAGGTTGCAAAGTAAGCACAAGTATACACATAAAAATGTTAGGTCAAGGTGTAGCCTATGAGGCTATATTTTCTTTACCCAGAAAATCTCATGATAGCCTTTATGAAATCTAAGGGCTCAAAGAGGATTTAGCAGTAAACCAAGAGCTGAGTGCTTGGTTGAATAGGGTCATGAAGCACACACACGCCACCCATAACCATCCTCAAATATTATTCTAGAAACAAATACTACTAAAGCTCTCTACCCATATATAGACGACATAAGTTGTAACATGGTAAGCATACTGGAAAGTGTGCTTGGAAAAATCAAAGTGTGTAACTTAACCCAAAGCATCTGGCTTACACCACAAGATTTCATCACAACTTGATCTCTTTGAGCCAATTCTAGACCCAAACTTCTCTAAAAATATTATCAAATTATCTTAATTAAATCACTTACCTAAACAGAAGTATAGGTGATAGATATTTTTACCTTGTGCAATAGACATAGTACCATAAGGGAAAGATGAAAAAACTAAGACAAGCATAAAAAAGCAAAGACCAACCCTTATACCTTCTGCATAATGTATTAACTAGAAATAACTTTACATAGATAACCAAAGCCAAGTCTCCCCAAACCAGACAAGCTACTCAAGAACAGCTGAAAGAGCACACCCAACTATGTGGCAAAATAGGGGGAAGATTCATGAGTAGGGGTGACAAGCCTACCAAGCCTGGTGATAGCTGGTTTTCCAAGACAGAATCTTAGTTCAACTTTAAACTTTCCCACAGAATTACATAATCTCCCTGTAAGTTTAACTGTTAATCTAAAGAGGGACAGGTCGTTAGACTCTAGGAAACAACCTTCCTGCAGAGGGTAAAAAAATATTACCATCATAGTGAGAGGTGACAGTGTGCTGGCAGCCCTCACAGCCCTCACTGGCTCTGGGCGCCTCCTCTGCCTGGGCTCCCACTTTGGCGGCACTTGAGGAGCCCTTCAGCCTGCCGCTGCACTGTGGGAGCCCCTTTCTGGGCTGGCCAAGGCCAGAGCTGGCTCCCTCAACTTACAGGGAGGTGTGGAGGGAGAGGCGCCAGCGGGAACCGGGGCTGCGTGCAGCACTTGCGGGTCAGCTGGAGTTCCAGGTGGGCATGGGCTTGGTGGGTCCCACACTGCCTCTCACCCCCGCACCACTCCCCCCACACCCCCCGAGTGGGCTCCTGTGCAGCTGGAGCCTCCCCTACAAGTGCCACCCTGTGCTCCACCGCACCCAGTCCCATCGACCACCCAAGGGCTGAGGAGTGCGGGCCCAAGGCACGGGACTGGCAGGCAGCTCCACCTGTGACCCCAGTGCAGGATCCACTGGGTGAAGCCAGCTGGGCTCCTGACTGGTGGGGACTTGGAGAACCTTTATGTCTAGCTAGGGGATTGTAAATACACCAATCGGCACTCTGTATCTAGCTCAAGATTTGTAAACACACCAATCAGCACCCTGTGTCTAGCTCAGGGTTTGTGAATGCACCAATCGAAGCTCTGTATCTAGCTAATCTAGTGGGGACGTGGAGAACCTTTGTGTCTAGCTCAGGGATTGTAAAGGCACCAATCAGTGCCCCGTCAAAACAGACCACTCGGCTCTCTGTAAAATGGACCAATCAGCAGGATGTGGGTGGGGCCAGATAAGAGAATAAAAGCAGGCTGCCCCAGCCAGCAGTGGCAACCCGCTGGGGTCCCCTTCCACACTGTGGAAGGTTTGTTCTTTTGCTCTTTGCAATAAATCTTGCTGTTGCTCACTCTTTGGGTCCACACTGCCTTTATGAGCTGTAACACTCACCACGAAGGTCTGCAGCTTCACTCCTGAGCCAGTGAGACCAGGAACCCACCAGAAGGAAGAAACTCTGAACACATCTGAATATCAGAAGGAACAAACTCCGGACACACTGCCTTTAAGAACTGTAACACTCACCGTGAAAGTCCGCGGCTTCATTCTTGAAGTCAGTGAGACCAAGAACGCACCAATTCCAGACGCAATAGTTGACCCCAAAGCAGCCACCAATTAAGAAAGCGTTCAAGCTCAACATCTGACTATCCTAAATTCTAATCACACTACTGAACTCCTTACATCACATTGGACTAATCTATTATTTAATAGAAGCAATAATGTTAATATAAGTAACATGAAGATATTGCCCATTACATAAGCTTACATCAGACTGGAAATATCCACCGACAGTTACAGGCTAATATTAGCAAATGATTTCCTAATTAGTTCCCCGGTTCAGGGGGAGAGAAAGAGGAAATGGTCAGAAACCAACCATTGTAGGCAATATAATGGCCTCCAGAATGTCCATGCCCTAATCCCTAGAATCTATAAATATGTTACCTTACATGGCAAAAGGGACTTTGCAGGTGTGACTAGGGTTAAGAACCTTGAGATTGGGAAATATCATTATCCCAATCTCAATTATCGCTGTGTGTCTATCGAGTCATATGGCTCCTTAAAAGCTGAGAACCTTTCCCAACTGTGATGAGAGACTCCAGAGCAATAATGAGACAGATGCAATGTTGCTGGCTGGAGAAAGGGGCCATGAGCCAAGAAATGTGGGCAGCCTCTAGAAGCTGGAAGAGGTAAGGAAAAGGATTCCTCTCTGGATCTTCCAGAAACTATTTCAGCCCTGTCAACCCCCCGATATTAGCCCAGTGAAGCCCATGTTAGACATCCAACGTGCAGAACTGTAAGATAATAAGTGTGTGTTGTTCTAAGCCACTAAATTTATAGTAATTTGTTATAGCAGCAGCAGTAAATTAATTCCCCAACCTAGGATAGAAGTTGAAGAAAACAAAGCTTAATTGAGGAGGCGGTGAATTATAGTAACAGAAGCAGATGGTAACTTGAGGAAGGAACGATAATTTGGGGAAGGAACAGAAGTTAATTCTCATGTAGGATCCATCCCAGATGTTGGGGAACAATAGTGGGTACTATCAGATAATTTTATTTTTTCCTCTTTGGCCTCTTGCTCATGATAGATCTGAGAAGACACTTCCACATTGCTTATGCTGGCTGGATATTAAAATATGTTGCAAGTGTCTCATTCTCCAATTAGTAGAAAGGGTTATAACCAGATACAACAAGCAAGTATGTAACCAAAGCTGCTAAATAATGAGCAGAAGCAAAATGAGGCTTTGGAACGTGGTTAAGCCAGACTACTCATGTTTATCAAGTAGGACTAGGTATTTAAGGGCCATGAAACAGGAGATCATTTATAAAAAATTATTCTCATTTTGGTTAATCATGAAATCTAAAAAGTATGTTTAGCTATTGAGGAGGAAGTAATGTTTTGGTTAAAGTAGGCAAATTACTCCTATGAGCATGTCAGGTAGGGATTGCTTCTAGTAGAAAATATTTTTTGTTTGCATTTTTAACATTAAGTTAATTAATAATTTATTATTGTAGATTGGATGAAAGTTTTGTGTGGAGTGAGATTACTCTATTTCCCCTAATTTCCTGTCTATACATTCTTTTCAAAGCTTTCCAGGCTAGCAGGAAAAAGAAACAAACAAAAAACCAAAAACCTGCCCAGTATGTCCCTAGGGCTGAGGGGTTTTTGACCTTGAGAGCTGAGATCAAGACAGTACCAATACTCAGGGGATACACGTCATACTCTATGGGTTTTAGGAGCTGGGATTTGGTTACTATCAGTTAAAGGCATACCACAGAGATATTGCAGGTTCAGTTCCAGACCACCATAATAAAGCACATGATAAACCACATATGAATTGAGTCATACAAATTTTTTGGTTTCTCAGCCCATATAAAAGTAATATTTACACTACACTGTAGTCTATTAAGTGTACAATAGCATATGTCCAAAAATGTACTTTTCAATTAAAGAATATTACTAAAAAATGCTAACAATCATCGAAGACCCCAGCCTTCAGCTGGTGGAGGGTCTTGCCTCAATGTCGATGGTTGCTGACTGAGCAGAATGGTGGTTGCTGCAAGTTGGGATGGCTGTTGCAATTTCTTAAAATAAGAAAATGAAGTTTGCAGAATCAGTTGACTCTTCTTTTCGTGAAAGAATCCTCTGCAGCCTGTGATGTTGTTTGATGGCATTTTACCCACAATAGAACTTCTTTCAAAATTAGAGATAATCCTCTCAAAACCTATCACTGTTTTATCAACCAAGTTCATGAAATATTCAAAATCCTTTGTTGTCATTTCAATGATCACAGCATAGTCATCAGAGGAAGATTCCACCTCAAAAAACAAAACAACAAAATAAAACAAAACAAACCAAAAACCACATTCTTTGCTCATCCATAAGAAACAACTCATCATCTGTTAAAGTTTTATCAGGAGACTGAAGCAATTCAGTCACATCTTCAGGCTACACTTCTAATCCTAGTTCTTTTACTATTTCTACAACATCTGCATATACTCCCTCCACTGAAGTCTTGAACTCCTCAAAGCCATCCATGAGGATTGGAATCAACTTCTAATCTCCTAGTATCCGTGATATTTTTACCTCCTCACATGAATCATGAAATATTCCTAGTGGCACCTAGAATGGTGAAACATTTAAAAAATATTTTCAATTTTCTTTGCTCACATCCATTAGAGGAATCACTATCTATGGCATCTATAGCCTTGCAAAATGTATTTCTTAAAGAATAAGACTTGCAAATCAAAATTACTCCTTGTTCCATGGGCTGCAGAATGGATGTTGCATTAGCCGGTATGAAAACAACATTAATCTATCAGAGTTCTTTGTGACCATGTGCATAGTCAATGAGCAGTAATATTTTGAAAGGAATCTTTTTCTGTGAGCAGTGGGTCTGTATAATAGATTTAAGTATTCAGTAAATCCTGCTCTAAACAGATGTGCTGTCATCCAGACTTTGTTGCTTCATTTATAGAACATAGACAGAGTAAATTTGGCATAATTCTTAAGGTTCCTAGAATTTTTAGAATGGTAAATGAGCATTGGCTTCAATATAACGTCACCAGCTGCATTAGCCCCTAACAAGAGAGTCAGCCTGTTCTTTGAATCTTTGAAGCCAGGCGTTGTCTTCTATGTTCTAGCTGCGAAAGTCTTAGATGGGATCTTCTTCCACTAGAAGTCTATTTCCTCTACTTGAAAACCTGTTGTATGGTGTAGCTAGATCTTCTGGGTACTTTGCTGCAGCTTCTAGGTCAGCATTTGCTGTTTCACCTTACAGTTTTATGTTATGGAGCTGGCTTCTTCCTTAAACCTCATGAAGCAACCTCTTCAGCAGTGCCCTTACCTGTAAGCCTTCACAGAATTAAAGAGTTAGGGCCTTGCTCTGGATTAGCCTTTAGCTCTTAAGGGAACATTGTATGACCTGTTTGATCTTCTATCCAGTCCTCCCAAACTTTCTTCATGTCAGCAATAAGGTTGTTTTGCTTTCTTATCATTTTTGTGTTCACCGGAGTAGCACTTTTAATTTCCTTCAAGAGCTTTATTTTGCATTCACACATTAACTAAACCATTTGGCAAAAGAGGCCTAGCTTTCAGCCTGTCTCTGCTTTCAACATGCCTTCCTCACTAAGGTTAGTCATTTCTAGCTTTTGATTTAAAGTGAGAGACCTGTGACACTTCCTTTGACTAGAACACTTAGAGACCATTGTAAAGTTATTATTAACTGGCATAATTTTAATATTGTGTCTTGGGGAGTAGGGATGCCCATGCAGAGAAAGAAAGACAGGGAAATGGCCAGTGGAGCAATCAGAACACACACATTTATTGGTTAAGTTCACCAAGTTATACGGGCATGGTTTGTGGCATCCCAAGACAATTATAATAGTAACATCAAAGATCACTGATCACAGATCACCATAACAGATATAATAATGAAAAAGCTTGCAATGTCACAAGAATTACCAAAATATGACACTGAGACATGAAGGGAGCACACACTGTTAGAAAAATGGTGTCAATGGACTTGTGTGACACAGTTGCCATAGACCTTCAATTTGTATGAAATGAAATATCCACAAAGTGCAATAAAGCGAAATGCAATAAGGCAATGTATGCCTGTATAGAACATGCAGTATGCATGAATTATTGCTTTCTTTTCCTGAAAGTTAGTGTGAAAGCAGTGAAAGCAGGTATGGAGAAAGCAAGGAAAATGTTACAGGCGCCCACCCTTCCTGGCTGGAATGGAGTTTGGCATATGGTCAGAGTTGCGCATGTATTTCCTGTAAATCAATGAATAGTTCCTGCATTCAATGCTAAATATTCCATATTTTAAACAAGTGTGTGGTGACTGAAGCCAGAGAATCCTGTGAAAGACTATCACCTCTGTCAGGAGAGAGGCAGGTTTATAAAGAGGCTTAAGCAGCTAAACAAAATAATCAGTAATAATCTGCAATATTGTTATCCCCCTAAGGGATTGTGTAGCAATTGAGAATTGTAGAATCCCCACAGAAACACAGTATAGAAGGGAGAGGGAAAAGGAACAGGCATAATTAGAACCTAAGGGTTCTAGACTTTGACTACTTTGGTCCTCAGTTTCTACATCTGTACAAAGTGGGGATGTAGAATTTTAGGGCCCCAATGACCTCTAAACAAACTGCAGCTCTTCAATGGAGGCAACATGCCAGAAGCCTATATTCTTTAAATAAGTCCAGTGTGGACAGTTTTTCCTCCATTACTGGAAAACAGGACACTTTGATTGACTTCCAGGTCATGTATCTAATTTGTATTTTGAGTAAAAAAAATAGTACAAAATAGACCTCATATAAACACTAGAATCCTATTGGGAAATGCTCTGGGAAATGCTTGTTCCTGAAAGACACTTGAGAGGCAGGAGGAATTTTTGTCAGTTTGGCCACATTCAACCTGGGTCCTCAGCTCACTGAAAGGAATGAAGAGCTGCATCATCCACCTACACAATTTAGGCCATTCTTTATTTTTAATTTATTTTGACTGAGCACATTTAGTCCAAGCGTTTGAAAGTGAAACATTCTGCATGCAACAATGCCACCGTATTTAGATGATGCCATTTCCTCTCTGACTCACTCATTACTGCTCATGAAGAAAACCTGAGAAGTTGAGTCTTCTGAGGAATTCCAGAAACTGAAAAAAAAAAAAAAAAAAGAAAAGAGGAAGTCTTCTTTTATCCCTGTTGTTAGGATTAAAACTCTCCTCTTCACTTTCATAAGACTTGGTGGAAGTACCTCTGTTAGCTTATTCTGACTTAGATTTAATGATATTTATCTTTATTTCTAATTCTTGTTCTTTGGGAGTTGGAATCCTATTTCTCTATTTTCTATATATATATATATATATAAATGCTAAAATAATTCTAACACAGGATTTTTTTTTTTTTTTTTTGAGACAGGGTCTGGCTCTGTCACGCAGGCTGGAGTTCAGTGTCACAATCTCAGCTCAATGCAGACTCAACCTCCCAGGGTCAAGCAATCCTTCCACTTCAGCCTCTTGAGTAGCTGGGACCACAAGAGTGCACCACCAGACCTGGCTACTTTTTGTATTTTTTGTAGAGAGGGGGTTCACCAGGTTGCCCAGGCTGGTCTCAAACTCTTGAACTGAAACGATCTGCCCACCTCACCCTCCCAAAGTGCTATCATGCCTGGCCCTCAAACAGGATTTTTAATGATGCAATAATTGAACCAGTCCCTTACAGTTGTGCATTTGATTCCTGCTTTCTATCTTTATAAATAATATTTAGACAAGCTTTCCTGAATATAATCTTTATGAATTTTTCTGGAGTCTATTATGTTTCCAAAGGTAGCTACAACCAGAAAGCCCATCTATGTGGTCTCCCACAGTATGCCTATGCTGCTTCAGCATCAAGAAGTAGTATGAATTTCCCCTTCCTTGGGATCTAGGCTAGCCCTGTGACTTGTTCTGGTCAGTAGAATCTGGTGGAAGTGACACTGGGAAACTTTCAAAGCTTGGCCTAAAGACATCTACAGCTTTTGCTGTCACGACTTAAAATGCTCGCTTTTGGGATCTAGTCACCATGAAAAGGGGCCTGAGCATCCATGGGGTGGGGTAGGGTGGGAGTGGGCAGAAAGAGAGAGATAGAAGTCTCAGGTGTCCAGCATCTCAGCTATCCCTGCTAAAGTGCCAGATATGTAAGTCAAGTCATCTTAGTTATTCCAGCCCCAGATGCCATTGGAGTGGAATTTAACCCTGTAAGACATTCCAGACAATGACATGTAAGTGGAAAAACCACTCCAGCTGAGCCCTGTCCAATTTATGATTTACAGAATTATGGGCAAATCAAAACATTGTTCTCCCAGCCATGAAATTTATGCAGCAATAGATAATTAAAACATTTTTAAATTTAGAAAAATGCTTAGAAATACAATTATATTTCTAGTTTTTAGAAGGATAATATTTCTGGAAAATACCAAGCAGAGGTCTTTCTGGTCTCCTTAAATCATGATTCCTATGAGTTCTCATAGGGGATTTTAGATTTAGGGAGACACAGATACAGTGTAACATAATTCATTGTTCAGCTATGTGAAATTAGGCTTTCCTGAATTCTTCATTGAGACTTATAGTCTGGAAAATCAGAAACCTTATCAAGAGGAAAACGGGTGTTAAAAGAAAAACTTCAACCGAATTAAGTTTAAAGGAGTTTAATTCAGCAATGAATTATTCATGAATTGGGCAGCCTTCTGAGCCAGAGTAGGCTTAGAGACTCCAGCACACCCAGTTAGTGGAAGAAAATTTATGGACAGAAAAAGGAAAGTGACGTACAGAGAATGGAAGTGAGGTATTGGTTACAGCTTGGTGTTTGCCTTACTTGAACATGGTTTGAACAGTTGGCTACCTTTGATTGGTCAAAACTCAATGATTGGCACAAGTGTAGGCTACCGTCTGTTTACACCTCCATTTGTTATAGTTTACAATGTACAGAAAAACATTAAGGCCAAGCTTAAGATATGTAAGGAGGCAGGTTTAAACCTAACTTGATTTAACAAGGGTTTAAAAGTCACTTAAAATAGTAAACATGTGAAGAAGCAAATCTGGTGGACTAGGTCTATACAGTTATTCTCTAAGCAGTGATTCACAGACTTTAGCGTGTGTCAGATCACTGGGCTCCACCCTCAGAGTTCCTGAACAACTAGGTAGAGCCCAAGAATTTGTGTGTCAACTACTATTAAGACATTGCTGTTGCTGTTGGTCCAGGGACCACACTTTAAGAACCACTACTCAAGACATCATGGTGAGATTCAAAACAGAGAAATGCTGTAAGTAGGGCATTCATCTGAAGGGAGCCTAGGGAGATTTTTTTTTTTTTTTTTTTTTTTTTTTAATGACAGAAACTTCAAACAAAGATTGGGCTGAGGAGAAATTGGGCTGAGGCAGAAGAAAATCCCTACACAATACTGATGACCCAAAGGAAGAAAGGCTTTTTGTTTTGATGCCTTTTTAAAACTCTGAGTGGAAGCCTGCCTAGCAGAGTGACCTGCACCTAACTGGGGTAGCTAAAAAAGAGCCGACATCTGGCACCTGATAGGACTATTGTGAAGATTAAAGGAGTTTGTATATATACAGATCAATGAGAAGGCACCTAGCACAGAGTAAACGCTTAACAAGTTACTTACTATTATTATTTATTTATTTATTTTCCAGGACATGTTTATAGCTAAGGAGTTGTTGGCATAGGATGGCTCAGATATTAACACCTCTCTCCAGGTGGAAAGCAAAGGTAGGCGAGAATTAAAATGCAGCATAAATTTCCCAAAGTGGACCTCAGAAGTAGCATCTAGCAAGAAAGATGTCCAGGCAGGAAAAAGGTCATCTTTTTAAAGTCCAGCAAGGACAAAGACATGGTTAAGAAAACCCCCCTCAGGTGCCATAAAGATAGTTAAGTTCTCATCCCTTACTACTTCTTAGTTATAGATATGTGAGAAAAAAGCAAATTAATAATAATAATAATAGTAACTTATTAAGCATTTACTCTGTGCTAGATGCCTTCTAATTGATCTATATATAAAAACTTACTTAATCTTCACAATAGTCTTCTCAGGTAGGTCTCATTGTTATTCTCATTATACAGATGGGGAAATTAAGGTGCAGAGAGACTAAGTAACTTGCCCATGGTCATACACTAATAAGTGACAGAGTTAAAATTAAACCCAGCAGTCTGGCTCCTGTGATGACATGCTTATCTGCTTGCAATTTAGAATTAGAGATTTTTTGAGTTTACAAAGTAAATGTTATATACATTGTACAATACCTAACACTTCCACCACTTAAATGCATTCATATAACTGCAGCAAAATAAGTAAATATTCAACATATGAATATTCACACTAAGTATAATAAATAAAAATGATAAGTAGCCTCATGCCAATTCACTTAAAATGAATTAAGTAAGAATATCTTTAATTATGAAGTTTGAGTCCTCTCCCCACCCTACTCTCAGTCGTTTCATGGGGCTTTGGAGCAACAGAGATTTTTCAAAGATGGGAAGTGAGGATGTGTATTTCTTTCCATAATTAAGTTGGAATGTTTGAATATTTACTTTTTTACTTTGCCACCAAGTCATATGTTATCTGGCAATTTAAAGTCTATTTCCTTGCTTCTCTAAGCATTCCACCAACATTGGAGATTGCCATTGTTCTGATTATCTCTTGCTATTTAACAAATCATTCCACAATTTAGAGGCTAAAATCAACTCATCTCATGAATTTTTTGTCCAGTAGTTGAATAAGCCTTGGTTTAATGATTCTTCTGTTCTGTGACATCAATTGAGGACACTCTTACATTCAGCTGGCAAATGCGCTGGTCTAAAGGGGCTGAGATTTATTTACTCACATGTCTAGTACCTTGGTGCGGATGGATAGATGGCTAGCCTCAACTGGGTCTGCTGATGAGAATGTATATATGTACCTTTTCTAGCATGACAGTTTGAGGGAGTGGGCCTTCTGACATGGTCACCAGCTTCCCCTTGAGAAACCATTCTAAGAGAGCAGAGTGTAAACTGCAAGGCTTCCACGACAGCCACAAAAGGTCCATATCCTACTGGACAAGGAAGTCACTAAGGTGAGCTCAGATTTGAGAGGAAGAGTTAGATTCCATTTCACAATGAGAAGAGAAACCAAGAAGCCCCTGACCACATTTAATCTAATATATTCATTCAAAATAAGAAAAAAACTGATGAGCATTTTTAGCAATTTTCCAATCTCAGTGTTTCCATTTTAACTTTATTCTTTATTAATAGGGTTGAAATTATATTAAATATTTATTGATCATGTATACTGATTATACATATATGCGTGCTTGTTTATTTGTGTCCTTTGTCCTTTATTGAGTGTTTATTTTTCTCTTATTGATTTATTAGGGCTTAATAAAGTTTTCATATTACTAGAAAATGGGTTTGCTTATATATTACACAAAGATATGGAAGAACATTTCATATTTTCAGAGAGACATAGAGGTGTGGAATAGATTTTATCTTGTTTAATCCTTGCTTCTTGGGTAATCATTCTAAGCTTGGTGATATTAAGACAAATAAAAGTTCTTTGAGACATATACAACACACACACACACACACACACACACACACACCCCACAAGGAATTATAAGATTTTCTGTGATTAAATGATTAGAGATAAGAAATCTTTTTAAAGGTCTGTATTGGAGCTTTTTCATATGTTATATTAACCCATTTAATCAAAATAAAGATAAAAGAAACATTAGAAATGACAGGAGAGAGTGCCAACATTTGTGGGGCATCTATTGAGCCAATTACTTTGACAAGTGATTTATGAAAAACAGTGTTAGAATATTTAATCTTCACAGCAACGCTGAAGAGTAGAAACTAGATGATTCCTTGCCCCACCTACAATAATACAAGTTAGAAAAGTAAGGCATAGATAAGATTAAGGAAATTGCTCCAAATCACAAAGCTATCAAGTCCTGGAGCGGAAGTTCAAACTCCATATCCTTTCCACGTCCTTACAATGCTTCCCTAGTATTCTCCACAACAAAACTACTTTGCCACTAAATGGTCTCTATTTTGAAACTTTATTTAGATCACAATAAAGAACTTTTAGAAGACACTTGTCCAAGATGGTTTTTACACCTTCAAATGACTAAAAAATGAAAAAAAAATATTATGACACGTGAAAATTATATAAGATTCAATTTTTTTTCTCAATTTTGTATTTTTGGAATTCCGCCATGCTCATTCATTCCTGTATTGTCTATGGTATCTTTCACACTATAATGTCAGAGTTGTGTAGTTGTCTCAGACTTTATCATCCACAAAACCTAAATTATTTATTCTCTGTTCCTTTACAGAAAAGGTTTACTGACATCTGTATTAAAACACTCATTTCTTGAGACTGTGTTGCAGTATGTTAAATATCCCTACTCACAGACATATGGAAAAAACATAACAGAAGACACCTAAAAAATGATTTCTAAAAATTTGTTTTGTAGATGTCATTAAAATAATTCATTAACACAGAAAACAAAAAATGGCAGAGAAAACAGTATAATAAGAGTTGAAATTTTCCAGTGAAGATGCTGTCTGCAATAATGCAATACATTTTTCATTGACACACACTTATTAAATAATATGTAAAATACTGACACCTAATGTTAACTTTTTGTATTATAATTTCAGAGAATTTTTCAATAGCCCCAAATAACATTTAGGAAGCTATTAAAAAACTAAGGTTAAAAAAAAAAGTCATATAGTTTTTCCAAATAAAAGTATTTGATTGTTTTTATTGTGTGTTAATGGGATAATATTTCTGAAAATTAAAGGTAGAAAAAGATACATTTAAAGCTTACAATAAAAGTCATGGGCCTGAAACTGAATTGAATATTAGTAGTATGAGTGTATTACTGATAATATCTCAACAAACTAATATTTTAATGCAGGTGTCAGTAAACATTTTCTGTAAAAAATAAAACAGAGGCCGGGTGAGGTGGCTCATGCCTGTAATCCCAGCACTTTGGGAGGCCAAGGAGGGCAGATCACTTGAAGTCAGGAGTTTGAGACCAGCCTGGCCAACATGGTGAAACCCTGTCTCTACTAAAAATACAAAAATTAGCCGGGCTTGGTGGCACATGCCTGTAATCCCAGCTACTTGGTAGATTGAGGCAGGAGAATCACTTGAACCCAGGGGGCGGAGGTTGAATTGAGCCAAGATCACACCACTGCACTCCAGCCTGGGTGACAGAGTGAGATTTGATCTCAAAATAAATAAATAAATAAAACAGAGAATATATAACTTAAGCTTTGTGGATGATAAGGTCTGTCACAGCTGCACAACTCCAGCACCACAGTATGAAAGATAACATAAACAATACATGAATGAATGAGTGTAGACGAGTTAAAAAAGAACGTGATGAAGAAATTTGAATTTCATATGATTTTCATGCATCATGAACTTTTTTTAAAAATTATTTTTTACCATTTAAAAATGTACATACGATTCGGGGATAATGGCTCATGCCTGTAATATCAGCACTTTAGGAGGCCAAGGCAGGAGGATCACTTGAGGCCAGGAGTTCAATACCAGGCTGGGTGACATAGCAAGAGCCCATCTGTATTTTAAAAATTACAAAATTAGCTAGGTGTGGTGGTGCAGGCCTGTAGTCCAACCTACTCTGGAGGCTGAGGTGGGAGAACTGCTTCAGCCCAAGAGGTGGAGGCTGCAGTGAGCTGAAATTGCACCACTGCACTCCAGAGTGGGCGACAGAGCAGGACCCTGTCTCAAAAAAAAAAAAAAAAAGGAAAATAAAAAAAGAAAAAGAAAATGTACAAACGATTCTTAGCTTCAGAGATGAAAAAAACACAGTTGGTGCATTGGATTTGACCAAGAAGCCATAGTGTACCAACCCTTGTATAAGGCCTTTTCATTGAATGGTTAGTGTAGGACAAAGTTTTTGAACTTTCAAATAGGAAATCTTGGTTATTAAATGTTTCTCAAATGCATAAAGCACATTTCCATGTGAAGCCCTTCTGCACCACATGCACTCTGCCATTTGTTTGGGATGCTCTTTCCCCAACACTCTGTTCCATTTCTCATCCTGTATATTTCATTTAAATTATTCTACCCCTGACCCCTCCCAAATCTCATGTGCTCATATTTCAAAACCAATCATGCCTCCCTAACAGTCCCCCAAATTCTTAACTCGTTTCAGCATTAACTCAAAATTCCACAGTCCAAAGTCTTGTTTGAGACAAGGCAAGTCCCTTCTGCCTATGAGCCTGTAAAATCAAAAGCAATTTAGTTACTTCCTAGATACAACAGGCATACAGGCATTGGGTAAATACAGCCATACCAAATGAGAGAAATTGACCAAAGCAAAGGGGCTACAGGCCCCATGCAAATCCAAAATCCAGCAGGGCAGTTAAATATTAGAGCTCCAAAATGATTTCCTTTGACTCCATGTCTCACATCCAGGTAATGCTGATGCAAAAGGTGGGTTTCCATGGTCTTGGGTAGCTCAGCCCCTATGGCTTTGCAGGGTAGAGACTCCCTTCTGGCTACTTTCACTGGCTGGTGTTAAGTGTCTGTGGCTTTTCCAGGTGCATGGTGGAAGCTGTTGGTGGATCTACTGTTCTGGGGTCTGCAGGATGGTGGCCCTCTTCTCACAGCTCCACTAGGCAGTGCCCCATTAGGGACTCTGCATGGGGACTTTGACCCCACATTTCCCTTCTGTACTGCCTTATCAGAGGTTCTCCATGAGGGTCCTGGCCCTTCAGCAAACTTTTGCCTGGGCATCCAGGTGTTTCCATACATCCTCTAAGCAGAGGTTCCCAAGCTGCAACTCTTGACTTCTGTGCATTCACAGACTCAATACCATGTGGAAGTTGCCAAGGCTTGGGGCTTGCATCCTTTGAAGCCATGGCTTGAGCTCTACATTGGTCCCTCCCAGCCACAGCTGGAGCAGCTGGGATGCAGGGTACCAAGTCCCTAGGCTGTAGACAGCATGAGGACCCTGTGTCCAGCCTACGAAACCATTTTTCCCTCCCAAGCCTCCAGGCCTGTAATGGGAGGGGCTGCCATGAAGACCTCTGACATGACCTGGAGACATTTCCCCCATTGTCTTGGGGATTAACATTCAGCTCCTTGCTACTTATGGAAATGTCTGCAGCTGGCTTGAATTTCTCCTCAGAAAATGGGATTTTTTTTTTCTCTCTCACATCATCAGGCTGCAAATTTTCCAGACTTTTATGTTCTGCTTGCCTTATAAAATTGAATGCCTTTAACAGCACCCAAGTAACATCTCGAATGCTTGGCCGGGTGTGATGGCTCATGCCTGTAATCCCAGCACTTTGGGAGGCCAAGGCAGGCAGATCACAAGGTCAGGAGATCGAGAACATCCTGGCTAACATGGTGAAACCCCGTCTCTACTGAAAATATTTTTTAAAAAATTAGCCGTGTGTGGTGGCGTGTGCCTGTAGTCCCAGCTACTTTGGAGGCTGAGGCAGGAGAATGGAGTGAACCCAGGAGGCGGGGCTTTCAGTGAGCCAAGATCGCACCACTGCACTCCAGCCTGGGCAACAGAGCGAGACTCCATCTCAAATAAATAAAAAAAAGAAAGAAAGAAATTTATTCTACCAGATACTCTAAATGATCTCTTCAAGTTCAAAGTTCCACAAATCTCCAGGGCAGAGGCAAAATGCTGCCAGTCTCTTTGTTAAAACATAACAAGAGTCACCTTTGCTCTGGTTCCCAACAAGTTCCTCATTTCCATCTGAGACCAACTCAGCTGGGACTTTACTTTCCATATCACTATCAGCATTTTGGTCAAAGCCATTTAACAATTCTCTAGGAAGTTCCAAACTTTCACATGTTTTCCTGTCTTCTTTTGAGTCCTCCGAATTGTTCCAATCCCTGCCTGTTACCCAGTTCCAAAGTTGCTTCCACATTTTTGGGTATTTTTACAGCAGCGCCCCACTCTAATGGCACAAATTTACTGTATTTGTCCATTTTCATGCTGTTGATAAAGACATACCCAGGACTGGGCAATTTTAAAAATAAAGAGGTTTAAAGGACTCAGTTGAAACTGTGGTTCCACATGGCAGGGGAGGCCTCACCATCATGGTGGAAGGTGAAAGGCACATCTCACATGGCAGCATACAAGAGAAGAAAACTTGTGCAGGGAAAGCCCCCTTTTTAAAACCATCAGATCTCATGAGACTTATTCACTATCATGAGAACGGCATGGGAAAGACCTGCCCCCATGATTCAGTTACGTCCAATCTGGTCCCTCCCATGACGTGGGAATTATGGGAGCTACAATTCAAAATGAGATTTGGGTGGAGACACAGCCAAATCATATCAAAGAGCCAATTAAGCTTTATAAATTACCCAGCCTCAGGTATTTCTTTATAGTGATGCAAGAATGATCTAATACAGTATATTAAAGAGAAATGTACCCAATAATATGGTGAAAGACAGGGACAGAAAACCACAATAGAGATTCCCATTCAAAAGGAGAGAAAAAGTATGGAAGGTGCATAGCAATCAGTGGTCCATAACAATTCTGAAATCCAACTGGCACATGTGACCAGTTCCTTGATTAGGACTCAGTTTTACTCCTTTGGAGTGGTTCTCTGAAGGTCCTTGTTTCACTTCTATGCTCTTGATTCTATATTTCTATATTTTGAGTCTTTATTTCTTTTACATGAGAAATAGAACATTCTTGAAGCTGAGTAGCTTTCTCAACCTGCTTCTTGCTAAATTAGTTATCTATGGCTGTGTTATGAATTACCTGAAAACATAGAGGTTTAAGAGAATAAGATTTATAATACCATTGTTTCTGTGGCTCAGATTCAGTAACTTAACTGGGTTCTCTAAGTCATGGTTGCTTGTAAGGCTGGAATCAATGGGCCAATCAATGTGTTGGCAGTCATCTCAAGGCTCAAACAAGGCTGGAGCTTCTTCCAACTCCACTTAATCGGTTGTTGAAAGAATTCAGTTTCACATGAACCATTAGACTAAGGATCTTCATTTCTTGGCTGTTGAATGGAGACCTCTATTAGTTCCTTGCCACATGATTCTCTCCAAAGGGCAGATATCAATATTGCACCTAACTTCCATTAAACTGAGGAAGTGAGAGCACAAGAGAGGGCAAACAAGAGAAAAGCTAGAGTTTTTATGGAGCCTAATCTTGGCAGCAGCATCCCATCACTTTTGCCATAATCTATTATTAGAAGCAAATCAGTATGTTCAGCTTATACTCAAGGGGAGGAAATTACACAAGGAAATAAGTACCAGGAAATGGGTATCATTGGGAGACATCTTGGAAGCTGCTATACCCCAGTCATTTGGGAACCTATAGATCTCTCTTCACTTTGAACTGCCTTCATCTTTTTAAGGCCAATAGATACAACTCTTTTAAAATTGCAGATTTTCTCTGTATCAAATTTTATAATTTACTAGAAAAAAGTGATACTCACAAAAGTCTCATTTCATATTGGGCAGAGAGTTACAGGGCCAGGAAAAAATACTGTTAAGATTTTCAGAAGCAATGTTGTCTGGTTAAGAAGTCCTACAAAATCTGAACTGAAGATCCTACATCTGCACTTTTCATCTGATATTGAGTCTGAAGCCATGTTTAATGGAAGGATTTGATCTTTTCCCTCAGATTGTATTTTCATTTGAGAATCTTTTGCAGGATAAAGAGGTTTATAATTGAGAAATTGTCTTTTTTCCCAACTCTGGAAATCCTGGTTGAAAATGTTTTCTCTATATTCTAATTGAAAATTGAACAAAGCTCTTTATTTCATCTCTTTAGATCTGATTTTTATCATAGGAGAAAAAAAATAAAAATACTTGTCACTTTTTACCGTTGGTCTGGAAATCTTAGCTAAATCTACAAGTTTATTAGATTTTTTTTCTGTCTTTCATGTTACCTCTTGTCACTAACATGAGTCAACTTTTCTCAGGCCTCCAATATCAAAGCACTCATTATCTTTTCAATTCTCATTAATATATTTCTTAAAAAAGCCCTTCTATCTCCACCTAATCTCTGGTCCTAAAGCCAATGGCAGATACATATATACTTCTTAAATCAAATGTATTTGCTTTCAAGTTCCATTCCAGGTAACAAATATATGACCAATAAACTGATGTCTTTAGTTTGGCCACTGGGCAAGAAAACTCTGCATTTTTCGTAGTTGAGTGCAGCACTGAGGTGAGTACCAATTGTTCCTCTACTGTAGAATAGGATAAAGTTGTTAAGCCCAAAAAAGGTATTAACATTTTATCCTCATTGACAGTCAAGGAATCACCCAAATTTCCCACCTTCCACCACCCCCAAAACCCAAGAAAAAAGGGTATAAATTAGCCCTGTGTAACTCAAACTTATAAGAATCAGATACAATAATTGGCAAACAAAATTCTTGGTTTTTCCACCCTCCTATTCAACATTTCCCTGGTATACCTAAGAATGCAGGAGTGTAGATTTTTAAAGCAAGCTCAGTAGCAAGTCAGCCAATGTCAGGAATAAGGATAAAGATAAGTTGAAATTTTTCAAACCCAGGAGGTTGGCTGCTGGTGGATTGGAGCACCTTATAGTAAGAAAGGGGATGCAATAGGAGAGGGAGAGGACTCCCAGCACCACCCCCCATCTCTCCTTGTGTGAAAAACTCATGTTGTTTGAGGTAGGGCAACCAGGCCCACATACAAGAGGGACGACTGATCCCTCAAATACACTACACAGTGTGGCTTCCAGGAGTCCTTCACCTTGGGCCTCAGAAACCAATGACATGTTCTCAGCCATATTTCAAAATATACATAGCATTGTTTGCACCAGGGGAATGGGGAACTCTGCCTTGAAAGGAAGCAAACACCTGTGAAACATGCTTTCAGTCTGAAACCACATCTTTTTTTATAGGACCTGACATAAAGTAATTTAACCTGCAATATTATATGCACAACTTTGGAAAGGGGAGTTGTGTTTTACAGGCTGACTTAGTCAACTCCTAACCAATAGTACCTCTGAGCTTAAAGGAAGGGAAACCCTTTCTTAATAATTTCCAGTTCTTCACATTCTTGTTTTCTTGTTAAAAAAAAAAAAAAAAAAATATATATATATATGGAAGGGCATTTATTTTAGATTTCCCCTTCTTTTACAGAAACCTGAAATAGCCAGGTATCATATGATTCATTGACAATATCTCAAACCCATCTAGAATTCACCAGGATACGTGGTTAGTTTGTGCAAGAATGTGCTCCAGTCTGTGCAAATCTACCCTCATTCCATTGTTTTCCCTATCATTGTTATTCAAAGTCCTATGCTGTGGAAAGGACAGATGAAGTCACAAAACTTTCTATGTACATACATATAAACATAAATACAATCTGTGGGTGAGGTGACAATAGCAGTAGGGGCTCCAGTCTGCACACGTAGTAAGAAAATAAATTCATCCCCCCCCCAATCCCATCCTTTAATGTGAAGGATTCTGCTCCAAGCTTCCAAGTGACCAGCTAAAGCAATGAGGTATACAAGAACAATATTCCCATCTGACTCACCCAAGTGTCTTCATGTGGAACTTCAGGGTGGAGCTGCAAAGTGCAATGGCAGATATTTTAAGTTTTAGTCACATCAACACCTCACTTCTAGGTATGAGTTGTTTTTTTTTAAAAAAAAAAAAGTCAGTTGTTTGTAACTGACTTATGATCGTAGAACTTCGTGCCTTAAAACAGAAACAATTTATTATTTTTCACAACTGTGTCAGTTGAATAGGTAATCCTCTGCTTAATATGATATGATCTGAAGTGCTGGGGGAGCTTAAAAGTCTAAAATGTTCTCACTTACCTAACAGCAGAGATGGTGCTGGCTATAAACTCAGTTTGATCTGTTGGCTGGGGCTTTGGTTCTCCTCCATGTAGAACTCTACATGTGGCTGGTTTGGTCTACATAGTGTGGTAGCTGGCTTCAAGGAGTAACATTCAAAGTGGTAAAAGTGGAAGCTGCAGATTTCTTAAAATGAAGCTTTGGAAAGTTACACAATGTCACTTCTGCTGCATTCTGTTGATCCCAGCAAGTTACAGGCCCAGGACATATTCTATGTGGGAAGGGAATACACGTGGCCCTAAGCACCAACAGGCATGATTCATTAAGGGACATCTTTGGAGTTTGGTGTATTGGCAATGTTGTGAAGTATGGATTAGGAGGGTATGAGACTGAGAACAGAGAAAGTAGGACTCTACTACCTTAACCCAGGCAAGAAATACTTATAATCAAAACAACGGTGCTTATAAGTGAATGGAGAGCACACATACACTGAAGACGATATGAAGGTCACCAATAGATGGAGAAATTTGAGGGATTGAGAGAATGCTGGGAGAATTTACAAGTTTTTACTAGGGTTTGTTTGTTTGTTTGTTTGTTTGTTTGTTTGTTTGAAATGGAGTCTCCCTCTGTTCCCCAGGCAGGGGTGCAGTGGCTCTATCTCGACTCACTGCAACCTCTGCCTTCTGGGTTCAAGTGATTCTCCTGCCTCAGCCTCCTGAGTAGCTGGGACTACAGTTACTAGAGTATTTTTACACTACAGTGACCTCACTGAATAAATAGGACCTGAAATCACTTAATTATGGATGCTAAAAGCAACTTGGACTTCTTCTCCCTGAAGTTCTATATGCTGTCAGGTTTAATTATTCACTCTTCTCTGAATCATTGTCTGTGTCCCACCAGCACCAATGAGATTAGGTAGTGATAAGCACACTGAGCTACTATTTATTCCCCAATCTAGAATAATGTTAATGCTATCCTCTACTGCTGTGAGCTCCTATTCTTGTTAGCATTGTACAACCAAAATCTGCTACTTCTAACTCTATAGATGTATCATTATTTAATTCTTTGGAGTTCTCAGAAATTCACAATTCCCCTGAAACCCCAAGTCAGTAAGAGGTAAAAATGTCCTTCTATTATTGCCAAAGCAGCTTTAACAGGGAAGGCACAGCGACTTGCTTCAACGGAATCCTTCACAAGAACTCCTTGTACACACATTCCTGCCTACCTGGAACCCAGAGGATAGAAACACAAGTCCTAACCTTGGGAACCCTGATAAAGACAAATCAGTGACTGCCTGCTGCAAATCCAAGTCGGAAGTCTACTGGGGTCCATTGGGAGGTAGGCTAAGAATGCTCCTTCATGACAGAATACTTTTTGGTCAATCAGCTACTTTTTGTTGAATCTCTTAACAGAGATTTATGACCTGAAAAATTATGTCTATATTATCTGACCAAAAAGAACCACCATTAGAAATTCCAGAGAATTTTAAGTAGTTCCAATATGATTTCAGTGTGTGGGAACTGCAACAAATTATTGTTGAGATTTAGATGGACAACTACATGTGTGGACACACTACCTAAAACACATGGAGTTTGCCTAAGTCATGAGTTGCCCACAATTCTATACATGGCTCAATCTACTCCCATCTTATTAGCTATGGAATTCCTAGCATGCTCTGTAGCTGCAGAAGTTTACATTTTAACAGTGAAATCAGGTTCCTCAGTTTCTTCACCTATATCTGTCCACTTGTGAGTTCTTCCAGAACCAGGACCACATAATCAATCTAAGTTGGGATGTGCTGGTAGACGTTTAACGACTAGTAATCTGAGTATACTTCGGACATGAATGTTGGCTGATTATTTATTTACAGTAATGTGCCAGATGTAAATACAACAACAAAAATATTAACTTGTTCCTCAATGATGTGAGTGACATTTTGATGAAACAGATAATAGTTTTGAATACTGAAAGAATATTTCCCCATTTACAAAATGTTATTCACAGTGTAGCAGCTACAGCCATGACACACTTAAAAGTTTTATCTAAATTATTAATATTCTCTTTTTTATGTCTAAAAAATCAATAAAACAATAAGTCAAGTCCTGTTTTGTAGTGTTTGTCGATTTCCATGGTATAAATACTTCTACCATGGCTTATTTTAAGCTGTCAATGTAATGTTAAGGAATGCAGAATTAGAACAAAATATGCCATTTTATAGTATTTTTTCATATTTAGATACAATAGACATAAACTGAAAAGTATGGATAAAAGTAAAATGAATAGGAAGTGATAAGTTTTGCATGTTTATGGCTAGCTCTCAAAAAAACTTTTATAAAGCAGAAGTTGCCAAGAAATACACAGGGGGATCTGACGCACCTTCACTTCCCTTCCTCTAATGTTGCTATCTTGCATAACTATAGCACAATAACAAAACAGGAAATTGACATTGGTACGATACACAGAACCTATTCATATTTCATAATTACACATGCTCTCGTGTGTGTGTGTGTGTGTGTGTGTGTGTGTGTGTATAGTTCTATGCCATTTCATTACATGATAAGGCATTATAGCATTATATAACCACAACAATTAAAATACAGAACTCTTTCATCACCATGAAGTACTCTCAAGTTACCCCTTCACAGCAATTTCTTGATTCCCAGTCTTCAACTCCTGGCAACCACCAATCTGTTCTTTATATCTGTAAAATGTGTTATTTCACAAATGTTGTGTAAATTGAGATACACAGTGTGTAACCTCTTGAGACACGCTTTTTTCACTCAACATAATCCCCTTGAGATTCATCCAAGTGTCTGTAAGTATTACTGATTTGTTTCTTCATATTTAGGGGTACTATTTTACGGTATGGATGTACCACAGTTTGTTTAACCATTCATCTATTGAAAGACGTGTGGCTTCTTTTCAGTTTCTATTATGAATATAGCTACTATGAATATTTGTGTGCATATTTTTGCATTAACATATGTTTTCATTTCTCCAGTATAAATTTCCAAGAGTCCAATTGCTGGGTTCTATTGTAAGCACGTTTTTGGTTTTAAAGGAAACTGCCAAGCTAATTTACAGAGTGGATATGCCACTTAACATTCTAACGAGCAAAATATAAGTGATCCAATTTTTCTTCACCTCAACAGCATTTGATATTATCATGATTTTTTTTAACTGTTCTAATAAGTGTGTAATAATATCTCATTTTTGTTTTAATTCACATTTTCCTAATGGCTAACAATGCTAAACATGTTAATTATTATTTTTTACTAAATATAAATAGTGCTTATCTAAAATCTGTATATTCTCCTCAGTGAAATATCTCTTTAGGGTTTTTGCCCATTGGCTATTTGGATTATTTGTCTTACTAATGCTGAGATTTGAGGATTATTTATATATTCTAGCTAGAAGACATTTCTTAAATGTGTGGTCTGAAAATATTTTATCTCACTGTGTAGGCTGTATTTTCATGTTTTTAACAGGATCTTTCTTGGAGCAGGTCTTTCCAGTCCTGATAAGGTTCAACTTAATTTTTTAATGAACTATATTTTTGGTATCAAGTCCAAGAACTGTTTGCCTATCCCTAGGTTCCAATAATTTTCTCCTAAGTATTTTTCTAATAGTTTATGGTTTTATGTCTCACATTTAAGTCTGTGATTCATTTTTAGCACATTTTTGTATGAGGTGTGAAGTTTAGGTCAAGGTCTCTTCTTCTGCTGATGAGTGTCTCCCATACCATTTCTTAAAAAGGGTATCTTCCTGTATTATCTAATGGTATTGCTCCTGTACCATTTCTTGAAAAGGGTACCTTCCTCTGTTGAATTGCTTTTTCACCTTTGAAAAAAATCACTGGGACACTTTTGTATGGGTCTCCATCTTGGTTCTCTCTTCTGTTCTGTTGATCTTTTTATCTATTCCTCCTCCAGTACCACACTGTCTTGAATATTGTACCTATATAGTAAGCCTCAATGTCAAGTAGAGTGATTTTTTCACATTATTTCTTTTCATACAATATAGAATAGTTTTTGCTGGTGTACATCTTTGGCATTGCATATAAATTTTAGACTAGACTTGTCTACATCTATAAAAAGCTTCAAGTAACCAGCTAATAATAAATAAATAAAAATATACAAAGCTGACAAGATTTTTAATAGAAATTGTCTTAAACTTACAGATTTAGGGAGAACTGTCATCTTTATTATGTTGACTCTTCCAATCCATGGATACAGAATATCTCATCAATTATTTAGATCTTCTTTGATCTCTTTCATTAGCATTTTATAACTTTCAGCATACAGATCCTATGCATGCTTTGCAAAATTTATAAATGATAATTTCATTTTCTTTGGAGCACTTGCAAAGGGTACTATGTCTTTAATATTGATTTCTACCAAATATTCATTGTTTTGGTTTCCATCCATGTTCATTGTTAGGATGTAGAAATGTAATTATTTTTGAATATTGATCTTATATCCTGTAACCTTGCTGAAATGATTAATTGGTTCTAGGAATTTTCTTAAAATTGGTCTTTAGAATTTTCTACATAGACAATAATGTCATCTGCAAATAAAGACAGTTACATTTCTTCATTTTCAATCTCTACGTCTTTTTAAAATTATTGTCATTTTTGCAATATTATGCTTGCCAGTACTCTTTGTTGAATGAGAGTGGGGATAATAGATATCTTTGTTTCCTTCCTGATCTTAGGGGAAAGCATTTAGTCTTTTATTGTTAAGTATGATGTCAGCAGTAAGTTTGCTGTAATTGCTCTTTTTGAGTCAATATCACTAATAGATAGACTCTGTAGTTTTCTTTTCTTGTACTCTGGTTTTGTTATGAAGATAGCACTGGTCTCGTAGAATGAGTTGGGAAATGTTCCCTTTTCTATTTTTTAGAAGAGTTCATAAAGTATTGCTGTTAAGTCTTTAAACGTTTGATAGAATTCAACATTAAGGACATCTGGGCCTGTAAGTTTCTTTGTTGGATGTTTTAAAATTACTAACTAAAACCTTTTAAGTGTATTTAGATTTTCCATGTCTTTTCATTTATGTTTCAGAAGTATGTTTCTCTTTGTTTTTTTTTTTTTTTTTCATTTGGGTTATCTAAGGTGTTAGGACACAAAATTTTACACAGTGTTTCCTTCTAATTCTTTTTATTTCTGTAAAATTATTCATGATGTCTCTACTTTCTTCCCAGGTTTTAGTAATTTCAGTTTTACTTATTTTTCTTGGTTTCCCTAGTGAAAAAATTGTCAATGGTGTTAAAATATCAAAGAACCTATTATTGGCTTAGTAGATTTACATTATTACTTTTCTATTCTTTATTTTATTAATTTCCATTCTAGGCTTTACTATTCTTGTCTCTCTGCTTTCTTTGGGTTAAGTTCACTTTTCCTTTTCTAATTCTTAACATGAGAGATTAGGTTATTAATTTAACTTAATTTTTGTTAAACATAGATGTTTTAGCTACACATTTCTCTCTTAAGCACTGCCTTTGCTGTATTCCATAACTTGATATGCTGCATTTTTGTTTACTTTCACCTCAAACTACTTTTAAATTTGCCTTATGATTCCATCCTGGACCCTTGGTTACAGAGGAGTGTGCTGTTTAACTTCCACAGATTTTTGAAATTCTAAAATTTCCTTCAGTTATTGATTTCTAATTTTATACCATGTTGTTGGAAAACAAATTGTGTATGATTTCAACTCTTAAGTTTTTTCAAATTTGTTTTATGGTCTAATGTATGGTCTATCTTCAAGACTGTTTTATGTGCACTTGCATTCTACTGTTGTGAGGTGAAGTGTTCTATAGATATCTATTAGGTCTATTTTGTCTATAGAGTTTTTTAGTCTTATATTTGTGTGTTGATCTTCTACCCCATGTTACCTTAAGTATTAAAAATATAATATTGAAGTCTCCAACAATTATTATTGAATTTTCTATTTCTCCCATCAATTTGATTTGCGCTTTATGTGTTATTGAGCTTTGTTGTTAGGGGCATACATGTTTAAATTGGTATGCCTTACTGATTAACCCCTTATTATTAAAAAAAATCTTCTTAGATTGCTCTTGAGAATAAAAATAACATCTTAACTTAAAACATTGTAGTTTGAATGAAAATCAACTTAATTTCAATAGTATATAAAAACATTGCTTCAATGTATCACTATTCCCTGCTCTTTTTTGTTCTATTATTGTCATACAAATGACACCATTACACATTATAAACCCATTAACATGGTTTTATAATTATTGTTTTATGAAGTTGTCTTTTAACTCTGATATGAATCAACTCTAGTAGGAGTTACTAAAACAAAAAGTTTGTTTTGTCTCTTTTATATTTAACAATGTAGGTACCTTTATTTCTCCCACATACCTTGTCCTACATTTGTGAAGCCATTCTTTAGACTATATACAGTTTACAAATTCACAGTATAATTTGCATTGAACACCACTGCTCTATATTTTTTCATTCTAAGGTAGTGCATGAGTCAATCAGCAGGCTTACTTTTTATTTTAATTGACATAAGTAGATGAAGTAGAATTAGATTTTCAAAGACTTTGAGAGATATAACTTGTTCTCATTATAACCATCCAAACAGCCAAAATATTACATTATACATCTTAGGCACTCAATGTATAGCAAATATTTTTTAAATTCCTACTATATGTAGGATTCTGTAATAACAAGTGATTTTCTATTTAATATCTAAATATAGCAAATAAAATGAATTGAATTTTCTATATGACGAATGTTTCAAAAGAAAACCAGCAATTAATCTTCTTAGTCCTACTAATTTGTTCTCCTTTCCTTTTTGTTCTTTTCTCATTCTTCATTTTCTGTCTGGTAAAAAAACACTATGAAAGTAAATTGGAAATGTTTTACAAGCTGCAAATAACTTTTAAATAACTAAATACAACATGAGTTGAATGAACAGAGGAAAATGTAGATAAATTTTTCATTATCATGTAGTTTCTTCATACCTAAACTTTTTTGACTAGAAATGTCTTTAAGTGTTATATGCCTGGCAGTAATGATTGGATTAGTCTTTGTCCTTTGAATAACTTGTTCTTTCCTTTAGTCATCACATACAAACACACACACACACACACACACACACACACACTAGCTTTACTTTTTTCATAAATTATATATTATTCAGCATTTCTAGGATGTGCCTAAACTTGTGAAGATAAACATGTCTCATTTTGATTCTTTCCTGACCCTCAGATACTCAGAATAAAAATACTTCCAGATCCAAATAAAATGTATGATGTTGTATATTATGATGTTGTATATTATCACGTGATATCTTTCCTCTTTTTTAGATTATGTATGTTAAAAAAATGAAAACTAAGTATTTATTTTACATCATGAACCTCTATTTCTTCACATATAAAATGAAGATGGTGGCAACCTTTACTTCACAATATTGTGATGAGAATTATATGTGATATTTTATGTAAAGCATATAGCACAGTGTTTGGAATTGGTAAGTTCTCAGTAAATTCTATTTCTAATTATATCTTCAAGTCTAAAGGAAATTAATGATAAGTCGATTCAATAACAGTCATTTTTAATATTTTAATTTTTATGACTTGGAAACATGGAAGATTATTATTTAGCTCTACAGTATTCTAATTTTCACCATTTATGAAAATATAAATTTCTACATAATATTTAAATCAGGAAAATTGAACTTTTCTTTATTTGTAGAAGAGCTTAGTCTACATGGTAAACTTTCTTTCTGTATTAGTCTGAGAAAATTGGGTCAACCATGGAATACAAACTCAGCGCTTGGGGTTGTGGCAATGTAACTTTGCAAAATTGGCCAAAGAAAGCTGTATTTGTATTTCTGAACTTCTGAAAGGTCAATTGTGCAGTAATAAACTTAATTGACAATAAAAAAGACAACCCAAAATGATGATTAAGGCTCAAAATAATTGAAAGTGATGTATTGTCTTTATTTTTAAGTATGGAGACCTGCTTAAATTTTAGTCACACCATATCAATTACGAATTGAAATAGCTTAAGGATTTATGCATGTTATACTGACTAGCAATTAAATTGAATGTATATGTGTATCACTCAGTAATGATCTTTGCACAGGATGTGTACCATACAGATATACTTGTCTCTTCAGTTACCCCATACTTCCCTATAGAGTGTGTTGTGCATGAGGACTTGAGGCAAAGATTTGGCCCATGTGTGGAAGAGCAGGTTTCTATTTATACGACACCATTCCTCAACTCACTCAAGCCTGGATTACAGTATGTTGTCTAGCTTCTCCAGAAATCTCCTTTTTCATTTACAATAATAAAAATTCAATTTTTTGTCCACATGTTTAAAATGTTTTAAAGCTGCCATTCAGTAACAGCCGTAGTTTAGTTACACACAAACTGTTTGAATACCATCAGAACTTCTTAAATTACAGCTTTCTCCCTAATTATGAGCCATACATTATTGTCTATATCATCTGTCGAATAAACAGTTTTTGTGCCTGCCAAAAGAATATCTGGAGGTGTTCTTATTTACATTGTATGTTGAAAATATAAATAAAAACACAAACATGATTTACTGCATGTTATAATTAATAAAAGCACCATGATCAAAACATTACCCGATTTTTTTTTCTTAGTTAACAGCATTTCTTTAAATAGAGTTGATATTTGGGGGAAAAAAATCTTTCACTTCCACTGAAGAGAAAAAATGTCAATATCAATTTTGCTGAAATTTTGAATTCACTGTATATTAAAGGTAGAGATGTGTTATAAAAGGTAGAGATGTGTTAAAATATGTTGAGAATTTAGAATTTTCTTAATGTCAAATTGAGATATAGAAAGCATATCTACTACTATATGAACATATCTAAATCAGATGTAGTACTAATGTTCAGCAGAACAGAGGAAATATTAACATAAGGATTAATTATCCTTCTGACAAATGTTAATTATTAGTTTGAAATCAATTGTACTGTCTTGATTCTTTTCAGTGAATAAGATGCCTATTTTTTTAGAAGCCTATTTTAATTTATACCTTTGGCAATATATTCACATACTGGTAGTTACAAAAGAAACAAATGAATTTTTCGTGATTAAGCATAATTAGTGAAATATTCTTGTTTAGATGTTAGATAATAAGAAACATACTTTATTTCATTATTGAATATTCATCAACTTTCAGTTTTGAAATATAATGATTCTATTTATTCACTACTTTCCATGTATCTTACTATGTGTTTGCCTTCTTTGTAATTTTTTATTGATGTAATTCATGTAAATAGTTAACAGCCACATGGCAGTACTAATACTAATAAATTGTGCCAAATATTATTTAAGTGATTTCACATATTAACTCACGTAATCTGTAAGATATCAATATGATTCACTAATATTAGTATTCAATTTTATAAACAAAGAAATAAAGTCATTAAATATCTAAGCCACAATATCACAACTATTAGGTGGTGGAAACAGTATTTGAACCCTATATTTTGCTTTCAGGGCCTGTGAATTTAATGCTTACAGAGTAGTTATTTGTAGATTTTAATTCTTATGCTAAAAATAATGGTCCTCTGACCCATTCACATCTATCTTAATTTCTGCAAATAGGGAATTGCTTACAACTATTTTCGCTGTTTCTACTTATATTTAGCTCAATATTTTTAAGTAATATGGGTTGATTGCTATTTTGTATCTTCAAATTTACATTTTTCCCTATTGTGAAAATTAAAGATTTAGCTGTCACACATCTCCCTCTCCCACATTGTGCCTGCATGCAAGCACAGACATACACATTTTCTCTTTCCTCATCCTCCAAATATAATGAAATCATGACTTTGATCACATCAATATTCCTTGTTTGCATGCTTAAGGCTACATTAATATTATTTACAACTGGTGTTGTGTACATATGAAAGAGTAGGGACATAGGTAAAATATATTGGGGACTTAGCAATGTTTAATATTAAATATGTCATATTTTGTACATTACCTGGTTTACTCTGGTAATATTTCCTTTACTGCATAGTTTCATTTTAGAGTTCACAATTGACTTCATTTACATTTGTTCAACATTGTTGTCTCTGTTTATTGGGATCCTCAAATTAGTTCCTTCAGAGCTTAAAATAGTAGATGGGAAAGGAATATTCTAAGACTTTGCTTACTGAAAAACATCTTCAGTCTACCTTCACATTAATTGATAATTTGGCTTGTCATATAATTCCGAATTGAAAATAACTTCCATCTGCTGACTTCTTGCATTAATCTAATTATTCTCTTTTGTTCTAATTTTGAAAATGTTTCTCAATTTTATATTACAAAATTTTCTTGAATTATTTATTTCCTATATTACATCTTTCATTTTCACAAGCTCTTTCTTGTTCTCTGTATCTTTTTAAGAGGATAGTTTTTCCACGGTATTTTCTTTTCTCTCTGAATATATTAATTATACCTTTTTTCCCTGTGCTTTATCTTCACTGTTTCCATTGAATTGTTTGTTTCCTGTTTGTCCTTTTGGACTCTGTCCTGAATTTTAAATGTTATGGTTGACAGTCTGGTGATACTTTGGGTGCATTCATTTTTAAAACTGGAACTCTAAAAACCAGGTGCAAGCATTTTGTGCAAGGGCAGAACTTTTTGATTGGTGGACACCATTGTACCACAATGAGCCCGATGTAATGATTTGTAGCTCTTATCAATTGGACTGGGCAGTTTTCCCAGAGATAAATCTATAATCATATTCCTGGGGTGTGCTGGGGGAAAGGCGAGTATAAGCCTGGGTGTATGAGTAAGTTCTTAGGAGCTAAGTAGGGAAAGGGAGCTGGGGCTTTCACCACTTAGAATGCAAAATGTTGCTGAATCACCCTATTTTTCTATCAAATGGCTCACTCATCTGCCTCCTCGGATGTACTCATGTCTGTAAGCCCAGAACTATACTAGTTCATCTTCTCTAGAGGGTAAACTCCCACTATCATGGATGTGGAGAAGATTCAGTGTTCTGGTTGCACAGGCTGGAGGAAAGAATCTGGGCTCCAACTGCTAACTTTACAGACTTTCAACCACCTGTTTTCCAACTCCCCTGCATCGTAGGCTTCAGCGATAACTAGTACCTCCAATGCTGAAACATTTCCATGGTTCTTTGACTTGGATCAACTACTACTCTTTGATAACCTCCCCTTCTCACACAGGCAATTATCTTCGAACTTTTCTGCAGCCTGCTAAGTCAGTTTCCTCTACTTTCTAGCTTTGAGTAAGTTGACATTCCTAATATGCTCTTGTCCCTTATCATTTTGGAAGGGCTTTTCATGTTGGTACCACTTTTATTCATTTGTTAACATTTTCTGTGAGTTAGATCACCAATATTACCTGGAAGTGTGGTTATTATACAGTAATTTTTCTCACTTATGATTATTGTAAGTTACTCAACTTTGCCAGAGAAAGTACTTAAAATTTTAGTTTTTTGTTGTTGCCTTTTTTATATTTTTACTTTCTCTGACACAAGTATACATTTAAGCTAAATAAGTTATTTTCTAATGAATAGGTAATCACACAAGCGCTGAATGTTAAACTGCACAGAAGTGCATGAATTGATTGTAATGAATATGCCAGCCTTTGGCTAGACGGACTGAAAGCCATTCAAGGGAAGTGTCCCTGAACCTTTAACCTGCTTCTTTTCAATCCTCCTAAGCACTGTTGAAACAAAGAAAGATAAGAAAGAATCTGGACAACAAATATAATGTATAAAAATATATGTAACAAGCTTGTTATGAAAGAAGTTAATATGGCCAGCAACATAACCAAGTAATGGTTATAAAATAGCAATATTATTTAGCATTCAGTGAAAAATGTGACATTTGGAGTCAGTTACCAGTTTCAAGCAGTCTGGTTCTGTTGTTGCCACCTAAAAAAAGACTGTCTGTGATTCTCTCTTTCTGTTCTTTTTTTCCCTCTTAATTGCCATTTTTTCCCAGACCAGCTGTAGCATCTATGTCCTGACTTTGATCCAACAACTTACTTTAACCCATAGAGAAAATGTCTCCCATAGACTGTGTATATTGCTGCAATGTCTCCATTCTTGACAAGCTTGCTGTTTTAACACAATAGAACGTGCAGAGAGCTGCATGAAGTGAAGCTCCCACATACTGGGAAAGAGAAAATTAAGACCTCTGTTTAGTAAATATTGGCATAAAAATGAAATTCTTTTCACCTAAAATAACATTGTGAGTATGTGAAATTGAAATTTCAACAGAGGCCAAGGAATCCAATGTTAGCTTGTTTGTCTTTCTTGAGAAATCATGCTTTAAAACATGTTTCTCATTTGATTTAGGATAAATAAGTCATTCTCAAGTTCAGTCCTAGGTGGGGCACTGGCAGAGGGTCTTTGAGGCACTTCTAAGGCAAAGAAGGTTGTAGTGTGATAATAAATAAGACATAGCCAGTGCATTTAGATGCTCTCAAATCTGAAGATTTTATAATTATCTTCAAACTGGATAATAGAGTAAAATTGAGTTTCTACATGTGGAAAACTGGTATCTATTAAAATTATGTTTTGTAAATTTCATGTATTTCTGAATTTTTCCAGTGGGCTTACAGTGAATCCGATTCAATTATAAAGAAGTTTCTATAACCTGCTGTTTTAAGGCAAAGGCCCCACTGTTAGACTCAAGGTAAATATGTACAGCAGATATTACTTGTCAGGACTACACACTACTCATTAATTATCTGCTCATGATGGGATGAATTAAGTGTTCAGCACAAGTGTAAGTACTGTATACACCAACAAAAACAGAAATATTAACTACATTATTGAGTGGCTTATGTTAAAGGAAGGAGGAAATACTTTGTCCACAAATACAATGCAGGATCCAATGTTTTCTTCGAAGCCTATTATAAGAAAATTACAGACAAAAGCTTTTAAAATATGGAGGCTGATATAGTTTGGCTTTGTGTCCCCATCCACATCTCATCTTGAATTGTAATCCCCATGTGTTAAGGGAGAGAACTGGTGGGAAGTGATTGGATGATGGGGGCAGTTTTCCCATGCTGTTCTCATGGTAATGAGTGAGTTCTCACGAGATAGCTGATGGTTTTATAAGAGGCTCTTCCCCCTTCACTCTTACCTTATTCTCTCTCCTGTCACCTTGTAAAGAAGATGCCTCCTTTGCCTTTTGCCATGATTCTAAGTTTCTTGAGGCCTCCCCAGCCATGTGGAACTGTGAATCAATTAAACCTCTTTTCTTTAAAAATTACCCAGTCTCAGGTAGTATCTTTATAGCAGTGTGAGAACAGAGTAATACAGTAAACTAGTACCAGGAGAATGGGGTACTGCTATAAATATACCTAAAAATGTGGAAGGGACTTTGAACTGGGTAACAGGCTGAGGTTGGAACAGTTTGGAGGGCTCAAAAGAAGATAGGAAGATGTGGGAAAGCTTGGAATTTCCTAGAGACTTGTTGAATGGTTTTGACCAATATGCTGATAGACAACGGACAATGAAGTCCAGGCTGAGGTGGTCTCAGATGAAGATGAGGAATTTCTTAGGAACTGAAGCAAAGGTCACTCTTGCTATACTTTAGCAAAGAGACTGGTGGCATTTTTTCTCTGCTCTAGAGATCTGTGGAACTTTTAACTTGAGAGAGATTATTTAGGGTATCTGGTGGAAGAAATTTCTAAGCAGCAAAACATTCAAGAGGTGGCAGGGTGTAAAAGTTTGGAAAATTTGCAGCCTGACCATGTGATAGAAAATAAAAATCCATTTTCTGGGGAGAAATTTAAGCTTGCTGCAGAAATTTGCATAAGTAACGAGGAGCCGAATGTTGATCACCAGGACCAAAGGGGAAAATGTCTCCAGGACATGTCAGAGACCTTCATGGCAGCCCCTCCCATCACATGCCCAGAGGCCTAGGAGGAAGAAATTATTTCCTGGGCTGGGCCTAGGCTCTGTGCAGCCTTGGGACTTGGTGCCCTGCATCCCAGCACGTGTGATTGAAAGGGGCCAAGGTACAGCTCAGACCATTGCTTCAGAAGGTACAAGCCCCAAGCCTTGGCAACTTCCACATGGTGTTAGGCCTGCGGGTGCACAGAGGTCAAGAATTGAGGTTTGGGAGCCTCCACCTACATTTCAAAGGATGTATGGAAATGCCTGGGTGTCCAGGCAGAAGTCTGCTACATGGACGAAGCCCTCATGGAGAACACCTGCTAGGGCAGTGCAAAGGCGAAATGTGGAGTTGGAGCCCCCACATGGAGTTCCCACTGGGGAACTGCCTAGTGGAGCTGTGAGAAGAGGACCACCATCTTCCAGACCCCAGAATGGGAGATCCACTGACAGCTTGTACCATGCACCTCGAATTGCTGCAGACTCGCAATGCCAGCCTGGGAAAGCAGCTGGGAGGGGAACTGTACACTGCAAAGCCACAGGGTTGGAGCTGCCCAATACTATGGGAGCCCCCCTCTGGCATCAGCTTGACCCAAATGTGAGACATGGAATCAAAGAAGATAATTTTGGAGCTCTAAGATTTAATGACTGCCCTGTTGAATTTCAAAATTGCATGGGGCCTCCGGCCCCTTTGTTTTGGCCAATTTCTCCCATTTAAAATGGGAGCACTTATCCAATGCCTGTACCCCCATTGTATCCTGGAAATAACTAACTTGGTTTTGATTTTACAGGCTCATAGGCAGAAGGATCTTGCCTTGTCTCAGATGACACTTTGGACTTGGACTTTTGAGTTCATGCTGGAACAAGTTAAGACTTTGGGGGACAGTTGCGAAGGCATGATTTTGAAAAGTGAAGACCAGAGATTTGGTCAGGTGTGGAATAATATGGTTTGTCTTTGTGTCCCCATTCAAATCTTATCTTGAATTATAATACCCACATGTCAAGGGAGAGGCCTAGTGGAAAGTGATTGGATCATGGAGATGATTTCCCCCATGCTGTTCTTGTGATAGTGAGTTCTCACAAGAGCTGAAGGTTTTGTAGGGTCTCTTCTCCCTTTACTTTTCCTTTCTTCTCTCTCCTGCCACCTTGTGAAGAAGGCGCCTGCTTCACCTTCTGCCATAATTGTAAGTTTCCTGAGGCCTCCCCAGCCATGCAGAACTGTGAGTCAATTAAATCTCTTTTGTTTATAAATTACCCAGTCTCAGGTATTTTTCATAGCAGTGTGAGAATGGACTAATACAAAGGCAGAAGGGATTGTTTCCAACATCAGAATATATGGTGAAAAATATTACATACAAGGTGTTATTGAAGTCATAAATTTTGAGGCAGGTGACATAAATTCTCACCGAAGTCATCACTGTTCATTGTTTTTATTAAATTTTCCAACATTAACAAAAATAGAGAGAATTCCACATATTATTCACCCAGTTTTCAAATTTATCAAGATTTTTTCATACTATTTTTTTCTTCTTCCCTCCTACCTCTCCTCTCCTCTCCTCCCTTTCCTTCCTTCCTTCCTTCCTTCCTTCCTTCCTTCCTTCCTTCCTTCCTTCCTGTGGTAAGATGACTAATGACCCTCAAAGATGTCCATGTCCTAATCCTTAGAGGTATGAATATTTTACATTATATGGCAAAGAGGAATTGTGATTGTAGATGGAATTAGGTCACTAATCAATTGACCTTAACATAGGGAGATAATCCTTGATTGTCCAGTTGGCCTCAATAGACTCAAAAAGGCTCTTAAAAGTGGAAGACAGAAGAAAAGGAATAGTTAGAGAAAGATGTAAGGATGAAAGAATAGGTAGAGAGATGAAACGTTGCTGTCTTTAAAGATGGACCTTAAGCCAAGGATTGTGGGAAGCCTCTAGAATCTAAAAAAAGTAAGAAAACAGAGTTCCCCCTGGAACCTCCAGAAAGAAACGTCACCCTGCCAAGGCCTTGCTTTTGATCTCATGAGACCCATGTTGAACTTCTAACCTATGGAACTGTAAGATAATAAATGTGGGTTATTTTCAGTCACTATGTTTTTTGGTCATTTGTTATAGCAGCCATAGAAGAATACTACACCTTTTTAGTTTGTCATCGTTCTTTTTTATAATTTTGCAGAGGAATTTTAAGGCAAATTCCAGATTTTGTATTATTTCACTCCTATGTACTTGGTATATATATATAGAAATATGAATAGCTTCTTACTCCCACAATACTATTATCACAGCTAACAAATTAGATAAAAATACATTTCTCATTCAAATTTCCTCAATTCTCACAACAATGTCTTTTTATAGTTGGTCTTTGAATGAAGATCCCAACCAAGTCCACACATTGCATTTGTTTATTATATCTCTTCAGTCTCATAATTCAGGGTAGTGCCTTCTCCCTACCTGCCTCCTATTGTATTCATGCCACTGACATGTTGAATAAATCCAATCAGCAGCTATGTTGCATGCCCTGTATTTGACTCTTTATGGTATCATTTAATTGCCCCTCTATTCTTCATACTTTTTATAAACTGGAAGGTAGCTTTAGGGCTATTTTGATTGGACTTGGTTTCTTATTTCCTGACTGTACTGCAGAGTGGTGCAGTCTACTTCATATTCATCACATTGAGCACATAATTACATGTTGTTCCATTTTTAGTGGTATCAGTATTGATCAATGAAGTTCATAACAACGTGATGCCTCCACTATATATTAATAGTTTTCACTAACTTTTCCTTTAATGTTTTATCTTTGCCTGAATCTGTTATCCTAAGTATTGAAAAATGATTATATTCGATTTTCTTCATCAAATATTATCTGTAATTTCCTATAAAGAATAATTTTCCAAAGTAGAGTATTTATAATATGCTCTATATTATATATGAGAAAAGAGAGAATTGTGAATTGCCTTTATAGCTCTATTATGTAAAAAAAGTAATAGAAAGATAAAGTGAAACTTGGGGAAATACTTATACATAGTAAGAGGGAATAAACTGAAGAATTGGAGATATTGTAGAATCTAAAATTTAAAAAGAAAATTTATAAAAATTAAATGAAAAATTTCAAAATACTGAAACAATGTATCCAATTGGTGGTTGTAAGGACATAGGGAAAAAACCAGTGTTATTTCTACTCTCTCACTCAAGAATCAACATAAAATGCTTTACCTCTGGTCACCAAAATGTGTATAGGGATTTCTCCTCACCAGCAAGCAATTCTGCATTGAACGCAAGCTAGGTATCCTCTAATTGAATTCAATTCTGACATGATATACCTGGAGATATCATTCAACCCCACAGGTTAAGGGCTCAGTTCCACAAGACTGCCCCCACAACCCCACTTCCAACGCTAATGGCAAGTCCCTGGCTTTTTACCTACTAGCTATAAATTAGTATATTAATCCGTTTTCCCACTGCTGATAAAGACATTCCCAAGATTGGGCAATTTACAAAAGAAAGAGGTTTAATGGACTCACAGTTCCACATGGCCAGGGAGGCCTCATAATCATGGCAGAGGTGAAAGGCACATCGCACATGATGGCAGACAAGAGAAGAACTTGGGCAGGGAAACTCCCCTTTATAAAACCATCAGATCTCATGAGACTTACTCACCATCATGAGAACAGCACAGAAAAGACCTGCCCTCATGATTCAATTACCTCCCACCGGGTACCTCTCCAAACACATAGAAATTCAAGATGAGATTTGACTGCGGACAAAGTCAAACCATATCATTCTGCCCCTGGCCCCTCTTAAATGTTCTCACATTTCAAAACCAATCATGTCTTCGCAACAGTCACCCAAAGTCTTAACTCATTTCAGCATTAACTCAAAAGTCCGCAGTCCAAAGTCTCATCAGAGACAAAGCTTAAAGATGGACCTTAAGCCAAGGATTGTGGGAAGCCTCTAGAATCCAGAAAAGGTAAGAAAACAGAGTTCTCCCTGGAGCCTCCAGAAAGAAACATCGCCCTTCCACCTATGGGCCTGTAAAATCAAAAGCAAGTTAGTTACTTCCTAGATACAATGGGGATACAGGCATTGGGTAAATACAGCCACTCCAAATGGGAGGCATTGGCCAAAACGAAGGGGCTACAGGCCCCATGAAAGTCTGAAATCCAGTGGGGCAGTCAAATCTTAAAGCTCCAAAATGATCTCCTTTGACTCCATGTCTCACATCCAGGTCACACTGATGCAAGAGGTGGTCTCCCACAGCCTTGAGCAGGTCCGCCCCTGTGGCTTTGCAGGGTATAGCCCCCTCCTGGCTGCTTTAACAGGCTGGAATTGTCTGCAGCTTTTCCAGGTGCGTGGTGGATTTACCATCCTGAGTTCTGGAGGACAGTGGCCCTCTTCTCAAAGCTCCACTAGGTGGTGCCTCAGTAGGGACTCTGTATGGGGGCTCCCACCATACTTTTCCCTTCTTCACTGCCCTAGCAGAGGTTCTCCATGAGGGCCTTGCCCCTGCAGCAAACTTCTGCCTGGGCATCCAGGCATTTCCATACATCCTCTGAAATCTTGGTGTAAGTTCCCAAACCTCAGTTCTTGACTTCTGTGAACCCAGGCTCAACACCATATGGAAGCTGCCAAGACTTGGGGCTTCCACCCTCTGAAGCCACAGCCCAAGCTGTACCTTGGCCCCTTTTAGTCATGGATGGAGCTGCTGGGACACAGGGCACCAAGTCCCTAGACTGCACACAGCAGAGGGACCCTGTGACCAGCCCACGAAGCCATTTTTCCTTCTAAAGCTCCTGGTCTGTGATGGGAGGGGCTGCCACAAAGGTCTCTGACATGCCCTGGAGACATTTTCCTCATTGTCTTAGTGATTAACATTCAGCTTCTTGTTACTTATGTAAATGTCTGCAGCCAGCTTAAATTTCTCCTCAGAAAATTGGTTTTCCTTTTCTACTGCATTGTCAGGCTGAAAATTTTCTGAACTTTTATGCTGTATTTCCCTTTTAAAACTGAATGCCTTTAATAGCAACCAAGTCACCTCTTGAATGCTTTGCTGCATAAAAATTTCTTCCTCCAGATACCCTAAATAATCTGTCTCAAGTTTAATGTCCCACAAATCTCTAGGGCAGGGGCAAAATGCCTCCAGTCTCTTTGCTTTATGTCTAAAACATAACAAGAGTCACCTTTGCTCCAGTTCCCAAGAAGTTCCTTATCTTTGTCTGAGACCACCTCAGCCTGGACTTCATTGTTCATATTATTATCAGCATTTTGGTTAAAGCCATTCAACAAGTCTCTAGGGAGTTCCAAATTTCCCACACTTTCCTGTCTTCTTATGAGCCCTCCAAACCATTCCAACCTCTGCCTGTTACCCAGTTTAAAGTTGCTTCCACATATTCGGGTACCTTTTCAGCAGTGCCCCTCTCTACTGGTGCCAACTTACTATATTAGTCAGTTTTCAGGCTGCTGATAAAGACATACCTGAGACTGGGCAATTTACAAAAGTAAGACCCAATTCCACATGGCGGGGGAGGCCTCACAATCAGGGCAGAAGTTGAAAGGCATGTCTCAAATGGCACAGACAGGACAAGAGCCTTTGCAGGGAAACTCCACATTATGAAACCAACAGATCTCATGAAACTTATTCATTATCATGAGAACATCATGGGAAAGTCCTGCCCCCATGATTCAATTACCTCTTACCAGGTCCTTCCCACAAAGATAAAACTACAAAATCAAACAAGTTAAATAAAACATCTTATTATCCCAGACAAAATTGAAAATACCACTATGAAATAAAAATATAATTTATATTTTTAAAATATGTATTTTCTTTTAACTAAAAAATCCTAGAAACATGATCAGCTCAATTAAAATGAGCACTCTTCCTGTTAAGATTCTGGTTTATAAAGAAGGTTTTTCTCTGAAAAGAACTGTATAGTCTTAGATAAATAAATAACAAGTTTGAAGTTGGAAATATGTAATATAAGCCTACCTGTTTTTATACTAAAGGCTATGAAGTTATCAAAAATAGATAGGGTCATGTCAAAAGGACTCAAGAACCATCTTAAACAATCAAAAGTTGAAAAACTAGAGAATTAGTCAAAACAATTACTGCAATAAACCAAAACCACATCAGATCTATTTACATCCACTACTTCACAATGACCTCCATTATTATTGTGTTATTTGAGACTAAATCTTGCTGAAATTAAAAATAAAATTATTAGTGGGAAGAGAACATAGAGCATATCATACACACAGTGCACATGCTAATGGCCCACAGAAGCATCACATCCATAATCTCAGTAACAAGGTACCCTAATACTTTGATTCCCAGGTTGTGCTTTATTGATGTGATATTTCCAGGCTGTTTGAAGGTTTCTTTCTTGAAGTGGTGCAAAAATCCATTTACTTAAAAAAATCAATGTTCTAACAACTTCAGTTTATGGAGAAAATACACTATATAATTTAAATGTGAACCCATATAGTTTTGAACTCAAGAATAAGTAGAAAGTTATTGAGCATAAAATAGCTGTAGAAAAGTTTATTTAATTTGAAATTAATTTACTGACTTCACACCCAGTCTTTCTTCAGTCTGTTTTTTAATAAGTTAAAGCAACATGAAATAAATATAATTAGTTTTAAAAAAACAGCCCTATATATTGTAATAGCCCCAGAAGATCACTATAAAAGAATTGACATTCATATAAATTTGCATGACTGGATGAAGAAAATGTGGTATATATACACCATGGAATACTACGTAGCCATAGTATTGAGGAATGAGATCATGTCCTTTGCAGGGACGTGGATGAAGCTGGAAGCTATCATCCTCAGCAAATTAACACAGGAACAGAAAACCAAACATCGCGTGTTCTCACTCATAAGTGGGAGGCGAGAATACATGGACACAGAGAGGGGAACAACACACACCAGGGCCTGCTGGGGGGTGGGAGGTGAGGGGAGGGAACTTAGAGGACGGGTCAATAGGTGCAGCAAACCACCATGGCACACGTATACCTATGTAACAAACCTGCAGGTTCTGCACATGTATCCTGGTTTTCTTTAGAAGAAATTTTTAAAAAATACAATTGCTTCAAATATTTATTATATTTATATTATTTAAATATATATTTAATTATCATGTTTACATAAAATAGATTTTACATAAAATAGATTTTATACTGTATTATATATTTCATATTTTATATGTTTTTATTTTATATAAATATATGTTTATATATTATATATATATTCAGGTAAATCCTACTTATGTGATTGGAAAAAAACCGAAAACAAGAATTTAAAGTGTTCTTCTCATTGATTCTCTGCAACTGACAGAAGCAAACATAAAAACTCTGGAAAATCAGACTTAACTCAGTTTTCAAAGAATTCAAAAGGTCAAGGTAAATGAGCAGTTCGAAGCTATCAATCACAAAACTACAAAGGAAACAAGGCATCATATGTGAACTCCAACAGAAACAACTGTACATTCATTATATATTAGATATGGACTATCAACTAGTTGTGATTAAGAATAAAGAAAATGCTGACTTAGATCAGGTTCCCGTGACACCGTGCTTGAGATTGGGATTTGGATGACTATGTTTTATTGAAGGAGTGCTCATCAGGGAAACCTGTAACAGAGGAAGTGAAGGGGATCACCAAAAGAGCTGGGCAAGGGATGGTCTCAGGAAACTTCTAGTCATGGTCTAATCCACAGAGAAGGGGTGGCTTCTGAAGCATAAACTGTAGTGTGAAGATTATCCTTCTCCTGACTGATACAAAGTGTAAGTTTTTCATATTTTCATTTTTTTTTCCAATCCTTTATAGTGTGTGGCCTGACCCCAAAGTTTGAGGAGGGAGGTAGCTAAAAGCGTTGGTGGCAGCCACCAGGCAAAACAGCTGATGCAGGGAAGCTCAATGGGGAACCAGAATGTCCACTACTAATGCCTAAAGCAGAAGCACATTCGAAAGATCACAAATGGAAGGAATTTTGAACAGAAATCTAATGAAACTTTTAGAAACTAAAATATATGTTTTAGAATTCTTAAGAATGCAGCCCAGAAATTCAAAGAAATAGAAAATATGAAGTTAAAGGCATAAAGGAGAGAGTGAAAAATTCTAACATATACCCTTTTATTTTAAAAAGGAAATAATAGAAAGAGGTAATAATTGAATAAATAAATAATACTTCTGAATTTTCTAGAAATTAAAAAATTAATCCTCAAATCTTGGATAGACAGCAAATAAAGAAATAGAATAAACACAATAATAACTGCCTAGACACATCATAATAAAAATGCGGATCATTAAAGACAAAGAGCCCTTAAGAGCAATGGTTGAACTAATTTACATTCCCACTAACAGTGTAAAAGCATTCTTATTTCTCCACAGCCTCACCAGCATCTATTGTTTCCTGACTTTTTAATGATTGCCATTCTGACTGGCATGAGATGGCATCTCATTGTGGTTCTGATTTGCATTTCTCTGATGATCTGAATGCTTAACAGCAGTAATGGAAGCCAAAATACTGTAACTTAATATTTTCTACTTCCTGAAAGAAAATTACTGTCGACATAGAATTCTATATGAAGTGAAACTATTTTTAAGTAATGAGAAAATGGTATCAATAAATGTTTTTTCCCAAAGACTAATACAATTTACCACTAAAAGTTTTTCATTAAAATGAATTGTAATAAATTATATATGTACTTCATCCATAAATAAAATTCTGAATTGTAGGGAGAAATAGCAAACATTAGTGAGAGAGAGAGAGACAGAGAGAGAGAGAGAGAAAGAGGAGGGAGGAAGCTAGACTAAAAATGCTATAATGAATAGCAATAGTGTATAAGTAAAGAGTTGGCTGTTTGATGTTAAAGCATTCTCATTTCTTCAACTAGTCAGAAGGAGAGTTATAAAAAATGGCTAATTCTAAACTTCATTATATTTGCATGTTAAAATAGCCAGAGTAATTGCTAAAATAACAAAGAATAAGTGTATAATTTCCACACAAATAGAAAGAAAAAACGGACTCAATACACCTCCACACACACATCCCTAAATCCAAAAGAAGAAAAACAGAGGAAAATAAATAAAAATCAAAAAGAAAATGAGGGGCTGGGTTTGGTGGCTCACACGTAATCCCAGCATTTTGGAAGGTCAAAGTGGGCGGATCACCTGAAGTCAGGAGTTTGATACCAGCCTAGCCAACATGGTGAAATCCTGTCTCTATGAAAAATACAAAAATTAGCTGGGCATAGTGGCCCATGCCTGTAATCCCAGCTACTTGGGAGGCTGAGGCATGAAAATTGCTTGAACCCGCAGTGAGCTGAGATCGTGCCACTATACTCCAGCCTGGGTGACAGAGAGAGACTGCCTCAAAAAAAAAAAAAAAAAAAAAAAAAAGAGGTCCAGGAGTGGCAGCTTATGCCTGTAATGGGAGGCTGAGGAGGGAGGACTGCTTGAGGCCAGGAGTTTGAGATTAGCCTGGGCAACATAGCAAGACTCTGAATCTACAAAAAAAATTATTTTTAAAAATTAGCTTGGCATCGTGGCATGTGCCTGTAGTCCCAGCTGCTTGGGAAACGGGGGACAGAGGATCACTCAAGTGTTTGAGTTGGAGGTTGCAGTGAGCTATGATCATGTGCCACTGCACTCCGCCTGGGCAACAGAGTGACACCCTGTGAGAAAGAAAGAAAGAAAGAAAGAGAGAAAGAGAAAGAGAGAGAAAGAAAGAGAACAAGGAAAGAAGGAAGGAAGGAAGGGAGAAAAATGTGCTCATTTGCATAAAATTTCCCATATTAAAAATAGATACCAATTGAATTCATGTATATACAGTATCAATTATCAGTTAAATGTTAAATTTTATAAAAGATAACACATGGGGCTGGTGCAATGCCTCATGCGTATAATCCGAATATGGGAAGCTGAGGCAGGAAGATTGCTTGGGGCCAGGAGTTTGAGACCAGCCTGGGAAATGTAGCAAAACACTGTTTCTACAACTTTTTTTAACTTAACACTTAAAAATGAGCCAGGCATTGTGGCACATGCCTGTAGTCCTAGCTACTCCACAGGCTGACGTGGGAGGATCACTTGAGCCCAGGAGGTTGAGACTGCAGTGAGCTATAATCACATCAGTACACTCCAGCCTGGGTGACAGAGGGAGACCCTGTCTTTTAAAACAACAACAAAAAAGATAATGTGGAATGACAATAAAATTAGAAGTACTTAGGAATTTGTCAAACTATAAATGTGCGTTTCCATAATAGAGAAAATAAAAAATTTTGAGAAGCATTAAAGAAATCATAAATAAATGAAAATAAATGCCATGGTCTTGGGTAGGAAGGCTCACTATTGAGTCAATTCTTCCAAAACTGATCTAAAATTTAATTGCAGTTCAATTGAAATCCCAACAGGGGTTTTATGGAACACAATAGATTTATTCTAAATTTATTTAGATGTATTCAAAAATATAAAAAAAGTAGGGGGCCCAGGATAACCAGGACAATTCAGGGCAATCTTAATAAAAAGAAGCTGAGAGATTTAATCTAGCAGATGCCAGGCCCTGCTATGTTGTAGTAATTAAGGAAGTGAAGTATTGATGAAAAAACAAGCAAATTAGCCAGTGTGAAAGTACAGATAGCCCAGAAAGACATCCATATATATATTGCTTTCATATATCTACATATCTATATTTATATAGATATATAGAAACCTGGCTTATGAAATAGAAGGAATTATTAATAATATAAATTATCTATATGGGAAAAAATGAAATAGAATCACCACCTCACATCATTTACAAAATTACTTGTAACATAGGAGAACTTAAAGATGGTTTATGACTCTTCCCTAAAACAAATGTAAAATTTGTAATACAATACTGAGCAGCAGTGAAAATGAATGGAAAGCTACATGCCACAAATGGATGAATCTAAAAATATGTGCAAAAGCAGAATATATACAGTATAATTGCATTGATACAATATTCATGCACAACCAAAATTAGCTAATAGATTTTTATGGGTACATACATGGGTGTAAAACTTAAAGAAAGTAAGGGAATGAAGAAAACAAAATATAATTCGATGGTTATCTGTGGATTTGGGGAGGGAGCAGAATGTGAGCTGGAAAGAGAATTTTTAATGCTATTTTTTAACCTAGGTGTTGAGTACATGGTGCTGATTATGTTTTCCATGATATGTTTATATACTTTGATATAATTTTAATGTGATTAGCATGAAATATTTTAGAACATTTATAAACTTATGAGCACCTTCCAATATTTCCCCTCACTCAAACATCTAATTAATACCCTTCAGAAATTATGATTTGTCATTATAGATTTACTTCTCTGCTTACAAGTTCAACATATGTTTCTCCTACTAAGCTGCTTGTTCCATGAGAACTGAAAACACATATGTTTTGTTTACCACTATGAAGTTGAAAAACAATTCCTGGTCAGGCATGGTGGTGTGTGACTAAAGTCTCAGCTACTCAGGAGGTTAAGGTAGGAGGATCATTTGAGCCCAGGAGTTTGAGACCTGCCTGAGTTACATAGAGAGACATCATCTTCCATCTTTAAAATAAAAGCATTCCTATATACCAACATATGTATATAGGACAAACAGAGAACCAAATCATGAGTGAACTCCCATTCACAATTGCTGCAAAGAGAATAAAATACCTAGGAATACAACTTACAAGGGATGTGAAGGACTACTTCAATGAGAACTACAAACCACTGCTCAAGGATACCAGAGAGGACACAAACAAATGGAAAAACATTCCATGCTCATAGATAGGAAGAATCAATATCCTGAAAATGGCCATATTGCTGAGAGTAATTTATAGATTCAATGCTATTTCCATCAAGCTACCATTGTCTTTCTTCACAGAATTAGAAAAAACTACTTTAAATTTCATATGGAACCAAAAAAGAACCTGTATTGCCAAGACAATCCTAAGCAAAAAGAACAAAGCTGGAGGCATCACACTACCTGACTTCAAACTATACTACAAGGCTATAGTAAACAAAACAGCATGGTACTGAACAAAAACAGACATATAGACCAATGGAACAAAACAGAGGCCTCAGAAATAACACCACACATTTACAACCATCTGATCTTTGATAAACCTGACAAAAACAAGCAATGGGGAAAAGATTCCCTATTTAATAAATAGTGTTGGGAAAACTGGCTAGCCATATGCAGAAAACTGAAACTGGACCCCTTTCTTATATCTTATACAAAAATTAACTCAAGATAGATTAAAGACTTAACTGCAAGACCTAAAGCCAAAAAAAAAACCCTAGAAGAATATCTAGGCAATACCATTCAGGACATAGGCATGGGCAAAGAATTTAAGACTAAAACACCAAAAGCAATTGCAACAAAAGCCAAAACTGACAAATGGAACCTGATTAAACTAAAGAGCTTCTACACAGCAAAAGAAACTATCATCAGAGTGATCGGGCAACCTACAGAACGGGAGAAAATTTTTGCAATCTATCCATCTGACAAAGGGAAAATATCCAGAATCTACAAGGGACTTAAATAAATTTACAAGAAAAACACAACCCCATCAAAAAGTGGGTGAAGGATACGAACAGACACTTCTCAAAAGAAGACATTTATGCGGCCAACAAATATATGAAAAAAAACTCATCATCACTGGTCATTAGAGAAATGCAAATCAAAACCACAATGAAATACCATCTCACGCCAGTTAGAATGCTAATCATTAAAAAGTCAAGAAACAACAGATGCTGAGAGGATGTGGAGAAATAGGAATGCTTTTACACTGTTGGTGGGAGTATAAATTAGTTCAACCATTGTGGAAGACAGTGTGGCAATTCCTCGAGGATCTAGAACCAGAAATACCATTTAACCCAGCAATCCCATTACTGGGTATACCCTAAGGATTATAAATCATTCTACTATAAAGACACATGCACACATATGTTCATTGCAGCACTATTCACAATAGCGAAGACTTGGAACCAACTCAAATGGCCATCAATGATAGACTGGATAAAGAAAATGTGGCACATATATACCATGGAATACTATGCAGCCATAAAAAAGAATGAGTTCATGTCCTTTGCAGGGACATGGATGAAGCTGGAAACCATCATTCTCAGCAAACTAACAGAGGAACAGAAAATCAAACACTGCATGTTCTTACCCATAAGTGAGAGTTGAACAATGAGAACATATGAACACAGGGAGGGGAACATCACACACCAGGTCCTTTTGGGTAGTTGGGGATAAGAGGAGGGTGAGCATTAGGAGAAATACCTGATGTAGATGACGGGTTGATGGGTGCAGCAATCCACCACGGCACATGTATACCTATGTAACAAACCTGCATGTTCTGCACGTGTATCCAAGAACTTAAAGTATAAATATATATATATTTATACTTTATATATATTATACTTTATATATATTTATATAAATATATTAAAATATAAATATATAAATATATAAATATAAATATATATAAAGTATATATATTTATATATATTTTTATATATGTATATGAATCCACTTATGCATGAGTTTTAAGGTTTTGAGAACTCTTCCATCTATGAGGATTAGTTACAGTAGGAAGATTTGCTAAAGCAGTATGTAGCCACTCAATTAAGGGAGATAACATGAGTAATGTAGCACAATACATGGTACATGGTAAGTACATGATAAATATCAGTAGTTACTGGTATTGGTAGGTGTTGATGTTGGAGTTCCACATATTATTGTTTACGTCTACCATCCGAAGTGTTTATCTAAGTTTGTTTATTTCATTCAAACTTGTTTAATTGGAGGCAATAATTATGTCACTCTTTTTGTTGACTATGTATACAAATCTACACTATTTTGTCAACTTATAAATAATGATTGTGGCATCAACAATTGAAAACTAGGTAAGTCCAACAGGGCTAAGTGTAACTTTAGGTTTTTCACAGTGGGTAAGAAAGGTCCATAGATTTGAGATAAAGATGTCAAGAGATGGAGCACATATTTCTTATATCTCTAATCCCCAAAAAGATCTTGGGGTTATTTATTTACTATGGAAACATAGTAATATAATATCTAAGCTCTTATATTAGGGGAAGTTCTCATTTAAAAAGTAAGAGATTATGATAACATTAAAGAAAGAAACATTCTTAAAAAGTGTGAATTAGGGCCCATGAGTGGGTAAGGAAATCAATATAATGAGTTTCCAACATTTCTTATGAGATAAAATAGAATAGTACCTATTAGAGCACAGGCAAATAATTGTAAAAACTTTTATTTTTGCTATTTAGACTATTTTATCAAATAGAAGATGGTAACTGTTTATTTGAGATGCATGCTAATTTCATAGATGGTAACGAGAAAGATGGCCAATGGTGACTGTAAGAAACTATTGATCGAAAATTGAAAGATGGGTCCTCTTTCAAAGATGTTAAAATATGATAAAATATCTTAGAATCAATAATATTTCTCATATATTCACATAAATACTGGTTTCTGATATTACAGATCAGCAGGAGCAATGTGGATTGTACCCAAAAAAATTTGAAAGCCACTATCATATATATATGATATATATATATATATATACACACACACACACACACATATATATATATATATATATATATATATATATATATATATATATATATCAGACTACAATGCTTCAAAGAAACTCCTTGGTAAATTGAAGCTAAAGTAATATTTCTAAATTTGACACAATAATTGCACATACATTATGAAGTTGTCAGTTAAATCAGAAATTAAACCAACATAAAACATTTCAATGACCATGAAATGTGACAGCTTATAGAGACTGTATAGATAATACTTGAACCAACACAGTTTTGGTCCCCCAAACACAAAGCACCTAGGCAGCCCTGTGGACTCCTTAGTGCCACAGACTCTGAAAAATTATATCAGATTTTCTGTAAGGTATATTATTTATTGTTAGTTACATGTGGTCAATGGTGACATACTTTCAATAATTAAAAATCGAATAATACTGAAATAACCACAGCAGCTTTCAGTATAATTTGCTTAAGTTGTTCTAGAAAACACTGCTAATTTTTTGTTTCTGCAGAGTCAAGTATAGAAGTGAGCAGATTGGTAAATTTATAAACATCATGGAAAGAATTATAGAGAGGAACTGGAGCCACTCGAATGCCATTTGGATTCCGCTTGTCACACTGTGGGGAAAAAATAAAGCCACAATAATGTTAGCATTATTCACACGTTGAAAATCTACATTCCAGATAAACTTATGTAAAGCACTTTCATAATGATTTCCCTAAAAATTAATATATATGCAAAATTTTTTTACTTTAAAACATGGTGTTTTTCTGTTTTATGAAACTTTTCTCTTGATAATAATTTAAGAAATAAGAATGGATTGGTGCATAAATAGCCAAGATAGATTCCTGAAATCTATTCAGCAACTATCTTCCTTAAGCATTTAATAGACCATAAATACATTTTGTTTTTTTTTTCCCGTGGGGACCCCATGGAAGGACTGGAATTCTTGGGTGAATTTAAGTGAATGAAAACCTCATTAGGGTCTGGAGAGTTTTAGTAAATTATCCTTGAACTTAATTCTCTAATCTTTGATCTCACAAATAAGAAGTGGGCTACATTGTAGGTCCTGAAGTAGCACCAGATAATTTGACATGCCTAGAGATCACTATGGTTAACTTTAGAAAACACCTGCTATAGGCTAGACAATATAGTATATAGTTTATGTGTGCTGTCCCATTTCAATCCAATCACAACTCTTGGAGGTAATTTATTTTATACCCCAAATACGGATGAAAATTTCAAGCCAATAGATCCTAATGAACTTTCCAAAGAGGACAGAGTTTGACGACAGCAGAGTTTGATTTAGAAACTTGAATTTCTGACTTGTGTCTCCAGCATCTGGGAGTAACCTCTCCTACAGGTAAACATGAGCCAAGCAATGCCTTAATTACATAATCATTGGAAGTAGATACATTATCTTTTTTCCCTGAAATTACTCAGTTCACATTTATTAGTTCTCTTCAAGAGACCAAGAAGGTCATATAGGCTGAAGGGTTAAAAAAAAATTATTCCTTGCAATGTTACCACTCCTGAGAAGTGTATATATATCTTTTTTGACAGAAGTGACAAGGTTGAAAATAACTTAATTTGATCAAGCGACTAAATAAGACTTTCTTTTTTAACCCTTCAATAAATTGGTATGATCTTTAATTCCATTCATCCAATAAATGAATTGTAGTACAGACTAGAGAAAACAATGTCCTGACTGAGTATGATGAAATAATAACTTTTTTCTGCCCAAACTGTTATGAAAAGAATGAGTAAGTTACAAAAAACTATTCCTATAAGCCAAGTTTGTGGTATCTTCTCTTTTATCAGAAACGACAGATCTCTATGCCTTTCAGTTAGCACAGTGCTGAGGGCTTAGTTGGCACTTAATTTATCCTTAATTGACTGACTGATGTGAAATAACATGCAACAATGAATAAACCAAAGAGTCCAAATTTTATCCCTAACATGCGGCCCATAGACAAAATCTGGTAGCAAAGCAAGACATACTTACAACCACTCCTCTTTTTTCTAGTTCTTGGAAAACATCTTTGTTTGGAACAGAAAATGTTATTGTTAGCTGGCACCCCCGCTCCTCTACATGAGACGGAGTAATTATGTTCACAACTGGTTTCTTGGTTGCTGCTTTATCTTTGCCATAGTTATGCTTGATCAGGTATTCCAGATAGCCAGTTAGCAAAACAGATTTTTTCCGCAATGCCTTCATTGTCGCTTGCTTAAAGATCTGTGGAATGAGAAACAATCAGATTAAAGTGTCTTATTGATTTACAAAGAAGCAAAAATTAAGAGTAAATCATGCATAAAAAGGAAATGCCCATATTTGATCTTTCCAATAAATATCTCCCTTTACATAATCTTTTTGTGTAAAATCATGCCCTCCTTTAAATGCTTTGCTATTAAATACTGAAGGTAAAATTTCCATGACAGAAAAATTGTACAAATGTCACTTAAATAAAACTTGCAAAGGAAGAAAATGTAAGTTAATATCATGTACCTGTGGCAGGCCAGGTTTCACTAATGCAGGCCTCCATCACAACTGTTTCAGTACTGACCGAGTGGTTACATTAAATATTAAAAACTAAAAAAGTCAGTGCCCTTATACAAAGGCTGGGATGAACAAAAGCCTATCAAGAGTTTTGCCTAGGCTTTCCCTGGGCCTTAAAGCATGACAGAATAATGAAGGAATTCTTAACAGGACCCATTCAGGATTAAACAAGTTTTACTGTGGTTGTGAAGAAACTCTCCAGGCCTCTACAAACAAGTTTATTGAAGGTCTAAAGGAACTCCTCAAACTTCAGTGATTTAGCAGAAGACAAGATAAGGGTAATCACTCCAGCACCTGGACCCATTTAGATTAAGTAAATTTACTGAGGCTCCAGAGGAAGGTCTTCAGGACTCAGACCTTAGTTGTAGATTAAAAGAAGTTAATCACTTATGTCTTCAGATGAATGCACACTTACACCTGTAAAACTTTGTAATTTTGAGTTGGTCTGGTGATAATTTCCAGGCCTTCTCCCTGTAACCAGTTACAGAAATAAAAACTCTCTTCCTCCCCTGTTCATCTGCATCTTGTTATTGGGCCATGAGAAATAGCAGCCCAACCCTCAATTTGGTCCGGGAACATACCTTCAAAATTATTTTAAATTAAGTTAGTATAATCAAGTAAAACATACCTTAATAAATGGATTTAAATATCATACAATGTAAGCTTTTCCCCAAAACCACTTTTTGAAATCATAATCAAGAAGACTTTTCCAACTTTGATGTAAAGTTTGTTTATCCTCAAAAAAGTGCAATATGATCTAAACATGTGCAAATGTGTAAAGCAGTGTTACTGGTGATATTTATAACTGCTTTACTGACTCCCAAATCTCTTCCAGTTTAACAATAAGAAAACAAGCAGTTAAATAATAATGCTAAGTTTCCTCAGAGAGGAAAGCAAATAATATTAGATAATGCATTTATTTTTACTGAAGCATTTGGGCTTGGTTTCTCTCATTTCCCCCCTTCTAAACTCTAGCACTGGTGTGAAAATACTGCCATTTGTGGGCTGAGATGTCTTATATTAAGATGAGTGACAAGGGCACACAATAACTGGTGTTGGAATATTAGGGGTCAGAACAGATGTGCTTTTCTGGCTTATCTCTTAAGGTCAAGTAGAGTGTAAAAATATATCCTATGTATAAGAACTAAATGAACTGCAAACAGAGCGTGATGCACTGGCCTGCCACTTAATGTTCCTTTTCTGTGTCATGAGCAAAGATATCAAGAGCAAAGATAGGGTCATTTGGTGATATTGAGACTTTATCAAGTCTATGAAAACAGTTATTCCTGTATGTACACGTGGCATGTGTAGGCAGGCACTCTAATAAAACTCAAACCATTCAGCCATAGATTTCCTGGAACTATACTGTATAGAGGCTATGGATTGGCTGAAGGAGAGGCTGGGAACTGTACTGAAGGTAAATGATATCTAAGCAAGAGAGGAAAAACAGGACAGAATGGTGCCTGTCTCTCTCTTCAACCACAACTCCCAGACAATGTCTGAAGTCTACAGAGACAGCTCAAGTAGAGGCTGATATCTTGGCTTCATAAGCTCCCGAGAGAGATCTGCAGTACAAATAATAGTGCTCCAAGATTCAGATGACCCAGGTTACACAGAACTTGGTAGGAGGCATCTCCTTCATTTTCTTGGGCAAAGCAAATGTAGGTAGACTTGGCATAATGAAGACTCAAGGGAACACTGCCAAGTTTTGGGTCAAGGGACAAGAATCAAAATTCTCCCAGAGGAGCAGGGACAGGCAAGGCACGGGCCACAGCTGGTTTGGCTGTGAAGTTTGGAATAAAAAGACTATGTGAGGAATCTTTCCAAGATTCTCTCTGGAGCTTAATAATATTCTAAGAAATTCTAAATAATAAATAATTCTAGGAAATTTTGTGGTTATGCTATGGGTGCCCTAATATGTACATGGGGGCAATCGATATGTGAAGTATCACATTTAATGATAGTTCATTTGTGTGCATAGGTTAGTAAAACTTGGAGGAATATTACTTGCATTTAGTTTTTAAAGGGGCGTAGGGAATGTTGCTCTTGAAGCTTTCTCTTGATAACTAGAAACCAATTTTTTTGGTATGACAAATAGCTTCCATCTTAATATACTGTGGAATGTTAACACTCTTTAAATCATAAAATAACTTTTAAATATAAAACTTACTTTCTCCATTACAACCACAATAAGGGCAACTGCATTCTGAGGCACTTTTAAATTCATCTCACAGAGGGTAAAAGTCTATTCTGAGCTTCACATAAAAATATTGAGAGAGAATAATAGGGAAGTAACATAAATATTCTATTTTCTTTTTTGCTTCTCATAAATGTTATGCTTTCAATATTGAGAAAATAATTTTTTTAAATTAGAAAAAATGAAAACTGTGGTTTGAAAAATATTCAGCTTAGAAGATAATACTTTGCAGAGTTTCAACTACTTGTATTTTTTTTCTTACTGACAAAATGAACACAAAGCTTGAAAAGCTAGATAAGTTTAAACAGGAAAAATAAGTTTGGTGTGATGTTTTCAATTGTCATATTTTTCTCTTAAATTCTTAAAACTGTCTCTCTAGGAAATTTGAAAGGAAACGTATAGTACATTTCTTTGTTGAGTCTTCTGACTCGCCATGTATTTTAATTGAATGCTCTAACTTTGTATTTTGAAGCCATTTATTTCATTATGAATTCAGAATACTGAAAGGGACTAAATATTGTCTACCTATCGCTACACATAAATATGAACCCTCAAAATATAATATACGTATTGTTTAAATTTAAGTATTTTGGAAAGTGAGGAGACTTCCAAAATAATCTTGTCCAAACATCTTACTTTAAAAAATAAGGCAAATACATCCAAAGGGAGTTGTTGCTTGTGTAAGGTCACACTTCGTGTCCATTGAGGGAGAGAGTACTTGCCACCAGGTTCCTGGCCTCAGGCTTCATCCCTTGATCCACAATATTTTAAGAACTATTGTATAAATGATTCAGATAAAAAAATATAAACAAAAGGACAGTTTGAAACTGATTACAATGTGCTATTTTTTATATCAATCAACCATATACACATGTATTTATTAAAAAAAGCCATATTAATATCTTTTTAAAAAGTCATTGCATTAAAAATCTAAGGTCTTATTTATATGTGATTGATTCTTAAGTATAGAATCTCTCCTCCAGTTCGTATTTGACTGTGTTGAATATTTCTTAAAAGTAGAGACAACAAAGAGGCAGTTTGATTCATGCATTTACTTCTTTCGTTTATTGAAACTTCAACCACCTATCTCCTAAAATGGAATAAACTGGTTTAAAAAGATAAGGTGGCTGAGTGCAGTGGTTCACGTCTGTCATCCCAACTGCTTAGGAGTATAAAAAGTAAAGTAGAGGTTCCTCTTCAAAGACTTTCCTTCCCGTCTAATTAGGAATAAATAGTAACTTCTCTTAGAAGCAAAATTTATTCAAAGACCTGTGCTAACATTCTTAAATATCTGCTAGCTGTAATAAATAAATCAATATACTTTATGTTTTTAGCTCCCACAATTTAGCCTAAATATTTGCCCTGGCATGCTTATACTGGTCCAAGCAGCATTAGGTCACAGCCTGTTCCTCTTCCTTATTTAAAAGTGTTTTTACCTTTCTTAGCATTCCACAAGTTACTTCCTCCTTCCTTTGTTACCCTCTACCTTTACGTCTTTTAAAAAGTTCTAAGTTACTAGCCAATCGGGACAAATACAGAATGGGAGGTCCCATTCCAGCCATTGGAACTGGACACAGCAGTAGGGTGGACACGTCAGGTTATAAATGACCCTGTCTCCTTTGTTCGGTGTACTCTCATGGCAAAACTGCTGGCGAGTGTATCCTCTCTGCAGGAAGTAAAAATGGCCTTACTAAATAAATTAAATTTGCGTTCAAGTGCTATTTCTTTATAGCACTGAAAAACAAACATTTCAAACAGGAGACTGAGGCAGGAGAATCGCTTGAGGCCAGGAGTTCCAGATTAACGTGGACAACATAGCCAGACCTCATCTCTAAAAAAATTTAAAAATAAGCTGAGCACAGTGGCATGCCCTGTAGTCTTAGCTACTCAGGAGGACCACTTGCAGCCAGTAGTTCAAGATCAGCCTGGGCAACATGGCAAAATCCTGTCTCTATAAAAAAATACAAAAATTAGTCGGGCATGGTGGTGCACTCTTGTAGTCCCAGCTGCTGTGGAGGCTGAGGTGGGAAGATCAACTGAGTCCAGGAGGCAGAGGTTGCAGTGAGCTGAGATCCCATCACTGCACTCTAGGAGTGACAGAAGGGGACCCTGTCTCAAAAATAAAGAAATAAAATAAATAAATAATAATAATCAGCCAAGTGTGGTGGTGCAGTCCTGCAGTCCCAGTTACCTGGAAGGTGGGGGCAGGAGGATCACTTGAACCCCAGGAGTTTGAGGCCATGCTAAGCCATGATCGTACTATTGCATTCCAGTCTGAACAACAGAGCAAGACCTCATCTCTAAATATAAATAAATAAAACTTAAAGGAAGGTAAGTATTAATAGAAGCATAGTTAATTCACTGATGTTTACTCACATGAGAAACCCATAAATGTCTAGAAAATAAGACATTTTAACAGAGAAAGGGAAGCAATTCAATGCATTAGTTTGTAATTCAAAAATTTTGCAATTTACAGTAGGAAAGAATTTTGAAAAAACACTTTTACCAACATAAGGCTTGATTAACTAAAGATAATTTTGGTTAGAACATAGTCTCAGCAGTGAAATGAGCAGAAAGAGGCTCAAGGGAAATATGTAAGTGATTAGAAGATCCAGAGAAATGCATATCATTCTTCTTGTGGCTTTTAGGGTTTTAAGTTTAGATATTGACTGGGTAACATAGTAAGACTTTATCTGTACAAAAAACTACAAAAATTAGCCTGGTGTAGCGGTGCACACCTGTAGTCCCAGCTACTCAGGAGGCTGAGGTTTAAGTTTAGATATTAAAAAGAAAAAATAAATCAGTTCTCAGATTATAACTGAAAATAAAAACTTTGTCTAGGTGACTCTAATACAGTGTGGTAGGAAAACAGTGGCTGGAAGAATAGGAATGTGCTTCCTTTCCCACAAGAGAAGGGTGAATACTACTAGAAAAGCCAGTCCACTGCAGAAAGTATGCCAAAGTGAAGGCGTCTAAAAGGAAATTTCCAGGTACGTCTGAGAAGTTATTTGCAAAGATATGGGCACCAGAGGAAATTACTTTAGGTACAAGCTCTTCCTAAGGTATGTCCTGGTGCTTCTGATATTGTCACACATCTCGCTGATACAAACTTGCAAGGAATGCAGAAACTTTATTTTGTTTTAAAATGTTTAAACAAAATATTTATCTGAATGGATACTATAAAAACAACTCAAATATCATTATCTGATTTACTAAGCAGATTTTTACTCAAAAAACTGTCAAAAATATATATCACTGGCTGAAAAATCTCGTTACTGTGTCTATTTTCCAAGTTAAAGAAAAATTCTGCCATGAAGTGAAAACAACACAAGCTCCATCTAGTGGTTAAACTGAGTAGGTGCGCTTTAAATTGAGACAGAATGAAATGAGGTGATGATCACTATCCAGTGGTGAAATTTAATAAAAACAGAGGAACTTGATGCTGCCATCCAGTGGCCAGAATGAGAAACTGCTGTAAGTGTTCACAGAATTATGCAATTTTAGATTAGAAGGAATTTTGAATCTTCATCCTGTCACTCATTTGATGCTGAAATCCTCTATAAGTTTTTGCCAAAATATCATAAACTACATGATTTTAGAAGGAGACATGAAAAAATTTCAAATCCTTGTTTGAATAGTTCTATGTAAAACTTCTATTAGAAATATATATGCACATTTACTTAAAATATATTTTACTTAAATATAGGTATACAAAATATACAATTACTTTATATATTTACATTATTTATGTAAATATTTATACATTTACATTATATATGAATTTTATACTATATAACCTATATATTTTTACTTGGCCACATTTAGTCTAACACTAAATAATAGTATCTAAGGAATCACAATTTCATTTTCTTGTTATGTATATTTATCATTTCAGGGTGAGACTAAATTTACCTAAATAAAAATATAAATTAATTTAAAGGAAAATATTGAGTCAGTGATAGTGGAGACTATAAATGGACATAATGGCATAGAAGTCCCAATTTAAAAAAATCATAAAACCACCCTACCTTATGAGACAACCTTATTTAATCTTTGGTTTACTCTGATTATTCTTTTTTCCTTCAAGTAAGTCTTTCCTAGCTTTGTCACATGGTACTTGGTCAGTTCATTCACCTACAATGAACTAGAAAAAGTACAGTCCCTAGTAATCACATCAGGCACACAATATTTTCTCAATAAATTTATGTTGAATGAGCGAATTTATGAAGAACTAAATATTGCATGCTTATTTGGTATAAAGAGAGGCCAAGAGAAGGTTAAATAACTTATTCATGTTTAAACAGATTCTAAGTGGAGTAAAAAACGTATCTCCCCAAAAGAGTTCCATTTAATATTTACTATGTGCCAACAATGTGCCAAGCATTGTGCTGGGGGCTGGTGACATGAATGAAGGGAGACCCTCACCACATCATCACTGTCCTAAAGGGGAATGCTGCCTTCTGTCCCTTGTTCATGCACAGTGCACATGTATCATCTTGCTGTGTAGCAGAGAAAGTACTATGAATTGTCACAAACAGATCAAGAAAAAACGCAAAGATGTGGGAAGGTTGAAACACACATCACTTACCTCTAAACTAGCATGCAAGGAACAGACCAACAAAATGGGAGGATTTGAAATTCGGAATCCACAGACCCCAGGGATTAACTGCAGTTCTGAGAAATTAATATCATGTCATTATCATAGAAGGTAACTTTAAAAGTGTCCATAAAGATACTAGAGTACTGGAGAGTAAAAGAGCAAGACTTAAACTTTTCTTCCTAAGTAGGATTTCTGAGATATTTAAGATAAGCTCCATGGAACTAAAATATCGACGTTATTTCCCGTTTACCAGCAGTTCCCACCTCCCTTGTCCCCAACTTCTTAGCAGAACACCAGAAATCTTAGACCCAAGGTAAAAATGACCTCTTCTGGAAGTTTTTCTGGATCTCATTCTCTGCCTTCCTATTCCCAAGCCAGGATTCCTTATTCTGCTCAACATTTGCTATTCTATTATGAAACCATGTCAATGAGAGAGAGCATCAGCTTTTAGTGGCATGTAATTGTAATGTCTCCCAAAGGCAGAAATATGAATGAAATGACCTATGAAGCTGACTTTTAGCTCTAGGATTGTTAGGTCAAGTGGTTTCTCTTACAGAACACACACAGACACACACACACACACACACACACACACACAATAGAGGGAGCTTTAAAAAAAAGATCTGCCTAAGTATATAAAAAAGGTAAATTAATAACAGATGCTCTACTAATTAGAATTAAGCAGATTGAACTGTAGCAAGTTAAATTCAATAGGGTTAAGATAGCTAGTCAGAGATAAGTTAACACTATGACTGACTAAAAGAATGTTAAAACTTGATGACTTTTTTATAGTTATCAAATCCAGGATTAAGCAAACTATGGTGATATGGTTTGGCTCTGAGTCCCCACCCAAATCTCATCTTGAATTGTAATCCCCATATGTCGAGGGTGGGACCTGATGGGAGGTGAATGGATCATGGGGGCAGTTTCCTGCATGCCGTTCTCATGATAGTGAAGGAGTTCTCACAAGATCTGATGGTTTTAAAAACAGCAGTTTTTTTTGTTTTGTTTTTTTTTTTTGTTTTTGTTTTTGAGATGGAGTCTCGCTCTGTTGCCCAGGCTGGAATGCAGTGGCGCGATCTTGGCTCACTGAAACCTCCGCCTCACGGGTTCACGCCATTCTCCTGCCTCAGCTTTCCGAGTAGCTGGGACTACGGGTGCCTGTCACCACGCCCAGCTAATTTTTTTGTATTTTTAGTAGAGATGGGGTTTCACAGTGTTAGCCAGGGTGGTCTCGATCTCCTGACCTCGTGATCCGCCCGCCTTGGCCTCCCAAAGTGCTGGGATTACAGGCGTGAGCCACCACGCCCGGCCAAAAACAGCAGTTTTTATGCACTCTCTCTCTTTCTCTCTCTCTCTCACCTCCCATCACCTCATATGTGCCTTGCTTTCCCTTTGCCTTCTGACATGATTGTAAGTTTCCTGAGACTTCCCCAGCCATGTGAAACTGTGAGTCAATTAAAATTCTTTCCTTTTCAAATTACTGAGTCTCAGGTGGTATCTTTATAGCAGTGTGAAAACAGACTAATATATGGCCATATGGCCTGTGGGCCAAATTTGACCCACTAGTTTTGTTTTTGTTTTTGAGACAGAGTATCACTCTGTTACCCAGGCCTGAGTGCAGTGGCTCAATCATGGCTCACTGCAGCCTTGACCTCCCCGGGCTCAGGTGATCTTCCCGCCTCAGGCTCCCAAGTAGCTGGGACTACAGATGCATACCACCACTCCTGGCTAATTTCTGTAGTTTTTATAGAGACAAGGTCTCACTATGTCACCCAGGCTGGTCTCAAACTCCTGTGATCAATTGATCCATCTGCCTTGCCTCCCAAAGTGCTGGGATTACAGGCGTGAGTCTTCGTGCCAGGCCCTGCTTTTTAAAATACAGTTTTATGAAAACATAGCCACAATCTTTCACTTATGTATCACCTATGGCTGCTTTACCACCACAATGACGGAATTGAGTATTTGCCACAGAGACTGTATAGCCTAGAAAGCTTAAAATATTTCCTATCTGGCCTTTCACAGAAAAAGTTTGCTACCCCTGATCAAATTCAATTCCTTTATTTCCAAATAAGAAAACCCATCTCAAAGAATTTAAATAACTGGTATAATAACAGATCTAATTATTTTAGCAGCCAAGGTAAAATACAGGTATCCTGACTTGACTGGAATATCCCATTTTGCAATTTGGTTGCTACAAATCTGCATACCAATGGTCCCTGACTTAACAATGGTTTGACTTAAAATTGTTCAATTTTACAGTGATACAAAAGCAGTACATCTTAAGTAGAAGCCATACTTCGACTACCCATACGCCCATTGTGTTTTCCACTTTTAGTATAGTATTCAATAAATCATATAATATATTCAATGCTTTATTATAAAATAGGATTTGTGTTAGATGGTTTTGCCCAACTCTAGGCTATGTAAGTGTTTTGAATGTGTTTTAAGGTAGGCTAGGCTAAGCTATGATGTTCTATAGATTAGGTGTATTAAATGCATTTTTTACTTATGATATTTTCAGCTTATGATGGGCTTATCAGGAAATAACCCCATTGTAAGTCAAAGAGCACCTATATATATAAAATATTATCTCAGGCCAGCTTGGACAACATAGCAAGACCTCATCTCCACTAAATAATAATAATAATAATCAGCATCATCATCATCATCCAGTCATGGTGGTGCACACCTCTAGTCCCAGCTACTTAGGAAGCTAAGGCGAGAAGATTGCTTGAGCCAGGAATATCAAGGCTGAACTGAGCCTGATCGCACCACTGTACTCCGGCCTAGGTGACAGAACAAGACCTTGTTTCAAAAACAAAAAAATAAAGTCAATAAAAAATGAAAACAAATTTAAAACAGTATCTCAGGGTTTAAAGCAATCTGAAGGATCAAGTTTATGTTGAACTCTCAAAGCACGTATGATCTTTCTGCATCCCATGTGATTGAGAAATGAGGTCATGCAGGAAAAGGAAGCTCTGCATGGTAGAGTTTCACTTCTATCTGCTGGGGTTAACTGCTCACAGGAATTGCTACACTCTTTGGTACATGGCAAAAGCCACAAAAGGAAAATAGGAAAAAAGAGGAGTGAAAATGAGTATTTATTAAGGTACTGCTGTGTCCTACTTGGCTTATTGTTTTGAGCTTGACTAACCCTAAAACCAAATCTTTAAATAGATTTTATTATTCACATTAGATAAGTGGGAAAGAAAAAACAATGACACAAGATGATATAACTTGTGCAGGATCAAAAAACTATTAAGCAGCAAAGTGTGATTAACACCCAGGTCTTTCTGGATCTGACTCCAAGCCCCAAATTTCCTCCTGTCCTCCATGCCCAGTGTTTCAGGCACTCTATGTTGATGGCACCTGACCAAGCCACATGACCCTTACCTTGGACTTCATTTTCTTTTATCTCCCTGCTAAGGGATAGACTCAAAATCATGCTAAAATCTATAAACTCTTAGTCTTACACTCTGGAAATGTCATTTCTTATTTGAGAATTCTCAGTGACATTTTTGAAGTGCACTCTCCCTGGGGCATATACATTACACATAATACAAAGACAGATGAACATTGAAATAAAGTTAAAATAAAAATGGCATTAGGTAAAATAAATACACTTACTGTTATCCATCTTAAATCTGGTGCTGAGTTCATGGCCAAACCATCCCACTAATCTAAAATATAAATAAAAACATTAGGTTTTTGGGGGTTTTTTTGGATGGAGTCTTGCTCTGCTGCCTAGGCTGGAGTGCAGTGGCGTGATCTCAGCTCACTGCCACCTCTGCCTCTTGGGTTCAAGCGATTCTTGTGCCTTAGCCTCTCAAGTAGCTGAGACTACAAGCATGCACCACCATGCCCGGCTAGTTTTTGTCTTTTTAGTAGAGATAGGGTTTCACCATGTTGGCCAGGCTGGTCTTGAGTTCCTGAGCTCAAGTGATTCATCAGCCTTGGCTTCCCAAACTGCTGGGATTACAGGTATGAGCCACTGTGACTGGACATGATATTTTGATCTATAAAAATAAACACTACTAATTTAGAAATCTGGGGCCTGCATTATAAAGCCATTTGTAATATAAGTCATCAAATACTTCAGCAGATAAAATACTATCTGGTATCATATGGTAATTAATATTTATAATTAAAAGAATGAGGATAAAAATCTATCCATCTCTATTATTATTTTTGTGTGAAATGTCAACTTAAGAGTTATAGTTAATGACCGGTTTTTATTTAATATAAAATGAACAAAAATATTAAGCAGTTTTTATTTTAAAATTAAGCTAAAAGCTCAAAAAGGTCAAACAATTAATACAATATTTTCACAATAGAATCTCTAAAGAGAAATGTACCCAAAAAGCCCATACAATTGTTGAAAGTTTTAAAAATACTTTTAAAGGAAATTGGTTGCTTTCATATTGTTTTTGTTTTGTTTTGTTTTGTTTTGTTTTGTTTGAGACAGAGTTTTGCTCTTGTTGCCCAGGCTGGAGTGCAATGGAGCAATCTTGGCTCACCACAACCTCCGCCTTCCGGGTTCAAGTAATTCTCCTGCTTCAGCCTCTCAAGTAGCTGGGGTTGCAGGCATGTGCCACCACGCCCGGCTAACTTTTTTGTATTTTTAGTAGAGACGGGGTTTCACCATGTTGGTCAGGCTGGTCTTGAACTCCCGACCTCAGGTGATCAGCCCGCCTCAGCCTCCCAAAGTGCTGGGATTACAGGCCTGAGCCACCACGCCTGGCCTCATATTGTTAATAAGAATGTTGGCCAGGCACTGTGGCTCACACCTGTAATCCCAGCACTTTGGGAGGCCAAGGCGGGTGGATCATGAGGTCAGGAGTTTGAGACCAGCCTGACCAACATGGTGAAACACCGTCTCTACTAAAAATACAAAAATTAGACGGGCGTGGTGGCATACACCTGTAGTCCCAGCTACCAGGAGGCTGAGGCAGGAGAATCGCTTGAACCCAGAGGGGGAGGTTGCAGTGAGCCGAGATGGAGCCACTGCACTCCAACCTGGGTGACAGAGTGAGACTCCATCTCAAAAAAAAAAAAAAAAAAAAGAATGTAAAATAAGCCAGACATAAAATACAAAATATATAGGGAAAATCACATACGTGTGTGTATATATTACATGAAAAAGACTATAAAACAATTTAGAGAAAAATATAAAAAATTTAGAAAGAGAAATATCATGTTGCTTCTGATCAATTATCCCTAAATATTTTAGTTTTAGTGATGTCCAAATAAAAATTCCAAGACACTATTTTTTGGGAGATGACAAAATGTTTTAAAATTTATATAGAATAGAAAAGTATAGTGAGGAATATGCTATATTATCTTGTAATAGTATCTTATATGCTTTATATGATAATATTGCATATTATAAAATGCAGTACATAAATGAGACTAATTCTAGTAAAGAAACATCAGTGAGACAAATGAGATATGACGGTAAATACAGAAACAGTCCTCAGATCATGTCACAATTATCACCTCTTAATTATGACATTTCCAAAATGCAAAAATGAAAAAATTATATTTACATACTCATGATTTTCAAAACAGAAATTTCTAAGTATAAAACAGAAGAAAATTCAAAGGAACATACCAACAGATTTATAAACATTTAAAATTCTGTATTAAAAAGACAGACAAAATTGCAAGGCAAACCAGAGATGGGGAAGAGAAGTGATATTTGTCCCATATGAAAGAGTTTTCACTAAGAGTTTTTACATAGAAAAAGGACAATGTACCAAGAGCAACCCAGCTACAGAGCAGGGACAGGCAGTTTATAAAGGAGAAATGTCTGTGCCCCATGAATTCAGGAGAAGCAAACAAAACAAACAAAAACACCTCAATCTCACTAATGTTTCACACTATAATGTAAAGATGAGACCATATTTTATATATCAAATATACAAAATGACTTAAAATTATGCATATTTTCATTAAAGATTCAAAGAAAAGGAAATCAACCACTGTTGAATAATGATAATAAATAAGTAATAAAATCTTTCTAGAGGACAATTTAAGAAGATATATGGGAAATATGCATTGTTTTCTGTCCCAGAAATTTTACTCCTTCCAATTTATCTAAATTGGATTACACTATTTGGATTACACTATTTGAAGTACACCAAGATTTGTGTATTAGTGATAGGGAACAGCAGGCACAGAAAATCTAGGCAGAAAAGAGTAGGTCCCCAGGAATTCCTACCCTCAAGCTGAAAAGCCTGAAACCACAGCCCAAAGTGAGAACTTCTATCCCTGTTTTCCCGCTCAAATGTTGCTTTTTCCTAAACCACTCATGGCCCCACCCCGCCCCATCCTGTGCCTATATTAATCCCAGACTCAGCCAGTAGACAGGATACAGCTGGGCATCGGAGAGAAGTGGCTTGACTTCAGAGGGACAGCTTGGTGGCGTAACTTCGTAACTTCGAGAAGAGTCTGGCTGTCACACTGGCTCTTCACCCTGGCTGGTGGAAGGCAGCCGCCTCATGTGAAAAGTCAGAGGCCCCACTGAGCTATTAACACTAATGCGGACTGCGGACTGCGGACTGCGGACAGCAGAGCTAAAAGAGCACTGTAACGTGCCCTCTGGGGCTCTGAGAGTCGCAGGCACCCCCGGTTGGAGTCTGCTGTGGGGCCTGCATGGAGTTCAATCCTGCCGGTTCTAAAGTGTGGGGTCAGTTCCTACACCTGCTCACCTGTGCGCTCCCTCCCATGAGGGGTGGAACGCTGCAGGTCCGAGTGAGTGGGGTTGGGTCCTACCAGCGCCAAGTGGCCAGCCGATTCCAGCACTCATTCATTCCAGCTCCCGTACTCGTTCGCTCGTGCACTCCCTCCCGCGAGGAGCTGAGAGCAGCGAGCGGGGCTGAGTAAATGAGGCACCCCTGTCAGGAATTCCGCGAAGGGGTCAGGGAAATATCCTGCTTCATTAGGACAATTAACACAATACAATTTTCAGTGTCGAAACCATCTGAATATCTTATAATGGAGAACTGATAAAAACAAATTACACCTTTGCATATGAAGAGATACTCTGCAGCCATTATAAAAATCCTATTTAAAAGAATATATATACAAAAAGATTAAAATAGAGATCACAATATTTTGAGTGTGATTCTAGTTTTAAAACAATAACATGTATGCATTTATATTTAACTATGGCCAAAATGTTAAATATTTTAATTTATGCTTTATTCCTATGTTTTCCAGATTTTTCTTAAAGAGCACATATTGTTGTTGCATCAAAGAAAGTTTCTAATTATCATTTTAACTCCTCTTTATTAGTCCAAATTTTAATTTCAAAAATATTTTATGCATTTTGCATATAGTTTTATAGAATTAATTAGCAGAGTCTGATTAATTATGCAAATGATTAATTTTTTAAAATCCATCACTTAAAAATATCATACAGTTCTAACTTATTAAAATTCATAGTGTACCAACCCAGGCATACCTTTGAAACCTTATTTCTAATATATATTCTCTCGTTTCAAGTAATTCATTATGAGAAACTTAATAATCCTCTCTTTTTGTCCCCAATGGTTCTTCTGCCTATATTGATGATATTGGGTGGAATCTGCATAGGAGGAACTGAAAAAAGTCAGAGCAGAATGGTAAAAGCTCAAGCGATGGAATATCTACTGAAGTTCCAGTTTAAAAAAAAAATTATCTAAAGTAAAAACAAGGTGCCCAATTTGAATTCCAAAAGCTACACCCTTGATACAATTAAGGGTATAGAATACAAGAGAGCAGGGCCATTTTCAGAGCAGTGGTTACATTATGTATCCTGCAGAAAAAGGAGGCACATCCATAGAAAGAATCAACAGGACCCCTAAGGGATGGAAGTAGTGAGCAAATGAAAAATCTGAAGGGCTACTGTATCCTTTCTCCCCTAGCCTCCTGCTTAGGTACCTCCCCCAAATTGCTAATCTAGGAAAATTCAACACATTCAGTGACGAACAATGAAAAAAGAACTGGGTATAGCACCAACACAAAGATTTTCCATGAAAAATGGGAGAAATCTACAAGCAGATGAAAAATATGCACGAGGAAAAGATTGCCTGAAAGTGGATGAGAAATGTAATGAAAATGAATACATAAAGAAAACAACAGAAGCTTAATGAAATAATATTCCATGCGTTTGGAAAAAGCCAAGTAAAAATGTAGGAATAGGATTAACATATCTTAACAATAGGAGGGATGAAAATGAGCATGCAGAAATCAGGAAAGAACTAGAAAAGAAAAACAAAACACATAAAAGAAAGGAAAAAAGATTTGAAAAACTTCAAGAAAGGCAGGATACTATGGAAAAACTAGCAAGGGACAAAAGATAGTTGTGAGAAAAAATAAACAAAAAGATATATTTAAAATAGTTTAGAGAGAAAATGACAAATTTAGTAAGCAGATAAATAAGTTCTATCATAATCAAAATGAGTTTCCAAAGAAGAAAAGCCTGAGAAGAATATTTTTTAAAGTTATAATTCAAGACAACTTTGAGGAAATAAAAATGATTTGAATCTACATTGAAAAAATGCAACATCCTCTGAGTTAGTTGGGAGCGATTAACTCAGAATGGTCAATTTTGGTTACTGCCTATTAAAATTATTGGATTTTAAGGATAGAGAAAAAACTGAAGTTCCACTCAAAAAAGGTTAAGTCAGAATAAAGAAAGAAATGTCAGATTGGCTTCAAATGTATCAAATGCAACCATTCAATGACAGAGACTAATATAGAAATACCTGTACAATACTCAGAGAAAAAAAAACATGATACATGAATGCTATGTTTGACCAAGTCAAATTGTATAAGTTTTACTGGTATTGATCAAGCAAGTGTTCAGCTAATATTTTTCCCATGAATTCTTCATTACTGGAAAAAGAACTTAAGTCAGCCAAGAGATGACTGGTGAAACTATAACAAAATGACATATTGTGACTATCGAATATATTTAATTATAGGACTGAGACTGAACAAATGTGGAGATTAAGGTAACAGTAAATAGGAAATGATATGTGAAAGTGTAAAAATAAACAACTAAACAAATAGAGGAGTTAACATAGTTTTACTCACTATCCATAATTTAAACATGATAGATCAGGTAAAACAAGTATAATCAAATCTAAGAATACAAAGTGAATATCAAGAAAGTTAAAATTATTGACAAAAGTATCCCTCATCATTTTTTTTTGGTCTGAATTCCATTTTGTCATATATAAAGATTGCATCTTGCTTTATTTTACATTTTCTATTTATACTTTTGCTCATCCTTTTATTCAATTTTTTTCTGAGTTATTTATTTTAATTGAGTGTCTTTGCTTCGTAGTACAATCTGATGACTTTATCTTTCAATATGTGAATTAAACCTATTGATATTTATTACTTTGACAAATATGTCTGGTCTTAATTCAATGTCATTTAATGTCATATTTTCTATTTCTAAAGCTTTTTTAAAAAGTCTTTCAACATGAGATGATTTGCTTTTTTTTTGAGTAATTTACTTATTTTTTATTTAGTACTTATTTTGATATTTAAGGTTTTAAATTTTTCTTTTTCTTTATTCTATTAGTTCTCTTCCTTGAACAATTATAGATTTAGCAGCTTTCCTCTTCCTTCTACCTAATCTGTTATCACTTGATAGTTTTGTCAATAATTTGAAAAATTCACAGTAAAGATAAAACAGTTATGAATTGCTGTTCATAACACAATACCACACCAACACTCATAAAGCAAACATTACAGAGACTATAAGGAGAGAGAAATATCCTGTGGCAGAAGTTTTATTAACCTAAGTCCATGACAGATCAAGGGGACAAATATATCAATTAAGATGGTAAATCTAACATAAATGTTTAACGCTGTGACTTGAAATAAAGATTATAGCTTTCAAAAGAAATGCTCATAAAATGTTGACTATAACTATACAAAATCTTTAATATCTCCAAAAAGTATATATTGCTGACCATGGTATCTGAGTATAATCCAATAAGACTAACAATCAATAAAAAACTCAGAAAATGAAAAGACTCAATTACCTGGCAAGTTTAAAGTAAATTGATCTGAAATTACTTTTAGGATAAAGAGAAATACATACTGAATTGGTAAAATTTCCTTTATAAGAATGATTTTTAAAAGCTCCAGATCAAGACTTTTGGGAAATTGCCAAAACAGTGCAGAGAGAACAATTCATAGCTTTAAACTGTAGATCAATTTTAAAATTAGAAAGAAAACAAATAAATCAATAATAAGACTAAAAAGTGTTATAAAAGTACATGAAACAAATCTAAAATAAAGCAGCGGTATGCAATTAACAAAGAAAAAAGCTGAAATTAATAGTTAGAAAACATAAAATGACAGTTACACTGATACATAAGTCAAGTTTGTTGTGGTGAGGGAGAGGAATACCAATTGATCAAGAAAACATAAGAAGGTAAAGCTATGAAAAGAAAAACATATGCAGAAGGATATTCACAAAATAGGGAAAAATAAGCACATCATAAAAGAGACATTGCTTAAATTGACAAATCTAGATTAATTGAATAATTTTTTGGGAGAATATTACTTATTCATCCTAATCCCAGCAAGGAACAAAATGGAAACTAATAGATTTTAATAGGAGAAATAGAGAAAAGACTTAAACATCTAAAACTCACAAAAGAAGGTAATCTCATGGGGAAATTCTATCAATACTTTTTAGTAGATAATTCCAATGCTATTTAAACTAGCTCAGTGCATAGAAAACAAAAACCAAATCAAAAAAGAGGTATGGGAGATATTATCATTTTTTGTGATGCTATTATAATATTAATATTAAACTAGGTTAGGATTGCATACATATTCAGTCTTAAAAATATTAATACAAACATCATAAAATACTGCAAACAGATTCTAACAGCATATTAAACAACACATTATGAACAGTAGGGTTCACATAGAGCAAAAATGGGTCTATACTAGCAAATTTATGAATATACAATTCATTTTATTAATAAAGCTAAAGGAAAAATAAGATTATCTCCTTAAACCCTGTAAAGACATTTACGACATTCTTATTCTTAAGTTTTAAAAAATCTAAAGAAAACAATAGTAGAAAGATACTTAATGTAATGAAATACAGCAACCTCAGCCTGAAAGTCAAACTCTGATTTAGCAACACCGAAGTAATTTTCGTTAATACCAAGATTTGGCAGATATAAAAATAGGAAAGAAGATGTAAATTATTACTACTGTACTTTCAAGTTACATAATTTTTTTATTTGATATAAATATTCAGATACTTTAGTATGGTAGTCTGGTGGAAAATTAATATAAGAAATAAATATCTGAAATCTAAATTGCAACAAACAGATATATTACCAAAAAAGTGTTCAAGACCTGCATTCCTGAACAATAAAAATACTTGAACAATATTCAATATTAAGAAAATGTCAATTATCCTTAAATTGATGCACAAATTTAATATGATCTCAGTTGATATAATGTGGATTGTGTCCCTGCCCAAATCTCATATTGAAATGTAATTCCCAATGTCGAAGGTGGGGCCTGGTGGAAGTTGATTGGACCATGGGGATGGATTTCTCATGAATAGTTTAGCACCATCCCTCTTGGTACTGTCCTTGCAATAGTGTGTGAGTTCTTGTGATTTCTGGTCGTTTAAAAGCGTGTAGCATCTCATTCCTTGCTCTCTCTTGCTCCTGCCACGTGAGGTGCCTGCCCCCCATTTGCCTCCTGCCATGATTGTAAGTTTCCCGACACTTCTACAAAAGCCAAGCAGATTCCAGCACCATGCTTCCTGTACAACCTGCAGAACCACGAGCCAATTGAACCTCTTTTCTTTGTAAATCACCCAGTACCAGGTATTTCTTTATAGCAATGTGAGAAAAGCCTAACACACCAGTAAAAATAGATTTTTATTTGGGAAGAAGAAAAGCTGATTCTAATGTCATTTGGGAAAACAAATAATATTAAGAAATCTCTAAAAAACAATATATAACTCATTATATTAATAAAGCTAGAGAAACTCAGGATCAACTCTATAGACCAATGAATCAGAAGAGAAAGTCCTATCAAACAACAATATATTTTTTAAAAATCCTCTGCAGCTCATATTAAAAAGGGTTAATCTTTCTAGTACAAGAGTACATATAGATCAATAAGGCAAAAATAAAAATCTAAGAAAAATGGCCAAAGGATACGAATAGACCTTTTACAGAAAAGAAAAACAAGTAGTTCTTAAAAGTTAAAAAGAAAATCTCTCCAGTTACTAATAATATAAATACAAATTAAAACTACATTGCGATACCATTGTTCACCTCTCAGATTGACAAAAATACAAAAGTCTGATTATGTACTCTATTGGTGTGACTGTGGGTAAGGGCTAACTCCCATGTATTACTTTGAGAGTATAATGTGATGCACCTCTGTGAAAATAAATGAGCAATAGCTACCAAAGTTATAAAGATAAACACCATTGACCTACGAAATTCATTTCTGGAAATTTAATCTCCAAAAGTATTTGAATAAGTATGAAGTAAATTATGTATAATTATACTCAGTGCATCTTTTTAGTAACAGTCCAAGATCGAAAGGAACCTATAAATTGTCTACACAGAAAATCAACAAAGAAATATCAAAGTTAAACTATAGTCTACCAAATGGACCTAACAGACACTTACAGAATATTTCATTCAACTACTTTAGCATACACATATTTCTCATCAGCACTTAGAACATTTGCCAGGATAGACCATATGTTAGGCCACAAACAATTCTCAACAACTTTTAAAATGTTGCAGTCATATCAAGTATCTTTTCTGATCATAAGGGAATAAAACTAGAAATGAGTTACAAAAGGAACTTTGGAAACTGTACAAATACATGGAAATTAAGCAACATGCTCCTGAACAACCAGTGAGTCAATGAAGAATGTAAGAAGGAAATTTAAAAATTTCTTGAATCAAATGAAAATTAAAACATAGCACACCTGAACCTATGGGATACAGCAAAATCAGTGCAAGAGGAAAGTTTATGGCAATAAATGCCTACATCAAAAAAGTAGAAAGTAGAAAGATTTCAAACAAAAAACCTAATGATGCACCTCAAGGAACTAGAAAAGCAAGAACAAACCAAACTCAAAATTAGTAGAAGGAAGGATAGAATAAAGATCAGAATAGAAATAAATAAAATTGAGAATAAAACAAATATAAAAGATCAACAAAACTAAATGCTGTGGTTTTTTTAAAGATAAACAAAATTGGCAAACTTTTAGCCAGACTAAGAAAAAAGAAGACCCAAATAAATAAAAACACAAACTGAAAAGGGAATATTACAACTGATACCACAGAAATACAAAGGATAATTACAGACTATATAAACAGCTATATGCAACAAGTTGAAAAACCTAGAAGAAATTAATAAATTCCTGGATGCACATGATCTACCAGGGTTGAACTATGAAGAAACAGTAAGAAGATTGAAGCAATAATAAAAAGCCTCCCATTAAAGAAAATCCAAAGACGTGATGGATTCACTAATAAATTCTACCAAACACTTAAAGAAGAACTAATACCAATTCTACTCAAACTATTTCAAATATTTAAGAGGAGGGAATACTTTCAAACTCATTCCATGAGGCCAGCATTACCCTGATACCAATAGCAGACAAGGACATAGCAACAGAAAAAGAAAACTACTGGGCAATATCCCTGATGAACACAGTTGCTAAAATCCTTAACAAAATACTAGAAACTCAATTCAAACAACACATTAAAAAGATTATTCACCATGATCAAGTAGCATTTATCCCAGGGATGAAAGGATGTTGCATCCAACATGCTTGAGCCATCAACATACACAAATCAGTAAATGTCATAATCACATGAACACAATCTAGGACAAAAACCTTATGATAATTTCAATACGTGCTGAAAAGGCACTTAATAAAATTCAACATACCTTCATAATAAATATTCTCAACAAATTGGTTATAGAAGAAATACACCCCAATAACATAAAGGCCATAGATGACAAACCCACAGCTTACATCAAATTGAACAGCGAAAAATTGAAAGCCTTTTTTCTAAGGTAGGAACAATACAAGGATGCCCACTTTAACCACTGCTGTTGAACATATTACTGAAAGTCCTAGACAGAGCAATCAGGCAAGAGAAATAAATAAAAATCATTCAGACAGGAAAAGAAGAAGTTAAATTATCTCTCTTAACTGATGATACACTTCTATATCCAGAACACCCTAAATAATCTTTCAAAAGGGCCCTGAAACTGATAAACAATTTCAATAAAGTTTCAGGCCACAAAATCAATGTAAAAAAATCAGTAGCACTTCTATACATCAATAACAATCAAGCTGAGAACAAAATCAATAATACAATCCCATTTACAGTAGCTGGAAATAAATAAATAAATAAAATACCTAGGAATACATCTAACCAAGAAGTGAATGATCTTTACAAGGAGAACTACAAAACTCTGCCAAAAGAAATCAGAGATGACACAAATGGAAAAACATTCCTTGCTCATGGAATCAATATTGTTAAAATGACTATACCGTTCAAAGCAATCTACAGATTCAACACCATTCCTATATCAAGCTACCAACATTATTTTTTCACAGAACTAGAAAAAACTATTCTAAAATATAGAGAGAACCAAAAAAGAGCCCAAATAGACAAAGCAATCCTAAGCAGAAATAACAAAGCTGGTGGCATCACATGACTTGACTTCAAACTATACTCTAAGGCTACAGTAATCAAAATGGCATGATACTGGTACAAAAACAGACACATAGACCAATAGGACAGGACAGAGAATCCAGAAATAAAGCTGCATAACAGCCATCTGATCTTTGACAAAGTAGACAAAACAAGCAATCGGAAAAGGACTCCCTACTCAATAAATGGTGTTGGGATAACTGGCTGTCAATATGCAGAAGAATAAAACTGGACCCCTACCTTTTACCATATAGAAAAATTAACTCGAGATGGATTAAAAGCTTAAATATAATACCTAAAACTATAAAAGTCTTAGAAGAAAACCTAGGAAATACCATTCTGGATATCAGCTTTGGCAAAGAATTTATGACTGAGTCCTCAAAAGCAATTGTGAGAAAAACAAAAATAGACAAGTGAGACCTAATTAAACTAAAGAGCTTCTTCACTGCAAAAGAAACTATCAACAGAGTAAACATACAACCTATAGAATGGGAGGAAATATTTACAAACTATGCATCTGACAAAGTTCTAATATCCAGAATCTATAGGGAACTTAAGCAATTGAACTAAATATTTTGCCCACTAAAATATGGGCAAAATACATGAACAGATGCTTCTCAAAAGAAATGAACTTAAGCAATTGAACTAAATATTTTGCCCACTAAAATATGGGCAAAATACATGAACAGATGCTTCTCAAAAGAAGACATACAATTGGTCAACAAACATATGAAAAATGCTCAACATCACTCAGAAAGATGCAAATCAAACCCACAATGATACACCACCTCACACCAGTCAGGATGGCTACTATGAAAAGGTTAAAAAAATGGCCGGGCATTATGGCTCACACCTGTAATCCCAGCACTTTGGGAGGCCAAGTCAGGTGGATCACCTGAGGTCAGGAGTTTGAAACCAGCCTGGCCAACATGGTGAAACCATGTCTCTACTAAAAATACAAAATTAGCTGGGCGTGATGGTGCATGCCTGTAATCCCAGCTAAGGAGGCTGAGGCAGGGGAATCACTTGAACCCAGGAGGCGGAGATTGCAGTGAGCTGAGATTGCACCATTGCGCTCCATCCTGGGCAACAAGACTGAAACTCCATCTCAAAAAAAAAAAAAAAAAAAAAAAAGAAAAAAGAGAGAAAAGGTCAAAAAACAACCAATGTCGGTGAGCCTGTGGAGAAAAGAGAACAGTTATACGCTGTTGGTGGGAATGTAATTTTTTTCAGCTATGTGGAAAGCAGTTTGGATATTTCTCAAAGAATTTACAAATACCATTCAACCCAGCAATCTCATTACTGGGTACATATCCAAAATAAAATAAATTATTTTACCAAAAAGACACACGCACTTGTATGTTCATTGCAGCTACTCACAATAGCACAGACATGGAATCAGCCGAGGTGCCCATTAATGGTGGGTTGGATAAAACAAATATGGTACATATACACAATGGAATACTATACAGTCATAATAAGGAATGAAAGCGTGTCCTTTTCAGCAACATGGATGCAACTAGAAGCCATTATCCTAAGCAAATTAATGCAGCAACAGAAAACCAAATATCGCAGGTTCTCACTGATAAGTAGGAACTAAACATGGACATAAAGATGGGAACGTGGACATAAGGATGGTAACAACAGACACTGCGGACTACTAAAGCGAGGAGAGAGGGAGGGGATTGAGAATTGAAAAACTACTGGTACTGTGCTCAGTACCTAGGTGATGGGATCAGTAGGACCCCAAACCTCAGCATCACACAATATACCCAGGTAATAAGCCTGCATAGGTACCCTCTGAATCTAAAATAAAAGGTGAAGTTATAAAAATAAAAAATAAGAAATAAACAAACTGGAACTAAACCATAAAGTCATAATTATAAAAAGTTCTAATTTTCTTTTTGGTATGGTTAGAACACAAGTCAGAACCCTTCTCAAATCTAATATAAACAGCAGTTCATATAACTGAACTACATCAGTGGGGGTAAACTGGGAGAAAAAAATTTTGACACAGTTGTTTGTATGAGATGTCAAGCTAATCATAATGGATTTTCACTTGGAAAATTATTAAGAATTGATTTAGAAGACAGGCATAAAGTACTTGAGACTTTTCTGGTAATGATTTAAAAAAATTCATGTCCACTGAGAAAATTCTCAACCTGCATTGTGTACATGAAAGAGAGAATTTTATAATCCTATTAGAGACAACCAAATTGTTTCCTAAATTACATATTAACATATTGAAATGTGCATCTATGTGAAAAACAGAATTTGAAATACAGCTGAATATGAGGTCTTGCCTCAGAGGTGAAGTACATAAATCTTATTCCAAAGGAAATAATCACTGACTGTAAAATTTTACATGATAGTAATAAACTTGATACTTTATCTGTACAGACGTCCACTTTCACTTTTCAAAGCCTCAGAGCAAGTTTTATTTTAAGTGTTAACTCGCTAAAATATTTCAACAGAATGAACGTTTAGAGAAAACTATATTCTAGAATTGGTTGTTGTTTAGACTTGCAGCTAAAGGACAGATTTTGAACAGTCTGGAGAAAAAAAGGAAAGGAGATAAGAATATGTTTCAGGTGTGAGGAAATAGACTATTCTTAGGGCAAAGACATGCCTCCGGCATTACTCCAAACTGAACTTGAGCCACTGAGTTAAATTCAAAGAACCTATCAATGAATTTCACTGTTGAAACTGACGTTCTGTCTAAGCCACACTATTTGTTGCTAGGAAAATCTGAGCTTCCAAACTGACGTCACTGATTCCAGTGTGTCTCAAAATATAAAGTCTTAATTTGAGGGGAAATGTTTTGGGTAGTCTCATTTATACGCTCACAAATCTATGTTTATATTTCACTGATCCTATCTAATGCAGAACTTCATCTCCATAAACAGAACAAAATAAAAGAGGGACAAAAACCCAGGAAGAAAGAAGGAATGTCATTCACATAAACATAAACAAATATCCAAGCTTACATCTAGCATTTAAGGACATTTAAGGACATACAGATGGTCTTTATCAGGTCATGAGTCTTGACCTGATAATATATTATATCCAGCATTTAAGTACTGATCCTATTTTCAGTTGTATGCATTGACACTGTGAATAATTACCACACACTTATTCACTCTACTTGGCGCCTGAGAATTTTGCATGATGCCCCTGGTCTGTTCATTCCACCTCCAATATGCATACAGGATAGGTAATTTGGTTTCCCCACACCCTCTTTTTCCATTCAAATTTTTACTTTTAGTATTGAACTGTTTGATCTTAAAAGAGTTCTGAGGACCTCTTCCATTAAGTTTGCTAAATTTTTAGGCACACACTTAATATTTAGCTTCAGAATTGTTGTCTAATGATTTTTCCAGAAAAGCACTAAATCTGATTAGAAAACTTATCATCAATTGAGAGGCCAAGACAGGAGGATTGCTTGAAGGCAGGAGTTTGAGACTGGCCTCCACAACATAGGAAGATCTGTCTCTTAAAAAACAAAAAAATAGCAAGGCATGGTGGCACACACCTTTAGTCCCACCTACTTGGGAGACTAGGGTGGAAGAATCACTTGAGTCCAGGAACTCAAGATTACAGTGATCTATGATCACGCCACTGCACTCCGGCCTGGGTGACGGAGCCAGACCCTGTCTCTAAACGAACCCAAAAAACAAATAAACAAACACCTGATGAGTTTTAAATCTGTCCCTGTTTTTCTATGTTATATTAAATCTCATGTTGTCATTCCTCTGATTTGAAAACTGTATGGATTCAGAGACAACTACTCATATCCTATTGTTTGGAAAATGTTTGAGGTGATAAAACTTTAAATGTATTAAGAATTTTGCTCATCATTTATAAATGGTCTCCCGTAACTTTCTTCTTCTCCACAGTGAATCAATACATTTTATTGCTTCAGGATCATTTGTTAAGTGGAGAACACCAAACGGTGCATATAGAACAAAAATTCTAATTTTTAGCTTTGAGTTCCAAAACAAACTTCTGAAACTTATAGCAGAGACAATTCTCTCTAAAAGCCAAGACTTTTGATTTGCAGTAGACATGTTTGATCTCAAATCATGTGTTACATATAGCCCAGCATAAAATTTATGCCAGAAACAGCACATATAAAAGAAAACTGAAGAAACAATGGATCTAACCCATTAATTAAACCAAATTTGCTCCTGCTGGGGAAGGAGAAGCCTCAGAAAAGGATGAGATTCATACCTGATTCAGGTTCCCAATACTTAGCCAGGTTGTACTCCATACCACTAGATAAAATCCAAGGGATGAGGCTGGGAGGGTTGAGAGGTCAGTGGGAACTCCACATATGTTTGAGAAGATCTGATGATGGAAATGGCCTGAGCCATGTTCCCTCAGCCCTAAGGGGCAGTCCAAAGGTTTGTAAAGAATTTCTTCATGCCCCAAATTGGTGCCATAATCTTTGTGTAGGAATGTTAGGAGAATGGACCTGTGTGTGATAGCACCTCCATTTAAAACCCAGGTTCATACTATATCCTCTAAAGACGCAAGAGACTATTTTGAAATTCCTGCTCCCCCAGGGATAGGTATAGAAGTGACTGACAGACCCCAAGTCTCCAATGGAGCTTTGGGATGGTTGGGATAAAAGGCATGAGGCCATTTCAGTTTCATACACATCTTGGAGAATGTAATGGTAATGAGAGCAGTTGACCAAAAGGGTACAAGCACATCTCAATGTACTCCAGGAGATGGCTGTGGGTCCGAAGCCTCTCCCTTACCTATGCCTGAGTGTTCTGTATATCATCTACCTTTGCAATGTCATTCTGTGGAGGAAAGGAAAAGAATGCTGAACCAACAGAACTTAAACTCCAAATTTACTGAGAAAAACAACAAAAGTCACTAAGCTTACCTAGAAGTTACAAGACCAAATTTCCTTCAAGAAACAGATGTGGGTTCAGGATAGAATTAAATTCAGATAGACAAAAACAAAGAAAATAAAATTATTTGCTCATTTAAATTCAAGACCTGATAACATTCATATATGCAACTTTTCTTTAAAACTATCAAATTTCTAGAAATTAAAAATAGAGCTACCATAAGACCTAGCAATTCCTTCTCTGGACATATACCCAAAGGAAATGAAATCAGCACCTTGTAAAGATATCTGCACTCCTTTGTTCACTGCAGCATATTCAAAAAATTGTGAAGATTTGGGATCAACCTAAGTGTCCATCAACAGATGAGTGGAAAAGAAAATATGATGGACACACACACACACACACACAGAGAAAGAGACAGAGAAACAGAGAGAGACAGGGAGAGAGAGAGAGAAATATTATTTAGCCCTAAAAAATAATAAGGTCTTGCCATTTACCACAACATGGATGAGCCTGGAGTACCTTATGCTAAGTAAAATAAGCCAGAGCCAGGTGTGGTGGTACACACTTGTAGTCCCAGCTACGTGGGAGGCTGAGGTGGGAGGATCACTTGAGCCTGGGAGTTTAAGGCTGCAGTGTGCTGTGATAGCACCTATGAATAGCCATCACACTCCAGCCTGGACAACATAGTGAGACTTTGTCTCTAAAAAATTAATAAGAAAAAAAGAAAGAAAAAAGCCAGACATGGAAAAATTGCATGATCTCACTTATGTATGAAATCTAAAAAAAATTCAAATATACAGAGATAGAGAACAAAAGAGTGGTTACCAAAGACAGGTGTGAGGGAAGAAAATGCAGACAGGTAGGTCAGAGGACACAAAGTAGCAGATATGCAGGATGAACAAGTCCAGAACTCCAATGTACAGCATGAGGACTATGGGTAGTACAATTGTATTATATTTGGGATTCAAGCTAAGTGAGTAGATTTTCCCTGTTCTTGCTAGAAAAAAAATGGGTAACTGCATGAAGGTGGATATCTTAATCTGCTTCACTACAGCGACCTTTTACTGCTTCTATGTATCCCATACATCATGTTATAGACCTTAAATATACACAGTAAAAAATAAAACAAAAATATGAAAAATATTATGGGAAATGACACATGGGCCTTTGTACTCCATAGTCCCTTTTTCTTTCTTTCTTTTTTTTTTTTTTTGTTTTTTGGAGATGGAGTCATGCTATGTCATCCAGGCTGGAGTGCAGTGGCATGATCTTGGCTCACTGCAACCTCCATTTCCTGGGTTCAAGCCATTCTCCTGCCTCAGCCTCCCGAGTAGCTGGGATTACAGGCATGCACCACTAGGCCCAGCTAACTTTTTGTATTTTTAGTAGAGATGGAGCTATGTCATACTGGCCAGGCTGCTCTCGAACTCCTGACCTCAGGTGATCCACCCGCCTCGGCCTCCCAAAGTGCTGGGATTACAGGCGTGAGTCATCGTGCCTGGTCCAGAGCCCCTTCTGAGATAGCTGCTTTCTTCTGTTCTCCTTTGTCGCAGGAAACATTTTGTATTTTGGAGAACCTCCAACTTGGGGACACCCTCCGCTTTGGGGACAACCAGTGTATTTTCTTTTTTTTTTTTTTTATTATACTTTAAGTTTTAGGGTATATGTGCACATTGTGCAGGTTAGTTACATATGTATACATGTGCCATGCTGGTGCGCTGCACCCACTAACTCGTCATCTAGCATTAGGTATATCTCCCAGTGCTATCCCTCCCCACTCCCCCCACCCCACCACAGTCCCCAGAGTGTGATATTCCCCTTCCTGTGTCCATGTGATCTCATTGTTCAATTCCCACCTATGAGTGAGAATATGCGGTGTTTGGTTTTTTGTTCTTGTGATAGTTTACTGAGAATGATGATTTCCAATTTCATCCATGTCCCTACAAAGGACATGAACTCATCATTTTTTATGGCTGCATAGTATTCCATGGTGTATATGTGCCACATTTTCTTAATCCAGTCTATCATTGTTGGACATTTGGGTTGGTTCCAAGTCTTTGCTATTGTGAATAATGCCGCAATAAACATACGTGTGCATGTGTCTTTATAGCAGCATGATTTATAGTCATTTGGGTATATACCCAGTAATGGGATGGCTGGGTCAAATGGTATTTCTAGTTCTAGATCCCTGAGGAATCGCCACACTGACTTCCACAATGGATGAACTAGTTTACAGTCCCACCAACAGTGTAAAAGTGTTCCTGTTTCTCCACATCCTCTCCAGCACCTGTTGTTTCCTGACTTTTTAATGATCGCCATTCTAACTGGTGTGAGATGGTATCTCATTGTGGTTTTGATTTGCATTTCTCTGATGGCCAGTGATGATGAGCATTTTTTCATGTGTTTTTTGGCTGCATAAATGTCTTCTTTTGAGAAGTGTCTGTTCATGTCCTTCACCCACTTTTTGATGGGGTTGTTTGTTTTTTTCTTGTAAATTTGTTTGAGTTCATTGTAGATTCTGGATGTTAGCCCTTTGTCAGATGAGTAGGTTGCAAAAATTGTCTCCCATTTTGTAGGTTGCCTGTTCACTCTGATGGTAGTTTCTTTGGCTGTGCAGAAGCTCTTTAGTTTAATTAGATCCCATTTGTCAATTTTGGCTTTGGTTGCCATTGCTTTTGGTGTTTTGCACATGAAGTCCTTGCCCATGCCTATGTCCTGAATGGCCATGCCTAGGTTTTCTTCTAGGGTTTTTATGGTTTTAGGTCTAACGTTTAAATCTTTAATCCATCTTGAATTGATTTTTGTATAAGGTGTAAGGAAGGGATCCAGTTTCAGCTTCCTACATATGGCTAGCCAGTTTTCCCAGCACCATTTATTAAATAGGGAATCCTTTCCCCATTGCTTGTTTTTCTCAGGTTTGTCAAAGATCAGATAGTTGTAGGTATGCGGCATTATTTATGAGGGCTCTGTTCTGTTCCATTGATCTATATCTCTGTTTTGGTACCAGTACCATGCTGTTTTGGTTACTGTAGGCTTGTAGTATAGTTTGAAGTCAGGTAGTGTGATGCCTCCAGCTTTGTTCTTTTGGCTTAGGATTGACTTGGTGATGCAGGCTCTTTTTTGGTTCCATATGAACTTTAAAGTAGTTTTTTCCAATTCTGTGAAGAAAGTCATTAGTAGCTTGATGGGGATGGCATTGAATCTGTAAATTACCTTGGGCAGTATGGCCATTTTCACGATATTGATTCTTCCTACCCATGAGCATGGAATGTTCTTCCATTTGTTTGTATCCTCTTTTATTTCCTTGAGCAGTGGTTTGTAGTTCTCCTTGAAGAGGTCCTTCACATCCCTTGTAAGTTGGATTCCTAGGTATTTTATTCTCTTTGAAGCAATTGTGAATGGGAGTTCACTCATGATTTGGCTCTCTGTTTGTCTGTTGTTGGTGTATAAGAATGCTTGTGATTTTTGTACATTGATTTTGTATCCTGAGACTTTGCTGAAGTTGCTTATCAGCTTAAGGAGATTTTGGGCTGAGACAATGGGGTTTTCTAGATATAGAATCATGTCATCTGCAAACAGGGACAATTTGACTTCCTCTTTTCCTAATTGGGTACCCTTTATTTCCTTCTCTTGCCTAACTGCCCTGGCCAGAACTTCCAACACTAAGTTGAATAGGAGTGGTGAGAGAGGGCATCCCTGTCTTGTGCCAGTTTTCAAAGGGAATGCTTCCAGTTTTTGCCCATTCAGTATGATATTGGCTGTGGGTTTGTCATAGATAGCTCTTATTATTTTGAAATACATCCCATCAATACCTAATTTATTGAGAGTTTTTAGCATGAAGGGTTGTTGAATTTTGTCAAAGGCTTTTTCGGCATCTATTGAGATAATCATGTGGTTTTTGTCTTTGGCTCTGTTTATATGCTGGATTACATTTATTGATTTGCGTATATTGAACCAGCCTTGCATCCCAGGGATGAAGCCCACTTGATCATGGTGGATAAGCTTTTTGATGTGCTGCTGGATTCGGTTTGCCAGTATTTTATTGAAGATTTTTGCATCAATGTTCATCAAGGATATTGGTCTAAAATTCTCTTTTTTGGTTGTGTCTCTGCCCGGCTTTGGTATCAGAATGATGCTGGCCTCATAAAATGAGTTAGGGAGGATTCCCTCTTTTTCTATTGATTGGAATAGTTTCAGAAGGAATGGTACCAGTTCCTCCTTGTACCTCTGGTAGAATTCGGCTGTGAATCCATCTGGTCCTGGACTCTTTTTGGTTGGTAAACTATTGATTATTGCCACAATTTCAGCTCCTGTTATTGGTCTATTCAGAGATTCAACTTCTTCCTGGTTTAGTCTTGGGAGAGTGTATCTGTCGAGGAATTTATCCATTTCTTCTAGATTTTCTAGTTTATTTGCGTAGAGGTGTTTGTAGTATTCTCTGATGGTAGTTTGTATTTCTGTGGGATCGGTGGTGATATCCCCTTTATCATTTTTTATTGTGTCTATTTGATTCTTCTCTCTTTTTTTCTTTATTAGTCTTGCTAGCGGTCTATCAATTTTGTTGATCCTTTCAAAAAACCAGCTCCTGGATTCATTGATTTTTTTGAAGGGTTTTTTGTGTCTCTATTTCCTTCAGTTCTGCTCTGATTTTAGTTATTTCTTGCCTTCTGCTAGCTTTTGAATATGTTTGCTCTTGCTTTTCTAGTTCTTTTAATTGTGATGTTAGGGTGTCAATTTTGGATCTTTCCTGCTTTCTCTTGTGGGCATTTAGTGCTATAAATTTCCCTCTACACACTGCTTTGAATGTGTCCCAGAGATTCTGGTATGTTGTGTCTTTGTTCTCGTTGGTTTCAAAGAACATCTTTATTTCTGCCTTCATTTCGTTATGTACCCAGTAGTCATTCAGGAGCAGGTTGTTCAGTTTCCATGTAGTTGAGCGGTTTTGAGTGAGATTCTTAATCCTGAGTTCTAGTTTGATTGCACTGTGGTCTGAGAGATAGTTTGTTATAATTTCTGTTCTTTTACATTTGCTGAGGAGAGCTTTACTTCCAAGTATGTGGTCAATTTTGGAATAGGTGTGGTGTGGTGCTGAAAAAAATGTATATTCTGTTGATTTGGGTTGGAGAGTTCTGTAGATGTCTATTAGGTCCGCTTGGTGCAGAGCTGAGTTCAATTCCTGGGTATCCTTGTTGACTTTCTGTCTCGTTGATCTGTCTAATGTTGACAGTGGGGTGTTAAAGTCTCCCATTATTAATGTGTGGGAGTCTAAGTCTCTTTGTAGGTCACTCAGGACTTGCTTTATGAATCTGGGTGCTCCTGTATTGGGTGCATATATATTTAGGATAGTTAGCTCTTCTTGTTGAATTGATCCCTTTACCATTATGTAATGGCCTTCTTTGTCCCTTTTGATCTTTGTTGGTTTAAAGTCTGTTTTATCAGAGACTAGGATTGCAACCCCTGCCTTTTTTTGTTTTCCATTTGCTTGGTAGATCTTCCTCCATCCTTTTATTTTGAGCCTATGTGTGTCTCTGCACGTGAGATGGGCTTCCTGAATACAGCACACTGATGGGTCTTGACTCTTTATCCAATTTGCCAGTCTGTGTCTTTTAATTGGAGAATTTAGTCCATTTACATTTAAAGTTAATATTGTTATGTGTGAATTTGATCCTGTCATTATGATGTTAGCTGGTGATTTTGCACGTTAGTTGATGCAGTTTCTTCCTAGTCTTGATGGTCTTTACATTTTGGCATGATTTTGCAGCGGCTGGTACCGGTTGTTCCTTTCCATGTTTAGCGCTTCCTTCAGGAGCTCTTTTAGGGCAGGCCTGGTGGTGACAAAATCTCTCAGCATTTGCTTGTCTGTAAAGTATTTTATTTCTCCTTCACTTATGAAGCTTAGTTTGGCTGGGTATGAAATTCTGGGTTGAAAATTGTTTTCTTTAAGAATGTTGAATATTGGCCCCCACTCTCTTCTGGCTTGTAGGGTTTCTGCCGAGAGATCCGCTGTTAGTCTGATGGGCTTCCCTTTGACGGTAACCCGACCTTTCTCTCTGGCTGCCCTTAACATTTTTTCCTTCATTTCAACTTTGGTGAATCTGACAATTATGTGTCTTGGAGTTGCTCTTCTCGAGGAGTATCTTTGTGGCGTTCTCTGTATTTCCTGAATCTGAACGTTGGCCTGCCTTGCTAGATTGGGGAAGTTCTCCTGGATAATATCCTGCAGAGTGTTTTCCAACTTGGTTCCATTCTCCCCATCACTTTCAGGTACACCAATCAGACGTAGATTTGGTCTTTTCACATAGTCCCATATTTCTTGGAGGCTTTGCTCATTTCTTTTTATTCGTTTTTCTCTAAACTTCCCTTCTCATTTCATTTCATTCATTTCATCTTCCATCGCTGATACCCTTTCTTCCAGTTGATCGCACCGGTTCCTGAGGCTTCTGCATTCTTCATGTAGTTCTCGAGCCTTGGTTTTCAGCTCCATCAGCTCCTTTAAGCACTTCTCTGTATTGGTTATTCTAGTTATACATTCTTCTAAATTTTTTTCGAAGTTTTCAACTTCTTTGCCTTTGGTTTGAATGTCCTCCCATAGCTCAGAGTAATTTGATCGTCTGAAGCCTTCTTCTCTCAGCTCGTCAAAGTCATTCTCCATCCAGCTTTGTTCCGTTGCTGGTGAAGAACTGCGTTCCTTTGGAGGAGGAGAGACGCTCTGCGTTTTAGAGTTTCCAGTTTTTCTGTTCTGTTTTTTCCCCATCTTTGTGGTTTTATCTACTTTTGGTCTTTGATGATGGTGATGTACAGATGGGTTTTTGGTGTGGATGTCCTTTCTGCTTGTTAGTTTTCCTTCTAACAGACAGGACCCTCAGCTGCAGGGTCTGTTGGAATACCCTGCCGTGTGAGGTGTCAGTGTGCTCCTGCTGGGGGGTGCCTCCCAGTTAGGCTGCTCGGGGGTCAGGGGTCAGGAACCCACTTGAGGAGGCAGTCTGCCAGTTCTCAGATCTCCAGCTGCGTGCTGGGAGAGCCACTGCTCTCTTCAAAGCTGTCAGACAGGGACATTTAAGTCTGCAGAGGTTACTGCTGTCTTTTTGTTTGTCTGTGCCCTGCCCCCAGAGGTGGAGCCTACAGAGGCAGGCAGGCCTCCTTGAGCTGTGGTGGGCTCCACCCAGTTTGAGCTTCCTGGCTGCTTTGTTTACCTAATCAAGCCTGGGCAATGGCGGGCGCCCCTCCCCCAGCCTCGCTGCCACCTTGCAGTTTGATCTCAGACTGCTGTGCTAGCAATCAGCGAGATTCCATGGGCGTAGGACCCTCCGAGCCAGGTGTGGGATATAATCTCGTGGTGCGCCGTTTTTTAAGTCAATCAGAAAAGCGCAGTATTCGGGTGGGAGTGACCCGATTTTCCAGGTGCGTCCGTCACCCCTTTCTTTGACTCGGAAAGGGAACTCCCTGACCCCTTGCGCTTCCCAGGTGAGGCAATGCCTCGCCCTGTTTCGGCTCGCGCACGGTGCGTGCACCCACTGGCCTGCGCCCACTGTCTGGCACTCCCTAGTGAGATGAACCCGGTACCTCAGATGGAAATGCAGAAATCACCCGTCTTCTGCGTTGCTCATGCTGGGAGCTGTAGACCGGAGCTGTTCCTATTCGGCCATCTTGGCTCCTCCCTCCAGTGTATTTTCTCTAGCTGAATCAGCAGTGACTTTGGATATTTCCTCCCAGAGCCATTAGTATTCTAGACTCTACTTACAGCTTCAGTGATTTGGGTTCTGAGGACTTCCATGGATTGTTGGAACACAGCATGAACTGAAGCAATGTGTACTTGTAGCTTTAGACTGCAGCAAACTTTACCTTGCTTTCCATCCTTTTCTATTCAGACTGGTCTTTGTAAACCAATAATCTATCATTCTCTACCCAGAAATATTACATGTTGGTGCGAAAGTAATTGTGGTTTTTGTCATTACTTTCCATGGCAAAAACCACAATTACTTTTGCACCAACCTAAATAGTTCCAGGTTTTTTCTCTTTGGTAATCATAACAAAAATACTTGGGAAATAATGTACTATTCAAATATACAAGGTTTGTATATTTATACTATTTTATGCTATATATATTTATACTATTGCAAACATACAACTTTGTATACTTCTGCTTTCCCGGGAAATTTACTGACATATGACTGAGCCTTTCTTCTTATTTTTTCGTCAAGTTCTCACTCCTATTATAGATGCACATGTGACTTGTTGACAAAAAGGGCCAGACTATTTTCTTTCCAGTTTCTCTAGGTCGCTGGAAACTCTTATGAGCAGGGCCTTGTTCTGTTTCTCTTTGCATGCCTAGGTCCTAACATGGAACCTGGTATATGAGAGCTCTACAGGTACTTCTTAAAGTGAAATGTGACTGCCCTAAGCAAACTTTAGACACAACCAGGTAGGTCATTTTCGCTTTCTACCCTTTAAAGCAGTGTTAGACAGTGCCTGGGGGAAGGATTGATCTCTCCATCTGTGACTGCAGTCTCATCATAGTATTAATGAATTTGCTAGTGTCAGACTTGAATCATCTATTACACTTGTCAAATACCTCACATCTCCACTACAGGGTAGATCTTTCCATCCAACATGGGGAAAACATATCCCTAGAGTCTGGATGACCTACTTATCAGGAAGCCTCACTCTTAGCTTAAGCTAGGGCAAGATATTTTTGTTGGTTTTTATTTAGAGAAAACACAATTTATGTTAGCCTTGAGGTGATTTGATTGGTGATGCATTGGATCAGATGGCACCCAACCAATGAAAATAATACTAGTGACCCCGTTAGTAGAGGGGGGTTAGATACTGGTGATGGCAGATTAACTTCCCTCCAGGTGACACCTAATGAGATATGATTTCATCACTCTAAGTGCTTAAGTTAGTAGTACCTAGTTTAACTAGAATTTAGGAAACATTGGTGATAGTAAAGATAGTATTGTATGCTCGGGAGGAAAAATGAATATTGCCTTTATTTTTATTTTTGAGACAGAGTCTTGCTCTGTCACTCAGGCTGGAGTGCAGTGGTGCCATCTTGGCTCACTGCAACCTCCGCCTCCCTGGTTAAAGTGATTCTCCTGCCTCAGCCTCCCGAGTGGTGGCGCACACCACCACACGCAGCTAATTCTTGTATTTTTAGTAGAGACGGGTTTTCATCATGTTGGCCAGGCTGGTCTCGACCACCTGACCTCAAGTGATCCACTGACCTCGGCTTCCCAAAGTGCTGGGAATACAGGTGTGAGCAACCATTCCAGGCTGCCTTTATTTTTTATTTCCTCTAGCAGCTTCAACACATTTAGAACTATCCATGTTGAGAGCTGACAAGGAAGATTTTACTGGACCTGAGACTTGAATCTCAATCCCACAACTTTCTACCAGTAGAGAGCTGGGCACCAGTTTATTCATCTATAACTTCATAGGCCTATGGTTAAACAAAGTGTGAAGTTTCTAGCACAGTGCCTGTCAAGGTAAGCTTATTGTAAACATTAGTTAGATTCCCTCCCTACTTGAATATATCTGGTATTCATCTTAAACCTTACAGTTGAAAATTAATGCATGGGGAAGGAAATGTAGAAGCCTATCATCTAATGAATTTGTTACATTTTCATGAATTAGTCAAAATGATAGGCATATTAAGTAATCTGTCTTCTGGAAGTTTAAAGTAAATGAAAGTGATGTTTGTTCATGGAAGATCTTAATCAAGTAATAGGAGAATGTCTTCGATTAGAAGTCAGAAGCCCTATTCTCTAGTTCTGCCTCTGCCCAAAACACAATATGTCAAACACAGCGTTCTTTATATTTATTCATCAGCTCCACTCTTTCTGTTAGGTAGTTTTAGACACCTGAATTGGACACCATTAGGTTATTTCCCTCTTCTCTTTGAGTCTTATCAGTTATTAATTTTGTTGTTTATTCTTCAAAATGGCCTTGTTATCTACTCCTTCCTTCATATTCCAGTTAGACCCTAACCTAACCCATATCATCTGGTTTACAGAAAAAAAAAATCAAATTTCTGTAGACAAGCAAAATTAATGACAAAATTTTGAAGTATGAATACCAAAGTCTTGTAAAGAAGTGTTTTTTGTTTGTTTGTTTGTTTGTTTTCAGACAGAGTCTCACTCTGCCACCCAGGCTGGAGTGCAGTGGCGTGATCTCAGCTCACTGAAATCTCTGCCTCCTGGGTTCAAGCAATTATCTGCCTCAGCCTCCTGAATAGCGGGGATTATAGGTGCCCGCCACCACACCTGGCTATTTTATTTTATTATTATGATTTTTTGTATTGTTAGTAGAGACGGGGTTTCACCATCTTGGCCAGGCTGGCCTTAAACTCCTGACCTCAGGTGATTCCCCTGCCTTGGTCTCCCAAAGTGCTGGGATTATAGGTGTGAGCCACCCCCCCCAGCTGTAAAGAAGTGTTTTTGTATTAAATATCAGAATCAGGATTGGACAGCTATCTTAAGTTAATTTGAACAGATAACTGAGCTATATTAATGAGTTAAATTGTGTAGAAAAACAAAATCATCTTAGAAAGTAATTGCTTATTTAATGTACTAATGTTTATCATGATGTATATTCAAAGCCCATTCTTTCCGCAAGCATGGATGGCCCTGTGCTGAGTACTGAGGGGAACTTATTGTGACTCCCCCATTAAGGCTGGTAAGATAATGTTTGCATAAAAAGGAGGAAATAAGGAAGGAGTTCTAGCATAAATGAATCAGATGCATTCACCATAGTTTACAACCATAGGGCCATTGACTATTATTTTATGTTTTATTTTTTGAAAAGAAGAAATGCTAAAATTTACCAAAGAAACTTATTTCTCCTATATTTACATATCAAAGATAATATATGAAATTTTATGCACATAATGTTTTCTGTGGAAACTGATTCAAAATGTACTGCTTGGCATTTTCTTTTTTAAAAATCTGATGCAAACAGTGGCTGTGAGACAGAGCAATGAAAAAAATAGCAACATGTATTTCCCATTTATTTTCAATGGGATCAAAACAAAAATCAGGAGGAATATTTCAGTATTTCAATCTTTCTTCTTATTTAACAAACTTTTCTTTCATTTTTTGTGCATTCACTAAAGAACTGGGTACTTGACACTTCTGTGTGTGGAGTGATATTAAAAATTCAAGAGTATGAGTTATGATGATGATTGCTGGGTATATCTGACAGAAACATCAAAGACCTAGCGTTCAAACAGTATCACAGGAGGAAATAATAACTTGTGCTTGAAAATAGTGATGACATTTTCATAACCCAAATATGAAAGAAACAAGGGACTACACGAAGAGTAAAATGTGTTCTTAGGAAAAAAGAACTCAGAACTGATTCCGTAACTGTGGTCAAGACATTGGGGTTTTATTAATGTTTTATTTACTGAAGTTACAAAAGTGCTTTATATCTGAAAAAGTATAAGTACAATATGATTGTTTACAAAGAAAGAATTTCCAAGTTGCCTATCTCATTATTTCATGCTAATATCTCTTTTTTGCATTTATTCACTTAAGAAATTATATATTTCCGCCAGCTTTGTACAAAGGACACAAAGAGAGCACCTGGACCTTGAACCAGCTCCACCGAAGATTCTAATTGTTTGCCATCCATTGTCTTTCCCCATCCCCATTACCTGTGGATCTATTACCCCTGTATGGAAGCTATAAAATCCCATAGAACATTTAAGAATGGCCTGGCGAATCAAATTATTGGCTCCTGTGCCAATAAGAAATCCTGTTCAAAAGGAATAGTTTAGCAAAGCTTCTGCACATCTAGCTGCTAAGGAAAAATGGATGGAAACTAAGACATGTTTGCTGGGAAATGGGCATAGTCATTTCCTGTATTCTCACTTAAATTTTTACAACACCACTTTGAGGTAGATATTCTTTCTACCATTTTAGATTTGAGAAAAGTATGGCTTAAAGTGGTTGAGTGACTCATCCAAAGGGGCACAGCTAGTTAAGCCAATGTCCTGCTCAATAAATAATCAGGAACACTGACCACAAGCAAGAAGCTGTGATCAAGATAGCATAACCAGAACAAAGTTGAAGGAGGGAGTAAAACTGAGTATCTTAACAAGCCAGCAGGAAAGCAGAAGCTGAGATGCTCGGTCCCTGGAAACTGAATGGAAGAGCAGAGGTGAAAAGTAGGGCTGAGTAAAGCAAAATGGTTTAACAACTCTACAGTTGATACTTGTTACTAAGGGCTCTATATCTATTGTTTATGCTCCTGATTAAATTATCCTTCTTTTTGGAGGCTTATTAGAGTTTTCTTATGTTTCACTTATTAATAATCCAAAAATAGTTAATGAGACAATTTGCTAGAAGCCCGAGAGAGACAGCATAAGACAAAACAGGCATTGTCTCTGCCCACCATCCCTGTCCAATAGTTTAAAGTCTATTGGGTGTGAGGATGGCTGGGGTAGGGGGTAATTAAGTATATTCAATGGAATTGTGGTAGGCAGACTCTTAAAGTGCCCTCCTAGTGTTCATGCCTTTGTCTAACTCACTCCCTCTTGCCTAGATAGGATCTGTGACTCCACACCAAGAAGTAACAATCCAGGGGACAAAGTGAGATAGAAAGAATGAAGAGAAGGAAAATAGAGTCAAAGCTAGGTGTCTGATATTTTCATAGTCAGTACTTAAGGAAGACAAAGTGCTGACATATCCCATCATGAGTGAGGCAATAAGTGGATTGAAACACTGAAGGATATGAAACCAGAGACTCAAGATAAGATGTTTCAGTTTTATCGACATGAATATTGAAGCAATTACAAGGGGAGAAGAGGGTGAATGCTGATTATACAAATTGGGTCATTCTTGTCATACTCACCTAAATCAAAGTCTAAAGGCCAGAGGAAAAAAAGCACCCAGGGCACATAGCACTGCTCCAAGAATTGACTTCTCCACAAGCCCAGCTGCTGAAACTACCTGCTGTAACCCGAAGCCCAGTTTCACTTAGTATCTGCTGAAATACCTGCTATAACTAAGACTAGTTTTACCTACCACTGTCACTCACCAGTTAGAGATATGCCAGCTTCCAAAAGCTTTTCTAGTGCCAGAGAGATTTCTTTCAAAAGGATATGTAACATTTCTTTAAAATAAATACCCCAACATTTTCTTTGTTCTTTAGACATGCTGATGACTGCCTGATCTGTATGTGTGCCCCAAATTGCAATTCTGTGATTCACAAATAAAATGTTAAATTTAGAGATTTGTCTCTGTATTCTATTTTGACCTCAATAAGAGTAAGATCAATAGAATAAAGAAAATAGTTGCTCTTTATAGAGTTTATTTATATTATAATTCTCTAACAATGAGTAGTAAAGGGAGTCAGAGTACTCTGGATGTGGAAAATAATACAATTTTCTGTAAAACATGGCATAAAGATTAATATCTCGATGTAACAGTGATATCATTGAATTCAGTGGTCATAGCAATTACTTAAATAAAATATTCATCAAAACAATTCAACCAGTCATAAATACAGACTCACATAGTTTTCTGCCATGTAGCAACAGAAAAGTAGGGGAGGGAATATTTCGTATTATATGTGCTATAAAGTCCTGGGGCCATTGGTAGCTAATTATTTCGGACTGTCACTAATTTTTCATATGATGTTTTTCTTCCTTTATGTCTTTATTTGGATATAGAGTATTAATAATTACCTTGTTATTTTAATAATTGGTGGTTTTGATCTTCAATCTTAATGAAATTCTAAATGTTATCTCCTCTGGAAAAAATTGCAACTTGGTAAGATGAATGCTCTACATGTTCATTTGATAAAGAAATTTAATCATTTGATAAAAGAAATTTAATCATTTAAGTGGATTACTATAACAAGAAGATGAGATTTCTGTCTTATTAAAATTTATTTTTACCCATACCCCTTGTGAAATAAAGACATGTTGGCTCTCTTCTATGATGTATGACATTTTTCAGGCTATTCTGAATATTTTCATGACGAACAACATCAATGATATTACATTTTTAATGTAACAGCCCATACTGATACATGGTTAGCTAAAGTTTTGAAAAACATTACTAATTTAAATAAGAAAATAAAAAATAATTACATTTAGTAAAACAATATTAGAGAGCCTGTTTCCCATATTATCTTCCAATTGCTAGCTCACAACTTGACCCTAGGTGATTGATGACTCCTCAAACACTCAGCTAAGGTCTTATAAAAATAATCAAACAAGTTTAACTTAGAGCATGTGTGATTTTTCTTCCACTTAGGTTCTTTTAGTTGTTTTAATAATATTGAGACCAACAAAAAGAAATGTTAATTGAGATTTTATTATAAGCCAGACACCATTCAAAGCAATCACTTAATTTTTAAAATAATCCTATGAATTATACTATCATTATCCACATTATAATACAAAGGAGGAAATGAAGGCTCTAAAATTCTTGATAAATAGTCTAAGATTCCACAGTTATTTATTGTTAAAGTCCAAATGTAGATATAGACCATCATGACCCAGGATATTCACAGAAAATGCAAAACCATCGGGAGCAGGTTTTTAAAAATGAACCAGTGATTTAATAAAAGCAATGTTCTCCAGACTACTTCCGGGTTTGGGGCTGGCAGAATGCTAGGCTAGGATAGACTAGAATAGGCTAAGATGGCAGAGCTGCTATTCTTTTTTTTTTTTTTTTTTTTTTTTTTTTGAGACGGAGTCTCAGTCTGTTGCCAGGCTGGAGTGCAGTGACGTGATCTCTGCTCACTGCAACCTCAGCCTCCCAGGTTCAAGTGATTCTTGTGCCTCAGCCTCCCGAGTAGCTGGGATTATAGGCATGCACCACTACACCCAGCTAACTTTTTTGTATTTTTAGTAGAGTTGGGATTTCACTGTGTTGGCCAGGATGGTCTCAATCTCCTGACCTTGTGATCTGCCCTCCTCAACCTCCCAAAGTGTCAGATTACAGGTATGAGCCTCTGCGCCTGGTCACAGAAGCTATTCTTTTTAGTATATACAATGTCCACTCCCTCAAACAAATGTTCTTTTGACCTTCTCTATTCTTTTAGAATCTCTATAAGGAGTTGCCTTTCTTCAAAATGCATGATCCTAGACACTTGATTTAGTGAACTTGAGTAAGCATATCACTCATCTGTTACAAGTTCAAGTCTTTACAAACAGAAATAAGCGCTGTTTAAAACCTTTTAAAAAGCAAATAAAGAAATGATTATTTCAAAACAACATTTAAACACGAAATACATTGCACAGAATCTAGGAGGAAGTTAAATTCATTTTAAGATCCATCACTTGGAATGTAGGAAAGGTAAAATCCAAACACAAAAGAAATGCAATCGTAATGAAATCTTGGATTCTTAAAAAGCAAATATTTGAAAGCTAATGAAGTAAAATTAAAAACCACTGAATTAGTTTATAAGTAGCTATTATCACAATGGGCTCATAAATCATTCCTAAAAACTAAATGTCAACAATAACAATTAAGATACAATCTCCTTGTGCTTGGACTAGAAATTCAAATGTTTTCTCATCAAAAATTAAAAATCAAAAAGGGAATTAATTTACTAAGAATGGAGATATAAACAGAATTTGAGAGAAGTAACGTGTTGGAAGAGATCCAGTAAATAATAAAAGCAGACATATTAATATGCTGTGTGTTCTTTGAACATCATAAATTCCAAAAAAGTAGTTTCAAATAAATGTTATCAAATGGAAAGCATCGCTTATCATAAAGACATCTTTGAAGCATGATACTCAGATTCAGTAAGAGAAAGCCACTGGGGATCTAGTGAATATGATTTCGGATGTGAGGAGTTATGAAATGAAATATCCAAACTCTCCTTGATCTCTTCAGCAAGTCTTTAATAGCAAAATGCTCAATATGAATTCCTAAATATGTCATTCATTAACTTATCCTTTAAACCCCTTATCTCTCACCTCAACCTCACAAAAACTAAACAACAAACATCTGTTTCTTAGCTTATGTTAAAGAACAATTTCCCCTTTGGCACCAAATCAAAATATAATAAAAATAGTTCACAATCTTTCTTAAGAACATACATTTTCATAGAAGACTGCTGTCATAAGTTTCTTTAATTTGGCAACTTATTACCATACATTTAATAATTTAAGTTTGTGTTCAGGAATGCGAACATTCTTTTCCTCTTCTCTCTCTTCCTAAAGGCTATAACTTAAAATGAAATATAATTGTCTTACTGTTTCCTTGGCTTTAAAAAATGTGCTGATCAGACAAATTGTCATAGCATTGCAAAAACATGGAACATGCTGGGTACAGCATGATTGTTTATTCTAAAAATAAACAAAGTCTGTAATAACAACTTGGGATAAGTTAGAATGTCTGTCATCCTAGCATCCTCTATAACCTAATCTGAAGTATGTTACTTATTTTCCTCATTAAATAATCAGGGTTCATAGAGTCAAAACTTCCACAAATCTTGTTTTGTTTAGAGAACAATTGGAAATTTATCCATTTAAATAACTTTGATATAGTCTTAATATTCACAGTAAAAACTTTAGCAACTGAAGTTTAAGAAATATATACATAGTACTCATTCATACTTGAGAAAAGGAAAAAGATAAGAATGTTATAGCAAATTTGTTATCAAGTTGTCTGAACTGGCTGTACTTTACTGCATGCACTTATTACAGAAAGGAGTGGAAAGGAGGGTCACTGAAGTTATTGATATAGCCGGTGATGCTCAGATTTCCATCAAGCTGGTTTTAGTTTCTGAGCTATCACTACCAGCAGTTCACTCAATTGTGATGCTTCATTTTTATCACTTGAGAATGACAGCATTCGAAAGCTGGAAGAGAATCTTCCAGAGATCACTGGGGTCTATTTATTTTTTCCACAGGCAAACCAAGACTTAATGAGAGGTGAAGAGACCTGAATTTGTAATCTTGTTCCTCATGAACAGTCAGTGGCTCCCCTTTGTCTTTAAAATAAAATCAAAATTCCTTAGTTGGAACATAAGGATCTTAATGTTCTGGCCCCTGACTGGCACATGTGGAAAATCACCCTGCCCAAGAGGGCTACCCACAGTTACTGCCTGTTCCCTTTCAGTCTGACTGAAAGTTAGGGGATTTCTCCAGTTAGCTTACATTTCATCTTTGTAAGGTTCTCCCAACATCCCTCTTCTTTCACTGCCCAGACTGAATGGTAAGTTCAGGACAATGGGGGCTCATTCATGCCTGTATCCCCAATGCTTTGAATACAGCCCAGTCTATAGTAAATCCTCAAGAAACAGACCAGCGTGGGCAACACAATGAGACCCCGTCCCTACAAAATAAAATTTTAAAACTTTGAAAATGTCATAATTCTTTCATAATGTTCGGTAAACATACTAACTTTTTCTTATGAATAGGTATAGACTTTCTGCTTTTCCTTTTGATTGTTCCAAGCTCTATTCATCTATCATCAGCCAAAATGTTTCTTCCAGCCTCCACTAACAATCTTTTTTAGCCAGTCAATCGAATTTGGATGGCCTACTACAAAAAGCATGAGCTCGACCATACTACAATTCCGTCTTCAAGAAAGTAAGGTCAGTTTGGTAGGATTTGGGCACGGCTGCATGGGTTCATAAGTCCCCTAGTCAAGATCTTCAGCCATATTCCCACGGTAGGGCATTAATGTTGCTAGACTACCATGTGTAGTGAGAAGAAAGGCTTAGGAAACAGAGACACGTTTGGTACAGTGCAAGCAGATATTTGAGTTCAGAAATAAGAGTAGTTCAGGCACATATAGAGAACACCGAACTAGTGCCTATAAAATGACAATCAGACAAAACAGTAGATATGCATCAAAACAAGTGGGCAAAACAACACAAAACAAAAAACAATGAGAGAAGGAGCAAACAGAGTCTAAATCCAGGCAGTTGGTAATCAGCATAGCGGTAGGAAAAACAAAAGTATGGCTAAGTGACAAAAGCAGATTCAAAGGTACTAATGACAAAGAAAAAGTGTTGAAAACTGAGAAAGTAGATTGCTTCAGCTCATAAACTGTACATTCACCCCTTGATGCCAGCAACTGGTCCCCAAGCATGCCCATTAGAAGGCTTGGCATGGCATGCCATGCCATTAAACAGGTACAATATTGCTAACATACTCTTAGTTTAAAAAGATCTCTATCAATTCCTAGTTTAATAAAATATTCATCTAATCACAATTGTTCTGCTTTGTTCGAAGTTAGCTGACTTAATGCTATTTTAGAAAGTAGTTTTAGGATGTATCATAAAATTCAGTTTCATTTTTTTCTTCTCATTTGCCCACCCATCTGTAAATATTAGTGCTTCACTTGGTTCTGTTACATATTCAATTACCTCTTCAAATCTTACTCTGTAAGAGGCTTGTTCTAATATGTCCAGTAAGCTAACAGTATGATAAGCATAGTCATAAAAAAGCACTTCCAGAAATGATAAATTTTAGTTAATAAAAATTGTTTTCTAAAGTTTCAGAATATGTTGTTCTTATAAGAGCTAAGTCAATATGTTTTTTGGCATGAGACTATTAGTAACAAAAAAGCCTTTGAACATTTTCTGAATATACTTTTCTGAAATATCTTATTATTTTGAAATATTGGTAAAATAATCCTTTGAGTTAATACCGATGCTCCAAGTCCAAGAACAGAAAGTTTTCTAGATTTAGGACTTTAGAAAGAACGACTTGAATTTTGTTCATCAATGTTGATTAAAAATTCATGAAGGATTTTAAAGTTGTCTGTAGCTAGTTTTCATGGATATATTTGGTCTTCATAGAAGCATATGGAAATGCATATTTAATTTGACAGTATTTTGCAAATCATACCCGCTTCAGAATAATTTGCAAAGTAGAAATGCTTCCATATGCTAGAAGATGGTTTGTCTATTATGCTGAGAGTAAAGACAGAGCCATATATTCAACAACAAAAATTTAAAAAATACTTTCTTGGGCACTGTAGATTATGAAAGTAAAGAAAGATTAACAGGACAATGTCCCAGGACTCAAAGAATTTAGAATTAAGATTTCAATCTATAATAAACTTATTAAGCAACCATATAAGACATGCTAAAATGAATTTTCATAGGGATCATTGGGCCCTTAAAAAACATAGTGCCACATGGTTATTTTCTGCCTAAATTGCCATGGCTTGTGCGAAATCTTCTTAAATCCTGACCAAAGCTGATTGGAGCAGGGACTGATATGGGAGACAAAGCAAGCTATCTATACATGAGTTGGTCATGAGGACAATAGATGCTAGCTCTGGACAAAAGAATAATTCCCACCCAATCAAATTCTCTCCTCTTGAAGAGCAAAACAGGTGAACATGGAGAATATGGATCACGTGGTTTAGAAGTTTGTTGTGAGTAATATATTCCAAGTATTCTTGTGTAGACTGTGAAGTTAGCCTGCCTCAGTGTTGGAAGTACCAGGACTTGGTACCTGGTCTGTGTTGCTGAGGCAGCTCGCAATGCTGCTTCACACAGCATGGATTATTACAACAAACTTCCACCCTGTCTGCTTGGAAATCATAAAAAGCCAGATGGATACATGTATGTTCTAAACAAGAACACATGAAAATGTAGCAATAGCTCTTCACGATTAATAGTAAGAAAAAAAAATAAAGTCCCTGCAGATTTCAAAGGTTACTTTAGGGCTAAAACTTGAAGTAATTAAAACAAGAGCTGAAGCTCTTTGACAAGTTTTACTTTTTATGCCTGAAAGGTTCATTGACCCTATATATCTTCAGAGACACTGGACTGCAGTTTTAGAACAGAAAATAAATGTTTAGGTTTCAAAGGACTTCAGTGTTCTCAAATTAATGACTATTTCATCATTATCTGAGAGTAGCGATTTACAAGCAAGAATAGCTTTAATGTATGTTTTTATACTGATAATTACTATTTTGGCTTTCTTTAAGATCTAGGATTACTTCATCTCTGGAGTTAAAAAAATACAGATTATTTACTGAATTTATTTTTAACTGTGCTCGTGCCTCAATGCATGTAAGTTATTTTTATGATCACAGCTTAAATTCCCTACACAAGAAAATTATCTGGAGAATTTCACACAGTAAAAATTGTCAAGCCAGGAAGATTTTTTAAAAAAATCCTTTAAAAATTATTGATCTAAAATGGTTTCTAAATGAAAATAGGTTTAGGTTGTATGTCATGATTCCACAGATGAGTTTTCTTCAAGTGGTGTGTCTACTTTTGGGTCCCTTACAGTCACCATTTGAGGACTAAGACTGATGACAGGTGTAACCCACTTCAAGAGTGTGTTCCCAGAGCGAAGGGAGAGCTTAAAGCAATCACGATTTTACCACTGTTTATAATGGCTAAAATATTGTTGAAAGATAAAGAACAATTTTATGATAATGAGGCAGGCTTTAAAATGTTAAGTCAATAACTCCAATTCCATAAAAATTCTAATGAGGAGAATAAAAAGGAAAAGATCACTTGGCATATTCCTTTAAGAAATGCCATTTAAGTAATTCTTTCTTCTTTTTTATATCCCCTTAAATTTATGGAACTTCTGAAATGAATCTCTCTCACAGGCAACAATTTTAGTTTTCAATGTAACAAAGTAAATTTATTCACTTAGTTAGTATTGCATTCCATTTTACAGAAGATTCGTATCTGTGAGTTTCCCCACCTCCTTGCTCAAGCTCTTCCCAAGCAGCTCTGAGTCAGTCTGCTATACCTCCGCTGCCCCTACGGCAAAAGCAGTCTGAGAATTCACCCAGTAATTAATCAGAGGCTGCCTTATGGCACATATTCTAAGCTTGGGTTGCCTGTGACTTAAATCACTTATTTAACTGGTTAAAAGATATATCTCCAAATGAATTATAACATTTTAAAATCGCAGGCAATAGCCTATATTTATTTTTCATCTATGAAAGCTTTTTGCACAAAAATATTGGTTGGTTATGTTTGTTCATGTCTCTTTAATAAACTCAGGATCATTCTCTTTACATGAGAAAGTGAAGATTACCTTAGAAAGATACCTATGTGAGATAAAATGCAAGTTTTACCATATTTAGTTTCTGAGATAGAAAGATGTATGTGTGTGTGTATGTATACACACACATATACAGACATATCCAAAGTCCTTAATATCTGATGACAAATGAAAATATGAAAAAACCACTTAAATAAATCAATTTTAAAGTCAATGGCAGAAGGTTTGACAGAGATGCTATCTTAAAATATAGAGCTTAAAATTATTTTTAAAATTTAATATATGATTTGGAGAAATATAGATTAAAATTATAATATTCTAATAATTAAGAATAAGGATAAGGTGTGTTGATTTTTTGGTATATTTCTTGACAAAATGATATGGTAGCAAAATATCATCCCTTTTATAGTATACTTAACTTTCTCAGCATGACCTTAAAGATAATTTTTACATAGATTTGTGAGGCATTTATCATTTATCTTGAATGCCTGATATTCCAGTTATTTCCTTTTGAAGTACATTGTCAAATGTCCTCTACTTCACCTGTTAACTGCTCTGACATATTATCATTAGCCATGATTTTGTGATTCAGGAGTTTTCCAAATTCACTTGCATCATGACATCCTGAATCTCCCTTGAAAAATCTTACTTTAAAATCATTTTCATTATATTTTCACTGTATTATCTGATATTTATGATATTATATAATCAGCAAGATACTAAGAATTTGTAGAGTAATTCATAGAGATAGATGCTGCTACTTGGAAAATGATGTTCAGGTAAGGACTAATTTTACAAGCAGGGAGTTTATTAGTGAATATTTTCCTTATATCTTTGGGGACTGAGATCATGTTTGAATAATGACAAACTCTTGCAATTTGCAATCAGATGAAAATAAGGGCTAAAAATTATGCAAGTGGTAAAGCTGGAAATAAAAGTTCGTTTCTTCTACACCAGTTGTATATTGTTGAAATAACTGTGGATGAGATACTTTTGGGCAAGAGGATTAAGGACTGAGGTTTTGAGAGAATCAATGAAAAGGTGAAAAAGTAAACATTTTAAAATACAGAAGAGTTCTCACATCCATTGGAGCAGAAGCAAAAGAAAACGGTACCACAGAAGTTTAGAGATGTGGGAGGCAAATATTAAAGACAAAGGAGATAGCCAATTATATATGGCTGAGAAGCCAAGAAGTTGTAGCTGGAAAGTCATCCATATTAACACTGGCTAAATACAGGCTAAACAAGCAGAACAGGTGACTCAGAAGGCCGAGGTCATATTTCAACTGGGGATTCTATAAAAACTCACTGAGAAATCTATTGGTACTGGTCTATCTCATTTGAAAGCATCAGAAGTGTTGTGAAGTCACACATCTTGCTACTGCGACCTATGCTTCCTGTTGTCTCAAACTTTGCACAAGAAGGCCTTATTCTGGTACTAGATAGGGACTTGATAAGTAGTAATTCAGAAGGCATCATTAGAAAACTAAAACAGGATTTAAATTATAGATAAGTTTTGGGCTATGGCATTCTCAACTGTTGCCTGGAAAAGCATATGGAAGTGAAATATATAAGTCAGTGTTCCCCTGAACAAATGTGCAAAAGACGATCTCTTCATACAATGTTAACTGTACAGTTGGGACAAGCATGGTATAAAGTTATAATTTTTTAAGTCTTTTTGCTGAAATTTCTGGATGTTTATTTTTATTCTTTCTGGGACTTTCCTGGGAATTGTTTGATGCATATTGTTTTTCTAATGTTGTTGCCAAATAGTAACAACTCTTATTTCTTAACCATGCACTGAAGTCAGCCAGCCTTTTCAACTGGTTCTTTTTCACCAGCAAATTACTCTTTACAATAAAGGAGATAATTCAAGCCCTTAATAAGGCCTTTAAAATGTCATCACTGTTTAAAACTTTCAATCAAATACCTCTAGCTGATTATGGAAATGTGTTGGCATGATTTAAAATTCAAGTATTTTTATCAAAATTGTCAGTCGGCCCCATTCTTGCCCATTCAAAAAAGCTCAGAAGAAAAGTATCCCAAGGGAAATGTGCATTTTAGGAGAATCTAATACAATGGGCACATGTGGAGGTTTGCTACACCAGCGTGAAGAGTGAGGAACAGCAGGTTTTCAGTATGTATGATTTCACTGGCTCACATAAAAAAGTAAATGATAGATGGATTTGTAATACCTCATATTATCCACTCCTGTTTTCATAGTAGACTCTCTATTAACAAAAAAAGAGGGAGGTGGTATCTTAAATCGCAATGTATGGGCTCTTACAGAAGAATCCTTTTAAAGGATTCACAAAGCTTTGAATCCCCTAAAGTTGAAAGGTTAAATAGTCCTCTAAAGTGTGCCATGAGGGTTAACATTTGTAACTTTTTTTAAAACATTCAAAATTTACAATGTTATTTAAGCATGTTTTTAGTGAAACATTTCATATTGTCAAATTTGTACAATTAAGAGTAGTTCCCTTCATATTTCAGAGCAATAATTAACTGTGTAGACTGAATTAAAGTCTACCTTGAAGTGGGGCAAAAACATCCAAGAAGTCATGACCAGTCCTAATTTATTGTACAGACAGAGTTTAGAATATGACATTGCAATGAGCTAAGTTAATAATGAACTAGGAAAAGGTTAAATTCTAGGTGAGAATAACAGCTTGAGTTATGATGCTTAATGCCGTGCGTTGACTCTGGCCTCTAATTTATTCATTCTCTTTATGGGCAAAGGGCTCTTGGAAAAGCCTTAGGTCATAGGTTTTGAACAATGTCCAAAATGCATATTTAAACAAAAAAGGAAGTGAAATCTCTTGGTACAGATGCAATTTGCTGTTTGCTAATGGAAACATCACATAAAGGACTATTTCAAAAATTATATACCAAATATTAGACTTCTAAAATGCAATGTTATATATCTGGGGATACACTCTCTACACCAGGTGGGTCACCCATGCTTATAATTCCTTTCTTAGACCAGCCTTCATGAACTGTTAAGCTTTCTGTTTAACCAAGCACTAAGAATGCCCCCTCAGGTTTCCTTCCAATTTTCATCACATTCTACCTCTTTATTGAAGGCTTAAACTGCACAATTATTGCACTATCAACATATAGTCAAATTGTCAAAAAGAAGAACACATAATTCAAACATATATACTTCAAAATACTTGTTAAAGAGTGAATGAGTGGACCATGAGAAGAAATGTTATTTCGATATTATTTATTTGAAATAACATGTTTAGCCACTAGATGTCACCCTTTTTAAGCAACAAAGACTACTTCACAAAGTGTGACATCAATAGCAGTTACATTTGTTCCACTGTATTTGATGTTCTCCATATGGTTCTCGGCTACATACTGGACACTTTAACAGTGAAAAACTCTTTGGTCTCTCTAAAGCTCTAAGAGAACAGAAAAGTAAGATGACAGAAGGCTTATTAAACATAGTTAAACCAGCTAATCGTGGAATGCTAACAACTGAAATATAATTATTAATTGGCAAATAGAGTCAGTAGTCATACAGACTCTAAAGTTTACTCAAAGTTTAAATTGGATTTGACCGTGGAACTATAAATATTATTCACAAGAAAACTTCCTCTCCCCATCTTCACAATATTTTATGTATGGAACATTGTCGTAACATCTGAACAATTACACTTATTTGAGCAGCGTGATATTGTAGGCTTTTGGGTCTTTTCTTTGTTTATCACTCTTCTCACAGGTGGTATTTGATTTTCAGGTGAATAAAAAAGTAAAACACACTAAGGGACACAAAGTTAAGTTTCAGCAAAACATTTCTTTTCCTATCAGGGACAATGAAGTGATGACTGGAAAATACCTTGTCCTTGACTTGTCCAAATCTGTTGCATTCCATTCCTAATTAAAGAACTCCGATCTCCTAATGCAAATGAAGTACAATATAAGATACTTGGTACAGAATAGAGAGCCAAGGCTAGAAGTTGACAGCACTGAGATCAGTCACTGACATCACTTAAAAAGAAGCTTAGGAGTGTGAGAAAACAATAAACAGAAAAACAACCAAGGTTTTCCTTAACGTGGCCTTCATGAGTCAAGCCTAATTTAAGTCCCATAAATTTCCATGGCTAAATTGTTAAAATGCAACAACAGCTAATAACATATAATTTTCCAAAAAACTTAAAAGCAAGGTTCTCATACACACACAAAATAAACAGCCATGAAAGATCTCATTCAACCCACTAAATAGTGGCGGAATCAGTAAGATGGTAGGAAGGCCAGAATTCTTTCTTATAGCATATAAGAGAGATTATATCTCCAAGGAATGGAGATTATATTCTACAGTCAGCTCATCAAAGGTCTGCTAAAATAAACTTGGTGATAGTTACAAACTAATGTCCTACAAAGTCACAAACCATAAACTTTGAGGTTATATTTTCTGCTTAAGAGAAATGATCTCCACTGGGCAAAGTCTACATGTTACTATGCACATTCTCAGTGAGTCAACGAAGTACTTAGGGGTCAGTACTAAATAATTACCAAACAATACTTGGGCTAGGGTGTTACAGAATGTCACCCATCTTTTTCCTGTATATTGTAAATTTTGGATTTTTTTTTTCATATAACCCCATACCTATTGATCACATATAATGCTGTATTAGTCCATTCTCTCACTGCTACAAACAACTGCCTGAGACTGGGTAATTTATAAAGAAAAGAGGTTTAATTTGTTCATGGTTTTGCAGGCTGTGCAGGAAGCATGACTGGGAAGGCCTCAGGAAACTTACAACCATGGCAGAGGGTGAAGGGGGAGGCAGGAACATCTTTCATGGCCAGAGCAGGAGGAAGAGAGAGAAGGAGAAGGTGCTACACACTTTTAAACAACTATATTTCATTAAGAACTCACCATCATGAGAATAGCAAAGGGAAAGGCCCCATTGTCCCATCACCTCCCACCAGGCCCCTGCTCCAACACTGGGGATTACAATTCTACATGAGATTTGGGTGGGGACACAAATCCAAACCATATTAAATGTTCAAGTGATACACTTAGTGTTTTACATACATCATCTCATTTTATTCTCACAATAACTGCTTATGAGTAGGGGCTGGTACTACCTCAGCTCAGAGACCAGAATACTGAACAATCATAGAAGATTCTCCAGGTGACAGACCCCTGAAAGACCAAGCTGAACTGTGAACCTGGTCTGCCTAGATGGTCTTTCTCTTGGGAGCTTAGACTTAACATAGATTTAAACATTGTCTAGAAGATTTTGAAATTCCACAAAATGAGGCATATGTGAGCACAATACAATCCCTTTGTCCTTGTTCCTTGTCCATGCTGAGAGAAATCTCAAGTACAAGACCTGTGTGTGCTAGGAGGTCAAAGCTTAACTCCGAACACTGACATTCTCTAGAATTTATGTATATTACTTCTTCCCCCCCACCCCACCTCCTTCTATCCGGGCACTGGCTCACCCTTTGGGTTGATATAATACATGAGATCCTCTATTTCAATTTAAATAAATGGAGACTGAGAAATGGCCAGGGTTGTGAGTCATCATACAAAAGCAAGCAATATCTTACATACTGTCTATGTGGAAAACATGGTATTCTTATAATATTTGCTTTTTAATCTTCTCAGAGATGTTGGGACATACATGGAGGGAAATCTAATGTACTGATAATGATATTCAAGTAAGATGTCTGGTTGACTAAATATCTGTCCAAAGATATTTAAACTTAAGACAAATGTTGTCTTAAGTTTAAAACCTTAAAACCTTGAAAAAAATTTAGACACAATTAAAGAAACTATAGAAAATCATCTTAAATTCCTAGGATTTATATGCACAGAACTTCAGAAATGTGAGGTGCTCCAAAGCCTATTACTAATTCAGCTTCAATTCTTGTAAAGATTTTACCACTCAGTCAGTGGCTGAGGAAATTCAGAAAACTAATCAAACATTATTACATTATCTATTAGGAGTCTAGACAGTCTCCTCACCACACATACTCCAATACAACAACTATGAAAAGGGTTTTTTTTTTTCTTCCCAGCATATTATTTCTTTATTTCCATACCAGAAAAAAGTAAAAGGAACACTTATGAATTCCCCAGTCAAATAAAAATGTGTAAGTTTGTTGGTGTATTATATTTGCATTTATACTTGCTCTAAAATATGAAGAGTTCTATAAAACAGAAAAGTATTACTTTTTATGTAGTCAGTCTGTTGTTCAGTGTTCAGCTTCTTCGGGTTTCATGGATTATAAAGTCTTTTAGGACAGAAGATATTCCCTACAAGCTATCATGTAACATTTACAGCTTTAAAGGTAGATGTAATTTTAATAATAACATGCCACATTTAAGGCTCTATTAGGCACAGCTCTGGTTGCCTTTGATTTATTCATCAACGTGAGGAATCTGAAATTTTCTAAAGTCTAATTTTTGAAAAAAAATATTCAAGTGGTCTCTTTGCATTAAACCATCCGCTTTACATGATTGCAGTGACTTGTTTTTAGCACTGAAGCTTCCCTTTTTGATTAAATTTCTTGTTCAACCAATTGAATTCTTTGGAAAGCATGTATTTCAAATGAAGTATATTGTTGTTAGCAGAGTAGGAAAATAATTATAATCCAATCCTAATTCCTATTGGATAGCATCTTAAGGAACTCATGTAAATTTAACATATTATTAATGCAAATTAATTTGTTCATCACCAAAGAATTAGCTGAAGATGGTACTCACGCAGGTTTAATCGTATGGGCATGCTTTTCATGAATGAAGGCACCAGCAATTCCTCCTGCTCCTGCATTTAAATACTAGATTGAAAATAAATTAAATTATGTGGGTTTACTTAAATATATGACAAAACTAAACAATGTAGTCATTTGAATTTTTTAATTGAAACCACAACATTTGATCAGTTCAAAATGTGTGATTATTTGTGTATTTATGATAAAACAGAAGCTTAGGTCACCTTCCTCAAAGAAAAACAAATAAAAAATAGTATTATTAGGTTGAGAATAAATGGCTATTACTTTTACGGGGCAATTTTGCTCCAGCTGGTAGAAAGCAGTTTTAATGAGATCTGGCTTTGAAATTCATACATTTAAATTATTTTGTCCTAAAATATTGTAATAATAATAAAAATATATTTTTAAAGCAAGTAAATTGTAATTGGTTTTATTTTCATGCTCCCTGTCAACTGTTTTCAAATATGAATTCTAAGTTGATTCTCTAAATATTATCTTTATATATGCAGAAATTTCACAACTTATCAATAAAAAAACTAAAAAGATGATCAATTTGAATTAAGTGTAGGGATTTTTCTACAGAACCTCCTGACTTTTTCATAGCAGCCAAGGAATTGAAGAATTAATTTCTCTATATTGATAGAAATACTAGAATTATATTAATTATCATACTATTCCATCATATAACTCGATTAACAAAAAGCAGAAAATACAATAAAAGAAATAGGGAAAGTAACTCAAATCTTTAAAATTGGCCCACAGACCCAGTTTCTCCTTCAGATTAAAGTCAATGTGAAATAAAGGGATGTAAATGTATTAACTCGTTTGTACCTTGTAGGAACACCAGCAGGCAAAATCAACTCCCCAGTCATGTAAGTAGAGTTCAACATTTCCAACTGCATGTGCTAGATCAAAGCCAACATAACAACCCTAGGGAAGAACACAATAATAAGCTTTAAGTTTGCTTCATGATTAGAAATAATAAGTACAAATATTTTTAAGAAAACATTTGACAAACTTCTGTACCATAAATTATGGTTTGCTCTTTGATGCAATGGTTCACAAAGTATGATCCATAATTCCCAGGACCCTTTCAGAAGGCCCACCAGATCAAAGCAATTGTCATCATGCTAAGACATTCTTTGCCTTTTTTGCTGAATTGACACTTGCATTGATAATGCAAAAGCAGTGATGGGTAAAACAGCTGCCACCTTAGCAGGAGCCAAGGCAGCGGTACCGAACTGTACTAGTAGTCATTACATTGGTTCCAGCCTTTCACCTGGGGGCATGGGAAAGTTTCATGTGAAAATATCCTTGTGAAAACTGTAAAAATGATCAATTTTCATTAAATCTCAATATCTTAATTCTATATTTTTAATGTTGAGTGTGGGAAGTACACATAAAACCCTTGACCACATTCTGATGTAGGATGGCTATCTTAAAGCAATGTATTTATGCAATTATTTGAGTGGCAAGCTGAACCTGCCACTTTTATATCATGGACAACCATTTCTGCATGAAAGAGCAACTGACAAACAATGACGATTCACATGTGTGATGTATTTAACAGATATTCTTTTGAAAATGGAGTGTCACTTCAATAAAACAACTTATAATATTTGCTGCCAATGATAAAATTAGAGTTTCCAGGGGAAATTAGAATATTGAAAAACTTGTATCCACTTCCATGAGTATGACTAGCTCCCATTATTGAGATAATTCTGATGAATATAGTAGTAATACATAATTTCTAATTATTATATGATTAAATATGTCAATATTTGGAAAATACACATAATTCAATGAACCAATATTTTCTGAATGGCCAATGCTCGATGTTACATATTGTGCATTGATAAAGGATCTATTCAAAATGCAAGTTCAGTCAATGAATTTTAATATAATAAAGTACAGAAAGTTCAGTGATTCAGCTTCAAATTCCATACCAGAACTCCTAAAAAGTTCTCACTTGTCAAATTCTGATGCAGTATCAAAGAATACACAAAATTGACGGAAAGGCTATTCAACTACTCCTGCCTTTTCTGATTACATATCTTCATGAGTGCCTATTTTCTTTGTAAGATTCAAAAAGAGAAAAAAAGAGATTGAATGCAGGTATAAAAAACCAGCTGTCTTTTATTAAGTCAGGTGCTAATACGATTTGCCATATATAAACAATGCTACTGTTTTTTAAAGAAAACATAGTTTGTATAACAATATTTTGCTTATGTTAATATGTAATGCATTTGTTGTTATTCTAAAACAAATAAATACATTTTAAAATTTTGTTTTAATTGCAAATACAGTAAATACAGATATAGAGCCAATGTCAAATCTCCTAAGACCCTCAGTGGTTTTTAAGAGTGTAAAAGGTTTCCTTTTCTAAAAAGTTTCTGAACTGCTGCTTAAGTGTATCCTAGTAATATGAAAGAGTCAATAGTTTTCTTGTTTAGCATTTAATCCCACATCATGTGCATATTTAATCAGTTCAAGTATATACACTGTTATAAATTCTATCAATGGTTCTGCTTCTCTGCCCTCTCTTGCGCCCATGTTATTTGCCATGTAAGTTCTAGTTCCTCCACTGTGGGTAAGGTGTAAGTTTCAGCCACTGGGATCAGCCATGTGACTTGTTTAGACCAACAGAATGTTAGCACATGTAATAAAAATAGTCTCAGAAAAGTACTTGAGTGACTAAGCTTGCTCCCTCTTGCTCTCTGCCATCTCTATGAGAAGGACTTGCTTGGGCCAAACTGCTGGCCCAGATGGAAGATAAAAGAAATGTGGAGCATAATCATCCTCACCTGAACTCAATCTGGATCAGCTGCTCCTCCATGCCCTCCTCACCCCTTGCAGTTTGCCACAGAAACATGAATGAGCTCAGCTGAGACTTGCAGAACCCCTCCAGCCAAGTCCTACCTTGATGCTCTGATGCCAAGGTGATCCATAAAATCAATGGTTATTGTTTTAAGACAACAAGTTTCAAGATGATTTGTTACACAGCATTTTAAGGGAAGAGTGAATTGATATACTCAGCTCCCAAAAACCAAGACATCCTTTACTTGGTCTTAGGAATTACCCCTGCCATTCCTCTTAAAGAGTACAAGATACCAAAGGATCACAAGATGGAGGCTTGGATCAGTTACTGCGTGAGTTCTTCTAGTTCTCATGTTAGAATAAGAGTAACAATCCTTGCTTAATACTATTTGGTAAGCAAAATATGCATACTTTGATACAGTACAGATCCTCAATGTGAGCCAGCTGTTTTATATGGTGCTTAATTTTTAAAAAGTATTCTTATCCAAAAATAAAGAGGAAGAATGAAGTTGTTTGGGAGAGAATTTCAAAGTTTAATATTAACTCTACTGTCTCCTTCATACACATTGACTTTGTACCCTAAGAGTCTCTTCTGATCTGACTCCATTCTGTTTTAGTTATTTACTTGTCATGAGGTTTTAAGTGTTTTGTGTGTCTGCCTAGTGGAATTCACAATGTTAAAAAAGCAAGTCTCTGTTTCCACTAAATTCCCAGAAGCACAAACTGGAACAATGAATACATATTATCCAAATTGTACCCAAGTAGGAAGTTTCTAATTTATTTGCTGATGATCAAAGTCATTTAACTTACTGCATATCAAAATGTTGCAATGTTTACTGAGAAAATATAAAGATTCATTCCACATTAAGACAACTTTGTACATGAACATGAATTTAAAAACTGGCTAAATGCAGGTGATAGAACTTTGCAAAACATTTTACCTCTGGGTTTGTGTATGACTGGTTTACCAAGTGTAGTTTACTATGTGTACGATTAGTTTACCAAGTGCACATACCTGCTCCAAACTAGATTTTTTGGAACACTGAAGGCACACAACTCTCAATGGAATTAAAGTTTTTGAAGTAAATACTTAAATAAATTTTAGAAGTGTTCTAACACTTCCTAAGAAAAAAAGAACCCCAAATTACAAATACAGGTGTTTTCCCTAGAGAAGAGACATGCAAACTATAGTCTGTTTCTGTAAATTTAATTTTGGATCACGGCCAGTCTCATTTGTTTAAATATTGTCCATGGCTGCTTTTACGCTACAGCAGCAGAAATGAGTTGTTGCAACAGGGACCATATGGCCCACAAAGCCTAAAATATTTGCTACTTGGTTCTTTACGGAAAGATGTGCTTACCTCTACCCTATAGGATTGGTTTGCATAAAGAAACCTCAATATACTGAAAAGTTAATTAATTAAAACCTCATTCACTATAGTATGACTGGAGTTAGTATCTCACAAAAGGACAATATATCAGCACAATATAACTGTATTTTGAGGGAGGAAGGGAGATTAATTTATTCTTTGTTCCTCACCAAAGAAAATGAGCAATACGTACCATGAAAATAAGACAAGTGCTCCATTGTAATATAAGTTTAAGGAGTAATAGGACATGAATATAATTAATCTTCATCAAAACTTAGAAGTCATCAGGTCATCACAACCTAGGTTTGGAGACTAATGTTTAGCTTTAACAGACACACACACACCCCTCCACACACATTTATTTGTTTATATTTTAAGATATACTTATAATACTGAAATTCCATATGGGGAAAAAAGTTAATTATTCTAAATTTGAAACTCTCTTTTCTTCTCTTCAACATTTCCAATTAAAGCAACTTTTATGAAGCAATTTTTACAGCTCAGATTTTCACAGATTTGTTTTTACAACTCAATTTTTCTAAGAAAACTCAAGAAATAGAAAAAGCAGCACTTTCATTATCAATTACTTATAAAGAATGGCACACTGAAGAAACCACAAACCTTTATGTACAATATCCCATTATGAAAATCCTTCTGGCCACATTTGTGGTACCACGTTGAAAAATCAAGTATGACTTCTACACTATGTTTAATGCATTTGTAATTATTTCCCCATTGGTTGGTAGACAATATAAATTATTAAAATATAAAATGTATTGAGAAAAGAACTGGAAGATACAAACATGAATATCACTGCAAAGTGATTTCACAAAAGTGTCACTAGATGGCAGCATCTTAAACATTAAAAAAATCTAATGGTTCTCCAAAACCTTTCTACAGCCATCCAGTTATTTTCATTGTTTTGCCTCATGTAGGTAACATGATATGCATATGTGAAAGCAAACACTCTATACTTGAGTAGCTACTTTATGCAATTTTTCAATAAAAATCAAGTATTTTTCAACACATTTTATTTAAAATTACCCACAGGTGCTCACACTCATGTTGATACAATCACACTCATACTGACACAGCTCACACTCATATTGACACAACCAGCACAGCATTGTTCAGCCACCATGCCACCTTACTTTATAGTCAATCCAAAACTTGCAATCATTTTCAGGCCATTCTGATTATTTCCAGCCTGCCTTCCTCCCAGAAACATTATAAATCATACATTTGATTATAAGACTCACTGCCTTTGTTCACAGAGCCCCCATTAATTTCAGAATGCAACTCATAGTCCTTGGTATGGTTATCAGAGGTGTTTGAATCAGAGCAACTCCATCTTGAGTAGGGCCTGGGTAAAATAAGGCTGAGACCTGCTGGGCTGCATTCCTAGTAAGTTAGGCATTCTAAGTCACAGGATGAGATAGGAGGTCAGCACAAGATACAGGTCATAAAGACCTTGCTGATAAAACTGGTTGAGTAAAGCTGGCCAAATCCCACCAAAACCAAGATGATGACAAGAGTGACCTCTGGTCATCCTCACTGCTCATTATAAGCTAATTATTAGCATTATAAGCTCATTATAAGCTAATTATTAGCATTATAAGCTAATTATAAGCTAATACATTAGCATGCTAAAAGACACTCCCACCAGTGCTAGGACAGTTTACAAATGCCATGAAAACATCAGGAAGTTACCCTATATGGTCTAAAAAGGGGAGGAACCCTCGGTTCTGGGAATTGCCCAACCCCGTCCCAGAAAAATCATGAATAATCCACACCTTGTTTAGTATATAACAAGAAATATAATAACCATAAAAATGGGCAACCAGCAGTCCTCGGGGCTGCTCTGCCTATGGAGTAGACATTCTTTTATTCTTTTACTTTCTTAATAAACTTGCTTTCACTTTACTTTATGGACTCACCTTGAATCCTTTCTTGTGAGAGATCCAAGAACCCTCTCTTGGGGTCTCTTGGATTGGGAGCCCTTTTCTGGTGACATAGCTATTTATTTTTTATTTTTTAAGTTTTTGTAGATGAGTTCTCACTACGTTGCTCAGGCTGGTCTTGAACTCCTGGGCTCAAGCCATCCTTATGCCTCGGCCTCCCAGCGTGCTGGTATTGCAGGTATAAACCACCATACCCAGCCCTCCTGGGTATGACTAAAGATCTGTATGATCTGTTAGTGCCCCTTGTTCAGATACCCCATATAGACTTCTCTCTATTTACATAAACTTTTCCCTTTCCTGGGGATGTGCTTTCTCTCCTCCATTTGCCTAGCAAGCTCAGATTTTGATCACCAGATAACTTTGAGTGAAGATTCTTTAACCATCTTTCTCTTCTCTCTTATTCTACTGCCCTGTTTGTATATCTCTCTTGTAACAATTTTCTAATCTTACTGTCTTCTCTCACACAGTATGAACCCAAATAATTGTTGAATAAAAAAATAAATGAATGAACAAATAATAAAGTCTTACAAAAGTCAATAGCTATTCTCTAAAGTGATGTTAAATTTGTAAGAATATTATGTGAGGGATTCTGTTTCTGATGCAATTTTATTGCATGTGCTCTTTATTCAGAAATGACATCTTTTAGAATGAAGTATCTTGGGCAAAATAGTAGTTGAGAATATGTTCAAAATCATTCTCAATTAACAAGAAATATCGTGTGTGTTTTGTCTTTGCCATCTTCACTAACACAAAACTAAAATTTTTTCTAATTAGTGAAATAATATGATACATAGGGCCTGTGCTGAAATTTCCAGGAGAAAAGCTAGCTCACTCTTTCCTAACTTTGATTAATTGCCTATTGAAATGAAACATAAAATGGTAAAGCTGAAGTATTTTCCTAGTAGCATTAAAGCTCTGATCACTTTATTGATTGATTTGGTATCAAATTGATTTTGGACTATTATTATTGTTATTATTTAGTTTATTCCTTTTTCACCAAGATTAAATCCTGTGAACTGTGAAGACTCTTAATAATTAGCAAATTTGGTATGAAAAATAGTACTTATACAAGATAAGATATTTGTCACTATACCCGGGGCTGATATATAGATGGTATGCATTGATACGCTCTTATTAATTATTAAAATAATAAAATAGTTAAGGTACATAAAAAGTCTTTGTCCTAAGCCACCTGACTAACCAACCATGGTTGCAGCCCTTGAGTTCATGAGAGGTGTCTGCGAATATCAGCCTGTGAATGTTCACTGCTAGGGACTGGCCCAGACTCCAGTGGATGAGACAATGCCTTTGCCAGTGCCACTATCATTATGGTAGGTGAATTCCAGGTGACTATCAGTACCTTCTAATAGGCTAATGATGGATACTACCTGGTATTAACATGGAGTATGACCTTCTTTGTGACTGTGGGAAATGCAGCTTCTATACCATACCAATCAGAACTTTAAGTGTTCTGAATATCATTTCTTGCTTGATGCAAAAGTAATAAGAAACAATCCAAGAACTACAGTGCTATAAATTTGGACAATATTACTTTTTAAAAAGTATAATGGGAAATTTAAAGAAAATGAACGAAAAAAAGAAAACGGTATAGGGAGATGTGTGTCTGGGTGTGTGTGTGTGCACACATGCTGGTCATCTTTATATAGAGGGTAGGAATAAATGATTAGCAATAATAGGTTGGCTAGTTAACTCTGATATTGGAATTTCCCAAAGGAATTCCTAATTAGGGAGTTTTTGAATAGTACTAGAGAAAGTTGGGAATGGAAAGGAGGAAGATGAAAGCTGGTAGGTTTTTTTGCCACAGTCTTGGAGCATTTAACTTTCCAGAACTCATTCAAGTGTTATGATTCAAAAGCATACTTAGGTGCTAAGTTAAAAACAACAGTAAATATTTCTATAAGAGGGGCCTCCACTATCTCTGTAAATGCCTCTTTTCAGAGTGAATTTCTATTCTGAAAGTTCTGCTTTTCATGCAGACTAAATTTGCCACGGCCTTCAAAAATCCTTCTCACTCTTTATTTTTCCTTTCCTCCCAACTCTCTGGTTATGAGTAGGAACTAAGCATTATTTGCATATTATGTTCATGCTGTACTTAAAGTCAGTAAGTTCTACAGGTCACAATTCCTTTCCAAAAATTATTTAATATAGCTATCTACTATTTTATGCAATGTATTAAGCTTCATTTATTTATATCAGTATAGTATAGTTCAATGAGAATAGCAACTCCTCACTATTAAAACATGAAACAATAGAAAATGAAAATCAACACAAATAAAAAGGAAAAAGACACAATCTTCAAGTGGAGCTTCAGTGAAATTTAGTAGAAATCATGTCACACGGCAACCAGAACCAAAGCTTACGTTTTCTGCAGGACAAAACCAGAATACTGTTCCAACTTATTTTAATCCTATGGCTCTTATAGTTAATATAAGATATCAAAAAATGAATATGATTATTCATATATATATATATCCACACAAAATTCCATCCAGGAAGCTAGCCACCTGAAAATCAATTCTAAATGCTCACATTTTAGTTGAGCACCAAACAGGAACAGAAACGAGAAAAATTCAGATGGTAGAAAATATTTGAGCCTCAATTTTGTAAACCACAGCTAAAATTCTAAGGCCCCATCTGAATGGACCCCTCCTCTTGGCCAAGGGCATTCCAGAGTTAACCTGAGAAGCTAGTTCAAGCCATGATGGAAGAGGGGATGGACATACTTCATTATGCTTTCCAACATTAACATCAACACAGACCATAAGTCTGATAAGAAATATTTACATTCTATTCCCTCTGAAGCCTGCTACTTGGAGGCTTCATCTGCGTGATAAAACCTTGGTGTCCACAGCCCCTTACTGGAACCCAGCCATTCCTTTCTATTGATAATAACTCTTTCAACCAGTTACCAAAAATATTTTCAAATCTACCTATGACCTGGAAGCCCAGCCCTCTCCTCCCCAGGCTTTCAGCTTCGAGTTGTCTTTCCCTTCCAGATTAAACCAATGTAAATCTGGTATGTATTTACTGATGTATTATGTCTCCCTAAAATGTATAAAAGCAAGCTGTACCCTGACCACCTTGGGCACATGTCATCAGGAGCTCCTGAGGCTGTGTCATGGGTATGTTCTTAACCTTGGCAAGATAAACTTTCTAAATTGACTGGGACCTGTCTCAGATACTTTTGAGTTCACAACCTTCTGATAAATTACCTAAAATTAAGGTAATTTACCTAATGATAGATTTCAAATATATCTTTTACCAAATATTTTAAAATGTAAGTGCATAGAGAAGGCGATCATTACAAAAAACCTTTACACAACAAATAACTTGGAAAAACCCCGTTGTCCTAGAGCTACTGAATGACTGTATTTGTGTCAATATATACAAACAGAGGAGACAACAGGCCCTGGTAGAGACAACACTTCTCCATGCCACTCAGGTGGGCTAATGCTAGAGAACTGGATGCCATGAATATACTTGGGAGATTCCAGAAAGGTTAAATGTGGAGCCTTGATAAGTAAGCAACAACAAAGAAAGGGCCCCAGGTGGGGAAGAATAATGAATAATTGTTCTGAGAAATGTTAATCACAAGTAACCTGTGGACACAGTGACCTCCTTCCACACATAGCCCCAGCAGCATGGCTTCGGTCAGCATGTGGCCCCCTCCAGCACAACCCCATAAAACTTCCCTCCACCCCTTGCCTCTCTGCAGACAGCCTCTTCTCTGTTGTAATGCCCATTGCTTTCTTGCAAGGTATCTTCATACCTTCTCTAATAAATCTGCCTTTCTTCACCTATGACTGTCGTGGTAAATTCCTTTACCACCCATGACGAGCCCCAGCTAGTCGCACCTGTGACATTAATTTTGAAGATAAGAAATCCAATAAGGGAGTGTTCTGAATCAAAAAATGGGTATCATGAGAAAAGTGTGCACAACAATCAAGGAACTCATTGAATTAAAAATGAGTATCTTTAACTTGGAATCAGAATGAAATTAGAGTAAACATGTTTACGTAGTGATTTAAAAACTCTGGTATGGATCCAAGGATAAGCTAAACAGTGAAATGAATTCATCAAGATATATTCATTTATTTATCAACTTGTGCAAATTAGGCTAACACAGAATTAGGGAGATGGGAGAGCTCCCTGGACCCCTTCAGAGGATTTGCGACCTGGGTGTGCTTCACTTACTCAGCTGCTTGTGGGAGGGGGAGCATGCAGGCGAGTGTGTGCTGGGGCCAGGGTGAATGCTTTTGGGCTCCAGACCCATGGTAGCATCTAGGGGTATGTTACAATTAGTGCTCTTTCAGCAGTTGCCTTCCATGGATGGCCAAATGTTAACAAGCTCAGTGTGGAGTCAGGTGACAGTCTTTTACAACTTGCCCTCTTGGCACCTAGGAGGTCCTTGTCTGGCATACAGGAAGAATGAGGTCACAGGGACTTAAAGGATGGTGAATTGAGTGATGGAGGTGGGATCTCAGTGGGATGAGGAACTGGAAAGGGGATGGAGTAGGTAGCTAATTTTCCCCTGGAGCTTGGCTGTCCCAGCTGAAATCCTCTCTGACTGTCCAGCTGCCTCTTTGATGTTCAGATGCTTCTTCTCTCCTTTTCTGCCATGCCACTCTGCTCCTCTGCCAGAGGAGTTTGGGGTTTTTATGGGTACAGGATTTGGTGGGGGGAGCAGTCATGGTGAGCCAGGGTGGTTTTGGAAAAAACAACATTTAGGCAGGAAAACAGGGATAACTGTTCTCATTTAGGGCCATGGTCTCCAGGCTTGAGGGTGAGGCCTCTGCTGGGGAAGTGCCTCTTCTACCAGTATTTCCGTGGCTCCTGACTTTATCATTAGAATTTTATTACCCACTGATTTCAAGCCATACCCTAATATTTTAAAAAAGTGTAGTAGCTTATAACTATTGCTACTCTAAAGGAAAATATGAAGGGAATGTCCTGTGGGAAAAGAGTCACAGAATGGGTAGTTGGAGAGAAGAGGCTGGACAGAAGCAAGCTGATGCTTGTCTTTCAATAAAAACCCTGGATTCCTGAACAGCGATGGTGAAGATGCTGAAGATGGCCAAGCTATCACAATTTGTATAGGCCTTCTTGAGCTATGTTTATTTCACAAGAAGGAGAGCCTTTACATTTTTTAAAATTAATATGTAACTCAAGTTACTCTTTGTTTAAGTTCCAGAAGGCTTCCAGCAATGTGATTTACATAGCTAGTCAGTTACTCCTTGGGGGAAACTGGCAAAGAATCTGGCACCATTGTTATGCCCTCTAGTTATGCAAATAGATGGCAGGGGGAAATGACAGCTTCTCAACTTCAGTGGTGTGAAAGGAAAATAAAAACTGGGACCTCAATTTACTAGGCCAAAAGGAAAAAGCTGAAAGCTGAGTCATACTAGAAGCTGCCTTTCCTGTTTTTCTTAAGCAGATAGCTACAGATAAAAGGTTAAATCCTACTCTACGTTCACCTTATTTTATGTAAAGTGCTGATTTACTGAGCATGAGAGGAATACATAATTGATTATTCCCTTACCTGCTCCTTCTCTCTTGCACCATGTGGGTTACCATACCCTTCCTCTTTCCCCTCCAGCCCACTTTTCCCTTTACTGAGGCCCTCAAAATTATCTTTGTAGAAAGGCACAGACCACAGTTTCTGTGATTCCGTTTTTATTTCTTCTGGGCATGTACTTATCCTTGGAATAATAGACTTCTAAACTGAGTGAGACTTGTCTCAGATACTTTTTGGTTGACTATGGGAATGAATGCTCTGAACTATCTGAATGCTCTCCTTGAGGTTATTCAGTTTGTGGTTTTGGGCAACTTTAAAGCTAAACGAATTGGAGCATACATAAGTATACTTTGGGTGGTGTTAGAACATGTCGAGGGTGTTTTTTCTAAGACACCTTAGTGAATCTATTGTCTCCCGTTGTCAAGCACTTAACACAGTCTAAAGCAATATTCTCTTTACATATTTCTATGTCACATCTGATTCTGATCTCTTTAAAGACAGAGATGGTGGGATTTTTTTCTTTTATTCTCTATTTTCTGTCTGTCTCTTTTTAAACCCAGAGCCTGACGTAAAATGAGAGGTCATTATACATCTGAAAGAATAAAATTTCTTGAGTGTAATGTACACCTCAGCTGGTATTAGACAATGGGAGCGAGGGATGAGTACTTCCTGCTGGAATTCTCTCCAGTGGTTTGCAGCTGTGTTTCCCAAGCACACGGAGGCTTGCAAGCTCTTAATTAGAGGGAAAGCTGCTGCAAACACCCCAAAGGTCACTGAAGGTATGAGGATGGGAGTAGTAATGCAGCCATCATTGCTGGGAGCTGTTGCCAATGGAGCAACTGCCTAAGAGACCTGCCAGAAGGAGATAAAAGGGGTATGGAGGGGCCAGTGTATTGGGGCTTCCCTATATGAGGGTAATTGGAAAGAGTAGGCTTGAGGTTCTGAGAAGGAACAGTGATGAATGCTGGCACTATCTCATTCAGAAAGACTTTTGATGCTTATTGACATTTAGGCTATGCCTTCTTGACATTTAGGAGCAAAGTAAAACTTGTGAGTTTTCAATATTCTCAAGAGAGACAATTACGTAGACTACAGAGACAGAGGTCTCAGATTACCAAGAAAATAAAGGACCAAGAAAAAGATTATATATTTTTTCTTTGATGTTTCTAAATGCTGACACCAATTTGCCATTATATGATTAGTTTATATATACATACAAAATATATATAATGTGTATATATGAGATTAGTTTATATATAAATATATATTAGATGTATATATGATTTGTGTGTGTGTGTGTGTATATATATACACTAATCATGTAATGGCAAATTGGTGTCAGCATTACAAACATCAAAGATACAATCTTTTTCTTGGTCCTTTCTTTTCTTGGTAATCTGAGACCTCTGTCTCTATAGTCTACATAATTGGCTATGTATGGCAAATTCATACATATATATGTAGAGAGAGACCTCATCTCTGTAGTCAGTCTCTCTCTCTCTCTCTCTCTCTCTCTATATATATATATATATATATATGGCCTCTGTCTCTGTAGTCTACATAATTGACTATAAATGGCAAATTCATATATATATATAGACAAGACAATACTGTGGAAAGAGAGCTTTGGTATCAGCTATAGCTAGACACAAATTCTAGCCTTTACTTGCCAGCTAAATTGCCTTGAGGAAGTGCTTAAACTCTCTCAGATTCACTCTCCTCAAATGAGCAGTGGTGAAAACTTACTGTTAGGGTTGCTAGGAAAATTGGAAATACATGTCAAGTACCAGAAACACAGTAGGCCATCAACTGTAGCTATTATCATTCACATTTTTACGAAGCATTATTTCAGAGACTAGATTCACTGTTTCATCTCTGCTTGCTTAAAGTAGACATTGGCAAGATTGTCAAATCCAGAGATGAGAGATAAGAGGAGGGAAGAAAATGAGCATTTTGCTAATGAAATTTAAGGGAAAGGTGTGAATTGAGAAGGTATTAGAGAGAACTGACAGCTGGATGGATAAGAGTAAAGGGTTTGGAAGAAAGGAAAAGCAAACCAATCCTGAGCCCCTAAACCATTGTATAATTTGCAGGTACAATAATCACGCCACTTTAAATAAAGTATATGCTTGAAAGAGCAAATTTCAGCTGTTTCTTTTTACCAGAAAAAAATAATTGTCTTTACTTACTGTCAAAAGTAAGTATGAAAACCAAGAAAAATTAAATAAATTCAGTCATGCTGTTCTCTTCTACAGTCTTTCTCTGGCTAGCAAGGACCTCACACAAAATGTAGTTTGTTTGATTTATTTCTGAGACTCAAGATGGGAAAAATAGCTTAAGGTAGTTTTTCAAGCTTAATTTAGTTCATTTAATATTTAATGACTTAACGGAGCAGTCTGCACGTCCTAAGTGTGTCAAAGAATAGAAGTGGAATTTGAAAAAGAACTCAAAACTTACAAAAAGCATCTTGATTTTTTAGACTAATTAACCATTATAAGTTATTCTGTAGAAGCTTCTGATTCTTTTTAAGCAGGAATACAGTTGTGCTTTTTATGCAGTACTGTTCCATCAAATCAACCTGGTCCACTTGACTGCTGATGTACACACATTTATACATTCACTTGTCTAGCAGGTATGTATTTAATGATGAAAGACTATGTGCAAAGCACATGAATCTGTGAAATTTGCAAGGTCTACCCTCAATCAGTCATTGAACACTCTACTGACATAGCTTCCTAAATTTGAGAGTTAAAATAGGCATAGAAGTAATTATAAGACAGTGCAAACGGTGGCCAATGATACATTTTTCATCATGGTGTGGAAGTATAGCAGGAAGACAGATATATCCTGATACAGAAAAGTGAGAAAATGTTGCCAATAAAAGTCAAGGATTTCATTTGCAGGTTTCTACAAGAGTCAGTCAAGCAATGTACGAGTTGGGCCTGCAAGAAATACTTTATTTTACACTTCATTGTAAGAATATCATAAGCATGAATACACACACACACACACACACACACATAATGTTGTGGTATTCATATAGATATATTCACCAGCGATGACTTGGCTTCAATGGTGGGCTCAGTGGGTAAACATGGATGTTGTGTCGAAGAGCTTAAGCCCCATCTAAGGGACAGAGCTGCTACCCAGTGTTGCCACCTATAGGAATGAAGGTCCATTGTTGTCAAACTTCTAATTTTTTGGAAGATATTTGAAACCAGGAGTCTTTATATGAAATCTCATGATTTCCTATTGTTGGCATATGACTACATTTTAAAAATACACCATGTTTGCTAATACAATGAGGGCCTACACAAAGCAAACCTCTAGGACAAGTTGTAACCTGTGAAGCAAGTAATGGTTGACTGGGAATAGAGGAAAGGAGAATCTTCACTTGTGGGAATATGTAGGTGGAGGGAAAGCTAAAAAGGAAGACAAGGAGGCACAAAGTAGGACATTGAGACAGGGAATATATACAACTTTTGGCTTAGCTGATATATGTTATGTGAAGGAGAACAGTGGAAAATATGATACTGATAATTCAGCATATGCAAAATCATAAAGAGCTGAAGTTATTTGCATTCTATTCCACAATCAGTAAAGGAACAATGGTCATCCTGTGGGAGAAACACGATGCAGGAAATTCAAGTAGGCAAAACATGGTGCCAATCACAACTGTCCCAACAAAGTCCAACTGACTTTTCAGACACATGGTGACTTTTAACCTTTATTCATCAATTTACCTACTAGTCTTATTATAAAGTGGATTTGAAGCAAGTATTTAATTTATCCATCACGTACTAGTGACAGTTATATCTGGAGATAGCCCCATTTAGATATAAAATAAAGGAACAGTCTCCCATAAGGTATTTTTCTGCTGATTACTGTGTCAACATGAATGGCCTATTCCTCAACCAAATTTACTTTATTTTAAAATATTTATTTACATACTGAATTTGATAATATTGCATAGACACTATGGGACAATTCTCGAAGACACTGCTTCTAAATTGCTTCCTTTGATGCCAGGTTTTATAGACAATATGATGATTATCTTCTTTGCTCACCACCCTCCTCCATAAGATAGATTATCTGCTGCGAAAATATTTTCTCTTCAAATCGACTAACCTTTCATGTTGACATCCCTAATCTTGTTTGTATAAATAATTTAACTGATGAAAGAAGTGAATTTCAGAGAATGGTGTGGAAGAAATCTCTCATATTTTATTGGGAATTTTTTTTCTGCCCAAAGATCTTTTGGAATTCCATTTTTATTGCCATGAGACATAGCCTTCCTTTTCCACTTTTATGGAGGGTAGAATAAATTAGAACTGATGTGTACATTTCACATTGGAACACTTTCATTTTTCAGTTTAACAAAGACTTAAATCTGCCTTCCTTGGTTAGTCAAGAGGCATGAAAAATGGAATATTCAAGAATATACTCTGGGCTTTAGGCAACTTAAGTATTTTATGAAACATCTATCATCTACAAAAAACTTAAGTGTAACACTTCCTTCGGGAGGCCCTAGGTTTAGCTGTTATGCCAATGAATGAGGCTAATTCAGGAGAAATAGATATCCCTCATGGCTTTGATAAGGGTGGCTGCAGAAGCAGAGATCCTGATTGACAACCAGGAGGCTTGCTTTTCCCAGATCTGTAATCCTATAACAACATCTGGAGGCCAGGCTTCATTTCCATTGAGAATTAATCATTATTTCTCAAATGGTCTATTTAATCAAAAGCTTAAATTAAACACCTGATGAAGACTTCTTAGAAACAGCTCAAAATTTTCAGATTCTTGGGCACTGATCCTCACCAACATATTTTGACTTATTTGACATATTTTAGGCTTCCACCTGCATGGATTTAAGACTACAGATTGTTCACTATCTGTCTGAACAAAACAATCTTCCACTATTTCCAAAGTGAAGAGTAAAGACCAATTAGCTAATGGAACATTGCATCTAAGCTTTATGTCATTTTCCCCTACATCAAAATACAGGTGTAAATTCCTTAATCAACATTTTTCATAAGCAGATATAGTATATCTTCTATCACCCTGAAAATGTGTCAAGTATATATATACACGTACATATACACGTATATAAGCATACCCAAAAATATTTACAAATATATATATGTGTGTGTTTGTGTGTATTTAACATGTCTTTTTCTTGAATTCTGTGAATAGAACCAAAGGTGAGTTAAACTACAGGAGTTCAGTACAGATACTTTATTTCTGATGCTTATACGTAACCTGTTTTTATTGTCACTGAGGGAATGAGGATGAATAAAAATGATTTCCCCTGAGATAAAAAAAATTGTGTGCATGAAATGGATCTGTCCTTTCATACCTTCATCTTTTGAACTGTATCATAATGACAGAGCATATTTATTTATTTATTTATTTATTTAGAGACAGAGTCTCACTCTGTCCAGCAGGCTGGAGTGCAATGGTGTGATCTTGGTTCATTGCAGCCTCCACCTCCTGAGCTCAAGTGATACTCCCACCTCAGCCTCCTGAGTAGCTGGGACTACAGGCACACACAATCACACCCAGCTATATTTTAATTTTTTATATAGGCGATGTTTCAACATGTTGCTCAGGCTGGTCTCGAACTCCTAGGCTCACGCAATCCACTTGCTTCAGGCTTCCAAAGTGCTGGGACTACAGGCGTGAGCTACGGCGCCCACGCAACAGAGAGTTTTCAAATTCTTGCAAAGATACTGCAATTGCCTCTTTTCGTCCACCTGTATTTCATTCCAATCTATTCTCATCACCATATGCAGGATATTTCTTTGTAAAATTAATATAAATATGGCTCTTTGAATGGCTAAAACCTTTCAATGGCTTTCCATGGGTCTTCAGGGCAAAGCTAAATGGCTTAGTGGGACCTTCTTTAGTTGGCCTTTGGTCTGCTTTATAGACTTGTCCTCCCTTTTCTAAAATTACACAAATTACACTGAAATACTTGCTTCCCTGCAATCCTACCAATATTTTTAACTTTCTAGAAGGGATTTTACCTGATAACTTCTACCCATATTCTATAATTGGCTCAGATCTCATCTTCTTTAAGAAGGTCTCACCCTGACAATCCAGGTTAAGTTAGGTGTTTCTATTTGCAACTCCTTTATTATAATTTACTGACCAAATATGTACTGATAAAAGATCCAAATGCATGCTATTCTATGGTTCTACTATAGAAACAATAGCGACAGGATTCTTCTTATACACTAAGATCCTATTCGGTGAATGGCCAGTGACAATAGCAAAATGTCTCTAATGTCAACAATTTCTGGTAAAGATGACTTATTTAACATTCCAGTATTAAACTTTTATGAAAGAGGTTAATTTTTATGGATAAAAATTTCATACATTATGCTAATTTATATTTGTACACAAAAGTGTTTAGTACTCATTTATTCTAGCTAATTAATTGCTCAAGTTCTGATATCCCATGTATTATTGATATCATTCTACTGTAATAGAGATATTACAGAGATATTATTCTATTATAATATTACGACAGTTGATTTCCAATTTTCAGGACTAAAAGCATCACGGCCAAGCTTTCTGTAGAAATTTGAGGCTTGATCACTCAATGGTGTGTTCTAAAATAAACTCAAAATTGTTTTTAAAAAATAATTAGGACTATCTGAAGATAAATAGAAGGTTCACTGAGGTGGATATTCATATTTAAATGTGGTTTGGGTACCTGTGATTTTACTAAATGATTTTATTAATGATGTCTTTATTCGTATTTCTGATTTTTGCCTTAAATTATTCTGGATCCAGAAGTAATTCATTTTTATTCAAACTGCCTGGGCTATCATTGTGATTATTATTTTTTAATAATTTAAACAGCTTATGATTGAGTCTAAGAGATGTGAGACGTTTGCACCCAAACAAAGCATCATATGGCACACAAAGAAGTAGAAGCTAATAAAACAATGTTGGAGTTTGCAGAATTTGGTCTTCTTTTTAACCACCATTTGCATTCAACTTTTAGTAAGCTGAAAAAAAACAAATATGCCAGCATCCATTAGGTACACTAAAATGTGTAAAAGATGTGAGAAATTAAGGGAATCATTCATTCATTCATTCATTCATTCAACAAATACTTATTTGGCTCTTCCTAACAACTAGGTCCCATTTAAGTTTCCATGTGCTTTAAGCCACTTTAGATGAAATTAGAAAGGGATGGAGGAGTACAAAGAGTTTGTGCTGAGTTTTTTAAAAATAAGACTATTAAAATTTTTGTAAGTTCCATCTCTTAACTTTTTAAAACTTCAGTTTAGTCTCTTGAGTCCTGGCCAAACTGCTTAGATTATTCTTTTCTTTTTTTTTTTAATTCTAGTGTGGAACTATTCAGTGACAGTCTTTAATAAAAAATTCTGGATATTTCACTTTCTGCCTAAAAAATCTCATTTCTTCATTATTTCTTTTTCCAACAAGCCTGGATAGTCCAATTTTTTTTCTTAACATGTTGACAACTGCTAACATTTATTGAGTGCTTACCATCTGCTAAGCACTAAGTATTTTTAAAATGTATACCTTTTCATTCTCTTTAGAACAAACCTGTGAAGTTGGCACGATTATTTTCCTAATTTGTTAAATGGACAAAATAACTCACATTAGTAAATGAATTAAAACTATGCTGAAAAGTAATGTAGAGACCTAGAGTCAAGTCCAGGTCTGACTGTGTCTTCCTGATCTACACATTCTGTTAATGAAAATGCCATACTGCATCTTAGAATAAGTATCCTATTCCATCAGGAACACACAATAACTAGTTCCAGGTGTAGCAAAACTAACAGCTGTTCTTGAGCATGCAGTGATACTTCATTTCCCAGAAAAGGTCATGGACTGAGTGTTAGTCAATGGAATATAAGTGGAAGTAAATGTTGCCATTTCTAAGCTAAGACTTTAAAGAAGTTAGTGTGCATTCCTTTGACTGAATCCAGACAGAGGCTGTGGACACAAAAGCCAAAGGACACAACCATGAATCTTTTGGAAACCTGAATTAATGGATGGAGAGAAAGTTAATTCCTGCCCGATGCATGAGTAAAATATAAACATCTATCACTGTGAAGACATTTGTGACTGTATTTATTTATAACCAATAACTATTCTACCTAACACATCAAGAGTTCTTATTAAAATATTTTTCATTATTTATTTCCTATTTCTTATTATAATCTAAATTTGTGGGAAAGTCTATTCATACCTCAAGATGATTTAGGCATACAGTCTTGATTCCTCTTGCTTTATATCTTATTTTCACCTTGTCAATTTTCCATGAATTGTTTCAAATGCTTTGTGAAATGAGACGATAAAAGAAAAAAGAAAGAGAGAGAGCAAGGGAGAGAACAAAAAGAAAGGAGAGCGAGGGGGAAGAATAAAGGGATAGAAAAAAAGGAAAAAGGAGCAATGAAAGAGGAAAGAGGAAAATGGGTTAGGAACAATGAGATCCTATGAGGGTATAATTGAGGAACATAAGAAATATTATATTTAGCCAACCCGAAGCCCATTCCCAACCCCTTCCTCTTAGTCTCTCTCTACTTTAGGGCCATAGATGTGAAATATTTCCTTACTCATGCTCTTTCTTAGCTGCCATTTCAGGAAGCAGTGAGTCATTAGCAGGAATCTGCTAGGTTTTTTTCTGGGAAAGATTTAGCACTTAGGATGAAAGAAACAGATGAAGCTGCCCTGCTGCTTCTCCCTTCTTCCTTCTCTCTGCCTTAAATAGAAATGAGATTTCTGGATTTGAGACAAATATCTTGTGACTGTGATGGAAAAAGTCTGAGAAAACTCTAAGGAAACTTGGGAGATGGCACTCAGACATAATTGAGTTGCTGAGTGGACCCCAGCAGCCCCTTGCCTCAAGTCTTTCGTGGTGAGAAAAAGAAATCTGCATTTTTCACCCAAGGTTAACATTTGTTTCTTGTAGCTGAAAACATTCATCTTTGATTCAGAAATATTAAAAGAAAGACAGACCCTGAAAGGATGAAATTAATAAGAGATAGGTTAAAAAGGTCAAGAACAGAAAAGCTGAGTGTACTGGTCCAGAAAGATGGTGACATGATGATACAGTAGAGACATCTTGTGGATGACACAAATCTCTTTGGAGCATATTGATCCCAAGGTACATATAGGACATCCGGATGTAGTGGGAAGATGCAGGCTATTTCCTATTGTATGAGTAGCCTGGAGTCTGCACTTGACAGTGGTAGCTGAATTATGGCAGTGGTTAAAAATCACTAGAGATACAATGCAGGGGACAATCAGAAACATCTACAATTAGTGGGTGTAGGAAAGAAGTTCCTAGTAGAAACAAGTAACAGAATATGAAAAATATAGAAACATGGAAGTAAGACAGAGCTCCAAAAAGATGGGTTGGCACATCTTCATCTTGAAGAAGCATCTTCAAACTGATGTCTCTTGCCACATGCTGGCCTTCCCTTGTTATTGAGCTCTCTAACCTGTTTTCCTTGGCCTCCCCCACTTGCTACAATCTCAGGCCTCCTCAGTTAAGAAAAGCCTCAGTATCTTAAATCTATTGTGTGAATCAAAGTCATATTATCAATTGTTCTTTTTATTAATTAGTTTTCTTCTTTGATGACCACTTGAAATCTTGTATTTTCTCTCTCCTTCAAAATCAATTTCTATACCACCTACAATCAAACCAGGAAAAGAAAGCTAACCATATAGAAATATGGGCAAGACACTTGAACAAGCATTTCATAAAAGATATATAGAAAATCAACAAGTATTTGGAAGATTCTCAATCTTATCAATAATCAGGGAACTGCAAAATAAAACTGCCACGCATTACCACTGCAAACTACTTAGAACAGCTAAAATTATAAAGACTGAAAACAGTAACTATTGGTGAAGCTGTAGAGAAACAGAAAGTCTAATATATGCTGGTAGAAGAACAACTTTTTTGGAGGATTGGCATTATTGATTAGAAATAAATATACAAATACCTTATGGTTCAGGAATTCTAATTCTAGGTATATACTTAACAGAAATGTATATGAATGTATACCCCCCAAAATTTATGTGAATATTTAGAGTAGCATGTATTATTATATTAGTAGTTCTCAAATGAAAATAAAATCCAAATATCTACCCTAAATAAAACGGAAAAAACCTGTGATCTATTTCATACTATGTAAAAATACACTGAAATAGAAAAAAAAAACAAACAAAAGTACTGCTAGGTACTGCATGAATGAATCTCACACATATAAAAGTAGCAAATAAGCCAAACACAAAAAAAAACTTTATAAAAGATGAGCATCTAAAATCCCAAATTCAGAAATCTGAAAGGCTCCAAAATCCAAAACTTTTTGAACACTGACAGAATGCTCAAAGAATAAAAATTTCATTGGAGCACTTGAGATTTCCAGATTTGGTGTGTTCAAGCAGTAAGTATAATGCAAATATTCCAAAATCCAAAAATATCCAAAATACTTCTGGTCCCAAGTATTTCAGGTAAGGAATATTCAACCTGTGTATACCTTCATATAAAGTTCAAAACTAGACAAAATAATGCATTTATATAAAGTTCAAAATGGACAAAGCTGACTATGTGGTTAGAAGTTAGGGGAATTATAAATTTGAAAGGGGGATGCTACGGTCTAAATGTTGGTCTCCCCAGACCCCAATTTTATATGTCACAACCTTATACCCAATGTGACAGTATTAGGAGGTCAGGGCTTTGGAAATGATTAAGTCATGATTAAGTGATTCCTCATGAATGGAATTTGTCCCTTTGTATTAGAGGCTCTAGAAAGCTCCCTTAGCCCTTCTGCCATGTGAGGAAGGGCAAAGCAACAAGGCGTCATCTGTGAAACAAACAGCAGCCCTAAGCAGACACCAAGTCTGCTGGCATCTTGATCTTGCACTTCCCAGCCTCCAGAACTGTGAGCAATATATTTATGTTGTTTTTAAATTACCCAGTTTAAGGTATTTTGTTATAGCAGCCCAAGTGGACAGAGACAGAAGGTAACAGGTAGTATTTGGAAGAAGACACGATTGAGGATTCTGAGTATTGGAAATACTTTTTTTTTCTTGATGGGGTGATGGTTATAAGGCCTCAAAATAACTCATGAAGCTATTTGCTTATGATTCATGCTGTTTTTGGTATACATACATTTCTTAAATTAAAATATTTTTCACAATTTCTGTTTCTTCTTCCTTATCACATGACTATGAAGATTTTACCTCAGAACCTCCTGATTGACTCTCATTGCTCCATCCCACCATCATTTTGTATTCCCACCATGCTTTATTTCTGAAAACGTTTTTTTGCCTCACATGTCCAAATCTACCAGTGACTGTGTCATGCCCTTTGTTCTTAGAATTTCCTATCTCTTTCTTGATTGACACCTTTAATTTCTTCTCTGCCTCTCTCTTCAGTTTTATTCACAGATGACCAGACCACCAGAGAGACCTATCGAAGTCTACATTTCAAAGAACTTTGCCTCACCTTGGTTGATAATAGGAGGAACTACAGCAAGAGGGTAAAAATTTGTTAGAATAATCTTGATAATGGATAAATCTACATCTGCTATATCCCCATTTGATTCCCATAGTATTGATTGCTTCTTCATAGTTACACTTAAAGCTGCTCATTCCTACCTTCATTTATTTGACTGAGAGTTCTATGAGACTAACTTGGTAGGCATTTACTATATTTTTTAAGTTAAAGAAAACCTGCAAAACATTTAACAAATGGCTTTAGCAATCAAAGTACTTAAGTATGAGATTTACTTATAAAACCTAAAGTAAACAAATTTATTTTGTGTTTCAATGGGAAACAAAAGAAAGTGTCTCTCAACCACTTTATAATATCATATTAATTGAGAAGAGTAGAAAGGTAAGGAAACCATCATTTAATAGCAGAATGTGTGCCAATCCATTTGGTGTTTTATATTCATCATTCTCACACTGAACCTGTAAGGTGGGTGCTGTTATGTTAAATTAGCACTTTTAAAGCGAGATGTCAAGTAACTTGCTCAAGATTGTGTAACAATTAAATGACCTAGCCAAGATTTGAACCTCAGATTGTGTGATGGAAACCCATGGTCTTTCTTCTGTATCTTGCTGTCTCATGTCTAGGAAGGTTAATGAGACATACGTGTATACTAAGGAAGCAGGGACTGCTGATTACTTGCATAACATTTTAAAATATGATTTTTTATTGGCCTCCCTTTATTTTGGTGCTTAACATTTAACATCTAAATTAAGAAGACATTATCTTTATATCTTTTGTAATGCACCACTTTCAGAGTTATCCGTCAAAGCAGTTGGAAGTCGTTGTTAGAAATTCCTAGAGACTGCTGATAACAGTGCTAAATATATTTTAATTAGTTCCATTCATTAGCTTCAATAACTGAATATATTAACTAGATCTCACATGTATATTAATCCCATAACTTATTAATGTTCAGAATAAAATTCAATTGTCACATTTTTAAATACATGGCTTGATTGCTGAATGAAATAGAAGTGCTATTTAAAGATTTTAAACACAAATTGTGACTGTTGAATGTTGCCCTTTTTTTTCAAATAAATACTAAAAACACTTTTTACAAACACTTACATACAAAGAGACATGACTTCAAAACAATTTAACTGTGATTTAGTAGTGGGTAGGAAAAAAAGCTCTCATTACAGGCAGTATAAAAAATTTTCAAGAGTCTTAGGAATAAAATGGCCTCCTTAAAGTAACTTGTATAAAATTTGATCTACTGATAAAATTGAATTCTGCATTTCTTCATCTTTAGATACTCAGCATTAAGTGAAAACTCATTTATAGAGTGATTTATAGTATGACAAAGTATGAGTTGAATTTTTAATAGACCTAGCATGTACTTCCTATCTTAAGTATTTTGTCTGCTTCCTGGTGACTGACCAGCTGAGTACCAATGGCATCACCTACAGCTTGCCTGGCCTGCTGACTAGAGGCAAATGCACAGAGCAGCTGCTACTAAGGAGGTGAGACCACAGAAGTGGCAAAAAAAAAAAAAAAAAAAAAAAAGCAGTTTAAATAGAGATGCCTGAAGCAAAAAAGATTACAGATTTTCTTTTAAAAATGTAAGATTTACTCGCTTTTTTTTTTTTGAGATGGAGTCTTGCTCTGTTGCCCAGGCTGGAGTGCAGGGGCACGATCTTGGCTCACTGCAATCTCCACCGCCCGAGTTCAAGTGACTCTTCTGCCTCAGCCTCCCGAATAGCTGGGATTACAGGTGCCCACCACCATGCCCAGCTAATTTTTGTATTTTCAGTAGAGATGGGGTTTCGCCATTTTTGTCAGGCTGGTCTCAAACTCCTGACCTCGTGATCCCCCTGCTCCAGCCTCCCAAGTGCTGGGATTACAGGCGTGAGCCACCGTGCCTGGCCCAAGGTTTACTCTTTTTTTTTTTAACTTTTGAAATAGTTTTACTCAGACACAAGCTAAAGTACTTCACAAGTCATGCAATTAGAACACTCTTAAGTAGAGTGATGTTTGGAGTAAGGTGGGAAGAAGTAAATGGCGTGCATACCTTCGCTTGTCCAGCTTTTGTGATGGCAGGAATATTAAAGTGCTGTCCAGTGTAAAAATGCACCCCACTGAACAGGATCACTGCAATTGAGTCTCCTTCCTTCTCAATTACTTCAAGGATATCCTCTATTCTTAAGGTTTCTTCCCCCTAAATCAAGTTAGGCACAAGTTAGGTCATATCGATAATAATAAATTTGTAATTTCATATTGCCGATCTAAATTTCACCGTGAGCCCTTTTGCATTATAAAATAGTTTTTTTTTTCAGATTAAGGTTCTTTAAAAATCTGGCATAAGAGCAGCATTTGAGCATAATTTTTATTATTAAGAAATGATAATTAAAAAGTAAAAAGTGTTTTTTCAAGTGAAAGTCTTCAAAAGCCGAATTGCTTGATTTATTCTCCAGTTTTTAAAAATTAATTTGTACTCTTTCCACAGCTATAAGTTGTTTTCTCCTTATTCCTGACTAATAAAACACCACAAAGTGCAAGAAGTCCATGAAGTATTATATAGCAAGATAAATTATCAGAAATTGGTATTGCATTTATCAATCTGATATCCTGTTATTGTTTCCAAAAAAAGAAAACATGCCGGGTGTGTGGCTCACGCCTGTAATCCTGGCACTTTGGGATGCCAAGGTGGGCAGATCACTTGAGGTAAGGAGTTTGAGACCAGCTTGGCCAACATGGTGAAACTCAGTCTTTATTAAAAATACAAAAATTAGCTAGGTGTGGTGGTGCATGCCCGTAATCCCAGCTACTTGGGTGGCGGAAGCACGAGAATAGTGCCACTGCACTCCAGCCTGGGTGACAGAGCAACTCTGTCTCAGAAAAAAACTAAACTAAATTAAACTAAACCAAAGAAAACATAACACTTACACATCTTTTATCTGAGTTTTACCTAGCCAATATCTTCTATTAGATTAAGATTAAAATCTCCTCCAAACTAATCTAAAGCTCAAGACCCAAACAAGAAGAAAAATATCAATAAAACTGACTATAATAGAGGGTTTTTTCCTTATATCTTGCCACTACAACTAATAATTGATTACTTACTAAAGGTTGTGAATGAATTTAGATTTGGTCTTGCAAACAACTTGAGCTGAAAAAAATTAGTTAAATACAAAGTACCTATGTGTATCCTGTATCCTAGCAATTCTGAAGTTTTCATAATTTTTTTTTTTTTTTGAGACGGAGCTTCACTCTTGTTGCCCAGGCTGGAGTGCAATGGTGCGATCTTGGCTCACCACAACCTCCACCTCCCAGGTTCAAGTGATTCTCCTGCCTCAGCCTCCTGAGTAGCTGGGATTACAGGCATGTGCCACCACATCTGGCTAATTTTGTATTTTTAATAGAGATGGGGTTTCTCCATGTTGGTCAGGCTGGTCTTGAACTCCCGGCCTCACGTGATCTGCCTGTCTCAAACTCTCAAAGTGCTGGGATTACAGGCGTGAGCCACTGCACCCAGCCATGAATTTTCTCCAGTGCTGTCTGACATGATTTTGAGGTCAATGCATCATTAATTACGTTAATATTTGGGGGAAGCTCATTAAGATATTATCCTATAGTTTACTTTTAATTTTTAATTATCTTGGTATTTGCCAATTACTCTGCTCCATGTTAAGAGAGTACGTGTGTGTGTGTGTGAGTGTGTATGTGTGTGGGTGTGAAATAAACTCTCTACTAGAAGAAACCAGGAATTTGTTTACAAAATGGGCATCAATAAAAATTGGCATCCCAATATTAATGGGATTGTTATTAAAATATCTGAATTATTAAGTGAAGTATACTTTATATAAAGAAAAGAATGTCATTAATTGTAAGTAAAATTGATAACTTGGCAATCCAAAACTCTTTATTCTTAAAACAATCTAATAAGGTTTACCCACCATAATTTCCAATAAAGTGGTAAGGAAAATATTATAGATACTAATACTTAATTTATATCTTAAAAAATCAGTATTAAGCACATAAGAAATACATTTTTCAACGACAGGATACGGCCCTCTCTCATGTTGACTTGTTCTAGGTAATGCTCAACAGTGGTCCCAAGATTATGAGTAACTCATGAAACTCCACAATATTGGTCACTTATGTGATTATTAGCAGCTATGTTCATTTTTGCTAGAAATTAACAATTTATATCCTCTCAATTTATATCCTCTCATGTGAGAACTTTTTATTCCATTAATTTATTGTATGTTGGCAAATGGAAGTGAATAGAGTACATCTTTAATTTATTCAAAGTAATTCTGGGTTGAAAGAAGTAATTGTCCAAACAATGACTAGCGGTCTGGGAGCATCTTATGTGAAACCTAAAATTTATTCTGTATGATTCGACTAGTGACAAATTACACAAGCTGCAGGGTTTAAATGTCAAAGTCTGTGAGCCTTTTATCTCTATTAATGTAAAGTACACATTTAGATCTTAGGTCAAGCCTGATTAGACACATGCTTTTGTTATCTGTTTAAATATAAAGGAGTCTCAGAGAATAAAGTAACTTTCCCAAAGTCACATACCCAGTAAACTGGAGAGTCTGAGATTTCACTGGAAATATTAGCCAGACTGTAAAGCCAAAGCTCTTCCCATTATACCACATCCCTTTCTCCACTATCCTAGTCTAAACACAAAGAAAATGTTTGATACTTAGAGTAAGAGGGGACATGAAATATAGTCACGATTCCATTTTAACAAATAATTCTGGTCTTTAGCATGATTTTAATGGCACCCATGGGCATGACATTTGGAATTGAAAATGATATACTAAATTTGTCACCCTTTTCCCATCCCATTGAAGAATATGGCAGAATCCAGTGGTATTAACAGAAAAATAGTTTGCTTGCCATATGGCTAGCCCTTGAAAAATGAAAATAAATACACATCTGAGTTATTCTCTATTTTAAGCAAAATGATCTAATAGTAACAGAAGTATAGGTCCTTCATGCTTTCTTGAAAGTTCCATTAAAGTAATGAAGATTTTAATAAACTTTTGAGGAAAATGAAGAAAAAAATCAATACTAAACAAAGCATGACAAATATTTCTTTCTTTCTCATATACCTCTCTTGGCTTTATCATCCGCATACTTTCTTCAATGTTAAGTCCGTGAAGTTGTAGTTGTGACTCAATAGCATACTAAAAAGGAAAGATGATGTATTTATCAAATCAAGCTGAGAGCACAGAAGTACATTGAAATAACAAATAATAAAGTAAAAATAAGGGCATATTATTATATTAAATCCAAGGTGAAGGTTAAAACACCTAAACAAAATACACAACAGAGAAGAACCACTTAATAAAATTCACATATAGAATTCTGAACATTCTTTGAGATAGATGAAAACAGAGGGATCTCCTTGACTTAAGGAATTATAAGAGATTTTAGAATAAGAAATTAAATCATCTAATCTAAGTCAAAACCAGAATTTGCAAAATAAGCAAAATGAATAGTAGGGACTTGTCATCCTTGAACATAGGATATAGAAATGGCTTACCCTAGGAAGAGTAAGTTAGCTAAAAAAAAGGCATTAAGAAGTTTACTTCATTAAGAGTACCAGATATGCATGTGGATAAGCCCCCACACCGACCTGGAATCTTTTGTAGATATTAGGATTTTGATCCATTTTAGTAAGATATTAGGGTTTTATTCCATTTGACATAATTACTTGCCCTAAAATTACAAGGGCTAGAGTAAAAGACAGCAATAATATAGAGAAATAAAGTTTCTCTAACACCAAAACTAAAATATAAAATGTACTTTTAAAATTAATTAATTTATTTATTTATTATTTACTTTATAGAGACGAGGTCTCACTATATTGCCCAGGCTGTTCTCAGACTCCTGGGCTCAAGTGTTCCTCCTGCCTTGGTTTCCTGAAGTGTTGAGATAGCAGGAGTGAGCCACTGTGCCCAGACTTACATTGTACTTTTATTTGTGTTTGTGTCTGAAACCATTACATTTCTTATCAAGTAAGAATAAACAACTCATCATCAAGTAAAGTAATGTGACTTTTTTTAGTAAATCACAAGAAATATTTTTAATCTCTAATAAATAATATTTTGATAATAATGGGCCAACATTTATGCTAGCATGCTATGAAAACACACTGGACAAATAAAAGTTTATATTCCTATTCTATTTAGCTAAAGGGTTAAGCACTGGGGTTTGTATTGATTTGATTTCATAAAATAAAAGAGCAATAAGAATTAATAAAACATTTATAACTGCACTTGATTTAGAGCAGTGGTTTGCTCAATGTCTTTAAAAAGACTAATAAATCAATGTTCCTATTCCATCTTCTCTTCCCTTAACACGTGTTTTACTTTAACAAAAGAAATAAAGCTATAATCTATTAAAAAATTTAATCAAAAGCATTTGACAGATCTTTTTATTGTAAGATTGCTTGGAAAAGCCTAGTGAGTAAACATTCAAGTCAGGCAAATGATACACTGCTCTAGGAAGAGTAGAAAGAACATAAATACAATTTGAAGAAGTCCTTACATGATCAGAAGGGAAGGCTTTGGCTTCTAGAAGAATTTTATATCGTTTTGGCGTAGGCTTAAAAAATGATAACTGCAATAAAATGGATTTATTGAGAAAGCATTAATACACAATTTATACATTTGTTCATTTTATGTCACACTATCATTTTATAATCTCCAGTATTTTAAAGACATTAATTAACTCAACATCTTAAGTGTTTGTCAGGACTACCTTTTCAATTAGCCATGTTTCCAGTGAATCTCAAAGAGAAAGAAGATATTGGCTCAATTTGCTTATCAATGAAACAGCAAACTCGGGGGAAAATGTGAATGTGATAACGAATCCTCAAACTTTACTTATATATTAATTGATGAAACTTAAAGTCTGATGATTAACAACAAAAAAAGCTGTTAATTGACAAATTATCTTCCCAAAGCATTTCATGGTAATTTTGATGGCATGACACTGAAATATTATGGTCTATGTATGTCTTATTTGTATTGATAGTAGCTCATTTGTTCAGTGAAGCTCTTTCATTTCTCCACACAGTTCCTAGAGAGTGATATTGACAACAATAACAACGAAGATGATAGCTACTGTTAACTGAGTGTTGATCACTGGCCAGGGTACTAAAGCAATTTTCACATATTATTACATTTAATTCTCATGCAGATCTTTGAGGTAGATATTATGTTTCTCATTTTTACAAAGGAAAATACTAAGACTTAGAGATGCCAAAAGCCTTTTTCAACCTCAAATAAGCATTATGTAATTTAGCTGGGAGTCAAATCCAGGGATATCTGAACTTGTAGACATGTTTCCAAAACATACTTGAAAAAATGAAGTCAAGATTCTTTAAAGCATTGGGCAGTCACCATTAACACAATATCCCTAATAGATAATAGATTTGACACTTTAAGGTAAAACTGTTTATTGAGTAAGATGTAAGAAGTACTTTAAACACATTAACTCATTTAAGGTACTAGACCTCTTTTTAAAAATTTAATACTCCAAGTCTTTTTTAACCTATATTAATATACAAAAGTATACTGATCCACTAACTCACTCTGCTGAAGCCATTAGAAAATTGTCTTTCCAAAAAGGTCAGTGCTTTGCTAGCATTGTACATCACTGTTTTGTAGGCTTGCATGTAGTTTGCCTATTTACCCATTATGGCTCTTATTCTTTATTTTCCCAGACAAGAACTGTTCATTATTCTAAAGCTCTTCTCAAGAGTCAACTCTTCCATGATTAGGAAGAAGCTATTATATCATGGTCCAGCATTTCCTAGTAAAAATGAAAATAACCTCACAATTTATTTTTAAATAAGTAAACCCCCAGAAGCTCATGAATTAAAGATAGAAAAACATCAGATTCTGTAAATGAATGTGTTCTAAACATTAGTGGGAAAGAAAACTTACCATTAGAAGATGTAAATTTACAGTCAAAGCATTCATTAGGGCTATTTCTTTCTCATTGGCTCCTGTAAAATAAACATATCGTAATTTAGATGTTTGTACTATGTCTAAAGATACTGAAAAAACAAAGTAGGAAGACTTCACTCAATCATTCTTAATGTCTTTAGAGATAAGGGCATATTTGATGTGTCATCACAAAGAAATGGAAGTTTTCCCACTTGACTCATTTTATCAAATGATATCTGGACTTAGATGCACACAGCTAGCTAAAATTAAATTTCTTTTATGATGTAGTAAATAACAACAAAATAATGAAGCATTTGCTTTTGCCTGTAAACTAAAAATGATATATCCTATTATCAGCTCAATTGTCAAATTCCCAAGGAGCATATTTTTGTGCTAAGTATATCTTCAAAGGAATCTAAAAAGATATTAAGGCCAATTACATTTTTAAAGTTCGTTGTTTCTAACATCAAATTAAAATACACCTTTTATAAAAGGAGGCAAACTTTGTGAATCATAACTCACTGTTATTACAGTGAAATATATAACAAGACAAAACAGCCGCATAGCAAATTATGACCCAAATAGCTCTGACATTTATTCATACACACTGAGATAAAAGATAATATAGACGTGTATTGTCTGATGAGAAAATATGCAAAAGTAAGATATCCACTACATAATTATTAATATAATCTGATCTAATTCCTGCTAACAAGGGTTTTGACACTAGAAACAGATCCAGAGACAGAGAATACATTGGTTACTTAAGAATTCAAAGCATAATCACAACAATAATAATACCTTCCATGTTTTGAGTCCTTATGATGTTTCTTCAAGGCAATTAGACCTGTGTAATAGAAATTACGCCCCTTTACTGTCACTGAGAAAAATGAGATGTGTACCTTATCCAGAGGGATATTTCTGAGAGAGTCCCATTTTAAAAGAATAGACAGTACATAGAATAAATCTAATTGACAGATTCCAGGATAAGTTCACTAGAGGGGAGAAGCCATGTAAATAAGTATATAATTTAAGAATTTATATTTCAACATAGCCATTTAAGGAAGGACCTGTATCTTTATTGGGTCAAGGAAAACTTCTTGTTGCATTTGCCACATAGATTTCTCCATTTGACAGACAAGGTTGATGAACAAGTGGTGGATGCTAAAAGACGTATCTCTGATCACTGTAAGGTGAATAATATCTAACGTCAAGGGGCAGTAAGAAAAATCTCACTGTATATTCCTAGAACTAAATAAAATTTGTCCTGGATATACTAAATAGATATGAATATAAGCTTATGTTGCATATAGTGACATATGCCTTCTTCTCCATGTTTCAAAGAGAAGATTTCTTTGAAATATGGTTTAAAAAATACTGCCATCTTCATTATATTTATTTCCCTACATTATTGTGGAGGCTAAAGCAACTCTATATTGGGTGTTAATCTGCCATGTTGACTTCTGGGTAACCCTTATTCTGGGAATGCCTTTAAGATTTCTATTTTAACTGCTGCTACCATAAATCCTGCCCTTAGGCAGATTCACATAGCATTCTTGCCGTTCCCTGAGAGGTTGACTTCAATTGTTCCACATAATCCTTCCCTATGTTTTACATATAAGTCATACGCGGTGGGTAATGGTACGGGGGGATTCACTATCTAATCTTGTTGTTGTCAATTGCCAGGACATCATGACTTCTGTTTCTCACTCCCTATTAAATGTTTCTTTCTGAGAAACTGGATTTATCAGTCTCTTACTTGGGCCTTTCAGCTTCCTCCGGTTTGGGGGATAGGTTTGCATAAACCTGTCGACCACAGAACAATTATAGAGTGAATTTTTACTGCTATTTCTAAAACAAACACTATCTAAAGTAACTTGATCTTACTCTTGACTCCCTGTTATTTGCACACATCTATTTGGAAAACCATTTATTTAAAAAAAATGGCAGGGTGAGTGGAAGGAGGAAAGAAAAAGTAATATGAAGAAAAATACAGAATTAGTGGAAAGAGAAGCATTTTAAAGAATAAAGTGAGGAGAAAATAAAAGAAAAAATAATTATCACAAATAAAATCAAGAAATGGAAGAGGCAGGAAAAAGGAGGCTTTCTGTAGAAGCTCAGACATTCCATTTTTGCTTAAATATTATATTCTGATTAAAATGGATATAATGGTAGGCTGAGGCAGGAGGAATGCTTGAACCCAAGTGTTCAAGATGGGCCTGGGCAACATAGTGAGATTCTGTCTCTGCAAACAGTTTTTAAAAATTAGTCAGGTGTAGTGGCATGCTCCTATAGTTCCAGCTACTCTGGAGGCTGAGACAGGAAGAGTGCTTGAGGTTCCAGTGAACTATAAATTGCACCAGTGCACTCCACACTCTAGCCTGGGTGACAGAGTGGAACCTGCATCTAAAAAAAAGCAAAAACAAAAACAAAGAAAGAAATAAGAAAACAAACAAACAAACAAAAACAAATAAAAAGAAAATTTGGATATAGGCTGGGCATGATGGTTTTATATCTCTAATCCCAACACTTTGAGAGGCCAAGATAGGTGGATGGTTTGAGCTCAGGAGTTCAAGACCAGCCTGGGCAACATGGTGAGACCCTGTCTCTACTAAAAATACAAAAAACAGCTGGATGTGGTGGTGCATGCCTGTGTTCCCAGCTACTTGGAAGGCTGAGTTGGAGAATCGCTTGAGCCTGGGGAAGGTGGCGGGTCAGGAGAGGTAGCAGTGCACTCCAGCCAGGGTGACAGAGGGAGATTCTGTCTCAAAAAACAAAACAAACAAACAAAACACGATACAGATTCCTGGACATTTTGGTTCTCCAAACAATACAGTGTTCATTTTGAATCACCTAAAATTTTTCTGGCTTGGGAATGTGATGCACCTACACACATGTTCCCCTCCAGATGTGCTGGGCAGAATTAAACTACACTTACACTTGGTATAGAGCTTCCCTCATTTCACTTTCAATGGCCTCCTCACACTTGGGCCAATTCTTTGTAAATAATCCCTTCCTGATTTGAACAATTTTTCTGTACACATATACAAACATTATTGTACAATGGACCACTTTAAATTAAACTTAACTGAGCACATCACAAAATGCAATCTTCATCTGCTACTGACCTTTGTCCAAGGACAGGGTTAGTCCAACATGCAAGAATGTGTACACTTATAACTGGGGGTGGTGCAAATAGTAAAGTTTCAAAACATTAACAGAAGTGTTTACTACAAATATGACCTAAAGGCACTAAAGAATTTAGTGTTCTTAACATCAAATAGCTACAACAGACTGATTTTTAGTGTACAGGCATACTTTGTTTCATTGCTCTTCACTTCATTGTTTTTTGTCTTATTTTGTCACTCAGGTTGGAGTACAGAGGCATGATCACAGCTCACTGCAAACTCTGCCTCCCAAGGTCAAACAATCCTTCTACCTCTGTTACATGACATCCAGCTAATTTTTTGTATTTTTGGTAGAGACAGGGTTTTACCATGTCCAGGCTGGTCTCAAACTCCTGAGCTTAGGCTATCTTCCTGCCTTGGCCTCCCAAAGTGCTGAAGGGATTACAGGCATAGGCCACCACACCTGGCCTTTTGTTTGTTTGTTTGTTTGTTAAACAAACTGTAGGTCTGTGGCAACCCTCCATCAACTGATCTTATCAGTGCCATTTTTCCAAAAGAATGTGCTCACCTCATGTCTCTGTATCACATTTTGATAATTCTTGCAATATTTCAAACTTTATTATTATTTCCGTGATCAATGATCTTTGATGTTAATACTGTAATTATTTTGGCATGCTACAAACCACATTCATATAAGACAGAGAACTTAATCAATAAATGTTGTGTGTTCTGACTGCTCCACTGATCAGCCCTTCCCCCATTTCTCTCCCACTTCTCCAGCCTCCCTGTTCCCTGAGACTCAACATTGAAAATAAGCCAATCAATAACCCTACAATGGCCTTTAGGTGTTCAAGTGAAAGGAAGTGTCATATGCCTGTCACTTTAAATCAAAAGCTGGACATGATTAAGCTTAGTGAGGCAGACATGTCAAAAGCTGAGGTAGGCTGAAAGCTAGGTCTCTTGTGCCAAACAGCCAAGTTGTAAATATAAAGAAAATGTTCTTGAAAGAAGTTAAAATTGCTACTTCAGTGAACACAACAATAAGAAAGACCAACAGCCTTCATATGGTTTGGCTGTGTCCCCACTCAAATCTCATCTTGAATTCCCATGTATTGTGGGAGGGACCTGGCGGGACGTAATCATGGGGGCAGGTTTTTCCTGTGCTGTCCTCCTGATAGTGAATAAGTCTCATGAGATCTGATGGTTTTAAAAATGGGAGTTTCCCTACACAAGCTCTCTCCTTGCCTCCTGCCATCCATGTAAGATGTGATTTGCTCCTCCTTGCCTTCTGCCATGATTGTGAGGCTTCCCCAGCCAGGTGGAACTGTGAGTTCTCTGGTAAACCTCTTTCATTTGTAATTTGCCCAGTCTCAGGTATGTCTTTATCAGCAGCATGAAAACAGACTAATACAGTAAATTAGTACCAGCAGAATGGGACATTGCTGAAAAGATATCCAAAAATGTGGAAGCAACTTTGGAACTGGGTAACATGCAGAGGTTGGAATGGTTTGGAGGGTTCACAACAAGACAGGAAAATGTGGGAAAGTTTGGAACTTCCTAGAAACTTGTCAAATGGCTTTGACCAAAATGCTGATAATGATATGGACAATGAAATCCAGGCTGAGGTAGTCTCAGATGGAGATGAGGAACTTGTTGGGAACTGGAGCAAAGGTGACTCTTGTTATGTTTTAGCAAAGAGACTGGCGACATTCTGCCCCTGCCCTAGAAATTTATGGAACTTTGAACTTGAGAGGGATTATTTAGGGTATCTGGCAGAAGAAACTTCTAAGCAGCAAAGCATTCAAGATGTGACTTGGGTACTGTTAAAGGCATTCCATTTGAAAAGAGAAACAGAGCATAAGAGTGTGGAAAATTTGCAGCCTGACAACACGATGAAAAGAAAATCCAAATTTCTGAGAAGAAATTCAAGGTAGCTGCAGAAATTTGCATAAGTAACGAGGAGCAGAATGTTAATCCCCAAGACAATGGGGAAAATGTCTCCAGGGCATGTCAGAGGTCTTCATGGCAGCTCCTCCCATCACAAGCCCAGAGGGCTAGGAGGAAAAAGTGGTTTCATGGGTGGGACCCAGAGCCCACCTGCAGTGTGCAGACTAGGGACTTGGTGCCCTGAGTCCCAGCCACTCCAGCCATGGATGAAAGGGGCCAAGGTACAGCTCAGTCTGTGGCTTCAAAGGGTGCAAGCCTCAAGCCTTGGCAGCTTCCACATGGTGTTGAGCTTGTGAGTGCACAGAAGTCAAGGTTTGGGCACCTCTGCCTAGATTTCAGAAGATGTATGGAAATGCCTGGATGTCCAGGCAGAAGTTTGCTGTAGAGGTGGGATCCTCATGGAGAACCTCTGCTAGGGCAGTGCAGAAGGGAAATGTGGGGTGGCAGCCCCCACACAGTGTACCTACTGGGACACCACCTAGTGGAGCTGTGAGAAGAGGGCCACTGTCCTCCAGTCCCCAGAGTGGTAGATCCACTGACAGCTTGCACCATGCGCCCAGAAAAGCCACAGATACTCAACACCAGCCCATGAAGGCAGCTGGGAGTGAGGCTGTACCCTGCAAAGCCACAGGGGTGGAGCTGCCCAAGACCACATGGGAACCCACCTCTTGCATAGCATGACCCAGATGCGAGACATGGAATCAAAGATCATTTCAGAGCTTTAAGATTTGACTGCCCCACTGGATTTTGGACTTGCATGGGGCCTGTAGCCCCTTTGTTTTGGCCAATTTCTCCCATTTTGAACAGCTGTATTTACCCAGTGCCTGTACCTCCATTGTATTTAAGGAATAATTAACTTGCCATTTATCTTACAGGATCATAGGCAGAAGGGACCTTCCTTGTCTCAGATGAGACTTTGGACTGTGGACTTTTGAGTTAATGCTGGAATGAGTTAAGACTTTGGGGGACTGTTGGAAAGGCATGACTGGTTTTGAAATGTGAGGACATGAGATTTGGGAGGGGCCAAAGGTGGAATGATATGGTTTGGTTGTGTCCCCACCCGAATCTCATCTTGAATTCCCACATGTTGTGGGAGGGACCTGGTGGGAAGTAATTGAATCAAGAGGGCAGGTCTTTCCTGTGCTGTCCTCCTGATAGTAAATAAGTCTCATGAGATCTGATGGTTTAAAAAAGGGGAGTTTCCCTACACAAGCTATCTCTTTGCCTGTCGCCATCCACATAAGATGTGACTCTCTCCTCCTTACCTTCTGCCACTGTCATGAGGCTTCCCCAGCTATGTGCAACTATGAGTTCTCCATTAAACTTCTTTCCTTTGTAAATTGCCCAGTCTTGGGTATGTCTTCATCAGTGGCTAAAAACAGACTAATACAAGCTTTATTGCTGATATGGAGAAAGTTTGAGTGATCTGGTCAGATGATCAAACCAGCCCCAACATTCCATTAAGCCAAAGCCTAAACCAGAGCAAGGCCCCAATTCTCTTCAATTCTTTGAAGCCTGACAGAGGTGAGGAAGATGTAAAAGAAAAGTGTGAAACTAGCACAGGTTGGCTCATAAGGTTTAAGGAAAGAAACTTAGAAGTTCAAGGTGGACATAGGTCCCAGGAAGAGGAGTACATAGCATAGGAGCCAGGCAGTGACCAGGGTGCAGCAGTGCCACTCCCTGCATAGGGTCCAGGTGCACTTGTGTATCATGAAATGCAGATCCTTTTATTGATGATTTCTTCGGTGGACACAATTATTAGATCTTAAAAATCTGGTCATTTCAATTGAGAAAATAGAGGCAACTACTCTTTGTAAATAAAGAGGCACCCAGGCCTGACTTGGAGGACCCAATGATACAAGAAACTTTGAAGAGCAGTCTCTCAACAGGGCATCATGACAGCAGCAAACTGAACCCTGCTTTTTTCAGCCTATAGCTATACTGCCTTTCATGATGCCCATGGTATTTCTGTAGATGATGCCAGCAAAAGGGAGAAAGTCCACGGTTTTACCCCAGGTTTCTTATAAACTTACATATAATTATAGCACACAGCATTATCAGCAGAAATGCAAACTGTAATCATTGCCAAAGAGTATATTACTAGGGGAAGGAGTAATTGCTTCTTCAATCTTCTTTGGAATAATCCCTCATTTGGGCCCAAATGAAGTATGCCCAGGATAATCTTTAGATGAAAAAAAACCTGACCTATCATCTTTCTCAACCAAGTCAATGGAATGAATGTTTTTGCATTCCAAAGTTTTGGGCCCATTCAAGGGATCAAGGTAATGAGCAAGAAAGGCAATGTCATGGACCATCTCAGAAGAGCTGGGAAAAAGGCTTTTAAAGAAACAGCAATATCCAGGGAAGCGCTGTTTGGGACATTAGCTTTTATTCCGATGTCTTCAACTATTTTTTAAAAAGACACAGTACAGTAAGCTTGAAGAGGAAATCCCATCTGCAATAGAAAAAATGGAATGCTTCTATGACACAGGTGTGTAGTGGTGAGTTTTAAGTGAATTTGTCTGGTTCCTACTTGAAAATCTTCCTCTCTCAAGGTTTCAGTTTAGAGAACTCCACTGAAGTTTTCTTGGGAACCTCAGAGGTGTCTGCGTTAGCAAGATGACTTAAGATTACACATACTGAGGTCATTTCCAGGTTGATTGTGTTGGGGGTCTGTAAGGGTGGCTGAAAAAAGCAACAAAAGGACATATTGTTTGACATTAGTCACAGGAGTTGCTTGGGGAAGGGTGAGGTGAGAATCAGCCCACAAAAGGGTACCATGAAATTACTAATAAACTTGTCTCAAGTTGGCTATTTGAAATACAAAAAGTACAAGGTGAAACAGTTAAGTGCTGATGGAGAATCTGCAGCAAGTTACCCAGAAAATCAAGCTAAGATCATTGATGCAGGCTTCACTAAACAACGGATTTTCAGTGTAGATGAATGAGTCCTCTATTGGAAGAAGATGCTATCTAGGACTTTATGGCTAGAAAGGAGGTCTCAGCTACAAACCTTCAAGGGACAGGCAGAATCTTATTCAGGATTAACATAGCTAATGACTTTAAGTTTAGGCCAATATTTATTTACCATTCAAAAAATAATAGGGCTCTTAAGAATTATGCTTAATCTACTCTTCCTGTGCTTTATAAGTGAAACGACAAAGCCTGGACAACAGCCCACCTATTTACAGCATGGTTTGCTGACTATGTTAAGCTCACTGTTGAGACCTAATGCTCAGAAAAAGAAATATTTTCAAAACATTTAGTGCTTATTGACAATGCACATAGTCGCCCAAGAGCTCTGATGGAGATGTACAAGGATATTAAACTTTTCAAGTTTGCTAACACAATATCCATTCTGCAGTCCATGGATCATGGAGTAATTTTGACTTTCAAGTAGTATTCTTTAAGAATAAAATTTGGCAGCCGGGCAGGGTAATCCCAGCACTTTGGGAGGCCTAGGCATGTGGATTGGATGAGCTCAGGAGTTTGAGACCAGCCTGAGCAAAATGGTGAAACCCCATTTTTACCAATGATACAAAAAGTAGCCAGGCATGGTCGCTTGTACCTGTGGTCCCAGGTACTCGGGGGAAGCTGAGGCCAGAGAATTGCCAGAGCCCAGGAAATCAAGGCTGTAGTGAGCTGATTGCACCACTGTATTCCAGCCTGTGTGACAGAGCAAGACTCTGTCTCAAAAATAAAAAATAAAAATAAAAAACAAAATACAAAAATTAAAGTTAAAAATTTGGAAAAAAGGCCAGGTGTGGGGTGGCTTATGCCTGTAATCCTAGCACTTTGGGAGGCCAAAGTGGGTGGATCACCCAAGGTCAGGAGTTCGGGACCAGCCTGGTCAACATGGTGAAACCCCACCTCTACTAAAATTATAAAAATTAGCCAGGGATGGTGGTGCATGCCTGTAATCCCAGCTACTTGGGAGTTTGAGTCAGGAGAATCACTTGAACCTGGGAGGCAGAGGTTGCAGTGAGCCGAGATTGTGCCACGGCACTCCAGCCTGAGCGATAGAGACTGCTTTTCCAAAAAAAAAAAAATTAAATACAATTAAAAAAAGCATTTTGTGAGGATATTGTTGCCACAGATAGTGATCCCTCTGATGGATCTCTGCAAAGTCAGTTGAAAACCTTCTGGAAAGGATCTACCATTCTAGATGCCACTAAGAACATTCATGATTATTGGGAGGAGGTCAAAATATCAACATGAACAGGAACTGGGGAAGTTTATTCCAACCCTCATGGATGACTGATAGGCTCAAGGCTTCAGGTGGAGGAAATAATTGCAGATGTAGTGGAATAGCAAGAGAACTAGAATTAGAAGTGGAGCCTGAAGATGTGACTGAATTGTTGCAATCTCATAATAAAACTTCAACAGATGAGGGGTTGCCTCTTACGAAAGTGCAAAGAAAAATGGTTAAGATTTTGAAGATGGTGAAGATGCTGTGAACATTGTTGAAATGACAACAAAGGATTAAAATGTTTCATTAACTTAATTGATAAAGCAGTGGCAGGATTTCAGAGGATTGCTTCAAATTTTGAAAGTTCTACTGTGAGTAAAATACTATCAAATAGCATCACAAGCTACAGAGATTTCTTCCATGAAAGGAAGACTCAATTAACATGGCAAACGTGATTGCTATCTTATTTTAAGAAATTGCCACAGCCACTCCAGCATTCAGGTAACACCATCCCAATTGGTCAGCAGCCATTAATATAGAGGCAAGACAACCCACATCAGCAAAAAGATTACAGCTCACTGAAGGTTCAGATGATTGTTAGCATTATTTAGCAATAAAGTATTTTTTTAATTAAGGTATCCACATTGCTTTTTAGATGCAATGCTATTGCATACTTAATAGACTACAGTATAGTGTAAACATAACTTTTGTATGTACTGTTTAACCAAAAATGTGTGTGATTCACTTGATTACAATATTTGCATTACTGCAGCAACCTGGAACCAAGCCACAATATCTTTGAGGTATGTCTGTATTTTCAAAAGATTATTTACCTAATTGGCCTATCTTTTTTGGTTCAAATTAGATTTCTGAAACCAATATTGTCCTAAGATGTTTCAATATCATCATTTCACTAACAATCTTTTTTTTTTAAAAGTTAACCAAAGTTTATTCAAGTTGTTTTTCTTCATTCCTTTACTTTTTCCTAATTATTTTGAATTAATGTGGAAACATCAAGAGCTCCAGTTATGTTGGGGCAAAATTTTTAAAATGCTTCTGGAGAGCTTAGCAGGTTTTGAAAGGATCTTTACTTTATCAGATCATCTATGACTCACTGCAATAAATGTCAAGATTTAAATCACTTCTGAGATGAGTGTGAGCCAGTGCTCTAATCCAAAGAGTGCTTCTCTGCTTATTTATTCCTTGTTTATTTATTTATTGAACATCATATTTTTGCTTTACCAGAAGATAAAACTTAGTTAAATGCAAGCAACTGCATTCTGGTCTCAAAGACTGGCAAGCTAATGTTTATGGATCCATTAAGTATTTCAGCACTTCTAATTATGTGACTTGTATTATTTCAGCATGCATAGCAACTCAATAAGGTACCTACTCTAATTCTCTTCATTTCATAACGAGGAAACTGATGTGCAAAGAGATGAACTAACTGACCAAAAGTCTTGTAGAAGAAAAATAAAATAAGAATGTTCTTTCAGGGTTAAAGCATTGTTTACAGAAAATACTCTGTGTATTTGACTTGAGACTGAGGATCTTAACCAACTTCCCTCTGTGTCTTTTTAATCCTAACATAATTTCAAATCTCTTGCAAAGTGGGGATGACAAGGCCCCAAGCTGTTTACCATTGGATAAGAGGGTTCATTACGGGTCTCATAACTGCCATACAATGTTCTGTATATTTTATTAAGCAGATGCAAATGTTATTGTGGATTTGGCTGTAAGGTTTGTAATTAGGCTAAGTCCAAGAACTTTACATTCCATTTTTCAAGTAACAAATTTCAGCAGCCTTTAGAGGTGGCTGGTACATGACTGAGGGTCTGCAGCTGTGGGGGGATAGCTTCCAGGGATTATTGCTTCTCTGAGGGTCAGCCACGGATTTCATAAAGCAAATTTATGTTCACATTACACCATTTTTATAACCTTGAATGCATGTAGCTAACGCTGTGTGATTTTTATCTATCCAGGGAGAAGTAAGCTTAATAATAATATTAATAATATTCTTCAGCAATTTTATTTCTACCATCTTGATAATATGACATTAATTATAAGGGAAAGTTATTCCATGTTTTGAAGAATTATTGGCTCTCTATAAAATGTTTCATTAACAGTTTTTCTTCTCATCTGAAATTGAATTTTTTCTACTTCTATGAATAAATATGGTTATTATTTCTTTCTCTTCTCTATCCACACTATCAATTTGTACACATAATAATTTTTATTATCCTCCTGGTAACTTCTTTTTAAAATTTTTTATGGTAAATTAAAGGCTGTGGTTTTAAGAACCTGGAAGACTCAATCACGACCCAAAATATACAACTTGTCTGTTTGCTCATGGCACATTTAGACAACCTGGTGTTACAGTAGGTAGTCAGGCAGACATGAGCAGGGCAGGCATCTCCTTCCCATCACCAGGAATGTCAGGTGATGGTCAGGCAGTTGTTAACTGTCTCTCTAAAATAATAATTGGTTGCAGCCAGTGCCAGGGAAAGACAGTCTCCCAAAAGATAGAAAAAAACCTGAAACTCGTGATCAGCAGTTTCCCAATATCTCAGGATTTGGGTGAGTGGGCTCAAGCATGTACATTAAGAGGCAAAATGGCCAATTTTTAATGTCTCTTATGTGACCTTCTAGGGACATTCAGCTGGTAAGGGAAGAATGCCTCAAGTGAGTATGCACATATCTCCAGTAAACACACTGCACATGCAGCCCCTCCCAAGTGCTACCAGGCCAATGTGCATGAGGACAGCCCATCCCAAGGGAAGAATCAGGGGAGAAGGGACACAAGCCTCCAGAAGCATGCCAAAATACAAAACCCAAAGTCAAAGGTCAAACCATGCACTTGATCTCTCAAGTTGCCCACTTGGCCCTTTCAAGTATACTTTACTTCTTTTCATTCCTGCTCTAAAACTTTTTAATAAACTTTCACTCCTGCTCTAAAATTTGCCTTGATCTCTCCTGCCTTACGCCCCTCAGTTGAATTATTTCTTCTAAAGAGGCAAAAACCGAGGTTGCTGCAGACCCATATGGATTTGCTGCTAGTAACCCTAGCAAGTAGAAAAAATAAATTTGGCCTTTGCTACTCTTTACTGCAGTTACTACAAAATTATTTTAATTATTTCATCATTTAAACCACACTTACTTCCAAAGAGGGTTTCAGATAAATTGTAATACAAAACTATTTGAGGAAGAATGATAGAAAGTAGCAACACAATAAATGCAGATGAGAAACAAATTAGAATTTATTAAATATTTTTGTTACTTCAAACTTGATCAAATTTTTCTCAGAACTTCTTAGTAACCAAGGCAAAACGGGAAGCTGCATGGGGTTTGCAAACAAAATGAACACACACAAAAAAACACATTCTAAAAGAGTCTATTTGAGTGAAGTTACACATTTTTCTTTTTTTTTTTTCTTTTTTTTTTTTTTCTGTCACCCAGGATGTAGTGCAGCAGCATGATCATGGCTCACTGTAGCCTCAAACTCCCAGGTTCCAGCAACTCTCTCACCTCAGCCTTTCGAATAGCTGGGACTACAGGAATGTACCACCATGCCTGGGTAATTTTTGTATATCTGTATTTCTTGCAGAGGCGGAGTTTCACCATGTTGCCCAGACTGGTCTTGAACTCCTGGGCTCAAGAAATTCTCCTTCCTTACCTTCCCAAAGTGTTGGGATTACAGGCGTGAGCCACTGTGCCTCGTTTATTCATTTTTTCAATTTGACTTAAGTAAGGACCATTTCTCTGACTAATATGTATTTAATTTTGGAAGTTAAAAAATTTTGGAGCTAATAGTATGATCTGAAAGACCGAAACAGATGCTCCTTTATCGATAAAGATGGATCCAATGGTTTAGGAAACTAAATTACCTACGGGTCAGGTCGTGGGTTCAGGGCCCATTCAGCATGGCAAATCTCTTAAATTCCTGTGGCTCTAAACTCCCTAACCATAGGAGCTATCACACCCTTCCTAACTCTGATTTACAACCCAGACCACTGAAAAGACTTCAAATAAAATGTGACAATGCATTTGTCATATAAGGTTTGAGGCTTTGGGAAAGTTATAAATATTTTCTTTACGAAGTTTCAGGTCTACAAAACTCACTTTGCCCATTTTAAGAAATAATTGTTATCTTCTATATCCCACATTATATTTTGGGACCAAACACATCTAATTTAACTAATGCAGCATTCAAAGACAAAAATGTAGAAAACTAAATGAATTTTGTCCCATAGGTGTGTTATAACAAGAAATATTTGGTTTTTGTTCTCAGTTCAGGGTACAGGGCTGCTAAAACCCTTGGATATTCCAAGTGGTAAAAGTATTTTTTGTTATTCATAACAAGCTCCCTTAGATCACAGGAGAGTTGATGCTAATAAAGTGACTTAAGTTGGGGCCCTGAGAGACATCTCACTATGGGGGGCTGCCCATCAAAAAGACCAAGTGATCAGAGGGAGTAGAGGTGAAACTTTTAGCTCTACCCACTGACCTCCCAGAGGGAGAGGAGGGCTGGGATTGAGCTTTATAAAAACAGTAAGACTCAGAGAGGTTCTGGGCTGATGAACACATTTAAGTACCAAGAGAGTGGCAGGCTCAGAGAAGGCATGGAAGCTCCCTCATTTCCATGCCCTATGCATCTCTTCCATTGGCTGTTTCTGAGTTGTATCTTTATAGTAAACTGGCAAACATAAAGTAAAGTGAAAGTAAAGTTCTGAAATTGCTCTAGCAAATTATGGAGCCTGCAAAGGGCACTGTGGAAATCCCTGAATTTACAGCTGGTGCGTCTAAAGTAAGGGTGGTTTCTAGGATTTTTGACTGGCATCTGAAGTGGCGGCAGTCTTGTGGGCCAGAATATAAATTATATTACTGTGTGGTTTTTCAAAGACAGGCAGAAAACCCCTACAGCTATGGTTGACAAATTTTCTTTTAAAAATTTAAAATAAGCTTAATCCCTTTAGTTTTCTAAACAAGACTGAATATTTATAGTCTTTCTCTTATTTTTTGTTTTTCCTTAGTAACAATAATGAAAGGTGACAGGTTTGAAATTTCAGTGATCTTTATGTGTCATACATGTATTTATGTGTCAACAAGGCTCTTGGACATTTAATAAGTTGCAATAGAGCTGTAAACTTTTAAATGGTCAAAGGACATCTTTTTGCAGGATTTATTGGCTTCATAAATAAATCTCACTGAATAATATCACTTTACCACTTCCCTGGCTTCTATATAAACATTCTAACTTCTCTTTAGAGGATGATAAATATTAAGAACAAAATAACAGGATTAGAATGCAGTTTATGTTCTGAAAGCAAACTGAATAAAGTGAAAAAAAATTCACAGCTAAGAGAAGCACATATTCTCCGGTCAAATTAAATGCAAATTCTTTTTCCAGTTTTTTTGTTTACATATTAGAATATTTGAATGTTTAGAATTGGCTTCTAACAAATGAACACAAACGAAGGATTTATTACACAAATATTTCGCACACTTTTAAATGCAATTCAGGATTGTTCAGAGAATTCTCTCCATCAGAATATGCACTGCTCTAGGTAATTCTGACAGCCTGATCAAGTGCACTGTGTTTTGAGAATCCACTGGTGTGGGAGGAGATTCTTGGTTTTGGCCTTTACTGGATCTGGCTGTCAAAGATTCTGGCCCTGGGTTCCAGACCTAAGCATCCAGGGCTGCCCAGATTAGCCCTGGGGCTTCTTGGGAAAGTCTTTCACTCAAGTCCTACACTGAGCCTGACTCCACGTGAGCTGCCCCCAAAATACTACTTTCTGGTTTCTTACTGTTCTTTTCTTCAATAATAGTTGTAAATTTCTGGTCTATGCAGATTTCTATTTACTTATTTTTAACTGTTGCTATATGTTTGTTAATTTTTTTTTCAGTCACTCCTCGGTATTTGTCATAGAACGGAGAATTTTCGGTCTGTACTCAATCTGTTATCTTTTCTTTTTCTTTTTTCTTTTTTTTTTTTTTTTTTTTGTGAGATGGAGTCTCGCTCTGTCACCAGGCTGGAGTGCAGTGGCACAATCTCAGCTCACTGCAACCTCCACCTCCCAGGTTCAAGCGATTCTCCTGCCTCAGCCTCCTGAGTAGCTGGGATTTCAGACACGTGCCACAATGCCCGGCTAATTTTTGTATTTTTAGTAGAGACAGCGTTTCACCATGTTGGTAAGGCTGGTCTCGAACTCCTGACCTTGTGATCTGCCCGCTTCAGCCTCCCAAAGTGCTGGGATTACAGGCATGAGCCACCACTCTCAGACTCAATCTGTTATCTTAAACTAGAAGTTGATATTCTGATCTACAACATAGTCGCACAAAACCAATAGAAATTTGTATAATGTAATGATTAATAATAATTGGTAGGAACTTGAGTTTGCTTTTGTTTACAACTCTTCTATTGAGGTTTGAGGGGTTTGTTTTGTTTTGTTTTGTTTGAGACAGGGTCTTAGTCTGTCACCCAGGCTGGAGTACAATGGTGCAATCATGGCTCATTGCAGCCTCCACCTCCTGAGCTCCTGCCTCAGCCTAAAAAGTAGCTCAAACTACAGGTATGAGCCACCCACACCCCACTAATTTTTCTTTCTTCTCTTATTTATTTTACTTATTTATTTATTTATTTATTTTGTAGAGACGGGGTCTCACTATTTTGCCTCAACTGGTCTTGAACTCCTGGGCTTAAGTGATCCTCTCGCTTTGGCCTCTCAGTGTTGGAACTACAGGTGTGAGCCACTATGCCTGGCCCCCTATAAAGTTATTAAAAAAAATTTAATAGGTTAACATATTCATATGGTCATAAACTAAAAACAGATTTCTTTTTTCTTTTTTTAAAAAATTTTCCACACAACATGGATGTATAAAAATAGATTTTCATGAAAAGTTTTGTAATTTGGGTATAATAAACATGAGTGTTGTTGAATCAAGTTTAGCCTAAAGCTATCTACTTACATATTTCAAGTTTGGCTTAAAGGTTTCTCTGTGCATAGTGAACTATAACCTAAATGGAGATGTAAACAAACTGTAACCTGCTCCAGTGCTAATCACCGCATTTTGGCCAAAGAAGAGAAACTGTTCAAACCCTGCTCAAATAAGGCAAATGCTGAGCTGTAAACAACCTGGCTGTTTCTGTACCTCACTTCCCTTCTCTGTATGTCACTTTCCTTTTTCTGTCCATAAATCTTCTTCCACCACGTGGCTGCGGTGGAGTATCTCTGAGTCTATTATGGCTTGGGAGGCAGCCCAATTTGTCAATCGTTCTTTGCTCAATTATACTCGGATAAATTTAATTTGGTTAAGGATTTTCTTTTAACAGATTTAAACAAAATTATGGGAGGATACTGTTTTGGAGTGAGCTCATGCACTAGGACCCCACAGACCAGACCAAACCAAAAAGCAGTCACTTATGATAAATGTGACATAATAAAAAATAAGACTTCAAGGAAACAGATATATCCTAGAACAGACTAGGTTTTGTTTTTCTCCTGTAAACAGGATATTCCAGCATGAGGAGGTACCCTCTACTCTAACCCGTAAAAAAAAATTACCGAAGTCCTTGTTCCTATCTTACAAAATCCACTATTATGCTATTTTCCGGTGGGTTTTGAAACCAAATAAGGACATTTATGATGGTGATAGTTACATCAATGACTAAAGTTTTGGTCAATCTCTCAAAATTGAGAAGATGACCAAAAAGGGAGATTGTTAAATTAACTTTAGCCTAAACTTGCCTCCTTACATATTTTAAGTCCAGCCTAAAGCTTTCTCTGAAAATCATGAACTGTTACCTAAATGGAGGCATAAGCAGACTGTAACCTACTCTTGTGCTAATCACCACATTTTGGCCAATCAAAGGAGACCAACTGTTCAAACCATGTTAAATTAAGGTAAATGCTGGGCTGTACCCAATCAGGCTGTTTCTGTACCTCACTTCCATTTTCTGTACATCACTTTACTTTCTCTGTCCACAAATCTTCCAACCACATGCCTGTGCTGGAGTCTGTGAACCTACTCTGGCTTGAGAGGCTGCCTGACTCATGATTTGTTCTTTGCTCAATTAAACTCCGTTAAATTTAGTTTGGCTCATGATTTTTTTTTTTAACAGTGTGTTCTGCACGTGATGGGGTTTGTTGTAAGGTGATCCCATTTGCCCATCGTGCTGGGAAATGCCCTCATGTCAGACTCTTTAGGTTGTGCAGATAACAGAGTAGACTTGTCCAGCCTCCTGTGTGGGGACTGGTAGCTAAATAAGAGTGCAAGTGGATAAACATTTATTTAATGCTTTTTTTTTCACTATTGTAAGATTCTTCCTGGGGCCTGAAAGTTTAAGATGAGTAACTCCTCCCTTCTCAGGCCCAGTACCAAGGTGCAAGGCCACATATATCAGCAGGGTACACCAGCAAAATAGCAGAAGCAGGAAGAGAGCTGGCCAGAAGATAGCTACCCTGGTTGGAAGACACATACTCCTGAAGATCGAGAAAGAGGCCATCCAGGTACAACATAGCAGTTACGACAGACTAGAACACTTCCTGTTTACAGGAGACTATAAAACCTTTATCCCGTCCTCACTTGGTGCTGATGCCATTTTCAGCCTCAGCCCACCTGCACCCAGGCGCTCATTAAAACAGCATGTTGCTCCACACCACCTCATCTTGTCTGTTGCGCTCTTGGGTTTCAAACCAATACAAAAATTTTACGTTCTGGTGCCAAAACCTGGGAGGGGCTCAAGTCTGCGTCCTCCTTGGGCCTACCCCTCCACCCCAGAGAGTAGGCCACAGCAGCCAGACAAAGGAAACTCCTCAGCCTCCAGTCACCCCTCTGCATGCACATTAGTCACTGATCTCACCTACCAGTAAGTTTCCTGGGAGCTCTGTCAACAGGGAAAAATCTACATGGCCTCTCTTGGTTTCTCCGGTCCAAAAATCCAGCGTTGGTCCAAGAAGGCTCTGGTGTGTGCCAGGCAGTTGCTGATCATCTGTTCTTAGGGGACACCTCTAAGCCAACTGATCCCATTCCGGGAACGAAAAAGGCAGCAGTGACGATCACTCCTTTTATCGTCTCCCTCCAGCTGTCCAGGACGGTCTCCTTTTTCTCTGTTCTCCCATGCCTACCCTCCGTTATGGGAAATTCTTGGTCCTCTATTCCAAAAAACAGCCCTCTAGGCTGCCTCATAAAAGAACCCTGCAAACCTTAGGCCTCAGACAAGATATCCACCCTAAGTGCCCCGTCTTTTTTTACAATATAGCCTGGATGCAGTACAAATTAAACAATGCATCTAAATGGCCCTCAAATAAAACATTTGACTTTATAATTTTAACGAACTTAAGCAATTATTGCCAATGACTGGAGAAATGGGGAGAAATTCTGTATGTCCAGGCGTTTTTTGCACTCAGATCACAGCCCGACCTCTACAATTCTTGTTTACCTGTTCAAATCCTTCTCTTCCATTCTTGCTATCCAGATCACCTTTCTCCTCCCAACCCTACCTCTTTTTCCTCATTCAATCCAGCAGACTGCTGTCCATGCCTCCCAGCCACTACCTCTTTCTCTCAATCGCCTTCTTTAACCCGTTCGTTGTCTTCTCAGTCATCATCTTCTCAGCCACCACCTTCCCAGTCAGCTGTATCCACTTCTTTTCCTACACCGTCCCATCAGGACAATTCTAGCATTGCCTGTACTCATTCTCCTTCCTCATCGCCCTCTCCTGAAGCCTATAAACCCATCCTGCCACCTTACGCCCGTATGTATCCTCCACTGCTTATCAACTCAACTCCCTTCCCCCTTCATACCCTCAGCAGGAACCACTTCCGGCTTTTTCCTTCCCTCCGGCCCATACTCCTTCAGATGCCATCTTTAGCCTATGACCCACCCTTACTTCAGGAAGTAGCAGGAACTGAAGGTATTACTAGAGTTCATGTTCCCTTCTCCCTCACTGATCTGTCTCAAATTAACAAAAGACTCGGTTCATTTCCAGAAGACCCCACCTCTTATATTAGGGAGTTTCAGTACCTTACCCAGTCTTATAAACTAACCTGGCATGACCTCTACATTATTCTCTTCCACCCTCACCCCAGAAGACTAAGACCATATCTGGACCCTAGCTCAGGCGCAGGCTGATACAATTCATCACCAAACTCCTGCCCAGCCTACTGGCGCAGAGGCAGTTCCCAATCAGGACCCCCACTGGTATTATCAAGATGGGGCCTCTGGATGCCACCATCAAGACCACATGATTGTGTGTCTCCTTGCAGGACTCAAAAAGGGTGCCCATAGAGTAGTAAACTATGAAAAACTTTCAGAAATCACCCAGGGTCCTGACGAAAACCAGCCCTTTTTCTCTCTTGTTTAACTGAAGTCATAAGAAAATACACCAACCTAAACTCAGCCAGCTGAAAAGGAACCACTATCTTAAACCTTTGGTTCACCTCCCAGTCCACCCCCAATATTCCACGCAAACTTCAGAAGCTTGATGACGGCCCTCAAACCCCACATGGAGACCTTCTTAATTTAGCCTTCAAAGTCTTTAACAATCGTGATGAGGAAAATGAAAGGCAAAACACAGGTAGTCTCAAATGCTTACCTCCACCAGGCCCGCAGGGCTGCAGCTCAACAGGGAAGCCTCCTAGCAATCCACCTCCACCTGGCGCCTGTTTCAAGTGTGGCAATGAAGGCTACTGGTCCAGACAATGCCCAAACCCAGGTAAGCCCACCAGGCCATGCCCCCTTTGCGGAGGACCCCACCGGAGGTTGGACTGTCAGCGGACCCCACAAGGACCGCCCCCATCCCTTCCGAAGCTGGCCAAAACCTCCTATTAGGATCTCATCGGCCTTGCCACTGAAGAGTGACGGTGCCCTGAAATGGACACCCTGGCAACTACCATCTCTTCATCCGAGCCAAGGGTAACCCTGATGGTGGCAGGTAGGCCAGTATGTTTTTTAATTAATACCAGGGCAACCTACACTGCTTTACCTAATTTTTCAGGACCCACTGAGTTCTCCCAAGTCTCTATTGTAGAAATTAATAGACAAGTCTCCAAACCCCAAGCCACCCCTCCACTTTTCTGCTCCCTATACACCTTTTCCTTCACTCACTTTCTTAGTCCTACCCTCATGCCAAACTCCACTCCTTTCAAAGCTCCACACTACTCTTCACTTCCATGTTCCCCATAGTACCCAACGCACCAACCCAGACCCCTCTGGGGCTTCTAACTTTCTTCTACTCCTCCAACCTGCCACCTTAAAACATGCAACTTTTCCTTATCCCCCATCCGTAGTTAACCCCTCTGTTTAGGACACTTCCACACCCTCAGTCACAAAACACCACACCCCCATCCACATTGCCCTTAAAAAGCCCACCCAGTTCCTATCACAGAAGCAGTATCCCATCTCCCAAGCAACTCGCATAGGCCTAAAGCCTATCATTTTCGCCTCCTCACCAGTCGCCTACTCCACCCAACAAACTCCCCTTTTAACAAACCAGTTCTACCTGTCAAAAAGCCAGATGAAACTTATCGCTTAATCCAGGACCTCAGGCTCATTAACCAAGCTGTACTCCCAGTATGTCTAGTAGTTCCTAACCCATATACTTTACTTTCCGTAATTCTGTCTAATACCACCCATTTTTCTGTTCTAAACCTAAAAGATGCTTTTTTTTCCCCACAATTCCTTTACACCTTGATTCCCAAAACCTCTTTGCCTTTACATGGGAAAACCCCAACTCCAAACTTTCACATCAGCTCACCTGGTGCATACTACCTCAAGGTTTCAGAGACAGCCCCCATCTTTTTGGACAGGCCCTTGCTCTTGACCTCAGTACCCTATCCCTAAAACCATCCACTCTCCTTCAATGTGTTAATAATCTGCTCCTGTGTAGCCCCTCTCAAAAACACTGCAACACCCACACTATCTCTCTCTTTTAAACTTCTTGACAAAACGAGGGTATTAGGTCTCCTCTAAGAAAGCACAATTATGCACCCCCTTAGTCACCTATCTAGGGCTAGCTCTTACCCCGTGAACCCAAGGGCTCACAGCTGACTGCATATCTCTCCTCCAATCCCTCCTGCCTCTGCAAACTAAGCAAAAAATTCTCTCTCTTTTCTAGGATTAGTGGGATGTTTTAGGCTCTAGGTTCCCTCCTTCGCTCTACTTGCCAAACCATTATACCAAGCTGCTAAAGCCCCACTCCATGAGCCTTAAAAATCTGCACAGCCTATTACCCAACCTTTCCGTCTACTCTGGAAGGCTCTCACCTCAGCCCTGTCCTCACTCTCCCAGACCTCACCAAACCTTTCTCCCTCTATACTGACCAACAGCATAGAGTTACACTAGGTGTTCTAACCCAGTCTAAAGGACCCACCCTTCAGGTTATTGCCTACCTCTCTAAACAGCTTAAAGCCTCAGTTCTTGGATGGCCTGCCTGCCTCCGACCATTGGCGGCAGCTGCTGTCCTAACCCTTAAAAGCCTAAAACTATCTCTCCATGCCAACCTAACAGTTTATTCAACCCATAACATCAAAGACATGCCAACTCACTGCAGTGTACTAGTCTCATCTCTGCCCCATGACTCCTCCAACTGTATGCTCTATTCATAGAAACCCCCCAAATCACTATGCTAACCAGCTCCCATCTAAACCCAGCCATGCTCTTACCTGAAGCTACAACCGCCAAAGACCCTAAACACTTCTGTGTGAACACTGTTCAAACCTTTCTTATACCTTTTCCAAATCTAACAGATGAACCCCTTCTTTACTTGGTTTGTAGACGGCAGCTCCTTCTTACAGCAAGGACGCCGGCATGCTGGCTATGCTATAGTGTCCCCCGCCCCCCGCCCCCACATACTATTGAAGCCAATCCACTGCCCCTAGGCACTACCTCCCAAAAGCTGAACTCATTGCCCTCACTCAAGCTCTCACACTGACAGCCGGACAACAAATTAACATATATTCAATTTGTCATTCATTATACGTTCCATATAGTACAGTCACACTCGTCTACCTGGAAAAAACGGGGTTTCCTAGCTGCAAAAAACACTCCTGTCATAAATGGCTCTCTCATCAACAAACTCCTTCAAGCTATCAGGCTCCTGCAGAAAGTTGCCATCATTCATTGCAGGGGCCACCAAACCCCAGACAATCACATATCGGCTGGAAATGCGCTAACAGATCAGGTAGTGAAACAAATAGCCCTATGATCCGTGCAAGGCCAGTTTCTCTCCCTGTCCTTGTTCTCTCCTCTTTACTCCTCAGAAGAAAAGCAGGACTTCTGAGCCCAAAACCTTCAAAAGCAAGGACCATGGTATGTCAAGGAAAGGTGCTTTGTTCTTCCTCACTCTCAAAATCTTCCTCACCTCCAAAGACTCCACAACTCTTTCCATGTCGGTTACAAACCTCTCTTGCAACTTTTCCACCCTATTCTCACTTGTCCTCACCTTTCCAGCCATGTCTGAGAAATTACCCAGTCTGGCTCTATCTGCCACTCAGTGTCACCCCAAGGCTCCCTCTGGCCGCTACCTTTTCCTACCGACCAAGCCTGGGGCCAGGTACCAAGGCAAGAATGGCAAGTAAACCTCACTCACATGCCGCTCTGCTATCTTCTAGTCTTTGTCCATACTTTCTCCAGGTAAGTAAAAATGTTCCCAACAACTTCAGAAGGTGCAAATGTCGTCACACAAACTCTCATCATGCATATAATTCCCCATTTCGTACTCTGAACATCCATCCAGCCCAATAACAGGCCGGCCTTCATCAGCCAAATTATTCAAGGTGTCTCTACATCTCTAAATATGAAGTAGGTTCCCCACACACCCTACAGGCCTCAATCTTCAGGCAAAGTTGAAAAAACTAAATCTGTACTTAAAGCGCAACTCACGAAGCTGGCTCTAAAAACCCACCAGTCGTGGACAAAAAATCTCCCTTTTGCCCTCATGAGACTCCACACAACACCAAAAGCAGCCTCTTTTTATAGTCCCTTTAAAATCATGTATGGCCGAACTTTTATCTTAGGGCCTCCACCCTTACCAAACTCTAACCCACTCAGAAATTACCTCCCCTCCTTAATCCAGACACAGTCTTTCATTCGTGAAGCAGCAAATGAGGCTATACCTCTCCCTGTTGACACCTCCTTGTCCTCTCAACATAACTGTCTTGCAGGCACAGACGCGTTTCCAGACAATACAGATGATGCTCCTACTACAAGGACAATGTGGATACCAACCCGTCTCTCAAGAATACCCAAAAAATTAAGGTTTTGTTTTTCCAAGGTGCCCACACCACCCCCTATATCACACGTGAAGTAGTTATTGAGAAAGAGGCCCCTTATCCCTTTTATCTACAACCAAATAGACGGGAATGTACGATTCTCCCTGAGGCCTGAAAGCTTAAGGAGATGAATAACTCCTTCCTTCTCAGGCCCAGTACGAAGGCGCAAGGCTACTTACGTCAGCGGCGTGCGCCAGCAAGATATCAGAAGCAGGAAGAGAGCCGACCGAAAGACAGCTACCCTGGCCGGAAGACACGTAACCCTGAAGATCGAGAAAGAGGCCATCCAGGTACAACGCAGCAGTTATGTCAGACTAGAACACTTCCTGTTTACAGGAGACTATAAAACCTTTGTCTTGTCCTCACTTGGTGCTGATGCCATTTTAGGCCTCAGCCCGCCTGCACCCAGGCGCTCATTAAAACAGCATGTTGCTCCACACCACCTCGTGTTGTCTATTGACGTGCTCTCGGGGTTCAAACCGATACAGAAACCTTACAACTATGGTATATATTATTAATTGAGTTGGTGGCCCCAAATTCATATGTTAAAGCCCTAATCTCCAATGTGAGTGTATTTGGGGATAGGCCTACAAATTAGTAATTAAGGTTAAGTGCAGTCATAAGGGTGAGGGCTTGATATGGTAGAGCTGGTATCCTTAGGTGTCCTTATAAGACGTGTGAGAGACACCAGAGAACTGTTTCCTCCAGTACACAAAAGAAAGGCCATGTGAGGACATAGTGAAAAGGCAGCCAAGAGGAGAAGCCAGGAGGAGAACCCTTACTAGAAACCAACCCTGACAGCACTTTGCACCTTGATCATGAATTTCTAGCCTCCAGTACTGCGAAAAAATAAACTTATATTGTTTAAGCCACCCAGTCTGTGGTGTTTGTCATGGCAGTCTGGAGACCCTTTCTCCTCCCTTTTCTGGAAATTAATCCTCTAGTCATCTCCTGAAATGGGGTGTGGGAGTATTCACCTGCAGCATCAAGTTGGCAAGGGGATCTGATATTCTAATTGTATTTTAAACAGAATTTCAACAAATCTTCTTTTTTAAAAATTCATATTTTCATCACTACCTTCTGGAGGTGTGAGGACTAAACTCTGACCTTTTTTCTGTCTTGCCCAAATTCCTAAGAGGCCTGGGGAATAACATCCTACAAACCATAAAATCTCACCAGATGGGTTTTATTTTATCCTATATGACAAGCTTACTTTCCAACCTTACTCTGGCGTAACATCAAATGACAGATAAAGAAGAAAATCAAAATATTTTACCCCAAAATATGTCTCTTTGACATACTTTGAGTGGCCCTACAAAGCCTTCTGTTGTGAGGGAAAATTTACATCTGTCAAGAATATGAAGAATATAACCAAATCTTTCCCTTTTCAGTCCCTTCCAATCCTGAAGAGATGAACTGAGAGACTAGAACCCTTTACAGGTATGAATGGGAAACAATTGCCATCTATTGTCTGTAAGGGCAGCCACCTATGAGACTTTATCTACATAATAAGAACCTTGGTTTTCATCACCCCTTATCTTCCTCCAGACACTCCTTTCTATTGATTCCAGGTTTTTAGATAATAACTTAACTCTTTCAATAAATTGCCAATCAGAAAATCTTTGACTCCATCTATAATCCTATGACCTATAAACTACTACACTTCCCACCTGTGCGCCTGTCCCCTCCTCTCCCCCAAACCTATGGATACTTCACATGTGTAGATTGATGTCTTTTGTCAACCCAACCACCTTGGGCACATGTTCTTAGGACCTCTTGAGACTGTGCCTTGGGTCATGACCACTCATATTTGGCTCAGAATATTTTACAGAAAAATTTACTCTTCAAATATTTTACAGAATTTGGCTCTTTTCATGGTCAGGTGATTAGCAGGGTAAAGCAGCTGGCTTTTTATTTTTTTGCCATTGGGAGATTAGGATTTGGTTTACTTTTTTTTTTTTTTTTTTTTTTTTGAGAAAGGCAATTACCACTTGTCTATCAGCGAGCCAACTCCCCAGATATTATTATCATCTCCTTTGGCATTCTATTTTGTCCTCTGCAGTTTAGACTTTGTAATTTTTTTTTCTATTCCATTCAGAATTCTTTGGTGAGGTTTTAGAAAAAAGAGTAGTTACATGCATGTGTTCAGTCCTAAATCAACTGGAAAATTATGCCTCTTTGGTAGTGTGATTAATTTTATATTTCTTTGTATTTTACTTATGTATGTACATTAATTTTGGATTTATTTGCATCTTCCTTTACTGGCAGTCTATGAGGATAAGGAAGGTGAGTGTTGTTCGTTTTTTGTTTTTTTTTTTTTTTTTTGAGACAGGGTGTCACCCTGTCGTCCAGGCTGAACAACAGTGGCACGATTTGGGCTCACTGCAGCCTCAACCTCCCAGGCTCAAGCTAACCTCCCACCTCAGCCTCTCAAGTATCTGGGACTACGGGTGTGCCAGCATGCTTGGCTAATTTTTAAAATTTTTTTGTAGAGATGGGATCTCACCATGTTGGCCAGGCTGGTCTCGAACTCCTGAGCTCAAGCAATCCACCCACCTCAGACTGTCAAAGTGCTGGGATTATAGGTGTGTGTCACTATGCCCAGCCCTTATTCACTTTTATGTCCTCAGAGCTCCCACAAGTCATGACATATAGCAAAAAATCAATAATTACTTTTTAAATAAACAAGATAGTCTCCAGATTTTAATGATTTGCCAGTTGCCATAGTTTTTTCTATGCATAAGTCCAGCTTTCCCCACTCCATTTCCCTTCCAGCCACGTTGATTTTCTCTCTAATTACTGGTCAAGATTCAAATGGAATGAAGCAATAAAGATATTTTTATGTTTGCTTATAAGAGAATAAGCTTTCAAAAAGGATTTGAAAACTTGAGTTTTCCCTAAGTCCTTAAAATAGTTCCAAATAGCACCACTCCAATTACCAAAATATCATTAATTTTTTTGTTCAGTACCTTAAATTTTAAACAATGCTGAATATTTAAGCCAATTAAATAAATTTTTTCAAAATGTTAACACATTTACCATCTAAAACTATCTTAAATACCACCGATAGTATATATAACTCTCTTTAGGATAGCACATTTTAGACTAAAAACAGCATCAGCTATGTCATTTTCAGTAACATGAAGCTAAAATTTAAATAGATCACCAAAGATTAAATTGAAATGAGCAAAAACATGATTGGTGTTTTACACCTTTAGCATGTGAAAATGTTCATTATATCAAATAGTTAAATTATAGAAAATTCATTTCAGTTGATTTTTATGAAATGTATTCAATTATAAATTAATACAATGTATGTGTTTTTCATGTGTGATAAATATTACATTTAAAGTATGACAGAAAAAAATAACATATATTTTATTTTTATATAAATAACCTTGTTATGCTCACCATAGCAATCTTTGAGTTAACAAATTTAAGTTGAAAGTGTACTTCCTTTTTACTATTATAGATTAAAATAGAAAATCACTATGTTCTTCAATAAGATTTTGACTTTATGAGCCTGTGTTTATAACTAAATGATAACATCTTTACAATTCATTTGGAAAAACTTCAGTGTTTTGTACTTACCTACAATGTCCTTCATAAGGCCTACAATACTCTCATCTCCTGTAATCCAAGGACGCTTCCCCACTTCATGACCATAGGCTGCTCTGAAATTGAAAACGGACATAAACATATCTTAGCTTTTATGTGCATGTGTGTGATTATTTCAAATATCAGCTTTAGCAAATAAACATTTCTATGTGGACCTTTCTATGTGTTAGTAATTATATAAAATCAGGCCTTTTTAAAACAAAATATATAATACTTGGGATTAATGTCTTTTAACTTCTCTTTTTAAATTTCTTTTATTTTCTTTTTGTGAGGAATGGGGGAGATTGTTCATATGTTATTTTAATATTTTGCTATATTCTAGAGTCTAATTTTTTTGGTCTCAGTTATTTTGCAATTTTTAAGATTATTTGAACACTACTTTTATACCTGTAGAATGTAGTATCTATACTAAAACTTCCATACTATTTTGTAAGGCTAGAGACTAAAATGATTATAAATTGAAATATAGCTATAATCTGTAAATTTAATAGAAGTGTATAAAATGTGATTATACTCATGATACCATTTTATAGGTAAATAACAAAATTTATGAATAATCAAAGCCAATACTACTTGGTTTGACATATTTGCTAGCAATTTCATCTGTCACATTCCAGCTCAATTTTATTATTCTAGTAAGTATCCCAGGAGGCATAGTAGAAAAATGCAAAATACATAGAGTACTTCAACTTTCAAGAAATTTCCATGAAATGAAGAAGGCAAATACACTTGAAAAACATAGAAGAAATTAAAACAGAGGATTAAGATGAAGCGCCTCTGAGTGCTGTTACATTGTTGTATCTTATGATGCCCTGAATGTGATAGTTCTGTAAGCAGGCAGGGGGGTCTCCAGGGATTATAACATTTAATAAAGTTGAACCATCAGCCTGTTTTACAGCCTCCTGCCCTATCACTTGTTTTTTTCCCAAGCCTGGTGTGTAATGCTGTCACCTTGTTGGTTAGGGCAAGCTTCTGACAGACCCCAGCAACTCATAGACGAGTCTGTGTGAAATTTCCTCATTACCATGCTAAAGTCTCCACCCTGGGGAGGAGCTATAGCTTCATTACCATAAGATGCGATCTACGCACTGGTGTGATTACTCACTGCATCTCCGCAACTGGAACTCTTCCTCTACATGAGATGATGCACCTTCTTCCCTATCACCCCATAAAACTTCCCTGTCACTTTTCCTCTGGGAGACACTGCTTTTGTGAAAACTCCCAGTGTCCTCCTTACTTATGCCAAGTAATCAAACTTCTATTGATCAAAACCTGCTCTATTTTTTTTTACTACAGAGAAATAATTTATTTTAAATCATATTTTAGAATTATGCAATATTTTAAAACTTATTTCATAATAAATATTGCAAAGATGATTTCACAATTAAAAAGATAAATATTTGAGCCTGCTATATATTCCTCTGACTTTTTTTTTTATTATACTTTAAGTTCTGGGATACATGTGCAGAACGTGCAGGTTTGTTGCATAAGTATACATGTGCCATGGTGGTTTGCTGCACCCATCAACCCGTCACCTACATTAGGTATTTCTCCTAATGCTCTCCCTCCCTTAGCCCCTCACCCCCCACAGGCCCCAGTGTGTGATGTTCCCCTCCCTGATTCCATGTGTTCTCATTGTTCAACTCCCACTTATGGGTGAGAACATGCGGTGCTTGGTTTTCTGTTCCTGTGTTAGTTAGCTGAGAATGATGTTTCCAGCATCATCCATGTCTCCAGAAAGACCTTTGTTACTCACCAAAAGAATAAAACCCATTTTTTCTGGGTAACAGTTCTTAATTCTTTAGGAATCCAAAAGTTTGTCATCTTGAAAGAAAGGAATGAAAATGTGCTTTTTGTATAGTACCAACCTGGGTTGAATCTGTGTCAGTAAACTGGTGCTGGTGGGCTGGTACTCCCTAAAAGGGGTGGTAAGACCAGAGGACTAGAGCACTGTTTTTCCTCCTTTGCAGATTTCCAAGGTATAAATACTCCCATCATGGGTGATTTCATACTACCAACAGAAATTCTGAGTATTTAATAATTGGCTTTTGACATCTGGTATAAGCCAGCTCCAGGTCAGTACTGGTCATGAGACCACATTTATTGGAAGCTATAGGGCTTCATTTTCCACATTTGTACAAGTAAATGGGTAACAATATGGACCTTAAAGGATTCCCATGAGAAATAAATGAGATAACATGTGAAAGAGACGGTTACATAGTACCCTGTTTCTGAGTCTTCTTTCCTAATGTAAATCTAATGCTAAAACTACCTTCATCAGCATGTGGTGTAGAACACAATTTTTAAACTAACATTTCTATTACCATATAAACTAAGATGAAGGAAGAGGACTTTCTTTGAGAATAAACATAGGCTGCTAAGAACTAAGGATGGAAGAGAGGGGCAATTGTTAGTTATTATTATTTGTATTATTATTAGATAGCCTGCAGCTTGCCTCTTTCTTGATTTCTAATATAAATGCTAAAGACAAAAATCATTATCATTAAATGGTAGTTAAAGGAAGATACTTGGATCCTTTTTTATTTTCATCACATAGAGCTCCATGGCCTTTGCTGATAGCACAATACATCTTATTACATTTAGGTAGTAAAATTCTATGTTCTGCCTCAGAGAATTTATATCTCAGAATGTTATGCCACCTACTCCTTACTCTGGTAGACACCGTGGTAATAATCTTTAAGGATGTGTTTCTTCCTGCAATGCTTTTGGCATCTCCCTCCCTTTAAAATACCACACAGAGTCTGCTTCTTCATTTTGTTAGCCCACTAGCCTGGGGTAGTGAAATGTATTTAGAAAGTGTTACCCAAATAAACCCAAAGTAAAGTGGCCTGTCATTAGAAAGAGTTGATGTAGATTAAAGTGCCGTTATAAACATCAGTATTAAAGTTAAGAAAAAATATATTGTTCAAACAAAGCTACTTAAAATAGTCGCAGCATAGATGTAATCTTCTTTTACAAATGCTGGAAAGGAAAAGAGAGCATGGGAGAGAGTTAACTCACTGCCACAGAATAAATCATTGCTATAAGTGGGTGTTTTCTGAGACATCTACTAGGAGTATTTACTCACAAAATTAGAATTGCAGGATGTAAAATTAGGAAGTTAATAGAAACCTGGATCCTCTTTAAAGTAGGACCATGCTGTAACCATCCCACAAAGTGAAAAATGGCCCTGTTTTTAGAAAGCTTCCTTCCATAAGTAAATAATTACAATTTCATGGGCTGCCTTCATTACATTATAATTTTTTTTCCATGATCCAATTGATGATTAGCCAATAAAGATGTTGAGAGGCCAGGGACGGTGGCTCACGCCTGTAATCCCAGCATTTTGGGAGTCCAAGGTGGGTTGATCCCTTGAGACCAGGTGTTTGAGACCAGCCTGGGCAACATAGGGAGACGTCGTCTCTACAAAATTAAAGAAAAAATTAACCAGGCTTGGTGGCATGTACCTATAGTCGTAGCTACTCAGGAGACTGAGGTGGGAGGATAGCCTGGGCCCAAGTGTTTAAGGCTGCAGTGAGCTATGATCACGCCACTGCACTCCAGCCTGGGCAACAGAGTGACACCCTGACTCCAAAAAAAGAATGTTAATTAGAAAAACAAAAACAAAGATGTTGTGAAAAATCTTTGTAACATGCCATTCTATGTATTTTCTTAGTGCTCTCTTATTCAAACACTATTGCTTTTAATGGAAGAAATCCTTAAATTAAATGAGACTAGAGGGGTCTGAAGGAGGCATCTACATCTCTCTGGCATGTTTTATCAGTGTCCTGTCAGCACACACACACTGCCATGTAAAGTAAACTCTGTGGTTTATTCCTGATATTTAATTCAAAGGGACATTTTTGTCTTTAAATAATCTTACCTAAACTGTCACAGTTCTTAGAAGAATCCCTGTAGAGACAAAACTGTAGTAGGTTTTTGCTCTTATGAAAAAGAGAGAACACCCTTTATGTAGCAGATTTGACAATGTAAATGACCTAAAATATTGTGATTCTATTTTAGGAACATAATACCCATCTCCCAGCTTACAATATGCTCTTTAGGACTGATATATCCTTCTGTTCTAGCTGAATTGTGGCATTATGATTATTAACCAATGTTATTCTTCATTAAATAATCCAGGTCATTAGTAAATATTTAATATAAACTATTATTCCCAAATACTTCATGCCTATTGCCTACTCATTCCAACAGACCCATAGGCTTCAGGCATATTGTTGCTTCTTCTTGTTACAAAACCTTTTTACTTATAATTATTAAGTATCAAATAAATATAATCACCCAAAAAGTTTTATATTTCAGAATACTGGAATTGCCTAAATATTGCCATTTTGCAAAACAAATATATTCTTCAATGTGTTATTAATCTACTTTAGAAATCCCATAGAGTTGAAAATGAAAATGCAAATTAATGGTAATAGAATTTTAAAACTAACACAGAGGTAAAAGATTCTAAGAAAACTATTTTCACAGTTTTCCTTAAATAAGTGTAAGTTTTAGAAATCATTTGGTTCTACTATCATCTGAATGTGTCCCCTTCAAATTCTTATGTTAAAATTTGATCTGCCAATGTGACAGTATTAAGAGGTAGAGTCTTTAGGAGGTGATTCAGTCATAAGGGCAGAGCCCTCATGAATGGGATTAGTACCCTTGTAAAACAGGTGGGAGGCAGGTGTTTGCCTCTTCTGCCACATGAGGTTACAGCAAGAAGCACCATCTTGGAAGCAGAGAGCAGACCTTACCAGACACTAAGTCAGCCAGCACCTTGATCTTGGACTTCCCAGCCTCCAGAATTGTAAGAATATTCATTTCTCTTCTCTATAAATTATCCAGACTCAGGTATTTTGTATAGCAGCGGGAACAAACCAAGACAGATCCTAAAATATTTCTAGTTGTACCTCTATTCTTGGCTTTTCCTTAGTATAAGAAATCAAAGATGGTAGCCTTATGAATTACAAAATCAGGCTGCATTATGACAAAAAATCATTTATTCAATACTTAGGTGTGGTAGGCAATATGTCTGCAATAGGCCATAAAACTGGAGAAGATGGAATCCGTGAGCCAAATGGCATTTCCTACTTTACAATACTTGGATAGACAGAGATTTGACATCTATATGCCTGTGTAAAATCTTGCTTTGTTGAAGCACTCTAATTTTTATGTTACTGTTAAGATTATAATTTTTTTTGAGACTGGGTCTGACTCTGCTGCCCAGGCTGGAGTGCAGTGTCACAATCTCAGCTCACTGCAAACCCCCACATTCCAGGCTCAAGCGATCCTCCCACCTCAACCTCACGAATAGCTGGGACTACAGGCATGTGCCACTACATCCAGCTAAATTTCTTTTGTATATTTTGTAGAGACAGGGTTTTACCATGTTGCCCAAGCTGGTCTCAAACTCCTGAACTCAAGTGATCTGCCTGCCTTGGCCTCCCAAAGTCCTGGGGTTACAGCCTTGAACCACCACGCCTGGTCAAGATTATACATTTTTAACATTATCTTTTTCAACTAAGCAACTACTTTCAATGTGCATTGTAGTATTTAATAAGTGTGTAATCCTCTTTGACTCAGTGATTCCCATAATCTTCCATTGGTCAAGAAGAAAGGGAGTCACTGACCTGGCTTGAGTATCAACCAAGAAGTAGAGCAGAAGTGGCATAGAGGGAGGCAAAGAGGAAGAAGTGATCAGATAAAATTTACCACAATAATGGGAGGCCCTGGATGTAGAGGCAACTGAACACATGCAGGGTTTGATTTTAGTACAAAAAAACAAGGCAACAGTGAGAATGAAAACTGAAGAGACCAACAGACCACTGAAGTGGCATGAAGACTACATGTATGTATGTATGTATGTATGTATGTATGTATGTATGTATGTATGTATTTAAAGACATGGTCTTGCTGTAGCCCAGGCTGGAGTACAGTGGCACAATCACAGCTTACTGCAGCCTTGACCTTCTGGGTGCAAATGATCCTCTCACCTCAGCCTCTCAAGTGGCTTGGACTACAGGCATGCACCACCATGCCCAGCTAATTTTTGTATTTTTTTGTAGAGTTGAGATCTCACAATGTTGCCCAGGTTGGTCTGGAACTACTGGGCTTTTGTGGTCCGCTTGCCTCAGCCTCCCAAAGTGCTGGGATTACAGATGGTAGCCACTGCATCCATCTCTTTGTTGCTCAGGCTGGTTTTAATTCCTGGGCTAAAGTGACCCACATTGGCCTCCCAAAGTGCTGGGAATACAGCCATGAGCCACTATGCCTGGTCTGACTACTTTGAACACATCTGAACAAAGAGCAGCCACAGAAAGAAATTTATCTAAACTTAAGCAAAGCCTCCTAAAAATACAGCTGCTACTGACCCATCCTCAGAGGTAGATGGACCTTAGCACCTGGAGGTACAAATTCAGCTGCCATTCATCTCCCTCTTGGGAGCTTCCAGCTAGGAAGGATACTGCCCATTAGCATCATGATGAAAAAACCCAATAGAAACTTTCATATTTTCCCACTGAAGCTCTAAAACTCTTCCCTTTAGTCAAGCTGGTATATAAACCCTTACCCATGGCTGTTCATCAAACTACCCCTTGTAGAATTCTTGTATCTGAGTGTGAAATAAACTTTTCTCCTGTTAACCTGTCTGTTGTCAATTAATTGGCAGGCCCTCAATCACTTTGACCTAAGTACTCATTTGGTAGAGAAAAAGTTTCCTCCCAACAGAACTTCAGCTGGAAAACATCAGAAGTGGGATTTTAAGCTAAATATTTGGGAGGTAAAAAATAATAATGAGCAAACACTTTTGGGATCAAAAACGATGGGTGAGGTAGGAAAAAGAGGCAGGTGATCAGGCATCCCAAACACCACAGACATTTATGGGCGGGTCCATGATGTTGACTGAGTCACTACAGCTTAAAACAAGAAGACTAAAATAAACAAAGCGAGGATGGAATAGATGTCCATTTGCTTAGAAGTCTTCTTTAATTCACTGTACATTGCCTGAAGCATTAAAATATACAGCCTTTCTGAATCATCTGTCTAATGAAAACTCAGTAAGAAGGTTTAATTAAAATGATGAAATTTTCCATCATCACAAGGTGAAATATAAAAGACAAAACAATAGAAGAGCATGAGGTGCTTTCCTGAAATGCAACTTTAAAGTCTTGAAAATAATCAACCGGTTTCTTACTTAAGTGGATGACCATAAGGATATGAATAGAATAGCAGGGCAGAATATATTTTAAATGCTTAGGGGATAAAAATTCACAACCTTGCTGAATGAATATCCAAGAGGCAAGGACACTCTATAAAGTTCAAATTCATTCAATCTAATTATCTGCCCTCTCTTACATTAAGGCCAAAAATGAATATTAACCATTTTTATTAACTATGACCCCCATTCATTAAATACTAAAACTTGCTAGAGCAAATGTGGTGGTATGTATTTTGCAAATTATGCATAAAAGTTATGCAGATAAAGTTATAACATGATTAATAAATTATATAAACTATCATTCTTACATCAAGTTGTGAAATTACGTTCTTAATCACTAAAATTAAGAACTTCACAGTGTTATCTAATAGCCATAGTTGTAATCATTTGCACAGTGTAAGCTAAACATTATTTATTTATTTATTTTATTGAAGCAGAGTCGCCCAGGATGGAGTACAGTGGTGATCTCCACTCACTGCAACCTCTGCCTCCCGGGTTCAAGCAATTCTCTTGCCTTAGCCTCCTGAATAGCTGAGATTACAGGCACTTGCCACCATGCCAGGCTAATTTTTATATTTTTAGTAGAGACGAGGTTTCACCATGTTGGTCAGACTGGTCTCGAACTCCTGAGCTTAGGAGATCCATCCATGTCAGCTTCCCAAAGTGCTGGGATTACAGGCGTGAGCCACCATTCCCGGCCTAATTTTTGTATTTTTTTAGTAGAGGTGAGGTTTCGCCACGTTGGCCAGGCTGGTCTCAAACTCTTGGCCTCAAGTGATCTGCCCACCTCTGCCTCCCAAAGTGCTGCAATTACAGGCATGAGCCATTGTGACTGGCCTACTAAACTTTAAAGAATGGATATTGTTCCCAATTTGAAAACCAGTAGCATGAAGAATGAAGAAAGGTAAAGAATGTATTCTGAGTTTCTATGACAGCCAAATGTTTTTCCTCTGAAATTCTATTTGGTTTGGTTTCATCTTTCTGAAACGTTTTCCTAACTGTCAAGTTTGGCTCATCTTCATATTGATTTTTCAGTTTCAAATAATTAGAAAATATTTCTGGTTATCATAAAAGTAAGTGTTGATAATTTAGCCTAATCATGAAGAAATTAAGCTTCAGAATATTAACTCCTCTGTTAGTTACTAAAGAAATAAAATAAAATGATTACATGTGGTTTAGAGATGTCAACACATGAGAGGAACTTAAACGTTTAAATATTGTAAAAGTTTTTAGTCCTGATTCTGCCACTAGCTTGCTATGTCACCTTATTCTGATCCTCAGTTATTTCATCAATCAAATGAGACTACTGAGCAGCTAAAGTTTCTCTGTATCCATGGATTCCCTCTCTATGGATTCAACCAACTGCGGATCAAAAATATTTGGGGAAAAAAATGGATGGCTGCATATATACTAAACATGTACAGACTTTTTTTCTCGTCACTATTCCCTAAACAATACAGTATAACAGCTATTTACATGACATTTATACTGTGTTAGGTATTATAAGTAATCTAGAGATTATTTAAAGTATATGGCATAGGCCTAGGTTCTTTGGAAATATGATGCCATTTGTATATAAGGGACTTGACCATTGTGGATTTTGGAATGATAGGGAGGCCCTGGAACTAATCCTCCACAGATGCCAAGGGATGACTGTACTAGGATTCTATTACACATCTTTCCAAATATTAGACAACCTAATGTGATTTTGTAAATTTTTGTATGAGATGTAGAGTAGTAGCTTTTAAAATAATACTTACATTTTGGCCCACTTATCTAGTTCTTCTTCAAGATATGTTTTAACCATTTTTGGTTGAAGGCCAAGAGAATTTCCCAAGAAATAGATGGCATTTTCATCTTTATTCACTAATGATAAATCAACTGAAACAGAAGAAATGTCAAAAAAAAAAAAAAAAATAAAAGCTTTTTCAGTATGGTATTGTTAAGCCAGTACAAATAATTAATACAATCAACTCTAAGAAGGATAAAAAGTAATTAAAAATTACTCCCAAGGATGACATCAGGTCCTCTAAAAAATAATTAAGTTTTGCATTTACATTTAAAATATAATTTAAACCTATAGAGGCTATTATGAGGATCTCTCATATTTACTGTGCTCCATGAGGAAATCTAAATTAGCAAGTACTTCCAATCATGAATTGCCAAAGCATTAGAAAAGAGTTAAAAACAAATGTTTTTAATTAGGAAATACATCAGCCTATCTAATTGTATAAGAAGATTACCAGAATTTAGTCAAGTACTAACACGGTACTAATTTGTGTTGTAGACATGGCAATTTTTTTAAAAAATGCAAATAATTATTTACATAACTTAAGTAGATGTACTGGATTTATGCGGTTTTTTTCATTCTATATCCATACACACGTACACATAGTACTAACACATGTATAGGCAAAGATTGTTTTCTACATCTACTTCTTATTCATATAAATCAAACTTTGATGATTTTTATCCTACAGTTAACCCACTGCAAACAAACCAATCCATGTGCTTAAGACGTAGTCCAGAAAGTCACAAGTTTACAATCACATTTGTAAACTACTGAGTTTTCTCTTATATCTTAGGGAAAAAAAGACTAAGCTTCTTGTTTATATTTCACTGGAATCATTAAGTACTATGTTGGTCTTTACTTCAGACTACTTAATTAAACCTTTAAAGACTTTTTAAAGACATACCATCTATTTCAACCTGATCCCTTTTATAGATATTGTTTTTCATTGGCATCTTTTAAGCCTGACCAATAAAATATATGTATATATTGTTTACACATGTGTGCCAGAAGATTCCTCTTGGTTAAGGTATCCATTATTTCCTGGATCTAGGATTAGATATGCCTCCCCATTTCCCATCCTCAAGGTTATCATGTCAGCCAGGCACAGTGGCCCATGCCTGTAATCCCGGCACTTTTGGAGGCAAAATTGGGAGGATCACTTGAGCCCAGGAGTTCAAGACAAGCATGGGCAACATAGTGAGACTCCATCTCTATTTAATTTTTTTTTTTTTAATAAAAGGTTATCACATCAATGGTTTGGACATTACTGATAATCTCCTTATAGCTTGAGTCCAAGTTTAGTGCCTTTGGGATTATATCCACAGTTTTCATGGCTCCTGTGCTTTCTCTACACAACCCTTGAGAATATGGGAGCTCTGGGTTCATCCATAGTTCCCAGTCCTTCAGTGCCAACTGCTGACTCTTGCACAACTCAATGTCGTGTGGATTCTGTTGCACATCTTGTTTAGTATTTAATGCTTATGAAGTGGGAGAGGGTCCCCTTTCTGAAGCATTTATTGTATTTACCTTTTTTTCCCAAAGGCAAGTCAGGATTAATGTACACCAGTCAATCCTGTTCTTTAGGATTATTTTCTGTCTCCTCTACTGACAACTTTTTTAGCATATTGTGGGTTTAGTGCTATGCTAAAACATTTATTGTAGAGATTGTGATATTATTACATTTTTCTTTAAAGTAGGTATTGCCAATTAGGGCATACATTTTTTGCAGTTTCTCAATGGTCCTCTTGGTTTTCTCTCTCACTTCAATGGCCTTTTCACAAAGGCCGTGGAGCTTACTAGAACTTTCCTTTTCAAAGTGAACTGCTTGATTAACACATGTCCTGTTAGTAAATCCCAAAATTTTGGTTAAGTCACAATGCTTCAAGACCGCAGTTCACTCTTCTTGTAGGTATTGTTTTCCAACTCTTTCTTTTAGTGCCTTTGCTTCTTATTCCCTGGAAAGTCTTCCTGCATTGAATTTAGCCTGATCTTATTAGAGGGAGGAAAAGGGGGGTAAGGTGTCTCAATTTCTTCCTCTTAATCCATACTGTCCAGATCTACTCTGAGTAAACACTGAGAGGTGTCATGATCTGGGGATCCTGTGGGTTCATGTTCAGATCAGCATCATTTGCTGCATTTGTTCTGTTAATACCCAGCAGGCAGGATCTGTAACCAGTACCCTTGTTTTAAGCAAGGCAAGGCAAACTTTTTCTGTAAAAAGCCAGAAAGTAAATATTTCAGGCTTTCCAAGCCATACAGTCTCTGCTGCAATTCCTCTTTTTTGTTATGATAGGATTAAAAAAGCCATAGATAATTAAAAAATAAATGTGGCAGTGATCCTAAAAACTTTATTCCAAAAAGAAGGCAGAGATTTTTGAGCCTTGTCTTAGGGTCACACTTCAAATTCTGGCACAGATTGGGCATGTTAAAAGAGTTCATCAGTTCCCCCTATCAGCCAAGTCTCCACATTCAGTAAATCCTCCTTGAGCTGGGAATACTTGCTTCATGTAACAAGCCCCCCTAGTTTACTAGGGCTTCTAGAACTAAAGCTTCTGGGTAGCTTAAACATAAATTTATTGTCTTACAATTTTGCAGGCTCTGAGTCCAAAATCAAGTGTTGACAAGGTTGATTACTTTCAAGCACTGTGATGGAAGAATATGTTCTAGGCCTCTCTGCTTGGCTTACAGATGGCCATCTCTTGTGTGTTTGGCCTTCTCCCAGTATGCCTGTGTGTTTCCCGATTTCCCCCTTTTATAAGAACATCACAACATATTGAATTAGGGCCCACTCTAATATCTCATTTTAACTTGATTATTTCTGTAAGGACAGTATTAGGAACAGGTGGTTAGGCTGTCAACACATGAATTTTTAGGGAACATAATTCAACCCATAGCACTCTGCTTAAAAGTTCACTTGACTTCAAACTTGTTTACGAGCTCAAGATTTTCAGCTTTTAACAAGCAGGGCTTGCTCCAGTTAGTCCTTAAGTCAACAGTGTTAGAGCCATTCTTCTGGAATGCTCCTTTCTTTGAAAAGGCTACAGTATGATTGCTATAAAGCTCATGGTTCTGAAAACTCACTTTATTGCTTGAGGAGCATTTTAGTGCATCAAAAATGTCCACCACTGTGGACCTTATGAGCTTACTCTTTTAGTTTATATGAAGCTTAACCTAGGAACTAGTTTCAAAATATCAACATCACTTCAGATTTAAATCTTCTCCCCAGCCCTAGCTCATGCTTGACTTAAGTTCAGGAAACTGCAGTTTGGAACAAAGGAATGTGTCTATTAACAATTTATTTTCTTGTTCCTCACTGCTGCTGCTTCTTATTCCTCCAATGGAGTGGAAAAAGAAAGGCAAGAAAATCTTAGTCCAGCTTTGGTGCTTTTTGGTTAGCTCTTTCCCTTATGAAGTATTTTTTCTGAGTTCATGAAAATCTCCTTCCCACTGGAGACCTCCAATCTCCAGTTTCCTGAAGTAGTTAATGAATACTTAAGCTGATGTCTCACGATCTGCTCACTACCACCACTTCCCACCTCATACAATATATTTCTAGAATATTTATGCAAAAATTACCACAACTCAACAAGCAGACTTCTCAGGTATGACCCTTTTGCAGTATATTTTTGTTATAGGAGTTATTAAGAAATTATTTTAGGCAGATAGAGATGAAAAGGCGTCCTTGGGAAGTTTTTGTTTCTTTTAAAGCAGCTCCAGAAATGTTTCTTGTCTAACAGGAAAGCCCCGGCTCTTAGAGCCTGCAGGCAAGCTTTAATATGCAAATAAAGGCCATTAGAAACTGGGTCCACCAAACATGGTGATTTCCCTTGTCTTCCTCTTGTCCCCACATGTGCCTGGCAACATGGCTGCCCTCACATATCCCCACAACTGGTCTCTAGCACAGTCAGAACACACACAACATTTATTGATAAAGTTCACCATCTTATACGGACATAGCTCATGTTGCCCCAAGATAATGACAATAATAACATCAAAGAGAACTGATCACAGATTACTATTACAGATATAATAATGAAAAAGTTTGAAATATTGTGAGAATTGCCAATATGTGCCACAGAAACACAAAGTGAGCACATGTTCTTGGAAAAATGATGCCTATAGACTTGCTGGAATTGGAGTTGCCACTAACTTTTAATTTGTAAAAAATGCAGTATCTGTGAAGCACTCTAAAGAAAAATGCAGAGCTCCCCAGATATGGGCAGTTTTCCAATCTGGAAAACAGGTGAGGTGCTCAAGATGGCTGACTAGAAGTAGCTAGTATATGCTGCTCTCATGGAGAGAAAACAAAGTGGTGAGTAAATGCTACGACTTCAAGTAGATCATCTAAGATGTCATGTTGGGATTCAACAAGAAAGCAAGAGGACTCACAGAGAAGAGAGGAGCAAAGCCAAGGACTTGCCCACCTGGGACCAGTACAGACCTGGGGAAAGTTCCCTAAGTCAGGAAAGGGTTGATGAGTGAGAGTTCCCAGGGGATCCAAACATCTGCCATGGACCTTTGCAATCCTGGGCATGGGAGAAGCCCTTGACCTCAGTGGAACTCCAAATCAACACAGAGACCAGCCTGGAATCTTTGCAGGGGTACCACTTAAGCCCAGTGGAGCCGCACAGGCCTTGGATCCCTGAGCAGCTAGGCATCAGCTGCCATAGCCCCAGTAGAAGCTACTGTAATGGTGCCAAGGAGTGGCCAGACTGCCTAAGCCAATAGCAATAAAACAGGTCAAAGAAGGGCAATACATAATGATAAAATGTTCAATGCAACAAGAATACTAAACTATCCTAAATATATACATAGCAAACACTGGAGCACCCAGATTCATAAAACAAGTACTTCTAGACCTATGAAAAGACTTAGATGGTTAACAATACTAGTAGGGATTTCAACACCCCAAAGAGAGCATTAGACAGATCATCAAGTCAGAAAACTAACAAAGACATTTTAGACTTCAATTCAACACTTAGCCAATGGGACCTAATAGACATCTACAAAACATTCCACCCATCAACCACAGATTATACATTCTTCTCGTCTGTGAACAGAACATACTCTATGATTGACCATATGCTTGGAGATAAAGCAAGTCTCAATAAATTCAAAAAATTGAAATCATACCAGCCATACTTTCAGACCACAGTGGAATAAAAGTAGAAATCAATACCAAGAAGATCTCTCAGAAGTACACTATTACATAGAAATTAAGCAACTTACTCCTGAATGACTTTGGGGTAAACAATAAAATTAAGGCAGATATCAAAAAAAAATTTGAAATAAATGAAAACAGAGACACAACCAACATGCCAAAATCTCTGAGATGCAGCAAACACAGTATTATGAGGAAAACTTATAGTGCTAAGCACCTACATCAGTAAGTTAGAATGATCTGCAATTCCCAATTTAGTAACACACCAAGAGGAACTAGAAAAGCAAGAACAAACTAACCCCAATGCTAGTAGAATAAATAACTGAAATCAAAGGAGAAAACGAAATCAACTCCTAAATATTCATAAAAAGGATCAATGAAACCAAAAGCTGTTTCTTTAAAAGGATAAACAAAATCAGCAGACTACTATCTAGATTAAAAAGAAAAAAACAGAGGATTCAAATATGCACAGTCAGAAACAACAAAGATGACATTACAACTAATCCTGCAGAAATACAAAAGATCCAGCCGGGAGCGGTGGCTCCAGCCTGTAATCCCAGCACTTTGGGAGCTGAGGTGGATGGATCACGAGGTCAGGAGATGGAGATGATCCTGGCTAACATGGTGAAACCCTGTCTCTACTAAAAATACAAAAAAAAATTAGCCAGGTGCAGTGGCGGGCACCTGTAGTCCCAGCTAATTTGGAGGCTGAAGTAGGTGAATGGCGTGAACCCGGGAGGCAGAGCTTGCAATGAGCCGAGATCGTGCCACTGCACTCCAGCCTGGGTGACAGAGCAAGACTCCATCTCAAAAAAAAAAAAAAAAAAAAAAAAGGAAGAAAGAAATACAAAAGATCCCAGCTGGGTGCTGTGGCTCATGCCTGTAATCCCAGCACTTTGGGAGGCCGAGGTGGGCGGATCACCTGAGGTTGGGAGTTCGAGACCAGCCTGACCAACATGGAGAAACTCCATCTCTACTAAAAATACAAAATTAGCTGGGTGCGGTGGCACATGCCTGTAATCCCAGCTACTTGGGAGGCTGAGGCAAGAGAATCGCTTGAACCTGGGATGCAGAGGTTGTGGTGAGCCGAGATCGCACCATTGCACTCCAGCCTGGGCAACACGAGTGAAACTCCATCTCAAAAAAAAAAAAAAAAAAAAAAAAAGAAATACAAAAGATCCTTAGAGACTCTTATGAACACTTTATCCATGAAAACTAGACAATCTGAAGGAAATAGATAAATTCCTGGAAAGATACAACCTCCCAAGACTAAACCAGGTAGAAACTAAGACCCTGAACATTCCAATAGAGTTTCAACTTGAATCAGTCATAAAATCTTACCAACCAAAAAAAGTCCTGTGCCAGATGAATTCATAGCCAAATTCTATCAGACTTACAAAGAAGAGCTGGTACCAACACTGCTGAAACTATCCCAAAAAATTAAGGAGGGGGTGACTCCTCCCCGACTCATTCTAGGAAGCCAGTATCACTCGATACCAAAATCTGCCAAAGAAATAACAACAACAACAACAACAACAAAATTACGGGTCAATATCCCCATTGAAGCAAAAATCATCAACAAAATACTAGCAAACCAAATCCAGAAGCACATGAAAAAGTTATTTCACCACATTCAAGTAGGTTTTATTCCTGGGATGCAGAATTGATTCAACACATGTAAATCCATAAATGTGATTCAGGATGTAAAGATAATTGAGAACAAAAACCATATGATCATGTCAATAGATGTAGAAAAAGCTTTCAGTAAAATCCAATATCCCTTCATGATAAAAACCCTCAACAAACTAGGCATCAAAGGAACATACCGCAAAACAATAAGAGCGATCTATGGCAAACTCACAGCGAACATCATACTGAATGAATAAAAGCTGGAGGTATTCTCCTTAAGAACTGGAACAAATCAAAGATATCTCCCACTCCTACTCAATATAGTACCGGAAATCTTAGCCAGGGCAGTCAGTCAAGAGAAAGAAAGAAAAGGAATCTAAATAGAAAAAAAATTATCTATCTTTACTAATGATAAGATTCTATACCTAGAAAACCCTAAAGACTCCACCAAAATTCTCCTAGAACTGCTACACAATTTCAGTAAAGTTTCAGAATATAAAATCAACATTAAAAAATCAGGAGCATTTCTATATGCCAAGAATGTTTAAGCTGAGAGCCAAATCAATAATACAATCCCATTTGCAACAGCGAAAAAACAGTAAAACACTAAGAAATACATCTAACCAAGGAGGTGAAAGCTCTCTACAAGGAGAACTCCAAAGTACTGCTCAAAGAAAAATTATAGATGACACAAATAGAAAAACATTCCATACTCATGGATTGGAAGAATCAATATCATGAAAACCACCATATTGCTCAAAGCAATTTATAGATTCAAAGCTATTCCTATCAAACTACCTATGTCATTTCTCACAGAAATAGAAAAATCTATTCTAAAATTCGTATGTGACCAATAAAGAGCCTGAATAGCCAAAGCAATCCCAAGCAAAAAGAACAAGGCTGATGGCATCATTACCTGACTTCAAACTACAAGGCTACAATAACCAAAACACCATGGTACTGGGACCAAAACATATACATAGACCAATAGAACAGGTTAGAGAACCCAGAATAAAGCCACATATCTACAACAGTCTAATCTTTAACAAAGTTGACAAAAACAAGCAATGGGGTAAGAACTCTTATTCAATAGGTGGTGCTGGGATAACCAGCCAGAAATATGCAGAAGAATGGAACTGGACCCCTACCTTTCACCAAATACAATTATTGACTCAAGATGGATAAGACTAAAATGTAAGACCTAAAATTATAAAATTCCTAGAAGAAAACCTAGGAAATATCATCCTGGACAGTGGCTTTGACAAAGGATTTGTGACTGAGTCCTCAATAACAATTGCAAAAACCCCCCAAACTGACAAGTGGGACCTAATTAAACTAAAGAGCTTCTGCACAGCAAAAGAAACTATCAGCAGAGTAAATAGACAACCTACAGAATGGGAGAAGATATTCACAAACTATTCCTTGCAAATATTTAATATCCAGACTCTATAAGGAATTTAAGCAATTCGACAAGCGAGAAACAAATAACCCCATTAAAAAATGGGCAAAGAATAGAGGCAGAGGCGGGCAGATCACGAGGTCAGGAGATTGAGACCATCCTGGCAAACACAGTGAAACCCCGTCTCTACTAAAAATACAAAAAATTAGCCAGGTTTGGTGGCAGAGGCCTGTAGTCCCAGATACTTGGGAGGCTGAGGCAAGAGAATCGCTTGAACCTGGGAGGTGGAGATTGCAATGAGCCGAGATCACACCACTGCACTCCAGCCTGGGGGACAGAGCAAGACTCTGTCTCAAAGAAAAAAAAAAAAAAAAAAAGGCAAAGAACATGAATAGACACTTCTTGAAAGAAGACATACATACAGCCAACAAATATATGAAAAAATGCTCAACATCAATAATTGTTAGTGAAATGCAAATCAAAACTGCAATGAGATACCATCTCACACCAGTCAGAATGGCTATTACTAAAACATCAAAAAATAACAGATGGTGACAAGGTTGCAAAGAAATAAAACACTTATACATCATTGGTGGGAATGTAAATTAGTTCAGCCACTGTGGAAAGCAGTGTGGAGATTTCTCAAAGAATTTAAAATAGAACTACTATTTGACCCAGCAACCCCATTACCAAGTATATACCTAAAGAAAAATACATTGTTCTACTAGGAAAACACAAGCATTTGTAGATTCATTGCAGAACTATTCATAAAAGCAAAGGTATGAAATTATTCTAGATGCCTTTCAATGGTGGATTGGATAAAGAACATGTGGTACAAATACACCAAGAAATACTACATAGCCATAGAAAGAATGCAATCATGTCATTTTCAACAACATGGATGCAGCCAGAGGCCATTATCTTAAATGAATTAATGCATGATCAGAGAACTGCATACTATATGTTCTCATTTTTAAGTGGGAGCTAACATTTGGTACATATAGCTATAAAGGGAGGAACTATACTACCTATTGGGTACAATGTTCACTACTTGGGTAACAGGGTCATTTGTACTCAAAACCTTGGCATCACACAGTTTACCCATATAACAAACTTGCACATATATCCCATGAACCTAAAATATAAGTTGAAATTAAAAAAAAAATACAAACAGCAAAGTGCAGTAAAATGAGTTATGCCTGTATGTCCCTTTAATATATTCATTGTTGGCATCCCAATAAAGCTAATTTTAATCTGAATTGTAATTATGTTAAAGTCTTTGTGTAAAGGCTTATATCTTCTACAAATATGGATTACCTATCATAATGACTTCCACAAAAAAAAAAACTTGATATATGTTTGGAACATCCTATTAATAGCATCAACACTAGCCATATATGATCACAATTGTAAATACATTGTTAGATACAAGTACCAGATAGTCTGTGTTTGAAAGAGACAAACTGCCATTAATGTTAATGTCATACATATATTGATATGTTACTTTTAAAACTGGTTAGAATAATATTCCTGAAACAATTTTTTGAATTATATAATTAGAAAATAGATCATTTTGGCTGGGCACGGTGTCTCACACCTGTAATCCCAGCACTTTGGGAGGCTGAGGTGGGTGGATCACGAGGTCAGGAGATCAAGACCATCCTGGCTAACACAGTGAAACCCTGTCTCTACTAAAAATACAAAAAATTAGCCAGGCGTGGTGGTGGGCGCATGTGTTCCCAGCTACTCAGGAGACTGAGGCAGGAGAATGGTGTGAACCTAGGAGGCAGAGCTTGCAGTGAGCCAAGATCGTGCCACTGCACTCAAGCCTGGGCAACAGAGCAAGACTCCATCTCAAAAAAAAAAAATTGATCATTTCATATTTTATTAGGACTTAGATACTGGTCTATCACATCAGGAGCTTGAACAAATACCAGTGCCTGGGTTTGAGTCAAAAACTCTAAATTTTTTTGGTGTAGGACTCTAATATAGGCATATTTTTTTTAAAAAAAATCCCACAACCAGTTCCTTATATGAACTCACTTCAGAGGCCTGGCATTTAATTTACCCATTAAAAACAAAACAAATAATAAAAAAAAAACAGACTTCTCAATTTAATTAAATTATTCAAGGTCACAGAAGGTAGCTTACCTTCAACTTACTACAGCATAAGGTTACTGTAATTTAAGATTTAATTAAGTTCATTTTAAATATTTTAAAATTCAATAATAAAATACATATGAACTCAAAACTTTCCAATACTTTTCACAGATGAAACATACAGAAAATTACATTGTTTCCCATTTGTAATAAAATTAAAAAGCTACATTAGGACAGAGGTGAAGGGCCAGTCCAGTTCCCCCAAAGGCTAAAAGAATAAAAATCTCAGCATACTTCTAACTGCCAAACACACACATATACAAACACTCAATAAACAAACTCATATTGAAAATCAGGTGTAAGTTTAATTGAGAAATTACCTATATTTTCCTTTTCCTTTTGCAAATTGAAGAGGAAACCTAGAAGTAACAATATGTTTTGATGGAAAAGCAAAGGTAAGCTCTAATTTTTTTTAAATGGCTTGTCTGTGTAAAGAATATTTGAAGTATTGAGAGACAGGACTAGCTGGATTTCCTAGGTTGACTAAGAATTCCTAAGCCTAGCTGGGGAAGGTGACCACACCCACCTTTAAACACAACGCTGGTAACTCAGCTCACACCTGACCAATCAGGTAGTAAAGAAGGCTCACTAAAATACAAATTAGGCTAAAAGAAGGAGGTAAAGAAATAGTCAAATCATATATCACCTGAGAGCACAACGGGGGGACAATGATCAGGATATAAACCCAGGCATTTGAGCAGGGAGTGGCAACCCCCTTTGGGTCCCCTCCCATTGTATGGGAGCTCTGTTTTCAGTCTATTAAATCTTGCAACTGCACACTCTTCTTGTCCGTATTTGTTACGGCTTGAGCTGAGCTTTCGCTCACCATCCACAACTGCTATTTGCCACCATTGCAGACCCGCCATTGACTCCCACCCCTCTGGATCTGGCAGGTTGTGCTCCTGATCCAGCAAGGCACCCATTTCCACTCCTGATCGGGCTAAAGTCTCACCTTTGTTCCTGCACAACCAAGTGCCGAGGTTCATCCTAATCAAGCTGAACACTAGTCAGTGGTTTCCATGGTTCTCTTCCATGTCCCACGGCTTCTGATAGAGCTATAACACTCACCACATGGCCCAAGTTTCCATTCCTTGGAATCTGTGAGGCCAAGAAGCCCAGGTCAGAGAACAAAAGGCTTGCTGCCATCTTGGGAGTGGCCTGCCCCATCTTGGGAGCAGCCCACCATCATCTTGGGAGCTCTAAGAACAAAGATCCGCTGGTAACATTTGGTGGCCTCGTATGGGGATTCTCCAAAGCAGTGAGTAATATCAGACCACTTTTGCTTGCTATTCTGTCCTCTACCTTAGAATTGGAGGAAAATACCGGGCACCTGTCGGCTGGTTAAAAACGATTAGCATGGCCACCGGACTAAAGACTCAGGTGTGAGGCTTCCTGGGAAAAGGCTTTCTAACAACTTCTGGGTTGGGAGAGTTGGTCTGCCTGGAACCAGCTTCCACTTTCACAATTTTCCTAGGGATGCCAAGGGTCAACTAGAGGCAGAAAGCTGTCGTCCTGAACCCCTGGCATTGGCCGGTCGAGATCATGGTGCAGGCTAGAAGTCTCTACTCAACAGTCGCCCATGTGTGCGCCCCTACCTGTCCTTCTGACCCATACCTCTTGGGTCCTAACCATGACTTTCTTGAAAGTGTAGCCCCAAAATTCTCCTTACCTCTGAATCTACTTCCTCCAATCCCTGCCTCCTAGATACTAATGCTTCAGACTTTCACTTTCTCTCCCAAGTATTAGAGTAGGTTGTATCTCCAAAGGGATCTAAGGAAGCGCTATGCTGCATCCTTAGGCATCTAGGCTATGAAACCAGGGAATCTTGTCCCTGGTGCCCCTCCCAATTTAGGTATATAACTTTTGACATGGGCAGTTATGTGGGACCCGTTCTCCACCACTCTTGCCAGGCCCTGAGTTTGTAAATGGCTAGGATTCCTCTCTCATTGTTTAAGATGCTCTCCTCCCCTAATTTCTACCCAGCATCCCCCGACCCACCACCCCACAATGCAATCTTCAATACAATCTTCAAGCCTTGGCTCCTTGGCCAGGGCCTTAGAACTGATGACCTAGTACTTTAACTTCTGGAACTGGGTCTACAACAACATAATAGATCAGGATGAAAGCAAATTGAGTAAACTAAAGGGAGGCACATATTCCTATAGTGGCAAATGGGGTCAACAAGCGAACTTCCTTCTGCTGTTTTCCAAAATCCATCTACAGAGACAGAGAGGAGACAGAGAGAGAGACAGAGATGAGAGAGAGAGAGAGACAGAGAGGAGAGAAAGAGAAAGAGGCAGAGAGAGAGAAAAGGGAGAGAAAGAGACAGAGAGGAGAGAGAGAGAGACAGAGATGAGAGAGAGAGAAAGAAATAGAAAGATAGAAGTAGTAAAGAAAAACAGTGTGCCCTATTCCTTTAAAAGCCAGGGTAAATTTAAAACCTATAATTGATAATCGAAGGTCTTCTCTGTGACCCTATAATACTCCAATACTACCTTGTTGTCAGTGTAAACAAGGGCATAGCCAGAAACACTGAGACCACTGACAACCTGTAGCCTTCCTATCAAAAATTCTTAACCCAGTAACCCACAAATGGCCCAAATGCATTCAATCAGTAGCGGTAACTGCTTTGCTAACAGAAGAAAGTAGAAAAATAACCTTTAGAGGAAACCTTATTGTGAGCACACATAACCAGTTCAGAGCTATCCTAAGTCAAAAAAGCAAAAAGGTAGCTTACTAACTCAAAAATCTTAAAGTATCGGGCTATTCTATTAGAAAACGGTGATTTAACACTAACCACTGAAAATTCCCTTAACCTAGCAGCTTTCCTAACAGGGGATTTAAATCTTAATTACCATACAAAGGTCCTACCAGACCTAGGAGGAACTCCCTTCGGGACACAAGGATAGATGCTTCCTCTCGGGTGATTGAGAAAAAAACCACAATGGGTATTCATTAATTGATAGTGAGACTCTTGTGGAAGAAGAGTTAGGAGAATTCCCTAATCGTTGGTCTGTCAAACGTGTGAGCTGTTTGCACTCAGCCAAGCCTTAAAGTACCTACAAAACCAGCAAGCCCATCTTTTTCTCCTTGCTCTCCTCGTAGGAAAAAGGCACATAAGATAAACAGGATCCCTCTCTCATATTTCGTACCCAAAAGGACTTAATCTGGGGCAACAAAAAGCTTAATATCAATATTTAGGGCATATTCCTACAAAAGTAAAGAAGGACAAAGACCCTAGTGGGCAAAGAACTCCATCTCACTCCTGACTCAAAAGGTTACCTTCACCCTCTCTGAAACGAATTTGCATAAGAACTGTTGTTTATGGGAATGCATCTTGATGGGCAGCCAGGTTGTTATGAAAGACTCAGGAACTCAGCCCAGCTCTAGGACTCACCCCTGAGCACAAAGGCAATGTTGGGCACGCTGGTAAAGGACCACTAGAATCCAGCAGCCCGGATCCCTTTCTTTGTGGTCAAGAAAGGCGGGAAAAGGGGTGCAGGACTGCTACATTGGTGAGCACAACTAATCCGATAAGCAGAGGTCCATGGGTGGTTACACACCGTGGAAAGGACCATAGAGAACACTGTAGAACTAAGCTCATCAGAAAATGACTAGGGGTGCTGGCAAAACATTCCCCCCAAGGCAAAAACACCCCTAAAATGTATTCTGGAGAATTCGGCCTTGTCAGAGTGTATGTACCTTTTTCCCTGTCAGACTTGAAGCAAATTAAAATAGACCTAGGTAAATTCTCAGATAACCCTGTTGGCTATATTGATGCTTTACAAGGGTTAGGACAATCCTTTGATCTGACATGGAGAGATATAATGTTACTGCTAGATCAGACACTAATCCCAAATGAGAGAAGTGCTGCCATAACTGCAGCCTGAGAGTTTGGTGATCTCTGGTATCTCAGTCAGGTCAATGATAGGATGACAACAGAGGAAAAAGAACAATTCCCCACAGGCCAGCAGGCAGTTCCCAGTGTAGACCCTCATTGGGACACAGAATCAGAACATGGAATTGGTGCCACAGACATTTGCTAACTTGCTTGCTAAAGGACTAAGGAAAACTAGGAAGAAGCCTATAGATTATTCAGTGATGTTCACTATAACACAAGGAAAGGAAGAAAATCCTACTGCCTTTCTGTAGAGACTAAGGGAGGCATTGAGGAAGCAAACTCTCTGTCACCTGACTCTGTTGAAGGCCAACTAATCTTAAAGGTTAAGTTTATCACTCAGTCAGCTGCAGACATTAGAAAAAAACTTTAAAAGTCCACCTTAGGCCCAGAGCAAAACTTAGAAACCCTATTGAACTTGGCAACCTCGGTTTTTTATAATAGAGATCAGGAGGAGCAGGCAGAACAGGATAAACGGGATAAAGAAAAGGCCACCACTTTAGTCATGGCCCTCAGGCAAGCACGACTTCGGAGGCTCTGGAACAGGGAAAGTCTGGACAAATTGAATGCCTAATAGGGCTTGCTTCCAGTGCGATCTACAAGGACACTTTAAAAAAGATTGTTCTAATAGAAATAAGCCACCCCCCTCGTCCATGCCCCTTATGTCAAGGGAATCACTGGAAGGCCCACTGCCCCAGGGGACGAAGGTCCTCTGAGTCAGAAGCCACTAACCAGATGATCCAGCAGCAGGACTGAGGGTGCCTGGGGCAAGCGCCAGCCCATGCCATCACCCTCACAGAGCCCCGGGTATGCTTAACCATTGAGGGCCAGGAGGTTAACTGTCTCCTGGACACTGGCGTGGCCTTCTCAGTCTTACTCTCCTGTCCTGGACAACTGTCTCCAGATCTGTCACTATCCAAGGGGTCCTGGGACAGCCACTAGATACTTCTCCCAGCCACTAAGCTGTGACTGGGGAACTTTACTCTTTTCACATGCTTTTCTAATTATGCCTAAAAACCCCACTCCCTTGTTAGGGAAAGACATTCTAACAAAAGCAGGGACCATTATACACCTGAACATAGGAAAAGGAACACCCGTTTGTTGTCCCCTGCTTGAAAAAGGAATTAATCCTAAAGTCTGGGCAACAGAAGGACAATATGGACGAGCAAATAATGCCCGTCGTGTTCTAGTTAAACTAAAGGATTCCACCTCCTTTCCCTACCAAAGGCAGTACCCCCTTAGACCCGAGGCCCAACAAGGACTCCAAAAAATTGTTAAGGACCTAAAAGCCCTACTCCTAGTAAAACCATGCAATAGCCCCTGCAATCCTCCAATTTTAGGAGTAAAGAAGCCCAATAGACAGTGGAGGTTAGTACAAGATGTCAGGATTATCAGTGAGGCTGCTGTTCCTCTATACCCAGCTGTACCTTACCCTTCTACTCTGCTTTCCCAAATACCAGAGGAAGCAGAGTGGTTTACAGTCCTGGACCTTAAGGATGCCTTTTTCTGCATCCCTGTACATTCTGATTCTCAATTCTTATTTGCCTTTAAAGATGCTTCAAACCCAATGTCTCAACTCACCTGGACTGTTTTACCCCAAGGGTTAAGAGATAGCCCACATCTATTTGGCCAGGCATTAGCTCAAGACTTGAGACAGTTCTCATACCTGAACAGTCTTGTCCTTTGGTACATGGATAATCTACTTCTAGCTGCCTGTTGAAAAAACCTTGTGCCATCAAGCCACCCAAGCGCTTTTAAACTTCCTCACCACTTGTGGCTACAAGGTTTCCAAACCAAAGGCTCAGCTCTGCTTACAGCAGGTTAAATACTTAGGGCTAAAATTATCCAAAGGCACCAGGGCCCTCAGTAAGAAATGTATCCAGCCTATACTGGCTTATCCTCATCCCAAAACCCTAAAGCAAATAAAAGGTTCCTTGGCATAACAGGCTTCTGCCAAATATGGATTCCCAGGTACGGCAAAATAGCCAGGCCATTATATACACTAATTAAGGAAGCTCAGAAAGCCAATACCCATTTAGTAAAATGGACTCCTAAAGCAAAAGCAGCTTTCCAGGCCCTAAAAAAAGGCCTTAACCCAAGACTCAGTGTTAAGCTTACCAACGGGGCAAGACTTTTCTTCATATGTCACAAAAAACAGAAATAGCTCCAGGAGTCCTTACACAGGTTCAAGGGACCAGCTTGCAAACCATGGCATACCTAAGTAAGAAAATTAATGTAGTGGCAAAGGGTTGGCATCATTGTTTACGGGTAGTGGCGGCAGTTGCAGTCTTAGTATGTAAAGCAGTTAAAATAATACAGGGAAGAGATCTTACTGTGTGGACATCTCATGATGTAAACAGCATACTCACTGCTAAAGGAGACTTGTGGCTGTCAGACAATCGTTTGCTTAAATATCAGGCTCTATTAATTAAAGGGCCAGTGCTGCAACTGCATACTTGCGCAACTCTTAACCCCGCCACATTTCTTCCAAACAATGAAAAAGATAAAACATAACTGTCAACAGGTAATTGTTCAAACCTATACCACTCGAGGGACCTTCTAGAGGTTCCCTTGACTAATCCCTAACTCAACTTGTATATTAATGAAAATTCCTTTGTAAAAAAAGGACTTCAAAAGCGAGGTATGCAGTGGTCAGTAATAATGGAATACTTGAAAGTAATCCCCTCACTCCAGGAACTAGCTCTCGGCTGGCAGAACTAATAGCCCTCACTCGGGCACTAGAATTAAAAAAAGGGAAAAGGGTAAATATACATACAGACTCAAAGTATTCTTACCTAGTCCTCTACGCCCACACAGCAATATGGAAAAAAAGGGAATTCCTAACTTCTGAGGGAACACCTATCAAACATCAGGAAGCCATTAGGAGATTATTATTGGCTGTACAGAAACCTAAAGAGGTGGCAGTCTTACACTGCCGGGGTCATCAGAAAGAAAAGGAAAGAAAAATAGAAGGAAACTGCCAAGCGGGTATTAAAGCTAAAAGAGCCACAAGGCAGAACTCTCCATTAAAAATGCTTATAGAAGGACCCCTAGTATGGGGTAATCCCCTCTGGGAACCCAAGCTGCTACTCAGCAGGAGAAATAGAACGGGGAACCTCACAAGGACGTAGTTTCCTCCCCTCAGAATGGCTAGCCACCGAAAAAGGAAAAATACTTTTGCCTGCAACTAAACAATAGAAATTACTTAAAACCCTTCACCAAACCTTTCACTTAGGCATTAATAGCACCCATCAGATGGCCAAATCATTATTTACTGGACCACGCTTTTTCAAAACTAACAAGCAGATAGTCAGGGCCTGTGAAGTGTGTCAAAAAAATAACCCCCTGCACTGCAGGCCATACATTTCAATCCCTGTATCTTTTTTTTTTTTTTTTTTGAGATGGAGTCTCGCTCTTTCGCCAAGGCCAGACTGCAGTGGTGCAATCTCGGCTCACTGCAAGCTCCACCTGCTGCAATCCCTGTATCTTTAACATCCTTGTTAAGTTTGTCTCTTCCAGAATCAAAGCTATAAAACTACAAATTGTTCTTCAAATGGAGCCCCAGATGCAGTCCATGACTAAAATCTACTGCAGACCCGGACCAGCCTGCTAGCCCATGCTCCAAGTTAATAACATCAAAGGCACCTCTCCAGAGGAAATCTCAACTGAACAGCCCATACTACACCCCAATTCAGCAGGAAGCAGTTAGAGCAATCATCGGCCAATCTCTCAACAGCACTTGGGTTTTCCTGTTGAGAAGGGAGACTGAGAGACAGGACTGACTGGATTTCCTAGGCCGACTAAGAATTCCTAAGCCTAGCTGGGAAGGTGACCGCATCCATCTTTAAACATGGGGCTTGCAACTTAACTCATATCTGACCAATCAGGTAGTAAAGAGAGTTCACTAAAATGCTAACTAGGCAAAAACAGGAGGTAAAGAAATAGCCAATCATCTATTGCCTGAGAGCACAGGGGGAGGGATAATGATCAGGATATAAACCCAGGCATTTGAGCTGGCAATGGCTACCCTCTTTGGGTCCCCTCCCTTTGTATGGGAGCTCTGTTTTCACTCTATTAAATCTTGCAACTGCACACTCTTTTGGTCCGTGTTTGTTACGGCTTGACCTGAGCTTTCGCTTGCTATCCACCACTGCTGTTTGCCACCGTTGCAGACCCACCACTGACTTCCACCTCTCTGGATCCAGCAGTGTGTTCACTGTGCTCCTGATCCAGCGAGGCGCCCGCTGCCACTCCTGATCAGGCTAAAGGCTTGCCATTGTTCCTGCACGGCTAAGTGCCCAGGTTCATCCTAATGGAGCTGAACACTAGTCACTGGGTTCCACGGTTCTCTTCCGTGACCCATGGCTTCTAATAGAGCTATAACACTCACTGCATGGCCCAAGATTCCATTCTTTGGAACCTTTGAGGCCAAGAACCCCAGGTCAGAGAACAAGAGGCTTGCCGCTATCTTGGAAGGGGCCTGCCACCATCTTGGGAGCTCTGGGAGCTAGAACCCCCCAGTAACACTTTCACTTAGGCATTGATAGCACCCATCAGATGGCCGAATCATTATTTACTGGACCAGGCCTTTTCAAAACTATCAAGCAGATAGTCAGGGCCTGTGACGTGTGCCAAAGAAATATTCCCCTGCACTTCAGGCCTACATTTCAATCCCTGTATCTTTAACCTCCTTGTTAAGTTTGTGTCTTCCAGAATCAAAGCTATAAAACTACAAATCATTCTTCAAATGGAGCCCCAGATGCATGACTAAGATCTACTGTGGGCCCCTGGACAGCCTCCTAGCCCATGCTCCTATGTTGATGACATCAAAGGCACTCCTCCTGAGGAAATCTCAATTGCACGACCCCTACTATGCCCCAATTCAGCAGGAAGCAGTTAAGAGCGTTGTTCGGCCAACTTCCCCAACAGCACTTGGGTTTTTCTGTTGAGATGGGGGACTGAGAGACAGGACTAGCTGGATTTTCTAGGCTGACTAAGAATTCCTAAGCCTAGCTGGGGAAGGTGACTGCACCCACCTTTAAACACAGGGCTGGTAACTCAGCTCACACCTGACCAATCGGGTAGTAAAGAGGGCTCACTGAAACACAAATTAGGCTAAAAGCAGGAGGTAAAGAAACAGTCAAATCATATATCGCCTGAGAGCACAACAAGGGGACAATGATCGGGATATAAACTCAGGCATTCAAGCAGGGAGTGGCAACCCCCTTTGGGTCCCCTCCCATCGTATGGGAGCTCTGTTTTCACTCTATTAAATCTTGCAACTGCACGCTCTTCTGGTCCGTGTTTGTTACGGCTTGAGCTGAGCTTTTGCTCACTGTCCACCACCGCTGTTTGCCGCTGTTACAGACCTGCCATTGACTCCCACCCGGGTCCACCACTGCTGTTTGCCACCATCTCAGACCCACCATTGACTCCCACCCCTCTGGATCTAGCAGAGTGTCTGCTGTGCTCCTGATCCAGCAAGGTGCCCATTTCTGCTCCCGATCGGGCTAAAGGCTCACCATTGTTCCTGCACAGCTAAGTGCCTGGGTTCATCCTAATCAAGCTGAACACTAGTCGCTGGGTTCCATGGTTTTCTTCCGTGACCCACAGCTTCTAATAGAGCTATAACACTCACCGCATGGCCCAAGATTCCATTCTTGGAATCTGTGAGGCCAAGAACCCAAGGTCAGAGAACAAAAGGCTTGCTGCCATCTTGGGAGCGGCCCGCCCCATCTTGGGAGCTCTAAGAACAAAGACCCACAGGTAAGAGCGTCAGTATTCCCACTGATTAATTTCAGCATTGCAAAAATTTAAAAATTCTTTCCATATAATTAATGTTTATTTTTGGAATATTACTAGCTAGGTATTTGAGTTTAGAAGGAAAAACTAGTTTGTACCATATTTTGCTTTATAATAATTTTTTGAAGTAAATATTCATTGTTTTTAATACCATTGAATTTAAATTGATTTTTTTTTTCCCTTGAACTAGGGAATACAACTTCCTACCCTTCATATTTCAGGAGAATCCTAAGACATAGCTAAGAATGAAAGCTCATCAAAGTTGTGGTCTATGATCTAAGAGAGCATTTGATGCTCAATAGCTACTGTGGAAGCAAAGTCCTGGGATTGGCTGCAGCAATTGCTAGGATCTTGATGACAATTTTTTGGCCTCGAAGTATGAAAAAAAAAAAGAAAAAGAAAATAAAACATCTCTGTGGAAGTTAACTTCTATGAGAAATGTATGATTTGCTGGTTTTGAAAAGAATTCAGCTGTGTGCAGTGGCTCATGCCTGTAATTCCAGCCCCTTGGGAGGCCAAGGTGGGCAGATCACTTGAGCCCAGGAGCTGGACACTGAGCCTGGGGAAAAATTTTTAAAAATTAGCCAGACATGGTGGTGCATGTCTGTGGTCCCTGCTTCTCAGGATGCTGTGGTGGGAGGATCGATTGAGTCCAGGAAGTTGAGGCTGCAGTGAGCTCTGACAGCACCACTGCATTCCAGCCTAGATGACAAAGGGACATCCTGTCTCAAATAAATAAATAAATAAATGAAGATAGAGAGAAGAAAAAAGAATTTACATTTAACATATTTTCCTCCATATCTGTATGTAAAGATAATATTCTACTAAAAGGCCAGGTGAGTTTAGGGGTTTTATTAGAATGCTCTCCTGTTTAGATATCGTAGGTTAAAATGTTAACATATTATGACTGTTCATTTGAGAAACTTAAGTGTTGCTTATTTTTTTTTAACCAAAAATTTAAGGAAAAAGAAGAAAAGCACATCCCTAAAGATATACAATGTTTCTGCAGATTGGTGAACCTGAAATTGTTGCTGATTGTATTATAAGTAGTAATAGAAAGCATAAAGATTTCAGCTGTGTTTGTTTCATTTGTGCTTTGATTATTTGGATCTCTGGTATTACCAAGAAAAATATAAGCATCTAATATGAATTTGTTGGGTGACAACTGTCTAATTATAAAACTTTCCCAATCTTAATAATTGTGGTACTAATGTGATTTATTTGTTGTGTTGTTACAGTTGCTGGTAATATTGAATTGAGTTTCAGCAATTTGGAACAGTGCTTAAGTGGGATTTATGATTATGTCCATAAATCTGTGACCAGGGTCCTCTGAGGAACTAGGTCTACATTTTATTAGCAGACAAATAATCCCCAGAACTGAAAAACGCCAGGAACCAAATGAATGTAACTGGCTTTTAAAGAACACTCCAGCAAACAGCTGCAGAATAAATATTATTTTAAATGCACATGGAGAGTCATTAAGACAGACCATTGTCCTGGGTCAAAAACAAACCTTAACAAATGTTTTCTAACCACAATACAATTAAACTACAAATCAGTAATAAAAAGAAAACTGGGAAATGTTCAAATACTTGGAAATTAAACAACACACTTCTAAATAAATTATGGGCGAAAGAAGTCTTTAAGACTGATGGTTAGATGAGGAGGTTTTAGACATGGTAACTAAAGCACAATCCATAAAAGAAAAAATAAATATACTGTGCATCCTCAAAGTTAAAATCTTGTGTTCTGTGATAGACGCTAATAAGAGAATAAAAAGATAGCTACAGACTGTGAGAAAATATTTTCATATCATTGATTCAACAAACAACTTGTACGCTGAAATGCATAAAGAACTCTTAAAACTGAAAACATGACTCACGCCTGTTATCTTAGCACCTTGGGAGGTCAAAGTGGGAGGATATCTTAAAGTCAGGAGTTCAAGACCAGTCTGGGCAACAAAGCGAGACCCTGTCTGTTAAAATTAGCAGGAGATTTGCTTGAGCCCAAGAAGGTCAAGGATGCAGTGAGCTATGATTGTACCACTTCACTCCAGCCTGGCTAACGAAACAAGACTTTGTCTCTTTAAAAAAACAAAAAACAAAAAAACAAAAAGCTCCAAAATCCCCAAAAAACAAAACTCAACAATTAAAAAACAAAAAATCCAATTAAAAAAAAGTAGTCAAAATATTTGAGCAGACATTTCTCTAGAGCATGGATGGTACATAAGCTTATGAAATGTTTAATGCTTAAGTTCATTAGCCATTAGGAACATGCATATAAATACCAAAATAAGATACTTATACAAACATATGTGACTAAAAAACAAAACAACAAAAAACTGGTAATACCAACTGGGGGTGAATATGGGGAACAACAGACATTCCCACACATTACTGGTGGCAATGCAAAATGCAAAATGGTACAGCCACTCTGGAAAAGTTTGCCAGTTTCTTATAAAGTTAAAAATATACCTATAATATGATCCAGCAATCAACTTATAGCATTCTAAAACGACTTGACAAACTGTGGTTTGAGTTCCAAATCAAGCCCATGACCTGTTTTTGTATGGCCTGAAAGCTAAGAATGTTTTTACATTTATAAATGGGAGAAGAAAAACTAGGAGAAGACAAAGGAAAAAAAGAAGAGAAAGAATATATGAGACCTGGAAAGATGCAGTAGCTCACATCTGTAATCCTAGCACTTTGGAAGGCCAAGGAATAAGGACTGCTTGAGCTTTGTTCAAGATTAGACTAGGCAACACAGTGAAACCTCATCTCTACAAAAAGTTAAAAAATGAGACTGGTGTGGTGGTGCACGCCTGTAGCCCTGGCTACTCAGGAGGCTAAGATGGAAGAATTGCTTGAGCCAGGGAGATCAAGGCTGCAGTGAGCTGTGATTATGCCACTGCACTCCAGCCTGGGTGACAGGGCAAGACCTTTTCTAAAAAAATAAAAATAAAAAAAGAATACATGAGACCTGTCAAGAGTGAAATATTTACTATCTGATCTTAAAAAAAAAATTTAGATAAAAAATTTACACTCACACAAAATCCTGTACATGAATGTTAATAGTAGCTATTCATAATCACCAAAATTGGACACAGCTCAAATGGCCTTTAGTGGACAAATGAATAAACTACTGTAGTCCATTCTTGGGGTAGAATACTATTCAGCAATAAAATGAAACACTTCATTGACATAACTTTGCTTAATCTCAAAGGCATTTCCTTAAGTAAAGGAAACCAGTCTCCAAAGACTAAATACAGTATATAATTTCTTCATATGTTATTCTGGAAAAGACAATGGGGATATAAAATAGATTAGTGGTTATCAGGGATTAGAGGTATAGTGGAGAGATTGGTTACAAAGGGCTAGCATAAAGGAGTCTTTTGGGGGTTATGAAATTGTTCTATATACTGAGAGAAGGTGTGTTAATATAATTCTATACATGTGTTAAATCTCAGACTGTACAACAAAATATTCCAATTTATGGAATGTGTATTTAAATATTAACAATATCAATAATAAACTCTCCTGATGAACAAGTTATTTCATACTTCTGTCATTAGGAAAGAGAACATTCTACCAATCCTTCTTAATGGGGGATAAGAGCAGATCTTAGGATGAAATTAAAAAATAAAATGCTGGGAACATCATGGTCCAGCATCACTTGTTAAATAGAAGTATGAACAGAAAAAGGTGTGTAGTGACAGGGTGTCACTATGTTGCCCAGGCTGGTGTTGAATTCCTGGACTCAAGCCATCCTCCTGCCTCAGCCTTCCAAAGAGTACTGGGTTACAGGGGTGAGCCATATACTTGGACAAAAAGAAGCAGTTTTAGCTGTCTGGCTTAAATAATTGAACTATGGCATTAGTTTAAAAAAGAAAATATATATTCTTCCATCTCTCTCTATATATGGAAACATACATATTTTCATTTTAAACCTATTTTCTATTAAACATATTTTCTTAAATACATATTAAGTTGTGGCATTCACATGCCACAAGTTGATACTCGCATACTGGCTACAGAAAAACTGGTTAACCCTAAAGAAGGAGTTCCTGAAAGGGGGTACGAGGCAGTTTTCCCAAGTGCTGGCAATGTTATGTTTCTTGATCTAGGATCTTGTTACACAGAGGTGCTCATGTTGTAAAATTTGTAGAGATGTATGATTTCTGCATTTTACTAAATAAAAAAGTATATTCTTTTTACTATTATTCAGAAGGTAGTGAGTGAAGATTTTTTTGTGTTGCTATGTACCTCATAATATTAAATTTCCTGGTGGTGCACTGAGGAAATATTCATGTCCTTTTTCCAATAGGGATGCCCCATACAAGGCTATGCTCCCAACAAGCTTCTTGGACTTTGAATATAATTCCTATAATTTCAGGAAGAAGATGGAGAAAAATGTAGGATCACTACAGTCTACTTGCACACACTCCTTAGATACTCTTGCCTAATTTTGAACCCATTAGTTCTCTCTGAGGTCTAGATTGATGAGTGGTATGGCATCTGAGGGAGAGACACTTCGTATTTCGAGGATTTCAAAAGAGATTTTCCACGCCTTTGTGGATAAAATTCCTTGAGGAAAGAGTTCATATGGCAAGACAGAAAAGACCAAACATTGTCCCAGGCAAAGGTGAAAGTGTACTCTCCTTGTAAGAATCTTTCTATTCCCAGTCCTTTGTCCTGTGGCTGAGGTATGTTATGCCTGGTATCATATTGCCCAAAAATATGGAAAAGTTGGTTGGGACCTTGAGATTTCTTTGTAAAATCTCAATCTGGCTAATGTTGACCTTAGACATTGGGGCCAATATATCCTTAGAGAGTAGGGAAAGATTGTCTTCAGCAATTTGCATTATCTTAGAATATTGGGCTCCATGAGCTGAAAAAGGTGGGAATAGACAACAGATCCAGCATGCACTCTGCTTGGCTGAAAATCACATTCACCTCTGTTATCTGTCTGTCTGTCTCTTTTTTTTCCCATACCATCTTCTCAATGCACAATCATATTCAAGCCCCCACCTTGCTTGAAAAAAGCATTCATTCATTTCCTTTTGTTCCTTGTTATGTTTCCTTTTACAGCAAGGTTTCTTGGAAAAGAAGCCTAAAAATCTCATTTCCGATACTTTACTCCTTCAATGACATCTAGAAATGTACATAGTTTCCCTGCCTGTCATTCCAGTGAAGCTGTTAAAGTTAAGACAATTTAATAAAGCTCTCCTGACTGCTAAATGAAAGGCTTATACAGTCTTTGTGATAGCTGATGATGGCAAGCCCTCTGATTTCTTTGAATATGTCTCTTCCCTTGGTTTTAGAACACGACACTTTCCTTGTTCTTCTGTGTCTCTGGCTCTTTCTAGAGTTCTTTCTTTGTCAATGCCTAGAATTTTGTTTCTACCACCTTCTTCTCACTTAGGTATGATGCCAAGATAATATCATCCGTACCCACAGTTTCAACTATTACCTAAATGCTGATGACTGTCAAATTTCTACCTTCTAACTAAACTCAACTGCTAGTTGTACCCTACATGCATTTCATTTTTCCTTTACAGAAATAGAATTGTTAGCTTTGCATGTGGCCACCAAGAACAAAAATTGTGTTTTAGACTCAGTCTTCTTTGCAGATAGGCAGGGCCATGACCAAACACTGGCCCAGGGGCTTAGGTCTATATATGCGTTAAAACTCATGAGGCAAACTGAAACCTTTCTCAAGGGAGAGTGCACACACATTATTTGTCTTTTCTTCTTTGTCACTGCCTGATTCTCACTGCTTGTAACAGCTGCCACTTGGACTCGGAGGTCAAGGCCACAGGTGACAGGGCAACAAGAGATAAACAAACAAATAAAAAACTAGTTCCTCTTTCAATGAATAGTTTCCAAAACAAGTTAATTGTATCAGTGAATATCACCACTATTCACCTAAAACAGAAATTATGGCTCATGGTATGCCTCTCCTACTACTAAATCAGGTTTATTTAATGAGTATTTCATGTATTTACTGAATATTTTCCTTTACCTCCACTTCTATTACATTTACTTCTTCAGACTTACTGTTAGGTACCCACACGCACTCATTTACTCTTCACCCTATTATACCAATCATCCTAGTACCCTATATTCCCTATTCCGTACCTTATTATTTACCATTTACCAATACCCAGCTTTTTACATGACATTCTTTGATCATGTAAAACTATTCTTAGGGATCAAAGTAACTATGCTTTCTCTTGTGTGTTTGCAAATGCTGTTCCCTCTTCATGATTGGACGTCACTCCACACTAAGGTCTGCCTAGGTGACTCCCACACATTCACAGAGAAAGAAGACAGTTCCTACACTCAGGGAGCAGACAGTCCAATGCAAATGAAATAACAAGGTTACAAATATGTCCACTAAATGCAGAATTTAAGTAACATGAAAGGCTCCCAATATTGGCCAGGCATGGCGGCTGACGCCTGTAATCCCAACACTTTGGAGTCTGAGATGGGCAGATCACTTGAGCTCAGGAGTCTGAGACAAGCATGGGCAACATGGTGAAACCCTGTCTCCACCAAAAATACAAACAGTTATCTGGGTGTAGTGGTATGCATCTGTAGTCCCACCTAATTGGGGGGCTGAGGAGGGAGGATTCTTTGAGTTCAGGGGGTGGAGGTTGCTCTGAGTCAAAATTGCACCACTACACTCCAGCCTGGGTGACAGAGTGAGACCCCATCTAAAAAAAAAAAAGTCTCAATGTCTACAAAATTAAACTTTTAACTAAGGAATACTCTTAATTGTTTTCTTATGAAAGTTAGAGATTTATCAGACTATCAAAATTACAGTTATAAATACATGTCCTTTTATAGCTGGATAAAATCTTTTATTTAACATATCTTTATCTGTTGTTGAATAAAAGATTCTAGTTTATAGAGAAAAGTATGCTTTCCTGTATTTCATGCACTGATAACTCATATCTGTCACAGCCTTCTAAGCCTAAAAGCAGTTGAGTTTAAGAGGCTCTCTATTATGTTATATGGAAGCCCTGGAGACAAACTGAAGCATGATTATTTTGCTATGCCAATTTTATCTGAGTCCAAACAATTACATGTGCAAAATTATAAAAGATCTTGTTTGGATAACTTTAAATTTTATAAGTACTTACTAAAGTCTACTAAAGTTGGGTGTCAATTTACTGATCTCTCTCCTGGATGTGTGGTAAGATTGAAGGAGAGGGTTATTTGACTATGAAAAGAATATTGAAAGCAGCACCGTTTTTTTTTCTCCAAATATAGTTTAATAGTAAAAAAATTCTTTGAGTTAATAATCTTCTATATAGATCAAAATAACAGCAAGTTCAGTAGATTACTGTTTGCCTAGGCTAGAGATAAAAAAATGGAATGAAGAAATGTTCTAAAATTGGATTATAATGGTACTGTAATCATATGCAATTACTAAAAATTATTAAATTGTATACTTAAAATGGATGAATTTTATGGTCCATAAATTATACTTCAATTGAGTGATTTTAAAAAAGTAAAAGCAGGATTGAGTCAAGACACATGGGCTAGCAGTCACAATATTTGGAACCCATTTCTGGTTCTGCTATTAGCCAGCTATATTAACTGGACATTTTCACTTAAAATTCCTAAGATATATGAGAGAAGGAGTTTATATCCTTAAGAGAAAAAAAATGAAACATTACCACTTATATTTATTTTAGTTTAAAATTAAATGTATACATTATGAGCAACTTAAGACAAAAAGGAAAGCAATGACCAAGGAGTTTATGAAAACTATCTCCAACGGTTGTCTAAGAACTGCAAATTCAAAGAAGAATGGAATAATTATTTTATTATCTAATGAGCAAAGATTCTTAAAACTGCTAATCCTGCCTGGCATGGTGGCTTACACCTGTAATCCCAGCACATTGGTAGGCTGAGGCGGGAGGACTACTTGAGTCCAGGAGTTTGAGACCAGCCTGAGCAACATGGCAGAACTCTGCCTTGACAAAAAATACAAAAATTAGCTGGGCATGGTGGCACGCACCTGTAGTTCCAGCTACCCCAGGAGCTAAGGTAGGAGGATTACTTCAGCTTGGGAGGTCAAGGATGCAGTGAGCTGAGATCACGCCACTGCACTCCAGCCTGGGTGACAGAGCAAGACCCTGTCTCCAAAAAACAGAAACAAAAACAATCCTACTGATCCCCAAAGTTAGTGAGGCAATTGTCTTTACTGTTGGAGGAAATGTAAATTTGCACAACTTGTTTCTGGGATGGCAGTTTGACACTCTGAAAAAGATTGTCTTTGTCCTGTGTCTGTGCAAAAGCCATATATCTTATGGGGCTATCCAGTATGCTTTCAGAAATTTAGGTATGAGGATGTTTCAAACAGGAATATTTATTATTTTAAAAATTTTAGAAAGATATCTTTCCACATGTATGCCTTGCATTTCTCTTGCTTTTCTTTTTATTTCTTTCTTATATCTTCCTTTTTTCCTCCCTTCTTTCTTTTCTTTCCTTCTCTCTCTCTCTTCCTCCTTTCTTTTGCTTGTTTATTTTTCAGCTGTGCTCTTTAGGACAATGTTGAACATAAGTACAAAAGCTGATTAAAAATATTTTTGACCCCTTTCTCTGATAACATCTCAGGCACCATCTAAGAATAGAAAATGAAAGTACTTATTTTAATAAAATTTATATTAGAAACCCAGAGAAAACATAATATATAATAGAAAAACATCAAAAAAGTACAGGCTATGCCTGTAGACTTTCTTCAAGATTAAAAAAAAAAATCTCATATTGGGAGTTGTGATCCTTTCATTTGTTCAAAACTTGTTTATTTCTGTTCTGTTTTTCATTGTTCAGAACTGCTAAAGAAAGTTTATTTTCTTGGTGTTATGCTAGTCTCCAAAAATAATCCAACATGCTTTACCATTTTTAGATGCTCTTGGAAGGCTTTAATAAGATAGGGAACACTGGTTTCCTGATGAATTCACATCTTGTCAAAACAAAAAAGAAGGAAATTTCAACACCGTTGGGGGTCAGAACATAGTATTCTAAAATACAGTGCCTTGGAATGCTGAGTACTTGGAACTGAAGGAGATTTGAGAGGGCCTCAGAAACAAGGTCTTTCTGATCTTCTCCAATCCCCTGCCCTGTGTCCTGCAGCCAGGTGAGTCAAAGAAACTGAAATCCTCTCCTACAGCAAGCCTTAAAACCTAGAAAGCTCACGCACTGACCTTTTCCCTTCTCCCGGATAGACTTTCATATGACAGGTGTCCTGCCCTATATGCAGAGGGAAGAAATGCTACACCGAGGGAGCAAGAAGAATCCAAAAATACAGGACTTGCTGAGTCCCCCCGCCACTGTCTGTTGATTACGGTTAGATCATATTTCATTCCAATTCTATTTAGTCACATCTATTCATTTCTTTCATTCAACTTAGCATAAAATCTCAAGTTTTCCCTGGGTTTTTCTCTTGCTAACCTGTCTTTGTTATAGAAACATCAGCCATGCCCCTTGTGATGGTTATGAAAAATGTGTTATCTTTTTGCTCCTACATCATGTGCTCCTGAGTTGGTACCTCTGTTCAGCATAAACGTGGACCACGACCAGGCTCAGCTTCACCTGTGCTCCATGAGGCTCACTTCCTCACTGTGCTGTCATCTTTGTTCAGATGGCACCTCACCATATTTCTGTGGGTAAGGTCACACCCTTATCTTCACAGCCCTCATTATCATTTAGAGTGCTACATGATGGTAGAGCATAATTGTTTCTAAGTTTGGTTATTATCTGTTGTCATACTAGATACACGTTCAAGTATGCGACAGCTTTGCTCTTTGGTTCTCTGAACCGTTCTGACAGAAGTGTCTCGAGTAGGGTAACTGACTATTAAATATTTGCCGAATACATGAATCCTTAGACATTAAGATGCAACTGGCGTGAGAATAGTAAGAAGGGGAATTAATTGACCCAACTCTAGGATACCATCTTATCCTAGAGGATCTAGAATAGAAGGCTGGGCCTCACCTTAACAATCTGATTCAGTAATTCTGAGTTAGGACACAAGAACTTGTATTTTTAATAAGATCTCTAGTGAACCTCATGCTTTTGGTCAAGGGATCACATTTTGACAATCACTGATGTAGAAGAACACTTGGGGTTAATAAAGTTTTACATCATTCAAAATTATTAGAATAATTATTGTTATTTAGAGACAGGGTCTTGCTCTGTCACCCAGGCTGGAGTTCAGTGGTGTGATCATGGCTCACTGCAGCCTTGAACTACTGGGCTTAGGTGATCCTCCCACTTCAGCCTCCAGAGTAACTGGCAGTAAAAGCACATGCCATCACGCCTAATTAATTTTTGTATTATTTGTACAGATGGGGTTTTGTCATGTTGCCCAGGCTGGTATCAAACTTCTAGACTCAAGTGATCCTCCAGCCTCCGCCTCCCTAAGTGCTGGGATTACAGATGTGAGCCACCGTGTCCAGCAAAACTATATTTTTTAAACAAGCAAACTATTTAAATTCTTTATTAAACCAATTTCTATCTCTTATCTTTAAGAATCAGCAATGACTTATCCAAGGTTGTAATCCTTCAGTTACTTTCTATTGGATAACTAATCAAAATCAATATTATACCTATAATTAGGATACTAAGTCAACTTTTAAGTATAACAGAAGTGATTATATGTACAATGCTGCTTTTCTCTAAGGGGAAAACGTTTTTATTTTTGATAAATATTTAAAATGCTGTGCTAAAATGCACCTAAAATTTATTCTGTTAACAATTTTAAGTGTACAATTCAGTTAAGTACATTCACATTATTGTGCAACCAATCTCCAGAATTTTTCTACCTTGCAAAATTGAAATTTTATACCCATTAAACAATAACTCCTCATTTCTCCCTCTCCAAGTTCCTGACAACTACCATTCTACTTGGTTTTTATGAATTTGACCAATCTAGATACTTGGTATAATTGGAATTACACAGTATTTTTCTTTTTGCGTCTGGATTATTTCACTTGGCATGATGTTCTCATAGTTCATTCATGTGAACCATGTAGAGCATGGTTCTTTTTAAAACTTAATAAGGTTCCATCATATCTATTGATGATGGGTTAATTCCACCTTTTGGCTATTATGAATAATGCTATGATGAACATGAGTGTACTAATATCTTTTGGGGATCTTGCTTTTAATTCTTTTGGCAATATATCCTGAAGTGAGATTGCTGGATCATGTGGTAATTCTATTCTTTGGTTTTTGAGGAAACTGCCATACTCTTTCCTACAGTGGCTGCACCATTTTACATTCCCACTAAGAGTGCACAAGGGCTGTAATCACTCTATATCCTAGCCAATATTTATATCCTGCACTTTTTAATAGTAGTCATAGAAAAGGGTGTGAGGTGATATCTCACTGTGGTTTTGATGTGCATTTTCCTGGTGATTAGTGAGGTACAATGCTATTTTGTTGTTGTTGTTGTTGTTGTTGTTGAGATGGAGCCTCGGACTGTCGCCCAAGCTGGAGTGCAGTGGTGCAGTCTCCGCTCTCTGCAAGCTCTGCCTCCCGGGTTCAAGCCATTCTCCTGCCTCAGCCTCCCGAGCAGCTGGGACTACAGGCGCCCGCCACTACGCCCGGCTAATTTTTTGTAGTTTTAGTAGAGATGGGGTTTCACCGTGTTAACCAGGATGGTCTCAATCTCCTGACCTCGTGACCCGCCCGCCTCGGCCTCCCAAAGTGCTGGGATTACAGGCGTGAGCCACCGCGCCCGGCTGTACAATGCTATTTTTAAACTGGGTTCTGACTCAGTACAGGAGCCCTGTAGGCCAGAGAGCACATCAGGGCAGGGCCACCATCAACCAGACCTGACTTGTCTCATGTGGGTCCTCGCTGTTTCTAAAGGTTTCCACATTGTGTGATGCACATATCACCAAGCCCCTTATCTCCCATTTCCGTTAAGAATTCCTTTCCTAAATTTTATTTCCTCACAATTCACTCCCATAGCAGTATTTTATCCCTTACAATTCAAATAAAAATGTCCTTTTAATTTTCGATTCTAGAATGACCTAGAAGATTTTTCTTCTATGGTCTCAGATCACTTATAGCCTCATTTTATTTCGTCTCTTCTAGCTGTCATTTCCATCAATATCTCCCTCAACTTATACTACACAATTTTAAGTCAGATACAGGTATTTCTCTTCTTTCATTCTTCCAGAATTCTATAGGTTGTTGGGTACATAGCTGAAGACAAATAGGTGTTTTTAACATTTATTACATAGTATATATTAGTGTTATACAAACCAGACATCCTAAAATTGTATTAGCTGACCTTCATGGCTCCTGAGTACTGGACCCAAAATTGTACCTTATTTAATCTGAATAAAAATGGAATCAGACTATTATAAAGGATGCGAAACCCAGTTTGGTAGACTAATTCCATTCAACCTGGGAACCTTTTTTATTAATGTAAAATGGAGTAAAGCTAAATATGATGAATCATTTTTTATTGTTATACCTTTGCTACTTATGTTTTATTTTTTTAAATGACTTCCTCAAACCCAGAACAGAGTCAGATTACTACATTATTTTAAAATGTAGTATGTATTTGTTGGGCATTTGTTGTTTCTTTTCTTGGTAACTCTTACACTCGCCATCTTTACAGCATGCAAAGATGGCTATTCATATAACATCTCTTCTAATATATCCAGGTCACAAAACAATATTTTCTCTAAGACAAACATCATATTATTATAAACTAAGTGCCAGAATATAAGAGCTATTCTAACACTGCATTCTAAAATAATTGCTTTGAATCCCAAGTGCTTAGAGAACAAGTAAATGTATCTGCCTGTAATTTTCAATCAGTCACTCAATTGTTCAGAGAAGTAGTTGACAGTATAAGTACCCTGCATGTATTTCATTCAGAGGAGGGGAGAAAACAGATAATTTGAGGCTAAGGTAGGCTGACAGGTTGATTGAGAGCACCAGGGATCTTCTGCTTTTCAAACATAATTGCAACAGCTCTATTATGTAATACAACAATGATTTTCAAAGATTATAATAAACACATGCAGTAGCAAAAATAAATAAATAAATAAAATTTAAAAACCTTCCCAGCATTCTTACCTGGAGGCAGATCCTGTATTTTGGGAATATAAAAGCACTCCCTGAAGTGCCTCAGCTTATCTTCCTCATCTAGGTGGAGAGCCACCCTCTCATCCGTTGGGTGGCATTTGAGTTCAGCCGCAATGCGCTGCACTGTGTCAGCCGGCAGCTCAAGAGATGAAGGCTCCATTACAAGTTGTTCTCTAAAACTGAAAGAGAATAATAAAACATAATCTAGCCACCATAATTTTCCTGTAGAAAATGAGCCCTTTAGGTAATACACCTTTTGTTTTCACTAAGACTCCCTTTTCCCAACCTCAGGAATAATATACTTAACCAACCAGCATTAAACTCCATGCATGAGTTTTTCTCATATATGAAAAGAAGAAAATAGGCCAGGCATGGTGGCTCATGCCTGTAATCCCAGCACTTTGGGAGGCCGAGGTGGGCGGATCACTTGAGGTCAGGAGTTTGAGACCAGCCTGGCCAACATGGTGAAACCTCATCTCTACTAAAAAAATACAAAAAATGGCTCAAGTGATCCGCCCACCTCGGCCTCCCAAAGTGCTGGGATTACAGGCATGAGCCACCACGCTTGGCCTATTTTCTTCTTTTCATATATGAGAAAAACTCATGCATGGAGTTTAATGCTGGTTGGTTAAGTATATTATTCCTGAGGTTGGGAAAAGGTGGCATGGTGGCAGGCGCCTGTAATCCCAGCTACTAGGGAGGCTGAGGCAGGAGAATCGCTTGAACCCAGGAGGTGGAGGTTGCAGTGAGCTGGGATTGTACCACCGCACTCCAGCCTGGGTAACAGAGCAAGACCCTGTCTCAAAACACAAACCAAAAAAAAAAAAAAAAAAAAAAAAGGAAAAGAGAAACAAAATAATAGTAACTTAGAGATATTGAAAGGACTAAATTAGATAATAGTGCTCAGGACAGAGTAAGTTCCCAATAAATGTTAGCTCATTCCATTCTTATTATCTAGAAATATGTACCACACTTGTGGCTTCCAAATATATATAATGTCATCACCTTTTCCTCTAGGTATCTTATGAGGAGATAATGGTAAGGATGATCTTTGTCAAAGTGTCGAAAAGCAGCATCCCACTTAGCTTGTCTTTCTCCATATCCCAACTCCACTGTCCCACCCCCAGTGGTTCTTGGATCATGGTTTTAAAACTATGGACATATTGAACCTGAACAAAATCCTTTTTTGTGAGTGAAAACCATATTCATGGAAAAGGTAACTTTACTTAAAATGTTAGTATTTTGTTCATATGAATACCAAAGAGATTCATCCACCTGCTGCTGTTAGTAATTATAAATTTCTTCCTTTCAACACCATATTTATTATCTTAGAACAAACAGGATTGTGTGATGTTTCTTGAAACCACATTGTATTCTGTTTAATCATCATGCAACATTTCCCACTTTTTGGAAAAGGATAAATGACAATGGAGATTTAATCACATACGTTTTAAACTTCACCCAAGCTTGTTTGTTTATATTTCTCCTCTCCTAAGTTTGGTTTTTTGAACAAAATGATATTACAGGAAATAAAATTTCTTTGGGCTAGTTAGATTTACATATAGTTTTGCTGATTTCATTTAATTTATACATTTATTTACTCTTTCAACAAGTATTTATTTGGTACCTATTATGTGACTCCCAGTAATGGCAGGACAGCAGTGTATGAGAGAGTGCATAAGTGCCAACCCTTGTACAATTTATTTGTAAATGAAGAATAGAAAAACAATGTAGTTTCAGACTTAAGAGCTATGAGGAAACAGCAGAGTAATGGGACAGAGTCACTGGAGTGTGGAAGAGCTACCTTAAAGGGTCATGTTCATCCTTCTGAGAAAGTGATAGATGAGAATGTCTACATCATGTGAAGACCTGGACCTGGAGGAACCTGGCAACAAGTGCAAAGTTCCTGGGGTGGAAATGGGCTTGGCTTGTTCAACTAAATGCACTAGGGAGGGAAAAAGAGGGAAGGAGGAATGACAAACTGTGATATGCAAAAAACAAAGGCAGAAGGTAGTCATAAAGAAATTTGGGGCCAGGCGCAGTGGCTCACGCCTGTAATCCCAGCACTTTGGGAGGCAGAGGCAGGCGGATCACGAGGTCAGGAGATCAAGACCGTCCTGGCTAACACGGTGAAGCCCCGTCTCTACTAAAAATACAAAAAAAAAATTAGCCGTGCGAGGTGGCGGGCGCCTGTAGTCCCAGCTACTCGGGAAGCTGAGGCAGGAGAATGGCGTGAACCCCGGGGGGTGGAGCCTGCAGTGAGCCGAGGTTGCACCACTGCACTCCAGCCTGGGCGACAGCGAGACTCCATCTCAAAAAAAAAAAAAAAAAAAAAAAAAAAGAAATTTGGGAGCCAGAAAGAAAACTGAAATTTTATAAGTTTAATGGGATACCATTGGGGAGTTTTGAGTAGAAAAGTAATGTGATATAAATTTACATTAAATAAAAACCACTTAGCTCTGTAATGAGTTTTAAAAACAGTGAGATACCACCTCATGTCGGTTAGAATGGCGATCATTAAAAAGTCAGGAAACAACAGGTGCTGGAGAGGATGTGGAGAAACAGGAACACTTTTACACTGTTGGTGGGACTGTAAACTAGTTCAACCATTGTGGAAGACAGTGTGGTGATTCCTCAAGGATCTAGAAGCAGAAATACCATTTGACCCAGCAATCCCATTACTGCATATATACCCAAAGGATTATAAATCATGCTGCTATAAAGACACATGCACATGTATGTTTATTGCAGCACTATTCACAATAGCAAACACTTGGAACCAACCCAAATGTCCATCAATGATAGACTGGATTAAGAAAATGTGACACATATACACCATGGAATACTATGCAGCCATAAAAAAGGATGAGTTCATGTCCTTTGCAGCAACATGGATGAAGCTGGAAACCATCATTCTGAGCAAACTATCGCAAGGACAGAAAACCAAACACCACATGTTCTCACTCACAGGTGGGAACTGAACAATGAGAACACTTGGACACAGGGCGGGGAACATCACACACCGGAGCCTGTCGTGGAGTGGGGGGATGGGGGAGGAATAGCAGTAGGAGAAATATGTAATGTAAATGACGAGTTAATGGGTGCAGCAAACTGACATGGCACATATATACATATATAACAAACCTACACGTTGTGCACATGTACCCTAGAACTTAAAGTATAATTAAAAAAAAAAAGTTGAAAAGGGAGACCGATTAAGGATAACACAGTAGTTCAGGAGAGAAACGGTGGTGAATTAAATTTGGTGATGAGGGCAAAGGTAGAGAGAAGAGTGTGGATTTATGATGTAGTTTGGAGAAAAAGTAGATAGGACTGGTGGATAGATTATTTCTAGTGAGGACAGGAAAGGAGCTTTCTTCTAGCTTTGGGATATGGGCAAATATGTGAAATATGATGAAATAAAAATACCTGGGGAAGAAAAATTTTGAGGAGGGAAATTGGAATTCAGTTTAGCAGGCTGGTTGTGGTGGTTCACACCTGTTACCCCAGCACTGGGAGGCCGAGGCAGGGGATTGCTTGAAGCCAGGAGTTTGAGACCAGTCTGGACAACGTAGCAAGATGTCATCTCTACAAAAAAAAAAAAAAAAAAAGAAAAAAGAAAAGAAAAGCCAGGTGTGCTGGCACTGGCATGCACCTGTGGTCCTAGCTACCGAGGAGGATGGGGTAGGAGACCAGCAGTCTGAGGTTGCAGTGAGCTAATTGTGCCACTGCACTCCATCCTGGGCAACAGAGCATGACTGTTTAAAAAAAAATTATATTTAGGATATATTAAGTTTCAAATAAGTATTGAACATGCAGGTAGAAATGTCAAGCTGGTCATTGGATATTTGAGTGTATAACTTAGGGGAATATTGGATCACAAGATATGTTTAATATTTCTCAATTCAGACTGTACTTAATGTCTAGAACTTCTGGGGGCCCAAACTCACACAGAACTAAAGCTCTAGAATTCAATTCAATCTCCATTCTTCTGCCTCCCTTCACCTTTTACCTTAACTAACACACACAGTGTTTGGCAATAAAGAGTTGCATATCTGAGTGTTAGATAATGCCAGTAAAACAGACATTCTTCTTACACTCTCGATTTTCATTCTTGTACTTTTTGGGCTTCTTCTTTTCTCAACTGTCGATGGTCTCCACTGATAAGCCATTCTTTATATTCCTAGACAAAGATACCAAGGTTCACCATTGCATGTTTTTTACTTTGATATCAGTTGTGACTCCTAACTGCTTCAATCCATGGTTCTGTACAAAAGTGTAGGATTTCAACATTGATGGATGGTGCTTTCAATATCTGACCATAAGTATTATTTGTCCTCCACATGAAATTTTCTATTTCTGTGATTTTTCTCATGCCATTTCCTTTGCCTAAAATGTTTTGCTCCCCTTCAACTTGTTTGGATTCTAGCCAACCTTCAAAGACCTAATGCTCCAATGCTTTTTTCAAGAGGCCTGTTAGGATGTCTCAGGCAAAAGTAGCCCGTCTTCCTCTGAACACCAATAACAATTAAGAGCACACTTATGTACTTTACTTACGATAATAATACATTCTGCCAGGTACTATATTTATTTGGACATATGTATGGATAGGAAAGATCAAAAACATTTGCTATGCCTGAAACTTGATTCTAAATGGCTCCCCACACATAGCTTTCTGATGAAGGAAACTGCATTTTGAAGAGAGATCACTGTGTCTCTACCGCTTGGCATTATCAATTGCCTGGTCATAGTTTATTAGACCTCTGTTGGACACTTACCCACTAAAGACAATGTAGTTTCATCAAAGATCTGTGAATTATTTGCTATAAAAGCTCTAACCAAACAGTGATGATGTTTAGCTGAGTACATAATCAAATTCTTTCAGGAATCTGAGCTGTGGGATGTGCTTATTCATTCAGTTAGATACAGGAGCTAGAATTTAAAATAATCATAGATAGAAGCTATGAAATGCTAGGGTCTAGGAGGAATACTGTCATAGAATGACTCATTTTTCAAAGTAAAACAGAACCACTGATTGTTAAAGCATGAAAAGCATGAAGTGATTCCAGCAGCAAGTAAGAGTCACTTAGTTACACAATGGCAAGGGATTGAACAGCTATGTCTCCTGAAAAGGTGACAAGACAAGCCCATCTTGCAAGTCACTGAATCCTTCATGCAACATGCTATGTGCAAGTCTCCAGGGGACCCATCTTCTTGGCTATTCCTAAAATTCCATGAGATGTTTTTCTGCCTTACTATCAGATTAGTCTTACTACAAACATATTACTGATGGTAGCTGGACTGAGTTGCTGTTCTACCCTACTGAACTGAACTCTACCTGGGGGCCTGAATCATGTTTAATTTATCTTTATAGACATCTCATTTAGACAGAGTACCCCTGCCGCCAAAGTGGCAGTTCGAGAGAATAAACAAAATTGGTTGATGAATTATTTGACATAATGACATATTACTAGAAGGGCACCCTCTCTCATTCTGACCATATGAGAAAGACTTAGACAAACATTTCTAATGAAATTCAGAATCAAGAGAGCTTGCCTTATATTTGAGACTTTCTTTGGGAGGTCAGCCCTTTGAGTTGATTGGAGGTGACTTTAAACTCTAAGTGGGGTTACTTAAATAAAGAGATTAGTTTGTTACCAACAGATTCTGAATAAAATTCAACTTTCCTTATTTTAAAAATGATACTCATTAGCGTCATTCTATCTGTATCTTATTTAATGCTTGTAATAATCCTGAGGCATCAGAATCCTTTTCCTCTATATTGAGATGAAAACCTGGCACAGACAGAGTAGAAACCAGTGGACTAAAAGGATAGCAGAGTGCACAGTAGGGTACTTAACCATGCCTGAGATGCTGAGTCCATTGTGCTGGTCTTTGGCAAAGCCCATGAATGGAATGCACAGAGCTCAATTCCTCCTCGAAGCCTTGAACCTCTCACTTTATTTTTCCTTGCCTGTTGCTTCCTGATGTGTGTGTGTACGTGTGTGTATTTCTTCAGCTCATTCCCTTTTTCTTTGGCTTCTTTTTTCAGTCCTACACTTAAGCTGCAAAGGACCACAAGCTACGTATGAATTGATTTACCTTTTTAATCCATCCTTCCCAGTCCAGTTTCAGCCAGGCAAAAGTTAAAGTGGCTGGTTCCGCTCCTGGGCCTGTCACATCTGGGGTACCTTGAGATACCTGATGGGCATAGTCTTCCAAATGACTGCACCCTGCCCTACTCCACCACTTGCACAACTTCGCATGGTCTCAAATATAGTCTTTAGTTCCCAGAATAGCATAGTGCACTCACTCTAAGGATGCAATTTATTCACTCATACTAATTGCTGCTTAATTCTGCATTCACCCCAGCAGCTAAGACAATTAGTGTTCACAAGCCATAATGTTATGCCATGTTTAGTTTGCAAATAAAGTGACATGCTCATATTCTGAAAGGAAGAACTTAAATCCAAACTTTTAAAAACTTCAACTTTTACATATTTTACAAATTTTCAAATGTTACATATTTAGTGTTAATTTTATCAAGACGGGGGACATACATACCATATGGTCTCAGACAAATCACCTAACTGCTCTGTATGTCAATGTTATTTAAAGTTAAATTTTACTTTCTTCAAAGGATTATGGTTAAGCTCAAATGACATTAGGTCCTTTATAAAAAGATAAAAGATAGTTTGTAATATTTTTTTAAATTATCAATACCTTCTGATGGACAGCATCAATGTGCCTTCGATTTAGGTTTGGAAATTGTGCTTTCACAATTTTATTTAGACAGCTACAACTTTAAAGTAAAAAGCTTGTATAATAATTAAAAACTGATTGATTTTAACGAAATCACAGAATTCAGAATCTCCTAGTCACCCACTGATTTAGGGCTAAATAGTTAAATAAATGACTGAGTGTCTGGTAGTTAATCTTTACACAGTTTCACATTCATGCCTGAAATAAGCAAATTGTACATAGGAGTTCAAAGTTTAGAACCTGACTTAAAAATATGTTGAGAAAGCGTGTAGTTTTTCATTAGTAAAGAAAAAAGGAAAAACAATATGCATATTGAGCAAGATTCTTTAAGCATATCATTGAGAAATGGGTAACATTACTCTGCTACGAGTGTATATTTCATATCTAGGATATGAATTACTTGCTGAACACGTTAAGAAAATCAATACATTTGCTTCAGTGTTACTACTAAATAACACCCCACTGGCCTCAAAATAAAAGCAGAAAGGAAAAAAGAAAATCTAGTATATTTTTAAAAAGTGTATCAACTTTCTTTTCTTAGGTTTCATAAAATGAAAGGGGAAGAAACTCTGTTCAAGAGTAGGCATTTTCACTTCTCTAAATAAATATTTAATATGACTACTAGCAGCATAAGACAATTAAAGTTACCAGAAAACAGAGGACTTAAAATCTGTTTAAGAATATCTTTCCCTCGTCTGGAGTTTGACCTAATCTTACCGCTTAAACTCAAATAAGAACAGGACTAACTTTGGTTTGTCAAATGTAACCATATTCAGTGCACTATGTTCATCAGTTCTTTTCTATTACATTAGTAAAGATCTTTTCATTTAACCCATTTCTAAAGGTGGGGCCTTTAGGAAGGTCATACCATTTTTATTTACAAAAAGAATATATATAAAAAAAGAAGAGAGTAGCAGAAAAAAACCTCTAAAACACTATGACAAGGATTCTAGCTGACAGAAGTTTCATTTGGAAAAAACATGGAGTAAACATTAGGGTAGAGAGTTTTTATCAGCGCCTCAAGCTTACCAGCTAGGATCCCAATGGAGTGTTTGGCTCCCAGAATCTCTCCAAGAACCTCTCAAGAATTCCTTGAAAATGTACAGGCCAGATCTTAGGGTGAGAAATTCAAAGAACTGCTCAGACTCCACCCAGTGGAGAATTTATAAATATTTTACTTTACTTCCTCTCCCCTAACCAATCGGTAATCTCCAGCCACTGTCAGAAATTTAAGCAACATGTGCTCCTGCCCACCATTTCAAATGCCAGAGCCTCCAGTGAGGGCTTCTTTCCAGAGGCAACTTTGCTCTTTAAACTCAGGTAAACACACACTTGTCCTTTAACTATATAAATCTCTGACCCCTGAACTGATGAGTTGGTCTTAGAGCTAAATTCCAAATTTTGCCTTTCTTCTTCACTTTGAGCTCTGGATTTTTGAGACAATACCCTCCTTCAAATACACTGAGGATTTTCAGTCTGATGGTTGAATCTATGACATTTAATGGGTAAACTTTTTAGTCAAAAGTTTAAAATAGGCTCTCAATTCCAGAATACACTCTATTGCCTAATATGTGAGTTTTCAAAAACTCCTAGGTAATAAATCTGGACAGTTAACAAGACAATGAAGGAAGAAAGATCTGAAGATTCAAGTGGAAACTAGCCTGGCAAACTTCATTAATGCAAATTATTCATTTAAGTCTGTGAATTGTCTTTTGTTCTAGTCTGACTACCTCTTTAGGCTTATTCCTGAGCTTGGGTCTTTTGATGAATATCCTTGTAGTTATAAAAACTAAGAGCAAAGACTTTCGATATTAGGACTAGGGATGAAGAATGTGCTTGAATAATTGAATGACTTATGCACACCTATGCTTTATTTAGTAACCCACAACAAATCAAGTAAAGTGTCATTTAATCATTTCTATCAAGTGTTCATTGTATAACCCTGAGCAATTCACTTAACCCTTGTGGAGGCTCAGTCTCCTATTTATCAAATGAACTTAATAATACCTTCCTCCCAAGATTACTGAAACGATAAAACCATGCAGGTTGAAGGCCATAGATACCATGACACTCAAGTCAAAAGTGACATATTGTCTTTTTTTTAATCTTAAGTAACCAGACAAAAAGTACTACTCTCCAGTTTCCAAGAGAGGGAGATAAAGTGCATGAAATTGCTTTAATACGAGTAATTGACCAGTGAAAATAAAATATATTTCACTTCATTGATCCTATCCTTACAATAATCCTATAAAGTAAGTAGACTACCAATTGATTAACTTAGAATAGTAAAAGTTTGAATCCATTCAGGAAATTTCAGAAGGTGTACTTTTTTTGCATCTATTCTGTGTATGCCTCATGCTGTAAAAACTTTGGAAGATTACCAGGCTCTAATATATGGGGAGCGAACCAGAGGGCGGATCTGTGTCATTTTTGTGTCACTCTTTTAAAGACTGACTATAGATTTAGAGAGCTAGATATGGACATTAAGGTTTTGTTTTCACAAGATCTTGCTTCTTCTAAAATCTTGTAATAATATGATTAAAAATTTCATCAAAATATTATCTTAAAAACTACTGTTTAACTTGTCACCTTTAAAGAACTTGCTTGGAGGTCTAAGCTATACTTCTATTTCTTATGTTTTATAAATTTCTTTCTTTCTTTAAATTTGTTACATTTGAGGAATAAAAATAAAATCCCAAGCCCCTAGATTAACTGAACGGACACGCTCTTGGCCAAGGGGATCCCAGAGTAAACTTGAAAACTAAGTTTTTGGCCATGACAGGATAGGAAGTGGAACACATACCCGCTCCATCACTAACTATGATTAGGCTTTCTGCCCTATGGCTAAAAAGAAACCAGTCATTTCAAAAGATTACACCAATGACATCAACCATCACCTGGTGTTATCCCTCTCTTTTGTGGTTTGGAACAAAAAGAAAATACTGATCATGGAATGTTTCTGGCTAGTCTATGGAGAATGTGCAGTAAAGGTTTTCATGTCCTCTGCTTCACATTGGGCTGAAAACTGCCCCCTCAGATTGTATTAATGCTGTCATTTTTTGAACACGGATCCCATGGAGAAGCATGAAACTCCATTGTGCATGTGCACATTTCTCCTTTCACAAATATTCATGGCTTCCCCTATAGCTTATTGAATATATATATTCAGCTACCCTGCTCAACATAAATTTCTGTTTCCTTTGCTCCTCCCTCAAAATGTCTGTTTCCAGCTTCTGATTAGAGGCTATACTTTTCAGAGGTCAGAATGATCACCCTGCAGGCTGCAATCCTTTATGTGAAATGAAGCTCTCCTTTCCAAATGTATGAACCTGTCATTCTTCAGTTGACACTTTCATTCATTCAAGAAAAGTATTAAGCATATTCTCTGTACCAAGCACAAAGTGAAATGCCAGGGATGTAATGGGGAGCAAAACTTGTATAATAACATAGGCCGCTAAATACAGAAGGGAATTATGAGAGAACGAGTCATGCGGGGAGGGGTGAAAGCAAGACCCGCTACAGGGCCAGCAGTCAAGGTTAAACAGAGAACACTGTGAGATACCATTCCTTCCTTTTGGAAACAGGAAGAAAAAAAGTGTTGCCAGAATAAGCTGTTGTACAATTCCGAGTTGTCTATTAATTTCCAGGTATGGCATCCTGCTTATAAAATGATATGTTTCCGAGAGGAAAAGACTAATTTTATCCTCCTCAGAGCTCTACCTATGTATGGAGCTAAATAAATATCTACTGAATTGGTTAATTTGTTTTTTTTTAATTAAGATCTAGTTTATTTTCTAAAAATTGATTATTGGAAATATGGGAAAGTTTTGTCCTCTCAAAAGGTAATCTTGAACCATGAACTTTATTCTTATTCTTCAGGGCATTTTCGCCATAGTTAGGCCAGTATCTAGCATTTAGTAGACTAAAATGGGTGCTTGCTGGATCATTAACTAAATTAAATTCAGATCAGCAAACTCTTTATGTAAGAATCCAAGGCTGCACTACCAGGCTGATCATAACACTCTAATGCTGGGTGCTCAGTATGTGAAATGAGTAATGAGATTAAAGACAGAGACAAGTTAGGAAAGAACTAATAAAAAAAACTGCAGTCTCAAACTTGGGTAAACAGAAAATTTCACAATACGCTATTTTTCTTAATTAAATAAAAACGCAGAGCTCACATGTGACTTCTTAGGAGGAAAATTTACTCTGAGTCATTATTGGAACTCTCCTTTCTTCTTTACACAGGGTGTTGGGAAGTTCCCAGATGGGAGGGGCAGATTAGCTTCCTTCTCTCTGCCCTCCTGCCTCTCCTTTCCCCTCACCATATCCCTGGGGCCTTGCACACCCAATCACTCTTTCCAAACTTCCCCTTGGGGATAACCAATATAACATAACAAAAACTTTCTCAAATGCCAGTCATGAGATTTGCCTTAAGCAATTTCTGCCAAGGAACCTACAGCATCTTCTCTATATGGGTAGGGGAAAATATAAAAAACAGAGCACACACAAAATTATCTCTCCTCTCTTCTTCCCTCTCCCCTTATCTGTCCTTCCTTCCCCTCTCCTTCCTTTCCTGCTGCCCCCTCCTCTTTCCCTCTTCTTGCCTTCTCTCCTCTTTCTCTAATGCCCTCCTCTTGCCTTCTCTTCCTCTCTCTCTCTCTCTCCTTTTCTTTTTCCCTTTTTCTCTCTTCCCTCCACTGCACTCTCATTTCCTCACCCATACTCTCCTTTCTTCTCCCTCTCCCTCCTACAACAGGGAAGGCAAAGCAAATTAATATGCTAATAAATCACTAGGCTATGTTTAGACAATCTACTTTTTCCTTCCTGTGAGATACATAGTCTGGTTATTAGAAAAATTTCTCAGTAATGGGCGGGGACTTTCCTACCCTCTCTATATGTTGTATTTTCAGTTTTTCAGAGGAAAATGCAAGGGCTCGTTATAAGCAAATGACATTTTGCCAGTTGGTGATTAAAATTTATTTAGAATCTAAAATTCCTATAACCCATTCCCTTTTTCCTAGATCAGAACTTTTCCCTCACTGTTAAACTCACAAAGGTATAGAAGGCAATCTAAATCATGTGCGGTAGCAGAAGAACTTTAGTAGTTTTCTGTTATATGTGTTTGCAGGTCAATTTGCTCAATTGTCTGATTGTTTACATGAGGAATTTCTGAGTTTCCTGTAAAACATGAAAAACCCAAAGTGACTTGAGTCATATTGACATCATTGACCACATAACAACATCATTGATGTCATGATGACTCTGGAAAACGGGAACAGGCATTACAAAATCTCCATTTAAAGACAAAGCTTTCATATACCAGGGTTTCTTTCTATAGTACAAGGTACGATGTACATGCCCTCTTTTACCATAACAACTTACAACAGAAAATTTTTTTTCTTAATATTAAAAATGACTATCAACAGGGATAGTGTAGAGCTGATGTTTGGAGATGTCACTTCAAGATCCTCTTCTGGGATTTGTCCTTTTTCCTATGTTTGTCTGGCAAAGTATTTTCTAGTGTCACTAATAAACGGTGTAAAATTTCCCATTTTGGAAGTGTCCAGTATGGGTCCACCATTTTGCCAGTCGTTTGAAACTTCTCATAGCTTACAGTATGACAGACACCAAAATATAGCAAATTCCTAAATTGTCTTAACCCCACATCGCAGGCAGGGGAAAAGAGTTCACTAGACTAGGATCTGAAGAATGGTGCAATATGTCCCCAAAAGCCAAAGAAAAGTGCTTCTGAGGGGCTCTGAATCTAGACAAGGAAGATGCAGAGTATTAGATAAGAATAAGAGCTAGTAAGAAACAGAAAAGGACAAATGCATTTGAAATTTTAACTTGTCTTCATGTAAGAAAATAGTGTCCTCTATAGAAATATTTTTGTAATTTAGAGGAAAAATATAATTAGTTAGCAAAATACAAATTTTCAAAACTGACCAAATAAGAGAAACACTTGAAGAAAACAATTCCTTTAGAGGAGATTAAAAATGCATTTAAAGAGTTATTGTATAAAAGGAAACATCCCCACTGCCAGGAAGTACAGAAAAAAAAATAGAAGGCAACATTACGTTTGAAAAGTTTTGCATATGAATTCTAGCACAGCATTAAAGATTAGGAGAACCTCATGTTATTCAAACTATTCCAGATCATACAAAAAGATGAGCTTTCCTGTTCATTTTCTGAAATTATGCTAATTTCAGTTCCAAAGCTTGATTAAGAATAGGAGTGTAAGCTTCAAAATACTGTTTCAATTAAAAAAAAAGTTGATAAGGAATTGTATCACATCTATTTTCCTCAGAGCTAATTATTATTATTTATTTCAGATAAACAGGTTTTATTTTCACCTTGAAAGAGTCTGTTTTTTTGTTTGTTTGTTTGTTTTTGAGACTGAGTCTCGCTCTGTCACCCAGGCTGCAGTGCAGTGGCGTAATCTCGGCTCACTGCAAGCTCCGCCTCCCGGGTTCACGCCATTCTCTCCCCTCAGCCTCCTGAGCAGCTGGGACTACAGGCGCCCACCACCATGCCTGTCTAATTTTGTTTTTGTATTTTTAGTAGAGACAGGGTTTCACTGTGTTAGCCAGGATGGTCTCGATCTCCTGACCTCGTGATCAGCCCGCCTTGGCCTCCCAAAGTGGAAAGATTCTATACTTAAATTGTTTTGTAAAAAGATTATACAAAGTTTAAATAATCCTGCAAACATACAAAGTAAACAACCAAGTATATGTGCAATAGTTTTGAGCAATATCACTCATAATTACATAACAGTAATCATTCGTTTTATTCAGGATACACTAATTCAGTCTAAAATAAATTACAGCTTTTCCCTGCTGTATTGTTTTACCATATTTTGTTGTTTTACATGGTGTTGAACTGTATTTTCCTTTTCAGCTTATTTTTAATTTAAAAAATGTTTATTCTTTTATATAGATTTTATTCTATTCCATTGTGCAATTTTAGGTTCATAGCAAAATTGGGCAGAAAGTACAGTGAGATCCCTGTATCCCCTTACCCTCAACTTATTTTTTTTCTTTCTTTTTCTTTTTGAGACAGGGACTCATTCTGCTGCCCAGGCTAGAATGCAGTGGTGTAATCATGGCTCATTGCAACCTCCACCTCCTGGGCTCGAGTGATCCTCCCATCTGAACCTCCCCAACTAGCTGGAACCACTGGTGCGCACTACCACATCCGGCTAATTTTTGCATTTTTTGTAGAGACAGGTTTTCACCACGTTGCCCAGGCTAATCTCAAACTCCTGAACTCAAGCGATCTGCCCACCTCGGCCACCCAAAGTGCCAGGATTACAGGTATGAGACACTGTGTGGTCCCCTCAACTTATTTTTTTAACATTTTTTTTTCCAATGAAGTTGCTTGTCTCTTTCACTTTTGTCCAATTTGTTTCTTATATTTTCTTTTTATTATTATTTTAATATTGATTCATTTTTTAACTCTTTTTTATTCCTTTTATTTCTTTCCCTAGTTTATTTCATAACTCACTTTTATGCTTATTTCTATTTTACTGATTTCAGTATTAATTATTTTAAATTGCTTTCTTTTGCACAGTTTTAGCTTTATTATTTCTTATATTATGCTATTTATTCTTTATTTTTGCTCAACTTCTTAGTTTCTGGCATTCTGTTCTTTCACTTTATCTCATTGGTTTAATTTCATAATTCAAATTATTTCCTGGTTATTTTAACGTTCATTTTAAGAAATTGTTATTGCTTTTAATTTAAAAAATGGTCTTTATATGGTATATGAAAAACAATTCAATATGGATAGCCCCAAGGACAAAGAGTCTGTACCATGGAAAGGTGGCCTTGCAGTTTTCTATCAAACTTCCCAGGAGCAGAAATTTGCAACCTCCTCTTTGCCGCAACACACCAAAAGGAGCAGAATCATTGACTCTTAGTAGTTCTCAGCTGTGATGCAACAAAGCATTTCAAAACCTCTAGCTGAATGCTAAGACAAAGGTAATCATAACTTTGGTTCATATTCCTGTCGCATTATTTGTAGTAGAACATTTTATATCCTGAGTAATATCAGTTCTGTTTGTTAGAAATGTTTTCTTCCAACTTATAAATGTTATGCTAAGTTAAACTGTTTCTTCACTGTAACTGCAGGCTTCTCATTGTGTGAAAGCTGAAGGATCTCTCCCTGCATTCCCTTCATGGGCATCTCTAGGCTACTTGGCCTCATGGATGCTTCAGGCTCTCCAGTGGCTTCAGAGATCCCTAGTTTCCAGGTTTGATGATCCTGCCTCATTCCTAACCTTCCTGCATAAAGACAAAAGACAAATGACAAACTGGGAAAAAATACTGGAATATATAGTGAATATACAAGTTAATATTTTTTTTTTTTTTTTTTTTTTTTTTTTTTTTTTTTTTTTTTTTTTTGAGACAGAGTCTCGCTCTGTCGCCCAGGCTGGAGTGCAGTGGCGGGATCTCGGCTCACTGCAAGCTCCGCCTCCCGGGTTCATGCCATTCTCCTGCCTCAGCCTCCCAAGTAGCTAAAATTATTATTATTTATTTTCATTTTACTCAATAAAATATTCCCATTTGTTCATGTTATACTTTTTCCTATGAATTTAATTTTTATCTTAATATAGGAAAACCTGTTTTCGTTGATATTTTGCTTGTATATTTTCTTTGATTTTCTCTTTTTCAATATCTTTTGTGTCATTTTATTTAGTTTTTTTTAAGGCACATACTTAAATATATATCTACATACCACTTTACATTTATATCGATTCTGCCACTGTGTTTCACCCTGTACAACAGAGCGAGACCCCATCTCTATTAACAACAAAACAAAACAAAAGCAATTCGTCTCATACAGGACCCCTATATCTTTATTGTGCTTGAAAAATGGATCTTTGGACTCACTGCACTGACATAGGCTGAATGCAATAGTAGGTTAATGTTTTACTGACACCAATGAGTAGCTAAGCAGGATACTCCAGATTTTTAATTGATGAAAAGACACGAATATAGAACAAAAAAATAATCAGCCAGAAGACATAGGCAGAAGAAATTGCTTTCTAATTTCCTCTTATCCATGACTTTTCACAAAAAGCACAGAATCATAAATTCTATTGGGTTTTTAACAGAAAACATGGAGTCTTCACTTTGACCAATGACTGTCTACTCCTTCCTTCTATAGCATTCCCCCTCCTGCTGCATGTCTCAGTCTAACTGGTCATTGATAGTGGCAGGAGACAGACAAATTCCTAGGCCGACAGGGTTGGGTTCCTGGTGAAACCCAGCCTTCAAATCAAAGACAATTTAAAGCCTGAAAACCGACCTGCTGATTCCAGATAGAGTCTACAACCAGAGTAAGAACTTCTATTCCTGTTCGCCCACTGTTTCCCTAGTTGGTCCTTTCTGAATAATGCTTTTTTTTTTTTTTTTTTTTTTGAGATGGTGTCTCACTCTGTTGTCCAGGCTGGAGTTCAATGGCACGATTTTGGCTCACTGCATCCCCCACCTCCCAGGTTCAAGTGATTCTCCTGCCTCAGCCTCCCGAATAGCTGGGATTACAGGCATGCCACCACACTCCGCTAATTTTGTATTTTTAGCCAAGACGCGGTCTCACCATGTTGGTCAGGCTGGTCTTGAACTCCTGACCTCAGGTGATCCACCTGCCTTGGCCCCTCAAAGTGCTGGGATTACAGGCATGATGAATAATGCTTTTTAACCAATCAAATGTTGCCTTTTCCAAGGCTACCTACAACCTGCGCCTCCTAATTGCAAACCTATAAAAACCCCAGACTCAGCCACACAGACAGCAACCTGCTTTCTGGCCCTTGGTACACAGCGGGCTACCCACTTTGGGTCCCCTCTTGCTGTTGAGAGCTTTTCTGTCGTTCAATAAAATGATTCTCTGCCTTGCTTACTCTACGCTGTCTGCATACCTCATTCTTCTTGGTTGCAGGACAGGAACCCAGAACCTGAAGAATAATGGGAGCAAAAAAGTTTGTAACATACTCCTGGCCAGCTCACCAAGCTGAAGGGGGTGAGGATGACAGGAGCTGTGACCCTTCTGGGGGCCCAGACCTTGGGACTCTCTGAGCCAGAGCTGTAACACACCACTGTTCACTAAGCCACAGGCGGCAGGAATGAACAAGCTATAATACGTTCCCACTCGCCGAGCTGCAAGCAGCAGGAAGGAGAAAGAGAGTTGTGGCATTCCCCGGTGTCTCAGACCTCGGGACTCCCCTAGCAGAAGCTGTGACCCCCACTTGGTGCTCCGTGGTTGCTTGTTTTTCTGAGTTCTCTGGCACCACCTTGTCCCTCCTTGTCTGAAGGCCCACACCCAGCTGTGGAAACCACTTTGGGCACACCCGGTCCCACTATGGGCTGTGCGCAGAGCTGTGGTGATCACAGAATCTGGGAGTGAGCCAACAACAGCCTGCCAGGCCAAGCGGGCGGAGCAAGCCCAGAGGGACTGAGCAAAGCTGGGGCAGAGTACCAGCCACAGAGGTTTTCAGCTGGCAAAGCGGCAGCAAAAGAATCCTGTCTCATCATCATGTTACAACTTCCTTTGGACAGTTTCTTAACTTCATTCCCTGTCTCTATATTTCACCTTATAATCAAAACTCTATGTCATCCATAGATCAATTTTTCTAAAATGCAAATGAAATCATGTCTTAAGATATTATGTAAAGGCCTTTTATAAAATACATTTTTTTCTATATTATGATTATTTTTCATTGTAGAGATGGGGGTCTCACTATGTTGCCCAGGCTTAAAAGCCTTTCTTATTGATATCTGAAAAGGGTGAAGTTTTAATATGACACACCGGGCCTGTGCCTAGTTCTAGAGTCTCATTTTGAGTGTCTCTTCCCCATGGATGCTATAGTTCAGCAAACTTAAAATTGAACTGCCCCAAACTCTCTCACTTGCCTCTCTGTTTTTCCTTAAGTGCAGTTACTTCTTTTCTTTGCAATATTCTTTTTTGTGTCTCTTTCTTTCTTTCTTTTTTCCCATTCACCACTGATCAGAAGGCAGGAATATTTTCTTTCTTGATTGCCCTTTTTAGGAAATCAACTTGAGTTTCAATCCTAACTTTGAGATATTACTTTGTACTCCAGTCAGTTTGTTGTCTCTTTTTAAAATGTTTCCGGCTGGGTGTGGTGGCTCATGCCTGTAATCTCAATGCTTTGGGATGCTGAGGCAGGAACACTGCTTGAGGCCAGGAGCTCAAGATGAGCCTGGGCAACAAAGTGAGGCCCCATCTCTGCAAGAAATTTTTAAAAATACAATAAGATAGAGAGGAAATAAGATAATTACTTCTGAAGGAGGTAACATGTTCTATAAATCAGAAGTATGACTGGAGGTATGAGGTATCCTGGAGGTATGTGTGGATTTATCTGCCTGGTATGGCCCAATTCTCTTTGTTATTAAAGCAGGAAATCAACACGACTCAAGTTTAGCACCAGGTAACGTAGGTTTCATGTGGCAAGATGACTTAGCTAAACTTGATCATCATGTTTGAAGCCAATGGCTGCTGATCTTTACTTCCCTATCAAACCTGCTGCAATGCTTTATAGTAATGGCTATGTACTTTCTATACACTGTCTCCTTCAGTCTTATGTCTCTTTCCAATACTCAGAGTGGAATGGAGTTTAGGGATTGCTCCCTGGTCTATCCAATTTTCCAAAATTACTACTCTGGGTAAGATTTTTTTTTTTTTTTTAATTTTTTGAGACAGGGTCTCACTCTGGCTGCTCAGGCTGGAAGGCAGTAGCACCATCACAGTGCACCGTAGCCTCGACCTCCAAGTTCCAGGCTCAAGTGATCCTCCCTCCTCAGCCCTACAGGCATGTGCCACTGCACCTAGCTAATTTAAAATTTTTTTTGGTAGACTCCCTAATTTGCCCAGGCTGGTCTCAAACTCCTGAGATCAAGCAATTCTCCCACCTCAGCCTCCCAAAATGTTGGGATTACAGGCATGAGCCACCACACCTAGCCAAGATATTCTTCACTGTATTCCACGGGACCATACCTCCTGTCCAGGGAGAACTCCCTGGCTCACAAAAGATAAGAGTGCACTCTCTATGCCTAGCTTCTTTTTTTATATTTATTTATTTGTGACAGGGTCAGGTTTTGCTGCCCAGGCTAGAGTGCAGTGGTGCAATCATGGCTCAGTGGCTCACTGCAGCCTGGACCTCCCAGGCTCAAGCAATCTCCCACCTCAGCCTCCTGAGAAGCTGAGACTACAGGCGCATGCCACTACATCTGTCTGATTTTTGTATTTTTATTTTATAGAGATGGGAGTCTCCCTATGTTGCCCAGGCTAGTCTCAAACTCCTAGGCTCAAACATTCCACCTGCCTTGGCCTCCCGAAGTGCTGGGATTACAGGCATAAGCCACTGTGTCTGGCCCCACACTTGGACTTCGTAGGTCTGAAACTTCATTTTATTCAAGAGCTATTCTTAATATAATAGTTTGTGGTTTAAGATTATAGCTATTAACTTTTATTAAAGACAGAATTTTCTTCTCAGTTTTCTAAAAAGCTTTTTTTTTTTTCATATTCTCTTGGCTTTAAAGAGAAGAGCAGTGTAAAAGTGGCTAGTCTGCCCCTTTAACTGCAAGTTCCCCTTAAATCTTACTTTCACTTCCACAGTGTTACTGAACCTCCTCTCTGACAAAGGTCTAATGACTTCCTAATTGACAAATCAAAAACTGCCTTCTCTGCTGACAGCCTCTACATTGAAAGCTTTCGTTCCTATCACTTCTTTTACAGTGCAAATCTCAGTTAATTTCTATTCTCATTCTCCTTTGTCTTCTCTTTCAATCTCACTCCACTCTTTTCCTTGGGTTACTAAGGACAAACATATCCCTTTATTTTTGTACTTGTAGCAGTTTTTGTACTGCTCTTAATAACCCTTAGTATAGGCTAAGTTCTCACTTTACCTGTACACATGATTGCTGCTGTGATTTGTTTGTATGTATTGCTCCAAAATTCATATGATGGAACCTAACCCCCTAGGAGGTGGTATTAGGAGGTGGGGTGCTTCGCAGGTCATTAGGCTATGAGAATTCTGCCTTCATGGATAAGATAAATGCCCTTTTAAAAAATGCATCATAGAGCTGCCTCCCTGCTCCCATGCCTTTTGCCATATGAGGACACCTAGACTGCATTATCTCTGAAAAATGAGCCTTTTTCTTTTCTATTCTCCTTCTACCATGTGAGGACACGGCTTTACCTCCTTCTCCAGAGGATGCAACAATAAGGCACCATCTTGGAAGCAGAAAGCAGCCCTCACCAGACACCAAATCTGCCAGCACCTTGATCTTGGATTTCCCAGACTCCAGAACTGTGAGAAATAAATTTTTATTTTTTATCAATGAGCCAGTCTAAGGTATTTTGTTATAGCAACGCAAACGGACCAAGATAATTACCTTTTTTTACTAGAATATTTGTTACCTGAGCATGAAGTTTTATCTTTCTTTACTGCCTTTTACATAGGAGGTAATCAAATGTGTCCTGAATTCAGGTTATTAAATTATATAATGAATTAGATTATATTGCCACTGTGTTGTCTCTTTTCACCAAAATCTACTAATAAATAGTTATGTTAAGAAATTAAATATATTGCCAGGTGCGGTGGCTCACGCTGTAATCCCAGCACTTTGGGAAGCTGAGGCGGGCGGATCACAAGGTCAGAAGTTCAAGACCAGCCTGGCCAAGAGACCAGCCTGGTCAATATGGTGAAACCCTATCTCTACTAAAAATACAAAAATTAGCCAGGCGTGGTGGCAGGTGCCTGTAATCCCAACTACTCAGGAGGCTGAGGCAGGAGAATTGCTTGAACCCTGGAGGTGGAGGTGGCAGTGAGCTGAGATTGAGCCATTGCACTCCAGCCTGGGTGATGGAGCAAGATTCCGACTCAAAAAATAAAAAAATAAAAATAAATAAATAAATAAATAAATAAATAAATAAATAAATAAATAAAATAAATTATATTAAAATATCACAAATTAAAATCAACACCAAAAATAAAAGCATTATGACAATGGACTAGAAAATTTAAAAACAATAAAAACAAAAAAAATCAATGTTGAGCCATATGCCTGAGCATCAGTTTACTGTCTAGATCTAGCATGAGTATAACTTGGGCTGTTAGCTTGAGTAGGCATACATTAAGTAGACAAAAGAGAAAGTTATTCCACACAAACAATATTTTTAACAGGTTAAGCTTAAAATCCTTTAATATGCAAGGACTTACTTCTGGTTTCAAATAGAAAAGCATGTTGAAATATGATGATTTTTAGTCATTGGTCAGAAAATTTATTTTAGTCTAATTTTCACTAACAAAATTTTACAAGTAAAACATGGCAGAGGTAAACAATTTTAATTAAAATTTTAAAAAATCCACCAGAATAAAACAAACCCTTTTTTTTTTAAAGAAGCCATCACATTAAAAAAACCATCACATTAGGCCGGGTGCAGTGGCTCATGCCAGTAATCCCAGCACTTTGGGAGGCCAAGGTGGGCAGATCACTTGAGGCCAGGAGTTCGAGACCAGCCTGGCCAACATGGTGAAACCTTGTCTCTACTAAAAATACAAAAATTAGCCGAGTGTGGTAGTGTGTGCCTGTAATCCTAGCTACTCAGGAGGCTGAGGCACAAGAATCACTTGAACCTGGGCAGCGGGGTTGCAGTGAGCAAAGATTGTACCACTGCACTCCAGGCTGGGTGACAGAGTGATTATTCTGTCTCAAAAAAAATAAAAAGCCATCACATTAATAAGAATGCCCCCTGGTATTATTAAACTCTAGCTGTAGAAGCATTACAAAGAGGAAATTCTTTACCAGTACTTCTTTCCTCATTGTCACACCCCACAGCCTACTCTCTCAAAAATGAAGTTGCTTCTATCATGAGCAATCCCAGGGACGGCAGGAGAAACATATACACACACATACCGGCAGAGAGTTAGAACTAATCCTTTCCACTGCATGTCCACAAAAAAGACTGTGTTTACATTTTCAGCTAGAGATCATAGGAAAAGCTTATTCTTTGCAACTCTGTCTCTTAGCTTAACTGTTGACCCAAAGTCTTTGTTTATTTAATGAGTCCAACTCATGTTGTATGAGATATCCCTATTGTGTCTATTACTCTTTCTTCTTGTGCTCTCTGTCTTGACTACAGTACAATTACAGTACAAAGCAATAAAAGAGACACTTTCCTTTATGTTTGTGAGAATAGAGTCTATTGACATATGGTTTACAAAACAATTATGAGTACACTTACAGTGCCCATTGAATTAAGAGGGTTAGCTCAGTTTGGAAAACCCTAGCATATGTATAATTTCTAAATCTGTAATATCTAGTAATCTACTTGATAAATTAATTGAATTTATTGATTAATGCAATAAAAGTCCATAGCTGATCTGAAATCTTTCAAGAAAAGTAATTATTTTATATTTATATTTACTCTATTAGATCTCCAGAGAACATGATTAGAATTGAGCCCTTCAAAATATTCTGAAATTACATCCTCATGGAATGGCAAGATGTAATAATTGTTCTGCCTGGGGAAGTCAGAGAGGGTTCCAGAGCAGAGTATACACACATGAACCTACTCCCTCTCGTTTACTTACTGCAGACATTGCGAATAAAGCTCGCACTTCACTCTTTTCCTCTGTTTCTAGATGTGGTCTTTCATTTCCTCGGCAGAATACTCCTGGCATGATCTTTAAGGAATGAAATGTTGTCTACCAACCTCGGCTGAGTGTACACAGTTCTGGGAAAAGGTGCATCTTAGACTAATCTGATTTAGTAAGTGAATATAAAATGCTCCCCAGGACACCTTGCTAGTAAAGACTCCAACTAAGATTAGAGTATGAATTAATAGAGCCAAGAATGGACATTGGAGTGGGAATTTACCAACTAGCAATTTACTTTAATGATTATTTCCTGATAACTTCTGAAATATTTTTAATGTTTAGAGAATTTGTTTAGCAACTGAAAGGAAAACTTTCTACTAAAAAATATGCCATGCACATTTAAAAACATTCCAATTGCTCCACTGTCTTTCATATCTATCTCTGTTTGCTAATATCTATAATGCAAATTTTAGAAAACACATCTTGACTCATCAATTTATGAATTATTTTACTCCCTATCATGATATTAGCAGTACATTTTTTTTCCTTTCCCTTCTAGGCTTGTTTTTCTTCAGGAAAGGAAATCAGATACAACATAGACGTTGTGTTTCACGATGTCTTTTTCAAAATATTTTGACAACCTGGGTAATAAACCCTGCAGGAAGGGCTAGAGTAGAGTAATGATGATGAAAGTGTCACAGTTTTGAAAATATAAACATATAGATTTAATGGGTACTTTTGTGAATCCCTTTGTCATCGGCAGGTCAGGTACCTGATGCAGAAAGGGAGGTCAGATTTAAGGACAGGGTCTCTTTCCCACACAGGCAGGAGTGCCCGGCTAATGTGGGTTCAAGAACAGAGTAAGGCTCCTGATTTCCCAGCACATCTTTGTCTATCACTGTAGTCTACATGCTAAGCTTAAGGTGTCTAGCCTAAGATTTTATATGCTACTGGAAAACCACTTAGTTTAAATCTAGATTAAACTTAAATTTCCTAAATTTATACATATATCTAGGTACAACAAAATATCAATTCAATTTGAAAAGAGACACTTCTCAAAAGAAGACATTTATGCAGCCAAAAGACACATGAAAAAATGCTCATCATCACTGGCCATCAGAGAAATGCAAATCAAAACCACAATGAGATACCATCTCACACCAGTTAGAATGGCAATCATTAAAAAGTCAGGAAACAACAGGTGCTGGAGAGGATGTGGAGAAATAGGAAGACTTTTACACTGTTAGTGGGACTGTAAAGTAGTTCAACCATTGTGGAAGTCAGTATGGCGATTCCTCAGGGATCTAGAACTAGAAATACCATTTGACCCAGCCATCCCATTACTGGGTATATGCCCAAAGAATTATAAATCATGCTGCTATAAAGACACATGGAGATGTATGTTTATTGCGGCACTATTCACAATAGCAAAGACTTGGAACCAAGCCAAATGTCCAACAATGATAGACTGGATTAAGAAAATGTGGCACATATACACCATGGAATACTATGCAGTCATAAAAAATGATGAGTTCATGTCCTTTGTAGGGCCATAGATGAAGCCGGAAACCCTCATTCTCAGCAAACTATTGCAAGGACAAAAAACCAAACACCGCATGTTCTCACTCATAGGTGGGAATTGAACAATGAGAACACATGGACACAGGAAGGGGAACATCACACACTGGGGCCTGTTGTGGGGTGGGGGGAGGGGGGAGGGATAGCATTTGGAGATATACCTAATGTTAAATGACGAGTTAATGGGTGCAGCACACCAACATGGCACATGTATACATATGTAACTAACCTGCACATTGTGCACATGTACCCTTAACCTTAAAGTATATATAAAAAAGAAAGAGGCTTAATAAATCCCTGGTGGTATTGAACCCTCACTATGTGTCAGATGTTGTATTAGTGTTTCACATTCATTATCTCATTTAATCCTTAGAGGCAAAAAAAAGAAAGAGTTATAGGTATGATTATTTCTACTTTACAAATCAGAAAACTGAAGTAGAGATATAATAGGCCCAGTTAATAGGAAAGTGACAGATTAGGAAAAAATTTATATCTAGAATATTTAAGAAGCTCCTCGGGAAGAAAGAAGACACAATAGAAAAATGACCAAGGAATTAAAATAAGCAATTCCCAAAGGGAAAACCTGAATGGCTAATGCATTTTTAAAGAGATGGGCACTTTAGAAATCAGAGAAGTGCATGTTAAAGGCATGCTGAAATATTTTAATATATGAATCATGTTGTTAACAATTAAAAATTTAGATAATATTTACAGCTGGAAAGAATGTGGAAAAGTAGGAAGTCCACTTTGCACTCTGTTCCAGTACAGCCATTATAAATAGCTTTATTCAGTTTATTGACACTAAATAGGAACATACCCAATGTCCCAGCAATTTTACTCCTGGGTATATATCTGTATTGTTTTTTTCCCACATCAGTTATTTAAAGTGTCTCACCAGACCTCCTTGAGGCTTTTAAGGCTTTTTGCACCAACCTAATATCTAAAGAATGCAGGCAAGCTTTGGAAATCCAAGAGATACCTACAGCATGAGCTCTTGGGGGTCTTATCTTTGAGCTCTAGGACTGAGCTGAGTCTCTGATTCAAATTTCCAGGATCTGTGCTAGGAATTTTGTCTTTGGAAGAGCTCCCCTCAAAAGCTCTCAGTGCCTCCTTAAATAGTAAAATCAGGCTTATCCAATGGGTTAAGACAAAGTCAACAATAAAGAAGCTAACTTTGGGCTTGGCGTGGTGGTGCATTCCTGTAATGCCAACACTTTGAGAGGCCAAGGCAGGCAGATTGCTTGAGTCCAGGAGTTCAAGACCAGCCTGGGCAACACTGCAAAATGCCATCTCTACAAAAAATAAAAAAAATTAGCTGGACGTTGTGGTGCATGCCCATAGTCTCAGCTAGTGCAGAGACTGAGGTGGACGGATTGCTTGAGCCTGAGAGGTCGAGGTTGCAGTGAGCTGAGATCCTACCACTGCACACCAGCCTGAGTGACAGAGTGAAAGGAAGATAACTTTGGGTATCTAGGAAAGTTTCAAACCCTGAACAGAATATCATGAATTCCATTGCCCCTTCCTTGGCAAAGGTTCAAAAACCAGTCTTCTAGGCACCTCCAGAGATACAGATAGAGCTCTTCCTGTCCAGCTGGAAATCAGCCCTATCTGTACTGGATCCCGCAGAAACACTTCTTCACTTACAAAGAGAAATGTGGGCTATTGTCCATATAAGCATGTTTTCCATAACAAAGATTAGAAATGTTAAACATAAGAAAATGAAGAGACACAATATGTGATATGCATATGATGGAATACTATAGAACAGTAGAAAGAATAATATCTATCTATATCGACAGAGATATCAAAAGTAAAATATTCAGTAAAAACCACAATCATGACATTTTCATGATACGTAGTATATAATGCAATTTTGATCATAAAACATACAAGCATATACTATATATTATTCAAAAATCCCCATGGGTATAAATAATGGCATGGACAGTGGTTTGGGAAGAATGCAGATTATGAAAGAAATAATCAATGCTTATTCTAAGAGGGAATTCGATTAGGAATGGATCAAAGGAAAGAAAATAAGATATATGTGTGTATGTGTTTGCGAGAGGGAGAGAGAGAGATTGAGGGAAAAAGAGAGGAAGTGGGAAGACTTCCACACAACATAGTCCTCAAAACTGCAATAATAGACAACATAATAAAAGAAAAGCAAAATAATCATAGCTGGGATTCAAAGAAGACATACTTCTGTGGATAAGAAGTAGAAAAACAACAACAAAACCCTAAGTAGGGCTGAAGTTATGGGCCTAAAGTGCTCTGGATCTGGGTAAAAAGAAAAAAAGATACAAGTTTGGCTCCCGTAGGAGGCAGAAGTGCCTCTTACAAGTTGGGCTACTGGAACTATGACTGTTACTTTTGAAAAACAGAATTGAGTGGGTGGGCATGATTTGAGTAAGGCAATTAGAGTGGGAGGAGAGAGAGAATATTAATAATCACATGAAATTATTTCTTAAGTCTACAAAGTAAAATTTCAAATTATATTAAGTAGCATAACACTCAGAAAGACATACACAATGATTAAGCACTCAGATGACAAATTTCTTCCACATCAAATTATGGTCAGAGGAATAAGTGTGTTTTAGATTATTTAGGAAGTAAAAAACAGGAAGATTGAAACAATAAAATATGAGTATAAAAGAAACATCAATTAAAATCTTGATAATAAAAATGCAGACACTAAAACGTACATAGATTCAACTTTAGGCTGAGCACAATTGGATAGAGAACTAGTAAAGACTAGGACTTTAGTTGCACTTCAATAAAGCATGTAGGCTGACCAAATAACATACTTACTGTATTTATTATTTGATTTCCAGCATCCCCAATCTTTTTCCCCCAGAATGGAGCTCACAAAATACCCTTTTCTTGGTTGGGGGATCTCTCTCCTCCATAGTGATACTTGAGCAATCTGTTCTAGTTATTGTTTGGTTTTAATTCGATCCATTTCTCCTCTAACCGGTGTAGAATAATATGGTTTTGATTATTTGCGTATCATTAGATAGCTTTATTTGCTCTGACAGATGAATGATTCAGGGCTGGGTATAGAGTCTTGATTACAGTCCTTTTCTCTCTCCCTTCTCTCTCTCTGTCTCTGTCTCTCTTTTTTTTTTAAAGTGAGAAATCTTTTTAAAATTGGGATACCTCCTTTTATTGGCATAAGAATGAAGGTTCTGGATTAATCATACCATTGCTTTATTTTCACAATGGATTTTTTTTTCTCAAACTCTTTCAAAGCTAAACAGACTTATTTGTAAATAGGTCCTTCTGTGTTAAAACTGCTTTCCAACCCACAAAGATTACACTTACTCTTAACTTCTCTAGATACAATTTCATTTACTCATTTTATCCAACTTACAAAAAGCCACTTTTTGTCGGCAATTAAAAAAGAACCATGAGGTTCTCAAATGACTTTCCACCAAGTCACCAAAATCAAATCACCAATATCCAAATTTTTTTAAGCAATGACAATTTCTGTTTTCCAAAAAACATATTTATAGACTGAAATTCAAACTCTATATTGCCACCAGTGTAATTATGCAATAGCATACAAAGCCTTAGGATAGAGGGTGTGATTCATTACAAAATATTTGTGGTCAAGAAAATATTGCCTGTCTTTAAATAAATAGAAGGGGCAGAAAAATAAATATGCTTGAAGATGGTTATTTTCACAAGTAAACAAAAAAGTACACATTTAAAAAACAAAGCAAAAATATACTTGAACTTCACAATGACTCGGGCAGTGCTTGGGCAAATTTGTTATAAAGCAAGGTTTCATCTTAGACTTCCCCTCTCTCCCAGTGTTTAGTTGTGAAAATAGAAAAAGAGGCTTGTAGAGAAGGATTTCACCAAGCTGAATCCATGATAGGCATAGCTATTGGATAAAGACTGCCATAGTAAGTTTGGCCTATTATTGGCCTATTATTGCTAGCAAAACCATTCCACCGAATAACCTCCATTTTTTTTTTTTTTTTTAAGAGATGGGGTCTTACTCTGTCACTCAGGCTGGAGTGCAGTGGTGCAAACACAGCTCATTGCAGCTTCTACCTCCTGGGCTCAATCCATCCTCCTCCTCAGCCTCCAGAGTAGCTGGGACTACAGGCATGCACCAACACGCCCAGCTAATTTTTGTGCTTTTTGTAGAGACAATGTTTTGCTATTTTGGCCAGGCTGGTCTCAAATTTCTGAGCTCAGGCAATCCACCTGCCTCAGCCTCCCAAAGTGTTGGGATTACAGGCGTGAGCCACACCATGCCCGGCCCTAATTTTTTTTTTTCCTGTTTGAAAAAAGAAATTCTCAAAATAACCAAATGATGCAGGTCAAAAATAACTCTATCTAACTGCTACCAAAGAGCAATTCTAGTTCTAACGGGACACTTGAAAGCTGAAGAGTAAAATATGATGTAATTTTTTTAATGCAAGCCCAAGCCTACTTTCAGTCAACGTGAATTACATTTACCTGGATCTCCACTTTTTTTTTCAAATTCATTTTTACACCATGAAAGTATATTATTTGTCTGATTCTGTTTCTCTAATCTCTCTATCTCTTCCCTACTGGCTGTTATTGGTTTCTGGGGTCCCTAGAGATCTCCTTCAGTGCCAGCTCCAACTCTCTTTGTCCCAGACCAGGTTTGGATGTCTCCCCAGTTTCCATTTCCTCTGCACCCTACTGAAATTCCAACACACAACTAGAGCAGGAGGTAAACAATGCAGCAAAAATAAAACATTCTAGTTAAAGTCTTTAAATAGAGGATTTATCTTAAAGGATTCTTCATTGAAAGTAGATCAGCAAAGTTCTGTGAATGTGGCTCTGAAAAAAAATCCTGTGTTAAAAAGGCAGTCTGTCAAAATAGGCTGCTGTCTATATTAGAAATTACACAATAATTATCTCAAAAAGCTGTAATGCATAAGAAAAGTACTTTTCTTTCTTTCTTTCTTTTTTTTTTCTTTTGTTTTTGAGACGGAGTCTTGCTCTGTCGCCCAGGCTGGAGTGCAGTGGCATGATCTCGGCTCACTGCAAGCTCCGCCTCCCAGGCTCATGCCATTCTCCTGCCTCAGCCTCCTGAGTAGCTGGGACTACAGGTGCGTGCCACCGTGCCTGGCTAAGTTTTTGCATTTTTAGTAGAGCTGGGGTTTCACCGTGGTAGCCAGGATGGTCTCGATCTCCTGACATTGTGATCTGCCTGCCTGGGCCACCCAAAGTGCTGGGATTATAGGCGTGAGCCACCACCACGCCTGGCCAAGAAAAGTACTTCTTAAACAAACGAGCAAAGTATTTATCATTTATCATCAACCCCACCATAAAATATTACACATGATATTCAGTCTTCTAATTTTGTCTCTAAGGGGAACAAAAAAGCAAAAAAAAAAAAAAGTCTGTTCAGATGCTGAAGTCTAACTTGAAAGTATGATGCCTGAGTCAGGTGCTCATTCTAGTTCAATGCAGTGCCCAAACAGCATAAACAGTTGCTAAAGAACATGATGAGTGATGGGGAAGAATGCTGCATCTCAATCACAAATCCTCGAGATGAGAAGGAACTGGTCTGGCAGGTGTAACACAGGTGGGGAGCCCACACTACTTGAAGGACTTTGGAAATGTGCATCGCATCAAAGTGGCTCGGTATAATCCCGATCATGGTATCATTTGGGGGAACTTCACCTTTCAAAAGATCATCTCCATCTTTTTCCATCTCCTTTTTCATAGGTTTCTTAAACTCCTGAAGCTCTTCGACACTTATGTCTTCCCATATCTGATAAATAGAATCAATGACTTTCCTTGACTGCTTAAGCGCACAAGGATCAAAGGGGAAGAAGGCGTCCAATGGGTTGGTGCACGTTCACACCGAGTCTCCTCCAGCTGTATTTCTGGCCGTTGTTCCTCTCAATGATAGTGTAGCAGACTAGCTGATATTTATTCGTGACAGCAGCAAATAAGTTAACCACTGAGGGCAGGCAAATATTCAGAGGATTTAGCTGCCTAGTCACTATCCCTTAAAAATGTAGGCACTGAAGACATCTCAAACCTTCTTTCAGGTTTACGCTTAAAAGTTGCTTGTGTCTAAAAACAAAGGTGTGGAACACAGCTTGGAAGGCTGAGTAAAATGTTTGATGGAGAGCAATATCACAAAAAGCCTTCATTCTCAGATCCTGGTTAGTAAGGTATTTGTGTGGCCAGTTAACCGAAAGACCTAGGCATGATTTTATAGTTGTAATGAGAGGAATGAATTTAGCTTTTGCCAAAGAGCTTCCAATATAATTTCCAGCAGCTCACCTGATGATGACAGGATTATTTGGATCCTGCATTTTTTTTTCCCAGAGACGTTCCAAAAATGCTTCTGAGAGTCGCAATTTTAAGCCACAGAGGTAAAACATAAAAAACTGTACGTGACAGGAGGCAGGGGTTTGTCAAATATGTTTATCAGTTTGTGATATATTATAAATCCTTTATTTTGTTGTTATCAACCTTACCATGTATTTTACATAGCAGACATACTTCAAGTACTGCAAAAGCAAAGACAGCAGGGTGTCCAGGCATTCAGCTACAGGGTGCACCATCTGACCGAGCCATTTGGAGTCAGCCTTAGAAACAGTCTCTTCATCTTCGTTCATATTGAACAATCATTCCATGGAATCTGTCCCACCACAAGTTTGAGCTGCTGTTTCCTCAGCATCTTCAATATCATGCCAGAATGTATTCACATCCAATTTGAATAGATTTTTAATAATAAGCTTCAGAATTTCATTCCTCAAGGTTGGAAAGTATATACTAATCTTTAGTAAGTTATGAATGTAACATTCCAGTGTTCTCTCTGATTGAACAAATGGAAATGTTTCCACCAGTATGGGCAAAAGAAACCACAGTGCCAGTGGGACATATCTTGCTGTTATTTGTAAGGTTGTATGACGTGTGTCAAAATCTGCAGGAAGATAATCATCTCCATCATCAGAATCTGAAACATTTACATGGCTCTTCTTAATGATCATTCAAGGAGGGTACGCCAAATGGGAAGCAATTATGCTGAGACTTGGGCTAAGGAAGAGTCTGTTGTTACAAGACTACCCAGAGAAGCCAAATACTCTTCCACCACTGTTTGAATTCTATTCAACCAAGGCAATCTCAATGTAATACTGAGGAGCTGCTCAAAGTCTTTTGCCAAGTACATGATAGAAGAGCAAAATTTTCACAGCCAGTTCAAGATCTGGTCATCCTTTATGTTTGAATCTCACAACTGGCTCTTCAACAGCTCAAAGTTAAATTTGTTTCACTCTTTGTCCTTCGGCAAGACTTCTGTCCCCGTTCCATCAAGATGAACAATTTTTCTTGGGGGAGAGCTGGAAAAATCATTCTTGAATGCAAGCATATCTGAAATACTGGTCCATGACATACCCAGCTTCTTGACCACAGAAGCTGAAGCCTCTGCTTCCCCGGCAACCATGTGAGAAGCAGCCTGGTTGCCCCGGGGCTTAAAGTGATAGCTGCACCTCGCCTGGAAGCTCTTTCTCTTGATTACTATGTTACAACCTGACATTGTTCAGCTATTTGCTTTATATAATGAATCCTTTTAGGAAGAATTTTATCCGACTTCTAAAATTCATTATTTAAGAATGCTTTGTTATGGTAACTCACTTTAAGTTCTTTGTTAAATTTCAAGTTTTAATTTTCCCCCACTATTCAAAACATACTTAAATGCACCTATAGATAAAATCAAAAGCCTGCATAAAATATTATAAAGAAACTGGAAATAGATAAAGAAAAAAATCCCAGCTATAGCTTATATAAATCTGCTTCCTTAAATGCCAGATTTGTTACAAACACTTTGGAATATTTCATCGAAGTCTCATTATAGGTGAAGAATGAGTTTTATATCTCAGGAAAATAAAACACAAACACATAATGCCTTTGCATCAATGTTCAATATAATATTTTCTCTTAAAAGAAACAATTTACATTTAAAATACATAAGCATCGGATGCACATGCAGAGATATAACTGCACCTGCTTTCTGCCCTGAAGAAATGTACTGCAATTCCTTCTAGTCTGTATTACAATCTATTATCTAGCTCCAAAAACTATTTCAGCAGTGTTGTTTTAAAAATTAAACTATTATAATGTAGCTCAAGCAAATGATGGATCTTAAACTCGATATTCAGAGTATAGCCCTCTACCACTGATAGAAATTGATCCTTCTAAATCTCCAAAGTCAAAACATATTTGGAGGAAAAAAGTCTCAATTTGACTTTTAAAGTGACATATTTTATTCTGCCCAGCCAATAATTCTGTAGTATCATTTGAACACCTATTGTGTGCAAAATGTCAATGGACTACCAGTAAGAAACAGGATTTTAAAGCTCTTTTAATTTTATTTATGTATTTTTTGGAGACACTATGTTGTCAAGCCTGGAATGCACTGGTTCCATCAAGGCTCACTCAGCTTCAGCCTCCAGGACTTGAGCAATCCTCTCACCTCAGCCTCCCACTGAGTAGCTGGGACCACAGGCATGTGCCACCATGTCTGGTTTATTTTTATGTGTTTTTTTTTGTAGAGACAGAGTCTCCCTATGTTGCCCAGGCTGGTCCCAAATTCCTGGGCTCAAGCAATATTTTCACCTCAGCCTCCCAAAGTGCTGGGATTGCAGGCATGAGCCACCATACCTAGCCAGCTCTTTCAATTTTATACACCTATTGTTTTTTGTCTCTTGAATTGTTGCCTCTTTGCTTATGCTAAGTGAATCTCTACATTTACTATTGCTGAACAGATGGTCTTCTGTTACTTTAGGCTGTGTTTTGATGAAGGTTTCTCTTAAGTGAAATCTCACTATTTCCATATTTCCATAATACACCACATTCAGTCTTTTTTCAACGTTTTTTGTTACATTGGTTCCCCAATTCTTACAATAGCTTTCATATTTATTTCTGAAACTTCCAGTCTTAAATCCTGCTACAAAGTCTTACTGAAAACAAAGAAGATTTTTTAAAACATTTTAGTCCTGATGATTCCACATAACATTAATATTTAACTCCCTTTAATATCATTATTTGCCCTTAACATTTTAATTATTTAATAAATATTGAAATTTTGGAATATGGAAATGAATATTTGAAAATATTCGAATAAATGTTGGACCTCCAAATCGATCTTTTTAACCAAGATCTATGTCATTTCTTTCTTTGATTCCTAGCAGGGACTCTAGTAGGGGCACGGTATATGAATGTTGATTGACTGATTGTTTCTTCTATTTGTCATGCTGTTTGTCATTCCCATTTGACTCACTGCACAGGAGCCCACTAGTTTTTCTGCTGCTATCCATCTTTATAGCTACATCATATGGTGGGTATGAGAACACAAAGGCTTTGATCAGCATTGAAAATGGACTCTCAAGGATCTCATATTGAATATTAGGTCCAGGCATGGAGTGAAATTGTATACTCATAAATATTTGCAAAGAAATCCACCAAATTTTGGAAGTAAGTTATTAAGTATTATGCTCTGAGCATTTATCTGCTTATAACACAATGCTTATCTAAGTTTCTAAGATTGAGACAATTCACAGGTAGACAATCCACATGTGTAAGTGGCCTATTGGCCCTTTTCACTTAACATTGATTATATTCATAAGTTCCTCTAAAGGAAGTTTAAAATCCTCTGTCTGTCATTTCAAAAATCTATTGCTCAGAAGACGAGACCACACTAACAAGCCACTCAAGCTGGAATGAACAGCAGAAATAAAACATCAAACGCTATTAAAGGAATTAACTAGAGAATTATTAAGAACTATCTGAGGATCAACATGGATCATGAAGCAAGAGGGCAAGGCACAGGCAACAAACCCAATCAGATCATCAGAAAAACTCTGGCCAATGGTTTCCACTAGTGCTTCAATGGGAGGAACCAAGGTTATAACAAAAACTCACTGCAGAGATGTTATAGTTCATTGTGTATAAGCATTTAATGTACTGAAGTCTCATTACAGATATGGGTTCCACTACTTTTTACATACTCCTTCTCTTTATACAATCCCTTCAAAAATGGCCTCAAGATTTTGCTATATACAGAGCCCTGGTCTGTCCAGATGCAGACTTTCCATTAAGTTCCTATTCTGGTATGCAGAGGAGGAAAAAGCATGAAAGCCTCACCTCTGCAGAATGCTCTCAATTAATTCTTCCTCAGTGTGCTACCTGTGCTACTGTGCTGAGATGTCAAATGTGATACAAAAATAAACCCAAATTATAGCATTCAATAATTTCAGTGAACTGTACAGTTTTAAATTATCCCTTATTAGTTAACAACATGAACTATCTATTTCAATCAGACTAACCTTTTAACTATGCAAAATACCTCTCCTCCCATTTCTTCCACCGCATGCAGACTCTCCCAGCACAGACACAGATGCCATGCTGTCACACTCCTTATGTCCTGTCTGTGTTTGCTCTCCTTGGATAGCTTCTTCTTTCTTTCAGCCCATCTGTGTCCTGACCATCTTTCAGAAGTCAGGGGTTGGGTGACACTCACTTGACAATACTGAGGACTTTTTTTCTCTAATCCCCTTTTATTATTGTCAGTCAATTACATCGAACTTGTTCAAGCAGATGAACATAGGACACACTCAGTCAACTTTATGATGATTTATTTCTCTGCAGATGGCATCATAAAAGCAAAAGTATCATATCTGCTACATGGAGTCAGCTGGGTGCTGCCCCTATCAGAATTTTGTCACTTAGTAGGGCACCAAAAGATGGGTGGCAGGAGATGTTTTGTACCTGATGCCAACTCAAATGTCAAAAAACAGCTCCAAAAACATCAATATTTTCCTTGAAAACCTCTATGGAAGTGTCGTCAGTGCATTAATTTCAGACATTATGATCTAATTTATGTTTCTAACGTACTATCAATTGATTTATGAGCACGGTCAAATACAGAGAAAATCATAATATAGGAAGCCTCTTTATAGGTATCCTCCTTCATTATTCTCTGCCTTGCACTTCAATTTATCCAGTGCTCCCATACTGCTTGCCTTTCCAATTATGTTTTAGTGCTTCACTTGTTTCAGAAATAGTTTCATATCAATGTATGAGAAGAAAATACCTAACATGAATTAACACATTAGGATTGGTTGAATTTGAAGTTGTCAGGGGCAGGTCACTGAACAATATATGGAGATTTTTTAAATTTTTTAAATGAAAAAATTATACATATTATTGTGATGGAAGGGGGATCTTTTCTGCTACTCTCTTAGGTTAAGTAACTAGGGGCTTGTGAATTAAACTAACAAGAGACAGATTAGCAGGAGGAAAAAGCATAAGAGTTTAATTAATGTTTTACATGCATGGGAATTCACAGAAAATAAGGAAAACTCAAAGTGGTTTGACTTGGGGACATATATCATTTTAACAAAGGAAAAGGTGTCTGGGCTTCAAGGGTCAAGAAATCCTGGAGAATCGACCAGGAAGCTTATGAGGGAAGATAAGTGTTATTTTAGTAAGGCCTGTTGATGTCAATATCTCTTAGTGTAAATTCTTTCTCAGTGATTAATGCTCTTCTATGCCTGACACAGGGAAGGAGGAGGATCCCTTCACAAAGAGAGATTTATGCTCTACTTTTAGGCAGTTAAAGGGAGTGCAGAGAATTCTTCCGGAACTCAACACAAAATAATTCTTATGCCAAAGTGGCATATTTTGGGGTGGCATATTCTGATGCCCTCGACTGCTTACTGTAATGGGCACAAGACTGGATCATTGGTCTTTTATCCTTTTTAGAGATGTTTATCAATTCCTAATTATTGTTTGAAGGGATTGAGTCTAATGTAGAAGGGAATGATGCTGTTTAACCAGGGCAAAAATTTCTGAGAAAGCAGAAGAGCAGAATCCATCAATAGCTTATAAAGGTAGTGTATTGTAATGGATAGTGAAGCAAACCCTGAAGGGAAAGATTCATGTTCAACTCCCAGTTCAGTACAGTCAGCCCTCTGGATCCATGGGTTTTGTATCCATGGATTCAACAAAATGCAGGTAAAAAAATTATGAAAAAAAAGACAATTAAAAATACAGCAAAAAAGATACAAATACAAATATATATAGCATTTACATTATATTGGGTATTGTAAATAATCTAGAGATGAATTAAAGAATTCAAGAGGCTGCACATAGGTTATATGAAAATACTGAATTTTTTTTTTTTTTTAGACAGGGTCTTGCTCCGTCACCCAGACTGAGGTCAATGGCATGATCACAGCTCACTGCAGCCTCAAAATCTCAGGCTCAACCAAACCTCCCACCTCAGCCTCCCTAGTAGCTGGGACTACAGGTGTATGCCACTATGCCTGGTTAATTTTTGTATTTTTTGTAGAGTCAGGGTTTTGCCCAAGGCTGGTCTCAAACTCCTGAGCTCTAGGGATCTGCCCACTTCAGCCTCCCAAAGTGCTGGAATTACAGGTGTTAACTTTTTTTTTTTTTTAAATAGGGATTTGAGCATCCATTGATTTTGGTATCTGTGAGGGGTCTTGACACAAATCCTCTATGGATATTTAAGGACAATTGTACTTACTGTGAGAATTTTTTTTGGTTTCAGAATCTCTCTTAGTCAGTTTCTCAATGCATGAAATAGAGCTAATAAGCTAAAATTGTTATGAAGATCAAAGATAATAGTAAATACAAAGGTTCCAATATGTAAAACACTACATATGTAAAACATTTTATATATGTAACAATATGTAAAACACTGCAAAAATATAGTGTAACTATATTTAACATATATTTATATATGTTTATATATAGTGTAACTATACATAAACACTATTCTTTATTTTTCTCCTATAAGGTAATTTGGTTCTGTGTAGAGTTTCTCTGCTAAAAAACACAGAGAGTGCTACATTCTGTATTTCTCATGTCTGAAGTCAGTCCATTGTGCGCTGCTGATATTACCAAGCTCTGCTGAGATCTGCTTTGGGGTCTCCATGACACATTGAATAGAACATGACTTTAAAGTCAGAACACACAGAATTTATACTGAGAATCTGCCTTTTTTTTAGTTCTGTAGCTTTTGTCAAAAGACAACCTCTTTGAGTCTGTTACCTTATCTGTAATAATATGACGTGTTATCTCCCTCACAGGGTTCCTGGGAGACTTACATAATATTGTATAGGTCTAGGGATGTTTTCATGGGAAGTTTTTTTGAAAAGCTGTATGGAACTGTCATCAGTGCATTAATTTAAGATATTTATGGTCTTGTTTATGTTTCTAACATGTACAATCCATTGATTTATGAGCAAGGTCAAATATAGATGAGAATCAGTAGATGAGTTCTTGGTCACAGGAGGTTTTACACATGATAACATGATCACGGAGTGCCCCTTTCTCTCCTATCCCATTCATCTCTTAGTAAAATTTTCTGTGGAGCTACTTAGGAGGCTGAGGCAAGGCATTTAGCACCATCCTAAGCAACACAACAAGACCTCATTCCAAACAACTTTTTTCTTTCTGTGGATATGGAAGATGAAATACCAGTTTTGGATAGAGAAAGCTTGTATCTGGAAAGAACTCACCTTCAGAATGTGAATATGATTTAAAAATCATATTTTAAATGACAAATAATAATTACGTGTATTTATACGCTACTGTGTGATTCTTTGATAAATGTATACAACGTGGAAATCAGCTTATGTAACAAATCCATTACTTCACACACTTGTTTTTTTTTTGAGGGGGGATAATATTTAAAATATATTATTTTAGCAATTTTCAGATATGCAATGCATTTTTATTTATTATAGTCACCATTCTGTGCAATAGATAACTCAAATGTATTCCATCTGTCTGAAACTTTATGCCCTTTGACCAGCTTCTCTCTTTTCCCCATTCATCCACCTACTTCAGCCTCTGGTAACCATCATACTCTCTGATTCTATAAGTTCAACTTTTTTGGATTCACCTGTAAGTGAAATCATGCAGTATTTTTATTTTTGTACCTGGTTATTTCACTTAGAATAATGTCCTCCAGGTTCATCCATGTTATTGCAAATGGCAGAATTTTCCCCCTTTTAAAGGCTGAATAGTATTCCATTATGTATATAATACCATATGGAATATGTAGGCTCTTTTGAGTCAAAGGGAGTGTGCTATTTTGCTTTTAGCCATATGAAAGTGACCTTGAGACAAGGCACTACTGTGTTAATGGCATAGTATTTTACATACCTCATTACAGGTTGATGAATCTAAAGGCTTTTGTTTTGTTTTGTTTTGTTCAGGAGGAAGTGGGAAATAGAGAAGGTATGCATTAAAGCAGTGCCGTGTTAGAATGTGTCTGCCTTAACAGAATGGTAGTCAAATTGACTTAAGCTTAGCTTAGTCTGAAAATTCTTTAGATTCAACCAATAATAACAAAAGTTGCAGGAAGGAAGTGAGTTAATGTAAGAAGAGTAGCTATAATCATATTAATGACATCTAATATTTTCTTTTTCTTCACAGCCCACTCCCCAGACCTTCACCCTGACACACACGCGCGCACACACACACACACTCTCTCTTCTCTCTCTCTCTCTCTCTCACACACACACACACACACACACACACACATAGTACAGCCAAGAAGACAAAGTTGCAATGTGCCTAAGTTACTCTGTATCTCTTGAGGTACTTATACTGTGCGGGAGAAGGCAAGAACTAACATATTTAAACAGTGCTACCATCCCTACACTATTCTATATTCATAGGTCAATGGCAAAATGAGGAAAAGAGAAGGAAGGAAAGATACACATAAAAAATGTCATGGCTGGGCGTGGTGGCTCATGCTTTTAATCCCAGCACTTTGGGAGGCCGAGGCGGACAGATCATGAGGTCAGGAGATCGAGACCATCATGGCCAACACGGTGAATCCCAGTCTCTACTAAAATACAAAAAAAAAAAAAAAAAATTAGCCGGGCATGGTGGAGCATACCTGTCGTCCCAGCTATTCTGGAGGCTGAGGCAGGGGAATTGCTTGAACCTGGGAGGCGGAGGTTACAGCGAGCTGAGATAGCACCACTGCACTCCAGCCTGTCCAGCCTGGCAACAGAGTAAAACTCCATCTCAAAAAAAAAAAAAAAAAAAAAGAAAAGAAAGTCATTATGTTCCTCTGTGTTTGGTGAAATATGGTTTTCACATAATCATGCCGAGCCAACTAATTCTCTCAAATCCACTGAACGCTTAAGGTACATAAACACACACACATACACACACTCATCAGTTTATAAATGTGAATGAGAGGAGAGAAGTAAATAGTGAATGTTTCTAAGAATCGCAGAAATCTCTTAGTGTTTTATAAATGTAACTTTTAGAAGGTAAACTTGGGATTTCTACAAAAAGCTACCTTACATTTTGCAAAATATTTTAAATTTATTCTAGTGAGAAAAAGCATTTGTGAGAGGTATGTGCATTTTTGATCATTGATTTATGTAATCAGAGATCTCTGTATGGAGAGGAGAGGAGAATTTTGCCACATAAGATTTCTTTTTTAAAATTTCTTAAATGTGAAAAGTAGATGAACCAGCATGTAAAAATTCTGATAAATGTTAGTAGAAATGCCAGTGTAATTTTAGGGAAGGAAAATAGACTGACCAAAATTAAAGTGCAATGCTCAATAGACTAAAAATATTAAAGACGTGAATGAGCATAAAAGGAAAGACTAGCATAACAAAATGCTGTTGAATCAGAGCTAGTAAGAAACAAACTGTAATCCTAATCAATATAGAAGAGCATAAGTAGAAATGCATTTTAAACTGTAAATTCCACAGAAGAAAATACTAGGGCAATAGTTAAATGCATAAGTAATCAAATTAATATTGATTTATAGCCATTAGGGTTGAATGAATTTGCATCTATTACACCAGGGCCAAAAGATGCAGCAAGTTTTTTATATATTCTTGTTTATCCAATTAAAAATATTCTAAAGTTAATGTTGGCACTCATAAATAGTTTAATTTTAAATGAATTTTACAGGAATATTTTCTATTGATTTATTATTATTGTTGTTATTTTTGAGACAGGGTCTCATTCTGTCACCCAAGATGGAGTGCAGTGGTACAATCATGGCTCACTGCAGCCTTGACCTCCCTGAGTTTAGGCAATCCTCCCCCACCTCAGCCTACTGAGTAGCTGAGACTACAGGTGCATGCCACCACACCTGGCTAATTTTTGCATGTTTTGCCGAGATGGGGTTTCTCCATGCTCTCCAGGCTGGTCTTGAACTCCTGAGCTCAAAGAATCTGCCCGCCTTGGCCTCCCAAAGTGCTGGGATTCTAGGTGTGAGGCACGGTGCTCAGCCAAAAATTTTCTAAAAATGTAAACTCTGTTTGTCTGCAAATTTTCCTTGAAATTTTACTCATCCTGATGATCAACATGTACAGAGAAAAACTAGCTTGACTGTCTTTCACTTTGTTTGTGTAGATACTGGCTAAAGTTACTCATAACACACTGCTGATTGTCATGAAACTTTTCAGGAAGCTCAAATACAATGCCACTAGTAAATCCAGATTACACAGCCAAAGAATTAGTTGAGTACTAGTTACCATCATGTAGACTCAGAGTTGATCTTGCAATTAAAGAAGCAAATAGAAAGACATTAACTATATATTACACTTAATTGCATTTGATCCACAAATTGTATTACCCACTTTGTGAGTCTGCCACTGGAAACTCAGGAACCCCGATTGCAGTCCTCAGTATAATTAATGATGACAGTTTTCCTATATCTACTTGCTAATGCCATCTATTGCCTGTGAGGTCTCACTAAGACAAATGACTTAGTCAATTGTGGATAAAAATGTTTTCCATCAGAAGTAGGCTGTGACATTGCCACAGAGAGTAAGCTCAACCTGACTATGAATGGTAAAAATTTTCTTGCCAAAATGTGCAATGGTAAATTATATTGTTAAGATTTATTTCTATCCATACAAAGGTAGCAATGTCAACAAGACCAATTGTTTTAGTCACATCTGTCGTACAGGTTTAAAAATATCTACTTACTGCCCAAGCTAAGTTTGGTACAGCTTTGTGTTTTAGACTTTAAATTTACTTTAGCCTGTCAGGTTTTAGTTTTTCAGGAGAAGTAAGGAGTAAAATATTGATCATGTTTACCCATTATAATCAGCCAGGGTTAATATGCTATTTCTCTTAGGGCTGAAGTAAACCAAAATTTAGGGTTAGTTTTATAGAAAGTAATACTCTTGGACTGGAATAATTGTCATTAATTTTCCCTCCCACATCCAGGGGAATTTAGGTTAGTTCTAAAATAAAAAAATAAAAAAATAAAAAAATAAATAAAATCAATCTTAAAATGTGTCTGAAGACAGAAGTGATAAAAATAAAAGTTTTATATTTGTGATGCACATGAATAAAATTACAAAAATTGTGACTTTTAATGCATGAAAGGGAACATGTGTAGAATTGTAATAGTAATTCAATACTACCTTTTCGTTATACTTTATCATTGAGAAATTTAATAGAAACTACATGTGATAAAGACTTCTTTCCCCAAGTACAGGCCTTTGTCTATATATAGCTGGGATTTTTTTTAAGTAGGAATCAAATTGTGTTATTTGCAGCACAACACTCTCCGGAAAATTACAAGGGAACAGGAAATGAAGGCCAAATTCTATTCATAGTCATCAAAGGCTTACATGATTTAGCTCCTGATAACTTTCTGAGTTCAACTCACATTGTATTCTTTTGTTTCTCAGTGATCTCCAAATACAATGGCCTTCATTCCATTCCTCAAACAGCCCATTTTGGTCACTTCTAGTGTTTTATATTCACTCTTCTCTCTGCCTGGAATCTTCTCTTCAATCTCCTTGTAGCAAGTGCAATTTTCCCATTCTGCATCAGTTCTAACGTTACCTACAGGGGAGATCGTCCTTGAATGCTTTAACTAAAAGTGAAATCCCAATTCCTTCCCCACCAAATTTTTTCATTTAGAATTCTCTGGAATGATTTAATTTGTATATTGGTTTACATTTGTTTCCATGAGGTAAGAAAATTTTTTTTCAGAGTTATATGCCCAATACATAGTAGGTGTTCAGTAAATATTTGCTGAGTTGTTGTTGAACACATTGACTATTATATTAGCGTATTTTAAAAATCCCTACATTTGCTCATATAAATTGGAATATGGGAATATAACTTATTCCCATATTCTTTCACACTGTTTCCTTGTATATTAATAAAAGATATAAGTGATTAAAATGATCAACTATAGAAATTACACCAGGCTTCTTTAGGTAAAAGGAAGGATAGCAAAGATTAATAAAGTCACTTTTATTAATGTTTATTTTATTAATGTTTATTAATGAGACCCTGTTATTTATTTAACAGGGTCTCACTCTGTTGCCCAGACTGGGCAGGATCATAGCTCACTGCAGCCTCAAACTCCTGGGCTCCAGGGATTCTCCTGCCTCAGCCTCCCGAATACTTGGGACTGTAGGCATGCACCACCATGCCTGGCTAATTTTTATTTTTATTATTTTTTTAAAGGTGCATTCTCCCTATGTTGCCCAGGCTGGTCTTGAACTCCTGGCCTTAAGCAACCCTCCTAAGCTAGGATTACAGGTGTGAGACACTATGCCTGGTGATCACTTATCTTATTGCTTTAAAATCACAAATGCAAGTTAATTTTAGAATTCATCCTATATTATGGACATTTTTTGTCTTGAAATGATCAGATTTTTTAATCTGTTCATTTGCTCATTCATTTACTTACATATGGCTTGACTTAAGATATTTACTGAGCCACTGCTACCACTGCTACCTGTAAGGCACCATTCACTGTTTTTGGTATTCATCAGACAAGAAAACCCTTCACTTGTGGAACTTAGTGGGAATAAATAAATAAATAGCAAAAGCAGTAAATAAGAAACATATATAGGAATGCTAGAAGGTGGATGAAGCTATAGAAAATAGGGCAGGTAGCAGGTGAGGAAGGGCGGCAGGCTACTCTTGTTGACTATTGATTATTGCATAAGGACAGCATTGTTTACATGATGTATGCTTTGCTATTTGTTCCTGGAAATCAATACTGTTTTCAAAAGGTCTATCCCAATATGCATGCCAAATTTGCTATTTTTCACATATTTAATTATCTTTATTACAACCACTTTTAGTTACATTTAATGAAATGATTTTTTACTAGTATTTCCAGAACTTACCCAGGTTCTATTTCTTTCACAAAACTTATTCATAATATTCATAATACTCTGTTTTTGACTTATTATTTCTCTACCACTAGATTTTAGCTTCAAAATACAGCCTAGTATTTTCATTATTCTAGAAAAATTGCATATTTGTTTTTATTTACCAGTGCCAAGCATATAATAGGCAATTAAAACAATTTTTGGAATAATTAGCGAATGTATCTGTAAATGTTCATAATATTCCCTAATGCATCCAACCATTGCTCTGTGGGAAGAACTGAAGTGCCCATTAACCTAAATGCAGATGATTTAGCGGGAGAAGCTAAATATTCAGCTTCACAATATAAAATTGTGTGCATTTGTCTGAGTCAGAGCTCTATCTCTGCTGACATTGTTGCTGTTTTTGGCCTGGTTGAGAAGACAGGAGGAAACAGATGGTAGAAATATTTATTTTCTTTAAGAGATTTAGATTGGGTTAAACTACATTAAACTGTATTGTTATACTGCAGAAATGAGTTCTTGTTGAGGATGACTTAGAGGAAAGACAGAATCTGGGACAAGAAATGAGAATTCAGGATACAAGCCTTGGGTTTGGGTAATGGGAGAATTTTCCTCCCCAGACTTCATAATAATTGAACCTAGAAGAGAATGCTCCACTGCTTTTTTGATGGTAAAAACTAAGCTGACCCCTAGCAGTTGTAAGCAAGTTGTCACCTTGAGTGCTAGGCTTTCCCCTGAATATGTCCTGGACCGGTGGACTTTGAAAAGAACCACAAGCGTTTAGCCATTAGAAATAACTGCTGATTGTATACCACCTGGTTACTCATGAACTCTCAGTTTACCTTTTGTAAAACTGCAATCCAGCCACAATACTGTATAGAGGGGTTTAGAGGAGGACCTTTTTCACTCCAGTGTCAAAATGGTAAAGTGAAGGTTGTATTTGTCTCATGCCCATCACTCCACTCCCGGTTGCCTTCAGGTTTGTAGCTGCAATGGTCCAAACGATGGTTTGGGGGGCGGCAGTTGGAGAGGAAGCCAGAAGGTGAGGCAGACATGCATGTAGTGACAACAGCCACAGCAAAAAGCCAAGGAGTCACCTATTAATGTCCAGTGAGGTCTTATTCTGTTCTAAGTGTTATTCATGTATCAATTCACGTAATTCTCCTAACTCTGTGAAGAGCGCTATCAATACCACGTGCTACTGGTATGAATGTAGGCGGAGAGAACATTGAATAAGAGGCTGCCACTCTGACAAGTAGCTCAGTGTCATAATTTTGATATCAACAGAAATATGTCTAAGTTGATTTACAGAAGATGATAAAGAACACCCTTCTTGTTCCAGAAGTTCTATTTGTGGAGAGTTCTCTGGGAGAGATTATAGGCAGGGGTGGACTGGAATAGGAAGCTATGGAACAAGCTCCTGTTGATCACTAAGACTGGGTATTATCACTTGGATTAGAACTTAGTTTTACAAAGAGTTAAGAAGTTCAAAGGTCTTTGTCTTAGTTGCTGGATACATGCTGAATACAACTTTGTGAATTGATCAGAAGCATAACTACTAAAACCAAGGCTGTAACTTATGAAATAATTTGTACCATCATAAATTGTTACCTTTTAGCTTACAGGGCTTCCCTGGGGAGCATGAACTCTGTTGATCAATTCACCCTGAGTACAAGAGGTGATACTTGGGGTTTAGATACCCTGGTTAGTTCATTTTCAGTCATTGCCACATATCAAAATGAAGAAGTTACTGAGGACACATGTGTCTCAGGCCCACTCCACCCATCCTGACCTAGGACTAGGGAAGAGAAAGAGAGTGTTTCATTTTCTTACTGAAACTCTAATGTCAAAAGTGGGCTATGCAATCTGTGTTCTATAAAATATTTGCAGAGAAAATGAAGGAAAAAGAGAATGATAGACAGAGCTTGGTATCTGCAACCATGCCTGTCTAGGTTGGTTAACTGAGGTAGGATGCAATATACTTGAGAGAATGATTCTGATTGTCTTTACTATTGACATCAACTGCTATCATCAAGTCAATGTGGCAGTGATCTCTACCGATTATTAAGGTAGCTTTGTAAGCAGAATCAACTAAGCTTTAGTGATGTTTTGGTACACATCCATAAATCCACCTATTTCTTTATTTTTTTCTTGGTATTTTATCAGAGGAAAAATAGGTGTTTATTCTCTGCGTATGGTGAAATAATTTAACCCCTTAATAAGTAATTTCAAAATAAAAGCATTTGTTGCTGAAAGATATAGATATCAACCAACAGGCACTAAAATGGATAATCTCATGAGGCCTTCTAAGGTTATTAAGGTGAAGCCTTAATGGAGCAGAGAATTCATAAACATTGCAGGATAAAATATGAAATGTGATGCTCAAGTTGACATATCTATTGTAAAGCTTTTTGTTTTGAACTGAATTCTCCAAGCAAATATAAAATATTACAGATTATTAAAAAGCATATGACATACATATGTTAACAATAAAACTACCAAGTATTATTCAATTATTTACATTTGAGCCTGAACATAACTTTTGTTATTAGCTTGGTAACTGCTCTGCTTTATTCTTGCATATGTCTTGGTGGAGGGTACCAAAAGTCAAAACAATTTAACTGTATATTCCCTTGAAGAGGCCTAAGCCTCATGTCTATAGACACAACACACAGTAAGCCTGAATATATTTAATATTCTTTTCCTTTCTTGTTTCTTTTGTATAGCTGTGCTTATAATGCTACTATGTTGTTCAAGAAAATAGATATGTAGAAAATAGTTAACCTAAATAGCTGGGCAATACTAAAAATGGTTAATTGTTAATTTGAAACTATTAATCAAAACCTGCAATGATATATGAAAAGTTATTTGAATTTAGTAAAAACAATGTGTGTAAACATAGAAAAGTGGTTGAGGTATACAAAAAGTTCATAAATGTTGAAATACAATTAATAAATGTAGAAAAAGATGTTCAATTTCTCTTGTAATTAAAAGGAAGTGTCATTTTCCATTAAATTGACAAAATAATAAAATAAGCTGTGCTTTTAGTGTTATTATGTCATTAAAGAAAATAGATACATAGAAAATAGTTATCCTAAATAGCTGGGCAGTATTAAAAACTATAGAATACCCAACTGAATACTTACATTGATATCCATGTCAACAACCCAAGCCTCTTGCCTCAAAACAGAATTAAAAAAAAAAGTGGCGGGGGGGGGGGGGGTTGTTTGTTTGTTTGCTTTTTTTAGAAAAGGAAAATGCACAAGAGTGTAAAAAAGTTTGAAACATCATGTTTCAGTTTTTACAGTTGAAAGTCTCTTCAAAAAGGATTCAACCTAAAATAGTTGTCATTGAAACCACAAAGTCTACTTATTTCTATGGGAATAGCTCACTGGAGTTCTGTCATTAGGATTCCTGGGCATTAGGGGAGAAAATCTCTGCTGTATAGTTTACCTGCCTATTGTTCTGTGTACCTGAGGGAAAAGAGTATTGTTCTTTTGGCAAAGAGAGGAAACTGTGAGATTCCAGACATTACAAACTTCTCTCTTCTCGGAATTCTTAATTTTCTTTTAACGGTTGAATGCACATTACATATTTCTCTGATTTGATTACAAACTCTTTGAGAAGACAGACTTATTATATCTTCTACTTCTTTCTATATACTCTAAAACAACTGAGATTTCTACGAGTAACCAATGTATATTATATTAATTGTTGATTCAAACTGATTGAACACACGTGTCATAAAAATTGTAAAGGGGTATTTTTTATTTGTGTAATTTGATTTTTACAGCTTGGACAAATAGCTCACATTTTAAAAGCCTTCAAATATGTTTTTGAATCAATCAATAAATATTTACTGAAAGGTTTCTGTGTTCTCAGCACAGCAGAGGATGAATAACAACAGTGTTGAACGAATCCTTCAAATCTACTTTTATCCCAATTCTACAGGAAACATTTCTTTCCTTATATTTATTTCAAACTCCAGATGACTCTCAATTTTACATCAAATGTGACTTTCTAAAATGTGGTTTAAGATAATCATTTAATATTGCACATTTTTAAGAATAAAGAAAGTAAAATATTCAATAGCTTTTGAAAAGAAGGACCGTGAAAGGTGCTTTGCCTTAAGATATATTAAGATACATATGTAAAGTTGAGATGTTATATACCATACTTAATTATTTAGTTTGGTTACTAAACATATATTAAGTAAAAATTTAATGACATATCATTTTTAATTTTACTCTATTTTACAATTAGTTATTAAGAAGTACTATTATAAATGTTAGTGGGTATATGAAGGGAGCAGAGAAATAAGCCTGGAAGCAGATCCAGGTGTGTGTGGGTGTATGGAATTCTTATACAGTATATACATATTTTGTATTTATATTAATTATTTTTTAAAAATTAACATCTTAAAGCTATGGAGATAAAAGATTATTTTATAATATATAGTGATAATTGGCTGATGATTAGGTAATTGTAGCTTAGATTCCCTATTTTACTGCATAAGTCAAAATAAATTCTAGATGTATTTAATATTTTAAGACATGAAATTTTAAAGTGACTAAAAAAATTGAGTGCACCTTAGGATAAGGAAATACTTTAAAAGTATAATACCACAAGAGAAGCCATAAAGGAAAAAGACATAGATTTATCCACATAAAATAAAAACTTTTAATAGGGCAAAAGTTAGAATATAATTAAAAGTAAAACTTTAAAGCTATATACTATATATGTAATAAAGACCTACTATTCTTACTGCAAAATAGGTGCAATACTTTGGAGACAGTTTATATTTGAGAACAAAAAACCTGATTAATTGCCCAAAAGAGTTGAGAAGAAAGGACACTGTTAAAATGTTAATTTTCTTCACTTGTGTAAAAGGAGCTAGAGATACACAAAGCAAATTTGGCCTAAATATTGATAAAAATAGAATCATTTCATGTTTTTTTAATTGTTCATTTGAAACCATCAATCAAAACTTGCAATAATATATGAAAAGTTATTTGAATTTAGTAAAAACAATGTGTGTATAAATATAAAAGTGGTTCAGGTATACAAAAAGTTCATAACTGTTGAAATACAATTAATAAATATAAGAAATATATTGAATTTCTCTTGTAATTAAAAGAAAGTGTCATTTTCCATTAAGCTAACAAAAATGTTAAAAAGCAGCAATATCCTATATGGGAGACGATATGGCAAAACACTGGCACTCTTGCATGATACCAGTTATTTGTAAATCAGCACATTCAGTCTTAGAATACTTTGACGATTACAATATTAAGCCTTAAATATGCCCATATTCTTTAAATCAGAAATTTCTTGTTTTGTGAGTATATCCTTTGAAAATTAATCAGAGAAATGCACAGAATGTCTCTTTCAGGTACTCAAGAACACCTCGATTATAGTTTTTCAGAGAATGGTCTTAAGTTCTAATTAATGCTCGTTTGGATAATAAATTACGGAGTGAAAGCAAATCTCTTTATTGCACAGAACACTGTGGACTGGGTCTCACATCTACACCCTTTTTCATTTTTCTCATCTTCCTCTCATGAACTTTCACATCCGCACTAGGCTCTGTAAACTGACTTTGCAGATGTTATTATATTCTCCCCTGCATAGCTAAATCCTTATTTTTGGTTCATTTGCCCCACTTCTTTGTGTATGACTTCGCCCGTGATTCATTATATTGTGATATACACTGAAAGCAAAAGGTAAAAAACAGTGTGCAGAAATAGTGAAAAACAAAGGACTATGAAATTACATAATATGGTCAAAGAGAACCTCTCTGAAAAGTTGTATTTACATCAGTCATGGGAAGGAGAAGAAATTAACCAATAAAAGAATTAGAGAACAGTGTTTCCGATAGAGGTGAGAGGACAGCAAATATAAAGGCAGGAAGGAGCTTGTTTAAAGACTTGCAAGGAGGGACATGTGAAAACAATGGGACAGTGGCTGTAGGTGAACTAGGTAAGACAGGCAAGGTTTAGATTACAAGCCCCTTCTAGGTCAAGACTACGTATCTGAATTTGTTCAAAAGTTTACAGGGAAACCATTAAAGGGTTTTAAGGCTAGAGGTGACTTTATGTAATTTATATTTTTAAAGGTTGCTGTGGTTACCCCTAGTTCTATCCAACATGTCCACGAAGGCAATGATTAAATATAGAGAAACTATTTAAAGCAACCATTAAAAGACATTAGAGAGAACTAAGAAAGATAAGATGTAGGGCTCTTTTTCTTAAGAGAAGGGAAGCAAAAACAGTAACATGCAGGTATTTTGGCTCTCTCCTCTCAAGGCTTTTGCCAACTTTCAGTTCAAGCGAATACAGCCCAAGCCAAAAATGGCCAATTTTACAGGCGTGTGTTTGGTACTGGGAAAATGGATAGAACTTGTGAGAAAAAAGTCCTGGAGAGAGGAAACTTCAGAAAAGTGAGTTTAAAAATCTGCATGCAAATTTCTCTCAAGAATCGGCTGATGCCTACAGAGCGAGATTCCAAGAAACTCAGCAGAAACAGTAGATAAAAGCCAAACAGGTGAACAGAGATTTCAGGAACAGTTTTGGGGAGGCGGATGTTGGCATCTGCTTTCGAGAGAGGGTCCTTGTTAGATTCCAAGAGCTTCCAGCTGTGAGATACCAGATGGGTCATGGCCTAACAACAGACTCTGCTGTAGGAGCACAGCCATGCAAATGATGATCTAGGAGTAACAACAAACTGAAATAACTGCTTAGAAATAGATTTAATGGAGGAAAATGACTTAGAAACTTTAGGAAGGAGGAGGTTGGGGTGGTTCAATTGATGGGATCAGAAGAATAAATTCCAAACTTGATTTTTGTAGTAGTAGAAATATTCAAGATTCATAAGGAAAAATCAACAATATTTTTGGTAATCTCTGAAGTGCACACTCTGAAGTTAGCTTGGAATGAAATCTTTTGACTTTACAAGAATTTTCTTAAAGAATGAACCTATTGTTTCTAAAGAATTTGTTCTATACTATTTCCTGGATATGAGTTATATATTAGTTAGGGTTGTCCAGAGAAACTGAACCCAGAAGATGCATGCATATTTCACATCATCTATCTATCTATCTATCTATCTATCTATCTATCTATCTATCTATCTACCTATCTATCTATTTACCTATCTATGTATCTACTTTCTTCCTATGAATCATCTATGTATCTATCTTCTTTCTTCCTATTAATTATATCTATCTATCTATCTGTCTGATTTATTAGAAATAATTAGCTTGCAAGATTATGGAGATTGGCACATCCAAAATCTATAGTGTGGGCTAGAAGTCTGGAGACCCAGGAGAGCCAATGGTGCAAATGAAGTCTGAAGGCAGTAGGCTAAAGAATTCCTTCTTGATCAGCAAGACTTATCTTTGTGCCGTATTTAGGTCTTCAAATGATTAGATGATGCCCAATGACATTATGGGAGGCAGTATCCCCTATTCAGAGTTCACAAATTTAAATGTTAATCTTATCCAAAAACACCTCAAAATTGACACATAAAATTAACCATTACAAGACATAATTGGCATAACATGCACAGATGTTAAGTGATTGGTTCAATGAGTTTTGACAAATATATGCTCCTATGTAGCTACCACTACAACTGAGAACATTTCTGTGACCTCTGAATGTTTCCTCATGTACCTGTCCACTCAATCTCTTCCCAGGCCTGGTGAACATTGATCTAATCTCTATCATCAGTTTTTTTCTTCTCTGTAACTGACTGTAAATGAAATTTTGAATATCTAGTGTCTTTTGCCCAATATAATTCCTGTGAGATTCATCCATGCTGTTGTGTGCCTTGATCACATTTTGATTTATATTGCTGAATAGTCTGCTATTATATAAATGACTACTATTTGTTTACTCTTTCACATTTTACTTTGTTTCCAGCTTTTAGCATTCTAAATAAAGCTATGATAAACATTCTTATAAAAGTCTTTCTGGGAATATAAATTTTAATTTCTTGGGAAAACATCTGAGAGTAAATTTTCTAGGTCATGAAGTAGGTACTGCTTTACAGCAATTTGCCAAAGAGTTTTCCAAGCGAAGGTACAGTTTCTCTTTCACCAGTGACATGTGGGAATTCCAGCATCTCTACATGTTTATGACTTCTTGGTATTTCCATTCTTTTAAATTTTAGTCATTCTAGTGAAGTGACTTCTTATTGTGGTTTTTACTTGCATTTCCATGATGACTAATAATATTGTACATTTTTTTGTGGTTTTATTAGCCAGTTGTATGTTCTTTGGGGAAGTGTCAAATCTCTTGCCAGTTTTTATTGTGCTTGCTTTTAAAAAAATTATTGGGTTTTAGAGATTTTTTTAATATATATTCTACATACAAATTCTTTATCAGAAATATGCATTGCCAATGTTATCTCCAGGTCTGTGGTTTACTTTTTCATTTTCTTAATGATTCATTTAATAAGCACATATTATTTTGTTGTCTAGATCTTATCTTTTTCTGATTTTATTATTAGTGATCTTTGTGCTCTGCCTAAGAAATCTTTGTCTACAGAAAGTCATAGGGATATTATTCTTTTATTCTAGAAGTTTTATATTTATGGCTTTTATGTCTTTGTCTGTCATCCACCAAAAATTATTTTTTCACAGCATTATTGAAGAATAATTGATGTACATTAAACTGTACATATTGGCCAGGCTCAGTGACTCATGCCTATAATCCCAACACTTTGGGAGGCCAAGGTGAGAGGACCACTTGAACTCAGGAGTTCGAGGCAAGCCTGGGCAACGTAATGAGACCTCATCTCTATAAAACATCGAAAAGTGACTTGGGCTTGGTGGCATGCACTTGTAGTCCCAGCTACTTAGGAGGCTGAGGCAGGAGGATCACTTGAGCCTAGGAGGTCAAGGCTACAGTGAGTTGTGATTGTGCCACTGCACTCTGGCCTGGATGACAAAGCAAGACCCTGTCTTAGAAAAAAAACCAAAACAAAACAACAACAACAAAACCCAAATCTGTACAAATTTAAAGTCCATAATGTGATGGATTTTGACACATATAGCTCTTTGAAGCCATCATCACAAATCAAGATAATAAACATATCCATCAGAAAACATGTTTTGATCACTGAAGGAATTGTTCATAAATGACACTGATGAAATTGTACAAGAAGCCAGATGTGACATCTCTAGAGGTTTTCATCTAGTGGAAGCTATGTTATTTCATTTTCTACTAATTCTAAGTACATATTTTCAACACATTTTTGCTAGTTATTTTTTCTTAGATCTAAGCACATATTTTCAACATACACTTGCTATATATTTTTATTCCATCAGTACAATGTATACTTTCAAGTCCAAAGCACATTTTTGCTCAATATCTTTCCCAAGCCTTTAAGAGAGGCTAAACGGTTTCTCTATCCTACTTGAGAAACCACACATTAGTTAGGAGAGGTTGCTTTTAGGGCCACTCTGCTTTTCAAAGCCTAAACTATTTTTTCATTTTAATTATGATAAAATATATATAGTATAAAATTTACTATTTTATCCATTTTTAAGTGTACAGGTTATTGGTATGACTTACATTCACACTGTTGTGAAACTATCACTATTCCTTTTTAGAACTTTTCATCAAACCCTACTGAAACTCTATTAAACAATAATTACCCATTCCACCATCACCCCAACTCTTGATAACCACTGTTCTACTTTCTGTCTCTATGAATTTGTCTATGCATTTTTTTGTATTGTGTGAGATGGAGGGAAAGATCCATTTCCCCCCCATATGAATATGCAGTTACTCTAGCACCTTCCAACTTGTCAATTTTTACTCCCCAAAAATCCTGCTAGGATTTTGATTGGGATAGCACTGAATCTACAGATTAACTTGAGAGGCACTGAGAGCTTAAAGATATTGAGGCTTCCAATCTATGAATAAGGTAAATCCTTTTCCTTATCTAGCTCTTCGTTAATTTCTCTCTGAAGATATTTTGAGTTTTCTGTGCAGACATTATGCACATCTCATTAAATGCATTATTTTTGTTTTCTGATGGTATTGTAAATGGGATTTTTAAAACTTCATTTTTTGTTCATGTAATGAATCACAATTATAGGGTATAATTTGAAAAAAAATTGACCTACATATACACATGTGAAACCGTTACAATCATAACCAAGCAATAAACAAATCCATCATCCCTAAAAGTTTTCTAATGCACACGTCTAATGCTTCCCTCCTGCCCCTCTGTACCTTGTTCTCTCCACTGTCTGCTTTTCTGTCACTGTAAATCCATCATTTTGCACTATGTAAGTGGAATTATACAGTAAGCCTATGTTTTTGTCTGGCTTATTTCATAAAGCATAATGTTTTGAGATTACTTATATTGTTGTGTGTACCAATGGGTCACCCCTGTTATTGCTGAGTGGTGTTTCATTGTATTGATGTAACACAATGTGTTTATCCATTCACCTTTGGTAGGCATTTGGATTCTTTCCAGTTTTTGGCTATTACAAGATAGTTATCATGAACGCTCATATACAAGTCTTCGTATGAACATATGTTTTCACTTTTCTTGGGTAAACACGTAAGTGTAAAATGTCTGAGTCATATGGTAGGTGTATATTCACCTTTAAAAAAAAATGCCATTGTTTCTCAAAATGGTTGTACCATTTTCTATTCCCACCAGCAGGGTATGAAACTTCCAGTCCTCTCAAACGTTTGTCATGTCCAGTCTTTTTAAATTTTAGGCACTCTAATACACTTTTAATGTTATCTCATTATGATTTGAACGTGCATTTCCCTAATGACTAATGATGTTGGGCATCTTTCATGTGCATATATGCCATCTTGTTTGGTGAAGTGTTCAAATCTTTGCACATTTCCTTAAATTTTGAATTTCTTATTATTGAGTTTTAATAGTTCAAAATATATGCTTTATATAAAATGTGCTTTACAGGCTGGGTGAGATGGCTCACACCTATAATCCCAATTCTTTGAGAGGCTGAGACAGATCACTTGAGGTTAGGAGTTCAAGACTAGCCTGGGAAACACAGTGAGACTCCATCTCTACAAGATATAAAATAAAATTAGCTGGGCATGCTGGCATATACCTGTAGTCCTGGCTACTTGATAGACTGACACAGGAAGATTGCTTGAACCCAGGAGCTCGAGGTTGCAGTGAGCTATGATTGCACCACTGCACTCTAGCCTGGGCAACAGAAAAAAACAAAACAAAATAAACATTAAAATAAAATAAAATAAAATATGCTTTATACTTTTTTTCCAGTCTGTGCCTCATTTAAAAAAATGCTGGACACAATCAATCAAATGATAAAGGGTGTATCACCACTGACCCCACAGAAATACAAACAATCATCAGAGAATACAATAAACACCTCTATGCAAATAAACTAGACAATCTAGAAGAAATGGATAAATTCCTGGACACATGCACTGTCCCAAGACTGAACCAGGTAGAAGTTGAATCTCTGAATAGATCAATAATGAGTTTTGAAATTGAGGCAGTAATAAATAGTCTACAAGCAAAAAAAAGCCCAGGACCAGACGGATTTACAGCTCAATTTTATCAGAGGTACAAAGAGGAGCTGGTACTATTTCTTCTGAAACTCTTCCAAACAGTTGAAAAGGAGGGACACCTCCCTAAATGATTTTATGAAGCCAGCATTATCCGGATACCAAAACCTAGAAGAGATACAACAACAAAAAATACACCAAAATTTCAGGCCCATATCTCTGATGAACATCGATGCAAAAATCCTTAATAAAACACAGGCAAACCGAATCCAGCAGCATATCCAAAAGCTTACCTACCATGATCAAGTTGGCTTCCTCCCAGAGATGCTATATTGGTTCAATATACACAAATCAATAAATGTGATTCATCACATAAGCAGAACTAAAGATGAAAACCACAAGATTATCTCAATAGATGCAGTAAAGGCTTTTGATAAAATTCAACATCCCTTCATATTAAAAACTCTTAATAAACTAGGTGTTGAAGGAACATACCTCAAAATAATAAGAGCCATGTATGACAAACCCACAGCCAATATCACACTGAATGGAAGCATTCCCCTTGAAAACTGGCACAAATCAAGGATGTTCTCCCTCACTACTCCTATGCAACATAGTATTGGAAGTTCTGGCCAGGGCAATCAGGCAAGAGAAAAAAAATAAAGGGTATTAAAATAGGAAGAGAGCAAGTCATATTGCCTTTGTTTGCAGATGACACGATCCCATATCTAGAAAACCCCTTTGTCTCAGCCCAAAAGCTTCTTAAGCTGATAAGCAACTTTAGCAAAGTCTCAGGATACAAAATCAATGTGCAAAAATCACTAGCATTCCTATATATCAACAACAGACAAGCAGAGAGCCAAATCATGAATGAACTCACATTCACAATTGCTACAAACAGAATAAAATATCTAGGAATACAGCTAACAAGGGAAGTGAAGGACCTCTTCAAGGAGAACTACAAACAACTCCTCAAGGAAATCAGAGAGGACACGAACAAATAGAAAACATTCCATGCTCATGGATAGGAAGAATCAAATCGTGAAAATGGCCATACTGCCTAAAGTAATTTACATATTAAATGCTATTCCCACTAAATACCATTGACATTCTTCTCAGATTAAAAAAAAACTACTTAAAATTCATATGGAACCAAAAAAAGAACCCACATAACCAAGACAATCCTAAGTAAAAAGAACAAAACTTTGGCATCGCACTACCTGACTTCAAAGTATACTGCAAGACTGCAGTAATCAAAACAGCATGATACTGGTACAGAAACAGACACATTGACGAATGGAAAACAATAGACAACTCAGAAATAACACCACACATCTACAGCTATCTGATCTTTGACAAACCATACTAAAACAAGCAATGTGGAAAGGATTCCCTGCTTAATAAATGTTGCTGGGTGAACTGGCTAGCCATGTGCAGAAAATTGAAACTGGACCCCTTCCTTCCATCTTGTGCAAAAATTAACTCTAGATGGATTAAATACTTAAATATAAAACCCAAAACTATAAAAACCATAGAAGAAAATATAGGCAATACCATTCAAGACATAGGTACAGGCAAAGATTTCACGACAAAAATGTCCAAAGCAATTGCAACTGCAACTAAAGCAAAAATTGACAAATGGGATCTAATTAACCAGCTTCTGCACAGCAGAATGAATTATCATCAGAGTGAACAGGCAACCTATAGAACGAAAGAAAATTTTTGCAATGTATCCACCTGACAAAGATCTAAAATCCAGAGTCTACAAGGAACATAAACAAATTTACAAGGAAAAAAAAACATTAAAAAATGGACAAAGGACATGAACAGAAACTTCTCAAAAGTAGACATTCATGCAGTCAACAAACATATGAAAAAAAGCTCAACATCACTTATCATTAGAGGAATGCAAATCAAAATCACAATGAGATATGGTCTCACTTCAGTCAGAATGGCGATTATTAAAAAGTCAAGAAACAACAGATGCTGGCAAAGTTGTGGAGAAATAAGAACCCTTTTAAACTGTTGGTGGGAATGTAAATTAGTTCAACCATTGTTGAAGACAGTGCAGCAATTTCTCAAAGATCTGGAGGCAGAAATACTGTTGACCCAGCAATCCCATTACTGAGTATATACCCAAAGGAATATAAATTATTCTATTATAAAGATACATGCATGTGTATGTTCATCCCCCTATTCGCAATGGCAAAGACATGGAATCAACCCAAATGCCCATCAATTATAGACTGGATAAAGAAAATGTGGCACATATACACCATGGAATTCTATGCAGCCATAAAAAGGAACGAGATCATGTTTGTTGCAGGGACATGGGTGAAGCCGGAAGCCATCATCCTCAGCAAACTAACACAGGAACAGGAAACCAAATATTGCATGTTGTCAAGTTGAACGTTGAGAACACATGGACACAGGGAGGGGAACAACACACACCGGGGCCTGTTAGGAGGATGTGTGGAGAGGGAGAACATCAGGAAAAATAGCTAATTCATGTGGGGCTTAATACCTAGGTGATGGGTTGATAGGTGCAGCAAACCACTATGGCACACATTTTCCTACATAACAAACCTACACATCCTGCACATATACCCTGGAACTTGAAAAATTAAATTAAATTAAAATACATTTTACAAGTGAAAAAAATTAATTTGCTTAACAGTGTCTTGAAAGAGCATTTAGACTATTTACAATTAATGTAAAATTGACATGGTTATGTTCAAGTCTATTATCTTGATGCTTTCACTTTTCACTTTGTCCCTTGTGTTCTTTATCCTGTATTTTTCCATTTCTCACTTTTTGGGAAATAATTGTTTTTAAGATTCTGCTTTATCCCCTTTGGTAATTTATTGGCTATAATTTTTTGTTTCGTTATTTTATAGTTACTTTAGGATTTATAGCTCATATCTATAACTTATCACAGTCTGTCTTCAACTGATGTTATCAGTTTCACCTATAGAATAATAAACTTTAAATTGTATATTTCCATTTGCCCTGTTGGCATCTATTGTATCTATACATATGTTATAAATATATGTACATATATGTACATGTATATACAAATACATATGTTATAAATATATGTTATAAACTTTAAAATCTATTTCTATTTTGATTTAATTGGCCAGTTATCTTTTTAAAATTAAACTTTTTATTTTAAGATAATTGTAGATTCACATGAAGTTGTAAGAAGTAATGTTGAGAGATTCTGTGCATTCTTAATTGAGACTCTTCCAATGCTAACATATCGCAAAAGTACAGGAAAATATGTCAACCAGGATAATGACATTGAAAGAGCCAAGATATAGAGCTCAAGATATACCCCTGGTTCCTGTGTGCCAGCCCCACTATACTATGAACACCCTGAGAGCAGAGACAACGGCGTCGACTTTTCTGTTCAGCAGGCAGTCATCACGGCCTGACAAAATAACTGGCTCTTTTAAACACAAGGAGTGGTACTGTCATGCATTTTGATGGGACACGATGTGCGGAACGGAGAATCAGCGTGGCAGCCATGGGGGAAACCAGGCGTCAAACAAGTGTGTCCTGGCAGTGGAGACCAGGGTACTTGGGGGAAGGCCTGTGCTGGGGCAGGCAGCTGGGCCTGGCAGGAAGATTCTTCATCACCACACAGATTCTTCAGTTGTTTTTTGCATCCACATCCACTTCACTCCACCCACTTATTTACAACTGGAAACCACTAATCTGATCTCTATTTCTGACATTTTGTTATTTCAACAATATTCGAATTTTTTTTTTTTTGAGACGGAGTCTCGCTCTGACACCCAGGCTGGAGCGCAGTGGCGCGATCTCGGCTCACTGCAAGCTCCACCTCCTGTGTTCATGCCATTCTCCTGCCTCAGCCTCCCCAGTAGCTGGGACTACAGGTGCCCGCCACCATGCCCAGCTAATTTTTTGTATTTTTAGTAGAGATGGGGTTTCAACATGTTGGCCAGGATGATCTCGATCTCCTGACCTCGTGATCTGCCTCCCTCGGCCTCCCAAAGTGCTGGGATAACAGGCATGAGCCACCACACCCGGCCTCGAATGTTCTTTAAACGGAATCATACAGTACGTAACTTTTTGGGATTGGATGTTTTCACTCAGCATAATTCTCTGGAGATTCATTCAAGTTCTTGTGTGTATCAATAGCTTATTCTTTGTATTGTTAAGTAGCATTCCATGGTGCAAATATGCCACAATTTGTTTATTCACTCAGCAAGAGGCATATAGGTTACTTCCAGTTTGTGCCTATTATGAATAAAACTGCTATAAACATTAATGTAAAAGTTTTGTGTGAACATTAGTCTTCACATTGCTGAGATAAATATTCAGAAATGCAGTTGCTAGGTTGTATGGCAGCTACATATTTAATTTTTTCAGAAATTGTTTAACTGTTTTCCGGAACGGCCATTAACATTTCACATTTCCACCAGCAATTTCTCCGTATCTTCACCAACATTTGGTGTTTTGACTACTTTTTATGTTAGCCATTCTAATAGATACATAGTGATATCTCATTGAGCTTTGGGGACTCAGAGAAGTTACCTGCAAAGAACTTTGGTCCTCTTAGGTATTGCTCTTAAAATTTGTTAGTTGTGCCTAGAGCAGTGCTCAGTTCATAGGTATATATTCCCAACTACCAAGATAAACTTTCTGAGTTCTCTATCGCATGTATTATGAGTTTATCCAGTGTGTCTGGAAGAGTTGGACACAGTTCCCAGCTGTGTGTGTTCCAAGCCCTATTCTTTCTAATTAATGGTTGGCATTTCCCCAGCCTCAGGCAGTTTCCTCTTTCCAGCTCTCCCACAGCTCTATGTCTGGGAAGCTATTCTCACTTTTCAGACACTCTGTTCTGTGAAATCTTGCTGTTACGTTCTTTTCAGATTCTTAGCTCTGTCTCCACAATTCAGTGAGCTCTCCATGTTATACCAAGTTTCCTCCTTTCTGTGCCATGGCCTGAAATTTCTCTGAAGACAGCAAACTAGGAAAATTACAGGGCTCAATTAATATGTTTATTCATTTCATTTGCCTGGAAGAAATGACTGTCTTTCATTATTTGATGTCCAGTACTTTGAAAACTGTTTTTCATGTATTTTTGTTTGCTCATTTTTGTTTTGCTTTATTTGGTTTGATTATTTCTGGTGTGATGGCAAATCTTGGCCAGAGGTGCAACTCTGAGAAGTCCTATTTAACAACCATAAGTTACTAGTTTTCTAATACTGCTACAAGAATTTATCTCAAATTTAGTGATGTAGAATGACATGAATTTATTCTCAACATTCTGGAAGTCAGAAGTCTAAAACTAAGGTGTTGGCAAAGCTATGTTTCCTCTGGAAGCTTCAGGGGAGAATCCCATTTCCTCTTCCTGTACTTACAGGTTGACTGCATTCTTTGATTTCTGGCCTCTTCTTGTGTCTTCAAAGTGCATCATTCCAACCCTTGATTCCATTATCACATCTCCTTTTACTGACTTCGTTCTTTCTGCCTCCTCTCTCTTACGATTCAATGTAATCTCCATACCTCAAGATCCTTGACATAATCACATCTGTAAAGTTCCTTTTTTCATGTAGGGTAACACATTCACAGGTTCTAGGGATTGGGATTAGGACATGGACATCTTTGAGGGGCTATTTTTTCAGCCTATCACACATTACAAATTCATTTTAAGACAACTGCAGGGCAAACAAGTAAATATTTCATAACTAGGTATGCCTTATGTCTTTTTGTGAACAACGGCTTTTCTGTTCTTAATACTGTTGTCCATTTATTAAAAATATATATTTAATATTTATTACATGCAAATGTTATCTGTAGGTAAGACTATGAAGATGTTCTGTAGCTTAATTTGAATGAATTGTATATTCAAACATGTTTAGTATGACTAGTTACAAGATGACTAATAATTTAAAAATGCCTGTGTGGGTCAAAGGAATCATCTATGCTAATGTATTTGAGCCAAATTATATTATGTTAATGACATAGTGTGTTATTTTACTTAGAATTAAACAAACATATAATGAAAGATATAATGGAGATCACCTCATTCAATTTACAGATCTGTTTAGCATGGTAGCAGATATACCTCAGTATTTTCTCAAATATGGATCAGGTTCAATCCTCTCAAGTCAGATTTTCTAAGACAGGACTGTTAGGAATAACAATAGAAATACATTTTAATCAGCCATTGACATTTCCACTATAACAAAATTATTCTATAATTTATAAAGTTTTATCTTGTTATTGCATGCTACTTCTTTATAGCGTCATGGTTAAGATTTGGGAGTAGAGTTGGAAAGATCTGAATTTAAAGTTTCTTAATCTGGGGAATGTTTCTTAACCTCTCCATATGGTTTTTCCTAGATTCTAAAATATTAGCTTCCTCATAGGATTGTTTGAGATTAAATGAAGTGATATAAATAGAGTATGTAGTGCTGGAGTTACATGTGATTACATATTTAGTGTTTAGAGACATGTAATTAGGACACAAAAGTGTTAATTCTTAGTAATATTATTATGGCCTGAATAATTTACACTTAGAGAAAGAGACAAGAAAGGGAACATTCATCTTTTTTTAAATTATTGTAGAACATGCTTAGTGTATTACTATTTATCTCAGTGGAAGTAATCTTAGAGCTTGAGATGAGATTAAATATGGAAAATTCTAAATATTAACTGACGGGCATTTTTAATGCCCTCTCTGCATTAAAAATGAGAGAAATATATTAAAAATAGCTATTTAACAACTAAAAATTTGATCAGTTCTGTAACTGTGCTTAGTTATATATCCAGAAGTGAAGTACACTTACCCAGTAGTTATTGCCAAAAAAAAGTCCTTCAAAGATGAGTTTATCTAAATGTCAGTGTGCATATACTATTTATTCACTCACTACTATTTGCAAAAGTGTTTTTCTTAAGGTCAAGCATGACTACAAACACAAAGGCACATAAAATTATTAATAAATATTTCACAGATGGTTGATGAAGAGCTCTAAATCTAAAGGTTAAATAGCAAATTCTTCAAATTAAAGTGTTTAGAAAATAAATAAATAATTTTACTCATAACTAAAACCTGTATTCTAAATTTAAGCAATGGGAGAAACCTCAAAGCAGTATAAAAAACTCTCTTTTTGTGATTTTATAATAGAAATATATAACTATAACAATTCAAAAGACAGCAGAGTAATTTAAGTTTCAGTAAGTATGATATAAAAATTACTCTCAAAATTCTTCCTAAAGCCATCACCAAATTGTTCCATGTCATAGAATATATGACATCAAAATTTATCTTAAAATATGTCAGGGTGCAATGAAAAACAAGAGAAACCAGAAAATAAGAGAAAGATCAAATTTGATTTTCTTAGCCCCTGCCTTATCCTTTAGATTGAAAACACCTCTCTCCTTGGACACCACAGATAAGTGGGATTGTTCCCACATCAGTATATATACTCTCTCTCTCTCTCCATATATATATATTTCTGTATATATATTTATGTGTATATATGTATACATGTACATATATACTGATATATACCAGTACATATATACTGTATATGTATGTATACAGTATATATACCAGTACATATATCCTGATGTGGGAACAAAGCCACTTATATACTTGCATATATACTGTGTGCCTTTGAAAATATAGGCTAAGATTCATGCCTTCCCTTTCTCATTCTTAACAACATTCTTACATTTATATTGTACTTAGATTTTTTACTCAAAGCTCTTTTCAAACACCACATTTTTTCATTCATACCACAAATATTCATTGGAAACTTCTTGTATCTCAGGCACTTCCTAAGAGCCAAACATATAGCAGTAAAGAAACCTGACCAGTTTTTGTTCTTACAGATATTATGCTCTTGAGAGACAGAATGACCATACAAAGTAAAGAGATAATTTAAAATGTTAATATAATGCATGCTATGACCACAGGAGTAGGTCATTGGCAGAAGCAGGTGACAGAGAGTGACTAGGATGTTACTTAATATGTGGTGGTCAGAAAAAAGACACTTGGCTCACAGTTTCCACTTAATTGTACTTATTTTTCTATTATCAAAGAAACAGATGGACTTATTTATCTGTTTTTGTATTTTCCAAAACTGTTATACTATCTCTGGTTCCTGAAAAGATAGCTTCACTGACTTAAGGGGTGATGCTATATATTTGAGCTTTTCTAGATAGTTAATTCAAAAGTTGCTATTTTGAACTTCATTGCCATATCCCTGGTAAAATGATTACTAAACGTTATGTGCCATGCAGATTACTATTTTGTATATAAGAAGCCATGCAAAAAATCCACAAACATGTTTGGAACACGAAGTGAATTTACAGAATGATTTCTACCAGATAATGTATTTCCTAATCAATTGTTTTCATTTTTGCATTAGAGACCAGTAAAATAAATATTTTGGTGTCACGTGATGTTTCCCTGAAAGTTAATGTCACAGCTAGACCTCTTAATTATGACTCAGTGCACTTCCTATGATATTACAGTCTCTAAAGCTAACTTGATCTCACTTCTGATTAAAAAAAACCGATTACTTTAAAGCACATAGTGTACTTCTTGACTCTGAAGCACCATTCACTCTAGGATGCAGTGTTACTTCTAAAAAAGATGCTTCCAATTAAACTAAAATTCAATGCTTACTGTCACTTACATTTGTATTTTATATGTGTATACTAAAAGAGCTTTTTAAAGGGTATATTTTTATCAAGAATAAGAAACAGGTTGAGTTGTTCCTGTAAATTTTACATAATTAGACTACAAATTTTCTAAGTAATTTTTCAATTCAGCAATTGATATCATCTTCAAAAACATTGATAATATAGTATTTCCTAAAATCATATATAGAAGAACACTTTAGTAATGGGTTCTTAAGACAACTTTGTAATTATGATGATCTAGCTTACTTTTAAATACCACATCAGGAATTTTACTAAATACTGTCTAATTCAATTTCTTTACTCATAGTTTCTAAGAATTTAAAAGAACTCTCCAGAATTATTTCTGGGCTTTCCTACAAGCCACTGCTACCTTTTCTGCAAGTTTTTGTCTGGCATTTTGATGGTTGCCCATAAATAAGTAATGGAATTATCCTCACTGGCTGATTGCTGTTGGGAGACACTATTGATTTCAACACACATCAAATTTCAACGGTGTTAAAATGAGAAAAAAATCAGTGTCTCATGAGTGAAGAAACACAGTAACATAGTGAGAATATTCAAGTATCACTAATTCAACAGGAGGCTCTGCTTAAGTTCTTATGATTTATGGTCAAGCCTTAAAATCAAAGTCCAAAATGTTATATTAATGCATTAGCTTTTTTTTTTAATTAAAAAGACATTCATTTTAGGATCAAAATAAAATTTCCACATATTCTAGTTTTTCTTTTTGTTCCCTAAGTTAAATTAATATAGACCTTGATGCTTATCCCTAAAACTTCAAATTGCTTATTTGTACTAATATAACTAAATTCTCTGGAGTAAAGTATCCCCGTGAAATCCATAGGATATCCTACAGCAAATCCTATGGACTTTACACTCAAAACACATCTTGATTTGAACATTTCTCATCATCCCTCTGCTACTACACTGGTCCAAAGCACCATATTCTATTGTCTGGATTACTATAGTAATCTAACAATTCTTACCATTTCTACCCCAGCTCTGTTTTGCTCTATTCTCAACACAGCATCCAAAGAGGTACTAATAATTTTTTTGCCTAAAACTTGGCAACTGTTTCTCATTTAACTCAGAGTATGATTCAAAACCTGTAACAACTTAATAATCCTCGTGCCTACATTTCATTCCAAATAACTCCCTCAAATTTTGTATCTTCCCTTCTGTTGTATTTTTCATATCATTTACTACCATCTAACATTTTTACATATTACACTACAATATAAGTTTCACAGGGAAAGATTCTGTTGTTTTGTTTACTGTTGTATTCCCATTATGCAGAGCAGAGAGTGGTGCACGGTAAGCATCCAATACTCAGCTAACAAGTGAATTCATCCTGCCAAGCTAAGCATATACTTTCCTTGGGGGCATAGATCAAACTATAAGAAGTAGGTGAACATAGACTCAAAAGAAGAGCAGTTATTTACATGTTTCCTACTATCATAATCCAGTGCTTCTATTTCCAATGCATGGTATGAAGAGATACCATGCATTATATTTAGAGTCCAGCCTGAGTTTGTGATTCAAACTTCTGCTTTTCTGAAAATGCCTCCTAAGCCTTATTTACTTTTATTTTCATTTTTCAAATTTTTATTACACAAGCAATACTTTATTGCCTTGGTCTTTTAAATAATGAGACTATGAGATTGGAAGGTTGAGTCCCTTCACAACTATCTTCCACTCTCCCCATCCTTGCCTGATTTGTGTGCATTCCCTTAGGGGAAAACACAAAGACAGTTTATATCTCCAAATATGTGCAAGAAAATTTATAAAATTTTTGGTGCAGGTTTTTGTTATTACATATTTAAGAGTATGGTGTGTGTTTCATTTTACAATTTTCTTTTTTTCCACTCAAATATGTTTTCAATCTGCCTATGCTAACACATATACATTCTTACACTTTTTATTGCATGTCACTTTATTGTACTTTGCAAACATTGTGTTTTTTACAATATGAAGGTTTGGGACTACCCTGTGTCGAGCAAGTTTAAGAGTGCTATTTTCCAGCAACATGTGCTCACTTCATGTCTCTGTTACATTTTAGTAATTCTCTCAGTATTTCCATTTTTAACTTATTATTATCTATTAGAGTGATCTGTGATCAGTGATCTTTGATGTCACTCTTATAATTGTTTTGGGGTGCCACAAACCATACCCATATGAAATGGTGAACTTAATCAACAAATGTTGTGTATGTTCTGACTGTTCCAGCCATTGGCCACTCTCCTGTCTCTCTCCCTCTCCTCAGGTTGCCCTATTCACTAAGACACAAGAATGTTGAAATTAGGCCAAGTAGAATACTACAATGGCCTCTGAGTGTCTAAGTGAAAAGAAGAGTTGCTTGTCTCTTACTTTACATAAAAAGCCAGAAATAAAAAGCCAGAAATAATTAAGCTAAGTGAGGAAAGCATGTTGGAAGCAGAGACAGGCAGAAAGCTAGATCTCTCGTATCAACATTAGCTAAGTTGTGAATGCAAAGGAAACATTCTTTAAGGAAATTAGAAGTGCTACTCCAGTGAACACAGGAATGACAGAAAGCCAACAGCCTTCTTGCTGATATGGAGAAATTTTTAGCGGTCTGGATAGATCAAGCAACCCACAACATTCTTTTAAGCCAAAGCCTAATCCTGAGCAAAGCCTTAACTCTCTTCAATTCTATGAAGGCTGAGAGAGGTGAGGAAGTTGCAGAAGAAAAGTTTGAACCTAGTAGAGGTTGGGTCATGAGGTTTAAGGAAAGAAGCCATCTCCATAAAACAAAAGTGCAAGATGAGGAAAGTGTTGATGTAGAAGCTGCCAGAAGTTATCCAGAAGACCTAGACACGATAATTGATGAGAGCAGCTACACTAAAAAAACAGAATTTCAATGTGGATGAAATAAACTTCTACTGGAAGAAGATGCCATCTAAGACTTTCATAGCTAAAGGGGAGAAGTCAATGCCTGGCTTCAAAATTTCAAGGATAGGCTGACTCTCTTGTTAGAGGTTGATGCAGTTGATGACTTTAAGTCGAAGCCAATGCTCATTTACCATTGCAAAAATTATAGGGCCCTCAAGAATTATGCTAAATCTACTCTACCTGTGCTCTACAAATGAAACAAAAAAGCCTGGATGACAGCACATCTCTTTACAGCATGGTTTAGAGAATATTTCAAGTCCACTGTTCAGACACTGCTTACATAAAGATTGCTGTCAAAATATTACTGCTCATTGACATGCACTTGGTCATCCAAAGGCTTTGACAGAGATGCACAAGGAGATTCAAGAGATGCACATGTTTTCATTCATGCTAACGTAATCATTCTGCAGCCATGGATCAAGGAGTATTTTTTTTTTCCACAGAAGGGAGTACCTGCAACCATCAAGGAGTAATTTTGACTTTCAAGTTTTATTATTTAAGAAATACATTTTGTAAGGCAATATCTGCCATAGACAGTGATTTCTCTGATGACCAGGCAAAGTAATTTGAAAACCTTCTGGAAAAGATTCACCATCCTACATGCCATTTCGAACATGATTTGTGGGTTGAGGTCAAAATAACAACATTAACGGGAGTTTCAAAGAAGTCAATTTGAATCATCATGAATGACTTTGAGAAGTTCAAGACTTCAGTGGAGGAAGTAACTGTAGGTGTGGTGGAAATAGCAAGAGACTAGAACTAAAACTGGAGCCTGAAGATGTGACTGAATTGCTGCAATCTCATGATAAACTTTAATGGATGAGGACTTATTATTTAAGGATGAGCAGAGAAAGTGATTTCTTGAGACAGAATCTACTCCTGGTCAAGATGCTGTGAAGAGTGTTGAAATGTCAATAGATTTAGAATAGTCTGTAAACTTAGTTAGCAAACAATTTTAAAAGAAGCTCTACTGTGGGTAAAATGCTATCAAGCAGCATCATATGCTACAGAGAAATCTCTTGTGAAAGGAAGAGTCAGTCGATATGATATTGCAGTCTTAGTTTTATTTTATTTCATATTTTATTTTATTTTCTTAGTGATAGGGTTGTGCTCTTTTGCCCAGGCTGGAATGCAGAGCACAATCATGGCTCACTGCATCCTCAACCTCCCAGCCTCAAGTGATCCTCCCACCGTGTTGTCTTATTTTAAGAAATTGCCACAGCTATCCCAACCATTAGCAACTAGCACCTGATCAGTCAGCAGCCATCAACACTGAAACAAGACCTTTACCAGCAAAAAGATTATAACTTGCTGAAGGGCTCAGATGATAGTAAGCATTTTTTAGCAATAAAATATTTTAAAATTAATGTGTGCATTTTTTAGACATAATTTTGCACACTTAATATTCTGCAATACAGTACAAATGTAACTTTTTTATGTACTGGGAAACCAAAAAATATGTATAACTCTCTACATTGCAATGATTTGGAACCTAACCCACAATATCTCTGAGGTATGCCTGCAGGTCTAGTTTAAGCCTTATAGCTGTTGTGTATTATTCTATCAAATGAACAAACTAGATTTAATTGTTTGTGTTGTGTTAGGATTTCTGTTTGTTTCAATGTTTAGGTTTTGGCAATCATGTCTTCATTGAACATCTTAATATGTCTCTATTGAGGTCATGTCCAGGTCTTGTTTCGTTGTTTCTCTTTGTCTCTACCATGATGTACATTCTTCTCTCTACATTGTCTTTTGCATGCATCTGCTCTCAATAATGTGTTTTATTTGGCTCTAATATTCCCAGAACAAATACATTTTTGTCTCACTTTCTATGGTTTACTTTAGCAGTTTATCATTGAGAGAGGAAGAAGAGAAGCAAAGATAGTGAACTGCAGTGGGAAAATTTTGAACAGAAATCAAGGAAGTTATTTTGTGCCTTATGAGTATTTAACACAGGTGAAAAGATCAAGTCTTCATACTCTTAAAAGTTTTCTATTGCCATGTACATGAAATGAGTCCTGTCTCTTCCATTTCTGTTTCACCGACTTTTTAACTGCCTGGGAACTCTGTGTGTGACTTCTTCTCTGTGCTAGGTTGCTTAAATCAGTTTCTTTAAGGCAAAATAAATGTTCTCAGATTGTAATCTCTTGAAGGACAAAGGGCACATCCTGTAGTTATCTTTGTTCAGTGCCTGGGACAGCATTATGATGATGAGGACTTTATTTGATTCCTACTTCTTCAGAGTAAATAGTGGTTATTAAATCACCAGAAATTTCTCTTCTCCTACTATGATGTACTCTAATACCAAGACCTTTATTTTACTGGAAAATATTCTGAACAAGCAATGCTTTAAATCTCATTGCTGTCTTTATGAATTTAATACTAACATAGCATGTAAGGATGTCAGAGAAAAGACTTTATGAACATCACGTAGCTTTATCCAGTATTTATGAACCATATTGTGCTGGGATTCCCATGGAGTTATTTAGCTATCAAACTGCTCTAAAAACAATATTTATACTATTTTAAAAACCAAAACACAATATAAGATAAATTCAAACACTCTACTTTTTATGAGGGGTCTTATGAGTAAAATGTTTTCCTATGTCTTTGGATCTGATTCCTCTGGAAAAAAATTAAACACATATTTCCTGTGTGTTCTAATTTATTACTTAATCATATATGAAAAATAAATTTCTTATACTTAGTAGAAGTAATTTTTATTAACAAAAATTCCAATCTTGGATGGGAGGCAATCTATGCTTAATTTCCCTAATGGAACCAAAGATGAGAAGGCTCCTAGATGTACTAAGGAGGTTAATCATTTATTTTCTATTCCATACTTCCCTTTTCCATTTAAAAGAAATTTCTTTAAAATCCATCTCATCCCTACCCCATGATTCATAAAAGTGAGTAGTTTTATATGAACTAAGTGATCTACTTTCATATATTTTCATTAGTACTAGAGGCATGACCTAGAGCAGTGGTTCTCAAAGTTTAGCATGCATTAGAATCACCTGAAAGGCTTGAGACACAGATTTCTGACAGCCACCCTGGAGGTTCCAATTCAGTAGGTCTGGAGCTGGGCCTGTGAATTTGCATCTTTAACACATTATCAGGTGTTGCTACTCTTACCGGTACAAAAATTGCACTTTGAGAATCACTGACCTAGAGAAGTTTTGAGCTTGGGCTCTCAGTAAAAGTTAGTAAGATTCCCCTTACTAAGAATTTGGAATTGGAGAATGTTATCAGTTATTTTTATGTAATACCTATGAATCTGGGGCTAAAGTGGCCACATGGGTCATGGGCAATTAGAGAAAGTTATTTTGCAGAGTAAGGAATAAATTAGATATTCATCAAGCAAAGTAAAGAGCAGAGGAAATGCAGCTTCAGAAAAGAGAGAAATGGAGAAAGCAGCTCTTCAGGTAATTTGCTAATTTCTAGTTCCAATCATTTGATACGTCTGCTTAAAGTTCTTATATTTGGGTTCTGAAAGATATCCTTTGGTAACTTTGTAATAAATACCAGCTTTTTCATCATGAGTATTTTGCAAGGCACAGAATCTCATTTAAAAAATTATTGCTGAATGAAAAAAAAGAATATTTTTTTCTGGACTAATCTTATATATGAAATTATTGGTTTATACATATATTTCAACAATAACACAAACAAACCCTGCTAGTGTTTATGACGACTATGGCAAAAGGCCAAAGATCTTCACTGATCAACCTATTTAAAATAGCATATGGCACTATATTGTTGATTTATTTGTTTATATTTTAGAGTCTGTCTTTAGAATGAGATCAAGAAACTCTGTTTGTGTATTCTCCACATTTGAAATAATAATGAATAATGAACAAATACATAAATTAATAAAGGATAGCACATTTTTAGCTTAAGCAAAATATGTCTTTTTTGAAAATATTATTTCTTGAAATTGTTGGCCAAGCCTACCAGTTGCTTTCTGTGTTATGCAAGTGCTGAAAAATTAATAACATTTTCATTTTCTCATGGCTTTAAATGAAATCACCAGATATTATGTAGCCAGTCACAACAGGTCACGATGGCGAGGTCAGAGAGTTGCACAGATACTGATCACAGAGATTATCTATGTTAGCAATTACATAGAGAGAAGTCAGTAAGTTAGGAAAAGCTAAAATATGGCAGAAAACTATGACAGTAGTATCTTTGTCTGCATATCAAACAATTTCAAAATCTCAAAGACAAACATAGCTTTTATTCACATTTTCTCAGGCCTGTAGTTTGGCGGAGGCAACTGAGCTTTGTGCTGCAAGTCTGCATGTGTGTTGGAACAGTTCTGATCCATGCATGGATGAGACAGGAAGAAGCCAATTGAAGCAGGAGTTTTTTCTGGTAGCAGTCAGAATATTCCCAAGGCATTGGCGGAAATATGTGATGCCCCCTAAGGCATAAGATTGCTACTTTATTGCTGTTACTTAACTCATATCCCATGGATCAAGGGAAATCGCATGGCTATGTTCCACATCTGTGGAGCATAGAAATGTACTCCCTATATGTAGATCAGAGGGAATGAATTTTTGTCAAACAATGTTCTAATTTACTTCAAGCACCAATAAGGAAAAAATAATTTTGCTAAGACTACTCATAAACCCAAAGCAAATGCCTTCATCTCTTATTCCATAGGCTAAAGTAGAGCTGGAACTCAGATGTTCAAAATAGTGCTGTTTTTGGTGATATGTCTTCCATCCCCGTTTGTGTTGAAGGACTGAGTCAGAGTTCAGTTAAAGAAATAGATCAACTCTATTAATTTAGAGGAAATGCAATATGGAGAACTGGCTTTAAACATGTAGAAAGGACAGGAATATCAAAAGGGGGAAAGGGTGATATTATCTAGAGAAAGAAAAGGCAAAAGATATGATACTCAAAGATCAAAAGCTGTGAAAGTCCTTGACCTAGAGTCCATGAGCTTGTGCCTGATGCAATTCTGTTAGAAACTCTGTTGTAGTTGGTGTTTGATCCACCAAAGAGGTTACAGCTTAACCATCCCAGGACTGACACTGAAAAGGTAGCCTTTCCCAGATCGCTGAAGTCCAGTATCATCCTCTCTCTCTGCATTTCTAGCAATTTTCAACAACTACCAAAGTGAATGAACCAGAAACGGAAAGCTTCTCTCTTCCTCCCACTTTCTGATTCCGTGTTCCCTCTCCTAATGATAAGTACTCAAGAAAAAGCCAGCTGTCAGAGGAGGTCTGAGAAATACAATGTGCTGACCTCAGTCTCCTAATACATAGCAGTCAGGCAGGATGGAGGTTAGGGGTCAAGAGCAAATAGACAAATGATCTCCATGAAAGTGCCCTTATCTTTTGGCTGAAGGAATATGGACAATCTTTTTGCAGGAGGACTTAGGGAGAGGAGAGAGAAGTGACAAAATTAGAGAATTGATAGGACAGCATTTTTTGGCTTACCAGTCAGTTAGGTTAGGTTTGATATCTGGCAAAAACAAGTAGGCTCAAGATAGAAGCTTAAATAACTCATTTCATTAACTGCACTATGAGATCCCAGGAATAGAGCTTTGGTGCTTCAGGGTCAACCTGATACTGTGCATGAAATATAGCACTTGCAGAAACTTCAAGGACTGAAAATGAGTCTCAGCACAAACTTGGTTCAGTTCCTAGAAAAGAATGCCAGAGTAGAAAAAATTATACTCAAATCATCATGACACATGCAGGATACCTCCAGCCTTCACATTCTCTACAATAACAAATTGGGAGAACAGGGATTTTAGAAGAGATGAATTTTTTGCTTAAACTGATGAAAGTTTTAAATCCAGTGGAAATTAGTGTTTAATGTGACACAGTGTTGTTACAGCCTGATGGAATCTAAGACCGTTTACAAAACTGCAGAACTTAAGAAATGAAATGAAACTAGTCCATCTAATCTAAATTATATGTATGATGACCCACAAAAGGAAATATATCTTATGATGGATTACACACACACATACACACACAGAGACATATTCCAAAATAACTTTAAAAAATATTTCATGAAACAGCACTTACCCTCATGTGATATGCTTTGATGTTTTCTGTTCTTTCTATTCTATACCATTTTATTTATTAGAAGAATGCTGGTTGTGGCCCATTTATTTAATTTCATGACTACTTTTCATGACTTTAAAGGAAGTATAACAGCCCTCTTTCAGTTTAAAAAACACTGATCACAGCTAATTCTCACCTTATAATTAAAAAAACTGAGATATGGTTTGATACATCTTTACATGTTTCTTAATGTTCCTTATGCAGTAGGTTGTCTTATGTTGTTTTCAGTCATAAAATCCTTAAAAAGTTAGGTTATAACTAGTTAAAGTGTATTTAACATTATTAGAATTTTCATCTATGTTTTTAGTGAATGCTTTACAATGATTACGAGTATGTATTTGAACTGCGTGTTTCATGAGCTAATCTAATTTCCCCCAAGGAAATTATTAGCCCTTCAAGAACAGAGAAAACAAAAATTGACAAGTTGGATCTAATTAAAGAGCTCTGCACAGCAAAAGAAATTATCAACAGAGTGAACAGACAACTTACAGAAAGGAAGAAAATATTCGCAAACTATGCATTTGACAAAGGTCTAATATCCAGAATCCATAAGGAACTTAAACAGTTCAACAAACAAAAAACAAATAACCCCATTAAAAATGGGTAAAAAACATGAACAGATGCTTCTCAAAAGAAGACATGTAGGCAGCCAACGAATATATGAAAAAAATGTCCATTATCACTAATCATTAGAGAAATGCAAATCAAAACCACAATGAGACACCATCTCACACCAGTCAGAATGGCTATTATTAAAAAGTTGAAAACAATAGTGAGGTAGTAGAGAAAAGGGAATACTTACATACTTCTGGTGGGAATGTAAATTAGTTCAGCCACTGTGGAAAGCAGTTTGAAGGTATCTCAAATAACTTAGATAGAACTATTATGTGGGGATGAGGGGGAGGAGCCAAGATGGCCGAATAGGAACAGCTCCGGTCTACAGCTCCCAGTGTGAGCGATGCAGAAGACGGGTGATTTCTGCATTTCCATCTGAGGTACCGGGTTCATCTAACTAGGGAGTGCCAGACAGTGGGCGCAGGTCAGTGGGTGCGCGCACCGTGCGCGAGCCAAAGCAGGGCGAGGCATTGCCTCACTCAGGAAGCGCAAGGGGTCAGGAGTTCCCTTTCCTACCCAAAGAAAGGGGTGACAGATGGCACCTGGAAAATCGGGTCACTCCAACCCGAATACTGCGCTTTTCCGAAGGGCTTAAAAACTGCCCACCAGGAGATTACATCTCGCACCTGGCTCGGAGGGTCCTACGCCCACGGAGTCTCGCTGATTGCTAGCACAGCAGTCTGAGATCAAACTGCAAGGCGGCAGCGAGGCTGGGGGAGGGGCGCCCGCCATTGCCCAGGCTTCCTTAGGTAAACAAAGCAGCCTGGAAGCAAGAACTGGGTGGAGCTCACCACAGCTCAAGGAGGCCTGCCTGCCTCTGTAGGCTCCACCTCTGGGGGCAGGGAACAGAAAAACAAAAAGACAGCAGTAACCTCTGCAGACTTAAATGTCCCTGTCTGACAGCTTTGAAGAGAGCAGTGGTTCTCCCAGCACACAGCTGGAGATCTGAGAACCGGCAGACTGCCTCCTCAAGTGGGTCCCTGACCCCTGACCCCCGAGCAGCCTAACTGGGAGGCACCCCCCAGCAGGGGCAGACTGACAACTCACAGGGCCCAGTACTCCAACAGACCTGCAGCTGAGGGTCCTGTCTGTTAGAAGGAAAACTAACAAACAGAAAGGACATCCACACCAAAAACCCATCTGCACATCACCATCATCAAAGACCAAAAGTAGATAAAACCACAAAGATGGGGAAAAAACAGAGCAGAAAAACTGGAAACTCTAAAAAGCAGAGCACCTCTCCTCCTCCAAAGGAACGCAGTTCCTCACCAGCAACGGAACAAAGCTGGACGGAGAATGACTTTGACGAGCTGAGAGAAGAAAGCTTCAGACATTCAAATTACTCCGAGCTATGGGAGGACATTCAAACCAAAGGCAAAGAAGTTGACAACTTTGAAAAAAATTTGGAAGAATATATAACTAGAATAACCAATACAGAGAAGTGCTTAAAGGAGCTGATGGAGCTGAAAACCAAGGCTCGAGAACTACGTGAAGAATGCTGAAGCCTCAGGAGCCGGTGCGATCAACTGGAAGAAAGGGTATCAGCGATGGAAGATGAAATGAATGAAATGAAGCGAGAAGGGAAGTTTAGAGAAAAAAGAATAAAAAGAAACAAGCAAAGCCGCCAAGAAATATGGGACTATGTGAAAAGACCAAATCTACGTCTGATTGGTGTACCTGAAAGTGATGGGGAGAATGGAACCAAGTTGGAAAACACTCTGCAGGATATTATCCAGGAGAACTTCCCCAATCTAGCAAGGCAGGCCAACGTTCAGATTCAGGAAATACAGAGAACGCCACAAAGATACTCCTCGAGAAGAGCAACTCCAAGACACAATTGTCAGGTTCAACAAAGTTGAAATGAAGGAAAAAACGTTAAGGGCAGCCAGAGAGAAAGGTCGGGTTACCCTCAAAGGGAAGCCCATCAGACTAACAGCGGATCTGTGGGCAGAAACTCTACAAGCCAGAAGAGAGTGGGGGCCAATATTCAACATTCTCAAAGAAAAGAATTTTCAACCCAGAATTTCATATCCAGCCAAACTAATCTTCATAAGTGAAGGAGAAATAAAATACTTTACAGACAAGCAAATGCTGAGAGATTTTGTCACCACCAGGCCTGCCCTAAAAGAGCTCCTGAAGGAAGCGCTAAACATGGAAAGGAACAACCGGTACCAGCCACTGCAAAATCATGCCAAAATGTAAAGACCATCGAGACTAGGAAGAAACTGCATCAACTAACGAGCAAAATCACCAGCTAACATCATAATGACAGGATCAAATTCACACATAACAATATTAACTTTAAATGTAAATGGACTAAATGCTCCAATTAAAAGACACAGACTGGCAAATTGGATAAAGAGTCAAGACCCATCAGTATGCTGTATTCAGGAAACCCATCTCACGTGCAGAGACAGACATAGGCTCAAAATAAAAGGATGGAGGAAAATCTACCAAGCAAATGGAAAATAAAAAAAGGGGTTGCAATCCCAGTCTTGGATAAAACAGACTTTAAACCAACAAAGATCAAAAGAGACAAAGAAGGCCATTACATAATAGTAAAGGGATCAATTCAACAAGAAGAGCTAACTATCCTAAATATATATGCACCCAATACAGGAGCACCCAGATTCATAAAGCAAGTCCTGAGTGACCTACAAAGAGACTTAGACAACCACACATTAGTAATGGGAGACTTTAACACCCCACTGTCAACATTAGACAGATCAACGAGACAGAAAGTCAACAAGGATACCCAGGAATTGAACTCAGCTCTGCACCAAGTGGACCTAATAGACATCTACAGAACTCTCCACCCCAAATCAACAGAATATACATTTTGTTCAGCACCACACCACACCTATTCCAAAACTGACCACATACTTGGAAGTAAAGCTCTCCTCAGCAAATGTAAAAGAACAGAAATTATAACAAACTATCTCTCAGACCACAGTGCAATCAAACTAGAACTCAGGATTAAGAATCTCACTCAAAACCACTCAACTACATGGAAACTGAACAACCTGCTCCTGAATGACTACTGGGTACATAACGAAATGAAGGCAGAAATAAAGGTGTTCTTTGAAACCAACGAGAACAAAGACACAACATACCAGAATCTCTGGGACACATTCAAAGCAGTGTGTAGAGGGAAATTTATAGCACTAAATGCCCACAAGAGAAAGCAGGAAAGATCGAAAATTGACACCCTAATATCACAAATAAAAGAACTAGAAAAGCAAGAGCAAACACATTCAAAAGCTAGCAGAAGGCAAGAAATAACTAAAATCAGAGCAGAACTGAAGGAAATAGGGACACAAAAAACCCTTCAAAAAATTAATGAATCCAGGAGCTGGTTTTTTGAAAGGATCAACAAAATTGATAGACCGCTAGCAAGACTAATAAAGAAAAAAGAGAGAAGAATCAAATAGACGCAATAAAAAATGATAAAGGGGATATCACCACTGATCCCACAGAAATACAAACTACCATCAGAGAATACTACAAACACCTCTACGCAAATAAACTAGAAAATCTAGAAGAAATGGATAAATTCCTTGACACATACACTCTCCCAAGACTAAACCAGGAAGAAGTTGAATCTCTGAATAGACCAATAACAGGCTCTGAAATTGTGGCAATAATCAATAGCTTACCAACCAAAAAGAGTCCAGGACCAGATGGATTCACAGCTGAATTCTACCAGAGGTACAAGGAGGAACTGGGACCATTCCTTCTGAAACTATTCCAATCAATAGAAAAAGAGGGAATCCTCCCTAACTCATTTTATGAGGCCAGCATCATCCTGATACCAAAGCCTGGCAGAGACACAACCAAAAAAGAGAATTTTAGACCAATATCCTTGATGAACATTGGTGCAAAAATCCTCAATAAAATACTGGCAAACCGAATCCAGCAGCATATCAAAAAGCTTATCCACCATGATCAAGTGGGCTTCATCCCTGGGATGCAAGGCTGGTTCAATATACGCAAATCAATAAATGTAATCCAGCATATAAACAGAACCAAAGACAAAAACCACATGATTATCTCAATAGATGCAGAAAAGGCCTTTGACAAAATTCAACAACCCTTCATGCTAAAAACTCTCAATAAATTATGTATTGATGGGACGTATTTCAAAATAATAAGAGCTATCTATGACAAACCCATAGTCAATATCATACTGAATGGGCAAAAACTGGAAGCATTCCCTTTGAAAACTGGCACAAGAAAGGGATGCCCTCTCTCACCACTCCTATTCAACATAGTGTTGGAAGTTCTGGCCAGGGCAATTAGGCAGGAGAAGGAAATGAAGGGTATTCAATTAGGAAAAGAGGAAGTCAAATTGTCCCTGTTTGCAGATGACATGATTGTATATCTAGAAAACCCCATTGTCTCAGCCCAAAATCTCCTTAAGCTGATAAGCAACTTCAGCAAAGTCTCAGGATACAAAATCAATGTACAAAAATCACAAGCATTCTTATACACCAACAACAGACAAACAGATAGCCAAATCGTGAGTGAACTCCCATTCACAATTGCTTCAAAGAGAATAAAATACCTAGGAATCCAACTTACAAGGGATGTGAAGGACCTCTTCAAGGAGAACTACAAACTACTGCTCAAGAAAATAAAAGAGGATACAAACAAATGGAAGAATATTCCATGCTCATGTGTAGGAAGAATCAATATCGTGAAAATGGCCATACTGCCCAAGGTAATTTACAGATTCAATGCCATCCCTATCAAGCTACCAATGACTTTCTTCACAGAATTGGAAAAAACTACTTTAAAGTTCATATGGAACCAAAAAAGAGCCCGCATCGCCAAGTCAATCCTAAGCCAAAAGAACAAAGCCGGAGGCATCACACTACCTGACTTCAAACTTTACTACAAGGCTGCAGTAACCAAAACAGCATGGTACTGGTACCAAAACAGAGATATAGATCAATGGAACAGAAAAGAGCCCTCAGAAATAACGCCACATATCTACAACTATCTGATCTTTGACAAACCTGAGAAAAACAAGCAATGGGGAAAGGATTCCCTATTTAATAAATATTGCTGGGAAAACTGGCTAGCCATATGTAGAAAGCTGAAACTGGATCCCCTCCTTACACCTTATACAAAAAGCAATTCAAGATAGATTAAAGACTTAAATGTTAGACCTAAAGCCATAAAAACCCTAGAAGAAAACCTAGGCATTACCATTCAGGACATAGGCATGGGCAAGGACTTCATGTCTAAAACACCAAAAGCAATGGCAACAAAAGCCAAAATTGACAAATGGGATCTAATTAAACTAAAGAGCTTCTGCACAGCAAAAGAAACTACCATCGGAGTGAACAGGCAACCTACAAAATGGGAGAAAACTTTTGCAACCTACTCATCTGACAAAGGGCTAATATCCAGAATCTACAATGAACTCCAACAAATTTACAAGAAAAAAACAAACAACCCCATCAAAAAGTGGGTGAAGGACATGAACAGACACTTCTCAAGACATTTATGCAGCCAAAAAACACATGAAAAAATGCTCACCATCACTGGCCATCAGAGAAATGCAAATCAAAACCACAAAGAGATACCATCTCATACCAGTTAGAATGGCGATCATTAAAAAGTCAGGAAACAACAAGTGCTGGAGAGGATGTGGAGAAATAGGAACACTTTTACACTGTTGGTGGGACTGTAAACTAGTTCAACCATTGTGGAAGTCAGTGTGGCGATTCCTCAGGGATCTAGAACTAGAAATACCATTTGACCCAGCCATCCCATTACTGGGTATATACCCAAAGGACTATAAATCATGCTGCTTTAAAGACACATGCACACGTATGTTTATTGTGGCATTATTCACAATAGCAAAGACTTGGAACCAACCCAAATGACCAACAATGATAGACTGGATTAAGAAAATGTGGCACATATACACCATGGAATACTATGCAGCCATAAAAAATGATGAGTTCATGTCCTTTGTAGGGACATGGATGAAACTGGAAATCATCATTCTCAGTAAACTATCGCAAGAACAAAAATCCAAACACCGCATAGTCTCACTCTTAGGTGGGAATTGAACAATGAGAACACATGGACACAGGAAGGGGAACATCACACTCTGGGGACTGTTGTGGGGTGGGGGAGGGGGGAGGGATAGCATTGGGAGATATACCTAATGCTAGATGACGAGTTAGTGGGTGCAGCACACCAGCATAGCACATGTATACATATGTAACTAACCTGCACATTGTGCACATATACCCTAAAACTTAAAGTATAATAATAATAAATAAAAAAAGAAAAAAAAAAGAACTATTATGTGACACAGCAATCCCTCTACTGGGTATATACCCAAAAGAAAATGAATTGTTCTACCAAAAAGACACTTGCACTTGTATATTCATCACACTCAATAACAAAGACTATACGATGGGTTCAACCAAGATGCCCATAAATGGTGGACTGGATGAAGAAAATGTGGTTCATACACACCATGGAATACTACACAAACATAAAAAAGAATGAAACCGTGTCCTTTGCAACTACATGGATGCAGCTGGAGGCCATCATTCCAAGCAGTCTAACACAGGAAGAGAAAATGAAATACTGCATGTTTTCACTTATGAGTGGAAGCTAAATGTTGAATAAACATGGGCATAAAGATGGGAAAAACAGACACTGCAGAATACTTGAGTGGAGCATGGGCTGGAAGCCTACCTATTAGGTACTATGCTCACTGCCTACTTGATGGGATCATTCATACACCAAACCTCAGTGACACATAATTTATCTATGTAACAAATCTGCACAAGTACTCCCTGAGCCTAAAATAAAAGGGGAAAAAAACCCAGAGCTATGTCCAGTATTCCTGCTTATCTGCTACCGTAATAACAATTCTAAGCAAAGACTTCTAGGACTCAATGAAGGCATATTTAACTGAGTGACAGAAAAACAATTATAAAGACAAAATTTCTAAATTGACATGCCCTTGTGTTAGTGGACAGGCTTCTGTGTTACCCTTCAAAACATAAAATATAAGTCATAGAAGTTAATTAATAATATGGACAAGCTATCATTTCTTTTGTTACTCAGTATGAACTGTTGACACAGTGACTAAAAATGTTCTTGGTCTGGAGTCCATTACTATTAACAAAAAGAGTTTTTAGATTTACAAGCACAGAGTTTGGAATAAACAAGCCTTCAGACTGTACAACTACCTTACAGTTTTCTCAAATCTGTAGAGTGCTGGTATACTGAACAACCTCACAGTTACCCAAGATTCTTGTTCAGCTAAAGTGTTTGGATTTCATGAAGAAAACAAGCAGGTAGGCTGATTTTATATGAGAAAGAAAGGAAACAATCTCCACAGTGACTTTCAATTCTGCCTTTCTATCAAATAGAATTTTTATGGTTTTGGCATAAACCTTTGAAAAGCTGGAATTTTAATAGAAATGCCAATGTAGTTTTAAATATAGCACCCCTGGGCTATGCTTGCATTATAGGGAAATTCAATGTCCTTCGTAGCAACTGAATCTTGGAAATACAAATGGCATAGTTCCATTCAATATTTAGCTACTTGGAAACCTTTCTTTTGATAGGAAATGAATTTGTTGCCATTTACATTTTTCAAGTACTAAATAATTCTTTAAATTGCTATAATCAATTTAAGCCTACGTACTTAAAACTACCACTTAGGCAAGTCTAAGTATTATAGTGAACAAATATGGTGAAATATATTTATTACCTATGAAGTGTAACACTTCATATGCAGTCAGCAGAGTGCAGTAAAAAGAATACTACACCCTGCGAAAGAATACTTGATTGTGAGAGCTAAATTTGGCATTTATTATCTGTGAGATATTGACAGATCACTTTTCAATTTACATCTCAGTATTCTGATAGCAAAATGGAACAATAATGACATTCTTAAATTGCTACTGTGAAAACCAACTGAGACATAAAGTGAGAAGTGATTTTCAAGCATAGAAAAGATATTAAAGACGTAAAGCATATATTTGTATGTATATTCTGTGTATGTATGTTTACATATATTTGTATATATGTTCTGATTTTAAAATATGTAATTATTGTAAACAGATGCAATATTATATTGTGAAACACAGGAAACATTAAAAAATTATGGACAGGGTAAGACGCTGTCTCAAAAAAGTAGGATCACAAATAACCTAAAATATAAAAAAAATCAGTTTAATTTCTCTGTAAAATTCTATAAATATTGCTATTTTATACTTTATGTATTTAAATTATGTCTGAGCTAAAAATTTTGGGGTTTTCATTATTAGCATAAACACCTTTGTAAATAAATATATATGTGTGTATATGTGTGTGAGTGTACACAAATATGTGTATGTATACCCACACACATATACTTTTTTTCAGAAAAAAATACTTGAAGTAGATTTATTAAGTCACATTGGTGAAGATATTTATAGCCAATTTTCCTCTGGAACTTAATGCTAACTTTGGATCCTCTAAGTAGTGAATCAGAAGTCTTGGGTATTTATCACTTAAAACAAATCTTTGATAGTTCAATAGTTAAAAAATATTGGTCTTTCAATAAGTATATTTTGGCTTACTAGAATAAATCATTTTTAAAATTATTGGGCATCTTATTAATGTTGTTTATTTTTCTATGAGGTAATTAGTCTCTTATTTTATTAATTTGTATGCTAATTTGCTGAACTCCAGTATTCTTATCTGCAGTATGGGGAGAATAATCCTTCTCATGGAGAGTTTTTTAAAAATTGGGTCATTAAATGACATAATATAACCTAGATTTTGGAGAAAATTATTAATAGAATGTAAAAGGTATCATAGTGAATAAGGTAGCATTAGAAGATTAATTATAATGTTCCATAGCTCATGTTTTTTTTTAAATATAGAGTTCTAGAAAAACAAAATTATGAAATCAATTACTACAAATTATTTCATAGAATGAACTACATAATTATATGTTTTCTATATTTTTTCCTGGAAATTGATTCAACCAATAAATATTTATTAATCACCTAATAGATCTAGTCACCTTGCTGGCTGGGAGAGCACATATTGTATAATTTAAAAATAGATATTAATAATGTATATCACTCTAATAGGATCAAAAGTTAACTGTTAAATGTTCTATGGGTGAATGTGTAAACAGATTGTGATTCATCCCCACAAAATAATATGACTTAGCAATATAAAAGAAAACATTCTTGAGACATGCAACAAATTGGATGGATCTCAAGGGCATTATGCTAAGTGTAAAAGGGAATTTCAAAAGCTTGCATTTGGTATGATTCCACTTGTATACTATTCTGGAAATAATAAAATTATAGTGTTGGGGAACACATCAGTGGCAGTCAAGGGTTAAGGCTGTGGGAAGGCTGGGACTAGAAGATTGTAGCAAGGGCAGTTTTGTTTGGAATGAAAGAATATTACTATATCCTGATTTTTGTGGTGGTTACAAATCTACACATGTGAAACAATCGTATAGAACTATACACACACACACACACGCACATAAAGTGTGTCCATAAAAACCTAGTGAAATATGTCTGAAGTCTGTAATTTAGTTAATAGTATTAAGCCAATGTCAATTTCCTGGTTTTGATTGTTATACTTTGGCTATGTAAAATGTTGTCATTGCAGGTATCCGGGTGAAGGATGCCTTAGAATGCTCTGCAGTATGTTTACAACTTCTATATAAATATATTTTCAAACGTCAATAGTTGAAAAATACATAACCATTGTTCTATATACTGTACAGTCTTCAATATTATCATAGTTGATTATGACTGAAATATAGTTAATTCCAACAAGATAGGACCCATGTACAATGTATTACCACTCCATCTCCAACACCTGTAATGTTTCCTGGAATATAGAAGGCACTCAATAAACACTGCTGACTGAAAAAATTAACACAAAAATTATCAAGTAGGTGAATCTGAAATAAATAAGCTAATTGCATATTGTTGTAGTTTTAGATTGTTTCTAACTTCTGCAGATACAATGTCACCACAAAGAGCATCTTCATTGATACAGTTTCTCCCCTACCCTTTAAGGTTTTTAAATACTTTTTCTTAAGTATCAATTCTAAGGAATGAGGCTACTGGTTTAGACCTATGTAACTTATTTGGAACTTAACGTTGATGAATTACTTTCTTTTTCTTTCTTTTCTTTCTTCTTCTTCTTCTTCTTCTTCTTTTTTTTTTTTTTTTTGATGGCATCTCCCTCTGTTGCTGAGGCTGGAGTTCAGTGGCACAATCTCGGCTCACTGCGACCTCCGCCTCCTGGGTTCAAGTGATTCTCCTGCCTCAGCCTCCCAAGTAGCTGGGATTACAGGTGTGTGCCACCACGCCTGGCTAATTTTTTGTATTTTTAATAGAGACGGGATTTCACCATATTGGCCAGGCTGGTCTCGAACTCTTGACCTTGTGATCCGCCCGTCTAGGCCTCCCAAAGTCCTGAGATTACAGGCATGAGCCACTGTGCCTGGTTGCAAGTTGATGAATTATAATTTATTGTATTAGTTTACTTTCCTGAAGTGATATGGTTTGTATATTTGTCCCATCTAAATCTCATGTTGAGATTTCATCCCCAGTTTTAGAGGTGGGGCCTGGTGGGGTCATGGGGGCAGATCTTTCATGGCTTGGTGCTGTCCTCACAGTGGTGCATTCTCATGAGATCTGGTTGTTGTAAAGTGTGGCACCCCCACTGCCACTCTCTTTCTTGCTCCTGCTTTTGCCATGTGAAGTGTCTGCTCCCCCTTCACCTTCCACCATGAATAAAAGTTCCCTGAGGCCTCCCAGAAGTGAAGCAGATGCTGGTCTCCTTCTTGTACAGCCTGCAGACTGTGAGCCAATTAAATCATTTTTTCTTATAAATTACCCAGCCCCACGTACTTCTTAATAACAACCCAAATGAACCAAAACACTAAGTATTATAATTTACTGTAACATTTTATCCTTCATCCCCCACTTCATCCCTGAAATCCTACTCTATACCTGAGCCTTACCTGATGATACCTGCTACCCAAGTACTCCCTCAAATCCCTGCCCAAATCTAAATCTCATTTCTGCACTGCACATCATGACCTAAGATGTGATAAGGAGTATTATCATGAAGATTATGTTGCTAAGTGTTTTCACCCTTTGTGTGTATGTGCATGCACATGTATATCACATATGAGCTAGTCATTAGATGAACATAATTGTGAAATTCCTTTACGAAGTAAACTTTAGGAATGTTTCAATTAGATTGTGTGTTAACCAATCTACTTTTTGTGTATAATCACAGTGTTAGCCACACTGACAAGTTCAAATTGAAAATCCTTAGTAAGTCTTCAGGATAAATGTTATTAATGCCACACACTGAAATGTAGAAGCATTTTATTTTTTAAGGTAATTCACTAACCACATATCATCAAGATTAGGGTAACATTGTCCTTTTGAAAATTTGATTGTTTTTCAACATTGTCTAACTTCTGAAACTAGACTGTTATAGTATTTAAAGTGTTCCTTTTGCCAGAAACTGAAGACCCCTGCTATCTAAATTATTGCCTTAACATTTTCAGCAATTTTAGAAGTAAACTGAAATATATTTGGAAATTTTTGTTTCAAAACTGGCTTTTAGCCTAGCATGGTGGAGTATACCTGTAGTCCCAGCGAATCAAGACGCTGAGTGGGGAGGATTACTTGAGCTCCAGAGTTTGAGGCTACAGTGCAAGTTTGAGACCATCCCTAGCAATATAGTGAGACCCAATCTGTCCAAAAAAATAAAATAAAATAAAAAGCTGGCTGGGCATGGTGGCATTTGCCTGTAGTCCCAGCTGCTTTGGAGACTGAGGCAGGAGGATTACTTGAGCACAAGAGTTCGAGGTTGTGGTGAACTATGATGGCACCACTGCTCTCTAGCCTAGGTGATAGAGTGAGACCCTGTCTCTATAAAAATAAATTAATAACTGAAAATAAATAAAATTCAGCTTGTAATTTTTTAAAAGAACATATATACCAATTTTTAGTTTTTATCAAAAAATAATTCTTAATTGACAAGAATTTTTACTTCAATCACAAAACCTTTAATTCCTGAGACTTTCTAAATTTCAGGAGGAACATTTACTGGAAATAGTATTTGACTTTTCTGAGTCATGACCCTGCACTCTCTAAGGTGACTTTTTGTGGCCAGGACATTTCAATTAGTAGCTTAAAGTGACAGATGTGCACACCAAAATGAATTTCCTAGTAACATATTAATCTAGAAACCATTTAAGAGTTAAAATTGATTCATTTTCCAGTAACATTGTATAAGAATCTCCCTTTACAAAAATTCATTACTTCCCTTTAATGGGATTTTATAGAAAGTAAATTTATAATGTATTTATTCTTTTGAAGGTCTGTGGAAGATACCCCATTTCTCATTTCCGTAAAAATGATATTTAAATAACACTTGACTATTTTGATAGCAATCATGGAATACTTAACCATTAAGTTCATTAATTCAAAGCACCAGATTTTGTGACAGTCTGTGTGGGCGGGATATACCCATTTAATAATGATAATGTGCCTCTCTTGAATTTACCAACTGTAATCCCAATGTATGGTAAAGTCTGATATTTAATGATTAATACAAAATGAGATTAAGACTCACAGAAGACTACTATGGGAAAGAGCAATTATGTACTCATACTTGGCAAAGCAATAATTGTCAGTTTCTAATTAATGAATTATCTCAACTGGTTAATGTAAATGTTTTCTTGCCACATACTGTGTTTCTAACTCTGACAACTGGTCTCTCAAAACCTGCATTTTTAGTCCAAAGAAACACTGAGAATGGGATGGGTAGACAAAGTTAAATGAATCAATGTTAAGTCTATCATTTACTATTTTTAATACATTATTAAATACTATCTCAAAACATTGTTCTATTTAATAACCTTATTTAGTCTTTTTTGTACATAAATGACATATTGATCGAGTCTTAACGTGACACCATTGTTTGAAGAGTGTAACTGGGACACACAAATTAGCACATAAGAGATTATTTTAAAGTGAGCACTGGATAGTTTCTTTCTTACCAGCTTTTGGCGCTCTCAAATGGAAAAAAGAAAAGCTATAAGACTTAAAAGCATTTAGTTGCATTGAACTTTAAAGCAACTCAGGACCAATATGTCTCACTGCCAAGTTATATTTAGTCTTTCTGGGGTGAATAGTTTTATCTTTTTAGATAAATGGAATTATAAGCGTTTTAAATTGCTCTTGTCTTATGTTAAATATGAATAATAATACCTATAACCTGACTATTTTAGAGAGATATAATGAGGAGGATTTATGAGATGCTTGCAAAGAACTCCAAGCTTCTTGGAACAAAAGCTTCACATATCTACATTTCTGGAAATATAAAAATACTTGAGCATCAATCGTGGCATAAAAGATGTGCTGGCATTACAGTACATATTAAACTCTATGCACATCTGATCTGATTTGAGGATTTTGTATATCATTTTTTCTCATAAGAATTCTGTACCATTTTACAAATATTTCCAGTCACTGCACCATGATGAACTATAAGCTAATTACCAATTTACAGGCAAATTTATATTATAATTTTTGGGGAGGGTGGGGGTTGGAAATAACAATAAATAGACATGGCTAAAATTGTCTTGGCCAGGTGTGATGGTTCACACCTGTAATCTCAGCACTTCGGAAGGCTCAGGTTGAAGAATTACTTGACACCAGAAGTTTGAGACCAGCCCTAGCAACATACCAAGATCCCATCTACTTAAAAAAATTTAAAAAATTAAAAAGCTGGCTGGGCATGGTGGTGTTTGCTGTAGTCCCAGCTGCTCTGGAGACTGAGGCAGGAGGATTGCTTAAATACAACAGTTTGAGGCTTCAGTGAGCTATAATTGAGCCACTGCTCCCTAACCAGGGCAACAGTGTGAGACCCAGTGTCAAAAAAATAAAAGTCTTACATAGTAAAATAAATTGTTTGATTTACATAACCATAAGATTTGAGATAGCACTGTCTTCAGATAATGATTGATTTAGAGACTCAATAGTCAATGATATTTCCAAGGAAGATGCTTCCTCTACTTTCCACTTTGCCTTCAAATCTGTTGGTGTCATCCTAAAGCTTTTTCCCATCATGGTATGAATATGGCTTTTAGCACCTCATGAGACTGCATGTTTGCTTCTCGTTTCTTAGCCTCAGAAATCTTTTAAAAACTCCAGAATTTGCTGATGGACTTAGCCTAGGTCACATGTTTTACTGTGGCACCATTAATATGTGACTTTGTTTGGTATGTAAATCCCCAAATGAAAACTGGGACCTGTTGTGAAGGTTGAGTTTAATTTTGAGGTGCACAAAGATATATATCTCAATGTATATGTAAATCTAGATATATCAGCTTCAAAAATTAATACCTATTCAGAGCAAGTTAGTTATTTTATTGTATTAAAAATATAAGTATAAATGGTATGGCAAGGGCTTACTTGCATGTAAGTATCAAAATAGCTTATATTTGCCCTCAAAATTTGTATTTCAAAATGGCATGCCTCATTCTAATTTTATTGCATATACGTATATATGTGTGTGTGCTTTTGTGTGTGTATTTTTTTCACTGAGCTCCCCCCCTGCCAAAATAATTTCTGCAAATTTCTAGACTACATTTATATATTCTGGAAAGCAAACCTAGTCTTCAGTTTCCACTTCACTTTGGCATCTGCTTCTGGTCTATTGATCCTTGCTTTCTACCCACCTATTGGACTGTACATCTCTGCTTTTTTTTTTTTTTTTTTGAGATGGAGTCTCAGCATGTCACCCAGGCTGGAGTGCAGTGGCGCGATCTCGGCTCTGCAACTTCCACCTCCTGGATTCAAGCGATTCTCCTGCCTCAGCCTCCCCAGTAGCTGGGACTACAGGTGCATGACACCATGCCCGGCTAATATTTTTGTATTTTTAGTAGAGATGGGGTTTCACGGTGTTTCGATCTCCTGACCTCGTGATCCACCCGCCTCGGCCTCCCAAAGTGCTGGGATTACAGGTGTGAGCCACTGCGCCCGGCCAGTTCTGCTTTCTTTAAGGCCATGGAGTTTGGTGTTTCTCTGTACAAATTGCTTTTACTAAGCTCCTTATGGAACTCCATAAGGAGCTGGCTGGCTTCGTATCATTTCAGGTATCTATTCAAAAGTGATTCTTAAAAGAGGCCTTCTTGGCCATCTTTTCAAAATGATGTCCCCATCATCTATTATATTAACTTATTTTATTATTCTGATAATACTAATTAGTATCTAAATTTTTATACTGTTCATTTTTTAAAATCGCCAATTACTTTATTCATCTCTTCACATTAGAATGTTAGCTTTGTAAGAGACATTGTCTCATTTATCAAGGCTATTTTACTCACCCATGTATTCCCTGCATAGAATAGTGTCTGGTATATAGCAGGGGTGACAAACATGTGGAAAAATGAGCAAATGAATGTGTTGTCTCTGTGATTTTTCTCTCTTGTCCTGCTTCTCAAGTATGAGTGTAAATTTGTCCTTAATTTCTCACTGAGGAAGTTGAAACTTAAAACATTTTAGAAGAGAAGCAAAACCTTGTGTGTAATTTATAACTGGTACTAGATATGCCAATCTCAGAGCTCAAAGGTAAACCTAAACTAGAACTTACTATTTAGAGGCTCCTCACAAGATAGCTCCTGTCTAGCTTCCAGCCTGTGTCTATACTGTATTGGCCAATTTCCACTTCTCCTAATTCCTCTGCTCGCCACCCACCTAAACCAGTATTCTTTAGCATGACAATCCTACTACCAATGGAAAGACAGATTTTCTCTTTCCTCCCAATCTTAGACTCACCAATTCAGTTTCTGTTCCAAGTTTGACCTCTTCCCTGAATGATTTTCATAAACATTTCTATTCTGTTTAAGGACAATTTCACTTCCAACCACACACATATGATCTTGCCCAACTTATTCTAAAGAACAATCCTATTGGGACAAAATAGTCTTCCATCAGCCCCTCTCTTGAAAAACACACTACTTGCCTTGAATAATAATAGCATGAGAAATCAACAATCTAATCTAATAGTTTAATGTTTAGCCAAGCCCAATTTATTTCCACTGTACAGTTTATTTTTTTTTTCCCCAAGCTCGAGTTAATTGAGCTTTCAGGTCTTTCTTGAAGTCCTTAGAGGTCTCTATTGCTGACATCTTGTGGCCATTGTTTTCACAAAAATGTCCCCAAGGGCTTGCTATAATTTTCAGAGAGAGCACATTCTAAAACCATCCTTGGAGAAAAATTCCTCTAAGGGAAGTACAATCTGCGGAAATGCAACTCTGCTTGCAACAAAGCCAGCCTCTTTATATTATCTTACAAAGCAATTGCATTCCTTGGGGTCACACCACTGATCTACATCCTCAAAATTAAAAAGCACATTTTCAGTGTGTGGTGTTCCTAGAACAACAAAACAGCCTCTCTGAAAGTAGAATCGTCTCTAACAATTGGAAGGCAGAAAATTTCCTGACTGCTTTAAAAGAACAGGTTTGTTTAGTTTAGATTTTATTTATTTGCTCTACCACCCTTTCAACCTTGCCTATGCTAGCTTTAGATTTCAGGGATATTAGCATGAAGTTTGAATCTTAATTAAAATAAAAGTGTCTGGTATACCCATAATCCACAGACATCTTTGCTAGTAAGATGTCTGCTTAAGGCTTTCACATGCTCTTCCAGGGATCACTGCTTTTTCCATCTTCCAAATTCTTTTTATGTCATAATTAGCTAGTTATATCATCTTGGGAAGAAGTGAACCAAATTGAGATGCTCAAGTGGAATACAGGTCTGAGCAAAAATGTTGAATAAAAATTTTCAAAAAACCTAGCTGTCTGCCCTACCATTCTCCAACAGGAGAAATCGCATCACAAACAACTTTAGTTACATTCTTCCAATTTATAGGTACATAACATTTGGAAGAGTGACACTGGGTTAAGGTTTTCTCACATCAGGAAGAAAACATATTTCATGCACATCATAAGGATTTTGGAAACTGATTTATCAATAGTGAAGGATTTAAGTCAATAATCAAGAGTTGCTGCTCATATTCTCTGATAAATTTCAGTTTCTCCAGAAGAAATTAATACATTTCTCTACATGTAAATCATGTGGATAGCTCTCCTCTAGGATTATAGAATTCTTAATGCTGAACTTGATATTTTGGAGGTTAAATACAGAGTCATATTTAAGAACAGTTTTTTTCCCCCTTAGGCTTTCAATGATATAGGCCAAATACTTGAACTTGGGGTTTGCTAACCTTTAAGGCCAAAAGTCTCAAGAGAGAAAAGCCCATGTTAATGGCTTAATGTAGAGTAGTGGAGACATGTGACAAAGGAATTCATTTTAGTAGCACTTTAATGAAGTGAGAATTTGGCAAAAGAAGCTGAGAAGTCAAAGGTTGAGGTGGTAATGGACTGGATTTCTCTTGAATTATTGGGACTTCAGTTTGATTGATTTAGTAAAAGATACACTTAAGGCCATTATGGATAGAGCACTCAAAGGTGCCATTATCTCAATCCTCTCAATGCTACTACTTCAATACTTCTAGAAATTGTTACTTCCTTTCACTTCTTATTGCCTTTTTCTATCACTGTATTAGCGTTTAAATTAGTATCTCACATGTCATTGTTTCTTGCTATAGTCCATCTTCCAGATTTCACATAGAATTATCATTCTGAAACACAACTGCTAAAATCATATTTGACTTATGAGAAGGTAAATTGCTTCCACCTTAATGTACAACTATGGCAATATCTATCAAAATTAAAAATATCACTTAACCAAGTAATTTCAAGAATTTGTCTTGTAGCTTTATACTTACCCATGTGAAATGGTGAATGCCTAAGAATATCCATTGCAGTGCAGAAGACATCAAAAAGATCTGGAAAAAGCTAAATACCTATCTGTGACAGACAGGCTATATTTACTATGGTACATTCAAACAGTGGCATTCATGTAACCATTATAATGAATAAAACACATTTGCATATATGAAAATTCATTGTCTGTTAGATTTATTTATTATTGGAAAAATAAACAAGATATGGAATAGCATATGGGGAAAAATATATAGAAAGAGTAGAAGGATAAACATGAAGGTGTTCATAGCCATTACCTCTCAGGAGGGATCCAGGACTAAAAAGTAGGTAGGAGACTCACTTGTTACTGAGAACATTTTGCTTATTTATAAATTCAACTTGTGCTGTAATGCTCATTAAAACATAATTGGTTTTAAAAATCATACAATGGCTTTCAGTAATCTGTTGGATAACCTAAAAAACTATTAGTATTATATTTCTTATAGACAGATGCATCTGATACAATAACATTAGTATTATATATAATATAATGCCATATATATCTATGATGTCATATATATACCTCATAATGTCACATACAGGTGATATTTTGACTATAATGTATTATTATATACCTAATGTAAATATATAACAGTGGTGTATGGGAGTATTTCTGTTGCCAGTCATCAATTTAAAATCTTCCAAAATTTGCTCCAACAGAGCTTTCTTAGTTTGTACAAGTCACATAGTAGGGAGTTTGGTGGTCTCTGTTATAAATTAGTTCTGTGTGATTTTAAAGAATTGCTTAAAGTGGAACTTTTTTGAATTTTTAAAAATGACTTTTATTGAACACTATATAAAATTCACAGTATATAAAATATTAAATTTATAATCTCAGTACTTAACAGAAACTTTTATAAGTGTGGGAACTGAGAGGTAAGGGAGGTTAAATAACTTATTCAACATCACCAAGCAAGCACATGAAAGAGTCGTGATTTGAACACAGTTCTGGCTGAAACCCGTGCTTACTCTCTCCTCAGGGACACCTCCAGAAGTGATGCCATGAGGGAGCAATGACAGTGTGATTGCAGAGTAGATTTCTGTAGGGAGGAGAAATCCTTTCAGGATAAGGCAATTGTGGAAATTTTCCTGAGGAAAGTGACATTGGATGAGTAGAATTTTAAGAGACGAAATAGTGATAATATTTTAGTTTGAATAATATGAGCTCATCATTTTTGTATGTCAAAAATTAAAATATCGAAAATTTCATGTGATTTATCTAAAATAGATTTGTGGCAGTGGTCATTACAAGGGTAAAAGTTTTAAAAATGAGGAGTTTCAATCCTCTCTCAGGATCTCTATTCTCAAGAGGGCTCCTAAATGTTAGAAGGAAAGGAGAAAATCAGAAATGTGAACAGATTAGAGTACAGGTATTCTGGGAAACGAAGAATGAATCTTTAAATGGGACGAAGTTCAAGGATAAATTTTTAATGCCATAATCGTGAACATATGAGTAATTCATTTATTTTTAGACCTTTGTTTAAGAGTGAAAAATTATGCACTAAAAACTCAAATGTTGTTAAATAATGCTACTGAAAGAGTATGAAGAAAATAATTTAAATAATAAAATATTAGAGACAACTTTAACAGAGTGGACAAATAATTGAAGAGTGAGTATATTTTAAGAAAATACATGCTGGGAATAGAGGTCTTATTTCAGGATTTGGCAGTACATTTAACATTAGAAATATTTTAAGGTGTTACTTTAAAAAAAAAGCTTTCATTTTAGGTTTTGGGCTATATGTGAAGATTTATTACATAGGTAAACTCATGTCACAGGAATTTGTTGCACAGGTTATTTCATCTCCCAGGTATTAAGCCTAGTACCCAATAGTTATTTTTTCTTTTCCTCTTCCTCCTCCCATCCTCCATCCTCAAGTAGACCACAGTGTCTGTCATCCCTTTTTTTGTGTTCATGAGTTCTCATCATTAACTCCTACTTATAAGTGAGAACATATGGTATTTGGTTTTCTGTTCCTGCATTAGTTTGCTAAGGATAATGGCCTCCAGATCCATCCACGTCCCCACAAAAGACATTATCTTGTTCTTTTTTATGGCTGCATAGTATTCCATGGTGTACATGTACCAGATTTTCTTTATCCAATCTATCATTGATGGGGATTTAGGTTGATTCCGTGTCTTTGCTATTATGAATGGTGCTGCAATGAACATTCGTGTGCATGTGTCTTTATGGCAGAATGATCTGTATTCCTTTGGGTATATACCTGGTAATGGGATTGCTGGGTCAAATGGTAGTTCTGCTTTTAGCTCTTGGAGGAATTGCCATGCTGCTTTCATAATGATTGAACTAATTTGTACTCCCACCAACAGTATATAAGCATTCCATTTTCTTACCAGCATCTGTTATTTTTTGACATTTTAATAGCAGCCATTCTGACTGGTATAAAATGGTATACCATTGGGGTTTTGGTTTGCATTTTTCTAATGATCAGTGATATTGAGCTTTTTTTCATATGCTTGTTGCTCACATGTATGTCTTCTTTGGAAAAGTGTTTGTTAATGTCCTATTCCTACTTTTTAATGGGGCTGTTTGTTTCTTCTTGTAAATTATTTATAGATGCTAGATATTAGACCTTTGTCAGATGCATAGTTTGCAAAAATTCTCTCCCATTCTGTAGGTTGCCTGTTATTCTATTGATAGTTCTTAGCAACTATCAACAAGCTTTTGGTATGCAAAAAGCTTTTGCTGTGCAGAAGTTTCTAAGTTTAATTATATCCCATTTGTCAATTTTTGCTTTTGTCTCAGTTGCTTTTGGCATCATTGTCATGAAATTTTTGCTCATTTCTATGTCCAAGATTGTATTGCTTAGGTCATCCTCCAGGGATTTTATAGTTTTGGGTTTTACATTTAGGTCTTTAATACATCTTGAGTTGATTTTTGTATATGGTATAAGGAAGACATCCAGCTTCAATCTTCTGCATGTGGCTGGCCAGTTATCCCAGCACCATTTATTAAATAGGAAGTTTTTTCCCATTGTTTGTTTTTGTCAGCTTTGTCAAAGATCAGATGGTCATAGGTTTGTGGCCTTGTTTCTGGCCTCTCTATTCTGTTCTACTGGTCTAAGTTCCTGTTTTTGTACCAGTACTATTCTATTTTGGTTACTGTAGCCCTGCAGTATAGTTTGAAGTTGGGTCATGTGATGCCTCCAGTTTTGTTCTTTTTGTTAGTATTGACTTGGCTACTTGGGCTCTTTTTTGTATCCATATAATTTTAAATTTTTTTTCTAGTTCTAAGAGGAATATCATTGGTAATTTGATAGGAATAGCATTTAATCTATAAATTGTTTTGGGCAGTATGGCTATTTAAATGATATTGATTCTGCCTATCCATGAGCATGGGATGTTTTTCAATTTCTGTCTTCTCTGATTTCTTTGAGCAGTGTTTTGTAGTTCTCATTGCAGAGATATTTCATCTTACTGGGTAGCTGTATTCCTAGGTATCTTAATTTTTTGTGGCAGTTGTGAATAGGATCACTTTCCTGATTTGACTCTTGGCTTGACTGTTGTCTGTGTATAGGACTGCTAGTGATTTTTGTACATTGATTTTTTATCCTGAAACTTATGTGATACAGAATCATATAGTTTGCAAACAGGGAGAGTGTGACTTCTTTTCTTTTTATTTGGATGCCCTTTATTTCTTTCTCTTGCCTGATTGCTCTGGCTAGGACTTCCAATATTATGTTGAATAAAAGTGGTGTAGGACATCCTGCTCTTGTTTTGGTTTTCAAGGGGAATGCTTCCAGCTTTTGCCCATTCAGTATGGTGTTAGCTGTGGGTTTATCACAGATGGCTCTTATTATTTTGAGGTATGTTCCTTCAAAACCTAGTTTATTGAGCATTTTTAATATGAACAGATGTTGAATTTTATGCAAAACCTTTTCTGTATCTATTGAGACAATCATGTGGTTTTTGTCTTTAGTTCTGTTTATGTGATAATCACATTTATTGATTTGTGTATGCTGAACCAATCTTGAATCCTGGGGATGAAGCATACTTGATGTGGTGGAATAGATTTTTGATATGCTGCTGGATTCCATTTGCAAGTATTGTGTTGAGAATTTTTGCATCAATGTTCATCAAGGATACTGACCTGAAGTTTTCTTTTTTTGTTGTTTCTCTGCCAGGTTTTGGTATCGGGATGATGCTGATCTCATAGAATGAGTTGGGGAGGAATCCCTCCTCCTCAATTTTTTGGAATAGTTTACTAGGAATGGGACCAGCTCTTCTTTATACATATGGTAGAATTTGGCTATGATTTCCTCTGGTGCTGGGCTTTGTTTTGTTGGTGATATTTATTACTGATTCAGTTTAAGAGCTCATTATTGGTCTATTCAGGGAATCAGTTTCTTCTTAGTTCAGTCTTGGGTGGGCGTATGCATCCAGGAATTTACCTATCTTGTCTAGGTTTTCTAATGTGTGTGCATAGAGGTGTTTGATGTAGTTTCTGATGGTTAATTTTATTCCTGTCAGATCCGTGATAACATCTTCATCATTTCTAATTGTATTTATTTGCAACTTCTCTCTTCTTTATTAGTCAAGCTAGTGGCTTATCTATCTTATAAATGCTTTCAAAAAAGCAAATTCTGGATTCATTGATCTTTTGAATTTTTGTGTGTCTCAGTTTTCTTCAGTTCAGCTTTGATTTTTTTTTTTTTTTTTTGTCTTCTGCTAGCTTTGGGGTTGATTTTCTCTTGCTTCTCTAGTCCTTCTACTTGTGACGTTAAGTTGTTAATTTGAGATCTTTCTACTTTTGGATGTGAGTGTTTAGTGCCATAAACTTCCCTCTTAACACTGCCTTAGCTGTGTCCCAGAGTTCTGGTATGTTGTATCTTTGATCTTGTCAGCTTCAAATAACTTCTTGATTTCTGCCTTAATTTCATTATTTACCCCAAAGTCATTCAGGAATATGTTGTTTAATTTCCCTGTAATTGCATGGTTTTAAGTGATTTTCTTAGTCTTGACTTCTATTTTTATTGGGCTGTTGTCCAATAACATGTTCGGTATAATTTTGGTTCTTTTGCGTTTTCTGAGGATTTTTGTATGTCCGATTATGTGTTCAACTTTACAGTATGTGCCATGTGGCTACGAGAAGAATTTATACCTACCTGTTGTTTGGGGGTGGATAGTTCTGTAGAGGTCTATCAGATCCATTTGGTCCAAAATTGAGTTCAGGTCCTGAATATCTTTGTTAATTTTCTGCCTTGATGATCTGTCTAATAATGTCAGTGGAGTGTTGAAGTCTCCCACTATTATTGTATGGGGGTCTCCATCACTTCATAGGTCTCTAAGAATTTGTTTTATGTATCTGGGTGTTCCTATGTTGGGTGCATATATATTTAGAATAGTTAGGTCTTCTTGTTGAATTGAACCCTTTATTATTATGTAATGCTTTCTTTGTCTTTTTTGATATTTTTGGTTTAACATTAATTTTTTTCTGAAATTAGGATTGCAACCCTGCTCTTTTCTGTTTTCCGTTTGCTCAGTAGATTTACTCCCATCCCTTTATTTTGAGCCTATGGGTGTCATCATGTGTGAGATGGGTCTTTTGAAGACAGCATACCATTGGGTCTTGCTTTTTTATTCAGTTTGCCACTCTGTGCCTTTTAAGTGGGGCATCTAGCCTGTTTACATTCAAGGTTATGTATAGATTTGATACTGTCGTTTTATTGCTACCTGGTTACTATACTGGCTTATTTGTGTGGTTGAATTATATTGTCTCTGGTCTGTGTATTTAAGTGTGTTTTTGTGTTAGCTTGTAGTGGTCTTTCCTTTCTATATTTAGTACTTCTTTCAAGATCTCTTGTAAGGTAGGTCTGGTAGTAATGAACTCCCTCAACATTTGCTTATTTGAAAAGGATCTTATTACTCCTTCACTTAGGAAGCTTAGTTTGGTTGGATATGAAATTTTTGGTTGAAGATTTTTTTCTTTAAGAATGTTGAATATAGACCCCCAGTCTCTTCTGGCTTGTAGGGTTTCAGCTGAAAGGTCTGCTGTTAGCCTGATGGGGTTCCCTTTGTAGGTGACCTGCCCTTTCTCTCTAGCTGCCTTTAACATTCTTTCTTTCATTTTGACTTTGGAAAATCCGATAATTATGTGGCTTGAGAATGATCTTCTTGTGAAGAATCTTGCAGGGATTCTCTGTATTTCCTGAATTTGACTGTTGGCCTCTCTAGAAAGTCTGGGAAAGTTTTCATGAACAATATCCTGAAATATGTTTTCTAAGTTGTTTGCTTTCTATGAGTATTTTAAATCAGTTTTTAAACATTATTTTTTAAAATTTTATTTTATTGTGTAAGAACACAAAGTGAGATCTCTTAACAAACTTTTAAGTGTTCAAGTGGAACTTCTTTATCAAAGCATTTGTACATAGAGTTAAGGCCCAATGTACAATGTATCTTTAAAAATTATCTTATTAAACTCTATATTGTAGTATAATATATATACAGAAAATTGCACAAATCACAAATACACAACTAAATAAATATTATAATGCCACCAAATTTTATTTAAATACAAAAAAATTAAAAATATAACCTAATCAGAATAAAGAAGCCTACCTTGTTCCACTTCCTAGTCATCGTTATGCTCAAATAAAACTTCCTTACTGATTTTTAAAACTCAATTGTCTTCTGTTTTAAAATTTTATGTAAGTAGAATCATAAATTACATATTTTTTGGTTTGGCTTATTTTATTCAACATAATGTGTGTAAAATTCATATTCATCCATGTAGTTACATGTAGTAATCATCCATTAATTTTCATTAATGTTTCATATTACATTATATGAATTTAGTACAATTTATTTACTTATTTAACTGTAAACATACATTTGAGATGTTTCAGATTTGGAGCTGTTACATACAGTGCTGCCATGCGCATGCTAATTCATGTCCTTTGGTACACATATGTTCACATATATAAATATATAAATATATTTCTTTCAATATAGTTTTGATGTTGATTGGACATTTAGTATCTCTTTTTGTGTGAAATGTCCTTTCAAGTCTTTGCTCTATTTTTTGATTTGGTTGACTATTTTTTTCTTATTGATTTATAAGAATTTAAAAAATATGTGCTCTTCAATATTAGTCAAATACATGCAATTAAAATATCTACTTGTACTTGCTGAGTCATCTTTTTTACTTTCTTAATGATATGTTTGATCAATAAAAGTTCTTAATTTTAAGGTTGTTCAATTTATTATTGAAATTGTCTTTAAGATTAGCACTTTCTTTTCTATTTAAGAAATCTTTGTTACACCAATTTTATGAAGAAATTCTCCACTGTTATTTTCCAGAACCAATGTAACCAATAGAACTTTCCAAGATGAGGAAAATATTCTACATCTGTGCTGATTATATACAGTAGTCACTAGCTGTATGGGAATAATGGGATCTTGAAATGTAGCTATTACTACTGATAAAATAATTTTTTTATTTAATTTATTTAGAGACAGACTCTCCCTTTGTTGTCCAGGCTGGGGTACTGTGGTGCAATCAGGGCTCACTGCAGCCTCAACTTCCTGTGCTAAAGGGATGCTTCCTCCTCAGTCTCCAGAGTAGCTGGGACTACAAGTGCAAGCCACTGTGCCCAGCTAATTTTTATATTTTGTTGTAGAGTTTTTATTTTATTTTGTTTAGAGACACCCCAAATTCAAAAGAGTGTCATTATGTTTCCTAGGCTTATCTCAAACTCTTGGCCTCAAGCAATTCTTCTGCCTTGTCCTCTCAAACTACTGGGATTACAGGTGTGAGCCATTGAGCCTGGATGAAGTTTTAATTTTTAATTCAAATATAAATAGTCAGGTGGCTAGTGACTCTCCAATTAAATACAACAATTAATTTATTTTAATTTTTTAAAAGTTTTATGGATAGATCTACAATCCATCTAGAATGGGTTGTTTGTGCATCTGGAGAATTAATTAACCCAGTACTATATTTTGGGAAGGGTCCCTTTTCCAACTGGACATCAGTGATACTTTTGTAACTATGAATGTGTGGGTGTTTTTCTTGACTCTATTCTATTAAATTGTTGTGTTTATCAATCCTATTATAGTGTCTTAGTTATTGTAACTTTATAATATTTTTTGACTTATGGTATTGTGAGTCTGACATTTTTTCTTTCTTTTTCAATATTATTTTGACTATTCTTGGCTGTTCCTAGTTCTATAAGATTTTTCAAATCAACTTATCAATATTTAAAAACTTTCTGGGATTTTGATTGCATCAAACCTAAGAATACCTTGGGAATACTAATACCCTTTTTTGAATTTGGGAATTTTTTTTTATATATTCATCTTTTCTTCAATTTCAATCCCTAATATTTTATAGTTTTATTTGCAGGAGACTTGTCCATCTTGAATTGTATGGTAAACAGTATAATTCTTAAAATTTAAGTTTCTAATTCTTGATGGCTGGTATATAAAGATGCAATTTATTTTTATATTGACCTTGTATAGAGGAATCCTACAAAGTTTCTGTTTTAATTATAATATTTTATATATTCTTTTGGATATTGTACATACACAATCATATCACGTGGAAACTGCTCACATAATTATGGAGGCTGGCATGTCCTAAATCTGGCTGGCAGGTTAGAGACCCAGAATAGGCACCTGTGCAGATGAAGTCCTAAGACAGTCTGCTGGAGAACTCCCTCTTGCTTGGGGAGGCTGGTCTTTTTGTTCTAGTCAGCCATCAACTTATTGAATAGGGCCCACCGATGTTATGAAAGGCAATCTACCCAAAATTCACTGATTTAAATCCTGAACTCATCCAGAAATACCCTCTAAGTTTAAAAAATATATTGGTGACATCTTTGAACAAACCATGTGAAGTGTATGTTTCTCTCAAAAATTATATGTTAATCCTTTAGTCTTTTATCACTAAATATTACTGATACTGCTTATATGTCTTTACACTGTCTCAATAAATACATCTGTCTTCCTGCCCTTCTACTTCTCTGTAACTTCTCCTTGGCTTCCATGATCCTCTTACAAATGACATCCCTTATCAATGTCACTAGCCAAACATGTACCCAAAACATACTTTTAAATGCAACAACTCCATGTGTCTTTTTTCGTCCAAGAAACAGACATTCATAAATGTGGTAAATACTTATATAAATGAATAAAAACAGGTCAATAAATATGTAGCATAAAATAGAAAAGGAGAAAAAAACAAAGAAAATAATTATATGAATGTATCTTGATTTTAAGAAATTATTATGAGATAAATGGAATTCATTTGACATATTTGGTTTTGCTCTAAAATAACAAAAATAAAAGTAGTTATGATACTTTTGTGCTTCTTACTTCAATAAAAACTAAGTTAATGGGTGCTAAAAATAAGAGGCAGATACCAGGAATATTAGCGAGGAAGACAAAAATTCTGATTGGCTAAAAAAGATATAAAAATGTTGAAAGTTTCCAAGGTTATGTCCTATTTCAAGTCAGCTTGCCTAATTTTACTGTAATATGCATAAAGTAAATTAGTTTTTGACAAATGATCAAAAATCACTTTTGTAAGTACATAAAAAATAAAATATTGTAAATTATCATCTAAAGATTTGATGTTAAAACAAAAGACACACCTACTTATAGAGCTCTCCGATGTACTGACAGATCTTTCAGATCTTACAAATCTATTCCCTACTTAGTGGTGTCAGATTCTATTTAGTAACTCCGTTTCTTTTCACAACATATAACATATTCTTATTTGCCACTATTCAAAATAATTTATTATTATAAAATATTGAGTAAAAGTAAAAGAGACCATCTACATATTACAAGTTTACAACTGGTTCACAAAAGTTATGTCTTACTTGAAAAGGTACTTAAAGTGTTTAAATCTAAGATATTTTATAATTGCCACAAACCTTGTTCAATGACAATATGTAATTCATGTAAGTTAAAATCTAATTTGAATTATTGGGGTGAATAAAATAAAGCTAATACCTCTTTCAACAAACTTTCTATATATGAAAGTCTTAGGACACATGTTTATTAAACACACAGTATTAAAACAGGGTGCATTTTTTGCTATTGACATTTTTCATGTTAAAATACAAAACCAATTGAAGTAAGAAGTATAATGTAGAATACTGATAAATTTGTTTAATTTCAAACATGTGTATGATAACCTTTAAGTGTACATAGGTTGATTCGTTGCTGTAGAAGATATTGTAGTTGGCCTCAATCAATATGCTTCTTAATCTCTTCACTTGCCCTCCTCTACTATGAGTTCTGGAAAGCTAAAAATTAAACTTCCATTCATCCTTGCAGCTATGGGCAGCCAAGTGATCCCTGAGGGTGTAAAATCTATCCTGCCAACTAGGGAGAATAAGCATGAGAATGAAAGCTGTAAAAGATGAAAAAGGTGGGATGAAAGTTCAGTGGCAGTGGTGGTGGTCAGAAATAAAAAGAACCTGCATCCTTCCTGGTACATTGAGCTTCTTTACCAGCTCGAGGCTGCTCCTCTCAAGATTTTATGGTACGTATAACAAAACTCAAATTTCAAAGTTGCTGTAGGTTATGTTTTTGTTTATCTGAAGCCAAATGCATTATTAAATAATAAAGCAACTATGCATTTCTCTCTCTCTTTTGTTTTAATGGCTCCTCAGGAGTCAACTTGAAGCAAATATCCATTTTTAAAATTCTGTATATTGACTTAAATATTTTTAAATGTACACCTTTTTATATATTTATCACTGATATGAAAATATGAGGAAGTATCCAAAACAGATACAACCCATCAAGAAAATAAATAATTGTCATCTTTGAACTTCATTCAGATCTAAAATTATTTAGAGTCTTTTACTTATGTAATATGAGACATATATGAGATATATATCTCTCTTATTTATATCTCATATTTAATTGTGGAGAACTACCAGATAGTGCCTGCAAAGTTCAGAATACTATTCTAGGTATTTTATATGCATCGTTCATTTTTAAATCTTCGCAACAACCTTGCAATGGAGGTAATGATACGTTTATTTTACAAATGACAAACCTGTGATCAGAGAAGATAACCAATCTGCCCAAATTCATGTGGCCAGAAAGGAACTTAGCCAGCATACCCACCCATTCTCATCAAGGTTAACAATGTGTGCTCTTCCACAGCATCTCATTCCCTCTGAACCTTCCATGATCTAGAAGCAGGTTTGAAAATTTTATTTTCTCTCCTTCAATTATTACCCAAATTAATATGTCAAATATATTTATTCATGTACTTTTCATGCCTCACACTTCTATTTTGAAAAGAAAAAAATCTTTTCCCATGAATAATTTCATTTTAATGCTTCAAATTTCCACACTAATCTATCAACTGAAGATTGATGGTGTATTGAATTTGACAGTTGAAGGACACAAGACATATATACCATGACATGAGCTCAGAGAGAAGTCCCCGATGAACGTTGTTTTTTCTTGTAGATAGATATTCATCTTGATATGTTTCATCAAATATTCACTTATTCAACATACATATGGCGAAGCTGTCTGTGTGTCAGATTCTGTGCTGCACCCTGGGGACACAGGTAGAGCAGAGATTCTTCCCTCAAATTGCTTAGAGTTTACCTGGGGATGTTTTTATATAATGAAAAGAAAATGTGCTGTGAGAGGGTTGGGACAGGCAGAAAGGATTTTGCGTACTGTCATCTTACAATGACTCTTACTCCTGGATGACTGATGTGTGATGATCAAAGTTCAAGCCAGTTATTTCCTTCTAGCCCTGTGCCCACTTGGAGGCTGTTTCCAGCTAGAGAAAGACCTGCTTATTTCTCACTGAATAAGGTTCCAACAGGCTGCCAAATCCTGTGTATGCCTGTACCCAAATGGAAGGAGTGCCTTTCCTCAATTCATAAAAAAGACAAAGACAGTGGTAGGATCAGCTATTATGTCAGTACATGAAAGGAACCCCCTATCTCAATCAAAATGGTAAAGGAAGCTTGTCTCAAATAACAGCAAAGAAACTCAGTTTACCAGACTATAAAAGTTCTTTGGTCAAGAAGATAAAGAGCTCTCCAGAATAAGAATACCTATACATGTATGGATGTGTGGAAAGTCGACAAAATGTGTACAAGCAAGTTGAATTCTGGAAACTTTGAGTTTAGCAAATAGGAGGGTAAGAAGGCTGTTAACGTATTTGAGGAACCAGATCTTGAAGGGTTCATATTCCATAATAAGTATAATATGAATATTAATTTTGTAATAGAACAGTTTCTACCTGTATAAAAAGAAGCATAAAGAGATAGAAGTTAGAGATTTACTCATAGGGGGATGATTGTAACTACTTACTTATACAGAATATCAAAGACCTAGTGAATGGTGATATAGGGAAAAAATAGACTCTTTTCTCAAGATGAAACTGAAATTTTTTACTTAGACATTGTAGAATGAAATTACTTATAACTTGGAAAGAACTGCAGAACTCAGAGAATCAAGATTTTTTCTCATTTATAGTCCATGAGCCATCCACACATGGATAAAATCCATTCAATGTGCACTGCAGCATAATGGGTTTTAATGTAATAGGGCATGTAAAATGTATTGACATAATTTGAATTTTCACATTGCAACACACCTTTAAGAAATTTCCACTTGTTGAGTTTTGATGTAATATCAAATAATGGTCACAATTATTCGAAAAGGCTATTAAAATATTACTGTGTTTTTCAACTATGTATCTGTGTGAGTCTGCATTTTCTTTAATCAACCAGTACAACATATACCAATAGATTGAAAGCAAAATCATATGAGGATCTAATTGCCTTCTATTGTCAGGCTTAAAAAAAGATTTGCAAAGCTGTAAACTGTTGTCCCAGTTTTCAGTAAGTTTAGTTATTTTCATAAAAATGTTACCTATGCCAGCATGTAATAGTTATTATTATTTTAAAATAAATCACTGTATACCTTTAACTTTTCTTAGTTTTAACAGTCTAGTCAGTAATATTGATAGCTATAATCCACACAAATGGCTATTAATTCCACAATAATATTAACAACTTTATGGAGGTGTAACTGGAATACAATATTTGCATATTTATAGAATAACGTGATAAATTTGACATAATTAATCAAGACTCCACCATGACAATCAAGATAAATATATCTATCGCCAGAAAGTATTCCTTATGATCTTTTGTAATCCATTTATCTCACCTGTCCCCTAGCATTCCAGGGAACATGTACTTTCTGTTCCTGCAGACTAGTTTCATTTGCAAAAATTTATGTATATAGAATCATAGCGTATGTATTCTTTTTTGTCTGGATTTCTGTCAGTCAGCAAATTTATTTCAAGACCCATTCTTGTTGTTAAATGTATCAATAGTTCATTTGGGTACTTTTGAGCTTTTAGTTGCTAAAAATAAAGGTGATATGGACATTCATGTACAAGCCTTTGTGTGGATATATGCTTTCTGGGTAAAAATAAAGGATCATATGGTAGATGTACATTTTAAGAAACTTTTGAACTGTTTTCCAAAGTGGTTGCACCATTTTACATTCCTTTTAACAGTGTATGAGAGTTCCATTTGTTTGATAGTTTCACCAACAGTTAATATGATTAGTGTTTATAATTTTAATCATTTTCATAAATGGTCTTAATTTTCATTTACTTTATGGAAAGATGGTGAGAATGTTTTTTATGTGCTTATTTTTACACTACATATATTTATTGTTGAAGTGTCTTTGTAAGTTATAAATAATTTCTTTATTGAGTCACTTGTTTTCTTAGCAATAAATTTTGAGAGTTCTTATTTATTCCAGATACATAATATTTTTTCTACTATTTTGTCTCAGAGAGTGGCTGGTTTTCTCAATGTTTTTCTACTGAAAGTGAATTTAACAGTATCTTTGAAGAAACAGAAGTTTTTAAATTTTGATAGGGTCTGATTTAACATTTTAAAAAATGGGGCTGGGCGTGTGGCACACGCCTGTAATCCCAGCACTTTGGGAGGCCCAGGCGGGTGGATCACCTGAGGTCAGGAGTTTGCAGCCAGCCTGACTAACATGGTGAAACCCCATCTCTACTAAATATGAAAAAAATTAGCTGGGAATGGTGGTGCAAACCTGTAATCCAAGCTACTTGGGAGGCTGAGACAGGAGAATGGCTTGTACTTGGGAGGCAGAGGTTGCAGTGAGCCGATATCGCCCCATTCCACTCCAGCCTGGGAAACAAGAATGAAATTCTGTCCCCCTCAACCAAAAAAAAAAAAAAAAAAAAAATCCTGCTGTTCTTGTTGCATCTAATAAGTCTTTACCTAAACCAAAAGCATATAAATTTTTCTACTTTGTTTTATTTCTAGAAGTTTCCAAGCTTAAAGTTTTGCATTTAGGTGTAAGATCCATTTGTAGTTTGTTTTTGTTTAAGGTGTAAAAGAAGAATTAAAGTTGATTTTAAAAATATGGATATGCAATTGCTACTGCCCTTTATAAAAGACATCATTTCTCCAATGAATTGCCTTGTTGATATCAGTTGAAAAAATATGTGTGAGTCTATTTCTGGATAATATAGTCTGTTCCAGTGAAATATTTGTTTATATTCATGCCAATGCCACACTATCCTGATTATAGTAGCTTTTAATAAGTCTGGAAATAATAAGACAGGATTAGACCTTAAACTTTCCTCTTTTTAAAAAAAAGTTGCTTGAGTTTCTCTTGGCTACTTTCATTTCCATATGCATCTTAGAATCAGCAATCAATATCTACCCAAAAAAAAGCCTACGAAAATTTTGATTGGGATTGTACTGAATTTGTGGCAGAAATTACATCCATATGTAATCTTCGGACTCATGAACACAATACATTTCTCCATTATTTAACACTTCTGGAGAGAAGAGTAGAGCAAGATGGTACAATAGAAGGCTCCACTAATTATCCCCCCTGCAAGAACATCAATTTAACAACTATCTACATAAAAAAAAGCACCTTCATAAGAACCAAAAATCAGGTAAGCACTCATAGTACCTGCTTTTAACTTTTATATATGAAAGATGCACTGAAGAAGCAGGAAAAACAGTCTTGAATCACCAATGCTACCCCTCGGTCATACCCCAGCAGTGGCAGCAAGGTGCAGAGCGTGATTCTGCGTACTGAGGGGAGGGGGAGTCAACCAAATGTGAGGCATTGAACTTAGTGCTACCCTGTTATAGCAAAAAGTAAGACTGGACCAAATTCAGCTGATGCCCACCCATGGAGGGAGCATTTAAGCCTACCCTAGACAGAGGGGAATCACTGGTCCTAGTGGTTGGAACTTGAATTCCCACAAGCCTTGCTACTGTGGGCTAAAGTGCTGTTGGTCACCAAATAAACTTGAAAGGCAGCCTATGCAACAAGAACTGCAACTCCTAGATAAGTCGAAGTGCTGAACTGGACCCAGAGCCAGTGAACTGAGGGGTCATATGACATACTGAGACACAAGCTAGGGCAGATAAAAGAGTGCTGAAATCATCCCTCCTGTAAGCCCAGGCTGCATCGTTTGTAGCTCCAAAATAGACCCCTTCTTTCTGCTTGAGGAGAGGAGAAGGAAGAATGGGGAGGATTTTGTCTTGCACTTTGGATAGCGGCTCAGCCACAGCAGCATAGGGCACCTGTTAGAGTCACAAGGTGCCCTTCTGAGGCCCTAACTCCTGGATGACATTTCTAGACAAACCCTGGGCCAGAAGAGAACTTGCTGCCTTGAACGGAATGATCCAGTTCTGGCAGAAATCATTACCTGATAACTAAAGAGCTCTTGGGCCCTGAATAACTAAGAGTGATACCCAGGTAGCAGATTGTGGGCCTTGGGGAAGACTCTGCGACTTGCTGACTTTAGGTGAGACTTAGCACATTCCCAGCAGTGGTGATAATGAGGCAAGACTCCTTCTGCTTGGGAAAAGCAGAGGTAAAAGTGCAGAAGACTTTGTCTTGCACCTTACATACCAGCTTGGCCACAGAGATTAGAGCTCTGGGGCTCTAACGGGCTCTTGGGGTCCTCGATTCCAGGCCTTGGCTCTTAGATGGCATTTGGGGACATGCCCTGGACCAGAGGGGAGCTCACTGCCCTGAAGGGTGAGTCCCAGGTCAGGCAGCATTCACCACAAGATGACTTAAGAGCCCAAGGGCCATAACCTTTTTTCTGTTTGCCCCAAGAATACTCACTAGTGGCACTTGTGGCTACAGTGTTTACCCAAAGATAACTTTGTCATGAAATACTGCACTTTTATTATGTTCACATCACTTTAGTGTATTGACTTTGGAAACAAAGACATCATTCTATTTATAGCATTCTGTTTTTAGTAGTGGTATTTCCATTTACAAAATATAGTAATTCTCGATTGCTGAAAATGTCAAATCCTATAAAATGTAGTATTCCTATGGTGATGCTAACATCTTTCTCGAACAGTTGTTGGCTGAAGATTCATTTGATGAATCCGATTTTTCCAAAATAGATGATTCTGATGATTCAGATGGTTCTGATGTTCTGTTTAGAAATAACTTCAAGAACAGTTTTTATATTTTATTTTTATATTGAAAATCAGTCAGATTTGCTTCAGCCCCAACGACCATGTTTATGTAAAGTTAAATGAGCTCTGGCAGAGAGCTGCACTTTTTTTTTTTTTCCTAAATGGGAAAATGGTTAAGGGGACATTAGCATTAGTCTGGCAGTACTCCCTGTGGGCCTGTGGTGGCAGTGGCCATGGAGTGAGGTGTTACTGCCTTTAAAAAGGGGAGGGAAGAGTGGGAGGAACTGCATCTTGTGATTTGAGTAGCAGCACAGCCACAATACAATATAACGCTAGGTAAATATCTAAAGTTTTGGCTCTAGTTCTAGTTCTTGGCTCTCAGACAGAATTTCTGGACCTCAGTGGGGCCTGGGGGAACTTGCCATCATGAAAGAAAAGACACAGGCCTAATGGCTTTGCCACCTGCTGATAGTAGAGCCACAAGGTCTTGAGTGAACATAGGCAGTAGCCAGGGAGTGGTTAAGCAGGTCTTGGTCGAGACCCAGCACTGTGCAAGCTTCAGGTCTGACCCAACACAGTCCTAGTAGTGGTGGCCACAGGCATGCTTGTGTCATTTCACCCCAGGCTTCAGGTGGCCCAGAACAGAGAGAAGCTTTGTCTGTTTGGGAGAAAGTTAGGAGAAAGAATGAGTCTCTCCGCCTGATAATCCAAAAAATTCATCCAGATCCCATTCAAGACAAGGTGTACCTCTATAATTCTGCAAGAATCATGAAGTTACTTGGCTTGAGGTGTCCCCTAAAGCAGATACAGCTTAGATTACAATACCCAAGTCCTTTTGAATGTGTGAAAAGCCTTTCCAAGAAGGATGAGTATAAATAAGCCCAGACTGTGAAGACTGTAAAAAATACCTAACACTCAATGTCCAGGCACAGATGAACATCTACAATTATCAAGACCATCCAGGAAAACATGACCTCACCAAATGTACTAAATAAAGCACCAGGAACCAATACTGGAGAAACAGATATATGACCTTTCATATAGACAATTCAAAATAGCTGTTTTGAGGAAACTCACAGAAATTCAAGATAACACAGGGAAGAAATCTGGAATTCAATCAGATAGATTTTACAAAGAGATTGAAATAATTAAAAAGAATGAAACAAATTATAGAAAATTGCAAATTGACATTCTGAAATTGCATTCTGAAAATTGCAATTGACATACTGAAAAATACATCAGAATCTTTTGATAGTAGAATTGACCAAGCAGAAAAAGAATTAATGAGCTTGAAGACTGAATATTTGAAAATGCAGTCAGAGGAGACTAAAAAAATAATGAAAAATGATAAAGCATGCCTACAAGATCTAGAAAATTTCCTCAAAAGGGCACATCTAAGGGTTCTTTGCCTGAAACAGGAGGTAGAGAAAGAAATAGAGATAGAAATTTCATTCAAAGGGATAATAACAGAGAACTTTCCAAACCTAGAGGAAGATATCAATATCCGAGTACAAGAATGTTATAGGACACTAAGAGCATTTAACTCAAAGAAGACTGTCTTCACCAGGCATTGTGGTTCATGCCTATAATCCCAACACTTTGAGAGTGTCACTTGAGTCCAGAAGTTTGATACCAGCCTGGGCAACTTGTAAAAACCCTACCTCCACAAAAAATACAGAAGTTAGTTGGGCATGGTGGCACATGTCTGTAGTCCCGGCTACTTGGGGGACTGAGGCCAGAGGATTCCCTAAGCCCATGAGGTTGAGGCTACAGTGATCTATGAGTGCACCACTGTACTTCAGCCTGGGTAGCAAAGTGAGACCCTGCATCAAATAATAATAAGAATAATCAAACTCCCAAAGTTAAAAAAAAAGTATTCTAAAAGCAGTAAGAGAAAGGAAACAAAGAACACATAATGAATCTCCAATACATCTGGCAGCAGACTTTTCAGCGGAAATCTTACAGGCCAGGGGAGACCAGTATGACATACTTAAAGCGATTAAGAAAAAAAAAACTATACCTAAAATAGCATATCTGGTGAATACCTCCTTAAAACATGAAGGTAAATAAACACTTTTTCTGACAAAAGCTGAGGGCTTTCAATAACACCAGACCTGTACTACAAGAATTGCTAAAGGAAGTACTTCAATCAGAAAGAAACAGATCTTAATTAGCAGTAAGAAATTATCCGAAGGTACAAAACTCTGAAGAAACATATATGACCTGTCAGACAGAGAATTCAAAATAGCTGTTTTGAGGAAACTCATAGAAATTCAAGATAACACAGGAAAGAAATTCAGAATTCTATCAGATAAATTTAACAAACAGATTATAATAGAAACTGGTAATAGTAACTACACACAAAAAACACAGAACATTATAACACTGTAACTGGTGTATAAATTACTGTTATCTTAAGTAGAAAGACTAAATGATGAACCAATCAAAAATAGCAACTACAATTTTTGAAGACATGGGCAGTACAATAAAATACAAATAGAAAGAACAAAAACTCAAAAAACAGGGAGATGAAGTTAAGATACAGGGGTTTTTATTAGGTTTTCTTTTTGCTTATGCAAACAGCATTAAGTGAATATCAGCTTAAAATAATGGTTTTTATGGTTTGTATGATAGTATTTGCAAGCCTCATGGTAACCTCAAACCAAAAAACATACCTTGAATACACAAAAAATAAAGTGCAAGAACCTAAATCATATCAACAGAGAAAAATCACCTTCAGTAAAGGGAAGACATGAAGGAAAGAAAGAAGAAAGAGAACACCACGAAACAAGCAGAAAACAAATAACAAAATGACAAGAGTAAGTCCTTAGTAATCAATAATAACATTAAATGTAAATGAACTAAACTCTTTAATCAAAAGACCTACATGGCTGAATGAATTTTAAAAAAAAGACCAAATGATCTGCTGCCTACAAGAACTGAACTTTATCTATAAAGACACATATAGACTGAAAATAAAGGAATGGAAAATGAGATTCCATGCCAATAGAAATCAAAATAGTGCAGAATTATCTATTATTATATCAGACAAAATAGATTTCAAGACAAAAACTATGAAGAATTGACCAAGAAGGTCGCTATATTCATAAATGGGTCAATTTAGTAAAAGAATATAAAATTTTAAATAATTTTAAATATATCTCCCAACACTTGGAGATATATAAAGCAGATATTATTAGAACTAAAAAGAGAGATAGACCTCTAATACAATAATAACTGGAGACTTCAACAACCCACTTTCATCAATGAGTAAAACTCACAGACAGAAAATAAACAAAGAAACATCAGATATAGCCTGTACTTTAGGCCAAATGAACCTAACAGATATTTACAGAATATTTTCTCCAGTGGCTGTAGAATACACATTCTTTTTCTCAGCACATGGATTACACTCAAGTATAGACTATATGTTAGGTTAGAAAACAAAACTTAAAGCATTCAGAAAAACTAGAATAATATCAAGCATCTCCTCTGACCAAAATGAAATAAAACTAAAATCAATAATAAGAGGGATTTGGGAAACTATACAAATACACAGAAATTAAACAGTATGCTCCTGAATGGCCAGTGGGTCAATGAAGAAATTTTTTAAAAATTGAAAAAAAAAATTGAAACAAATGATGTAATTTCACACAACACACCAAAACCTATAGGATATAGCAACAGCAGTACTCAGAATTGAGTATATAGATGTAAGTGCCTACATCAATAAAGAAGAAAAACCTAAAATAAACAACATAATGGTGTATCTTAAAGAATTAGAAAAGCAAAACGAAACCAAACCCAAAACTAGTAGAAAAAAAGAAATTATAAAGATCAGAGCAGAAATAAATGAAATTGAAATGAACAGAACAATACAAAAAGTCAATAAAACAAAAAGCTGTTCTTTTGAAAAGTTAAACAAAATTGACAAACCTTTAGTCAGACTAAGAAAAAAAGAGAAAAGATCCAAATAAATAAAATGAGAGATGAAAAAATGACATTACAACTGATACTGCAGAAATTCAAAGAATCATTAGTGGCTACTATGAGCAACTATATGCCATATATTGGAAAATCTAGAAGAAATGAACACGTTCCTGCCTAACAAGTTTCCTATCGACTATACAACTACCAAGATTGAAGCATGAAGAAATCGAAAACCTGACAGACCAGTAACAATTAATGAAATGGAAGTCATAATAAAAAGTGTCCCAGTAAAGAGAAGCCCAGGATGGCTTCACTTCTGAATTCTATAAAACACTTAAAAAAGAACTAATTCCAATCCTACTCCAACTATTTCAAAAAATAGAGGAGGAATAAATACTTCCAAACTCATTATATGCCCAGTATTACCCTGATACCAAAACCAGACAAAGACACATCAAAAAAAGAAAACTACAGGCCAATATCCCTGATAAATATTGATGCAAAAATCCTCAACAAAATATTAGCAAACTGCATGCAACAATACATTAAAAAGATCATTCATCATGATCAAGTTGAATTTATCCAATGGATGCAAGGATGGTTCAATATAGACAAACCAATCAATGTGATACATCATATCAATAGAATGAAGGACAAAAACCATGTCATTATTTCAACTGATGCTAAAAAAGCAATTGTTAAAATTCAACATCTCTTCAGGATAAAAGCCCTAAAAAATCTGTGTATAAAAGGAACATACCTCAACATAATAAAAGTCATATATGACAGACTCACTGCTAGTACTACACTGAATGGTGAAAAAATGAAAATCATTTCTCTAAGATCTGGAACATGACAAGTATGCCCACTTTCACCACTGCTATTCATTGTAGTATCAGAAGTCCTAGCAAGAGCAATTAGACAAGAGAAAAATACAAAGGGCATCTAAATTGGAAAGGAAAAAGTCAAATTATCCTTGTTCACAGATGATATGATACTATATTTGGAAAAGCCTAAAGACTACAGATGCACACACACACACACACACACACACACACACACACAAGAAAACATTAGAACTGATAAATTCAATAAAGTTGCAAAATACAAAATCAACATGTAAAATTAAGTAGCATTTCTATATGCCAACAGTGAACAATCTGAAAAATAAATAAAAATGTAATCCCACTTACAGTAGCTACAATCAAGTTAAATACCTAGGAATTAACAAAATAAGGGAAAGATCTCTACAATAAAAAACTATAAAACAGTGATGAAAGAAATTAAAGAGGGGACCAAAAAATGAAAAAATATTTCCTGTTCATGGATTGGAAAAGTCAATGTTGTTAAAATGTTCAACTACCCAAAGCAATCTACAGATTCAATGCAATCTCTACCAATGACATTCTTCACAGAAATAGAAAAAAAAAACTTAAAATTTATATTGAACTACAAAATACCCAGAATAGCCAAACTTACCCTATGCAGTAATAACAAAACTAGAGGAGTCACATTACCTGACTTCAAATTATAATACTACAGAGCTATAGAAAACAAAACAGCATGTAAATGGCATAAAACAGACACAGACCAATGGAACAGAATAGAGAACCCAGAAACAAATCCACACATGTACAGTAAACTCATTTTCAACAAAGGTGCCAAAAATATATACTGGAGAAAAAAAAAAGCCTTTTTAATAAATGGTGCTGAAAAAACTAGATATCCATTTATGGAAGAATTAAACTAGACCCCTATCTCTTTCCATACAAAAATCAATTGAAAATGGATTAAAGACTTAAATCTAAGACCCCATACTAAAAAACTGCTACAAGAAAATATTGGGGAAACTATCCAGGACATTGAACTGGGCAAAAATTTCTAGAGTAATTTCCCATAGGTAAAAACAACCAAAGCAAAAATGGACAAATGATATCACATCCAGTTAAAAATCTTCTGGACAGCAAAGAAAGCAATCAACAAAGTGAAGAGACAATGCACAGTATATTAATTCATTCTTACTTTGCTACAAAGAAATAACTGAGCCTGGTTAATTTATTAAAAAAGGAGACTTAATTGGCTCACAGTTCTGCAGGATGTACAGAAACCATAGAGGCATTTTCCTGGCTTCTGGAGAGGCTTCAGAAAACTTATAATCATGGCAGAAGGTGATGGGAGCAGGCACCACACATGGCCAGAGCAGGAGGGAAAAAGAGAGGCAGGTGCCACACAGTTTTAACTGACAGGATCTCATGAGAACTTACTATCATGAGAACAGCACCAAGGGGATGATTCTAAACCATTATTAAGAAAGTGCCCCTGTGATCCAATCACCTACCACCAGACCTCGCCTCAGACATTGAGGATTACAACTTGACAAGACATTTGAGAAAGTACACAGATACAAACATATCATTCTGCCCCTGGCCCCTCCCAAATCGTATGTCCTTCTCACATTGCAAAATACAATCATGCCTTCCTAACAGTCACCCAAAATCTAAACTCATTCCAGCATTAACTCAAAAGTCTAAAGTCTTATTTGAGACGAGGCTAGCTCCTTCCATCTATGATCCTATAAAATCAAAATCAAGTTATTTACTTCTAAGATACAGTGGTGGTACAAGCATTAGGTAAATACTCCCATTCCAAAAGGGAGAAATCAGCCCAAAGAAAGGGGCTACAGGCCCCATGCAAATCAAATCCAGCAGGGCAGTCATTAAATCTTAAAGCTCCAAAACAATCACTTTTGACTCCATGTTCTATATCCAAGGCACACTGATACAAAGAGTGGGCTCCCAAGGCCTTTGGCAGCCCACCCTTGTGGCTTTACAGGGTTCTGCCCCCTACAAAGGCCTTTTCCACATTCAACATTGGCATATAAGTCATGTGGCTTTTCTAGTCTGAGGGGTATCGGCTGCTGTTGACTCTACCATTCTGGGGTCTGGAGGATGGTGGCCCTCTTCTCATAGCTCCACTAGCGAATGCCCCAGTGGGAACTCTGTGTAGGGGCTTCAACTTCACGGTTCCCCTCCACACTTCCCTAGTAGAGGTTCTCAGTGAGGGCTCTGCCCCTGCAACAGACATCTGCCTGGACATCCAGTCTTTTCTATACATCCTCTGAAATCTAGGTGGAGACTTCCATGTCTCAACTCTTATACTCTGTGCACCTACAGGCTAAACAGTACCTGAAAGCTGCCAAGGGTTATGGCTTGCACCCTCTAGAGCAGTGGCTGAAGCTGTATCTATGACCCTTTGTGCTGAGGCTGGAGTCGCCAGAATGTGGGGAGCAATGTCCTGAAGCTATTCAGGGCAGTGGGACCCTAAGCCTAGTGCATGAAACCATTCTTTCCTCCAAAACATCCAGGCCTATAATAGAAGGGGCTGCCATGAAGTCCTCTGAGATGCATTCAAGGCCTTTTCTCCATTGTCTTGACTATCAGCACTTGCCTTCCTTTTAGTTATGCAGATTTATGTAGCAAGTGGTTGCTCAGCAGTCTGCTTGAATTCTCCTGAAAATGGGCTTTTCTTTTCTACTACATGGCCAGGTTGCAAATTTTCCAAACTTTTACACTATGCTTCCCCTTTAAATATAAGTTCCAGCTATAGGCCATTTCTTTGCTCAAGCATGTGAGCATAGGTTGTTAGAAGCAGCCAGGCCACATGTTGTATGCTTTTTGCAGCTTAGACATTTCTTCTACTAGATACTTTAAATCATCATTCTCAAGTTCAAAATCCACAGATCCCTAGTGCAGGGGAGCAATGGAGCCAAGTTCTTCGCTAAGACATAACAAAAGTGACCTTTGCTCCAGTTCCCAATAAGTTTCTCATTTCCATTTGACACCTCATCAGCCTGGCCTTGACTTCCCATGTCACTATCAGCATTTTGGTCACAACACCTTAACCAGTCTCTAGGAAGTTCCAAACTTTTCTTCATCTTCCTGTCTTCTTCTGACCCCTCCAGCCTCTTCCAATCTCTAACAATTACCCAGTTCCAAAGTTGCTTCCACATTTTCAGGTATCTTTATAGCAATGCCCCACTCCTTTCATGAGTAATTACTGAGTAATTTATAAAGAAAAGTGATTTAATTGGCTCATAGTTCTGCAGGGTGTACAGGAAGCATAGCATCATCTGCTTGGCTTCTGGAGAGGCCTCAGGAAAGAAACCTACATTTATGGCAGAAGGCTAAGAGGGAGAAGTCACCTCACATGGCCAGAGCAGGAGGAAAGTGTGTGTGGGGAGAGGTGCTACATATTTTCAAACAACCAGTCTCATGAGAACTTACTCACTACAATATCATGAGAATATAGCACCAAGGGGGTGGTGCCAAACCATTCATGAGAACTGCTTCTATGATCTAATCACATGCCACCAGGCCGTACCTTGAACACTGGGGATTTCAATTGGACAAAAGATTTGGGCATGGATCCAAACCATAGTGAGAAAATATTTGCAAACTATCCATCTGACAAAAAATTAATAACCAGAATATATAAGATGCTTAAACAACTCTATAGGCAAAAATCTAATAATCTGATTTTTAAAACTGTCCAAAGATTTGAATAGACATTTCTCAAAAGAAGACATACAAACGGCAAACAGGCTTATGAAAAGGCATCCAGCATAACTGATCATCAGAAAAATGCAAATTAAAACAACAATGAGATATCTCACCCCAGTTAAAATGGCTTATATCCAAAACCAAGCAATAACAAATACTGATGAGGATGTAAAGAAAAGAGAACCCTAGTACACTGTTGGTGGTAATGCAAATTAGCACAACCATTATGGAGAACAGTTTGGAGAGTCCTCAGAAAACTAAAAATAGAGATACCATATGATCCAGCAATCCCACTGCTGGAGAGATACCCAGAAGAAAGAAAATGAGTATATTGAAGAGATATCTGCACTCCCATATTTGCTACAGCACTGTTCACAATAGCCAAGATTTGGAAGCAACCCAAGTCCAACAACAGATGACTGGATAAAGAAAGTACTATTAATCCATAAAAAATGAGATTTTGTCATTTGCATCAACACGGATTCAATTGGAGGTCATTATGTTAAATAAACCAAGCCAGACACAGAAGGACAAACATCATACATTCTCATTTATGTGATGTAAAAATCAAAACAATTGAACTCATGGAGACAGTAGAATGAGGGTCATAAGAGGCAGTGGGGTAGTGGGGAGGTGGTTAGTGGGGAGGTGGGTAGTGGGGAGGGTAGTGGGGAGGTGGGTAGGAGCTGAGGATGATTAATGGGTACAAAAAATGAGTTAGAAACCATAACTAAGACCTAGTATTTGATAGCACAACAGGGTGACTATAATCAATAATTTAATTGTACATTTTAAAATAACTAAAAAAGTATAATTGAATTGTTTGTAACAGAAAGGATAAATGCATGTGGGGTTGAATACCCCATTTCCCATGATGTGATTATTACACATTGCATGCCTGTATCAAAATATCTCAAATACCCCACAAATAGATATGCCTACTATGTGTCCACAAAATCAAATAATCTACAATTTCTATAATTTCTCCCAGAAATATTTTGTACTTTTAAGTGCATTATTTCACATATCTTGCTCAATTATCCCTTGTCAGAAACTTTCTATTTCAAGTTTTAAAAAATTAGTAAATATAATTTGTCCTAATAAACTATTATATTGGCAGGTACTATAATTTCATTTTTTGATGTTATTGTATACATACTTTCCATTTCAGTTTTAATTTATTTTCCAATTGTTTGTTGCTAGTACATAAAATTGACTTTTTAAATGAATTTTTCATCCTCCAACCTTAACAATATCACTTCTTAGTTCTAGCAGCTTCTTTGTAGATTTTATTCATTATTTTACTCATCTTACATGTATACAATCATTTCTTCTATAAAAAAGACAGTTTTATTTTTTCCTTTCCAATTTAAACACATTTTATTACTTTATCTTGACTTATTACAATCGCTATACATTTCAATGAAATATTGAGCAGAAATGAGATGGACATCCTTGATTTGTTTCTGCTCTTAAGAGGAATGCCTTCAGTGTTTCACCAGTAGGTATGATGTTACCTGTGAATTTTATACAGATGCTCTGTATTGGGTTGGGAAGTTTCTTCTATTACTATTCTGCTAATAAATATTTTTAAAATTTTTAAATTTTGCCATGTGCCTTAAATTTTTAAATTTTATCATGTGCTTTTTTCTGCTGATATGACAAATTGTTTTAGTTCCTTATGTTGAAATATATTTATTATTTTTATTGATATATATATTTAACATATTTATGGAGTACATGTGATTATTTCTTACATGAACAGGATGTGTAATGATCAAGTCAGGGAATTTGGAGTATCCATTACCTTGAGCATATATCATCTCTATGTGTTGGGAACATTTCAAGTCCATTATTCTAGCTACTTTGAAATAGACAATACATTGTATCTAACTATAGTCATACTACTATGCCATCAATATTGGAACTTACATCTTCTATCTACCTGTAGATTTGTACCCATTAACCAGCCTCTCTTCATTGCCTCTGTCACCTACACATCCTTCTCATCCTCTGGTATCTATCATTCTATTCTGTACCTACATGATATTAACTTTTCCAGCTCTCACATATACTGATAACATGACATGTTTGTCTTTATGTGCCCAGCTTTTTTCATTTAACATAATGACCCTCCAATCCCATCCATGTTGCTGAAACTGACATGATTTCATTTTTTATGGCTAAATAGTATTCCAATGTGTATGGATACCACATTTTCTTTATCCATTTGTCCATTGATGGACACTTAGTTTGATTCCATATCTTTGCTATTGTGAATAGTGCTTCAGTAAATATGTGAGTGCAGGTATCCCTTTGTATAATGATTTTTTTTGAATAATTAATAGTGGGGTTGCTGGGTTGTATGGTAGTTCTATTTTTAGTTTGTTGAGAAATCTCCATACTATTTTCCATAGTGGCTGCAGTATTTTACATTCCCACCAACAGTGTATGAGTCCCCTTTGCTCTGTAGGCTCATCAGCATCTGTTTTTTTGCCTTTTTAATGATAACCATTCTAACTGGGATAAGATGATATCTCGTGGTTTTGGTTTGCATTTCACTGATGATTAATGATGTTGGGCATTTTTTCATCTACTTCTTGGCCATTTTTGTATCTTTGATATGGTTTGGATCTGTGTCCCTACCAAATCTCATGCTAAAATATAACCCCCAGTGTTGGAGTTGGGACCTTCTGGGAGGTGTTTGGATCATGGAAGTGTATTCCCCATGAGCGGCTTAATATTATCCTCTTGGTGATGAGTGAGCTCAGGTTAGTGAGTGGCACCTAATGCTCACTCTCCCTCTTTTGCTCCTGCTCTTGCCAAATGAGACAATTCCTCCTGTTTTACCTTCCACCATGATTAAAAGCTCCCGGAGGACTCCCAGAAGCTGAGAAGATGCCACTTTCATGCTTGTACAGCCTGCAGAATCCTGAGCCTTTTTTCTTTATAAATTACCCAATCTTAGACATTTCTTTATAGCAATGTAAGAATGGCTTAATACAATCTTCTTCTTCTTCCTCTTTTTTTTTTTGAGAGAGAGTCTTGCTCTGTCACCCAGTCTGGAGCAGCGGTGTGATCTCAACTCACTGCAACCTCTGTCTCCCAGGTTGAAGCGATTCTCATGCATCAGCCTTCTGAATAGCTTGGATTACAGGCATGCACCATCACGCTTGGCTAATTTTTGTATTTTTAGTAGAGATGGGGTTTTGCCATGTTGGCCAGGCTGGTCTCCAAGTCCTAGCCTCAAGTGATCTACCCATCTCTGCCTCCGAAAGTGCCAGGATTACAGGTGTGGGCCACTACACTTGGCCAAAACAACTTTTTTAAAGAAATGTCTATTCATATTATTTGCCCATTTTTAACTGGGATTATTTGTTTATAGACACTATTGAGTTTCTTACATACTCTGGATATTAGTCTCTTATTTGATAAACAGTTTGGAAATACTTTCTTCCATTCAACAGGTTATCTCTTCATTCTGTTTTTTCCTATGTTGCACAGAAATTTTTTAGTTTAATAAAGTCTCATTTGTCTATTTTGCTTTTGTTATCTATGCTTTTAAGGCCTTAGCCACAAAATCTTTGCCTAAACCAATGTCCTGAAGTTTTTTCTCTATATGTTTTCTTCTTGTCATTGTATAGTTTCAGGTCTTACATTTAAATCTTTAATCTATTTTGATTTGATTTTTGTATATGGTGAAAGATAGGGGTCCAGTTTTATCTTTCTGCCCAAGGATATCCAATTTTGCCAGCACCATTTATTGAAGAGGGCATCCTTTCCTCAATGCATGTTCTTGGCATCTTTGTAAAAAATCAGTTGGCTGCAAATAAGCGTATTTATTTCTAGACTCTATCTTTATTCCATTGATCTATATGTATGTGTCTCTGTTTTTATATCAATACTATGCTGTTTTGGTTACTACAGTCTTGTGATATATTTTGAAGTTGGTTAGCATGATACCTCCAGCTTTTTTATTTTTCCTCAGGATTGCTTTGACTATTTGGGCTCTTTTTTGGTTTCTTACAAATTTTAGAATTACTTTTTCTATTTCCGTGTAAAATGGAATTGGTATTTTAATAGGAATTGCATTTAAATATGTAGATTTCTATGGGCAGTATGATAATTTAAACAATTTTAATCCATCTGATCCATGAGCATAGGATGTATTTGTTTTTTGTTTTATCTTCTTCAACTTCATTAGAATTTTATAGCTTTTCTTGTAGAGATCTTTCACTTCCTTGGTTAAATTACTCCCAGGTATTTTATTTTATTTTTTTAGCTATTATAAATAGAATTGGTTTCTTGATATGGTCTTCAGCTGGATCATTATTGGTGTATAGAAATGCTGGCCTTGTAGAATGAGCTAGGGTGAATTCTCTCTTTCAATGTTTTAGAATAGTTTGAGAATAATTGGTGTTTATTCTTCCTTGAAAGTTTGGTAGAATTTGTTAGTGAAGTCATTCAGTCCTGAACCCTTCTATGTTGGAAGACTTTTTATTACCAATTCAATCTCATTACTCATATCAGTCTGTTCAGGTTTTCTGTTTCTTCCTGGTTCCATCATAGTAGGTTGTATGTGCCCAGGAATTTATCCGCTTCTAGGTTTTCCAGTTTGTTAGCATATTGTTGTTTACAGTGGTATTTAAAGAACTTTTGTATTTCTGTGGTATCAGTTGTAATGTCTCCTTTTTTCATTTCTGATTTTGTTTATTCGGGTCTCTCTCTCTTGTTTAGTATAGCAAGTGGTTTATTGGTTTTGTTTATCTTTTCAAAAAACCAACTTTTCATTTTATTGAACTTTTGTTCTTTTAGTCTTTTTGTTTGTTTGTTTAGTTCTGTGCTAATTTTTATTATTTCTTTCCTTCTATTAATTTTGGCTTTGGTTTGTCCTTGCTTTTCTAGCTCCTTGAGGTATATTGTTAGATTGCTTATTTTAAAATTTTCTACTTTTTTGATTCAGTGTTTTTATTGCTATAAATTTTCCTCTTCACACTCCTTTTGCTATATCTCACAGGTTTTCCTGTATTGTTTCAATTTTCATTTGTTTCAAGAATTTTTAAAATTATCTCCTTAATTTCTTAGATGACTTAATAGTCATTCAAGAACATATGCTTTAATTTCCATGCATTTATACAGCTTTCAAAGTTCCTCTTGTTATTGATTTATAGTTTTATTCCATTGTGATCTGAAAATATATTTCATTTGATTTTTAAAATTTGTTGAGCCTTGTTTCATGGCCTAACATATTTCCTATCCTGGAGAATATTCCATGTGCTCATGAGAAAAATGTGTATTCCATAGCTGCTGGATGAAATATTCTGTAAATATCTGTTTGGTCTAAGGTGCAGTTTAAATCCAATGCATCCTTCTTAATTTTCTGCCTAGATATTCTGTCTAGGGCTGAGAATGGGCTGTTGAACTCCCTCACTATTACTGTATCGGAGTCTACCTCTCCCTTTAAATTTGGTAATATTTGCTTTATATATCTGGGTACTCTGGTGTTGGGTGAATATATGTTTAGAATTGTTATAGTCTATTGCTGAATTGATCTCTTTATTGTTATATAATGACCTTCTTGTATTTTATTTTACTGCTTTTGACTTAAAGTCTGTTTTATCTGATATAAGTATACCCCTGCTGGTTTTGGTGTTTGTTCGCATGAAATACCTTTTTCCATTTTTTTACTTTCTCTCTATATGTATCTTACAAGTGGGATGTGTTGTGTAGGCAGAATATTGTTGGGTCATGGCTGATAATTCATTCATCCAATCTATCTTTAAAGTGGCAAGTTTAATCTGTTTACATTCAAGGTTATTACTAATATCTGATGGCCTAGTTCTTGTGGTTTATTAATTGATTTCTGGTGGTTTTATATAACATTTTTTCTCCTCTCTCTCTTTTATTGTTTATTATTGTGATTTAGTGATTTCTATAATGCTAACATTAGAGTCTTTTCTCTTTCTTCCTTGTGTGTTTGCTCTACCAGTGTTTGAAACAATTTTTTCGTGTGTTTTCTTCATAGTAGATATCATTTTTTCAATTCCAGGTGTAGGACTTCCTGAAGCATTTCTAGTAGGGTTGGTCTATTGGTAATGAATTGCCTCAGCCTTTGCTTATCTGGGAAAAACTTTATTTCTTCTTCATTCATGAAGAGTAACTTTCCTGAATATACTATTTTTGGCTGCCAGTTGTTTCTTTTGGCATTTTAAATATATCATCCCATTCATTCCTGGCCTGTAAGGTTTCTGCTGAGAAATCCACTGTTAATCTAAGGAGGATTTCTTTATAGATGGCTAGATGCTTTTCTTTTGCTGTTTTTAGTATTCTGTTCTTGGTTTTGACTTTTGACAGTTTGACTATAATATATCATGGAGAAGACCTTTTTGCATTGTATTCATTTGGGGGTCTCTGAGCCTCCTATATCTGGATGTCTAAATCTCCTGCTAGACTTGGAAAGCTTTTAATGTATTTTAAAAAATGTTTTCTAACACTAGTGCTTTCTCTTAGCCTCTGGGACTCCACGAATTCAAACATTTGGTTACTTTATGATATTCTATATTTCATGTGGTCTTTGTTCATTCTTTTTTGTTCTTTTTAATTTTTTAATTCTTTTTTCTCAGTAGTAGCCTGGGCTGGGCAATTCCAAGGCCCTTGGACAGCATGCTTTGGCACAAAGGAGTTGCAAAGCCAGGCTGTGTGTTTTGTCCTCTGGCACCCTGGTGGTATACATATAGGAGCTGGCTGTGTTAAGCAGGGATGGCATGATTCCCAGGTCTCCATTTTTTGTCTCACTGGGTTATTTCAAAAGACCTGTCTTCACATTCTGAAATTATTTCTTCTGACTGATCTCATCTATTGTTGTTGTTTAAAAATATATTTTGTATTTCATTGAATGAATTATTTAGTTCCAGAATTTCTGTTTGATTCTTTTAAATAATATCTATCCCTTTGCTAATTTCCCATTTACTTTCTAAATTGGTTTTCTGACTTTTGTATTGTTTATAGCATTCTCTTTTATCTCACTGACTTTCTTTAAAATCAATATTTTGAATTCTCGTTCCAGGATTTCATAAATTTATTTTTAGTTGGGATCTGTTGCTGGAGAATTATTGTGTTCACTTGGTGGTGTCATATTTTCTTGCCTTTTTATGTTTCTTGTGTGTTTATATTGATATCTGAGCATCTGGTGAAACAGTCATTTCTCCCTATTTTTTGAATTTGCTTTAGTAGAGGAAGACTTTTTCCTGAAGATGTATCTATGGTGTTCGCTGGATATGGCACTTTGTCTTTGATTCTAGGTGCATGAGTAGTGTAGTCTCTGCATGATTTCTCAGATGTAAATAGCATCTGTGGTGTCTGTGATTTCCTTGGTGGGATAGGGTACAGTTTTTAGTGGTGGCTGTAGTGAAGCTTTGTTGGGGACTGGGGCACTAGGTGGGCCAGACTTTGAGTCCCAGTGGTGGCAACAGTGGGCTGACTGTGTCTGTCCTTGGGCACCAGAGTGACATATGCTGGTATCAGTGTTAGTACATCCAGGTAGGTCAATTCTTAGGCCTCCAGGTGGCTTGCTCAGAAGGTATTAGTGGTAGTGATGGGCCAGATGGATGAGCAGCTTTACAGCCCCTGGACCGCAGGTGTGGCATGAGTGATGTCAGTGGCAGTGACCACTGGGTCTTGAGTGGTGCTTGCTGGTGTTGGTGATGGCTGTGATGGGATTTTAAGTCTCCTCTAGGCCTGCAGGTAGTACATGCAATTGGGTGCCAGCTGTAGTAGTAATAGCAGGGTGGGTGGGTCCAACCTACGGCCTCTGGGAGGAGTGCTAAAGTGCCAGTAGGGGTAGACTGGACTGGATGAACTTCAGGCCCCTGAACTGCATGATCTTCAGGCCCCTGGACTGCATATCTTAGAACAGTGGATTGCAAAGCCAGCTCAGGCATTCTTTTCCTTAGGTCCTATGGTGGTACATGCAGGTAATGGCTGTAGTAGGCAGTGATGGGATGATCCCCAGGCCACCATGTAGTGTCAGTTTAGGTGGGGCAGTGATTGTATGGGTATAGAAATATGCAGGTTATCTAATTGTTCTGAAGTGAACTTTAGTAATTTATGTCTTTTAAGAAACTGTTAATTTTATCTAAGATGTCAAATTCATTGGCATAAAGTTGTAATTGTAATATCTGTCAGTTTTTTGGTGACATCACCTATCTCAACCTTGACATAGTTAATTAGCATATTTTCTCTTTTCTGATTAGTCTGGATGGAGTTTTCTTACTTTTTTAAAAGTTAAACAAATTCATTGACTTTGCTCTATTGTTTTTATCTGTTTTCTACTTCATCTTTTTTTTGGTCTTTATTTTTTGTCTTTATTTTATTTTTTTGACTGCTTACTTTGGGTTTAGTATGTTGTTTTCTCTATTATTAAGGTAGAAGCTAAGCTGAAACTTTTTTTCTTTTAAATGTGTGTGTTTTAGTGCCATAAATTTCTCTCTAAATATTGTTTTAGCTGTATCTATAAATATTAGTATATTTTGTTTCCATTTTCATTCTGTTCAAAATACTCTCTAATGTTCTCTTTCAATTCTTCTTCAAACCATGGGATGTTAATAAGTGTTCAGTTAGCAAGTAGTTAAGGGGTATTTCAGATAACTTTTAGTTATTGATTTCTAATTTAACTCCATTTTAGTAAGAGAATATAATTTATATGATTTTAAATTTATTGTGACTTGTTTTGTGGCCAAAAAGATATTTTATAGTGGATTTACCTGTTTCCATCTTGACCAGATACAGAAGTCCCCTCAATAATTTTGAAGAGTGTAATGAAGTCCTTAAACCAAGTGTAAGAAAAATGGTTTTAGATCATGCCATGGAAAGATCATACCTTAAAAAGGTGTAAAGAAAATTAAGAACATGATTTGATTCTAACATGTCAGATATCAGCTTAATTGTAGTTTTATTTTTAAAAATTGTTTCTTATTATTACTATTTCGAGACTGGATCTGGCTGTGTTGCCCAGGCCAGAACTGCAGTGTCATAATTGCAGCTCACTGCAGCCTCAAACTCCTGGGTTCAAGGGATTTTGCTGCCTCAGCCTCCTGAGTAGTGGGGACTACAGGTGTCCACCACTACAACTGGCTAATTTTCAGATTTTTTTTTTGTTATACACAGGCTGTCACTATATTTCCTAGGCTAGTCTCGAACTCCTGGCCTCAAGCAGTAATCTTCCCATTTTGGCCTCTGAAATTGCTGGGATTATAAGCATAAGCCACCATGTGGCTTCAATTATTATTTATTTATTAGTAGTATTTTTAATTTCCATATTTATTTAGACTCGGGGGTACATGTGCAGGTTTGTTATGAGGGCATATTGTGTGGTGCTGAAGTTTGGGCTTTATTGATCCCATCACATAGTTAGATAGGGAAGTTATTTTTTTAGTTTGGGTTTTATTGATCCCATCACATAGTCAATAGGAAGTTTTTTTTTTTTTTTTTTTTTTTTTGAAACAGAGTCTCACTTTTTCGCCCAGGCTGGAGTGCAGTGGCACGATCTCGGCTCACTTATAAATGAGAACATGTAATATTTGGTTTTCTGTTTCTGCATTAATTTGCTTAGGATAACAGCCAGCAGCTATATCCATGTTGCTGCAAAGGACATGATTTTGCTTTTTTTTTTCATGGCTGCATAGTAACCCGTTATGTATATGTACCAATTTTTCTTTATCCAGCACACCCACTGATGGGCATCTAGGTTGATTCCATGTCATTACTATTGTGAATAATGCTGCAATGAACATACAAGTGAATATATCTTTTTTGGTAGAATAATTTATTTTTCTTTGGGTATATACCCAGTAGTGAAACTGCTGGGTCTAATGTTAGTTCTATTTTTAATTCTTTGAGAAATCTCCAGGCTGTTTTCCTCATTGGCTGAACTAATTTACATTCTCACCAGAAGTGCATAAGCATTACCTTTTCTCCACAGCCTTGCCATCTTCTGTTATTTTTGACTTTGTAATAATTGCCATTCTGACTGGTGTGAGATAGTAGCTTATTGTGGTTTTGATTTGTGGTTCTTTGATAATTAGCGATGTTGAGCATTTTTAAATGTTTCTTGGCTGTATGTATGCCTTTTGAGAAGTGTCTGTTTATATCCTTTACCCACTTTTTAACAGAGTTCTTTGCTTTTTTCTTGTTGATTCATTTAAGTTCTTTATAAATTCAAATATTCGTCCTTCATTGAATGTATAGTTTGCAAATATTTACTCCCATTCTGTGGTTGTCTGTTTGTTCTATTTAGAGCTTCTTTTGCTATGCAGAAGCTCTTTTGTTTAATTGAATCGCATTTGTTTATTTTTAACTTTGTTGCATTTGCTTTGAGCTATTAATAAAAATTATTTGTCCAGGCCAATGTCTAGAAGAGTATTTTTGAAAACGCTGGTAAAATGTACATAACATGAAATTTATCATTTTTACCATTTTTATTGTACAGTTCAGTAGCATTAAGTAAATTGACATTGTTGTGCAACACTCACCATCATTATCCATCCACAGACTATTTTTCGTCTAGCAAAACTGAAGCATCATACTCATTAAACAACTCCCCATTACCCATGACCCCATCCTCTGGCAATCATCATCTTTCTGTCTCCATGAATTTGATGACTTTAAGCACCTCATATGAGTAGAACTGTACATTATTTGTCTTTTGTGACTGGCTTATTTCACTTATTAGCATAAGGTATTCAAGATTAATCTATGTTTTAGCATGTCTCAGAATGTTTTTACTTCTTAAGGCTGCTACTATTCCATTGTATGTATATGCCCTATTATGTTTATTCATTCATCTGTTGTGATCGAGATATATGGTAGAATATATATTCTACAGCTCAAAGAGTCATATGCATTCTGTTCCACTTTTTGCTGTATATTATACTCATTTAATGTCTTTTTCTCTTTTTATACATTTTTCCTTTATTTGTAGCTGACATGTAATAATTGTCAGCTACAAATAAATGAAAAATAAATTATCTATTTATATAAATAAATTATCTATTTATAAGATAGAGAGTGATATTTTGATTCATGCAGACAATGTGTAATGCTTAATTTAGGGTAACTGGCATATCTATCACCATAAACATTTATTATTTCTTAGTTCTGTGAATATTCAAAATCCTCTATTTTAGCTTATGAAAATAAACAATAAATTATTGTTACACCTATTCACCCTAGGTGCTATAGTACACTAGAACATACTCCTCCCATCTAGTTATGGTTTTGTATCTGTTAATCATACTCTTCCTACCTCTCCCCTACCCTTTCCAGCCTCTAATAACCACAATAATATTATTTACTTCCATGAGCTAAATTTTTCTTTTCAGCTCCCACATATGAATGAGAACATGCAGCATTTATCTTTCTGTGTCTAACTTTTTTACTTAACATTATGTCCTCCTCCAGAATCATGCATGTGGCTGTGAATGCTAACTGGAAACCAAATTAGTTTCACTAGTTACAGTTATGATATTTAGATAACCCATGTATAGGATTAGAGAACTACAGAATTGATGCATAGGGCAGGTCAAATAACTCTGGACTACAGAGATTATCTTGTCAACTCTGGTTATTTTGACTCTGCAGATGAAAATGTATTTTTGGTTCTAAAATTAAATGATTTAATATTTCAAATCACTCTTACAAAAATCAGTAATAGAATAAAATTAATAGAAAATTTAAGAGAAACAAATGCCAATTTATGCCTTTATTAGTAAAGATAAAACAATGATTGTGTAGGTAATGACTAGGAAGAAACAGTATGATAGTACCTTTGTACTATCATAGTAAAGTCTTGTGTTTTGTTGACCATGATAAGTTCAGCATGTGTCAACACCCTGATCATGCCGCTAAAAATATTATCATGACATGGTAGTAAGTTGTATCAATCCAATATCATGTCCATATAAAGAATGGACCCCCATCTACTAAGCATTCACACTTGAAATATTTTCTCTAACACTATACACCACAAGGTAACAGAGTCATTGGCAAATAAGTGTATGTTCAGAACAATGAAGTGTCTGAAAACTCTGACCCATGAGGAAAGATTAAAGGAACTTGGTGAATTTAGTCTGGAGATAAAAAGATTTAAGAGAGCTGAGTGCAGTGGCTCATGCCTCTAATTCCAATGCTTTGGGAGGCTGAGTTGGGGGGATTGCTTGATTTTGAGATTAGCCTGGACAACACAGTGAGACCCCCATATCTACACAAAAATTAGCTGGGTGTGATGAAGTGTTCCTGTAGTCCTGGCTAATTGGGAGGCTGAGGTGGGAGGATTGCTTGAGCCCAGAAGGTCGAGGCTGCAATGAGCCATGATCATGTCACTGCATTCCAGCCTGGGCGATGAAGCAAGACTCTGCCTCAAAAAAAAAAAAAAAAAAAAAAAAAGACTTCAGAGAGCCATAATAGATGCTTTTAAATATTTGTGTAGCTATTCTATTGGAGAAAGAATAGATGATTATATATATTCTACATATCTTTCAGACATCATTAGTATGTATTAATTAATGTTTTAGTGAAGCAGTTGCTAGCTTCTTAGAAAGATTCTTGGAATGATAAATGATCTGCAATGACAGATTAAGCAAACAGATAATATTATGAAAACATCTTTAGTAGAAATATTTGAGTAGCAGATAATTCATTTTCTGTATTGAATATTTGGTGAGCACATGTGTTTAACAGTCAAGTATTCATAATTTTGAGATGGACTTTAGAAAAAAATCAAAATGAAATTGGTAAAATTCATCATGTGCTGAAATTACTTGAGTGACTGTCCATTAATAACATGTGAAGAAATATTGAGGCATGCAGTCTTAAAGCAGGACTGGAATATGATTCTTGCTGAAGAACCTAAACAAATCTGAGACCTCTATTGAATATAGGCTCCATATAGGATACTATCTCATTATCTCATTTACTTGATTGCAACATTTTTGGGCATCTTTGAATGCAAAGAGATAAATAGCTTTAAGTTCAGAGTTAGCAATGAATGAATCATTTGAGGAGGATGTGGAGTTAGAGAAAAAGGCACACAAAAAGAAGGAGGTAATAAGAAAACTGAGTCATAAGAGTGACTAAGGAAGTAGAGGTGCAAACCTCATGTATCTGAGGGTATAAAAAAGACGAGGTCATGAGACCTTCTATTGGGTCACCAGAATTGACGTTAAATATAATGTCCTAAATAATGGTTTACAATCTCAGTTTTACAGAAGCAGCTGTGCTGTCATTTAAAATAGTTTTCTTTGCTCTTTTTACTCCTCAGTTACTTGGTACAAAATCCTGAGGCAACCTGAATCTGTCTCTATTACTTGCAATCTTAAAGAATCCTAATTAGTATATACCTTTAAGTTCAAATTTTTTTTTGAGAGGGGTAGAATGTGATCAGCATAGAGTCTAAGAAAAGCAATGGAAGAGAAAGGCATTAATGGAAACATAAAATTAATGCATTCAGAACATTTTCTGATTCCATCACTTCTCACCCAACATTGGGCTGATTTCTTTCCAAATAGCAGTTTTGCTATGATTTGTCCTTCCATGAAAATCTCTCCTGAACGATGCACTTACAAATGTGACCCCGGGACCACATATATTAAAATCACCAAGGGGCATTTGTTTTACATGTTCCTGGGATTAATACCACTAGATTCTACTGAAACAGAATCTCTGGTGGTGAGTTCTGGGAACCTGCATTTTAAGCAATTGCTCATGTAACATTTATGTACATAAAATTTGATAATCACTGTCCTATATAGAAAGGATGTGCTGACAAGTCAGTGTGAACACAGCCCTAGATTCCACTAGATAATCCTGGTTCTTGATCCCTGGTAAAAACCACCTTCTTAATTTGTCTCTTTAGTGTAGTAGTGGAGAATGTAGGGACTTCTATTGTTGTTAATCTCTGGGTTGCCTTATTGTCTCCTGTTCACTGATTATCAATTAACCAGTCATCTCTAGGCCTGCAAGTAGTACATGCAGGTGAGTGCAGCTGTAGTAGTAATAGCAGGGTGGGTGGGTCCAACCTATGGCCTCTGGGAGGAGTGCTCTAGTGCCAGTAGTAGTAGACTGGACTGGATGAACTTCAGGCTGCTGGACTGCATGATCTTCAGGCCTCTGGACTACATATTTTAGAACAGTGGAATTGCAAAGCCAGCCCAGGCATCTCATAGATTTTGTTCATAGTGGCATTTAAAGAACTTGTGTATTTCTGTGGTATCCCTTTAATACCACAGAATTAAATTCTGTGGTATTAATTTAATTCTGTGGTGAATGCTGCCTGACCTGGGACTCACCCTTTAGGGCAGTGAGCTTCCACTCTGGTCCAGGGCATGTCCCAAAATGCCATCTAAGAGCCAAGGCCTGGTTGTTTTCTGGAGTGTTTCATCATTAATCTAGCTGGTTCCTTGCATTTCATTCCCTCTGGTTTATACATTCAGAATGGTTTCTTCTTTTCCAGTTTGTGTTCTGACATCATCCCTAGAACGGCCAGTATTTCCCAGTTTCATACTCTTTGAGAGCATACCTCTTTAATCAAACACTGAAAGAAACATTAGGGTCAATTTTTGACTCTTAGATAATAGGAAGTTTTGCATCTTTTCAATGGCTAGCCAATGAGAACAGCTGTGCAAGAAAGGAAAATGATTTAGCTAAAATTTATGTGATTTTTTGACTTTGCTATATATAACCCAAATCAGAGCCTCGGCAGCTCTGAATAGGGTTAGATGTACATTTTTTTCTCCCTGGATTCAGTTAAAGCCCTTTAACACAATTGTATATAAGTTATCATTAATGTAAAAAGCTCTGTTTTTCCACTAAAACCAGAGAGAGGTACTTTGCAAGCTTGAATGTTAAATGGAGGCACTTCAAATTTATGAATAATCAGAGTGGAGGCTATCTTGACATTTTGTAAGTCCTACAGAATGCCAAAGAACATTTAGTTTTCAACTTAGATATTAGAGTAGGTTAGAAGAGTTACTTATTTCCCATAGGTGCTATCATATTTAAATTTTTCACTGTTATTCTTCTTAGCTCTGAAGAAGAAAAATATGAAAAATTCATTCTCAAATTATTTTTAGTTCACCAAGTTAAAGGAAACATAACTATAAGAAATGTAAAACAATGTTTCTTATAGGTCAGATTCCTGATTGTACTGACTTCTTAAGAACTGTGAAGTGATGTTGCTTTGGACAGTATAAAAAAACCTCATTGTGAGCCAATGTGTTTAATGTACTCACCAAGATAAATAAGTCATGTTTCCTGTCCTGGGCAAGTGACCAGTAGGGAAGGTCATTAAGAAAGCAAATAGAAGTGATACAAATAAGTAAATAAATAAGCTTGTCTATTTGTTTGTTTTGAGACCTTTGGGGAAAGGACGGGAAATGAACCAGAGAAAAGAAACACTACACTTAGAATGAGAAGGCAATCTTGTTGTGTATTCTGGATAGTTTAGATAATATTATTTGTATCTTTTATTCTCCAGCAATCCTAAGAAGTAGGTATCAATATCCTTACTTCACAGTTAACTAAAAAATGTTTGGAGATATTAAGTCATTTGCCAAAGTTAATTTTGAAGTTTCCATTGTAGGTCACACGTCATTTCTTCAATCTCTAAATAGTGAAGTGATCCAAGGCTCAGTCCTCACACCTTTCCCTTCTCCATCTACACTTACTTCTTGCATCAGCTTTTCTCACTTCTCACGGCTTTAAATATCGTGTCACCAGTGTGCTGACTACTCTCAAATTAAATCTCCAGCTCAGATGTCTTCCCTGCTCTCCAGACTCACATATCCAACTGCCTAATTGACATTTACACTTGGATGTATAATGGGCACTTAAACTTAGTACATCCAAAATTGAACTTCTGATCTCTCTCATCTCTGAAACCACCTCCTCCTGTAGTCACTGCCATTTCATTACATAATAACTCTACTTTTCTAGTTTCTCAGGCCAAAAACCTTGAGTCACTTTTGATTTATCTTTTCCTCATAAAGCCCACAACCAAGCTCTTTCGACTCATCAAGATATATTCAGATTTTGATTACTTCTCATCATGTTTCTCCTCTGAAGTCTCTTTTACATTTTGTGTTAGTCCGTTCTTGCACTGCTATAAGGAACTACCTGAGACTTGGTAATTTATAAAGAGGTTTAATTGGCTCACCATTCCACAGCCTGTACAGGAAGCATGGCTGGGGAGGCCTCAGGAAACTTACAAAGACAGCAGAAGATGAAGAGGACAGAGTCATGTGTTCCACGGCCGGAGAAGGAGAAAGAGAGGAAAGTGGGAGGTGCTACACACTTTTCAACAACCAGATCTTGTGAGAACTCACTATTAGGAGAACAGCAAGGGAGAATTCCACTCCCATGATCCAATCACCTCCCACCAGTCCCCACCTCCAACATTGGGGATTACAATTCAACATGAGATTTGGGCAGGGACACAAATCCAAGCCATATCACCTTTTAAAGGGTGCTTTGCTAATATAGACTAATCAATCATTCATCTATCTCAATATTTGTCTATCTATCTATCATCTATCTATCTATCTATCTATCTATCTATCTATCTATCTATCATCTATGTATTCAACTGATAAAGGCTGGCTTTTTGCATATGCCACATATATAGTCTCAAATGGTTCCAGGTTCAGAAGGATCTATGTTTGGCTTAATGTTCTGCTGTTGCCATCTTGAAAACTGTTGATAATTTTATCTTTGAACTTATGATTTGTAGGTGAAGTCCAATGGGACAATGGAGCATGCACATTAGCAGAAGAGAAACATGAAATATGCACGTTTGCTGCCTTTTCTTGCCACTCCATTCACATTTCACGCCAAAAGTAAGCAATGGCATTTTACGAAACACGGGCAACCAAGGAACCCTAATGTAACCTTTCTTTGGAGTCCTACTTCCCTTTACTAGTCAACACCTTATGCTAAAAATGGTGACACTGAATGGGAAAGAACTGAAAAGATAGGACAACCCATAATTCTTTTTTCTTCAATTAGTCCTTATAAATCAATAAGCTGAAGGTAGTAAGTATTGGTTAAATATGCCTGTATCCAAATGAAATAAATACATTTGAATTAATGTACATTTCCATCATTCTGGTAAGAACAAAATTCATATGCATAGCTCAGTTATGAAATAAGAGCTGTGTAATTTCAGTAATTCCACATACTCTACCACATGCTCTTATTGGCACTTAAAAATAGCTTTGTGCAACACAAAAATGAACAATAATGGCACTTACACTTCTGCCTTTTGAACAAGAGGATTCATTTTTCCATTTTGCAACCTGTAAGTTATGTAGCTAGCCACAATAAATTTATATCATATATTTGTATGTGTGTCCCTATATATGCACATTTATGTAAACACGTACACTCATGCACACACACTTATGGGCATACACACACATACCTTCCTTGTCTTACTCTGGTCTTGGCCCTGCATTGTATGAATAAACTGTAATATATGCATACATTTTTCTTCTTGATAGACATTTAGGTTGTTTCCAATTTTAAGCTGTAATTAATAACTCTTTTTATAAGTATATGTTTTCATTTTTCTTTGATAAATATCTAGTAGTTGAATTGTTCGGGCATTGAGTGGATATATGTTTAAATTTATAACAAAATGTCAAACAGGTCTCTAAAGTGATCATATTATTTTACTCTCCCATGAGCAATATATGGGACGCTTATTTATTCCATACAGTTGTCATACTTAGAAGTATCTGTTTTTCATGGTTTAGCTGTTTCAGGGGGTGAGAAACAGCATTTCATTCTGGTTTAATTAGCATTTCCTGGTGACTATTGCACTTATTGACGTTTGTTGCTTTTTTAGTCCAGTATATTTTTATGACTTTTGACCATTTTTGATTGTTTTCTTGCCAATATAGATTTGTAAAAGTTCTTCATAGATTCTAAGTAAAAGTTTTTGGTCAAATAAATGTGTTGTAAATATTTTCTATCAATCTGGCTTATTATTCAGTACTATCTAGGTTAAAAGTCTTCTTGGCATTGCAAGCTAGATGATTAAAGTTTCTTTCCTCAACAAGTTTTCAATCACTGGTACTAAGAAAAGGTCAGCTGGAAACTTTTAGGGAGGATGGTAGGTACATTTTAGTTTTTGTTTTTGTTTTTGTTTTTACTTTGGATAGGCGAGTGGACACTTTTTTAAGGCTAATATTCTCCAGTTCTAATTATTAACACAATTCCAGATTTGTGTTAGGTTTGATACATGTAGCCTCTGATCTTCTGACTTTCTATTTCCATATAGTTTCTATTTTGGAGTTCTTACCCAAATTGAAAGCTTTTTCTTATAATATAATAAATTTTGTAGCTATTACATGTGATCTTTTTGCAATTTGTTAATATGTATGGTGATGAATGCAAATAATTTAGAATTTCTTGATATCTGCCAAACACAAGTGTATTCTGGTCTCTACACTTAGGATATTAAACTAAAACATACAAGATTGTACATTAAAGTTATTTATTTACCTCAGAGATTACACATTAGGTAAGAATTGTAGGTACTGAAGTCCAGCCACTAATAAAACAAACAGAAAAAAAACTCACGGTTATCCGTGGGAATCTTTTTTTTTCTTTTTGCTGGAAATTGTGTAATTTTAGCTGACAGTGTTATTCAGGAGATGACTGGTGTCCCAGGACAGATATCTACATAATAGAAGGAATCATGTTTGTTTGTTTCAAAAAATCCCTTCCATAAAAAATGATTTAAGTTGTTCCATTAAAGCTAATTGCTAATCAAAATTTCAAAAATGTTAATCAAGAGCCCTCATAGGAACAAAACCATTTTCTTAACACAGTGGAAATGTGCAATAAATAAATTATGCCATTCATTGAGGTGAGAGCTCAGAATGTAATTATTAGCATTGCTATTTAAATGGTAACCTTGTTTGACATTTTACTGGAAATTTATCTTCTTGGCAAAAACAACCAAGAGGAAATCTCATTATGGGTTGTTAACTATATCTGTTGCCCCTGGATGCTTATATTCATTAAATAGGTCACACAGTTTCTAATTTTATATCTACCAAAAGTATTTGGAATTGGCTGCCTATATGTTTTATCTTTGAGGCATCTAAGAAGATATTTTTCTCTTAGTAATCATGTTTCATTACTACTGTTACCTATTCATTATTTTATCATAGTTTCATTTTGAGAAACTCTGTATCATTGTTCAATACTGATTTTGTTTTAGGATATCATACTAGTGAAAAGCTCCAGATTCATCAATTGGATTTAAATCTCAACTTTGATATTTCCTAGTTTTACAGCATGGAGAAATTATGTAACTTCTCTATGCCTTACTTTCCTCCTCTTTAAAATAGAGATAATGAATATGCTTATCTTGAAGGAATATTATCAGGTTAAATACGTTAATTTTAAAGACATATAGATACCAAATTTGTGTGTGTGTGTGTGTGTTTAAAATAAATTGGAAGGTGGTTCAAAAATTTATTCCCCTGAATTCTTTTTAAAAAATTGCTAAATATCTTTGAGCTCAAGAAGAAATTAGAAATGATGTTATCTTACGATGTCTAGAACATAATACAATGGAAATATTTATTATCTAAACACAATATTAAGGAGGGATTTATAACAAAATGCATTTGTTGGAAAAAAAGAAAGAAATTAAATGAGCTAATCATTTAACTCAAGGAATTGGAAAAACATTGCCAAAGTAAACATAATTAAACAAGAAGGAAATAAATAATAAGACATAAACCAAATATCAGCAAAACCAAGAACAAAGAAAAATAGAGAAATTGAATAAAATTAAATTTGTTTATTTGAAAAGACTAATGAGATAGGGAACCAGTAGAAAACTTACTAAAATAAATGAGAAAATCGAAAAATATATAAAAAATAAAGGGAATATCAAAATATTAAAATTTCAAAGCATGTTACAAAGATTGCATAAAATACATTTTAAAATAAAATACAATTGATACATTTCTGAAAAATGAGAATGGCAGAATTTGGTAAAAAAAAAAGCAATAGAAAATGTTAATAGACTTGTATTCATGAAAGAAATTAAATGATAAACAAAGATTCCTATACTTCCTCAAAAAATCTCATGCCCAGACATTTTTAGAGACAAATTGTTTCAAATCTACCCCTCTAAATGTTTTAAAAACATTAAACAAATGGTCACAAAAATCAAAAGGAAGACTAATTGCCAACTCATTTTGTTGTAGCTCATAAAATCCCATAAAATAAGAATAAGGAGAAATAAGGAAAAGAAATTAGAGACCAATCTTATAAATGCAAATGCATAGCTATTAAATAAAATTTGACTATCTTAATTAAACAGTTTGTTGGAAAATTTTTAAAATCCTTAAAATACTGTTTATTTTTAAAATGGAACGATACTTATTGACAGAAAATTATGATATAGGACTTAAGAAGAAATTATTTAGGCAGATTGTAAGGTTTTCCTTTTAATGAAAAGCAGCCCCCAAGTCATTTTGTTATCTAACAAAGAGCAGCCTGTAAAAACAAGCTGCAGACATAGATGAGCGAGCTGGAAGCTTGCAAGGGTGAATGCCTGCAGCTGTGCCAATAGGAAAAGGCTACCTGAGGCTAGACGTGTTCAACATGGCGGCTCCATCGTCTCCTTTCCTTGTCACGGGCACAGTAAGGAGCAGGGAACATAGTGCTGGCCAAGTAGAGACCCCATTTGCATAACGAAAGATTAAGCTGGGGTGGCCAGTTTCCTCATGCACTATGTAAACGTCACACCTGGTCCAACCAATCTGTGAGCTGTGCGTAAATCAGACACCGCCTCCTCCAGGCTGTCTATAAAACCCTGTGGGCTCCACTGATGGCCAGAAGTCCCACTGGGGCACCTGTCTCTCAGGAGAGAGAGAGCTTTGCTCCTTTCTCCTTCTTTTGCCTATTAAACCTCTGCTTCTAAACCCACTTCTTGTGTGTCCGCCTACTTAATATCCTTGGCGTGAGATGACGAACTTCGGGTATTTACCCCAGCCAACAACGTGACTTCAATTATACCTGTCATCTACTCATAATGTTAATAATTGGTAACCAGTGTATACTATTGTTCATCACATTGAAGGACCACATAATAAAAAACACTATCACTTCAATAGATCTGAAAAATAAATAATATCACACTTGTTTTTATTAAAAACTCAGAAAAATTGTGGTAGAAAAAAGCGTCCCTAAAGAATGTGCCTATATACTTGGGAACTATACCAAATGTTATATTTAATTGAGGGCATTTAAACATAGTTTCTTTAAAAACAAATAAAAGAATGCCTATTTTCATCAATAGTGTTTTGCACAGTTATAACCAAAACTATCAGAGAAGAAAAAAAAAAAGAGTTTGAGATATGAGAGGGATATGGATTGGCTGGGTCCTCTCACCCAAACCTCATTTTGAATTGTAGTTCCTATAATTTCCACGTGTTATGGGAGAGACCCGGTGGGAGATAATTGAATCACTGGGCCGGTTTCCCACGTACTGTTCTTTTGGTAACAAATAAGTCTCACCTGAGCTGATGGTTTTATAAGAGGAAACCCCTTTCGCTTGGTTTTTCATTCTCTCTCACCTGGGGCCAATGCAAGATGTGCCTTTCACTTTCCGCCATGATTGTGAGGCCTCCACAGCCACGTGGAACTGTGAGCCCATTAAACCGCTTTTTCTTTATAAATTACCCACTCTCAGGTATGGCTTTATCAGCAGTGTGAAAACGAACTAATACGAAGAGGTAGAGTTAAAAATGTCTTCATTTGTTGATTGCACAATTGTCAAAATAAAATTAAATTCAACAGAAAAAAAGCAATTATTACAATAAATAAAGTAATTTATCAAGATTGTTGCTCAGAAAGTCAGCCTAAACAAATCAATAGTATTTTGTTGTTGTTGTTGTTGAGAGGGAGTTTTGTTCTGTCGCCCAGGCTGGAGTTTGGTGGCGCGATCTCGGCTCACTGCAACCTGCGCCTCCCAGTTCAAGCGATTCTCCTGCCTCAGCCTCTTGAATAGCTGAGATTACAGGCGTGCCGACACGACGCCCAGCTATTTTTTTTTTTTTTTTGTTAAATCTGAGAGGGAGTCTACCTCTGTAGCCAGGCTGGAGTGCAGCGGCGCCATCTTGGCTCACTGCAAACTCCGCCTCCTGAGTTCAAGCGACTCTCCCGCCCCCTGAGTTCAAGCGATTCTCCCGCCCCAGCCTCCCGAGTGCTGGGACTACGGGCACGCCCCGCCACGCCCAGCTAGTTTTTGTATTTTTAGTAGAGACAGGGTTTCTGTTGGCCAGGATGGTCTCGATTTCCTGACCTCGTGATTCGCCTACCGCGGCCTCCCAAAGTGCTGGGATTACAGGCATAATTACGGGCACCGCAACCGGCCTAATTTTCTGATTTTTAGTAAAGACAGGGTTTCATCATGTTGGCCACGATGGTCTGGAACTCCTGACCTCAGGTGACACAAATCAACAGTATTTATCTTTAATGATTCATGTTAACTTCCAAAGGAAAGAAAGGAAACTCAATTAAAGATTTGGTAAAGAAGATGAGCAGTTGATTTACAAAGAAGTATAGTTGATGTAAAGTTATATGGAGAAATGCTCAAACTCATTAGTAGTCAGAGAAAAGTGAAACTGCAATGGAATACCTCTTTACAGTCTCCGTAGGTAAAAATTAGAAAATTAGATAAAAACAACATTGGCAGAGATGTGAGAAAATAAGAATATTTATAAATCTTTTAAAATTATTATCATGGGGAACATAAACGAGAAAAACCCTTTTGGAAATAAATCTGTCTATACTTAATGATCTTAATTGTTTCCTGTTGGGCTTCTGTGCCCCTGAGAAATGAGTTCTAGGTGTATATCCCAAATAAATCCTTGTACAGAGTACAAATGTAACGTGCTGAAAATAATGTTGGGAAATGAATAAAAGATATGTGATTGTGGACACTATGAAATATTTTGCATCATTTAGAAGCTACAAAACAAATTGTGCATACAATATTCAATGCCATTAGGACATTCTGACAGCCAGTGTTGGTTGCACCGAGGTCCTTGTTAGGAAGTTACCCATGAGCTCCCAAAGAAGACGGCTTTCTATGAGAAAAGAGTGCGTCTGGTCTGATGGAGCTGTGCCTAACTCTGACAGTTTTATTGGATATGAAGAATCCAATTGTGACCATGATACATCATGAAAGCTCTCTTTGGACTGAATCAACTCCAGGAATATTGGAGAGTGGTTGGATATGGAGTGAATTAAACAATAATAGATGGCCACATGAATGCTTGAGTGGTTTCTTTTAGGAAAATAAAAAATTTTAAAAGATAAAACCTTACGTGTACCTTAATCAGATGTCACAAATAACAGTGGATCCTAATAGTTAAATAAACAATTACTTCCTTCTCTTCCTCCTTCTCCTCTTCTCTTCCTACCTGTGAATTTTCAAGCTAATCATGTTTCCCTTTTTACACTTACTACTAGAAAGTTTAGAGTTAAATGTAAGGGCCATCTGCTGCCAAAGGCTGGTTGTGCATTGTTTCAGCTCTATTTATTTATTTATTTTGTTTTAGAGATAAGGTTTTACTCTGTCACCTAGGATGGAGTGCAGTGATGTGATCATAGCTTACTGAGGCCTTGACCTTCTGGCTCAAACGATCCCACAGCTTCAGCTCCCACAGTAGCTAGGACTACAGGCTTGCTCCACCATGCCTGCTGGGTAATTTTGTTTGTTCGTTTTTTGTTTTTTTTTTTGTTTTTGTAGAGACAGAGTCTTGCTACGTTGCCAAGGCTGATCTTGAATTCCTGGTCTCAAGCCATCCTTTCACCTTGCCCTCTCAAAGTACTGGGAGTAGAGGTGTGAGTCACCATGCCCGGGCTAGTTTAGCTTTATACCTGACATTATTACATCAAATTAGTTTAGTTTATCCTTGTACCCAGCTTTAAAAAAAATCCACTTTTAATTTTTGATATATATCTTCTTATATTTTACATTTTCTCCAAATTGCTTTAAACCTTTTCTGGAATAACGCACGGCATAAGTTATGACATAAACAAACAAGCAAATGCATACACATATTAGTATCCACATGAGAAAATCAAAACCACTTTAAGAATATATAATACAACAGAGAGGAAATCAGTAAGGAATTGATGATATAGGTGATAGAGGCACAGAGAGAATGGTGCGATAAATCAAATAGAAATGGTAGAAAGTCATTACCATTTGTAGGCAATTGACATAAAGAATGTAGGATGATATCAGAGTGCAGAGGCCAGGATAATGTGACAGAGGCTGGAGTCTAATGGGCCTCTCTAGTGGGAGCTAGAGACATGGGCAGGAGGGTGAGGAGGTGGTGGAGTAGCTGAGGCAGGGGAGGATGAGATATATTCTGGCTTCTCCTGGTTTTCCATCAGTTCATCCCAGCGAATTCAGGGAAATTCATCCTGCAGAGCTGAGAGAGGCAAAAAAAAAAAAATAATAAACTGAGGGCAAACAGCCCAAAATTATCTCAATCATTTGATAAATAACTCCTTCAAAATTTCCAGGAGTTATTCACTTTGCCTTGGTCTCTTCTATAGAAGTAAACCAATGACAATGAAAAAACAGCCCCTGACATTTGAAAAATGACCAGCTTAGATCAATTTTCTTCGTATTTAGTCTGCCGTCTATAGACTGCCTCAAAAGTAAAACATAAATTATTTCATATGCAATTAGACTCATGTAGTAACTAATTGTAAGTTATAAATTAAATAGTTTTTAATGACAAAGCTTAGTAACAGGTAAATATTCAAATCTTTTTATCTTTCCCTATCAAGAGCAAATGTTAGGAAATCATACTAAAAGAGGAACAGAAGCTACTACATTTAAGGACACTTTTGGCTGGGTGCAGTGGCTCATGCCTGTAATCCCAGAACTTTAGAAGGCCGAGGTGGGTGGGTCATATGTCAGGAGTTCGAGACCAGCCTGGCCAACAGGGTGAAACCCTGTCTTTACTAAAAGTACAAATACTAGCCGGGTTGGGTGGTGTGTGCCTGTAATCTCAGCTACTCGGGAGGCTGAGGCAGAAGAATCGTTTGAACCCCAGGGGGCCGAGGTTGCAGTGAGCCAAGATCTCACCATTGCACTCCAACCTAGACAACAGAATGAGACTGCATCTCAAAAAAAAAAAAAAAAAAAAGAAAAGAAAAGAAAAGAAAACAACCAAAAGGACATTTTTATTTTCAGAAATTGTGGCCAATTTTTGTCTCAAACATCTTATGTGTCAACGTGTACCATTTAGACGTACTCTGTGGGAAATGGTTGTTGACCGCCTCTTGACTTCCCGACGGATTATAACCTAGCATGCTGTCATAACAGATTGCTATTTAGGGAAATTTGGATCATGATTTTATAGCCAACTGGCTTTAAAATGTGCTATTAATATTATATTTTAATAGTTCTACCGAAAAATATAAAATATTATTGTGTAAATTTGGGTATAAAATATGAAAATAAAGTTATACAAACATAAAAAATCAACTGTAATTATAAATATTAATATTTTTAGCATTTAATTATATTTCCTAATTGGGTTAAAATATTAGATATGGTTTCTCCATGCTTGAAACATTAAAGATGGTAGGGAAAATATTTTTGAAGTTATAAAAATAGAGCGAGGGTTGGATTTCATTGCTATTTGGGAGGCTGAGGCAGGAGGACTGCTTGAGCCCAGGAGTTTGAGACTGCCATGAGCTATGATTGTGCTACTGCACTCCAGCCTGGGGAACAAAATGAGACCTTTTCTCTAAAATAAAAATAGAATAGAGGGAAGCTCTTATATTTCTTCATAATTTGTTGATCATTGTTGCTCATAGAAAAACATACAATTTTTTTATTTCCAAATATTTAGACTCCTGTGTAATAATGTCTATGACCTATAAGGTTAAAGCTGCATCCTAAATGACTTGATTCTTGCAACATCAGCCTTTTGTTATCAACTTGTGAAGTCTTTCCCCTGAATAAGCCAGCATGCTGCCTCTCATGTCTCCATCTAGAAGGCATAAATAGAAGCTTTATTAAAAGATAATAAAAATAGGGGCCGGGTGCGGTGGCTCACGCCTGTAATCCCAGCACTTTGGGAGGCCAAAGCGGGCGGATCACGAGGTCAGGAGATCGAGACCATCCTGGTTAACACGGTGAAACCCCGTCTCTGCTAAAAATAGAAAAAATTAGCCGGGCGTGGTGGCGGACGCTTGTAGTCCCAGCTACTCGGGAGGCTGAGGCAGGAGAATGGCGTGAACCTGGGAGGTGGAGCTTGCAGGGAGCCGAGATCGCGCCACTGCACTCCAGCCTGGGCGACAGAGCGAGACTCTGTCTCAAAAAAAAAAAAAAAAAAAAAAAAAAAAAAGATAATACAAATAAATAAACATCTTATGTTTCAGACAAGACAAATTGCCGTCCCACAATAGTCCAGGGACTGACATCGAGCATTTCCCAAAGCCTAAGTAACTTGATGAGCTATTCTTTTCACTCAGAGTTTGCACTGCTGATGGGATTGTGGGAGGGGGGAAGGCAGAAACAGGAGTTTCTGTATTAGTCTGCTCAGGCTGCCATAACAAAATGTCACAGATGGGGTGGCTTAAACAAAAAGCATTTATGTTCTCACAGTTATGGAGGCTAGAAGTCCAAGATAACGATGTTGTCATAGTTGGTTTCTATTGAGTTCTTTCTTCCCGGCTTACAGACAGCTGCATTCTCTCTGTGTACTCACATCATCTTTCCTGTGTGCATGCATTGGGGGTGGAGGGAGGGGGGAGAGAAGGAGAGGGTGGGGGAAGAAGGTTCTTACAAGAACATGAGTTCTATTGGATTAAAGCCCCACACTTATGCCCTCATTTAACTTTAGTTATCTCCTTAAAGGTCTTATTTCCAAATACAGCCACATCAGGGGAAGGGTTTCAACATATGCATTTTGAGGGAACATAATTCATTCCATAACAGTATCCAAATTACCATAATTTACCAGTGACTGTGGGCCCCCTGGTAGAAAATCTATGATCATGGAGGAGAGTGTATATCAAATACAGCTTGACTCAGTGATAGATTTCAGAGCTGGAGAGGATGAATCATCCTGGTTACATTAAGTCAGCTTTAGTTGAACTCAGGTTAACCTACCGGCTATCCCTGAGCATTTATCCTGGGGAAAGAGAGAGACCATGAGGTCATGTATTTGTAAAGCCAGACTGATTCTAGCACCAAGCAGCCCTACTATGAAATGTGTCCAAAAAAGACCACATGGGAAAGAGAATTTTTCTCCTTATTTTGTAGCAAAGCATCTCAGAGATGCCTGAGTAGGGCAGTCAGTTGTGATGGCATCAGTGGTTTGAGTAGCAGTCTTAGAAAATCAAAAAGAGAGAATGCCTCCAGGAAGCATTGTAAGAAGAGCAGCTGCTTGAGTGTGGATGCTGACAGCAGTTCTGGTGCAGTGCTGTGTACATAGTTTAGGAAGATATATAGGGATGTGATCTAGATTCAATGACAGCACTATGGGCACTGCTCCAATAGCTTACAGGTGATATCAGCAAGGCACACATATGTGAGTTGAATTTATTTGTAACTATGATGTTGTCAAGAACCATGAAAAGTCTGAGATTTTACATTGCTTTCAAGCTAACAAATTAGTTTCCACAGTTTCATGAATGCTGGTAGAAGACACGAAACTCCTGAGTCAGAAACAAATAACTTTATTACTCATAATACAACAGTCATCATGAGCTTTATGGTCATATCTGTTTCCCTTCTCCCCCAGATCCCATAGGGTGAAGCAGATTGGCTTGGGAAGATGAGGTGCAGCTAGTGGGTTTGCATTACCGAGGAGTACTCTTGTGCTTTGGAACCCCAATCTTTTAAAGGGGCTCCTAGCACACCTGACCAATTTTTCCCTTGGAGAGAGACATTATTTTTATTACCTTGATCAGCAAACAAATCTGCCCTCTTGGGAGAGGCCTCCCTTGAAGGGAGAAACTATCTTTATCTTTCTTCCAAAGCCCTTTCCTGTACAAAAATTCTTAAGTGTGATGGTTAATATTAAGTGTCAACTTGATCGGATTGAAGGATGCAAAGTATTGTTCCTGAGTGTATCTGTGAGGGTATTGCCAAAGGAGATTAACATTTGAGTCAGTCGACTGGGACAGGCAGGCTCACCCTCTGTCTGGGTGGGCACCATCTAATCAGCAGCCAGCATAAAAGCAGGAATGGAAAGAGCAGAATTGCTGAGTCTTCTGGCCTCCATCTTTCTCCCATGCTGGATGCTTCCTGCCCTCAAACATTAGACTCCAAGTTCTTCAGCTTTTGGACTCTTGGACTTACACCAGTGATTTTCCAGGGGCTCTCAGGCCCTTTGGCCACAGACTGAAGGCTCCATTGTTGGCTTGCCTACTTTTGAGGTTTTGGAAGTCAGACTGGCTTTCTGGCTCCTCAACTTGTGGACTTCCTATTGTGGGACTTCACTTTGTGACTATGTAAGTCAATTCTCCTAATAAACCCCCCTTCATTTATTCATCTATCCTATTAGTTCTGTCGCTTTAGAGAACGCTGACTAATACAATAAGATATTCTGAAGCATACCTGTCCAGCCCTTTTGTTCAGAAGACGTGCAGAAATGTGAAAGACTGTGGATAATTGTCTTTCAATATGCATGACACCCCAGGGAACTGGCTGAGCTATGGGTGAGAGGGGCTGGAAATATGAGTTAATCTCATTTATACCCATAAGCTTGAAATTACTATGTTATACTTTTAAAGGCAACAATGCAAAGTATTTTTAAATATGTTTTATCCCTTTGAATTAACACATATTTTTATCAATATGGAATCCATTTTGAACATAAAATATTTTCTAAATGAAAATCTATGGAAGAAAGTAAGCAAATAAATGGATAAATTGGTAGTACTTTTTCTTTTTTTTTTTTTTTGTCATTTGAACAACTAATATGACTAGTAACTGAAGAGATACTAGACAACCAAAAAACGATAGTTTGAAAATAAATTTCAAGTAGATGAATTTTCTAGTATTTAGTCCTTTCATTTTTATGAGAGGTACTGGAAAGAAAAAACACATGTACTTGGCAGCAGAACCCTTGTTAAAAATTACATCTGGGACTGGGAAGTTTGGTGGGGAAGATTCTAATGTATAGCTTCCACTGGTATTTGAGGGGTCACACACAGACAGCAAATCCCCCTTTGAGATAGATAGTTCCTTTATGAAAAATAAAACAAGAAGGAAAAGAAATACTTCTGAAAGCCTTGGTTACGATCAGGTAAAAACAATAATTTAGTTCAAAATAATGAGTGGTAAAAATGTCTCTGTCTGACAATAAATTATTTTTAAGTGAATTGATTATTTGTGTTTTAAGAGATTAAGGCATTTTTGGTGGGGGGATTAAAAGGACATAAGTTTGGGGACCTTGGAAATGGGAAATAAGATTAAGAGGAGATAAAACTTCCGGTTGGAGCAGGAAGCAGGGAGCTAGGCCTATGCCTATAAGAGAACATTTTCAAGTTGTATTTAAGAAATATGAAAAATAATATTGGATAGCACCCGTGTGTGTGTGTGTGTGTATATATATATTATTTTTTTTTTTTTTTTGAGACAGAGTTTCGCTCTTGTTGCCCAGGCTGGAGTGTGATGGCACGATCTCAGCTCACTGCAACCTCTGCCTCCCGGGTTCAAGCAATTCTCCTGCCTCAGCCTCCTGAGTAGCTGGGATTACAGGCATGCATCACTACACCTGGCTAATTTTGTGTTTTTAGTAGAGACGGGGTTTCTCCATGTTGGTCAGGCTGGTCTCGAGCTCCTGACCTCAGGTGATCCTCCCACCTCGGCCTCCCAAAGTGCTGGTATTACAGGCGTGAGCCACTGTGCCCAGCCAGCACCCACTTTTAAATTATAAAGTTTACTGAGGTATAATTACATTGAGAAAAATATTCTTTTTTAAAGCTGTATAGTTCCATGAATTTTGATAAATATATGCTGTCAGATAAACATCTCCACAGTCAAGGTGTCTGGTGGTCCCTTAACTTCATAAAGTTTCCTCATTCTCCTTTGTAATTTATTTCTTCACTTCCTCCCATACCTAGCAAACACTGATCGGTCTCTGTCTCATAGTTTTGTCTTTACTACAGAGTTTTGGCTAAAATATAAATGAGATCATACTTTTTGAGTTTGGCTTCTTGTACTTAACATAGCACATTTGAGGTTCATATATGTGGTTGTACATATTAATAGTTATTTCCTTTTTAATCCAGCAGATACTTTTTGGTTGTTTTCTCTTTCACTCCAAGATTTCTCTCAGCAACTTCCCACCCTGTTTTCAAAATAAGTTTTATTAACTTATGAAATTAGTTTTTATCTTTAATTGCTCTGCCATAGGGAAGTAGGCATACTTTTGTTCATGTTTTGTGGTTTTAGCAAAGTGGAGTAAGCTGATACAGCATGGTGGAGGACAGTCAAAGGGTTATTGAGAAGAGAAGTCTGCAGTGAGAGGTGTAAGAAAACAATAATCAATGTTCCCTTTCTTAGCCTAATCTGCATGAATTTTCAAGGCAGTATTTTAATTCCTATAACCACATAGAATCCAGTTTAAGTTATTTAATTTATACAATGAAGAAAAGAATAATTTCAGTAGAGAGTTTGGAACCTGATATTGTTTGGCTTTGTCTTCACCCAAATCTCATCTTGAATTGTAGTTCCCATAATCCCCATGTGTCATGGATGGGACCTGGTTGGAGGCAATTGAATCATGGGGGCAGTTACCTCCATGCTGTTCTCATGATAATGAGTGAGTTTTCATGAGATCTGATGGTTTTATAAGCAGCTTTTCCCCCTTTTGCTCAACACTTCTCCTTCCTGCCATCATATGAAGAAGGATGTGTTTGCTTCCCCTTCCACCATGAGTGTAAGTTTCCTGAGGCCTCTCCAACCATGCGGAATGTGAGTCAATTCAACCTCTTTGTTTTATAAATTACCCAGTCTCAAGCACTCCTTTATAGCAGAGTGGGCATGGACTAATACAGAGCCTCTGTGGTTATAAATGCAATGGAAGATTTCTTAAAAATGAAAAATAATGTCCCAAATAAAATCTAAACCATGATGTGAATCTCTGTCTTATGAAAAAAGATACACAGAAAATGGTGCCTAAATTTTATTTCTGCTTTTGTTTAATACTAACACTAAAACATGATCATTATATTTCAAAACATATATAATAGCAAGCTATAGTTTTTCAAAGTAAAATGTATTTTATATTTGGCTTAAGAATTTCTTGTAGAAAATCCTATTTATCATGTGAAAAAAATGCTCAACATCACTAATCATCAGGGATATGGAAATTAAAACCACAATGAGATACCACCTTACTCCTTCAAGAATGGCCATTATTAAAAAATCATGAAATAACAGATGTTGGCCTGAATGTGATGAAAAGGAGATACTATTATATTGCTTGTGGGAATGTAAATTAGTACAACCTCTATTGAGAACAGTATGAAAATTCCACAAAGAGCTGAAAGTAGATCTACCATTTGATCCAGCAATCCTACTTCTGGGTATCTATCCAAAGGAAAAGAAGTCATTATATGAGAAAGACACCTGCACACACATGTTTATAGCAGCACAATTCGCAATTACAAAGCTATGGAACCAACCTAAGTGCCCATCAACCAACGAGTGGCTAAGAAAATGTGTTATATATACACCATGGAATACTACTGAGTCATAACAAAAAACAAAATAATGTCTTTTGCAGCAAGTTGGATGGAGCTGGAAGCCATTATTCTAAGTGAAGTAACTTAGGAATGGAAAACTAAATATTGTATGTTATCACTTATAAGTGGGAGCTAAGCTATGAGTGTGCAAAGGCATACAGAGTGATATAATAGACTTTAGAGACTCAGAAGGGGAGGGTGGGAAGGTGACTGGGGATAAAAAATACTACACATTATGTACAATGTACACTACTTGGGTGACAGGTGCACAAAAATCTTAGAATTCACCGCTATATAATTCATCCATGTAAGAAAAAACCATTTGTAACCCAAAAGCTATTCAAACAAAAATTTTAAAAAGAGAAAATTCTGTTTGTTTATATGCGAAAATTTAACACAAGGAAAAGGAGTGCATACTAAGAGTTCCAGTAGGGAAAAATTAAAAAATCTTAAGGATAAATTCATCAAAGAGATTTTATAAATTATCTCATGCATCTCACACATTTGACATATATCATTATGTTGGCCAAATGAAAAAAAATGTATATTGTACTAAGAGTCTTGGAAAAGACCACGTAGATGTCAAATTTGAGAAAACATTTTGCTTAGCTCTATGACATGAACTTATTTAACAAAAAGTAGTGTTCCTCCAGGGCATGAATGAATAAACATGGATTGCCAATTCATATTCCACTACCATTTGAAAATTTGAGAATGGACAAAAGTGTTGGACATAACAGATGTTAATTAATCTGACACGTATTGTGTAATAAAACAAAATTTCTAATTCTCAAGTATTAACTTTTAAAATGAGTTACAAAAAAACTAGATCCTTATTATAGAATTGATACCTTGCAAACTGTTTGAAATGGATTTATTTCTGTAATGACAAGCATTTCTATCATTTTAGAATATTTTATAAAAATAACATTATTCTGTTGATAAATGACTACATTATTCTGTTGACAAAAATTAACAGAGTTAATTTTTAATCGATGTGTGCCTTACAAAAATAAAATTAAAGCAATCACTCACGGTAGCATTGATCGCTTAAAATAAAGCTGTAGAGGATCTTTATTTTTATATTTACATTTGATTAAAAAATAAAAATCCATTCCCTAGATGCCACACTTTTGCTTTTAAACCAGAGTGATATATTGATTCAAGTGATGAGAAATTAGTCTTCTGTCAACCCCTCTTTATACACAGTTGGGATTCATAGCATTGCACCTAAGTGGCTTAGTGTTCATCCTTTATTCCGTGGTCTTTAGCTGTGAGAAAATTGCTGCTTGTTTTTCTTTGCAATCATTTCCTCCCAAATAATCTCTTTTCCTTATGTGTCTTCTATGAGTAAGCATTATGTTTCTACTTTATTTTTTTCCAAACCATTTTATATTCTGCTACATTTCTTTTCTTTAAAGGCCATATTGAATACTCATTAGCCATGTGTTCTTCTTTGTTCTTCATGGCAGCCTTAGCCCAGTTTAGGTAGGAGATGTACTCTGAGATATTTTTGTATTCCCACAGCAGGCTTACATTTTCTTTGATCCTGTTATATACTCTTTGACCCAAGTCCCACAGGACTATGATGAATCGGTTGCTGGTTTTCTGTTCAGGGTTCAAAGTGTGGATAGAAAGTAGAGATAAATTTCTGGCCTGGTGTGGTGGCTCATGCCTGTAATCTCAGCACTTTGAGAAGCCGAGGCGGGAGGATCACCTGAGGTCAGGAGTTCGCGACCAGCCTGACCAACATAGCTAAACCCCATCTCTACTAACAATACAAAAAAAAAAACAAAAAAAAAAGCAAACAAAAAAAATAGCCAGGTGTGGTCGCAGGTGCCTGCAATCCCAGCTACTCGGGAGACTGAGGCAGGAGAATCGCTTGAACCCAGGAGGCGGAGGTTGTAGTGAGCCGAGATCATGCCATTGCACTCCAGCATTGGTGACAAGAGCCAAACTCCATCTCAAAAAAAAGAAAAAAAAGTGGAAATAAATATCCAAAGGTCAAGACTACGACCTCATCAACATTATCTTCTATCAAGAGTTAACATTTAAAATTCCAAATATTCACTAAAAATTTGATTACTTTCCAAATCTCTCAGAAACCCAAATGATTTTTCCTACTTTACAGATAAACATACTAAATTTTAGAGTGGTTCAATATTATCCCCAGGGTTGCACAGTTAAGAAGTAGCTGATTCTGGATTCATCCATATCAGTTGACTTTAAGCCTGTATTCTTAAATACTGGGCAACTCTGATTTCTCAGAAAAAATAAATGTGAATAGTAAAAATGCATCATTTTTCCTTAAGATTCATCATTTTAAAAGTACTACAAGCAGACTACTGGCACTAATATTTTCTAAAAATGGATTTTATTGAATAACTCTCATTTTTCTACCATTAGATTTTACTTATTTCTTTTTTAACTTCCCTGTGATCTCAGTAAACCAAGGTCCTGCTTTGTTTTATTTTAAGATTTTTTTCTGTTCATATAATTTTTAAAAGTTTGTGGAACTGTTTTATTATCCATGTGCTGAACAAGTTCATTCTGCGTAACATTAGAAGGAGGAGGTTGTAGAGAGATTATCCATTCTTTTCTATCCAGATCCTTTGCTCATTCCAGCTGGAGAATGCTGCCTAATGAGCAAGACCTATGAAAGTTATGCTAGATGCAAATCTTGGGCTAATTGTCTTTGGCTAAATTATTACATCCAAGTTATTAGAGTCACTAAGCCTCAGTCATCATTTGGAAAATGAGGCTAAAGTTTCTTGTCACAGGCTAGTGAGAGGATTAAATGAGATGATGTAGGGAAAGTTCTTTACAGGCATGGAAACCAAATAATTGCTATTATGTGTCCCCTACACTGCACTTCCTGCCCTCTGTACTTCTGGTGAGTCAGATGCTTTCAGCACAATGCACTGCATGATTGCCAGCCCATAGGTGCAAACTCTGCACCAGCCTTCCTTCCCCCAACTTCTCTCCTTGCTGCGTAACTCCTCTCGCTCTTATCTCATTGGCTTAGCTTCAAACTCTTGTAGACCTTGGCATTTTGACTTTTTAGTGTGTGAGTATTTAGTTTTTACTTTTGTGCTTTTTATAATTGCTTACACTGTTACTCCATGTCGTGCCATGTGGACTCTGGAGGAAAACTCAACCTCCTTCTTCCACTTTGAATTTGGCACCATGGATCCTGAGTCTAACTCTAAATCCATGGTCAGCTCCCTAACAAGGGCACCCCACCTGTCCATCCAATTACTTGTGACAGAAGTATTTAGATACCTATCCATGTATTCCCTTTGGTTGGTTTATTTTAGAACTTCAAAAAAGAAAAAAGAGCTTATGTTGATCTATGGTGTTTTTGCGTATATAGTTGCGTGTATTAGGTGGGTGCCATTACTTTTACTTTTAATGGCAAAACCACAATTACTTCTGTACCAACCTATAGTTTCCTTAGTGGTCACTCCAGGTATTGCACTACACATACATAACTTATTCTAGCCTACCAGTATTGATGTTTTATCTCTTCAAGTGAAGTACTGAAACCTTATTTCCATTTAGATTTCTTTCATCTCCCTACTTTGACAATGTAACAAACAGCCTTGGGTATTTCTTCCATATATATTGAGTACCACATCGGATGGTGGTGTAACTTTTTCTTTAATAATTAAATATGTTTTAAGACCCATGACAAGAAGGATAGCCTATTGTATTTATCCTTATTTTTACCCATTCCAAAGGTTTCTTTTCCCTGAAATTACAAAACTTTTGTGATCATTCCCTTTCTGTTAATAGAACATCCTTTAGCCATTTCTTAATGGCGGGTTTGCTAGGGACTAATTTTCTTAGTTTTCTTTCATCTGATAATATCATTATTATTATTATTATTATACTTTAAGTTTTAGGGTACATGTGCACAACGTGCAGGTTTGTTACATGTGTATACATGTGCCATGTTGGTGTGCTGCACCCAGTAACTCGTCATTTAACATTAGGTGTATCTCCAAATGCTATCCTCCCCTCCCCCCACCCAACAACAGGCCCTGGTGTGTGATGTTCCCCTTCCTGTGTCCATGTGTTCTCATTGTTCAATTCCCACCTATGAGTGAGAATATGCGGTTTTTGTTTTTTTGTCCTTGCGATAGTTTGCTGAGAATGATGGTTTCCAGCTTCATCCATGTCCCTACAAAGGACATGAACTTATCATTTTTATGGCTGCATAGTATTCCATGGTGTATATGTGCCACATTTTCTTAATCCCATCTATCATTGCTGGACATTTGAGTTGGTTCCAAGTCTTTGCTATTGTGAATAGTGCCGCAGTAAACATATGTGTGCATGTGTCTTTATAGCAGCATGATTTATAATCCTTTGGGTATATACCCAGTAATGGGATGGCTGGGTCAAATGGTATTTCTAGTTCTAGATCCCTGAGGAATTCCCACACCAACTTCCACAATGGTTGAACTACAGTCCCACCAACAGTGTAAAAGTGTTCCTATTTCTCCACATCCTCTCCGGCGCCTGTTGTTTCCTGACTTTTTAATGATCGCCATTCTAACTGGTGTGAGATGGTATCTCATTGTGGTTTTGATTTGCATTTCTCTGATGGCCAGTGATGATGAGCATTTTTTCATGTGTCTTTTGGCTGCATAAATGTCTTCTTTTGAGCAGTGTCTGTTCATATCCTTCGCCCACTTTTTGATGAGGTTGTTTGTTTTTTTCTTGTAAATTTGTTTGAGTTCATTGTAGATTCTGGATATTAGCCCTTTGTCAGATGAGTAGGTTGCAAAAATTTTCCCCCATTCTGTAGGTTGCCTGTTCACTCTGACGGTAGTTTCTTTTGCTGTGCAGAAGCTCTTTAGTTTAATTAGATCCCATTTGTCAATTTTGTCTTTTGTTGCCATTGCTTTTGGTGTTTTAGACATGAAGTCCTTGCGCATGCCTATGTCCTGAATGGTATTGCCTAGGTTTTCTTCTCGGGTTTTTATGGTTTTAGGTCTAACATGTAAGTCTTTAATCCATCTTGAATTAATTTTTGTATAAGGTGTAAGGAAGGGATCCAGTTTCAGCTTTCTACATATGGCTAGCCAGTTTTCCCAGCACCATTTATTAAATAGGGAATCCTTTCCCCATTGCTTGTTTTTCTCAGGTTTGTCAAAGATCAGATAGTTGTAGGTATGCGGCATTATTTCTGAGGGCTCTGTTCTGTTCCATTGATCTATATCTCTGTTTTGGTACCAGTACCATTTTGTTTTGGTTACTGCAGCCTTGTAGTTTAGTTTGAAGTCAGGTAGCATGATGCCTCCAGCTTTGTTCTTTTGGCTTAGGATTGACTTGGCAATGCAGGCTCTTTTTTGGTTCCCTATGAACTTTAAAGTAGTTTTTTCCAATTCTGTGAAGAAAGTCATTGGTAGCTTGATGGGGATGGCATTGAATCTATAAATTACCTTGGGCAGTATGGCCATTTTCACGATCTTGATTCTTCCTACCCATGAGCATGGAATGTTCTTCCATTTGTTTGTATCCTCTTTTATTTACTTGAGCAGTGGTTTGTAGTTTTGTAGTTCTCCTTGAAGAGGTCCTTCACATCCCTTGTAAGTTGGATTCTTAGGTATTTTATTCTCTTTGAAGCAATTGTGAATGGGAGTTCACTCATGATTTGGCTCTCTGTTTGTCTGTTATTTGTGCATAAGAATGCTTGTGATTTTTGCACGTTGATTTTGTATCCTGAGATTTTGCTGAAGTTGCTTATCAGCTTAAGGAGATTTTGGGCTGAGATGATGGGGTTTTCTAGATATACAATCATGTCGTCTGCAAACAGGGACAATTTGACTTCCTCTTTTCCTAACTGAATACCCTTTATTTCCTTCTCCTGCCTGACTGCCGTGGCCAGAACCTCCAACACTATGTTGAATAGGAGTGGTGAGAGAGGGCATCCCTGTCTTGTGCCAGTTTTCAAAGGGAATGCTTCCAGTTTTTGTCCATTAGTATGATATTGGCTGTGGATTTGTCATAGATAGCTCTTATTATTTTGAGGTACATCCCATCAATACCTAATTTATTGAGAGCTTTTAGCATGAAGGGTTGTTGAATTTTGTCAAAGGCCTTTTCTGCATCTATTGAGATAATCATGTGGTTTCTGTCTTTGGTTCTGTTTATATGCTGGATTATGTTTATTGATTTTCATATGTTGAACCAGCCTTGCATCCCAGGGATGAAGCCCACTTGATCATGGTGGATAAGCTTTTTGATGTGTTGTTGGATTCGGTTTGCCAGTATTTTATTGAGGATTTTTGCACCAATGTTCATCAAGGGTATTGGTCTAAAATTCTCTTTTTTTGTTGTGTCTCTGCCAGGCTTTGGTATCAAGATGATGCTGGCCTCATAAAATGAGTTAGTGATGATTCCCTCTTTTTCTATTGATTGGAATATTTTCAGAAGGAATGGTACCAATTCCTCCTGGTACCTCTGGTAGAATTCGGCTGTGAATTCATCTGGTCCTGGGCTTTTTTCGGTTGGTAAGCTATTAATTATTGCCTCAATTTCAGATCCTGTTATTGGTCTATTCAGAGATTCAACTTCTTCCTGGTTTAGTCTTGGGAGAGTGTATGTGTCAAGGAATTTATCCATTTCTTCTAGATTTTCTAGTTTATTTGTGTAGAGGTGTTCATACTATTCTCTGATGGTAGTTTGTATTTTCGTGGGATCAGTGGTGATACCCTCTTTGTCACTTTTTTGCATCTATTTGGTTCTTCTCTCTTTTCTTCTTTATTAGTCTTGCTAGCAGTCTATCAATTTTGTTGATCTTTTCAAAAAACCAGCTCCTGGATTCATTGATTTTTTGAAGGGTTTTTTGTGTCTCTATTTCCTTCAGTTCTGCTCTGATATTAGTTATTTCTTGCCTTCTGCTAGCTTTTGAATGTGTTTGCTCTTGCTTCTCTAGTTCTTTTAATTGTGATGTTAGTGTGTCAATTTTAGATCTTTCCTGCTTTCTCTTGTGGGCATTTAGTGCTATAAATTTCCCTCTACACACTACTTTGAATGTGTCCCAGAGATTCTGGTATGTTGTGTCTTTGTTCTCGTTGGTTTCAAAGAACACCTTAATTTCTGCCTTCATTTCGTTATGTACCCAGTAGTCATTCAGGAGCAGGTTGTTCAGTTTCCATGTAGCTGAGCGGTTTTGAGTGAGTTTCTTAATCCTGAGTTCTAGTTTGATTGCACTGTGGTCTGAGAGACAGTTTGTTATAATTTCTGTTCTTTTACATTTGCTGAGGAGTGCTTTACTTCCAACTACGTGGTCAGTTTTGGAATAGGTGTGGTGTGGTGCTGAAAAGAATGTATATTCTGTTGATTGGGGATAGAGAGTTCTGTAGATGTCTATTAGGTCTGCTTGGTGCGGAGCTGAGTTCAATTCCTGGATATCCTTGTTTACTTTCTGTCTCGTTGATCTGTCTAATGTTGACAGTAGGGTGTTAAAGTCTCCCATTATTATTGTGTGGGAGTCTAAGTCTCTTTGTAGGTCACTAAGGACTTGCTTTGTGAATCTGGGTGCTCCTGTATTGGGTGCATATATATTTAGGATAGTTAGTTCTTCTTGTTGAATTGATCCCTTTACCATTATGTAATGGCCTTCTTTGTCTCTTTTGATCTTTGTTGGTTTAAAGTCTGTTTTATCCGAGACTAGGATTGCAACCCCTGCCTTTTTTTGTTTTCCATTTGCTTGGTAGATCTTCCTCCATCCTTGTATTTTGAGCCTATTTGTGTCTCTGCATGTGAGATGGGTTTCCTGAATACCACACACTGATGGGTCTTGACTCTTTATCCTATTTGCCAGTCTGTGCCTTTTAATTGGAGTATTTAGCCCATTTACATTTAAGGTTAGTATTCTTATGTGTGAATTTTATCCTGTCATTATGATGTTAGCTGGTTATTTTGCTCATTAGTTGATGCAGTTTCTTCCTAGCCTTGCTGGTCTTTACAATTTGGCATGTTTTTGCAGTGGCTGGTACTGGTTCTTCCTTACCATGTTTAGTGCTTCCTTCAGGAGCTCTTTTAGGGCAGGCCTGGTGGTGACAAAATCTCTCAGCATTTGCTTGTCTGTAAAGTATTTTATTTCTCCTTCACTTATGAAGCTTAGTTTGGCTGGATATGAAATTCTGGGTTGAAAATTCTTCTCTTTAAGAATGTTGAATATTGGCCCCCACTCTCTTCTGGCTTGTAGGGTTTCTGCTGAGAGATCAGCTGTTAGTCTGATGGGCTTCCCTTTGAGGGTAACCCGACCTTTCTCTCTGGCTGCCCTTAACATTTTTTCCTTCATTTCAACTTGGTGAATCTGACAATTATGTGTCTTGGAGTTGCTCTTCCCAAGGAGTATCTTTGTGGCATTCTCTGTATTTCCTGAATCTGAAAGTTGGCCTGCCTTGCTAGATTGGGGAAGTTCTCCTGGATAATATCCTACAGTGTTTTCCAACTTGGTTCCTTTCTCCCCATCACTTTCGGGTACACCAATCAGATGTAGATTTGGTCTTTTCACATAGTCCCATATTTCTTGGAGGCTTTGTTCATTTCTTTTTATTCTTTTTTCTCTAAACTTCTCTTCACACTTCATTTCATTCATTTCATCTTCCATTGCTTATACCCTTTCTTCCAGTTGATCGCATCGGTTACTGAGGCTTGTGCATTTGTCACGTCGTCCTCGTGCCATGGTTTTCAGCTCCATCAGGTCCTTTAAGGACTTCTCTGCATTGGTTATTCTAGTTATCCATTCGTCTAATTTTTTTTCAAAGTTTTTAACTTCTTTGCCATGGGTTTGAACTTCCTCCTTTAGCTCAGAGTAGTTTGATCTTCTGAAGCCTTCCTTTCTCAACTCGTCAAAGTCGTTCTTCATCCAGCTTTGTTTCATTGCTGGTGAGGAGCTGCGTTCCTTTGGAGGAGGAGAGGCACTCTGATTTTTAGAGTGTCCAGTTTTTCTGCTCTGTTTTTTCCCCATCTTTGTGGTTTTATTTACCTTTGGTCTTTGGTGATGGTGACATACAGATGGGTTTTTGGTGTGGATGTCCTTTCTGTTTGTTAGTTTTCCTTCTAACAGTCAGAACCCTCAGCTGCAGGTCTGTTGGAGTTTACTGGAGGTCCACTCCAGACCCTGTTTGCCTGGGTATCAGCAGCGGTGGCTGCAGAACAGTGGATATTGGTGAACCGCAAATGTTGCTGCCTGATCATTCCTCTGTAAGTTTTGTCTCAGAGGAGTACCTGGCCGTGTGAGGTGTCAGTCCACCCCTACTGGGGGGTGCCTCCCAGTTAGGCTACTCTGGGGTCAGGGACCCACTTGAGGAGGCAATCTGTCTGTTCTCAGATCTCAAGCTGTATGCTAGGAGAATCACTACTCTCTTCAAACCACTACTCCCATCAGACAGGGACATTTAAGTCTGCAGAGGTTATTGCTGTCTTTTATTTGTCTGTGCCCTGGCCCCAGAGGTGGAGCTTACAGAGGCAGGCAGGCCTCCTTGAGCTGTGGTGGGCTCCACCCAGTTCGAGCTTTGTTTTCCTACTGAAGCCTGAGCAACGGCAGGCGCCCCTCCCCCAGTCTCACTGCTGCCTTGCAGTTTGATCTCAGACTGCTGTGCTAGCAATGTGCGAGGCTCCGTGGGCGTAGGACCCTTCGAGCCAGGTGCGGGATATAATCTCCTGGTGTGTCGTTTGTTAAGCCCATTGGAAAAGCGCAGTATTAGGGTGGGAGTGACCTGATTTTCCAGGTGCCATCTATCACCCCTTTCTTTGACTAGGAAAGGGAATTCCCTGACCCCTTGTGCTTCCCGGGTGAGGTGATGCCTCGCCCTGCTTCGGCTCCGCATGGTGCGCTGCGCCCACTGTCCTGCACCCACTGTCTGGTACTCCCCAGTGAGATGAACCCGGTACCTCAGTTGGAAATGCAGAAATCACCCATCTTCTGTGTTGCTCACACTGGTAGCTGTAGACTGGAGCTGTACTTATTTGGCCATCTTGGCTCCACCCCAATATCTTTATCCTAAAGGATAATTTCCTCAGATGTAGAATTTTCAGTTATCTTCATTCAGAACTTGAAAAATGCTGTGCTGTTTCTTTTTTGGTGTTTATTGTTTTAGTTGGAAAATTCTTTGTCATTCAAATTGGTGCTCTCAAGTAAACAATGCGTCATTTGTGTCTGTTGCCTTCAAGATTTTTTCTTGTTTTTAGCTTACAAAGTTTAATTGTGTGTCTTCTCATGGATTTATTTGGGTTTATGCTATTTGGGATTCACTCAACACACACAGAGAAACAAACACACACACATGTACATTTACAGATTTCCTTAAAAAGAAAGATACAGCTCAAGAATATAGAGTTTATAGACATTGTAGGTTTAAGTTTTGATCTTTGTAAGTTATATAAATTAATAAAGTCTAGCACATTAATGGTTTGTAAATTTCAAGCTGGTCCAAGCTGAAAATAATAATTATATCTGTACTACTTCTACATTGCAAATGACTCTTTGAACATAAGTTTGAACTCTTTAATACCAATTTTACAAATAAGTTAAAGAAAGGATGGGAAAATTAAACTGTAAGTGACTATTTAATTTAAGACTAATGTTCAATTATTAAACATTAAAAAATAATCTAGCTAATTCCTTTTGGAATGAGTAAAATGTTTCATTTGAATTTTTTTTAAAAAAATTGAAAAATAATGTCTTTATATGTAGTTAGTTGAGTATTAAAGGCCATGATTCAAGTATACAAAATGAAAAGTTTCTTTGGGCATTTTAATAGAATTTCATTTTATTTTTAAAATAGCATTTCCTTAATTGGTAGAAAAATCTTCTACTGGTTTAAAGGATACTCATGGCTTCTAATGTTTTTTGGGTAAATATTTAATCAGTTCAGAAATTTCTACCTCTAACTTCTGTTTCTGTTTCTGCCAGAGGGTCATCTAAATTCAAGATTAGGTGATAAATGACACGTTCAAAGTGGATAAAGGTAGAGAATATGAAAAAGGGATTATTTACAAACATGTGGGCAAGTTTCAGGGATAGGAGTAAGAGATAGTGAACTGCTCAAGGATTTGCAACAGGGAGAAGTTGTTACTACTCCTATACCTGACAGGCAACAGGGGAAGCAATACCTGAAACCCAGTGAAGATGAACAGTCACAGACATGGAGAAGTCATCCTATGCCAAAATTTGTCTTGGCAGAAACAGGTAGAGTTGGATAAAATGTGGAGAGTGTGGTGGAAAAATATAAGTGATTCTTGACCTATTTATCTGTCTCCCTCTTCTCTCTTACTAGTGCTTCTTATTGTCTAAATCAACCATAAGACAGTTGACAATAGGGCCTGCCCAAGTGGGGCAATCTATGCAAGTCAGCTCAAGATGGAGAGCAAGGCAGAAAAGAATAAATCTGGAGTGGCAAATAGGAAACACTGGTCAAGGGCTCACATATTATGCTTACATAGGGGAAAGCTGTCTGAACCTTGCCTGAGCAGGCATCTTCCTGGCTGCTCCTGTGGTACGTAATTCCCACTGATTTTTAATCATTGGCTCCTATTCCTACTGCTCCTGTTTTGGGTTCTTTGCCCTTTCCTCCCTGGAAATATTTAGGCTTTCTAATCCCCGCTTACCCCAACTACATAGCCCTTAGCTATATATGAGCCTCTCACGGCATGGAAATGGAGGAACATTAAAATTTGTTAAATGTTTTCTTGTGCTTCTCTGAGAGTAAGATTTGAGGGACAGTAGAGTTCTCTTCCTGCCACCTCATGCCCTGACATTCATTCTCAGAAGTGTCTATTTACAGATTTCAGTACAGAAAGTCAGACACTCGTCCTTCTGCAATTAGGCTCCTCTAGAAGTACTGACCTTTTGTTATTCCCTCCTAACCCTGGTAGGCAGCTGGGAGAATTCAAGAGCAGTGGGAAAGATCAGCTCATCCTTCATAGCCTTCAAAAGTATTAATTTACTTAATTTTTTTCCACAGTTCTCTCATTTCAAGTCATATCTTTTATCTAGTGTGGAACAAGAGGTGACTCGTATCATCATAGTTTTTTTTTACTTTGTTGTTTGTGTTATAAACTATGTCTTTTGATTTTAGAAGAAAAAATAAAACTTAAACACCTTGATAAAACATCAAAAAGTTTTTCAAACAAGCCAGCTATTCAAGTTCAAAAGTGCCTTGATATAAGACTACAATAGTGGGAGGTATGAGTTTTTAAAACGATCTATTAAGAAATTTGCTTAGCTATTTTGTACTCATTTTTATACCACCTCCCACTCCGCAACCTCCACCTGTTCCAAGGAAGGGCTGCCATGAAGTTAATGGGATGGGATCAAAGCAGGAAGAAAAAATATAGAAAAAAAAATCAAATCTGTTATTATTTCCCAATATTTTATGACATCCATACTTGAGCAAATAGATTTATTTTAGGAAGTTTTACCCTTAGAAATGCTGAATGGTATACACATGGCAACCACAGTGCTTCTTAAAGTGGTATGACTATTTTGCTAGAAATTCATTCTGTAATAATGGAAACAATTCAAGTATGCTTTTACTTTACTTGTAAATCAGTATTAAAAATTTCAAAATGAATTAATACTAGTATCTGCATATATCTTTTGTATAAACATTTCAAAAAAAACTTATCAACACAATATATTTACTGAAGATTTGGACCACAACAAAAATAATGTTTCTGTAGTTTCACTTCTCTTTGAGATCAACTCTACCTTTTACTTTGCTTCAAAATGATTGTCCAAGAAATGTCAGAAATTACAAACTTTATGTGACTGACTGCAGTCATAGAAACATAGGGTACAACTGTATTTGTCAAAACTGTTTTTGGAGCATTTAAATGTTCTATTGAAATTGCTCTTCTCAGCAAGGTAAAGAAAAGAGGGTCAAAGCATGTTTACACCTCAGTGCCTGAAGGAGCACAGTAAACATCGTGTACTGTGATAAACAGAGCCAGATAGGGCAAGGCTTCTTGGACTTACACTATCATTTTCTTTTCCTTGTTACCTTGGCTACAGATCTTCTTTCTATAATTATTAATAGTTAATGAGAAGTAAAAGGAGTCTGAAAAAATTTAACAGTTTGACTACCTGTCTTTCAAATGTGATACTTTAACACTTAAGCTCAAAAATACGTTTGCAATGGTTTGACTGCTACAAATACACACTATTATAAATAGTTTATTAAGTATTTAAACTATATGAATTATGAGATATTATATTAGTTCATCTAAATTATATCTATGAAAGAATGTACCAGTTTTTTTCTATTATTCAACTCTATATAGCATTGAGTTTTATGTTGAGCAGAACATATTTTGACATTTTGCTATAGAAAATACTGCAGTAACCTCTTTCAAACTTGAATAGGTCTTATTCAAACACAATTCAATGAGTGATTTTTTTTGGACACTTGTAATTGAGAGAGCTTCTTAAGACTAATGTGTCAAACTATATTTAGGTCAATCTTCAACTTCCTTCTCTCCAGACCAACCAAGAAACCAATAGCAACTGGAACAAAACAGACAGAAATACCACAGCATACACAGATATCTAGAAGAATAAGTCAGTAAATAAATAAGCAGTAATAAAATGATAGTCCCCAAATTTATTAGTAAAGTCAATGCCATTCTTAAGCTAATTGATTTGAAGAAATTTGATTTTCAAAAAATAATACATATATATTTCTGTTTAATATATATATGAAATATAGATATAGAGTTATATAAACTATTCTATATATGTATGTTTGTATGTGTATATTCAATGTCAAAGTGTTACATACTACAAGACTTCATTTATATACCAACCTTGAAGTGACAAATTTATAGTGACAGAAAATACATCAGTGGTCAGAGGTTAGAGGTGGAAGAAGGATGTGACTATTGAGGAATCATCTGAGAAAGGGTGTGTGTGTGTGTGTGTGTGTGTGTGTGTGTGTGTGTGGTGATGGAATGGTTCTGTATCCTAACTGAGGTATTGGTTGCTCAAATCTATACATGTGACAAAATTTCATAGAGCCATACTTTCTACTCAGTTACATGCGTGCGCATGCACACACACACACACACACACACACACTCAAAAACACACACACAGAGTACATGCAAAACATGAGAAATCCCAATAAAGGCCTGTAACTGAGTTAGTAACTTAGTACCTTCCTTATTTTGACATTGCATATGGTTATGTAAGATATTATCACTGGGGAAAGTCAAGGGAAGGCTACATGGGAAGTCTCAGTACTGTTATTGCAATTCTTTGCGAGTCTTTACTTCTTTCAAATAAAAAGTTATTTTTAAAGAATGATCCAGAACTGACAGAGATGTTAGAATTAGCAGCAATGTTCATTAAAAGAATCATTATAACCATATTCTGTATGTTTAAACACTTAGAGACCTGAAAGATATAGAAATGACTCAAATCAAACTTCTAGAGAAATGACTGAGATGGAGTCTAAAATATCTGAGATGAGAAATACCCTGAATTCTATAATTATACTATGATTATGTAAGATTGTCTTGCATGATCATAGTATAAATATGTTTTTGTTTTAAGAAATTATTAATATGTATTTGTTTTAAAAAAACATGTCCTTGTTTTAAGAAATTACTTGTTTGAAATTATTTCAAAACATTTTTAAAAAAGAAGTAAAATGGGGCTCAATGTTAGTAAGTGATTTATCCATGGCCTCATAGAAATTGAATGTCAGAGTCTATCTAGTATTCTTACTGGTACAATACTGTACACTGTCTTGAAGTGACTCCTTCTTTTCTTTTTATTCTCATTTAATTAGGTTCCTTTTCTTAAATTTCATGATTTTATCTCAGGCTATGTTCTTTCTATATTTTTATCCAGAGACTATGTGTCCACATATAAATTGAAGTTTTTCCAGTTGTTGGCACTCTTATGTAAAGGTAGAAATAAACAAATTTCATGTATTCTATATGATGTATTCAAATTAATTGTCTAAGAATTTAGAGTAAATTATTGCAGTCCTGATTTCATGGCAAACTCATCTCTTACTACAGAATAGGAAAATGTGCTTCTTAACTCTGAGCAGAAATCTGGTATTTATGTCAAGGAATTCTATGACTCAACAATAACAGTCTCAGAAATGTTAACAAATATGACCCAAGTGATGAGATTCTTCAGCAGAAACATTGTGGCATGTTAGTCTTTTAGTAGATTTAAAAAAAAAAAAAACACAATTAAAATCAAGATGTGATTTCATTTTATGCTAAATTTTGAATAGAATGTATATTATTTACTGGAATTTTTCTCATTGCCATTAAAGGTAACAGAATTTGACTTGTAAATAAAGCTGTTTTCTTAATCATACACTGTGTTTCAGGCACTGTTTTATGCAATTTATATTCATTATCTTATTTAATTGAATGAATTTGTATAACAGTGATGCTCTTATAGTCATTATGCTGACAAAGAAACTAAGGTTAGAAGCATTAGGTAACTTGGCCCACATAATACAGCTAGTAAACAGGAAAACTGTTTTAACCCATGGTCTGTCTGACAAGAGACGGTACCATTATTCTATGCATCCATTCCTCCATACTCTTCCTGAATGAATAGCTCCATTATATGTGTCATAGGCAACTTAGACTCAACCAGTAGTAACAAAAGGCTGCCTGAAAGAAGTATAGATCCATTCTCATTCCCACTGCATGCATAATCACACACACAACACACATTAATCTCCTTGGATATGGACAAGTGATATTTTCTCAATCTTATGTAAAATGCTATAAAAACAAAGATGTACCAGATCCATCTATCCTGATTGCCAAGCAGAAGGCCACGCTACTTAGAAATTCTGGAAGTGCTGTTCAATTCCAAATTGTTCAAAATTGAACTTGTCGTGCTTTCTAACTAAATAGTAACCTGTCCCATATTCCCTAATACTGATTATGTCACAGTCAACTTTCTAATTATTCTAGTGAAAAATACAAATCTTTAATTTTTCTCTTTCCCCGCCCCGCATATCTAATCAATTGCTATCATCTTTGGATTTTGCTTAATTAATAGGTCTTCCACTTTGTGCTTTCCTTGTATTTAAACAATTCCTTTTCTAACATTCTGTGATTTTTATTTAATCTTGCTTTTTCCATGCCCCTCAATACCCATGTCTCCTGTGTTCTTTTGGTTTTATTGATTTTCTTTATGTTTCTACTTTCTTTCCCTTGAACACACACCCATACAGTCATTCTATGTTCTGAAATTAGCATAGCCTATGTCTCCTTTTTAATGGTTACCCTTATAGCACAATATGCATACTTGGACTTGGGACACTCTAAAACAATACAAAGCCTGAGAATGATTCAATTTCAGTTGCCTCTCTTCTTTTATATGTTATTGATGTCTTACTCTTTTTTTCCTTTTTGTAATTTTGTCTGCTGTTTTATTACTCTCCATATTAGTCATCAAACTATTATTATTATTTTATATTATTATTTTATAATGCCAATTCTTATTACGATGTGTTCATATTCACCAGTTTTCTTGCTTACCATTTCTTTTAAATCCTGGTCTTTCCTTCCAGATTGTCTTCTGAGAAACCTACATTTGAATTACTAGAAGGAGAGTCTGTGCTTCTATTTTGGCTTGCTATTGTTTTGTCATTTTAATGAGTCTCAGGAGGTAAATGTGCGGTAGAGTCCTAGGTGGCCCCCATTGATCTCTGCCTCCTATGCTTATGTCCTTGAATAATCCCCTTCCTTTGAATGTGAGCTAGACCTGGAGTCTCTCTTCTAACAAACAGAATATGGTGAAAATGGTGGGATGTTACTTCCAAGATTAGATTGACCAAAAGTCTGTTCACATCCTGTCAACAACAAACGAGTGAATAATAGTGTCTGCTACAACTTCATTGATAACCTATCTGGACTATTTTCTTCTTCTGAACTCTCATGCTGCTTTATATATCTGTCTTTATGGAACTTCTCATTTTCAATCATTTGTTAGATTTGTATAATATGCATGTCTTAGTTCTCTTAGTAGAACCTGGGCTCCTTTACAATCAGGATTTATTTATTTTTATAAAAATATTTATGAAAAATTTAGTATAATCTTGGTACTGCTGAGAGAAAAATTAAAAGAGAAAAACAAGGTAGAGTAAAAGTAAGTGTAAAGTAAATAATGTCATGTAATTGTATATAATGTGGTAATGGAACTCCAGTTTTCATGTTAATTAGGTGGTGACCACATTCTCTGTAGACAGATAGACATGTATAAAAGATTTGGGATATTAGGAGCATTACTCTGTAAAATATGGTTTTACTTAGGATTTACCCTTTATCAGATATTTTATTAACCATGAGATATTTAGAATAACCTTACCATTGAAAAATCCACGATTTAATGGAGGAGACAGAAATGTAAAGAAATAATTACATTACAGTGTGATTTACAATTATAGGGTTATTGGACCCAAAAGAGGTACCTAACATATGATAAGGTATGAAGAGTTGGGATTAGGTAAGTCTTCCCAAAGTAACTGATTTAGCCAGAAGGAAGGAAATAGAAATAAAAGGATGAGAAATTCTATTGTATGAAGAAGAAATGATAAATGTGAGAGCAAAAAGCCATAGGGCATTAAACTCACAGCACTTTGAATATAACATGGCCATATTGGAGCACATTGCACTAAAGTTATCAAGAGCAATAATAATTGTTACAAGATTAGGTGTAATGAAGAATTGTGTATGACATTCATGCTAAGGAACATGGATTTTGTTCTGAAGGCTATTAAAGCCAGTGAAACAAAAAGTTATATGAATGTCACCTAAATGCGTGGTATTTACAGTGTGGTCCATGGACTGGCAGCAACATCACTTATAAGAGTATTCGAATGCAGAATCGTGGGCCCTACCTGAGATCCACTGAATCAGAATCTAAGCTTTGCAAAGCACTGACCTAGATCATAGTGGTTTGTGACTGCTAGCTATTGACAACATTATATATGCCAATAAAACTATAATTTCTGCCACATTGTCCTGGCTAACAAGACCCCAGTTTCATTCAGGACAAGTAGAAATTTGTCTAAGACTACTCAGGTATTCTAATTCCCATTGCTAGTAACTAGTTTAGGGTGAGCCTAAAACATAGCTTACCCAGTCAGATGTGAAGAATGTGGGTGTATAAATGAGAAAAGTGTCTCTGATCTTAAAGAAGCACCTTATCTACTTTTAGATGATAAGGTGCAACTACTTATCTGCAACTACTTTACCCATATGAGGAGCAAGTCAAAGGGTCAAAGTGACATTCCGACGTTGGATGAGGAGAAAGGTGCACAGTGTCTATGTTCTTGATGATGATGTTGAGCCCCTGAATTAACAACATTGGAACCAACCTATATCTGGACTCCTGTTATGAGATAGCAGATACCTTTTCTGTTTAAGTTATATTGAGTTGAGCCTTTTACCACTTTCAGCCAAAGCATCCTAACTAATACAAATGCTAACTGATGGAAGATCAGTCAGGTTGCTGTGACAAAAACCTATACTAGAACCTCATCACTTTCCTTATGTCTTTTTAGGAATTTTCAAAAATGGCCAAAGGTGACTTAAACATGTTTCCAGGGTGAGCATCTGTGACTTTTGATCCTATCTTTTTTCATCTCTGGATGAAAAAAATTGAACACCTTAAAACTAGCTTATAGTTGTTAGCAAACATGGCTGTTGGGTATACTCCACTTTGATTAATTTGTTTTCTTTCTTTTTTTTTATTTTTTTGGAGATTTTCTTCTCAGAACCAAAGTTGTTACTTCCTGAAATCAGGTTTCTATAAGATCTTCCAATCCGTCAGACACGTCTGCATAGGTCTGGACTCCTGCCATGAGCCATGTTCAATTTTTTTCTCATGATAGTTCCAAGTCGCAGGAGCTTAGGATATGTTACTTGACTCCTGTTGTTACTTGCCCAGGGGTGTTAAATGCCACTAATGGGAATGCTGTCTATGTGCACATGCAAAGAATTAGCCAAGCAACCAAAGGGTTTAAATAAGAGAGAAAATATGTTAAATATGTGCTTTAGATATATCTGTGGTATCAGCGTAGAATAGAATGATTACGATGACAGATGGGAGGCAGAGGGATCTGTTTGATTACTCCACAAACCAGATAAGAAATGATGATAGCTTGAATTAAAGCTGGAGCTGAAGGAGATGCAGTGGCGAGAACCAACGTGGGAGATATTTTCAATGATCAAATTTAATATGGGGCATGAGGAAAAGGGAAAATCTAAAATGTTCCCAGATTTCAGTCTGATCCACATAAATTTATTCCCCTTTTCTCATCTCGTCACCAGAAGATATGTTTTATTAAGAGATGGCATGAACTTAGGGTACCATATAGAGGTTGACTTGACCTCATTAACTCAATGTACACTGTGTAGACCAAAAGAAATTATAACCACGCTAAGCGGATCAGCTTGGGCCTTAAATAAAATGATGCAATGAAGCTACATAAGTGTAATGCATTATGCCTGTCCTTTCTACTCTGTTTGGTTCTTCAAGGGAATATTTATTTGTAAGGCAATGCTAACACATATTATCCTGCAATTATTTACTGCCAGGACATAAATATACCCTCTTAGCCTATAATGGGGAGGAGAGAAAATTGTGGAAGCAATGAAAGTATACAGAATTTCTATGCAGTTTCATGTGAATTTTGCAAGCCAAATAGATTATACTTACATATGAAGGTCTTCCAAACCAGTTTCAATATGGGATAGTTTAGTGTTTCACAAACAAATTGGTTTAAGTTTGCACAATTAAAAATGAGTCTTATTTCCTACAGCTATGCATGAAAGTAAGCAATCCTGTTTTGGAAAATACAAAGGACACAGAACTTTGAGACTTTCCAGCTGCTTGTGAAGTTGGTTGGTATTTCTACGCTCACCTCCAGGTGCCTGTCTCAATGGTGTTGTAGCTAGAGTTCAGTCCCATTTCTTAAAGAAAAAAACTGTTAATCTAATTGTTGATGGTGCCTGCTGTTTATAATTCCTCTGGCACAACGTAACATTTAAGAAGCAAATTCTTGTGCTTTCTCACATTCTGATGTGGATTTTTGCCCAGTGGATGGAAATTTATAGCTGGTTGGATTTTGGTAATTATTTCTTTACTCTCAATTTGTGCTGATAGCAAATTCTATAATGCTTTAAAGAGATTTTTAGTTTCAAAGATCATTCTCATAGCCCACTGTTCTTCCAGCAATGATAAGTTTACCGGTGAGCTTGTTATTTTTTCTCTTTGGGTTATGACACTTTGATTTAGTCATTTCTAAAATGCATTTGTTATGAAATGAACCTGAAAGAGGTGTTTTAATATGCCCTGAATTTGACCTTTTGGGAATGGGAGGTTGTTTTCCCCTCTTTTTATTTGGAAATGAATCAAAGTATTTGAATGTAACAATGCATTCATTAATGTGTTGTATTTTTTAGACTCATTAAAATCCTGGCAAAGAATATCTTTGAACTACGGTATTTTCTAACCCATGCAGTGTTATTCATTGCTTTGTATTTAATAAGTTATGTGACTTTACCTTATATAATGTCATTATTTGTGCACATTTTTTATTTTCAGAAATGTGCTACTCTTTTCCTTCCATATTGCTTGTCAGGATTTTAGAGGGCAGTAGAAAACCTACTTGGACTAACTCTGGCAATGAGAGAGAAACTTCCCTAAAGGGAAACCTGAGCTGTATTCTCCTTTGAGTGAACCCCTGTGGAGCGGAGATGGTGATTGGCAGCAGCTGACCTGGACACTTGCCTTCTTTCAGTCCTTGGTTCCTCAACACAGAAATTCCCCAGCTGAATGCCAAACACCCTGTATTTCAGAAGTGCCAAAGGCGCCAATTGTGATGGGAATTGGCATTTGAGAAATAGCCTGACCCCTAGGGAATGCAGAGAAAACATATCATGTGTTTACCATTTGTGAAATGCAACTTTTGAGTTCTCTCTTTGTTGCTAGATTTGCGCCTCTGGACTTTTTGCTGATAGCTGCTCTATTGCCCTTTAGTATCCCAAGTGAGAGAGAAAAGAAACTTCTAGATTTTCTCTCTCTTATTAGCACAGTAGGCATGTATAGTGTTCCACTGCTGGATTTTTTTATAGAAGTTCTGCCTTGGGTAGCAGTCATGTCAGCTTCTAGTAACTAAAGCTAACAAAAGCAACCCAAGGAGGGCTATTAATATCCTTCCCTTCCTCTGTTACTCACTATGCCTGGGAAATGGCTGGCCCAAAGCCATGAAGCCATGGGAAGATTCTGTCCTGGAATTCTCAGGAGTAATGTCATTTTCTTCATTATTCAAATTACCGTTCAGACACCAACGTTGGACCAACAACTCTGTCTCCGTTATATGAGTGCCACCTTTGGTGGCAGTTCTTAACTCCTGTGCACATGAATAATTGTTGTGCTCTTGGCTCAAAGAGTAACCAAATCTTAAAGGTAAAATATAAATTAAGAGATGTAATGAAGTATTGAATTTTTTTCTGAAATACAAATGAGATTATAAATAACAGATGAAATGCGATGACTTAGAACTTAAGGATAAGTGACTGTATAGAGATCTGAATTTCCAATTACATTCAGATAAGCATGTCAAAGTTTGGTTCTTCAGTTTATTCAAAACTTTGGTCAGTCTAGCTTTGGGCCAATTCTGTCACTTCAGTAACTATCCTTGTTTTGTGTATGTGTACTTGTTTTAATGGCTAAATGGCTGGCAGGACTAGTAATAGTCTGATTAATCTGATGACCCATGGTCTAAAATACAACCCCCTCTATTATGCTGATTGCATGTGGGCAATTGTGAGTTTTTCTTACTTAAATTCAATTAAAATATTAGAAATCAAAACACAAGATTCTCCTCTAGGAATTCACCAGAGAAAAAACAACAGTGTATAATTAATCAAACTGTGGTAGGCAAAGCCTCCTCAATGGTCAAAATAATATCTAGGATGCAAACTGATTAAAGGAGCTATTTAAATCCAACATGGCCTGTTGGTCAAGGCCTTCACATTAGAAGCAAATGCAAATGACTACACAAACACTACATGTGGTAAAGAGAATAATTACAACCTCTCCCCCATCCCTAAGATGTCCACGTTCTAATCCCTGAAACCTGTAAACATGTTGTCTTACACGGAAAACTTTACTTTAATATGTGAGCATGAATACAGATTCTGGGGTGGGGAGATTATCTTGGATTATCTGGTTGATTTAATCATATAACATGCATTTTTAAAAGTGGAGAACCTATTCTTGCTAGGTTAGAAGGATGAAAAAGAAAGAAGGAGGAGAAATTCAAAGCATGAGGGAGACAGGGCTGCCAGGGAAGGCTTTGAAGATGGAGGAAGGGGACCATCAGTCAAGGAATTTAAGAAGCTGGGAACAGATCTTGGCTGACGGCCAGCAAGAAAATGGGAATTTCAACCACAAGAAATTGAACTGTGCCGAGAACCCAAATAACCAAGGAAAGGAAATCAAAACCCTAGAGTCTCCAGAAAAGAATGGAACCCTGCTGCCACCTTGACACCAGCCCACTGAGATCCAGGTTGGACTTCTAGCCTGGCCTACAGCATTGTAAGATAACACATTTGTCTTGCTTAAGTCACTAAATTTGTGGTAATTTGTTCCAGCAGAAAAAGGAAACTGATACACTGCTTCACTAACATACTGCAATTAATACACTACAGATCAGGCATTTACCTATTTCATCTATGTATCTAAATGTCTGTATCTAGCATCTATCTTTGCAGTGTTTTTTAAACCTCACACTACGGCACTACAAATATGTCTTAGGAATTTCTTTGCTTTTTGACTGGAAAAGAGGAGAGTGCAGGCTAGTGGGTCTCCTGGTTGTGACTACACTTCAAACACTTTTACATGTCATTTGAATAATAGAACATTCTGATCATAAAAAAAATACTTTACCACTGTTATACATTTCGCTTTTATTAAAATGAGTAAAAAGAAAACCAGAAAATGAGGGCTGGTTTTAATAATAAAATACAGGTTTCATAACCTTGATATACCTAAAGCAAAGGTGGGACTCAATAGGAGAGCTGAAAGTGAAAATGAATTTGACTCAGATGGATGATCATTCAGTCTAAGCCTGTCAATTCTATATTCTATTGTGAAGGGAAATAACAAAGTAAGGAAGTGTATGAGATGCTTGAAATATAACCGCAAAGATCACATCTAAAATGTGATATGCAATTAGAGATTTTAAAATATTTTAAGCTCCTTGGGAAGAGAATCCCCTTCTTTAAAACATGCAAGCCATATGTTTAAGTCAAGCACACTTTTTTAGCATAGTAATATGTATGACAGATATCTAAAGAGAAGCTGCTTCAATCAGAAGAAAGGTTTTTAGAAAATCATTGAAAAGAAAGTCAAGAAGGCATATAATGACTCTACGCCTAAAGCTCAGGGGAGAGAGAACGTGCCCTGGACTACAACTAATTGTCCAGTCTTTGCAGAAACTCTACCTTTACTGGGAAGAGAAATAAATCATGTCCTCATGACTCAGTGGCACTACTACTTTATATTCCAACAACAGTCTTTCTGATAATAATTGGCATTCATGTAGGTCTGCCTGCAGGAATGAAAATGCTGTTCAGTTAATAAACTCAATAGTCATACTTCTTATTATAAATATCTCTCTATCTATATAGATAAATAGATGAAAAGAAAGAAGGAGGGAAGAAAAGACAAAATAAGTAAATAAATAGATATATAGATAGGTATAGATATATAAAGACATATAGATATAGATATGAAATGTATGCAGATAAATATAGATATAGCAATTAAGTAACATATATATTCTCTAGGTCTCTCTTTTTTCATTATACTTTAAGTTTGGAATACATGTGCAGAACCTGCAGGTTTGTTACATAGGTATACACATGCCATTATGGTGTTCTGCACCCATCAATCCATCATCTACATTAGGTATTTCTCCTAATGCTATCCCTCTCCTGGCCCCCTACCTCCCAACAGGCGCTGATGTGTGATGTTCCCCTCCCTGTGTCCATGTATTCTCATTGTTCAACTCCCACTTATGAATGAGAACATGTGGTGTTTGGTTTTCTGTTCCTATGTTAGTTTGCTGAGAATGATGGTTTCCAGCTTCATCCATGTCCCTGCAGAGGACATGAACTCATCCTTTTTTAAGGCTGCATAGTATTCCATACTGTATATGTGCCACATTTTCTTTATCCAGTCTATCATGGATGGCCATTTGGGCTGGTTCCAAGTCTTTGCTATTGTGAACAGTGCTGCAATGAACATACTTGTGCATGTCTCTTTATAGTAGAAATGATTTATAATCCTTTGTGTATATGCCCAGTAATGAGATTGCTGGGTCAAATGATATTTCTGGTTCTAGATCCTTGAGGAATTGCCACACTGTCTTCCACAACGGTTAAACTAAATTACACTCCCACCAACAGCGTAAAAGCATTTCTATTTCTCCACAACCTCTCCAGCATCTATTGTTTCCTGGCTTTTTAATGATCACCATTCTAACTGGCGTGAGAAAGTATCTCACTGTGGTTTTGATTTGCATTTCTCTAATGAGCAACGATAATGAGCTTTTTTTCATATGTTTTTTGGCTGCATAAATGTCTCCTTTTGAGAAGTGTCTGTTCATATCCTTTGGCCACTTTTCGATGGGGTTGTTTGTTTTTTTCTCGTACATTTGTTGAAGTTCCTTGTAGATTCTGGATATTAGTCCTTTGTCAGATGGATAGATTACAAAAATTTTCTCCCATCCTGTAGGTTGCCTGTAAACTCTGATGACAGTTTCTTTTGCTGTGCAGAAGCTCCTTAGTTTAATTAGATCCCATTTGTCAATTTTAGCTTTTGTTGCCATTGCTTTTGGTGTTTTAGTCATGAAGTCTTTGCCCATGCCTATGTCCTGAATGGTATTGCCTAGGTTTTCTTCTAGGGTTTTTATGGTTTTAGGTCTTACGTTTAAGTCTTTAATCCATCTTGAGTTAATTTTTGTGTAAGGTGTAAGGAAGGGGTCCAGTTTCAGTTTTCTGCATATGGCTAGCCAGTTTTCCCAATACCATTTATTAAATAGGGAATCATTTCCCCATTGCTTGTTTTTGTCAGGTTTATCAAAGATCAGATGGTTGTAGATGTGTGGTGTTATTTCTGCAGCCTCTGTTCTGTTCCATTGGTCTATGTATCTGTTTTGATACCAGTACCATGATGTTTTGGTTACTGTAGCCTTGTAGTATAGTTTGAAGTCAGGTAGCGTGATGCCTCTGGCTGTGTTCCTTTTGCTTAGGATTGTCTTGGCTATATATGCTTTTTTTTTTCTTTCATTCCATATGAAATTTAAAGTAGTTTTTGCTAATTCTGTGAAGAAAGTCAATGGTAGCTTGATGGGAATAGCATTGAATCTATAAATTACTTTGGGCAGGCAGTATGGCCATTTTCACCATATTGATTCTTCCTATCCATGAGTATGGAATGTTTTTCTGTTTGTTTGTGTCCTCTCTTATTTCCTTGAGCAGTGGTTTGTAGTTCTCCTTGAAGAGGTCCTTCACATTCCTTGTAAATTCTATTCCTAGGTATTTTATTCTCTTTGTAGCAATTGTGAATGGGAGTTCACTCATGATTTGGCTCTCTGTTTTTCTATTATGGGTGTATAGGAATGCTCGTGATTTTTGCACACTGATTTTTTTTCCTGAGACTTTGCTAAAGTTGCTTATCAGTTTAAAGAGATTTTGGGCTGAGATGATGGGGTTTTCTAAATATACAATCATGTCCACCTGCAAACAGAGAAAACTTGACTTCCTCTCTTCCTATTTGAACACCCTTTATTTCCTTCTCCTGCCTGATTGCCCTGGCCAGAACTTCCAGTACTATGTTGAATAGGAGTTGAGGGGAGAGCGCATCTTTGTCTTGTGCCAGTTTTCAAAGGGAATGCTTCCAGTTTTTGTCCATTCAGTATGATATTGCCTGTGGGTTTTTCATAAATAGCCCTTATTATTTTGAGATATGTTCCATCAATACCTAGTTTATTGAGAGATTTTTAGTGCAAAGTGGTGTTGAATTTTATTGAAGGCCTTTTCTGCATCTACTGAGATAATCATGTGTTTTTTTTTCATTAATTCTGTTTATGAGATGGATTACATTTATTGATTTGCGTATGTTGAACCAGCCTTGCATCCCAGGGTTGAAGCCGACTTGATTGTGGTGGATAAGCTTTTTGATGTGCTGCTGGATTTGGTTTGCCAGTATTTTATATGGGATTTTAGCACCTAAGCTTCATAAGCGAAGGAGAAATAAAATCCTTTACCGACAAGCAAATGCTGAGAGATTTTGTCACCACCAGGCCTGCCTTACAAGAGCTTCTGAAGGAAGTGATAAATATGGAAAGGAAAAACCAGTACCAGCCACTGAAAAAAATAACAAATTGTAAAGCACATCAATACTATGAAGAAACTGTGTCAACTAATGGGCAAAATAACCAGCTAGCATCATAATGACAGGATCAAATTCACAAATAAGAATATGAACCTTAAATGTAAATGGGCTAAATGCCCCAATTAAAAGACACAGACTGGCAAATTGGATAAAGAATTAAGACCCATCGGTGTGCTATATTCAGGAGACCCATCTCAAGTGTAAAGACACACATAGGCTCAAAATAAAAGGATGGAGGAATATTTACCAAGCAAATGGAAAGCAAAAAAAGCAGGGGTTGCAATCCTAGTCTCTGATAGGACAGACATTAAACCAACAAAGATTAAAAAAACAAAAAAAAACAAAAACAAACAAAAAACAAAAACAAAACAAAAGAAAACAAAAAACAAAACAAAACAAAAACCATAGAAGGGAATGACATAATGGTAAAGGGATCAATGCAACAAGAAGAGCTAACTATCCTAAATATATATGCACCCAATACAGGAGCACCCAGATTCATAAAGCAAGTTCTTAGAGACCTACAAGGAGGCTTAGACTCCCACAGAATAATAGTGGGAGACTTTAACACTTCACTGTCAATTTTAGACAGATCAATGAGACAGAAAATTAACAAGGATATTCAGGACTTGAACTCAGCTCTGGATCAAATGGACCTAATAGACATCTACAGAACTCTCCACCCCAAATCAACAGAATATACATTTTTCTCAGAACCACATCACATTTAGTCTAAAATTGACCACCATAATTGGAAGTAAAACACTCCTCAGGAAATGCAAAGAACAGAAATCAGAACAGTCTCTCAGACCACAGTGCAATCATATTAGAACTCATGATTGAGAAATTCACTCAAAACCACACATCTACATGGGTACTGAATAACCTGCTCCTGAATGACTACTGGGTAAATAACGAAACCAAGGCAGAAATAAATAAGTTCTTTGAAACCAATGAGAACAAGGACACAATGAACCAGAATCTCTGGGACAAAGCTAAAGCAGTCTTTTTTATAGCACTAAATACCCAGAGGTGAAAGCAGGAAAGATCTAAAATCAACACCCTAACATCACAGTTAAAAGAACTGAAGAAACAAGAGCAAACAAATTCAAAAGCCAGCAGAAGACAAGAAGTAACTAAGGTCAGAGCAGAACTGAAGGAGACAGAGACATGAAAACCCCTTCAAAAAAAATCAGTGAATCCAGGAGCTGGTATTTTGAAAAGATTAACAAAATAGAAAGACCACTAGCCAGACTAATAAAGAAGAAAAGAGAGAAGAATCAAATGGACACAATAAAAAATGATAGAGGATATCACCACTGATCCCACAGAAATACAAACTACCATCAGAGAATATTATAAACTCCTCTATGCAAATAAACTAGAAAATCTAGAAGAAATGGATAAATCCCTGGACACATACACCCTCCCAAGACTAAACCAGGAAGAAGACGAATCCCTGAATAGACCAATAACAAGTTCTGAAATTGAGGCAGTAATTAAAGCCTACTGACCAAAAAGCCCAGGACCAGACAGATTCACAGCCAAATTCTACCAGAGGTACAAAGAGGAGCTGGTACCATTCCTTCTGAAACTATTCCAAACAATAGAAAAAGAGAGACTCCTCCCTAACTCATTTTATGAGGCAGCATCATCCTGATACCAAAGCCTGGCAGAGACACAACCAAAAAAGAAAATATATATCTTTTAACTGGAATATCATGAGAGAATTAGGCGCTGATGCCCCAAGACATCCACTGAATGTTGTGAATTAACTTCTCACATATCTCTCTAAAATGGTACTCATTGGAACAATTAAGAAAATTGTCACTCCAAACATTTTCTGTGTAATGTGGTTCAATGTGGAACTGCAGATAAGAAACTTCAATTAAGATGGATTGATTAGCATGAGTTAACTTGTTATTCAGAAACCTAAAATTTCCAAGTTTGCAAACTTGAGGACCAGACTCTAAGATGTGGCACTCATTATAAATTTTGTATTAATGGGCAGCGAGTTTGCTTTACTGAACATCAACTTTTCCTCTCTTCTGTACTTCACTTTGCATTGTAAACTAATGGTGAAATAACTCACCGTTTGGTCCAACTTTGTATAGTATTCTTCTCAAAATAATATTTAGTCATTGAAGAGGATTATAAGAGGTGCCTTTTACTCTATTCATTAATTCTTTAACTACTTGGATATATATTTTCAATAAATAAACAAAACCTAATACATATTGATCAATTACTATAATGACAAATAGTATGCTAAGTGCTTTTAAAATATTATCTCTTAGTTTTCATAACATTATTAAATAAAAGCTATCATTAACTCCATTTTACAGGAAGTGGCTCCAAGGATTAGAGAGCTTGCCATTGCCACTTGGTGATAAAGCTGGGATTTAAATTCTCAAAATCTGATGTCGCAGTCCAAAAAATGTTTCCTCTTGTAGCTATTATGTCACATTCACTATAGTACAAAATAGTTGAACATATTCCGTTTTGGATTTTGCCTCCAGATTACTGTCTTATTATTAACAATACATTATATAGAGAGTTTTCCAGTAAGTAGGCAAACTGTTTATATTGTCTCAACTTATCAAGGTAATAATTCTAAGAAGTAGGGAGAATAACCTATGATAAAATTCCTCTTGTCAATGCTATTCCTCTTGACTTCCAATCAAGGTAGTATAGACTTTTATTATCCATTTTTAATCAGGAAAATGAGGCTTGGCCAAAATAAAGATATGCCCAAGGTGACATATCCCATGCAGTGGTGCCAAGATGAGCACCTAGACCTTCTAACTTGACTACACTGCTCACACTGTCTTTCATCGGATCTCCCTGTGAGGTAACTGTGATCTTAATATATCATATTATATTCATGTTGCTTGATATAAAACTCTCAATACAGATATAAGTATGACCTTTTCCAAGAAATCCTCTTTTGCCAGTTTAGCCAGATGTGATTTCTCCCTTTCTCAAGTTACTTTTGCCTTTTATTTCATGTTTTCCATCTTATATTATATTTAGATATCACCTTTTTTTCTCCTAGATCTTAATATCTGTAAGAGAAGACAATCTCTCTGTTTCTTCCTCTGATCCTGATTATAGTGCGCAACCTACAGTGCTAGATACACCGTGCACATTAGTGCAATGAGAAACTTAATTACTGATCGTCTATCACTATCTGAAAAGACAGTGGATCAAAGGAAGACACTAATCATACCAATTCATGTAATCTTTTGATCCTCATGCTATCCCATGCTTATATGTAACTACTGGTTTCAAAATTCTTTTTATTTCATTTTCTAAGAGAAAGGGTCTCACACTATCGCCCAGACTGGAGTGCAGTGGTGGGATCATAGCTCACTACAACCTTGAACTTCTAGGCTCAAGCAATCCTCCCACCTGAGCTTTCCATGTAGCTGGGATTACCGGCAAGAGCTACTGTGCCGGTATTATAGGAGTTATCAAGAAATTAATTTAGGCAGTTAGAAAGGTTAAAAGAGTCTTCCGTAAGGCTTTTTCTTTTAAGAAAAAAGCAGCCCCCAAAACATTTTGTTTCTAACAGAAAGTGGCCTGAAAAACCAGACCTGCAAGCATTGATATGAAAGCCACGGGCTTACATACGTATATGCAGGCGGCTAAGAGTCAGGTCTACCTAATATGGTGATTTCCTCTACTTTTTCTTTGTTGCCACATGTGCGGACATTATGGCGCGCATCCAGGTCAAGGCCACTTGCGCCAGGTAGCCAGATTTGCATAATAAAAAGCTAGGGTGGGGGGGACAGCCAGTTTTTTTCCCCAAGGCTAAGTGAATGAGATACCTGGTCAAACCAACCCCTGGGTCCTATGCAAATCAAACACTGCCTCCTGGAGCCTCCTAACATAACGGACCGCTTTCGCTTCAGGCGGGGTTATTCCGTTGGGCGCCCTCCTTCTCCTGTATGGGGGAGCTGTTTTCTTCTTTCTTGGCTACTAATCTTTCCACTGCTTAATCCACTCCACGTGTGTCCGTGTTGCTAATTTTCTCCGCAGGAGACCAAGGACCCTGGGTGTTTCCCCAGACAACAGAGCCGTATCACTGGGCTCTCAAAATTCTTTCGTACCATTTCTCACCAGAAAAAAAAAAAAAATTAACCAAGATTCAGTAGATACCAGAAAGTTTGTGGGTGGGCTAGCGTTTTCTCATTACTCTGAATAGAAAAAAACAATAATAAAAACAAAATTGTGGGGCCTAGAGTGTTGTTTTATAATAAAAATAGCGTATCATAAATTTATAATTTTCTACTCAGGATAGAATGTACTTAATACATCAAATGCCTATGTATTAATACCAGATTTAATATTAATATTAAATTATTAGCAATTTAAGGAATGTATATAGTGCTTTTCCTGTGTATATATTAAATTTATTTTTCACCTAAGATTTATTTTGACTGTGTGTTCGTTTCATCACTTACTATTAAATCTCCAAAGATTACATACTTCCTTTGCCCCAAGTTCTGTACATTTTTTATTCTTCTAAAATCCTAAAAATCTCATGGGTAGTATTACTAAAGCAGCTAAATTATCCATTGGATCATCAAACATTATTGGATGTACACAATATGCCCAGCTGGATGGTAGGAGCTGGATGAACAAGGATCAGTATCTTCTGTCTTCCTAGGGCCTACACTTTGGTGGGGCTCAATAACTTTTAATCCAGGCACTACTGCTAATTTCTCATTTACCTGTAGTCAATTTCTTAATGTCATTAAGCAGTTTCTTTTTATAATAGGAAACAAAAATGAATAATATAAAATAATTTCCTTACCACACATTATTTATTATTATTGTTATTATCTTGTTTGTTTTTTGAGATGGAGCCTCACTCTTTCGCCCAGGCTGGAGCGCAGTGGCGCCATCTTGGCACACTCCAACCTCTGCCTTCTGGGTTCAAATAATTCTCCTGCCTCAGCCTTCTGAGTTGGGGGGATTACAGGCGCCTGCCAGCAAGCCTGGCTAATTTTTGTATTTACAGTAGAGACGGGGTTTCACCATTTTAGCCAGGCTAGTCTTGAACTCCTGGCCTTAGGCGATCAGCCTGCCTCTGCCTCCCAAATTGCTGGGATTATAGGCATGATCCGCCACTCCCAGCCTAAATATTATTTTTTAAAGTCATTTTTAAACAATGTTGGACACTGATACTCTATACTCAAATGAAATTAGACTCTCTGGTAATTGTTTAAAGATTTCAATTAGGTTTATCTCAATTTAACTATTCTGTTCCTGTATCAAGATTTTATAGGTGGGTTCAATTATCCAAGTACTTTCCCATCAAGTCCCGTTGTCAAAATTTACTGAATTTAAAGCATTTTAAATCATGTTTTTCCAGAATCCTAAGCATATCTAAAATATTAGTTTGATTGTAACTGGGTTGTTTAACACTGTAAGTAACTCTCTAAAAATGCCATGAACATCTGTAAAATTATGTATACATAATGATCTTATGCTTCCAGAATCTTACATATAGAAAAATAATGACTTATAATCCTGGGGTCATATAAGTAAAACCACTTGATTATTTTAATTCACCAAAACATGATAATAAATCTTAACTTTTCTTATGTATGTTAGCATGTAATATAAAAAATCTGAAGACCACTACAGAGCTTTGCTTATTTAATTTTACATAAAAATATTTTCCTTTCTGTTAAATTGATTTATTTTAGGTGAGCACGTTATTATTATTTTGACCCAGAGCTTCAAGAGAAAAAGAGCACTTGCAGTTAGAATGCATTCTGGATGGACAGTGTGGCATATTCAGAAGCAATGAGTAACATGTACAAGCTGTGAGGTAGGTAGATCTTGAAACAAGTCATTGAGAAAAACAAGTTTAAAATACAAACACAAAATTCCTATTACACAAGAACACAAGCAAATAAAAGGATTATATGTATGTGTGTATGTGTGTACATACACACATACACACATATATATGCACGTACACACACATACATATGTATGCACGCACACATGCACACACACATATGTATGCACACACATATGTATGCACACATACACACACACGTATGCAAGTATGCACACACACATATATGCATGTACACACACATATATGCATGTATACGTACACATACACACATATGTATGCACATATACACATATGTATGCATGTATACACACATACACACACATACACACATATGTATGCATGTATACACACACACACATGTATGCATGTATACACACACACATACACACATATGTATGCATGTATACACACATACACACACGTATGCACGTACACACATACATACGTGTATGTACGTACACACATACGTGTATGTATGTATACACACACATGCGCCTGCACACATACCCTTCTATATGAGAAATATGTTAAAATGTTTGCCTTTTTGCTGAGCAGAGAAATGGCAGTAGGCAACTGAGACAAAGGGAAATAAATATTAACATGAAACAAAACAAGAGCCTTGCCCAGATCACTTTTGTCATGAACTGAGACACATGATTGATTTTCTCTCTCTGTATCTGAGGTTCAGAAAAATAAGTAAATAAATAAATAAATAAATACATAAATAAAAGAATATTACCCTCATTTAAAAAACACTGTAACCTTTTAACACAGTTAATTTTGGTCTGTTATGTATATTGCAATCTATGAAGAACAGTGACAACTAAACATTGAAATACATGTCAGCCCTTTCTTTACTTTCCCCATACATCCAATTATACTCAATAATTTTGGAGGTGGGGAGTCTCAAATATATCAAAGACATCACAGAATAGACAGAGGAGTTTCCAGCACAATCCCCCATTAAATTCTATTCATTCATCTTCTCAGGTGCATCTGTGAGTTCTCTTGCCGTTGCCAGTAGACTGCTATCTTTCCAGATATGATGCTTAGCCTCTATTCCACAGATGTGAGCAGTTCAGCTTTGTCCCCAGAGACAATGTGGTATGGGATGACAAGGGACAGTGGCTCCCAGTGGATTCACAGTCATAACGTCTCTGTTCAAATCCCAGGTTGGCTGCTGACTAGCTGTATGTCCCTAGGATCGTTACTTAACTTCTATGTATCTGTAAAATGAATGGAATAATTCTACTCACATGGTTATTATGCAGTGTAAATAATTGTTTGGGTATGTAAATCACTTAGTACTGAGAGGGAGTAAGCCTTCAATATCTGTTACGACAATTAGTCCTTTAATAATAAACTTGTATACCATTTTAACAAATCAAAAGCTTTGCCGTTTACAAGACCAACACTCTTCAGAAAGCAGTCATATAATGTACTATTTTGATGCTACTCAAATCGTGTTCCACAGTTTGGTGGTCTGTAAATTAAATTGGTTGTTATAAGTCTGTGATAAGCACAGAAATTGAGAGTAAGTGTTTAGAAACCTGTGCGGTGATTTGACTAAGCAATTTTTGTGTATTGAATCTAAAAATTAAGCACGTCAGTTTAGTGCTGTTTTATTTTATTTTTCTATTAATTCTTTTAACTTTATTTTTAAAATATTGGCCTACAATGAGCTAGGATTAACAAAAACAACAATAGCAACACAACTGGTCCTTTACCACATATAATTTGAGCAGTCCTGCTTTATAGTTATTCTTTTATCTTAAGTGATTTTTACCAGATTCTTCCTACCACTTATAATATTCTCTCAGAGAGAAATTAAAGAACCTATACCTTTCTCCATGTTATTACACATGGGCATTGCATGTCTATAGAGAAGAACTGGAAGATTTCTATGAATTTTATAAAATGAATGATATTTCATTAAGTAAGAATATAACCACTTATTCTCTTATAGAGTATTGGTTATTAATTTCATTCTCTATTATTATAAATAGCATAAAAATGAACATCCTCATATGTTAACTTTTTCATAAAGTTACAATTATTTCCTAAAAATTAATTTCTAAATGTGAAATTGGGTCATAAGAAACACATTTTTAAGTGTTTGTTATACATTGACAAATTTCTTTCTCAAACATTGTACTAATTTGCAGTATCTCAAACAGTGCTCGTGAGTATGCCAATTTTCTCCTGATTATCTAAATTTTTTTTTTTTTAATTGATCATTCTTGGGTGTTTCTCGCAGAGGGGGATTTGGCAGGGTCATAGGACAATAGTGGAGGGAAGGTCAGCAGATAAACAAGTGAACAAAGGTCTCTGGTTTTCCTAGGCAGAGGACCCTGCGGCCTTCCGCAGTGTTTGTGTCCCTGGGTACTTGAGATTAGGGAGTGGTGATGACTCTTAACGAGCATGCTGCCTTCAAGCATCTGTTTAGCAAAGCATATCTTGCACCGCCCTTAATCCATTTAACCCTGAGTGGACACAGCACATGTTTCAGAGAACACAGAGTTGGGGGTAAGGTCACAGATCAACAGGATCCCAAGGCAGAAGAATTTTTCTTAGTACAGAACAAAATGAAAAGTCTCCCATGTCTACTTCTTTCTACACAGACACGGCAACCATCTGATTTCTCAATCTTTTCCCCACCTTTCCCCCCTTTCTATTCCACAAAACCGCCATCGTCATCATGGCCTGTTCTCAATGAGCTGTTGGGTACACCTCCCAGACGGGGTGGTGGCCGGGCAGAGGGGCTCCTCACTTCCCAGTAGGGGTGGCCGGGCAGAGGTGCCCCTCACCTCCTGGAAGGGGCGGCTGGCCGGGCGGGGTGCTGACCCCCCCACCTCCCTCCCGGACGGGGCGGCTGGCCTGGCGGGGGCTGACCCCCACCTCCCTCCCGGATGGGGTGGCTGCCGGGCGGAGATGCTCCTCACTTCCCAGACGGGGCGGCGGGGCAGAGGCGCTCCCCACATCTCAGACAATGGGTGGCCGGGCAGAGACGCTCCTCACTTCCTAGATGGGATGGCGGCTGGGAAGAGGCGCTCCTCACTTCCTAGATGGGATGGCGGCCGGGCAGAGACGCTCCTCACTTTCCAGACTGGGCAGCCAGGCAGAGGGGCTCCTCACATCCCAGACGATGGGCGGCCAGGCAGAGACGCTCCTCACTTCCCAGACGGGGTGGCGGCCGGGCAGAGGCTGCAATCTCGGCACTTTGGGAGGCCAAGGCAGGCGGCTGGGAGGTGGAGGTTGTAGCGATCCGAGATCACGCCACTGCACTCCAGCCTGGGCACCATTGAGCACTGAGTGAACGAGACTCCGTCTGCAATCCCGGCACCTCGGGAGGCCGAGGCTGGTGGATCACTCGCGGTTAGGAGCTGGAGACCAGCCCGGCCAACACAGTGAAACCCCGTCTCCACCAAAAAAATACGAAAACCAGTCAGGCGTGGCGGCGCGCGCCTGCAATCGCAGGCACTCGGCAGGCTGAGGCAGGAGAATCAGGCAGGGAGGTTGCAGTGAGCCGAGATGGCAGCAGTACAGTCCAGCTTAGGCTGGGCATCAGAGGGAGACTGTGGAAAGAGAGGGAGAGGGAGACTGTGGGGAGAGGGAGGGGGAGAGGGGAGAGGGGAGAGGGGAGAGCTCAAAATACTACTTTTAATGAATGGGCTTTACTGTTAAGTTATAGCTGAATGATTACTATTTTGAGATCACCCCAAATTTTATTATGAATAAATAATTCTCGACTTTCTAGCTCCAAGCTTAATTCCCATGAAGACTGAACATCTTGCTTTTTAATTATTTCCTTTCAATTTGTGCAAGCTTCATTATAATTTAGTTACTTGCAACCACAATCTTCCTTTCTAAAGATTATTTTCTTCTCTGATAGCCCATTTATCACTTGACCTATTTGTAAATTTTATTATTTGAATTCCTCATGTTAGTTATTAGCTAAGTCTTTGCATTTCACATGCTGTATTTTAATTTTGCTTATGTTACTTTTGAGGAAGCTGTTAATACCGTTAAAATGAATATACTTTTATATTTTCTGACTTTCTTATAATACTTCAGAATCCTTTTTTCATATGCAATATTTATTTGAATTTTACCAATATTATAGTATAGCTAATTTGTTTATTTGCTTACTTGGTATTTTTAATACAAGTAGTTCTCTCTTTGTGGCAGTTTTAGGACTATAAAAATAAAATACCCAAACATGTAAAGTAATTTTATTAATGAGTAGGACTATTCCGATTTTCTGTGACCTTTAAAATTTTCTATCCAAACAGTAAAAACTTTCTTAATGTTGATTATAGATGTATAGATATGCAAAAACTCAGTAAAACTAATATTTACTTAGTACATCATAATTTAAAACCTTAGAGACATTGAGAACCAAAGTGTTCTATTTCTTTCCTAAAAAACTTTTCTTTTTTTCTTTTTGTATAAGTTATGATGAGAAAATGATATTTTTTCATGCTCTGGTAAGTTATCTTACTCCTTTTCAAGTTTGAATCAGCTTCCAACATTTTACCCTTTGTGCTTAAAATGTTATAGAATATCTCTGAGAGTTCCTGTGAAGTTTTTATGAGTGTCACCTTATCTGGGACATGTTCATCGTTTTAATCACAACAACTTTCCTCATTTATGTCACTAAGTTCACCTTTACAATAATAGTTTTCTTTGGCTACATGTCTCTTGAATGGCAGTGTTAACATTCTCACAGTCAGTTATGTATTGTGTTAGTATGCAGTGTAAATAATTGTTTGGGTATGTAAAGCACTTAGTGCTGAGAGGTAGTAAGCCTTCAATATATGTTAGTTATGACAGTTAGTCCTTTAATAATAAACTTGTATATCATTTAACAAATCAAATTCTATCTGAATTTGATTCTTTGAATTTACATTCTATTTGAATTTCACTTCCAGCATCTTCACTTTTCTTCATCTTCCTCCTTCTTTTTGCTACACTTCTATCTTTTTTGGTCATTTCTCTCTTTCAATTTTCCATTTTCCATAAAACGTAGCATAGATTTACCACTGGGAGACAGGGAGGCAACACAGTGCTACACTTTGCTGCCTGGTTGTGGACCTGTTAATAGATGCTCCGAAATCAATTGCCAACACATTTTGAAACAAGTGTCATGGTTGGTGACTGATCATGATGTACATCAAACATTAACTTACTGAGTTGTGGACCAGTCCCCAAAAACACAGTTTAATTTAAATTGCCACATTTTAGTTAAATAACAACAGTCCTCCAACAACACAGTTTAAATTTCAGTTTTCATGATATATGAATTGTGAGTAATTACGTAAAGTAAAAACTTTGCTTACAGCTCTTTAGTCCACAACTCAGTTTTTGTGTGGTTCATCAAAGATCAATTAGATATAAGTATTGTGCTTTATTTCTAAGTTCTCTATTATGTTCCATTTGTCTATGTGCCTATTTTTAAACCAGTACCATGCTGTTTTGGTAAATATAGCCTTGTAGTATAATTTGAAGTCAGGTAATGTGGTGCCTCCAGATTTGTTTTTTTTTGCTTAGCATTGCTTTGGCTATGCAGGCTGTTATTTGGTTCCATATAAATTTGGGGATTTATTTTTTCTATTTCTGTGAAGAATGATGATGGTATTTTGATGGGAATTTCATTGAATCCATGGATTGCTTTGGGCACTATGGCCATTTTCACAATATTGATTTTTCCATCCATGAGCATGACACGCATGTATTGCCATTTGTATGTGTCATCCATGATTTCTTTCAGCAGTGTTTTGCAGGTTTCATTGTAGAGATCTTTCACCTCCTTGGTTAAGTATGTTCCTAAGTATTTATTTATTTATTATTTATTTTGCAGCTGTCGTAAAAGGGAATGAGTTCTTGATTTAATTTTCAATTTTCAGCTTGGTCATTATTGGTCATTGTAGCAGTGCTACTGGTTTATGCATGTTGATTTTGTATCCTGAGACTTTAGTGAATTCATTTATCAGATCTAGGAGGTTTTTGGATGAGTCTTTGGGGTTTTCTGGGTATAAGATCATATCATCGGTGAACAGCAACAGTTTTTGACTTAATTTTTTTCAATTTGGATTTTTTAAAAATTTATTTCTCTTGCCTGATTACTCTGGCTGGGACTTCCAGTACTATGTTGAATAAAATTCATGAAAGTGGGAATCCTTGTCTTGTTTCAGTTATCAGAGGGAATGCTTTCAACTTTTCTCCTGTTCAGTATGATGTCAGCTGTGGGTGTGTCATATATGGCCTTTATTACTTTGAAATAAATCTCTTCTCTGCCTATTTTGTTGAGGGTTTTTATCATAAATGGATACTGGATTTTATCAAATACATTTTCTACATCTGTTGAGATGATCACATATGGTTTTTGTTTTTAATTATGTTTATGTGATATATTATATTTATTGACTTGCATATGTTAAACCATTCCTAAATCCCTATGATGAAACCAACTTGATCATGATATATTACCTTTTTGAGGTGCTATTGGATTTGGTTAGCTAGTATTTTGTTAAGGATTTTTGCAACTCTCTTCATCAGGGATATTGGTCTGTAGTTTTCTTTTTTTTGTTATGTCCTGTCTTGATTTTGGTATTAGGGTAATACTAGCCTTATAGAATGATTTAGGGAGGATTTCTTCTTTTTCTATCTTTTAGAATATTTTTAGTAGGATTGGTACCAATTCTTTGAATGTCTGGTAGATTTCAGCTGTGAATCCATCCGGTCTTGGACGTGTTTGTTATTGTTGGCAATTTAATTTTTTTTATTACTGATTCAATCTCGCTGCATGTTATTGGTCTCTTCAGGGTTTCTATTCCTTCCTGATTTAATCTAGGGGAGTTATATATTTCTAGGAAATGATCCATTTTCTCTAGATTTTCTAGTTTGTGTGCATAAAGATGTTCATAGTAGCTTTGAATGATCTGTATTTCTGTGGTATTGGTTATAATAATTCCTGTTTCATTTCTAATTGAGCTTATTTGGATCTTCTCTCTTGTTTTCTTGGTTAATCTTGCTAATGATTTATCAATTTTGTTTATGTTTTCAAAGAACTAGCTTTCAATTTTATTTATTGTATTTTTTTTGTTTCAATTTCATTTAGTTCTGCTCTGATTTTTGTTATTTCTTGTCTTCTGCTGGGTTTGGGTTTGTTTTGCTCTTGTTTCTCTAGTTCCTTGAGGTGTGACATTAGTTTGTCAATTTGTGCTCTTTTCGACATTTAGATGCAGGCATTTAACACTATGAATTTTCCTCTTAGCACCACTTTTGCTATATCCCAGATGTTCTGATAGGTTGTGTCGCTATTATCATTTATTTCAAAGAATTGTAAATTTCTTCTTGGTATCATTGCTAACCCCAGATAATTCAAGAGTAGATTATTTAATTTCCATGTGTTTATTTAGTTTTGAGGATTTCTTTTGGAGTTGATTCCCAGTTTTATTCCACTGTGGTCTGAGAAGATACTTTATATGATTTGGATTTTCTTAAATTTATTGAGATTTGTTTTGTGACCTATCATATGATGTATCTTGGAGAATGTTCCATGTACTGATGAGAAGAATGCATATTCTGCAGTTGTGGGTAGAATGTTCTGTAAATATCTGTTAGGTCTATTTTTTCTAGAGTATAGTTGTTGGGAAGATTTTTGAAGAAAGGAAGTGAGAGAGAAGGCAACTCATAGGCCAAACAGGTTTATTTACAAGAATAAGCCCTCGAGGGATTCCAGTCAGGAATCTGGCTGAGACCCTGATCACTTACAAGTTGAGTTTTTATAATGAAGTTTCTATAGGGGAAGGGTTGGAGAAGTGCTGGCAGGTTGGAAGCATAGGGGGCTGGGTAAGGATGTGGTAAGGGCCGGACAGGCTTCATCGTAGTCAGGGTTGTTATGTTCTATTAAAGGTATGGGCGAGGTTGACTTTTGCCTTGTTTTTGGGAACACTGTTACCAAGGTAGGAAACACAGCCACCAAGGTAGAAAAATGGCATCATTTTGTTAATTCTCACAATTGTTTAAGTCCATGTTTGTTGACTTTTTCTCTCAATGGCAGTATAGTGTTGAAGTCGCCCACTATTATTGTATTGCTGTGTATCTCATTTCCTAGGCCTAGTAGTAATTGTTTTATAAATCTGGGAGCTCCAGTGTTAGGTTCATATAAATGTAGGATTGTGATATCTTATTGGACTAATTATTTTATCATTATATGTGTCCTTCTTAGTCTTTTTTTACTACTGTTGCTTTAAAGTCTGTTTGTCAGACATAAGAATAACTATTTCTGCTCACTTTTGGTTTCCATTTGCATGGAATATCTTTTTCCACTCCTTCACCTTAAATTTATATGGGTCCCTATGAGTTAGATGAGTCTCTTGAAGTAGACATTTGGTTGGCATTTTTTTTAATCCATTCTGCCATTCTCTATCTTTTAAATGGAGCATTTAGGCCATTTACATTCAATGTTAATATTGAGATGTGAGGTACTGTTCTATTCATTATGTTAGTTGTTACCTAGATACTTTTTTTTTCATTGTGTTATTGTTTTATAGGCCCTGTGAGATTTGTGATTTAAGGAAGTTCTATTTTGGTGCATATCAAGCTTTTCTTTCAAGATTTAGAACTCCTTTTAGCATTTCTTGTAGTACTGGTTTTGGTAGTGGCAAATTCCCTCAGCATTTGTTTGCCTGAGGGAATTTGCACTACCATTTGTTTGTCTGAAGGAGACACTTTGTATCTCCTTCATTTATAAATCTTAGTTTTGCTAGATACGAAATTCTTGGCTGACCATTATTTTGTTTATGGAAGCTAAAGATAGGACCTCCATCCCTTCTGGCTTGGAAGGTTTCTGCTGAGAAATCTACTGTTAGCCTGATAGGTTTGCCTGTATACGTTACCTGAGCTTTTGTCTCACAGCTCTTAAAATTCTTCCTTCATGTTGACTTTAGATAGCATGATGACTATGTGCCTTGGTGATGATCATTTTGCAATGAATTTCCCAGAAGTTCTTTGAGCTTCTTGTATTTGGATACCTAGATCTCTAACTAGGCTAGGGGAGTTTTCCTCAATTATTCCTTCAAATAAATTTTTCCAACTTTTAGACTCCTCTTCTCCCTCAGGAACACCAGTTATTCCTATATTGGCCATTTTACATAATCCCACATTGTTAAGACACTAGTCTTTATTTTTAAATTCTTTTTTCTTTAACTTTGTCTGATTGGCTTAACTCAAAAGCATTGTCTTTGAGCTCTGAAATTCCTTCTTCTACTTGTTCTTATCTATTGTTGAAACTTTTCACCGCATTTTGCATTTCTCTGAGTGTGTCTTCCATTTCCAAAAGTTCTGATTGACTTTTCTTTATGATGTCTATCTCTTTTGAAAATTGTTCATTCATATCCTGGATTTCTTTATGTTGGTTTTCACCTTCCTCTGGTGTGGGGAAAAGAAAGAGAGATCAGATTGTTACTGTGTCTATGTAGAAAAGGAAGACATAAGAAACTCCATTTTGATCTGTACAAAGAAAAATTGTTTCTGCTTTGAGATGCTGTTAATCTGTAACTTTAGCCCCAACCCTGTGCTCACAGAAACATGTGCTGTATTGAATCCAGGTTTAAGGGATTTAGGGCTGTGCAGGATGTGCCTTGTTAACAATATGTTCGCAGACAGTATGCTTGGTAAAAGTTACTGCCATTCTCCATTCTCTATTAACCAGGGACACGATGCACTGCGGAAAGCCGCAGGGACCTCTGCCCAAGAAAGCCTGGGTATTGTCCAAGGTTTCCCCCGACTGAGACAGCCTGAGATATGGCCTCGTGGGAAGGGAAAGACCTAACGGTCCCCCAGCCCAACACCTAAGACCCATAAAGGGTCTGGGCTGAGGAGGATTAGTAAAAGAGGAAGGCCTCTTTGTGGTTGAGATAAGAGGAAGGACTCTGTTTGCCGCACGTCCCTGGGAGCAGAATGTCTCAGTATAAAGCCAACTGTTTGTTCTATTCTGAGATAGGAGAAAACTGCCCTGTGGCTGGAGGCGAGATATGCTGGCAACAATACTGCTCTGTTACTCTTTGCTACACTGAGATGTTTGGGTAAAGAGAAACATGCACATCCAGGCACAGTACCTTCCCTTGAACTTATTTATGATGCAGATTCCATTACTCACATGTTTTCCTGCTGACTTTCTCCCCACCATCACCCTGTTCTCCTGCTGCACCCCCCTTGCAAAAATAGTGAAAACAGTAATCAATAAATACTGAGGGAACTCGGAGACCGGTGCCAGTGCAGGTCCTCACATGCTGAGTGTGCCAGTTCCCGGGCCCACTGTTCTTGCTCTATACTTTGTCTCTGTGTCTTATTTCTTTTCTAATTTTCTCAGTCTCTCATCCCACCTGACGAGAAATACTCACAGGTGTGGAGGGGCAGGCCCGCTTCACTCTGGCATCTCCTTGAGGAGCTTAATAATCAACCTTCTGAATTCTTTATCTGGCATTTCAAAGATTTTATCTCATTTGGATCCATTGCTGTGGAATTTGGGGGTGTTATAGAACCCTGTTTAGTCATATTGCCAGAATTACTTTTCTGGTTTCTTCCCATTTGGGTAGACTATTTCTTCAAACTGTTCTTGAATTTATTTTTGATTTCACTATATACTTTTTAATTTCTTTTTTTCCCTCTTAAGGATCTGACTTTAGTGTTTATTATTATTATAGCCTAATTTGATTCTTGGTACTTTTAGGGGTGAAGATGCTATATGAGTTCCTTAGTTATAAAGAGTCTTTGTGCACTGACTTTCCCAGATCCTGATTGTAATGTACGTACTTGTCGTGTGAGCAAGTTCACTGTCTGTTATGCGGTTGGAATTTTAGGGATCTCTTGAAGCTTGTCTCATTCTCTTATGGTGTATATATTATTTATTTATTTAATTTTTCCCCAGTATTTTATTTGCTGATTTGATGATTCAGGCTTCAGGCCAGTAAGGGAGATATCCCTGGGTAGGCACTGGTTATAGCTAAAGCAAGTGGGTGGATGTATTACCCAATAGTGGGCAGAGGTCCCAGCCTTGATGAAGGTGGCTGAGGGAGTGATGGGTGGGATCTACCTCAGCTCCACTGCCAGGGCAGCAGGAAAGCCATCCACCTCCCTTCCAGCCTCGCTCCTGTCCTAGTGTTCCAGCTATTCATATCAGACAAGGATCTGGCCTCTTTCCCATGATTCCTCCCTTAGAATGGGCTGTCTGCTTGCACAGTGCCCTTCTCACGTGTGGGAAGTGAACACACGCAGTGTGTTTAGGAAGTTGTATGCATGTCCATCTGAGGCTTATCTTTCCTTTTCCAATGGAATGTCCCCAGAAAGTCACACTCCACCATTTTGTGTCACAATGCAAATGCCCAGGAAGTTGCTTCTCCCTGGCACCTGCATTCAATGAACACCTAAGTGCAACAGGTGGGGATATCAGGAAATGGCTTCTTCTTGGCACAGGCTGCCAATTTATCACTTTTAAAGAGGCAATGTGGTAGTTGCTGAATTACCACCTGATATTCCTAGTGGGTTGGGGGGGTAGCCCACTCCTGCCTCACTCATGCCTGTCTAACTACCTGTAACACCTCTGCTGCTCAGAAATATTCACAAACGGAGTGGGAGTGGGGAGAAGCAGTCAGCAGAAAGCCCCACCCAGCTCCCACGCAGTTGGTGAGGCTGGTCTCACTCCCACAGTGCTCCCTTAATAATTACTAGGTTTAAATCCAGGAAGTCTGCTCACAGAATTCAGACCTGCCCCAGGCCATGAGCTTCCCTGCATAGATAGCAAGCACAGCTTTCAGGCCACACTCCTCCCCTTCTGCCCATAAAGCTGAGCTGCGAGCTTCTGTGTTCATGTCTGCAGCACACTTCCTGCTGGCCCCCAGATTCTGGTCAAGGGAGTTTGTCCCCATTCAAGATTATATCATAAAATTCAGTTGGGAGCTTTCATCTTGCGACCCCTCCCTGAGTTCTCTGGCTGATTTCTTCAAGAGCCCCTGTGGGATATAGTCAGAAGTGACTTCCCCACATTTACTGTGGAGATTAGGAATGACTACAAGACACTTCTGCTGTTGCTTCTACTTTAATATTTCATGCAGCTTCTTAAATTCAAGCATGTCAGCTCTGGGTAGGGTTAAGCCCTTCTCCCTGACCTGGATTTTCAGATTCCCTGCTGGGGACATGTGCTTAGAGGCAGAATCTCCCCATCTCATACTCCAGGAACTCACAGTTTTTCACTTGTCTCACAGAGTAGGTTGCAACCTGCCAGTTCCTTCAAAGGAACTATGGATTCTTTTGGGTTTCCTGTTAAATTCCTGCATTGGCTCTTGGGGAAAAAAAAAGTCACAGCATGAATCTCTATCCACTATTCTATACTTCCAAGTGGGACAGGCATGCTAACACTGCCTCCAGTCTGCCATCTTGAAGAAAGAAAAAAAACTCATTGTTTTTTTCTTACCAAATTATGTTACTTGCCATATTTCTTATTTCATATTAATTACTGGAAGATTTGTAGTCATATTTGTATTCTGTAGCTGGAAAATATGTTGGTGGGCACTTCATGTATTGATGGCATGTTTCCTTTATGTTACGTTTCCTTTTCTCATTTTTCCTTTGTCCCACTTTTTTTATTATTTAATTATATTGGTATTTTTTATTCTCATTACATACACACGTATACATTTATCTTAAAACCTTTCAGACAAAGATACAAACAAATAGGTGGATATAAATAAAGACTGATTTTATAAAGTTATAAAATCTTTAAAGTTATCTTCAGTCACAAAAAAAATTTGTATTTAAAACTTTCATATTCAAATTTGGCATAAAACCATCTGGTCAACAATTTTGTGAGAAAACAGGATTAAAAATCTTGACAAACTTAGAATTTAAAGCCATTTGCTGGTTTGTTTATCTAAATATCAAGGGTGAGCAAATGTGCGTTTTAAAGTCATTGGTTTGAAAAGAAAGTAAAAATTACAATATTACAAGATTCGTTTGTAAAGAGCAACCTTCTGTTTTCCAAACAAGTTTAGCCACCTCAGTAGCCTAATCGGCAGCTCAGTTAGCCATTCTTTCCTTATGCCGAGGTCACAATTAACTGGCTGGGCAGGCAAGAAAAAATTCAAGGGCATAATGCATTTTTGGTTAATTTGCTTTAGTTCTGTAGATGAAAATTATTGTGAACGAAATCATATCTGTAGATTCATAACTAATATGCAAGATGAATATTACATAACAGCTCTTGCAGCATTAGAAACAGAATTGTGAGTGTTGCCAACAGCAACTAAAGAAACAAGGCTAGAGTTAATTGGAGGTGATGGATTAGGACAACAATTAGATTTGGACATCAAGACAATTATGGGAGGAATTAGAAATGCCTTTTCTTTTACCATTACAGAGAGATAGAGTACTTAAGGATCTCTTGCAAGGAGCGATTTGATGCTGGAAGAGAAAGGAACACATTATATGGGCCAGAAGACTGCCTTTATGCAATTAATTTAAGTTATTCTTACACATAATGGTATTTATTGAACAAAGGGTATACTCCAGATGTGCTCTTTTTAAAATAGCATTTGATATTTTACTTGTAATATAAAGTCTTTAAAGACTGCTTTTCTTTCTTTAGCTATGTTTCTACATTAAGGAAATGATTGAAAATTAGTGCCATATGAAATTATCTTTTAATTCAGGGCTTATTTAAACACTGTAAGCAGAGTCTTTAAAAACCAGGTTATCTTGAAAAGAACACTTGAAAAAAAATTTCCTGCCAGTTCATGTCAATTATTTGTGTGAACTATTGTTACTCAAACACCAGCTGGCAAACATGTTGCCTAAAACTTTTTTTTTTTTGAAGAGTGTTATACATCCTTCTGGATGATCTTAACCTTATTGTTAGAGACAATTTTATGTAATGCATAGAAGGAAGAGTCTATGTAACATTATTTCCAGAGGAAAAAAAAAACTTTTTTAACATTCAATTAAAAATTAGAGTACATTTCATTTTGATCATAGAAACAGTACATACTTAGAGAATTTGTGAAATACAAAGAAATTGGAAGAAGAGGAGAAAACTGAAATTCTTATTATATAAATAAAATTACTGATTATATTTTGCTATATTTCCTTTCAGATGGATATTAAATAATATTTTAATAAATGTAAATGTAGTATAGTTTTTTATAATTAGGAGAACATATAAATACATAAATAAGAATACATTCCAAAGTAATTACTATAGATTTTTAGTAATTTGTCTTTCAACATTTTGGTTTATAGTCCTTTTTCTTTTATTTATGTAGTTTTAATCTTATAGTCTATGAAATTTTATATTCTGAATTTTAGGTATTATAATTATTGTGGAAATTTTTTTAATTGCTATATAATATTATATTATATGGATAAAGCATCATTAGCACATCTATTCCCTCATACTTGATACTTCGTTTTTTCTTACTCTTTAAAAAATGTTATAATTATTATCTTTGTATATATAAAGTGTTTCCATGAATTTTTGTTTGTTTGCTTTTGTTTGTTTTGTTTTTTTTTCCTTAAAATAAACTGTGGAATAATAAATAGTGGAATTTTTAGGGCAAAAGTTGTTAATATTTTTAAGATCTCCAATACACATGTTTTAAATGTTAACTTTTTTCAAATATGCGTCTATGAAAAAACTAATATTTGAGGAGAATCCATTTCTATGAAATGGTGAACTAGACGATTCAGATCATCTCCTGTCAAAGCTACCTAAAGAAGAGGACCAATTAAAATTATCTTAATAAAATGATGACAGCCTCATAGAATAGGGAGAGAAGAATGTGCCACTTCTCAGGGGAATTTTCGACCGTAAGAACACCATTGAAAGGCAGACAATAGGGTCAGAGTCCTGGATGCATCTGAGAGGGAAACTATCATTTAACAAATGGAAAGCTGGAAAGTTGAGAGCTAATATTCTTGCTCTGGGCAGGAACCTGGAGAAACTGCCTTCAAGAGGTAGGGTATGGACTTAACTCCAGCAGGCCATGTAGTTAACTAAATCACACAGTTCTCAAGTTTTGGTCTTGGTCTGCTCATACACACTACTGTAGAAGAAAACAGAAGTCATTTCTGAAAGAATACATCAACATCTTAGGACTCAAATTATTTTTGAAAATAATTATTCAAGTAAACAATCAAAGACAACAAACTAGAATCAGTACATCATCATTTAATACATGTTGATCTAGAGGAAGTCTGGTTATGAAAACTCTCAGATACATATTATGATACAATTGTGCTTAGTCTGTTCAGAGTAAGAAAAATGAATTTAGAATTTAAAGCAAGAAACTGGAAATTATAAAAAGTGATACTGCATATTTGAATAAAAATCAATGAGAAATTATGAAACCAAAATATATACTAACTAAAACCAAGTATGATTTTATTAGCAGGTCAGACACAGCTGAGCTAGAAAAAAAGCAGAGAAACAAATACAAAAATCAAGAAAATGGGTAAGAGAGAATACCAAGAGAGGGTGTAATACCTGTCTCGCAACAAAAGAGGAAAGCAACAAAAAAGAATAGCCAAAATGAGGCACAAGGAGATTTTTAATGGGATAATAGATGGGAATTTCCCAGAATTGCTGAAGTAAACAAAGCATTAAAATATTAAAAGTAGCTAAAGATTAGCCTCAAAGGAATGATTGGCTACTGAGCAACATTAGAGGCCTAGGACAGTGGAGAATCTTCAAGATGCCAAGGCACATACTTGCCAGCCAGAATTTCTCCACTGTAGACAATAACATATTTTAAAATGAAGTAGGGATAAATACATTTGCAGACACACCATAAAGAATTCACTACCAGCAGACAAAAATGCAAAAAGAAACAACAAAAACTATTCTTCAGGCAGAAAAAAAGATAATCTCAGAGGTAATCTCCGAAACGAAGCAAGAAGAAAAGGCAAAGAATATGAATCTGAGAGTAAATCTAAATGAACACTAATGATATAGAGTAATTATAACCGTATTGTGGGACTTAAAATATATGATATTCATTAAGACATCTAAAATGTTTTTTAGTAAGACAACAAATGAAGTTAAAGTGTGCTAAGTGCATGTGTTGTGCAATAAGAGAGTAAATATATGCAGAAAATACAAATTTTGTATCTAAAAGGAGATTAGCAACAGTATTCATTTAGCTGGAGTTTCACTGATTAAATCCCTTTGTCCAAAAAAATACAAATGTGATAATAAATGCAAGGCAGGGCTCTCTATGTAATGTTTGTTTTCATTATGTAAGAGTGGCCTTCAATCATTACTTACCCTGAATATTAGTTTCTCATGTAAAAAAACAGAGTTACATAAGCTTATGGGAAAATCCAAATAAAAAATTTTCTTTCCATTATAATAGAAACTCATGTTTTACTCTGAATGCAGGTGCTGTGATGCCATCTAGGCAAAGAGATTATAAGAAAAATGATGAAATCACGATGTCCTCATTTCTCCATAATGTTGTGGGATCAAGAATTGTGAAAAGAAGGAAAAATGAATCTGAAATCAACAACCATTATCTCATATGGACTCTAGATAGATCTTTGACCTGACTATTCATACATCAGAGGAATAATGATGAAATTTGAAAACTGTTCACAAAAGTAATATTGTTTTATGGTCTGAAGATTAATATTCTGTAAATGAAGAAACAAAGAGCCTGACAGATTAGGAACATGAAGAGAGCTAACACTTCTGGCAACAAATGATTCCATTTCAAGATTTTTAAACACTTAATTAAAATAAAACTCTTATAAAAGTGTAAAGAAACACTATGAATAGTGAAAGGGAATAAGAGAGGTTTCAAATGAGTTTGTTTTTTATGTATTTTTCTCATTAATTTGCAAGAAGGCAACTTATACATTTGCATTAGGATGAGGTTGGGGATCATAGCGACTTTAAAGTGCCGACTATTTTATTTTTGTAAATGTGCAAAACACTTAAAATATCAGAACCAAATGCTGCATATTTTAACAAGTAAAAGGAAAGCTGACTATCAATAATGTATGATATTACACTACATAATAAGAAATGTATGATTTTATTTTCTTTAAATACATTTTTATAAACATGAAATAGAATTGCTCTTATAATACATTTTGAATTTATTGGGGTATTATTTGATTTGAAATTCAATGAAGTAAAATGAGAAAGGATTTTAAAATACGTATAAGACATTTGATCCCAAACTAGATACTTTTCACATTTACAGATATTACTAGACTGTAATTAAAGGGACATGAATAGTTTGCATCTTTTTACTGTTGTAGCCTAAGGGTCTCACCGGAACACAGAGCATGAACCTAGCATATACTCCTAGCGTCTATGTGCTTGACGCATAAATGAAAATCACTGAGGATGAGTTAAGAAATGATTTTTTGTTTAAATTTCCATCAGTAGTTTCTAACTTTATTTTTTGAAATTTAATAGAATCTGTGAATTTGTTTTCTGACAAAATATAAATATGCAATCTATAGTTTAAAACTTGTGTATTTTTGGATACAATTTTTGATGGACACCCCATAATGAGACACCTTTGGGCTTCATAGATCCATCTATTGCCAAAAATGTTAGTGAAGCTGTAAAAATACTCAAAATTCAAAAGTATTGGAGATAGATTTTAATGTATTTTTAAAATTTAAATCTAATACTATTCTTTTTTTCTTCTTCAGCCTTAAGCTCCTGTTTGTGTTTCTCCTTTATACTTTACAGGTATGCTGGCAAATGATTTTGTATATGTGAAATCCTACCACGTGTTGTGCCATAGATATATTATGTAAGCACATGCACAGATTTTGTGTATAAACATGTCCAAAATGGTGGCGAACCAGCTTATGCAGGGACTAGATTTTGAACACGATAAATAAGGTGTAAAATCGTATGTGACCAAATAAACTTTGAAAATCTTTTAAGTCACCCTTAAATCTCTGAGACGTTGGCTCTTGAAAGTTCAAAGTCAAGAAATTTATTATTCAACAAAGATTTATTCAGTACTTACTTCTTGACAGGTATAGTTTGAGGTGCTGGAGATACGAAAGTCACAAAATAGCAGAAGTCTGTACCCTCATAAAGCCTACATTTTCATGTGGGACACAGATAATACAAGCGATAAACACATTTTGTCTGTTTTATATGTAGTGATACATTAAAGAGAAAAAACAAACCACTTTTAATTCTTTTTTTTTTCATCTTTTCCTACAGCAAAGGAAAAAGCAACAAGGTAAAGGAAACTCTCTTCCTCCCTTCTCTCTCTGTCTCCCTCCGCCTCCCTCTCCCATCTGTCCCCTCCCCCCTTCCCCTCCCCTCCCCTCCCCTCTCCTCCCCTCCCCTCTGCTCTCTTCCCCTCCCTTCGCTTCCCTTCCCTCATTTCTCTCTGCCCAGCTGCTATTGTTAAATCCAGTTCCCTTCAATGCTGGAATTATATAATTTTAGATATTGTAGATCATTTGAATTCTAGATTTTGACAAAATTTGAACTACTCACAACATCCTTATCAAATTGTTTTAACCAATCTGCAAAATGCCTGAAGCAAAGGCTAAAGGAGGTGATGCATTTTGAGATTAGTATGTAGGAAAAACCCCTTAGGTAAATGAGTGAGCCTAGCTGACCATGTATGTATCTCAGGGTATATATTTATTTTATTTTCCCTAGCGAGCTCCTTTTCATTACATTTAATGACCACCTCTTGGAATTTATCCTCCATTTCCTCTCAGTATCATTTTGTAGAAGTATTTGTGTCATCTCCTCCAAAGTCTCTCCATTTGTTCAGGTTCATATGATTATAATGTTTTTGATTCTGTATTTGTATTAGTTCATTCTTGCATTGCTATAAATAAATACCAGAGACTGCCGGGCATGGTGGCTGACGCCTGTAATCCCAGCACTTTGGGAAGCAGGGTGGCGGATCACGAGGTCAGGAGATGGAGACCATCTTGGCTAACACGGTGAAACCCCTTCTTTACTAAAAATACAAAAAATTAGCTGGGCATGGTGGTGGACGCCTGTAGTCCCAGCTACTCGGGAGGCTGAGGCAGGAGAATGGCGGGAACCCGGGAGGTGGAGCTTGCAGTGAGCCGAGATCGCGCCACTGCACTCCAGCCTGGGTGACAGAGCGAGACTCAGTCTCAAAAAAAAAAAAAAAAGAAAAGAAAAAAAAGAAAAAAGAAATACCAGAGACTGGATAATTTATAAAGAAAAGAGGTTTAATTAGCTCAGAGTTCCACAGGCTGTACAGGAAGATGGCGCTGGCATTTGCTGGGCTTCTGGAGAGGTCGCAGGAAACTTTCAATCATGGCAGAAGATGAAGGAATCAAGTCAAGCACATCTTACGTGGCTGGAGCAGGCGGAAGAGGGGGAGGGGGAGGTGCCACCCGCTTTAAAATGACCAGATTTCAGCAGAACTATCTCACTATACCAAGGGGGATATCTGCCCCCATAATCCAATCACCTCCTAGCAGGCCCCACCTCCAACACTGAGAATTACAATTAAACACGAGATTTCGGTGTGGAATACTGTCCCAAATCATATCAGTATTAAATAGCAATATTTTGCTGGCTAACCCTTTCATTTTTCTGAATAGCAAACTATCTTTTCCCTAATGCTCCATTCTTGGGATGTTCCTACTTTCTCTATAATCTATTTTCAGGCCACATAATGATTTCAATTCTTACTTCTGTGTCTGTGAGTATTGTATTTGAATCTCCAATGAAACCCTCTCTTTCTCAAACTCCAGTACCACATTTTGAACTACTGGACATCAAATTCACTTTCTGGACATCTCTATTTGCAGGAACCCTGTATACCTCAAGTCCAATGTGTCTAATGATGAATTCGTTACTTTCCCGTTCACAGTTGCCATTTTTCTCGTGTCCCTTACTCTAAAGATAATTAAGACTAAAGCTATGTTTCAGAATCATCCTTGAGGCCTCCTTCTCTGCAGTCCTCCAAATTTAGTAATTAATTATTATCAAATTCAAAATATATACAATTTGTTTCTTTCATCATCAACATGAGGCTACTGCCTATGATCACTCATGTTGTACAGTGCAAAACTTAGGAGTTTCTATTTACATATTCTTTTATGGGAATGATACTCATTAAAGATGTGCAGAGTCATCTTCCTAAAGCATTTCTTTTACCCTTTATTTCTTCCCTCTAATCAGAAACAAGGAATATGAGAAAGCAGAAAGTGTGCAGATAATGGGATCAGATAATCTACGAAAAGAATTGCGATGGTTGGCGCAGTGTCTCACACCTGTAAGCCCAGCACTTTGGTAGCTTAAAGCAGGTGGTTTCCTTGTGCCTAGGAGATTGAGACCAGCCTAAAAAACATGACAAAACCCCATCTCTACAGAAAACGTAAAAAATAGTCTGGCATGGTGGCGTGTGCCCGTAGTCCCAGCTACTCGGAAGGCTAAGGTGGGAGGATCGCTTGAGGAGGTTTAGGCTACGGTGAGCCAACTTAGGAGACAGAGCGAGACCCTGTTTCAAAAAAAAAAGAAAGAAAAGGTCTTGCTCTATGTCACACTAGATGAGTGACCTCTGGCAAGATATTTAACATCTCTGAGAGTCCATTTTTATCTTCTGAAACAGTAATTGCAAGGTAGGCAATTTTTGAGGCAGTCATAAAAAGCATTACTCTATCCAGTGAGAAAATATTGCCTGGTGGGTATGATGGGGGAATTCTTAGTATCAATGAGAAGAATAAAGGTTTTAGGCACTTGGTAGTAGAATGAGCCACAGAGAATGAAGTTGCCATAAGAATGTGTGAGGAGGATGCCAAATGTCAATCTTTCTTGAATCACAACTTGCTTATTAATATTAGACTGGATAACCCACTGAAATTATTAAATAATTATAAACATCAAAGATTTAAAGCACACCACCATTGTTTGTCCTTGCTCACCTTGCAGTGAAAACTTAAATTGGAAAAAAGACACTGGAGATAATAGATTATCAATTTAGCCCTTAAGGCTATTTTTAACCCTGATACCACACCACATTCTGAATTGTACTTCTGTTAAGATAGGTGGTATAGTAGAATTAATAGTGACAAGAGAATTTGGTGCTAAAAAATGGTGTTCGAAATTCATTCATCTAACCCTGTCACTGAAATTGGATAATTAATTTGCATGGCAAACAGTTAATTCAATCCAAGTTTATAAAGGTTAAAATGCAGAGAGTATCTTAAGATCACAATCTTCCCCCAGTTAATTGAGCTAGCACTAAACATTTTCTTGTGATAATTAAAATTGTTGCTTTTATACATCAACTTGATCCTCATAATCACCCACATACTTTCTCTCAACTTTATACCAGCTAAAATTGTTTTGTAGTTAAGCAAAACAATGAGATTAAATCAGATGTGGTAGGAAGAAAATGTAATGGAAGGTAAATATGTTATTTAAAAAATTGCATCAGCTTCTCCAAAGATTTCATTTTGATTATTGTAGATGTTCTTTGAAAAAATAATATTTTGAATGATTTAAAAACATATAATTACTTTCTTTTTAGAATAAAAAATCTAAAGTACGCTATTAAAACATATATAATTCTGAAGAAAAAACTTAATGGGCTTTATATTTCTGAATTAAAATGTAAAAAGAAAGAATTTTAAATGAGTAGCATTTAGCTTAGAAAAAGACTTGCTCACTGTTCTATTTTTCCTGTCAACAATGAAATACATTTTAGCTAAGTGTTGTTTTGGGTTGGGGAGAAAACAGAAGAATGCCTTAATTTCTCATTAAACACAGCATTAATCAGTGGTTAATTGTAATTATTTAGCCTGTAGAAAAAGTGAAAGTAGAATTAGAATTTGACTGCAAGTAAAACAAACTTTGTCTTTCTTATTGATTGAAGCATTTTAAGACAGCTATTCAACAGGGTTTGCTTAGCAAAATTTTGGTAGTGCTTAGTCAATGTGTTGAATGGTAATTGAAGTCAGTTGTTATATCAAACTCTGTATCTTTTTCTGTGTTAACTTTAAAAAATTAATATTATTTAGTAATAGAGGACAATATTAGTATTGTTTTTCCAAGATCAATGCATAATTGCAATTAAGTGTTTTAAGTAGTTTTGGAATATATTTTCTTGCTTTTTGGACTGCAAGTTTGATATTAAGATCTACTGAATCGCTATTTTTGAATGTGTTCCCTGATATTTTATTTAGAAACAATTGAAAATGATCTAAATTGTCTGTACAGATTTTCCCAGTACTGTTGATGGCTCTTGCTAATTGTTAATTTGTTGTTAAAGGCACAAATCTTGAGTCCTATCAGCTTCAACTCCCATTTTGCCTTTTAAAAGCTCTATTTTGTTTGTAATGCAGAGGAGAAAATTGAAGACCAAACTGTTTCTCAACAGGATGCCAGAAAATAAATAAACACCTTATTTCAAAATGTGGAAATGTCAACGGCATGCCTTGTCTAGTTTCTCATTTGGTGAAAGTGTGGTGGTCCTAGAGTTGCATCCTTTTCCCAATCACTATACTCAGAACCTTGCTATGATGTTTTAACAGAAATTGTTCACCAAAGAAGCAACACATGAATTTGGCATTCTTTAGCTTCTCTTTCATCGGTGTCTAAATTATCCTTACATTTTCTATATCCTATTCTAACAGGCCTCTGCAGTCAAATGCTCAATGTTATTAACCTCTAACAAATTGGATTCCTGATGAATCCATGTTCTTTTTTGAAACAGTGTGAATAAGTCACCACAATGCCCCCAGTAGGACTCTTCTAGTGGATTTGTGAATGGACCCAGTCTACTTGGTCTTTGCTTTTTAAGATTTTGATGCCACCTTTTGGTGGTTTATGAAATAATTACAAACATAAATGAATTTTTTTCTTTCTATTCAACCAATATCTTTTAGCCTAAGTTTTACGGTTGGTAATTTGCTTAAATCTGTGGACTATTAAAAAATATGGTATGTCCACAGTGTGCTTCATTTATGTAGTACATTTGGATATTTGTGGTTTTATCAAACTAAATGTCACAGTTTGTATCCTTCCTAAAAAGCAGGCTCTGACATGTCAATTTTTATAAATTGAATTAATAATGAGATAGGAAATTATAATATAATCTATTAATTGTATTTTGTTTTTAGTTTTTTTTCTACCTTTATCCTCCCCCTTCTCCCATAAAATGTCCTTCAATGGGGTCATAAGTAGCTTTTAGAAGGCAGCTGAAATATGGCTATTTCCAGGAACAAGGAAGTAACCTCCTCTGAAACAGCTTCTGTTTTCCATAACCTAGGTGCACGTTGAAAGTAAATTATCTAAGAAAAGGTGGTAGCTCCAAAGCCAGGGATAATAATAAAGACCAACCTCAGCAATTTCTTAAAATGCACCAGTGTAGCCCAAAACAGCTTCAAATGTCAAAATTGTCTCTGTGATTTTTGCCCCTTGCAGGGGAGAAATAATTCTTTTTCCTTGCCTATCAGTAGGTTCATGGCTGAGGACAATATTAAGAAAAAAAAAAGACAGATTAACAAGAGAAAAGCATAAAATTTTATTGGATATGTTTTACATAACATTAGAGCCTTCATAAGGGAGTGAATACACAAAGAAACAAGTAAATTTGTGTATTTTTATGCTTAGGTTTGATAATGAGTGGGCAGTCATGGAGAAATATGATTGTAAGATAAAGGGGTTATGATCTAATGGTAATAAATGGGAGGTCTGCGTTCAGATTCTTCTTTGTGCCCTGGTATCTTTGAGATAAAGATATCTGGATTATCCTTCCAAATCTTGGGATTTGGAACACCAAATCAAGGTGTTGGTATGGGCATGCTTCCTACGAAGGCTCTAGGGAAGAATCCTTTCTTTCCTCTTTCTAGCTTCTGGTGCTTTCCAGCAATTCCTCTGTTGTCTTTCGCTTACAGCTGCACCATTCCAATCTCTGCCCTCATTTTCACATGGCCTTCGTCCCTCTGTGCCTCTAGATCTCCCGTCCTCTTATTAAGGATATTACACCTAGGATTTAGGATCCACTCTAATCCTGAATGACCTCATCTTAACTAAGCTAATTACCTCTACAAAGCCCCTATTTCTGAATAAGGTCATATTGTGAAGTCCTAGGAGGACATACGTTTTGGGAGGATACTATATACAACCTACTACAGGAATGATTGTCACCATTAATATCAAGCAGCACCTCTGGGTATATGGATGGCTCTTCTAGAATAAGGAATTTATGCTCTGCTACAGGGGAGAAAGGCCAGGGGAAGGTGACAGTGATCTTGCTTCTTCTGTTTTCTCAAATGCCAAAGTGCCGTATTTTGGGATAATGTAGCCTGAACCCCATCACTCACTTGATTTTCAGATCTCTAATTTCTTACTATCTCATGAGCTCTTATATTTTTTTCCTACCTTTTTACTTTTCTAAGTGGGAGGGGTGGTCTGGATAGCTGATCTATCATTAGCAAAGTCTGCTCCTGCCCCCAGTGAGGCTTCCTCTAAGTGCCTCCTCATAGCACGCTTTCTTTAAGCTTGATATTTGAAGAGCAACAAGACCCTCAATGCTTCTCATAACTTTGTCATTAACAGTGTTGGTGATAGAGGGCAATTCTCTTCAAAATTATGATTTTAATAAACCTTTATCAAAACTTCCAGTTTATACACATTTTCCCCTTTGCTTTCTCTTCTGTTATTCCCTGCCTCTTTTATTGGTGGTACTTCAGCCTTTCAAGTGTAGAACAGCATGGGATTACTGGGGAAAAAAAAAAGGTAATACAGTGGTTTTAACTACAAAGTCAGTTGCAGGAGAAAGGAAGGGGAATAAGAGGCTTTGGGAATAAAGATGAGTTTGAAAAGTATTCATTTCAGAGAAGTATGGAGCAGATTTTTATTTTTAAAAAGACTTTCAAGATAGAAATACCCAAGAGATAGTGGACTGAGGATCTCTGATAAAGGAAAATAAGGAAACTCCACTTTAGGTATTGGAATGAAGTTTTGGGTTCTGAAATTGTGCTGTTAGGAAAAGGATCTGAAATGTCTGGGTTGTGTCTACGGCCATACCACCCCAAACATGTCTGATCTGGTCTGAAATGTCTGGCTTGTAAGGAGTTTGCATGCCAGGGTCCAAAAAAGAACTGAGGGCTAAACTGTTCCTACCACCAAAAAGATCATTCAACAATGCCAATTATACATGACATGAACAAAAATGTGGGAAAAATTTAGATTAATCACAAAAATCTATATTAATCACTTATAATTATTACTTAAATTACTTTTTGGGAATTGTATTTATTTTCTTGGGGGTTACTATAAACTACCATCAGCTGGGTGGCTTAGAGTATCAGAAATATTACTCTCTCATACTTCTGGAGGCTAGAAGTCCAAAGTCAAGGTCTTGGTATGGCCATGGTTTCTCTGAAGTCTCCAGGGGAGAATCCTTTCTTTTCTCTTTATAGCTTTTGGTGCTTTTCAGGAATTCCTTTGTGGTCCTTGGCTTATAGCTGCACCATTTCAATCTTTGCCCTCGTTTTCATACAGCCTTCTTCACTCTGTGCTTCTGAATCTCCTGTCCTCCTATAAGGACACCACTCATGAGATTTAGGACCCACTGTAATCCAGTATGACCTCATCTTAACTAAACTAATTATATCTACAAAGCCCATATTTCCGAATAAGGTCACATTGTGAGGTTCTAGGAGGACATACGTTTTGGGAGGATATTATATACAATCTACTACAGGTATAATTGTCACCACTAATATCAATAGCTAGGTGTGTATATTATTGTATGTGTCATACAACTTTTGACATTTTGTTTTGTTATGATCCTTTTTCTTATACTCATAGGCTTGGTCATAGTTTACATACTTTTTCAATTACAGATGGGATTCAATTGTCCATTTAACGAGCACTTATTTTACATCTGGTAGGTGATATGTACCTTGCTAGGCACTTAGGGTACAACAATGAAAAAAAAAACATAGAGGATGAAGAAACAGAATGCAATGGGAGAGGCAAGTTTCTAAATATCCGGTAATACTAAAGTGAGATTTGTAATGGCTACATCAGAAGTGATAGATTCCAAGCAGAGGAAACAGCATGATAGTCAATGAAAGCTTTGAGATATCATGGTGAATTTTGAGAACTGCCAGTTATTCTATATGGCAAGCGGATACAAAGAAAGTTTCAGTGAAAAGTAAAGCTAGGATGGAGTTCAAGAGCCAAATTATGCCATATCTTGTATAACCTAGACAAGGTGACTCTAGTTCTCTGGATCGAAAAGAGTTACTGAAAAGTTTTAACCTTGCTGAGGAAGACAGGATTAAATGATTCACTTTGTTTCAAGTTTCTTCACTTGCTTCAAATTTCTAGAAATTACATCATTTACTAATCCTCTTCAGGTTTGTACATTCTAATATTATGTGACATTTATTTTGCTTCTGCAGTTTGAAAGAATGTTTTTGAATGGAATGGTGAATCTACTAAAAATTCCTGTCTTCAACCCTCCCCCACCCCAACTCCCTCTACAGGTGACTATCCACCTGAGTACATTTTGAAGATTTGCTTGTTACACAGGGATTTGTAATTTTATTTACTTAATTAAAATTGTATTTGTAACTTTAAATTCCTATGGACACTCTTAGGTGATGAGGGGAATCATGGGATTGCTCTGATATTTTATTCAAGAGTGAGAGTAGTTTAACCTCTCCCAACCTCCCAGCACTTCTACTGCTGTGGGAACCAACTGAAAGTAGAAGACAACAATTATTTTTTCAGATCCCATAATACGATACTGTTTTGTTCTAAGTGTCAGTCACAGTCACACACACACACACACACACACACTCATCTATCTATTATTTGATCACTGCCTTTTTCCTGCCTTGCTCTGGTAAACCTCTTCAAAGATGGACATAAGAAATAGAAGGATTATACCTGTTGGCTATGGATGGAAATTGCATTTGAAGTCATTAATTCAGTGAAAATTGTCAACAGATCACACACAGAGGATGTGAAGAGCTGTAAAGGCATCAATCAGAGTTTTATGTAAGGATACTCAGAAACAGAAACACACAAAAGAGGAACGGCACAGAGAATGTATTTTGGAATGTGGCTATAAGAATAGCTAGAACCTTAAAAATTGCTGATACTGGGAAAACATGACCTGAGAGAGCTATGCAGTTGTGAGAATACTACATACACAGAACTTAACAACCCTCTCAAAGTGCATATAAATTTCTACAAAAATAATCCCACTAGCCAGCAAATCAGAGATGTACTTTTTTTCTTTCTACTGGCTCCACAATAAAAGAAAATAAAGTTAAGAACTTTCTGGAATTAGTAGGCAATTATAATAAACAATAATAATACTTTTTTTTTTTTGAGACAGAGACTCGCTCTGTCACCAGGCTGGAGTGCAGTGGCATGATCTTGGCTCGCTGCAACCGCCGCACCCTGGGTTCAAGCGATTCTCCTGTCTCAGCCTCCTGAGGAGCTGGGACTACAGGTGTGAGCCACCATGCTCAGCTAATTTTTGTATTTTTAGTAGAGATGAGGTTTCACCATGTTGGCCAGGATGGTCTCAATCTCTTGACCTCGTGATCCACCCTCCTTGGCTGCCCAAAATGCTGGGATTACAGGTGTGAGCCCGGCCAATAATACTTTTAACATAGAAAAAATACAGTTAGATGTTATTAAGCTAGAAAGCATTTTATTTGTACATGGTAGATGTTTTCTAAGGGAGAATAGTCGTTGGCTAATAAACTGTAAATATATGGTACTGAGAGAAACTGACTTTAGATTGAGGGATTGCTAGCAGGATAAATGGTCATTTTAAAGCCTGACTCATTTATAAGAGTCACAGTGTGACTGGATGAAGACACACAGGAGGGGACTGGGTTTTAGAGAAATGATAAAGACCAAGTTCATCATCATCTTCACAGAATTAGTCTTGGCACAGTAAGTTTCTCATTCTCAGCCTTATCCTTGTTCTGCTACAATAAGCATTTACACATTAGGATCCAGAACTGAAACTATTTTATGGGGATTGATGTAATAAAATGGATGGTTTACTATCAAACTGTGATAATTCATGATTTTTGGATCTGACATGGAACACAACATTTTCTAAAAAATGAAAGCTTTGGCCGGGCGCGGTGGCTCACGCCTGTAATCCCAGCACTTTGGGAGGCCGAGGCGGGCGGATCACGAGGTCAGGAGATCGAGACCATCCTGGCTAACACGGTGAAACCCCGTCTCTACTAAAAATACAAAAAAAAATTAGCCGGGCGTGGTAGCGGGCGCCTGTAGTCCCAGCTACTCGGGAGGCTGAGGCAGGAGAATGGCGTGAACCCCAGGGGGCGGAGCCTGCAGTGAGCCGAGATTGCGCCACTGCACTCCAGCCTGGGCGACAGCGAGACTCCGTCTCAAAAAAAAAAAAAAAAAAAAAAAAAAAAAAAAAAAAAAAAAAAAATGAAAGCTTTGAGTTATATGAAAACTTAAAGATGAATAAGAAAGTTTTTTTTTTTAAATGCTGGCTTAGGCAAGTGAGCTTCCATTTAAGATATTCTATGTTAAATATTAAAATGGATATGTGAACTGAAAGAAACACAGTCAATATGGACCTTAGCATTTGAGTTGGAATGTCACCCTCAGTGCTTAATTATGTAAAAAGATTTCTTAAATAAAATTTAAAAATGATTCAATGGCATATATAAACTGAAACTCTAAGTCAGAATTTTCTGATTTAGAAAAAAATAAAACAAAACATTATACATTATGGATCCAAATCTGAGCTCAGTTCACAGACATATTCTTGCTCTATTTATAGAGGATTTGATACCTGTCTTTGGCCTGAGTTGTTTTTTTCATATTGTAATTTACCATACTTCTGATTATTGTCCTTAAACTTCCACTACCAGAGCACCTTACTGTGTCAGAAAATAGGAAAGTACTAAAAAATACTCAAGCCCCACAAGGTTAGGATATGTCAAATCAATACAGAGACCAGCTGAAAAAGAGCCCAATTGCCAAAGCTGGAACAATTTGAACAACAAAATAAAGAATGTAGCACAGGATTATAACTAAAAACATAAAAAACAATCCATGAGTCTATACTGCTATCAACAAATGATTGAATACATAAATAAGTTGGGGAGAATAGGCATATATTCCATGCAAAAGAAGGCCAAATAATTTACATAGACACTCTACCCTCAAAGAGATAGAGCATAGCTCCCCACTCACTGACAGTACACACATAGTAACTCCCTTTGCAAGAGTACATAATGGAATCAGGTGGAAGTAACTCTATGGTGGAAAAACCTCACAAACACTACCTCAGTAAGGTGATAAAAGTTAACATCATCGGTGTTATGTTGATATCATATACCCATGATATGATGTGTTGAAATGGCAATTTTCCTCTGTGATGTTCCTCCCCAAAAGAAATAATGCCAGTCTAAGCATGAGAAAAATATCTGGCTAATCCAAGCTAAAAAATATTTTATAAAATACCTGATCAGTACTCTTCAAAACTGTCAAGTTTTTCAAAAACAAGTGTGAAAAGTAGTCTCAGCCAAGAGTAACCTAAGAAGGCATGATGACTAAATGTAATGTGATATCTCTGATGGGATCCTGGAACAGAAAAGACATTAGATGCAATTTAGGAAATCTGAATAAAGCATGGACTATTGTTAGTAATAATGTATCAATATTGGTTCATTCATTGGAACAAATGTACTGAACTAATGAAGAATGTTAGCAATGGCGGGAATTGGGTACAGGATATGTGGGAACTTTTTACTCTTTGCAACTTTTCTCTATCTAAAACTATTCTGAAATGAAAAGTTTATTTTAAAAAATCCACTTCTTACTCATTCTAAGAGATGATGCATCTTTGATAGAGCGGGCTCAGTGCCTGGTTCCGGCAGTGGGAATGTGACCCAGGCCTGGCTCGTTTGAGCTTTGCCTTTTATATAAACACACAGACCTTTTCAGAGACAGACATCTAATTTAAAAATTTAATTACTTTAATCAGAGAAAATCCTGAAGTGATTATGGAGGGACAACGAGGTATTTTTTTCTTTTCTGCAGACTTTGAGCTTTATGCATTCAGGCCTAGAGCTATTGGCCATCTTGCCACCATAAGGGCAGAACTGATTCAGGACAGAATGAAAAAATGGAGCCAAGATTTGGAGATTTTGAGACTAACTCTTAACTACATTCTTTGTAGTCTTGAATCTAGTCGTTTTTAAACCAGCTTTGACTCTTGGATTTTTCCACTTATATAAGGTAATACAGTCTTCCGTTTTCTTAAGCCAGATGGAGTTGTGACCTTTTTTTAATGTCTTTTTTTTTTTTATTATTATTATGCTTTAAGTTCTGGGATACATGGGCAGAACGTGCAGCTTTGTTACATAGGTATACATGTGCCATGGTGGTTTGCTGCAGCCATCAATCTGTCACCTACATTAGATATTTCTCCTAATGCTGTCCCTCCCCTAGCCCCCCACCCCCGACAGGCCCCGGTGTGTGATGTTCCCCTCCCTGTGTCCATGTGTTCTTATTGTTCAGGAGTTGTGACTTTTGCAACCAATCACTATAATTTGAGCCCATATAAAGTATTTAAGATAAAGCAATGCACTGTCAGAAAAATACAGAGTTTCTAACAGTGTTCCATTTGGAAAGCACCTTTTACATAGATTAAGTGATGTACCTGGCGGCACAGTGACAATATGTTATACTGAAGAGTTATCTGATATGCTCCTCAGCATTTGTATAAAACACAGCTGTTCCATTTATTGTGGAGATTGTCTCCTTATAATGAATGAATTGATTGAAAAATAATATGTTCCATAAATATATAAATCTTTATTGAGTGCCTCAGAAGCAGCATCATTATCTGGGGTAATACCTGAGGGTTGTTGCCTCATGCCAAGAAAATTAAGGACATGAACACAAACAAGGAGTGAGTTTAAGGGTGGAGGTTTAGTAAGCAAAAAAAGAGAATGGAGATTTGGGAGGCCAAGGTGGGCAGATTGCCTGAGGTCAGGAGTTTGAGACCAGTCTGGCCAACATGGTGAAACCCCGTCTCTACTAAAAATACAAAAATATTAGCTGGGCCTGGGGCATGGTGGCGTGCGCCTGTAATCCCAGCTACTTGGGGGGCTGAGGCAGGGGAATTGCTTGAACCAGGGAGGTGGAGGTTGCAGCGAGCTGAGATTGCACCACTGCACTCCAGCCTGGGCAACAGAGTGAGACTATGTCTGAAGAAACAACAACAACAAAAAAAAACAAAAAAAAAAAAAAGAAAAAAGAGAAAGGAGAACAGCTGTCTCTCCTGGGAGAGAGAGGGGTGCCTGAACAAGGACTTCCAGCCTGTGGCAGAGTGCACTGGATTTTATAGACAGGCTTGAGGAGCTGCTGATTTAAAAGAGGCCCACAGATTGTCTGGAGTAGATGTGGCACGCAGGGAAGCTGTCCACCCCACCCTAATCTTATTATGCAAATGGGCTTTCCAAATGACTGCCCAATGTTGTCTGCTCCCTACTGCCGATGTGGTTGGAAAGGAAAAGGGAAGATGAAGCCAACATGTTGGACATGCCTAGCCCCAGGTAGACCCTTTCCTATTGGCACAACGGCCAGCATTTACCCATGCAAGCTTCTGTGTCTGCAGCTCGGTTTTACAGGCTGCTCTTTGTTAGAAAAGAAAATGATTTGGGGGCTGCTTTCCATTAAAAGGAAAATCTTACCGAGGACTTCCTTACCCTCACTATCTGCCTAAATCATTCCTTTTGACTCCTATATCACCTATAATGTACCAATACTTTTCAAGATGTGGGACAGCAGTCGTGAACAAAATAGACAATGTCTCCTATCTCATTCTAGTGGGGAAGGTGAATACTAAACAAAAATAAACACACAAAGAAACAAAAACAAGTGACCATATTATCAGTCAAATGGTGATGGGTACCACAGAGACTCATGATGGGGATACCTGAAGGAGGGGAGAGAAGAAAAGCATTGCACAGATACCTGGTGAAGGGGTATTGCCACCAGACAGAATGGTGCCAGAGGCCTTGAGTGGGATATGGAGATGCTATGGTTTTATGTGTCAACTTGGCTGGGCCATATGCCCAGATAACCTGTTCAAACATTATTCTGAATGTTTCTGTGAAGATATTTTTTGGATAAGATTAACATTTAAATCAGCTGACTTTCAGTAAAACAGATTTCTCTCCATAATGTGAGTAGGCCCCATTCAATCAATTAAAGGCCTGACTAATATAACCTCCCCCAGGCAAGAGGGACTTCTGAGAGCAGCGGACCACCTTTGAACTCAGATGGCAGCTCTTTCCTGGATCTTCAGTCTGCGGATTTCGGACTTGCATCTTTGCAGTTGTATAAACCAATTCAGTAAAATAAATCTCTTTCTCTCTCTCACCTCTCTCTCTCTCTCTCTGTCTCTCTCGATCTCTCTACATCCTGTTAGTCTTTTTTCCCGGGAGAACCCAGAGCCCTAACTAACATAGCAGGGTTGTGGTGATTTCAAGAGATAACAACGAAGCTGGAGTGGATTGGTCTAGAGTCAGTGAAAGGGGAGAGAAATGGAAGATGATGTCAGCATTTTTTTGACTCAGGAGATTTTTATTCATATGGTGAAGGTTGGTCACCGAGGAAACTGACAATCATTAAATCCACTTACAATTTCCATCATCCTAATTTCTACGTCATTTCTTCCTTTAGCATAGTCATCATGTGTTGATACCTTTTTATGATAATGTGCACACATTAGTTCTACATCTGAAAATTCTCCGATTATGTCCGGCTCTGTCAATGATAAAACCACAAGCTAACGGTAAAATAAAATAAAATAGAACTACAAACTAGGTGTTCAACAACAGATGAATGGATAAAGAAAATGTGGTGTGTATATATATATATTTTATATACACACACACACACACACACACATACACACACACACACAATGGAATACTATTATTTAACTATGTAAAAGAATGAAATCTCACCCCTGGAGCCAACAAGGGTGGAACTGAAGGACATTATGTTAAGCGACATAATTAAGAAACAGAAAGTTAAATACTATATGTCCTGATTGATACTTGGAAGTTAAAAAAGTTGATCTCATAGAAGTAAAAAGTAGAACAGAGGATACTAGAGGCTGGAAGGGTAGGGGTAAAGGAGAGAAAGAAAGGAATTTGTAAAAGGATCCAAAATTACAGCCAGACAGCAGGAATAAGTGTTAGTGTTCTACAATGCTATAGGATGACTATAGTTAACAATAATATATACTTTCAAATACCTACAAAAATATTGAACATTCCCAACACAAAGAATTGATAAAGGATTGAGATGATGGCAATGTTAATTATCCTAATCTGAACACTATAGATTATCTGTATCAAAACACCACTATGTACTCCATGAATATGTATGATTATTCGTCAATTTAAAGTAATATTTAAAAATTAAATTAACTTAAAAATAGAGTAAGATAAAAATATAGCAAAAGAAAGGTGACTGATTTGCTGTGTATCAAACAAAGTGAAACAAAATTCTGCCCCTGCCCCTCATTATTTTAATAGATTTTCTGTTTTTCAGTTGCTTTTCTGGACTTGGGGAAATATAACTTAACAAATTAAAATATGAAATATTTCTAAATTAGCCAGTTGCTCACAACTGAAATTTAGAGATAAGCTTTCAAAATTCTGATTCTTTGGGGTTGAAAGCAAAAATTACTATGCTTTTCCACTCATATAAATTGTGATATGCAGAGTAGTTTTTAAAAAGAAACCTTTCTGCAGACTGTTAATCACTCAGACACACAACAGCTAAGTAATTCTAGTGTTTCTATATTTCTAGTTAGTTGTAATAAATTCTATCTCTGACTCCTAATAGCTCTTCTTCATCCTATTCATTTTTGATTTTAACTATAAAGGTAATGACATTTCATTAGTTTTAAAAAGAAGAATCTCTTATTGTGTCTAATGCACTAAATTTCACTTTTCTGATTTCAAAGCTCTCTTCCTCTTCCAGAGGAATTTGAACAACTAAAACAAAATCTTTGATATGATTATCAGACAGAACTAGGCCATCATATGTGGTGGGATTCAAGAGAAAACAGCTTTTAAGAAACATGCCTCTACTTATTGATACATTCAAATTAATGCTTGTTCTAAGTGGTCACCTTGGGAAAGGTCATTTTCTTATTCTAATGATGTGGTTTGTATTCAAAATATTTAAAAATTTTTTTTGTTTTGTCTTGTTTTCATTTGGCTTTAGAAGCCAATTATGAGTCATTTATGAAAATTATTTGTCCCTGTGTATTATTTATTTAAGAAATACTTAAAGTATGGTAAATCCAATGCAGGCCTCGTTCAAAGAGCTTTTAAAATGTTGATCCTCATAACAACCTGTTGAAGAAACCAAAGCATTGCCCAATGCTACACACCTAAGAAATTAGGGAGTTACATTGAATTTAGGAAGCCTTGTCTCACAGCACCTGTCTAATCACTGCATTATGTTATCTCTCACATCCTTTACTTTAAAATTATCAACCCCGTTTTTCACAACTTTTACAATGCCCCCTGAACTTTTTTGTGTGTGTCTTTAATATATCAAGTGGCTTCTTTAACTGCCTTTCTTTGATAGATCAAGGAACTTGAAGCAAAACAAGAACATGTATCAGGAAAGATTCAATCTTCTACGTACTTATTAAAGGGGGGAAATGAAAAAATTCCTGCAAGAAAAGTGTTCTGTTTTGTGTTTTGTTAATGAGAAGAACTCATATGGACAGAACCTCTTTTCTTTCATCTTCTGGTGAACTGAAGTTTTATTGAGGCAAATATAACATCAATTATCTTAGCTAACCAATTCAAAGCTATAATTCTGAAGTTTAAGATGTACTCTGTCAGCACTTTATTGACTTTCACTAACTTGGTCGGACCATTACTCAGTTGATCTTGATGAATCTCTACTGGTAGGATGATTTTGATGAGCTATAAATCAGCCTTGATATCTTTTTTCCCCCAAGTCTGTCTTTTGGTAGATTACAGACACAAGTTAGCTGGGAAATTTTGTCCAAATCTAGACTCAAAGATTGTAGTGAAAAAGAATAAATTGTTGATTTTACACACACACATACACATACAGACATATTGTGATCTGTTCTTTTATTCTACTACCTGCTAGGAATCCATGATCTAACCCAGAAGAGAATTGAATGACTCTATGGTTTTTTAATTGTTCATAGGTCTAATTAAAAATTTAGTCTGTTTTTATAGGACAAGTGATTTCTCACAAGGGAATAATTTAAGTAAAATTCTTGTAAAATGGTTTGTTGACAGTTGAATTGTTTCATGTAGCAGAAATAGCATTTGGCATTTGGTCAGAACTTTTTAGGGTGACTTGTATTTTTGGCATATTTCCAGCCAGAAATGGCCATGGGCTGTCTTATTACAGGACTCTCTAGTGATTTGGTGACATGGAGACATACCCCAGATGTTTTGTGAACAGTGTTCAACCTTGGAAATTGATCATATATACCTGCTTCTGAATTGAAGAGCTCAGCCACTCTGACCTTGAGAAGAACATTCAGAATGTAGTCAGTGACAACCAAGGTTTTAGCTCATTAAAATTGTCTTTTTATATACAAGTAAAAAAAGTCATCATCTGAACATGCATCTGGGTCCAGGCAAGCAAAATAAAGTGAGAAAACATCCAGAGGTATGAATGATAATTAAATCATAAATTACAATCCTTAAATTTTTGGTGTCCATAGAAGAAACATGCTTTGGTCTAATACAAACTGGTTATTCATATTGATTAACATTGTAAACATTTGCTTCCTATTATTTCTTTGTAAAAGATGATTGTTTCCTAAAGGTACTGTAAAATATATTTTTTTGCTTCATCATTAGATATAATCTCCATCAAAGTAATGATGACGTTTATTTCATTCATCACTGTACACAGCAAATGATATAATACTTGGAACCAAATGGTAGATGTTCAAAACAGTTACTGAATGAATGAAGACTGTATTTTTACTGTGGTATTTATTATCCTTTTCAAGGCTGGCAGGGGTAATTCATATCCCAGAATGGTCTTATAATATTTTAGGAATAGACTCAAGAGACCTCAGAGTTAGAGAAATAAGTGATTTGGAATGCCATGATTAATCCCAACACCTTCTACTTTAACCTATTCAAGGTACATAATGCACACTTATTTTTCATGAAAACATCCATAAGAATAGTAAAATAGGTTTTGTCGCTTTTGTTTTTACAGATGATAAAATAGTCTCAGGTAGTTTAAAACACTGGCTCAAGGGTCATACACTGAAGTCAAAAACCTAAAGAAGGATTTGAACTTTTCACAGAGGTCAGAAGAGTATGAATCTGCCCAAAAAGAATACATTATTAAGTGATCTAGAGTCATCTTTCTACATTCCATTGAGGCTATCATATTTGCACGTTTGTAATTGCAGAAGAGAGAGAAAACTCATGGTAGCTGGCAAAAAGGGCAAGAAAATTAATCAACTTATGGCATGTTTATAAACTCACAAAAATTTCAGGGGTTCCCAGTCTTTGGTTTTGCTTCCCTAATTCCTTACGTGGTTTCTTACAGAACCTACATTGAACAGCAATGGATCGTCAGTACAGATTTATTCAGTTTATTTATATGTTTTAAATATTTTGAGAGGTGAAACATATCGAGTTTCTTTTAAAAAACCTAGTTATTCAAATCAGTGTTATTTATGAAATGTATTATGAAATGGCTAATTACAATTTATTACTGGCCTCCCTATACCCATTGTGCATAAAGTAATGAGTTCCTCACAGCAGGCTCACTTTTATTAACCTTTTCATAGAGGCAGTGATCTCATTCAGAAATATTTTTTGAATTACGTGTACATGTCACACACTGGTTTCTTCATACCTGGAGGGGAGAGGAGCGATATGCAGTTGTGGATTGATTTTTCAAATTCACACTATTAAGGGAGGTGGAGAAAGATGAAGAGGGAAAAGGGGGGATAATTTCACTATTACAGCTATTGAAGCTCCTTTTCAAAGCATTATTTTCTACTTTTTCTTATTGTTCCCTCCAGTCCAAAGAAAATGCCTTTTTAAAAGAAAAAAGTTAAAGAGTGACACATAACGATGTGGTAGTTGAAAAGAATAAAATCATAAGAGCCTCTCCCTTTCTTTCTCTTTCTCTCCCTCTCTCTCTGTCTTTCAGTCCTTCCCTTTCTCTCTCTACTTTCCTTCCTTTCTCCAGGTAGTAAGCTGAATCTCTTGATAAGTTAAAGACAATGAAAATGTCACCTCTTCATCATGATGCTACCTGAAGATAAATCTTTCCTCTATCCAACATTCCACCTTGTTGAAAGGCCAGGAAATTCCTGTATTTTTTTTTCTAAAAAAGCAAAATGTATCAGCAAACTAAAGATACATTCTTTTTGCACATTTTTACAGAAAGAGTTCGAGATAGCCACTAATGTTTTACAATTTTCATCTTCTCTTCCTGAAATGCCCTTAGATGTCCATGACCTTCATGAAGTACGGAGAGAGAAGAGGCTATAAATGCAATTAGTGCTGCTGCAGACCTCTGACCCTTGATGTTGGAGTCCTTTAGGTTTCTTAGGTAAATTTAGCTCTTCCATGGAACCTGAAACCTTTGGGTAAGTTAAAAAAATATCTGGGCTATTAATTATTTTCCTTAGGATCAAACACCAGCAGACTTTTGATCCTACTTTAACTTTATACACCAAGCCTAGTAACACGACTTTTCATTGACTATGATGAGGACCTTGAGGTATACTACATTTCTAACCACTGCAACCTTGTTGTATCAACATACAATTGGGTTTTTTCTTAGTTCTTCAGGTAATATTCAAGTTCTACTAAACTAAAATCTTTCATTCCTCTGTCCTCCATCCTTCAGAAATATATTTCCTTTTTTGTTTCCATTCTCAGTGGTCTAGTCTTCGCTAGTGGCTTCTAGATTCTTCTGAGGCCTATTACCTATAAATTCTTTAAATGTTATTTCTCTCTGAGGATGAACACCTATCTTACTCTTTTCTGAATATTTTAACCCACCTGGTTCCCCAGATCTTGGTCATTATTGATTGGATAATCCTATTTCCAACTAAGTCCTAGTTAAAATAATGTAAAAAATACAGACGGTTTTTGCTTAAGTGTTTCAATTATACCCCAAAGACAAATAATTTTATCTCTGATGTAAGCATCGGCTAGGAGTAGTTCTGAAATTGTTTGAAAACAAGTCACATTTGTTTGAATAAGTACACACTTAATTTAGGCAATGTACAACCTTCATATTCTTCCATAAAGCTTTTTAAAAACCATTACAAAAGATATTACAGTGAAATCTGAATTCTGTCACTTAACCACAAAAGTGCCCTGGCTTAATAAATCATGAAGAGAATCAATGAGGCTTGCATTGAATGCCTGAAAGAAAGCTGCAATCATTCATAAGAAGTAGCTTTGGATGATTACTAAGTTTTCTAAAGTAGTTGAGACTGCAGAAAACCATAAATGCCTTGTCCAACAATTATCACTGTCCCATATACCAGTGGAGCCATTTTGAAATTATTCCCAATAAATCCGCAGATACCTTGACTGGAACCGATGTGGACTATTTTCACAGAACTCTATTGTAACTCTCAGCTACAAAAGCTGCTGTCTGAATAGAATAATAATGTTCTTTTGTCAGGGTGATAAATATTTGTTTGTAATTGTAGATCTTTTGATCAAATGCTTCTACTCAAGAGGAAAAACAACAAAGGAAATACTGTTCCTATGTAGGGTAATATAAAGTACATGGAAGATGACAGAATCACAAAACTGACTTAATATAAACTATGGGTGATTGACGGGCATCCATTTAGAAATTTGAGTTAATTTATTTCCTTCATATTCAAAAAATGTGTTCCTTAAATATTTTTTTTTCTATGTGCCAAGCATCCTGTTAGATTAAGGAGGGATATAAACATGAGTAAAATGGGTCTTTATCCTCAGAGTATGTCCAATATGGAGAAAGTTCATGTGATACAAGTAAGAGCACAATTATGTGCGTATGGCTGGAGACAAGGTATTTCTAGATATAGTCATCCACATGATCAGCTTATGCCTATCACCATCAGCACAGGGATTGTGGCTGCTTCTAAACAAACTATTGAGAACATATTGAGTTCTCAGCAACTGCTCTTGTTGAAGAGGAGTTTTTGAGTTCATTTAAAGAAAAAAATATACATATTGAAAGTGTATATTCTCTATTCAAGAAGGTGGAAGCTGCTTGACAGCCAAGACTAGATCTTACCTAAGCACACCAAGAGGACATAGAAGGTCTTAATTAACTTGCTGGTGACTGAATGAACCTAAGATAATTACACAGCCCATACTAGAAATTATTATTCATGTTGTACAGTCTGTGCTCATAAACATTGAATATATTCAGATTAATGGTATGTTTAGAGATCAAAGACATTAGAAAGAGTTAGGAGAAAGAAGCTATTAGGTATAAGTTAAGGCCAGTGTATTGGTTGTAATGAAGTCATCAATATATAGGCCAGTAGCAATTTTAATGATTGATATATTTACAAAGGCAAACTTGATTTGCAGTATGACTCTGCTGTCAAATCAAATGGATGATATGTGAAAACATATCTACTAGAGTAATAATTGAAAGTCAGTTTGTACTTTCAATCTGCTCTTAAAAATAACTTGTTTTGCAATATATTTCAATACATGATATTCGGCCTTAGTTCACTGGAATCCAGAATGTAGAAGAGCATCTGTATGTTCTTCCAATGGTGACACTGCTTCACTTACATAGTTCTCTGAATCATTTTCACATCTTTCTTTGCACACTCAGGGTAATAATCTAAATGCTGAGTATTCTCTGAAGTCAATGGAAATCTGTGATTAGGTTAGCTTGATATGGATGTTACAAAAAATAGATTTTTTTCCTTATGACTAAGGAGCAAGGAAAACAGATGGTAGGGTGAGGAATGCGGAGGTTGTCAGATAACGCTCTTGCCAACAAGATTCGGTGCTAACATAATATATTCAGTCAATTGGAGCATCTTGATGTCACCAAATATAGAAAAGAAAGATGCTTCTGGTTGTCTTTGTAATTTATGTGATAATTGAATGAAAACTGACTTGGGATGAGTGATATTTGCTTATTATGGAATAGATGCACACATTTTTAAAACAAAATCAGTATCTTGCTCATGTATCTGACTTTTACAAGTAACTAAAAGTTTTATTTTTTTACCTTTAAACCCCCCAAAATTATTAATAACAGAACAATTCTGTTGATTCTATGGTCAAATTAAACTTATATATTTTAGTTAGTTGTGGATGGATGAGGCAAGTAGGTGTGTAGTCATGTAAAAAATCAATTTGAATTGTTAAATGATAGAAAGAATGACCCATTTACAATTAAGGAAAAAATACTATATTTGATTGGAGAATATAATGTAATATCCAACAACAATTATTTTTGCAGATAATCCCTGTTGTATTCCAGTACAGAGCTGGCAAAGATGACATTTATGATATCAGAACAAATATTTAGTGGCACTAGTCCACTATATGGTCTTCTATTAAAAAGGAAAATAATTCTTCTCTCCTTTTTTGGACCTATACCCTGTTAAACAAAATGAGAGGCCATTGTCTTGGACTGAGCCCCTGCACTAGGCCCCAACAGACAGGACCAAAACAAAATGGAGCCACTCATGTTAAGTGCCTCATAAGCAAACTGCAATTTTAAGGCAGACTAGTTTTCCTGAAAACAGGAGATTCCAGTACCTGAGTCAGTATAATAAGGAAGTCCCCTCTGCCTTAGCCCTTAAAAAACTAGCCTGAAGTAATTTGAAGTTAACCACTTTTTTATTTTCTATTGTTTTGTTTCCTTGTTTCCACCTGTCAAAACTCACTGTTCTGGTCTTTCCAAGTGGGAACATCATTTTGTTTTACAGAACAGGATGGTGCCATGATTTATGAGTCACAAATAAAAGCCAATTAGATATGTTACTAAGTATGTTGTGATTTTGTCTTTTGACAACCCCAAGATTGTCCGTTGTCTTAGACAGCCTGTCTATATCTTCTTTATATCTCTGTTCTTCTTTTGGTTATGAACTATATTATCCCCCATTTTTTAACTCTTCAAATTTTCTTATGCCTTGGTGGACACATTCATCAATATTTTTAATGATCAATACTGTATCTTTGGGCCTAAAGCTCTTCGTAACTCAGCAATTCGAGACTGTAGATTTTATTCTAGAATAATAATTAGTGATTCTTTTGTATTTTTTTTATGGGCAGTTAAGAAAAAGGTAGAAAACAGGCCATTTTGTCCAGGGCTAAATATGATCAAGGATGTCTTCAGGAATGGTAAGATGCAAAGCTTGAGTCACAGAGAAGCAAATTATCTTTTTAATATTGTATTATATAGTCATCAGAAGATCCATATGCTGGTTATGAAGATACCATCATATTTTGAAAAAAAAAACCAGTAATACAAACTTAGATTTTGAATTAACTCAGGCCTGAAATAAAACTCATTTCTTTTTCTCACTAATTGTGTTGTAGGCAAGTCACAGTTACTCTGAACCTGTTTCTTCCATTCCAAAATGAGCATAATTGTATGATTTTTAAAGTTTGTTGAAATAATACATATGCAGAATCTACCACAGGATTGAAATTGTTCTATTTATTTTTATATTTTCCCGTAGTAGTTATTGATGGGAACAGTGAGATAAATGATAGTTGTGGCCAGGTGTGGTGGCTCATGCCTGTAATCCCAGCACTTTGGGAGGCCAAGGTGGGTGGATCAGCTGAGGTCAGGAGTTTGAGACAAGCCTGGCCAACATGGCGAAGGCTCGTCTCTACTAAAAATACAAAAATTAGCCGGGCATGGTGGCACATGCCTGTGGTCCCAGCTACTTGAGAGGCTGAGGCAGGAGAATGGCTTGAACCCGGGACGAGGAGGTTATAGTGAGTCAAGATCGCACCATTGCACTCCAGCCTGGGCAACAGAGCCAGACTCCATCTCAAAAAAAAAAAAACAAAAAAAACAAAAACAAAACAAAAAAAAGATAGTTGTGTGACATCTGCAATGTTGGCCACTTTCTGCTAATTTCCATTTTCCCAATACTTGCCAGATGCACTAAAATGATAATAAAAATATTAATGCTAGGTTTAGAATTTAACTTTGGCAAGTTTGATAAATTATTGTTTTTCACTTTAACCATTTTGTGTGTCTGAAATTCTGAGCACTTGCATTCCTAACACGGAAATCAGCTTCAGAGAATTGTTCCATTAACCAACGTGTACCTCTGAGGCTTCTATTCTGCAATTACTTAAAATAATAATACTCTCATTCTTGCATAGTAATTTACAGTATGCCAATATCTTTATAGAGATACAATGTAATCAAAAGATATTTTTTCTTCATTTTTCAGGGAAAAAAGGCTGGAGGAAAACAGAGATCGTGCAAGGTGAAAGGGTTTCTGAGTGGAGAATTGAAGCCGCAAACTGCACATGTCATCATCTCTTTAACTCTACAGTGCACTGCTTTGTTGCTCCCTGGATTCCTGTGATCTTTGCTTCCATTTTGCAGAGATCTAGCTTCTCCTGGATTAGTAGATTGGTAGATGAAATTGGCATGTTTCTGTCTAGAATTTAACTAAATATGCTTAGATTTAAGTACATTTCCTTACAAATGGTTTAGAAGAAAATGATGTTCTACCTATGCTAAATCAACTTCATCTTCACATATGTTTTCTCCACATGAAAAGGAAATTGTTTCAAAATCAATAGAATGCTAATTTCACACTACCCATAGCTTACCTTGGCATTTTGATTAGGAAACATAGTCTTTTCAGCTCCTCTCTGAAATCACATTTCTTTATTTTTTTTTCTCATGAGAAAAAGAGTTTGTCTTTTTTAGAAGGTTACTAAAAAAAAATTAAATTCCTTTATTATTTCATTTTTTATTCCTTAAGGTATACCATTATGCTGCAATTTGAGAGCAGTAAAATTTAGTATGAATATCAACTTTTATAAATTGCTCCTAACTTTAAAAGCCTCAGTTATATCATTTGATTTCTGACATTATTTTCTGTTTTTCTGAGGGAACTGAAAGATTCACTGTTGATTTTTTGGTATGTGTAAAATGTTTATAAAATATGTCTTTCAATCTTGCTAACACAAAACTCCAAAGCTGGCCACCTAAGCAACAAAGATTTTTAGGGTAGCTTGATTTTGTCATTATTTTTCTTGCAGCATTAGTAGAATTTTGTTAAGTAGGAGAAAGGGTATTTGGTATATTACAGAGTAATTTTTTATTTTTATTTTTTCCTTTTACTTTTAGTTGACACATAACAATTGTACATATGTATGGGATACAGAGTGATATTTCAATATGTGTATACAATGTGTAATGATCAAATTAGGGTAATTAGCATTTCTATCACCATCAAAACATTTATCATTACAGAGTAGATTTTTGAATGTAAGTTGGTTATATTACCAACTTGGTTGTTGGCAATTTGCTGTACTGATCTCCCTCTTTTCAAAGTTAACTTGTATAATTTGTTTTTCAAGGTAGGTTAACACACCAATTCATTCATCATGGGAAAAGATCCTAGGGGCTTTTAAAAATTTCACAAAATACAGGAACCCCATAATATCACTAAAAATACTCATTTAACTTTTGCTTGAAGATGTCTGTGGTTCTCATTACTTCAAAGAAAGTCACTCTATTCCTTTCTGGAGATGAAAGAGCACCCTATTTCCATATTCATTAGGGAGTTGTTTCTTATATGATCTGAAATCTATGTCCCTGTAATTCCAACTCATTAGTTCCCACTCTCATGTACGAAACTATGCAGATGAATTTTTACCTTATTTCTACATGAAATTCCTCCAAATATCAAATATTAAATACCTAGGTTTCAAAATTCTTCCTAAAATATAACAGACAGGACTGAACACAGTGCTATATATATCACCTAGGCAGTACAATGAATAATGGAATTACTCTTCCTTTTCTAGGGACCAGGAATGGATGTTAGCACTAAGATCATTATCCCCCAGCCCTGCAGCTCTGCTGGTCAAAATTGAGTAAATTAACAACTATACTCCTCCTCCTCCTGGTTACTTATTGGGCAGCCACTACTATGTTAAGCAGTTTATTTATATAACAGCCATCTTACGTGGGTACTTCACTTATGTGAAACACACAAGGAAACCAGAATTTACCCAAGGTAACATAAACTACAAAATAACATAACTACAAAGAAGATGGGAAGCCTGAACTCTCTCATCTCACTGCTCATATTTTTAGGCACTTGGCAATATTGTATTCCCTAACTAAAACACCGAGAACTCTGTCATATGATCAGTATTGCTGGTGAGATGATCCTCAGAAGAATATATCTGTCCTTTGGCTTTGGGCTAGATGTCTGGCACCTGAACCTCCAACCTGATGCACAATCCTTCCCTGTAATTTTGATATATGACCTAGCCTGTTAGAAAAAGTGGTTTCCTTTTAATAGGCTCTTTTTAAAGTTATCCTTTACATTTTTTTCTTTAAAAAATATCCAGAATTAGATTCTGTGTTTACTACTAAGATTGATAGATAGACTTATCTAAATATTGTTAGGCCACCATCATTTTTTTGTTGTTTTTGCTGTGATCAGGATGCATTATATTACAGTACTTTCCTTATTTTCTTGTCCAGTAATCTTATTAAACATGAGGCTAACTTTGCTTGTTCTGTAGAAACTACATTCTTTTCTAAGTGCTTACCATCTCTCTGTTGAATAAATTAATTCATTTATAATTTTCTAGGGATTGTAGTAAAAAATTAAATCTATTTTAGCAACAGTAATGTATCAATTTCTTATTCTGAAAATTATGGATTATCCATTCCTAGACTTCTGTTGATAATAACAGAAATAATATTGTCAGCACTTTATATCTTAGGTTATAATGTTTAGATGTCAAAAAAGTTGTCACATTAATCTACTAAGAACAATTTCTTTCAAATTGTTTTAGAAAGGAATCAACTTAAACATTTGCTTGTGTAATCAGTATATTTTATTTGACAACATGCTTGCCCTTTCAAAATTTTCTCTGATAGTAACTTATTGTCTCTTTTAGTCATTCTCTAAGCAATTTTTCTTTCTATCTTTATAATTCTGGTCCTCTTTTTCCCCACCTATCTTTTCTTCCTACGTTCCAATATACATTCAAAAGGCCCAGAAACAGTCTAGTCTTCAAAAAGAAATTATTTTCACTATGGCAGTCTACATTAGTAATTGTTTTCTAGTGCCCCTAGTAATTCATATCATACTACCTAGCACTTTACTTTAAACTAACTAATGTTTCTCTTGATATATCAAATATGTATATCTAATCACACCCTAATTTGAGTTCAAGACTCTTCAAAAAGAAGAAACAATTTACTTTCCCTGCACTCTTTCTGCATCTATTTCTGTATGTGAAACACAAGATCCCCAATATTACATACTAGCCCTCTACTTCAACAGACTGCTTAGTTAGGAATTTTTCCCAAAGAAGCTATAAAGCTATCCTTGTATAAATTCAAGGTCTGAAAAGTGACTTGCATTAATATACCTTTTTGACTGCAGCGGTTTTAGAAATGATTTCTTTTCCTTCTTTTTTCCTTCATGGACCAGGAGTGCTTATATCTTAAATCACTGCAAAAATATTTTTGGCTTGTTTTTAGATAGTGTAATAAAGACTTTTCCATTCATCTACCAAGCTCTCAGTGGGGGTCCTGGCAGCTGTGATTGCTCTGGGTGAATTCATTGTCCTGGACATAGCTATCTGCAATTGGTTTAGACACCTGGATAGAGCATGAATTTTTAATTGAGATATAGAAATACTAGTTAATTCTGGCTTTTTTTCTATACTAAAATTCATGACTACAAAGCAGTTGGACTGACATTTTCCCCACATAAAAGAGGAGCAGGGAGACTTCAGGCAGAAGAGCAGAATTTAAGGTACTCTGAATCAATCAGATTTGAAAGACTCCACAGCTTTAAAGAGTGAGGGGAGAAGGAAAGCAAGACAGGGAAGAAATGAATGAAGATAGCCAGAGAAACAGAGGAGCTGCCTTAATTCCTGATGTCTTTTTGGTCCTTTTTCCCCAAAGGCTGACCTAAATACCTCCCCACCCCCATAAAGTCCATGAGCTACAGGTTTAGTTTTATCATACATTTTCCATTTCTATTAAAGCTAACCTGAGTGGGTTTTTGCTACTTGCAAACAAAATAACTTTAACCTAGACATGCAGCCATGGATATAAAAAGGGGGAAAATTTAAATGTTAAAGTCAAAAAAGGATAATTTGATAGAGTTACACTCATATTAATAAGGTTATAACTTCCATTTTATTGGGAAAACTTTTCAATCAGAATCACAAAACAAGGGGCTACAGAACTTCTCCTCTTCTGCAGGTGGGAGGGAAACATGGAGGTAATTCGGCACCTGTCCACAGAAGCACAGTTGGGAAAGACATCAAGGACTTCAGCAGTGAACATGGAGACAATTCCTAAGTTGAAAGAGGGTTAACTTGCAGAGTAAACAGAAAGCAAGAAGCGTTTTGATGTATAATTAGAGTTGTAATGGAATTCTGTACAGAATTCTGTAATCTGAATTCCGAGCTACTCTAAACCTAGAGTCTGGAAATTATTTTCAATTAGTCTAATTCACTGATATGAAGCACCTACCATTCCAACAGAGAACCCACTAGAAGAACGTAAGATAGTGAGTTAATCAAAGAGATAATCCAGAGTGAGGTATTGTAGAACATTTCTTTAGCCTAGCTAAGAAGTTCACTTATTCCTTAGTGAGACATAATTATGTCAGTTCCAGTATCATGCTGCACAGAATTAGTAGATTTTTTAAGACTTCGACCCACGTTAATTACATGTTTGTCATTCTCTAGTAAGATATGATCTTTCTCTCATAGGATATTTTTGCATTTTTATTTTATTTTATTTATTTTTTTTGAGACACAGTTTCACTCTGTAACCCAGGCTGGAGTGCAGTGGCACAATCCTGGCTCACGGCAACCTCTGCCTCCTGGGTTCAAGCGATTCTCATGCCTCAGCCTCCCAAGTAGCAGGTACACACCACCACGCCTGGCTATTTTTTTGTGTGTTATTAGCAGAGATAGGGTTTCTCCATTTTGGCCAGGCTGGTCTCGAACTCCTGGCCTCAGGTGATCTGCCCGCCTCGGCCTCCCAAAAATTTGGGATTACAGGCGTGAGCCACCATGCCGGCCCTCATTTTTATATATGATAGTTTCATTTGTTTTGTTTTTGATGCATCCAACGCAAATGACAGCTGTCTCAGGAATCCAACACATAATTTCTCTTTAGATTATTGAGCCTGGAAAGGCAAACAAAATAATCAATATGCTTACTGAGTAGCCTTTAGTAGAGCTTATTTCTATTTGTTGCCTCATACTACAAAGGTTTACTATGTGAACCTTTCCTGACTTTGATTTTAAGAAACTGAGGAGATTATTAAAATCAAATGGCTAAAACTGATGCCTCGATAGCCCATGAGTTGTATTTTGTCCATCAGCTTGATTGATTGCTCTTTAGGTAGGAAAATACCACATGCAAACTGGGGTGCAAAGATATTCATTAAAATAGCGATATACTTTTGAGTACTAAAATTCAGTTACCTGTAAGATTTTGCTCGTCCATAATCTGTTGGCAGCATTTGCCTCACATTAGTCAGCATCACTGTTACAAGGCTTGAGGCTATTCACAGTCCTTATGATATTTTGTTCAGTCTGTCTGCACACAGGAATAACATTGCAGCTCACAATTGATGGCAGGATTTAGGCTGTTTTCTATTTTGTACACTTAGCCAAATTGATTATAGCTTCAAACTCTGAGGCTAAAGGATTTTTCTAACACTTCTCTGCTGACTTCACAAAAGTTAATATTGTCCCAAAGTACCACTCTTTTTGGAGGGTTGATGAAGGTGGAAATGAGTAAACAGAAAGATTAATTTTTTTTTTCTAATCTATTAAATAACAAGCATCATATATACCAAATCAGGACATTCTTTTTCTTAGAAACAATATAGTTATATCTGTCATGCAATAGAAGATAGAACGCTATTTCAACAATAGAACTGAAACATTTCTTACTTTAAAAATGAATTGAATGAGTAAAATGGGACATGTTTACCATTACCAGTTGAGACCAAGCCAGTAAAGTGTAAGGGGAGAGAAAGAATGCCTTTGGGACATTTATTATTTTAAAAGAAGAGCAAAGGATAGTTAGCTCCAAGCTGAGGTTCGGCAGAATAATTAGTGCTAAATAAATGATTGATGAATTAACTAATAAATAAGGAATGGAAAAATGAATGAATATATGAATTTACTTTCCTGGTTCATGTTGCTAAAAATTATCTTGGTTTTAAATTTTACCTATGTTGAATGGTAAAATTAGCATGGAAATTGAGCAGAGTATTAGTAATGGAACTTAAACCAATGACTTTTTTCCATTAATTTTTCATTTTTTGTTTATCTGCATTTTTCAAAGCAATGTTTTAACATTGTGAGATATACGTAAATGAATAAAATCATCCTTCCCTTGAAGGAAATTTTATTATAAAGAAATTATATAAATACATACAAATGATAGAGGTAAGTAATCAAAGAAGAGGAAAGGGTGGATGGTTAGAGAGTTGAGAAATACGTAGACATCAAAGAAGCTATATTTGTACTATAAACAGACTAGTTTTTGTTTTCTGTCTTTAAGCTTTTAAATTTACTTAAAATTATGGGTTTTCTGGCCGGGCGCGGTGGCTCATGCCTGTAATCCCAGCACTTTAGGAGGCCGAGGCAGGCGGATCACCTGACATCAGGAGTTTGAGACCAACCTGGCCAACATGATGAAACCCCGCCTCTACTAAAAATACAAAAATTAGCTGGGCATGGTGGCAGATGCCTGTGATCTCAGCTACTCAGGAGGCTGAGGCAGAAGAAGTGCTTGAGCCTGGGAGGCAGAGGTTGCAGTGAGCCAAGATCGTGCCACTGCACTACAGCCTGGGCAACAGAGTGAGACTCTGTCTGAAAGAAAGAAAGAAAGAAAAAGACAAAAACAAGTTTTCTACTATAGAAGCAATATGCCTTTATTGCAGAAATTTTTCGTAAAGTAAACAATGAAGCCAAAAAAAACAAGTTACTCAAAATATGGCTCAAGCCCTAGATATTAACACATTTGTATCTCAACTTCTAGAATATGCACAACTGAAAGGATTGCCACAGCAAAATTTTACAGAGTAAAACACTTATAGCCAAAAAGCTCAATAATGGTTACTAAATGCTTAGTTATTAATAAATTTGATGTAGTCAAACAATAAAATTCAAGGCAAACATTAAAGAGTAATTTTAAAAGCATATCGAATACCATGGAAAGGTACAGGAAAAATATACATACTAAACTTCCAGTTTCATAAATTTATGTCTATTCCTATATTTCTACCTATATATTAGCTATCTCTCTATCTATCTATTATCACTGAAAATTCCGAATAGCACAAAGAATAACTTATTGGAAGTATAAGGACATGATTTTCAACCAAAAATTTAAAGATTGAATAAAGGAAGTGGATTATCACTGTTAAGATTTGAATTAGTGGTCTGGGAAATCAAGTAGAAGAATATTCCAAAATGCACAGCAAAAATATCAAGTGATGAAAATCATGAAGTGGAAGAAAAGAGAAATTGAGAACAGATACAGAAGACATAACATGTGAATAATAGAGGTTTCAGAAGAAAAAAAAAGGAACAGATGGAGGAGAGACAGTAATTAAACAAATAGAGAAGGAAATTTCCCTGGTGTGAAGGAACACTTGAGTCGGGAAATTAAAATTGTTCATTAAATTCTGGGCAAGATTGGTGGAACACAGAACTAGGTATATCCTGGCAAAATTCCTGAACTCCAAATTTAAAGAATTTTTGAGTCTGCCACACACAAGGCTAAAGTTACAGACAAAGGAAAAGAAAAATTTCTCACCAGTGACCCTAGACATTATAAAAGCATATAATATAAACTCAAGAGAAATAGACTTCAGCCAAAGAATATTCTACCTAGGTAAGAAAGCTTTCACTTGGCAATAAAATATTGGAGAGTATGTAAGCTTCATAGGCTATAACTTTACATTTAATAAGAGCTCAACATTCAAGCAAACTCTAATAGATAAATCAGATTGGTGATCTCAATGAGAGGAAAAGGAAAAGAAAAATGCAGTGGTAAGTGGTGGGTAAGGATACAGTGACTGATAATATATAATCAGTCCTAGCTATAATTTCTTAAAATAGAAGACACAAGCTGCTATAAGGAACTAAATGTTCTAAGTGATCACAGCAAAACCTGCTGAATGGAAGTGGAGCAGAAGAAATAAAGTACTTTCCAGAGTTTCATCTGTGGGTGTGGATGTAAAAAAGTAAAAATGTTTTCAATATTATATTTTATTTATGGGAAAGAAAGAGTAAGAAGAGTGTTGGTGTGGCTACATAGCCGACAGTTGGTTCTTACACAGAGGTCAAGTGTATATAGTAAGGAGTGTTAGTAAAAGAAATACAACCACGGCTGGAAATCAGAACTACAGAAGAACTTCCAGATGAGTCAATCAGAGGGCAAAATGGAAAAGAAGGAAAACAACAAAGACTAACAATCTATTTTTTTTTAGATGAAGACCATTGTCTCAGCCCCAAATCTACATAAGCTGATAAGCAACTTCAGCAAAGTCTCAGGATACAAAATCAATTTGCAAAAATCACAAGCATTCCTATACACCAATAACAGACAAACAGCCAAATCATGAGTGAACTCCCATTCAAAACTGCCACAAAGAAAATAAAATGCCTATTACAAGGGATTTGAAGGACCTCTTCAAGGAGAACTATAAACCACTGCTCAAGGAAATAAGAGAAGACACAAATAAATGGAAAAACATTCCATACTCATGGATAGGAAGAATCAACATCATGCAAATGGCCATATTGCCCAAAGTAATTTATAGATTCAATGCTATTCCCATCAAGTTCCCATTGACTTTCTTCACAGAATTGGAAAAACTACTTTAAATTTCATAGGGAACCAAAAGAGAGCCCACATAGCCAAGACAATCCTAAGCAAAAAGGACAAACTGGAGGAATCATGCTACCTGACTTCAAACTATACTACAAGCCTACAGTAACCAAAACAGCATGGTACCAGTACCAAAACAGATATATGGACCAATGGAACAGAACAGAGGCCTCAAAAATAACATCAAACATCTACAACCATCTGAACTTTGACAAACCTGACAAAAACAAACAATGAGGAAAGGATTCCCTATTTAATAAATAGTGTTGGAAAAACTGGCTAGCTATATGCAGAAAACCGAAACTGAGCCCCTTCCTTATATCTTATACAAAAATCAACTCAAGATGGATTAAAGACTTAAACATAAGACCTAAAACCATAAAAACCCTAGAAGAAAACCTAGGCAATACCATTCAGGACATAGACATGGGCAAAGACTTCATGACTAAAACACCAAAAGCAATGGCAACAAAAGCTAAAATTGAACAAATGAGATCTAATTAAACTAAAGAGTTTCTGCACAGCAAAAGAAACTATCATCAGAGTGAGCAGGCAACCTACAGAATGGGATAAAATTTTTGCAATCTATCCATCTGACAAAGGGCTAATATCCAGAATCTACAAAGAACTTAAACAAATTTACAAGAACAAAACAAACAAAAAGTGAATGAAGGATATGAACAGACACTTCTAAAAAGAAGACAAACAGCCAACAAACATTTGTGCAGCCAACAACCATGTGAAAAGAAGCTCATCATCACTGGTCATTAGAGAAATGCAAATCAAAACCACAATGAGATGTACCATCTCATGCCAGTTAGAATGGCGATCATTAAAGTCAGGAAACAATAGATGCTGGAGAGGATGTGGAGAAATAGGAATGCTTTTACACTGTTGGTAGGAGTGTAAATTAGTTCAACCACCATGGAAGACAGAGTGGCAATTCCTCAAGGATCTAGAACTAGAAATACCATTTGACCCAGCAATCCCATTACTGAGTATATACCCAAAGGATTATAAATCATTCTACTATAAAGATACATGCACACATATGTTTATTCCAGCACTGTTCACAATAGCAAAGACTTGGAACCAACCCAAATGCCCATCAATGATAGACTGGATAAAGAAAATGTGGCACATATACACCATGGAATACTATGCAGCCATAAAAAAGGATGAGTTCATGTCCTTTGCAGAGACATGGATGAAGCTGGGAACCACCATTCTCAGCAAACTAACACCGCATGTTGTCACTCATAAGTGGAAGTTGAACAGTGAGAACACATGGACACAGGGAGGGGAACATCACAGATCAGGGCCTGTCGGGGGTAGGGGGCAAAGGGAGGAATAGCATTAGGAGAAATACCTAATGTAGATGACAGGTTGATGAGTGGAGCAAACCACCATGGCATTTATATGCCTATGTATCAAACCTGCACCTTCTGCACATGTACGCCAAAACTTAAAGTATAATTTTAAAAAAATGAAGACCTAAGCCAAGGATCTCACTTTCTTCATGTAGAAAATGACCACCAATATCCCTCTCCAATTAGAAAAGAAAGAATGATCAAGTTCCGTAAGTTTCACAATAAAGACAATGAAAATAAAAGTTTTCTTCAAAAGAAGTTGAGTCAATTTTGTTTGACGAAAGTATAAATATTTTTACAGATTCCATTTAACAATTATTGATTCAACAAACTTTTATTCAGTACCATGTATGTGTGCCGTACAGTGATTGTTATAGAAGAAACAGAAATGAAAGACATAATTTGGTCCCTTAATGGATTCACAGGTACACACCCACACATGCAAACACACACACACACACACACACACACACACACAAAATAAAATAGGGGCTAGAATTGTCATTGTTAGATTCCATTTAACAATTATTGATTCAACAAACTTTTATTCAGTACCATGTATGTGTGTAGTATAGTAATGGTTATAAAAGAAACAGAAATGAAGGACATAATTTGGTCCCTTAATGCATTCTCAGATACACACACACACAGATGCACACACACACACACACATGTGCACGCACACACACACAATAAAATAGGGGCTAGAAATTGTCATTGCAATTTTTAATGTCAAAAAGTAATGCCATTACTTTTAATGTCAAAAACTGCAATTACTCTTGCACCAACCTAATGAAGAATTATTTATTTGTAATTATTGTATTAATAATTATCAATGCTTCAGTAGGCACTGAGCCCATCCTTCTGCTGAAAGAGAAAGCCTGGTGGCTTTGCTTTTGATTAGAATGACTGGTCTGCCCCAGATGTGCCTGTGAGGGTGTTTCTGGAAATTGGCATGTGAGTCTGTGGATGGAGTGGGGAAGATTTGCCCTCCATGTGGGCAAGCACCATCCAGTTAGCTGGGGGCCCAATGGAACGAACATGCAGAGAAAGGGCGAATGCTTGCCAGATTCCTGCTCTCTCTCTTCTGGAACTGCGACACCGTTCTTCTCCTGCCCTTGGATGCCAGAACTCCAGGTTCTCTCTCTTTTGGATTCTGAGACTGGCATCAGCATCCCCCAGGATCTCAGGGCTTCAGTTTTGGACTGAGAATTACACCACTGGCTTTGTTAGTTCTTGTACTAAACCCTACTACTGGCTTCCCTGGTTCTCCAGCTCACCAATGGCCTATGTTGAGACTCCTCAGCCTTCATAATCAAGTGAGTCGATTACCCTAGTAAATCCCTTCTTCTCTCTCTCTCTTTTTGTATGTGTATATATATGACTATTATATATATAATATATTACATACATTTTTAATATTAATTAGTAATGAATTTTTAATATTGACTTAATAACACTCATCAGCTTGCAAATGTCTCACTTTTTGAATAAAGTCTATTTTTCAGAAGGCTGAAAAGAAGACAGGATATGAAGGAATACAATAAAACTAGTTTAAATATTTCAGCAGAATTAAAATAAGCATGAATTTAACCTTTATGTTTGCATGCCTGTAATAATCTATAAATATATTCAAAATAAATGAATACATATATAAAAATAAAGGATAAATTAACATATATGTATATATATGTTAATTTATACACACACACTCATATATCCTTTACATATATATGTGTGTGTGTGTATATATATACACACATATATGTTTATGTGTTCAGTCTCTCTGGAATCCTGACTAAAACAGTAGGTTAGGAAAGTTTTCAGAGTGCAGGAGCCACTTGAATAGGGCCTTAAATAATGAGGAGGGATTTTCCATGTAGTGTACAATGGGAAGAACATTGCAGGATGAGAAAGAGCATCTGTGAAAACACAGAAATATGAAATAGCTTGAGGACGTTGGCCTTTATTGTGTTGTGCATGGTGATGATATAGGGTAAGTAGGGAAGTTGCAAATGAGATGCTATGGTGTAGGTATGAGTTTGGCTGAAACTCCCTATAAGTAGTGCTGAGAGTGAGCATATTTTCCTGTAGGGAGTGGGGAGCCATTGATAAGTATGGCACAACATCTTCCTTATTTAGATCTGTGGTTTAGCCGCAGGTTCCAAATTGTTGATAAGTTACTGTGGCATTTCCAGGTCTGCACCTTAAGATAACTGCCTTAATAAAACATTTTTACAGTTAGTATTGGTTTTAACTGAAATAAAATAAAGGATGAATTAAAATAAGTTAAAAATCTGAATCATAGAGATTAATATTTTTCTAATCAAAAGTTTTCCAAAAAAAAAAAAGGTGATCCTCTTTAGTTGTTGTCAACTCTCTTAATTTGTACAAGTCCTTCTCACCTCTGGAAATAATGACAAGAGGAAGAGAAACAAATATGATATAGTATATTTTAACAGTCTGGAATCCACTTATTTACACATTTTAACATCTCTAAAATCAGGATGTGTCTGTCTTAAAATGTCGGTTTACAACTTTAATTCCAGATTTTTTGTTTTTTTCCGGCAGTATACACAGTAACAATGCATTATCTGAGATTTAGTGGAGTTGCAGTATCTGGTATATGTCCTCTATGTATTTGGCTTTATATTTTAGGAGCAAAGTGTTCACTCATATTCATTCAGTTCACTCATATTCACGTATTTGGAAAATCATTCATTTTCTGAAGTTTGGTTGAAAGAGATGAGTCTACTGTTATTAATTTCACAAGTCATTTTCTTATAATTGTGCAAACAGAATAATTGCATATTCTTCAAATGTTCTAGCTAAAACTTCAGAAAGACTCTTACTTTTTAAATATTAGATAATTTAACAGAAAAAAACATAAAATTTTATCAAATACCTCTAGTTCTTTTTTTTTTTTTTTTGAGACGGAGTTTCACACTGTCTCCTGGGCTGGAGTGCAATGGCGTGATCTCGGTTCACTGCAACCTCCCCCTCCTGGGTTCAAGTGGTTCTCCTGACTCAGCCTCCCGAGTAGCTGGGATTACAGCTGCCCACCACCATACCCGACTACATTTTTGTATTTTTAGTAGAGACGGGGTTTCACTATGCTGGCCAAGCTAGTCTCAAGCTCCTGACCTCGTGATCTGCCCGCCTCGGCGCCACAAAGTGCTGAGATTACGGGCGAGAGCCACTGCGCCTGGCCACATTTAGTTCTTAAAGTTAAACATGAGAATAAGATTGCATAAGAGGGAAAAGTGTAAGTAAACATGATTTTTTTTTGCTCAATCTTCAGGAATTTTTGTTTTGGTCTGGCAAATTCTATGATCTATGATAAAGTCAAAATGTTCAAAGCACTGTTACCTGCTGGGTTCAAGAAACATAATAAATAATTGCAAAATTACAAGTTATTAATATCCTTTAGTCGCAAACTTCACTGCATATACATATCCCCATGAATTAATAATGATTCATCAGTTTGCAAATGTCTCACTTTTTGTGTAAAGTCTCTTTGTCAGAGGGTTAAAAAAAAGAAACAATATGATAAAACTAGTTTAGATATTACAGTAGAATTAAAATAAGCCCGAATTTAACCTTTATGTTTGCCTACTATTGAGGGTTTTTACAACTATTTTCTTCTGTTGAAAACACATACTGGCTGACATATCAAGATACATATATTTTATGAAATATATGATTATTCTCTTTGATGTTCTGAAAACTTTTAAGTTTGCCTTTTCTTTTAAGCTTACAACTCTTTTAAAGAAAACCATTTTCATGCTCCTATCTCTGTAGGGAAAGTGTCAATGAAGAGCAGATTGGAACTTCTGAAAACATCTTTTACTCTAGAAGCATTATCACAAGTGATCCCCTCCTGGGAGTTCATAAAAGTTGACAGAAACCCCTGAAAGAATTATACATTAATAAAATATTACTTGTTATCTGTATGCATGCTCAATATTAAAGCATTCTATCTCAAGACTATCAACATTGTTTTACTCTCTAAGAAGCCAGTGATGCAGTGATGAGTCTTCTAGAAAAAGTCTTGGGTTCTAAGAATCAAATCACCTTATACTTAAGAAATTCCTTTACTGTAAGCTTGCCCTTTCTCATGTGTGTTTAAGATACATTTTAACATGGCTTAAGAAGAAATGCAAGATAATTCGTGTATACTCTAGAACCAGGCATATAGTAGGTGCTTAATAATTATTGGTAGAGTTACACAATCTGTTAACTCACTCTGTTTGAAATATCTCCAGCACACTCCAGCTTACCAGAATTATTACAGGAAAAATAATTCATGTCTGTTCATGACTACTTTCACTACAAATTTTTAAAAGCAAGTAGGGTATAATTAACCATATTGTAGTATCAATTTTCTACTTTAATTTGTGTATTACCTGACCACTCTCTATAATTCTTCTGAATTTCTCAATTATTTAAAGATAAAAAGGAGAAGGTAGATATGTTAGAAACACTATTGGTTCTCTGTTCCCTCAATTTCTTCCTGTATAATATTGGCCCTACTAAGCCCTTAGTTGAGGTATTTATTTGGTGTCTGTGTGTTTCAGGGTAGGATAATGATTTGTCTATGCCTATGATTTTAACATTGTAGCATGCATTGTAATTACCTGGAGGGCTTGGTAAGATACAGATTGCTGGGTCCCATCCATCCTCAGTGCTTTCTAACTCAGTTGGTTTGAGGTGGAACCCTAGGACTTCCATTACTAACTAGTTTCCAAATGATGCTGAAGTTGCTGCTTCAAAGAACATAGTTTAAGCACCACTAATGTAAGGCAACAATAGCAATTCCTAGTGCTATACAGATAGGCAGATAACAGACAACCGAATATTCTTCTTTAATGGTTGATGGCCTTTGCCCATTCTGATTAGTTATATTCAGTTCTAACTGGAAGGTGACCATGTTACAATGATTGTTCAATATTTAAATATCATTTCTAATAATTCAATTCATTTTCCTTTATTGGCTTAGAAGGGTGCATTAGATTTACTTCTGCCAAGTAATGAGAAGAGCTTCACTGGAGATGTCTAGATATTATTTTCCTTGTTTTTGAAAATGATGCACAGGAGAAAAACACAGCTTCAGGATCTGGATATTGTCTTCTTATCTGCTTGTGTCACCTAGAAGTGTGGTAGCTACCTTTGGATCAAAAGGGATGTAAGCCTTAGAGGATAAGTCAATCACTGTAAATGGCTTAGCAGAGATAGAAGGAACTTGAGAACTTGATAATATTGTTGAGAGGTTCTCATTTGGGAAAGACCACCCAATCTCCATATTTTTTGCCCCCATTAAGCCCCTTTTTATAGAGTTTTCTTTGCATCCAAAATCATTCTACCTGGTGCAATAGATAATTCATATAGCATAGTAAATTTAAAAATACTACATCTCTTGATTGGAAAGCAAAATGTGAAAGAAGAAAACAGGAAGATAATTATTAATTAGATTAAAAGTCATTAGTTTAAAATAATTGTATGTGTACACAACAGGAAAAAAAAATTCCCATTAATCATTTATTGGTTGAAAATTCTATGTGATTTATTTTAATTTTTTGGGATTTTTAAATTTTTCTCCTGTCTAAAAGATGTGATCATTGTCTTTTTGGCAGAAACAAGGTAGACCTTGTAAAATACCAGTTTTAAATTCAAATTAAAGACTTTCATTTGTCAACACAATATTGCTACTGTTGATTATTTTGAGGTGAGATAAATTTAGGGAGAAATGCAACTTAAAAAACAAAATTAATTATTGATTTTTTTTTGTAATTTGAACAAAAATTCAGTTATCTCTATTGCCAACATATTTTATTATTGCTTGTAAGTTTTCCTGTATTATGAGCCCACATCTTTCTTTTTAATCCTCTGTTATCACTCAAATAAAGTTTTGATGTTTCTGGGCAGAAGACACCAGATTTTACACTGACTACTGTCTGTCATCAAAAGTAATTCTGGCAAACCAAAAAAAAAAAAAAAAAAATAGATGTAGTATCTGGAAACAATCAGACTTTTAAGGTATTGAGAAACTAGTAAACCCCATTGGTTCACATATGGTACCAAAACCTCCATATTTTATCCAAAATAGAAATAACACCCTAATTCTTGCACCCCTTGCACCTTCACAATCATTTGAAAAGTAGACATTGATCAAACAATTGGAGATTGAAATTATGTTTATATTACTGATAAAATTGATTGAAGAAATTAATATTGAATAGACAGGAAAAATGGACTTAAGTTCCTAAATTAAACTGATTTACCTACCTAGTTAATGAGCCTGCTGGACAACAACGTCCTGCCACAAAGGAACAAGCAAAATGCAACCTCTTCATAAAAAGACAGATGTGGAAACAGGATAAAAGGAAAGTAAGTTTCTTCTGACAAAATAATCAGGTAAGGCATTTCTCTCACAAAGGGAATGAAAGACAGAACAAAGCAGCTGAAAATGCTTCTTTATTATTTTTTTCCTCCTGAATAATGGAATATAATTTTGTCCCCTCTATACATACAGGAGGAGTAATAAATAAGTGTTCTTCCCCAATATCCTTAGTTAATACTTTGCAGTTTCCTGTCTCTTAATTTGTTAGGCTTAACAATTAAGGTTTGTAGTGGATCAAGCACATGGCTAGCTACATCTGGGGAGGAGATCAGCTGATCAGCAGGCCTCCTCACTGTACCTAGCATTGTTCTTTTTCTTATTTTTTGGGGACACTCATGTTCCAGTTACTTGTTATTGCCAGAAAGCTCTAAAAATAGGTCATGAAAGGACATTAATATAGTAAATTCTAAGACCAAAATTGTATTCTCTATTCTAATAGTTATCCCAAATTGTGTCCAGATACCTTGCACAATAGAACTCATCAGAGGTTATGCAACATACATGTTAACCACATAGAGGTGTACATGGTTTGAATTAAGAAATTCTCAGGAAGAAATTAAATATCAAAAATGTAACCTTCTTTCCCTAGTAGGTGAAAGTAAAGCATGATCAAAGTCCAAAGTAATTAATTACATATTCAAGAAAAAATAAAGTCTGGAATAAAATTCCCCAATTGCTTGTTCATTTATTTTCTCTGTCTTGCCAGAGTTGGCCTTTTTTGTTGTAAAGTCTGAATAGACTTGGGGTTCTTTCAGCAGGAACAGTGGGCTGTCTTTACATAGACTGAGTATGGCTTCTTCAACATTTTCAAAATTGGAATTAATCCAACCCAAATTTAAGAGCCTTTACTATATCAACTCTTATAATTGGGCACAGAAGATGTAGAGTATAAACCTCCACAATAAATCTTAGAAATGCAAGTGATTCTCTGGTTATTAGATTCTTGTCCTAGGCACAAACGATATTCCCAGAACTCAATGCTTCATATAAACCGGACAATCAATGTTCGTCTTGTCCAAAACCACACGAGAGACTCAATGATATCTATGGGAAGAGTCAAGCCACAACAACTTTCTAGGTTCAGCTTCGCCAGTCTGCTTATCGTTGCCCAGAGATTATGACATAGGAACTAAAACTCAGTGGGGAAAAAATATCTCATTAAGATTATTTGAGACACTACAGTCACCATATCTTTACGTTTCCTTGGGAAGACATTTACCTTTGTTTACTGTGTCTGCTCTCTGAGACACTTACACTTTCTTACAAAGTTGAGACATTTGTGATTACGGCAACTACAGTCACCAGGACTCACTTGATATGCCTTCCTTTCAATTCAATGCAATAAAAATCTCCTAATGTCTATTTCCCCACTGGCTCTGCATCTAGCACCCTGGGCTGCAATCAGTCATTTCAGTCTTCTCTTTGAGATCCTGCCTTTGTTTTTTCTGTTTTGTAGCATTGACCTGCATTCATATTTCATACAGAATAATAACGAAAGCAGCTCCTCCTTTTCCTTAATGCTGTTTTTACCAACAGACAGTCCCAGGCACATCTTTGATATTTTTTTATTTCAGCCTTGTCCTTTCAGATTGCAACCTTTCTTTTAAGACACTCTCTTGTCACCTTCTCTTTCATGATATTTCTATCATACTCCCATTGCTCTTGCCTTGGGAGTTATACTATAATCTATGTTTAAAACTAATCCAGTTACCTTTCAAATTCCTGTGCAAGTCTGTTTGATAAAGGCCGAGATTTCCAAACACAGGCCTATACATATAATTGTTTCATTCATATTTTTGTGTATAATATTTTAATAAGCCATTCCATTCTTCAATCAAGAAGATGGGGTAGCTTCCATGTCAGTAGTCTCTAAAATGGGGTATGTGAGCCCCTGGAGTTACACAGAAATCTACAAAGGTGCATTGATCTGGCCTTTTAAATTTGATTTATTCTCTTTCCTTCCTTTCCTAATACGTTTCCCTTTCCTACCTCTCTCTTTGGAAAAGGAAGAGAGTTTTCTGTCCTGAATCTTGCTATATTTTCTGCTCAGGAGGCAAAAATGAGAGATCCTAACCACAGGACAATTCAAACAATATACTTTGGAAAAAGAAGTTTAATCATGAAAATTCAAGGTTGTGTACATCTATATTGGTGCTTTTAAAATTGAGTATCTTTTACAAAATACACTGCTTAGAAATGGAGTAGTTTGGCCTTTGTTGAGATATTATAAAATTGGATATTTTACATAATGTGAATGATAAGAATGACGATTTTCATTTAAAGACTTCATAACTTCTATTGTCCGTTTATAGTTTACTCTTTTGGGGAAGTATTTGATAAGAACAAAGCAAAGACAGTATTAGTTAAAAATTATGAATGTGAAATTATATTTAATGTCTTTAAACATAAAAATTCTTTTCAGTTATTTTAACATTAAGCCAATGGATCTGTTATTTGCTAGAATCTTCTAGCAGAGGAAAGATTACAGGTTATGATATTTATTATTTTAAATGAACTAAGAATGTTTTTCAAATATTATCAAATAATCCAGGTTATGTTCCAGAAAACTCACAGATAGACATTTTGCATGACTTTGTCTAGATTCAGTGAATGTTTTATTTTATTTTATGTTTTGAGACAGAGTCTCTCTCTCTTTTGCCCAGGCTGGAGTGCAGTGGTGCGATCTCGGCTCACTGCAACCTCTGCCTTCCAGGGTCAAGCAATTCTCCTGCCTCAGCCTCCCGAATAACTGGGATTACTGCCATCCACCACCACACCCAGCTAATTTTGTATTTTTAGTAAAGACAGGGTTTCATCACGTTGGCCAGGCTGGTCTCCAACTCCTGTCCTCAAGTGATCCGCAGAAGTCGGCCTCCCAAAGTACTGGGATTGTAGGTGTGAGCCACCATGTCCAGCCTCAGTGAATGTATTTTAATCAGGTTTTACAGTCTATTTAACGAAATCGTATCCCAAAATATTCTACTTATAATCAAATTATCATTTTATTTCATCTTATAAAATGCTTAGCACTTTTTCTACATCATGTTAACAAAAACTAAATCTTACCTAATCCTAAACTCAGTGTATATCTTATGTTTAACAGTAATTTTTTAAATTAAATCCATAGAGACAGTTTAGTTGTGCTTCTTTCATGAAGCTATTTCTGGGTTTTTAAAAAACATTTTTAAAGTTTCACTTATTTAATTTTCCTTTGATTTTTCATGCATAGTTTTATGAATTTGTTTTTAAATTTAATTTTGTTTAATAATTATGTAAAACATTTACATTTTTGCAAAGCCAAATCTGCAAACAAGATTCATTCAGAGGAGACTGGCTACTATAACTATCCTTCTCCCTAGTTCTTCCTTCCCACAAGTAAGATTTAAAAAAAAAAAATTTTGTTTTATTCTTTTAGTTTTTCAGTATAAATGCATGTGTGTTGCTTTTCCTCCTCCTCTTTCTCGCGTACATGATAGAGGACTTTACACACATTTCTCCATTTTGTTTTTTGTGCTTCACTTCTCTGCTTTTCCTGAAGATTACATAGCTACTCATTTGTTTTTATAGCTGTGGAGTCCTAATCCTTGGGTGAATGCATGACACAACGGGTCTTCACTTTGGTGGTTCTCAGTCTTTACAAACAGTACAGGATCAAAAAGTCTTGCCACATGTCCTTTTGCACTTGCCAGTCATGTTTGGGTTAGATTCCTGGAAGTGAGATTGCTGGGATTAAGAATAAATATAAAATTTGCTAATATTGCAAAATTTCCCTCCATAGAAGTTGAATCATTTTACATTCCCGCTATAATTTTATGAGTCATTGTTTTCTCACAACCTCATCAGAATAATACATTGCTAAACTTTTAGATTTTTGCCAATCTTATTAAGAAACTGCGTCTCAGTATAGTTTGGATATATAGTTTTCTCTTATTTTTATGCCATTTCCTGGTTTTGATATCAGGGTAATAGTAGCCTCATCGAACAAATGGGAAATGTCTTCCTCATCTATTTTCTGTAAGAATTTGAGAAAGATTGGTCTTAATTCTTCTTGACAAGATTGGTAGAATTTGCCAAGGAAGCCATCTGGGCCCGCAGTTTTCTTTGTGGAAAGTTTAAACATGAATATTTCAATCCTTTTACCTTTTATATGTCTGTTCAGATTTTTCTATTTCTCTTTGATCAGCTTGAATAATTTGTGTCTTTTCAGGAATGAGTCCATTCCGTCTAGGTTTTTAAATTTGTTAGCATACAGTTATTCATGGCATTTTCTTATAATGTTTTCTACATTCAGAAGGTCAGTAGTGATGTCCCTTTTCTATTTCTGATTTTAGTAATTCAAATCTTCCCTCTGTTTTACCTGGTCAGTCTAGCTAAAGGTTTGTCAATTTTCTTGACCTTTCCAGGGAACCATTCATTAGTTTCATTCATTTTTTTCATCTGTTTTTCTATTTATTTTATTTTATTTTATTTTATTTTATTTTATTTCCACTTTTGTCTTATTTCCTTCTTTCTGCTTGATTTGGGTTTAATTTGTTCTTCTTTTTCTACTTTATTCTAAAGTTGAAAGTTAGGTTATTTATTTGAGATTTTGTTTTCTTAATATAGGTGTTTACAGCTATAAATATCCCTCTGAGTGCTGCTTTAGCTGCATCCTATAAGTTTTAGTACATTTCATATTGTTCATCTTAAAATATATTCTAATTTTTCTCGAAACTTTAACCTACTGGTTACTTAGGAGCACACAGTTTAATGTCCACATATTTGTGACTTTCTCATTTTTTTTTTCTATTACTGATTTCTTTTTTTTCCCCTCAACTTTTATTTTAGATTCAGGGGTGTATATTTGTTACCTAGGTATATCATGTGATGCTGAGGTTTGGGTATGAATGATGCCATCACTCCAGCTACTGAACATAGAACTAAAAGTTTGTTTTTCAACCCATGCACTGCATCCTCCCTCTCCCAGTAGTATTTCCAGTGTCTATTGTTGCCATCTTTATGTCCATGAGTACCCCATGTTTAGCTCTATTTATGTGAGAACACGTGGTGCTTGGTTTTGTTTTCCTGCACTAATTTTCTTAGGATAATAACCTCCAGTTGCATCCATGTTGCTGCAAAGGTTACAATTTTTGTTTGTTTGTTTGTTTGAGACAGAGTCTCACTCTCTTGCCCCAGGCTGCAGTGCAATGGTGCCATCTCGGCTCACTGCAACCTCCATCTCCCAGGTTGAAACAATTTTCCCATCTCAGCCTCCCAAGTAGCTGGGATTGCAGGTGCCCGCCACCACACTCAGCTAATTTCTGTATTTTTTTAGTAGAGATGGGATTTCCCCATGTTGGCCAGGCTGGTCTCGAACTTCTGACCTCAAGTGATCCGCCCACCTCAGCCTCCCAAAGTGCTGGGATTACAGACGTGAGCCACCACACCTGGCCAATTTTTTGCTTTTTTTTTTTTTTTAAACAATGTTTTTATTCCAAAACTTGCCTTTCAGAACCATTGTCTTACCATGAACTCCTCAAATTCTATTTTGTTTTTTTTTTCATTTATATCTTTATTTATTTATTTATTTATTTATTTATTTATTTTATTATTACACTTTAAGTTTTAGGGTACATGTGCACAATGTGCAGGTTAGTTACATATGCATGGCACATGTATACATATGTAATTTTTTGCTTTTTTATGTCTTTTTTATACATTGTTTTTATATAATTACTTGCAAAAGTTAAACACTAGAGGTCACTACAGTTATGCACTGGCGTTTACCCTATGAACATAATGCCTATTATTATACTCTTCACTTTTGAAAAATATATAAATTTTATGTATATATTACATTTAGTACTAAAAATAAAATTATAAGACAAATAATTTGGCTTCTTTTCAAAACTTATTTTGAAAAAATAGAAATTATGTCAGACACCTATGCTTTTAAATCCGATTCAGCTAATTTTAGCAATGCATGCTGTAAGATGGATTCTACAATTTATATATAAATAATTTATATATTTCTCTAAATACTATTAATGCACTTAATTACTTTTAAAAAATGATGCCATACTTTATTTTATAACCAAAGATAATTCTGATTGGCTGGTTAGTTTGATAATGAAAATTGGATTTGCTAATTAAGCTAGTTTGTGTTTATGTTCCATAAATGAGATGAGCCGAATCTGTGGCTTTAGTGTTTTGATAACAACATATATCAATGATAAATGATATCATTGATTAGAGCATTTTATCATGTATAAATGATAAATGATGAGAGCATTTTATCATGTATATTTTACTGGCAAAACGTATTAAAACAATAGTTAGACAACTTAACCACTTTGGAGTGCACTCAATTCACAAAGTTCTCAAAGTGAATGAGAGAAGGAAGGGAGGAAGGGAGAGAAGGAGGAAGGTAGAAAGAAAAGAAGGAAGAAGGAAAGAAGGAGTGAAATAAACGGTATCAACTTAGAATAACGATTATTTAATAAATTATTCTAATACTTTATTGGTATATTTTCCTGCAATTAAAAAAATACCTTTTAAAATAGGTTAATGAGTCATTTTTGCAAGTGAGGGCATCTCTATTTCTTTTATCTCAGTAAAATTAAAAGGATAATTAATTTGTTGGATGATATATAATTTATAACATCATTTAATCATAGATGACTACGTGAATTTTTGCACGCTCTTTGAAAGAAGACAAGTGTGTGTTATCACTATTAAAAACAACACATGGAGTCCGTTATCCTAAGTGAAATAATGCAGAAACAGAGAGTCAAATACCCCATGTTCTCATTTGTAAGTGGGAGCTAAATAGTAGGTAAACATAGACATGTAGAGCAGAATAATAGACATTGGAGACTTTGAAAGGTGGGATGGTGGGAGAGGGGGAGGGTTGAATTTATTGGGTACAATGTTCATTATCAGGATGATGGTACATTAAAGGGTGAGACTTCATCACCACACAATATATGCATGTAAGAAATCTGCACTTGTGCTCTCTAAATATGTAAAAATTAAAAAAAATTTGAAACCCACAAAACAAGACTCCTTTCTTTCTCATGTATTAATATAATACGATCATATTTTGTCAGTGTATACATCAGTACAAGTGAAGTACAGGAATGAAACTTAGGTTAAATCTTGTTTTATTATATCACAAATAACAGTAATATATGTGTGCAGGAACTATTTAAAAACACAAGCTACAATCATCTCAACAAAAGATTTAATAATTTTTAATAAGATTTAACAATAACCAATTAAAAATGTATTTTAATATATACTTTATTTTGATCAATTGAAATTAAGACTAATTATAGTGATAATTTAATTAAAAAATAACAGAATCTAGAGCAAATAGCAATTTTAAAGTTTTAAGTTGTATTTATATTTTTTGTTGCTGGGATATAAGAGGATCGACAAAAGTCATTCAGGCATGTAATATTTCATATTGCACAAGATTATATGAGGGAAGTAGAATGAAAATACGATTTCAGGGAAAACATCATATAAAATTTTTCATTGTTAAAATTAAGCTTCTTTTTTTGACAGATGACAGGTATTTACTGTTACTATGATAGTCAGATTACATTGCTTCCATTTAAGCAGTTATTTTATTTTAAAATCTCAATACCTACACTGTAACTGGTTTCATAGTCTTCACAATTTCTTTTTCCTAAGAACAAATTTTAAATGTCAATTTAATATTTTGGAGTTAGTATGTAGTTTTTGAAATTTTTTTAGACACACATAAACAAAAGATAAAGTACTAAAGACTGCTGTACTAGGTAATAATATTACTGTTTCTTTTAATATGTGCACTAGACAATTTATTCTCTGATCTCTGGATGAAACCATTGACTAGGTTCCTGAAATCTGAAGTCATTGTTGATGATTATATAGTGTAGATAGAGTCAACCTGAGATCACATGGTAGAAGAAGACTCCTAAGCCTGTGGTGGCGACGCATAATTCCAAGAAGTTAGTTTCTCCGCAATTCTTTCTGCTGGCCCTGAATGCAGCTCCAAAGGACATTTGATGAACACAATTCAAACAGCTTATTTAATGCTGATTAACTAAACCTGGAACAGAGCTCCACATTGCTCTATAATTTAGACGCTTTGGAATTTAAGTTCTAGAACTACAGGCCCGACTGAGAAATGCAATAGGCAAAATACATTAGCCAAAATGCAGTAGCCATTATTGTTCCATCCATTAAAGACGTTTATATAAAAGCTTTTAACTAGGACTTCAAGATTCTCCATTCTGTATAACCTAATAATTGGCCTCAGCCATACCTATTTTGATATGGGCAAGAATCAAGTGAGGTCAGTTGAAGACATCCACCCTCCACAGGACCTAACCTCACGAAGGTCAACTTCTATTAACTAACGAGTAGCCCTGGATGTGTAATGATATCCACTTACTAGGAGACATCGTGCCCATAAATGGCAATGACCCACTGAGGACAATCCCGTGTTAACTGCACTAATTTTAGTGAAAACTTAAAGCAGCCTCCGTGTCTTACCCATAAACTTTGATGCTCACTTGTATTTTGGTCACTAAGTACAGGTCTTTGTCCATTTCTGAAAGTCCTAGGACAAGACGAAGGTGTTATGGTTTTAGAACACTAATTAATGCCTCCCTCCGTTTTAAATTCTGAATTTACAACAATTCAAATAGCAATTTCTAGGAGGCAAATAAAATTTAAAACGTCACCTTTAATACTGATTACTGCTGGCTGGAAGGCATGCTTTTATATGTGCAGTGAAAAGCACTTGCTAAAATCCTGCACTTCTCTACAGTTTAAATCCTAAAACAACTCACTTGTAACAGTAGCCAAGAACTGTTGCCTCTTACCTGGGATGGTAAAAAAGAAAGAATGAGTCTTCGGTATTGTCAATTTAAAAAAAATAGATTAGTTCCATCAGTTAGAAGCATGGGCAGACTCATGCCACCAGCAATTGAAACTTAACTGCATATTTTTTGTGATATGTAAACATTAGGGAGAAAAGATAGAGATGCTACTGTAACAGAAATCCCTCCGCATGAAACTATAAGCTCAAACACCATAAATACAGAGGAAAACCCTAAGCTAGTGGGATGGTTAATTCTATGTGTCAACTTGGCAAGATCATGGGCAAACTTCAGTCTAAATGTTGTCATAAAGGTATTTTTTAGATGGGATTACCTTTAAATTAGGAGACTGAATACAGTAGATTACCCTCCATAATATGCGTGGACCTCAGTTAAAGATCTTAAGAGAGAAGACTGGCCAGGTGCAATAACTCACGCCCCCTATATCTCAACACTTTGGGATGCTGACGTGGGACAATCTTTTGAGCCCAGGAGTTCGAGACCAGTCCAGGCAATGTAGCAAGACTCTGTCTTTACAAAACAACAACAACAACGACAACAACAAAAGAATTAGCCAGGCATAGTGGTGCAAACCTGCAGTCCCAGCTGCTCAGGAATTTGAGGCAGGAGGATTTTTCAAGCCCAGGGATTTAAGGCTGCAGCTCTAATCCTGCGTCTGCACTCTAGCCTAAGTGACAGACTGAGACTTTGTCTCTAAAAAATATAAACAAATAAATAAAAAGAGAAAAGACTGAGGTATCTTGGGGAATAATTCGGACTTCACACTGTCTTTGGTCTGGAGTTGCAACTTCAGTTTTTCATCCCTGAGTCCAGCCTGCTGGCCTGACCTGCAGATTTTGGACTTACTAGACCGCGTAGTCACATGAGCCAATTCCCTGAAATAAATATCTCTCACATCTCTCTCCTACACACACACACACACACACACACACGTATGTATATATAATGCACACACACACGTACACATATATACATATATATACAAATACCTCCTGTTGATCCTATTGGTTCTGTTTCTCTGGACAACTCTAATAGACCTAGTACAAACATCTTGTGAATATGTTACTGAAATTGAGGACATTCTCTCCTTTATTAAAAATTAGTACCATTTGGACTGAAACTTGGACTTGAAATTCCTCAGTCCTTGTAATGGCTTTCATAATATTTAAGATGGTAAAATGTCATAAAATGTCATACAAATAATGACACTTTGAAACGTGGGAGAAAAACCCATTTGATCCTCCAAAATAACCTGTATTTTCTTCTGCTCTAATATCTATCATAGAGTTCCTCTTATTTTTATATTTTTCTTTTTTATCTTGATTATGACTTCTTTAAGTTTCTTCCATGCTTCTTCTCTCTGTATCCCTGAAGTGAAACACATAATAAGCTCTCAATAATTTTTGTATAAATGAATTATAAGGCAACAGTTTAAAAAGCTTAATTAAACAATATACTTTTTTTATTTTGCTGGGAAAGCATAAAATTTAAAACTCTTTCCTGCCTAGCGATAGTGTATGCAGCATTACCTGTGTCAATAATGATAGTTTTTCATCAGTTGTAGGAGCTTTTGAAGTAAAGGAAGTCTGGGAACACTTGTAATGAACAAGAATGGAACCCTGAAAAGATCTCTTAAAAGCAGAAGCTAACTGATAACGTTACAAAATTTTAGCTTATTCCAAAGAGACATACTTTAGGTGATATATATTGCTTTGATTGGCATTTTTATACAGTATATATGAATTAGTCTTTAAACCTTCTGCCTTTCTTTCTTCCTCTTTCCTTCCTTCGTTCCTTTCTTCCTTTGTTCTTTCCTTCCTTCTTTTTCTCTATTCCTTCCTTCATGTGTTTTTTAGAAAATATTTCTGTCATTTGTAATTTTAAATTGCTTAAAGTCACCCCTCATTGCAACACGTTCCTATTTAGACTGAGTCTTTATTAATTGATCTTTCTGTGTAGTTCAATGGCCTTACCAATATTACTAAAAACATAATTCCTAAATTAAAATGTTACCAGGCCTCATAATCACATCAATTACAGTATTATTTTAAGCAGATTGGGCCATTTGAATAAGGTTGCTATGCACATATAAATATACTCTTCATGTTTTATACTACAATATTACTCAGTTGAAAGCAGTTTCTCTAGCACTTTAAAACATTTTCTGAACTTCTGTTATCATTATAAGGTGGTTTTGGTTGTCCCTGCAACGACCTTTTAGATATCTTTGCTTTGGGGACATGCAATTTCACTGGAACAGCATCTTTGAATACTAGACCTTAAAAGTCAATTCTGTGCTTCCTGTGACCTGCTTTCCAGATAGCAATGTGACGCAAGGGAAAGATACATTGATAAATGAGGATCTTTGTTGAACATTAGAACAAAAAGGACTAAATTGGGTCTCCAGATATTAATTATTCTCAAAGAAACAGTCCATCTTGGTGATCTACAAACTGAAAGACAATTTTGCACTTTAACATGATTGAGCATAAAAATGTTTTAGACCTGGAGTGAAGTAAGCAATATTACAAATAGTTTTGGGGAGAAGAAGAAGAAGAAAAAAAAAAACACAACTGTTTAACACATTTATAAATTAAATTGAAAAGGTAATATTCCCAGCCCTGAGACATTTTGGCTATCGAAGCTATCTAATTCAAAATCTGAAAACAAAGGAAAATTTCTATCCTCTTCGGCTCAGACTATTATTACCCTCCGGACAATTTCCTTTGTAAGACAGATCAAAGCACTTTTACAAACAGATGCAGCTTCATCAAAGTCAACACAAATGATTTGGATTAATGCTCACTATGGGTAAAATAACAAGCACATGAGTCCTTTGCCTTTTTATTTTTGCATAATGTTAGCTTATTTTAATCTTATGTGTAAAAAGTGGCCGGGTGCAGTGGCTCACGCCTGTAATCCCAGCACTTTGGGAGGCCAAGGCGGGCAGATCACGAGGTCAGGAGCTCGAGACCATCCTGGCTAACATGGTGAAACCCCGTCTCTACTAAAAATACAAAAACATTAGCCGGGCATGGTGGCTGACGCCTGTAGTCCCAGCTACTTGGGAGGCTGAGACAGGAGAATGGTGTGAACCTGGGAGGTGGAGCTTGCAGTGAGCCGAGATCGCGCCACTGCACTCCAACCTGGGCGACAGAGCAAGACTGTCTCAAAAAAAGAGAAAAGTATACATAATCAACTTACCTTACTAAGTGGATACTATTATGTTAATTATTGTAGATCCGGGGTTGTTATGTGACCAGATTAAATAATGTATATTAAAAGGGTTTTGGAAAATATAAAGCGTTATACAAATGAAAGTGATTATTACGATTGCAATAATCTTAAATAGTGAGAGTAATTGCTGTGAACATTCTTAAAATATGCTTCCAACTAGGACAATCAGTCTATCAGTCAATTGCATTTATTTTCTGAGTACACATACAGAATTCTATATTATACCAACTTATGAGATAGAAAGAAAGGAGAATATATGATCTGTGTTTTTTGGAAGACTTCACAATTTAAAACAAGTACATGAAAATCCTAAATGAATATGTGTAAGATAACATGTGCTATTATGTTATATACAAAATCCCAAACATTGAAATTAGGAGATGATTAAGACAGAATACCTACTCTTGAGGGACAGTAACAAAAACAAATGCAACTAAACAACTGCGATTAAATGGGCTAAGGGGGATAATACAGGTTTATACAAAGCACATGTACCTCACAGGCTGGACAGGTTAGCACATTGGTGGCAATTTGGCAGACAATAATTCCAAATCTGCTTGAGAGATGTGTTTTATTTGGACACTACGTGTCACACCTTTGTCCTGTCTTCCTGCCGGCCTGCCTTCCTATGTCCCTGTCTTCCTTCTCTCTCTCTTTCTCTCTCTTATTTGACCTTACATTTGGCAGATAATTTTATGCTTTAATGTGGTGGAACATGCAATGTTTTAGGCTTGCAGTACAGTAAGCAGTATTACAAACGGGTTGGAAAGAAGAAGAGCAACAAAAACCAACCATTCAACCAAATAATTTGCTGCCGTCTACAACTTTTGAGTATTTGAGTCTATAACCCCTACTTTGGATTGTCATAGAAATTTCACAGCAGGAGAGCAGTTAAACCACGTTTTGATAGTTGAATACGTTTATCAGATGGAGAGGAAAAAAAAAGACCACATAAAGAGACAAGACTCTGTTATATGTTCAAAAAATATAATTATTTTCCATAAGATTTATATTGAAGAATGGTAGAAAATATGGGCGGTATTGCATTTAAGTCAAACTATTAAGGGAATTATGCATTATCCTGAGAAAATCTGGCTTCGTTGCAGTTTTCCAGCTAAGAAGCCGTGGCACATTTATCTGCAAAGCATTGGTCCTTTCAGTTCTTGGGACATCAGGGCAATTTTGGGAAGCAGTAATATAAGTAATAGGAAACTACTTTGGGAGATTGTTATTTAGCCTGCCACATTATATATGGAAAGAAATTAACATTTTGTTTGATAGTTTTAACCAATCTACTGCTGCAGAGAGGGGGCAACTTTTCTCGGTAATTGATTGTGTCTGATTTTTTCATTCGGCTTTCTTGTGATTTTCTGTATCTCTTTTTGTGCAAAGCCCCTTCTGTCTTTATTTGAGCTTAATCATTAGTGCTCTTTATTTCTTTGGGATGTTATGGATTTAGGCTATGGGTGTAACCACTTGCATTTACTCATATTTTCCTAGTTTTCCTTCTTCTCAGCCTGAAGCTTTATTTTTAAAATGATGTATATTTTAGCCAGCTTTTTAAGAAAACTTAAAATAATAGATGTATTATCGTTTATTATGAAAGTAAGATTTGTTTCTTATGGAAACACTGGAAAATACAAAAAAGTAGAAGGAATTCATGAATGATCACTTTTCTCTTTTAATAATATTTCTTCTATCATTTGTTTATGAAAATTTGTCGATTTGTTAAGCATGTTACCCAAGCATTTTAAAAAGTTTTCTAAACTTTTCATTATGTCAAAATACTTTCCCCATATAATCTCAAGCCTAATGTTTAATGGCTACATAGTGTCTAATAAAAAGATCGATTCCTATATTGTTTAGCATTTATAGTATTTTTCAAAGTTTTGCCAATTTAAAAATGGCTATAATCATAGTATTTAAATGATTTTCTTTACTTAAGATATTTTTCTTTAGCCACTGAAATGCCCAAAAATAAATCACAAAGTCAAATTCCTACATTTTAAGGCTGTTGTTAAATATTACTAAATTTTTTAAAGTTATTAGTGCTGTATTTTAAGAGATTTTAATCATATAGATGAATAAATTAGAAATAAGGAAAGTGAGTGAAGCTTATTTAGAAAGTTATTATTGTAGTCCACTGAGAACTGGTAGTCCATAGAAAATTAGACCAAGAGATGGTAGGACTTGAATTAAGCTGCCAAGGAAGAATTGGAATAAAGGAGATCTATTTATATCTTAAATATGTAGTACTTGTTAAGGGATTAGAGTGACAGTCGAAGAAATGAGCTACGTTTAAAATATTTCTGACACCTCATTAGGGTCACTATGTATCATGGTGACAACCATATTTAAATTAAAGACAGTATTAATGGAGAGAAAATATAGGGGGAGGATAAAGATAAAAGCATAAGACAACTACAGTTTGGAGATACAGATATAAATACACACATACAAAAACATTAAATAAATGTCATTAAATTTTATTAAATGCATAGATTGGTATGTCTGGTTAAAGAACAAACAGGGGAATGCTGGCTAAAATATACATCGTTTTAAAAATAAAGCTTCAGGCTGAGAAGAAGGAAAACTAGGAAAATATGAGTAAATGCAAGTGGTTACACCCATAGCCTAAATCCATAACATCCCAAAGAAATAAAGAGCACTAATGATTAAGCTCAAATAAAGACAGGAGCTTTGCACAAAAAGAGATACAGAAAATCACAAGAAAGCCGAATGAAAAAATCAGACACAATCAATTACCGAGAAAAGTTGCCCCCTCTCTGCAGCAGTAGATTGGTTAAAACTATCAAACAAAATGTTAATTTCTTTCCATATATAATGTGGCAGGCTAAATAACAATCTCCCAAAGATGTCCACACCCTGTTCTCCAAAACCTGTGAATATGTGGACTTTACATGGTAAGAGAAATGTTGCAGATGTGATTACATTACAAATTTTGAGGTGGGGAGTAACTTAGTCTACTTAGGCAAAATATCAAAGTACCATAGGCTGGGTGGTTTAAAATACAGAAATCTATTTTCTCACAGTTCTGGAGGCTAGTTGTTCCAGATCAGGATGCCAGCATAGTAGTGTTCTTATGAGGGCTATCTTTCTGGCTTGCAGACAGCCTCCTTCTCGCTATCCTCTTGTGGCCTTTTCTCAGTGAGCACATGTGGAGATAGAGAATCTCCCTTTCTTCTTATTGTGAGGCCAACAATTTTATCAGATTAGGACATTACTCTTGTGATATCATTTAACCTTAATTATCTCCTAAAAGCTCCTTCTCTAAATATGGTAATTTCTCAGTATATGTGGGGAAGACTGGTTCCAGGATCCTGCTCCCTCACCAAAATCCAGATGCTTAAGTCCTTTATATAAAATGATGTAGTACTTACATGTAATTCACACATATCCTCCTGTATACATTAAATCATCTCTAGATTATTTATAATACCCAATAAAATGTAAATGCTATGTAAGTAGTTCTTAGTTGCAGTTAGTTGAATTTGCAGATGCAGAACCCATGGGTATGAAGAGCAGGCTGTACAGTTACATTGGGGGTTAGGACTTCAGTTGACAAATTTTAGTGGGATGAAATTCAATCCATAGCATAGAGATTATCCAGAATTATGTAAATGTAATTATAAGGGTCCTCATATGAGGGAGGCAACTGGGGCAAAGTCAGAAAAATCCTATGTGATGACAGAGCCAGAAGATGGAGTGATGGGCTTCAAATGTGGAGGAAGGGGCCATGAACCAAGGAATGCAGGCAGCTTCTAAAAACTGGAAAAGGCAAGAAATTTTATTCTCCTCCAAAGCCTCCAGAATAAATCAGCCCTGTCAACATAACACATATAGGAAAGGGAAATTTGAATATATACCAATTTAGTAATGGAAACTCAAGCCAACAAACTTAAATGAAGCTTGTTTAGAGACTGCCACATCCCTCCACAGATGGAAATAAGTCTTGTTTTATAAAAAAGAAACAGGTCAAATTAAATAACCCCAAATTTGGCATTATATAATAATGTAGAAAAATAAGAATGATTAAGAGAAACATAGGTATATTAGATTGTTCTGTAGACAGTTTAATAGAATTCATCCTATAAGTAGTCTAATGAAATTTCCAGGAAAAAATCATAATACAAAGGAGAACAAATGTTCAAAGGGATAATGCTATAGTTGAAGAAACAACAGATTGAAAAATCTCATGGAGTCCCAAGAAACAGAATGGAAACAAATTCTGTCCTAGCTACACCGTAGTGAAAATATTAAACTAGTGAAAAATTAAAGGAAAGAGTAATCTCACAGAATGTATTTATTTATTCAGTAACAATGAACAAAATTTTCATCAGCCATAATAAATGCCAAAGCGCAATGAAATAACAACTTCAACAGTATGAAAGAAAATGATTGACAACTCCCTACACTTCCACCGCCAGGTAAAGTATCACTCAAAAGTAGGAGCAAAATTTAGACATTTCAAACAAACACTAAAAGAATCTTGCATTTATAAACCAGCCCTGGGAGAATTACTGAAGGGTAATCTTTATCATAAGAAATAAGCCTAAAATTTAGAAATGTGTTCAAGAAGCAAATAGGAAGAAAAATAAAAGCTAAACATATGAGCAAGTCTGATATGGTTTGGCTCTGTCCCAACCCAAATTTCACTTTGCATTGTAGTTCCCATAATACTCATGTGTCATGGGAGGGACCTGGTGAAAGATAATTGAATCATGGGGGCAGTTACCTCCATGCTGCTCTTCTCATGATAATGAGTTATCATGAGATCTGATAGTTTTATAAGAGGCTTTTCCCTCTTTGCTCAGCGCTTCTCCTTCCTGCCATCATGTGAAGAAGGACATGTTTGCTTCCCCTTCCTCCATGACTGTAAGTTTCCTGAGGCCTCCTCAGCCATGGGAAACTGTGAGTCAATTAAAACTTTTTTCTTTATAAATTGCCCTGTCTTGGGCAGTTATTTATACCAGCATGAGAATGAACTAACACAGTCTTATTAGATAATCTCTAAAAATAAATAAATGATTCATTGGTTAGTAAACACAAAATGGGACTAAGCACTAGTCAAGGATATTATGTAAGATGATAAGGCAGCTTAAAGCAGTTCGAGAGCTTTGTATTGTTTGGACTGAGATACTGACTTTTTAAAGACTTTGCTAAATACCAAAAAAAGAGTTACATTTTAAGGATTGAACACTAAAAATACAATATATATCTTCGAAACCAGATCTTGGAAAAAGTATGATAGCATGAAGAAGTAAAGTAGATATTTCATCTTTAAAGAGGACACAGAAAAAGTGAAAAAAGTGTACAAAAGCATAGAAAGTACAAAATAAGCTATTACAAATTCAAGTAGCTCAGTATTCTCCAACTGCATTGAAAAGAAAAAAAAAGAGTTAATGTTCTTTTTAAGGATACACCTAGAACAGAAGAACATAAAAAGGCTGCAAGTAACTTTTCCAGGAAAATTTTATTCAAAAGAAGGCTAGCAGAACAATGCTAATAAATAAAATTTTAAGAGTCTAAGTCACATTAGGGCTTGATAGTTAATGCAAAAGAAAAAAGCTGCTTGAAGATTTAACAATTCTGCACTCATATGCATGTAGAAGTATGGCCTCAAATTGTATAAAGCAAACTGGCTACAATTAAATAGCAAGTTAAGCACTCTGATAATCCTGGTGAGAAATTTTTAATGAAAACCAGAAAGTAATGATGAAGATGGTATTTTAGGTGTTAATAGGATTATGAGCAACTTAATTCATTTGAAATACACATGCACCTAATCACTATGGAATACTTACAGGCTACTAAATTAGCTTGGTACTGTTTTGGGATGGCAGAAGAAGATGTAAGACAGCTAAGTTAGAGACAAAAGTTTTATTATTCACAGCACAGCAAGGTACTATGTTTGTGGCCCTTTTCTTTGTCTCTCAGAATTCACAGAGGAAAAGGAATAGGTCAAGATGTGTGCTTCCAATGCAGGGGATTGTGTTACTGGAGGAGGAAACTGAGCTTGGGGAAAATTATCAATGAATTATAATTAAGGATAGAAATTTAAATAAATCCTTGCTAAAATAATTTTAAAAATTAATCCAGAAATGTATCATACCCTCCAGAAAGATTATCCTAGGAATAAAGTATTTGACAAACCTATTTAAATATGCATGAACAAATATTAGAAGAAAAATTATACTATTCTCTCAATTTATGCAGTTAATACTTGATAAATTCCATATCCATCAATGAGGAAAATCAACCCATGAAATCTGGTTTGAGAAGGACTATTTCTTAACTTCCACATAAAGGGTATCTACCAAAACTAACATCATTATCATATCTCATGAAAATAAATTTTAAGTATGCCTTTTAAATAAGAACTGTAAAAAAATCCTCAATAAATTTATCTTTTGTAGAATTCTGATAGAAGCCTTAGCCAGCGTAACAAAGAAAAGAAATGAGGATTACAGGTAGAAAGGAATAAATAAAATTATTATTTTAGATGACAATTTAAAAATACTGCAATTAATAAATTTTAAAATGTACTGAGCTCAAATATATCCATACATTTATCTTTATAAGTAGATCTATATCTAAATACATGCATGTTAAAAACATTTCTATAAAATGCAAACATTTTTATTTAAAAGTCCATTTAAAATGTCAATGATAATCATAATAAATCTAGCAATAGATCTCACAGAAGATATGCTGGACTTTATATAGACAATTATAAATCTAAATTGAGGGTTATAATAAAAGCCCTCAATAAATAAAATGTACAGTGCCTCTGAGATTTTATTTTATTCTACTTAAAAAGTAACAAATTAGCCTGTTACTATTTCATAAATTCTTGTAAAAGACACATGACTCCTGCGTCAGAGACAAACACTTCATTACTCACAGCTAGGGAAGGAGCATAGGTACCACCGTCATTACCTTTGTTCCCTTACCTGACTCCACCCAGCAAGACCATAGGGTGATGCCCAGATAGATGCCTGCACATGAAGTGGGTTGGATTATAGGAAAGAAACACTTCAGTTTGGGAACTCCATTGCTTTTACAGCAAACAGTAAGCAAGCTTGTTTATTCTCTGTTTTCAGTTTTAAGAGATGCATTGCCTCCTTTCTCAAAGTTACCGGCTATAGAAACAACACTGAGAAATGATCTATTCGGTCCCAGTAAGAGCAGTTAGGACCTAGCATTCTTGTCATACCCAACAATATGTGAGGTGCAAGAACTGTCTCTGCCAACATACCATGTTCATAAATGGTATGTAAAAATGGTGTAGATAAATAACATACGTTAATTCTCCCCAAAGTAATTTATGAGTTTATTGCAATTACTAAGTCCCATGAAACTCATTGGAGGATATGGAAATATATACATAACTGGAGGAGTGTATATTGACACAATTATTTTGAAATTTTATTTGGCAATATCAAATAAAATTGGTACTGGTTATGCTTTACAATACAGAATTTCTTAGTGAAAACCCTTCAATATGCACATAAGTATACTTGTGGTATGGTGTTCCTTGCAATATTGGAAAAAAATAGAAGTGCTTATCAATATGAGAATGGATAAATACCTTTCTGAAGAGGGACTAAAATATATGAATTAGATCCAGTGGGTTAACTGGGACAACATTTAAAAAGTTAATATTCAATAAAACAAGCTGCAAAAAGATACATACAATTTATGCAAATTAAGGATGCAGAAACATTATTTACTGTTAATGAATACAAAATACCAGTAATTTGATACAGAGGACAATAAGAATATACTACAAATTGAGAAATTATTTAACTTAGGAAAAACAGGAAGGACAGAATAGAATAGAATGGAAATGCTTAACTATTTATGAAATGTTTTATTTCTTTAAAGTAAAGACTTGAACTGACCAGGCATTGGTGGCTAGTGCCTGTAGTCCTAGCTGCTTGGGAGGCTGAGGTGGGAGGAAGTTGAGGCTTCAGTGAGCCATGATCATGCCACTGCACTCCAGCCTGGGCAACAAAGTGAGATCCTGCCTCACAAAACAACAACAAAAAGACTTGCAGCAATTAAAACTACTACAGAAAAATGAAAAATGTTAACAGTTGTTAAATCTGAATGGTAAAACCAAGAATATGTGCCACAATATTATTTGTCTCTGTCTGTATGCTTAAAACATTTTGATAATAAATTAAAAAATATAAAAATGTAGACACTTAGCCTGCCTGTATGTCTTAATAAAGGAATACATATAAAAGTATTAAGGGTGGGCGCGGTGACTCACGCCTGTAATCCTAGCACTTTGGGAGACCGAGGCAGGTGGATCACGAGGTCAGGAGATCGAGACCATTCTGGCTAACATGGTGAAACCCCGTCTCTACTAAAAATACAAAAAATTAGCTGGGCGTGTTGGTAGGTACCTGTAGTCCCAGCTATTCGGGAGGCTGAGGCAAGAGAATGGAGTGAACCCAGGAGGTGGAGCTTGCATTGAGCCGAGATGGGCACTCCAGCCTAAGCGACAGCACGAGACTCCATCTCAAAAAAAAAAAAAAAAAAAAAAAGTATTAAAAATTTCTTCTGTAGCTATGCTTTCCAGATATGTGTGATTAGAGTTGAGCATGAACTACATTCTCGTGGTGTTCAAGTTTACAAATGTAATCATAATCAGTGTGAAAAACAGAAGAATATATAATTGTTGAAAGATAATATTTTCCTACAAACAATAGAATGAGGATAAGCAAGACAAAATCTGCTTGGAGGGTTATCTGAAATAGGGATGAAGTATTCTTATCCCAAATAATGGGAGTCTTAATACTGAAAGTCTTGCAATGAGGAGGAAAATTATTTCAGGGATTGTGAAAGCAGGTGCGGTCTAGGAAAATTAGGGAAAGGCTTTTGCAGGCATTTGGCTCTCTTTCAGTCCTCTTGAAAGAGTTGCTTAGGAGTAAGAGAGTAAATGAATAAAGGAAGAAAATGCCAGATAAATTAAGTTTTAGGAATAATTTTTGCTAAATGATATTTCACCACAAAAAGGAAGATAACTGATATATAGTAGAGAAAAAAATTCCCAAATATAGGTCAATTGAAAAGATTCAGTTAATCAGAGTATTGTATTTCTCATTCATTTTAGTTATGATGCTTTTACTTGAATGCATGAATGTGTGTGTTCACGTGTATTTATGATGTTTTGACATAGTAACCAGTTAAAAGTCTAGATCTGCATTGTCAAATACACCATCCACTAGCCACAGGCAGCCAGGGAACATTTGAAACGCAACTAGACTGACCTGAGATGTGCTGGAAGTATAGAATACATACAAGATTTAGAAGACTTCGTATGAATAAAAATATATATAGTATCTCATCAATGTTTTATATTTATTTCATGATGAAGGATAATATTTTGGATATAATGGGTTAAAGAAAATATATTATAAAAAAGAATTTCACCTTTTCTTACTACTTTATTTTTAATGTGATTCCTAGAAATTTTTGTTATATGTGTGGCCACATTTATGACTAACATTGAATTTCTGTTGGTCTGGAACACAACTAACAATGACAATGATACATATAACATGCTACTATATATACATATATATATCTTAGAATATAGAATCTAATATATATATACTCTTTAGAATATAGAATCACCAAAATACTTTCATCTACATGAAAGATTAGATTACTTTAACTCTGAGTTAACTTTGTAACAGTCCTGCCAGGACGCAGCCAAAGGATAAATGTTAAATTTCTCAGCAGTCACTGAGAGAGTTTACAACAAATCCCAGCAATTTTGCCTTTATACATTTTGCGACTTTTATTTCAAATTACCCAAGAGTTTATAGTGTATTCTTTTCAATATCCATTTTGAGAGTTTTCACCTGGGTTCTAAATGAGGTGACAATTCGTGTTTTAAAATATAACTATGAAAGCCAAATTGTCACCTTATCGCTGATAACATCTACTTTGTAGGAGAGAGCATAGTGTGAGAACCAAATCAGCCATCTAAAGATTTCCAGTAATATGGTAGGCTCCCCCAGCTAGGCATGGCCGTTCTGCATTTAGGCAGCACTCTTCCTGCAGGATACCCCTCCTCAGAGCTCCCCATATAGTTGAAAGCACAAGAGTAGGCTGAACTCATTTTCCCTGCCAGAGCAGGAGGAAACCAGGAAGCACTGTCCAGGCATGCCTAGTTATTTTTCCCAAATTTAACCACCAGCTATGTCACTTTATCTCTGTAGAAGACAGTGAACACATGAGCAGAAAGAATCTGGGAGATGTGCTCATTAAACAGTCTTAGCAAGAAGAAAATTTATGGAGTGAAGACGTATCCCTACTAACAAAAATGTTTTTCTTAATTTTCCTTAAAAGTAATAACTCTCATTTATATATCTTTACATCTCTCATAATGATGCTTTTGCATATTTTATTAAACAATCCTTACAACTCTTTGAGGTCAGTAGTTATTTTATTTCCATATTTAAGATAAGACAACAGAGTCTCTGGGAGATAAAAAATATGCCCAAGGTTACCAGCCAAGAAGGGGAAGATATTAAACATAACATTGAAATTAAACATACTATCTTGGAAATTCTTCAGTCAACTGGTTTGTGAATAAAATGTGTCAGGACAATAATTAAAATTTGTAAAAACAAACTAAGGAAAACAGATTTTTCCCTGTGGTTCTGAATTATAATTGTAAAAAGAAGACCCAAACAAATTTTTTTTGACATTTGTTGTATTTTTAGAATTAGTGTAAAATATCTCAAAACAATTATTTTAAAAAAGATAATGCTATCAAGATTTAATAACACTTTTTTAAAAAGGAAAAAATATATTTTCTATAATCAATTTTAGTCAAACAATTTTTTATTGTTTTTTACTACATAATGATGTATAGAAACAATTATTATGGCTGTGATTTTGTAGATAACATTATGTTCTTGTAGAGCAGAGTACAATTTTTACAGCAAATTTAATTTTATGTAAAGATGACAATATAGATAGTTTGAGGTTAAAGGAGCCCCCAGCATTTTCTCTATATTCTAAATACAGTTACGTGTTGCTTAATGACAAGGCCACATTCTGAGAAATGTTTATTAGTTGATTTCACCATTGCATGGACAGTGCATTTAAACAATCCTAAATGATATAGCATCCTACACACCTGGGCTATAGGGGACAGCCCATTGCACCTAGGTTACAAACCTGTACAGCATGCCACTGTACTGAATACTGTAGGCACTTGTAACACAATGGTAAGTATTCATGTATCTAAACAGATATAAACATAGGAAAGGTACAGTAAAAGTACAATATAACTTTATGGGGCCACTGTCATATATGTGGTCTGTCCCTGACTGAAACATTGTTTTACAGTGCATGGCTGCATATAACACATTCTTTGTTGTTAGTTTTGATTGTTTTCTGTGTGTTAAGCTATTTTGTCATGTTGTATTTACATTATTGTAACAGCAGTATTACTTTATACATCTTTATATATTTACAAACTTCTGCGTATTATTTGTGAGGTCTGTTGGGACTTACACTGTAGCTTTTACCAAAGCAAATTATTTTAGTGGAATTTTTGCTTAAGAACTATAACACAATTCCTATTAATATCACTGCACAATTAGGTCATAGATCAGTAGGCTGTCTCTCCATGCATATGAAAGCTTACATTTTTCAACACTTGTTACACTGGGTAACCTATTTGGCACTTGTTTCTTTTCATTTTATATCATTATGATGCATAATTTGATGATGGAAGATTCTTAATGCATTTGTTGATAAATAGGAGACCAGCTTTGCTCTCTATAGGATTATCGTGTTCTATCTTCTCTTCATTAAATTGTCAAGGCTGCTAACCTCAATCACAAGTACATCCTGAACATTAAGGTACAACAATGATTGGTGATGGAAGAGTGCACTAGAGAGCATTTCAATTTTCGAACTTCCTAGTTTGCAATTTTAGCTAATTATTTTACAGTTGATGTGCATGTAGGGATGACATTGATCTCCATCTCCTAAATGCCTCATTTACTGTCTGGTATTAGACAAGAATCCAGGGTAGTACATTAACTCTCTCAGGACAAAGGAATACTATAGGATGAATTATAATAGAGCCTTGATTACATTTGGGTTTTTCTTAAGTCGGTTATGGCAAGCATTGGAGCTGATGCCACAACCCTATATTCCTGGCCAATTATTCTATCAATGTGTGTCACTAATTGGAATCATAATAACAGAATTATAGAGAAAAATGAGATCTTCTACTCAAACAACCTTGTTTCAAGAAGGCATTAAATTTTAGTCCCAAAGATTAAAGATTGTGTGACATCCGAAAGGCGATAACATCTCTGGAAATAAGAAGAAATGTGACTTGACCCTCCACACGTAGATTCGACAGTATCTGTGGTTTTTCCACTTAACTAGTGGTGTCATATCAGCGAAGTTATATCACCTATCTGGGTCTCAACTTCTTCATTTATTCTATATTGATAATAATAACAACTTACAAATTTTGTGAAGAAAAACAGTAGATATACAGTAATTTTTGAATTCCTTTCTTTTATTTTTATAGCTTCAGAGAAGCTCACCATTAGATCTTAAAATTATTCCTTAATTATAGAGTCTTGGTAATATTGTCTTTGTGATTGTAGGGTAGCAAATTTTATTTAAAATCATTATTTTAAATCAAAGAATTAGCATGTTTTAAAACACTTTATTTTCGTTGGTAAAATGAGCAGAAGGAGGAGCAGAAAAGAATTGAGAAAGTTTGAGTTTTAATCTTACTACATCAGGAAAAAACTGGAGCCAGAATATCTTAGTTCTTGCATTTTCTTGAGGTAGAGAATTCTTTGTAATTTTTTTTTCTTATTTCCATTGTATTTCCATGAACAAGAGTGATAGAAGTGCTGATTTACTTGTCATCTACACAGCTAAGTCTAGCTAAGTAATACTCGTGGGATTCTATTATCATAGTTTTTTTTTTCTATTGAGAAAAAACTAAGTTGAATATATGAAATTATGAGATATTTCAAAGATACCAGTATTCAATTGTTTGTTGATTTGGATACTGCTGAAATTCAAGAAATAGAATGAAGTTGTTGAAATCATTTATTTGAAATATAACTTTTAAATCTATGGACAGTTCAAAATTGAAATATTATATGTTTCAAACCATCTTCATTTCTTTGTTGATTAATCTTAGAGGAGAAATTAAATAAGTGATTTCTGATATTTTATAAACATTAGATAAAAATTGCTTAGCCTCACTGCAGACCTGTGAGTTGTTAAGACAAATATATTTGGGTTGTGGCACAGTAGCATTAAGAAGGATATTACAAAAGATAAAGATGCCAACAGAGGCCGGGTGTGGTGGCTCTCAACTGTAATCCAAACACTTTGGGAGGCCTAGGCAGATGGATTGCTTGAGCTCAGGGGTTCAAGACCAGCCTGGGCAACATGATGAAATCCCATCTCTACAAAAAATATAAAAGTTAGCCAGGTGTGGTGGCTTGCTCCTGCAGTCCCAGCTACTATGGAGGCTGAGGTGAGAGGATCACTTGAGCCCAGAGGCAGAGGTTACAGTGAACTGTAATGGCACCACTGCACTCCAACCTGGACAACAGAGCGAGAGCTTGTCTAAACTTTTCTAAATAAGAAACAAAGGCAAGACACCATGTGCACTCATATGCTAAAATATGGTCCCTCTCATTGTTCCATGTAATTTCTGAAGAGGCAAATGTAAAGGCAATGAAATAATTCCTTTTTAGAATGAAGGCTTTTCTGATAATGCAGAGTTACATTTGTTCACTTCTTTGATCTCTTATGAGCACAACAGAATTTTACCCTTTATACCATACTGTTTAAATCTATAAATTTAAAAATAATTGATTATAAATTTTATATAGGAGAAATTGAATTTTTTAATAAATGATGAACAATTAACAAATGCCTTACTAGTTTTTATTAAGACAATTTCATCACAATCCTATAGATGAACATTTTAAGGTATAATAAATATCAAATTCTAGAAAGTAAAACTTTTCTAATTTTTAAATGAGTTCCATTGGCTTTTCTTGGCTAAATACAAAGTTTTTAATCTAGATATGCTTTGTAAATCTGAAAGCTGTTTGCTGAAAGAAGTTTTATTTTTAAAAAGTTTGCATTGAAAAGAAAAAAACAATGGACTTTTATTGTGAAGGTCAATTAAAAGGAAATTGACTCTAGGTTTGCAATGTTCTCTTTATTCAAATGTAACCAAAGAAAATTCTGAAATTTAGCTAAAATAAAAATACTTAAAATGAAAGGAAACCTAAGTAAATTTGCTGAATTTGATAGTCAGCTTTCTGAATGAGCAGGAAAAGGAGAGTTGCAAATATGATTCATCAAATTAGAAAACAGTAGCTATATCAGCAATATTTCAGTTAGGAGAGAAATCACTGAATTCAATTATCTTAACAGGAAAACAATATACAATGGCTAATAGAAGGGCTTTTGGCTCTAAATTATCTTTAAACACCTCCTTTCTACCAGAAATGACAAATTCTATCTTCTGCCTTCACATCTTTAAATGGTATGCATTAAATTTCCTCCTTTCCCTTTCATGTTTCCTACTGCTATCCATTAAGTGCCATTTCAAAGGCTATATGTGCTGTAATTAATGCATTTTCCCCCAATATATTCAAAACAATTTCTTCTAGGGTTCTATAGCTAGTTCTGTATTACACAAAATTAAAACTGTTATAATCAACACTAAAATTATATTTTGTGGTATATATCTATCTGTTTCTTTTTCTATGTCCTTGAAGGAAAAGAACTTTCCTGGTTAATCTTTGAGGTTCCCACATTATCCAACATATTTTTTAGCAACAATACATTTCCAATAAATGTTTGAATACACTAAAATGTGTATAGCTATTCAAATATGAGGCTATTATGCTTAGGAAATGATCAGTTTTGAAAGCAGTAGAACAAGATCACCTGGAAATTAAGGCCAAAAAATGTACAGAAATAGATGTCATGAGGAGGGAAAATAATTTCCTAGTTGCTAATTTATAATAGATAAATTAGCCAGCCTGCTGCTAATAGTAACCTCTATTGCATATATGTGATGGTTGATATTGCCTTCCATAAAATAATTTATAAGATTATTGCATTTTCCAGCCCCGAAAATGAGTATAAGTAATTGAACTGTGACAACTCCATTTTTTGCAACACTTGTAACCTATTGAGTTACATTTTCATCTGCTCTGCAAGATTCTAATATCTTTCTTGACCAGAAATTTGAAGCAATTGTTATTTCCATATGCAGGCATGTAATTGATTACCACTAGCCAAAATATATGTTATTACACAAACTCCCAAATGACTAAGTACACAGAATAATTTCTTTGTTTTCTGAGCCTTTCATAAAATCAGATAACTTTAGATATCTTTAACTGCTTACTTTTATTCCATGGGCTATGAATTTATTCTGTGGTTATTCTATGTGTCCTAAGGGTATTTATTGTTTGACCTTGCTATGTTGAGATCTTCCCATTAGAAGAATTTTAACTTTTTATTTTAAAACAAAGATAGGATAAATAAGCATTACATTTTTCATTGAAGAATCCATTATCTTTATTTTTTTTAAGTTTAACAGAGAGAAAACTATGACACCTTATAAGAAAATGAAGGCTCATGAAGCATTCTGCCAAACTTAGCTATGTGTCAAAATGAGTATTCTTTTGCAAAATACTTATTTTACGATACCATGTATATTATGTCCAAACGTAAGTAAACTCTTTCTTCATAGATATATAGGGTCATTTTCTTAAAATTAAAAAAATCAAGTTAGAAAATTTCTGTTAAAATAAATAGCTTTGTTTATATCATTAGATAATTGCTCTGTGGACAGATTATATAGTTTTATTAGCAACGATGAAGTCTTCTGTATATTTTATTGCCACATTTACTTCTTTTCAGAAGTAAAAATATATCTTTTGGATTTGATTCAGTTTATTGACAATGTGTATTTTATTTTTGCTAACTAACTGTCTACTGCCCTTTGTCCATCTTTATTTTTTAAATTTTACTTTAAGTTCCAGGATACATGTGCAGAACATGCAGGTTTGTTACATAGGTATACATGTGCTGTGGTGGTTTGCTGCACCTATCAACCTGTCATCTAGGCTTTAAGCCCTGCATGCCTTAGGTATTTGTCCTAATGCTTTCCCTCCCCTTGCACCCCATTCCCTGACAGGCCCTGGTATGTGATGATTCCCTCCCTGTGTCCATGTGTCCTCATTGTTGAACTCCCACTTATGAGTGAGAACTTGCAGTGTTTGGTTTTCTGTTCCTGTGTTAGTTCATTGAGAATGATGGCTTTTTTTTTTTTTTTTTTTTTTGCTTGGTAAATATTCCTCCATCCCTTTATTTTGAGCCTATGTTTGTCTTTGCACCTGAGATGGGTATCCTAAATACGGCACACTGATGGGTCTTGACTCTTCATTCAATTTGCCAGTTTGTGTCTTTTAATTGGGGCATTTAGCCCGTTTACCTTTAAGGTTAATATTGTTATGTGTGAAGTTGATCCTGTCATCAGGATGCTAGCTGGTAATTTTGCATATTAGTTGTTGCAGTTTCTTCACAGTGTCATTGGTCTTTATATTTTGGTGTGTTTTTGCAGTGGCTGGTACCAGTTTTTCCTTTTCGTATTTAGTGCTTCCTTCAGGAGCTCTTTCAAGGCAGGCCTGGTGATGACATAATTCCTCAGCATTTGCTTGTCTGGACAGGATTGTATTTCTCCTTCACTTATGAAGCTTACTTTGGCTGGATATGAAATTCTGGAATGAAAATTCTTTTCTATAATAATGTTGAATATTGGTCCCCACTCTCTTCTGGCTTTTAGGGTTTCTGCAGAGAGATACACTGTTATTCTGATGGGCTTCTCTGTGGGTGACCTGACCTTTCTCTCTGGCTGCCCTTAACATTTTTTTCCTTCATTTCAACCTTGGAGAATCTGATGATTATGTGTCTTGGGGTTGATCTTCTTGTGGATTAACTTAGTGGTGTTCTCTGTAGTTCTTGAATTTGAATATTGACCTGTCTTGCTAGGTTGGGGAAGTTCTTTTGGATAATATCCTGAAGTATGCTTTCCAACTTGGTCCCATTCTCCCCATCACTTTCAGGTACACCAATCAATTGCAGATTTGGTCTTTTCACATAGTACCATATTTCCTGTAGGCTTTGTTTGTTCCTTTTCATTCTTTTTTCTCTAATCTTGTCTTCACACTTTATTTCAGCAAAGTGGTCTTCAATTTCTGGTATCTTTTCTTCTGCTTGATTGATTCGGCTATTGATACTTCTGTATGCTTCATAAAGTTCTCTTGCCGTGTTTTTCGGCTCCATCAGGTCATTTATGTTCCTTTCTAAACTGGTTATTCTAGTTAGCAGTTCCTGTAACCTTTTTTCGAGGTTCTTAGCTTCCTTGCATTGGGTTAGAACATGCTCCTTTAACTCAGAGGAGTTTGCTATTAGCTACCTTCTGAAGCCTGCTTCTGTCAATTCATCAATCTCATTCTCCATCCAGTTTTGCACTCTTGCTGGAGCAGTGTTGTGATCATTTGGAGGACAAGAGGTATTCAACTTTTGGAATTTTCAGCGATTTTTTTGAGCTGATTTTTCATCATATTTTTGGATTTATCTACTTTTGATCTTTGAGGCTGATGGTCTTTGGATGTGGTTTTTGTGTATGGGGTCTTTTTTGTTGATGTTGTTGTTTTTGCTTTCTGTTTGCTAGTTTTTCTTCGAACAGTCAGGTCCCTCTTCTGCAGGTCTGCTGCAGTTTGCTGGAGGTCCACTCCAGACCCTCTTTGCCTGGTTATCACCAGTAAAGCCTGCAGAACAGCAAAGATTGCTGCTTGCTCCTTCCTCTGGAAGCTTCGTCGCAGAGGGGCACCGGCCTGATGCCAGCCAGACCTCTAATGTATGAGGTATCTGTCGACCCCTGTTGGGAGGTCTCTCCCAGTCAGGTGGCACAGGAGTCAGAGACCCACTTGAGGAGGCAGTCTGTCCCTTAGCAGTGCTGGTGTGCTGTGTGGGGGAATCCCCCTTGTCAGGATCAGCTGCTCTCTTCAGAGCTGGCAGGGAGGAAAGATAAGTCCGCTTAAGCTGTGTCCACAGCTGCCCCTTCCCAGGTACTCTGTCCTAGGGAGATGGGAGTTTTACCTGTAAGCCCCTGACTGGGGCTGCTGTCTTTCCTTCAGAGATTCCTTCCCCATGAGGAGGAATCTAGAGAGGCAGTCAGGCCACAGCCGCTTTGCCGCACTGTGGTTACTTCTGCCCAGTCCAAACCACCCAGTCTCCTTAGTGCTGTCAGGGGAAAACCGCCTACTCAAGCCTCAGTAACGGCGGATGCCCCTTCCCGCACCAAGCTGTATCTTCCCGGGTCGACTCCAGACTGCTGTGTTGGGAGTGAGAATTTCAAACCAGTGGATCTTTGCTTGCTGGGCTCCATGGGAGTGGGATTGGCTCCCTGGCTTCAGCCTCCTTTCCAGGGGAGTGGACAGTTCTCCTGTCTCACTGGGGTTCCAGATACCACTGGGGTACGAAAAAAAAAACTTCTGCAGCTAGCTCGGTGTCTTCCTGAACAACTGCCCAGTTTTGTGCTTGAAATCCAGGGCCCTGGTGGTGTAGGCTCAGGAGGGAATCTCCGGACCTGCGTATTGCAAAAATCCATGGGAAAAGCATAGTACCCGGACAGGTAGCACAGTCCCTCACGGCTTCACTTGGATGGGGGAGGGTGGTCCCTTGGCTCCTTGCACTTGCCAGGTGAAATGACGCTCCACATTGCTTCTGCTTGCTCTGTGTGAATTGCACCCACTGACTAACCAGTCCCAATGAGATGAACTGCGTACCTCAGTTGGAAATGCAGAAATCACCCACCTTCTGCATTGGTCTTGCTCGGAGCTGCAGACTGGAGCTGTTTCTATTTGGTCATCTTGGCTCCTCCTTGGATTTGCTTTTTAAAATATATTTGGTGGGGCATGGTGGCTCACACCTATAATCCCAGTACTTTCAGAGGTCAAGGCAGGAGAATTGCTTGAGCCCTCGAGTTCAGCCTTGGCAACAAAGTGAGACCATGTGTCTACACAAAATAAAATAATTACCCAGGTACGGTGACATTCACCTACAGTTCCAGCTACTCAGGAGGCTGCAGCAGGAGGATTGCTTGAGCTGGGGAGATTAAGGCTGCAGTGAACTATGATTTTGCCACTGCACTCCAGCCTGGGTGACAGAGTGAAACTGTCTCAAAAAATAAAAAATAACAAGTAAAATAAAATTTTTATTAATGTTTTAAATTTCTCTTCTTACTGTTTTGTTTGCCTTTCTTTCTTTGCATATTTAGAGTATTTAATTTATCCTGTAATTGGAATTTGGTCTTAGAGTAATACTACTTGATGTATCTTGGAATTATGAATTTCACTTCTGTTATATTGTTTTCTGTTCTTGCCACTCGTCCATTAACTTATTCTAACTTTTTTGGTTGACCTCGAATAATTATTTATTCTTCATTAAATCTGTTGGCTCACAATTTATACTTTGTAATGCTTGATTCAAGAATCTCTTAGAGTCAATTGGTACTCCAAATTGTACATTTCTGAAAGACTCTTAGAAATGTGAATGTAAGTACAAACTCCAGAAATAAAACCAAGACTTAAAAATGTTTGACTTTGTCCACATTTTTATGTAAAACTCACAACTAATTAAAGGTCTCATCTCCTCATAAAGCTTTCCCAAGTTACACCCTATAAATCTTTTCTTTCAAATTCCTATAGTATTTCTATGTAGGAAGAGTTTTTATATTGTTTTCTACATGTTTTACAAGTATTAATATAAACCTGGATAAATTGTACAATTTTGAAGGTAAGATTAAGGTACATTTTTTGTATTTTCAATATTTGAAAATGCCTACTGTCTTGTTATTATATACTGTAGGTACTCAGCACATTGATTAAATGCTGAGATAAGTTCTGTAATGTAGGTCTTATTAATTTCATTTCTATTGAACACCTTTGCAGCATCATGAGCAGAAGCAATTTACAACTTCTAAGTATCAGTTATTTTGATTCAATCTGTTTATCAACAATAATTTTTAAAGACTCACACCAAAGTGGTGTGCATTATTTAGTTCAGCATCCTCTTAGCTAGGTGTAAACATTCCAGCAGCAAATTTTCAGTCATTTAATAATTAAAACATTAGATAACCTATTTGCATCATTGCAGAAGGGACCTTTTTCCCCATGGTTCTCTAATCAAAACCAGTTTTTTTTTCTTTTCAAGTACTCACTCCAAAGGCTACAATTCACAGGACGTACACAGATTTCCCTGACATCTGCCTCTTCCTCTATGTAGCATTTCTGCTGGAACAAAATCATGAATCACAAATTTTTATGGGAGCAAATAAGGAATTTTGAACTCAATGAATCCTGTTCACATAAAAGAGAGTTATGTGTTTAATTACACTAGAGAAGAATCTCAATTGTTCTCTGCAACCCGAAGCTCAACTGTAGTCTCTTTAGGTTCTTATCACTGTAATTACTTTAAGTTATATAGGAGAGAGGAGCCAAGATGGCCGAATAGGAACAGCTCCGGTCTACAGCTCCCAGCGTGAGCGATGCAGAAGACGGGTGATTTCTGCATTTCCGTCTCAGGTACCGGGTTCATCTCACTAGGGAGTGCCAGACAGTGGGCGCAGGTCAGTGGGTGCACGCACCGTGTGCGAGCCAAAACAGGGCGAGGCATTGCCTCACTTGGGAAGCGCAAGGGGTCAGGGAGTTCCCTTTCCGAGTCAAAGAAAGGGGTGACGGACGCACCTGGAAAATTGGGTCACTCCCACCCGAATATTGCGCTTTTCTGACCGGCTTAAAAAACGGCGCACCATGAGATTATATCCGGCACCTGGCTTGGAGGGTCCTACGCCCACGGAGTCTCGCTGATTGCTAGCACAGCAGTCTGAGATCAAACTGCAAGGCGGCGGCGAGGCTGGGGGAGGGGTGCCCGCCATTGCCCAGGCTTGCTTAGGTAAACAAAGCAGCGGGGATGTGAGAACTGAGTGGAGCCCACCACAGCCCAGGGAGGCCTGCCTGCCTCTGTAGGCTCCACCTCTGTGGGCAGGGCACAGACAAACAAAAAGACAGCAGTAACCTCTGCAGACTTAAATGTCCCTGTCTGACAGCTTTGAAGAGAGCAGTGGTTCTCCCAGCACACAGCTGGAGATCTGAGAACAGGCAGACTGCCTCCTCAAGTGGGTCCCTGACCCCTGACCCCCGAGCAGCCTAACTGGGAGGCACCCCCCAGCAGGGGCACACTGACACCTCACACGGCAGGGTATTCCAACGGACCTGCAGCTGAGGGTCCTGTCTGTTAGAAGGAAAACTAACAAACAGAAAGGACATCCACACCAAAAACCCATCTGTACATCACCATCATCAAAGACCAAAAGTAGATAAAACCACAAAGATGGGGAAAAAACAGAACAGAAAAACTGGAAACTCTAAAACGCAGAGCGCCTCTCCTCCTCCAAAGGAACGCAGTTCCTCACCAGCAACGGAACAAAGCTGGATGGCGAATGACTTTGACGAGCTGAGAGAAGAAGGCTTCAGACGATCAAATTACTCTGAGCTACGGGAGGACATTCAAACCAAAGGCAAAGAAGTTGAAAACTTTGAAAAAAATTTAGAAGATTGTATAACTAGAATAACCAATACAGAGAAGTGCTTAAAGGAGCTGATGGAGCTGAAAACCAAGGCTCGAGAACTACGTGAAGAATGCTGAAGCCTCAGGAGCCGGTGCGATCAACTGGAAGAAAGGGTATCAGCAATGGAAGATGAAGTGAATGAAATGAAGCAAGAAGGGAAGTTTAGAGAAAAAAGAATAAAAAGAAACGAGCAAAGCCTCCAAGAAATATGGGACTATGTGAAAAGACCAAATCTACATCTGATTGGTGTACCTGAAAGTGATGGGGAGCATGGAACCAAGTTGGAAAACACTCTGCAGGATATTATCCAGGAGAACTTCCCCAATCTAGCAAGGCAGGCCAACGTTCAGATTCAGGAAATACAGAGAACGCCACAAAGATACTCCTCGAGAAGAGCAACTCCAAGACACATAATTGTCAGATTCACCAAAGTTGAAATGAAGGAAAAAATGTTAAGGGCAGCCAGAGAGAAAGGTCGGGTTACCCTCAAAGGGAAGCCCATCAGACTAACAGCGGATCTCTCGGCAGAAACCCTACAAGCCAGAAGAGAGTGGGGGCCAATATTCAACATTCTCAAAGAAAAGAATTTTCAACCCAGAATTTCATATCCAGCCAAACTAAGCTTCATAAGGGAAGGAGAAATAAAATACTTTACAGACAAGCAAATGCTGAGAGATTTTGTCACCACCAGGCCTGCCCTAAAAGAGCTCCTGAAGGAAGCGCTAAACATGGAAAGGAACATCCGGTACCAGCCGCTGCAAAATCATGCCAAAATGTAAAGACCATCGAGACCAGGAAGAAACTGCATCAACTAACAAGCAAAATCACCAGCTAACATCATAATGACAGGATCAAATTCACACATAACAATATTAACTTTAAATGTAAATGGACTAAATGCTCCAGTGAAAAGACACAGACTGGCATATTGGATAAAGAGTCAAGACCCATCAGTGTGCTGTATTCAGGAAACCCATCTCACATGCAGAGACACACATAGACTCAAAATAAAAGGATGGAGGAAGATCTACCAAGCAAATGGAAAACAAAAAAAGGCAGGGGTTGCAATCCTAGTCTCTGATAAAACAGACTTTAAACCAACAAAGATCAAAAGAGACAAAGAAGGCCATTACATAATGGTAAAGGGATCAATTCAACAAGAAGAGCTAACTATCCTAAATATATATGCACCCAATACAGGAGCACCCAGATTCATAAAGCAAGTCCTAAGTGACCTACAAAGAGACTTAGACTCCCACACATTAGTAATGGGAGACTTTAACACCCCACTGTCAACATTAGACAGATCAACGAGACAGAAAGTCAACAAGGATACCCAGGAATTGAACTCAGCTCTGCACCAAGCAGACCTAATAGACATCTACAGAACTCTCCACCCCAAATCAACAGAATATACATTTTTTTTCAGCACCACACCACACCTATTCCAAAATTGACCACATACTTGGAAGTAAAGCTCTCCTCAGCAAATGTAAAAGAACAGAGATTATAACAAACTATCTCTCAGACCACAGTGCAATCAAACTAGAACTCAGGATTAAGAATCTCACTCAAAACCGCTCAACTACATGGAAACTGAACAACCTGCTCCTGAATGACTACTGGATACATAATGAAATGAAGGCAGAAATAAAGATGTTCTTTGAAACCAACGAGAACAAAGACACAATATACCAGAATCTCTGGGACGCATTCAAAGCAGTGTGTAGAGGGAAATTTATAGCACTAAATGCCTACAATAGAAAGCAGGAAAGATCCAAAATTGACACCCTAACATCACAATTAAAAGAACTAGAAAAGCAAGAGCAAACATATTCAAAAGCTAGCAGAAGGCAAGAAATAACTAAAATCAGAGCAGAACTGAAGGAAATAGAGACACAAAACACCTTTCAAAAAATTAATGAATCCAGGAGCTGGTTTTTTGAAAGGATCAACAAAATTGATAGACAGCTAGCAAGACTAATAAAGAAAAAAAGAGAGAAGAATCAAATAGACACAATAAAAAATGATAAAGGGGATATCATCACCGATCCCACAGAAATACAAACTACCATCAGAGAATACTACAAACACCTCTACGCAAATAAACGAGAAAATCTAGAAGAAATGGATAAATTCCTCGACACATACACTCTCCCAAGACTAAACCAGGAAGAAGTTGAATCTCTGAATAGACCAATAACAGGAGCTGAAATTGTGGCAATAATCAATAGTTTACCAACCAAAAAGAGTCCAGGACCAGATGGATTCACAGCCGAATTCTACCAGAGGTACAAGGAGGAACTGGGACCATTCCTTCTGAAACTATTCCAATCAATAGAAAAAGAGGGAATCCTCCCTAACTCATTTTATGAGGCCAGCATCATTCTGATACCAAAGCCGGGCAGAGACACAACCAAAAAAGAGAATTTTAGACCAATATCCTTGATGAACATTGATGTAAAAATCCTCAATAAACTACTGGCAAAACGAATCCAGCAGCACATCAAAAAGCTTATCCACCATGATCAAGTGGGCTTCATCCCTGGGATGCAAGGCTGGTTCAATATACGCAAATCAATAAATGTAATCCAGCATATAAACAGAGCCAAAGAAAAAAACCACATGATTATCTCAATAGATGCAGAAAAAGCCTTTGACAAAATTCAACAACCCTTCATGCTAAAAACTCTCAAGAAATTAGGTATCGATGGGATGTATTTCAAAATAATAAGAGCTATCTATGACAAACCCACAGCCAATATCATACTGAATGGGCAAAAACTGGAAGCATTCCCTTTGAAAACTGGCACAAGACAGGGATGCCCTCTCTCACCACTCCTATTCAACATAGTGTTGGAAGTTCTTGCCAGGGCAGTCAGGCAGGAGAAGGAAATAAAGGGTATTCAATTAGGAAAAGAGGAAGTCAAATTGTCCCTGTTTGCAGACGACATGATTGTATATCTAGAAAACCCCATTGTCTCAGCCCAAAATCTCCTTAAGCTGATAAGCAACTTCAGCAAAGTCTCAGGATACAAAATCAATGTACAAAAATCACAAGCATTCTTATACACCAATAACAGACAAACAGAGAGCCAACTGATGAGTGAACTCCCATTCACAATTGCTTCAAAGAGAATAAAATACCTAGGAATCCAACTTACAAGGGATGTGAAGGACCTCTTCAAGGAGAACTACAAACCACTGCTCAAGGAAATAAAAGAGGATACAAACAAATGGAAGAACATTCCATGCTCATGGGTAGGAAGAATCAATATCGTGAAAATGGCCATACTGCCCAAGGTAATTTACAGTTTCAATGACATCCCCATAAAGCTACCAATGACTTTCTTCACAGAATTAGAAAAAACTACTTTAAAGTTCATATGGAACCAAAAAACAGCACTCATCGCCAAGGCAATCCTAAGCCAAAAGAACAAAGCTGGAGGCATCACACTACCTGACTTCAGACTATACTACAAGGCTACAGTAACCAAAACAGCATGGTACTGGTACCAAAACAGAGATACAGATCAATGGAACAGAACAGAGCCCTCAGAAATAACGCCACATATCTACAACTATCTGATCTTTGACAAACCTGAGAAAAACAAGCAATGAGGAAAGGATTCCCTATTTAATAAATGGTGCTGGGAAAACTTGCTAGCCATATGTAGAAAGCTGAAACTGGATCCCTTCCTTACACCTTATACAAAAATCAATTCAAGATGTATTAAACACTTAAACGTTAGACCTAAAACCATAAAAACCCTAGAAGAAAACCTAGGCATTACCATTCAGGACATAGGCATGGGCAAGGACTTCATGTCCAAAACACCAAAAGCAATGGCAACAAAAGACAAAATTGACAAATGGGATCTAATTAAACTAAAGAGCTTCTGCACAGCCAAAGAAACTACCATCAGAGTGAACAGGCAACCTACAAAATGGGAGAAAATTTTCGCAACCTACTCATCTGACAAAGGGCTAATATCCAGAATCTACAATGAACTCAAACAAATTTACAAGAAAAAAACAAACAACCCCATCAAAAAGTGGGCGAAGGACATGAACAGACACTTCTCAAAAGAAGATATTTATGCAGCCAAAAAACACATGAAAAAATGCTCATCATCACTGGCCATCAGAGAAATGCAAATCAAAACCACAATGAGATACCATCTCACACCAGTTAGAATGGCAATCATTAAAAAGTCAGGAAACAACAGGTGCTGGAGAGGATGTGGAGAAATAGGAACACTTTTACACTGTTGGTGGGACTGTAAACTAGTTCAACCATTGTGGAAGTCAGTGTGGCGATTCCTCAGGGATCTAGAACTAGAAATATCATTTGACCCAGCCATCCCATTACTGGGTATATACCGAAAGTACTATAAATCATGTTGCTATAAAGACACATGCACATGTATGTTTATTGCAGCATTATTCACAATAGCAAAGACTTGGAACCAAGCCAAATGTCCAACAATGATAGACTGGATTAAGAAAATGTGGCACATATACACCATGGAATACTATGCAGCCATAAAAAATGATGAGTTCATGTCCTTTGTAGGGACATGGATGAAATTGGAAATCATCATTCTCAGTAAACTATCGCAAGAACAAAAAACCAAACACCGCATATTCTCACTCATAGGTGGGAAGTGAACAATGAGATCACGTGGTCACAGGAAGGGGAATATCACACTCTGGGAACTGTGGTGGGGTGGGGGGAGGGGGGAGGGATAGCACTGGGAGATATACCTAATGGTAGATGACGAGTTAGTGGGTGCAGCACACCAGCATGGCACATGTATACATATGTAACTAACCTGCACAATGTGCACATGTACCCTAAAACTTAAAGTATAATAAAAAAAAAAAGAAACACACACACACAGACACAAAGAATGAAAGCCATAGTAAAAGTAAGAAAAATAAAAAGAAATAACAAAGTTATGTTTCTTTAAAAAAAAAAAGTTATATAGATTGAAAGTAATAGCAACCATTTGTGAAGACTCCACTAGATTTGAGACATTGTATTATGATTCAATTTAATCACGTTTTGTGTTGGAACCCCTCCCCACTCCATGTAAGTTTTATTATTTTGTTTTAGAAAAGACAAGTTAAAATAACATGGCTTAAGTCATGCACCAACAAGCTCTATAATGAAAATTAAAACATAAATGTATCCTTCTTTAAATCCACACTCTTCACTAAACCATGTTGCCTCCACAATTCCTCTCAAGCATACAGTATTAACTAATAAAACATGTTCTTAAATTTGCACTGTACATTTATCCTAATTTAATAGAGAAATCAGGTAGCTTCCATTTGGGAATATTAATTTTGAAATATAAAAGCAGTTAGTCAAAAGATTTAGAGTCCTTTTTTGTGGAAGGTGTTTTGACTTAGGTTTCTAGATCAATGGTTGGCATCAATTTTACCAATATGAATGTATCTAAACCTTGGTTAAACATAAGAGACAAACAGAAATTTATTAAAGTAATAAACATAAATATTTTTTGATTTTTTAGCTATTTCACTTTCATTTTAATTTGTGGCATATTGTTTATAATCTGACACCTTGATTATGTGATTAAATAGCTTATACTGTATATCATATTCAGTCAACATAGGTGACATAATCAGGCAAATCGAGCAATTGTCTGGCCATCAGACTTTATTAATGCTGATAACCAATTCAAAAACATTCTTTGAAGTAATTGTCTCTTAGCTCAATACAAATGTTGCTTCAGTTTTTTCATCATGTGCCTTTGGAGAGCATCTAAATATTGTTTTTTTCTTTCATTTATTTTCTTGTTGCTTATGTTGTTTATGGGACAATGGTTCTCAAGCACTGTTGACTGCAAACAACTCATCTGGACAGCTTGTAGTTGGCCCCATCTCAGAGATTCTATTTCAGTTATTGACAGACAAAATCTGGTAATTCTGAAGCAATTTATCACAAGGACCATACTGTTGTGGGTAATACAGCTCCTTAACATCAGTCAGTTAGAAAATAATATTTATTTTGTGGGAAATATTGAGTTAGTGTTTATTACTGAATAGCATGTATGCCTGCCTTCAGTGTTTTTCAATCTAGCTAGGATGATATAGTATACATACACATTTTAGGACTTTTGTGGACCAATCACCAAATAGTGATTATTCAATAGTTTCTAGCAACCATAATTTTCAAATGCAGATGTTTCTGATTACCTTCATTTTTACATTATTTTCCTTGATTATTCCCAGTTAAAGTGAATTAAACATATAGATAATTTTATAACTTTCCCTATATGTAGCATAAAATATTGACAACTGGTTGAAAAGCAGATAGTCAGATGTCATTATAAAGCAGGCAAATATAAATAAATTATTATTAGACCTAATAAAATATCTTATAACAGTTTAATTTATAGATTTGTGGGGATTTTCATCTTTTAAGAATGATTTTGTCTATTGCTGTATTTAATTAACATAAAACCAAAAAAATATATAGTTTACTCATTTTTAGTTTATCACTTGCTCCAATTCTGGGAATAAGTTATCAAAAATTTCATAAAATATTAACTTGGATTCTATAATTAAATGTATTTTGTTCTTATATATGTACACCATCTGAATTTATTTGGCTTCAATGTAAAAAGTTAAATAATCTTTACCAGACCAACAAGTATTGAAGTATTTATGAAAGTTCATATGTATCACTAACAAAATTGATGCAAATATCAAGGAAAATATCTGACAGACTCACTATGGGAAAAATAAACATATGAATAGTTAATCATGGGAGAAATAAACAAGATTAACAGCTGTAGACATGTTGAAAATTTTATTGTATTAAATATAGCCATGTTTTGTTGTATCTCATTAAATTTCAGCTGGAAATTTTATTCAGAGAAGTTAATTTAAACAGGCTTTGCATTGAGTATTGTCATAATGTTTAAAATCTGGGCGATGGGCTTGAATCAAAGAGTGATGGTAAACAGTGTCATGTTCGCTGAGTGTCATAGCGATGTATGTCAGCCTGGTCTTACTTGAAACCTCATTAATGATCTGAGAGACGGAGTGAATAGCACACTAATGACATTCTGACATGAACTCAGATTGGCAGATACTAAAAACACCACTTAAAAAAAGGTCACTGCTGGAAACTATCTTAAACAAGTAGAATCTTGGCAAGAAAGTTAAAACACATTTAATTTTTCCAATGGGATGTAGCTGAAGAAAATAATGGAAACTATAGCTTGTGAGTTCAATCTTTTAAAGGCAGTCTGGAAATAGGTAAGAGTAACTATTAAATTAAAACACTGTATTCTAATTTTGCAGGATAACAGCTCCATAGATATTACAGCATTACATTCAAAGGTTTAAAAAGTTAGTAGTTCAAATTATACATACACAGAAATCTACATATCTATCTGAAAATCTACATGCACTTTTCTATACTTAATGCTCCAGATATATCTACATTATAGCTCCTCAGAGAATGAACTTTAAATTTTGTTATTGATGTTGGCTAACTCATTCCAAAAAAGCTGTAGATGAAGTGGCAGGAGAGAGAGAAAAAGTGCCATAAAAGGCAATTAAAAAGTGAAAAAGGAATAAGAATTAGGAAAGAATAGCATCCATATGACACCTTTGGGAAAAGAGAGAAGAATGCCTTACTGGAATCATTTATATGAAATGGAAGAAGGGAAAATAAACAGTAAAAAAAGAAATTTAGAATAAATGTTATGAAAAAGTGGCAAAGTAATGGAAATAGCTTTTACAAATGAAACTAGTTTGAAAATGAGCTTCACTACAAGTGTCACCTTTGCAAAACACATACATCTCAGTCTCTACAGTATAAGTTCAATTACCCTGTTTATGACGTTCCTAAGATCATTTTTGCTCTACTGATTTAAACATTTCAGTGACATAAAACTGAGGTAATTCCAAAACTCTACATATTAATTAATTGAAACAAAATATATTGAGAAGCTATCAGTTTGTCAGTCCCTGAACACGTTTTGCCTTAGGCAATTTCTAAATTGTATTTGATATTCTAGAGTTTGAGTTTTAAGATCATGTACTAAAAGTGCATTTTTTGGGGGTATAGGGAAGAACTCCCTTTTAAGTGTTATAGTAAACATATTTGAAAGAATACTGAATGAAAAGTCCAGGGAACCAGATTCTGTTAATTTAGTCACTAACCGGGATGGCCATGGGAAAATTTCTTAAATTCTTAGATTTAATGTTAAAATTGGAGTAATGGAATTACATTATCCTATAACTCTAAGATTCTATGTTTAAGAAAGAAGTCTCTTGTCCCTCTTATCCTCTACAATCCAGCAAATATGGAAAAGATTCTAAGAGAATACTGAAAAGAAAGATATAGTACAGCTAAACAAAACAGATTCTACTGTACAATTTATGGAAATGAAATAATTACTTACACACCAAAACACTGTGTCAAGGCAGCATAATTAAGGTATTAAAAAACTACCTAGAATTCTGAGAATTAATGGAGCTGAAGTGTGGATATTTAATGACACATAGGGATTCATAATAAACTGAAATCATATATATGAAGAGTAGATTATAAATAAGCAGAAAGAAAAGAGTGAGAACTTTCCTTCAGGGTTTGTTATTATTAAAGCTTAACTTTCAGATCTGATATTTAAATTTTTGATGTGGAATTTTGACAAATGCCACTTGGAGGCACTCTTATACTAACTATTCTACTGAAGAATTCATACTCTCAAGATGTCAAAGAATGAAAGTTCTAGTTTTTATTTTCCTTTTTTAATTCTAATAATCACTTGGGGATGGGTAATTAACACTGGTTGTGGTATTTAAACTTTGACGTTATTCAAATTTATCACCTTGTGATTTTTACAGGTATAAATAATCCCCTGTTCATCTAATAAAACAGATTTCATTCATGCCTGTAAGGAATGAAAGAAGGGTTTTAGGATATCATCTAAAAATTAGTTTGAGAATAAATTTTGGTTTAAAAGCTAATGTCAATTTTTCAAGTGAGAAATTTTTACATGTTTTAAAAAAACTGGTCTTTATTTAAATTTGCTACTACCAAAAATAGAACAATCAATGAGAACTCAGAGACACTTTTGATGAGAGCCAATCTCACCAGCCAATTTTTAAATGTTTAAGGAAAATACAAAGAATCAACAGGATTATATTAAAATATTTTATGAAATACAACAGCATATACAATAGTGCAAGTTAAAATTGATTTGCACAGGAAAACTAAAGTTCATAGGTATCAATTTTTGGTAAGATATTTTTAAAGGAATGGATATTATTTTAAATTTTTCTCATTTTTTGTTCATTTTATAAAGTTAATTTTAAAAATAATACAACTATTCTTACAACACATGTAAAGATGGATTGTTAAGTTCATATTTTATTTTGAATAGATTTGAAAGATCTTGACTATTATATGAACAAGTGTATGTATATTTTACCTTATTCTACTTTAATCTGAAACTATAATCTATAAAAGAGGACATTAGAAATAATCACTTTTTGCTATTGCTTTTGCATGGGATATTTTGATGTTTTTATGATGAATGCTATTATTGTCATTGTAACATACAAACTATGACATTAAAATGCTGATTTTTAACAACATTTTAAGTAACTGCTCAAAGATAATACCGATTAAAATAGTATATTTGACTATGAATAGAATGAGTAAATAGTAACAATTAGTTAGACTCTAACAAGTGTTAAATAGGTTACTCTATTAGTTAGGTTACTAATTGTTATAGTAAATAGTAACCTATTACTGTTATTTACCTATAGTAAATAGTAACCTATTACTGTTATTTACCTATAGTGAATAGTAACCTATTACTGTTATTTACCTATAGTAAACAGTAACCTATTTACTATAACAATTAGTAAACATGTATATGTTACAAACTAATATTTGAAAAGGCTAATGAGCTTTTAGTTCTTTAAATGCTTGTTAGCCCTATGACATATCAAAAAGTATGTGTCATCTGGACACCTTAGGTAGGAAAGAGGTTCTTCAGTAGCCTGACTTGTGGGTTATGTTCCCATCCACAGCTGTGGGCACTGGCTCATTCTTCATTCTTTCTACATTCATGCCTCCTTGGGATAGTGATTTATCTTCAGGCTCTTAACACCTAAGACATTTGTATTTTTCAGCACTACAAAGTTTCTTTTGTCCTATTTCTACACATAATGAATCACTTTCTTTAATCTAGGAATTTGATTAATATTTGGATAATTTATATCTATATATATGTACATTCTTTTTATTGGTTAATACATCACGGATTATAATTTTCTGATAGCAAAGGGCAAGGTCTATTTATATAAATTCATATATGAACTATAGTTCCACATAGTCACCAAAGACATACTTTCTCCAGTAATTTAATGGAAAATTATATTTAGAGCTGGGGAAGTTGAAAATAGTAAACATTGGATTTTTCCTGTTTCCAAGTCAATGGATAAGGATCATATAAGGAAAGCACAGTAGTGGGATATTTGTGTGTTCTAGTTGTTCATTTTTTGTGTAACAAACCACCCCAAAACAGTGGCGTAAATCAATAGCAATCATTCATTTTGCTCACAAATCTGGGGATTGACAGGACTCAGCTAGTCCAGTTCTTGCTCAGGGTACCTCATGATGGAGCCGTCAGACAGTAGCTGAGGCTGGGACACCCAGGAGGCTCTTTCATTCGTGCATCTGATGTAGGTCTCCTCAGGCATCCCTCTCTCTCCTTACGTGGTCTCTGCATATGACCACTCACCGTGGTTGGACTTCGTACATGAGGCTTTGTGCTGCCACCAGGCCCGTTGTCCCAAAACACCAAATGTGTGTGGCTTTTTCTTGGTTAGCCTCAGAAGTCACACAACATTACTTTGATCACATTATATTTGTCAAGCCTGCCAAAAGGGCCCACCCAGTTTCAAGGGAAGAGGACATAAATTTTACCTCTTGATTGAAGAATGTCAAAAAAATACCACATTTTTAAACGTAGTTCGTTTGTCAAATTTTCCAATTAAAACCAGGCTCCTGCTTCAATCAAGTTGCAAATATCAACACAAAATATGAGGCGATATTTTGATTATTGAATATATTTAATTTAGCATTTTGTATACTTTGAGATTCCCAATTCAGTGAAATATATCTGCATTCTTTCAAATGCATTATGCTTTCACTCCCAAATTTTAAATAAAATATATTTCATTTGTACTAGTGAGAAAAGGTTTTCCTAAATCTGTAATGTACTAGGACTCCTTGATTTTCTAATTCTATGCATTTTAAGATAGATAACTGCTTAGAAGTTATCTAGTCTAATTCTCTGTCTAAAACTTGAAACCCTTTGACAACATCCCTGCTGGATGAGCATCCAGCTTGTGCCCAGGTAAACAAAGGGATAGTTGACTCATGGGAAGTGCATTCAATTTTTACCCAGAGACAGTAATCAGAAAATGTCTTCCTTAATTTAAGCCACCTTCTGCCTGCCTTTCTACCTCACCACTTCTCATTCAGCCTAAAAATACACATAAAACATTTTTGTCTTGGTCTCATCCCTATTCCACCAAATCGGTAACAAGTTTTACTGCCTGGAAAAAACATGCTACTTAGACGGAATCACAAACATGAGATTTCATGCAAACTTGGTAGCAATCATGTGGGTAGTGAGCAGAGAGTTTGGCTTGCTCCTCTGGCCTCAAGGATAATCCAAGATGGGAGAGCAGAAGGAGAATGCAGACTGCTCCAATAAAAGATTCTGGATGTGATCTTTGTCCCAATATCCTCAAGTTGCAAATTCTAATGGAACATTGAAATCTGTTCATCTCGTTCATCATATTTTAAGAGATGGAGAGGAAATAACTGCTCTTTCCTCTGCCCTCATGCTGTCTTTATCTGCCTCCTTTTCCTGACTGTAAATTGAAAGAGAGGAATACATATATTCTCAGTTGTACACAATACCTGAAGTTTCTGGCATTTGAAAATCCAATAAATATTTATTCAATAAATATATATTTAGCGAATGAATACATAAATAAATATTTGAAGTGTCTGTGGTATCAGAAATGTCTCTGACATCCAGTGAAGAAACAGGAAATAAACTACCCCCAGAGAGTTTTCTGGAATGCAAAGGGAGCTAAAAGATCACAGAAGAAAGAAGGGTGTCCTCTCTCCTGTTAATACCAGAACATATTCCTTTTTAGAGTATTTGGGTATGCATTTAAGAGAGGTTACTATTTTCCTAAACTCTGTGATTTCCCAAAAATGTGTTTACCTAGGATGAGGACAGCTCTGCCCTCTGACTTTTTCCAGCCAAAGAAGAAAACTGCAGAGGCCAGCTCTAGGGGAATTATTTGATCAGTGACCCTCATGCACTACAATCTTATTTAATAAAGCAAATCAACTGATGGACTTACTGCTGCAATGGTGGATTCAATTCCTGCCTGATGTAAAAGTAAATAACACATCAAGGAGAAAGGAATGGGGAAGTGGGACATGCCATTTTTCACAATATTTTTATTTACTAACATACTAAATATTCTCATTGTATTGAGTCATTATGGAATTGGGGAAATACACAGTTTGAAGTCAGGTAGATGTGGGATCAAATCTCAAATTTAAGTGACTTTGGAAAGTTACTGAACTTCTCTGAGCCGGTTAGCTCATTTATAAATATGGCTGTTGTGAATATTAAACAATATTGTGTAAGCATCATGCCTAGAACTGTCTCTTCCCTTCCTCTGTTTCCCCTCTTTTTGTCATCACTGATTTGCTCTAGAAAATAATCTTATTTAGGGAATTAGAATTGTGGTGTGGATTTTATTCTGTAGTGAATATTATGTATCTTCCCAAAATATTGAACCTAGATCTGATGACATCAGTGTGTACATAAGTGTGAATGCATCCCTGGTGCTTCCTTAGACCTTTGGACTATATAAGGCAGTAATCCCTACAATGCAGATCAAGCACATACCAAATATCCAGGTCACTTGATCTTATGAAGCCCTTTGTCTAGTGGGTAAGACAGAACACAATATAGGGCTATTTTCAAAATACAGGACAAAGGAAGCAAGATATGAACACAGGAATTGAACTCAGAAGACATGGAGCCCTCTGTGTGTTTTAAGTTCAAGCAAGAGAAATAATAGTCATTTAAACTCGGTGGCCCTCCTCAAGTTTCTCACCTGTGGAGAATAGTGCCGGGTCATAATAATTATAAGCTATATTAAGGGTTTAAAAGTCATGATTTATTAAACTTATTAACCAAATATATGCTTTTCAAAATAGAGGGAACTTTTATTTGATGGTTTTTTTCTATTAATGCAGTGTAAATGAAAAGTGGAAAAAAGAGGGGTCTATAAAGACACATGGAGAATTAACTTATACTTAACATCTGGCTTTTTAACATTTCTTGACTCTCTGAATCTAAAAATCAATTTATTTGCAGGTGTGGAAGATGATAAATCAATATGAAATGAGTTTCAATCTGCTAAGTGATAACTGGTAACATCTGAGTTGGTTATATCTCAGTTAGTTTCTCCTGTTCTCCATTCACAACTCTTTTCTGGAATGTTAGCAGAAATGTTTTGCTGTTGTTGTCACTATGAATCATGAACAGTTTTAGACTTCCACTATGGCAGAGACAATTGCAACTGCCAAATGCTCTATCTGCACTGCCATGTCCCTGTGCCCTTCTATTTACCTGGGACCATGTGATGAGTTCTGGCCTATGGGCTGTGGGTATAAGTGATATATCACCCCCACCCCAAGCTTGAAAAAGCAAGTTCACAACTCTCCAGCTGTCTCCTCTGCTGAGGGGACAACAGGCAAGTCCTCCTGCTGAGATGAGTGCTATAAGAGCAGTACAGTCAGCATTGCTGGGCCCTGATTGTTATCAACATTTGCCCAAATCTATAACAAAATAGGTACTGGGGAGAAAAAAAAAATCTTTGTTTTGTTAAACCATGGAAACTTTGGGGATGCTTGTTTCCACAGCATAGACCTACTCTAGACTGACTACTTCTTATCCCAGATATCAGTATAATGAATTCATTACTATACCACTTGACACTGAGTTTGCCCATGTAGCCATCAGCAAATATATCAAAGTACACTTGTTAAAATCAGTTACACAATTAGAAAGATGTAAGTCTATGTGAATAAATTGCTGAAAAGAGATGATGGTTCTTGGTGGATCACTAGTCTTCAATAATTACACTATAATAAAGTAATTATGTTAGAAGAAATTAATAAGGATATAAGCAGAAAATCTTGGAAGTGATATACTTTTCCTCATACTTTCAACCCAACAGATCCACCAGCCGACTGGTAACCAGCAGCATTCCCAGAGGAGTCCAAGCCTACAAATTGTCCCTACTTCTCTTTCCAATTTATATAAAACAGAACTTGTAACTTACTGGTAAGTTCCTAGTTAGCCCATAGGATAGGGTTGAAAGTTCAAAAGTTCCTTATTTAATTTTATTTATTTATTAATTTTATTTATTTATTAATTTTATTATTTTTTATTTTTATTATACTTTAAGTTCTAGGGTACATGTGCACAACGTGCAGGTTTGTTACATATGTATACATGTGCCATGTTGATGTGCTGCACCCATTAACTCACATTTACATTAGGTATATCTCCTAATGCTATCCCTCCCCCATTCCCCCACTCCACAACAGGCCCCAGTGTGTGATGTTCCCCTTCCTGTGTCCAAGTGTTCTCATTGTTCAATTCCCACCTATGAGTGAGAACATGCGGTGTTTGGTTTTTTGTCCTTGCAATAGTTTGCTGAAAATGATGGTTTCCAGCTTCATCCACGTCCCACAAAGGATATGAACTCATCCTTTTTATGGCTGCATAGTATTCCATGGTGTATATGTGCCACATTTTCTTAATCCAGTCTATCACTGATGGACATTTGGGTTGGTTCCAAGTCTTTGCTGTTGTGAATAGTGCCGCATCCTTATTTAATTTTAGTAAAATTACTGTGGAAGCAGTAATCATGGATAGTTTAACTTAAAAGGCTCCCTTTATATAATATGGTCTTTGAAATGAGCTACAGTGGGAGACATCAGCAAGACAGCTGACTAGACGTGCCCCGCACTCACCTCTTCCACAAAGAAAGACAAAAACCGTGAGTAGATGACCACATGTTGAATAGAAAGTCTAAAGGAAAATGCGAGACTTCAGCAGGGAACCAACAGGGACCCGAGTATTTATATCCAACTGATTTTCTCCAAAGGCACCAAGAACACAATTGAGGAAAGTATACCCTGAAGCAGTGCTGAAAGAAATAGATACTCATATATATAAGAATGAAAGTATATCCCTATCTCTCATGATATATATAAAAGTCAACTCAAAATGGATTAAAAACTTAAACATAAGACCCAAAACTATAAAACAACTAAAGGAAAACAGGGGAAATGCTTCAGAACATTGGTCTAAGCAAAGATTTTATGGGTAACCCTTCAAAAGCACAAGCAACAAAACAAAAATAGACAAAAGAGACTATAACAAACTGAAAAGCTTCTGCATAGTAAAGGAAACAATCAACAGAATGAAGAGGCAACCTGTAGAGTAGAAAAAAAATTGCAAACTATTCATCTGACAAGTGACTAATATCCAAAGTTTGCAAGGAACTCAAACAACAGTGCAAAAACAAACAAAAAACCCACAAAGAAACTGATTAAATATGGGAAGATTCTAAATAGACATTTCTCCAAAGAAGACATACAAATAGTCAAATATATAAAATATTCTCGACATCACTCATCATCAGAGAAATGTAAATCAAAACAAAAATGAGATATCATCTTACCCAGTTAGAATGGCTGTTATTGAATAGACAAATAAATGCTGGCAAGAGTATGGGGAAAAGGGAACTCATACATTGTTGGTGGGCATGTAGTTTTTGTATTCACTGTGAAAAACATTATGGGGTTTCCCGTAAAACTAGAACTACCATATGGTACAGCAATCCCACTACTGGGTATTTATCTAAAGGAAAGGAAATCAGTGTATTATTTTTGTTTTTTTTTTTTTTTTGTTTACAAACAAGGTCTTGCTCTTTTGCCCAGGCTGGAATGCATCATAGCTCACTGCCATCATAGCTCACATAAGCCTTGAATTCTTGGGATCAAGTGATCCTCCCACCTCAACCTCCCAAGTTGCTAGGACTACAGATGCATACCACCATGCTCAACTAAAAAAAATCAGTATGTAAAAGAGATAGCTGCACCTCATATTTATGGCAGCATTATTAACATTAGCCATGGTATGGAATCAACCTAAATGCCCATCGGATAATTAATAAAGAAATGTGTTATATATACAATGGAGTAATATTCAGCCATAAAAATGAATATAATCCTGTCACTGTCAGCACCATATATGAGCCTGGAGGACATTATGTTACATGAAGTAGGATAGGCACAGAAAGATAGATACTGCATATTCTTACTCATGAGGGAGCTGTAGAAGTAGAGAGTAGAATTGTGATTATTAAAAGATCAGAAGGATAGCGGAGAGGAGGATAGGTAGAAGTTGGTTAATGGATACAAAATGACAGCTACATAGGAGAAATGAGTTCTAGTTTTCTATGGTAACGTAGGGTAAATATGGTTAACAATAATCTACTGTATATTTTTGAAAAGCTAAAAGAAAGAATACATGTTTGAGGTGGTAGACATGCTAATTACTCTGATTTGATCACTATACATTTTCTACATGTATCAAAATATCACTCTGTATCCCATAAATATGCACAATTATTACATGTCAACTAAAAATAAAAGCACCAAAAAGATATGAGCTACATTGGAATTAAATGAATAAACTACATTGTTCTTTACTAAAATTATTTGGATGTAAAACTTTTTGGCTGCTGATGAGGGGTAATACTTATAATGTTCTAAATATGTTTGTACACTATTAAACCAATGAACAACAAATATGTGACTAGAAAATGTCATCAATCCACTTATGATTATAATGATGATTATTATTTTTAGATGGAGTCTAGCTCTGTTGTCCAGACTGGAGTACAGTGGCATGATCTCGGCTCACTGCAACCTCCATCTCTTGGGTTTAAGCGATTCTTCTGCCTCAGCCTCAAGAATAGCTGGGACTACAGGTGCATGCCACCATGCCCGGCTAATTCTTTTGTATTTTTAGTAGAGATGGGGTGTTAGCATATTGGCTGTTTTTGAACTCCTGACCTTTTGATCTACCCTCCTTGGCCTCCCAAAGTGCTGGGATTACAGGCATGAGCCACCACGCCCAGCCAATCCACTTATTTAACCTAGTTTAAATCTAGTATTGAGACAGTACATTTTCCTTCAGGACATTTTGAACACTAAAATTCGAGAATTTAATTGCTTTCGTTCTTTTGTTATTTGTTTCAAATATTCAGATGACTATATTTAAGATAGACCTGTGTCATATTATAATTATCACTGGCTGGAAATTGAAACCAATATGAAACTTTCATTTTCATATTACTTTCTAAGATATATTTGTGACCTTCTCTTCTAGAAAGACTCTTTTGCAGATATAGTTTTACTTGCTCATGGGTCACTAGATAGATTTATGCTTGTGATGTATATCTTAACTGGTGCCTGATATTAATTTGACCAGCCAACTGGTGGAACATTTAAAACACTTTCTTGTTAAAATGATTCAACAGAGGTAGAATTATGCACTACAACATCAATTTAAAAAACCCATCTGTTCTAACAAGAAAGTTTGTAGTTTCTGAGTTGCTCTCTGAAAAATTGGTGAAGCTTCTAGATTCTAAATCTCACTACATGCATAATATTGACACAGATTATAGATTAGTCTATAGTGTTTGTAAGACAAAAAATGTATAATACTATGTATATATAAAGATAATTCTACACCTTCTATACAGTTATACAAATTTAGTCTAATTAATTCAACAGTAGTCACTCTGTAACATTTAAAAATAACTGTATAGTTAACAAAGTTTGATGGGAATTCCTGATTTCAAATTTATTACCTAAGAATGTCCATATTCTTTCAGAATGTGCTCTTTAGCAGCCTCAACAACAGTTATTTGGAGGAAAGTGTGGTCTCTCTGAGGGCAGGGATTCAACATTTCTTCTCAAAGTTCCACGACCTTGGCTCTAAAGTGAAAACAGGTAAGAAATACACATGGCTTTTCAATGCAGGAAAATATTAATTAGAACCTTTTCAGCTAAGGTAGCACCACACCCAACTCAAAATTGCTTAAACAGTAAGAACGTTAAGCCTTCATGTAACAAGAGTACTGGGAAGGAGGTTCCAGAATTTGTTGGATTGGTGAGATAATAAAATCCTCAAACACTCATTTTAAAAAATCTTCCGGTGCATGTATCCTCACCCTGTCAGCTAATGTCCTCAGATCTGACCCTTTTTGAGGTTAAGAAAATATCAGTCCATTTAGTGTTGTTATAACAGACTACAATAGACTGGGTAATTTATAAAGGAAAGAATGTATTTTTCACAGTTTTGGAACCCAGGAAATCCAGTGTCAGCTTGCCTGCATCTGGTGAGGGTCTTCATGCTGATTATTCCATGTTGAAAGGCAGAAGGGCAAGAGAGTGCAGGAGCAAAGAGGAAGAGATCTGAACTCACCCTTTTATTAGGAACTTACTCGCATGATAAGTAACCAACTCCCATGATAATATCATTAATCCATTGATGAGGACAGATCATCTCATTATCTAATTACCTGCTAACGGTCTCACCTCTTGACACCGTTGCATTGGGAATTAAATGTCCAACACATGAATTTTGGGGGATACATTCAAACCGTAGCAAACTGAATAGCTTTCAGCATGCTACCATCCCCAACCATCTAAATGCTAAAAGGGACAAAAAGGGTGTTGATCTTTCTAAGATGGATGAAACCCATTCCAGAAGCCCCTGGATGATTTCCTCAACACTGTACTTCTCCAGAATTGCATAATAAAATCTCATCTATATCAATCAAGGTTGAGAGGAATGGAATTGTCATGATATTCAGTAATCAAGATTCAACCTCTAGCTAGGTCTAAGGGGAGCTCATCTTTCTAATGCAGGTGGCCACCTGATGTGTGAGTAAATCTGTTGTTGTATTAACAAAGAAAAATTGGAAAAGGATGGCTGGCTGTTTCTTCAGCAACAAACAGTGCCTGCCGTAGATCATAATATCATTATTTCTAATTAGCCATAAGTAAATACCAAGAGGAATGTGATGAGAGAAAAAATTAGATAAGAATCATGGTTTTGTTCTGAAGTCCTGGGGAAGACTTTTGGTACTATTTTGTATTTGTGGAAATGTAATCATAATTTTTTTTTTACTTCTAGTCCTTCCAATGATTAGTATTTTTGCAAAATTAATAGTAAGTTATGTATAGTAAAACTGAATATTTGAAAGAGAATATCATTTTAATCATGGAATACTGGAGAATATATACAGGAAAGCAAAATAATGCTTTTTAGCATTTTTCAACAGGCAAGGGATATACTTAAACACCCTTAACTCAGGTAAAGAGAGAATAAGATAGTGCTAAAACAGTGGTAAAATATATAGTTTTTGTAATATTATAAAAGAAACTTTATAATTAGGCCATATCCAATGCCATTCCTAAAATTTTATCAATGTACATAAAATTCCCTAATTCAAAATTAACACTATCACTAAGAAGTTCAAAATTAGTATATTATCACTATATTGTTATTAAGAAAACTTACTTGTTTTAATTCAATGGGTAACTTTTATGTTCAGAAGCTTTAAAACACAAAATAGTTAACAACTTTAAAAGTAGAAGATAAATACTACAGTTAATAGTTTTTGCTTAAGAATTCTAACAGTAATATTTTGGGATTTTAAAAATGAGCAGGTTATTCAGTAACAGGAAAGTGCTCTCTCCGTGAAGTCAGTTAGATACTGACATATCCAATATTAATGGGGCAGAAATGTAGCTTAACTTGACAAGCAGACCTGCCTCCTTGTTACCTCCTGAAATCATCCAGAGGGTAACCTCCAGGCTAGTAGTTATGGTTCTGGGGACATAATTGAGGTGTCTTTGTTTGTAAAACAGATAATTGAGGTTGGCTGATATTGAAACCCCTTAGTATCCACAGGCGTAGTAAATTTTCCATCACCTTGTATTTTCTATATCCTCGATGTTAATCTTTTTTCTTAACACCAGAGGATGGAAGGTAAGACTTTTGATTTACTTAAAGTTTGTTGCACACTTTGCACGTTTGGTTTGGATGAGTCATTGACTAAGCAGTTATTGTTTTAAGACAGGTAATGTGTAGGTAGTAATGAAGTTGCCTAATGCCTAGAGAATCTTCTTTTTATCTCCTGCAATATTAAGTACATTTTCTCCTCTAATCCTAAAACAGGTCCCCAAATTCCATCATTTGTAGAAGACTTAATAATAGGAGGAAAACCAAAAGTACAGCTGTGACCTTATTCAGTTAAACATTAAACCCTAATTAGCTGTCCTTGGTCACTATCTCAAAAAATTAAATAGAACTTGCTATTTTAGATTGTATATTTTTCTATTCTTACATTTTCTTCCCAATCTCACCTTCTTTGGAATGATAATTAATATGGTTGTATAAGCCAGCTTTTTTTGGACCATTCAGATATTACGTATTTGTCCCCATGTGCACTTACTGGTCAGATCAAGCAAAGTACATTTATCCCAAAGCACTGCCGCATACAAGGCTAGAATATGTCCTCATTCCTCATGTAGGGACCTTTTTTACACAAACAAATTTGAGTAAAATTACAGTCCCTCTTATGTCCATATGTGAAGTTACTGGGACTTTTAGTATTATGTGCTTATTGGGTAAAATTGAAAAATATAGAAAGGTACAGAAGAGTTGATTTTCCACAGAGTATGAATGCCAGGGGAATTACTATACATATCAAAATATTTCTCTAGCACACTGCAAAAACATTCCCTTTGTTGGTATTCAGGCATGTGTGAGCATCCTTAGAGTCCTGGTGATATATTCCTAAGAGAATTCCCTTCCATGGCATTTGAAGAAACCCTTGGGAAAGAATGTAACTTGAAAATTGTCTGGAGCATGTCTTGAATAAATTACATAACAGGCCAAACTGACACTAACAGAGGAAGATAATTCATCCCAAGGGAAGAAGTAGCTGTGCATGATAGCCGACTATTTAAGCCAGAGTCATTATTGTCGAAGGGGAGTCATGATTTGAATTCCACCATGGTGGGTACTTCCAGCCCACTCCCACAGATTGTACAGAGAAAAAGAACTGTAAAAACACTCTACAGAAAAATCTCCGTAAAACGTAAGGCCACAAACAGCCCTGCTTAAAGAGCTCTCTAACAAAACACTGCATGACTAGCAGTGGCCTTTATCTCCATTTTGTCACAAATCACCAAGTAGCCTGGGTGCCATGACATGCTAGGTCATTGATAGCTGGGCCTGGGATATGAGCATTCTAAGCATTCTCCAGAGAAACAGTATTATCCAGAGATAGATATTATAGATCCATAGATATATAATATAATATACAGATATATATAAGATAATATATGGATATATAGATATAATATCTACTATATATTTATATATCTGTAAATAGATTCATCTATATAGTATGCATTTATATATCTACTACTAATATATGGTAGATATTTATATTCTACTTATAAATATGTGCTAGATATTTATATTCTTCTTATAAATATATGGTAGATATTTTTATATCTACTATAAATATGAGGTAGATTTTTATATCTACTATAAATATATGGTAGATATTTTTATATCTACTATAAATATGAGGTAGATTTTTATATCTACTATAAATATATGGTAGATATTTTTATATCTACTATACTATAGATGTATATAATAGATATAGTAGATATGTATATCTACTATACTATAGATGTATATAATAGATATAGTAGATATGTATATCTACTACACCATAGATGTATATCTATATCTATCTATATCTTGTGTGTGTGTGTGTGTGTGTGTGTGTGTGTGTGTGTGTGTATGAGAGAGACTGAAAGAACCAGAGAGAGAGAGACTAAAAGCAATCTGCTGGAGTATTTTTTCCAGTTTAGGAAGGCTGGCCTTTTTATTCTATTTAGGCCTTCAACTGTTTGCATGAGTCCCACTTACATTATAGAGGGCAATCACCTTTACCCAAAGATCACAGGGTGGGTGTAATGACTCGTGCCAGTAATTCCAGCACTTTGGGAGACCAAGGCAGGAGATTCACTTAAGCTCAGGAGTTTGAGACCAGCCTGAGCAATATAATGAGACCCCTATTTCTACCAAATCATTAAAAGAGCAGCTGGCCATGGTGGTGTACACTTGTAATCCCAGCATCTCAGGAGGCTGAGGCAGGAGGATCACTTGATCTCAGGAGTTTGAGGTTGCAGTGAGCATCAATGATTTTACCGCTCTAGGTGACAGAGCAAGACCTTGTCTCAAATACACACACACACACACACACACACACACAGGAGTTCATGACGACTGATGGAAAGAGACATGTTTATGAGCATTTTTTATATCCCCTGGGGTTCCCAGAAACTAGTGGTGAATTAAGAGAGGACTCTGTGAGTTGATAGACTATTACAAGAGCAGTGGCAATATATGTCAGTGGAATTCAAATTATTACAGTTATTTAATTCCACACCATCATGTAAAACAAGCTATTAAAGGCAATACAGCCTCCTGCTACGTGTTGTTTCTTCATCTGTAGGGTACATTTGTGAAGTTACAAACTGTTACAATGTTAAACAGTGTCAAATTTAGAAGGTCTAGCCTAGTACTGGCTTTTTAACGATATTTTATGATTATTTGTGTGGAGAGGATGACATTATATTATAGTATTTAAGAGAATGATGAAGTCAGTTCACTTGGGTTCAAATCCCAGCTCTAGTTGCTGAATGTGTAAATTTCTATAAATTACTTGATTTTTCTATGCTTCCATTTCCTTGCGGGAAAATGCAAACACTTATATAATCTCCTTCACATGGTTGTTAAGATAAATGTAACAATTAATATTTAACATTTGTCACAATATGTAGTATATAGTCAACAAATGTTAACTATTGTGTCTATTATAACTTTAGCAGTATGGTAAAGTCATCCAAATGTTCAATTAATTATGGATCTGTCCATGTGTATGTATGTATCATGCAGCCAAAAGTCAATCGAAAGTTAATATTCAAAATAAGTAAAAGAACTGGATAACATTAGCATAAATGTGGAGCAATGACAAGTGACAGAAATGGTGAACAATTTCTGTGCTTTTTACTTTAATGTTATATCATAAAGACAAGTAAAATCTTCTGTGTGGATATATTTTGTAATCTATAAAATATAGCTTATTTTTAGTGGACGCCATGTACAAGAAAAGTTCCTGTCTTCTTTATGTGTGATACATTTTTTTATCCCCAAATCATTCATTTATTCATTCTTTTATTTATAAGCAACCAATTTTTGAGTGACTCATACACCTAAGGCACTGTGCTAGACACTGAGCTTTCAAAATGAAAAATAAGATATGCCTTACCTGCAAGGAGCTTCATTATCATAAGGGAAACAGAGAAGTAAATCAATAATTAAAATAAAATCATGCATATATATTCCTGTAAGGCCAATTATTACTCTTGTATACTGGTAAGCATAAATTACAATGCATACAAGTATTGCAATCTGACATTGTATGCAGGTTAAGTATAGAGGGACTTAACAGGAATAAACATCAACAAGATTTTAATAAATATTGTCTTTTAAAATGTTAATTTATTTATTCATTCAACAAATATTTATTAGATAACTGAAACCACTTTTGGAAAAATTGTGACAGTGAGAAGATTATGACTGTGAAAGAGATCTAACCTAACTGACTCCATCTTACTTCTAACCTCCAGGCTGCCTTTGTTCATCTCTAGGTGTAGGCCAAACTAACTTGGGAGGAACTTAGTTTATAGTTCAGCTTTGAAACAAAGATGATAATAGCTCCTTCCTGAAACAAATCCCCTTCTTGCCTGAGGACCAGATTGCTTTTGTAGGACTAACAAATTAGTCACAAGATTAGAAATTACGGCTTAGGAGTCATGCAGCCAGAGGCCACAAGATTCTGCACTTCCCCTAATGCTACCAGGGATAACATCAGTATTGTAAAACCTAAGATTTGTCCTTGAGATATTTTTTAGACCTTGCATTCTGGTGAATCAGTTGGCTCCACCCAGACTGGTAATCTGGATCAGGAACACAGCAAGAAGAACCCATTTCAACCCCCTATGATTTAATCTCTGACCTGACCAATCAGCACTCCTCACTCCCCAGCCCCCTACCCACCACATTATTCTTAAAAGACCCTCTCTGAATTTCTGGAGAAACTGGTTTGAGTAATACATCTCCTCTGTTCTCCCATTCAGTCAGCTCTGTGTGAATTAAACTGTTTCTCTATTGCAATTCCTATGTCTTGATAAATTCACTGTATCTGCATAGCAAGCAAAAGAACCCATTGGGCAGTTCCACATGTACTGTATGAAGTCACTGAGTTAGGCATTTGCATGAGGGTGGGAAAGTTGGAAAATAAAAAGAAATCAAATATCAATCTTGACTTTAGGGAGCTTGAGAATGGTGTGAGTACAGCCACATAAATGATCATAATTCAAGGGTGAGTAAGGTACATATACTAAAGTACATCAAAAGCACTAAGGGAGTTCAGAAAAGGAAGAAATGACATTTCAAAGGCAATGATGAGGAAAAGGACTGGTGCCTCTGCAGGGATCAAGACATGAACTAGTAGTCATTGTATTTTTCAGTCACATTTTTTCAGTAATACAATCACAATTTCACTTCTGAATGTCCTCGATGAAGCAGTATTAATTTTATTAAATTCCCAATTTTGAGCACACATTTTCAATATTCTGCATGACAAAATGAAAAGCATGCATAAAGTACTCCTGCCTACTGAAGTATGATGGTTGCCTAAAGGAAAAGACCTTATATGATTAAGTTATGAGGTTGAACAAACAGCTTTTCCTCATGGAACATCATTTTTACTTAAAAGAATGACAAACTGATAAACAGAATATTTTGACTTGCATATTTGTAAGATATTTTCTCAAAAATAAACAACAGATGAAAGCAACTGACATATGCTGCCAAGAATAAAACTTGAGCTTTCAAGGGGAAATTAACATTTTGGAAAACTTATCTGCCACTGTGAGTTTGTCAGTTTCACAATATTTAATGACTTTTCTGATGAGATTATTTGTACTTAAATGAATGTGATTTTTTTGCAGCATATTCTAATTAAGTGTGTCCTGCATAAATTTAAGAGTCCTGCATTTAAGAGTCCTGCATAAATGAGTGAACCAACATTTTGCAAATGACCAATACATTGTTACAAAATCACGTGTGGGTAAACATTTGTTCAAAATGCAAGATTTATCAGTGCATATTTATGTAATCGAAAATGAAGAGTTCATTGATAGTTTTGAGAGAAGAGAGAAAGAGACCCCCCCCCCCCATAATGTTCTATATTGTTTTATACTCAGCACATGTTTTAAGAAGAAACAAGGAAGTGAAACCAAAGGCAGGCAGCCCTGTGGCAGGCACCAGACCCAAAACCAGACCCAAAACCAGGCCTGAGCCTGGCTGACCTTAGCCTGATAGTTAAAATTCAACCCATGACCTAGCAACTGATGTTATCCACAGATTCCAGACATTGTATGGAAGGACATTGTGAAACTTTTCGTTCTCTTCTGCTTCACTCTGATTACTGGTGCAGGCAGCCCCTGTCACATACCCCCTAGATTGCTCAATCAATCATGGCCCTTTCATGTAAAATCTTTAGTGTTGTGAGCCCTTAAAAGGGACAGAAATTGTGCACTCGACAAGCTCGGATTTTGAGACACTAGTCTGCCAATGTTTCCAGCTGATGAAAAGCCACTTCCTTCACTACCTCGGTGTCTGTGGGGTTTTGTCTGTGGCTCCTCCTGCTACAGTTTCAGATTACACAGTGCAACCAATCTTTAAGGAAAAACTTGTCAATTTTGGGTGTTATATCAATGAAGACTATCCACAGCTATATGAAAAGGCAATGAAAATATTCCTCCAATCTGCAAGTATATATCTCTGAGGGTAAATTGACGTTTTAAAATATACTGCAAACAAACAGTATATTGTAATAGGTTGAATGCAGAAGCAGATATGAGAATCCAATTGTCTTCTCTTAAATCAGTCATCAAAGTAATTTTCAACTTGTAAAATAATACCACTCTTTGCACTATTTAAAAAATATTGTTCATAAAATATGAACATACGTTGACTTATAATGGATTTATTGCAAATCTAAAATTTATAAAATATTTTATAAATTTCTAAAGTGTTAATCTATAATAGATTTCATCCACATAAACAAAATCTCCTTTGGGATCCTTGTGCCAGGTATTAATGTATTCTTCTCAGCTCCAAATTCAGCCTGTTTGCCTGCTCTGTCATAATGGTACTGTGCTTTTACATATTTCACCTTTTCGAAACAGCAAGAAGTTAAGCTTTGTGTGTAAGGGAACTGCATTGACACTGGTGAGGGATTTGGGTTCCCCTTCTGCTTCTAGTGTGGTTTCATTGTCAGGCTCCTACAAAACATGCTTTCTGAAGCAGTCAACTCAGGCATCAGCAGTGAAACCAGGACCTCTGACATTGTGGGAATGTACAGCCCAACCTGTTACTGCTCCCCACATCCTCTCTTTAGCCTAGTGCACAACTGCTCATACCAGGGGCCCTATCATGCTTTTATTTAGCGAGTAGACCACTCTACCTTTACTCCACATGGCTCAGGCCACAATAAGCTAGTTTCCTTCAAAGGGAGACCTGTCCAGGTCCTGGTTTCAGCAGTGTCTGCAATGGTGCTCTGAGTCTGTAAGGGCCTGGACACTAACTTCAGGTCGCCTGCACCCCAGAACGTTCATTCCACTTGCTTGTGGACTGTGGACCAGCTTCATTCCAGGAAACAACAAAGTTCTCTATCATCCAGTGGGCTATCACCAAACCTTTTTCAACAAAGTCTGAGCCCCATCCTTGGGAACACAGTTTTTTTTGTTGTTGTTGTTTGTTTTGTTTTGTTGTTTTTTTTAAAGTTTATTTTCCTTTAGCAACTGTCCCTCAGTTCCAGAGTCCCCTTTAGAGCTATCTTTCCATCTTCATGGTTATTCTTCATGGTAGCTCAGTAGTAATTCTTTACATTAAATTTTCCCTGTTAAAATTACTGTGTGGCTTCTGACTATTGATCGGAGCCAGAAAAATTTCTAAGACAGTTTATTAGTCTGTTCTCATGCTGCTAATAAAGACATACCCAAGACTGTGTAATTTATAGAGGAAAGAGGTTTAATTAACTCACAGTTCCACATGGCTGGGGAGGTGACAAACTCATGGTGGAAGGTGAATGAGGAGCATAGTCACATCTTACATGGTGGCAGGCAAGAGAGCTTGTGCAGGGGATCTCCTATTTATAAAACCATCAGATCTCATGAGACTTATTCACTAACATGAGAACAATATGGGGAAAACTGCCCCCATGATTCAATTATCTCTACCTGGCCCCATCTTTGACATGTGGGGGATATTATACTTCAAGGTGAGATTTGAGCGGGGGGACAAAGCCCAACCATATCAGACAGTAAAAGGGTCCTGAGACCAAAAAGCTTGAGAATGGCTGCTTATAGGGCATAGTGAAAGTAAATGCAGGTGATGGGCACTACTAGAGGAGCTAGGGAAGGATATCATTTGAAGTACTTGTCCCTCTAGCAATAAATCACCTCCATTTTAATAAAGCCTGGAAGATTGAAATGTCTTCTGAAATGCAAGGGAGAAATTCTCTTATGGTTATAAGAGTTTTAGAGCACTCTCTTTTTTACCTTTATGGTTTTGGTTAATAAAATTGGCCTTGATTCTGGGACATTTAAAAAATAGAGCCTTACATATTTCCAAAATGAATTTATTCTTCAGTCTTTCACATTTATATCAGTAGCCCCAAATTTGACCACTTCTCACCACCTTTATCACTATTACTCCTTGTCCAAGCCACCTCCATTTCTTGCTTAAATAATGACAATGGCATCCAAATTGGACTCTGGTTTCTGCCCTTCCAGGCTAATATACACATGGCTGGTTGACATCTACGCAGCAGTGGCACTGCAAAAGTATAAGTAAAATAATATCACTCTTCTACCCAAATCTTCTGGTGGTCCCCCATATGGCTCAGAGTAAAAGACTGAATCTTTACAATGATCTAAGACTTTCTGTACAATCTTGCTTTCATCACCTCTCTGCTCATATTATCTTGTACTTTCCTGTCACTTCTTCTGTTTAAGCCATACTGCCTCCTTGATAACAAGAGGTATGTGCATCTTAGTGGTTTTGCACATATAGGGTTTTTGATGGCTGTTTTGTTGTTTTTTGTTTGTTTATTTCTATAACTCAGCACCCAGAACAACACCTGAAAACCACAAGTTACTCAAATATTTGTTGAATGAAGGAATAAGCCACAGTCTGAGCTGAAATGGCTAGAGTAGTGTAGATTAAATCTAACAGTATTTTTTTTCTCTGAAACAAATCTCAACTCCCACATTCATTTCTGGTTATGAATATTTTCTTACATTTTACATCTTTGGGGAGATATTATGGTTTCATTTCACTTTAAAATTATATTCCCAAGATTATGTCAGAATTAAACCCTAAATTAGAACCAAGGCATTAAATTGTCATTGAAAACACATTAATTGAGCTGCTACCACATTTAAGATACTCTTTTAGCTACAATGTAAGCCAAGATGCTAAAAATACGAGTCTTGCCAATTGTGTGAAAGGCAACATAAAGTATACAGTGGACAATTTCACTGTCAAAATGGCAGACTGAGCACATACTGAAATCACTGCTTGCCACACCAAATCTACAAAAGTACAGAAAGAGAACCATAAAAACTGATTAATAAGCACATAGCTATGCCCAGAATACAGGAGAATTCTCAGAGGTGCTGAATTTGCACAGTATATTTGGAGAAAAAAAAAGGCAGCCAACTAAATTTACCACAACAGTAATAAGCTGAGGACCCAAATACAATGTCACAGCCCACAAGGGGCATCAGTACAGCCCAGAATATGAATAAGAAAATTCTGCTAAAAAACAAAAGTATAAAACTAATGATCAGCAGACATCTGAGGGAGCTCAACACCATGAATGAGAGAATTTTTTAAAAACCAAACATACAAAAATGTCCAAGGAAACAATTAACTTAGCCATCCAGAAATAGATTTTAAGTAACACAAAGCAAATGGAAATGTAAGTCTGAAACTCATTTATCTAACAGGGTCTACAGTGAAAAAAAAAAAAAAAAACACATGGTCTAGAAGACTTAGCAATTAAAAGAGAAAGAAAACTGTGAGATGCTGGGTAAGGCCAGTCTTTTGGGAAAAGTTAGATATTACCCATTTGTTATAGCAAACATATGATTCGGATTGATGGGGAAGAAAGATAAATTCCATGCCACCAGAAATAGAAAAGTGACAAGGACTCAAACTATGAAGGCATACAGGGAGGACTGAACTTTCTGGAATACAGAATTGATGTTGAGGAGAAGGGGAAGTTAAGAGTCAAAACTCAAGGCAGAGGCAAATAAAGGGTGTTTGAAAAACATTGGATTTGAGCTAACAAATAATGAGAAATGTTTGTAGGCTCATTAGCAGAAGAGACTTATGTCACTGGATGGCAGAGAACCTGTTTTAGAAACAATTATTCTTATATACAGAAAAGAAAGTAGTAGTCATAGAAGGAGGAATCCTACATATAGGAAGGATTGGTGAGTACTTTTACAGGTTTAAAGGTTTCTGAAAAAATTCCCTAAGTTGTTAATATCTCAGCTTCACATATTTTTTGCTCATTAAACTTACATATTTTAAGAATGCTAACCAATGGGTGAATATCACTTGTGGAAGTTTTAATAAATGGCTGCAAATTGGTTGGCACATTTTCTCTTGTGCTGTAGGGTTCACGTACTCTCCCTCTTGTAACTAGAGGGTTTGGGAATGACTTTGAACACTAGATGGAGCAGAAGTGAATGCATGAACAATGGTTTGTGTATGCCTTTGGTTGGAGATAGGATTCGTAGGTAGCAATAGTAGTTGGAATAGAACTTGGTAACTTGAAGTGGGGTGAAACCACTGAACAAAAATGAAATTGAAAAAAAAAACCACAAAAGATTTAAAACATAAAGAAAATTCTTAAACATGTTGTTGGCTTTGGGGCTGGGTCATATGTGTATACTTGAATGGGCATTGAGGAGGCTTTGGGAGGGCTTAAAGGAAATTCAGGGAGACTTTATTGGAAACTGGAGGAAAACAGAGTTCTCGTTACGTAATGATGGAGAGTTAAGCACAACTGGCATCAGCAGTAACATGGAAAATAGACAATGTATCCCATGAATTGACAGATCTAACTGGATTTCCAAGCACGTGTTCAACGAGTGTCAATTGGTTTCTTGTAGTTGTGCACCATAAAGTGAGAAATAGAGACAGATGAGCTAAAGATCTTGTTTAGTTTTCAGGTGGAACTTAGAGAAAACTATTTAAAAGTCAGGAATTCCTGGCATTAACAGACAAATTATTCCCTGTGCATTGGTGGTAAGTCTTCTCAGAAGGAGGTATCAAGACAGAAATAGACAAACAGATTTATAGGGGAAAATATTTGTGAAGTAAAAAAGGAGAGAGAGCCTGGGGAGAGAGGCAGAGCTGGTAGATCCCAATGCAGGTATGACACCTGTGATGGTGTAGAGGGGAGGCAGAGGGTTAGATAGATGGAATCTCAGACAATAGCAAGTTAAGAAACTTTTGCCAGGTAAAAATTTCTCTATGGGAATCAAGACTGTAGTACAAAAATGCTGATAGCTTCAGGGTGCAGCAGCTGGAGTCATCTGTCAATTATACTCCCTACAACAGAAAATCTGAGTCACATTTCTTTAGCCACCACTCTTTAGCCAGTCCACTCTTTCTGCTGTACATATATACTTCTCTACATGTGCACAGCGAGCAGTAGGTCCCCATGGGCCTCTTTTCCTGAGAGTAAACTTAGAAATGTGAGGCTAGTGGGGTGAACTACAGCCCCCAACATTTCGCCTCTTTGCGGAGCCATAAACAACACTCATTCTCATCCTCCTCCACTATTAACTCTAAATTCCCCTTTGCTCTCAGCTTTTCCTTGTCTGCTCTTGCAGACTAACTAGTATCCAAAACTTCATTCCTGAGGGGCTGAACTCTTGGCAACTATACCTTGCTACATGTACTCACAGTTACAATGAAATGAAGAAATGCCAGGTGAGGTCCAAGTTGATCACCTGAATTCCACACCTATCTCCTCCCCATGTTCTACTGCGTGAAAGCAGCCCTACCTTCTTCTAATCAGGGTAAACTAGGAAGATGGTGACTCCTCTTTTCATCTACTGGCTCCTAGACACAAGAAATCCCAAGTACTTCCAAATGCCCGATGGTACAGTCTACCTGTTCAGAGTGTTTCCTCCAAGACAGGACTTCAGCAATGTTTTAGAAGGCTGTTGCTGCATTCTACCCGTCCATCTGCTTCTGAAGAGTGTGGCATGCGATAAAACCCATAGATGCCATAGTTGTAAGTCCCCTCCAGCACCACCATTGATGTGGATCCCCAGGCAAGATATTATCCTGTATAAGAGTCCTAGCTTTGAATCATTCTATAAGCATTCCATAAGAATTTGAATAATGATGTTGGCTCAGGCTCTTATAAGGAAAGGGAAATCCTTATTCATAGTAGGTCTATATGTCTGAGAGGAAAAACCCGGCCCAATGCAGTTGTCCTGCCTTCAAGAGCCTGATTTGTCAGCCGGGTGCATTGGCTCATACCTGTAATCCCAGCACTTTGGGAGGCCGTGGCTGGCTGATTACAAGGTTAGGAGTTCGAGACCAGCCTTACCAACACGGTGAAACCCCATCTCTCCTAAAAATACAAAAATTAAGCACTCATGGTGGCACACGCCTGTAATCCCAGCTACTCAGGAGGCTAAGGCAGGAGAATCCCTTGAACCCAGGAGGCAGATGTTGTAGTGAGCTGAGATCGTGCCACTGTACTCCAGCCTGGGCGACACAGCGTGGCTCCATCTCATAAACAAAAACAAAACAAAAAAGAGTCCGGTTTCTCTTTTTGAGGACTGATAATATTGGCAGTTAGACATTGGTCTCGATTGTGGATAAGCTTGACATTCATAGGCAGCAGTAGCTAAATCTGCCTTTTTAAGTGTGAGTCTGTGCCTTTGAGCACATATATAACTTTCATCTCTGCCACTCTGGCCACTCCATTCATGAGCTCATCATGTTGTTCCAGGGTGCCTAATGATCAAAGGTTTGCTATTGTCAAATGGCCAAGTAATTTTGTATCCCCCAGTTTTCACTGCCTTTTCCATAATAGATGCTTTCTGGTAAGCATTAAAGTTTAGTATAAAACCCTCCAAATCCTGTGCTCAATCTTGTATGCCCATCTCTATAGATACTTTTACCACAGGCCTCCTTGTCTCTGATCTTCCAATTTTACTAGTAGGGCTCTGATCAGAGAGAAAGCCAGGTCATTGACCTCTGCCCAATAATCTGTACATATTCTTGCCCCATATCATCACTTTGTTCTCAAAAGTAGGTGGGCAAGTATATCACTAAAATTTCTGCCCATTAAGATTGTCTCTGTTCACTGTCTTTCATGTGCACCCATGAATGTGGCTGTAATGCAGTTGCTATCCAATTTTTGTTTGCATCCATGTACCAAGCTGACCTATGCATAAATCAAGGTTGGATTTTTTTTTCCTTCTTTAGCTGTTCATACAAAGTCCCCTGATGGCCATAGTGCAAGCTGCAGCAGAGGTGTTATTGCAAATATTGGGGGTGATGTGAGGGTATGGGCTTCCTGCTCATGCAGTATACCGTGTCCTCTAATCCTGTTCTGTCTGAAATCTAGATGTTCTAGTTCCAACTTAAGATGGATTACTGCTTAGCCTGTTTATCCGTTGACTCTGTGTAACTTAGTGGATCTAACAGAACTCAACTCATGATAAAAAGCTTCAGAGGCATGTTCCCTTTGTATTCCAAGGTCAAGAATTTTATTTCTACCATGCTAGGTAACACTCTAGTATCTGTTTCTCAAATGGTATATCAAACTCTGCTAGGAACATTATAGCCTTTTTCTAGAATTCCAAGAGTCTGCAGTGGAACTTGACATAAGCTCTATCCTGGCTTTTTCTTCAACATTGACATCTCCATCATCATAGGCTTGGCCAGATTTTATGACCCAAATCCAGTGACCAACCACACCGGTTTGTCTAAGACTCCTAATTTTAGCATTACAAGTCTCATGTGCCAGGGAAATATTTATTTCCTCTGCTAGTTTCTAAACTTTTCAGCATTTATATCTCAACTTCTGAAGCTCTTGTATCTTTACCAAGACCTCCAGCATACTAGCCACCTCTTTTACATTTTGTTCATCAGCATGATGTAATCAATCTAATGATCTGTGTAATGTTTTTTGGGATGTCCAGGTGGTACAGGTTTCTTCACACCATATTATGACAGAGCATGAGAACATTAGCATAAAAGTGAGGCAAAACTATAAATGAATATTGTTGTCTACCCCACATGAATGCAAACTGTTAGATATACTTTTCTGTTCTGAATGGAAAAGAAAGCATTTGCTAAATCAGTGGCCACATACAATGCACAGGAAGCCTTAATAATGTGTTTTTGCAATAATATTACATCTGGCATAGCAGCTGCAATCTGGGCTACTACATGGTTAAGGTCTATAGTCATATCCTGGATCCATCAAAGTTTTATTGGGGCTGAACTGGTGAATTAAATGGAGATATGATAGGATCCTCACTCCTGCATCCTTTAGGACATTAATGATGACTCCAAACTCTGTCTACCATAAAATATCATATTGTTTTTGTTTTAATATCATGGTAGGGAAAGCGGGGAGAGTTTCAGAGGTTCCTACTTAGCCTTCTCCACTATGATAATTCTCACTCCTGGAACATTTGTATTAGTTACTCTAAGAAAGAGATGGCAAGAGGGGATTACACGTCCAAGAGATTTACTGGAGTAAATGCCATGAGGGAAAAGAATGAAGAAGCCAAAGGAGGATGGAAAAACTATCAGTTTGTGATGTAGGGCTATCCACTGTAAAGGAGAGAGAGAAGGAAAGAGTTTTGGATAAGCAGATTTTCACACCGCAGCACAGTTCTAAGAATTCTGCTAGGTTGTTGGTGAGTCTGCAAGTCAAAATTTCCTGTTGAAGGAATCCAACATTTCACAGGAAAGCAATTTACTTAGTGTCCTCGCCACACTTATTCACTCAGAGCAGCCCAGGAAAACATGGGCTTATCACATACGTGGTGGATTCAGAGTGCAGCAGCTAGAATTATCCGTCCATTAGCTTCTGCTCACAAAAGAGCCGAGTGATACACTTTTATGGCCACCACCTCCAGTAACTCTAGCAGAATATTTCATATAATAAAGGGCCTTGAGGCAAAGATCAAATCCAGGGTGCTGTGAGAAATATATGGTTTCAAGATAAAAATGAAGGAAAGGATGACTGTAACATCTTTTGTAAGACTTCTGAAAAGTTTAAGGTGGTGTCTCATAGACTCTTTTAGTATATAAAAGTCTTTCTCAGACCTGCCTTGTTAAATAAACACTAGGGGTTCTAAGACTTTCAAGATATTGTCTCACAGAAGCTTTACAGAGTTTTTGAGAGAGAATAGATTTTTAGGTGTGGCTTTTGTCTAATAAAGTGGATGATAGTTCAGCATACAAGAAACACACAAAGTTTTATAATTTTTATAGAAACTTGGACTTGAAGGCACACAGACAATATAAAATTTAAAAAAAGGGTTTGGACCTTTTGCTCTTTCTAAGTCAGAATCAGTTTGAAATAACTTTTCAGCTACAAACAGGGCCTACATTAAAACAACAACAACAACAACAACAACAACAAAACTCGGGAGACAGAAAAAGAGCCCAGAGTGGGAGGTAACAGGCACAGATAACTCTAAGGCTGACAGCCAGAAAATAGGACTGGTCACTAATATAGAAATCAGCAACTTAAACTTGCCTGGATTTCAGAAATGCTACGGATCAGTGACCATTGTGTACTTCCGGTCCTTTTCTTCCCTGTCCCCCCACCCTTTATTTTTGAGCTGCATTAGCTGCACTACCACTGCAGTTATCCTATGCCTATTCCATCAGTGTAGTTTGGTTCTTTAGTTCTCCCATCTTCAAATGGAAAGGAATTATACTCGAGGACCAAAATTGTACTAGAGGGATCACACCAAGGAAACTTATTCATACCTGGACCTGATTCAGATGACAGAATCTTGGACCTTGAACTTGAACTCAATTACATAAAAAGTTGAGACATTTGGGGAGTCTTGGGAACATCTGAATCTATTATGTAGATGTAATAAATAGAAATAACTTGTGACCAAAGACAAACTTTGGTGGCTTTTAAAAATAATAATAGCAAATTATTTGACCCTTCTCACATGAGAGGCAGTTTCATGTTTTCTTGCCAGCAGTATGGATGGGGTTGTATTTGCTTCAACCAGTAGAGCCCAACCCAGATGATCCTGTGTCGGTAGTGTTCATTTATAAAAGTCTATGCAACTTCTTGGGATGCTCACTTTCATGACACTTTCTCCTGGAACCCAGTCATTGCGTTGTGAGAATCCCAAACCACATGAAAAAGCCTCATGTAGGTGCTCCAGTTAACATCCTTAGCAGAGCCTGTCCTTTCAGTCACCCCATCTCTGGTGTCAGAAAGCCATGAGAACAAGGCTCTAGAGGAATGTAGTTCCCCGCTGGAATACTCCCAGGTGAGTCTCAGACATTGTGAAGCAGATAGGATAGCTCCATTGTGCCCTGTCCTAATTTTTGACCTACAGAATTCTGAGCATAAGAAAATGGTGTGTTTTCAACTCCAAGTTTTGTGTGGTTTGTTTTGCAGCAATAGTAACTGAAATGTCATCTAATATTTTTTATTGGAAAAGCTAAAAGCAAAATATCTAAATTCAAAATAAACCTCTAACTTAGCTTTCAAGCCTATTCCAAATCAATTGCCTGTTTTTTTTTTTCCCAGAGTATTTGAAACTACAACAGACATTATGACTGTTGAGTTTCTAACCACATTTGTCCATAATTTTGACTTTAGAATGTGAAAGAGACATCTAAAATGACGCTCCTGGAAACATTGCTATTCCAAAATAGCATATTTTGGAATGCAAAATAATATTTGGCACTTATTCTGGAGTCATTATTAAATAATTATTAATCTGACAGTATTTTATTCTCAGGAAAATAAGAAAAATACTTGCATTGCTAGAATATGCATAGAAATATAAGTATTCATTGAATATTTTTAAACTTTAATTCATCAAAAAGGAAATATATGTGTCTATTCATGGAAGTGAAGGTGTGTATACATGAGAGAGAGAGAAAATAGAGGAGGGGAAGAAAGAGAGTGATAGAAGGGGAAAGGAGAAAGGAAGCATATAAAGTATGGAACAGTACTTTTGTGTGTTTCCATGAACTACATTTTGCTAAAATTACACAATAGGAGGCTACAGAGATAATTTTCTCATTCATCAATTAAAATTTCGTCAATTTGACTTGACTAGTTTTTTTTCTGAGTAGCAGTATTTCTGGAGCTTAAGGAATATTTAGGTTCTTTCTCAGAAGGGCCTTTGAACAGCCTGTGGTGATAGAACAGACCTTCATTCAGTGAAATCTTGCTGACAGCTGAGAGCAGAACATTGCATTTTGTACCCTCAAGAAAATATAATTGCTGAGATGCAATTGCTCTTTCATCTTGTGGTGGTAATCAATCAGTGATTGACAAGTCTAATTAGAAGCCTTGGTTTGTGCAACATGATAGCACTTTCTAGCAGCACTGTAGCTTATAACATCTTTTTAACAATCCTATAAGAAAAAAATATAATATTTTATGGATATTTCAATTACATTTCTGTCATTATTGTTTGCATATATGCAAAGGTCTTATTGGGGTAGAATAATACCACCTTTGGAAGTATAAATATACCACTCTAATGGTTTTATGATATCTACTAAGGCATCAGTATTTCTGCTCTAAAGGTTTGATTATTTTTCAAATTGGCAAAGATAGATTTTGTATGTGTATAATTTTTTATTGTATTCAGAAAATAGTGTATTTCAGGTGCATAGATTTACGTTTTGATACAAATCTTTCTCCCATCTTCTTCCCAATAGAGGTAATTCATAATGGGATAGAGTAATCTGAAGAGAAATGGCATCTGCTAAAAAATATGGTGCTTGGTTACAAAGTCAAGATAAAATATCATATTTTGTTAGGCACTGAAAATATCTAGAAAACTCAGTGCTTATTTCTTTCTATCATATGACATGTGTTAAGTCTCTGAACAGATTTTTTTTTCACATAGAAATATCTTCAAAAATGTTAAACTTCAAACTGGATAATTACACTGTATATTTGTCTTTTAGCATTTCAATTAGGATCTGTTAATCTTGAACTTGTGCAACTTAATTTGTATGCAGAAGGAGAAAGTGGAATTACAGGAAGTATTAAACCATTCTTTTTGTTCTTGATAAAATGATGAAATAATGTACAAACTGCTTTCCTTCACTTTTCTGATATTTCTTTTAGAAAATGAGCCTTTCCATCATACAGAAAGTGATAAATTACTGAGAAGGCATATTATCCTTTCTTGCAGAATGAGGATTGTATTGAAGACATGGATTTTCCTGAAATGCCAAAGGAAAAGACAATATAAAAAATACAATTATATTTTTACTCTGAATATCTTAGTACAATGTTTTGAATTAAATGTCTCCTTAGACATTCTGCAAATTAATGAACACATAATTTCAAAACTAAATTTAAAGCTGAAAACTAAATTTAAATCTGAAAGATCAGCACAATCTCTAGAAAAGCACCAAAACATAGTCTTTAGAAATGTTTTGATAAGGTGACTGGAGGATTCTTCTGAAAGCACAACAGAGTGGATACAACTCAACATTTTTCCCTCTGAAGATGATTTTTGAGCTTTATATGAGATATTTATCATTTGTTATACTTTAAAACACTACAAGTGTTCTCTTTAATATGGTCACTCCACACACAACTGTGGTACATCTAGAACTCAATAGAAATATCCCACTTCTGATTACTTCACCTTGCCACCCCCCTCCCACCGACGATATGATTGCTTTTACATTCAAATTGAAAATACCACCTGAATATGATATTCAATGCTACCCAAAACCCAGGTTAAAAGGGAGCAAGAGAAAGGTGTTTATTTTATTTAAGAAGAATGTTTAGAGAATATATGTGAAAATTATTCTCTGTCTGCACTGGAAGGTAATCACAGTTAAGATGAATCACCTTGTGAAATCACACCAACATATTTCCAAAGAAAAATGTCTAGACTCTGTACTCCCTGTATGTCCTCCATCATGATATCCTGTCGATTGTGGTTTTTAAAGTACCCTTTTACTTTTACATATATGTCAAAATCCGATTTCCAAACGTGCAAATTACTTCCACAAAATATTTTAAGTTATTGCCCAGAGATCCTATGCATCCTTCATTTACACATAAAATGAAGTTTTACATCACCACTCTATTTACAACCATTGTCTAGTGTGCATGTAATAATAAGTCCATGGGAAAACATCATCTTGCAGATTGTTTCATTTGAGTCCTGGAGGCTGTAGCCTAATGTAGTTGCTAGTGGGAGATGTACATGGGAAAAAAACTTGTGAATAATGGTGTTGCAGACAGCACACATTTCAAAATGTATTGGTCTGCTTGCCCAAGCCAGTGAGGTTTGTAACATGCCACGCTCTAGTGCAATGGACAGGCTTTACAGACAAGGAAATTTGTCCGGCATGCTTATATTTGAAAACACCATTCACTTGCATCTCTTAGAATCTTTAATTTGCAGAGATTAGTTCAAAGATAATTAATAGAAAGAAGCCATTGAGTAATAGCAGAAATGTGTCAATTTATGCTAAGATGATGTAAAAGACTTCATATTTAAAATATTAACTTTTGGTGAATTGTAGTAAGAACCTAAAATATTGTTGATATAGCAACTGATATCAAACAACAGTCAGAAGTAATTGATTCCTGCTTGGGGTATGGAGGTGGGAAGAACAGAATGACAAAAAGAGAAAACATTTCAGACTGTGACTGAGACACAGAAAACCCTAGTTATTGCTTGCTTCAGAAATATTTTTAAATGATCAAGAGGAATTAATTTCAGATCTACCTTATAATTATATTGTTTGGAATTTGCCACTAAACTTTTTATTTCATAAGCTGTTCTCTTTATTTGCTAATGTTACTTTATATATCTTCAAGAATACTTTATTTGGTTTTATAAGGTTCTGAATTTAAAGAAAAAAATAAAACTGGAGGCATTTTAGGGCGTGCTTCAAGAACTAAAACGAGCTCCTGCATATATTCCCAGTCACCTTGTCTCCAGCATCCTGTTGAATATTCCAGCTCCTACATGAGCTTCAATGGTATACTGAATCATCATCATCATCATCATCATCATCATCATCATCATCATCATCATCATTCTGCAATCAGTCCACATTGCCTAGCCTCCAAAAAAGACTAGACATTGGAAAGATTTATATAGAAATACCATTTTGCATTAGGTTGATCCAAAAGTAATTGCGGTTATTGCATTGTTGAAATTTGCTGTTTGATATTGGAATACAATCTTAAATAAATGTGATTATGTTATACATCATTTTAATGCACATTTCTCACTTTATTATTTTTTTTGCTAGTAACTAATTACTTGCTGTTTATTTTAGACTGTGGAAATGATATTAGACACTAAGCAAATTTCAGTGATTTTCTTATTCAAGTTCAAAATGGGTCATAAAGCAGCAGAGACAACTCACAACATCAACAGCACATTTGGCCCAGGAGCTGCTAACATACAGTGGAGTGGTGGTTCAAGAAGTTTTGCAATGGAGAGGAGAACCTTGAAGATGAGGAGCATAGCGCCCCGCCATCAGAAGCTGACAATGTAGAAATCATGTCATTTGCAGCAACATGGATAAAATTGGAGGTCATTAGCTTCAGTGAAATAAACCAAGCACAAAGAGACAAACTGCATGTTCTCACTTACATGTGGGAGCTAAAAATTTTGAACTTGTAGCGGTAGAGAGTGGAAAAATAGATAACAGAGACTGGGAAGGGTGAGGGAGAGGGGAGTGAGGAGAATGAAAAGGAATGCGTTAAAGGGTAAAAACATACAGTAAGATGAAAGGAATAAATTCAACGTTTGAAAACAGAGTGGGATGAGTAACTTAACAAAAACATATTGTGTTTGGGTGATGAGCACCCTGAATATCCTGATTTGATTACTATGCATTTTATACATGTAACACATTTCTCAAGTGACCCATCAATTTGCACGGATAAAAGAAAAGAATATCATATAGGAGTCTTATAGAGCTTTCAACACATAATCAAAGTTCTTCAAGTAAGGAATCTTTCTTTGGTTTAATAGAGTAGAACTTCCATTTTCAAGAAGAGTTTTTCCATATGTGCTTGTAAGAGAGGGTGCTCTTATTAGTTTGACATATTTTTAATTAGCTGACAAGTTATAATTCCCTGTTTGTGTACAGTGAGATTTCATCACTTTAACAAAAAAAAATTCAGATTGTCCATACCATGAATAAAATATTCCGAAGCAGATTGGAAAGAAAGATGCCAAATAGTCATTCTATTTTCCTGGATTCATTGGTGAAACTGCCCTGGATCTGAGCACTAACTATAAGCATTTCGATGCTCAAAGCAGAGTTTGCCCATGTCAGTTCCTCACATATGCTCTGTGTCTTCCCAGCAGTATTTTCTTCCCAAATATTTACTTGGAGAACTATAAAGAACATTTAGTGCACTAAACTCATCAACAACAATGTTCTAAAGAGCCTACAGTGTCTGACTAAAAGGGTAACTAAATTTAATTGTAAAATTCTTTGAATAGTGAACAATATTAGGTGTTTTAAGTGGAAATTGAGATAAACCATCATTGATTCTACTATTAAACTGTCTAAAACTAAATAAATGACAAAGTTTCCACTTAACCTGCATTTCTTTATAGCATATACCTAGTACAGGCAATCTCTTTAAACTCAAATCTTACTGGAAACCATGAAATACAGTTTGGTCATGAACCGTTGCCTTCAACCTTTCAGGCATAAGTTGAAATTGTAGACTAATGGGCAAATATGCTGAAACATAAAGTATAAACATTTTGGGGGATATGACAGAGAAGTAAAGGTTCAAGATTAAATAAAACAAAACTTGGGACTGCAAGTGGTTCATTTCATTCTATTTAATTAAAAATGGAACAAGCTCTTATGAAATACATATTAGAAAATAGATACTACTGGAAAACAACAATAAATCTTCATCTTTAGAAGTTAGTAGAATGTTGGAAATGTAAATGATTAAATAAGTAGCTCCAATTATCAGAAAGACTAGTAATGTGATGAAGAAAGGGTAATGTGGTCTTCTGAGAATTCAAAGGAGGTATAAGTGATATCTAGCTACTGAAGCTCTGGAAGATTGCATAGAAGAGGTGAGGTTTAAAATGGCCTCACAGAGTGGTTAAAAATTTTAATAGGTAGGAGATGGGAATCAAAATTATTTCAGGAGAAAGGAGACTTAGTGAGTACGTTAGGAATGTGTAGAGTTAATTTCAGAAATCACGAATGACATGAAGATTAGTGAGGTATTGAATGGTTTGAATATACAATTAAGAGTTTTTAAAATATTTGTTCATTTATTCAATAGGCAATGAGAAACCTGTGAGGAGAAATGTTATTTGAGCTATAATTTAAAAAATCTTTTGGCAATAAATAAAATGTATTGAATATTGCAGTTCATAGAGTATTAAAACGTTCTAGGCAGAATATATGACATTTCTTGCTAGAGTGAAAACATTAGGAGTGGAAAGCAAAGGACATTACTATAGATACAGAAAAACAGAAAAATAATCTTCAGCTGATGGAAAAAAAGATATATGGAAGAAAGAACACCAAAAATTAAAGAGATAACCTAATTGGGATGATGTTAAAGATGTATCTTAAGAAATAATCTAATAGGGATAAGAAACCTATTGGGGTCAGAGGAAACAATAAGTAGTAAATCTCTTTAACAAACAGACAGCTGGATGCCTAAGATGAGTCTCAGAGGAGGGTGATTGAACAGTAGTGTTGGTGTTAACCAAATATGAATGTAATGTTTACATCCCTCCCTCCTTTCTATTCAAGGATGAGTTTGGTTTTCATGTTAACATGGATCAGCAAATATCATTGTATTTCAGGAAATTAAATATCTCATTACAAATTAATACATTGGCAATTTGGTTAATTGAGGATACTTTGAAATGGTTAATTGGAATAGATTTTCATACCAGACTGTCTGGTTTGATCGTTTTCTGAGTATGTTGAAACTGAGCTCTTGAACTTGTAAAGAGAGGACCAGACTCACTTTAAATAACAAGGAAGTATTTAAGGATGTAGAAGTTACATTCATATCTAATTAGCAACTTTGTCTACATTTCAAATCCTATGTAAATTATTTTGTTCAAGAAAAGCTTGAGCAAAATTCATCTATTCTAAGATGCCTGAGGGTTTTCACACAATGAAGATATGGGAAGAACGATAAATCTCAATATACTTCAGTTTTCTATTTTGTGCAAAGGGGAGTAATAATACCTACCTTGCTGTATAGGTGTATTAGTTTATTTTCATACTGCTATGAAGACATACCTGAAACTAGGTAATTTATGAAGAAAAAGAGGTTTAATGGAGTTACAATTCCATATGGCTGGGGAGGCCTCACAATCATGGCTGAAGGCAAAGGAGGAGCAAAGACATGTGTTAGATGACCGCAGGCAAGAGAGCACGTGTAGAAGAACTGCCCTTTATAAAACCATCAGATCTCATGAGACTTATCGACTATCATGAGAACAGACCAGGAAAAACCCGCCCCCATGATTCAATTACCTCCCACAGGGTCCCTTTCCCAACATGTGGGGGTTATAGGAGCTACAATTCAAGATAAAATTTGGGTGAAGATTCAGCCAAACCATATCAGTAGGCATGAATAGTAAATAAGGTATGAAAGCACTGGGAATAATTTCAGGTATATCATAATTCACACAATTAGTGTTTGTTTTGGTAATAATTGAGATGAAATTGAGATGAAAGAAAGTGACAATAAAAGGAAAGGCAGAAGAACAATGTTCAAAATTTAATTTTCAAAAAGGCTAGGTCCAGCAGATAGAAAATTAAAAATAAACCATTTGATTGAAAGTCAAAAATTTGCCTTAGTTTTTGTTCTGAAAATGATCTTACAGAATTTTGTTTCACTTTCTAGTAAATGTTTCTTCAGTTTTACTTGTTATTTCCCACAGAATATTATTATCCATTGGAATGTAAAAGAATTCACACTTCAGAAATAAAAAAGTATATTAAAATAAAATTTTAATAACATAAATAAGAACAAAATATAATAGGCCTTTATTGTGGTGTTCACATTTAACAAGATAGAAAACAAAACAAAACAAAAAACTGGCTGACTACACTTTACTTATTTATAATCTGTGGAACATTAGATTAGGAACAGTGCATTTGATAAATAACTCTGAATTGCATTTAAGCATTTTTATTATCTTGGCCAATTATACATGTAAAATATTTTACACTAAGGTTTATAGTAGGTTTAGAAGGAAAAAAAGATACCTAAAAATAAGCCACCAAGCTTCAAAAAGAGATGGCAATCCATGAGTAAAATATTTTACTTTTTCCCTTAATCTAAATGGACTGCTCAATAACTTGGTATTAAAAGTCAGTTCTAAGTTAGGTCTAAGTTCCAACTTTTTCAATTTTATGGTTATCTATAAACCTGGATTTAGTATGTGACTCTTTCCCAAAAGCTATAATTTTGGACTTACTGTAATTAAATTTAAGTTCTTATCTACTAGAAAGGATGGTAAAATATCTTTCAAATACATTTAGGGTCAGGTCTTCAGCAGGCTGTGGGCAAGGGTGGTGAGGGTATCTATGATAAGAGCTCACATTTTCTTTACCTCAGGAGAAATGCTTGCAGGATAATAACTATTCACATTTAGTTCACTGAAGGGAATCGACAACTGTTGGTGTTTTCGAATAACTAGCAAAAGCCAAATTAATTTCAAATTAAATTGATGAGTGTTTGTGGCATATTGAAACCTGGGGCCATGACTGCAATGTTCCTGGGGGTTAATTGTTCTATGATTTCAACCTGCAGTGTTATGTTATCTATCATAGTAGGGAATTAATAGTATTAATTAAATTGGACAGGCAAAAGAAGTGATGACAATAAAACCAAAGAACAAAATACAAAATTTGGAGATAGATAGCTAGATAGTAGATAATATAGATACAGACAATTTAAGCTTCTTTTTATTCTGAAATAAAAGGTAATCTCTAGATTCTCAAATATTAATAGATAAGAGGCTTTTAGATTCTAGTTTTTGAGTGAAGTAAGGAGGAAAAATATAAAGGCAAATTGATTAAAAACAAAGTACCAAGCAAATACATATTCAAAAGGATAAAAATAAAATAATGCATTTAAAGTGAAATAAAGTCAAGTAATAAATCTATGAGTTCATGTGGCACAACATAAATTTTTATCAAAAGACAGGAAGATTCCCAAGAAGATCTCAAACGATGAAATGTTTCTATAAAAAGCTATAGAAACAAGGAGAGTGACATCATCTGGTGCTAACAAATGTGGAACACTTCACTGAGTACTCTGAACATTTTTTGCAGCCTATGATTGTGAAGAAAGAATACTGTCTGAGGAGAAGGAGAGATAAAACTGAGACTCTCAAGGTCTTCTCCAGTCTCCTGAATTTATGATAATGTGAAATATAAAGAAAAAAAATAGCTTGATGGTAATTGATACAATGAACCCCAGATACAATAAGGAATAAAAAGATATAGACAAATAGCAAAGAGGCAAGGACATTTTCGTCTCAAGGCAATCTTAAATTTCTCTATCAGGTAAAGATGGAATGTGTCTAGGTTTAGTTCCTTCTTTTGCTTTTTGGGATGAGATTTTCATAGCTTCTGAATGTCCAACAAATTCAACCCTATATGTTTGATCTTATATCTTAAATTAATTTCCTTGGTATAAACATTGAGAATGTACTCATTGGTCTGTCTTCCTTGGTCAACCTCAATGACTTATGTATAAATTCAGCAAGAATTCAAGAGGGTTCGGAGCCCCCGTAACACAGATCGAGATGAATGACCAGCGCAAATTTTCCTAATTGAATAGAGAGGGGGGGAAATAGTACAGCCACAAATCACGAGGTCAGGATGATATTCACAGCTTCAAATACTACGGCTTCGAAGGGATGAGAATTTTAGTTAGAAAGCTTTCTTCCTCATTTTTATGTCAGCTTCCCTTTGGTATCTTTTCCATTTTTCTGAGACTAAAAATCCCTAGATTTGACCTTTTGTTTATATAATTTAAATTAATTATCTGAATAATCAAAGATTTTTATTTCATTTTCTGGAGCAACAAGAGCTGGGTCTGCTCTCAGGAGGTTTTAAGATCCGTAGGGTCAAAGACTATACTCTCTTTCTCTGTCAAACACAGCAATAATATAGCTATAATAATCAGGTTATATTTTCTCTACTATGTTGAAAATGGAAGATATTGCAGTCTGATAATTCCTCCCAAATGAGACTTGAATATTAAGAGACTCAAAATTCCATGGAATAATAGTAACAGGTTTATATTACACAGTAACCAACTAATCAAACTTTCTTACTTTGGGGCAACAATTTGGATGTATTTACATGTTCAGTTGGAAGTCTATTTTAACTGAAAAGGTAAAATATTTAGGGGTCTGTCCTCTAAAAATACCACATTTAGGATTGGATTTGACTCCATTTTGTTTTTTAGATTAGATTAGATGTACTTCATTAAAGAAAAAAATTTTTAAAAAGTGTTAAGAAAAGTAAAAAATATCTACAGACTCAATGTCACTGAAAAGAAGGGAAATGCATTTTTAATTTAAAAATATATGAATTACATAAAATATTTCTTCTGGACTTTTCAACTCTGGGTCAAATTTGCTACTGCCTATTTGCAAAAAAAATACAAGTATGTTAAGATTATAGTTGGAAAATTTGATATACCAAAAAAATAGAAGGATACATCTCTGGGAGTGGGATACAGTCTTCAGCATTCTGATTTGTTTTAACTTATTTATGTTTTAATGTTCAAATGAGTCAATAGTATTCAGTTAAAGTTGAAAATTACTGAATAAGATTATTTGACCAAAGCCTTACCGTGTCAAAACATGGTCTAAAATACAGCTTCCCCTTACATCCACAATAATAATTAGCCTTGGTCACCAAACCAGAATTGCCTGTCTTGTTTGCAGATAACAATATGATGGCTTTGATAGATGCAATGTATGTAATCAAGAGTGGAAAATTAATGGTAAATTGATGTTCTGATATGAATAGAACAACTTGTTTTCCATATTTGCATGGTGCTTGCCAATGACTATATCTACTGGGCCCAAGTAATACTGGAAATAGCTTTCTGGGGTCAGTAATATCAGCCAAAACAATGAAATAGTAGCTGTGTCAGGAAACAACCTCACCTGACTTCTCTATTAGTTGGGAGAAAATATAAAGTGACCTGCCCTCTCTAACATGATCTTAGACCAATTATCATAGTGCATCTCTTTCAAAAGGCCAAGATATCTTAAACGAATGCCCATCGATAAAAGCTTTTCCCATAAACTCACCCTATTAATTAAATCAAATGTAGCTTTTAAACTGATGAGGCTGTAAAGATAAGTTGTTCCTTAAGGTCAGTATATTTATCAATAAAATAATGTAAGGCAAAACAATGAGTAAGAGTACAGAAACACTTAAGAATCATGCTATCCACATTTAATTGTCACTTTGTGTTCCTTTAAATGGAAGACTAGGGTTGCTGAATAAAATTAAAACAAACCAACCAACAAACAAAAGAACTCAGACATTTGGCTAATATTCAAAGCATAAAATGTGGTTGCAAGTCATGTCTAAAAAACTGTTATGGAAAATGAAGTGTTGTTAAGCTAATATCAAAAGTGCTAGATAAAAAGATGTAACATTGTTTTAGGAAAAAAGATTATAAATTGATATATTTAAAATGTATATTTTGTTTCCAGCATCAACTTAGATAGAGAAAACATTGTGGAGTATAGGGAGAGGCTAAAACATGCATTTCTGTTGCTCCAGAAAACTAACATACATGGACTTTTAGAAGCAGTTTCAAAAATCTAACAGATGTAAAAATAAGTAAAACAACTTATTTTACCTATTTGAACTTTCAGATGTCTTTCCATTCAATGTGTATTTAAGACTGAATTTCTGATATTTATCTACACTAATTCTAAAGAGTCTATAGAAAATTCTGATGCCTATCAAAAAATTGAACAATATTACTGCAGCTTTATGCTATTCCCAATTTGCCTTCAATTTCCAGAAGGATGTAATATAAATGGAGTTAATTTCACTAAGCCCATAAGTAGAGTGTAATTCATTAGGACTGAATTTCAGACAGATAGTTCTACTTATCTCAAAGATGAATAGAAAGTGACTCTGAATTTAATACAAGCAAATAAGTATCTCCCACCTTCCAAAAATATTTTGCATTAATTGCATAAAAGTAAGAGATTAGGGAAAAGTACTGCAAAACTGAAAAGATCAAGGCAAAACTTCTCTAGTTGGAGGCTTCAGATTTTAAATTACATTTTGATACTCATAATATTAGTATTTCTGTAACATAATTTAAGGTCCTCAGAAATATTAACTTTTCATTAAAAAAATTTTTGATGTTACTTCTCATAACCAAAGAACATGTTCTAGTTAATGAATAAAAGTTGAATATTAGCCTTATCAACCAATCCATTTTCGCCCCTGAGCATCATTAAAAGCACTAAAATTTTGAACTCAGTTACTGACACATATGTGGAAAGACAAAACAGGCTTTTGATTAGGCAGCTGTAGAATCATCTTTTGGCTCCACTTCTGACGAGATGGGCAGCCTTGTGTAAGCTTATAATAAATAGTAGTCACATTTTTCTTAACTCAAAAATGAGAGATACCTAATGCTAAATGACGAGTTAATGGGTGCAGCACACCAGCATGGCACATATATACATATGTAACTAACCTGCACATTTTGCACATGTACCCTAAAACTTAAAGTATAATAATAATACAATAAAAAAAGAAAAAAATATTATTCACTCAAAATCTGCTTGTTGAGTGCAGGCATCTTTTGGGGTATCTAATTTTGAATAGAACAGACACAGTGTCTGCTCCCATGGAGCTTACAGTCCAGTGAATATTTCTTATGTTTGTCTCCTATAATGTATTGATGTATATATTCTGAAATTCCCTTGGCTTCAAGGATCATATGTCCTGTACTGAAATTATATACCACATTGTCAGGTTGTTAGTCTCCACAAAAACAATCCAGATTTAGGGTAGCACGCTAAAGGCAGAAAATGGTCTGGCTTACAGAATTTGAGAAGATCCTTTTGACTGTGCTTTCTGAGCCATCGTAGGAATAATGACCAATGCTTTTATTTCAGCTCAACCCAAAAAGATTTATTTAAAAATTCTCTTCTTATTGCTTGTTCTTAACTTCTTGGTGTGATTTCCAAGTTCCTTAATAATTATTTGAAAATAAAAATATTTAGAATATTATCTTTCGCTCTAAACAGCCTTCATTTAGAAGCCCATTTAGCTGTCATGTTTTTGAGTCATTTAGGCTCAAATCAGTAGAACAATATTAGGAATTTTTTTAGTAATTTAATACTAAGTTAATAGTAAGATATATGTTAGTAGCTGTTGAGTGTTCCCTACCTGCTAGACACTATGTTAAGGAGTTTACACGTATCATCTTGTTACCGGAAGGAGGGCACTGAGTGTGAGATGTCCAGGTCCTTCCTGTTTTGAACAAAGAATTGGACAAAATGCACAATCAAAGTAACAAAGAAATGAAACACAGGAACAAAGCAGCAAAAGGGGAATTTATTAAAGTGAGAAAGCACTCTACAGGGTGGGAGTGGGCCTGAACAAGCAGCTCAAAGGCACAGTTGTCACAGCCCTGCCTTAGGGTGTCTTCACCAGTTAGAAACTTCTGTGGCCGGTGCCACCTCTGCTTGGGTTTTCCTTGTGCCCACTGGGCTCGTTCTACCCACTCAGCCAGGAAGGCTGCACTCAGCTTGAGCTACTGGCCCAGATCCCATGCCTGCCAAGGACAAGCGGACAAGCCAGGTGCAGAGCAGCAAAGGGTATGTGAGCGAGTGAGCATGGGGTCTAGCCACCTTGCACAACCAGGCACGCTGGATGCTGCGGCAGGGCGGGCAGCACAGGCACTGACACAGGTGCTGGCTCTGTGCTAGGTTGCAACTGAACCAGACATACCTCAAGCAGCTTCTGCTGCAGGGACCAGCACCTGGACAAGGGGGACGTGATGGTGCCAGATTGTTCAGAGATGTCAGGAACTGCAGAGCCTCAAAAGGGTATTACAGCATGTCACAGCCCTGGCTTAGGGAGCCCCCAGCTCTGCTTCCAGAAGGTCTGCAGGTCTTCTCTCCTCATCACCCACAGTGTGGCAAGCAGAGAAAGGGAATGTTTTGTGGGGGTGTGTTTCAGCTCATTTCTGTTACTGCTCTTTCAGTCTCATTTCTCCTGTTGTGTTGGGTGGCTGCCTGGTGGCAGCAGAGGACAAGAGAGCTATAGTGTTACTGCATCTGTGGCTCAGGGAATCCCAAGGTCTGCACCCCCTGAAGTATCACCATTCTTCATTCCCACAGTCTGGGAGTGTGTCACTGTCTGAAGCTCCATAAGCCAGCCAGGAATATATTACAGCTTCTTTGGCTCCTGCTGTTTGGTGGATCCCAAGTTCTTGTCCTGCATCCAGGAAGAATGAGGTTACACAGACAACTGGAGGGTGACCAAGGCAGAGAGGAGCTTTATTGAGTGACAGAACAGCTCTCTGAAGACATGAAGTGGGTAGCTCCTATCGACAAGCAGGTCGTCCCAAGGAGCATCTGAAGCTGGCTGAGTCCATGGATTTTATGGGCTCAGAAGGCAGGAAGAGTGTGCTGATTGGTCAATTAGCAGCCATGGGTGGCCCAGGAAAAGGCACCATAAATCCTCACTCTGGGTCACAGACTCCACCTGAAACTGGCAGCCTGGCACCCAGACTTCAGGCAGTCTCTGGCTTGAAGGTGGAGCTTCACTGGGGACTCTCCCTTTCCCACCTAGGAACCTGTCTGCCTCCTGCCATCCTCAACATGCTGTCCACAGTGGCCAGGCTGTCTGTGCTGAGGGACACCTGTTGGCCTGAGCCATGCTGCCCTCAGCCTCCTGGCCTCCCTCCCAAGCTCGTTGGCACCCAAAGTCTGGAGGGGACCAAGGAGGCACGGGGCTGATGTGTCAGTGCCACCCGAAGTGAGCACACACCTGGCCATGTTACAACAGAGCCCAGGCTCAGCCACAACTTCTCTCTGCACCAGAGTGGGCACCAGGAGCAGGGAGAGGCCAGGGAGTGGGAATAGGCACTTTTGAATCTGCAGGGGCAGGGGACTTTCTGGGCCCCTGAGAGCACATGGATGCCTGGGTCCAAAGCCATGGCTGGACAGCTGCATCTGTGCCTGAGAGCACCGAGCTCCTGCCCCGCCAACTTTGTAGGGAGGAGGGCTCCCTCCGGTTCCTGGTTCCCACTGGCTCCATGGAGTACACAGTCTTGGCTGCCCCTCCCTTGCTGCAGCTGGCCATCCCAGTGGTGGCTGCTCCAGATGGCCCCTGCCTCCATCACAGTTACAAAGTTCTCTGGATTTTAGGTACTCATTTTGAGGTTCCTATTGGTTACCTCTTATGTGGATGAAGGATTTGGTCTGTGGCTAACTGAAGGCTGAGGTGAATTGGTGCCCTGTACATATGAAGATATTGTCCCTGCTTGGCCAAGGGCCAGTCCAAGGCACTCTCCATTTCCATCTGAGATGTGGAGGAAGGGGACGTGCTGTAGGGAGAGTAGTCTTTGATCCTTTGTTATTCAGTGTAGGGTTTTTTTTTTTCCTTTTGGTTTAGCTTTAGGAAGTTTGTATTAACTGGCCTTGGGTTCCATTCCTCAAACCCAAGTGTTTTCCTTTTGATCCAATTTTGGGAAGTCAGCACGAATTGGCCTCAGATTCCCTGCCCTGAGACCTTGGTGTTTTTCCTTGATTCAGCATCAATTGGCCTGAAGTTCCCTGCCTCCAGACCCTACTATCCTCCCTCAATCTTACCTAGTTTTCATAACCACCAGATGAAGTAAATATCATTTTTGTTCCCATTTTACATTTGAAGCAAGGAAGGCAAAGGAACATTAAAAAATTACTGAAAATTCCAGTTAGTAATTGAGAATTGGACCCAGGGCATGTGACTATAAATATCATTTTATTTCTCTACATTCTTCTTTGCTGACTGAACTGTCTTCAGTTCTTGATTCTTCATTTTTCCTTTATGTCTACTTATTGCTAAGGATAGTTAGCTTTTAAAATGTATATTTCTTTTTTTAAATTGGTCACTTCTTTTGTCTTGTTACAGTCATCATTTTTTTACAGGTTTTCATTAGCTCGCTACTTATTTTACTATTCTAGGTGGTGAATCACTGTCGAACTTATCTTTCTTTCAAATTGCTGCTAGATTAATAATCCTAAAACCTCACTTTGTGTAGGTACCTTCTATCAGCTTTGACGGACTGTAAACTCCTTACTTGCCTCTCAGTGACTGCACCCATCTTCTCCCAGCTTTATCTCTGTCTTTATCTTCTAGTTTATCTCCATAATGGAATCCTTTACTTTACCAAAATTGTTATGTTCATTTAGTCCTGAATATGTAATTTTACCCCTGAATCTTTCCTTACACATTTCTCCTTTGAGAAATGCCTTCTCCTATCCTATTTGTGTATTCAAACCAAAAAATTCTCCAAAGTCCAGTTCAAGTATGAGTTCTCCTCTTAACGTTTTTCCTTTAAAAATCAGGCCTAATTAGTCATCATTTACTTTTCAAAATTTGTGTAATATTGACTTCCCTTTTGACATTTTATATACAAGCTATTATATAATTAGCATGATTATTTCTTATTCACTTATATGATAGATATTTATTAAACATTAACATCAGCAGAGCCTGTCAATTTTGTAAGATGCTCTAGAGTCCACAAATAATTTTTTGTCCAGTAGGGAAGTTTAAGCTGGATTATACTTAAGTATTAAAAATATATTAGAAAAATACCACATTTCCCTGTAGCTAACAAACCAATTGTTGTAAGATGCATCATTGATTTATATCAGATTTGGGTTGTGCCAAGAATTAACTCATTACTTTGTAGTCAGAACAGGCAGTGATACTTAAGGATATAGTTTCAGGAGCCAAACCTTTGGGCTTCAAAGACTGAGTGTACCATCCTCTAGGATTAGGAACTTTGGGAGGATGTTTAACTTTTCTATACTTAACTTTCTCCCTCTGCAAAATGTGTAATAATGGAACTTACCAAATAAAATTGTTGGGAGAATGAATGCATTAATATATGCAAATCACTCAAAAATAGCTGACATATAAGGACTATATATTAATTATCATTAATTATGATTGCTCTTAAATCATAAAATATCAAAATAACTACCCATATTAGAATTGTTGACATTCAGGTCAAGAATAATCCTATGGGGGAAAATATAGTACAAAAAAGTCTATGTCTAGCTGAATGAATCATTGCAGGTATAAAGATAGTGGCATTTAAAATATACATTGATGGCTAGGTACATTATTGACTTGTATTGTGTTAAAAAGCTCAGAGACATGATAGAATGGAGTATATAGAATTAATCTGACATTTATGGTTTTTTTCCCATTAGAGTATTGTAATCTTATTTAGAGCATAGTCCTTGCTCTAGACTTCTTTTTCAGATTCTAAGTATCAACTAGAAGTATTAAGCCCATAGTAGGTCCTCAATAAAGTTTTAATGAAATGAATTAGATATAATGCTGAAAATTACTAGAAATTTGCACACTTGTAATTATCTCTATACAAGTCAGGTTTTCATCTGCAGGGCAATTAGCATGGTGAATAATGACTTGTGCATTGTACCAAATTTATTAAATGGAAAAAAAAGTTTGTGATTCTACTCAAGCAGATGACTATTCTCTCTTAAAACAGTAGTCTATTAATATGGGAATTTAAATAAACTCAATAATTAATAGTGAAAATTTAGGCCTAAGGGCTAGAACATTTTATTTGTCAGAATATATTACAGAAGAGGTTGAATTAGAAATTTCATTGTCTTTTCACTGGTGGTTTTTCAAATGTAATTTACCAGAAATATAAGTAATGAAAGGAAATGTGGATACACATACACAGCTCTGTAGAATATTTTAACATTATTTCCCACTTTTTACTATTTAGAAATACCCATGATTATTAGGGATGAATGAGTATTTTAAATTATTCAGGACCATATCCTTTGCTAAAAGTTTGACTAGAATTTGTTTCCGAAAGAGCCAAAATTCAAATTAAATATAAACATTCATTTCATTTTATTTAAATTTCTTAATATTAGTTTTAGATAAGCACAAAAGTATCACATAGAAATGCTTTCTGTTTCCCTGGATCTTTTCAGCAAAAGTCTCCAAGTGTTTGAACAAAGCATTACCTCTACGTGAGAAAACTGAAATTGTTTCCTTACTGTCAATTTACTTATAGAAACATCACTTCAGTTATTAACTTAGCATTAAACAGTTTAGGCATGCTGACTTCTCTCAAAACTTGGTTACCACCAATCACAATAAAAATGAATTAAGTTCACTAACCACTTCCTATGATTTCCAGTAGGTAAGGTGAGGTAAACTGAATGATGGCATTTCCTTGCATGTTGGTGACAATCAAATAACTTTGGAAGACAGAATGATCTTTATGAAATTATAATAATAAACATTTTCTGTCCACAAGTGGACCAAAGTAGGTTTTGTTTTAAAAGTTGTTGAGGATTCATTTTAGCCTAAGTTACTTGAAATTTTTCTCCCAGATTTGGCAAAATTTTAGAGATTCGAAACTCTTCATCCTCAATTTCCCTGTAGAATGTGATAAGTAGGAAGTTGCCCAAGAAGATGGAATACTAGTGTTTTAGCATCGTATATTGTAGTAAAATAATTCCATCAAGGTGATCGGTTGGCTCTGTTTCACAAGTTTATATATAAAACAGATTTTTATCATGACAATCTGTATGACCATTTTCACTTTGGAAATTAAATACTTGATATGAATCATTTAAAATGCATATAAAATGACCCATAATAATTCTCATTCTTGATGGTTGAAAATGAAGAAGACTGAATATTATCTTTTTTTTTTTTTTTTTTTAAGAGAGTTTCCAGGAGATATCAGGAGTTCCCCAAAATAGGTCTATGGAATTGCTGTGTTAGATCTACACTTTGTTGCTTTTGTCAGTAGATTTTGATTCTTTTGTCATAAATGAAGCATAGTTGCCCTTTGGATACTTCAAACATTACTTGGCCAGATTGACATGGCCTCCCAAATGCTGCTTTATACCAAAACAGAGAAAATAATCTCAATTAGAAAAATTCTACACAATAATTTTCAGCAATCACATTCAGATTTACAGTGCATGTTCTGGTACCTTTACACTTACACAATTTCCTTTTCCTGCAATAAATTTTAATCAGATACTTTGTGCCTAGTTGTACTCTTGTCTGAAACCTTCCAAAGTGCTGTTGTTGCCAAGGAAACCATTTCCTTGCTATCTGTGCATTCAGCAGTCTCACTGTCTGGCTCATTTTTCTCCCTCTCCCTTTCACTCATTCCAGGACTCAACTGGAAGCTTTATGCCATTGCATTAGTTAAAACACATTGCTTTCCTCCTCATTTAAAAAATGCAGAATGCAAGTTTCAACGACTTCCTACCATATTATGTTTTCATTTTGTGAAATAAAAGGAAGAAAAGTTTTAATAAGAGAAACAACTTTTGTTTCATGTTTTACTTCACAATAAGCTGAAATGTGTATGATGTCTTTTTTATTTCCTATCTAGATAAGTAGTAGGAAAGTCCGAAACAAGTACTTTTTGCGTACTTTTGAGCTCTGTCTCTTTGCATATACAGCATAAAAACAAAAAGGTGAAAAGGAGACACTCACATGTCAGTGAACTTTAAAATGGTAAGCTGGGTTACGGTTAAACGTTGTCTGAACTTCTTGCTTGCTTACCCTGTCACACCCTTTCCATTCCCTAAAGTCTTCCACTGACAAAATACTTCATTGTTAGCCCTTTTGCAAAATGCACTTGTGAACATTTTATATAAGAAAAAAAATGCTCAACAATCTTTGATGACAGAATTGATTTTCTTCTAACAAGCTATACAGGCTTCACATATTGAGTAACACCACACCCAGAATTTGGCAAACATAGATAGGCTTCCCAGGATGTGAACAATGCCTATTGAAAATAAAGGCAAAATAAGAATTTGATTGCTGATAAAATAAAACAAAATCCAGGAAAATCTAATAGTTACCAACTCCTTACACACACATGCACACACACACACACAGATAGTATGTTCATGCTATTTATCGTTACACTATTTATATTTTATACAAGGGCATGGGGTTGTTTTTGTAATAAATTAGATATTTTCTTAAGAAAAATGCTTTTTAAATTACAAAGGTCATATAAATTTGTTTTTCTTCAAATGCAAACACACATAGAAAGATATAAAAACTTGATCCACTGAAATTCAGAGAGATGTGATTCATTCTGGATAGCTAGGTTTACCAGATGGCTAATGATTGCTCTTCCTTTTGGAAAGTTTTAATTTCAGTCTTATAGAACTTGTTTTGAAATATAACTTCTAAAACAAACAGAAACACTGGACAAAATATTGGTTTTGTTTATTTTATACTTTTGAGCATCCCTTGGGACTGAAGGAAGAGTGTGGGAGAATGAAAATTTAAGTTCTGAGTCTTCCAACAAGGAGATGACCCTGGTGAATATCTCAAATTCACATTTCAGACTTGTGATTTTTTCCAGATATGCACACTTCAGAGTAAGAGATCAAAAATTTTCCAGTTATCACAAAGATAAAGACTCTAGATTCGACTTAACTTACCCCATGATTCAGAAGTAAAAATAAATGAACATTTAACTCTCTGAAGGAAAGTTACAAGATTTAGAGACTCAAATTATCCATGCATTTTAAGAAACATTCCAGACAATGCCTGCTATTTGATAAGAAAAGTTAACCTTGAAGAAAGCAAAAACTGAATGAAAATTAATAATAAATAAAAAAACATAATAAACATAGTACAGACAGATATTGGACCAGTTTTAAAATAACTGAGAAATTTGTTTAAAAAAATTAAATGAACATATGAGGAATGCCAGTAGTCAAGAAGTTACATATGAAAAAAGATCAAATGGAAATTTAGAACTGAAATCTATAATATGTAAAATTAAATACTCAAGAAAGAATGTGTTTTAAAGCAGGTTAAATCCAATCAAAGAGAGACTTACTAAGCTGAAAACTAGATCAGAAGAAGTTGTCAAGACTGAAGCAAGAAAAAAATAAAAAGAAGGGAAATACAGAAAAAAATTTAAGAGACATAAAAGTTTAGTTGCTTAGGCTGGGCACCGTGGCTTATGCCTATAATCCTAACACTTTGGGAGGCCGAGGCAGGCAGATCACTTGAGCTCAAGAATTTGAGACCAGCCTGGCCAACATGGTGAAACCCCGTCTACTAAAAATACAAAAGTTAGTTGGGCGTGGTGGTACACGCCTGTAATCCTAGCTACTCGGTAGGCTGAGGCAGGAAATCACTTGAACCTGGGAGGCTAAGGTTTCAGTGAGCCGAGATCGCACCACTGGACTCCAGCCTGGACAACAGAGTGAGACTCTGTTTCAACAACAACAACAACAACAACAACAACAACAACAACAACAACAGCAACAAAAAGTTCTTCCATGTACGTAATTGGAGACCCCAAAAGAATGTATATAATTAAACAGAAGCAATGTATGAAAGGATAATGGTTCACAATATTTCCAAAATAATGAAACCCATCAAGACAATGATTCAAAAAATGCTACAAACACTAAGCAAAATAAATAAAAAGAAAATCATACCTAGACATAAAATAAAACTGCTGAAAAGCAAAGAAATTAGAAAACCTTAAAAGCAGCAGGAACTGAAAATAAAACATACACATGCACACAACTATCTACTATCATGGAAGCTACAATAAAACTGGCCGCCAATTTTTCAATTAAAACATAGGAAGCCAGAAGAAAATTGAATTAGGCATTTTAAATACTGAAAGAAAATAACTGCCAAGCTAGAATTCTAAACCCAACAAAATTCCCACTCAATATTACAGAAAATAAAGATATTAAAAACAAAACTACACAACAAAGGAGTAGATAATTAAAGCACATAATAAGAACACAAAAGGTGGAAGAGATTTTAATGAAACCAGAATATTACTGAAGATAATGCAAGGTTATTGTAAGGTTATTACATCTTGGAAATGGTAACTGTACCAATTTGTATTAGGTATTAATAAATCAAGAATGCATGTTTTAATCTCGGGAGTAACTACTAAAAACAATAAAATAATGTGTAGTAACAACCTAATACAAAACAATATAAAATAATAAAAAGGTATAAGGAATAAAAAGAAAGTAAAAGGTGTTAAAAGGGGCATAGAAAAAATATGACAAATAACATATAATGAGACAGGTTATTTAAGCCCAGATAGTTCAGTGATTACATAGTGTATTAAAGATTTTAAATAAATGACAAAGATTATCAAGGCAGATACAAGAAAATAAAGAGAAATTTCTCACAGGAGACACAACTGAAATAAAGATGTTGAAATGAAAAATGTGAAGCAAGATATTCATACAATCCAAAATAAAATAAAGCTGGCATTCCAACATAAATTTCAAACAAGTGAAGACTTCCTTGCAGCAAGCATGACAAGTTAAAAGACATTTTATACTAATAAAATGGTCATTGTAGAAAGAAAGCATCAACTCTTAATTTGTATGCAAGTAATAAAATACCTTTAATATTTAAGCGGAGAAAAATAGTACTAAAAGGCAGTTCCACAATCAAAATGGAGGGCTTTAACATACTAAGCAGGAGAAAAAGAAAACAAAATAATTAATGAGGATATAGTTTTTACGTGCATCAATTTTGTTTAACTTAAGGTTTAATGAACATTTATCAAGCACCTACTATGCTCTAGGTAATATTTTAAGTATTGCATCTAGTCATACAATGATATATAACACAGACAACTACCTTGATTTCATAAGCCATATATTGTAGTGGGGACAAATGAGCAAACAATTGAATGAAGAAGATAATTTCAGATGATAAGTGCTATGAAGAAATTAAAACCAAGTGGTGTAATAGTGGGCAGATGTGTGTGTGGTGGTGGCCTACTTTAACACAGGAAATTCAAGGAAGAATTCTCTGAGGAGATTACATTTGAGCAGAGACCCTTCTCTTTGGAAAAGAAGCCAGACACCTTTAGAGAGAATGCAGTAATATAATTAACAAATGTTTGAAGTCTCAGTGATCACATCTTATGAATATAATTAAGATATATTAGAGATGTTACTTTCAGGTAGCTGTCACACAATCTTAGCTATAACCTCCAATCCTGCTAATCTCACAAACGTAAGACCAATGACTGTTGGACTGTAGTAGATGTTGCTGTTTTGCTTGCGGGATGGAGGAGGATGCACACTTTGTAGGACTGTTGAAGTACAGCTGTCCCTCTCAGCTTCTTCACATAAGCAAATGAAATGTTTTGTAACTCTGGAGCTATAAAGGCTTATACTTTTGAGGTATGATAGACAATTAGTTTATATTTCTATGTGATTGAGCTGAGTACAGCTGGAGGTACCCTAGAAAGTAGGTTGGGTAACCATATTCTTTCTGCTTCAATATATCTTCATTGCTTTTAAGTTATCTTATTCACTGATGAATAAAACAGCAAACCTGCATTACCTCTAATTGCAGCCCTTTCTTTTTTGGTTGTTTTCTGTATTATGTGGCAGTTGGGGGAGGATAGGCTACAGAAAATCCTGCCCTGTGGATCTCCCTCCTTTTTCTGAAATTGATGTAAGAGAAAGTCTCTCCTTGAGATGAAGTTAACTAATCCTTATGGAGCTCAGTGGTTTTATTTGGAGGAGAGAATGTTGGGAAGCATCCGGAACATACCAAAGAATAAGTCAAAACATCAATCAGTAATTTAAACAGTTGTCTTCAGGTGGTAGGATGTTGTATCATTTTTCAAAAAGTTTTTTGCTTTTGTCACTGTTTTCTACATTTTAATAAGGAACACACAGTGCTTTTATAATAGAAAGAAAAAGACAAAATGTTAAAAATTGAAAATGAAGACCTTATCCAGAAAATAATTGTTAAGTTGCTAAAAGACAGAAGGCAACAACAACAACAAAGTTAAAACATCGATAAAAACAAACATCAGTTGCTTGCTGTTGTTGGCTGTCACAGTCTCAATTTCTATAACTGGTGTCAGTTGGCTATTTTCCTAGGCATTTCAAGGTGAACACATGTTCTGATGTAAAGGAAAAATCAGAGACTATCGTTTCCCCATTGTGTATTTTTGGCATTCTTGTCAAGCCATGTTTTTTGTTTTGTTCTCTGTTTTATTGGCCATCAGCAGGTAGCTGTTAGGTGAGAATCCTAACCAGTGAATTTATACACTTTGTTTCTTTTGCACAGTGACCTGAGGAAAAGCTGTCCGTCAAGTGTAGTTATCAGTTCTTTCATGCTTGGCAGTATTGTGCTCAGGTGTTATCTGCCAAAGATCATCTTTTGCTCTTTACAACTAATTCCAGCTTCTGCACTGATCTTGAATCTTGTAGATTCCCAAAAGCTGATCTCTGAAGAAGCACACATTTTAACATGTACATAAACACATAGAGGTTCACACTTAGACAAATTCTGAACCTTGGAAGTAAAAGGAGAAGTGTGAGAGAAGGGATAAGAGGAGAAAGGAGAAAATAAGAAGGGGAAGTGAGAAAAGTCAGATGAACAAAACTAAAATAAAACATAGGCATATCTAAAATCAAGTAATTTTGAAATAGAATGTATGCTTGTGAATATATTAAAAATATACATCATAATAGGATAAAAAGCATGCCAAAGCTTTCTGCTTCTGTTTAGCTTTTCATAAGTTTCATTTTAATCTCTCCTGTTAAGACAAAATACACACAATATTTCCCTTGCCATTATTGGTGTCATTTCCAACCAATACATAGTAATGAATTATTTTTCTCTTGAAAATAATGGAATCATTTAAGATTTTTATTAATTCTTTTTTCTAGGTATTACATTCTCCCTGTAGAGCTCTTTATATAAAATTATAGACCCATGGAAAGAAAACAAACAATACAAATCATTAAGTGATAGAACCCGGTATTAGCAAACCTTCTATTTTAACCGCAAAATTGGAACTTTATTGCTATTATTGCTTAAAGTCCTGCTATCTTAATTACTCTTGTCCTATTGCCATTCTCTGTTGAATAAGTTCTTGTCAGCCAAACCACTAAAATTCACTTTTGATAAATTTAAAAAGGCACTTTGGCCTGTAAAAGCATGCTATGCCTTTAAAATCAGACACTGGAAAGCCAAGGAAAAGGCAATCTGTGGAGACAGGTCTAATTATACATAAATAAATTATAGAACTTAATAATGGACATACTTTACCTGTGCTCCATGGGAAAAAGCTGTCCTCATAGTCTAAGTAAATGTCAGAGCTGGAGCAGACTGCTGAGAGTGGCCAGACAAATCTCTGCGCTGTGGGAGCCATTTTAAAAATTGTGTTTTATTGTGGTAAGAACACTTAATATTAGATTTACCTTCTTAACAAAATGTTTAAGTATAAAATACATTATTGTTGACCAAGGTAGAGTGTTTTACAGCAGATCTCTAGAGCTCATTTATCTTGGTTGACTGAAATTTTATGCCTATTGTTCAGTAGCTCCCCATTTCTTCCTCCCTTCAACCCTAGGAAATCATTATTCCGCTCTTTGATTCTCTGAATTTGCCTTTTTTAGATACCTCATGTAAGTAGAATCATGCGGTATTTGTCTTTCTATGATGAGCTTATTTCACTTAGCCTAACATTCTCAAGTTTCATCCATGTTGTCATATATTGCAGAATTCCCTTATTTTTTAGGGCTGAATAGTATTCTATAGCATGTGTATACCAGCTTTTATTTATCTGTCAATGGGCATTTAAGTTGTTTTCATATATTGACTGTTATATTATATATAGTACTGCAATGAACATAGGAGTGCTAATATTTCTTTGGAATCCTGATTTCAATATTCTTGAATAAATATCCAAAAGTAGAATATCTGGATCATAAGTAGGTTCTGTTTTTAATTTTTTGAAGAATGTCTATACTATTTTCCATAGCAGCTGCACTATTTTGCCTCCCAACCGTGTGCAAGGATTTCAATTTCTCCACATCCTCATCTACACTGATTGTCTGTTGTTTTTGATTTTTTTTTGTAATGAAAGCTAAATTTACAGGTGTGGCATTTGCATGTTTTCTTTAAATAAATGTCTGTTTAAGTTCTTAACCCATTATCATATTAGTTATTAGTTGTTTTTATGATTTTTAGATGAGTTCCTTGTATATTTTAGAGATTAAAGCCTCATCAAATATGTTACTTTAAAATATTTTCTCTCATTTCCTAGGTTGGCTTTTCACTGCATTGAATTTTTCCTTTGCCGTGAAGAAGATTATAGTTTGATTTAGTCCTGCTTTTTAATTTTTGTTTTTGTTGCCTGAGCTTCTGGTGTCAAATTCATGAAACCACTGCCAAACCAATGTCATGAAAATTTTCTCCTATGTTTTCTTCTAGGAGTTTTATTGTTTTGTATCTTACATTTAAGTCTTCAATCAATTTTGAGTTGATTTTTCTGTATGGTGTAAGATAAAGGTCCAAGTTTCTTCTTTTTCTTGTTGATATCCAGTTTTCCCAACACCATTTATTGAAGAGACTATCCTTTCCCTATTGTGTACACGTGGCACCACTGTCAAAGATCCTTATATACATGGATTTACTTCTGACTTCTCTGTTCTGTGCCATTGGTTCATATGTCTATGTCAGTACCATGCTATTTTGATTAGTAGAGCTTTGTAATATACTTTGAAATCAGAAAGTGTGACACTTCAGGCTTTCCTCTTTGTCAGAATGCTTTGGCTATTCATTGTCTTTTGTGGTTTCATACAAATTTTAGAAGTGTTTTGTCTACTACTGTGAAAAAAAAATTCCATGGCAATTTTAGTAGGAATTACATTGAGTAGGCAGATTACTTCCAGTGCTATGGACATTTTAACAATATTAATTCTTCTAATGTATGAATATGAGCTGCTTTTTCATTTGTTTGTGTCTCATTTAATTTCTATTATCAATGTTTTGTAGTTTCTGTTATACAAAATTTTCACCTCCTTAGCTAAGATTATTTCTAGGTATTTTATTTTTTAGTGCTATCATTAATAGGTTAGTTTTTCTAATTTTCATTTTAGATAGTTGTCAGCATATAGAAACACAACTAATTTTTGTATGTTGATTTTGTAACCTGCAACTTTACTTAATTTGTTAGTTCAAATAATTTGTGTGTGTGTGTGTAGTCTTCTGGGTTTTCTGTATAAAAGATCATGTTGTTGGCAAACAGAGAAAATTTAATTTATTCCATTCTGATTTGCATGGATTTTATTTTTCTTGGCTAATTGATCTGGGTAAGCTTTCAGCAGTACATTGAATAGAAGTTGAGAGAGTGGACATCCTTACTTTGCTTCTGATTTTAAAGGAAAAGCCTTTAGTTTTGCACCATTGAGTATGATTTTAGCTGTGGGCTTTTCACAAACAGTCTTATTGTGTTGAGATATATTCCATCTATTTCTAGTTTCTTGAGAGGTTTTATAATGAAATGGCAATAAATTTTCTCATATACTTTTTATGCATCTGAAAGGCAGATGATCATGTGATTAGCTTTTATCCTGCTAATGCGGTTAAATCACATCAGTTGACTTTTATATGGCTAACCATCCTTGTATCCCAGGGACAAATTCCCCTTGGTCACGGTGTATGATCCTTTTAATGTGCTGTTGGAATTCAGTTTGCTTGTATTTTTTTGAGGATTTTTATGTTCATATTCATTCTAGATATTGGCCTGTAGGTTTTTTTTTTTTCATGGTGTTTTTAATCTGGCTTTGGTATCAGGGTAATGCTGGCCTCAAAAAAATGAGTTTGGATGTAATCTCTCCTCTTTGACTTTTTGGAAGAGTTTGAGGATTGACATTAATTCTTAAAATGTTTGGTGGAATTCAGCAGTGAATCCCTCTGTTCCCGGGCTTTTATTTGTTGGGAGGTTTTTGATTACTGATTCAATCTTCATATTGGTTATAGGTCTATTCAATTCTTTTTATTTCATAAGAAACAGATAAATCCTAGGAATATGTCATTTGCCAAGACTAAATCATATACATTTTCCCTTTGCCATACAGAATGCTATAGTTTGATTTAGTTCTACTTTTTATTTTTTGTTTTTGTTGCCTGTGCTTTTGGTATGTTATTGTGTTGCTGTTAATGTCCTTTTGCTTCAATTTAAAGAATTCCTTTTAGCTCTTCTTGTAAAGCAGGTCTAGTGGTGAAAAACATCTTCAGTTTTAATCTGGAATAGTCTTTACCTCTTTTCACGTTTGAAGGACAGTTTCACCAAATGAAAAATTTTTCGTTGGAATTTTTCTCTTTTAATACTTCGAATACATCATCCTACTCTCTTCTGGACTGCAGTCTTACTGAATGAAAATCTACTGATAGGGTTCCCTTAAATGAGACAAGTTACAATTTTCTCGTGCCTTAAAAATTCTCTGTTTTTGACACTTGATAACTTGATTATAATGTGTCTTGGTGTGGATTTCTTTGGGTTTATCTTATATGATATCCTTTGAACTTCTTAGAATAGATGTATGTGTTCTTTCTCAGATTTGGGAAGTTTTCAGTTATTATTTCTCTGAATAAGTTTTTGGTTCTTTCTCTTTCTCTTCTAGGATTTCCAATATGTTTATATTCAGCTATTTGATGGGTCTCATAAGTTTTTAAGGTTTCTTCACTCTTTTACATTCTTTTTTCCTTTCACTCTTCTGACTGAATCATTTCCAGTGACCTATCCTTGAGTTCACTGATCCTTTCTTCTGCTCTGTCAGTAAGTTGTTGCACTCCTCTAGTGAATTTTTCAGTTCAGTTATTTTGTTTTTCTGTCACATAATTTTCATTTGGTATATTTTATATGGTCTATATCTTTGTTAAAATTCTTTCTTGTCCATGCATTGTTCTCTTGTCCTTGGTGAGTATCTTTATGAGAATTATTTTTAATTATCTGCCAGGTAAGTCACGTAGCTCCATTTCATTAGAGTTGTTTTCTTGAGATTTATCTTGTTACTTTGAAACACTTTTGCTTGATCCTTCTTTTTTTACTCTTTGTGTTATTGTTTGTACATTAGATAAAGCAACCACTTGTATTCTTTACAGACTGGCCATGCGTAGGAGATGGGCCCCCCACAACACTCAGCCTGCCCAGAGATTCTGGGGATCTCTACCAACTCTTTTCCTACCCTAGAGAGAAGCAGGAAGCTATAGTTTTCATCTGCTCACAGTGAGCTGGCAGGTGGGGATGAGGGAGGGCTATAGTGTCTAAAGGCTGAGCTTCCATCTCCATTCTCCTCCAGGTGGGCTAGACCATGTTGAACCCATCAGACCTTCCATACGTTAGAGCTTCAACGTTGGTGAGACAGACAGTAGTTTTTTTAAAAAAAGGCCCAGAGAAGCTGACCCACTGAACACATGGATAAACTCTTTCCCTCCATAAGGGGAAGCTGAGAGCTAGAATTTTTCATCTGCTCACTCTGTGCCAAGCAGGAGAGAGGATCAATTGGATCTAGTAGATCAAACCATCTCCCCCATTCTGCCCCAGGCAGCTAGACTGGTCCAGAGCTATTGTGTCCGGAATTGGTGGGTTCTTGGTCTCAATGACTTCAAGAATGAAGCCCGGGACCCTCCCGGTGAGTGTTACCGTTCTTAAAGAAGGCGGCGTGTCCGGAGTTTGTTCCTTCTGATGTTTGGATGTGTTCGGAGTTTCTTCCTTCTGGTGGGTTCGTGGTCTCGCTGGCTCAGGAGTGAAGCTGTGGACCTTCGTGGTGAGTGTTATAGCTCTTAAGGCGGCGCATCCGGAGTTGTTCCTTCCTCCCAGTGGGTTCGTGGTCTCGCTGGCTTCAGGAGTGAAGCTGCGGACCTTTGCGGTGAGTGTTACAGTTCTTAAAGGCAGTGTGGACCCAAAGAGTGAGCAGCAGCAAGATTTATTGCAAAGAGTGAAAGAACAAAGCTTCCACAGTGCTGTAGGGAACCCCAGTGGTTTGCCACTGCTGGCTAAGGCAGCCTGCTTTTATTCTCTTATCTGGCTCCACCCACATCCTGCTGATTGGTCCATTTTACAGAGAGCCGAGTGGTCTGTTTTGACAGGGCGCTGATTGGTGCGTTTACAATCCCTGAGCTGGACACAAAGGTTCTCCACATCCCCACTAGATTAGCTAGATAGGGAGCGTCCACACAAAGGTTCTCCCAGTCCCCACCAGAGTAGCTAGATACAGAGTGTCAATTGGTGCATTCACAAACATTGAGCTGGATACAGAGTGTGATTGGTGTATTTACCATCCCCTAGCTAGACATAAAGGTTCTCCAAGTCCCCACCAGACTCAGGAGCCCAGCTGGCTTCACCCAGTGAATCCCACACCTGGGCCGTAGGTGGAGCTGCCTGCCAGTCCCACACAGTGCGCCCACACTCCTCAGCCTTTGGGTGGTAGATGGGACTGGGCACCATGGAGCAGGGGGCGGCGCTCCTCGGGGAGGCTCGGGCCGCACAGAAGCCCACGGAGGGCGGGGGAGGCTCAGGCATGGCCGGCTGCAGATCCCGAGCCCTGCCCCGCGGGAAGGCAGCTAAGGCCCGGTGAGAAATCGAGCGCAGTGCAGGTGGACCAGCACTGCTGGGGGACCCAGCCCACCCTCCGCAGCCACTGGCCCAGGTGCTAAGTCCCTCATTGCCCAGGCCGGCAGGGCCGGCCGCCCGCTCCGAGTGCGGGGCCCGCCAAGCCCACGCCCACCCGGAACTCCAGCTGGCACGCAAGCGCCAGGTGCAGCCCCGGTTCCCGCTGGCGCCTCTCCCTCCTCACCTCCCTGCAAGCTGAGGGAGCCAGCTCCGGCCTTGGCCAGCCCAGAAAGGGGCTCCCACAGTGCAGCGGCGGGCTGAAGGGCTTCTCAAGTGCCGCCAAAATGGGAGTCCAGGCAGAAGAGGCTCCGAGAGCGAGCGAGGGCTGCGAGGACTGCCAGCACGCTGTCACCTCTCACTATCAGAGCTTCAAGACTGGCAAGACAGAAGCCAGTTCTCTGAGGAGTCCCCATGGAAAAGTTGGGATGCCAGACACAAGAAGCAATACCCCCTTTGCTGGGTGAATCTGGGAACTTGAGGGGCTCTTCCTGATTGTGTAACTCTGTCTGGGGGCAGAGTCTCTGGCAAGAGGGTGTCCTAAATCTCCCTATGGGTTTCAGTGATTCTGGTGTTATATTTTCCCAGGGCACAAGAGCCTTTCAATTAGTTTCTGATTTCTCAAAAAGGGAATTTGACCATAAATTGTTGCTGAATTGATGTGTCTGTGGAGACAAGGAGGTTCCAGGGCTTCCCACTTTACCATCTTGCTGATGTCACTTCTTGCTGGAGCCATTTGTAATACAAGTGGATCAGATAAACTTTATTTTCTAGCTTTTTAAATTTAAAGACACAAGTTGAGTTTTGGAAATGTTATTGATGTGGGTCTCCAGCTGGAAAAATAAATAAATAAAGGTTTTAGGCATGTGAATCAGCACCACCACTCTGTTTCATTTATTTACTTATTTTATTTCACATAAAGAATTGCATTTATTTTGGTATGCATCCACATTTCAGCATTTAGGAGTCCTGAACAGAAAGTGGAAAAATGCAGCAATTTGCCAGGAAGTCAAGCCCGCCAATTTCAGACGTCTGCTGTGTACACTGAATTCTTCCTCAATCCCTGCTGAGAATCTTGAGAAGCAGCAGCACCGAAACCAAATATGCACTGAATTCAAGGTTTTTTTGTTCCAGTTTTCAAATTCCAAACTAGACCCCAATAGATTGCAAGGACAACCAAATGAGAGGTCTGCTTAAAACTTCTTCAACTTTTAAAAGCAAAAACAATGTCAGGAAAAGAAAGTAATTTGGGGAGATAATGTGTGCTTACAAGTGTCTTCATGTGGCCTTTCTCCAAGTTTAACCACCAAGGACTCTGAGAGCTGGCAGGTCTGAGTAACCCTGGTTGATTGTTCTTTTAACCTTATCAAAACTTGAGCTAAAAATTGTATCAGTTGGTGATGACAGCAAAGGGTGGCAGGGCTGAGAACCTAATATTCGTTTCCCAGGCTGGTGAAGAGTGAATAAATGTAGTTTTAAAACTAAAAGAAGGAGGTCACAGTCTCTTTCCAACCTTACCTGATGGCTTCTGGCCAAAGCAAGGAAATGAAATGGAAAGTGTTGGGTAGTGACAGTGCTAAAAAGGACTTGAGGGAGAGGGAGGAAAAAGCAGCACGTCTCCATAAAGGTGGGGAGAAAAGATGTAGGGAAAGCCCTGAATTCCTCACCAAAAGCCAATCTCTGAGGGGAGCAGAGGAGGTATAATCTATGTTTCTGCCATCATTTAAGACCTAAAGAAAGAAACCAAGGGTACAGACAAAGTGCTCCATACACCAAGCAGTAATCCCACAGGCTGCAAACTTGAAACTTTCCCATCTACTCTAACAAGCGCCCCCAGGCTAGAGGGCTGCTGTAGGTACGGTGGGAAGCAGGCAGAGGAATAGGGGGAGAAGGCCGGGACCCCAGGCCTTGTCATCAGCAGCAAGTTGATTGTGTGATGTGTCTTTTTACATTTGAATTAGACGTGCCCCACTAGTAATGATAGGAATCAATTTAAATATACTTTCTTGATCCCAGAAGCTCAACTACATGGATGGTTGATTACACTTGACAGGATAATTTGTTACAACACAACTTACATATTTCAAATGGACAAAAAATTAGTATCATTTATGGTATCTCAGTATAAATTTGTTTGAATAGAAGCTTCCTTTCCAGCACTTTGAGGTCTAAGGATGTATCTAGAAAATCCACTACGGTGGAAAATGAAGGCTGCTTAAGTGGAGTAAGGGGGAAGGGGAAGGGCCTGTGGCTTTTCTTTTGGATTAATTGCTGGAACATTGTCCTTCAGGCATCTGAGCAAGTTTTATATTTTCTTTAGATGTCATTAGCCACCAAAGCTCTTGCAGGACAACTTTGAAGCTATGTGAATTCTGTCCTTTTGCTAGCACTATTTGGCTCTAGGGTCCACAACTCAATTAGAACAATTAGCTCCATTCATATTCACTTTTTTACAAGTCTTATAATGGGGGCTGCTTCTGAGTCTATAGCTTCACCTTCTATTTTAAGGCTGTGTATTCAGTTTTCCTAAATTGTCATTTAGAGGAATAAAACAGCATCAGAGGAGGTTTGAGTATATAAACTGAAGCTGGTAAAATAAAAAAAGAATATAACATTGGCAAGCTTTTTAACATAATCAGGCTAATTTTTTTTTATAGGAGGCACAGTGAATTTAAGACATTGACATTTATAGCCATCTTGTAAGTGTTATGTCTTCATCATCTACTGGACCGCAGCTAACTGTGCCATCTCCTACTCCTTTCTGGCCTTTGAGTTTTTCCATCAGTTGGAAATTGCCAGGGACTTTTACTCCAGAGTCGAGGGTGATTCCCATGGGTGGGAGCCCCCCCTTATTGCATCACTGTCACTCGAAGGCCAGCCTGTTTCAGTCACTGATAAAAAGGAGGAAAATGGAGCATATTTACTTGTAAATTGTTATTTTACACTGAGAACTTAAATGAATTATCAACTGTGCTATCTGCAGTTGAACCAAGGACTATTTCATCAGTGTTCAGATTATGTTTTGGGGGATGACAGGATGGAAGAACACTCAGTAACAAAGGAACAGTAGAAAAGCCTGTGACAGAAAAAGGCTGAAATAGAAAGAGCTTTAACTTGGCTGTAACCACATTTTAGATATAAGGCTTGACATCTGAATATCATTCTCCCTCTGTTCTCATTGCTGACCTGAGATCTCAAACAGTAAAAAGATTTTGATGTTTATATTTTACAAAGCACTTAGTATGATACTAGGCATGAAGTAGACACCAAATCACAGCAAGTATTGTTATTCACATATGTTCTGGGCTAGGTGTTCAGGTGCTACATCATGCATACTTAGCACCATTTAATCAAAATAAATGGAAACATCTCTTTAGGGTCATTCATATGTCAGGTTTCTACTTGGAGAAATTACAGTGATCCACCTCCCCTGGAAATATAATAGGCTTTCTCCCTTTCCCCTTTGTTCAATCCTTTAACAGTTTATTTCTACAGATATGTTTTCCTTCCTTCCTTCCTTCCTTCCTTCCTTCCTTCCTTCCTTCCTTCCTTCCTTCCTTCCGTTCATTTTTGCTGTCATTACCATCCTAGAAAGCTAACCTCTGAATGACTTAGCTAAGAGAAGCAGGACTTGTATGAAAGAAGTCATTTGTAAATGGCTGTTTTCAATTTATTGTTGAAGACATCACTCAGATTCTCAGATAGTTCCTTCATGATGCTTGTCTAGGGAAGAAGAGCAGAAATGATTTAATTTGAAAGCAAGGGAAGTATTCCTTAAGCTATGAGTAAACAAAGTATTGGAAAATTTATCTTTCTTTACTCTGTGGCATTCTATCTACTGCTTTGGATCTTTCTGGCACCCTGCTTTCTCCAGATTTGTGGATCGAGACATCTTTTACACCTGAATCCCGTAGGCCCTTCTTTTACTATGTAAAAACTAAAATATATCTGTCAAAATTTCTTAGTTATATTCTAATGACACCTAGACAGCAATGGGTCTGAACTTTAAAAACTGAATGCTAGAACTCAAATATTGACGTCAGAAAAGCCAGCCGCCAAGCAAACTTTCATGTCAAATGAATGGAAAAATTCTAAAATAGACAATTCAGGGCACACTCTTCAATATTTATTTTGATATTAAAAGTTACTTTGTTCTTTCTTTTCTTTTTTGGAACTTATCTCTTGACAAAGCCTTGGTCTTTAAGAGGAAAAAGAGGCCTAACTTGTATGAACATCTTAATTACAACTTTTACCTAAGATCTCAAAGACCATTGAGAGGTTTTGCCAAATGTCCTATCAGAAAGCATGGTGATTCATGATCTGGCTTTTCACAAGGATGAGTATGCTATGAACTAAATAAAATGAAAGGTCATTATGGAAACCTGGCCTAAAAGGAGCAGGATGAGCTTAAGAGCTATGTCTATTAACAATGTAATTAAGAATTGTTGACCTATAAAATTTGGCTGGGCTGACATGGCCATGTGATATGCCACCTGGTTTGAATAGCTTTCATGAAATCTGTGCGTAGGGTATTCTTCTTCCTATAATTATTTACATTACTATGTATCTGTTTACCCAGAGCCAAAGGGAAACCAAGTATTTAAATTTAGAGGAAGTCTAAAAGATTTCCTTTGTATTATCTCTTCTAGTTTTTGCCTAATATCTAATAATTATGTTTTTATTAGGTAGAAAAGAGGCAGGACCTGAGTACATAGCTGGTGGAACCATGGCTCGCTTAGCATCTTATGTTGGAAGCTTCTAGATGCCCTAGATAAGTGTGGCAGGTCAGTGCAAATTTCCCCAGTGGGGTAACTTTTGGTTAGTTCTGCAGCACTTCACCAGCATGATATTAAACCCATACAAGGTTGACAGGCTATGTCCTTTGTCTCTTAACTACCCAGTTTCACCTCTGCTTCCAAAAGTCCAATTCTCTCTGATTAGCCGTTTCAGTGGAAAATGAAATAAAAATCCATGATATTAACCTGTCATATTAAGAAACCCTTTTTGCTCTGGCGCATGCATTTGGCACAGCTGTGCATTTTGCATTTAAATATCACACCACCAGTGGGCTGCTTGAAACTATTGCTTTTCTATGGGAAATTAAACAGGGAGCTGCTTAATGCTCCTTGTTAGTTTTTTAATAAAATGAAAGTGAGAAGCCAGCAGTACCGGGAGCAAATGTCTGCAGGACCCCATGGCTGTGCTAAAAGCAAAGAGGAGGAACTAAAATGCATATTACTTTCAACTACCCCTGCACCGGTGGCTTTGCAATACCCGTTCCACGGTGGCCCTACAAAATTGCCTCTCAAATGTTGTTTAGAGGTTATGTTAAATTGGGAGAGTCTTCTCCTGGGATCATTAGGCAGCTCTCAATTTCGTTTCCTAATAAAATATTGAAAGTTACAATTTAGGGGCCGAGCTGCAGCTATTGAATTTGTGTGACTTCTGCGTATTAAGAAGTCAAGAGAGAAGGGCAAAAAATAAAGGGAATGGAGAGAAAAAAAGAAAATCAGAGACCGAGAGATTCAGACATAAAAAAAGGAAAACGCAGAAAGAAAACAAGAGAGACTTGGACAGAGACTGAGTGAGAGAGAGAGATCCAAAGACAGCAGAGACACCAAGAGAGAAAAAAGGTCAGCACCCTGAACATGGCATTAAACAGAAGCAGTTTGTCTAGACTTAGCCCTTTGTCTCTTCACCCCCATTTCTAGAACCAAATATCAAACTTTTAGTAAAAGTAATTCCAAATAGATCTAACTGCAGCATCCTTATTTCAAATGCAGACCATGTCTGCGAGAATGTAGCAGAGATCTGTAATTGTAAACATGAAATTAGTGATTAGCAGCAATGTCCCAAAGCAATAAAGTTTTACTTCTTTTCCTTCTTTACCTTTGCCATTTCTATGCTAACATGCACACAATTAAATATATTGAGATGACAAAAGCTAATGATCCAATTTAAAAAATAGTCATATGAATTAACAGTTGACTCTACGACATGTCAGCCACTTTTCTATAAAGGGTCAGCGAGTAAATATTTTAGACTTTGCCAGCCACAGGGTCTCTGTTGCAACTGTTCAACCCTGCATTGCAAGGTGAAAGCAATCATAGACAATAGTAAACATGGTGTGGCCAAGCTCCAATAAAACCTTTTTCACAAAAACAGACATCAGGATGGGTTTAGCACAAGGATCAGGCCCCTGCTATACAGCAATACTTTTCAAGTGATTCAGGAAACATTTGTACTCAGATTCTAGGTGGAAACAAATGCCCAGTAAGGAAGCTTTTCCTTATAGTTCAAATTATTTTGCATCAGAGAATAAGTGCCTTTAAAATTTCTGATATTGGAAAAATAACTTGCTCATTTAGCAGTCACATGGGCCACATGTGGCTGCATTTGACGATTGAAGAGAAAGCTTCATTTGACACTGTTGAAGAGAAAGCTTCATCTACCTCCCCAGAAACACATGTCCAGGCTCTCAAGTCATTTTAAAAAGATGATAATTTTGATAATCTGTGTGTTATTTTAATTTCTGCTAATTTTAATACTTCCCTAAACTTCTTTGATGATTTTCTTTGTGTTCTTTTGCATTGTTTTCAAGCACTCACTCTTTTGTTTTTTAATCTGTGTTTTTAATTTGTCTATTTTTTCATTAAAGTCTGGATATAAAATACTCAAATACAGGTTTTAAAAAATTCCACGAAATTGTAGACATAATATTTGCATAATTGGAGCACATATGACTATAGCACTTCACAGTTAGGGGTTAAAGTTAAAGACAATGTCTAAATCACCGGAATCATCTGTGTGGGCAGATATTTCTGTAAAACGTATTTTGTTCTGACATCAAATATTCAAGGGACAAATTAAACTATGTAGAGTAAACTCTTATGGGATCTTTCCCGAAGATTAGTTTTCTCAACATTGTTTCCTCAAGGGAACAACATAAAGGAGTATATTGGCTGATGTCAAGAGTGATATTCATTAGGGAAATTAGGAGTGTTTTTATGGTGAAACATGTAGAATTGGAATAAAATATCATGTAAGTCAATCTGACAAATACCCTTTAGAAGTTAGGTGGAGAAACCTAACAGCACTAATCTCAACTTCAATTTTTGAACAAGAAACACCATCAAAACAGGATGATGGTGGTGTTACCGGAAGGAAGGCCTTGAGTGAGTTGTCCAGGTCCTTGGCATTTTGAACAAAGAATTGAACAAAATGCATGAAGTTTGTTACTTTGGAACGAAACACAGAAATGAAGCAGCGAAAGCAGGGATTTATTAAAGCAAGAAAGCACTCTACAGGGTGGGAGCGGGCCCGAGTCAGCAGCTCAAGGGCTCAGTTACAGTTTTCTGGGTTGGAAGTGCTCCTTTTTGAGGTCCCTGTCAGTTACCCTTATCTAGATAAAGGATTTGGTCCATGGCTAAAGACTGAGGTGGATTGGCTCATGGCTAACCCAAGGCCAAGCAGACTGGCGCCCTGTGCTGATGAAGGGGTGCCCAGTGCTTGGCCCTTGGCCACTCCAAGGCACTCTCCCTTTCCATCTTAGACATGGTGGGGTGGGGAGGGTTGTAGAGAAAGTGGCCTTGGATCCCTTCTTTCTGGGGTGTGGGGAGGCAGGGTTTTCCCTTTTGGTTTAGCTTTAGGAAGTTCGCATTAATTGGTCTTAGGTTCTCTGACCCCAGACCCAGGTGTTTAACCTTTGATTTAACTTTAAGAAATTATCACGAATTGTCCTCAGATTCCTTTCCCCCAGACCTTGATGGTTTCCCTTGATTCAGCTTTAGGAAGTCAGCACAAATCAGCGGCCTAAGTTCCCTGCCACCAGACCCTATTCTTCTGCCTCAGTGGTCTCCGCATCATTTCTTCGAGATCAAAAGAGAACCAAAAGTCATCTCTTCTACATCCTTGCTTTAGTAAGATAATGCTTATTTACACGTAAAGACATGAATGTACCTTAAATTTTATAAAAATATTTTCTACCCTTTACTCATTAAAATAATGTATGAATTTTAAGGCTCTCTAAGATAGATATTTGGTAGGAGAGAGAGAGAGAAAAAAATAATGCACTCACAAATTATTTCTGTGGAAAAAGTTCTGCAATTTCCGTACTTCTTTCTCATCTGTCCCTCTGACTTGGTTAATTGTTTGGGTCATAGAAAAGAATAAAGAACAAGTTTTCAAGTGACTTGCAAAGTTTTGAGTTAGACACTTTCAGAAGGAAGATGCTTCAACCTTCAACCTAAAAATTGAATGCAAAATCTTGTAGTCAAGCATTTCTATTCATGTTAGCCTGGAGTAAGAACAAAAAGCATAAAAGACTAAAAAGATTTCAGTTGAAACAAAGGGCATTTGGGAATGGAGTCACATACTGAGCATATCAAAGATTCCAAAGCTAGGTTCCTGCTTTTCGGTTTTCTGTAGAAATGACATCTCAGAGGAGTAAATATAAAGAAGAACAATGAAAGAGAGAGGGTATTGGTAGGAGGAGATCAAGAAAAACATTATAAAAAATGAGATTTTGAATAGTTCATATGGATTTTGTTCTTCTTTTATCCTGAATGGGAACCAAAATCTATCTGGTTGGGAGACAAAAAAAAAAAAAAAATAGAGAAAACTTTGATTCATAACAATTGACTAGCAAAGAATCTAAGAGAATCTAAAGTTTTGGGTGATAAAATGATTTTTCAGACACTCTTTAATATACTTTTAACAATATTTCTGCCTCTGTTTTTTCATATTTTCTGGTTATATAATAAAGAGAATTATCTGATTACAGTTTTCTTTTTCCTAGGCTTTTTATATCTCCAATGCATTTTAATGTTTCTATAGAGTCAACCCAATATGCCAATTTTATCCAAAGAACAAAATTTCTAACCTATATTATTTCTCTGTTTGTCTTCTTCCCCTTCCTCTCCAACCCACCCACATACTGACAAACTTATGTATCCTTTATTTGAGTTCCCCGTTCTCCTAATTTAGAATATCTATGACTTACCAGGTTGTAATGTAGTATTCATGTTGTCTCACTTGAAATCGGAGTAAGTTATGCACTAAGGGAATTTTGCAAGTGAAATCGCTTAAAGACAAGACGATGACACATCACAATTTTCTTTTCCTAGTTGCAAGCGGTACAATGTATTAGGTGGAAATTATCAATGTCTCGGAAAGACACAGTAACTCAAAACTCCTCCAGCACAGTGAACTGCTACAGCTGGGGCAAAAAGGAATAAAACTGCCAAAAAGCATCAAGGAGTTTGAGAAAGTGATAAAGTCTGGAAATGCATTTATGAATGACAAGCATATGGGTTTTTAGCAACTCACTTGTTGAAAAGTTGAAAAAAGTGCAGAGGTTATATTTTTCTTCAATTCCTTTTATTATTATTGAATTATTCCAGCAGCAGACCTTTTTCTTCAAAAGAATTTCTTAGAATTCGTTAATTACCTGATTTCATGTCAGCCAGATATTTTCCTCTCAAGCCAGCGCACCGTAACAGTTGATGCCCGGTGGCTAACCTCCTGGCAACCAATGCAGCTTCGTTTGATGATTAATTATTCATTGAGCGCCTACCATGAAGAGGGAAAAGCTTGCATTCTTGCTAGAAGCTTGCAGCTTGCTAGGCAAACACCAACCAAATGAAGCAAACAAAAATGTTACACATTTGTCCTTTTTCTGCATATTCTGGATCCTCAAAGGGGGAGTGAATTTCTAAGATGGGACTAGTGTCTACATCATTTTAGTAATTTAACAAAATTCTTTGAAAATGACTTGATTAGTGTGTTAGTGTGATAGCCACAAACCAGGGACAATTCCACTACACAGACTTTTTTTTAGTGGATTTAAACTCTATATGTGTAAAGTATTAAGTTCAGGGTATAATATATGTGTATGTATCTATTACTTTTAATGGCAAAAAATGCAATTACCTTTGCACCAACTTAGTATCTATTGATTCTATCTAATCTATATCTTGCATCTATCTACATTTGTCCATATATACAGTCATATGTCAGTCAGTAATGTTGCAGGAACATGGTAGAGTGCACATACACAATCCTAGATAGTACAGTCTACTACACAACTAGGCTGTATGGTATAGCCTAATGCTCCTAGGCTGAAAACCAGTAGAACATGTTACTGTACTGAACACTGGAGACAATTATAACACAATGGTAAGTATTTGTGTACCTAAACATATCTAAACGCAGAAAAGGTTCAGTAAAAATATGGTAAAAAATAGTACACCTGTGTAGGGTACTTACCATGAATGGACTGGAAGTTGCTCTGGGTGAGTCACTGAGTGTGTAGTGAGTGAACCCAAAGGCCTAGGACATTACTGTACACTACTGTAGACTTCATAAACACTGTACACTTAGGCTACACTAAGCTTATTAAAAATATTTTTTCTTCAATAATAAATTAACCTTAGCTTATTGTAGCTTTTTTTACTTTATAAACTTTGGTTTTTTTTAAAATTTTGACTCGTAAAACACTTAGCTTTAAACATAAACACATTGTACAGTTATACAAAAATATTTTCTATAAGCTTCTTTCTGCTTTATTTTGTTTTTTTTTTTTTTTTTTTTACTTTTTAAAACTTTTTTTGTTGTTGTTAAAAATGAAGCCCCAAACACACATATTATCCTAGCCCCACACAAGGTCAGGATATTCAGTATCACTGTCTTCCACCTTCACATCTTGTCCCAGTGGAAGGTCTTCAGGGACAATGACACCATGCCATTGTCTATGACATCATCTCATATGATAACAAAGTGTTCTTCTGGACCTTGTAAGGACCTGCCTGAGGCTGTTTTTTCAATTAACATTTTTTATAGGTAGAAGAAGTACACTCTAAGATAACATTTTAAAGTATAGTAAATACATAAACCAGTAAGGCAATCATTTATTATCATTATCAAGTGTTATGTACTGTACATAATTGTATGTGCTATCCGTTTAAATGACAGGCAGCATAGTAGGTTTGCTTACACAAGCATCACCACAAACATGGGTAATCCACTGCCCTATGACATTAGGACATCACTAGGCAATATAAATTTTTCATCTCTATTATAATCTTATGGGACCACTGTCATATATGTGATCTTGACCCAAGCATCGTTATGTTGCATATGACTGTATGAAGTCCATGGGGTGAGAAAAGAAAAATATTGACAGGGTAAAATATTTTCAACCTTTGGTTATAATGAGCAAAATAAAATTGGCTTAGTGTTTTGTATGGCTTCGAACACAATCCCCAAGCATGAATACCATTTTGAAGTGGAAGTGCATCCTAAAAACAAAGCAGATGATGATAATTGTGAAAACCTCAAACTGTAAGGTAGAGATGCTCAGAGGCTTTTGCCAGAAGCGACATGTAAGGGTAATAAAGCCATGCTGCTGGGGGATGGGATTCAGGGATTCTAGTTCCAGTTTAGCACTTTATTTAACAGAACAATTGCTAAACTCTTTGTTGGCCTGTGAGGCATAAAATGGGAATTCTCTGTATAAATTATTACAACAAGCCACCTTAGCATTCTGCCTTTTGATACATGATTACAAATGTTTCAGAGAAACTCACAAATCTCATGGAATGTACAGAGCTTTGGTCTGCTTTCTGTATTACATACTGTTTTATCAATGAAAAAAATGGAAGTGGCAATGAGATGTTGCTCTTAAATTTAGAAAGTAAGTATATGTTCGGATGTATGAGACTGAATAGCCCTTATTTAATTTCCAGCTGGGGTGACTTATTGAGCCCTATTCTTGTTACCTTAAATGTCTAAAGTTACTAGCTTCATTGAGTTTTTTGAAAACTTGCCCTTTTTTTTTCATTTTTTCAGTGGTCAACAATATAAAATGTAAGTGACACAGCTATACACAGAAATTCAGGAATCTTATTTCGTTTCTCTCTAAATCTTAAAAGTTCTCCAAAACAGAGCTTATGTATACATAAGAACACTGATCAAAACAATGCCTTATAGTAACAAAGGTTAGCAAATCCAGGAGTCAAAATGGATATGATATGTGGGCCTGTGTATTTCTTGTAAGGCAATAGTATTCATAGGATCTTCTGCATTTATCTCTACAGAACTGGAAAGCAACTGACTTGCCCTTATTATCAGGAAACTCTTTACCTTCCATGCCTAATGTGCTTTGGCCCAGAAAAATGTTAACTCTCTGGCTAATATATTAGACCTTTATTTTGATACGTCCATTTTTCTTCCTAAAGAGTTATTGAACCATCTTATTTTCCTTATTTCCAAACTGTCCTCTGCTTGATACATTTTCTAGTAGTGTTAAAACATTAAAATACAGAATCCCCATTGATTTTAAATTTGGGTAAACAAGATTTTTTTTTTGAATATAAGTCTCATGTAATATTGTGGGCATACTTTTACTAAAAAATTTCACTATCTGAAATTCCAATTTAGCTGGGCATATTGTAGTTTTATTTGCTAAATCTGGCAACCCTAAACATTGTAACTCTTGGAAAAAGTACATACACTTTTGAGAGATATATTTATGCTAGCCAACTCTATCACACTCTCCTTAACTCTCTTGATTGATTATTTTAAATAGGAAACTCATTTGTACATAATGGATGAAGATAATTTTTATATTTATTTCTGGCCCTAACATCTCCAAAAGAACCACATGTTTTCATTTCCTGTAGTGCAGAACTCTTTAGCAGAAATCTTTGAGGCGGAGTCTCTGCGTTCCGTGGCTGCAAAGTGCAGAGCTAGGAGAAGTTCATTTGACCTCTTCACTAACCATAGCCATCAATGTATTTCCACTTCATTTATTTTTCAACCCCTGAAGTCACAGCACAAATAGAAAAACTTCAGCAGAGTAATTATATGACAGTGGGTGCAGAAAAAGGTGCCCAAAGTGACATGCATTGGAGCGTTAAAAATATTGTAATCAATGAGACTTCTTACTCAATGATATGACTCATTTGTTTTTAAATATCTTGGGGCCACGTGTGGTCCTTGACTGGAGGCAGAATCACAGCACTAGCTTTTGAGGAAACTTCATAGAGTCTTGTCATCTTTACCTCTTGGAAGAATTGTTTTCAAATAGTAATTGCTTATTTCTACCTATTAAAATTTGTGATGGTCTGGTGCATGCCTATAGTCTCAGCTGCTTGGGAGACTGAGGTGGGAAGATCACTTGAGTCCAGGAGTTTGAGGCTGCAGTGAGCTATGACCACAACTATGAACATTCATGGAACTCTAGCCTGGGCAACATAGCAAGAATCTGTCTCTAAAATAATAATAATAATAGAGTAGTCCCTGGCATATGGCATAGGCATAAGATTGTAGGCTTTAATAAATACTTTTAAAAATAAAACAAAATTTGTGATGATAAAATCTCTTGCATGAAAAAAAAAAAAGGTTATCTCCTTTTCTAGACATTTAGAAATCTTTGTCTAAAAAGGTCTTTTTTTCTTCATGTTATCTGCTTGGGCCTGTTTCCTTAATGCTTTTATCCATTTTTTTACACAGAATGACTTTAGGCTCCAGTTTTCTCATTTGTAAAATTATGATAGTAATATTTATCTCCCTTAGTTGTCATGAGGATTAAATGAGATGAATGTCAAAGTTCTTAGCTTAGTTCTGAACCACAGCAGCTTAATAGATTATTTGACACTGGCTGACTAAATGTCTTCTGATGTACTACTCATACCATTTTGCAACTTAACATTCACACACTCAGGAGCTCACACTCACACTCAGAAGCTGTTTCCTTACACATACTGATGCAGGATTTTTCTTCTTGGTCACTTTGCAAGCCAGGGACCCTTGGCCGGAGAAGCCCCACCCCGGCCTCATTAGGCCATGCTGGCATGCCTCAGCTTGCCTCTGTTATAGCTTGTACCCACATTCAGCGGTTCCTGAGCTCTTGTACTGTGCCCAAGAAGAATGAGGATATGCTAGACATTGAAGGATAAGGAGGATGAAGAATTTTACTGAGTGATGAAACAGCTTTCAGTGGAGAGGGGATGCAGAGGGGGTCCCTCTACCCAAAGGTGGGAAAGACCCCCGTGTGGCTGGGTCCGGGGCCTTTTATGGACTTGTTATGGAAAGTGCATGCTGATTGGTTTGTGAGTATGCATAAAAGGTTAAAGCAAAGACACCACTCAAAGGTGGCCACGACAGTGTAGAAAAACCAACTAGGAAAGCGTAGGTATATATAAGATAGGTGAACAGGAAGAAAGAAACAGGAAGACAAATTCTCAATTGGGTCTGAGGATTTAACTTGTAGCTTGGCTTTCAGGCTTTAAACGGTCTTCGGCTTGGAGGTGGGGTTTCACCGGGGACCCGTTCCTATCTGCCTAGGCATTTGGCTACCTCCTGTCGCTCTCAATACAATGCTTCTGACAGCAAATGTGTGGGTTTTTTACACACCAAACGATTCTCCAGCTTCCTGGGCACTTGCTGGGTGTCCCGCAGTTTAATTGAACTTTGACCCTGTCTATCTGGCATTAGCATCAGATCCCATAAGTAAAAGGGCTCAGTCCCACAAGACTGTCCTTACTTCTGATGCCGGTTGCACGTTTGAGCCTCCCATATATCTGACAGACTGGCTATAAATCCAGGGTTACTATGACACCTTCCTCCTGTTCAGTAGTTTGCTAGAATGACTCACCAAGCTCGGGAAAACACTTTGCTTACATTTACTGGCTTATCACAAAGAATACAACTCAGGAACAGACATACAGAAGAGATTCATGGGCAAGGCTTGGTCAGTGTTGCAGGAGGGAGTGTGATGCTCCCTCCTAGCACCTTGATGTGGTCACCTACCCAGAAACTCACGGAATCTTGTGGCTCAGGAGTCTTTATAGAGCTTAATCTCCCTTTCTTCCACCCTCTTCCTGGAAGTAACTCTGCAGGGCTGAAAGTTTTAACCCTCCAATTACCTGTTGTTTCTGATGATCTGCCCCATACTAAGGCTATCTAGGGGCTCTACCCTAAGTCACCATATTAACATAAACCTAGATGTGATCAAAAGATGCTTGTTAGGAGTAAGAAAAGGAGAAAAGACGCTCCTGTATCTATTCTAGTGTTTTCTGTATTTTTTCCTGTATCTTTTCCTAGTGTTTTAGGAGCCCTGTACTAAGAACTGGGGACAAAAAGACCAAATGTATTTATTATACCATAGGTATCTTCTACATAATGTTAAGTGTATAATGGTTATAATTTCAGTGTTACTATGCATTTGTTCTAAAAGACTCGGTGGCTTGTATTTACTTGTGTTTGTGTTGGTAAGCTTCTTCATAAACATTTATAAACATTCTATTACCAAATTGAAACACATTTAGATTTCTTTAACTGATGGAAACTTCAAATGAGAAGCAATCTGAAACTTGCCTAATAGTTACCCTTATTATTCGTAACAATTAAACACTTTTCAAAGAACTTGAAAAAATGTCGTATGTCTACAATGAAAGCATAATCTGAGGAAGGCAATTTGTTTAGAGTGACAGCCTGATTTGTTACAAAAATAAATCAATAAGACAAAAGATTGTCCAAATGTATCCCATCCTCTTTAAAACATTGACAGGCTGAAGAATGAGGTTTGTTCAGAATAAAATGATAGCAGGCTCATCACAATAGGTAGCATTTTCAGTAATACAAGATTCTTAGAACCACTACAGCTGGGAAAACAAATAAACATCTCAAAATTAGATATAATGTTGGTTTTCGTGTCATATAATTTGTAATATAGCACTGAGTTATTGTGACAGAGAAAAAGAAAAAAAAAGAGGGTCAAAGGGAGCAGAAAGCTTAAAAAAGAACATCAATATCCTTGTGAACTCATTTACACTTTAAGTAATGAACACAGATTTTATTTTTGAAATTTCCTATCTCCTACACTGGCCATGTTTTATGATTTCATGCAATTACCCAAAACATACGTCACAACTACTGAAGAACATTCAAGCTTAAAATGCATTTTTTTTTAGCAAGAAGATAAATATAAGAGCTATAAATATTAGTGAGATACATACCTCCTAGTATTTCATGGGTCAGAAAAATGAGTGCAAACACTTATTGAGATAGAAGAGTATTAAACAATGCAGCCTTAGTTAACAGTCTTGCTCTTGGCCCAACTGCACTAGGTATCAAGGGCTGTGATCATAATGTATTTAAAATATTCAGGTGCACAATTTACTAAATCTAGTCAAACAAAATAAATGAGTAATTACTTCATACTTAGCCTTTAATTAAAACAGAATTCTTTCTTGAAGGATAACTCATTAAAAAAAAGTTTGTTCTTCTCAAAGGAGGGTATATTTTCCCTTTCTACTGAATCAATATTAAAACCTAATGAAAAACCCTACATGCGTTACAAATACAGTGAATGAATGGAACAGGCATTGCTTTTATGAATATGGCTTACAAGAATACAGGCCTGGCATTGCCCAAGCTTGTTACAAATATCGTCCAGCTCATAATTTGAGGTCGGTGGAATCAGAAGGCAGTTCATTATTATGAGCATGTTTGAGATTAAAAGGGAAAAAACAATGATGGCTGGTTTGGATGAGTTATCAAATAGACTCAAGGAGAATATTTGACATAAGGCTTAGAGCCTAGGAATTAAAGAGCCTAGGAGAATGTGAGTAAGAGAAAATAGGTGGCATTAAATGGGTGAGTGAAGGGCAGTGTTATACGGTAATCCCTCAGTATCTACAGGGATTGGTTCCAGGATCCCCCCAACTCCCCGGGATAGCAATAACCTCAGAGGCTTAAGTCCCTTATATAAAATAGCATAGTATTAGCACATAACCTATCCACCTTCTTTCATATATTAATTATCATACCTAGTACAGTGTAAATGCTACATAGTTGCTAAGCTCTATTTTTATTATATTATTTTTATTCTTTTTTCTGAATGTGTTTGATCTGTAGTTGGTTGAATCCTCGGATGTGGAACCTGTAGATATGGAATAATTATTGTATAACATTTCTAGAAGCAAGTGTTACCATATGGGATATAATGGTTAAAAAGATGAACTTTGGATTTAAACACCTCTTGGTTTAAAACTTGATTCTTCCCTTTACTAACTGTGGGACTTGTCAGTTCTAGAAGTCTCAAGAACTTCATCTCTGAAGCAATGAAGATGATGATAGTGATATCTGTCACAAGATTTTATATCATGAAGTGAGACGTGTAAGCAGAGATTATAGCACTCATTACACATAACAGTGATAGCTCTTTCTATTTCATGGGTGGGCCACATCCATTTCAAAAAACCTGGAATGAGCAGAATGCTTGCAACTATGTAATATGCAAGGAGAAAATAAAACTGTGCAGTCAAAGGTGGATAATGATGCTCATTCAAAATAAGAAGTTAATGTGGAAAAATTTAATGATAAAACACAATGAATTTAATATATATTCAGTATGAAAAGTATCCAAACAAAAGAAATTATTATATTAAAAACACACCTGTACTTGTATGTTTATTGCAGCACTGTTCACAATAGCAAAGGCATGGATTCAAACTAACACTAATCCATCAATGGGAGATTAGATTAAAAATATGGTGTATATGTGCCATGGAATCCCATGCAGCCATAAAAAAATGAAATCATCACCTTTGCAGCAATATGGATAGATCTGGGGGACATTATTGTAAGTGAAATAACTCAGAAACAGAAAATTAAATAGCTCATGGTCTCACTTATAAACAAGAGCGAAACAAGGGGTCACATGGACATAAAGATGAAAATAATACATGGGGCGCAGTGGCTCATGCCTGTAATCTCAGCATTTTGGGAGCCAAAGACGGGCGGATCACTAAGTCAAGAGATGGAGAACATCCTGGCCAACACGGTGAAACTCTGTCTCTACTAAAAATACAAAAATTAGCTGGGCGTGGTGGCATGTGCCTATAGTCCCAGCTACTAGGGAGGCTGAGGCAGGAGAATCGCTTGAACCCAGGAGGCGGAGGTTGCAGTGAGCCAAGATGGTGCCACTGCACTCCAGCCTGGCAACAGAGAGAGACTCCATCTCAAAAAAAAAAAGATGGAAATAATAAACACAGGACTCTAGAAGAGGGAGAATGAGGGTTGAAAAATTGGACACAGTGTTCACTGTAACCTAAAATGATAAAAAAAAAAGATGAGAAGAATTAAAACTATATGATATAGAAAGTGAAAATCCACCACCATAATCCCAATACCTAGGTAAAACCACTTTTAACATATACCTTTGTTTTTAAATCAGACTTTAAAAAATTATTCAAAAAAACACTCCAATTTACACACTTTTTTGCAACAATACAACTATATTATGAATAGTTATCTTGCTTTTTTTATATCAATATGGATATTTTTCTTTTTTGAGATGGAGTCTTGCTCTGTTGCCCAGTCTGGAGTGCAGCGGTGTGATCTAAGTTCACTGCAACCTCCACCTCCCAGGTTGAAGCAATTCTCCTGCATCAGCCTCCTGAGTAGCTGGGACTACAGATGCATGCACCACACCTGGCTAATTTTTATATTTTTAGTAGAGATGGGTTTTTTTCATGTTGACCAGGCTGTCTCAAACTCTTGACCTCAGGTAATTCACCCACCTCGGCCTCCCAAAGTGCTGGGATTACAGGCGTGAGCCATGGTGCCCAGCCTGGATATGGATATTTTTCTATGTCAATAAATATGTTAACATTATCATGTTATATGCGCCATATTACCCCATTGTATGAAATTTCCTATTTTATTTAATCACTAGAAATGAACATTTAAAGTATTTTCAAAATTGTGCCATTATAAATATCAACATAAAACTTCCATTAGTCCATACTGATGTAAACAGATTATTGAATTTAAAAAAATGGAGAATAGATAAATATCTTGTGAAGAAGAATTTCAAATAATATATGTAGATATTCTAACCTTGAGGTAGGCTTCACAGAGTGGACTTTCTTTCAAAGAATGCCATATGGAAAGAGCAACAGAAAGTAATTTTATAGTAGAGAAAGCTGACCAACACTACTTCCTCATCCACGTGATCAAAGTTAACATTGATAGTGATTAGTTATCTTGTCTTAGTCTATTTTTGTTACTATAAAATAATACCTGAAGCTGGGTAACTTATAAAGAAAAGTGGTATATTTGGCTCATGGTTGTCCAGGCTGTACAAGAAGCATGCTCGCATCTGCATCTGGGGGGAGCCTCAGAATGCTTCCACTCATGACAAAAGCCAATGGGGCATATGTACACAGAGATTACATGGTGAGAGTGAGAAACAGGGACAGAGGAGAAGGTGCCAGGCTCTTTTCAGCAACCAATTTTTTTTTTCTTTTGAGACAGAGTCTCGCTCTGTTGCCCAGGCCGGAGTGCAGTGGTGAGATCTCAGCTCACTGCAACCTCCGCCTCCCCAGTTCAAGTGATTCTCCAGCCTCAGCCTCCCGAGTAGCGGGGGCTACAGGCACACACCACCGTGCCCGGCTGATTTTTGTATTTTTAGAGAGACGGCATTTCACTATATTGGCCAGGCTGGTTTCAAACTCCTGACCTCATGATGCACCCGTCTCAGCCTTCCAAAGCGCTGCTATTACAGGCATGAGCCACCGTGCCGGGCCAGCAACCAGTTCTTCTGGGAATTGAGTAAGAACTCACTCACTACCATAAGAATGGCAACAAACCATTCATGCGGGATCCACTCCTATGACCCACACACATCCCACCGGGCCTCACCTCCAACATCAAAGATCAAGTTTCTACATGAGATTTGGTGGGGCCAAACAAACCATATCCAAGCCACAACAGGATGATACAACAAAATACCAAAGCCTAGATGGCTTAAATAACAGACATTTATTTTTTCCATTACTGGAGGCTGAAAAGTCCAAGATCAAGATGCTGACATATTTGGTTCCTTGTGAGGGCCTCTTTCCTGGTTTGCAAGTGGATGATTTCATGTTACTTTCACTATGTTCTCTTATGGCGGAGAGAGATGGAGCCCTGGTGTCTTTTCCTCTACTTATGAGGACACTGATCCCATTCTGGAGGCTCCACTGTCATAAGCCTAATCTAAATCTTAATTACTTTTCTTAAAGGTCCCACCTCCAAATACTACTACACGAGGGACTAGTTAGTGTATCAACATATAAATTTTAGGTGGACACTATTCAGTCCGTAGCAGTACCTTTGTTATAAAAATGGTACTTTACTTCTGTGGTCTTCTTTTCAAAAACATGCAACTCCAATCTAGATATGCAAAAATAAAAATTAAAAATTAAAAAAAATCCGACAAATGCTAATAGTGGGACACTCTACAAAATACCAGTACTTTTCAAAACTGCCAAGGTCATCAAAAATAAGGAAAGTCTGAGAGACTCACAGCCAAGAGGCACCACCGGTGGGGTCATAACAACTAAATAAATGTAAGGTGGTATCTTGGAAGAGATGTCAAAACAGAGAAAGAACATTAGATAAAAACTAAATGAATGAATCTGAATATAAGCTTTTTCTTTTTGAGACTGAGTCTCACTCTGTTGCCCAGGCTGGAGTGCAGTGGCACCATCTTGGCTCACTGCAACCTCCGCCTCCCAGCCTCAAGCAATTCTCCTGCTTCAGTCTCCTGAGTAGCTGGGACTACATGCTTGCACCATCACACCTGGCTAATTGCTGTATTTTTAGTAGAGAGGGTGTTTTACCATATTGACCAGGCTGGTCTTGAACTCCTGACCTCACGTGATCCACCCGCCTCAGTTTCCCAAAATGCTGGGATTACAGGTGTGAGCCACCATGCCTGCCCTACAATATAAACTTTAGTTAATAAAAATGCACCAGTATTGGTTCATTAATAGTAACAAATATACCAGACCAAAGTAAGATGCTCATGATAAGGGAAACTGGGCATAAGGTATATGGGGACCCTATCTGGGTAACTTAAAAAAAATTCTAAAACTGTTTTATAGAGAAACACTTATCAAAAAATAAATAAGTCTTCTTAAAGTATTTCTTTTGCTAGCCAAAATATTCAATACAAATTTCTAGAAAGTGGAAAAACCCTGGGTCAAAACATTTTCACATTTGAAACACTTTAAAAATATATTTTAAAATTGTCCTCCAGTAGGTTGTACTACATAAATGAAAGGAGTTTGTGAGTACATATTCAGCAAAGCCATCCTCTACTCAGACTATTATAATCCTTTATTTTTAATTAATTAGATTACAATTCTATCACTTTTTAAATTTACATAGAAGATTTCAGTAATAAAGTTGACAGTCTTTTTACATGTTAATTGGCCTTGTATACAGATTTATAAGTTTGTATGTTATACATTAATTGGCAAATTTTACATACTAAATATATGAGGTAACAGGAATATTTCAGCATTCAAACTATTTCCACAGTTTGAGACAGGTGTTATTCTTGCCTCTACCTTTGTTTAAAGCTATATCTTCCTGGTGCCTGGCAGTATATTCAGGTTGAGACAAAAGTGTCCAGAATGGAGTCAGCGAGAGTGTTCACACACTGCTTTATTTTTCATATTGTCTCTACCTCTGGGGAAAACACTTGAAGCTGCCTTGCAGCTATAATTCTGCTGTGAAAGATAAAGAAAGATTGTATAACCAGCCGATGACTGCAGTAGATTTATGTGCCATTTAAATTGAGAAAAAGGGAAATATTAAGTATTTTCCTGTATATCATTTTTTTGTTTGGCAATGGATAATTCTGTGCATATGCAAACTAAATATGATAACCAAATACATATGATGAATATGATAACCAAATAAGTTTGATAAATATGATAACCAAATTTAAAATATACCAAAAAATCAAGATAATTATGAAGAGCAAATAATTTTCAGAACTGCACAATAAAAAGATGCCAAATATTTGTCATCTTTTGTTACAATGTGTTAGATACATTTTTATTCCCATTGTCTCTAGACTTTGTAATAGTTTTTCCAGAATCATATCAATGTGAACTAGAAAATTCTGCAGTTGCAATAATCTTCATCAAAATAAATATTCTCTTTAAAAATCAAGTCAAGAATAATTGTGTTCTCTATAAAATCCAATTAAGCAGTTTTTACTGTTAGATGACACCAAAGACAAGGCTCAAACTGAAAATGTCTACACAGACTTTTAGCATTTATACCAGAAATGGATGGCTGACTAGTATTTTGTCATTTTCTTCTTTAGAAGTGTCTGAAGATCTGAGTTATCCACTAAAGTGTCATACATCTGGGACAATGTCTTTTTTCCTGTATTCACTTTAGAGTTTATAAAAACTGTATCATTACTGGGGAAAAAATACATGGCTTCATAAACCAATTTTTTGAACAGATTCCAAATTTCTACTACGGAACTGTTCACACTAACCAGTCTCAAAAATGGAGCATCTGTAACAAATATTGCACTATATATTGCTAAAAATGTCCAATATGTGAAAAATCTGATAGGGAACACTTACTAATATTTATTGTGCATGTATTATGTGCTGTTCTAAAGTAGTTAAGTAGACAGTTTTATTTAATTTTCAACAACCTTATGATGTCAATTGTTATTAATCCCCATTTTTACAGATGAAGGAACTAAGACATGAAGCTATTAAGTAGCTTGCCAAATATCTCAAGGTTACAGGAGTGGAGAAGTCGTTTGAACCATGCCATCTCCTGTACAGACCATATTCTTGACCTTGTTTTGGCTTCCTTATAGATCATAAGAGATACTGAGGCAATATTGAAAGACAGATGCTATTAAAGCAAACTTAAGATTATGGAAAAGTGAGAACACGCAGGGAATACAAAGCAACTATAGTGATGCAATTCAGCTTAATGATGCATATGATAAACCAGGTCTTTAGATATTCAAAAAACATTTCTTAAGTGCCTAATATGTGTTTCAGCAACCGGGTTATCACTTAGATGAATACAAATAGACAGAAATGTCACCCTGTGAAGCTTATCATCTAATTAATGACACACATGTATAATTATAAATTATTATAACAATTATTATAAAGAGGGGACAACTGTGAGAGGTTGTAATGGGAGATATTTCTAGGCTGTGTATATTGTAAGGCTCCTCTTAGGGAGAGATGGTAGGACTGCGATGATGAATGAGAAGGATCTAACTTGCTGAAGGCGGTATTAACTCAGGGTGGAGCTGGGCAATGACATGAGTAGGAAGGTCAAAGTGAAATTTTCGAAGTGGGGGTGTGAACCTTGAATGCAAATTTATCTCAAGAACTATGGACATATTTGAAAGATTTATAACAAGAAAATGTACACATATCTGTCTTTAAAATATATCACTGTTCTCTCACTGTGAAAACAGATTCAAGGTGGTCAAAATTGGAAGGGGAAAGATGAGATGGAATCTGTTGCAGTAGTCCAAGTGAGGTAGAAACTTTCACCAAAGTGGTAGTAGGGATGGAGCACTTATTTAGAATATATATATGTATATATATATGACAGAACATGGAAATTGATTTGATGTGGGAAGAAAAGATAAAAGAAGAATCTAAAATCTGGATTTCTAATTTGCTTAACAAGATGGATCGTGGCCCATTCAATTAAATAGGGAATGCCAGAGGTGGTCACGGTATTTAATAAAAAATATCAAGTTCATCTTTAGATGTGATGAGATAGAGTTGTCTTTTGAAATGGCCAAATGCAACTGCCATGTAAAAAGAAGGTGATGAGTCTGGAATTCAGAAGGAAGCTCAGGAACAGAGAAAGAAAAAATTAAATAAATTCACAGATGTGGATGTGATTGTGAAGGGAGAAAAGATATCATAAAAAGGTGAGAAATAAAGATCAAATCTTGAGGACAGGGACCTCAATTGTCTAAACTCTAAGAGGAGGAGGTAGTAGTAAAAGTTAATGTGGATGAGCCAGAAAGGTGGGAAGTGGGGTGGATTAGAAGAGTATATTGTTCATGAAAGCTGAGGGAGAGAAAATTTCAAAAGAAAGAGGATGATTAATGGTGTCTAATGCTACTTTGAATTATAATAGATAAGGACTTAAAAATGTCTACTGAAAATAACAACCTAGAGATAACCAATAATCTTTTTTTTGGATAAGTTGATGGAATAGCTTCATTATTGTTTCAATTCCTCACTGTCTATTCCTCTTTCTTCATAAATTGTGTGCATTTTTTTTTTTTTTTTGGTTAAGACAGGTGAAATGGAGGTAAATTGGGAAAGGATATAATCAACAGTGTAGACTACTTGTAGCTTGCACAAAGCAGTATCTATCACGTTGTAAGTAATCTGTATAATCTTAACATTTATTTAAGTCTTCAGCCTTAGAGAAATGTGCTTATTCTCAAATTAGCTATAAATGGCCTATACACAAGCCATTTAAAATGTGATTTTCTCAGTTTGCAAAAATTAACCGCACTTACTCTAAGTCAGTACTTGCAAAGAAAGTCATGCTGTTCATCTGGCTGGTGATTGAGTAGCCATCATCCTTTTCTGCATTCTAGCATGCTGTTCATGGTGAAAAGTTTGGTGGCAATTTAATATGAAAATTTGAGCAATGCTGTGCCCGGGAGGGAAGCTGATTCAAGCAAGATAACACATTGAGATAAACTGCAGAGACAATAGAATTGTTGTGCAGACAGTGCGGCTTTTTGTTGCTTGTAGAGAGAGTAGTGGCTTGCTTTTAAGCTCTACTCTGATTCTAAGCTAAGGGAGTTTGCTTTCTTTCACCTCTCTGTCTTCTCTAATACTGATTATATGTGTTCTTCTTGTCAGACATGACCATTATGCCACATGGAATTGTTATTCTAGTTTACTGGACATTGTAGAAATTTTTAATCATTACATCACATGAGTTAAGTCCTGCAGAACTCCACAAAATAGGCTAATGTCAAGAAATTGAGGCATTGTTATAAAGAAACTAAATAGGGAATTGGAATTAGAATTCAGAGCACCGACTCCATTTGCTGAACACTTAGCTACAAAACTAATACTATGGCTGTTCGTGGCTATTTAAAATAGCAGCAAACATATTGCTGAAGGAGGGTGTGGGTGTGTGTCAGGCACTGTTTTTTGGCCAAATTTCAAATTGGATAATTCTTCACCAACTTTCTGAAGCTTCCTATTATTTTACTGAAGTAATATCTGTTCCTCTTTACCAATCAGTGTTATTTGCTGTTAAATATTTGCCATGATATATTTCAAAGCTGGTTCACTGATACTCTTTAACAGACAGTTCTAGTTGGTTTAGTTGAAAGGTGATGAAGCTATCCAGTATATGTAAATTGAGTGTCTTCTTTGAGCAAGACACTTTGAATCAATTAGAACATCTAGAAATGTGTTCTCACAAACAAAATTTTATATTTAACCAATGGAGCTTTTCCACAGTGCTTTAACTTCAAGCCAAATTGTTGACATCCATTACTATCAAATGGGAAACTCTGCTGGTTGTGTTTTCCGTTTTTAAAGGCACTAACAACTCATATTTTCAACATAAACTTTAAACTCATATTTTCATAAACTTTAAAACTCATATTTTCAACATAAACCTTTCTACTTCTTTGCTTTACTGCCCTTCTCATCTTTTTCCTTCTATATGCTTTTAAGAGGAGCACTCAAAGATACATGGATGAAAAAGCTATCTTCACTTCATGTAATGACCAACATCTTAAGTGGTTTCCAAGCTGTGTTGAAGGATACTGCTTATCAAGTCATTTCTGTCTCTCTGTTTAAAATATACAAAACCAAATGTACTCTCAGAGACAGCAAAATAAATCAAATAATATACATTTGATCCTTTCTGAAATGCCTGAAAGAAACAAGAGCAGCACTTTTAAAAAAACACACAACACAAATGCTTTGCTGGTTTTATTATTTTTTTCTTTCTTTATCAGGCTTGAAATGATTTCTGAAAAGGAAAAAAAAGGCTACTGTGGACATTTCTATTTCAGCAAGATAGCTATTTTGAACTAAGTAGGATCAGCAAGGTAAATACAGAAAATAACTTTAAATGGACACATTTACCTGTAAGAACTAGAATGCAATTGACACACTTCTAAAAAGCAGATTCTGAAGCAGAAAAATAATAATAATAATTACTCTACTTTTCCCAAGAGAAAAAGGAATACAAATAAACAGAAAGCATTAGCCTGTTTACATTAAAAAGATTAAATGCATTTCATTGACTAATTGTCAAGGTATTTATTTTGAGAATTATTTAATGATTTTTAAATCTAGTCCTGTTTGGCAATTATACAACAAATATTGTGTATTTAATTACTAGAATAAAACCAGCAAATGCACGTAAAAAATCAAGAGGCTACCTAACACCTCCATATAATTAGACTATCAGTGCTATTCAAGCACTGATAGACAAACCTAGTACTTTAATCTAGTATTAGCTCTGCTTCCTCTTTGAAATGTTCAGTCAGTAGAAATTGACTGAACATGGCCCAAACTAGCTGGTCTGTAGCATTCTAGCCAGTGGCTAATGTCAAGCCTCTTTATTACTCTGTGGTCTTCAGCATCTGTCACTTGCTCACCTTTATCGTTCAGTTCACTCCCTCTGCTTAAAATGCAGCTTTACAAACCCTCCTCCTACTCCTTCACCTCCTCCATCTCCTCCACCTCTTCCATCTCATCTCCCTCCTCCCCCAATTCCTCCTCTTCCTCACTTCTTCCTCCTTTTTCTCTTCTTCTCTTCCTCCTCCTTGTCCCCGTTCTTCATGTTCTAACCTACTTATTCCAACAATACTATCTTTTCTTCAACCAGTCAAAAACTTTCAAGTCTTTCTCAGAATTTTGAAATGTTTGTCCAACTCTAGAAACTACAACAGGGATTTACCATGAATCCCCTCTGCCTACTATTATAATTAATTAAAATGTCTTGTAATTGTACAGTTGTTTGGTTGTCTAGTACCTATTAGTTTATGTGTGCTGTTTATACCTGCCCTACAGCAGACCATCCCCAGATCTTAGTAATATTTCTTCACATAATCATTGAAGAATATTCGTTTTTGCCTTTTTCTCAACCATATTAAATTATATGTATAATACTTGTTCTCCAGCATAAGTGATATGAGATATATATGAGCCTATTGTTGTTCAGGCCAAAATTTATAGAAAGACTAGGGATCAGATATTTCCTTATCAGTAGTGTCTGTTCCTAATGCACAGTACTGGGACAATTCAGGGTTTACCCTGAAGGTTTCATATCAAAATTGTGACCATAGAGTCCATTCTTGATATTCTGATCTAAATTACTTCCCCAGTTTTAATTTTTTATAGCCCCTTGCACTTCTTTTATGACTGATAGGTAATTGCATATTTATATTTGCAATTTTAAATGTATTTGCTGCTTTTCTTTCTAGGCTGTGTCATAGAGGCTGAGACAACCTTTTGGGCAGAGGCATTCCCCAAAATGTAACCCAGTACTTTATATATTGTAAGAATGCCAAAAAAAAATTGAATGAATGAATAACATTTCAATGCTCTTTTATTAAGGGATTTTTCAAGAAATTGTCCTCTTAAGATAAGCTGAAGTGTGTATGGGCAGGAGAAAGCTATGTTTGGGGCATATATGAAAGCATGCAGTTCTGCATTGGCCTTTCCTACTCAAAGGCTGTGAAAATGATTTAACCTGTTATCTCTAGTGAAGAGAAACCCAAGTAGTTTTGGAATACCTGTGAAGAACACAAGGAGAAAAGATGTTGGCATACCATCAGACTTATCTATGTATGTCCAGTCTTAGAGAAGTGATAAAATGAGAGATCATTCTTTTTAAATTCCCAAGTGATAGGAAGACCTCAGAGGTCTTGAATGAATTCCATCAACTTGCCATGTGGGAAGTGATGATATCTGCTTCAGAGATGGGGAGGATGTCTTCTGAAGGCTGGTGGCAATGTCATTTTATTGACAGTTTTAGGACAGCCTTCAAAAGTAAAACTTCCAGCAATTGCAAAGCCTCTTAGATCAGTTATTGTCAAGTGGTGATGAATACCTGAGAAAGGACAAAGTCAGGGCATGGATACCCATCATGGGAATTAAGGCCATCGTGAGGTACGCCTGCTTAGCCCAGTGCTTGGAAAGGACCCCTGTTAAGGGACAGAGATTCCACAGTTTTAAGAAGCCCCATTTTTTTTTCCTTTTCTGGCCATACATTTAATACTGAATAACAGGAAAAATAGTTCAAATGGTACATTAAAAAATAAAACAAAACAAAAAACACTGTAGCACTTAGGTCTTCACAATCCCTAATCTTCATTTTCAATAGAATCATTTTGAATAGTTCCCATTGGTTGGGAGTAGCTATTGCTGAGATGTCTGGAGAAGCAAAGCAAGTAGCTGAAAATGGCACCCCAAATGGTCCATGAGACATAGTATACCTTATGTCCATCTACTTAATTAAGGACTCAAGGTTCTATGACATCCTGGTTTAAGTATGATTGAGGGATCTATTTTATTCGACATTATTAATACACAAAAATCTGAGATTTTTATTTATTTCTCTGACGTGAATTCGTGATGTGTATATATTCAGAGAAATATATATATCTATATTTAGATCTATAGCTATGTTAACAAATAGATATTATTGGAGCTAACTGTTTAAGTTTTGTACAATCAGTCTTAATTTAGACATCACTATTTCTTTAGTTTTACACATTTGGCTGTTTCAGCCTTCTTCTTGGTCTTGGCCATCATAAACTTTCTCTGTTCTTCTCTTTGGCATCTTGTTCCCCATCATCTTATTTCCCACTTAACACTTCACACAGTCCTCTGTTGTCAGAGCTACAATAGGCTGTTCTCAATTTTTACTCAATATCCCTTTGTTAAGCCTTGTACCGTATACTAATTTTGTACAGCTGCTAGTAAGAGAAATAGAAAATAATGAGTCGAACAAGATTGAAGTTTATATTGCCCTCTCATGAAAGAAGTCCAGATATAAGTCATCTAGGACTGACAGGAGACTACATATTTCCAGCAAGGATGCAAAATACCTTTAATATTCAGCTCCAACATTCTTAGCACTCAGCTTCCACCTTCAAGATCAAGATCCAAAAAACTGCAGCTCTTCATTCATTGGGTCTAATTCCTAAGCAGAAAGAAGAAAGAAATGGAAAGGGATAGTGGTGAAGGTGCACACTGTCACCCTGTCCACTCCTAGTTTTTTTTCCGAAGTGCCATCCACCTGCTCTCACTTATGTCTAATTGGCCATGTTAGCTATAAGAGAGCCTGAGAAATGTAGTCATTTAGTTGGGCACTTAGTCATATGTAATAAAATAGTGATTTATTTCTATTAAAAAACAGAATAGACTTCAGGGAAGAAACTACTATTCTCTGTTTAAAGTATTTTTCTCCTTTAGCATAAATATAATAGATGCTTCTAGATTTATGATGGAGTTACATCCCGAAAAACCTATCAATAAATTGAAAATATCAAGTTGAAAATGTCGGGTGGGGCATGGTGGCTCTCGCCTATAATCTCAGCACTGTGGGAGGCCGAGGTGGGTGGATCACCTGAGGTCAGGAGTTTGAGATCAGCCTGGTCAACATGGTGAAACAACGTCTCTAATAAAAATCCAAAAATGAGCTAAACATGGTGGCAGGCACCTGCAATCCCAGCTACTTGGGAGGCTGAGGCAGAATTGCTTGAACCTGGCAGGCGGAGGTTGCAGTGAGCTGAGATCATGCCATTGCACTCCAGCCTGGGCGACAAGAGTGAAACTCTGTCTCAGAAAAAAAAAAAAAAAAAGCGACAAATTGAAAATGCATCTAATACACCTAACCTAACAAACATCATAGCTTAGCCTACCTTAAACATGCCTGGAACACTTACATTGGCCTGCAGTTGGGCAAAATTACCTGGCAACACAGTACAGTGTAGAGTATTGGTTGTTTGCTGTCATGATCATGTGGCAGACTGGGAGCTGCGGCTTACTGCTGATGCCCAGCATCATGAGAAAGTATCACCCTGCATATCACTAGCCTGGGAAAAGATCAAAAGTCAAAATTCCAACTATGGTTTCTACTGAATGTTTTTGTATCATCTTAAAGTAGAAAAACTTGAACCATCTTAAGTCAGTACATTGTACCATCTGTATTACAATGATTACTCTGGCTTTCTCTGAATTGTTACACTCTTTAAATTTCTAAGTACCTAAAACATTATAGTATCAACATGTCTCTACTCTATTTTCTGTAACTTTTACAGCATAAGAAATGTGCTTCAAAGGCCTCCATGGTTTTAGAAAAATAAGGGGTTTCCCTCCCTGCTAGGAAATGTGTCAACAAGGTACATTAATTGTGTTATAGTTCCCAATCATTTGCCCCTCTCTTCCAGTTTCAATTAAGAGGTTTGCATAGCTTGGCATATTGCCGTGTGACTTGCATTGTCATCCTGTAAGTGAAATATACTTTCTCTCCTCAATGTCAGGGTTGGCCATGGGACTGACTTCTGCCAGTAATAATGAACCAGAAGTAGTGCGAGTCCATTCCTAGAGGAAGCTTTATGTACTGTTGACTGTTTCCACCAGCTGCCCTGCTCTTTTCCCTTTGCTATAAGAATAACATGTTTCCAACGTGACTCCTCTTTTTTCAGCCTGTGTTCTGGCAGGTGACAACATGTAGAGCAGAGGCAAAGCTCATCACAGCCAAGAATACAAGCAAGAGCTAAACTATAGTTATTGTATGCTACTAAGATGTTAGGGTTATTTAATAATAATTTCATAACCCAGTGAGAGTTGATTATATACATATACATAAGAGACTTTTATTCTAATATACAAGTATATAAATAAAAATTCTACTCTTTTTGGTCTGACGCTATTAAAATTTCTTGTTAAGCATAATCTAAAAGATTATCTGCACCTGGGGGACATCTTTCTTCTTTCTCCTCAGGTGGGCTTTAACTATTACCAGATGCCACACCTGATGAGAGTTTGTCTCACGGAGTGTCTGTCATTATTCCCCCCACACAGCTGTTGAGAGGAGGGAAAATGAAATGTCTAGAATTGATCCTTTCATCTTCCCTCTTTTTAAAATGTGAATTCTCATCCTTTCTCCAAATTCTTCTATTAATAAAAGCCCACAAAATGATGCATAGTGGAATTGAAGCAGAGGGCATCCAAGCAGGACTTTCATTCTTTCCGAAATAATTGAACTAAAGCAAAGTTGCCTGAGGAATGAAATGTGATGTTCCCTCATTGCACCCCACCACATTGTGTGAACATGCCTCTAAACATCTCATAAACAATTTTGCTGCTACTAATTAAAAAATAAGAAAAAAGTTATTTTTTTTAATTTTTAATTTTTAAATTTATTTTAATTTTAATTTTTTTTTTTTTTTTTTTTTGCTTTTAGGGGCAGCAAGTGAAATTGCTTAAAAAAATGGCATGACTTGGCAGGCTATATTTCATCAGAATTAAAAACAATTGCCTTTAACATTACGAAAAGATGATTTTAAGAGAACTAGCTTAAATGTACTAGATTTTACTCTGACTTGGTATATATACAGATACAATTTTTGTTTTTCCTTTTTTCCTCACACCAATTCAACTTCAGTAATTTATTTCTCATGCAATTCAAATTGCTGTCTTCCTTTTAGAAATAGATTAGTCATAACAAAGGTAGAAAAGGAGATCTAGGCCTGGGAGATTTCATAGACATTCTTTAAGAATAGCAGTCATTTACTCTTGAAAAGGAAAATTTTTTAGGGAGAATGTATAAAGGGAAGACAGCACCAGAGCTTCTTTGTAATCTCCATATGGGAGCCCATGATTGCCATGATGTGACTCTGTTTTAAGGAGGACTAATTACTTTTAGCAAGTAAACCTCTTTGGGTAGAAGTCATGAAAGAAATACTTTATATGAAATCTCATGAAACACGAGGGTGTAGTGGAAACAATGCTATGTGCTCACTGTGGTAGGCAGAATAATGCCTCCTCAAGATACTCACATCCGAATCCCCAGAACCTGTGAGTATGTTACCTCCTGTGGCAAAAGGGATTTTGCAAACGTGATTAGTATCCTTGAGATGAGGATAGTAGCCTGGATTATCCAGGTGGCCCAAATATAATCACACGAGTACTTAAAATAGTTCTCAAATAAGGCTGGAAAGGGACATTATTAGGGAAGAAATATCAGAGATGAAAAGTTCCTGCCTTTGAAGATGAAGGAAGGGACTACGACTCAACAAATGTGGCCTCTAGAAGCTGGAGAAGGTAAGCAAATGGATTTTCCTCTAGAACCTCCAGATAGCAGCACAGCTCTGCTAACAGCTCGATTTGAGACCTATTTTAGACTACTGCCCTCCAGAACTGTAAAATAATAAATCTGTATGATTTAAGCTACTGAGTTTGTGATCATTTGTTATTGGCAATACACTTAGCAAACACCACTGACTTTTCTTGCTTCATACACAGCTAGACCACATTTCCGGTGTATGAACTGCATCCCTTAGAAGGGCCCTGCGCTTGCTTAGTTTAAAGCTAAGTTGCCACATTGTCCTGAAATTCTTAATAATGCCTGAACAAGGAGTTCCATATTTTTGTTTTGCACTGGGCCCCCAAATTATGTCTGTTGTCCTGTTGAGACACTAGGATTGAGATCTACCCAGTGACATAGTTTGAGGGACGGGCCCTAATATAAAATAATAAAATATGATGAAAACAAAAATGTCCCTATTCTCCACTTTATCTCTCCTTCATTTGCCAACAGGAATTAGAGGATCCAGTAAGAATGCAGAGTTCCCAGGAAATGCTGGGCCCACTATATTGGGAAAACAAAAATTGATCCCCTAAATTGCAGTGTGGAGCAGCATCCCCTACTGTGGACTGTGATGGAAGCCAGAAATAAATTTTTATTATGTTAATCTTCTGATATTTTAGAATTGTTTATTACAGCAATTGGTCTCCTGATTAAAATCAGGAGTTCGGCCAGGTACAGTGGCTCACGCCTGCAATCCCAGCACTTTGGGAGGCCTAGGCGGGCAGATCACGAGGTCAGGAGTTCGAGACCATCCTGGCCAATACAGTGAAACTCCGTCTCTACTAAAAATACAAAAATTAGCTGGACGTGGTGGCAGGTGCCTGTAGTCCCGGCTACTCAGGAGGCTGAGGCAGGAGAATTGCTTGAACCCGGGAGGCAGAGGTTGCTGTGAGCCATGATCGTGCCATTGCACTCCAGCCTGGGTGACAGAGTGAGACTCCGTCTCAAAAAAAAAAAAAAAAAAAAGCTCTACCTAAATTATTACCTGAGCGAGAAATAATATTTCTAGATGTAACAATGGAAGTAATACCAAAAAAGTTATGCTTATTCAGTTTAGTTGATAAATAAAAATAATCCCGAAAAATGTTAGAAAAACCTTGATCTTTTTTCTACCCTACCCTTCTTCCTTCTCCATAGTGTAAGGTCTACAGGCAAGAGAAATAAAATGTATTAGCTAATTAGATTTTTCTATACTTCACGCCATGAGAAGGCTTTTTTTAACCATTGTAAAGTTTAATATTTATTAACACACACACAAAAGCCAAAATGTTATTAATATGTTTTAATAACACTTATTTTTAACGTATGTGTTGAGCTTGAAAACTTTTCAGTTACTATTTTCTGATGATTGATTTATATGTATATTGTGCAATGGAATTTCCTTCTTATTGAATTATATTTCCCTAGAAATAAAACCAAGATTTCTAGAACATGTTAAAATTTATATCTAACAAGTTTTAAGGATATTTTAGGGGTTTCTGCAATCAGCATTTATTTTCAGTATCCTTTACTTTTATAATGAGAAATGGCATTTAGATAACAATGTGAGTACTCAAAGTGATCATGGTTATTACTATGGAGTAAACTCACACATTCTACATATTTTCAAATAAAAATAATATAAAATATATGTTTACAATAAAATGTAACATGAGTTAATGTTAATGTTTAAAAAATTATATGGTTTTGGCCGGGCGTGGTGGCTCACGCTTGTAATCCCAGCACTTTGGGAGGCCGAGGCGGGTGGATCACGAGGTCAGGAGATCGAGACCAAGGTGAAACCCCATCCTACTAAAAATACAAAAAATTAGCCGGGCGTGGTGGCGGGCGCCTGCAGTCCCAGCTACTCGGAGATGCTGAGGCAGGAGAATGGCGTGAACCTGGGAGGCGGAGCTTGCAGTGAGCCGAGATCGCGCCACTGCACTCCAGCCTGGGTGACAGACCGAGACTCCGTCTCCAAAAAAAAAAATTATATGGTTTAGAGTATATTTGAATTGTTTGAATTACTATTTGTACTTGCTTTGCTTTACCCTGAAAGCCTTGTCATCAACTACTTTGCAGGCTTGTTTATTTATTTCAACACAGCAGTACCAAGTGTTTACCAGAATATGATTATGGACAAGGTTTTACAATATTTTATTTTTGCTTTACATATCCCAGGTTATTTGCTTGGAAGTATTTTTGAAGTGATTATATTTTCACAAGCTGTTGTAAGTAACAGTACAAAAAGTGCCTTGTCTATACACCTCAGTTTTCTTTTATGGTCATATTTTGAACCTTTAAAAATACAAATACATAATAATAATATTGGCTTTGATATATCCTATATATTTTTAATAATTCTCTTGTTTTACTTGTACTAATTTGTGTGTGTTTAACTCCTGAATTTTATGGATTTACAATTCCATTTTGATTGAAATTATTTAGTGGTTATGTAAAATATTTGCATGTGTAAAAATCCAAAGCTATGTCACAGGAAACTTCCATAGAAGCTTAACTTTCATTTATCTACCATATTATCAATCTCTCTCTATGTCTATCTACCTCTGCTTGGGGAGTAAGTAATCCTTTCCCTGGTTTAAGTACTACTTTGAGAGAATTAGACCTTTACAGTAATTTTATACCTATAAGATTTAATTTCCCGCTTGGCTTAACCCCCCAACCTCCCTCCCCGCCCCCCACCACCCACCAGAGGCCTTATCTTTTTTTAAATTTAATTTTATTTTTTTTTTGGTAACTGTGTAGAAAAACAAGAAAAAGCCACAAAGTCGATGTTTAGTCTGTTTCGTTATTCAAAGTCAAGCTTCCTTAAGGCAAAGTTTTCTGTTCCCTTCTCCCTTCACTGCTAATTAAATTAATAGTAGTTCTTCAAATGATTAAAAAACGATGTACTCACTATGATTTGAATGTGTCCCCTCATGATTACATGTTGAAAATTTAATCCCCAAGGCAACAGTGTTGAGAGAAGGGACTGTTAGTTCATGAGTACCCTGTCCTCATGAATAGACGAATGAATGTCAGTTATCACGGGAATGGGTTCATTACAAAAGCTAGTTGTGTCCCCCACTGGCTCTTTCATGCTTTCTTGCCCTTCTGCCTTCTGCCATAGGATGACATACAAAGAAGGACATCGCTAGACGCAGGCTCCTTGACGCTCGACTTCCCAGCTTTCACAACTGTAAGACATACACGGCTATTTTTTAATAAATTGCCACTCTGTTATAGCAGCACAAAACAAACTAAGACAGTACTTGAACATAAACCTCCACAGAAAGTGGTTAAATCAGGATGGGCCATGATTGCTTTTGCTCCTGTGTTTTAAGTGTTTTCTTTGGTTATGTATTTTCATTATTGCCTTTGTTCGACTTCTAATCAAGAGCACAGAATTACACAAAATGGCCTCACCGAAAAATAGGATGCCAGGCAGAAAAAGATACATATAGAGTTTAAGGTTTTTAGCTGTTCAAAGATTGAAGAGCTCAGAAGATATTTCGCTATTATTGGCATGGTTAAGATGACTTGGATGTTTTGGTTTTTGAACAAATGAAATACATGTGCAATATCTCAGTAGTTCCAAACAATGATTCTGCTTTTACTTTTCTGCTCCACTGAAATGAGTGATTTTACCGTCAGTGAAACCTATGACAAGGTTGGAAGGGAGATTGATTTTTGGATGAGCAGAGTGATATTAGAAAGCCGACTGACATTCACAAAACATAAAATTGCCCATCGTTGCACATTAAAATTACACTTAGGGCCATCCAGGAACAAACAAATATTAATTGATTGAGTATTGTGTGCCTACCATTGACTCAATCACAAATAATATGAAAAAACACTTCTCTATAGACAAAAAATTATACCTACTATAATATTATACTAAGCATATTTTAATAAAATATGTTTAATTCCTTACTAGACATGGTAAGTAAGGAATTAAACATATTTTGTTAAAAATTGAACTTAGTGATTTTTAATGATGAAAGGTTGGTAACTAAAATCACATGAAACATGAGTTTGAGTAAGGTGAAAGAAAACCATGCTTCAATTGCTTGTTAGGCAAGTATAATTATGGCTTTAGTTTTCAATTACATTCCTGGGAAAAGAGTAATATTTATTGATTTTTAAATTACAACCAGTAAAATTGACAACAGTTATATTTTTATGATGAGAATATTTTAATGGTGACATGTTTGAAAATTGCAGACTTAACACAAATACATATTTCCTCTTTCTCTTGACATATCATTAAAATAATAGTAAAGCAATAAATTTAATATCATATTTCAGAACAATAAAGAAAACTAATGGCAGTCATGAAAAAATAAAAAATATTGGCAAGTTTCTGGAAGATGAAAAGCAGTAGACAGTGTTGAGTGATGACAGGTGAAAGCCGCAGTCTTGCTGACAAGCAGTGGGTGGTGGAACTGATGAGGTAGCTAAACTGTCTGCGAGGCTGCACAGAAGACAGGGGCACAGCAGTGATTGCCCATGCCTACCCACGATTCCATCCCACAAATGGGACCATCTAGAAGTAGGTTTCTTTACTTTAAAACAACATAGTAGGATGACTTTGGCAGAAATAGTAGGAATTAATATCCCTATTCCCATTCTTGTAATTAAGAGTTCCCCTGAAAAATGATCATGTGCCTGGACCTTACTCAGAAGGTATGTCCTCCAGGTGAAAAGCTCACACAGGTTTACGCAGCTATAAGTCAACCTTCATCTTATTAGCAAATGCAAATCTTTAACCATGTGCCACCACGCAAGACTAACATGAACGGGAAAACCGAGATAAACAAAGAACAACAACTTCTAAGAAAACAGAGTAAAATAAATGATACTAACACAAAACCAATATTCTAATTATTATCTCCTGCGCAGGGCTAAGTCTTTTATCCATTTAAAAAGATGCAAAGAAGGCTAGGCGCGGTGGCTCACAACTGTAATCCCGGCATTTTTGGGGACCGAGGTGGGTGGATTGCTTAAGTTCAGAAATTCGAGGCCCCCAGCCTGGTGAACATGGTGAAACACAGTCTCTACTAAAAACACAAAAATGAGCCTGGCATGGTGGTGCATGCCTGTAATCCCAGCTACTCGGGAGGCTGAGGCAGGAGACTCGCTTGACCCTGGGAGGCAGAGGTTGCAGTGAGCTGAGAGTATCCCACTGCACTCCAGCTTGGGTGACAAAGCGAAGCTCTGTCTCAAAAAAAAAGCAAAGAAAACCAAATAATAACGAAGTATCCAGGATTTTCTGCACTAAAAACAAAATTCAAAATAATTAAAAGATAAGTTTGAAGAAATCTCCCTGAATATAAAACAAAAGTACAAAGAAGTAAATATATGAGAGAAAAGATAAAAGATGAATAAGGATCGGCTAACAATGAGAAAGTTCAGAGAAAGTTATGAATAATAATAAAACTACATGAAAATTTCTCTGAGTTAAAGGCCTTCACATTAAAAAAGCCTGAATCGTAAACACAGTGAATGGAAAATTATCAACACATAGACACATTGAGGTGAAATTACAAATCACCAAGAATAAAGAGGAAATCTTAAAATTCTCCACAAACACAAAAACTCAAACTCACCTACAATAGAATAAGAAACAGCTTAACATTATTCTTCCTACAAGATAATGGAGCCATATCTCCTTGGCATTAAGTGAACAATGACTTTCAACCCAGCATATATTTTACTGTAAGCTTTCTGGACTAATTGATTTTTGTTTTCTAGCTTCAATTAAATTGTTTTTATTGAGATAATTGTAGATCTGCATGCAGTTACAAGAAAGAATACAGTGAGTTCTCTTGAACACTTTTGACTCGTAAGGTTTTGTAAAATATAGAAAGATATCACAACCAGGGTATTGATGCTGCTACAATCCAACAATCTTATTAAGATTTCCTCGGTTATTTTACCCTTGTGTGTGTGTGTGTCTGTGTGTGTGTGTGCACATTAAGTCCTGTATAATTTTATTACCTATATACGTTCATGTACTTACAACTACAGTCAAAATAATGAAGAATTCCAGCACCACAAGGTTCTCTCATATGCCTTTTTGTAACTAACCCCACTGTTCTTTTTTATTCCACATCCATCTCTACCCCCTGACAACCACTAATCTCCCCTACGCTGTTAAATGTGTCAATTTTTATTTTGATAATTATTGGACTACTTACATTATCTGTTTTATCTTGACTGAGTTTTGGTAGTTTGTGGTATTTGAAGAATTGGTCCATTTATTTAATTTGTAGTAGTTATAAGTATCCATTTATCTGTAGTATTTTATTATATTTTTGATGATTATAGAATCTGTACTGATAATCTGTTTCATTTCTGATGTTGATTATTTGTATCATCTCATTTTAGTTATCAGTAATTCACAGAAATTAACAATTTTATTAACTTTTTAAAAAACCTGCTTATTTCATTGATTTTCTCTATGACTTTCTTATTTTTAATTTATTGATTTCTGCTTTATTTTTATTTTATTCTTCTGCTTGCTTTGGATTTATGTTGCTTTCTTCTTTTTTTTTTAAGTTTCTGAAGTAAACGCATAAGTTATTGTTGGACATGTTTTTGACTTTCTAATATGAGTGTTTACAGCCACAAATTTCCCTCTCACTACTGCTTTAGCTGCATCTCACAAATTTGATGTGTTTAGTGGGTTCTCAAAATTCAGTTCTATATATTTTTAAGATTTTCTTCGAGCTTTTTTCTTTGAGTCAGATTATTTAGAAGTATGTTTCTTAGTTTCTATGTGTTCAGAGATTTTCCTGTTGTGGTTCTCTTATTGACTTCTACTTTGATTCAGTATAGTCAGAGAATATACTCTGTATGATAAATTTATTTTATAACTGATAGTTCAAGCATATTTATGATAGCTGCTTTAAATTTTTCAAAAAAAAAACTTGAGATATATTTTATTGGCCAAAATATCATCTATCCTGATAAATGTTCTATGGATACTTAAAAAAAATGCATTCTGCTGCTGTTAGGAGGAGTGTTCTGTATATGTCAGTTAAGTCCTGTTGATTGATTGCCTTGTTCATATCTCCTATATATTTAATAGTTTTCTGCCTAGAAGTTGCATTCATTGCTGTGAAGAAGGAGGTGTTACATTTCCCAACTATAATTATGGATTTGTCTATTTCTACTTTCAGCTCTATCAGGTTTGGTTTTATGTGGATAAGTTTCTGTTTTTTTTGGTGTGTCCATATTCAGGATAATTTTATCTTCCTGGTGGGTTGATCCTTTTATTATTATATAATGTCCCTCTTTGTCTCTATCAATTTTCTTTGCTAAGGGATCTATTTTATCAGATTTTAATATAGCAACTCCTGCTATTTTCCATTAATGTTTGCATGGTATATCATTTTATATTTAAATAAAATATATATTTATATTTTTTACTCATCAATTGCCTGTGTTGTTGAATTTAAAGTGAGTCTGTCATAAACAACAGGATGTATCATAGGTTCCGAACACCACTCCTGGGTATGTTTTCTGAACAGGATTTGCAGGATTCAGCACATAGTCAAACTGATGGTTATAATTGATTATAGCAAGAGATTTAGCCAGCAAAGGACAAGGTACTTGCAGTTTAATCCAGAGGAAAAGAGGTGAAAGCTCTTGGATGAGTCCTCTCCTAGTCGAGTCACATAGAAGTGCTGAATTCCTCAAGCTAAGTGTGACAACATGTGTGAAATGTTTTTTGTTTTTGTTTGTTTGTTTTTACTAAAAATGCTTTTTAACAACCGTCAGTGTCCAGAGGGTTTTTTGTTTTTTGTTTTTTTTTGGAACCGATCACATAGGCATCTTCTGTTTAGGGTGTACCAAAATTCCAGACTCCCAGAAGAAAAGTTCAACATAAACCATATTATTTGTACCATTTAGTCACAGTGAAAACCTTATCAGATTTGGGTGGGAATTCTACCAAAATCCAAGTTCCCAGAGAACAGTCAAGGACCAGTCTTACAAGCTGGTCTTTCTAATGATTGCAACCTCAGGCTTACTGTGTTAATTCTTTGCTGCACACAGTATACTGTTCAGATTATTTTTTGTCCCCACTCATTCAGTCTCTGTCTTTTGATTGTTGTATTCGGAGCATCAATATTTAAGTTAATTATTAGTATGTTAAAGTTTAAGTCTGTCATTTTTTTGTTTTGTTTTTTATTCCTTCTGGTTCTCATTCCGCGGTTTCTCTTTTCTTGCCTTACTGTATATTAGTAAGAGCATTTTTAAAAACATTTCATCTTGATTTGTATTTTATTTTATTTTATTTTATTTTATTTTTATTTTGAGATGGAGTCTTGCTCTGTCGCCCAGGCTGGAGGGCAGTGGCGCGATCACGGCTCACTGCAAGCTCCGCTTCCCGGGTTCACGCTATTCTCCTGCCTCAGCCTCCCGAGTAGCTGGGACTACAGGCACCCGCCTCCACGCCCGGCTAATTTTTTGTATTTTTAGTAGAGACGGGGTTTCACCGTGTTAGCCAAGATGGTCTGGATCTCCTGAACTCGTGATCTGCCCGCCTCGGACTCCCAAAGTGCTGGGATTACAGGCGTGAGCCAACGCGCCTGGCCCATCTTGATTTATTTAAAGTAGTTTTGGGTATATCTCTGGTTATAATTTTTGTAGTGGTCAGGATGAGTATTAAAATAAACATGTGTGACATGCAGCCTACTGGCATGAACATTCCACCATTTGACGTGCAGTATGGAAATCTCATTTTCATTTAGATCCCGCTTCTATATATTTGTCTTGAGTATCAGATGGTGTTATAATTTTTGTTTTAATCATCAAATATAATTTATTAAACTCATGAGAAAAAAACAGTCTATTATATGTAACCCTAGTTCTTCTCTTTTTACTCTTCCTTCTTCATGATGTTCTATGATTCCTTCTTTTATCATTTCCTTTCTATTTGAAGATCCCTTTAGCCAGCCTTGAAGGGGAGTCTGCTAGTGACAAATTATTTTAGTTTTAGTTTGCTTGAAATGTTTTAATTTCCTTTTTATTCTTGAAAGGAATGTTATTAATTATTAATTATATTTATTAATTAATGTATACTTAATATTATTAATTAATATTATGAAATTAATTATTATAGCTCTCTTCTTTTATTGCTTGAAAAATATTGTGATACTCTCCCGTGGCCTCCACAGTTTCAGATAAGAAATCTACTATAATTCAAATTGCTGTTTTTCTGTAGATAATATACAATTTATCTTGGCTACTTTCAATACTTTTTCTTCTTTTTTTACTTTTCAAATATTTGATTATATTATGTCTTAGCATGGATTTTTTTGGGGTTTACCGGTTTACCTGTACAGGGTTGGCTCAGCGTCCTAGCTGTGGGTTTGCGTCTTTTGCCAAATTTAGGAAGTCTCAGCCATTATTTCTTCAAACACTCTTTTAGTCCCATTTTTTTTTCTCAATGATATAAATGTTGGGTCTTTGTTACATCTCACAGGTCCCTAAAGATCTGTTCAGTTTTTTATTTCTGCCCATTTTCTCTGTCTTGTAAAGATTACATCAATTCTATTTTTTCTGTCTTAATTTCACTGATTCTATTATCTGCCATCTCCATATTACAATTAAGCCCATTCAAGTAGTTTTTTTCCATCTTATTGTATTTTTCAATTTCATAATTTCAATTGGGTTCATTTTTATAACTTTTATTTCTTTGCTGAGATTTTCTATGTTTAAATTTGTTTCGTGATTGATAGTTCAAGCACATTTATGATAGCTGCTTTAAAATTCTTATCAGATAATTCCAACATATGATTCATTTTGATTTGGGCATCAGTTGGTTGTTTTCTCTTATTCAAGTTGTATTTTTTTTTATTCCTTGTATTATGAGTGATTTTTTTTTCTATTGTACCTGGACATTTAATCAATTATGTTAGAAGAATCTGTGTCATTTTTATTTGTTTTTAAAAAATCTTAGCAGGCAGTCACTATGTTTAGATAGAATGTGTGGGACTTGACCCACATTTGTGGGCTGTGGTTCCAATGTGGTTTAATTATGAGAGGCTTTGTGGTGTTCTATTAATCTTCCTGGTTTATCTAGTCCTCTAGTAGCTCTCACTATTCCCTGTGGTGCTGCCATGGGTGTGAAGGCATTTCCTTTTGTCTGGCTGTCAGGCATATCTCAGCCTGGGGAAAAGTATAGTGTGATTTTCCTACCAGTGCACCCACTCTTGTAGTGTTTCTGGGTCAGATAGGAAATTCTTGGGGCTTCAGGGACACAGACACTTGTCAGATTTAGGCCCTTGCTGTAACTGGGTGCCTTGTCAATTTGTTCAACAGCGTGTATCTTGGAAGGAAATGAGAATCTGGGTCCTTCTGAGACAAAAAGCTTCCCAGACAAGGTTACTTGTGATGACTGAGTCCCTTTTACAGGTTTTACCTGCACACTCTGGTGTCTCTAGGCAGGGTAGAAGAGTCTAGATCCATTGGGACTAGGAGCTTTCCTTCGCCAGGCCACCTGTTATATCTTGTCTCCTCTACTAGCTCTACTTACCTGCTTTTGTATCTTTCAGTGGATAAGGAGAGCTTCAGGCCTGGTTGTCAAGAAGAGTATCTCCCCTGGCTGCTCATTTCTGGCAGGGCTCCCAAATAATGCCCCTTTCTGGTGGTGTTGGTCTCCCCTAATATTGTCAGAGGCATTCCTATTTGGAAAGGAATGTCTATTTGCCTGTCTTCTGTTGCTATGTTAGGGCTCAGGAAATGCTGGGTCTGGGTGATCTTTCTCTGTTGGGTAGGGGGACACAAGATGCCCTGCCACCACTGTGCTGTCTCTTCAGTACTAGCTTCTTAAAGCTGTTGTATGTTTTCTTATTACCTTTCAGAGTTCGCCTTTGCTTATGTCTTGCACCATTTCCAGAGTGTATAGTTGTCCTTAGTGGGAAGATTTAGGGAAAAACAAGTCTGCATCATCTTTTGCAGACCAGAAATCTCCTAATTGACTTTTCAGAATATATTAATATTATTTATATAATATATTAATATTATTTAATAAATAATTTTATAAAAGAATGGTTGAACTTTGAAGTAAATAAGTAATTTATAAAAATATTTTAGCTTGGGCCTGTTTTAAAACCTAAATACTTTTTTTTAAGTCCACATATTTCTGTACCTTCTTCAGTGCTTTCTAAGATTAAGGTGTGGTCTGACCACTTATTTAAATAATAATATCAGGTATCATCTTAACAAGACCCATGCAGAGTAACAATGTTTTCTCCTTTGACAGAGATAAAAACCATGCCAGAGAGAGGTTCACTGAATGATGAAAAGCGTGAGGCTAGATAGTGCTGTCATGAAACTGAAACCCAGGTTTATATCTATCTAGCTATCCTAGTTCATTTTCTGTTGCTATAAGTAGCTCATGGCTCTAGAGGTTGGGAGGTTCAAAAGCATGGTACTGGCATCTGGTGCATCATGACATAGTGAGAGGCATCACATGGTAAGATAGAGCAAGTAAGCCTCAGAGAGCTTGCTTGTATAACAAAACCATTCCCATGGCAGTGACATTAATCCTTTCATGAGGGCAGAGACCTCATTAATCTATTAATCTGTTTATGAGGGCAGAAGGATTAAGTTTCCAGCAAGCACATGAATTTTTCAGAAACACATAAGGCATAGCACTTGCCTAATAAATGTTTTGTTCCTTACATTTCAATATCATAATTTTAGATGCAGCCTTCTAAAGACCTGTATAAGTATATTAAAAAAACATTTACCTGGAAATTATCAATATGCCTGAGATTTAAAAAGCTGTAACTATTTCAGTGGGAGTATGAGCTTATGAAACATGGTTTAATGTCAGACTTTCCTTGCCTCAAATCAAAGTTTCTCCATTTACTTTCAATAAACCTTGAATAAGCTACTTAATCTTTCTCAATCTCAATTTTCTTACCTATAAGTTGAAGTTAATATACACCCCATCATGCCTTTTTGTGGTTAGCCAGAGAAACATTGCAAAACGAACTTGAATTATTCCTGACACAATAAAGATACTCAAAAATGATATATAATTTATATTATTATTATTGATATAATGGTGATGATTATAATAATGATGAAAAGGAAGATAAAAAAGATTCTTCAAAATATTGAGGCATAGAAATAAAATATTCTAGCTTCACAAATCAACTAGAACAAATTACGTTCATGTGGATAGGAGATATGAGAAATTGAAATATATGATGAGAAAAGGTATAGGTTATAATAAATAAAGCAAAGCAAGAAGAAATAAACATAGTTTTATAGATTCAAATCAAAATTTTCTCATCAGCATTCACTTTCTGTATAAATGCAGGAAAGGGAAAAGATCATATCAGAAATTCAAGGGGAACAAAAAAGTATGAATTTAACACATTTAAAATATTCACAAAATTTTAACAACTAGTTATAAGCTAAGAATGAATCACTGGTTCAGCTTTATAGTTGTGGAAACTTCATGCATATCTTATTAAGTAAAGTTCTCCAAGAAAGGAAGGAACCATTATCTTGGAATAGCTGAAATATTTAAACACTATTCCCATTAAATAATAAGATAAAATTTAAGTGCTGATGGCACATGCAGATGGGGAAAATAACATTCTAGCTCTGCGGCTGCTGCAACAGAGCATATGCAAATGTCCAGCACATGACACATACAAGAAATTAAATGGAATATTAGAAATAATTTGATCTAATAGTTATTTTACTGATGAATAAACTGAGATTAAAAGTGTACATGATGAAAAATGTGGCATTTCCCAGTGATGCAAATTGCTGAGGAAAACGAAGAATAAAACAAAGCAAAGTACTCTATTTTTGGAATCAGATCTACTTATAATAGGAATTACAGAAGACCATTTGTGGAAGTAGTGACATAGATGTACCAATTCTGGTTATACATATATCCTGAAAGTAGATTATAAATAAATTCTATTATAAAAGATAGATTTTCCACCGGGTAGTTCAACACAAAACAAACAAAAACACTTTGAAATGCAAATAATTATTTCATAATGTAATACATTTTAAATGCTCTCTTTTAAAATTTTAATATTTGTAACTGTTCATGAAACAAACATGTACTGACACAGGTTATCAATACATATTGGACATGAAACATATACAAATGTGTATGGTCCTTCTTAACAAGTAGCTTAACAACTAGTGAAAGAAACAGGTACACCATTAGCTGTAACATATAATCCTTATGCCATTTACATAAGAAAGACAGAAACAAATGCTAAGATGATGCTGCAGGCATAGTGATTAGAAAAGACTTTCCAGAGGAATAGATACCCAAGTATGGCATAAAGAATAAGTACAAATTTGGTGGTGGAGATGGAAGGAGAGAAAGTTGTTCAAACATAAGCAAAAGCACAGAGGTATAGAAGTTAATTGTGTAAATAACCTAATAATTGGGCTGGGGTTGTGGGGACTCAAGGTTCATGGGACCAGAAGATCATTGATATCAGAAATAATACTAAAATCTTAGGTTACGACCAGTAGTTGAAGATGATTGATGCGATCTTTGAGAGTTAAGATTTATTCTAAGTATAAGGAGAAGCCACCAATGGTTTATGAGCAAGAAATGGCAATCACAATTTTGGTTTTGGAGGGCAGCTGACAGCTACATAATGAATTGGTTGAATGGGTAGATTTGAAGACAAGAGTTCATTTGGAAGTCTACAGAAAAACTCAGAAAGCATAAAAAAAAGTCAAGTATCCAAATTCAAATAGTTACTGTGAAAATAAAAGAGAATGGGTGGTGAACGACAGTAAAACGATACACTGAATGAAAGAGAATATTTGCAAATTATACATCTGTTAAGAGACTTGTATCAGAAATATGAAAAGAACACTTCAAATGCAATAATAAAAAGACAAACAACCCAATTAAAATAAGAAAAATTATCTGAATATTTATCTAAAGAAGATATGCAAATAACTAATGAACACATGAAAAACTATGCCATATCAATTAGCCATTACAGAAACAGAAATAGAAGCAAAATATGGGATCTAATTAAACTAAAGAGCTTCTGCACAGCAAAAGAAACTACCATCAGAGTGAACAGGCAACCTACAAAATGGGAGAAAATTTTCGCAACCTACTCATCTGACAAAGGGCTAATATCCAGAATCTACAATGAACTCAAACAAATTTACAAGAAAAAAACAAACAACCCCATCAAAAAGTGGGCAAAGGACATGAACAGACACTTCTCTAAGGAAGACATTTATGTAGCCAAAAAAACACATGAAAAAATGCTCACCATCACTGGCCATCAGAGAAATGCAAATCAAAACCACAATGAGATACCATCTCACACCAGTTAGAATGGCAATTATTAAAAAGTCAGGAAACAACAGGTGCTGGAGAGGATGTGGAGAAATAAGAACACTTTTACACCGTTGGTGGGACTGTAAACTAGTTCAACCATTGTGGAAGTCAGTGTGGCGATTCCTCAGGGATCTAGAACTAGAAATACCATTTGACCCAGCCATCCCATTACTGGGTATATACCCAAAGAACTATAAAATCATGCTGCTATAAAGACACATGCACAGGTATGTTTATTGTGGCACTATTCACAATAGCAAAGACTTGGAACCAATCCAAATGTCCAACAATGATAGACTGGATTAAGAAAATGTGGCACATATACACCATGGAATACTATGCAGCCATAAAAAATGATGAGTTCATGTCCTTTGTAGGGACATGGATGAAATTGGAAATCATCATTCTCAGTAAACTATCGCAAGGACAAAAAACCAAACACCGCATGTTCTCACTCATAGGTGGGAATTGAACAATGAGAACACATGGACACAGGAAGGGGAACATCACACTCTGGGGACTGTTGTGGGGTGGGGGAGGGGGGAGGGATAGCATTAGGAGATATACCTAATGCTAAATGACGAGTTAATGGGTGGAGCACACCAGCGTGGCACATGTATACATATGTAACTAACCTGCACATTGTGCACATGTACCCTAAAACTTAAAGTATAATAATAATTAAAAAAAAAGAAATAGAAGCAATACTGAAATGATACTTTACACCCACAAGGATGGTTAAAATCACAAAGAGATAATAAGTTTTGCTGAAGATGTGAAGAAACTGGTATCCTCACACATTGCTGGCAGGCATTTAAAATGATACAGCCACTTTGGAAAAAAGTTGGCAGTTCTTCAAAACATTAAACATGGCATTACTGTATGACCCAGTAATTTCAGTCTTAGGTATATATCCAAGAGACATAAAAGCAGATGTCCACACTAACACTTGTACATGAATGTTTATAAAAGCATCATTCATAATAGTCAAAAAGTATAATAAACAACCCAAATATCTATCAACTGATGAGTGGGTAAACAAGAAGTGGTCTACATAGCCATAGAATGGAATATCATTTAGCTAAAAATGAAGGAAGTGTTGATATGTGCTACAACATGGATAAACATTGAAAAAATAATGTTACATGGAAGAAATAAGAAAAGACTAATATTATATGATTAGAAGCAAGTCAGAAAAGACTATATATTATATGATTCCACTTACATAAACTGTCCAGTAGAGGCAAATCCGTAGAGACAAAAAGTAGATTAATTTGCCTGAGAAAAGGGATGGCTCAGGTGGGAGTGGGGAGTGAGTAACAATCAATACTCATTTCAGGGAGATGATGAAATGTTCTAAAATTTATTAGGATGATGGTGGCACCACTCTGTAAACATACTTAAAATCTTTGTATTTTATACCTTAAGTGCATGAATTGTATGACACTTGAATTATTAATATATCTTGATAAAAATTTTGAAAGTGTGTGGATTTGCGTGATATTTCAGAGTTAAAATTGGCAGAATTTAATAACTTACAAGCTTAGAGTGTTAATGAATAAGGTTGTTAATAAAATTTCATCTTCTGATTGATCTTTTATGTAACTGTGGACATGGCATTGCTACTATATATAATTTTTAAAAATCAGAAGAACATGTTTGAGGAGATAAAATAAATTTCATTTCATACATGTTGAGTAGAAGCTTTGGTTTCTTTAATCTTTCATTGTCATTCATGACACTAATAATTTTGAAGAGGTCCTGGACAAACTGGATATTCACATGCAGAAGAATTAAACTAGACACTTATCTCTCATCATACACAAAAATCGACTCAAAGTAGATTAAATACTTAAATATAAGACTTAAAACTATAAAATTATTAGAAGAAAATATAGGAGAAAGACTTTATAATGTTGGTCTAGGCAAGGATTTTTTGGATGAAAAAAGCATAGGCAACTAAAGATAAATAGACAAATGGGATTACATCAAAATAAAAAGCTACTGAACAACAAAAGAAACAATCAACAGGGTAAAGTGACAACCTATAGAATGAGAGAAAGTATTTTCAACTTAAAACTATGCATCTGACAAGTGGCTAATAATCAGAATATATGACTCAAATAGACATTTTTCAAAAAAAGACATACAAATAGGCAACAGGCATATATAAAAATGCTCACCATCATCAATTATCAGGGAAATGCAAATCAAAACCCCAAAGAGATATGAGTTCATCCTATTTAGAATGGCTATTACCAAAATACAGAAAAATAAATGCTGGCCTGTATCTGGAGAAGTGGGACCCCCCTATCCACCACTGGTGAGAATGTAAATTAGTACAACCATTAGGGAGAGCAGTATGGGAGGTCCTCAAAAAACTAAAAGTAGAACTACCTGAAGTTATTTATTTTCATTTTAATCCCATTGGTTCATTGTTTGATTTACATTTTTTAAAATGCGTTGATATTATCAACGTCCTCAAATTCTGCTTATCATGGTGAATGTTGCACGTGCACTTGAACAATGTATATTCTCCTCTTGTTTGAAGTGTTCTACAAGTTTCAATTAGGTCATATTGATTACAGTATTATTAAAGTTGCCTATATTTTTACTAATTTTCCATCTTTTTTAATCAATTAATGAGTGAGGTGTTTATTTGGCTAACTATAATTTTTGACTTGTCTGTTTTTAAATCTTGTCCTGTCAGTTTTTGCTTCTCATATTTTAAAACTCTGTTTTTTAAGTAGATACAAATTTAGAAGCATTATGTGTTCTTTAATGAATTAAGCCCTATATCATCATGCAATTTCTTTCTTTATACCTGATAATAGGTTTTGTTTTAAACCTACCTTGTTATTAATATAACCATGCCACTTTAAAATTGTTAATGTTTACATGGAACATATTTTGCCATTCTCTTTTTTTTTTTAATCCAATCGGTGACTTGATGTTTAAATTGGGTTTCATATGATATATATATTTGGGTGGGTCTTGATTGACTTATTAGATATATCACTTTAAATGTTTTTAAATGATAGTTCTTGAGCAGAGTTTGTCATCCTCAGCACCAGTGACATATTTTGGTTAGACAATTTGGATTTTGTTGTAAGAAACCTGTTCTCTGTATTGTAAGATGTTTAACAGCGTTCATTGACTCTAAACCTGCTGTTTCATTTAACTCTTTGGATTTCTGTTTTTTGCTTGTGTGTTTGTTTCTGATGAATTTTGGAAAATTGTTGGCCTTTATTCCTCTATACGTTTTTCTTCATTCTTTCTCTTTTCTCTTTCTTGGACCCCAGTTACGTATATGTTATTTTGTTTGCTGTGCTTCCATGGATGTTTTGTTATCTAATACAGTTCTCAATCCGTTTTCTTTGTAGTAAATTATCAGTGTAGATAATTTCTATGGACCTATTTCTAAGTTTCCTGATTTTCCTTAAGTGTTTCCCATCAGCTGATAATTCTATTGATGGGATATGTTATCTCTGATATGGTGGGGTTTTTTTCTTAGAATTTTTATTTGACAATTTCTTATAATTTCCATGTCTCTACTAGATTTTCCATTTATTCATGAATATTTTCCAGATTTTTTTAACCATAGCTTTTAAAATATTATTTATAGTTATTTAAAAAACCCTATCTGATTTATCTTATATGTCCTCATTTGTAAGACTTTGTATTGTTTGATTTATCTGGCAGTAAACTCTATTTTCAGTATGTTTCAAAATGTTTGAGTATTAATTATTATGAGGGAATAGTAGAGGCTGAAAGAACTATTCTTTATACCAGAAATGGACATGATTCTTTTTCTGGCAGTCACTAATGTAGTGGGTTGAGTCAATTAGTAGGTTTCTAGGATTGATTTTTGTTGTTGTTGGTATAGTCACCATCAGTGTAGCAGAGACGTCGATTTTCTTCAATGCTGAAAAATTATTCTTAATATTCATGCTCTACCATAAGCTTTCAGCAATCTCTGAATGCTTGAAACACATAGGGGTCTCTCTTCATGTTCTTGATCCTCTACCATTAGCAGACTGTAGTTGCTTATGCGTGTTACTTGATGGAAGGCTTATGTCAATGTTGTGGGGGCTGGGACTGAAGAAGGGTTCTCTATTCTCTTGGCTCAGTCTCAGTCACAGATGGACCTGTGTTCCTGGGCCTTGGGGGTGGGGATTTTTCTGTCTGCATCCCTGACCTTTTTCCTCATAGGCAGCTAAACTCTTTCTTCTGTCTGTTTTGAGTATTGAGCAGGAGGCAGCTTCCTGACCCATCCCCCACAGTAATAAACCTGTAAGATTTCCTGGTTTCCTGGAGCTGTGAAGCAGGTGCCTTAGATGTTGTCAGGCCTCTGAGCTAAGCCATCATATCTCCTGTGACCTGCACGTATACATCCAGATGGCCTGAAGTAACTGAAAAATGACAAAAGAAGTGAAAATGGCCCGTTCCTACCTTAACAGATGACATTACCTTGTGAAATTCTCCTGGCTCATCCTGGCTCAAAAGCTCCCCCACTGAGCACCTGGTGACCTCCACCCCTGCCAGCCAGAGAACAACCCCCTTTGACTGTAATTTTCCACTACCTACCCAAATGTTATAAAATGGCCCCACCCCATCTCCCTTTGCTGACTCTCTTTTCGGACTCAGCCCGCCTGCACCCAGGTGATTAAAAAGCTTTATTGCTCACCAGGTTTGGTGGTCTTTTCACATGGACAGGAGTGAAATTTGGTGCTGTGACTTGGATCGGGGGACCTTCCTTGGGAGATCAATCCCCTGTCCTCCTGCTCTTTGCTCTGTGAGAAAGATCCACCTACGACCTCTGGTCCTCAGACTAACCAGCCCAAGGAACATCTCACCAATTTTAAATCCAGTAAGCAGCCTCTCCTTACTCTCTTCTCCAGCCTCTCTCACTATCCCTCAACCTCTTTCTCCTTTCAATCTTGGTGCCACACTTCAATCTCTCCCTTCTCTTAATTTCAGTTCCTTTCCTTTTCTGGTAGAGACAAAGGAAATGTGTTTTATCCATGGACCCAAAACTCCGGCGCCGGTCACGGACTCCAGAAGACAGTCTTCTGTTGGTGTTTAATCACGTGGGGATGCCTGCCTGATTATTCACCCACGTTTCAGAGGTGTCTGACCACGCAGGGACGCCTGCCTTGGTCCTTCACTCTTAGCGGCAAGCACCACTTTTCTGGGGGGCAAGCACCCTCTGACCCCTTCTCTCTGTGTCTCTACCCCTTCGCCACTTTCCAGGGGGGCAAGTACCCCCCACCCCTTCTCTCCATGTCTCTACTCTTCTCTTTAAACTTGCCTCCTTCACTGTGGGCAACCTTCCACCCTCCATTCCTCCTTCTTCTCCCTTAGCTTGTGTTCTCAAGAACTTAAAACCTCTTCAACTCTTGCCTGACCTAAAATCTAAGCATCTTATTTTCTTCTGCAACACTGCTTGACCCCAGTACAAACTCAACAGTGGTTCCAAATAGCCAGAAAATGGAACTTTCGATTTTTCTATCCTACAAGATCTAGATAATTCTTGTCATAAAATGGGCAAACAATCTGAGATGCCTGACATCCAGGCATTTTTTACACATTTTTCCCTCCCTAGTCTCTGTTCCCAATGAGACTTGTCCCAAATCCTCCTTCTTTCCCTCCTGCCTGTCCCCTCAGTCCCAACCCCAAGTGTCACTGAGTCTTTCTAATCTTCCTTTTCTACAGACCCATCTGACCTCTCCCCTCCTCCCCAGGCTGCTCCTTGCCAGGCCGAGCTAGGTCCCAATTCTTCCTCAGCCTCCACTCCTCCACCCTGTAATCCTTTTGTCACCTCCCCTCCTCACACCCGGTCCAGCTTACAGTTTCATTCTGCAAATAGCCCTCCCCCACCTGCCCAGCAATTTCCTCTTAAAAAGGTAGCTGTAGCTAAAGGCATAGTCAAGGTTAATGCTCCTTTTTGTTTATCTGACCTTTCCCAAATCAGTTAGCATCTAGGCTCTTTTTCACAAAATATGAAAACCTAGCCCAGTTCATGGCTTGTTTGTTAGCAACCCTGAGATGCTTTACAGCCCCAGACCCTTAAAGGTCAAAAGGCCATCTTATTCTCAATATACATTTTATTACCCAATCTGCTCCTGACATTAAATAAAACTCCAAAAATTAAATTCCGGCCCTCAAACCCCACAACAGGACTTAATTAACCTTGCCTTCAAGGTGTATAATAATAGAGTAGAGGCAGCCAAGTAGCAATGTGTTTCTGAGTTGCAATTCCTTGCCTCCACTGTGAGACAAATCCCAGCCACATCTCCAGCACGCAAGAACTTCCAAACGCCTGAACTGCTGCAACCAGACGTTCTTCCAGGGCCTCCTCCCCCAGGAACTTGCTTCAAGTGCTGAAAATACTGGGCCAAGGAATGCTCACAGCCTGGGATTCCTCCTAAGCCATGTCCCATCTGTATGGGTCCCCACTGGAAATCAGACTGTCCAACCTGGCAGCCACTCCCAGAACCCCTGGAACTCTGCCCCAAGGCTGTCTGACTGACTCCTTCCCAGATCTACTCGGCTTAGCGGCTAAAGACTGATGCTGCCCAATCACCTCGGAAGTCTACAGGACCATCACAGACGCTTTGGGTAACTCTTACATTGGAGGGTAAGTCCATCCCCTTCTTAATCAATAGGGAGGCTACTCACATCACATTACCTTCTTTTCAAGGGCCTGTTTCCTTTGCCTCCATAACTGTTGTGGGTATTGATGGCCAGGCTTCTAAACCTCTTAAAACTCCGCAACTCTGGTGCCAACTTAAACAATACTCTTTTAAGCACTCCTTTTTAGTTGTTGCCACCTGCCCAGCTCCCTTATTAAGTTGAGACATTTTAACTAAATTGTCTGCTTCCCTGACTATTCCTGGGCTACAGCCACACCTCATGGCTGCCTTTTCCTCCAATTCAAAGCCTCCTTTGCATCCTCCCCTTGTATCTCCCAACCTTAAACCACAAGTATAGGATGCCTCTACTCCCCCCTTGGCGACAAATCATGCACCCCTTACCATCCCATTAAAACCTAATCACCCTTGCCTGCTCAATGCCAATATCCCATCCCACAGCACGCTTTAAAAGGATTAAAGCCTGTTATCACTTGCCTGTTACAGCATGGCCTTTTAAAGCCTATAAACTCTCCTTATGACTCCCCCATTTTACCTGTCCAAAAACCAGACAAGCCTTACAGGTTAGTTCAGGATCTGCACCTTATAATCCAAATTGTTTTTGCCTATCCACCCCATGGTGCCAAAGCCATATACTCTCCTATCCTCAATACCTCCCTCCACAACCCATTATTCTGTTCTGGATCTCAAATATGCTTTCTTTACTATTCCTTTGCACCCTTCATCCCAGCCTCTCTTCAATTTCACTTGGACTGACCCTGACACCCATCAGGCTCAGCAAATTACCTGGGCAGTACTGCAACAAGGCTTCACAGACAGCCCCCATTACTTCAGTTAAGCCCAAATTTCTTCCTCATCTGTTACTTATCTCAGCATAATTCTCATAAAAACACACATGCTCTCCCTGCTGATCGTGTCCGACTAATCTCCCAAACCCCAATCTCTTCTATAAAACAACAACTCCTTTCCTTCCTAGGCATGGTTAGTGCGGTCAGAATTCTTACACAAGAGCCGGGACCACACCCTGTAGCTTTTCTGTCCAAACAACTTGACCTTACTCTTTTAGCCTAGCCCTCATGTCTACATGCAGTGGCTGCCGATGCTTTAATACTTTTAGAGGCCCTAAAAATCACAAACTATGCTCAACTCACTCTCTACATTTCTCATAACTTCCAAAATCTATTTTCTTTCTCCCACCTGATGCATATACTTTCTGCTCCCCAGCTCCTTCAGCTATACTCACTCTTTGTTGAGTCTCCCGCAATTACCATTGTTCCTGGCCTGGACTTCAATCTGGCCTTCCACGTTATTCCTGATACCACACCTGGTCCCCATGACTGTATCTCTCTAATCCACCTGACACTCACTCCATTTCCCTATATTCTTTCCTGTTACTCACCATGAACACACTTGGTTTATTGATGGCAGTTCCACCAGGCCTAATTGCCACTCACCAGCAAAGGCAGGCTGTGCTATAGTATCTTCCACATGTATCATTGAGGCTACCACTCTGCCCCATCCACTACCTCTCAGCAAGCTGAACTCATTGCCTTAACTCGGGCCCTCACTCTTGCAATGGGACTACATGTCAATATTTATACTGACTCTAAATATGCCTTCCATATCCTGCACCACCATGCTGTTATATGGGCTGAAAGAGGTTTCCTCACTACGCAAGCTTCGTCCATTATTAATGTCTCATTAATAAAAATGCTTCTCAAAGCCACTTTACGTCCAAAGGAAGCTGAAGTCATTCACTGCAAAAGCCATCAAAAGGCATCAGATCCCATCGCTCAGGACAACGCTTATGCTGATAAGGTAGCTAAAACTTCCGCCTATCAATCTCTTCCCACACAAGGCAAATGGTTCTTGGACCAGTGAAAATACCTCCTTCCAGCCTCACAGGCCAATTCTATTCTGTTGTCATTTCAGAACCTCTTCCGTGTAGGTTACAAGCCACTAGCCTGCCTCTTAGAACCTCTCATTTCCTTTCCATTGTGGAAATCTATCCACAAGGAAATCACTTCTCAGTGTTCCATCTGCTCTTCTACTACTCCTCAGGGATTGTTCAGGCCCCCTCCCTTCTCTTTACATCCCCTCCCTTCTCTGCACATCAAGCTCAGGGATTTGCCCCGACCCAGGACTGGCAAATTGACTTTACTCATATGCCTCGAGTCAGGAAACTAAAATACCTCTTGATCTGGGTAGACCCTTTCACTGGATGAATAGAGGCCTTTCCCACAGGGTCTGGGAAGGCCACCATGGTCATTTCTTCCCTTCTGTCAGACACAATTCCTCAGTTTGGCCTTCCCGCCTCTATATAGTCTGATAACGGACTGGTCTTTACTAGTCAAATCACCCAAGCAGTTTCTCAGGCTCTTGGTATTCAGTAGAACCTTCCTATCCCTTACGGTCCTCAATCTTCAGGAAAGGTAAAACGGACTAATGGTCTTTTAAAAACACACGTCACCAAGCTCAGCCTCCAACTTAAAAAAAGGACTCTGTCAAGAATAGAGCTAAAAAAACTCACCAAGCAAGCAAGTAATTACACTGAACCCCCTTGGACACTCTCTAATTGGATGTCCTGGATCCTCCCAATTCTTAGTCCTTTAATACCTGTTTTTCTCCTTCTCTTATTCTGACCTTGTGTATTCCATTTAGTTTTTCAATTCATACAAAACCGTATCCAGGCCATCATCAGTAATTCTATACGATAAATGTTTCTTCTAACAACCCCGCAATATCACCCCTTACTACAGAATCTTCCTTCAGCTTAATCTCTCCCACTCTAAGTTCCCATGCCACCCCAATCCCGCTCGAAGCAGCCCTAAGAAACATTGCTCATTATCTCTCCATACCACTCCCCAAAATTTTTGCCACCCCAACTGTTTACCACTATTTTGTTTTATTTTTTCTTATTAATATAAGAAGACAGGAATGTCAGGCCTCTGAGCCCAAGCTAAGCCATCATATCCCCTGTGACCTGCACGTATACATCCAGATGGCCTGAAGTAACTGAAGAATGACAAAAGAAGTGAAAATGGCCTGTTCCTGCCGTAACTGATGACATTACCTTGTGAAATTCCTTCTCCTGGCTTATCCTGGCTCAAAAGCTCCCCTACTGAGCACCTTGTGACTCCTACCCCTGCCAGTCAGAGAACAACCCCCTTTGACTGTAATCTCCCACTACCTACCCAAATCTTATAAAACGGCTCCACCCCATCTCCCTTTGCTGACTCTGTTTTCAGACTCAGCCCACCTGCACCCAGGTGATTAAAAAGCTTTATTGCCCACACAAAGCCTGTTTGGTGTTGTCTTCACATGGATAGGAGTGAAAGAAATAACCTGTGTTATGCAATTTAGCACAATTCCCTCCATTTATCCAATGTATACTTAGGCCCTCAACACTGGCCTTCTCTCTCTTACTTTACCCATCTCATCTAGTCTGGGCATTTGAGTATGCAATTCCAGCTGTAAGTAAATCCATGCCACTGTGGAATTTTATTAGGTGAGAGCTGTCATGTGTTACACTTTCTCATCATTAAAGACATATATGTTAAAAGATAGAGTTTGGTATACTATTACTACTAGTTGTCTGGTATTTTAAAAAACAAGTTCCAAATTCTAGTTACATCCAAGTCTTTATGAATCACTGGATACGTCGCTTAATTTCTTTGAACAGTGTTTTTTTATATTGAATTTAATTCATATAAAATAATGTACACTTTCGTGCAAGTCACTCTGTTGATTCAAAAATGATTGAAATGCAGTATTTTTCCCAAAGGAGTTTTTACTACAACCTCAGAAATATTTGATCAATATCTAAGGACCCCCATGGTTAAAAATTATATGACTCAACATACTTGTGTTAAAGGAAAAAAAAACTTAGGTTAAAAAATAAATAAAATCATTTAACTGCACTAGGTAATATTTGAAGTTAATAATAAAATATTGTTTTATTTAATCTGACAAATTCTATTGATTTTAGTTTACATGAGGAATTTGATTTATGCTTTCTTTGTCTCTTTTAATTAATAGAATCCCAGTTTATCTGAAGATTCAGTCATCACAAATCCTCTGTGTATTCCTTTTCAAATAAATGGAAATTTTGTTTCAGTGATGCTAGGTATGATAAATAAAAGAATCTCTAAAAGTTAATTTTGAACATAGTATTTTCAGAATTTAGATAGTAAGTACTTTTTAGTATTTTGAGATAGGAAATTTCCCTTTACCCCTTCAGGGAACTCATGAAGAGGGTGGCTTGTTTACTTGGCTGCCACACTCAATACCTTATGGGAGGGAGCACACAAGGGGATGGGTATAGGAACTGGAGCAGGCCAATGCTGGAGCTAGCTGGTCACTCCTCTCTGGCTGGAGCAGGCTCTGTGTGGGCCCTGTGGCAGCATCCAAGTGTGTTACAATGCTCTTTTAGCTCTGCCATCTGAAAGGCAGTGTCTGTGACCCCCGGAGCTCCAGAGGGTGTGTGTTACAATCAGTGCTCTTTTAGCATTTGCTGTCCATGGACAGTTATGTGTTAACAATATCAGTGGAGGGTCAGGATAACAGTCTTTTAAACCCTGCCCTCTTGGTACCCAAGTTCTTGTCTGGTGTCCAGGAAGAATCAGGTCACACAAACGAATTGAAAGGTTGTAAATGTGGAGGACTTTATTAAGTGGTGGAAGTGGCTCTCAGTGAGAAGGGGAGCTGGAAAGGGGGTGGAGTGGGAAGATAAACTCTCCCTGAAGTCCAGCTGTTTCCAGCCAAAATCCTTTCTGACTGTAGTTTCTGGTGTTCAACTGCGTCTTCTTCCCTCTACTTTCAGACACTTCTGTCTTCTGTGTGTATCTGCTGAGTCTGTGGTTTGGGGTTCTTAAGGGCCCAGGATAGGGATAGGGGGTGGGGCAGGCCAAAAGGCCACATTCAGGTGGGAAAAGACAGGGATAGTTCTCACTTTGGGCTGAGGCTTGAGGGTAGAGCCCTCACCAGGGACTGTGCCCTCTTCTACCCAGTATTTTCCTGCCTCCTGTCCATATCATTATTAGATATATTTCACAGAAATGGCCACGTCTCAATTCCATTTTATTTTTATTTGAGATGGTGTCTCACTCTGTTGCTGTTGCCCAGGCTGGAGTGGAGTGGCACAATCACAGCTCATTGCAGCCTCTACCTCCTGAGCTCAAGTGGTCCTCCCACCTCAGCCTCCTGAATAGCTAGGACTATAGGCACATACCACCACATCTGGCTAATTTGATTTTTTTTTTTTTTTTTTTGTAGAGATAAGTTCTCACCATGTTGCCCAGGATGCCAGGCTGGTCTCAAACTTCTGGGCTCAAGAGATCTTCCCACCTTGGCCTCCCAAGTTTTGGGATTATAGGCACGAGATACCATGCCAGGCCAATTCACATTTTAGTTTGTAAGAAAAGAGAAAGTATAATGAATTACCAAAGTTTACTATTTTTTCAACTTTTGTGAGATTATATTTTTATTAGTACTGTTTGTTTGCCTTAAGATGTCACAGCAAAGACTACTAGCCTGGTTAAACACTTACAATTACTCATGATGCCTTGAAATGTGATGGTTCATATTAGTTAAGTAAATGGCATCCTATTTCATTAAAAAATTATTTTCGATGACTATGCATTGATAATGAAATAATCTGTATGTATAATCTTAGTTTATTATAAAACTATTTGTCTGTATATGAATGTGCATTTGAGAGAGGTGTATGAGTGTGTATCTACACATCTATCTACATATTCTAACTTTGCTTACCTAGGGAGCATGTGGTGTTGTGAGTTATTTTTTCAGTCTCCCAGAGGATTTTTCCTCCTGACACCAGCTAATTCTGACTGACATAAACTGAGTTTCCTAACTTTCAATTCAATTCTGACACTAACTACCTAATCAGACTCCAAAGGTTTAAGGGCTCAGTCCCACATGACTGCTCTCGTGTCAGACAACAGTCACAAGTCCCAGGCCATCTATATTTCTAAACAGCTGGCTGTAAATTAGGGGCTCCCAAGACCCCCTCCTCAGTTTTGATAATTTGTTAGAACAGCTCACAGAACTCAGGAAGCTACTTTATTTATGTGTACCAGTTTATAATAAAAACTAAAAATGAAGTCAAATAAATTGGCATATATAGTGTGGCACAGATGGGTCCTGAGTGTAGAAGCCTCTATCCCTGTGAAGCTGGTATGCAGAACCTTCCTGACACATGGAAGGTGTCAACCTGGAAGCTCTTTAAACCTTGTTATTTAGGGATTTCTATGGAGGCTTCATTATGTAGGCATAACTGATTGAATCATTGGCCGTTGGTGATGAATTCAATCTTGAGCCCCTTCTCCCCTCCCTGGGAGTTGGGGATGGTGCTGAAAGTTTCAAGCTTCTAGTGAAGCTTTGGTCTTCGTGGTCATCAGCCCCCTTCCTAAAACTATCTCAGGGCCAGGCCACCAAGAATGCCTTCTTGAATGAAAGATTCCCCTCCTCATCTTACCAGTAAACAAATTCCAAGGGTTTTAGGAGCTCTGTGCCAGGAACTGAGGACAAAGACCAAATATCTTTCTACGATATCACATTTTCTATATTGTTTTCTTAAAATTATAGCATATGTATATTGCTTTTCTAAAAAGAAAAATAATTTAACTTATAAAATCTACCATTTATCAAAATGTAGTGTTCATATAAAGTATCTGTACAGTAAATTTTAAGTGGATAAATATTTGTTTGCTTCAATGCTCAACCAAATTGTTTCTTGAGGAATGTTTAAAATATATTAGAAGGCTTTTAGGGTGAGTGAACCAGGTTTACATGGTCACTTACATGGTGTGATTTGAGGGACACAAACCCACCCCCTCCTCACTCCCACCTCACTCTTACCATCACCACTGTCCTTACCACAGAAATTGCATTACCAAGCAATACTCCCAATCTATATAGCATTGATTTGTCTTTAAGTTAGTTTTCCGCATGGGGCTGCATGCAAGAGAAGCATCAACACTAAAATAAAACCTGAAAAGCTATATGGTGTGAATGTTTGTGTTTCCTCAAAATGCATTAAGTTGAAGTCCTAACTTCCACAATGATGGTATTAGATGTGGCCTTTAGGAGGTGATAAGATCATGACGGCACAGGCCTCATTAAAGGGATTAATGCACTTAAAATAGAGGCCCAATGGAGCTTGTTTTTCACTTCCACCATGTAAAGACACAGCTAGAAGGTGCCATCTATAAGGCATAGAGCGAACCCTCACCAGACACCAAATCTGCTGGAGCCTTCATCTTAAACTTTCCAGCTTCCAGAATTGTCAGCAATAAAGTTCTATTGTTTGTGATTCCCAATATATGGTATTTTGTTATAACAGCTCAAATACACTAAGAAAGAAAGCAGAGGAAGTTTGGACTTAAATCTCACACATATAAAAAAATTTCATTATGTTTTGTCTTTAATCTCCTAAACTCTGAAAAGTCTCTTTGAAAATCAGGATTTGCTGACTTTTGTCTAGTAACCCTCTACTCTAGCTCTCATAATTAACTTTTATTTATTTAGTGGCTCTTAGGCTTTCTAGGGAAAATCCATTTAGCCCCTTTGAAGTCTTTTCAGTTATGGCTCTACTCAACCTGGCCACCAAATTAATAAAACAAAATTGTGGATTAAGCAATAAAACATTTTTCTGTCTCTGAAGGCAGGACAGGTGCTAAAGTGTTATTACTTATAATTATTTTGTATTTCATTTTAATTGTTGTTTTAATAACAATATTTGGGTTAAGACAGAACAAGCCCCAGTTAAGTTTAAATGTTTAGTTCAGATTAAAATTTACATTTAAAATCTCCCTAACTCCTTAATTTTGGTGACAACAATGTAAAAAAGACATAATTTTGCCCTTAAGAAACTCATAATCTGGTAAATAACAAAATGATGCAAACATAATGTTAATATAGAGGAAATAAGGATCACAAACTGATGCCATGCATCAATTTCATAGTTTATAAGATATATTTATTAAATTACTTGGCCTTGTACTAAGTAGACCACTTATGAAAGAAAAAAAAACTTTTTTTTTTTTTTTTTTTTTCCAGAGAGAGATGGGACAAAGATTCAGAGCATAAGATGTTCTCTGAGGGCGCAAAAACTGAGAAACTGGAAGAGGGAGAGTAGTACTGGACTGTTTTGTGTTGTTAGAAAGTCAGTGAAGAAAAGAGGTAGAAGAAACATCGGTGAGGCTAGTCCTGGTTAAGCCAAAAAAGAGCAAACTTTGGATTCCAAGGTGATATGCCAAGGACAGACGTCAATTAACGCATGCTTTGGCTACTGTCAAGGTTAGTTGGGGGATAGTTGAGGACTGTCAAGGTTAGTTGGGGGATAGTTGAGGACGGGAATAAAATTATTTTGAAACACTCAGATGTTTAGCTTCACTTGGTCAATGCAAATGTTACGTCATTTAACTTCACATCTCCTTAGCTTACTTTTAAGAAGTTGGTAAATTAGTTTAGATAATTCCAACAATACTAAGAAAGGTGCAGGTCCTTCCATCCCCCACCAAAAGACAATAAAAATTAGAAAAACAATTTTTCCTTTGCATGTGGTCTCTGTACAAGGCAATGTGTTTCAACTGTGGATTATGAGAATGTTTACTTGAAATCTGGGACCAAATCACTGAGAGTGCTGAGAAAAAAATTTCAACTCCAAGATCCGAAGCAGCTGGCACAGCTGTGAAGCCAAGTTTGTGGGGCTTATTAGGGCAGCAGCTGGGCATGAACTGAATGAACAGAAAAGATAATTCCAATGTTTTGAAGGAAAGAATGCGATGAAAGGCACTGCTTCATCTTCCCTTGGTGAAACAAGAAAATAACTTAAAAAAATCACTAAGTGATCAGCACTTTAAATAAAAATGTCATTTTAAGGCATTCTGAAAACTTCAGGTTCTTCATCTCCCCCACACTCATTGCTGTCCTTCACAGATCATTGCCAAGTCAAATTTTCGGTTGCCTTTGATTTTTAAACTGGGCATTAGAGTGACTTATATAATATTTCAATTTCTTGAGAAAATTTAATTTGAAATAGGAAAAGCAAAGTCCAACTCTGTAGCATAACCTTTAGGAAAAACAAATTAGGGAATCTGGCATTTCCTATGTGTTCCTATCATTTGACATGAGGGCAAAGTTCTCAAAGTGGACTCTGGGAGAAGGAAGCAGAAAGTCTGTGATAATGATGTATTAAAGTTTACCTAGTTTCTGTGATATCTGCAAATGCTCTATTGCAGGATATTTCTGCCTTAGGGTGATTATTAGAGGGTTCTGGAAATTTTTTTATTAATATTGCCCTGTGATGTTAAAAATACATCAGGTCATGAATGAATAAAACCAAGGAGTATATGGTATAAAGGCTGGGTTGATCTTATTAATCATCTGTAGCAGATAAAGCTTGATTATTGTCTCACACCTCCCTTTCCCAAATCCTGTATATATTTCTCCATAATACTACATCCCACCTCTTTTCCAACTGTCATGACTCTTATGCTTGAAGAAATTAGTACGATCATGAAAATATGAATTTAATTCTTTCAAAGTGGTAATACAATTCAACACAGGTTTGCATTTGTATAAGTGGCTTCATCTATTTTATTGAGGTATATGAGCAGGTTAATTATTTTTGTGAGAATCTGATGTTTGCATATATGTGGAATAATTGTATGTTGCATCTGGGCATGACAAAGCTTCTAAATATTAGCTAAGTCTACATCTTGGCAGAAGTCTACATCTTGGCCAGGGTAGTGGAAGAGGAGATTCATTCAGGACCCAGAAGGATCTTGTGTCCTAATGGCATTGTACATAGATGTATTAAGCAAACTACACTCACAAATATTACTGAATGCAGGATAACTGTACTTAGTAAGTATATATTATGAGGTATATTTGGTTGTATACATTCATGAGATGAAAGATATGTACAAGGAATGAGGTTGTGGAATGTTAATAAAAATTGTACAATGCTTGGAAATTGGCAAAAGAGATGACTGGGTGTCCTTTCAGTGGAGTGATGAGTTTTGGCTAGTAGATTCTTGGAAGAATACCTGATTCAATAGAACTGTGCACTTTTTATTGACTTTCTAGTAGTTAAACTGCTTTACAAGTTTTTAGGAATAAAAATAAACTAACAGAAAAATCATGGTAATGAAAATGTTCATTGTACACAGTAATGCAAATGAATTTTGTCAAGATACACTTGATTTCTACCCTGTAGAAAAGATAACCCCAAATGTTACACATTTTATACCATGTAGACTCTTATCCAGTTTTGCCTCTATCAGTGAATTTATTTCATTACTTCTGACTGCCTATTCATACCTCTGGCCTTCATTGTCTCCTTTAAACTAAGTTTTAATATCGTATGGATTCCTATCTGATTTCACTTGCTAAGGCTGCTATAACAAAGTACCACAGATTGGGTGGCTTAAATCCAATGTATAGAAATACAACATATAGAAATACAATAAAGAAATGTATTGTCATACAGCTGTGGAGCCTAAAATTCTAAGACCAAGGTATCAGAAATGTTGGTTTCTTGTGAGGCTTCACTCCTTGGCTTGACCCATGGCGGCCTTCTCCCTGTGCCTTCGCATGGTTTTCCATCTGTGTTTCTCTGTCCTAATCATCTCTTCTTTTAAGGGCACTAGTAACATTGTATTAGGATCCACCCTATGACCTCAGCTTAACTTAAATTACCACTTTAAAAACCCTATCTCCAGTACAGTCACATTCGAAAGTGCTAGGTGTTAGGCCTTCAACATGATTTTTTGGGAACAAAACTCAGCTCATAACACCATTATTAATGAATTGAAGAAAATCTCTGAAAGGAGCTCATTTATTATTTTGCATGGGAGTTATTGTCATTTTCCTTTTTTGAATATTTTAATTTAGCAAGAGAAAGGTAAGGGATATGCTAGATCTTGTTAAGTCAGGTTCTATCTCTTGACTACAGAAAAGCAAGCTTTCACCCTAGTGGGAAAGGTATATGGTTTTAAAATATTTTGCTCATTGCCTATGTTTGGGCTTAACATATGTTGCTAACATTAGTTTTCTTGATACACAGTGGTCTGGTTTGGATAGAATCCCAGAACAACCAAAAATCTTCAAAAAGATTATAAAAATTCTTGCCTCGAGAATTATATGGAAATCAAATTCTCATGTTGGAGAGAAAATGTAAGTTACAAATTACCTTCAATTCTTTCTCTTCTTAACTCTAAGAGGAGAAGGAAGTCAGTAAAGGGAAGAAAATCTGATGTGTGTTTTGATAACAGACTAGCTCTCTGTGGAATCCTGTAGTTGTCACTTTATATTATCTTTCTTTATTAAAGCTAGCTTTATTAAGGCTCACTGGGACCAATATTGGTTGGACTGGCTGCTAACCTTCTCCAGGAAATGAAGCTGATTTTAGAGGGCTGATGGTATAATAGGGAGAGAAGAGAGAAATAAGCACAGGTATTGAACTTACTAGGCTCAGCTCCAAGGTTGAACAAGAGAATGAGCTTCAGTTCTAAGGACACACAGCCTGACAGAAATCTACATTTCTTGTTGCATAGATTGTCCTCATGTTGAAGACTTAAGATATAGTTCTGCTCACATTAAAGATCAGTTTCTTGAAATTGTTATGCTTATTTATTGAGTGTAAACAGCAGAAAAGGTAATATTTGATAAATTTCCTATAGATGTGTCAAAAGTGTTTAATGCTGACAAAAGAAACACAAGAAAATAAAAAGTCTTAATCTTAAACTTTTACAACTTTCGAAAGTTATATTGAAATTCCCAATAACAGCATACCAAGCTGTTGGCAAGATGATGCATGCTAAACAACCTAAGAGAGTTTAAAGACTTTTAAATGGAATACACTTTGCCTATAAATTTAAGTTGGGGAGCTCCTCCACATATAATCTCAAGTTAACTTGCAGTCTATCAACCAAGCAATTATAAGTGGATTTACTCTGCAATGAACCAAATGACTCAATTGCACTCTCATTTACTCTCTGTCTCAGCCTCAGTTTATGTATGAGGTAACAGCAATGACAAAACCTCTCATACAGGATTATTACAAAGATTTGATATATTAACCTAGCCTGTAAAAGTACTCGATAAATGGCATATTTCCTACATAAATAAATATATGTATTTTATTGTGGATAGCCAGGGCATAGAAAGGTATTGGAGCATTATGCTTCAATTTTTATTTCGTTAAGGTAACTTTGCATTGGTTTACATGATTGGGTTTGGTATGCATGATAGGAGTCATAGAAATGTGTTAGAAAGACTATTGTACAATACAATTTGTACTGTATTGTAATAGTTCAGATAAAAGATTTTGAAGCCCTAATTTAAGGTAGTAAATGTAGGGTAGAAGAGGAAATCATACCTATGAGAGATGTTAAGAATCTAAAGTTTTCAAAACTTGATCACAGAATGGTAGAGTAGGTGGAGAAAACAGAGAAGTCAAAGATATGTCCACATTTTTGGAAGGTAAAATGGAGAATCACAATAAGTCACAGGTTTTTAATAATCTGCCTTTCCCCTAACTCTTTGGCCTCTTTTTATAGCATAAAACATACAGCAAAAAGATTTTATAAAAATATAAACCAAAATGTTTCACTAGTCTCCTTAAATCTCTCCAGTGAGTTCCATGACTTTTAAGATAAAATCCAAATCCCAGTATGCAATAGGATTGCCGTGACTGTGCTCAGGCCTCTGAAATCCGTTTATGCCACACCCTTCCTCATTTTTCATGCCCAAGCCATACAGCTTTATTTCCACTTTTGAAACACAGTTAGCACTTCCCTAACTCAAGCTTCCCTAGCTGCTATCCCTCTGCCTGGACCAACTCTTCTCCATCTGACATTTGACCACCTTAAATATCATCTCCTCAGAAAAGGCCTCCCTGGCCAAATAATCTAATGTAAACCTATAATTGCTTTTTAATCATAGCATTATATTCATTTTTCTGGAGATAATCTCTTATAACATGTTAAAATAGATTTATTCACTTACTTAATTATTTATTATAAACCACTTCCAAAGATTTTCAACAGCATGAATCCAAAGACTATGTCAATTTGCTTCAGCCACTGTATGTCTATCACTTATCAAAACACCTGGTATATAGAATGCAGGTCATATATACATATCTCTATGAAAGAGTAGTAGCACACTCTAGTAGCACACGTGGAAATTTGGCCTGACAGATGTTACGGCATTTTGTTGTGGTTGATGGGAAGATATAGTAATAAAATTAGCCTGTTGTCATGGATTCTGCAAATTATTCTCAGTTTTTTTTTTTTTGTCTTTTGACATTGCGAAGACAGCACTGACATTTAAAGGGTGGAATAAGAAGAGGAATTAGACAAAAATCTGTGATTTCTTCATCAGTTACTTATAGTGTAAGAAACAATGGAGACGTCTAAGGAAATGTAGATCACCAAGGATGAAGCATCAAGAATGCAGAGTAGCCAGGCCCGGTGGCTCCTGCCTATAATCCCAGCACTTTTGGAGGCCAAGGAGGGTGGACCACTTGAGGTCAGGAGTTCAAGACCAGCCCAGGGAACATGATGAAACCTTGCCTTTCCTAAAAATACAAAATTAGACGGGTGTGGTGGCGTGTGCCTGTAGTCCCAGGTGCTCAGGAGGCTGAGGTGAGAATGGTGTGAACCTGGGAGGCGGAGTTTGCAGTGAGCTGAGATTGGGCCACTGCACTCCAGCCTGGATGACAGAGTGAGACTGCATCTCAAAAAAAAAAAAAAAAAAAGAAGAATGTAGACTAGCTTCAGAAGTCAAGTCAATTCAAGGCACAGCCAAGGGAAAGAAGATACTATAGAAGACACTGGATATTTATATTAATCCCAGAGGGATTTTAGCAGACTAAATACTTGATAGAATTCATATGCAAGTCTCTTCTCCCAGGCTGATTGGGTCTTCAGAGTAAATGTGTGTGTGTGTGTGTGTGTGTGTGTGTGTGTGCGCGCGTGAGTGTAAATAAAAAGAAGAATTTAGCAGGGAAAAGGAAAAAAAAAAAAAAAACAGAAGTGCCAGTGTAGCTTTTTACTTTTAATCTACAAAGATCTGGTGTTCCCAAACAAATCCTATGAATGTCACAGCCTCTATTGCTGTCCCAAGAGTCCTGGGTGATGAAAACGGGCAATATTTAATCACTCTATGTATGGGTGAGCTCTGATGCTCTCAGATCTCTTGAGGAAGAGAAGACCCCAACGTGTCCCTCTTTTTTAAGATAGGTGTGTTATAATGTTAAAGATCCGACATATGGAAGTATTGTCTTTAAAATTATTATATCCTCATAGACTCAATTTGCATATTTCTAAAAATAAAACAAAACCTTGATTGTAGAGCTCTTCAGCCAAAAATGTAAAGAAATTTACACATGGGTTTTAACATAAAATTTTAGTCACTTAAATGGATACTCAATCCATCTCAACTCAGTGCCCTCTTAAACTACATAATTGCAAGTACTCTTCTATTCCCATCTGCCATGAAGACGGTATTCACTGGAAAAGAACCAGATGTGGTAAACAAATTAACATGTGTGCCATTGTCAAATGCTGCTGTTCTAAAGTGTGTCAGTAACATGGCAATTAATGCCTGTGAACAGCTGTTTTTTAAGAGTATGGGAAGTGATTACTTTGCCCCATAAATGGATGAATTCACAGATGTTTCAGGTTGTGCTCAGTTGTTGGCATTTGTAAGATATATTTTGGAAAACACTGTGAATGAAAGCATGCTGTTTCGTGAAACTTTGCTGGATGATACAACAGGAAAAGGAAACTTTCTGAAATATTTCAAGTGACAACACAGATTTTAGGGTAAGATATGGTCTCCAGTTCTTCATCTAGATTTAAGCAAATCAACTATTAGAAAAATAAAGAGCCTTCTCTTGCCTACTGCTTGCTGGATATATTGTGCTATCCACCACAATTATGTAAACAATCATTTCTTTGGAGATATGTGAAAAAAACAGCATCAATAGTCGACTCTCTTCTTTATGCATATCTTCAATGGCAGTGATAGAAGAATTTAAAGTGGGCTAATAAAAATGTACTCAAGTGTTACCATTCATTCTTGATCAAAAAATTAAACCTGACATACTAATTAGTAATCCATTAAGGTTTACAAGGTCAGCTTCGTGGAATATCTTTTCCTTTTTTCTCGCTTTTTGGATGATATTAACATTTTTGAGACAAAGAGACATGCATCCCATCCTTATTATTGCTGACAAAATTGAAGCTGCCATAGAATCAGAGGCTTAGTTAATTAAATTAAAAGGCAATATTAGGTTTATTTTCTGCCAAAATAAAATACAAACACCAACCAGATTTATCATTCATAACCATTTTTAAGAAATATGGAAAAAATTGTGATAAGAAAACAGTTGGCTTTCTCAAAGTAATAATTATATTTTTTCCTCCCAGAATTATTTAATCATTATGAAAGTTATTTTTCTTCTCTTTCCTTTTTTTTTCTTTTCTTTTTTTTTTTTTTTTGAGACAGAGTTTCACTTTGTTGCACAGGCTGGAGTGCAGTGGCACGGTCTCAGCTCACTGCAACCTCCGCCTCCCAGGTTCAAGCAATTCTCATGCCTCAGCCTCCTGTATAACTGGGATTACAGGCGCTCGTCACCACACCCGGCTGATTTTTTTTTTTTTTTTTTTTTGTATTTTTGGTAGAGACGGGGTTTCACCATGTTGCCCAGGCTGATCTTGAACTCCTGAGCTCAGGTAATCCACCCATCTCGGCCTCCCAAGTGCTAGGATTAGAGGTATGAGCCACCTTGCCTAGCCAAAAGTTATTTTTGCATCTTTAATTGTGAATTCTTTATTCTTTATCAAAATGGAATGTAAGCTTTATTATTACCCCATACTACACAGATACACTTGCTTATTGACCCTATTTCAAAAAAGTCAGAAAATGTATTCAGATTACATATAGTGTTGCAAGAAAACAATTTCAATCAACTGCTTCACATTGTGAGGAATTACTGCAATTGTGGTAGTTTATCACAATAAATTCACACCCATGATTGTGAACTAAAGAAAAAAGATTCCAAAGTAAAATCAAAGAGGAATATATTCTGTTTTTCAATTAACCTAAACAACCAGGTTTCATAGAGACAAAATTAGTTACTTTCAACCAAGGATTTATAAAGTAATACATTTGGAGGTAGTAACATATGAAGAAGCAGATTTAGGCTGGGTGTGGTGGTTCACACCTGTAATCCCAGCACTTTGGGAGGCTTAGGTGGGTGGTTCACTTGAGGTCAGGAGTTCAAGACCATCCTGGCCAACATGGTGAAACCTCATCTCTACTAAAAATACAAACATGAGCTGGGCGTGGTGGTGGGTGCCTGTAATCCCATCTACTTGGGAGGCTGAGGCAGGAAAATTGCTTGAACCCAGGAGGTGGAGGCTGCAATGAGACGAGATATTGTGTTGCTGCACTGCAGCCTGGGCGACAGAGAGTCTGTCTCAAAAGAAAAAAAAAAAAGAAGAAGCAGATTTAAAACCATCTGAGATGAACCTGAATCGTATTTTTCTGTTCTTGTTCCCCAGTGCAACACCTGCACTTTTCTAGCCACTCTATAATTTCAGCTGTTTTCTCTTAGAATTCTAGTTGGAAAAAACAAAAAAAGCCCATAATAAACCCCTCATAAGGTTTAGATCTGTGTCCTTGTCCAAACCTCATGTTGAATTGTAGTCCCCAATGTTGGATGTGGGGCCTGATGGGAGGTGATTAGATCATGGGGATGGTTTCTCATGAATGGTTTAGGACCATCCCCTTGGTACTGCCCTTGTGATAGTGAGTTCTCATGAGATCTGGTTGTTTAAAACTATGTAGCACCTCCCTCCTTTCTCTCTTCCTCCTACTCTCATCATGTGACATGCCTGCTTCCCCTTCACCTTCTTCCATGATTGTAAGTTCCTTGAGGCCTCCCCAAGAGCCAAGCAGATGCCACCATCATGCTTCCTGTATGGCCTGCAGAGTGTGAGCTAACTAAACCTCTTTTATTTTTAAATTACTCAGTCTCATGTATTGCTTTATAGCAACGTGAGATCACACTAATACAATTCTTTTTGTCTTTTGTGCCTCTGAAGGAAGAAATAGATATCCACTGAAAAATGTAAAAAATGCATTAGTAGTTAAACACATCTAAATTATTTATTTGCATTAGTATAAGTGGAATAATTAAAAAAAATATTTATATATTTGTTACTTTTTTATTGCCATGATGAAGTAACAGAGACCAGATTATCTTTCTACTTTAAACAGTTAAAACACAAAATATTTGAAATGATGGACATTGGACAATAAGCATAATGGGGCAATAATTCCTGAGAGAAGAAAAAAAATATGGTGAGCCCTTCGATGGCCCCAAAGTACCACATAGAAAGTATTTCCAAAAACGAGAATTGAAAGACACAGTTCAGATTTCAGGAAGGGCAAAGTAGGTAGAATTTGTAGGGTGGAGTGCCACAGAGGATAGAGCTGAAAAAAGAGAGAGGAGAGAGAGAAAGAGGACAGATAGAAGGAGAGAGAGAAAGAAGTATCTCTCTGAAATTATGGAGACATTTCCCTTTAAGTTTTCACCAGAGTAATAATCAATACAAGGATATGTGGAAACTACTGACACTGGGAAAGGGACCCCTCAAAATGAGCCTATAGAACCACCTTCAGAGTTCACATAGGAACAGGAGCAGTTTGTTCCCATCAGACACAATGGAAAGGCCTTCTGATGCATGTGATATTGAGTAGAATTCTCAGAAGGATATTGCCTCAGTAATGAGCACATGTTAAAACTAGACTACACTGATCTTAGTCCACCTAGCATAGAAACCCTCAAAAGGATCAAATTCTTTCCAACTAATTTAACTGTATGAAGAAAGAGATTTAAAAATATTTAAAGGAAAACAAAAACTGTACACCAAAGCACAAAATTCACAATGACTGGAATAAAACAAAATTACCAGGAATGCAAATAGGCAAATACAATTCATAATGAGAAAAAACCTCAATTGACAGAGACACAACAAAAGATATGAATATGAGAATAATGTGCAAGGAACTAACACCACAATTATAAATATATACCGCATGTGCAATAAAATAGATGTCCCATAAATATAAAAAAGAGAAGCATGTGTGACATAAACATGGCCCAAATCAAATTCTAGAAATTAAAAAATTAGGTATCTGAAATGAAAAATACATTGGATGGGATTAAGACTAGATTATATGTAGCAAGAAAAGATGAGTAAAATTGAAGACATAGCAATCAAAGTTATACAAAGTTGAAACATAGAAAATATAATTCACAAGTTTACATACTAATGTAAGATGCTAATATTAATGGAAAGTTGATGTGAGGTATATACTCTCTGTACTATTTTTACAACTTTTTGTAAATTTAAAACTATTCTAAAATATAAAATATATTTAAAAATTGAACAGAGGATCAGTGTGAGCCACGGGACAATATCAAACAGACTATATTAATGTATTTATAGTAATAGGAAAGGAGAGAAAATACAAAAATTATTTTAAAAATGGTCAAAGTATTTTCAAGTTGTATTAAGTTATAAAGCTACATATTCAAAAAGCTCATCAAAGACCAAGTGAAAAAACATGAAGAAAACCACTCCAAGTCATAGCATAATCAAATTGCTTAGTCTATGATCCATGTGACAAGAAGCATGTTCTTTAATCCTTCTCATTTTCTGCACATTATTTTATAAGCTTGCCTCTGAGTTTTCTAGACTTAAATTTTGCCACATCACCACGTTACTGTCTAGCTATTTTGTACTGCTAGAATTCTCTAGAAAACTTTATATTCTCACATGCCTACTTCTTCTGCATTAAATGGTTTTCCTGTTTTTGTGTAGTCCAGGGCAACCTATTTGTTCTTAAGTGTTCTGCTTAGATGTCACCTCTTCTTCATGGTCTTCCTTGAGTTCCTTCTATGTGCTCTGTAGGTACTCAGAATATGCTTGTTGAATGAATGAATGAAAAGATGGATGGATAAATAAGTAGTAATTAAGATAAAGTTAGTTGTTTCATCTAAGCTAGTTCACTGGTACAAACTCCTTCTCCTTGGAATTCTCTTGAGAAATCTAAGTCTTTGGACTAGTAGGTGACCATCTATTCTGGTTTATGGTGTAATAAGAAAAGATGAATTATTATGGAGAATACTTTCTCAGGCTTCTGCCATTCAGGGTTTCAGCTCTCTGATGGATGACAGATTGAGAATGGACACACTTCCTCACAGCTCCTTCAGTTTCTGCAGAGGATCTACACACAGACATACATATGTTTCTGCAGCCATAAAGACCATGATATCAAAATGTAGCCAAGTCTCATTGTTATTATGATTATGGCAGTTTAGACTTCATGATAAAAACAATACTAAAATCATTAGTAAGTAATAATAATAATTATTATTTATTGTATAACCAATGTTATTCTAGGAACCAAGGCCATGACTGAGATGAGGCAAGTGAGATCCAAAATTTAAGGAGGTGCCCAATATCTCAGTAATGAAGGTAAACATATTTTAAAGCAATGCTTTTTTTTAAACAAAAACTAGTGAAAAAAATCTATGATGAACAAAACATCAAAATTTTAAGCAAAGATAGACTCAGTATGACTGATATTTTGTCATCAGTCTCCAATGTAACTTGGTGTGATGCTTTTACTGATTCTGCTTAAGAATTATGGATTGATGAAAAATTAACTGTGCCAACAGACATCACCTGAAAACTCATTTAAAAGGATATATGTTATCTAGTTTGGTGAGTTACCACATCCTTTGACATAATCTTTTATTGTAGTATAAAGGTGCATGTCAGAGTCAGTGTCCACAGTAAGATCATAGTTGTATAGCCTGTATAAAGATCAGAGAGGATGTAGGCTCTTGTTTCCTTCTGAGTTTCCTTAAGAAAAGCAATGATCTCTCTGGACCATACTTTTCTGAACTTTCAAATGGTTAGAAATAAATATACTGCAAAAAACAAAAACAAAAACAAAACTCCTCATATGTTTACCTCAGAGGGTTACTGTACTTTGTAAAACAAACAAAAGAAAACAATTTTATGTTGCCTTTTATTAATGTCATCTACGAGTGTTCTTAATTTCAAGGTTAAGACTGATTTGCCAGGAGAAGATCTGAACTGAGCTAGCTCAGTGATCTTAGAGCAATACTTGCAGAAATATGACTCTGCTTGGCTGTGTGTAAGCCAAAAATGTTTGACAGCAAGATAATTAGGCAACTTCAGAGCAGCATGCCGAATGGAGCAAGAAGGAGTACTGTAGATTCAAACTTACACACCCCTTTGAGCCATATGGCACAGCTGTGGAGTGTGAAATATGTCAGACCAACAGAAGGGGCCATTGAATCAGAATTGAATTGATTGATCTTGAGCAAACACACCAGGAATTTTGCAACAGGAACAAATAATACAGGTTGAGCTCAGCTTGATCATGTTACTAATTAATCATTGACTTTCCTATGCCACCTTATAGTTTACAAAATGCTTTCACAAACAACTCCTTTGAGCCTCATAGCAAGCTTGAGAAAAATGTGAGCATTGATGTCACATCTACATGGAGAAAACTGAGACCTAAGTAGATTTGTTCAATTTTATTTGTGAGTAAGAATTGGAGCTAGTTCCTAAAGCCATCTGGCCCCAAATTAAGTAATTTTTCTATTGTATCACCTTTTATCCATTTCATTGTCATATGCAGAGAGGAAAAAACACCAAATTACTCTTTCCTTTTCTTGGTGACATTAGCACACATATATGTTGACAATGTCTTGCCTTTATATTTTTACCTTTATTCTTTAATTTATTATTTTGAACAACCTCAAGGTTACAGAAAAATTGAAAGTATTACAAAAATAATTTTTCCTTTACCATTTGAAAAAGTGGCTGTCACGTGTCTCATCACCCCCAGATACTTCAGTATGTGGTTTTTAGAGCAAGATAATGTTTTCTGCAAATCACAATACAACCATCAAAATTAGCACTGACATATTACTACCATTTATTCCTTAAAGTTGAGTTGAAGCTGCCATCCGAGTTTTACCAAATGTTCCAAAGTGTTCCTTATGGCAAAAGAATTCAGTTCAGAATTGTATGATGCATTAATCTCTTTAATTTTCTTTATTCTAAAATGATTTCTCAGTCTTTGCTTGGCTTTCTTACATTGGCACCTTTATTGATAGAGGCCAGATATTTTATGGAATGTTTCTCAATTTGAATTTGTCTGATGTTTACTCACAACTGGATTCAGGTTGTTCATCTAAGGTGAACATATTAAAGAAGTAATATTGTATTCTGCTCGTTGCATCTTATTAGGTTGCCTAAGATCTCAATGTGTCACATTTATGGTAATGTTAACTTTGATCACTTGTTTAAAGTGGTGCCTACCATGCTTCTTCACCATGCAGACGTTGAATTTATTCATTTGTTTTTGTAAGTCGCTGTAAATTGTGGTTTCTACTTTATTCAATAAGCTGCTACCCATTAACATCATTACTTCTTTTGATGTTCAAACTGTCCCATGTTTGGCCAGTGGGAGTCCTTTACATCGCCTTCTGTGTTCTTTTGGCATCTCTGTTCATCATTTGAACCTTTTCTTGTTTTCTGGTATAATATGATGTTCTAAGGTCATTTTGTCCTTTCCTGCCCAATCTCTAAAATCAAACTTTTCTGCAGAGACTCCTGGTTCTTTCTGGGTGAGAATGAAATTTAGAAATCAATATCTGAGTTCAAGGTGTGCTTATTACTATTGGGATGTCCCTGCTTCCAGGATTTTTTGATGGAAAACCTGCAAAACACATTCACAGACGCATATTTACATTTTTATATATTTCTGTATTTTTACATTAAAAATAATGAGTTTTTACAAATGTGGAAAGCGGGAAAACTAGTGTAAATCCTATGGTATTACATTGCAATTAAAAGTCTTTCTACATTTGTAATTTCCTTCTTTGTTAGTGAGAAACCTAGTTTCCATTATTATCAGCATAATTCTTTATATGATCAGTTCCCCGTCTATGTACCCAATATCCCAACACTGCTGCTACCTTCACACATAGATGCCTTTCTTATCTCACTTGAGCTCTAACATCTCACTCCAGGCTGCACTGCTCCTACAACATGTGAACGCCCTCATCTCTCCAACTTTATCCCAGCTCCCTGAGTAAGACTACACTATAGCGTGGAATTCCCCCTCATTTCACCTCTCCACCTGCCTCACCTGGGGTCTGATACCTCCCGACAATGTGTTCTCCCATGTGGAGATACGCTCTTCTTACTAAGGTTATCACTTTCATACTGTATAGTCATCCCATGCAGGTGTCTTTTTCAACCCACTTGGGTTCCCACACCCAGAGAAAAAACAGCCTTTATGGAGACATCTTTCTCATACTATTCATGATCACATTCTCCATGCCGAGTTCCCTCTCCCATGCTGGTATTTCCTTCTCAGGCCATTCAAACACTGATGCTTCCATTGGGTTAACCCCTCCTCATCCCATTTGGGCTCCAAACCCCATGCTAGTCTACCTTATAATTTGCTTCCTTGTACATTGTGCATGCCATCCTCACCTACCTTTAGCCATGACATCCCACACTGACTACTCCCCTGACCCCTATGGTTACCCTATCTCATGGCTTGTAGACTGATTTTATTGTGTGTGCATGTGAAGGGAATGGGAGATGGAAGGGGAAGAGGAAGAACAAAGCATTGTCTTTAAACATAGACAGGATGACTTTCTCGTACCATTGTCCTTTTTGTCTTACAACAGGCATTTTTTTTAATGAAACTGATTTGCGTGTTCTTTCATGTTGTTCAGATGTGATAATCTCAAGCCACATCCCAGAGTGATATTAATGAAGTGCAGAAACCATATTCTATAATATATCAACAATATATGATGCCATGTAGAGACTATATTTTGAAGGATGCTTTTGAAAGAATACTTCATATGACACCAGATGATTGGAAATTGGTTTCCATCATGTTGGCTCACTTGATAGAATAATTTTCCATTCGTGGTAATTAATTATGACATTTTAATGCTAATTGGACAAGATTGTCTTTATTAGTGAATAAAACCAATTGGCTTTTTGCTCTTTCAGAGAAAAGTGTAAAAACAATAGAAAAAATACTTGAAGCTATAACATCAGCAGGGAATTATTTTGACAGCACACTTTATAAGGAAAAATGTGTGTGAAATATGCTAGCCTAGTCGTTCTTTTTCAGTACCTTCTTTCATTTTTATTTTGTGACTCTTTCCTTACCGAGTATGTTCTTGGCCTGTTATGTTCATTATAGCATGTGTGTAGGTATATGTGTATATCTTAATTTAAATAAACAATTAATATGAGACTCAGGTCTCCAAATGAAGACCCAAAATCTTGTACATTGCAAAGTATAATGCATCTTTATGGTTTGTGAGGTGAGATCTCTTAAAATCACTTTTTGGAGGGTCCAGGTCAACTTAATAGATCCCCTATTAATTATTCATCCCAACTAAGACACCTAAACCACTTCATAATTAGGTCACTTCTAGTCCTCTGGGCAGTGTACGACAAGGAAAAGAAGATTGAGAGTATAATGAATATTAGGAAAATGTCAGTATTGTCACTTCTCCAAAAACTCTATTCCTTCTTCCACATCAGTACCTTAAAATAAGGACAAGGAAATTTGGAGGGAAGGAGGCCATATATGTTTTTAAAATGCTGTATACCCAGGGTTTCTGAATAAAACAAAGAGTATAAAAGCGCTACCTTTTTCTTTCTTTCTTTTTTTTTTTCAATTGAGATGGAGTCTTACTCTGTTGCCCAGACTGGAGTGCAGTGGCGCAATCTCAGCTCACTGCAACCTGTGCCTCCTAGGTCCAAGCGATTCTCCTGCTTCAGCCTCCCGAGTAGCTGGGATTACAGGCGCCTGCCACCATGACCGGCTAACTTTTGTATTTTTTAGTAGAGACAGGGTTTCACCATGTTGATCAGGCTGCTCTCGAACTCCTGACCTCAGGTGATCCACCTGCCTCGGCCTCCCAAAGTCCTGGGATTATAGGTGTGAGCCACCGCGCCCGGCCCAGCACTACCGTTTTTAAGATCAATCACAGAAAATTAAATTGGTAGTGATGCTTACAAGAGAAGTGAGAAATATTCAGATGCACAGTTATAGAAAATGCCCCTAGAAATGGAGGCAGGACAGTGCAGTATTCTTGCTATTGCATATGGTGTGAGAGATTTGCAGCCAGAATGGCTGTAGCAGAACATGGTGTCTAAACACAACTAGTAGTGGTACAAACCCAGTGTTGCTGTTCTCATTTCACACAGGAATCCCCAGAACCCTTGCTCTCCACTTGTGAACGATTTAGCAAGGCCTGTCTTAGAAATTCCAGTTAATTAGGGATCGATCAGAAAGTGTTCATCTTATTTATGACTTAGCTGTGTTGTATACCTGCCACTCATACCTCAGTTATATCTGACTTATTGTGTTATGCCCAAGAAATACTTTTTATACATAAAAGTACAGCTTTAATGAGACATAAACTTATACGTTTCTTATTTATTTTATAATTGCTTTATGCAGTGGTCCCCCCTAACCTGATGGGAATATGTTCTAAGACCTCCAGTGGATGCCTGAAATCACAGATAGTACTGAACCCAATACATGTTATGTTTTTTCTATATATACATGCCTATGATAAAGTTTAATTTATAGATTAGACACAGTAAGAGATTAACAGTAATACATAATTATAAAATGGATCAATTGTAATAATATACTGTGACAAAAGTCATGTGACTGTGGTCGCTCTCTCAAAATATTTTATTGTTCTCTACTCACTCTTCTTGTGATGATGTAAGATGATAAAATGCCTACATGATGAGATGAAGTGAGGTGAATGACCTAGGTGGAATAGGATATATCAGAAGTCTGGGATGAGGATCATCTGCTTTAAGTGGTCCTGGATCTTGGAGCCATGATGAAGTTGATGGTTGGATGTCAGAAGCAGACAATGTCAATAACTAACATGTGGGCAGCATATACAGTGTGGATTAACTTGACAAAGGAATGATTCGCATCCTGGGTGGGACAGAGCTACACAGCACGAGATTTCATTACACTACTCAGAAGGGCACACAATTTCAAACTTCTAAATTGTTTACTTCTGGAATTTCTCATTTAATATTTTTGGACTCCCATTGACCTCAGATAACTGAAATAACAGAAAGTGTAATCATGGATAAAGGAGGACTTCTGTACATAGGGTTCTCCCATGCAATGAACTTCCTCTGACATTATGCAGCAACCAGCTTACTCTGATTCAAACTTGACAGCATTTATCTCCCACTGTCTCTTCAACTGCCATCTGGCTGGGCTTCTCTAGATCTCAGCCAATCTTGCTTGACTTGGTTGCCTTGAAAAGATCTTTCAGCTCCAGCACAAGTCAAACCCTCCTGGTCCATGCCAGATGGGGCTTTCCTTGAGGGATAAAGGATTAGAAACTCTTAGTGCCAGTTATACTTGTTAATGTCAAGTGAGGCTGAGTATGATTTTTCTTGTTTTCCCAAAAGCATGACTCCAGCAGAGGGGACAGTATAAGAACGAGCTAAGAGATGAGATGAGACCTTGTGAAATGTTTGTGAATATTGTTGGAGAAGTGTGTTCACCTTCCCAAAACCAAGGGATTCACTTCATAAGAATACGTGTCCAAAAGAAAGACAGAGAGAAGTTGGTTCTTCGGTGGCTGGCTGCTTATCCAGAGCACTTGCCAAAGTGTTCCTGTACTACATAGGCAGAGAAATAGCATTAGAAAGAAATGGAAGAGCAGGGAAGGAGGAAGCTGCCTGGAGTTGCTTGTCCTTCACATGTGGCAATATCATCTGACCAGACAGGAAGAACTTCTTCAGTGAGAGGCTGTGGGATAGACTGACACTGGTGGGAAATACATGGCATTGTAATAGACATAGGCAGAGCCTTATTTTTGAGGTAGGAAATTGTGCTATAGGATACCCACTTGGAGGAGATTCTTACTAACCTATCAGGGTCTCCTGCTCCAAAAAAAAAAAAAAAAAAAAAAAAAAAAGGCAATTGGTACATAGAAAACAAGAATAACCAGTTTCAGTTATCTAGAGAAACAACAAAAATCAACCTGACCAAACTGATCCCTCTTCTGGATAAGCCAAGAAACATTTTCACTTCCCCTATCCATCCCTCCTTCCAACCATAATAACTAGAACTAGAAAAAGAAAAAGAGGAATGTGTAAATAATCATCCTGTCTGCTCTTATCTTCTCTCTCCCTGTTTTGGAACACCAAAGCTGGCCAGGCATGGTGGCTTATGCCTGTATTCCCAGCACTTTGGGAGACTGGGACTGGTGGATCATGAGGTCAGGAGTTCGAGACCAGCCTGGCCGACATGGTGAAATGCCATCTCTACTAAAAGTAACAAAAATTAGCTGGGTGTGGTGGCAGGCACCTGTAATCCCAGCTACTTGGGAGGCTAAGGCTGGAGAATCATTTGAACCTGGGAGGCAGAGGCTGCGGTGAGCCGAGATCACGCCATTGCACACCAGCCTGGGCAACAAGAGTGAAATTCCATCTCAAAGGGAAAAAAATAAAATAAAATAACACTAAAGCCATAAGAGATTTAACCTGGACTGGTGAAAAGGAGAAGAAACTTATAATCTAGTTAAATAATCAAGGCAGCATCTTCAATAATGAAAAACTCTTCTAATTATTGAGAAGTGACTAGAAATATATTGAAAACGTCAATATATTAAGGGACTCACTACATAGCAGTATTTGCATAAATAACATTGTTTTGTGCTTATATCATCAGAAGTTGATATTCTTGCATAAACTGTCTACACAAATTTAATGACCCTGGACATTCACTTACACCTTTTGAGCTTTAAAGTTTGAAAACATGGCTTTACATTTAGACAGTTAAAGTTATAAGGAATGGAAATTCATGAAGGATAGTAAAGAGCTGACAGAGTACAAATCATTTTCCTCTGCTTTTCAGTCTGTAGACAAGATAAAGGGCACCACTGGCTAGATATGAAGGTCAGTATTGCATGGTAAAAAGCCTCATGGTAAAAAGCCTCACTTGAACTTAGGACAGAAGGGAAACATTGAAGGAAGATGTATCTCAGACATTAGGAGACAGGAAATGACATTAAGTGGCCAACACTGAACAAGGTAGGTCATAAACAGGGAGGAGAAGAACATGACAAACCTAAAACCAAATATCAAAGGCGGAACAAGTTTTAGAATGAAGAAAACCAGAACTACAAGTCCTCAGAGGTCTGTAATAAACTTACCTTGAAATATTGCTGAAGCATGCGTTCATTTCACTAAATGAGTTTCAATTAGTGTTGAACTTCCTCATTAATTGGGCCACAGAAGTAAATATGATACTGTCAAATCCTTTCCCAAAATTGCTTATAATCTAGAGAAATGGAAAGAGTTCAATGTTCCCTCTCTCTCACTTCCTGTCAATAAAAAAAGTTTTATAAACTTTTATCTTCCTAAGGAATTTCTGGTTCTCTTAATGCAGTTTATTTAAAATAAACTCATTTCAAATTAAGATTTTAATCTTTTTAACAGTGAAATTCTATCAAAATCCTTGTCACTGGGGCAAAGATTTTTACATGTAGCCAATCTAGACAGAGTCAAGGCTAAGATTCACTTAGAGAGCTGTGTGGGGCTTACCTGATTTTGTCTATTCTGGGTCATAGAATTCTGACTGCCACAATTGACAGAGTTAGCCTCGCCAATGTTGCTCAATATTAACATTCTACAGGCTGGGCACGGCGACTCACACCTGTAATCCCAGCACTTTGGGAGGCCAAGGCGGGTGGATCACGAGGTCAGGACATAGAGACCATTCTGGTTAATACGGTGAAACCCTGTCTCTACTAAAAATACAAAAAATTAGCTGGGCGTGGTGGCACGTGCCTGTAGTGCCAGCTACTCGGGAAGATGAGGTAGGAGAATTGCTTGAACCTGGGAGATGGAAGTTGCAGTGAGCCGAGATCGCACCACTGCACTCCCGCCTGAGTGACAGAGCAAGACTCATCTAAAAAAAAAAAAAAATTCTACAGGCATTCTTTAGTTTGGGGATTATTCAGGATGCAATTCATATATGTTGATAATGACTGAGTGCAAACTATAGGAGTAGGATGAACTGTATCCATGTCCCTTCAGCTATGTCCTCCATTGAGGCTGATTTCCATGTCACAGAATATATGATGAGAGCTCTTAGTGAGACAGTCTAAGGGCTGGATTTCTGTAAATCTCTTGTTAGTTGATATTTTTGTCTGAAATGCCCCAGTACAATTATTTATCTTTTGATTTCCATATTATTCTGTGTTGCTGTACAGGAGTCTTACTGCTTCTTGCAGACAACTTTCAGTCCTTGCATTTGCATTTGTTCAAAATTCTGTCCTTTAAGTGCAGAAGTTTTACTTAGTACCACAAACTTCAAAACGTTAGCTGTTTAGTTCACTCATTGAGAATGACTGAAGGTGCATTCCTCTCTCTCTGTTTCAGGTAACCATGCTGTTTATACTCTCTTAGCTACATATTTCCCCCTGCCACTTTGCCATACTGCATACTCTGGTGAAGGGCTCCTTGACACACAGTCATTTACAGCTTGAAGTTCCTTGATGAAAACGGATTCCTCAATGAATTTGTGTATTACCATTGAATATTCTTCTTTACGTGATGCAATTGTGCATCTCGCTGGATGCCTCTCAGACCGACACATTCATTTCTCCAGTAGTCATGAGTATTGGCTGTAGAATATTGGTTTACAACTTTTTCACTTAGGAAATTATCCTCAGCCTGAGTTAGCTGCCTCCCATGGGTTTGTTCTTTCCTGGGGGGCAGCTTGCATCCTAGGAGTGGTACACACAATTTTGCAAGACCTGGCCCTGTTGTGCTGATTTGTGATCATTCTGAGAGGCCAACTCTTCTATGGGTGCCCATGGGTCTGGCTGTGACTCTTTTCCTTCTGCATTGCAGTTCAGCTTCTCCCTCTGCCAAATCCTGCTTCCTTATGGATGTTGTTCCAATGTGCTTCCCTAATGCAGCTCCTGCATGCAAATTTCTATCTCATACACTGTTTCTGAGGACTCTGAACTAAGTCAACTTCTGCCAAGATGGATTCTAAAGAGAAAATTGTAAAATGAGATATTAAATCTGTTTTACCCACTGGCTGGCTGGCATTATGGATCCTATAACTGGTAATAGGAAGAGTATTGATAAGCCTTGTATGCTGGAGCAATGCAATTATTGAACCTTTATCAGTAGTGAACAAGTGGAAAGTAAGGCACTGGGTAGTACAATATTAGAGGCACTTAAAAATTAAAATTGAGTAATAAAAGGTACAACTCTTGCTGGGTACTATCAATTGGTTAGAAAAGACAAAGAAAGGTAGAATGTGGTTGATCATTATTTTAAGGTGGAGTGTAGTTGATTATTATTTTTTTCATTGTTATAAAAGTCACAATGCCCTCTTAGCAATACAGTAAGTTTCTCCTTTTCTGATGCTTGAGAGTTGAAAAAGCTGAGGATCAGGCCCAGAATTGAATTAGATGGGTAGAGAATCTTAGAAAGTGAACTCTGCTATCGTCTGGTCTTTAACTGGGAAAAAGTGGGACTGTGAGGTTACGGATGTTGAAATCTGGGTCAATGGTCTCTGGAACCTTGACTCCTGAGATCACTTCAATTTCACTGGGCTTTCAGAAGCGGCCTTTTCCTTCCTGTTTAAAGATTAGCATTTTATCCATGCTTAAAGATGATCAGATTCCTCTGCTTGCAAGACAACACATGCCTTTTACAGGATATTCCCCTGCTTCTGCTCCATGCCAGAAGACTCCTAAATAGTGTGACATCTCAGGATAAGTTGGTTGGGGAAGTTTTGGGCCTGTTCAGGGGAAAAAATGACTGAGTGCCAAAGAAACTGCGGGTCCCAGCCCACATTACAGACAGGACCCAGGAAAGTATATATGGGATTGATCTGAGGGTGCTGGATCAAGGTCTGCAGACTATAAAGTTATATAAGGGAGAGTTTCTTCATATGGGAACACTCCTCTGTTATACAGAATTTAACACTCTGACAAGGACTCTGTGAGATGGTACTAATATACTACTAAGGTGGCTTCTGAAAGCTCAGAAAAAGTGATTGGCGTCACTAAATAAAGAGAAATACAGAAATGCCCTGGAAAACAATTGGAAAAGGTCAAATGCTCACAACCATGGGAGATTCCAGTGGACACGCTTTATAAATCTGTGAAACCCATTGGATATCTATTTATCTATGTTCTGTGGAAGGCCCTGAGCACTAGCAAAGCAGTAAGGAATGTGTTGGTGAAGTATGCACAGCATTGTTGTAAGTAAGTATGTGTCATGGATATCCTAGGTAGACTAGAAATGATTCTAAAAGATGATGCAATAGAAGGGACTCCCTGATTTCAAGAAGAACAATGGAAAGACAAATTAATAGAGGCCAAGTGGCAGAGCTTAATTGTCATGAAAAAGTTGAGTAAAATTATTGAAATATGCCTCAAGGTCAGAGTGGAAACTTGAAAGCCAGGGAGAAGACTAATTGTCACTATGGAGATTGTTAATAGAACACAGTGCTCCTGGGAAGAAACTAGATGAGTAGGCAACGTCTTGTTGCTTAACTTATGAAGCCAGAAAAAAAAAAAGAAGAAATAAATAAAAAACTCAAGAGGTTGAGGGAAAAGTGTCTCAATAAAAAGTCACAATACCTCACCCTGTTTCCAGGCTCCAGTTGCTTTTCTGATCAAGAACCCACAGACTAAATGGGATGCAGGGTCCCCAGCATGCTGCAATATTATAGGAAATATGTTAAGTAATAATTCCCCCAGTTCTTCCCTAAAGGAAGCTATGAATATTTACCTGGTAATCATACCCTGGGGATATATGGTGGTAAAATAATAAATGGAGTTGTGGATCATCAGATTCATTCCACTTACTCCCTTGGGTAGCATTTGCTGGTGGCTGGTGGCTAAGAGTTCAGCCGAGGCTGTCATCTAGGCTAGTACATGCTGATTCTCTGCCATGGTATTATTAGGGTATTTGGACATTTTACATGGGAGCTGGTGTCCACTACAGAAAGCATCCCACAGGGAGCAGGTAGACACTGCATGGCCTCTTCTGAATTAGCTTTGAGAGGCATATAGCATCATTTATTCCTCCATTCTACTGGTCACATCAGTCACAGACCACAAAAATTTAAAGGAGAGGAGATAGGTGCAAAAATGTTGAGGCCATCTGCTAAAGTTGCTTTATCCTCCCATTCATTCCTGTGATACAAGAGCTATCATAATGGGAAAAGATAAGAGGAAGTTCCTGGGACTGTCTGTTCACCAAATTGATCAAAGTAGTAAATAAAAATCAATAGTCATATCCCAGGAGGAGTGACAGAGATTAGGGTCACCGTTGGAGTCTTAAAGGATGTAGAGGATATAGTCCCCATCATGTTCCCATTTAATTTATTACTGTCATCCTTGTGAAAGCCAGATGGATTCAGGAGTTTGACTGTGGACTATCAGGAATTCAACTAAGCAGTAGTCCCAATTGATACTGTTGTGGTAGACAAGGCTGAAGCACATTAACATAACTTTACATATATTCTATATATTTATCAATCTAAAGAATTTTTTTTAATCTATCAGAAAGGTGAATCCAAGGCAGTCAGTTTTCATGTAGAATGGACAGGAGCTATATGTATGGTCTTGCCCTAGGATAGGCTAACTACTTTCTGCCATACTGTAGTCCAAAAAGACATGGATTGTATAAATATTCTATAGAATATCACTAAATGATTGACATCATGTTAGTTGGACATGAATGAGAATTTGCATGTTGTAAACTTTGGTAAAAATCACCTTGTCCAGTAGGTGGAATTTAAAAACCTATGAAGATTTAAGAGAGACCCGTATTAGAGAAGTGTTTATGCATCCATTGGACTGAGATATGTCAAAGTATACCACCCATGACGAAAAACAAATTATTGCAACTATAACCTCCCATCACTCCAAAAAAAAGAATCAGTTCTTGTTTGGCCTGTAGAGATTATGGAGATAGCATCTTCCACCCTTGGGAATACGGCTGTTACTTATTTAGTTGGTGACACAGAAGCCAGCTTTGGATGAGGGGCTATGCAAGAGAGGACTTCATAGCAATTCCAGACGGTAGTACAAACTACACAGCAAGCAGGCTTGATGCTTGAACCATACAAGTAAGCAGACACTATTGCAGGACTGGATAAACTATGGTCCTTACACCAAATTTAGCTAGCTGCCTGTTTTTATAAATGAAGTTTTGTTGGAACACAGCAGTGCCCATATGTGTGCATATTGTCTTGGCTGCTTTCTCTGCAATGGCAGGGTTGCATACAGGCAGCCCTTGCTTTGCATGCTTCTGATGTGCACAAATTTCAGTTAGCAGTTAAATAATCAACCTTTCAAGAACATGGTTCAAATGTCAGTTCCATGGTATCTTAACCAAAATTGCTTAAAGAACAAACTTTACTGACAGCTCCGCAGTTCACAAGTCACTTTGCAAATAATACAGTCCCATCCTAGTCAGTGACCAATTAGCAATGGTCATTAAGCATCAGTTCTTCAGCTCACACACAGACAGCAAAGTATGTAGCTATGTGGCCTCTTTGTTTCCTAGTGCTAAACTCATGTTACCTTTTATAAAAATGGGTAATCGAGAGATCAAAAATATGAAGGAACATCAACAACAAAAAAATGATAATGCCAGGAGTGAAATTTGATTATAACATAGAGAAGCTAGAGCTGAACATGGGAACATTGACACCAGGGCTATTAGAGAGACTGTTGGTACGGCCCAAAAAATATGGTGAAGGAGAACCTATTAATGGAACAAGAAAAGTGGTTGTGACAAAAAGATAATGATGTCTCAGAGGAAGTGATGCCAGGAAAAATCTTCACCATAAAGGCGCTCTTGGAGATATATCCTGACATTGAAAGAGCAAAGGATAAAATGGTAGAAGCTGATCTGAACTTAGAAAGAAGTTTGACAATTTACAAAGACATAGAAAAGATGTTCACTTTATATATTTAGTTATATAATAAGCAGACAGCAAGCATTATTCAAACTACTCTTAATAAGTTTTTTTAATCAATCTTTTCCCTTAATTTGAGATTATTTTAAGTTCACATGCAGTTGTAAGAAATAATGCAGAAAATCCCACATACCCTTTACCAAATTTTCCCCAATGGTGACATCTTGCAAAACAGTAGCACAATATCAAAACCAGGGTAATACATGTTTTAGAAGGAATTAAAACATTTTAATTATTAGTATTTCTAGAGTTTGAAGTCACTGTATATTAAATAAATAGTTTTACTACTTTTTCATGTTCCTATACACTTACCATTGACTGGGACTATTCAAAGTTTTGACAAAATTTTAAAGGCTAAGAAGCAATAATAATTTTTTCATTAATGATTAAGATTGCTTTGCATGGCTTGCATAGTCATTTTTATGTCCTCTCACTGTTAGGTAAAGCAAGGATTTTCCAAAGTTGTAACAGAAAAATGGTCCACAAAGCCTTATCTATTTACTACCTTGCCCTTTAGAAAAGGTTTTCCAACTCTTGGTCTGTAGTATTTCTAGACAATTGATGACCTCTGAAATGTTTACATGTGGCAAGTTATATCATGTGACATAATGCTAAATTTTGGTGGAAAATTTTTAGGAACTGCCAAGAAAGTCACATCTTAGCTATAAATGAGCAACTACTTGAAATGAAAGATCTTTGAAGATGTAAAACTTCTACCATTGCAGAACATTATAGTGTTCATTAAAATAGGGTGGCTTCTATTGAATAGTAGAATGAATTGAGTTTCTCCCTCTACACAAAATTTTATTAGAATATATCTGGAATTCGGTGGCTCACACCTGTAATCCCAGCACTTTGGGAAGCCGAGGCAGGTGGATCACCTGAGGTCAGGAGTTCAAGACCAGGCTGGCCAACATGGTGAAACCCTGTCTTTACTAAAAATACAAAAATTAGCCAGGTGTGATGGCAGGCACCTGTAATACTAGCTACTCAGGAGGCTGAGGCAGGAGAATTGCTTGAACCTGGGAGGCGGCGGTTGCAGTGAGTCGAGATAGTGATGTCGCACTCCAGCCTGGGGGACAAGAGTGAGACTTCGTCTCAAAAAAAAAAAAAAAAATACATCTGGAATTATTTTGTTTTTGCCCTTCCTGTCGTGTCTTTACAAAAAAATAAAATAAATGTGATAACATAAGAAATGCACAGTTCTGAAAGTTTAGGACAATTCTTTTAAACTTATTTTTTTTGTTAATCTGTCTAGTTTAACAAAGGCAATTACATTTCACTTGTAAAAATTGTTCTAAGATTGAAAGGTTTATGCTTTCCTTACTTTGCCTATACAGTATCTTTAACAAAGAAGTTCATTTTATACACTTAAATTAAGACACTGAATAATTTTAAAAAGTAGAAGAAAATTCATTTCACAGAGCATATGTTTTATAGTTCTTGTTTTTGAGTATGCATTGTTAACTATATGCAAATTTACATTATTATTTGGCATTTTAAAGGATAGCCAAGTGATGTTATTAAATGGTTTTACTAATTTTTAAAAATGAAAATTAGAGTTGTAGAACAACAGGTGCAATATGAGTTCTGTCTGTTTTACCATCGATGTGCTCATCTCTGTCCATGATAACTTATTATCATCATCAGAATCTGTGTTGGGGACAGCATAGGATGAAAAAGAAACACCATGAAAAAGTATTGACTTAGGCAATCCTTCTTAAGCCATATGAATATTGAGTTGGAGCCACAAGAAAATGATGAAGATGAATGGGAGAGATTTGACCAATTTGGTATTCATACCACTAAGAGTCCTATTGAGACTTTTACTTTCATTTATTTTCACCTTGCTGCGTGACTTTGGACAATGCACTTAACGCCTTTAATCAGCAGTTTTCTCATCTGTAAAATGGAGGTGATAATAGCGTTTATTGGAAATGTTATCTTGAGAATGAAAGGAAGTACTGCTTCTGAAATGCTTCGTACAAAGCTTAGCAAAAAGTGCCCTGATAGTTATAATGTTCTATATATGAGCTCTGAGTTTAACTGGCAGTCATTTTTTAAAAGGTTAAATATAAGATGGCATAGCAAGTGTTACAGAAGTCATTTGATACAGTAAGCAGGCAGAAGTCACTTCACCTATCGACCATGATCTGCTTTCTGAGGCAGCCAGATGAATAGCCTCTCATGCTTTGTATCAAATTGGTTTCCTTATGTCTTAATAATGCAAAAATATTAGGGACAGAATAATAGAGGGGAATGGTAGATTAGGGAATGAAGTCAATAAGAAAAAGTGCAAACACGGATACAAGCCAGGAGAGTAGTGTATTCTGTGTTGCAGCTTTCCAAGCACAGTATCTAGCAGAGGAAAACCCAGAAGAAAAACTTCTCCTTTGATGGTCGTATCGCCAGTCTTTGGAAACAGAACGTCTTTCCTCATTCTAGCTGGATCATCATCAGACCAGAGAAATGTGATTTGTAGTTGCTTCTCTCTGTGTGTCCTTTGGCTTTAAGTCTCAAATGTAGCAGATTGAAAAGAACCAATAAAAATTAGCCACCCAAGCTTTGAGAAGCATCAATCACTCTAAAATGAGAAATTATATAGCACTGAAAAGGATTTTGCTAAAATAAGTTAAATTGGCTGGAGATAAAAAAAAAACATTTTGAATTATATTGTTATTTAAAAACAGACAAAAGTTAAGACTTGCCTGTTTTTGTTTTCAATAGATATTGAATTATCTATTTTGCCAAATAGATAAAAGGTGAGATGATGAAATAATTGAATGCAGAGTCAAGTACGACTGAGAGAAAGTGAGCTGGATAAATCAAGGGTATTAAAATAAAAAAGGAGAATTAATAACTGCATTAGTTACAGGAAGGTAGAAATTAAGACACTAAGTAATCAGACAAGCAATGTAAAGAACAAAACTGGGATGCTCTCCTGTAAAGATAATAGGACAGAGAAACTTGAACGATCAGAGACAGAATAAAGAACTTCTACAAATCAATAACAAAATAGATGTCCCAAAACTAAAATGAGCAAAATAATTCAACAGGGACTTTACCAACAAAAGATACCAAAATGGTTCATAAATATTTGAAAAGGTGCTGAATATCATCATTTGTCCAATAAATGCAGATTCAAACCACAAAGAAATACCACTACATACCTATTGGAATGACTAAAATGTTAAAGAACTCACAATGGTAAGCATTGGCAAGGATGTGAAGCAAATGTCATTCTTGCACATTGCCAGTGAGAGTATTAAATGATACTATCATTTTGTAAAATGGTTTGGCACTTCCTAATAAACATGTAAACATGTACCTACTCTATGACACAGCAATTTCATCACTAGGTATCAAGATAAACACCTTTATGGTTACAAAAATATGTGTACAATAATGTTCACAGAGACTTTGTTCATAATAGCCCCAAACTGAAATTATCCCAAATGTCCATCAATAGAAAAATGGTTACCTAAATTGTATTTATACAGTGAAATATCACTCAGTGATAAAAATAGAATAAATTATTGATGCACACAACACAAATGAATCTCCCAAAGACCATGTCAAATAAAACAAGGTGAACTCAAAAGAATAAATAATGTATGCTTCATATACATGAAGGTCAAGAACAAGCTGCACTAATCCACAATTGTAGAAATCAAAACAGTGCTTATTTATGTGGATGTTGATGACTAGGTTTGGGAATAGCTGTGAAGGGTGAGGAAGGAACTTTCAGGCATAATGGAAATAGTCTATATTGTGATCTGGGTGTTGTGTACATGGCTGAATCAATGTAATACAATACAATTAATCAATTTTGAGTGTACTATTTGATAAATTTTGATGAATGTATTAAGTCATGTAAGCACCACCCCAGTCATGGTGTACAATTGTACTGTTTCATAATGTAGCCAATAGCCACATGTGGCTAGTGGGCACTTGACATGAAGATGTGCCTTGGGTGTAGGATACACTGTGGGTTTTAAAGCTTTAGTACAAAAAAAGAATGTAAAACACTGTATAATTTTAAAATCAATTATGTTGAAACTATAATATTTTGTATACATCTAGTTACAGAAAATATATTATTAAAATTATTTTCGCCTGTTTCTTTTTTCTTTTTAAATGTAGCTGCTAGAAAATTTAAAATACATGTGGCTTGCATTGCAGCTCTAATGAATAGTGCCGATAAGAACACTGAATGGAATGATGAGCATATTTTGTGTTAAATCTATCACCTTGTGAGTTTGTTTTATCTTTGTACTATCTCTTAATGTCCACCTCTATTTTCTTTCGTGTTTTCTTTTGTTGTTGTTGTTGTTTTACTTTAAGTTCTGGGATACATGTGCATAACGTGCAGGTTTGTTACATAGGTATACATGTGCCATGGTGGTTTGCTGCACCTGTCAACCCATCATGTAGGTTTTAAGCCCCACATGCATTAGGTATTTGCCCTAATGCTCTCCCTCCCCTTATTCCCCACCTCCCCCCAACATGCCCTGGTGTGTGATGTTCCCCTCCCTGAGTCCATGTGTTCTCATTGTTCAACTCCCACTTATGAGTGAGAATATGCAGTGTTTGGTTTTCTGTTCCTGGGTTAGTTTGCTGAGGATGATGGCTTCCAGCTTCATCCATGTCCCTGCAAAGGACATGGACTCATTCTTTTCTATGACTGCATAGTATTCCATGGAGTATATGTGCCACATTTTCTTTTTCCAGTCTATCATTGATGGGCATTTGGGTTGGTTCCACATCTTTGCTATTGTAAATAGTGCTGCAGCAAACATACATGTGCATGTGTCTTTATAGTAGAACGACTTATAACCCTTTCAATATATGCCAAGTAATGGGATTGCTGGGTCAAATGGAATTTCTGATTCTAGATCCTTGAAGAATCACTATACGGTCTTCCACAATGATTGAACTAATTTACACTCCCGTCAACAGTGTAAAAGCACTCCTATTTCTCCACAGCCTTGCCAGCATCTGTTGTTTCCTGTTTTTTGTTTTTTTTTTTTGTTTTGTTTTGTTTTGAGAATGGAATCTGGCTCTGTCACCCAGGCTGGGGTACAGCTCACTGCAAACTCCGCCTCCTGGGACTACAGGTGCCCGCCACCACGCCTGGCTAATTTTTTTGTATTTTTAGTAGAGATGGGGTTTCACCGTGTTAGCCAGGATGGTCTCGATCTCTTGACCTTGTAATCCGCCTGCCTCGGCCTCCCAAAGTGCTGGGATTACAGGTGTGAGCCACTGCACCCAGCCATTTCCTGACTTTTTAATGATCGCCATTCTAACAGGCATGAGACGGTGTCTCATTGTGGTTTTGATTTGTATTTCTCTAATGACCAGTGATGATGAACTTTTTTTCATGTATTTGTTGGCCACATAAATGCCTTCTTTTGAGAAGGGTCTGTTCCTATCCTTCGCCCACTATTTGATGGGGTAGCTTGTCTTTTTCTTGTAAATTTGTTTAAGTTCCTTGTAGATTCTGGATATTAGACCTTTGTCAGATGGGTAGATTATAAAACTTGTCTCCCATTCTGTAGTTTGCCTGTTCACTCTGATAATAGTTTCTTTTGCTGTGCAGAAGCTCTTTAGTTTGATTAGATCCCATTTGTCAATTTTGGCTTTTGTTGCAATCGCTTTTGGTGTTTTAGTAATGAAGTCTTTTCCCATGCCTATGTCCTGAATGGTATTGCCTAGGTTTTCTCCTAGAGCTTTTATGGTTTTGGGTTTTACATTTAAGTCTTTAGTCCATCTTGAGTTAATTTTTGTATAAGGTTTAAGAGAGGGGTCCAGTTTCTGTTTTCTGCATATGGCTAGCCAGTTTTCCCAGCACCATTTATTAAATAGGGAATCGTTTCCCTATTGCTTGGTCAGATTTGTTGAAGAGCAGATAGCTGTAGACGTATAGTGTTATTCCTGAGGTTTCTATTCTGTTCCACTGGACTATATATCTGTTTTGGTACCAGTAGCATGCTGTTTTGGTTACTGTAGACTTATATTATAGTTTGAAGTCAGTCTACTTCATTTTCTTTCCAATTAATTGAGTATTTAGGTTTCTGTTTTATAGTGGAGATAGCTTATTAATCTGGAGTTTATACAGATGTGTTAGTTGATCCCAGCCTACAGTGAAGTAAATTCTATCTTTTCACATATACTCTAAGCACCTTATAACAGTGTACTACTTCCTCCCACCTTCTGCATTGCTGTTCTCAGGTATATTAATTCTACATATGTAAACACTAAAATATCTTACTACTTTTGGTATAAATAGCAGTTGTATTTTAAAGAAAATTTAAAAAAATAAGAAATGTCTTTTGTAGTTAAACACATATTTACCATTTCTGGTATTCTGAATTTTTCTTCTGCCAGAATAACCTCTCAAACATATCTTATAGTGTAGGTCTACCAGTGATAAATTCTCTTACCTTTTATTTGCCTGCAGAGTCTTTATTTTGCTTTCGTTTTTGAAAATACGTTTTTTGCTGGATTTAAAATCCTAGGTTGGCAGTTATTTCTTTCAGTACTTTAAATATTTAACTTTAGCTTCTTCTGGCTTGCATATATTTTGACAAGAAGACTGCTATTACTTTAGTCTTTTTTCCTTTGTACTAATCTTTTTTTTGTTGTTGGGCTACTTTTAGATTTTCTCTTTTCTCTAGTTTTTAGCAGTTTCATTTTAAAGTGCCATGGTGTGGTTTTATGTTTGTTCAGCTTTGGGTTCTTAGATTTCTAAGAATCTCTGGGTTTATAGTATTCATACAATTTTGAAAAAAATTCATGATATGGTTTGACTGTGTCCCCACCCAAATCTCATTTTGAGTGGTAGCTCCCATAATTTCCATGTGTTGTGGGAGAGACCCAGTGGGAGATAATTAAATCATGGAGACAGTTTCCCCAGACTGTTCTCATGGTAGTGAACAAGTGTCATGAGACCTGATGGTTTCATAAAGGGAACCCCTTTTGCTTGGTTCTCATTCTCTCTTTCTGCCACTATGCCTTTCACCTTCTGCCATGATTGTGAAACCTCCCGAGCCATGTGGAACTGTGAGTCCATTAAACCTTTTTTTCTTTATAAATTACCCAGTCTTGGGTAAGTCTTTATCAGCAGTGTGAAAATGGACTAATTGAATCCAGCCATTTATTTATATTCTAATACACACTTTTTATCTGCTTCCCTTTCTCTCCTTTTATGGGGAAAATTATGAACATTGTAGTCCACTGATATTTTTCCCACAGATCACTGGTCCCCTAGTTTTTTGTTTTTGTTTTGTTTTGTTTTTAATCTTTCTTTCTGTACTTTATTTTGGGGAGTTACTAATACTAGGTCTTTAATTCTACTGATTTATTCTTTAATATCTAGTTGCTGTTAATTTCATCTATAGTTTTTCACTTCCAGCATTAAATTTTCCCTAGAATTTTTGTCTTTTTTTGTATCATTCTTTTTTTTTGTATCAGGTTTGTGTTTTCCTCCACTTTTCTGAACACTTAGAAAACATTTTTAAAAATCTCTGTTTAACAATAAAATTTTGGTTAAAACTTATAACTTAAACACTATTTATGTGCTTTAGGGGTCTGTTTGTATAGATTGAATTTTTCCTGGTTATGGGTCATATTTTTCTGCTCCTTAGATGTCTGATAATTTGGATGTTGCATGCTGGGGTTCTTGGTAGTATTGCATTCCTTCAAATAGTGTTGAGATTTTTCTAGCTTGTAGATAAATTACTTGGAATTTGTTTAACACTTTTGAGGCTTGCTTTTAAGCTTTGTTAAGTTAATACCAAGTAGTCTTTAATCTATGGCTATTTGGCTGTACTACTAAGGTGGTATTTTCTGCAGTCTGTCTGATAACCTTATTTACTGAGATTTTTTGACTTTGGCTGGTGGTAATATAAACTACTTGCAGGGCTATGTCTGAGCTTTGGGACTTATTGAGCCTTCCTTTTTTTTGGTAGGTCTTTCTGCAAGCTTGCGTAGTTCCTTTAACACATGCATTGATCAGTACTCTTCCATAGAATTGAGGGGACCCTTCTGTAGGTCTCTGTACCCTTCTTTCTGTGTAACAACTTCCTCTCCATTTCTTGTGCCACATATTGTAGCCAACGTGACTTTCCTAAGCTCTGATTTCTGTCTCCTCATGTTACTGACCACCAGGTTCTTTGTAGGTTTCCTCTTCCTGCATTACAGCCTAGAAACTGCCTCTGAGCAAGAAGCTGAGGCAATCACCGAAGTCACTTCATTTATTTTTCCTCACTCAGGCTCTCCTCCTATGCAACCTGTTGCCCAATATCTGAGGAACGTTGTTTTTAAAGTTTTACTCAGTTTTTCAGGTGTTTGAGGTGGAAACAGAAATTCCATTCCTTTGAATTTATCCAGGCTTGAAGTGAAAATTAATAATTATTTTTTGATTAATTTATTTCCATATTCAGCTGACTTTACATTCAGATACTGTTTCTAAGAGGCTCAGACATTCTTATTAATTGATGCAGAGAATTCAGGAAAAAGTATGTCCTAGGAAACTTTGTAAACTTTGAATAGGGAACAATAAAAAGGAATTAAAAATTTGGAAAATAGATTGATAAGTATTTGAATATTTTCATGAACAATTTATTAGTTTGTCACTTGGCAAAATTTTGAATTAGATATTAAGAAGTGCTGTTGGGGGTAAAATTTTTAAGAAATAATGCAGATTGCTAAGGTATGTTGTTCCAATATTACTTTTTCCCTTAGGAATTGTTAAATTAAGGAATAAACTTTTCTTTTATAAATGCTTTAAACAAAGCTCTCTGAAAGCATAAGGCTGAACCAGATAATTGAGTTTCTCTAAGTTCTGTATTTTTATAATTTGCTTTTCTCTCCCTCATCTCCCTCATCCCTATCCATGCCTGGCTCACTGAATAATCCAGTCACCATCTACACTTTGACAGTAATGACTCATGACACATATTCTGCCCACCCTTCTCCTGCTCTAGGGTGTCCTATTCCCCAAAGCCTTTTTCATGAAAAAATGTACTTATTTATCAAGGTATATTATGATTTAAAATCTCAGTGAAAATGAGTATTCTACATGATGGAAACTTTGTTCTCTGTTTACCCACACTCTAAAATGCTCATCAGCTGTGTTTTGCATCTTTTTCGCCTCTTAAACAAAATACTACTTGGTATTTTTGATGTCAGAGTTACCGACTTGTGAATATCAATAACTTTGTGATATTCTCACATGCAGTGTATGACTTTCTTGACTCATTTTCTAATGGCTAAATTTAATTTCTGGATGAATGTTAAATCTCTGTCTAGGTGAGTGCCTATAAAATGATATACAATGCTCTTATTTTTTATTTTTATTTTTTGAGACAGGGTCTCACTCTGTCACCCAGGCTGGAGTGCAGTGGCGTGATCTCAGCTCACTGCAACCTCCGCCTCCCAGGTTCAAGTGGTTATCCTGCCTCAGCCTCCCGAGTAGCTGGGACTACAGGCGTGTGCAACCATGCCCGGCTAATTTTTTGTATTTTTTTAGTAGAGATGGGGTTTCCCCATGTTAACTAGGATGGTCTCGATCTCCTGACCTCATGATCCACCCGCCTGGGTCTCCCAAAGTGCTGGGATTACAGGCATGAGCTACCGCATCCAGCCGACATACAATGCTTTTATCAGAGAAATTAATAATGGTATTAACAGTCATATTTGTTAACCTGTGTATTCAATAAATATTAACTACTTACTATGCTTCAGAGACTGTATATCTGTGTACATAACAATAAATATGAATACTGATTATAAATATTGAGGCTTGGTTTACATTCTTATCATTGTTTTTAAAGTTGATTTAGTTTTCATAATGAGTCAACTATATCATATTTAATATATGATAGTAAAATTGTATTTTCAGTCAAGAACTTTTTAAAACTCTTACAATTCCAAGCATAAAATATGAAAGGGCTTAGAGTCACTATTTGGATAGTTTTGAAAAATGAACTCAAATAATGATTGAACGTAATCTTTTTCTAATTTGCTAGAAAATTTTTTTAAAGATGTAAGCCAAATTAACCCAACTGCAGCAGAGGTGCATCCCCACTTTCATTTTGATAACTTACCCCAACTTTATGCTTGAGAAGATCCTTTGGATAGTGTGTTTGAGTGCTAACATCACTGCTGGAATAATATTAACTGATGAAGATGGGTTTTATGCATATAGTAAGGGGTAGAATTAGGGAGGAATTTCCTTCAGCTAACTCCCTTCTACACATGTGGTCTGTTTTATGGTGGCTACTTGGCACTGCACATGTTTCACAGTCAAGCCCCGAAAAACCATCGTGATAGAACATTTCTCTAAGTGGTTTCAGAGGATTATTTATGGCCCTGCGAGGATGCCAGATTGCCTCATTTTTGAGACAATTAAAACAGAAATTTAGGCAGCTGTTATTTGCATCTTTAGGAAGAAAACCCATTAACACAAGGCCAGGGGATCACTGGGGCCCAGAGAAGCTACCTTGAATAATAATCCTGTACCTGGGTAAACTGTAGCAAGCAGAGTAGGTAAAGCCTATTAGAGCAGTCTGCATGTAGATAGGCACAGAAACAGAAGGTGAGAGTCTTTTGGGGTGATAACTAATATATTTTTTATGAGACATACAGAAATGGGACTCCAGAGAGAGTGACAGAAAAGACTGATCAGAGAAAGTAAAATTGGTGACAAGAAGATTGGAAAGTAGAAGTAAATGTACAGCACACAAATCATGGGGAAGCCTGTGCATGGAGATACAAGGAAGCAGATTATCTGCCAGAAATCCAAAAATCCACATTTTTCTAGAGCTCAGCGAAGTGAATTATAAATGCAAATACTTAAATTCTTTAATATTTTACCACATATGGGAGAAAGACTGTTGTTAGAAAAGAAAATGTTATCCCTTTGCCAGAGGTCCAATATCACATTAGGAAATAACTGTGCATAAATTTGGAATAAATAGGACAGGAAGAATTCTTTCAAATAAACATTTCATCTTTTTTGAATTAATGGTCCTTGGTCTCCGCATTAGCAATTGACATACAAATTGAATCACTCTCACAGTTTATATTGACACTGATATGCCCACTTGTTGAAAGACAGATTTAACTAATGTCAGATGAAATAAGACCAGTCTATTTTAAGACTGAAGAGCAAGGTATTCTAGTATGGATAGATGTGTTAAGAAACAGAGGTAAAGTGAAGAGATATGTTTTTTTTTTCTTCTTTTGTAAAGTATCTCCTATTTTTGGCTGAGCTACTTTTTTTTTTTTTTTTTTTTTTTTTTTTTTTTTTTGAGACGGAGTCTTGCTTGTCACCCAGGCTGGAGTGCAGTGGCGCGATCTCAGCTCACTGCAACCTCCGCCTCCTGGGTTCAAGCCATTCTCCTGCCTCAGCCTCCCCAGTAGCTGGGATTACAGGCACACACCACTATGGCCAGCTAATTTTTGTATTTTTAATAGAGATAGAGTTTCACCATGTTGGCCAGGCTGGTCTCGAACTCCTGACTTCGTGATCTGCCCACCTCGGCCTCCCAAAGTGCTGGGATTACAGGCATGAGCCATCGCGCCCGGCCTGAGCCACTTTTTACGTGAAATTCCACAAATAAGCTATGTGAAAATTCACTACATTCAAGTATTTGGAAGGTAGTGGAACCACAAAAATATTAGATTTGGTCTCTTTCCTCAAAGAGCTCATATTTGAGGGAACATATAAACAAACAGTGGTAATTGTGCTTGATATGTACAACGTATGTCTTAGGTCTCTGGGCCAGCAAAAAAAGAGGTAGACATGTGGAATAAAAACGTCTCTTTTTCTTCTCCATGAGTAAGAATACTTGCCTGAAGAGTCAGAATGCTAAATCGTTTTATCAGTTAGAACCTCCTGAAATGCAGTAAGATCAAGCCAAAATTAAAAAAAAAAACTAGTGTTATTTCTAATGAAATTCAAGAAAGTTTAACAACTTTCCTAAGCTATTTATTCTAAAGTCTATAAATACTTCTAATTAGAAATACTAACCTAAATCTCACCTCCTGTAACAAGTTCATTTCATGTTGTTCAACCTTCATTCAAAAAAAAAAGCAAGATCAATCAATAAATGACAATAGACAACTTGATTGGTTTGTAACTTCAACTTAAATGTGATTAATAAATAATTTGTGTAGTGTTTTCACAGAACTTTCAGATTCTAATAAATATATCATATATATTTATGATATACAGGACATATATATGATACAGGACATATATATGAAATATTTCTTTTGTATTTTGAAACAATGCACTATAATCTAGGTGTATATATGTACATATGCACATATATACACTTATATATAAGTGAATATATATATGTGTATGTGTATATATGTGTGTGTGTGTGTGTGTGTGTATGGACACACATCCACACGTTTAGGTATGATGGAAAGTGCAGTTAGAAAACTGATGCACTTACTGCTTAATTTAAATCCTTTTAACTCATGAAAAATATGTGCTTTAATATACTTTATACCACTCCTGGGGAACTCTTGAGATCAATAATGTAAAATCTTATATGCATAATTTATTCATAGAATCTACAAGTCTAAAGTACCCTACCATAATTATGGAGTGGTTAGTTATTCCACAAATTTTTTAAATCATTTTTTGCTTCATACCTTTTGAAGTTATATTAATCGGCGTATAAAGATGAGTATACTCTATTTTAGAGACTGAGTAAATGCTCACTAATCCTGTTATCTCTTACTGAGAACAGAGATTGACTACACAACTCAGAGCCCCCTGCAGTTTATTTGAGTGGCCGAAAGAATAGACATCTGGACCCACAAAAAGGCCAACAATATTTATTTTACCTCTTTCTCTTACTCATCAGAACGTAGAGAAGAAAAAGGACTCTGGAGGAAGGTTGTAAAAGATGGAAGGACTAAAAATGGAGACACTTTGTACACTTGAATCATTGCATGGAAGCCTACCATGAAGTATCAGTTGGACTAGAACTTCACTAAATAAACTTCAAAGCCTTTAAAAACATTCCTCTGTCTTTTTTATGTTAACCACCAAACCAATCTGTTGAATTCTGTTTTGCTTCCTTCTAGATAAAGTAAATTTTGGTATTTGGGAATAGTAATGTGATGGTTAATATTGAGTGTCAACTTGATTGGATTGAAGGATGCAAAGTATTTTCCTAGGTGTGTCTGTAAGGCTGTTGCCAAAGGAGATTAACATTTGAGTCAGTGGGTTGGGAAAGGCAGACTCACCCTCAATCTGGGTGGGCACCATCTAATCAGCTGCCAATGCAGCCGGAATAAAAGCAGACAGAAGAACGTGAAAAGACTGGACTGGTTTAGTCTCTCAGCCTACATCTTTCTCTACTGTTGGATGTCCACTGGGAGCTGGGTCTGTGGCCCTTAGTGCTCCTATTGTTCCATTCTATTCATATTCTTCATTCTTCTACTCAGTACTGGGCAAAGATCAAACCAACCTGTAGTTCCCTTGATAAAAGGGCAGGATGCTTCCTGCCCTTGAACATCGGACTCCAAGTTCTTCAGCTTTGGGACTCTTGGACCTTGGACCACAGGCTGAAGTCTGCACTGTCAGCATCCTTACTTTTGTGGTTTTGGGACTCGAACTGCCTTCCTTGCTCCTCAGCTTGCAAACAGCCTATTGTGTGACCTCACCTTGTAATCATGTGAGTCAATACTCCTTAACAAACTCCCCTTTATTTATACATCTATCCTATTAGCTCTGTCCCACTAGAAAACTCTAACTAATACGAGCAGTATAAATTTAAGTTTTGTTTCCAGCCTCAAGGTTGAGGGCGTTTTATCAAGGGGACTACTGGTTGGACTGACCTCTGTCCAGCACCAACCAGAAGATGAAGAATAATTTGAATAGAATGACACAACAGGAGCACCAAGAGCCACAGACCCAGATCCCAGGGGACAGTTACAGGCCCAGACAGGCAAGATCTAGAACCAAATGAAAAAATAATAGAGCAAACACTGATTAGCTCTTATCACCGAGAAAAGCAGCTTTCCCATCAGACTTGTTTGTTTTATAGTCATGCTGTGTTCAGGTGGCAGAGCCTATGACCCTGTGGCTCAAGGGAGCAGGTGCAGTTGATGTACCATAAAACACAAAGGGAGTAGATATTTGAAACAGGGTTCTAATACCAATTTTACTGCTTATTAACTGTGTAAACTTAAAATACTATTAAAACCTGCGTACGTTTCTCAAATGAGGAAAATATAACTATAATCCCATTGGATTATTATGACAAGTGGAATATTAAAGGTGAAATAAGTAATCAAGATTTAATGCATTCATTCCTTTCCTCTCCTCTGATTAACATAAAATGAGGACTGGATTTTTCAGGAGCCTCTTACGGTCACTAGCTGCAGATTTATTGATATTCTTAGCAATATTAAAAAAGTTGTGTTACAGTAGAGGATCCAATAGGCAAGTAAATAGTATCTGGGCTGAATTGCTACATCTGGCAGTAATGTAATTCCTTCTAATTTAAACCCCAACTTTTGTGGATTTCACATATGTGATTAAGGGATAGGGAAATGCTGTAGAGATAAGAATTGCTGCTCAGCATAAGTGAAAAGTGCCTGCCTGTCTCACCTCCCTGCCAACTGGCTTGTACAACTCATAATGTCTCTGTTTTTTTACTCTCTTCATTTACTAAATCTCAGCACTTCATTCCCTCCTGTTGCAGGCAGGAAAAAGATAAATTTTTGTTTGAATATCATCTTAAGTAAATTAGTGCGTATAGGCATGATTTGTATAATTACAGCTGTTAATAATTAGTGTAAATAGAGATCATGTCACAACTAGCAAATGTAATTAAATCACATAAGAAGTCTAGAAAAACCTACGTTTTGTGTAGGAAAAGAATGCATTAGATAAATTGTAAAATTGTTCTATAGAAAACACTTAAAACATATTGTGCTTCATATCTAGTTACAAATAATTGCAAACCAAGGTTTCTTAGGAATATTTTTGTGTATTTTAAATAATTTTTTAAGTCAAAGAAATAAAATACCCAAGGCCATGCACGGTGGCTCACGCCTGTAATCCCAGCACTTTGGGAGGCCCAGTCGGGTGGATTACGAGGTCAGGAGATCGAAACCATCCTGGCTAATATGGTGAAACCCCGTCTTTACTAAAAAATACAAAAAATTAGCCGGGCGTGGTGGCGGGCGCCTGTAGTCCCAGCTCCTTGGGAGGCTGAGGCAGGAGAATGGCGTGAACTCGGGAGGCGGAGCTTGCAGTGAGCCGAGATCTCGCCACTGCACTCCAGTCTGGGTGACAGAGCGAGACTCCGTCTCAAAAAAAAAAAAAAAAAAAAAAAAAAAAAAAAAAAAGAAGAAGAAGAAGAAGAAGAAGAAAAGAAAAGAAAAGAAATAAAATACCCAAAATGTAAACTTTATTTCACACTTTCTTTTTGTTTTAATGCGATTTATCCCAAAGTAAAAGTCCAGGTATAAGTCATAATTAGAATGGCTCCCAGAAAGCCATGTTTAAACTGTTTCTTTGAAGGAAATTTTGCTTTGATCTTAGCATTAAATGGTTTCACCCTTCTAAATGCTCTGATAGAAAATACTTTTCTTGTGTGTTTATCATTTATTATTTTATGTTGCTATTTAAAACCAATGTACGAATGGAAAATTTATCCACCCAAGCTACAAGCTAAGCTGCAAGCTACAAGTCTTACAAGTTTTATATTACTCATGTTCACAGCCCCAAATATGATGAACTTTAAATAATTTGTAGTTGCTGTAAATGTTGTTTAAAAAGTGAGAGAAATGTTTAAAGCAGTAATATTTATTTAAGTTTAATTTGTTTCAAGAGATAAAACTAATATAATCGAAGGATAAAAATTCTTTGTTCAGTATTTTAGAGTTTAGAAAATATTTTCTTCTGCACTACTTCTTTGGGCCTTTTCAACAGCCTCCTGAGCCAATTATTTATACAGATGAGGGCAAAAATTGGAAGAGGTTAGAGACTTGTACAAAATCATAGAATGCTCTCTGAAATACAGCTGGTAGAGCTATAAATTAAACTCAGGAACTTCAGCTTTTCAATCCCTAAATACCCGAATCCATTTAATTGCAGGTTCGCTACGTGTCCTGAAAAGATATAAAATTGCACTTACCTTAAAATATAAACCTAATCATTCTTATGACTGACAGATACATAGTGAAAATACCGCTTACTCAAAAAAAAAAAAAAAGCCCTATGTAGTAGATTCTCTTTATTGATGACAGTTGTATTCTATAAAGTCACTGCGAACACTGGATTAGCCAATACTGAATCACAGCTCCTGGGGAAACACAGGGTGAGACTCCTGCAAGTCTTGGCCACAACATTTTCACCAACCAATCAATATATAACCCTGTTTTATATGTGTTTTTGTTTAAAGACATCTTATTTAGTATAGAGTGTTGATTCATTAACTTGAACTCAAGGCCAATAGCACTAAAACTCATGCCTGAACAAAGCTTATCTAATGTATATTTTCTCCATAAAATATGTCACAGCATTCTTGTACTTAGGAAGACTAGACAGCACTTCAGCACTATGCTTGGGGCCATTTTAAACAGCAACAATCAGCAACAAAAAGCACAAAAAAGCGAAAAACACAGCATTACGTAGATCATAAAAAGGACACCTGTTTGTAGCATGGAAGCTGAACCAAGAAGAAAGAATGCCTACTTGATCACCCTTGGTTGGAAAAGTATGTGCTGGGTGAGTCTCACCGCTCTATACCTGTGCATGTCTTCAAATGATCATAAAAGCACTGTAAGTATTGATTTGGGGGTCACAAATAAGTTTCTGTTAGTAGGTCAATTTGCACATAGAGAATCTGGAAATACAGGATCAACTGTATCAAGTTCCCAAATGAAATGTTGTGCTAAGCATGAAAGATATGAAGATGAATAAAATACTAGTGTTGATTTTGAGTTGAGAAATTCAAATTCTCTCTGAAGAGATGGATTATCAACCAAGAATGATAGTTCAATGGAATTGCGTTCTTACTGCTACAGAATCGTGAAGGAGGAAATAGCTCAATCTTTAGATTGCATGTCTTTCACTCTTTTCTTTCAATATTATACATTCAGAGCAGCATGGCTAATTCCTACCACAATTCTTACCACTTTAAATTTAGAAACCAATTATTCCTTGTTGGTACGAACAAAACCCACAGAAGCCTGGCTTATTGTTCTTCTATCTTTTTAGTGCTCAACAAGGCAAATAAAGGCTTCCTGGAAATCTGAATTTGGAAAAGTGAAATATTCCTTAAATCCCTGTATTTCTACTGTACATCCCATCACTATTATATCTTTCCACCCAACTAGTTCTATAAACTCTGTTAGAAAAAAATCACCAATGGCGTGAACCCGGGAGGTGGAGCTTGCAGTGAGCCGAGATCCCGCCACTGCACTCCAGCCTGGGCGACAGAGCGAGACTCCGTCTCAAAAAAAAATAAATAAATAAACACCAATACCCTGTTTCTTCATAGAAGGCAGTCGTACACTACCACTGTATTGTCATTTCCCTTTTCTCCTTTAAGAGAAAATTTCTCTTCAAAAGAGAAGATTTTGTAGTCACATATAAATATGTTCTACATATTTCCATAAAGTCTAAAATTCCTCATCTACTTCAACTTCCCACTTGATTATATTTCTTTGGGCACTATAGTGCTTTCTAAAAAATCGTATTTATATGTATAGATTTGAGATCTAATCCCATAAGAATCAATTCATTTCATACTTGTATACCAGGAAATCTAAAATGCTAGTTGTGTTTTCTAATTGTTTTACCTGGTGCTGCACCCTGGAAAACAAAACTGCAATTATTATGTTAATTTTTCTCTGTAATATACCTATTTTTCTCTAGATTCTGCTGTTTTTTCCTCTTAATTTTCTCTGAGAACTGTTTCTTCTTCCAATGCACCTTTCTTTTTATGTACACACTCCCAACAAAACACAACACCAACAACAATCTCAAAACTATTAAAAACTCTATTATTCACATGTATTAGTCCATTTTCACACTGCTCTAAAGAACTACCTGAGACTGGATAATTTATAAAGAAAAGAGGTTTAATTGACTCACAGTTTCTCATGGCTGGGGAGTTCTCAGGAAACTTACAATCATGTTGGAAGACAAAGGGAAAGTAAAGGCAGTCTTTCATGGTGGCACGGGAGACAGAGCGATGGGGGAACTGCCAAACACTTTAAACCATCAGATCTCATAATAATTCACTGCCAGCTCTCATGAGAACAACATGATACTGAGTGATCCAATCACCTCCCACCAGGTCCTACCCCCAACACATGGGGATTTGCAATTTGACATGACATTTGGGTGAGGACACAGAGCCAAACCATATCATCACATAAATATGAGTCCTTCGTGATTATCTTCAGCAGAACTCTGTCTTTTGTTAGAAACCTTTCATTTAGCCTTACCATTAACCTCACTCCTTTAGATGGCAGAACAGGGTTCAAGCTCAGTTGAGTGTAATGAGAATTAACTTTCAAGTTTCCAAATGCTAGTTTGCTGTTCTAAAAGGCCATTATTTCCTATCAACCAAGTTTAAATTTCATAATGAACTATGGACCCCTTTTTACCTGTCCCAATTTTAAACTAGCTCTCATGTTATTATTGTGTACATTTCTTTTTCTTATAAAAATATACATAGTTTTTGATGTTTCCATTTAAATCAGTTTAATATTTTCACTGCTGTAATACAAAGCCTCTCTGGGTTTGAATCCTCTAAATTTGGAATTAACTTCAGCTAATATCTGGTAAAAGTATTTTTTAGGTGACCTTAAAACATATATTTACTTTCCATTCTACAATACTGAACCTCCAAAAAACCAGCCATCCTACCCTCAAGATTGTAAGCTAGAACACTTGGAATCTTATTTTCTCACCTATCTAAAAGAGTTGTTATTTGATCTCATTTATTTGTTGAAATGAGATTCTTTTTGGTCAGAACTGAAGACTTTTAATTGATATTTATATACGTTTCTAATTAAATTTTATCTCTTGTGATCACCTCTGTGGCATAGAAAGAGATTATGTACTTTGGTGAAGTTTGTACTATAAAACCTCACCAATTATTTACCAGTATTCTCTCATTTAGAAGACTGAAAATTGTTCTGGGATGTGTGGGCAGTAAAAATGTATTAACATTTCATAGTTTTGTGCCACTAGAAGGAACAGAGCCTTTTGAAATATCATCTTGTTAATCAGTTGATCTTTCCCCTCAATAATTAGATCTTTCAATTTACTTCTGAAATTACTGGAAACGGTATTTTCAGGTAATGTAAAGTAAAATTCATTTAATAAAAAAAGACTTTTGAAAATAATACATTTTTTCTTATATTGAATTCAATTCTCTCACCATTTTGGTGGCTAATTCATTGCTAATATCATTTAAAATTTTGATCTTCTAATTTTTAATGGTTTAAAATTGAGATAATTAGAAAGTACATGATAATGACTAATTAGAATATGAACAGCATTATGCCTGAAGCACAAATAATGGGTGGAAAATGTGTTGAATTTTTTTAATGTTTGGAATTATATTGATACTTGAGAAATGCAATTATCATTTTCAATAGCATTTTTGCTCATACAAAGACATTTCAGAACAATTGCAGCTTGAAACCTCCAAATTTGTTCAAATGTGTTAAGATCCCACTATATTCTTTTAATTTTGATATATCTAAATGGTGAATTAGGAGCTGAGATTTCTGTCTATTTGTACAATGGAACATTTGGGGTTACATTAAAATACGTATCACATCTCATTTTTTGAAATGTATTAGACAGCAGACTGATTTATTATGAGCCAGTTTGTTAGCATTTGTGAGGCTACTGAGTGAGTATTCTGTAAGATATTTAACTAAATTAAAGTTCTGGCTTTTTACTCGTCTTCTCACCAAATGATTATAAGCTAAAATTATATTTGTAGCAGCCACATAATATATTTATGTAAGGGATATTTGGAAAAATTTAATAGTAAGGAATGTGGACATATTTTTGAATTTGGATGAATTATTGGTCATTTGTAAGGATGGTTTGGGAATTGCAGTTAGATTGTAATCATTGTTTTGCCACTAATTCTATCTTAAAATTTTAGATTAGGCAGATTTCTATTAGTTCTGGTGGCCAAGATTAAAATCATTGGAGGAACTAACTTTATAAATTGTTCAAGTATTTCAGTAATGTCTAATTTAGGGTTGTTCAACTTTCTGACTTTCCTGTATGACATCTCCATGTTTCCAATTTCAATCAAACTCATAGTATGCAACTGGAATTATATGTCCTAGAAAAAACAAAAAGTGTGAGACTACAAACTTCAATTAATTTGATTTTCATAGAAAAAAAGACCACTTATAAAATCTCTCTAATACATTGCAATAATTCATGTAAGCATTTATAAAAACCCCAAAAACCTACTATTCATAAATACACTTTTCAAATAAACTTTAACTTTACAGTATAAAGTGTCTCTAGTTTGTCTAAATATTAAAATTAAGATGAACATTTTCTGAATTGGACAGATAACATTGTATTTTATTTCCATTTTGCTCTGAAAATTGACCAGATCCCTTAAGTAATGTGAACAGGAAGAAATTGAAACAACCTAAAAACAAACACAGAATATGCACTTTAGAGCAAACTGAGAAAAAGTTGATGGTGTTACCAACTTCTATTTCTTACTAAGTGCTAGATGAAAGAAGAGAAAAGATGCCAAATCAATGAGGTTATCCATGATATAGCCATTGTCAAGTACTATAACAAGTTTCACTGGAAGTTACTACATTTTTGTCTAACCATAAGCATTTGAATGTTATATGCATTTTCTTCTGAGTTATTAGAAATTTAATGTAAGCATATTTATTGTGAAATTTTGAAAGTATGAAATATCAGAAATAACCTATGTACAACACTCTGTCTATCCAACCTCACTCTGGTATGAACAGAGGAAATCAGGTTGACAACCTGATTTCTCACACCCCAACACCAAGCCCTGGAAATGAGAAATCTGAAAAATGGCAATATATCAGAGCACTCTGGAAAATAAAAAGGGATCAACAGAGAAAATATAAAATAAACATCAATAAGATGCCTGAATAAAATGAACGACATTATGAAAAAAATACAAATTATCTATATTGATTCACAAATCAAGAGAAAATCTGATTGTCAAAATAACCATAGGAAAACATTGCAAATGAAAATCAAGTTTTGTATCTAAATATACATTAGTTCCCAGTGGTTATGGCTGAGTTTTAAAAACCTCAAAGGAATAGGTAATTGTTAGGTTATAAGTCTAAACCAAATCACTCTCTCTATATATACTTGCACTATCAATAAGTAAGAATTTCTCTTCTTTCTCACCAATATTTGATGTTATATTCATTTTTGTAAAAAAAGAGGAAAATGTCATATTCTATTATTTCAATTTATATTTCCCTAATTACCAGTAGGATTGAGCATCTGGTCATACGTTTACTAGTCATTACTTTTGTTAACATGGATATGTTTTTTAATGCTACAGTATATAGGATGTAGTTAATAAATACATTCACTTTATTTGTTGAGTAGGAACAATAATATGTATAGCAATAGTGGTCAACAAATTCTGTATCATGATTATCTCCCAGGAGGTCTTAAGCTAGAGTGAGCTTTAACTATACTGTGTAGATTAGACATTTGTTCACAAACATTCATTTTCTTCTCTCTCTGACATCCATGAAAAGAGTACATTCATTACCCTGTTGATTTTGGGCTGGGTCAGTTGATCTGATTTGAGTAGTAGAATGTGGATGGAAGTAAAATATGTCAGTCCTTAGGAGAAATTTCATGTTTCCACTCACCTCTCCCAGAGTGTTTATTTCCTACATGAGAAGTAAATGTTTCAAGTAGCCATTCAACCGAAGTCCAAAATTGGTATATATAGAACAGACTCCAACTCCGTTGCAGCCTTTAGCAGAGTTAATCCAGCCACCCCTCAGACACATGAGCAAGAAATCTGTTACGTAAAATATTTCTACAAATCAATTAAAAAATGACAGAATATCAAGGGGTATATCACAGAAGACAAAATATAAATGAACACCATAAAAAAATGTTCAACTTTGTTAGGGCAATGCAGAAAACATCAGGGAAATTATAGTCAAAATTTCAAAGCAACATTTTTCTCCTACCAGAATGGAAAATTGATAGCTTGATTATACAGTATTAGTGAGGATATTAGGAATTAAGTATCATGTACCTTTATTGGAAATGTTAATTATTACAATCTTTTGGAACATAATTTGGCAGTATCTGTTAACTTAAAAAAAGTTGCAAACCTATAACATCAGAATTTCCACTTCAAGGAATCTATCTTTGAAAAATCCTCATGTATACACAGGTAGACTCATATACAACTCTATTTATTGTAGCTATAGTGGTAGAATTTAAGCATATCTTCCTGTCTCTTCATTAAACAACATTGAGAACGACAAAATGACTTAGCAACTTGCTTCAGGAAGATAAGACTAAGAATCAAATACAATAGCTAAGCTATCAAGAACAGCAGATTTCTCATCAAAAATTTCTTCTCAACACTCATTCCTCTAAGCCCACCAATCCATAGGTATTAGATTATGAATTCTGCCCAGTTCCACTCAGTTCCTCACCGTATAAAGCCTTCTAAAACAAAAAACCACTCACCTAGGCCTTAAAATCCCGATCTTCCATTTCTTAAACAGTCTCTAAGATTGTCAATTTGATAGCTTTTCTTACTATAGTCAATCTAATGAATTTAAAATTACAGTAGCCCTCCCTTATCTGAGGTTTATCTTTCCTAAGTTTTAACTACCCACAGGCAATATCTTCATGTCACAGGATCATCCAAAACATGTGATCCTACTAATGTATTGTCAGAAGGTAAATAGTAGCCTAACACAATGTTACAATGTCTACATCATACCTTTATTTCACTACATGGCATTGTATCATCTCAAATCATCACAAGAAGTGTGAGTACAGCACAGTAAGATATTTGGGAGAGAGGTCACATTCATATGACTTTTATTATAGTACATTGTTATAATTGTTCTATTTTACTATTAGTTATTGCTTTAATCTCTTAATTATTATTGTTGTTAATCTCTTACTGTACCTAATTTAGAAATTAAGCTTTATCATTATAATGTATGCATAGGAAAAACATAGTGTATATATGGCTCTGTACCATCTGGGGTTTCAGGCATCCACTAGGGATCTTGGAACGTATTCCCATGGATAAGGGCATAAGGTATTTGGTTACAGATTTTCCTGGTGGTCTTTTGAGAGTTGAAGGTCAACATTTGAAATAGTTTGCTAGTGAAAATCATAGTTCTGGAGTCAGATTTCCTGGGGTTAATTCCTCAAATTAGATATTTTTAGCAGTGTGAACTTGAGAAAATGTTGCTCTTGGCCTGTAACATAGGGATAATAATAGAATTTATTTATAGAATTCTTGTGTGTTACGGACTGCATGTCTGTGTCCCTCAGAACTCATTTGCTGAAACCTGTTATTTGAGCTGCTATAACAAAATGCCACAGGGTGGGTAATTTATAAACAATAGAAATTTATTTCTTATGGTTACAGAAGCTGAGAGGTCTAAGATCAAGATGCTGGCAGATTTCTGGCGAGGGCCGCTCTCTGCTTTCAAGATGGCCCCCCGTTGCTGCAACCTCTGGAGGAGAGGAATGCTGTGTCCTCACAGGGCAGAAGAGACAAAGCAAGAGAACCCACTCTCTCAAGCCCTTTTTAAAGGGCTCTAATCCCATTTAAAAGGGCTCTGCCCTCATGTGACTTAATTACCTACTAAAGGCCCAACCTCTTAATACTATATTGGCCATTAAGTTTCAACACAGAAATTTTGGGGAATACATTCAAACCATCGCAAAACTCTTTCTACCCTGATGAAATGATATTAGAAGGTGGGGTGTTTGGGAAGTAATGAGCTCATCTGAGCTCATAAGAATAGAGCCCCCATGATGGGATGAGTGTCCTTATAAGAAGAGACCAGTGTTCTCTCCTTCTGCCATGTGAGAATATAGCAAAAAGGCTGCCATCTGCAAACCAGAAAAAGTGCCTCCACCAGACACTAGATCTGCTGGCACTTTGATCTTGGACTTCCCAGCTCCAGAACTGGGAGAAATACATGTTGGTTGTGCCAGCCACTGAGTCTATGGTATTTTTGTTTTATCCTGAACTAACTAAGACAGTGTGAAAAGTAAATTAGTTAATTTATTTAAGACACTTATGGATAAAGAGTGAGATCTCAAAAGGTGTTGAATATAAATACCAACAAGTAAATAAATGACCTAAATCTCTATCAACGGAATAACTAAGAACCTACCATATATCCATAGTATGTAGTAATCAAAAAGAATATGAATATGTAGATTTGATGTCAGTGAAAGATAGATTGACAATTGAAGAAAAGCAAGTTTTAAAACAACATATAGTGTGAGTATTTAAGTGAAGATATGAAATAGCTATACATTTAATATGCAGTCAATGTATGGAAATGTTCTATAAGGATCTCTGCAAACCAAAAACAGTGTTCATTTCTAGGGAGAGAAATGAGACTAAAGACAGCTGAAAGTGATTGCATCCTACTTTATTCCTCCAAAGAACATATTTATTAATGTATTAATTATAGTAACGTTTATGTTTTATGTATTAATTGATTTTTTCTACAAAGGACATATTTCAATTGAAGTGTTTTTTAACATTGTGGTGATGAGAAACTGTATATATAGTACTTGGAATTTTTTAAATGTGTCTAAAATGACTACCTTTTTCATTCAAAACTTTCAAGTAATCTATAAATTAATAAAACAAAGTAGCTTCAAATATTGCTAAATTTATAATTTTCAAATGCTCCCCCCAGGAAGGAGACTCAGCAGCTGTTTTTACTGAAGCACTAAGCAACTTTAAGTTATAAAGTGAAAAGTAATTCTTTAACCAATGAAAACGTCAAGAGGAGTTTAGGTAGGCAAAATATCGTTCCGCCTGGATGGTTAGACTAAATGTTGCTTCATTTAATTTTTGGCAAATTGACCCATATTGCTGTAATGAATACATTTCTAGAAATTATATAATATTTTACATTTGATTGGAAGAAAACATTTTCCTCAATAAATCCAACCAGCACATTTTATCTGGTCTTCTTCATACAGAACAAGGAGAAAGAGGTTTAAACCTTTACACTTTAAAGATTAAAACAAAAATCCTATAGAGCTTTTATATGCATCTCTTGAATAAGTTCTTATACCATGTTATAGATAAGATGGCTATTCCCAAAGGTAGTTTATGGATTTGTGTTCAATTTTGTTTCTTAAAAATTGTAACTCATTGCTTTAGAATTTATAAATCTTCTCATTCAGAATCTTGTTTGATCTTTTAACACATGTAATGCCAGTGAAACATATTTGCAAAGACAGTAGCTTTAAAGAAACATACTGATTAGAGAACATTGAGTTCTATATTTAATTTTTCTAAATACTAGCTCTACTATGTAGTTTATAATTTTATTTCTGTGTACTTCAGTTTCCTCACCTTGATATAAACTTTAGTCTTCCTTCTTTTTTTTCTTCCCTTTCACAAATGTGTAATTAAGTTTATGAATACTAGGTTCTGGGAATGTAAAAATGTAAGATGTGTTCTCTCCTTCTAGGTTCTTAGCTGCTGAGATGGATATCTTAATCAATCATCATTAAATACTACAAAATATGATTTCCTCAGAAGTATGATCAAAATACTGTGGGAGCCCAGAGAAGGGAAAAATCTAGCAATCAAGGAAAGTTTGAAAGTTTAATATCCAATTTACCTGCATATAAGCATGGATAATATGCCAGCCATAATAATGTCAGGAAGAAAATGACACTCCAGGCATAGGAAAGTGCATTTGCAAAGGCATGGGGTTAAAAAGATGATGGTGAGATGTTTGGTGAGACCAAAATACAGACTGAACGAGGACTGAACTAGTGACAGAAGATGAAGCTGGAGAGGGAGATTAGAGGTCGAATAAAGAGGAGCTTGTGCATTATACAAGTACCTGTATTTGAACTTACCCTAGGGACAATTGAGTCACCTGAACACTTACGGGAAGTCATATGATGATTTTTTCCCCCTAAAGACTATCAGACAAAAGTATAGATGGGTGCTAATGAGACCAAATACAGACAAATTGCAAAGAAACTGAGAGGTATGAAATAGGCCTATGGAATACAGAGTTAATTATATACTGAAATCTGAATACCAAAGTAATGTGTGGATTTCAGACAAGTATAGAAAGGCCAAGAAAGAAAATAAATATATCCTCAATCTCACAGCATAAATATCCATGATTAACATTTCAATATATTTATTTCTAGGTGGTTTTCTATATGTACATGAGCATTTTAAAACAAATATAACATCCATGTGAAATATTCTATAGATAAACAATGTTCTGAGACATCAAAATTGGGTACATATCATTTACACAAAGTACTATCCATTACTCCCATTATTAGAAATAGAGGATTTTACCCTTTGGAAAACACTGTGATAAACATCTTTGTGCTTACACATTTATGCCCTCATCTGACTACTTAGAATAAGTGATCAGATATAGAATTTCTGGAGAAAAGATAATATACATCTTAAAGATTTCAAACAATATCTATTCAAAATTTCTTTTCAGAAATCACTTTACATTCCCACCAGCACTCTTTTTCCTGCAGCTTCTAAAACAATGAATATTTTAATTTTTTCCTGACAATAGGCAAATATGATATCTCACCACTTTATTTGCATTTCTTTGATTACTTTTGAGGTTCAGCCCTTTCATATTTATTATAACTTGCCTGTTCTGTCAATTTTCCTATTGGGGTATTTCTAGTTTTATGTTTGATTTTTTTATTTTTTATTTATTTTATATTTTTTATTTTATTATTATTACACTTTAAGTTTTAGGGTACATGTGCACAATGTGCAGGTTTGTTACATATGTATACATGTGCCATGTTGGTGTGCTGCACCCATTGACTCGTCATTTAACATTACGTATATCTCCTAATGCTATCCCTCCCCCTCCCCCCACCCCACAACAGTCCCTGGAGTGTGATGTTCCCCTTCCTGTGTCCATGTGTTCTCATTGTTCAATTCCCACCTATGAGTGAGAACATGCTGTGTTTGTTTTTTTGTCCTTGTGATAGTTTGCTGAGAATGATGGTTTCCAGTTTCATCCATGTCCCTACAAAGCACATGAACTCATCATTTTTTATGGCTGCATAGTATTCCACGGTGCACATGTGCCACATTTTCTTAATCCAGTCTATCGTTGTTGGACATTTGGCTTGGTTCAAAGTCTTTGCTATTGTGAATACTGCCGCAATAAATATATGTGTGCATGTGTCTTTATAGCAGCATGATTTATAATCCTTTGGGTATACACCCAGTAATGGGATGGCTGGGTCAAATGGTATTTCTAGTTCTAGATCCCTGAGGAATCGCCACACTGACTTCCACAATGGTTGAACTAGTTTACAGTCCCACCAACAGTGTAAAAGTGTTTCTATTTCTCCACATCCTCTCCAGCACCTGTTGTTTCCTGACTTTTTAATGATCGCCATTCTAACTGGTGTGAGATAGTATCTCATTGTGGTTTTGATTTGCATTTCTCTGATGGCCAGTGATGATGAGCATTTTTTCATGTGTTTTTTGGCTGCATAAATGTCTTCTTTTGAGAAGTATCTGTGCATATCCTTCACCCACTTTTTGATGGGGTTGTTTGTTTATTTCTTGTAAATTTGTTTGAGTTCATTGTAGATTCTGGATATTAGCCCTTTGTCAGATGAGAAGGTTGCGAAAATTTTCTCCCATTCTGTAGGTTGCCTGTTCACTCTGACGGTAGTTTCTTTTGCTGTGCAGAAGCTCTTTAGTTTAATTAGATCCCATTTGTCAACTGTGGCTTTTGTTGCCATTGCTTTTGGTGTTTTAGACATGAAGTCCTTGCCCATGCCTATGTCCTGAATGGTAATGCCTATGTTTTCTTCTAGGGTTTTTATGGTTTTAGGTCTAACGTTTAAGTCTTTAATCCATCTTGAATTAATTTTTGTATAAGTTGTAAGGAAGGGATCCAGTTTCAGCTTTCTACATATGGCTAGCCAGTTTTCCCAGCACCATTTGTTAAATAGGGAATCCTTTCCCCATTGCTTGTTTTTGTCAGGTTTGTCAAAGATCAGATGGTTGTAGATATACCGCATTATTTCTGAGGGCTCTGTTCTGTTCCATTGATCTATATCTCTGTTTTGGTACCAGTACCATGCTGTTTTGGTTACTGTAGCCTTGTAGTATAGTTTGAAGTCAGGTAGCGTGATGCCTCCGGCTTTGTTCTTTTGGCTTAGGATTGACTTGGCGATGCGGGCTCTTTTTTGGTTCCATATGAGCTTTAAAGTAGTTTTTTTCCAATTCTGTGAAGAAAGTCATTGGTAGCTTGATGGGGATGGCACTGAATCTATAAATTACCTTGGGCAGTATGGCCATTTTCACGATATTGATTCTTCCTACCCATGAGCATGGAATGTTCTTCCATTTGTTTGTATTCTCTTTTATTTCCTTGAGCAGTAGTTTGTAGTTCTCCTTGAAGAGGTCCTTCACATCCCTTGTAAGTTGGATTCCTAGGTATTTTATTCTCTTTGAAGCAATTGTGAATGGGAGTTCACTCATCAGTTGGCTCTCTGTTTGTCTGTTATTGGTGTATAAGAATGCTTGTGATTTTTGCACATTGATTTTGTATCCTGAGATTTTGCTGAAGTTGCTTATCAGCTTAAGGAGATTTTGGGCTGAGACGACGGGGTTTTCTAGATATACAATCATGTCATCTGCAAACAGGGACAATTTGACTTCCTCTTTTCCTAGTTGAATACCCTTTATTTCCTTCTCCTGCCTAATTGCCCTTGCCAGAACTTCCAACACTATGTTGAATAGGAGTGGTGAGAGAGGGCATCCCTGTCTTGTGCCAGTTTTCAAAGGGAATGCTTCCAGTTTTTGCCCATTTGGTATGATATTGGCTGTGGGTTTGTCATAGATAGCTCTTATTATTTTGAGATATGTCCCATCTATACCTAATTTATTGAGAGTTTTTAGCATGAAGGGTTGTTGAATTTTGTCAAAGGCCTTTTCTGCATCTATTGAGATAATCATGTGTTTTTTGTCTTTGGTTCTGTTTATATGCTGGGTTACATTTATTGATTTGCAAATGTTGAACCAGCATTGCCTCCCAGGGATGAAGCCCACTTGATCATGGTGGATAAGTTTTTTGATGTGCTGCTGGATTTGGTTTGCCGTATTTTATTGAGGATTTTTGCCCCAATGTTCATCAGGGATATTGGCCTAAAATTCTCTTTTTTGGTTGTGTCTCTGCCAGGCTTTGGTATCAGGATGATGCTGGCCTCATAAAATGAGTTAGGGAGGATTCCCTCTTTTTCTATTGATTTTAAAAGGCTTCAGGACCTTCCTTTTTAGGAAGAGTACAAGATAACAGTTGGAATTAGTCATTCAACCATAGAGCGTTTGTAAAGGCAGTTCAAAAAGTCTAAATGTGTAAAAAACAGTAATAACATAGGAAGGCTTCAGAAAAAAAAAAAAAAGACATGAGTGCAAAATTTTGATGGAGAAGTCACAGCTATGCAAACTTCCCAAAGACGTACCATAATGAAGTTAAGACATGAACAACTGGCTGTTTTCTTTTTTTTTTAATTTTTATTTTTCTTAAATTATACTTTAAGTTCTAGGCTATTTTCACGATTCCAGGTGAATGAAGCAACAGAAGTAAGAGTTCTTGTCCATGTGAATGCAGAGGGATCCCCTAGGGTTTAGGAGAAAAGGGGTATACCTGGATGTAGGTCAGCAGCTAGTTAGCAATGCCAATTTTCTACACTTCACTTCTCTCTCAAAATGCATATGAGAATAAACAACAAAGTGCCAAATTGCAATAACCTTGAAAACTATAATAGTTACCAGCAATCTACTAAATTTCAAGAGAGATAAAGAAAGCTAATCAAGGAAAAATTATACAAGATTAATTCATATCCACCCTGAATGTTAGTTCCTTAAAATGTGGGCAACTTGTTGCATAGAAAGTTAGCAGCCTCTCCTGAAATTCTCATAAATGAATGTTTGACATGGTTAATAAAATACAATAAAATGTACTGACTTGAGTAACCATCATCACAATCAAGATTTGAAAAATTTCTATTATACCCCAAAACTTCGTCATTCCTCTTTGTTTTGCATCACTATGGGTTAAATTACCTTTAAAAAATGTCATATAAATGGAATCACAAAGGATATACTCTTTCTTATCTGGCTACTTTTGCTCAATATGTTTTTGAGATTCATCCCTGTTGCTGCATACATCAGCAGTATGGTGCAGATATACCACAGATTATTCACCAACTAATCAGTTGATGGGCACTTGGGTTGTTTGCAGTTTGGGCCTATTATGAATGAACTTGCTATGCATATTCATGTACAACTCTCATGTTGAGAAATATATTTCTCTTGAGTATTTACCTAGGAGTAGAATAGCTGGGTCGTATGTTAGGTATAGCTTCAACTTAAAAAAAAATTTATATATATATATATATATATATATATATTTCTCCTGGTTTTTCAAAGTGACTATACCATTTCACTTTCTCATCAAAAAAACATGACAGATTGAGTTCCTCCACATCCTCAACAACACTTGATGTGGCTAGTCTTTTTATTACAGCCATTCTTATTGTTATGTAGTGGTATCTCATTGTGTTTTTAATTTACATATCATTGATGATTAATGGTATTGAAAATCTTATCTCCTTTGTTGAATGTTTCCTAAGTATTTGTCTGCACCTTAATTGTTTGTATTTGTTTGGTTTGTTTTCCTAATTTTTTATGGGATCTAGAAACAAATCACATGTCAGATAATCATATTGAAAATAATTTTGCCCAATCTGAGGCTTATCTTTTTATTTTTGTAATGAAAAGGAGGAGAACTTAGTTTTGATGACATCCATTTTATCAATCTTTTTCTTTTATATTTTGTGCCTTATGTCTGATCTGAGAAAGTTTTGCTTACCATAAGGTCAAAAAAATTTCACCTCTGTTGGATTTTATAGTTTTAGATTTTTACACGGAGATCTGTAATCAATTTTGAGTCACTTTGGCGTACAGTGTTAGATAAAGGTTGGTGCTTATTTGTTTGTTTTTATTTATATATGAAAATAGGATAGAAATAATAATTGAGAATTTAGAAGAGGACAACTTACCTCAGCTAAAAAATAATTTGAACCCCCTGATTTATTAGCTAAAATATGCCAATATCTAAGTAGCCTGGTGAAAGTTTAAAAATGTCTGAGTTAAGAGAATGCCTAAGTACATTTAGGCAAGACAAAATAAAGTTTACATGCACAAGAATAATATCAAGTTGACATAAACTCTTTCTACATCACGCACTCCAGAAGATACTGAAATATCAACAGAGTTTTGAGGGAGAAATATTGCCACCAAGAACTCTATAATGGCTATGTTTAAAGGGAAAAGAAAACAATTCTCAGATACACATGTCTCAACAACGTAGTTTGCATGCTTTTAAAAGGTGGGGAAAAAAAACCCTCAGACATATTCCAGCTATTTGAAGGATGTATCAGAATAAAGAAGTTAAGAATTTGTAAGTCATGGCAAAAATAGCATGAGGGTCAGAATAAAGTCAGTTAAGCAGAATTGAAAAAATTAGGACTTAAACTGAACACAAATGCCACATTAATATTTGGAAAAAGACATGCATAATATAAAAACAAAGTAAATCTGAAGCTAAAAACACAGAAATTATATTAAATAGGAACAAACTTATGAATAGAAATAAATGTGTGCTAAATTTTATACCTTCTTTAGAAAGAATCAGTATAAAGTATATCAATTTAACTGTGATAATAAGAGTAATGCAGGTTTGAGTATGTTATTTAGAAATGTTAATCACTAATATTAATAGAACTATGAAGAGTCATATAGCTATCAAGTAACTAAAGAAAGAGAACAAAAGAAACTATATCCTACATCCTAAAAAGAGAAAATGTAATGGAAACACTTAAAATAATAAAGCATGATTATAAGATTAAATACATAAATTTGATAATTGAAATATGCTAAATTACCTTAACAAATTTTAATAAGATTCAAATGTTTGTCAACAAACAAAATTCAGACACATTCTGATGCAGGTTTCTTGGATTTGGTTTTTTTTTATACTTGACAAACATTTCAGAATTTTTTGCTATAGATAAAAAGTGAAGGATTTAACAAGAGACCTGAGACTTTATTTACTCAAATATCTTTTGTCATCTACTAGCTGTTTACAGCAGACAAGTTAATCTACTTCTCTGTGTTGTGGTTTCCTCAACTGCAAAATGAAAACAATAATAGTACCTAGTGTCTACCTCATAAGATTGTTCTAAGGTTTGCCTGAATTAAAAGATGCAAGGTGGTTGGGTGGGGTGGCTATAATCCCAGCACTTTAGGAGGCTAAGGTGGGCAGATCACTTGAGGTCAGAAGTTTGAGACCAGCGTGGCCAACATGGTGAAACCCCGTATCTACTAAAAAAATACAAAAAAGTAACCAGGCGTGGTAACGCTAGCCTGTAGTCCAAACTACTCGGGAGGCTGAGGTAGAATTGCTTGATCTCAGGAGGCGGAGGTTGCAGTGAGCTGAGATCATGCCACGGCACTCCAGCCTGGGCAACAGAGCGAGACTCCATCTAAAAAAAATAAAAAATAATTTAAAAAGATGCATAGTGCTAAGGACACTGCTTGTTTATAGTAAGTGCTAAATCCATATTGTTATATAAAGAATTTCAGTTAGAAAACATTTGGAAAGTGAGAAGTAGTACCAGGTATAAAGTCATCAAAACTATATGCTTGAACTGGGGCTGGCTGGGTATTCAGTTTTTGATGTCACGTGCAGACATTTGTTCCTGAGAGTAGTAGCTCCAGACACCCAGTAGGGAGGCATTGGAGGCGCTGATAAGATTTTCCGAAGCTTTCTAAACAAGCACCTGAAATAGTACAGAATTTGAGGGGCTGGGAAAGGAAGATTTGGAGTTGGAAGGCTTTAACATCATTATATCCAGTACAGTCTGTTCCACTGAGGGACTTTGAGAATAGAAGATATCAGCTATCAAGGACAAAAATAGCTGTTCAATTGACAGATGAGAAATTTCAAATGTTTTCAAAGGAAAACATAGAATAGTTATTTATGATGTTTGAACAAGCAAATAATTATCTTCTCTTTAAGAAAATACAAAGATGATGAATAATGTCTTGGATGCAAAAATGCTTCATTTGCCAGTGTGACTGGCATCCTCTGAATGAGTGGATGGGAAAAGAAAGATAATGGACCAGGAGTGAGGCCCCAGGGCCCATTTAGCTTCTGCTGTGATTATGGATTGAGTGCTCCCTTTCAGAGAAATGCATTCCACATTTGAAAGCAGACTAGTGTAGAGATGCGAAAAAGAAAGTAATATGCAGATTGCATTTGTAACATACGCCTTTGTGCTGATATTTCTCCGACCGAGAAAAATAAAGGGGGGAATATTTAACGTATATAAAAATCATACCAGATAATTTTGAATGAGTCAACAGAAGAAAATGCAAAGTGAGAAATTTGATACACAAAAGTCATATGATTTATCAAAATGGAAGAGCAGTAAAAATACTTTCCATGCATGTGGATAAGAAAGGGATATTAAATACATTTAGAAAAGAAAAGAAAAGAAAAGGAAAAGAAAAGAAGTGCTGAGCTTTTTGAAGTGGTGTATTACCTGTGGTTCACACCCAGACAAGTATTAATTGTCGTGAACATTAGTTACGGGTGATGAATATCAGCTTCATGCATGTTCTGCAGACTCTCCCTTCTCAAGCAGCAGGGCAAATTCAAGCAAGCTGCAGTTTATATGCCTGCCACTGAAGGTACAAGGTTAAGCAGAATCAATACAAACGTCTGTTGCAGTATAACTTTCATGTTTCAACATTTAAAAGGAAGACACAATGACTAAAGGGAAGTTTCTAATTTTTCCTACTCATGTTGAGCCTTTTGTGAAGGGAGTCTGCTGAAAATATTATTTAGAATGAAAAAAAGTGCAGATTATGAAAATAATATTATGCAAATGAAAAAGTAGAAAATAAAAAGAGAGAAGTAGACACAATTTGTACTTTGGTAGTGATTAGGAAAGAATGATCTGAGGAAGTGGAACTTTTGTCTAAGAGGAAGAAGGAAATCAGAGTAAGGTGAAGAATGATGGTATATGGCTTCTTAAAACCTTCCTATATTTTGTGTTTAAAGAAAATGTAACAGCTTGAATGAAAGATTGCAGGTCATATGTAGGAGAAGGGGATAAAGTAACTCAACCTCTGAAGGTAGTAGAGTATAAGACTTTTAGACCCAGTTACTTCAATAAATAAAAAGAACAAACTACAATTACAAAGAAAAATATGTACAGGGGAACGGAAAGATATGCTAATTATAATTTGAGACTAAATACTCTGTGTAGCATATACAGGCAAAAAATGCCAAGAGATAAATGTTTCCGAAATTAATTAGTCAATTAATTAATAAAACAGAAGAAAGAATAAAAAAGTAAAAGGAAACAAACTTTCAGCACACGGTTATTTAATTTTAAGCAATTGATATTCAATTTCTGTAGAAACTTTGTTGGACTGGCTTATGGGAGTTGGATTGTAAATATGTATAATATGTAAATAACTTTTAATATATTTGAAGGATTTAAAAAGAGGGATAGTAGATATGAAAGTGCTGTACAATGAATATCATTACAGACACTAGGAATGTTGAAAGGAATACCCAAAGAACATTTCCAATTCTTATCTCATATCATCTGCTTATATGTATTTAATTTCCCACAGAGGGTCACTTTTAAAATATAAGCCATTCCTTATTGAATTTACTTTTTCAACTTATCTTTTTTCAAAGCACTACCTCTTAGGATTTTTATATAGTGGGATTCATTTGCCTGCTTTTCTATGTTTATGTTTATTGTTTTTGTCATCCAAAGATTCTAAAAAGCAGGAAGCATAACCATTTACATTGCCAAGTCCGGAAGAAGTAAATATTATCATACAATAATGATTGTCAGAGATTAATTCACTGGGTGATATTTAAAACAATTCCATTTTGGAAAAGCAATTCAATTTCAATTTCTTATCCAGCTTTCATCTTCTAGTAAAATTCATGGTAAAACCGGATAAGTCTTTTTAATATGTAGTCAACTCTCAATTACCCTGCAAATCTTGCTTGCAAACACTGAATGTTCTTACAAAGATGTCACTTTGACCACATTTTAAGAATCCTCAGTGGCTCTCAGTCATTGAAGAAAGGGTTTTACAAAATATGGGTCCCAAGTTTATGGCTTTAAAAGAAATACCAACAACACCATGGCATAACTATGAAACTCCTTTTTGTTTTTACTGTGATTCAATTTTGCCAGAACTACTCGTTATAAAATTTCTTCAGCCTGTCTCATGTACTTTTGCATGCTCATTATTTTGCTTAGAACCCACTTGTTAGAATAGCACATTATTGCAATGTTTCTTCATGTCAGTGATAATCCAAAAATTTCAACAGAATAAGCATCAGTTCTATGTACTGATATTTTAGAACACATTTTATAATAAAAAAGATCAAGATTACCTTAAATGTACATCAGAAACTAAGATTTGGGGGAAAGAAAAGAGAACAGGCAATACTCTCAAATGGAAACCGAATAGTGACCCAACTGCCAAGTTTTGTCCATTGGACTTCATAAGAATCTCTACACACTGCACTGTCAACAGGATAAGCCCCAGCATTTGCATTATAGTTTCAAAGCTCATTCCAGCAAAGCTATATTCAGTAGGCAATTTCCCCTGTAGATAGCATGTGCAGTTTCATTTTACCTGTCTTCAGACTGACACTTTGCTCATTATAGTAGTAAAAAATACAACCCTGGATGGAGATTTAATTTGCTAATGAGACAAACAATGTATGAATAAGCATGTACAGCTGTGTATGTGCACCCAGAGGACCACCCAGGACATGCTTACTAGTGACACTTCTCCCTCCCTTCTTATGAATAATCATGTAAGACCCCCATAAAGGGAGTTTCCCAAGTAACAGTCCACACTGTCTCATCCTTAGGAGCAGCCTGTCTGAATTGTCTCTCATAATGTACTATCTATTCTGTGCCTAACTTTCAGATTATTCTTTGTTTTTTGCAATAAATTGCACTATACTGCATCTTCTTTGCTGTGTGTCTCTTGTTTAAATTCCTTTAAACCAAGAAGATAAGAACTGAGGTTTCACAACAACTGTCAACAACTACAGACCACCATCATTTCTTGCCTGGATTCATGAAGAACACTTTGCTATCTGGTTCCTAGTCACTCCTCTATTTCTTCTGTGAACTCTCTGCCTTCATCCCTCAGTGCTATTGGCAGGTGTCTGAAACTACCCTGTTTCCTATATCTCCAGGCATTTGCCCATCCTGTTTCTTCGGTGTGTATTGCCTTTCCCAATGTTGCTTTCTTTCTACTGTTTTCATGCTTCAGGACAGGGCTTAAATACTACTTCTTCCAAGAACAAAACAATGTTCCTAGGGCTGCTGTAACAATGTACCACTAACAGGGTGGCTTAAACAATAGAAATTTATTGCTTCACAGTTCTGGAGGGCGGAAGTCCAAGATCAAGCTATTGGCAGGCTTGAGTACTGTGAGGGAAAACCTGTTCCATGCCTCTCTCCTGGCTTCTAAAGATTTGCTGGCTATTTTTTGCCATTTTCTGGCTTGTAGATGCATCACCCTGATCTCCATCTTCATCTTCATATGATATTTTCCCTGTGTGTGTGTGTGTGTCTCTCTCTCTGTAAATTTCTCATTTTTACAAGGGCACCAATTATATTAGATTAGGGCCCACCCTGTAGAAATCCTATCTCCAAATAAGATCACATTCTTAATTACTGGGGGTTAGGGGTCAAACATTTCTTTTCTTAGTGGAGACATAAACACAAAACAAATAAATGTGCTAGTCCTTCCAGGAAACCTGCTAGATTACTATTTAAATTTCAAAGCCTTTTTGTGTTATTGTTCATGTATCTCAGGATTGAAATTATCTGCTTATGTATTTATCTCCCAAGTAGACTATAAGAAGATTAAAAGAGAGAAGACACTGTAAGGTTTATATTTTTTAGCACAAAAGGGGCAAAAGCATTTGCTTAATAAATAAATAAACGGACCCTTGGAATTTCAAATAAATTTTAATTTACCTTGAAAAATATTTTTACAAGATATTACAGTAGACATGCGGTGGGATTCAGAGTAATTTCCATCACAACATGACTTTTGATCTTGGCAAGTGGCATGTCTACATGCAGTACATGGACATGTCTTAGAGGAAACACAAGGTATAATTATGCGGGTTAAACTTTAGCTATATTTTGCTCTTCCTCCATTAACAGGGCAATTCAAAAGCTTTTTAAAGAGGATTTGGAAATCGCAGAACTGCTAACAAACCAGGCGTTGAGACTGGAGTTAAGAGGTGAATTTGTATAAGCATTTTCTGGATATTATTAACCGATTTCATCTATTGGGCTAAGTGTATTTTTAAAAAATATTCATGTTCTTATGAATGTATATTCTCAAGAACTACAGGATTGTTATAGTTATGAATACATAGAATGAGTATGGATGTATTAAGTTGATGATTCAGATTTTGAGCAACATTCAAAGAATCCACATGGCAGCCAGAGTGTCCTTGTCCTTAAAAATCTACATTAAATTGATTGAACCCCCATTTTATAAGATGAAGAAAGTTCAGACTCCCCACTGTTTTAAAATATTGTGGGGGACTTGTACTCCCATAACCAATTCTAGCCATATCCCTATTTCCAAAGAATTATATCAATTTATGAACTATGTTTCTCTTAACTAGGTGTGGTCTGTATTCAGTTGTGAATTGTTGAAATTGATATAAAACTTACTCTCCCTTAAGATTAAGAATCAACACACACACACACACACACACACACACACACACACACACCAGGCCCTGTGCCACTGGAAAACCTTAAAAATGTTCTGGGGACATAGAAGAGCATTAAACATTATATAGGAAAATAGATATTCTTCTCTTAAACCCTTTTTCAGTTGACAGCCTTGAGGGGCTCTCACTTGCCTTTTAATCACATTGAAAACAGTGTTTTCCCCATCCTTCTCCCCATCCTACCACTTCACCCCCTCATTCTCTTTGTACCTCCAGTCTACATTTATCTCAAATTCTTTATATCTTACACTAAATTCGACTTCCCCCAGTTCAGATATCTAGCTTCAGCTTATTGTTGCTTACCTAACACCCATCAGAATATTTGTGCAAACAAAAGCAATAATCTGTTTAGCAATGTGAAATCAGAGACTCTGAGGGTCTCAATAAGATCACTGTATTAGAAAGGTCCTATGATAGGAAAGAGATTATTTTTCTTTTCTTAGAATTAGAAGCCAAAATTTTGATTTTGTTTTTCCTCAATGTGTATACCTTTAATATATGCAAATATGAAACAATAAGACATATTTACTTGTGATTGCTCTTAACTGAATCCAATTCTATGTCTCATCCAGTTCTATGCCCCAGCACCACTCCCAGGTAAAAAAGAGCTTCGACTCTCAGACTCTCAGATCTCTTTATAGGTAAAGAATGAATCAGAGAGTAGGATAGAACTAGAGAAACCAAAAGCAAAGAAGGGAGGATTTAGCAAAGTACATAGATCAAACTATTTAATAAAGAATGAGGAGAGAGCAGAAGAGGAGAGGCGGTAAAGAGAAAAAAAAAATATAGCACTTGCTGGAAATTGAAAGACAGCCTCACAGGAGCAGACCTCAGCAGCTGCTAAGGATAAGTACTAGGGAGGGAGAAGAAAGCTCCTGAGCAGTCTTGCACTGTAATTTGGATCCCCTTTAATGTTCTTAGAGACTGCAAACAAAGACTGCAATTTTCTTTTTAATTATGACTTCATGGCTCAGCTGTCCATCTTTGAATGTAATTCCACAGGTGAGAACAGGACAGAAGTCTCTAGGATTTGTTAGAATCACCTTTACAAGGCCAGGCACAGAGGCTCATGCCCGTAATCTCAGCACTTTAGGAGGCCAAGGCGGGCATATCACCTTAGGTCAGGAGTTCGAGACCAGAGTGGCCAACATGGAGAAACCGCCCCCCCACCCCCCACCCCCATCTCTACTAAAAATACAAAAATTAGCTGGGAATAGTAGCAGGAACCTGTAATCCCAGCTACTCAGGAGGCTGAGGCAGGAGAATCGCTTGAACCCAGGAGGCAGAGGTTGCAGTGAGCTGAGATCACACCACTGCACTCCAGCCTGGGTGACAGAATGAGACTCTGTCAAAAAGAAAAGAAAAGAAAAGAAAGGATTAACAAGTGCAATAGAGAAAATAAATAAATATGTATAATTTACATTTAGAACAATTGCATTTACTATATTTGGAGAGGATATTAATTAGGAGAAAAAATGTCATAGAACTGTGAATAAACTATGGTTTGTGTTTTTCTTTTGTGACTTCCAGCAAACTTTGAAAGAGCGTTGTGGTAAATTTGTAGCATATAAACTATCGTTTATATTTTTCTTTTGTGAATTGTATGTATGTATGTATTTCTGAGACCACACTCAATCAAGTTGTTTGTACAGATTATCTGTTCTTGCCCAGTGCTTTTACGCCACGTGACTGACCACTTTCATATGATAAAGAAAAACTTGCTGTAGTTGTAGCATATTGCATAATTTGAAATTTTTATGGACCTAATTTCACAATTAGGAAGTAAAAATAAAAACAGCAGATGGAAGAGAGAAAGGAGAAAGCGGACTTTGGCAGTGTCCCTTGGATGGCTGGATGGGCAGATTGCAGGAAACTGGGAAACAGCCATTAAATTGCCAAGGATGAAGTCACCAATCAGTCATAATCGACTGACTGTCAAACCACAACCCTGTTCAGATTTCTCATGGACTTCAGTCCCTTTCTTATTTTTGTGAATGAAATTCCAACAAGGCAAATTTTTTAGTGAGACAGACCACAAGTCAAAGATTTTGAAATTCTCTTTACCCCAGTGATTTCTTGTATCTTTACCCTGGTCTTTAAAATTCATATTATTCTTGCCTAAGATGCCAAAAAGTCAAATTTTTATAGTTTGAAGAAAACTGAGCTCTTTACTTGTTTACTCTATCATTTATAAGGTACAAATACATTCCAAGTATCTTATTTTAGTGTGATATGTGATTCACATATTACTGGGATAAAGGAGAAAATTAAGTTATTTTTGACAATAAAGGCTACTACAAAATTGCAGAATGTATAAAGGAATAAAAAGTAACAAGCACAGACAGTTTTTCAGTCCTAAAATTCACTTTTTATTCCTTATAACAATATTTAAGAAATATTTTCAATTATTTATTTAACAAATATTTATAATATTCTTATTAGGCACACTAAGTAAAGTCATCTTCTAGATCCATAAATCCAACCCACTCCCTACAAAAAATTATCTGGAACAAAAACTGCAAGAATCACAGCAATTTACAATAGTTCTAGATGAAGGCTAAACATTAATCAGATTCCTAATGTTAAATTAAGTGTGTCCACATAGGCAGGGACATGTAAGAACATGGCAACTCCCAGAGGAAAGTTGATGAAATGGCAGTTCTTCCTTTCCTTTCCTTTCCTTTCCTTTCCTTTCCTTTCCTTTCCTTTCCTTTCCTTTCCTTTTCCTTTTCCTTTTCCTTTTTTCTTTTTTTTTTTTTTTGAGATGGAGTTTTGCTCTTGTTGCCAAGGCTGGAGTGCAATGGCACGATCTTGTCTCACTGCAAACTCTGCCTCCCGGGGTTCAAGCGATTCCTCTGCCTCAGCCTCCCAAGTAGCTGGGATTATAGGCATGCGCCAACATGTCCTGCCAATTTTTTTATTTTTAGTAGAGATGGGGTTTTGCCATGTTGACCAGGCTGGTCTCGAAGTCCTGACCTCAGGTGATCCAGCTGCCTTGGCCTCCCGAAGTGCTAGGATTACAGGTGTGAGCCACCACACCCGGCCAGGAATGGCAGTTCTAAGAAGAGGCATGCTAGCCTGAGAAGTGGGGAAGCAAGGTAGACAGCAAATTAATGTATGTGCACAAAATGGGTTAAAGGAAACTTGCTGAAGAGATAGGCACTGTGAAAGGACCAGGACACAAGTTAATACATGTTCTTCCTACATTAGATATTAAAAATGGTAATATTTATAATGATCAAAACATCAGCTACATAGGCCTATTTCATTTAAATTTCATGATAACTTGATGAGTAGGTGTTGTTCTTCAATTTTACAGATGAAGAAATGTATATTTTTTGTGTTCAGGCCATGTATTCAAAATTATAGAGCTAATAAATCACAGAACTCAAACGTATCTCAGTCTTTTCCTTTCATCAAGCTGTAACACTTCCTGCTTGTACATATATGTAGACATATAGCCAGACTTTTGAGATTGCTGCAGAACTAGGTTAAGCCCATGGTAGGTGAATAGAGAAGGATACCGATAGATATTGGAGCAAGCTAATAAACAAACATGAGCATGGGAGGAAGGACGATGGGGAGGAGGGAGGGGGAGAAGGGTGGGGCAGAAAACAACTCTTAAGCAAAGTATTATTTTGGAATTTCTCTTTTTTTAACAGTTAAACAGAAGATTGGTTGTGATCTCAAAAACAAAATAAGACTATCCATCTGAAATTTAAAACAAACAAAAAACCGAAACACAATCTTCACCTCCTTATATGGTAGGATTATCTTTAATGTGTTGGCACCACTACTAGGTTTCCTTTCCAATAACTTACCACCCCGGAACTGCCTCTTGTTTCTTCCCTTGGGAACAACTTTGTCAGTGTTCTCTATAATGCAAAGGCCAATAAAAATAATTTACATACAGCATATCATATCAAACACAAGTAACTCTATTCTTATTTAAAATACTAAAAGCTACCTCGAATTTTATTTGCTTATAGCTAGTGATTTAGATAGTACACCACAAAATGAAAGTTTTCCCTTGGATTATTAACTGTTTTTATTCAGTTATCTGATTTATCTGTCTAACCACTTTGGAAAGAAATGCTTCTGTGATGCACACAAAATAAATGCCCCCAAAGTGTCCAGTGAATACATCATTGGTTGAATAAATGTATTTTGAAAAGGAAACACTTTGTTATCCTCTCCAAGCATGCTCAAAACAATGCATACTTTCCTTGATTAATCAAAGTCTTCATATTACAGAACAATTATCATTCATTTTAAAGACTGTTTTATTTTACTGTAAAATAAGTATGGAGCAATAAGGAGTTATGCCTGCAGAAAGGAAAAAAAAATTGCCATTTTAAGATGAATTGAAAGAAGCATAATGTAACCTAGCAAAAGAAGACTGTTTTTTATGCCAATTAAGCAATATATGGTAGAGTAAACAACAATTAGGGTCAAAATTGATTATCACAGGAATTTTCTACCTTCTGTAAAAAACAGAAAAAGACAGGCAAAAGAAAAGAAGGAAAACTACCGATTGAAATTATATTACAAAAAATTAGTGGGTGATGCTTGCAACAGATATCTTCCTCAAATTTTACCTATCTGATTCTCATTCCAGGGGAGGGATAAGGATTTAGAATTGAGTAAATTTTAGGGATATCTGAAGCATAATTTACACGTAACAATAATAAAATACTATTCATATATTTCCAAGTGGGGAAATCAAATCATCAATGTTTTGCATTTGGAAGAGTTTTTTGGTTTATAGCAGATTCATTTTTACAAGGAATATTTTTAAAGTCAAGTACTAGGAAAGTAAAATTATTACAATAATTTGGGTTTTCAAAATCTGTGGTGAAGAGGGAAAGAGAAAGGTGGAGCCACAGCTAGTTTTTGTTTGTTTTAATTGTGAAACGCAAAAGATACTGGCAACCTGAGCTATCAAGTTCTAGAAAGCACAAATTATTGTTAGTTTTAATATCATTATCTTTCACTGAATTTACTGTAAATATTAGAAACTCAATAATTACTGGTTGAATGGATTGAAGGATATGTTTAGAGTAAATAGATTCTATGTGTAAAGTGAGTACCTGAATAACTTTACTCTTTACCTCTACAGGGTAGAGATGTTATTGCGTCAACCAATTTCAGCTAAGCTGGAAAAGTTTTTTAAAGCCGGTCCTCAGCTGTATCTTGATAGCTAAACAATTGTTGTTGTTTATTTCTAAATGGATTATAATTGTAGCAATAATTAATTTGTAGGGTAGCAAAGATGTTTTATTTTTTAAGAAAAAAATTCTATTGCTGAAATTTACTAGAAGGATTGAAGTTAGTAAGACTTTATAAAGTCAGAATTAGCTTCATAATATGTGAAAAAGATACCACCAGGATTTTCGTGAATGTTGAGTTTTATTGACTTATTTACTCAGGCAACAAAGTTCTTAGGAACCTACCATATGTTGGGCTCTATGAGCCAGATTCTATGCAAATAAGAACTATTCTGTCTTCCAGATATTCCCATTATGGTAAAAAGAGTTAGGTAACTTTAAACATTATAGGAAACTAATACAGATTGAATAAAATGGGGGATGGAGGTACTGTAACCAGTACAGGATGCTGATGCACCAAAGTTGGCTAGGACAGGTTGGCAAAGGCTCCCCAGAGTAAAAGACATTTAAACCAAGTCCTTGACCACAAGGAGTTGACGTTTACCAGATGGACAATTAGAGAATGGGAAGTCCAACCAGAAATTAGGTGAGAAGGAATTGCCTTCCCATTGAGGTGAAAGAGAGCATGACTCCTGGCAGTGGATAGGAAATTTGGCAGCTCTGGAATGTAAAGCAAAGGTAGAAAGGAGAACAGGAGTATGCAAATGTGGATAGGAGATAAACGAACAGATTGTGAAAGACTTTGGATGTTGTGGTCAGAAGTTTGTACTTTGTACTGTTATAATAAAAAGGTAAAGAATGATTTCATTCATGGGAACAACGTGGTCAGATCTGTGTTTCAGAAAGACTACACAGAGCCAGGGTAGTGGCCAGGCACATGGAACAGAACTGATAGCAGAGCTCTTCTTAGAAAATTCTTACAGTAGTCCAGATGAGGAACGATGATGGCTGAACCAAGGCAGGGCAGACATACTAATTTTGATTGTTGTTACCAATATAATGAGAAGTTCGGGGTGATATGAAAACTTCTCTACTGTGCCTTTTCTAAATATAAGCTATGGCATTTGCACTGAAAAAAAAAATCGTATTTTATTTTATTTATATATATTTTTTTGAGACAGAGTCTCACTGTCTCCAGGCTGGTGTGCAGTGGCGTGACCTTGGCTCCCTGCCACCTCTGCCTCCAGGGTTCCAGCAATTCTCCTGCCTCATACTCCCAAGTACCAGAGAATTTTTTGTATTTTAGTAGAGATGGGGTTTCACCATGTTGGCCAGGCTGGTCTTGAACTCCTGACCTAGTGATCTGCCCACTTCGGCCTCCCAAAGTGCTGGGATTATAGGCATGAGCTACCTTGTCTGGCCTAGTCTTATTTTAATTGTGACCCTGTGGAAGTTGTTTCTGCTACCATATCTGGTAGCTAAACATGTGAGATTATGTTCCAGATATGTTACTATTTTACCAAAGAATGAGAAGCACCAGAGTTCAACTTTTCTAAAAGTGATACACTCAATGGTCCTATTAGAAGGGAGGGGCAACGTAATTACATTGATTAAAACAGAGCCTCTTTACTCAGCAATCAGTAAGTACACCTTGACAAGGTAATAATATCCATTTGCTCTTTATAACCTTTTTTTTTCCTCACTAGGTTGGGTTCCTTTATTCCTACCAATACAGGGCGTTCATTCCATGTAGCTAAATATTGCTGTTTATTCTTAGAGTGTATCCAAAGTTTTCGAATATTTTTTAAATGTTTTATAACTCCCAATACTCTTCATTCACCCACAAAATATTCTAATTTTCATAACATCAGTAATTCAGGCTATTTCTTTCTTTGCATATATGTCCTTTAATTAAGCACAATCAGAGATTTTACCTAGGTATGTGTTACCTTGGCTCAGTCCACTAGTATTTGTGCTGCTCCCACTTCTTGAAAAATACTATTTTTGATGTTTAGCATTTGTAGACTATCCACAAAACTTATCAGAGAGAGCAGAGTCTCTGAATATATCACCTATGTTTTTATCTTAAAATTGCTATCAAGGAAATTAAGTCTTAACCACTAGATTTAATGTTACCTAATTATGCATTTCTTCATTTTATAACTCTACTACACATAATTTTATTCAGTGGAGACTGCAAATATCCTAGTCATAATAGACATGTGGAAATATCTATTTTATATCAACTGAGCAGAGAATTATAAAAATATATAAATATATATTAGTTAACGTGTTTAATGTGAAATAGTTCATTCTAAAGAATGTTCATGGTGGATGATATGCATTTATAAATTCTTTTTAAGATTCTAGGGAGATGGTTCACAAATTTCTATAAAATTTTCATCTTGCAAGAAGTATTTCTTGATTATATATTTGCTTCTCTTATCATGTTGACTCTACAGCTTTTCAGCAAGAAAGTGTGGTTTCAAATATGTAATCCTTTTATTACTTTCTCATTATTTAATAGGAATGTGGTGATGTACCAGTTATACGGAATGTACTTCAAGAAAGTAAAACATGTTATTTGTTCTTAGAAAACCCTGAAATAAGAAAGAAACAAAATGTTATGTTACAGGGAATCGCACAATCCAAATGGAGAATAATAGTACAATAAGGAAAGAGGAGAAGCTTACAAGTGAAGAAGGAAAAGTATTAGATAATGTATATGCTCTAAAGCCCTGGCACCAGTATTTGCTAATACTTTATAACCTGTTTTTATTATTATTGCAAAGATTTTCTGAAACTATTTATTTCTTCTTTAGAAAAGTATTTGAAAATATATAAATACTAAGGATTTCATTGGTTAGAGTCAGATATTACCATATAAACCAAAAAGAAATATTTATAAACATAGTTGCTTCATCTATATATATAATGCTTCTAATAATATAGTAACATAAATGTCTACTATTTGTGTATAAATACATCAATTAGAAATTATTATTTCATTTATTTTATGGATTAAGTGTAGATTAAGTAACTTAAAATGCCTGTAATTTCTATGTGGTATATAATTTTTCAATTTCAAAAATTGTGAATATTTGTGAACAAAATTGTGGTGCAAATATGTTTTTAAACTACTGTCCTATACAAAATGATTTAGAAAATGCTCTTCAATTCCTTTTTATCTCTTAGATCACCAGTGTTGCAATGAGCTTACTTTATTTAAGTGACTTTAAAACTTACATTTTTTATATTTTTTTGATGTTTTATAACTTGACAAAGTTCATAACTTGCCAAATCATATATTTGATAAACTTTTATATTCTGAATCATTAAATATACTAGAATTTCTTTCAAGTGCTAATTTCCCAAACATGGAATCTTCATTAGTTTGCACTTCTAAAATAAGCTGGGAACTACATTTCTTTTTGCATTGCTTTGGTACTTTCCACTAAATAGGTGGCATGATGCATGTTTTTATAGCGTCCTTGAAATTTCTTTATTCAATTTTTGACATGTTTCCTAGGAACAGACCCAATCCTTCTCTGAAAGAAAATTTTTGAGGGTAGGTGGAAGGGCAGTTTTTTTTCTTTTTTTTTTTTCTTTTTTTTTTGAGACAGAGTCTCTCTCTGTCCCCCAGGCTGGAGAGCAGTGGTGCAATCTCGGCTTAGAGGGCAGTTGTTTTTGTGGGGCGATCAAACATAGGTGGTCTTTTTGCTGCTATATTTTTTAAAGTATACATATCTGCTTATTAAAAAATAAAGCATCAGACTGAGGTCTGTGTACTTGCTTGTTTTTTTTTTTTCGGAGTAGTAAATGGCACAGTTTTTGTAAAGCACTTTGAACAATGCTTTATACAGAGTATAGTAAAAGCTCAAAAACAATAGCTAAAAAGAAATGAGAAAAAGTTCTGTTTTTCTCATTAACGCAAATTTTCAACATGGAAAACTTAAATTTGAGTATTAAGTTTTCTATATTCAAATTCAACTAAGTACAAGATACTTTGAGTAGAAAATGTCCACAGAATATTGCCTCATTCACCAATAGTAATGTTTTTCACCACCACACACAAAAAACATCATATTACAGAGTAAAAAAATCCGTTTTGCAAATTAAAAAATGTTTGTTTTAAAGTCCTGTAGTAGTTGTCCATCCTTTTGAAGGAAAACATGACTATTTTCTATATACTTTAGCTTAATTTCTAAGACTTCTTTCTTGCGCTTGGTGAGTTGAAGGAGCTTTGAAAGTTAAGGATAGAAGCGCAAATATTTAAGACAAAGAAAAAATTTGCAGGTAATTGCAGCCTCTATTAAAGTCTTAATTAAAGGGCACTAGGAAAGCGAATTAGCACATCTGAGATTTTAATCAAACTGCTATTTCAACCAGTTTATTAATTGACTCCAGGATTAGGTTGTAATGTGCACTGTTAAGATGTATGTGCGTGATCTGAAAACCCTGGGACTGAGTGCACTCTTATTTCAGGAACAACCAAATTGAAATGTGCATTTAAAAGTGATCTCCTAGTTCTATGGGGATAATTGTAAATCTTGTAATAAGCATTTACTATTTTGTGCCTACAATAACCAAACATAAAATATACATATATATTATATATATATTATATACATATATATTATATATATTTTTATATATATTTTATATACATATATTATATATATATTTTATATACATATATATTTTATATATATACACACACATAAAATTTGGAATTCAGCAGACACTTGTTGAATGGCTGAGTGCTTATAGATACCTCTTGATAAATTTAAAGACAAAACTTCTTGAACCCGTTGCATTCTTGATTTAAAATATGGTTCAGTCTTAATAATACTTATTCATTGGATACAAATAAAATTGATTTTCAAATATCTTAAAGCTATTTGTACTACAACCAAAAGGCATTGTTAAAAAATATAGAATAATCTTATACATTTCAATCTGAACATTGTGCATGGGCCTTATTTTATCCTAAAGGCTTCAATGAAGATTACCCTCTGTATTTTCGAATGTACAATATTAAAGGTGGAGAGAAACAACCTCACACTGTCCTCTTCATAGAAATGTATTATAATAAACTTATTACAAGCTTTAGAGTGAAATATATTTTCATCTGCTGTAGATTATGAGTTAATTTATTTGAATTACAAAGGGGCAAACTCAATTGTTTTAAATTTCTCTTCTACCAGATGATTTTAAACACGAACCCATGTTCTTATTCCCCTAGGCAAACAGGAAAAGGCATTCACCTTTACTTTAAATATAGTTTTTTGAATTCGTGGTGTTAGGGTTGGTGAATATCGAAGTTACCAGCAGTGAACCTGTACAGGTCTGCTGCAACCTGAATTCTTGCCTCCTCAGAAGAAAAAAATTGACTGAGGAGCATAAGGCAGAAGAAGAGACCGAGGTAAGTTTTAGAGCAGGAGTAGAAGTTTTTTAAAAGGCTTCAGAGCAGGAAAGAAAGAAAAGTACACTTGGAAGAACCCAAGCAGGCACTGTTGAGGTCACGTGCCCCATTTAACCTTGAACCTAGGATTTTATATGCTGGCCGATTTCAGTGTCCTTCACCCCTTTCCCTTCATTCTTCTCTTAGGGTAAGCCTCCCGCATGTGTGGTACCCGCCTTGCGGTTGGGAGGTGAGCGTGGGCAATGTGTTTAGGAAGTTGTACGCATGCTCACCTGAGGCTTTCTTCCCTTTTCTGGTGGAATGCCACCTGCAAGTCATACTCTGCCATTTTGTCTCTTAATGTGCATGCTTGAGCCCATTCACTCAGTTCCTGATATCTTATTGGAAGCTGCTGATTACAAATTTCAAGTGTTTTTATCTATTGGGAAATTGCCTCTCTCCCTGGTACCAGCTGCAACCAATTATCATTTTAGTATGACAAATGCCTGACCATCACCTGATGGTCGCTTAACATTCCTAATGGGTGGGGGGAGCCCTCTCCTTCCCCACTCAAGCCTGACTAGCTACCTACTGCAACAATGATGTGTTTTAAGAAGTCGTGGGAAAACAAAACGAAAGACAATTAGAAATTTTCTAGTTTCTAGGCTCTCTAAACTTAGAGATTACTGCCAGTCCAGAAATCTCTAGTTGTTAAGATTAACCTCTTGGGACCTGCTGTAAGGAAGAACAGATTTAATTGTTTCTTTTTTGGGTGACTAAACATAAAGGTTTTGACATTGATGAGTTGTATTAATCATGCTTGTTTATTTCTGTATTTCTGATGCTTTGGCATCTGAAACCTTTCTAATTCTGGAGAGACTGCTCCTCCCAGAGCTAAAGACAGTAAAGGACTCACTTGTGAGTGCTCTTTTCATATACAAACCAACCAATCCAGGTCCCACAAGTCAACCACCTTTTAAATAAATCAGACTCTCTTACAATCTGGCCCACTATTCTCCTGCTCTAACTACCCTGAGATAAGGTCCTAAACAACTAGAGACAGATGGTACCCCTTAAAGCCTGCTAAAATTATTCAAACTAGCCAATCATAAGGCTGCTTACCCTGACTTGCTCATTCCTTCCCGCAGAACCCACAGCAAATGTTGTTGCCCACATTTTCCTCTCACTCCGCGCCTTCTGACCCAGCCTGGTGATTTCCTATGTGGCCCCTGCATAACTTGGCAGGCCCCCTCTTCTTGGGAACTGTGAGTAGCAAGCTGTCTTTTTAATAACAATTATCTCCTGATCTGTTGGCAATACCATACCTGGATAATAATAAAATCTGTGTTTTAAAACAATGAAAAATGGTTGTGCTATTCAGAAAACAGATGGGTCTTCTCTCTTCTATTAATAGGTGAGGTGCGACCTTCTAGCCATCTTAATAGTAATGTAAAAATGTTGCTTTAAGCAAATGTCTTTAAAAGCTTTATGCTTTCTAGGAATCCATCAAATGCTAGAATCCTTTATACCAATATAATTAGTTTGTGTATTGCAACAGCAACTCATAATGCACCTGGCTAGGTGCATTATGCATAATAAAATTTCTCTTCAACATTTCACAGCAGGCAACATTTAGCAGGGTCTTACTTTAAGAAGTAAAGATTCTTTCACGTCCATTATTTTATTTTTATTTTATTTATTTTTTATTTTTTGAGACGGAGTTTCACTCTGTCGCCCAGGCTGGAGTGCAGTGGCGCGATCTCGGCTCACTGTAAGCTCGGCCTCCCGGGCTCACGCCATTCTCCTGCCTCAACCTCCTGAGTAGCTGGGACTACAGGAGCCCGCCACCATACCCAGCTAATTTTTTGTATTTTTTAGTACAGACAGGGTTTCACCGTGTTAGCCAGGATGGTCTTGATCTCTTTGATCTCGTGATCCGCCCGCCTCAGCCTCCCAAAGTGCTGGGATTACAGGTGTGAGCCACCACACCCAGCCCACGTCCATTTATTCATAAGTATAAACAGTTGAGATGCCCAGATCCAGGGAGTACTTCTTTATATATAACGATGTTCTAATTTAACATCCTTGCTGTAAAAATAACATATATGAAAACAACTCATAGACTTTCTATCTGTCATCGTACTTTGGCATTCAAAGTAAACCTATTCTGTTTCAATTTCACTTTACTATTCTAAAAATCAACTTTTCCTATTCAATTCTACGACTTTTCTGTTTTTAAGGCTGTTATTTGATCCAACCATATTCAGGTTCAGATTTCTAATAAAATGTAGGGCAAAAATGATTTTCTCACTCCTTATTGTGCCTTCACACAGACCATGATGACAAAATGTACAGTAAAACTTAATATAGTAGGCATCCTGGGTTAGACTATTTTATATATTATCTTTTCAATAAGTTAAAGTTCAAGACCTGATTGACACTGGATAATTGCTGGCATTGATGGATATATAAACCATTTATATATTATTTTATAAACTTTTATAGCCACCATTTCTCTTCATCATTATTAACAACCCACAGCAAGGCCATTCATTTTTGCATAGTCAGTTAAATAAGGAAAACTGCATGTATCTGAGCAGATCAATATTATTGATTCGTTAAGATTGATATGTTGTCCATAATGAGTCTAGAAATGTTTCAAACTATTATGAAAATATTTGCTCATCATTGGTGTTTCATTAAATAGCGCAATAATCGACCAATCACCTATTGATAATGATCTGAAAATTGCTACTTCATTTTGGACCTCTTCATCTAATGATTAATCAATTTTAAATTGTCTTAATTCAACTTTTTAAATTTATCTTGTTTTAATCCTCCCCTCACTGCAATAGTTTTCTAGCTAGTCACTCTACCTATATTCTTATCCCTTAATAGATTATCCTTCACAGTGTTGCCAGAAAGAATTGGGCTAACAGGTAGTGAGAAGCAATTTTTTCCCATGCTCAATATTCTTTAATGATTGTTATTATTTACAAGGTTTTGTACCAACTTCTTAACAAGTTAAAATCTGTTGTCTACAAACATTTTATACAGTATAATCCAATACTGTTAGACTGTTTCTGATTCCCAAACATGGCACACTAGTTTTTAACTCTTTCATACATTACTTTTACCTTTTCAAGTGCCTTCTAATGTATACTTGACTCACAAACTTGGTCATGACATTTTTGCTGAGTTCTCTAGGTGCATGTTGGTATTTTCTATAATTCCATTGGCACCTGTGTATACTTAATGATAAGTATTATTCTCTTTTTCTATTATGGTTGTGTGTGTTTGCCTCACTGATAGGTTTCAATCTTCCTGAGTATAGTGAATATAAATTTTCAAATATGACTATGACACTACTCCATGCATGTAATGTATTCTCAATTAATAGAATCATCTATCTCAAATAGTTGAATGGATGAATGTACACAGGGCCCCTGAAGAATTACAGTGGCTGAACAAGGTTCAGTGCAATTTTCAATCCCTTTAAGACCAATATACTGCTATCTAGGTAAATTTCAAGATAACATGGTTTCTGAACTTCTGAGTTCCTTAAAGTCAGAAACAATGTATTAATAGTCAACTTCTACAACACAACACCAGAGAAAACAGTAAATTGAGTAATGCAGTAAGGAAGAACACCATCTTAACAGAGTCTTGTATCTCAGAAGAGAAGGTAATGGGAGGGCATTTGCAGTATTTTTAGTCATGGCCTGGCTGGTTGACTTCAAGGTGTATCCTGCAATGTGTGGAGCTGATTTGAGTTTATGACAAAATAGCTTTGAAGTGGTGAGCACAGAGAAATGAAGGTCTTGAAGCACTTCCTGATGAGAAGACTGTTTGTATTCATAAATAATCTGTAGTTGTTTTAGTCTTATTTTCCAGAAGCAGGTATTTCATGGAGCAAGCAGCAGGTTGGTTTTTCTGGGTCACAGTAATATTTAATATACTTACAAGAGTATATGTCCAGCTTCAGTATTGTCTAAGCTAAGCACAGAAATTACATTGGTTTTGATTCACAATGACATTCTATAATTTGTATCTTTATCTTTAATGTCTATCATAGTAGCTGAAATGTGGAATGGTTTAAATACTCCACATGCTTTAACTTATTTTGATTTGGAGACTTTAAGGCATGGAGATTTTTTCTCTGAATCGCATTGTTATTTTTTATGAAGGCAGAATTAGCATTATGCAAATATTTGAAATATAATGACTTTGCCTATAGAACCCATCAATTCTCCTGTTTAGCACTCCCCTATACGTTTTCTATTTCTTTCTAACATTATCCCATTTTTCTTATATTCTCTTAGTTATTCATTATTTCCCCAATCTCACTTGTCACTTGTGTTTGGATTCTACTCATTCTATACCGAAGTTAATCTCTACTTTAGTTATATATCTTCAAATACAAATTTAAAGTGATTTTCACTGTAAAAAATTAAAGAAATTTAGAAAAGCATAAAATATAATTGCCAGAAACTCACTTTTCACTGTTTACCTATTAACATGACCTTCCTAGAAAGTGTCTTATGCATATATACAGACATGCCCTTGACTTCCTGGACACATTTGGGATATCCAAATGTCAGACATTATAAGAAATTTTGGAGAGTTTACAATGTTCATTTTAATTATTTAACCATCATATTGTGCTGTGCATTTCAAACATCAAAACACAATGCAATTAAATTCAACAAAAAATTATTGTACATCTCCCATATGAAAGACAATCTATTATATTCTAGGGAGTTAACATAAATAAAATCTTTCTTTCAAAGGTCACCTTTGGAGTTGATTTCAGAAGATACAGAACTGACATTCTTTTTTCCCAATTTTTGTTGTGTTAAAATGCACACCACATGAAATTTGCCATTTTAATCACTTTAAAGTGTGCAGTTCAGGGGTATAAAGTGCGTTCATATTGTTGTACTCATTACCACCACTCATCTCCAGAACTCTGACTCTTGTAAAACTGAAATTCTATACCCATGAAATAATAACTCCCCATTGCCTGTCCTCTCAGCCACTGACAACCACCATCCTACTCTCTCTCTTCATGATTTTGACTACTATAAGCACTCATAAAAGTGAAATCATACAGTAGTTGTCTTTTTGTGACTGGCTTATTTCACTTAGGATAATGTCTTCAAGTTCACCCATATTGTAGTGTATTTCAGAATTTCCTCCATTTGTAAGGTGGGATGATATTCTATTGTATGTACTTGACATGTGTTGCTTATCTGTTCATTCATGGAACTAATATTTCTACACAATGGCTGATATGTATCTTTTTTCTTAAGGCTGTTCTTTAGCCAGCTAGATATCTGTAATGAGACTAACCAATGACACTCTAACATCACAATTAAAAGAACTAGAGAAGCAAGAAGAAACAAACTCAAAAGCTAGCAGAAGACAAGAAATAACTAAGATAAGAGCAGAACTGAAGGAGATAGAGACACAAAAAACCCTTCAAAAAAATCAATGAATCCAGGAGCTGGTTTTTTGAAAAGATCAACAAAATAGATAGACTGCTAGCCAGACTAATTAAGAAGAAAAGAGAGAAGAATCAAATAGATGCAATTAAAAAAATGATAAAGGGCATATCATCACTGATCTCACAGAAATACAAAGTACCATCAGAGAATACTATAAACACCTCTACACAGATAAACTAGAAAATCCAGAAGAAATGGATAAATTCCTGGACACAAGACTAAACCAGAAAGAAGTCAAATCCCTGAATAGACCAATAACGAGTTCTGAAATTGAAACAGTAATTAATAGCCTACCAACCAAAAGAAGTCCAGGGCCAGACAGATTCACAGCCCAATTCTACCAGAGGTACAAAGAGGATCTGGTACCATTCCTTCTGAAACTATTCCAAACAATAGAAAAAGAGGGACTCCTCCCTAACTCATTTTATGAGGCCAGCATCATCCTGATACCAAAACCTGGCAGAGACACAACAAAAAAAGAGAAAAAAAAATTTGTACCCAATTCTAGCTTCTTCCAATTATATGACAATCAGCCAAATATTAATAGCTAACTCACTGCCTGCTCCCTCAAATGTTTTCTTTTTTATGTGCACTTTTATTATTATTTTTAATTGATACATAACTGTACATGTCTATGGGATAGAGTGGGGTATTTTGATACATATATACAATGTGTAATAATCAAATCATAGTAATTAGCATATCTATCACTTCAAGCATTTAACATTTTTTATGTTGGGAACATTCAAAATCTTTCCTCTAGCTATTTGAAAATATAAAATAAATTGTTTTTAATTATAGTCACCTTGTAGTTTTGTAAAACACTAGAACTTATTTCTTCTATCTAGCTGTACTTTTATATCTGTTAAACAACCTTTGGCTATCTTCTTCTACCCTGTAAACGTCTGAGCCTCTAGCAACCACTATTCTACTCTATGCTTCTACGAGATCAACATTTTTTAAGCTTCTGTATCTGGATGAGAACATGCAGTATTTGTTTTTCTGTGCCTGGCTTATTTCACTTAACATAATGTCCTCCAAGAAAATTTTAGGCCAATATCCCTGAGTTTTTCTTTCTTTTGGATATATACACAGTAGTGGAATTGTTGGATTATATGGTAATTCTACTTTTAGTTTTGTAGAAATATCTATTCTGCTTTCTATAGTAGTTGTACTAATTTACATTCCCACCAACAGTGTATACCTAATGGTTTGACAATTTTATCTTTGCGAAAAACAACTTTATGTTTCCATGATCTTTTGCATTTTCTGTCTTAATTTTATGTATTTACTTATACTCTGGTCTTATTTCTTTCCTTCTACTAATTTTGGATTTGATTTGTTTTTGCTCTACTAGTTCTTTGAGATGAGATGTTAGGTTGTTTATTTGAAATCTTTCTACTTTTTCGATGTAAGCTTTTCTCTTCTAACCTTCCCTCTTGATACTTCTTTTGCTGTATCTCATGGGTTTTCCTATGTTGTGTTTCTATTTTTGTTTCAACAATTTTAAATATTTTCTTGTTAATTTCTTCATTGACCTATTGGTTTTTCAGGAGTATGTTGTTTCATTTCCATGCATTTGTCCAATTTCAAAAGTTCCTCTTGTGATTCATTTCTAGCTTTATTCCATTGTGGTCAGAAAAGAATTACTTTGTATTATTTTAATTCCTTTAAATTTCTTGAGACTTGTGTTGTGGCCTAACATGTGGTCTATGCTGGAAAATATTCCATGCGCTGATGAAAAGAATATGTCTTTTTCAGTTGTAGGATGAAGTGTTCTTTTAATATCTGTTAGGACCATTTGGTCTAAATTGCAGTTTAAATCCAATGTTTCTTTATTGAATTTCTGTCTAGATGGTCTTTCCAATGCTGCAAGTGGGATGTTGAAGTCACCAACTACTATTGTATTAGAGTTTATCTCTTTCTTTAGATCTAATAATATTTGTTTTATACATCTGGGTGTTCCAATGTTGGGTGCATATATATTTATAATTGTCATATCTGCTTGTGAAATTGATCCTGTTCTTATTACATAATGATTCTGTTTTCACAGTTTTTGACTTAAGTATGTTTTAGCTCATATAAGTGTAGGTACTCCTGCGCACTTTTGGTTTTTATTTGCGTAGCATATCTTTTTCCATCCCTTTACTTTCAGTCTATATGCATTTTAAAAGGTGAAGTAAAATTTCTTATAAGTAGCTTATGGTGGGGACATTTTTTAAAATCCATTCCATCTTTTTATACAAGTTAAGTGGAAGATTAAATCTGTTTACATTCAAAGTTGTTACTTATATCTGAGGGCTTATTTCTGTCATAGTATTGATTGATTTCTGATAGTTTTGTATATACTTTCTTCCTCTTTTATTATTTATTATTGCAGCTTGGTGGATTTCTGTAGTTCTAAGGTTTGATTATTTTCTTTCTCCTTTGTATATCTGTTCTACCATTGAGTTTATACTTTTTGTTTTGTTTTTTTGAGACACAGTTTTGCTCTGTCATGCCCATGCTGGAGTGCAGTGGTGTGATCTTGGCTCACTGCAATCCCTGCCTCCAGGGTTCGAGTTATTCTCCTGCCTCAGTCTTCCAAGTAGCTGGGATTACAGGCACCTGCCACCACGCCTAGCTAATTTATTTGTGTTTTTACTAGAGATGGGGTTTCACCACGTTGGTCAGGCTGATCTTGAACTCCTGACCTCAGGTGATCCACCCACCTCGGCCTCCCAAAGTGCTGGGATTACAAGCATGAGCCGCTGCATATGTTTTCAGGATAGAGATTATTGTCTTTTAGCTTCCCTACTTAGGACTACTTTGAACATTTTTTAGAACACTGGTCTAGTGTTGAATTCCCTTTGCTTATCTGGGAAATACTTTATTTCTCCCTCATTGTGAAGGATATCTTTGCTGAGTATAGTATTCTTGGTTATAATTTATACTCATCACTTTGAATATATCATCCCATTTTCTCCTGGCCTAAAAAGCTTTGTAGAGAAATACGCTGTTAGTCTAATGTTAGTCACTTATATGTGACTTGACACTTTTATCTTCCTGTTTGTAGAATTATCTCTTTGTCTTTGACGTTTGAGAATTTGATTATAATGTGCCTAAAGAAAGACCTTTTTGGGTTGAATCTATTTGAGGACCTTGGAGCTTCCTGAATCTGGATGTCTACATCTCGCCACAGATATAGGAAGTTTTCAGCTGTTATTTTATTGTATGAAATTTCTATGCCTATTTTCTTTTCTTATCTCCTGGAATTCCCATTTCACTTAACAATATTCCACAAATCTTGTAGAGTTTCTTCACTCTTCATGATTTTTATTTCTTCTTTTTCTTCAACTGTATAATTTCAAGTGATTTTTTTTCAGGTTCATAGATTAGTTCTTCTATTTGATCAAGTCTGCTGTTGAATCTCTCAACTGTATTTTTAAATTCCATTCATTGAATTCTTCAGCTTTAGAATTTCTGTTTGGATCTTTTTAAAAATTTTCTAACTTTTTGTTAAATTTCTCATTCAAATTATAAATTGTTTTACCAATTTTTTTAAATTGTTTACCTGTATTTTCTTGTATTTCATTGAGTTTCTTTCAGCTCTTTATTTTGAATTTTATTTTCTGGAATTGCATCAATTTCCTTTTCATTGGGATCTGTTACTAGAGAGTTATTATGCTCCTGTGTTACTGTCATGTTTCCTTGTCATTGTATGTTTCTTGTGTCCCTGCATTGATGTCTATGAATCTGGTTCTAGTAATCACCTATTCCAAACTTTGTAAAATGGCTTTTGTAGAGAAAGAATTTCAACTGCAGTTGGGTTTTAGTGTGCTGACTGAGAAGGGTGTGGTGATTCTCTTAACAGACAGGTACACTGCTACAGTCTCTATGCAGCAACAATTATGGCCACCTCAGTGGCCTATGCTGTCGAAGTTTATGACAGTGGCAGTGGCAACACAGGTTACTAATGTCCTCAGTGTTAAAGGCTTTTAGGGTTCTCCTATTCTCATTTTCCCCACCATAGGGAGACTTAGTTTAGGGCATCCCTCTTGATAAGGCCTGAAATAGCCTACCAAAGAGTGCAGTGGTACTGGGGTCCAGGTGGAGGTGTTCAAAGAAGCTATGGAGCTAGATGGCTAGGCTCAGGGTCTCATGAACCTATTGTGGCATCTGGGTTTCAGGGAGCAGGTTTGCTTTCTGTGGCAAGGTTGGATGTATGTTGCTCACAGAGTCAGGAGCTGTGACTCGGAGGTAACTTCTCTCTAGCAGCTTGAGCCCAAGGGGCTGGATTGTAGCTGTAATTCTACCCTGGGGGGCAGAGTACAACACTAGCCTGTGGGGAAGAAAGTGTGCTTTGGAGATTTGGTATGATTTCAGTTCTGCAACTTGAACCAATAGGGTTCAATGGCAACTTGGTTCCCAGGGGGTGAAACACTGTGTAGTAGTAACTGTAGACTCTAGGACATTGGGTCTTGCTGGTGTCCCAAACTCTATGAGGTCAGGTGCAGTGGCAGCAAGCCCCCAGAATGGTGAAGGACAGCTGGTGTTTAAGCCCTGGGGAGGCAGGGAACAGCAAGGTGATGACTCCACTCCCCACTGAAAAGTATGCCTCAGCATCTCAGACTTGATAGGGGGTAGTCTAGCATGAGGGAAGCAGAGTACTAGAGTTGTTTGCCTGTAGGGCATGGTGTCTCTGTTTCCCTGGGATGTGGGGTAATCTGTAGGCTCAGCCCTGGGATGCATGATTGCTCAGCTTAGCCAAGGCTCTCATTCTCCAGGGGGTGATGTGCCACTTCAGCTGAGGCCTGGAGACATGACTATTCTGGGCTGTAAGGTGTTGCTTCAGCTTAGGCATTGAAGAAGTATACTGCTCTGAATGTACCACTTCAGCTCTAGCCCAATCGGGCAGGGGAAGTGGTAGTCGAAGTGGTTCCAACTCCACTTGGCCCCATGGGGAAGGGTGTCAGAGTTGCTGGCAGCTCAGCTTGGGTAAGTCAGATCACTGGGCGGCTGTGGTTCAGTGGAGGTTTAGCCTTGGGGATGAAGGAGAGCTGTGGCTCCTCACTCCTGGAGCAAGATACAGTCAAGTCATAGTTCTTATTCCAAGATGGCATGCAGCAGTCACCATATGGGCCACAAGGAGCAGGGCACAGTATCGTTTCCTTCTCTGAGAGAATCCCAGCTGTGAGGACTCAAGACAATTCCCTCAGCAGGACATAGTACCTTTGAGAACTGCAGGAGATCCTAGTGGTAAAGTATTTAGTGTGTCTAAAATGTGAATGGCAGTTGTTGGGATCCACTTGCCTACTTTCCCGTCGTAGGGAGAAATTCCTCCTAGATCCCAGCTGATCCCAGTTAGGGGATGGTGGTTGGAGGTTACACATTTCCTTTTATTCTCTCTGTGGCCATCCATAGTTTCAGTGCTCATCAGGGTTTCTGTTACTTCTCTGATGCACCCCAACACTCTCCTTCAGTTATTTTTGTTTAAGTATAGGTGTTTATTCATTGTTCTGGTTGTCTTTTCCAGGGGGACATGTGCTAGGGGCATCTAAGTTGGCCATCTTGCTGATGTCACTCTCCTCCACGTGATTGCTGGCAATTACAACCATTATGTCATGTACATCAAACAACCAAGTGGAAATGGATTGAGTTTGTGTTTGTGTTGGGACAGAGGTTACAGTTGGTGGACATCTTGAATAGCAGCTACTTAGTTTTAAAAGACTAGTAAATGAGACACACCAAAGATGATTATGATATTTGCAAATCAGGGAGAGCTAAGCAAGATCCATTTGTTTTCTGGTTAATAGAATACAAGTGTCTGTGTACCAAGAAGTATAATTAATTATCTTTAATGACTATTGCATTAGTCTGTTCTTGTATGGCTATAAAAGAATATCTGAGACTGGATAATTTATAAAGAAAAGGAGTTTAATTAGCTCATGGTTCTGTAGACAATACAGGAGGCATGATGCCAATATCTGCTTCTGCTGAGGGCCCCAGGAAGCTTACAATCATGGCAGAAGGTGAAGGGGAGCAGGTATGTCACACAGTGAGAACAAGAAAGGGGGATGTGCAACACTCTTTTAAACAACCAGATCTGGCACGAACTCAGAGTAAGAATTCACTCATTATTATAAGTACAGCATCAAGAGGATGGCACCAAACCATTCATGAAGGATCCACTCCCATGATCCAGTACTTCCCACTAGGCCCTATCTCCAACATCAGGGATCACATTTCAACATGAGACTTGGAGGGGACACACATCTAGACTATATAATTCCGCCCCAGCCCCCAAAATCTCATGTCCTTCTCATATGGCAAAGTTCAGTTATCCTTTTCCAACAGTCTTAACCTCCTCTACCCCCAACTCAAAAGTCCCAAGTTCAAAGTCTTATCCAAAGATGAGTTTTTTCCAACAATGAGCCTATGAAATTAAAAACAAGTTGTTTTATTCCAAGATACAATAGTGCTATAGGTATTAGGTAAACATTCCCATGCCAAAAGGGATACATCAGCCAAAGGGAAGGGGCAACAAGTTTAATGCAAGTCTGAAACCCAGGAGGGCACACATTAAACCTTAAAGCTCCAACATAGTCCTTGATACCATGTCCCATAACCAGGGCACAATGATACAAGGAGTGGTCTTCCAAGGTCTTGGGCAGCTCTGCCACTATGGCTTTGCAGCGGGCAACCCACATGGCTGCTTACACAGGTTGGAGTTGCATGCCTGTGGATTTTCCAGGCTCAGGAAGCAAGCTACTGGTGACTCTACCATTGTGTAGTATGGAGGGAAGTGGCTGCCTTCTCACAGCTCCACTAGGCAGTGCCCATATGGGGACTTTGTGTGCAGCTTTAACCCCACATTTTCCCTGGCATTTCCCTAGTAGAGAATCTCTGCAGGGGCTCTGTCCCTGGGTGGATTTCTACCTGGGCACTTAGGCTTTCTCATACAACCTCTAAAATCTAGGTGGAAGCTGACAAGCCTCCTTTACTCTTGCATTCTGTGCACCAGCAGACTTAACACCATGTGGAAGCTGCCAAGGCTTTTCGTGTCTTGTGCTCTCCAAAGATGCAGCCTCAACTATATCTGGGGCCTTTTGAGCCATGGCTGGAGCTGGAGCAGCCAGCATGCAGGGAGCAACCTCTCAAGGTTGTATAGGGCAGCAGCAACAAGAGTTTAGCCCATGAAACCATTCTTTCCTCCTAGGCCTCTGGGCCTGTGAAAGGAGGGACTGTCCTGAAAACTTCTGAAATGCCTTCAAGGCCTTTTTCCTATTGTTTTGGTTATTAGCACTTGGCTCCCTTTCAGTTATGCTGTTTAGTACATGGTTTTCCACAGCCCTCTTGTGTTTCTCTCCTAAAAATGCTTTATTTTTTCTCTCTCTCTGCCACATGGTCAGGCTGCAAATTTTCCAAACGTTTATGCTCTGCTTCCCTTTTAAATATAAGGCCCAATGTTAAGTTATTCCTTTGCTTTTATATTTGATTATATGTGTTTAGGAGCAGCCACACCACTTTGTGAATGCTTTGCTGCTTAGACATTTGTTCTGGTGGATACTACAAGTTGTTACTCTTAAGTTAAAACTTCCATAGATCTCTAGGACCTGGACTCAATGCAGCCAAGCTTTTTGCTAGGATGTAACATTTAATGACCTTTACTTTAGTTCCCAATAAGATCCTCGTTTTCTTCTGAGACATCAGCCTGGACTTCACTGTCCATATTTCCATCAGCATTTTGATCATAACTATTTAACCAGTCTCTAATAAGTTCCAAACTTTTTCTTATCCTCCTATCCTTCTGGGCCCTTCAAACTGTTCCAACTTCTGCCCATTACCCAGTTCCAGAGCTGCTTCCATATTTTCAAGTATCTTTATAGCACACTCTACTCCTGTTACCAATCTTCTGTGTTAGTCCATTCTTGCATTCCTATAATCAAATATCTGGGTCTGAGTCATTTATAAAGAAAAGGGATTTAATTGGCCCATGGTTCTGCAGGTTGTACAGGAAGCATACATCTCTTTGGTTGACATATCCTTGGCTTCTGGTTAAGCCTCAGGAAGATTCCATTTATGGCATAAAGTCAAAGGATAAGAAAGTGTATCATGTGGTGAGAGCCGAAGCAAGGTTGGTGGGGAGCTGCCACACTATTTAAACAACCAGATCTCACGTGAACTAACAGAGTGAGAACTAACTCATCACCAAGGGGATAGCACTAATCCATTCATGAAGGATCTACATCCACGATCTAATACCTCCCACTTGGCCCCAGCTCCAGTATTGGGAATCACATTTCAACATGAGATTTGGAACCATATCAACTATATTAAATTAACATTTGATAATGTATTTGGGGATGTCTGTAGATTGAATAAAGACAGAACTGAATTACCTTCTTATGCTGTATATGGCATTCATATTTTGGATGTAAATTTTTCTCCTGCTTAGTGACAGTAGTTTGGGATTTTTAATTTTGTATAGCCCATAGTTTTAATTACTGCCACAAATGTTTATCATCTAGACAAATTTTGAAAAAAATCATTTTAAATTTTCATATTATATTTTTATAATCTATGTAAAGAAAGTATTACCTTTTCATGGTATTATTATAAGCACTAAGGAAACAGTATATGGTATATAGTAAATGCTTAATGACTGTGATCAGTATTGTGGTGAGGACTGAAGAGGTTATCATTTGGCCACCAAAAAGCAATTGGTGAATTTTAAAGAGAAGTTCAATGGACTGATATTGACAAGAGGCAGATTGCCAGGGGTTATGGAGTAAATCCTGCATGAAAGATACAGGGATAATAACTGTAAACCACTTTTCCAGGAAGCTTGGTATTTAAAGGGAATTGGAATACAATTGAATTCGTGAAAGCCAGATACAGAGAATTTGGTTAAAAAAGGGTTGTACATTTTTTAAAACAGTTAAAACAGTCATATTTTTGAATCTGAGTTGTGACTGCTATAACCAATAAAAATGGTGGAAGTTATAGCCTATTCCTGATGCTTGTTTACGAAAAGCTATACAGCCTCTGACTAGGGTTCTTAGATTGTCATTCTCCGGACATTGGTTCTCAGATCCCAGCCACCATGCCATGAGAAGTCTAAGTCCATGTGGCAATTCCAAGTGTAGGTATTACAGTCAAAAGTTTCAGCTGAGTCCAGGCTTTGAGTTATCCCACATGCCAGTTATGGAAATTAAAAAGCCTCCCAGTGATTACAGCCTCCAGAGTTTCTATTGGTACCGCCAGGTGCCAATACTCCCTTGCTGGAGCTTCAGACATTCTTGAGCAGAGAGAAACCATACCTGCTGTGCTCTTCTGAATTCCTGACTCATGAAATCCATGAGCAAAATAAAGTGGTTGTTGTTCAGGCCACTGATTTATGGGTGGTGCGATTTAATATACAACAATAGATAATTGGAAGAAATAAAGCATATAAAATCATGAATTTGAGTGTGTTTGTAAGCCGAGGGAGGGGGAAAAAAAGACAGGAAGCAAACAAACAAACAAAAAATGGTTGTGAGAAAATAATTGATAATAGACCAGAAAAGAAAAACAAACAATAGAGGAAGGTTCTGGAGTCAACTAGCATGGCGGGGAAAATTGGGAATAAATAATTTGGCAGTCAGACCTCTGGAGCTCTATAGATAGCTGTCAGAAGATACTCAGAGCAAATCTGTGAACAACAAGAGTAGAAAAAATATGCAATTGCAAGTACTGACAGAGTACCTAGTATGGTCTACATATAAATCACATACACACGCACGTTTCAATTTTTGTCACTCATTTTCATATTCTTTTTTGTCATGTTCTAGGACTTCCTTCACAATCCTGTGCACATTTAGAAAATCTTTTCAAGAGAAAGCTTTTCTAATATCTTATAACTGCTATTCAAGATATTGTTGCATTTGATTTTTTTAAATTATAGTTAATGATGCCTGATTCATCATCCACTCATTGCTTCTTCCTCATAGACAGAATTAAATGAGGCTGCTGGTGGTTTACAAAGACTATTTGAGAAATGTGGCAAAATCTTGCAGTCAACCATCTGTTTGAGGAGCTGTTTCTTTTCATAGAAAACATAAGCCTTATCAGCAACTGAAACTCTTGATTTCTTACCAGAAGAGATTGGGTAGTGTCCAGTAAGATGAAACCACTTGCTTTTCTAATGCATTTCCAAAGTCAATGAAAAAAGCATGGCTGAGGCAGCACTTTAAAATATCTTGTAGGACAGGCATGGTGGCTCATGCCTAGAATTCTAGTACTGTGGAAGGCTGAGACAGGAGAATCACTCGAGGCCAGGAGTTTGAGGCCAGTATGGGGTAACATAGCAAGACCCCATCTCTACACAATTTAATAAGAAAAAAATTAGCCAGGCATGGTGATGTGTACCTGTAGTCCCACTTACTTGAGAGACTGAGGTGGGAGGATCACTTAAGCCTGGCAGGTTGAGACTGCAGTGAGCCATGATTGCACCATTGCACTACAGCCCAGGTGACAGAGTGAGATCCTGTCTCCAAAAATAAATAAATAAATACAACAAAAACAAAATATCTTGTAAACATTAAATCAGGTTCATTTTATCATTTTATACTTTCTCTTATACATGTTTCAGTAAAATCACGACCACGGACCTTTCTAGGTCATGGTACAAATTAACAATTCAATTTTCTGAGTCTTTGTTTCCATGCTGTCTTCTTGTAATGGCAGTAACTTCACAGTTGCAGTAAACCTCTTCAGGTGTTAGCACAAAAAAGTAGAGATACTGGCTGGGTGCGTTGATACACACCTGTAATTCCAGCACTTTGGGAGGCCGAGGTGGGCTGATCATGAAATCAGGAGTTCGAGACCAGCCTGGCCAACGTAGTGAAACCCTGTCTTTACTAAAAATACAAAAAATTAGCCGGGCGTGGTGGTGGGCGCCTGCAATCCTAGCTACTCAGGAGGCTGAGGCAGGAGAATCTCTTGAACCCAGGAGGCAGAGGTTGTAGTGAGCCGAGACTGCGCCACTGCACTCCAGCCTGGGTGACAGTGCGAGACTCTGTCTCAAAGAAAAAAAAAAAAAGGCAGAGAGTAGAGATACTGAGCATAATAATCAACCCCATACATAGGTTTGGCAACAATGTAGATTTTTTGAAAACATAAAATAGAAAGTATCTATGTTATATAAAGAAAAATACAAGGTAATTCACTCCATTGCTTTTCCTCATTATACCCTCAGTGGACTAATGTGTCTTCTACCACCCTTTCATTCTTCATAAGTAATGCTCATATTTTTCTCATTTCTGGCAACACCATTATGTAGAGAGGACATGTTTTCTTTTAATTGACTTTTTAAATATACAAATCCTTTGAGGGCTTCTTCTTAGACTTCTTCTTTTCTTTAAAATTCTTCTTTTGAAAAATCTGTATCTTTTTTCACAATTCTGATTGTTGTTATACTTCTGCTAATGCTGAAAATGTTAACACAGAGTTCCCAAACTCACATCCAGCAGCCTGCAGAACAAATGTGGCTTAGAGTCGTGTTTTGCTTATTCCCCACAGTGAATTAATTGTGTTGAGTTAATTTCCTTATCAACAATTAAAAACTGGGAAACAGTCTAAGTGCCTGGCTTGTCTTAGCAAAGCAGGGTCTGCAATGGCAAGGGTACCAATCTATTGAAGCTGAGTGGCAGCTACTTCCTTTAGAAAGACATATTTTTTCCAGTGTGCTGCCTCCCCATTACTTTTTTGTTTCAAATGCAGCCTGTTACTTCAGTAGTTCCTGTAAGCATTTGAGTTTGTAAGCCCTCTTCTAATCCATACTTTGAGCACTGAAGATCTAAGCCTGCATTTCCAGCTGGTGGTTGGACAGGTCTATTCCAAACATCTTGCATTGATCCTTCTACATAAAACTTTCTGGCTTGTTCTGGTAAAAATTCTCTCAGATACCAAGGCTGGAAGCTGTGTAGTATTTTTTTCCATTTATTTTTCCTCTTTTATTGGTATTGATTAATGGTGAGAAAAGTCTTATAGATTCAGCTTCTATAATATATTTTCTCAGCAAGTTCTTCATTACCTTTTACCTAGGACCATTAGTAGCCTCTAAGTGGTCTTCCCCAAAGAATTACTCCTAAGCATCCCCATTAGAACAATCTTCCAAATGTACAACTTTACTCATACTACCACCTTGCTCAAAAAATGATTAAAAATAAAATTTTCAACTTAGTATTCTAGGCCATTCAAAACAGGAATGAGGCCAGTTGCAGTGGCTCATGCTTGTAATCCCAGCACTCTGGAAGGCTGAGGCAGGAGGATCACTCTGGGCCAGGAGTTCAAGGCCAGCCTGGGCAACATGGTGAGACCCCCTTCTCTACAAAAAAAAATAGAAAAAAAAATAGCCAGGCATGGTGGTGTGCACCTGCAGTCCCAGCTACTTGGAAAGCTGAGGCAGGAAAATCACTTGAGCCCAGGAGTTTGAAGCTGCAGTAAGCTATGATCTGCCCCTGTATTCCAGCCTGGGCAAGACAGCAAGACACATGACTGAACAATCAATCAGTCAATCAATAAATCAGGAACCAATGTATTCTTTTTAGATCAGACCATTTTAGAACTAGCATGACCTTAGTCATTATCTAGTTTAATTCCTTCTAAGTGTAGCTGAAGAAACTAGGTCTTGAAGGGCTAAGTCCATAACTTGATAGGTAGTTGGCAGTGCAAAGACAAAAACACAGCTCTCCAGTATAGGTTCCCAAGGCTACATCCACACGCGTTAACCAAAGCACTTGTTCTACCCAAGAGACTGGTTCCTGGCTTCTATTCCACTCATCACCGTTAAGGGCTGAACAGGTGCTGTTGAGACTGTCTCCAAGATCATGCTCCCCTTAGTTCTATTCATCTCTTTCCCTTGCTCAGATCATGGGGTACCTCCATATATTTTTAAAATGCATTATAAATTGAATCTTGATGAGGCCATAGCAAATTCACCATATTCGCTGTTACATTTCAGTATCCTGCTTTCAGCCCATCTACTGCTTTCTTCCAGTCACACTGAGGAAGAAGACAATGTTAGTCTGTATTATTCTAGCAACCAGTGCAATGTCTTGGATCTAACAAGTTGGATTGCCATTGAACTCCAAGCCTGGCCTCCTTTTCTGTCTATCTACTTTATCTTCCTCTAAGGATGTCTAGTACAATCTACTAAATAGAAATTCCTACCCTTGCTCCAGGTTGTTTCTCTTCCTTCCAAATGAGTCTCCATGTGTTTGTTTCTTTGATATTTGCAAATGCTGGAAGTCATACTTTGGTTTGTTTTTCTTTAACATATAACTGATTTCAATACCCCTTCCCTCTCTTTGGCCTTTAGAAATATAGATTAGGAACATTAACAATTTGTAGTTTCAGTTCCATCAGCGATTTGCCAAGATTTATAAAAGATTATCACAGGTCTGAAGAGCTATAGGCGATATAAATTAAGATCAAGAATTGGTAAACCACAGAGCCCTAAATCTCTGGAAGTCTACCAGGTTTGCATTTGTGGAAAATCTATACTATTCCTTTGATACTTGCTATTACAGCCTAAGAAATAAGCAATTTAATAGTTACTTAGCTTAATATCTATTACTAAGTAATTTTAATTTCATCAAACTGTTCATTCCAGTTATAGCTTCATGCTGTGTTATGAAATTTAATCAAATATTAATTTGAATTCAGGTTGTAACACTTCTAGTTATCTCATCATAATTAAACTCTCGTTTCAAAAAGAATAAAAACAAAAGAATGTACTTATGCTTAGAATTGCCTGTCTGCTACTTCTTGTTTTGCTGAAAACTGAAATAATTAATACTAAATATAATAATGATCTGTCATATATTTAGATTTGCAGTGGTAGGTATCTTATATTTTTATTTAAGATGACTGAAGTTGATCCAAAATAATCTTTTGACTTTATGCTATCGTCTTGATATCTGCATATACAAAACCTTATTTGATCATTATATTTAAAATTAAAATTGTCACAACTACCCATTCACTTAACATTTAAAAATACTGAACTGCAGGCATTTTTTTATAAACCAAGATGAACGTTATAAACGATTTAAATGACTGTTTATTTTCTTCGTGGTTTCCATATCATTTTGCATTGCCTGCCAATGTTAAGGCCTTTCAAAATTATACTTTCTTATTTGGGGGAGACCTGATTTTACTTCCTAGAAGCTCTCCTACAAGCACATCAAAGGCAGGTACTCCTAGCAACGAGCACAAAGTTCTCCTAGCAATGAGCATACTGTCCTGAATTTAACAGGTGCACAAGGAATATCTGTTGAATTGTTACCAAACCCCACATCCTACATTTCCTTCATCTCAATTTGATCTTCTTCTGCAGTTTTCTATTCCTGCCTACTGGTAAGAATATGCTCCCCCCTCCACAAAACACACACACGCGCGCGCACACACACACACACACACACACACACACACACACACACACACTTAAAATTTTAACCAAGACCAGGCGTGGAGACTCATGCCCATAATCCCAGAATTTTGGGAGGCTGAGGTGGGCAGATCACTTGAGGTCAGCAGTTTGAGACCGGCGTGGCCAACATGGGGAAATCCTGTCTCTACAAAAAAATACAAACATTAGCCAGGCATGGTGGCACGTGCCCGTAATCCCAGCTAATCGGGAGGCTGAGGCAGGAGAATTGCTTGAACCCGGGAGGTGGAGGTTGCAGTGAGCTGAGATCATGAGATTGTGCCACTGCACTCCTGCTTGGGTGAGAGAGCGAGACTCCATCTCAAAAATAAATAAAATAAAATGAAATAATATAAAAATTTTAACCAAGAATAAATATACAATTACAGTTCTTAGGAATATTGTAAATGCTGTGCATAGGCCAAATAAATCGAAATGTGTTAGATCCCATCCTCCAGTGTCCTAGATGACCTTAATTCAATAGATACCTATCATGTGCTTAGATGGTAGCAGTATAGGTCTCAGGAATCCAAAAACAGTCTAAGACATGGTCCTGATCTTCAGAAGCTCATGACATACTGGGCAAAACAAGCACGTGTGTATGACAACAGTGAAATGTCAGCACCGCATGACAACACAGAGGAAAGTAGGAGCACATAGGCCTAAGAGGCCAGGGAATACAGCACTGAAATGATGAGATTTGTGATAGGTTTGGATGGAATAAAATGCTCTCCACTGGGAGAAAAAAAAAAAGGTAGAGGACACATTTTTATGTGAGGGAAAATTAGGGACAAAAAAAGAGCTATGAGAAAGGAAAAGAATAAGTTTGGCATAATCGAAAAAGAAGCTTGAGTGGAATTGAGGGCTGAGGCATGACAAGTCATGAGACACACAGCAGCTTCAAACATGGCTTTGTAATATCACATGGGAAACAAGGATCTATTGAACATTTTAAACATGGATAATTCTAAAAGCCAATCAGTGTACTCCAGAGTCAACATAGGAGTTACAATGGAGCAGAAGACAGATGTTAGGTCACATGGAAGATGAGAACTTGAACCAGGGAAGATTTATAATGTGTGCTTTATTTATTTATTAATGTGTGTTTTATTTATTTATTTATCTCTGCTAGGTAAGGAACAACAACAATACAAATGTACATTTGAAAACATTTTTCAAAACCACCCAAATTATTCTTTTTTATATTGCTGCCCATCTATGGAAAGTTTTTCATATAATCGCCAATATTTTCAATAGCTAGCACACCCAATATGTCAAAAGTGAATAGAGAGTCTGAATGATAAATAAATGAGTTAACTCTTACTGCAAGGTATATATTTACACTTATCTCCATGTAGAGATATTTATTCTAATATATTCCCAATTATACTAATAGGCACACCAGAGGACAGTCTATCCAATCCTGCTGTTTGCCAAATAGAATAATGTCCATTATCCCCCTTTCTCCCAGTGATTATAGTAAGAGATAACACAATAGCTTCTTAGTTCTAGAATTCTTATTCCTTAATATGATCCACTGTTAATGGCTCTTTGAAGGACTAGAGTTTTCTGTAATGTGACTAAGCTAGAGAAGTTTGAATCCACTTTTGATATGGATTCACTTAATGCAGGTGCCAAAAATTGCTTATCTGCTTAGTACCTATAGGGAACTTCCTGGTTAACACCATAATTCGTCCCCAGCCAATAGTAATTCCAGATGGCAAATAAAACTATCATTAGATTGGCTGGCAGACAATATGACATCAAATGGTATGTGTAAGAATGTTTGACATTTTAATTATGTGCATGTGGACTTCAATAACGAAAAATCAATGTTAGCGTCTTAATGTTTAATCACTACAATGAATGTATCATGTTTATAATTTTCAATATTTAAGTAGACTATTAATAATACTTCTTGCAAAGACAGTGGTAAGAAATAGAAGGCATATCTTGTTCCTTGAAATTACTTTAAATGTAGTAAGGAAACAAAGATACATATGCATATACTTAAAATTAATTATTAATTATATAATATTTAAAATATTTAAAATTGTATTGTTAATGTTATTATTCAATATTAACTAGCTTAATATTAATTACTAATAATACTTGTTGATTTATATATAAACATCAGCATATTTTATATATGTTATAAAATACGGTTATGTATGTTTGTGGCTAACAGTTGTCCTGCAGTCTGTCCTCAGGACTGAAGTATTTATTCCCAACTCCCTGGACATTACCCTCAGCTAGAGAGAGTTGCCTTACCTAATGAATTCTTCCTTCCCACGGGCAGCCTAAATCTAAAGACTGCTTGATATGGGAATCTCCCCTCTATGCAACATAAGAAAACTGTGAAGGACCACGGAGATTTCAAGGCCCCTTGCAGGTTGGCTGAGACCTGTGTTTAGACTGCATTGTCTCCAACTTCTTCCTCTACTCACAACTGCTTCCTTCTGTATATAGGCATTGATCCTAACAATTTATAGTTGGTCCTAATAAACTTCCTACACACCAGTCTGAGTATTAGATGCTCTTTCCTAGTGAACTCAAGCTGAAATAATGTAACTATATAAAGAAATTCACAATATTGTTTTGGTATTGTGGTAAATAGTAGAGCAAATGTGAAATAATCTTATTTAGAGCAATGTTTCTGAAGAAAGTGAATCTTTATGAGCTTTACATTATCTTAGTGTAGAATAGATGATTCGCTTTTAGTTTAAGAAAAGGCAAAAAATTGGAGTGAGCTGAATCTAGTATGAGCAACAGACTTCAATCAAACCACAGTGGAAGGGGAGCCTCAGTTTCTCATCTATATTTTTAAAGAACTGAAACTACTTTTTTTTTTCTGAGATGGAGTGGTGTGCAGTGGTGTGATCTTAGCTCACTGCAACTTCCACCTCCCAGATTCCAGCAATTCTCCCTGCCTCAGCCTACCGAGTAGCTGGGATTACAGGCACCTGCCACTATACCTGGATAATTTTTTTTTAAATTTTTTAGTTGAGATGGGGTTTTGCCATGTTGGCCAGGGTGGTCTTGAACTTCTGACCTCAGGTGATCTGCCCACCTTGGCCTCCCAAAATGCTGGGCTTATAGGTGCGCACCACCACACCCAGCTAATTTTTGTATTTTTAATAGAGACGGGGTTTCACCATGTTAGCCAGGATGGTCTCAATCTCCTGACCTCGTGATCTGCCCACCTTGGCCTCCCAAAGTGCTAGGATTACAGGTGTGAGCCACCACGCCAGCCCAAACTCTTTTATATAAATAATTCATTGGGGATGATTCCTTTTATTAAATATAGGGTGGTAATTTCAATTATAAGAAACCCAATATGGCACAGATTATAGAATACCCCCAATATTCTATATGCTTTTTTATATGTAGCCTCCCATCTAGTTAAGTGGGGAACATGAACTAGTTCTACACAATGGCTTGTGAAAATAAGTGAAATGTATCACTTCTGGTCTAATGTATATGATAAAAATGAGTCCTCCACGCTTTGTCTTCCCTTGTTCCAATAACTCTTTGATGCCTCATCAAAATAAGGAGGACATTTGAATGCTTAAGTTACCAGATAGATTTTTAATCTGGATTGTTAACCTAACCTACATAAGACTTTGAGAGAGAAATGCATCTTTGCTAGTTTAAGCCACTGAAATGTTAGGATCTTTATGTTTCTGCAGGGTAGCCTAATATCCTGTCTAATTATCCTGAGCATCTTATAGTAGCACTTTTGTTATAAACATCTGCTTTAGGTTATTATAACATCTGTGTTGATTTTTTCTATATGTTGGCTTGAAGGTAGTGAAATATGGTAACAATACAACCATTGTTCTTTTTGCACAGATTACATTAATCCCTTTGAGGCAATTTGAGGACCATTGTTTGACATAGATACTAACTTAGATTCTTTGTATCACCCATACTTGATACAGGGCTCTGACTGTGTAGCAGATTTCTGATATACTTTGAGAATACATTGGACACTCTGAGACACTTTGAGGTCCCAAAACAATCTGTATGTTTTTCTCCTGAAATGATCCATCCTAAAAATACAATTTGGATTCTTATGTGAGGAACACACGCATTTTCCATAGAAAAGAAAGTGGCTGTGTATGTTTTTGCTTTCAGCGAAATAACTCTTGGATGTGATGCATGTAGTATGACAAAGATATTATGATTACTATTTGTTAAATCAACAAATATTTATTGAGTGCCTATGATATGTCCTGGGAATATAGCAGTGAACAAAATAGACAAAACTCCTAATTCCTGAAGTTCACATTTTACTTGAAAGAAATCAACAGCAAAGAAGCAGAATATATATATATATATATCCATGAAGTTGTGGTATGTTTTTTAAGTAAGATAAAATATCATCCCCCGCATAAAAAGAGAGTGCTACCTGCCATCATTTAGAGAAAGACAAAATACTCTGAATTATAGATTCTTAATATTCTACAGGATAAATATAGTGACCTATTTAAATTATTTATCAATAGTATTTGTTTTAAAAGAGACCTTTTTGAAGTGGGTTGTATTAATTCATTTACACGCCGCCGATAAAGACATACCTGAGACTGGGCAACTTACAAAAAAAAAAAAAGAGATTTATTAGACTTACAGTTCCACATGGCTGGGAAGGCCTCACAATCATGGCAGAAGGAAAGGAGGAACAAGTGACATCTGATGTGGATGGCAGCAAGCAAAAAGAGAGCTTGTGCTGAGAAACTCCCATTGTTAAAACCATCAGATCTCGAGAGACCCATCCACTATCATAAGAAAAGCACCGGAAAGACCTGTCCCCATGATTCAATAATCTCCAACCAGGTCCCTCCCACAACACATGGGAATTATAGGAGCTACAAGATGAGATTTAGGTGGGGACACAGAGCCAAACCATATCATGGTTTAACTGGTAAGTACATTACCCAATGAACCCTCCTCTGCTGAGTATTGTGAGGTCTCATCTCCTCTACTGGAGGCTCATGAAGACTCCTCTTTTTTAGCTAAGGATCATGAGATTATCCTCCATTCAACTCTTGGAAGCTTGCATAAACTGCCTTCCATTTGGGGGCAAGGAAGGTGTTTCCCAGCTTTCTCTGAGTGCTCCTCTCTGTCCTTCCTTCAATGCAATTTTTATAAAGGGCAAAGACTTGCTTGTAAATTCAAAATCAGTGGGAGATTTTTCAAACACAAGTAACAGTGAAGGAGCATTAGCCATATAACTCAAACTGACAACTTGTATGAATAGTTTAGAATTCTCAAGTGGTGTCTTTACTGAATACTTTTCCCTTATCCATTTAAAAGCCCCCTTCAATAAAATATCCCAGTTAAACACATGATTTTTAAAATTATTTTATATTATTATTATTATTATTATTATTATTATTATTTTTGACAGAGTCTCACTCTGTTGCCCATGCTGGAGTGCAGTGGTGCGATCTCGTCTCACTGCAACCTCCCCCTCCCGGGTTCAAGTGATTCTCCTGCCTCAGCCTCCCTAGTAGCTGGGATTACAGGCACACACCACCATGCCTGGCTAATTTTTGTATTTTTAGTAGAGATGGGGTTTCACCATGTTGGTCAGGCTGGTCTCGAACTCCTGACCTCAGGTGATCCACCAGCCTCGGCCTCCCAAAGTGCTGGGATTACAGGCATGAGCCACCGCACCCTGCCTGAACATATGATTTAATCGTCATACGGGAATATGCCAGGAATGTCTTTAAATGTCAACACTTGTAGAAGAGCATCAAAACATAAGGTATAAAAATACTGAAACGAACATGATAGAGCATTATAATTTCCCCTCTTGCCTTCTAGCTTTGCCCCACATCCTTTAATTTCCTTTTTGCTATCTCTCTCCCATGCCTCAGGAACCTTGACTAGCTTATAAACCACAAGCATGCAAAAATAGTCCTGGAAAATGCCATTTTGATAATTGTTGTGACCCTAAGCAAAAGGCACAAAAATAGGAACAAATACTAGTCATGAATTTCACTAATAGTCAAAAATTGCTGCTCAAGTCAAAACCATGAAGGCAGCTCCTCGAGTGTTTCCTGTCCTATCCAAACCCTGACTCTGCTTCAATCAGGAAGCCACTTCATCTTCAGATATTCTCTCTGTTGTACATCAGCTGAATACCTCCTTTACCTCTATGAGCCACTTAAATTTATTTTGGAAATTCAAGATCAGAGAGTTCAGGGCAAAGGCAAAAATTTTTCTTTAAGGCTTGAAGATAAATAATAGGCATAACATAAGACTTCAGGACTAAATTATGTTATGCAGTAAATATAATGTATATTTTATTCTTAGAAAAATTCCCTAATTTGGTTTAGGATTAAAACAAATTGTAAAGGCCTGGCTCTAACATGTCTGTAGAAGTTTTCGTGAATTCTGATCCCTGATTAGAGGAGGAATCATTTATTGTTTTATGCACTGATTTTATAGTAGGTATTATGGTAATTGGTTCCTCAAAGACGTCATATGCCCTTTTGATGAACACAGCTTGAATACTCCAAGAAAATATATCAATGATACGAAATTAAAAAAAAAATGATGTAACCATTGAGATGATAAACCAAGAAGAACTTTTTAGTGTTTACAAGTCCAATACCATGGAACATCCTTTTCCAGTAGGCAATGTGATAGATCAACTGTGGTTTTCATTTGTAGAACCAAATGTAACAGATTATTGACATTTTAGAAATATTTAGTAAGTTAACTTTGAAGTGAAAGTAGGTATATCAAAGATTTTTAAAATATTGTTTGATTTAAATTATATTAGAAACAATGTTTCAGTTCCCAATTTAATGCTTCTCTGTATGTATGTTTTCCTATGTGTGTGTGTGTGTTCCTGTGTGTATGTGTGTTGTGTGTGCGTGTGTGTGTGCCTGTGGTCATGCATTTGTCCTATGTATTGAATTGACGCTATAAGTTTGTCTGTGGCTCAATTTATACAATTTTGAACCCGTGAACAAGTTATAGAACAGAACAGATAATGACATCCTGAGATACTTCTAAGGGAAGAGCCAGTAACATTCCATCTAGAACCACAAATGTGCTTTTTGAGAAAGAAAGGCGGAAAGGACAGAGGGAAGGAAGAAGGAAAAGAAGGAGAAAGGAAGAAGTATACAAATAAAACTACTGAAGAGAGACCGCATCTAAACAAATAAGGTTCTCTTGATCAAATTATGTATTTCAGGTGGGCTATATCTTTACTGACTTTTAAAATCCTAATGGTAATGGAACACTCTGCAAGAGCTGTAAACTGGAGACCACTAGAAGTTTATAGCCCGGTGGTATATTTTATTTGGCCATTTTGTTATATCTGTACAGGGTTTTAAAAAATCAGTGGAATTAGGTATGTGCTCTACTTGCCAGGATGCATGCAACTTGGCACATATGTGCACCTACAGTACACTTAAGTTTTAGCACCTAAGCAAGGTCCATAACCAATGGTTATCAGACATCATTGATTTTAAAATTTGAGCAATTTGAAATCTTTGGAATTCTAAAAAACAGCATCTTTTTAAAGAATTGCACAACAAATGAGGAAAAGACTGTCCAGGGACTAAATTGTTCCAAATTGAAGATATTGACTCAGCAGAAATGGAGTCCATGCTCAAACTCAAGTCATGCTAATTTAAGAGAATAAGGTTAAAATCAAAGTAAAATAAAATAAAATAAAATAAAGAAGAAGAAACACAAAGAAAGGGATATTTGTAAATGTATCCTTGAAAACTATCACAAAATCTTTTATCATAAATACAAAATGATTGCAAAACTACCTCTAAATTGCTTTAAGATTAATACAAAAATTGAGTGACTCATGCAAAATAAAGGAGATGAAACTGCTCTAGCTTGACTCAGAGTTACACTCTCAGGGTGAAGTAATGAAAAATACTGCTAAATATATTTAGTTTAGAAGAAAAATCAGCAGCTAGTATTATTTCTTTTGAGGATAGGTGAAGGGACAGAATGGCCATCTGGGAGGAAAATGTCTGAAAAGGGACATTTATCAGTGGAACAGAAGGACTTTAGATGTGAAATCTGGCTGCTATGTTTGAGGAAAAAGAACCATTTAAAACTTAGCTTTTCTATTTCATGGGTGTTTTTTCACATGAGAAAAATAACTCTGGTTAATATATAATTCAAAGAAATTGTTGCATCCTATGTGTCTTATGTGTATCCCCACTATGAACCTGCTTGGTTACATGTCAATAGATAAACCTTGGAAGAGAGATGCCAGGGAGTACAATATTTCACCACAGTACTATTCCTCTGATGGTCCGTATTGCACACACTAAAGTACACCTACCTCTTTTTTTTCACACCACTCCACAATGACAACTTTCCTCCTCTTTCCTTTCCCCCACCATATGGTCCTACCGTTGCTTGCAATTTTTTCAATATGTTCCTACTCATCTCCTGAAATAAAGGATGATTTGTCTTGGTTCAGCTTTCCTCAATGCATCTTGGAGTAATGCAGGGTAATCTTAACAATTCATTTTCATATAAAGAAACCAGGCAGGGAAAAACTAGACATTTTTTCCCTGTAGTAAGAGGACATTGTGTAGAAAACGTCAAGAACATAAACTTTTAAGGTTTTAATATAAGGGAAAGTTAGGCTTAGAAGTATATTTTATACTATACATCTATGGTAATACAGACAGTGTTATTTTGATGAAAGGGTAGATGCATGTATCAAAGAAATAGATACCAGGAACAGATCCACATAAATATAATCAACTAATTGGTCAAAGGCCATTTAATGGACAAAACAAAGGCTTTTCAACAAACAATGCTGGAAAAAACTTTAAATTGTGTGCTGTTCTGGGTAGCATGGTAGCCTGATGAGAACTGGCACTGTGAGCTCTGTCCATCCCAGGAAGTGAATTCTCCTTTGTCCAGATTATCCACGCTGTCTACATTTGTTCCTATTAGTCCTCTCAATGATCAAATCTACTCTCAAAGTATCACAGTGCTTGTGTTCAAGGAACTCTTATTTTACTTAATAATGGTCCCAAAGTGCAAAAGTCCTGATGCTGGCAATTTGAATATATGAAAGAGAAGCCATAAAGTGCTTCCTTTAAGTGGAAAGGTGAAAGTTTTCAACTTAATAAGGAAAGAAAAAAATCGTATGCTGAAGTTGCTAAGGTCTACGGTAAGAATGAAACTTCTATCCAGGAAGTTGTGAAGAAGAAAAAATAAATTTGTGCTAATTTTGTTGTCACACCTCAGACTGCAACAGTTATAACCACTGGGTGAAAAGCGTTTAGCTAAGATGGAAAAGGCACTAAATTTGTGGGTGAATGACATGGACAGAAATGTGTTCCAACTGATGGCAACCTGATTCAGTACTCTCCATGATTTCAGGCATTCACTTGGGATCTTGGAACATATTCCATGTACTTAAGGGGCTATTACTCTATAGGTAGCAAAAACCATATGAAAATAAGCTCAAAATCATTTGTTAGGGAAGTGCATGTTAAAATTAAAATGGGGATACTATGGCACATATGTAGAATTTGTTTATTATTTATAGAATTTAAAATATGTTTAGAATTGCTTAAATAGAAATTTGAAAATGAACTGACAATACCAAATATGTGTGAGGATGTGGAGCAACTGGAACTCTCATACCTGGTGAACAGGAAGGCAAAATGGTATGGCACTCCGGAAAATAGTTTGACACTTTCATGATTTGTTTCCCAGATATTTTGAGTAACACTCCAAATTTCAGAGATATCTGTTAGGGTACAAGTTCAATCTTATTTTCCTAAAATGGTACATTTTCTAACTCAGTAGGATATTATTAAAGGTAGACATGCTCTGTTTTGAACGCCTGCCCAATCTCATTAACTTCTTGAGTGAGGCCTTTTGTTTTGTTTTTCTCTTTGCTTATTTGACATTGTATAGCTTTTCTCTCAGTCTTTTAATCATACCTTGTGTGATGGTTAATACTGAGTGTCAACTTGACTGGATTGAGGGATACCAAGTGTTAATCCTGGGCATGTCTGTGAGGGTGTTGCTCAAAGAGATTAACATTTGAGTCAGTGGGCTGGGGAAGGTAGATCCACCCTTAATCTGGTGGGCACAATCTAATCAGCTGCCAATGAACATAAAGCAGGCAGAAAAATGTGAAAAAGAGAGATTGGCCTAGCCTCCCAGTCTATATCTTCCTCCTGTGCTGAGTGCTTCCTGCCCTCAAACATTGGACTCCAAGCTCTTCAGTTTTGGGATTCAGACTGCCTCTACATCTTGCAGACAACGTATTGTGGGACCTTGTGATCCTGTAAGTTAATACTTAATAAACTCCCCTTTATATCTATCCTATTAGTTCTGTCCCTCTAAGAGAACTCTGACTAATACACCATGCCACATTTTTCCTATTTTCTGGGTCATGTATAAAACACAAAATAAATTGACAGAGGACACAGAGAACTAGTTCAGAAATCCTTCTGAGTATTTAAAGTTTGGACCTCAAATTGAAGCCCAGTTTCTCTCCTTTTCCAAGTGTTACATAGCCATCTCTTTTTCTAAGGTGCCATCTGTTGGCCTATGTATGAACCCTGGGTGATATAAGGGGTTATTTGTAAAGCAAGTACCAATTTACTAAGATAAGGCTTTGTTTAGTTAGTTGGTGGTATTCAATGGAATATTAACCTGCAATATCCATGATAGTGTTTTTTTTTTATTTTTAAATTTTCTTTTGAAACAGGATCTTGCTCTGTCATCCAGGCTGAGTGCAGTGCTGTGATGTCGGCTCACTGGAGCCTTCACCTCCCAGGCTCAGGCAATCCTCTCACCTCAGGCTCCTGAGTAGCTGGGACTACAGAAGCATGCCATCAGGACCAGATAATATTTTTAATTTTTTGTAGAGACAGGGTTTCATCATGTTAGCCAGGCTGGTTTGAATTCCTGGGCTCAAACGATCTGCCTGCCTTGACCTACCAAAGTGCTGGGATAACAGGCATGAGCCACCACATCAGGCCTAATTTTTTATTGTTTGTAGAGAAGGGTTCTCACTATGTTGCTCAGGCTGGTCTTAAACTCCTGGATGAAAGTGATCTTCCCACCTCCGTCTCTGCCTCCCAAAGTGCTGGGATCACAGGCATGAGCCATCATGCCCAGTCTCCATACTAGTTCTTAGAGGCCACCAAATGATTATTTTTAGCTTAAGAATCTGCTCCTGGATGCCTTCTAAAAATACTAAAGAACCTTTATGTTTCCACCAGTTTTGTTAGGGTCCAATCTGTTTCACAGAAAATACTTTGGCGATAGCCACCTAAGTATCTTAGGCGACATCTACACATTTTCTAAGGCCTCTGGGCCTCATAAGTCACCTTAATTATTCTCTTCCCACAAAAGTTTTTGCTTATGAGGTTCTTAATAGAATATAAATCAACTGATATTGGGAAGGTTTGATTATATATTTCTAGATCTGTCCTACCTCAGTCTGTAAATTTCTTTCTATTTTGTCTAGGCTTTAGAAGTCTTTCACATTGACTCTTAGCTCAGACTGAGACCAGGGCTTAAGATCAATCACAATGGGCCTGCTCTGTTCTGAATGGCATTAACTTTCAGAGGCAATTTATCTTCGTAAATGTCTGGCCAGCCAGAACTAAAGGTAGGTGGGTCTGAAAGGAGTATGGGCAGAATGTAATGGAGGGTTATGTAGTGGAAGGGGAGCAAGAGTGGTGTAAAAGTTCAGTTTACAGTGTGGAGAACCTGAAAGGGGGAGCCTAAATAGTAAGTATCCACAGATTTAACTTGCCTTGTTCAAAGGAACTTTTAAGGATGCGATGTTGTTACATAAAATTACTTCAGAACTTCCTCATGTCAATGAATAAATGGAGATCACTAGATGCTTCAAATTTTTCTCCCTTTTTGTTTTAAGACATGTCTATACATCTAAAATAAATACTATTTATATTCAAAGCTCACAAAGCATCCACTATAATTTTAAATTATCATTGGTAAAATTATGCCAACTAGAAAGATAGATGTTAGAATTAGAATGTGAATACATGTAAGAAAATAGAATCAGACCTAGCAGAGACATAGACTAAATTGAGAAGAAATCATAAAGGGATGGATGGCAATGGTCGGTCAGCTATGTTGCTGGTGCACCTCATGGCTCAAGTTCCCACCCTAATGACTGGCTGGATCCAATTACAGACCCAACAAATCCAGCGAATGGAAGTTTTTGAGATGGGATTTACCTTTGAATCATGCTCTCAAAGACCAAACAACAACAACAAAAGCCACAAAGGAAAATTTTCATGCATTTTAAATAGCCCCAGTTTGTCCTACAAACACAGCCTACTTTAGCAAGGGGGAATATAGCATAACATTGAACGAATCTTCATAGTTTCTCAGAATGGAGTGGTCATTGTATAATATTTATTAAGGTTTAGGGTCTGGACTAGAATAGTTTAAGATGAATCTTTCTAGGAATGGAGTTATCTGGGATGGAGAAAATTTGTGATATAACTGTTTAGTATTGAATTAAACAGTATCAAAAGAGTCTTTCAGTGTTTAAAAGTAAGTTGCAAAAGTAAGGTGGGCAATATATTGTCCTCATAGGAGAGATTTTTGGCCAGCAGCAAACTACTTGCCCAGATAAATTGGTTTATAGTAATTTCCTGAAGCAAACAGTTAAGACACACTAATATAGATGGCCTCGATTCTCAGTCCTGATAGTTTAGCTATGTGAACAAGGTGATCTCAATTCTATATTTAAGGGGAAAAAAAGTCAAAACAAAGAAAGGCACATGCTTTGAAGCTTCAGTTCACATGCTAGTTTTTCTGCCTTCTGAGTATCTAACCATGAACAAATTAATTAGTATTCTGAAGTCATATTTGTAATGAATACTATAATTGTATCTTGCACAGACTTTATCAATATTAACTTAATAATGCATGTAAAGAAGCCAGCGTGTCTTATAAAGAAGCTGCACATTGAAAATAAGTTATTTCCCCCTTGAGAGAATTAAATCAATAGGATGAGTAGTGAAAATAATATTTTAAGTCCTTGGAGTGTAGAAAAAAACTAAAATTGAGAAAGTAAAGCCCAAATACCCGATAGAAAAATGGGAAAAAGACATAAACAATTCATTCCTAGGTATATACCCAAGAGATAGGAAACATATCCTCAGAAAGATATGTTTATTTCCTTTTATGCTCACAAGGCAAACTTCTTTACATATACATTTGAAATACTAATTAAATTGTGTTGATTCATAGTTGCCATGTTAGAAAATTTATTACTCACAAAACTTACAGTGTTTGGAGGATACACTTATGACAGCTTTAATGAGTTAAATTTTTATTTTTATTAAGTTACATGTCATAAAATTTACACATCAAAAATGTATAGTTTGATGAGTTTAGGTAGATTTATACAATTGTTCAGCCATTATGTGTGAGATTTAGAATACATCCCCAAAATATCTTCATTGTCTATTTACAGTCAATCCCTACTGCCACACTTTGCATTAGGCAACCACTCTTGTTTTCTGTCTTTACAGTTTTATTTTTTCTGGATATTTCAGATAAATAAAAATCATATAGTTTGTAGTAATTTCTGTCTGCCCATTTCTAGTTAGTATAATACTTTTGTGAATCATTCATGTTTTGGCATGACTCTAAAATTTGCTCTATTTTATTGGTTAGTAGTATTTCATTGTATGGGTGTACCACATCATGTTATCTACTCCCACGTTGATTGACATCTCAGTCATTTTTAGGTTTTGGTTACTAGTCATAATGTTGCTATAAACATACATGTAAAAGTCTTTCTGAGGATATGTTTCCTATCTCTTGAGTATATACCTAGAAATGAATTGTTTATTTCTTTTTCCTATTTTCTATCAGGTATTTAGGCTTTTCTTTCTCAATTTTAGAGTTCTTTACAACTTAAGAAGATTAGACTTTATCTTTCATATATGGGGGAAATATTTTCTTCTAACTTATTTATATTTGACTTTGCCTACATTGTGTTTGTATATACAATCACAAAATTTTTTTATTGCCTCTGAATTTAAGTCACAGTTAGAGAAAATTTTCACACTCTCAGGTTACAAATGAATTTAGTTCTGTTTTATTGTGGATCATATACAGTTTTTTTGTTTTACATTTAGGTCTCTGGCTTCTTTGAAGTTCTTTCGGCTGAATGGCTTGAAGTATGAGTCCCTTTTTATGTTTTTCCGAAGGATGTCTTGTTATCCCAACACTAATTTGTATGAAAGTATATTTCACCTCCCCCCTGCCAGTGACAAGATGTTGAAACAGGAAAAGTTCCCTTATCTTCCTCTCAGGGCTTGCCACAGAGGGAGTGGCTCACTTTTTCAGTGCCCTACAGCTCAAACTCCTAGGGGGAGCATGCAGACGGGCAGGTCATTGGGAGTGTGGGCTCAGGTCCCACAGTAGTATCTAGGGTTGAGTGCTTACAGCTCCTGAAGCCCCAGTGGGTGTGTGTTACAATATGCTCTTTCAGCTTAGCCACCCACAGGTGTCTTGTGTTAATCAGCTCAATTAGACCCTCTGCCTTATCGCAAGGACACAGGGCTTGCTGTATCCCAGGGTTCTTGCCTTAGTAGACTGCAAAAAATTGGATCACACATGGGCTTGGAGAATGAGTGCAAGGTTTTATTGAATGGTGAAGATACCTCTCAGCAGATTGATGGGGAGCCAAAAGGTGGATGGAGTGGGAAAGTGGTCTTCCCCTGGAGTTGGGCCGTTCAGTGGTTGGGCTCTCCTCCAACCACCCTCAGCTGAATTTCTCTTGGCATCTGCGTCATTTTGCGGTCAATGGCATGTTGGCATCTGTGTGTTCTTCTGCTGCTGTGTTCCTCCTGACGTCCAGTTCCTTGTGTGTTTTTCTACCAGTGTGTTCCTCTCTATGGCCAGCCACTTGTGTCTGTGCCCGCTAGGGTCTCAGGGTTTTTATAAGCATGGGATGGGGAGTGTGGCAGGCCAGGGTGGTCTTGGAAAATGCAACATTTTGGCACAGAAACAGGAGCTCTTGTCCTTACCTAGGTCAGTGGGCAGGCACAGGCCCGAGGGTGGAGCCCTTGCCAGGAACCACGCCCTCCTCTATCCAGCACTTCCCTGCCCCACTCCCGTATCAATGTGACCTTCTTCATATTACTAAAACGTTATAATATACTGGATTCTTTTTTTAAAGCTTTCTTGTCTTTTCCACACATCTGACAACTTATGTGTCAGTTTCATACTACTCCGATTTTTGAGTCTTTGAAGTATATTTTATTATTCGGTAGGTCTAGTTTCCCCTCGTTAATATCCTTTTACAGGGACTTCCTAGATTTTCTTGAATGTTTGTTCCATATACTTTAATTTCATTTATCTCCCAATGTCATTATATTTATCCAATCTTTATGTTGATATGGGGATACTTGACATTTGTGTAATGTTCTGTGTCTTAGTCCATTAGGGTTGCTATAACAAAATATCATAAGCTGGGTAGCTTAAACATCAAAGATTCTTTTCTCACAGTCCTGGAGGTTAGGAAGTCCAAGGTCAAGGCACTGGGTGAGGGCCTGCTTCCTTAGTTCATAGACAGCAGTCTTCTTGCTGTGTCCTAGGATGGCAGAGAGAGGAATCAAATGCTCTCAGGACTTTTAAAGGACACTAATTCCATTCATGGAGGCTCTACCTTCATATTCTCATCTAATTTTAATTACCTCTCAAAAATCCCTACTGCCTAATATTACCACATTAGGGGTAGAGTTTCAACAAATGAATTTGAGGACACAAATATTTAATCATAACGCTTGGCCGTCATATCTGAGAACATAAGATATTATTTAAATTTATTTTTATGTCTTTTTGAAGTGCTTTTCAGAGATTTTCTCTGTCAGTTTCTCAATTTTTTAATTAAATGTATTCCCAAATATTTAATACTTATTATATATGGAGCTTTCCCCTTACATCTTCTAACTGGCCATATTTGTACATATAAAAACTACTGATTTTTATACACGAATTCTAGATACTTTACTTGGATTATTTTATCATTGTGAAAATTTTATAATTGTATTTCTTAGGTTATCTAGAAAAACTGTCAAATCATCTGCAAATGAAAATAATTATTATTTGCTGGTTTTTAAGCATGTAATTGTTTTCCTTTTGCTAGTTGTTTTGGATAATATGTCCAATAAAATGCTAAATTCTAATGGAGTTAGTGGGCATCTTTACACACTGAGATAGCATATATTTAATAAAGTTTTCTTTCATTTGTTAAATGAATTAGTTGATTTTAGGACTGAGAAAAGTGTGTGTGTGTGTGTGTGTGTGCAAATGTCTACTTTACTATATGTTGAAAAATTAGGAATGGGTATTGATTTTTTTGTCAAAATCTTTGCAGCACCAGTACCTATAGAGACATTTTCCACCTTATCTCCTTTAATTTTTTTTTAGTTTGAAATGTTTTAGGACTCATAAAAAGTTGTAAAAGGAATACAGACTTTCTATGCATACTTCACCCCATTTCTCCGACTTTTTTTTCTTTTTTTTTTTTTGGAGACAGAGTCTCGCTCTGTCGCCCAGGCTGGAGTGCAGTGGCACGATCTCGGGTTACTGCAACCTCCACCTCCTGGGTTCAAGCGATTCTCCTGCCTCAGCCTCCTGAGTAGCTGGGATTACAGGCACCCACCACTACGCCTCGCTAATTTTTGTATTTTTAGTAGAGATGGGGTTTCATCATGTTAGTCAGGCTGGTCTCGAACTCTTGACCTCAATATCTTACATAACCATATAGCATTGTCAAAGCCATGGGACTGATATTGATACAACACTAATCACTCAAATATAATTGGTATTTGTATTTTACCTTTTTATTACACATGTACTATTTTGGAGGCTGTATTCTCTGATTTTTTTGCATGTGTAGATTTTAGTACCCATCACTGAATTTGCCATAGAGAATTGTTCTATCATCATATAGAAACTCTGTTGTGTTATCTTTCGATAGTCATACCTTCTTCAATCCTAACCCTTGCAACAATCCATTTGTTCTCTAATTTTTATAGAAATGCAATTATATAACACATAACTTTTTGAGATTGACTATTATTTTCTTCATTCATCAGGTGCCACTCGGATTTATCCACACTTTTATGTGTATCAAAAGTCTATTGTTTTTTATTGCTGAATAGTGGATGCACGATAATCTGTTTAACCTCCAACCTGTTGAAAGATATTTCAGTTGCTTGCAGGCTGGGGCTATTAACAAGAAAACTATGTAAATTCATGTGTAGGTTTTGTGTGAAATTAAGTTTTTATATCTCTAGAGACATGTCCCGACATATGTTTGCTGGATCATACAGGCAGTGTATGTTTAACTCTATGTGAAACTGTCAATTTTTCAACCTGGCTGTAGCATTTTACATCCTCCAGCAATACATGACATATGTAGCTGTTCCACTTTCTCACCTGTACTTTATCAGTTGGTATCTTTAATTTTTTTTTAATCTATTCAAGTAGGTGTGCCCTTATACCTTATCTTACATTTATTTGCATTTCTCTAATCACTAATGATTTTGAATGTTTTTTTCCTGTCTGAATTTGCTGTTCACATGTCCTCTTTGGCATTGCATCTTTCTTCCTATTGAATTTAGGAAGTTATCTGTATATGCTGGATCCAAGTCTTTCATCTTGAAAACATGACATTTACAAATACTCTCTCTTGGTCTGTGGTTTGTCTTTTCACCCTCTTTATAAAACTTTTATTTTATTTTATTTATTTTTTGAGACGGTCTCACTCTGTTGCCCAGGTTGGAGTGCAGTGGTGCCATCTTGCCTCACTACAATCTCTGCCTCATGGGTTCAAGAGATTCTTGTGCCTCTGGCTCCAAAGTAGCTGAGATTACAGGTGTGTGTCACCAAGCCTGCCTAATTTTTTTTATATTTTAGCAGAGATGATGTTTCACAATGTTGGCCAGGTTGGTCTCGAACTCCTGGCCTAAAGTAATCCACCAGCCTCGGCCTTGCAAAATGCTGGGATTACAGGTGTGAGCCACCACTCCTTGCCCTTTTCATCCTCTTAACAGCTTCTTCTGTAGAGCAAAAGTTTTAAAATTTGATAATGGTCAATATATATATTTTTTATTTTATTTGAAGCCATGTGTAAGATTATCTGCATACCTTTGGTCATAAATATTTTCAATTGTTTTCTAAAAGTGTTTTAGTTTCACATTTTACATTTTGATATAGAATCCATTTTCAGTTAATTTTTGTATAGGAAGTGAAGTTTAGGTCAAGGTTTATTCTTTTTCCTGTGAATATCCAATTTTCCCATCACAATTGCTTGAAAAACCTGTGCTGTCACTGTATATCACCTAAGGAGAAAAATAGTCTAATACTGTTTTCAAAATTGGGAAATATAAAATTGATATAATACTATCATCCAATCTACAGTATCAATTCATATAGGTGCCTTAATAATATCTTTGTAGTACAAGAAGATGAAGGTGAAAAAGTTAAAGATGAAGAAGAAATAAAAGAAAGAGAAGGAGGAGAACAGGAAGAGGAAAACAAAAAGATGTAGGAAAAGGAAAGCAGAGGAACACATTTTAAAAATTTTCTGCTGCTAGATGATACATTAGTAGACATGTATCTGGTTTCTTTAAAACTTTTTTCTGAGCCTTTTTTTGCCTTTCTTGACGTGGACATATTTGAAGAGTATCAGCTAATGTTTGTATGCTCTCCCTCAATTAGGTTTTTTGATACTTACAATTAGATTACTGGATTTTTAGCATAAATATGACAGTTGTGTTTTTTTTTCTTTTAATTATTGTGGTAAGGAGATACCAGATTATGTTTGATTGGCTGATTATTGGTAATGTTAACTTAATTTACTTATTTAATGTTGTGTCTTCCAGGTTTCCCTATTATATGATTAGTTTATTTTCCTGTTATTAATTTCAAAAAATTCTTGTGGGTATACATTATGATTACATATATTTTGTCCTTCATCAAATTTTCACCCACTAATTTAGCATTCATCTATTTTAGTACATAAATATCCTTTATATTTTTATATAATTGGTATTTTTGTTCACAATCATCTTATTATCTTATGTATTTTACTATTTTATTATTATGATATTATTTCATTGTGCAATTTTCTCTGCTTTTTCAGATTTAAAAAATTATTTTGGTATTTTCAAAGTTTGTATTTATATTTAGGTAGTTACCATTATGAGATTGATCTTTATGACATTAATGCCCTTAAGTATCTATCATTTGATAGCACAGATTCAAATGATATCCCTTGATGTCAACCTCTTGTGTATACTTTAAAGAATGAGCATCTTTTACTTTAATTCTGCCCCCTTCTTTTTGAACCCATTTATTTAGTTGTATTTTTTCTTCTTGTCCAAGGCATATAGGATTTATATCCCAATCTGCCACTCTGCCCCCACCTTTTATATCATCTTATATATGTTACCATAAGTCATTGGGCTAGAGTGTCCCCTGTCATCTTTGGTTGGGTGATGTGCTTCTTCTAGTAGACGTCTTAAGTGCTGTGTATGCATACAGAGTGCTCCCTGAATGCTGGTAGCTTTAAAATTATTTAACTATAAGCATATTCCTAAATGACAGGTGAGCTGTATATATATATATAGGCTTTTGTATTTTAAATTTAATTTAATCTGTAACTGACAAAAAATAAGTATACATATGTACCAGGTACAATGTGATTTTTAATATAAGTTTATAAATATTCACTTACTGATATTTTGTTCATCTTTATATACACAGGATACAAAATATGACCTTGTAAAAAGCAGGTGATCCATAAAGGTTTAGCAATTGAGTCAAATAATGTAATTGGAAGAAAACATCGTATTTTAGTTGCAGAGGGATGGAGCTCAACTGCATGTAGTTTCCTTAATATGGAGTGACAATATCTGTAGAACTTTTAGAAGACTTTTGTCATGAGGATATTAATATACTCACATTCTTCCTTTTCAATATGGAAGCAACTTGGTCCTGTCTCTAAAAAGTCATGTTTTGGCAAGTTCCATGTATATGCTCTTAGATTCAATTTCTTCTTTTAATTAGCTAATTAATACTTCACCTATCTAACAGTTCTGAGAGTCAGGATAAATACAAGTGGAACCCCATTATAAATTATGAATTAAATTTAACTACAGAATTGATTTTAAGAGAGTGAAAGCTTTAGTATGACTTTCTTTAGTAGAAAAAAAGATTTTCATGCAATAGTTGAGATAATATCAGTTATCTAAGATTCAATTCCCCTCCCCTGTTTTCTATAAATTACTTTCTAAACTATCTACTCAGATAAAAAGTAGGTTTAGAGTAACTTACCCTCATTTTTAGATATAAATTCATAATTATAGTAATATGACAGGATATGCTAAAAATCTGGTTAGAATGGCCTACTTTTTGCTTTGCTGTGGTAGCACAGATCTCTTAAAAGACCACTGAAATCTTGTTTGCCTTTGTCATTCTTCTAAAAGTGTTTTAGTTTCACATTTTACATTTGTCATATTTAGTTTGTCAACTTCATTTCATCTTCTGTCAGCTAAATGTAATTTTGTACATTTTCTGTAAGAGACATGAGACAAAACATCTGGGTCATCCTTTCTTATAGTAAGCTGAAAAATATCTTTCCCACTGGAAAGTTTTTCTGATCATTATAATAATGAATATGTAGTGAACTTTATTTTGCCAAGTTGCCTCGGTGGTTAGGAGAGATGTGCAGCCTGTGCCTCTCTAGCTATGAGTGAGAGATGACCTCATTTAGTTTTAATAACATGTTAGGTGATTATTATTTTATTTTTATATTTATTTATTTATTTATTTATTTATTTATTTATTTATTTATTTATTTATTTTGAGATGGAGTCTCACTCTGTTGCCCAGGCTGAAGTGCAGTGGCACGATCTCAGCTCACAACCTCCACCTCCCAGCTTCAAGTGATTCTCCTGCCTCAGCCTCCCGAGTAGCTGGGATTACAGATGTGCACTTGGCTAATTTTTGTATTTTTAGAAGAGAAGGGGTTTCACCATGTTGGCCAGGCTGTCTCGAACTCCCGACCTCAGATGATCCGCCTTCCTTGGCCTCCCAAAGTGTTGGGATTACAGGCATGAGCCACTGCGCCCAGCCAATTATTTGATTGATGCGTTTTCTACTTTTTATTAGCTTTGGAGACAGTCATTGGCAATAGTGGTCACTTGTGGCTGGAGTGTATAAGCAAGTGTGAGTAGCACATGCGTCAATTTGTTTAAAAATATATTGCAACCCCACACAGTGTGTAGGCCAAAAATCTGCAAAATGGTATTATTTTTTAAGCAATGTGGTACTTTGCTATTTTAAGCAAGCTATACTTCTTACAAAATTGCATTTCCAAAAGCTATATTATAGAGCAGATGGCCATAAAATCAATTGTATTTCTTCAGAAATAATGCTATATGTAGATGCTATGCTCTTCATCAAAAATGTGTTCTCATGGTAGCTATAGAACTAACAATATGTCAAAAAATTAAAACACTAAACCTCAGAAATATGCAGTTATTTGGATAGAAGGCACATGTTCTCGTAATCATATTATTTCAATGCTACAGATATCCTAAAGATCAGAATTCCAAGATCAGAATTTAAACCAAATTTAATTATTTGCCCACTATTAACTATCTAGTTGTTGAAAAATACAAGACTAGATTCTAAATCTCTGTACTCCAGGCCTAATTACATCTCAATTACTTTAGAGCAACCTCCTTTACAAAAATCTAAAAACTGAAGTTATTTACAAGTGAGTTAGTTTGTCTGAAGATATATCATGTCTGACAGATGTTCTATTAGGTCTTAAACCTGCACAGCTCAAATACTTTTGAAGAATTTGATTTATAACCAGATTATGAGACCTGTTTTGTAGGAAATATGTTACAACTGCCAGATATAAACAAGATGCCTTACAGAATGGAAATTTACCATTTTAATTTAGATTCTGCTGGAAAAGGAGGGGGGGAATAAGAGTTACATGTCCATTTCTCACTAGAGTGGATATGACTAGAAATTTACAAAGCTGACTTTCTTTTTTTTTTTATTTACACATTTACTCAATAAATATTTATGGAGCACTCACATTTAACAGGACCTGGTTTCATCATAGCGATAAAATAATTCATGACGTCTTATTGCAATTTACTCTGCTTTCATAAAATATCATTTGAAGAAAGTATAATGAGCCTACACAGTATCTGCTTTTCAGTCTTTGGTATGGAAAAGTCTCTAGTTTCTGTTACTATTCAGTATTGCAGCACTCAGAAAGGTAGAAACACAGGAAGGTTGTGACTAGTACTTAATACATGGTAGTTGTTCTTTTTCATTTTTCTTTAAAAAGCCCATATGTGATTATCCAGTTGTATGTATAAATGAGCTCCGCTGTTGGCCATCTTTTTGCAGAGGACCTCTGTGGGGAACATGAATTGCCTTTAAATCAAGTAGGCTTATATCAACGAACTAATTCCCAAGCCTTAAAGTGGTTATGCATTCATATAAGGAAGTGTCAATCATCAAAAGGTCAGATAAGAAAAAATTTACATGAATCAATCAGTGGGAGATTTCCTGGGTGGCCAGAAGATATCTGATTACTCTGAGACTTGACAGAGCTGGAGGTGAAGAGAAGTTTATATTTCTAATCTGTGTGCTAGGAAAGAGTCTGCCCAATGTGAAAGTCCCAAAACTAATCCAGGTAGTGCTGAATAAATCTTTGACAGTGATTAGCGTGGCTCTTAAAAGAGAAGACTTTCCTAAGTGTTGGTTAAAAAAAGATAAAAAGTGCAATTTAATGTCCTGAAAATTTTTAAAAAGGTAACAGGAGAAAGCTTTATACCTACCTTTTTTATTAGTTTACAGTCTATGCAACAAACTGTGGTGTCTAAGGGCATGGTTACTGGAACCATAATTATGGAAACCACTTCCCACCTCCAGCACTTTCATACGTTTCTCATGTAACATGGAGCTCATAAAAATACATAATTCAGAAATTACTTATAAGGATTAAATGTGTTATTACACATACATATTTAGAACAATATCTCTCTACTTATTCACCATTCTAATTTCATTATTATTATTATCATTTTTGTGACAGGGTCTCACTATTTTGCCTAGGCTGGTCTTGAAATCCTGGGCTCAGTGGTCTTACTGCCTTGGCATCCCAAAGTGCTGGGATTACAGGTGTGAGCCACCATGACAGACTAATTTTATTATTATTTGATGATGATAATGATGATAATGACAATGATGTAACTCTTCTGTGATGCCTGATATTTTGTAAATATCTGAAGTCTAGAAATGACTTCAGATAGTTACATAAATCTGCCAACATTTTAGTAAACTAAGATAAGAAGGATAAGTTGTTTTAAAATAAATAATAAAGTTTTTAAAACTCAGAATCTGTAGTAGTGGAGAATTATCAAGAGAATTTCATTAATGAAAACATCAAGAATGTCTTCCCATCATGACTTTAACATGTTACTACAGATAATGGATGAAGAAAGAGAGAGAGAGAGAGAGAGAGAGAGAGAGAAATAAGCATTTATAAAAACTAAGATAAATTCATATTTAAAAATAAAAGAGAACAGAATTATTATTATTTGTGATATGGGCAGGAGACAGGGAAACACTGGGTAGAAGAGGGCGGTTCCCTGGCAAAGGCCCCACCCTCAAGCGTGAAGACCCCTGGCCCTAAATGGGAACAGGCATTTCTGGTTTTGCTCCCAAAAAGTTGCCTTTTGGACTGCCACACTCCCCTATCCTGTACCCATATAAACTCCGAACCCCAGGATCCAGAAGCAGATGAGAGACAAGACCAGGAAACAAGCAGGCAACCAGAGGGTCAGTGGAATAACACAGCAGAGAAAGAAAGGAGGAGGAACCTCTAAACGCCCGCAGCAGTTTGGCTGGGGGTGGTCAGAAAGGGGTTTAGCTGCTGGATAGCCAGGATGCAGGGAAGAACATCTTCCTACTCCATGCCCCTCTTCCAGCTTCTCATCCATCCCACTGAGAGTCACTTCCACCACTCAATAAAACTTTTGCACTCATCTTTCCAGTTGATGTGTGACCCGTTTTTCCGGGAAGCTGGACAATAGCTAGGGATACAGAAAGCTATTGCACTGGCCCCCTGCCCTTGCAGAAAGGCAGAGAGTCCATTGAGCTGATTAACACTTAAGCAGCGACTGAACAGGTGAGCCACACCCCTGTCGCATGTCCTGCGACGGGGATCAGGGAACTCTCCCGTTTAAACAAGAGGTCACAAAATTTTCTTTAAGAAAATCCAAAAGAATCAGATAAAATAAAATTAAAATCATTTGTGAGTAAGTATAAAAGCTAGAAATAAAACTAAAATGCATAAACATTTACATATAGGTCAGCCAAAGCGAAGAAAAAAGTATAACAGAAAAAGACACCCTTTAAAACTGAGGAAAAAATTTACAACAGATTTAGCAATATAGCAAAGAGAAAATGTGCAAGGCTCCAGGGAAAAATATCAAAGACACAAAAAAGACACAAAAAACAGTGCCAGAGTGAATGTTAAAGTACCAATTGTGTTTTAAATAATTTATAAATTTAACACAATCCTCCTTTAAAAGTTCAATAAGATTATTGTAGAATTTGGAAAATGATCCTCATATTAACTTTTAAAAGTACAATTTCTTTTTTTTTTTTTTTTGAGACGGAGTCTCCCTCTGTCGCCCAGGCGGGAGTACAGTGGCGCAATCTCGGCTCACTGCAAGCTCCGCCTCCTGGGTTCACGCCATTCTCCTGCCTCAGCCTCCCAAATAGCTGTGACTACAGGCGCCCACCACCACGCCTGGCTAATTGTATTTTGTATTTTTAGTAGAGACGGGGTTTCACCATGTTAGCCAGGATGGTCTCGATCTCCTGACCTCATGATCCGCCCACCTTGGCCTCCCAAAGTGCTGGGATTACAGGCGTGAGCCACCGCACCCGGCCTAAAAGTACAATTTCATAACAATATCCAAGAAAATTATAAAAAATTGATGACAAAAATTAAATAAGTATCTTATATAACATAAATATCTTATATAACATACTACAAAGTTATAGTAATCAGATATGTAACATAAGCACAAGAAATAGGCAGCTGGATTAGTGAAATAGCTAAGAACTGCCATTTCAGAGATCACAGAAGAGTTATATTACTTGTAACATGAGCAGCAGAAATAGACAACTGGATTAGTGAAAAGGCCAAGAAACAGATTCATGAAAAAGTTACTTTTAAATATGTGTGGAAATTATAAGTGACATTTATATACAGTGATTGATTATCCATTAGGGAAAACTATTTGTTGTCCAATTTACATTATACACAAAAATACACGAATTAACTCCCTTAAAGATTAAATAGCTAAAGGTTAAAGACATTATTTTTAACTGGTCAAATATGAAAGAATAATTTTATAGAACTGTGGGGCAGAATACTTTTTTAAGCAACACAACAAATTGAACAGAAAGTGAAAGACTGACAGACCTGACCACATAAAAATTAAAATTTCTGCAAAAAGTTTCATGAAGAGAAATAAGAATAAGCAACAACAAAAAATAGAATAAGTAACACATTAAGGATAAATATTCATAACAGATAATAGTTAAACGAAAGAGAAAAACCAATCCTATTAAAAAACTGGGCAAAAAATATAGGCAGATAATATACTCAATGAAAGCATGTAAAGTGGCCAAAATGAAAAGATGTTCCATCTCTATATAAAAATATGAAAAAAAATCAACCTCAATAGTAATGCAAATTAAAATAAAAATAATTCATGTTTTACCCATCCAGTTTGGGAATAATTTTTAATCCAGTTTTGGCAAGTTTTAAAAATGAAGTGTAAATTGGTTTAACATTTTTAAATGGCAATATGGCAATATCTAGCAAAACTTTAAATTTGCATACTCTTTGTTTCAGCAATTCTACTAATCTGGACACATACTCACACATATGTAAAAAAAGGGTAACTGTTATGTTTTTATAATAGTTCAAAATTGGATGGAGCTTTGAATAAATGATTGCCCCTAAGTACTATAGCAGACACTATTTCTGATACAAAATAGTTTTTCTGTTAACATTTGCTATACTTTTAGTAGTAATTATGATTGTTGGGATCTGTGTTGGGTATTTTCCATTTCTCCTCCAGATCTTCACTTTCTACCTATGTCTATCTTGTGTGGACCTTGGAAGCTAAACTCTGTGGAGTACAACCACAGACTTTTGCTTCTGTTTGGGCCTCACTAGTAAGTGGAAGGATGATTAGAATAAGGCTGAATATTTATTATACTGACTCCTTCCATGCTAAGTCACTGTGGGTTAGATGCTTCTCTCTCATACAGGCCACAATTTCAGTCAGGTCCCCATTCTGGTAGAAAACTTTCCTTGTTTTTTCAGGCCTGAGGTGGTAACAGCTCCCTGCTATAGTGAGCCACAAAGTTCTGCACTATCCATTGTCTGGTTTTTTAAGGCCCACTCACACCTTTGTAAATAGTTCCTATAGTTAACTCTCCTCAAGGTTTCAGTGAACCATTGATTTATTGCCAGTACCCTTTCTGACACTATACATAACAATGTTTAATTTTTCTTTATTGCTGACTGCAATAGACTGAATGTTTGTGTCCTTCCCTAAATTCTTTTGTTGAAATCCTACCCACCAATATGATGATATTAGGAGGTGGACCCTTTGGGAGGTGATTAGATCGTAAACGTGGAGCCCTTGTGAATAAGATTAGTGCCCTTGTAAAAGAGGCCCCAGTGAGTTGTTATCCCTCTTTCTGCCATGTAAGGATACAATGGGAAGAGGGGCATACAGAACCTGGAATAGGGTCTTCCCCAGAGCTTGACCATGCTGGCACCCTGATCTCAGACTTCCAGCCTCTAGAACTATGATAAATACATTTCTGTTTTTTTTTTTACTAGCCAGACAGTCTATGGCACTTTGTTATAGCAGCCCATATAGATTAGAATACTAGCAAAGCTCTATTTTACTTGCAGGCTTTTGCCTTCTCTTTTACAGCTTTTTGTTCAGAGAAGGTAACTTTTTCTTCAACATAATGATCGATCTTGATTATTCTGAGTTAATAGAATGGTAATTCTATTAACTGTGGGAAAAATTGATTTACAAGTGGTTAATGGGATATGAAGAGAGGGGCTTCTAGGGAAAGCTCTCATGAACTTAAAAAAAAAAGACAAACAAGAAGAAATGTTTTTCTGGTGGACATGGTCAAGTCTGGGTTGATATCTGGCAGCCATTTTGTAACCACTGCTGGAGCTGACTTGTGTACCACACCATCTTGCTAATGTGGCACAGAAGGCAATGGCAAGACCCTGGGCTTTGAAGGACACCGATGAGCTGACAAATCTATCAACCTTAGGGTTGCCTTGTCTTGTGTATCCTCTTTGGTGAGATAATTGTCCCTTATTATTTAATAACCTACGTTGAGTTGATTTTCTCTTAGGTGCAATTGAAGACATGCCCACTGACATGAATACTATTAAATGTTGAATATTGAATGTTGAAAAGCACTAAAAAAAGGGTAAATTGGCTGTTATTGAGTTGCCAATATTTCTGAGAATAATTGTTCACAAAAGAAAATTAAATGAAGATTTTATATATATACATATATATCATTAGATATTGCTATATATAAAAATATCATTAGATTATACATATTTATAAAATAATATTTTGCCTCATATCCCCAAACTAAATAAGTATACATGTTATCTATGTAATTGGTTTATTGAATGTTCTGGAATCAATAGAATATAAAAAGAAAACAACTTATTTTTACTTCATGCTACTCCATTAAGCCCAATCATCAACTTACTCTTCCCTCCTCTGGATGTAATATTTGGCAGATCCCATAGCTCTTGTGAGAAACCTCGAGGATTCATGTATAACCTGTGTCTCCTTTATTAAATGATCTAGTGTAACCTAATGGCAAAGTTTCTATCTTTGATTAAATTTAAATATTTTTTCAATCCAACTTGGGCTTCCTTAAATTTTTAAACCTGCGTTAGAAAGGGAAACATTTAGGTCTTCTTCACTTTTTCACCACCTCGTTCATCGACTACCCCTGCTTATGTGCTTGGCTCCCGTAGAGTTGTAACAGGGAAAGAAGGTGAGGGATATAAAAAGTCTTAACTTATTGGCTGCCATTGGGGCTTTTTGCGTATCATGTTGACAATGCTGGCTAATTTTCTCATGAAATTTATTTATATGTTTCTTGGGTGATTTTCTCTGGTGAGGGGCTCAGGCTGAAGCTCTATGTAAAGGCAATGCCTCCTTTACCTTATTATATATCTATTTCCTCAGCACTGATTTTTCTGAGTTCCATCCCTCTGTAGGGGCCATCTCATCCTGTGTGAAATACACTTCAAAGGGATTCATTAAAGATTAACCGTGTTTTTCTTCCTTTGGCAGAGTATATATCTGAGAAACACACATCTTTTTCTTCTTGTTGTGTGTATTAAACATATATCTCTCTGTAATCTCTCTTTCTCGAGCAATTCTACTCAAAATTCACCTCTTGAGATTTCAAGGTTTTTTTTTCTTTTTTTTTTTTGAGATGGAGTCTCACTCTGTCACCCAGGCTGGAGTGCAGTGGCATGATCTCGGCTCACTGAAACCTCCGGCTCCCGGGTTCAAGCGATTCTCCTGTCTCAGCCTCCCCAGAAGCTGGGATTACAGATGTGTGCCACCACACCCAGCTAATTTTTTTATTTTTAGTTGAGACAGGTTTCACCATGTTGGCCAGGCTTGTCTGGAACTCCTGACCTCAGGCGACCTGGCTGCCTCAGACTCCCAAAGTGCTGGGATTATGGGCGTGAGCCACCATGCCCGGTGGAGATTTCAAGTTTTTATCAGACCATATTCTCAGACTCCAAAAGGCCAAGTTCTACAACTGCTTATCCCAAGTTTTGCCTATTATTTACCTCCAAATATATAAAAGAATGGTAGAATCCATTAGGTTTCTAAAGGAATTGGAGAATATGAATTTCTTTAAAGGGATATTTAGTATGCTGTGACGTGATTTCTATGTTCTTTTTTTTGAGAAAAAAGAGGGTATAACCTGTCATGTAACTGAGGACAAGCCAGTCGTTGAGCTAGACGTAGCCACCCTCTTTGCAAATGGTTTAAAAGTTTAACTTATAATTTGCCCTTAATTGGCACCCCATTTTCTTGGCTTTGAGATAATTAAGACTGAGTCTTCAGTTAAAATGTTAAGACCTAGAAAATTTCATTTTAACGTGTCATTTCCAGTAATAGATATGCAAATGCCTAGAAAAAGGATGTCTTAGCATCAAGAAGAAGTATAAAGAAGTATCAGAACAACGTACTTCATGTTAAAGGGGCTAGTTTTAGGGAAGGGAAGGATATGGAATAGGGTGTAGGTCAAAGTAGAAGAGAACATTTAATATTCATAGTATACACTTCTTTTTTGTTCAGATTTTTAAAATGAACCTTCATATATCATTTATGTACCTGTAAACAACAACAACAACAAATAAAAAAGAGGTGAGTACAACTAGACCTTTGGAGCCAAAACTATTGGAGAATTCATTAGATCATGAACTGTTCAATAATGGAATTATGTACTTTTGTATCACCGACTCCTTTTTCTTACAATCTTGATGCATGGAAAGTTTAATAAATCTGTGCTGAATGTAGAAACAGAAGTGAAAACAATATACTTGAAGTTTCTAATCATGGAGTCAGGGTATATTGTGTTTAGACACGTTGAGGACACTGCCATACCAGCTAGAAAGAAAACGGGCACACCTTAGCCCATTCCCCTCAAGTAGTATGCAGGAAAGGGAACATGTGTCTTTTTCCCCCAACTTTATGAGATTCATGTGTAATTACAATTGGCTGTCCTGAGAAATGAAAATGACCACCTAACCTCGTTGCCTTTGGCACACTTAATATAGTTTTGTGGCAGCCTACATATGTAATAAAACATTTTATCTGACTAGGAATTCCTATAGTAAAAGAAAAAATCTAAATCCCTGGGGCTGCACAGGTGGATTAGATTATGGCAGTATTAACAAAAATACTTTTCTAGTTCTGTTCATCATAAACACAAAACATATATAAAACATTATATAGGGAGCTTTCACTTATGAAAATATTAATATATAAAAAATGTAACCCTGTTCCAAATTTAGACCATGCAAAATGAATCTACTAATCACTCAAAGTGCTAAATATATTTTTGACTATGTTTTTATTTGACTTAAAATTTAGAAGGGCTTTCAGGGATGTTTTCAAAATCTATCACTAAAAATCAAACAGAAAAATTTTCATTATTATAAAGCAAGCTGAAATATTCAAAATCATTCTTCTGAAAGCTTATTTGAATAATAATTCTTGTAGCAATCTCAATCTTTAGAGGAAATGCTAAAGATTGCAATTTCTAGGGATTAGAGAAAGCAGTCCTCTCTTACCAGGTACATCTCTTGATCATAGCCTCTCGCACCCCCACCTTATTTCTCTACTCTCCCCTCCCCAAGTTTAAAGGCAGAACAAAAAGGAAATAGTGGTTTGTATGTCCTAAAAGACAAGAAGCATGACCAGGACTATAGGATAAAGGCAAGAGGAGGCAGTCTTCATTTGCTGTGATGGAGGATGGGAGAGGAATGAACCATGAGCTAATTGGCTTCAGAATGTTCACACCAGCTGTTGGAGCCCTTTTCTTGATCATTGCTGCAGGGTCGCTGACTATCTGGGACTCTGCTATAGAAACTAACATTCAAGTAAGAAAAGACCTGAAAAGAGAGGAATAGCTGTTAATTAGACAGTACTGAACAAGCTGAGCAGTGAAAATGTGGGACTGCCATACCTTGAGGAGAAATTTGGCCAATGTGATAACCTACATATTAGTGACAGCAAAGAATGTCTGCAAAGGTTAATTTTCTAAAGGTTGAGACTTTATTCTTGCTTCAAAGTTCCTTACATAGCAAAGGGGTTTATCATTCACCTATCACTGTCACAAAAATAACGAGGGCTTTGAGGCTTTCTCCTGAACTTTACAGATATTTGCAAAGCATTTATGTGGCTCTTAAAGGTAAATGTGTTTCACCAGACTTACATAAACACTATTAGGATGAATATAGCATCTCAGCCATTTTTCTCTTTTTAATGTCTTTGAGTTTACAAATATTACCTCTGGAAAGTAAATGGAACTTCCTTGTTCTCTTACTGTGGTATAGACTCTCAACTCTAATATTGAAACAGAATAAAATTATCTTGCTATGCAGTTGAGATCCTGTATTTGAGATCGTATAATAAAGAATCGTTTGTGTGCTAAAAATTTTGACACAGAAGTCTGAGAGGTATAAGGAACAATGCAAACTCATTTAATGCACTACAATCTCCAGGCACTTTTGGCATTTTTAATAGGATTTTTAGGCATAACATCTTACATAACCACACAGAAACTGTTTCATTTCTAGTCTTTTATCATGAGCAAGAAATTAGAAAATAGTGCTTCCTATGCTAAAGAAAAATTTGCTGGTGATTACACTTTTTATGGTTGAGTTCCTTACAGATGATTTTTCCCACTTGTAAAGAATGTGGTAGTAACCATCTCATATTTTAACAGAAGAAATGAAAGGAAATAGATCTATTTGCATCACATTGCATTGTATTGAGTTTGTAAAGAAGTTCCTCAATCTTCTGAGATTTTGTTTACAAACATAGTTTCTATAGACTTGGCAATAGTTTCAGTGCCTCTGTAGTTTACAAGTCTTAAAATATATGAGATTGATAATGCTCCACATATACAACCATGCAACTGCTCCAGAGGAAATCTTTTCCTTTTTCTTTTCTACTTTAAACGAATGGCCAGTGGATATTTTCAAATGGGTGAAGGTCTAATTATAATATAAATTTTAATGCTAAGAGGAATTAAGATTTTTCTAATAAGGTTTGGACGGCCACAAAGAGCAATGCATTGCTTTCTTGGACATTCAAAGATTTCTAAACATTCTGCAGAAAATACAGACAGAAAATCTACACAATGTATTTTAGTTCTGTGCCTTCCACATATAGAAAAATTATATTTGAAAAGTCAATATTCAACTAGAATGGGAATCTAGCCTATATTTGGGAGTCAACATTAATATTAGAAGAAATATTTAACTTTGATTAATGAATGACAGAACTTGGGAATTTTTAGTAGAAACGTATATGTAAATTATTTTAATTAGGGTGCACTCAAAGTTTTATAATAATGACAATAATAAGACTCAGCGCTATGTAAAGTGTCAAGGGCTAGTTATGCTCCAGATCCTGTGAAGGATACTTTGTGTACATTTCATTTATACCCAAGCCAATTTTATGAAATAGATACTTTTATTCTCAATTTACAGATAATTTAAAGTGACAATTCTAAAGTCATATAGCTGGAAATCGTTAAGCTTAAATCCAAGTACTAGTCCCTTTGATTTCTTAGCTTATGCTCTTGGCAGTTGTTTTGATTGTTAATGCTACACTAAAAATCACCACAGACATAATGGTGTACAACAAAAACAACACTCATTTATTAATATTAGCTTCATGGTTTGAGGGTTGACTGTGCAGAAGTTAGCTGAGTCTCTTATATGACTGCACTCAGTGTCTGAGACTGGAGTTATCAAAAGATTTCTCACTCACAGGCCCGGCTATTGGGCAGAGAACCCTTACACATGGTTTCTACATGTAGCTCAGGCTTCCTCAGAGCAGAACAGCAAGGTTTCAAGGGAGGAGTATCCCGAAAGATAGAGCTCAGAGGAACCCTTATTGTATTTTCTTAACTAGTCTTCAAAAACACAGCAACACTTCTGCAGCATTGTAAATAGTAGAAGTGACTCACTGAGGCCAGCATATTGTCAAATGGAGGGAAAATATGCTCTATCTCTTAATGCAACCAGTGTCAAAGGTTTTGTGAACATTTCTTCTTCTTTTTTATTTTTTTTTTAGTTCAATAGGTTTTTGGGGAATAGGTGATGTTTGGTTACATGAATGACTTCTTTAGTGGTGATTTCTCAGCTTTTGGTACACCCATCACCCAAGCACTGTACACTTTGCCCAATGTGTAGTCTTTTATCCCTCGCCCCCATTCCGCCCTTTCACCCAAGTCCCCAAAGGCCAGTGTATCATTTTTATGCATTTGGGTCCTCACAGCTTAGCTCCCACTTATGCGTGAGAACATATGATGTTTGGTTTTTCCTTCCTGAGTTACTTCGCTTAGAATAATGGTCTCCAGTTCCATCCAGGTTGCTGCAAATGCCATTATTTCATTTATTTTATGGCTGAGTAGTATTCCATAGTATGCATGTGTATGTGTGTGTGTAGGTATGTGTGTGTGTATATATATATACACACACACACATATATATACACACATATATATATACACATATATATACACACACACATATATACACACACACACACACACACATATATATATATATATATGCACATTTTCTTTATCCACTCATTGATTAATGGGCATTTGGGATGGTTCCGTATTTTTGTAATTGCGAATTGTGCTGCTATAAACACTTGCTAGTATCTTTTTTATATTATGACTTCTTTTCCTCTGGGTAGATACACATGAGTGGGATTGCTGGATCAAATAGTAGATTTACTTTTCGTTCTTGAAGGAGTCTCCACACTATTTTCCATATGGGGTACTAGTTTACATTCCCAACAGCAGTGTAAAAGTGTTTCCTTTTCACCACATCCACACCAACATCTTCTTTGATTTTTTAATTATGACCATTCTTTCAGAAATAAGTTGGTATCACATTGTGGTTTTAATTTGCATTTCTCTAATAATTAGTGATGTTGAGCATGTTTTCATATATTTGTTGGCTGTTTGTATATCTTCTTTTAAGAATTGTCTATTTATGTCCTTAGCCCACTCTTTGATGGGATTGTTTGGTTTTTTGTCTTGCTGATTTGTTTGAGTTCCTTGTAGACTCTGGATATTAGTCCTTTGTTCGATGCATAGCTTGCAAAGATTTTCTCCCACTCTCTAGGTTGTCTGTTTACTCTGCTGATTATTTCTTTTGCTGTGCAGAAGCTTTTTAGCTTAATTAAGTCCCATCTATTTATCTTTGTTTATGTCACATTTGCTTTTGGGTTCTTGGTCATCAAGTCTTTGCTTAAGCCAATGTTAGAAAGGTTTTTCCAATGATATCTTCTAGATATTTTTATGGCCTCAGGTCTTAGGTTTAAGTCCTTGATCCATCTTGAGTTGATTTTTTATAAGGTGAGGGAAGAGGTCCCAGTTTTATTCTTCTACATGTTGCTTGCCAATTATCCCAGCATCATTTTGTTGAATAGGGTACTCTTTCCCCACTTTATGTTTTTGTTTGCTTTGTCAAAGATCAGTTGAATGTAAGTATTTAGCTCTATTTCCAGTTCTCTATTTTGTTTCATCAGTCTATATGCCTGTTTTTATACCAGTACATGCTGTCTTGGTGACTACAGCCTTACAGTGTAGTTTGAAATCAGGTAATATAATGCCTCCAGATTTGTTATTTTCCTTAGGCTTGGTTTGGCTATGAGCGCTCTTTTTTAGTTCCATACGAATTTTAGGAATGTCATTTCTAATTCTGTGAAGAATGATGGTGGTATTTTGATGGGAATTGCATTGAATTTGTAGGCTGCTTTTGACAATATGGTCATTTTCACAATAATGATTTTACCCATACATGAGCATGGCGTATTAGTCTGTTTTCACACTGCTGATAAGAACATACTTGAGATTAGGCAATTTACAAAAGAAAGAGGTTGAATTGGACTTACAGTTCCACGTGGCTAGGGAAGCCTCACAATCATGGCAGAAGGCAAGGAATAGCAAGGCACATCTTACATGGATGGCAGCAGGCAAAGAGAGAGAGCTTGTGCAGGGGAACTCCTCTTTTTAAAGCCATCACGTCTTGTGAGACTTATTCACTTCATGAGAACAGCACAGGGAAGACTTGCCGCCATGTTTCAATTACCTCCCACTGGGTCCCTCCCACATCCCACAACATGTGGGAATTCAAGATGAGATTTGGATGGAGAGACAGCAAAACATGTCACATGGGATATGTTTCCATTTGTTTGTGCCATCCATTATTTATTTCAGCAATGATTTGTAGTTTTCCTTGTAGAGGTCTTTCACCTCCTTGGCTAAGTATATTCCTAAGGAATTTATTTTATTTTTGCAGCTATTGTAAAAGGGGTTGACTTTTTAATTTGATTCTCTGCTTGGTTGCTGTTGGTGTATAGCTGGGCTTCTGATTTATGTACATTAATTTTGTATCCCGAAACTTTGCTAAAGTAATTTACCAGTTCTAGGAGCTTTTTGGATGAGTCTTTAGGGTTTTCTAGGTATACAATGATATAATCAGCAAATAGTAGCAGTTTGCTTCCTCTTTACTGTTTTGGATGCCCTTTATTTCTTTCTTTTGTGTGATTGCTCTGGCCATGACTTCCGGTACTATGTTGAATAGAAGTGGTGATAGTGGGCATCTATGTCTTGTTCCAGTTCTCAGGGGGAATGCTTTCAACTTTTCCCCATTCAGTATAAAGTTGGCTGGAAGTTTGTCATCAATGACTTTTTTTACCTTAACGTATGTCCCTTCTATGCCAATTTTGCTGAGGGTTTTAATCGTAAAGAGATGCTGGATTTTGTCAAATGCTTTTTTTGTATCTATTGAAATAATCATGTGATATTTGTTTTCAATTCAATTTATGTAGTATATCACATTCATTGACTTGTGGATGTTAAACCATCCCTGGATCCCTGGTATGAAACCCACTTGATTATGGTGGATTACCTTGTTGATATGCTGTCAGGATCAGTTAGCTAGTATTTTGTTGAGGATTTTGTATCTATGTTCATCACGAATATTGGTCTATAGTTTTCTTTTTTTGTTATGTCCTTTCCTGGTTTTGGTATTAGAGTGAAACTTGATTCATAGAATGATTTAGGGAGGAGTCAGTCTTTCTCTATCCTGTGGAATAGTGTCAATAGGATTGGTGCCAACTCTTCCTTGAATATCTGATAGGAATTCAGCTGTGAATCCATCAGGTACTGGGCACTTTTTGTTGTTGTTGGTAACTTTTTAATTACTATTTCAAACTCACTGCTTGTTTTTTGTCTGTTCAGAGTTTCTATTTCTTCCTGGCTTAATCTAGGAGGGTTGTATATTTCCAGAAATTTATCCATATCCTCTAGGTTTTCTAGTTTAGGTGCATGGAGGTGTTCATACTAGCCTTAAAAGATCTTTTGTATTTCTGTGGTATCAGTTGTAACATCTCCCATTTCATTTCTAATTGAGCTTATTTTGGTCTTCTCTCTTCTTTTCTTGGTTAATCTTGATGATGGTATATCACTTTGATTCATCTTTTCAAAGAACCAGCTTTTTGTTTCATTTATATTTTGCATTGTTTTTTGGTTTCAATGTCATTTAGCTCTGCTCTGATCTTGGTTATATTTTTCTTCTGCCTTGTTTGGGTTTAATTTGTTCTTATTTCTCTAGTTCCTCGAGGTATGTCCTTAGATTGTCTATTTGTGCTCTTTCAGACTTTTTGATGTAGGCACTTAATGCTATGAACTTTCCTCTTAGCACTGCCTTTGCTGTATCCCATATGTTTTGATAGGTTGTGTAACTGCTATTGTTCGAGTCAAATAATTTTTACATTTTCATCTTGATTTCATTGTTGACCCAGTGATCATTCAGGAGAAGTTTATTTAATTTCCATGTAATTTCATGGTTTTGAGGGTTCCTTCTGAGTTGATTTCCAACTTTATTCTGCTGTGGCCTGTGACAGTACTTGCTATAATTTTGAATTTCTTAAATGTGTTGAGTCTTGTTTTGTGGCCTGTCATGTAGTCTATCTTGGAGAATGTTCCATGTGTTCATTAATAGAATGTAATATTCTGCAGTTGTTGGGTAGAATGTTCTGTAAATATCTGCTAAGCGAATTTGTTGTAGAGCATAGGTTAAATCCATTTGTTGACTTTCTGTCTTGATGACCTGCCTAGTGCTGTCAGCGGAGTATTGAAGTCCCCCACTATTATTGTGCTGCGTCTGTTTCATTTCTTCAGCCTAGTAGAACTGTTTTATAAATTTGGGAGCACCAGTGTTAGGTGTGTGTGTATATATATATATATATATATATATATATATAGAGAGAGAGAGAGAGAGAGAGACAGAGAGAGAGAGAGAGAGAGAGAGAGAGAGAGAAAGAGAGAGAGGATTGTGATGTTTTCCTGTCAGACTAGTCCTTTTATCATTATATAATTTCCTTCTTTGTATTTTTTAACTGCTATTGCTTTAAAGTTTATTTTGTCTGATACAACTAACTCCTGCTTGCTGTTGGTGTCCATTTGCATGAAATGTCTTTTTCTATCCCTTTACCTTAAGGTTATGTGAGTTCTTATGTTTCAAGTGAGTCTCTTGAAGACAGCAGATACTTGGTTGGTGAACTCTTATCCATTCTGCTATTCTGTATCTTTTAAGGGGAGCATTTAGGCCATTTGCATTCAATGTTAGTATCGAGATATGAGGTACTATTCTATTTATTGTGCTATTTGTTGCCCAAATACCTTGGTTTTCTTTGATTGTATTGCTGTTACATAGGTCCTGTGAGATTTATGCTTTAAGGAAATTCTATTTTCATGTATTTTGAGGATTTGTTTCAAGATTTAGAGCTCTTTTTAGCAGTTCTTGCAGTGCTGTCTTGGTAGTGGTGAATTCTCTCATAATTTTCTTGTCTGAAAAAAACTATATCTTTCCTTCATTTATGAAGCTTAATTTCACTGGATACAAAATTCTTGGGTTATAATTACTTTGTTTATGGAGGCTAAAGATAGGACCCCAAACTCTTCTAGCTTGTAGGGTTTCTGCTGAGAAATCTGCTGTTAATCTGATAGGTTTTTCTTTATAGGTTACCTGATGCTTTTGTCTCACAGCTCTTCAGATTCTCTCCTTCATCTTGACTTTAGATAACCTGATGATGCTGTGCCTAGGCTATGATATTTTTGTGATGAATTTCTCAAGTGTTCTTTGAGCTTCTTGTATTTGGATGTCTAGGTCCCTAGCAAGGCTGGGGAAATTTTCCTCAATTATTCCCTCAAATATGTTTTAAGTTGTGGCAACACATGTAACATGTAACATAAAGTTGACCATCTTAATCATTTTTAAGAGTACAATTCAGTGGCATTAAGTAAATTGACACCATTATGAAACCATCACCACCAACCATCTTCAGAACATTTTTCATCTTTTAAAACTGAAATGCGGTACCCATTAAACAATAATTCCCCATTACCCCACCCCTGGAACTACCATTATCTTCCTGTTTCTATGAATTTGACTGCTCTATGTATCTCATATAAGTGGAATCATACAATATTTATCCTTTAGTGACTGGCTTATTGCACTTAGTATATCCTCAAGGTTCATACATGCTGTAATATGTGTCAAAGTTTCCTTTCTTTTTAACATTGTGTAATGTGCCATTGTCATTATGTGCCACATTTTGTTTATTCATTCATCTATTGATGGACACTTGAGTTGTTTCCACCTTTTGACTACTGTGAATAATACTTTATGAACATGGGTGTACAAATATTTCTTTAAGGAGTGGAAATGATGAATCATATGGTAATTCTATTTTTGATTTTTTTTCTTTTTGACACGGAGTCTCGCTCTGTTGCCCAGGCTGGACTGCAGTGGTACAATCTCAGCTCACTGCAGCCTCTGCCTCCCAGATTCAAGCAATTCTTCTGTCTCAGCCACCTGAGTAGTTAGGACTATAGGCACTCACTGCCATGTCAGCTAATTTTTGTATTTTTAGTAGAGACGGGGTTTCAGCATGTTAGCAAGGATGGTCTTGATCTCTTGACCTCGTAATCCATCTGTCTTAGCTTCCCAGAGTGCTGGGATTACAGGTGTGAGCCACCGTGCCCAGCCTATTTTTATTTTTATTTTTTAGAAACTATTATACTGCTTTCCATAGTTACTATACTGCTTTACGTTCCCACCAACAGTAGTGAAGAATTCTAATTTGTTCATCTCCTCACCAACACTTATTTCCTGTAGTTTTTTAATAGTAGTCATCCTAATAGATAGGGGGTAGTATCTCATTCGGCTTTAATTTATATTTCCCTAATGATCACTGATGTTGAACATCTTTTTATATGCTTTTGGCTATTTATATATTTTATTTGGAGAAATATCTATTAACTTTTTTGTCCATTTTAAAATTGGTTGTTAGTTTTGTTGTTGTAGGAGTTCTTTATGTATTCTGGATATCAATTCTTTATCAGGTATATTATTTGAAAGTATGTTCTTCCATTCTGTGGATTGCTTTTTCATTCTGTCGATTGTATCCCTCGGTGCACAAAAGTTTTAAATTTTGATGTGATTCTATTTATTTATTTTTTAATTGTTGCCTGTGCTTTTAATGTCATACCCAATAAATCATTGCCAAATCCAATTGCATGAAGGTTTTACCTATGTTTTCTTCTATGAGTTTTGTGGTTTTAGATCTTATGTTTAGGTCTTTGATCCATTTTGAGTTAATTTTTGTATATGATATAAGATAAAGGTCCAACTTCATTCTTTTGCATGGTTATACAGTTTTTCCAGCACCTTTTTTTTTTTTTTAGGAGACTGTCATTTCCCCATTGAGTGGTCTTTGGCACCCTATTGAAAATCATTTTACTATATATGTGAGGATTTATTTCTGGGCTGTCTATTCAGTTCCATTGGTTTATATGTCTGTCTTTATGCCAGTGCTATATGGTTTTGATCAATGTACCTTTGAAATATGTTTTGAAATAAGAAAGTGTGGGGCCTCCAGAGTTGCTCCTTTTTATTATTGTTTAGGCTCTTTGATGTCTCTTGAGATTCCATAGGGATTCAAGAACATTTTTTTGCAGTGTATATGGAATTGTTTTCTTAATTTCCTTTTTGGATTGTTCATTGTTACTGTATAAAAACACAATTTTTGTGTACTTATTTTTCAGCTTACAAATTTATTGAATTCATTTATTAGTTCTGACAGAATTTTTTATTTTGGTTTGGTTTTGTGTGTATGTAGAATCTTTAAGGTCTTCTACATATAGGATCATGCTATCTGTGAATAGAAAAACTTTTGCATCTTCCTTTACAATCTGGATGGCTTTTACTGAACTTTCTTGCCTAATTTTTCTGGCTAGGACTTTAAGTATTATGTTCAATAGAAGTGCCAAAAGTGAGCCTCCCATCTTCTTGATTATAGAGAAAAGCTTTTAGTTTTTTCTCATCGACTACCATGTTAGCTGCTGAGAATATCTTTTAAATCACCACAGGAATTTTGAACGTTTGTTTAACATATATTTTCTAGAACAAAATGGTATTTTACTTATATTTGAGCCACAGGGAATCACTAACATAGCTTTTGGTCAGTTATGCAAAAATTAGAAAGAAGACAGACAAAGCAACCAAAGGCAATGACAAAAACATTAGCCAGTTTATCAGAAATGGTATTGTGAAATCAGGTACCATTGTTATATTCAAGCCATGCTGGCTTATTTGTAATTATTTTTAATCCCCCCAAAGATTAAAGCTACTACCTTCATAAAAATAGGCAATCAAGTTTAAGTTTCAGTTTTGTTTAATTATGTTTAAGATTACTCTTTAAAACACATTTTAAGTATGGCAATGGTAATATTTCATACGTGAGGAAATAATAGATTACTTAATAAGTCATGTTGAGAAAACTTTATGTTGTTAGAAAACAAAAATTAATTTCAATCTTTAACTACCACAGTCCCCAATCTATTTTACAAGAACTAAAAAATTAAACAGGAACAATAAAGCCATCAAAATATAAAAATAATATAAGAAGACAGTTTTTGTAATATTGGGTTACAGGAGACCTTCCAAAGAATGACATAATAACAAAGATTGACACACACGACAAAATAAAATTTAAAACTTCTGAATAGCATATGACACAAAAGCGAAAGGCAAAATGGGGTTCATTGTTACAAATATGAACGAGAGTTATTATCAAAAATGGATAAAGAAGTTCTACTGAAGAAATTTTTTAAAAGATTTACACATAACCCAATATAAAAATTTACTAATTACATAAGCTGGCAATTCAGAAAAAAAAGGACAACAAATGAGCAATGGACATTTAAAATCACTTGACCCAACTACCAATCACAGGAAAACAATGATGTTTATTTCTCTGCTAGAGTGGAAAATATTGACACACTTGGTGATTTCTAGAGTCTGGAGTGTGCTGGTTATTTGCCTATGTACTCTTCACTCCAGTTTTTGCTAATTCTCTTCTGTGTTCTTCATGGTAGGAGGGCTGGCGCTTACAGAGCACATTACCCAGCGGCTAATATCCATTGCCTTCTAGCCGCTTTTGACAAAGTAATGAACTGGTGGAAGACTGCAGGTTGAACCAAAAGAGTAAGTCAGGTTATTTCTTACCTCCCTCTTTGTAGTGTAGTGGCTGTGGCCAGCAACACTGCTTCCTTGGCTTTGTTTCTAGCTGATACATTCAGCTTCCTGGCTCTGGTAAGACCTCATCCTCCCACTGTCCCTCCACCAGTGTCATACCCAATGCAAAACATTGGAGCAGTAGGTGTGGGCTATAAGGGAGTACCTTGTCGGAAGATAATTTAAAATCATATTGAAACTAACAACCAGTCTGTTTTTATTATATCTATGTGCTAGCAATTCTAAATAATGTCAATGACAAAATTCTCCTCTTACCAAGGCTATCACTCCGCATGTACCCACCTTAATCCCCAGCTTGACATACCATAAATTCATACCACATAGGAGTAATAGCAGTAGCCTTCTAACAGTAAGCCTTCTAATTAGTAAATCCCAGAATCACTTGACCACACTTGGTTTGGTTTCTCAACTCTTCAATTATCTGTGTCACAAACTTCCTATTTTAAATGTAGAGGGGCCCAGGCAGGAGGATACCTTGAGCCCAGGAGTTTAAGGCCAGCCTGGGCAACAGAGTGGGACCCCATTTCTACAAAAAATTAAAAAATTTATCCAGGTGTGGTGGTGCAGGCCTGTAGTCCGAGCTACAAGGGAGGCTCAAGTGGGAGGATTGCTGGAGCTCAGAAGTTCCGGGCTGCAGTGAGTGGTGATCATGGCATTGCACAGTAGCCTGGGCAACAGAGTGAGACCCTGTCTCAAATGAACAAATAAATAAATGTAGAGATACCTGTTTTCCTATTTGAACCCCAACTCATACAGTTAGTGTATGTGGAAACTGGCAAGTTCATTTGTTGTAGGTGTTAGTGAAATAGATATAAACTCTTAAGATGGCAATTTGATAATATCCAAATTTCAATGTGCATTTACCTATTATAGAAGTGACAGTGAAAGGTAATAGAGCTTATGTTTTCTAGATTAAATTCTTTTGTATTTGTTACTTGCACTACTTTTTAAGTAAAATTACGTGTTTCTAATTTGAAAAGGAAAAGAAAGTCCTATACTTAAAGCATATGCGGCATACTGTCAAGCTGAGAATGTAAGTGTGCATTTCTGATTGTCAAGTTGTGTTTACATAACAGAAATTTTTTAAAAATAAAAATATTAGTTAAAGACAAATATGACTGGAACAAAAATCCCAAAAAAGTAGAGGGAGAGAAATAATCAATGGTGAAGGATGGACCTGCTGCTAAGATGCAATTAATTTCCAAGCAAAATACATAATGAACTGGGGTGTTACAAGATATGTTATGAAACCTGCTGTGAAGAAACAAAAAGTAAGTAATCATGCCAGCTCAGAAGGATGTATTCTAGTTTTATCAAAAGTTGAAGAGGTAAGCAGGCTTTCAGGGATCACTTTTGCCAAGCTGCAGGAAGTCAATGAAGTGGGAGCCATGTGTGTTATTGTAGAAATGTGATGGGTAATTCATAGCCAGATAAAGCATGCAGTGCTGAGTGGTGTAAAACACCAGTTCTCAGGGTTTGTGACACAGGCACCTGGGGAATTCAGTTATTGTCCAGGTGCTACACAGGCAGCATGTCTTGGCTGTAAACTTACTGAGTAATATGTCTGACACATTACTATGAGAAACAACCTATTAATGTATCTGGAATCAAGCAGACCTGAGTTTGAATTTATAACCTCACTAGCAGTGAGACTCCAGACATGACTCAAGCTCTCTTAGTTTCTTTTTCTCATCTACAAGATCCTGATAAAAATCCTTACATCGTATACTTATTGTATGACATGGGTGAGCACTTACAATAGCCCAGTGCTCTTCCATTATTCAAATACTCATAATTTGATGAATAATTTATCAAAATTCATTTATATTCAAAACTTGTTTGTTGTCATTATGAAATATTCTCAATCAACTACTGTTGAAAGTATGCCGACTATTATATTGAGTTCCACAAAAATGATTTTTTACAACTCAGACAGATTGGAACCAACTAAATGTAAATATTATGAATATATGAAGTGGTGACACTAAAGTTTACTAGGGAGATTCCCATATTACAAAAAATAAAGGTAGTCATTTTAAATGACATCAGTATAAGTGGAGAAAAATCTCAACAAGATAATGTCAGTTAGGAGACAGTAAACATCAACAATCTGACTGACAGATACTCTGTGGGGTTCTTATCCAAGTTCTGTGATATGATAAGCAATTAACAGTTTCATGTGATAGTTATTGTATATTTTATAATAAACAACACACAAAGCACTTACTGTACACCAAGTGCTATTCTAAACATCTCAGGTAAGTTAACTCATCTCATCCTTATAAAAACGTCATGAGATGAATGTTATTATTATTCCCATTGTACAGATGAGGAAAAGTAGCGGGTAGGCATTTGAAGTTAAGGTACTTGAAGTTAAGAATACACAGAGGTAGCATATTTGCTACTTGAATTGTTAGCTCAAGAGTAGACTAACATAATATAGTGCACAAAGTAAAACTCTGAGGTATGGTGATATGGTTTGGCTGTGTTCCTACCTAAATCTCATCTTGAATTATAATCTCCATAATCCCCATGTGTCTAGGGTGAGACCTGGTGGGAGGTGATTAGCTCAGGGGGAGTTTCCCCCATGCTGTTCTCGTGATAGTGAGTGAGTTCTCACAAGATCTGATGGTTTTATAACGGTCTCTCCCCCCTTTGCTGTCATTCTTCTTTCTCCCGCCATCATATGAGAAGGTCCAAGCTTGCTTCCCCTTTGCATTTCACTATGATTGTAAGTTTCCTGAGGTCTCCCCAGCCTTGCAGAACTTTGAGTCAATTAAACCTTTTTCCTTTATAAATTACCCAGTCTCAGGTATTCTTTTATGGCAGTGTGAGAACAAACTAATACGAACTAAATGAACACTTGGAGTCTGTTTCAAGTGTTATATCTCTGTCGTTAGTATTTCAATTCAAAAAGATGTTACTATAGCAACTCTGTGATGGTGTTTCTGTGCCTGTGTAAGTTTTTTGAGGATTTCTTTGATCAGAATGAGGAAGTTACTATTAACTACTACTTTTCTGAGACATAATGAATTTTTAATTGATGCTACTGCTTCTATTAAGTTGATCACAGGGCTTTTCTCCTCTATTCTATTATTATGATAAATTAGATTGGTTTTTAAACTGCTTTAACATTTGCTTCTTGAGATAAATCCCACCTAGTCTATGTACTAGATCTTAGTTTATGTACTATCATTTTTTATAAATATACATTGCTGTATTTGATTTGCTAATTCATTGTCATGAGTGTTTATGCCTATGTTTATAAATGATGCTGGTGATCTGTAGACTTATTTATTTCTAAGGTCTTGTCTAGTTTTGGTAATGTTGTCCTTATAAAATTCCCTAAAAAATATTCCCCTGCCTCTCTATTTTCTGAAAGAGTTTGCTTAGAATTAGTGTTATTTCATCCTTAAATATTTGGTAGAATTTACCAGTAAAATCATCTAAGCCTAGAGTTTTCTTTGTGGGTTAGTGTATTCAATTTCTGTAGTAGATACAGAATTATGTAGGATATGAATTTCTTCTTTACAACTCCATATATCATTTTCTTATAAATTACTAATATGTTGGCAAAATTTTTCATAACATTCTCTTATTATTGTTTTAATCTGTAGGATCTTGTATGGACAACTCCTCTTTAATTCCTATTACTAGTGATTTTTGTCCTCTGTTTTCTGTTGATGGGTTCAGCTTGTTGTTTATGAATTTTGTTGACTATTTTCAAAGAACCAGCTTTTAAAAACGTTGATTTTCTTCATTGTCTTTCTTCTAGTTGTTAGATTCATTTTTATTTTTATGGAGTAGAACCTTGGGTTTTTGACTTTAAACTTTTTTTGTTTAAATAAAACAAAAATTTTACTTCTAAGCATTATTTTATGTGTATCCCCAAAAGTTTTAGATAATATGTCTTTACTATTATTCAGCTTGAAATACTTTCTATTTGCCTTTGTGATGCTTTTCTTTTACCAATAGATTTATTGATTATTTATTATAGATTTATTTTACCAATTATTATTTAATTTTCAAATATTTGGTAGTTTCCTAAACATCTTACTATCATTTATTCCTACTTTAATAACCATTATGATCAGAGGAGATAATTTATGTGACTTTCATCATTATAAATTAATTGAGACTTATTTTATGTTCCAACTTCTTGGTGAACATATCATGTGCACTTGTATAAAATGTGTATTATAAAGATTTTGCATATTATATTTTATAAATATCAATGAGATTAAGCATTTGTGAGTGGTCTTCAGATGCTCTATGTCTTATATACTTTTTGGTAGATTGTTTCATTAATAGTTGAGAGAAAGAGGCATTAAAATACATTCCCGTGGTTTAGAAGTTGTTATTTTTCCCTTTCATTTTGTCAATTTTGCTTCATGTATTTTGAGGCTGTTAGAAATATAAATATTTATTATTGCTATTTCTTCCTGATGAATTGACCTCTTTTTGTGATTCTGAAATGCCCCCTCTTTATCTGGTAATACTCTTTATCTTGCAGCCTATTTTGTCTCATATTAACGTAACCATTCCAATCTTCTTATGCTTACTGTTTGCATAATATATATTTTTTCTATTAATTTGCTTAGAGTTTCTGTATATCTGTGCTTTCTTTATACTTCTTGTAGACAACACACAGGTGAATCTTGTTTTTTATCCATTTGATAATCTTTGACTTTCAAATGGAGTTTTTAGTTTATTAAAATTTATCATAATTAGTGTTGTGTTTAGATTTAACTCAAAAGAAGTACTTGTTTTCTGTTTGATCTCACTGTTTTTTCTTCACTTTGTTCACCTCTCTTGTCTTCTTCTCTTTAATAAATTAGAAATTATTTTATTTTTGACTTTTTTTCTGTTCCTTTTGACATTTTTTACTGGTTGTTATAAGGATTAAGACATACATCCTTAATTTTTTTCACAGCCTACTTAGAATTAATATTTTATCACTCTACATAAATGCAGAAACCTTTCAACCTAGGCCTATTCAACACTCATGTGCCATTCTTCATCTCACTGTTTATATATGCACTATATCTCCATATATTATATACCCTAAAACATAGCATTAACAATTTTATTTTATACAACCATATTAATTTTAAAGAAAGTAGAAACAAATATTTTTTTCATTTAGCAATCTGATTTTATTTACCAACATGATCCACAGGTTAAACTATCATTTCATCGCTTGCATTGTTTCTTCATGCAAACCCAAGAAATATTGTCAATGTTACAGTGTTCTGAGACCATGTTTGAAACTTAGAAAATGGATCTTACTATACGTAATTGCTCTTAAAAAAAAAACACAGAAAATGACCCTAACCATATGTCTATATTATAATACAATTCTGATGCTGCCAAAATAGACATATAAAATCAGCAATTATTTTAAAATCAGAAAATTAATAGTTAAATGATTTGGTTAGTTAATACATGTTTTGAAACTTTTATTCACCCATTACAAAGGAACTTTTCTGCTATCTTGCCATGAATTTATTTTAATCAAATATCAATCTGCTTTTTTGCCATACTTTTATGTTCATATACATTTTTGTTTCCATGCTGAATCAGGGTCATCTTTTTGAAGATATTTTAAGGATCAATAAAGCATAACACATGTAGTGTTAATAATGCACATAACTCAATTGATTTGAAGACCATATGAACAACTATGACTAATTTTAGGCTTTCTGAGGAAATGACACCTGCATCCTGACTGCTGCCTGACCAGTCGTTAATTTTTAAATCCTCTCAAATGCAGAGATCTCAAAATGTGCAAATGCGTTTCTTAGCATACATAAAATACTGCTAAATATTTTACTTTATTTTTTTAATCAAGAAAATAAGCACACCTATTGCTTGAAGAAGGAGCCATTCCTCTAGATAAATATATGAGACATTTTTTGTTTGTTTGATCCTTAATAGAGCATTGTGGTCTATTTGTTTTCATGTGTTAAAATAACACAATTATTGGAAATCATTGCCACAGACTGTATTTTTTGAAAATAAAAAATCCAGAATCAGAAGTTTGGTCAACTTTCCAGACTAAGAATAAATTAACTTGAGCTTTATTTTATATTGTGGTTTGCACCCTCCCTACACTCCTATATATAATATGTTTTAATATAGAGAGAGTTTTTGATGTCTGTTGAAAGAACTGCATAGAAAAAGTCTGAACCTCACCTTCCTCTGTGCCAAGACTTGTTTGTCTCATAAAATGAATAGAAAAATTGGGAGAAAGGTCAACTCATGTTATCCTTTTAAAATAATAGAAACAATGTGGAAATACTGTATTTCCTAATGAGCGCTCTTAGTTCCAAATAAGCAATTCTGATGAGGCACATACAGGGAGCAAATTTTAAAGGAGGATTTTCATTAGATATGTATATTGCAAATTTTGAAATAATTTGTAGGCATTTGATCTGCCCCCAATGACCTCATCCCACCTCCCCTTTAGTTTGAAATCTTTTCCTTCTCCAACTCCTTGCATTTCTGCACCATTATGATCTTTTCACCTGTATGTCTTCTTCATGCGCCACTGTTTCATGGCTTGACTTTCTTTTTCATCTTTGCTTAACTGAACCCTTTTTCATCCTTTAAAACTCACGGCATTGCTTATTCTAGGAAGGTCCCTCTGATTTGAGGATATTTTATTCTAATCCAAATTTTAGTTAAGAGTTTTTGGGTACTTTTTATTTTCCTCAACTTTTTTTTTTTTTTTTTTTTTTTTTACCTTCCTTGGAATATAGAGTTGGAATGTTCTGGTTCTGCGTTAGTCAGCTCGGCCAACAGAACAAATCCCACAATCCCCGCTTCCAGAATTGTGATGTGTAACCCCATCTGTGGCTTCAAAGTTAGAAATTTATTTTCTTAAATTCTAGAAGCTGGGATGTCAATGATCAAGGTGATGGCAGATTCGGTTTCTGCTGGGGGACCTCTTCCTGGCTTCTTGCAGGCAGCTGCCTTCTTGTGCTTTCTCACCTGGCAGAGAGAGAGAGAGAGAGAGAGAGAGAGAGAGAGAGTGCTCTTTGGTGTGTCTTATATAAGGACATTGATCCTATTGGATTGGGGTCACACCTTTATGATTTCATTTATCCTTAAAGTGTCTGTCTCCAGACACAGCTGCCCTAGGTTTTAAGACTTCAACATATGAATTTGGGGAAGACACATCCAGTCTATAACAGATTCTTTGAGTAGTTCCTTTAAAATCTGAGAAACAAAGATGCACAAGAGGACAGCTGCCTGCAAGAAGACAGGAAGGGGTCCCCCAGTAGAAACCAAATCTGCTGTCACCTTGATCTTGGACATACCAGCTTCCAGAATTGTAAGGAAATAAATTTCTAACATTGAAGCCACAGATTTGGTGTGTCTTATATAAGGACATTGATCTTATTGTTTTATGTAAAAACAACTGTTCCGTAGCCTCATGAATCATGACTTCAGGGTCAGGAGCAGTAATATCACCTCACTCTTGAATTAGAAGTGGCATCATTACAAAATGTCATGAATAGTAGACCGGATTGTCACTCAAAATGGAGTTAGGTTCCCATCCTTTTTCATTCTCCCCAGGCCCCACCCACTAATCCTCTGTGATTCCAAGATTCCCTGGGAATTATTGTTTGTTTGTTTGTTTTTCATTTACCCTTGATTTTCTGATGTCCTGGGTATTTTCATTTTCCTTTCAGATCCACTCCTTATTCTAACCCAGTCTTGACACAGCAGATGATTGGATTAATAAGTATAGTTCTTTATTAGCTATATTTTCAGTCCTCTGTTTGTTGTGTGTTATTGTTACAGATTTAGCCCATAATATCCAGAATCATTTTGGAGTCTGTCATTTGGACCATCCCGAATTTTCTTCTGAAATGCAAAACAGGAAGGAATAAGTGTTTCCTTTGTGCAGTAAAAATAAATAGGACAGTAAATCAAAACTCCAATCAGTATGTCCCTTTCTTTTATGGTGGCTATCTAATATAGAGTTTTCTTTTTTTTTTTTTTTTTTTTTTTGACATGGAGTCTCGCTCTGTCGCCCAGGCTGGAGTGCAGTGGCACGATCTCTGCTCACTGCAAGCTGCGCCTCCCGGGTTCATGCCATTCTCCTGCCTCAGCCTCCCAAGTAGATGGGACTACAGGTGCCCACCATCACGCTTGGCTCATTTTTTTGTATTTTTAGTGGAGACGGGATTTCACCGTGTTAGCCAGGATGGTCTCGAGCTCCTGACCTCGTGATCCACCCATCTCAGCCTCCCAAAGTGCTGGGATTACAGGCGTGAGCAACCGCGCCCGGCCCTAATATATGGTTTTCTGAAGAGCATTTTGGATTGAGTAAAATGTTGATAGAGCTTGTTGAAGAGTGAGGAGTGAATTTTATCTTATAGAAATAGAACATTGGATTTGCCATCTTGGTAAGGCACAATAGAGGAAATGAAAGGGATCAACTGAATATTACAGAAAGAAGGAGAGAGGAAAAGCCAAATTACCCGAGCATGAATAGAGAGAGTAATGGTAGGATTAAAATTCTGATATGAGACATATTGTCTCATGGATCTTTTGAATTTGAAAGGTGTGATTTTGTTCATTGTTTCCACTTCTCATTTGCATGTAGGACTGGATTACTGAATTTAGATAATTTGCTCATATAAATTCTCTCACTTGATGACTCTTGTTGAATATGCCTTCTTTCAAAGAGGCACCAAATGGAGAGAAAATATATATAACAATTAGGATGTCTGAAAAAAATTACAGTAGTCCTTTGAAATGAAGACACAGATGGGAAAATATAGTTCTTGATTTTTCTGAAAATACATTCCTTTTCTGAGGAGGGGGAAGCCTGTGATACCTACACATAACTGATTAGATGGATAGTGCTATTAAATTTAACTGTAAGATCCAACTGCAACCTACCTGGAAATGTTCTCTAGAAAATGATGAAGGTGATTGGTATAACAGAGCTTAATTTGAAGGAGGATATATAAATATAAATATAATGCAATATTTAGCATTATAGAAAAATCATTGTGTTTGGTCTGAGGAAGACAAAGAGGATGATAAAATAATACAATGTAGTTTTTACCTCATGCTGGTATAGTGATGATAAGGGTGTGAAGATCATTGGTAGATCAGTGCTTGGGCCCTCAAACTGGAATGCACCACCACCTTGAAAACACAGAGCCTGTGGCACAGAAAGACTTGCTCTCAGTAATGGTTTAGATAATTCCTGACAGAATCTGGAGAATTTTGCATGCAGACTAAATAAAGCTCATCCATAGTTCCAGAGATTTGCTCTCATGGTATATGGAAACTTATGAATGATTAGAAAATAATTTAGAGTTGAACTACCTAGACATTTTTATTTTTCTTTCTCTCTTCCTGCCCCTACTTCACTTGCTTTTTATTGTTGTTTAAGAAATGCTGTAATATTTCATATGGTGCATCAGCCTTCAGGACCTGGAGAACATTTCCTCTAGCTAATTTAACACCTGTATATTCTCCCAGACGTAGCTGGGTCTGGTAGCCTCATGGAACATGCCTGCCTTTCATGAAAGAGGCAGAACTCACAGTTCTTATTGAGGAATCTGTTTATCAAAGTACCTCGCCACAACATTGTAGCTTGTTTCTAAACAGAAAAAATAGTTATCCCAAATATTCAGTATTCCTTTTGTTCTGTATAAAATAAAAGAATTTCTGATTTTAATATTCTTAAAAGCTAAATTAGCAATGTAACAGCTTAGCTGCATAAAGTGTAATATGTAACAAATTGCTGTGTTAAAATAGAGATCTAATGATACCTTCATTAACTTGATCACTGAAATGGCAAACCCTTTTCCAACATAACAGTTTCTATAGATACCACATGCTTATGATCAAAATTGCTTTTCTGAATGTGTTTTTCTCTCCCATTTTGATTGTATTTTATATCTTCTTTCTGGCTGTAAGTTACAATTAAACATAAGGAAAAATAGTGCAAGGCAAAATATACTCTGCATCTGTTTTACTGCTCAAATAAATACACAATCTGCACAAAACAGATTTTCCTAGTGGGCAAATTTCAAATGACTCCCTAGATAGGTTCTAGATTTTTTTTTAATGCCACCAGGGATGCACCAAATGTTGCTGGAGGAAATTTCCATGTATTCTAACTACCTACCAAACAGCTAAATTCTCTGTCAAAAATGTGTAATTTAAGCTCTTATAATAATTGTTACCACAAAAGATGAATCCTGGTTGATAAGTAGATTTTTATCCCCAAGCATAAATATATTTCCCTATTAATTATTATTTTGCAAACATACAAACAATTGTTTTGGGAAAAGAGCCTTTGAAACAAAAGGAAACTTCAAAAAAAAAAATCCATGAAAATGCTTGATTTGTAGAAACTGTCATTTTTTTCTCTGTAACATTCAAAGAGTTTTATTGTTGTTTTGTTGTTGTTTAGTATTTTTTCCTATATATTATAATAATAAAAATAAGTCAGACCACTAATGAGGAACCAAAAAAATATTATTCTATTTGCCATGAGAACAGTTTTATGTTTGAAATTTTATGCAGATAATTTCAAATTAAATTTTGGAGAAAATTATGGCAAGGAACCAGTGGACCAAGGAACCATACTGAAGCCCAAGGCAAAAGGAAAATTCAGTAATGCTGGAATTATCTTTACTACAATTTTTGATATTTTGTCCACCACAGATTTTTTGGATTATTTTTGATTTTTTTAAATGTTGCATTAAAATAAGATTTATCTTCGTTACTGAAGTTTGGCATGCTCTTAAATTTTGCATATAAGATAAATGTCTCACTTATCTCATTACCTTCACTGTCGTGATAGTTTTGCAAAGAGTGATATGTTATAATTATTAAAATTATTGAGCAATAGTCTACATATGTTAAATTCTATTTTAATTATTAAAAACTGAAAAAAGTATTATGAATTTCACAACTGATTCATTTCAGCTTGGGCATCATGATATTATCAGCCATCGTAGCCCCAAAGATCTCCAAATAATTTGGCGTGGACCCTCAGCAGAGGTTGTGTCATGATAGTGATATTTTATTTCATTTAGTGAAGTACTTTATAATTTATGGAATGTAAGACTATCACTTTAGTTAATATACTCAATAGTTCAGATGTTTCCACATTTATGTACTTTTTTGTTTCCACATTGACATATTGTTTTAAATACTCTGACTCAAGCTACATTTATTTATCCCTTATGATGTCTAAAGTTCTTACAAAAACCTTTTCCATGCTCAAATTATATTTAGAAAAGCTGCATAGGGCATCCTCTCTTGAAACTTCACAGTTCACATTAGTATGTTAAGTACTCTAAAATGTTCTGTAATAAATGCAATTGTTTAATTTTGATTAATTCAGTTTTTCCCAAATTATTGACCCTAAAATCTTTTAGTGCATTTTTGGTACATAAAACTTTTTAGCCTTTATAAGTACATAGGTGTATTAGTTCATTCTTGCATGGCTATAAGGAAATACCTGAGACTAGGTAATTTGTAAAGAAAAGAAGTTTAATTGGCTCATGATTCTGCAGGTAGTGTAGGAAGCATAACACAAACATCACTTAGCTTCTGGGGAGGCCTCAGGAAGCTTTTACTCAAGGTGGGAGATGAAGAGGGAAGCAGGCATGTCACATGGTGAAAGCTGAAGCAAGAAAGAAATAGTGGAGAGGAGGTGCCACACAGTTTTAAATGACCAAATATCACAAGAACTCACTATCATAAAGATGGCACCAAGCCATGAGGGATCCACTGCCATGATCCAAACACCTCCCACCAGGGCCCACCTCCAGCACTGGAGATTTCAATTCAACCTGAGATTTGGGTGTGGACAAATACACAAACTATACCAATATAATTTCTCAGAACACAATTTAGGAAATACAATTTTGAAAGAAATTAATAGACATTTGTTATACTGCTATACAATAGCATTTATAGTACTTTTTCAGCCTCAATATTATTAGAATGCAAATAGATATGTGTTTGGCAATATTTCACATGTATATGACCTGATTTTACAGCTTTGGAAACTGAAGAAGATAAGGGAAAGAGGTCAACGATGAAATTACTTTTCTAACCCTAAACCATATATTAATTCAACAGAAAATGATCCTCTGAAAAGCACAAGAACTGTATTCTATTTCAAATATAAGTCCTTGAGATATTTATAATGTCCAATAAACCCATTAGTTCTCCTTTTTATATACTTTCCAACATCTTCAAATATCTAGACTTTCTAATATCTATCCTGTCTTTTGTCAGGTGCTTTGGTAAGTATTCCATGCTTTCCTAACCAGTTTCAAAGTTTTCTTGTCTTAGTACACATGCCTACTCCTCAAAGAAGTGTTTTAGGGATGATCCAAGCTGTTACTTACATATTTCTCATCATAAAATTCCTCTACTATCCTGTGAGGCCTTTGAAGCTAAAAGTAGTGCTCTATTATTTAAATAAATTACAATGGGTGGCATATTGCTAAATAAACATAGGTGTATCATTAAAATTTCTGACTTAATTAAAGTAGTCAAATTATGGGTAATTGTTAAAGTTTTGATAAATATCCTTCATCAGGAAGAAATTTTATATTATTTTCTTTTTAAAAATGCCAATTGAGACATTACCAAGTGGTAGAGGGTAATACTGAATACCATCTGGCATGGTTGAAAGTCTGGACTATGTGGCAGTTATACCAGGGATCAAAGTCCATGTTCTTCTTTTACATGTTGCAGGAAATTAAGATGTCACCTTGAATGTATATTACTATAAAATGGAGATTTTGCCGGACTTCTAAGAGGATTAAATGGCATGATATATTTGAAAGAGCCTAGTAGCTCCTGTCAGTTCTCAAGAATTTCTTAATGAAGGGTGGCAGAATATACCACCCTAAAGCATGCCACTTTGACAAAGGATTCATTTGAGATAAAGACACTTGAACAACAGCAAATCCAAGAAGAGCATTTTAGTCTCCCTTTTCTTACTGAAAACAGGAGATAAAAGCTCCTTTGTGGAAGACACCCTCCCAGTACCAGGAGAAAAAAATAATTCTTCCAAGGCATGTCATAGCCGAGAAAATTCTGCACAAACTGACCTTGTTAAAATAATTCTTAACTTTTTTATGTCTCCTCACACAGTTTTGTTACTTTAACCCCATATGAAATTTAGGTTTTGTCAATTCTTTGTGTCTTTATTTTCTTATGAGGGCTCCTGTGTCCTGTAAAATGTACATAACATTTGTATGCCTTTCTCCTGTTAACCTATCTTACGCCAATTTAATTCTCAGGCCTAGCTGAAAATCCTGATAGAAATAAAGTTTTGCCTCCCTTACACTAAGTACTTACTGGGGACACTGTATCATCTTCAGCATTGCCTTTCATCAAAATAGGCACTTAACATAACATTAACATTGCATACACAGGACTCCATAGAGGGAAAGCAGAAAGTATTTTATTTTCACCCATTTCTTTGCCTGTGGATAAGATGTTGTTCTGGTTCCATCACGTTTTAAGTCACTTCTATATAATAATAGACTGTTGATCGTCTTTATTTTCCCAAGTGGTTCAATAGGTGATATGGTTTGGATGTTTGTCCCCTCAAAAATCTCATGTCAAGATATTATTCCCAGGGTTGGAAATGGGACCTGGTGGGAGGTGATTGGATCATGGGGGTGGAACCCTCACGAATGGCTTAGCATCATCTGCTTGGTGATGAGTGAGTTCTCAGTTAGTTCACATGACATCTGTTTTTTTTTTTTGTTTTTTTTTTTTTCAAAGAGTCTGGTACCTCCTCTTTCTTTTTCTTGCTCCCTCTCTCACCTCACCATGTGATACTGTAGCTTTCCCCTTTGCCTTTCACCATGATTGTAAGCTTCCTTAGGCCCTCACTAGAAGCCAAGCAAATGTTGGTGTCATGCTTGTACAGCCTGCAGAACCATAAGCTATTTAAACTTTTTTTTTTAGAAATTACTGAGCTTCAGGTATTTCTTTATAGCAGTGCAAGAAAAGACTAACACATAAAATTGATACTGAGGAGTAGAGTGCTGCAACAAAGATACCTGAAGATGTAGAAGTGGCTTTGGAACTGGGTAGTGGGCAGAAGTTTGAAGAATTTGGTGGGCTCAGAAGAAGAGAAGAAGATGAGGGAAAGTTTGGAACTTTGTAGAGATTGGTTACATGGTTGTAACCAAGATAGCTGATAAGAGATGTGGACAGTGAAGGCCAGGATGATGAGGTTTCCGATGGAAATAAGGAACTTGCTGGGAACCAGAGTAAAGGTCACATCTGTTATGCACTAGCAAAAAACTTGGCTGCATTAAGTCCAGGTAATAGGGATCTGCAGATGTTTGAACTTAAGAGTGATGATTTAGGGTGTCTAGTGGAAGAAATTTCTAAGAAGCAAAGCATTCAAGAATTAGTATGACTGCTTCTAATAGCCTATGATCAGATGAGAGCAAAGAAATGACTTAAAAGTTGGAATTTATATTTAAAAGGGAAATGGAGAATAAAAGTTTGGAAAATTTGTGGCCTGGTCATGTAACAGAGAAAGAATCCAAGCAGGCTGCAGAGCAACCATTTGCTAGAGAGGTTAGAATGACTAAAAGGGAGCCATATGCTAATATCCAAGACAGTGGGAAAAAGGCTTTGAAAGCATTTCAGAGATCTTGAAAATAACCTCTCCATCACAGGCCCAGAGGGATAGAAGGAAATAATGGTTTCAGGGGCCAGGCCCAGATCCCCACTCAAAGCACTGTTCCAGAGAGTTCAAGTCATAAACCTTGGTGGCATCTACCTGGTTTTAAGTCTGCAGGTGCCCAGAATGTAAGTATAAAGGAAGCTTTTTGGCTTCTACCTAGATTTCAGAGGATGTATGAGAAAGCCTAGATGCCCAAGCACAAGCTTGTTGCAGGGGCAGAGCCCTCACAGAGAACCTCTACTAGGGCAGTGCAGAGGGGAAATGTGGGGTTGGACCCCCAAACGGAGTCCCCACTAGGGCATTGCCTAGTGGAGCTGAGGGAAGGAGGCTGCTGCCCTCCAGACCCCAAGATGGTAGAACCACGGGCAGCTTGCATCCTGATCTGAGAAAAGCCACAGACACTCAGTTCCATTCCATGGAGGCAGCCATGTAGCTGCGCCCTGCAAAGCCATAGGGGCAGAGCTGCCCAAGGCCTTGGAAGCCCACCCCTTACAACAGTGTGCCCTGGATGCAGGGCATGGAGTCAAAGGGGATTATCTTAAATCTTTAGGATTTAATGACTGCCCTCTGGGTTTCAGACTGCATGGGGCCTGTAGCCCCTTTCTTTTGGCTGATTTATCTTTTTGAAAATGAGAATGTATACCAAATGCCTGTAACACCATTGTATCTTGGGAGTAAATAATTAGTTTTTGATCTCACAGGTGGAAGGAATTCATCTTCACATGAGACTTTCAACTTGGGACTAGGAGTTTGGGACTTTTGAGTTAATGCTGGAATGAATTAAGACTTTTCAGGACTATTGCAAAGGCATGATTATATTTTGAAATGTGAGAAAGGCATGAGATGTGGGGGGCAAGGGGAAGAATGATATGATTTAGTTGTTCAAATGTAATTCCCAATGTTGGAGATGGGCCTGGTGTGAGATGATTGTATCATGTGGATGGATTGCTCATGAATGATTTAGCACCATCGCCTTGATGATGAGTGAGTTCTTGGTCAGTCAGTTCACACAAGATCTGGTTGTTTAAAAGAGTCTGGCACCACCCCCTTCTCTGTCTTGCTCCATCTCTCACCATGTGATACCACCAGTTTCCTCCTGTATCTTCCACCATGACTGTAGGCATCCTGAGGCCCTTACCAGAGTCTGACCAGATGTTGGTGCCATGCTTCTTGTACAGCCTGCAGAACTGTGACCCAATTCCATCTTTTTTCTTCATAAATTACCCAGCCTTACATCTTTCTTTTTAGCAACACAATAACAGACTGCCATGATAGGTAAAATATTCAATTCAAATTAATGACAAGATCTTCAAACTGTGAAGTTAAGATTCTTTTCCCTTTTCCTCTTGGTAATGTTTTAGGTCAGAAATGAACTTTTTCTTCCGCCTCTCCACCACCTTTCAAACTGTGGCTTTGACTTCTTCAGTGTTTTAGGATGTGTTGGGAAAATGAGGCAAGGTAAGTTACAGGAAATATATTGCTTGCTGGGTACTGGTGTCATCTCACTTTGGCCTCCTCTGAGTTTGGTAGATTTTCTAAGCTAGTTCTTTCTCTCATGGGAATAGTTTCTGCTTCTCCAGGATTTTGCTGAGACTGTCCCTTCTGCATTAACATGTCATGAAGAGGATTAATTTCATCCTTCAGCCCCTGGATATTTCTCAGCGTACCTCCTTTGCTGGGTTGCAGTGACCCTTCAGTGATTATTCATTGACAGGATTTAAAATGTCACCAAGTCTGCTCTCTTCTATGGGGCCCATATTGGTCCACGAAAAATATCCACATATAATTTTCCCATATATGAAGTCAGAATTTAGCCAGTTCTCACTTATATATTAGTACTTTGGGGATTCAATAACAATGTACCACAGATTGGATGGCTTAAACAACAGAAATTCATGCTTCACAATTCTAGAGGTTGTAACTCCCTGATCAATGTGTTGGCAGTGTGGGTTTGTTCTGAGGCCTCTTTCCCTGGCTTGTAGATGACCATTTTCCCCGTGTCTTCACATGGTCTTTACCCTTTGTGTTTCTGTGTCCCAACCTCTTTTTACAAGGATACCAATCATATGGAATTAGGGCCTACTCTAATAATATCATTTGACCTTAATTCCTTCTTTTTTAGGACCCTGTCTCTAAATACAGTCACATTATAAGAAACTGGGGGATAGGACTTCAACATATAAGTTTTAAGGAAACAAAATTCAGTCCATAACATCAGTATAGGCCAAATTTTCTCTGTGTCTCTCCACTATTCTCTATGGTTAGCCACAGCCTATGCATCATACATTGAAACTTCCCAGGACACTCTAAAAACTAAGATTCTATTTCCTGCAAGCACCAGGAGATAGATAGATATATATCTCAGGTTTTCTGAGTTGTCCCCTATAATTTCTCCCACTTTACTTGAGGGGACAAAAGAAAAAATTGCACACCTCAGCAATTTTATCTATATATATTTTCTCTTATGGCCTTCTTTTTCAGTTGCCACCCTTTTTACATGTTTGAGGTGGCTATTAGGCAAAGATTTGCAAAACGTTTTTTCAAGCCTATCACAAATTTTCTAATAACTCATATTAAAATACACAAACAATTAATTTGTTCACACACATTTAGAGACTCGGCTACATTGGGGGAAAATAAATTAGATTATAGCAGATAAATTTTCTCACTTTTTAGGTATAAAAAAATACAGATTTTCCAAATCTTTCTGTTTTTGCAAATTATTTGAACAGAAAGAAGCAGAGACAGAGGGGCTGACAAAGGCTATGTTCACAGAGTCCCTAAGATGCCTGGATGAAATTTATTTTTCCACATCTCAGTTTTATCATTGATTCTTAACATTCAGAGGGTCCCAAAGTTTACTAAAATATTAGGATTTTCCTTATCCCTTTTCCTGAACCTTATAGGAGACAGAAAAATCTGTTCTTTAAGATTATTTTGTATTGCTGCTACACATTCTCTTGATAAGCCAGAGAAAGGGAGCAAGTACAGGCCTGAGAGAGAGTAGAACTTACCATGTATAACACATGTGTGCACATGCACACACACACACATCCCACATCAAAAAGAAATTTGGCAGTATAGACATGATGCTCAATATTTTCTGAAAACTTGGAGAAGAGAAAAATTGAATAGGCAAAAATGATCAGTAATATTTTGGCAGTATCTCTATGTATGCCAGGTATAAAACCTGCCTCAATGGTAAGAATTTGATTTTTTAATTTAAGACAGAGTGGCTGGAGGATCCTTAGATAACAATATTTTTTAAAAAAATTAGATATATATTCAGAGGACTTTACATCATCATAAAAAATACATTAAAAATACATTAAAAAATAGCATATTAGCTATTTTTTTGTCTTTTGAGGTCTTCAAATTTAGGGAGCTAGTATTTCCTTGCTCCCAAATACATTTGAAAACATAGCCTCTAGAATTAGTAAGCTAAATTATGCTTCCAAATGTGCTCCTATACACAAAACTACAAAGTGGAGCCTATGCTCCATTTCCTTTATGCACTATTTCTCTTCATTCAGATGGAAGATATACTGATCCAGCTATCAATATATATTTGGACTGTGAAACTTTAACTTTTTGTAATTTGAGAATGATATTCACTAATAAACCTAACATTAATAAAGTCTCTTTGTCTTTGTCTTTGTTTTTCCCTTCATGTAGTTTTTTAAAATTACTTTTAAAAATTATTAATTTGGTCCAAATTAATCCCATTATAGATCAATGCTTTGTATGTATTATTTAAAATAAATTACATTTTCCCATAACCAACTATTTCATAAAGTCCAGATGTTTCTCTTCTACTCTTGTTACGCTGTCATATCCAATTTGAAAATAATCAGCAGTTTTACAATGTGTATTGTGTCAGAGTGAACATTAGAAAATGATTAACTCAGTTGAACCTATGGAAAAGGAAAAAAGAATAAACTATTCCATTATGGTGATAGTATAGGAATTAATATATTTATTTCAAAAAAGTGTATAAAATCTATATGATATTAAAAACTTAATTACTCCCTTTCCAAAATAAGGATCAAGATACCACAGAGTTGATGGATTCATACAGCAGTAATGCCAAGCATTTTCTGCCATTTATTAGATTGTGAGAATAGCATCACCCAGCATCTGGATTGTTCAGTGGATGCCTCCCAGCAATGTGTTAAATAGATCTCCTCCTACATTTCAAGCACTCAAACCTAGCTGCTGATATATTTTCCTGCGATAAGAGAAAGATGTATTTACCCATTAATGAAGAGAATTTCAGAAACCCAATTTCACCAGCTCTTGCCTCATCATTCATTTTCTTCATTTTCTCCCTGGCTTCTCAGAACAATGAGAAAGGTGACTGAGAAATCTTGAATATGAATGTGAATCGGCATCAAAGATATGATAAATCTAAAATAGTGGCTATTTTTTCAAGTAGTGTCACCCTGCTATCTATTTCTATTGTATTCCTTGATAGTGTGTAGAAAATGTAAAAAATGTACAGCCCTATTTCCTTTCTTTTCCTCCTCTGAAAAAATTAATATAGTGTGTACTGTGAATGACCACATTCAAACTAAAGTAATAACACTTGAATTTACAAAGTGTTTTATAGAAATTGGTTAAGGATTTAGCATGCTAAACCCATTTTTGGACTCTCATGTTGCCCAAACTTTAATTCTTAAAATTGATGGTAATAAAATCATATCCATATGTCCCAAGACTCATCAGTCTTGACTATCAAATGAGGTCAATTTTATTATACATGAATCAATTATGGGAATAAGGATTGATACCAACCTGAATTTAGGCAGCTAGACCCATCAAAATGTCTTAACTGAGAGATACCAAAGAGTGACATATATGAGCCCTAAAAGATTTAGCAACTAGGCAGAGAAAGACTTTGAAAAAGCAACCAATGCTACGCTAAGAGGAAAATTTAGAGTGAAAATATTTTAAACAAATATTTTTAACACAATTTTCAAAGTTGTAGACCTCCTTCCTCTATTGCAAACATCACCTTTCCTCTATTGCAAACATCATCTTTCCTCTACAACTCTTCTTTGGCTAAAATGTGTAATCCAGCCCTGGGCCAGCCCTTTGACCCTTGGTGAAGACAGAGTAGGAGATCTAAGATTGAGGGCAAATCATCTCTAGGCTGAGGGCACTCCTCCCTTTACTTCTGACTTCTCTCCATCACTCTTCTTCTCACACTTTTAACGCAGGTGATTTGGAATTATAGTCTGGCTGCTGTTCCTTTGTGGCAAAATCAGTTATCAAATATCTTTTGATATTTTCCTTCTACCATATTCTGTCTTCTTTTGTCCAAGATACTTGGTGAAGTCTCACTGATGAGTGTGTTCCTCAGTGAGCTTTTATAGCTCCGGGTCCATGTTGACTATGAAAGCACATAAACTGCTTTACGTAGTTCCCACAAGAGTGGTCAAGAAGGCCCTGGTCCCGAACTTTAAGTCACTGTTTGTCACCTAGGACTTGAAGGTATTCTGCCTCCCCCTAGAGTCTTACCATGTCTCTGTGAAAAATGAACCCACCAGTTTCTGGTTCTTTCACTTGTAACCATAGAGATGCAACCTGCTCACAGGACTCTTGAAGTAGATGAAGTTCCAGCTACTTCACTTTTTAACTTTCTCCGCTAAGGCTGTCATTGTTGTCTCTTTCTTAGTTAAAAAAAAATTATTTTAGTCATATTTACAGCTGTAACCTAAACAAGAAAGTCGGGGATTAAATGAAAAGAGTGTCCTCACTAAGAATACCTGTGTGCTGAATCATTTCATTTTTCAGATCCACTCTTCACCTTCTCCATCTTGCTCTGTGCCCTGAGGGTACCCTGTGTGGATTACAGATTGCCTTTCCTTCCAGCTTGGGTTGGTCGGTGAGAAGCATGAGAGAAAGTGAGGTCAGATTATCCATCCTACTGAATAGCTCCTGGATCAATCTCAGCAGTCAACAATGTCCCTCTATCAAAGACCACAGCTTCTATCTCCTGTCAGGTGGCCCTCTCCTATGATTTTAGTTTTCTTGGATTTCCAAGCAATTACTCCTTCTTGGCTTCAAGATTAGAGGTTATAATGGTTCCTCACCTACGAATCCTAGGGCTCTTTGCCAACTCTTGTTTGTTTCCCTTGTGAACTCTCCTCAGTCGCCTCATTTGGATGTGGAATCTCTTTCAACGTTCTCACTCAATCTGCTCTCCATCATAGTAAACCTAACATGCCCTGTGATAGCACTTTAAAAAGAAAAAATCAAAAAGTTGTGATGTCCCTCCACCTACACAGCTAAGGGTTTTCAGCCGGGGTCCTTTGTAGATACCAGCTTCTTACCTTCTTCCTCTATTCACATGGTTCTTTTCCTATCCTGAAACATCATGACTTAGATAATAAGGGAAATGTTAACTAGCTTAAATTAGTGAGCCTTTTATTTATATGTAAGTCATTTAGTAATATAAAATAAATCATTTAAAATAATAAATCAGGCCAAGCGTAGTGGCTCACACCTCTAATCCCAGCATTTTGGGAGGCCAAGGCAGGTGGATAACCTGAGGTCGGGAGTTCGAGACCAGCCTGGCCAACATAATGAAACCTAATCTCTATTAAAAAAAAATAATAATAAAATGAAAACCAAAAATTAGCCAGTGTGGTGGTGCATGCCTATAGTCCCAGCTACTCTGGAGGCTGAGGCAGGAAAATCACTTGAACCCGGGTGGCCGAGGTTTCAGTGAGCCAAGATCATGCCACTGCACCCCAGCCTGGGCAACAGAGCAAGACTCCATCTTGAAATCATAATAATAATAAATCAGAATTTTTTTCTATATGATGAGAGCTTTATGTTCAAAAGTCAAAAGAACAGTTATCTAGAAAGTATTGCAAATAGAAAGTTCCTTCAACCCAGTTTCTTCTTGCATTATGGAGATCACATAGTCAATGACTATTCCCGCCAGGAACATTTCTCTGAAGTGATAGTCATTCTTTGATAAGTGAAGGCCAAGTCACAATCACAAAAAACCACTACAAACCATTGCTTCCCACTATGGGAGAATCTCCAAGAAAGTGCAATTCCCAGGGCATCCCACAGGATTTAAAACAGTACTTCAGAAGTCTATTTACTTAACATATGCTAAAATGAGCCACCTTCATTCACACCAGTCCACTACTCCTAAGCTTAATTCTCCAAGAATTTCTTTATATAAAAACCTGTTTTCCAAGATTTTAAATAGTATTTTATAGGTTAGGGAATAAGACCCCTTGAATAATAAAAGATATATACATAGATAGTTTTCAAAATTTATTCGTAATATTGTCATTACAAATATTAATTCTTAAAATATTTTATTTGTGGTCACACTGTTCATACAATTTTTCCTATATTTTTATAAATATTATGTCAAAAGCATTTGCTCTGTTTCAAAGCATATGTCTTTGAAATAATTTTTTTATGCTGTATCATATTTTTTACAAAATTACATGATATATACTGTAATGTGCAGAGAGATTCCCTGTTGTTGGGTATTTAGAAGTTTTCTAGTTTCTAGTTATATTTTGGATTATTTTATAATTAACTTCTCAAAAGCATAATTCCTAGGTGTTAGGAATTATAATTATGGATAATTATTAAACCCTTGACTTTTATTGCTAAAATAGATTGCAAAATCATGCTTTACATTCCCCCCAAGAATTAGAAGAGAAGTCTGTTTTCCCACACTGATCTATTTCTTAATCCTAAAGGGAACTACATCTTAGAGAGTTTACATAGTAAATATCCAATGCAGAGAGAGCATGTACATTTTATATTAGTTGAATTTCATAGCATATGTATTGTGAGACTTTAAAAAATATTGTGCATACATTCTACATTTAAGGTTATTTCTATTCCATTTATGTTTTAAAATTATTAATTTTTAAAATCTGTTTTGTATCTCGAATGTGTATCATCTACTCTGAATATTGTTATTCTCTATCACCAACATAAATTAATAATGTTTTAATTATCTTGAGAAAACAATTAACTTCTTTGGAAATAATAAATTTTATCTCCATGTATATTACTAATTTTTGGAAAAAATGATACTGAAAATATTTTATTTCATTTGAAACATTATAAAATCTTTCTGTCCATTTTAATGTATTCAGAGAGTCCTTAAAATACAGCAATGCAAAAAGTAAATCGTACTTCAGCTGTCATCTCTACTTCCATTTTCATTAGTTTTACTTCTAAAAGTTGAAATATACAAAAAAAATTGGTAGCATTTTACCTTTATAACTTTAAGACATTCACTCAAACTATTCTGTAAAACAACTGGCAGTTTTTGACCTTCTCATTATTCTTCTCATATCCAGGGCATCCAAGCACGTTGCAAGACGTTACAGGAAACTGCTCCTTAAATATGTGTGATACATGATGCTTGACTTTACTACTCTAATGACAGTTGAAAGTTCAGGTCACTGCTTTCCTTTCAAATGATAGACTAATGGAAAAATTGACAAGTGTGTTCCTTACAACAGAATCATTTCCAAAGTCATTTTTACATTTACTTATGTTGCCCAGTCAGACCAATATTCTGATATGCCAAGTCCAAATCAGGACTCTCCTGATGAGGAAAAGTTGTTTTTCTATTCACAGATGAGAAGAATAAATTGCAGGAGAATGTGAGTTACCATTGCCTAGGGCAGAAATATGGTGTCAAGAGATTCCTGTTTAACTTCCCTGCTCAATATTTAGTGGCACACTGGGAAGTCAAAGCCAGCAATTCAAGGAGCCAGCTGGCAGTGTACAGAACAATTTGGCCTTGAAACTTGATCCTGTATGAGGATGAAATGAAATGACTGTGTAAGCTCCTTAGAAAAGATAAAGGTGTTATAGACAAATGGAAGGTATTATTACTTAGGTCAGATAAAATTTGTGGCCAAAGACACCCCTTTTTCTTGCATTCTCAGGGCAGTGCTAGTAGTATAGTTGGGCTATGATGTGGACCTTTCATAGGCTTTAAGATAATTCCTGGAGAAGAGTAAGCCCAGTGGCCTTTTTATTCTTTTAGAGGGCAAACGAGATATAAAATAAAAGGTAGGCTCCAAAACAGCAGTTATATAGGACTAAACAAATAATCTAAAAGTTAAAGGTCACAAACAGATTTACTTTGTGTGTTTGTTTTAGACAGAAATTTACTTTTTTAGAAGGATAGATGTAGAGATCGCTTTAGGAGGGAACCTAAGTGTGTCATTTACATGTGTCATTCTTCAGTGTATTCTCAGGCCCTAAAGAAGGGCCTGGCACAAAGGATGTTCTTTTGAGTTAGTGAATAAAAATTCGGCATGCATTTTGTCCAAATGGTCTCTAATTGCCAGATCTCCTTAACAGAGTACCCTTGACATTATTTCCCCACTATCTTAAAGCAGAACCACAGAATACAAGAACAAAGGAGCTGATAGCCTGGATTACCATAATATACCCTGCCACTGACATCAAAATGATGTTCCTATTAATCTAAAGAGATTTCTTCTCTCTGCCACTCTTGAGCTCATATAACCAAGTTCAAATCCATCTATCTTGTCATGATACCTCAAAGGATCAATACTTTTCAGTTTACGAAATACTTTCCTTGCTAAGCTAAGTTTATGGTAGCTATCCATATCACATATTACCTTCCTATACATATTCTCTTACCTATTATCTCTGATACTGTCCTTGGTCTTTGCCCTAGTAAGTACTAAAGCAGCTCAGTGAAGCTGGTTTGTTATCTGTTGATTGCAGACAGGACATTTTGGGTTTACACTTCTACTGAATCATCCAGACACTGGTGATAGATAGCAAAAAGCAAAGCTGAAATATGAAACAAGCGCATGCCCACTCTGGTAGTTCCTCTGGAGGCCACCTACTGGAAGTCCAAATTTCTGTGCATTTGATACCTGTGCAGTTAGCCGATCAATGAGGACTCTGATTCTACAAGACTGGTGGGTGCATGGATGAGGCTCCCAGTTATCCTTTTGTCTCTATCACCCATGGTCCCTGCATGGGGTTTCCACTAGCAAATCACTGATGTAGCTTACTGACTTCATTGGTTTTCTAAGGATGCTGCAATAAGTTGCCACAAACATGGAGGCTTAAAACCACAGAAATTTATCCATTCATAGTTCTGGCCATCAGAAATTCAAAATTAGTGTCAGCGGGGCCATACTCTCTGAAGGCTCTCAAACAGAATCTTTCCCTGCTTCTGGTGGCTCCAGGCGTTCTTTGTCTCATGGCTGCGTCACTCTAGTCTCTGCTCCAGTCTTCACCATAACCTTCTACTCTGTCTCTTCCTTTTCTATAGAAATATTTGCCATTGGATTTAGAGACCACCTCTATCCAGGATTATCTCATCACAAGATCCTTAACTTAATTATATGTACAAAGATAATGAAATTAGCAAGAGCTCCTCTTTGTGTTCTTCCCTTATCATAGCCCTTGTTGAAAGTCTCAGTGGAGCATTACATTTGGAGTCCGAATGATAAGAAACTAAAAACTACACCTTTAAAGAAACACAGATCTTAATTGTAAACTAAATTTTCGTAATTCCTCTCCTTTGGGAAGAGAGCAGTGAACCTCCCAATCATTCTATGACTGAATAACTCCTCGTGAATAATGAAAAAGTCAAAATAGGCCAAAATCTGGTGATATTGAACACGTTCACTTATTTTGTAAACCTTAAACAACTAGAGCCTACTAAATGTACACACAAAAACTAGAATAAACTCTCTATATTTAAGTATTTAATTTAACTATGTAAGAAGAATGTATTTAGAAATTAAATGATTACAAAACATCTAAATAGATATCATTCAAATTTTGGCTTTAATTGAATCTGACAGATTATTATGTTCTGAAACTAAATGACCACTGGTGAGACAAATGTGATTGCTGGCTACTGAATGTACTCTGAGACGTGTTGACAAAAAGCATCAAACTCTGTAAAATATTTGAAGAGATTTATTCTGAGCCAAATATGAGTGACCAAGGCCCATGACACAGCCCTCAGGAAGTTCTGAGAACAAGCGACCAAGGTGGTCAGGCTGCAGCTTGGTTTTATACATTTTAGGGAGATGTGAGACTTCAATCAAATGCATTTAAGAAATATATTGGATTGGTTTAGAAGAATGGGACAGCTTGAAGTGGAGGGTGCTCTGTGTGGTGCTTTCAGGTTATAGGTAGATTTAAAAATTTTCTGATTGACAATTGGTTGAGTTTATCTAAGGACCTGGGATCGATAGAAATGAAATGTCTGGATTAAGATAAAGGATTGTGGAGTCCAAAGTTCTTATTGTGTGGAGAAGGAAGCCTTCAAGTAGCAGGCTTTAGAGAGAATAGATTGTAAATATTTCTTATCAGACTTAAGATCTGTTGATGTTAATGCCAGGGAGGTATAATGGGGCATGTGTCACCTCTGCTTCCAGTCATGGCCTGAACCAGTCTTTCAGGTTAAATTTTAAGAGTGCTGTGGCTGAGGAGGAAGTTCATTCAGATGGTTGCAGGCCTTAGAATTTTGTTTTTGGTTTACAGCTGTGTGTTGTAGGATTGTGCCACTATTTTGTCCACCCAAGTGACTGTCTGGCCTTTTTCCAATATTGGGCTGAATTGGCCTTTCTACTCTTTAGGCAAACTCTGTTTCTTTCTCTTTATTAGAATAATGAAAGGGGTAATATTGAGTGCTAATACAACTTTTAAAATGCAACTATAACACCAAAACCAATGCAGGGCTGTAAACTCTTAAGTATTTAAGTAAATTATACAATTAATCTCCAAAACTAATCCATCCACACTTACTGGCTTCAAGTTTGGGATGGAGATTCTGTATGCTCCACCTTTTGGGTTGAAATGATGATGCTGACGTCTGGAAATTTAACTCAACACTCAGGTGTCTAGGGAATTACTTTTTACATTTAAAAAGTCTTGCTTTAGTCGGAGAGTTAGGTACTGAGATGAATTTTTCTCTGGCTGAATTTCAAGCAAATCAGGTAATGTATGTTGTTTACTAGAGGGAGAAAAGGTATAGCCATAAAGTCATATCACTCGATTTTTCCAACTAGCTCTAAGACCAGTCCTTAGAGCTATAAGGGACATTTTTTAACTGTTTCTCAACAACTACTTTTAGATTGGAGACTGATGAAAATATATTGTTCTTAACTACATCATTATTCAAGTAGAACAGAGATTGTTATATATGGAAACTACTGTCCCTATAGAAAATGGAAAAAAAAATGGAAACAGGGTCATTGTTATTCAAATAGAACAGAGATTGTTGTGTATGCAAACTATTGTCCCTAAAGAAAAGGAGGAGACACAGAGTGGAAGGTTATGGTGAAGACTGAGGCAGATGGCAGTGATGTGGACATGAGCCAAGGAACACCTGCAGCTGCCACCAGAAACAGGGAAAGATTCTCCTTGAGAGCCTTCAGAGAGGAAGAATACAGTTTTATGCTTAGTCTCAAACACTTAAAGTAGATAGGAATACTGTGGTTCTGCAAGTGTCTAGAACAGTCAAATAAAGACTGTTTGGGTCTCAATGATCTAATGTATTATAGTGTTATGAACGAATTGTGCCCCTCAAAAATTTGTATGTTGAAGCCTCCACCACTAATGTGACTGTATTTGGAGAGAGGGACTTTATGGAGGTAATTAAGGTTAAATGAGGTGGTAAGAATGGGCCCCTAACAGGATATATAACTTGTGTCCTTATAAAAAGGAAGTGACATTGCAGCTTGCTGGCTCTCTGAGCAAGCACAGAGGAAAGGCCATATGAGGACACATCAAGAAGGTGGCCCTCTACAAGGCAGGAAGACAGCCCTCACCAGAAACCAAATTCACCAGCACCTTGATCATGGACTTCTGCCCTCCAAAACAGTGAGAAAAGAAATGTCTATTGTTTGAGTCACCCAATCTGTGGTACTTTATTATGGCAGCCTGAGCTGACTAATACATATGGCAAAGTGTCATTGGTCTCTGTTATTCCAGATAATAACCCTACTCTGCACTTTGCTGTCCACCTTTAGCTATAACTGTTACCAGTGGAAGTTATCCAGGTTACTGTCTGTGATTCTGCATGGGGTCTGCAGCAACCTCAATTATTGCTTCCTCAGGATCAAGAATTCAACTGAGGGTCATAAGACAGAAGAAGAGACTCAGGCAAGCTTTAGAGCAGGAATGGAAGTTTATTAAAAAGCTTTAGAGCAGGACAGAAAAAAAGGAAATAAACTTGGAAGAGGCCCAAGCAGGTATCTTGGAGGTCAAGTGCAGCATTTGACCTTTGACTTGGGGTTTTATATGTTGGCATACTTCTGGGGTCCTGCATCCGTTTTCCTTGATTCTCCCCTCAGGGTGACCTGCCCACATGCGTGGTGGCCTGCTAGCACTTGGGATGTGAACAAGTGCAGTGTATTTACTGAAGTCATACGCATGCTCACCTGAGGCATTCTTCCCTTTCCTAGTGGAATGCCCCTGGAAGGTCATACTCTGCCATTTTTGCCTCTTAATGTGCATGCTTGAGCTCACTCGCTCAATTCCTAAAAGGTGCTGATTATCAATCACAGGTATTTTTATCTATTGGGAAACTACCTTTCCCTGGCACTGTCTTAAGACCAATTATTTTTTAGAGAGGCAGTGTGACAACTGCCTGACCATCACCTGGTGGTGAGCTGACATTCCTGGTGGGTGAGGGGAGCACTCTCCTGCCCCACTCATGCATGGCTAGCTACCTACTGTAACAGTAACTGTAATGTCAAAGTTTGATAGAAATGGTTGCATCTGTGACATGGCTGAGACATCGTCAAAACATTCTGTTTTGCAGAGTATAGGAAATGATTTTAAGTTTAATCAAGTTCTTAAAGGACAAAAGTTGGCATCACAAAACCTCCCATCACCACTGGCACTAATTAGTCTTCTTCGTGACAGCTGAAGTAGGTATGACTAGGACTGAATATTAAACCAAGATGGAATAAATCCCTTTCTCCCTTAGAGTTTATCTTTCTTTCCCGTGGTTGAGATATTTCCCCCTAGAAGTCAATGGAAACTTGTACTTTGCCATTCTGGTTTTCTCACCAGTTAGAGTATTTTATTATTTTGTCATTATGACATATTCCACCACAGCAAAAGGGCAGAAACAAAAAAAAACTTATGACTTCTTCAAAAAGTGATACACAACAGTAGTATATTTTGAAAACACCTGAGTAATACAAAATCTTTGTTCATATTAGAAATGATGCACACTATGTTCATTCCTGTATTTCTGAAATGAGTTTTTAAAATGTACTAAAATGGCTTTAATTTATTTCAAAAGGTAGAAGAAAGTATTCATTAAATCCATAAATCATTGAAAATTCAAATTGGTTGACCATCAGGTGAGTCTCTTCTTTTTATTTAGCTTACTTAGCACTTCTACTTTGTACTTTGAATTTGTAAAGTGCTTATCAGCCTTATTAGTTAACCCTTGTAATGTGCCCAAGAAGTAGATGGATGGCAAGCATTAGCGTGACATACATTAGTGTAGTCCTTTGAGAGATGCTATCAATGAAGCACAGGGAGGTTAAATGATTGCTACACAATTGCCCATCAAGCCCAAAGAAAAAAGTCTTGGTCTCAATTTCCTACCTTCTAACCCTTAGCAATAACAAGGGTAAAACTAAACATAAGATCATAAGATCATCCACAAGCATCTAATGTGTAGTCCCCTTTAAAAATGAAAGCTCTCAAATGCATTTTCTTAGGGTACTGAAAATCTATCCATTGAACAAGTATATTAGATGTATATTTCTTTGTCACTTCCCCATTTAAGATGGGATCATCTTAAAAGGCTATGACATAAATTGTTGTGGAAAAGATCGATTAGTTTAAAAGCTTTTTCCTTTTAACAGATCAGATGGTCATTATATTTCACCCTTTTGTGTGTGATTTTCATTGAGCCATTTTAATCATTTATTCATCTGAAGAAATTTCACCAAAAACCGAGACATTCTACAAATCATTTATCCGTTCTGGGTTTCTGTGCTAATCACTGGGTTTGAACTTCTGGGAATTGGGGACAACTCCCTGATTCTAGAATCCGTATCTTCAGAAGCAGATTTTCTTTAAGAGCTCTTCAATTCTCCTCATGGGTGAGGCTCATTACTTCATTTATAATCCTTTATCTCATTTGAGAACATTATTAGGAAATGTTTATGAGACATCAAAGAGGGCTATGTTTTGAACCCGAAGGTAAAGGGAAGATATTGCAGTCAGCTCGATGGGAAGAAGTCTAACTATTACCTTTTTTGGATGAATCAATCTTTTAATTTCACTTCTTTCACCAGTGTTTGGCTTCTTTGTTATTTCACACCTGCATGGCACTTTTAGTTGGAAATGGACAGAGAGAAAAAAAGCATTCAGGGTAAATTCATATTGTTCCATTGGCTCTTTTGTAATATAAATGAAAAACTGATGTAAAAGTTAAAACTATTAAGATAAAAGGAAATTCACAGATATAAATTTTTCCACTGTTTGGACCCCAAACATGAGAAATCTAGCATTTTGAAATAACATCATAAAATAGTGACTGATATTTGTAATAATATTTGCATTTTACAAAATACTCCCATTTTAAAATTTAACTCGACACTTATGTTAAGTTTGAGAAGCTGTTATTATATATTATCAATTCTAGTTGACAGCTTTAAAAAAAATAAAGTTCAAAGAACCTGAGATGTGTTGACGTCACATGGATGATATAAGTTATAGAGCCAGGACATGAACCTCTTGACACCAAGTCCAAAGAAATTCTCTTTATAATTTCCTCTCACTATTTTATACTATGGTTCTAATAGTCAAGCATATTCACACACACATATTATATCTTGAAATATGTGCGTTATCACCCAGTTGCACCTAAAATGACAAATACAAAAGTCATGGCTGAGACAATACCAATAGAGATCTTGACAAACATTTCTCATATTAACCCATATTAACTCACAGATATAGGCCAAAATATCATTTTCAATAAGCTGTTAAAGATTTTTGACATTTTATCTGCAATTAACCAAGTGGGTGGTTTCCAAATGAAAATTGATCCAGAAATGCTTCATGTGATTATTGCATAAGAGCTAAAAATTACTTTTAAATGTTCCAGAGAATAAGTACTTAAGTGTTAATTCAGTACCTGTCTATGTGTCCAGGAGTCTTGCTATATCATCTAAAAATATTTTCAGTACTTTATGTATCTCCCTTATAGGCTATTAATGAGAGTTAATGTGCTCTGAAAAAGACCCATCCCATGGCAAACAATTTCTGCCCACCTTATGAAATCATGTTGCCTACAGAATCAAGTCAAATCCTCTTACCCTGACATTCAAGGCCCATCAAAACTGGTCCCAATTTCCTCTCCAGCTTTCCCCTAACTAATCATATTCATAAATCTACTTTTATTGCTAAACTTATCTCCTGCCCCTTCTTCAGATTTGCGGTGCGCTCTTTTACATGTGCGCTTAAAATATCTTATCCTTCTCTCCTGTCTATCCAACTCTTATTCACTTCTTACTATCCAAATCAAGACAAGAGTTCCTCTAAAATTTCTCTTTACTATTATTCCAGCTTTAATACGCGTAATGTTAATTTGAAATGTAAAAATGCACTGCTATTCTTGCATCATATACAGGTTTTAAAATCTCTGGCAGCATTTTACTTTCACAATTTCATTTTTTAAGTGGATCAATATAATCAAGCATAATGTTTGCTAACAATCACTAAATGTTAGGGTCAGACACCAGCTAAACACTTTAAATACATGTCCTCACCTAGTACAACAATGCAGAAGTTGCTACTGTTATTGTTCTTTTTTCAAAACTGAGCCAACCTGGGGCCTAGAAAGGTTCAGTTACATGACTGCTGTTACAATGGTGAGATAATCGGCAAAAGAAGAATTTGAAATTAGTTGTTTCTGATCCTACAACCCAATGTTATCTTACCTCACCACCTCTATCAAGGATCACTATTAAGGATGCAATAATGAATTAAAATAATTTATATCCTTAATGCAATGATGTATTTTGTATTAAATCCTGGAACACAAAATAACATTATTTAAAAACCTGTCAATGAAAATAAAGTCTGTGGTTTAGTTAATATTAGCATATCCTGTTAATTTCTTAGTTTTGACCAATGCTCCATTGTTATAAACGATATTCACATTGGGGGAATCTGGATATAAAGGGTGTCTCTGTACTGTCTTTGAAACATTTGTGTAAATCTAAATGTGTTCTAAAATTTTTTAAAGTTTTGAAAATTCACATGAATAATTTATATCTGCTCATAATTAATGTTCTATTTATAGTTTCTCAGTCATATAATTTTCTCTTCTTTCATAGCCTCAAAATACTGTATATACCTGTTTAATAGAATTGACCTTGTTATTTATATTTGCGTCTGCATGCATATGTGTGTGTGTGTGTGTGTGTGTGTGTGTGAGAGAGAGAGAGAGAGAGAGAGAGAGAAAGAGAGAATACTTGTTTTTGCCCCTTACAACTTTGTCAACTTTGTAATAGCAGGCATTGTGTCTTATTGTTTGATCTTTCCATAAGCTTTTGCTAAAGTCTCATATATAATGAAAGTGTAAATGAAATTTGTTAAATTAATTTCAATTTGAGTTGATAATTTTGAGGTGATTTTTGGAGTTGTGATCAATTTTCACATAGTCAGTTATCCTCCTTCCCTCCAGTTTAATTTTCACCACATGTATACAGCAAGATGACCATTAAGACTGATAACTATAGTCTGTGGTTAATAAATAAAAAAGCAAAGGCATGTGATCTCAAAACTATGGCACATGACACTGCTATTAAAATTCACCCCCAGATGGTGGTTTTAGACATTGTGGAGAATGAAATCCAGTATTACGCAGTATCCATCACCCAAGGAATGTAGATTTTGAATTCAGAAAATAACAACGGATGTTTCTTCCCAAATGCAAAATCTGATGTTTTTCCTTTCTGTTTTTTTATTTCAAAAATGTATTCATCCATGCATGGACGTCTAAAATCTTTTCAAAAACAGTTTTATTTTTTCTTAGCCTGAAGAAGGGGAGAATTTCTAAAAATAATAATAATGATAATACTGAAAATAAATCAATGCCTTCCTTTTGATGGTTGAAGTTTCCCTGAAAACCAAATAATCATATCATATAAGACGTCAGGACAATATATGTGACTTCATAAAGGCAAAAACCTTTCCCAGTCACAGACTCCAGGCTCAGCTCTCAAGGAAGCATGTCTGCCAGTGCATGCCTGGTTCCAACGAGTAAAGGAAGTGGCAAGGAATGATGACAAATCTATGCCTCCTACTCTAAGGGTTCAACTCTTCCTGAGCTCGAAGGTAGTTTTAAAAATTAACCCTCCAGCATTATTGTGCCTTGTCTCATTGGTAAATGTAACAAATCATTGGCAGTTGAATTAGAGTTCTTCGCCCTTGACACCTCAAAGTACTGCTCAGCCCAGTGAGTTAACGGGATATTGCAATGGCATATTACAGCATCCTGATTTCCGAACACTTTCATACTTAAGAACAGACTGACAGGATGCTTTAAGTCATCAACCAGGAAAGATTTCTCCACTTGTGCCTTGAAAATGGGAATAAATGCACAAATCTATACCTTTGTGCTTCATTTGCTATCTGTCTTGTCAAAATGAAAATCGACATGGGAATCAAGTCAAATGTGCTTCAGCAGATTAGAGAGAAATAATGTATATTTTTCCTCTTGAGTCACTCAGAGCAACTATCATTTCCTGCTGTGCTAATTTGTCTTGGGCAAGTGGTTCTGAAGGTGAAACTTTGAAGGTCCTATGTATGAGAAGCCAGTGCTGCATAGCATGAAATAAACACAGAAAGAACGAAGTGTGGATAAAAGTATTATAGAACAACTGTAAGTTGTATTTTGTTTTATTTTCAAGAGAATATAGTGTTCCCTTGAATACTATTAGAAATAATTAAAAGAGAAGCTGTAAAATTGTAAGTAAAATATTTTTCTAAAAAAAAATAAAGGGAGCTGTTTAATTATTTCTAGTTTTCATTCTGTGTTTTCTGTTATTTGATCTCAACTTATCCTAAAGCTCCCCTGTGTAAGTTTGAGGAAGCAGGGTTGCCCAGGAGGGGTGGGGAAGGCCTATGAAAAAAAAAAGAAAGAGATAACTGATGGATAAAACTTGGTCTATTTGAAGAATGAATTCTGGTCAGTGTCAAAAGCCAAATGTGATTCACTGTATAAACCACACATTCATCACCCTGCCTACATGTTTGCTTTCTCTGCTAACACTATTATATTCCCTTTAGTGCACCCCTACCACCATGATAATTTACTCACCTCTGTACAGATCCTTATTCTTTTTCAAGGAAATGACATGCTGCCCTCATTTCTAAATCTAGATGTCATCTTTTTAAAGAAGAGACCCTGGGATATTCAAAACAAAGAACAGATAATTCTTAATAATGTTTTGCCTTCATGAGATCACTTTTTGAAATCCATCAAGGCGACCTACATTGAAGACCCAAAATATTATAATGCCCCTACCCCCATCCTTGGGACTCACCAGCAAGTCAGGTTGTCTAGGAAAATCTCATTACTGCAGAACTCACTGTCCAGGCTACTGTTAGTAGAGAGGAAACGGAGAAAAGTAACCCAGGTGACTGTCTGCAAACGGGCACAGATTAACCGTTCTTTGTCCAGAATCCTGGTGGAATACTGAAGAGCTACGGAAAGTCATTTTCAGACACAACATTGAGAACAGAGCTGAAAGATGATACACACATTTCCATGAATTGCAATCAATGCCACACAAGTGGAAGAACTATCATGAAAATTAATTTGGCCCAAAACTGTATCCAAAGGAATAGTTTTAGGCAAGCTTCAGCATGTTCCTGCAGCTGACAATTTGTTTAATTAGGAAGGTTATTAAACCATTTGGTTGAAATGGACAAAATTCTATGAGATTGTGGAGCATATTCATAGTCACAGGTTTATCTTCTCTCCTTGTATTCAATTGAGGACACTAATTCAATTCATTCACAAAGCAATAGATTTTATTGTGGACAATGTTGGTTTCCTTCCAGGAATCAATTCCCATTTTAAAAGGAGGCCTAAAGTGTCTGGGCCTCAGCCAGATGTTTCTAAGAGGAGAATGTTTAAAATTATTGCTAATTCCATGGTGAGTATTTTTCTCACCATTCTCATATTCCCCCTTCAAGAGTCAGAATGAACCATACTCTGCATTACATATTTCTGCCAAGGTTATTTTAATTTGTGTTAGTCTAAAATAAATTTTATGAGTGTAAAAAGAATTTAGAGGAAGCACAAGTTTGATATGGACATATATACAACATTGAGGCCAAGACAAATGATATTGATCCATGAAAAGATAAATGTATACTCTGAAATTATGACCATTCCAATTAAATTAAAATTCTTTAAAGAAGTTGTAATCACTAAGAATCACTTTGAATTTTTTTTGCAGTTAATCATACAGAGGCTTCTTGACTTATGATGGGGTTATATCCTGATAAACCCATCATAAGTTGAAAATATTGTAAGTCCATAATACTTCGAATACACTTAATCTACTAAACATCACAGTTTAGCCTAGCCTACCTTAAACGTCCCTAGAACACTCCCATTAGCCTTAGCTGGGCAAAATCATCCGGCAACACAGAACAGTGTAAAGCATGTGTTCTTTGCCCTTACAATTACGTGGCTGATTGGGAGCTGTGCCCCAGTGCTGCTGCCTGCATCATGAAAGAGTATTGTATCATGTAACACTAGCCCAGAAAAAGATCAAACTTCAGAATTCGAAATGTGCTTGCTGCTGAATGCATATGGCTTTCGCACCATCATAAAGTCAAAAAATCCTAAGTGGAACCATTCTATGTTGGCGACCATCTGTATTTCTAAGTCCTTGCCTTTAACAATATTTTAATCTGTAAGTTTATGATACTAACCCACAACATCTGCATTTTTGAAAGGGCAGTTACAGTGAAATGACCAGTTTCCTTTGAGAACCCAATTGTTATGAGTAACACACATATATCAGCACCAAAACCAAAAGTTCTAGAATTTATGGATAATATAAGACTTTCCATTAGTCTATGATTTGGCCACAGGTTTGCCTGTCTAGTCATTTCTTATTTCCATTACTGTATAATACTTACAAAGAGCCCTGATCTTTCTATTGGAGACTGCTCAAAATCAAGATACTAAAATGTAAGCACCTGCTACAACTCTTTTGACATTTGTATTCCTATTGCTTTTGCTACTTAAATTTCAGTCTTTAAATACTATTGTATAAATCTATGCAAGGCAAGCAACTTAGGAGGTATGATTATGCTTTGTAATTATTTTCCAGAGAAAAGCACTGAAGAGATTTCACTGTCTATGGTGCATACTGTCATAGAAGTGGTTTGTAAATCAAGTTGGCCTCAAGTAGGAGAAATTTAAATATCACAGCCACCCTAAAAATATTGATTTTCATATTCCAGATGAGGAAATTTAGCATCAGAGAAAATATCATAATCAGTAAAACCTAGCCAATAAGAGAGACAGGCAGGAAGGCTATGATGTAATCACATGTCCTCATAGAACCCTTGGACAAGAGTTAGGGATGATGATGACAGCATTGGGTTAATTGGGAAAGGCTTTGGCATCTCTCCTTATTTAGAGCACAGCAGCTTCAAATGCAACTGGTTTATGTTGGAATTGGAAGTAAAATTTTGTTTGAATAAAATACAAACAGCTTAGATGATTTACTGCATTACACATAGAGTAACCCAACTGTCCTGGTTTGCCTGGAACTGAGGGGGTTGCCAGGAAACAGGAGTTTCTGTGCTAAAATGGGGAAAGTCTTAGAAAAATAGGAATAAGTTGGTCACCCTACTAGTCTACTTTCCATCAAAATATTTATTTTTTGAAGGCTTCAGACTGAACAGATAGGAAATAATGCACGTTGAGGGCTCTAATGAATGTGGAACATAGCCTTGATCCATAGCTTCACAGGATTCAGCATTGTGAGGATTTGTACATTTCCCTTGGGCCTTGACTTAATGCAAGAGGGATGCAACTCAGTACTGACCCATATGACCATTCCTATGCTCACCCTTTTTAAAAGTAGGCATAAGTATCTACATTTAAATATTAGAATTAGATTGTTTCACATATTGCATATTTTACTTCCCTGGAGCAAGGGCTTTCAAAACTTTGTGACTACAATCCACAGTAAGAAATCAATTTTACAATATTGCTTAGTACATGGATCACAGATAAGTGTTACAGAAGTTTCACAGATAATTTTTATGTTTGTTATTAACCTTCAGAATACTACATGTAGGACCTCCATGTGCTACCAAGTTCAGTACCATAGATTTCTATTTCTGCAATCCATTCCAATACCCATTGAATGGCCTAAGGTTGTGGTTCTCTACCCATAGTGAACAAAAACATCACCAGGGAGTGTACTAAAGTTGGCAGTATCATAGTACAACAGAAAGAGTTCTCCATTCCAGGCTTGATTATGAGCTAGGACCAAGAAACTTGCTTTAGCAATAAGTAATCCAGGCCATGCTTAGAACACTGCCTTCAGGGCTCTGGTCCTGAGCTATCCCACAGCTTATATATCATCAATTTATTTTTCTGCTATTTACTTCTCCATCCAGCTTGTATATGAGAAAAATAAGTGGGAGATTCTGGAGGTATAAGCTTCGCATTGCTAAAACACCATTGAAAGAAGTGCATAAATTTAAAATAAGATAATCATTCTTATTAACAAAGTTTATATAGTATTTCAATGCAAGATTTGTTTTAGTTTTCCCTAAACCATAGGTAACTACTAGAGAAATTTGTGCAAAAAAGGGATACCCCTTTTTGCTGGCTATAATGATCACTCTGTTATGGAGGAAAGCAAGATAAGAGGTGAGGTGATCTGGAAAAAGATGTTGGAACAAATCAGGTAAGTGATGATGAGGCAATTGATATGGTTTGACTCTGTGTCCCCACCCAAATCTCATCTCAAATTGTAATCCCCATGTGTTGAGGGAGAAACCTGGTGGGAGGTGAATGGATCATGGGGAGGTTTCCTCCAAGCTGTTCTCATGATAGTCAGAGAGTTCTCAAATAATCTGATGGTTTAAAAGTGTGGCACTTCCCTCCTCTCTCTCGCTCATTGTCCTGCTGCCTTGTGAAGAAAGTGTTTGCTTCTCATTTGCCTTTTGCCATGATTGTAAGTTTCCTGAGGCCTTCCCAGCCATGTGGAACTGTGAGTCAATTAAACCTCTTTTTTTTATTAATTACTCAGTCTCAGGCAGTTCTTTATATCAGCATGAAAATGGATTAATACAGAAAATTGTTACTGGGATAGTGGGGTACTGCTATAAAGATAACCTGAAAGTGTAGACAAGACTTTGGAACTGGTTAATAAGCAGAAGTTGGACTGGTTTGAAGGGCTCAGAAGAAAACACGAAAATGTGGGAAAGTTTGGAACTTCCTAGAGACTTGTTGAATACTTTTGACCAAAATGCTGATAGTGATATGGACAATGAAATCCAGGCTGAGGTGGTCTCAGATAGAGATGAGGAACTTATTGGGAACTGGAACAAAGGTCACTCTTGCTATGCTTTAAGCAGAGACTGGCAGCATTTTGCCCCTGCCCCAGACATCTGTGAAACTCTGAACTTGGGAGAGTTAATTTAGGCTATCTGGCAGGAAAAATTTCCAAGCAGCAAAGCATTCAAGATGTGAACTGGCTTCTTCTGAAAGCATACAGTCATATGTGTTTGCAAAACGATTATCTGAAATTGAAGCTTATGTTTAAAAGGGAAGTAGAACATGAAAGTTTGGAAAATCTGCAGCCTGGCCATGCAGTAGAAAAGAAAACCCCATTTTCTGGGGAGAAGTTCAAGCTGGCTGCAGAAATTTGCATAAGTAAAGAGAAGCTGAATGTTAAATAGCCAAGATAATGAGGAAAATGTCTCCAGGATAGTTCAGAGATCATCATGGCAGCCCCTCCCATCACAGGCCCAGAGGCCTAGGAGGAAAAAATGGTTTTGTGTGCCAGGCCCAGGACTCTGCTGCTCTGTAAAGCCTTGAGACATGGTGCCCTGTATCCCAGCCACTCCATCTCCAGCCATGGCTAAAAGAGGCCAAGGTACAGCTTGAGCAACTGTTTCAGAGAGTGCAATCCCCAAGCCTTGGTGGCTTCCACATGGTGTTGGGCATGTGGGTGCACAGAAAACAAGAGTTGAGCTTTGGAAGCCCCCACCTAGGTTTCAGAGGATGTGTGAAAATGCCTGGATGTCCAGGTAGAAATCTGCTGCAGGAGTGGTGCCCTCATGGAGAACCTCTACTAGGATAATGCAGAGTGGAAATGTGGGGTTGGAGCCCCCACAGAGAGTCCTCAATGAGGCACTACCTAGGGGAGCTGTGAGAAGAGGACCACCATTCTCCAGACCCCAAAATGGTAGATCCATTGACATCTTGCACTGTGCACCTGGAAAATGCACAGGCACTCAATGGCAGCCTGTGAAGAAGCTGCCTAAAGCCATGGGAGCCCACCCTTTGCATCAGTGTGCCCTGGATGTGAGATATGGAGTTAAAGAAGATCATTTTGGAGCTCTGAGATTTAATGACTGACCTACTGGATTTTGAACTTGCATGGGGCCTGTAGCCCCCTTTGTTTTAGCCAATTTCTCCCATTTGGAGTGGGAAAATTTACCCAATGCCTGTACCCCCATTGTATCTTGGAAGTAAGTAGCTTGCTTTTGTTTTTACAGGCTCATAGGTGGAAGGGATTTGCCTTATCTCAGATAAAACTTTGGATTGTGGACTTTTGGGTTAATGTTGGAATAAATCAAGAATTTGGGGGTGTGTTGGGAAGGCATGATATGTTTTGAAACGTGAGAAAAACATGAGATCTGGGAGGATCCAGAGGTGGATTAATATGGTTTGGCTCTGTGTCCCCACCCAAATCTCATCTCAAATTGTAATTTGCACATGTCAAGGGAGGGACCTGGTGGGAGGTGATTGGATAATGTGGGTCATTTCCCCCATGCTGTTCTAGTGAATGATGCTTTAAAAGTATTTGGCAGTTCACTCCCATTCCCTCATCTCTCCTGCTGCCTTGTGAAGAAAGTGCTTGTTTCTCCATTGCCTTCCACCATGATTATAAGTTTTCTGAGGTTTCCCTAGCCATGTGTAATGGTGAGACAATTAAACCTCTTCTATTTATAAATTACCCAGTTTCAGGTAGTTTGTTATAGCAGTATGAAAATGGGCTAATACAGTAATGTACTAAAGAGTTAGGCTGAAAATGGTTGTAGATGATGAATATACAACAAGCAATAGGAAGTATAACCTCTCATAGCATAATAGGTCAGGTAGACAAGCAGGTGGTCATCCTGATGCAGTGCAACATGTTCTGTGCAAATGGTATTTGTAATTTGCAATGATTACAAAAGGCAGAAACCCACTCAGAAACACTGCAGTATGCACTGCAACTCTGTCTTCAAGCAATCAGCAGACCGTGGATGAGCATTTGACACTCAAATCAAGGTGGCTGGAAAACAAGATGAGCTCAGAATATTTAAATATCTTTTAATAAATTCCAGGATAAAATACCATTTAACATTGCAATGAATTAGAGACAAAGAAAGTAAAACTTCATTGTTATGCACTTGATTGTAAACTCCATCCATCTAAATGTAGATGCATAAAAAGCAGGGTGCTATAATATTTTCTCTTAATTTTATGTAATATTCTAACTTAGTCTACATGTAACAGTGTACATGAAAATCCTCAGGACCTTTTTCCAAGACAATCCAGAGATTGATGACTCTCCTCCCCATGACATTCCTGTTCAATTAGGTAGAGGTCATAGAGACATCTGCTTCATATTTCACCAAAGAGTATTAAGGACTTCAAGGGAAATGAAATTCTTTAATTTTAGGTCTTGGCACACACAAAGCAAACTCACCATTCACTTATAAAAAAAGATGACAATTAGTTGAATTTTTCTACCAATTTTATTTTAGTTTTTAAAAGTTCTCCATTTATTATTTATAGCATGATTTCCTTAGTTTGAGCTCCCTTCTCTGACCTCCTTGTTTACCCTCCTTATATATAGCTTGACTCGGGATCAAATGCAGTGGAGGGTCTCATTAAATGCTGAGCAGCCAGTTTTGACAAACTCTACTTTCACACAAGTTACACAACAGAAATACATAATATAATTTTTATGGTTGACTGCCTTGAGAAAATTTAGCACACCAGACGCATAATTCATTCAAGGAAAAAAACATTCTTTAGCTGACTTATTACCTGAGTGTAGCTCTGCTGCTGGAAATAAAGTTTGAAAGCTTCTGCGTACATAAGGAGTACAAATGGATTTCGGTCATCAATAACGTGACTAAATTAAGAATCAGAGTGTTAAGGGATTTCCCTCTAGCAAGTTAACAATAATACGCCTTGTCTTTGTGTCTATGATGTGACAGAATCCATGCCCTACACATTGCATGTGTTACCTTGCTGTAATTCTAACAGGCCTATCATATGAACATCATAATCCCCACTTACAGATGAGAACGCTGAGGATCAGAAAGGTTAAATAACTCCCACAGGATCACACTGCTGGTGAATGTTGAACCCAAGTCAGTGAAATTCCACAATGATGGGTTATCCTACGACTTCCATGAAATTTTACTTCTCATCCTAGAAGGTTTGATCATCATTGAGTGTCTGCAAACCATGTATTTGACGTTCTGCCTCTTGTCAGTGCAAGCAAGAGAGAGTACTAAAAGTGCCTTAAGAGGTAATCTGATACAAATAAAAGCAATCAAAAGATTTTAGACTCGGAAACCCCATTCAGTGAATGTTTAACAGAGCAGTCGAGGATGAAGACAGAGAGGACAGGAGCCAGAGCTGATTCTGATGCTGATGCTCAAGCACATGAGACTGTGTTTCCCTTGCCAAATCATTTGTTTGCTGTTGTTTGCAAAGTCTAATTGTATCACAGTACAGAGTGTAAAATGCTAAGTAAAATGTTTCTTTGCCATATCTATCTATATATAGACAGAGCTTTGATTTCCTAAATCCAATATTTGCATATATCCAATATAGTTATAAAGACAGAACCAAACTGCAGTGGCATTTAAAGAAAGTCATTTAGAAAGTAAATGAGAAATAAATATAGGACCTCTAACTAGGGATATATTATGCTTCTTTCTCTTCTGATTCCTGGCCTATTCCCTTTCTTCCTGTGTCAATTAATTCATCGGTGCCATATTTATATTTAAACTCTTTGTTATAAGAAACAAACCCTACTTTTCTTCATGAAATAAAAAGAAAGAAGTGTGGTCAGATAAAAGAAGAATGAAACCTGGAAATGCAAAGATATCAGGCAGTTGAAGTAGTACTGTTCTCTCATCTGCAGTCTCCAGTCTCTATGGTTTGGGGTTTCTCTTCCCCTGTGAACTTTCTCTGATACTCAATCTACCTGGAAGGCATGGGATGGTCATTCGGTGACTCACAAGTTTATGTGTTATGAATATCACAAAATGAAAGGACAGATAATCTTAGTGCTAACTTCAGTTTTCTGGAAAAGAAATGCCAATTTCCTCATTTTATTTAAATCTCCACTCTTGGTCCATGTCATGTGATCAGGTGCTCATAAAATACTAATGTGGCTTTGGTTTTCCCCATTTGGAGAGCTAAGGTCAATCGAGAATCATCCTGAACAGAACAAATACTTCAAAATGATTCACTGTACCTTCTTTGGCTCAATTATTCAAGTAGTAGCCTCTGTACCTAAAATATCCTCTTCTTTCCAAAGCTTTCTCAAAATATATTTGTAATAAAACTTATCTGATAATGTTTCTCCATCCAGAGGAGGAGCCTTGGCACAGTTAATGGAGTCACTTTGGCTTTCTCACTCAGCTGACCAATGTGGATCACACAATGCCCATTAGATCATGGAAACTGGTGTCAATTAGAACAGATTAAAATATTCACACCAAAGTCTTGCTTGGATTAGAAAAATCTGTTTTTACCACTTACCACATATGTCCTATTTCCAGTCTATGCAACACTTGCATAGGAGCCCTAAATAGTTATCATTTGATTGTTAAATCCTTTTTTCCTGTTCCTTGTATAACTTTCTTGTTGCTATTTGCCATAGAAATAAATGCCATCTGTTTATATACTTCAACCTCTTGAGAATAGGGGGAATAGCCAAAGAATTTTGCCTAAATACTTGTAAACTTCCAAATGGAAACCCTTAATAATTATCATTTAATGGCAATGATCATCAAGAAGATGATAAAAAATAAAATGAAACAATATATTAATCAGTAACAGAATATAATCAGTAACTGAGAATAAAAATAAACATTCTCATTCCAAGAACATTATGCCTAAAGACAAAGCATCTGCTTCCTGTGGCTTAAAATCCTCAAATCACTTCAAGGAAAGTTGAAATATTTAGTGAATCATCATGCCAAAGCAGTAGGTCCATTATATAGTACAGGCAGTAAAATAATCTAAGAGCAAACATTATTTAACTCTTCATTGTAAGAAAAACTGGTTTTATGTTAGGTCTCAGGCTAACAAAGTACACAAATATTCCACCAGAAAAATCTTTTGTAAAAATCTGATCTTGAATAAAAGACCTTTGTATATATGTGACAAGAAACTCATTGACTAAACAAATTACATGTGAATTGCCTAAAGACATATTTACAAAAAAGAATATAAAACCCAGCATGTGTGATGACTAGTACAAAAAATCATTGTGGAGAAATTTTATCATAAAATATAGTTTGGAAGAATATATATATATGTGTGTGCGTGTGTGTGTGTGTGTGTGTGTGTGTATACATATACACACACATATCCATCTATCAAAAGAGAAATATTAATACAAATGTAGAGATAGAGTGTATATATAACTCGAGACATGTTGATAAACTTAATTTTAACTTACATGTGGTCAGTGTTAACCTACAATGATGAGAAGGTTAAGTCAAGTGATATTTTGAAAAATACTTTGATTAAAGTCAAGGTACCAAAGAGGCAGAGGGTAATTCATGGTCACAATTAGGATAGAAAGAATACATTAAACCTGAAGGAATAAATGAGCTAGTGATTGCAAGCTTACCAGGAGCAGTTTTAAGGTAGGTTTTACATAGGAAGAATGTTAGTGTCTGGGATGTTCCTCCTTTGCCTTAAGTATCCCAAGTCTGTTAAGCTAGATCTTTACCTATATATAATCAGTTATATCCTCCTCCTACCATAAAGGCTCAATATCTTTAGCAAAGGTATTTCCTCTGGACAGAATGAATGTCTCTTTGGGAGCCTCCCTGCATCAGTACTGGTCTCATCAGAGTCTGTTTTTCCTTGATTATGTTGACTAGAAAAGAGTAATGTAGTCAATTATTCTTTTCCTGGGTTTCAACTGCCTTGCTGCCCCCACCTCCAGAACACAGGACTTGATAACTGACCTTTAAACACATGTATCACCTCTTAGGTGAAGTATCTGTAACAGACTTTAAAACTCCAAATTCTCTTTTGTCTCTCTGCAGTAGGCCATCTACCAAAGTTGTTTCGTTTCACTATTGGCCTTCAATTTGTCCATGATTTCATTTTGTGATAATTTCAACTAGAAGTTTACATGTAAACTAAACATGAGTAAGGGAACATACTTGAAAGCAGGAAGAACACAGAAAAACTATGGACAGAGTCTCCAGTACTACTCTTAGAAAGATCAAGCTTTAAAATGTCTGTGTAGAAAAAAAGAAAAATGCAAACTAAGTTGAAAATTCATTGTTACCTCCTAATATTAAATTTCTCCTCTGAGATTGATCTGTATTTTCAGTAAGTAATTTCACACATGTATCACAATTTACTGTGATTCTCTAATAACCACCACATGGTGCAAAGAGTAATTTTTTGCCAGCCTCATTTCATATTGGTCTCCTAAAGAGAGAACACATGGTGGCAGGTCTGGGTGTGAGGCAACACAGGGTTTTCAGAGCCTAACAACAGTGATGGAGAAACCATGAAGGCTAAAAGAGCTATAAGAGACATTTGCCGTGAACACCTTAAGACCAAACTTTATGAATGCATTATAAAGTGAGGCCAATTTTTAAATGAAAAAAGAAAGGGTTCAGAAACAACAGCTTTCATTTTGTGGATTGCTTTACACATGAAGATGAGTTAACATTAACAGAAGAAAGAAAAGTTCTGCTTAAGCACAAAGATTCAAGACACTTCAAGAAATCAAAAAACCGAGATAGTATTTTTCAAAATCAGGCTAATGTGAATACGTGGCTGCTTTGGGAATGATATGTAGAAAAGCGTGTAGTCATGCTTTTCTAGGGAAACCAAGAGGGCTGGGGCTGCTCTCTATTTCCATCATCTAGTTCCAAATTGTGGCTGTTAACCAAGCAACTTTGGTAGAAAGTCGAAGGAGAAGAAACTTTACATTCCATTAGGGAATAATATCTAAGAGCATGATTTTAGCAAAAAACACTGAATTTATGTTGAGGGTCATGGAGTTACTGTAGGAAGGAATTCATGTCAAATTCCTAACAGGGGGCTCTCAGGGCATGGAAATATGTCTGTTGTCATATCTGCTTAATGAATTCTTCAGTACAAACCTGGGCCACAGTTTAGTGACCACATTCATGAACATGCTTCCAATCTGGAGACAATTATGAGAAGTTTGGTAGATACTCCTAGAAACCCAAAACCTCAGGATGGGTGGGAAAGTTGAAGGAGAAAGAGAAGAAGAAGATCTCCTGGTAGTCTGGTATCAGGTGACAATCTGAAAATGAGAAGTTCTCCCTATTGGACCTCCAAAAATGAAAGTTGGGAAATGATGGAGGGACCTGAGGGCTGAACTCTTTCAACATCAAAATAACTGAAGCTCTCCATTCCCTAGGGAAGAGGCAAGATCCATGGAGGAATACAGCAGATATGGCTAGGTGCTCATCTGATGATGCTTATATCCACTGTGAGGGGTTAGAACATCTCTGATTATGGAAGAAGTGTGGCAGAGGAGTAGGCTGAGAAGCCTGTCTCCTGGATTATCTTCAAATTTTAAACTGCTGTATATAACCTATGACATTTCCAGAGACATCTACCAGCATCTCTTTGCCCCTCTCACTGGGTTTCTGTAGTGATTATACATGGTATTTCAGCTGGCTGTGATTCCATGATATGAGAAACTATTGACCTGGAGGAAAGGACAAGAAGATTTCTTCTTACCTTGGGCTCCAGGATAAGCCTGAAAGTCAGGCCATTAAAGGGCCATCAGAGAAAAATCCCTCCAAATCCTTCATAGCGAACAAAAAAGAGGGAGTGTTCATCCATGAGTCCAAAGATACCAATCTGCAACTGTTAATAATCTTCATCTCATGTACCAACAGGAGACAGAAATAATTTCCAATGAGCTAAAACTAGTTTCTCAGGAAGGCACTATAATATGTGTGTGTGTGTGTGTGTGTGTGTGTGTGTGTGTGTGTGTGTGTATAAAATGTATTACCAGAGTTTTCATGGTACTAACAAAATAATGCAGTAGACTGGAGGTACATTAACCCTTTCAATGAGACTGCCTTTGGCTGGAGGTGTAAAATATCAGAAGAAAGAAATTCAGGAGGGTTCAGGGCATGAAATGTTGGCAGTGCACAATTCCATGCTTTCTGCAATGCTCAAAATCTCTGGATAGTTTAAATACATAAAATGTATGGCTTAGTTGAATTTTTTATTGTATCTTGTGAAATCAAGAAGCTCATACTGCATTTTGTGGAACAGAATTTGGGCAATAGGTATGAAGCAAAGGGTAGGAAGAAGAGGCAATGTAGGAAGGTTAGAGATGTAGTAAAATCTTAATCAATATCTGAGTTTAACAAGCCATGAAATTGGGAGTTTCAGCCAATGTTTTAGCCATAATTTGAAGAATAGAGATATCAAGTAAAATGTGGGATACATATAACTCACCTTTGTATTCTAAATGTCCTCTTGATTTGTATTATGACCTTCCAAGAACTAAAATATGGTTTTAGCATACCCAGTGTTCATGATTCTGGGGAATATCTAGTTTTCCATGCTCCTTACTATGGTTCTCAATCTTAGCCACATTAGAATTGACTTGGAAATTATTTTAAAATTCTTGATGTCTGAGCCTTTCTCCAAAACATTTATTTAATCTTGTTGTGTGGTATCTGATAAATGATTTTTTTCAAGTTTTCATATAATTATAGAGCCCAGCCAGGGTTGAAAACCATTGACCTAGAAGCACTGCTATTTCCAACTAGCAGTTATACAGCCTTAACCTTTACCCTAGATAAATTAGGGCAGCATTTTAGTAGTCTCCGAAATTTTATTCTTGTATGCTATCATTCATTCATGTATTTATTTATCAATTCAACTATTAGTGACTACATTGCTTTTAGGTAGCAATATTGTGTTGATACCGAAAATACAGTCGTATAAGTCTGTTTGAATTGCTATAACAAAATACTTGAGGCTGGGCAATTTATAAAGAAAAGAGGTTTATTTGGCTCACAGTTCTGCAGGCTGAACAAGAAAAATAGCTCTGGCATCTGCTTCTGGTGAGGACCTCAGGCTTCTTTCACTCATGTTGGAAGGTGAAGGGGAGCTGTCATGTACAGAGATTATAGGGCAAGAGAAAAAGCAAGAAGAGAGGGGGTAGGAGGAGCCAGGCTCTTTTTTAACAACCAGCTCTCCCAGGAACTAATAGAGTGAGAACTCATGAAAGAATGGCACCAAGTCATTCACGAGGAATCAGCTCCCATGACCCAAATATCTCCCTCTAGGTACCCACATCATCTAACACTGGGGATCAGATTTCAACATTAGATTTGTAGGGGCCAAACATCCAAACTATAGCAGCAGTAATGAACAAAAATCTTACCACCAGACTTAGTAGAAATGATAGTCTTGTGGAATAAAAATATGGATTAAATAGTCACTAAAATAAAGGTATAATGGTAAATTGTAACACATGTTATCACAGAAAGGTAACATTTTGATTGCATTTTAACAAGGGCCCCTGATTTAGATATTGAAGTTATGTGGATAATCTCTGGAAAAGTTTTAGAGCAGAGGCCTAAAGGATAAGATATGAGTGATTTTAAAAGACCTAGAAGGTAAAGGGACTCTAAGCAGAAGAATAATTTTGTGCAAAACTCTGGGATAAGAAAGAGAAGCCATATATTTGAAGAAATGAAAGAAAATCACTCTGTTGGAAGGAGAGAAAATTATAAAGGTTTAGTAAGGTATAGCCCTGGAGAGGTAGCAAATGTCAGCTAAAGCAGGGCTTGGAGACCTTGCTAAGTATTTAGATTTTATAGTGTGATATACGTGTGTGTGTGTGTTTCTTATTTTGTTTTTATTGTCAATTGTATATTCAGTAGACCACCACTGAAAATGTTTTAAGTAGAGGAAGCTAGTCTCTAGTTTGCAAATTCAAAGATGATTCTGACATTCTGGCTGGCTGCTAGAGAGCGATTTCAAGGAGGGCAAGATTAGAAGTAAGATCGGTTCACAGATAATTGCACTAGTTCAAGTAAAATATTATAATTATGTGAGTCAAAGGGAAAGAGTTGCAAGCAAATGGGTGAAATTGAGCTATAGTTTGAAAAAAATTCAACGTGTTTTAGGGGACTAGATAGATCATGATAGAAAAAGATAAATTGTATGGAATCCTGACTCTTCCACTGATCTGTGAGACATGAGGTGAGTTATTTAACCTCTCTATGCCTCAATACTCACGGATAGAATGAGAATTATGTTAGTTCTTTCCTAATGCATATGCAAATATTATATAGCAGTCAACTTCTGATCTTCAAAACACTACCAAAAAAATATTTTGATCAAACAAAACTCAGTTTAGTAGACTTATCACAGTAGGGAGAATATCACCTTGACCAATCTTAGTATTTTCTCAGAACAAGGTTGCCTGAAGAGGATATTTATATAATTTCAGGGCCTGAATTGAGTGATTTTTAGGTGAGTTGTGCAAGTTGAGAACCAAGTTGGGATTGCACAATGTGTGTGACATAACAGCTTTGGACTGACCAGCCTAACAAGGAAGAGGGCTAACCTTGATCAACCAACCAGTGGTTGTTCTTGAAATGTTAACTATTTTGTTTAATTTGGTCTTATCTTCCAGGAGCAAGAGCTAGTTTTTGTTGTTTTCTCAGTATTTTTAAACACATGTGTGGAAAACTCTTGCTATTCCAGAATAGTTTAACAGGTAATGTTTTCAAGTTCCTGTAAGATGTTAATATTCCGAATTCAAGAATGAGAAATTGGAATTCAGAAATTCTTGGGAATTCTTTTTTTTTTTTTTTTTTTTTTTTTTGAGATGGAGTCTCACTGTGTTGCCCAGCCTGGAGTGCAGTGGTGCAATCTTGGCTCACTGTAACCTCCATCTACAGGGTTCAAGCGATTCTCCTGCCTCAGCCTCCTGAGCAGCTGGGATTAGAGGTGTGTGCCACCACACCCGGCTAAATTTTTTGTAGTGTTAGTAGAAATGGGGTTTCACCATGTTGGTCAGGCTGGTCTCGAAGTCCTGACCTTGTGATCTGCCTGCCTCAGCCTCGCAAAGTGCTGGGATTACAGGCATAAGCCACCACGCCCTCCTGGGAATTCTTAAAAACATTACTATACCTTGTTTTTCATGAAAATTTATTTACATGTTTTACATAATTATGTTATTATAATAAACTGAATTATTTCTGTGATTAGGCTATACTAAAATTTTCATGTAATTTTTAAGAATAATGAAAGTGCATGCTCTAATCTTAAACCAGTATATTATGACAAGATTAAATATTTCAATAACATCCAAATTGATCTCTAACTTGATAGAGATATTTCATAAAAGAAGAAATTATTAAAACAAAGTAAATGCCAAATAATAATGTTAAGATTTAAAAAGCAAATATTTAATATTTAAATGGTATTCTTAAACTGAAATTTTGGAGCACACAAGCATTGTTATCTTCAAGATAGGTCTTAGAGTGTATGTTGCTTCATGTAAACTTGTTTTTTAACTATGAAAATATTTTTTGTGCTTGCCTAAATTTGGCTTGCTGTGGAAATCAATATTGCTTTTGTTACTTTGGATTTTATATCTGTTTTGGGTTCATATCAGAGTAGTCTCCGACAATATAATCATCAGCTTCTCTTTGCATCTCTTCTTAAGGCATTTACAAATAACTGTAGGCTAAAGCAAGTGTTTAAACCCAAAAAATCACCGGTGTATACTTTCAGGTAGTATTCAAATAACCTAACATTCTGTTCTCTCAGCAAAGATAATGGCATAATCACATAATCACATTTCTAAATTGTCAATTTAAGGACTTATATTTCTTCTAAAACTTGTTACTTCCTGGAGTACCACAGATAGGATTTGTATAAAATATACAATGTAGACTTATTAATATTTATTTTATTTATAAGAAGGACTCACCATTAGCAGCAGACAGGACCATGAAAACACACTTATGACACAGCAACAACTATGAGCACACCTGAGTGATTAGATCATCAACATCTCTTCCCAGAAATGTCCAGCCTTATTCTCCAACTCTGAGTGTTAGTGCACCCAGCTCTTGCTTTCAATGTGACATCAATGGGTTTTGTCAAACCACTTTCTACTTCTTTTAATTGTAGTAGCAGAATTATAGTAGTTTTATAGTTTTCCTAATTTCTTGACAGGTTTTGTTTGGGATATGAGATTTGGAAAAACATTTAAATTTCCAGACACACACACACACACACACACACACACACACACACACACACACAAATGGAATGTGTGCTTGGAAACACCAGCCACAGGAAAGTATCTTGGCTCCCATTGTTGTTTAAAACAAGATTATGTTTGTTTTGGTTCTAGAAGCTGATGACATCAAGCACTTAAAACATCACTTGGCAAACATTAAATTATCAAACATTTTAGTAATTATTATAATTGGAGCATCATTTTGATGAAGTTGTCATTCACTGAGAGATGGATCTGGTTGGGAAAAGAGAGAAGAGGTAATGAGTTCAGTTTGGGGTGTTAAGTTTAAAAAGCCTGTGGGGTAGTCAAGTGCAGAAATCAAGAAGGTAGTTGGGTCTGTGTCTAATAAAAGTCATGTGGAGGTATACACAATATTGGTATGTAGACAATGTGTAAAGCCATGAATAAGGATAAGGTCACATACACAGAAAGTAGACTGTGAGAAGAGAAGAAAACTAGGCTCAAGTACTGACTGGGATACCTGATTTTCATGCATTCTCTGAACTGCACTTTTCTATTCACCTTATTTTATCCTCTTAGTAAGCGGGCTGCGTCTTAGTTTTCTCAGTAGCAGGTTATCTGCTCTTGAAAAATTGCTTAGCTTAATGTCCCAATACCCTGCCTAACACTTCCTATACATTCTCCCTAAGCCAGAAGTTCCCCCTCTATTGCTAATTTGCTGAGTTTTTTTTTTTTTTTATGAACAGGTGTTGAATTGTGTCAAATATATTTTTCTGCATCTACTCTCATGATCATGTGATTTTCGTTCTTTAGTCTGTTGATGCAATGAATTATATTAGTTGATTTTCAAATGTTGAACCAGCCTTGCAACCTGGGATAAATCTCATTTGGTCATGGTGTATAGTTATTTTTATACATTGTTGGATTTGGTTTGCTAATATTTTGTTGAGGATTTTTGCATATATCTTCATAAAATATATTGTTCTGTAGCTTTTTTTTTCTTGCAATGTCTGATTTTGTTAGTAAGCTAATGCTAGCCTCATAGAATGAGTTAGGAAGTATTCTCTCTGCTTCTATCATCTTCTGGAAGAAATTGTGGACAATTGTTTCTTCTTTAAATGTTCAGTGCAATTTACCAACAAACCCATCTGGTTGTGGTGCTTTCTGTTTTAGGAAGTTATTAATTATCAGTTTAGTTTATTTAGTAGAAATAAGCCTATTCAGATTGTCTATTTCTTCTTGTGTGAGTTTTGACAGATTGTGATTTTCAAGATATTGGTCCATTTCTTCTAGATTATCACATTTATGGGAATCAAATACATAGTATTCCTTCCAAATTTCTAACTTACATCATTTTACTTCTCTGAAGACTTTCTCTGATAGATCTAAGAAGGATTGTTGATTTTTCTGTCTTTTGAGCCTTTTACTTGTTGATAGGATGAAGTAACGATTTCTAAGCTCTTCACATGCCATATTAGAAGCCAGAAGTGAATAATTATTTTCTTAGAGAAGACATTGAACCACCAAGGAATATATGATGCCTTTTGTTTTATCTTTTATTTTAAATATTTCCTATACTTAAGCTTTATTGGTTATTAAGAAATATCATAGGATGGGACCAGTAATTTATCTAAGTTTCACTGTGAATGCATGGCGCAATTTTGTACAAATTGCAGTATATCCCTGTGCCTTTTATCTGAAAATTAAGTGCAATAATATTGGCCCAGCTGCCTCAATCTTGTTGGTAGAACAACAACCACAAAAAAGTGAATGTGCCTTACAAATTAAAATTATTAAATGAATTAAATGTTTTATTGACATGAGTAATTAATGGATATATTTACATGAACAAAATACTCAATTTTTCTTCCCTATTCATGTCTCCTAAACTTAATAAAATACATAATTACCATTTATTTTAAAAAAGAATTAACATTTTCAAGAAGTTTGAGTGTTATAGAGTGAATTTTTCTGTTTCTACCAAAATTCATATGTCGAAGCCCTAATCCCCACTGTGACTGTATTTGGAGATAAGGCCTTATAAGGAAGTAATGAAGGATAAATGAAGTCATAAAATATGGGGCCCTGATCTGATAGCATTAGTATCCTTGCAAGAAGAAATATAAGAGAGCATTCTTTCTCTTTCCCTGTGTGTCATGGTAGCACACAGCAAGAAGGTGGCTGTCTGCAAGTCAGAAGGAGAGTCCTCACTAAAAGCAAAACTCAACTGGACCTTGATCTGAGACTTCCAGCCTCCCAAACTGTGAGAAATAACTTGCTGTTGTTTAAGCCACCTAGCCTGTCATCTTTTGGTATGGCAGCCAGAGCTGACTAATATACTGAATAATTTTGTATTAGATGATTGTTCTCTGTACTCCCCTAATTTCGTGTAACATTATTATATTTACACCAGATCAAAATTAGACTTACATTTCATTTCCCACCACTTGACTGTAATCTTTGAGGGCTAGAGCTATATCATATTTAAGTTTGAATGTCCATTAGTAAGTATATTGTTTGGCATACTAGGTGCTCAGTAAATATTGGTTGCACAAGTAAATGTTGCATAAGAACTCTAGGTCTTCTATCATGAAAGAGTGTGTATGTGTGTTTACGATTTTGATAACTCTGATCAACTCTAAGAGTTAGTTGTTTTGTTGGTGGTGCTGCTGATTTGCTCGTTTAATTATATAGTTTTGTTGATAATGATTTGAAATAATCCACACTTCATGGTGAGTTGAGTTTGTTGCTATAAAATATATCCTTATATCCTAAATCATTTTTCTTCAATAGATTTCTCTTTTCTAATAAATAAACCAGGTAATATGAAAAGCACTGATTTCCAAATAGGTAACTACACCATCTTAAATACAAAGTCAAGAGTCTAATTTGACATGAAGAGGAGAAGATAAAGAGACAGTGCTTGGACATTCATGGATAAATCACAAAGCAGGAGAATCCTGGAAAACTATTGTATACACAAGAGAGACATGAGAAAAATAAGAAAGTAATGCTGCATGAATACAACAACCAACAAAAGGACACATTAGAATATAAAAAAGATGAGTTCTCACTTTTAAAAAATAGGTTGGCTTTAGAAATAGTGTTATTCCTCATACTGGAAAATTGCAGTTTTCAAGCCAGGATTATATTATGAGGATCAGAAACGCTGTCAATATATCTCATAGAAAGAAAAAGAGAGAGAGAGGGAGGGAGAGAGAGAAAAGAAAGAAAGAGAGAGAAAGAAAGAGAGAAAAGAAAGAAAGAAGAGAGAGAGAAAGGAAAGAAGGAAGGAAGGAAAGAAGGAAGGAAGGCAGGCAGGCAGGAAGGGTGGAAGGGAGGAAGAAAAGGAGAAAGAAAGGGAGAAGGAGAAAGAAAAGTATGTAGGGGCGTGTGTGTCTGTGTGTACACGCACACATGCATGATGTCTGGGGGCAAAGGAATGCATGAGAAAACCAGAAGACAATGCAAAGGCTCCTTATTCCAACGTTAGTTTTCAATGGCTTCAGTGAAGCTATTCTTGATGATTGTGCTCGATTAGTCACATGAAGAGCCAAAAGCAAGGTAATTTATATCCTGTAACTCGTTAACTAGTGAAAACATTTAAAAGAGGAAATCTTTATTTAAAATTATGTTTCCTAATCTGGTATTCAACTGACCCTGACTCTTCTGCTTGATGGTTGTAGTAGTATTGTGAAAAAAAAAATTAAAGTTAAATAACTTTAGATGTAATTGGATTAACAAAGGAAAACAAGTTTATTTAGCATAGTGAATCTCTGAGAGAGGGGATGTGTTGTTAATGTGCTGTGATTATTAGACAATGGAAACCCACCAAAGCACAGCATCTATTAACTCTCATTAGAAAGTGTTACGTTAAAATCTCATCATATTCCATAATTTCTGTTGAGAGTTGAGATATTTTAGGAATGATTTTTGAGCAACATCATTTTCATCAAAACTCAATAATGAAAACCTTTGGCCCAGTAGCAATGAACACACTAAACACCCAGATATTGATTTCTAAATACCACTTTCCAATAAAAGGAACCAGGGCTCCTTGGAGAACTGATTGATTCCAGGTCTGTGGCAGGAAAAATACAAGAAAAGCCTACAGTATCTTGCAGTGCCAGAAAGGATATGGAAAATCAAAGTAAATAAACAAAATGACGAGAAACATATCAAAAGGGCACAGAAGTCAGCCTGAAAGAGTCCCCAATGGTCAAAGTTGAAACAACTGAAAATAAAATAAATAATGATGGCATTGATTACATTCCAAAAAATAAAATAATATTTATAAGTTAATAAAATAAATGAACAAAGAAAGAGCAACAGCTCTTCTTTATTGAAGAATTCCAGTTAACACATATAAAAGAAATGAGAGAAATATAAAATCACCATTAAACCTCATAGTAATATTTACAACAAATGAGGTCATTCATTAGATAATAAAATGAGTGGGTGAAAGTTTAAGCATAAACAAGATATTTGTATTGTCTCAAAATATCTCTCCCAAAGCTTTTAGTAATTACAAACAGAAAAACAGTGACTACAGCAGAGGATTCTAAAAGACACTGCTTCAGGCAAATGATTGAGATTAACATCACCATTAACGCATATGAACATTATGTACCACTTAATACAATGCTTTTGGAAAAAACAGCACATCATCTCTGTGGTATACTTTCCAGTAATCCATAACCTACATTTAAGAGCAAGAAAACATCAGTAAAACCCAAACTGAGGCGAATTCTACAAAAAAACAAATTAACCAGTACTCTTCAAAAGTATCAAGATCACAAAATATGAGAAGAAACTAATATTTGTTACAGAATGAGGGAGATCAAGGAGACAAAGAATTAAATGGAATATGGGATTCTGAATTAAATCTTTGATCAGAAAAAAAAGACATTATTTGAAAAACCAGTGAAATCTGAATAAGTTCTGGACTTTATTTTACAATACTGTAACAAGATTAATTTTTAAATTTCAACATATGTCCTATGGTTTTTAAAGATGTTAACAAACAGGGAAAGATGGGATATGGGTTCAGGAAAATTCTCTTTGCACTATTTTTGCAACTCCCCTGTAAGTCTACAATTTTTTTCAAAAATTGATGCAAAATATAATAATACGTTTTTACAATAAAAATCTGAAAGTATAATAAATAATTAACTAAGTAAAGACTTTGATATGACAGTATTTAGACATGGCTAACAACAGCTAGATTCTAGCATGATCACTCCTAAAGCTCAATCTGTTACCTGTATTAAATACTGCTATTGTAAATACATAATGGGGAGAGTTTTACTTTGCTTCAGACTAATAAAAATATTTTCTTTGCCTTTTTCAATTCTGACTTCTTTTTCTTTGACATTCAAAATGCATTGTTCACCTCACAGCAATTGTTTGTTAAGTAGATCTTCCTAAGCTCCCGAATCCAACGAGAAGAGAATGAAAAATCCATAGGATATTATGTATGATTCCTCTTGGTTGTAATTTGCCAAGTTAAGAATTAATATATCAACATAATAAAATGTTATAGCTTTTTGGTTCAAGCAAAAACTATAAGAAAATTGAAGATATCTGAGTACATGTTACCATACTATGCGTGAAATTGCCTATTTAGAAAGAGAAATAGTTAAGTGATAATTGTTAAGATGTTAAAATCTCTGAATGGAAATTGATATGTCAGCAAAGCCAAAATTTCCAGTTGGCTTATCAATAACATTGTAATTTCCTTTGGGCTCCACTGTACTTTCTACTGTCTTCTGAATAAATTTCATGTCTTCTACCAATGCAGGAAGCTGACTTTCTCTAGGAGGATTCAATGGCTGGCTAGCTAGTCTAATGCTCATGTCCACATTTTGTTCTGGTGAACTGAGTTTAAAATGATCAGCAAGGTCGGGTGCAGTGGTTCACGCCTGTAATCTCAGCACTTTGGGAGGCTGAGGCAAGTGGATCACCTGAGGTCAGGAGTGCAAGACCAGCCTGGCCAATGAGGTGAAACCATGACTCTACTAAAAAAAAAAAAAAAAAAAAAAAACCAAAATTAGCTGACATGGTGGTGCTTGCCTGTAGTCTCAGTTATTCAGGGGCCTGAGACAGGAGAATCACTTGATCCCAGGAAACAGAGGCTGCAGTGAGCAGAGATCACACCACTGCACTCCAGCCTGGGTGACACAGTGAGACTCTGTCTCAAAAAATAAAAATTAAAAAAAAAAAAATAAAATGACCAACAAGAGTGGTGAGGGAAAAGAGAAGACATGAGAATCACTGACAAGTCTGTGTAAGAACTGATGGAGAATGAGCCCTGCTAAGTAAATGATCCTATCTCATATGGCTCTTAGAAGGAAGCTTAACGACATATTGCGTGCATGCATTTGAATCTTGGGTATTGTCTTAGTGTATTGCATCGCTATAAAAGAATACCTGGGGCAGGGTAATTTATAAAGAAAGGAGGTTTATTTGGCTCATAGTTCTGCAGGATGTACAAGAAACATGGCACCAGCATCTGCTTCTGCTGAGGGCTTCAGGAAGCTTCCACGCATGGCAGAAGGGAAAGGGGGGCAAACATCAGGTGGCCAGGGAGAAGGAAAAAGAGAGAGAGGGGGGAGGGGTGCCATGCTCTTTTAAACAGCCAGCTATCAGGTGATCTAATGGAGGGAGTACTCACTCATTACTGTGGGATGGGGACAAGGGGGCAGCAAGTCATTCATGAGGGATCTGCCTCCATGACCAAAGCACCTCCCACTAGGCCCCACCTTCAACATTAGGGATCAAGTTTCAACATGAGATTTGGAGGGAACAAATATCCAAATTATGCCTGGTATCTTCAGTTCCTGCTAACTGCCTCTATGAATCACTGACAGATCTAGAAAGAAGAATTCAACTAAATCTCAGGATAATCCCTGAGTCATGATACCCTAGGAATAGTCCTGGGGGAAGTTTTAGATATTGGTTAAAGGGTGGAACGTCTGAGTACAAAAGGAGCTTTTCGGGTATACCTGGGCTTTCTCTAAAGCTGCAACATTAGCTCATTTTACTCTCAGCCTTCCAGGAACTCTCATCCTGGAGTGTACATCGTTTGACTTAAAAATAATTGAAGACTTTCCATCTTCTTTCTCTCTTCTTGATACAAATCATCTTTTAGTTTTATAGTAGTAAGTGATGTAACTGTGGACCTTTCAGTCTTAAACAGAGGGTTTCCTTTTTTCTAGAGTCACCTGAAATCCAAGATATTAATTACTTGTAATTTTGCTGATTTATAATGGTAATCCTAAGGATTGTATAGTGAGATACAATGATGAATGAGATACTTAATGAATACGTTAAGCCAGTTAATCAGTATTCTCATCTAAACATGAGAATGTTAATCTTATTCATTCCCCTGGGTGTATATAATAAAGGGAAAGGAAATAGAAGGTAAATAAACTCTATAGAGGTAACCACATATTTTAAGTGATTTTTTAAAAATTCCCCAAGTCAACCCAAATGAATTTATTGGAACTATTACACTTCATTGGGAAGAATACATCTACTGAGTGGATGGATCCTAGCTTCACAATCAGCCTTCATTTTTCAAGCTATTATTACTTTATCTTCTGCTAAAGTACATGACAAGGAGATATGTTTATAATCACCTCTTGGGAGCTTAAAAATTCAGTTTCTTATTCCTATTCCCAAATGCCTTTATCAAGTTTCTGCTTCTATAATTATCATGGGCAACTTCAGAGCCAGATGCATAATTGCTTACTTAAGGTAAAAGAGGCCTGTGCTGGAGCCCTATGTCACGTTCTGCCTACCTTTTTATTAGGGTCAGGCTTGTCCAACATGTTTTGCGTTTTAGCAGTGTTTGGCCCAGTGCCTGTTTTGTACTCAGCTGCAATCATCCTTAATATTTCTTTTGGCACTTGTGCTTGGGAGGACTCAGCAGCACTCCAGTCCTATGTTTCATTGGTGCTTACCCTAGTGCCTGCCTATCAGGCTTTTCTTAGCCTTGGAGTACTGCATTCATCCTTTGAAAGACTGCCTTGGCTTTTTGACTTTGATTAATCTGCATCGCAATTCTTGTTGGTTGGTCTATAAATTTAAATTCTTCTGTTCCTTTCCCTTCAGTTAATAAAGGGGAATCAATTTAACTGCCACATAGCACAACATTTCCTATTCTTCATGCTGTAAGATTTCTTTTCTGTTAGAGAGGAAATTTGGTATTCAACACCAAATCCTCGCCATTGTTCTCAGTCAATAGCTGATCAAAATTATATTCATATTTTAAATTAATATTGATATTCATTGATAAGTAGTAAACTTATCAAACTTCATAGAAAACTTCTTTAGACTTACCTATCCAAACAATAATAAAAAAAAAAAACTATGGCAATTTGTTGGATGGATGTTGAGTTATCACAGGAAACCTAAGAAGAGAAAATGCAGCTGGAATTAGAAACAATTAGGGGCTTGGCAATCTCTGTCATTCATTCCCTCTTCCTATCCCTCCTGCATATCCCATGCCACTCCACAGTCAGATACTCTGTGTATTTACTTCAGGTATGCTTCTCTTCCTCTAAAAGCCTTTCATTTTCTGCTTTGGAGTACACATAGCCACCTCAGCCTCAACTTCCATGGCCTCTTAATTCCTCTCAAATACACCCTGAGTGCCAGAGCGCCAATTCCAAACTCTCTGCTGAAAGACTCTAATTGGCTTAGGTGTTCATCCTTGGTCCCATTAGCAGTGGCTATGAGCCAGGCACCTTCCTCATCAGAAAGGGTATGTAAGGAGACTTCAAGAGAAGAGGACCAAATGCCCAGCTAACAACTACAGGTATAACTGATTGATTTATGACATTTAGAGACTCCAGCTTTTCATTGCACCGAAAGGTGTAAATTTACATGTCCTTATGTTGGTTTCGCATGCCACTGTCTCCCTCCAACAAAAATGATATTAGAGTATTTGAATGTGATTGGTACGTTTAAGTCTTTCCTGATGAGATTTCTTCTCCTGTTACAGGAACTCATTTCTAAGCAAAAATTTCTCTTTCCCTTTCTCAAAACATTTACTGACATTCATTAGGCTAAGATCATTTTCAAGATGGCTTTCACTAGACTTAACACTATAAGACTACTTTTCTAGTTGCATACATGGTCAGTGATGTTACATACATGCTTCCCTAATTCAGTAGTTATCAAGCCTCAGCAGGCATGAGAATCACCTGGAGGACTTATAAGAGCACAGATTTTGGGGCTCCACTGTTAGAGTTTCTAATTTAGCAGGTACAGGCAGGGCCTGATAAGTTGTATTTCTAGTAAGTTCCCAGATGGTACTGATGTTTTTGGTTCTAAAATGACACTTTGGCCAGATGCAATGGCGCATGCCTATAATCTCAACATTTTTTGAGGTTGAGATGAGAGAATCCTGGCTTGAGGCCAGGATTTCAAGATCAGCCTGGGCAACATAGTGAGCCCCATCTCTACAAAATATTGTGGGTTTTGTTTTGTTTTGTTTGTTTGTTTGTTTTTAATGAACTGGATGTGGTGGCACATGCCTGTAGTCCTAGCTACTCAGGAGGCTGAGGCAGGAGGATTGCTTGAGCCCAGGATTTCAAAGTTGCAGTGAGCCATGATCAAGCTACTGAACTCCAGCCTGGGCAACACAGCAAGACCCTATGTCTAAAAAAAAAAAAAGAAATAAAAATAAATAGATAAAATCACACTTTGAGAACCTCTATCCTAATTCATCTTTATTCTCATTGCAAGGGAAAATAGCTGGGAAAAGATCTTATGTTTTATCTTCAGGGGTCCAGGTGTGAGGAATATATTCTCTTGTTCCCCAGCCTACACACTATGTCCAAGTTCTAAAATCCACAGTCTCTTAAAATGGGAAGGAAGGACCTTTAAGATTGTGAAGTCCTGCCTTTCCTAAACATGCTCAAAATATGTTAATGTGCTTTTCCACTTCCATGTACCATCTCCACTCTTATGTTCCTAATGTCTTTATCTTACTTACAAGGGAAAAATTATATCACTCTCTAAGATGGAAAGGAAATATTTTTTTGCTTTAGTTGAAGGTAGCTATAAAAATAAATTTAAAATGTTACTTTATTTTTAAAAGTAATGAGTATAAGTGATACCAAATCAAATAGTTTCAAAAATACATGTGCAAAAATAAATTATTCAGTGAGAATAAAAAATGCTTATAATTCATTCTTAATAAAGGGATAATCATCTCAATGTCACTTTGCTTAAGATAGAAAAGAGATTCAATATCATTAAGTTAATTCCATTTTTTAGTTGTGTTATATGCTTCCACTGAGAATCCTAATGCATCTGTGTGTGCAGTCAGAAAAGGCCAAAGAGATCTCAGAAGTTTTCTTGAAAAAGTTGGATATTAATATTTATTCCTAGTGCTGTAATGCAAGTTATTTTGTTTAACCAACAGAGTTTCGAGAAGACTTCCGAAGTCATCTTCAGAATTGTTTTTCTACTGGATTTGCTAATGTGCAATGTGAAGGCAAAACAAAATTTGTTCTCTCCCACACTACCATACACTTTATAGAAAAATTTATGGAAGCAACATTATTCACATTGTATTTTCATAATGCTTACAAATGCCTTCATTGACTTAGCTGGTAAATATAGGTAGGTTCTTCTGAGAAGAATATTTTTTAGTTTAATTTAATGAATGAATGAAGTTTGCAGACCCTCTCTCCAGTCTCTCTATGCACCATGTCTATCACAGTAAAACAGTACCATGCAATGAGTGGTATATATGAAAAACATCTTTTGGCCAGGCGCAGTGACTCACGCTTGTAATCCCAGCACTTTGGGAGGCCGAGGCAGGTGGATCACCTGAGGTCAGGAGTTTGAGACCAGGCTGGCCAACATGGCAAAATGGTGAAATCCTGTCTCTACTGAAAATACAAAAAAAAAAAAAAAAAAAAATTAGCTGGGCGTGGTGGCGGGTGCCTGTAATCCCAGCTACTTGGGAGGCTGAGGCAGGAAAATCACTTGAACCCGGGAGGCAGAGGTTGCAAGGAGCCAAGATCGCACCATTGCATTCCAGCCTGGGTGATGGAGTGAGACTCTGTCTCCAAAAAAAAAAAAAAAAAAAAAAAAAAAAAAATTAAATCTTACTAACTTCCTGAGGCTTGCATTATTATTCCCATTTCCATAGGGGCAAAAGAGGGTTGGAAATGCAGAGAGGTTGAAGTGATTTGCCAAAGTAAAACTAGCTAACAATGACTGAGCCAAGACTCTCATCCACACTAGAATATTCTTTCAACTCTGAGTCTGCTGTCTTGGGTGATTGAATCAGAAATGGAGGCTAAAGGTAGGATTCTGCTTTCCCATGGATGTTCTGCTGTCTCCACCCTGTCCTGGCCATGCTTTCTTCAGATACAGCCTAAAAGGCCCATTTTCTGAAATCCCTACACCTGCTGATCTGGAGAGAGGTGAAGATAGTCCACTGGCCTGCATTAGTGGACTAATCTGTCAGTGTCAGACCTAGGAATGTAAATAATGCCAATCACTTTGCCCTCCCTCACTTTCTTCTCCTTCCATCCCTGCCTCCACTCTGTCAATTAAGAGACATTCTTCAGTTCTTTGGAAAACACTAGTTTAAATTAACCTCGAAATTTTATAGATGGGGAAAGTATTTTTACTCTCATTGAAGCAACCAATCTTAAAAAAAGACAAATGTATGATCTTTAAATGTTAAAATGTAGAATAATTAGTATTAGATTTACAAAATTAGCACACCCCAAATTTGTACTAGTTTATGTAAAAATTCTAATGAAAGTGCATTTTTTGTTGTTTTTTGTGCGTGTGTGAGTGAATATTGTAGCATGACTTGAAGAGAGCTCTAAGGCCCTATCAGTCCAAAAACGTTTATCTGAAGCCTCCCATTTTACCTGAATAATGCCAATAAGTGTCATCATTAACAGTGTTAAGAGGAGCTATACCGTCGAGATTAATCTGCACGCTGCGTCATTTACTTGCTGTATCATGTGGGGGAGTTTCTCTTCTCCGTGCCTCAATTTCTCCCCTGCTTCTATTGTGCAGGTGCCCCGTGGGTCATCCCACTGTCGGTGCATGGCAAAATTTTGATGAGATTTAGTGAAAGCACTTTCCAACAGAGGTGTAGGATGGCGCTCAAGAATCCCTCTAACCCCTGCTGTTGCTCCTTGGAGGTCAACCGGGACCACAGAGCTGTGGAAGAGCCCTCTAGTGGAGGGAATCCTACCCCTGCACTAGTTACATAATTACAGGTTGGACTGAAAGATGGTAAAGCACACCTAACGTTTTATGTACAAAGGGACTTTCTGGCCTAAGGCCCTTGAGAAGCCTCCGAACTCAGCTAGAGGTTTGGAACACTAATGTTACTGCATCAGTCTGAGACCTTATTCGACTTCTGTAAAGTAGTTCAGCCCAACTAATCCAACTCCCTGCCAAGCCACTGGAAGAACATGAGAAGGGCAGCCCCACAGTCACTGGAGACCAGAGATCTTTCTTTCCTCAACTTCATAGGAATTTCGTGAAGATTAAATATTAATATTGTATATGCAAAGTGCTTAGGACAGTACAAAGCACACAAGTTCTCAATATTAATTATTCATCTTATTACGTATTATGTAAAAAGCACTTTGCGAGCACCTTACTTATTTTGGTTGTTTTGTTTTCTTTAATTCTCTTGAAACTATGAGGTAAGCATTATTATTAATTCTCCTTTTAGAATACTGACTAACAATAATAATTGAAGCTCAGAGAGGTTAATTTTCATGCCTAAGTTCCCACAGATCAGTGGCAAGCCAGGCTGTCAGACTTCAAGGCAGTTTAATCCTCTAACGTATGAACTCTCATGAAACCTTTACAGCAGTTACTGGAGAGCCTATTACAAATACTGTGAGGTAGCCTCATGCTGCAGTTCATTTGGGAGGACTGGGGAGCATCTGTAAATTTGTAATTTTAAAACACAACTTTCCAGGCGACATTGAACTGAAGATAATTTGGTAATTACTAGAAACACTGTCTATAGATGAGGAAGGATGATCATAAAAGTTATCATCCAAAACATGCTTTTTAGAAAAGTAGATATAATAGAAAAATAGATAGAAAACCTAGAATGCCTGGGGCTATTTGTCTGCAGATGAAATGAAGTAAGAGTGTAACAGATCATCAAATTTTGTACAGATTAGAGTTTAAGATGGGTTAGAGTTTAAGATGGTTCTCATAGTCTCACAGAGGTTTTATCAGGATAGAGACCAAGTTGAAAAATTGGGAGTGCTTCCAGGGGCATGTGGGATCAGGTAAGCACCACAGGACAGGCAGTGAGTGTTAGAGGAAGGGGAGGAGGGGACAGAGCCAGGCCTGCGCGAGGCTGGAGTGCTGGGGACATTCCTCTCACATCTCTTCAACTTGGGTGCATATTCAAATATAATTTCACTGGATCACCACTCAAGTCAACACAGCTAATAACATTTACAATCATTTGTCAAAAACTATCCTCTTCACTTCAAATCTGGAATCTTACTATTCGGTCACGGCTATAGTAAAGTATAAAAACGAAGGCAAAGAATGGGAAAGTAAAAGCGCAGATAAAGACAAACTTCATCGCCTTTGAAACGTTGATGACCACCCTCTCCACACAGCTCTTGATTCAGAATCAGAAGAGGAAAATATGTTGGTGGGTCCAATTTGCCTCTAATTTCTTTCAGCATATATATTTTTTCTTGTTCCAACACAGCAACTATCCTTTAATTTAAAAAAATGATCTTCATAAGGGAGGACACTGTGACAGCCTACAAAAAGAATGGTGTTTTTACTCTTTTGTGAAGTTGGTAACATTCTTGTAAAATTGTTTTTTACAACCCTATATTGTATTTACTCTAGGTGAGATTTTACAAACAATAACTGTCTCTGATGGCTTAGTACTTTTTCCATCACATAAATCACCTCAGTTCTAATTTATCTCAGTGATTTGAGATTTGGAGGGTCTCTGTAAACAACATCTAAAACTTTCTCAATTTTGTGAAATGCTTCTGAGGTAGCTATTCAGCAAAAAACACCATCGTAACGATAACGATACACAGTGTACTGGGAAAGGCCCAGATTACACCTCACTATAGGACTGGTTTATGTCAGAAACCAAAGGATTATTACGTTCAACTTTCTTTCTTTGAGTAAGACAGCATTGCCATGGTTTCTGATCTTCCTAGTTACAAGTCTGCATGAAAAAGAAAAAAAAAATTATAGAAAACATGAAGATGCCATAGCTTTGATAAGGAATTCAAATACAAATTGATTCATCTGAAACGAAGCAACTGCATAGCTTAAATAGTAATATATATTTTATATTTTCTAAGAGAAATAAATAATAAATAGGCTCACCACAGGAATTTATTGGAAAGGAAACTAATAATCTGAAAAATTGCATGTAATGAAGCCAATATTGACTGACTCATTGGCCTTCACTTCTGGGATTCCAGGGTGGTTTTGTCACAGCAATGTTATAAGTAATGGCGTTGAAGTACAGTTGGAAGTGTGCCTTAAATCATCAAAGAAACTGGAAATCATCATTCTCAGTAAACTATCGCAAGAACAGAAAACCAAACACCGCATATTCTCACTCATAGGTGGGAATTGAACAATGAGAACACATGGACACAGGAAGGGGAACATAACACTCTGGGGACTGTTGTGGGGTGGGGGGAGGGGGGAAGGATAGCTTTAGGAGATATACCTAATGCTAAATGATGAGTTAATGGGTGCAGCACACCAGCATGGCACATGTATACATATGTAACAAACCTGCACATTGTGCACATGTACCCTAAAACTTGAAGTATAATAATAATAAAATAAAAAATAAAAATAAAAAAAGAAATATTTTGTAATTGTTTGAACTATACTCCTTTAATTTGAAGTTATTTTCTATAACATGATAGCACTATAGTATAGATATTTGGGAATATTTCTAGAGTAGATATTTGGGAATATTTCTAAAGCATTACTTGCCTTCAAGTCCCAGTTCTGTTAATTACTACTTACTGATGTCAGTTTTCACGATGTAAAACAAGATACTAGTAATATCAAACTCATAAGATTTTAGTATGTTCAGCCTATATGATCTATTAAGTACTAGTTACTACTGCTAATAGAATTATCATCTTTTAAGGTAATCTTTGCCAATATTAACCAGGCAGTCTATTTGAATTGTTATTACTGAGTGTTAAATAAATAATATATAGGTAGATAAAGTAAATCCAAATCTCATATCTGCTATACACTTCCTCTAAAAACCCAGGCAAGCTAATTACTTGATCCTTAGTTAACTCATCCACAAAGTAGAAGTAATAAAAAATACTTATTTCCTAGGCTAGTTGTAAAAAATAAATAATATATCAGAAGAGCCTCATATAGTGTGTGGCATATAGTAAAGTATTAAACAACAGGGACATTATTTTTTCTCCAACCACTTAGAGAACTAGCTATTTACTAAAGTGAAAGTGCGATTATAGTCCATTTAAGATAAGTTTTCTGCACCAAGTCACGTTTTTCAGCCAAATTTTGGTGAAGACTGTTTTTGAAATAAGGAAAACATACTTCATTTTCAGATAGTAAAACGTACCCATACTATTTAGTAACATTTATGCCACTGTTGTATTAAATCAAGGAACAAGTTTACAATGTTTGTCCTTTAGGTTTAATCAGGATTAATCAGTGCTAAATCTCCTTCTTTCCCTTCATTGTGCTCTGAGACCCAAGAAAGCCTCACAGTGATGGGGATAAAGATTACTGAGTGATTCAGAAATAAAGGCAAAGCAATCTGGTGGAAACCTTTATTTAAATGATTACTGAAATACATGAGATGGGGTTCAGGGCTAAGTTCTTTTCTTGTATTTTTTGTTTGGAATAGAATATTTTTATAAACAAAAATACTTTCGTTCATTCTTTTAAAATAAGTTATGACTTTCTAATTAAAAATTGAAGCCTGGTTCTGGGTTTTAAAAAAATTGAAATGCATTTTCTTATTCTCTTACCCAGAAAATAATGGCACTTAGAATTTCCATGCCCTCACAGGAGTTACAGAAGTAAACAGAAATGTTTCTTTGCTAAAACCTAGGAAGAGAGTAAAAATGCTGCAGGGGAATGTGTATAGGCTGGATAGACTTTCAGAATATTTGAATTGGAACGTGATTTTGCTTCAGTGATTTTAAAAGAGAAATAAGGGCAATTCAGAAGATCTTGCCTGGAAGTTGTTTTATTGTCAGTTCTAATTGAGTTGTATAATGCTCTTACATAATGTGAGACAATGCATAATTAGTTCTTTGACTTAACTCTCTGTAGAAATATACTCTTTAAAATGGTGACACATTCAAATAAGAAAATTACATTTTTCCCCCAAATCACTAGAATTTTTTTTTCTTTGTCAATAGTTGAAAATTATTCTTGCAAGGATTACCACCGTCCACAAACTCCTCTGACAACTATCAGCTGTAGTAGAACAGTAGGCTGGACTAGGAATAAGAAACCTGCTCTTATTTTCAGTTTGGACATTGGCTAATTATATGACCCTAAGCAAATCATTTCATCTCTCTATGTTTTAGTTTTTTCATCTGTTAAATCAGAAAAATGAATTAGGTGGACTCACAGGATTCATAAAATGTTGGAGATGGAATGGACCATAGTCTACAAATGGAGAATTCTTTTTTCAGATGAAAGAACAGAGATCCAGAGGAATTTAGCGTCTTGTCCAATGTTCAGTTGTGTTAGGGAGAAAGTGAAAAATATAACTCAGGTATTCCGATTTCAATCCAATGCTCACTTCTCCACATTGAAACATTATATGCTTATCTATTAGACAAAGAACTATGAATTAAACACTTTCCTAATTTATAGATTGAATAAATATATAAAGAATATTTAAGGTATTTAAATATATGCATTCTATGTTGTATTAAAATGTGTTCACTTAAATATATGTAATATTCATTTCTCTTGTCTGGATTATCAATAGCATGTGAAGATGCTTTTTGTATATTTTAGGGTTTCTTGTTTGAATTTCTAGAAAATTTGACATTTCAAAACAATCTATTGATGCAATGCAAATAAATCAGTATTTGTTCATGGCTGCTTAACAACAAATTTGTAATCACTGAATTTAGTTTAGATAATACTTAAAGGTAGGCTGTGTTATGAAGTTCTTTATAATTACAGAAAATCATCATATAAAATTTCCAATAGGACAGATAATTAAACCTGTACAATAGCACAGAGGGATGTTCCCTGGGATGACATGGTAACTGAATTTCCAGGTCCCCATGGGATCTCATTAACTTGGTGAATTTACCTCAACTTTGGAAAACTGATTTGTGAAATCCTTGTAATTTCAGTCACGGAAAATCTCTCAGCATTTGTCCCACTACTAATCTCATAGGAGAAGATACATAAAACCCAAAAGTTAATTAACTAATTATGACTAAAATATAAATTCCAAGGTAACTAAGGAGTTCTTCAGTCTTTTGACCAATTCTTTTTGTAGGTAAAACACCAGGGTAGTCAATTTGTAATAGAAAGTTTGCCTTCAAATAAAATCAAGGACAGGTAATTTCTTACTGTGAATACTAAGTGGTGTTAAGTGAGGTAACTAGTCATTTTCTCAGTCACCATGCCCTCTGCTCAGAGAACATGCCACTTGTTCAAAGACTGACTTATTCTCTAACATTCCTGTTCTTTCTTAAGTCACATATATATATATTTCCTAAGTCATATATAGAGATATTAAAGTGAAAAAATTTTCTTTGGTAAATATTTACACCAGTAGGAGTAATACACAATGTAGTTGGAAAAAGTAGGGGATAAAACAGATAGTTCCAAAAGTCTTAGAACAGTAAGCCCTTCGGCCTCTGATTCGGCCAGCCATGGTTCTTATAGTTGCTGAACTGGGCGGGGGGAGCAGTCGGGAACCCCCTGTGGTGGAGGCAATCTGGTGTGCAGGGCGGCAGCTACCAACCCATGTGGAAGTATTTCAGTATTTTTAGCTGGCAGTTCAGCTGTCCTGGTGCATACTGGCTGAATATCTCTTGTGAATGTTGAGAGACTTTCTCAATACATTCAATTTTTTTTGTTGTTGTTCTGCCCACTTCAATAAATTATAACTTAAACTTTTTCCTAATGTTTAAGGTGGATGTTTAGAACATGAATTGTTGCAGCAAGTTATAATAGCAATGCCTCCGGGTTTCCAAAGTGCACCAAATGATGCCAGATTGCTATGACTTTCGGAATTCTTAAATCTGCTTTCGAAAATCTCTTTTTCTGTCTCTTTCTGTCAGGGCTGTCACTTCTCATTTTTATCCATGCACTTTCCTCTAGCAACAACCCTCAAATTTCTCACATACTGAACCTAATTTAAATCTACTCTGAGCAGGAAAACCTGGCCAATTTCTTAGAAATATGTGTAAAATAATGATGAATAAATTCTACGTCGTGGCCGAAGGAACTATTTTATGAATAAAGGTACATACATTTTAGTTTTGGACCTTGTGACGGATGTGTTGTCTATTCTGAATATCTTTTCAGTCACTCCATGGTCCTTTAATGTATTAAAAATACTCTAGTTTGACTCAAAGGAACCACTGGATAAGTAATCTAGTGTGCCTCGTATTATCGTAAAGATTGAAAATCAGTAGTCTGTTACAAACCCACCTAGCCAGTAGTTGTGTTTTGCCAGCAAAATATTAATGACAATGTTTTAAAATTTTTGGTAGGCAGCCAATATTTACTAATCAGAATATTTTAAATGTGAAGTCAAATCTCTAGATTCTCTTGATAAACAGAAATCTGACAACATTGGACCTATATCTTAACATGAAAGCAATAGGTGAGAGCTAAATAGCAGCTGCTTTCTTTTGATTGTGTTACAGGTTGAATTGTGTTCTCCCCTCAACAACCCCCCTCCCCAAAATGTTGAAGTCCTAACCCTGAGTATTTCAGCATGTGACATTATTTGGAAATAGGATCATTGAAAGCGTGATTAGCTAAGAAAAAGTCATACTGGAGTAAGATGGGCCCCTAAACCAATATGACTGGTATCCTCATAAAAAGAATGCCATGTGAAGAAGAGAAACACAGGGAGGAGAAAGCAAGGTGAAAATGAACTCAGAGCTTAGAGTTAAGCAGCCACAAGCCAGGAAACTCATGAGGCTTCCAGAGGCTGAAAGAGGCAAGGGAGAAACTTCCTCTTCGGGTTTTGGAGAAAGCACGGCCCTACCAATGCATTGATTTTTGCCGTCTAGCTTCTAGAACTATGAGAGAACATGTTTCTGATGTTTTAAGCAACCCAGATTGTGGTACTTTATTCTGGCAGCTGGAGGAAACTAACACAGATAGAATTTCCAGACTGCTTTTCTGACAATATGGTTGACTAGATATCCGAATTCCTCCATAGAATTAATTTAATGTTGAAAAATTTCTAAAGACATCTTTTTTTTGCATAGCTGGGACACAGACAGATAAGAGACAAGGCTTTGAATATGCAAGAGACAAGAAACAAGAATTGACCCTTAACAAGGTTTTTATCATCAGTCGAAAGTGGAAAAGAAACAGTCTTTCCCCTGGTAAAGGAGTCCACAGAGACAGAGACACTGGTCTATATCTGCCCAAGAGCTCAGGGAAAAAGTAAAATAAGAAGAAGAAGAACAACAACAACAAAAACTGACCTGTGGCTTTCAAAGCATAGACGTAGAACTTCCCATGGTCTGGGTGTGTAATTAAAATTCCACTAGTGTCCCAGCAAACTAGGAAATGAACATAACAAATGATCACAGGCTGATAGCACCCTGGGATCAATAGCTAGACCTCTCTGAAGAGATCCTCAACCCAGGCCTTGAAAGATTCCTGTAGAAAAAAATATAAAAATAAGACATAAATGCATATTATGTGAGTGAAGTCCCCTCTGCCCCACTGGATATAAAGCTCTTCAGATTAAAACAACAACAGCAAAACCCCAAATTTCACAACACATAGATTCATCTTAAAACACAAATAGCTGCATTAGACCTTCAAGAATTTCATATAATAGAATTATTAGACTAGATTAGAAATTATGTTTAAAGGATTAAAGAAGAAAGAATAAGGAAGACCATTCAATGACACATGTTTATTTTACTTAACTAAGATTTTTCAAGGAACAAATTATGTCAGGCATTTTTCTAGTTACTGGGAATACAAAAATTCACCACTGCCATCCCCCCTTCACTGTCTTTATAAAATTTATATTCTAGTTGTAAGAGACAGATATAAAGCAAAATAAGCAAAATATGTTTTATACTGAAATGTGCAATGAATGGAAATAAAGCAGGAGGGGTGGGTAGGGAGCTCTGGGTAAAAGTGTGATTTAAATTTTATTAATACCTTGGAGATCAGGGAGAGCCTCACTGAGAAAAGGATACTTGAAGCTAAAGGAGGTAAGGGTGTAAGTCAGCTGTATATCTGAAGGATGAACATTCCAGGCAGGGAAAATCCAACGTGCAAAGGCCCTGAAGTAGTAACTGTGAAAACAGTAGGAAGGCTGTGTGGCTGAGTAAGTCTGAGTGAGAGTAGGAATAGTAGGGGTAGTAAAATATGAGGTCCAAGAGGTAAAGTTAGGGCAGAAAAGTAAAATAAAATATGGTATAAAAATGACAAAAAAGCATTAAAAAAGGAAGTTAAAATTTCTGACAATGAAACTTATAATTGTTAAAATATAAAAATTGAATGGTTGGTTAAACTGCAGATGAGATAAAGCTGAAGAGAGAATTAGGGAAATAAAAGGTAGCACTGAGTAAATTGATGAAAAATCATTACACAGAGAAAAGATGTAAAATATAAAAACCAGGCTAAAAAATTTTAAGTACAATAAATAAGTCTCATGTATATATAATAGGGGTTCCAGAAATAGATAATATGATTGGAGAGAAGCAATGTTTAAAATGATACTAAATTTGAGTTTTCTGGAGTTTCAAAAAATATACGACTCTTCAGATTCACAATGGATCCTGAGCAGAATAAATAAAGCTAAATATATATCCTGCCATATGTAGATAAATTGCAGAACACCAAAGCAAAAGTTCCGAGTTAAAAATAACTCAGAAGTAGAGAGAGATAACAGAGATAGCAAGTTCTACTTGATGTAAGTCCTCTATCTTACCTGCTTCATTCATTTAGTTTGCCTATAAGTTTCCTTATAAGTATTTGAAATTGTGACACCTGCAGGACTGTTAGACTTTTATAGTTCTAATCAGTATGTGGTAACTTCTCTCCTTAAACGGTATTTTTATCATGAGGTGCTTGCTAAAAGAGCTGAAAACAAATATTGGCATTTCGTTTTTATTATCTCTATCTCTTTCCTCTAACGCTTTTGACTTTGAGAAGAAAGAGATGGAGATGGGTGAAGAAAGAAAGTCCAGTCTAAGTGTGGTGACTCATGCCTGTAATTTTCAACACTTTGGGAGGCCAAGGCAGGCAGATTGCTTGAACCCAGGAGCACTAGACCAGCCTGGGCAATATAGCAAGATCCCACCTCTACGAAAAATACAAAAATTAGCCATGCCTGGTGGCACGTGTCTGTAGTCCCAGCTACTCGAAACTTAATATTAGAAAAAAAAGAAAAAAAGAAAAGAGAAAATGTGGCCTGTTTTTTTTTTTTTTTTTTTTTTTTTTGTACTTGGATATGGATGTCTACTCTTCCGGGTGGGAGAATGTTTTAACTTTAACATTTTTATTTAGGCAAATATAATTGTCTACATAATTTATGATTGTCCTTGATTGAGTGATCTTGAAAGGCTTATCTGAAGATTTTTTTTTTTTTTTGGTATTCAGACCTGTGTGGTTGCCATTTGAAAACCAGAAGCTGGGACCATGACTTCCAAATTTCAGAATATTAGCTGGAGCAAGATGGCAGAATAGAAGTGTCCACCAATCATTGCCCCTGCAAGGACAGCAGGTTAACAACCCTCTACACAGAAAAAAATACCTTCATAAAAAACAAAAATCAAGTGAGCACTCATAGTACCTGGTTTTAACTTCATAGCACTGAAAGAGGCACTGAAGAGATAGAAAAAAATAGCCTTGCCTCACAGACGTCACAGCTTCCCCGCCCCCCCCAGCAGCAGCATGGTGCAGAGAGCATCTCCAGGTGCTAGTGGGGTAGAGAGCATCTCCAGGTGCTAGTGGGGTAGAGAGCATCTCCAGGTGCTAGTGGTGTAGAGAGCATCTCCAGGTGCTGGTGGTGCAGAGAGCAGCTCCAGGTGCTGTTGAAACTCCAGAAAACTCAAATCACTTGTGATGCATTGAATTCCGTGCTGTCCTGTTAGAGCAGAAAGGAAAACCAGACCAAACTCAGCTGACACCTGCCCACCTAAGCAGCATTTAAACCAGTACTAGCCATAGCGGAATCCCCGATACCAGCTGTCAGAACTTGAGTTCCTGCAAACCTCACCACCAAAGGCTACAGTGCTGTAGGTTTCTAAGTAAACTTGAAAGGTAGCCTAGGTCACAAAGACTGCAATTCTTTGGTGAGTCCTAGTGCTGAACTGGGCCCAAAGACAGTGGACTGGGGGGCATATGACTAATTGAGACACCAGCTAGGGTGACTGAGTGCTGGCATAACCCCTCCCTTAACTCCAGGCTGCACAGCTCACGGCTCCAAAAGAGACGCCTTCCTTCTATTAATATTATACTTGAGGAGAGGAGAGGGAAGAGTGGGAAGAACATTGACTTACATCTCAGATACCAGCTCAGTCACAGCAGGTTAGAGCACTGGTCAGAATTGTGAGGCGCTAGCTCCTGGATGATATTTCTAGACACACCCCGGGCCAGAAAGGAACTCACTGCCTTGAAGGGAAGGACTTACTCCTGGCGGCATTCATCACCTGCTAACTGAAGAGTCCTTGGGTCCTGAATAACCAGCAGCAATACCCAAGTACTACATCGTGGGCCGAGGGTGAGCCTCTGAGACTTGCTGGCTTCAGGTAAGATTCAGTATATTACCAGCTCTGGTGGCTATGGGACAAAACTCCTTCTGCTTAAGAAAAGCCCCTTAGGTACCAGCACAACCACAGTGGGGTAAAGCACCAAGCAGGCTCTTTAGGGTCCCTGATTCCAGGACTTGACTCTTGGATGGTGTTTCTTGACCTGCCCTAGGCCAGAGGGGAGCCCATTGCCCTGAAGGGTGAGTACCAAGCCAGGCAGCATTCACCACAAGCTGACTTAAGAGTGCTTGGGCCTTAAGGGTGTATCAGTGGTAGTCTGGCAGTACTTCCTGTGGCCTATGGTGTTGGTGGCTGTGAGGTGAGGCTCCTGTGCCTTTGGAAAGGGGAAGGAAGAGTAGGAAGCACTGCATCTTGTGGTTTGAGTGCCAGCTCAGCCACAGTACAATAGAACACCAGGTAGACTGCTAAGGTTTTTGACTCTGGTCCCTGACTCTTGGATGGCACTTCTGGACCCACCCGGGGCCTGAGGGAACTTGCTGCACTGAAGGAATGGACACAGGCCTGGCTGGCTTTGCTATCTGGCAACTCTAGAGCTCCAGGGACTTGAGTGAACATAGGCAGTAGCCAGGGAGTGGTTACTGCAGGCCTTGGGTGAGACCCACTGCTGTCATAGTGGCGGTGGCCACAGGGTGCCTGTGTCACTCCACCCCAGCTTTAAGTGGCACAGAATGCAGAGACTCCATTTATTTGGGAGAAAATAAGGAAAGAGAACAAGAGTCTCTGCCTGGTAATCTAGAGAATTCTACTGGGTCCTGTTCAAGACCATCAAGATATTACCTCTATGAGTCTGCAAGAACCACAGCGTTATTGGGCTTGAGGTGCCACCGAAAGTAGAACCAGCTTAGATTACACACTCAAGTCCTTTCAAATATCTGGAAAGCCTTCCCAAGAAGGATAGGTAAAGACAAGCCCAGACAATGAAGACTACAATACCTAACTCTTCAATGCCCAGACACCAAAGAACACCTATTAGGATCAACACCATCCAGGAAAACATAATCTCAGCAAATTAAACTAATAAGTCACCAGGGGCCCATCCTTCAGAAACAGAGATATGTGACCTTTCAGACAGAATTCAAAATAGCTGTGTTGAGAAATTCAAGATAACACAGAAAAGGAATTCAAAATTCTATCAGATAAATTTAACAAAGAGACTGAAATAATTTAAAAGAATCAAGCAGAAATTCTGGAGGTGAAAAATGCAATAGGCATACTGAAAATACATCAGAGTCTTTTAATAGCAGAATTGATCAAGCAGAAAGCAGAAGGAAATTACTGAGCTTGAAGACAGGCTACTTGAAAATACACAGTCAGAGGAGACAAAAGAAAAAAGAATAAAAAACAATGAAACACACCTACAGGATCTAGAAAGTAGCCTTAAAAGGGCAAAACTAAGAGTTATTGGTCTTGAAGAGGAGGTAAAGAAGTTATAGAGGTAGAAAGTTGATTTAAAGGGATAATAACACAGAACTTCCCAAACTTTGAGAAAGATGTCAATATCCAATACAAGAAGGTTATAAAACACCAAGCAGAATTAACCCAAAGAAGACTACCTCAAGGCATTTAATAACCGAACTCCCAAAGATCAAGGATAAAGAAAAGATCCTAAAAGCAGCAAGAGGAAAACACACAAATAACATACAATGGAACTCCAATACATCTGGCAGCAGACTTTTCAGTGGAAAAGTCCTAGAGGTTAGGAGGGAATGGCATGACATTTTTAAAATAAGGAAAAAAAATTACTTAGTTTATTTGGCAAAAATATCCTTCAAACATGAAGGAGAAATAAAAGCTCTCCCAGACAAACAAAAGCTGAAGGATTTCATCAGCACCAGATCTGTCCTACAAGAACTGTTAAAGAGAGTACTTCAGTCAGAAACACAAAGATATTCATGAGCAATAAGTAATCACCTGTAGGTACAAAACTCACTGGCAATAGTACACAGAAAAACACAGAATATTATGACAGTGTAACTGTGGTCTGTAAACTACTTTTATCCTAAGTAAAAAGGCTAAATGATGAACCAATCAAAAACAATAACTACAGGACTTTTCAAGACACACAGTACAATTAGATATAAATAGAAACAACAAAAATTTAAAAATCGGGGACAAACTTATGGTGTAGAGTTTTTATTGTTTTATTTTTGTTTATGCAAAGAGTGTTAAGTTCTTATCAGGTTAAAATAATTGTAATAAGATAGTATTTGCAAGCCTCATGGTAACCTCAAAACAAAAATTGTACACTAGATACACACAAAATAAAAAGCAAGAAAATAAATCATATCACCCGTTGGCTAAATTTCAGCATCAGTCTAGGGTAGGGTTTCTATTTCCCATGATATGTCAAGCCATCTCTCTTCTCTTCTCTGAACTTTTGGTTTAATGGCTTATTCTTACTCATTACCACAGATAAATGATCTTTCTCATACATATGCTTAACTATTTTTACTAACCCACATTTTTTCTTAATATTAGGTGATTTAGATGGATGAAATTTTACATTTTTTGTTCTAAATAATACAAAAGACTTCTGACTTACAAAATTATAAGTCACACACATACACAGTCATCTATTCAAATTAATAACATCTTCAAAGCATACTTTTTCTGGGGGCTGAGACACTATAAAATATTGTGACGTGTAAAGTAGGAAGCCTCTGGCAAGTGAGAATTTTCACAATCTTCTCACCCTAATGCATGCAATTTAATTTAAGAAATTAAAACAGATTTACTTGGTAGGGAAAATAAAGCCAAGATATAATTAGGGGGTTTTCAAAGTTAAAAGGCACTTTAAAATGTGTTCTTCTTTGGGGAAGTTTTGGTTCTCCAGTCTAGGGACTTTCAACTAATACCTATCTTTGGGCAGGGTCTGAGAATTAGGCATCTGAGAACTTGTCCTAGGAAAGTACAGAGCTAGTGGGGTGCAGGATCTCATGTGAATGAGGCTGTCAGCCCCCATGAGATATATTCATCTGTCCAATCGAAATTCACTTGCAAAACCCAAATTCAAAGATGAAATTTGTAAGAACTTCAAGAAAGTGACCACATAGCATTAAACCCCAAACACAAGGTCCCCTTTTGAGCACTGGGCTCTGTGATACTGCATTACACTGGTCCTATGCCCATGAACCCAGCCATAGGAGTTAGCCTGTAACAACACATGTTATATACTTTCTTTTTTATACAGAAGTATTAAACCCACATTGATGTGGTTACCTTGTAAACAGTCTAATGACAGATAGCATATGTTTGAGATTTTAAAGTCTTTCTAAATATTTTGTCGAGGAAATGCACAAGTTGTGCTTGAAAAATAGGAAACTGTTTAAAAATATTACTTAAAATAACAAACAACCACATTCTCAATATTTAAGCAATAGTCATATGCCTGGTCTTCTGTGTAATATGAAGAATATTCAGTCATGGGGAACAGAAAACCCTAATCCAAGTGGCATAAATAATTTGGGGTTTCTCTTTCTCATAAAACAAGAACTCCAGACAGCAATAGATGCTGGCATTGGTTCAGTGGGAGAACATTTTGGGGGCAGCCGTCATTGAGATTATGGTGGCCTTTTCTTTACATGTTGCTTCACGCCGATGCAGGTGCAAACATTATATCCCTAATGTAGGGAGAACACAGTCAACATGCATTCCTATCCCATGCTAAACAATCCTGAGAATCAATCTGCTATCCTTTTATTTTGTGCTAGTCAATTCTAAGATAAATCATATATTCTCATTTCTGTGCTAAATAATCCTGAAATTAGGCAAAAATTATTGAACTATTTGTTCAGGAAATATGTTTCTTTATATGGTTGCTTATTGAGGTGAACTTTTGGCTAGTCAGGACCTACTTCAAGACTCTCACCCCAGGCATTTATCCATTGAAAGCTGTGATACTGTGCTGAATACCAATCACTTCCCTGCCTTACAGGGCCCACCTTAATAACACCAATTTCTGGCCAGAAAGCTCTGAAACTATCCTCCTTTAACCTCCCTCTTATGAGACACTGCCAATAATCTCTCAAAGTGGTATTTTTTCTCATTGCAGGGTGATTAACAGATTTTCTAGAAATCATTCTGTTGAGTGGGAGCATAAGGACTAGAAGAAGGAAATTAACCACATATGCCCTATTTGTCAGGAAATCAAGTGTTCCCAGAAATCATTACAATAGACTCTTGTTTAGATCTCACTGGTCGAAGTGGGTGATTTCTCTGACTCTAACTAGAGGGAAAGCTGGGAAAATGGGAAATCAATCAAGATGCACCACTGCAGATTTCTACATGGTCACCTAAAGAAATGGGTGGTTCTTTTAGCAAGAGAGAAGATAAGCCTTAAATGAATCCTGGATAGGCAACTAAACCATGGATGTCTTTCCAGAACAATCAAAAGAGCTTCATTCAGAAGAACATAGGGTTACATTTTCAGAAAAACAAAATGTCCCAAATCATGACTGTATTGGAGGAAAGTAACAGAGTATGACATTGGATAGACTTGTGAATAGCAGGTAAGATATGACCCCTCCACACTCAACTATAAATAACCTAATGAGAAAGTGGAAGATCAAAGAAATAATTAAGGTGTGTGTGTTCTACGTAGTAATAAAAACCATGACTTCTCTGTGGGAAATAAATGCCTAGAAAATTAAAAAGAAAATATTTGCTCCTCCTTCAGAGTTTAGACTGCAATATTTTTGAGAATCAGTGATTTTCCTTGGGAAAGTGTACTTGTGTGTATGGGTGTGCATATTTATATTTAGGTCAAGAGTTCTCTGTTGGATCACTGAAAAAAATAAATGTCACTGACACTCCTACAATTCAGAATGGTAGAAAGATTATTCTGGGTGACAGGTTTTCAACATAAATTACTGAATAGTGTGCTAAAGCTTTTTCTTTCTCTACGTAATTCTCTCCTCAATCATTTATTCTTCCTTCCCATTTTACATATAAATATATGCTGGGAAATCGTTCCAGATTGAAAATCCAAATGTAACATGTGGATGGGTGCTCTGAATTGCAGAAAAGTGAGTTACAATTCTCATGGGAGAATTTGAAAGAGGGAGGTACACTGGGAGAGAGTAAGGAATCCAACAGCTAGATGGCCAGGGACACCCACAAGACCAACTGGCTGAATGTCTTAGTTACGTCTCAGTGGACATAAGAAAGACATATTTATATTACCTGTTTATTGATGATTTGGAATGATTATAGGGAATTTTACCACAGGAGATGAAATATCTAAAGAAATTTGAATAACATGTAAAATCTTTGGAAGTGGTGTTGTGGAACACATATGCAGATCAGTAAAGAGAAGAAGTGAACCACTCGGCATATCCCACCGAGAAGGCACAGATCTCATGTAGATGGCTGTGTGCAGCTGTTCCAGAAATGTTAGCAGGGACACATGGCAGAGCAGGGAAAACTGGAGAGAACTCTTGATGATAAAAAGCAGTCCAGGATCAAAATGTCTGCTGTCTGTCATATGCCTGAAAAAAGTGGGAGTTGATGAAAGGAAAGCCAGATAGAAATAGATGCTGGAGGTTAATTCTCTCATAATCATATGTGCAGATCTCTAAGCACTTTCCAAAACACATTTGCTGAAAGGATTAACCTAATTCTGTTCCCAGTCAGGCTATATGTGGGCTGTATGGTAAACTATGTAGCCCACACTGATCCCATCAATGAGGTTTAGAGACTTGTCTCCTCTTCTTGTTTGAAAATTAGACTATATTACTCTTCTCCTTTTCTGAACTCCCTTTCTCATTCATGTGCTTTTTGTATTATGTGCTCGTTTTAGGGATTCTCCTAACATTAAATGTTACTTTTTTAAAAGAGAAAAACTGTGTGCTTTCTTTGACTTTGCTCTAGCAGCTAATATAGCATTGAAGAAAGAGTTTTTGCTCAATGAATATGTATTGAATTAAATAATGATTCCAAAAACATACTGAATATCTTTAAAATGTCTACAGTGTAGTTTATACTTTTCCAATAAAAGAGGTCAGCGGAGGGATAATTTATTAAATATAAAATACATTTACATATAAAGGTATATTATCTTATTTCTTAACTCATAACAATTGAATCTGAAAACTATAGACATAGTCATACACGGGAAAATAGGAGGAGCTTATTAAATTAAAAAAATGCTAAAATTTATTTAAATTACCGCATTTTAAAAAGAATGTCCAGTAATTTTACTGGGATAAACTTTATTAACCCAAGACTATTATAGTTAGTATAGGGTTTAGTCAGAAAAAGTTAGCAGGAGTGACTATTGGATTGATTTAGTTAAGAACTATGGTGTCTTGCACTCAAATAGTGTATTGTATATAAAAATCTAACTTGTGTTAAAGAATTGTCTTTCTCCATCTTTTTAAGGTGGCCTTAGATGCTGTTTTTCAGCATTGTAAGAGTTGCATAATTTCCCTAAGATTCAATTTTTGTTTTTGAGACAAGGTCTTGCTCTGTCACCCAGGCTGGAGTGCAGTGGAATGAGCATGTCTCACTCCAGCCTTGACCTCCTAGGCTCAAGTGATCCTCCCACCTCAGCCTCCCAAGTAGCTGATACCACAGGTGCACACCACCATGCCTGGCTAATTTGTATACTTTTTGTAGATCAATTTAAAGGGCTCTGATCTTGCCCAATGTTATAATATTAATGCACTTACTTTGCTTATTGTTCCTGATTCTTTGTCTCATTGTAATAATAAAAGCCCACTTGCTTTTTTCCTCCTAGCGTAATTTTCCTGTTTAGCAAGTTGTCAACTCAAGCACTTTGGAAAGTCTGAAGACAAGATAAGAGCAAGTATAGAGGTATGAACTCTGTTTAATTAAATTCTGTTCAGAGCAGGTAAGTAGCGGGTGATTAATTGCTGTTCGCACACCTTTCAACTGCTTTTGTCAAGAGGCTCTTCCTGGAATATGCTTGCTGCTAAATTGATAATCACTAGGACCCACTCACGTTTCCAGACAAAACCTGGCCTAGAGTTCACCATCTTTCATGCTGCATAACCACAAACCTCTCCCGACCACCACCTGTTACACTAGAAGTCCTGGAAAGGCACATATAGGGATCTGTTTACATTTGGAAATAACAGTCACAATATGTACACCAAGAGTGGCCATGTATATCACAATATCTAAATGACATATTCCCATCCAATTTTTTCTCTGTGTATCAAAGGGAGCATATTACTAAGAAATCCCACACTTTTTAAAAGTCTCCATACATAAATAATATAAACGAGGAAACTGACAAGAAAAATATGCATTTGTTTCTTATTGAGGAGATTAAGAAAACAGAATGTACTTACAACTAGGTTCATTTTCTGCTATTAAACATTTATCATGCACACATAATCACTGCAGTTATCTATGAGGAAACCTTATTAAACCAGAAAATGAGTACTTAAAATATCATAATTAAACATCATTTTAATTTACTTGTGAGAAAATAGAATGGAAGACAGTGGTACTGATGTTACACTACTAATTGTATCTCCAATCACAATGCTTAATCGGCTTTCAACAGTGAGCATGAATAACCCAGTGCTAGGTCTGAATTGTGATTAATAATTTAAAATATGTAAAGATAAGATTCTACTAAATGCAAGTTGGACAACATGAGCATTAGATAAAAAAAGGAAAGGTCAGAAACAACCAGTATGTAGTGGTTAGTAATGACAGTCCTTTTCTACTGGGAGGAATGCCATGTTTTCTCTACACACACACATAAATTTGCAATATTGCTTTCTGAAACTCAGTCTAATGTTAGAAAATTTGGCAGCAATTTGTATCTAACTTTGAGGGTATCTTATGTTCTTTTTTTTCATTTTCTTATTAATGACACTAAGTCAAACATTATATCAGTGTGCAGCAGGTTGGTAAGTAAGAGAATGATAATTTAAGATGTAACTAATAGGCTTCAGAGGGATTTTATTTTTTGTTTATATATTAGCTTATCTGATTTTTTTGCACAAGCAACTCTGCTTTGAGTTGGAATCCCTGACTCTTTTTCCATTTCCTACTGTTCCTAACTCACTACCTCTAAAGAGTTTATATGCACAGACTCACCTCAGACAATATGAGATCAAGTGCATTTTATGTTCTTTGACCCAAGGACAGCAAATTTTTGTGGGTTTAGTTTTTGATGGGTAGATTTTCAACATCCTATTTTTGCCAAGGAGTCTATAAAGTAACATCATTGAGACTGTCAGCTTCCCTGACAAGATAACTTGAAAGCAGAATTGTGTGAACTAGAGGAGATTTCAGTTCACCCCCGGCTCAGTGAATTTCACAAACAGCAGTTTAATCTGCAGGATGTCCAAGCCAATAATAAGAGGAAGCTGAGTTAGTGTTTGGGCAAGAAGGATCTTTTTATTTATTTGTTTTTCTTTTTTGTTGGTGAGTTTTGAACTTTTTGAGCTTTCACTTAAGATGCAAATTTTCACACCCTTAAACATCCTGGGTTTCCTTGGGTATCATTAGGATTATATTGTCAGATCAGATCAAAGTTTTAGGGAGTATTTGCTACTAATGTTTAACATAAAATCAAAGCAGGTTTCATTTTTTAAAATAAGTGTTAACATTCAAAAATAACACCAATTTACACACATTACTCACTAAAGCTTATTATTCTCCCTGGAAATACTTAATATATTAATATTAAAAGTGTTATAACAATAGCTATGCAGATATGTTTCTGAATTTTACACAACAAATATTGATGAATACTATGCAGTCAGGGTCAGAGGCTCTGTAATCAAACAAACATAGTGTAAATTTCATATCTTGTAACTTAATAAATTTATGACCTTGGATAATTTGTATATATTCTGTGATGTATAATATTCCCACTTTGAAAATGAAATAATGACACTACTTTGATAGTTTGGCTATCAGGATTTAAAGAATTAAGACATTTTGTAACAGGAAAATAAAATCGGCTATTAAAAAATATAATGCTGCTGCTTGCACGTTCTAAGAAAATATAAGGACACTATTGGATACATACTTTTTTCGAGAGGAAATATATCATAGTGGTATTTATGAGAAAAATCTTGATCATGTACACAAATAATATTTAGTGGGATATAGTATTTAAATTTGAAAGAGCAACTGGAGTGAAGGATTTCAGAAGTAACAAAAGGGAAACGATGAGAGAAGGGTCTGGAAAAATGGGGAGAGAAAATGATGTTGAAGATTAAGTTCTAGCAATAGTATAGACCGAGTGAACAGCTTCCAGTAAGAAATCCCCTATAGCTGAGATGATCAGGGGATGTTAATACAATGATGTAAGGTTGAATGGGAAGCTGCTTTTTGCCTTGTGTTACTACAATCCTTCCTAGTTATAATTACTCTTCCAGTAAAGTCTAATGTCTACTCAAAGGCATTTTGAAATCTTTGAGTTATGTTTGTTTTTTATAAGTCATGCTTTAATAACTGAAAGTTAATGGCAAATGAGTAAGAAGAGAAGATAATGAGATGCAAAACTGTAAACTAAGTCAGACAAAATTGTAAACTAAATTACAATTCAGCAGGATGAGGAATTTCAAGAAAGAGTGACTAGGAAAAGGTGAGATCGGGATGTGCTCAGCTATGCACCCATCCTTCTACACTATGATGCTTAGAAATATTGGGAATGTTGCTTATCTTATCATTGCATAGACAATTCATGGGTAAATTGATAAGGATATTAAAGATAAAGGCAATTCTAGAAGCCTGGCAGACTTATAGATTCTCTGGTTACCCATATAAAACAGATGTCTCCCTTACAACGGAAACTTGTGAAATTTCATAAGTGGAATTTTCATGTGTTGTTTTTCTCACTGAATCTCCTTCAAAACCTACACAGTGTTGCATAATTACTTTTTAAATTAATCTCCATGTTTGCACATAGCAGACCTCAAAAATATTAGTTCCCTTCACCTTTTGCCTTATGATATTGAGAGTCTACTGATATGTCCCAAGTAAAGTCTTTCCTCACTTTAAATCTGAGTTTTAATCAATTTATATTATTAAATTAGAAATAAATAGAAGAGAACAGAGAAGTTCCAAAAGATTAAATTAACAAAATTTGTCGTGGAAAGAACTTTGGTAGAGTTCTTCATATTAGTCATAATTGAGTTCCAGGAAACTAGTCCTATTGAGGATAATGTAGAATTTGTGCTGCATCTTGATTTATAAAAAAATTGAGTCATTGGAAGTCAATACTGGTTCTCAGACTACTTTTTAAAGATTATCTTTGAATTCCATAGCCAAGGATATAAATTAGATCATATTTTAAACATTTAGTTTCAATAAAAATTTGAGCTTACCTATAAAAAATAGGTATCCTTAAAGTAGTCAAAGACAACAGATACTTAAAAAAGTAGTGATAAGTAATAACATTCTGAATATTCATATCAACATTTATTCAGAAAATATGTTTTAGAAAACATGTGGTAGTATTTAATTGATATATCTATAATATTTCCAACATATGTACAAGTAATTATTCCGGGGATGATTAAAAACATAAAATGTTTTTCCTTTTCTATTATTTCCATTGAAATTTTCTTTCCCTCTTTACACTTCTTCTCTTGAACTTTTTCTCAGGAATAACTGACATTATTCCTACTTTACTCACTTTTTTGCTCCTCTTCCAGAAGCCCTTTAGAAGTAATTCTCTCAAAAATAGATGTTTTTATTTCTTGAATTCAAGTGTATTATATTGTCTTCCTTTGTGAAGAGACAAAGCAACTGACAGTCTGGTTTGTTTATAATAAGTCAAATTGAAAGTTAATTTAGTGGCTCATATTTCTCAAATCCTATTGTGTATACTTATATATTTTATATTTTTATCTAAAGAATGAGAAGAATGAAGTTAAAGGGAAGGGCATAGGAATGTTTCTTTTTAGGATAAAAGAAAAGAAACCAGGTTACCAGGCACAGTGGCACATGCCTGTAATCCCAGCATTTTGGGGAGCTGAGGCGGGTCGATCACCTGAGGTCAAGAGTTTGAGACCAACCTGACCAACATGGCAAAACCTCGTCTCTACTACAAATTCAAAAAATTAGCCGGGCCTGGTGGTGGGCGCCTGTAATCCCAGCTACTCGGGAGGCTGAGGTAGGAGACTTGCTGGAACCCTGGGGGTGGAGGTTGTGGTGAGCCGAGATGGCACTACTGCACTCCAGCCAGGGTGACAAAGGGAGACTCTGTCTAAAAAACAAACACCAAAACAAAACAAAAAAAAGAGGCCTGGAACCCTTAGAAATGGTGACACTGTCAGGAATTACAGTGTTTGGAAAAACCAAACATTAGCTTCCATTATATGGATTTTGAGGCAGTGGCAGTCTGTCTTTGTATGAAGTAAGAGATGAGGAAAGTTTACTCGTGCAGGTATTTAGGGGGTGTATTGTCTGTAATGAACTTTAAAAATGATAATAAAAATGATGTAACATATATATGACAGATGCAAAACAATCTGGTGAACTGGTCTCAGCCAAACACCTTCTCCCTCCCTGGCATGTTACTGGTTCCAGGAACATCTTTGATTAGAATTTTAAATAGCCTGGGACAAAGACATAGCCTTGAGTCCTTCTAGAAGGAAGTATTCCTAGGTCTTGACAGCTCCATGCCTTCTTCCTCTCAGAGCATCTGCCTCAGCTGTAAGATCCTTTGGTAGGGTCTTGAACTCGGGGCAGGGGTATCCCTGTTTTTACTGCCCCCTTGGAGAATAAAAGAGGAAATCCTGGACATTATTTCAAAAGCATAAAAGAGAAATAGTTTTTCCAAATGATACTGTGACTACATTTTGCCTTTTGAAAATTAGGATATATGGTGGTAATATTTTACTGCTATTATACTTCCTTTTGCTTCATTGATGGTTTCAGGGGGTGGGGCAGGGTGACTGCTCTAGTGAGCAAACCGTTTCCATGGTGAAATGTAATCTGAGTCCTAAATACCACCTAATTTACAAATGAATCGTTGAAACACACTATTTTTATACATTAAAGGATGCTTGTAACAAGAAAACCTTAAATAATGTTTATAGATAACTTCTGGCCCTTTTAAGTTTCTTATAGACATTAAATAACACTGAAAAATTTTTATAAAGACAGAAAATTGGAATATTATATTCCTTTATTCCAGAGCTTCATTGGATTCTTCCTGACATCAGATGCATTGTAGTGACACGTACACCAGTCAGCTTTGTTGAACCATCTATTTACACCTCTGTTTATGAGAATATGGTTTTTGTTTGTTTGTTTGATGTTTGTTTGTTTGAGACAGAGTCTCACTCTGTTGCCCATGCTGGGGTGCAGTGGCACAATCTCAGTTCACTGCAACCTGCGCCTCCCGGGTTCAAGTGATTATCCTGCCTCAACCTCCTGAGTAGCTGGGATTACAGGTGCATGCCACCACACCCGGCTAATTTTTGTATTTTTTGTAGAGATGGGGTTTCACCATGTTGGCCAGGCTTATCTCGAACTCCTGAACTCAAGTGATATGACCACCTCAGCCTCACAAAATGCTGGGATTACAGGTGTGAGCCACTGCACCCGACCGAAAATATGGTATTGATAGTGTTACTGAGTCTCTTTGTCCACTGCTGATTCTTTGCAGAGTTGTGATCAAGTGATTCAGGGTGGTTAAGTTAATAAAGGAAAAGAAGTATTTTGAGAAGAGCTATGGGGTGGCATATTTAGCTAGCACATTCTAACACACAAGGTTTCTATTTGGGGCTGAAGTATGTTCTACCCAAACTTTATATGTTGAAATCCTAATGCCCTAATACCTTACGGTGTGACTGTTCCTGGAGATAGGGCTTTAAAAGACTTAATTACATTAAAGTTATGTTATTAGGATGGGTCTTAATTCAATATGACTGGTGTCTTTACAAGAAGAAAAAATTAGGACACAGACACACACAGAGGGAAGAACCTGTGAAGACACAGGGAGAAGGCCACCATTTACAAGGCATGGAGAAAGGCCGCAGAAGAAACTCAATCTGCCAACCCCTTGAATTCAGATTTCTGGTCTCCCCAACTGTGAGAAGATAACTTTCTGTTGTTTATGCCTATTCTATTCTGTGGCACTTTGTTATGGCAGCCCTAGCAAATTAATGCAATGTCTTACAAGTATTTGCTCAATTATTTTTAATTTATTCCTTTATCCGATGCATACTTATGAGAAACTAATATAAGCCAGTTACCATGCTAGACTCTGGGACCCAACAATGAACAAAACTGAACCTTGATGATTTGAGACCAACAAGGAAACAGCGCTAGTGCAGAACGTCAATGGGGGAGGGGATGAGGGCATTAAGATGGCTAGGGACACATCACATAAGTCTTTGTTGAATATTTGTGCTTGGTAGAGATAAAAAGAGGGTATGTGCAGAAATAAAAGAACTAGGATTGCACACTAATCAGACTCAATAGTAGGCAAATGAGTAACTGAGGTGTTAGAAATTCGAATTAAAGTCATTCAAAATTAAATGAATTAAAGTCACTCAAAAACATGTACACTATTTTATATACATGTAGTTAAGAGTGCAAAAGACTAATTTCTCTAATACAAATATTTGTTTCCCTATAATAGATTTATTTCTGATAAAATGTAATACAATTTAATATGTCATTTAAATCATATTGTAAATGCCCACAAACTTTTTCGCTAAGGAAATTCTAATGATCAAACTACCCTCCCTTTTTTCCAGTTGTGGTTCTCAGACAGGTTAATTTAATGCAACCCTAGATAATAGTCCATGTTAAGCATGCTCAGAGAGGCTTAGAAAAGGAATTTATAACTACCAAAATTACAAAAACTTTTGTAGTCCGTTTCCATCATTCTCATTAATACCAAATTTTAGCCACCAAAATTCTTATGCCTGGAGAGATTAGCTAAAGTTAGGGCTTGGCAGCAAGACAATATTTTCAGAAGAGATGGCTGTCACCTTGGTCCTTGATCCTTGGATGTTTCCAGTTCTTACCTTCTCCTGATCATTTGGTTTTTCGTGATCCTTCACATTCATTTCTCTGGTCACCACCATATCCTGGTGTGACCTAAAGGCCTAAAGGTCTAAATGTAGGACTGTTAGCAGAAGTTATAATAAATGAATCCAAGGTCAAGAGGCATTTTGATGAATAAAGGGATTCTCCCTGTTCGCTGAAAAGAAAAGAAACATATCTGCTCATTCAAAACCTTCTTCCTTACACATCAACAAATGGGTTAGAATTGTAATGGTTAGATTCTTAAATTTCTGTTATTACAGATCAGCTTGATTTTGAGTTTCCTATCAGTTGAAAGAACACCTTCTTAATTTACGTGCAAAATGACACATTGTAATGTGGTAAACTGTGTTTGCAGCCTGGAGGCGGGACTGCACACTTACTCAAAGTTAGTGGGGCATGGGTTTCTAGCTCCATAACTTCATGATCCTGCATAATTCACTTTATTTTTCACAGCCCCTCCTCCATGAACATTATAAACAAATATTTGAATGGGGTTAATCATAGGAATCCTACCACCTCTAACATTTTAACTTTTCAACTGGAGTATTGTAAGAAGGCTGTTACACATTCTTCACTTATTCTCAACCTTGAACAGTTCAATTAAGCTTCAAATGCCAGAATGTTGGAATTTTTATGGCTAAGGAAAATAGAGGGGACAAGATGGCCAACTAGACACAGCCAGGAAGCGCCTCTCCCACTGAGGGAAACCAAAATATCAAGTAAGACGGTGAATTTCAAGTAGATCTTCTGAGAGAAAACAAAGGTCAGTAAAGAGGAAGCACAGAAAACAAGGTTGAAGAGGGAAGAAGCTGGGAAGCACAGACAGAGTTGCCAAGTCCTAGGACTGGCTCGTGGTCCTGAACAGGTCCTTAAGGAAGGGGTGAGTGAAAGAACTCCAGGGCACCACACTCCTGCTGTAGACCTCTGAGATCCTAGCTACAGAAAAGCCTGTGACCACCACAGGCATTTGAATTGGAAAGGGGAACTGCCTGGAGAGCAGTCAGAGCAGAACTTGAGCCTCTGCAGAGCCCAGAAGGTTAGGCAGAGTGTGAGGTAGCTGCAGCAAAATGCAACCTTAGGTGCCATCCCCTAAGGCTCTCAATCTTACTCTGAGTGGCTGTAGCTTCGGCTAACTACCAGCCAGGAAAAAGCAAGGCTGCCTTTTCCATGGGACTGGGGTGAATTTGATCTAGGTACCCCTTGTCCATCAGCTTTTCCCAAGGTCAGCTGCCTGGCTATTCCTGCAATAGGTACACACAGCACAGTTTCCACTGCCCCACCTGTTCTGCCAGAGCTCTGGGAGCAATTTGGCACCCCCAGCAGAGCACAGCACAGCACAGTACAGCACAGCACAGTACAGCACAGCAGGCAAAGGACAAAACCACAGGACCAGTACCAATCCCCCAGGTTTTGAGCACACTGCCCAGGGGAATCAAGTTGAGATCTATGGCCAGAGCTTGAGCAAGGGAGGAGCCCCCACTCTCAGAACACAGAGAAGAGAAAGGTGCTGGTTCCTGTGCCATTGCAGCAGCTGAGCATCCCTCCCTCTACAAGAGCAGTCTGGGAAAGGTACAGCCTGTTAGCCACAGCATCTGCCCAACAGAGCCCTGAGGCCCTGGACACCTGGAACAGCTCAACAATCTGGTTGCAGAAGGCTTGAGACAAATCTTGCTGGGAGGCTTTGCTCCTGGGGCAGTACCAGAGGGAGACCTGGTCCAGGGACCCAGACCCTGGGCAAGCTGGGTAGACCACACAGCCATCTGCTGGGCTAAAAACTTTGGACTGTGGGTGCCATATCAGCTACGCACCCACAGCACCACCACACTGTCCAGGATTCCTCTATCTTTGGCCCAGTGCATTACCAGATGGGTATGCGCAGACATACCCATAACCCTCTCTGACTCTACCAAGCTAAGAAATCCCCATGAAGTTGCAGGTCTCTTGGTGACCTAACCGTCAGCTCAGGCCACCTCTAAAGGAGGGAGGAGTTCAGCCCACCAGAGCTTCTCTTGGGGGTAAGGAAACGTGGGAATGGTATAAATGATTGGAGGGGGCTCTTCCAGGAATGGACTTGGTAAGAGGATCATCTCTTCATGCCCCACCATCTCACCCTCCCCGGAGCACTACTGCATATCCACTGAAATGCAAGAGAAGCACTACTAAGAGCGAGTCTATGTGCCTGTCCATACTCTTAAATGTGATCTACTGGATTTCAGTCAGAATGACACCACCAAACAAAAATAAATTTTTTTAGCTGGTGAAACCCAATGCAGGAAGCTAACCACAACTATGGAGCCCATACAGGGCTTTGGCCCTCTGAAAGCACCCAGAAATGAAGCCAGTAATCTATACACAACATACACCACAGTCAAACACTCAAGGGAAAAAAATATAACACCCGCTCCCCACAAAACAACAACAACAACAACAAAATCCAGATGTCAGCAATTTATAAAAGGAAAAGAAACACCAGCCACCTTAGATGAGAAGGAATCAGCACAAGACTGGCAATTCAAAAAGACCGAATGTTTATTTTCTCTAAAGGATTGCGCTAGCTCTCCAGCAATAGATCCTAACTAGATCGAAATGTCTGAAATGGCAGACACGGAACCCAGAATCTGGATGGCAAGGAACTCTAACAAGACTCAGGAGAAAGTTGAAATCTAATCCAAAGAAGCCAGTAAAATGATCCAAGAGTTGAAAGATGACATTGCAAATGTAAGAAGTTGATCTTCTGGAATTGAAAAATTAACTAAAGGAATTTTAAAATACAGTTGGAAGCCTTAACAAAGACTAGACCACACTGAGAAAAGAATTTCAGTGCTCAAAGACCAGTTCTTCCAATCAATCCAGTCAGACAAAAATAAATAAAAAATAATTTTTAAAATGAGCAAAGACTCCAAAAATATGGCATTATATAGACTAATTTACAATTCTTTGGCATTTCTGAGAGAGGAGAGAGAGCTAGCAACTTGGAAAACATATTTGAGGAATAGAGCACAAAAATTTCCCCATTCTCGTTAGAGAAGTTGACATGAAAGTTTAAGAAATTCACAGGCCCCTCTCCAGCAACCATGAGATACTATAAAAGATGACCATCCCCAAGACATACAGTTATCAGACCTTCCAAGGTCAACATGAAAGAAAAAATCTTAAAGGCAGCTACAGAAAAGGTTCAGATCACTTACAAAGGGGACCCCATCAGGCTAACAGACATCTCAGCAGATACCTTACAAGCCAGAATAAATTGGTGCCCTATTTTCAGCATTCTTAAAGAAAAGATATTCCAACTGAGAATTTCATATCCCACCAATTAATCTTCATAAGCAAAGTAGAATTAAAATCTTTTGCAGACAAACAATCCATAAGATGAGTTGTTTCCACTAGACCATCCTTACAAGAGATCCTTAAGAGAGCTCTAAACATGGAAACAAAAGAACAATGACCAATACCACACTTAAGGACATAGCACACAGACCCTATAAAGCAACTACACAATCAAGATGACAAAGCAACCAGGTAACATCACGATAGTATCAAAACTTCACATATCAATATTAACCTTGAAAGTAAATGGTCTAAATATCCCATTTAAAAGGCACAGAGTGACAAGCTCAATAAAAAAAAAGGACCCGACCATCTCTGTCTTCAAAAGACCCATCTCACAGGTAGTAACACCCATGGGCTCTAAGTAAAGGGACACAGAAAGAACCATCATGCAAATGGAAAATAAAAAAAGAGCAGGGGTTACTTTCTAATGTCAGATAAAACAGACTTTAAACCAACAACATTTAAAAAGGAGAAAGAAGGACATTATATAAAGAGTTTGATTCTGCAAGAAGACCTTTTCCTAAATACATAACCAACACTGGAGCACCCAGATCATAAAAAAGTGCCTCTAGACCTACAAAAAGACTTAGACAGTCACACAATATTAGTGCAGGACTTCAACACTCCACTGCAAGAATTAGACAGATCCTCAGGGCAGAAAACAAACAAATTATGCACTTAAATTTGACGCTTGACCAATTGGACCTCATTGACATCTACAGAATACTCCACCTAACAACCACAGAATATACATTCTTCTTCTCTGCGTATGACCCATACTCTAAGATAAACCACATTTTGGCCACAAAACAAGCCTTAACAAACTCAAAAATATTGAAATTATATCAAGCATACTCTTGGATCAGAGTGGAATAAAAAATAGAAATCAATAGTAAGAAGATCCCTCAAACCACACAGTTATTTGGAAACAAAAAACTTGCCCTTAAATGACTTTCAAATAAAAAATTAAATCAAGGCAGAATATATATATATATATACACACACACACACACACACACACACATATATGAAATGCATAACAGAGACAAAACATATCAAAATCCCTGAGATGCAGCAAAAGCAGTGTTAAGAGGAAAGTTTGTAGCACTAAAGGCCTACATCAAGAAGTTAAAAAGATATAAAATTAATAATCCAGCATTGCATTGAGAGGAACTAGAAAAAGAAGAACAAACTAACCCCAAAGCTGGCAGAAAAAAAGAAATAACTAAAATCAGAGCAGAACTAAATGAAATTGAGACCCAGAAATTCATACAAAGGATCAACAAAACCAAACGTCGTTCATTTAAAAGAATAAATAAGATTGATAGACTACTACAGTAACAAACAGAAAGAGAGAGAAGATCCAAATAAGCACAATCAGAAATGACAAAGGTGACATTACAACTGATCCCACAGAAATACAAAAGATCCTCAGAGACTCCGATTAATACCACTATGCATACAAACTAGAAAATCTAGAAGAAATTGATAGAATCCTGGAAACACACAACTTCCCAAGATTGAATCAGGACAAATTAAATCTCTGAACAGACCAATAATGACTTCCAAAATTGAATCAGTAATTTAAAAAATCTCCCAATAAAAAAAAGCCCTGGATTAGATGGATTCATAAACAAATTCTACAATATGTACAAAGAAGAGCTGGTACCAGTTCTACTGAAGCTATTCCAAAAAAATTGATGACTGTCTCTTCTCTCTTTCTATGAAGCCAGCATCATCCTGAGACAAAATCTGACACTCAATTAAAAAACAGAAAAATATAAACCAATAGCACTGAGGATCATAGACACAAAAATCCTCAATAAAATACTAGTAAACGAAATCCAACAGCACATCAAAGATTTAATTCACCATGGTCGAGTAGGCTTTATTTCCAAGATGCAATATTGATTCAACATATGTAAATAAAAAAGGTGTTCTACCACATAGATAGAATTAAAAGCAGACAAACAAAAAACATTATAATGTCACTAGATGCAGAAAAAGCTTTCGGTGTAATGCAACATCCCTTTGTCATAAAACTCTCAACAAACTAAGCATTAAAGGAAAATACCTCAAAATAATAAGAATCATCTATGACAAACCCACAGCCAATATCACACTCAGCAGGCAAAAGTTGAGAGGATTCTCCTTAAAAACTGGAACAAGACAAAGATGCCTACTCTCACCACTCCTATTCAATATAGTCCTGGAAGTCCTAACCAGAGCAATCAGGCAACAGAAAGAAATTAAAGGTATCCAAATTGAAAAAGAAGAAGTCAAACTCTCTCTCTTCACTGACTAAATGATTCTGTACCTTGAATACCAAAAGACACTGACAAAAGGCTCCTGTAACATAAACAACTTTAGTAAAGTTTCAGGATACAAAATTGACATACAGTATCAGTAGCATTTCTACACACCAATAACAATCAAGCCGAAAGCCAAATGAAGAATGGAATTCCATTTACAATAGCCACCAAAACAAAAAGCAAAACAAAACAAACAAACAAAAACACCTGGGACTACATCTAACACGTAATACAGCTAACAGACACTTCTCAAAAGAAGACATGGAAGCAACCAACAAACTTATGAAAATAATGCTCAACATCACAAATCATCAGAGAAATGCTAATCAAAGCCATAATTAGATACTGTGTCACTCCAGTCAGAATAGTTATCATTAAAAAGTCAAAAAATAACAGACGTTTGTTTGGTGGGGCAGCAGAGAAAAGGGAAGACTTACACACTGTTGGTAGGAATGTAAATTTGTTCATTCCCTGTGGAAAGCAGTTTGGAGATTTCTCAAAGAACTAAAAATAAAACTACCCTTTAACCCAGCAATCCTACAACTAGGTATATATAGCAAAGAAAATAAATAATTCTACCAAAAAAAAAAACAAAATACATGTACTTGTATGTTGATTGCAGCACTATTCCCAATAGCAAAGACATGAAATCAACATAGGTGCTCATCAATGGTGGGGTGGATAAAGCAAATGTGGTACATATATACCATGGAATACCACACAGCCATAAAAAGGAACAAAATCATGTCCTTTGAAGCAAAATGAATGGAGCTGAAGGCCATTCTCCTAAGCCAATTAATGTAGAAATGGTAAACCAAATACTGCATGTTCTCACTTACAAGTGGGAAGTAAACATTGGGTCTACATGGTAATAAAAATGGGAACAACAGACACTGGTGACTACGAGAAGGAGAAGCACAAGGGCTGAAAAACTTCCTATCAGGTACTGTGCTCACTACCTGGGTGACAGGATGAATTGTTCCCCATACCTCAGCATTGCATAATACTCATCTAACCAACCTGCACATGTACCCCCTGAATCTAAAATAAAAGTTGAATTTTTTTTTTTTTTTTTTTTTTTTTTTTTTTTTTTTTTTTTTTTTTTACAAAAAAGCATTCCTCTAGGGAAAAAATGTGTTTTTTTTTTTTTTTGTGAATGCATATGTATCTAAATGTATTTTTTGTGAATGCAATTGTTTGTGAATGCAAATGTATCTAAATTCATGTAGTTGCAAGAAATAGGAAATCTGACCCAAACTGTGTAAGCAGAAAAAAGGAAGAAGGTATTTAATGGTACCCCAACAGCACAACTGATATATCAAAGACCTAGTATCATTTTCTTCATTTCTGAGGCTTGTTACCATCCTCAGAATTTTCTCTTTGAGTTCCATGTTGTCTGACAGAAATATGTAGCGCTTTTCCATCCTACAGGGAAGAAGTTCACAATCCTTATAACTTAGCGCGCGCGCACACACACACGCGCGCCCACGCAAAATCACAAATGCCCCTGCACACAGAGTTAAGTTCCATTGGCTCTGATTGGCAAGACTTACCTAACATTTACATCTCTGATTGGTGATCTGTAGAGTTGGAAATGTGGGTGGCCCTTACTAAGAGGGAAGCAGAAATGGAGGCTGGGGGTGCAACCTACATATGTCTCACTAGAGTATATATAGACTTTTCCCTTTTTTTTTTTTCCATCAAATTCAAGTTTGCAGATGGTAGAATAGGCAGAATCCTGTCAAGGAATATACATGTAGAGTCAGGGGAATTTGAAAGAAGGCGCAAAGGTGATTTATGCTGCCGTTTGTGTATTTTTTTTCCGCTGAGGAACTCGGAAACACTACAGAGGGCCAAATGTTGTTTAACAGTTGAGTGACATCAGTGTTTTCTACAGAATCCTAAGTTATATTCAGTTTTTATTAGAATAGCTGATGACAGGAAATTACAAATAATTTATACTCATTTTGAGACTATTTAGTGTTTTTTAAAAAACTAATTGCTTGACTTGAAAATAAACCAGGAAATTAGTGTCATATTATAAAACAGTTGATTATGATCTTGTGGTTTCTCTTCCCTTTATTAAAGAAATTTTAATGTCTTTTTTTCTTAAGATAGCTTAGTTTGTGGTTCATGTAAATATACCTCTATACTGCTGGCCAATAAACCATGCTAACCACTTCCTTCTACTTCCACTTTTTCAGCCCAGTTTTTGCCTCATCATCTGATTTAGAATTTATATGATCTTTCGCTATGATATGGAATACAATGACATTCAAATTCTGTCATAGAAAATCCTGACTGGCATTTGCCATTTCTAGGGTCTCCTCTTACATCATAATAACCAAAAATAATTATTTCAGTATTCTAAGTTCCCTAGGAAAAGTAGTTAAGGATATATTATTTATGATGATGAACGTTATGGCAGAAACCAAAATGAATGAATTTTATTGGACTTGTATTGATTTGATCATAGTACAATTTGATTTATGTAGATGTAATCTGAATGTGTAGGACACAAAATGATGATGTTAAAATGGCAGGACTCTGCCTTGGTTTCATAACTCTCATAGTCAAATCATCTAAAACATAACACAGATTATTACTTTCAGAAATTCATTTTAACTTTGACCTGATTTAATCTCTCTAATTAATTAAAGGATTATATTGTACCTCCTTCAAAAAATGGAAAGTATACCTGACCTGACCTGATAATCATCATATTATTAATTCATTACCAGCATAGACAGCAATTAAGATAATTTAATAGTTCCTTGTTTGCTACCCACCTACTTTGTAAGTCTTTAACAAAAGTCCACTATTTACTACCTAATTGGGTCACAATGTTACCTGAATTTTAAATTACATCCTAGTTACACTCAAATGTTAATTAAAATGCTAGACTTGTTGGAATTTAAAACCAATGCTCTGAGTTACCATGAAAAGCAATAAATTGTTTTCAACAGTAACATTTCTTCTGTCAGCCCCTGCTTCTCATCCTTCTGATATTAGGGCCTAGAATTTCTTTGAGAACCGATTTTTTTAGAAACAGGGTCTTGCCACCCAGGCTGGAGTGAAGTGTCACAACCATAACTCACTGTAACCTTGAACTCCTGGGCTCAAGGGATCCTTACACCTCAGCTTCCTTGGTAGCTGGGCCTATAGGCACACACCACCACAGCCAACTATTTTGTTGTTGTTGTTGTTGAAACAGGGGTCTTGCTATATTGCCCAGGCTGGTCTTGAACTCCTGGCCTCAAATCCTCCTACCTTGACCTCCCAAAGTGCTGAGATTACAGATGCAAGCCACCACTGAACACTGCCAAGACTTTTTCTATTCTTACTTATTTTTCTCTATTTAATATTATTGACCTTACTCTCACATCTAAAGATAGGCATAACAGATCAGAGCTGATGAGATGTGAAATGGTATTTCCTAGGACTTTTATGAAACAGAAGCTTCTGTTTTCTAAGATTACTTTTGAAAGGGGCTCCCTTTCCTTCTGGATAGAATGGAATAAAAATATAAAATCTCAAGCTAAGGCATTTATTTTGATTTAAAAAAAGAACTTGCCATTGCCTGTGGAACACCCCAAGGAACCTGAAAATGAAGCGAACGTAGAGAATTCTGTAGAAAGAGAGAAACCAGATTTTTCATAGCATTGTATTTACTGCTATATAAAACCTTTCCTAAAATAAAATCTATGGAAGGTATTTTCAATCCCATGAGCCAATAAAATGCTGCTGCTGCTGCTTCTTTTTTTTTTTTTTTTTTTTTTTTTGGTTGAAACCACCAAACTAGAGGCAATATTTCTTTCAAGTTCTATTTTCTCTCTTGAGGTAAATTTATGTAAGTTGCATAAACCTTAAGCATACTATTCCATAAGTTTTAATATCTGCATAATTCCATGTAATACAGTCCCATCAAGATATAGTATCATTCTACATCATTCTTATAGAAGTAATATTATGTTACTTTCTAGACAATCCCCCCAAAAGCCAAGGATTTTAGCTTTCTCACACTGTAGATTAGTTTTATTAGTTTTAAAATTGTGTATAAATGAAACCCTAAAGTATGAACTTTTTGTGTCTATCTTTTTGCCATCCAAAAAGTATTTTGAAATTCATCCATGTTGTTGTATGTGTTAGTGTATTAGCAGGTTGTACTTTTTGACTGCTAAGCAGCATTCTATTTTATGAATATACTATGATTTGGTTTCCATTCTCTTGCTGAGGCCTCCTTGGTTGTTTCCAGTTTTTAACTATTATCAGTAAAACTACTGTGAACATTCATATACAAATTTTTGAGGGAGCATACAATTTGCAACTGTTTTCTATTTGTTTCTCTTGTTTATTTTTTAAATTTTGTTTTTGAAAAATTTTCTTTTCCTCTTTCTTTTTTTGATCTCTTCTCTTAGAATAACAATTATATATATTTTTAAATTTTAAAAAATGGTTATTCTAGTGTTTTTGATATACACTTTCAACTAATCCAAGTCCGTTTTCAAATAACGTTATAGTGCTTCATAGATAATGCCCCTACTTTATTTTATAACAGAATATTCACATTTGTTTGCCCCTGTCCCTTACAATATTGCTGTCTTTCATTTCACTTACCTGTAAGCTATTATCACCTGATACATTGTTGCAATTATTACTTTGACTACACTGTTATCTACTGGATCAATTAAGAAAAAGGAAATATTTTATTTTACTGCACTACATCTCAAATGCTCTTTCTTTCTTTATGTACATCCAAGTTACTAAGTTTCTGAACTATCTCTTTGTCTTCTCTTAAAATAACTTATTTTTAACTTTTATTTTAAGTTCAGGGGTACAAATGCAGGTATGTTACATAGGTAAACTTGTGTCATGGGGGGTTGTTGTACAGATTATTTCATCACCCATGTATTAAGTCTACTACCCATTAGTGGTTTTTCCTAATCATCTCCCTACCCTCAACCTCCACCCTCCCAAAGGTCCTAGTATGTGTTGTTCCCCTCTATATGTCCATGTGTTCTCATCATTTAGCTCCTACTTATAAGTGAAGATATGTGGTATTTGGTTTTCTGTTCCTGTGTTAGTTTGCTAAGGATAATTACCACCAGCATCATTATGTCCCTGCAAAGGACATGATCACATGAAAGAATTTCTTTGAATATGTTTTGCAAGGCAGGTCTGCTGGGAACAAATTTCCTCCATTTTTCCTTATCTGAGAGTCTTCTTTTTGCTCCTTTTTTTGAACAATAATTCACTGGATAGACATTTCTATGTTGGTGATTCTTTTCTTTCAATACTTTAAGTTTCACTCTGCTGTCTTCTTGTTTTCATGGCTTTTTAAGAAAAGTTTGATGTAATGTTTATCTGTGTTCCTAAACATAATGTATTATCCTATATGGAATCTTCGAAGAGAACATGAACATTAGGGAAATATGAAGAAAACCTGAATAATTATGGTTTAAGTTAATAAAATGCACCAATATTAGTTAATTCTGACAAATGTACCATCCCCATGAAAGGTGTTAATAATAAACTGGGTGTAAGGTATATGATTTCTATTTCTCTCGGTAATATCTTTGAAAAAATTCTGTAAATCTAAAACTGTACAAAATGTTTTACAAGTTTTAAATTAATTGACCATAAATGTGTGGGTATATTTTTGAACTCTGTTTTGTTCTATCTAACTTCTTGTCTGATTTTATCCCAATGTCATGCTCTCTTGATCACTGCAGTTTCATAGTGTCTTAAAGGCAGTTAGTATATAGCCTGATAGTCTTCAAGATTGTTTTGGTTAATTTGCCTTTTGGCATTTTAAATAGATGTTTAAATCAACTTGTAAAATTGTATTTTGAAAAAGATTACTGGAATTATAATTAGGATTAAGTTGAAGGTATGGAACAATTTGGAAGAACTGACATCTTAGTGAAATTGAGTCTCATGAATATTGTATATCTATCAATTTATTTAGGTCTTCTTCAGCTGATCTCAGCAAAATCCTGTGGTTTTTAGTGAAGTGGTATTTAAATACTTTTATTGATTTCATTCCTAAGTAGTTCATGATTTTTGATGCTAACATAAATAGATTTTTAACTGATTTTCAAATTATTTGCAACTATCCTATAGAAGTTCAATTGATTTTGTACACTGACTTCATTCTGCAAACTTGCTAAATTTACTTAAGAAGCAGAGTGGTTGCTTTGTAAATTTCTTAGCATTGTGTAAATAGAAAAAAACACATTATCTATAAATAAAGAATTTTCTTTTTCATCTTTATGCTTTAATAAATTTTTCTTGCCTAATTGTACTGGCTAATACAAACTTAATCATGTTAAACAGCTCAGATGGGAACAGACATTCTTGACTTTTTCCCACCATTAGAGGGAAGTGGTTCAATGTTTTACCATTAACTACTGTTTTGTAGTGAATTGGCTGCATCTCTTTCAGTAGGGACTACAGCTCCTGGGGTGTCTCCTCACAACAATGATATGTCCTCTTTCCAGTAGCTCCTTCCTTCTATTGTGCCTTTTAATTCGGGGTAGTTTTAATTTTCTGCTGTTGCTAGCTGCAGGATACTTAACCAGTCCTCTTCATTTTACCTAACCCTGCTCACAATTTTGTAAGTAATTTATTCATTACACTTTTTCAATTAATTTTTGAGTATGCCATCTCAAAAGGTACTAAGATCCTGAATGATGAAAGCATAATATAAAAATACAAATTTCATTTCTTATTCAGAAGTAATTTTTCTCTAGAAGTAAAATAACTTGGAGTTTGATTAAGAGGACTTATGAGATGTAATTATAAGACAACTCTATTTTTGTTTTCTATTGTTCTTTGAAATGTACTCTGAACAGCCAGTTCTTCTCTCATACGTGTTGAAAACTTGGGTGGGCTCCATGACTTTTACAGCTACTCTAAGCTTAAAAAACAAATCCTATTTAAAGTTGCAAAACATTCTCAATTCAACAATTAAAATGGGAGGTTTGTTACTTCAAAACTATAAATTTGATTTAACACTGAAGGTATCTCAGTCCCCTCCTCTGTGTAGTTCTGCAGTACTTGGGAAGTCGATAGGTAGGGGTGGAGTTTGGTAGGCTTATCCTCTTGTTCCCCATAGACTCCTCTATATCTTTCTGTATCTAACATCTGACCCTTCCCTATTTGGAGAGCAGAGATATAAAGAAGGAAAAGTCCAGATGAAGGTGTCTACTTTTCTGATACTGTTATAAGCTAGTTTATCCTTTCTCTGGACATATCAAATATTTAAAGTTGAGTCATATTTTGTGGGCTAAGTCTTCTTCTGAGACTTCCACCCATATTTCTGGGATCTCTTGCCTGTGGTTTCCTTGATGAGGGTGATACTGTCTCTTGTGATTTGAAATTTCCTTCTCTTTCTGCAATCTGTGGGCATCTAGAAATAAGTCTTATATTTTCCTGCTGAAATCTATTAACACATTTAAATGACCCTCCTTTAATGAAATCAAAGATAAGCCCATAATTTCTCTCTGTGGTGTGTGACTGAATTCTAGTCTATGGAAATCATCCATATATCCTTTCAATGTATTATTTCCTAGAGTCTTATTACTTTAAAAAATGTAGTCCTCTCTGTGACCATTGATTTCTTTGTTCAATCTCTTGTCCTTCAGACTTTTGTGTAAATCAAATACCAGATCTCTGGATTCCCCAAACATCACAGGATGCACTTTAAGGTCTCAGAAGGCTTTCTTAGAATTCTCTTTCTTGGGATAATGGTGAGAATGAGGAATCTCCAACTCCTCACTCTTGAGGAAGGTGAGATTCACGGGAAAGCTCTTGCCAATGAATTTATTTTAAAACTCCTTCCACTCAATCTCTGACTCCTGATCCTTTTGAAATATTGGTGGTGTTGGAAGATTTAGCAGTTTGGGGGTGATTTTTTAAAAAATTTTGCCTTACAGTGTGATATGTCACTTTGGAATATAGTAGCTATTTTTTACTTGGTCTCTCATGGGAAACCTCATTTAACTTGCTGTTATATTTCCATCTTTTTGTCATTGCCACAATCTGCAACTTGCCTTGCTCCTCCCTTTTTATGGAATAAGCAATTCCTTTACTTATTTATTTGAAGAAAGTGGAGTGCATTTTTATTATGGTTTAATTTCACATTCGCCTTGTTGAAACTCTTCTCACAATCCACTGGAACATTTGCTCAAATCTTCTTTAAGCCACATTTCCCAGCTGGTTTTTGGTATAACTCAGGTTCCCTTCCTTCTTCTTAAGTCTGAGTCAAAACATGATGGCGTATGAGAAAGGACACAGCAAGACGGCATATGAGTCAAAACCTAATGCCATATGAGAAAGGAGGGTGAAGGGAGATCAGAAACATTCTGCTTGTCTTTTTCTTCTAATTGGGCGATGCCTTTAGTCTTCAAGGTTTTTAATCATAAAGTTTTTTACTGTTTTAACAATTATATTATAAGTTAGTGTTTTGTCTTTCTCTTCCACATAGTTAAAATTATAGAATATCTTCATCTGGTTTATCTGTCTATTTGTGCCACAATTACAAGTTTTGGGCAGTGTCAGAAGCCTATCTTGTTCAAAGAGAGGAAAACCTTCCACTGGTGATCTGCCCAAACTGGGGAGAGCACTTAGAACAGAAGCAAAGAGCAGACAGCTGAGAACCGTGTCCCAGGATCAGCATCTAATTTTTATCTAACTTAGTATTGTTCAAGCCTGCCATGTTATATAAATCCATTTTGTGTTGGTATAAAGGAATGCCTGGGTCTGAGTAATTTATAAAGAAAAGAGGTTTATTTGGCTCATGGTTTTATACGCTGTACAAGCATGGCACCAGTATCTGCTCAGCTTTTGTTGAGACCTTTGGAAACTTTTACTCATGGAGGAAGGTGAAGAGGGGAGCAAGGGTGTCATATGGCTGAAGAGGAAACAAGAGACAGAGGAGGATGGTCCCAGAGTCTTTTTTAACAATCAGATCTCATAGTAACGAGCTGAGTGAAAACTCACTTATTACCTTGCAGAGAGCACGAAGACATTAATGAAGGACCTGCCCCCATGACGCAAACACTTCCCACTAGGCCCCTATCTTCAACACTACGAGATCAAATTTCAGCATGAGATTTGAAGGGGTCAGACATCCAAACAAGGTCACCTGTTATACTTGATTCTAATACAATCGCATGGCTTTACTGTCTGAAAAACTTCGCCCATTGTTCTCTTGGGTTCAATTCCATTTGGAATTCTAGATTATGGATCACAGGTTTTTAAGGCTGCAATTTAAAATAAAGTCTACCTAACTACCTATTCATTTTGTAGTTAAAGTAATAGAGCCTGAGGTTTACTCAAGGCCATATTAGAAGTACAAGTCAGTTGTCCCTACTTCCAGGCAACTATTATTTGTATTTTACTTTTTGGACGACTTTTTATGTTTATCACTACTTCTGTTTGTGCCCACAGTCTTGACTAATGCAGATTTTTAATTTCACACTTATCTATGTTCCCAGACCATAACTTTCATTGTCTCATTTTTCTGATCTAAATTCCATGTCATGTATTGAACTTTCATACATTTTCCTGTTAAAATTTGTTCTGAAACGACACTGACCACACTTATCCCCAGAATTCATATTAGTGATCCTATATGCACAATTACTCTCTTTTCTCTCCCTTTCTCTCCATCAGTGAACAGGTCACTGCCATTGTAACACGTTGTTTGAGTGAATTGCTCCCTTTTACACACTAGTCTCCTATACACTAGTTCTTGATCCATTTGACCTCATCTGTCACTGGGTCATTTGCACCTTGTTGATTGTTCAGTAGGCAAATCATAAGAGATTTTGAAAAATGATAGACTGTGTTAATAAATTATGCACAAGAATGGGGTTGCCAGATAAAATATAGAGAGCCAAGTTAAATTTGCATTTCAGATAAACATACTAAAATATTATCCACCGTTTATCTGAAATGCAAATTTGACTGAGCATCCTGTATTTTTGTTTGCTATATCTGTCATTTCTACAGAGAACTATTTATTAAGAATTTTTTACCTCAATTCAATCATTTTACATAATTTTCTTTCATTCTTTTCCAAATTCTATTGTATCCAATCCTGTGTACTTCTATTAGATTTAGTTTGTATAAATTTTCATGATTCCGTTTATGTGTTTACTATTGCATAAATACCTCCAAGGGCTTTGGCTCTAGTAAATATAACCTGACTATTGATCTGACATAATTTCTTTGACTAAATTCTCTCCTATTTGTTTATGGCCTGGCATAGAATTTGTTATTTAAGCTCTAGTTATTGCTCTGTGTTTCATTCCTGTATCATGTAAGGTTTCAACAGAAAAACAAAATCAAGTCATTAAATGAAGTGAATTTTCATGAAAACACTTTTACAGAAGTGTGGACAGGGTTACGAGACCCAGGGACTAGCAATAACTAACAGCTGGTATGCCTGAAGAGGACAGAGTAGCCTGAATGCAGGCAGAGCTGTAGCTCTGGAAGAGAAGCCACCCAAAGGAAGCAATGCTAATGGATGAAGGAAGTATCTTTTGCCTCAGCTATGGCCTAGTATTGAGAAAGTGGGAGATCAGTTACCCCAGTCTCCCTCTCCTTCCCTCAGGACAATGACATCTCCCCTTATTCAATCTCATCTGGAGGCCAGAAGGTAAGGAGCCCAGGTGATCAAGCTCAGAGAGCTCTTCATGAAGAGTGTAGAAAATGAACCTGAAGAACAATTGACTCAAAACTTCAAGGAAAGAGGGAAACATTTAAATATTTAAATCTCTCAGTAAAAGGTCATAGGAAAACATTTATAAAAAAATTAAACATCTAATCCAGATATGAAATGAATAATGCATTTACTGTTGAATAAGGAGTGAGTTGTTGAGACATTTCAGTTAGACCTTTTCCATGAGTATATTTTTGTTCATGAATGTAGATAGGGATTGAGAAACTTCCTGGTTTTTTTTTTCTTTCCCCCCACACTCACCCCACCCCGAGGCAGAGTTTCACTATTGTTGCCGAGGCTGGAGTGCAATGGCGTGATCTTGGCTCATGGCAACTTGCACCTCCTGATTTCAAGCGATTCTCCTGCCTCAGCTTCCCAAATAGCTGGGATTACAGGTGCCCACAGCCACACCCAGCTAATTTTTTGTATTTTAAGTAGAGACAGGGTTTCATCATGTTTGCCAGGCTGGTCTCGAACTCCTGACCTCAAGTGATGCACCTGCTTTGGCCTCCCAAAGTGCTGGGATTACAGGCATGAGCCACCGCACCCGGCGGGAACTTCCTATCTTTTTAAAGATATTTTAAATGATAATCATATTCTGTAAGGGAGGCATAAAAGTAAACAGTTTTTTATATTGTTAGTAGGAATGTAGTTTTATAGCAGCAGTCCCCAACTTTTTGGCACCAGGAACCAGTTTTGTGGAAGACAATTTTTCCATGAACAGGGTAGTGGTGGGGGGATGGTTTTAGGATGAAACTGCTCCAAGTCAGATCATCAGGCATTAGATTCTCAAAGGGAGCATGCAGCCTAGATCCCTCTCATGTACAGTTCACAATAGGGTTTGTGCTCCTATGAAAATCTAATGCCCTCGCTGGTCTGACGGGTGGCAGAGCTCAGGCGGTAATGCTTGCTGGCTGGCCCCTCACCTCCTGCTGTGTGGCCAGGTTCCTAATAGGCTGTGGACCAGTTCTGATCTGTGGCCTGGGAGTTGGGGATTCCTGTTTTATAGAACCTTTGTGAAAAATAATTTTCAACTTTGTATCAAAAATTTTAACATGTCTAGACCTGTATTCTGAAAGTCAACATGTAGGAATTTGTTCCAAGAGAATTGCCAGAAGATTGCATATGGTTCATATAAAGATGTATATATGAAAATATTCACTCATGGTTCCAAAGCTTAGAAGCAATTCAGATATAATCATTTAAATAAATAAATTATAGTACATCTATAGAATATTATGCTGTGAAACTGCTTTTTTAAAAAAACCACAGATGTGCCTATACATTTTTAATTGGAAATAATTATGAATTATTGTAGAATATAATGTGTGGCTCCACTTGTGTTAGACAAAGTTCCTGCATGTACATAAACCAAAAAAAAATGGCTAGAAAAATATTTTGCCAGAAAATATCTCTGAGTGGTGAGATAACAGATAATCCTTACTTTCTTATTTATGTAACATATTTCTTAAAAAATTCAAGTTGATTGTATTATAATTTATATGCAATAAAATTCATCAACCTTAGGTATATACTTAAATGAGCTCTTAGTAATGTGTACTATTGTGTATCCACCATAACAATTGAGATATAGAACATTTCCATCATCCCAGTAAAGTTCCCATGTGCCTTTGGTAGCCAATTCCCTCTCCTTACCCCAAACCCTTGGAAACTCCTGATCAGGTTTTTGTTCCTAAAGTTTGTCTTCTCCTGAATGACACATAAAGGAAATCATAAAGTATGTTGCATTTGCATTTGGTTTCTTTTGCTTTGCATAATGCTTTTGAGATTCACTTATGTTTTTGCATGTATAAATAGTTGATCCTCCTTTATTGTTGAATAGTATTCCATTGTACAGCTGTGTTACAATTTGCTTATCCATTTACTAGTGGATGGACATTTGGGTTGTTCCCAGTTTGGGGCTATTATGAATAAAGCTACTGTAAATAGTCATGTACAGGTTTCTGTGTAAGCAAATGATTTCATTTTTCTTGGGTAAATACCTAACAGTAGAAGGTCTGGATCATATGGTAAGTATAGCTTTAATTTTACTTACAAAACTGTTGAATTCTTTTCAAAGAAATAGTACCATTTTGCCCTCCCATCATCAATATGTGAGAGTTACAGTTTATTTCTATGAGGTAATAAATATATTTTATTTAAAAACTTTGGAAACTCAGGTTAAGAGTAAACATATAAAATCCATTAGTATGTGTAGTTTTGATATACTAAAATAAAATAATAGTTCTAAATTATTAATACATATTGGGCAAATTTTACATTTGAAATTAATAATAATTGTTCTACTAGTGATTTCTACTCACCAATCTGTAATAGCTTATGTCTGATACTCAATTCACTATTATATCAAGCAAACACTTCAAAATGTATCTATTGTAGATACTAAACATTATAAAAAGCTTTTCCCCTGTGTCTGTTTCTCTACTTGGGATTTAATGTCTTTCTGCTTATACGACTCCTCAGTTGTTGGTTTCTGTCTCCCTAGCTCTGTTTCTTTCAGCATCACAGAGCAGAGCTAAAGCTCAGGAATACTTTCCTCTTACCATTTTTTTTCTTCTTTCCTAAACTTGTACTATAACAATCCTCACTATCTTATTGCCATCTGCTTTGCTTCCATTTTCTATTTCAAATTATTTTGTTCTTTTGTTAATCAGTCCTCACAGAAATGATACAAAATTCTCAAAGACTGAAAATGGATTTGTACACTAGGATGCTACATGGATGAAATTTGGAGTTACATATTATTCTGCTTTCTTATGACTTACCAGGGTGCATTTCAATTTCAAAGGAGAAAGATGTAGATAAATTGTGTAAGACTGATTTATTTTATTCTCATTATTTTATTCATTTGAGGATTTTGTTTTCCTCTCTATACTGTTGTCACAAAATTAATTGTTGATTTGTTTATCTTATATTTCATAAAAAGACATGCTGAGTTAAAAAAAATGAAAAAAAGAACTATGCCCCAATTATTTCAACTTGAAATGGTTTAAATTCTCAGATCTGTGGCTTATTCTACCATTTACTAAATGTTGCTTTGAAATTAATAATGGTCATCACAAAGCAACTTTGAAAGGTCATCCCATCCATACCTCTGCCTCCAGTCAGAGGGTCACTCCTAATCACTGGGGGCAATGTGGCAAGAATAATTTTTAGCAACAGATAAAACCATCACATATAACCTATAATTTGCCTTCTAATCATCAAGTGAGCTCTAGTTGTATAAATTAGTTTTATTGAGTTCAGTATACATTTTATTAGTGCTGTTCCCCTTCTATTGCATAGAAAGCATATGGCTAACGTATTAAGTAAAATCACTTATAGATGTAAATTTTTTATGACTTTTTAAATGTTAATGTATGGCTGTTAAATGTTAAAGTGGTAAATAGCTTCTAGGAGCTCACATGTACTAAATTTCATTTTGCAGCCCTCAGCATTTAAGGAAAGAACTCATATTTGTCAAGCTAAGATTTTTATAAACTTGCTGCTTTTAATATATGATTGTTTAAAAGAAATTAGGGTAATTAGAAAATATGTCAATGCCATATTAAAATTGCCAATGCCACAAAACAGCAAACATCCTCCTTCTGGAAGATTATGGAAGAAAATATTATGAAATATAAGAATTCTGAATTTTAGCTATTGCTCCAAACTAAAAATATAGCTTTCTAGGTCATTGTGCCAGATCTCTGTTCATCTGTATAAGGCTGCTTACAATCCTATTTACATTAAATATTTTTTGTCGATAAGTACATGAATTTCTTTTTCTGAGTACTCTCGCTCCTACTTCTGTCTATATCACTTACGACACAACGGTATAATCATAGAATCAATGAAATTGGAGCTGAGAACAATTTTTGATATTAAATCTAATGGTCTTCATTGAAGGGTTGTCAATATGTTTAACTGTAAGCGCTTCTTAAAAATACAGATGTCTGAATTCCAACTATTGATTTTTATTCTTTAGAGCTGAGGCCTAGGTATGTGTATTTTTTAAGTGACCAAAACAATCCTGACATGTCCCCTACATTAAGCATCTTTTTATCTTCCTAATTTATAATTTATAAATAGGAAAACCAATACTCAAATTTTACAAGATTTACTCAGTGTTAAAGAGCTAGTGAGAAACATAACTAAAATCAAATGTATTTTGACTCCCTACTTATCCATGATGTAAAGATAAGGTAGAGCAAACTCCAATCAAGTCCATATTAACAGGGTAGCAGGACAGTGAGCATCAGCTATTTCTCCATGCATGGATTTTTCCAGGCAGTGATGGTAACGCACAAAACAAGCAAGATAACACTGAAATGTAATTACATAATTTGTTATTCTATTTCCTTACTATAGTGCCATAACATGCCACAAACTGTTGACTTAACAGTAATTTATTGACTCACAGTTCTCGAGGCTAGGAATTCAAGATCAAGGTGTCACTACTGTTGGTTCCTTCTGATGACTATAAAGGAGAGTCTGTTCCATGCCTCTCTTGTATCTTATGGTGGTTTACTGACAATCTTTAGTGTTCTTTGGCTTGTAGGTGCATCACCCTGATTTCTGCCATCATCTTCACATAGACTGTGTGCATGTCTGTCTCTGTGTCCAAACTTCTTCTATTTACAAGGACACCAGTCATGTTGATGTGGGCCCACACTAATGATCTCATTTATCTTGATTAAAACCCTATTTCCAAAGGTTACATTCTGAGATCTTGAAGGTTGGGGCTTCAACTTATATTGCAGGGGAGACAACTCAATTCATAACAATTTTCTACACACAGGCCATGGGAGAACTAGCAGCTTAGCAGACCCAGAAACTCTCTCCTAAATAGAGCCTCATTCAAATTCTTCGTCTTCATGACATCATCCAGTCTGCAAGGCACACAACCTTCCGAATGTCACCCTAGTTCTTCCTCAAAAGAGAGACTCTTTAAAATCCTATAGCCTCTCCTCTAATTATCCTGTTTCATCATTAAAGTCATGCATCTCTTAGCAATGAGATTCATTCTGAACAGTGTGTCACTGGGTGATTGTCCTTGTGTGGACATCATAGAATCAGGGTATACTTGTACTAACCTAGATAGACTAGCTTACTACACATCTAAGCTATATGGTATAGCCTATGGCCTCTAGGCTAAAAACCTGTACAGCATATTACCGTATTGAATACTGTAACACAATGGTATTTGTGTATCTAAATATATTTGTATATCTCAATATATATAAACATAGAAGAGGCACAATAAAAATATGGTATTATAAACTTACTGGATCACTATTGTATTGCAGTCTATTGTTGACCAAGATGTCATTATGCAGTGCATAACTATATTAGTATTATTTGGGTCATCTGAATCTTCTATATTATAATTTTTATAGTGTTTATTGTATACAACATAATGTTTTAAAATACATAGAGATAGTAAAAAGGTTACTATAGTGAAGCAAATAAACATATCCATCATTTCACGTAGTTCCCCATTTTTTTGTTGTTTATTTTGTGGCAAGGGAAGCTAAAATCTACTTTTTTAGCATGAGTCTCATATATGGTACAATTTTACTACCTATAGTCCTCATGTTGTTCCCTATATCTCTAGCTTTGTTTATCTTACATATCTGCAGCTTGGGATCCTTTAACTGACATCTGCCAATTTTCTCCCCATGTCCCCACTGCCCCTACTAACTCTAGTAACTACTGTTTTGCTCTGTCTCTGTCTCTATATATTATATTTGAAATGTTTTTTAGATTCTGCATACAAGTAACATCATGCAATGCAGTCAACCCTCCCTGTCTGGAGGTTTTGCATCCATGGATTCAACCAAACATGGATTGAAAATATTTGGGAAAAAAAAGAAAAATAATACAATAATACAAATAAAAATAACACAATAACACTATTTACATATCATTTACATTTTACTCTATAAGTAATCTAGAGATGGTTTAAGGTAAATAAGAGGATGTGCATAGGTTATATGAAAATATTATGCCATTTTAGATAGGAGACTTGAGTATCTACAGATTTTGTTATTTGTAGGGTGTCCTGGAACCAGTTCCCTGTGGGTACCAAGGGATACAAAAAACAACTATATTTTTCTTTCTGTATTTGGTTTATTTCACTTAATATAATGTCTTTATGCTCATTTATGTTGTGGTAAATGGCAAGATCTTGTTCTTTTTAGGGTTGAATAATATTCTATTGTATATATGTACCACAGTTTCTTTATCAATTAATCTGTTGACAGACAAATGGTTATTTTACATATTTCGGCTATGTGAGTAATGCTGCAAACATATGGGAGTGAGATATTTTTTGAGGTAGTAATTTCATTTTCTCTGGGTAAAATACCAGAAGAGGGATTGCTGGATTATATGGTAGTTCCACTTTTAATTTCACTAGAAATGTTCACACTGTTTTTTATAATGGCTGCACCAATCTATATTCCCACAGTTTACCAGGGTTCTTTGTTATCACATCCTCACCAACATGATATCTAATTCTGGAGTCCAGTTGTATATCTTTTCATTCCACAATATTTTTGAGGTGGTTGTTATATTTTATTAAATTTTATACACTTATAATTTTTCTGTATTCTCATTAAAATAGAGTTTCTGTCCCTTGTAGCAAAACTAATATACTCACCATATTCTGACTTTATTGAAGTGATATTTAATTTGTCATTTTTTCATGGCTAGAAATTTTCTTGCTGTCTTTAATGGAAAATAAGACTTTATGCCTTCTATCAATTTAGTTATACCCAAAGAAATCCAGAAAGTTTAAATTTGCTGACCATTTCATCAGACTATTTCATGACATTTTTCTAATTCTACTTCCAATCTAACGTGTGAATTTATTATTATTTATAAATGTGATAATTATGTCAATTCTAATATTCTTGCTATATTATTTGTGAGGTGATAAAAGCTGTTGGTTAAGTCATGTGAAAAGTATCATTTTTGATTTAAAGGAGAGCTTGACCAAAATAACCACACCCTATACTTAATATTTGTATGTAATACTTAACTTGTATATTATAAAATTCACACCTTTGCATTTTTAATATTATGAATTTTTTATTGAAATAGCAGCATTTCTACTCTATTCTCTTAAACAGAATGAATTTCAACACATAAACTGTAAGTTTTAAGCTGTTAATGGTCTCCCGTGGGTTTCATTTCTTACTGTGATTATTCAGTGATTTCCTTGGGGGTTAGGTAAGGCCAATTTTACAATTTATGTTTATAAGCATGAAAGTTTACTTTCTCCTCAGTAAGTCAACTCAGAGTCATGTTCTATAAGGCAGAGAAACCTCTCAGATGAATAGTTTTGACCCTTCTATGTCCTATGGCTTTCATTTAATAGATTAATTGATTTGATTTATGAATTCACCTGACACTATTGATTATAATTCTAGAGAAAATAATGACAAAGACAAAACTTATTTTCAATGCCTGAGACACACATTGCTCTTTTTTCCCCTGCACTTTAGTATCTAAATAATTTACCCTATTTCTTCAGCCATACCTTCCATCAGAGCTGTTAGACAGTTTTATATTGAAACCATTAACCAAAATGCATATTGCAAACTGTTTAGAATTAAAAGATTATGTTTAGAAATTTTATTGGACTTTCCATTCAAGTGCATTCACATTTAAGTCACAGAAAAGTTAGAAGATAAGCAAATGATATTTGATGGTATAAGAATTTTGGACAAAAGGCATTGATTAATGAGGTTAAATTTTAAATTAACCTTTAAATATTTAGTAATTTTTAATGAAAAGATCACATTAAACTGAACTGTTTTTTAATAGAGAGGAAATACTTGAATAACCCTAATTTTGCAAATAAACTATCTGGTTTTTTTTAGATGGTATGAAAAATGTCAAGATGCTTTTATTTTTTAGAAGTTATCTCCATTTGTATTTTCAATTTGTTATTACAAAATTCAATATATGCCAAGTGACTACAGATCCTCATTGCCTCATGATGGAATTATATCCTTACAAACCCATCATAACTTGAAAATATTGTAGGTTGAAAATGCTTTTAATACACCTAGCCTACCAAACATTACAGCTTAGCCTAGCCTACCTTAAATGTGCTCAGAACACTTACATTAGCTTACAGTTGGGAAACATCATCTAACACAAAACCTGTTTCATAATAAATTGTGGAATATCTCATGTAATTTCTTGAATACTGTATTAAAGGTGAAAACAGAATGATTTTTGTATACGTTGAAGAACGGTTTCTACTGAATGTGTATGACTCTCATACTATTGCAAAGTTGAAAAACCGCATATATGTCTATCTATCTTAAGTCAGAAACTGCCTATATTTTGTAGAGCAGGATATGGTCTTACTTTACTAATATTTTAATATCTACTTTGTGTTAAACAGTTTTATTTCTTGAAATGATTTTTAATTTGGGGATCAGTAGTGTAGTAGTTAGAGGTTCTGTTCAGCTGCTTGCAATTAGCATTTAGCTACAGTGTTGTATATTTCCAGGGGTTCTTTTCCTTTTATTAACTTAGAGGGTTGCTGATGTTGGTTCTGCAACTCAAGAATGTCAGAAAAAAAGGCTTTGCAATTTTCTCAGCATTTCCCTCCGAGGCTCCATTATACAGAGTATGTGCTAAACTACATGCATAAAGGAATTTGAGAGTGAAGATCAGCTGAATTTTGGACTGACTGACTCAAAAGATTCAGAGAAACAAATACCGTGTTTCCTGGGAAGCAATTGGAAGCAAAGGTCAAAATCAGAAGCAATTAGGATTAATTTTCATTGAGGTGATACTGGAAGTTAATTGATTTCCATTTCAGTGGTGAATGAGAGCAGAAAAACTTGAAGTCTGAGAGGGAAGTGGGCAGGTAGAAACTCTTTATTGGGATAAAGGAGACTAGAACACATTTTTATGTAGAGAAAGTTTTGTGTGCTAAGAAAAGGATTACTGAAGTGATTGGCAACAAGTTAAGGCTGCCCGGGAAAGCACACTGATCGTAACAGTGGCAAAGGCAAGAGGAACAGGTTTGAATAGCATGTTCTTCCAATATAAAGAAATAGTAGCATAGGCCTGTCTTGTTATTTTGAGAAAAGCCTTAATGAAAAGCTTACTACTCCCTGGGGGAGCTGGCACTCCTTTTCACAGAATTCTATAAGAACTTATCCTCCTACTATTATTTTAAACGCTGTAGAATCTACAGATTGAATGTGTCAAGCCACAGTGTTTTTTTTTTTTTTTGGTGCCAAGTTATGTGAAGGTCAAAAGTCAACTCCGTAACTTCATCTTATATCTGAAACAGAGGGACTCTCAACTTCTTTTTGTATAAAGATCTAAGCACATACTCACATTAGAAGAAGTTCTTAGTACATACTCTCTGAAAACAAACCTCTGCCCTCTTTAATATGTGATACTTTTTAACAAAATGTACAACAAATTCCCCAAGCTTGTTCATAGGAAGACTACATGCCTTTGTGTGTTTTACAATGTGCAGTGGATCATATTTTTCAACTACAAGACAAAAATGACCTGGAATTAAAACGCTTTGTGATTTGAACCCCATTTTTTCTGAAATTTTCCAGACAATAGTGACAGCCACCCACTGCTTTGTACAAAAATAAACAGATTGATTTAGACTATAGGCATCATAACAGCACACATGAAGAGAAAATACGTGCATGTAAACAAGATTGAACTACAGCTACACACTTATTTTCCCTTTGAAAATGAAACAGGTTGGCAGCCTTACCAATAAACAGAGCTGAATACTGTCTTAGTCTTCTGTTTGAGTTTTGGAAACCTGAGTTTTGCGGTAATTGCATATTACATCTGCATACTTCAAATGAGTTTATAATGACTATTATCATCAGAATAAATAGGAAAACAATTAACCATGATTAGCCTTTTTTATGCGAAGAGTTACCTCCTTATTTTGGCATTCAGTTTGCAATCATTTTGAAATTAGCTATGAGTTTGAATAATTTTATTTATTTATTTTTGTATTTCAATAGTGTAACAACAAATGAGTTCCTTAACCTTATGCATTTCTATAAAAAAGTAGAAAATATTAGCAGTGTTTATGAAAATATAAAACCCATTTCCCTAACTATTTTTCTAAAAAAGCAGAGCAAGAGATCAAAAGAAAACTGATTCTTTTTTTGTGTTTGGTTTGAAACAGAGCCAACTTGAAGTAGCTACTATTAAATTCATTATTGCACTTTATATTCTCCCCTAAATGATTAATTTTCACTGTCACGGGTCACTTTCAAAGGTAACTGTTCTCTGTTAAGAGAACAAAGACATGACTTTGTAAACACACATTGATGATATGGTTGAAATTTCCAAATATTAGCACCTTCGAAATATTGAGACATTATACATACATGTTTTATTTTCCACACTCACTAAAAGTGTGTATTTTTTACAGATTCTCAAATGCTTTGGAATAGAAGGAAGACTTAAAATAGCGACTAACCAAAATCAAGGCCAGATTCCCTTTGTTTGTTACTAGAACACCGGAGCACTGCCTGCCTTGCCAGTGGGAATGTATTTGAGTCCTGCAAGTGATGATGGAGAATAAAATCCCAGGGGATTTCATGGTCACTGAACTTTTCAGATGAGGATTGTACAGCCAACACACTCAATTCTTAAGGAGATTGTTCAGGTCCTTGGAGATCTAGCCTTCTGCTCTGTGCTCGCCTATATGGCTTGGAGAACTGCCAGTAGCTGTGACTGCAGTAACCCCTTGGCAAAATGGATTGCAGCTTTGGAGTTCTTCAGAAAGGTTGTAAATTACAGAGGGCTAAGCAATTGTCTGGGGATCTGTGTTTTATTGAAAAGATGGTAACAACTTATTTTACTTCTAAGCAAAAGAGAGAAATGTAGCATCAAAGTGATTTTTGAAAAATTAATTTAAGTTACAGAAAAGTCTATTGAGATTTGTAGTACGTGGTGCTAAATATTGTAAACTATGTGTGAATAAAACATTTTCATACTTTACATTCATTTGTTTAGTCCTATCACCATGTACTGAGTTTCCCATTTGCCTACTCATTATTAATCCATATTGAAGAATTTCAGAAGCAGATTCCTTAAAATACTTGAAAGGCTTTTCAACATAAATATTCAAAGATTAAATGTCATCATTGTTATTTTCTGGAAGTGGAAATTTTGGGCATAATGTATTCTCAAGCAACCTTTCTCATTTTGTTAAATGATTTACTTTTCAGAGCTAGGGCAAGATATTATTCCTTCATTATGGGTCAATAAAATTTCTCTCAACATTTATAAACAACAAAATATATAGATGAATGATAATTGGCTCTATCTTATATTTGGTATAAAAATTGAGAACTATACTTTAAGATATATTTGACTTATAATGTACTTTCTTTTTTTCTGATCTCTTACAAATAAATTTCCTATAGGGGGGTCCGATTCAAATCCCTGAAAACAAACTTCTGCCCTCTTTAATATATGTCAATTTTTTTTGAAAAATTGCTGTATGTATTTGAGGTATCAACATGATATTATGGCATATATACAGGGAGTAAAAAGATTACTACAGTGAAGCAAATTAACATGTCTATCATCTCACATGGTTACCTATTTTTGTTTTTGTGGCAAGATTAGCTAAAATCTACTCATTTAGCATGAATTCCCATATGCAGTATAATTTTATTAACTACAATTTTCATGTTGCCCATTAAATCTTGAGACTTTTCATCCTACATATCTGCTGCTTTGCCTTCTCTGACCCTATGTCTCTCCATTTTCTCTTCTTGCCTTCCTGGTATTCACTCTTTTGCTATGTAACTGTGTGGAAATATTTTTTTTCAATTTTCCATATAAATAAGATGCTGCAGTATTTTTCTTTCTGTGTTTGATGTATTTCACTTAGCATAATGTCCTCCAAACTCATCCACATTGTGGGAAATGGCAACATCACATTCTCATTTTAGGACTGAATATTATTCCATTGTACCACAGTTTCTTTATTCATTAGTTTGTCCTCAGACACTTAGATGGTTTCCATATCTTGGCTATTATAAGTAATATTGCAATGAACATGGGAGTGTAGATATCTTTATGTGGTGAAAATTTTCATTTTCTCTGTGTAAATGCCCAGAAGAAGGATTGCTGGGCCATATGGTAGTTCTATTTTCAATTTCTTTAAAACCTCCATATTATTTTCCATAATCGCTATACCAATCTACATTCCCAAGAGTGTACAAGAGTTGATTTTTCTCTACACCCTCACCATCATTTACTTTTGACTTTTTGATAATAGCTATCTGTATTAGTCCATTCTCACACTGCTATAAAGACATACCTGAGACTGGGTAATTTATAAAGAAAAGTGGTTTTCTTGGCTCATGGTCCTATGGGCTGTACAGGCTTCTGCTTCTGGGAAGGCCTCAGGAAGCTTACAATTATGCTGAAAGGGCAAAGGGGAAGCAAGCATGTCTTACATGGGCAGCAGGAGGAAAAGAGAGCAAAGGGAGAAGTGCTACACACTTCCAAACAACCAGATCTCATGAGAACTCACTATCACAAAAACAGCAAGGGGGAAATCCACCCCATTATCCAATCACCTCCAACCAGGCCCCTCACCCAACATTGGGGATTACAATTCAACATGAGATTTGGGAAGGGACAGAGAGCCAAACAATATTACTATTCTAATGGGTATGATGTAATATGTCATTGTGGTTCTGATTTGCATTTCACTTAGGATTAATGATGCTGAGCACCATTTCGTGTACCTGTTGGTCATTTTTGTCTTTTTTGGAAAAATATCTATTCAGATATTTGGCCTATTTTTTAATTGGGTTTTTATTCTCCAGTATTGAGTTTTACATGTTCTTTATATATTTTGGATATTAATCATCTATTAGATATATGGTTTGCAAATATTTTTTCCCAATCCATAGAATGCCATTTCCTTTCGTCAATTCCTTTGCTGTGAAGAAGGTTTTTAGTTTAATGTATTTTCATTTATTTAGTTTTTCTTTTTGTGGACTGAGCTTATAATGTGATATCCAAAAAATAATAACCAAGACCAATCTTCAGTAGCTTTTTCCCTATGTTGTCTTCTGAGAATTTTATAGTTTCTGATCTTATATTTAGGTTTTTAAATCCATTTTGAGTTGATTGTTGTTTAGGATAAAATAATAGGTAAGATAAGAGTCCAGTTTTATTCTTTTGCCTGTGGAAATCCTGTTTTGCCAGCACCATTTTTTGAAGAGACTATCCCTTCCCCATTGGGTCTTCTTGATGCCCTTGTCAAAAATTAGTTGACTGTGTATGTTTAGATTTATTCCTGGGTTTTCTATTCTGTTGCACTGGTTTATTGTCTGTTTTATGCTAGTAATATACTGATTTGATTACTATAGCTTTGTAGAATAATTTTAAATCAGGAAGTCTGATGCTTCCAACTTTCTTTTTCTTTCTCTTGCCACTCTGTGTGCATTCTTTCCTTGGACTGAATCTTAGTGGAATAGCTTTCAGCTTTCCCCCATTGACTGTAATGTTCACTGTCAGTTTTTTATATGCAGCCTTCATTATGTTGAGAAAATTTTCGTTTATACCTAACTGCTGAGCGCTTTTACCAAGAAGGGATATTGGTCTTTGTCAAATGCTTTTTCTGCATTAATTGAGATGGTCATGTGATTTGATTTTTCATTGAATTAATATGATGTATCAAATTGATTGACTCTCCTAGTTTAGACCAGACTTGCATGCCAAGGATATATCACACTTGGTTATGATGTATAATCTTTTTGATGTGTCATTGGATTTGGTTTTCTAATATTTCATTTATAATTTTTCATCTATGTTTACCAGAGAAATTGGAATGTAACTTTATTTTCTTATGATAACTTTGTCTGGTTTTGGCATCAAGGTGATTCTGGCCTCATAAAAACTGTTTGGAAGTACTCCCTCTAGCTCTATTTTTTCGAAGACTTTTAAAAATATGGGTATAATTTTTTTTAAGTTTTGTAGAATTCAGCTGTGAAATCATCTGGTCCTGCATTTTTCTTTGTTGGGAGGTTTTGATTTTTTTTTTTAATACTTTTGTTTCTTATGGGTCTGCTTATGCTTTCTATTTCTTCCTGGCTCAATATTGGTAGGTTGTATTTTTCTAGAAATTTATCTATTTTCTTCAAGTTTTCCAATTTGTTGGCATATAATTGTTGGCATATAATTGTTAATAGTAGTCTCTTATGATCCTTTTAATTTCTGAGATGTCTATTGTAATTTATTCACTTTCTTTTTATTCTATTTGAGTTTTCACGTGTTTTTCCTTGGTCAAAGGATTATTACTTTTGTTTACTTTCTCAAAAAAAGTAACTCTTAGATTTGTTGATTATATGGTTTTTTGGTTCTCTATTTGAATTATTTATGTTCTGAATTTTATTATTTCCTTCCTCCTGATAATTTGGGGTTTAGGTTGTTTTTATTTTTTCTACTTATTTAAAGTGTTATGTTAGACTATCTCTTTGGGACCTTTCTTCTTTTTAAATGTAGGCATCTATTGCTGTAAACTTTCTCCTTAGAACTGCTTTTACTGCATCCCATAGGCTTTGGTATGTTGTGTTTCCTTTGTTATTTGTCTCAAGATATTTTTAAATTTCCCGTTTAATTTCTTCTGTGACACATTAGTTGTTCATGAGCATGTTATTTCATTTTCATTTTTCAAGATTCCTTCTGTTATTGATTTCTAGTTTCATAACTTTGTAATTCAAACAATTGTAGATATAATTTCAATCTTCCTAAATTGGTTAAGGCTTGTTTTGTGAGTTACCATATGGTCTATTCTGGAGAATGTTTTATGCTCACTGAATAAACAAAATGTGTAATCTGCCACTTTTGAATAGAAAGTTCTGTGTATATCTGTTAGGTCTCTTTTGTAAAAAGTGCAATTCAAATTCATTACTTTCATATTAGTTTTTAGTCTGGTTAATACATTCACTGTCAAAAGTGGGTATCAAAGTCATTTATATGTGACTGAATGCTTTTCTCTTGCTGCTTTAAAAAGTATCTGTCTTTGACTTTTAACATTTTGCTTATAATGTGCCTTAGAGAGGACCTCTTTGGGTTCCCCTAGAACCTCCAGAAAGGGATTTCAGGAGCCCTGTTAATTTTAGCCCAGTGTAACCATTTTAGATTTCTGATCTCCATAAACTAAGAGAGTAAATTTGTGTTTTATTAAGCCATATTACCAATCATGTGTTACAGCGTCAATAGAAAATAAATACAAGAGCGCATCAATTTGTTATCCTTTTCATTTGCCAAATAATATCCCATTGCATAGATCATATTTTCTCACATTTGCCAGTTCATGGATATTTTAAAAGTTACCAGTTTCAGCCTTTTGTTAATAATACTTCAATGAGCATTTGTGTACATGTCTGTATGTGGACATTATATTTTGTTTCTCTTGGTTTGATACCTAGGAGTGGATTGTGGCTAATGGGGTAACTTTATGTTTAACTTTTTAGGAAACCACTCAACATACAGTTTAAATTTTGATAAATTCCAATTTATCAACGTATATATTTATACATTGTGTGTGTGTGTGTGTGTGTAATGTTTGTGATGCTATGGTATACTTTGCCCAACCAAAGGCCAACAAGCTTTTCTCTTTTGTAATCTCCTTTGTGATCCTTTTAGCTCTTGCATTTAGGGCTATGATCTCTTTTTAGTTAATATTTGTATATGGTAGATTTTTTTTTCACTAGGATGTCCAATTGTCTTAGCACCATTTTTTTGAAAAGTGTATCCATTCTTAATGAATTGTTTTAAAACTTTTGTTGAAAATCAGTTGAACCAAACTCTAAGTATTTATTTGTTGACTTTCAATTCTGTTCTATTGACCAAATAACTATCCTTGCAGCAATTCCATATATCTTCATTACTGTGGATTTATTGCAATTTTTGACATATGTAGTATTAATCCTCAAAATCTGTTCTTCCTTTTCAAAATTTCTTTAGCTATTCTAAGTTCTTTATATTTGCAAATAAATTTTAGAATCAGATTGTCAATTTTCAAAAGGAAAAGACTGTTGGAATATTGATGGGAATTGTGTTGTATTGTATTTATAAATCAACCTGTGAGTAATTGTAATACTGAAAATATTGAGTCTTGAGTTTTCCAAAACATGACTGGGGAAAAAAAAAGTCTCCGTTTTGTAGATCTACTTAAATTTATCTCAGCAATGTTATCTAGTTTTCAGTGCACAGATCTTGTATCTGTTATTAAATATATTTTATTTTATTTTTATAAAACTATAAATTGAAATGTTTACTTATTTCATTTTTGGGTTTTCTCCTTGTCAATATAGAGAAATACAATTGATTTTTCTATATTGATTCTGTACCTTGATAATTTTGTTTCGCGGGTTCTTGTTTTGTAGTAGTTTCGTGGGGGTTCTTGTTTTGATTTTGGTTGTTTTTGCTTTGTTTTTGTAAAACACTTGGATTTTCCATGTAAGGATCATATCATCAGGCAATAAAGATACTTTTATTTATTTCCCTCCAATCTGACTGTTTATAATTTGATGATGGTGGTTGGGTATATAATTAGCTAGAAGCTCAAGTAAAATGTTCAATAGAAGTAACAAATGCACATCTTACTTCTTCCTGATCCTATAAAGCATTCAGTTCTCCACCATTATCTGTGATGAGCTGCTGGTTATTTTGTACATGGCCTTCATAAGGTTGGAAAGTTCCCTTCTTTTTGCATTTGTTGAGAGTTATGAATTGGTGTTCGATTTTATCACATAATTTTTCAGGTGATTTTTCTGTAGCTACTGAGATAAGTATATATTTTTGTCCTTTATTCTATTAATATAGTTTATTACATTAGTCAATATCTGGATGTTAAACTAAGTTGCAATCTGGGATTAACATATTTTAGTCTTGGTAGAGGATCCTGTTTATATATTGCTAGATACAGTTTAATACAATTTGATTAGGAATTTTTACATTTATATTCGTAAGGCATGTTGGTCTCTAGTCTTCTTGTGATGTTTTTGTCAAACTTTGATATCAGGCAATACTGGTTTTATAAATGAGTTGGGAAGAGATCCTTCACTCTATTTTCTCAACAAATCTGTGAAAGACTGGTATTAATTATTGATATATTTGACAAAATTCACTAAAGAAACCACTTGAATCTGGATTTATTTTGCAGAAAAATTTGTAATTATTAATTCATTTTTTAACTTGTTATAGATATATTCAGATTTCCAGTTTTGTCCTGAGACAGTGTAGTCCTTTGTATCTTTCTAGGAATTTGTTGATTTTATCTAAGTTGTCTACTTATTTGTGTCTAATTGCTGCTCATAATATTTCCTTAATTCTCTTGATGTCTGAAATCAGTCATTAGTGATAATGACTTTGTTCCTGATTTTAGTAGTTTGTGTCTTATTTTTTGTTGTTCTTCTAGATAAAGCTTTGTTGATTTTGTTGCTCTTCTCAAAGAACCAATTTATATTTTCAACAATTTTCTCTATTGCTTTGCTGTTTTTCTGTTTCATTGATTTCTGCAGTAATTTGTACCATTCCTTTTACTCTTTATGCTTTCTGTGGTCTTCATTTGCTCATTTTTTCTAGTTTTTTAAGGTAGAATCTCAGGTAATTGATTTGAGAGTTTTTTCACTCTCTGTTATGTAGGTTCAAATGTGTAAGTTTCTTCTACGTACTTCTTTAGCTGCTTCCCATAAATTTTAACATGTTGTATTTTTATTTTAATTCACTTGAAATATTTTCTAATTTCTCCTATAAGTTTATTATTTGATAATGTATTATTTTAACATTTGCTGATTAATCTCCAAATATTTGGTGATATCCCAGTTTTTTGTTGGTTTCTAAGTTAATTTAATTATGGGTAAAAAACATGCTTTTTATTATTTCAATCGTCTTAGTGTATTTACACTATATTTATAACTTGACATATGATCTGTCCTAGAGAATGTTTCAGGTATTCTCAAAAAAGGATTCTGGATTAGTTGAATAAAGTCAGCTCAAGTTTCTTGATAATGTTATTTAAAATCTTCTAAATCTCTGTTAATTTTTTTTCTCTGGTTGTTTTATCAGCAGTTAAGAGTGGGCATTGAATTCTCCAACTATTTTTATTCAATAATTTATTTCTTTTTTCAATTCTGCTAGCTTTTACTTTATGTATTTTGGAGCTCTGTTTTTAGGTCCATAGACCTTTGCAATTTTATCTTCCTGATATATGACTGTTTTTATCATTTTAAGATGACTTTCTTTATCATTTATTATACTTCTTGTCTTAAAGTCTATTTAGTCTGATATAATCACCTCAGCTTTTCTATGATTAGTGTTCATACACACACAGACACATATATATATATATATATATATATAAAGTAAAAGTAAAAGAATATATATGTAAAGAAAAAGTAAAAGAATAAAAAACATGTATGCATACATATATACATACATGTTTTTCATGTATATATACACATACATATACAAACATATATGTGTATATATATTTACATATATATTTACACACACACAGATGTACTTGTTTTTCATTCTTTTACTTTTAATCTATTTATGTCTTGAAGGAATGTCTCTTTTAGACAGCATATAGAGACTATAGTTAAATTTTACCTTATATTAAGTAGAATCATCCTTGCCTTTTGATTGGGTATTAACAGAATTTACATATGCAATTGTTAATATTGCTGAATTTACATCTGTAATTTTTCTATTTGTTTTTATGTCTATTCTCATTTTTTTACTCCTCTGTTTATGACTATCTTCTTTTGCATTAGATAAATGTTTGGTGTACTATTTTAATTTCCCAGCTGAATGTTTTTATGATATTTTAAATATATTTATAGCTGCTCTAGAGATTATAATATAGATTTTCACTTATCATAATGTATCAGTTCATATTAACTTAATTTTGGTAATATATGTAGAAACTTTTCTCCAATATAATTCCATGCTCTCCTCCTTTTTGCTATTATTGTCATGTGTATTAGATCTTAAATATGTTATAAACTCATAAATAAAGAGCTTAATTATTGTTTGACACAATACTATTTCTTTTTTAAATGTTAAGAGAAGAGATGAGAAGAATACATTTATAAAGTTGCTAATATTAACCCACATGCTAAAATTTCCAGTGTTATTTATTTCTTCCTGTGGATTTAAATTAGCAACTTGTTTCATTTCCTTTCAGCACAGAAGGATATCCTTTACTTCCTATGAAGCAAGTCTGCTAGCAAAAAACTCATTTTTGCTTATCTGAGAAAGTCTTTATCTTATCTTCATTTTTAAAGAATGGTTGTGCTGGATATAGAATTTGGGGATGGCATTTTATTTTTCTCTCTGCCCTAGAAATATCTTATCCCACTGTCTTCTGGTAACTCTTGTTTTTAATTTGAAAAGTCAGCTGTTAATCATTTTGATGTTTTACTTTACCATAATGAATTCTTCCTTTGTTCAGGATTTGTTGTTTGTTTTGGGTGTTCAATAGTCTGATATAAAATGTCTAGGTATGGATCTACTTATAAGTATCATACTTAGCATTAGTTGAGCTTCCTGGATATTTATTAATGTTTTCATCAAATTCAGGATGGTTTTTAATTTTTTGATTTTTGCCCCATTTTTTTCTCTTCTTCTGAGATGCCTATCAGATATATATTAGTACATTTAACATTTTTTCACAGGTTTCTGAAGTTCTATTTAATTTTCTCTAATTTTTCCTGTCTATTCTTTACATAGATAATTTATATGGAATTTTTTTCAAGCTAACTGATTTTCTGCCACCTTGAATTAGCTGTCGAAAAGCTAATATTTTTAATTTTCACTCCAGAAATTTTATTTTTTTAATTTATATAGCCTTATTGAGTATCTTTATTGCCAGTCATTGTTCTAATAATTTTGTTTAGTTCTTTGAATATTTTTTCTTTTGAGTTTGTTGGACATATTTGTTAGCTGCCTGGTAGTTTCTACCTGCTCAATCAAAAATTTGAGTTAACTCACAGATATTTTCTTTTGATTCTTTTTCCATGGGGGTAGGTTGCACTTCCATGTTTATTTGGATTTTTAATATTTTTTGTTGTTGTTGAAAAATGTACATTTCAGATAATATAGTAACTTTGGGTTATGCATTTTTTTCAAATTGTTTTTTCTGTTTTTGTTCATTTGTTTAGTAACTTGCCTAGATTATAACTGTAAAATCTATCTGCCTTGCATGTGGGGTCTAACAGAAATTTAACTAGTATAGCCTCTCTATGTTCTCCTAAGATATTCTTTATATTATTCCAGGATAATTTTGAGGGAAGGTCATTAGGGTATAAGTTAATGATTTTTGCTCAAAAACTCTGATTAAAATACTTTATATGATACTAATTCTGTTTTAGAGTGGTTTAATGCATAGATTATTTAAATCACAATAGGTTTTAAAGATTTAAACTTCTATAACATTATTAGCAAGCCCAAAAGGGGCTGATTTGTACTTTGTTCTTTAAAAAATTGCAGTGAATAGGAGATATCACATCTATGAGGATAAAAGCTATGCTGTTTTAAATTTACAAAATTTACATACATACATATACACATAAAAAAACCATTAGGCACCTCATATCTTATAAATAAAGAAAACCAATATATTAGCAACATAATATATGAACTTGTAAGCAGTTCTCATACATTCTCAGCTAGGTCAACATCTACTCTTTTATACACTAATCAAAGAGGAAAAAATGGTAGAGCTTATGCCACTTTGTTCCCTGTAGTAAGATAGTCTCAAGATGTTCAACATAAGCAACATAGTTAACCTTGATAGTGCTTAATGGTAAGGTATCCAGGTTCAGAATATGTTTGCCCTGAGAGTCCTTCCTACCTTTTCCTACCATTGGTCTATATTAAAATGACAAAATTTTAAAAAACTACATTTTTTGTCAGGGCACGGTGGCTCATGCTTGTAATCCCAGCACTTTGGGAAGCCAAAGCGGGTGGATCACCTGAGGTCAGGAGTTCAAGACCAGCCTGACCAACATGGAGAAACCCTGTCTCTACTAAAAAAATACAAAATTAGCCGGGTGTGGTGGCACATGCCTGTAATCCCAGCTACTCGGGAGGCTGAAGCAGGAGAATCGCTTGAACACGGGAGACAGAGGTTGCGGTGAGCCGAGATGGTGCCATCGCACTCCAGCCTGGGCAACAACAGCAAAATGCCATCTCAAAAAACAACAACAACAACAAACAAAACAAAACAAACAAAAAAATACTACATTTTTCAGGTTGCTGCTATAACAGCTGGTTTCTGGCTAAATATATCTATAGAGAGCATTGGCAGAAGCTTGAGGTGGAGGGAAGGGAGAACTCAACTCTCTTCCTCTGCATTAGAGAACAAGGGCCTTCTGTACTCCATGGCTTCAGTTGTCACGAAACTGAATAACCTGAGTATTTTGTTGGGTGACTCTTACTTCTAAGCACCAATAAAAACGCCTCATCCTGTTTTCCCTACAACCTTGTAGTGGTCAGTCTGCCTACTGTTGTTGATCAGTGGGTTACCTCATGTCTTCTGTTTGGTTTCTAACTTCAGCATAACCTCTACGTTACATTTATTCATTGCAAATTCTTAAAGTTGTTTTTCTGGTTGGATTCCAACTAATAGAGATTTTTTTATCATTATTTTATATTTGTCATTATCTTATATTCTACCTGGTGTTTCATTATGGAGCTCTATTTCTCTAATTTAGAAAAAAGTAATTCTAATTTTTATCCAAGTGGTGATGGATATTTTTAAAATTTATATTGACATTAAACCAAAGTTTTTGACTAGAATTGGCATTTATCTTGTTATTAATAATCACAGGGGAAAAAATCCAGGTACTTATTTGTATATTTGTTTTATCATTCAATTTAAATGCATACTAAAAAAACTAATACTTTAATACAACTAGAGTCCCCTAACCTCTTTGTCATTCTTTCTCTACTTTTCCTTGCTTAACTATTTCACAAGTGTTGAGGAGATTCATGGTCTAATCTTGTCCAACAATCTGGAGTTGAAGATGAACAGGAAGCTTTTAAATAAGACTGACACTAATTCTAATTCTTGCAGCATGGCTATACTTAATATGCTTCACAGACTCACACAGCTGATTTATTTGGAGTCCTTCTGCTCCTTCTCCAGTGGAATTGAAAGAACTAATCACAATCTTCAATATATTTGCAAGGTTTTAGAAACCACAATACAGGATAACAGAATTTAAATGTAATGCATCTCTTTTTAGTTAAAATCTAGTTTTTCAACCACAGTGAATATCTTCAAAAACAACTGGACTAATACATTTTTTAAAAACTTGTACTTTCCCAATATTTATTTTCCTCTCTTAGAAAACGATGCAAAAATCAAAAGACACTGCTCTTTATCTTCTCTGCTTTAATTTCTGCAATATTAACAATATTATATTTGCCAACTATGTCATAAAGGAACTATTTAAAAAAAAAACCCTAAAGAATTCCCAAAGGATTATCCCTTCATTCACCAGTTTAAAATTGTTTTCTTTCCTTGTGGTTAAATATTGATGTGTCGCTGCTATATAAGAATCATCATTATGTTAACTGTTCTAATTATAGACTGTCTTCCATATTTTCCAACACTAGTGCTACTTTGTTTGACCAATTAAAAATTTGGATTACTCAGCAGCAAGCTGTTTATGAGGTTGATTGCTCTGTCATCTCATTTCACAATTCAACTTTTTAATTTGAGGCTATCAGATATCATAACTGAGAATGTGAATGTGTCAATAGTCTAATCAGTTTTCATTACACCATTAGGTATTTAAAAGAAATGAAGAAATAATGTAGTTTAGTCAGAAGTCTTATATTTTGTCACGAGTTGTGTTTAATGGCTTTTGTGAAGTATTGCTTCAATTCTATTTCCAAAAAGCAATAAAGCAGAAGTTGTTTTTACAAAGCAGACAGAAAATTGATTCACTGGTGCTAGGCATTTTCCAAGTGTAATGCAATATTTCCAAACTGTTACATATGTAATAATGGTGTTGGTGTTTAAGTAAGCATTTCATTAAATGGGTTGATTTTGTTCCTAAAGCTAGAGTTAGCATCACTGACTAATGAAGTGGTGAGAAAGTATTTGTGTTACAATTTTGTGTTTTAAAAAAAGTTACCATTAATGTAAATGTGAATCTGTCAGGTGAAGGGTCAGGTTGAAGTGTTATGCCTTATCTATTTCTTTTTCACAAATTCTAAGTTGGATTACGTACTTTTTCTTAAAAATAATATTCATAGTAATAATGAATTGTACATATAACTTTTAATTATCTATGAGATAAAAACTATCATAAATCCTGGGGAGGCTTTCTCAGATTTTCTGTTTCAATCATATTTGCCTTTATTAAAGTCCCACTCTTTCTCAGAATCACCCATAGAATTTATGGATCTATTTCTAAAGCAAATAGCACAGAGCAAAAGTCTTACCACTTCATTCATTTCTATTTCTTTCTAGTTCCATAAAATTATTGTAATATATATGTTTTAAATCAACTCTGATAGGAAGTCACATAGTAGCATTATTCACTAAGATACCATTATTTTAAAATGTCCAACAACTGCCTCGTGCTGAAAGTAACAGTTGTCTATAAACAAATGATAGTTTTAGATTGACTTTTTAGAAATTGAGAGATTATTAGCTGTAATTTTGACATTAAACTTTCTAAGTGTGGGAAATAAAAATTAAATAAATGAGAGAAGGGCTTAGATTTCATAAAAAAATAAACGTTTATTTATTGTCTTTATGGACTATAAGAGAAAAACCTTTTTCCTAAATCACAGTTATAGTTCAATTACAATTCACTTAGAACTATCACGGTAACACTGTAAGCATTTGTACTTGGTTTAAATTCTGCCCAGGCATTGTCTGTTAGGGTTCAGCTCATAAAACAGTCAAACCCAGAAATTAGTAATTGCTAAGATTGCCATGTGCTATGCAACCATGAATGCCAGACCCTTCTTAGAAATTTCAAGAGATATTTTTTCCCCAACAGAAATGATTTTGTTCCTCTTTTGATGAGATTGCAAGCAATATCCACCAAAGTTTGCCACTTCAAGCTCTTCACTTTGAAAAGTAAACCCAAAGAGGTAGCACTTTTCAAGTCCAAACAGGATTTGGCAATTTTAAAAAAATTTAATACTTATTTTGTTATTCGATTTCAACAAATATAAGCCTCCTTTCCTCTGACAATGTCACTGCTAGACAAATTTTTGACATGTATTAATAATTCTAATTCACATGTAAACTGACATTTCATCTGTTTCTCAAATTAGAGTGAATCAAATCTAATTGAGGAGATTCCTGAGTTCATTTTTCACGTAATGTGACAGAGGCTCATCTGAGTTTTGCTTCCAAATCTAGGCCTGGAGGATTGCCAGTGTTGAGGTTAACTACAAGTACAGGCCAAGCTTCACATTAGGTGTCGTGGCAGCAACATCCAAAGAGAGAACTGTGTGTGCTCATAGCTGAAGTGGACACCCTGCCACAAAGGCCTCAAATCGGGCACCTTCCAGGTTTGGCTGTAGGCACAGATTCTTCTTCTCTCTAGCATCTATTTCTTCAGTCTACTTTACTAAATGGACTCAGAAATTGTAGCACAATTATGAACTTTTTCCTTACATTTTTGAAATCTTTGTTTAATTGTTTGTTTTGGATTTTTTTGGTATAATTTATTTTCATCTTCCATTTTTCCTAAAAGGAATTTACTTACTAATCTGCTTATATACATTGAAAAGATAGTTTAAATGATGGGGCATGAAAGTTGAGCCAAAAAAAAAAATGCAGGAAATTGAAAGACTACATAAATTATTCAGATAAAGCCAATCAATTAGACTAGCTGAATTAATTTTTCTAAACTTATGTTTGTTTATTTGTTTGTTTTCTTAAGATAATGTCCTTTTACTCACTGGTTTAGAGGGGGCTTTGTTGTTTATTTGCTTGTTTATTTTTTGGAACTGATTTTAGAATGCAAGGGTTTTATCATGCAGTAAATGATAAACATCCTTTCTTCATTTCCATTAGATTCAGGTCAGCAGCCTTTTGTCTGGCACCTACCTCATGACAGATGCTGGTAATATGAAGACAAATTACCTAAGGTCATGACTATGAAAAAGATAACAGTTTTGCTGGCTGGCAATATGTAATTAGATAAATTATGACCAATTCTTTATATAACATGTTATAAAGCAGGTTATTTGCTACTGTGACAGTCCCCGATCCAATCAAAGTAGAAATGAGTTTAAATGTAAGTACAACAGGCAGAACTTTCAGTAATGGTAATGTGAGAAGGTCAGAAAATACAACGATAAAACTGGCCAATTTTTTTTAAACAAACAGTTCAGGGCTCAGGGAATCCACTAAAGGTAAAAAAATTTAAATGAGATGTGTTTATTCAGAAACACATCTCCATTAATTTGCTGAACCTTGGGTAAATATGGTGAAAATCTGTAGGATTTTTGTTGAATTCTACAGATTCAGGAAGAATTGCTGAACTTTAGGTAAATACAGTGAGAATCTGTAGAATTCCTACTGCAGTTGCTCTTATTCGCCCCGCTCGGTTAGCAAGGTAGATCTACCTGGATGAGGCAGGAGATGAAGACCAACAGCTTTGCCAATACAAAGACTGGATGGCTTTGAAGTGAAAAGAGAAAAAAAGAAGGTCCTCAGCAGCTTTCTCCGGAAAAGTAGTATTCTTGATGGTTAGTAAATGGGGAAGTTTATGGCTGTTAGAGTGATCAACAGACCAGAAATTAACAAGCAGAGAATGGGAATAGAACAGAAGTAGAGACACTTGATATGAAGGCCACATATCTATTCCTGGCAGTCTTCTAGGCATGTGCATAGGAAAGAACAAAAGGGGCTCAAGCAATCTACATGTGCCTGGTCTTATTAGCAGCTCACTAGCTATACAGCACAGAAGCAGCCCCTAGGAGGACAGGCTTAATTTTTTTAAGCAATTAAATAAACAAACCTAAGCAGAAATACAAGCACAAATACACCACAAGAATGATAGGGACTGCAGATGCCACAGCTTTAGTCCAGAGAGGTAAGATACCAAAAGAAAAAAATAAAGAAAAAAAGTAAAAGAGGAAAACAGAAAGAAGGAAAAAGATAGAATAAGGATGAAAGAAAAACAAGAAAACAAAAGCAAAAACAAAACTCCTCAAAGGGAAAATGTCAGGATCCAGTGTTGCCACAATATAGTATTTAAATCATCTTGTTTTCAAGAAAACTTATCAGATAAGTAAGAAAAATGGGAGGTATGGCCCAAAGACAGAAAAAAAGAATTTGTCAACTGTCTCTGAGGGGGACCAGAGGTAGGATTTAGCCAACAAAAATGACAAAGCTACCATTATAAATATGGTCAAAGAACTGAAGATAACTATGTTTAAATAATTTTTTAAAGTGCAATGATGATTATTCAAAAATTTATAATAATCCCACAATTAGACATGAAGCAAATGGCAACTTGAAAAGCCAAATGTCATAGAAAAAAGAAAGCAGTAACCAAAACTTGTTCTCTCTAGGTATGGGACAAGAGATAGGCAGCTGGCTGCTAGGTCCACATACTAAAAACAATGTACCAGCTAAATATGAAAGAAAAAATAATCCTGTGTCCCCACCCCCATCCATGCCAATTCCCCCACTTGATTGGTGTCTGAAACTTTTGAGTAGGAAGTTGAGATTTTCATCCCAACTGGATGGTAATGAAGCTTCATCACTACTTAGAGATAATCTGGCTTTATCCTCACCTGACAGTAACAAGCTGCCCCTCCCTGTCTAAGCTGCGGTGATGCTAGAGAATGCCTAGTCGAGTCAGAACATTCCTCACTACTAACTCATATTTTCAGTTGAGGCCCCATAGAGAGCAGAAATGAGGCAGTCTTACAGCCCCCAGGCAGAGGGATATTACTTGAGCCTAATAGGATGCTGAAACTCCCACCCTTGCCCAACAGTGATGAGCAGACATCCAAGGTATCTCTGCCGAAGGTGGAGGCTGAGTGGGGAATTTGAAATTCTCCCTGTCAGTAATCAGGCAGAACCTCCCTTTTCCCTGCCAGAGGTGTGTCAAAAACAAACAAAAAACCTAAAAACAGAAATAGAAGATCTAAATAAGAGCCGGAGTTTCAGAATACTGAAAATATCCAGGTTTCAATGGAAGACACTTGTAATATTAAAAACCAGGAAGATTTCAAACTGAATTTTTAAAAAAGACAATCAATAGATGCACACACCAAGATGACAGAGATATTAGAATAAGCCGACAGATATTTTAAAGCAGCCATCATAAAAATACTTCAGTAAACAATTATGAATTCAGCTTGTACACATAAAAAATACTATCAAAAAGAAATAAAAGACATAAAAACTACCAAATGAAAACTTTAGAACTGAAAAACACAATAAATAAAATAAAACTCAAATAGATTAGCTCAACAGAAAAATGGAAAAGACAGGAAAGGATCAATGAACAAGGAGACAGAAAAACTAAACAAAGCCACAGGGCACACTGTGAGTCTGTAACAAGAGGTTGAACATTTGAGTCATCAGAGTCTCATTAGAAGAAGGAAAAGAGGATGTGACTGAAAAAGGTACTCAGAGAAATAATGGATGAAAACTTCTCAAATTTGCAAAAGGCATAACCATACAGATTCAAGAAGCTGAGAGGTCTTCAAATAGGATAAATACACAGAAATCCACACAAAGATGTACTATAGGCAAATGTGTGAAAATTAAAAAGAACAAATATTGAAAGTAGCCAGAGAGAAATAATCTTTTACCTATAGAAGAAAAATAATTTCAATGACAGTGATTTCTCATCAGAAACCACGCAGGCCAGGAGGATGTGGCCCAGCATTTTTCAAGTGCAGAAATAAAAGTATTGTCAAACTAAAATCTTAGATCTAGTAAAAACATACTTCAGAAATAAAAGGGATATAAAAACACTCTCAGATAAAGTAAAGCTAAGAGAATTTGTCAACAGCAGGTCTATTCTAAAAGAATGACTAATAAATTATCTAAACAGAAAAAAAATTTAAAGAAAACATTAGAATATTTGAAAAAAAGAAAGAAGTGCACAGTAGGAAAAAAGAGAGTTAAATGTGATAGACTTTTAGTCTCCTCTTGAGTTGTCTAAATTATATCTTATGGTGGAAACAAAATTCATAATACTGTTGTGGTTTGAAATGTGTGTAAGTGAAATATTTAAGATAAGTGTACTATAAACAGGGAGGCAAAAGAATGTACAGGGAAATAAAAATTGTATACATCATTCAAATTGCTAAAATGATAAAACCAGAAAACTGATAAATCATGTATGTATAATACATAGAACAGTAACTATAAAGGCTATACAAAGAGATACACTCAAAAACACTATAGAGAAATTAAAATGGAAAACTAATGCACAGGTAGGCAGAAAAAAGGAAATGGAGAGATAAGAAAAATAAACTTCAAAGAACAAAAAATAAAATGGCAGACATAAAACTAAAGTACAGAGAATTACATTAAATATAAACAGCTTAAACACATCTATCAAAATAATTTAGCATAATAAATTTAAAAACATGAGTCATCTACTTTTGTCTGTAAGAAACTCACTTCAGTGCAATTATGTAGGCAATTTGAAAGTTGAAGGATATTTTTAAAAGTGTATTACTTAAGTATGAATTAAAAGAAAGCACTAGTAGTATTCTGAGCAAAGAAAATTATTAAAGACAGAGAGGGATGTTGCACAAATATAAAAAGGCTCAATCCACCAAAAAGGCATAGTAATCCTAAATGTGTATGCACCAAATAACAGAGATGCCAAATATGTAAAGCAAAATGTGATAAAACTGAAAGGAGAAATAGATGAACACACAATAATAGCTGGTGATTTCAATACTTTTGTCTCAATAACTGGTAGGACAACTAGATAAAATAAGGAGGAATATAGAACAGTTCAATCACCTCATCAACCAACAACATCTAACTGATATTTGTAGAACACTCCACCCAACAACAGCAAGATACATATTCTTTAATGTACCCACAGAACATATACCTAGGCAGATAATTATCTGGACAATAAAATAAACCTTAACAAATTTAAGAATTTAAATCACACAGAGTTTGTTCTCTGACCACAATAAAATCAAATTAAAAATCAGTACAGAGTGACAACAGTATTATCTCCAAACATTTGGAAACTAAACAACACTTTTCTAAATAATCCATGGTTTGGCAAGTAAGTCTTAAGAGAAATTTAAAAATACATTGTGCAGAATAAAAATTAATATACAACATATCAAAATTTTGCTACATAGCTAAGTAGTGCTGAGAGAGAAATTTGAGGTGCTAATATAAATCACAAAAGATAAAAGCCTAAAATTAGTAATCTTATTTTCCAATTCAAGATCCTAGACAAAAAAAAAAAAAAAGACCGATGTAAGCCCAAGGCAAGTAGAAAGAATAATGTGAGCAGAAATTAACACATTGAAAATAGAGAGACAATATAGAATAATCAATAAAACAAATAACTGGTCCTTCAAGCTGTTCAATAAAATTGGCAACCTTCCAGCAAGACTGACAAGAAAAAAATAAAGACATAAATTACCAACATCAGAAATGAAACAAAATATTACACTTATTATTATTATTTGGTAGTATTCTCTTATTATTCTAGTAAGAATTATTCTAATAAGAGAATACTACCAAAAAGCTCTACACAAATAAATTTGTCAACTTAGATGAAAGTGACCAATTCCTGGTCAAACACAAAATACTACAACTCAACTAATATAATATAATTTTACTTGTCATTTAATGATTAGGGAAACTGAATTAACAATCAAAAAACACTCCAAACAGAAATTCTCAGGCTTAGATGGTTTTCTGTGAAGAATTCTACAATATATTAAAAGAAGAACTAAAACTTATTTTACACGTTCTCTTCTTGAAAACAGAAGAGAAGGGAACACTTACAAATTTATTTTATAAAATTACTGTTATTCTAATACCACAACAAGATACATACAATACAAAAAAAAGAAAACTAATGACCAATATGACTTATGGGTAGAGACTCAAAAATCTTTAACAAAAGATTAGCAAATATAATTCAGCAATACATGAAAAGAATTATACACCATTACCAAGAGGAGTTTATTTTAAAAATGCAAGGATTATTTGATGTTAGAGAATCGATCAATATAATCCACCATATAGTAGGCTAAATTTAAAGAAAAAAAGACCATATCAATATTATATCATATCAATTGATACAGAAAAAACATTTGACAAAATGAAACACCCATTCATGCCCCTCCCCCCAAAAAAACTCTCAGAAAACTAGGAACCAAGCATGATAAATAAAAAAGTGCATTTTCAAATAATAAATAAGTAAAGCCTATAGTTATCATTGTAGTTAATGGTAAAAAGCTGGATGTTTTCCTCCTATAATTAGGAGCAAGGCAGGGATGTTTATTCTTACAAATGTTATTTAACACAGCACTAGGAGTTTGGTGGTGCAATAAGGCAAGAAAGGAAAACAAAATGTATGTAGGCCAAAAAAGAAGAAATATAATTTTTCTTATGTCGTAATTATCAATATAGAAAAATTCCAAAGGATCTATTTTTAAAAACTCCAAGAATTATTGATTAAGCAAAGTTACATAAGATAAAAATACAAAAAAGTTGTATTTCTATATTTTAATGACAGATATATGGACCCCAAATTATTTGGAAGATATAAGATCAATTACAATTCCTCAAAAAAAAAGAGAGAAATAGTTAGGTGTAAATCTGACAAAACATGTACAGGATTTATACATGTGTAAAATGTTGATAAAAACAACATAGATTTAAATAAATGAAGAGATACGCCATGTTCATGGACTGGAGGACTCAATATAGTCATCACGTTTATTCTAGCCAAATGGCATAAATGTTTAACACAATTTTTATCAAAATCTCAGCAGAATTCTTTTGTATATATAGACAAGATTATGTGAACATTTATATGGAAAGTTACAGGAAGTAGAATGGCTAGGACAATTTTGAAAAATAATAAAAAAAAAGAGGTACGGGTGGAAAATATGATATTGTGTGATATTGGGGAAGAGGCAGGCACATAAACCAGTGGAAAAGAGGAGGAAACCCAGAAAGAGACCCATACAAATGTCCAACTGATTTTTGACAAAGGTACAAAAGCAATTCAATGGAAAAAGATAGCCTTTCTAACAAATAGTACTGGATCAATTGGACATCCATAGATTAAGAATGTAAATATCAAAATAAATCTCACCTCTATCCAAAAAATAACTCATATTGATTATGTATTTAAAAGTAAAACATAAAATTATAAAAACTTTAGAGAAAAAAACAAAAAACAAAAACAAAAAAACCTAGGAGAAAATCTTGGGACATAGGAGTAGACAAAAAAAAAAAAAAAAAAAAAAGCCAGAAAAAAATGAAACATTCAACCTTATCAAAAGTAAAACTTTGTTCCGCAAAATACTTCATTAAAAGGAAGAAAAGACAAGTTACAGACTTAGAGAAAATATTTCAAACTACATGTCTGACAGATGATTGTATCTAACATATATAACCAACTCTCAAAACTCATCAGTAGTAAAAACAATTCGATTTAAAAATGGAAAAATGACAAAGATATATTTCACTAAAGAGAAGATATGGATGGCAAATAAACACACAAAAATATAGTAAACATCTTAGCTGTTAGGAAAATGCAAATTAAAAATATGAGATTAGATGCCCTTCAATGCGTGAATGGTTAAACAAACAGTGGCACATACATACAGCTTAGCAATAACAATGAACACACAAACAAACATAAATAACAAATAGAATGTGATATATACCACAGTCTGAATGAATCTTCATAGAATTATGCTTACTGAAGAAAAACAAGCTCAAAGGTTTGCATGTTGTATAACTTCTATTTATATATTATGCTTACTGAAGAAAAACAAGCTCAGAGGTTTGCATATTGTATAACTTCTATTTATATAACACTCTTGATGTGTCAAAATCACAGAAATAGAGAGTGGATTAATGATTCTCAAAGATGAAGGAAAGGATGGGGACTGTGGGAATTGGGCATGGTTATAAAAGAGCCACATGAGTGTCTTTGTGCTGATGGAAATATTCCGTATCTTGACTGTATTAGCGTCCATATTCTGAGTGTGATATTGCACTATAGTTTTATAAGTCATTACCAATGGTGAAAAATAGGGAAAGAGTACACAGATCTTTCTGTATTATTTCTTACAACAACATGTGAATCTATAATTTTTGCAAAATGAATGTTAGTTTAAAATATTCCAAGTTTTAATTTTGAATATATATTTGTGGTAATAACTCACATATAAAACTTTTTTGGAGCACTCAACAATGTTTAAGGGTAAATGGGTCTCGAGAACAAAATTCTTGAAAACTTCTAGGTGATTCAGCACATTACAATTGCTGGTACAAAATGTAAAATAACATATGTTGAATGAATATATAATTTTCAAATGGCTATATGTAATCAAAAAATGGTATACATTACCTAAGAATATGTTTTAGTTAAATGTCAGGAGTGCCTGATGTTTGACTGCTTAGGTTTCTATTACTTGCTGGAATTTTAGTTAACTTCAGCATTAAAGTTCTTAGCTTGGAAGTTAAGAAAGTTGATGTTGTCACTTCATCTAATGGATAGATGATACAATGATAGGAAAACAAAACTTTTAGCAACTTCTAAGGACATCTTTCTTTTCTTTTCTGATATCAAAATGTATGACTCAAGATGATGTCTCTGTCATGCTGATGTAAAAAGCAAGCCCCAAATTTCAGTGGCTTAGCCAATAAAGGCATATCTATTATCCTTATACAGAGAAACAGACCTGCAGATCCTACGCTATCTGGAAAGTTGTTAGTCTACCACCCGAGGAAGGGGACACAACAACCTATGCACCATTTCTTGAAATCTCTGTCCAGAAGTGACACATAACTTCTGCTCACATATCATTTGCCAAGACAAGTCACAAGGAAAACACGTGCTACAAAGTGCCCTGAAAAAGAGGATCAGAAATTTGATAAACTGAACCAATATATATTTTCCACATAGCATTTCAGATATATTAAATCGGCAACCATCAGATTACTGATAAATGTGGAGAACAAAACAATCTGATATGCATTAGGAATTTTCAGTAGACAATGATAGGGCTGACAGAATTCTCTTTGTTTTGTGGAAAATTTAACACTGGAATACAGAGTTCAATAAATACTGAAAAGGGATTTTCCAAACTGCTATTGTATACATGCTATTTGACCACCCTACATACATTATAACAATTAAGCTTTGGGATGTCCACTGATGATAAATGAAATCAGGACAAGAGACAAGCATGCAGCATTTCTCATTTACCTGAAGTTGATTATTTTAGCTTTTGTTTCACAAGGTGTTTTCTGTACTCTCTGGAGTACCCAACATCTATGCTGGACAGACAATCTTGGAGGGTCTTTTCTAGACTGTGTTTCCTGGAATAGTAGTCCAAATTCCTCAATCTACTCAAGTACACTTGGAAAATAATGCATACTCTACACTCCACATGAATAGTCACAATGCACATTAACATATTAAAATCTCTGAGAATTTCTGTAAAAAATAACCTGTTGGACACATAAAATGTAACAATGTCTACCTAGGTATTAAGTTTATATTAATTTCTTTTAACCCCTAAAACACGAGATGGGTATATAATTATCCTTATTTTATCAATCCCTTTGTCTTATAAAACTTCTTAAATTCTACAAATTTATACTGGGGAATTTCTATTTTTCTTTGAGAGGTGTTCTTTAAACATAAGAGAAATTGAGGGTCACCTATGAATTAAGATGGAGCTATAGTTGGCAGAGTAAATATTAAGCTTATGTAGTAGAACTTAAAATAGACTATGGTGTCCTGAGAAACCTAAAATTTATGGTCTGATATTTTAAAATAAACTTATTTCCCATTCCTCTTGGTCAGAATTGCCCCTGCATTTTAAAAGGCATAACAATTAGGGTTATACCTTGGACAGAAAATATTATTTTAAGAGACTAGAAAGTGAACCCGAATTGGGGGAAGGTTCTCTAGTTTATGCGTTTTAGCAGATAGGTCATTGTTAATTTGAGGAAACTGTAATGTTGGGCTTAAGTGTATGAGGTACAAACAGTAAACATCAACTGCACAGAGGCAAAGTAACAGCACTCTGGAAGGTAGTAAGTGATGAGACATTTTAGCGTAATATCTGGATCTAAAATTATGGAAAACGAGAGAGTAAAGACCAGTATGTCTAAACAATGGTTTTCAAACGTTGGTGAGTCTCAGAGGTACCTAGTTAAATATATTGAATTTGCCGCCTCTCGCACTCTTTCCCAACACACTCTTCATGTCAATTTCATATGTTTAGGGTAGAGTCCAAACTTCAGGATTTTTAGTTAGCTATCTGTTCTCTACACTTTTAGAATCATTACTTTTTAATGCCACCATATTGTCATGAAAGAAGAGTCATACCACAGAGACCACAGAAGACAAATTTTATAATTGTGTTTTACATCTGAGAATGAATGGGGTGAAGCTCCCCACTCTCCTTTGAACTACAGGGTCTTTGCTTCTAGTTTAAGAGTCCTTTTCAGGTGAATTTTCTCAGGCTTTTCCAGGGGCCCAAAGCTATTTTGAATTCAAAGTCTCATTTTAAATGTCTTGCTTTCATTCACTTTCTGATAAAAGAATATCTATCAACATATATTAATTTGTTCAATATCAGTAGGAGCTTTAAAGCAATAATGTATAACTAGCAGATTTTCTTTGACAGTGCATGGCAAATTATATTTTCTATTCCACAAATACCATGAATATTCAATGAGCAAGGGAAGGGAAACTGTAATCTTCTTCAGGAAAAAAAAAAGGTATAAAAAAGTAAAAAACAAAACTTTCAATATCACATTAAGGGTTAAATGAAAGCTACATTCAGTTATTGAAGTCTACCGTTTAACCCATTACATTATGACTTCCCAATTAAAATAAGCTTGAGGAAGCATTTATAATTGTAGCATATTTACATGTATTTTCATGTGGGTCAAAAAGCTTACACACTTCAAATATTTATTCATTGGAATATCATTTGATGAGAGAATTCATAATAGAAATTTTTTGTATAGTTTAAAGTTATGAAACCCACGTAATATATATGTGAAATTTTATAAGCAGAATTGAATTACTATTAATAAAAATTAATTTTCAAATTAGAATTAATAACTAAGAATTCAAAGTATATATATCCCATAAAAGTAATTAATGGCAAATATGTAAAAAAGCTAAATATATGTCTTGACATTTTACTTATATAGGAGACAGATATTTCATTTTTAGTGCAAGGATTGATTTTTAATTCTCAGAAAGGATTGTATTCTCATTTCATGTTTATTTCAAGCCCTGGGTTTTGTGAACTTGGTTTTCTTTTTTTATAGTACCAGTCTCCTGAGATGCTCCCAGAGAGGAAAGCAATCATCAGTCAATATTTAGACTTGGGCATTCTTCTGATTAATGGAAGGCCAGGCCATGGTCTCCTAAGGCACCTTGTGCAATTTCACAGGTTTATTCATAGCTAGACAACCAAAATCTTCATAAGTAATTGAAACTCCGATTTTGGCAACTTTCACTATATTTGCTTGTCAACTGTGATGCAGGCATAAATGCCATGCTACCATTAAGTACTTTAATCCATTTTAATAATCCTTTGATATATTCTTTTCTAACATGAGGTAAAATATTGTCAATGATAGTCAAGAAAAGGTACGTATTCTGTGTTATTTTTCACTTTATAAAAGTAGAATAATTGGATTACAGTTTAGACTACATTGGCTAAGTATTATTTTAATGACTTGAAGACATATGCAGGTGAAAATGTTGCTATAGAAATAGATTATAACTTACCATAGACATAGATCATTTGTTTTCCTGGGATAAACAATGATATGATTCATCAATCGGAGACAAGCCAAGAGAGAAAAAATATTCTAACAAAAGTTACGATTATGGTGGTATGGCAAACTCAAGAAGATTCAATATGTTGCCCCCTAACCTATATCTATTTAGAGAGCCACCATTGCAAGCTTAATATTATTACAGAGTGTTTTGAACATCAACTACTTAGAATAACTGATACAACATTCCCTTATGACCTCCTAAACACATAGTCACCAAAAACTCTTTATACACTCAGTATTACTGAATGTTGGAAACTTAAGCAGCTATACATTAAATCCTCCGTGACAAAATCAAGTCAGTCTTTCTCCTACTCTAATTTTGTTCTCCAGTGCTGTTAGTGATCCTTGTTTCATAAACCTGAAAATAAATCCTGGGATGCTCTATATTTACCTGTATTGCTGCTGTAATGTTTTTTGTCTGTTTGTTCCATATGGAATTGATTTTTGGCTATTTGCATTCAGATGTCTCTGGCTCCAATTTTTGGTTTTCAAGAACTCCGAGTGTTGTCCTTTATACACGCATGAAGTTACTTGCACATGGTCTGTGCTGCTGGACCATGCTCTTTTGAATCTTTGTCCAACATGCCTGTCTAGACATTCCTATTCCCTTTCTGTGGTATTGGTATCTGCTGACAAAAGTCTTAAATATCCTGTTAAGATTTCTTCCCTTCAGTTTTTAAATCATTTTTAATTTCACCATAGGTGGTGCTATGGGCCGAATTGTGTTCATCAAAATTTGTATGCTGATGCCCTAGCACCTAGTACTACAGAATGGACTGTATTTGGAGGTAGGGGTTTTTAAAGCAGTAATTAGGTTAAAATGAGATTATTAAGGAAGGCTCTATTTCAGCGTAACTGTACCTATTTTCAGTACAACTCCTTAAAGAAAAGATGAGGACACAGACACACACAGAGCGAAGACCATGTGAAGACATAAGGAGGAGAAGACAGCCATATGCAAACCAAAGAAAGAGGCCTCAGAAGATACCAACCCTGTGGACATGTTGATCTATGACTTTTTGCCTCCAAAACTATGAGGAAATATATGTCTATTGTTTATTTCACTCAGACTGTGGTATTTTCCTATGGCGGCCCTAACAAACTAATACGGGTGAGTTCACCTTGTTAAATATGGAGGATTAAGAACACACATTGATCTCTGCTCCACCCCTACCTTCCATTAAACTCAAACATCAGATTAAATGGATAAATTATGTTCATTCAAGGACAAGAAGAGTGAGAAAGGGAATAACAGCTGATGAAAGACAACGATTACATGTTGCAAAGCAAATAAATAAGTAGTAATTAATTTAGCAGAACATAGAAAGCTGAAAGTTTCTACGTTATATAGCAGGGAGATCATGACAAGCAATCTTCTTAGGGCTGAAGACCCCAGGGGGATTTAGAAGTTGTGTGTAATGAAAAGCAGGTGGTTGGATTGAGGATTAAAAAGGAAAGATTGGCTAAAAACCAATCTTCAAATATGCACTTAGAGTGGACAGATTTTCCCTTCTATCCTAGCACAGTCAGACATGATATGAGAGGAATGCCCTATGGAGAAATTGATTAGGAGACACCCAAGACTTGGAGATAGGAAAGATAAGAATGAGGGCTGAAAAGAGGAGATTAAGGGGGAAAAAAAATCTACATCTTGAGGACTGAGATTCTCAGGACTGTTTCTCAAGTTGACTTTCAAGTGATTAAAATCAGACATACTCTCTTCTGGCTCTCTGTCATGATTTTGAAGATTTCAGATATGAAAGTGGATTCCCTGCAACAAAATGCCCAGTAAACCTACAGGAAAAAACAGTAAAGTTTAAGTTCCACTCATTACTGGGATTTTCCAACAAATTGTTAAATGTTTCACTCTTAAATAGGAATGAACAGTCAAAGGTCATCAAATAGATGAGAAAACCTTTAATGTAAAAGACAATAATCATAACTAATAAACAAAAAATTAAAATAAATTTTTTGGAAGCAAGAAATGCAAATAACAGAAAAAAGACAAATTAACATCTGTAGAGAGAGAACAATAATATAAATTCATTAAAAAAGAACATTTAGAGAAAAAGTCTTTTGAAATTTAAAAAATAAGATAAAAATTTAAAGGTTAGAATATGGGAAGATGCATGCAAAGAAATATTCTAAAAATTGGAAACAATAAACAAAGAGAAGGAATATAGAAAAGAAAAAAGAAAATAAAATTATAGCATGCATATTAACATTTAAGTAATTTTTTTTTCCAAGTAGAAAAACAAATGTAAGGGAAAAAATGATAAATACAATTTCATAATTTCAATTATCCAGAACTAAAAGTAATGAAAGGAAGCATAATCCATTCCAAAGACTGTAATATTTAGTTTTAAGAACTAAAAAGGAGATGAGTTTAAAAGATTTCAGGATAAGAAATGTAAAGATAAATAAATAAAAACTAACAATCACCCTGCCCCTGGAGTGTGACAAATGCCTAATGACAAGATTAGAAGTTAGACAAAAAGGAAAGAAAACAGTGTCTTCAAACTTCTCCAGGACTTAATTCTGAAGGATATACTCAAGGATATTAATAATCTTCAAGGATTATTATTTCAAATCTATTAATTACATACCCAGCCAAATTATCTTATAATGACTCATCATTGAAATGTAATCCAATATCAAAGTGATGATGATTATCAAAGCACAATGTTAGACCAAACTATAGAATTTACCAAGGAAATGTGAAGTTTCCCTTACCAAGGAAAATGTGAAAACTAGCTTCACATTGACTATATTACTCCAAGTGCAAAGTGAAAGAGGAGATGCTATAAGAAGGTTGTCTTTAGAGAAAGCTCTATTGTTATCCCCTCAACTCCCTTATCCAGGGAGAAAGATGTGCAACACCTGCTCAAACTCAAGACTCATTACTGGGGGATTCAACTTGACCATTGCAGAGATTAATATATGCCCCGGGTGGTAGGAAGTCATGGTACCATGGAATCTGACTATCACTCAGAAGGTAGACTATAGACAGAAATTTTATCTGAAGGTTCACCCAAGTCATGACAGATTTTCTAAAGAAAACTAGAAATTCTCAGAATCTTCTTAATCTTCTTACTGGTGCTTCTTACGGAAGCAAAATCATTTTATCTTGAGGAATAAACTATCTTCTATTATTAACATCAGTGTTATAGGTGTTTCCAGCTATCCCTCAGGTAAGAGGTTTCCTGACATGTTTTCATTCCCCCAGCATACTTACGAATTCCTAAAATTTGGAACAAACCTTTTTTTGGCAAAAAAAAAAAAAAAAAAAATCTGAATATAAACGTAATTAATAGGACATTAGTGCTTAAATTGCCACTCACATCCAAATACATAGAGTTCATTTATTCCCACTAGGGGATGAAATATTTGGCCATGAGGATTACCTTTCTAGGATATTGTTGTGTTCATGGAAGATTATTTATTAAACAGCCAGATCCTAAGAAGGTAATCCAGATGGCCAAATTGTTAGTTCTTAAGATTATTCTGATAATTCAGCTATATGCCACTGAGAAATACCACTACCCCCAACCTCAGGCAGACTTTTCATAATTGAAAGAGAAGAAGCTACAGGTATTTTTCTCATATGAATTAATTGTTTGCATTTATTTCTTCTCCTGTTTTTATCTTTACAATTTATTTTAATTTTTTTTAAGTGTTGTTGTTGTTCTGCTTGCCAGAGTCCTATTTTTTGCTTTTCTGAAGACTCCCTAAACAATCATTTCTCCAATATTTCATGTTATTGTACATTCCATTATTACAGGTATACACAACATGAGAACTTATCTCTGACTCTAGAAAAGAATCATCTTAATCTGCATAAATTCATTCGAATACATTAAATACCCTCTAAGAGAGAGTAAAGGTTTAATTTCGGTAAACCAGTACTGTTTTCTCTTGTCTACAAATTCCTTGGATACCTGGTTAGATGTAATATGTGCCTGTTTTCATGGGTTTTGAATTTTTGGGTGACTACATAAATATCTATAATCATATACTTCTTCCTCTACCTTATGAAAGCCAGTCTCTGAGACAGGCTTCCTGGTGTATTGCATACTGATTTTCATGTCACCCCAGACTACATTTTTTTCCTTCTGCTATTCCTCATTGCCATTTTATCCTAAAACATTAAATGAGTTGGTGAGAAAATGCAGATCTTCTGAGTGCTCTTCTATACCCATGAATTTTTTCCTTCTACTTTGGAGTCTGAACCAGTAATCGGCAACTCTTAGTCAGCTAATCACATGCATAGAGTTGGCAAGCACTTTTCTATTCTGTGTATGTGTGTTTTATTGACTTACTTATAATCTGCTCTCATTTAGCACTGTTGATCTCAGAGAGGAGGAGAAAATGAGTGGAAAACAGAAAGAAAGAATTGAGTAGCAAAAAGCAATATAGAATGTTTGTTTTCAAGTATTTGAAGTCTATAGAAAGCAAGGGTGATTTACTAAAAATATTTTCCAAATGGGAAAAAAGTAGGTAGCAGATCTCGCCCAGGCTGGAGTGCAATGGCACGATCTCGGCTCACTGCAACCTTCACCTCCCGGGTTCAAGCAATTCTCTGCCTCAGCATCCCTAGTGGCTGGGATTACAGGCACCCACCACCACACCTGGCTAAATTTTTTGTATTTTTAGTAGAGACAGGGTTTCACCATCTTGGCCAGGCTGGTCTTGAACTCCTGACCTTGTGATCCACCCGCCTCGGCCTCCCAAAGTGCTGGGATTACAGGCGTGAGCCACCGCGCCCAGCCCAGTAAAAGCTTTTTATACGAACACACATGTGCACACACACACATAAACATATCCATGTGTAGCAAACAGGGAATCTATGTCCTTCTTTTTATCTTTGTACATTTTTTGGAAGAAATTTCAGAGACATCAATGTGGTAGTTTCTATATCTAACTTCATTAACAACATTTAATTGGCTTCCATGGTGTTTAAACAATAACTTTTATATCAATACACATGTCTGCTTTGTTGATTTTATCTTAAAATTACTCCACATATGAAGAGTCCTCACTGCTGTATTTTCTAATTATTTTTTATTTACTCTAATTATGCTTGTTCAAATAATTGTACTGAAAAATAGAAAACTGTATCAATATCAGTTTTGTTTATTTTGACATTAAACCTTTCAACTGTATCACAGCACTACACAAGTTCTGAATTTTTCACTTCTTTCTGAATCTTTTTCTTTTTCTTTTCACGTCTTCTTTGCATTCTAAGAAATTTTTCTGTATTTTAAACTGTCAAGATACCTTCATTTAATGGTTCACAGAAAAATTCAAACAACTATTTTGAGAAATCCATAAGGAAAATTAAGAAGATAATGAACATGGTTCTCAAACAAAGTTTAAGATTTTTTTTAAATAAAAAGGGCTATATTGTTTCATTTTGTTTTGTTTTGTTTTGAGACAGTCTCACTCTGCCGCCCAGACTGGAGTGCAGTGGCATGATCTCACCTCACTGCAAACTCCCCCTCCTGGGTTCAAGCGATTCTCCTGCCTCAGCCACCCAAGTAGTTGGGATTACAGGCACCTACCACCATGCCCAGCTAATTTTGAATTTTTAGTAGATCTGGGATTTCACCATGTTGGCCAGGCTGGTCTCAAACTCCTGGTCTCAAGCAATCCACCCACCTCAGGCTCCCAAAGCGCTGGGATTAAAAGTGTGTGCCACTGCGCCTGGCCCAAAAAGGGCTATGTTGTTAAATAATACATTTTAACCCACAAAAGGCATGAAATATGTTAATAATTCTATGCATAATTCAGTATTCAATAAATAACCCGTATGTTTGTTTATTTAATTTACATGACCTTTATTATACCAGATAGGAGAAGAAAGAGTTTGAGCAGCCTCTTCCTGAAATATTTATGGTGTACTATTATCCCTCCTACCCCTTTTTCATTTATCGTCATCAACACTGTAATTATTTCTTTATTCATTTATTTCATACATATGTTAATCATGTTACTATGTATTAGGCCCTGGATATAAATTAGGAGCTAGACATAACTCCTGTCCTGATGGAACTTATTGTCCAGAGAGGTATACAGAAAAATAATCAGATATTTACAATGTAACTGACAAAGGGAAGTAAAGAATAATATAAGAACACATAAAAGGTGTATATAAGTGCCTTGGCCAGTCAGGGAAGGCTTATGAGAAGAAGGAGATATAAAGAAAATCCTTGGAGATATTGTGGGATTGGTTCTGGACCACCACAATAAAGTGAATATTGCAATAAAATGAGTCCCACAAATTTTCTGGTTTTCCAATGTATATAAAAGTTATGTGTATACTACATCATATTCTATTAAGTGTGTAATTGCATTATGTCTAAAATTCAATGTATATACCTTAATGAAAAATATTTTATTGCTAAAAAATGCTAATGATTATCTGAGCAAGTTTTGATCTTTTTGCTGGTAGAGGGTCTTCCCCGGATATTGATGGTTGCTGACTGATCAGGGTGTGGGTGCTGAAGACTGAGGTGGCTGGGGGCAATTTCTTAAGACAATGAGGTTTGTCTCATCAAGTGACTTTTCCTTTAATGAAATATTTCTCTATGGCAATGAGATGCTGTTGAGTAACATTTTATTTACAGTAAAATTTATTTCAATATTGGAGTCAATCCTCTCAAACTCTGCTGTTACTTTATCAACTAATTTATATAATATTCTAAATCCCTTTGTGTCATTTCAACAATGTTCGCAGCACCTTCACTGGGAGTAGATTCCATCTCATGAAACTACTATCTTTGCTCATCCATAAGAAGCAGTTCCTTATTTGTTCATGTTTTATCACGAAATTACAACAGTCACATCTTCAGACTCCACTTCTAATTCCAGCTCTCCTTCTATTACTCACCACATCTGTACTTACTTTCTCTACCGAAGACTTGCACCCCTCAAACCATCCGTGAAGGTTGAAACCAACTTCTTCTACTAATGTTAATATTTTGACTTCCTCCCCCAATCACAAATGTTCCTATTGGCATCTGGAATGGTGATTCCTTTCCAGTAGGTTTTCAGTTTGCTTTGCTTAGATCCGTCAGAGGAATCACTATCTATGGCAGCCTTGTGAATGTATTTATTTAATAAGAAGAATTGAAAGTCAAAATTACTCCTCAATCCGTGGCCTGCAAAATGCATGTTGTGCAAGCAGGCATGAAAACATTAATCTTGCACCTCTCCATCAGAGCTCCAGGGTGACTAGGTGCATTGTCAATGAGCAGTAATATTTTGAAAGAAATCTGTTTTTTTTTTTTCTGAGCAATAAGTCTCACCAGTGGGCTTAAAATATTTAGTAAAGAATGCAGTAAACAGATGTGCTGTCATCCAGGCTTTGTTATCCCATTTACAGAGCTCAGGCAGAGTGGATTTAGCATAATTCTGAAGGGCCCTAGGGTTTTCAAAATGGTAAATGAGCATTGGCTTCAACTTAAAGTCACCAGCTGCATTAGCCCCTAACAAGAGGGTCAGCCTGTTTTTGAAGCTTTGAAGCGAGGCATTGACTTCTTCTTTCAAGATATGAAAGTCCAAGAAGGCATCCTTTTCTGATATAAAGCTGTTTTGTCTGCATTAAAAATCTTGTTGTTCAGTGTACCCACCTTCATCTATTATCTCAGCTAGACATTCTGGATAACTTGCTGCAGCTTCCCCATCAGCTCTTGCTGCTTTACCTTGCACTTTCATGTTATGGAGATGGCTTCTTTCATTAAACCTCATGAACTAACTTCTGCTAGCTTCAAAATTTTCTTTTTCAGCTTTCTTACCTCTCAGTCTTCATAGAATTGAAGATAGTTAAGGCTTCACTTTGGATTAGGCTTTGGCTTAAGGGAAAGCTGTGGCAGGTTTGATCTTCTATCCAGAGCACTCACACTCTCCATATCAGTAATAAGGCTGTTTTGCTTTCTTATTGTTCATGTGTTCATTGGAGTAGCACTTTTAATTTTCTGAAAGGACTTTTTCTTTGCATTCACACCTTAGCTAACTGGACAGGAGGCTTTGCTTTCAGCCTATTCTGCCTATCTTGGCTTTTGACATGCCTTCCTCACTAAGCTTAATAATTTCTAGCTTTTGATTTAAAGTGAGAGACATGCAACTCTTCCTTTCACTTGAATAAGTGGAGGCCATTGTAGGGTTATTAACTGGTGTAATTTGAATATTATTGTGTTGTAGGAAATAGGGATACCTCAGGAGAGGGAGAGAGAAGGGGAATGGTTGGTCAGTGGAGCAGTCAGAGTACACACAATATTTATTAAGTTTGCTGTCTTATATTGGCATGTTTTGTTGGGCGCCAGAACAATTACAATAGTAACATCAAAGATCACTGATGACAGATCACCATAGCAGATATAATAATAATAAAGTTTGGAATACTGCAAGAATTACTAGAATGTGACACAAAGACACAAAATGAGCATGTGCTGTTAGAAGAGTGGTGCCAATGGACTTGCTCAATGGAGGGTTGCCACAAACCTTCAATTCATTATTTAAAAAGCAGTATTTGTGAAGCTTTGGGTAGCTGTGAATAAAGGGAAGTACAACAAAAGGATGCTTATATAATGTAAGGCTAAAAGAAAGCAGATATGTGGTCATTTGTTACGGGTGATTAGACAAAAGGAAGAAGGAATATTTGAAGCACAGTAAGCAGAGTATATGGTTTATACAAAGATTCTGACATAAGGCAGTTGGGAAAGTAAAACTTAGAAGTCTTTCAGTGGTGGTAAAACCCCGGTTCTGAGAGAATGCAAGTAGAAGGGCAGAAACTGGAATAAAGATAAAGGAATGAGATTGAGAGATGGATGAAGCAGGACCAAATAACGATTGGCCCAATAAGACATACGAAAATGCTGGAGAGGAATGGCATAGATCAATGTACATTTTGGAATGATTATTCTGTCTGTAACACAGAGAGTAAAGAGGTATAAAATTGTCATCAGAGAGACCAGTTAGTGGGAAATTACAATAACCCAGGTGAGAAATTATCATTGTCTGAATTGGGCATCTGACAGTGCAGGTGGATGGAAGTGGATGGAGTTGAGAGATATTTAAGTGCTGGACAGAGGGACTTCATGATTGATTGGAGAGGGTAACCATGATGAACGGCAAAGAGAAAAAAACTTGAAGATGATACTCAGATTTATGGCTTGAGAAACAGGATGCATCTAGTGACAGAAGCTGTGGAGCTGTGTGGACAGTTGCACACAAATCAAAGTGCCATACTGAGAGAGGGTTGGGGCTATGTGTTAATATCTGTGATGCAACATGGCATGGTTTACATCACTGTTGCTGTATCTTTAAGTTCATGTGTGTAATATACTACATTGGAAATTTATAATGTCATATGAGATGATCAGTGATGTTTCAGAACCTAAGGGAGCATTCTAACACTGACAGCTTACAAAGACCTAAGTGTTTACACATTCCCGTATAGAGAATTTAAAGATGAACAGGCAGGTAGACAAGGACATAGTAGAAGGACGCCACAGTATGGTTAAAGGAATACAGAAGTAAGAAAGCATCCAGGAGTAATTAAACAAGACTTTGGAGAATGGGAAGTTTGGGATGTCTGGAGAGAAGGTAGAATACACAGGTGGGGAAGAGACCGAGAAGTATCACCTGTTCTCTCCCAGGGCTGAATCACTATTTATCCACAAGAATAACTCATTAACTAATTACAAGCATGGATTTATATAATGTTTACAATTTATAAGGATATCACTGGCACTGTTAAAAAGTAAAAACTGCACGTCTGTAATCCCAGCACTTTGGGAGGCTGAGGTGGGCAGATCACGAGATCAGGAGACCCAGACCATCCTGGCTAACACGGTGAAACCCCGTCTCTACTAAAAATACAAAAAAATTAGCCGGGCGTGGTGGCGGGCACCTGTAGTCCCTGCTACTCAGGAGGCTGAGGCAGGAGAACGGCGTGAACCCGGGAGGCATAGCTTGCAGTGAGCAGAGATCGCGCCACTGCACTCCAGCCTGGGCGACAGAGCAAGACTCCGTCTCAAAAAAAAAAAAAAAAAAAAAAAAAAAAAAGGAAAAAGTGAAGAAGGAGATGTTGGGCACTGAGAAACTTTCGAAGAGAGATAAAAAGAGGTAAGGAGACTACTGCCATTGTTGGGAAGTGAAAATAAAGAGGAGGACCATGATGGCAGTGGAGAGCAAGGGAAGAGGACAGAAAACCATGCTACAACTAACTGCTGAGTAGGCACAACCTTGTGGCCTGCAAAGTCTAAAATATTTACTCTCTGACCTTTAGGAGAAATACTGTTGACCCCTGGTTTAGACTACCTTTCGTAGAAGCAGGAATGTGGTAAGTTAAAGACAGAAGCAGAACCTAGGAGACATTTTATGTTTTAAGATGAGACATAACTTTGTTTATGAATCAATAAGGAGGAGACATTGAAGATACTGGAAAAATAGATTAACTCTGGGAGGAAGCCCTCAAAGACAAAATATGGAGGGATTAACTTTGGTAGAAGGAGGAACCTTTTCCATACATAGGGGTGGAAAGACTATGGTTGAATTTTTATTAAAATACATCTGTTATAGGAAAAGAGGGAAGATCAAAGCATTCATGTTTAGTGATTTCTTTTTATTCTTTGAGGTAGGGAGCAAACTCACTTGCTGAGAGGATGAAAGAGCTTGCAGAGAAGGGTGTCGTCTTTGAAAAACCACTTTGAGAGAACAGCAGAAAGGGAAAGGGAAATATTCAGCCATTCCTTGGCTGTCCCTGGGACCAGAAGAGCCTAGAAACCACAGGTTAGTGGTGACACTTACCAGCTCGGTTGTACAGCATCTGTTACTTCTCTTTGCACATACCTAGAGGTGTAATCATGAGAAAATCCCATCTCAAATGTGTTAAAATAATATTAACTTCAAGAACCTGACATTGACACAAATAGAATTCAACAGCTTTTTTGAAGTTTAAGTATTGTACTATCCTGGTTTTTATAAACCCAAAAGAACATAGTACAATGCTTAAACTTTAAAAGCTCTGTGGCTTTCACTGAGGCCACAATTAGTAGGTAAAGAGCAATATACCTGCATGAGTAAGAGATGGGACTGAGAACAGTCAAGCCATCAGAGTTAGGCAATATTTTTGAGAGAAAACAAAAGAAATGCATAATTCTTCACAGAAGTTGGGGGTAAGCTTAAATCAAGGTAAAGGGAATATTAGTATATAAATAATGTGAAGTAACTATACTGTGATCTTTGGATAAATGATTTGTTTGTTTGTTTGTTTTCATTAAACATGTTGCACCCAATGGAAAAGAATCATGGGTAGAAGACATGATTCTGTTTTAAGTTAAAGACAGGAAAATAGAACTTATATTTAATTATCATCCCGTACATATGTCTAAATAAAAAGTTGTTGTTAATGAGTCTAATAGGAATATGGCTAAAAACATAAAAAGTACATGGCTAAGGCATTTACCTCTCCCTCACAGATGACCTGATTTTCCATACGTGCAAGAAGTTACTATATCAAAAATATGAATTTAATCAAGGGTTTTATGACAAACTGAAAGCTCATATCTAATCTCATGAAACTTTCACATAAAATTTTAGCCTTCCAAATACTGTCTCTGATAATTCCATATAAATCTGTCTTCATATATTTCTAATATACTTAAAATCTCAGTTGGCATTCAAATATTTTAAAGTTTATGTTCTACATTATAAGTTTTTAGATAACCCTATTTTTCACATAATTATAATTTCACATGTTGCCTTACATAAAAGAATTTCAAAATAATAGTTGATTCCTTGGTGCCTCTCTTTTGATTTATTTTTTTAAAATTATATTAGAAAATGAGAAGTACAAAGGGCTCTAATTTGAAGTGTCCAACTGAATGGGCCACCAGTTGTATAACCACAAGCCAAATCAAAATATAGAGTAATACTGCAAGAGGTTCCCCCATGCACCCTCTCAATCAATTGTCTCTCCTAGAAGGAAACACTATTTTGATCTCTATCATAATGCCTTAAAAGTTCACTTTGATAGAAAACAGTTTTTCATAATTAATTTAGTAAAATCAAAAATTTATATTCTTATATAGCCTATTGCAGAGATAAGAGAGGTTATTTATATGTAACTTTGACTAGCCTGGCTTTTGCACAGTATCTAGTTCACTAGATATAACTACCACTAGCATCAGCTTATTTTGTGCGGTGCTGTGTGGAGCAGAAATAAAAAGCCTCCTTCAATGGCAAACCTTCAAAAGCATTACTCAAGAGTCATGATGAAGTCCTAATTATTATGGGGTGTATACCGAATCTCAAATAAAGTCAGAGTCTTTGAAGGCAAAGAAGGCCTACATTTCATGCCACTAAGTTAAGAAAGATAAAAATTCAAGGTTTATATGTTGATGGCAACTACAAAAGCTTTGTTAAAATAATAGTCATACTCTTCTTCTCACATAATAATGCTTCTGTTGTAAAGCTTCACAGTTTGGTGGGGTGAACAAAATTGATGAATAATGGCTTTCTACTAGTGGTGCAAAATAGCAAAGCCATTCATTTCATTCTAGTATAGTTTGTCATATTTTCCAGACTTTTTAAAATCAGAAAACGAAGTCTTTATGTGTGCTGTGTGACATAGTAGTACTTCCTCACAGAGCACACTCATTGATGGTGCTTTGTACGGAAAGGATGCCACTCCTGAAATTCTGACAAGTAAAAGGCAGATTTTCCACTGCATCTAGCCTAAGATTGGGAAAGTTCAAAGAGAGAGAAGTTGGATGAATTTGTTGGGCGTCAGTGAATTGAACATAAACAGTAGGCAAGAGGCTATGATGTTTTTATTGGTAGAGTTCAGTAGGAGACTCCTTCATTCAGGAAAAATTTGTAGAGCCCCTACTTGAGGGACTGTGCTAAATATATTCTCTAAGGGAAATAAAGACAATGAGAATCTTTGCTGAATAATGATTCAGATCAGTAGAGAAGGCAAGACATACAAATAATGATGCAAAAAAAGTTTTACCATACATATAAAGCAACATGTTAAAATTACTATTTGACAAAGACTGGATGCAAAATTTGAAAGTAGAAAACAGAAATGGCAAAGAATGTCCTGGTAACACAGAAATATCCTAATTTTAAAATCCCACCACTACGACCCCTCTACCACCCCTAATATCTCAATATGTCCTTCTTTTCTTTCTTATTTTTTTGTTTCTTATATTTTTTCCTTTTTGTGTGTTTGATATAGTCTTGCTATTTCACTCAGGCTGGAGTGTAGTGGCACACTGCATGGTTCACTGCAGCCTCGACCTCTGGGCTCACACCGTGCCAATTTTGTTTTAGAGAGTCAGGGTCTTGCCATATTGCCTAGGCTGGTCTTGAATTCCTTGGCTCAAGTGATCCCCCACCTCTGCCTCCCAAACTGTTGGGATTACAGGCATAATCCACCACGTCTGGCCCAAAATACTTTCAAACATATTTGTTACTATTATCCAACCAGATCCATCTCCTCTTTGGATGTCATGCACTGCAGCTTCATCTAGTATGCTGTTTCCCTACTTAGAAAGCATTTATTCTGTTTCTTTCCATTATTTCCTTGAAGATTCACTTCAAATTTGTGTTCAAGAAGCCATCCCTAATTGTGTGCAATAGACGTATATTCTTCCTTCATCACATTTCCTCAATAATTGGATGTAAATATCATATTACATTGCTGTGACCTGTTTAAGATCACTTTCCTCCCTACAAGAAAATGGCTAAAAAATGTTGCATTGGGTTATTATTCATTAGTATTAAATACATATGAAATATTCAAAGTGTTTGCTGGATCATTCAATATTTGATTGAAGAGAAGAATGTTGCTTCTGTGTAGAGGAAGCTCAGCATAGCAGAAGGCAGGAATCAGAGTTAAATGCTGTTGGTGTGATCCTCAGATCTGTCAGTGAAGAACTGCAATCCTAAGTAAACCATATCTGAAGGCACAGAGACAGGAACAAATAACAAGTAGTAATCTGAGGGAAATGATGGAGTTTAGCTTGTTACCAATCGATTCTATTTAATAGATAAGGAATTATAATGCATTGCGTCATTGCTTAATGAGGAATAACAAGGCACAACAAAGTTTCCTATTGCCATAAAATAAAGGGAATGACATCCAACAATGAGTTTGATTTTTTAAGTAGATTCTGGGGGTTCATGTGCAGGTGTGCTACATGGGTCTATTTGCATAATGCTGATGTTTGGGTTTCTGTTGAATGCATCACCCAAATAATGAACATAGTACCTGATAGGTAGATTTCAACCATTGCTCCCCTTCCTCCCTTCCTCCTTTGGGAATTGACAGTGTCGATTGTTTCCATCTTTATGTCCATGTGAACCCTTTGTTTTGCTCCCACTTATGAGAATATGTTCTGAGTTTCTGTTTCTAAATTAATTCACTTAATAGCCTCCAGCTGCATCCATATTGCTGCAAAGAACATGATTTTATTCTTTTTATGACTGCATAGTATTCCATGGTGTATGTGTACAACCAAAAAAAAAAAAATGCAAAGAAACAACTGAGTCTTAAGAAGAGGTTGAAAGATGTCCAGCAAGGCAAAGGAAGATGAAATTAGGACTGTCGGATTTGGCTTTCAGAAAGATATACTGCTCAAGCACTTTGGAAAGGGTGATTTCCATGGATCAGATTGCAATCTGTTGAAGGGTAATTAAAAGTTGGGAATAGAGATTCTGAATGTAGATTATGCTTTTTAAACGGTGGGATCAATGAAGACAGAAAAGGACAAACAGCCTCAATGTGAAGGTCTAAAGGCACGTAAAGTCAAGTTTTTGCTTTATTTGATGTTTCACTTTTTGTTTTGTTTTTGGTTGAAACATTTTAAAAGAGCCATACTGACATCCTTTATTTTGCATTTCCTATACTTCAAAATAGCACAAATATAACTTTGCTATGTAATGCTTATCATATGTAATTTTTTATTCATGCCACACCCAAGAAATAAAAGCAGTTTACACTGTCATTTTTGTTTAAAGTTTTTACAAGTTGTTTATAAATAACTGCATTCTTTGAGTGACTTTGAACTTTGTTTAGGAAAAATGTTGTCACACTGTGTGTTCTGGCAATAGTTTGATTATGTTTGACTGCTTTTGCTTCCTGTGCATATTAATGTGTGGCTCCCATGTCACTAGAAAAAAATCAAGAGCTTCAAACCTGTGAGCAAACCATTCAAAGAAGATTGTAATGATATCACACAAATTTCCCTTTTTGGTGTCCAAAAGAGAAATAAAACGTCAATTGCCTTGCTACTTGATTAATTATTCCAGGGGCCAACAAACTATGACCTATAGGCCAAATTGGGTCTGCCACCTCTTTTTAAATAAAGTTTTATTAGTACATAGCTACATCGATATATTTATACCATCCATAGCTGCTTTCATATACACACAATTGTGCAGTTGAATAATTCTGACAAGATCAGGTAGCTCACAAAATCTAAAATACTCATTATCCTTTAAAGAAAACCTTTGCCAATCCTTGTATCAGAGCTTTATATAATTATAGTGAAGACAAATATTAACTTCTAAAACAGATTTGAAATATGTGCTTTCCCAAATTATATTTATTTATGTTGACACAATTAATTCAACAAATATGTATTGAGCACCTTCTATAAAGCCAGATCTTTTTGAGGTTATAGCAGTTAACAAAACAAATGAAACTCTGTCCTCATAGAGGTTGCATTCTAATTGTAGTCAACTGGACACTCAACAATCAACAAATAACAAAATAAATGAGAAACTATATTTAAAAATACTGTGCCAGATGATCATATGCACCCTGTATAAAACAAACAAGGACAAGGAATAATGAGTATCAGGGATTGGAGGGATTAAGGAGCATACATTTACTACTATATATTGTTTATAGTGTCCTAAGATTGTCCTTGAATAAAATGAAATTATCAGCCAAGAGATCAAGTAAAATAGAACTACTCCCTAACTAAAATGTCTGCATCCTAAGTTGATAACATTCAGTCCACACACTCATTAAAATATACTACTAGGCTTCACTTTTAATTTGGACCTGTTTCTGAACCCACAATTTACAAAATGGTGCAAGACCAAAAAAGAACCATATTATGCAAAGTCAATCCCCTCAAGAAAGCTTATCACATTAAGTTGGTCCCTAAAATTCTGCACAAATTCAGTGTTTAAAGCCAATGCATAATCCCTGTATAATATTATATAAGAGAGTAAACTTTGTATAAAATTGTTTATGTCAGCCTAGCAAATAATAGTTAAAAAAAAAAGGCAGGGGTTAAAAAAAAAAAAACTCTAATAATATTGTAAATCTTTCTCCCAAAATAAATGGAATGTAGGAAGGGGGCAGGGATAGCATTAGGATATATACCTAATGTAAATGATGAGTTAATGGGTGCAGCACACCAACATGGCACATGTATACATATATAGCAAAACTGCACGTTGTGCACATGTACCCTAGAACTTAAAGTATAATAAAAATATATATAAATAAAAATAAATGCTAATGCCATTAAAAATATTTTAAAAAGATGGTTGACATCACTTATAATTTTAAAAATGCAAACTAAAACTATACCAAGATACCATCTTTTACCAATACAATTGGCAAAAATCCAAAAGCTTAACCAAGAACTATTTTGTTGAGTCTTGGGTAAAAAATAAAAATAAAAATAAAATAAAATAAAATAAATGGAATGTAGTCATCACTTAATCATTTTTAGCCCATGAAATATTATAAACAATATAAAATAGCCAGCTATAAACAATCTGTAATCCAATAACAATTTTATTTTATTATATTGATAAGGCAAATGGTAATTTATACTTCTATTTTGCTAGAACTTTTTGAATGAACTACGTAGATCATGTACAATGGACATAAACTCCCTTTATGTGTGCCAAACCAAAAATATAAAAATCAAATGGGAATGTGATTTTTACTGGGATACCTTGAGATCTGAAAGCTCTCTGTAGCTTGTCAGTACAGCAACCCTGTTCTGAGTTTTGATTAACTGTCTTTTTACTTGAATTAGATATTAGTTTCTTGATGTTTTTATTTTAAGAGAAAATTACTATTGAAATGTTCAAGATAGCTTTAGAGTTAACATTAAGATTCAAGGAAAAATGTTTTAAAAACCCATGTTCTTAATTTCTCTGAGATATATACTTTTTCCTTTTTCATTTTTACATTAATGTTTTATGGGAGGAAAAGTAATTACTCTCCTATATCAATTAAATGGCAACTGTTAAAATATCTTACAATACTAACATTTTCTGAACTCTTGTTCTCCCAACCAATAAAAAAGACATGACCTAAAAGAATTCCAAAATGAAAATGGAACATTAATTAAAACACAAATGAATATATTTGGTGTTATTTCAGTTTTAAGAATATACTTACCTTTACTGTAAGTCTCTCAGATTCTTATACTATGTCTTTTTCTCCAAGATGTTTCCAGAAGACTAGTTCTACCAGGAGTAGGAGGGTAGTAGGGAGTTTGAAAACAGCCACTATACTAGGTTATACCCGTTCTTCAATTTTAACAAATGTAACACTCTACCATGTACCTATTATTTCCTCAAGTTTTGTATTTTAAAATTAAAAAAAAATATGTTAACTGTTTCCAGATCCTTGAGGGTACCATTCATTAGTAGGTGAAAAATAAGTCAGCTCTCCTATAACATTGCAAAAATAAGAAACAGTGCACATGGTTGTAATTTGCATTGCTTGGGTGGATAGTGTACTTGCCATAATTCAACAATATAGAACTTTTTACAAATATCTAAGTGTCTATTTTCTAGTCAAAGTAATAAAAAAATGACTAAGCCCCTGGACCTAATAGTATAACATGAAGATAATCAACGAAAAGAGAACTAAAATGCTGCTTCAAGATGAATTGCTAGAAATGGCTTGGAATTTCAAGGCTGCCATTGTCATTATCAGTGAGATATCTGTTTATAGTAACCTTAAAGCTATCCAAGGAAATGCAACTATATAAGCAGAAGAGCATATAATAAGAAAAAATTGCCAGGCATAGGAAAAAAATCTCTTTCATAAAGAAGATTTTATTTGTTACTGATAATGATCGTATTTGTTTCCCACAGCATGATCCACATATGAAAGTAAGTTAAAAGATAATGAATTGTAAGGAAAAGAAAGACATTTGTACCTACTTATGCTGCCAATAGCTTTCCTTGGGTGGAGAGTGGTACCTCTATTTACGCTTAAGATTCAAACAAACTGCATCACAAATTGTCATAAAATACATATGCTCAGGATATAATGTTTTGAAAAGCTGCATTTCTCAAATCACTGCTACCAAATGCTGTATCAGTCATGATTCAGACCAGGAAACAGAAAGCACTCTTGGAATTCAAGCAGGGAGAGATTTACTGATTAAGGGTTTCAAAAATCAGAGGAGCTGGAGGAGTTGGAATCAGGGGAGTTACAACCGGACTACTAATTTCAAGGTCATACTGCCATAGCTGTGATGTAGAGGTCAGGAAGCTCTACTGCTGCTGGCTTAGATATCACTGCCACAGGCTTTCAAACCCCTAGAGCTGATGTCTTGCATTGGCATGCAGAGTGTAAGCATGCCAACCCTCTCTTCTGTCTGACATTGCTTTGCTGCAGTCACCAACAGGAATAAGGCCACTGCTTTGCTTCTGACTCGAAAGTTTGCATACAACTGTTAGCTAGAAGGGAATATGGGCAAAGTAAAAGGAAAGTGTAATAGAGAGATTGAGAGAGCTAGGCCAAGTAGTGTTCCTTAAACTTTTACCCCTTGCCCCAAAATGTTAAAGAAAACAACTCTGAATCTAAAAGATTTTTTAAAAATAACTTACTTTGTAAATTGCACTGATATGCACTAATTTGATATTAAAATCTTTCTGAGCTGATTGTGAGGCTGTGTTTTATCTTCATTTATCCTACTACATGTGAATATTTATATGATTCTCTGCATAAATATCAAGTTATTTGAATACAAGGTGACCTGACCCTCTGAGGGTGTTATGAACTATACAGTAGAAATTACACCAAGTATCAGAATGTCAAATATCAGATTGTCAAATCAGACTTACATGCACTGGAAATCTTAACCAATATCATCTTACCTGACACCAATCTTTACTAATAACTTCAATAATAGAAGGAATGCAAGGCAAAGGAAAATCAGAGAGTTGTCTGGGAGCTCCAATGTAGCTACTTACTTCTTTTCTTACCATTTTATATATTCTGGACCTAGGTTGTCATATCCTTTAAACATGTGTGCAGTTATACATTTAAATTATAAAACATGTCTAATGTAAAATAAGCTAAATCGCTTATGTGATATCGTCCAGGGAACTTTACCAATAAATCTATATATTCTAGATTTATGTACCATAATCAATCGTAGACAACCAGGTTCATCATAGTGAAAGTATTGCATAAATGATTATTCTAACACAAACAAATGCCATTAGCGTGTTACCAAAGACATTCATAATTCATATGTTTACAAGAAGATTTGACAGTTTTTTGTCTTGATGATTTCCCCAAATCCTCCATCCTTAATGATAGAGGGAATAAACTGTAGGCCAGTTCCACGTTCATTTTCTTCTAAAGGTATTTGCATTATAGTACCTTTTTAAAATCTGAAACACTCTGAATTCTGAAGTTCATCAGGCCCCAGAGGTGTAGGAAAGGCAGTTTTGGACCTATATCTACCACAGTGCATTTATTTGCTTTTCAATGACTACATGCATTCTTCCACACATATTTCATCTTCTACACAGCAATGACATTCTTCCATCTAACCTAAGACATTTATTCTTTGTATAAATAAGGATCTTCTCATAATCTTAAAATGGGAGGCTTAAAGTTGAATTACTCATTGTATGCATCTTTGGGTTTATCCTCTAGGAACTCAAGTGTTGCTACCAGATTTTAAAATTGGACTCTGCCTCTTACTTTTTAGGAACTCTTTTCATTCTGGTTGCTTTATCTCTGGGTTGGCTTAGATTAGTGGCTCCCAATTGGGGTACGCTCTCGTGAAAGTAACACTGTGCGTCTATGAGCTACTTCAACATATTAAGAAGTCTACTGTGGTATTTCCTAAACATGGTTAATATATTGATAACTTAAGATGTTTCCTTAAAAAATTCAACTTTTTTGGCTGTACTTTGGTCTTACTAAGTCAGAATACCTTAGCAAGTACTAGAAATTTATATGTTTATTCAACTCCATGGGTAATCCTCATACACAGCATAATTTAAGGACTATTAGTCTAGTGGAATCATGTGTACGTTTGTGTGTGTGTATATATATATATATATATGCCTAAATTTACTAAAATGGTAATTATGTTTGTTTTAATTTGGAATTATAGTGAATTATGTGTGCTAACCTCATATTAAAAGATAAAATTATAACAAATTTAGTTATGGATCGAATTGGATTTTATTTGCAATTTATGAATCAAGACAGCTACATCCTACAAAACAGAATGTGAACTCTCACTGGGAAATCACAGAAGAGTGGATTTTGTAAGGTGAGAAAGAAACAGAACAAAGGAAAATAGTTGATTGGTTAACACTAGGTTACTTGAGTTAGTTTTTGGTAAGGGTTAAAACAGAGGGATCTTCCTTATGATGCTGAGTCATGTAGACTGGAATCTGCTGTTCTCAGGAAAAACTGTGCTGTTTGGGATCTATTTGCTTCCTAAAAGTTGCAGTTTGCTTATGTGACATTTAGCATGAGTGACTCCATTTTGGTTTGATCTGGTCTGATGGGGTCTGGTGCAAGATCGCAGTGCAAGAGCTCAGTCCAAGACAATGGCCTCCTATAATTGTGTTTAACATCTATTTTATTTTATTTTCAATTTCAATTTTTATTGAGCACATAGATGGCCAGATTACCTAGATGCTAAGAATACAGAGATGTAGAAAACACAGCTTTGCTCAAAAAGCTTGTGTGGATAAACACGCAAGTAAACCAAAAATTATTAAGTGTCTTCAGGACTTTAGCAGACATATGTCCCAGGTGATACAGGAGTATAGAAGAGGGATTAAAACCCATCTATTTGGCAGTTCAATATACCTTTGAGTAATAATACAAAAATAAGAAAATAAATTTGAAAATTGGAGCATTTTTAGTCAACCAAACAATCATTCAGTAACAGGAACATTTAATTAAAAAAGAAAAAATAATTCAGTGTTAAAACGTTGTTTTGTTGTTGTTTTCTGTTTGTTTGTTTGTTTGTTTTGTTTTGTTTTATTTTGAGATGGAGTCTCGCTCTGTCACCCAGGCTGGAGTACAATGGCATGATCTCGGCTCACTGCAACATCCACCTCCTACGTTCAAGCAATTCTCCTGCCTCAGCCTCCCGAGTAGCTGGGATTACAGGTGCCCACCACCATGCCAGGCTAATTTTTGTGTTTTTAGTAGAGACGGGGTTTCACGCTGTTGGCCAGGCAGGGTCTTGTACTCCTGACCTCAGGTGATCTGCCCACCTTGGCCTCCCAAAGTGCTGGGATTATAGGCATGAGCCATAGTGCCCAGCCTAAAACATGTTTTTATATTCACTTGACTATATGATGATTATAAATTCTTGCCAAGAGCTAATAGTCAATAATTTCATGATTTTACATTTTTCTTGTAGAAACACTTAATCATTCTCTCCCACAGGTAATTGATTTGATGTATGATAAATTGGTTAATTGGTTGTTTGTTTTATGGTTGTGTAATCCTGGGTAGGGTAACACAACTAATTTTACCTTTCCTAGTTTATATTTGATCACAGAAGGAGCTCAGTTTTATCTACTTAGGTAATAATTAGAGACAGCTTTTAATGTACTTTTTGCCTCTTCTAACTGCAGACTTTTCTTTTTAAACTAACAGTTTTTGAGTTACATTAAATAGAAACCCAGAGACACTCAATAGAATTCAGTGAATTTTTTTAAACTTTGTTGTTGGGTTGATTATTACTTGGTAGATGGCTTTCAGAAACATTTTCTGGAATTTATATTAAGCATACATGAAATTATAATTTAAGAGTTTTTGTTTGTTTTGTTTTGTTTTTTACTTTATGGATTGATTTTTGTCATATACAAAATAAAACTTTTCAGGGAAATTTGAAAAGAAAACTTATCACCAACTAATGAGGTGGGTTACAGAATCATTTAAAAATGTTTATTACATGTTTACTGCAGTGGTATTCACAAATGCCAAAGTATAGAATCGACCTAAGTGTCCAACAATGAGTCACGGGTAAATAAAAGGTGGTCTAGATACACAATGGAATATTATTCAGCTATAAAAAAGAATTAAATCCTGTCACTTGCAACAACATGGATGAATCTGGAGAATATAATGTTAAGTGAAATAAGCCAGGCACAGAAAAACAAATACCACATGGTATCATTCATATGTGAAATCTTAAAAAAAAAGAGGGGGGAACGTTAATATCATAGAAGCAGAGAATAAAACAGTGCTTATCAGAGACTGGGTAAGAGGAGGGAAGGGAAAATGGAGAGAGATTGATCAACAAGTACAAAGTCACAATAAGATAGGAAGAATAAGTTATTGTGTTCTATTGCACAGTAGGGTGACAATGCTTAACAGTAAGGTACTGTGTATTTCAAAATAGCTAGAAGAGAGGCTTTTGAATGTTCTCACCACAAAGAAAGGATGATAGCATGAGGTGATGAACATGCTAAATACCCTGATTTTAATATTTTACAACATATATGTGTATCAAAATATCAAATTGTGCCCCATAAATATGTAATTACAATGTGTCAATAAAAAGTAAAAAAATTCTAATTTAGGAAATATATATATTATTTATATATGTCAATTTAGGATATACATCTATATTAATTTAGAATATATATGTAATATCTGTAGATATAAATGTATATATCAGGATAGATACAGTTCCTGTCACAAGTCAAGAATTGTGCTAGGTATTGTGGACAAGGCAAAACAAAATCATATCCTACATAGTTCAGTCTTATTGGAAAAAAGAGGCAATTATAGTATGGTTTAATTAATGCCTATATGGGGACATTACAAGTTTCATTGCAACACATAAGAGAGATACTTACAGAAATAAATCCAGAGAAATCAAGCATCACCAGCCTAATTTTATTTTGGGGGGCAAAGGAGCCATGTTTCTTTTCACCGTCTCTCTTGGGATGTCTTACTCAAAGGTCTGGAGTGAAGAGTGGTTGCCTAGACTTTTCCTTCTGACCCCTTACGTACCATGAGTCCCTAGGTACAACTGTTGTTTTCCACTGAATGGAGCTGAGCAGACACAGCATCATAAACAGAGGAAATGACTAATCATTTACTGTTTCCTCTAACTGCTGGGAGCCCCTGCTGGTCTCTGGCACTCTTGCTTGTTTTGAAGTTATAATGTAAGTTTAGTCTCCCTGGAGACCAGCCTGGCCAACATGGTGAAACCCTGTCTCTACTAAAAATACAAAAATTAGCCGAGTGTGGTGGCAGGCACCTGTAATCCCAGCGACTTGGGAGATTGAGGCATGAGAATCGCTTGAACCTGGGAGGCGGAGGTTGCAGTGAGCCGAGACTATGCCACTGCACTCCAGCCTGGGCAACAATAGCGAAACTCTGTCTCAAAAAAAAAATAATAAGTCTGTAATTTTATAGCTATAAAGGGCATTAAAGATCATCAATCACTCCCACCTCATTACAGATAAGAAAACTGAAGTGCTTAAATACCCAGTGACCTTGCACAAACTCCGGGGTGAGTTAGTGGCAGCACCTAAACAAACAGGAAATACCTGGACTCCATGTCTAGGGTTTTCCTTATGCAGTGAGGCTTCTTTCTATCTGATGACACCATTCTCCACCTCATTCTAGAACAGTCAGAAATTGTCCAGACCAGCTTTCAGTTGATGAGCACTTCTTCCCCAGCTGTAGAAATAAAAGAGTCTAATCAAACCAGTCATTGTTGTTAGAACTTAAAGTTGAAGGAAATAAAGACTAGGATAATGAAAGAAGCTATCCAGAGGCCTAAGATACCCAGAGGCCTGAGATACCTCTTTCTCCTCCAAACACCTGGGACACATTGCTCCCAAGACACTTTGTTGACTCACAGTATACAGGAGTTATATTTTTTAAAAAAGAGAAAATTATAAATTATAGTTTGTAGTTTATGAAAATTATGACTTGCAGTTCCATAGCACAGATATGTTGGGTAGAGCCTGCTTCAAATACCTACCTGAGGTCTGGACCTAGTCCCTGGTTTAAAATGGCTTGTGACTTTGCTCTAGAAGGCATTTTAGAAATTCAAAGGAAAATATTTTGTTGATACAATGATTGGGAGCCTGTAGTCAAAAGGGATGCAGAAGTTTATAAGAACTGTCCTGGGGAAGATGGTCTTTCACAGTAAAAACCTGTCTGTGTTTTATACAGCAGTATATTTATTATGCAGCTAGACACTCAAGTGGATGAAAGATTTGTTTATAATCTGAGTCTAGAACATTATTTTATACACACTGAGGTTTTTCTTCACAGTGCTAAGATGCACTGAATTTTTTAGGAATAAAATTAACTTGTAAATCAAGGAAAGGGTCTACCTTGTTTTGTTCAGAAGTTGTCAAAGTGCTTATCATGGTTTTAGAAAACCTAGCTACTTATGACAATGTTGTTTATATCATAGGAATGGTCAGTGCCAGCTTCTATCAGTTGGCAGCCACAGTGATTGCATTAATCGTAACTTTAGATAGCTGGGCCAGAACATTGCTTCTACTTCTACACAGAGGCACTGATATGGTTTGGGTCTGTGGCCCCACCCAAATCTCACAATGTAGTTCTCATAATTCCCACGTATTGTAGGAGAGACCTGGAGATTATTGAATCATGGAGGCAGGTCTTTCCCATGCTGTTCTCATGATAGTGAATGGGTCTCAGGAGATCTGATGCTTTTAAAAATGGGAGTTTCCCTGCACAAGCTCTCTCTTTGCCTGCTGCCATCCATATAAGATATGACTTACTCCTCCTTGCCTTCCACCGTGATTGTGAGACCTCCCCATCCATGTGGAACTGTAAGTCCAATAAACCTCTTTCTTTTATTAATTGCTCAGTCTTGGGTATGTCTTTATCAGCAGCATGGAAATGGACTAATACAGGCACTTAAAAATTTACATATTAAGAGACCGGGCACAGTGGCTCACACCTATAATCTCAGCACTTTGGGAGGCTGAGGCGGGAAGATCACGAGGTCAGGAGATGGAGACCATCCTGGCTAACGTGGTGAAACCCCGTCTTTACTAAAAATACAAAAAATTAGCCGGGCATGGTGGCACGTGCCTGTAGTCCCAGCTGTTCAGGAGGCTGAGGCTGGAGAATCGCTTCAATCTGGGAGGTGAAGGTTACAGTGAGCTGAGATAGTGCCACTGCACTCCAGCCTGGGTGACAGAGTGAGATTCCATCTCAAAAAATAAAAATAAAAATTACATATTAAGATATCTATTGTTTTCTTGTAAACTACTTTTCTTTTTTGTTTTATCATAAGTGAAATATTTTGATTTTTTAAAATTACATGTCTAGGCATATAATATCATCCATGTATTTGATTTCTGCCTAGTGAAAGGCATGTAACACAAATAATTATTTTAAGAGGGAAACATTGAGTCAGATGCTGATGAGAACAATCTAGTCATCATTCATTGACATGGGCTAAAATTTTATACCTGAGCATTTGAATCAAGTGTAATTTGTATACCTACCATGAAGGATGTTGAAATTTTAGTTTGACCATGCTTCCCCACATATAATAAAAAACACTTAGCTCTGAAAATACTGATTTTTCTTAGAAGTTTAAAGACTTTGGCAAAATTTCATGGGACAATTATAAGCAATATTCTACAAAAAGGAAAAATCATAAATCTTCAAAGAAGTAAGTACAACAGATCTACTACATCTCAATATGGTGCTGTGGCCCCCAACAGCCCAGACTATTACTTTAAGTTGGTTGCAATGTAAATACATTTACCTTTATAGGTGCCTGGGTCATTTCAGAATTTCATCTCAGATTAAGGTTCATTCCAGACCATGCATAGGTCAGTACTTTATTCATCAGACATTTCCAGAAATCAAAGAGGATTGGTTGAATTGGTGGAACTTCTATGGGAAGGGTACTGGTATACCACCTATTTGTAACCTGCTAGTTGAATGGGAGGGTTGGGAATGTACCATTACATGAAGTACATAGCTGTATTAATCTGTCCTCACGCTGCTAATAAAGACATACCTAAGACTGAGTAGTTAATAAAGGAAAGAGTTTAATCGACTCACAGTTCCACATAACTGGGGAGGCCTTACAATCATGGCGGGAGGTGAAAGAGGAGCAAAGTCACATCTTAAATGGTGGCAGGCAAGAGAGCGTGTGCAGGGGAACTCCCCATTATAAAACCATCAGATCTCGTGAGACTTATTAACAGTCATGAGAATAGCATGGGAAAAACCCAACCCCATGATTCAGTTACCTCCTACCTGGTCCCTCCGATGACATGTGGGGATTATTACAACTTGAGGTGAGATGTGGGTGGGGATGCATTGTCAAACCATATCAATAGCTACATATTTTTTACTTTTTGTTGTTGTTGCTTAATAAAGACAAATTTAATAATAACCTACCGTGTGGCAAAAAAATTGTACTTGGCATTTCAGCATTTGAAGTCTTTCTTTTCAAGATATTGCCTTTTTGAAGTTATCTCCAAGTTTCTCTATCACACATTTTCACAATGGGGGATAACTAAATAACTGATATTTAAATTAATTTCCATTATCTCTCTGCTGAATAGGATTATAACAAGTGTATGGGAAGGGAGCTGAAATATTTTTAATAGAAATCATATACATACTTACCTTTATGGGAGCAAAATTCATGATATATTCAAGTCAAATATTAGCATTATCCACTAGGCAAGTTATCTAACCAGGACTCATGTGAATTACAAAGTATTTGATAAAATCAAATAGGTTTCTTTTTTTCTATTTTTATATATTTTCAAGTAGAATTTGAAACAATAGATCCAATATTAAAGTATGTTAGAACACTTATTTGTGCTTTTATATTTATTTATGATGATTGAATAAAAATGTGGATATTCCTTAGAGCTTAATATAAGAAGATTAATAATGCAGCTTCCTTCCTTATTTCTCTCCACTTCTTATCACCTACCTTCCAAAAGAAAAACTAACTTTATCTATGTATGTATGTATTTATGTATTTACTTATGAGACAGTGTCTCACTCTGTGGCCCAGGCTAGAATGAAGTGGTGTGAATATGGTCCACTGCAGCCTCTATCTCCTAGGCTCAAATGATCCTCCCACCTTGGCCTCCAAAAATGCTGGGATTACAGGTGTGAGCCACTACACTTGCCAAAAAACTAATTTTAAATGAAATATGCATATTGTCTGGAATAATAAATGTAGACAATCATATAACACGTTTCATGCTAACAAGAAGTTTAGGTACAGAAAACAGAAGTTATACACTGTAAGAAAGATATGGCTTGGGAGGCCAAGGGGGGTAGATCACAAGGTAGAGAGAGCTAGACCATTCTGGCCAACATGGAGAAACCCCATATGTACTAAAAATACAAACATTAGCTGGGCTTGGTGGCGCGCGTTTGTTAATCCCAGCTACTCAGGAGGCTGAGGCAGGAGAATCGCTTGAACCCGGAGTCAGAGGTTGCAGTGAGCCAAGACTGTGCCACTGCACTCCAGCCTGACGATAGAGTGAGACTCCGTCTCAAAAAAAAAAAAAAAAGAAAGAAAGATATGCTATCTTGTGTTTCCTAGACTCATTATTCTAAAAACAATATTTTAACATCTTCTTTAACTGCAAAATTACCACTGATCTAAGAGAAAAGAAGGCAGGCTCTTATCCTGTCCTCAGTAGATATTTTTTCCTCTGTCTTCAGCATATCATAGTGCATTATTTGATAACCAGTGCCAAGCTACCAAGTATAACTGCTTAATATTGAAATGGGAAAAGTTCCCTTGTCTCCCTTGCAGGGCGTGCGATTGTGGTATGACTCACTTCTTCAGTGCCCTGCTGCTCGAACCTGTAGGGGGCGCATGCAGGCAGGCAGGCAGGCTGTGGGGCTTTGACTCCAAAGCAGAGTCTAGGGGTGAATGTTTACAGCTGAAGCCCCCGTGGGCGTGTGTTACAGTGTGCTCTTTCCGTTTAGCCATCTGCAGGCGGCTTGTGTTAATCAGCTCAGTTAGACCTTCTGCCTTATCGCAAGGACAGAGGGCTTTTTGTATCACAGGTTCTTGCCTGAGTGTATTGGAAAAAAATCGGATCACACATGGGCTTGGAATGAGTGCCAGAATTTGTATTGAGTGGTGGTGGCTCTCAGCGAGGTGGATGGGGAGGCCAGAAGGAGGATGGAGTAGGAAGGTGTTTTCCCCTGGAGTCCGGCTGCCCAGCGGTGGGGCTGTCCTCTGACCTCCCCAGCCAAACTCCCTGTCATTCCGCCAGTCGATGGCCTGCCGGCGCCTGTCGGCGCCTGTCACTGTGCTCTTCCGCTGGAGTGTTCCTCTGGACGTCCAGCTGCTTGTGTCTTCTTCCACCGATGTGTTCCTCTCCACATCCAGCCACTTGTGTCTCTGCCCACTAGGGTCTCGGGGGTTTTTATAGTCACAGGATGAGAGAGTGGTGGGCCAGGGTGGTCTTGGAAAATGCAACATTTGGGCACGAAGGCAAGAATGGCTGTCCTCAACTAGGTCCCTGGGCACAGGTCCCCGGGTGGAGCCCTCGCCAAGGACCCGCCCCCCGTCCCCCCTCCCATATCAGTGTGATGATGGAAAATGTTTCCATTTCACAGGAACACAGTTTACATTTTTGCTTCTGTGGATTGATTTTGAGGAATAAGGAGAGACTTGTTGTCACATAATTTTTCTGTCAGATGGACAGTAATCATTGATCACTTACAGCAATAATATTTTATAGGCAATTATTGACAGCCTATTTAATCACAAAGAGGTGGATTCCGCTGAAATTTGTTGTGTGTCTAAGAATTCAAAATTTGGAGAGTAGAATTATAACAGTAACTATCACCTTCAGTATTTTTAAAAAGCATGGTGTGAAAAATAGTGCCAACTATTGACCAATTTGGCTTGCTTTAGTTTTGCCTTATGGAAACTATTATGACACTTGAAAATTTATTCCTCTAATTCTTTGTCATTAATTACCTTACATGTACATTCTTCCCAACTGTAACACTGATATTATGTATAAATAGGTCCATCTGAACAGTTTGTTTGGGGAAAAAGGCTGTCTGGGAACATGTCAGTCTCAAAAAGTCTAAAGTTTTCCATAAAATGATTTTATTTTCTGTAACAGTTCTACCTTTGCAAATGAGCCTAAACTTTTATAAACTTACAACCATGTATTTTTTTCTTACTCAGGAAAATGAATGGCATTAACAGAGTGATGACATTTTCTCTTGCTATCACTTGAGTCATCAAGCATCATCTCATTAGTATTAAGCACTTTCCCTTGTGTCTGTAATTTATAGTGAGAACAAGCCACTCTGTGGCTAATGCAACCTGGCATGCCCTACCACATTATTGTTTCCCTTGCCCTGGTCTGCTGTGTTAACTGGAGGTCATAATTTCTATCTCCTTTGTCAATTACAGGCTTATCTTACGATATTCTGATCCTATTCTCCCTATGACCTAAGAGGACATCATCTTAGCCATCTTTTTCTGAATTCTAAACTGTACTTTATGTCAATGTCCTTTCATACAATTTGGATAATACATTATGCCAGTTACATCCACAGAAGGTTAACCTGACAATTTAGTCATGTTATAGCTGGCCTTACCTGTAGCATGATTGATTGAATGCTTGAGTTGATTCAATCAGACGTTGAAATTGTAAAAAGGATAAGACCATTCACTTTCCATAAAATTGCACTGTTTTTAAGCCTTTAAAGTTGAAACACCTTGAAAAGTGCCCTACGTTATAGATTTTCTTTTGTACAGGTGCCAATGGTAACTTTGTATGCTTAATTCTGAGGGGGAAAGTAGAGTAGGTGAAAAAGGATAGCACACATTTGGCAATCAAGTCGAGTGATTTTTCAGTTCATTAGGCTTTAGAATTTAAGCTGTTCTAAATAAGACAAATGTGTTCCCTTTAATATATAAAGCATAATTATTTCAAATTACTTACTTGGCTATCTGGTACATATTCTAAGATTATAAAAGGTGAATGAGTTAGTATTTTTGAATTTCAAGTGTTAACTTTAATATTCCATTACTTTTGTGGTACAGGAGTATGCATACGTGTATGTTGAATGGAGATATGTATGTGTGTGTGCCTACCCATAAGGAAAATGTTTCCTGCTCATAACCTCTCAAAATGTAACTATTAAAATTAAGACCATACTATTCAGGGAGTTGTTTTTCTAATGTATAAATTTCATTAAAAACTTTTGAAAAAATATTTATTCTATAAAATATTAATAATTTTCAATTGTAAAAGATTATCTTTATACATATAAATTTATTATAGGTTAAGTTTTACTGCAAATATTTGTGACCTATGCTGGGTAGTCAAAAGTAATATCCTCATTTTAAAATTAACTGGCATCTGTATATATACAGTGACTCTTATCTTTTCCTCATCAGCTCAACATATGAGGCTGCAGTGTCCAGGTCACTTGTATTAAATTAAAGCAAAAACAATCTTAATTTAGTCCTTGTTTTTATTCTGCCTGAAAATATTCTTCCCCAGATAACCATATGCTTCACACCTTCACCTCCTTTATTCTTTGCTCAGAGAATCCTTTTCAATTAGTCGTATTTAAATTACCACATCAGTTACTGAAACTTACATAATATATTTATTTTCTCATTCATGTGATTCTTGTCTATTTCTTCCTCTTACAATGTAGTCTCTGGGAGGTCAGGAAAGTTTGTCTGATATGTTTCCCCTGTATCTCCAAGGCCTACATGAGTGCCTAACACATATTAGGTGCTCAACAGATATTTACTGAAAGGATAAAAAAATCTGTCTTATTTGTGTTTCTTATAAATAATTTAGTATTTACTGATTAATAAATAATTTTTCTTGATCATATTTCACATTTTTTATTTTATTCACTTGAACATGTTGAAGAAAAAACATTATTTTGATAATTTGGTATAACTTAGGTACATACATATGTCAATTTGCACACAGTGAAAGATTAAGAACTCTACAAAATATATTTATCTTCTAGATTACTTGTGGTAGAGATTCTAGTTGTGTATTAGTCCGTTCTCATGCTGCTATGAAGAAATACCCGAGACTGGGTAATTTATCAAGAAAAGAGCTTTAATTGACTCACAGTTCTGCATGGCTGGGGAGGCCTCAGGAAACTTACAGTCATGGTGCAAGGCACCTCTTCACAGGGCAGCAGGAGAGAGAAGTGCAGAATGAGGGGGAAAAAAGGCCCCTTATAAAAACCATCAGATATCATGAGAACTCACTATCATGAGAACAGCATGGGAGAACCGACCCCACGACCTAATCACCTCCCACGAGGTTCCTTCCCCAGCACATGAGGATTACAATTTGGATTACAATTCAAGATGAGATTTTGGGTAGGGACACATCCAAACTATGTCGAACAGTGAGTGATCTTCAGAGTGCTGTATATTTTTGGCATAATCATCCTGACAGGATTTTCTTAAAATTAAGATAAAATACAGAGAAGAATTTTTTCAAGTATAATCAGGAAGAGAGTTGCCCCAGTGAACTTGTCATAGATGTTGTACTTCTTACTCCTTTGGGTTATTATTAAATCATATCCTTGATCCTCTCTTAGCCTTGTTTCAGAGATTTTGACCAATTTTTAAATCTGGGGATGGATCTTAAGCCTCTACACACATCTGCATAAGATGTGTGAGGCAAATAAAATAGCAAATAAATGAACACTGAAGCTTACTCATATCTTTTGTGTGGAAAGTCACGGAAAATGATGAGCAAATGTATGGCTGTACATTGATCTTAGTACTTAAAAATAAAAGTCACAATGCATTTAATTCTTCTGGTTGCTAAGGGACCTCTGTATCCAGAGTGTAAATTTTTGAAGCACAAAGCCTGCTATGTGCTCTCTATTCACCAATTCTCAATTTGCAAACATATAGGAGCTCTCAGGGGGGATTTTTTAAAAAATGTGTCTTTATGAAGAACAAATCAGATCAGACTAATCTAATTCCCTCTGTGACAGAGTGACAGACCCTGTGGTTAAGAGGAAAGCAATAGATATAAGATCTTTATTTCAGTCAGACTCCTAATTCACTCTCATATGACATTAATTAGGGAGCAGCAAAGCAGAGTTGAGATCCTGCTATTAAAGCATGGGTCTGCAACTGCTTGGAAGGTCACACTCAAAGAGTAGTTATTAATCGGTTGATGCTGCCCTGAGGGATGGGGGTGGCTGTTGAGTGATGCTTCAGATTCTGTCCTAGGTCCATTACTATATCTTTATGAATGACTGGGATGATTAAGTAAAGCTCTTAATCCTTAAGTTCATGGATAACATCAAGTTGGAAGGGGTAACTGTCCTTGGAGAATAAACTTGAAAATTTAAATGACCTTCTTGAGACGAGAAAGTGGCTTGTGCAAACACAACAAAGCACAAAGGATTGCATCCTCGGAAAAATGTAAGGGGAAGCAAACAAAAAAAAACTCAACAAACTGAAAGTGGGATGTTGTAGGACTATATTTTTAGGTAGCCAAAATGGGAGAGTGCAGTTAAATTAGCCTCCAAAGAGGGTAATTTAAAAATACTTACCATTCTCCCAAATGACTGCACTGCATGTAAGAATATGGAGAAGTTCCTGCTTTTGAGTAGAATGTGACAAGTCTCCATTTTTGTCAGTTAAACTGCTCATCACCTATCCAATTTTACATACCTGTCTTTACTTGATATCCTAGGCTAGCCACACCTTCGTATTCCTTTCTATTTCATTAGAACATGTGAAAAAGTCTTCCTGGCAGATAAAGAAGATACTGCCACTTACAGGTATCTGTTTGCCAAATGAAGTGTGCATTTTATTTTCCTTGACCCTATTTTGCTCAAGCTGGCTATCTTGGTTTCTGTTACCCTATCCTCTTAGTTTTTACCCAAATATTGTAATCATTGATTTTCCTTATATTCTAGTCTCATGGTTTCTGATCAGTAGGTGAATTTCATCCCCTTGATTTATTGGATCTGGGTTCTGGCTGCTTGCTAAACTTGACCATAATAACATTGCAGTGTCATTTAATATCACAGTGCTTTCAGACTCTTGCATGTCTGCTTCTTTCAACCTCTGACCTCATCCCAGATGATAACTTGTCGGTTTTGACTCCCTGCCAAGATTTAACCCAGCACCTAACCTTGATTTCTGGTGTTTATTTTTTCTCTATCTCCAAATTGATTACCTGGCTGCAGACCTCTGACATCCTTTTGGCCACCTTCTGTAGCCTACATACACAGGGCTAGGCTTGAGCTCCATGCCTGCCTCCTATGTGAATATCTTAAATGATATTTATTGCTTTGGGGATGGGGAAGATTCTGAAAGAATCACAAAACAAAAGCATTGTAAAATTAAAACTGTACAAAGAAAACTCAGAGGTACTGAAAATCCCTTGCATTTCCCATTCTTTTTTACTAAGAATGTTTCAACATGACAATCTGGTATATAATCACCCAAGTATATATACCTATAACATTTGATACATAATAAACATTTTTAATAAAATGCTATAATTTGCTGCAACTTGCTTTTTCATCAGTTTCCTTTTGATGAATATTTCTAGGTTTCTCCTATTATAAAAAGTGCTGTATCTGTATCCTCATAAGTTTGTCTTTGACATTTACATATATGTTTCTAGGATAAATTTATTGAAATGTAACTGATAGAAATTGAAAGAAACTATGATGATGTCTTAATGACATAGGGATTTGATTGCAGTCTATTCTAAAATGCTCAAGCTTCAGGTAAATATCTATACATTGAATTGTGAGCCATCTAATTTTCCACTTTTTTTTTAACACAAAACCCTTTTAAAACTTAAACATAAAGATAATAGCAATATATGTAATTTATATTTGAAAAAGTATCAGTGATATCTGAGACTTTTCTTTCTGAAGCTCAATTATTGTGATAATTAAGCTTGTAAGCCAAAGAGAATAGTTTTTCACGCTGTTATTATGATAATGTTTATCCACCCCCCCCAACAAAAATCCAACTTTTATTTCTTTCGATTATTTTTTCAAAATTTGGTGTAAATTTAAATTTAATATTTTGGGTTTCACTCAAAGATCTTCTTTTTGTAGATTACCACAATTAAAGATACATATCTCTGACCATTGAACACAACTTTTAAACATTTCAAAACAAATTAAGAGCAAAATAAGCTTTAGAATATAAATATAATTTCTTTTCATTATTGGAGAGCAAACCTTTAGCAATATCCTTGGGGCCCTGGCATTATCTATTAGAATGTGGCATTTCAGATCCACAGGTCTAAATTTTCTACTTTAGTCTGCTTCTATTTTCAAACTCAGTTTCTAAAATACCAGTTTTCCTTAAAAGCTAAAATGTTAGGAACGACAGAAGCAGTGGAAGGCACTGCTTCTGTTATAAAGCTTTGGATTTTCTGGTTACATAGAAATGTTTACCTGAAGTAAACATGATATAAGACTGAAAGCCTGAAATGGTCTTAGAATTTTATTAGGTTCCCCCAAAAGAATCATTTTGAGTAAGGTGGCTGATGTAATCAGTATTTTTGGAAAAAAAAATATAAAAGGTGAAATGTACTAAAGAATTTTACTTGTACTTTACAACCATGAAAGTAGGAAGAGTGAAATTGATTAGAGATTAAAAATATAGATACTCTCACAGTCAGAAAAGAAATAGGCAATCATAGGAAAAGGAATTTTTAAGAAAGCAATTTTCAAAATTATGACATTATTATTCTGCAATGTGGAGCTCTCCATGTTTGTGAAGAGGTATGTGATCATTGTTCTTCATTATTCTTCTGTGACATGGTAAGATAGGACTTCAAGATGAGTCAAGTTATGTAGACATAAAAACAAAAGAAACAAACCAGACGACTTTTCTTGAACCCCAGTGAATAAGAATGTGAACAGATACAAAACAGGAATACATACAAGACTAAAACAATATGGAATCAATTTATTCTTATATCCTGCTGGGCTTTAAATTTTCATTATTGAATTTTAAAAATTATTTTTGGGTTCTATGACTTAAGTAGGTCAGGTATTTTAGTTATCACTTTATCAGGGGAATAACACACTTTTACACTACATCCAGGAGACCAGTAGATGGATGTCCAGTTTGCTATACAGAGTTAATAGTGCAGACGATCCCTGGTTTAGGATGGTTCAATTTAAGATGTTTCAACTTTACAAATGTAATTCCATTATAAATTGAGGAGCATCTGGATTTATGTTGCTTTGACTTAGGATTTTTCTACTTCACAACGGGTTTATCAGGGCATTAAGTTCACTTTTGACTTATGATAGGTTTATTGGGACGTAACCCCATCATCAGTAAGTCAAGGAGTATCTGTATATGGAAGATCTGGAATACATTTTTAAGGTACAAGTTACAATATTCCTGTGATTACAGAAGGTAAGACACATCAAAAAAAAAATCTGAGATCTACCAAAAATCTTTGCCTCTGGGAAGATTTTTCACGGCCCTTTCCAAATTCCCCTGATTACTAGCAATCATTTTATTTTCTGAACTGCTAATGTATCTGTAAATGAATCTTTCTAGGTATCCATAACACTTTACTGAACTTGTTTTTCACATATCTAACTCCTTGTATCCAAGTTAGGCATATCTTATTTGACTACCTACGGTGCATATGAGAATACCCAATGTCTAGTAAGTACCAAATAAATACTATTGATTATTTGCTGAATCTTAAAGCATCCTCTGAATTAACTCCAATCTACTTATCATTATAATTATCATCATAAAATAATATGTCAAAAAACAACTATTTATTGTGTCCATTATGCATAAAGCAACTATGAATTGCTTTTATATGTGGGAGAATATTAGCTGTCATACAAAGCAAATGAAACAGGCGCTAATTTTTTCAGTAGATTGTATTTTGAATTATGAAATTAACAAGGTAGACATATATAAACACAAATAATGCACACATGTGTGTATTATACATGTGCATGCATAATACATACATATATGTGTGCATACACATATACACATAAATATATAAATACTATATATATAGAGAGAGAGAAAGAGAGAGACTTGAATATGCATAGAAAAATGCAGAGCCCTATAGAACAATCTATGCAAAGTGTGGTTCATGCGCTGGCTATGAACTCTCTGTTAGTTACTGGTCTGCAGTAAGATGAAGCACTTGAGCTGAAAAGTAAATCAGATATAGAAGTAAGGACGATATTTAGTTGAGCTGACTTTTTTTTTTTTTTTTTTTTTTGAGACGGAGTCTCGCTCTGTCGCCCAGGCTGGAGTGCAGTGGCGGGACCTCGGCTCACTGCAAGCTCCGCCTCCCGGGTTCACGCCATTCTCCTGCCTCAGCCTCCCAAGTAGCTGGGACTACAGGCGCCCGCCACTACGCCCGGCTAATTTTTTGTATTTTTAGTAGAGACGGGGTTTCACCGTTTTAGCCGGGATGGTCTCGATCTCCTGACCTCGTGATCCGCCCGCCTCGGCCTCCCAAAGTGCTGGGATTACAGGCGTGAGCCACCGCGCCCGGCCGAGCTGACTTTTTTTGATAGCAAGAAGTTCTTGTTGAAGAAAACAGTGACTTGATTTACATGCTGGCACAAGTTCCTGATCTTGTTGTGGGCTGGCATTTCAAGTAGCACTGCAATATAAAACTAATGTGTTTAATCTGCATGCAGAAGGATCTATGCTCCATGACAACATTTCTACCACTTCAGCTGTTGACCATGCAGCTAACTGCAAAGAAAGATGATTCACTGACTTACAATATCCCATTAGTTCATGTACCATAAGAGAATACCTCAACTTTATAATATGAAAGTACTACATATTATAGGAACATCAACAGAAAAACAGGCAAAAGAAACCATTTGGATTTTTATATAAGTGCTCATAAACAGATCAATGAGTTCAACATCGTAACGAATGGACAAATGTGAATGGAGACTATAATAGACACCATGTCTCACCTATTGAATCCCTCCCAAATTTAAAAATTGGATAGTATCAAGTGCTGACAAGGACGCAGAGTATGAGCACTTATCTATTGCCAGTATCTAAAATGGTAAATATATACAACTATTTTGCTTCTATTTGTCATGCTTCAAGACTCCTCTATCCTACTATCTTCTTCTCCTGAATCCCTTCAGTGTCCATGATATTGAGTCTCCTTTATTATTTTCTATTCAGTGCCCACTCACTTTGAACCATGGTATACATAGCCTGTCTTATATTGTTATTTTAATAACTTCATTCCGTGCTTATTCTCCTTCATTTTCCCAAATAGGTTGCAAAATCCTTGACAGCAAAAATGTATTTTGAGCATGTATTTTATATTTCATTGTTATTAATCTTCTCAGAATCCAGCACAATGCTTCTTATAAAGAGTTTAGTTAAATTCATATTTGCAAATGAGATTGAAACATAATGAAACACTATCCTAAACGGAGTAGAGAAAAAATGGTGAGGAGAAAAGGAAGTTTTTTAACCATCTTTGTATCCAAAGGTGTATATATATATATATACGTGTGTGTGTGTATATGTATATATATATATATATGTTTATATATATATGTGTATATATATATATTGCTTGGATGCACTGAGAATAAGGACCAAAGGTCTATTAACAGCTTTAGTTTATTTCTAAAATGAAAAGAAAAGAGAATAAAAGCTAACATATATGACTTGGAGCGGACTTGGGGAAGAGCAAGGGCAGAGGGTGAGATCACACAACTAAAGAATATTAGAGCAAAAATAGACTAGAGGTAAAATTGAGGATAAATCATTTTATCATTTAGCATTCTAAGGCCCAGAAAAGTTAATCGGGAGGATGTCTAGCTACTTATTCACAAACCCTATGTCTCTGATCACTTCATATAGCAAACAGGATGTTTTTAAAGAACAATTAAACAAGGAAAGTAGAATATATTAGTATTTGGGCATAGTTAAGTTGTTAGCCTTATAAACATGAAAGAAAATATATAGCTTAAAGGTGAAATTTGCTCAAGATTAGAAACAAGAATCTATAATAGATGTTTAAAAACTTTTAAGCCAATGATACTGCTGGAGGCAGTCAAACCACCCCTTCTCTTCCCAAGGAGGACCTAGGTTTATTCTAGAGTAGCCAGCCGGGTTAGGCAACGTGCCCACTGTGTCACTGATCCAACCTTGCTATCAATTGGTAACTAAGTGGAGCTCCTGGTGATGCATTTCCACTGACACCATGATTCTGAAGTACTCCTGGCTGTCACTTTCATTCTTTGGGTAGTTATATTCTCCTGAGTGGCCAGAATGAGATTAAATTGGGAGCAATGAGTTCCAAAAACTTTGTGAATTCTCTTGCAACATGTTCAGTTGTCAAAGCCAAATGCAGTCAACAGGCAGTTGTATTCTATTGTTGTAATAAACATTATTTTATATTGTTTGGTAACAATAAAGAATGGATAAATTAGAAAACTCTCAAGGTTCATTTTCAAGAGGGACTTGACTTTTATTATAATTTTGCTAAAGGTAATCTTAGATGGAGGTTTGAATTAATAATAACTCGGATTTCTGAAAGGACAATTTTGTTAAATGTTCATAGTGTTTAAATATGCCTCATACTCTTTAAATAATATACAAACATATACATCAGATAAGTGTAGAGGAAAAATGGAAACCATTGAGATGCAGCTATTCTTTAATGTTTGTCTTTATCTAACATTATGTGGTCATATTCTGAGAGGCAGGTAAAAGAGCTGATCCAATGATAACCTGTGAACTTCAGATTATTGTTTAATAAAGCAATATGACCATCTGTGTTAAGGAATAACCTATATTCACATTTAAACTTCTTTAGGCAATTTACACTGTTTTCCATTGCACTTGTGGGTGTGTGTGTGTGTGTGTGTGTGCATGTTGCAGTGTTAGTTGCAAATGTGGATGAGGTGGTGCTTTGGAGAGTTAACTGTGTTACAAGCCTTGATTCTTCCTTTGTCTTATTGTGTGACTTCATAGAAATAACTTACCTTTTCTGTGTATTTTGTTTGCCAAACTGCAAAATACTTGCATTTAACGTATTTGTGAGGCTAAGTTAGGTGAGAGACAGCAAGCATTTTCAGCTCTTCAGCTTATATATGCCGTATAAATACAAAATACAGACATCTGTATGCATTGAACAGAATTTTGCTGTGACAACTATAAATACAGAAATATATATTTGGCTACTTAAATTGATCATTGGTTGAAACATTTATTTCAAAAATTAGCTATACTTCTGAGATATTTTCATCCACTCAGTGCAACAGACTTGACCTCCACAAGGCAGCCCTCTGATTATTACTGTGAAGCATGAGTTGTGTGAACTCTGTTTCTGAATTTGTGTTAAAAAGGAGCTTTTTATTTGCAAGATATTACCTAACCTCAATTACTGAGTGATACACAGACAATCGACCCCATATTTACTACATATGAGAATACCATAATATTGACTCCAACTCTGAGCCAGGGATGTGCTTGTTATAGTCTTCCTTCCTCTTTTTAAAAGATCATTTATGCTGTATCTCCAGGTCACATATTATGGTGGCTATAATTGAAGCTATTTTGTACATTCAATGGCATCTTCGCTAATGGCTCTTCTGTGGGAGTGACTATTACTACTTTCACAAATAAAGGTTTTTAAAGACCTTTTCTTTTAAAAACAAAATTACCCAAAAGTATTACAGTTGTTGATGGGCTTTCAAATCTTCTCAGAATTATTTCAAATTGTATGTTTATGTAACACATAAGGCTCATTGACACGGTAGCTAGAGATACTTCTAAAGCAAATATTTTTGAGATCTGAAAATACAAGTGTATATGTAGGTTTTCTTATACTTTTCATAGTCCACATTTTATGAAAGCACGTGGGAAGATAAATCTACAATAAAATTAGGGAATAAAAGAATATTAAGTGAGTTGATCAAGCTAATTATAACTCTTATTTTGTGTTAACAAAATAATATCTATTGAATACAATAGATATTATTAAATTGTCTTCTTTGTGTCTCTGTACTCCAGGTACTTTTAAAATTCTTGTTTAGATAGTCACAAGAAAGACATTATAGAATAAAGATATTTTTTAGATAATTAAAATTAATCTTGCATTTTGTATTCTACTTCCAAGGAAATGAATTGTTTTCAACGGTTTATAGTTTATAATTGAATCTTTAGTATCCTAAGAAACCCAAAACTTGCAATAGCCTTGCTGTCTTTTTAAAGCATCTATGTACACAAAGTCATAGAAGTTCATGCTTACTGTTTGATACCTATGATTTTTGAGCTCTAATTTCTGACATTAACAAGTCAGAATGTGATGTTGGGAACAGAAAGGGAAATATTACGTCTCTGGGTCAAATGTGATTCTAAAATTCGTTCATTTTTCTTTTATTCTTTCTTTATCTACTAGTTCTGGACAGAGACTTAGGTTGTTTCCATAGCTCGGCTATTATGAATAATGATGCAATGAACATGGGAGCACGGATATCTGTACAACATGCTGATTTTATTTCCTTTGGGGTACACATTCAGAAGGGAGATTGCTGTGTCACATGGTACTATGGTGGGAAAAAGTGATTATAAAGTCGTACTCATCACTTCCGGACGTGCGGACATCATCTGGCATTAAAATGGCAAGCAGATCTTTATCTCAAGAGAACTCAGGGCTCACAGAGGGGTTAAAGAGTAACCAAAATACCTCAAGTGATGGAAATTCGGCTTTAATTCCATCATTCAGCTTAGGTACACCAGTCAGACCTGCTGCCTTACTTCACTAAGAAGAGGGCATGTCACTCTTTCAGTAAAACAGACAGAATAAGACTGAGAGAGTGTATGTCCTTGGCAATGTAGAGTTTAATTATGGAATACAGTAAGATTTCAGACTATCTTAAGATGAGGATTTGCATTGTTATAGCTTAGTAACTTCTGTTTCCAGAGAGGTGTAAATTGGTTATGACCTTGGAGTCTTTATATTACAGTTACATATTTTCTTAGTAAAAGATTCATAAATGCAGTTCTTATCATAGTAAACTTTTAAAAATTCTGAAAAAAAAACCCTCATAATTAGAACAGTTGGGAGATGCTGTACTCAGCTCCTATATTTTATTTATAAAAGAGAAGAAAGCCATTCAAGACACTGGATCAAGACTGTTCAAGTTTGAAACACACTTACCATATGTGTAATGTTGACCTAGTAACTTCACTTTTTGGTTCTTCAGTGTCATTATCTGAAAAGTGAGAATGGAAATAATACCTAAGGTTTATTGGGAAGATTAAGTTCAAGAACACATATGAAAAACTTGGAACAGTGCCTGGCACTTAATAAGTGTTTAATAAATTCTAGCTGTTATTTTTTTTCCATGCCTCTTTATTTTTTATTTTTTATTTTTTTAAATTTTATTATTATTATACTTTAAGTTTTAGGGTATATGTGCACAACGTGAAGGTTTGTTACATATGTATACATGTGCCATGTTGGTGTGCTGCACCCATTAACTCGTCATTTAGCATTGGGTATATCTCCTAATGCTATCCCTCCCCCCTCCCCCCACCCCACAACAGTGCAGCAAAGACTTGGAACCAACCCACATGTCCAACAATGATAGACTGGATTAAGAAAATGTGGCACATATACACCATGGAATATATGCAGCCACAAAAAATGATGAGTTCATGTCCTTTGTAGGGACACGGATGAAGCTGGAAACCATCATTCTCAGCAAACTATCGCAAGGACAAAAAACCAAACACTGCATGTTCTCACTCATAGGTGGGACTTGAACAATGAGATCACATGGACACAGGAAGGGGAATACCATAGCTGTTACTTTTACTAAAATTTTATATAGTATATACTGAAGGCATACCCACATGATGTTTTGATAAACATATGCACAATGAAATGATTGCTACAGTCAAACATATTAACGTGTCCGTCTCCTCACATGCATGCTTTTATTTTGTATTAAGAGCACCTGAACTCTGCTCAGCAGATTTTCGGCATACAATAAAATAGTATTAACCATACTCCTTATGCTGAAAATTATGTCTGTAAATTTATTCATCCTACATAACTGTACCTTTCTATCTTTGACCTACATCTTCTGATTCCCTCCCCCACATTGCCCTGCCCCTGGTACAAAGGTGCTGATTTTATTTCCTTTGGGGTATTTACACAGAAGGGGAATTACAGAGTCATCTGGTAGTCTTACTTTTAATTTTTGGAGAAACCTCATACTGTTTTCCATAATGGCCGTATCAATTTATATTCCCACCAACAGTGTTGGTTATCTTTTTTTCACACTCTCATCAACATCTATCTTTTGCCTTTATGATAATAGGCATTTTGACAGATGTGAGGTGATACTTCTTTGTGGTATTGATTTGCATTTTCCTGATGATTAGAGACACTGAACACCTTTTCATATACCTGTCATACTATTGCTGATTCTGAAAAAGGAGCCATTTTATCTCTTATTTAAATCATTATTTTTTCTACTATTGAAAATTTATAACAAATATATGATATATTTGATTTCATAGTCTGTAAGAGATTAGAAAGATTAAATAATATAATTAGATATACATTAGGAGGTGGGGGAGGACCAAAAAAATGTGTGCGAGTTCCCAAAGATAGAAGAAAGAACAAGTAGCTGTCAGTTAATAGCGGCACATAAAACTGGACAAAATTAGTACAAAAATTTTAAAGGCCTACGTATCTAGGTCATCTCAGGCCATTTAGTTTAAAAGGTGTAACACTATTTCAATATTTACTATGGGAATGAAAATAATAAAATAGAGTAAATAATATTTTAAAATGAATTCCTTGGATTATTAAAATAGCTTAAATTATGTTCAGTGCATTACGTTAAAGCATAGCAATATATCTCTAAAATATTTTAGTGAGGGCTTATTTCAGACTTTGTTTATTAAAGAAAATTACTTTATATTATTTAGATGCATTTTTGCATTATAAAATCACACGTTGCCTTTATACTTAAATAACCTGTCTCTTTGCTGCCCTTGCATTTTCTGCCTATTCTGGTCTCATACCCAGCTGCAAGTTCCCCTTCAGTCATATCTCCAGCAGCTGTCTCCTGTGCTCGCTTCTCCAGTTCAAGGCCGTGGTGCTTTATCTGCTCCAGTGCCACTCAAGGGTATCAATGCTAAGTCCTCTCCTGTCTGAGAAGTTACATGAAGTCATCACCAATCTCCTGGGATTCACCATGAGCCAGATACTCACGGCAGGGACTTTCCCTCTCCACCTCCATCACCACTGTTGTCCTAATTCCTCAGAAACACTGCTCCCTTGAGGCCACAATGAGTTAAAGCCACACTGTGCCCATGTTCCTTCATGCTTCTTCTCTCAATATTTTTTCAGAATTTTATACATAATTTACTAAAAACTTATTATGTACTATACATATTATAGACATGAAAGATATGATTGTTACATAGACCTAATTCCTGGCTCAGTGAAGTGGAAGATGAATGCAAGTAAATTAGCCATTAAAATATAACCAAGCACTTATGGATCTACAGCTGAGACTCAGATATTGTTATTTTTAACTTTTCCCTTATTACTCCATCTGCCTCCTCTCCAGTGTCAGGTTACTAAAATCCAATGACATGAAGGGCAGTTTACTTTGGACACTCAGAGATGAGGCTGCACAATGGGAGGGTGCACAAGTGTAAGAATCTGGGAGAAATTGCTGGGTTGAAATCAACATACATTTTCCATTTTATTAAAACGATGCCAAATAATTGTCCCAAATTGGTTATACCAATTTATATTCTAACCCGCAATGTGTGGCCATTCACCTTGTTTTTCTACTTCATCAAATTTTTCATTTTCTTTTTTAACATTTGACAACCTGTGAAGGAAACATGCTTTTTAAAATTTTCACTCTACAGTTAGATATATCTATGTATGTACTTTAGATATATCTGTGTATATACTTTCACATATGACAAAGTCATATATGACTTTGTATATACATATATATGCATATCTATCTATAAAGATTTTATATAGGATAGTTCATAATCATATAATTTACCAAATCATTATAAGGCAAATACCCATATAATTTATACTTGCATCAAGTACAGAATATTCATAGCACCTCAAAGTCTCATTCATGTTCCTTTGCAATAAAAATCTCTCTCTTGAGCACCATGTCATACTCTCTCGAGAAGTAATGTTAACACTGGATCATTCTTTTTCCCATGTGATTCTTCTTCACTCCAATCATTTAATTCATCTGTTCATTTTAAGTCAAGCATTTTACACCTAAGAATGGTTCTTTGCATTTCCCACAAGTTCTTGAATAAGGAGTTAATTTAGATTCTGATTGTTTTTGTTTTTGTTTTTTCTGTTTTTGTTTCATTTGCGCATTGTTTATTGAGCTGTTCCTCAACTTTAAGCTTTCTTTCACTCAAATACTTACCTAGAGTGCTGACAAAACAATTCTACTTTCTAAACACAGTCAAGGTGAACATTATTTATTCCAATGCAATTCTGGTAGTATTTAAACACCTCCACATCCATGAATCCTATAAGGATGCTACGCACTTAGAAGGGTCTTTTCATTTTCACAGCAGTATTTGGCATACACAGACAGGTCAGGTATTATATGAAGATAATAAAAATAAAGGAGCTTACCACAAGGAAAAAAAACCTATTATTAATTGTTTGAGAGAGGCTCTCCTTGTAGTGAAAGAAATATGCTGCTTCCTGCAGGATTTCATAGCATCATATTGCTAGGAGGGAACTAAGAAATCATCTAATCCTATCCCTCAAGGTTTAGGGAGGTGAACTGATGTACTGTTGACCCTTGCATTTATATATGACTTTTCTTTGTCAGGATAAAAAACAACCAAAAACAACAAGAAAAACAATCAAAGGGTAGAAATTATAGACCTATAATGAGATGATGTTAATATGCTTTTATTTTTTAATTAAAAAACACAGGCAAATAAAAAATGCAGCAAACTCAAAATGCAGATTTTATAATAAACACCCATACAACCAAAACCTAATATTGACAGTATTCATTTATTGTATTTGCTTTAATTTTTGTATATAAATACTGTAAAGTTAGAATTTCTCTTATTCTCTACAGCCAGTTGCCTTGTCTTTCTCTGAAGTCACCACTGGCATATATTAAGTTAATAGCCTTCTAGTTCTTTTAAAAGTACTGCTGCCTACATTTTAATTTTCCCATTATTTTTGATATGTTTTTTATATTAGTGAATGTAGTCATTTTTATATACTTTCTAGAAATCACGTTTCTCTCAATATTCTTTTTTGAAATCTACGGTTATATATTGATGTAATTTATTTCTTACAAGTAACATATAGTATTTAATTGTAGGAACAGATTTAATTTTATTTGCTCATATTCTTCTATTAGACATTTCAATTGCTTTGAAATTTTACATGTTGTAAACAATGTCGTGATAAAAAAATGCTTGTATGTGTCTCTTTGGGATGATTTTCAAGAGATTCTTGGCAAGGGGTCTTACTTTGTCATAAGCATGTACACTTAATTTTTTGATTTTTTTAACTTTATTTTAAGCTCAGGGATATAAGTGCCCATTTGTTACATAGGTAGACTTGTGTCGTGCGGATTTGTTGTACAGATTATTTCATCATCCAGGTATTAACCTAGTAGCCATTAGTTGTTTCTCCTGTTCCTCTCTCTCCTTTCATCTCCATCCAAAAGTCCCCATTGTGTGTTGTTCCTCTCCATGTGTCCATGAGCTCTCATCATTTAGTTCCCACTTTATAAGTGTGAATGTGTGATATTTGGTTTTCTGTTCCTGTGTTACTTTGCTAAGGATAATGGCCTCCAGCTGCATCCATGTCCTTGCAAAGGACATGATCTCATTCCTTTTTATGATTGCATAATATTCCATAGTGTATATGTACTATATTTTCTCTATCTAGTCTATTACTAACGGACATTTAGGTTGATCCATGTCTTTGCTATTGTGAATAGTGCTGCAATGAACATATACGTGCATGTGTCTTTATAATAGAATGATTTATACTCCTTTGGATATATATATACAGTAATGGGATTGCTGGATCGAATGGTATTTCTGTCTTTAGTTCTTTGGGAAATCACTACACTGTCTTCCACCATAGCTGAGCTAATTAACACTCCCACCAACAGTGTATGAGCATTCCTTTTTCTCTACAACCTTGCCAACATCTGTTATTTTTTGACTTTTTAATAATAGTCATTCTCACTGGTGTTAGATGGTATCTCACAGTGTTTGTTTGTTTGTTTTTGAGACAGAGTCTCTCTCTGTCGCCCAGGCTGGAGTGCAGTGGAACTATCTGCTCACGGCAACTTCTGCCACGTGGATTCAAGTGATTATCGTGCCTCAGCCTCCTGAGTAGCTGGAATTACAGGTGCACACCACCATGCCTGGCTAATTTTTGTATTTTTAGTAGAAATGAGATTTTGCCATGTTAGCGAAGCTGGTCTTGAACTCCCAACCTTAATTGATTTGCCCTCTTTGATTTCCCAAAGTGTTGTGATTACAGATGTGAGCCACTGCGTCCAACCTCATTGTGGTTTTAATTTGCATTTCACTAATGATCAGTGATGTTGAGTTTTTTTTTTTTTTTCATTTGATTGCTGGCCACATGTATGTCTTCTTTTGAAAAGTGTCTGTTCATATCATTTGCCCACTTTTTAATGTTTTTTTTTTGTTTTCGTAAATTTAAGTTCCTTATAGATGCTGATTATTAGACTTTAGTCAGATGCATAGTTTGCAAAAATTTTCTCCCAGTCTGTAAATTGTTTGCTTACTCTGTTCATATTTTATTTTGCTGTGCAGAAGCTCTTTAGTTTAAATAGATCCCGTTTGTTAATTTTTGCTTTTGTTACAATTGCTTTTGGCGTCTTAGTCATAAAACTTTTGCCCGTGCCTATGTCCTTAATGGTATTGCCTAGGTTGTCTTCCAGGATTTGTATACTTCTGGGTTTTACACTTAAGTCTTTAACCCATCTTGAGTTGATGCTGTATATGGTGTAAGGAAGGGTCACAGTTTCAATCTTCTGCATATGGCTAGACAGTTATCCCAGCGCCACTTATTAAATAGGGAATCCTTTCCCCATTGCTTGTTTTTGTCAGGTGTGTTGAAGATCAGATAGTTGTAGGTGTGTGGCCTTATTTCTGAGTTCTGTATTCTGTTCCGTTGGTCTATATGTCTGTTCTTGTACCAGTACCATACTGTTTTGGTTACTGTAGCCCTGTAGCATGGTCTGGAGTTGGGTAATGTGATGCTTTGGGCTCTTTTTTGGGCTCTTTTTTGGTTCCATAAGAATGCTAAAATAGGTTTTTCCAGTTCTGTAAAGAATGTAAATGATAGTTTAGTGGGAATAGCATTGAATCTATAAATTGCTTTGGGCAGTATGGCCATTTTCACGATACTGATTCTTCCTATCCATTAACATAGAATGATTTTCCATATGTTTGTGTCATCTCTGATTTCTTTGAGCAGTGGTTTGTAGCTCTTCTTGTAGAGATCTTTCAACTCCCTAGTTAACTGTACTTCTTGGTATTTTATGCTTTTTATGGAAATTGTGAATGGAAATTCATTTTAGCTCTTCGCTTGACTGCTGTTCGTGTATAGGATGCTAGTGATTTTTGCATATTGATTTTTATATCCTGAGCCTTTGCTAAAGTTGCTTATCAGCTTAAGAAGGTTTTGGGCTAAGATGATGGGGTTTTCTAGATATAGGATCATGTCACCTGCAAACATGGATAGTTTGACTCCCTCTCTTCCTTTTTGAGTGCGCTTTATTTCTTTCTCTTGCCTGATTGCTCTGGCTGGAACGTCCAGTACTATGTTGAATAGGAGTAGTAAGAAAGGCATCCTTGTCTTGTGCCGGTTTTCAAGGGGAATGTCTCTAGCTTTTGCCCATTCAGTATGATGTTGCCTGTGGGTTTGTCATAGATAGCTCTTAACATTTTGAGGTATGTTCCTTCAATATCTAGTATATTGAGAGTTTTTAACATGAAGGAATGTTGAATTTTATTGAAAGCCTTTTCTACATCTATTGAGATAATCGTGTGGTTTTTGTCTTTATTTCTGTTTATGTGATGAATCACATTTCCTGATGTGCATATGTGAACCAACCTTGCATCCTGGAGATGAAGCCAACTTGATCGTAGTGGATAAGCTTTTTGATGTACTGCTGGATTCGGTTTGCCAGTTTTTTGTTGACAATTTTGTATCGATGTTCATCAAGGCTATTGGCCTGAAGTTTTGTTGTTGTTGTTGTTTTATTTCTGCCAGGTTTTGGTATCAGGATGATGCTGGTCTCATTGAATGAGTTAGAGAGGAGTCCCTCCTTTTCAATATTTTTGCAATAGTTTCAGTAGTAATGGTACCAGCTCTTCTTTGTACATCTGGTAGAATTCAAGTGTGAAAGCTGTCTGGTACTGGGCTTTTTTTTTTGTAGGTAGGCTATGTATTACTGCCTCAATTTCAGAACTCATTATTGGTCTGCTCAAGGATTCAATTTCTTCCTGTTTCAGTCTTGGGAGGGTGTATGTGTCCAGCAATTTATCAATTTTTTTGCTAGATTTTCTAGTTTATGTGCATAGAGGTGTTTATAATATTCTCTGATGGTTGTTTGCATTTCTGTGGGATCAGTGGTAGTGTCCCTGTTATCCTTTCTGATTGTGTTTATTTGAATTTTCTCTCTTTTATTTATTAGACTAGCTAGCCATCTATTTTATTTTATTTTATTTTTTCAAAAAACTAACTCCCGGATTTGTTGACCTTTTGAATGGTTTCTTGTGTCTCTGTTTCCTTCAGTTCAGCTCTGATTTTGGTTATTTCTTGTCTTGTGCTACCTTTGGGATTTGTTTGCTGTTGGTTCTCTAGTTCTTTTAGTTGTGATGTTAGGTTGTTAACTTGAGATATTTCCAACTTTTTGATGTGGGCATTTAGTGCTATAATTTCCCCTCTTAAAACCGCCTTAGCTGTGTCCCAGAGATTCTCATACATTGTACATTTTTTCCGATTAGTTTCAAAGAACTTCTTGATTTCTGCCTTGATTTTATTATTTACCCCAAAATCATTCAGGAGCAAGTTATTCAATCTCCATGTAATTGTAGACCATGTACACTTTACATTTTACTTAATATTGACAAAATTAATGTACCAAATGTTTATACCTTGTTTTACACTTCGCATACATCTGCTATTGCCATGATTTTAAAATTTTGCCAGAATCATGGGTGAGAAAATTATTTTATAGCTTTCTTGTTTTTTCCTTAAGTTTTAGTAAGGCTGAATATCTTTTCACCTGTTTCTTGACCATTTAGCTCAGTGACATATTGACCATATAACTAGTTTTATTTGGTTATATGTGTTATTAAAGATTTACAGGATTTTGAAATATTCCTGATAAGAATTCTTCTTTTATGTGTATTGTATATGTATCTCCCATTCTCTAGACTTATTTTGATTTTTATTTTGCCTTTGATTAAGAAAACATTTCAAATTGTGGTGAAGTCCATTTTATTAATCTTTTTTCTTTAATAATTTGGCTGTTTGGCTTTATATTAGATACTAGCGAGGGCAATTTTCTACATCACCCTCCTTCTTCCTCCTCTACCTCCCTCCCTTCCTCTCCTGCTTCCCTTCCTTTTTTCCTCTATTTTTTGAAGAATTATGTAGTCTTTTGTTAGAAATTAATGTTTCATAAGTATTTTATAATTATTTTGTCACATTATAATGTTTGTGCATATAAAATGGTTAAATATTGGCAATATCAGATGGTTCAACTTATATTATCAAATGTACATACTAAGATTTGTGAAAAATTGACTTCTTTATGCTGTTTGTCTTCTCAAAGAAGATATGAGTTATATTTTCATTTATTATATTATGTGAGTCTATAACACTGTTTATTATATTTATATAATCAACTTTGCCAACATTTAGATATTTTTGTGGGAAATTTACAGTCCTTGCTGCTATTTGGAAAAGAACATTGATTGTTGTATAGGAATGCTCTATATTTTTAGTTTATCTTGTATCCAAAATCTCTGACTTACTAGAATGTGTAAATTCTCTAATAATATAAAATTATTAGTTCTAAAATTGTTTTGGTTATATCTGGAAAAAATATCATACAAAAACAAGGGGAACTTTGTTTCCTTCTTTTTATAATATATATTACCAGGCTAAGAAAGATTCCTTCTTTTTCCAATTTGCTAGAAATTTTTAAATATGGGTGCATTAAATTAATCAAATCTGCAATTATGTTGTGGTTATAGAATCCTCTAAATTGTGAAAAAATCAATGTTTTTAATTAACATCCAACCATCGTTATATTCTCGGATAAGTTCTACCTGCCCAACATACATTATGCATTAATACCTCTCTCTCTGTGTCTCTTTCTCTCTCTCTCTCCCTCCTTTCTCCCTCTTTCCCAATCTTATGCTGCATTGATTTATAATGTTTTATTGTATTTAAGATTTTTTCGTCACTGTCGGTAAGTAAAAAAACCTATAACTTGTTCCTATATTATCTTTGTTCAATTATAATATGGTATACCAGAATAATAAAATGAGTCGAATCGTTTTCCTATTTATTATTTTCTCTGAGACATTGTGTGTAAGATATGAATTATTGATCATCACTTGCTTAGGGAACAAAAACTTATAAGGCATTGTCCCTCTTTTGTAAAATACTTGACTACCACTATAATTTACTTTATTATTATAATATTTAAGTTTACTTTTTACCTTGCATCAATTTTGAATGATTTATGTTTCCTTCCTTGAATGATTATTCATTTGTTCAAAATATTCAAGTATTATTATTGAGTTAGACTTCTTAAATATTTAAAATGCTTTGCAAACTTTGTAACTATGTCTTCTTCTGGCTTCTAATATTTTTTAAAATTGTACTTTTGTTTCTAATAGAATATTTTCAGTGAATCAACTTCTGATGTTGCTCTTATGTTTGATCACCTGGACTGTATTGTTTTCTAACCTCTGATTTTTGCTTTTATTGATTTCTTTTCTTTTGGTTCATCATGGGTAATTTTTTTGTTGTTTTCTAGTTTTTTAGTTGAATGCATAGTTCATTTAGTTCATTTATTGATTTTTTATAAATGTGCTTAATGCTTTCAATATCCTGCATTATCTATATTTACAAATTTTGATAATTTTTGCTTTTATTATATTTCAAATAAAAATAATTTAGAATTCCATTTTTAATTTTTTAGAATTGTAAACAAGCTTTTTCTTTTTCTTTTAAGATTCTAAACATATGCTACTATGTAGAATTAACTGTTAATTTTATTTTGTCATGGTCAAAGAACATGCACTTTATTATGAAATGTTTTGTGAACTGGTCAGTTTTTAAAAATTACCTATGTTTGTTTAACGAAAAAATTAGTTAACAAAAATAGATACAAGTTTTCATATGTGTCTATCATACAAAGCTTTTATTTAATGTTGTTTACACCTTCTGTGTTCTTGATCATTTTTAATTAATTTCATTTCTCAGCATCTAAGTAGGTATATTTTGGCTATTTCAGTTTTGTATTTCTACCATATCTACTTTAAATATTTTAAGGCTCTGTTGTAAGTTACATGCAATCATAATATTGCTTTACATTCTTATGAGGATAAAGGAGTATTTCCTTTATCCTCATTTTACAAAGACATTTTACTGTATATAATATGTAGGAAATTATAATTTTCTCTTTGTAACACTCATTTTTGTACACTGTTCTAGTTCATTAAATTTGACTGGTATTCTTTATACAATCCGTTGTCAATTTTGTGACTTGGAATATATGTTCACCATTTATAACTTATCTTTTCATTTTTAAGTCATGTTTTGATAAAAATATTTTTAATTTTTATATCAGCAGATTGTTTCCAATAATTTAGAATTAGATCTTTTTGTTTTTATTTTAAAAGACTTTCCACTTCCAAAATTGAAACATAATTGCCTACATTTTTGATTGAGTTTTTAAATATTATTCTCAAAATGTCAGTTGTTGTAAAGAAAGGATTCCATTATAACTTTTCCCATATGGAGCCCCACAAAAAGCCCCGTTCCAAAATAATATGATGATTTGACCTGTCTAGCAGTTCTCTAGATCCCCCACCCAGGGGCTTGACTTCCTTTGACCTGACTCAGTGCTCAGGCATCGCCAACACTCTTTTCCCTAGACATCTGTCAAAGCCAAAAGGTAAAATTATTTAACATTAAAGATCCCTGAGGTGGTGATAACAGTTGAGACTAACAAAAATCTGACAAAAAAAAAAAAAAAAAAAAAAACTTAAAAAGGAAGGTTAGAGAATTAGATATCCATACAGGGCTTTGAAAAGCACCAACATTTTCCTGGGACTCTAGAAGGAAAGTCCTGAGAAGGCTCTAATCTCTCATCCCTGGTTAACTTGAGGTTCTGCACAAGTGGAAATAAAGGCTAAAAGGCAGACTTGTATACTGTCTTCTGGTGCATTGCAGGCATGCTCCAATGCATAGAACACCTTGGCAAAGGCTGGAAGGTGGTTCCAGGCACTTAAGGAAATCTATGTCCAGTCGTCATCTGAACACTAACATACATACTTGAACAGAAACTTAAGTAGCTTCAAATGAAAAGACTGACTTTACAGAATTAGTTGAGGAAAGTCTCAAAACAAAAAAATGTAACCACAATCACCACCAACAACAATGAGCAACAATAATAACCCATAGGAAAGCATAGAATGCGAGAGCACAGAACTTAGATTTTCAGAGTTGCAACATTATATTATTTTAAATGTCCCATTTTTAAACAAAACAACAAAAATATATAAGACATGATAAACAGGAAAGTATAACCCATACACAGAAAAACAAAAACAAAAGTCAAAAGAAACTGGTTCCTGAAAAAGCCCAGGTATTAGACTCATTAGACAAGACAGACATTAAACAGCTATTATAAATATGACCAAAAAAAAAAGAAAACTGTCTAAACAATTATAGTATGGAATGATGCCTCACCAAGTACAGAATATCGATACAAAGATATAAATTATTTTTTACAAACCGTATAGAAATTCTGGATTTAAATTAAAATAATTGAAAATAAAATAGAGGAATTAGAAATAGATTTCAGCTATAAGCAGAAGAAATAATTGAACATGAATATAGGCCAATGGGGATTATCTAGTCTGAGGAAGAGAAAGGAAAAAAAAAAAGTAAAGAAAATGAACAGAGCCTAAGAAACCTGTGGACACCGTCAAGCATACCAATATATCCATAATAAAATATCCAGAAGGAGAAGGAAGAAAGGGGTAGAAAGAATATATGAAGAATTTATGGCTTAAAATCTCTCAAAATTTTTTTTATTATTATACTTTAAGTTTTAGGGTACATGTGCACAATATGCAGGTTAGTTACATATGTATACATGTGCCATGCTGGTGTGCTGCACCCATTAACTCGTCATTTAGCATTAGGTATATCTCCTAATGCTATCCCTCCCCCCTCCCCCAACCCCACAACAGTCCCCAGAGTGTGATGTTCCCCTTCCTGTGTCCATGTGTTTTCATTGTTCAAAATCTCTCAAATTTGATGATAATATTTATCTGCACATACAAAAAGTTCAATGAAATCCATTTAGTATAAATTCAAAGAACTACACACCTACTCACATCACAATCAAACTCAAAAAACAGAGATAATTTTGAAAGCAGTAGAAGAGATCCAACTCATCACATATAAGGGATCCTCAATAAAATTAACAATTTTTTTGTTTTTTTTTTGAGACGGAGTCTTGCTCTGTCACCCAGGCTGGAATGCAGTGGCGCAATCTCAGCTCACTTGCAAGCTCTGCCTCCCGGGTTCACGCCATTCTCCTGCCTCAGCCTCCGGAGCAGTTGGGACTACAGGTGCCCGCGACCACACCCGGCTAATTTTGTGTATTTTTAATAGGTACAGGGTTTCACCATGTTAGCCAGGATGGTCTCGATCTCCTGACCTCGTGATCCGACCGCCTTGCCTCCCAAAGTGCTGGGATTACAGGTGTGAGCCACTGCACCTGGCCACAACAAATATTTTTAATTCAACATTGTACTGAAGGTCCCAGCTAGAATAATATGACAAGAAAAATAAGAAAAAGACACCTAGATTGGAAACTATCCCTTTCAGCAAATGACATTATTTTGTATATGGTAAATCCTAATTAATCCACTAAGAAATCTATTACAACTAATAAACTGGCTCATAAAGTATGCAGGATACAAGAATAATGTATAAAAATCAATTTTATTTCTATGCACTTGCAATAAAGAACATCATCCAAAGGAAGAAAACCAAACATTTAGAAATAAATTTAACAGGAAGTGCAGACTTGTACACTGTAAACTACAAACGTTGAAAAATATTAAAAAATGCTTAAATAAACGTAAAGATATCTTACGTTTATAGATCAGAAAATGTAATATTGTTAAGATGGTAATGCTCCTCAAAATAGAACAATAATGCAGTTCAGTTTTTATAAAAAACCCAGCCTTCCTTTGGCACAAAGGAATCACCTCATCCAAACATTTATATGTATATGCAAGGGACACAGAATAGCAAGAACAATCTTGAAAAAGAATGCAGTTAGAGGACTCATACGGATTTCAAATCTTACTACAAACTTTAATAAATAAAGACAATGTGGCACTGGCACAAAAATATGCATATAGATCAATGGAATGAAATTTCCAGATATAAACTCTTACATTTATGGTCAATTAATTTTTCACAAGGGTGCCAACATGACTCACTGGGGGGGGGGGAAGCCTTTTCAAATAGTGGTACTGGAACAACTGGATTTCCACAGGAAAGGAATGAAGTTTGACTTCTACCTCACTCCATACACAAAAATTAAATCAAAATTGGTCATCAACCTGAATGTAAGAACTAAAATCTATAAAACTCTTACAAAAAAATCCATGATCTTGGATTAGGCAATAGCTTCTTAGATTTGACACTAAAAGAAAAGGGGACTAAATTTAAAAAAGGGATAAATCGGATTTCATCAATATTATGACCTTTTGTGCTTTACAGTATACCATCAAGAAAGTGAAGAGACAAACCACAGATTGGGAGCATATTTTTATTCATACTATAAGTGATAAAGGTCATGTATTTCAAATATTTTTTGCAGCCCTTACAATTCTACAAAATAATGACATCACAAATGAAAATGTGAAAATGATTCAAATAGGGCATTTCTTTAAAGACAAAAAATAAATAAATGGCCAATAAGCATATGAAAATATGCTCAATGTCACTGGTCATTAGAAAAATGCAAACCAAAACCACAATGTGGTATTACTTTACATCCACTCAGATGGCTAAAATTTTAAGACAGGAAGAAAACCACTGTTGATAAATATGCAGAGGCATTGGGATTTTATACACTTCTGGTGGGATTGTAAAATGATACAGCAACATTGAAAAACAGTTTGATGCTTCCTAAAAAGCCAAATATAGAGTTACTATATGATTCAGCAATTCCTCTCCAGTGTATATACCCAAGAGAATTTCAAACATTTGTTCACACGAAAACCTGTAAGTGAATGTTCACAGCAGCATTATACATAATAGCCAAAGAGTGAAAAAAAAAGCTAAATATCCATCAGCTGCTGAAGGGATAAGCAAAACATAGGATATCCACAAAGTCTATTCTTATTAAGCAATGGAAAGGAAGGAGGGCACCGATAGATGTTAAAACATGGATGGACCTTGAAAACATCATGCTCAGCTAAAGAGCCAGTCAAAAAAGTCCACATATTGCATAATTCCATGTATATGAAATGCCCAGAATTGTCAAATTCATAGGAACAGGCACTCAATTAGTGATTGCCAGTGATAGGAGAAGGGGGAAAATGGGGAGTGACAGTTAATGGGTAAAGGGTTTCTATTTGGGGTGATGAAAATTTTTTAAGGAAGACAATGGTAATCATTGCACAAACCTGTAACGACACACTTCACTTCAAGAACTGTGAACTGGGCCTGATGCAGTGGCTCATAGCTGTGATCCCATTTCTTCGAGAAGCTGAGGTAGGCAGACTGCTTGAGCCCAGGAGTTCGAGATCAGCCTGGGCAACATAGTGAGACTCTGTCTCTACCAAAAATAATAATGAAAAAATATAGCTGGGCATGGTGGCACCAGCCTGTAGTTCCAGCTACTTGGGAGGCTGAGATGGGAGGATCACCTGAGCCTGGAAAGTCGAGGCTGCAGCGAGCAGACATCGTGCCACTGCACTCCAGCCTGGGCGATGGAGTGGGAAGGAAGGAAGGAAGGAAGGGAGGGAGGGAGGGGAAAAGAAAAGAAAAGAAAAGAAAAGAAAAGAAAAGAAAAGAAAAGAAAAGAAAAGGAAAAGAAAAGAAAAGAAAGAAAGAAAAAGAAAGAAGAAAGAGAGAGAGAGAAGAAAGAAAGAAGAAAGAAATAAAGAGAAAAGAAAGAAAAAAAGGAAGAAAGAGAGAAAGAAGAAGAAGCGAAGGGAGGAAGGAAGGAAGGGAGGAAGGAAGGAGAGAGAGAGAGAAAGAAAGAAAAAGAACTATGAACTGCATATTTTGGTTGAATTTCATAGTATTTGTTATATATTCATAAAACTGCTATTAAAATTTTTAAAAACAGACAAATTGAATATGGCAAAACTCATAAAATATAGAAAATAGGGATGTTGAATATTGTTTTCATCCTTGACTAAGTTTACCTAATACTTTTTAAAAGCCATATGCAGAAACTAAAACAAATTGATTGATTTTTGGTGTTTTGTATTAGGCTCAATAATTTGTGAATGAATGCAAATAGTAGTAGAACATGGGAGCGCAAATGTTCTTGGGAGGAACATTTTATGACTTAGTGATTTTAGTACCAGTCCAGATGACTTATTCAAAATCTTAGATCTGGGTTCAGTCTCAGTTGGCAAGGACTTCCACAGATCTCCGCTTCTCAGGATCCATTGTTATTGCTACACATAATATTCCATTAAGTCTCCCTCTCTAATAAATCTATTCTGAGTTTTTACAGAAAAAATTTAGTTTGAAGGTGTATATGAGTAATTGAGAACATTTGGGAAGTTATATCACTTATAAATATCTAAAGGGTCCTTACTAGAAGAAACTTTCAGCAAATGATACACTATTCAAATGTATGGATATGAACTACAGATTGATTTGCATAAAATCTGTCATACCACTTTTTGTTGTACTCTGCTAGAAAAATGTTTCTCAAAATAAGCATCAATGTATGAGAGAAACATTTTTCACACAATATCCTTGATATATTTATGAAAATAAAATGTAAGATATTATTATCTTAGGAATTCCTGTGCTCCTATCAATTTTGAAGTCCCCTTCAATTCCATTACCTTTGGAGAGTATAGTGAAGAGTTTTAATTTTTGAACCAAAAATATTTAAAAATGAAGAGAAACTAGAACAAAACAATAGCTAACCTTAAACCAAATAAGGTGTAGAGTAATTTTCCTTATCTCTGTGAAAAAGATGACAAAATTGGTACTGCTAAGAAAATGTCTCCTTCGTAAATGTCACTTTTCTTTGGAAATCTTTAACGATGTTTATCACCTGTTATAATCTATCAAGTTAACAGTTAAATTTTTTAAGGTATTTATTTCAAAAACTACATTTTAAGAGGATCAGAAATAATATCAAAGAAGAGCAGTCAGAAAATGTTCCCTGCATATCACTATTCCCTGTTCTCTTCACTCATCTAAATATCCAGTATGGTCTTCATGATTATATTTTTAGTGTAGACATAAGTATTCTGAACTTTTCATTTACTATTTATTGTAAGCGTGTATTCATGTTGCTAGGAAATTTTCACAAAGGCTAAATGATGCTTATTACTTAAGAAAATTCATATGCCCATATTATACTGAACTATTTATTTTCTGCACTTTAAAAATGTTTTATATTTTTGATTCTGCTGTAATGTGCCTCTTCCTGCATATAGAATTAAATTTTTTTCTTAAGATAAATTTCCTCCAAAAGTTATGATTACTTTTCTTTAAAAAAAAGACGTACACTTTAGTATTTGGATGTGGAGATAGAGAGAGAGAGAGGCACTTAAGTCATAGGAATTAAGAGTTTGGTCAGCATTAGGAGATATACCTAATGTAAAAGACGAGTTAATGGGTGCAGCACACCAGCATGGCACGTGTATACATATATAACAAACCTGCACGTTGTGCACATGTACCCTAGAACTTAAAGTATAATAATAATAATAATAATAATAATAATAATAATAATATTGAGTTTGGTCCACCATCTACGATGGGTCCATGCACAAGATACTTAACCTTCTTTAGTTTTCTCTTTTTTTAATTTGTAAAATGAACCCACATAACGCCTACAATAACTGGTTATTTATGTACATGCATATAAAGTACATAGCTCAGAGTCAGACACATACTAAGCATTCAGTAAATAACATATAAAATGACACAACAATGATAGTGATGATGATGAGGATGATGAGGGTGATGATGATAATGATGAGGAGGAGGAGAAGGGATTTTAACAGTTTTTGATAATCTTTGCAATTTTCCAAACTAGATTCCCTCTTTCAGTCTATGTAGGTAAACAGTATATTCTAGCAGTTTAGGCTTAAAGTAATACAATAAGAAGTATGTGTGTTCATAAGGGAGAATTTTGGTATCAAGAAACATAGCCACTCAGAAAGTAAAAAGATTATGTGAAAAGTCATCATGAATTATTTATTGTATCCACATTTTCCCAAAACTATTCGCTGGTGATTGCTCTTGGTGGTGGGTTTTGCTTGTTTGTAAAAGCAATAGAGGTTGATTTCTATATGTTGATTATCTTTACTAGATAAAATACAATAAATCTTGAACATCGTTGTCAAATGACCTGTTTGTTCTACCTTGGGAACGTAGGAAGAAAGTGCATCTTACCCTAAAACAGCCAGTGGCAGGGTGATATATATTCCTGTGCATGCCTCCGGCATGCTTCACTCATTAGACGGAAATCCTCATCTAGTATTTGTTTTCACTCAGCCTACTGAGCAAAAGATATATGTAACATTCTGGAGTCCATTAAGCAAAAGCTGAAGATAACAATAAGACAAAATGATGGACTAAGGTGTAGCTGCCAGCTTAGTGTGATTAATTCAAAGAAATTTCTTCTAAGGCTATTGTTCAATAATCAATATTTATAAAGTTTTATCACGGGATATTGAGAACATCCTTTTCAATACATCTTTAACAGTATGACATAATATGCATGATACATATTTAAAGGCCTGTAGGTGAATTGAAAGAACACTGGACTAAGAACCAGGAGATTGATAACTTATTCCTATTTTTACATTAAATCATTCTGTGACCTTGAGCAAACAAAGGGTACGTTAGTCTTTTCTTATCCATAGATTGAGTTGGTAAATGAGATGATGCCTACATTTTTTCTTCTGGCTCAAGAAGTCAAGGAATATATTTATCAATAATTTTAGTAGATACTAATATTTGCATTTGCAGATGAGGAAAATGGGGCCAAGAGGATGTAAATGACTTGTTTAGGTCACATGGTGAGTAAATATGACACTGGACATTTCACTCAGTTTTTTCTTACAGAATGAAAGATTATGCTGGCAGTAATGTAGAAGACCAATTAGAAAGGAACGAAGCTGGAAAATAAAATAGACAAGAGTTTATTTTAGGGTCTATTATTTTAGGGTCTAGGTGAGCAGCAATTAGTACTTGAAGTAGGGTTATAGCAGTGGATTTGGAGTGTAAATGACATATACACATTATGTTTATAACAGAGAATGAGGAAACCTTGAATGTTCATTTGATCCACTAAATGTGCAGTGAAGAATAGGGAGAACTCTAAGATGGTTCTAGATTTCTGGCTTGGGGACAGCATAAATGACATTCCCTGTAATGAGAAATGTGGGCTAGAGGTGAAAATAATTGGTTTAGGAAAAAATCTCTGCCCAAAAGGTGTTTAAATGTGTTTATAAGAATAGATTTATATATATATACACACACACACACACACGAATACATATCTGTAGATTCATACACACACACACACACACACACACACAGAGAGAGAGAGAGAGAGAGAGAGAGAGAGTGAGAGAGAAAAGAGATGCTTAGACTATATTTAGGCTATATAGAAACGGGAAATGTCCAAGCCCCACAGATGTGGAAATAATAAGCTAGAGAGCAAATTAAAGTAAAAAGAGAAAATAAAGTACAAGTCTCACTATGATCTTCTGTGAGCACTGAATCATAGAAGAAGGAAGAGAATCTAGGAAGAAAGAACCTGTTATTGAATTAAGAAAATAATGAAGAGAGTTTTACAGAAGTCAAGGAAGAAAAGCATTTCAAAATAAAGGTCCGAAATGTTCCACGGAAATTAAATGAAATGTGTTGTTTGGATTTGATCATGAAATTTTGTGTGATCATGAAAATGTGTTTGGATTAGATCATGAAAACTAAAAAGACTGGTGATTTCAGTGAAATAAATTTTAGTGGTTTGGTAACACATAAGTCAGATTTTAAAAAGTTGAAAAGTCAATGTGAGATCATAAAATTATGGACATTTCTGGAGAAACTGAAAGATCATGAGGTTATCACTGCTGAGACCAACGACCTTACACTGACATCAAAATTATATGTTGACAATAATCATATTATTGTCACTATCTTTCCTTGAGGTGATATTGATTATTGCTAATATTTTTGAAACCTTTCTTTGGCCAGGAAGTTACACAGGGCAGCCTGCAGATCAGGTAAGACTGAATTTACTCTATGAATCCAAAGATTGACCAATGAAGCCTTACCAAATTAGGATTTCACTGTTAAATCCATATATGTGGTAAAATAGACATTTTACCAGCATAACCACGCCAACTGCAGAACAAGTAATATCAAGTTTTGGTGTGAACGTGCAGCTTTATCTGTGTTAGTAAAGACTCCTAGAATTGATTCTTCTTTAGAATAGAGGATGCCTCATTAGCCACTGACACATTATAATTGCCATATACTCTATTTAAATCTAGTTCTTGTTAGGGATGTCTCCGTGCTGTAATAACCCTGTCAGTCAACATACCACACATTCTTATGCACAAGAAGTTCTCTTGAAAACTTCAAGCTGTTATTAAATACTCGTGTTCGGAAATTGCCCTTGCTATCAGGTTTTAATCCTTAATAAGAAAAGGCATTTTGCTTTAATAACTTACTTTCATTTTCTCTTACAGATTTGCCAGTAGGAAAGTAATGTGGTATAACAGTAATGTGGTGTTGGGTTAGAATATTGGCACAGTATCTGGAATCCAGCATCAGTTCTGTTACTAACTAGCGATGTAAACTTAAGAACATTTCCATAAAGTCTCTGGATATTTATATTTCTTTTTGATAAAATAAGCAGCTGCAAGAGAATGTCCCCAGAGAATCATTCTAAAATGATTCAGTGTCTCTAGATGCTTTTGCATCTTACCTTCTCTAAAGATGAGACATAGATCTCCCACTGGTCTTCCCAGAAACATCGTGGGTACCACTCAAGTCTGTTAACATTGGCATAATACTCATTTTAATGTCATTCTCTTGGACTGGATATGTGCAAGAGATAAATGGTAGCTGAGCAACTTCATGAACAGGTTTTATATGTGAAACTGAAGAGAATCAACAGTGCGCAAAAAGTGCAAAACAGAACACGTCAGGGGAATGCTCAAGTATAACTTCAAGTAAGGTGAGCAGCTGTGAGCATGCTGACAAAAGCATCAGCAAACACTCTAGCTTGGTACATTGGGGGAAAACAGCTTTTTAAATAAAATTCTGGCTTACTAGGAATCCTAAGGGTAGAGGCACCTAGTATCTGGCTTTGTAAACAGTAGCAACCTCTGCAAGCCAGAAGATAATCTCTATAAAATATAGTGAGGTAAAATGGCTCGTCATAATCAGTCTCTGGTGCCTCTTCGCAGAACTAGAAATTGTTATCAGAGACATCATCTTTGAACTCTTATGTGTTGAAATGGTGATCGTCATCTAGGCTATCCTACCAGATCTCATTTATTCTATGGCATTAAAGCAAAATATAGTGAATAAGACGCTTTGCATGTACCTAACTTTCCTAGAACACACACTGGTCTAATTTTAACTCGGCTGATAGAAGATTCTGTTGAATCTCTTTTTGTACCATTCCTTGGGCCAAAGCAATTCGTCAGGTAATTCACTTTATAAAGTCATCATTGCTGTCAGTCAGAGCCTCCGCTCCCCATTCCTTTCCCTTTCCACTTCTATTATTTTCATCGAAAGAGAGATACTTGAAATTTCACTTCTAAATTCTTGATTATCCAAACTTCATCCTAATTCTAGCAGCTTTCTTCTTTTTCTTCTTCTTCTTTTTTTTTTTCTTTCTTGGGATGGAGTCTCACTCTGGCACCCAGGCTGGAGTGCAGTGGCTCGATCTCAGCTCACCGCAACCTCTGCCTCCAGGGTTCAAGCAATTCTCCTGCCTCAGCTTCCCAAGTAGGTTGGATTACAGGCATGCACCACCACGCCGGGCTAATTTTTTTTGTATTTTTAGTAGAGACGGGGTTTCACCACGTTGGCCAGACTGGTCTCCAACTCCTGACCTCAGGTGATCTGCCCGCCTCGACCTCCCAAAGTGCTGGGATTACAGGCATGAGCCACCGTGCCCGGCTAATTCTGGCAGCTTTCTGTCTCTCTCCCAAATGAATATTCTGCCACCTCTTCTTTTTCACACTATATTGCAGTTTGTATCTTTATACCTACATTCAGTGTTCTCAACCAAGGTGCATGTCAGATCTACACAGGCAACACCAAAGAAAGTATTCCCAGCCTACCATGGAATGATGATTTTAGAAATTTTGAGGGCAGTAGCATCTTTATTTTTTAAAAGTTCCTGGGTGATCCTAATTTACAGCCTTGTTTGAAAACCATGGCCCACCTAGACGGTTATTAGTATCTTTCATTTTTAATGTGTGATAGAGCTATAATATTTTCTTTTATAAATTTTATGAGATCTAAATGATCTTTTCGTATTTATGACTAAAATCCTGAAGACTCTTCTATTTTTATGTTTTTAGTTAGGATGGTACAATGGCTTGACATGTCTAGTGACTGGACTCAAGAAATAAATTCAGCCATTTGCCAAGCACTCTACTAGGTGCATTCACTGTCATTATTTCATGTAAATATACTAACAACTCAATGAAATCGATATTATTATCTGCAGTTTGTGAAAAACTGATGGTCAAAATGTTTTAATCATTTGTCTGACATCATATTAATTGATTTGTAATCTACAGAAACCAGATTTTTTGGATCCTACCCCAGTGCTCTCTTTCATCACTGATATTTCCCAGGTGAATTTCAGGGTCAAGACTGAAAGGCTGGAACCCATTATCCTATAACTACTGCTTTGTGTCTTCCACTCAAAGAACTTGCTGTTCTCATAATAAAATAGATCTCTCATTTGCTACTTACTCACAGTTTTCTTATTTGTTTTGTTTCATTTTTTTGAAATGGAATTTCACTCTTATTGCCCAGGCTGGAGTGCAATGGCACGATCTTGGTTCACTACAACCTCTACCTCCCGGGTTCAAGTGATTCTCATGCCTCAGCCTCCCAAGTAGCAGGGATTACAGGCACCCACCACCATGCCTGGCTAATTTTTGTATTTTTAGCAGAGACGGGGTTTCACCATGTTGGCCAGGATGGTCTCGAACTCCTGACCTCAGGTGATCTGCCACCTCAGCCTCCCAAAGTGCTGGAATTACATGCATGAGCCACCAAGCCCGGCCTACTCACAGTTTTGAAGATCCCTTCTTATAGTTTATTTTCACAGTGGGCTTGCTACCATCTGAAAGCATCTTTGTAAATTATATACATAGTCTGGAAGCTTGACTCTGGAAGTCTTCATTCAGAGAACAATATTGTTTATCAAATGCATACTTTTACCATTGCTATTCCATTTCTAGAGGAAGATAGCCCCCCTTAAAGTCTTGCCATGACATTGTTAGTGCCTTTGAATTAAAATATTTCTTCTGAAGAAAACACTGAGAAAGAAATTACATTAAATTCCTTATTTTGTATATATTTATTCTTCCAAAAATGGAAGTCAAGTAATGAGCAGCAGTTTCTCATATATACTTGCCTTCCCTCTAGTTATTTACAGATTCTATTTAGTAAATTGCAAAACTGAAAACAAAATTAATCAGTTCTATAGTTCCCAAGTTCTGGGATATTTAGAATTGATAAAATGCCTACAATCTGCCAGATTTTGGACTGAGTAGCTAATTGAAACTACAGGTTGCATATTTAGCCAGCAGTTGGAATATTCTTAAAGCCTTCCCAATAATGACTTAGGCAGAGGACATTAATTTAGTCTTCTTACCGACTTCTTTACACCCCTTAATGCAGTTTTTGGACAGTGGCCAGACATAATCCCAAATGATTATCGAATTTGCTCTCTGCCTTTAAAATATTTAAGAAATTCCTAAACCTGACTTTGGAATCTCTTTGCAAGGCATTTTGCAAAGTCTTATCTATTGTGGTTGGTTTTTGCACTTGACTCTGTGAGCTTTGCTAATTTCTTTTGGACACAGGCATTTTAAAAGTAATTTTTAGTATGTGGCTATTTAAAGTAGAGAATGTGTTAGTATTTACATGAAAAGTCTGTCAATAATTTGTAAATTGTTCAAGTCATCTTTTGCACAATGTATTGAAATGCTCCTATTATGATATACTGTATTCTTCAGTTTAAAGTAGCTTCTGGAATTTCTATTCTGTTTAGTTAGTCTTTCTGCTTATTTCTACATCATTAGTTTATTCTTTAATTGGTATGGCTTGTATTTTCCTATACTATTTTCTAGAGCAAATATCACCACTGTGCTTCTATTCTTGTTAATGACTCTTAGCAATTCTTAGGTATTTATTATTTCTAATTTAATGTTACTAGCATTTGGTCAAGTTCCAAATGAAAAAAATATCTGAGAATTTAATTTGAGATTATATTATATTTTAGGGTAAATTGAGAAGAAATAAAGTTTTAATTTCTATTCACATAGTATGAATTTTCTTCATCAAAATCATAATGATTTGTGCCACATTTCATAAATTCTGAGCAAATATGACCTCAGTTATCTTTCAAACAAAGCCATCAAATCTTTGTTTAAACTGTTGTAATATCCCCTATTTGATCATTGCTTTATATGTTTTGCATTTGAAACTACATTGAAAGATATATATGAGGTAATAATTACTTTTACTTAACTTTTATCAATATAATGTATTCTCTTTTTATTAATTCATGTTCTATGGGAAGAATTCAATTGTTTCTGATATAAGTACTGCTCCTCTTAAACATGTAGGTTTTTATTTGCCTCTTTTTTAATCAAGGAAATATTTCTTTATTTTTCTTTGAAAGAAAAATACATAGATATCTTGTTAACCATTATATTCCCGGATTTTCACACATTATTTGTTACATAGAGTGTATTCAATAAATATTTTGAACAAAAATATTTAAAATAAACAACATGCAGATAAATGTTAAAAATTCAATCTGAGAATCAATGTATTTTAATTAGAGTATTTAATGCATTCATATTTATTGTGGCCAGTAGGTACCTTTGTTCTTATTATTTCATCTATCGTCTTCCTTTGTAAATGTATTTCCTTGGTCTCTCTTTTGTTTATTTTATTTTTTGTCAGTTATCAAGTTTTTTCTAGTTTTGTTTTCCAATAAATTTGGAATATATGTATCCTGTTACCAGCACATTTTCAAAAGTCTATAATTTTTCAGCACCAGAAATAAGATAAAATCTATTCCTATCATTTTGTAGAATAAGAAATTGACAAATTTTTATTTCTTTCGAAAATTCTGTATAATTTTTGGTTAAAAATTTCTAACATAGTGTAACCAGATTATTTTTATTATCCCCAAAAATAGATATACTTTTTTCAAGCATGATTTTAAAATGTTTATATTATTCTATCAAAAATAACCTGTAACTGTTATAAAAACCAGATATATTTTGAGGCTTAGCTGAAATTCTAACTCTGACAGTTTCCTTTATACCAGTTTTATTTTTTTTTCCAAAATCTATATTACTTATCTTTTACTTTGTACTTTTAACTTTGTAATTCCTATATGCTGCTTTTTATCTCTGGTTACCTTCTTTTAATGTGTCGGTATCTTGTGTCTCCAACTAAATCAATCTGCTCCTTTGGGAGCAACAGTGTGTCTTGTAGAACATGACTAGGTGGACAGTGGATCTGGCTAGACAGCGTGGCATCATTAAAGAGATCAGATCATTAGATAGATTAGTCAGGTTGCAACAGGCTGCCTGGGAAATTCCCATGAGTGTTCTGCAAGTGATGGGTCTGGCACAGTGACAGCAGATGTCAGCAAGATTCAGTAATTGGCACCCCAATTGGAGGCCCTGGTGTTATCATCTCTAGTCCACTCAGGTGGACATACTGGTTTGAAGAAATTAAGTAATTGGACCAAATTATTTGGATTGTAAGCGCAAAATTTAGAAATGAATCCAGAATTGCAATATGCAGTCAGGGAAACTTTGTCCTGGATCACTGGATTAACTAGGTAGGATTCTTTAAGTTACTTTTTAATAGCTAAAAGATTACTTTAACAACCTGTGATAAGAATCTGGAATTTAGGCTGCTTCGACCATGGGAAATGGAGAAATGAGAGATGAGATCCAAGAAGGTATATATGGAAGTGTGAATGTAGACTTTCAGGTGATACAACTGTATATTGGATGGATTTTATGTTCCTAGCTAGTTCTTGATATGTTCAAATAAGATATTTTTATTGCCTTCAACTTAAAGTGCAAATTCTTTAGTATGCCTTTAAAAATGCATTATCTGACACCTTTGATTTTTCAAAATTCCAGATAATCATTTTTCACGTTACTCTCTAGCAATGTGTGCCTCAACACATCCCGTTCCATCTGCTAGAATGATCATCCCTCACTTTTATTCCTAGCAAAATATTCAAAAGTCATCTGAAGTGTCCCCTTCTTGGTGATACCTTTTTTGCTCCACAGGAAGCAAAATAAATGTATGTTTATCAAAGCCTCCACTGTACATTATGGATATCTTCCTTTATAGCACTTAGCAGGAAACTTTTTAATAGTCTCTTCAGACCCATTTTCTCATTAGACATATAGCTCTTGAAAACAGATGCCATGACTTTCCACTAGAGTAATCCCATCCCTAGGTACTGTGATTTTCAAACAAGCACACAATAAATAAGTGAGAATAGAAAGGAGAGAGGCAAGAAAGGAAATTAAGGCCTCCTTTTCATTGCCTAGTTATATTACTGCTTCATTACCACTATATCAGTTCTGCATTTAGAAATTAACTAATACAAAGCAAAAATAAATAAATAAAAGGTTTTAGCCGGAGACTATCTGTGTGCATATATTCTTTTTCTAGATAAGGATATTAATGACAGTTTTTGGGATCCAAGTACATTACATGGAATATAAATTCAATAGTCTATTTTAGAGAGGATCTAATTACAGTCCTATCACCTAAGTGGGCCACTCTGAATTAAAACAATCACAGCCTTGGTAGGCTATTGCAATATGTTTTTAAGCCAGATATAGATAGAGTGGTTATGACAGAGTGGTTAAGATATATGTTCCTTCCTCCTCTTGTCCACCATGTTTTTTTCTTTTTAAACAGAGTCTCACTCTGTCACCCAGTCTGGAGTGCAGTGATGGTATCTTGGCTCACTGCCACCTCTGCCTCCCAGGTTCAAGCAATTCTCATGCCTCAGTTTCCATAGTAGCTGGGATTACAGGTGTGTGCCATCATGCCCAGCTAATTTTTGTATTTTTAGTAGAGACAGGGTTTCACCATGTTGGCCAGGCTGGTCTTGAACTCCTGGCCTCAAATGATCCATCCACCTCGGCCTTTCAAACTTCTGGGTTACAGGTGTGAGCCACTGTGCCTGGCTTTGTCTACCACTTTCAATTCCAGGCTACAGTACAAATATGAAAAGGCTCATAAAACCCAAGAAATCTAAGATAGCACACCTTGCCATCAAACTGCCAGGAACAGGTAAGTATATGTATTCTTTCATTCTATTTCAATATTATTCATGGATGTCAACTTGAAATTAAAGAAATCTTGAGAGTTCAAAGATTCTATTTCTAACCATATCAACAACTGCCTGTCCTCACGCACAAGGATATTCCATTTTCATTTTCTAATACTTATAGCTAGTTGATTGTTCTTTTGATATATTAAGAGAAATACCTAGATATAATAGACATAAATTTTTAAATGCATGTTTTGAAATAAAGTAATTGATACTATGAATGTAGACAGAATAGCAGGCAATGAGAACTTTTAGAGGAAACATTTAGCAAAAACAGAGAAACAACTAAGTGTTAAAATGACAGTTTTCTTTGGCTTTTCAGATAGGCGGATATGAGGAAAGAAAATATTCATATTTATATTTCACAGATGCACATTTTTATCATTTTATTTTTATTTTAAATAAAATTAAACGCAGTAAGTTTTTAAAAGCTAACATAGCTACATGAACAAAAATATAAAAAGTATCCTATAGGGGGCACTCAAGTACTATGAACCACAGCATCTGCTTCCTCTAGTTATATTTTGTTTGGAAGAAAAGGTGTAGACCCTTGAGCACATTTTCATATTACCTTTTATGTAAAGAACAAAAGTGAGTAAAATAAATGAAAATACTCTTTGTCACACTTCTACTATTCCCCAGTGAAAGATAAAGGTATATTAAGAGGTGTGATTAAACGGCATTTGGAGAATTATTATTCTAAAAGCATAAAGGCATGATAGTGTAGACAGCTGAGGTGTTGAGCATTTTCAAAATTCTAAACAAGGTTTCTTCTGCATTATAGCTCAATGCCAAGATAATTATCATTCTCTTCTGAAGACTGTTTTGTCTAGAACAGTAAAAGGCACAGTCATGTACCTAATTTTTATTTGGGTTTTAAAGAAGAATAATATGAGAATATTTAAATTACTTTTAAGAAATATAGCAAGGAGGACTTAGTCAATCACTTGCACAGAGAATTTTTAATAAATGGTGGGGACCTTTTTTAAGGTTGGGGGGGTAGATGAAGGGGAGGACAAAACTAAAATTCACTCCGGCAGCCTGTGTACCAGATGTTGTTTCAACTGATCTATGTTTAGATAGCTAAGAGTTCGTTTTAACCAAACCCTAAATGAAAACTTGTCATAGCACCTAAATGAAATCAAAACGTGATTTCTTTAAAGTGGTGGTGGTGGGGGGAAGTTTCATTTAATCTTTGAAATCATAGTTAAAAGAAGTTGCTTTTTACTTTTAATATGATCATATTACAGCAGCTTAAAAATGAACCTCTAAATTCCCTCAGGATAGTCATAGGAATCCCATTAAGCATTTTAAACACCAATCTCCCACTGAATTTCCCTTTGAAGCACTTCACAGTGCTCCACACTCAGAGCACGTGTGTTTTATTTCTGTTATCTTCACACAAGAGAACTTAATTTGTGCTTTTGATTTTAAAACAGGACATACAAGTACTAACTGCCTTCATTAGCTTGTTCACCACTATCACAGTTGTGAATAATGAAATCACTTCCAGAGCCATTTGTCAAATGGATACTTGGGACATCTGCATGTCGGTACGATCGAATCCTACAGCCTGTTTACAATATAAAGTAAGACATTAACCTTTTTTCCATTTTGATTAAAGATATCTAAATATTTGCTTACATAAAATTGAGTTAGATGTCAACAACTCTTAGCAATGATTTGAGAAGAATCTCAGGTTATTATAGATGTACTTTAAAAGCATCAAACTTTAAATAAAATAAGGTAACTTGTAACTCAGACTTCTTGAATTTAGTAGTTACTATGGCCAAAAAGATAAGTTTTTCCAGAACAATCTTGATTAGAAATAATCTTCTTCTGGCTCCATAATTTTATTTATTAGGCCATGTGTTCAATTTTGGCTTGGAAACTGTCACTATCATAAATAAAAAGTGTGGAAGGGGAAGTAGAGGGCAGAAGAAACTGGCCCGAGAGCTACAAAGAGAGACAGGCAGTTGTCACCATGACATCCCTGAGGCTATAACTTGTTTTCACTTGCAACCTACAGCTTGGAGCATGATTGGTTTTGGCAACTCCACAGCCAAATTCAGGCTGGTGACTAGATGTCTTTATATATATATATATATATGTTATATATGTGTATATATATGTATATATATATTATTGTATGTGATCAACAGAATATGTTACTTTTTTTGAGCTATTTTCCCAGTAGCTATATGTATCTTTGTGGAAATGTCCAAGTTGATTAAACTCCTTAGTTTTAGATAACTAATATCAACAATCCTTTGACCAATTTTACATGTTATCCAAATATCAGTCAATTTATGATTATATATTTATATATACATGTACTTTTTTATTTTTCAATTCGTTTTATAGTGTTTTCAGGCAAAGCTCAGTAAAGAGCATAGAAACTATTTCCTGTCATCTCTATTCACTTTCTTTCACCAAGAAAAAAAAAAAGAAAAAGTTAGGTTAGAATAAATTAGGATTAATATACATCTAAAAGTACAAAATTGACATTTCTTTTAGAAGTAAATGCATTTTATCACAAGGAAAAATATAAACTCCAAATAATAATCATATATATTCTTGGTCATTCTATGTTCAAGGTATTCATCCTCTCCTACCTCTTCTGTTGTATACCTGAGAATAACTTTATCTTCACGCTCATTTTTGTGGTTGTTGTTTTAGAGTAGGGTTTGCAGAATGATATGAATGATACCCTGGGTAAAGTCTATTTACATTGCAGAATGTAGCAATAAAAAGTTATAAAAGCATTTAATAATCTTTCAACCGTAATTTAACTTTGCTAGGATTCATCCATAAAGTCACATATTTTTACAAATCTTGGTAAATATATTTAAGTCCAAATGTCACCATTTTTTTTTCTATGAAGAGAGACTTGACATAAAATTAAGGCATTCTATTTAGGGCTAAAAAGCACCTTTTTGCTTTTGAATTTTTATTGTGATTCAAAAGTATAATTTTCATAATAGAAAAACACTTTTAGAGGGCAAGACACATTTTCTGAGAGAATTTTTTTTTACTTAAAAAATTAACAATGTTCTAGAGAAGTTAGTTTTGTAAGTTTTTCTTTAAAACAAACTTTAGAAAAATCTAAAAGCCCTCCTCTAAGTAAATGTCACTTATGACACACTTACTTAATACTTACTCTGTGACAGGCACTGTGCCCAAATGGAGTTGTTGACAGCCTCCTGAAAGCAATTCTGAGTGTGAATTAAGCAAGATGCTCTTTGAAGAAAGGTACGTTTTTCTCATCTTTCTTTCCTTTTTAAAATTTCTTTGCTTCTCTTTACTGTTTTTTTTCTCTAATTTATTATATGAGGGCCACTTCTGATAAAAGAATAGAAAAAGATAATTACTCTTCTTTAAAAAAAAAAAGCAAAGGAAACAATCTCCCCCTCTAAAGTAAAAAACAAAAAGAAATAAACTTGGCCTAAGATAATATAGCTACTAAGTACTTTTTGACACTTTAACAGTCATTCATTTTATTAACATACATATTATGTGTAAGTCATAGGGTTCTGGCATCTCATCTTCTCAGCTCCCTGTCCATGGCCCATGCCCAACCTCTATCTTTGTCGGTGTAGTATCCTGATTACTTCAGATATAAAGATGTATTCCATGGCAGAAGGACCAGGGAACAGCCGAGATAAGAGATATTAAATAAGTTCAAGGGAAGAAGTGGAAAGCCATTAATCAACAGTAAGGCAAATTGCCGTTGAGTGCCTATTATAGGAGAAAGTATTATATAGAAAGAACATTTTTGGGGGGTTGAAAATTATAAAATGCTAAAGGCTACATAAAAAGTAAATATAAGAAAAAATATGAATTGGATATGAAGTTGGAAATTATTATTTAAAGGGGATAAGATGCTTGAAAGGGTCACAAATAGGTCTTCATTAATAGCTACAATAAAAACAAATAAAAGAATGAGTTGAATGACTTTTATAATTCTCTTTTTGTCCTGATTTTATGTGACCCCACAACAGAATAGAGTCCGTAGAATCTAATGAACATGTAGGCATGTATCACTGTTGATATTTCTGAAAGTTCTTAACATTTCTGTACTTGCTACCAAGTTCTAGATCAAAGTATGTTGTGATTTAAATATATTTTGTGATTTCTTATTCACTGTTGAATTCAAATAGAAATTGGGTTTTCTCTATGACTAGAAGACACTTTCCAAGAAAGATGCAGCATTGATTTTACTGGGTGATCCCATTAGTGGCCTTTATGTGTCATGCTTGTGGTTTCTGAGAGGATGGTTTACATGCTGATACTGGAAAGTCAGTCCTTTAGCAGAAGAATGATATTAATATTTTATTTAGATTATATGCTATGTTCCTGCAAGAATTATGTTTATTATCCTTATTGCTATATGCATGGTGCTAAATACAGTGTCTGTCACATAATATATAGATATTTAGTGAATGAATAAATTCATATTCTCTGAGCTACCACTTCTGGGAAGTAAAACAAACAACAACAGCAACAACAACAACAAAAACTAAAAGAATACCAACAAAGCTGACTACATAATACGGGAAGCATTCAAGAAGCTTTATTCAAGGTGTATTTCTGATATTAATAAAATGTGTGACTTCAGACTAGTCACGTTTTCTTTCTCTAAAAATTTTTCATTTGCAAAATACGGTAAATTGGAGTAGATTATTTGAATGCTCCTCCCAGCTCCAACAATCTTAAAGTCTCTAATTATAATTAAGGAGCAGCAAGATGATGACCAGAAAGAAGGTCAGAGATCAATATTCATAGGTAGAAACATGTCACAAGGGCATATTCAGACAAAGTGCATCCTGACCATGTCCACTGACAATCAACCCTCCACCTGATACACTAATTCTATTCTGGGTCTGGAGAAGGCAATGTGGAGCTCGTATTGAACACACATATGTCAGGGTCTAAAAGTACCAAAGCAACATACCTTATAATCAGCAACTGACTTAAAACCCGAGGGCTAATTCCATGTGAGTGGAGTGACAAGGATTTGATGAATTGTTGACATTTTTGTATTACCTACACACGGATGGCAATATTACCAATTGTACCTTCTCTTGACATATCCAAAGAGCAAAATAGGATTTATATCTTCAGACTATATTATTATTATGGATGTCAATCCCTTAAAAAATGAAAAAAATGATATAACCTTTAGTCTTTCAAGTCTTCTGCTGGCTTTGTCTAAATCTGTAGACTCCTTTTATTTTTACTGTCAAAAGTTTATCAAACAAGAGTCAGAAAAAATCCAAATAATCAAATCAGTATTTAAAGCTTATATTGTCTTCTGAAACTTATAATTGCCCTCAGTCATGCTTTTTGCCATAATATTTATGTCTTAAAACATTTACAGATAGTAACAGTAAAGAGAAGCTGAAAATATAAAAAGAGAAGACCAATGTAATTGTCTTGGAAATATTTTTGCTTTCCAGATGTAATTAGATAATTGCATCACTCTTAATTTTCTTTTCAATTGTGCATACCTCCTAATAATTGCTTAATAGTAAAAATTAAAGTTACACCAAAATCTTATTTATCTCAACCAAATCTTTGTATCCTAATTGAGACAGTATGCTGAAAAACAGAACCCACTTTTGAAGAAAAGCGGTTAAAAATGTGCCTTGATCTGTTGCAGTTTGAGAAATAACTTGCATCTAAAGTTTTTTATTTTTCTTAGAGGCTTTGTCCAGAGTAACTCTGTTTCAAGTTAAAGAACTGATGATGTTTCCTTAATAATCCTTTCTCTCTCTCTCTCTACCTCCTCCGCCCCCTGTCTCTCTCAGTCTCTTCCCTTTCTTTTTCATCTTGTGTCTGCTGCTGCCTGGCAACTTTTCTGTCTGGAAAAAGGCAGGGTAAGAAACTTAGCAGGCCTTGCAATGATAGCTGCAGAAATCCTTAGCAACCTAACTTTCAGGCCAACTCTCCTTCACACACATCTCTTCCATGAGACAGACTGTCAGCTCCAGCTTGTTTAGACACACGTCCTCTCCCTAACTTAACGATGTTCAGATGTGTAGCACAAATTGTTACTATCTACAGTAAGAAATCCAATCTCACAAAAATAATTAAGTTAGCAGAAATGAAATGTGATGTTTGATCACATGTATGGAAACTGTGGCTCTAATTGGGAAGTGTAAGATTACCACTGACTGATAATTAGCATTCATGTGTTGTTTTAAAACAAAAAGGAAGAATGATTGGTTCTACTTTGTTTAATTTATCTTAATGAGAGATTTCATAATATTCTATAGTTTGATGAATTAATTTAACTTGTCAGTGTTAATAACTCTGATTAGAATGAATAAATTATAATGGAGCCTAGTAACAAACAAAATTCGAACGCTCACTCAAGCTTTTCCCTCTTCACTAATAGTGCACTTTATTAATTTATTTTTTCATTAAAGCATATATTATGGGGAAACAAAAGTATTTCATAGAAAATTATACTTAAGCTTTTCATTTATTTATGATCCATTAACATTCAATGGTCATTTAAAACCTAGGAGCAAATTATTTAATTTTAAAGCTCAAATTTGGTCTACACTTTTATCAACCTCACTGATGCTCATAGAAACCAATCTTCTTTTATAAACTGGTCATTTTCAAAGAATATCTGGAAGAAGAACCACTTTATATAAGAGATTTGATGTGGGACAGACAATTTTATCCCATTTCATTTTGACACCGGCTTTATTTCAGTTTTGGAGCAAATATATATTTTCTGCTTAATATTTAATCTGTTTATTTCATATTTTGGCTTCTTGGTATGAATCAGTGTCCTTAGTATAAATTTTAGTCTTAAAAACTCTTAACAAGCATTTAAGTTCATGTGTTGTTGTCCACTTAAGTACTGGTGCATACCTAAGCACCTATACTTTCACCAAATTTTTGAGAGAGGTTTTATACCATTTAGATCTTTATTAATCATGGTCTTAAAATAAAGCTTCAATTTTTTTTTTTTTTTTTTTTTTTGAGATGGAGTCTCACTTTGTCCCCTAAGCTGGAGTGCAGTGGCGCGATCTCGGCTCACTGCAACCTCCGCCTCCCAGGTTCAAGCGATTCTCCTGCCTCAGCCTCCTGAGTAGCTGGGACTACCAGTGCATGCCACTACACCCGGCTAATATTTGTATTTTTAGTAGAGACGGGGCTTCGCCATGTTGGCCAGGATTGGTCTCAATCTCCTGACCTCGTGATCCTCCCACCTCATCTTCCCAAAGTGCTAGGATTACAGGTGTGAGCCACTGTGTCCAGCCTAAAGCTGCAAATTTTATTTTATAGATAATACTTCATTAAGATTAATTCACAGTGGAAATTAGGCTTATCATGTTACCTTTTATTGGTGCTCCAGCCTATACTTTAGTAACTAATCTTCCATATTTACTATCACTATTTTATAGTAACTGTTTTGAGTCCTATGTCATTCATGATTACTGACTTAATTGGTGATTACTTAAGAATTCTATTTTGCTTTATTATTCTGGTCACAATGTGCAGACAATGCATTTTTGATTTTTTTCCACTCAATGAAATAAAAAAGTCAACCAGATGATCTAAAAAGATCATATGGTTTTTACTCTGGCTAATTCATTTAACAGGCTATTAGGAGGCTCTACGTATTTGGAATGTTGTATATTTAGAATACAAAATCTCCTGAGTATTTGCTACTCTTATGATCTTTCCTAGCTTTTCCCTTTTCCAAGCTGACCATGGAATCTAGGGCTGCTGCACGTACTACAGAAGTGAATGAGTTAGTGATTTTTAATCATAGCATTGGGGCACTTTAGTATGTGGTAAAAGTCTTTGGTGGGTCATACTGTTCCTGGCTGCTTTCCTTTACTTTGCAGTGAAGTGGAGGGCGATTGGTGGTAATCTTTCAGAAGAGGAAGAATCTGGATGTCCTTAGTATGGTTTGTAAGCACTCCTCATTTTCTTGCCAAGAGTTAAGTGGATACAGATCTCCTAATAGCTGACCTTCTAGTTGACTGAATGGGATCATGTAAGAAAGACACCTGCTACGTTGTCCCAGTGAATAAGTTTGTCATACAATACAGAGGTCTGTGGACCCTCGAGAAAGAAACATTTATTACTTGGCACATCATTCAAATCTCTCTCTGTCTCTCTCTCTCTCTCTCTCACACACACACACACACGCGCGCACACACACATATTCTTTAAACTCTGCCACTCATTTCAAAGTTTGTGAATTTTCAGTATGAAGTAAAATATGTAAAAAAATCTTTTTATTCTATATTGTACACTATATTATGAAATAATAAAAACATCTAGGAAAAATTAGACATGTAACAACTTTAGAAGAAAAGAAGCATACACTTCTCTACTAAAAGTACAAAAAAATTAGCCGGGCATGGTCGTGGGCGCCTGTAGTCCTAGCTACTCCGGAGGCTGAGGCAGGAGAATGGCGTGAACCCGGGAGGTGGAGCTTGCAGTGGGCCGAGATCGCGCCACTGCAATCCAGCCTGGGCAACAGAGAGAGACTCCGTCTCAAAAAAAAAAAAAAAAATTAAGCATACACTTTTGAATGTAGGAGTCATATTTCAAACACAAAATGGTTGTATTTTCAAGGGAAAGTAAACTTTATAATTTAAAACATGGAAAAAGTGACATAAAATACATTTATAATCACAGAGTAAGAATAAAAAGGTGAAATCCACAGATTATTGACAATGTTCTGCAAAGTCATCTCTGTGTTCTTTCATCTAGTCCAGTTTTTAATGGCTTCAAAGGAGCATCTAAAGATATTTCTGGATAATTTTACTCTCATAAATAGGTAGATAGTAATGCTGGCATTCACTTATAAGTCTCAAACAGCAAAGTAAATAAAGCTTTTAAAGCATCTTCCTTCACTTTTCAATCGTTCTCTTCCTTAGTTCTGTTCCCTTCTCATAGTTTTCCTCTCCACTCATGTCCAGTTTCAAAATATTAAATATAAAACCTTTTCAACTCTTGTTCTTAGAAGAGAATTCCTGATGTTACAAGGAAGAAAGTAAGTCTACAACTATTAAGATTTCTGAGTTTTAATTCCGTAGCCACTTTGTAATGGCAAACTAAAATTTTAGGGACTGGGATGATCATGTTGTAAACTTAAGTGGTCATAAAAACAACTTTACTAATATTATTATTCCAGTGATTCCCGTTGATGCCTCCGATGGCTCGGGAAAGTTCTTACACCGCCCCTGTAGTATATGGAAAAGGAAAACAAAACAAAACACAAAACAAAAACAACAAAACCCTCAAAGCCTGTTTAAAATGGCTCGAAGTACCCTTTTAAAGACAGAACCCCAGAGAAAAACGCTGCCAATTCGTTGCTTTATTGTTCCCTGCCTGGGGACCTCAATAGCCTTTTCCATTAACCTTCCCTTCTTACGCAACGGTTAATGACTTTGGGGGTTGTTTTGCTTTCTGTTTCTGCTGAGTCACTAAATTTTGCCTCTTTGTCCCCAGGTGCTGCTCAGCATAAAAGTTAAAAGTGCAATTCAGGAAGTACTGGGATTCTGTGTAGAGCCGAGGAAACCATTTCCCTAAGAGAAGCTCTGTTCCTTGGCTTGTCCTTCCTTCCCGGGAAGGAAGCTTCCGAGGAACGAAGGGAGAAGCTTTGTTTTGCCTGCAGAAGCAGCCCTGTGCTCGGCTGAGGGTTCTCAGCTGGCTGTGAACTGCGGAGCATTGTAGGCGCCTGGCTGGCTCAGGCCAATGCAGAAGTCTCTCCCTTCTCCAAAGACCCAAATCCCCACAGAACCAGCTTCGAGTTACTTTCCCTTCAAGGGGATTAAAATAATTGTGATTTGTGGCGCTCTCCGTTCGCGGTGGTATTTTCCTGTTGTGTTAAATGCCTCTTATTAAGTAATAGATGTGATTTATGTGAACGACGAAGGGGTGTGTGGTGGATTCGGTGATTAATCAGTGAATTCCCATCCGCTGGCATCTCTCACTGCCCCTCTTGCGTGATGTAAGATCAGACGTACCCTGCATTGAAAAGTCAAGACACACGGGCGTCTCGCTCGCGCTCACACACGCTCTGCCTCCTCTCTCCCGCACGCGCGCATCCCTCCACCTTCCACATCCTGCTCCAGGCAGGAGAAGGCTGACTGGCTGGACTCATTGAGCTGAAGAATTTCCAGTGACATTTGTAAATGACGCCGCTCGATTCCAGGCTCCAAGCGGCCCCTGCCGCCGCCGCCGCCGCCGGGCCGAAGGTGCCGCCGAGCAGTCTCCAGCGCAGGCTTCCTTACCGGGCGACCACAATGTCCGAGTTTCTCCTCGCCTTACTCACTCTCTCGGGATTATTGCCGATTGCCAGGGTGCTGACCGTGGGAGCCGACCGAGGTAAGGAGAACACCTCCCCGCTCCCCTCCCCTGACTTCCTTGGCTTTCCTGCTGGGCGATGCTTGCAGATAAGTGAGTGTGAAACTTAAGTCCTTGCAGCTCCGCTCCCCGGGACCGGGTGACCACCGTGCGCTGGCCCTGTGCGGGGGTGAGAGGTGCGGTGCGGGATTTCTGAACCAAGTGCCTGAGTCCTCGGCACCCCCACAGCTTTTCCCTTTGGCCGTTTCCCGGTCCCCATTTTGTCCCCTCCGGGAGTGTGTGCACTTGGCTGTGCGCTTCTGTCCGCGAATTCTAAGCGCTGCAGATGTTGGAATGAGAATTCGCATTTCCGAAAGACTTCCCTCCGCGATGGCCCTCAACTGCGAGCTTTTGCGAGCTCCAGGTTCTCCGCGTTAAGCGTGTCCGCCCTCAACTTAGCTCCCAGGTTAACTTCCTTACCTGCTGCATTCGAGGTCCGTGGAGCGGCGAAAGCGCCGATTCAGGCCCCTTTCGTTTCTATAGCCCCTTCCTGGGGGCAGACTGGGGTCAGAGTCCTGTCATCAGCAGAGAGGCTTTTAGGACGATTCCGGGCGCACGCACCTGCTTGAAATTGACTTTTCGATTATGAGGGTCTGTGACACAGCCCAGGTGCTCTGAGGGGCTAACCCACCCCTGGAGTGCCTCTCTCCAGTCTGGCGCTTTGCTTTTCCTTTTTCTCCAAGCAGCTGGTGAATGGTAGAAGTTTAGAAGGGAATGGATATGGGGAGCAGAGGAGAAAGGAGGTAGGAATTAGAAAAAGCCGGGATTCTATAAACTTTTCATCTGGAAAATCAAGAATCCCTGTGCGAGTTTAATAATCTTTGACAACAGATGCACTGGTGAAAAAGGGAGGAAAATACTAGATGAATATTTGGGGCACTGGCCCTGGCCTTGGAATGGTTAACTGGTTAAAGTAAAATCAGAAGTATCATAGATTTTTTTAAAATCAGAAAATGAGCTTATATTGACTGGTATAGTTCAGCTTTTTAGTTTAAATAAGAGAGAGAGAGAGAGAGAGAGAGAGAGAGAGAGAGAGAGAGAGAGAAAGAGAGAAAGAAACCCAGATCCCAATGCCAAGCAAATAGGCAGAATGTTGCATTGGGAGATTTAGTTATTGTATTTACATGAAGCAGATTATGAATTGACAAAAAATATTGCTTCATTATAGGAAAGAACAGGGGAATGAACTGCAGTGTTTCTATTCAACCTGCTGTTGGCAGCCAGATTCTAGCCTTTGTAACATACCTACACGTGTTATTTCCTCTACCAGTGGTGGGACTAATCTGAGTTCCTTTAGGAAATCTGACACTTATTGGTGATAATCTTTTAAGCATATCATTGCCACCTAACCATAGCTTCTGAACTTGCTCAACTTGCCTTGAAGTTGGTGTGGAATGGTTGGAAACTATACTGATGAAATGGAAGCACATAGCTCGCCTTGAAATGATGATGTCTTTGATCTGGAACAATCAGCTCTCAACCTTTCTTAGGAAAAATGTTTGAAGTTGGACCAGAGCAGATGAACAGAATGGAGATTTTCAGCCCAGTATGCTAGCAAAATATAATGGTACTGGCAGACTACTGCTATTGGGCTCTTCCTGATTGAGTCTCCAATCTCCAGAAATTTGACTTCATCTAAAGCTGAGTTCTCAATGCTTTTGTATACATTTATGAGGATAGAACTACTGCTACCATGATTGGAGTAAATATCTGAAGAGAATTTTGTATAGAACATAAAAAATACAGACCCCACAACTTTCTTCTGAGATAGAATATTAAATAACTAAGAGGATTATATTTGGTGCCAATTTAGTTTCATGAGGGAGAGGAACATCTAAGATAGAAGCAGAGCACATGGTAAACGATTGCTAGTTTTTTTCTAAAAAATGAAATAGTGTCGTGTTGTATCACCACGTCCACATGAAGTACTATATCAGATAGCACAAGTAAAAATAATTGTAGACCAGCACTTTGCCACTATTATATATTTAACACACTTTCAAAACTGTTAGCAAAGAGCTAAAATTCTCACAGTTACCAAAAGTGAAAAGGATGGGCCCCATTTGGAAAAAGGAATTTTAAAGAGAGAAATCTTGTTGAAAGTTAAGAAAGAAAGTGTTACTGCATTATGACAAGCTTCCCTCACTAATATGCTGAAACAGAAGATATGGGAATATAAACTCAAGAAAGAGGTTAATGAGATGTAACTTTCTGCACAGGCTTATGTCAATCGTCCTTGAATAACAGAACAGGCATGTGAATTATACAGATGCGTTTTGTAGTGCAAGAGCTAACTGCTTGACAAAAAATGAGAATTCACATTTAGGTTCTACGTGTACTTATTGTGTAATAGGTAGCTTCTCAAACTGTATGAACTATATCAGAAGTGTTTGTATTACCTTCTAGCTGTGTTTTTCCTTTATACATTCATAAGTTCAAACATTGTATTAAATAGAACAAGGCTTGAAACTAACTCGTATGTTTATGTTCAAACCATATACGTGCACTTGTCTTTTAATTCCTTATTGTTTATTTTATTAGTTTATATTGATTCTATATAGAGCTAAACTAATGTACATGTAAGTTTTTATTACATTCTATCACATCTTAAAAAGGAAACATCTTTGTAACTCTTAACAGCCAAAATTGGAAGATAAATCAGATTCACTTAGAATCAACTAATTTGTCATATAACAATGTCATATCATATCAAAGTATTGCTTGATAAGGATTAAAACTTAAAAGGAAGTATATCTTAAAGTGTCAAATTTTCTGAAAAGGGATTGAGAGGCCTAATGCTAGTCTGTGTTAAATTCTCGAGTATGATACAATGTGGAGACACATTTCCAAATAATTAAAGTTCATGCTGTTATAGTCATTTTAATGTATCTGTATAGAAAACCATCAAACAATGGCAATTAAATGTATATCAAAATTTTAATCTCCCCTCAAAGAAGAATGAACTGCGATTTATGTCTCTTCATATGCCACAAATAACATTAAAGTTTTGTTTTGAAGAGGTTGCTAATCTTTGAATTTGTTCTCTTTCTCTCTTCTCAAGCTCAAATTTAAACTGAGTGAGAGAGAAAAGAGAAAATGGAAAAGGTAAAGAAAGAATTTAAATGTGCTAAAACAATAAGAAAGAATGTGAATTGCAGAAAACAGAATTCAGGAGGAAAAATGGAGTTAAGAGAAAGCTGAAGATAAATTTAGGAAAAAGATGAATGGATGGATGGATGGATGGATGGATGGATGGATGGATTCTGCCATACATCAGAATCTGAATCAGTATTTCTTGAATAGGTTAAAATATCTTTAGACAAAATAATTTCTTAAAATGTTTTTATCTCATTATTAAAAACATTATATGAAAATATTTACAGTATAAAAATAATTTAAGGAAAGTGCCACCAGTGTGAATCTGAATATAATTAGACCTCTAAGAATGGAGAGAGACATGAGAATATTGCAGAAAAATTAAATATTAACTGTGCTAGAATTACAAATATGGAAGTGATTTTTTAAAAATGTAAGTGAAGGTAAAGGAAATTTTCTTAGAAAGGGTGCTAGATGAGTGATATGGTTAATGTATTCTTAGGACTTAGATGACACTTTCTAAATGCTGCTTGTTTTTCAAGGTGGAGGTATGCAGAAATACTTAGTTTGCAAATCTATTGGATCCAGGACATTAGTTTCTTGCCAGTTACCTTGTCAATTTCTTTTCTCAGCCCAGGGGATACCATAAAAATCAGCTCCATTTAAAGTCACCTGAACTGAACAGGACTTGGTCTTCTACAAGGATTATGATGTTGAGGGAACTTTATGTCTTTTCTCCATTCTATATATGGATCCAGTTTTTTATGTTTCTGCCATTAATTTTTGTATCTTAATGTGAAATGTGCAACTCTCCCTCCCTTTCCTTCAGCATTTTCCTGGTTATAGGAATTCTGTGTAGTAAAAAGTACCAATCAAACATACTGATAGATTTCTCTATCTTCTGTGGCTGTCTGTCAAAACAATTCTTGTACAAAGGAAACACTTGTCTTCATTCTAGATAGATGCATTCAAAGAAAGTAGAATTAATCCTAAAAGTTAAACATGCCTGTGCCAACATGATATCATTCGTCAAACTAAGTTAGTAGTAAGTGGAACCCAACTATACAATTGCCCCCAACCCCGTTTTTAATCTCTCTCTGTGTGTGTTTATGTGTGTCTGTATATCTGCTTTAAAATGGCTTTCCTTGGCACAAACGCCATTAAAAATACCACTCTGGCTTGAAAATTGGTGATGGTTTTTATGAATGAAACTTTTGCTTTTGAAAACTCCAGATAAACATGTCTATTTATCTGGACAAAAAAAAAAGTGAAATGAAAAAAATTTTAAGTTATTTTTTGACTCATAGCATATAATATTCTAATACATTTCGATATAACAAGTATTTTGTTTTAACAGAATCTGACTGTGTGGCAGAAACACGTGTCAAAATTATCTGCTTTTGAAATGAATATAATTATGGTATACCCAATGCTTATAATTTGAAGCAATACATTTAGTAGCAGAATGCTAAAGAAAATAAAGCCAAAGACTGAGTTCCATTATGAATTAATCAGAATATATGCTCAGCCAAACTCCTATGAGAAAATATCTATGTCTACCTTAGATAGTTTTAAAACTTTTCTTAAATTTCTTCAAGAAACCTGGCTTCCCCCATATAATCCAAGAATAATGACCAAAACTATCTTGATGCATAGAAAGGTCAAATAAGAAGGTTTTTCTTTTGGTTTTGGCAGAGGAGGGGGGAGAGTAGGGAAAATTAGCTAATCAAACAGAAAAATGTCAAGGGATGCTTTTTATTTTCTTCTGTGGAGTTGCTATACATTTTCACATGGATAGCTATTCCCAAATTTAACCTGTGTCACAAACCATTGTCTAGAGACATAGAAATGAAATTGCAACAGAGCAATCACAAATTGTATAGTCTATAGGCCTTGGGAACATTCTCCAGTTATTTTATTTTGGATGGAGATTTTTAAAACTTATTAGTTTTTTGGGATAAAATATTATTTAAACAGTAAATAAGACAAAAAATGAAAATATCTCTAAAAATAATTTGAGTTTTTAAAAGTTGGTTTTTGGACTAATTTCCATATGTGAGTTCCACTGGCACAGAATGAGTGTCTTTACCTCACTCACTCAATTTTGAAAAGTATTATACTTGCAATAGTATTGAATCTCTGTTCTGGCTCTTCAGTCCTCTCTCATTTGAATAACATGTCAATCTCACCAAGTACATATGAACCCTCTATTTTAGAGAAAGGAGAATGAAGGATTCAGGAGATTCTGCCATTCAGCACAACAAGTAAGCTTACATCTTCCAAATGTATATGCTGTTTTTTTTCTGTTTGTCTTCTATAATCTGCCCTCACAATTTTAAATCTATATTTTCCTCTTCATAAATGATCAGATGGCCTCCCTTTTTCCCCTGGCATAATTACAAGGCCAAGTTAGAAAGTATGTATTATGTATTGCTCTGTTCTAAATTGAGTGATATTAAAATGTAGAGTCAGTCTCACTCTCTCCATCTCTCTTTCTCTCCATCCTTTCTATTTAGGCTATCTCTATACAAGCCCACATATTTTGACTGAGCTCCCTGACTAAACCAATTGATGAAACTGACTAGTAACTAAATGGAAATCAAAACTATTAAATAATAGCCATACATCCTGTAAAAAAAAAAAGTAAGACTGGTCTTGCAGGAAAAGCCTAAATTGAGATTCTATGAAGAAACAATAACAACAACATATTTCCCTGAAAGAATTATGCAACATATTTCTAGTTTGCAGAGCAAATCATATGTGCTTTTGCTGTTGTGTCTCTCATACTAGGCAAATGAAATATTTTTGGTAGTAACTACATATTTATATAATGGGGTATTATACAAGTTTAAAACACTATTAGAAAATAAATAAGTATTCTGAATTCATTTGTACTCAAAGAGAATTTACTATATTGAAAGTGGAAATTTATTATTTTTCTTTTTGTCTTTACTTTTTAACTGAATTTGTATTTCTCCATTTTGTGAAACATTAAAAAAAACTTAAATATATTCCAAAATGTGATTTCAAAGATTTTCTCTCAATAAAGAATATATATAGTGGAAATCATTCATAAATTGGACAACAGGATTAAATGCTCTTTTAAATATGACTATAATAATTTTCATATGCAGTCACATTAACTTAGTTTTAGTCTACAATTAGGTACCCAATTATGATTTTTAAAAATGCAATGGCATGAATAAATAAATGAGTATACCCATTTGTTGATCTTATTCCCTATTACTTCAAATTTGTAAGTATCCTTAGTGGAAAAGAGTAATGTTCATTTTGGAAATAATCATGTCTCAACATGATTGGGGTCTACTCAAGGGGGAGGGTGGGAGGAAGAAGAGGAGCAGAAAGGATAACTATTGGGCACTGGGCTTAACACCTGGGTGGTAAGATAATATGATCAACAAACCCTTGTTACACATGTTTACCTATGTAACAAACCTTCACATGTACCCCCAAATCTAAAATTAAAATTAAAAAAAACATGTTTTTCTGTTGTTCAATAACTCTACTCATATTTGTTTAATAATGATGTATTGTCTACATTTGGGATTTCTTCTTAAATATTGCAGAATAGTTGTAAATACGTAACGCTTTTCAAAGGTGTCTTTACCTTTAGAAAAGAAAGAAAATTAATTTTGATTAATACATTTGTACCACAGATCCATTTGTTTAATCTTATTTTTCTCAAATATAAGCTCGTATATAAAAGTTTCTCAGATATAAGCTTGTGTATTTAAAAGTTTCCATTTAAACATGAATAATATTATAACTATATCCTTTACAGAAGTTGAGAAAGTACCTTTTCATATACAATTTCTTCCAACTTTGTTAAGAGAAAAATAACCAAAAAAAAAAAAAAACTTCTTGAAGAAGATAGATCATGTTGCCTTGCTAAGATACCGACATTACATTTCATCTCACAATACATTCTTATTAACAGTCAGACATCTCTTCCTGAGTTGCATACACCTCATTGTCCTGACTGGCTTAGCCTTCAGACCAAAGACAGGTATTGTTGAAACATGACCTCATTTTAGTCAAAAGAATATGTTTCTTCTTTAGGTAAGATCAAGGTACCACCTATCGTCTCTTGTTTTATTCTTGCAATCAATAGGACATCCCTTCCTAACTTTTCCACATTGCATTGACATCCTTCAAGATTTCCAAGACTGCTTAACTTTAGAAATACGAATATATAATTCCTTAAGAATTTTTCTACCGCTGAGTTTTTCTTTAATGACGATTTGTCATCTTAGCCCTTTCTTCTTAAAATGAGAAAAGATAACTAACAATGAGTTTTGGGGAGAAATGAAACTTAGTTATGGTTGCTTTGTGTGTTCCTAGCATATCTTAAGATATTTGTGAGAAAGAAAAGCTGTAGGTGTAATGCTGATAACCGAAATGTGTTTAGAATCATCTGTTTTCTTTTGAAACTAGGATGTGTAAGGAAAGGAAGAAAAACAATGCCAAGAAAGAGAACTTTGATAGTCAGAATTTATTGAAGCTTCTGTCCACTACTGCTCAGATCAAGTAGCTGAGCTAATTAGAACCTTAAACTTTTGCTAAAATAGATATTATAGAGATTTAAAAATGATTCAGTTTTTAGATTATCTAAGACATTTTGTGCATTTCCAAAGCTTTTAATGGTATATTTTTATTGGGACAAAAATGTTAGAATAGCAAGTGTGCTTTATTGAAATATTCCACTTTATCCAACTCTATTAACTTTTAAGGCATTTTTTTCATGACTAAGATCTGGAAGTACAGTGATAATGACACCACCTCGTGAGTGAGATTCTTGCCTCATCAGGTGAAAGCACTACAGATTGTGCCCACTGGGCATCCATATTTTTGAGATTTTCATTAAGCATAATAACTACATCAGATTTGTAGATGGAATTACTAACTCAGAATTCAGGCACTCTTGCTGAGCGCCCTTGTATTGATGTCATTTCTAACACAAAGACTAGCAGTTCAGGAGCACTATATTGATGTCCTGTAATACAACAGCACACTAATCTTATTTGCAAGAAAATTTGATGACTATCCAACATGATCAACATTTAGAATATCTAAATCTAAATGTTGAATTTAGATATACTAAATATATCAGATATTCAGAACTTAAACCTTCTTCTTTGTCCGTTGTTGTATTACACTCAATTCTACAGTTCCTTCTCCTAGCACGTTTTCTTCCTATTTTCACTTGCTAGTGATCTTGTCAAATATTTAGAAATTAATCTTGACAGTGAAAGAACCAACATCTTAGCACATTTTGACTTCCTTTGCTATTCTCATTGCTAGGAGAACATAAAGTAATGAAGGGCATGAGGGTTTTACCTTGTGTGTATTTTCATCTGGGTGTCTATGAAAACACCACCAGAGTTTTACAGAAAATTGCTCCGACCCATTCTGAGAAGATAAACATAGCTATGACCCTAACGTTCTGTGAGTGCACAGAGTGTAATGTCTGTGAAAACACATCGTATCATGTATTGCATTACATAAATACCTATTATTTTATTAATTATATTAATTGCTTAATATGAGTTACTAATAGCAAGAAGCTCTTTACATTTTCAGCATACCTTCGCTTTTCATTCAAATTTTTTTTTTCTTGCTGAATCACATGATCCTTGAAGCAACTCATATAGTTGGTGATCACTCATGTGTTTATTCACTCATTTGACAAAGATGAGCAAATAAGTGGTAATCACTATTTTACGTGGTTGGAATGAAGCAAGTGAACAAGGTAGACAATGTAACTGGGCTGATAGGGCTTTAGTGCAAGAGGAGACAGAAACAGCAAACAAATAAATAAATAACATCCTTGCTAAAAAGAAAGAAAAATAATGTAATGTGACTGAGGACAATGCAATTGGGAGTCGTAGTTATAATCGCAGAAGGCCTTGTTGAGTAAGTGACATATTTGGTAAAACTAAGTGACGAGAGGGGACAAGCTCTGAGTCATCTAGAGGGAGGAATTTTCTATGCAACCCTTGAGAGGAAGTTGTGATTTTGGTATTTTAAAGAAAGCAGGTCACTTTGTCTGAAATAAACTGTGTGTGTTTGGGAGAGAACAGAAGTAGAGAAAGCCATATTTACAGTGAAGTCAGATTAGGTCAGGTAGGGTCATGCAGATCAAATTGAGGCATTTGGGTTTGGTTCTGATTTTGAGCAGCTACTGGCTGTCTAATCAGAGGTGAAAATGATGCAACTTACTTTTTAAAGAGATCATGCTTGGTCTGAAAAGAAGGACAAGAAGGGAAATGATGAATCCAGTTCAGGGATTATCAAATTCATCCTGGAAAAGATGTTGATGGCTTGAATGAGGGAGTAGTAGTGGCAATAACGACAAGCTACAACAGAGATTTGCATTTTTAGTTTAGAAAGATTTTCTATAAGAACGAATGCAGCACCATTCTATGTATTAGGGAGGATAGGCATGAAATAAAGCCGCAAAAGATAATCTTTGGGGGAAAGGGTTAATATTCTAATCAGATAATAAATTATTTCAGGCTATTTTAAATGGGTACATTCCATTTTGCAGTGCCTTTTATTGATTTGTGTAAAACATGGTTCACAATAAAAGTCACATGATGGTCATATGTGGGCCCTACAATATTGTTTACTTTCTTATTGCTTTTTCTTTTATATTTCAGAATTATTAATACCATATTTCCTAACACCCTGTGTTTGCCTATGCCATGTCTGTAAAATGGAATTAATTGAGTCTGACTCACAGTATTCTTTAGGGAATTAGTTAAAATGATACACTTAGCAATGTTTTAAGCATTGACAAGTATGGAAGCAATAATTTTGCTGTTATTTCTATCAACATAAACCAGCATAATAGCAAAAGAAACAGGCATTGGCCTATGAAGACTTATTTGGGTTTGTTTGTTGAAGAAATTTGCAGTGTTTTAAAGAAAGAGCTCCTTTTCAATTGTCCCTGAATTCTTGACATGATTGAGAAGAGTTTGTACTGACACTCAAGTTCCTGCTGATGAATATTTAATTAGGAAAAAGGGAAGAAATTGTAACAAAGCTATTATTGGCTGTATTCATCACCCTCCCTGGAAATTCCAAGAAAACTGTAGTAAAGGCCGGGCATGGTGGCTCACGCCTGTAATCCCAGCACTTTGGGAGTCTGAGGTGGGCAGATCACCTGAAGGCAGGAGTTTGAGACCAACCTGGCCAACATGGTGAAACCCTGTCTCTACAAAAAATACAAAAATTAGCCAGGCATAGTTGCATGTGCCTGTAGTCCCAGCTACTCAGGAGGCTGAGGCAGGAGAATCACTTAAGCCTGGTAAGCAGAGGTTGCAGTGAGCAGAGATTGTGCCACAGCACTCCAACCTGAGCAACTGAGACTCTGTCTCAAAAAACAAACAAACAAAAAAACCTGTAGTAAAGAAGTGAGTGGTGAGGATCTGCCAGGTTAGGAGAACCTACCAGGTAAGAGTTTATGATATACGGTTATTACCTGTTGGACAATTAGAGCCCTTGGATTATTCTTATGTATCTACACATTCATTGAATAAACATTGTAGTGCCTGACATGCTAACATGTACCAGTCTCAGTGTGGTTTGTAGACTCGGAGGCAGAAATAACCACCCTATTAAAACCAAAACTAGAAAATAAAAACACTAGCAATTGTACAACTTTGGATTGTCAAGGAAAGCTTGCTTGTGGATACGGATCAAACGGTTTGGGGTCTATTTAGTCCTTGTTGAAGCTAAAAAGGAAAGAGAGAGTGAGAGGCAAAGAAAGACAAAGGAGGAAAGTACTATAAAAATGATGGAAAGAAAAATATCACAGCCTAGAGAATATATGAAAAAAAGAGAAAGGAATACACTATTTGAAGGAAATATTGTTACTGTTAAGCTGATTGAATTACCCTGGGTCCTAAGGTATTTGAAGATTGTTTTGGGATTTTGTTCCTATGATTTTTTTCATTGCTCTGTTTTCTCTTTTGGTGCTTTCTCTCCCATTCTCCACTGTGAGAAAAAGTGAGAGTTTAGGTTTATAAGTTGATGTCCAAATCTGCATTTCAGAGTACCAGCTTAATCCCCAAAATATCTCACTCAGTTTGTTTTTAGGTTATGAAGAGCATCTAAACAGAGTGCCAAAAAGGCAGCTTGGAGTAATCAACCCTTTTAAACACTATTTAATTTATATTGCTGGACCTGCAGCATTGTGGAAGAATATACTTTACTTCAACCAGAGAAATTACCTTGGAAATGCTACATGATCATTATAAGTAATGTATAAGAAAATAACTTGCTTTCTTAGTTTTCAAGCATGGTATGTTTTTACACTTAAGGGAAGAGACACTAAACATGCATTAGGTTAAAATGAAAAGAGATTCAAAGCTCAGGCATTTAAAATTTTAGAAATGCCTAAATAAAATATTGAAGCAAAAGATCTCAACTAATTTATTTGTTGTGTAAAGAGCTTACTTGCAGGTTTGGTAGATATTTGCTAGATGCATGTGTAGAAATATAATTTGTCACTTTAAGTTTACTTTTCATTCATGTTGTCAAACCCTCTTTGATAATTTGGCTCCAAAATTTCAATGCTAAAGTCAACATTATACCTTGAAATAAGTTAAATATGAAACACATACCAAAATTTTATTAAATTTTACAGTGACTGAACCAAATGAAATTTGGAGCTGGAGATTTTGCATTAATATTTAATTTGGGACTCACTGTAAATTTGTTTGCTGTGTACTTTAGCAGAGGGGTGCCAAATGTTTGGAAATAAATTAATCTAAGTAAATAAAAACAGCAGAAAGGGGAAGGGTTACTTGTATATATGTGAATACGAGGTATGATTTATGCCCCCTGACTGGAACTCTGCTCATATCACACCAAAGTCTGCTGAAGGGCTTTTTTCTTTCATAAGGAAAGTACTATGGGAACAGGTTCAAAATGAATATAAGGGAGTTATTTATATATTAGGTAAAGCACAAAAATGATAATTACTGACTGCACACTCACAGTTAAAGTCATTTGGGCAGAAAATGTTGACCCGTTGGAACAGACCATAAACCTGCTGTAAAGAGCCAAGGGAAGTAACCAAAGCGTATTCAGATAGCTGTGAAGCTGGGGAGACACCTGAAAAATCTAGCAATAGCGTGAAAATCACTTAAGTAAAAAATAAACTTTCAGAGGCTGAAGCTATTTGAATTTACCAAGATTTAGAGATGAATGCCAAAGAGGATTAGTAAAATTCTTCCATGCAAAATACAACAGTAATGGCTCCATCACGACATTGTAAACCCAAGCCCGAGAGTCACTATGTAAGTGAGAGTTGAGTGCAATTTGTAATAAGAATAAAAACATTTCCTTAAAAAGCAAAGAAAAAAAAATCATATAAAGGAACCCGAAGTAGGAATCCTGCCCTTTTTCTTCCCTTCTGCAGGCAAAAGAAAATGATTGGCAACTTTTCTTCTATGGTTTCACAGAGAGAAATAGGGTTGACTGTGGCTTCTGAGATTCCTAGACTCAGAGGAAAAGGCTGCTTAAATTTCTATGCTCATCATGTCAAGCAATGGCACTCAGACATATTTGACTGATCTTTATGGATTAAAAGTCAAGATATAGGGCAAGCTTTGCAAACACAAAAGCATATAGCAGCCAGGCTGGTCAGAAGATGATGTGGGTGACTTGTAAATTGGAGAAAATCCACACTGTCCAAAAGGGCAGCTGATATTCAACTTGAGCAGACTCTGGCCTTGAGTGATTGTGGGCCCAGGGTTACAGGCCTTTAAGACTGGCTGGGAATCTGAATTTTTATGGAAAATATCCTAAGTTTTAAATATTGCCTATCAAGATAAAGCAGAAAACACATACACAGACTCTCTCTTTCTCTCTCTCTCTCACACACACACAAACACACACACACACAAATAAAAATCCATTGTGGGAACCAATAAAGCAAGTTGCTGGATTCAACATTGAGGCTAACAGCCTGTGGTTTACTATGCAACCCCTGAGTTGCCGATATCAGTAGAAGGCTGGACTGGGTCACAATGAAAACATGTTTTTACTTGGTGCACTGCAGGCAAAAGATGGCCCTAGAGAGCCGAGCATAATGACTAGATATTTCGACTGGGCCATTATGGCAGGATGTGGGTTCGGAAAGAAGAATACGAGGATGAATCCTGCATTTCTGTCTTCACATCTTCCTCCCCCTTGCTAAACGTAAAGCAGAATCGGGGGAGAGAACGTGGATGCAGAGAAAATCATTAATGACCCAGCAGAGGTTTAATGATATTAGACCCAATTGTGACTTAACATGGGATCATGTTTCTGAAAGTGCTCTAAGAAACAAAACTCTCTTAATACTAATGAAGAAATGCTAAGCGGAGATTTCAGCCTTAGTACTGCAGGGACCTGGGGGAAAATATTCCGTGTGGGAAGTAACAGCACGTGGTTGAAACAACATTACAATGTCACACACACATTGTTAGTGAAATGTGGAAGGAAATAAAGAAAAGAAAAAAAGGGAGCAGAAGAAAAACACAGCAAAGGGAAGACAGCAGAGATATGATTCTGATAAGTAGACAAATTCTCATACTGAGATACAAATGAGATCACATTTAGGTTTGTATTTTATCTTTCTGTTCCTTGGGAAGCTGTGACTAAACAAGGGCCAACTGTGTGCTCTATTACCACACACTGACTTCAGACTTCATACATGTGTTTCACATAAGAATTAGTTTATCCAAACTCATTATTTGACGAAGTATTTTTTTAACTTTATATTTTGATATAATTTTAGACTTACAGAAAATTTGTAAGTCTAATACAGAGTTTCCATATACCCTTCAACCAATTCCCCAGATACTAACATAATACATAACTATAATACAATATTAAAACAAAAATGTAGCATTGGCAAGACAACATTATTAATGAGGGTATAGATTTTATTCATATTTTACCAGTTTTTTCCACTAATGACCTTCTATCCCAATATCCAATCCAGGATGCAATGTTCACTGCATTAAATTGTCATGCATCCTTTGATTCATCCAGTTGGTGAGAGTATCTGTCTTTCATTTACTTTTATAACCTGGGCTCATTTGAGGACTGCTGGTCAGTTCTTTAGTAACTGTCCTACAATTTGGCTTTGTCTGATGTTTTCTCATGATCAAATGGAAATTATGCATTCTTGTCACAAAGAGATGTGCCCTACTCAGTATACCCTTGGGAAATGCATGACAATATACCCTATTATTAGTTATGTTAATCTTGATCAATTGAGTGAGGTGATATCTTTCTCATTCTTTTTTTTTTTTTTTTTTTTTTTGAGACAGACTCTCGCTCTGTCACCCAGGCTGGAGTTCAGTGTTGCGGTCTCAGCTCACTCCAACCTCCTCCTCCCAGGCTCTTGAGTAGCTGGGACTACAGGCATATGCAACCGCACCCAGATAATTTTTGTATTTTTAGTAGAGATAGACATTTCACCATGTTGGCCGCCTGCTCCCACACTCCTGACCTCAAATGATTCACCCGCCTTGGCCTCCCAAAGTGCTGGGATTACAGGTATAAGCTACTGTGCCCAGATGCATTCTTTCTACTATAGGTTTATTAATTGGAATGCTTCTCTAAGGAAGAGCTGTCACTTCCCCCATATATATATATATGTATATATATATATTACATATATATGATATATATTACATATATATGATATATATTACATATATATGATATATATTACATATATATGATATATATTACATATATATAATATATATATTACATATATATTATATATATATTACATATATATTATATATATATTACATATATATTATATATATATTACATATATATATTACATATAATATATATATTACATATATAATATATATATTACATATATATAATATATATTACATATATAATATATATATTACATATATAATATATATTACATATATAATATATATATTACATATGTAATATATATATTATATATGTAATATATAATATATATTATATATAATTATATATTATATGTATGTAATATATATATATAGGTATAGACTCACAGATATTTTATTTTATTTTTTGTGATATAATCTAGTACTATCACTGTTTATTTTCTCACTCAAATTGTTCCACCTTTGGCCACTGGGAGCTCTTTCAGTTTGCCTCCTCTACCCTTTGACATATCTTCAACCTTTTTTGAGCGCTTTCTTATTTTCTAACACTGCCAGATGTTCCAAGCTCATCTTGTATTTTTTTTTCTCTGTTTGCAGCCTGGAATCAATCACTTCTCTAAAGCATTTCATAGGATGTTGAAATTTTACAGACTTCTAACTGAATGCACTCTCTTAAGTATCATAAGGTTATCTTAAAGGTGATAACCAATTGCAAGAACAATTCCTCCGTTAATATGTTTTACTGTTCCAAAAGAAATCATTTTGCTCATTACCTTATGTATTTCTATTTTTAATTTTTATGGATTCATAGAAGCTGTACATATTTATGGACACGTCATATTTTGATACAAATATACAATGTGTAATGATTGAAACTGGGTAATTGGGATTTTTATCACCTCAAACATTTATTATTTCTTTTTGTTGTCAACATTCCAAATCTTTCACTTTGAAATGTACAATAAATTATTAACTATAGTCACCCTATTGTGCTATCAAACACCAGATCTTTTTCTGTCTATCTAAATGTATGTTGTAATCATTAACCAGCTACTCTTCATTTCCCACCCTAGCACACCTTTCCCGGGCTTCAGTATCTATTGCTCTACTCTCTACCTTCATGAACTCCCACATATAAGTAATAACATGTGATACTTGCCTTTTTGGGCCTGGCTTATTTCCCTTTGTTTAATGCCCCCCAGTTCCATCTATGTTGCTGTAAATGACAGAATTGTATTATTTTTCATGACCGAATAATATTTCATTGTGTATATGTACCACATTTTGTTTATCCATTCATCTTGATAGATACTTAGGTTGATTTCATATCTTGGCTGTTATGAATAGTGCTGCAATAAAAATAGTGGCACAGATATCTCTTTGATATGCTGATTTCTTTTCTTTTAGATATATACTCTGCAGTGGGGTTGCTGGACTAGAACTGTTCAATACTTTAATTTTAATATTCACTGCAATAATTGATTATATGCTGACTAAAATTCTGAATTACTATGATTACTTCTTATGATGCTCCTTAAGGCATTTGAAATCCACTGTTTTCAAAGTTTCTGAGGAAAAATATAGATACGTTTTATAAAACAGACTACTGCATATTGATCATTTTTAGGGAAATCTGTGTTAGGTATGTTGACTTAAAAAGAAGCATAAGCAAGTCATATAAAAGACAATAGCAAAGGATTTGATCAGAACTGGGAGGTAAGACACTGGGTCTATAAGGATTCTATATCTTGGCTTGCAGAAGGGAGTGCATAGATAAGTAGATGCTAGATATAGTGAATGGGTTTAATGTTTCGGACCAGTCATGACCAATTGGTGGTGGCTGTTCATACTGCTCTATAGAAAGAGATCCTATACTGAGTCTGGATTCATTGGTAAAGGGCATTGTTATCAGTTAGTGATGTTTCCAGTGATCACAGCTGGAGGACTGTGTATAGAAGTTTGAGTATCTGGCCTGCTTAGTTACCATTTCTGGTTGAGTTAGCACAATAAGAGGCTCTAGTAATTATCACTGAAAAGGATGGTGCCTGTCCATGATCCAGAATTCCCAATGAACTAACTGGTAAAATCCCAGCTAATGGAACAAGCATTGCTTTGAATAAAAACAAGTGTCCAGAATCTTCTTGAAAGGCCTAGGATCTCCACTGTTTCAATGTACACACGTATTTATTTATTTAGTTAGTTAGTTTTGTTTTTAGTGCTGCTTCACCATGAACACAACATTGTTGTGTTCTTTTTGTTTTAAAATTTCTGGTGGCTGATGAGACCTTGTTCTACATGATCATTTCCACTTTCTCCTAACTTTGAAGCTACATTTTTTTTTTTGTGGCAACTGTAAAGGTTACTCCTAACCTCATTCTCTAAAAACTCTGATTCTTCTTAGATATTTGTATATATCCAGTTTTAATGAGGTATTGCTTAAAAATTATAGATATGGAATTACTAATCTGACAATTAGTTTAACTTCTGATAATAGCTCTAGTAAGGTAGTGAGAAACAGAGCTAGCTGGAAAGTAATGTAACACCCATATTGAATTTTTAACAACTTAATACATTTTAGGAAATGATCCTTCTGAAAGGCATTATGGCTTGCTGAGAAAAGCTGTACACTGGGAACCAAGAGAAGTGGGCTTGATTCCCAGCTCTGCATCTGACTCACTCTTTGTCCTTGGGCAAGTCACTTAGCCTCTCTCTGTGTCTATTTCCTGTCTTGTAAAATCAGGAGAATAATGCATAAAGCCTCCCACCTTACCAAGATATGTTGAGGCTGCATTCTATAACCACCAGGGGGAAGAAAGATTCCTTTCTTTCTGGTGGTTAAGTACCAACTTATTTTTATTAGCATCTAGTTAGATTAAATTTTGCAATAAGAGAATGGAATTACAAATAACTTCAAAGAGTCCTTTAATCCATGACTTTACACTGGAATTTTATTGCAACACACATTGCTTTGTGTTAATACACCCATTGGCTAGCAAGAGGCTTTGAGAGTCTTGTGTGTACATACATATTCAATGCCTCAATCTATTTGAGTACCTACTATAGAGTCTTGTACTGAGCACATCAGAACCAATTCGAAGAGTAGAAGATAGAATCCTGGGGAGAAGAGGCTTAAACACCAGAAACAATTAGAGAACGCCATCTAGAAATATTTATTCAAAAATGTTATTGTCAAGATTCTAGTTTAGACAATGAGGAAATCAATGTAGTCTGGAAAATCACAGAGCAATGCCATGCAATAGATGGAACAAATGCCTCTGATTTTATGACATCTTCCATGATTCCTCCAGTAAAACTCATCTTCTTTATTTCCCTCCCGAATTTGATAGCTCATTTTACATTTTTCCAATTTTCTCTATCTTTTATGGCTTTTTAAAACATTTTTTTCCTTTTAACTACTACATAATCATGGATCACACATTATATTTGGTTGTTCTTTTTCTTAATTCTCCTTTTATAATGAATTGTAGTCCCTCCCTATTTTTTACATGAGTTTGACCTTTTGAAATGATTCCGTCACTTATAGAATATTCAATGTTCTGAATTTGCTCTGACTTTCTCATTATTTTATCTATCTTTGTCCTCTATAACTGATATTTTCTGTAAACTAGATATTAGATCTATCGCCTAGACTAGAGTAAGGTTGAGCATTTCTGGGCGGAATGTTTTCTGGGTGGTGTTAGGCATCTGTATATTAATAACTGTGATGTAAGTTATCGGTACATGTACTAGTAGAATTCATAGCATAGATGGAAAGGCACCTTGATGTAATGCTTTGCAGCTTCTGCTTTGCTACCATACTCAGTGGCAATATGGTGTATCATTGTATAAGAAAAGACTGCACTTATATAGCACTGTGACCTCTGATCAATTACATTATCTCTTCAAGTTTATATTTTCTTATCTATAAAATGGGGATAATGATACCTAGTATACATTATTCTTTTGAAGTTTTGAGATAATACCTGTTTTTTGCACTCAATTAAAGGAAGTTTATTAGTAGCAGTATTAGTAATAATGTTTGTTATAATAGTAGTAGTCAGTCATATAGTCCTGTGTGATGAAAATATTTAAGACTGGCATGGATTCCACAAACAGAACAGCAATGCTATTCATATCAGAATCCCCACTGTAACAGATGGAATTTACCTGTTTGTTTGCTTGTTTGGTTGTTTAATATGCCACCATGTGGTATGATTTAAATGGAGGATATCATCTTTAAATCCTTTTCAGGATGAATCAGGTTATAAAAATCCAATAAAGAAGTTAAAACATTATTCATGGACAAAAGGCTCTCTCAAGACTCTCATGTTTCTTTGCCCCATGATCATGTTTTGCTTCCTATACTTGAATGCAAGGAGAGAAATGTATGCGCAGGATCCAGGAGCCTACACTTGAGCTGTTCCCAGTAATTTACAAAACACACATTAGGGTTGAGGTAATGAGATTAAGTTTTAAAGTCAGTCTGCTTGTCCTCAAATGCAGGCTTTATCACTTGTTAGCTGTATAACACTGGCCATGATACACAATCTCCCTGAACCTTTGCGCACCTCTTTGCAAAAAAGCTCAAAGGGATGTTGTGAGTATAGAACAGATTTATAAAACTCCAACTCAAAGTGACTTCCTAACACACACTAAGCATTATTGTAGTTTTATTATTACATACATACTTTTCTGGATCTCCAGTTTTGCCCACAGTGGGCAGTTATTAATGCTTAGAAATCAGTGAAGTTTAGAATAGGAGAGATCAGGGCTGCTGCAAGGTCTGTGCACTGCACAAAGGAACTACATATAAAAACTGAAAGGAGGAGTGACATCCACATTGCATTCTATTTATCAAACTATGTGCCCTAATCCAGGGTTGCATTTGTCCAAAGTTGCCTTTTTCTAATTAGCACAAAAGTGCCATATAGACTATTGCTGCCATAGATGGATATCTAAGCAGAGGGAATTGCAGGAACAAAATTAGTGAAGAAAAAGAGAACCAATTTACAATAGGTTGTTCATCATGATACAGTAAATATAAGATGAACTCCTGAAGAGTGAGATATGTAGGAGATGTCCTTTATAATCTGGTGAACCCAAGGTGGGCTTTAAAAATAGTTCCTAAAAGAAATCATTAACAATTGTATGAATATAATTAATGAACTCCTTTATTATCAAAGGAAAGATCCTTGTTGCAGAAAATACTTCAGTATAGATTCTCATATTTTCTCCTTAGATTAGTCATTCAAAATGTAATTTATTTTTTCCTCAGATAGTTTAAAATGACATTTTTGCTACATTAGAACTGAGGGTTTCTCCCACTACTTATTAACTTATTGGTGGCCCCTCAAATCATGACTGCTCTCTTGCTGCGTGTCCTGTGAGGATCCACCGCCATGTTGAATCTGAAAATATCAAGACTAAATTACTGGCAATCTGGAATACTTTTCTGATCTTGGTAGTATTATTTCAGATAGCTTTTTTTAAATTTTATCAGTTAAAAATAAAGATTTTTCTGATTTTCATTATATCTTTTCACCATGCAGGGCTTTTACATTTGCCTTATAAATAAACAGGTATGGAGAAAAGGACCATCTATTTTACTTTTTATGCTCCATAAGTACCACTTTACTTCTTGAAAAAAGAGGAATTTTTATTCCAGGAAGAATGATGGGCTTGTATAACATCAAGTACATGTTCAATGCTTCTAAGTGATAAATTTACATAAAGGATAGTTTGCTTTCTCATCAGAGTCTCTACATTAAAGATTTTCTGTCGGAAAATCAGAATGAAGACTAAAATCAAGGCTTAGGTTTGTCTCTTTTAATACTACACATATCATTCTATACAGCTTTTGAAAACAACCAAACCAAGCATCACTTTTAAATGTTGACACTGTACTTTGCTGATGCTATTATTTTCTCTTCAGGTAAGGGGCCTGTGAGGAATGCTTAATGCATGTATTATTTTCCTCCTCATTGGGAAAAACTCCCGTTTAAATAAAATAATCCTGAAATTTAAAACAACATGTTTTATTACTTTTGTCTTTTGAAAACCAAACATGTTACACTTTTGGTTTCATGCAAAGCAATTAAAACCAGTAATTTTAGACAAATATGTACAATGTTAATCTTGGCCTTCCTTTAACTAAAGGGGCATAATTTATTAGAGTGTGCTGATATTTGAAAATTCTTTATTTCTGATAAATTCATAGGTATTCTCAAAATTATTTTTAATAATTGGAAGAATATCATTTCTTAAAATAAGCATTGCTTACAGTAACAACACAGAACTGCTATCAGAAGTACCCAAGTTATGTTATTTTGTTTTTGCTCTTACATTTTCTTGGTAAATTCAAGCCTTGTTCTAATGTTGTAAAAATAGGAGAAAAAGAAATTAAAACATTTCTAGGGTGTTCAAGTGAGTTAACATCATAACCACCAATTGTCAGCAGGCTTTGGGGAGCCAGCAGGGAGCCATGTTTACCTGACATAATGGATGTGTGATCACGGAACTCATTAAGCTATAACAATCTTTGGGAAACCGTTGTTCCCCTCCCAAAGTCCACTCTAAATGTCCTTTTTCCTAGTCCACTGAGGTCCATAATGTTTATAAGGTCATCATGTTCTTTTTGTTGTTGTTAGTCTCTTTAAGTTGATCTTCACATGTAACAGAATTCTGTCAAATGAAAATTGAGATATTTGTCTCTGAAAAATACATTTTCAAGTAAGACACCACTTTAGGCTCACTAGAAAAGTTCTTGGATAAGCATAATTCCTGTGACCAATGGTCCTGAAATAATAAGGCACCCCAGCACTTGAAATACTCAGTTGTCTTTACCTGACGTCAGTTGGGCAAAATATACAAGTGATCTGACTTTAGTGACCTTGGTGAATAAATTCTACAGAGCAAATTTTAGCTGAAGGCTGGAGACAAAAATATAACTAGGTCTCAGGTGTGTGGAGCAATGTGAGTATCTATAGGATTCTTTTGTCCCTTTTTACTTGTGTTGTGTCTTATATAAGATAATCGTAAGTGATAGAAAACTTATGTAAATATGTACTAATGGCAAATTAAAGAGCACGCTTGAAAAATAATTTTAAAAATCCTCCATCCACTTGGTAGTGAAAGCAAAACTGTTGAATGTCCAAGCCTCCTCAGTCAGCTTTGTCAGTATTCAATCATTTAATCCTTTAGTTCTTCAGATTTTCATGAAGCCTATATTTCACATGAAAGCAAATATAGGATATTAGAACAATAGTGCCATGAAATAATTATTAAAAAGGCAAAGACTCTAAAAATGGAAATTCTTTGTCATTCAGTGACGGACTTTTCTTTTCCCATGAGAGAGGATAGTAGTCAATAACATTGACAACCTATGCCTTAGTGGTTTTTTTATTGAACATCTATTGATTAATTACTTGCAAATTACACTCTTAGTGGATAACACGAAAAGACTGATCCTATAGATTTTTTAAGCTAATTTTAAATTTTGGATTGCTATTTCCCATGGAATTGAAACATATAGAAGCTTATTTGAGAAAAATAATTTAGCATAACGGTAGAGCTCTAAAATCATAGGAAAGATTTATTTCAGAGAACATGTCTGCTTTATTATTTATGGAGAGTTCCCTATAAATTCATTTTTATATTTGAGTCATCTCATATATTATATATAATTTTTAAAGAGATTTATATTTGATTTTCAGAAATGTGTTAGGAAACTTTTTGGAGCCATTAAGATATATCTGTAGCCCTAAGTACCCAAACTATAAGAACTTTGTCTGAAAATTATAATAGCAGAATGAAGAAAATTATGAACATATATGACATAAGCTCTTATGAAAAATTATATAATATAAATATATATAATTCATTGAATCCACTGGGCATGGTGGTTCATGTCTATAATCCCAGCACTTTGGGAGGCCGAGGTGGGCGGATCACTTGAGGTCAGGAGTTCAAGACCAGCCAAGCCAACACGGTGAAACCCTGTCTCTACTAAAAATACAAAAAAAAAAAAAAAAAAAAAAATTAGCTAGGCGTGGTGGTGGGTGCCTGTAATCCCAGCTACTCAGGGGGCTGAGACAGGAGAATCGCTTGAACCCAGGAGGCGGAGGTTGCAATGAGCCGAGATTGTGCCACTGCGCTTCAGCCTGGGAAACAGAGCGAGACTCTGTCTCAAAACAACAAAACAAAACAAAACAAAAGACACATTATTGAATGCCTATATGAGACAGACTAAGAACAACTGTCTTAGCCCATTTTATGGTGTTGAAACAAAAACGTTGAGACTAGGTGACTTATAAAAAACAGATAATTTCTGGAGGCTTGGATGTCCAATATTAAGGTGTCAGCATCTGGTGGGGCCCTTTTGCTGCGTCAGCCCATAGCAGAAGGCAGAGGTGCAAAAGAAAAAGGACAGAAGGGGACCAAACTCATCCTTTTATCAGCAACCCACTCCTGTGATAACTAACTCATTCTCACAATAGCCACATTAATCCATCAACGAGGGCAGAACCCTTATGACCTAATCACCTCTTAAGGTTCCACCTCTCTACAACATTGCATTGGGAATTAAGTTTCTAATATATAAACTTTAGGGGACACATTTAAAACATAGCATCAACCTTTTTGAGCAGTATAATTTTATTTTAACCCAGAAACTGTTGTAATAAATAGAACTTGTTTTTAAATGTCAATTTTTATATTGTGAAATATATCAACATTTTTTCTCATCTCACAGAATTAAACAACTAAGCAGAACTCACTCATAAAATGCACTTATAATTAAGGCAAAAAACATATGAATTTTATATATACATTTTTGTCTTAAATATGAAGCTTTATATTAAATATGTATAATGTTATAATTATTTTTATAACATATGCCTTTATGCTCATGTATATTTGTCCCATTAATTATTTTAGCTAAATGAGAGCTAACATGTGATCACATAAAAATGTCATTAATTTTTTAAAAAGCAGGATACAATAATTGTTGCATAGCATTGCCTAGATATGAGACATAATATAACCTTCAACTTTTAAAAATTTTGTATTGTTATCAGATTTTTCAAGGTCATCATTATTACCACTGATTATTATACTCTAGACTTTGTCTTAACCTCATATTAAATTGCTCCAGCATTTTTGGGTGAGGTGTGGGGAGGCAAGAGGATGTTTGCAGTGGGCAATGGCATATTCCAAGTGACAAAAAAGGAAATATTTTAAAATCTGATATATTTTATATCTTAATGACATAGAATTTATAATGGAGTATAGATTGGCCCTGAAGCCAAAGATTTAGGTTTGTGTTCAGGCTTTTTATTCTACTATTTTCTAGTGGAGAAACTCTGAACAAGTCACTTAATTTCTTCAAAACTGAGATTTTGTATCTGCAAAATGTAACTAATTACAGCTTATGACATGAGGTTGTTTCAAAATTGAATAAGATAATGAAAGTGCTTTACAAATTTTGCAGCACTTTACAGAATTAAAACTTAATTATTCCACAATAGTAATAATCAAAGTCACTTAACTTTTGTGATTTTAAAAAATTATCCAATTTTGCAATCTTTATTTCTTTTGTTTAATTCTTGTTTCCTTAACTTGCTTCTATAGATGGCAGGAAAATTTAACTGAAGGACAAATTCATTATTTCAAAAACACTTCTTACAGATATACTAAATAAAATTGTACTTTGAAAAATGTGTGAATGACACTATAATGAAAAATCATAGCTAAGGCTGCAGAGTAAAGCAAGTGTGGTAGACATAGGGCTTGAGAAGAGCAGGGAGTATGTGTACCAGTAATCCAGCAGTTCATTGTTTTGTGGTGTTAAATGCCGTAAGAAAAGTAGAGATGAAATACTGTGAAACTTCAACTTTCATTGTTTATAAACCTAAGTACTTTTAGAAAACAGGGTTAAATGATATTTTATCTAATTTAGACTTACATTATCAGAGGAGTATACAACCTTAAGGAACATGTAAATTTAGACATTATTATTTAAAATAAATTTCCTACTAAAATACGTATATTAATAATTGAAGTATAAACAAAAAAGAATCACTGCTAGGTAGTGGAATTAATTTAAAATCTAGACCCTGAAGAAGTTTTCAAAATATAAACAGAGTTTTGGTTTGTTTTAAAAAATACAAATCTTCAGTGCTAATTAATTTTCTCTACAAATCTGCAAGCTTGGACCAATTAAATCATTTTAGCTGATCTCCTTGTGAACCATATGTTTATCAGCTTAAGACTGATAACTAATTCATCAACCATAAGCAGAAAATTCCATAGAAAATAGTCATTTCAATCTGTGATTTTTCCAAAATTCTACATTTTGTGAACTATACAGCCATGTAAGAGTTAACAGTGAAAAGTATGATATTAGCCATATCTAGCCCTATTTAATGGGATGTGTCAATGAGAAATGACACATCATTGTTGTTAAAGCCAGAGGTAGATATGTATACAATTTTGTTAATTGAAAAGAACTAGGATGTCCAATCCATTTGGCACCCTGAAATTAGAATGACCTTTTTAGAAACCCAAAGAGATCTGTCTAAAACTCTTTAATGGTTTTCAGTTGCTTTTAGAATAAAATGAAACGTTCCTTGGCAGGACATCTGGGGATAGTGATGACCTATAATTTGCTCTCCTTTTTGGTTTCACCTCCATTCAGGTTTGTTCAGTAGCCTTTCCCGCCTTTGCACCTCAGCCAATGATGCACATCAGCCTATGAGCCTCCTTCCCTCACAGTGTTTGCCAACAAGTGCTGTGATTGTTGTCCAGTGCTGACATTTTTTCTCTTAGACTGTGAACTCCTTGAGGGTAGTGAGTATATTTCATTTCTATATCTGATGTGTAGTGTCTGGAACATGTTAGGACATTTGAGACAGATGAATAAATGTAACCAAAGATCTTCACAACTGGTCTTGAAGAAAATTGATTGGAGAGCTTCTGATAGGTAAAGACAATATGAAGCTCTTCAGATGTTTACATAAAGAAGACATGAGTTGTTTACTGCTCGCATTTTTAAGGCTTGGTTAAGTATAAGGCTGAGAAAATGTTTCAGAAAATATGTGGTTACTATTTCCTGGAATGAGACCCAAGTAAAGTAACTCTGGTGAGCTGAAGAGAGACAGGTTTTGACTACACTGCAGCCTATTAGAAGCTCCAATGCAAACACAGTACTAATGAGTTAAGTGCAAAGCAGAATGTCAAAAAAATACCTTTATGATTCTGCATTGTATCAAACTTATCTCCATCTTATATAAACACTCACAGGACTCAATCCAATATTTGGAAAATGGCCAGCTTTAAAGAAACTATTTGGAGCATTGGTTTCAGGCCAATCTTTGCTAAATCAAAGGGTGCCAGTTTCCTTCATGCCAAACAGCACAATAAACCCCTCTGCAAAAGGAATAAAGACTGCTGAGAAATAACTGATGAGGCTTTTAATGTCAATAAATGTCATTTTATGCATCAGTATTGTGAGAGCTTCCTTTTCACAAGTGGAAGATGGATTTTATAAACTCTCCCGTAAAAGAATGGGGATTTAGAGTTGGCATTAGTAGACCTGTAATAAAACAAATCCTTCCTTCCAGTTCCCCTTGAAGTGAAGAATAGCACTTGAACTTCTCATTTGGTAATATGTGGATTATAGATATCCCTCTTCCGCACCACTAAGGTGTGTGTCATCTTTTTTCTACGTTCATAAATATCCTCTTGGAAGAAAAAGGAAGTGGAAAAGAATTGAAAAATTGTCTTTTGGCTTCATTAGATGTTGCTTGATTAAAGATTTGGAAGGTACTGTGAAAATACATTTAGTTTTCTGACAATCTTGTAAATGAAGCTCAACAAGTATGCACCAGAGTACTGATCAGACACTTGTGAGGAAGGTTTTACACAGCTGACACGTTCTGCTAATGAATCCTGGATTGGCACAATATTTAATTTGGCTTTTTCTTATACACGGTAGGTAAGAATCAGCCAATAGTATGAGGTCAGAAATGCCATTTATTTAGCATATTGTCCTTATTGCATTTTGTGATATATTCTAGCTTAAAATATTCTGCTATTCTGAATATATTTAATTCATGAAAAATCATTGGGTCATCTTTTACAAGATTAGAATGTTAAATGGTATTTGGGAAAGACAAAAATGCCCTTTTGTCATTTCATTGTTTGGCCAAGACTTCTTTCTTTTTTATTTTTTAACTGCAAAATTTGTACATTACAAGTGACTAGTCAGCTTCCTTGGTGACTGCCAAAAACTAATAAACACTTTAAACTCAAAGTGTGTCCTTTCACATACCAAAGAACATAAAGGTTAGAGTTAGGTTTCTTTATTAAGGAAAAAGTGATTATAAGAATGCCCATTATAAAACTAGGCTCATCACAGAGAGAAAAAAATGATAAACAGTAGCTTTTATATTCAAAGGACAATTGATAGACTTGTATATATACATTGAGTTAACAGTTTGGTCTTATGGGTTCTCAGGGACTAAAGCTAATGCATAATAAGAAAAGAAGTTTATGCAAATAATTTACTAAATTAATTTACACAAATTAATCTCATAATTTAATATGAATAATTTGCATGATTATTTTAATCTAGATGAAAATTAAGGTTGATAAAGTATAATGTGGATAACTTGTTAGCAAAATCCTTCAAATACTAAAATATGTAATATTTAAAATAGCAAAAACATTACTTAACCCTTTGATTTTTACAAATCTTAAAGTAGTGAGACTTAGCAGGAAAATTCTGCTCACCCAAATACAAAGTCACCTTCACACTAGAGGATCATGTTTATCCTTTCTTCATGATTAAGAAAGAAAAATTATATTTATACAGTGATACCTAGAAGACAAAGCCCAGAAATTCAAGGAGTAATTAAAATAGTGCTTAACCAACCACCAAATTATTCTTAGTTATTTTTGTCCACATTAATTATATTTTAAAAGGTAAGATTTTTAGCTTTTAAAATGTGAACACTTAGTTTTTGCTAATATTTTTATTTTGTTATGGTTATGAGTTTTTGCATTATACCTGACTTGGACACATAGAATAAATTTAGGGAGACAATTTTTTTATATATGTAAAGTATCTGATTCTGTTTTCTAGATCTTCCATGACCCAATTTTGTGGCACGAGTTTCATAGCAAAAGATTTGCATTCTAACTTTTATTTTCAGTAGCCAAATTATGAATCCACATTTTCTTTAAGTAATTTTAAGAATGTAATTACTTTTTTATTTTTTTATTTTATTTTAATTTTTTCACCTTTGCCTCCCAGTGTAATTCATTTTAGATACTTTCAAAATACTTATATCAGCAGTTTCATTCTTTCCTAGGTTCCTAGGAGATAGGAACCTAGCCCTGACATTTGTCTCCAAAGGAATGGCTGCCAGATCTTAAGTGAATTTGTCTGATACAAACTCAAGTTTAATACAAAGAAGTACTCAATAGAGGAATCGTCATGTTTTCTTTTGTGTGTGTGTGTGTCTGTGTCATTTTCAGGCATTTAATGAGGAATTAGAGGAGATTTGTGATTGGGGTACAAATTGGTTCACAATGCATGTGGCTGTAACATGCATAAGGCTAATGTTTTGAGACGCTGCTTTAGACTTTAAAATGCATTTTCAAATACAGTTCAACAGCCAGTAAGTGTTAAAGCACTGCAGAGAGAGACTAGAATTCAGATCTTGCAATGTCTACGTCTTTTGTTTTCTCACTATACTATCATAATGTAGCATCCCAGAGAGACTACATTAATACTTAATAAAATGTAGTGATATGACGATAAAGCACTATCAGAGTTTTATTATTTAACATCTCAGAACTAAAAGAACCATGTAAGTTTTCTCTCTCCATACTATCTCAGAGCCAATGGGAGGCTAAAAGCTTGTTCAAGTAATGGTTTATGTTCTCAGAACATTTTTGGAATTCTTATTTTGGAATGCCTTCAGAGCCTACGGCATTTTCTATTAAACGTGATACTTTCATATCTTGATTTCTAAAATATAACCCTAATTTTTAAAAATAATCAGAAACCATATAAAGTTAAGATCTCTGAATGAAGTGAGTGATTAGACTTGTCATTTTGGTTTTGACTTTCAAAGTTTGAGCCTGATTTTTTAAGTGATAGGTTGTGTCTAAAGGTAATTCTAGAAGAAACAGTTAAAAATAGTTTTCTTAATAGCATCAATACAATATTAAACTTCCAATCTATGTCTACCTTAAGTAATAGCTTCATTTGGAGTCTTTAGGACTGTAAGAGTCATCTAGAATCCTATATCATCAGGATATATGAATATATGTTTTATATCTGAATATGTCTAACATATGCAAAATATGTCAAACATTTGCTTTATATCAAAATATACGTAACATATGCAGAGAGATAGACATACTAACATGTCTTATATTCCATTTTTATTAAGTGTGAGTGTGGCCAGCTTCAGTCCAAATCATGTAGATCACCTGTGTAACTCACATGTTACCTAAACTTTTCCCAAAGCAATAACTTTTTTTACTATGTGAATGATTATGAAGTTGCATTTGAGAGTGTTTAATTGCCAACCTACAATGCCAAGGATATCCAGCCTGGCTGTGGTCCAAATCACCAGAGCAATCACCACTGTTTGAGAATGAATCAGCCTACAGTTGATCCTTTATTCCTTTATGTACAAACTCTGCAGCCTGTTAGCACACTTATTTCTACCTTTCCCTCTAGTTCACTCACAAAAACAGCAAGTGGGGAGAGCTCAATCAGGAGAAAAACAATTTTAAAATAATTGTACCTGTGCGATATGATTTATTTGATTGAGAACTCCTCTTTCCCTCTCTTCCTTTCTCTTTCTTTTCCTTGTCCCCTTCCTCCTTCCCTCTCTCCCTTCATCTTTGAGTTCCTCTGTTCTCAAAGCAAAAGGAAGGGGAAACGTGTGTGGGGACAAGGAGCCCTTAAAAGAAGAAAGCTAAATTTGAAATAGCTTGAAAACAACCCAGATCAATCTATCAGTTTAATTTTATTATCATCTTAAAGAATCCTTAAAGCAGCTTGGTTATTATCATCAGGATTTCTTCACTGGTTTGAAAGGTGAATTGTTAATGACTCATTTACAGAGGTATGCAGTTTTCTTTTATTTTTCACTTACAATTATCTTCACTTGTTTTAAAATGCAATCTGGCCTCCAAAATGTATTGTAGTCATTCATTATTTCTGTCAATTATAGTTTCTAAATCACAGAGTTAAAATGAATCATAAATAAGCATTAATTGATTTCAGTCACTGAATGCCCACTTCCCAAAGAAATGAAAGGGGCAGAATTTACTTTTGAAAATCTGCTTTCCTTGGCAGCTGGAGCACTGGGGCTCAGCAGATGTTAGTTTCTAAAAGCTGGTATTCACTTCAGGAACTGACTCTGGATGTTGGTGTTGCTTCTCCCCAAGGAATAAAATGTTGACAGAGTGGTGTCAACGCTAATGGATTTTTGACTGCAGTAATGGTAACTTCATAGAGCATTGGTGCTCTCCAAGCATTGCAGCGTGATGCCTTGGGCCCCCTGATATCTCACGGAGAAGCCACTTACTTGTATAAACAACAAACCCTACACTTCCTTCCAGGTTTCAAACGTAGATCTAATTTTAGATGGGTAATACAAAACCAAGTATCCTTAAATTTAGTGTAAAAAATACAATGCTCTTATCAAGGAAAATGAATGTTTATAAATGTAGAAAACCCCACTTACAGTCATTGTGGCAACATTTGCATTGTTTGTGAAATTAGAATCAACAATTTCTTTGATATAAAGATGAAAATTCTATTGTGAACCAGGCTCTATTACAATTGACATCTTTCTAACACTTAGAATCCAGGTTACTATTCCAGGAGGGGTGTTCTAATGAGGTTGTTGCCATAGAAACTTTCCAATCATTGATGTACTTTTTACTATGGGTAATTTAAATGCTATGGGAAATTTAGAATTTTAAAATTATTTAGAAACAGAACTAATTCTGAGGGGTACTATATTATTCTTTTATCTAAAATAAGGCACTTGAGCAAACTAATTATTTTGAAGATTGAAGAAAGGGGTTTATTATTACCACTTGATGTCTAAGCCTAAGAATGAAGGCCAAGAGAAGAATTTGGTCTGGCAAATGCAATTTGTCAATAGAGATGCAGTGTTAGAAAATCTAAATGACCATTAGTTCGATTTGGGATTGCGAATACTTAAAATAGCATGAACGATTTTTATATAACATGGGATAAATAAGCTTCTGAAGGAAATATAGAGAAGGTGCCTTTCTTATCATAAATTATCAATTAATTTTATCAAATTGGTTTGAAATTTAAGTGGAAAATATTTTATCCTCCAACTCATGTTAATATTGTAATGATAATATCTGTCTGCAATGTTACGTAAAGGACTTTGTATAAAATAGGTTTGTAGCCTTTTGAAAATTTATTGCCTCCTGGTCATCATTTTAAACTACTGTTGCAATTAGATTATAAACTCTTTGAAGGTAAAGCCCACTGGGACAGTGGCCACCAAGGGAAGAATGTATATTGAAATATCTCAGTAAGATCAAGGAATCACGTTTAATTTGGTTTTACACATGCATTGCTGTTGAATAATGAGTTTTCCCAGCATTACAGATGTGAAATATGACAGAAGATTAGATGAAGTGTACATTATGTACTGGATATCAACTTGTGCCATTCTCATTTTTATTCTATATGAATAATGTTTTCAGGCAGAAATGCACCAAGTTATTGCCTGAGAGTTAGTTGCCTGTCCATTTATTGAAGAATCATTGATACTGTCAAGAGTCAATGCTGTATGTGCAGAGGAGAAAATTGAGTTCTAATTTAGGAACAACTCCTCAAATTAACAAAAGTGAATTATCTAATTTTGAAATTGTGTCTTTTGAAAATGATCAGTAGTGTTGCTTAGAAAACATTTCTGCTTTGATTTCTCATTTATCCATGGCTTAGTCCATTGAGATTTCTCAGAATAACGTGAGGCATCAAGTCAATTAAGGTTAACTTTAAGTTTAAGATTGAATTTACATTTTATCTCAATATGTTATGCATCTATTTATTCTGGCTCTACTGTTCTGAATGATAATAATGTAAAGAGCAATTTCATTTATTTTATTACCTTTGTTTCTGTTACATACAATGAAATCAGACTTCTTAAAATGTAGAATTCAGATTTTATTTATTCTATATTTTGTTTTGCAATGAAGTCCTAAAATTGAAAATGGGTACACATTTGGGTATTTTTATGGATAGTAAAACATGTTCTCTAATTCGAAAACGAATTAAAGAGCCATTTAAAAAATCTCCAAAGCAGACAGTTTCCAGTAATATCTACTTCTAAGTAATTTCTGAAACTACAGCACAGACTTAGCAATTCAAATATATATTTTTAATGCAACATTACACTTTGAAGTATTGTAAACATTTTTGAATATTTATAAATGAATTTATTTTATTTAAAAGCATCAACAAAGATTTAAGATTCAGTAATGTCTAAATGTATTTGGCACTCTTGATAATGTCCCCCAAAGCACTGGAAATTTTTGTTGAAAACATATTTTCTGGATCCAATCTCCAGCAAATTTCTTTCTTCCTTCACCTTTTAGCAGGTAACTGTTAGTGTGGTGCTGTGTGGTAGAGGAATATGGGCTGAAAAATAACCACACACTCTTCATTTCCTGGCATTATTAGAGGTCTGTAAAAGACAGCTGGATTTTCTCTAGCTTATTCTTGTTCTTCAAAACATTAAAAAGTGAGAGCATTTATACAAGAAAGAATATTAGACTTTGATGCTTCATTTTCAGAGGAGACTTGTAAGAAGCAAAAGTGACATCATGTGATTTATTCTCATGACACGATTGTAAAGGGAGCCAAGACCTATAAAAACTCAATCTGTTGTCGATACATTATTTACATGTGTACACCATGTCTTACTTATTCTGAATGCCATATTTAAAAAAATGAGTGCTTCAGAATTGGAATATAGACTCTTTATATCGAGCTAGATTCAACTTTAAACAAGTAACTTCTAACTTCTTAGTTTGATGGCAATTACATGGTTTTAAAATGTACTTTCTTATTTTTGTGGTAGCATATTTTTTCAGTAGATAGCTCTGTGTATGCTGACATTAAATCATTTTGCTGTCCTTCAAAATACATACTAGCTCACTTAAGTTTTAAAATGTGGAGATCTATTTAGCTGTACATTTCATGTCTTTCAATTGAAAAGCACCATATATGATTTTCTAAATAATTTTAAAGTCAAGTAATCTACCTTAAAATTTTAATTGCTAAAAAATTTAATTGCTATTCCAAATAGTACACAAAAGTAAACTGTTGCTTCTTTTTTTTGCACATGTATTATATCATAAAATTAAATGCAATGCTTTCTTTATAAATACAAATACATGTAATTTCCTTTCTCATATTTGAAATAGGTCAAGAGCATTTGACTAAAGAATCATGGACCTATATTATTTTAAAAGTAAGAAAGAAAGGCTTTACAAGGAAATCCAGTTTTCAACGATTATTGTTTTCACCATATATGTGTGAAGGTTTTCTTATGAAATAGGTAATTTTTGATGTTATGCATAAAGAATCATCCCTCAAAGTGCTTACATTCTAATAGAGGAGTTGCAAGTATTAGGAATCCCAGTTGTGTACCAGGCAAAATAAATACAGCAGGACTGTTGGTAAACCGGGGTTTTTTTTTTGCAATGATAATTACAGCAAACTGTAGACTGTGATAGTCCAGTGGACTGTCTAAATATACAAATAGACACTTATAAGGATCAGCGATTATAAAGTCACTCCATCAGATTTTGGAACTAAACATTAAGTACTCATGGTCATGAAGATGTCAACAATAGAAACTGGGGACTTCTAGAGGGGAGAAAGGGAGAGGAGAAAGGGTTAAAAAACTATTAGGTACTATGCTCAGTACCTGGGTGATGGGGTCATGCATACCCCAAACTTCATCATTATGCAATATACCAGGTAACAAATGCACACATGCACCTTCTGAATTTAAAATACAAGTTTAATAAATAAATAAAATAGAAGTTTACATCTGCTATCTTCCATGACTTTGTAAGGCCTCTGTGGAATAGGTAATGTAGAGCTGACAAACTTATGTGTAAATGAGATAATATAAACATTTAGTTTCATAGCCAATAATTAGATTGAATTTTGTATTCAAGATCTTTTTGTCTCCATCATAGTAGGAGGCCTATGGATCATTTAGTGGAACAAATAGATTCACCATAAAGGTAAATGCCTATAGTTATAATTAATATCACATTGGAAGAATAGAATTTGTAAAAAAAAAAAAATACAATTTATTTTCGTGGTCATGTGAATAATGAAAGTGACAGCTTTACCTTGCTCCCTGGATTAACATGAATGTACTCAGGACATTCTACTTCTGCTTTGGTTTACTTTAAACTCCTTTTCTGCCTTCATCTGTAAAAATGAAGAGATTGTTATCTGGGTAAACACTGTTACCGAGTCTTAGTGTGACTGAGAACAAGGAGGCTGGATTCTTTGATTGGCCCATCAATATCCCACAAAACTGATAAATTTCTCCCTTAATATCATTTATATATCCTCTGCATAAAACTAAATAAAAGAAGTCTGTAGAACTCTGTGAACTTCTGCAAAAGAGGATGTCAGTATAATACAAATGTTATTTATTTGGGTTTAGAAGGAATAAGTCTGGAACACAAAAAATAGTTAAGTGGACTAAGACCTGGCACCCACACTGAATTCCAGTTAATGTCACCTTGGTTTTCACAATTGTTGACATATAGGACTATTCACCAGGAATTGAATGGAACTACAAACTAATTTCATATCGGATCCTGAGCGATCTTGACATAGTAATGTCTTTTGTTTTTTGGGGTTGGATTTTAATCCAAAAATGCTATCCTCAGCAATTTAGCAATAAACCTAGGGGTTTTCTAATCTCCTTGTAAAAATAATCACATTATACATGGTTGAAGATGTAGCATTGCATATATTAAACATTAAATGTTAGCATTAACTAAACTCCTTTCCAGTTCAAAAAAATACATGTTGAAAAAGGTATTTTCTTACTTCAAAAAGGGAAAATTTGGGACCTGAATAAACTTAGAAGCCACTGGAGTACAGTTTAAGGCCAGAGGTAGTAATTAACTCAGGCCTATATAACCCTATGGGTACTCTCAGAATATTTAAGTCATTGGTTAAATATGACCCATCTGTATGGTCATTTTAGATATTGATTTCTTCTTAAATATAATGAAAAAAATTAAAGGATACACACATGCACACACTTAGGTTAAATGGTTGTTTATGTAAACTATACCAGATATTTTAAGTACTTAATGATTATTAGGGAACTATAAACTATGGAGTCTACTGAACTACTTACTCCCTTGAAATCAATTTACTTACAGTAATAGCATATCACAGGTTCTTATTAAGGGACTTTTTAAAAACTAGAAGGTGCTAAAGAGTATACCGTAGTATAATACACATTTGGTAACTTATACTCTTGTGCATTGCTTCACATCTTGCTAAAAACATATACACATCCCATTGTGGATATGTTCTAAAATATAGGGGTCCATCTGCTGATTTAAAAAAAAAAAAGCTTTTTTATATGTGCATATCGCACCTATTTTTTGTTGCTCTCTGTGAACAGAAAACTATTTTTTTATTTTGCTATTTGAAATTTACATATTCTAACTAACCACAGTACCTAAAGTTTGGCTAACTTGGTTAATTCACATAGATGCTACAAATATTCATTGTACTTTAGCAGCATTTTGGTATACATAAGATGGAAGATACATGGCATCTGAGAGAATATTTTTACTCTTGAACTATTTTCTCCTATTTTCAGTTATCGATTCACTTATCCAATTATAAAATTGTAGCCCTGAAAGGAAACTGACTTTAAGTGCTAACGAAATTTATTACTAAATATTTATTACTAAATATTTGAATATATTTGGTTTCATTTATTATATTTAGTTATATTTAATATATAAGTTAAGATGAAGAGACTGAAACCTAGAGAAGTGAATTATTTTCTAGAACACAGGGTTGTGTCAAAATCAGGACAGAAAGTCATTTTTAAGCTTCATTGAATCTTTTATTAATTCAATTTAACAATCATTTTAGTTTTTACAGCATTTAACTAATAATATTATACCCTAAAATAAGCATGATGTGCTTATTTCTTTCTATGTTTATAGAACTGATTCTTTTTGCAAGCAGTGCTGTCACTTAACAAATTTGTAACAAGAACCCTTCGCTATAGCTATACATCAGTTGAAGTATTTTACAACTGCATGAGGCCAAGTGGCCCCTCAAAATGCTGACCTTGCATAATCCATTACCGTCTTATACTTTATCTTTGTGGATTCCAAATAAAGCTGGGTTGAACATTAAAGCCAGCTTCACACATTAAGTCATAATCAAAAAAACACCAGCCTTACAGCCAAAAGTTATTGAAAAGGAATTTAAATCATTACCTCAGTGCTATAACCTGAATATTTGTGATACCCAGAATCCATACATTTAAATCTAGTCTCCTATATGATAGTGTTAAAAGGTGGGCCTTTGGCAGGTGATTAAGTCACGGCAGTGGAGCTGTCATGAATGAGATTAGTGCCCTTATAAAAGGGACACAGAAAGCTAAATGACCCTTTCCAACATGTGAGGACATAGAAGATGACATCTATGAATTGGAAGATGTCTCTCAGCAGACAACATCTGCTGGCACCTTGATCTTGGAATTCCCAGCCTCTAGGTTGTGAGAAATAAGTTTCTGTTGCTTATAAGCCACCCATTTTATGGCATTTTTGTTATAGCAGTTCAAATAAACTAAGGCAGCTAAGTCTCTTGAAAAATTATAAAAGGAGAAGTGTATTGCCTGCACCATATCTTCTTGAAAGCCACTTTTAAATTCTTCCCACACTCTAAGTAGAAATTGATCACTTGCATCTATGACTGCTCTATAACCTTATCTTTTTTTCTTTTGCTAAACTCCTCAAGATCTTTATCTTTAATGCAGCTGTCACACAGGTTTACTCTTTTACACACACCTCTGTGCATCTAAAACCCACGCACATGCACACTTTCTTGGAAATCCGGTTTACTCCCTCTGATGGCTTCTTCTGTGTCCACTGCCTTGCCTTTCTGGTTTTCTAGTACTAGGTCACACATTCAATGGATATGTGATGTGGACTATAAGGAGAGGGGGACATTTTCACTACTGTATTTTATCTTGCCTATCACGTTTATTCCCTTTGCCTTTTCAAGAGAACGTGGTGATCTTAAAATAGAAAGGAGCTAACTCTCCATTCCTTGCACCCCAAGTGTTAAATCAAAGTAAGATAAAGGTTAATTTTTTGTGATAGCTTATATAAAACATTATTTCACACATTTTGTGGTCAGTAAAAGTGATGCTGCCCTCAAGGAACATAAAAAACAGCGAACTAGGAATTGGGGGAAGGCGAGAAGGAAAAATTGGCCTTGTTCTCAGGAAACTCATAGTTCGCTAGGAAAGTTAAAATGGATAATATAATTCTACACAATGTTAGTTTTAATTACTGTAGAAAAATGTAGACATGATGACAAGATGGAGAAAGACTTCAAAGCAATCGTCACTTTGGGTGATGAAAAAAATTGAATTATGCCTTATAGAATGTGAAAGTACCAGACAGGAGACTTTGGAGGTACTGAAAAAAGTGGAGCATGGATTTGTAGATGGGAGATCACGCAGGGTCTATGTACCTGGGCTTTACTCTTCTATGTGATTTTGGTGTTCTTAGGCTGTAGATGGTATATTTCAGGATCTTTATTTTGTTACACATATTTTGAAGAAAAACGTGGAAAACTTATGATGGTGATTTTGCAGAAAAATAATTTAAATCCAGAAATTCACAAGGAAAACTGAAAATAGAATTACTCAGATTAGAAATTGTTGTTAATATCTATTTTAGTGGAAAACTTAATCAGATTTTACCATCTCATATAAACAGAACTCTGGATACACAGAGTTTTTTTCACTGAACTATTATTTTCCTACCATTAAAACCTATATAATATGTAGTAAGAGTCCCATACAAAAACACACACACACACACACACAAATCTCCTTACAAATTTACCCCAACTCTCAAATGGATCAGATCGCAATACTTTTAATCCACTCCTATGTTGTTCCCACTGCTGTACCTAGAAAGCATTGGATTTCTTGTATTTGTTTCTACCATATCTATTAATTTTAAAAAGCAATTTCCTTATGAGCTATTTTTCCACAAAGTTATGGACCTTGAGGGCAATGTTCAGAAATGTTCTTGAGGAATTATCATGAAGTAGTCACATCAACAAATAACCACTGTACATAATACAAATGAAAATACTAATATGCCAAAAAAATCCAAAAACTAGCAATTTTTTTAAAATGTAGGCTTAGTTACCTGGCAGAAAGTACATATTTTTAAACAAACAATTTATAAGAATTTATTAAATTACAACCAATTCACTAGGTACTTCCTCTGAACTAAGAAACCCAAATATTAGATACATGTAACAGAAACCCCTATTCACCATGCCATAAGCAAAGAAAAAATATTAAGTTATCATAGAAAACAAGATACCTGGATGAAATCAGCGTGGAGATGGCACAGGGGTTCTGTGGTGACCCACAATCATTCTGTTTGCTTGCTCTGCCATTGTCAGTGAGTGTTCGTCCTCTTGTTTTTCACCCGCTGGCAGCAAGATGGTTGTCATAGGTTTAGATAGCTTCTCTACTCAAAGTAGAAAAAAGGAAAGAAGGGATGCCAGAAGGAAATTGTCTAGGGTAGCTCTCTCCTTTTATGTGGAAGGAAAAATTTCTAGAAATCTTTCATCGATTTTCTGCTAATATTCCATTGATCAAAATTGGGTCACATGCTCATCCGTAGCTGCAAGAGAGGCTAAAAAGAGAATTTCTGGAAAGGGTGAGTATGCTAGTCATGACTTTCTTAGACCAATTATGATACGTCTTTTGGGCTTAACACATTGTCTACCTGAACAAAAACAGAGTTTTACTTTGAAGAAAGAAGTGTCTATGGTGAGTATTAGTGGCATGCTGTAGGGGCAAGGAATTAACTAATAGGGGTTTTCACATATAGAAAGAAATCTAGCCATCTTCTTATAGTTAACAATTGCATATTTGGATCCTGATTTCACTCACATCTTTAAACTCAAATCCAAATGTTCTTTCCATAATACCTGAGCAGTTTTGAAGGAGAGCTTGGAAGTTTTTCTTCAGGTTTTAGCTATACTTCTAAGAAGTATAATTTTCAGCCCTTAGTTACCTTCCAAATTTAAAAAAATAAAAGCCAATTTTATTTTTTATTATATGAGACATACAGAGAAGTCCAGATTCAAAGGAGTCACTAACAGCACCTATCACATCACAAAATGATGATGGAGTATTTTCCAATCTCAATCTCATTGTTTTCTTTAAACACTTCAGCTGCAGCATGTAAATACTTTTGCCAAAGTCTAAAAAATGAGTTCGTCTCTGAAAATAGAAGTTGTAGATAAATATGAAATATTTATACTTCATTTTAAAGATGAGCAGTCTTCTTATTCAGTTTTTTGCTTAAAGAACAGGTAATTACAGAAGTTTCTCTAATTCAGGCAGATTTTATCTACTTAGTGATTAATCAAAAAATCATTAGTCTCTCTCATAACCAATGAGAGAAATTTTCAAAGAAATCCATATGGAATTTTTGGCCTTCTGTACAAAGTTATTGCAATCATATATTTTCTTTAAGGAAGACCAGTTGCAGTAGAACAAATTATTATTTTAAATTAAAAATTGTATTTTTAATGAATTAACATTTAGCATATCCTGATATTTAGCTTCTCATATTAGTGCATTTTGCACATAACTGAACTGTAATAATAGCCTGGAAACTATATATCCACTTAAAATTCTGGAAAGGTAAAATTTTTAGAAGATGAAATTTCCCCTAGAGGCTAAGAGTAAGTTAGGAACAGGAATTCCAGGTGGATAGTACTTTGTATTGCTAGTTCATTTTTCATTCTGTCAACTTGCATATTCTTGTTTCATAGTTTCATATGATTCATATAAATAATTCACACACTTAGTTCAAAATGTGGAAATAATTGGTGAGAGATTATTTGGAGTATTTTTGTTTCCAGCGTTGTATACATCTGTAAATTGAAGTCTTGAATATTTTTTAAAACATTGGGTTCTCATTATCTTTCCTGTGTATAATTATTTTCATCTCTGTACCCACAATGTTTGTATGATTTACAGCTGCAATATAATTGTGATAGAGAAGAGAGAGTATTGCGGTTGAGATGGAGAAGACTTTTTCATCTGTAAAATGGCAGTGCAAATAGCTAAATTACAAGGTTGTTATGAGAGATATAACATAGGTGAAGAGTATGTATCTGATCCTCATATAAACTTGAAATTTGGTTATTATCATTATTGTTTACTGGTGATAAAACCAAGCCTCATAATTATGTTTATAAATATTACATATGAATAATAACCTTTTAAAGGCATTTGAAATTATATTTTCAACTTTGCTCCATTTCTTATAAAGACTAATATTTTTAATGAGTGAGTGGCTGATAAAATCATGCTGTAATGTTTTTAATATAATATGAAAAGAGAAATTGTTAAAATGTACATATTTTATCATTATCCACATAGATGCCAAACACATCTGACACTTTACTTTTTTTCTGACAGCAACTCAAAATAAACATTTTTGGATATATGATGAAGCTACTCATGTGATATGCAATCAAAGCATACCTGCCTATGAGAGATAAAACCAAAACTGGATAATATCAAAAGCCAAGTAATACAAGAAAGCCCTCTTCTCATCAAGAATATATCAAAATATATTCTTAAACATGTTATGAGCTCTTAACTAGGCTTAAACTTTGCAATTTTCATTATTCCAGTTAAATTTAAATTTATGGTTTCTTAATCAGATTAACATGTCACAATCCTTCTTGAGTATCTTCATTGCCTCCCTACTTTCTAAAGAGTGACAACTAATCTCCTGCTATTGCATTTAAGATGCATGATAACTATCCCTCAACCTACCATTCTTTGTCCAGTCTTGGACCACACTTGTCCATGAATGGGATGCGTCTTTGACAGGATGCCCTTCTTCTTTCCCTCAAAGTGTTTTAAATGTAAGACCTGGCCTGTTTGTGTTTGTTCTGTGCCTGAAGCATGGGATACTTTTATTCCCACATGCTAATTTTTCAAAATCCATCGGAACATTGTGATATTTTCCAAGAAGACTTTTCCAACCCTTCTAAATTTAATAATCTTTTGCTTCTCTTCAGTTGCAAGACGTTTTGGTCTATGCACCTTACTCTTCTTTATATCTTATAGTTATGTTTGTCTTATGCATAAGTTTACAAATACTTTGAGGGTAGCCCGTGTTTTATAATTTTCTGTATGTTCTACAGTATCTATCAAAGGATATTGTAGATTCTTAAATAGTTGCAGAAAAAAACTAAAATTAATATTGATTGAATAACTATCATTTAGGTCTTCCTGGCTCCATATGTCCCTTCAAAAGAATGTAAGCTCCATGAATTTAATAGCTTTTATCTGCTTTGCTTATTAATGTATTTCCAGTGCCTAGAAGGGTGTCTGGAACATAGAAGGCACACAAAATTTGTTGACAAAAATAATGCGTTTATGTATATAAGTCAGTAACTTTTTCTTTTTCTTTTTTTTTTTTTTTTTTTTTTGAGACGGAGCCTTGCTCTGTCACCCAGGCTGGAGTGCAGTGGCGCGATCTCGGCTCACTGCAAGCTCCGCCTGCCAGGTTCATGCCATTCTCCTGCCTCAGCCTCCCGAGTAGCTGGGACTACAGGCACCCACCACCAAGCCCGGCTAATTTTTTGTGTTTTTAGTAGAGACGGGGTTTCACTGTGTTAGCCAGGATGGTCTCGATCTCCTGACCTCGTGTTCCTCCCTCCTCAGCCTCCCAAAGTGCTGGGATTACAGGTGTGAGCCACTGCGCCCGGCCATAAGTCAGTAACTATTGAACAAATATGCTACTTGGACTGTTTCATTAAACATTGATATTTTAATAATGTTAACAAAGCATTATTATTGAAAGGCTAGTTTGATCACCCATGACTAGCTTTTTTGTAGGCGAAGGTATCCTGATATGGAAGAATATTAGAATAACTGATGGCTAAGGTATTGTCTAAATCTAAGCATGAATGAGTATTATCCAATTATATTTCACATTAACTAGTAGAGTTTTCACTCACTATGGCTTATATTAATCATATAATTATTCTAATTTCTCATGTACTATTTACAATGCAAAATTCAACACTAGTTACGCAATATACTAAAACCAACTAATAGTGTTCAGATTAAATGTAGCTGGGAAAATTTATGTAGGACTGATTGCTGAGAAAGAAATAACTATTTAATGTAATTATGTTTTCATGAATCATAGTTAATGGAGGGACCCTATCCTTATCTTCTAAATATCAAGTAGTATAACTGATATCCTTTATGCAAAATTTAAAAATGAACATGAGTGAATCTTGCTCTATGAAGCAGTTATTTTTCAATGGAAACAGATATATAGATATAAAATATTTTCAATTATATTAAAAAATTAAGTGTCAAATTCAAAGAAAACCTGTAGTGAATCCTTTGGTGATTCACTTTTGACACATAAATAATTGCTTACCTAATTTGCATGCTCTGTACATTTTGATGTTTGTGTATTTAAATATATTTATACACATGTATTCTTTAGATAGGATAAAAAATATATTAATGTCAGTGTATTTAATTTTGAAACTACTTTCGTTTGTAAAAGGTCATCTTAAGCAGGAAGAGATAGTGTTCTTTTAAAGTACAGCTTGCTATCTATGTGCAAATTGAGCTTATCTCTTGCCTGAAACAGAATTATCTGTTCTTAGGCTTAAGGAAAGCTGCTATATTCAGTACAGTGGTATTTACAAAAGATCTAGCTTGGTAGACACTTTATCTTTCTCTGTGGTTCCTTGTCTTTGTTAGGCAAAAATGAATTACATGGTATTATTCCCAATTTGCTGAAAAGGGGCGATATTTTATATTTGTATTCATTGTAATATTCAATATAATATTTATATTCATTATATTTATATAATGAAATGAAAATGATTGCTGGAATATGCTTACATATTAATAAGTGGCAGAGACTCAGAGGGAGAAAACTCCCTCTGAGTTTTGTTCTTATAATTTCTCTTTGGAGGTCCATACTGAAATAGCTTGCCTTTTTGTTGTAATTCATGTAAATAATCCTGAATATTCTATTTACATCCCCTTTGAAAATTACTGCCAAAGTAAGACATGTCAAGCCTGCAAAATCCTTGATATATATGAAGCTCAGATCAAATAAAGGGTAGTTTACTGAAAACAACATAGGAAGATTATTTGAATACTCTTCTCCCTCCTAGCCTGACATTTCTTTTTCTCCACCCCAAATCCATGAGAAGACAGTGTCTGGGATAATGGGAAAATTATTATACACTCTCATAATCACTGGGGGATAACATTCCGAAAAGTAGAAACCTAAAATAGAAAACTACAGGGGCTTCATATTACTCTCTCATTCTTTACTATATTTATTGAAATGAGATAGTTGTTATTAGCCAACAAGGGAACTGACCTTTATCATCAGCTAACGAGAGATCAACACTCTCCTGCAATGTGAAAAATCACAGAAGGACAAATTAATCAGATTAGGCAAAAGGGAAGGGCAGAGATTGGAAAAAAAAATACTTCACAGAGGCAGAAAAGAAAATATAAAGTGGAGTTAAGGAATATTGCTTTCGTGATGACAATGAGATTTTTAATTTTCTTACCTAACTCTGATACAGTATTCAGTCTTTTCAACTACTATCTAGGAAGTAGGATTGACAGATAATATGTAGGACACTCAGTTAACTTTGAATTTTAAATAAACTACAAATACTTTTTTAAAAATATAAAATTCAAATTTATCGGAGAGCCTCGTATTTTCACTTCTCAAGTCCAGCAAAGCTGCTGGAGACAAGTTGTGTTTTTTTTTTGTTTGTTTGTTTGTTTGTTTGTTTGTTTTTGAGATGGAGTCTTGCTCTGTCGCCAGGCTGGAGAGCAGTGGTGCGACTTAGGCCCACTGAGACCTCTGCCTCCCGCCTCCCGGGTTCAAACGTTTCTCCTGCCTCAGCCTCCACAGTAGCTGGGACTACAGGCGCCCGCCACCACGCCCAGATAATTTTTGCATTTGTACAGAGGAGGTTTCACCATGTTGGCCAGGATGGTCTCTATCTCTGGACCTCGTGATCCGTCCACCTCGGCCTCCCAAGTGCTGGGATTACAGGCGTGAGCCGTTTTTTAAGAGACTAACTGCTAGAAATGTTTTCCTGTCCAACACCACAGCCACAGGAAAAATGCCCATAGAGGATCCATTTCTAAGGATGCTAAGTAGGTTCATTTCTAAGGACTAACTTGCCTCTTTTTGAGATATGTTATGTGAAAAGGTTGACTAATAGCAACACATTTTCGCACTTGGAAAATGACACATTTTCACTCTTGTTGAGACAGTTCTAGATACACCAAGTACCCTGTTAGTTATATAAGGAATCCTACTTTAATGCAACTTTTTATTTCTTTAGAGCTGAAACCACTAGTAGTAGGTTAAAGACTAATTAATAGTATCACCCTGTAGTAGGTTAAAGAGTAATTAACCCTATAGACAGTAAGGGAGAATGAGCAGGATACACTGAGAGGTGGATCAAACAAGTGGCTTTAGATATATATGCCCAGAGCTCCAGAGGAGAGTGGGATAGTTCAGTGACTTCAGTTCTGTCCTGGATAAGCGTTCAATCACAATTCACCTTTCATATATGCATAGTATTATATTTACATAGTCAAACCACACTCAGATACAACTTGGGGGATTGAAGATATGAGTTAAATGAGTTATGAAAGTTCAGTTAAACTGGGCATTGCATAGCCCACATATAATCTCAAAGCATATAGGCAAACTGTTTCTCTCATACACATACACACACACGAAGATGGACATTTCTATTGGATACCTTTTTAAATAAGAAAATGTATAAATAATAAGATATAATAATGGAAATATGTAAATTCATAGTATAAGACAGAGAAAATGGAATATACTCAATTTGTGCCTTAAGTTTGTATATAATAATCTTCATGTATGGGAAAAATACTTAGTTAACATTTTTCTTTAGTATTTAACTCAGGTACTCAGCAAATGATTATTGATTGAATGAATAGATAGATTTTCTACCTTCAATGAGTTCAGAGTCCGGTAGAGATGACGGATATAGAAAGTTATACAAATAGTACAATATTACATGGTGCCATGACAGAGATTGTTATCTCACATGTTAATATGGGAGATGTTAGAAGATGCAGATAATCCACCTATTTGAGGAGCCAGGAAGACATCCTGAGAAGGTTAAACTTTGACTTAAGTGGATTTTTCCAAGAAAAACTAGGTGAAGAGATGGGGAGGATGTAGAGAGAGAGTTTATAGGCACAGGCTGGATGTGAGAAGAAATCCTCTGAATACTGGGAGCTTCAATGAAGTAAATAAGAATTTCTGAGTTGTAAATTTTAACGTGGAGTGGACAAAAATAGAAGCTGAAAAGTTTCAGGGCCTCATTTTACAACAGATTAAAGAGCTTGGACTTTATTCTATAAACCTCTAGGAACCATTGACAGATTGTAAGCAGGGACTAAAAAGGTCAGATATGCACTCTAGGCGGAACATTTTGGCAATATATTTATACACATGTATTCTTTAGATAGGATAAAAAATATATTAATGTCAGTGTATTTAATTTTGAAACTACTTTCGTTTGTAAAAGGTCATCTTAAGCAGGAAGAGATAGTGTTCTTTTAAAGTACAGCTTTTGGCAATTATATGGAGAATGGTTCAGAGAGGGGCAAAATTGGCGAAGGGACCAATTAGGTAACTATTACAGTAATCCTAGGATAAATGATAAGGACGGAGATGTTATTGGTAAAAGTAGTTGGATAAGAGGGTTTGGGGAGTGAGGAGTTCAGGTCGAAGGAATATTGCAGATGTAAAATTAATAGGACTTGGTGATTGGTTAGACTCAGGAATGAGAAATGCAGAAATGCCTGGCAGCAAGTTGGAGAGGTGGGTGTGAAAATTTGAGAAGTCTAAATTGGAACAAATGAACTAAGATTCATCAACTCAGAGGTGAAATCTTGAGAGTTTATGAGATCTTCTTGAAGAGCGTGATTAAGAGTGGAGACCTAGCAAGAAAATGAAAGTCTAAAGAATGTCAAAATCGAAGGTTCAGATTGGAGAGGAAGAGGAGGAAGTATTGATCAGAGAGGATAGAGGGGAAACAGGGCAGCGTGAATCATGAAAAAGAAGAGTGAGGCTGGGCACAGGGGCTCATGCCTTTAAGCCCAACACTTTGGGAGGCCAAGGTGGGCGGATCACCTGAGGTCAGGAGTTCAAAACCAGCCTGGCCAACATGGTGAAACCCAGTCTCTACTAAAAATACAAAAACTTAGCCAGGCATGGTGGCAACACACCTGTAGTCCCAGTTACTTGGGAGGCTGAGGCACAAGAATCGCTTGAATCCAGGAGGCGGAGGTTGCAGCGAGCCAAGATCGCACCACTGCACTCCAGCCTGGGAGACAGAATGAGACTCCATCTCAAAAAAAAAAAAAAGGCATAGAGAAAATAGAGATGAGAATAATAGTGGAAAATATAAAATATAGCACAGAAGTTCAGAAGATTCATCCAAATAGTTTTCACAATGTCTTTATAATACATAGCTCAACATAGTTTCATTGAATTTGCTTGTTTGTGTTTGCAGAACAGATTTAAATTGGAAAGGTGATTACTACAGACCCGTCATGATATTTGATAAAGATTTTTTGCTCCATTTAATGTACAGTCTAGCAAAACTTCCTAATGAAATGATTAGAATTTAAAAGACACCTGCTTTAAAACATTTTTCATACTGCATATATTTGTAGGATAGTTCATTCAAGTTCCTTGCTCTATCAGGAAATTAATTACAGTTTAGAAGAACTAAATATATACTATAGCTCCATCTGAATTCCTCAAGAGAGAAATTATATTCTATCAAGCATAAAATACATATCTAAATATTATCTGTTTACACATACTTACATGATAAACTCTAAGAGCCTTTTCAGAGGCATTATGGGATGTTTATTAAGCACAATAAAACATTCTGCATTCCTCCAAAAGAAGATACCTCTTTCTGATTCCTGACTTTAACAACTGCATTATGGAGGCTGCACATTGAAGGACCGATAAGTGAGAAGAAGGGAAATTAATTGGAAATAAGCTGAGGAAAAATCAGGAAAGCTGGATATGAGGAAGGGCCAGGAAAACCAATGGACTAGTGCCACAATGATCATAGGGTTGGAAGTAGTGAGATGAAGAGAGAAGATGGAACTCAATGTTTTTCTTTAGACACATAAACTCCTTGGTCATTTGTGCCCCCAGAAACTTCTTGCTGGACATCTTGTTCCTTCGGGCTGTGTTTACCATTATGCCGCATGGGCCTATGAACCTCTACCTTGAGCCAGTTTTCTTTACCTCTTGTAGTTTCTCTATCATTTACTGTCACCTCATCACCCCAAAATCTTTTCTCTGAGAATCTGTAGATTCTTGTTATTTATCTCTACATAGAAATTTAGAATTCCTTGTTAAAACACTCTTCTTATCTTGCAGAGATAACAATCGTGGGGAAGAACAAGACATCTCATGTCCTCATCCTGGCCACAAAAAAAAGCCCATCCAAAAGTTTTAAAAGATGGAATAGTGTCTTCTCCCATACATATTAGATAAGACACCCTAAATATTTTTATTTTGGGCATAGATGATATAATTCCCATTATTGCATATTTTAATTTTTTAACAAAACCATGATTTTGATTCTTTGCATTTTGTATTTTTCACAACCTGACTATTCTGTTTAATATAAGGAAAAGCTGAGAGAGAAGTGATTGAGCTTGTCTGGTGTCACAGGCCTGATGCTCAGGCTCCTGTGTTCCTCAGCAGCTGCTCTTAACAACTATACTCCAAGGATACAATTGTTCCGGCTGCGCCACCTGGGACACGAGTCAGCAGCACTGGCCTTCTTTCCCAGCAAGAAATCAGCCAGTGTGGCTGCTCACTGTCATCTTAGGGCTGGACTTGGATCCCCAGGGTTTGCATTTGGTGAATCATGCCACTAAATGCCTATTACTTCTTAAAAATCAGAATTCTCTCCCCAATGATAATACTTGGTATAATATTTGGTGGTCTTTTCTAATAGTTACCTTCCAAATGAGAAAAAAAAGCCAAAGTAATTTTTTTTAAGTTTGATTCATCTTGCCTGTGTTTGTTAGGGTGGAGTTGAGTCCAAATGTGAGAAAATGTATCACATATTGGCATATGGGAAGTAATTCAGGCATTCTTGATGTAGTAGAGAAATTTTAGTACTAATAATCTCATTTATTTTCTTCAATATTTCTTGAAAAGTGCTTATTGACTGTGGGCCATATGAAAACCTAAACTTTCAGACTTTATACTTCCAAATTATAATATTATTTCAAGTGGTGGAAAAAAAGTTTATTTAAACCAGATGAGCATCAGCATTTGATGACTTATGGACAAAATGATGTAACTCTGTAGCCAAATCTGCTTAAGTCTGAAATCTAGTTCTACCACTTAGTAGCTGCACCATCTTGGGCAAGTTACTTAACCTTTTCCAGGTCCCACTTTTTACCCTCTGTAAAATAGGGCTGATAATATTACCAACTCACAAAATAGTTATAAGGATTAAGTGGGTTGAGAGTTTCAAAAACCCCATGCTTACAAGAAACTCTATACAAATATGCCAAATCAAATAAAAATAGCTGGGCATGGTGGTGTATACCTATAGTCCTACCTACTCAGGATGCTGAAGCAGGAGGATCGCTTGAGCCCAGGAATTTGAGACCAGCCTGGACAGCATAGCGAGAACCAGTCCCTAAAATAATAAATACATAAATAAATAAAATAGGTCATAGTCTGTTATTGTTAACCTCAAATTCAAATTGAACTAATATCTGAGTGTTCCCCAATTCTCCTTCTCAGGGTAGAGTTTATTGTTCTCTCCTTTGTGTTTCATCCACGCCTCTTTTCTACCTCCTTTCTGGTTGCTGTCTCACAGTGAATGGCTTAATGTGTATATATGATTGATTCTCGAAGTGTGCTATAAAATCTTTGAGAGCACAAGGTATGTTGTGATCACATTTTATCTCCAAGAAGTGGAAGCATCCTGGTAAAATGTGGGTCAATAAAGTTTTATATTGATTAGAAAAAAAAACTCCCTCATTTCTAAATTATTATTTATATTACATTACTGGTTTATTCCTCAAGTATTTCACAAAATATTTTTTCCTCCATCTTGAGGTTTTCTTGTTCTTATTTCTTCTTATATACTCATTTCTCAGGCCTTATTGAATACCTCTCTAAAAATAAAGCTTTGTAACTCATTTTATTTCCATTCAACTTTATTTATTACTTCTCTTTAACTCCATACTTCATGAATCTGGGCAATATTGGAAGTCAGGAAATTGAAGGAAGGAAAGAGTGCATAGGTTTATTATTTTCCCAGTTAGAGGGAAAGCCATGTTTTCAAACTTTGGATCCAGCATTCTCTCATCAATCCTTCTTTCTTCCATTCTCTTCTGAAATCCCTACTGGAAGTAGCCACTTGAGAACTATTTCTACAGAACTCTAAGCTAGGAAAGGCACTAGCAGTAAGCTCAAAAATGATAAAATTTTAAGTATAATATACATTAGGTTTGAACAAGGAAAGCCTCCTTGTTTTACCTGTGGTAAGTGTAGTATCCAGGAGTTTCAGGTGGGTAAAGTCAGACCCAGAAGGAGCAGGAGAGGAGGTGGAGTCAATCTCCCACCAAAAATATAGAATTCTGAACAATGCATTATCAGGGCATGTTTTTCATGAATCTGATCATTCCAAGGTAGAAAGGAAATTGCTATTGCAGAGGAAACACTTGAAGCATTAGAGGTGAGTGATTGCTTTTATTACATTGGGCTGAATTATTTCAACACCTTTAATTTAACTTCAAAAACTGATTTATTTATTTATTTATTTTTTTTACAAACTCAACCCTTGTGCTACTTCCATTTCTTAATGCTGAATGGTAACAAAGTGATTATTTAAAGACAAAGACCGAAATGTGAATAAAAATCCCTTTAAAAACCCCACAGTTTCCACTAAGTTTCCATAGAAACACAGAAAACCATGACCCTAAGACTCAGCCATCTTTTCTTTTCTATTGGATCATTTATTGTGAACTTGTGTGTTCCCAAACACACTTTAACACACTCAGAAGAGGCTATTCACTTAATAGCACCTTTTATTTCCAAAAATGAGAGGACAGATTTAATACTGTAGTTAAAACCATAACTATAATCTGGAAGACATGTAGCAGCAGTTTTCCCAGAACAAGTCTTTATTTGACACATGTGGGGATGCAGTTGTGAATTTTATGTCTTGATGTTCTTTGTGGGGTTTTTTTTTTTAACCACTCATAATAAAGTTAAGCCCAACATGGCTGTGTACAAAATGTTAACAATAACCCAAAATCTTTTCAATGTTTGTAAGCAAATCAAAATTAATATGGGAAGGAAAGGAATCAAATTGAAACTGATTTCTTAATGCCCTGATACTCCTTAATTCTGATTATCCTTTATAGACAGGATGGCTGATTATTTCATGTGCTTGTTGAAAACCTGTTAGTTCAGAGCTATGTTGTGTAAAATGCAAATTAAAACATAAGATATCTGCTTATAACATATATTTTAAGAAAGAGGCTGGGCGCAGTGGCTCATGCTTGTAATCCTAGCACTTTGGGAGGCCAAGGTGAGTGGATTACCTGAGGTCAGGACTTCGAGATCAGCCTGGGCAACATGGTGAAACCACGTCTCTTCTAAAAATACAAAAATTAGCTGGGCATGTTGGTGCATGCCTGTAATCTCAGCTACTCAGGATGCTGAGGCAGGAGAATCATGTGAACACCTGGGAGGCGGAGGTTGCAGTGAGCCAAGATAGCACCACTGCACTCCAACCTGGGCGACACAGTGAGACTTCACCTCAGAAAAAATAAAAAAATAAAAAAAAAGAGAAAGAAAGAAAGAAAATATTGGATGTATGAAAAATCACATTTTGAATACTTGGTTAAGATTTCCAAACCTGAGCACTTAGTTGAAATTTGAGATTTCAAGATAAAGAGATTGTTCCTTATTAGTAAATTATGTTTCCAACATATATTTAAGTATTTAGATATTTCCATTACATAAGGCTATTGAGAAAAATCTCAAAGTGGCAAAATAACTCAACACACAAACAAATAATTATTATATCCATAAAGTGCTTATATCTGTGAAAAAATTATGTTCCTATATGGTTCATGTAACAGTTGTCTGTCTCAAATAGCATCAATAGTGTGCTGAAGTCTAATAATTTACTCCATTTTCAGGGCTATATCATCTAGCATCCAGTGGTAATTTCTATTTTGCAAAAATTAATTAAATGGACATTAAATGTAATGGCATTTCAACTTTGAATCATGTTAAAATATTTCCATTAATGGAATTTGTGAATTAAATTGGAATTAGATCAATCAGTAGCTATAAGGTATTTTTGAAAAACATTACAACTGATTTAAGGCTAGAACTATTTACTAAATAGATTATAAGCCATATAGAATATTTTCTCTACTATATGTGAGACTACAGCATCTAGATTACAACTACATAGATATTGCTTTTTAGGCACTATACATGTATACTACTTATTATATGTGCTATCTAGATTACCAAAAAAACCCTATTATTACATTCCTATTATGTGTTACACATGGTGCTATAGTTATACAAAACAGTGGATTCCTAAAGAAACTTCTAGAAAACTGAAAGTAAATAATATTTTTTAAAGGGTAATAGGAATAGAGCTTAGACTCTACTATTTGTTAATATTACTCTAAAGGCTTTCTCCATGTAAGCAATAGCCCTGTCTCATAGATTGTTTTACCCGCTGTACAGGGCAGGAAACTGAGGAAGAGAGAGGATACATTAATTCAATAGCATTAAATAGTTATTAAGTGCCAAGCCCAAATCTTAAACTCGAATTTTCTGACCTCAAATCTAATACAGATGATAGTATCAACAGCATACTGTACAATTGATCAATGAAAAGAAAAATTATTGTGGTCGCCAACTGTTAGGAAAGACTAAATTGAATATATTTGACATGAAATGAGGTTTGAAGAATAGCTAGGCTCTCTGAAGCAAGGGAAGGAGGATATCTTGGGTAAGAAGTATAGCATAAGCAAAGGCAAGAAAATGTCTAACCATGAAATGATGGATAAGACTTTTTGGTTATCATGCAGTTTTCCCAAACAGAGGAGGTTGAGAAAATGTACATTTCAATCAGTTTGTAGAGAGCCCCAAGCACCAGACTAAAACTGTAATGAATCTGATGTATGCATATCGTGTGGCAGATAAGCACAGCAAGCGATAGGGAACAAAGTGCAGGGTATGTTTTGATTACATGTTGTGAAAATAAAGAATGTTTAGCAGGTGGGAACTCTAGCAGAGGAGAAAAAGTGGTGTTTCAGGCCACAGTGAACATTGTGTGCATTTCTGGGTGATTTTCCATTCAAAGTGTTAGTCAAAGCAGTAGATAATTATGTTATTTAAATATTCGAGTAATACGGTTCTGTAAAGGGGCTTTGGGCAAACATATTTTAGTTTCACCATTAAACTAATTCACTTTTTCTAGAATCTATGACCTACCATCAGCAACAAAGCATTTCTGAGGCCTTCTGGGCAGATGTAATAGACTAGAGATCATTGAAGACAAATTCCTCGCAGAGAAAGATTTGTGAAATCCTGCAGCGAACCAAGGAAACTGTACTCCCAAACTCTCTCCCCTGCAGAGAAGGCTTTATCATTGACTGTCTCTTAGCACTTCAAAAAAACTTTGAATTTGTGAATAATAACACTGTTACCTTATATATAAATCCAAACAGAAACTTATGAAAATATTGATGGTGGTCCCATACTATGAATGGAGGCTCTATTCTTACTAATAGACATTTTTGTTCATAAATATAACTTTTTTCTCTGCATATACAAGTGAAATATGTAGTTGCAAGTGAAGATAAATTTTAAAAATTATTATATTCATTTGCAGAACACACATCCTGCCTCCAAGTTGTGCTAGATTACAGGGATATAAATTTAAATAAGACATAGTCCCTTCCTAAAGAATGCTCAGCAATGCAAAGAATGAATGAATGATTTGTTCAGCTCCTCTCTTACTTTCAGAAAATATTTGAATTCTAACTCTTTATAAGAATATGTTAAAGTTGCCATAAATCACTCCTAGGTCAAGTTAATTTCAAATAATCCCTCCCGTGATTACTCCAGGCCAAAATTTTTAGCAGACTCTCATGTTTTAGGTAAAGATGAAGAGATTATGTAACTTATTATTATCATTATTGTTACAACTTGCCTTTATGCTTAACCTCATGTGACTCTGAAGCAGAAATGGAAATGATGCCATTCATATATTATCTTAGAGTTAATAAATGTTTTGGTGTTAGTGTAGGGTAGACGGTTATCAGAATCCTCTAACATTTAATTCTGTGACACACTGTATCTTCTTATGTGTTTCTGTTCATAAGGTGACACCTCAAATGATGTCATATGAACATGCTCAAAAACTATTTACATATATATACATTTTAGGAAAATTCCAATCATAAATATTGCATTTCATGGTCTGACAATTTTTATTTTTGTCTTTAGAAATGCATTTGGAGAGTATGATTATAAATATTAAGAGAAAAAGTATTACAGAGACCTCCAAAGACTCCTCTTCGGAGATTTCTAAGCCCCTTTGATCAGCATTTATGTGATGAAATCCAACAAAAATCCTTACTACTGAATGTTCCCTTGTTCCACTTTAAAGAAGAAGCAGCTATTTAAAAACTAGTTTTATACAGTTTTCCAGGACTCCTTCTTATCCTCTTTTGATGTGGAACTTTGTGTCCTGTGATTTTAATGTACACTTGAACGACCCATGAAACATGAGATGGATGAATTAAAGCAACAGTGTAAAAGTAGATTCTACTTTAAGGCACTTTCTCTTTGTTGCTTTTTCCTCAAAGTACCCTTAGCAAGGAGTATTAAGATTTGAGCACTCGAAATTCATGGATGTTTCTACAGGCATACAGAAATTCTTTCTAAATGGATAAGCCTAATGTTCCTTTTGAGGATGCTGTTGGTGTGAATAGTTATTTTCCTCCAGAAAGTATGATCTATTGTTATTTGTAAAATGTAGATAGGTATCAAAGCAAATGTCCCTCATTTGGAACATATTGTGGTCCACATCTTCAACAAAATTAAATTGTTTACAGTATTTTAATGTATCAACTGAATATATATCTTCCTATTAAGAAAATGGTTTGTCAGATGTCATAAAACATTTTTTAACAGTAAAGGTCACATTTTATTGCAAAAACCTGTCAGTGCTTTATGTCCGAGCTGGGAAATGTTATTGCTTCAGGGTGATAACGTGGGAGGGGGCTGTGGTTAAGAATGCTTTTCTGAGACCAGCTATGATTTACAGCAGTGAATGGAGAATTAAACCCTTAATTGAAGCCTACAGAGCAGTACCTAGAGGCTAGATTCAGACTGAAATTTGATTCAGACAATTTTCTTAGTCAAGCCCCTATGGGCTTACCAGTTGATTCTCATGAGTTTTGATTGTGATTGAAAAGACAAGCTGTTTTCTGCTTTGCCCTGAACTTCCCTAAGGTAAATCACCAGTTTTAGTAAGCTTCTTGATTAACGTGGAGGGAGAGTTATCAGGGAGAGAGGAATAGAGGCGGAGGGAAACAGAAAGAGAGAGAGATTGAGAGCACAGGAGTTTAACACTTTCCTGAATTCCCAAAAAGAAAGTATCTGTCTGTGTCAGATATCTCTAAAGGAGACTCTCATTTAAACTGATAAACGCCCTTCCTGAAGTTATGATGGAACTATGGCTGTGGCCTCATGTACGTGACCCTGTGCTTCTTTAAAAGAGTGGTGTGGGTCATTGGTTATAAGCACCTTATATGAAGTTGAGCCACATCAGGTATCACATTAGATGTGACAGAAATGTCAGTCCAGAGGTCATAGGATCTTGAATCAAATTCTCCATTCCTTTCTATTTATAAGTAATACTCTTGTTTGTTCCCTCAAATTTTCTCTATCATATATTTATTTGGCATGTCTTACAGTTTAATAAATTACTTACTCTATTAATACACCCTATTCTGCCTTTGTCTCATGTATTAGTTTGTTGATTACTATGGTTAACATATCCTATGAGATTTGCCTATATTTCTTAAGCCTATACCTTTCCTATTATCTATGCTCAATACAATTTTCAACCACCCTTTTGTGTTTTTTATCTATAGCAGAACTGACTATTTTCAAATAATGCAGCAGATCCACATTAAGTGTTGAATAAGATATGCAAGGTAATGTGCTGGCTGTTAATGAAGATTGAAAGATAAAATATAATCTCCAATTTAAGCTTTTGGAATGGTGAAAGAGCTATGTTATTTACCTAAAGGTATAATCGCAGGGAGCTAGAAGTTTTTGTGGAATGGACACCGACAAGACAAGAATTGTGATTTAGAAAAATGAATCTGAAAGTAGTGTATAACACAGTATGTGGGAGGAAAGATTAGATGAAGAAGGTCATTTCCATGGTCTAGGAAAGTAATAATATCCTAAACCACTGTAGTGGTTATGGGACAGGTGAGAGAGGGTCAGATACAAATCATATTTTGGAAGTAGAATTAACATTGTTTGGTAACTTACTGAATATATAGATAGTTCAGGAGCAGGGAAGAGGAAACCCTAAGGCCTTGAGCTGGGGTGAGTAGGAGATGACTGGCTATCAACAAATAAAAAGAGGAATGTAAGAGGCAGAGCCAGTAGAGGCAAAAGGGTGGTTTTCCAGCTGGAAACATATTGAATGTGATATTCCCACAGGAGTTCTACAGAGAAGTATAAGGCAAACAGAAAATGGCTCATAGAAGGCATGGCCAGAAATGAAGATTCAGGAATCATCTCCATAAAAGAGACTATTCAGCCAAAATATTTGTTTCTATCTTCCAGAAGAAGAAAATGGACATAATGTGGGGAAAATGATGGAACCTTGAGAATTAGCATCATCTTGGGGTCAGTGGAAATGAGGAAGTTAGTGGAGAGAAGCCAGAAGAGGCAGAGGATTGGCAGAAGTAGATGGAAACCCCAAAGCAAGGAGCTAGGCAAAGCCTACTGGGAAAGGCAGAATTGGAGGACCCAGGAAAGGTAATAAAACTTGCCAGTATTAATTTCCTGAGGGCTTTGGGGAGAGAGACTTCAGCGAATTGGTAGGGCAACAAATTGCATTTCAAGGTATTTATGAGTGAGGGGTGATAAATTACAAGCAGTGAAGAGAAATCTCCCTGGTTGAAAGTTTGCGAGTAAAGGAAAGGTACAGGAGAGTGGCAAGAATGAAGAAAAGAGATGGTATATTAGTCCATTCTCGCACTGCTGTAAAGAAATACCTGAGACTGGAAAATTAAAAATAAAAGAGATTTAATTGGCTCACGATTCCTTCCACAAGCTGTACAGGAAGCATGGCAGCATCTGCTTGACTTCTGGGGAGGCTTCAGGAAATTTTCAATCATGGCCCAAAGTGAAGGGGAAGCCAGCAGTGCACGTGGCTGGAGCAGGAGGAAGAGAGAGAGGAAGGAGGTGGCACACACTCTTAAACAACCAGATCTCATGAGAACTCTATCAGGAGAAAAGCACCAAATGGGAAAATCTGCCCATGACCCAATCACCTCCCACCAGGCCTCATCTCCAACAATGGGGATTACAATTGAACATGAGATTTGGGTGGGGACACATTTCCAAACCATAACATTTGGGTTACTTTGTTTATAACAAATTTGCTCCAGAATGATTTACATAAAAACAGACTGCTGTGGTCAGAGATGAATATGAGTATGGAAGGGTAAGGCACAATCCCAAATAAAGAAGCAGCTACTTTTCATATAGGCAAGTAAATTTGGTAGTAGGATGTGAAGAAAATATTAGAAATTTAGTTATTGAAGTATCTGGTTTTGAACTAATAAATGTGAACAATTAATGATGTAATTTTATATTTTGTTGAAGGACCTTTACTGTATGAAAGGTAGTATTAGGTCTTTAGAAAAATTATTTTGTTATTCCACATTTTACATTTGGTCTCTATAGTTTTTAAGACTTGTTACCAGGAGTATACCTTTATTCAAACAGAACATGTACATTTTACATAATCATTGTAAAGAGGAGATTATACCTCATATTCCAAAGACCTAGGCTGATGCTCTTTAATACTCAATACTTTATATATAGAAATATAGTCCTACTAATGTTTATTTTATGGAAAAATGATAGTGTATTAGACTAATAATAGAAATAGTAAATTAATTGTAATTAGTGCAGAGAGTGAAGATGTCTCTCATTTACAGATGAATTCCTATGGAAATAATGACACTTTCTGACTGTGATTAACATTATCCTTATCTGCATTGCTGAATAACATTGCAGAGAATTTCACAGGATGCAAGAGCAAAATAACTTTACCCTAACTTTTCTTCCTGAAGGAAATAATTACAGGCATAGAGATTTTGTTTGGTTTTTAAAGATTTGTTTTGACTACAATTATTTTGGCAGATGCATCAAACTTCTATTCAATTATATTCAATACATATTCATTTAATACATACCCACTATGCCAGACCTCATAGGATCATATATTCCAGTGAGGTAGATTACAAAAGAGAATAATAAACACTTGGAGCGCATAGTGTAATCATTTAAGTCAGGGGTGTTCAATCTTTTGGCTTCCCTGGGCCACACTGAAAGAATTGTCTTGGGCCACATACAAAATACACTAACACTAATAATGCCTGATGAGCTAAACAAAAAAAATCACAAAAATCTCATAATTTTGTAAGAAAGTTTATGAAATTGTATTGGGCTGCATTCAAATCTCTCCTGGGCCACATGTGCCCTGTGGGCCGGGGGTTGGACAAACTTGGTCTAAGATTTGAGGGGTTAGGGAGCATGTGTTTGGTGTCTGGTTTGGCAATTGACTAGACTTAGTCCTTGAGAAAATAAGTTTTAAGAGAGCATAGCTCATTCAAAACCCTGAGTGTAAATTAAGGAGTTGAGATATATGAAATTGTTAGCAGGGTATGGAATTTACCCAAAGGGCAATAAGGAATCCCTGGAGCATTATGAGCAAAGGTAAGAAAAACTTACCTAGTACTACCTTAGGTGACATGATCAAAAGCTTTTCAAGATCATCTGATCAGTAGGGGAATAAAGTGGATGAGACAAGCCTGAATTCAGGAAGCTTCATTAGGCAACCGCTGAACTAACATAGGCATTAGCTTAGGTAGTGCTGATCTGTGCAGTTACAGATCAGAGTAGATCTGCAGCATACTTAGGGTGTGGAGTTTGTGTTGTCAGTACTTATTCGGGCATGGGGAATGAGAGAGGGAGAGGAAAGAATCAAAGATGTCCAGATATCTGGTTGGGTGATTGAGCAGACTATGGTGCTTTTCTTTGAACTTGGAATCACAGGAAGAAGATCTAGTTTAAGGCTGAAGTTAGTAATCTCCATTTTGGGCATACTGGATTTAAACAGTCTCTTGAGCCATCCTCATGGAGGCATTCTGTGGGCCTGAGGTTTTGGAGAGAGAAGGGGAGCAGCTATGTACCCAGTGATCATAGCCCTGGTGGAAGTGGTTATTCTCTGATCATGTAGAGAAAGAAGAGAAGGGAGCCTAGAACAGAGTTGCCTAACTTTATGTGTGAGGAACCAGAGAGAAAATATTTTAGGGTTTACAGGTCGTACAGTCTCTGTCACAAATACTCAACTTTGCCTCTGTTGGGACACTAAAGCAGCCACAGATAACACACAAGGGAATGAGTGTGACTGTGATATGTTCAAATGTACTTATAAATGAGGATATTTAAATTTCATGTAATTTCCACATATTACTATATATTATTCTTCCTTTGATTTCTAATTTTTTTCAACATTTCCAACTGTACAGGTCTATTCTTAGCTGATGGGCTAGATAAAAAGCAGTAGATCAGATATGGCACAAATGTCACAATTTGCTGACCACTGGCCTATGACATCACCCTCTGGTTATGAGAATCCAAAGAGGAAATGACAAGCATTGGTTCAGAAAGGTAGGAGAGAAATCCAGAACAGAACTAAAAAATATATATGGCATATAATTTTGAGTTAATTAGCCCTGACTTTTGTAGTAGCTGCCTACCAACCAGTTAAAATTTGCAACAATGATTGAGGTTTAGGATGTTTTTAGAAAGTATATTTCATTTACGAATATAAAAGTAATACAGGTACTTGAAGAAAAGAAGTCATCCCTTCCCATCCTCTATTTCCCCTCCTACCCACCATTCCCAACCCCCACAACATGAGTTCAGATGGCAAAAACCTGAGTTATCTTCTTGGAGCTCTCTTAATATCCAGTTCATTAACTTCGCCTTTCTCAATTTACTTTTCTGTAAAATAAAGATAATTTGGTGAATGAAAGAGGATGCATGACAAGACATGAGTGTATGTGCTAAGGCATGAGTTGAGAGTTTGGGGAAGATTAGAGCAGATATCATATATGAAAGCATCTGGTACAATGTATGTAATATATTTAAATGCTGTTCAAGCATTTTCTTTCCTTTCCAAACTACATGCAATATGATGTCCTGTGTGAATTCTAATCCTTCATAAGGAAATGATTAGTTTGCCTGGTTTCAGATAAGAATAGATGGAAGTGGTTTAATCAATATCAATATCAATATCAATATCAGTATCTGTTGATAAAGGGATTAAATGTTCCCTTTTATAATGTGAGCACCTGTGCATGAGCTGTAAAAGACAGTTGAATGCAATGGCTTCTTAACAGTTGCAAATTTCCTGTTTGGGAATACTGTTGGCAATTATAGAATTGAGTCCAGGTGCTGGTTGGATTTGTGCATTTGTGCACATCAGATATCATTAATGTAAGAAAAAGTGTGAAGCAGTTGGAGAGAAGGAAAGACATGATTTGTGTTAGAACCCAAGTTTGCCATTTACTGGACAAAGACAAGCAACCTTAGGACAAGTTATTTAACCTCCTCACTAAGCCTCAGTTTCATTATCTATAAAATGTGGATAAACTGCCTCTTTGTGGGTTATGGTGTGACTTAAATGAGAGGATATAAGATATCCAGCAGACTGGCTGACGTGCAGTAGGTGCCCAATAAATATTAGTTCCTCCCTTTTCCTTCTCTCTTATAAGAAAATCAATTTTGCCCTTTATTTCTACTTGCTCTGGACCGTTTGCCTTAAAGAACAAACCTAAATGAAAAAGAAGAGTTTTATTGATGTGTTTGCAAACGGGTTGTTGGGAATGTGGAATGTGTTACATTTAAAGTAAATAAATTCCATTGTGATATGAGCCTCGTACAAGGCTAAGAAGAGGTCTATAATTTGTTTCATTTAAAACATTAAATTATGATGGCTCACTTAATAACTCCAGACTACTAGGCTAAACTACGTTTGTGTTCAGCAAACAGTCATAAAAATCCTTGTTAGACATTTAATTACTGCACAAATTGTTTTATAAAGCTCTGTAAAGCAAACATGTTGATTAGCAAAAAATGTAGTCATGATTGCAAAAATACTAATCTTTTAAAATATATAAATTTAACTATAAGCAAGTATTTTATCATATAGAATTATTTACCTCTTACAGGCTTGTTATCCTTTTGTAACCCTACTCCTTGTTAAAGAAAAAAGTTCGCATGCAAAACCTTTTCGCATGTACAAATTGAGATTTATTGTGTCCTTATGAAAACATGCTTTGTCGTATTTAATGGAGACATATATTAACGTTTATGAACATGAATTTGCAAAATCAGATTTGTAAAGACAAGCCACAGTCAATCCTTGAGTAAAAGATTAAGTGAATGAATGTCAGTTTCAGTAAGTGGCAATGATTACTATGGTTCAGAGGTGGGGGAGATGAAGTTGTTGTTGGTCAGGTCTCTTTGGACAAACCAATTCTGAAGTCATCATTCAAAGGTCTTCCTGTATAAGGCAGAGGAACTGTCTTCCCAAGAGTATTAATGTGATTTTCATCACATTAATTATCAGTGATTTATTTATGAAGATCCTAGTTCTAAACTAATATTAGGAGAGCTACCCTATGACTTGAGCTCTACCAGAGGGAAGAATTTATAGTGGTAAAATTCTCTTCAAACTTCTTTGACTTAATATTCTTTTAAATTACAGCACATTTTGGCTAGATTAGATAGAGTTATAACTGGTAGCCATATTTCAGTCATACTCCTGTGTGCATACAAACACAAATTTCACTTAAGTGAACCACATTAAGCACTGTCTTAAGATACTGACCTAATAATTAAAAATACAGAGAAGGGAGAAGGGTGGAGGGAGAAAAGATGGGAAGGAGAGACAGAGAGAGGGAGAGCGACATAGAGAGAGAGACAGAGAGAGATGGAACCATTTTCTCAACATATTCATTCAACAAACATTTCTTCAGCTACATTCTATTATTCATGCATTGCAAGGATGAATTAGAACTTCTACACATAAACTTACAGTTTTGATGAAATAACAATTTAAATAAATTATTATCACAGAAAAATATTACCATTAGCCGACCACTAACTCAATTTGGAAAAGGAAAGACAGGCTTTTAGAAAGAGATGAAATCATTCAATGTATTTTATTACTTCTGAGGGCCTAACACAGTAATGGAAACAGCTCTGTTCTGGGCTGTGTTATAACAGAGAATAGTGGAGTGTGATCCTTGTCCTTCAGGATATTGCAAATAAAACATATTGAGAAACCTGTTCACTGATGGCAAAGAAGGGAGTTAAATTAAGGAAAATTGTGAAAAAAAATATCATCAATACAAGGGAATGGACAAGACAATGTTGGAAAATACAGATGAGGAGCTGACCCCTACGCAGCCTATCACTATCTATATAACCCAGTGGAAATTTATGGAATCCTGGCCTATAACAAAGATTCTATTTAAAGCTGATAGAAGAAGCTTCTCTTTCAAGTTCTCCTGCTGTATTCCAGATTCAATAATCCTCCTATTTGTTACTTTATGCTGGCAAAATTACTGACCACTAATGGAACATTAAATCCTCCTTAGTCCATAAAATTCACAATTAGACAAAATATATGAAGTAAATGTAAAAGCACCTATGGTATTTTCAGTGTAAGTGGCAGTTAACTCCATTTTGAAATGAGTTATATCTTAAAGTAAAACCAGATTTTACTGCATTTCATAAAATAACACTTACATGGGGACCAAATTTTGGAGATTCTGTTTTATTAATTCTAGGGAAAGGACTAGAAGCAGAATGTTTAAAAATCTTCCCACGAGAAGCTACTGGTCAAGAGTGGGAACAATTATCCTGAAGGGTCTTTAAGGAACCAGCTCCTAGACTGCTAGGAAGATTGTTTCCATGTCCATGTATTTCATGTCTTTCCTCTTCCTTGTAGGAGGTACCATATTAGGAGCAAAGATTATGCTAATACCTATCAAAGTGTACATTTATTTCCAAATAGTTTAATTATTTTTCTGTTTTTAGAACTAGTGGGAAAATAACATATGGCTCACTTGATCTGTGTTATGTTTAAAGTAGCCACAGCAACATTTTTGCTCTATATGCTCATAAGAGGTGCTATGGTCTGTAGATTTTCACTTGTGAATCAGTTTGGATGCCAATATTGTACAGGAGGAAAAAAGTTATAAGTCAGAGATACCCTGTTCTTTTCATATTTGGGATTATTTCAGTCTAAATAATGTAAATGCAGGCCAAAAAAGAGCAAAGGAAATGATACTCAAATCTCAATAAGAAAAAACTGTGCTTTACAGTGTGTTAGTGCTTTTGTGAAATTATGGACAGTGAATAAGGGATGACTTCCACTTTGGGTTTTCAGATTTGAATTGAATCACAGCATATTTTTTAGTCCACACTTTACTCTTTTTTTCAAAGAACATGCTGCTCTCAAAGACAGATAAGTACATGAAATAGAAAAAATTTTGGATTTGGATAATTTAGTTTCTGATTAAATCCTAGCCTGTACAACATGGAATATATTACATTTTTTAAACTTTTTTTTTATCTGTCTATGCTCATGGTAGGCAGAATAAATGCCCCTCAAAGATATCTGGGTCCTAGGGTCAGAAAACTATAAATATATTACCTTACATAGGAAGAAGGACTTTGCAGATATTATTAAGTTAAGGATTTTGAGATAGAGAGACTTATCCTGGATTATCTGGGTGTGTTCAATATAATAAAAAATGTCCTTTAAAGTGTAAGTGAAAGGTAGAAGAAGAGAACCAGATTTGATGTCAGAAGCAGAGTTTGGAATGATGAGATGTGAGAAGGAATCAACCCACCATTGCTGGCTTTGAAGACAGGAGAGATCTATGAGCCAAGAGATGTGAGAAGCCTTTAGAAGCTAGGAAAGACAAGAAAATGCATTGTCCTCTAGAGCTTCCAGAAGGGACCATAACCCTGCAGACAGCTTGATTTTAGCTAAGTGAAACCCATGGTACCAAAGTAGTTCAGAAGTTTGTGTTGTTTTAAACCACTGATTTGTGGTACTTTGTTAACAGCAGAAATAGGGAACAAATACAAATTTTAGTACCTCGAAGTGGTATACCACTGTAACAAAGCACTGAGAAATGTGGAAGTAGATTTGAAATTGGGCAAAAAACAGAGGCTGGAAAACTTTTGAAGAGCATGATAAAAAATACTAGATTGTGCTGAACAGACTATTAGTAGAAATACGGAAGTCAATGGCTCTGATAGTGAGAACTCAGAGGAGATGAAGAGTGTGGTAGGGAAAACATACCACATTAGAGAATACCTAAGTCCTTGTAAGTAGACTGTTAGAAGAAATGCACACATTAAAGATGTTGCTAATGAAGAATCATAAGGAATTAAGAACATGTTATTTGAGAGGGGGAGAGAGTACCCTTGTTATGTAATGGCAGAAACTTAGAGGAATTGTGTGCTGCAATTATGAGGAGAGCAGAACTTATAAGCGATGAACTTGGATATGTACATGGGGAGATTTCTATGTAAACTGTTGAATGTGTGGCCTGGTTTCCTATGTGCTGCTTATAGCAAAATGTGAGAGGAGAGACATAGAGTAAGCAAAGAACTGTTAAACAAAAAACTGGACTTAATGATTTTACTAATTCTTGGCTTACTTTAATGGCACATAATGCAAAAGTTGAGATTCACTGGAAGGAAAGCATGGTCTAGAGAAAAACCACAGTGCATCTGGACAGTCTTTCACTGGTATATCAGAAATATCAAAAGGTCAGAATACTCAGTCATACAAAAAGTTTCTTTGAAGAGATTTAGAAATTGCATAGGACTGGTGATTCTTTTTTTCCCTTTCATTTCACACTTTTTGGAACCAGAATATCTATAATTGTTATCCTGTGTCTGTACCACCATTATACTTTGGGAGCAAATTGTTTTTTGAGGGATTTCATGAACCCACAGATGGAGAGAAATTTGATCCAGGATGAGTCATACCGAGACTCTCACTTGTACTAATTTAGATGATTTCAATGAGACTTTTCAATGATTTCAAAGGGATCTGGGACTTTTGAGTTGATGAGATTTAAATAAGTTTTTGGATTTTGAGTCGATGCTGTAATAGGTTAAAAATTTGGAAAATTTTGGAATGGGGTGAAGGTGTTTTTCATTTGTGGCAAATGTAAACAGTTTGAGGCCAAACGAGTAACATGTAGTAGGCAGAATAATGCCCTCCCTGCTGCCACAAAGATCTCCACATCCTAATTCTTGGAAACTTTAAATATTTTGCTACATGACAAAGGGGAATTAAGGTGGAAGATGGAATTATGTTTGCTAATTAGCTGATCTTAAAATAAAGAAATTTCCTGAATTGTCAGGGTAAGCCCAAAATAATTACAAATGTCCTTAAAAGTGAAGATAGGGGCAGAACAAGAGAGTCAGAGGGAGATGTGGCAATCTATGAAAAAGATCAGAATGAGGCCAAGCAGGAAGGCATCAATTAGCCATTCCTGGATTTGAAGAGAGAGAAAGTGGGCCAGGAACAAAGGAAAGGGGGGATCTTCTAAAACTGAAAAAGGCAAAGAAACATATTGTTCCTTAGAGCCTTTAGAAAGGAACACTGTTGATACCTTAATCTGAGCCCTCTGAGATCCATGTCAGATTTCTGAAATGTAAGATAATAATTTTGTGTTTTAAGTCACTAAGTCTGTAGTAATTTGATACAGCAGTGGTAAGAAACTAATTCGATACCATTATACAATGACCGGCTTAAAGGGATAGTTATATAATGAAAGTCAAATTTGTAATGAAACTCTACCACAGACATGGCTTTCAACAAACATCCTATTGTTTAGATATTTCAGGATTACTCTTTCTGCTGCTAGTGCCGTGACATGAATTATTATTTTGTTTAATTTTTCACTCTCCTCTATATTAAGACAAAGCCCAAAACTCTGCTATTGCTTCTGTCATTGTTACATGGAGGTACATGGAGATAGATATGTATATATGCATATTACAATAACTGAACAATAAAGCAATGATGCCCTTATGCCAACCTTTCTTATCTTTCAGAAATATTTTTAAATAAATACTTCTTTTTTATTTTATCATCTGAAGTCAATTCTTGATCTGAAAACAAAAAATGATAGATACAGATAGTTTTAGTGTATATTCATGAGTGTGTACATGTACTCAGTGTATGCTTTTTTGCAGATGTTAAAAAATACACATGTAATTTGTAATATTGAGTCTCAACTCAAGAAGTAAGACATTGCACAGAGTAGTTGCAGAATATCATACCATTTAAGGAAAGACAGGAAGAAGTGTGCATTTTACTCATGGTTCTCAGAATCATGATATTACTACAATCCCCTTTTCCTGGCAGTGCTGGATATTAAAATTAGAGAGTCAAAACATAGATTCACTGTTATGCCTTCCAATTAAACAGCTAATGAGCTAGAATAATGACCCTTTCTCCTAACTGGTTGTAAGAATAATTAGATTTAAAAATATTTCACACATGAATGCAACCACAGTGTTGCCAGTCAGAGAAAGTGAAGATAGAGCACCATACTTGAATTTTCTAACTCTGATAAAAGCCATTTTGGTGGTTGGGTGGTAAACAGGAGAGTTGCAATATTAATCATTGTCCAATGTAACTAAGATCTTGAAAAATAGAGTACAGATAGGTGGGCCACTAATAGGATTATATGAATGTAAAAAATAATTCAAAATATTACAAAGAGCTCTCTGTTTAGAATAAAATTCCAATGAATCAAATTGTTCAAAATTTCAGTTTATAATAATTTGGATTTACTAGACATAGAAAGAAAACATTTTTCTTCAAAGCATTCTTGTCAAAATCTTTCAGAAACATACTAGAAGGATATTATTCAATAAAAATGGAAAAGCCTTGAGTGCCTCAAAAAGCATCATTGTATGTGTGAATCTTATTCGTACCCTAAGGTCCATAGTCATTTATACGGTATTGATGTATATGTGTACTGATACCAGGAAATACTTATAGGGTGGAGACATGATTCAACCTTACATCTTGTGTTTTATTCCAAATGTCTTTACTTTCGTATGACGATTTCTACTTTGTATTATGATGAACTGAAATCCTTGAAATTTTAACAGTATTTCTCTAATTTTAGAGTATTGGAATGTTAATATTCATTTTATGTTATCTAGAAATGCTGGTTTCCTTCAAAGTTAAGTTTAAAATTTCTAGGTATTAAACAGTGTTTAAAAGAGATTAAAAGTAGCGGAAATGAATTTTTGTTGCAAGCTTTATTTTATTTTAGTTCATAATAATTTGTGGAATTAGAAAAGATCTGTTATAACTTAGAAGTCTCTGGTATAATTATTTTTAAAGCCAGTAGAGGCAGACATGTTGCTGATTGAATAGAACTTTTGTTTGTTCTTTTTAAAAGAAATTCAAAGTTTGATACTGATTGTTCACATCAGTTTCAGTGCTACTCATTAGCAGTCCCAAATGTTAAGAATTTAACTTTCTAAGAGTATCTTCGATGCAAAAGCTATTATATAATTTTTTGATAGTCCCTGCCTTTTAGTTTTATTGGCTTTCATACCACTTCCATCTGTCTAGAAAACAATTAAGATGAGGAACACGACTCCATCAATTGCAAATTCATGGTGATTAATTACTCTAAATTAGTTTTATATTGAAAAATGGGGGGAAATAATTGTACATTTAATTTCATGATCTGTTATCATCCAGGAAGTGAAGATAATAATAATACAAATAAACTCTCAATAAATGGATTTTTTAGAGGAATATCTGGTACTGTTAGTGTTTTTAAACTCAGCTTTTTTTTTTTTTTGGTCAGGTAATGCTTCCATCTTTTAGATAGAGCTAATACTTTCTAATATTTATTGAATTTGTTTTTAAACTCAGCTTTTTTTCAGGTAATGCTTCCATCTTTTAGATAGAGCTAATACTTTCCAATACTTATTGAACATAATGACTTTAGGTTTGGAAAAAGACTGACAAAACTTGATTTGAATATATTGAGCAGTTCCCATAATTGCTTAAGAATAAAAGTTCATGTTGAAAGTATCTGGGCATATGATACTTCTAAACCATATTTGTTTTTGATACCTTGTAAATAGTGTCAAGGCACAAAAATAATATTGATAAATAATGTCTTACTCTCTTTAAAGGCCCTGATTGTCTGATTTTATAAATCAAGAAACTTGTTTTATTCATTAAGTTCCTTAGTTTGCTTCAAATTTAGTTGTCAAAATTTTGTTATAGTAATTGTTATCACTTAGTTCATAAGGACCCAAATGCTGTGTCATCCCTGATAAATCATGCTGCCGAAAAGCAACATTAATTATTTCTGCTCCATCTAGTAGACATCAACATCAAAATTTTGCCTCAGCTTTCATCTTATAGTTGAAGTAAGCCCATTCATCATCTTTTTAGAAATGAATGGGATTGGATCATGAAATATTTTTGATTGGCAGGCTTCATGGTAGATGTGAATAGGCAGTGGTCAGCAAAGACCTTGCAGATTTATTTCCTTGGTCATGCTCCTGCCTCCAATAACTCACTACAACTTTGTGCTGCAACTTTTAGAGGTCAGAGAGGTGACAGTATGTGAGTAGCAGCTAGGCTGATTTCTAAATCATCTTTTTAATAACCCTTTTAGTTTCTTGTTTTCTAAGCATGTGGAAGGGACCCAGAAATATAAAAACAATAGCAACTATTTTACCATGCTAGTTGGCTGGGGGCATTGAAGTGTGCCCAAGGTCATAGCTGGTGTATAAAGGAGCTAGTTAAAAGTTTACATGTGAAAGGATAGCTTCTGGAGTGGACATTATGCATTTATGGGAAGAGCTCCAGCAGATTCTTAACTAACCTCTAATGAGCAACTCCTGAGCAATAGCAGCAGCCCACTCATTAAGGATTCCTCATTGACAGTCACTGTTGGAGAGACATTCACCAGGGTACAAGTTGATCAAGATAGGGAGGAATTTCATAATTTTCAAAGAAATGTCCTCCACAAATTTATTAACCTAAAATTTCCTGTCCTTACACTGGAAGAATGGAATGTTTTTAAGAGGTGAAAATATCAGACGAAATGAAATGAGTTTTGTAAGTTTTTATGTTCTGAAGTCTACCATTAAATGCATATGACTAAACACTAAAGAAGATATATTATCAATGCCAAACTTTTGAATTGATTAAATTTTGATTCCTATCCTACTAGTCGTTTTTAACTGAATTATGTTAATGCAAAATATATCACACAGGGAACCCTGAGACATTCTGCATACATTGAATAATGTTTCTCATGAATTAGTTTAATATTTCATAGATGTAGTCTTGTCCATGTTCTTTGCCCTGTTTGCTGCACTACCTTGTGTTATATTCTTTAGTGAACATTAAATGGAACAAATGCTTTAATGTAGGCATAATACTTTATTGTATTCCCTAGAAAGAAGTGTTCACTGCAGTTATAATAAATTCTTTGTAAGAGCAGTGTGTTTCGGAACAGACTTGAAAGGTCTCCTATTTAATGTACACATTTTATAGGTATGATTGAAACCAAGTGTGTTGTGTTCAATTCCTCATCTGATGGACTTCTTTCATTCCAAAAACTAAATATTGTCTTCACAAGGTTTCCAGATATTTTTGTTATCCGTTTACCCACACAAGCACTCTGAGCATTGCTTTACTCTTTATTCTGAACTATTCATTTTTTCCAAAGTCATATCTAAAAATTAAAGTACTCTGAAAAGTACATTGAATCTGTAAGAGGAATTAATAATGATAATTCCTGGAAAGAAATGAATTTCTTTCCATATCTGTTTCATGCTGTTACTCCCCTTTGATAGTAGCCCTGCTTTCATTCACCTAAATCCTCTTATATCTCAAGTTCTAACTTCACTCCTGTTTCCTTAAAAGCTTACTCTAGGACAGCACCTCCCTGGTCATCTATGAACTCTAATTGTCAGTGCATTAGGACATACACGGTTATGCTTTCATGCCTCATATCTCTCAAAGAGCATCCAACTTGGTGCTCAATAACTATTTATTGACAAATTAATTGCTCTATTAACCTATTATCTTATTTTAAGCTGATTTTACAAATTGGAAGTGGTTGTACATTTTATTTTGCAATTGTTTACTGCCAGAGGGACAATGATTGTCTTTTCATATGTATTCTCTTAAAACATAGAGACTTTTTCGTGGAGTAACCACATGAATTCACATTTTCCAAACACTGCCATTCATTGCGGTGTATTATCTAGCCCTCAAAGATATATAAGACAACGATGTTGCCATTTTTCCTGTGTTAAACAATGAAAATAAGCCAGAATAATCCAGAAATAAATCCAACCTATACCAGGTCTTAAACATCTTTGACATACCCATCCACCTCTTATGGATTTTCAAACTTTCAAAGTAAGAGGGTGGATCAGCAGAGGCAGACTCTCCTGAGCTGGGAGATATAGTGTCCCTGACAATAGATTTTCTCCTTTTTGAAAGCCTTTGAGGTTCTTGCATTTAACCTTTTCAGAGGCAACACAACCCTAATGGAGCACCTTTGACACCCAGTAACTCACAAAAGCATGCAGGTTTAAAAACTCTCAGATCTAACAGTGTGGGCCACAGCTTATGATATGGAATGGAATCTCCTATCACAAAGAGGAAGAAACACCATTCATTTCAAATATATGCATCCAAAACCATCATTTCTCCTTTCCTAATCCCTTTGTAGAAAATGTCTTCTTCAAGCATTTGAATTTAGATATTGAATATAAAATATTAGAAGGACTTTTAAATGCATCCTGAAATTCTATTCTAGCAAGAGCTCCCGAGTTTTCATCTTCTGCTTACATTACCTTTTTCTTTAATTTATCTAAGGAAAGGTAAAATGTTTCCAAACACATGATATAAAAAGGTTAATACATTTTTATAAATGTGGTTAAGGCATTCAACACTCTAAATAAACTTTATTCAACTATGTACTTAACACATAAGTAAATATTTTGATGATTTCAAGAAAAAGGTAAAATTATCCCAATACTTTTATTTCAATCCCTGCTAGTTTGTAAGGGATTTGTTCTTCTGAAATGCTGTCCATGCATTATGAAGAGAAATGATCTCTAACAACTAATATCAGCCTCTCTGTCTCAGAAATAAAAATAAGGCAGTCATGTGGAAGGAGAGAAAGAAGCAGTCATTTCTTAGCAAGGTAAGATAAATGTATTTCTTACCTACGTATAATTTGATAATATCTTTTCTTTACCCATAGGCAGAAGATGACTATTAAATCAAATTATCCCTAAAAACTTTTTAAAAGATCGCCTACTATATTTAAAAAAACAATAAAAACTGGTTCTTTTGCAGGATTAGGTAAGGGTTGCAACTTCATAGATTCCCTCCGTACCATCTATACTAAGTTCTTCCCCAAAAACCATTTTGTCAATTAGTATGGTCACTTAAACATAAACTCATTTTTATAGGATGTGGATATAAGGAACAAACAATATTGACATTGAACTGATAGACCTGATTTGAATTCTGGTATTATTATTTCCTTTTAAATTTGCATATTTAAGTATAATTTCCATACCAAAAAATTCACTCATTTCAGATTGTCATTATGACTTTTAGTATATTTACAGAGTGGTGTAACCATTCCCACAATCTACTTTCAGAACATTTCCATCATCCCCAAAAGAAACCTTGTGCCCATTCACAATCACTTCCTATTCCCACCCCAATCTTAGGCAAGCAGGAATCTACTTTATGTCCCTGTGAATCCTAGTATTAATAACCCAATTTCAAAAATGTGCATATTGTCATTCAGAGAAGTGAAGCAGTAGTCCAAAGAATAAATAGCTGGTAATTCCATATTTTACATGTAAATAATGCTTATGGCAAACCCTATAAATCATGCCCTACTATTTCTCCTATTTTACAAATGTGGAACTTGTGGTAGAAAAAGATGAAATAACTTTCTCGAAGTTACACACTCAGAAAATAATGAGAGAGTGAAATTTGTAGATAGAGGATTGATATTCTTACTAATTCTGCTGTGTGTTAAAACTAATTAGGGTAGGGGAGAGGGGAGAGAATTAAAGGTTTGAGGTATTTATCTTCAGTTTGTTTATATTTAAATAAAAATGTGCTGAACACCAAGTACGTGCAAAGCATGTGCCAAGCATTGGAGAGAAATAGAAGGAGTAAAGTGCTCTAAAGCAGGGGTGTCCAATCATTTGGCTTCCCTGGGTCATATTGGGAGAAAAATTGTCTTGGGCCACACATAGAATACATTCACACTAACGATAGCAGATAAGCTAAAAAAATTGCAAAAAAAACCTCATAACGTTTTGAGAAGGTTTTTGAATTTGTTTCAGGCCACATTCAAAGCCATCCTGGCCCACATGCAGCCCTTGGGTCATGGGTTGCACAAGCTTGCGCTAAAGTATTTCTCAACAGAGTTGGGAAGAACAGCAGGATACCCGCTAGATCAGTGGAGTGGTCGAAGGTGGAGGCAAGAACAGGGCAGATGACCTGTTGAATGTGGGATTAGTGTAGAGGCAGTGAGACTCAGAACCCAAAGAGGAAGTTATATCATGGTATATACCACTTTAAGTGCAAATCCCAGCAGGACACATCATTAACAAATCTTGTCTTCATCAGTGGGGCAGAACAGCTGGCCTGTTGGGGTTGCTGAGGGTGGAGAAGGTAGTTCCAAATATTTTCAACATCTTAACAAAATAATGGAGGTATTATTTCTATACGTTAATAACAGTGGGACGTAGTAGTGCAGTGTGAAAGCAAAAGTACATATTCATACCTATTTCTGCATGTGAGACACCTTGTGTTGTCTTATTGGTCGATAGAGCAAACATCCTTTCCTTCAGCAAATGTACATTAAATCCTGACTTTGAATATAAAGTGGTCAAGATGCCCTGTAGAAAGGGTTCAAGAGTAAGTACTGGTACATTCACTGCAGGAAGTTGAAGAGACACAAGGGTGTCCAAGGAAAGCTCCATTATTTGTACAGGAACGAATAGCTAAAAATTTTCAGAGAAGGAGCTCTTTGAGCTGAATCTTAAAGGACTGAGAAAACAAAAATTTAGGCAAAAGGTTTAAGGCGAGAGACACACACTTAATCTACGTAATAACTTCATAATCCATTTCTTAATTTCACATTTATGAGATAATCTCCTACAATCTGAAAAATATTATACTCTTGCCAAGTATTATTTTTATGGAAAAGCATTGGAAAAAAATAGTGTGTGAGCGTACTAGGGGTGAAACACAGATAGATTGTTAAAGCACAAGATCTTGGTTGTGTTCATTTAGTTAAAGCCAATCAACAGTTTTCCAGATCATCACTGTTCTCTATTTTTTCCCCAGCGGCATTCTGTATCACTAGACTTTGATACAGATGTAAGCATTTGGAAGAGATATTTGACAACCTCACCCTGACCCCCATCTTCTTGCACATAAGAGAGTTTGCATTTCCATTGCCATAGAACTTGGATTTTTTAGGTCACTGAGATACACTCTGCTGATTTCATGGCCCTGATCTCTGATCGTTTAGGCACAGGTACTGCCTTCTTACATAAATGAAACAAGAAATGGTTATTTCCATTCAGGCTTTCTATATCATACCTAGAGATAGGGATTGGGGTAATTAAGGTGCAATGTTCCCAGTAGAGAAGTATATGAGGCAATAAATAGTGGTTGAGGTTGGTTAAACGCCAAAATGAAGCGGTGATGTTTGATAACTGCTAAAGCTATTTATGGTAAATATACTCCTAAACCATGAACATTAGTCCCATTAGATGACAGAATTTAAAAAGCAATAAGAAACCATAAAAAGTAAAACATGCAATTTGCTTTGTTTGTCAGAGATACGAAAGTGCTGAGTTGTCTGTTTTTTCCATTGAGAATACATTTAGCATGTAATTTAGGTGAAAAGGTAACAGAGTATAAACAAAAATATTTATTGCAATAAAGGATATTAAATATAAAATAGATTGCCTGGGCTGAAATTATCATAGTTGGGGAAGAAAGATATGGGAGAAGGAGGAAGGAAAATACACAAAAGAAAGATCTACATTTCTCTCATATTAATTTTTATTAAATTAAACAACAGCTGATTATAATAATCTCATGCATTTTGCCCACTGAATGGGCCCTAAGACTATGGCAAGGACAAAATAACAATTTGTAAATTTGATTCTATCAGAGTTGTCTGATATTTATAGAAAGGATGTTTAGGGAGGGTTTCATTTATCTCTTTGTGTTTGTGTTTGTTTTCTACTGTACTACTTCCCTGTCCAGAATAAAGCTTATATGTCTTTGTATTACATCCAGCCAGCCTCAGAGGCTGGCCCACCCCTTCCTAATAGACTCCTCTCCCTTCCTATTATGCCATCCATGCTCTTTCCAAATTTTAATGATAAAAAGTCTTATCCATAAGTAGTGATGGGTGTGTTTTGTGACTCCCCATATAATTAGGACAGAATTGTTTTCTCTGGCATCATTAGAACCTAGAGAAATTTTAGTTTGCCCTTTAAACTTCTGCACACTATATCTTTTTTCCAGTCCTATTACATATACCAGAGGAAAGAGAGTTGGTTTTTATAATATTTGCAACAAAAACAGCAAGTCCAAATGATGTTTTCTTGTTGGAGATAAAACCACAAAATCTATTTGCCTTTACTGTGAACACTTTTTATTTTTTATTTTTTCTGAGACAGAGTCTCACTCTGTCAGTCAGGCTGGAGTGCAGTGGCGCAGTCTCGGCTCACTGCAACCTCCACCTCCTGGGTTCATGTGATTCTTGTGCCTCAACCTCCCTAGTAGCTGGGATTACAGGCATGCGATACCACGCCCAGCTAATTTTTGTATTTTTAGTAGAGACAGGGTTTCACCATGTTGGCCAGGCTTGTCTTGAACTCCTGACCTCAGGTGATACACTCACCTCCGCCTCCCAAAGTACCAGGATTACAGGCGTGAGCCACTGTGCCCGGCGTATTGTGAACACTTCTGAAAAATAGAGAAATAGTCTACCAGAAGAGACACTCATATACAAATTTTTAGTAAAGCCTTGCAGTATTAGGAGCCATCATTTCCAGCAAACCACAGGCAGGTATTGAAATGTGAGATGAGCAGATTCAGTGCTTCAAGGACATGTGGATGACATTGTGAGTAATATATCACTAAGGTCAACAGTTGGAGAATGGTAACAAATTTTCTTAGGTTATGAGGTAATGGTACAAACATGGGAAGTTCTTGAAGGCCCTATGATAAGGTATATAATAAGGTGAAGGAGCTAGAAGAATGTTTATAAATGGGTTGTATGTAAGGCTCAAATGTCTATACGGGTGAATTAAACAATTATGCTTCAATTACAACTCAAAGGGCTCCTGTACATTCTGTTAATTTTATTTCTTCCCATTACATTTTTCTTTTCTCTTAATCTTTACCTCTTCTCTGCAAATAGTCTTCTGAAGTTAGTAAATAATATGTTGGACTATTCAATATGCCATTAGATTACCCTGTTATCCTCAAATTACAAAATTGTTCAGGTCCCTGTTTAAGTGGTCCCACCATGGAGGGATGTTTTCTTACCTTTATCCAAAGTTTTCTCTGTCTGTTCTTCTCTATATCCACACTCTATTCCTTTTTTTCATATTACGTATAGCTATTTATGAATATGTCTGTTTATTCCTCCTCCTCTGTTTGCCTCTAGACCCTTAGCTCCATAATGGGAGAAAAACATTCTGTCTTGTCCACTATTATATCCCTATCACTTAGAATGGTTACCGACATACGCAAGCAGCATAATGTATATTTGGTGAGGCAAAGACGGAATGAATGATGTTTTCTCTCACACAGTGAGCTTTTCTCTATGGCTCACTAACTCTAAAGACAAGATTTGAGTTACTTGTAAAATTCACTGATGTGAAACATAGTGTTTCTTAAAAGAGATTATGTAAAATGTTCCAAATTTTAAAGAGAAGTTGAGCTTAAAATTCATACTATAACTTTTTGCTTAAGTGGTTTCAGAGAAAAAAAAATGGCCACAATATCTGAAATTTGAATTAGAGTGAGGGGCTGCATACTAATTCAGTTCAACTTAATTGAATCAATTTTGATTCAAAATATTAAATAAGGTGCAGTCTATGGTATACAGTAGATGAATAAGACAGAGTTCACTCACTGTAGGAGCTTCCACTCTACTGAAGGAATCCAACAATTACTTATATAGAATAATGTAATACAAGCCGAATTTGACTATGTGTCATCGTAAACATGTATATAGAGAAATGTGGTCATCTGGCTTTGGGTATGAGAAAAAGTAACTAATGAGATAGACCTTGTGGAGTACGAAATGCAGGAAGGAAGGAAGAACATAGCATATATGAAGATGAAAGAGTCAGAGAGGATCAGGGGTAGTACGTAACATAATTTGCCTAGAATTTATGGCATTTTAGGGAGCTATTGAAAAATAAGACTAGTAGTGGGGATGGGACAACATGTAGGGGAATCTTAAATTCTCAATACTCTAAGGTTCCTCTGCAGATTTAAATCTTGTACTCTATCCACTCTAAGCAATACCCACTATTATAGTTTTTATTTTGTTTTTCATTTTCCTTGAAGGAGAAATACAAATTAAACATTTGTGTTAAAATGGATTTTAAATTACCATCCTCCAATATGTCATATTCTTGTGAAAATAATATTGTTGTGTAATAATGACTTAGATTTCAATGTTTTCTCCCGTGTTAAAAGACATATTTGCCCTTATAAAAATATGCATGATGGAATAGAATTGAGAGTACCTAGTGCTCCAACGATTAGCTTAAAGTGTGATCGAGGGTTTCTTCCCTGAACTCTTGGCCATCCTTCAACTATTAGCTCAAATATTGTTTCCTTGGGTTTCCCTTCCCTGACACACTTACTGTCCAACAGAGCTCCCAATTATGTATACTCTTGTCCCTGGTCTTCTAGGATAATTGCAGCATTTGTAATTGCACTTACAAATTCTGACTTACTCACTTAACTCTTAGTGTCAAGAGACTGGACCCCTCTTGATCGATGGAGTATATCCAGCAGCTCACATAAGATGTGTTGCCAAAGATAAGTCAGTAATTATTTTTGGAATTAATTAGTGGCCAATGGTCTTTTTGTAACAATTCCAGAAATACTACTTATCATAATTATGAATTTTCCATGTATAAATCCAACTGCCTTTCATGCATGAAAACAATCTTAGAATGAGGATCTGCAGTCCTACACGTTCAGTGTTCCAGCTTGAACTGGTGAAGTAAATGTTGTGCTTACAAATCTTTAATTTTCTATTACATATCTATAGATTTATATCTATAATCTTTACATGTGTGTATATATATATATGTATATAACCTTTGTTTATCCATTAACATAAAAATGATAGAAAAGTTCTCCTTTCTAATGTTGGAGTCTAAGAGTTGTATTTTATAGCTGTGAACATTTGAATTAATTTCTGCTATGCTCTTTTATTCCTAATGACTGTCTACAAGAAATAGCTATGTGTGCTCTGGAATGCTGAGCCAAACAAAATGAACACATTTTTAAAGTAAAATAGCTAAATTGCTATAGTAACGTTGAATTTAACTATTTTCTATATTATTTTGGCCCAGTTTAGCTAAATAAATATCAAAGTCATGCTTGAAAATAATTCCATGTATTAGTTTCTGTGTTCTCTGCTTTCAGAGATTGCAACCAACATAACACTTTTTGCACTGTTTCTCATTGAGAAAAACAAAGGATCTTATTTATTTTTGTTTGTCTTTTTCCTGCAGACTAGGGCACTTTTTATTTTGCCTTATGATGGATCTAAGCAACTATCTAGGCAGTTGGATTTAAGATTTAAGTAAGCTCTAAATTTGATTCCTTTTGTGTATTCATTAACTTCATGCCGACAAAGCAGATGGTCACTTGTATAATTACTTATGTGTTTATAAAGAAAATCAATTAGCACTACCCCTGTGGAGTTCTTACCTTTTTCCTCTTTAAATTCTCATCAACAAATGTATTGATAGAGTCAGCTTTTGGCACATGCAAATTCCCATACTTGTGTGTAAGCCAGAGATCTTCACACATGTTAAAGAAGCTTGAAAACAATGAAGAAAAACCCAGGGGAGACCGTTAGAGAGAGGGAAAGACAGAGATGAGAGTGGTAGGGAAAAACAGTGAGGGATCAGAGCAGCACCCTGAGAGCGCACCTGGACATCAGCCATTACACGTGAGGGGGAGGAACTTTTCTGAGTTTCCCTAAAAGGCTTAAAGTAAGGGGTTGTTGGGTGGACCACACATGACATATTAAGTAAGATACAAAAGTAATGCACACAATTAACTGAAACTCTGAGGATAATCTGGGATGCACGCAGAGAATCATTATTCATAGAAGTTAGTGACTCATCAGGTTGTCAAGAGTCATGGATAATGAAAGCAGGTACCATATAGGTTTTCTCCCTAGCTTTTCCTATACTTCATTCTGGACCTAAGCCAACCTGCCCTAGAGTTTGTATAAAGGGCCCAGGAGGCTCTTTCAAATGTGCCATATCTCTAGGGATTTGAGGAAAATGTTTATAGGGGTTTTAAAGTTTGTTTTCTAAACTCGTTTATTATTTCAGTTAGACTTAATACTCAGGTAGACGTTTTTGAGTTTTTTTTTTAACTTGCCATAATCATGAGAAGTTAGGATTTTCAGAAAACTGGTTCTCTGAAAGACGTTTTGACTATTTTTAGTTGTTTGATTTTTCAAAATTTTCTGCAAATATTTTTAAATGAAGGAAAGGATTACTCACATAAACTAAGGTTCCAAAATTCCATAGGTCCAATATTTAAATACCGTAAGGGAGGCAATGAGAAGTTTATCACAATTGGTGGTTCTTTTCAATGCAAGAATGTAAAGAACACATATACTGATTTTCACAGTTCTATTATGGTTGAACTGTCTTCCAGTATGTTTGTGATATACTCATGATTTTAACAAGCACTTTTATTTTCATAATTTTAAAGTCCTAAATCCAGAAATCCAGCGTGCATTTTTGAGAACTATATGGTGGGGAATTCCAAAGTATAACACGGTGGCTCATGCCTGTGATCCCAGCACTTTGGGAGGCCGAGGGGGATGGATCACAAGGTCAAGAGTTCGAGACCAGCCTGGCCAATGTGGTGAAACCCCCTCTCTACTAAAAATACAAAAAATTAGCTGGCATGGAGGTGGGTGCCTATAGTCCCAGCTACTAGGGAGGCTGAGGCAGGAGAATTGCTTGAACCAGGAGGCAGAGGTTGCAATGAGCCAAGATCGCGCCACTGTACTCCAGCCTGGGTGACAGAGCGAGACTCCATCTCAAAAACAAAAAAAAAACAAAAAAACAAAAAAACACACCTTTAATTATGCCCCTATTAGTTACTTTTTTCCACCATTATTCTCCATTTTTAAGCTGATTGTGGTGAACATCCTACAAAGGTATATGGATATACCTTTGATTGTGTATTTTTGTACTCTATATTCCTAAAACTAAAATTACTAGGTTACAGAGATTCCACATTTAAAATGTACTAAGTCTTACCAAATAGCTCTCTAAATATTGTCTCAGTTTATAATTCCAGCAACCTCCTACGTGAATGTCCTTTCCCCACCCCCTCACCAACAATGTGCCTGTTAGAAAGGCACTACTTGGACTCTTTGGAAGTTACTGCCTCACACTCCTCTACTTTACTGGCCATACTCTCTTCAAATGTTCATATCCTCTTTCATGGTCTTATTCTTAGAAGCTGAACTTAACGTCTTCTCTCAATCTTACATTTTTCTGCCTCTTTCCCACCCCCATTATGTGTTTGCTGATACTTTCTTCACATTATATTTCTCAGGACTGTAACTTTAATATTAATATTGCTCTTTTTCCTGGTGATATTTTCTTGTCACATATTTATTTGTCTGGTAGACTCACACATGATGGAGAAAAAATATTTAATATGAATGAGGTAGAATGTTTGGAGGTATCCTAATTTCCTATATATAAATTTAGTTGGGAAAGGAGTTTATGGGGAGATGGCTACCTCAAAGCAAAAGGTGAAGAATCTTTGTGGTAGTATCCTCAATATATATTGGTTGTGTTGGGCATAGGTGGGAGTTTTACTTCATATAAGCTACTCGTTCAATAGATTTTCTGCCAGTTGATAAAAATTGGTATCAAGTAATTCAGCTAAATGAATCATTTTAAATATTCTCTTTAAGGTAAGTTACTAAGAGAAATAAAATAACCAATCATTTTATATTGGCACAGAGGGATTTTTTAATAACAAAAATTGAATTGTAGGATATGTGATGTCTTGATATTTCACCCTAACACTTATTCAGAATGGCAATTGTAATCTATTGTACAAAAATAGAAGAACATTTATTGTATAATGGCACCTGTCAAAACAATGTTTTCCTATTGTTTTCAGTAACTTTTATGGCTTACACACAAGCTAGAAGGTAAGATTGTATAACTAGATTAGAATTATTAAGGTTTCAAATGATAATATACTTGTTATAGCTTTAAGATTTATTTTGTTACTTGAAACTGGCGAGAAGTGCCACATTTATTACAATTTTAAAGGCAATTGCCATATAAAATATGTATATTATATGCATATGACTATATATGAAATTTCTCTCTGTGTGTGTATACCTATGTATTACATATATGCACATAGAAAGAGAATACTTAATTATGTAATTCAACAGGAAAAAATTAACAGGACATTGATAAGCATAAGCATGCTATTCAAGCAACTAATTTGAAAGCTTAGTGTCCAAATTGAAAAGCAGAGTACCTACTCCTCACAGACTATGTAAGTTTTTACCTTTAGAGCTTCTGATTTCCTCGGTCATAAAGCTTAGCATTGGTGGCCATGCGATAGAAGTGCTTATTTACTTTTACTCTGTAAAGTAATTTATCCACAAGAGGAAGAATCCAACAATCCTCTATCTCTGTATTTTCATCTTTGTACTCATAAAGAATAAGGAAAAGTTGCCATTACTTATACCTGATGGAAGATAGAATGGGTTTTAGACCATCTTAAATGGAATCAGTGTTTCAATAAATGGCTGTTGCCTGTGCATCTGCCACTCTTTCAAATACTTGCTGTAAATTGAATGGGTAGGCAGAGAGCTTCTTCAGAGCAGTGGATGAAACCTTTTAAAGACAATTGGGCAGTCATGGGAATCGTGAGGCATTATAATTAAAAGAAGGAAGAAAGACTATGTCAGCAGAAGGGCTACCACAGACATAGCCAAACACTGTAATACCTCAAGGAGAACGCAGTATTGGCACATACTTTCATGTTAATGTAATCTGATACCATATAGTTCATATAGTATTTGACACTCTTATTGCCATTGTCTTTTGTCTTAACTCTGAATATGTCCTTATGTGATGTATATCAAGCTTTCTTCATACCTTTATAAAAGTTGCAATAAAGCTATATTAGGCTGAGTGGATGTAAGCAAGATATAAGAGTAGTGGAAAGAAAAGAAAAATTCAGACAAATATGATGTGTGCTTTTATTTTTTAATCTCTGTGCTAGCAGAAAACTTCATGCATTGCATATAACAACATATGGAAAGTACAAGGTTTTCTGTGAAATGCTTTGTTGACCATCTGTCTTCTCTGGATTGATTGTTCATGCACTTAGTACTAACACTTTTTGTTAGAAAAAAAGGGGCCTTTTTTTAGTAATCAACTTTCTTTCTGGAGTTCTTGAATATAGTAGCTTCATACATTTAATGAAAATGATCTTTAATCAAATAACAGTTAAAATGCAGTTAAAATTGTCCAATGCTTTGAGACATTTAGAAACTATTGATTTAAACAAATTATTCCCATCCTAAAGTATTTCTACATTTTAGTAGAAGGGGAATTAGTCAGTTAAATTAAACATTTTATTTTTAAACAAGTACTTTTCAGGCCTGATAATTTATGCTTCTAAGTTTTTAATAAAGACATGAATCTTCTCTTTATTAGTCCATTGTAAATACACTCATCTTTTAAGTATGCAATTTTCATTGCCCAATAGTTATTCAACTTAGACCATAAGGTTCTCTTTCATTGATGTCAGTGTCACATTATTTGCCTTGGAAATGAAGAATGTTATAAAAGACTTTCCACGATAGCAATATTTGCTATAAAATGCAATTTTTACATACACTACAAGTAGCAATGACATAAGCTTTAGACTAGTAGCAAGTGTAAATAAACACTTCAAATTTCTATTCTGTATCTTTGTGACAAAATATTTTACAAATGGACAAAAAAGCCTATTTGCTAAATACTTAGGGTGTTTGAAATTCATGTCCATAGTAGAAAGAGTTTCACTCTTTCTTTTAAGAAGAATGTTCAGAAAATAACTTTTGATGGCAGTTGCTGAAACTGCAAAAGTAGGCTAAGTAAAGATCAGTCCATTATGTGCAAGTCAAAACTTATGAGGGGAATCCCTACTGTGCCAATTATTAGCTGTGATGTTGGCCATGTTAGTTAACCTCCAAAAGCTTTACTTTTTCCACCAGAAAAGTAAGTATGTACAAGATGGCATACCTGCAATGCCTAGAAATAAATGGACATTTATAATTCCATTTCCAAATCCCTTTCCTCAACAAGGCAGAAAAAAACTAAAAGACAAAACTTTGCAGATGCTGCCTACTTTTGTAAGACGAATGCAGAGGTGCTTCAGCAAATCTGGAAAACCTTAGAAAATTTAAGCAACAACAGAAAAAATGGTCACTTATGATATAGTAGAATAGTGGCACAGTGGAAAGTCTGGATTTTGACCACTATGTTAGTAATAGACGGTAATACGCTCATACTTATGCATAGGCCTTAGATTATTCAGAGTAGAAAAACTACTGGAACACAAAATCCCAGAATTTCAGTAGTTTGGCATAAAAAAGGTTTATTTATTTATTGTCCAGTCATAATCCAGTGCTGGTCCTGGAGGTCTCAGAGTTCCAGGAGCTTCTATTGGTTCTACCTTTCCCTATGACCTTGGCATTGTCCTGGATCCTCTGAAGCAGACCAGGGAAGAAGCAAAACAGAGCATCTCCCAGGATGTGTTTAAGGGCCTTTTTTAGAGGTGTTATGCATCACGTCCACTCACAATCCATAGGCCAGAAGTCATTCACATGGCCACACCTACCAATAGGAAAAGCTGCGAGATGCAGTGGAGCTTTCTGCCCAGAAAGACATAGGAAATAGTTTGTGAACATCTAACCAGTCTCTGTCACATTTCTTTATATTTTAGAGTTTATTTCTGACATTAAATCTTTAAAAAAAAAACATAAAATATCCCAAAGTGGTTATTTTACTTCAAGGAATTGATACAAGTTAAACACACTAACAAAATTATCAATAAGCAAACCTATAAACGACTACAGACCTTCTGAATGAGCTTTTTTTCTGTTGAAAAACCTAGCATATTTTTTTTCCATTGAAGTGTGTGGACTGCTACCTTCTATAGTAGAATTTTGATTTCATATTATGTGACTACACATGGGAACAAGCAAAGACAGTTTGTTTAAACAGTGGTAATCCTAAATGTCAAGCCTCCATGTACGTGTGTGTTGGCTGTACCATGAGCAGCTCTAGGAGACCATTTCCATATACTACCATGTAAATGGCACCCTCAAGTATGGCCAGGCCCCTGCATTGTCTCCACAACTGTGTGACCTAAGTACAACAATTTCCACGATTAAGATTTACACCAAAAAGGATCCATCTCCATACAAAGCTTGATATTTGAAGTACTGCAGACAGTGGAAAGAGCCTTTGCCTCAGTGTAAAACACTTGGTTTTGAACCCTACTGTGCCAATTATTAGCTGTGATATTGGCCAAGTTAGTTAACCTACAAAAGCTTTACTTTTTCCACCAGAAAAGTGAGTATGTACAAGATGGCATACCTACAATGCCTAGAAATAAATGGACATTTATAATTCCATTTCCAAATCCCTTTCCTCAACAAGGCAGAAAAAAACTAAAAGACAAAACTTTGCAGATGCTGCCTACTTCTGTAAGATGAATACAGAGGAGCGTTTATATGAATTTTGCTAGGACATCAGGAATTCTCTTAAGTTAATAGAAACTGACAACCATGGTATATAGACAAAAAGATACTATATTATACTGATCAGTCTTTCACTTCAATGGCCAACACATTTTTAGTGCCTATAATGTGCCAGGCATTTCTAGGGTACTTTTACACACGTTCTATTTTTGTTTACTCAGAAAATTGTATATACAGAAATTACTACTGCTGTTTATTCCTCTCTTACCCCAAACTTAGTTTCATTTACTGTGGAGAAAGAGTGTTGATTACCAAGCTGCAGCCTAATTTGTTGGCCTGATGCCCCTGACAAAAAAAAGCTCAGTGGATTCTGTTAGCTGCCAGTGCATACCACTTTTACTGGTGGTGTACCATAGTTCTTGCACTATAATGTTTTCTTTACAGTTGCAGAAGTCAACTGTCATGCTCCAAATGCTGGAACTGGAATGAGCCAGCATCCAGAAAGTCCTTTCACTCTTCTCTTTGTCATTACTTGGACATTCATGGCCACATGCTATACTTAATTTGACTGTCTTATAGAAACTGCCCCCCAACCCTGAAAAAGAGTAAGAAATTCAATGAGTGTCTAACATCCTAACTCTTCTTGGCAGTGAACAAAGAGACAAGGAGACACAGGAGAAACTGGGTTAAGAAGTCATTTAGTACTTTTTTTGGTCTCTCCTTTTATTCATATCAATTAGCGCTCTGGTTTACACCTTGTTTGCTTAAGAATTAATTTGTGAAATTCATGCAAATCATTCTATCATTACCCCAAATAGTGGCCTTCTGTTTTATCCATGTTTCACCTTGGATATTTTCAAAGCAGAAGCATATTCTATTAGCATTCACATAATGAATGCCAACATGTGTTCCATACTTTTAATTTCCTGTCCTCAAGAGTGTGGACTTTGTTGCCAAAGAGACGGAGGCTCAAATCCCAGGCTTAACATTTACAGACAATGTGGCACTGGGCAAGTTACTGAACTTCTCGGAAAACCTGTTAACTCTTTTGCAAAATGAGAACAATTAGATCATATTTGCATGGTTCTTTAAAAGATAGAGAGAATGTATAGCAAACAAAGTATGTATTACGCATGACCGATTAAATATATTAGATATTATGTCAGAAATTGATTATTATAATAGTTGCAAAATAAGTAATATGTAAAATTGTTCCTTATGTTGACCAAATATTGAGCAAACAAAATGCAGAACTCAGTTGGTCGTCAATTGCATACATCACCTAATTCCTATATAACAATGTCTATAAAGTGAAAGAGATACTCTGACTATAAGTGCTAATTTAAGAAGAAAATTTACATCCAAACTGTCAAAAACAAATAAGATGTGTCATCGTAATATTTGCAATCGGTATGAGAACGTTCCTTGAAAAGCAAGCACGGTGACGATGAAGGAGGTGAATTTTTTTAAATGAGGAAATTGCGATTCAAATTTTCACCCACTTTTATGAACTGTGATAGGAATAGAAGTGATTTAAAAGTAGAAATCTAAAAGACAATCCTGAAGCACTGTGGGAATGGTACAATACTGGGACTGTTCTATTCCTGCTTACTCCTACACAGTCATTTCCTTTTTTGTTGTTGTTTTTTTTTTTTTTCCCCCTTGGGTAATATTGTAATGTAGAAAATGCGTATTTGCATTTACAGAAGGTCAGTATTCATGAAAATTAAAATGCATAGTCTTATATGCATATTTTCAAAAAGGAAGTTACATTTAAAAAGAACTTGTTTAGTTTTCTCTTACTTTTTATATGACAATGCATATAGAGATGGAGAAACTAACAGGCTGTCTATACAAAATTGGGCTCCATCCAGCTACTCTCAGGTATTTTTATATTTAGCAAGGTATGGATATTAGCATGTATCTGTATGCCCAAGAAAGAAGTAAAATGGGTCAAGGCTAAAAGGTATTTTATCCTCTGTAACTTTCCTTTTTTGTTAACCGTTAATTTTCATGTTAATTGCGTGTTTCTGTATCAGAGTGCTTCTGTATCAGAATGCCCCTTGATGTATTTTTGACAATTTAGGATAAAGAAGGAAATAGTCATAAAGAGAAAAGAATAGAATTGATGAATATCCTTGGGGCTTTTCGATTGTGTAATCCACAAAAAAAAATTTGCTTTTTAAAAAAGTACTCTGTCAAAGCTGAGTTTATGTTACATAAAATAGTTGAAAGTGCCAGCAGGTATGTGTTTATAGTGTCTTAGTACAGATAAGTGTTTTATCATTCTCAGACCTTTTTCAGATGCCTACTGTGCGCTCATCTTTCTGCTCTGCAGGAGGAGCATGCAAAGATCAGCTCAACCTCTGAAACAGATCACTGTACTGATTTATATCGGTGGATTGGTTGCCAAAACAAGCAGGAGCTAGCCAGTTTACTTTTGGACTATACTGCATAGGTCAACTCACATTTGGTATGTGACTAATCATATCACCTAATTCCCTAATCAGTGATTCAGAATTAGAAATTCCAAGTAGAAATTCACCCACGGATAGAAGAATCTAATTCCTTTTTCCTTTAATGCACAAATAAAGCAAGGGGTTGTTGTGTCTTGTAGTACCAGCAAAAAAGGATTACTCATTTGTCAAGTTCTAGACAATGGACCCAAGTATACATTTGTGATAAGAATTAAGTCTAAAGTTTTTTTCTCTAATAGCAAAAATAATTGTGATAGACATAAATAAAATATGTTATTGAAGATATATGTTATTGAAGATTAAAAGTATAGTTCAGATAATTGTACATGTTTGAGGTTGTATTTTAGGGCTACTAGTGAGGTAGTTAATTCACAAATTGTCCAGGCTATGGAAAAGTTTGTAATTATTAATTTATTCAAAATATGTCTCACCTATTGTATTCTATGGCCTTTTGGTCTAAATCACATCTGTTTCTTTTCTATATGGTTGAAGGGTAAAATATGACCCTAGAAAATTACTCACTCTGTTCAGTCGAATGTCAATATTGTTGAGAATTTGAAAGAATGAAAAAGCTAATTATTTGAATAAAACTATCTCAGCTAGTGGACAACTGTGCACCTGTAAGACATTGAGCTGTTGAAAAACGGACTGACAGCTGATTTTCACAGCACAGGAAAAATAAAGTTGATCAATGAAACAGTTAATAATTTTTTGTTGACATCATACCAAATACACTGATGATATATACTTTCCCTCCCACTTACCTGGTGTCTACTAACTGTTCAGCTGACATCCAAAATATAAACACTATTTTTTTCTCTTCTAAATTCTTTAGACCTATCCTACTATCCTAAAAAAAAGGGATGCTTTATTGCTGCTTTCTGTGTAAAATGAAATGTCACCTTTGAATAGAGGTTCAACTTGTCATTTAGTTATAAAAGGTAACCAGTGACAATCTAGTCATTGCTATCATACCATAAGGAGTCTAATTTAATAATGGTGGACTTGAGAAAGTGGGAATTATTCTATGCACTAGGAATTTGAACACAGTACAACCATTATAACAATGCAAAGTTTATATGGATTGTGTTTCAGAATATGATGTATCTGGATATTGAAAAATCATTTTTCCATCAGTTTTATTCACTGTGTAGCTAAGGAATTTCAATTACATCCAGTTAACCCAGAATAGTGGGCATCAAGGAAAATTCAAGATATAGTTTTTGACAGATTATGATTAGGTAGAGGTAAAGAAAACAATATCACGAGGTTAGTGTTTCACAAATTGGGTTACATAAAACAATGGTGTCCCTGGAGATACTAAAAATGATAAGTAATAAAATTAGTTGATATAAATGTATCAATTTAAATCAAATCCCTCTTGAAGCATCACAATTCATAGAGAAATCAATGAGAAATCCTGGAATGAAGGTATTTTTCAATTTGGTTAATGTATCTCATCTGATAAAAGCAATAAAAGACATAACAACTCCTTTCTTTGTGTGTCTGTAAAAAGGAAAAGAAATTAGATTCTTCTATCCCTGGATAAATTCCCACTTGACTAATTCCAAATCATGGTGGGTTTGGATAGAATTCAGGTGGTTAGACCAACACATTTCAACATTTTTAACCAGGCAATATGTTTTTACAGCTATAGATTGAGAAAGGCTTTTTGAACCTAGTATATATAGCTAAGGCAAGCCTTGCCAGGATTGCTGAAGAAACATTGTCCCTTTTTTATTGCTGTGAATAACAAACAGTTAAATCAAAAAAAGTCATAATTCAGAACTACCTGGGACAGTAGAGATCAAATGGTATACAGTTGTAAATACAGAATTATTGAGTGCATTATTGTTTTAAGAGGATAAAACTTCTGAATTTGCTTTACTTATTCCAGTCATTCTGCTTGAAACATTCAGAAAATAAATAGTTTTTCAACTTTCCGTCCTAATTAGCTCAGCCTTCACCAACGAACACAAACATTTTAGAGGTTATCATTATTCTTACCTACATTTTTACAGCACACTGACCTATGTGCTATTTAAATTCTGGGGTTTTAATTTCATCATCATTATTGCAGTTTTCCAAATGCCACTGAATGTAGATTACTGCCAAGTAAGGCTTATTATCAGCAGGCCAGGGTTATAATGTACCGCAGACAGTAGCATTCAGTTAAGGCCAAAGTCGTTTATTTCGTATGGCTAGCTTACAGCACACATTATGCAGGAGAAACTAACTATTGACAAAACTACAGAAAAAAACGCATAAATACAAAATCCTCTGTGGCATTTGCCTTGAAGTCATATCCAAAATTTAAAACTTATTTAATTTTACCCATAATAAAAAATAATCATCTTTTCCCCTACAACAAGGCACAGTGTAATTGTGTAGACTACTTTTAATTCAGGTTCATGATCTGAAGTTTAAGACATGTGTAATAAGCTTATTTTAAATTTAAAAACTGTGCTGAGAAGTTCTGAGAAATACATAATATGAAATCCACATAATACCTTTGCAAAAGTAACCTTTTGGATTTTATGTCTTCTTAATCACTAAATTTCAGGTTGTGTCTCTCCTACTTCCCAGTGAACTGTGTTAATGAAAATTAAAATCCTTAAAATACAAGCCAGTACAACAAAAGTTCATCCTAGTAATTCTTAAAGCTCTTCAATTCCTATAGAGTTTAGCCTTTGTCAATAGCCAAAATATGTGCTTGAAAAATAACTTCTTTGAGTTTCAAAGCAAATGAAAACATAAAACAAGCAAAAAAGGCTTTTTTGTTGTTGTTTTTCTCTGCATATCTAGGGTTTGTTTCTTCATTCATAAATACGGTTTTCAAAAAGCATTGCCTCAGCCAAAATTATTGCCCTTTTTAAAAATGTTTTTCATGTATACACTTTCTACATAACTGCTTTTCTTTACACCTCTTTTCTACATTAATTCTAATGAAAGGTCATCTTGCTTACCTAAATTCAGTGCCAGCTTCCACATGACTAACTAGTCAGCTATGGTTGTGGCTTGGAATGACCATGTGCTCCTTGAAGCTTTTGTATAATGATAATGGCTTCCTTGTCACTAACAGGTCTCTACAACCTACTACCAAAGGCAAGTTACAAATCTTCTTCTCAAACTTGGAGCCTTAATTAAAAGTATGAGAATTCAACTATGAAAATACATGAGTCCAGGGAGGAAATAAATCAGAAAAGAAAAAAAAAGGCACTGGTTCCATAATATTTACAATTATGTTTTTCCAGGCTAAGGAAATACCTCAGTAGAAGTGATAATCGAATTGCTGAAACATTCAAGTTTTTAGAAACGTTTCACTGGACTCAACATAAATGATAGTGCCAGAGAGAATAGCCAAAGTGCTGAGGTTGATAGCTACTCCCTAAAATCTTTGGACTTAAGTCTTAGCAGTTACACAACTAAAAATTGCATTACTTCTGTCCTATATGTCTTGGCTGTCAATTAGCTACAATGCAAGTCAATCCATTTTGAAAAGAAAAAAAAAATAGGTTTACCTCATTTGGACTGCCAGGCTAAATAGTTCAGTCTTCCATTTCCTTTGAAAATGTGATTGGCATTTTAATAGACATGAATCACTCATAGACAAAGGCTATTTAATAAAAACATTATTTGTGGACTTTTTTTGTCTTGCTTTCAGACCAAACTGAACTAGCTATTAAAAAAAAAAAAAACCTCAGTACTGTTTTTAGCATGCATTTTCTAGACTGCATTTAAAACCGTGTACTTTTCATTCCATGGGATAACCCATACCTTATTTTTTCCTATTTTGTTTTCATCTTTATCAAGAAGAATAAGTCTCCAAATGATAGAGGCAGAATTAAAACTGATGAGGAAATTGAACTAAAAAAGAGATAAGGGATTGTATGAGAGCTCAGAGTTCCTCTAAATGATTGTATGCCTCCTCTCTAGGATAAATTTGCCTCCCGGAATGTGCAAATATTATTTCAGAATCATTTTTCTCTTTTAAAAATGATAGCAAACAGATGCTATAGAAGACTGGAAACATGGACATTTTTTGATTTTTCAAAAATGGAAAGTATTTTAAGCATAGTATTAGGCAAACATTTTGATTATTAAGTGGATAGCAGCAAGCATTAAAAAAAATTAAGTCAATCATTAGAAACCAGATTATGTTCACCAAACATATAGACAAGTTAAAAATATATTCTAATCCAATCTCATTTCATTCTTTATGGTACTAGTGTACTCTGGGGAAGAGAGGAAATGTTGGGAAGACACACTATATCAATTCATTATCTTCATATCAGCAATTAATGTAATGGATTATAATAGCCTGAAAGGAGGAACTATGGTAAACAATACAATTAGTTGGGGTTTATGACTTATTGAACAGTGTATTTCTTAAAATGGTGCTGCTTAATTGATTGATGAAAATCTACACCATCCTCTCGATCTATGTCCTGAAATGCTCCAATTTGGTCAAGCATTTTCAACACTTTAGCAATGACTTCAATACAAAATATGTTTTGACAAATTTCTAGATAATACAAAGCAATGAGAAATAGTGAATATGATGAATGACAGAAGCAAAGTCAAATGTAAAGGAACTAAACACTGATTCATAAAAGCACGTGTTTATATTGTTGCTTCTACTTTTCCCTGACCCACTAGTCATCCCCACATCCAACTGCTCTAATAAATGCAATGAGACAATCCCCATCACACAAACACACTATTCCCATCTACCCCAGGAATTCTGTTTAGTTTGTGTTTGGGTAGGGGCTGTATTTACTGCCTTATTTTAATTTAAGCATTATAAAGTGACCATCATTTCTTAGGATCTATTCTGTTTTTTTCTGTTTTCGGACCAGAACATTCTAAATACTGTTTCCAGTATCAGTGATCTGTCACACAGAGACACATCCATACATCACAGTATTTTCTATAAGGTCCCGAGATAATATGGAGATGGCAGAAATTAATGTGGCTCCTAGGATCACAGGATTTGATGAGTTATTTTACACTTACGTTATAATGTTAATATGCAATGGGGAGGAGCCATCTGTGGCTATCTCCAGCCTGGCTCACTGAGGTATATTTTGACCAAGGCAATTTATCATGAAAAAAATTTCAATTATTACACATTTCATAATTATTCCCAGTTAAATTTTCCTCTGCCATAATAAAAACTCACTTTTCATGATGAGCTGTGGGGATAGTGCCAAGAAAGGGGGAGAAAATGTGGCTGTGTCAGAAATGTTGGTGCATGGAAGTCTTCAGGTGTGAATCATTTCTTTTCATGGGCTCTTGGTGTATTGTGACTTAAAACTTGAGCAAGGAAAACATGAGCAAGAAGAACATGAGCTCAAGGAAAACTTGAGCAAGAAAAACATGAGCAAGGAAAATACAATGATTGGCCTAGATTTCATTTAATGTTTTAGCAACAAGGCCACTACGCTCCAGTCTTTTCTACTATTCAATATAAAATGATTAGATGAACACCAAAACTGATAAAAATGCTGTATCTTGCTTAAGTGAAAGATGGAGAGGAAATACATACAAATAAGAAGTATAGAATATCACTTGGTGGTTTTGCCTAATAGAAAAAGTTACAAAGGATAATAGATGGTTGTGATAAAATCAGCCCTGGAGATCGTAGAGGAATAAACGCTGTCCAAAGGAAATTAAACTGCAGATCTGCCTACATTCAGTAAAAGGGCTTCCCCTAAGAACCACCCCTCCCATGTCAAGTGAAACTTACCTGTTTTATCAAATTGTCAGTTTCTGTTAAGTGACATAAATAATAAAAAACACTTAGAACAGTGCCTGACCCTCTAGTTGTTCACTATTGCTATTACTGTTTTTGTATAATCAGTCAGTTCTTGAGAACTAAATGTACCAAATATCAGCAATTTTATGTAGCTCCACCTCATTATTAATACTTTGAGTTTGTTAGCAGCTGAGCTTAGAAGCTAAAGTTTCTTGTTGCATCTTTAGTCCTAATTCATACAGAATTATTTAAAATTTAAGGCTCCAATTACATCGGGGACCAAACCCACTGTATCATTGCATTCAAGGCATCACCATTTAAAACCGATGCCAACAACCTGAACGTGCTTAGAAGTCTGCAGTCCTTATGCTCTCAAGTTCAGACATCATGTAAATGAGCAATAGCTGAAAGAGACAAGGATATTTATAGCCTCAATAAGATGAAACTTAAGATCAAAAGTGTTGCTTTAAATAATTGAAGAGGGAATTTATTTTTTTAATATTATTTTGAGAATAGAACTGGATCTAGTAGAAACTACTAGAAGATGAATATCCCTTAAACATAAGAGCACTCCAGATATGGAATAGCTGCCTCGTTAGGTGGCGCCTTCTATCACTGATTTGGAACAATCCAGGAGCTCACACCAAGCTTCAGAGGAGCTAACAGGAAATCCCTGAGGCCACTCTACATTTCTGCTACAAGCCTGCAGCTATTATCTTATACATGTTCTGATTTGTTTCTCTGCACAGCTCTTAAAAAAAATGTTTAGGGTAATAATGTATAAACGTTTAGACCTGTAAAAAATACATCATTGAAGCCTCTAGTCTACCATTTTCATTTTAAGGATGAGACCTAAAGAGAATAAGCAACTTTCTTAAAGTCACAAACAATGCAGCGACTGGGCAGGAACTGGAAATCAGATGTTTGCACTCAGAGAGTACATTTCCCCTGAACCAGATTGTCCCATCTTTTAATTGTAAGGAATAGCTTATGGATCCTGCTATTTCCAGATTGGGAATTTTAAAGTAGAATTTAAGTATTATGTTTCTTTTACTCTTCCAGGCTTTGTTGTCACTCCAGGCTCTCACCTCAGGTTCCAAATTTTTTCTCTCCCTATAAACTTATTATCCTGCTTCTTTTCATTATCCCTTAAGTGATTCTCTACCTGCTGTGTGTCTGCAGCTGTGTCCCTCTAAAGTTCTAAACCAGACTTAAAAACGGCAGAATGTGCATGGTGTTCTGTCTTTGTGACTCATTTCTCAGCATTCCCTAGAGGCTATGACAGTGGCTGAAACCACTACACCAGATGAACTCAGAACGCTAGGCTTTCTCAGAGAGAATGCAGCATGGAAGTGAATCCAAACTAAATCTCTTTTCTGTTGTTTTTCCTCAGGAATTCAGAATTCACAATAGCCTTGGGGTTTTTGTCTGTCTTTGTTTTGACCATTTCTGCACTTCAGGCATTTATGAACGTGAATAAAGAAAAGGTCTGATGCCCATCAGCAGTAACGAGCCTTTTTGTCATTCAGGTCATAATTACACATAGTCCTCTGTGTGACCCAACATCAATGCCAAATTAGCAAACCCAGTTCCTGGGTATCAATGCATCCTTATAATTTTTTAAAAATCTGTGGAGTTGTATAGTGCCCATTTGTATTGCAGAATATACAATAAAGGTATTACAATGGGTTAGGAATCTTTATTTTTGCCTTTTATTAGGAAAACGTGATGCTTTGTAATAATTAGTGAATTCAACATTTTTGAATCTGAGTGATTACAATAGCTATGTCAAAGGCTTTGCTGAGGTAGTTGGATATGCATAATTGTTTCTGTGAAGATTTAGAAGCTCTATATTTAACTCAGGAAAGCAGCTATGCCAATTTTAAATTTAATTGTTATTATTTTTGTCAAAAAAATGCAATGTATAAAATATGGAACAGGTTTTAATTTATAAGATTGTAGAGAAAATATTACTTAACTAAATTTTTCTTAGATAATGTTGGTTTTTAAAAATTTAAGAATATACAAGTATTTTTCATATTTTAGACTTGATACTATCCTGCTGTCCATTATAATAATACCAATAATTAGGAATTCAAAATGGTGAGAATGGAGAGATCAATAAATCTAATATTAAGAGATCAAGTATTCATAGATGAAGAGAAAACAGATATATAATTCTTCAAAAATGTCTTTTGATAAAATTGGGTCTCTGAACCAGACCTCTTCTTATTATTTGAGAATTATCTTTTCAAATGTCAATGATTTACATGACTTTCTCATTCTTAAAATGGCTATGAAATGCCTGGGCTTCTGTCTGATGACAGGTCTCCTGAAGTAGTTCCTGAGGAGGAAAATAACAAATGATGAAGTCTTGTATGTTCCTAAAGTAGGAAAGGGAATACTAGCAAGAGATGGCCTGGGGTGGTGTTCTTGGGGTGTATTAGTCTGTTTTTATGCTGCTGATTAAGACATACCTAAGACTGGGAAGAGAAAGGTTTAATTGGATTTACATTTCCATGTGGCTGGGGAGGCCTCAGAATCACGGCGGGAGGTAAAAAGCACTTCTTACATGGTGGCAACAAGAGAAAATGAGGAAAAAGCAAAGTGGAAACCCGTAATAAACCCATCAGATCTCATGAGACTTATTCACTATCACGAGAATAGCATGGAAAAGACTGGCTCCCGTGATTCAATTACCTCCCACTGGGTTCCTCCCATCACACGTGGGAATTCTGGGAGATACAATTCACGTTGAGATTTCGGTGAGGACACAGCGAAACCATATCGTGGTGTAACATTCTGTTATCTGGGAGGAACTGATTTGGGCAAAGTTGAGATTGGTTTGTGGGTTTCAGAGTAAGGAGTGAAAGGAAATTTGAAAGACAAAATCCAGAAAAAAAGTTGTTGTTAAACTAGACCTTCCCGTGAATTACACCAAAAGGAATGGACGGAAACAAAACTCATAAGCAGCGGTGCTTATTCTGACTATATAAGAAAGAAAGTAACTTATAAAGGAAGGCCATGCTGTAGTGGGTGTTACAGTGGTTCTCTAATCAAGCTACACATTAGAACCGTCTGTGAATATTAAAAAAAAAAATACAAATAAGTGTGCTCCACTACCCTGGAATACTGGAATTAACTTCCCTGGATAATTAGGGCCCAGGCACCTGTATTTCTTTAAAGCCCCACTGGTGATTTTGATAAGCATCCAAGTTTGAGAACCACCTGTGCTAGGAAAATTTCTTCAAATAGCTGGAGTATCGCCATAGTGTTTCTTAATATAGCATCTGCACCATCAGTTACAAGTGGGAGGAAGTTCTTAAGGGTGTCCTGTCATGCTGTAGAGAAGCTGTTTTCAACTCAGCATCAGCATCTTTGCGACTAATATGTATTGGGACTTTTTTCTTTGGAAAACACACCAAACCAAAGAAAATAGTTAAAAAAAAGAAATGTTGAATATTTGTCCACTTTTTAATGGCTTATGATATTAATTATATCACTAAAAAGGAATAGTACAGTATACCCTACCCATTTTAAATTAGTAAATGAATGAAATAAGATCTTTATTCATACATGATTATTTAATTGCATAGAAATATCAAATATTCATATTAATTCCACCAATACATTTTTATAGTTTTATAACTTTACAAACGTGTTGTATTTTAAATAGAAATCTGATAAATTTAATTCAGTAAAAATTATTGAAGAGCTACTATTTGCCAGATGCTGCTAGGTTTATGGTTACTATGAGATCATGATAACCACAGTGTGGTGGCTAGCCATTATGCATATTAATGATTAATGTGATATGTTCACTTATGGTTTCTTAGCTTTCTGAATGTAAAGATTTATTCAATCACATTTTGTTTGAACAATGGAGATTCTGGGATCTATTCAGGAGTTAACAGCAAAACTTCAAGACAATTCAAAAAGCAATAATCACTTGAGTACTAAAAATGCAAATGATACATAATACACTTTCAGTAAGAAGTAAATACTACTCTCCAAAAGAATAGTACTTCCAATTGAATGGGGTGGGTCCCAAAGCTCTTTACAGAGGTACCACTGAACATGGATGTTATCAGTTTAGTAAGAAAAAAAAGGCATTATGTGCAGAGGGAACAGTGCAAGCAAACACATGTATGTTCCCACAGCATATTTAGGGAATGATCAGTACACAACTATAGCTAGAATACATGTGAATATGTGTAGAGGTAAAGCAAAAATGGAAGGCTCATAAAGAAATTAGATATTAAAATATTAATAGTTTATTCGAAAATGCACCATAAAATATATCTGATCATATTATACTCTTTATAAACATTTTTAAGAGTTGTCAGTGTGTTGGAAGCATAACTGTGAAAATGATACATAGAACTGATTAGATAAGCAACAATTAGGTGGCAAGGGAACAAAAATATTACAGGTAGAGTGGAGAGGGCAGATTTGAGTGATGTTTTGCATGTTGAATCAACAGGACTTAGTGGTCACGTGGGAAATGCAATGTAAATGAGGTGGAGATGACTCCAAGTTTCTGGCAATGTGGGAACATTATAGACTACAATTTTAATGCAAACACAATGAGCTTCATGTGATGCCTCTGGATCAAACTGAAAATGAGTACTTGAAAATATGGGTCTGGAACTCAGGTGAAGGCAGCCTATTGAACAGTAGCTTTTGGCTACTAGTAATGATACAACAGAGAACATTGTTTTCACAATAAAGAGAATTATTATTATAGAACACAATGTCCTAAGGTGGAGTACCTACCTTAATTCAGTACCATATCTTTCTATAACTCCACTTTGCAATTTGACTTTATTAGTGGGAAATCTTCTTGAGTGTCCTCAAAGAGTCAGTGTCATCTCATTGGAATGCCTAGGATACATACCCCTACCTAAACCCATTTATAGAAGGAGAATGAAACAACTATGACCAGTCTGCTTTATGCTGCATCAGTGAGGTTGGAATGAAGTCCACTTTTCTCACCATTTAGCTTCTTGGGTGAGTGCCAACACCCTAATCAATCTTTGCTTTGATAGCAAAGAGGAAGTGTGGGAGGGTGGGGGGATAGTCAGGAATAGATTCCAGGAGGCAAACGATGTATTTTACTAAAGGTATAGGCATGTAAGTAATAGTAGATGTCTGCAATTAGGTGAAAATGTCCATCGAGAAAATTAAGAGCAACAGGAAATTCAAGAGTAGAATTAAAAGGACTGACAACATTTAAAGATAGACGTCTAGAATGGGAAAGTCAGGAAAATATTCATTTTCTGGGGTAATGTAATTTAAACAATCCTATAAATATTGTATTGCGTTATATTTCAAAATAAAAAATTATCTTAATACAAAATTGTCCTAAAAATTCAATTCCTAATTATAGGAATTAAATTGAGCAACATCTTAGCAGCTGGAGATGCTAGTGATTCTCAATGGGCTGATGACGGTAACAAAATCTCATCGTGGGGAGTCTGAGAGATTCTTATACTCCCTTAAGAAAGATTTAGAAATGTTCATGACAGATGAGGCGTAGAAAAAAACTAAAGTGGCGTAGCCATTAGAAGAGAGAACCTGGGCAAGTGGTATTGTGGGAGCTAGGTCAAAAGATTTTCCTCAAGGAAGGAGAATGATAGATTCACATGCTGATAGTGTTAAAATGTAACGGACACATCATCAGTCAGCTAGCAACTGAGAGAATGGGAAGGGAAGGGGATAGAATGATATCTTTGGTCTTCGGTCTGCCTCCTATGTCTCTGAAGCCTGTGTCTTACCCATGTTTAGCTGAAAACAGAGACAGCCCAAGATGGTCCCTAAATTTTGAAACTGAACAGCCTCGATATTCTCTACAAAGGGAAGCCCTAGGCAGTATGGCTCAAAGCCCTGTATGTCTAAAGATAATTTTAGTAAAAATACATAATAACAAATGAGAGACAGAGAGAGGCTCCTAAAGATCTATTTGGGGCCAAAAATTAAACTAAAAATAATGATGATGGTTAAAATTGGTTTGTACTAGCTAATGTTTGGGGTAATAAGTTCCGTAGGTAAGAAGGATGAAAACCAGATTTAAGTGCAAAGAAAGAGGAAGCAGCAAGTATTCGTCACTCTCTCCAGCTTCTAAATATGGAAAAACTTGAGCATGGTTAGGAGCCGAGGGATGTGGTTTAACACAGGTTAAGAAATTGATGATATATAATTCAAAGAATTATATAACAGGCAGGGAATAGAAATGATGGCAAAGATGGGATCAAGAGCATTGGTGGACAGGTTTGCATGGGATAGAGGGATTAACACATACACTCAAACAGGAAGAAAAAACAGGTGAAGCTATAGATGTTTTTATAGCCAGGAAAAGGGGAAGTAGATGAGTTGGTTTCTACCTGTTGACTTCTGTAGGAATCTTGGTTACATGCTCTATTCCTTTGCTAGGGCCACTGTAACCAAGTATCACTAACTGAGTGGCTTCAGAAACTTTAATGTCTCATGGTTCTGGAGGCTAGAAGTTGAGATCAAGGCGTTGGCAGGGCCATGCTCCCTCAGAAGGGGCTAGGGAAGGATATGTTCAAAGTCTCCTCCTGGTTTCTGGTAGTTCCTTGTCTTGTAGTAGCATGACTCCAGTCTGTGTGGGGCATTCTCCCTATGCATGTGTCTGTTTCTTTTCCTCACATTCTTTTATGAAGACACCAGACATATGGGATTAGGGGCCCATTCTACTCCACTATGACCTCATCCTAACTACTTCTTCAGTAACTCTAGTTCCAAATAAGATCAGATTCTGAGAGACTGGGGATTAGCATTTCAACACATAAAATCAGGGGCACAATTCAAACTGAATCAGATGTTGAACAATGGACGTAGAGAGTTTGGAAAGGCAGCTGCGGGAAATGGGAAGAGGAGTTGACAATATGTCATTTTTTTTTTAGAAATGACAATATGTCATTTTTTTTTTAGTTGACAATATGTCATTTTTTTCTCTTCAATACATTAAGAGAATCTTATCAATAAATAAGTAAAATCACACATGGACACAGGAAGGGGAATATCACACTCTGGGGACTGTGGTGGGGTCGGGGGAGGGGGGAGGGATAGCATTGGGAGATATACCTAATGCTAGATGACACATTAGTGGGTGCAGCGCACCAGCATGGCACATGTATACATATGTAACTAACCTGCACAATGTGCACATGTACCCTAAAACTTAGAGTATAATAAAAAAAAAAAAAAAAAATAAGTATAATCAACCTTTCTCTAAATATATCTGTTTTTACCAGATATATTGAGTTCAGCAATAACATGAGAATCCAAACTATTCCAATGATTTGATTGTTTATCTCTGTCTCTTTCACATGCACATTTATCTCATTACACACACACAAGAAGAAAGAAAGCTATATCATATTATATAATGAGGAAAGTTAACACAGAAACATAATAAACAGAAGACTTGTGTGAAGATTTGTAAAAATCACACATATGACAAACACTTAAAAGTATATAATTCAGAGTAAAAATATGTAAGGGTATAAGAAATAACATGAAGAACTTGAAAGTATGCTACAACCTTAAAAAATGTCTTTGACAGGTCTATAAGAACAAAATTGCGACATCAGCTGAGATAAAAATAGGTTGCAACGGGACTGAGGAACATTTGGATTTCAAATATCTAATAAATTGTGGCTGGGAAAAGCTAAAGTACTTCAGTGACACTGCTTGGTACTAAACAGTTAGAACAACCAGCCCCAATTTCAAAATAACTAACATAACCAAGGGCTGCCCTTGGCATCAAGACTGATTTCTTTCTAGGTCATGAGTCCCAGGCATATCATCTCTAATAAAAATCTTACACAGACAACTTTATTTTACTTGCCTTGCACCCCATTCCATCCCCAACACAAATCTATCTCCTGCCATTACTAGCTGGGCCCCTGGTTTTAATATGTGCTCTGAAGTTTAAATTCAGTAATTCAGGTAAAGCTTATACTGGTAAAGCTAATTTTTCTTTTTAAATTATTCCTTCATAATTCCTTCACCCCCAGATATCAGCTATCTCATTTTCATCATTTTCTCAGTATCAACTTAATTGTGAAAGTATTCTAGGGCCATTTATCATTTAAAGTTTTATATAATGAGCCAAGGATGAAAATCATTACTAAATATATAAGCCCTCCAATAGTCTAGTCCATAAATTTACTTAAATTACAACCATCAATATGTTTAGCAGTGGTTATTCAATTTATATTTCTTGCCTTAATGAACATAAGAAGTAAATATTGACTGATTTTTAATGACTCATCCTTTTATAGCCTTCTTCATAACTTTGATGAGAAGCATAATTGCAACTGGTTTTATGTGAAATACCTTAAGGAGCTGCATTATGCATGCCATTCACTGCCCTCTAGGAGCTTACCATGTAAGAAATATACACATGTAGAATACACGCATATATGATCACCATATAGATGCATTAAAATGCAAATATTAACCACAAATATACAAGCAACTTGCAGAGTTTTTTTTTTTTTCCTAAAAAGGACACAATATGAGTATTTTTCAAAGGTTGTGGGAGAGAGTGAAAAATGGATAGAAAAAAAGTTAAGGTCAGTGTTCAGCAAGTTTGAGTAATGATGAGATATTTATTGCAAGCTCTAATGCATTAAACCTCTTTAATCTTGTCACAATAGAAATTAATTGCATCAGGTAGTTTTGAGATCAGGTAAAGAGAAAAAAAAGTGAAGAAAGATCTCCAGAAACCATGAAGAATTTAGGGTGAGAGAAGTATGGATTAGGGTTTTAACAAAACAATACTGTGCGGGTAAAACATTGAAGATAAATATGATGGGCTTTCTACAGGCACAAACAAGCTTGAAAGAAGTTGAGGGATGAGAGTTTTAAAAATGAGAGACATTTACAGGATAAATCATGAACAGCTCTGGAATAAGAGACAGATGTTTGTTGTTGTCCCACTTTTTTAGTAAATTGTTTGTGTCTTGGAACTTTCTCCCCTTCACCTTTCTAAATACAAGCATGTGTGTTTGTTTGTATATAGAAATAATTTGAGAGTAAATGTATTATATGTTTTCTATTTCTATTGTTCTGGGACTAGATAACTCTAGTAATAGGATATAACAGAAGTCATCAGTAAGTTCTGAGATACATAAAATCAGTAAGAGTTAGACATGTATGTATTGATGCTTGGCCAACTTTCAGTAAAGCTGCTCCACATTCTCACCAGAATTAAGTATTGTCATTATTTTTTAAATTATTCTTTTAACTGTTCTAACAAATGGGCAGTGATATCTCATTGTGGTCTTAATTTGTAACTCCATATAGAGAGATATTTTTAGGTTCTAGGTCTTACCCTCTTAAGATTCTGATTTAGAAACTCTGGGTTATAGGGCCTGGAAACTGTTTAACAAGTTCTCTAGGTGATTTTGAGGATTGGTCAAGGGTAGGGACAGAAGAGGGAGAGTCATTCAAGAACTTAGGCATTATCAGTGATGAGAATGATGAGTAAGGGAATGAAAAAGTGGATCTGTCAACAATAAGAAAGCAATCCAGTAAAAAACAGGCAAAGATTTGAACATCACTTCACTGAAGAAGGCAAAAGGATAGAAAAATAAGCATATGAATGAAAAGCTCCAACATTGTTAGTCATTAAAAAACTGCAAATTAAAACCACAGTGAAATACCACTACACTTTTTATTATAATGGCTAGGGGGAAAATGTTGACATCAAGTGTTTGTGAGAGCATGAAGAAATTATAACTCATATGTTGCTGAGGAGAGTGCAAAATGTTACAGCCACTTTGGAAAATAGTTGACACTTTCTTATATAAAGTCAAAATTATGCTTTCCACTGAACCCGACTTCTAGGCATTTACCTAAGAGAAATTAAACTTGTGTTACCACAATATCTGTATGTGAATGTTTATATCAACTTTATTTGTAATACCCTCAAACTGGAAATGTCCCAAATGTCCATCAACTGATCAACAGATAAATGAACTATGGTACATCCATAGTTTGGAATATTACTCAGCAAAGAAAGGAGTAGTCTACTGATACACACAGCAAATATAAAATGCATTAAGCTAAGTGAAAGAAGCCAGAATCAAAATGCTGCTATACTGTATAATTCTATTTGTATGACATTCTAGAAAAGGCAAAACTGGAAGAATGAATAGGTCAGTGTTTGCAAGGGTTGGAGGTAGTAGAATGGTTGATGGCAAAGGGACAGCACAAGATAATTGTTGGGAGTAATGGAACTGTTACACGACCTAATTATCTTGATAGTAACACAACTCTGTGCATTTGTCAGACTCACAGACTTTTGCACCAAAAAGGGAGCGTTTATTCTATGTAAATTGTTTTTAAAGTAAACCAAACAAAATATCCCCTCTCTCCAGCTCCTTAAGACAAGAGCAATCTCTATTTTTGTTCATGGACTAGAACTGATCCTTAGAGATGATAAAGACTTAGTAAATAATTATGTAGTAAATGAATGAGTGATTAAATAAATGTTAAATGTCAATATGTATTTGTAATCTGTTAACTTCTGTCTTGTAAGTAGTGATAAAACAAGACATTAACCACTCAATCAACATTCACCAAGAGTGGAATAATAAGTCAAAATACTGAAACAAGTACCAGTATGGATAATCTAACTGAGACTTCTAAAACAGACAGCTACCTTCAGCCAATGGGCAATGCTACAGATTTTGAATGAAAGAAATGCCTCTCTTGGTATCTATTTCAAAGTCACTAGGAGAGTATTACATAGCTACTAAGATGAAAACTCTGAAGTTTTTATCTTGGACATCACTTTCAAGCTATGTAGTCTTGGGCACGTTACTTTATCTCTGTGTGTGTGTGTGTGTGTGTGTGTTTTAATCTTTTAATGTAACAAATGTTAATGATATTACTTCTCTCAGTGGATTATTGTGAGAAATAAATGGATAAATGTATGTGAGGAAGTTAGAACAGGGCCTGGCACATAAATACTTGATAAAATTCAGCTAATGTTAGCCTGTTTGACAGTGTAGAATATATGTCATTCACGTTTTATCCCATTCTCTTGATAGAGAAAGGTAAAAATATGTCTTCCTCATTTTATTTACTGTCCAATTACCATATTTATAGACTATAAATATATATTATTGAATATATAGTGGAAAGATTTTTAAAGAAATTAGAAATGCTGGGCTTTGCTACTCACTTCTTAACCTAATTCTAATATAGTATTTGGAAAAAAAAAACAACCTCTAAAAATCAGAATTTCTTTATTTAAAAAAATGAAAGGATTAGACTAGACAGTCTGTTGGTTTTTGTTTTTTTAATTTGGGGATCCTCATTCATGCATCAGCAATGGATGAATACAGCAGTCTGACCACTCTCCATGGGAAGCAGTATTCACATGGCCAGATATATGCGACTTACAATGCACCCACAAAGCGCATGCAGATTCCCCTCATCTATTTCATCTGAGTAAGGGTGACCTTTCACAATCTGGTTGAATTACAAAATCTTTTCTAGCTGCTACAAGTGAATAGATCATATTCTGGTAGCACCCATAAAAGTCATACTTGCTGTCAACTTGAGAAATTTTGGCTGAGTGCTCATGTTTCTCTTTCCTTGTCATAGGAGAAAGGCAATTCTTCTTATGAGGAGGACAAAATGTACCATGAGAAGATATGAAAAATAACCCATTCCTGGTCCCAACAGCACTGGAAGTTACATACTTGAAAACAAAAATATGTTTATATTTTTATGTAATTGGCCAAAGTATAGGTTTTAATCTCCCCTATAATACCATTATTTAAGATAAGTCTGGGCAATACACATTCATAGATAGCGAAGTTCCCCCAGTTCCCACCAAAACATCATCTTTACTGCCTCACAGACTTTTTATTTGTTTGGCCGTAGCATAAATGCCAACTGGCATCACTGTCTAGAAAAAGATTTTAAGTTAGCCTTTCAGTAAACTTACCTAATTGGATATGGTTTATTTATTAAATTTAGTCACTAGAGGTTTGTTGAGATAGAAAAAAAGTATACCTATATCTCAAATATATTTCATAAGAAATGACGATTTGGAAAAGCTCTAAGGTGTTATTTATCACATAGATTCACTCATGGAATATGACCATTATGACATGGGAGGCTGGTCGCAGGAATGATCCTTCAAAACAATGGAAGTGTCACCTGGCGTGTCTTTTCAGCTGTCTCCATATCGTTATGCATATAAGCTGAGAGAGAAAAATGGTGCAACTTGATTGAAGCACAGGCATAAGACTCATATCTTAACAGATGTGTTCTTTAAGTTAAAAATGAGAGTAAAAATGTGAATCAAACTCTATCAAAGTTGGCACAGCTGTTGCCATGTTTTAAAGGTGGCAGTGCCTTGACAGTTTCCAAAAAGCAGGCAAAAATAAAGTATGGGGTTTTTTTTAGACAGGATTTTAAAATGTTGATTCCTTTATTCTTTAAAGCATTTCATAGGCCAAATAACTGTCAGGCCCAGCTCATGTCTGCTTTGACTTTCTCTTTGGCTCTTCTTACCATTGTAATAGCTAGGCTTACCTGTTCACTCTCTGTGAGCTTACAGGCAATGGAGAGTGAAAATTTATGGAAGATGCTGGGTAGTAGGTCAAATCTATTCATCCTTGTTATCATTGTAATTCGAAACCTGCTCTAACCTTCTCTTAAAATGCATGGAGCGCATTCCTCACCATAGTACATAAAGCTTTATCCTATTTAGATATTCTTGAAACTAAATTAATCAATCAACTCTTTAATAAATTATCACACACACAGTGTGAAATTTATGCTCTAGAAGGATTAAAATATATACAGGAAGAGAGTTGCCCTTATGGACTTTTTAATGTAAAGGTATGCTCAAACTGCAGGTGACACCATACCCACCCGGGGTGACCCATCTTGGATAAAGCTTTTTGAGATCCTCTGGGCAGAGTTAATTGTTCTGTTATTTGCTGACATAGCACTTGATATCTCCTTCTTTCAATCACAGTTAATACCACACTATCATTCTATTGTCAAAAGCTCAGGTTCTGGACTCTGGATACCTAGATTCAAATTTCTGGCTTTGTAAAATACCTTAGTCTCCTTATTTCTAAATGGGAATAATAAAAGTGCTTCCCTCACTGAGTAAATGTGTTGTTGGATTAGTACCATGGTCTGACTTGAAAGTGTTTTCGGTAAGTGTGTCTTACAGAAAGTTGTGGTATTAAAGTTAGATATTAAACTGTTCCTGGTAAAATATTTTTTAAAAGCTGACCTAAAATGATTGTAATACAACTACAGATTGAAATAGTTTTGTGGAATTCAAAGTTACCTGCTGACTGATTGAGTGTGGGAAATGTTTGGGATGGGAAGAAAGTTGTGAGGGAAAGAGGAGAGTTAGATGACAAGATAATCATGGTACCCAGTAATGCAAATAAGAAAAATTCATTTGGAAAAAAATAAAATGTATGATTATATGCATATCAAAAAACATCAATTTCCTCTGCTTTGGTTTTCTTTCCCACACATACCTAATGTTATATTAAACTACTAATTTTTTAGACTTTGTCCTCAAATAGAACGCAAACCCCTTTATGACAGCAACACTATTTATTTGTATTCTCTTTATCTCCATTGGGTAGGTGCTCAAAAAATAGTTTTTGAATAATCAAATGGAAGAATGAACTATCTAAATGTGTATTCAGGAGCCAGATATATATTTATGGAGGGATATCAGAAGAAGAATGACAGGTAGTCAAATAGGAAAGCAAAGAGGGAAATCAGATTATAGAGCAGCTGTAAAAGCCTAGAGAACTCAATTAACCTAAGATTTTAAAGGGCTATGTCACACAGATTTTAGTTTTTTTAAATAAAATTCTGTAGCATGAAAGCAAAAACAAATACAAAAAAAAAAAAAAACATTTCAGCTGATTATTGACATGACAAGCTACCAGAAAATTGAAGGAAGTTGCTAGAAAGAAGTTCTAGCAAGAATCAAGAAACTAGGTCTTAAGTTTAATTCTTACTGCTTATTTCTTAAGTGTAATCCCTGGACCAACAGCCTCAGCATCACCTGGGAAAGGATAGGAACCATCATTTTTTAGGGAACTCACCCTAGAGCTACTGAATGAGAAACTCCAAGGCAAGGGCCAGAACTGTATTTTAACAAGTCCTCCAGGTGACTCTGATGCAGGTCAAAGTTAGGAACAATGCCCTAAACTGTTAAAATAACTGAAACGTGAAGCTTTGCTGAAAAAGGAGTTAGGATAACTGCCAGAATAGAGAGGACAGTTGGATCAGATGTACAGACATCTTAATGGTTATAACAAATGATAATCTGATTTTATAATTAATTACTTCCTCGTACACTGAGATGAGACCCAAGCTCTTCATACAGCTGCCTTGCCTAGTAGGCAAACTCCTTTCATTCACAGCTGCAATAGGAGGCTACAAACATGCATGCACAATTTTTCTTTTTATTGAACAGCTGCCTGATAGGGTGGACCAAAATAGAATTAATATTCAACTAATTGTGTGGGCATATTCTACTTTGTTAAAAGACTGAAAATGTATCTCAAAATACATACATAAAAGTCATGAGAGAGAAAATAAGTAGTAGTATTATATAAATTAAAAGCAAAACTAGAGGGAAAAGTGGGTAAATATATCTGATAGCCACATGAAATGCTTCATAGAGGCAGGGCTGGACTGGCACAAAACAGTAGGAGGCAAACACATACCTATACTTATATAAGATGTGACAATTATCCAGTACCTCTCCATCCCAGTCTCAAACTACCTTTCCATCAGCTTCACATTGTGCCTGGAATTTCACTTTTAGAAATTCATTAATTGGCTCAAGGCATTTTGTGTCTAGAAATCTTATATTAAAATGTGAAGGATTCTGGAAGAAGTAATATCTTCTCTTTATTCTCAACCATTGGCCTCTTCAGCATGAGTTAGTTTATTTTAACTTTAGGTATTGACCTTGTGTGAGTATTGACCTCGAAGAATGGACCAAAGAACACATTTACCGTGTTTTGCTTTGTGTGTGCTCTTGGTAACCTTATGACTTTACTGGGGTCTTCAGCCTTGACATAAAGTAGAAATCAACTTATTTAAAAAGAAAAAATATATGAACTTGAACCCTCCAAATTCATGCCAGACAGCTGGGTTATCCTCACTCCAAGGCATTGAAATGAATACGCGGATACCAATAAATGAGAAAATATGTGGAAAGTAGTCATAGACCAAGGTGGGGCATTGAAAATGGGCTGGAGAGAAGGCAACAATATATTTATTGCATCAGCTCATTAGAATAAGAAAATTTGGGCAAGGGTAGGCACACACATCAGAAGCTATAGAAAATTCTCCTTCAAAGCTGGCACTGGGGGTAAGGGTAAGGTTGTTGATAGAAAGGTATAGAACAAGAGTCAATTCCCAACTGATTCAGATATAATTCTTCAGATAAGATGTGCTAGCTGTTTGAGCCTTTGCAGTACCTGGTCTCCATTGATCTTTAGCTGTGGTCTTCTAGACACAGCATTATAAAATTAGTGAGATTTGGCCAGGCATGTTGGCTCACGCCTGTAATCCCAGCACTTTGGAAGGCCGAGGTGGGCAGATCATGAGGAAAGGACATTAAGACCATCCTGGCCAACAGGGTGAAACCCCGACTCTACTAAAAAAAAATTTAAAAAAATTAGCCGGGCGTGATGGCACGCACCTGTAACCTCAGCTACTCAGGAAGCTGAGGCAGGAGAATCGCTTGAAACTGGGAGGTGGAGGTTGCAGTGAGCCGAGATGGTGCCACGGCACTCCAGCCTGGGCAACAGAGCAAGACTCCATCTCAAAAAATAAATAAATAAATAAAATAAAATAAAAGCAGTGAGATTTGTTTATTAAAATAAAAGTAATGAGATTTGTTCATTAAGCCCCTTTCACATGGCTTAATGAGAAAACACTGTACAGAATGAGCTATAGCCTGCAGTGACAGAAATCTCCAAGTAAGGAGTATACACTGAATGTCATGCCCTTCAATAAGTTTAGGCCTGTAGTTTAAGTTCTTTTCAGTATGTGCCATGAACAACAATAAACAATGTACCTCTTATATAAACTACTTACCTTTTAAAACAAAACAAATAATAATAATAATAATAAAGTGTTTCAAATTTATACAATTAACTTTTCAAGCATAAACACTTTGGAGATTATACTATCTATTCTTAATTAAACAGTATTTCACTGTTGTTTTTTTTTACAACATTATGTTTTAAGAGCTCATTTTAAAGTCTGTTTTTCCATTATTTTTTTCTTGCTCATGTCTGAAGAACAAAGCAAGATGATTTTAATTGGTCTAGGATTGGCCAGATATTCTTAAATATATGAACTGCCTAGTGAACTCTCATTATATTCCTATAAAAATAATAATCAAAATATACACTTCTGATCTGACATTCACAAGTCATACTTTAATAAGAAAAATCTAGTTTCATGCTCGTTGTGTTCTAAGAGTATAAATCACTTTATGCAAATTTACGTTTTTATGAAGTAGAAATTCTGAATATTTTAGCCTTGAAATGGCTTTAAAATGCAATAATCTTTTGGCACCAGAGCTTAACAAGGACAAATATCATGCAGTGAAACAAAAGGTCACCTGATTGAGAATATTTAAATATGTTCTTCATTCCTATGCAAAAATATTATATTTTTTGTTCTATCTTCCACAAAGTGAAATTTATGAGGCTGTGTTAATTTTTTATTATTATTTTAAAGGTAGAATACTTTTGTTGTTATTAAAATATTCTACTTTTCCTGTTTAATATCATTGCAACATTCCATAGGGCTGCTAATTTTTATGGGTAAATTATATCACTAGAGGTTTTCTATGGGAAGTTATACTCTGATTAGGGTTAACACCAATCATAAGTATCAAATAAATATATAAAAGCTTTCCTTGAAGTAGGATATTAAACTTGAATTTATTTTCCTTATGGAGATCATTTTTCTTCTGTGATATTCACAAAATAACAAATACACAGTTTATTAGCATCAATATTTAAAATACTAAAACAAGTGTGAAAAATAGGTACCTTCTAGTACTTTTGTGCTCATCTGTTAAATCCTCATTAGCCCTATGAATTTTAACATAATGACTTACAAAGTCAAGTAATATTGTTGTGGGCCTTTTTCCTTTCCACTCTGACACACACACACACACGCACATACACACACAGAGGAAGATTTTTTAAAATCTCAAAAATCTATTCAACATAATTTGTATGCAGTAAATAACTTGAGAGAATTTGGTAGTGTCACCAGTAATATTGCATCCTTCATTTATAATTTTCATTGCTTATGAATCATTATATCTCTGGAATGCAAGGTGCATATGGGAATGCCAAGTATTAGAGGTTTGTAAGGGAGAACATATGTTTTCTTCTCTGCATTGTCAGAAGTTTGTTTTACTTAATATGAGGCTAGCATTATAATATTATCATTCAATGACTTTTTGTAGAAATTCAAAGAGAAGGTTCTATTTTGTGAGGCCAGATGTACTTACTGTCATTCATGGAAGTAGATCTTGCAACTTTGCAATTAGTGTCTAGAATGAACATTTACTAGCTGCTTTGCTTTTCTAGCAAGAATCAAGAGAGCAAGAAAGTAAAATTGACCTGAACTTGCAGAAGAGTTCAAATGCTAAATCCTGAAATTAATTAGAAGATGTATGACCACCCTTGATCTTGATTCTAATCCAATTCTAATTAAACTTACACCATGAACCAAGAATTCACACACTGGGAAGGCTTTTTTTTATTTATTTATTTAGTCTTTTTTAGTTACTCTATTTCATACACAAGCTGGAAATAAGTTCTAATTAGCTGAGCCACTCACTGAACATTCTCTGTGGTTAGAAGTACAAAATTAAAGTTTAACCAGTAAGTGGACACAAAACAGAAAACATGATGAATGATTCAGGAGATGGTAGAATCAGACAGAAATTCCTTTCGTGGTCACTGTTTTATTCTGAACTGTATTAATAGCTTAGTGGCCTGTACATGTTAGTATACTGTCTCAGATTATCACAAGGGAACAAACATAAAACAAGGAATGCATGAGAAATATAAGCTCCTCAGTGTTCAAGGTCCTACATCAAATGCTCTGAATACATGTTTGTCCTCTTCCAAAACTCTTCTCTGTGTACTCCGGGGTCTGAGGGACCTAGACATTCCAAAGCATGCTTTGGGCCTCCCCAACATCTGGACCTTCATATCATCCTTTAGGGTCCATGTGAAATGTCACCTAATTTCTGACACATTTCCTATACCACTCATGAACGACTTGGTCCTGTGAACCACCAGAGCATCTTGATTGATTATATCTACCCGTTCCTTGATTGCCTGTACTCTAAGCCCTTTTGCAATTTTGATGGGGATACTTCAGTGAGCCATACCAACACAAATATTTTCTTTCTTGGAGATTACATTCTAATGTGATGAGACAGGTACTAAATATAATAAATAAATGGCATTATATTTTAGACAGAGTTCATGGCAATGGAAAAAATAAAACAGGGGGAAGTAATTAGAAATTGTAGCCATGAGGGAAATTGTAATTTTAAATTCAGTGGTCAAATAATACCTCACTGAAAAGGTGACATCTGAGCAAGGATTTGAAAAGCTTGCTCAAGATTTGGAGAAGCACATTCCAGGGAGAGGGAGTGACTTGGGAAGAGGTCCTGAGATGGGAATGTGGCTGGGGCAGAGTAATCCAGAAGAGGATCAGGTGGAAGTCAATGGTCATCCTGGGTCAGATGTTGGAAAGCGTTCTTTGCAAATACAAGGACCCTGTTTTTACTCTGGTAAGTTTGAAGTCATTGGAGAGTTTTGAGCAGGAGGGCACCAAAATCTGAGTTGTGTTTCTACAGCATCACTCTGGATGCTGGATTGAGATAGACTGCAATGGGGAAGGATAGAAGTGGGAAGCAATAGAGTGTGGTGGACTCTAGTTGGAGTCTCCTACAGTAAGCAAGGAGTGACAATAGTGACATGGAGTGAGTAATAGCATTGAAGGTGATAAGAAGTGGTCAGTTTCTGAGCAGAAACGGCAGATAAGGCCCACACAATTTTCTGAGATTAGATGTATGGTGTGAAAGAAAAGGAGGAGTCAAAGAACATCCCAAGGTTATCGTGTATCATAATTAGGAAACTCACTTTATTTTCCCTTCCAACACTAAACTACTGAACTAACGTAGGCTCACACACCATAGACTTGCATTCCTCTTCAATAATTTAGACTAACTGATAGTCCACACAATATGGTTAATTTCTCTGTGGATTGTGAAAATTAAAAATGAAATGAAGGTTAGCACCAGTTAAAAGATTTGAAAGGACTAAAATCTTTTATTCCAATTCTGAATTAGATGTAATTTTGCTTCAGGCTAGCTAAAAAAGTTCTGCAAGTGACAATTTAAACTTAAATTAATCTCACTTTAGAGCCTTTTTAATAAAGCTTTTCTATGAAACAGTGAAAACCAGTGATATGAGAGCTATAACATTCCCAAGAATATGTAACCTAAAACCATAACTTAATTTGAATTTTACTGTGCGTTTTAATTAAATTCAAGATCTTTACAGACAATTAATATACATGTATAAGACATATCTATCCAGAAAGTGATGTGAAATGGAGAATTTAGGCATTTATCTTGCTAGTGAAAGCTCCAAATCTGGCTTCTGGGGAAAAAAAAAAAGCGTAAGTCAGGATTGGAATTTCATTAGATATAAATACTAATTCAGCAATTATTCAGTTCTATATTTGACTTAATCTATATGGACATGGGCACATTTTTGAGATGGATAAAAGTCTAACTCATGTAGACTTTGCAAATAAAATTTTTTATGTCAGGATTATGTATTGTTTTCAATGAAAATTAAATAAAATTAGGCAAAAACAGAAAGCTATGGTAAATATGGCTTGGATTTTATTATTGTAAATACAATATAAAATATACAATAAAAGCAAAGTAAATTTTATAAAATTAAAAGAACCACCAAAAAATCCTAGTAAAATAAACTCTTTTCTATTATTTTGAATAGCATTATATTCTGTAAAGGAAGTTATTACAAGTAGGTTGACTGCCATTCACACTTCTATCATATGTTATAAAGTTTAGAGTTGAGGTGTTTATATATTAATATGGCTGACTTTTGGTTATTCATTTCCACCTGAAGGGAGATATTTATTTACAAAATGGCATGGCCATTCCAGGAAAAGGAGACAGCATGATTTAAATATCAACTGCAACTTAAGAAGAATGATGACAATAATGTTATTATGGGCACATTTAATCAGAGAAAGTGACAAACAATTTGTTGTAAAACACATAAATACTAGTTGATAACTCATTCTAGCCACATAAAGGACATTAACTATTTCACATCAACACAGAGAAAATCTTACCTATAGCACGTAATTATTTATACTACAAATGACAGACAATTGAAATGCATGAGCCTGCTATCATGTGTTCATGGTTTGTAGGTAAAATGAGATTATTATGGAAACACCAAAAAAAAAAAAAAGAGCGTGTCAGTAGATAGATGAGCACAAATAGAAACATTACTGCTTCACACTGAACAATTTACAAAAACTTTTTTGAGACAAGGTCTCGCTCTGTTGCCCAGGCTGGAGTGCAGTAGGAGAACATGGCTCACTGTGCCCTTGACCTTCTGGGTTCAAGCAATCTTCCTGCCTTGGCCTCCTGGTGGAACCATAGGCACGTGCCACCACGCCCGGCTAAGTTTTTAAAACTTTTATAGAGACAGGGTCCCACTGTGTTGATCTCAAACTCTTGGGCTGGTCTCAAAACTCTTGGGCACAAGTGATCCTTCTCCCTTGTGGCCTCCCAAAGTGCTGGGATTACCAGTGTGAATCTCCGTGACCGAATGACAACTCACAAATATTTTTCTATAATTCAACACAATATTTACTGAACACCTTCTATGTGCCAGGCTGCTCACAAGATGTGGGAACTTGAAAGATTAAGCAAAGACAAACATAGCTAGGAATTACCACATTTAAAATCAGGTAATCCTAGAATGCAACATATATCATTGGGAGATAATAGTTTATCACCACATCATTAATTATCACTATAATTAAAATATATTACGTAAATACATTCATAACAAAAGGTTTATTTCTCACTAACACATTCACAATTCATGTTTCAATATATCTGCCTGCATATAAAGTAAAGGGAAAATACCTTGCAGAAGGACAAGGACATATACTCAATTATGGCATCAATTTCATCAATTTCCTGCCTCAGATGATTGAGTGCCAATGTTTCTAAGACTAATATTTCAATTTTTTGTCTTTATATTACTCCTTCTTACCTCTTTAAATATCTATCAAGTATCAGTATTTTTCTCTGCTTATTTTTTCTATTTCACAATCCTAGCATAACAAAGCCATCTCACTCAGATGCAGCTTTCTTGCTTTCCCTTCACATCCACACGTACTCTTTCATATATATATACACACACACATACATATATGTATATACACACACATACAATTATGTATATACACATATATACATATATACATACATATACATATATACATATATGTGTGTGTATATACATATAAACACATATATACATATATGTGTGTGTATATATATACATATATACATATAAATATATATATATACTTTAAGTTCTGGGATAAATGTGCAGAACGTGCAGGTTTGTTACATAGGTATACACGTGCCATGGTGGTTTGCTGCACCCATCACTACGTCATCTACATTAGGTATTTCTACTAATGCTATCCATCCCCTAGCCCCTACCCCCCAACAGGCCCCAGTGTATGATGTTCCCCTCCCTGTGTCCATGTGTTCTCATTGTTCAACTCCCACTTATGAGTGAGAACATGTGGTGTTTGGTTTTCTGTTCCTGTGTTAATTTATTGAGAATGATGGTTTCCAGCTTCATCCATGTCCCTGCAAAGGTCATGAACTCATCCTTTTTTATGGCTGCATAGTATTCTATTGTGTATATGTGCCACATTTTCTTTATGCAGTCTATTATTGATGGGCATTTGGGTTGGTTCCAAGTCTTTGCTATTGTGAATAGTGCTGGAATAAACATACGTGTGCATATGCCTTTATAGTAGAATGATTTATAATCCTTTAGTTTCATACCCAGTAATGGGATGGCTGGGTCAAATGGTATTTCTATTTCTAGATCCTTGAGGAATTGCCACACTGTCTTCCACAACGGTTGAACTAATTTACGCTCCTACCAACAGTGTAAAAGCGTTCCTATTTCTCCACATCCTCTCCAGCATCTGTTTCCTGACTATTTAATGATCGCCATTCTAATTGGCATGAGATGGTATCTCATTGTGGTTTTCATTTGCATTTCTCTAATGACCAGTGATGATGAGCTTTTTTTCATGTTTGTTAGCCACATAAATGTCTTCTTTTGAGAAGTGTCTGTTCATCTCCTTCACCCACTTTTTTTTTTTTTTTTTTTTTGAGATGGAGTCTCGCGCTGTTGCCCAGGCTGGAGTGCAGTGGCACGATCTCGGCTCACTGCAAGCTCCGACTCCCGGGCTATCGCCATTCTTCTGCCTCAGCCTCCCGAGTAGCTGGGACTACAGGCGCCCGCCACCACGCCCGGCTAATTTTTTGTATTTTAGTAGAGACGGGGTTTCACCGTGTTAGCCAGGATGGTCTCGATCGCCTGACCTCGTGATCCGCCCGCCTCGGCCTCCCAAAGTGCTGGGATTACAGACGTGAGCCACTGTGCCTGGCCCCTTCACCCACTTTTTGATGGGGTTGATTTTTTCTTGTAAATTTGTTTAAGTTCCTTGTAGATTCTGGATATTAGCCCTTTGTCAGATGAGTAGATTGCAAAAATTTTCTCTCATTCTGTAGGGGTTGCCTGTTCACTCTGATGATGGTTTCTTTTGTTGTGCAGAAGCTCTTTCGTTTAATTAGATCCCATTTGTCAACTTTGGCTTTTGTTGCCATTGCTTTTGGTGTTTTAGACATGAAGTCTTTGCCCATGCCTATGTCCTGAATGGTATTGCCTAGGTTTTCTTCTAGGGTTTTTATGGTTTTAGGTCTTATGTTTAAGTCTTTAATCCATCTGGAGTTAATTTTTGTGTAAGATGTAAGAAAGGGGTCCAGTTTCAGTTTTCTGCATATCGCTAGCCAATTTCCCAACCCCATTTATTAAATAGGGAATCCTTTCTCCATTGATTATTTTTGTCAGGTTTGTCAAAGGTCAGCTGCTTGTAGATGTGTGGTGTTACAATGGGACATACTTACTCTTTCTTAAAGATCATGTTTTCCTTGAGTTCGTATATCTTTGGAATTCTGTTGACTAGTAATATTTATAAAAGTAACTTCAGGTCAACTTATGGTTGTTAACTTTTTCATTTTACCATAAGGAAACAATTTAAATGTAATTCCCAGTTACTCTGATTACTATCATTTTATTTAAAAAAGGATTTAAATCCCCCAACAGAGGAAATACATATTAATAGAATCTTTTGATTTTTATTTAGTTTTCAATTTTTATGTTTGTATTTATCTTTAGTTTAGTTTTGTTTTGTTTTCAGATTTCACCAGGGGTCAGTGAATATATCATCCTCAGATTAATGGAAGGTCTGAGAATAGGTTTTGGGGACTGCTGATTTACCTCTTGTTCCTGCCTCACCATGTATTTTCTCTGCCATCCCTGCTTTCTGCCCTCCCTTGTCTCTGTGGCACTTGCAATGTAACTATGACCACACAGTAGCAAAGTCCAATAACTCTGTCAGTTATTTTAATGTACGTGCTTCCAATACTTGACAGTCAACTATCCACTTCTTTAAAAGGTTTTTGTGACATTGCTCTAACCTGGTTTTACTGCTTTGTGACAGCTCTTTTTTTGGTTCCTCTTCTTTCTTTTCACATAAAATTGGGCATTTACTGTTTCTGACAACAGTTTCTAGGTTGACATACTTCCTCCCTCAGTGCAGTACTCACTCTCAAAGTTTCAACTACTCTTTTTATGAAATTGACTCTAAAGCTTGTATTTTCAATCATAATCTTTCCTCTCATGATTCATGATTCAGTAGTCCATTTCTTCAAATAAAAGCTACTAAATGGATGTTAATTAGAATTCCAGACTAAAGCCATAAAAAATGCAAACAGATTTCATCAACATGTCTTTTTTAGCTCTCTTCTCTGTTACAGGAAAGGGGTCCCAATTCAGACCCCAAGAGAGGGTTCTTCGATCTCGTGCAAGAAAGGATTCAGGGCGAGTCCACAGTGCAAAGTGAAAACAAGTTTATTAAGAAAGCGAAGTGGTGAAAGTACAGCTACTCCACAGACGGAGTAGGGAATTCCTGAAAGTAAGAGGAGGAATGCGTCCACTCTAGGTACAATGCTTGTATATATGGGGAGATATGCTCTGCTGCAAGGGTTTGTGATAAAGGATTAATTTTCTTAATTACTATATATTGCAAGAATCAACATTATTATCTTTAAGGCAAAAATAGGAATTCCTTTGTTCTGCAGATATCAGGATATCTGGGCACTCCCAAGTTTAGATCTGTTTAGTAAACATTAATTCATTCCATTAAACATCTAGAGGCCAGGAATGCCTGACTTTCTGGGAATGCAGCCCAGCAAGTCCCAGGCTCATTTTCTTATCCCTCACTCAAGATGGAGTTACTTTGGTTTTAATGCCTCTGACATCTCTAATCACTGTACAATCCAAATATTCCTACTTTTTTAAAATTATAATTAATATTAGTACAATAATATATTTACATGAAAAATAATTTCTGAAATAGTTCCATTCACCAAGTTTTATTTATCATCCTTCTTCAAAACTTCTCATAACTCTTTAATCTTCTTCACTTCATAGCTACATGTTGTTATACTGGGCAAGTGACTTATTTTTTTTTTCTGTAGAATAGATATATTACATGTGTAAGAAGGATTCTGTAAATATTTTATTCTGTGCATACTTAATACTTATATAGTTCTTGTTGATTGATACCTTTAGTTATCACTTTATCCTGACTCTACACTAGTCTGTTACAAAACTTTATTATTTTTCATCTGTCAGCAGTAAAGAAAGTGCCAACCTGTTCTAGGTTAGATACCATCCTCCATAATCACCTTCCGATACTACTCTGCTCCTCATTGCTTTAGTTTTGCTTATACAGTTTTAAGAGTTTAACATTACTTCCTTTAAGAGCCTCCACATTACACCCTTCCCATCCCGCTTTCCGTCTTTCCAGTCTTATTCCAGTCCTATCTTAATTGAAAAAAAAGTAATAAGGATTATGAGCGCCATTTTTACCCATATAAATTAAATGAACTGAATAAGTTATTTTAGCATTCAAAGCCTCAGTATTCTTACTCTCAACACAAGCACAATGATTGACACATAGAAGGTAACTAATCATGAGCTAAATCTATTCACTCTGTTTCCTACCATTTAAATCTCAGTGCTTTCCCACTTCTGTGCCTTTTCTAATCCCTTCCTTTCCATGAATGTGCTAATCACAATATAAATGTCATATTATATAATACTCCCCAAACTTAGGTCTATTTGACAGATGAGAGGTTAAAGCCTAGAGGAATTAGAGACCTGACAGATTAATGACCACATCGCATCTTACACAGAAACTATTAGATCTGGTATAGTAGAAACTCTACTGATTTTACTTGTTTTTGTAAAACCTGAACATTCTATTTTGGTCATTTAATTTCTAAGAGTAGATTACAAATTCTGTGAACCATGCAGTAAGGTAAATAAATAACAGTTTTAGTAAATATAAGCAGTGTAGTAGAATGCTAAAACAAACAGCTAAGTAGAGCTAAGTAAATTTTACTGTTTTGTCACTAATTTTGTGATCTTGAACATGCTGCTTGGTGTCTTGGGGCATCAGTTTTCTTTTCTGCTAACTTATGGTGCTGAAACAGGCAGCACTTATGGAGTCTCCCTAAGATCTAAATATTGTGATTGTCATTACCATAGTTGACATGGAATAAATTGCAGTTCAACTTCTTTGTAAAAACCTAAAGAAAACACATCTCACCTATCAGATCATAATATGGCCCTAAGTGAAGAATAAATTTCTAAGCACAGATTTTGTAAGATAAAGAATATAATCTTCTTGACAAAATGAGAATCTAAACTAAAAATTAATTTGATTTAATAGAGTCAGACATCTGGATATGTGGTTAAAATTTTCAGTTTCCATATGAATGTTTGACTTTGTGTGAACAATATCAACTTTATAAAAAAATCAAAACTAAAATGTGAAAATAAATAATCAGTCCTACCTAATTTGGAAAAATAAAGGTTTTAAAAATTTGATTAATCTTACCTAAGAGATGAAGACGATAATGAATATTTTGGGCATTTTTTTCATCTTTTGCCTGTTATTTTATAGTCAAATATCCCTTAGCAAAACATGCAGGTACTTGCAGAGGAAAAACACAGTAATCATAAGAAGTGATTCTTCATAAAATCTATTATCTTCTGATTCTTTTTTTGGGTTCCATTAATTCTAACCAATTTGCTAAATCCTAGACCATTTACCTTTTTTTGAATTATGACCTTCTCCACTGACAGACTCTCACCTAAAAACAAAACAAATGTACTTGAGATCTAAAAATTTTTAAATGTCACAAAATATCAAGTGAGTAAAGAAGACAAGCAAGTCAATACATATTTATGTATTTCTTGGTTGACTCTCTTACATTTCATGGATGAAGACAAATAGTAAGCCAGAGTTTAATTTCATTTCAGAGATTCTAGAATGGTGGGTTCAGTTTCAGGGGCCTGGAGTATCAGTAGGTTAAAAGTATTGATTACAATGGAAATTAATTTTAAGAACACAACATCAGGCCTTTAAACTATTTAGCAGAAAGCATGCAGTCTCCTATGGTGGAAAGAGGTATAATTAAAAAGCTATCAATAGTCTGGGATTGTCAAAACTACTTTGTCACCTGAAGCTCATTCCTTATAATTATCTTTTAGGCTTTAAGCTAGATCACCATTAACCTCAGAAGAAAAGGGGTTACTACGCTTTCTGATGTGAGAAATTGTATCATCATGTAAATTAAACCCCATTCCACAGCCAAATTAGACTTGAGAAATGATTGAGTATTAAAACTGCTCATGTATATTATCAAGTGACACAAAGTATGAGGGCACTAAGGGAGAAGAGGAAGTTTCCCACTTTTTCAAAGATTTTTGAGATTCCTTATGTGCACAGAATACGATTTTAAGCATATATCAGAGATATAAAATTGAAGCAATAGAAGGAAAACTCAGAGATATTTTTAGTCTTTCCCCAAAGATTTCTTTTCAGCTCTCAGACAGTACAAAATGAGTCAACACTTAAGTAAGCCAGAAATAATATAACAAGTCTGCAAAATTACAGCTACCTACAGCTCAGATCTTCAATCAAGTAATTGTTAAAGCCTCACTAGAAGGAGGAATAAATATGTTCTCTGGTGAACTCACTTAATAATTTTAACCTTATTGTCAAAAGAAAGGAGTCGTAATTAAGATAGCACAATACATGAAGCAGGGAGCAGCATAATTGAACCTTCCTGGTGATTAATGTGTATCCCTGAGGTGGTCTCTTCAGTCGTGGAGCAACCAAAATGATGTCGCCTTCTTTCCCTGCATAAGAAGTTGGGGCCTAATGACAAATTATCAACCATTGTCATTCCTGGGTGATGCTGAGCTGATAGTAGTTGTGAAAGGTTATGTTGGTTAATGTAAGTGATTCTTAGTAGGCAGAATACAGCCTACAACCACATGTGCACCATCGTGCTGATCTAACTGTGGGTGGCTGGGAGACACGAGAGGGTATTCTGTTGTGGCTGTTATACTTGCAAAGAAAGAGGTAAGGCATGATTTCTTTCTTTTTTTTTTTTTTTTTTTTTTTTTGAGACAGAATCTTGCTCTGTCGCCCAGCCTGGAGTGCAGTAGCGTGATCTCGGCTCACTGCAAGCTCCGCCTCCCGGGTTCACGCCATTCTCCTGCCTCAGCCTCTCCGAGTAGCTGAGACTACAGGCACCCGCCACCACGCCCGGCTAATTTTTTGTATTTTTAGTAGAGACGGGGTTTCACCGTGTTAGCCAGGATGGTCTCGATCTCCTGACCTCGTGATCCACCCTCCTCAGCCTCCCAAAGTGCTAGGATTACAGGCATGAACCCTGCCAAGGTATGATTTCTTAATCTCCAAATGATTAACATTTGTAGTCAGTGTTTTGTTTTTAGGGGTTTCCTGTGCAGTGTGGCATGATTTGTAGCATCCCTGGCCTGTACTCAGTACCTGTCACTAGTAAACCCTCCCCCTCAGTTGTGACAAATATAGATATCTTTGGGCATTGCCAAAATGTTCCATGGGAGGCAAAATTGCTCCCAGTTGAGAACTAGTTATGAAAGAGCCTTGGAAATGCTATACAACCTATATGATTATATCTATATCTATACCTATATCTATATAAAGAGATATACACATACATGTATACTCATATCTCTATACAACAGTATATACATACATGTATACATCTACATATGCATCTATATATATTTGTATATAATGTACATATATGTATATATCCATACACTTGTGTACATACACATTCACATGTATACATATATATCCAATTACATATACACTATTATTTCTATATACAATATATAGAGAAGTATACATGTATATAAACAATATATGTGTACAATTCACATAAAATACACATGCATGCATACACATATATATGAACTTAGACATATATGCAGCATAAAATCATATAGCCTGAAAATATAGATAATATTTTGTAATGTCTTACAGACTGAAGATGCCCTTGACAACATTAGATATATCGGCGTGTGCTTCCAGATTTTATTATGGACACTCTTTTTAGAAGTGAAGTTTTGCAGAAACAACAGAATTGAGTGAGAGGATCCCATACAACACGTGCAAAAATCTGAAGGCCTAGCACCTTATAGAGAAATGCTGTATGTCAGTGTGTCAGGAGGGCAGGATGCATGTGAAGTATCAATGCAAGACGGTGCTTCAGAGATAGGCAAGAGTCAACTACTTTATCAGTAAACTTCAACATGAGGAGAGGGTGAAAAAGGACATCTCGGTTGTATATAGAAACAAAAACCAATCAGAAAAAAGGGAGTTCTTAATGTCTGGCTCAAACTCTCCAGTTTGACATTATCATCTCATTTGCTCTTATTTCCATGTTTCTGCCATTATGATAACTTCTTATTCAATGGCTTTATTTGCAAGTGGAAGAGACAGCTTATTGTGTGTCATGACTTGAGAGATGCTGAGGAAAATACCCTTTCCAAACAAACAAAAGCAATTCCTGCAACAATTTCCAAAATTTCTTTTTTTGAATGTGTGCTTTTTGGAGTTCAAGAAGTTAGTGTCCAGGAATGCTCTTTAAAATGGGAATATTCCTTGGCTCAATGTTTCTTAATCCTTCAGTGCATGGTTTTGCTGATCTTCAGCAACCTAACAGGGTTCTGGGTGGTGGAATCACTGAACTGTGATGAAGAGCAAGACTAAAGCTACAGATTTAGAATGTGGAATTCTACCTGCTGGTGGATGGAGGACAAAAAAGCATATATAAATAAAATAATATATGAAATACCAACTATATACCAGGAGCTTTACATATAACATGTAAGGCAGGGGTCTATTGAGTAAAAATTAAGATTCAGGTAAATCAAGAAGGGGACATATCCAATTTCCTGCACCTCCTCACCTTTGAGAGGACTCGGAAAAAAAAAATCATGCAGTAATCAAGTCACCCACAGTTAGTCAGAAACAGCCAGTCAGTAAAGAGTTCAGTAAAAGAAACTCAAAACTTTTCATAATTGGAGTTTGTGGTTAGGGATAATGGAAGCCAGATGACAGAAAGGAAAAAACAGGCCCCTGAAAGAAAGTTAAAAAAAAAAAAAAAGTCACCATGTCTTAATATGACCTCTGACAGAATGGGCTAGACTCTGCACCTTGACCCATGTATCCAGAGAAATCAGGAAAGGATCCCGTGTAAGGCTGCATTTGAATCCGTGCTCACACAGTGCATTTTCTATACACTAGGAAGGAGAGGTCCAGGCCCTGAGGCAAAGCTGACTGACTGCATCACTAGGGCCTTTCTTTCAAACTATTCTGTGTTATCACCGGCTAGAGCACTCTGTCCAGGAAAAACATTTCCCTAGAAGTTGGAGGGAGAGCACAGGGAGTCAAGCTATAGAAGACAGAGGATCTTAGCTTAGTGGTGAAACAGGATCTCAAATCCAAGGTTAAATCTATGTGCCCACTTGGGTAGCCTAACAAGGACCTTTAGTAGTGGCATTAAAGCCCTAGTTATGAATGAATCCTTCTTCTTTTTGCCCTTAAAACATTTCTATAGAGATGCAGGAATAGGAGAGCACCATGGTTTGGCTAACTGGACCATAAAGGAAAATGATCTATTGAATTGTCAGGAAACTATAAAGGTGACCTTACTAGGGTGTAGGTGACTCTGGATTATACAAATACCGTTTAACTCTCCTAACAATTGAACGAAGTAGGGATCATTATCTGGAATTGGTAGACTTGATGCGGAAATCAGGCTTAGTAAAGTTAAATAACTTACACTTACAGAGCCAGATGGTGATAAAATTGGGGAATATACCCTTGTCTGTTTGATAGCAAAGCTATTGTATTATTCCAACAGAGTCCTACCGTCTATTTATTGAATAACAAGCTGCCAAAATTGGACTTCAAGATAGATTAGGAAAAGAAAGGGTAGCAGTTAATTAAAGACAATTTTATCTTGATCTGTCCCTAGCTGGAACCATTTCCTTCATGAAAGTAAACATGCCAAATTTAAGCTGTCAGCTGTCAGAGGTAGAAAAAATAAATAGATTCTTTCCTTCTGGCTGGCTTCAAGTGTTGATAGGTAATGTACACTGAGAACCCATTCGTATTCTGTAGGTGAGTCCACTTTTGCTTGGAAAATTCTAATGACTAGATAAGGAAGCCCTTTTCTCTATGTCAGTATACCTATACAAATGCTCATTAACATAGAATACTTGTTATTTTATTATCAAGTGAACATATCTGAAACTTTGACACTAAATTTTAGCTAAAGGCACAATATCCTTTAATGTTATATTGCTAATGATTTGATCCCTAGCAAAAGAAACTTTTGCAAGAGGGAGTTACAGCATTTTGCTTCCAATTATAAGATGAACAGAGAACAAATTCGATATTTGAAAACCCAAAGGAAAGAAAATTCCATATCTTTTCTCCAAAAGTTAAAATAATCTGAGTTTAAAAGACCATAATTATTTAGGGTTTGATTTCTTGAGTTAACATGTTACTATATTTATTTTAGAGAAATGTGAAATCTGGAGGCAAACTTGTTTTGTCGGGATGGTCTAAACCAGTTTTTATTCTGATTTTTGTCATTGTGTTTGTTTTTGACAAGGACAAGCTAATTACTGAGAAAAAAAAATCAGGTCTTCTAATTCTTAAACTTTAATAAATATTTCTAAAGCAAATTTTAATGACACTTTGTAAAGTGATTATCCACCTTTATTTGTTTTTGGTAAGAGAAAACATGTTAAAAATAGTCTAAAATCCCATCTTTCCAACTTTAGAACTCAATCAAAAACATCAGCACTGTGGGAAGACCAGATGTCTCCCTTGGAAAGCAAACCAGTATATAACAAGGGGTCCAGTCTTTCTATGTTTTAAAACAGAAATTTTTGAAAAAAAAAGTAGCCCTCTATAAAACTTTCAAGCAATTTCAAAAACTGTATATTTAACCAAACCTTTCAGCTTTTTGCCAACTTCCTGCATGTTGATGGCAGTTGGCTGCCAGAGACCAGCCTTCTGCTTTCAGGTTACAGAATGGATAATCAAAGTTGTGAATGTGTTAACGGAGAAGGTGAATTAACTCCAAATAAGCTTCTAAAATTTTTAAATGCAAAGGAAGTCACAGTGATGTGAATTGCATATAAATGTAATTAATTTGTACATGAAGAGAAGATTTTTAGTGTGCTATTAGCTTCATAACAGCCTAATATGTAAGAAGCCAATCACTAGCAAGCTTGCCAGAAGTATGACACACTGCTTGTCAGGTTTCTTTAAAGATTTAATGGATGCTGTTTTCCAGAATGTTTTGATTAACCCTTCTATTGCATATTTGTAATTAGTGTAAAAATTAATGTTAAATTGGAAAACTTTATTGGGTTACAAATAATATAGCAGGATGTGAATAATCCTGGTTTATTGCAACCAGAAACTTAAAACATGCAAGGATGGTTGATTCGTTTTTCTAGCAATAGAAATCATGTTCTCATTCATTTTTTTATTGTTGATGTTAGTATTTAGACAGGAAAAGAGAGAAGGGAAAGAAAACAAATACTTCAAACAATTTTCATAATGAAAATTTCTCCCCTGCTTTCAGAACATAATGTCAGCATTGCCAATTTTAGGCATTTTTTCTGTTCTGTTTTTTCTATTCAGTTATTTGAGGCAACTCATTTGTTGAAATACTGTAAATATGCAGTTTTTTTTCTTTTTTTTTTCTTTTTTTTTTTCATGAGAGGATAAAGAGAAAGAGGAGGAGACCATTTCTCCCCAAAGCCTAAAGTGTCTTTTCTACTTTGATGGTTTGAATTTGGGATATACCTTGCCAAAACTAGCCTGAGAAAGGTGAATAACTAGAGAAATAAGATTAGGCTTTTCATATTGAAATAGCTTTGCAAGTTTGATAAATTATTTTTAACAACCCTTTTAATAAAGAAAATGAATATAGCATTACAGTCATCATAACTTAGTGGTGCTGAGATTCACATTTATTAATTCTTTTCTTTTATTCATCATTACATGAATACAATAATTAATAATGAATTCTTTCTCAAAGTAACTTGGCTTGCATTAAATATTGTAAAATCAGACAGGCATTTCATTTTAAAAACAGGGTGCTTCCTGCCCCATTCAAAATGAATTATGTATACTGCCAATAAAAGTAGAGTAAGTTGAAACTATCAACTGGTAATAGAACAGGATCCATAGGGCTTCAGAGAAAACTGTCTGCCATTTAATCATCTTATTTTTTTCGGTCTGAAAATGCCCGGAATGTTATGAAGCTGTTGCTAGTGTCAGTTTTCCAAGGGCTTGTTAGCTTCCTATATAATTTGAAAAACACAATTTTCCGTGTTAATCCTTATTGAATGTGCCTACATATAGCTAATTGTACATTTTTGAACCGAGTGGTCTGCACTAAATATATATAGGCACCAAATATATATAAATATATAGTATGTAGTATTAAATATGCAGTACATATATACTATATAGTTATATATAGTAAATAACTAATAAATATATAGTTTACATAGTACTAAATATATAGAGTATATATAATTATAGTACTAAATATATAATATCTATAATACTAAATATATAATATCTATAATACTAAATATATAGTATCTATAATACTAAATATATAGTATTTGTTGCAGACCACTGCCATAAATTGCAGGTTGAAAAATGTACAATTAGCTGTAGGTAGGCATATTCTACAAGAAAACTTAACATAGACAACTGTGGGGTTTTTTGTTTTTTTTGAGATGGAGTCTTGCTCTGTCGCCCAGACTGGAGTGCAGTGGCACGATCATGGCTCACTACAGCCTTCACCTTCTCTTCCCGGGTTCCAGTGATTCTCCTGCCTCAGCCTCCTGAGTAGCTGGGATTACCGGCACCTTCTACCACGCCCAGCTAATTTTCATATTTTTAGTAAAGACGGGGTTTTGGCATGTTGGCCAGGCTGGTCTTGAACTCCTGACCCCGGGTGATCCACCCCCCTCAGCCTCCCAAAGTGCTAGGATTACAGGTGTGAGCCACTGTGCCTGGCTGACAATTGTGTTTTCAAATAATATAGAAATATATATTTTCTATAATAGCAATTTCAAAAATACATGAATATATATGTTGTATATGTTATATATATTACATATGTAGTATATATTGTATTTTATATTTTATGTATATATTATCTCATTTGTTTCACATCTACCTTCTCTTTCTCTACTCTAGCCTTGTTACCTTTGTCATAACAATGGTCATTTTACACCTCAGGTCATTCTCTCCTTGTGTTCCCATCTTTGGCAATGACATTCTAATTTTCCTTAGCACCCAGAATTAAAATCATAGATCTGTGTTTGATTAGTAGTTTTTCTCAGTTCCTCATAATTCTGTGGTCATTTGCTTCTGTTTCACCCTATTTCTTCCAGTTCCATGGCATTTGTCTCAGTTCTTCATTCCTGTAAATTTCTTCCTAACCTTCTTGTCTCCAGCATTGCTGAGGGACAAAATTTGAATCTTCCTTCTGCCTCCTACTAGCCATAGGACCTTGGAACATAATAGCTGTTATTAAATGAGCCCTTATTATATGCCAGAGAAGTGTGTTATTCCCTCTGCATTTACTATTTCATGGAGTCTTTGTAGCAATCTAGCAATTGTTATGCTATTTCCTTTACCAGCAGAGGAAACTAAGCTCCACAAAAGTGAAGGCAGCATAATATGTGGCAGGGCAAGGCCTGGAGGCCAGCCCTTTCTACCTCCAGAGCAGAGCCCATGTTCATAAGAAAACTCACTGTTTTCATTAAGCCTCAATATTCTCATCTGCAAATGGTAACTTAAAGACTGTCAGGGGCCTAGCAAAGTGCCGGATTGTGGGAGTACACGGTAGCCATTCTTAGACTGTATGTCTGTTTGGGGTTAGTTTGTACATCTACCCTCGTTCTTCCATTCCACCCTGCCTGCATTTCATTACTCTGCCATGGCTATCTATTGTTGCCATCGCAGCCACATTCCCGAAGTTCAGTTTTAATCTACTTTAGGTGGTCCTGCTCATTCTGCTGAAATCTCACTCAGGGTCATTGCTTCTGGTTGTGCAGAGGGGGCTGGCAGAGGGAATGAATAACAGCTGCATCTTAAGTCACACTCCCTGAAATAGAGCTATGTCCACTGAAAGGGTGGTTGGCTTTTCTGTTTGGTAAAAAGGCACTGTTCTCTTCCCAATCCCCAGCCCAAAAGACTGTAGGTCCCTTGTAGGAAGTGCATTTTTCTAATTTGCACAAAATTACCCATTGGCCCAGCCAGACTCTTGTCTCACAGTGAATGTATATTGACAACTATTGTGCATTAGGCATTTGATATATTGCATTAAACAATTATATGCTAACACTTTGCAGAGGACCTTGCATATGGTAAGTGTTCAGTAAATTTTTATGGAATCACGTTGATTCATATTGCCCATGGCCAAGGCCTAGAACCTTTCAATGACATGTTACATGTCCATACAGAGAGTTATAAAACCTGTTTGTAGTTTTGTTGGCATAAATATGCATGATAGCCTTTGATATGCTCTCTAATCATCTGAATTTTTAATAACTAAAACGTTTATCACTTGCTTTCAACAGAAAGGTGTTGTAAGGACTTGTGAATTAAAATCTATAAGCATGTTCACATCCTCATTAGAGAGTGGAACAAAAGTACAAAGACATGATCATTTCTCTAAGTGTCAAGATAAATTCAAAGAGAGATCGCATTGCCTCCTGACGAAGAATGTACTGGAAGAACATCTGTTCCCTGCCACCCACTACATCTCTCTTCTTTCTGCTCAGCCTGGAAATTGCAAAGTGGCTACGTTCTCTGAAAGGGCCAGATTTGGTGAAAGTTATATAGCAAAGCAGAACTCTTCAGCCGCACAATTGACGCTCACTTTTTATAGGACTCTTGATTGAACTCAGGTAGTTTAGGGAGGTTTCAGTGAGTACCTGTCTGAAGGTTATTTCATGTTGTGACACTTATACATGGCTATGCAAATTTTAAAAATCTGACAGGCCTCAATGAATTATGTGATATGTATAAATCTCCCATACTAGATAGATTTTAAATTGATGGTATCACACCAAGCAGTGAAATAAAAGGGCTAGCAGCACTTATCCTTATAGGCTAATAGCTGCAAATGATTTTATGAATCATTAGTTTAGAGATGTGTCCCTACCCATTTTTAAAACCCAGTGTAGATTAACATATTTTGTCTGTGACAGGATGTTAATTTTAGAGAAAAGAGGCCATCTGATGAAGTAAAACTCTCCCAATTTTGTGCCACTGGATTTTTGATATTGCAATTAACATGATTATGACTAATTAGAATTCTTGACTGTTAAAGAAGGAAGATTGATAGTTTAATAGATCAATACTGGTTACTTAATGTCCCGAGATAGACTCCTTTTGGCACATGACACACTCAATATATAATTAAATTTTAAAAAATCTTTTTAAAGTGGTTCCTACTTGTGATATTTTACTAAAGCATAAGAACGTAGAAATTAAGCAAAACTGGAGGCCATCCTTTTGGCTAAGGTTAAGTAATTATTTTCCTTTTTTAGTTGAATTAATGTTCTCTTCCTTTTGGCAGACACAGTTGGGTAAGTGTTCAAAGTGTTTTGTACTGATTTCATGGTGCAAATCCCATTAAAATAAACATAAGCTGCATGGGTAAATTAGAGCATGCCGCTTTGAAAATGTACCCCACAATTTTCAGCATATTAAACTGTCAGAAGCTGATAAAATCAGGCTTACATTCCTAATTTTTGAGTATGTTTGGAATGCATTTACATACTTTTCATCTGAAGTTGGTATGAAATTTAAATGGTATTACCATTGGATTATGGACACGCCTGCAGTATAGGAAACCAATGCATATTTTAGATATATTCCTGAAAACATCAACATTTAATAAACGGAGACTTGTAAATAGGTTGCAGTATGTCTCCAATGAACTTTGCTGTATTTCAAGAGAAAGAATCTGAATTCATTTCACCATTTTTGTCTCCATTAATGTGCGTGGCAGGTTATCCTTACCTTTCTTTGCGTTTTCAAGTGTGTTTTTGCAATCAGTCCATTGAGTAGCATGTTCAACAATTAACAAATAATTACTAAGCAGGAACTATGAAGCAAAGCAATGTGCTGGCCTTCTTTCCTATACTTCACGAGACTTTATTGGATGCTTTAATGCTCAGTAAATATTTACTACTTTGCATTTTTCTTTTCAACTAGAGAATTGCTAACAACCAGGCAATAGCCCCAATGCACAATGAAGATATGGAGCTGTGTTTAAGCAGATGTATCTACCAGAGACAGTAGGTAGAATAAAAACCATGGCTTTTGGAACTGTATTAGTCCATTCTCATGCTGCTGATAAAGACATACCCCAGACTGGGTAATTTATAAAGAAAAAGAGGTTTAATGGACTTGCAGTTCCACGGGGTTGGGGAGGCCTCACAATCATGGTGGAAGGCGAAAAGCACATATTACAGGTAGGCAGGCAAGAGAGAACAAGAGCCAAGCAAAAGGGGAAACCCTTTATAAAACCATCAGATTTCATGAAACTTACTAACTACCATGAGAACAGTATGGGGGAAACCACCCCTGTGATTCACTTATTTTTCACTGGGTCCCTCCCACAACATATGGGAATTATGGGAGCTACAATTCAACATGAGATTTGGGTGGGGACACAGCCAAACCATATCAGGAGCTAAACAAAATTTAGCTTCAGTTCTCATTTTCTCTCTCAATATTTGGGTGATCTGGGCTCTTGACACTTTTTCTGCCTTAGTTTTCTCTATGTAGAACAGGCATAATAGTAGAATTATGACAAAATGGTCTTCCAACAATTAAATGAATACATATAGAGTGTAGAGATTAAAACTGTTTCTGGCAAAAAGTAAGCATTATGACTGTGTTTAGATACTATTGTTAACACTATCAAAGAGCTGGTTTGGGACACAGACCCTAATTTTAATTCTCTTCTCCCTGTATTAGCTTTGGCATATTACTCTAACACACTGAGTCTGATCTGTAGTCATCTTATTCTTAGTATGCTGATTTCATCATCCTCATGATATTTGTATAGTTCTTTGAAATTTGCAAAATGTACTCTTCTAAATGTTAACAGTAATCACCACTTCACTATTGTTGTAAGAAATGATTGTAATTATGTATAAATTATTTAGGACCACTTTGGCCCAGTGTGGCTCAATTACATGAGACCAGATAATAGGATTTCCCCAGGCCACTTTAGTAGGTGCCTCATATCATGGCCCAGAGTGTAACTGAAATTATGAAAGCAAGGAAGTCCATTCAATGGTGAGCCAACAGAGCTAGCAGTGCCTTGGCATCAACGCTGCCATGAGTTTGTGCCTTCATTACACAAATGTCCTCTTCTTGGAGCCACGTTATTATACAATATGTGTCCTTAAGGCCTTCAATTAACATATAACCTTAAGTTCATAGTTTTAAGTTCTTAAATATGTTTGTATGTTTATTGTTATCATCTTATACTTTGATTTTTATAAGTATATATCACATATATTATATAGTATATATAATAAATGTGTATATATATTTCTATATGTATATAGTATAAATATATGCATATAAAATTTGCAAACTTTTATAACCTTATTCTAGAATTTCACACTGGCATAAAATGGACACAAGGTCGACGGTTTTAATTACCAAATTAGGGAGTTTGTATCATTGACCTTAAGCACTAGGTAATTTTAAGTGAAATTAGAAAATAAACAAATATTACAGTTGATACAAATAGTACATGTGTGCAAAGCATAGAATTGGTTTTCATATGATTTCTAATGATAATCAACTAAGAATTCTACATTAAATCAGGAGTTTCTTGCTTTAATTTAATGAGAAAAAAAGTATTCATATTCTACATAAACTTTCTCATCATATAGTTAAAAAGAAAAAAGTAATGAAATTAAATAGAAAGGTATGGCTTAACCTATTAACAAACTCTACTTTTAATTGTATGTGGCTTTATCCTTAAAGCCACTTTTAAATCTTTATTTCTTTAACAAAATTCAATAAAATTAAACAAGCCATTGCGGTCTTTTGTAATATATTTTTCAAATCTTCAAACTTTTATGTACTTATTTAATTTACATTGCTCCTAATATGGGAGAAATAATGGGTTATTTAATAATTACATATTATTATAAGGTATTTATAGAAATAATTTCTGTAAACTGTCAACCAAAATTAAAATTCTAAGCCTTCCAAGCAACTGATGGACCCCCACTCTCAGCCAAGAGCATTCCAAAATGAACCCAAAAATCTAGTTCAGGCCATGATGGGGAGGGGAGGGTCGGACATGCCTCCTTATACTCTCCTCCCATTGGAATTCAGCCACAGCTGACCAGAATTTAGATTAAAACGGAGATCTAAAGACTGATGAAGCAGATTTTTTGTTGCAATAAGACATCGAATTCCATCCTGACTCTAGGCTAACATCACATGACAGATAGGAGGCCCTGAAAGAAATCACAGTATTTTCTCCCAAAATATATTTCTTTGACATGTTTTGAAATGGCCGACAAAGCTGTCTCTTCTGGGGAATATTTACATTCTGTAGAAAATTTATGTTCCTTTCCAGGCCATTCTCTGATCCAGGAAGGAATTAACTAACAGTTTGTCAACTTTTTAGGTCTGATAAGAGCTCTGAAGCCTGCTACCTGGAGGCTTCATCTGTATGATAAAACGTTGGTCTCCATAACCCCCTATCTTAACCCAGACATTTCTTTCTATTGATTCCAGGTCTTCAGTCTTTGAATCTGCCTATGACCTGGAAGGTCCTCTCCTACGACCTTCAGGTTGTCCCACCTTTCAGACCGAATCTATGTATATTTTATGTGTATTGATTGTCTTATATTCCCCTAAAATGTGTAAAACCAACCTATAGCCTGACCACTATGGACACATGTTGTCAGGACCTCCTGAGGCTATGTCATAGACACGTCCATTACCTTGGCAAAATAAACCTCTAAATTGATTGAGACTTGTCTAAGATACTTTTTGGTTTAAAAATATATATTCTTTTTAAAAATAACCTTTTTGCCTCTTTTAAGATTCTTAATCAACCGGAGAACTTAAATTGATAATGATTTTAGAAATATATAATAGATTAAAATAACATTAGAAGTACGGTATCACTAGAGCACATGCCTCTAACCCAAATTTTGTCTGGTAATAGCATATGGTCCTCACAGACATTTTTTGTTTGTTTGTTTGTTTTTTCTCTTTTTTTCAAAGTAGAGAGAGAGAGAATCTGGGTGTGTTAGAGGAGTATTAAAAATGAATACCAAGTTAAACATACAATTATAGAAATCTACTAAGATTTTATAATTCAGATAGTTTTAAATTTAGTCTCTTTTAACCGGACCTCTGAGCTCTAGGTGAAGCCCACACTAAATCCTGGGTTTCCAAACAGAGATAGATGTCATGAGACTAAGCCATGTAGTGCTTTTACAGTGCACCTTGCTGCAGAGATTTCTCTATATGTTTAAACTGCACCCTTTTTTTACTTTAATACGTAACAGTAGCCCCTGTAGTAATAACTATTTTATTCAAAAGAAATCAGGTAATGCGATACAAAAGCAAGCAGTTGAAGATCTGAGAGGAACTTGTCTGTTTACACTCTTGAGTTTCCATAAGGAAAAACAGAGTTTCCTCCAAAAAAGGGTCTGTAACTGTCTCTGTTTTCTTTAAGAAATCCCTGGCAATTAGAAATTATTTTAGGTCCCTTATGCAGCACAGGGTGGCAAGAGAAAGGAGAGACAGGCAGAAGTACGTGGAGAAAACAGAACTCAGTCAACTGAGAAGAATAAAGTACTCTTTTCTTAACAAGATCCTAAGAGAGAAAAAAAAAGCATAAAGGCTATATATATATATATATATATGGGCTGGGTGCAGTGGCTCAAGCCTATAATCCCAGCACTTTGGGAGGTTGAGATGGGAGAATTGCTTGAGCCCAGGAGTTCGAGGCTGCAGTGAACCAAGATTGAGCCACCACACTCCAGTCTGGGCAACAGAGCAATACCCTGTGTCAAGAAAATAAAAATAAAAATGTGTTCTACAGTGTGTGTGTGTGTGTGTGTGTGTGTATATACACACACACACACACACACACACATATATACATTTATATATATATATGTACACACACACACATCTTGGATATTACATTTTAATTAAGCTGATTTTAACCATTGAGCTCTTTAACAAAATCCTGTTAAATCTCTTACTACCATATTTTAGCAGGAACAAACTGCTGATATTTGAAACGTAACACAAATATCAAACCAGAAAGGTCTTGATTTAGAAATTAAACCCAGGCTGTTGTGGTGAAAAAAGTGCAAAATCTTAGCTACTGAACTAGTGTCAGGTGTCTGCCATTGCCCTTTCAGTTTGGCCTCGCGGGCATTTGAAGTTTCATTTGATTTCAACAAGCACTCATACTCAGTTTTCTAAGCCCACTTGGTTCTTGACCCTGGTCTGTGCACTCTCAGGCAGTGACAGATCTGCAGAGTGATGCTCTGGGCATCACTGTCTCCCACTTCTACAGGTGATAAACTCTAAGAAACCTATACAATTTGATACATTGAATACAAGCTGGCCACTGCCCTCAAGAAAAACAATTATTTATGAGTCAAGATAGCAAAGAGCTGAAGGGTTGGATTCACTTGTGATTTACTTTTCTCTCTCTGACATTTTACTAAATAGTAATTTATTTTTCAAATGCGTATATAAAAACCCCAAAGGAATTCACTATTTGAGCGAATCCTTGGAGGGACTATTTTTTCTTACTTTGTGTCACTAGTTTGTAGGGGGGGGGAAAGAAAAAATTTAAATACAGGAAATATTTTAAAATTTTAAATAAAGGTAAATTCCACATGGTCGAGCTGAGAATTGAGAACTGCTATGTCATAGTTCTTCCTTGTTTCTTTTTAGCCAGACAATCCAGCATCATATCCTGTGCAGATGGGAATAATGTAACTGAAAATAAAGGCTCTCAATGGCTACAGTTTATTGAGCATTTCTTATGTCCCTATTGGTTTTCCCACGTTATCTCATTTAACCTCAGTACTACCTTGCAAAGTAAAAACTATTAACATCTTTGACTGATGTGGTAACTGAGATCTGTAGAGGTTCAATGATATTAGGGGAGGTCAGGATGACATGATGAAATTATCACACAAACTAAGCAACAAGTAAGAGTCAGTGTTGATTCATTCACACCTATGTCATTCGGCTACTTTTAGGTCTTAGAGATTTGAGATAGGTAATAAAGCTATTTTAAAGTAACAATCACTTATAACGTTTTTTTTTTTTTTTTTTGAGTCTCGCTCTGTTGCCAGGCTGGAGTGCAGTGTCATTATCTCAGCTCACTGCAACATCTGCCTCCCGGGTTCGGGACTGCAGGCGCCCGCCACCATGCCAAGCTAATTTTTGTATTTTGAGTAGAGACAGACTTTCATCATGTTGGCCAGGATGGTCTTGATCTCTTGACCTCATGATCTGCCCGCCTTGGCCTTCAAAAGTGCTGGGATTACAGGCGTGAGCCACCGCTTCCTGCCTACTTATAACTTCTTAATGGGTATAAGATCATTAGTATCCTTTTTCTTCCCTCTTTTCCACAAAACTGAAGCTTTTTTAAAACCCACATTGTATGCATTTTTGTGAATTTCCCCAACAGAAAATTTCAATGTTTTCTTTTAATTTCACTTAATTATCTTCCACAGAATAAAAGTCTTAAACAATTCTAACATTTTATATTTACGTTTCTTGAAAGTTTTCACCAATAAAAGCTAAAATCCCATAGGATATTATTTCCTCTCTCACAAGATGAAGCTTTCTAATGGATAGGGATTTTATGACAAGTACATGAAACTATGGGAGCATTTATTTGTATTATTGTTTTTCCTGACTAGTGTAGGCAGAGTAATGGCCTCCTGAAAATGCCCATGTTCTCATCACTAGAGCCTGTGAGTATGTGAATTAAAAGGTAAAAGGGAATTAAGATAGCAGATGGAATTAGTGTGCCAATCAGCTGACCTTAAAATAGGGAGATGATTATCCAGGTGGGCCCAATGTAATCACAGGGGCCGCTAAAAGAGGGAGGCGGAAGAGTCAGAGTCAGAAGCAGATGAGCTAAGGCAGGGGTAAGAGTGATATTCAGTGAGAAGGACTCAGGTAGCCATTCTTTGTGTCAAAGATGGAGGAAGGGGCCATAAGAAAACAGAAGTTGGCAGCTAGTAGAATTTGGAAAAGGCAAGGAAACATTTTCCCGTAGGAGGAACTAGCACTGCAGACACCTTGATTTTTGGCCAACCGAGACTTGTGTCAGACTTCTGATCTACCTGTACTGTAAGTAAATAAATTCGTGTTGCTTGAATGCACTAAGTTTATGGCAATTTTTAAATAGCAGCAATAGAAAACTAATATGCTATTATTATTATATAAATTATTATTTTCATTATGTTCCTCCCACTTTTAAAATTCTAAGGATTTTCAAACATAAGGATTCCTAGTTTTGTCCTCACTTTGTTACAAATGGGATATGTGACTCTGACACAAGGGGTTGCCTCAGTGCTATATATGTGCTAATACCCCTTCAGCTTTCATACCGCTCACAGGTAGGAGCGTGAAAAAGGCAGCTGTAGGATATTAGGAAAGCATAATCTCAATCTTTATGTCTGGGAGCTACTTCTTTCAGTACTAGGCATAAGATGGTAAAGATAAGAAGGTCTAAAATGTAAGGTGGACAGAACTATAGAAGAGATAGATAAAAGTAATATTATTTTATATATGGGCAATTAATTGTACTAGCTTATAATGTCCTGCTGTAGGGCAACAGAGACAAGTGCCAAGGTTTCTTTCATGATATCCTTACATTTACCTCCCATTTAAAATGTTTTCTTCCCGGTTTTCTTTAGTCTCTTGCACTCACCATTCCTTTCCAATAGAGAGATAGAGATAGATATACATACATGTAAATACACAACATGCACACATGTATACTCACACAGTATAAATACACATATATACGTATATATTTAATATAAGATCTAGAAATAATGCATGAAAATATTTTGTGTGATTCACTGATTCTCTAAGCTCATTTTCATAGTCTACAAAGCACGATCGACTTTCGTGAATTTCCAAAAGAAACCATCATTGTGTTCATAAAGAGAAAGGATTTATTTCCCTCTATTATGAAATAATTTTTATTATGAGATGAATCATTCAGAATGCACCTAAGGCCATTAACAAAATCAGCCTGTTGTTGCCAGCTGGCCACTATTACATTAACAGCTCAACTACCTGGAGGGTACTTAGCAAACAACTACAACTCTCTGGAAAATAGAAGAAAACGGAGAACAGACAAAAGTGATCTCTGAACAGGCACATTCAAGCATGTTGCTCATGAAGAGAACTCTCAAAGACTGCCACTCAGGGTTCCATTTAGATTTCCTTCTTGTAAAATAAAGAAATTTTGGGTGTTTTGGATCTTGACTTATAACAAATCAGTTGTCAAAGTCAAGAGCAGTAAGGATACTATTAAATGGGAAAACATGACAATTAGATGAAGTAATTGTTGATAAGGTAGAAGATGAGGACAAAGAAAAAAAACATAAACCTTAAAAGTATAGCAGTGTGGATACAAGAGCATTTGGTCAAGCTTCGTTCTGTATCTCAAAATTATGAAAGGCAATGTGAACATTGCCATTTTAAAGTTAACCTTGAGTCATCAAAAAAAGTTAAATTATATTCAGTTGCCTTTGTTACAGAAGGCAAGGAAATATAAACTGATTTTAGGAAGACCTTCACCTATAGGACTGACATTTAGTGTGTAACTTTATAATGGTCCAGTCACTGCCAAAGACACTTTGTAGACTTTATCTCAATGAATCAATGGTTAGAAAAGGAAATAAAGAAAATAGGATAATAAAATAAATCCATTCTGAATCCTGTCTATTGGCTATCAGCTCCATGTGATATCAGCTTCAGACTGATCTGAACCTGGAAAAGGCATTTCCCAGATTTCTTTTCCGAGTTTCCTGATAGGCATTACCAATGGGAGCCGATGCTAGAAGATTGGAAGGTGGAGGGGAAAAATTTCCTGCTCCTAGTGGAGCCCCCAGCAGCAGCAGATGATTACAAGCAATGGGAGATGGTGATAGGCCTCAGTGAGGTGGTTTGAATATCCTCATAGTGAATGAAGACTCCTGGATTGTATCCAGAGGTCACCATTGTTTCCAGGAGTCTTGAGGCAAGGGGGCTCCTATAATTAGCAGTTTAGCAACAGATACTGGCTTGTGGTCCTCGAGCAATAGCAGATTCCTGGTCTTTGGGTAACTGATCCTTTCTAAACACTTGCTACCCCTGCTCTCTCCCTTTCTCTTCACTCTTTCATCTTTTCCAACAGAAATGCAAGCAATCCCCTGTACCAGAACTCTTTCAGCTTGGTTTTTTACCATGGATTTATTTTCCTGGCATGACTCCAATGGATTTTTTAAAACTAGAATGAAAATACTATTTTGATTAAAAAGGCAAATTTAATTTGCCTGGAAAATTCAGCCACCCAGCAATGCCTGTCAAGTAAAACATACGGTTTGATCTCAGTGTTGGTACTTGCTGAAATTACAGTGATTTAGGATATAGTCAGCAAAAATTCTGTTTAGCAATTAAAACAACTTTATAGTCTTTAGAGATCTATGGAGCCCTGAGCACTGACTCCAGTCATTTCATAGTGTGTCCTGGAGGAAAATGAAGAGAAGGTAGGCATAGCTAAAATATCATGCCAGAATCCTGACACAGAGTGAATTAATAGCTTCAACCCAACTAGGACACCATCCACAATCAACATTAATTTCCCACACCGGGCAGAATGCAGGTTTTCAATGAGAAAGGTCTATGACCAAATGGCACAAGTTCATATGTGACACACACAGATGTTTCTTAATCATGGTGTTTTCTTCCAGTCTTTATATGTATTTTTCTGTAACAAGTTGAGACACTAAATTACAGAAATGCGGAGTAAAATTTTACTTAAGAAGCCACTGTACTCATTTTTCCTAAGTAGACATTTTCCTGTGTGGTAAAAAAGTCAGGCCTTTGGGAAAACCATCTATTCCAATTAATGGGGGCAATGTGGGGCATTAATGCACAGAATTGATGCTTATATAATTGCTTTCCTCTTCATTAAGTTCTCATCTTTCCCATCCACTCAGTCCATGGTCCCATTCAAAATATTCCCTTAAAATCATCCATTATGAGAGGCTAAATCTATTAAAAGAAATGCGTAGATATGCTCCCAGTTCTCTGTATCTGTGGGCTCCACACCTGTGGAATCAACCAACTGTGATTAAAAATATTTGGGGAATAAATGATTAAAAAATACAAATGAAAACAATACAGTATAATGACTATATACATTACATTGTATTTGGTATTATACTAGAGATTAAAGTATATAGAGGGATGCGCTGTGGGCTGTATGCAAATATATCAGGGATAGGTTATATAAAAATATACGAGGGACTTGAGCATCCACAGATTTTTGATATCCAAGGGAGTCCTGGAGCCAGTCCCACAGGAATACCAGGGATATTGATGAATGACTATAGAGTGTCACTCTTCTATTGCATGTGCAATAGGGAGTTTTTCTTCATTTTCCTAGAAATAGTACTCAAAATTTGGGATGAGCAGTGTAAAAACCAAGTAATAGGGACAAGTGTTTGTTGAATGACTAACATGTACATAGAAGCAAGGTAATGTTGAAAACTACAGGCTTTGCAGTCAATCAGCCTGAGTTTGAATCTTCCCTGATTCCTCCTCCTTATGTAAGTTTAGTCATGTGAAATAAAAACTAAGTCTGTTTCCTCTAAAAGAGGAGCGGAATATTTATTGAGATTGATTTTTAAGGCTGATGTATACAGGCTACTGAGCACTGTGTCCTTAAATAAGGAGTGCAATTTTATATTACATGTAAAATAGTTACTTATATATGTGCAGTTATGTGTGTGTGTGCGTATGAGGTTGAAATATCTGAACTTGCTTACATTGAACTATTTTGACCTATAAAAATGTTTTCCTCCGTTAAGGAAATTTTAATTTCTTATGAAAGGATTGGCACAGGGCACAATATTTTTGCCAATTATTGATAATTACAAAACGTGGAATTTTCTATGTTAAGGGTGATCACAATATGCTGGACATAAGTGTGAATGACATAATAGTTGTTGGAGAAATTTAGAAGAGATTTTCCACTGAAAGACCAAGTAAGCATCAAAAGAATGATGGTTGCTTAGGAAAGTTTAGAGAACAAATGTTTGTGTTACAAATACATTTACATAATGACCAAAAGATCTATAAACATAATATCACAGTAAAAGATTTCATGTGTAACTAAGTGTTTAAGGAAGATGAAGTTAACCTCACCATATTAATTGAATACAAATGAACAAATAATTTGTAGCCTTCAGTATGATATGATGAACCATCTAGAATATTTACTCTGAAAAAGTGCAAAATGAAAAACGGGTAGGGACCTATGTACCAGTTACCCGAAGAACCACTGAATCTTCAAGTGATGTTGGAAAGGTAGCTTTGGGAGATCTTAATTGACTGGCTTAGCTTTAAGTACAATTACACTGATTACAGAAAATTACAGCTATCTTAGTCTAAAATGTGCTATTATTAAAAGAAATTTTGGTTAAATATTATGTGAGTCTAACAGAATGACAGTCAGCTTAGTATAACAGCAAGTCAGCTACTTAAAAATATCAAATATGTGTGTGCATATAGATACACACATACACCACTCTTAAATATTGTATGCATTAAAAATCATGGCTTTTTTATTTGTTGGTAATTATAGTTGTTGTCTTAACCATAAACATGTAACTCCAGCCACATTGTTTGGAATAGCCTAGCTCTACCTGTGCATAGACAAGAATGGTCTAAGAGTAAAGTTTAGCTTGGTGGGTTTAAACACTAAGACAGCTGCTTTCTTTATATGTTGTAAAAAAACTTGTCAATTCCTTTGCACTAAAAATAAAAACTTTAGAGACAAGTAATAAACTAGCAAAGGAAATTTAATTTTCAATTTGAGCAAGATTACTGCTATAAATTAAAATTTTAAAAATGGATAGCTGATTTAATTCCAATGTAGAGATGCTTCATATCATAAATGATTAATATTTTTAAATTTTAAAGTATTTAACATTCATTTTTAGAGTATTTTAGTTTCTGGTCAGTTTATTGTCTTGAAGTACTTCTTTACAAGTAGGCTATATGTTGTTTATCTGATTATAGACTTTATTCAGCCTTCTAATTGCTGAAATGTAGCTGGGCAAATTTGTTTCACGTCAGTTGGTAAAAGATTATCAGATGCTATCTGTATTTTAGGATAAAGCTTGAAAACATGTTGAAACTGAAATCTTTAGTGCTTTGAGAAACACTGGATAGTCACAGTTTTTAAAGAATCATAGAATTTCAGTGTGTAAGAGAAATTGTAGACATCTAATCAATAGTGTGTATTCCATATGTAAAGCTAAAGAAGATAAAATGGCTTATGAACTATAAATTGGTTATTAGCATGAGATGTCTACTAAAACTAATGCCGTATGAAGACCGTATTGGTCTGTTCTCATGCTGCTATGAAGAAATACCTGAGACTGGGTAATTTATAAAGAAAATAGGTTTAATTGACTCATAGTTTTAATTGACTTACACTTCCCCATGGCTGGGGAGGCCTCAGGAAACTTAAAATCCTAGCAAAGTCACCTCTTCACAGGGCAGCAAGAGAGAAAGTGCTGAGTGAAAGGGGAAGCCATTATAAAACCATCAGATCTCGTGAGAACTCACTACCACAAGAACAGAATGGAGGAAACCACGCCCATGATTCAGTTTTCTCTACCTGGTCCCACTCTCACACAGGGTGATTATTAGAATTCAAGGTGTGATTTGGGTGGCCAACCATACCAAACCATACCAAACAGTGCCAAACCATACCAAAGATCAAATAGCTTAAAAGAATATAAAATAGAAAAACTGACATATATATAAAAATGTAATATTAAAAATAAACTTTCTTCCAGATCTGTATCTTAGTGATTTCAATATTTTATTTTTTTGTTTTTCTTTGTTTTCTTGTGAATGATGACCCTTGACTTTCTTTTTTTCTCTGATATTGAATTATGACTAATTTTTAAAGTCATCAGAGGAAGAAATCATGGAGCTTATTAAAATGAGAATAACATACAGTTATTGCTTTTCTAGAAAAAACTTTAAACAAGTGTCTTTCATGCAAATCATTACCATTTCTAAATTACTCATTATATGACAGTGGTAGAAAACAGATAATAAAATTAAAAAGCCAAGTTTTCTGTTTTTGTTGTTGTTACATTTTTAGCCATATACAAAATGTTCAAGAGGGCGTTCAAAAACAAAAGAGAATGCAAGATGCTTTGATATACTGGAGTGGATAAAGAAGTTTCACAAATCATAATGAAAATTTATCATTTTAAAGTAAATTAGTTTGGTATTACTGATAGGTGAAATTCTTAACACATCTATTTTATACACATCTCTTTAAGGATTCTAGTAGAAATATGCATGCAGTAGGCACTTATTTATGTTGGATAATTACAAAGCTGTTATATTAGTAATGATATGAGAAAATGCTCTAAAGTGGGAAATGAGAGTCTCAGAATTTAAGAGAGCTCATTTGTGATGGAGTTATTTTAAGAGATTATTTTATGTTAATATACCTAGGTAAAATTATATGATTATAATCAGAGAAAACTGAGCTGTTTTAACCATGCAGCATCAACTAAGGAGCACCACTGCAAATATCTTCAGATCTATGGAAGATGAGTGTTTTCTTGGGAGATAAGTGAAAGTAGTTTTGAAATAAACTCTTACCAAAAGATGGAATGATTCACTGTGAACATGGGAAAACTCTGGCAAAATGGGAACATAACCCATAACCAATTACATACATATTTTAAATTAGAACTACTTTGACCATTTCTACAAACTTCAATATTGCCACTGGATAATGTACATAAGGATGATTAAGAAATGTTACTCATAAATATAAATAAGTGGGCTCACTTTTATAATATGTATATTTTAACATTTTATGAGCCAACAGTCTCTGCTAAATATAAGTTGCCAACTACTGCTTGAATCTATTCTACAACCAAGGACCTCAGTGATTTAATAAAGAGAATAAAGAGAACACACAAGAAACCAGTAATTCATTTAAAAGCAGAGCAAAACTTCTTAGATATGGTCTGATTTATTTTTTTAATTCACCTTACATTTTAAGACTTCATTGTCCTTCATTTGTAACAGCAGGGTTTGACCAGTATTTTCATTATATATCATGCCTGATACCAAGTTCTTAATAGTTTTATTTCAGTGGGAGGGTCTGTGAGTTGATTTTCAGAATGAGTTATTGATTCTATACCCTTAAGCATTTTTTAGACATAGAAATAATTGATCAATGACATTGATCTGATTTACTCTAGGGCAGATGATCAACAAGGAAATGAAAGTTAAGGGATCAAAACTGATAATAATCCTTTGCATACGCCACTTATATAAACTGACTATTTGACTATGAAATCATTGCTTTACAGACAAATTGTTTTTCTGTTTACTAAGATTAGAAGGGTCTAAAGGAAAGGCACTATGTTTATTTTGCCTGAAAATACTGGTAGTGCTAATCATACATTAACAGTGAAATAAGAAATAATATGCATAAATCAAATGTCATGTAGAAACAATAAAAAATGTAAAGTATTATTTTTGAAAAGCTTTATAAAATTGTAGAAAAATAAATCTCATATAAAAACATCCATTTGATTTGTGGTAGGTATATTAAAATAAAAAGAAATCCCTGCTGGCTGAATTCATTCCCTCCCAAACCCTAAGCTCTACAGACACAAAGAGAGAAAAAGAAAAAAGAAAGAAAAAAAAAAAAAACAGCTTAAATCAGCATCCCAACCGGTTTTCTGTAAGGTTAATTAATTGTTGCTAATTGCACTGTGTCGCAGCCAGAGACAGAAGCACTGTCAGAGATAATGCAGTGGGAAGGAACAGGGATAAAGGAGAAACATTTATGAAATTTGCACTTATAGAAGGTACTCTCTACTTCAGTGAGCTTAAGATGCAAAAAAGGTAACACCACATTAGGAGAACACAGACATCCTGAAACTAGATGTAATTGAGTATTTTTTTAAACTCCTGAATAATTACATACATATCAATTAGCCAAGTGAAAACTTGGCAATTCTTTGTTTACTTGATCCGTGTAATAGTCAAATTCTATAATTCAGTCTCCCAAATTCATTTTGAAGATAATAGATACAGTCAAACCAAAATGTATTATCTTTCAGCTCTAATAGATGTTTCATGCTGGAGATAAAGGTAAAGATGAAAAATAACATTGATAAAAGTGAATTATGTGCCTGGTATTGTTCTAAAGGAGCTATAACTCATGAAGTAATTAATACTGTTATCCGCATTTTTATAGGTAAAGAAATAGAAAGACAAAGGGTTAAATACTTACCAAGGTCATAGATAATAAGTGGTACAACACAGGCTTGAAGCACTATACCATGCTGTAACGGCAACTTTATTTTATGCCTCTCATAAATAGATATTGGAAGAGATGCTTGTATTGTTGTGAAGATCAGCTATAATTTTGACAAACTCATAGTGGATTTCCAGTTTGACCAATGTGATCATTCAGGAGAATTTTGTAGAACTAGATGCAGAAAGAACTCACGTTTCCATTCCATTCCTATTTACATCTTCATCAGTTAAGAGATTGTATTGGTCTGGAAAGGGTCAACATACGTCACCATTTAGAAATATCTGTTAACTCTAACAAGGCAGAGGAAACAACTTGATTTTTAAATTTCTGTGCATAATCTAAGATCAAAATATATGTTAGAAGTCAAGAGATTCACAAATCTATGATATTTTATGTAAATATTCAAATAGAGGTAATTATAAACTAAAGAAAAATGAGGGTAAATATAAAGAAAAAAAATAGCCTGGCAGACTGGCTAACTGTTCTTGTCTCTGATACTCAGAAACTCTTGAAACCCATACCTTAGAATACATGGCAAGTTGACAGATGAAACTGTATTTACATTGGCCATTCAGATATGAGTTATAGGTATTTCTTAGTCATTTGTATGTATGTATAAAATGTAAATAAACCAATATCTACTTTTTTAAAGTTTTTATTGTGGTAAAATATAACATAAAATTTACCATCTTAACTACTTTTAGCCGTACAATTCAGTGACGTAAGTATATTCATATTGTACGAACACATCACTATGCATTTCCAGAAATTTTTTATAACATCTACTTTTAAAGATGAAAAAACATAATAAGAATTTAGGGCCTCAGATGTTTAGCTCTTAATTTTAGATATGAACATTTACTTTTCCCTGAGAAAGAAGCCCATATTACTTATGTCTACATAATCTCCATCATTCTCTAATATTCTTAATATGTGATCATTTATTCTTTACACACAAGAAATGAAATATCTACTTAGTTTTTCTGTTTTCATAATTGTAAAATATTCCTGGAACTTCATATCAAAGCTATATTCCTTTCAATTCAGAAAAAGCAATTCTAATTTATTAGAGTTGCAAATCATTTTGGGGATTCATTGAGGTGAAACATATTTGCTATACAGAATAATATGTTCTGTATTTTAGACAATTTCAAACTGAAGCTTAATTGCTTCAATCTGTAGAGCTAAAAAATATTGGCAGCATCTAATGAATTGAATGATAATGACAAAATGTTACACAGGTAAATACATCAACATAGAAGAACTCAAAATTCTCATCACATTTTTACCTCTCTCATCTAATTTATCCTAAAGAAAAAAAAAATGAAAGAATTGTGCTAAAGGGAAAATTTGTGCTTTTTATTTCATTATTTATAACATCACGTCTAACTGATGTGAATATGGAAAAGATACCCCCCCCAAAAAAATAAAAATTCTCGTCTGTTTGAAAGGAATTTGACATTTTCATTGTTTCCTTGAAATTGTTCTTTATAATTTGAAGACAAAAGTGTTGAAATCATATTACCATTGCTAAACCGAAATATAAAATAGTGACCCTCTTTGATGGTAATGTGCTGGCACAAAATTGCAAAGTTTTCAAGCTCCTTTGCATCCTTGAAGTGAAAATAGGTTATTTTCCAACTTTCCACTGCCTAAATTCAAACTACTGACCTGATTTGCTACTCCTCTAAATATTAACCTTAGAATGCTATTTCAAATTCATTTAACTATATGCTATATTGGCATTTTTAAACAAAGAGCATTTTGTTTCTCCATCGTGACCCTCAACTTCTTTCCAGAGTTTGTAATACCGTTATCTCAGACTTGAATTGTATTCTGGGCCTCAGAGTAGATGGGTATTCATTCTGGTTCTTTGTTAATGTATGAGTCAAAATGAGAATATTAAGTCACATTTAACTGGTAATTTGTTAATAGTAAATTCTATTTTAAAATACTTTCCCAAAGAGAATCTGGCACTGATTCTCAAGAAAACATCGATATGTATCCAGAACAATCAAGTAAGATGCTTTAGTAAGTTTTTGTACCATATGAGATGAAGTTAATTGCTGAGACCTCAGCAGGTAGCCTATTTTGGAGGATTTTATGGCTACATTCCCCTGACAATGTACTTATAAACCCATAAATTAAATACTGGATTTTAATTTCTTGGGTAAAGTGTATTAGAGTGGATTATAAGAAAATAAGACGATGTTTTAAAAATTACATTCTCTTGAGTTTGTGCTTTAAGACTTGTATTTTTATAACTAAGAAAACCTTAATGAAAGACTTAAAATATCAGTATAGCAAGGTACCCCAGGTAGGCATAGTATGAATGGGAAAAATCTAAATCTAAAAATCTAATAGGGACACAGGAAAGATATGATTATCAGGCTATTGTGTTGGGGTGGTCCTTAATGCTTTTTTCCTCAATCATACCTTCTATATATATTTATTTTGAGCCTGAATTACAATACTCATTTGCCAACATAGTATAATTCACCTTTCTATCTTGAGCTGGTCTCTTCAAAATCCTGTTTCTGTCAAACTCTTAAACACATACCTTTCATCAATTTTCCTGGTACTCTCAAACTTTATTCTTTTTTTTTCCCCCTTTCCCAAATTTTTATTCATGTCATTGTTGGTTGTATAACTCCTAGTAATGCTAAATGACGAGTTTATGGGTGCAGCATACCAAGATGGCACATGTATACACATGTAACAAACCTGCACGTTGTGCACATGTACCCTAAAACTTAAAGTATAATTTAAAAAAAACTCAGATATTACTCTTTCAGCAAGCCTCTCTTTGTCAATCTGTCACCTGCCACTCCAGCAGGCTGGACTAAATGGGCTTTTTATTTATTTATTTATTTTTGAGATGGAGTTTTGCTCTTGTCGCCCAGAGTGGAGTGCAATGGTACGATCTTGGTTCACTGCAACCTCCACCTCCAGGGTTCAAGCGATTCTCCTGCCTCAGCTTCCTGAGTAGCTGGGATTATAGGCACCTGCCACTATGCCCGGCTAATTTTTGTATTTTTAGTAGAGACAGGGTTTCATCATGTTGGCCAGGCCGGTGTCGAACTCCTGACCTCAGGTGATCTGCCCGTCTTGGTCTGGCAAAGTGCTGGGATTGCAGGCGTGAGCCACCACGCCCAGCCTAAATGGGTTTTTTCATCATCTTTTTTATTGCCATTGTCACATTGTGTATATTCAATAGGTTTCCCCATCCCCACCTGCCCCCAATATCTGACTATGAATTTCAACAAGCATGTTTGAAACTTTTATAGATTTTCACTGTTAAAAATGTACTATTTTTGAAAAGAAAGATGCCTGGAGAGGATGACTTATTTTATTTATCCATTCATTGTAGTAACTACTTCTACTTTATGCCACTAAGGCACCAAACTCCAAAATAGGTAGAATAAATTGTGTTATGATAGGTTCATCCTTTCTCAATAAGAGATAGGGGCTCAGTAAAAAAAAATATAGTTTTATAATCAATTGTGTTGTCTGCCATTGGCATAAAAGAGAGGTGAAATGCATAGGGTTTTGCCCTGATGGAACAGTCAAATTAAATCATGTATTGGGGATTAAAAATAGTAACGACAACAGGAATAAGACATCAATGCTTGGGAGTGAGAGTCTGTAGCGGGGACCAATTTGTGTGTGTGAGTAGCAGAGAAAGGGGAAAGGGTAATGACAAAGTATCTATAGAAAAATACGTCCCAAATTTTTTTCTGAAGTGAGATATTTTTTCTACTTCTGTCCATTATTTTTACTATACCATGCCTCAAGTATTATCTCAACCCAAAACATCTCCTGTGGTTCTCCTGTGATTTACAAAATGTTCTACATTATTTTGCTGCAGAAAATCATTGTCTTTTCTCTTTCCTGTTCTAGAACACTATTTAGTGTTTTTATATTTTTTCTCTTCAAACTGGCTACATTTTTTCTTAAATGTGAATGAAATTAGTCATAACATCAGCTCTCTGAACATATAATCTTGTTGAAATGTGACAGAAATGCAAATGAAATGTAAAGCTTGTTTAGCATAAAAGAAAATGGATGCTCCTTTTCAAATACTACATTGTTCTAAATATAAACTTTATTCATACAACTTTTCAGGCCACATTTTGAAGTCACGCTGTCTTATACATAGAAATGACTTTATTTTCAGGCAAACAGGATCCTGTTATGTGAATAACTAAGGTGAGACAGTGCAAGTTCTTATGATTGTTCAAACAATTTAATGCAAATTTTAGGTTAAAGTACAAGTGTTTTCCTTTTCTTAGATTACAAATACATAATACTTCAATATTTCCCACTGAATTCATTCTGTAAAAAGATCATAATAGCCGAGTTGTTCACAGAGATAGAGCAAAATTAGTTGTGGTTTTAGCGTTCAAATATAATTAAGAATGAATATATTTCACAGTGGGCAGTGGTATTTGCACTGTAGGGCTTATATCATCTGAAGTCACTCTAAAGTGTCTCCTAAAGACTTCCTCCTCCAGGAAAAAATCTCTAATGCTTTACTTTTATCATGAAGCCTTCAAGCTCTGTATTGTGTTTGTTGTGGCTCCATATAGATCTGCATAATACATGTTTTAAACTAATCTTTGGCAACTAAAAATACTTTCTTGAATGCTTGTTCTAAATTAGATTTCCAAAGAATTTGGACCATGGGTTTAGATATCAGTCAGCCATTAGCCCACTAGAGCCTTAAGACATTGTCTCCACCTACCCACCTACGGAGAACTGTACGGATTGAGTTAGCTATAATCTACACTACAGGCATAGGTTGTGGAGAGGTTCTATGTTAATTAGGGAAATGCGAGTTATTATTAAACAAAAAGCAATATTTAAGGATCTGAATCCCCCCAAAATTTTTACTTGGTCAGTGATAGTCTAACATGGGTATTTCTGGTGATTGGAAAGGTGAAGGGCTCTGCTCCATTCTGTCTTTCAGGAATCTAAGAAAATGGAGGTTCTGCCATTTTCAAAGACATGACTTTCATTGTCTCCTGGGATGAAGGTGGAGATACCCAGCAAACAGAAGGGAGAGCAGGGAAGTAGGGGAAAGACACACCTCCTTTTTAATTACCTTGACTAGAAAAGAAAGACAAGCATCTCTTTTGCTTATATCCTCTGTATAAGGACTACTCACATGGCCACACTTAAATGCAAAGGAAACCTAGAAATCCAGATTTTGGCCAAGAAGCCACTTCTGGCACTAAATCTGCATCAAGAAAAAAGAGTAAACATCTATGTGATCTCCATGCTTCCATACTTGTTCTCCCTACTACTGCCCATTCTCTGTGCAGCACCTAGAATGTTATTTGAAAAATACAGATCAGTTTATTTAAATCCCCTGCTTATAATCTCGAACACAGAATAAAATGCCAACTCCTAATCAAGACTGTAAGGGAGTGATTCTCTGGACCCCTCTTAACTCTGTGATCTGATATGCTGTCCTTCTCTCTCTTGTGCCTCATATTTTAGCTACACTTAACTTCTTTCAGACCCATTTCCATCCCAGGAATTATGCAATTACTGTGTCTTTTGCCTTAGTTGATCTTCCTGAAGATCTTCACGTTAGACTTGTTATCATTGAGGTTGCAGGTCCAATGCCTAATCCTAAGAGAAGTTTATCCTGACCACCCTAACTAAATGAGCAAGCTCCCAACCAGCCATTCTATACCATGGCCTTGTTTGATTCTCTTACTAGTATCTGTCAGTCCTATGATACATAGTACCATAAGATTGTATAACTGATCTGGGCAGTAGATGGTCTCTTCTCATCACTCATTTTACAAATGAGGAAACTAAGCCCCAAATACATGCTGACTTGCTTAAGGTCACGCAGTTGTTAATGGCAGAGCTGAGACCCATAATAGATATTTCCAACTTTTATTTTATAAAATATTTGGAGAATGTAAGATATAATCACCGAATATTTGCCTGCATAAATTGGTATTTTTTTTTTCAGAGAGAAGGAAACCTGCTTCTTAACAGACAATAGGTAGGATGTAGCTTTTAAATAAATACCAGGTTCAGAGACAAGTGAAATGTCAAAGTGAACATAGTCTTGAGTTGTGCTGTCCAATCCAGTAGTGTCTAGCTATATGGGGCCATTTAAAATTCAGGAAAATTCACAGTTGATTCTTAATTAACAGTTACACTAGCAGATTTTGGTTCCCAGTAGCCACATGTGGCAAGTAACTTCCACATTGGACAGTGCAGGGAAATATTTCAATCCTCTAGAAAATTAAATCTGATAGTGCTGTCCTATTGATTTGTCTTATACTCTCATCTGGTTTGTGATCCTTGGTTTTGAATTTCATAATTCCCATTTGCTTTCTAATTATTTTTACAACCATCTTTCCAGTTTCTCCACTGAATGTCAGATACAGGCTTTCAACAAAGCAGATGAGGTGAGATGGGGAGAGGGGTAAATCTCTAGTAAAAATGTTATTCATAATTTGTATTTGTGATAATATATATTTTGATGAAAATCTGTGGTTTTCTTATATCATTGTATAAAATAGGACAATAATAACTTAAACCCACGTAATTGTGCAAAGCCTTTCTAGGACATTTTATTGTAGCATTGGGGAACTGCATCATAAGGTTGGTGGCCCTCTATCAGGCAGTCGGGAACTGTTCATGTTATTCCTTTTCACCTTTGTTCTAGTTGCCTAGTGCCAAGGACAGATTTACCAGTTTACTGATTTCCAAGGTAATGAGTGACATTCCTAGATCTCTCAAGGGCATTGCTAATAACTCAAGAGTAAGCAGTTCAGCTTCTGTTTCTTAGGCTTTATAATTGGTGATGCTCTTGTTTCTCTCACTCATACTAGAGAAAGAGTAATTTAGGATATTCAATGATTTGGACTATTGTATCAATTATACAAGGTGACCTCAAATATAAAGAGGTTCTCCGTTTATCATTCTTGTTGTGAAAAACATATTAATGAGTGAGAACAGACATGACAGAGTAAAAACCAATTACAAGAACTGGAAAATCATGTCAAAATTAATATTCTTCTGATAATGGGCATGATGATCACTGTCATTTTCTAGGCTTGGATATGCATGGTTTGCACTTCACCTGCAGTTTTTCCTCATCCAATTTGGTAAGCAGTTCTGAGGCAGTGTCTGAACTATTGCATTATCCTAATAACTATACTTTGCCCAGGCCTGAAAAAATAATTTAAATGGAATATTCCTGACTTTGTCACTGAAATACAAATCAACATTGTATTTCTCAGTATGTATTTTAAAGGGGAACATTGACTAATGGAAAAGGAAACACACAAGACGGCAAGATAACTGAAAAGAAGGTTGAATGTAAATATGAAGACAAGTAGAAGGGAACAAGGGTGCTTTTCTTGAGGGAGAAGAACCTGAAAAAATATAAAATAAGATTCTTAATATGTTGGTGAGTCTACCATTAAAAAGTGGTTCTACCTAGCCTGTGTAATTTCAAACATCCAAATGCGACAAAATGATGACAAATACATGTAGATAGACTTTACATCAATATAAGTGTTAAATGTTTGGTAGTGTCATCTTACTACACTGGTTTTTGTTCAAGCACTAATGAAATTCCTGCCTGTTAGGAAAGTTTGAAGTATTCATATTTGGGAGATAGTTTTCTCATAAACATTTCTATCTCTTTGCTTTCTTCCAATTGTGATATCCTATAATTACTAATTGTGAGGAGTTGTACAATTTAGGTCCAGATTTAAAGAAATATAAATATTTAGGTAGAATTGATTATTGACATCTAATTTTATTCATCCTTATTATTTCATAGCAAGTAGATTTAAGAATAGCTACTTCATGGAAATAATTGTCTTTATAACTTTATATGACTCTCTTAGGCCTTTTCCATCTTTTTTTAATTCTCAAAAACTATAGACCATTGGTTTGCCAGACTTACCTGTTTAATTTCATTCTGTTAAGTCATAAGATGGTCAGTTTTCTTATCAGAAAAAAAAATGTCTTATTCTCTTCATTTTTTTCTTTCACCCAATTTCTTCTGTCAGAATCATGTTAAACATATACACAAAACGTACATATGCACATGTATTCATATCCCACATCAATGCTAGAAGAACAAATGTAAAAACAAACCTATAGTAATGGACAGTTCTGGATCAAATAAGCTAGCATTAAGAAAAAAATGATGATGTTTTTTTAATCGGTGACAGGAGAGTTTTACAACCATTATACCTATTTATATTCCACACAGTCTCATCTCACTGGGTATTTTGAGATATACATTAAATCTATTGCCTTTATTAATGGCTCTGGAAGCTTCAAGAACACCTATGATTAACCTGCCCTGTATTTTCATACCTTGGATAAAAATTTTCTTTTGAAAGCCCACTAGAAGACAATATAAAATTTTTAAATTATCGATATCTCTTTATTATTTGAAGAAATATAAGCTTATTTTTAGACACCTTGTTAAACTCTATAAGTTATTAATTCTACACCATACCTCCTCATTTGGTACTTTGAGAAAAATGTAAATTTTTCAATATATATATTCTTCTACCCCAAAATGCTGTTTTAATGCAAATGAAATTCACATACTGCTTGATTCTCCTTGTACATTCCAATATAATTTACTGAAAATTGATGAGCAAAATCACATTAGGTTTTTTAGTAATTGGCAACAGTCCCCAATGACCCAATTAAGCATAGACGTTGTGTTTTTCAGAAATGTAATTTTAGAAGAGAGATAAGGAGATAAGTTCATTCACTCACTATCCATATTACAATTGCAAAATTTGTTCTTATTAATACTGAAAATAATCAACTGAGATGAGAATAAATTAATACAGGATAATAATATACCAAAACCGCATTTAAAAAATTATGTGGTTTGCGAGTTGTTCATATGATATTGTCTGTATGCAAAATGTATGCTGTATTTCTCACAATGTTACAATATGGAAAAGTCATACTTCGTAAGTAGTTCTCTTACATAATATAGTTTATTGTAGATGTTGCAATAAGAATAATAGGAATAATGGATATTTTAAGTTAGGCTTGTATGAACCACAGAGAATAGAAACAATGCATTCTGATATGGCATTCAAGTTGAGAAAAGACTATTTTTCACTTCACACTGTACAGTATTCTATCATTCTATAGTAAACTATTCTTTGTTTTTCTTGTCAGCATTCAAGTTACAGTTACTTTTTGAAACATATTAGGATATTAAACCCAAGATGATATTTCATGGTGATTGTTTAACTAATGTCCAAACCCATCATCAACAACAAAGTATCAGAAGATAAACAGAACAGCAACACTCTGTTTTTAAAAGTAATTTTTGAAAGGTAGGAATCACTTTTTTTTGAGATGAAGTCTTGCTCTGTCACCCAGGCTGGAGTGCAGAGGCATGATCTCGGCTCACTGCAACCTCTGTCTCCTGGGTTCAAGCAATTCTCCTGCCTCAGCCTCCCAAGTGGCTGGGATTACAAGCATTCCTGGATAATTTTTGCATTTTTAGTAGAGACAGGGATTCACCATGCTGGCCAGGCTGGTCTTGAACTCCTGATCTCAGGTGATCCACCCACCTTGGCCTCCCAAAGTGCTGGGATTATAGTCGTGAGCCACCGTGCCCAGTGGCCTTTCAGTATAATGGTTTAGCGATCTGGATTATAGATGCTAGTAAACATAAATGAATATCAAAGCTTACTGGATAATAAGATAGAAATAGGATTTAAAATTTTCAAATGCTGTTAATTCCTCTCCAAAAGATCAAAAAAAAGTTTAAAGTTGATTTATTTCTGAGTTTATTAATTATATTAAGGAAATAATAGAACTTTTGGAAACTACGTGCAACTTTTTACCACCAAGTCATTCGGAGACTCCATCTAGACTTCATGCAACATTAAAATAATTTGAAATATTCCAAGGTTCAAAATTGTTTTTAAAAAGTGTAATTATAAGAAGATTTCATTCATAATGTTCAGCATATCTTCCTTAAATTGTCTTCCCCATTTTATTTTCTATTCAATAATTTAAAAGTATAACAGTTCTTTTATCTTCCTATTTTATGAACTCCTTAAAACATTTATGCTAACTAGTACCCCCAGGTCCTTGAGCTTCTCCTACACATCCTCCTTTTCAATATTAACACTATTCCCTTCTCACTGCCAATCAGTTCCACCCACCTAGATTGCCCTCAATTCATTGCTGAATTAGGCCTGCAGGTCCCAGACACAGGATGCATACTCTGTATCTGGTTGGAGTACAGGAGGTAGTGGTAAATGGTGAATACTTGGGAATCACTATATTCTTAACCTAACATACATTTACAATATATGCTCTTTGTATTGAGGGGAATTGATTGGTCCTGCTAAGATTATCTTTATTGTCCAGACAAGATTCATAGGGCTGTGACCCCCCACTAAAGCAGAGAGATCCTCCTAGATTACTTATCTATCAGGTGGCCAAGAAGAGTTCTTAGGTTTGCAAAAGTTCGTTAATTGAAATTTGAGTAAATGAAAGGATATTGATAGAATTCTTACAAACTCTCCATTTAAAAAAAGCAAAACTGCAATAAAGAAATTTATGTAATTTAGCATTCTGCAAGATTTTTAACCAACATTTAATTTTTTTTCTGACACCTGCTGACATCTTGCAAAATTTGATGTTCTTTAGTTTTGCCAAAAGGTGTCTCAGATGATAAAGTTGACAATCAAAAAATATTCCTATATGTTCCACCTTTTTCACTTATCTGAACCAAAGACAGTGTAGGAGAAACAAGAACTATTGAGCAGAAAAAAAATTGTAAGTCATATTTTGCTTCTTATTTGATAAATGAAAGATTTTAGAATTTTAAAATCATAGGAGTGAATTAAGAATTTATAAAATATGCTATAACTTTTATAGTCCATTATATTAGTAGTTAGAATTTTTGAAATTTAACATAGAAAGCATTTCAGCATTCAAAAAAAGCCCTGTACATAAATAACAGAACAATGAATGATTTTATATGGAATATTGATTGCATTATATCCTGACTCACTGAGAAGGGAATAAAAATCCTTCAAAAACATTGACCTACAGAAACTTTACGGTTTCCCTGGACTAAGGACTTAGCAGTTGAATGCTTCAGAGATTGTTTAATGCCTTCAAGAGGCCTAATACATATGGCTTCATTCCCTTCATTGCTGAATCTGCTTGGGATAATCCTGACTCACCACAGTTTAATGCCTGGTCACTTGCAGGCATCAGACACAATTGGTGTTGATGAATAGAAAAAGACAAATTCAGCCACCTACTCCACAGCTTTGAAAATGGGTCAACTAACTATGTTAACACATTACAGCTGAAGGGTCCTTAAGCCACTAAAAGGAGAGAAAGGAATAAAAAGAATTAGAGTGTGCCACCCAGTGTTTTCTCTTCCTTCAATCCATTTATACGGTCTGTTCTGTGGCTTTGCCTGGGATAGCGCCTGCTGAAAATTGAGACCAGCTGCAGAGTTTTAAAAGGTAATGTCTTGTCTTTCCATGAAGGAGGAGGCTAATTTACCAACAGATAAGGACACCCTCAGAATTATCAACTAAGTTCATGCAAACAAAGAAAAAACATGAAAGCACATACACTCAAACAAAACTGTTATTCCTTTAGAAGGCAAATTACATTTTAACAGTATATTAAATGTTAATACCAGCCCAAAGTGTCACTTTGGTCAAAAATTTCACAGCAAGTTACCAGTATCAGACACAACAGTTCATGTATTAGTCAAATTCAAGCAGTAGGGTAAAATATGACTAGATGTATGTCAAACTTCTCTAATTTAATTTGGATAAGTGGAGGAGTATAGCACCTGAGCATTGCAGAGCACATGATGCAATGTCACAATACATTCACTTGTATCACATTATAATGAGATATGATGAAATATAATACATTATTTCAAAATAAAATAAAAAAATGGATGTGCAATATAACTTTCACTAGTGGGCATGTATAAAGAGGGGGAAAACAAATTATGAGAAGTCTGGGCAAACTGTGAAAGCAAGTAATTTGAATTTATTTACAGCTCAAATCTTCACTCTAGTGATACTCTGCAGAGCTACCATCATTAATAGCCAGGGCTTAATATCTGTCATTTCAAATTGCTTTGGTTGGAAAATTGGAACAGTAGTTGTCAGGCTAGTTGTCTTTTTCCTTTGAACATTATTCATATTGATTCAGATTGATTTATTCACAGAAATACCAAATAATGTGGGAGGCTAGTTTTTGAAGTCAAACATTTTTAAGTTGTACTTTTCCTGTAGTTTTTCCACATAACGCGTGTTTACATTTACACATATTACCTGAATAATGTATTGACATTCATTCTCAGGCCCCAAACTAGTTTCTCCTTTCCTACCATACTAATGTTCTTAGCAATCAGAACCCGTACTGTTTAACTGGTGACAAACACTGAAAACTCGAAAGGTTGTAGGTCTGTGACGCATACTGTATTTGAAATTATTCACAGCAGAAAACCTTAAATCTTCTTGAACCAAATGTTTAACCAGTTCCTTGATCTCTGAACATAGTTGAGGACAGTATGAGGAGTTAACCGTTCTTTCCTATCCCCTTGTCATTCCTGCTACAGCCAGTCATGGAATTCTGAGTGTCTGACTAGTAGAGGGTCTCAGATCCTAGACATGGTGGATGATTTGTAATCACAGCAAAGAAAGAAACTTAACACTTTCCTGTTCTGGGTGTAGAGTTTCTCAACCAGGTCTTTCTAATTTCAGAAGGAAGCTCCTAATTATAAAGGGAGAAGTAGCTTTTTCCTGAGAGACTCTTTTTCAGTATCATACACTGTCTATGGGATGGGCTCTCAAAAACATAACTTGGATGTAATCAATTCATACTTAGCATATTTGGTACATGCTAGAGAAGGGGTGGAAAGGCAAATTCAATCATTTTTGAGTCCAGAATGACTGGGTGAGACATTTTGATTATATCCATTTGCCTTTAGAGAGTCATTGAAGGTTTCTGCCTAGAACACTGGTATGTAAATAGTTTTATAAAGAACAAAGTGAGTCTCAAAATATTGGTAAGATTTAGGTATATGCTTACAACAAGTGTATCATCGAACAAGTCATTATCTATGATTTTGTTTATAATGTTTCAATATTTGAAAGCTATATTACAGTATTTGTCTAAAAACTTTATAAAAGCATTGTTCTCTCCACAATCAGGGATATTATACCGCTTTGCTCAAATTATAATAAATACTTAATTATTTTGTAGTTCTGATTACAAGAATCAAGCTATAAGATGAAATCCTTGAAGGAAGCATCAATGTCTTCATCATCTTTGTACCCCCAGTGCCTATCACAATGCTTGAAACATTGCAAGGTATTAACAGCCACAGATTAAATGTGAATCAATGTAACACTGAAGAAACAGATATAAAAACTGCTTTTCTTTTCCTTCTGGTCTCAGGAAATTTTACTTTTGTTTTACACATACATATACATATGATATATATACATCTGGACAAAAATCAAATCCTAAAAAATCTCAAAAGTACAGCTGCCTATTTCGTATTACTCTTAATTGTAAATCAATAAAAAGTACCCAAACAAAAAAGTTTCTAGAGGCTAAAATTTCTTTATTTTTCATTTAGCCATGATGTTGATTTTAATCAATAAAGAGTTATTAAAATACATTTTATTTGACTTGCTAGGAGGATTTAAAAGGAAAAGGATACTAAATAAGCACAATATTAGATTCTTTTAACAATTGTTCTGTTCATATGTAAATTCCCACTATAGCTGGAAATAAATTTGTTATTTCAGCAGTTTGTAAGTTAATGGAATATATTGATAAAACACTACATAATAATACAGTTTGAAGTCTGAAGTACTATAAGTACTTGAAATGAGATATTTTTGTCATAATGAAACATTTGAAATTGGTAAATCTTAGAAATAATTAAATATTATTTGATACATTCATTAAGTTATTGTCTATGGGGATTCGATGTATGTATTATGAGTCTATTAATCCCTTTAGAAAAAAATACAACTTGTTAAAATTATAAAAAGCATTATTTCTATCAGATTTCAATGTTGATACTTTAATTCAAGTTGATTTGAGAACTAAATTTTATAAACTGTAATACTAAAAGTGGGCATCACTAGGATTCAATTTCCTATTAAATGTTGAAAACATGTTTAAAACAGATGGGTCTAGGAAACAATCGTGCTTCGAGATAAAATGCTCAGAACCAACGTCTAAAAAACCCAGCTTTTGTCTCATAGGCTAAATATTTCACAGGTGTGGTTAATTGTAGGCACTTTTTTTTTTTTTGCACCTGCATTCACATGTTTGTGGATTTAGTTAGTCATCGTTGCCTAATTTTGAAAATACAGAACTTAAAAATAACACCTGGAAATTCCTCCTTCATTTCATGTGGAATTGAAGGAAAATCTCCTTGGTATATATTAGAAACTTCAGTAATAGATGTTGCTTTTTTATATTAAAAAAAGAAGAGTATGTAGTATAAAGAACTAGCTTTGAAAATGTTTCTGCTAATTTGAATTACTCACTAAACAATATGCATATATAACATTTAACAATTATCTGAGAAGTTAGTTAAATATTTGTATACTCAATCTAAATCAACTAACATATACTTTAAAAAATTCTTTAAACAAAAGCTGAATTCAATAGAACAACCATCTTGGTGGAATCATGGTGACTGTCGCATGCATTTAAAATAAAACTACTTAACCACTATTCAATAATTATTTGTATTTGGAAAATAATATACATGTATTTGTTTACATAGTTGCAAACATCAAGTTATGCACACAAAATGATGATGTTCCAGCATTCAAAACATGAGGAAAATATTTTTACCAGCTGAATTGTATCACCTTGATAAACCTGCTTACTTATGGTGATGGTATGAGAATGAAGAGAAAATGAAAAGAGACTAGTGAAGATTTTACACAGAGAGAATAGCACGGATGATAGATTAGGTATAAAGGGGTGAAGAGTGATCAGTGCCTACAATTTCTAGCCTGGAAAATGAGCAACACTGACAGATTGTCAGTTTCAAAAGAACTCTGCCAGGTTCAATAAATAAAAAAATTTTAGAAGGGAAGGAGGAAGTAAAGGCTGGAGAATGAGTTGGAAAAATGTAAAAATTTGTATTTACAATAATAACTATGGCTGTGTGTTATACCATTTTTTACTGGTAACTTGATGCTAGGTTCTATCAACATCTTTCACTGATGCCTTATGGGCTCTCTCTGCAATATAAATCATCATACCCACTCATTCACCTATTAATTTTTAATGTTACCATCGACAAAATCCCTCTGGATGCCCGTACGTAATTACTAAAATAGAGTAGGATCATAAAATGAATAGAAGCTAAATTCAAAATTAAATAAAAGCAGGTCACCTACACATTAGGAAAGGCCCTGATATTGAACAAGCTAAGCCATTATCAAACTTGGAACAGATGGGCTAAAACAAAGGGTGTACGAAGACAAGGATGTCCTTAGGATATGATGTCTTTTATTGAGGAGGGAGGGAGCTTCCATAATATAAGAAACTTTTCTTCTGTGTAACCTTTAGGGGATACTTTTTTCAAGGATATTTTATTCATTTTAAATTCACCAGGGAACATACCTTTCTAATTCTTTCTAAGATACACGTGTGAAATATTAGTAAGAGACAAAATTGATATTTGGGACATCACAACATAGCTCAGTTTATTGGACAGATGGTGCATTTTCTTTGATTCTTGCATTGTATTGCTCCATGCTCAAAAGGATTTGGTAACCTTAAGGTTTGGGTTGTCAGGAACTTAGGCTCTTCTCTAAGGCTTGCTAATCCTAGCACAGATACTGCTATGGACATTTTCCCATAGCATGAGTTGTTATAAAGTGAAATAGTTAGAATGTGAATGACTAAGTAGATAACCTGATGTTCCATAATCCTGCCATCTTTAAACATCATCTAAATCTAGAGCTAGATCTTTGAGAGCAGAAAAAGACTGTGGTCATGAATAAACAGAATAATTTGCAGTTGCCATAAGGGGCTGATCACTCTTTTGGTTGAGAGCTCTGATTTAACTTCACTTTTTCTTCTTTCTTTATCCTTTGGAAATTACAGGAAGAGTTATCTGAATTATGTTTCAGAATTACAAGGAATAAGCTAATGGTTGATAAAGGAGAGGACCCTGTAACCTAGAATGAAGGAATGGTTTTTTATGGTGTTTTTATCAGATTCGATCAGCTTATTTCTAGCCTTGAGCTGATGGCATATACTTACAGTTACAGATGCATTTATTAGTGAATACTTTTCATAATATTAAATAACTGTATTATGGATCTGAAAGCCTCTAACACTTTATTTGTAACTCATTAAATGAATTGTTACTAGGAATTGTGATATTCCTGTAACAGAATTACCATATAGCTTTAGTATAAGCAGGTAAATGGTGTTTATTAGAGATAAGTGGACGCTGTACATCATCATTCATCGTATCACTGAACATTTGCTTCTGAAAGTAGTCATTTTAATACCTTTATATTGTTTACCACATTCTTGATCTAAAATAATGGATACATTGGTAAAACAAAATGTATTTTTCATTTTATATGTGCTTGTATATTGGTATGTAAAATGTCAACAATAACAGAGTAAAGCAACTACCCACAGACAGGGAAAAAATATTTGCAAGCCAGATGTCTGATAAATGGTTAATATGCAAAATATGTAAGGATCTCAAACAACACTATAGAAAGAAAACAAATAATCTGATTTTAAAATGGGCAAGGGGCCTGAATAGAATTTCCTCAAAGAAGACATACAAATGGTCAACAGATATGTGAAATAAAAGCTTATCATTGCTAATCTTAGGAAAATGGAAATTAAAACTGCAATGAGATATCAGCTCACACATGTAACAATGGCTATTATCAAAAAGATGAAAGATAAGTGTTGGCAAGAGTGTGGAAAAAAAAAGAGCCCTTGTATTTCCACAAACCTTAGTGGGAATGTAAATTAATAAAGCCATTATGGAAAAATGTATGCAGGTTCCTAAAAATACCAAAAATAGAATTATATGATACAGAAATCCCACTACTGGGATCTTAATACAGTAAATCCCTCTACCAGGATTTACCCCAAAGGTTTGAAATCAGTATGTCGAAGAGATGTTTGCACTCCAGTGTTCATTGTAGCACTATTCCCAATAGCCAGGAGATGGAATTAACTTGAATGTCCATTGACAGATGAATGGATAAAGTATGGTGTAGAAACACAGTGGAATACTATTCAGCCTTTAAAAAGGATTCTTTTATTTGTAACAAAATGGATGGAATTGGTGAACATTATAAGTGAAATAAGCCAGACACAGAAAGACAAATGCTGTGTGTTTTCACTTATGTGGAATCTAAAACAATAGAAATAATAGAACCAGAGAATAGAATAATGGTTACAAGAGGGTGGCGGGAGGTGGGGGTCAGGTGAAAGAAATGGAAAGATGATGCTGCTCAAAACTTACAAAGCCTCAGACAGGAGAAATGAGTTTTGTATTTTTTTTAACATGGTGAATATAGTAAATGATAGTGTACTGTGTACTTAAAAATGTTGGAAAGAGTACATTTCGAATGTTCTCACTACAAAAAAATAAATATTTGAGGTGATAGAAATGTTAACTAATTTGATTTCATTATTCCACATTGTATGCATGAATCATAATATCACTTTGTACCCCATAAATATATACTATAATTTGTCAATGTATAGCTTTAAAAAAAAAAAACAGAAACAACTAGAATATGTTTAGGACTAACTTGCAGGTTGCCAAGCCAGGATAGGGATTGTAGGCTATAATATAGGCAAACTTTAGATTGAATGCATGAATGTATGTAGCCCAAATAGCTGCAGGACAGAGAGAACTGAAAGAAAGTTAAAAAAAAGAAAAAAAGAAATAGAATGACAGTTCTGTAAGAGTGGGAAGTAAGGATTGTTTGAAACATTGAAATCTCATTTTTGAGAGCCGATTAATAATGCGGTAGAGATTAAGCAAATCTGGAAGATGTTTAAACAGTGGTGTTGAAAATGACATAGCAAACAATTAAGGGTGAACTTGTGTAGCACACCACCAAACCAGAGCAAGGGGGCACATGTATAGTAACACGTGAAAAACAGAAAACAGAAAGGGAAATTCATTTACTTGAAACCACAGTCTTGTGTTACATAATATTCTTTGCAACTGTATCATTCACTTTCACTTAGAATATTTCTACAATTTGGAAACTCACTTTTTTTTCATGTGTACTCTGTGCTTAGAATAGAAATACACGTCAGGATAAATGAGTCATGTACAGCAGTCATAAAATCATGTCTTAGGTAATTTCTTATTTTGCATATTTACATGTGCCATGAGGCCTATGGGCTCTAGAAAGCCAAGTTAGCCAGGGTTGGGGATTGCAAGCAAAAAAAATGAAGGAATTTAGGGAAAAAAAAATACACAAATATTTTATTTCCTATTACTTTGGAGTCTGCATTTCTAAAGTACTCAGATTAAAAATTACAAGGCAGTAGAAGGGCACTGTTAATTTCTACCACTGATTAATCATGAAAATTGCAAAATACATTTATCACCAAGAGAAAGACATTTGTGTAAAAAATGGACAAAGGCTTTTTGCCGGGATGTTGTTAGATCATCCACCAAGTCAAAACGGTTGTACATTTTGTTAATATGTTACTGGAATAAAGTAATGCTGCACATTTAGCACTGGATTATGTGACCTGCTGCCAAAATTTGTATCTCTGATTACAGGGTGCAAGCCTAAGTAGTTTCTCACTGATTTATGTCTGATGCATTATAATCCACTGACTGACAGGGTAATTAACTGTATTTGTTAATTGGATGGTAAAATACATTTTTGTTCTTCTGATTTAATACTTTTTTTAAAAATTTAAGACTAAGGCAAAAACATATACTATGATAAAAATTAACCACATTAAAAACGAGACCTAGTGCAATTTATTTCTTAATTCTTGTTACCAAACAATAGTAACTAAAGAGATATAAACTCAATTGTGTGAGTTAACAGGCTTATAGTAAATATCATTTCTATACATAGCAAATCAGTTCATGTTAAGCAAATGAATAAGTACACATCTTCTCTTTAAGCAGAAGGTGTTATAAATTACTATTAAAATCCAGCTGATATTGCATTTTTAAGTAAGGACATATATACTATTTACATTGCTTTATAGGGGTTTTCATCTCCTACCAATAGTTTAAATAGTGCCTCCCTCTCTGACTGTCTAATTTATACTTTCTGAATTTTATTTCTCAAAAGATAAATATGGAAATATCTGTGTGTATACATTTGAAAAGATTGAAAGGAATGAGAATCTAGCACTTCGATAAGAAATACGGTGAGATTTTCTGTTAAAAATTGCTGTTATACTCTATATTTCATCCAGTAACTCCTCTTGATAATCCTGTAATAAATGAAACACTTTTAAGCATTACCAGTGATATTTTTATTTTCAGATACCTCTCTCCATTAATCCATGTCATTATAGCATTATAATTTATTCCTGTTTTTAATAAAGCACTTGTGATTTATGGAGTTGACCAATAGTAACTAACATCTTGAACTTGGGAGTTTGTTCACCTATAGAGTTAAATCATATATTTTTGTGTGTAGTCTATTCTGAGTAAACAGAATGTAGAGAAATTAGAAGTAGTAAGGAAAGAAACAAGGGCTCTAAAATAAATACTAAGCAAATATCAATTCCATGTGGAACAACAGGGCACCAATTCCAATCAGCTTCAAGAGATAAGAAGAAGTTGGAGATGGGAAAGGAGATAGTCATCTTCCAGGAGCAGGAAAAGACCAGTGTAATAGAGAAAATGGGAATGATTGTCCACAGGACGTTATAGACTTGACTTAGGGAAACTGATTTAGCAAGAATATGGAAGCCAGCACCATCCTGAACTCTGGCTGAAGTATCCAGTCCATCTCTGTCTGACTCCTACATACTAGAGATTCATAGAGGGGCATACAAATTGAATGTATCCAGCGAGCTTAGAGAGAAATGGGTTAGAATGATTTCTCCACCGGAACATCCATAGGGTGCTGTTATCTGACAGTATGACAGAAGTATAGTAGAGTCAGGTAGATTCCAGGGCCTTCAACCATTTGTACTGAAGACTCTTTCAGAATCTTATTGGTAGAATAAGGGTACCAGCAGCCCCCCGAGATGGATTCCTGGATCATGAAGAGACAAAACAGGTAGGGTAGCTTATAGATGAGTCATCAATTGAAAAAAAAATCTTATGTTGAGTATTTTTCACTTCACTCTGAGTTAAAATCTGCACCATTGTCTATTAGATGCTGCAGGAGCTGGCTGGCCCCTGCTGCTTGCTTGACCTCAGCAAGTGGAACTCCTAGCTCTCTGTTCTGGGCACACTAGCCTTTTCTGAACCAGGTGTTTCTCATGTGTCACTGTATCCAAGAGGACATCACAGACAACACTGTCTAAAACAGAGGAGAACCCCCTTTTCCATTACAGGCTTTGTTTTTCTTCACAACATTTTAACACTCCATGGAATATTAGATGCTGTTTTGTTCACTATCTGTTTCCTTCTAGTAGAGGGAAAACGACTCTCTAGTTTCCCTCTTATAATCTCCATGAAAACAAGAATTTTGTCCTGCTGTAGTTATTTCTGTATGCCATAGGTGCTCAAATAGTCACTGAATAAAATAGTGAAATGATGAATATAAGCCTTGCTCCACTTAATCTAATACCTCTCTTTACCTCAAAAAATACTGAGCATGCTAATTTGAAAAAGAGTTAAGACTCAGTAGATGGGAGTTGGATGCGTGTTGATTTAAAACCAGCCTTAGGTAAGAAAGGTGCTAGTTGGTGGAATTAGTCAGTGATGAGACAATATATTCATTTCTCTCTACTCAATGGTTTTAGCAACTTAATATTTCAATAATTAGCTCATAGCATAAAATTTGTCTCAGCAATTAGAATAATATTTTCTGAGAGTTGGCCAAGGCTTTGCATTTTCTTAAAAAAAAAACAATTTTCTTTTTTTTTTTTTTTGGATACATATTTATTTATTTATTTATTATTACTATTATTATTATTTTTTTTAATTCTACTTTAAGTTTTAGGGTACATGTGCACATTGTGCAGGTTAGTTACATATGTATACATGTGCCATGCTGGTGCGCTGCACCCACTAACTCGTCATCTAGCATTAGGTATATCTCCCAATGCTATCCCTCCCCCCTCCCCCCTCCCCACCACAGTCCCCAGAGTGTGATATTCCCCTTCCTGTGTCCATGTGATCTCATTGTTCAATTCCCACCTATGAGTGAGAATATGCGGTGTTTGGTTTTTTGTTCTTGCGATAGTTTACTGAGAATGATGGTTTCCAATTTCATCCATGTCCCTACAAAGGACATGAACTCATCATTTTTTAAGGCTGCATAGTATTCCATGGTGTATATGTGCCACATTTTCTTAATCCAGTCTATCATTGTTGGACATTTGGGTTGGTTCCAAGTCTTTGCTATTGTGAATAATGCCGCAATAAACATACGTGTGCATGTGTCTTTATAGCAGCATGATTTATAGTCCTTTGGGTATATACCCAGTAATGGGATGGCTGGGTCAAATGGTATTTCTAGTTCTAGATCCCTGAGGAATCGCCACACTGACTTCCACAATGGTTGAACTAGTTTACAGTCCCACCAACAGTGTAAAAGTGTTCCTATTTCTCCACATCCTCTCCAGCACCTGTTGTTTCCTGACTTTTTAATGATTGCCATTCTAACTGGTGTGAGATGATATCTCATAGTGGTTTTGATTTGCATTTCTCTGATGGCCAGTGATGATGAGCATTTTTTCATGTGTTTTTTGGCTGCATAAATGTCTTTTTTTGAGAAGTGTCTGTTCATGTCCCTCGCCCACTTTTTGATGGGGTTGTTTGTTTTTTTCTTGTAAATTTGTTTGAGTTCATTGTAGATTCTGGATATTAGCCCTTTGTCAGATGAGTAGGTTGCAAAAATTTTCTCCCATTCTGTAGGTTGCCTGTTCACTCTGATGGTAGTTTCTTTTGCTGTGTAGAAGCTCTTTAGTTTAATTAGATCCCATTTGTCAATTTTGGCTTTGGTTGCCATTGCTTTTGGTGTTTTGGACATGAAGTCCTTGCCCACGCCTATGTCCTGAATGGTAATGCCTAGGTTTTCTTCTAGGGTTTTTATGGTTTTAGGTCTAACGTTTAAATCTTTGATCCATCTTGAATTGATTTTTGTATAAGGTGTAAGGAAGGGATCCAGTTTCAGCTTTGTACATATGGCTAGCCAGTTTTCCCAGCACCATTTATTAAATAGGGAATCCTTTCCCCATTGCTTGTTTTTCTCAGGTTTGTCAAAGATCAGATAGTTGTAGGTATGCGGCATTATTTCTGAGGGCTCTGTTCTGTTCCATTGATCTATATCTCTGTTTTGGTACCAGTACCATGCTGTTTTGGTTACTGTAGCCTTGTAGTATAGTTTGAAGTCAGGTAGTGTGATGCCTCCAGCTTTGTTCTTTTGGCTTAGGATTGACTTGGCGATGCAGGCTCTTTTTTGGTTCCATATGAACATTAAAGTAGTTTTTTCCAATTCTGTGAAGAAAGTCATTGGTAGCTTGATGGGGATGGCATTGAATCTGTAAATTACCTTGGGCAGTATGGCCATTTTCATGATATTAATTCTTCCTACCCATGAGCATGGAATGTTCTTCCATTTGTTTGTATCCTCTTTTATTTCCTTGAGCAGTGGTTTGTAGTTCTCCTTGAAGAGGTCCTTCACATCCCTTGTAAGTTGGATTCCTAGGTATTTTATTCTCTTTGAAGCAATTGTGAATGGGAGTTCACTCATGATTTGGCTCTCTGTTTGTCTGTTGTTGGTGTATAGGAATGCTTGTGATTTTTGTACATTGATTTTGTATCCTGAGACTTTGCTGAAGTTGCTTATCAGCTTAAGGAGATTTTGGGCTGAGACAATGGGGTTTTCTAGATAAACAATCATGTCGTCTGCAAACAGGGACAATTTGACTTCCTCTTTTCCTAACTGAATACCCTTTATTTCCTTCTCCTGCCTGATTGCCCTGGCCAGAAGTTCCAACACTATGTTGAATAGGAGTGGTGAGAGAGGGCATCCCTGTCTTGTGCCAGTTTTCAAAGGGAATGCTTCCAGTTTTTGCCCATTCAGTATGATGTTGGCTGTGGGTTTGTCATAGATAGCTCTTATTATTTTGAAATACGACCCATCAATACCTAATTTATTGAGAGTTTTTAGCATGAAGGGTTGTTGAATTTTGTCAAAGGCTTTTTCTGCATCTATTGAGATAATCATGTGGTTTTTGTCTTTGGCTCTGTTTATATGCTGGATTACATTTATTGATTTGCATATATTGAACCAGCCTTGCATCCCAGGGATGAAGCCAATTTCTTACTTGCTGTCACATCTTGTCTTACTATAAATGTTCAAAATAGCACAAACAGATGGTCAGTTGATTATTCTCAGGCAATATTAAAACATACAATTGAAATTGATGTATTCATATTCCAGCACACCTCCAAAGAGAAGTAGAAACAAAGAAATAGGTACCTATACTCTTGTTATCCATAGTAAGAAGTAGAGTTCAAATAGGAGGAAAAGTATTCTATTCAAATTATATTTTACATGTCTAATGCTTAGAACATATTTAGCAATCATTTGATAAATATATAAGTTTTATGCAGATTTTTGGCCTATAATTGATTTTTAGATAGAAAAAACCCTCTTGTGTTCTCTATGTCACTTTGGCTTGAAATCATTTCTAATGAATAAAAAATCTTATTTTAGATTAAAAAAAGTATGAATCCTTTTGTTGCACAGTGACTTGTTGGAAAATGACTACTTACAGGATGCTATTCCAGGTCCTGAAAAGAGTATGAAAAATGCATATGTAATGGCACTTACTAAATTGTGAAGGAAAACGAATCATATTCCCTTTAGCTATTATTTCACTTGAAGGAGGGAGGGCTAGATGATGTGTAAGGCTATGTCATTCACATGCCCAAGTAGCATATGAAGCTATTATCTTGAGGTAATTTTTTAGCTTGCAGTTTAACCTTATATGGTGTTATTAGATACTTTTACAGCTAATCTTTATGTGGCCTTTTTAGTGTAATTGAGTCTCTCGCCATACTCTTTTTATAGAAGTACAAATGTATTGGGCTTTTCTATCATACTTTTGAATCCTATTTCTCATTTAGACTCAGAAAAAACTTAAAATAGGGACCAGCATTTATTCTTGGCAACTTTGCTATGGACGGTCACCTCTGTAGGTTGTAGTTGAATATTTGCACAGTCTAATCCAGTGCAATGTGAACAGGTCTATATGGATATCTTCAAACATTTTCTGGCTAATTATAAAGCTATGGTGGGAAAGGATGAATTAATAAAAATAAACATAGCTTTTTTAACAAGTCAGGAGGAAGGCTGTTGATATCTTTTATATTCTAGATGAAAGATGTCTTTGTTAAACTGCATCTTGACTTATTTTTCCCCCACATGTGCTTTCTGAAAATTATTTTGGCCCTGATTATTAGATAATACTATCATCTGTGAGAAGGATTGATGAATGAAGATAGATGAATATCCTTGTTACTTCAGAGTGAACTATTAATTTTATTCAACAAATGATCTGTGCCTTTCTATCCAGATAACAATTAGGCTGAACCATATGAAATTGTCATTTTTGTAGGTTAAAAATTACTGTATTTTAGCAATGAAATTTCTTTTTACCTGCTTCTAAGGAAGTTACCTTTCCTTTACTAAGCATCTTCAAAATAACAAAGATAATCTGAATAGTCTTTGTTGAGAAATCTAATTTAAATAATCTTGAAATATGCCTCATATTAAAAACACTTTTTCCATTCGTAAACACAATAGTAAAGCTCAGTCTAGACAGATAAATTTCATTATCTGCTTTACCTCCATTTAGCATGTGATAACCTGGGCCAAGTTAACTTACCTTCAATGGGCATTGGTGGCTTCACCTGTTAAATGACAACAGAGATCTAAATTTTTTAAAGGCAAATATACATTACACCATTTCAAATCTCATTATTGAAAGTAAAGTAAAAAGATCTGGAAAATTTTCAGTTTTCCTATTTCTTTCTCCTTAGCAGTTTTCAATGCTGTCCACCATACAATGAATAGAGGATATCATTCTTAGGTTAATGGAAAATTCTGGAAAAACAGGATAGTATGCATCTCACTTTCTTACTGTTGTAAGAGACAATAATGTGTTTTAATTTGAAATACACTCTGTTGAGCTATTGACCCAGATCAATTAAATACGTCAAAGGTGTGTAAGAGATACCAAGGATCAGGTTGTCCTTTTTAAAAAACTCACCTTATTAGGTTATAACATTTTCAAAAGGAAAAACACAATTAAGTATATTCAGAATTTTAAACCAATCATGAACCTTTTATCTTGTCTCCTCTCTCCCAACAATCAAAATGAGGGGCAAAGTGGAGGCTGTATGTTAAACAGCAGACTGTTTTCTCTACATCAAAAACAAAGTGTCAAAGAGCAGGATCCAACATAGTAAGACAAGAGTTCATATTTTCATAGAAATTCTTTGTTGCAATGACTCTGAAAAATGATTACAAGTTTAGGAAATTCATTTAAATTTAATTTGGCCAAATTACCTCTCGGTTGGCTCATAATTATCTCCAAGTAATTTTATAAATAATTACTTCAAATGCTGCATTTTGCTATACATCATGAAGTAACTAAATTAAGAATTTAAATTATGGTACTTTAGTATTTATAGTTAATCATATTTTCACTTCAGAACAGCTTTTAATTGGAAATTTGAGTTTAAATTTAATAAAAAAAGCTGAGCTGATTCAAGTTATTGTTAAAAGATCTATTCCATTTAACTGTTAACTAAATGAGGTAATATACTTTAAGATATTATGCTTTTAAAATAGTGTTCTTTGAATGGTTTTGAGCCCTAATGTTTTATGTAATCTGTATATAATCTTTAGATTATTGTAAACATTAATCAGTGTTTTATTTAATGTATAGAAAGATAATCTTTGCAGAATGCAATTTCCCAGGTCCGTAGTACAAATTAAAGTGGAGAATGATATGTTATAATTCCACTTAACTGTATTATGTCTATCAAATGAATAGGAAGAGAGATTGGGAAATTAAACATTTCTGGTTTCTTAAAATTTAAGAAGTGTTTGAAAGCATTTTAGAAGATGCAAATAATGGGTAGTTTAGAGGAGAGAAACTTTGAAAAACATTTATGCTTTGATAACCAAACATTCTATAAAAGTCGGAAATAGTAAGGAGCACCATAATTACAATCTGCAAATACACGATAATATGTTGTTAGGAGAATAGCCTTCCTGAGAATTAAAGCTATTTGAGTCGGGAAATGGAGTATGTGGGAAATAGCAAAGTGAAAGCAAAATGGAATGAGAGTCTTTGCCCTATCAATGATTACTATCATTAGGTCTCTGGTGTGGTGGCTGGGGGCATCAAGAGTCAGAGGAACAGGGATAAGACTTGATTTTGCTGCCAATTAGCTGTGAGACTTCAGAAAAATCAATTAGCATCTTTGGATCCCAATGTCTTCATCTTATCCAAATTACATCTTATCCAAATTACAAGCTATCTCCATACTCTCACAGCTACTCTCACAGCTACTCTCACAGCTAAACTTTCTCTCTCTTATGAAGCCCTACAACACATTCTATGTCCCTCTCACTGCATTTGTCACGTTTCAACTTTTGTTATTCTTATTTATGCATGTGTCTGTATACATAGGTCTTCACTGCAAAACAACTTTCTTGGGAAAAGTTCTATTTTTCCTACATTTTATGCAGTGTTAAATACTTGGCACAATTTCCCTTGAATATAGTTGATGACTACCTGTCTTAGAAGCAACTTACTTCAAATGCAGATTCCAGAGTTCTGCTCATCAGTACTGTGCTGGCCAATGCAGTAGCTACCAGCCACATGTGTCTATTAAACATTTGAAATATTGCCTAATTCTAATTGAGATATTCTGTCGTTGTAAAAGACACACCAGATTCCAAAGACTTAATACAAAAATGTAAAATATCTCATGAATAATATTTAAATCTTAATTGTATGTTGAAATAATATTTTAAATGTATTTTATTAAATAAAATACATTTTAAAGTTAATTTTACCTGTGTTAATACGATAATTTCAGAAAATGTAAAGTTATCTATGTGTTTCACATTATATTTCTTTTGGAGAGTGCCGGTCTAGAGATTTTGATTCAATAGAATTCTTTGCAGTACAGCAACCCATATTTGTAAAAAGATCTTCAAGTAATTCTGTTGTGCACAAATGTTAGAAAATGACTAGATTGACGCATTAACTACACACAGCGAACAGTCACCAGGAATGGTAGTTGTGGAAGCAAAGCTCTTTATTTCATTAGTATGTGACAATATTAGTATTTGAGTAGATTCTATCAATTACTCAAAGTCCTTGCTTTGGGCAGCCCTGGCTTGACATAGTAGTAAGGAAAAAGAAAAGGCTGCCACCTTTCTGAGTAGCATTCTTAACAAACAACAAAGCTCATTTGAGGTCATTAGAAACAATTAGCACCTTGTCTGCTATCCTAAACAAGAGCTATGTTTTCAGTAAATGATGTTTCTTGCCAGCTTCAAAAGACAGACTGATGTCCTAAGAAAAACAAGCAGATAAATGTAGAAATTTTAAAAAGGAAGAAAATGAGCTTGAGGGTTTGGCTGTTAAAGTTAGATGGTAAGGCTGATTAATTTACTTATTAATTTACTCATTGATCCATTGTTGGTGTAAATTGAATGAATTTGAATGGCTTGTTGGAAGCACAAGAAATAAGAATAAAGAAGACATTAAATTTTTGACTCAAGAAAAATCAAGAATGCATGATTTTCCCCATATGAAAGGAATATTAAACTGTAATAAAAGTATATTTAGAATTAATTTAATGAAAAGCAGGGTTTTCCTTACACCAGTCTGAGTTTATAGTTACAGCTGCAATTCATTCTGACATTCAGATATAACAGCAAGAACAATATTATGCAGCAGAATGTAGGTAATGATGCTTTTAGGGAAAGAAACACCTCTATTTTAAAGCTTTTCACTTTATTCTGATTTTGCCTTACAGACGACAAACAGAACTCATGCTCTAGAAAAGCAGCTTGATTAAAAAATCACAGAACAATTATATTCTTTCTAAGACACTGGCTGAAGCACAGTAGACAGATTTTTTAAAAAATTATAAACAATATGTATTCATTTTAGTTGATTAGTCAAGTCCACTCTTTTTCCTTTAAACAATCCCTTTAAGAGAAATCAACTTCTTTGCCATCTTTGCAAACAAGAATGGGTTTTGGGAGGCAAAAAACCCAAAGTCTTTTAGATTCTCCACAAGGCTTACTGCAAATGACTTCATAGCCTTCTGAGAGAACTGAGGTTGCATTTTGTGCCACTGCAAATTTAAATCCAGGTCACAGAGATGTTACATAGCAAATGACACATTTACTGTGCCACCCAGCTGCCTCTTCTAATGCACCAGGACTGTCTTCTGAACAAAGTCAGCATGCCAATGTTTGGCTGTGTGCAAGTAGTTTTGTTTACCAGGGTGACGCTAAAAGAAGAAATTCTGCCCACAATTAAAAAGCTACTTAGCTCAATTACTAATTCACCCCTGAAGTGTCAAATAAATGACTTGTCTCTCTGAAGGAGCAGTAATCCTGAATCTCATGAGTGAAAAATTTTCAAGCTCTTCAGTGAGTCAGGATTGAGATTACAACACTCACAGAGAATACTTGCAGAGAATCTAACACTCTATGCTAGATGGCAGAGGACATAAGAGAGCATTATCAGGTTTCTCTAATCAGTCTTTTAAAATATGTTTTGCCTCAAGAAAAACTTGTTAAAACAAGAGTGATAATCACAGTTATTTTGTGGCTACATGTGAAAGATGATCTGTGCTGGCAAAATCCTAATAGCTTATCTCTTTTGTCACACCACAATTTCACATGTGCTTTCTTAAAAAATATTCTCGCCAGTATATCCTCCTCCTACAAATCAATGCCATGTTGTCGATTAATTCCAATAATAGAGAAAATTAAAAGTGAGGGGCCAGTAATCTGTAAAAAACAAGAACTGGAGGTTTTCATTTTTGATGTCCACAGAGAGCCAGAGCTTTGGAATCATAGGAAAAGAGCACAAAATGTGTCTGTCAAGTGAGAGGAAGACAAAACACTTACCTGAATGTATTGTTTACTTGTCAGGCCAGTTAATACCTCTCAGCTGTGACTGAGTTCTCCCGACAAGGCAAGACAAGTATTTGAATCCTAGTAAAGTGGTTCCTTAACATGGCTGTGCACGAAACAAAGCTGGGAGTGTACACCCCCCCGCCCCCCCCCCCCCACACACACAAACACGAACCATCCAGACTATTTGCTAATCTGTTTTTCTGGGTTTAGTGATCCTTTTTGCAATTTCTCAAGTGATTCTGATATTCAGCCAGACTGGGGAATCTCCCAGCCCATGCCTTGTGACTGTGGTTCACCTGCAAAGATACATGAGTTGTCTCGTCATTCAAACCAAGCCCAGATTTCTTGATTCTCTAGGACCAAAGTTAGTTGGCAAGAAAAAGTGAAAAGTATACAAATATATAATGACAAAAATATATGTATGCTTATTTATACACAAAATAACATTCCCTTTATGTATACTAAGGAGTATTAAGTCTAGATTCTTATTCCAAATCAAAGAACATCTTCAAAAGTTTCTTTGAGTGATCACACCTACCCCTATCAAAAGTAGCTGACAGGAAGAAGTATTTTCTCCTTTAATATATTCTTTTGTTTTGTCATTAGTTGGGGGCTATTTTAGGGCACTAAAGAACTTTCTGCATTTGGAGAAATAATTCTATTCTAAATAGAATTCTGCTTTTGATTTTTTTATGCTGAGAACTGAAAAGATATGGTAGAGGGCTGACCTATTTTCACTCATTCTTTGGACAATATTTATCTATGTTTTATCCCTTCTATGTGCAAAGCACGAAGCTAAGTGCTTTGAGGGACATAAAGTTGAATTCGATATTTATATATTTATCTGCCCACACAGAATTTAAAGACTTTTAGGGAGGAAAAGCCATATACATAAATATCTATACTACAAAAAAAGCATAAAACATAAAAGACTGATAAATTTCACGGCGTTAATATTTTAAAATTCTGGGCATCAAAAGGTAGCATTTTATTACAGTGAAAATATAAGTCACAGAATGTGAGAAAATATTTTAAATGACTATAACTGACATAGAGATAAAATCCAGAATATGTAAAAAACTGCCAAAATTAAGTAGGAAAAAGACCAACCACATATTAGAAAAAAAGTAAAAATATTATCAGGTAATGAGTGTAAACTGGATTGCCAATAAAACATGAAAAGTTACTCCAGTTTAATAATCATCAAATAAATATGAGTTAAAACCATGAGATACAACAAACATTAATTTTGCAAAAATTTAAAAATCTGATCATACCATCATTAGAGAGAATATAAAGCTGTCGGAATTCATTCATACTCCTGGTGGAAATTAAATAGGTGCAATACCTGTGGAGAAAAGTTTGGCCTAGTTGAAGCTGAAGGCATGCATACTCAAAAAAAATTCAATTCCTAGGCATATGCCTGTCTTAGTATCCCAGCTAGAAACAGATACTCAATCCAGACAATTAAAGATAACTTCAGGGATTTTTTTTTTTAAGAGATGTGGGTCTCACTATGTTGCCCAGGTTGCTCTCAAACTCCTGGCCTCAAGGGATCCTCTTGCCTTGGCCTCCCAAAGCATTGGGATTACAGTTGCGAACCACTGCACCTGGCCTAGAGATAACTTTATAAATGGATTATGTATAAAATTTTAGGCAGGCTTAAGAGAAATCAACATACAATAGGATTTTAGTATCCCAGGGCTAAGGTCAACAGGAATCACTACTAGCTCTAGACTGGAAAATGCAGAGACAGGCTACTGAAACCAGAAGAAATTATGGTAGCTGTAAAGAGGTCGGGCAACAGTAGCTGTGGTTCTCAATAAGGGAAAACAGCGATGTGAGCTGACTCAGGAGGGAAGGAACCCAGGGAATAAATAACCTAGCTTCATTCTCTTGCCTGATCTCTGGGAAGCTGCCTTCCACTGGCCAGTGAGCAGCCAGGACAAGGAAGCCCCCTGGTGAAGTCCATGTCAGACTTCCAGGACTCAACGTAGGGTTGTGACAAGAGAAAAATTGAATATAATCCCTAGAGAAACTTTAATGTACACATTTATACAATGTCCACATTAGCACTGTTAATAATGACAAAAATACAGAAATAACCTAAATACCCATAAATCTGGAAGCATCTTGCAAAAAGTGCTGAGAAAGAAAAGCAAGCAAGATGCAGAAAATGCATACACTATGTTACCATTTGTCATCTAAAACACATAAAACTATTATGTGGTAGTTGACAATACATGAACTTAGTAAAAGGATAAAGAAATTCAGGGAGATGATGAATGACAAATTTAGGAGAGAGGTTACATTTGAGAAGGGTGAGGAATGTAGTATTTAGTACAGACTTACACTAAAACATTATTAGTGCTTTGCCTGAAATTCAAATTTAACTGGGCATCCTGTATTTTATATGGCAACCTGAGTGAATAAAGGATATGCAGTGGCTTCAGATGGCTGTGTTAGTTGCAAATATCTTCAACCAGTCTGTTGTCTTTTCCAATGCTTTTATGTTCTTATAGCATCTCTTGATGGACAGAAATTGTATTTCTTTATTTGGGCAATGGGAACACCGACGATCATTTTGTTATTCTTTATAGCTGTTTCTATGTCTGACACATCCCATAAGTAATATTGAAAATATCTACACAACCATATAAGAACTAAAACATGTCATAAGAAAGGTCCTCTGGATAAAGTAGTTTAGGAAGTTAGAAAAGATAACTCATATGTAGCTGAGAGACTCAGAGGCTCAAAACTTTGAGCTATGAATAAGATCGCTAAAGAATATCAGTATATTCTAGGAAGAGCAATGATGGGAAGAAAGACCTGAAGATATGAACGCACAGTTTATATTAAGAGGAAATGGAAATAGTAACAACGATTAAGACAATACATAACATACATGTTATTTTAAACAACATCCTTGAGTGCTGTGTTCCAGAAAACATGTTAATTTATATGTTTAATATTCACAGAAAACATTTGAGATGAGTACCATAATTTTCTCACTTTAAAAATGAGCATTGGGGTTATTAAGTAATTTATGCAGGTTCACAAAACTAGTAAGTGGCAGAGGCAGTTTGACCCAGGTTATGTGAGTTCAATACACACTCATAAATATGTACACTTCCCTGCAATAAATACTGTGCTTGGCATTAAGATACATGGTGCATCTGCCCTGTGTCAGTCATTTTTCTTTATGTGTTTCTTTATTTGCTCTTTGCAGTAAACTTATGAGTTAGGTAGCATCCAGCTTCATGTGAAGCCAAGTAATGTACTCAAGAATCACTGGCTATGGAATGAGACTGGTAAGGCCATTTCTATAGGACTCCAAAACCAATTAACTAAATAAGCAGTTTAATTTAGATAATGTAAAGTGAAGAAAAATAATAGAAAACATTTGCCTGGAAATAGATGCTGGGCATCAAATTATGAAGGTAAGGCTTGACTTTCTACTCTCAGCGATTGCTTGTGCCGAGAGAGAGAGGTATAGAAGTAATTATTGGCAGTTTTTGAATAGGGCAAGGAAAGGATCAGATGTTTTGAGAAAATATTAAAGTAATAGGAATTTTAATTGACAAGTTATTACCATATATTTGGGTAAGTGAGGTTTAATTCATTATAGCTTTAAATCATTATTGTCCTGTCTCAACAATTACCACAGTGTTTTACAATATGACAAGCACTCAATATGCACATATGACAAGTAACCAATAATTGCATCTTGCATGAATACATGAATGAATGAATGGCATATATAAGCCAAACGAATGAGTAAGCTAGTATGTTACTGTGGAGTTTTAAAGATGTTATAATGTAGGAACTCCAAAAGAAATTTGAAAGATTTTCCTGGTCTGCCAGTCTTCCTTGGTTAATACCCTATGTATGATTCTCAAACTAGGCGACTCTTGGAGTTCCTAATAATATCATTATGAGATGTTAAAATTAATATGCATTTCCTGAGTGCTCACAAAGTAAAAATCCCACCCAGAAGCATATAATTAAAATATAGAACTTTAGACTCTGATAATTATCTATAAAAAGGGGTGTTTGTTATTTAGTTAAATCCTACTGCAGAAGATGGATAGAGGTAGTCTGCTTTTTCCAGAGCTTTACAGCCTTTCCTTAGTTGAGTTTTAAATATACTTGGACTTAGAAGAAACTGATACTCATTTCAAATCAACGTGTTGAATTTTAATCTACTCAATATAAAAGTAATTGTATAAATAGGAAAGGAAAATGAATTATCATTTACAGGTACTTATTAAGACAGGATTCTGGTGACATATATGTTTTAGAATGGTGGATGGGATATATTTCTTTCTACAATATTACAAAATCTGACTCTCATTCAAGTGCTTCTCACACACTCAAAATGCTTATTCATGAAGAACCATCTAATGATATGTACACAGACACACACTCCCAGTCACCCTCAAGAGAGTCAAAAACAAAGATAATACCCACCAAAAGTCTCTGTTGAATACCTCCAATACATTAAAAAAATGAATTTCTTTCCATGAAATTGCTACCCTCTAGAGTTAATGAGTTTATATCATTTAAATATTTCCAAGTGAATAGGCTCATCAGAATACACGGTAAAAAATCTTCTAGACAGCTCAAGTCTCTGAGGACAGGCTGTTCTTTGAGAGTGTTACTTTATAGCATGAAGGCTTTCATTGAAACATAAAAACTACCACACACAATGAACTTATTTTTTCAACAGTAAGCCAGATACTGACCCAACGTAAAGATAATTTGAAAGAAAATGTGTCTTTGCTACATATCCATGTATAGATAAGGAAGGGTTTAATTGTTTTTATAGTGGTACCTTTTAAGAGTGCAATTTGGGATTCTCTACTGTGCTTAGGAAACGTGTTTCAGCATTTCATATTCAGAACCTCCATTCATCATCTTACATTTCAATGTGTGTCTCCTAAAGCCTCTCTCTTTAAAAGGAGGCCTTTAGCCCCCAGTGATTTCCCCACCACTGTTTTCAGAAGCAGTACCTATGTTCAATATTCCAAGGGATGAAAACAAGAAACATCATGTTTCACTACAAACTGTAGTAAAACTATAAATTAATTTGTAATTCTGTTCAAGGCATCTATATAGAAATATGTGCCATATTTGTTTAAAGAATGATTTGACCCAGCCATCCCATTACTGGGTATATACCCAAAGGATTATAAATCATGCTGCTATAAAGACACATGCACATGTATGTTTATTGCGGCACTATTCACAATAGCAAAGACTTGGAACCAACCCAAATGTCCATCAATGATAGACTGGATTAAGAAAATGTGGCACATATACACCATGGAATATTATGCAGCCATAAAAAAAGGATGAATTCATGTCCTTTGTAGGGACATGGATGAAGCTGGAAACCATCATTCTGAGCAAACTAGCACAAGGACAGAAAACCAAACACCGCATGTTCTCACTCATAGGTGGGAACTGAACAATGAGAACACTTGGACACAGGGTGGGGAACATCACACACCGGGGCCTGTCGTGGGGTGGGGGGAGAGGGGAGGGGGGAGGGATAGCATTAAGAGAAATACCTAATGTAAATGATGAGTTAATGGGTGCAGCACACCAACATGGCACATGTATACATATGTAACAAACATGCACGTTGTACACATGTACCCTAGAAACTTAATTTAAAAAAAGCAAATTAAAAAAAAATTCTTCTGAACTTTTACATCAGTTGTTTCTAATCAAAGCTCATCTAGTTTTTAAGTTTGAATACCCCCTAATTTATACATAAGTTAACTTTCTGGCTAATATAAATGGAATAAAATCCAATTGTCTATATATGAAATGTGAAATGATGCTAATTTAGTTAGCTTTCTTTTTCTTACTTGAAAGTTGTGATGGTAACTATCCCAATGTTTCAGCAATTATTTGCAAACTGTGGTTTGACTCTTAATTCATCCTTAGTTCTTATATATTATACTAACTGTATAAAACATAATCAAATGTATAATTACAGGTTTTAACATTTTAGTAATCACTTTTGTGGCAACGACAGGCAAAATTAATGTTGGTGCTCCAATTAGTGTGATTATAGGAATGGAAAACCAAATACTGTACTTTCTCACCTATACGTTGGAGCTGAGCTATGAGGATGCAAAGGCATAACAATGATATAGCGGACTTTGGGGACTCGGAGTTGGGGAGATTGGGAGGAATGTGAGGGATAAGAGACTATTCGGTACAGTGTACACTGCTCGGGTAACGGGTGCACTGAAATCTCGGAAATTACCACTAAAGAACTTAACTATGTAACCAAAAATCATATGTACCCCCAAAACTATTGAAATAAAAAATAGTGATTTAAAAATATAAAGGAATGATCATAGAAGAAAGCATAATGTGAAAGAAAAACAAGAAAAAAATATGAACATACTCTTATTTACGCAGCCATTATCACTATGGGACAAAAACATTTCCAGAGGTGATGACTTTCTATCTGACTATTTACATTTTAGATTTTACTGTACAGAAATCAGTTCTGGGATTTATATATTTGGTTTATTGAACCTCTGCTCCCATTTGGCCTTTACTCAACCTCCAAGACTTCAACCAAGCAAATTTTACAGATGTGGAGAAGGATACCAACTGATTTCTTTGTTTATCAAAGATTTAGGCATACAATATATCTTGATATAAACAAACACCAAAAGTTAGTTGACTTTCATTGCTTCTTTGAGATTTTTGGCTTCATTTTCTCTTAGAAATGCGAGTTACCTAATGAAAATAATTGAAGTAATATTTTTAAATTCAAAAAAGATGATGAAAAGAGAACTGAAGAAGACAAGGTTATTCAAAGCCATGATAGAAGAAGGATGACGTTTCTAAGAAAAAAAAGCATATTTAATATTTGTTTCATTATCCAAAATTCCACCAAATGCTATGAATGCTCATCAAATTGACATTCTCATTGCTTATTTGAAGTTTTAATTAAAATGCCCAAGAGGAGTCTTCATTCTCAAAGACTATATAATTCAAACAATTGAAGATGTATTTAAAATGTTTCTTCATCAAAGGAAATAATTCATACCTTCCTTAGCTAGTAATCACTGGATTCCATGGAACATAAGCTACTTGCTGAAATTCATAGACTAGATTGAGTTACCTAACAACCATTTATAGTTAAATGTCCTGAGTGAATGGTTAGCAAGTTAAAACTCTCTTTAATATCAAATTATTTCTACAAAAAAGTCAGCTTAAAAATAAGATGGATTTTTTTGAAATACCATACAGAATTAAAATTAAATTTAAAAATATTTTCAGAAATTCAATTTGGAAAATAAGATAAAATATTTAACATTTTAAAGCCTATCTAGAAAATATGTTGATCCTAAGGAATTATAAACAAATATTATAAAGTCTTTTATAAAAGTGGACGAATTGAAAGATTATGTAATACCTAATCATTACCCAAACTTACCACTAAATCAAGGCCGAACATACAAGTATGCATTTTAAACCGGATAGTTCCTTAGCAATCTATTAACTCTTTTATCAGCCAAGTTTGTTTTGCTTACCAACCTTGAATTTGCTGAATTCCAATCTTATTGTATACAGTGATTAGTTCATAGGAAGGATAATTTGTCTTTTAAAGGGTTGAAAAATAATCCTCTCAAAATCTTCACTGAAATGTAGTTAAATGCATATCTTTATTAGAGAACTTGAAAGATAGAACAGAGCAAAGAAGTGTAAAATATGGAGATATCCATTTGTTTGTTTTTACTCTTCCAACCTAAAACCTGACAGAATTAGATTTTCAGAGGTATAGTATGTAAGAGATGTTCTTTAAAGAATTTTGTTTCGGCCAGGCACGGTGGCTTATGCCTATAATCCCAGCACTTTGGGAGGCCAAGGCGGGTGGGTCACCAGGTCAAGAGATACAGACCATCCTGGCCAACATGGTGAAACCTTGTCTCTACTAAAAATACAAAAATTAGCTGGGCATGGTGGTGAGCACCTGTAATCCTAGCTACTAGGCAAGCTGAGGCAGAGAATTGCTTGAACCCAGGAGGCAGAGGTTGCAGTGAGCTGAGATCATGCCACTGCACTCCAGCCTGGAGACAGAGCGAGACCGTGTCTCCATATATATATGGATAATTTTTATTTGGTCAAGTGGAGTAATTTTAAATCCATGCCTACACAATGAATTTACAATACATTTTGGTGAATTTCTGAATACTGAAATAGACGGTGAGTTTCTGAATGCTGAAATAGATCATGGTATAAAACAAATTTTAGGGTTGACTGGAAGAGCTAGAAGAGCTAGCCCTTACATACTTCTTTTGACCAAGCTTGTGACTTTCTGCAATGTCATTGGATACTTAGATACCAATATCTATTTGATGTAGGAAAGTTTTTTAATAATATTGTTTATAGTATGAAACAAATCATTTAGCAGAAATTGTGTACTATGAGTGGGAACAGTGATAGCCACAAGCATTCCCTTCAGAATATCTATAATTTTCCTGGAAAATACCTAGCTTTTAGAGCTTATTACTTTTGACATAATTAAATGTCTGTGTATATTTGCGTGTGTGATTTATACTTTTATTTTTTCCAATTATCAATATCAAAGATTAAATTGAATCTTTTAAATTTTTTGTGTAGTATAAAAATTCTGTTAATATTTTCCTCCCCATCATTTTAAAATGTACTCTGGATTTTTAGATCCTGCTATTGTTATTAAATTATTATTTTTATGTTTTGTATATTTTAGAAATGGTTTTCTCATAGTAAATTTTACTTGACAACCATATTTATTTTCACTTGACAACTGTATTTATAACTAGTCATTTTCACTTGATAATCATATTTATAACTAGTATTTTATACTTAACACTATCATTAATTAATTGGCTTCAATGCTCATCAAGAGTTTATCACATTTTTTTCTATTATTTTCTCTTAAATGTAATTATTTTATTAACTGAATAGAGTGTTTCTTCATTGACTATTTTGTAAGAAGTGTGAAGAAAAGGTATGCTTTGCAAGCTCTTGAAACTCAGAATGTCTTTCTGTTGATTTGGAAAGTATCTTGGTCTGGCATAATGTTACTGGGTCAAAAATATATTTACAATATATTTATAGCTATCAGATATTTGCCAAGAATTATGCCAATCATTTATACTCATTGTCTATATTTCTTATAAAAATTTCCATTTATTATAATTAATTATTTATTTATTTATTTTAAAATGGAGTCTTTCTCTGTCTCCCAGGCTGGAGTTCAGTGGCATGATTTTGGCTCACTGCAACCTCCACCTCCTGGGCTCAAGGAATTCTCATGTTCCAGCCTCCCAAGTAGCTGGGACCACAAGCATGCGCCACTACACCCAGCTAATTTTTTGTATATTCAGTAGAGAGGGGGTTTCACCATGTTGGCCAGGCTGGTCTCCAACTCCTGACCTCAAGTAATCTGCCCACGGCGGCCTCACAAAGTGCTGGGATTACAGATGTGAGCCACTGTGCCTGGCCTATCATCATACTTTTTTATAAATGAGAAAACTGAGGCTCAGTACCAGCAAGTGTCTTGACAAGGATCACATATAAATAAATGGATCAGTGGAGTCTCCACTACTGATGCTTTCTACGTCTCAAAACCACAGCTCAACAGATGTGAGTTTCAACTGTCTTTGTGCAGGAAACATCCTTTCAGTATTGTTGTTTTTTTTTTCTGATATTTAAAAAAAAATTTTTCTTGCCTCGATGTTTTAGAATTTTAGAGATAAGTATTTTAAATATTTATAATAAATAAACACTTCACCAGATTATGTTTACATGTTGCTCTATTTTCACTGAAGTTTTGCCTGGAATGGGAAGGAATCCTAATACTTAAAGAGAATTAAGTATGTACATTTGTTGGAGGCTGCATCATCATGAACACTATCACGCCCTAGTGATCTCACTTTCTCCCTCCTAAATAGTCTTTTTCTTCAATAAGCCATTATCTCCAGGGCACTAGTGTTATACCTACCTCATAAGAGACATTTGGTGTTTTGGGCACAGTTCATTCACCTTTACCTTTTATTTTATTTATTATTTATTTATTTTTTTTGAGATGGACTCTCGCTGTGTCCCCAGGCTGGAGTGCAGTGGCGTGATCTCTGCTCACTGCAACCTCCACCTCCTGGGTTTAAGCAATTCTCCTGCCTCATCCTCCCGAGTAGCTGGGACTACAGGCATGCACCACCACACCCAGCTAATTTTTATGTTTTATTTTTAGTAGAGACACAGTTTCACCATGTTGGCCACGCTGGTCTCCAACTCCTGAATTTAGGCCATTTGCCCGCCTCAGCCTCCCAAAGTGCTGGAATTATAGGCATGAGCCACCGTGCCTGGCCTTCCTTTACCTTTTTTAAAAATATATAAATTGTTCACATATTGATCGCCTCATCTACTTCCCACTGCTGTCACCATTTTTATCCAGACTCTCAACATCCTCTTACTTTGCGTCACTCACACCACAAACCTGCTTTGCAAATTTGGGACAAAAAAAATTCTTCACTTTAAATTTCAGCTCTATTATGTTGCTTAGCAGCCTAAGAAACAATTTTGTTCTTGGTTTTTTTAAATGTATCCTGATCTTGAGTAATGTGCTTTTCATCCTTATAATTTTTACCATATCGCTAATATCGTTCCTATCATTGATTTGATTAAAGTTACTTTAAAAAATCTATTTTAGGCTTATAACAAATAATGTCGGTGAGATACAGATGAAAATAAATGCAATATTATGACTAAAAGGCCATTGTTTCACAGACTATCTAAATCATAAATCACTGCTTAATTTTTACTTTCGAGAGTCACATGTGATACAAGCCCCAAAACTATTGAAAATGTCACCTATTGCAGGAATCCACATTTTTCTACCAGTTTAGCAGCCCCTTCACCTGTCACACACCTTGTCTATCAAATTTTACAGTTCACCAACTTGTAGTCAGTATCTTTGGCACCAGAGATCATTAGTTGTCATTATTTTTCACTCTGTTTCCCCCCTGTGGCTAATACCTAGACTTTCTTCTATTTGCCATCCTTCACCTAATCTCATTCACGTCTAAAGTTCCACCTAAGACTCAACACCTTTAGAAGTATTCTGAATTCTCCAGACAACAACAGAGGCACTTTTCTTAATATACTACATTTTTATCACTAAAATTTCTCTAAATTATTGTAATCAGTGGGTCAGTTTGAGTCCTGCAGAAGCAGATAACAGGATATTAGTCATGCAAAAGAGCTGCTATAGTGGAAGAAACACCCAGAAGATAAAGGGAATGGAGCAGGAGCAGGCAGGAAGAACTTTGTGATCATAGTGCAGACAGAGCACCAGTGAAAGCAGAGAGTGATAAGAGAATTGGGTAGGAAAATACTAGGCTGTGGGGCAGTTTTAAGTCTCAGCCACAACGGTGGGCTAGTATAGGTACCCCTACGTGCTCTCTCGTTGAGTGGGAGCTGCCTCCACCCCTGTCTTCCAGGTTGCAGTGGGAAGATCTTGCCTACTGTGCCTGTTAACAATAATTAGATAAAAATAAATAAATAAATAAATAAATAAATAAATAAATCCTGCTGGTTTCTTATCACCGCATTCTCCCTTAGCAAGGATTCGAATTGGCTGGGAATAAAGAAAAACAGACTGAAACAATATGTTTAGGAATGTATTTACTTCTAAAATATGGTGTATGGCTCAACTCTAGGCCAAGGCCTCTGATTTGCTGAGATTTATGAGACAGATGAAGTGCATTGATTTCTGTACAACTTGGAATGGGGGAGGCAGGGAATGGGAAAAATCTAATAATTGCATTTAAGATGATTTGTTTAGTAATGAGTAAAACTGGGTGGGCATTATAATCAAGAATAAACTACAGAGGCAATATTTTATAGTAGATTTTACATGTTTTTCTATCAATAAATTTCAATAATTTAGATCAATTGTGGAGATATATATATATATATACATATATACATACATATACAATATAAACTGAAATGAAGAATATCAGTTTCAAAATGATAATACTCTATAAAAATTAAATTCAAAAAGAAATGATACATATCTTAAGAGAGGTAAAGTTAGAGTGGGGCCGTTAAAAGTTAACTTCAACATTTTAGTGGTTAATAAACCATTCTCTATGTGTACAATATGTCTTTAAGAGAATTACATCTTCTGAGCCCCAGGATTTAGTTTGACAAACTGCTACTACAGTCCATTATCCATGAGGACATTAGTATATTCCTCATTAAAATACCATATAAAGCAAGCAATGATAGAAAATTATGAAAACAGAGATGTTAGCTTTAAGACATAATGTAAAGCATAAAGAATGTGGTAATCAGGAAGGAAAATATTATGGGGCTAAGATACAAACTGTTGTCTGCTCCAAAAACGACTCATGTTTTGATCTAACAACAAACTAAATTTGGGAGAAAGGACAACAAAAATATAACTAAAAACAGAATACATGAAAAGCAGTTACTGGATATCAAGAATGTGCCTTATAGAATCCAATAAAAATTAATCTGAAAATAAGAAAAACATATTTTTCAAAGATTTACACTTATTGTTGATAACTACGCTTACTCTTGACAGAAACCAGTTAAAGCAAATAGGGATAAGTTAAATAAGGTATATACACATACCTGTGTGTGTTAGAGGGAGAAGAAAGGGCATGGTAGATATCTCAGAATTCAAAACCACAAAGATGCCACTACCCTTTACCTGTATTCGTGACTTATTTTCAAATATCTATTTTATTGTATTCTCATTTTTTAGTCCTGGTCATTCTGCTTTTCCATCTGTTCATATTGTAGGTAGAAGATGCTAAGTCTTTTTTCTTTGGATATATATCTTTGGATATATATATTTTCTTTGGATGATTCTCTATACCAGTTTTATACTCAGGAGGCAGTATTTGATTTGCAGAGTTTGAGTCAAATTTAAATCACTGTGCTATCCAAACACAGCCAGAGATGAAGGGTCTCAAAGCATTCCTTGGCCATTTGGGACGTGTTTTCTGTAGGAAGGCAAGATTTTTCCAGCAAGGTCCACACACTAACTGCAATAGGTATCCACTTTATTAAGCTATGCCTTTTTGAAGAGGAATAAGGATAGGGAAGGTAGTATTGTCAAGGTCTGGGACTTTCACATTTAAGAGGTTATAAACCAGTATTATATCTTTTCAGTAGCATTCCAACACGGAGCGTTTCCTGTCCAGTATTGAATAACAATAATAAAAACCCATTTAAAAGCTGCTCTAGTGTGTATCATCACCATCTATGAGGAATTCTAAACAATGCCAGCATAAATACTCCTCCCAGCTGGGATGAACGTCTCCCCACCTCCTCCTCCTTTGATCTGTCATTGTCACTTTCAGTGCCATTAATGAGACAGCCAAGTATAAACGGGTCCCCGGAGAACCTCCAACAAATCTGCGCACTGGGAGAACAGGGTGGAGCCATGGAAGTTCCTGCCATTTGCAGAGGGGAGGAGCCTGGCCCTCCTGTTCCCCTGTGGGAACCTGGGATTCAATCTGGGAGATGAGGGTCTGTTAACAGGAACCCCTCTATCGCTTTGCTGCATTGTTTTTCCTTTTACCTATTTGCCCAATAATTCCATCCCCCTCACCCTTCAAAGTGTCTGCGAGCCTAATCTTTCCTGGTCGTGTGACAAGAACCCGGATTTTCCTACATTATGATGCTGGGACAGGAAGATGGAGATAATGTCTACCAAGGACTCTTCTATTCTACTTCAAGTCATGTATTAAGACTTCAGTTGTGGCAAAATTGCACCTGTGCTTATAGTAAATAATAAAAAAAAAAATAGATCAAGAAACTTTCTAATAGATGTTTTTCCTCTAGTGATTTTCAACATTATGGAGGTTTAATGAGTAATAACTAAAGGAGTTAATGCAACACTGAAGGAGTGTCTAACAAACTCAGAGTATCATTTGGCTAATGGTAAATCATAGTCACTATTTGGTAATTTAAATATAAAACTATTATTAGTGCCTATGTAAAGAATAGTACTTCAGAAAGCGAACACTTAAAACAGGTCAGAACCCTAATGTGAATCCATTTATTTTACTTAGCAGGGGGTTGAAAGGAGAAATGTAACATTAAAAAGCTTTCTGAAAGTGAGATGTAAATTGTAACCATTTTACAAAATTGAAGCCCAAGACCCATTGTTATAACACTTCGGAATATATACAGATTTTTGAAAACTAAGTACTTGGAATCCACATAATAAAAATATAGGTTAATTAGAGGCTATATATCTTTTAAAAGTCTATTTTTAAATGATTGCCTCCAAGACAAACAAAGGTAGAAAATGGGATTCAAATTTAATACAGCATTTAAATTTCTGAACTCTCTTAGCTACTTATTTTCATTACAAAGCTACACAACTTTCTCCTTTTAAAATCTAATGCCTATGCAAAGTTATACTCAATATTTTCTTATTATATCATTAGTTTCTAGATCTAATTCTGAATATCTTCAGAGGAAAAATTAGATTGTTAAATTCAAATACGAATAATGTATTCTTGGTTAAAGAGCAATTCTAAGACATCTTTCAGTAGAACAATACCAAAAACCCCATGTTCCTGAACCTAAGCCTTGATGTATGAAAGGTGTTCCCCTCATATGCAGGACCCTGAAGCAAGGCATTCCCCTGTAGGAGATATATGGTCTCCTCGTCTGCTTACAGCTCCTAGTCTCTGTTGTCCACAGTAAAATAGAAAGACCCCTAAAGACCTGTTGCTTAGTAAATACAGTAAACAGGGACACTGTTTTGGAAACTGCTGCACAAAATAATTTCAGAAGTTATTGAGAATCTGATATCTTGTTCAGGAAATTTATTGACAAACTGTTAAATGAATTGGAATTGATGGAATTGCAGTTTCAGGTTCCTTTCACAAGGTGGCAGGGTAAAAGAAAATACAGGCACCAGGGTATGGTTTTGTTTTGGTTGGTTTGTTTTTTGTTTTTTTTTTTGTTTTGTTTTTTGTTTTTTACAAATTGTGTTCTCTTGTCAGAACAGCACTGTGTTTCAGGGAAATTGAAAGCACTGGAAAGGAAGTGCAATTATTGGCAACCAAGAACCAGTTTTGAAGAGATTTAGTAAATGCATAATTTACCAATAAAAAGGTTGGCTTCAAACTGCTACTGTACTTCACAGGCATTTCAAAGAATTACCCATATAACTATTTACTTCATTGAGCAGAACAGTGCCTAAAGAAGCTGTCAATCTTCTTTAAAAAGAGAAAAGATGTGTGGTGGAGGGCGGGGCGAGGGCGGAGAGTGAGGAGGTTGGTTGAGGAGAGAACAATGCTCATCAAAAGCACACCAATCTGTATATTTTAACCGAAGAATTTTAACCCAGATGAACTGATTGTTTGAGTAATAGTCAATCAGCAGCATCTTCAGAGGTTCACCAGAAACAGAGTATTGTGCTAGGCACCCAGTCCGGGTGACAGATAGAGAAGGAGAAGAGATTAAATACAATGTTTTTAAAACTATTGCTCAGAAATTAAAATTTCAGAATATTCCAGAAATATATTTACATTTATTGATTAAGCATTATGTAATAGTCTTTGCTCTGAATCTTATACGGTACTCATCATTTTATTAGCAAGGATATAGATGCACGTAACTTTTTCCAAGTTCACAGTGATTGTGAGTGATTATTTTTAAGTGAATATTTGACATGGACTCTTATTATCTAAAACACACTAATGACTTCCTCTTGCTCTTGAAATAAAAACCAGAATCATCTAAAATGCTCTACAGGACTCTTCATGGTTTACCCTCTGCCCTTTTGTGCCAGCTTCCCACTGTTCCACGTGCTCCCAGGTTCCCTGAGCTCTGGCCACATTCAACCTCCTGATACCTGGGCCTGGAATGCATCTTCCTTTCCCATCCTAACCAAGCTGAGCTGCTAACCTCTACTTTTTCTCAGAGAACTCAACTCATCTTCCCTCTCCCCAGGGCAGCCTTCAACAAGGAATAGGTGAAAGACCTATGGCTCAAGCTTTCCCAGCAGCAGGAGGCTCTGCTGTAAGCATCTATTACAGTATTGACTGTGGCCTCACAGTACACTGAGCTCCCTAAGGGCAGTGATGAGCCTTGCATTTGAATTAGCAAATACACCATCAAGCAAAGAGTGGCCCATGTACACACATGACACATAATATTCTACTTGCTACTGGGGCTTGTAAATACTTTGTACAGATTGTATGCAATGATGTTTTAAATTTGTATTTTGTGGTGAAATTCCTCAGACATAATATTTCACAGCAGAATAAATGTTAACTCATCTATTTTGAGGAGTCCTGAAATGGTGAATCCTTTTATGTTGCTTAACTAGAATAGAAGCTGTATTCTTTCAGGCCATTGCATTGGTCTTATCTGTTTTTAACTGTAGACATAATATTGTTCTAAAACATGTTTACAGAAATCAGTCATGTAAAAACTGCATTGGGGAATCAGATTCTGACATGAATTCAAGTTATTCATTTGTAACTCTAACATTGAAATGCACTGGTTCATATCAAAGGCTATTACATTGTCACTGGCTAGCTAGGTGACGTTGGGTAAGTAACTTCATCTTTGCAGACAAGGTTTGGCATCTGTAACAGGAGTGATTAAAAGAGATTATCCCTAAGGTCTTTTACAGTTCTTAAATTCTTTGTCTCTTAGTTCCTCTCTAAGGAATTTTAACTCTGAAAACTGCTAGCATTTCACATCCTACTCTCTTTGCAAATGAGAGATTTTCAATTCCCAGTGATGAACTGAATCTGCATACACACTTGTATTTTATTACACTAGAGTAAAAGGATTTAGGGAAAAATACACATATATTCAAATTCTCCTCCTAAGGAAACCGGATTTAGTTAAATCATGAATAGAAGTCAGGATAAGTATATTCAACATTTACCCGTAGCTCTTTTTCCCCAACTGTCTGTTTCCGATATCTAAAACATAGTAACATTTCATTAAGAAGTCACAGCAACCCTTCTCTAATTTGTGAAGAGTACATTGTGAATTACATGAATAGTTATCAGCATTTCAGCATATTAGATTTCTTCCCCCGCTTAGTAGATGTTTATGAGTCCTTTGGGTTTAAGCACACTTATTCATTAGTTAGTACGTCATTGAAGAAGACTTAATGAAAATATTTCTTTTTTAATAAAATATTAACTCTTAATCATATATACCTTTGTACAGTGGCATTGCACAGAGAGCTGTTGAATTCTAAATATTCAAGATATTTTAAAAATATGTCTTCTTTGTGATCCTTCCTCATCCCATCCTCTGTCATTTCTTTTGTTCATGTAGATTTTTGTAAGTATCTTCTCTTACTCTGTCACTAATCATTGTAGTATTTGTGAACTAGTTTTAACTGCACTGCAATTGAGTCTGTCAGATTTGCATTATAGTCAGTGCTTGTGTTTTGTTTCATAAATCCTTATACTGAGGACTTGAGATTTAATGTTTATCACTTACTTTTAGGTTTTTATTCCACAAAGATATTGCATATAATGTGACATAGTGATAGTGAGCCAAATTAATCATTTTCATAAGCTTGTCCATTTGTCTCAGCACCACTTACAGAAAAGGGCTGTCCAGTGCTGTGCTATTAAATGTTTAACAACTGACTTGCCAGAGGGGAAAATACCTTATTGTAGTGTTTGCCAATTTCAATGGTGTAAATCCACCTAACAATGCTGATTTCAATATATTAACATGACATCGATGAAACAGTCGAGCAATGATGAACAGTGATATACCATTATCTATTATTTTTACCATGCAAATACAAGAGAAGTAAATGACATCAAAACATATATAATAGTAAAATACAGCCAAATAAGTAGAAAGTTAGGTTTTAAGTATTTATTAACTTTGGTTTTAGTATAATTTATTGCTTATTTATATAATTTAATTTTTAATTAGTATGTTTAATAATTGACTTACACATTCCTGAAAATTTTGTAATTATCTCTCACAAGCCAGAGCAGGCCAGCTCTTACACACCATGGAGTTTGTCCTTTTCCAGTTTTTCTGCAATAACACCTCTGTTCTATGTCAAGTATCCATACATACACAGTCCTCTGTTCAGATTCTCTATTTTGTATTTCCTTATGTGTCTTTGATTGTACTAATTCTGCACTCTTAATTATTACATATTTATGCCTTTGCCATGTAAGTCAAGTTATTCTTCCTTTTTGTAATATTGTGTGTGTGTATATATACAGTGTAAAGCATGCCATTTTGATGTATATATACATAGTGAAATTATTACTATAGTCAAGCAAATTAACATAACCATCTCCTCACATAGTTTTTTTTTGTAGTATAAGCAACTGAAATCTACACTCCTAGCAAATTTTCATTATACATTATTAACTATAATGATCAGGCTGTACATTGATCTCTAGACTTAATCATTCTATATAACTACAACTTCCTACTTTTGACCAACATCTCCCCATAACTCTCCCCTCCAAGCCCTTGATAACCACAGTTCAACACTCTATTTCTGTGTATTTAATTTTGTTAGACTCCACATATAAGTGAGGTCATTCAGTATTTTTCTATCTGGGTCTGGCTTATTTCACTTAGCATAATGTCCTCCAGATTCATATATGTTGTCACAAATGACAGGACCTTCTTTTTCAAAGTTGAATATTCCATATATATTATGTATATATAGATACACATATACACACACACACACATATATGGAGAGAGAGAGATTAGTGATATATATAACAATGTCTTTACCCATTCATCTGTTGACAGACACTTAGGTTGTTTCCATATTTTGGCTATTGTGAATAGTGCTATAATGGACATGGGAGTGCAGATGTGTCTGCAAGGTACTGATTTTATTTCCTTTGCATACATACCCAGAAAAAGGATTGCTGGATTGTATGTTAGTTCTATTTTTAGCTTGTTGAGGACTCTCCATACTGTTCTCCATAAAGGCTGTAGCAATTTACATTCCCACCAACAGTGTACAAAGGTTCCCTTTTCTTCACAACAAAGCCAACATTTATCTCTTATCTTCTTTATCATGGTCATCCTAACCAACCTTACTGTGGTTTTCATTTGCATTTCTCTGATGGTTAGTGATATTGAGCACATTTTCATATAACTGTTGGCCATTTTTATTTCTTCTTTGGAAGATGTTGATTCAGATCCTTTTCTAATCATCTCATTTTATAATCAGATATTTTTGTTATTGAGTGTGTGAGTTCCTTGTATACTTTAGAAATTAACCCCTTATTAGATATATGGTTTGCAAATAAATTTTCAGTCTGTAGGTTGCCTTTTTTATTTTCTTGATTGTTTCCTTCGGTAGGCAGAAGATTTTTCTGATTTTAAATTATGTTGCAAAGCTGCAGTAATCAAAAGGGTATGGTACTGGCATAAAAAAAGACACATAGGCCAATGGAATATAATATAGATCATAGACATAAAACCCGAGAAACACACCATCTACTAAACTTTGAGAAAAGCACCAAGAATACACAATGAGAAAAAAGATAATCTCTAATAAATTGTTTCAGGAAAACTGGATTATCTACAGGCAAAAGAATGAAACTGGATCCTTATCTTACACAATCCACAAAAATCAACACAAAGTGGATGAAAGACTTAAATGTAATCTCTGAAACTGTAAAACTCCTGGAAGAAATCATAGAGGATAAGCTTCTTGACTTTGGCCTTGGCAATGATTTTTATGACTATCACAGCAAAATCTCAGGCAACAAAGAAAAAATAAACAAGCGGGGCTACATCAAACTAAAAGTATCTTTTTTTTTTTTAATTTAGGTGCACCATGGTTTTTTTTATCCTTGCACTTTAATATAAATTTTAGAATCAGTTTTTCAAGTTAAACACTCACACACATACACACACATACATCTGTTGGGATTTCAGGTAGTGTTGCTTGGAATGATAGACGATCTTGGGAAGAATTTACATAATATATATATAGTCTCAATCCATACATTTGAAGTGTTTCTCCATATTTGCTACAGCCTCTTTAATTTTCTTCAGTACATGTTATATTTTTATTTTTTATTTTATTATTATTATTATTTTTTGAGATGGAGTCTCGCTCTGTCGCCCAGGCTGGAGTGCAGTGGCGCGATCTCGGCTCACTGCAAACTCCGCCTTCCACCTCCTGGCTTCACAGCATTCTCCTGCCTCAGCCTCTCCCAGTAGCTGGGACTACAGGCGCCCACCACCACACCCGGCTAATTTTTTGTATTTTTATTAGAGATGGGGTTTCACCGTGGTCTCAATCTCCTGACTTCATGATCTGCCCGCCTCTGCCTCCCAAAGTGCTCGGATTACAAGCGTGAGCCACCTCGCCTGGCACATGTTATATTTTTAAAGGTTTTTTATATCTTTCACAAATTTACTTTAAGGTTACTTTTTATTGATCACCTTTTAAGAGCTTTTTGAATTAAGTGAATACATGCAAAATGGTTACAACATTGTTCAGAATAAAGACCCATCTTACATACTGTTGTTATGACTTTAGTTAAATACTATGGTGGAAAGTGAAAAAAAAAAAAACTAATGTGTGTTTGCTTTATTAAAAATCTAGGAGAAAATATATAATGAATGTTGGCTATGTAACTATATCATATTATGTATATCCAAAATTAATGTTCCTTGAATAACACTGAACAATGATATTAAGAACTAAAAATAAATATTCACTATATGCTAGGAATCCTACGAATGATGAAACTGCACCTTAAGAGTCAGTCAATGGGAATACAAAATGCTGCAGCCACTATAGAACAGAGTTTGGCAGTTCCTAAGAAAAAGTTTGATAATTACCATACGTATTAGTTTGTTAGAACTGCTGTAACAAAATATTACAGATCAAGGATCTTAAAAACCAGGAATTTATTTTCTCACTATTCTGGAGGCTGGAAAGTCTAAAGGCAGAGTTGGTTTATTCGGCGGCCTCTCTCCTTGGCTTGCAGATGGGCACATTCTCATGCTTTCCTCACATTGTTAGCATTATTATAGTTTATAAATAGTTGCTGTTTGTCTATAGAAACATATGATTTTTGTATACATATTTTTAATCTCAATCCTGGTAAACTATCATATTTATTGTGATCATTAAACTAGTTTATTTCAGATTTTCTACATAGACATATCATTTGCAAATAATGACAGGCTTATTTTTTCCCTTCATATACTCTTAAATAGTTCTTTTTGTTTTGTTTTTGGTTTTGCTTTATGGTGCTAGGTAAAATATTCTGAATAGAATTTAAATGCCTTTGGTAGAAGGAAAAAACATATCTTGTGTCTGATCTTATACAGAATACATTTTTAGAGTTCTTCATTAAAGGTAATAATTGTAGTTTCTTGTAGGTAATTTTATCTGTTTAGAGAAATTCCTTTCCACTCCTTTTTTTGCTACAGTGTTATTAACATAAAAAGTAGATGTTGAATGTATCCAGTATTTTCTGTGCATCACTTGAAAGTGGCATGATTTATTTCTTTTAGTGTGTTAATGTAGTAAAGTATATTAATTACTTTTTAAGAGACAGGGTCTCATGTTGCTTTGGCTGGCCTTGAACACCTGGGCTCAAGTGATCCTCCCACTTCAGCCTCCCAGATAGCTGTCTTTCAAATAGTGCTTTTTGGATTTAAAGTTTATTTTGTCTATGATTAATACAAAAACACTTGCAATAAGTATCTGTCTAGCATATTTGTTCTATGGTTTTTCTTTCAACATGTCTTTAGTCTCAGGCTTTAGAAATGTCTCCTATTGATAGCGAGCAGCTAGATGTTTTCTTAAAATTTGTTCTGATCATCTTGTCACCTAACTAGATCATTTTTTCATCTATATTTCAAGTATTAATAAGCTTAGATTTAATTATTCTACTTTGTCCTTTTTGTATTGTCATATTTCATATGCCTTATTTTACAAGATTCTATATTTTCCTTGGTCTGTTCTGCTAGATTAAAAATTGTACTGTCAATTTCTGTAACTTTAATGGCCATCTAAGAAATTTTAAAATGTCTAATTGACAGATGTCAAAATTTAATCCATATTTTTAATTCCTTCTCTAATAATGAATAACTTAAAACACTAACTGTATAAACTCAGTTTCATATTTTATACTTTTTGGTCACATGTGGTAGTTTTATCTTACTTTTAATGACTATCATTTTTATGTCTAAAATTATTTTCAATGCTTATTGGTCTTCACTTTGCTTTAGTGAGGGTATGCTGATGTTTAGTTTTCTTTGGTTTAAAATGCTTTATTTTCCTTTTGTTCATAAAATCTTTTAGACCAATAGCTATGTATTCACCATACTCTGAAGATATAATTCTGTCTTATTTTGCTTTTATTTTTACAATGGAGAAATTACTGTCTGTCTTACTGTCATTTTTTATAGAGGAGATCACCAGAGTCCAGTTTTCCTAGGACAACTCCAGTTTATGCCAGTTTTCCTGAAGTAATGACTGGTTCTTTCCCTTTCACTCCTCAAAGTGCTGGATTAGATAATAAACTATGTGATCTTTCTATCTATGGGTGTATTAGTCTGTTTTCATGCTGCTAATGAAGATATACCCAAGACTGGGTAACTTATAAAGGAAAGAAGTTTAATTGACTCACAATTTCACATGGCTGGGGAGGCCTCAGGAAACTTACAATCATGGCAGAAGGGTAAGCAAACACGTCCTTATTCACATGGCAGCAGCAAGAAGTGCAGAGCGAAAGGGGACAAAATCCCCTTATAAAACGATCAGATCTCGTCAGAACTTGCTCACTATCATGAGAACAGCATGGAGGTAACAGCCCCCATAATTATCTCCACCTGGTCCCTCCCACAACATGTGGGGATTATGGGAGCCAGAGTTCTAGATGAGATTTGGGTGGGGACACAACCAAACCATATCAATGGGTAATCTGAATTATTTTGCTCTGAATTTTTTAAAGAACTTTTCAAGTAATATATTTTATTAGTAAATTCTACAATTTCAGTTTAACATGCCTAAGGATAAAGTTCTTTGTATGTATCCTCCTCAGATTTGCTTGGGATTCCTGATTCTATAGATTTATGTTTTTCATCAATTATAAAAAATTCTCAGTCATTTTTTAAAACATTTCTTTTAATACATTGTTTCTTTACCTTCTGTCATTCAATTAGATTTTTCATCATCAGTCCAGCCTCCATTGCTCTTAACTTTTCTCTGTTTTCCATCTTTTTCTATTTTTTTACTAGACTCTATGATTCCTATTGATTTATTTTCCAGTTCACTGATTCTGTCATCAACACTAATCTGCCACTTGATTTTACATATAAAAAGCAATATTTTTCATATCTAAATAAACTACATTTTTATTCAAATATCCTTGGCTATTTTATAATTGATTGCTTTTGTAGTCATTTTTATTCTCTTTTGTTTATTTTAGCCTATGAAATAGTATTTTGTATTTTTTGCTAAATAATTTTACCATCTGAAGTCTTTATAGTGCTTATTCTCTTATTTTTGTGGGCCCTTACTCATGATGACTTGTGTTATTATGAGTTCACTGATTGGCTGATTATTTTTTAATGTATAAGATCATATTACTCATGAATTTATAAATGGGAATTATCTGAGGTCTTGGCTAATGACCTAAAGAAGCATTCATTTAGAGCTTTGTAGAACCTCTTCCAAGGTAACTGCATCATAGAACTAATTTAAAGTAAATTGTTAGCTTGAGTTTTTACTTGGTTGTTTGTAGTTTTGTCTGCTTTAAAATTTTTGTTTTTAATCATTTTATTAGTGATTACACAGTAAGAAATATACAAGCTAAAAACTCTGTAGCCAGAGCAGGCTAGTGATTATGAATTTTCACCAGTAACTTTCTTCTCAGTTTCCTTGCAATTGAGATTTATTTTTTGTTCATACTTTACACTCATGATGTAGCTCTTTGGTGTTGTCATGACATGGGGAGAGTCAAGTGGTTTCCTCATGTAGGCCTTTGGTTTTATCTCTTGACCCCATTCCCAGAAAGCCTTCAAAACAGAACTCGGTTTCACCTTATTCAGCAACATCTACAAGATGTAAGCATGAAATAGTGCTCCTTTTAGTCCTCTGGTTTCCTGCATTTACTTAGTCTGTGACCTCAGAGTATTTCTTAACTGTCTTACCAGCTGTTATTTTTCATATTTTCAGTAGGGTGATTTTTTTTCTGCAAGATTAATCTCTTTGCAACAATTTTTTTTTCTTAAAACTTAAATATAGGTATTTGGACCTAGTTGATAAGACAATGAAATAATTATTTGAGAATCCCCTATGAAGATATCATAGATAAAATATCTGAGGTAACCTGTAGATTATTTAGATTTTAAAAAGATATATTGATTAAATATATTCCTATTAAATATTCTGATAAAATGTTTTTTATATTGTGTTATTTTTAAATTTAACTTGTAATGGAAAAATGGAAACATAATAGTGAATTAACAGTTACATAAACAAGCAGGAAATGAAAGGTTAAATTTTCATGCCATGCATTAGAAGTGAAAACACAGGAAATTGCTTTATCAATAAATAATTGATGGTTATATTAATCAGAAAATGTAAAAACACTATCATTTTTATGATACTTCTCTTTTATTTTATACAGATTTACCACATAATACATACTTGTTAATTTTTAGAAGATTGATATATTCTATTCAAAATAAACTTTCTTCAAGAAACAGGTCATTTAAAAATTTATGACTGAGGCATCTGAGTCATAAATAATAATTCATAAGATAGTCATGAATTAAAAATCTATATCAAAGTTTATTTAAATTTACATCACCTTTGAGTTCTGTAGTTAATACTTTGTAACAACCAATACTTAGAATACAATTTAAAATTTATTTTCTTCTTATGAAATGCACTTACACAAGCATTACATGGCTTTGCTAAGAAATATTTTATGTATGAGTCTGAGTCTATTTTATAGGTCTGATGAAAAATGTAAAATAGAGGGCTTACATGGATTAAGGAGGGAGACTCAAATGTTCAGAGGCCCAAAGTCATCACTTTACTTCTCATGTTAATAAGAGTATATTCTTCGGTTGTATTATATAGTGCTTTACAATTGCAAAGTAATGAACGGTGTACTCTGTCATTTTTTAATTCCTCTTTTCTCAAGCTAAAATACTTTAATACTTTTAATGTTTAAAAAACAGCTATGGCTTGCATAAAAAGTAACAGTTTTTTTAAGGGAGTTGATGATCTGATACACTCAAGAAATATGAAGTACTACTGATATATCTGCATCTTAGTGTAAGAATTAACATACAGTTGAACTGAAAATTGAGGTTGTCTTTTTGCTCACTTTATCTTTTGCTCATTCAAAGAAATGAGGTAAATTTATCTTTTCTCATTACCCCTTACTGGACTCTTCCTAATCTAGTCCACCTGCTGTGTCTTTGCTGCCAGTTATCTCTCCAAGGACAAAGCTGGTATGATCACTTTGCTTTTCAAACACCTATTAAATCCTCATTGCTCATAGAAAAAAGAAAGCAAATGCTATAGATTACGAAGTGACACAGCCCATATCTCCAGATTTAGTTGTTTTGTTTACTCCATCACTGTCTGTCACATACTCTGTGCCGTTTCCATACTAATCTTCATGAAGTTCCTTTCAAAATCCCACGCATTTTGAAATCAGGTTCTTTTTGCACAGAATACATCTTCTCTAAAACATGTATTTATTCATCTTAATTAAAATCAAATTCCCATTCTTTTATGAAAGAATCCAGTCACATAAATAGGCCCCAAATGTGCACTGAATGAATAAATGAAAAATTTTTTAAACCCTCAATTTCTTCTTTATAAAGGATTAATAAGACATTTTTAGCCATAGAAAATTTAAAGTAATTTTAATAATCAAAAGAGAAAACTTTAGAAAAATTTTTATTTAATTGTCCTTAAGCACCACATGGAATTGATGATGCTAATCTTAGAAGCGTTCTTTCTCTATTTTCTGAGTACAATTCTACCTCCTCTTTGAGATTAATCTCAAACCTTTCCTGACCTCCCTACCAGTTGGACTGGTTTCAGTGCCACCCCTTTTAAAAAATGTAACAGTGCTTTGTATTTCTCCAAACTCTTGCAGTCATGTAATTCCTCCACCCCTCCTCACATACACACCATTAGATTGTAGGCTCATACACCCTACGATGTGTATCTTTCTCCATCACCTTTATATCCTTCCAGGTGCCTAGCTCTGCAGTGTGCTCACTGTAGAGAATCTATAATAATTATTTTACTTGATACATAGCAAATTATTCTTTCAATTAGTCATAGCAATTACCAGAGTTTCATAGACTTCTGGAAAAAAGTAGAATGTGTATGTATTCTAACACATAATATTTCCTCATATGTAATAACACAGAGGTGTGCAGACATGTTTATTCATGTGTATTGGTCATGTAAGCACCAAGGGAAAAGAATCAGCATGCTGAACAGCTCAGAGCTGTGAAAGAGCATGAAGTCTCTAGGAAACTGAAAGGAGTGGTTTCCCCTTTAATAATAGGCAGTTACATCTTAATGAGAAGTAGTTTGAAAATCAATTTGTTGGAAATATGAAAATATAAGGCTAAGAGATTCTGGAGTCTGTATCTAATGATTATGACAACATTCAGTAAGTCAATTTTCTTATCTCTAAAGTGAGAGTTTGGCCTTGAAAATTATTCAGTCTTTTGCTTTTAGAATACCATGAGCTTAAATTCATCAGATAAGAAGAATCAAATACCTTTCCTAAAGTGTAGCCAAATTGGTCTAAATCTCAAACCAGCAAGATGAGTTAATCACTGACCAAATTAACCACTTATCCCTTCTGCTCACCCACCACAGTGACTGGTATACATTTTGGAAGATGGTTAATTTTCTCAAATTACTGATATTTGAACTATCACTACTGACCATTCTACTGCATAAATCAGTGTGGCAGTTCACTAAATAGTCCCTGAGTGTCTTGGAAAGTGATGTACCTTTGAAGTCCCCAAGGAGTAACTCACTTGGCAGAGTCTCATCTAATAATTATGGCATTTAGGACAGATAGATGTATTCTGTGCTGCAATGAGTGTCCCTTGCTGGCTTAAAATGTCAAGTTTTGTTTTTAAAAATGTAAAAATTAAGCTAAGGGGAATATGGTCATTATAATGATGAAGCTCAAATACTTAAAATCATTAATATCTTTTATGGAGGAACTGGTTATAACTATTACTTAGTTTAATATTTAAAAGTCCCAAGACACTAGCATGAGCCAGAGTTTCAGCATTTTACATTCCTAAAGCATTTAAAATCCAAGATGTGGTGGTTTGCATGTGCCAGAATGTGCCACGGGTTCCTGGAAATGACATGTAGTCTTTGAAAAGCTCTTTTGGGCAATTGGTAGATAAAATGATTAAGTCCTCATTTGCCAGGGTCATTTATTAATAATTGTATGGGTTTGGGTCCTCATGACATTTTGAAAGTCATCCCTATCTGGGATTCTTGTGCTGCATTAACTGTCTTTTTTTTTTTTTTTTTTTTTTTTTTGTTTCCATCCGCGGTTTCTCCTGGCTTGACTGTAGGCATCTGGAAAGCAGAGACTGTATTTTACTCATCTCTGAGACCCAGATGTTAACCTTGTGCTCAGTTCATGCAAACACCAGTATTTGTGGAACAAACAAAAGGAATGTCATTTTCACATATTTAGATGACACTGTAATTGCATACGTTCTGTCCTAAGAAAGAAGAATTTAAGGAAGCCAGAGCATACCTGAGATTTAGGAATTTTTAGTTTATAGCATTTTACTTCCAAAATAAAAATGATAGTGAAAGTTTAAAATTTTAACTCTCTAAAACTACAACAGACCGTGATGAACGAAGCAATCATTTTCCCATGAAAGAGTAAACAGACAAATCACATGTGTAAGGACTGAGGAAATGCATACCTACGATGTTGTGGTTGTGCTTCTGTCTTTTAAAAAAAATGGTTCAATCTGAAAAAAAAATCATTTGCATGCCTGTTATATGTGATTGACTTCTCCACTGTAACATCAAATAAAATAATCAAATTGATGATTCGTAGCTATATGATGATAGGAATATTAAAGTATGTGACACCCTATGAAGTGCATTGTTGACATTTTGTGTGCATGTATTATGTGTGTGTTATTACAGTTGTTATTTCCTGGGAAGGAATGGTCGTGTACGTTAGTGGAGGTTTGTATAGCTTTTGGCATTGGAAGTGGTCTCCTAATTTAGTCTTAAACCTGACAGTATTTTTCATATGTGAGTGTCTCTGGAGCATTTGAAAAAATAGTTTATCCTTACCTTTAAATCTTCTGCTAACTATATATTTCAACTTCTGGGTAGCTTTGATGATTCTAGACAAGTGGCTTGCCAGACACCTAGGTCAGGATCCAGGCAAAAATGAATCAAACCACAGACCCTCTAAGGCAGCTGTCTATTTCTCAACAGGAATATGCTCTCCTACAAAGATACTTTTATCAGGTTAACAATGTGGTATCAGGGAGATTTCAGGGCTGTACCAGGCCAAGCTAATAAAGGTCTATAGTGAAGTTGAGCCACAGTCACCCTGACTTACATGTTTTTGCTCTTGACCAAGAATAGCTGAGGTCAAAAGTAGAGGACTTACTTGTCACAGTGATCTTCTCCTGCCTTTCCTGCTCCAGTCTTTGAGTTGTACTTTTGATTCTATTTCAAGACATAAATTCTGCCATATGAGCCTGAAAGATTTCATGAAATTGCCAATTTCATGCTTCCAACATGCCAAGTTCTGAGACAGTTTCAAAGCCAAATCCAGAAGCAGATATGAGCTCTGAGTGATATGGTTCTGCCATCAGATACCAATATGTTTGACTCAGAATGTCTGCCTTCAGATGTACATGTGATAGCAGTAGGTCTGTAAATTTTGAATGTACCTTTGAAAGAACAATATAAGCATTAACAAATTACAAAATATACAGTATTCAGCCAATGACAGTTGTTGTTTCAAAGCCTTTATATTATTACTCTCACTTCCTACAGACCCAAATAATGGTCTACAGGTTTTATTTTTCATATGTTTCAATGCCATGATATTATTTAAAAATATTTGCGTACTTCTGTGCATACAATGTACAATACAAAAATTAATAAATAAAAACCTCTCTATTAAAATGTAATTTCTGAGGATAGGGAGAATATATTCAACTTAAATCTAAATGCATATGAAATCCTTTAAATATTGTTCCTTTCCTGAACTATATGATGGGGACAAGGTCATCAAGACTTGCCCTGTGGCAAGTTGCAGGGCATGTTTGGGCTGCTGCAATGGAAGCTATTTTTTTCTGTAGTCAATGTTGTCCCACTACACTTTGGGGAGAATGAATGACAGCATAGCCCTACTGGAGTGAGCTGAACATAGACAGCTGTAAACAGGAAGGGACAGGAAAAATTCCTGAAGGATGCATGGTAGATGGTAGAACATCAACAGCTTTAAAACATGGCAGTGTTTTGTTTTTTTTTTTCTTTCTTTCTTTCTTTTTTTTTTTTTTTTTGTAAAGCCAAGTTGGAGTTTCAGTTTGGCTAATGCTGCTAAGGACAGGATGACTATTATTGATGCTGTAGCTTGGGGGGAAGATGGGGAAAAGCAGAAGACACATGTAATGTTAGCAAGTAAAACTCAAGAAGGATTTATGATTCTTCCATCAGTCTTTTCATGCAAGTGCAGAAAAGCCTCATCAATGGCATCAGCAGGCTGCCATATGTATTAGTCAGAGTTCTTAGCTGCAACAACTGAAAACTACTCCAGTTAACTAAAACAAAGAAGAAATGTATTGAAAGATAGCATAGAAAAATGGAAGCTTGGAAAAGTAGATTAAAAAGGAATCAAAAGAAGCATGGCACTGATTAGGATATGCCTACAGGTACTTACCACTCATGAGTAGCAAAATCAATGAATGTCTACCATATAATAAGAAAAATATTATCTGATGAGCAAAATATGGACATGTTTTGCTCTAAAAAGTCAAATTCTTTTTTAAAAGATGAAGAAAAGTAAATTAAAATTTTATAAAAATATCGTTTACTTTTTAAAAATTCAAAACTTTAGACAAATTTAGACAAACAGGTAGAGGACAGTTCTGAAGTTTACTTCTTAATGGTGTTCTCAAAATTCACAACATTTACCCATAGTTCTTATGGTATATGACTGTTTATAATAATTCAGCAGTCAAATTGATGTATGATGGTAATCTATTAGGGGAATGGGTCATCATTTTCTTTCTAAAAGTATTGTAATCTAACATCTTTTAAGAAGCAATCAACAGATATTCATTGATTATGTAGTATATGCCACATAGTATTTAAGGTGCCATATGGAACCCTTACCTTTAAGAGGTTTATAAACTAATCAAAGAGGCAAAAGGTATGATTCTGATTCAGTAAATAACAATCACACTAACAATCAAAGCAGTCTACTTTCTAAAGAGAGTCTTTTTAAAAATTTGACCATTATTCTGAACCTAATTTTGTATCATATGTACATACATTCTTTATCATTACAGTAAAGGTTTATGAAGAAAAAAATAGTTCACCTTGTTAGGATAATCACTAAGTGATCTTAGGACACTCTTTGTATTGACAACGTTGTGGTTAATATAGCTCAATCCCCAGGATCGATTTAGCAAAAGGAGATGAAATTAAGGAATATTATCTATTTGAAGGAAATACATATTAATTCCAATTCAGGCCTCACCACTACCTACCTATTTTCAAATTGTCTGTAGAATAAACAGCAATATGTGAACTTTGCTTCAAAGTAGATGCCAATATGGGCTATCAAGTTAATCCTTAAGACACTTGCTGAAAGATTATATGAAGTATGTAGAAAGGTGGGTGTGTGAGCTATCTAATAGGTTGGAAGTGGTGACAGTTAAGATATATAGCTGGTTTGGAATTTGGGTTATTATTTTGTTTGTTTTATTTAGAGTTTTCAGATCTGGAATATTGTAAGTAGCTTCAGTTGGCTACTTAGTTTCTAAGCGCTGTGCTCATGGATACAATAGAGGGGAAAAAAGTCAGACCTTCTTTCTCAAGGAAACAGAACATAATCACTAACACATTTACTCCGTAAGTCACAAGACCTAAAGCTGTGGAGACATTTGTAAGATAACTAGGAACTTCTGTATTTACTTCTGTCACTTGGAAGCTATAGATATCTAGCTTTCTCGCAACAAGGATCAGTAGTATTTCTTTGATAATGTTCAGAATGATTTACATTTATTAACACTCTTCATGTATTTATTTTCTGTATGCATGTTGAAATAACATTTAATGTGACTGAGAAGAGAAATTATTTACATGTTGATTATTTTGTATATCAAGATGACATCAGTCACTAAAAAGGAATGAGCAAAATACTGTACATGATGGTGATAATTTCTACTTACCTAATGACTACAATGTATAAAACCTATTAGCTTGTTTCCCTGTGTTTTTTTCATAAATCTTCACAACTGTCCCATCAGATGGAAGCTATTATCCCCCAGTTGAGATTCGAAGATGTTAAGTACTTTGCTAAGGCCATCCTACAAAGAAATACAGGGCTGGAATTTAAACCAAGAAGTCCAAAGTCTGTAGTCTTTCTGCTAGGCTTTGCAGAGCTTACAAATGACCTAATAGATTGCCTTGCCCAGCAGAGCCAGAAATTGCTTCCAGAGGCATGTCTATATTAGCAGCATGAGTTGATCCCTATGTGATAATTGTACCATTAATGTAATAGAAATATTGAGCAGCTCAGAACTTCCTGACCCCAGGCTAAAGTGTAAAAAGGGAGAAAGATAATAGTCTCCTGCTGGTTTCAACCAGGGTCATTTCCAGGACATTGTCTGGCCTAGACAGTAAGAATCAGATGCAAATTGTAACAATCTTCTTTGATCTGTGTGTTCAGCACAAATAGATTTATGAATTCCTCTCCTTTAGCTTAGTTAGTGTTTTGTTGGAGTCAGATAGATACTTTGTTAACCCCATCGTCAGTCTAGAGCAATGTTGTCATAGAGGCATGACCTTCCTGTGATGTATCAAACTCTTCATTTGTAATATTATAGTCTTATAATAGAGAACACAATATTCTGTTCCAAGACTCAAACCTAACTCTTCTCCAGGAAAACATATGCAACTGACTCTTTATTAGATTGTTTTGGAAACTTTTTATTTTACTGGTCAATCAAGTTTAGTGACCTATTTGATATTCAGGTATGTGCACAATGTAGACATTTTTCAAATTACCGTATGAATTTAGATAATATCTCCTATTGAGAAAGAAAAGACTATCACATGGAATAACCTTGATTTGTTAATCTGGCTAGCACATTTGCCATTGTTATATCTATTCCCTGTTGAAAAAGCCTTCTTGTCAGACTTGTCATATGCTGTTTGTATAACTGGTAATTACAGAATCAAGATGAATTATCCCCTATTTTTAAAGGCTATAAAATAAATACCAACCAATTAATATAACTACACCTTCCATTCTCTGAGGAAAAAAAAGAGAAAAATCAATCTCATTTCAAAGTCATTTATTGATTTGCCTCCCCCACTTCCACCCACTGCCATAGGACTACATATTAAAACCTGTGATTCTTCCCCCTACTGTTTAAAAGAAGCTGCCTTAACACAAGTGTCATGGAATTCCCACATGACGAAATGGGAGAGTTCCCTGATCCCCCTCCTCCCAGGACATGTGACAGGGGTGTGGCTCACCTGTTTGCTTGCTGCCACTGCTCAAACCCCTGATGAAGGGGGAAACATGCAGATGGACAGGTGCAGGAGCCAGGGCGCGTGTTTTGAGCTCCAGCCTCATGGTAGTATCTAGGGGTGGGTGCCTGTGTCCTCAGTCTTTTGACCTTGCTGTCTGCAGATGGCTTAAGTGTTAACCAGCTCGATGGACCCTCTGCCTTTTCACATGGGCAGAGGGCCAGTGTGAGAGCTTTCTGTATCCTTAGCTCTTGCCCAGTGTTCCAGAAGAATGGGGATACACATGGGCTTGAAGGATCAATGTGAGGTTTTATGGAATGGTGGAGGTGGCTCTCAGCAGGATGGACAGGGAGCTGGAAAAGGGATGGAGTGGGAAGATGATCTTCCCCTGAAGTTTTGGCTATCAAGCAGCCAAACTCCTCCTTGACCACTCCCAGCTGTACTCCTCCTGGTGTTCAGACATACCTTCTCTTCTCTCTTTCCCTGCTACACCGTTCTGCCATTCACCTGCTTGTCTCCTCATCTCCTTGTCTTCTCCTGGAGCCTGGGGTTCGAGGTTATATGGGTACGGGATAGTGGGGCATTGCAGGCCAAAACACAACTTTTTGGGCATGAAAACAGAAATGCCTGTTCCCACTTAGGGCTGCAGGCCTCCAGACTTGAGATTGGAGCCTTTGCACGGGAACTGCCCTCTTCTACCCAGTATTTCCCTGTCTCCTGTCCATATCAATAGCATGCTTTTCCTATGACTAGGTAATCACAAGCTTTTTAGCAATCTAGAAAATATTTGGGTGCAATGCCCTGATTCATTCCCTTAGTTTAATACCTTGCAGATGAAACACTCCTTCTTTTCCTAAGTTGGTTATGCTGCCAATGCTAAAAACCAGGGAAAGGGAAAGAAATGACTGTTTAAGTATCAAAATACCTAAGCTATATTTTTCACTTAGCTTGAGCAACAGCAAACCATGAGTTAATTCTGGAGTTCTGGATTTTTTTTTTAATTATGATATCATCAAGGGAGATCTTAACTCATGAATTAAGGTCATTACAGACATTCTGTAATTACTCTTAAAGAATGTATGCTCTCAAGTTACTGTAAATTCAGGGTAACATTACCATATAGGGCAACTGGAAATTTGCTTTGGTAAGAAAAAACTGAAATACAGACATATACTTACTTTCTCTCTCTCTCTCTCTCCCCCTCCCTCCCTCTCTCTACACACACACACACACACACACACACACACACACACACACATATATATATAATCTCTTTGTCACTATATATATATATATATATAGTGACAGAGATAATTTCATTAAAAATTTATATTAGCAACCTGGCATTAAAAGCTTTATCTATTTTGATATAGGGACCAGTCCCCTTTCTCACCATTAAAAAATTATTTTTATAACATATTAGGCCATCTGTAGAGGTGGCAAGTCATCATCCCTTGTGGATAAATTTTTCCGTAACTGTTATAATATTCACCTGCTATTTTCATTGTTTTGTGGTACATGCCTAATTTTTTAACCACTAAACTTTGTGGAATCTCCTTCAGTTCTCACAGGCAGATGAATTTATTTATTTTTAATCTTTATTTTTGAGACAGTGTCTCACTCTGTCACCCAGGCTGGAGTGCAGTGGTACAATCACAATTGACTGCAGCCTCAACTTCCTGAGCTCAAGTGATCCTCTGATCTCAGCCTTTCAAGTAGAAGGAACTATAGGCATGCACCACTACGCCCAGATAATTTTTTATTTTTTGTAGAAACAAGGTCTCACTATGTTACCCAGGCTGGTCTTGAACTCCTGAGTTCAAGTGATTCTCCTACCTCAGCCTCCCAAAGGGCTGAAATTACAGGCAGGAGCCACCACGCCTGGCTACTTTTTATCATTCCCATTTATAGCTGAGAGAACTGAAGCACTTAAGATAGCTGAGCTTCTCAGTGAAATATGTGTGACTCTAGACTCAATTTCTTGACACTAGTGAATGACCCTTACTGCCTCTATAGCTGTTGATTTAAACACCTGGAACTCCTCAATTCCATAAATTGGCAATTTATTCCATTCAGTTCAATGTTTAAATACCTTCTTTATACAAAAATGTGTAAGCATCCAGTGCCTGGTGCTGAAAAGTGAAGATCAGGTGGAGGAGAAGAACAATGAGTAGCAGAAAATACTCACAATGAGCTGTATGTAATCTAAAGTGTTATTAGAATGGTAATATAGATTGTGATAAAACGCAGATTAAGTTAGGAGGTGACGTTTTAACTGAACTGTAAACAGTAGCATACATTTTTGCCAGGAGGCTAAAGCAAAGAAGACAAAATGTGCAAAGATATAAGTCCTTAGAGTAAATAGTGCACATAGGGGATGAGATGAAGCTTGTCATAGTTGTTGGTTTAGAGCAGGTAAGCAGGGCTTACATGGCGAGTTCTGTGTTCTTTGTCCAATGTGCTTACTTCAATACGTATTTTATGCCAGGTTATATAATAAATCTGTGAAAAACACTTTTTCATGCATGCCTAATATGTTTTTACAAACAAGATTTTTCTTGTATAATGTTTAGGTCTAAGAGACCTTAACTCTACATTGTGGGCTTTAGACTATTGGGATGGATCCTGAATTCTTTAGATTCTTTTCCATACCTTTTTCTTAATATTTAAGGATTAATAATTAAGTATTCTTATGACATTATTTTGGATGCTAGCTGACTTAGATTTTCTTTGGAAAGGTTTATGGCCTTTAAGACCACATTATCATTCTGAAATGAATGAATATAATGTAAAAGAAAAATGTGTATATTTCACTACTCTGAAACCCTTAAGTGTGAAATTTCCTTATTTTCCTGTAATTACTAGGTTTGGAAAATTAAAGTAGAGTTATTCTTTATGATGCCAAGATTTTTGAATGGAATATTTGCTTTCTATTGAATTATATAATGTTTTAAAGAATAGGAAATATTTATTTGGTCAAGTAAAACAAATTATTTTATTTATAATTGATGAGAAGCATTAGGGTAAAAGATGTTTAAAAATTTAAAGCATACTTCTAAGACATAGTGGTGATTCTCTATACTAGCATGAACTTATATTTATAAAAATAATTCATTGCTAGAATATGTGAAATGGAAGTGAGGAATCAAAGTACATTAATACAGGGGATCAAAGTAGAACATTCCATAGAGATTGTCTTTTTCATTATGTGAATATATACACACACAAACACATACATAGAACCCATATATACACCCACATTTTACAGACATGTATGAACCTTTTATTTAAACATAATTTTAGAAAATCAGAATCTCCAGATTCTGAAAGATCTATTTTCATGGACAATATTCTGCACAAATAATTTAAGTTTTACCAGAAAGCTGATTATTGAAATAAAATAATTTTTAAGGATAGATTCTCACTAAATTTTTTGTGGATTCAAGACAAGTGTGAATTACTCAAAATATTCATGTACATAAAGCATGCCGTTAAAATGCAGTTTCTTTTACTGAAACATGTTAAGAAATACCATCTTACAAGGATGAGAAATTGTAAAGTCATATTAAATTTGAAACTGATTATGTAGCCTTAAGGAAAGTAATTTGTTATCAAAAGAACATAGCTTCCTAAAATAATGCTTTTTACAGTTACATACTACATGTTGAAGTTTGAAGATGTGATTGGGCTGCTAGGGGTAGGATGAAGGAATGTTCATGGAGTATTTCAACATGAGTGAGTTCTCACACATTTTCTCAATTCTTACATTCTGATAATGTCAACATTAAGAGCAAAATTTTCTTAGAAAAGGACAGGACTAATACCAAGTGTTTAGAGGACAAGTGCAAACTTATATTACTGGAATAAATCCATACATTAGAAAATATGAATCCATATTATTCCAGTTGCAGGATTAACATAATATTAATGACAAAGTTCCCTGTTCATTTCCTGGCATTCATACATTAATGCAACCAATATCTATGGAGTATCTGTGAGGTATGTATACATAGCTTTCAAAAGCTTTAAAAAGTACAGGGACAAACATAAAGAGCCTATATTCTAAAATGTTATGGAAATTAGTTTTCATGTAAAACTTCAACTTTGTTCATTCATCTCAGTCTTCTCAGTTGATACCATCAATAGCCAATTACCAGTGATAATAACCTGAACTCATCCTTTCCTCCTGTCAGCACATTGAGTTCACCTCCAAGTTTTCTCCAATTTTTATCCTCAATATTTCTCATTTTCTTTCTCTTCTTTCTGTTCTAATTGCCACTGCAAAGTTTGGGACTTGTGTTCTGAAACTAAATTCCAAGATTGTTTCCTTTCCATCGTGTTATATGTGATTAATTGTCCAAATGACTGACATTAATGACTGTTATTAAAGTTTGAAATAAATGATTATCCCTACCACCCCCCCCCAAAAAAAAAGAAGAAAAAAATTGAAACAGAGATCACCATCCTGGCAATGTGTGACTCAAATGCTGCAAATGCAGAGGTTTTTGATAGATAATTTTAATAGACTGAGTTCGGAAGAGCAATTGAAAGCATGAGCAATTTGTAATATGGACTGTGCATTGGTACTGAGGAAACACATAAGGTACTGGCAAGAACAAAGGTCGATATTAGCTATAATTTGAACCTTTGAAAAGGTTACATGTTCCAGAAAGAAAGATTGCTTAAGGCTCTTGAAATGCTTGTTTCTGACAGATGCTATGATACCAGTTAGAGATTAGTGAGATTAGAAGAGAGGGAGATAAAGAGAAAAATTCTGCATTTTTCTTTGACATTTCTCTATTGAACTTTTTTGTGAACTAGTTATATTTCTAAGATCTATTTCATAATCAAAGTTCACATAGAATAAACAAGTGTCATATCCTTACAGTAAAATGAGATAGAAATGAAATCACTTCATAAGGTGTCAAAAGGTATTCAAATGTTACGTATTGTTCTAACTCAAAGATGTGTCACCTCTTTTGAATCTATACATGGCTAAAATAAATGCGTAGCCATAATATACTGCATTATTAATGCTGTCATGCCTAATTAAAAAATATTGCTGTGAGAACACTGTTTCATAATTTTCATTCATTTGTAGACTTAATCTGTCTATGACTGATGTTAAATTTTTATAAAATAAATGCATATTGACACCTGTTTCACATAAATTTGAATTAAAATAATTATTTCAGGAGCATGAGTTCAAGTAGGCTAGTATATATACTCTCTTAACATTTTGTCTATGTATAAACTTTTTTCTCCAATTTAGAATAACTTATTAATCTAACACTGCTTCATTTCTTATATTAGTGCAGGAAATGTAGCATTCATATGAAATAGTGGTATCAGAAGTGAAATCTAAGACCTGTTTGAAGCCAAAATTTACATATATCATCATTTACAAACTGTGTGTGAAAATATAGCATTTGAATTTTGAAACAATATTGTTTAAGCAATTTCATGCTTGTAAGCCATCTCTATTTCTCTTTATATATGTATATGTGTATGTATCTATAGATCATACATATGTATGCACATATATATAAGTATTCCAATACACAAGTGTAAAACTTGATTCTATTTTAATTATACAAACAAATATTCACAGAGGGCATTTATTTCCTTTTGACTTATCTTTTTAAAGCTGCATATTGATCATCATTTTGTAAGAAAAGAAAAAAAATTTAAGGTACCATTAGAATCAATTTTCATATGTCTTAAGTGTAAGAGGAGTGATTATACCTGGCTTGGATTTTCAAGTCTCTGCATGAGATTACAGGCACATGGGTGACAGTCTCATTAGAGTTGATCATTATTGTACCCCAAGCAAACCACTTCTTGAAAGAACAGGGGCCATGGATAGATTTGTCATAGCTAATTCAATGCTTGTGGTCACTGAGGCATGGGGAAATCTGAAGAGAAGAGGTTAGGTAATAAGTAAGTAGTATTACTGGGCTATTATCCTGGCTATTTTCTATATTCCTAATACATGTCTTTCCCTTTTATTAGGAGGCCAACAGTTAAAGTGGAACAACCAATTCACGAAAAGAAACTAATTCACCGATATAATAGAATGAAATTGATTTGTGAGATAGGAAAACTCTGTGGTTTGTGAAATGGATGTTATTAAATTCCACAAAGAGTGAATTTTTAAAAGAGTATGCCCTCATAGCAGCTCCCAAACATTTGAAGGTTATCTAATTTTCTCTTCTCCAGTTTCTTTGCCTCCTACCTTTCAAAACTGAAAAAAAATCACTCGATACCAAATACATACATGAAAAAGATTAGGATGAAATAGCTTTCCTTTTTCAATGGTGCCAGTAGTTGTTACATCTGAAAAGTTTTTTTTTCTATGCTATACAACCGTGCACAGTATATTTGCTATGTCATGAAGTTGATTTTCTTTTTTTAGGTAGCACATGTTCATTGTAACGTATCGAGCAATGCAGAAGTATATATATATAAGAAAATAATTATAATTTATCCTCCCTCCACTGAAGTTTCCAAAAGCATTTTGGTGTGTATCCTACCATATCTTTCACTCTGGTCTTGTATTTTTTAAAAAAGTATATAGGGTTCTTCTCTTTCTTTTCCCTTTTTAAAGAAAATAAAAATGGAATCATACTGTATGTAATTCAGTTATTGCCATTTTCATTTATAAAATAACATGGATATCCCTTCATATTAATTTATGCATAATATATAATGTTTATGATTTATATTGCCTAGGTAGAATTAGGATTTTACTCAACAATTCTCCCATTGATGGACATGTTAGCTGTTTCTTGTTGTCTTGCCTTCAAACAATATTGCAATAAACATTATTCTACTAAAGACACATACTTTCAGGTACACTAAATTGTGTACTGTTATTTAAGATGCAAGCTGTGCTAAATTTTATCTGAACACCATTTAAAGAAAAGGGTTAAGCAAGTAAATTACATAATTGTGACAGTAGAGACGAGTGAATGTGGATGGCTACAAACTTTTCAAACTCAAAAGCTGCAGCAGTAGATAGTGGTTAATGTACTAACATCCAACGAATTGGATCTTTGACTAATTTGCTGTCCTTTGTGACTATTGCTAAGGAGAAGAATCCTTTAGAACTAACAGAAATGTTTAACTGGAACTAAAGACTTAGAATCTTAATAGAGAGATGTATGTCTCACTTTTTACCAGTTTGTATTCAAATACATGATATTTACTTTTGCACTTTGAGTGATGTTCCAGAAAAAACTAATGTCCAAATTTTATTAGCAAATATAAAATGCTCATTACAGTAGCTCAATGTGGGTATACATATTGATAAAGCAAAATCAAAGGATACTTGTAGTATCTACACACCACACACCATACACCACATCCATGTTTGGGGGCATTTCTCAGTTGTTAATAGCGTTCCTTGGATTTAGAAATAAAATAATATGTGATGGCCTCTGATAGGTGAATTTCATCACTTTACCCTATTTCTCTTGTGCTGACAACTGAATTAAGCTAGCTCTTCAGTCCATAGCAAATTATCATTATATAATATGTCTTATTTTAATTTATCTCTTTCGAGTACATTTCTCAATTTATCTCTCTTCATCATAAAGTTAGGTATAAGTGTTATATAAATTGTATATACAAATTGCTATCTGTGATTCATATGTTCATATTTGGAAAGGCAAAGATGAAGGTTTAAAATTTTTAAATGTATCAAATTCATACAAAGATACCCATTTTGTCCAAATTTATTCCCTTATGATGCCTCGTTTTCTGTTTTTTACAATTTCAACTTTTATTTAAGATTCAGGATTACATGTGTAGGTTTGTTACCTGGGTATATTGTGTGGTGCTGAGGTTTGGGATATGAATGTCCCATCACGCAGACAGTGAGCATAATACCCAACAGTTGGTTTTTCAACCCTTTCCGTCCTCTCTCCCTTCCCACTCTAGTAGTTCCCAGTGTCTATCGTTGCCATCTTTATGTCTATGATTACCCAATATTTAATTCCCACTTACAAGTGAGAAGGTGTGGGGCCGGGCGCGGTGGCTCACGCCTGTAATCCTAGCACTTTGGGAGGCTGAGGAGGGCGGATCACGAGGTCAGGAGATCAAGACCATCCTGGCCAACACAGTGAAACCCCATCTCCACTTAAAAAAAAAAAAAAAAAAAAAGTTCAAAAAATTAGCCAGGCATGGTGGCGGGTGCCTGCAGTCCCAGCTACTAGGGAGGCTGAGGCAGGAGGATGGCGTGAACCCAGGAGGTGGAGCTTGCAGTGAGCCGAGATTGTGCCGCTGCACTCCAGCCTGGGGGACAGAGCGAGACTCCGTCTCAAATAAATAAATAAATAAATAAATAAATAAATAAGTGAAAACGTGTGGTATTTGGTTTTCTATTCCTGTGTTAATTCTCTTAGGATAATGGCCTTCTGGTGCATCCATGGTGCTGCAAAATACATGATTTCATTTTTTATGGCTGGGTAGTATCCGGTGGTGTATATGTATCACATTTTCTTTATCCAATCCACCAGCCATCAGCACCCAGATTGATTCTATGTCTTTGCTGTTGTTAATAGTGCTGCAGTGAACATATGAGTGCTTGTGTTTTTTTGTAAAATGATTCAATTTTTGTTGAAATATGCCCAACAATGGGTTTGCTGGATCAAATGGTATTTCTGTTTTAAGTTCTTGCCACGTATCCAAGATTTCCATAGTGGCTGAACTAATTTGCATTTCCACCAACAATGTATACGCATTCTCTTTTCTCCACAGCCTTGCCAGGATCTGTTATTTTTAGAATTTGTAATAATAGACACTCTGATTGGTGTGAGATGATATCTCATTGACGTTTGGATTTGTATTTCTCTGATAATTAGTGATGTTGAGCATTTTTTATATGTTTGTTGGCCACTTGTCTGTCTCTTGAGAAGTGCCTGTTGATGTCTTGTGCCCACTTTTGAATGGTTATTTGTTTTTTATTGGTTGAATTGTTTAAGTTCTTTACACATTCTGGATATTAGACCTTTGTCAAATGCATTCTTTGTGAATGTCTTCTTTCATTCTTTAGTTGGTCTGTTTCTTCTGTTGATAGTTTCTTTTGCTGTGCAGTAGCTCTTTAGCTTAATTAGATTTCACTTGTAAATTTTTGTTTTTGTTGCAATTTCTTTTGATGGAATAGTCATAAATTTGTTCCCAAGGCCAAAGTCCAGAATGGTATTTCCCAGGTTTTCTTCTACTTTGAGGTCTTACATTTAATTTTTTAATCCATCTTGAGTTAATTTTTGTATATGGTGAAAGGTTCACCATATACAATTTTTGTATGGTGAATTTTTGTATGACACATTTGTATGGTGTATTTGTATGGTGTGTTTTGTATGCTGTATTGTTGTATATGGTGAAAGGTTCAGTTTCATTCTCCTTCATGTGGCTAGCCAGCTATCCCAAAACAATTGATTGAATATGGAGTCCTCTCCCCTTTGCATATTTGTGTTGACTGTTGAAAATCAGATGGCTATAGGTGCGCTGCTTTATTTCCAGGTTCTGTATTCTGTTCCATTGGTCTAAGTGTCTGTTTTTGTACCAGTCCATGCTGTTTTGATTACTGTAGCTCTATAGTATAGTTTGAAGTCAGGCAATGTGATGCCTGTGATTTTGTTCTTTTTGCTTGGGATTGCTTTGGCTATTTGGTCTCTTTTTTTGTCCCATATGAATTTTAGATTAGTTTATCTAATTCTATGAAAAATGATATTGGTAGTTTGACAGAAATAATATTGAATCTATAGATACTTTGGGTAGTATGGCCATTTTTATGATATTGATTCTTCCAATTCATGAGAATAAAATGTTTTTCCATTTGTTTGCGTGTCATCTATGATTTCTTTCACCAGTGTTTTGTAGTTCTTCTTGTAGACATCTTCACTTACTTGGTTAGATGTATTCCTAGGTGTGTGCGGTGGGAGATGGGGGAGAATGTATTTGTGTACCAGATTTGGCTCTCGGTTTGAATGTTACTGGTGTATAGAAATGCTGCTGATTTTTTACATTGAGTTTTGCATCCTGAAACTTTACTGAAGTCATTTGTCAGTTCCAGGAGCCTTTTGGCATAATCTTTAGGGTTTTCTAGGTATGGAATCATATCATCTGCAAAGAGAAATAGTTTTACTACTTCTTTTCCTATTTGGATGCCTTTTGTTTCTTTCTCTTTCCTGATTTATCTGACGAGGACTTCCAGTACTATGTTGATTTGGAATGGTGAGAGTGGGCATCCACCTGATGTCTTTATATCTGGCACTTCAAGTCAGGAATTTATTCTTTGGCTGTGTTATATTATTAGTCAACCTACTTAAAAACACCTTTTCTTTTGCTATTGCATTTTTCATACTCAATATTTCCAATTAGTTCTCTTTATGACTATATGCCACAGCTTTTTGTTGCCAATCACTTTATCTTTTAAAACATATGTAATGCTTATTTAACATTTATATCCTTTTATCTATTAATTTAGGTTTGCATAGTACAGGAATTTCAATTTTGTATATTCCTTTTATAAACATTACCTTACTCAGATATTACTTTGTTACCTCATATTCCTAGGAATTTAATACGGACCTAGGTATGATGGGCTAAAGCCGAGGCTGTGCCCTCCTTGGTAAGGTTAAAGGAAGGAGGGTTGGCCAGGCACAGTGGCTCACGTCTGTAATCCCAGCACTTTGGGAGGCCAAGGTGGGCAGATCATGAGGTCAGGAGATCGAGACCATCCTGGCTAACACAGTGAAACCCCATCTCTACTAAAAATACAAAAAATTACCTGGGTGTGGTGGTACGTGCCTGTAGTCCCAGCTACTCAGGAGGCTGAGGCAGGAGAATTGCTTGAACCTGGGAGGTGGAGGTTGCAGTCAGCCAAGATCACGCCACTGCACTCCAGCCTGGGTGACAAAGTGAGACTCCATCTTAAAAAAAAAATGTAGGAGGGTAATTAACTCTAAGCAGAATACCATTGGTTTCATTATCACTCATCATTAGTAGTTCATTCTCAATGGACAATCCTACCTACACCGAAATCTTCCTTTACCTCACCTTCTGCCATTCCTCTTTCCAAGTGGGGTATTCCTTACTTGTAATTGAGAAAGTTTCTTCTGCTAAGATGAGGTAGGAAGAAACTCCAGGGACCAGTTTCAAAACCAACTGTTGTCTGTTCTCTGTCATGGGGTATTCCAAAATCCCCCTATATTAGCCAACTGACTGTGCTGGCCCAAACTCACCATTTTTTCAGCCGCATAGTGTAATGGAGAGTGGGAAGGATCTCCCTATAGATTTTTAGAGTAAGAAAAGAAAATACATACATTCATTTATGTTATTTAATGCCTTTTCTACATACGTGAATTTTTCTGCTTGACTGCAACTCACTGTCTCTCCAAAAATTCAACCAGGGTCCAATCAATTTCTGTTAGTTCCTCACAGTTCCTTTTCACTTATTTTTTATTGTGGCAAAATATACGAAACATAAAATGTATCAAGTTATTCATTGTAATATATGGTTCAGTGGTATTAAACATATTCCTACTGTTGTGCAACCATCACCACCATCTTCAGAACGTGTTTCATCCTTCAAAACTGAAAGTTTATACCCTAGAGGGGAGGCAAAACATTACCTCTACCCTCTTCAGGTTTTTCAACTGGGCCTGAACATTAAATTGACATTAAGATAGATCAAGAGGAGAAAAACATACAAATTTATTTAATACAAGTTCTCCATGACACAGGAGCCTTCATAAGCAAGTTAAAACCCAAAGACATAGAGTTAAACATGTATCAGCTGAATTGGCTGAAGAGTAGTGAATTATGAAAAGGCAAAGGAGCTTGGACATGGAGGCTTAATTTGGTGGAGAAGGGGCCAGAAAGATAAGGGTTAGTCTAACAATGTTTATTTGTACAGATTGTTCTTGGGCTCAACTTTCCATCCCTGATGATAAAAAGATGAACTTTCCTTCTAGTATAGGGAGGACATCTTTCACATGGGAATTTCATCTTCCACTTTTAAGAAACAAGACGAAATCAGGGTGTTTTTCTCTCAAAATAGTCAATATACCAGAGTGGCATGTTCTGAACTCCTAAAATGTAGTAAATAACGACTCTCCATTGTCCTCTCCCCACATCGCCTGAGTTTCTCATAGTTTTTCTATTGATGTTTCCTAGCTCCATCTTCTTTTCACTCATACCTGTGGGTTATTTGATGATTTGCCCCGAGCCTTTTTCCGTTCTTATTTCATCAAGGGGTCTCGACCCCTTTTGCTGCGATAGTGTTGATCATTATTGATAATCTAAACTCTAAATTTCCTAAATGCCAAGAAAGAATACTGACCAAATATATAAAATGGCATATTTCATAGATATTAGTATCTACTTTGGTGTTGGGATTATACATAATGATTAGTGGAATTATACATAAAAAGTCCCAGCTTTCACCATACCAGAAAACCAACACCATGGGAAAGTGTTCAGTCTTTGGCAGCACTCTGAAAAGGATTTTTGACAAAGCAAGATTTATGCACAGATGATAGCCAAAAAGATGTGCATAAAACTCTGCCATATGTGACAGAGTTGAAGTCATTATCTTACTTGTTGTGGAAATAAGAGAGGAAATATGATAGCTATGTCCCAAAATATATGGCGGTCCATTACATAGAGAAGAAAAGACATTTCAGAGACTAAATCAGGGTACAGGTAACAGTCATTAGAATACTGACAATTGCTAATAAATTTGTGTGTGGTGCATGCTTGTAGGGGGTTCATGAGATTTAGGAGCCAATCAAGGAAAAATTGATGACCACGAGGTGGCAGTAGCACATACAAATTTTATTTGAGACTCTTCCACAGGTGTGCATTGAGACCAGTCCCTCACAGCATGAGACTGCCCAGAGACTTAAGGCACCAGGGCTACTATCCATAAAAGAGGAAGTAAAGAAAATGCCCAGAGAGAGGAATTGGCAACAGAAAGTGTACTTATGTATCTAAGTGATGTCACTCTGTAGCACAATGGAGAGTCATTGGGTCAGAGAGCTGGATCCAAAGGGCAGCAGCAGCTGAGGGACTTTATAGTGCCTGGACTTATTATCTATGGTAGCAGATGTTGAGTGTAGTTTCTTGAAAAGACAGAAGGATGCTACTGACTAAAATTCTGCTTATTTGGGATATATTTTTTCAAAAATGGATGTGAATTTGAGTTTGGAACTGGCTGGGTTTTGAGCTTAACAGGTCATAGCCTGCTGTGAAGAAATAAACTAGGTAGGGGTCAGTATATGGAGGCTATCAGCCTATTGATATACCAGTGCTAAAGAGTCTTTTACTTATATGACTTCGGGAATTTTCAAGAAAGATAATTTTATTGCAGAAATATAACTGGAATTCTCCAAATGGAATGAACTGTTTTGACAGTATTATAGAAGTGGTTAAAGAGAGATTGCATTAAATGTAATACAAAACCGGTTTGAGGTCACTCTTGTTGCCATATTTAATTTGTATCATAGCTTAGGGTTTTAAGCCAACCAATCTATCTGTAATGAACAGTAAGCATAAATATATAAACACAATTTGAATACTTAAGTGGTATTAAAAAAACCTTAAAACTGTATTTTGAGTCAAAAATTCAGCAGTAGCAGTTCCTAGTTCTGTATAAATACAGAACTGCATGTGTATATGTACCTGTATACGTGTGTGTGTGGTGAATTTTTATAAAAGTTGACCAAATTTATTGGAACATTTGATTGTAATATCACCTGTTTGAATAAAATCTAAAAGCAAAATTCCTGAATATATGCTTATTTATCTTATTAATACTTTTCTACATTTCATATATGTTATATTACAGATAGTGATACAAAGTAGCACTGAAAGTTTCCTACTTTCCTTACTTTTTTAAAAAAAATTGAAAAGCAACACGTAAGTCCTTTCGATTATCTACTTAGGTGTATTTATGATTAAAATCGTATAGAAAAACTGGTGTGTTTCACTTCTCACTTAGCAATCCCAAGGTATAATACACAGCTCTATGCACTGTATCATAGATAAACTATATAATTATATTTGCAGTGATATGATTTCTTATCCATTTACATGGCAATTCCAGTGTTGTTTTTTTCCCAGCAATTGTCATGCAGTATAATAAGTAGCCAGTAGGATCCATATCTTACCAAAATGCATCAAATTTTAATAATACTAGAAAAAATGTATATTTCAGCATGAACATTACAAAATATACCTAATATTTTGGGGATACTCATAATAACAAACTCTATATCTGATAGTTCTCACCTTGGTTGTAAAAGACATAGTCTCACCCATGGATTTGACATAAACACTGTGTAGCAGAGTAAATGATCTTAATGGCTGTCAGTTTGGCAGTACATTAACTAATACTAATGCCTTCCTTCCCTTTACACCAATACATAGTTTCTAAGTGTGGCTGGCTAGAAAAGAAATTTACAAGGCAACCCAAGCAAAATTTGGTTTCAAAGAGAAAATGCAGACAATTTTGGTTTCAAAGAGAAAATGCAGACAATTTTTTTTTTTTTTTTTTTGAGATGGAGTCTCGCTCTGTCACCCAGGCTGGAGTGCAGTGGCGTGATCTACGCTCACTGCAGACAAATATTTTAAATATTTAGTCTTACCAAAGAAAATTATTCTTATGAAATAGCACCTTCCTTTTATTTCTTGATATCTACTTAAGTAGAATTAGTAGGAGAAATACATTAATCCCTAGATGGAAAAGGTGTAGTTAAAATTAAAAACCTCACATCAGAGATGGCAAGTCTGCACTAGCAATCAAATCAGTCATCCATTTATTATAAGAATTTTTAATTAGATTGTTATAAATGACTTCAGTGTCTACTATGTATATGACATTGCTATGTACACAATAGGTCTACCAGTTAGAATTTCTTATGTTGCATTCAACAGAAAACCTAAGTTTAGGTTTACTTTGCTCTGCTAGCTAATAGATTATTTTAAACATTCAGTAGTTATTATGTTTTTCCCTGTCTTGCTACTGCTGTGGTTCAGTGTCATTTTTAGTATGGCTCCACTGGTGAGCACAAAATTACTGCCATCTGCCCCAGGGTCTATTCATTCATTTAAACAAAATGTCCCTCCTCCAGAGGTAAAAAAAAAAAAAAAAAAAAAAAAAAAAAAAAAATGTCTGAGACCTTAGTCTGATTAAATTAACCCAGATGCCTGAACCAGTTACCCCATGCAAGGAATGAGATTATTGTGGTAGTTTTAGGTAAATTAGATCCTACACTTGATGGGAATGAGTAAATTATAGTGAGGAATCTAACAATTAAGCATCATCCAAAAGTAAATAAAAATTTCATTATTTTTTCTAGGTCTCGAAGTTTACTTTGTTTCCCATAATTGATTGTCTTATAAGAGTTACCTGTATTGTGAAAATGTTCCTTTCATTTATTTCTGAATGTCCAGGCTCAACTTTAAGCAATATAGAAACAGAACATTCATTTACTGCTGGCTTTTAGCACATCTACATATGGAACAAGTCCTTCTTCTGTAAGGTTTGTGTATCCCTGAACACCACTTTTTGGAAATTGGTCTCTGCACTAAGCTAAACAGGTTTTTCCCTAATACACCCTTTGGATCAGTGAAGTCTCCATAATAATCTGATGTTCCTCAGAAATACTAATGCACAGTACGTAAGTGGGGTGGACTCCGACTCTTACACCTCCATGGCTACCGTAACTGCCATATTGCTTTGAATATTTTGTTTAACCTCCCTGATCTCATGTTCTTCATTTATAAAATGAAAATAAGACCAACCTCAATGGCTTGCTCAAATTCACTTCATATAGTATTTGAGGGCACATAGCCTGCTACCTGGTAGATAATGATTTGTGAACAATCTTGTAATCTGTTAGTGAAAGCTTAAATCATTACGACTCTTTCAGTTGATATTTGATAACATCTATTGTCTTTAAAAATAAGCATATGTTTTGACCTAGCCATTCCATCACCAGGAATTTACTTAGAGGATATTATTAGAAGTATTCATATATATTTATGTAATGAGGTCTTTATTACATGTTATATAAGCAATTTTTAAAATTATAAGATATTAAAAGCAAAATAATAGACAAATAGACACCCTTTCACATCTTTTAGTCATTGTCATGTTAGCCAGTTTTACTATGAGCACAGCACATTGATAAGCCAAGTTTATCTTATCATATGGTTTTTCTCTGTTTTTTTTTCCACAATTACAGTGTGAGATCCATGAAGAAAAGAATCTTACCTGTCTTATCTGTTGCTGTGTCCTCAATGTCCAGAACAGAGACTGCTGCTTAGTAAAATATACAGTGGGTTTAATTATTTAACAAAGACAGAAATATGTAAACACTTATTAAGCATTTAAGTGTAAACTTAGTGCTTATGAACATTATGTTCATTATGTGAACAGGCATTTAAGAACACGAGAAGGCAGACCATATGATGACAAATGAACAAATAACATATATATATCAAGTGCTATGGGATCAAAATTGAAAACTTATTTTGCAAATTTTCCATAAATGATAGCAATAGTTATGCCTATCTTTATTTTCCCCTTTACGTGTTTCCATAATGCCTAGATTTACTGCAGCATATTTTATTACTTTTATAATAGAAAGTGATTAAAATTCAGTTTACAGTTTTTAAGCTTTTCTCTTACTCCTTCCTCATCTAAGCTCACCATTTAGCCAATTAGGTACCTAACAGGTGTAGAAGGAAGAAGTCAGAGAAGTAGTGAGTTTTAAATAGGGGTCAGGAAAATCTAGTGCCTACCTGGAAAAGCCAGGCTTGGGGGAAGGAAAGCCATTTATGGATCCAAGAAGCAAAAAGGGAGCAGGAAATCACAGAGCCAGGCCCATTCACTTATGTGTTATTTGTGTCCATTTTTGCACTACAATAATGGTGAGTTGAGTAATTGCCATAGATACTGTGTTATCCCCAAAACCTAAAATATTGACTATCTGATCCTTTAAAGTTTGCATTTTCCTTAGATAAGACGTCTGAATTTTTTGACTCATTAGATAATATTTGTTAACCAAATGTAGCCTCTCCCTGCTTCTCTTAGGTGACATTAAAGGTCGTGCCAATTCCAAAAGTTTCAAAGTGTTGCTCTTAAGTAAATATTTAGTTTCTTACTCTAATTAAAAATAAGAGAGCTAGAAAAAAGATACAGATAAGTCACATGAAGATATTGCTTTCAAAAATGTGGAAAGGGGAGGTATAAATTTAGAAAGCGATATAGAAATCTGATGACTGTACTGACTTTTAAAAATTATATTCACATTTAGATTTAAAATGGAGTGGTTATTAAATTCTCTAAGTATCAATGTATGAAAGTAAAACATATGAATGATTGAAAAGCAGTGCCATCACCGAGAATTGAGTTCTCTATGAAATTTGACCTTTCATTTACATTTAAAATAAATTATTTTGAATACATAAATTCATGGAAATTTATTTAAATACTTCTCCAAAAATAATTGCTTGGGATTCATTACAATGCTATAAGTAGAGCAGATACACAGTAAAGCAGTTTAGCTAATTTCATATCCCAAGTTTTATGCCAACTGAACTATACATTTGATTGTATTGATTCTGAAATTCCTCTACAGCACCACCCCTGTTGAACTGCACACATCCCTCTATAAATACAATCTGTTTTGAAGGTGTAAGTCTTTTAGTTATTTTCTAAAGTTTGCCAAAGTGGCATGTGTCTCTGCCAAAATGGGAAACATGGGACGATTTTTGTGCCTCTAGGTGGCTCTAAAATGGCATGCCACCATCTGCCACTGGGCATGTTCTAACGATAAACATTTAACATGCTGTATCTAGTTTTACAAGATTACAAGTATTCTGAGTCTTTGTCTACTTTGTAACCACAAAGAAAGTTAACACACAAACACACTTACACAAATATGCATGCACACACCAAAACACACACAATGAAGCTTTTACATCAACTGTTTCACTTAAGGAGAAAATTATTTTATTATAATGCTTTGCTGTTTATGTGATGTTAATGCAATAATCAATATACTATCAACAGGAAGATGAGCAACATAAAAGTCACATCAGTATCTTCTGAGGTAGATTTCTATTTAGTTTCTTCTTCAGAGGTATTAAAATTTGCAGATTCAGTATTGTAACAATTAAGATAAAAAAACTTGTTTGCTGTACACTGACTCACAGGTAATCACTGACACCAGGTTATCAAAACTTTCTTCGAAAAATATAAATATTTGAATGCAATTTATGTGAAAAGAGTAGTTTGCTTTGTTTTATACATAATCCAGTATGGTGAATTGCATATACGAAAAAAGAAGAATGAAGTAGATTCTCACCATGGACACTCCATAATTTGTGTCGTGTCTATATCATGCATTGTTTTTGTTTTTTTTTGTTCTGTTTTGTTTTTCAATAAGAATATGAGGTACAGTGTTTGAGAACTTTTTAAAAAAATTATTTTAGTGTACAGACCTAAAAGTGCTCTGTATGTTTCATTACTGCTCTTTTGTTTGGTGATAGATCCCTGCCTCAAATAAATACAGTTCTATTTTAAATTCCCTCTCTCCCTCCATCCCTCATTTTCTTCCCCCTCCCACTTGTCTAGTCCTTTTAGAGATGTATATACACACAGACACACACACACACACACACACACACACACACATCTCTTGTCTAGTCCTCTTAGAGATGTATATACACAGAGACACACACAAATTTCTTATCTAGTCCTCTTAGAGATGTGTATACACACAGACACACAAGCATCTCTTGTCCTCTTAGAGATGTATATACACAGAGACACACACAAATATCTTGGCTAGTCCTCTTAGAGATGTTTATACACACCTAGCCACACACACACACACACACACACACACACACACACACACATCTATTCAAACCAGATCCATTTTCTCCCTGTAAGATGGTTATATGAATGAAGGTGGCTTGATTCTCACACATGGAAGCATTCTACTTAAGTATTACCATGCTGACCATGGTTCCCCTTTGCATCCTCCTTTCCTCCTCATTCAGCCCTAGATTCCTTTCTTGATCAGTATCCATACTCACTTCCAATCATGCTTAAGTTTATCTCCAATTTCTCCGTTTGTTAGAACCATCACTTGACAATTTAAGACAATTGTCTTAAATTTTGCCTGCACCAAAGCAGCTGACTAGTTATAACTTGAAAAAAAAAGTACAAAACCTCGTTGATTGGACTCACTTCAAAATTTATCATCACAGATCTCAACTGAGCCCTCAATACTGCCAAGTATTCCCATGATTGTACTTTTTAATAAATTCACCTTTGCACTCTTTATGTTAACTCTGTTCTCTAGCTTACTTCGTTATCTCCATTCAACTCCTCAGCCTTCCCACCATTACAGCTAAAGAAGATGCCTTTGGAGCCAGCCCTGCCCTTTGTCCTAGACATTATATTTTCTCTTCTCTCAAGTATTTGAATCCAGCAATTACCCTCTAAGCACCAATTCCTAACTCTGCGGAGTTTTTCATTTCAATGCACAAAACTACCTTAATATCATCCATCTTAAAGAAAAACAATGCACCCTTTACCTCTGGACTCCCATTATTCTGATCTCCGAATTAGCCGTATTTTTAAAAATATTGTCTATACTATATGAATGTTCTTGGTCACTGCCCATTGTCTCCTTAATTCAGTCTAATTAGGCTCTAGCTCCCATCATTTTTCTAGTTAATGAAAACAGTCCAGAGTTTACCCAAGTAGGTGGTCAGGTCTCTGTCCCTGTCTTATTAGACTTGTCAGCCGCAATTAAAACAGCGTACATTTCCTTGTTTCTTGAAATGTTTTCTTGTTTAAACTTCCATGACATGACATTAGTCTGTCCTGTTGTCTGTGTCCCTCTAGTTTCTCTAACCTTTGCTAGGTTGCCTTGACCAAAATATTTCATAATTTTCAATTACCTGAGCTTGTTTCCTCCTAGCTATCCTCTCTCTTGCTTCATTCTTTCCATAGGCGATACCATTTAGTTCATGTCACTGCATGTCACATTGAATTCCTCAAATTTAGATGTGGAGTCTGGACCCCATCTCTTAAAATCAGACTGAATATCCACTGCCTCACCAAGGTCTTCACTTGTATAAAGAATAGACTTCCAAACCTAACAGTTCCAGAAAGCACTTAGACATCCAAGCTCCAAATCGTATGCCCTCCAGAAGCCCTCCTCATTTTAGCAAATGGGACAACCACACACCACCTTTACAGGATAAGGCCTAAGATATATCCTTGATTCTTCCCTACCCTCTTGCCTCACACCCTTGCTATCAGTAAGTGCTGGTGGCTGAATCTCTACAAATCCACCCTGAGCTGACCACGTTTCAGCATTTCCAAAGCTAAAATTGAAAGCTACACCATCATTGTACCCAGCCTGGACTACATAAACAGCCTCCCAACTGTTCTCCCTGTCTTCTCTCCTCACTTCCTACAGCTCATGGTCCATATTGCTACCACTGGTCTTTCTGAATTATCTATCACATAATTTTGTTTCTCTGCTTAAAATCTTGTAATTGTGTTTTATTTCACTTGGCATAAAATCCAAACTTGACATATGATTCTATGCGTTTTTGCCTGTGGCTCCACTATCATATCTTTCCATTACCCTTCGTGCTCTCTGGTGTTTATTTCTCCCAAGGCCCCTGACATTGATCTTGCTTCTTCTCATGATGTTCATTCCCCAGATGTTTTCGTGGCTTCTCCATTCATCTTCCATGATGAAACTTGAACATTATCCTCTGATTACCCTAAACAAGTAACTGGTCCATCAGTTACATCTACCACGTAACTACCACATTACTTGTTTCTTTATAATACTGTTTAGTAAAGTTATTTGTTATCACATTTTTGGTGTGTTTATGGCTCCTAACTCCCAACCCCAAATCTGTAAACTCTTTGTAGGCAAGAAAACTATTTATTCTTTAAACGTTTCACCAATGCCTAGTGTACTGCCTAGCATGTAGAAAATGCTCAATAAATTTAATTGCTTGACCGACTAGAGCAAAATAGATTAATTATTCTCAGTATTTTTTTAATTAAAAATTCCATCTCATTCACAACTTAACAGATGTTAAAATATTAACTGTCTTTTCTTGCTGGTATTTTCTAATTTTTCCTATACCAAAGAGGCTCCAAAAATTTGTTTTTATGAATATATTATTCATGGGAGGGTCAGTTTAGTGGCAGAGTTAGATTTTTTAAGATAGTAGAATTTCATGAGATGGAGTGAAAGCTCTAGTTAGACATGGACCTCAGAGCTGGAAGCCCAGAATCCAATCCAGATTTAACAATGGCTTGTTGCACAGCATGGAGAAGTTGATTTACCTTCTTATAACAGTTTCTTCTTTAATATATAGATTCAGTATTAGTCAAGTCCCAACTATACAGATAGGGATGTTTGAGAATTAATTAAAGAGTATCTATAAGATTCTTTGACTTGACTTTAAAATGTATCATTAAAGTAGTAAAAAAAAAAGATTTAGACATTACTATAATTAGGAACTTTTTTTCATCTTTTATCAGCTAGTTAACATTGTCAATATTGAAGAATAATGAACACCACTGGCATACTAAGGGCAGGGAGTTGGGAAGAGTCAGCAGATGCATGCAAGAAGGAAAGGCACAGCCTACAGACAATTAAAATCCATTACGAACAGTAAGAAAACTGGCTAAAAGTTAGCCTACTTTTTATTTTCTATGCTAGCAATTATAAGCAATGTCAATGACAAAATATGCTTCCATTAAAAATATATTTTTTTCTTTTTGGAGTTCTAAACAATTGCTATAGTTACTGCAGAGTTTTAATAATGTAAGTGTAGGCTTCTAATGATCCAATTTTATGCCTTTTCCTTTAATAAATATTGTAATCTCTATGGAAGTTAACATGGAGAACTCTCAGTCACTCAATAAGACACAACTACATTTGTTCATTTCAAGAGTAAGTTCATATTGGCTCTGAATCATTCTAGCTTCCTTCAAGCGCAGCTTGAATGTGCTATATGTTCCTTCATTAGACAGTAGGTATGAAGCAAGCAATACTGGCACAGAAATTGTCGAGATGAAGGAAAGAATGTGGGTTTCTTCTATTCTACTCTTCTCTGTGACCACTTGAAGATTTCGTGTTTAAAATTTTGAAGCCCCCGGAATAGGCTTTGAAGAAGCTAAATCAAGAATAGCATGGTAATTTCTGATTATTGTCAAATGGATTTTAACTAATCTCTGCCATAGTTATATGTATATTAAGGACTTTTTCTAACCACTTATATACATGCTACTTCAGGAGAAAGAAACTTTTAGAAATTAATAAAAATTTAACAGTGAATATAGATGGAAAATTCTAATCATCTTTTAGTAGGATGTGAATATATGAAGTTATTGACAAATTTGTGGAAATTATGGCTGGAAGAAAGAAACTAATGCTATTTTTAGTTTTTATTATTATTATTATTAATATGTATATTCCCTGTAAAAAATTAATAGTAATAGTGTCAATTATTACTTTTTGTACTGATTTGATTATATAAAACATTTTAGTAAGAAATTTTAACTATAATTTTTTGTTATTTCTTTTTTCATGATTATCACTAAAAATAATTTTGTTGCACAGAGAAGTGATGTAAAATATGACCCATTTTTCACATCCATTATTCTAGGTATGAAGAAAGATACAATCACTCTTTCTTTAAAACATTTCCAATCACATACACATATTTGTTCTTGATCATGGCCAGATTTTTAGTTTTCATGTCTATAGAAAAAAGTTGACATCATTCAAATAATTATGATTAATTATTATGTTGCACTGTTCAACATATTAGAATAAAAGCATGTCTGTAGAAGTGGGGCCTACTTCCATTTCTTCTTGCTGCATTATAAACATAATGAATACTAATTTTAATCATCCAAATAATGGTTTCATGAATTTCTCACATACTATATTTCCTGTTTTAATTGTCAATAGTTTTTTTATTAAAATGGCAAAAATCTTGAAGTGTTGAGACTTCATCTGATCAGATCATTTTTCAGTTCTGAAATTTGCTGCACATAAATGTATTATGTATAAAGAAAAAGTGATGATCAAATTATTATTTAAGAATAAATATAAGCAGCAAATAAGTCCCGTAAATACTAGAAATTATCCATGAGAAATTGTTCATGCTTTTTATACTGACACCTAAAGTTAGTTATCCTTCAAGGGACATTCTTATCTACTTGTTTGATTAGGTGACACCATCTAATTTTGCAGCAAACTGTAAAATTCAATTCTCCTTTTCTCATCCCACTAACATAGGGGGAAAATACACAGCCTTCTCTGTTTTCAAACGGTTAGTTTCCTCCATTCTTACTCATTGCTGGGAGATTGAGTGGCTCTCTAATATTTTGTTTCAGCTTCTGCCTATGTGTTGGTAGAATCTATTATACATGTTTCTGTTGCATGAGGGAAAAAAGAGAAAGAAAACTCCTTAGTGCATTTGTCCTGTAAGCCTGTTAGAGAGAAAGAGCTCAGTGAATATTTGTGGACTGGATAAATGAATATAGCCAAGATAATGTGTTTTAAGAAGAACCGTATTGGTTGCCTTGCTCACTATTTTTCTGACCACCTTTACACTTTCTCAGGATGTAATCTAGGATGAATACACCAAGTCAAGAAGCTGCCAAAAGCATGTCCCTGCAAGTCCGCTCCCTTCTCTTTTCTCACCTCAATCTACCTTAAGGAATAGTTTTTGGACCTGTCAGGTTCCCAGCAAGAAACAGATGGAGTGCTCAAATTTAGATAATTTGAGAAGGTTTTTATAAAGGGACTATTGACAAAGGAATTATTTGAAAATGTACACGTTAATGCAATTATTCAAGTGTACTTTGGTTATATTTATTATAAGAATTATATGTTTTCAATATATTTATATGTAAAAAATATAAATTGAAGAATCTTTAATTTGCTAAGTGATTTTGGATTTCGGGAAATGGTTTAGCAAAGAGTTTCTTTAAAAGAATAGAAATGATCATTTCTGAACCTCACAGGCATGGCAATGAGTAAATGAGGTCATCTGTGTATGAAATTCATTGGAAACTGAATGTTTTAAATTCAAGGTTAAGGTGAGAATGTACCATATTATTACTAGTATTTAAAAGGTAAGAATGTGGAATATTATTACAGGTATTTAAGGGGTAAAGATATATTTCAAAAAATATTAATTCACATACAACTCTTGAGGAACATACATTGACATACATAGGTATAACCAGCTAGCTAATTTTCTTTTGCATATCTGCAAACAGTGTCATATCCATGCTTAGAAGTTAGATAATGTTTGAAACATAGCAGTTTTTCAGGGATTATTTTCATTATTTTTGTTAAATAATCATATCCTTTGTTTCAAATTAATTTTATTTACTTGGCTTGTGGATAATACATGCAACATACTGGCTACTTATTCTTATTTAAAAGGACAAGAATTTGAAGCACTATTTTAACAATGTATATAATTCTCCATATCGATTGGGACTGAATTAAATCAGTCAATCACAAATGTGTCACAAAAAATAATCTGGCACTTGAGACAGGAAACTATATGTCACACAAATTGCCCCATGTAATTCCAGAGAGCGTGTTCATCTGCTCAAGTATTATCACGGAGGTATTCCAGGTTGCACTTTGTACCTCTCAGCTCAGTAAGACATTTGAGTGCACAGTCAGTACAGTACTTGCCAAGCAGGGGGTAGAGATTTCACTTCAAATGCAGGGAGTTGTCAATGAAAACTCAGGGGGTGGCCAGATACAACAGTGTATTAGGGCAAAGCTGAAGCGTTCTTGGAAATGAAATCCATTTCTGAGGTGCAGTGTCACATTTTGATATTATTTTTCATTTATTATCAAAAGGAGCTCTTCCCTTCTGTTTCATTTACTTGTGATTTTCCAAAGACAAAAACTTAAGAATGTGAAAACAAGAAAGGGTAAAGAAAAGAAACTTAATGAAGCTTAGGTCTACAAAGTAGACTATTTGCCTGTATTTTCCAGAGGTATGAAGACAAGTCCAATTTATACCTGTAAAGGAGTGTTATAATTGGAAATGTTTCAAAAGCTAGCTCTCACCTGAATCCCAGAGGCACACTGTGTTTATAGAGAGTGCCGCATGCTCTGCTCTCATTTATAAACTTGGCAATTTCTTTTAACAGAAAAGTAGGCAAAGAGACAGGTGTATGATTCCAACTGCCTGGAGTTTATTTAAATAGTCTATTTACTTTTCTGTTGAGTATAATAAAAAGTATTTACCACAGCATATGCCACATGACAGGGCACTTTTGAATTTTTAGAAAATCTTATGTTGCGAGAAGACAGACTTTGGGAACTAAATCTTCATTAGAGCTGTGATTTAACTAGCAGATTCCATCAGCGTACAAGCAGTCTCAATTAAAGCTGGATGAAAGCTTTTTATTAGCTTGTCTCTTTAGATTTCAGAGAAATAGTATCTTTCCACTGCCACCCTCACATATAATAGCATTAAGTAATTTCAGTTTCAACTTAGCATCAATATTGTTGAGAAGGTAATTCTTTTTGAGTATTTCATTCAGCTCTCATAAATCATAAACACACATTTTAGTGATAGAGAACAATTTGGCAGACGTATATCTGTGCAAAAGGCTGTGGCCTGATAATAATGCAGTCGGACAGTGGGTTTCAACCATTATTTGAATCGACTACACTAAGGCAATAAATTATTTTCATTTTAGAATGACAGGGTTGCACATCTTCCATGCTGTGCCTCACCTGGTTGTGGTTATCACAAACCCCTTTATTCTATAACAAATTATGGCAAATGGAAAGGGCTTTATAGTGATGACTTGTAGGTAATATCTCCTGATAATAAGGATGTAACACTTGCTGCCACAACAAATTTACTTCCTGCTGGCATTTTTTATATGATGTTGCCTGCCGTTTTTCTCATTGCCCTTAGATGCCAGAGGCTTTCATATATGGTCTGACAGGTGGTCGAAGATAATCCATCCTGTGAAGTACTTTTAATGTGAAGAATACATCATCTATCATATGTGAATTTGGATTGGTTTCATTCTCCTTTTCTTATTCCTGGTATAATTAATCTTCTACAATTAACAATGTGTCAGATCAATCACTGATTTTTAATCAGGATAATTTACCACCTTAAAACAAGATTAAAACTGATTTTTGAGCCCATGAGTCAAAGACTTGACTTCAATAAGTTTAAGCCAATCTAAAGACCACGGAAATATTTTTATGGTATTAAAGTGACTCTGTGTTCTGTTTTAACCACACATGGGAGCCCTTTGTAGCTCTGGATATCCTTCCAGAGGAGGAATAGTGCCTGAGGCCTGGCTCCATGACTTTCCGGCAGCCTTTGAGGGAGGCACAGAGAAATGGTGGAGGCGATGGAGGACAGAGACAGCATATCAAGGTTTTGTTTGAACCAGACAAAAGCCAGAGTTTGATCAGCAAATCACAGAAGGGAACAAATCCTACTTGTGTCATGTGGAAATGAAAGAGAGAAAGCAAACAAATCAGGCTAAAACTTAACCCCAAATGCCTGTAAAGACTGTGGGTTTTCATTGAGTTAATTTGAGATGGGATAGACTGTGAGATATTTGGGCCCAATAAGATGACCACTTGATTCAGATATCATCTATGAAATTCTGTATGGTCACTGTCAGACTGTCGTTCATGTATATATACATATGCATGTAAGTGTGTGCACGTGTGTGTGTATGCACAATCCTTTTTGCACATGTAGCTAATGGAAAAATTTATAACCGTGTTTTGGGAGAAGTTGTGAAATTTATGCAGGTTTGTTTTGAATATTCTGGTGACTGCTGGACAAGCTGAGCTAAATTATATTGGCTAAAAAAACTGAGTATTTTGAGCAGATGGTTAGTTTCTTTATATTAAACAGTTTTCCACACCAAAAAGCAGTCAGTCAAACTTCCTAATGGCACTTTGATATGTATGCCATTTCTGATGTGGCATAGACAAAATGGAACTGGAAAAAAATCATATCTTTGTACATGGGCAGGCCTTTGTGGGCTAATACAGAGCTGTCACTGGAGGGAGGGAGTGGAACTCCTTAGGTTGTATACCTCCATTTAGACTCATATTAAGCTTCTGTAAAATATTCAGCTCACACATTATTCTGACTGTCTCATGTGGTGCAAAAATTAGATATTGCTGACCTGGTACTACTTGATGAGGCAATATCAGCCCTAAGTAACATCCTTCATGCTGATTTTTGTGTGAACAGTCAATTGACAAGCCTAGACATCTGAACAATTGAGTGCTAGCATCAGCTACCTGTTGGTTTTATTTTATTTTTTCTTATTTTGCCTTTCAACTTTATTTTACATTTTTTCTTTTCCATTATCTTTTCCCTGAATGACCTTTACAGTGTGTCTTTTTTTGGTGAGAATAGACAGCTACTTAGACTGAATGTTTTGGACTTTTTCTGACCTAAACTCAGAGGACTAAGATTATACTTTAAAATCAATCTTCTAAGTCTTTATAATTATTTGATTCCAGAACAGGAATACATGTCCTATGAACATGTAATTTATGAGCCAACTCCTCAGGAAATCAGGCAATGATATAGCTTGGATCTGGAAGCCGTACCCTAACATGTGGTGGTATCAATTGGGAAAGATTGGGTATAGAGGACATTTAAGTTTGACAGGTATCAACTTATCAAGAGACAGGGTCCATCACTGGGACTATGCCCAGTTCCATCCCTGAGATACCAATGTGGGGCAAATCAATTTCGATCATCTATTTTTAGATTTGGAATGCATTTTCACACACAATGGTGTTTTAAATCAGCATTTTCAAAACTGATCTAGACATTTTGAGCTTAAAAATTCACTATGATAATTTTTATTTTATGTTTGTATTTATGTCAACAAAAATCTAAATATATTACATTAAAATATGGGCAGCTAATTATGATGCCTACATTTTTGTTTGCATTTGTGATTGTTCTGGTACCATACATTGCATCTTAATCGATGTGGACTTATCATGTTCCATCCATATCAAATGAAGGAAAAGAATTTCAAAATGTGCTTTATCAATAATAATTTGAAATGTTCAGAAAAATGACATATGGGGCAATTGGGTCATTTAGTACATAAACATGTATAGAGTTATATAGCACCATATTTATGTCAGAAGGGCAGTATGGTTTCATGTAAACAGCATCATTTGTCACTTTAAGTTAGAGTTAGTTTAGATTTAGTTGTCATTGTTGATTTGTTTTTATTTAATCTGTTATTTTTGATTTTGTAAGCACTATATACTATGTTAAAATTAATCCTAGTTTTATATTTATAGATGGTTAAGTAAAAGGTGACTAAGAAATATTGTAGCTGAACCCGGTGAGTTTGAAAAACTTTGCTTTTCTTTGAGACTTTCTATATATTATTCACATTTGAGAAAAACTGTTCTAGATGACATTTAAATGGTAAGATACTTCAAATATATTTTGGCGTAAGTAGGCATTTGAGGACTATGCTAAAGCTCTAAGAACTATTTGGAACACTGTTTCTATGGGAAAATAATGTTGGAAACTTTTCTGTTAGCACTGATGAAAACATAATAGGCAATATTCTGTTTGTTGTTATCCAATCCAAAATACTTAAATATTTTCTAAAAATTAAAAAAGAGGAGGTGGCTGTCCCGGCCATCCTTACTAACTCAAAAAATAAAAAGCAATGCCCCTAAGTTGAAAAAGCCCAAATGAAGAGGTTGGAGGGCACAGGGCAGGTCGGAAAGAAAGAAAAAAACCAAAGATTCTTTCTCAACAGCATAAAATGTGTCATGATGTAAAAAGCTAACATGCTCAGTATTGTAGTAAACAATGACATTATTTTGCACATGTAAGGACAACGATTTCTATATAGCATAAATCATTGTTTGTAAAGAGAAATAAATCTAGTTTCATAAATTTATTTTTACATTCTGTATTTTCCTCAAAGTAAAATAACCAAGTCTCATGGGTGGAAAAAAATGGTGAGCCCTTTGCTTAATTGGAATAACAATTTCCTTTCCTCCAGTCCTCACTAATGTTCTGCTATTCAGGAACACATTGTGAATTTGACCCACAGTCATATTTTCTCCAAATATTAAATAAGAAATTCACAAATAAGTAAACCAAATCAAAAGATAGTAAGTCTTCTTAATGAAATATATATCTACATATGTATTTTCTTTCTATCCCAAGTTGATACACAGCTTCAATGGCAACAGGGGTTTTGTGTCTATGGCTATGGTCTCACTTCTCTGAGAGAATATTTTCTGCCTGACTGCTATGTCATGGAGCCAAATACCTCATAGACTCAGCCTTTGCACACACCTCACATTGGCTCCAACTACTATCCAATCAGGGTATTTTTATTACCAAATAATATCCAAAGACCTATATTTTCTTGCTAAATGTTTACTTCATTTCATTTATTTTTAATGAGCCTTGTCTGTATGTGTTTGTTCAAATTAGTTAGATCAAAATTATATATAAGTTAGGCTTTCTTGTTTTTCTTTTCTTTTTTTTTTTTTTTTTTGAGATGGAGTTTCATTCTTGTTGCCAAGGCTGGAGTGCAATGGCACGAACTCAACTCACTGCAACCTCCGCCTCTTGGGTTCAGGCGATTCTCTTGCCTCAGCCACCCAAGTAGCTGGGATTACAGGCATGCACCACCATGCCCAGCTAATTTTAATTTTTAGTAGAGACAGGGTTTCTCCATATTGGTCAGGCTGGTCTCGAACTCCCAACTTAAAGTGATCTGTCTGCCTCAGCCTCCCAAGGTGCTGGGATTACAGGCATGAGCCACTGTGCCCAGCATAAATTAGGCTTTCTTAATGGGTATATATAGGTGGTTATAAAGTTTATGATTGTTAGCATCCTTGACCACCTAAATTCGATCTAGATCTAGATCTAGATCTAGATCTAGATCTAGATCTAGATCTAGATCTAAATATTCTATTTAGAATATCCTCTTGTTGATTTCTGTGTTCCTCATGGTTACCAGCATAGCTTCCTTCATGGTTTTACTGCTTCCTAAGCTATACATATGTACAACTATGAGTATATCACTGTGAGGTAGTCTTAGTAATGTCTTACAGCTGGTTTGTGACAATTAAATAAAGCAATATTTATTTGAAAAGCCCTGCAAGGTGTCTTAGTGTGGGATCACCTGGTAGCCCACTCTGTCACAGGAAGGAATGGAAGGAGGGAGGGGGTAGGGCAGGCAGGAAGAAAGGGAGGGAAGGAGGGAGGGAGGGAAAATTTTTATGATTTAGAGGCAGTTTTGAGACTTGGACAATTCTTGTATGTATTTTTTTTCATGTAAGTAATTGTTCGGGAAATACAAATACAGGCATAAATCCTAATATCTGTTAACGAATTGCCTTCATGAATGTGGCACTTTTGTTAAATCACATGGGCTTCTTTAATCAAGATGCATTTTATTTCTGAGTTACAGCCAACATAATTTGTAAAGGTAATGATATATGTTATTCAGATTCCAATACAAAGATTTTTCATGAAGGTATAAAAGTCTAATTATAACTGCTGAAGGGTAGACTGGTAACACAAGCATTCATTGATAAGTACTTCTTGAGAAGTCCATTAAAACAAAAAGAAAAAGAGTGAGAGAGAAAGAGAGAGAAAGAAAAGAAAAGAAAAAAGAAAAAAGAGGAAGAAACGAAGAGAAAGGCGGGATTTTTAAATCTTTCATTATAATACAGATAGCCAAGTTATTTTGGCTCTGGGCTTCTAAGTCATGTTTTATTTTCATTGGTACTTATTGGTTCATTCAAAGTAAACAGAGTATCAAATATACTTTAAATGGTTGTGTGTATTTTGAAATCTACATACAAGGTAAACGGAGTAGTTTTAGCACCAACCATCTCAAAAAGATTTTTGTCCCGTGGAAAAACCTACAAGTGAATACTCCATGGCTTACCTGCTTCCTGGATTTTATGACTTCATCCATTTGGCAATAGCTAGAAAAGAGTGCCTTCTTAGCTCAGGCATTTTCTATTTCTCAAAGTTTGAAATTTTCAAAAAAATTTGGTCTACAAATTATAAAATAATAAGGAAGTATGTAAAAAATCAGTGGTGGCTCATGCTTGTAATCCCAGCAGTTTGGGAGGCCAAGGTGGGTGGATCACCTAAGGTCAGGGGTTCAAGACCTGCCTGACCAACATGGTAAAACTCCGGCTCTACTAAAAATACAAAAATTAGCCAGGTGCGGTGGCACACGCCTGTAATCCCAACTACTTGGGAGGTTGAGGCAGGAGAATCACCTGAATCCGGGAGGTGGAGGTTGCAGTGAGCCGAGATCGTGCCCTTCCACTCCAGACTAGGCCACAAGAGTGAAACTCTTTCTCAAAAAAATCACCTGTCCAAACTGACACCCTAGTGAGTTGCACATCTAATAGATGACATAGTTTTTATTTAAAATAAAAAATTATTTTCAAAATTTCCTAACTAGGAATTACAGAAAATGAGTCAGAAGGGTTTAAATAGACCCAGTTGAACATGACAAAAAGGTTTATATGAGATTGTGTCCAGTACAGTATTTTCAACAATAAAATTAAGAAAAAAATATAAATTAAGATTAAAACATTTCTTCCAATCACTAAAGCAAATGAACCAGAAAACCTATAGCTCAAATTATCACATAATGGTGAAGCTCAGATTGTCATGTCAAAGTGGTGGTAAATTTCTCAATTTACATGCAAATTTCACACATATGTGAATTTCTCAAAACTTTAACATAACTGTAAAATTCTCATTTTTATTAAACTTTTTAGCGTCTGGGAAATAGAGAATGCTGAACGATGAGTCAAGAGAAAGACTCTTCACCATTTTGACCTCTGTAATCTACAAGTTACTTTTTTCCTCAACTTGTTTATTCATCTGTAAAATTGGTATCATAAAAGCTTCCCTCCAGGGTTAGTATGAATGTTAAATTAATTAATGAGTATAAAAGTGAAGTCTAACTTGTAGAATGTATAAATATATAGGAAATATTATTATTAAATTTCCACGTTAACCTCTTTTCACAGCTATTCCTTTATAGGGATTAGACATAGAAGCTTCAATGCATTATTGTGTAAAAGATGAATGTGCATATCACATGATCATATATAACACTCCATATAGATTTAATTTCTTAATGCTAGAGTTCCATGTTTTTTTAAAAAAATTTCCACTTAATGTGGAGAAAAAAGGGTCTATCCGTATATTTTTATTCATATCTTATTTCAAGCAAGTTAAATCGTCACTCCAATTTCTTGGATGAAATATTGGATCCCAAATATGCATTTAATATAATTTTTAATATATTTAACCTTTATTAAAAATACTTTCTTGGTGAGTCTATATTTTTTTTCTTGGCTTCTTTCATCTTGTTTTGTATTTGATCCCTCATTCTTCATTACATTTATTTCCAGTGGAATAATTTATATATCTGAAATACAGTTGTTAGAGAACTTAGCATGTCCTAGTAATCATTTGTTTTGATGATCTTTCTTAGATAGTTATGCTTAACACATACCTTTCCGAGACTGATGATTTTTATATGAATGTTAACATTTTTTAGAATGATAAACTTAGAGACAAATGAATGTTGTTTTATTTCTTAAGATCAGCCGTATACAAAAACACACTGTACCTAAGGTCACCTATTTAGAAATTATGTCTTGATCTGTCTGTAGAATAACACAGAAAAAAATATTAAAGTATTATGAGGTGAAAAGGGATAAGAAACTGAAAGTTTTCCGTTTGATCCACTGAGACCTTTTTACCCTAATGCTTATTAATATGAAGGAATAGCAGATGTATATCTAAGTACAGACAGAGGGAGAAATGTTTGCAAAATATAAATTGCTTAGATGCATAAAATGCTTTGGGCTTTCTACTAAACAACACTAATATCAACATTATTTATCATACTTTATAATACAACATTCTAACATTAAGAAATCTTTGTAGATTTATTGACAAAGTACAGATAAGGATTTTGTTTTATTTTAATTGGTAGTATTCTATGCGGAGTATGCATAAAATCTTACCTTGTTTCATTGCTTTTATTAATTCGTGGGTATGCATATATAACCTTTGCTTAAGGTTAATATGTAGGCACATGTGACAAATGGAGGAATGTATGAGTGAAGAACAAAAATTTGGAGATAAGGGAATGCTGTTGACATTCTGTATTTGTAAATTATTAGATAAGGAGCATATTTTTCTTACATACACCCCTTGCTTAATGCACATTATTCTTACACAACCAGCTGCCTAAAATGTTTACAGCCAAATAGTTGACATAGGGAAGTTCATTTATCTTTGAAACCTTTCCTTCTCTCTCTCTGCTTTTTCCAATGCATCTCCACCCAACACTTCTTGATGGTTATGCCTTCTATTTTCTTTTTTATCTGGCAAAAGTTGTTTAAAAAAAAGGAAAAGAAAACAAGAGGGAGAGTTTCTCTGAATATTTCATCCAGTGGCATGCTGTAAAGTGGAGAAGGTTAGATCTCAAGAGAGGTAATCTTTGCCTTGAGATACTCAAATAAAAAGTAGGTCATTATTCCTTTTAAATGGCTGCTTAGACCCTGGCTTTTTAGCCTGATCTAAAGCTAGATGATTGAAAGAATAGGTGCAAGGTTATGGGGTTGCTTGCAGAGAAAATCCCATAGCCAGCATTTTGTAATAATGCATAAACAATAATCTTCATTGCTAAATAATAACCAGTGGCTTCATGGAAAACTTGGTGTGGTATTTTTTGAACGGATTCCCATAAGTTTCATAAATATCCATTAAAGTACAAGCAAAAGGTAAGGATATGATAGAATCAGATACTTAGAAGGTCAATATGATGTTTTTCCTATTTATCATTGCAGGTTATTACATAATAAATTTAGCATTAGCAAACTGTATTGATAGTCGGGACCACATAAATAATTGACTGTCGGGGCCCTGGTGTTCTTATGTGTATATTCATGAAAAAGAGTCATGGTTGAGTTGACAATTGTATGGTTCATGCAATAAATAGCTGAGTAAAAAGCATTATGCTTACTTCCATTCACCAACATATTTTGTCAATGATATATACTTGCAGACGTGTGATTATTCAATAGGACATTTTTTTGTTAGTATGTGAGATCCAATGAGAACATTTAATTTCAATTCAGTATATATATATATATACACTATATATGTATACACACTATATATATATATGCACAATACATATATATATATATATATATATATATATGTATTGTGCCCTTACCTGTGACAGCCACTGTGCTAAGTGCTCAGGGTACAGCATAAGCAACGTAGACAACAATGCTGATAACTGGGAGCTTGCAGAGCAGTGGAGTAATGTTTTCAGGAAAAAGCAATTGAAACTGTAAATGCCATGAATTATGTATGACCATCTAGACTATAGGAAGTTTTCAAAGAAAGTTAACATCTAAAATAAGATAGATATAAATGATGACTTGGAATTAGCCAGATTAAGGGGACAGAGACTAGCTAGAATTAGAGATGGGTGGAGAATGAAAAACTGCAAGGAATAAAGCGCCCAGTAGAGGCATTCTATTGTTCACATATGGGGTGGGTGAGGGGGAAGGAAAGATAATGGCATTGTCACAGTGTGGTACAGTGTCACTAACTAAAGAGTGCATGACAGGCTAAAGAGATGAAACAAAGAAATCTGCTACAAAATTCAGCAGATTTCTTACTAAATGGTCAATTTCTTGAGTTCTGATTTATACTTTTTTACTTTTTCAAGGACAAGCACAGTGTCCTGCTTCCATTATTATTTAGGGATTGTTTACATTTTGATTATTAGGCTAGAGTAATTTAAGTTTGGCATGCCTTCTTTACAACATAATGGCAAATAATTAATGTTCATGGGACTACTAATGATTATGCAAAGTGTGACAGTCACTGTGTGAAACCCTGGAGATAAGACGATATTAGACATGGTCTATGCTCTTTAGTAACTTACAAACTACACAATATATAGAGGCATAATCTGCCCTATTCTTTAATACTTGCAAACATTTCCAAACAAATCATTGTAGGTATACTTAAAATTAGAAGAGCTGTACCCTTGTTCTATCTCCTGAGTCTCAGTTTTACTTTAAGTCCTTTCCATCCATTTATGTTCATTCTCTAGAAAATCACATAAATTCAGAAGGAGAAACATGATGAGTTTGCAAATAATTTGAATGCTGATATTCTTTATCATAATTTCAGAACTGAGTTTAGAAACAGCATTCTTATCAATACAATGTCTTCTTGCATGATTCTGGGAATAATATTTATCTCCTCTGAGGTAAATTTTCCTGTTGGTTTCTTCCATTTTTTCTTATTTATGCTACAGTTTTTTTAAAAAATATTAATAATGCTTACTTAAGCATTATTATGTAGAGTGGAAAACAGAGTTGCAGGGACTTTTGGTGTCTGTGAACACGGGCATAAATTGGAAGGCTTTAACAGGGAAATAAGCATTATTTCCAGCATAATCTCTGGAAATCCTATGCTGAGAGAGGCTCTATTCTGGGGTACCCCAAACACACTGGTTTTTGTAGTGCTTTTCAGGTTATTCAATTATTATAAATTTTTAAATTTCCTTCCAGTTAAATGCTTAAGTTCTCCCCAGCTCCCTGAAGAAAATATCCCTGGCTGGTTGGCCGTCAATAGCTCTGCATGTATACAATATACGAAAGTGGAATTGAAGGGTAAAATAGTCATCCTTCAACACATTACCTGATTTCCAACCTCATTTTTCACTCCTGTCCTCCAACCTACTTCCAGCTTCTAACTTCCCGAGCACTGTCATTCCGTCAGGTCAGCAAACTCTCTCTGCTCTAATCCCCTCTCCTTAGGCTTTCGTCTCACCTTTCTTCACTTGGTTTCATCTCTCCATATTCTTGAATATGCTTTTCATCTTTTAGAATGTTGTGGAATTTTCTTGTCTGTGGAAGGTATTTCATCCATATTTTCCCCTATTATCAGCCTATAGTTTTTGATTTTGCTTTTCTTGATTCTCATTTAAAGATTACATCTTCTCAGAAACAGAAGTACAGTAGATTTAGCCCTGGTGAAAATCCAGGGACATTGATTCAGGTCTCTCCCAGCAAAGCAGATGGAGTTGAAAACTGCTGCATGGTATTTGTGCTGATGTGCTGCTTAAGGCTTTTTCCGGACTGAAGAACCTCAATATTTTCTATCAACTTTTACCTTCCTCTTCACACTTCTCAGGTCACATATTGAACTGGAAGCTGGCACAGAGTTCTCAGAAAATAAAACCAAGAATGTTCAATGTATAACTGGGAAATAGCAATACAATACTCTTTTGAAACATAATGTAAACCATATTCTGCTGTTCCTGAGGAAGCTTCTTACCTGTATACTTGATGAGAGTAAATTAGGTGAACATTTTGACCACTTTAGGCAAAGTCCATATAATTCCTGATGAGAGTCATTCCACCCTCATGGAAGGAGGACACTTTGAATTTAAAAAGTCATCATTTCAGAGTGGACTAAATTTGCAATTTATGATATTAATAAAATCTTTAAAGCCAATGATGCAGAGATAGGAAGGTGGTAAGAGGGAAATCATCTTTAGTTTTTGACAGGTATTTTACCAGAGTTCTTTGCTGTTGCTATAAATCAAGCTTACATTATTATTCTTTCATAGTTTTTGGTTTTGTTCTGTTTGAGAAAGTAGTGTGCTCATGAAAGAACAATCCACAATCAGGGTTTTGGTAGCTTCAACTAATTCCCATGGCAAGTATAACTAATTGTGAAGATGACTTTGTGAGAATAGGTGATGATCGATATTTGTGGACAAGAATTCTTAGTGAAATCACTCAACTCTAGGCAAAGCTACAGTTTAACATTCCTATTGGAAGTGCATCTCATTTAGAAGTACCTCAGACAGCTGGTAAAACTAAATATAACTATGTCTTCTAGTATGTAACAGCCCTGTCATTCATCCGGTGTCCTGCCTTCAATTTAATTGTTTCATACATGTGTGTTCCTGGCATCTGAAAGACTCATTTTTTTCAAAAAATGATAAATGTAGTTGTCAACAATGATTATGCACTGAGAGCAGTAAAGGGTGAAGACAACACAGTGTCACAGGAAAAGCCCTGAGACACAAGAATAGCACATGATAAGCAAAGGGAGGTCTACAAATTATGGCATTCCTAAGTCTGACCGTGGAATGCCATTCCTGTTCATTCCAACCAGAGATATAATTTTTACATAGACAAAAATCAACCATTCCGGGCTGGGCACGGGGGCACATGCCTGAAATCCCAGCACTTCGGGAGCCCAAGGCTGGCGGATCATTTGAGGTCAGGAGTTCGAGACCAGCCTGGCCAACATTGTGAAACCCCCTTTCTACTAAAAATACAAAAATTAGCAAGGCATGGTGGCACATGCCTGTAATCCCAGCTACTAGGGAGGCTGAAGCAGGAGAATCACTTGAACCTGGCAGGTGGAGGTTGCAGTGAGCCAAGATTCCATCACTGCACTCCAGGTTGGGTGACAGAGCAAGACTCCATCAAAGAAAAACAAACAAAACAAACAAACAAAAAACCCAAAAAAAAAAAAAAAGAAAAAGAAAAATCAACCATCCCCTCACACACATACACACACACAGAAAATAAATAATAAAAAGTGAATCAGCGATATCAACCAACTTCTGTACAAGAAACAGCAGCTAGCGTAGATTATCTACCAATATTAGCACTATCGAGTTGAACAATTTAAGGATGAAGGCAGAATGTATAGAAGGAATGAAAGCAAAAGTACAGTACTCTAGTAGTTGAAGGAAAAAACAAAAACAAAAGGTGAGTAAGTAATGGCTATTAAGCAAAGGAATTTTAAAAATAATTTGACTGATTTTAAATGTTACTTTTTCACTATGTTCAGATATATATATTTGGCAGATGTACTGGGAGCTATCCCTAATTGGCCTGAATTCCAAGGACAGTGTATTTAGATACCAAGAGATTTCTATCCCAAAAGTAGCTTTACTATAATGCATTCAGCCTTCAAGGTCCATGGAATAAAGTCTTATCAGAGCTAAGGTATTTATGAAGATGAAATATATAGGGAGTGTCTCCTATTACACACGGCTACAAGAGATGGATTTCTTTCTCAGGTCAAAATGAATTTAACTCATTCATTTTCAGTGTTGCATCTCAGAAAATCATGAGTATAATTTTTAAAAGTGTAAACATTTTGTAGGCCGTTAACATGTTTGGCTTTTTTTTCTGCAGAAAAATATAATGGAAATGTCCTTCCCAAGGCGAAAAATACTAACAACTGAAAAAATAAAGTCGTAGTCCTACCCACTTAACCTTTACATTCCTGTCATTACAGGCATGAATGTAGGAACATTCAGATATTATCCAATGCTTAGGTAATAGTGATTACCAGCCTGCATATTCCAGTGACCTTCTAAGTATCTGGCCTGATGTCCTCACATAAATTTTCCAGTGAGGTTTTAGAGGTTTTCTTCACATCTTTAATTGGGATAAAGCTTTCAGTCTCTTTCTCTTCTCCTGTTAGATCAACTTTTCCCTTATTTGCTGATCCACAGAAGTGTATTGCTCATGACTGAAACTCATTAACCTAGAAACCAGAGCACATATATTCATCAATGGCAGTTTCTTGCAACCGTTACTCTTCTTTACTATGACACCATGGAACATGTAGCCATATCCTTACTTTTATTTACCACAAGCTTTCAGTTTTTCCCTTGGCCTGGATTGGTTCTACATTCTTTAATCTAAATAAGTGTACCAATGAACTGGGAAAGTAGAATACATTGAGAAAATGTTCTCCTGTCCCCTAGGTTTTCAAATTTGATCTCAAATTGAAAGTCACTCACTGTACCTATATGTGTTCACTTGGTTGCAGACCTGTCACTTGACTGTAATCATGCTTGATCATTCACGCTGCAGGATTCTCCCTTAGACACTCTCATTTACTGGCAATACTTTCTCTGCCAAAAGTGCACCACCACCATGCCAGCACCTCTTCAAGGTCTGCTCATTCCACAGCGTTTTTTGTTTGTTTGTTTGTTTGTTTGTTTTACAAAAAGAAGACTCCATCAGTTGCTTACAAGGTGAAAACGAAGAGCTTATGTCACTTTTTCTGTCTTTACATTCTTTGTATCATGTACGTACTCTTATCCCCATTTAAACACTTCTTAATTTCAGCAATAGACTCTGTATCAGTCACACCCCAGTGCCCATAGCAATTCCTACATCAGCAGCTCATCTCTAGTAAGAAGAAAAAAGCCTGCCATCATTCTTTATGAATCTGCTTTGTAATTTTCTGTTATCTACTCTCTTTCATACTGTATGAGAAATTTCACTTACACCAAAATGAACCAGGCTGCTATTATTGTCAATTTAAAAGCAATATTCTGATATAGTTCATAAAATTATATTTCATAAGCACATCACAATTTAAATATTTAATATGAAACCTTAATATCAATTCATAAGCACATAACAATTTGAATATTTAATATGAATACTTCACATCAACCTGAATTGATAATGAGATATCTACCATAGCATAACACATTGACCTTGTAAAATACATCAACTGCCTCCTCTGAGCCAATCAATCCATCCAAATACATTTACAGGTAAATTTTGTTTTCTGATGAATCATTTTTCAGCTGATTTCCTATTCACCGGGTTAGTGTGACCTCAAAGATAGTTTGCTTTATCTTATAAACATTAAGATACTTTATGCAGCATGAGGCTGCAAACAGAATGTAGGGGCAATAATCTCTTCTGTGAGGGCAATTTGAGGAAGACTATCCACATCGGCCCATTCATAGTGACTTTTAGCTATGACATTCCAGACAAATGTTAAATATGTTCAGACATTGTCAACTGACAACATTTTAACATGAGTATGTTTAAAAGATTATTCTGAGATAAAGTCGATGAAGTACAGAGAAAGTCTACTTTCTAATATAATGTATGGCAGGTTGGTAAGAAAGGACAAAAGGGATAATAAAATTACAATGTGGCAAGGCGATTACAATGTCACTGTAGCACATATTTCGTTTGGTAAATACTTCCTAATATGTCCTATCATGGGCTCTTTAGATCTTTAACATTTCTTAGATCCAGAAAAATTACCTTGATATCATTGTATTTTTCTTTTTTTCTTTTTAGACACAGGATCTTTCTCTATCACCCAGGCTGAAGTGCAGTGGTACGATCAAGGCTCACTACAGTCTCGACTTCTGGGCTCAAGCAATCCTACCGCCTCAGCCTTGCAAGTAGCTGGGACTACAGGCACATGCTACCATGCCTGGCTATTATTTTTATTTTTTTGTAGAGACAGAATCTATCTCTGTTGTCCAGGCTGGTCTCAAACCCCTGGCCTCAAGGGATCCTCCCACCTGGGCCACCCAAAGTGCTGAGATTTCAAGTGTGAGCAACCACACCCAGCCCATTATACATTTTTAAAGTTGATAAAGACTCAGATAGGGTTCCTGGTATTACAAATGCAAAATATAAATGTTTAAGTATAAAATTTGTAAATGAAAAACAATTTGGTTGCTTGAAATTGCAAGTGGTCAGTTTTCTTCCTTTCATGACAATTACATGTTCATATACATAAGATAAAAAGTATCAACTTGGATTTGGTAGGAAAATACATTCTTCATGGGTGCTGGTATTTTGTTGTTGTTGTTGTTGTTTTCTTTTAAACAGCCCCAAGTAACTACTGGCTTGGAGAATGTTGAGATTAAAAATAATTCAATCTTTTTGTTTCATCATATCATCATCATACTTTTTAAATTTAATTCATTTTGTTTTTTTGAGATGGGTCTCATTCTGTCACCCAAGCTAAAGTGCAGCAGCACAGTCATGGCTGACTGCAGTCTTGATCTCCTAGGCTCAAGAGATCCTCCTACCTCAGCCTTCACTGTAGCTGAGGCTACAGGGATGAGCCACTACACCTGACTATTTTTTGTTGTTGTTTTCTGTAGAGACAGGGTCTTGCTACGTTGGCTCATCACATTTAATATTTAGCATCTTCCTAGAATTGCCCAAATACAATCTCTGGAAGGCAAAATTGAATATTTCCTTTTTAAAAGGTAATTTTGAATCATTGCCTAATAGTGTCTTCAACTCTACCAAACTAGTGAAATTTCATCTTTTACTTTAAATCTTTTTTCTCCCAACTAATTAAAATACATCAAGAACACTTATTGTTATTTCTCCTTTCAGCTCCTTCTTGCTTTGCTTGTAGTGCTATTATAAGTACAAAGTGTATGGGAGCAAATAATTGCATGCTGTTGACATGAAAATACGTTTTTCTAAAAAATCTAAAGAAAAATATTTCTCCTTGTTGGCTTGTTCCATTTGAAAATGGCTGGGATGGTCATTTAACACTTTGTGGCACTGTTGGACTAAGTGAGTATCATAAATCTAGTAATATGTCACTGTCTATTTGGCCCACAGATAGGAGGCAGACCATAACACTATTTTGGAAATATATCATCTATTTTCCAACTAATTTAACCATAAGGAAGATGAATAGCTGCGTACTTTAGCCGCAATGCCTTTGGTGAGACTGCTACTGAACAGCCAACATACGTTTGCCACCTTTGTCACTCAAACTTCTAAAGCACATTTGACTCATCAGCTGGTTGACTCTTACCTCAAGATAAAAAAAACAGAATGTGTGCCTATAACCCCTGCACTTTGAGAGGCTGAGGTGGTAGGATGACAGGAGCCCAGGAGTTTGAGGTTACAGTGAGCTGTGATTGTGCAACTGCACTCCAGTTTGGGTGACAGAGCAAGACCTAACTATTATGTTCTTGATATTCTGTTTTTTATTCAGCAACAAAAGCTAAACCTATCTATTAATGGAAACTACTTCAGAGTCAGTTTACTGCCCATGATCATAAGCATTTTGCTTAATTAACTCATTCTCTGGCAGCTAATGAGATTTGACGCTTATTGGGTGCTTGGTATAACCATGAGTTGTTTGAACATTTAAAAACTTAGTTTATTATTAAAATATTTTCCAACAAATGTGATCTTAATTCTGGGACTCTGATACAACAAACCCAGGAGGGCTGCAAACAATCTATAAGCAGAGCAGGCTTCATGGATTTGGGACTAATGTAGCCCTGTGTTCACAGGGACCCCATATTAGGGTTTAATGTTCTGTTGTCGTAATCTTCAAATTTTTTATGATTTTATTCACAAACTTTGTTTTGCAAGTGAAGTATAGTGGGGTAATGGAATATGTACCTAGGCTCACATTCAATATCATCTACCACTAGGTTCTTGCCTGCCTGCTCTCCAACCCGTGGGCTTTGGGGGTGGCTGACCCAGTGGGAATTTCTCACCCACCTCTATATCAAACATATTCTCATGCAGAAGTTACAATTCCTTAGGGATCACCTGTCCACATGAGATGGGCAGGGTGTATTACTTTTGTAATGCAATTTTAGGAATTAAAAACATCTCTTGAGGCCCTACACCATGGCTCACACCTATAATCCCAGCATTTTGAAAATCTAAGGCAGGAGGATCACTTGAGCACAGATGCTCCAGACTAGCCTGGGCAACATAGTAAGAAGAGTCTCTTAAGAAAAAAAGTTCCTTGAATCATATTTAATATCTTCCTAGAGTTCCCCACATAAATTATATTCTTTATTACATTAACCTTTTGATATTCAATATTGACATTCTTACTCTGTTAGTAAACTGATTTCTAGGTGATTTGACTCTTCGATAATTCACCATCAGTGAACTTTGCAATTAATTGTAGGTTTAGAGTATATTTTTTGTAGGACCTACAAGAAAGCTTATATGGGGATTTCAAAGGTAGGTAGTTTTTCTAAACCTGCAATGTTTTTTTTTCACCTAATAATATATTTTTTAAAATTTTACATCTTATCAAGGACAGTTTACCTCACTCTTGGTTTTTAATCAAAGAATATCTGCCGATGATTTTTAAAAATTAATAGCTCAAATAGATTGATAATAAAAAGCAACTGTATTTTTCCCAAACTCCATGCCTACTCCCCAGAGGCAAACATTCACAACGATTTTTCAGTTTAATTTTTGTGGTAGATACCATCATGGTTCTGAATAATGCTCCTATGCAAATGTATCTCCAAGTCAAATCCTTATCTAAGATGCCAAGATTTGGCTTTCTTACTCCTCTTTCCTCCTCACAATTGTTTGTTGTAAAATTATATTTTAAGTCTTCCATCAGTTACTTTGAAACTTTAAATAATACATTAAACCCACATTTATTTGCTGCATACTTCAGAGAGGCATCTCTACTTTTCTTCCCCTTCTCTCACGCAATTTCAGCAATACCTTTGCTTTTATACCATCAAGGGTAATTATATTTATTTTCTTTTTTGGAGCCATACCATATTTAATTTTCTATGCTTCATCTTTAGATTGATATTCTTTAAACCTTTTTACCTTCTTGTGAAGATGTGAATATTGTCAATTTAAAGCCAAGAAGAATGCTCGGTTTTTATTTCCTTTCTTTCAGATACAACGTCATGCCCACTGTACCATTCAAAGGAGCAACCTAGCATAGAAATTTAATATTCCTAAGTTTTTAAAGCTTTATTTGCTCTGAAATTATATTTCACTTCAGTCTGTTCAGACTGACCTGAATCAAAATAAGAATAAGTTATCATAATTTTTGTATTGTATTCACAGTGTGAATTCACGATGATGTATTCACCATGAATGTTTACCTTTTACTCACAACCAAGCTTAGCTGTAGAAGACATCACTAGCTCTCTTACTGTTGGGTCATACAGTATGCACATTTAAATTATTGATACTTTTTTCCAAATTTCCAGGTGAAAATGACATAACATTTCATACTTCAATAAGCAGTGCATGAGAGTAGCTATTTATTTAAAAGCACCAATATTGACATCTATCAATTTCTCATTTTTTCTATATTGAATAGGCACCAAAAAAATCATTTCACTATTGTCTAATTTTTATTTCCTTTTTTTATTAAAATTGAAGATGTTTTTACATTATTATTAGTTTTTTGTTGCTTGTAGGTTTCTTTTTCGTTGTATGATAATATATGTGACATAATCATTTATATATAGTTTTTATTCATTTACTGGTTCACATATGTATCACATATTTATAATTTCACATATTATTTTAAATTGGTGCAAAAGTAATTGTGATTTTTGCCATTAAAGCTAATGACAAAAGCTGCAATTACTTTTGCACTAGCCAAATATTAGGTGCATTTTCTTTGCCCAAAGCTGTGAGGAGCCAACAGTACAACAATGACTAAGACAGACAAGTTCCCTTCCTCAGAATCTGAATGAGGTGAACATTCAGAGCTCAAAAGAAGACTTGGCCCTTGATGGATCGTAGATATTCTTCTCATTGTGTCAGAGAGAGAATGGAGAGAATATGGAGAAGTTGCAGATTTCATATTTGGAATTTGAGAGACCTTCTGGTCTAATTCTAATTTCTAAAGTGTGAAGTGAGGTTATTAGCTGAAGTATGGGAGGGTATAGAATTTTAAGGCAATAGAAGAAATTAACAAATGTAGTCTCTTAAAAGAAATGTGTTCATATGTATATGTCCAGGTTAACACATAGGAAAATGCATACAAAGTGTGCATCAACAAGCTACAAATAGTGATAATCTAGGGATAAGAAAGCAGAATGGAGTATAAAGTAATTTTTAAAAATATTCATTTTAAGTTGTTTCCTTTATCTCTGCTAATTATAATTATGAGACGTTCCATGTACTAAACAACATGATTGGCAAGACAAGTTTTTTGTTTGTCTGTTTTATCCCAGATGACTCTATTTTTCTTTAATTTTGGAAACTTGAAAATAAAGCTAAATTACTGTATCTGAAGTCATGGCCTTCCTAGGTGTAGGAATGAAAGACAGTGATGATTCTACATTTTCACTCTCCCAATTAGTGATTATATCTATTGAAAGTTTCTGTGACAAAAAAAAACCCTGGATAGAAGAGCAGAAGTGACTCAAATTTTACATGCCTTATCCAAAGTTTAAAATAAAGATGTATTATTTTGAATTTACTATTTTTAAAAAACTGATTTTGTTAACATTTTTAAGCACTATGGAAAATTAATGTATTTTTGTCTGTATTAGGCTCATATTTTCCTAGTGCATTTGTTTTATAAATATGTATATCAAGTCTTTGTTTTTCACATTCTAACTTATCCCTCGTATGACATTGTTGAGAAATTCCTTATTTACCCAAGTATATTTTTAGATATCAGAATCATATGTGTTATAGGCTGTAACATTTTTTAAAAATCAATATTTAATGAAATATTTTTACAATATGATACCTACATCTCTGCTTATTAATATAAGGAATACTTACAAGTAATAATATATTTTCTATAAAGATTCCTATATTTTATGCATGTAAATAAATATATTTTGATTTATCATAATTATATTGAAAGAACTGAATGTGTCTTTAGAATTCTTTTATAATTTTCTTTAAAGCTAATTCAGAAACAAATATCTTAGTTACGTATATTTATGTAAATATTCCCCTCTCAAAAATAGTAAGGTTTATAAATGGTGATGGTGGAGGTACTAGTGGTGCTATTGGGAAGCTTGTTATTAATGACACCTTAGGACAATTAGGAGTGGCTGGAGTTGGAGGAAGAAATAACCCTTCAAGGAGTGATAACTGCCCTTCTGTCCCATAAATAAAAAAAAATTCCAAATAGATTGTAAGATAGAGTACTATTCATATGGATAAATGTAATTGGACTGTTCATTACTTGAAATTTAGAACTTAAGTGACTTTTCCCTACCATTAAACAGTTATTTATTTAAATTGTTCATTAATAAGGAAGGTACTAGGAAAGTTAATATACACATTAATTTATTTACTTTTAATATATGACTTTATCAACACCTCAAAAGGGGAAATATTACTATCTTTCTTTTGAAATATACCAAACTGGTTAAACTCTTTTCTGTCTTTCTTCCTTTATTTCTTCTATTCTCCATTCTATTTGTTTATTGCCTATCAACTCTTTGATTAATTTAATGTGGTCCTGTTAAAATATTGTCCTATACACTTTTTTTTTTACAAATTTCATCAATTGCTCTTGAGTTTGTGTGTGTGCATGTGTTTTGTTTTTTTTGTTGTTGTTGTTATTTTTTGCCGGTACCTTAGAATCAGCTCACTGTTTGAGAGTAAAGCTCTTTACAGTTGTTTACCCAGAAATAGACTGTTTAAATTCCTTTGCATCTCAGCTCTCTGGTGTCTTCTGAACCCACTCACCAGCTGTGGTGAGGATTCTGGCTGGTGGCCATCTTGTGCTCTATAGCTCTAGCCTACAGGAATATTCTGAAGAGATGTGAGGAAAAGGAAAAAAAAAGTCTTTCTATGTTTTAAGAAGTAAATTTGTGAAGTCCTTTAAGAGGGGATTTTTTTTTTAACTTCACCAGTGTTCCAAAACTGAGTTGTTTACTGGAAAATTTAAGAATGCAAACATTTTAGGGAATGTCAAAACAAATTTTGACATATGCCAAGAAGTATGAGCCTATTTTCTTTCTCTTATTTTTTCTTAGTTAAAAGTGTCTCTAAATAAATTGTACTATAAGCCCAGGTGCACGAATTCAGCTTTAAACATCTATTTTAGTGGTAACTGATCAATCTTGGTGAGCTCTAAAATACTGCAATTGCCTCAACATTACCCTTTTATGGACAGTTCCAAATTAACTTATTTTTCTATGGGAATACCACTTTGCTTAGATATCAGAAAAAGCTTCTGATTCAACACTCTACCTTCTGCATCCTGTTGAACACCATATACATCAGTTTGAGTATTACCGACTGCTGTAACAAACAAGACCCTCAATTTCAGGGAGTTTACAAATTAGAAATTAAATTTGCGAAAGTAAAATGTGGATGTTGCTGGACAGCTGGTAGATATGCTCCACATAGTGATTCAGTGACAATATCACCTTCCTTCTTGTAGTTTTGACATTGCTTTGAGTCTCAGAACTTTCTGTGTCAGCCTGCAGATGGGAGAAGAGGCAACATAGAAGACATATTTGCTTCTTAATTTGACCTACAAGTGGGTAACACATATGACCTTTACCCATTTCCCAGATATAAAAACTCATCAAATGGTCCTATTATAGATGCAGTCATGGTTGGGAAATGAAATCCCTTGCTAGACTGCTACTTCCCAACAATTGCACCCAGTGACTAGGGAACAGAAATCCTGTGGGCAGTTAATTGTCTTTGCTACCCCAGGTAATGAAAACAAATGCTGTTTATCATCAAGTTCAGGAAATTCTTTATAGGAAAAAAAACTAATGTTTAACACTCTATAACATGTTAAATACAACTTCACATCAATTTATTTCAACTTTGATTACATGTTAGATAGTGAGCAAGCTTGGGTCGTAGGATGAAACTTTAATGCTTGTGCAACATTAAATAATACTAAAATTATAAATTTATTTTAAAAGTCTTCATTAAAAGATGAAAATATTTCTTGCCTTTTCCTTCTTGTTTTAATTTGTAATTCATATAACTGCAAAAAGAAAAGTTTAAATATCTAATGGCATACTGGGTTCTTTAGATTGATTCAATGCCAAAGTCTATGGTAGAACCTGTAGTTGATAAAGTACTCAAGACTTTAATCGAATCTTCAAGTCGTGTTTTCAGGTATAGACATTTGTAATTTGTGTGTCGGGGGTTGGGGGTTATTTCTCACAGCTTTCTAATTACCCTCGATAATGACAAATGCATATGGAAAGCCAACGTAAGAAACTTGCTTATATATCACACTAACAACCTTATTGTTCATTTATCATATTCTCCTAACACTCAGCATGCTGTAATTAAGTCATAGTGTCAACTACTACTATAAAAAAATGAGTGGTAATATTCCAGGTTAAGAAGACTAGAAAAGTAAAGAGTGTCTAGAACTAATAGAATTTTTGAACTGAACTTCTGAAGTGATAGAGAATAACTACATAATCTATAATATATCTTTTCTCCTGATGCAGAAAGAGTAAATTGATATGGAGGACAGCTTATGTCTCTCTTGATTACTATGTATTTCCTTTCTCTGATTTGGACAGTAGCTTCTTTGGCTTCACCCTCCTCCAGTCCTAGACTAATTACCTGGTCTTATTTACTGTTTTTATTTTCCACTACCACTGCCTCTAAAGATATTTGCCCTTTTGGTCCCAAAGCAAAAAATATAAACAACTGATTTTTAAGGTCAAGAAAATGGTATGGATATTTGGAAATGACCTATAATAAAGACAAACATTTCCATTTGGAGCTCAAACTTTCTAGCTAAGCAAAATATTGCATAAGATTTTAATGTCCAAATAATTGGTCTTTCAGAGAATTACTCATCATATCAGATTTTCCAAAAAGGAGTTATTCCTGACAGTTAAAAATGGAAATTTTTTAAGACTTATTTTATTCACCTGTTCTTCCAAAGAAAATCAGTAAATTATAAACTTAATAAATACTAAAGTATACTTCTTCCTGTATTATTGTTTTATACACAAATCTTAAGTAAAATTCTTAAAATTTTTAGACAACTCTTAAATTAGCTTTAGAATTAATTTCATGAATTCTCACAGGTAAAAAATGCATTTGACTCTTCATATTGGAAAAAACATATATAAGTATACATATATTACCCTCGCTACACATACGCATACATACACATATACATATTAGAGATACATGAACCTTGATATCACACAGACACACAATCTTAGTTTTTAGAAATGAATTAACCAGTCCAGACTTCTCCATGAACTCAAATATAGACTACCCTTGTGGGGGAACTTACCTTAAATGAATAAGCCAAATAAGTAATCGCTTTCATTCTCAGAGGAGAAAGACTACTGACTGAGAATAATTTAATCTAAACTTTATGAAATTGAATAATTGTCAAACTATTATTAATGTAATGAAAATATTGCTTAAGACCTAAAGGAATCTTTCTTGTCTCTGACTTTCAGAAATACTGTAAGATGTATATTATATAGGATAAATTCTTAATAATAGAAAATAAATACAGAATCATCAGTATCAATTGTATTTTCAAGTAAATATTTTACAAGAAAAACAGAAAATAGTGTTTGCCTGTAGGTTAATGCTGGCAGCAAGTCTATATGTGACTTAGAAAAACAAGCTTTGTCAAAAATATATATGATAAATATTGGCTGTGTGTGGCCTGATAACAGGTTCATGCCTATTATCCCAACACTGGGAGGCCAAGGAAGGAGAATCACTTCAGCCCAGGAGTTTGAGACCCGCCTGGGCAACATGGAAAGGCCCCATCTCTTATATATATTATATGTGTCATATATATCATCATTTTATGTATAAATATATATGGATATAATGTGATGTATACATTACACTGTGTATAATATATACATCACAATATATATGATATATAAAATGACATATTATAAATATTTTCTACCATGAGCAGTAATAATGGTGTTTATTCAAATATTTGATGCTTACATTTGCAATAACACCATTTTTACTGGGATTTAAGAATATAATATCTCTTATAAAATCTACACAGGGGTTTAATTAAATTTTTACTTGCCTTTAAGAGCAAAGGTGCACAGTTAAATGTATAAAGTTCTTAGTGTCCACATACTAAATTTCAAACAATCCATTGGCCATAAGGCTCCTGAAGATTAGCTTAAAAGTGTCTTTTTAATCCCATGGGAAATAAAAAGCAGGAATTAACTACAGCATTTTATTTTTTATTTTTTTTCCTTAAGTTACACACAGTTTGTTGCTGGTCACATGAGAAATATGAATTGTATTTTCTATCATTTAAAGTTATATAGTACTTTTGAGATGCTTTTTTACTTTTTCTCAAAAACAGTTTATTTACTAAAACCATGATCCAATTAGGAATTCTCAAAACATTTATTTCTCTTTTTCAAAATCAATTCCAGGGATTGTTTTGGCAGAGAGGGAATTGTTTTTATAAAACAGGTTATATTTCCTTGGCAAGCAATGGCTGATATCATAATTAGTCATATTTGAGTAGAACTAATAAAATATAAGTCCAAAGTTGTTTGTCATTTAATTGTATATACCATCTTATTTGGTTTGTCATTCAACCAAAATTCAAACAAAATAATATTTTGAAAGCACTATGTGCCCAGACCATATTTTCCATCAATAACCATGCTTTACAAGCTTGTGATCCAGAAGTAGTAAAATTGTGATCAACAGTAAAAATTTAGGATTATTTTAACTAATGCAAAAACTCATTGGATTTTTATATATTTTTCAGTGAAATGTATGCCAGCTGGTCAACCAATTAACATTAGAACTGAAATTCAGAAATCAGATAAACATTCCGGATTAAATACCTACTCTGTGAAAAGTAAAAAAAAAAAAAAAAAAAAAAAAAAAAAAAATTGTTAGTTCATTGTATTGTTTTACTATGTGGAATTTTAGATGCAAATTTCAGTCTGTGTTTTATATATTCCTTTTTGTCTCTCTATGCATACCTCTTGATGGTGTATAAATATTGCTTCAAATATTATTGTATGTCTTGATCTGGCTTCTTGTTAAAAGAGAGTGTTCTAGTCGTGAAAATTCACTAGGCTATACTCTCATTAAACTTGTACTTTTTCATTGGTATATTTTACATAAAAAAGTGGTCCAAATTTGCTCAATAGTGAAAATCTTTTTTTTTTTAACCTCATCCCATGTTCCTACCAGCCACTAAGCAGGTCTTTGATTTTCTTGCCCCCAAATGTATTTAATTTTCAGTTTGTACTTTTTCTACTCCAGACCTGAAACCAGCATTTCTTCAAGGAGCCTTGGTTCTTTTTAAAAGGCAATACACAGGCACTAAGTGTGCTTCTTGCTATTATAGTATTCTTATTTCCAGAGTCTTTCAGTGGATAGAGAGTAGTGGAACACAGACACATAAATTATTTTTTTCTAATTATGAAGTCATACTAATAGCTCTGACTCAAGTTAAACATTGCAGTTTTCGTTACTTTCCCCATCTCATTTCTATTTCTCTTCTCCCATGATGAGAACTCTGATTCCCAACAAAGCAATGCTTTTACCTCATTTGGCTTTTTCTACAATATGCAAAAAATAGGTTGAGTTATTTCACCAGTACTACAACCAAAATCAAGTATCTGGGACTACAGGCACATGCTATCATACCCCACTAATTTTTTTGTATTTTATTTTTAGACATGGGGTTTTGCCATGTTGCCCAATCTGGTCTCAAACTCCTTGACTCAAGCAAGTCTCCTGCCTCAGCCTTCCAAAGTGTTAGGATTACAGGTGTAAGCCACTGTGCCCAGCCCTTTGTCATTATTTTAATTAAGATGATTCTATCCTGTCAAAACATGTAATAGCATATTTATGTGCCATTCTTTCCATTTGTCCCCACCTTTGCTTTGGTCATAAATCTGAAATTAATACAATAAACACTCACCATTATTCATTTGCTAAGTTCTTCCCAATGGTCTATTGAACATATAAAACATTTTTTCTAGCAGATTCCTCAGGAAGGACTTGAACTTCAGTATTCCCTGAATTCTTGCACGCTTAAATGTGTTTTCGTGTAGCCTTGATACTTAAAGGAAACATTGGTTGGATAATAAGGACTTTGCTCATTCATTCTTTAAATTTTTTAAATGTTTTAATTAATTAATTTAAGTAGTATCTTGCTTTGTATGTTCCTGTTGAGAAGTATGATACCAACATGATAGATGATATCCATTTTTTTTGTAAATGATTTGCTTATTTTGCCAAGTAGCACAGATTTTTTTTCTTTATTTTTACAATATAATTGTTTTATTGGGATATGACCTGAGATGGCCTTTCTGGATCATTTTTTCATGTTACATAGTAAACTACTTAAAACTGAATGTTTTTAAAAATGTTAAATTAGGGCTTTCTGTTTTTCCAGAAATATTTTTTAGATTATGATTTTAAATATTAATTCTATCTTTTGTTTTCTTTAAGGAAACCAATTTTACATATGTTGAACCATTTTGTAGCTCTCTTTCATATGCTTTTTGCTCTCTTTGTTGTGTCTATTGTGTTGCTAAATGCTCTTTATTATTATTTAAGTCAAATCTGTCCTCCTTTGGGAACTTTGGATTTACTCTTCATCTCTTGAGATTTCTTTTGTTAGTTTCCTTCTGAATCCAGTCAACGTTTATATCACAATTTCCTTTTTTTCCCAAAAAATATTTCATTTCAGTTCTGATAGTCTGAATTTCACATTCAAGGAAATGCACATACACACATACATGAATATTTATTCTTTACCTTCGTGACTGTCAGGGATACCTCTATTTCCACAGTTACCTATTTTTTCCCCTAGAAGGAATGCCTCAAGACTTCTAGTCTTGTGTCCTTCCAAGCTCTCTCTTTAGGCTGAAGGGTAGCTAAATCTCTCATCTACTAAGTTTGAGACATGTCTTATTCTGAGAATCTCTCTTGAAGAACAGTTCTGTGTTCCAGCTGCTAGGTTCTCATCGCCTCTTCTCTTTCCCACTGTGATCTGTTTTAGCATGGACTTAAGCTGACTCTTTCAGTTAGGGTATATTTCCTCCTTGTTACACATCATTTGAAGTGTTTAGTATTTTCAGTCTCCTACTTATTTGTAACTATAGGTTGAGGGTGGTCTTATTTCCTCTTCTTTTCATCTGTATGACTTTGAAGTGTGAGTGGAGAGATTCAGATCTATGTGGCCTCTATTGCCCTGCATAAACTAAACACCTTTTTAACATTAAATTGTGCATTCATCTATTTTGAGTTATTATCTTTATATATGCATACTAATGTATTATAAATAGTCTTATACAATTTAGCATTCAACACTCATGTACTGAGAACCACTTATGTGCCAAACACAGGGATTGTTTCATCTCACTAGATTATTTGAAGCCTTTTGATAGGTATAATTCTTAGTCTAGTATCAAGAGTTGGTATTCTCCTTTTTTGGTAGATGCATTTATTATGTTTGTAAAATGTTTTAAGATAACCTTATTCATCCCCACAATAATTACTATTGGGAAAACAGTTTTTGCCTATTAGATTTAAAAACAGTAAAGAAACTCAGTCATGTTCACTTAGTAAATAATGCAATGCAAGAAATTAGATTAATCTTTATTATATTACAATCTGGGCAAGTGTAACAAACTGGAAAAAGGAAGAGTTTTTAAAAAGCATAATTTTAAGATTATAGACATCAACCACTCTTCCATTAAATAAAGGTGTCAAAATTGAAACACATGGAACAGGAGTGAACAGTGCAAGAAGCTAATCACATGTTCAGTAAACCTCAGAGGAGGTCAAGTTGAGGGATTGGTGAATGTCAAACTTTAAGGTGGTAGAAGGATTGTGTTTGTTAGGATTTAAATTGTTAAAGAAATACAAGTGAGGTGACCAGAAACATTTTATTCAAGTCTTAACATCCAGAATGATCAGTGGGTGTTCACTATACACAATGATGGGTTTAGCTAATATGAATGATGAGTTTTGTGAGGGTTTTAGAAAGCAAGGCTGCTAAGGTCCAGGGGGGACTAGTGCACTCACAACCTTGAAGGCAAAAGTGAGATATTTCAAGTTAATACAGTGAGAAATAGAAAATATTTAGTTCCTAATCTGGGGAATGCTATAATGAAAAGCAATTTATTAGGAAGAAATGACTGAAGGTATTTTACAGCAACAATTCTGATATAATTTTTTTTCACCACGATGACTTTTCTATGACAGAGAAGTTTTCTAAGAGTGACATATCCCATCCTATGACTCCTACAGCAAATATAAGAAAAGTTGGATTTGTGCTTAATTCCTGCTGCTCTGGCAGTAACTTGGTTCCCCTTATTCTTGAGGGAAAATGTAAATGCAAGCAAGAGTGAATTTGTAATATAGTCTCTATTCTACATTCATATATTTTAAAAATATAGCATTTAGACTTAAAGATGGAGCAAAAGCATAACTTTTATCTACTTGCCTTCAGATATGAATAATTTTCAAAAATATGCATTCATGTGGGTGTTTAAATTATTTGGAAACATTGGCTCCTTCCTAGTAATGATGACTAGTGTTTCCTTAACCATTGAACTTATTGAAACCCCAGAGTGTGGTTTGCTGGTATAAAGGCTAGAATCAATGATGCAGCTCTAGAATTGAGGCTGGTAGCTAGACAGTTAATATACTCATCAGGCTGAAGTCATCAGAGTAGAGAAATGGCATTCATAGTAGAGAGGAAGAATAAAAATAAGAGTCATTTTGAAAAAGTAACAAGACAGAGAGACTGAGTCTGAGGGAAGAGGACTAATAACTTAATGCTGTCTGAACTTCAAATTATTATAACTGTGAAATCATGAAATCTAAAGAACTTAAAGGAGTGTGACTACATATTTGCTTGTGCCTTCCTCATTTAACAAATGTTATGGAATGACTAGTATATAGCAGCCACTTTTCTAAACATTTGAATTTGATAATTAACAAAGCAGGAAAAAAATTGTGATCCTTTAGCTTACAGTAAATAAAAGGAAAAAATACATTGTATAAAACTTCTCTTCCTCATTTTTTCATTAAAATTTATTTAAACTTTCTTGGGTTTTATGTTTTGTTGCTGGGGGAGGAGGATCTTTGTGTGTGTGATTAAACCTTGCATAGCTAATATACTTTGGGAATTTGAGAATTGGGAAATTTATCTAACACATATTTTATCCCTGGCATTCTGCCAGGTACCTTGTATTTGCAGATTATCTCATTTAATCCTTTTAACATTGTTGTTATGTTACAGTTATTTCAAACTTTCAAAGACAATGAAAATGAACCTTAGAATAACTGGTAGCGTGCCTGAAGGCACATAGCATGGAAACATTTGGGTGAGAATTGGAACATAGAACTGATTCTACAGACCCATATGTTTTCTGTTAAACTACCTTTTTATGGTAAGGTACATATCACAAATCACCTAGGCAGCTTTCCTAGGTTCGAATCTATGCTATTGAAAATCTTGTTAAAAAACATATTAGTATCGATTTAATTTTAATAATATAATTTTGGTTAATAATGTAGTTTTTCTTTGAACTTTGAGAATATATAATATTATCATCCTTATTCTGAAGTTGAATATTTATTGTAGAGAACAGCAGATATAGAAGGTATAAAACTGTACCATCCAATGTAGTAGCCACTAGCCACATGGGGTTATTTAAATTAAAAACAATTAAAATTAAAAAATATTTTTTCATTGCAGTAACCATATTTCAGCTGCTCAATAGCTACACATGACTTGTGGCTACTGTCAGCAGCTACAGATAAAGAACATTTTCATCATTGCACATTCTATCGGATGGCACTGGTCTAGAATATTAGGATTGGATAAATAGCAATTGTGGTCCAAACACTGAATGATTTTTTTCATCTATATTTGATTAACTCTCCGAGCAAACTTAATTTCTTATTTTCTTGCCTCCTTCAAGGGCAATAAAACAAAATCCAATTGATGGGTACTGCTAATTAAGACTTGATTGTATGTTTAGTATGCAGTCTTTACATTTAAAGTTAGGCTATAAGTTTCTACTATTTCTAGGTAAAAGTTTTATGTCAGTCAGTGATTACTTTGTAAATGAGCCTCAGTTATTAGGCAGTAAAAGATGATACCTTTCTTGACATTTTGTTCCTTTGTACACATCTAAAGGTGACTGCCATTTTCATCAATTTACTATAGGCATTTAGTACTTGGAAGTTAGAATCTTCACCATTAGCTTTAAGAAATAAGGGGGAAAAATACAAGTCCATAATTTGCTAGGCTTAACAAATCCAGTTTTAATGTAGCAAAAACATATTTCCAAGTCTTCCATTCAATAGCAAAAACAGATAAAGATCAGGTCAGCACTTTCCCCCAACTACTATTCTGTTTATCAACAGTGTACAACATCTTCATCTTTATTCTGTAACGTTGTGAATAAATCATTAAGTTTCTGTTGTCTGTTACCGCAATGGGCAAAAATGACAGGGTGGATTTTACCAAATTTGCAACAGCTGGAACTGAGGTGCAACAAAAGGCCCATATGAATACTAATTCTGGAGAGACATGCTGTATGAATTTTGATGCTTTGAACAGAGACAACAAATAGCTGTTTCAAATTTGAAATGTAAATCAAAAGTCACAAGTACAGATGGTTGAAATTACAGAAGTGGGATTGGCAATCCAGTTGCTTCTCACCGGGGCATCTCTCTGTGGTATGTACTGGAACGAGTAGCACTAGAGGTTTGGCTATTTAATAACGTTCAGAGATTTCCCAAGCAACACTTTTGCGGTAGTTACCAAAACTTCTGCGTCTGGTCATAAAGAACAAAAAGGGATATATAAATTGAAGTATTTGAAGGCATTTCTATGTACTCCTTTAGGATTTGGCAGTCAGAATAGATGTTAGAAGCAGGTGATTCACAAGCCTAGGAAGGACTACATTAAATGACTGCCACTTGGAGATGATGGTAATGGAACATCTATGGGTTAATGTTTCAGTTATTTCCCAAATTAGCTGCTACTTCATAAGCAAGCCCAAGGATGTCCAAATAGTTCATCCTTGCTTTCTTGCCCTTTACATGGTGAATTAACTCTCAATTTGTATAACTTATTCCCCCTTTTAAAATTGTCTAACTGAATTTATACATACAATAGGATATAAGTTAGATTCCGGAATACAAATAGAGGCAATATACCGTGTTACATTTCATGCCTCTCTGAAATGTGAGAAGAGTATATTGTTACTGGAAAAAGTCTTACCTTTCTATTATTGAAAAATAATAGTTATTGTTGTATCAATAATATCATAAGATAACTAAGAGGCAATGCATCCTAAACCTTATTGTAAGCATAACGCTGATAAAAATGTAAATGCCAACACTTTAATACTGAATAAGACATACCTTAGTCATCTTATTTTCTACCTAAGTCATCTTACTTTCCTTCTAGTCCTCTCGGACTTGTAAGATCTCAAAGAGTGCTTCTGAAAGATACAGGAATCTTAAGCTTTAACTCAGTTTATAATTTATTTATTTGAAAACATATATTCATGGGAGTAGTCATTTTGGTATCTATTGTCTTCTTTTAAATGAGAGAAAATATGATTAGAAAAATTAATTCTGGTCTAGTGTAGTCAAGATAGCTTTTTGAAACTAGAAGTTACCCTGACTGAGCACCCTAGATAGACCCATCATTTCAGAATAGAAAGGCAGTGTTCAAAGATGCGAAATAAGTTTCACCACATTTTCATCAAATTGGAGTTCAGTATTGCAGGCACTGGGTCTTACTACATCTTTATCTTTGCCAGATGTTTTTTATTCGATTTTATCTCTTCTAATTCTGAAACATTCTTTATTATTTCCTTTAAGAATCTTTCATTTCCTAGTGTTTTATATACTGCTTTTTCTCTATAACTAGTATATACGAAAGGGCTGCTTTTGTTGACCTAAATAGACTAATGGAAGGTCCAAAGAAACCTACTTCCAGATACGTCATCCACTCCACAGATACTGACATGGCAAAAACTCTGAGTTTGGGTCAAATCTTCTTTCCTTCCTTTTTTTCCCCCTTATTTCAAACTTCCATTCCTTCCCTTCATTTCTTTCCTTTTTTCTCTCCTTCTATTTCCTTTCCTCTCTCCTTCTATTTTCTCTCCTCTCTCCTCCTCTCCCCTTCTCTTACCTCATATCCTGTCCCCTTTTCTCCTCTTCCAGTTTTGTTTCCTCTCCTTCTTTCTTTTCTTTCCCTCTCTTCCACCTCTTTCCCATATATTAAATACCAAATAGAGCTGTGTTAGGTTCTAAAATATGAAAAAGTAAAAACATGTTCTCGGTTCCTATGGAATTAACAGTCTTAGGGATTTTTATTGGTGAAATAACTGTGGATCAAATAGTACTAATAAAGTAGTAAGCTCAGGCACTGAAATTACTGTGCAGCCATTTTCTAGCTTTCTTGAATAAATGATATATCCTCTCTCTGAGTTTTCATATAGGTAAATGTATATGAAGACTATGATCTCATAACATTGACATTAACTGATACATCTTAGAATCAATAAAATTTGTTAGTAATTTTTACTTTTTAAATGTTTTGTTCTTTACAAATTCATTACAACATTTTTGTGGTTATGACCATATTAACTAGAAAATAATGAAGAAGCTGTAGACTAGAGAGAGACATTAGCAACCCACAAGTGGAGTCTTCACAATTTTTCAATTTTTCTCTGCAGATGACTTAAGGGTTGAAAGACAGCACAGTATTCTACATAATTGCTGAGAGAAAGGGATTTCTATTCATAAATAAAAGTAAGCATATCTGGAGCTTCTTGATGGATCTGTCTCTGTAGATAAAAACATAGCCTATGTCCCTCTTCCCTGGGGGGTCACTAAAATCCTCAAGGACACACCTACATATCCATCCCTATTCTCCAGCTCTGCTCAGTGAAATCGAATAAAGCATCATACTTTGTCCACAGCAATGCTGTAGCTAAAATGGGAAAGTTTTGCATTTACACCTACTGCTCCAGAAGATTTTGGTTAAGTCCGTTTAAGAACACAACATGTTTTGTTGGGAGACAACCTAGAGTGGAAGAAACACTGAGTTCCAAGATGTGAGCTCACATGCCAGCTCTACCACATCCTTCCAGCATGACCTTGTGTAAACCCATTTAACCTCTCTGAGTATCCAGTCATCATCTGAGAAATTAAAATATCTTTCCCTTGGGATAAGTTTGAAATGAAATGGAAGAGTTTATATGTAAAATGATTAGCAAAGCACATACCTCCAACTATGTAGTTCTCACGTCACTTTCTTCTACCCTCTTGTTTGGATCAAAATTTCTGTCTTTTTTTCTTTTTTTTTTTCTTTTTTTTTTTTTTTTGAGACGGAGTCTCGCTCTGTCGCCCAGGCTGGAGTGCAGTGGCGGGATCTCGGCTCGCTGCAAGCTCCGCCTCCCGGGTTCACGCCATTCTCCTGCCTCAGCCTCCCAAGTAGCTGGGACTACAGGCGCCCGCCACTACGCCCGGCTAATTTTTTGTATTTTTAGTAGAGACGGGGTTTCACCGTTTTAGCCGGGATGGTCTCGATCTCCTGACCTCGTGATCCGCCCGCCTCGGCCTCCCAAAGTGCTGGGATTACAGGCGTGAGCCACCGCGCCCGGCCATTTCTGTCTTGATGATATGCTTTTGATATTTTTCATGAGTCCTTTTATAAATCCCTTAGAAGACATACTTCTAAATATAATTAGTCACAAAGTAGAGTGGGGAAGGAGGAGAGATACAACCACAATGCAGAGAAAAACAAACAAAAATGCGAGACAAGATCTTGAGAACAAGAAAGATAAATATTGCTTCTTTTGCTAGGGTTTCTTCAGCTTATTTACTCTGGTGGAAGGGTAGCATTTAATATGTAAAATGGAGATTTCTGCACTGTTCTAATAATCCAGAATTTCATTAGCAAAAAGAAAGTGACCTATAAACACTGCAAATATAGAGAAATGAGGAAATTCTTTGTTTTGACATGAGCTTTATTAACAATACAACACCACATTTCTCCATTCTGTTTGTTTGTTTGTTTGTTTGTTTGTTTTTTGAGACAGAGTCTCACTCTGTCACCCAGGCTGGAGTGCAGTGGCGTGATCTCGGCTCACTGCAGCCTCCGCCTCCTGGATTCAAGTGATTCTCCTGCCTCAGCCTCCTGAGTAGCTGGGACTACAGGTGTGTGCCACCACGCCCAGATATTTTTTGTATTTTTTTAGTAGAGACGGGGTTTCACCATGTTGGCCAGGATGGTCTTGATCTCCTGACCTCGTGATCTGCCTGCCTCAGCCTCCCAAAGTGCTGGGATTACAGGCGTGAGCCACTGCGCCTGGCGCATTCCTCCAGTTTCATAAGTTTTTTTTTTTTTTTTCCCTCAAGATTTTAATGCAAAATAAAGTTGGGTAGAAGGAAGAATGCATCCTTATTTTAATAATGTTTGAACACTGTTGCTGAGTGCACATTGCAGACTTCTTTTTAGCTTGTTTGGGGCCTTGTCTCAGATCTCCAAGGAATTAAATGAGACGGCAATAGAAATATTGGTGTTGTGATAATGATGAACATCTTTTATCAAAGCAGAAGTATTTTATAATAAACAAGATACACATTTCTAATCCAAGGAAATTAAAAGTAGTTTCCATTGTTGCATGAACTTTTGTATTTATTAGCTTTAATCTCAAAAACCTATTTTAAATGAATTAAAATGTAATTTGATTCTTCAGCACAAACAGCCCTGCTAACCTCATTAGTTATTCACAATAATTACATGACTCATCATTTATACTCAGGACTGGTTAGACAGATTTTTTTTATGCTGTATTGCTTACCCCAAACATAATTTTTGTTGTTGTTGTAGTTGCTGTTTAACCAAAGCATCAACATGTTGTAACTGTTTCCTTGTTTACAGCTGTCTTCATTTTGAAAGTCTGAAAGTCATCTAAACTAAAATTGTATGCTTACATCAGATTACATCAACTACCTTGTCATTTTAGACATAGGCAATATATTGTGTTAGAATATTTTGATAGCCATAGTCTTCCTGTCTTATAAGTTCATTCATTGTTAATTACTAGGGTTATGCGACCACCATGAAAACATTATTGGAACTTTTAATATACTAGAAGTTGGTGTAGTATAATGAAAAGACAATGAATCAAATAGGTTTAAGTTTGATTTATAGCTCAACAAGTAGCAATTACTTCAAACTTTGGAATAAGTGCTTTGGATACTTTTCTAAGACTTGGTTTCATCATCCATTAAATAGGGGGAAGTGGTACATAGTCATGCTGTTTTTATGGTGATTTGATGATACAATAGATGCCAAAATAAAAATTTGTTGATCTCCTGTCACAAAAAATAAGCAGAACAATTTATCTGCAATTACTAGTCTATTGGAAGCTATAACTGACAAATGGATATTATTAATAAAATATGAAGCTGAATCTAGATTCAGCTGATCTCAGCTCACTTAGTTTCTCTTTGGTACAGCTTTTCCTGACTACTCTAGGTAAAGAATTTCCTTTGGCATTCTCCCGACCAGACTTTATTTTTGCCTGATCACTTAATCAGAAATGATGTCATATACTTGTTTTATTATTGGTTCGCCACCACAATATAAACTCTTTAAGGGCAAAGACTGTAATTTGTCTACCACTATGCTCAGTCCTTGCAGCTGCTGGGCAGATTGTAGAAGCTCAATAAATGAGTATTAAATAAATGAACACAGTGGAGTGCCTAACCGATGGGAAGCACTGTGTTTGGTGCTATAGAAGTTTAAATATGAATATTTAAACTAAGTATATAACCATTTAAATAATAGCCCAAAGTAGCTTTTCATCCAGTGGGCAATAGGACAAGTGAAGCAAATAAATGAAACACAAAGAAATTAAGCTTACCACCATAAGCAAGTTTCAAGGAATGACAGCTTAATGCATAAGAGAGAGCTCAGCAATAAGAAGGTCTATTCAGCCAACACTGAACCATCTATTAGATAGAGCTTATTATGGTGATAATGATAAATGCCAGTGTGCTATTCCAGATATATAGGCTTGTGTTTCTCCAACTTTGCCCTGAAGACTATTGGGAAATTTGTGGGTGTATTCTCTAAGAGAATGCTTCCACTTTCATTTCTTTTATAATCTCAAAATTAACCTGAGTTTGTTCAAAATTATCTGTATGGCTATGATATAAACAATTATTTTCAGCTGGGCATGGTGCTTACACCTGTCCATGCTGGGCAAGGTGGCTTATGCCTGTAATCCCAGCACTTTGGGAGGCCAATGCAGGTGGATCACGAGGTCGGGAGTTCGAAAGCAGCCTGGCCAATATGTTGAAACCCCGTCTCTACTAAAAACACAAAAATTAGCCAGGCATAGTGGTGCATGCCTATAATCCCAGCTACTAGGGAGGCTGAGGTAGGATAATTGCTTGAACTGGGAGGCGGAGGTTGCCGTGAGCCGAGATTTGTACAACATTATACTCCAGCTCTGGGCAATATGCATATATATTTTTTTTCACGTAATTTCAGTGGCTGATATTTTATTGGTGTTTATGGCAATATGCGGATCCAATTCTAGTAATTTAATGTTGTAGAAGAATGAGAAAACCACAGTGGTAGAGTTAATGTATAAATAATGCATATTAGCTATACAAAGACCAAATGAGGTTTCAGATAAGTTTCTGTGGAGAAATTAGAGGGACATATGGTGGTGTAGGCTTACAAAGTAAAGTGAATTTATATTATAGTAGCTAATTTGTATTCTCATATTAAGGTAAGGTTTAGTTTCAGCAACACACTATCATTTAACATATTAAATTAGAGTCATTATAAAAGGTTTATTTTGTAGTTTGTATTTCATTTGAAAAATTGGTTTATGACTACATAGCTATCAAAATAGGAATTTTATATATAGGTTTGTGCATTTATGACTAAGTAACAATATGAAAGCATAATTCAGGTCAACATAAGGGGTCTGTAATTTTGTTTTTCTTTTTTTCTTTTTTTTTTGAGATGGAGTCTCACTCTGTTGCCCAGGCTAAAGTGCAGTGGCACTATCTTGGCTCACTGTAACCTCCACCTCCCGAGTTCAAGCAATTCTCCTGCCTCAGCCTCCAGCGTGACTGGGACTATAGGCACCTGCCATCATGCCCGGCTAATTTTTGTATTTTTAGTAGAGATGGAGATTCACCATGTTGGCCAGGCTGTTCTCAAACCCCTGACCTCAGGTCATCCACCCGCTACGGCCTCCCAAAGTGCTGGATTTACAGGTGTGAGCCACTGTGCCCAGCCTGTAATTTTGTTTTCTCTATGGAAAGAGTTTATACATTTATAACATTTGAGAAATAATGGCAGGCAAGTCTAAGGTGGTGCTTCTTCATTTTCTTGGCAATTTTTGAGTGCCTACATGTTGGTGACCAAAGCTCTGATAATGGCAGTAACAAAGAGAATGGGGAAAAGACAGCTAGGCAGACATTGTCACTAGTCTTGGTTGCTTGGCCTGGAGTGATTTCCAGTTCTGGGTACTGCTGGAATGGTTGGAACATCAGCCAAAATATGGAAGTCACATATTGTAGAAGTTGTTAATCAGTTCCATTTGGTGAATATTGAATGTAGGGTCCTAATAGATTTCCAGACAGAGTCCTATTGGTCTAGTCCTCAAGGGGGAGAGTAATGAGGATTTAGGAAGAGAGGATTGAGGGGACATTTGTGAAGAGAAGGCAGTTGAAGTTGTGGCCATGGATGAACTTGTCAAATAGGGCCAAAGGCAAAACTTTAATGAAAACTACATTTAGGAATTTGAAGGAGAAAAAAGTTTCTAGTTTATAATTTTTACTACTCTAGAACTTTAAAAGTAAAAATTTATTTTAAAATTTATCGTATACATTGTTAGAGTACAAAGTAAAACCTGTTTATCTAGAGGAATGTAGAGAGAATTGTGCAATATACGAATTTGCTTTCAAAGGGGCAGAAATTATCTTAGTGTGGAAAAGAAAAGCAAAGAATTTGCCAAGGAAATACACACTATAGAGACCGATCCTAGCTCAGCCTTAACTTACAGTAATTTATTTCTGTAGAATGTAAAGATTTTTTATCTCAGGTTGCTGTGAAGATGAAGTGTAATGATACATATCAAAATGCTCTAGAAAATCGTCATTACTGTAGAAATATTTGCTACAATTCTCTCTAAGCAAGCTTCTTAAAGTTGATATATTACCATGCAAACATTTCCCTTAGTGTTTCATTATTTTTATTTATATTTCTATTTTTACCATCTAATTACTTTTCAACATTTAATATTCATGAACGTCAAGAATATTCTATATCATCTTCTGCTTTTATTATATAGATTGTACACAGTGAATTACATAGCATGATGAAGTCATTAACTTCATTAACTAGAAAAGTGGTTGAGGTTCAAAATACAGATAATTTGCAAGGAGAAGGAGGAAGAACTAGTAAAGGTAAATTGCTTTTCCTTGCCAGTTTGAAAGATTTAATTCAGACTTTCTAGAAAGCTTAAAGAATTAAATAATTTAATTACTTTGAATTTTTACAGCCAAGATGAGTAATTCCATCAATATGGTAGGATTATATAAGAATTTGGCATGAACCAAATATAAAATATAAAAGTACAGTGATATAGCGTTACTGAAGAAATTGCTAACTTCTGGGACAGTGCTAACATTTGGTGCACAATTACAAGAATGTATATCTTATTTTCAAAAGATCATCTTTTTGTTGTTGTTTTACAATTTTCTTTCCGACTCCCACAGACACATGGGAATTTGTCACAAAAACTCTTAGGAGCCATCAGTAGGCAGGATAAATTGAGTAATGCCCCAAAAGATGGGAATACAGCATTATGGCCGAGAAAGAGTGCTAGTTTCAAGAGGTGTACGATGTGTGAAAATAACATTTTCTGTTTGTTTTTTATGAAAATGAACATATAAATGGGAAACACAAGCCTGCTTGCCATTTGGATATAAATTCTAACATTGTTGAACATGAGATTTGTATACTAAAATGAAAAGGGTGATGAAATAGTGCACATTGCAAGCAAGAGGTATGTAGAAAAGAAATCACACAAAATACCTGTCAACTTCCTTTTCTCACCACTGTTTTTTAGCAGTCATAAATACTGAAAATATACTTTTGGACACATAATTGTACATACTTATGTGATACAATGTGATGTTTTGCTACATGTATACTGTGTAATGATCAAATCATAGTAATTATTATATTCACCACCTAAATGTTTATAATTTATTTGTTGTGAGAGCAGTCAAAATTCTTTCTTCTAGCCATTTGAAATATACAGTGCATTATTGTTAGCTATAGTTTCCCTATTTTTAAACAGGAAACATACTTTTTAAATCTTTCACTATCCACATACCACAATTTATAAATTAACATGGCAAACTATTTGATGAAAAAATTTGTGTTTCCATTCCTAAGTTACTGATATTGGTCATGTTTAATGGAAAATCATGAAGTCCCAATTCCTGAAATCTGTTTAAATGTAAATATTTAAACTTGACTTGTCTGTGGCCCTGCAATGCTGAGAGGATGGCCCAATGCCTTTTATAAACTCATAGACTATTTCAGGTCGAGATGCAAAGACAAAGGGAGTGATGCTGACGTTACTATTTCCTATCTTATCCCAGGTAGTGTGTAGCATTTTACAGATAATTAATATGAACAAGAAAAACAGAAGAAAATACAACATGATAGATATTAGGAATATTTAAGGGACAAAACAATTGTATGAGGGAAAAGGAAGCAATGTATTTCAGGAAGATTTTATTTTGTTTTGTTTTTAGTAAGCTCAAGGTTATGAGAGGGTTGAAAACCAAAAGAAAGACTTAAATCACAGCAAGATGGATTTAAATTAGCCCTAGAGGGGGAAAGAGAGGACAACCTTAAATGACTGATGGCCTTGCTAGAAAGTATTCCAGGGGCTTTTCCTGATGTTCTCTCCTCCTCTTCCACTTGGACTTCCTCTGCCTACCACAGTCTGGTTGTTTCGTCTACTCCTACTGTCTTGTTTTAATTGATAATAATAATTTCCTTCATTTCTTACAGTTATGTCATCTTAAGAAAATCTTTTAACCTCTTAGAGCATCAGATTCCTTATCCACAAACGTAGATAACAGACTGTTGCATAGCCTTGTTGATAGCAGCATGCAAAGCACACAGTATGTTGCCTGGTGTGTTTACTGGTGCATAATTCATTAAGTGTTTGCAAATCATTGTGTATTTAGTATTGTTGTTCTTATTCTTATTGTTAAACAGAACACTAAGTCAATATCCAAATTAAAAAAATAACAGTAATAGTCCTTATCACTAAGCTCTCTGAGGAAAAAGAGATGTATAATTTTTCCTTAAGTCTATGTCGTTAGCTGCATCTCTTTGTACATTTTCATCCAACTCTATATCTGGATCTGGATCTATTTTTATGTATCTAAACTATTACTGTGAATTCATTCATTCAAAAAGAATTGTCTAAATTTTCTGTGTCAGGCAGAGTGCTAATTATTGAAGATGCGAATGAAAGATGGTTTGTAACCTTAAGGTATTTACAATGTAGAATGAGGAAATAACTGTGTTAATAAATAGGTTCTATAAAATATGGACATTTATAAGATGAAAATCTAAAGAACTTACAGTGTGGATAGCAGAAAAATGGTCAACTCTACATGAATATGGGAGTAAATGGCAATTAGTAAAAGCTACCCAAAAGAAATGAGTTTGATTCAAGCACACAAAACTTGGCAGTCAAAATTTAACGCAGGTATTTTTTTTTCCTGAAGATCCTAAATACAAGGTACCCTGAAATGATAAGGTACAGCAAAAATTGGAGGGTTTGAATTAGGGTACCTACTTGGATCATTTTTAACTTTATATCATAATTGGATGTCAAAAGATTTCTATTCTAGCATCTTTAGTACAAATAATCCAGGTACAGGTAATCATTTAGTTTTAAATGTAATAGTACAGATAGTATCAAGTGGGAAATGGTTTATTTTCTCCTAGGGCCAGGAAAAGGGCTAAGGTGACATTTAAGGTAGGCTTTAAATATCTGCAGTACAGGTGAAGGCTGTTCTGTGAAAGGGGAAGAAGGGACCAGTGCTGTGTCAGTTAGGAGAGGAAGAAGGTTAACTACCTTGTGAAAGCCTTATGTAATGTTGAACTTGAACTTTATTTGGTAAAAGCAAGACTTCATTGCAAGATTTTATTTCATTTTGCTTTTAAAGACTAGAGGTGATGAAATATTTCCAGTTTTCTAAAATGGAGAGGGGTCGGGTGCTGTGGCTCATGCCTGTAATCCTGGCACTTTAGGAGGTTGAGGCGGGAGGATAGCTTGAGCTCAGGAGTTCAAGACCAACCTGGGCAACATGTTGAGACCCCATGTCTACAAAAATTTTTTTTTTAATTTAGCTGGGCATACACCTATAGTCCCAACTACTCGGGAGGCTGAGGTGGGAGGATCACTTGAGTCTGGGAGGTTGAGGCTGCATTGAGCCATGATTATGCCACTGCCCTTCACCCTGGGTGACAGAGCAAGACCCTGTCTCAAAACATAAATAAATAAAATAAAATGGAGAGGGAAAAGAGTGGAGGAATGAAAGCTAGGAATCAACTGCAACCTTCTAATTGTATGATAATGAAGGCTTGAAATAATATCTTAGGGATGAAAGGAAAAAAAAATAACTGGAAGTGGAAGCTAAAAAAGAAGAAATAATGAAGGTTGACTTTATACCTCTAACTTAAGTGACCAGGCAGCAAATATTTCAGGAAGAAGCAATTTGGGGTAGAAAGTTAACTCTAGTGGAATGGCTATTATACAACAGGCCCTGTGGTAGTGATTTATATATGGCTTCTAAGACAGTCCCACAAATTATCTAATCTAGAATGTAGAGAATAATTTTCACATTTTAGAGTTGAGGACATTACAGTCCAGGCCACACAACCAGCAGAGATTCCGATCCAGGCCACTGACTTCAAACTTTTTTTTTTTTTTCCTGTAATAGTAAACTAATTATTTTACCACTCTTAATAAAAATAATACAAGTTTAAACTTGAATAAAATGCCAAGTTCAGGAAGAACTAACTGGAGATCGTTGAAACGGGGAGCGAGATCTGATTTTCAGCATGAGCCCTGAGATGTGCCTAAGTCTGCATTATGGTGCTGCTGTGAAAGAAGCCAAATCCATTGTGTAATAAGATACATTCTCTCTTCTAATGTGCATCACCTTGCTCTTTTTGCCTTGTTTTGTATACCTCTGGGTTTTCACATTTTTAAAAATGCAAGAAAAGAAACCTCAGTTCTGAATAGTCACAAAAATAGTTGAAGTCTGGATAACTGGGTTTTCTCAGGAAATGGCTAAAGAATTTGTGTTTAGCTTTCAGAAGTAGCAGCTGGGGAGTGATCTATTAATTGTTTTCAAACCCTTTGATGGTTGCTAGGTGAAATTTGTATGAACAGTGGTTTCCCATGTCTGAGGAAGCAAAAATATAAAAAAAGAAATGGGCCTCCTACTGTCTAGCATAGCTTAGACAAGCTCTTGCCTTAATACTGGATTAGATGATCCTTTTGAGATCCCTTCCAGCTATACTTTAAAACGCTTAGACTATAGAATTGATAGAATAAAGTTATGTCATTTCTTAGCAGCAATTTGTATATTTTATATAAACGGAAGATTTTTGGATAGGTTATACTTTTCTTTTGCCAATATCTGGGAGGCTTGGTATATATTTGTAAACACACAAAATGCAATTCAAGAAGGTTGCATAAAATGAAAAACATTTATCACCAGAAGACATTTTTTATATATGGTATTTGCCTCTACATAGTATAAACAAATTCTCTTTTGGATGAAAAGGGAAAGCACTTAAGGTAATTGCATTTACATAGCACACTCAGTTAAGACAACTGGATATTTCATGCTATTAATATTGGTGTCTTGTTTTGTTTAAACTGATTTTATTTTACATTAAAATATGATTACCATTAGTAGTTTTATTTTCAAGATGAATTAATTAATACAGGTTGTGAGTGCAAAGTCTTTTTGTATTTTCTTTAGTCATTAATTCAACAAGTATGAAATAGTTGTTTTATTCCAAGAAATAATATTACAAATGAATGTATTTTTAAAATCCAGACTTCACTTGTTTGGATGTGGCGTAAGGGAGGAGGAGAGTCATCTGCTTCTTGATATCCATGTGGTTTTGCCTTGAACCCCTCAATACTGTGGCCAGGGTAACCCCTAAACCTCTAACAGTCTCTACCAGTCCCAAGTGGAGAACAGGAATTGTGGCATAGGCTTATTATTGGAATGTTGCTTCAGTTCACATCACAAAATATCTGATATAAACTATTGTTTTTAGAATTTTCACCACTGAAAATCACTCACCTAAAGCATGTATGAGCTTGGCAGATTACATTGAACATTTCCGGGATCACAATACCATTTACTTTTGCTTTTCTTCTCACTAGCCTCTGCTCAAATCCCATGCAAGATTACACTTCAGAGTACTCAGCTCTCCTTCTTGTCTTATGCCAAGCAGATCATCCCTCTTCAATTTCATTTTCTTAATTCGAATGTCTTATCCCGTTAAGGGGCTAACAGAGAAGATTCACCCTTCTTTAGGCAGTTTTTTTTTATGAACAACAGAGATAAAAAGAAACCTGTTACATCTGCTTCTGTCAAAATTGAAATTCTTAATGAATGGTCATGCTCGAGTGGTCTTTGGAAGCTTCAAATGGCTGCTTCATCTTGAGAGCCAATCCTTATGTTCACACAACCTGTCAGATGAGGGAATTGGTCAGCCTCCACCTTCTTCCTAGCACCCCAACACCTTGCCTTTGAAAGAAAGAAAACAAAATTTCGTTCATTTTTTTCTTCTGCCACTGAACTGAAATCCATCCTTAATCTGTTATATTACTTACTACATACTTCATGCTTATATAAATTTAGGCATATTCACTTGAAGAGGTTTGTCTTCCCCAGCAATTACAAAGCCTAGGCCTATTTTTTTTAGGACTTTTTATCTGTCTATCAAAAGAATCCCATACATATCAGAATAAAGAAAATAATAGGTACAGATAATATGTTTTCTATGCTAACTTCTAAAAACTGTTCTATAGAAGAAAATGAGTTTACATTAGTAATGTTTATTATTCATTGTATTTATACACAATCCATTTCTAGGTTTTTAATAAATATTTTTCCCCTTTATGCCATTGTTGTTCAATATTCCTACTTACAATTTTATGGCATCCACATTTTTAAAACATCAAGGATTAAGGGAATATTTTATTTTTTCCAAAATGATGGACAATGGACTAGTTTATAGTTCCTACAAATTCAACTTCAACAGATGTGTAATGCAGGTGGAAAGCATCAAAACTTTATGATGTGCCTGCGTTTAGTTTTCATCTAATGTCTTGATTGCTTACGAGTTATTCATGTATGGTGTTAGAAAAACTTTGCAATGCCGTTTATTGAGTTGTTAATTAAGAATAAATTGTCACATTTTAAAGAGATGATAAAATATCCCTTTCTGATGAAATGGCAATTGCTTTTTCCCCCCTTGCTTTTGTTACACAAAATTGAGCTCTGAGATTTGAATGATTAGAAATTATCAGCCACAATTATGACGATGTTCTGATTTAACATTTTCCTCTTTGTGAGATAGTGGGAACTTGCTCATGCTTTTTAAAAATGTAAGTGCCGCTTCCATGTTTATATTATAAATGTCAGTCATGATTGATATTTGGAAATTACTTCATGAAAGGGTTTACATGAATGCAACATAATTGCATTTCTTTTTGCACCAACTGATTTTATTGCAATGTTTAATGGTTTGTTGCATACTTTACAGAATAATAAATTTAATTTTCTTGTATTATCCCATAAATAACCTGGAAATTTTTTAATTAAGGTAATCATAGTAGCTGTCTTAACCTTGCAAACATGTATTGCTTCATGGATTTAATAATTGGAATATTTATCTGGCTCAAGTCACAACAAATATATCATAAAATATCAATATGTGACTTGAGCCACATAAATGTGCCAATACTCAAATGTATATGTATAGTTTTCAAACTCTTTTCTCAGAAATGCATACTTTATGTTTGTTGGATAATGTTCTCTTTTTATTGTGTTCACTACCAAACTTTTGTATTTACATTTCTAGAGATGTCACTTTATAGTAGCCTCATTATTTTTTTTATCAGTTCATTTGACAATGATGTAAGTCCACATTGATTTTCAAATAAGGCAAAAACTTAAGCTTAAATATGAACCGCATTGGCACCCTTAATTATGATAGTTACATATAATTTGTATTGATATTTAGCTTTAAAGAGTTTTTGTTTTGCTTCATAACAATACCGAGACAACATACATATACACTTCAAAATTTTGACTAATAGCAAAAAAATAAAACTTCTCTTTGTAGAGTGCAGTACTTGAAAATATACAAAACATTCATCTGTAGAACGTGGAGAAACATTAACATAAATAGAATAGGCACAATTGAGATTGAGTATTTCACAATTAAAGTACATATCATTATTTTTTCTATTGCGTGATTCTTCATAACCGTTATAACTTAAATGGTGATGGTGGGCAGCTTTTTAAGAACAGGTTGTTTGCAAGGCACTTACAATCCAGGCATCCCAGATACGTCAATAAATGATCCTCCCTTAACATTCACAGTCCTTATTACCAGGATCCAAAGAAATAAAACAGCTTTGTAGAATCTGTAGATATTAAATCCATGAGTTTATTTGTTTTCATTTTATTAATTTTTGGATGGGTAGCTAACAACCACCAGAGCTTTTAATATCAATATAATAAAGAGAATCATATATGCATGTAATTTCCATGGGAAGCAGCCTATAGATATTGTTTTTCTTTATTTCCATTTTTTTAATGTATATATTTGTAATGGAACTGAGATGCACCATATGATAATGATGTATTCACAATTTATTCTGGCCTCCAAAGTTTTTTTCATTTCTTTTTTTTTTAACTATACTTAGAATGTTCTTCTCTCCTGTTAGATTTTTTAAAAACAATATGTACTGGTTTTCTTTTGGCATTTTTAATTTTTTGTATTTTTTTACAAAACTTTGACCCATTTGTAGTTTATTTTATAGGTTCAGCTTTATTTAATTTTTACTTCATGGCTTGCTAGCTAGCTGGATCAACAAAACAAAATTGTGTTTTCCCAAATTACTCGAAATGCTGTTTTATTATATGTTAATTTCCATATGTACTTGAATCTCTTCTCACTTTTGCTCTGTTCTATTGACCTATTGGTCTCTTTCTTCATTGCTAAAATTATTTACTTATATTTCAATATTTCTGTGATTATTATTTCTTGTATTACATTTTAATAACTCTTATGTTGTCAGGCACCACATTGCTATTTTCATTGCAGAGTTATTTTAACTACTCTTACCTGTTTGCCTGCCTTATGTGAACACATATTTTAGAAGCCTATCATATATGCATGTTTGTATATATAATTTTTACTATTAGAAAGATCACTTTATCCTGCTAACCACCCAATAAATGTTGACTATATATTTGAATAATATTCATTTTGAAGGAAGGTCAAGTCAATAAATTTCCAAGCCAAGATGTAAAGACAGGTATTTTGTCATTACCAAAAGACAAAACTCTTGTGCTAATATAAGACCCCATCTAATAAAAATAGCAGTGTCATTAGATTTTAAAGATGAATTCAGTGCAAATCACTGCAACTGACCATACCGTTAACCCCTTTATTAATCACAACTACCTATTCTAGAACACCGTTTTTAAAAGATGAATTTATTGATTCTTATAGTAGGGGGATAAAAATTAGGATTTGGGGGACATCCCAACTTTATTTGATAGGATTATGGCTAATTCCTCAAGTGTATTAGGATTGGAAACAATGAGGTTTTGGGCCACCGCTTTAAAATTGAACTTTGTAGATTATATCAAATTCTGAAAACTCTACTCAAGAAAGCAATTCTCACTCTCTTGAGAGCAGGGAATTATTATCAGAAAAGTCTAGCCTAATTTAGGGTCCATTTGCAAGAAAAAGTGGCTTTCCTGATAGGTATGTCTATTTGGATATATTTGGACTGACCTTGTCCATGTGGCGGAAAGCACTTAAGGAAACAGCAATTCCTTATTGTTATTACTCTCGGGGACTTAATTGTAAAACTAAAACAATAACAAACTCCTGTCCAATTTGGAACTAATTTACTGTTTTTTAAGATATATAGGTAAGGTACTCAATGCCCATCTGATGTTTTCATTACTTTATTTGGTATGAGTATTTCCTGGGAAATCTAATTTTATGTTTGCATTGCTAATGCATTTTATTCCAAGCTGTGTTTCGATTTTTCACACTGGCAAATTTTCACACAGCTATCTAAATTTCTTATTTACATGAATAACTATAGAATAAAGCCTAATAAAAATATTCCTGAGTACAGTATATTTCAGTGTATAGCAGAATAGGAAATAGCATTTATGAAAGAGCCACCAACTGAATTTAGAGAAAGGGAGGGTTGTGTTGTACATACCTAGGGGATGGTCACCAAGGTGACAACCTCTTGACCTTTCTTGGAGTTAATGGAACAATATTGCTTCACCTTCTCCATTTCTGCCAAATGTAATATGACCAATTTATTATTCATATATTCCTTTGAGATGAGGGCATTCACATTTTTATGTCTTTCAAACATTTGCCAAATGAATATACGCCAGTGATTTCTATGCATTTTTATCCAACTTTATAATAAAGACTGAAAACAACTAGAACAAGGGAATTCAAGTCACCCAGTTAATCGAAATTCATTGTTGAGGGCTTCCAGATTCTTTCTACTAACCTCTCACTCCTTGTGAAGGGATTTTATTGTGAGCGGTTAATATTTTATGGGAAGGCTGTCAGCTTCTTACAGAGCCCAAAGGAGTTATATATTTTTCTGACATATGATCATAATTCCCATCAGTATGTTTAATGTCAGCATCTGTAGGATTCCTTTGATTTTTAAGGAGGAAAAAAATAAAGCATTCCAGACTCATCAAATAAGAATAACTGTACATGCTTCAGGAAATTCTTATTAGTCTGGGTGAATGCTTGGGGACCAGAGGGACAGGTATGCAATGGATGCCTCTTAGTGCTTTGCTGGTTAACCTATTTTCCTCCACCTATTGAATTGTGCCAGGAATGAGAATTTTGAGGACTACTTTTGTGTACATGCTCACACACACACACACACACACACACACACACACAGAGTTTATGCTAGGGCAGAACTATATATATATATATATACATACACACATATACACACACACACATATATATATATAGGAATGTATATATATGCTACAGATCCTAGAGTATATTATCTAGAAATCATGAATTAAAAATAAAATGACCATTTTTAGTTAAAAACTCATAATGTTGAAAGTTGTGGAATGTGGATGATGGGTGTTTCTATAATTATTCTACTAAAAATAAAATCTCTAAAGAATACTATCTATGTCACAAAGCAAAGATCACAAAAGAATTTTGAAACATGTTCTTTACTCTGACAAGCTTTAAATCAACCAGGATCTAATCAGATTGTTTTGCTAAGTACCACTATTTTAAATTCTTTTTATTAGGGACCATGGGGGAAAAAAAGCATAAAAATGACTTCTGCAGGGAAAGATGAAGTTGGATTGATAATTAATCCTTGCTACAGACAGCAAAGGGTTTAATAATGAAAAATTATCACTAAGATGAGTGACTTTTTAACAAAATCGAATGAATCATTCAGTTTGGGTGTCAGGTAAACCCAGGTGGTAAACATAAACTAAATTCTTGATCTACTGATGGTTTTTGCTATTGGGAATGCAGATTTTGCCTGATTCAACTTTGGAGATGATCTTAACAAATGGTTTCTTCTAAAAAGCATGTGAAACATTAACTTATGCCAAACTTACTCCATCCACAGGTAGTTTCTTGGCCATCAATTGTCTCTGTTTTCTTAGAATCGGAGATTTAAAGAGAAATCTCATAAATGGTATATACATCCTAGATGGAATTTTGAAATATTAAGATCTAATTATAAAGTTGTGATGTGGCTAGGGAATCAATAAATTTGACAGGTTAATACAAAATAGAAATTTTACGGTATGTATTAGCTCTACATATGTATAGAACCTTTCATTTCATTCATTTAAAGTATTTAAAGGCCATATTTAACATAAGCTATAACTTTTGCACAGCAACATTATTTTTCTATGTAAAAGTCCTCATTTCCTGTTTGTCATTTGATAACATGTCTCATATTGTCAAGAAGAGTTTTAAATTATGAACACGTATTTTCTCATAAAGGTATTATGAGACAGTAGATTTGAAAGTTAAAAAATGGAACAACTTTCTAATTTTTTAAAATGTAAAACTTTAGATATTTGGGCATAATGTATTTCTTTGGCGTGCTTAAGATCTCTATTAAGCCGAAGTCAACGCCATAATTAAGATGTGAAAAACTAGTGATAATTCGATTATGAACAACAAAAGAAAGAAAATGCTGTCACAATTAATATTCTGACAATGCAACAAGACATGAAATGATTATGAAGAGACAAAATTTTCATTATTTGTAGACAATGTGATTATACACCAAGAAAACCCAAGAGAATCTGCTTAAAAACTTTTGGAATTAATGAGAAAATTTAGTTAAGCATTAGATGCAAGACATTGTAAGCCTGAATAATTAAAACAATTGATAGTAGCACAAAAATGGATAGTCTGATCATTATATTAATCCCCCAAATACGTGTTTAGCATGTTGATTTTGTATTAGCTTGCATTAAAAATTAACATGAGTAAAATAAGGAAAACCAAATTATTTCTTTTTAATTATCCTTTTGTAGGATCTTGGACACACAGAATTTATCTGATGATAATCTTCATTCACTCATATTAATGAACATTTACTATGTGCCAGGCACTCCCCTGGACATCTGAATGGCATCAATAAAAATAATCCTCAAAAGACTCTGTCCTTGTAATTTCATTAACTGCTTATGCAAAGCCCTTCTGATGTTTAATTTTGTTCCGTTATTTCCTCTTGTTTTTTAAATCTCAATCACATTGCCCTCCCTGCATGGGTATCCATTCTAATTTCTATACTGAAAATTCTTTTCATATATCTCTCATAAATTGCTTGTGTATATATAAATATAATGTTTTTGAAACCATGCACAGAGTTCATCTATATACATTTGGTGTTAATGTAACCAAATGGTATTGTTATAAAGATAATTATCTTTCTTATATTTTTCATTCTGTATTTTATTTTTAAGATGTATAGTTTTGGCTGCACTTCTCCTGGATAACATTCCATTATATGTCTATGCATATACCACATATTATTTATAGAGTCTCCTAGTGACAGACACCTAAGCTGAATCCAACATATTCTAACATTAACTCTGTTATGATGAGTAGTTTTCTATATATAGCATGCCCAGATGGTCTGTTTTGTTCACCTAAGACATACTTGGTTTATGCCTGTGTCCCAGCATAATATTTCATGTCCTCCCTTCACTCTCACTCAGTCTCTCAGAATTTCCAAGGGACTTCTCTGGAGTTTATACCAATGGTTGGAATTACACACCTATAGTATATACATAAAAAATACTGCGTTTCAGAATAGGTTTTCAGGTTTATCTTGGGTTCCTTTTTACCTAATTATCATAAACAATTGGTATTTATGTGTCATTTACTTTCTAATAGAAATATTTGATTGACATTGTAAGTTGCATTTTATTCTTACTAGTGAAGTAGATCATCTCTCTATATTCTCCTTACTCATTGTAGCTTCTCCTTTCATGTATTGGTTGTGTATGCACATTTCCTTATTAACTTAAAGTCTTTATTTTTCTATTTTGTAAATATTATATATAAAAATCAGCCCTCTGTTAGATTTAAAATATCACAAATATCTTTCCCAATTTGTCATTGATGTCATTATATTCAAAATCCTTAACTTAAATATTATCAGTTACTTTACCCTATTGCCACAAAAACATTTGCATCATTTTTTAAGGTTTCAAACCTTCACACATAGGTGGAAATTTGGAGCCTCTTTTTGTAACAGTATTAGAGAATTTCCTCTCTGTACTGAGTCATTTATTACTTGACATCATTTAGTAAATTAACATTTACATAATAATGCATTTAGATTTTTAATATCATCCCTACATCAAGTTGCCTTATATGTAGAAGTTGGTCTTAAGGCTTTTTATTCCATTGCACTATACTGTATGTTTTTCTGCATTTGTTGCACATATTTGTAAATATTATACAATGACTTGGTGTTATAATATCTGTTAGGAAAAAAATAATCAATTTTTGTTATTTTCCAAAGTTGTTTCAGCCAATTATAGACCTAGCTGCTTTCATGTCTTTTAAAAAAAATCAGTTGTCTAGATACAAAAAACTCTGCAAGGATTTTAAATGGAGTTGAATTGGATTTATAAATTGATTTGATGAGAATTTACATCTTTACAGTATGTAGCCATATCATCCATGAACAATGTATATCTTTCTACTTATTCAGCACTTCTTTTAAGTTCATTTATGATGGCCTTATGCAGTTATTGTTCGATTAATTCCTAGATAACATATATTTTGTTGTTATAGTAAATGGAATCTTATTTTCTATTACATCTTCTAATTGGTTTCGGGTGTGATTTTATTTTGTAATCTTGCAAACTTGCTGAGTTCTCTTATTAGTTCTAATGATTTTAAAATTTGTTCCCTTAGATTTTCTATGTAAGTGAACATATAATTTACAAAATGAAATGAAACAAAGAACAGTCATACCTCTTTCTGCTTAGCATTTAGGCCTCCTCTTTCTTTTCTTTACCTTATTTAGTAAGAGAGAACTCTTGAGTAGCATAGGAACATTGATGTTCATCAATCATCTTTGTCTTATTCTCAACCTTCAAAGAAACGCATCAGAAAATTTTTCTCCAAATGTAGCATTTCCTATAGAATTTTTTAAAAAACATTTTTCTAGTAAGAAAAATGCTGGTTTTAGATTTCTAAAGCTTTTATTTTTTTTATTAAAAGATATCGTTCACGATCCTATGTTTTTTGTGTCATTCCGGGTGAGAATGTGATGGATACTTTAGGTCATTAATATTTTATATTGATGGATTTTTCAGACATTAAATAATTCTTGAAGTAAATTGTATTTACTCACACTATATTGGTTTTAAAACGCTATTGGATTACTTAATATTATGCTAAGGATTTGTATAAATATGTTTTATAGTTAGTTATAAAACTAAATTATAATCATTTTCCAGTTCAAGGTTTACATGGTTTAGATTGAGGGAATAATAGCTCCCCACATTTTTTTATTTTTTAGAACAATTTATTTAATATAAAGATAACCTGTTCCAAAAATGTCGGTAAAACATATCTATACAATCTTGGGAATTTTGTGAAGTATCTGGGATAGTGCTTTCATTGCCATTTCAAAGTCTTTCATGATTAATGGTTTATTTACATTCCCAATTTCTTCTTTTTAATTTATCATATATATTTTCCCAGAAAGTTATCAATTTTAGCTACATATTTAAATGTAATAATGCCTACTTGGTTATTCTTTTATTAAATAAAATTTTTACAACATCTATAAAATTTCCTATTTTCCTTTCTGTATTTTTTAGTCTACTCATCTTTTTTCCTTGTTTGCAGAAATCTGTCTTTGCAAAGCTTGTGGTTTTGTTAATTATTTCTGTCCATTTTTACTCTTTACATCATTAACTTTTACCGTTATTGTCTTCTCCTATTTTCTCCTATTTTTCACATCTCTCAACTGTTCTCTCTCTCTCTCTCTTTAAATTTCCTTTTGGTACCTTCTGAGAGAGTTCTATGGCCTGAAGTTTCAGCTCATTATTTTTTCCTTCAGATTAATCTGTTCTGCTGTTCAACATATACAGTGACATTTTTATTTGTCATGATATTTTATATCCTTTCTCTTTTTAAAAAGTAATTGTTTTCTTTTCAGTATTTTCCAGTTCTCCTATATTCTTCTGACAATGTTTATAATGTTTCTTTTATATTCTTGTTATTTTTCTATGTTAGCTCTGCTTCTGCTGTTATAAGTAATGATATTGTCTTTCATTTTCAGTGTTTGCATTTCTCTAGTATCTCCCACTTTTTGCATTTAATGTCTCAGCTTTGGCTAGAAATGTCTACCCTCAGAGAGGTACAAAAGACTAGAGTCATTTTTATCCCTTCCATATGACTTAAGGTAAGAATGGGTGGCCTAAAGGAAGAATGCCTCAGACACTGCAGTCCCCCTAAACTTCTGTCTGCTTCCCTCCCTCTAGGAGGCTTCACAATTTTAAGCTGATATTTTCATATATATGAATCTACCTGAAGAGAGGAATAGCTATTATCTTGCGGAAAATTATTAAATTTAATGCATTTGCCTAAATAAACTGGAAACGTATTTGATATTTCCAAAAACCAGCATTTTTTTTCTATGAATTCTTCCATTTTTACCTCCAAGCAGTTTTTTATTCTTATTTAAACCTGATCCCATTTGCTTTTTGTTTTTAAACTAATATAACTGGTTTATTAAAAATTACTGCAGAGGTCTTTATGGGAAAAAAGACTGTGATATTACTTTGATAAATTCAGTCATTGTTTTCTATCTAAAAAATAACCTTGAAGCTGAAAGATTCTTAAAATACCTGTTAGTGAATTTTTTTTTTCCTGAAAATGAAGACCATAACAGTACTGAATTATTTACAGGAATCATTTGCCACCTATTAAGATTAGCTAATTTTCAGGTGATAAAATATATTTAAATATATTTAAATTGAATAAAAGAGATTAAGTTTTTGACAAGAGAAAAGTTCAAGAAGTTGAGAAAGTACCAAATAGGTATAAGGCAAACATGAAGAAATTTTGAAAATTCTAATCTCATTGGAATAAGAATATAGAAGTCTATATAATCATAGCATCTCAAATGCTTTTAGACAATGCTGTTTTGGGAATATGATTGAAATTGTCTAATAAGAAAATAATTGAATTATGTCAATATTTAGCACCTTAAATCATGATGTTTCAAATTTAACTATATAACTTTATAGTAGTTTGACACAATAATTTTCTCCTATGATATCTGAACTGATATATTTGAACACAAAATGTTCTAAGACAAAGAGGTTTCAGTGGATGTGAGTCTTCTTTTTATCATGCCCATTGTAATTTGGTAAGTAAAATTAGAATTGTTTTTAAGCTAGACATAAACAAGTTTGCTCGTTTATTTATCTGAAAATGCGTGTTGCCTATTTACCATATACTGACATTGTTCTAAGTGCTGGGTTAATATCAATGAAAAAACAAAAACTGCCACTCTGTCACTAGCATCATAGGTTAACAAAGTTATGTAAGATAGTTATGCAACAAAGTTATCTAACATAGTTATGTAACAAAGTTATGGAACATAGCTAGGTAACAAAGTTACTAATACTGTGAGTGATTTAATTTCCATTTTCATAGTAGCAAAAATGATAAAGAGTTCTGTAAAAACATATGGGATTAGCAATGAAATAAATTTACCCACTCTGGGTAGGCAGAGAATGCTTCCCTGAAAAAGCAAAATTTAACCTGTGCCTGAATGAGTAGAAGGTAAGTAGATGTTTGGCTAGGGGGCAGATAGAAAGATAAACTAGTTTTCTGACTCTCCTTATCCATACCCCTAACTGATGTATAGAATGAGGCCCAAATCTAAAGGAGGCCATCCTTTTTCTTTTCTTCCTAGTTCCAGTTCTTCATTGCTCATAGTGCAGTGTGAGAAGGGAAGGTGCAATTACATAGGATCTAAGGCAGTCTGCAATGAAGGAGTGAATGAAAGCCTTAGGATCCCCATTTGTATTGGTAGGTTTAAATTGTCATTCCTGCCGGCTGATGTTATGGTTCCCTGGGTAAAGCATTTGCTGGGTAAATGAGGTGAAGAGCATACACCATTGCCTGTGGTCTCTCCACTCATACTGACTGCCTCAGCAAGGAGGCCAGTGATTAAAAGGATGTAGAAATTTGCTGCTTCCAACCCTGAGAAGGCCCTGTGCAATAATTTGTAGCACAATGGAATATGCTTTGCCGTCTTGTTAAACTGTTATATTGGGAAATAATACCTGGTCCAGGCTGTCTCTATACCATCTCTGAAATGCATTTTAAGTTAATAATTATAAAAAGAGGAGTAGTCCATAGAGGAAATATTTTCTAATTGTATTATTGAGCTAGGCATACGTTTTTATCTGTAGGTTATTTTTAGTCATTCAAATAAAAGGTTTGCAATCAAGTAGAACATGGATGAGCTGTGCCCTCATGTTATATTCTCACTCGGGGCACAACTTAGATTGTGATCATGCATTTAATTAAAATGTAGAAATTAGCCTTGGCATTATCTTGTGTACAGTCTGGTTAAACAATTTCTAAAAGCTTTATCGGAATTACAGAGTGACCTGTTTAAATGGATGAAATTCAGGACAGCACCATTCTATAATAATGATGGATTATATGTAACCAACCCCTAACTTCCCAATGTGTTAAATGCTTGCTTCATTCCAGAACATTGTCCTATATAAATATTACTGCTCCAGCTTTGCCACAAAGGTTACTATCAATGATATTTCAAGTACATTTATAAATATAGCCAAAATATGTGCAAAAATATTCATTAGAGAAACAAAAAAGAACAGAAGAAACCCACTGGTTTAAGGAGCTTTTTCAAGAGATTTCTAGCTATATCTTCAATTGGACTAAAACTACTAAAAGGTCTCTAGGTTTCATTTTCCCTCTCAGTTTAAAAAAATAAATAGTTTTAATATTTGTTGCTGGTAAGCCACAGTATTAGTTTTTTAAATGATTTTCATTAGATATGAAATATTTCTGGGATTTTACTTGAAGTATTTATTTGAAGCATTTATTGTGAGATATTGTAACCCTCTAGCAAAATGTGATCAATACGACTGATCAGAATTAGTTGTGCACCAGGACTCTGAATTCTAAATGTATTTGACAGGTCATTAAAATCAGATATGTATGAAACTAAACAGGCAACATTACTTTGTAAAATATTTGATCTTTAATAAAAAGTACTGCTCTTTCCGATTGTTTCATTATCCATCCATTCATTCATCCATGTGTTATTTATTATTGATTTGCTGTGTGATAAAATATTTATTAACCACTTACAGTGTGACACATTTTATGAAGATGAACAAGTAGCTAATAATCATAATTGACACATTTAACACTATTTTGTGTCAGGAACTTTTAAAATCATTTTTTGTATAATACATTAAATCCAAAATTACCATGTAAAGCAGGCATTATAATTATCCCCATTTTTAGGTGAGGAACCAAGGGAAAGAGACATAAAATGACTTATTTAGATTTACCTATTTGAAAAGTAAGGTTCAAATCGTCTAGTTGAAAAGAGGTTAAGATTACTATCTAGCAAAACACTGACTAAGAACATTCCTAATCTTTAGGCTCTTCTTTCTCTGTGGTAGACAAATCTCAAATTTTACCTAAATTATATTACCTTTTAAATTAACCTAATAAGAAACACAAATATGTAAGTTGATAATTAGGGTTCACTGTAATTACATCTATCATAAGCAATTTCTAGAAGGATGGAAAGGATACAAAAACCAAAGTCAGAAATTTGTTTCAGAAAGTATGATCTCATTTGGCAAGGATTCTCTTCCACCAAAAAATGACAGTCGTCCAGTTAGCAACCAACTCTTACACATGGCATTAAAAATAAATCACAATTTTCAGATCTCTTTTTCTTAAGGGATACAAATGTCTTAGATTTAGATTTTCTACCCTGACTTTTTTTCTCACTCTTTAATACTTACTCTAGCTTGTAAAATATGTCCTGTCAAAAATGAGCATATATTAATATTGAAATGCAAATCATTAATTGTACTTACATTGGTTGTTTCACAAACATATCTTTATTATTGTGGCTTTTTATCTTAACACAGTGTAGTTATTATATGATGTAATATTTTCAGCAGGTAACCCTCTTGCTACCATTATATGAGGACCTGTCAATAACCCATATTGTTAAACCATTACTTCTAGACATCACCTACTAGCTGAACAGTTTGATAATCACTCACTGGCTTACACTGAAGGCTGAAGTTTTGGTTGTTGCTTAACTCTCTCTCACTTCGTGCCATGTAAAAATGTTCATCAACCCTGCTTTCAAGCCAAAGAATACAAAACAAACAGTATCTGGAAAGGCATTGATAGCAATGAAGCTACGATTACACACAGAGAATAAAACATCAGGGAGGAGTTGGGGAGGGAGGACATTTATTCAGATCCAGTAAACTCAGGCAACAAGCTCTTCTAATATGTAAGCATTATGAAGGAAAAATATATACTTTTTTCCATTTTAACACTCAATTTTGCAAATGTAAATACATCCATTATGTAACAAACGAGAATCTGGTGAGGGCTAAATTACTTATGTGTCATTTAGAAAGTTATGTTTTTAAAAATAAGGCAGTCACTTTTTCTATATCCACCAATTAAATAAATTCATGTTATTTTATTATGGAAATTATGATAATTTACATATGCTCACAAGAGTAACACTCAATAAGCCCTCTCCAATTTTAATTTAGGCATGCAATTACATCATTACTTATCCTTGGTTCAAGTAGAACTATTTTGAAGATTAAAAAATTTAAATAAAGAGCTAATTTTTAACAAACCTACATTAACCCAGATTCAATTGCTGAGAGACTGCTAAGCTACTTTGTTCCAGAAAGTATTGACTCTGAGGCCATATACCTCATAACTGGTAGAAATACTTCACTTGTGGTTGAAAAGCCAATTTATCTCTTAAAAACAAAGCACCACCACGGTTTTTTTTTTTTTCCCTAGATGCATGGAATTAGCATTTTCTTTAAAATAATGAATTTAGGTACTTATTATGAAATATGATTCTGTAAAGGAAGTCCATATTTGGATTGTAGTAGTGACTGGGTATAACAATTATTCTGAAACATTTCGTTACCTCCGCTGAGAGGTATATATCCAGTAAATCACTGGCCATCTTTCTCCTGTATTTTGTCTGGCAGTGCTAATTTACCACCTTCTAACCTATTATAGAATTCACTTATGTTATTTTGTATTTCTTTTCTCCCATGAGACCATTGATCTCTAGTTGCATAGCTTGTCAAGTGTCTAAAACAGTACTGGGCTGGAAGCGGATGCTCAATAAGCACTCCAAGGATGAAATTTGTTCTAATAATGCCGGGCGTGGTGGCTCTCACCTGTAATCCCAGCACTTTGGGAGGCCGAGGCGGGCGGATCACGAGGTCAGGAGACAGAGACCATCCTGGCTAACACGCAGAGTCTCTACTAAAAGTACAAAAAATTAGCTGGGCGTAGTGGCGGGTGCCTGCAGTCCCAGCTACTTGGGAAGCTGAGGCAGGAGAATGGCGTGAACCCGGGAGGCGGAAGTTGCAGTGAGCCGAGATGGCGCCACTGCACTCCAGCGTGGGCGACAGAGCGAGATTCCGTCTCAAAAAAAAAAAAAAAAAAAAAAAAGGAAATTTGTTCTAATACGATGACCTAATGACCTAGGGTTTCTATGGGTTTTCTTTTTCAAATATAACCTCAATTATACAAATTGGTATATAGTTGTTTCAGTTTTCAAATCTACCTTAATAACTCGTTCATATTTCTACATGATTAATTTGTATGAAAAGTATTCACTCATTAAATAAAAATCTTTGGCCAACTCTACCTGAGAGGACTAAAGGAAAACATGGCACAATATAAAAATGAGGAGTTCTTGCTAGAGGGCATTAAAAACTCATTCCAGGGCTATTAATTTTATTTTATTTTTCTTTAACAAATGCTGGGAAGACACATGTTTGTGGATTATTGTAATACTAAATTATTAATGCCTTTCATTAAGATACATTTTATTAGTTGTGGTTTGCAAGTAAACAATTGATCTGTGTTTTTTATTAGGGTAAATCTATTGTGATTTCTTGTTCAGTAAATTAGGCTGTTTGCTGAGTAGGATGAAGCAGTGTAATTATTTTTCATTACTTAGTATCTATAGAGTCTCATTCAGGTTCATTTCTCTTTCAGCAGTATCAGATAGATTTTCTTTACTTTCATAGGTCTTGCTAAAGTTGAAATACAACCTTCAGCACTTCAAGTGTCTCAGTATAGTCAAGAAAAGGAACCACCGCTTAAGCCTAACCACTGTTACAGCCTAACCGAGGGCACAAATGTACAAGCCTTGTTTACCAATTTATAGTGACTAGCCACAAGAGAAGATTCCCATATGAATCCAAAGTTTTGTTTTGTTTTTAATTTTAATCTAAATTAATTTGGAATGACATCTGATGGGAATCCTTCTTGTCTCAGTGTTTGGGTAGCATTTAAAATATGTAAGCATGCTCAATGGTGCATGTTTGTGTATATACATATGAAAAGTAAGATGCATGTGTTGGGAAACTTGTAATTCTGGCTTGATAAAAGCATTAGTTTATTGTCTTTGTTTGGCTAGTATTTCCACTATGTAAGGTACATGTGTAGCAGTAACACCTCACCATTTGGTTCTCTATAGCCTCTTCTCCCATGTAATCAAATGGTTCAGATATAGGAAACACAATTTTGGATGACAATAACCTACCTTGTTCTGCCAGAACACCTTTTAAATCCAGTAAGAAGAACATGAAGCACTCTTTAAGATTTAAGACATCTTTGTTAAAGTATAATATATACTGTACCTATCAATGTAAGCATATAAATTAAAAACAAACAAATGAAAACCATCAATGTCCTCTCCTTTTCCAAACTCAGGAGTCACAGCTCTAATTAATGGTTCAACAGTTCTCCTGAAGCAGACTGCTGGCCAGGTTACTCAGCTTCTTAACTTGACCTTAACCTGTAATAGGAAGCTACATCATAGTACTATAACAGAGAAGGGAAAAAGCAAATACTAATCTGAATTCCAAATCTCATAATCAATTTTCCCATTCACTTCATTTAAAAATTCTCTTTTATATGCTTTTGAAGAGTTTTCAATCCAGCGAACATGTAAATTATTTTACGTCCTAGAAATATACTTTCTCTACTAAGAGCAAATAAGTGAAATTCATCCTGAAAGGTTGCAATTTGTATATCAATGCTTAATTATCAAGTCACTGAGGCATGCTGAAGCATTCAACCAAAATACAGAAAAATGTCCTCTATACAAGGATCATATGAGAAGTTAAATGTCTAAATATGTTGACTATAAAGTGGAGATGTATTTAATAATGTGCTCATCACTTATTACCTAATTTTGTCCTCCCAAATGCAAAAAGAAATCCTAGTTATCATAGTTCAGTTGAATGATGGGAGGGAGGACTCAAACAGTCACTAAATAGCTGAGAGATGCAAAAGTTAGTACAGGAAGAGTTTGAGAAGGAAATCAATGACATCAATCATGACTTCCATCAATTCACCAGGTTAATGCAGTGGAGTGGCTCTATAGGCCAGGAGTCAGTTCTGGTCGTTTTGGTGCTACTTTATTCACACTGCATTTTGTTCAAACCTTCCTTGTTAATTTTATTTGTTGGTTGTCATGTCTATGTCTTCATGAGACTGTGAGATAGCTTACGTTATAGATTATTATAGCTTTGTATTTCTGCATCCCCCACTTCTAGCTTAAGATCTATTTGGCAGACAGTAGGTACCCAATAAATGTGTTTAGTGAATAAATATGAGATAAGAGATTGTGGGTTAACAAGCTACTCTGTGTTTTGCTAAACCCACGGGACCCTACCCGGCTCCACGTTTACTCCTATTCTCCTAGTGTATACTCTCTGTTCTAGTTTTCCTTGACTGTATTTGCAACAACATGACATACATTTTTTCACCATATCAATTACATAAACACTGTAGATATTTCTCTGGGAGTTTGATGGAAAATAACTTATTTCTTAGCTGCATTTTAAATGAAGAACATTTAGGTTAATGTGTTGGTGAAGTTTAATAGTCTATACTACACACAAAAATATCTATTCATCTACCTAGTCCTTTATTTCCATTCATTTATTTATTCATTGATTGATTCAAGCAGCATTCATTAGATTTCCTTTACTATGTACTACACATGGCATTAGATGCTTTGGTAGATACTGAGATGAAGCAGGTAAATCCAGTTTCTCCAAAGAACTTTCAGTCTTGCAGGCTTATTCAGTTTATGACTACAAAAGCCATATTATTATAGAATATATGGGTGAAATGTAAAGATAATCAATTAGTGCTTCTAGCCTTTTATAAGGTCAAGGATACCCTTAAGATTACAATGAAAGCTGAAGATTTTTTCATCATAACTTCTCATTGTACAGGCACAAAATTTGCATCATGCTTCCCAGGATTTATAGAAAAATGGAATGAGTTCGAGGATAAGAAAAATCCTCTAATTTGGTGTAAACCCATATATTAATAAAGGTTAAAAAAGTGACATTCAGAAAAGAAAAAGCATCTTCTTAAAGGCCATCACTGTGAATTTTAATGTCTTACCCTTCGATGGCAACTTTTATAAAAACCCCTTTGATGACTCTCTCCTTACTATTTCTTAGTGGTCTTAGAACTGGCAGAACTGTACTATCTTTCCCTGATAGTCTATATCCTTATGATGTTCCCCAAATGTTCTACTCATTCTAATGTCAGTTGCCTTTCCTAGCCCTGCATACCTGCTGGACTGAATAATAATAGACTCAGTTATAATCCCATTTTTCTGGATTAACCCTCTAACACCTCCATCTCACCAAAATAAGGAGTTGTTGAAAACCCAAGCACCATATCTTTTATTTTTGTATTTACACATATAAACTTAATTGTTTTAAAGAAAATCACAAAGTACAAATTATATCCTTAAATGTTCCAATTAGAAAAAAAATTACTTTGTCATAGGATCTAAAGATATGGAAAATCTGCATTGCTAATTTTTAAGATTATTTTTAAATAAGACCAAAAATTACCTACTGTTAGATTTATACATTTTTAATAAATTTCACCAAACGGCTTAGATATTTTTCTAACAAGATGTATTTTGATCTTGAGATATTCATGTTCCGCACAAATATATTGCAATTAAGATAGCAGCATAAAGAAATACTGTTAGCAGTTAGAGTGTGTGACAGTAATACAAAATTAATTGATATATGTGTTACAAAATTACACTGCAGGTTATTGCTTGAAGGCCTAATGGTGATCCCCAGCTTCCATCAAGTGACAGTTTTAATATTTGCCGGTGATGCTCTTTTTATCTCTAGCAGCTGTTTGATTCTGCTTAGAGGAAGGATTTGAAAAAATAAAACACTGGGCAGTCTTAGGAATAAAAGAGAAAAAAAATAGGATAGTCAGAGGAAATAAGTTTTTAGAAATGTATTTATCATAGATGTATCATATCCATATTTTTATATGGTGGAAAAGCAAAATACTTTTAATCAGAAAAAATAACAATTAATCTATGTAAGTATCTCCAAATAGGTTGACACTTGAATTTTTAATGCTACATTTAATCATCCTAATAAATTATAAATTATATTACTGTGAGTTTGCACAATAGTGGCTGTAATATTTTGACTAATCCTCACAAATATTTGAATTGAAGTTGCCATCAGTTTTAAGACATTCTAATTTCCCAAACAGGTAAATTAAAATAGAGGGTTCTCTTTTCACAAGACATACACATCTGTTAGGCACAGATTTGGCAGCACATGTGTAGGATTTGTTCCATTTTGTTTATATGTGTCCTGAAGAATCCATATCAAGCAAATTATTCATTCCTTCTATTTCTGTTTTGTAATCATTACATATCAGATATTAAAATGTTTATAGTTTTTTCCTTAAAATGTAATCATTTAGACAATAATTTATCAACTGAGGAATCATCATACATTTAGATCTATATGTACATGTATATTCATATTATATATGTTATGACCAAATTTGTTTTTAAATATATATGTCTGTGTGTGTGTGTGTGTATACCTCACTACTTACCACTTTATAGCCATGTAATACATTTTGTTTTTGAATTAATAAATCTCAGCTTTCTTTCAGTAATGTCCTAAATTTGTTTTAAAAAATAAGCTTCTGTAAAATATGACTGCAAAAGATGAGGTAAATAAAATGCTTAGCTATAGAACTGAAGTAACAGACTTTAATCCCTATACCATAAATTATGTTATACTGCTTCACTTATTCAACCTCTCTTCTATTTATATCTTTTTCTTGCTTTCTAGGCAATTTTTTTTCAATTATATATTAAATGCCACCTTCCCTCCCCTCCCCCCACCACCACCTTCTGACAGTCATTAATATGATTGAGTGTCTTTCATTTGGGTGAAGAATCTCTATGCAAATCCATGAGAATATTATGCAGAATATTTGGAAAGCCCTTTGTCCACACTGGAGTTGACAGGGTGATAGTGGAACTGATTCGGGCTAGATGATGTGATTTACCAGTGATAACACTGCTCTGTGTTTACTGCCTGGCTGACTCTCACACAAGTATTTCCATCCTGGACCTATAAAAGATGAGTGATTTAGATCAGTACAGGTCAACCAACCCTGGAAAATCAATAATTTTGTGTCCCACAAGTTCAGTTAATATACAAATGTTATTCCAAAGTTAATATATTTTGCTGACCCCACTTAATGTGTACATTGCTTTGACTCATCATGTAGATAATCAGAAACATTTTTTATGAACTGATTAAAGAAATAATGTGGTAACATTGTTTCTATTTATTCACTCTCTTATGAGATTCCTCTATACAATATCAATTGATCTTTATACATCCTTGACTTTATATCCTAAGTCTAAGGTCTTTTTTCTTGTGTATCTTCTGCAAAAATCCACAAATATCACAAGTAAATACATCCCTTTCACCTTCCACCTGTCTTATTCACTCTGCACTTTTTTGCTTGATTATGGAACTATCATTCTACATTGCTTCTTGAGTTCACTTTCTCAGCGTACTGTAAAGTTTTTCTTTTTTCTTCATCGTAGTCACTGAAAAGTTTTCCAGTTATTTCCTTTCCAACTGTGCAACTTCTGATCCCAATCCTTCTTACCCACTCTGTGAAACTGGACACTTGATAGCACCATAGTGGCCCTGTCCACCTGCCTTTGTCCTGGAACCACATTTCTAGCTGCTTTTGGACATCAATCTCAGAATCTCATATCATTGCCTTCAATAACATATGCTCAAAACAGAACTCGTTAGCTTTCCAACTGAAATTTTATTTACCCTACCTACCTTATTTAATGGTACCTCCACTCAGAAAAACACCTGCACCAGAAACAGCTTCATTTCCTGCAAAGTTTTTTTACTGCTTTATCTGGTCCCATCAGTTTTACCTCTGAAATAGCCACTTTGTTTCTATCTCTCCTTTCTTTTCACAGTTTGAGTTTAGGGTCTCTTCGTTATATGGCTGAGAAGGTATTGTAATACCTTCTTAATTAGTCTGCCTGTTTTTGTCAATATTTTCTATTTCTGCATCATTCTCCGAAGTGTTCATTAAGTTCTGCAGCATAGCCAGATGCTGCTTCTTTAAAACATTGTTTTAAACCCATTTTAAAATATTCAGTGTCTTCCTTCAACTGGTGAAATAAAGTCGAAAACGTGAGCATACCAAATGCAGCCCTTCAAAACATAACAGTACCATCAGTGTCCATCCTCAGTTTTGAACTCCCTACCAGGCACGCCTATAATCACGTAGTTTTGAAATACTCACTGGAGAGATTGCTCAGTTTTTCTCTAAGTGCCTTTGTGTATACTGTTTCTTCTTTCTGCAATGCCCTTTACTTTTCCTAATCCTCTTCAAGTGGTAAGTTTTGCCTCTTCCATCATTCCCTCCTATCCCTAGGAAATCCATCTTCATCCTTCAAACCCCACTCAAAGATGTTCTTTCTTAGGCCTTTCCTTTTCTCATTTTGCCTTTTTCTACCCTTGAAAGAAAGGAAGGGTGCCCTCATCTCTATTCCTTTAGCCTTTTGTACATACTTCTAATAAAACAACCATCAATTTATTTTTTTTTCCGTTGGCTACTTATTGAATGTTTTTTGTGAGTTAGGAGCTGGAGATATGACAGCATCATTTCTAGGCTAATGACTCGCTCTTGGCAATGTGCATTGTAATTTTAATTTATGCTTAATCTCATTGCTAAATTGTTATTGTCTTGAGGTTACTCATGTTTGGATGAACTTGGGGCAGGACTTCAAGAAGCTCTACAAATGTTTATTAATTAATGAATATACTATTCCTGTCACTCTGTCACTGTTTTACTCTGAAATATTTTTGAAATCTTTTCCCTGCAATATTCATATTGCATTTGGAATTAATTCCTCATGAGCCCCAAGTACATTCAAGTCCTAATATTCCTGTGTTATTGATGAGAATACAATGACAAAGAATAGATGTGAAATTAATAATACACTCTAAGTCAGACAAATCTTTTTTCTTACCAAGTTTAAATGGTGGGATTAATTTCCAGCCTGATGTCTCTTATAGTTTATCAAAACATTTAATACGTTTAGAGAGGAAGAAATTATATACTTTATGTTGTAGAATCTACTAAGAAATTAGCTATTTATTAAATTATTTTAAAATTTATTTTAGTGAAATTAATTCAGTTGATTTAACTGCAATTACATGAGAAATAATAAGAAATCTCATTCTAAAAACTGTAATACTAGGTATCTTAGTACAATATTCCTTGCTTTTATTTCCAAATATCATATTTTCCTCTTAGGGAGAAAATTGCTGCCTGTATATAAAGACAGGCAATTGAAATGAAAAATAGTGTTAGTAACAAAAATAAAATATGTAGAATTTGAGGTAGAACTTTGAAATAATGAAAAAATAATGTGGTATTTTGTTCTGTGAGTAGTTAAATAAAAGATACAACTTTTAGAATATACCTGCTTCATTTTGTGAAACAAATAGAGTTTTAGTTTGAACAAATAATTGAGACTTCATTTCTACAATCTTAACTGTAAATGCTTGACTTGTAAATATTTGACAAGGTTGACTTGGTTTCATGGAGTTAGAACAAAAAACAATTCTTGGTAGCTGATGTATAACTTATATCTTAATTATTATTTACATCCAATAAGTTTTTGAAAATTAGACTGAGGATTCTTTTCCACAGCATTAGAATGCCTCTGTGACTGTGATTCTGCTTAGGAAGCTGGTGGCCACAGAATGACTGAACTATTTGAATGCATAGTCAAAATGTTCATCAGAATAATTTCAACTTTGTTAATAGTACAAATTTTTCGAGCTCGCCTAAAGACAGTTTGAACCAGAGAAAATAGGTATGTTTGTGAAAGATGATATTGTAGTTCATTTACCTCAATTTATATACTACTATTTCTGCCTACTTCTTTGTTCATTTGTTCTGTTCACTTAACAAATTGTGTGTGTGTGTGTGTGTGTGTGTGTGTGTGTGTGTGAGAGAGAAAGAGATAGGATAATTATTGCCCACCAAGTAGACCAATTTTCAAGGTCAATTCTAATGTCTGAATTTGATTGAAGAAACCGTAATTGTACAAATGGATCAGTTCTTAAGAAAAAAAAAATAAATGAACCAGAGAAGAAAGATTTTTTAAAAATTGAGTGATAGTCATTCCAACTGTATTCTCAGCAAAGGCTATTATTTCTTGTATAAAGAATGTGAAAATGAAAATCCTGGTCAAGACTAGAAAGACATATGAGAATGAGAAAAGAATATTACAGTGTAAATGTAGACTAGGTATTTACCATTGGTCAAGGCTCCAGTACTATTAGAGTGACCATTGACCAGAATTTCCAATGTAGAAAGGCATTGAACTAGAGAAAAAAACGAGAAAAGTTAGGATTCCTTGAACAGTGAGGCTTGAGCAATGAAACCACTGGTGCTGTTTTTAGCTAATCAAAGTTAATATGATTTAAAGAACTGAAGAGAAAGCCCAATTTTTTGTTCTGAAATAATAATATTTTTTGAGCGCCCCCACTGTGCATGCCACAGACTATAATAATTTGTATATAATACTATATGATTTTCTCAACACAACAACAAAGCATGCTATTCCTATTTTATACCTGACAAAAACTGATATTTGGAAAATTTAAATAATTTACTGGAGCCATAAAAATGCCCCAAATGTCTGATTCCAATGTTTTAATTATTATTTCAGCTTCTTTATTCCAAAACTTAATGAGTTTTATATATTCAGTATAGAATGATGAAAAAGACATAGTTCCTACCTTCATTTAGGCTTATGTTCTAGGAAAAAAGGTAGACAATTGAAAAATGTGTGAGAGTAAACCATGATTTGAATTGTGAGAACAGAAATACAGAGAGCTATTGAAAAACACAAAGTCAGATCTCCCAGAACTGACTTTTAAATGGAGACATAACATAGATTTGGTATAAGAAAATGAGAGAAGAATGATCTAAACAGAAGGTACAGAATCTATGTCTACAACAAAGATCTGAAAATCAAGTTAAGAACTTTTGTCATCTTATTTTAAAGTTAAATTTGCTGAAGTATAATGTATATTCATATTATTTTATATATATAAAGTGACTACTTTTAGTCCTTGGATGTGAAAATTATTTTTTTTAGAAATTAACAACAATTACTTGGAGAGCAAAGATGGATAAATGAAGTAGGTGAAAGTAAGTTGCTCAAAGGCAAGATAAGGCTATTAAGTAATGAAATTAATGCATTTAAATAAAGCTAATCTAGTAAATTTTCACTAAAGGGAATTTCATAAGAAAAGTGTCAAACTTTTAATATTCATTCCATGTATATGTCTACATAGCACAGTATTCAATAGCACAGTATTCAAACTACATGAGCACCAGGAGAATTTTTAAGATGCACTTAGCTATGCTTAGTTTTCTAGATGATGTAAATCAGGACCAAATTCTTGGAGTCACTTGTTCAGGAGAAAGCATCAGAGATCAGTTTGGGACCCAGTGTCTTGTCCTCTTACAGTTTTCCTTTTGGTTTTCAGTTACACCAAACTTTCAGGAGGTCAAATGTATTAAATTCTTGATTTTAAAATTTATGTAAATATAAAAATCCACTGAGTTTACATTTTTTTTCCTTATTTAAACTAATGAATCACTAGTGCAGGTGTTAGCTAGACTTAAATTATAGACTGTCCCACTGAAAGAGCTATTTCAGGCACTGGTAGGAGTAAGGTAAAAGAAACACTTAGTTTTATTTGTCACTGCAAGTTGCTGAAATAAATATTTTTAAATAGATGATAAAAATACTTTATTTCTATATGTATTTATAAGGAATCTTGGAATGTGTTCTGTGTTGAGTGATATGCTGAGAGAAGGGGAGATGATTTATCTATTCCAGGGTTTAGATATTATTTCATACATTCAATTTACTTTTAGGTTTCTCAAATGCTAAAAATTGCTTCGTATAGTAAATAAGAAAGGTGGGAGGTGATGAGGTTAGAAACTGTAGAAATCAGGCAAGGCATATATAATGCAGGCTGCCAGAAATGTTAGATAGCCACTGGGAGTGAGTCCTGTTACCAAATGCTGTATTTTTATTCTATTTTCTTCTATAAGTAGTCTGCTTAAGGAGAAATTTCTAAGGTTACAGTTTTTATTAGAGAAGGAGCACTTACTATGATATCAATTAAGCATATAATATGATTTTAATGAATGAGATATAAGTAAAATAGATTTTATTTAAAACTGTTTACTTTTAGTCTTCTCTGCACATAATTACCTAATATTTTGCTGCTTTTGTCAGTGGTGTCATTTTCATTCTTTTTTGTTAGGGGCATTTCCACACACTTCCCAACATTTGACAAAACCCCCAAACCATCTAAAATTATACACTTTTCCTCATGCCTTTATTCTAAATCTTTGAAGCTACAGAAAATGTCTGCAATCAAACTGGGTGGAAATCTTGAATATTTAGTTGAGGCATAATAAAGGATATTCATGCACTGAACATAATCTTATAAAAGGTATTTAAGACTTCGTTGAAGATAGTTTCAGCTAAGTAAAAAAGAAGATTCAAAACGGGACATGTATATGATCCAAATCCTATTGGGGGAGGTGGAGAACATATAACAGATAAAGCCACTGAAAAAAAATACGAGGTGTTCAGACTTTCCCTCTGTTCCTTCTTGTTTTAGAGTCCAGAAATCTCAAACTTGCCACTTATCCATTACAAAAGTAAAACACTGAAGACAATTATCCACCAGATTTTTCATCTTCAAATATCAGCATGCTAAGAAAAACTTTAAATATCTCTGAGTCAACTTCCATCTTCAAATCAGAAGCAAAGGAACAAAATATGCTGCTAGACACAAATTTGTCCCTTGTCAGAGAATCAGAATAGGAGCAGCAGAATTTTTTTTTGGAAAATCTCATCCTTAAATATTTTTTCCTGTAATTCATATTTGCGTTAGTTATACGCTCTTTAGAACAAGAAAGAGTTTTTTACTCACTTGAGTTAGCTCAAGTTCATGTGGAAGTGAGAGAAATAAAAATCTTATTTTGCAGCTAGGCCTTACAAGTATCCAGGAACAATTATAAAAGTACATTTGGTGGAAACACAGAAGTGTTCAAACTGTCTTGTTAACTCAGAGACTAGAAATTGAGGACAAAAACTCGCTAGATATCTAGTACTAATATAAATTTTAGTAATAATATAAATAGCTAACATATAACGATGTCTTACTCTCGCTTGATAGTAATATTAGGTCCTTTATATATCTTATTCTACAGTTTTTGCAAAAATTATATGTGCTAGTAACTGTTATTTCCCCAGTTCCCAGTTAGGCAACTGGAAGGGAGCAAAGTTCAGTGGCTGGACCGAGGTGATACAATTAGCAAATAACTGAATCAACGCTCTTACCATTTGATTCCAAATCTACCCTATAATTTTTTTTTAATTTCATAGCTTTTATCCCAGTTATTGATTTTTAAAGTCCCTTTTTATTATTCCGATTAACCAGTTAACTTCCCATAACAGGGAAGAGTACCAGATCCTACTGATGATTTACTGTCATCCCTATGGGGCAGAGTTTTTGTATTAGACCACATCATTGGCTGCCTTGGGTCATGTGCCTATCCCTGATCCAATCAGCTTTGACTAGATTGAAGGCATCTTGTGAAACCAGCACGAGGTAACTTATGAAAAACCCACTTAAACGACAGAAAAGATAGAAACTCCTGCAAAGGATATGATGATTTTAGGAAGCACCCTGAGTCAGCTCGCTTGAGAATATTACTTATTCATCTTTTCTCCGTTCTTTATAGAAATATCTATTCTCGTAACATCTATCCTCCATCCCTTTAGTTTCTGTATTTTTTAATATTGAGTGAAATTTTACAGTTAGGTTGAACTTCCTATTATTTGTTATATTCTACCTGCCCATCAAAAAATTTAAAATTACTTTATTTAAATATTTGAATGTTTAAATTGAATTACCACACTGCTGTCATTTAAATAATGATAGAGAAATGTGTTTCCTTGGTAGCTTTTCATAATTTTACCATAATTAATAAAAAAATGTGTATTGAAGATGTCTAAGATACACAATAATATTAACATAATTATGTTTATCGTTCCAGATCAAATAAACATTAAATATCCTTAAGAAACAAAAAAAATGCATATAATGAATTAGATTATGCTTAAATAGATTAATTTTGATGCAGTGGAAATTTCAAAGTGTCAAATGAAGAAAACACTCCTTTCATTTCCCATCAAAGTTGATGCTCAAACAATATCTAAATACTGGCTATATAATGTTGCACTGCCTGTTGAAGTGGCAGTCTTCTGTTGTCAATTCTCTGGATTCCTCATGTAGAATTTCTTCTGTGTGGCATTAGTCATATGAGAAGGGTATATAAATATATGTCTAAATATTATACGTAAAGACATAGGTGTATATATAGATATGTAGATAAAGTATATATATACTTTATAGCAATATTTACTGTGTATTTGTGTATGTGGATTTTTAAAGAAAGTATGATGAATATAAAATGAATTCTATCTTTAGGATATGCCAAAATTTGCTGTGCCTCCTGTACCTAAATTAGATTAAACTTAAATAGATTAATTTTGATGCAGTGGAAATTTCAAAGTGTCAAATGGAGAAAACACTCATTTCCCATCAAAGTTGATGCTCAAACAATATCTAAATACTGGCTATATAATGTTCCACCATCTGTTGAAGGAGTAGTCTGATGTCAACTCTCTGGATTCCTCATGTAGAATTTCTCCTGCTTGACATTAGTCACAGGAGAAAGATCATACCTAAGGTCTTATAAGTGGCCTCATAATGAAGGCTGGGCAGACAGAACTAGGGCTGGGATGCCCCCAAACAGAGGAAGTATTTTGACTTCCCCTCCTATTTAAAAAACATAAAGGTTTACAGGATAGAGTATGTTACTCATAAAAAAATTCACATTCAAACATTTTGTAAAACTCTATTAGACATTTATTTCAGAAGTAAAAGGGCAAAGATATTTCTAAAAATTAGCCAGCCACACATTAAAAGAGCATTTAGGAGGATAATTCAACAAAAGAACTTCTGTCTATGAAATTGCATATGTAGCTGCCTCAGGGCAGCTCTGAAGCTATCTTTCTGAGAAGTATACTGTATTTTAAGAATACACTTTAAGAATGAGGTGACATCTTATTTAAAATCTAAATTTTCTCAAAAACAAAAGATTATTTATATGACAGGCACAAGGATGGTTGGGTCTCATAGAATTTTTCCTAGCATCTCTCATCAATTGGATCTCTCAAAATTTGCCTGTCCTTAAAAATGATCACAAAGCAAGACGAAAATGTTTCAGGTTGACAGAAACGCGGATATTTAAAATGACAGAATCTCTTGGACTGATAAAGATTTTAAAAAATAAATGTAGGTTTGAGATAAAAGTAATGATGCAAGGTAAATTTTGACTCTATATTTGGAGGGCAATTTGTCTAAGTGCATAAACATTCTATAAATAAATTCTTTTGAAAAATCTCACTTTTACTCAATTAGTAATTTATTTTTAAAGTGAGACAACTGACTGAAGATTACTTTCAGAGTTATTATAACTTTTAATTTTACCTATTACCTATTTTTTAAAACTTCTGGTCGGGCGTGGTGGCTCTTGCCTGTAATCCCAGCACTTTGGGAGGCTGAGGTGGGCGGATCACGAGGTCAGGAGATGGAGACCATCCTGGCTAACATGGTGAAACACTGTCTCTACTGAAAATACAAAAAGTTAGCCGGGCATGGTGGCGGGCACCTGTAGTCCCAGCTACTCCGGAGGCTGAGGCAGGAGAATGGCGTGAACCCAGGAGGCGGAGCTTGCAGTGAGCCGAGATGGCGCCACTGCACTCCAGCCTGGGGGACAGAGCGAGACTCCGTCTCAAAAAAAAAAAAAAAAAAAAAAACTTCTGAAAAGTATGGAAAAGTCATATAATGGTCTATCATATCCTTATTAAATGTATTATATAGAACTGTATTTACCAATATGAAGGTAAATTTAAAATATTTAAGTAAAATGGGAATATACAGAACAATATATATTATTTTTAAAATCCCTGATAATTTATATATATTTTTTCTATATAGAATAGTCTGCAAGAACATATGAAAATGCGATAGCAGCTATTACCTAGAAGTGGTCAATTTCAGAAGATTTGATTTTTTTTCTTTTTGATTGTCTTCTATGTTCTTATTTTAACTAAATATAACATAGTAATTAAAGTACCCACAAAATTTGATCATAACACTCTAATTCATAGCCTGGTAATGTGACTTAAAATTAATATGTGCGTTGTTAAATTACACTGTTTCTCAGTAATTTCTTTATTATGGAAAAATGAACAAGCATTGGTATAATGTGGGAAAATATGTGCATTTATGTCGCTTCTGAAAACATGAGGTTTAATTTATATTCCTTTGGGTCCTTATGGTTACCTCTTCTAATTTTCTGTTAATATTAAAATGTTACATTAGGCCTCTTCTTTTTAATAAACTAATAATTACTTTGATGAGATTTCACTTAAATTCTCATGAGGTGTCTACTGTAGAGAAGAACTTAATTATCTGTGTTTCTTATGGTTATGTTTGGGAAACCCATTGAACTTTTCGTCATATTTCATAGCTATTGAAATAACACAGGTCCACCTACCTAAGACCTCTGTCCCCCATCACATAAACTAATAAAGAAGCTCTTCTCAATTGATAATTTAGGGTTTTGATATACATCTACAAAAAAAGTAACCAGCCTAGGAAAATCACTGTCTCACTATCTTTTTATTTTCTAGAGGACTTTCATCCATTTTAGAGACTTATTTGATGATACAGTTGAAATAAAAGGAGATGAAGTTCATTTACTCCATGGCTTTGATTCTGGAGAATACTAGGGAAGGAGATTCTTGACAAAATCATAAAGGGTGGGCCTCTAGTACTCCAAACTCCTTTATTTTTACTATTCAGTCTTTTTATCTGTGCTACACCTTCATGATTGCCCCCATCTCCGTAAATCCCTTCCTTTGATCTATTATTCACAAAGCTGTAAATAAATAATAGAAAAAGGTTTACTTTTTTTCAGAGCTAGTTGTTACCTTTTGTACTGGTCTGTTTTCACACTGCTACAAAGAGCTCCCTGAGACTGGGTAATTTATAAACAAAAGAGCTTTAATTGACTCACAGTTCCGCATGTTTGGGGCGGCCTCAGGAAACTTAAAATCATGGCAAAAGGCAAAGGGGAAGAAAATACCTTCTTCACAAGGTGGCAGGAGAGAGACCGCACAGGGTAAACTACCACTTTAAAAACCATCGGATCTTGTGAGAACTCCCTCACTATCTAGAGAACAGCAAGAGGGAAACCATTCCCATGATACAACCATCTCCCAGCAGGTCCCTCCCTCGACACATTGGGATTACAATTCGAGATGAGATTAGGGTGGGGACACAGCCAAACCATATCACCTTTGTAGAGCTGAAACTCACATACATGGATTTTTAAGTATCAGTGAGCAGGTGGGAAAGATTTGAAAAGTACAAAGCATTGAGGCCTGTTTAGAAAATGTAAGGTTTGTGCCACATATTAATAGCTTTATGCAAGGTAAGTATTAACAATGTTTATGCCGGACGCGGTGGCTCACGCCTGTAATCCCAGCACTTTGGAAGGCCAAGGCGGGAGGATCACGAGGTCAGGAGATCGAGACCACGGTGAAACCCCGTCTCTACTAAAAAAGACAAAAAATTAGCCAGGCACGGTGGCGGGCGCCTGTAGTCCCAGCTACTCTACTCGGGAGGCTGAGGCAGGAGAATGGCGTGAACCTGGGAGGCGGAGCTTGCAGTGAGCCGAGATCGCGCCACTGCATTCCAGCCTGGGTAAAACCCAGCTTGAGAAAAATTCCATGAAGGGTTATGAGAACAGGCTTTTTGACAGATGTGTTTTTATATCCTGATCTTGCTAGTTGAGTGGCATTGAAAAAGTCATTTAACTCTCTAAACAGTTTTACCTGATTTGTTAGATGCAAATAATACATTTTTGTAAGCATTGAATAAAATATACAAATTGTTTAATTTAGCATGTGGCACATAATGAACATTCAATAGCTGTTATTTATCTCCCACAAAAAGTTATTTTCAAAATCTACCAACTTAAAATAATGAAAAGTAAAAAGCCTAACTGAATGGTTACAAAAAGGACATTAAAATATTTCCTATATTCAAGCAAAACAAAGGGAGTATTTAACCTTATTTCTAAACTAATTTCTAACTATACTTAGTGTAAGTTTAAATTTAAATTTAGTCCAGGCCAGCTCAGTGGCTCACACCTGTAATCACAGCATTTTGGAAGGCCAAGGCAAGCAGATCACTTGAACTCAGGAGTTTGAGACCAACCTGGGCAACATAGGGAGATCCCATCTCTACTTAAAAAATAAATAAATAAATATCCTGACATGGTGGTGGACACCTGTAGTCCTAGCTGCTCCAGAGGCTGACACGGAAGGATTGCTTGAGCCTGGAGATCAAGGCTGCAGTGAACTATGATCTTGCCACCACACTCCAGCCTAGGCTAGAATGAGACTCTGTCTCAAAATAATAACAACAGCAAAATCTTAGTTCAGCCTAAACTTAGTATAATATGAACTATTATTTAATATTCTCTTAACATGCCATGTTTCCCTTTGTGATTTCCCTTTTGTTCGGTATGCTATCCTCCACCTAATCAGCTTGACAATCTTGTATTCTTTTATTAAAATGCTAAAGAAAGACCTTTTCGGGGATGCTTCTCTGATGACTCTGTCAGTTACTTCTGATTGTTAGTATAATCACCCAACACACAGTGACTAAACAATAATGATATCATTAATATCACCCAAGACCCAGATGTTGAGCACTTTCCACCTCCTCATCCTCACTGTGCTGGCCTTCATGTTCTGGCATAGAATCATGCTCCCAAGATGGCTATGGCTGCCCCAGACCTGAAGTGCTCACAATCTAGAGCAATGCAGGAGAGCTTCTCTTCACAAGCTTTTTTTTTCTTTTTTCTTTTTAGTAGAAAGGAAACCACTTCCCAGGAGAATCCTAGATAACTCTTTATCTCAGTTGTCATTCCTCAGCACTGGCCACATGTCCATGCCCTATCTGTAAGAGAGATGGGGAAAGCAAGAGAGATGGGGAAAGCAAGCATACAGCCTTCCCTGTTTCCATAGTGGAAAGTGGTATTTTTCAAAATGGTGAAAACTGCTGCTGGGTAGGCAATGAACAATACACTCTGCACATCTTCTCCTTATCTGAACTCCCAACTTCAGCTCTGTTCACGGAATGTGTTAATCTATTTTCATTGCTCTTCCAGCAGCACTCCAGATGCACCTATATTAGCACCTACCTCACGTTATTGTAAGTATTTCTATTTTTGCCCACCGCTTTACTAAACCATCCGCAGCTTGTAGGTGGAGACCCCTGTTGTCTTCATCATTATATTCTTAGTGCCTACTTTGGTTCACAGTAAATGAGTATTAAATAAATGAGTCAGTTTAGGACCTTTTAAAATAGGGAACAAGGAATTATGATTTAAAATATATTTTAAGATTAAAATAATAAGGAGATAAAAAACAATTGTAGTCTTTGAAGGGCCTTTAATGGTTAAAACACAGCATAATAGATAGGAGATTTCACATCATCCCTGAAAGAGCCAAAGTCTAACCATCTGCTTCATATCTCACTGTGTCTAGAGATGAGAAAAAAATATGTGAATTTTGGTATCCCATGGGAGATTGGAGAAGGATCGTGTAGGATTTAGAAAATAGAGCCTGCAAGGAAGTGTCAATAATTTAGGCTTTTTCTTTTGCATTTACGAGGGAGATGTCAAACTTTTCTCCTTCCTTAACATGGTAGTATATGAAATAACTTTTGCTGATTCATTTGAATGGGCTTTTGAAAAAGGGCAGGTTAAAAGGAAATAGATCATTTCTACTGAAATTTCAGAAAAGAACACACAACTGCAAAGCATTAATCCAATGATAATAAAAACTCCAGTCAACCGTGTTGAATGTGTCAGCTTTATTCCACTGAATATATATCCTTTGTCTCTTGCTAAATAAAAGACAGGGTTTTTACTATTATCTCTCTCTCTCTCTCTCTCTCTCTCTGTGTGTGTGTGTGTGTGTGTGTGTGTGTGTGTGTGTGTATGTATTTTTTGGTGAAGAAGCAGTTCCAAATAGGTCTGTGTTGAATGCTTTGTAATTTCCTATATCACTGTCTAAAAAAACACAAGAAACCTACCAGTGTTTCAATGATTAAGGAACAAAATCCCTACATTCTCCCTGAAAATTAAATGTCAAATTGGATTTGAAATGTTTACAGAGGTACTTTTCATTTGTTCATTATGATAGAAATGATAAATGGGCAAAGCTTCTTCCTGGGGATAATGTACTTCTTCAAGTTTTCAATTTTGTCTCGGTTTTATATAAGATGTTTTTGTGAGTACAAATTGCCATCTGCAGCTCCAAAAACACTTGGTGCTTAATAAGGCATAGAATGATTACACATTTGGTAGCATCCAATAGAAAGCATAAAAATATACTATTACTTATAATTTTTTTGGTGAAGGACATTATCATATTTTTGTATTTTTCCATCTCCCAAGAATAAAAACATGTATACACACTTGTACACAAAAATATATACTTCCCAATTCATACATTTCTCAGATACCAGCTACTTACAAATTATTAGCAATTTATAAGGTTTTTCATAAAATTCTGTCATGTGCTTCTAGTCATTATTGCTGGCCTTCATCCTGTGCCAGTGTATTGGGACTGACATTTGACATCAAGGAGAAGAAAAGCCAATTTATGTAAAAGTAGATCATGTTGAAACTAAAAGAAAGCGACTAAGGAGAAAAAGGCCTTTAATGGTACACTAGCTTGCAACATGCTTGTTTCTTACTCATTAGATGAGGCTTACACCTGTGATGTCTTGGCTGTGACATGAAACTGGGAAATTGTTTTAGTCTCTCTTTGCTATCGTAACAAATTACCACAAATTGAGGGAATCGAAGCAATACAAATTTCTGTCTTACAGCGTGGGAGTCAGAAGCCTGAAGAGTGCTCAATGGGCTGAGTTCTTTTGGAGGCTCTAGGTGATGATCCATTTCCCTGTCCTTCCCAGCTGTTAGAGTTAGCCTACATTCCTTGATGCTTGGCTCCCTTCTCAGATTACAGCTTCTTCTTTCCTGGCTCATCTACTTCTTTGCTCTCTGATCTCCCCCTGGCAAGCACCCTTGTGATGATATTGGGCCCACTAGGATAATCTAGGATAATCTCCCACCTCAGGATCCTTCACTTAATCACATCTGCAAAGTCCATTTTACTATGTAAGGTGACATATTCACAGATTCCAGGAATTAGGATGTGATCTTCTTTGGGGTCCCATTATTCAGCCTGCCATGGGGCTCTTATTCAATTTTAGTCAATTTCAAATTTTATTCTTATTTGGCTTGTCTCTCGATCCATCTTAGTTTCAAGGATGAATGAGCTCCAGCTAGAATTGTACACCAATCTTAAAACATGCAAACTTGTGTACATATTTTGTGGGTGTACATACACATATGTCTGTAGAGTAAGTTTCTAATTATTACTACTGTCTCAGCATGACAACAAAAATTATTGATTAAAAATCATGTTATACTATTGAAATATAAATTCTTTTCATTCCTCAATGCCCGTCTAATTCAAGCCTCTGCTGATTTTTTCAGGATGGGTTTATCATAGATGAGTGATACCATGAATTGTAATCTTAGAGTGTCTAATAGGGTTTATTTTTCAATAAGCCACCCATTTTGTAAAGAATATCTATTTTCTTTGCAAAACGGAACTGTCCTAGTTCAAGCATTTTTGGTCTACCTTTCCTTAACCCCTAGCCCCTAAAATGTACATAATCTAAATATATTTTTCTATTTCTATTAATTATAGACTTAAGATAGTACATTTTATCCTGTGCTTACAGATGTGATATCCCTAAAGGAATTATCTTTTGCAAAAAACTATAACATATTTGGCTAAGTTACAATTGCATGCCAGCTATTGTAAAAGTCTGATTTTCAGCAGTCTTTAAGAGACTCTGGAGGGTAACACTGAATCTCAAGTTTGCCTTTCAGTTTTCATGGTTGTTATAATTTTATATAGTATAATCCTTACTATTGAGGTATTTCATTTTAACCATGGGAGAACTTAATTTTATCTTACTGATTAACTAAAAAAGCTATTTATCATCCTGAAAATAAAACAGAATACTAGTATTGCTTTGGTTTTTCTTTTAGCCCCTGTTTTTGCAAAAATAATGTGTAATTATTGGCAGAAAATTTGGTGTTTTTCACTGAAGCCTTTGTTATATTTTTGACATATAATAATTGCATATATTCAGATAGTTAATGATGTTTCCATAGATAGATATATATTGTACAGTGATGAGATCAGGGTAATTAGCATATCCATCATTTCAAACATTTATCATTTATTGGTGTTGGGAACGTCCAATATCCTCCTTCTTACTATTTGAAATTATATTATTGTTAATCATAGTAATTCTACAGTGATACAGAACACTAGAAATTATTTCTCCTATCTAGATGTTATTTTGTATCCTATAACAAATTTCTTCCTATCCCTCCTGTCCCACTATCCTTTCCAGCCCCTAGTATCCTCTGTTCCACTTTTTACTTCTATAAGATAAACTTTTGTAGCTTCCACATATGAATGAGAACATGCGATGTTTAAGATGTTTAACTTTCTTTTCCTGGCTTATCTCAAGTAACATAGTGTCCTGTAGCCCTGAAGTGTTACGTTATTGCAAACGTGAAGTCTTAAGACAGAACCCCTTGCCCTCTAGAAGCTCATCACACAGTAGGTACAATTCATACAGCAAAGTAAAATAGAAGCTTTTCGGTGTTTTGAGTAGACGGTTGTGGATCCAGTGATAGAGAAAGAAAAAGTTCACTGGGAAAGTTTTTTGTTTTTTTTTTTGTTTGTTTGTTTGTTTGTTTGAGATGGAGTCTCACTCTGTGCCTAGGCTGGAGTACAATGGCGTGATCTCAGCTCACTGCAACCTCCGCCTCCCGGGTTCAAGTGATTCTCCTCCCTCTGCCTCCTGAGTAGCTGGGATACAGGTGTGCACCACCACTCCTGGTTAATTTTTGAATTTTTAGTAGAGGTGGGGTTTCACCATGTTGGTCAGGCTGGTCTCGAACTCCTGACCTTGTGATCCACCCGCCTCAGCCTCCCAAAGTGCTGGGATTACAGGCGTGAGCCACCGCACCTGGCCAGAAAGTTTTTATTAAAGGATCTAAAATGCCATTAGACTTGAGTGAATGATTGATTAGAAATGTGTTAGATAGGAAAGGGCATCCCAAGCAAAGGAATATAACAGTAAAGATACAGAAATGTTATCCAGGTGCGGTAGCTCACGCCTGTAGTCCCAGTACTCTGGGAGGCCAAGGCGGGCAGATCACGAGGTCAGGAGATCGAGACCATCCTGGCTAACACGGTGAAACCCCGTCTCTACTAAAAATACAAAAAATTAGCCAGGTGTGGTGGCAGGCGCCTGTAGTCCTAGCTACTCGGGAGGCTGAGGCAGGAGAATGGAGTGAACCTGGGAGGCAGAGGTTGCATTGAGCCAAGATCGCACCACTGCACTACAGCCTGGGTGACAGAGCAAGACTCCATCTCAAAAAAAAAAAAAAAAAAAAAAAGATACAGAAATGTTATATTTAGGGAAAGTGAATAGAATATTAAGGAGAGTTAAAAGTGCATGTTGAATTGGTAAAATGACAGTAGAAGAAAGTATTTAGAAAGAAGACCTCTAACCATGTTATGAAAAACAATTTAAATGGAATTCTGAGCAATTTATTCTTTATCTACATATGTACATTTTTCTGAGGCAGGTGAATGTAAAGGAAGGGGATTAAGGTACTTCTTGATATTTTATAACTAACATTGTTCTTGTTACATTACATGAGTTTTATCAAAATTTGAAGTTGCATTTGTAATACTTTCTGTAGGCCTCTACAAGAATTCTGTTCTCCTGGTAATGAATTCATTGTCTGCTATATGAGACAAAAGAAAATATAACCATATTTCTCTTTTAGCAGTTATGAGTGTTGTGGTATGAATCATCCTATGTTTAAATTAGCAATGAGATGTAGAGACAATAAATAAATATTTGATGTTAACTAAACTCTGAAAACATAAGTCACAGTGTTTCCCTAATACTTAGCTGTTCAGAAGATTGTATCTATCCTTTAATTTACCTATTCTTTAAAAGTATTTTTAAACCTTATTATCTGAGTCCCTGGGGATATTGCTGTTTAATGCAAGCTATCCCTCCTTTACATTTAATTTGTAATTAGCTATCAGAATGAATCATTTATATTTCCTTAAAGTTTTTCTATAGTGTCCTTTTATACATTCAATAGGCAATTTATTAAGGTAATATTAGTATGTACAACATTAGTATAACAAGTGAACTTTTAGGAAAAATGGCATAAAATTTTTGTAAATTAATCATGGTAAAATATTCAAAGAGCTGGGGGCTACATAGTTGTGCAGTAGACCCCTATTGATGATAGTTTTAGTATTTGACATAGTTTCTGTTTTCTGAAAAGATCAAAATTAGCAGTTCATCTTGATTTTAAAATGAGAAAATATAAATTAGCTAGTCTGTGACAGCTCATATATATACATTTTTTTCAGCTATGGCTATATCAAACTTTCAAAAATATTTATTATAAATTTTTATTAAAATACATAATTAGATGTTTTCATGTAAGTGCAGAAGGGTAATTATACTAAGCTTTTCTCATGCCAGGGTGAATCCAAACTGAGTAAACTGTGTAGGCTATGCTTGTCCTAATCTTTTCATGTTTTTTGATTGCAAGAATCTATTATTATAAAAAGATATACATGGTACTAGCTTTGATCTTCTTCCTTAGGCATGTAAGTGAAACCGCCTTCACATTTCCATAAGCTCCTTGTTTTAATTACAGTGTAAAACACTATGTTTCATATAATAGGAAAACATTTAAAATAAGATTAATCTGACTATCTCAGAAGTGTGGGATGAAGCATTAAATAGGATAAATGAAAAACACACATATATACAACATGTTTAGCTTCTGATTCAAGGAACTCAATAAAGTGGATATATTTTTAAGTAATCATCTTGAAATACTGAAATTTTTTTTCATTTGACTCCTATAACTAATGTTTTTAAAAACTGAATTTGAAATGGAATATCTGGTTGAAAAATACATAGGTGGTTTATATAGCAGGCTATTTTTAACTGAGATTTCCTAGAGGGATAATATAAAACTGTCCCCAAAACGGTAACAATATAAATTGTCTTTAAAGGTTGAAACTTGCTTTAGCGAGCTGATAACATAGGCTCGTTAGGTAAATCCCATTAAGTCTATCTTATTCCTGAAAAAAAAAAATGTCATTTTTGAATCATGATGGATTTGTGTATATCTCTATATACATGTGAGTATTGAGGATGGGTGGTGTATTTGTCAGGTTTCTCTAAAGGGACAGAACTAGTAGGATACATGTATATATAAAGGGGAGTTTATTAGGAGATTTGATTCACACAATCACAAGGTGCAGTCCCACAATAGGCCGTTTGGAAGCTGAGGAGCCAGAAAGCCATTCTGAGTCCACAAACCTCAAAAGTAGGGAAGCTGATAGTGTAGCCTTTCGTCTGTGGCTGACGGCCTGAGAGTCCCTGGCAAATCACTGGTGTAAGTCCAAAAGCCCAAAAGCTGCAGAACTTGGAGTCTGATGTTTGAAGGCAGAAAGCATCTAGCACAGGAGAAAGATGCAGGCCAGAAGACTCAGCCAGTCTAGTTCTTCCACCTTCTTCTGCCTGCTTTTATTCTAGCCACGCTGACAGCAGATTAGATGGTGCCCACCTAGACTGAGGGTGGGTCTGCCTCTCCCAATCCACTGACTCAAATGTTAATCTCCTTTGGCAACCCCCTCACAGACACACCCAGGAACAATACTTTGCATCCTTCAATGCAATCAAGTTGACAGTATTAGCCATCACAGTTGGTTTGCATATTTTCCCAAGGGATTTTCTTCTGAGATTTTCCCAAAGAATTATTCTGTATCTATCCCTCCCTATAGGTGAACATTTGGACATTAAAACAAAATAAAATGAAGAAAACATCCAACTGTCAACTGCACACTTTTTAACCTTAGCTGGATCCTCATTGCTATTAGAAAGTTATTCTTGCACAAATTCTTAGTTGATTCCTTTCCTAACGCTACAGCAATCATTCTAAACCTTTACCACCCTTTACTGTTCTACTGTGTCCAGAGTTGGTTCCTTCCGGTGGGTTCACGGTCTCGCTGACTTCAAGCATGAAGCTACGGACCTTAATAGTGAGTGTTACAGCTCTTAAAGATGGCATGGACCCAAAGAGTGAGTGGTAGCAAGGTTTATTGTTAAGAGTGAAAGCACAAAGCTTCCACAGCGTGGAACGGGATCCAAGGAGGTTGCTGCTGCTGGCTGGGGTGGCCAGCTTTTATTCCCTTATTTGTCCCCTCCCATGTTCCGTTTTTGTCCTATCAGAGTGCCCTTTTTTTAATCCTCCCTCCAAGTGGCTACTTTTAGGATCCTGCTGATTGGTGCATTTTACAGAGTGCTGATTGGTGCATTTTACAGAGCACTGATTGGTGCATTTTATAGAGTGCTGATTGGTGCATTTTACAATCCCTTGCTAGCTACAGAGTGCTGATTGGTGCATTTTACAATCCTCTTGCAAGCTACAGAGCACTGATTGGTGAATTTTATAATCCTAGCTACAGAGTGCTGATTGGTGCATTTTACAGTCCTCTTGTACGACAGAAAAGTTCTCCAAGTCCTCACTCGACCCAGCTGGCTTCACCTCTCACTACCTTCTTCAAATTTCTAAAACTAATCCTGCTTCTCAGTTCCTTGAGAAAACACAACCGACTAAGACTATGTTAACTTTCTTCCCTACCAGCTAAAAATCAATCTATTTCATTTTTCCATCCTTTTTCTTCAGGGCAAGTGTTTCTACTATTGTTTCAGTTCTTATTCCATCTCTACAAGTTTTTCTTGGGCACATAGCTCTACTTTCACCTTCTTCTTGGGCCTCTAGTCTCTCTTCCTCTAGTGGTATGTTTCCCTCAGCCTATGAGTCTACTCCAGATTTTTAGAACTCACTGTACTTGAACTTTATCATGAGTGATTCAGTTATCAGAATTTCACATAACTTTAGTAAATCTCCTTTCCCCTTGCATCCTCATCCTGTATCTGTGGCTGAACTTTGTTTCCTCTGCCTCACTGCCTGACCTGCTCTTACCTCTTTGCCTCTTCCTTTTGACCACCTGTTCATGCCCCACCCTCTTCTCACTTTAATTTAATCTACACCTATTTCTATTCCTATAGTTTTTCACTAACTTCTTTTAGCCCCAGTTCTCTTTTGTTTCCAGTTTTACCCAGTCTCCTGAATTACAGACTTAAATATTTCACTATTAGATATTTCTTCTTGGATGTCTCCAAACCATCCCATAATCAGTATATTTTTTAAATGGTTAGAAAGTCATAGATTTGGGTTCAAATATCTGAATTTAAGATGCTGGCATTTATTAGATGGTGAACATAATATTTGACTGCAGTTTCCTCTTTAAATACAGTCTTGAAATTCCATTCAACCAACATGTTTTTCCACAGTACCATCTCCTCTCACCTAGATGATTGCAATAACATTCTAGCTGATCTCCCTGCTTCCACCTTCACTTCACTGCAGTATATATTCTCAACATAGTAGCCAAAATGATTCTTTCCAAAAGTAAGCCAGATCCTGATGAGAGAGGAGGAAGGAAGAAACCACTCAGTCAGGCAGTTAGGGCAGGTCCTCGGTAGAACTCCTTCAAACCAAGAACAGCCTGAAAATCAAGCTGTAGGCCCCAGATAAGAAAAAGCCCACATCCCTATATGGAAACACCCACTCTGTGAGCCCAGATGAAGAAAATTGACTACTTTTCTGGGCACATTTCTCTCCTTTTGGTGCCTTTGTCCCGTTTTGTACTCTTCTTCCTGATTATCTCATACCTTTCATCTGTTTTACATATACCTATCTTTCTGTGATTGGCCACAGGCAAAGTCTTAATTTGCATAAAGTGAAATGTCACTAAAGCTCTCAATTGGTTGCGGGCCAAGCCTTCACTTCTGCCTCCAATTGGTTCTTTACACTGTCCTGTGTCTTCCTGAGACTTGTGGTTTCAAAAATGGCTCATAGACCAGTCAACCCACTCCTCCTCATTCTCAGTCCATAAAAACCCCAAACCTAGCCCCACAGCCGGCAACCCTCTTTTAGACCCCCTCTTGCTGCTGACACCTTTTCTGTCACTTAATAAATCTCTGCCTTAGCCCTCTCCAGTCTGTGTGCCTTATTCTTGGTTGTGGGACAAGAATCCAGAACTCTCTGAATGGCAGAAGCAAAGAGCTGTAACGCTCCCACCCACTGAGCTGCTGGCTGCAGGAGTCAATGAGCTGTAATACTCCCTGTCACTTGCAGAACTACAGGAGTGAAAAAGTTGCAACACTGTTACACTCCTCAGAATTTTTTAGTGGTCCTCCATCCTGTTTTTTGTTTGTTTGTTTGTTTGTTTTTAGTAAAAAAAAAAAACCTTTATCTGATCTCTGGAATCCCATATTCCCTGACCACATCTTTTCCTAATTTATCTTTTTCTGCAGCCACGTTGACCTCTTTAGTGTTCCTTAAATTTGCTGAGCACCCTCCTGCCTCAAATCCTTAGCCCTTGACCTTTAATTCAAATGGGTGTCACTCTCACCTTACTTCAGCTTTTATTCAAATGTCATATTCTCTGTGACATATACTCTGACCACCTATTTAAAATGTACCTGCCTCCATACTCTAACCGTCAGTCCCCATCTCTGTTCTATTTTTCTCAATAAGGTTTATCTTTTAACATGCTATACAATTGGTTCATCGGTTTTGTTTTTGTTTCTATCCTCCCATTATAATGTAAGATCCATGATAACAGGAATTCTGGCCTATTTTTATTTATTTATTTTCATTATCGTATCCCTAGTGCCTAGAACACAGTAGAAGTTCAATAATATGTGTTGCATAGATAAATGAACACATTGATGTGAGGTGGTGCTTTTTGTAAAACATTCTGTAAAACTGTAAAACATTCACTATTTATTCGTCTGTTATTTCTACTATTATTCCACTCCCCACCATGAGCAGGCTCACAGACACATGTACACATGAACCCAGTCTTTTTTTTTTCTATCTATATATCATAAGTTTTATGATGCCATCCATTGTTTAAGTCTATATACTTGAAGACATATTGGAGCCTTTCAAATATTTAGTCACCAATTCTTAACTCATATGTCACATCACTTGGATCAGAGTCTTCATCTAATTCCCCATTACCTTAGTCAAATCATCTTGAAATCTTCTCTAGAGAATTGCAAGAGTCTCCTAGGAGATGGCTTTGTAGCATGTTTTATTATTAATTACCTTTTCTTAAGTATTTTCCATGGCTTCAAATTATAGGCAAAATACTTCTAATGGCAATCAAGTTCCTTCATAACTGATCCTATGTTTTTAAGATGCTCTATTCCAACACCATAAATCATTTTTATGGTCTTCTTTACTCCTTTATATTTTCAACAAGTACTTATCAATTATTCACTGAGTCACACACTATGGAATGACATTTCCCCTCTCCACATAACAATTTGATATGGTTTGGGAGGAAGGGAGATAAAATCTAGCATTTCAAGACCGTAGATCAAACGCAAAGTAGCTATAGATAAAATGAACATCCATTCTGACTTTTCTGGGATAAACTTGGTTTATACCTGTTGTCCCAGTGTAATTACTAATAATTACTAATAATTACTAATAAACCTACTTTCAGTCTCAGAACTCTCTCAGCTTGGTGATAAATTATATGGTCTCTTTATCTATAAGCAAAATAATTTGAATTTTATTCCATGCTCTTTCTCTACATTAACTTCAAAAGTTATGTGACAGCCTAAAGCAAAATGTAAGCCCTCCTCCTCTAGCATTCAAGCATACTTATAAATATCACACACCACTGTTTGATGGGGAAAACCCAGGTCTTATAACCTGAATGCCATTTCCATTTCAGTAGAAAATGTATTTTTTCTCAAATGCACTGCAATAATTATTACCTTAGCAACCATTTACTCTAAATCTTACCTGAAATGTCCTATATTCCACTTATCCAAAGCCCACCCATCTTTAGAGGAATACAGACATCCCAAAACTATTTTTTTATTTGTCTCAGCCTGTCTCTTCCTGTGGTTTCTTCTTTTACCATTTTTTGGAGAGTGAGATCTGTAGACACAACTAGTCTATTGGATCCTTTAAGACAAAGACTGGCTTCTACATCGTTGATTCTACAGCACCAAGTCTGAGGCCAAATACAAAGTATGCTCAAGCAACTTAATGTGAAAAATAATTATGACAGTGATGGTGATGAGCATGCTGTTGGTGGTTAACTTAATAAAAATATAATAGGATAAAATAAAATGAGTTGTCACGAAATAGCTATAGTTTGAGTATGGAAAAGACTACTCTTATACCCTACATCTGTAGATTTTAAAGATATATGTGTTTGCAATGCATATTTACTGAAATTTATGCTGCTGGTATCAGGCGGAGGGAAGTTGAGGGAGAGTAAGGAAATATGTACCATATTAAATCAAATCTAGGATACCATTGAGTGTAAGATATAGTATTATTTTCCATATTGCTCGGGCAAAACTGTCAATTAAGTTATGGCCTAATGCTTTCATATCACTTAGAATTTTTATTTGATATTTATTGAAAGAGCTCACCGAGACCTATTTAATGTTGGATTTTTAAAATCTTGAGTTATTTTTATATACATACAACAAAATTACCAGTGAAATATAATGGCTAAGGTATTCCCAACACTTCTTCACATTCAGAGACCATGACTGTAAGAAACATTCCTATTTCAGACATATTAAGATGTAAAGAATAATTAGTTTGTAAAGGGATTCACGTGATAAAAGCAAATATGCTGTGGAAAACAAACATCTGATGAGTTTGCGAGGACTTGAGGAAAGGCTGCAGATTTCAAATATCCTGAAACAAAGGAAGGAAAATAGCAGACGTTTTAGTCACAAACAACTGTAGAAAATTTGAGTTAGAAAAAAAACCTTTATGGAAGTTTACTATCACTTCTGCCATCTAGTAGCAGAAGTTGTCACCTTGGAAGTCATGGAAAAAAAAAAGAAAATACTGTGATATTGGGTATCCAACTCACGTAGAGACGTGAAGCCCCAGTATCAGGATGGATGGTTAAGAACTGAATACTCAGAAATGGATTTTTAACTATAATATTAATATTTAACTCAACTAATTTTTTCTTTCTCTCAGAGCTGAGAAAGAAACTAAAATTTCTATGCTCAAGAGCCTCTGCTTTGATTCAACATCTTATATAAAACTAACTTGCTGGAATATCTATATTCCATCTTTGATCCGATAAAGCCCCTAGTCATGAACAGGAACAGAATTTTTAACTATTTCCAGAACAGATAGTGTGAACCTATAACAAAGTCAAGTGTATTAAAATTGTGTGTTTCAGCTGAGTGGTTAAAATTAAGAAAAATAATTGGTTTGTCTTTGCTGCCGAACAGAAAATGTGGATCATATTCATGTACCTTTTATGTATTGCTTTTTCACATTTCATGTTTGTACTGCTCGTTCTGCCCATGTTCAGATCATTCATATTTTATTTCGAAACATTTTCATTTTCAGATCAGCAGTTGTGTGATCCTGGTGAATTTCTTTGCCACGATCACGTGACTTGTGTCTCCCAGAGCTGGCTGTGTGATGGGGACCCTGACTGCCCTGATGATTCAGACGAGTCTTTAGATACCTGTGAGTAGAAAGGTTCTCATGCCATTCGGATTTACCTTACATGTGAAACTAAATGTCAGTTGTTTTCACAGATGACTGCTGTTCTAGATGATTCTTTCTTTCTTTCTTTCCTTCTTTCTTTCTTTCTTTCTTTCTTTCTTTCTTTCTTTCTTTCTTTCTTTCTTTTTCTTTCTTTCTTTCTTTTTTCCAAATAGCCTAAGAAACTTGAAACCTTTTGTTTGTGTTTTTTTTTAAATATGAGTATGTGAAGGAGAGCATAAAATGCAGTTTTGGAGTGTGAATTAACTTATGAAAGGAAGAAAATGTGAGGTTAATTATTTCAATGTGATTGTGTTAACACTAGAAAAAAATGACTTGAGAAAATTTAAAATATAGCGCTAAAAGGGAAAAGACCTTCCCCAATAAATTATCTCACACATTTTGAGACAGAAGGAATATTGAAGAAATCAAGCTTTAGTTCCCATGTTATTTATATTAATATCTCAGGGCAGTACACAAATAATTGAACATATTTTCCTTTGAGACTGAAAGATAGATAGAAACTTTATCCATTCATAGAGTTAGGATCTTTGTCTTTATAATATCAGATTCAGAAACCCTTAGTATACATGAATCCTAATCATAGTTGTACTACTATAACTTGGAATCCACCGAAGGCTTTTTCCATATTACACATACCACTATAACAAATTATAAATAATAATATGACCATAGCTAAATATGGCCCACTTTTTTTAATACCCACTTACCATAAGGGGTATGAACAGTCCCCTGAATATTGATAGTGATATTTCTAGAATTTCTCATATCAACCTGTGCTCTTCAGGCAACCAGGTATGCTGACATGTCAATATCATCCCCAGAGTAACCACATAGTTGTATGAAGCTAATGTGAAAAAAAAATCCGTCTTCATTACTTGATATTGTAGAAATAACAATTATTGGTTTCATTTTCCATTTTCATCTTTCCATTTACAAGTCTTGCAGACAGTTTTGAAGAAAACCTTGCTGTTAGAGGCAAATGCTTATTAATTTCCTTTATGTTTGACGTCCTTTTAAGGTTTCTCAAAAGGTGAATACCTGAATATTTGCAGGAATTGCTTCGCTTTATTTTGAGCCGATCACTTTTTCCACAGGAAGAGTTTATAGTCATTTACTGCTGCATTTCTAATTTTCACCAGTTTCACTAGTTAACTCCCAAAAACCTTTCAAAACTCTTTACTAGATTCCTTATAGCATAGACAAGGTTCTCAGCAGATAAGTTAAAGATAAAAGGTTCATAGGAAAAATTCTAATGGATAAATTGTGATAAACCCATATAGAGGAATATTATTTGGTAATGAAAAGGAATGAAGTACTCCTACATGCTACAACATGGATGAACCTGGAAAACACGCTAAGGGGAAGAAGCTCATCAAAAAAGATCACATGTTTTACGATTCCCTTCATATTATACAAGATGCAAAATAGGCAAATCTATAGAGACAGAAAGTGGGAGAGGGGTTGCCAGGGGCTAGGTAGGGTGGGACACAGGCAAGGGAATGAGGAATGACTGTTATTGAATATACGGTCTTTTGGGGGTTTATAAAAATATTCTTAAATTAGATTATGATGATGCTTGTACAACTCTGTTGATATGTTTTAAACATGGGAATGTACATTTTAAATGGGTGAATTATGTCATGTGAATTATATCTTAAATGTGTTTGAAAAGGGAAGATAAATCTCAATATTGTGCATATGGATGAAGAAATATAGGAATGTGGAAAAACAACAATAATAAATGCTTTGGCCCTACATTATACAAGTAGTGAGACCGTATTTCAACATCCCAACTCTTTTTAAGCTTTAGCCCTCTCCTTTTCAAGTGGTATCTAGAAATTCTCTCCTCTTTAGCTACAAGGAAAGACTTCCATAGCATAATCAGAGTAAGAGTCAGGTTCTTTAATTTTGGTATAGGGTCTTGCATTCTGCCCTGATCCTCCTGTGAATTCTGTGATGGAGAAAATAACAAGGACATGACACAGATTTGCAGAATTCATATGCAGGAAAGCCAGGGTGGAGGGGAAACACCATAGAACTGTGTGACTGGCACAATGCAATAGTAGTTGAGAAGAAATGGTGGCATGGCACATCTAGGTTGGAGTCTCCTTCATGCCGGTGAAGAATGATGAACAAGGATGTTCCCTTTGTGCTCAAGAGGGAGCTCAGTGGAGAAACAGACTGGAGAGATTTTGTGTCTAAATGGGGCACTAGTAACCTGTGTAGTCAGTAGGTAAAGTCCAGAGAGAAAAGAGACCTCTCAATGCATGTCGAAGTAGGTGATGACAAATATTCTGCCATCCTCCTATGTCCACTCCATGTCTCTAGAAACATGGCAGATACCCAGAAGGCCCACACCAGTGTACCAGGCCTGTATGCACCGACCAGTATTCACCCTGATTGATTAGGCATCTACTCAAAATGGTCAAAATCTCCACTGCAATGCTGTTAAATATTTGAATAGCCACCCTGCCCATAATGTACATACCACCTTGAATTTGTGTAAAAAGGTGGTCCTTCAGTTCACAGAGTTTAGGGGCTTTTAGCAGATGGAGGCCTCAAATTGGAAATTGCGTGTCAGTTAATTAAAAATAGAGATTGATATTCTGCTTACTTAGTTTGTAAAATAAAATTCATACCTGCTCAAGATATTCTTGGCAGTTGTTTAAATATACAGTCCTTTCCTCTCCAATAACATTTGATGGATCCAAAATTAAAATGTTTCTTCACTTTGGCCATTCATATTTTATCCTCTAACATTAAAATTGCTGAATATCCTTAAAGGCAACACTGAAACTGCTCTTTATTAATCAGCCACATAACAAAGACAGAGAAATAACTATTTTTTGTACCTGTTTTATTCATTTAATCTGTTCAAGATATTTAGATTTATATTTAATTGGCTTGTTCCCTATAAATGGTTTCCATCAATACCAATTGAAATTTGGACATGCATAGAAAAAAAAAGCGTTATGAAAATATCAGTCTTTGCCAAATTTAAATTTCTCAATCCAGATGTTCACCATTATCATTTTCTGTAATCACAGTACTTTGTAATGTGTTGTTTTATGATATTCACATGCAGTCATCACTAATCTACATAAAATAATTGCATAATTTTATATGAATGTATACATTCGATATGAAAGATAAATATTAACAACGGAAAACCTTGGAGACTGATTCTTAGGAAGGATAATTTGTGCTCAGTATATGAACAAAAGTATGTTAACATCTTTGCTTTGAAGACAAAGTATGTTGTATCTACAAAATATTAGATAAAAACAGCCGATGCAATAGTTATTTTTTTCTGAAATCCACTTAGCTTTAAAATGATAGAAAGACCACTCTAGCATAGAATTTATTGTGACATTGTGAAATCTCTGAAGTGACAAAATTCTAACAGGAATTAAATGGATATTGTTTGGGAAGAAGAAAAGCCTTACTTATAAAATGCTTTAGAAGGAAAACATATGTACAGAACAATAAGAAATCCTGGAAACTAAATAAAATTTAGATACTTAGAAATCTGAAAGTTTATCGAGTCCATATTTTCCTTCTCTTCTGTGTGTGTTTGTGCCCAGGATCTAGGGTATTCTCTAGTATTCATGAAGCAGGAGTTAAAATTTAGTGATACCAATACACATAGAAAACTGTTGTGTGAGGTTGACTTACAAATAAGCTGATTTCATGTTGGGAAGAATTATCTAAAATACACAATTGGAAAATTTTAATAATTTATAATCTTACCATTGTATATGGTAAGGACTTTTAGTCATAAAAATGAAAGCCTTTATTTCTGCATATTATTTAAAATAATTTTTCAAGTGTCTAAATAAAGACTAACACCAGTTTTAGGCTCTATGAGGCAATGAGAATAGAAAATCAGGGAAATCACCATCTTTCTACTCATAGCTTTCAACCCAATGTTGTTAGCATAGCATGTGATGAGAATGAAAATAAATAGTGAAAGTGTTTATTTAGAGAATGAAAGCTTGGTACCACCTGTAGCAGGAACGTCTTCTTGAAAGGCACTTTTATTCTGAGGTATTCAAGATTTAATTCCTTCTAGAATTTTCTGTGGAATGCTTAATGATACTTCCTTTTCAACACTTGGCTCCAGCTGATGTATGATATTTTCCAGAAATCTGACATCATTATACTTAAAACTAGATTATTTCTTTTTAAGAAAGGAAGGTATTAGCCATGCTATTCAAACTTCTTCCCTACTTCCTGCCCATTCCCCTTCACAGAATCATTGAGTGAGTTCTTCAGTCACAGATCATGTTTTGGGCATAATGACTCATTGACCAACAAAGGAGAATAAAAATGTCCTAAGCAATATTTGCAAGCTGGACTCTTCTCTGTCCTGTCCTACAAGGGTCAGCATGCTTTTTCTGTAAAAAGCAGATAGTAAATATTTAGGCTTTAAAGGCCCATACGATCTCTGCTGCATATTCTTTGTTTTTATTTGTTTTTCAGTTTGTTTTGAAAACCTTTAAAAGGGAGGAAGAAAACAAAATCTCTCAGCTTACAGTCTGTACGGTAATAGGCCACAGGTCAGATTTGGCCAGCAGGCTATATAATTTGCCAAATCTTTGTTGTAGTAGCGTAGCTGAAATATATCTGCTATACAGTTGAGGCAGGTCTGTGCTCAGGCACTGCTGCTCCATGGAACAGCATAACCTCACACAATGAATGCACGAAGCACAGAGTTTTGTTTGCATCTACCAGTCATGGTGCCAGACTGATGCAATATGGTGTAGTCTACATATGCTGGGTTTTGTTTCCTTCTATTTTTTCATACTTCCTTATTGGTTAGGATTGCATTTGACTGCATGTTATAGAAACAGTGACTTAACTGAATAGGGGTTTTCTTTCTTCATAAAAAGTTGCAAAAGTGGATAATTCAGAACTGCTATGACAGATTCAGAATGACAACAGGCTTCTTCTATCTTTCCTTACTCAGTCCCATATCCACAGTATGGCTGCTTCTCTCCTAGTAGATAACCTCATTTTGGAAAACCAGAAGGAAAAGAGTAAAGGGAAAAGGCAAATGCCAGTTGAGCCTCTCTGTTAGGAAAAGGATAAATTGCACAGAAAGCAAATGCAGTCGATCTCTTTCACCAGAATGGGTTATATGGGGCATGGGGCAATGAGTATTGTCAACAAGACCTTTTGCTTTCCAAAACAATATTTGGGGTTCTGCTAGTAAAGAAAAGGGGAGAAGAGATATTGGGCAGGCAAAGGAACTTGGTAGTATGTACCACAGTGTCCCTTCACTCTCCTCCTTGGCTTCTGCTGCATAGGAGATGGTATGCACAGTGCATGATCACAGCAACTGCTTGGCTCCAAGGCTCAGTTTTTCCACGAATATCTTTGCTCTTGGACAACTAATTTAACCATATTGTGCCTTCATTATCCCATCTGTACAATGGAAATGGTAGTACCTGCCTCACAGTAAAGTGCTCAGAATAAGTGCCTATTCCATAGTAACATTCCTTCTCCACTCTATACCCCATCTGCCTTCCAGATGCCCAGAGCACCAATGATGCATCTTACCTTGAGGTTCTTTTGATACACAATCTAACTGCCCCCTCTCGGTCGATCCTCTCTCATTCTTTCTCAAAACCTAACTGAAAGTCAGTTCTGTTCCCTAAGGACATGGCTGGGAAGAGGTTTAATCTACATATGCTAATTCAAGTTAAGTTATAAATAATTTTTAATGATCAGATATATTAAATTCAAACACTGGGATACATTTGGTATAGAAATTATTTGGGGGCAGGTGACTTTTTCTAGGAACTCTTCCAAAAACCTTGATGTTGAATAATTGACTAAATTTGAAATACATGTATTAAAAATACAATAGTCAAAAATATTAATTGACACTGAAGTCCTGAAATGTAGATAATATCTCATTTTTAAAAAATAAAGAAGTTGAGTTTATAATCCTTCTCTCCCCTTCTATGTTAGCTCTTGTTAGGGAAAGCAGAGTATACATTTCTTTGAATTTGCCCTCCTTTTTTGAAATACTGAGATAAAGCAGGATCCAATTCCTAAAAGAATCCTTCAGGCTACCTAATTTAAAAATACATTGTCATTTGAAAATTATGGAAGGCCATCCCAAAAGGATTGTTTCACACTGGCTTTGGGAGTGATCACTTCTAATTGAACAATGCAATAAAAAGAACAAGTCTCTTGGGTACTAGGAAGAGAAGCATCTATGAAAAATGAAAATGTCTATAAGTCATTAGGTGAGATGTGAATCTGCATGAATTGACCAATGATTCTATTATGTTTCCGTTGTTGTGAAATTTTAAACTTTATTTAGGTAGTAGGATTTTAATGAACTTCTTATATTCATACACTGACCTTTCCCCTTGGATATAAGATAGAAATCCTTTTATAATTTCCTTCTGAACTTTCTATCTTTGACATAGGTCAGAGAAATAAAATAGAATTCAGGTGGGAGGTTATTAGCAAACAGATACTGCCCTTTAAAATTATATAGTAGAATAAGGCACTGAAAGTAGACTATAGAAACTATAAAACAGATAGAAGTATGGTCCGTGTTTCTAAGTAATGGTGATTTAGAGGTCACTTTGCAATGAGCTAATATATGAGAGTCACAAAGCTAAGCTTTTCGTTAGGTAGAAAAGCTGAAATGATCTTACAGATTAAAGGGAAAGCATATGAGACCCATGAGGACAGTTTATGTCTCTTTCAATTCTTTTTGTTTTGTTCTTCATTTTATTCTGAGACTCCTCTCTTCAGCAGTAGAGAGGCCAAAAAGCATTGACCCTTCTTTAATAATAAAAAGACTCCCACTTAAGAGTTGATATGCAGGGGGGATAGGAAGGTGGGGATCAGTGTAATTGTGAATTGAAAGGGCCTAACACTGGTACATTTGCCCAGTACAGTGGGGTCAGAGTAGGGGGTGACATTACTCCTCATTCTGCTCTCACAATGCACTAATGGGTCTCTGAGAGTCTGCCTCTACAATTAAAAAAAAAAAAAGGTCGATTGCAGGCATAGGTGATGGAAGTACAATTCACACAGGCATACGAGCTCAGCAATGACAAAAGTCTCACCTTTTCACTCAAGAAGTCAGTGCTTTTCGGTCTCCTGATCCAAGACCACAGGTCACAGAATAAAAGGGGACACATGTCCCTCAGGCGGGGCTATAAACTATGGGGAATGAAAACTTTGAAATGAGGTAAAATAGCAGGGGTGAAATGAAATACAGGAATTCTGGAAACAACTGGTGAAATCTCCTTGGCTTAAAAGACGATGTACTGTAAACAAACGATCTTGCAGGACTCTACAGGGACAAAGCTGAAGACTGAGCAAGGAGTCTTCCCAGAAACTATTCAATCCATCATTTATCTACAACTAATCTAGCATTTGGGGTTGTGGATGAAGGCTTCTTACCTTTCATGTGTGAGCACATTTCTTCCCGGAGGACGCTTTATTCTTTATAGTCAGTGTATAAAATTTACATTTGACTTTCACTCAGAAGTGCTTCTAAAATGACATATTTTGCTAAATGAAGCACTAAAGGATGTCGTGTTCTAAGAACTTATTTTTAATGGTGATGCCTTTTTTTCTCTCTCCCTCTCCCCATGTCTTCCATCATTCTACCCTGAAATACCTCTACTCTCTGCCTATGGAATTTTCAGTAGGACAAAGCATCTCATCAGTTTATTAATTGCTATATTGGCCCTGTTGAAGTTCAGGCAATATAACTGACTTTGGGTTTTGTTTGTTTGTTTGTTTGTTTGTTTTTCTAAAAACTTCATAACATTAGCTTTTCTGATTTTCAGGATGGCAGAAATTGCTCTCAAAGGAGAGAAGTTCAGGCAAAGATAGGTGAAGAAGGGGTTGGGTAGGAGGGATCCAAACCTCATAGTTTCTATTTTTGTACTGAAGAAAGATACCTTGGGAGGGAAAGAGTATGCTCATACTGTTCACTGGTCAACCCTGAAAGATCAGATACAAGAGAGGAGAATCCCTCAAACTGAGACACATTTTCCTCGGTACCCAGCAGCAAAGAAGAAAGCAAAAACACTTCCCAACACCTCTGACTGAGTTGCCAACAGAAAAGTAATTGTTAACACAAAATACTCATCTTAGAATTCAGCATGAATTTAGCAAGCAGGTGGCCATTTACAAGCAAACAAAAGAGGCCTCAGAGGAAACCAACCTTGTAGATTTCTTGATCTTGGACTTATGGCCCCCAGAACTGTAGGAAAATAAATTTCTGTTGCTTAAGCCATCTAGTGTATGGTATTTTGTTATGGCAGCCCTACCAGACAAATTCCACATCTTACTATATATCTATTAAAAGTTGATGTATTTTAATACCAGTGTAAGAAAAATCCAGCAATTAAAAATTTCTTAAATTTTTCTTGAAGATATATACTAAATATTACTAAATTCTAGAGTACTAATGTTATAGACATTATAAGCCTGTTAAAGAAATGTGAAATGAAATCACCAGTTTCTGGTGGGGTAAAGGTAGTTACAAACCTTTAAGAACACCTAATGTAATTATACAGAGTTACTATGCAAATGAAAAAGCACTTCTCATTGAAAATCCACTGAAAAATTCTGTACTGCAAATATATGTCTTTTTCAAGTATTGATAGATGATGGGTTGCTCCAAACTTTTCAAAAGTAGGTTTGTCTGAGACCTGTCCTCCTGGTGATCTAGCACATGCAGATGGAAGTGCAAATAACGGCTATCTTTGCAAAGCTATCTCGTTACAACACAAAAAACAGGCCAGGTGCAGTGGTTCAACCCTGTAATCCCAGTGTTTAAGGAAGCCAAGGCAAGAGGATTACTTGAACCCAAGAACTCAAGGCTGCAGTGAGCCATGATTGAGCCACTGCCCTCCAGCCTGGGTGATAGAGCAAGATCTTGTCTCTAAAATATATAGAAACACACACATGCATGCATATATAAACAAACTTGTATACTTGACCTAAGTACCATTATTTTCTGAGGAAAACAGTAGAAATGTATAACAGATGCATACGTCCAAACATGCATATAATTAATATACTATATTAGGTTATAATCTGTATTAGATTATTGTAATTTTCAATTCTGAATCGATCATTGGGTTAGGCAATAAAGCCTATGTAATTTGACAGTAAAAAGAAATGTTTCTTTCTCCACAAGGGCTTTTGCAGAATTTTGTTACATTTTGCTTTCAAATGTGCACGTTAGGCAATTCAATTTTGAAATAAATGATACATTATTCATTTTCACTTAAATGGTGAAAAATATTTTGTCATTGAACTACATTTCTCGTAATATATAAATGCTTTTTATTTACAAAAACTAGAAACCATTCAATCAATCAGCAGCTATTTGTTGGGGGACTACTGCATCAAGGTGCTTCTGAGCACATAAAAGCAACAATTTATTCCATACCTTTTCATGTGCCATAGCTTTAACCTATGCTAGTTTTTTTCTCACTTTATCTATTCTGGTTAAATGCTATTCTTTCCATGATAAAGAAGATGATGTTTATGATAAAGATTCATGATGATTACTGACATGAATGAATGATTCATATGTGCCAGATACTGTGCTGTGAAGGTTACATGGATTATCTCCTTTGATCCTGACAAAAACCCTGAGCAGAGTGTCAGGTACAGTTGCTCAGGTTATCCAAGGTACTGGAGTGACATAAATATTGCACATAGCATGGGTGTATATATTTTCTCACAAATGGAAATAAATTATCTTGAAGAGGAGGCAATATTTTCTAATTTGCATGAAGATGCAATAGGAGATTTGTGGCCCTACTTATGATAGTATTCATGGTCCCCTTTTACAGGGGATAGAAATAAAGCAAAAGGAAATTTACTTAAAGTAATTAAGTGATAGAGCTACCAGTGAACACTGCAGCATGCTATACAGCCTGGAGTTCAAGGGATTACCAAGGTCAACATCTTGATGCTTAGTGGAGCAAGATTGTCATTCATGCCTGTGTCACATTGCACTCAAGTCAACCTGCTTTCCATGATGCCATACAACCTCATGTATATATGCTATCCAGATGTATGTATGTTCAGCCATTCATTTTAGACACAACAGATTTTAATTGAGTGACTACTATATGACAGGGCCTGTGGTTGATATTGGGAATAATAAGATAAATATGCCAAAGACGAAAGAGAGATGTAGTAATAATTGGAGAGAAGATTTAAATTGTTTATTTTCCAATTAGAAAGGATATGATCATAAGAGTATATATGTTACTGTGGTAATAAATGTATAATTTATATAGGTTAATATTTATATACATATGCACATGAAGTTTGTGTGTATATAAACAAATTAATCTGGAAAAAATAAGTATAACATTATCTTAGCCTCTCTCTCTGTCATACACACACACACACACACACACAGACACACTCTTTAAAAACAGATTGTTAAACGTAACAGTGAAGTTTCTGGATTTTTGAATCAGTTTTTTTATTTTTGTGTAATAAATTACCACAAATTTAACATGTTGAAACCCATTTATTATTTCTCAGTTTTGTGGTTCGGAAGTGAGGAGGGTTCAGAAGTGAGGATCCATAAGGCCTCACAAGGCTGAGATCAAGGACTCCCTCAGGCTGGGGACTTATCGAGAGGGTGTGAGGAAGAATCAGCCTCCAAGTTTATTTAGGGTCTTGGCTGAATTCAGTTTCTTGTGGTTTTAGGACCAAGGGCACATTTTCTTTCTGGTTGTCAGCTGCAGCCACGCTCAACAATTAAAAGCAATCTACATGTCTTGGCGTGCAACCCCTCCATTTTCAAACCAAGCAGTGGTGTGTCAAAACCCCCTCACGTTTCATGATTCAAATCCCTGGCTTCCGCTTCTGTGGCCAAATGGGGAAAACACTCTGTCTTTAAAGACATCATGTGACTAGAACACTTAGCTATCTCCCTTTTGTCACGGAATGTGATATAATCTTAAGAATGATATCACATTATGCTCACAGCTTCTACCCACATTCAAAAGAGAGAGGGTTAGACAAGGGTGAGGGTCATTGGGAGACATTAGAATTCCAACTAACATAGCGTATTCGTCTGCGCGGGCTGCCTTAAAAAAACACCACACACTGGGTGGCTTACACAAAACTCATTTATATCCTCGTAGTTCTGGAGGCTGGAATTCTGAAATCAAGGTCTCGGTAGGGTTGGTTTCATTCTTTGGCCTTTCTCCTTGGCTTGCAGGTGGCTGTCTTCATCTAGTGTCTTCACAGGGTTATCCCTCTGAGTGTATCTGTGTCCTAGTCTCATCTTCTCACAAGGGCACCAGTCATATTGGATTAGGGCCCACCCATAAAACCTCATTTTACCTTAATTACCTCCTTAAAACCCTATCTTGAAATACAGCCACATTCTGAGGTACTGAAGTTTAGGACTTCCACATATGAATTTTGGGAGGACCAATTCAGCCCATAACACACAAGATAATTTTGCTTTTTAAAATATATTCTTTTTTTTTTTTTTTTTTTTTTTTGAGACAGAGTCTTACTCTGTTGCCAGGCTGGAGTGCAGTGGCACCATCTCGGCTCCCTGCAATGTCTACCTCCCGTGTTCAAGTGATCCTCCTGCCTCAGCCTCCCGAGTAGCTGGGACTACAGGCACCCACCACCACGCCCAGCTAATTTTTGTATTTTTAGTAGAGACGGGGTTTCATCATGTTGGCCAGGATGGTCTCAATCTCTTGACTGCCTGATCCACCTGCCTCGGCCCCCCAGAAGTGCTGGGATTATAGGCGTGAGCCACCGTGCCTGACCTTTAAAATATATTCTAAGACGTCTTTAGTCACCAGCTTATCTCATAAAGATTACTTGTTACTTGTTTTAAAAGTTGAATTTGCTCCCTCTGCTTTTCATTGTGAACTTTAAGCTGACAGAAAAATCAGAAGAATAGTATGATAAACACCTGTATACACTGGATTTATCAATCATTACATTTTGTTGCATTTTTTCTTCATCTGTCTCTAATACATATTTGTCATGTTCACATCACGCATACATTTGTATGTTTATACATGTTTTTTGCCAAACCATTTTAATACATGCAGACATGATGTGTTTACACCTAAATCTTTCTAGGAACAATACATATTCTTATATAACCCTTACATAGGTATAATATTGTATAATATCTAATTCCCATTCAAACTTCTCCAACTGTCCCCAGAGTATTATTTGTAATTATTTTACCGAATCCAGGATCCAACCAAGGATAATGCATTGCCTATAATTGTCATAGGTTTCTAGTCTTCTTTAATCCAGAATATTTTCCCGTTTCTCTTGTTTATTATGATATTGATGTTTACCTATAGAATATCACACAATCAAGGTTTTTCTGGCTGTTTTCTGACCAGGTAAATATTTTCCCAATAATATGCCGTAAGTTATGGTACACTTTCCTCATTGTGTTTAATCAAAAGATAGGTTGGTTTGATGCTGCTTAATAGCTTCGTAACCAACATTAAATTACAACAAAATTTTTTCAGAACATAAGGCATAGCTGTAAACCTTATAGCTAAGTAGTTCAAGATAGAAGGAGTCTTGTATGGTTCTAACTCTTCCATTAGGAAAAGGACTTAGAAAACAATAAAACTTAAGACCTTAGAATCGAGCATATCCTTATGTTATGTGAATTTGAAAATATATACCAAAAGAAGAATGGGGCTGATAAATTTGAACTTTGCACTTTTTGAATTGTGTCACTCACCCTCCCTTTCCAATGCCCAAAACCTTATATTGGATTTTCCTAGTCTAGCTAAATATGACACACAGAATAACTGTTACTTCTGTTTCAAGGAACAAATACTCTGTTTCCCTCATGACACTGTTAGAATCCTTAAGGACAGCAATCTTTTCCTCTCTTTGTGTCTCCATCCATTGTTCTGCATACAGTGAGCAGACTATACATTTTTTTTTGCCTGAGATTTAAAAAATAAGTCCATAGGCAGTTTCAGATATGATGCAGAGCACTTGAATTCCCTGAAGATATATATAGTTATATATATATATATATATATATATATATATATATATATATGATTATTTTCAAAGTTAAACTTTAACTGGAAGTTTATTTGACTAGGTACCTTCTTTATAGAATTCATGAGTCACAGAATTATATCCAACATACTTTAAGAAATTTACACAATTGTTTTGTGAACTTTCTTCACATAAATAGGAAAAAACTCCTCGAGACACGGACAGTCTACCTTTTAGAATTTTTTCATCCAATCTTTCTTTTACTACTGTCAACAAGTTTTTTGTGTATATATTTAATTGGTTCAGCAATGAAACAATTGAATGTAGTATTTCAAAAGGGAAAGTAGACCCTGAAGAAGGTTTCATTTCACACACAAAAAAAAATTCCTCCCAAAGATGGTTGTTATGTAAGGCCCTACTCTTTGATGGTAGTGAAAGAAAATATTTGAATCTGCTTTACAACTGCAAATGCAAGAGAAAATGTTTGCAAGTTGAGGAACCTATAATATAGCTGTCTCTGTTATGTTGACAACTGTCAGGATTTCAGCCAAATTGAGTATTGATGACTCTGCATTCCTACTGGAATCTTTTCACATGTCATACAAAGCCAAAAAAAAAAAAAAAAAGAATAAAATGCTATCTCTATGTTCAGATTGAAATTGAAGGTAAAGAATAAAAGAAAGAAAAAAGAAATCCATACTGGTCCTAGTTTTTTTTAAAAGAGCCTGCCTATAATAGCATCCAAATTGAGGCAAGGCAGATTAGATACATTCTTACAATCCTAAACCAGAAAGCAGTTTATAAATTTAACAAGATATTAATGATACCTTCATTGCTGTAGTGATGGATATGTGTGTGCAAATAGTTTACCTTCAAGGTAAGTGGATTCTTGAAGGTATGAATGTTGAATTTCTGCACTCCGATTGGAACCATGTAATTGGGTTGGCATTACCACAACTATTTTTCTAGTAATCTTTAAGTATTTCTTTCATTGATAAATAGAAATAAAAGTATATAGTAAGTTTGGCATTTGTTTTAAACTTTTGGGTATTGACTGATATTTGACAGAGTGAGAGAATTTGTTATTCCTCAAAAACTGATTTAACAAATTAGATATGTGTTCTAGGCTCAAGGAATCACAGTAATTGGATTGGCTATCAATAATATACTATTAAGTAGCTGAGATTGGCTTGTGTTTAAGATTTAACCCATGAATAAACTGAACCTCTGCAACCCACTGTGAGTTGCATCCTTTGTGATCAAGATTCAGATGGCCAGGTTCATGTTAAATTTTGCTTAAAGATTATATATATATATATATATATATATATATATATATATATATATTGCTCCTGGTTTTCATTCTCTATTTCTTGATAGTGAAAAGTTGATTTACTGGGCACTTTTAGATGCAATGAATTAAAACTGGTTCAGCCTGCATACATGCCAGAAGAAAAAATAAAAATAAAATACTAGTGCAGTAAGGTAAAGCAACAGGCTTAAGGACACATAGTTAATAAACATCAGAACCGTGACTGGAATTGACATCCCCTTGGCTTACATCTTCTTTTCTGTTCTTTCCAATTTGTACATGTGCCACCCAGTAATATAGTTTTAAACCTTTTTTGTACTGACTGCCTGTCATTATTTATCAAAATAATAACAATGGAATCACCACAAACGTGGACTCTGAAATAATAATTTGTAACTAAATTTCTAAACTTAAAATTAATGTAGATGTGTATCCCTACACTAACTTTGGCCTTTGCTTCCATCTTCCCTCAAGGGCTGCTGTGCACACTCACGCATGTGCAAACACACACATGCATGTACACACAACATAATATTTTTTTATAAAGAAAATTATCTGGTTACTTGATATATGTGTGGATTTTTCATGTGACAGCATGGAGACTAGGAGATTATGATCAGCATAAAAAAAAGTATAAATGGTACTCACCTTGCTTAACTTACAGAAAGATATCCTAATATAAGGGATAAATAACTGGGCATAAAACCATTAGATCGTACTACGGTGCTTGCCAAATAGTCTTTCAGACTCTTTTAAACTTATAAACAACACTCAAGAAAACACTGTTGATCAATTAGCTTTTCTTTTACTTCTCAACAACCTAAAAAATAATCTCTTGAAAATCAATTAATACAATTTACATTTAACTCAAGGTCTCATTTTCAATACTTTTACAACTCCATTATTTTCACCACGAGGCAAATCTGTGATAGAAATACTGATGGACCTTAAAGAGAATATTTCCAAGCTCTGATAAAAATAATACTAACCCAATATAGTTGTGTGTACCTGTCCCAAAATGCAATGTTCCTTACACTTTAAAAACAATCTGATGACATTTTTGACATATAATTTCCTGAGGACAGTTTTAAGAATTATTCTTTTGACTTTGGTCATAGGACTTTATTTCGTTGGTACTGTGGAACTATAAGACATCAATTATATACTTTATTAAAATATTTTTGAAGTTACTGGAAAGGTGTAAAAAAAGTCTGTTATGTGTGGAGAATAGAAGGCTGTCATTAGTACCATACCCTAAATATCTTATGTATCATAAAATATACATGTTCTTATATATATCACATATGGTGATCAAAGTACTTATCTGTAATTTTTAAGAAATAGTATATCAGTTATTTTTCTTTTATTATTTATGCTCATTTGTAGAAACTCATACCTGAAGAGTTGCTTCAGGTAGATTTTGCCAGGAACTAGAGCCCTTCAATCTGAACAGATTTTAATCAGGTCTGACAGCAAAAGAGCTTCACCTGGTATTTTATTTAGCTTGAGATTTGTAATAAGGTGATTTGTAAGAGGGATTTAGGTTTTACAAAATGTGAGGCATTTGTCTTGATATAATAATAAGCCTCTCCTGATATCAAAAATAATCAATAATTTCCTGTTTACTTACTGCAAAAATGTGAAGATGCAAAGGGGAAGAGTTTTCATTAGCCATGTCCTCTCATAGAGACTTCTATCAAAGTCAAAACCCATTCATTCATGAGTGTCATGCCCACATTCAAGATGTGGGGGGAAAAGTTACTTTCTTTCTAGACTAAAATATTCCTTCTAAGGATGGGAATTTAAAAAAGGCTGATGATTAGATGACCTAATTCCAATAGTATTAATAATATGCTTGCTTTCAATGCATTTTATTGTTTTTAAATTTATTGTGTTATTTTGTCTTAACTTTTAACTCCCACAATTAGATCCATTACTTATAAAAAGGAAACCAAAACTACTTAGTTAACAAGTTCAGTTTCGATAATATTCCGACTTAATTGGAATAAGTAAGGATAAAAACTCCTCTCTATGTACAGATAAAAAAGAAAATGAAGAGAAAAAAGAAGGGAAATGCATTTAGATTCCAAAGAAGTGCCTCAGATTCTAACTTAATTTTAACTGATACACGTTAAAACAAATATAAAGTGAAGAATTTAAAGTTTCTTAAAATAAATGATGAAATATTTTTAATATCAATAGCGATATTTTAATAAGTTGTTTATTTGCCATAAAAATAGTAATTATATATTGGAAAGAGTTTTCATATGCTATTCGCTCTAATGAAAAAGCAAATGATAGTACAATTTGGAAATTTGGCAGCATTAATTTTTGTATAAAAATAATTCTGATAACTTTGAGTGATTTTTAAATTATAATCTATTACCCTTCTTTTTTAAAGTGTTGGGCTTATGCCACTTAACCTTGGAACCTGGGACCAGATAAATCTGTTATAGAAACTCTCATTCTAGTAATGACATGTTTAGCCTTTAGGCACTATACAAAAGTGTTCAATGTGTTTAAGTAGTAGTAGACTGTTACCCTTTATTCCAGCAAAAATGTGTTTAAGTGTAATAACTGTTTCTCCTTAGCGTTACTCATAAAACCCATTGTCATTTGAAAGCAGATGGTCTTTTAGAATGAAGAACATAACACTATTTTAAAAAAGCAAAATTGTGATTTAAAACAAGTATTTAGCGATTTCATTAAGCATGCAACATGAAGCTATTTTAATCAGCAAAAAGATACTTGACTATGAATAGAGAAAAAAGGAATGTTTTTTTCACAATGTGTAATGTACAACCATGAAATAAAAGAATAACTTGCTGTAACAAGCAGAGGAGTCAACCAAAATGTAATTTATCCTTTTTAACAAGGCAGCTGATAGCATCTAAAATGGTAGACAAGTAAATGATCTCTTAAAAACCTTATTCAAAAATTTTTATTATTATCAATGGACTGCCTATGAAAGACATATTATAAGAATGTTTTCTTTTTCAAGATATTTTTCTTAATCTTTGGAATAATTGATGATCTATTTGTCTTGAACTATTTATTTTCCCTTTTCATTGATATTATGACATAACCAGATCTAAATTTAGCTAAGTGGAATGTCATTACACTATTCGTTCCCTGTGGTCTGAGACCACGTTGGTTCCCTGTGGTTCTGATTTGTGTGTCATAGGATGGACCTCATAGAAATAGAAATGAAGTGTCCAGTTTTACAATAACTAGGAATAAGTGCTATTTATTTTATCTTTTAGGGCATAGTCTTTATGAAGCATTAGGAAACTTGTTAGCGATTAGGAAAGTAGCTAACTCAGTCTATTAATATTGCCCCAGCACATCATGTATGTCTGCAGTCAAACTATACTATACAACACGTGATTCATTTTAATTAAATAACTGACTCTCTGATGGAGTCTTTCACTGGTAATTTTTCATGATGAAACATATATTAACATAAATGCAGGGTCCACAAGAGGTTCCTTTCTGTCACCAAACATCTGCACTTTCTTTTTTAAGGGAATGAAATTATGGATTCATAAATTATTATTTCAATAGACAAGATTCTGAGTTTTGAATGTCAAAAGTATGGGTCTGAGATCAATGGCTCTGTACTCATATTTACTTTTCTTTTTTATTGTTCTTAGTTTATCCTTTCTTATTCTGCCTTGCTTAGTTATTGACAGAAGCCTTCCCTACATTGCATTCCCTATGTTGCATTTATGTTGTATTAAATTTGTACAATATAAACAAAGTGAATACTAGTGATGAAAATGGCATTTATGAGGAGGTGGAATTTTTTTAAGTCTTGGGATTCGGCACTGATACCAAAAAAAAAGACTTGAAAAATGAATGGAATATTAATTATTATGAAAAACTGCTTCAACAAAATGCAACTGCCAAACGTGCACTTACCGAAGTTAATGGCATTTTGATTCATGGGAATCTATGTACTCTCTAGGAAAGCACTGGAAATCAGGAATGTGCTACCTTAGCCATGATCTACTGACTAGCTGGATGATCTTTTGTAAGTGGACATAACCAGCATGGAACATAACATAATTAATTAATTAACCATTACAATTTGAAAACTCAAGAGGGCAGGACTGCTTACTGGCTAGCATGCTGTGGCTGTTGCAAATTGTTGTGAGTGTTGTACGTCTGCTCTGTGTGTCCTGTCTCATTGGTTCTCATTCCACACTAGTTGTTAATCATTTCGAAAATCACCCACAGAGTGAAGAAAGAGGTGTTGCAACCTCAATGTCAATTTGGAATTTTCCTAAATGTGCCAAATTAAAATGAAGATAAAGGAACAATTGCAAATATTAGGCACTACTAAAGTCTGATCTCTAATTGTTTGGTTAATAAGTTAACAATCCAGCAAAAATGTTAAAAGATATATTTAATTTGAAATGTACATGATGTTTATTATGAACAAAATAGTAAGAAAAAGTTTTTAAATACTTATCTACTCTTTTGAAATACATTCCCAGGTTGTGTGTGTGTGTATATAGCTCAATCCATATAAATAGAGCACTGAAAAAGTTGGAAAAAAGTGGTTTTTCAGTTTTTGTCTTTGGCATTTATAAAGGTGAACAAATACTGTACTCATCTATATATGTATATGTTTTAGTACAATTTCATAATTTTCTAAATTTCTTTGTGAATGCAATTCTCTCTTTTTACTATTTTTCATGTAAGTTTTTTGTTTAAGACACTTTATTGCTTGTGGTGTCAGGAATTTTTTAGCCAAAATGCTTCAGAATTGCTTTAGTAAAAATTATATTCTTGATAGAGATAAAAATATCAAAAATAATTAAAAGATTACTTTTTAAAAAAACAGAACTTCACTTACTAGCAATTTTATACCATTTAAAAAGATGGGGTTCAGAAAATTTACTGATGTATGTCAAGTTTACTGTAGCACCAACTTCTGTATTCTTTTTAACTTTAACATCTATTTGTAATGCATATAACATTAGTAGCCTTAAATCTTCTAGAATTGTATTTCTATACAACAAAAAAATATGAAATGCTTTGTTACCAAGGAACTCATTACCACCAATTTCTGTGTTCTTTTTAACTTTAACGTCTATTTGTAATGCATATAACATTAGTAGCCTTAAAATTTCTAGAATCATTTTTCTATACAACAACAAAAAAATATGGACTGGTTTGTTACCATGGAACTCATTACCATAGTTTGTAAGATAGATTTTTTATTACAAAAGGCAGTTAATGAGGGAGAATGTAGGATGGTGCTGCTGGAGACTCAACTTCCAAAATATTATTTAAGCCAAGAAACATTTTTCACTTTTTAATGGTGATTCCCACTACATAAATTAGATAAAATCCTGACTACTGTTGTTCAAGCTGGGTAGAAATGAGGGCACCTGAACAGTTGCCACCTACCTACCCTCCACCCCACAGCAGCCTCCAGGGAACCTTTTCAGAATTCCCAGGGCACAATAGAACACAGCTTGAAACAACTGCTCTGAAGTATATCTGAGATCAGAAAAATTATATATAATATAATTAATTATTTGTGGAGTTTTTTTTTTCTAAAATGCTTAAATACAAATGAAATCTAAGAATGTATATTGTAGGGTTATTTCTATCCATTAAAAGAATACATTTATTTTAATTAAGTAACTGAACCTCTACTGGAGTAAAGACTGGTAATTTTTCATGATAAAACATACTTGAAGATAAATTGCAAAGTTTATCTCCAGGGACAAACTATGCATCAATAACAATGAGGTAATGATTCAAACGGTGTGTGTCCAAGGCATTAACACCTGAAAAATGAATCTGAACAAGCAGTAGGAGGACGTTGTTAATGTGGAAAACTACTAGGCTTAAACTCTTTCTTTATTCCTAACTTGAATCCTCTAATGGACCTTAGCCATTCAACTTCAGGGACTATAGAGTGCTTGAAGCTATAATGTAACATATCGACGCTGGTTAAGTCATCAATAAAAGGGAAAAATGAAGGACATTTGGAGTCCTTTTAGTCTCCTCTAAGTAGAAGACACTTATTTGAGGAAGATCGGAGGGAAACTGCATAACTTTGAAAATATTTAGAAAATTATTAGACCACCTCATTGCAAAATTGACACAGGTTTCCTTGGCCCTACTCACCTTACCAATACTACCACATGAGCTATTCTTACATTCTTTCTTCTTCCCACTAAATGAAACTGGAAAGTATAAACAGCTCTCTAGCAGCCAAAACACTGACATCCTTATAAAAGCAATTTCTGTTCCATATGAATTTTTTTAATGAAAAGAAAAACATAAAGGAAAGTTGGTGTGTTTCTTACTAATCCAAGGCATGATTGTATCAGATCATCTTGGTGGTTTCTTTGGAACCTGAAACCTAAACTTAAGGTTTGCAATCACTAACAAGCTTACATGTTGTTAATATGGTCAATAAAACAACAACAAAACTACTTCTCTTATTTTTCTTGACAAGTGGTATGTGGGCTGTTTTTGCTGTTGGCGTTGTGGTTGATAGTATTATTTTTATTTATAGCTAAAATTTCTTGAGTTCTCGTCATGTGAAGATATGGTACTAAGAGTGATACTAAAATGTTTTATCATTTTGTAACAATGCTGTAAGTATTAGGAGAGTTTCAATTAGAAAACTGGACACCCCCCTCCTATAAAACATCTAGTTTTCTTCAATCCTTATCCAGAAGCCGTATATTAAATTTTTCTAAAGAATAATACACTGTTGGTGGGACTGTAAACTAGTTCAACCATTGTGGAAGTCAGTGTGGCGATTCCTCAGGGATCTAGAACTAGAAACACCATTTGACCCAGGCATCCCATTACTGGGTATATACCCAAAGGATTATAAATCATGCTGCTATAAAGACACATGCACACATATGTTTATTGTGGCACTATTCACAATAGCAAAGACTTGGAACCAAATGTCCAACAATGATAGACTGGATTAAGAAAATGTGGCACATATACACCATGGAATACTATGCAGCCATAAAAAATGATAAGTTCATGTCCTTTGTAGGGACATGGATGAAGCTGGAAACCATCATTCTTAGCAAACTGTCGCAAGGGCAAAAAAACAAACACCGCATGTTCTCGCTCATAGGTGGGAATTGAACAGTGAGAACACATGGACACAGGAAGGGGAACATCACACACCAGAGCCTGTTGTGGGGTGGGGGTGGGGGGAAGGGGAAGGGATAGCATTAGGAGATATACCAAATGTTAAATGATGAGTTAACAGGTGCAGCACACCAACATGGCACATGTATACATATGTAACTAACCTGCACATTGTGCACATGTACCCTAAAACTTAAAGTATAATAAAAATAAAATTTAATTAGAAATGAATAAAAAAGAATAATAGTACAATTAGGAGCAACCATTCAATGAGTGCTAAGTTCCAGATGTTATTGCAATATTTTACACAGCTTCTAATAATATCATAGAATTGTTCATATATGGTAAATACAAGACATCAGCAGTGTTTCTGTAATTCCTGCTTTCAAACAATCCAGTTTATGGGACTCTAGCAGAAACATGCAATAGAATAGCTCACAAAATCTTCCCAGGTTAGGAATCATCACTTCAGTTTTAGGGAGCTCAACAATTCCAAGAAGGTTTTCATAAAATGATTTCAGACGGTGTGTAGCTCAAATCCTAGGTTTGTTGCAAGCAACAAAAAGCTACTAGTTTTATCTTTCTTTGGAGATTTATAAATATGGGCCTGTCACATAAATCTTGTAGAGGCAGATGTGTTATACTGAAGAGTGTTTGTCTAAGGAAAGCTTACTTCTATCTCAGAGATTAGGTACTTCCTACCAGTTATGAAAAACTAACCAAATAATAAGTCTTCAATAGCACAGAGTTAGGACAGAATTCTATTCCTTTATACATTTTTGAGAGTGTTCCATCAATATATGATGATAAAATTGGTTAGAATGTTAGCCATAAATAAACTTATGGAAAAGTAAAAAGAGACATATGGAGAAAAAGATTTTAATGAGAAAGGCTACTATATTTTCATTAGAAATTAGTAGTTTAAAGATGAGCAACATTGTAAGTATATGTAGCCAAGTATAGTACTCACATCATTTGGAAAATCAGTGGTTTTTTTTTTAAGAAGTTAATTTTATTGAGGTATAATTTATGTACAGTAAAAAAACTTTTAGTATAAAGGTTTGATAAATGCCTACTATTGTGGAACATCAAGTAAATCAAGAGTTAGAAAATTCTCTTTATCCCAAGAAGTTGTTTTTTTTTCTATTTGTAGTCAACTCCTTCCTCGACCTTTGATCCCTGACACTGATCTGTATTTTGTCCTTATTATTTTATTTTTTCTAGTATGACACTAAGTGGATTCATACAATGGGTAGCCTTTGGTGTCTGGCTTCTTTCACACAGCATAATGCATTTGAGATTAATCTATGTGATTGCATATATCAGTAGCTAATTCTTTGTATTGATGAATTGTATTCTATTGTGTAGCTGTATCACAGTTTTCTGATACATTCACTGGTTGAAAAGCATTTGGGTTGTTTCCAGTTTGGTGCGACTATGAATACAGCTGCTATATAATTTCATGAACAGATTTTGTGTTAACATAAGTTTGCTTTTCTCTTGATTGAACTTCTAGGAGTGGAATTTATAGGTCATGTAAGAAAATACATAAATTTATGAGAAACTTCCATACAGTTTTCTAAAATAGCTGTACCATTTTGTATTCCTACTAGCAATGTGTGAGAGTTCCAGTTGTTTTGCATCTTTACCAGCACTTGATATTATCCCTAATGAAAGAGACCTAGAAATCATCAACCAAATATTAGTGAATTTAATACAAAAGGATATAAAATGCATAACATTGTAACATGACCAAGTGATGTTGATACTGGAAATATTGGATTGTTTCAATATTAAAAATCACTCAATATAATTCACCATATCAAAATACTAAAGGAGAAAAACTATATAGTCATCTCAATGTATGCAGCGAAGGCATTTGGCAAAATTCAACATGTATTAATGATGAAGAACTCTAAGAAAGATAGAAATTAAAGGAAATTTCCTCAGCATGTAAAAAGACATTTTTAAAAGTCCTACAGCCAATATCATCATTAATGGTGAGAGGTTCCGTGCTTTTTTTGGTTGATCAAGAACAAGACAAGGATGTCTGCTCTCCCTACTCCAGTTCAATCTCATACCAGTGGTCCTAGCCAGTCCAATAAGACAAGCAAAGGAAATCAAAGGCAGACATGTTGGAAAGAAAGAAACACAATTATCTGTGTTTTCTGGTAGCTTGATATTATAGGTAGAAAAATCATCAAATATATTACACAGAAAAAAGCTAGCAGTACTTGTAAGTGAATTTAGGAAGGCTATAAGATACAAGAACAATATACAAAAATCAATCTCATTTTCATATTCAAATTGGTTTTCGGCTTTCAAAACCATACTAGCCTTCTCTATTGGAACAAACAAGTACAGAATATATCTGGTTCTTAGACTTTTACTCTTTCCACAGTTCTCCTTTCTCTATAATCCCCATAGCAGAAGCACAAAGACACAGTTGAGGATACTCAAATATGTCAGTTATAATCCAGTAGTTAATACTGAAGGCTTCCACTTTCCTTTTATTGTAGAAAAAATAAGATGTGTTTAATTAAAAGTTGCCATCATAAGTGCCACTTATTTATACCATTTGTTTTCTTCTTTCACATGAATATAATTGAGTGATTATACAGTGGAAAAGTATCGGAATAATTCTTAGAATACTTTCATTGCCAGATGAAAGGCAAATTTTAGCTATCCCCTTTATAGAGGTTATGAGAAAATGCCATGCATCTCACTCCATCATCTCCAAAACAATAATGTGGTGGCTCACTTAGAATTTTTAATTTGCAAATATTAGTGAATTGCATTTACTGTAGTTGTCATATAAATTTAATCTTCTTTAAGTCTCTGAAGCCACCTCAAAATTCTGTTCTTTCTTTCTCCTTGGAATTCATATTTTAATATGAATGGACTATTAGGTAGAGTCAAAACTGATTCCACAGTGTGAAATCTTTATCTGCCCTTTTCCCAAAGGCAAACATTATGTTGATTATCATATATGGACCTTGGACTCTATCAGTTCCAAGAATAGAAAGAACTATATACGGAGAAGGCCAAGTAATTTCTGCTCCGTCTCTCCTAAAGGCACATAAGCACACTAGATGTGAAGGAAAATATATCTTTTCCGTTTTTTGGACATGCTAACACTCTGACCATCTTTACTACTGCCATCATTAGGATGGAGTGATACTTCATCTTAAGGGCTTGTTTAGTCCTTTCACATCTCTTATACATAGTTGTGATTATGAACCACATTTTGACACATGGAAAAGAGTCACCTAAAATCTTTTAACAGTTTCCTTTCCAGAGCCAATGCAGTGATCATACAACTGTATGTTAAGTTCGGCTTCTTGCTATCACACATTTCTCACAGATGGTCACAGATGTGTCAGCCAGGATATGCAATTACTAAGTGCTGCAACAGATAAACTCTGAGACTGAGCAACTTAGTTATTTCTTGCTGACATGAAGTCTGATGACTCTTAGCTGACAACCTTCTCCATCTGATGACTCTGTTTCATGATATTGCCATCTCTGCATATGGTTTCCAAGGTCATCACTGTAGGGGAAAAAAGGAATATGGAAATGGCAGACTGATCATTTTGAGCCAGAAGTGATATGTGTCATTTGGCAGACTAGTCATGTGTCTCTGCTGAAAAGCAAAGGTGCTGAGAAAGGTTTTTTTCCTGTGAAGTTAGGAGGGAGAAGGAAATCAGAAATGGATGATGACTAGAAGTCTCTAGTATGCCAGAGAACTCCTCACCTATTTGATCTCTTAAGGGGTTACCACTGCCATATCTATCCACCTATCGGTAACTTGACTATCTGCATGTATCTCCAAATTCATATGTAGGACTTGAGGAAAACCAAAGGTAGTACACAGTCCGTAAAAGAAATTGGGCAAGAATTAAGAAAACATTGACTGTTATCGGTGCCAAACAAAAAGTGGTATAAGAGACCATTTTGGAGTGTCATGTTATTAATACACATATTATAAATTACCATGTTCTATTTAAGAGACGGGAGGGGAAATTGCTTATTATATAATGCACATGTCTTCATTACTTAAGTTGAGGAAGGGAAAGGGGTGACAAATTGAACAATCAGGGATTCAGTTCCCTGGGGTAAGGAAAACATATTTCTGGCTTTTGTTGTCTCTACAAGTCAGACTAGATTCTAGAGTGGTTAGATACAGGCTTTTGAAGATCAGTCAAAGATAACAGTTTCAAAAACCCCACTTCTTATATGGAAATGTTATTGGTTATGCTTGTATATATAATACTCTTATTGGAATAACTAGGTTAAATAATTTATAACTAGCGTTGTAGAGCCGAGACCTATATGTTCACACAAATTTTCAGTAAAATATCTATTCCACAGTGTACAGAAATGTGATTTTTCTCATATATCCTACGCAAAGAAAACTTAAAAGTATATATGCATACCATATATAGGTTTGACCTGATTACTATATAAATACTAAATGTCTTGCCCATATTTATCTGAAAGTCTTCTTTCTACCACCAGTATATGTAATTATTTCCACTTTGGGGGAAAAAAGGTAGCAGATAAAATTAGTTATATTGTTATTTGTTGCAGTTTCATTTTACCTTGTATATCTGTCAAGGATAGTTTTTGTAATTTCTTACATGTAAAACCACACATAATCACTTTTAAAGTACCAACAAATGCGATCACTTAAAAAAGTAAACTAGAACTGAATAAAGAGATTGATTTTATCACAGTAATTGTGTTGACCCTATATTAGAGAGTCTTAGTAGCTAATTTTCAAGAGATTGACTTTTTAAACAAGCCCATTAATGAAATGCCAAAAGAGTAAATACTTGTCTAATATATCCTCAGAAAAATAACACTGAAGATAATTTACAAATCTTTAATCAATATATTTGTAATTACCATCTTATTGGTAATTGATATGTTATTAGTAATTGAATGTTTTTCATTTTAGTACCAAATCTAATCCTGAGGGAATATCAACATTATCTGCTATATAATAATATAATATTTAATCAAATTTATCACATTATTTCAATATGAAAAATGAAATATTTTCTTAGGGATGCTGGAGAATTTATATTACTTAATATGCTGCTGAAAGTTTCAAATAACACAATATTCCTTGACTAGGTAAAATCATAAAGAGATAACACTAAATAAATAAATTTTGAGATGAGAAAAATAATGAGATACAAGCAGTAGTTGTAGTTATGTTAGGAATAGAGCTGGGTGTATTAGGAAGAGATTCAGCATGTGAAACTTGTTGTTCCAAATATGCAGTCAAGGAAATTTTCAATGTGATGAGAGAGACTACGTTCATGTATTTTGACTGTAAGGTCTTTGGATAAGTAAGATCTTTGATTAAGATTATATTACTATTGAATTATTTCTTCTTTTTACCTTGGTTCTACCCAGCAAGCCCATAAATGAACTCCTCTCTCTCTGATCTTCTATTTGAGTAATATTTCAAGTCACAGAGTTGCCTAATTTAAAGAAAATGTACTCATACTTTGTGCACCTAAGAGCAGGAGAGTGCTAATGGGTGGCTGGGGATACGGTAAATTATCTGTGCAGTATGGGCTGACTGTATCTCTCAGCCATTTGCTACCATACCATGTTTTGCTTTGCACAAATCCTAACACATAAGCAATGCCCAATGAATATTTGTTGAATATCTAAGTGAATGAATGAATGGATGAAGACATGAACTAAGCTACATCTCCATTTCTCCACAGGCTTAACATTCTCTGATTCTATGATTGTTTGAGAAAGAACACTGACTTCTGAACATTTACTCTTACCTAGTTTTCATCTTCTCCTGTTTACATCCTCCCTAAAAGAAAAAGCATCCCCAGCTCTTCTCAGAAAGGCTTTTCTAACACAGTGCCTTACACAGAGTAAACATACAATAAAATTTATTGATCTGAATTGAAATGTGGGGGAAAAAAAGCTTCTGTGAAAAGCTGACAGTGCAATTACTTTACCTAGATCACACATTCCTCATTGACCATATGCTCAATGATCATGAACATATGTTATGTTTGTTTTTAGTAATTTTACTTGCTAACTATTGCACGATGGTGAGTTTCACACAAACCCTATATGATCAGTGTCTAAAACACTCTAGTTCTTCCTCTTTGTCTTTTTTTAATGAGTGTTAGTTACCCCAGTTACAGAGCTGAATATCATTTAGAGCATTATGCTACCAAAAAAAAAAAAAAAAAAAGGAAAATAGAACATGCAAAGAAATGTGTTACAAACCAAAACAATTGAACTTTGCAAGCATAAAAATGATTAAATTCTAGTCTTAGATAATGGAGGTTAAATGAGTAGAAGACAATGTAATTTTGTCAAAAACATGCATAAGCGGGAAGGGGGCAAAGTTTTATTAATTGGGAATGAATCTGTGGTAAAATCCATTACTATTACTTAGAAGATGAGAGAATTCAGTCTAAAATTCTATCCTCTAGAAAATTTGAAGACACTTTTAAGAGATATACTTCAAAAAAACAATCTGTACCTATGGCATTAAAAGCATCTTTCAATCATGTCTGGCAAGTACATCATGTTGGTAAAGAACCCAGTGGGAATGGCGTACTGGTGCTGTAACTCACTGCAGCATTTTTCTAGCTGAATAATTTAATATTTAAGTATCACAAGACAAGCCAAAAACTACAATTAGGCAATATTCCTCAGTCTTGAGGTGTTTTTTGTATGGTAAAATAGGTCAGAGACCAACTTCCAAAGAACAAAATTATGAAAGTGAAAGAAAATAGTCGCTCAGAGAGCTAAAAAGAGAACATTTTATTTTATGAGATTTGTGGGAAAACGCTTTAAGAAATCAGATGAAGAAAAAGGTCATTAACATCTTCTTCATCATCATCATCATCTTTGTTCTCATGATCCCACTGAAAGCAACTTACTTGTTGGAAAGAATGGTTTCCCTAGCTCTCTCAGAAAATTTTTATCTTGGAAAATGTGCATACATGTCTTTTATCTATGTCTGTGTAACTCCAAAGAGTCTTCCTAAATTTGGAATAAAGCCAGCTAGTGCTATTTGTAATCTGCAAGAAGGGAAATTTAAATTAAATAATTTATTAAAATCAAATGACATACTCCTCTGCCGAAGTTCAAACAAATGCTGCTTTCCATTTTTGTTTTCTGATTTTTAATGGAGTTTTGTTGACCAAACCTGGGAAGAGAGTGAAAAAATTGTGTGACTTTCACTAGCAGCTAGAGTGCTCCTTTATTTTTGCATTGGGTTTCAATTTTGGCCACAGAAGATGCTAACTCATAGAGACTGCCACAGAAAATCCAGCTGGCTTAGTAAAAAGCAAAAGTAGTTAACTAAGTATATAGTGAAGAAACATATTTGATGGAATTTCTTCAAATTTGTTTTTTGCACGACTAGGGTTTAATAATTTTGACATCATTTTAACTATAACATCATGCCTAATTGGCCTATTTTACAGTTTTGTTTTAATCCCTGTGCATCTAGTTACCATACCTTGTCTCAAAAATAAGGATCATTTAAAAATATAGTGCTCACTGGGTGCAGGGCTTACCTCCCAATGGCTTGTGGATGAAGACCTGAGCATTGGAATTTGAGTTCTAGGAAAAATGGAGAAATAGGCAGAAATAGATTTTTAATACTATCTGCTTTCCTCTCTACAAGTGCCGCATTCTCCTCTCTGGGTCTCTATTCTCTTATGTTCTCCACATCCTACCCTCATGCCTACATCCCATTTCCTCATTCTAGCCTGCCCTTCCACAGAGACTTGCAATCGAAAATAATAAATTTGAATTGCTACCTATCTCATCTTCTCAATTCAAAATACCTATTACCTAAATAAATATCCTACTAATGTTAAACAAAATGACTTGAGTGTCTGAAAAAGTAATCCATGGTAAGGTAAAATGACTAATGAAGGTAAATAAAGTCTAGGGATATTTCATTTGCAGTGCTATTGTTCTTTGCTAATTCAAATGAATCTCTAATATAGTTCACAGAATGATAAAACAATTGCATTATAAGGTTCATCTAAAGAATGCTGTTGCTTCCCCAGGGTGAATGTAGTAGGTGGCTGGACCCGGCTCATAATGGCTTGGGAAAGAGGGCTGTGTGTAGCTCTTCCAAGTCCAGTTCAGTGATGCCACGCGATAGCTTAAAATAGCCCGTGGTGGGAGAATTTACACCATCAAGATTCAGAAATGCTAAAAATCGCTGATTTTTTTCCTGGACAATTGGTTGATAAGCATTTATCAGGACATCACTGATTGAATTAAATAATAGAATACATTTTTATATTGTTGGGGGAGTATTGTAGTACTGGTGAAGAATCAGAGTGTCATAAAATCCCAAAGGGAAATAGCTCTCCCACCCATCCAAAAACATTTTATTTCTACACAAAATTTCATTTTAAAAAAGAATCATACTGCCAAAAAAAATGTTTAAAACTACTACTTTTTAACATCTCTGAAAAGTGATTCCCTATCCCCATTGTTTGACATTTTCCTATAATTGACACATTTGGATAAATGACTTTTAAAACATTCTTCTTTTTTTTATATTGTCTCATAGTGTTAGTATTTATATGATTTATTAATATTTATTTATTAATATGTTTTCATTACATTGCATTTGGAAATCCACTTGTTCTTTTGTTTATATGCAAATTATCTAGTATGGGGAAGAGAGATTAATTCTAGGTTTATAATCTTTAATTTCTAGAAATATTGTGAAGCATGACCAAAGACAGTGACTTGGGAAAAGAAATACCAGGAGGGACATAATAGAAGTTTTAAATGATAGAAGTAGGAATAGTATAAAATAATCAATTTAGGTAAATAATAGACTGTAACAAGTGGTAGCAATGTAGCATAGTGAAAATATCAGTGACCTTTGGAATCAGAGACATCTGGGTTGAAAAACAAATATCTTTATATACTAGCTGTGTGATTGTAATCAAGTTTTTTAACCTCCCTGAGGTTCAATTTCCTATCTATACAATGGAAACAATACCTAGAACAGTAGGTTGTTTCTAGGACAAAATAAAAGGATATATGAAAAGTATGTAGTATTGGCATGTAATAATGGAATAACCATTTTAAAAGTTTTAAAAGAGGCGAAACCCCATCTTTACTAAAAATACAAAAATTAGCTGGGCGTGGTGGTGGGCGCCTATAATTCCAGCTACTTGGGAGGCTGAGGCAGCAGAATCGCTTGAACCTGGGCAGAGGTTGCAGTGAGCTGAGATTGCTCCACTTCATGCCAGCCTGGACAGAAAAGCGAAACCCTGTCTCAAAAAAAAAAAAAAAAAAGTTTTTATTTTGAACATATTTGTCTATAATCACATTACATTTTGATAATGCAGTATATCTTTTTTAAAAGTCTTTCTAGAGGGAAATCATTTGAAGGTAGTTAATCTGAAGCAACAACACCATCTGGCTCAGAGACTGACACATAATAGGAAAGCATTTCATGGAGACAGGGAATTTTAGAACCAGGATTCTTAGAAAACAACTAATCCAATCATTTGACATCTGAAGACCCAGGAAGTTAAGGAATTAATCCACATAAATACAAATCTAGGTTAAGTGATTTGGCTTTCAACGTGTTATATAACCTCTCTGAATTCAATTTTCTCTTTAGTAAAAGTGGGAATAAATCCCACAGCACTGGCTTATTTCTCAGATTAAATGAGATAATATAAATGGTTAAGTAGACCACAGCCCTGAGAACCTGGCGTACTGAGGTATAGTAAGACATAATGGCTATGAAATCTTTTTCCCTACCTGTCCACCCACTCTTAGTGATTCTATACATCCTGGACTTCTGCTTAGTAATTTACTTCTAAAGCATTAAACAGCGAAAGCATTCTTATAAATGATGATGTGGTTGCTATATAAATATAGCTCCTATCTCTCTGTGTATTGCTTTTCTATGCTGCAAGGAAAGAAAAAAAAGTGTCTGTCTTCACTATCTCAAAGGCTGCTAGAGCAAGGAAGAGAAGTTCCAAGTGTGTAGGAGGCAAAATAATGTGTGTCTGCATTTTCTGCCCCATTACATTTTGTAGTTCATGGTCATACCATACATTTGTTTTGAAACGTATTACACACACCATGGTGGAAAATGCAGTCAGCTCTTTGGTGTTCTGAGATAGGAAATGGCTGTGACTTACCACAAAGTTCTGAATAAATACAGTTAGTTTCCACTTTGCCTGTGAAGCACTACTCCCAGCAATTCAACAGCTGTCTGCCTATCTCTGAGCTGCAGGCAGTTTAGTGAGAGAGCAGATACGCTGTCTAGAAGGAGGAGAGTCTACCATAAATAGGACTATTTTGAGTGCAAAGATTTCAAAAGCATATCTGCTGCTTGCCTGACCCTTCAAAATCTCTGAAAATCCTCAAAATTTCTAAGATAGTTCATGAACATGCAGAGATCATATGTCTAAGAATTCAGGAATCACATTTAATCTAATGTATGGAAAATGGATGCAGGCGAATCAGATGCAGTCTAATCACCTATTCTTATTCATCCTAGTGGGATTTCTGCCTAATAGTCTCTTTAGAATATATCAACAATATTAATATTAATAACAGCAAACTTAAATACAGAATGAAAACATAATAGTTCCCAACTCTCCCAATGCTATTTGGTTTTCCAAAATGATCTCACTTCTTCTGACTCTACCACAACTGATTTGTATTCAGCTTACTTATCATTGCATGTAACTGTGTAGTTGAATGTGTTATGCTATATCTATACAAATAGAATACATAGATTTGCATACATTTTATTTTTCATGTATGCTCTATGAATAGATTTAAATTTTGTTCACTGGAAATTTTGGATATTTATTAAAAAAAACAATTACATCATAAAAGTAAACGAACTTCCATTTTTGAATATCAAGTCTTTAGCCTCAATAGTCAAGCGCTGTGTTTCAAGAATAGCCCAGTAAGATTATGGAAGGTTCTAATTGCCCTTCAGAACTCATGCTTACCTGTTTTTAAAAGTCATTTTGGCTGGGCGCGGTGGCTCACGACTGTAATCCCAGCAATTTGGGAGGCCGAGATGGGTGGATCACCTGAGGTCAGGAGTTTGAGACTAGCCTGGCCAACATGGTGAAACTCCGTCTCTACTAAAAATACAAAATAAGCCGGGTGTGGTGGCCCACACCTGTAATCCCATCTACTTGGGAGGCTGAGACAGGAGAATCTCTTGAACCCGGGAGGCGGAGGCTGCAGTGAGCCGAGACTGCGCCACCATACTCCAGCCTGGGCGAGAGAGTGAGACTCCATCTCAAAAAAAAATAAAGAAATACATTTAAAAATAAATAAAAGTCATTTGCAGATTCACCTTTTATAAATTGGACCAAACTCTTTTTGTTCTACTCTAATTTCCTACTTCATCATATTTTGGCATAACATATTTCATAGCTTCTCTATCTGCTATTTGAAGTTGGATTTTCTTTATTCATTTTAAAATTACTTTGCCCACATGTCAAAAGGTGCCCCTCATCCTACTAGTTCAGGATTTAATGAACAAATCCATGTTCACCATATCTGTACTGTTTGTGATTAAATAAATGGCAATCATGTCTTATAGCCTCTGCTACTCCAAAGTCTTTTTGTCAGCTTTCACTCTTGTTGTCCTAGCAGTCCTAACCCCCACCTCCACTTTATTTATCAGAAAAGTTAAACTTCTCTGAATATTTTGAACTCCACTCTTGGTTTTAGAGATGACAAAAATTGTGTTCAATAACCCATGCAAAAACAATGTAGTTAGATTCTTAACAGAACCCCAAATAATCATACTGATAATACATAATTTAAAAAAATATGTGGTGGTCTCTGGCACAAAGTAAATAGCCAGTAAATGGAAGCTGTTATAATCTATTATTAGTTATCATTGATTAGGTCTTATTGTTCTCCAGATATTTCATATATGCATTTCATTTAATCAGGCACTTCAAGTATAGCATCTCATTTAATCTTCTTACCATCCCTCTAGATACTGTTTAAAGAGATGATGCTTAAATCACATAGCTAGTAAGTGTCAAATTTTGAACATGATCATCCTGATGCCCAAAGTTCAAACAGTGCTCTTTTTTATGAAGCCATCATCACTATGGCAATACTGATACCACTAATGAGTCAATCAAACTGGTATTACTGATCACCTTCCATGTTGTGTAATCCAGTTTAAAAAAGGGTGATATTTCCTCTACTGTTCAGGAACATAGAGCTTAATGAGGCCATGGAATAACATCCACAAAACAATATCATATTAATATAAGCTCTGCGTGATGTGAAGCATCTATGATATGGACTCTGAGTGTCGCAGCACTTAGCAAGAATATATGGAGTGGCTCTCGCCAAAATGCCTCATGCAATATGGACTTAAGGGAGAAAAACAAGTTAATTGCCCATCTTCATATTTTTCCTTTCCAGAGTTCTTTCAGTCAACAACTCTTTGGAAGAAAACAACACTGACATATAACATTAACACTTTCGTTACCTGAGAACTAAAAATTTTGGAATCAAGACGGCAAGCCTTAGATAGCAAATGAGGCAAAAATATAGGAAAACTTGGCGGGGCTGGTGGCTCATGCCTGTAATCCCAGCACTTTGGGAGGCCAAGGCAGGCAGATCATGAGGTCAGGAGATCGAGACCATCCTGGCTAACATGGTGAAACCCCGTCTCTACTAAAAATACAAAAAAAAAATTAACCTGGCGTGATGACGGGCACCTGTAGTCCCAGCTACTTGGGAGGCTGAGGCAGGAGAATGGTGTGAACCCAGGAGGCGGAGCTTGCAGTGAGCCAAGATTGCGCCACTGCACTCCAGCCTGGGTGACAGAGCAAGACTCCGTCTCAGAAAAAAAAAAAAAAAAGGAAAACCTGATGAGTACATCCATAAATACATATTTCAGTATCTCAATTCTATATTAAAATATTTGTACAGTTTTTAGAGAAGAGTTTTTAGAATAATTAAAAGGACAATTATGTAATTAAGAAAAATAACAGTAAGTCTTTTTGAGATTCCTTTATTTTTCTAACACATCCTGTCTATCTTTAATGCTAGTACCATTTGTTGACATGAGTTCACTCCACTCTGCCACCAGGTAATAACCCTCAAGTGCACCTATATTTCAATCTGTGAGGCAATGATTTCTGTGTTAGCTGGTATTTAGCAAAAGGAGTGTTAAATATTTCTTTACAAAGATATAATCATGACTCTTGTACTGATGAACAATGAATACATGTCAAAGATTTTATTTAACTAATTAGTTACTGAGCTACCAGTAAGAAGTTACAACTGGTTCAGGGGAAATTCAAAGAACCACACATATATATGAAAATAAGGAAAGCTGAAGTAAATTTACAAATGTATGCAAAATAAGCCTTTCTACAGGGCAAAAATCAATTGCTTTCCACACAGCTAATTTGCATGTCTGTGAACAAGGATCATTTGCATTATTATTAATTTTCTACAATTTACAGAGCTGTGAAATAGCTCCAAGACAATGAAAAGTTGAGATAACCCACGAGTATGTGCTAGGCACAATACTCAGGAATCTTCTTTCAGTCCATTGCAATGTATTTGCATTTATCTTCTGCAGGAGTGATGGGGAAGGACTCCTACATGTTATGTGATTTTCAACATAGCACAGATATTAAGACTGTCATTCAGGTGTCATAAAGCTAGCACAAACCAAAATGAGGTTTGCTTCTGAACACTTTTTTTCCATTAGAATCAGGTTTATTTTTGAGAGATAAAGAATTGGAAAAGAATATGTATCTTAAAGATGTAGTATGAATGAAAGAGAATGGAAGAGAATCAATGTACTTGAGTCGCCATGGCTGCAGCTAAAACTAAGTCAAGATAGCAGTGAGGGTCAGATCACTCCCCTGGGTCTCTCTGAGAAGATTCTTCTGGTTTTATCAAGAACATTTTCTTTGGAAGATCTATGAAAGGTTACTGCCTGGTAGCAGAGGTTGGATGGACTAATGTCTACATATTTTAAGTAAGGTAGCATTTGAAGGGACGGTGTTTCCAAAAGTTCTGTACTGTAAACAGTTGAGTACTTTCCAGTTATCCAGAAGAAAAATGTGTGGTTTAATATATATGACTATACTATATTTATTATGTATTGTTTGCATATTGGTTTCCTTCAAATCTCATGTTGTAATGTAATTCCCAGTGTTGGAGGTGGAGTATGGTAGGAGGTGATGGAATCATGGGAGCAGATCCCTCATGAATGGCCCAGCACCATCCCCGCGGTGATTGAGTGAGGTCTCATTAGTGCACACAAGATCTGGCCATTTAAAAGGGTCTGGGACCTCCCCTCTCTCTCGCCATGTAATATGCTAGTTCCTCTTCACCTTCTATCATGATTCTAAGTTTCTGGAGGGCCTCACCAGAAGTAGATGCCAACACCACACTTCCTATATAGCCTGCAGAAACATGAGCCAAAATAAACCTTTTGTCCTTGTAAATTACCCAGCCTCAGGTATTTATTTATAGCAATCAAAAACAGCCTGAAACATCCAGCTATCTTTTTGTACTCAAAATTAGCCCTTTCATCCTCATGAGCAAAGATTTATATTAAACTCTTAAAATGTGATTTTAATTGTGATTTCTGCCAAAGTGGTGAAAATGTTGTAAGTTCTTGGAAAAAAGAGATGCATGATAAAATTGATATGTCAGCCATCACGAGTTGTTGTTGTTGTTTTAACTCCTGTGTTTCTGGTACATTTTTGAGAAAAGCAAAAGGCATAGAGTTCTGGACATAAACACTGATACCTGCGTTTTTATTTTTCACTTTTGATTTAAGGCAGCAAAGTTTAAGCTACTTCCACCTGATTTGTTTTGTTTTTCAATATTCTTTGTTTCTACTTGATTGCACACGCATAACCCACCATCATGCTTTTGTATTTCAAGTACTTGGCAAAAACCTTTTCCTCTATAGATGTAGGTTGTTTTGTTTTGTTTTGTTTTCCTCAAGACTTCAGTCCAAAGAAGAGTTTAAAGTCTTCCAATTAAACACTCTCTGGCTGATAACTTGAGCAGACCTGTGCTTTTGGGAGTTAGCAGAGGCAGAAGCCTAAGGGCAATGCCAAGAAACCTTCTAAAAGAGGTGCCATGTCTTGAGTTTACACCAGCTTGTGCTAGCCTTTCTCATTCCACAGATGTCCTTAGGTATTCACCTTGTCCTCTGATCCTTTGCTACTTTGTAGTGATAAATAATCTTCCTCATTTGGGGTCCCCTGAAGCTTTAAGATTCTTGACTTTTCTTGCAGGAAACCGTACTTGACCTTGCTTCTGCTCCTGCAGCATTTGGCATTGCAATTGGCTACCTTTTGATAGGCTAAGTAAATCTAGGGCAGTAAGGGTTTAATGATGTATTCCCCAGAATTTTAAATTTCATTAACAAGTTAAATTTTTAAAAAATTAAAAGAAACTTTGGTACAGATAGAAAGGATTGTCTACTTTTAATTGTGTCAAATTAGGACTTAAAATCAGCCCTAAATCATGCAATCTCCATAATGTCATAATATGAAGGACAGTTAAACACATAGAAGAAGAAGTCATCTAACTTCACAACTAGAAAATAACTGAAGATAGTTAGTCTTTTAAATTAAATACAAATTTATCTGGGGAAAAATCTTAACTATTTCTTAATTTACTCTAGTTTAATATATTACCCCCACCCAGTTAGAGTTTGTATATCAATAGCTGCTTTTCAAGGCATTTACATCAGAGATGTCTTTTAACAAAAGAGGAGGAAGGGTAACACAAGGAGACAGGAGAACTGTGGGCTCCCTTAAGTCAAGCTAGTAAGGCCAGCCCTGACGGGTAGAAAGAACTGAGAAGCCTTCTTGAAGTTTCACGCCTAAGAACATGCAGGGGCAGAAAAGGAGTGGATGAATATGCCCAGGGCTTCCAGGAACCCAGTGTGAAGCAGCAGAATCCCACCAAACATTCCTAGGTATCTTATCACTCTGCTCTGAACCCCAGGGCTATGAGTATTCCAGATTGAGAGACTGGGGATTATTCAAACATTTTATATGAGTAGCTTGTTCGTGCTCTGCAAATTTAAAAGACAAAAATCCCTCTGAAGCAGTGATTCTCAAACTTTAGCATGCGGTGTAATCAACTGGAGGTCTTGTGAATCCACCAGCGCCGGACCCTATCCCAGAGTTACTGATTCACTGGGTCTTGGGAAGCGCCTGGGAATTTGCATTTTTAACAAATTCTATGTGATGCTGATGCTGTGGATCAGGGAATGCCACACTTTGGGAATACTCTCATTTTATCAAATATTTTATTCTAGTACAAGCCTAGAATTTTGTATATTCTGAGACACAAGTTGGTGAAAGTATATTTGTTTTGGTGGAGAAATAGGAACAAATTAAGATTAATAGTTTTCCTAGTCAGTTTGGGATGCTATAACAGGATACCATAGGTTGGGTGGCTTAAACAAAAGAAATATATTTCTCACAGTTTTGGAAGCTGAGATGTCCAAGATCGGGGTGCAGGCAGATTCAGTGTTGAGTGAAAGCCCTCTTCCCGGTTTGCTGACAGCTGTCTTCATTGTATCCTCACATGGTAGAAAGAGAGATCATCGGCCGGGCATGGTGGTAATCCCAGCACTTTGGGAGTCCCAGTCAGGTGGATCACGAGGTCAGGAGTTTGAGACAACCTCGCCAACATGGTGAAACCCCGTCTCTACTACAAATACAAAAATTAGCCAGGCGTGGTGGCAGGCACCTATAATCCCAGCTACTCGGGAGGCTGAGGCAGGAGAATTGCTTGAAATAGGAAGGCAGAGATTACAGTGAGCCGAGAACGCACCACTGCACTCCAGCCTGGGCAACAAGAGCAAAACTTCATCGCAAAAACAACAACAACAAAAACAAACAAACAACAAAAAAGCAAGAGATCATCTTTCTTATGTCTCTCAATATAAGAACACCAATTCCTTTTGTAAGAGCTCCACACTTATCACATACTTATCTTCTATAGTCCCCACTTTCAAATACCATTACGTTGGGGATTAGGACTTCAACATATGACTGTTGAGGGGACACAAACATTCAGTTCATAGCAATAGGGAATAAAATCAATTTCTTAAAAAAAGGTCCTAGAATTATGCAACCTCCTTCTAAAGTAAACAATGTTTATATTTCCAGATTGTTTTCTGATTTTTCCAATGCAATTTTAGTTCACTGTCTAAATGGGTTAGACTTCTCTTATACTTAGGAATAAGAGTTTTATGCATGGTTAAAATCCCCACTGGAAAAGACTGTTAACAGATTAACAGACCAAGTGACTTGGGTGGATTTAATACATGTAAAAGCCAATTAGATTCATGTAAAATTCTAAGAATATCATCATTTTCCAGTCAAGCCCTGACACTTTGGGGCAGTTAGGTACCTGCCTTGTTCATATCCAACTAGTTTTTTTTGGCTAATTAAGTAATAATAATCAAAACACTTAAGGTTTTAAAGGATGAATGACCAGTTGAGAGTTACTTCTTATTTGCTCCTAAATCCAATATATTTCCTGATCAGTCAATAACACTTAGAACATCTAGTTATAATTGGTAATACAATTGTTTAAAAAATGATAATTAAAAGGACTAAGACTATATATGGTCTTTTGAGGGGATAACAATTGAATTATTTAAACAAAGTATATTAGGATAATAAAACACGAGAAGTCAGTCCAGTGGTTCAATCCATTTTTCAGAATTTCATTCTGTTTATAATTAAGCAACAGTGACCTTCAGGTTAGTCTTCCTTAGCTGTTAACAACCAGCTGGAGAAGCTGAGGGCTATTTTTGCAATTATAATCTGTGAAGATTGAAAAACGTTAAGATAAATAACGTGTCCACCTTATTAACAGGCAACTCATTTCCACACTTGAATACATATCAATAGGGGTTCCAAGTTCAATCTCCCTCACCGACCTCTTCTAACTCTTTAAAGACAGCGCCTGTAGGGAGGTGGCGCCTCACTGCACTCTCTACTGGGCATTGCAATCTACTTTCAAGAGGCTGGGGGAGGGTGATGGTTGTTGAAATAATAGCACAATACTAAAAGCTTTCAAATCCTTTTGGAAAGAGAACATGTTCAGAGAAAGACAAAATGCATTTCTGGCAATAAAAAAGAGAACGCTTCTCTATATTTATAGCTGTGGCAGTCAGTTATGACGCTGTTTGTAGCCAGCAGTCTAGGTATTAGTGAAATGACTCAGGGTATGACCTTCAGTAGATCAAAATTAGTTCACAATTATTAAATACTCATGGGGAGCATGACATTTGTCAAATACAAGAAATATTCTCATGTCTCAGCTTTGATGTGATATAATGTCCAATTCTCTTAGATTAACCATTAAAGTGAGAATAATGATATTTATTGTGTAATGATCTGACAGATTTTTAGAAATGAGGATTTAAAATCAGATTAAGAAGATCCATAAATAAGGGAAGTGCATAAGAGAAAGCATAGATGCAAAATGCAAAAAAGGCACATGTCTATATGCACAGAGCTATTGTGAAAAAAAAAAAGAAAAGTAGCCAGCATTTCTGGTAAATAAAGTTGAAATTGGAGTAGGAGGGAGCCAGAACCAATCAGAAATCAATTGAATCAGTATGATGTTTTAGGACCGAATTTCCTTTTTGTCCCCGCTCTCATGCCGTCCTTTAATAGGTCATACTAACTCTTTGTAAGTGGTCTTCAACAGAGAGGAATTGGATACAGGTACTCTAAGGCATTTTGCCAATAAGTCTCTGGGTAACTTGAGACTCTTCACTTAACCTCTCTTAGCATTAACTTCAGAGCTGGGCCATGAAAGGAATGAGACTAGGTAATTTTCAAGGTTCCATCTAGCTCTAACAGTCCCTGTCTCAGTAACCCCAGCGTATAGTAAGAATTGAGAGGCTGAAAGACAGCATCTCAGAAAGTTCAAAATGCAGTTCCAATGGAAAGGTCATTAGTAGGAAATGCCAATTATGCAGCTATGAAAACATATCTACTTTACCTTTCTAAGATTCGGTGTAGAAGTTGACAGTGATCATGGTTGTTCCAGCATCATTTCTAACATCAGTTCAGAGTCCATTTGCCCTAACCATCCAGAACCACCTGTTGTTGTATTCCACCTGGGACCTGATGTCCCGTGTAATGTGCCAAGTTCCCTATTGCCCTAAATCTTTCCTCTGATTCGAACCAACACCACACCTGTACCATTTCTTTGGAGCACTGTTCTCTGTCTGGTAAGAACTACAGAATCTTAGAAGCAAATATCTGTTGACTTTTTTCCTTCTCTGAGAAAACATATGCTAATTTTTATAAAGGGCTTTTAAAGTCTGTCTTAACTGCAAGGGATTACAGTGGCATTAATGGTGGGAATTGTGATTAGCATTACAGAATAATGCAGAAATTGTTTGCACAGTGGAGCAGACTGATACCCCTCTATTGCCCTTCAATTCATGAAGTTTAAATGATCACCCACTCTGTTTATATTTTATGTTAGGTGTAATTCTTACCACATGAGACTTGCATTACCCAGCAGAAACAAAATGGATAAAATGTGGACACTAGAATAAGGTGCTCTGGGTTTGGAATCTCATCTTCACCTATAAGAGTCATGTGACTTTGAATTACAGATAGTTGTCATCTCTCATCTGTATAATATTTCATGGTTTCCTCATCTGCAAAATGGGAATAATAATTGTCTCTACCACTTAGGATTTGGGAGAGAATTAAATGACATAGATAGATAAATAGAAAGATAAATAGATAGGTACATATATACATATATATTAAATGACCACACATGCACACACACACACACATATCTGTATCTCTTAATACAGTGATACCTACTATAACCCTAGGTATTAATATAATAACTATATAACTATAACCCTAGTTATTAGTATAATATAATTCTTACTGCAGCCAAATATATAGACTAGAAATGTTAGAATTAATTTTCAATTAAAATCAAATATTATGAAGGAGGCTTTCCTCTATGAAGTACTTGACTTCAAGGCTTTCCTCTTGAAGTACTCAATTTGATTTTTCCTCTGGGCAGACAAAGCCAACTGTTTGAGCATACTCATGATTAGCCATGGATAGTTTTCAGTGGATGCAAAATGGTAACCATTCTTTAACAGAGAGCAATAATTTAAATTCTCCTTATTTCCCAACCACTGGGAAATCAACTAATAAAAATATGACCTAATACAAAGTAATGAAATTAAAAAACCCTTTAAAACTTATACTGGAAATGCCACTTTTAAAATAAATGAATGAAAAACAAATGAAATTCTAAGTTGCATATGTCAGTAATTAATAAGAGATAATGAGATATAATATTGAGAATTCAGAAAAAGGCTCAAGAACGAAAAGAGCTGCCTGAAAAATCTCTCATTTAGATCCAAGTATAAATACTAAGGAATAATTTCTAGAACAAAACAATAACAACAAAACAGATCTGTATGATAAGCCATTGAAGGCTAAAGTGCATGGAAAGAATATTAATATTCTTCATTATGTAGGAAGTTGTGAAACTTGTCATTGACACAATGCACACGATCTTATTTTGAGGCTCCTTACATCCTGAGGATATTTAATTTGATATTTATTGGATTATTTACAACTAGCTTTCATAATATACTGGGATAAGCATCTCAAGAAGATCAGAAAGTTATATTGTCCCCCAGATTCTTCTTTTTCATGGTTTCCCGGCTTGTGGGTTATTGTCTTCTTTTGATTTTGTGAACAGAATAACCAGCCATGCAAATGATTACTGAACATGTGCCAGTTTGGGCCCCACAGAAGTTTAACAAATTAGCTTCTTTTGATTCAATGCAAATTGCCATGGAACAGAAAAATGTGAGGTATTTGCACCCAGAGAGTGAAATTTCTGTTTAATTTTCTTGCTCCTGTGGATTGAACTTGAAATAGGGGAAAATATGTTTTCTCAATTCTCTGGCTCCCACAGGCTATGAGTTTAATGTCAGACTTGCCTGTCCATATATTGAACTCACACTGTTATCCAAACAGACCATTCTCAGAATCTCAGCATACAACTCTTTATTTTATATTTAGCAACCTGAGGGAAAGAGTGAGTGATAGAATAAAGCTATAAAATTAAGAGCAGGATAGAAAGTACTGCAACTCCTGAGGGAAAGAAATGAACGGTCTATTCATCAAATCTGACAAATGTATAAGTCCTAAGAGAAGATAAAAATATGAATTCACTTGAGGAGAGTTAAGCGACATAGATAATTTGACCTGAACCTATCCAATAACTTTAGTAATTACATGCTTTCTCCTGCTTGGTTAAGAAGTGGCTGCAGACAGAATCCACAGGTTTTTGAATGGAAGTGCTTATGTAAGCTATCTCTTAAAATAAAAATGGTGACTCATGCAACTTTGCTTAATACTTTAGCTCCTTATACTTTCCTTGCATAGCTTTCCTTCACCATCTAGCCAGATACTAAAGGATGAAGACATGGATTCCCCCAGATTCCTGTGGTCAGTTTTCTCCCTGAGTCAAAAGCTGGTGGGTTGTTTACTGTTGGGTGCATGACATTCTTTGTTCTATCACGGCTTTTTGCCTGAAAGCTTTATTATTTCTATAGCCTATCTCTAGGAGATTTTCTGTCCATTATTTTCTTTTAGGTAAAGTCCAACTAAGAATAATAAAAAATTGTTATGTTCTCTCCTTTTGTATAAGATTTGTGCAAAGAGGTAAATTATTAATCAAACTGTATTAGAGGGGTTTATTTTCTTCCCCTCTCTATGAGGTTCAAACAATTGGGATAGGTTGGACAGGAGGATCAAACATAGCATATGTACAAGGCTATAAGCCTTCCTGTTGTCATGGTAGTTGCTATATGGTTAAAAGAAATTGTAGAAGAGACGGATAATGACTTTCCTACTATTGGAGAAAAGAAAGACAGAAAGATGGGAAAGACATTCACACAGAGCCAAAAGGATTTTCTGTGCCATGATTGAAGCCTCTTGTAATCATCCAAGCAGGTCTTCATAAAGGCACTTTCCTCCATCCTATTGTGCATTAGTTTTGATTTGCCTCTCTCCATTTTCTGTTGGAGAGAAGTGTCTCTGCTCTTGAGGACTCTTGAAGAGAAACTGAAAGACTGCTATCATTTTTGCCATGAAGATGAGTTTTAAATAAAGTGCTCTAGAAAGCTAGTTCCTGCTTTCTGCTCAGATCCTTCTAAGCTAACCACTTCAAATGACTTTTAGTGATGAGGACATTAGCTGTAATAAGATACTAGCCTTGAAAATGCAGCTGCACCCATTGAAAGGTAGCGTCTGTTACAGAGCAGCTTGTTGTGTGACCAGAGAATCATTGGAGATTTCACACAATCTGGAACACACAGATGACACGTTTTTGTATCCTATCCATTGAAATTTGTACAATCAATTTCACCCAAATCTGCTGCTTATCCTAGGTTTTTCCTATTTTTCTTATCTTCAAGTAGTCTGACCATGTTTAAGCTGCCTGAAAATCTATACTTCTCTAATATTTTCTTATTATTTCTTGACAATCCTTTCTATTCTTAAAAAACAGCTCCAGCTAATTACCCATAGTTTAATTTTGTGCTTATAAATGTAAAAAAGAAATCAATAAGCAACTGAGGGCATGGTATAGAAATGGAGAGGAAACAAAAGCAATGGGGTGATTTTTTTCACGTGCTCCTTTTACAGTAGATATTTGGCTCCCTGAAAATGACATTAACTCGGTACATCATAAACTTGAATGTACAGCAGAATCATCTGGAAAGTGCTGGACCCTAACCCCAGAGTTTTTGAGTTTCGAAGTCAGAGGTAGAGTTCAATAATTTGTATTTGTAACAAGTTCTGAGGAGATGCTATTGCTGAGAATCACTGAAATAAGGAGAAAAAGGAATCATCAGTTATAAATTCCACCTGAAGACAAGATGCTCTATAAGCGACCTTTGCTCCCTTTGAAACTGAACAGCTTGGATGGTGCTGAAAAAGGGTTTATGTGTGTAGAAGTTTCTTTCCGGGCAAAATGGCAACTCTTCTGCCAAAATGTCAGATATATCCATTATTTCACTTTTAATTAGTTTCAGGGATGTGTTATGAAATTTAGCTAATTTTTTTTCCAGATATCACTTAGAATTTTACCTGGTCTCTGTTGGTATTGCTACTACTTGCTGTCAGCAGGTTCCAGGTGCTTTGGAAGCCAAGATTGAGCAATCTGGCCTCAATTAAGCTTGATAAATTGTTTCTGAATTAAACTGAGAAAGTTTGAGACAATACCTATAAGTGAAAAAAAAACTAAGCTAGCTATTTATGAATGAAAAACCTTTTATCTAAAACAATGTTAATACCTGAGAACATAAAATATTCAGAAGATTATAATTCTGCTTTTAGCTCTATTGTTTTTAAAACTTGGATGATTTATTTTAAAATATCTTAAATGTATTGTCTTGTTCTTGTCAGGCTGATTATTAACCATTTACACTGTTTACGGATCTCTGCTTCTCTCAGGTTATACTAAATTATTTTTGCCACTTGTGAAGAAAAACCTACTTGCGAATTCTTTCCCTGTTTGTTTGTTTGTTTGTTTGTATGAAATGGCAGCCTTGGCCTCATTCTTTCAGGCAGGACTCATGTCTTATTACTAAAGAGCTTTCCCAAGAAACTCATTTTATCATCGTCAATAGGATTTGGACAGCTTGCAGCCAGCTTCAATAATATTAGTTATCCTCTGGCACCAATTTAAAAAATAATATTATAGATAAAACAAACAGTATGGGAAAACAGAAAAAATAGGAAACTGATCTGATAAAATATTTTCTGTTATATATTTGTGCTCTTGATCTTGTTGCGTTATAAGTATGCACACTATTTTGTGTGTGAATTTTTTTTCACTTAAGTTCATTATAAGGTTTCGTTGTCTATCATAGTTATAAACATTTTGGTTAAACAAACTGTATTATTAAGCTCAGGCTCCCATAAAAAAAAATTCCATAGACTGAGTGTCCTAAATGTATTGTCTCACAGTTTTAGAAGCTGGAAATCCAAGATCAGGGTGTCAGCAGGGTTGGGTTCCACCAAGGCCTCTCTTTTTGGCTTGTAGAGGGCTGTGTTCTTGCTGTGTCCTCATGTGACCTTTTCTCTGTGAGCACATGGGAGAGATCTTTGGTGTTTCTTCCTCTTCTTAAAAAGACACTGTCTTGTGCCTGGCGCGGTGGCTCACGCCTGTAATCCCAGCACTTTGGGAGGCCGAGGCAGGTGGATCACGAGGTCAGGAGATCAAGACCATCCTGACTAACATGGTGAAACACCGTCTCTACTAAACAAAATACAAAAATTAGCTGGATGTGGTGGCGGGCGCCTGTAGTCCCAGCTACTTGGAAGGCTGAGGCAGGAGAATGGCGTGAACCCGGGAGGCGGAGCTTGCAGTGAGCCGAGATCGCCCCACTGCACTCCAGCCTGGGCGTGAGAGCAAAACTCTGTCTCAAAAAAAAAAGACACCATCTTGTCAGACAGAGCCCCATTCCTATGACTTCATTTAACCTTAATTACCTCTTTAAAGGTCCTGTCCTTAATTACTGTCATATTAGAGGTTAGGGCTTCAACATCCGAATTTTCGGATGACATATTCAGTCCAGAACACTAATTTAAGAACTTTTATCTTATTATAAAAGTAATACATGCTAGCCATGGAAAATTTCAAAACTTCTGAAAAAGTGTGAATTAGCAAATTGCAATAATCTGTATTACCATCACCCAGAGGTTACCATTGTTGATATATTATTCTCTTCCTTCAGGATTATCAAGCATATTCACTTTTTATATACTTGAAATCATTTTGCCTAAATGTAGATATTCCTTCCTATGGTTTTACCATTATATATTCTTATCTTTAATATTAAACTTCTGGCTTTTAAAATGTTACTTTTGCAATTATATTTGGTGTTGTAATGAACATCTTCTGCATCTGACTATTTCTTTAAGATATATTCTGAAATTGGTTGCTCAAAATTATAAAAACACTATTTTTCTTACACCAGCAATATATAAAATTGTACACCATACTGAAACCTGGCCATCATGTCGTAGTTTCATAACAAACAAAACATTAACAAAAAACTTACCATCACTGACCGTCATTAAGGCTACATTAATTTAATTGAGATAGAGATACTTGTGTTCTGTTTTTTGAGGATTTTGTTTTGTTTCTTCTTTGAAAGTTTTATACTGTCGGGGGAGCATTCAGCCTGAGAGCTTCTTTTTAATGTAATCTATATTTACTAACTTTTAAAAATATATATTTTTATTTTAAGCCCAATAATCTCTTTCAGAAAATTTCTTAGTATAGGTTTGAGCTTTCAACATCAACATTTAAATCAAATTTTTAAGTTAAATATTGTATTGTAACATTAAATCAAGTTGGGCATACTAGGTTTAAAGGTACTCTGAACTCACCCACCACCAGGTTATACATACTCTCACTCAATCATGTAAAGAATTGAATTCTTTATTTGTGATAATCATAAGCATGGCTATTCTATATTTCTATCCAGAAAGGCAATTTTCTCCTATTATCGGTTTTGTTCTTCTCTTATACACAACAACATGAATTCTATTGCATGAAAGGGCTACAAATATACATTTAGCCAAGCAGAATACACAGATAATTTGCTTTACAACTTGCACCTAAGATGTCAGTACACGTAGCTGGTTCATTAATTGTCATAGCAATTTGGGGCTAATGCCCAAGCTATGCATAGCAGTTCACATTTTCAAACCTCATATAGAAAGAGAGATTGGGATGTGACCTGGTAACTAAATTCCTGTGAAGCCTATCTCAGTTACAAATAAATCCATTTACTAACTTTTAAATATTTTTCTCTATATATGTCCCATTAGCTGAATTTCTAGAGAAGAGAACTTAAAGAAAAACACTATAGTCACGCAAGTAATGACCCTTCTTATCCTCAACCCCCAGCATATATGCACAAGGACAAACAGTATACATACAATCTCACCTGAGAGACGTCCTCAGACTTGTGTTGAAACCTTATCATGCTGCATTATCTCCCTTACAACATCCTTCCTGCCTTGTTTCTCATTTTCACACTATACGGAGTAAAAAAATATACAATTTCTATATATTATATATATAACCTCCATATATTTTATACTATTTCATATTTTTATACTATCAGATTAATGTTTTATATTTTATCTATCATTTTAAATATGCTATGTAAAGCATCTACAAAATTGGTCACCATTCCTATGGGAAGTATCTGCAGAACTCTAGAAATGAATTCATCTTTTGCTTACCCCTCCCTTTTTGAGGGGACAGGGACTTTCTTCTTTTCCCTCATCTTCATCTTCTCCCGTGGCATCATCCATTATGCATCATTCATTTTTTTTCCCTGCTCCCTATGGTCTTTGCTTATTGAAATACTCAACAGTGGCCAATTTATTGGAATTGAAAGGCTGCTAAAATACATCATCTCACAGAGAAAATGTCATTTATTTTTCCTACTTTTTTCTCTCATAGTGTCAGCTTCACCCAATCAGTGGATAACCAAATTATTTTTAACTAAATATAAAAGAAAAAAAAAAGACAATAACCATAAAGAAAACACCTTGATTAAAGCATTTTAGACATGAAGAAAAGATTGCTGTGAAAATCTTCTTTTCAGAGAGTTTGATTTTATGACCTTAGAATACAGATGATAGCCATGATTTCCAGTCTGTGTACCATGGAATCCTGGAGCACTGAGCAAACTCATGAGATACTCTGGGATATTTTAAATGTTGAAGGAAAACATAGCAATACTAGACAGATGTCATACACAGTGCAAACTACTAGCTTGAGGTAGTTCACAGTTTCAATATTAGATTGGCCTGCATATTCCTTTTGATGATATCTTATCTTTTTGAAGCTGGGTTTTTGGCATTTTTTTATGACAAAAAGCACAGGCTGCCTGAAAATGTGGCTTAGGAATAAAGTGATGCATTCAGTCAGATTCCAAGGATTGAGATGCTGTTCAGTGTCCAACAGGTATGCAAATAAAAATAAAATTTAAAAGTAAAATAAATTTTTAAGTATTGGTGGCTGCCTCTAAATTTCTAATAGCACATCTCAAGCTTTTCCTTTGTATCATTATTTTGTCATTATTTTTAAGCAAATTTTTAATTGTGGAAGAAATTAAAATTTTTTTCTTATAGTGTATTTGTGTTATTTTTCAAATGATTTCTATGTTGCTTGATATAAATATTTATTAAGTTATTTGTACTTCTACATAATAAACTAGACTTCAATGTATTTTTTTTTTTTGACTTAGGATTGCTGAGGGAAAATTCCTGAGGCATTAAATAAAGGATATATGAACAAAGAGTTTTGGAACCTCTGGGCAATGTACTGCAATTTCTTCCCAAACACACTGACCAGATTTAATGGAAAAAAAATAGTTTTCACTCAGGTGCCAGAAATTGGATCAACTGATAATAGATAAGCAATCTCTTTTTACAGAAACACAAATATCACTGAACTTAATGAAGAGTGTTTCCTAACAATGAGGTTAACCATCTTGTATTCCTATGCAATATTTCAGCATTATAAAACGTACATGCTCATGTTACAGATTTCAGGATCACTCAGTCTGTCAACCCCATACTCCGTAAATAAAATAATAAAAGAACAGAGGTGCTAAACAGAAAATGTGCCCACAAATATAGCTAACTTAAACATTTTTAGGGTAATTGAAAGATGTTTTGCTAAAGTAAAGTGGGGAGAGTAATAATTTTCTAAAAGTTGGGATAATCTTTCTTATGTGATAAATGGTGTGTAAAGGCCATGAAAGCACCATGTTACAAGTGACTCTAATATGTTAGCCATCGTCTGTAAGAATCTTCACAGTTTTGTGCACTGTGTTGATTTTCTTTGAGTGTCCTTATTTTTGCTTCCAATATAAATCCATCACGTAGTGTTCTTGTATGAAACAATGAATACAAAATATTTCTGAAATTGAAAACTCTGTAACAATCCATGACCCAACCTTAAAAAGATTTTGCTTTCTTTTGTTAAGTGTATAGTCCAGTAAAATATACATCTTTATTGTTGTATATAAGTTGCACTAAATATATGCTGTCTCAATGCTCTTTTAAAATAACATTTTGTTGAGCAGCTTGTTTTACATACCATAAAATAATAAATTTCTTTAAATATTTTGAACAAATATGTTTTTGTTTGAGAAAATAAAGGTCACTCGTAATCACCCATCTGTAAATTAACATTAATAACTTATGAATACATCTATTATGACATTTTCACACAAACATAAGATGAATCCTAATGAAGATGTGTTTTTTTACTTAACAATGACTTATGAGCATTTCACATCATTTTTCATATCGTCTTAGTATTCCATCAAATGGTTGTACCATCACTTATTTTACTCACAACTTATGGATGAAGACTGGGTTTCTTTCCAGTTTTGGTTATCAATTTCATAATGAACATTACAAGAGATGTATTTTTGCATTAACACATGATAGTTTTTGAAACAATTCTGAAAAGTAGAACTACTACATCAAACGGAAGTAAATTTCCACAAGTAGTGATAGATGTTGCCAACTTGACATTGAGGCAGTGGTTCTCCTGCCTCAGCCTCCCGAGTAGCTGGGATTATAGACGCACGCAACCACGCCCGGCTAATTTTTGTATTTTAGTAGAGACAGGTTACGCCATGTTGGCCAGGCTGCTCTCAAACTCCTGACCTCAGGTGATCTACCCGCCTCGGCCTACCAAAGTGCTGGGATTACAGGTGCCTCGCCAATATTCAAGTATATTTTTCCATTGCTTTTGACATGTAATGTGGCTGCCTCTAAAGTTCTCAGACAATGTCTCCCCCTCAAAGATCTAAACATCTTTCTCAATTGTAGTCTCAATAATATTTTAAAAGACCATCCATTATATTTTCTTCCACCTTGTTGATTTGCTTGTTTATTTTTTCTATCTAGAGATAAACAGTTTTCTTTCTCCTGATACTTCCCATGGTACGTCTAAGACTGGTTATCTGTTCAATGATTTAGCGTATAACATGTTAGGCTCTTTTAATCACAGATTTATTTTGGTAAAGTTTTGATAAATATTCTTCTATTATATCTTTGAATATTTCCACTTTCTAATATGCTTAATCATTTCTTTAAAAATGCTAATGATCCACAAGTTGCATTCCCTATCCCTATATTTCATAGCTGTCATCTATCATCTACTTCCTCAATTTATTTTTCATCTTACCACTCTTGACTCTGCATTCTAATAGCACATCTCAAGGTTTTCCTTTGTATCGTTATTTTGTCATTATGCAATATAATAAATGTTGCCCTTCTATCAGGGCAAATGAGTTCTATCATTCTGCAAATGAGTTTAGAGCTTCCTTGTATTCTTTGTAATTTTATTCTTACTACTTTCCATCTGTTCATATGAACTTTTTATCTCAGTCTCTTTTTATGTCATGGCTTTCTGTGGTCCAAAAGTCTATAGTCTATAGATTCTTTCATTCTACTGGGGATTGAAAACATTTTTCAGAGGACTTTATTTTTTGTCATTTTTTAGAGTGATGATACATTTCTTTGAATGACTTTTGCATTTTTTTCCCAAAGCCTTCTCCTTTTATTTTTATCAACGTGTTTAAAAATCATGATTTGGCTTTCCACAACAGAGGATTGTCTTAAATCTTACTATTTGAACATTTGATTCATGAAAATATACTTTGGTTTTCTAGATTGAAATTTGAAGGACAGAATAATTTTATCAGCACTCCTTTACAATTAATTAACTAAGGAGTATTTAGTACTTTTCTTCAAAATATTTTAAATGAGACACTTTTTAATGATCACATAGAAATAAAAGGAAAGTATAACTGAATAAAAACAAAAGTTAAACATCAAATAAAACAAAAATTTACTTTGCACTAGAGTATAAATTTCCTAATGGCAAGAGTTTTCCTTTTTGTCCCATTTTTATATATCCTGTGCCTAGTAGAGTTATCTAGATTGTAACAAGCAATCAATACTCTAAGTAAATACATACCTTGTTAAATCATTATTGAGTTTTGTTCAAGATTTTGTTTAGTGATTACCTATTAATTTCCTATGTTTTATCCCATTCTTTATGTATTATTCATAATACTTTGAGCATGTTAGCTATTCAGTACATATATATGTATATATTTTATTTATTGACACATAAATGACGTTTAGAATGGACTCATGCAGAACTTAAGATTTAGTTAAATAAAAAATACATTTTGACATTCAACATTGAATGTTCTACCCAACTGTGAGATTTTTATATGCAATACTGAAATGATAAGAATTACTGAGGCCAAAATAGCATGAATTAATAAATTGGATTATACAAAGCAGTATGTGATGTTTTTATCTGAAAAAATACAATAAAGCATATTAAGTTGTTACAAATTTAATACTCCTATGATATTTGGAGTGGGGGGAAGAGAAAAGATAAATTTTGCTCCTCTCTGTGTATGGAATTCCCAAGCAACTCATGTAGGTTAATGATACACTTAAGGGGCCTACATATGATTTGCATAAACTACAGCTGTCGAATTTGCATAATTTGTAAATGCAGCTACGCATAACCTGTTTTGTCTGTTTTCTGGTTCTAGACAAGGTTAAGTCCACCTCAAAATTTATCTTCTTGAATTTTTCCTATTAAGTTTTTTGCATTCACCATTGTTATTTCTGCTGTATCTTGCAAAGGCTGGAAAAACGCTGAATTAATAAGCTATGGGGCTCTGTTTAGGAAGAAAAACTGAGTTAGAATTAGTTAAAGAGGCTAGGTGTAGTGGCTCACACCAGTGATCCCAGCATTTTGAGAGGCCAGTGTGGGAGGATCACTTGAGCCCAGGAGTATGAGATCAGCCTGGGCAATGTAGTGAGACCCCCATCTCTATAAAAAAAAATTAAAAATTAGCTGGACATATTGGCATGCACCTGTAGTCCCGGCTATTTGGGAGATTGAGGCAGGAGTTTGAGGTTGCAGTGAACTATGATCATACCACTGCATTCCATCCTGGGTGACAGAGCAAGATTGTCTCAAAAAAAATTAGTTATAGTTTGATTACTCCTCAACCAATAAATGCACAAAAGCTTATGCACTTATGGATCTTAAATTTTATTTATTATCATCATTATTTCTTCCTCTCATTTTGTATTACTCAAACATTAGTGTGCATATAATTCTTCTAAGGATCTTATAAAATGCAGATTCTGATTCAGTAGGAAAGAGATGAGGCCTGAGATTGTGCATCTCTCACACAAGCTCCCAGGAGCTAGGAATGGTACTAATAAGGGAACCAGTCAGAATAGCAAGGTTCTAGGTCATGTGAAATGTGGCATCAAATTACCAATGACTTGTAAGTGATTTTTATTTGAAATCGATAAGAAGAGTATTCAAAAATTATTTTTTAAATTAAGTGGACTTAAAAAAATTTCTACTGCTAATTGTTGCTGCTTTTCATCTATCATTTAATGAGTATGAAGGTTATGTGACATAACTTACAGGTTTGTATTTATAAAATCAAGGCTAGAAAATGTACAAATATTAAACCTTTAGAAGCATTTAAAGATAATGCTTCTAAAGGCAAAAATAATAGTTTTCTTATTCCATTCACACTGAGAAATGACTACATATTTGTGTGTATTTGCATATGTGTATGTGTGTATAGATATATATTTTTATATATGTATATACAGTTATGTGTCACTCAATAACAAGAATATGTTGTGAGAAATGTGTTGATTTCATCACTGTGGAAACATCATAGAGTACGCTTACACAAACCTAGATGGTATACCCCACTACATACCTAGGCTATATGGTATAGCCTATTGCTCCTAGGGTATGAACCTAGACAGCATGTTACTGTACTGAACACTGTAGGCAGCTGTAACACAATGTAAGTATTTGTGTATGGGAACATGTCTAAATATAAAAAGATACAGTAAAAATGCAGTATTCTAATCTTATGGGACCTCCATTCTCTATGTTTTCCAACAATGTTTCAAATGTTATTTGGCATAAGATTGTGTGTGTGTGTGTGTGTGTGTGTGTGTGTGTGTGTGTAATTTGAGAGATTTAATCATGATTTAAGAGTTAATAAAATATTTTAAGCTTATAACCTTTCTTATTGCAACTTGATTTAGTTAAATAAATTGAAACTTAACCCTCAAATAATAAGTCCTGGATGAATGTTTTTGGGAAATTGGACTTAATTCCTGTTGAATTCAATATATTTTTCAATTGCATGGTGCTGGTCAAATCATTTAATTTGAACTCATTAAAGTCAAGAACCCTTCTATTGGGGAAAGCTGGCTGGTTGGGTTGTTAGGAAAACAGAACATAACTTAAACGGCCACAATTTAATAATTCAGCTAAACTTGTTTTCAAATATCAACATACTGATTAAAACACTTGACATTTGTGGAAACATTAATAATCTTGAAGTTTCTGGCAAAAGGGATGCAGAAGAAGGTAAGAGGGAGACAATAATTAATAGGGAATTTGGGAGGTGATAGGTTTTGTTGACTAATAGCTATTTGTTCCAATTATAAATAACATGGAGAAAAGTCATGAATAAAAATTTAAATGTCATATACGTCTACTTTTGTTTACTTTATCTTTTTTCTGTGCAAACCTATTTGTGTGAACAACACTATTTTATATATTTTAAAAATAATGGTAGAGTATATGCTGTATTTACCTTTTTTAAAGTTTAGACCTATGTGATTTCCCAGATTGTTAAATTACTAAAGAGTCAGTAAATATATAAATCTACACTTCAGCTTGCACTCTGGATTCTACCCTATAGGTAGAGTAGGGGTTATTCAGCCAGTTACATATATCTGGATATTCCAATTTGTTGCAATTTTTATTATTATGAAAAGTTCTGAAGTTAACATTCTTGTACAACATCCTTTTGTATATACTTCCATATTACCTTAAAATAAAATCTTAATAACATTTGTAGTTTAAAAATTATAGCATTTTAACATTATTAAACATATTGCTGACTTGTTGCCCTCCAAAAGGTTTTTACCTCGTGACCTCTTTAGCAGTAAACATGATTTTTCTCTATAGCCTTGCCAAGACTGAGTAGTAATATTAAAGTATTTATTTTCATTTTTGCCATTATGATATTTGAACTAGTAACATATGGTTGTATTAATTTGCCTTTTTTGATTATTAGTTTAAGCTAATTTTTTTCCTCATAGGTATGTGGTCTATGTGTATTTCTTTTGATTTAAGGTTTTTGATGATTTTCAATTGGGGTATGTAAATTGGAATATTATGATATTGGTTTATAAGAACCTATTGTACATTAGGGATTCTAACTTCCATATCTTTTAGACAGTCTCTAATAATATTTTGCCTGTTTATCATTTGCCTTTTAAAGCAATTTATGGTGTTTTACCATGTGATATTTTAAAACTACATGAATTAAACTCTCAGAATCTTCTTCACTATGGTTGCTTTCCTCTAAAAGTTTCCTTTCAGAAATGAGAAATTATAATTCCCAATATGAGGAATGATCCTATTGCAACCATTGCACTAATTTGAAATGAGGGACAGTTTACCTACCCTCTGCTGTTTTTCCTTTTATATATATATAAGAGGATAGCAGAGTTTGGTATGGGTTATCTTATATCAAAATAATCCAAATCTTCTTTAGGAACTATTCATTTATTCCTGGAAATTAGATATTTTGGAGGAAATCCTACTAGCCTTAAAATTGGAATCAAACACCTCCTAGAATATTTATCATATCATCTGTCAAGATATATGATTTCATAATTTATTAGTTTAAGTTTCATCCCTATTAAATCTGAATAGCTAGGAGGAAAAAAGGCAATTGCATGGTTGAGTTACTGACATTTTCGTCTAGTCCAATTTGGTCACAGCTATTGGGTTAAGAGGTCATATTTAGCACCACTAAAGGGAGGGACAGTTATTTTGGCTCCATATCTCTGGAGAAACTTTGGTAAACTGCGTCAACAGGAATATGTTTAAAGGACAAGGAGGGAGTTTTATACTGAAACCAATTTGCATACACATACCTATATGTTGGTTGCCACTGAATGGCGTTCTAAACTTACACTAAATATGGTATTATTATGCATTGGTAAGTAGGTATTTTAAGAAATACATAAATGTCTTCTACTTGTCTAGATATCAATCCATTCCCTGAAATATTGATTTCTTGAATTATACACTGCTGACTAAAATAATCCATGCATTTCCAAATCTGTAATATTTTTAAAATTACTTAAAGTGAGTAACTTGCTCACCTGGAAAAATAATAGTGCCTTGTTAACTCTCAATTATCCATGCTAATGGAAAGCAATCTGTCCAAGGATTTTTTTTTTCATTGCCGTAGAAATGTTAGAGGTCAAAAATGAGAGAGCCTGAGGACAGTCTGCAAGAAATGAGATTCTCAGGAAGACTCTAGGGATATGCCTTATGAATTAAGTTTCTTATTTTGCATGCATGGATAAGAATGAGAAGCAGAAGAATTCTGGACATATTCTCTGATGACCAACAGATAACTATGTTTTCAATAGTACAGGGCATGCTAGTGCAGCTACAACTAGATAGCTATGACCTGGTATGGGGAAGTCTGAAATCAGAGTGACTTCTTCCATTTGGCAAATATCAGTTAAAATATCTACTGTGTGCATGTACACTCCTGGGTATTAGGGTTACAAGATAAATGAGCTGGACACGGTACCTGAAATTCTATTGATGAGACCAAAAAAACCCAAGCAAAGTGAGTAAAAAATATTTATTTAAGGAAAAGTACTATGAAGAAAATAGGGTGATTTTATATAGTGTAATTGCACTGAGGGGCAACTTTAGCCAGTAGATCGGAGAAAGTATCCTATGCAGTGCTGTCGAATTGAGATCTTGGTGGAAAGTCATTGGAGAGGTTTCAATAACGAAGTGACTTGATGTTGTTTTCATATAAAAATGTGAATCAGGCTACTGTGTGGGAAATGGCTAGAGAGGGAAATAGTGAAAGAAAGGCAAGCTACCAGGCTATAGCATTCCATTCGTACAAAGAAAATAAATCCAGTGAGAAGGAAGTCAGCTGTTCTTATGGGCCTAATAAGCAATGGCCAGCCAAGTCTAATACGCACACCCTCGGGAGTGGACAGCGTGAGCATTTAGGTACAAACTGGTGGGCCCATTGTGGCTACAGATGAGAACATGAAGCAGGTTATAGATTTGGTGGAGAATACAACTGGAACAGGAGAAATAAAAACAAAGGAAAATAAAACGTCTATGGCTGTGATACTGAAGTTTGGCTGCACATGGGAATCATCTGGGATATATATATATATATATATGGAGAGAGAGAGAGAGTGTGTGTGTTTGGCTCTTGTTGCCCAGGCTGGAGTGCAATGGTGCAATCTGGGCTCACCGCAACCTCCCCCTCCCAGGTTCAAGCGATTCTCCTGCCTCAGCCTCCCGAGTAGCTGGGATTACAGGCATATGCCACCATGCCCAGCTAATTTTATATTTTTAATACAGAAGGCATTTTTCCATGTTGGTTAGGCTGGTCTTGAACTCCTGACCTCAGGTGATCCACCTGCCTCGGCCTCCCAATGTGCTGGGATTACAGGTGTTCGAGCCACCGCACCCAGCATAATTTTTTTTTTTTTTTTCTGAGACAGGGTCTCAGTCTGTCACCCAGGCTGGAGTTCAGTGGCATGATCACGACTCATTGTAGGCTCAACCTCCCGGGCTCAAGTGATCCTCCCATCTCAGCCTCCCAAGCAAGTCGCAGGGACCACAGGCATGCACCACCAAAACCAGCTAATTTTTTGTGCTTTTGTGGAGACAGGGTTTCTCCATGTTGCCCAGGCTGGATATTTTTTTAAATACTGATGGCTGACCCACCTCGCCTCCCCACCCTCCTTACCATCACCACAACTATAAACACACACACACACACACACCACCCAAGATTTTGATTTATTTGGTTTGAAGTGTGATCTGAACAGTGAGTTCTTAAAAGCTACCCAGGTCATTCCAATCCATGGCTACCTTTGAGAACCACCGGTTTTGGCAGAGCCCTAAGCAGACCACAGGAGTTAGTGGATAGTGAGGAAGAAAATAAGCTAAATGTGCATCTAGGTAGTGGTACCCAAAAGAGCATCATCGAGTATGGAAAGTCTTTCAGGACAGCCTTCAGATGTGTAATTCTTAGGAGGAATCCTAATTCCTTAGTATGCCAGGCCTCCAGAGTCAAGCAAATGTTTGAAATTCCTTATGAGAGATTTCTCCACTTTAGGGGCTTTTACATTTATGTAAATAGCACCTTTAAATTCTCTTCTGCCCATTTAAAATTCTCCGTGTACTTAAAAATGCATTTGTAACTACAGCACAGAAAATTAAACTTCCTGCATAAAGACATTTATAGATGCCATTAAATATAAAATTAGTATTGATTTGTAAATACTTAGGTCAAGACTAGTACTAGTATAAAAACAAATTATAGTCCTCTATTACATATAAAATACCAGCTAAATTTCATTTTCACTGTGATTAATGTATATTGGGAAAAGTCATAATCTGTAATTTAGATTTTTCTAAATTTATAAAGCCCGTTTTAATCCGTTACAAAGATTGCTGTTTATTGTGGTGTTTGAAAATGTTGGAACAGAGATGACCATGTTCTAAATATAAAAGTTAATTTGAAACAATTTAAAAGCACACACAAGAAACTGCTCTTAAAATAAAAAAAAATCAGTCATACTAGATATGAAAATATGAAACTATTATATTCTTAATTTTCAAGGCTATGAAAATACCATGCTTAGATGCTTTCTAGCACACATTTAAATCCTTTTTCTCTTCTTAAATTATTTATGTTTGTTTTTGAGATGAGCTTTGAATAAATAGGTTGTTTATGTATTTTCCTCTTCTGGATAGTCTGTTCAGGAGTAATTGACCATGAAAATGCTTTGGAGTGAGGTGGGGACAAAGACAGAGAATCCTTCTTGTGATATAGTTAGATTTAAGTTCTGCCATGACTAGTTTGCTCTGCTTACTAGTTTATGAAGCAGACTTCCAATCAGCACAGTTGTCACTCATAACCTCCAGGCCTTGGAGATATTCTATATGCCTTCCTGAAGTTGGTAAATTTTTTATCACAACACATTTATTTTGGCATACAACATATTCTGACTTCACTGATCCAAAAATATCTTAAGATTTTAAAAAAACTACAGTAAAGATGAATTCATAGCATTCTTTTTAAATTTCATTTTTAATATTTTAAACATAGTTATTCAGTTGTATTTTCCAGAATTGGCTTTTTTTCTGAAATTTTTAAATTCTACAAATTCAAACAGTAACTGTGTAATACATTCACCAATACCTTTATTGATTTAATTTCTAAATAAAGGAACCCAAAGACAGTATATTGAGTTTATTTCCTGATGTGTTTTATTTGTTAACTTTTTCCTCCAGTATATCTTCTATTCTTTTGAATAGAAATACAAAAATAAATAAAGCTTTTTTTTCTCTGCAGAAAGGGAGAGTTAAAAATAGTATCCTTTTTATATATATACTTAAATGTTTAAAATTTTAATAACTGGTGAATAATCTTGAGATTAATGAGTATACTAAAATGTAATAATTCCTGGAGCAAGGAGATACATACTGTAAAGGTTTTATCATGAAATTCATTCAAAAAGTTTGAAAATGCTGCCTACTCTTTTCAGCTCAATAAATCTATTTTTATTTTGATCCATGAATTCTGTCTTTCTAATGAATCTTTTTCAATGACACTGATTTTTCTTTTACATTTTCTATAAAGAATATAGATAAAAGGAGAATCCTAAAATTCCTAACATTATTCTCATTTTGGGTACCATCATACAACATAATTTTAAAAGCTTCACTGTTTCAATAAAAAAACTAATATAATCATGTTTATCTGACAGACCCATTGCTTTATTCATTATAATCAAATAGAAGAAGAGGAAATTTATGGTGTTTTGAGAATGCATGCAGGTTTTCTTTTTGTTTTTTCTTTTGAGGTGTGAATACAGTAATAAAATACTGACTAATGCTTGAAAGGCTTGAAGAAAGGACTAGCGGTGGAGTCCAAGGACAAGAAGAGATGAGAAGCTTTTTTTTCTTTTCTTTTCCTTTTGGTTTCAGAGGGAAGAAGCTATGTAAATTGGACTGGGAATTAATATCCAGCTTCAGTCAGAGAATAAGAAATAGCTTGAAAGTACAGAGATTGCTGATGTCACCTGAAACTTACTTTTAATCAAAAGCATCTTTCTAGAAATAGAAGGGCAATTATCACAGGTGGATCTGGGGTATCTTTCCCTTGGCCTGAGTGTGAACATCAAAGTTAGAGAAAAGAAGTTCCCAATGAAGACCTCCTCAAGTTGTTATACATTTGGGGATTCCATGAAAGGAGATGGTGCTTCGCTCTGGAAATTGGTAATTAACACTATATATCTCTACTGAGAAATATACCAGACATGTATAGCTGCTCCTCAGAATCAGTAAAAACCATAAAGACATTATCATCCCCTCACTGAGCACTCACTGGCTATTGATTTGCTAAACTGGTCTTTAGTTTGCCAATGCTTAGCTTCCTTCCGGTTACTAGTTCAAGATCCTGCTGTTGCAGGGAAGCTCCATTTCATATCTTTATAGCAGTGAAAAGTATCACCTAACTACTTCCTGGTTCAGATAGTGATGGGTGTTTCAAGCATCCAGGCATTATTATCACCTTCAATCCCCAGGATATTTTACAGCAAGTAAAGCCATACCTCACAGGAGGTTCATAATTTAGAGCCTCATTTAGTTAACCATTTCCCTGTTACATACATATGTATATGGACCAGAGCTCTCTTCATAGACTCCATTCTTCTTTAATCTGACTCAGTTCTATTCTCCTTAGTATCCTCTCATGCCTTCTCCCCTTACCTAACTAATCTAAATAAAATTGCCCTGTGTAGACACTAATTGAAGATATATAAACATGTCTTAAAAATCAAGATACTGAACTCTTTTCCTGGTCCCCATTTTTGTGTAATGGTATCATTCAAGTTTAGGTTTGATGAAAGTATTCCTATCATTAGATTCAGACATGACCTATAGTTATTTACCTACTAAATAATCACCAATAGTGCCATTTCTTTCCTGGGTGAAAACAGGCCTCAGGCAAATCAGACAGCACTCTTGACTTGTGTTGTTTCTGTCTCTAAAGTTGGGGTTAATTTTCATTCTTAAATTAATCTGATTACGTCAATAAAGAGACTCAAAATAAATCTAGGACAATAGGGTGCCCTTAGTAAATTATTACACACTTGTCTATTAGAAAATATTAAAAGTTTACAAGGTCTTGTTTTCCATATCAAGCATGAATAGGAATCAAGATTTTAATATTCATTTTGATAATTTCCCATCTGTATAATGAGGGAATAAAAATATAATTCTTTCTCTGGAATATTTGGGGAGTTTATTATAAAGGGCCAATTTTGTTTCATGTAAAATAAAATTAGTTATTTTCTAAATTCGTTTTATAAAAATATCTCCATCCCATTCTTAGATTGATTACAGATTTAGACAAATAAAATTAAGTCTGAAGATTTTAATAAAGGGCTTGAAAATTCATGTCTGTATTGAGACTATTCCTTCTTTCTAGAAGAGTATAGCAGCCCCTTAGCAGCTATAAAAGCCACTGTTTCTGGGAGATAATGAATTGTTGGATCAAGGCAGAAGTGATTTCAGCAATTTGTTCCATTCCCAGAAGTCAGAGCTTTTAAAAGCTTTGCATGTTTGCGTCTATTTGAAGGTCTACAGCCCAGAGCCTTCTGCTTTGGAAGAGGCCAGAGTGTTTCTACCACAGAAACCTAGTATATCTTCCATGTTCATGATAAAGCAGCACATGCAAAATGAAACTCACACCAGCACATATGAACTTGTTCCAGGGATGCTACAGAAAACCAAATTATAAAGACTACACTATAGAATAATATCAAAAGCACAGTACCTGGGGTGAGTTCAGTAAGACCATCAGGTTTCTTCTGTCACAGACCATCTATATCTGGCTGTGTTCAGATGTAGTGCCTTGCCCAGAGGCACTTGATAATGAGCGCTTGCCCAGAGGAAGAAGCTACACTTATTATCTTCCATCCGTGTCCTATAATAGAGAAACAATTAAATTGGGAAACTTGTGCTAGAAAATATATTTAGGGTTAGAGATAAAATATTTTTCCCATACAACTTAACAACAACAATAATGATGAATGCTTATAGTCATTAATCTAGGCCTTTTATATATATGATTTCTAATCATCACAAAAATTCTATAAAATACATGTTATTTTTACTTTTAGATGAGGAATTACTACTCATTGATATTACATAATTTACCCAAGGTCACACTGCTAGAATTGTACTAGTACCTTGGCAATAAGTTGCTAGTTATCTCAGCCTATAAAATGTAGGGCATATGGACATTAAGATTATAAATTAGCTTTGGTGTAATCAAATTTTATAATTTGTAAACTGGACTATGTTGTGCATCCTTTCATAGTTTAGGATGATTAAGAGTTTGGACCTTATAAGTAAACTGCCACATTTTGAATCATAGGCCCCAACTGGGTACTACTAGTGAATTCTCAGAGTCATTAATCTAGATTGTTTCATGCCTCTCCTTATCTTCATCTATAAAAATGGATAATAGGACTAACTGCTTCACAATCTCTTTGCCTTGAATTAGGTGAGATAATGCAAGAAGAACAACAAATACCATACATGTGATAGTCATTAATAAATTTGAGTTGTTATTATCTAATTATTAAGGAGAATTTAGAAAATTCATAAAAGCAAATGAAGAAATAAATCATTCCTTGCCTATTACCCAAACACAATGTTATCAAGGTCTTGTAATATTACCTTTAAAGTGATTTTAGAAGGCTTATTTAATCTAATTAGATTTATTTATTTATTTAGAGTCTCGCTCTGTCACCCAGTACAGTCGGGATATCATAGCACACTGCAGCTTCAAAGTCCTGGGCCCAAGCAGTCCTCCTGCCTCAGCCTCCTGAGTAGCTAGGACTACAGGTGCATGCCACCATGTCAAGCTAGCAAGCTTCTTTTAAAAGATCACATATTTGCAGAGTTGTAATCATAGTCACATGTACAGTTTACTACCCAAATTGATATTACTACCTGAGCATTTTTCATTTTCTTACATAATCTTCCAAAACATTCATTTTATCTACCACAAAATATTAAATTGAATAAAACATTTTTGCTGAATTTGTGGAGCTGGGCTTTTAGACCGGTTTTAACATTTCAGTGTAATATGTAATGCAGCTCAAAAGCTTTGTGCAAGTGGTTTCTGGATTTAGGATGTAGTTTTCTTTGACCCCATATCAACTTGTGGTAATTGATCTTAAGGATTCTGTTTGTGTGGTTTTTAAAAGAATATTCTCTCCAGTCAATTTTGGTTCCACTTATTATTTAATAAAATCGTTTGTAATATTCTAGCCTGACTCAGCTGTGCCAAGGACAAATAAGGGGAAGAGGTTTCCCTTCCTTGGGATAGACTTTTACAAATCTTTGGCTTTTCAGATTTTTTTTAACATGAAGGACGCTCATCAAAATTATTTTCGATGCTTTTAAGCAAACTCTGATGCCGTTAGAGTCATTGTTATTTGCAAGCATTGAGGGAATATCACTTGCATCTATATGTATTTTAGCGGCCACACCTTAAGGATATTAATACCACATAGGTAATATCACCTAATACCATAAGGGTATTAATATGACATTTAATCTTATTTTGGGCTTTTAAGTTTAGTTTATTGGCATTTTTTAAAGTTATAATTCAAAATGGGGGTGGAGCAAGATGGCCTATCCCATGCCCCTGGACAGGAACACCAAATTTAACAACTATCTATATCTTGTGAAGGTGTTTTTTTTTTCTGCATAGAAACCAAAAATCAGGTGTGCACTCACAGTACCTGGTTTTAACTTCATGTGTCTGAAAGCAGCACTGAAGAGGTTAGAAAAGACCATCTTGATCTGAGGATGCCACCCCTCTCCCATCTCCCAGCAGCAGCCACGTGGCATGGAGAGAATCTGTGTGCTAGGGAGAGGGACAGCACAGTGATTGTGAGATACTGCTTTGAACTCAGTGCTGCCCTGTCACAGCTGAAAGCAAAACTGGGCTGAACTCAGCCAGCACCCATCCACACAGGGAGCATTTAGATGAGCTCTAGCCAGAGAGGAATCGCCCATCCCAGCAGTCTGAATATGAGTTCCAGCAAGCCCCGTCACTGTGGGCTAAATTGCTCCAAGACCTTAAATAAACTTGAAAGGCAGTCTAGGCCATAAAGACTACAACCCCTAGACATGTCCTAGTGCTGAGCTGGGCTTGGAGCCAGTGGACTTGGGGGCACGCTACCTACTGAGACACAAATGGAGGTGGCTAAGGGAGTGCTTGTACTACCCCTTCCCCAACCCCAGGGAACGCAGCTCCTGACTCCAAAAGAGACCCTTCCTTCCTCTTGGGGAGAGGAGGGAGAAGAGTAAAGAGGACTTTGTCTTGCATTGAAGTCCTCTTTGATGAGTGGGGATTCCTAGCTCCCAGAAACCATTTTTAGAAACACCCTGGGCCAGAAGGGAACCTGCTGCCATGAAGGAAAGGACCCAGTCCTTGCGGAATACGTCACCTGCTGACTAAAGATCCCTTGGGCCTTGAATAACCAGCAGCAATATCCAAGTAGTATACCATGGGCCTTGGGTGAGACTCTGAGACTTTCTGGCTCCAGGTGAGACCCAGCATATTGCCAGCTGTGGTGGCTATAGTGAGAGACTTCTTCTGCTTGAGAAAAGCTGAAGGAAAAATAAAGCAGTATTTGCCTTGTACCTTAGCTACTAAATTAACCACAGTTGGGGAGGGCACCAAGCAGGATCTTGGAGTACCCAGTTCCAGGCCTTGACTCTTGGATGGCATTTCTGGACTTGCCCTGGGCCAGAAGGAAGCTCACTGCCCTGAATGGAGAGTTCCAGGCCTGGCAGCATTCACCACAAACTGACTAAAGAGGCCCTGGGCCTGAAGTGAACATCAGTGGTAGTCTGGCAGTATTCCTTATGGACCTGTGGTGGTGGTGGCCATAGGGTGAGGCTCCTCTGCCAGTGGAAGGGGGAGGGAAGAGTAGGAAGGACTGCATCTTGTAGTTTAAGTTCCAGCTCAGATGCAGTAAAATAGAGCATGCCGGTAGATTTCTAATATTTTTCACTTCAGTCCCTGGCTCCTGGAAAGACCCACTTGGGGCATGGGGGAATTCACTGCCATAAAGGGAAAGACAGGAGTCTAGCTGACTTTGCCACTTGCTGATTGTAGAGCCCTGGGGTCTTGAACATAGGTGGTAGCCAGGTAGTGGTTATAGTGGGCCTTGGGTGAGACCCAGTGCTATACTGGCTTCAGGTCAGACTCAGAGCAGTCTCATTAGTGGTGGTCACAGGGGTGTTTATGTCATCCCATCCCTGGCTCCAGGCAGCTTAGCACAGACAAAGAGGCTCCATTTGTTTGGGAGAAAGTAAGAGAAAAGAACTAGGGTCTCTGCCTGGTAATCCACAGAATTCTTGTAGATATTTTCCAAGATCACCAAGTAGTACCTCTACGAGTCAACAACAACTACAGTATTACTGGGCTTAAGATGTGCTTTAATGCAAATACGGCTTAGATCACAATACCCAAGTGCTTTTGAATACCTGAAAAGCCTTCCCAAGAAGGATGGGTACAAACAAGCCCAGACTGTGAAGACTACAATAAATACCTAACTCTTCAATGCCCAAACAACAATGAACATGCACAAGCATCAAGACCATCCAGGAAAACATGACCTCACCAAACGAACTAAATAAGGCACTAGAGTCCAATCCCGGAGAGACAGAGATGTATGACCTTTTAGACAGAAAATTCAAAATAGCAAATATTATTAGAGCTAGAGAGAGAGATAATAGCTTGTGACTTCACCCCACTTTCAGCATTGGACAGATAGATTTTTCCAGAGAGAAAATCAGCAAAGAAACATTGGGTGTAATCTGCACTGTAGACCAAATGGACCTAATAGATATTTACAAAGCATTTTATCCAATGACTGCAGAATACACATTCTTTACCTCAGCACATGGATCATTCTCAAGAATAGACCATATGTTAGGCCACACAACAAGTCATAAAACATTCCAAAAAATAAAAATAAAATAATAGCAAGCATTTTCTCTGATCACAGTGGAATATAACTAGAGGAATAATAGGAATTTTGGAAACTATACAAACACATGGAAGTTAAACAGTATGCTCCTGAATGACAAGTAGATCAATGAAAAAAGAAAAAAACTGAAAAATTTCTTGAAACAAATGACAATGAAAGCACAACATACTAAAATCTATGGGATACACTGAAAGCAGTACTAAAAAAGAAGTTTATGGCTATGGTGCCTAAATCAGGACAGAAGAAAAACTCCAAATAAATAATGAGGCATCTTAAAAAACTAGAAAAGCCAGAGCAAACTAAACTGAAAATAAATAGAAGAAAAGAAATAATAAAGATCAGAGTAGAAATAAATGAAATTGAAATAAAACAATATAAAGAATCAAACAAAAAGTTGGTTTATTGGAAAAATAAACAAAACTGACAAAGCTTTAGCCAGACTAAGAAAAAAAGAGACAAAACCTAAATAAATAAATTAAAAGATGAAAAAAGAGGCATTACAACTGACACCACAGAAACTAAAAGGATCCTTAGTGGGCACTATGATCAACTTTATGCCAACAAATTGGAGAAATCTAGAAAAAATGCAGAAATTCCTAGACACGTGCAACATACCAAGATTGAGCCATGAGAAACTCCAAAACCAGAACATTTTATTACGGCTTTAGTGTTGTTGCTTGCTATTGAACAGACCAGTAACAAGTAATAACATTAAACCCACAATAAAAAGTTTTCCAGCAAAGAAAAGCCTGGGACCCAGTGGCATCATTGCTGAATTCTACCAAACATTTAAAGCAAAACCAGTAGCAACTCTACTCAAACTAATCAAAAAAAAAAAAAAAAGAAAAAAAAAAAAAAGAAAAAAGCAGAGGAGAGAATACTTACTTCCAAACTCATTCTAGGAGGCCAGTGTTACCCTGATACCAAAAGCAGACAAAGACACATTAAAGAGAAAACTACAGACCAATATTTCTGATGAATATTCATGCAAAAATCCTCAACAAAATCCTAACAAATCTAATTCAACAACACATTACAAAGATAATTCATCATGGCCAAGTGGGTTTATCCCAAGGATACAAGGGTGATTCAACATTTGTAAATTAATCGGTGTGATAATCATGTCAACAGAATGAAGGACAAACACCATATGATTATTTCAATTAATGTTGAAACAGCATTTGATAAAATTCAACATCCCTTCATGATAACAATCCTCCCACATAGCTATAACAATCATCCAAGCAAAAGAAATAAGGGGCATCCACAGTTGAATGGAAGAAGTCAAATTATCTTTGTTTGCAGATGATATGATCTTATATTTGGAAAGACCTAAGGACCACCGAAAAACTGTTAGAACTGTTAAATTCAGTAAAGTTGCAGGATACAAAATCAACATACAAAAATCAGTAACATTTCTATATGCCAACAATGAATAATTTGAAAAAGAAATCAAGAAATTAATCCCTTTATAATAGCTGCAAATAAAATAACTAGAATTAGTTTAACCAGAGAAATGAAAGCTTGTACAATGAAAACTATCAAATATCATTCTAGAAACTGAAGAGGACACCAAAAAGTGGGAAGATATTCCATGTCATGGATTTGAAGAAACAATATTGTTAAAATGTCCATACTACCCAAAGCAATCTACAGATTCAATCAATTCCCAGCAAAATACCAATGACATTCTTCACAGAAATCAAAAAAAAATCCTAAAATGTATATGGAATCACAAAAGACTCAAAATAGCTAAAGCTTTACTGAGCAAATGCTAAGGACAGAACTGGAGGCCAGGCGTGGTGGCTCATACCTCTAATCCCAGCACTTTGGGAGGCTGAGGTGGGTGAATCACCTGAGGTCAGGAGTTCGAGACCAGCCTGGCCAAAATGATGATACCCTGCCTCTACTAAAAAGACAAAAAAATTAGCGGGGCATGGTGTCATGTGCCTGTAATCCCAGCTACTCGAGAGGCTGAGGCAGGAGAATTGCTTTAACCTGGGAGGCGGCCGTGTCAGTGAGTCGAGATTGCACCACTACACTCCAGCCTAGGCAACAGAGCAAGACTCCTTCTCAAAAAAAAAAAAAAGAAAGAAAGAAAAAAAAAACTGGAGGAATCACATTACCTGACTTCAAGTTATACTACAGAGCTATAGTAACTACGATGGCATGGTACTGGCATAAAAACAGACACATAGACCAGTGGAACAGAATATAGAAAACATAAATAAATCCAGACATCTACAGTGAACTCATTTTTGACAAAGGTGTCAAGAACATACATTAGGGAAAGGACAGTCTCTTCAATCAATGTTGCAGGGAAAACTGGATATTCATATGCAGAAGAATGAAGCTAGACGCCTATCATTTGCCATATACAAAATCAAATCAAAATGTATTAAAGACTTAAATCTAAGATCTCAAACCATGAGACTACTGAAAGAAAGCAATGGAGAAACTCCCCAGGATATTGGAGTTGTCAAAGATTTCTTGCGCAATATCCCACAAGCACAGGAGACCAAAGCAAAAATGGACAAAGAAGATCATATCAAGTTAAAAAGCTTCTGCAGAGCAAAGGAAATAATTAACAAAGTGAAGAGGTAAACTACAGAATGGGAGAAATTATTGGCAAACTACCCATCTGACGAGATTAATAACCAGAATATGTAAGGAACTCAAACAACTAAATAAAATAAACTAATAATCTGATTTAAAAATGGGCAAAAGATCTGTATAGACACTTCTCAAAAGAAGACATACAAATGGCAAACAGGAATATGAAAAGGTGCTCAATACCACTGATCATCAGAGAAATGCAAATCAAAACTACAATAAGATATCTCACCAGTTAAAATGCATTTTATGCAAAAGACAGGCAATAACAAATGCTGGCAAGGAAGTGGAGAAAAGGGAATGCTTGTACACTATTGGTAGGAATGTAAATTTGTAGAACCACTTTATAGAACAGTTTGGAGGCTCCTCAAAAAAACTAAAATTAGAGCTACCATATTCTCCAGTAATGTCTAGTAATCCTACTCCTAGATATATACTAAAAAAAAAAAAAAAAAAAAAAAAAAAAAAGGAAATCAGTATACTGAAGAGATAACTGCACGCCTGTGTTTATTACAACACTATTTAAAATGGCCAAGATTTGGAAGCAACCTCAGTGTCCATCAACAGATGAGTTGATAAAGAACATGTGGCACTTATACACCATGGAGTACTATTCAGCCATAAAGAGAGAATGAGATCCTGTCATTTGCAGCATGGATGGAACTGGCAATTATTAGGTTAAGTGAAATAAGGCAGGCGCAAAAAGACAAGCTTCACATTTTCTCACATATTTCTGGGACCTAAACATTTTAACAATTGAACTCACGGAGGTAGAAAGTAGAAGGCTGGTTTACCAGAAACTAGAGAGAGTAGTGGGTTGGGGGGTAGGGGGATGAGGATGGTTAATGGGTACAAAAAAGGAAAAAAACATGGACATCCTCCACATTTTCAATCTGATTTGCTCCATGCAGACTTGTGGATTAAGAGCCAGAGGCTTCCGAGGCCAGTGCTCTAGCTGGTGGCATGGTATCTATGTTAACAGAACGTCTCCAATGCCTTCAGAGTCCACAGCCACAATTCTGTCACTTAGCAATTGCTAGAAAGAATGAATAAGACCTCGTATTTGGTAGCAGAACAGGGCGACTATAGTAAAAAATAATTTATGTGTATATTTTTAAATAACTGAAAGAGTATAATTGGACAGTTTGTAACACAAAGGATGAATTCTTGAGGTAATGGATGCCCTGTTTACCCTCGTGATTATTACACATTGCATGCCTATATCAAAATATCTCTTGTAACTGACAAAATATATACCTACTATGTACCCACAAAAATTAAAAATAATGTTAAAAGTTACAATTATATTATTAAGTACACTGGCTTTTGCCCCAGTGTTATTTGCACATTTGATTAGCATATTTTCTATATTCCCAACCATGTTATTAATAAGTATATTACACTGATTAGACTAAAGTGTAAAACCATTAAGTGCACCTACTTGGGAGGCCCCCTGCCATTGTAAGCTGCTAGCCAATGTTTATTAACCTTGTGATAAAGATTACACAGGAGAATTTATTGAATATCTTATTGAAATAAAAATATAACAAAATTTGTCACGTCTATGATCTAGAGGTGCAATTATGCTATCAAAATGGAGATAGCATTAGATTGATCTATTATCACTTAATGAAACAATGATGGTTTTGAGTAGCTAAAATTCCCTCTTCCAAGGATTCGCAAACCTCTTATTAATTTTTGTTTTATTTTTTCTTTATTATTCTATCTTACCTCTTTTCAACATTGATTTGTGGTACATTTTAAAAGTTATCTCATCATGTAACTTCTAGGAATGTTGTCATAATGATTTGATATATAGTATTTAATCTGGACAGATATCATAAAGAAAATAAGTCTTGAACTATGCTTTGAGGAGGAAAAGGCATATGGTTTGCTCAGCAGTCAGAAAAAGATATTTCAGGGTGAACAATATGGATTTGGCTGAGTCCATGCATGTGGGTGAATACCTTATTTTAAAGAAACTGTTGCATATCTTTTATTCATTGGTATTGATCAAAGCTTTTATATTAATGGTGGCAAAAAAAAAAAAACAACCAGTAGATAATATCTAATTATGCTAACAACTTTCTTTCTATTATTAGTTTAGTTCTTTAAACAACTTCGCAAGTGAAGACAATATTTGACCTCATTTTTCAGATGAAGAAATGGAAGTAGAGGTAGACTAAGCTATTTGCTGGGAGTCAAAGTGGTAGTAGAGACAAGAAACAGAATTGAAAACCACTTCTGACTCCCTGCACGACACTGTCTTTTTTTACAAAACAATATCCAGGTGTTCGTCTTCTGAAATAAGATCACGAATCCCCATTTTTCTTCTTGTAGAGATGTATCTTTGTGTGCTTATTTATTCATTTATTTATTTTGGGTTTAAGTATTGTTTGGTTTTTCAGTACTTCTTGAGGTTTTGTTTAATGAAATGTTTAGCAAAGTAGAGTAAGCACTGTACTGCCAACCTCCCAGGAGATTATTGATCTGATTAGCACTTAAAGAAAAAGAGGATAACAGAATAAAAAACAAACTTTAAAACTTTATTGTTACCTTCAAACACCATTAATATTTTTAAGGTTAATTTAATCTTCCCCTAAGGTTTTTATTTTCTCCATTTTGCATCAGGGTAACATATTTTAGCTTTTTGCTTTTGTTGCTCCTTAGAACTCTGAGTAGGAAGTAAATGTTCATTTACATTCCTGCTTTATGTGAGTGTACATACGTTAGTGTTGAATAAAATATTTTGCAATGTGTCTGTGTGGATATATGTGTAATAACAATCCTATGTTGTAATTGTTTATTTCAAACTGAAAAAATATTAAAGCAGACCCTGTTGCCTTTTACATATTTTATTCTTGCTTTTTTACAAATGTGGGCATTTCCTAATCACATGCAATTTGAATAAGATTGAATATAACTGAGGTGAGAAGGTCAATATTTTTCTTTAGACATCTTTACAGCTGTAGCCATTTAGCAGTTTTATACGAAAGAGACTGCTTATCAAGCGACAAAACACAAAACGATCAAGTCTACTTATCCTGGTTGGGAATGGATTTTCTAATTAAATCTAACTTTAACCATGAAAACTGATATTTAAACTAACTTAAACTAACTTCAAAGGTGTATCATGAATTTGTGTCAATTCTAAACAAAGATAAGATTCATCTGTGTTTTCTCCTTTTTTGTTCATATATGTATATCACGGGGCCAATGTATCCTACTTACTTGTCGCATGCTGTTCAACAGAAAGCGATACCATTTTCAGGGACTCTAATGAGAATGACATAATTCTGGAATTGTACAGTGTATAACCTGTTCAACTGTGCAGCTGTACATGGAGCACTGCATTGTGTATGTGTGTGTCTTACAAATAAGTTTTCTGATGTTACCTGATGATTACAGCATTTAGATTTTTGTGAAAGTTGAAAGTATTTCTCTATTGGGAGAGAAGGAGATACAGAAATAAAAATAGTCCATTTGTATAAGAGTCGGGCTTAGGCATGATGTAATTTTTTTCTTTAATTTTTATAACTATTAAATATATGGGCTAATATTATAGAAATCTGTAATGTTCTCATATGTACAGAGTGTAGCTTTCTATTTCCTGAAGCATACTATGATAGGTAGTACTGATCTGTGGATAATATTGTGCACAGCACAATTTTTTTTTTTCCTGGAGATTGCATGTGGCTCAGCAAGAGAGGATCAACGAGTAAAATGGAGCAATTACAACAGTTCTTCTAACTGAATTTTAAAACTAGATTAAAGACGTGGCTAGTTCAGATATATTGATAGGACAGCAAATACTCTATCATGATGACTCAAAACAGTAGGGCTTCTATGGAAACTAAAAAGAAATGAGATTTTAAGATAGGTGTTCCCTACTAAGAAGTCTTAGTGAAACACTGGAAGAAAAAAGCATTTCTGAGGATGCTTAATATGCACCAATATCAATAACTGGAGCAACACTTGCATCAGCCAGAAGAGCTCTACCTAACATGATTTACAAGCAATCCACTATTCTGTGAGTGTGAGAAAGCAAGAGGCAAAATCTCAGGTTGCCAAAAAATTGTGTAATCCCATGCCCCTTAGTTTTCCTATCTCTAACATGATGGGGTAAACAAGATCAATCTGAGCTGACATAATTATATGCAATTACAATGCAGTTTTTTTCCCTGAAGGCAATAATTTATTATATTTCTTGAACTTGAAAACTGTTTTGTATTTTAAGAATGCCTCCTCCAGTCTCCTGATGAGGATTTCTCTGCAGCTCTTGTTTAAGAAGCTCTGTATGCTAGTAAGCACCAAGTCTTTTGTAAGTCAGCACTGGGCTGTAGGCAACTTCCGCTTTTTTGTTGTTTGTTTGCTTTTTCTGAGACAGAGTTTTGCTCTGTTGTCCAGCCTGGAGTGCAGTGGCGTGATCTTGGCTCACTGCAACCTCCACTTCCCAGGTTCAAGCAATTCTCCTGCCTTGGCCTCCCAAGTAGCTGGGATTACAGGCATGTGCCACCATGCCTAGCTAATTTTTGTGTTTTTAGTAGAGACAGGGTTTCACCATGTTGGCCAGGCTGGTCTCAAATTCCTCACCTCATGATCCACCTGCCTAAGCCTCCCAAAGTGTTGGGATTACAGGTGTGAACCACCGTGCCTGGCCCGACTTCCACATTTAGAAAAGTCTACCCACCAAAGGGAGAACATGGTTTTCTTCCTACCTAAGAGAAGACTGGCCTTTGGTATGATTTTATTGCAGACTTCATCACTCTGAGAGGCCAGAGGAAATCTAAGTTCCCTTTCTAAGCTGCACTTACTATTCTGCGTCTCATAAGTCTTCATTAGAAAGAATGTTTCTCTCCTGTTTGGGGGTCATCCCTTCTTATGATAATTGCAAGATATCCCCTGAAGTCACTGGAATTTATGAGTCCCCTTTGAAGAAGGGAGATGCCTTAACTGCTACCAACCTGAGAAAAGGTGATGCAAATGACTCCTGGGAAGTTCAAAGTTCAAAGATGATCATCTGCTTATCTCTGCTGCCACTGTAGTGACTTGCTGTTGGCACTGTGATGAGGTTGGCATCTGCGTTGCTTTTCTAGAGCTGCTGTTTAAGCCACTACACATTGGGTGGCTTAACAGAATGTACTGTCTCACTGTTCTGGTAGCCCCAAGCACACCTTGGCTTGTGACAGCATACTTTGAGTCTCGGCCACTAGCTTCATGTGGCCATCTTCCACCTGTCTCTGTGTCTTCACATGATGTTCTCATATTTATGTGTCTCTGTGTCCAAATTTCTCTCTTCTTATAAGGGCACTGGTCATACTGAATTAGGGTCAACTCGAATGACCTCATCTTAATTACATCTGCAATAACACTATTTTTAAATAAGGTTATATTCACAAGTACCAGGGCTTCTTCAGACTTCAACATGTCTTGTTGGAGGGACACAGTTCAACCCATGATAGCATCCAGGAGCTTCATTCACTTCTGTGGCCACAGATGCATATTACAAGCCCATCCAGAGCCATTATGAAGAGAAAGTGGCAATTTTATTCTCAGCCTGAGAAATCCACACCAATTTAGTCTGGGTTTCCAAGGGTCTGCCGTTTAAGTCACTTAGCCTCTATTCTTTCTGGGAACAACCTGCCCCTAGAGAGAGTGGGTGAGAATTGTTCCCAGTGTCTCCAGCATCACAAACCCAGTTGCCCTGTTCCCTTTCAGTCTTTGACTTGAGAAAGAAGCTCATGTATAACTATCATCTGTTTCAACCATCACATAATTTAATGCAAGTTAATTTTACAAAGAACAAACAGAGTTTCTCTACTGACCTTGATTCCAGCCAAAAGTTAGCATACCTTTTTTTCAAACAGCTCCTATGTTTAAGCACCATCTTGGCCTTCTGAGTCAGCAGCTAAGTCTAGATCAAGCTGACATGCTGCTCTTGCTAGGTTTCTAAAATTCTTGGATGTTCGGAAGAATGGAAATTAAGATTTCTAAATATAATATCCACATGTACCCACCCCACCATAAATAAAGCTCTGCAGAAGAGAAAAAAGTTCTACCTCACTGAATACCTTGCTATATGAAATTCTAAATAGATTAGTAACAGTGATCACATTTTACTTCTATCTTCCACTGGGCAGTAATGGAGGGCTCTCAGTCAATGTTCTCTATAAATTGCAGTTCTTAAGCTTTGAAACAGCCTATCCCTCCCCCCTCCCAAAAAAAAAACATGTTTGCTGCTGATCTTACTCAAATCTTTGCCTTGATTTGCTTATAGTTCCATCTTCTATTGGAAAATGTGTGAATCCTGTTGACAAAACTCTTCGTAATCTCTTACCCGGGCTTTCCTTGTGGGCCTAATGAGACCGGGCAAGTCCCCCTTTAGGGTCTTCCCTCAGTGATTTCTCCATGCTGACCTCTAACTGTTTTACTTATTCATCTCTTATGCCATGCCATCTATATTTCCTTTCCACACCCCTTCTTCTGAATATTACATCCCAACAGATCTGTCTTTCTATTTTTGTGTCTGGCTTTGTCTTTCAGATGTATCATTTTCAAACAAACAAACAAACAAACAAACAAACAAAAAACAAAATGAAACAAAACCCTCCAAGCATAGGGGAGAAAATGATTTTTAAAGCTTCTCCAAGGACAAACTCTTCCTACTTACAATGGTATATAGCTGGAGTAGGATTAGCTATACTATAAGATTTTCAATATTCAAATGGCTGTTGAGGGAAAGCACCATATTTCAATGGTTATAATTTAAATTAATTCAATTTTACAAAAACAAACAAACACAATGTCTCTACAGACTTCAGTTCTGGCCAAAAGTTAGCATCCTTTCTTTTCAAACGGCTCCAGTTGAAGAACTAGAGTGCAGGTGCTTAATAACATATTCATAAGGACTCCCTGGTCTCTATCTTTGTTATTATAAAATGCTTTCATTTGCTGTTTGTGCAATTCTAAGGCCCATTCACCTGCAGTTTGCAGCACTTCTTATCATCCAAAGTGCTCTCAGGAGCATTCATAATGCCAAGGAGACAGGCAGAGAGGCCCTTAAAAATTATTTTAAAAAATAGGAGAACTGAAACTTACATACAAATGCGCAGAAACCAAAAGAAAACTTAATGTCATTTAAAAAATTATGATTTTATTAAAAATAATTGCCAGGCTAGAGCATATTGACAAAAGAAATTCACTTTTAATGGTTTTTCTTAAACATCTTTTTGTTTTGCTCTCACTCTCTCATTCTCTCTCTCACTCTCTCTCTCTATCTCTCCCTGTGTGTTTTTCATAGAATGTTTTAAATATTATTTATATGGAAAGAGATTCTTTAGTGGTGATAAGATAAACATAACTGCTAATTACAGAATCATGAATCTGAACAATTTATATAGCTTAAACATTGATTTCACTTAATTAAATTTATTGCTATTCTTGTTAGTGTTTATTTCAGTTTACTAGATTTCCAAAGTTGATTATATTATTAGAATTTTTATTCACTGCACTTATTTTCCCCCTCTATTCTCCTCCAAGATAATCTAGAGATTAATTCGTCAATTAATTACAATGGATTCAGTGTTGCCCTTGGCTTATAGTAAGCACTTAATAAAGGTTAATTTTTTTTAATTTCAAGATCTAATTGCCAACCACCTTAGTTATTTAATCAGTCAACAAATACTAAGTGCCTATCATAGACCAAATATTATGATAGGTATGAGACTATAAAGATGAAGAAGACATAGTCACTAAACTCAGTGAGATTATAGTCTAATAAAGGCAGGTATATACAGTAATAAGTGCAATTAAACATTATAGGTTCTATAATAATTATGTACATACATCACAGAAGTGGAAAAACTAATATTCTTATAGTGGTATATTCAAGAAACACTTGATAGTAGTCTGAACTATCACAATAAGACTAGAACACTGATTTGATTTTAGGCAGGCAGAAAAGAAGGAAGGCCAATTCTAGCAGTAGGAACCGTACTCTCAAAGCATGGAGTTGTGAAAAGCAGAATCTATTTGAGGACCTCCATGTAAGACAACTATGATGATGTGGGCATTATCTCAATAGATAAAACTGAAAACGTAAGCAATAGATGGATCAGGAAGAGCCTTGAGCCCAGCTAAGCAATTTAAACTTTATTCTGTAGGCAGCGGGGAGACATTAAAGGAATTTAAGCAAGTACATAAAATGACAAGATTTGCATATGAAGGTCATCTGAAAGCATTGTGGATGATGGATTAAAGGATGTAAGACCACAGACAAGAAGCTGGAAGGCTATAATAGTCAGGTGAGAGATGCTAAACCCGAGCGAAGTTTATCCAGTGTATCAGAGTGATAGTTTTGTGATGCATAATGAAAGTCTACAGGATTGGTGCATTTCTCTGTGGGCACACACTTACAGGAAGACCAATCGTAATTCAAACATTAATTCAAAACAAAAGATTTAATTCAGGCAACTGGAACCTTGTGGTATCATGACCAAATCATTCTCTTGCCATAGAAGAAAACACAAATGAAAATCAGACTATTGATCTGGAATTAGAATAAGTGGAACTAAAATAATAGAATGTTTAATAGCTTCAGGCAAACATAGCCTGATACAACCATCTTTGATAGGGTTGGTCTTGCCAAAGGTATCAGAATACTTAAAGCCCTTGGCTAGAACCCCACCATTGATCCTCACATTAGGCACAGCTTTGCCATTGGAACTAGAATATAAAATATTCTAGGCTGCCTGCTGAGGCTCTGCTTTTTTGAATAGTATGTGATCAGTGATGCCAAGATTCCTCACTTTGACATTTTTCCATTTTTCCTCTGCTTCCTTTGCTTCTCAATCTATTTTATAATTGACAAATTATTTTCTTTAGTTACTTCCGTAGTCAATCAAGTTACAACTAAACTTATAGTCTATGCGGTTTAAGATGATTTTATACATTTCTGCTACAAGGGGTATAATATTTTCTGCCTCATAATAATGGGTGCCTTATTTTAAAATTTCTGAGGAAAATTCTATGGCTATCTTTCTTCCTTCCTCTTCAAATTCTACCAAGCTACTCACGATCATTTTCTGGTGAAATCTGTGTGTGTGTTTCTTACTGATATTTCTGCGGATCGACTGCAAGCAGAAATTAGTTATAGGGGTAAGCTACTTGAACTAAATATAAAACCTCAGTTGATGATGTTTAAACAGCATTTGTCCAAAAATACTCCAGCCTACAGAAAGACGAAGGGTTGGTGAAACCAGACTTTTGATGAATCAGATGAAAATTTGTCCACCGTAATTTTAGCATCATGTAATGGACTTGTTACTGTGTTAAATGAACTAGAAGCATGTCTCTCCCACATTTAAAAAAAAATGGAAAAAAACTATTTTCATAAATGCAGATATATTATATTTTAGGAATCTGGGTGATTTCTATGTCCTACTATCTACTCCAGAGGGAACAGTTACAGATTTTTTTAAATCATAATTTCGTAGTAATTCCCCAACGTTGTAGCTACCAACTATTTACTGAAATACAGGATAGAAGCAGGGTTAGCAGAAAGAATAAAAATTTCAGACGTTCCTTAGTAAGATGGATAGTTGCCTCTGAAATTCAGGTGATATGAGAAGGTCATTACCATTTAGGTAGTTGATGAGGTTACCTTGAAAAATACCATATTGGATGGGTGAATGGAGGCGGAGAACCCTTCCCTCCAAAAACATTGGGAATAGATACTGAGAAAGATGGGAGATGAGCTGGGATAGAGTGGTGTCATATGAATTAGAGGAATAGAGAATCCTTCAAAAGGGAAATAGACAACCTTCTCAAATGCCATAGGAAAGTCACCATCTACATTGAAGAGTGCAGTGAGAAAAACAGTAGTGTGGGCAGACACCAACTTAAGATCTTTATGTGTGTAATAACCCTTCCCTACAACAACCTAATGAGGTTAGTGTCCACATTTCATAGATAAGGAAAGCAAGATACAGAAGAGTTAAGTAATTTTCTCCAAGGTCATGAAGTTGGTAGATGGTGGAGTCTGGCTTTGAACTGGATAGTCTAGCTCGAGAGGCTGGAAACCAGAATGTAATGCTGGAAAGGCTGTGAAATAGCATGTGCTTCCGAACAAAGAAGTAATGGGCCTGGCTGCTGTGAAAGTGTAAGACAAAGCTTCTCTTTTCCTCTGAGCTTTAGGAAAAAAATATGTGGCTTTATACGCTGACTCGGAAAAATATGAAGGCAAACAATGGAGCAATAAATGGAGGTAACTTTTACCTGCATCTTCAATTTTTACATCTAATTAAAAGACAAGTGGAACAGGAATCATGGAGAGCCACGGAGGACATAGGAGATTCTCAGACAGGGCCTAAGCCAGCAGCTGTAACCCTTATCCTTACCCGCAAATGTGTCTCTGAGCCTTCTGAAGGCATTTTCAAAAGATTCAAGCAGGCCCAGACACTGTGCCTGGAAATTCCGAGTCAGTGTGGGATAGGGCCCGGGAAATTTTAATTTGGGGGCCATGCTCCAGGTAACATTGAAGTCCTCTCTTGTTTAAAAACCACTGCATACATAACCCAATGATACCATGTTCTGTATTATGAAAATAAAGGAGGACCCTTAGCAAATGGTCTTTGTTTGGGGCAGCCTCCCACTTTTCCAATCTGTGCCATAATCTCCTGTTCCCAACCACATTTCTCCCCACACCCCCCGTTGGGAGTCACCACACTATACCTGGTTCTTGCCTTGAAGTTATTGTTTCGTAATTCCGGATTGGCTATTAGATGATAACGTAAAGACTGGCCCCTTTAGGAGTATTTACATGCCAAAAAGGAGTCTTTATACACAGGAAACTGTGGGGTTCCCCAAATAAACCACTTCTGTCCAGTGAAGAATATGAAGCTTAGTATTCAGGGTGGGGAGTATGGATTTCAGCTTAGATCACAGGGTGTAGGCAGCCATCTATGAGTACAATGATTTCTGAGGATAACCTTCTGAATCAAAAAACTGCATAATTTAGGCAAGCTTTTTTTATCACCCTTAATAATGAAACAAACGTTTCCTCTGACTCATAAATACTACAATTAGTAATATCATTTTCAGGCATAAATTGTGCCCATAAAAACTGATTTTCAACTAGTATAATAGGTAGCTGGAGATGGAGGGACAACAAGAATGCCAGAAACATCTGACTTGGACAAGAAATTCAAAAAGGGGTAGCCTTCAAATGTAGACAAGTAAGCACGTATCATGGCATTCAATGGGTTAAAGTAGCATTTTCCAGTAGTTTATCAAGCAAAGCTCTTTTTTTCCTTTTTCTCCCTGGTGTTCAGATGTGATTCAAATCTGTGGACGTCTCAGCTTCTTCTCTTGGCAGCTCCTCAGTACTCCTCAATGCAGTTTGAATCAGTAATGATGATGACAGCGAGGATGTGCCTGACATTCTGTGCCCAAACCCTGGTCCACACTCAGCCAATTAAAAGACTGTTCCATTTGGAGACCAGACTCCCTCTTCTCCGTCTCTTGCACAGTATGGTGGCTGAGACTGAGGCTGGACTCTGTGGGCTTCAGCTTCTACTACGAAAGCCAAAACTGGCTAAGCCACATGATGTTTGACAAAAATTGACTCAGCTGGAAATTGATCTTCACATGTTTTTCAAATGCTCGCCCACAGTTCCGTGAGACAGTTTTGCCTTTGTGTCTGTTGGGGGGCTTCAACAGACTTCCAACCTCAAATAAATAAAAATGCTTTGATTTAATGCACACTCTCAACCAGACCTTTCTGCTTATTCTGTGAAATAACACAACTTGGGCCCATTCAGCTCTTTGCAGGTTATCAGACTCTTGCTCTATCAGATCCCATGTAAAGAATTTCTAAGGATTATTTTCTATAGAAATGGGTTCTTCACCCCACTGTTTTACTCCACCTACAGTACTACTCAAATGTGAACAGAATAGGAATAGAAAATGAAAGCAATAAAATATGTTCAAAGAGCATTTTAAAAATGTAAATCCATTTTAGGAAAATGTCTGAACCTGAGATAAAAGATGAAAGCAATTTAGATCATTATTTTATTGGTTGGCACAGGCTAGCCTGCACCAAGCCCTTTACAAAATGTGGATTTCTCTTCCTTAAACCGTCTTGTCCATCAGACTTCCTTGAAAATGATATTGTTAGCCAATATGTAGCACATCCTGGGTTGTACTTCCACTAATGTACAGTCTAACCCCCTGATGTATAATTTCTGATTTTAGCTCTTCATACAATAGCTCACAGAACTTAAATTGGCTCTCCTTGGTAAAATGTGATAATCTTTAAAGTCTGCCTGCTAAGACCCTTCTTCAAAACCAGTAATACCTAAGCCAGGATGTTGATAATTACTAAAACATTTTTGAATTCAAAATAACGTCCAAAGACTAAAAAAAAAGAATAGCATAGCATAAGCATTTTTGTTTGAAGTTTCAAGTATCACTGTGTCTGGCTGATGCCCCCAAGGAAGTCCTGTGGTAAAGCTGTCAGGGGAAGCTGTAGGTAAGCACTTGAAAAACATGGTAAAAACAGGTTCCAGCTGAGGCAGTCTTAACACAGCTCCTAATGGCCAGGCTCCCTTTGGCTCACCTTGTTAAGCATCTGCCTGAAGCCCACAAAGAACCCAGTTTGAGGCTCAGCTGCTGTAATAAGCGGAATGAACACATGGAGACTCCAACTAGCAGATGGGGACTTGCTGATTGAGAGAGACTGATCTAGTGTCTGGCCACCTGTTGGCAGACACAGCACTCCTGGCACCCCCCTCTCCACCTAGCAAATTCAGACAGAAGGGAGACAGGAAGAGAACTGATTTCTTAAAGGAATAGATGCAAGAAAAACATTTGTTAAGCCAAACATCACGTGTGAGAGCGGATAGAGTCAATCAATGATGTTGTTTTCGTCACAGCATATGGGAGTATGAGTCTTTCCAGAATAAAGGGAAGCAACACTTATCAGCATGTCTATAATATTTGAAATGTGAATTTAGTGTGCTGACCAGGAATGGCTTTTTAATAGTGATGCTACTAGGAGGCCCAAAGTATTACATTGCTACAGTCAAATGAGCTTCCGAATAGCCAGTGGATGCAAAAGTCAAATTTCAGGAATAAGTCTGTGGATCTCTCTGACTTATTCCCGTGGTGATTCAGTCTACAGTTTTTTGTAACTTTACAGCAACAGGAACAATTAGCTTAACTTGCATTTTATTCTTCCTCAAAGCCCTGGATTTGTACTTGCATTAAAAAAAAGTAAAATAGAAAGGAATCATTCCCTAGACTCTCTCTTCCTTTATTAGGAGCTTGTGGAGGCCCCTGATTGAAGTCAGGGCTCACAGTTGGAGGGCGAGATCATGCCCAAGGGAGGCACGGCTGCTCTGGGATTGTCACTCCTCACAACAAAGAAAGAGGGCCAGGCATTTATGTCAGCTACGCCTCATACTCAAGCCCTTTTGAAGAATGAGTGAGAATCTTAAACTTGAACAGAATACTATGCAGAGAGGTGCTAGAGAACTGAGGTGACCTTTGCTTTGCAAGTTCTTCTCTCCTTTCTCTCTACACTCTTCTTTGCAAGTTCCTCTTCCTTATTTTCTCTCCAGCGGAACATTTCACCCTCAGTAGCTGTTACACCTCATGAAAAATACTGCTACTCTCTGAAATACGGGCTTCTCTTTCCCCCTCATTATAGCGCTAAAAGTACTGTCCTTTGGGGAAAAAAATCACATAGTAGATGTTTCAGAATAAGAAAGCGCTTACCAAAAACAAAAGAACAACAAAAACAAAACACAACAGAATCCTCCTCCTCTTTGGTCCTCTCTTACTATGGTAACTTGGAAGTTTTTGCACAACTTGAGGAGATACTCTGTGAGATATATATATGTGTGTGTATATATATATAGAGAGATTGATATATAGATAGATTTTATATATATACACACATATAAAATATATATGTTGCTTTTTAAACCTTTCCCAGAACTCTCATGACACATTTCAAAAGCTGCTTAAAGATATATGAATATTGGCTGTGAGGCAAGGGTCATCTATTAGACTTGGAAAGAATAGTAGAATTTATTCCATTCTCTTTATTTTAAGGACATGATAACTAAGACCAGATTTCAATTAAATGGCTAGACCAAGGTCACATATCTTGAATGTGGGATAACCAGGATTGAAATCCAAATTCAATGTCAGACTCCTTAAATCATGCTGTCCCAATCAATTTGGCTTCTAAATTGTACTGGAGAAGTAGTGGGCAGGTTGGATAGTGAGTCAGACTGCCAACCTGTGTCATATTGCTGCAGCACAGTGTGAAAAGTTATAGAAATCTGATGTAAGGAAAGCATTCCAGGTAAACCAGATTTTGGCTCTGCCTCTTAATGCGTGACCTTGGGGCAATTATTTAATATGTTTCTGTTCTCCAAGGTCGTCATCTGTGAAATGGAGAGATATAACCCACAGGGCCTCTCTGAGGATTGATGGGCCCATATAGGTGTGGTTCTTAAGGTACTTAACCTATTATCTGCTATTACTTTTCTCTAAAGAATAGCTAAGATTTTTTCCCCTCAAGATCTCTTTTCCTTGTTTCTTCTTCAAAATAACAAATTTTAGCCCATTAAATAATCTCCTTACATTAGTGGCTTTGCATGGGTAATTTTTTTTTCCTGTGTCAGTTATAAGGATTTTCAAATTAGTATACTTTTTTCTTTTTAAAATGAACTAGTTATTACCCAATTCTAGATCACAAACCAGATGTAAAATCAGAGTATTCTAAATTAGAATACATGCTAGTTTTACCAAATACCTGCTCATCCTTCAAAATCCTTTCAAGGATTATTACTCTTCATCTTCAATTTGTCAGGCAGCAGATTGCATCCACTTCAACTTTGAATCAATTCTATGAACAAACTTTATAAGTTATCCCATCACATGCTTTGTTTAACATTGTTCTTGTAATCTGATAATACTGTTATTCCACTGGGGGAAATAATCTATTGAATTTGACTGGTTGGGTTTATTTTTTATAAGCCACCAGACTTTATTGCTTTTGATTCCAGTACTCTCTGGATAGTTACAAATTCTTCTGTCTAACTTATATTAATATACCAAGGATTGATGTTACTGGGGAGTAATTTCCAGTCTTGCTCTTTTAATAATCTTTAAAATGGATTACAATGTTTGGCTTCACATGTTACCCCAATTCACTATAACTTCAAGAATAATAAATAGTATTTCCAAATTAACCAACTGTTATGCCCCCTAGAATGCACATTGTAGGAAATGACATTTCAGAAGCCCGATTTTAGAAAGAATAAAATTTATTATGTTTTCTTGTTAGAAAAAATTATATATGTTTAAATTATAATTTGGAAAATCAAAATAATTTTTTTTTAAAATTACCTCTTACCCAGAGATTATAATAATTAACATTTTTTGGTTCAAATCTTGTCAAGTATATGTATATGTTTATAAATTTTTTATGATGATGGGATTGTACTATACATATATTTTATATAATTATTTACCTAAAAATATATTATGAATATATTTTCATGCCATTTATTATTACATGACTTTTAATGCCTATATAATATTCTATTGTACAGAAGTCATACTTAAATAATTTGTATTTTCTAATTTTTTCTTTTAAAAAAATCACATTTTTTATAATAAATTTTAAAGGAATCTTAATCCGTATACAAAAGAGTAATGAGTTGTTTTTATTGAGCATCTGTTATATGCCAGCCAATTGACATACAAATACCTTATTTTACATATGTTTCTCAATTTGCAAAGTAGAAATTATTGCCTTCTTATTACAGGGTGGAAACATATTACAGATTTTTAAAAACAGATTTTTTTTTTCAAAATTATCAATGCCAAATATCTAAAAACTAGAGTAGTTAGAATTCAGAACCAGGTACACTGATGCAAAGCCCTGTGTTCTCTCAGCTACATCCTCTTAGCCCGTAGACTAAATTCTTCAAAGTAAAATAACGATTTCAAAGAGAAAATCCATTCTAAATCATTTGCTATATTGTGCCAACCAAAAAGACTACTTGTATTCTTTTTAAAATTTTAATTTATTTATGTATTCCTATATGTATTCAAAAGACTGATTTTTAAAAAATCCTTCCCAAATTGCAAAATACCCACAACGACTAATAAAATTCAAAATATTTTATTATTATTACTTGTTGCAACTTTAATAAGTCACTACATTTTAACAACATTTGATGAAAACTTTCTCTTGATCAATGACACTTCTGAAACATCTACCATTTTGATCTCTGATGACCTTTTAATCAGTGAGCATTTCACACTTGATAACACTTGATTACTACTTGGACAAATTATTGATACAATGACCTGGAAATTCACAAGATTTCTCCTCAAATTTGAAGAAGTCGAGTTTATTTTTGAAAGGTTTATTTATAGTTTACTTTAAAAATTACATTTAATCTCATAAAAAATGTGGTAAGATAGAATATCATGGAATTTGAGCTTTTTGTTTTGATGAGCAGTCTCAACTCACATATCTATACTAATGCAAGTAAAATACACCTTACAAAGTTCAAAAATTCCCAATTACATATATTTAACTTAGGAATGAACTATGTGATACTTGTGCCATATTGCCCTTATAATTATATTTTTCTTACACTAAATTTAACTTAATTTTAATTGCTATACCTAATGACCAGGAGACATAAAAGGCGGGATTGGGAAGGGCAGTTTCTATACCTGTGAATTATTCACCAATATTGGTTAGAAATATAATTAATTTAAAATTACTTAGTAAGTTTTAGATTTTAATGTAACTTAATGTAATTTTAATTGAAAATAAGGGCACTTCAGAATGTGGAATACAAATGCATAATTTTCAAAACAGATTATTTTGCAGATAAGATTATTGTTCTGATGAACACAAAATAGTCAATGTAGAATAACTGGAATTCTTTCCTTCTCGTTATCATTTTTACTTTCCTTCTCCCCACCTTGTCACCATTTAATGGTTTAAATGAAAACAAAACAAACAAAAACACTGATAGTCAATTTTCCCACAGCTGCAGAGCAAAGAGCATCAGCCTTATGTTATTAGTCTTAAAGGTCAGATTTAACTTTGGTTAAAATTTGCCTGGCGTAGAGTATCTCTATGAGTTTTAGATATCATCTGTATTGTAATAATTGGTCTCCCCTGGCACAGAACAGGCACTAGATAAATGTTGAAGAAATATAGCATTACGAAGAAATGAAGACTTTCATTTATTTTGATTTTTGGTGTTCTAAGTTCCACATCCCTTTCATACTTAAAAATTCAATTCATGAATTTTTGTTTGCCCTCTTTTACCAGCAGCTACATGGTGGTAGGAATTACACCAAATCAAACCTTGCAGAAAATAATTTAATTAGAAGAGATTCTGTTTCCAAATAAGATGAGGTAATTTTATCACCAACTTACATGAATCCTTATATGTAGTTTGTTTTCTGCTTGTATATATCTATGAGCTAAGAAAAAACATTTGAAAATATACACTAATTTCATAAACAAATCTCATGAATGATGCTACTGGGGAGTAATTTGAAGTTTAAGTCAATTTGCAAAATCTGATTGAGTCATCAAGGTACAGACTATTTATTTTCTTTCTTATCTGGTACAGGTCTTATCAATACTAAATCTTTCCAGTAATCATTTAACTTTATCGTTTTCCCTTTCTGGGAAAAATGAGGATTAGCCATAACTGGAAACATTACAAAGTAAGATAAACTTATTGCATCACTTGGCCTGATTAGTGTTGACATTTTTGGTGAATTTTAAGTGGATTGAGTAAGAATATATATATATATATTTTTCCTTTTGATTTTAGTGTTCACTTATATTTTACGACATTTCTGAAATGGCCTGGTGATGATAATTTGAGAAGAGACACTAGGTCATGAAATATAATTATTTTTAAAAATGCAGTTTTATCTACAGAAGAATTGAAGAGTTATATCAATTTTTATCAATATCTCTTTCTGCAAGCCATTTAAATAATAATACTTTTAAGAAACAAAGATCTTTAAAATAATAAACAAAGGCAAGGTCACCCTTAATATAAAAGATAGCAACATATACAGTTACCTCAAAATATAAATGCCCTGCCTTTTCTCTTCATTCTCTGATGCTTATGAATAAATACTTCATTTTAGTTGTAACAATATTTATATATTTTTCTGAAGAATGTTATTTATGCAGTTCTATAGCTATACCCTAATGAACCCAAAGAATTAAGTAAATTTGCATCTGTACAACATGTGAGGCAACTATAATTTTTCTTTTCTTTCAACTATATTAAATTAATATATATTAAATTATATTAAAGCCTCATAAACTGAATTTTTAAGATATAAATACCTCAATAAAACAGCAGAAAATAATATTAATGGGAGTTCACAGTGAAAAAAACAAAAGAAACAATATGAGAAAGCCTATGAAAAGATACTGTCAACCTTGTCAGGGGAATATGAACTAAAACAATAATGAAATCTTTTTTCCCTCAAAATCAGACTGGGAGAGCACTGAGGGCCAAGGTCAACAACGATTTTGAAAAGCATGCTGGCAATGCTTATAAAACTGTAAATATGTGAAATCTCTGACCAATACTGTGACAGCTCTATTATATAAATAAAATGCAAGTAGGCAATAATAAATGTACCATGTTTATTACAGTACTATTCATACTGGCAAAAACACGCAAGCCACCAAAATATTCATCAATGTAAGACTGGACGAATATGGTAATCTGCATCATGGCTACAGCTACTAAAGGAATTGGGTCCACATACGCTTACTTGGATGAATAAGCCCATGATGTAAAACTTAAACAAGAAACAAGCCAATAATACCAAAACCAATACAGAACCATATTCCTGTACAGGTGATAGATTGATCTATCTATCTATCTATCTATCTATCTATCTATCTATCTATCTATCTATGTATCTATCTGCCTGTCTATCTGTCTTATATGTAGAGAGAGAAATATGTGAAAAAATAAAAGGTTAACTTGAGAGACGCCATGTGACAGTGGGCAATGGGAGAGGGACAGGTGAGGGAAATTAATAAGTTTTGCTTAATACATTATTTACATAGTTTTATCAGTTACAGCAAACATTTATTATTCTACATAGAAAATAGGAAAGATCACCAATAAATTAACACAGACACATAACAATCAGCTTAGTGTAAATTAGTTGTACTAATGTGCTCTAAATTATGCACCAAAGATATCTAACCGCAGGGCCCTTCTGCATGAAGGGACTGAGACTCTTCAGACCATTTTTTCCCCCCAAGATGGAGTCTCACTCTGTCAACCAAGCTGTAGTGCAGTGGCGCCATCTTGGCTCACTGCAACCTCCACCTCCCAGGTTCAAGCGATTCTCGTGCCTTAGCGTCCTGAGCAGCCGTGATTACAGGTGCCCACCACCATGCCCACCTAATTTTTGTATTTTTAATAGAGATGGGGTTTCACCATGTTGGCCAGGTTGGCCTCGAACTCCTGACATCAGGTGGTCCACCTGTCTAGGCCTACCAAAGTGCTGAGATTAGAGGCATGAGCCACCATGCCCGCCCTCAGACCATTTTTAAAGAAAGCATGATGTTCCAGCATTTGTGGAAAACTACAGAAGACATTTGAGCATCCTCTAGTAACTTGGGTTTTACCTAAAGATTAGAGGAGGAAACTATTTTTAAATGCAAGTAAAACCACAGAAACAGATTCTATGGGGTTTTAACCTACTAGGGTCTGTTTCTGGTCTGCTGGATCAGGGAATAAAAGGTCTGGTTTGGTCGTTTTAATGGTCTGGATAAAGGATGCAGTTGATACAGGAGATGGCCATATACATTTTGGTGGTTCAGGGTATTTTGCTACCATACGAATAATTTTTCACAATTTTCTGCACCAGAAAAACTTGGTAATCTCAGATCAGTTCAGTGTTTGCACAACAGTTTTGCCACATAATTTATTTTTAACAAGTATATCGTTTTGCTTAATCTTCCTGAAGAACAAAGTTCTCTAATCTTAGAAAAATAGCAAAAAGTCATGTTTTAAAGATTTTTCTCTAAATTTTGTTATTTTAGATGAAAAATTACTTTCATTGTAAATGGAATACATTAATCTGAATTAAAAACTATTATGAAGTTTTTAAAAATTAGGTAGAAATCAATGAAAATATGCAACATATTGTGTAGAGTACAAAAAAACCTAATATCTTGACAACCTTCTTCCAGGGGCTTTTTACAATCTGCTTGACAGGTAAGAGGTCGATAGTACGAATTCAACCACTATTAGCAAATTAATACAAGCAACAACAGTTTATCTAGAAATAAGAGTACTCAAATGCTTCTTTAAGAAGAAAATATAAGAGCAATAACACCATCAAATGATTTTTTAAGGATATTTCAAAAACCAGTCAAGCACACTTTTGAATAAAAACTTTGCAAATTGGAATTAAATAAAGGAACATGATATAGAAAACATCAACAAGAAACTTACCCCATGAAGGTTTGTTTATAGTCAGTTTCAGCATCCCCTTTGCTTGTGAAGGATGAGTGACTATTGGGTATATCTCAATGCCATATGTATTATTGAATAGGTTTGTTACAGTTTTATCAGAGGGAAATTCTATGAATGGCAGCCAGTGCATACCTTGAATGATTGAACAACCAAAGCATCCTCCTAGAAGGAAAGTGTCAAAAAGAACATCCTCTTGATTATCTTTCAATGATCTTAATGCAATAATTAAAGTATTAAGTTCACAGATATGCATTACCAACCAGTAGAAATGCATTGGAAATACTCTTCCAACTCATGGTTGATTTAGTACTTTCCTAGTGGGAAAGGATTGTTTGTATTTAAAAGTTGGATAAATAAATACATTTATAGTTCGTGATAAAAGTTGACTCATTTAGTAGACCTTTCTTTTCAAGACAATCACAACTAAATCAACAACTTGAAGCCAAAATTCTGATGATGAAAAGACTGTAATGAAAATGCAGCTTGAGAGCTGGGTGAAGAGGTCACGGATTTTATGAATCATATCACACTATTATTTACATGTGATTAGAATTAATGACGATGTTAAAATAAGGAAAAACATAAAGTTAGTCATCTCTTCATACTGAAGAGTCTTCTGATGAAATACTTCCTGAAGCTGTAAAAGGTGCAAGATGATGGATTAGAGACATTTTCTGTCTACTATATGAGGATAGCAGCAACCTCATTTCTTAGTAATAAACTACTTAAAATTGCCAGCAAAAGTAATATTGAAAATGTTATACCATTCATTTTACCATATATTCAGGTCATCTCTACTCAGTGACATATGTTACAAAGTTTTAAAAGATACATTGTTGCCACTTACATCCATGTATTTATGTAAACCAAAGTTCTAGAAGAACTATAAAAAGAAGCAGAGAAATTATCTAGACCTTCACTCTAGTCTTCAGTAACAGCTTTCTTTAATCCAGCAGGGTTTGCTAAAATTGACCTGTTCAGCACAGATAGATGACAATTCCTTTTAATAGAGGTAATGCCAAACATTGTTTTTATACACCAACATATTGTGAATGGAGAAAAATGTAAATTTTGTTTGAAGATATCAAAGCATATTTATTGATCTCTCTCTTTATGCTTCTTTAATGAATACCTTTTAAAACAATTTCAACTTTTATTTTAGATGCAAGGATACATGTCCAGGTTTGTTGCATGGGTATATTTCATGATGCTGAGGATTGGGGTATGATTGATCCCATCACCTAGGTAGTGAGCATATTACTCAATGGTTAATTTCTCAACCTTTCCCCAACTCTAGTAGTCCCCAGTATCTATGGTTACCCTCTTTGCATAAGTGAAAATTGTTATCCTTTGCATAAGTGAAAATATGCAGTATTTGGTTTTCTGTTCCTGTGTTAATTATTTTATAATCATCTCCAGGTGCATCCATGTGGCTACAAAAGACATGGCTTCATTTTTTACAGCTGTGTAGTATTCCATGGGGTATATGTACCACATTTTCTTTATCCAATGCATTGTTGGTGGATACATTCTATCTATTTATGTCTAGTCTTTACCCTTCTCCTCCCCTCCAAAATCATTTTGAGTCTCCTACACCATTAGAGATTTATTAATAAAAATGCTTGACAAATATTGTTATAGTTCTCATTAACCTTTTATGAGTGGGCAAAATGAAGCTTATAGAAGCAAAATGACTTATCTAAAACTTAATAATCAGCTAGTTGTTGAGTTGGAACCCTATTACATATTTACTGACCTACCTGAGCTTCCTATTACATTGCAATTCTGTCTTGGTCTTGATATAAATAGTAACTAACCAGTAAGGCTAAATGAACTTTCAAGAAACTAAAACTAAAAGTTATTGAATAACATGCCAAGAAACAGCAATAAATAGATGGGATTGCATTGAGATTGTTAACTGTTGAAAGTGCTCCTTCTAAACTGACTTCAAAACTATACAACTCTTCCAATTACACCTTGTATCACTAGATTTAATATTAGAGATGATAGTAATGCCTGTCTGAGGTAATATTCAGCAAGTCTATTTTTCTCACTGACAAGACTGCTCATAAAAACTCAAGAAAATCTTGGTGGGGGGGAAAGTCAGAATTTCTGTTTATTATTACACTCACTTTGAAACTTGCATTAAATTTGCTTTGATTTCTTTAAAACCCCAGGCAAAATACCCAGTACTTATTTTTAGAATTTTCATTATAATAGAAATATTTGCTCTTCAGTCATTGACAAGATTAACCTTTTAACTTTTGGTTTTTGGTTTTTGCTTTTATCCTCACTTTCTTCTGACGAAGGTAGGCAAATTATTGAATTCCTGTTCCTAGAACTAATTGACAGGATGTGAAATATTTCTTCAGTTCTTATCACACTCCAGTCTTCTGTTCCTTTACTAGAAATTAAGTGTACACAGACTAACGTTTTAAATGCTTAACGGGATGTTCTTTATTTTATTTCTCAACCTTTCATACCATTGCTGTAGTACGTAAAACATAATGATAGCATTTTGGACATCATATGTCCATGATTCATACTGTTGATACAGATGTTTTGGCCCTCACTATGAAGACGAACAAAAAATATTTCAATAAATGCCATTAAGTACCTGAGAGTACCAATAAAATCTTCACTTGTTTTTTAAATATTACAGGCATGTAGGGTCATTCCTAGATGGATTCCAAAACCCAGGACCAGGGGACTTTATGAGTTTGGAGGTAGAGAAACAAAAGCATCCTTTTTAAAATGTATATTTAGTGCCATGAACAATGCTGAGCACATTAGATTGAGGATCTTATACCTAACAAACATGGTTTAAGCTATTGCCAACGGCAGTGAGGCAAGGGGAAAGAATAGCCAGGTAGGTCATGAAAAAAATGCCAATCAGTCTGAGGTCGAGGGAGGAAAGAGAGAGAAAACTACCCCATGACAGTTTATAAGTTTGCTGTCAATGGAGCATGTTTCTGCTTTCACCCTGAAAAGCTCCAGCTGTGTGCAAAGAGTCTTTCTCTCCTCTGGCAAGCCCTGCCTCCTGTCCAGAAAAAAATGCATAGCTGGATTTGTGACTTGCAAGATCTGATAATTGCACAGACCAACTCCTTTGCAACATTTTAGCCATGGCCACAGTGGCCATTCTCTATGCAAAGCCCTGGGAGGGCTACAAATGTCAGTGTATCCTCCTTCATCCTCATTTATTTGTCTTATTTTCATCTTCTCTACTCTCAGCTACACTTGGATAGTTGTTTAATGTGGCTAAAATTACTCTGTCTCATAGAAGGAGCAAGATAAGATCATTTACACTATTGTTTTAACATTAGTAATGATTGTATCTTGTCCTTGAAATCTTTACTTATTCCAAAATTTAAAGTATCATTCTCAATAGCAGCAGTAGACTGTATTCTTTTGCTTATTAATTAATGATATACAGATAGGTCAGAAGAAAATCAAACTGAACAAATGTCCCATGACTGGGGTAAGTGCGTTGATCTGCTTTTCCTTTCAGAGAGAAAAATCTGTCTTTATTCCTAAACCAAGGTGACATTTAGCACCAGCAGATTCCTTTATTGACAGTCTCAGAAGAACAGCCCTAGATTGAATCAGCTTTAACTGTTGTTTCCATTAAAGATGCATTGAGTTATATTGGCAAGCCAAGGTGGCAAGAACTGATGCTGCCACTAAGTGTGGCACCTGATATTTGGAAAACACTGGAGTTCTGCCACTGAATCAGTCAATTTAGCACCACTGGTCAACTTGAAGTGCATTAAGAGGAAAAACATATTTTCAAGTATAAAGAGCAGTTATTTGACATAATAGCAATCATGCAGGTAAACTAGTATTACCCATCACATTTGACTTTTTCAGCAACTCAAATTAAAAAGGGCTGTCTTGGTACAGAATCATATTAATATGTAGTTAATAAATAGTTAAAAATTAGTTGCTGAGAGAAAATTGCTTTCTGGACTATTAAAATAGAGAAGGTCCTTTTGGGTTAGTGCTGGGCAAGAGATTAATTTTTACTGACATTTATATCATACCTCTGAGCTTTAGAAAAATAAAAGTGGAATCAAATCAGGTCAAGCAAGTACAAATGAGAAGATATTGCTGAGAACTGCATGAGCACCTCAACACCTAAACCCAAATTAAACAGGAGCAACTCTGAATTGCGACCCCCCCCTGTGGATCATGCTGGGGGAGAAAATACAGAGGGTTTATTTAGAAAGTCTTGGCAGTAGGCAAGTATGGAAAAAAAGGTTCAAAATTGCTAATTTATTTTGCTAAGGAGCTCATCAAGACTAGTAGACACAGGAAAGATTTCAGAGTGTCTCATAAAGTGGCTTACAATCAATTGCAGAGCTAGACATATTAGTCTAGAATCAACACGTTATTGCTTTTAGTCACTGAACATAACTGAGCACAGCATGCTATAGAAAGATTGCAGGCCGCCAAAGCTGTTGGCTTTAGCAGATTTATTTATTTTTTTAGCTTTTGCAAGTGACAAAAACATATGCAGAGCAGTGGCCTTCTTTGAGCATGTTTGGTGAGCTGATCACCTTAAATTGCAACTTAAAACTTTGCTACTTAAATGGTTTATTTTCTTCTTTATCCCTCCTAAATTTCTCTGTCATTACTTTAAATGATGTATTTCTCACCAAGTATCATATTTATGCTAGAGTTCTAGCACTAAAAAAAGAGTCATTCCTCTGAAAAAAATATATATACATATTGTCACTTTTGCAAAAGAATTTTTCATTAAAACACTAGCATCCGTGACTCTCAAAAGTGAAATAAAGTATAATGCTTGCTAAGGTATAAAAAGACCCATTCTCCAAATTACAGGACTTGAGCACTACAATTTTGCTGCTGTGGCTGTTGAACATTTTAAGGAGTGTTTCTAATGCCCTTTATAGCTTCTGTGCTGAATGCAGAAACACTGTTCTCTGGTGACAGAGTGATGTTAGAAGTGTTAAAAAGTGCTAGTTGGCTTTTGCAAGGTTATAGAGAGCTTTGTGAACCTCATCTTTTATTATGCTGTGTCCTACCTGAAAGAGATGTACACTTTACCTGCATTGGTTGAGGGGTCCATATATAATTCTAGCTGAAATCCCCATTGCTAAAGGCAAGATATGGTGTTCTATCTGAATTCCAGTCCCTTGACTTTGACTATCAACAAATAGTCCCTAGTTAGCCCTATATTCCCATACAAAAAGGTAAACTTGTCACATTTTCATAATGCTATTTTAGCAACCACAGTCTTTGAAACAATTACTAGGTTTTTGTTTGTTTCTGCACTGAGGTAGGCTATTTTTGTTTGTTTGTTTGTTAGTTTCTGAGACGGAGTTTCACTCTTGTCACCCAGGCTGGAGTGCAATGACGCGATCTTGGCTCACTACAACCTCTGCCTCCCAGGTTCAAGTGATTCTCCTGCCTCAGCCTCCTGAGTAGCTGGGATTATAGGCACCCACCACAATGCCCAGCTAATTTTTGTATTTTTAGTAGAGTTGGGGTTTCACCATGTTGGTCAGGCTGGTCTCAAACTCCTGGCCTCAGGTGATCCGGCTGCCTCAGCCTCCCAAAGCGCTGGGATTACAGGTGTGAGCCACCACAACTGGCCGGCTGTTTTCTTATAAATGAAGAAACCACAGAAATTGCTAACTTTATTAATATATTTATTTTGAGATAGGGTCTTGCTCTGTCACCTGGACTGGAGTGCAGTGGCACAATCAGGGCTCACTGCAGCCTTGACTTCCCTGGCTCTAGTGATCCTCTCACCTTGGCCTCCTGAGTAGCTGGAACAACAGGCACATACCCCCACATCAGGCTGATTTTTTGACTTTTGTTTGAAGAGATAGGGTCTCACTATATTGCCCAGGCTGGTGTCGAACTCCTGGGCTCAAGTGATCTTCCCACCTTGGCTTCCCAAAGGGCTGGGATTACAGGTATGAGTCACCACGCCCGGCAAAATTGCTAACTTTAATGTTCATTTTGAGTCAAGCAGGAATAATACCTCTGAAACACTCTACCTGTACACTTTGTTTGGTTTCTATTACAAAGAGAGTGTGATTTCAGAACCAAACTTGGGTCATTCTAGTCCAATATCATTGATCTCAATGAAGCTTTTGGTGAACGAATGCCTGGAAAAAATTAGTATAAAGCAAAAATCATAATCATATCATTACAATAATAAAACATCTTTATCTTTTTTTCTATTCAAGCTTGTTGGAGCTTCTAGCTGTTTCTCTAAATAAAACAAAACAAGACAAAACTTATCAGCCCTCTCCATGTACATCTGAACCCATCCCATTATTCTGCATCTTTCTAATCTTATTCTGATTTAGAAAAAAGCAAACCTGCTTTTCTCTCTTTGTTGACATTCTAGATGATTTGGACCCTGTCCTACTTGGCCTGTCTGAAAGTTGTCTTAAGTTTCCTCTGTTCCAACTCTGAACCCTGCTCAGAATGCAGCTTCCTGCCAGGTCATGCGTTTCTAACAGTCTCTGCCTACAGCAACTTGTCTGAGGCCTGAAGCAACAACTTGGAAATTTCTTTGAAGAGAGAAAATTATAAATCAATAGGTACATTCAGATCAAAAGGAAGTGAGGAATCTGCAAAGGAAAAGCCATTTGAACCTTTTAATATGAACTTCCAAAACCTAAAAAAAAAAAAAAAATACTTAAAATATAGGAAAAAAAAAAAAGAGCCTACAGAGACAAGTTGCTTCAAGGTTAACTTTTTTTGAGAAAACCAAAAAACATCATTCACAGCTGAAGCAAATTAAACAGCATCACACATTTTGTTTTGAGTGTTGTGGTTAGCAGCAATAGCATTCATTGATACATCCACTCATCTAGTCATTTGACAGATGCTTGTTAAGAACAGTTTCTCACATGTTATTTCATTTAGTGCTTCCAAGTATAATGAGTTAAACATAGATCCAGAAAACCAAAATCACATACTTGAAGTTTTTCATATTAAAGAGTGAGCTGCTTTCAGTCTACTTCTTAACCCCCTTTCCACTAACTTTATTCCAATCTTTGGTGATGTTATGAGTTCACAGGCAGTTGCAGATGAAAAAAAGAAGGAAAGATACTGGAATAAACATAAAGTAATGACTGGAAATAGACTGTAGCACTCAGCTGATAAGTATCACTGCTCAGTGTAAAAGACAGCAAATCAGGTAGGAAATCACTATTACTGAATACATTTGGCAGATCTGGGTGCCAACATTGCTCTATAGCTTATGATGCTAAGATGGGAAAAAGACGCGGTGTGTGATTGAGAATGATCCATTAATTGATCACTTGACTGATCTTCAAGCAGGGAATGAAACAAATACTTGAGGTAATTACAAATATTTTCCAAAGATTCATAATAATATGACTCATATGAGAAAAATACATAATGCATTTTAAATATATATTAATTCTGTTTTTATATTATGACATCTCATTCTGTTCAATTGTTCAATTTAAATTTGAATGTTATTTGGGTGGCTTTATTCTAACAATTTGGCAATTTACTAGGGTAATAAAAGAATTCATTTTAACTAATAAGTGCTCACAAAAAGCTTTGTATATTAGAGTTAAGTTTTATTGAATTTGAACCTGGTCTGGCATTACATTGCTATTTAACAGATACCGCATTTATCATGTTATATTATATTCATTGCCTGTGCATTAGCCTCACCGTTTCCTCAAATGCACTTTGGAAAAGTATTTAAAGGAGTGTTCATTTGGATAAAATGCATGTTTATTTCATTAATAGCTTTGTCACTGAATTAAAACTACATTTTAAAATACATATAAACTTAAGGACGATGTGGCTATTTTGCAAAATGGCCTTTGGACTTAAGATTCAGAAGCAATTAAAAGCTGGATTAAGATCTCCCTCTTTTTAGGACTCCTTCATTTCTCTATCTTATGTGATGTTTAGAAAGGCCTTTAAAAAATTCACAATGAAGTCCAGGCATGGTGGCTCACACCCCTAATCCCAGCACTTTGGGAGGCCAAGGTGGGTAGACCACTGACAGAGTGAGACCCTGTCTCAAAAAAAAAAAAAATGAAATTATTTTAAAATAACATTTGCAGTAGGACTTATTTGTACATGTTCAATGGAGGTTAGGATAATATCTGTCTAATGTACTTGTATACTTGAAGATATATAATAATTGGCTGGACGTCGTGGCTCACACCTGTAATCCCAGATCTTTGGGAGGCTGAGGCAGGCAGGTCATGAGGTCAGGAGTTAGAGACCAGCCTGGCCAACATGGTGACACCCCATCTCTACTAAAAAAAAAAAAAAAAAAAAAAATTAGCTGGGCATGGTGGCAGGCACCTGTAATTCTAGCTACTAGGGAGGCTGAGGCAGGAGATTCAGTTGAATCCAGGAGGCGGAGGTTGCAGTGAGCCAAGATCACACCACTGTACTCTAGCCGGGGCAACAAGAGTGAAACTCCGTCTCAAAACAAAAGAAAAAAAAGGACAGATAATAATAATAGTTAATGTTTACTGAGCACTCAGTATGTGAAAACAACTCTGTTTTGTGACTTTACATTGTCTGATTTAATCTATATTATATCACAATGAGATAGATATCATTGTTTTGCCCATTTTATAAGTCAGAGCACTGAGATATAAAGGGAGATCAATGGTGGCTTGCTCAGGATCCCACGGCCACTCCTTTGGGCTAAAGATAACATGACCTATACTTGGAATAATCATACATTATATAATTAATAACTAGGTCTGTGGCTTTTTTTGTTTTTTTTTAGACAGGGTCTCAGTTCTGTCACCCAGGCTGGAGTACAGTTGACGTGATACTGGTTCTGTGGCATTTTTAAAGTAACATTTTATTAAACTAAAAAGGCACTATTTTAAGGTAGTAACCCACCTAGATGAGTCCCAATGATCATAAATTTTTCTGTTACAAATTTTCTGAGTTCCAATTGGCATTACATTAAACATTAATGTTCCCAAATTGGGAAAGTTAATTGTCATATTAATTAGAACACATTGAAAATAAACACTATTTATATACATTTGATTTTCAAGTGAATTTGGCTGTCCTCCCTTTTTGTGTGGGTGGGGTAAGCAACTTCGTATATCATATTGCATGAACTCAAGGGAGCTAATTAGGGCTCATTTTCCCCACAGTTCTCAAAGTGTATGAAGTTGTGTGTGTGTGTGTGTGTGTGTCTGTGTGTGTTCATATTTATGACAGAGAGAGAAAAAGAAGAGGGAGAGACAGAAAAACTCCAGTTAAAAAGCAAATGCCCTTGAGACGGATCTAGTTAGCTGAAAGTCACATGAAGCTGTATGTGTCTGTGGATGGAGTGTGTTGTAACTGGAGGAAAGTTGAACTGAACCATATGTCCCTATCAGGGTAGGAAGATCCAAAGGGAAATCAGAAAACTGTGAGTAGGACTTTAGTGCCTGAGAGTAAGGGAGCCTGTGAATGTAACTAAGGACTTTTGTGAATTTTATATTTTATGTAAGTTTAACATCTATATTAAAGGGAATTTTATTTTAAAGCATCAGGGGTATTGCTAGAAATGCAAGAAAGAACAGATGCATTTTTTGATAGCCTCAAACCAGCAACTAGGGAACTGTCATTTGCTGAGGCAGCTACTTTCTCCATGGCTCTTGCTGTCTCATGCTCACTCTCTAGCTCTCTTCTAATGTCTCTACATGGTATCTCCTCTATGCCTTTCTCTGCAATTCAGCTTCATCCTTTGTACTCTTCAGTTCCTTTTCTCTGCTTCTGCACATTTGATAGCCAAACTAATCTAACTACAGATTTCATTATTGGTCTAGTTGAACTACTTGACTTCTCCTGGTTCGAATTCCAATATTCCCTGGAGAGAATGTGGTTGGATAGCTAGAGTCAGATGTATGCTACCTGCCAAGTCAGCTCTGGTTGGGTTGGCACACCATACATGGGTGGTACCAGGGACCACCCATAAGGAGTTTCAAGTATGGTTTTGCATTAGGGTTAATGTCCTGACCAAATCACAGGACTAAATAAGAGAAAGTAAAATTAGGGGAACTGACAGACACTGTAATTGTCCTAAAGACCAGGGATGAAAGGGGGAGAATAATTTCTAGAACACTGGCAGAAGCAATGGAATTAACAAGGCATACATAAGGCTAGAAATATATTTTCCCAGGTTACTCCTGGAACAAATAAAAGAAGAAAATAATGATACAAAATCAATCTAATGTAGGAAAGGATGTATTCTAACTTCGATGATACTTTATTGATACAAAACAAGTGACAGTGATCATTAAATCAGGTCAGTGTTACCTTGGCTAAGCTCTCAAGTTAATGAATGTCGAGATGACCTGTTTGTAGCAATAACCAAAGGTCACTTTCAGGTGAATTCCACATCCTCCATGACCTGTATTTGTGGTTCTAAATCTTAGTTGGAGAATCTTTTCACTGTATTTTACTTTTCCTTTTATATCTGAATCTCTGAATTTCAGTAGTTTCAAGTGAAGCTTTATTTCGGAAATCATTAGTACTTCCTCTATGAAACAGATCTTTTTGCAGTATCCAGAATGGCTCTTGTCCTGGCTATTATTTCAACCCCTATAGATAGAGCAACAGGTGATGCACTTGAGTGGAAGAACCTAATCCTGAAATGTATCACATTTCCATGCTCAAAAGCCCACTGAAATTCTGTAATTTACTGTGACAATCACAGGGTAGCTGCTCTTTACTCTTTAATTATTGAAGGTGTTTTGTCAAGATAAATAATGATAATGTTAATAATTGCTGATAGTATAGTTCCTGCTAGCTTTTCCCAACAAAAAAAAATCAGTATTCATCCTCCTGAATATATTTAAAAGACAATGTAGAAGGAAAATTTTTTTAAAACCTGACATTTTGAGAGTAAAGAATAGGAAAATACACAATAGGTAAAGGAGGGTTGTGATAGTAAAAAAGAATAGTATTCAATTTAAATTTTAGAAATAGTAGTCATACAAAGGCAATGCTGGTTGCTATAGACTAAATGTGTACTCCTAAAATTCATATGTTGAAGCTTAATCCCCCAGTGTAATGGTATTTAGATTTGGGGGCCTTTGGGAGGTGACTGGGTCATGAGAGTGGAGCCCTTATAATGGGATTAATACCCGTATAAAATTGACCCCAAAGAACTCCCTTGTACTTCAACCATGTGAGGACACCAAGAAAACACAGCTGTCAATGAATCAGGAAACAGGCCCTCACAAGACACTGACTCTGCCAGTATCTTGATCTTGCACTTCCAGCCTCCAGATCTGTGAGAAATAACTTTCTGTTACTTATAAGCCAGCCAATCTCTGGTATTCCATAGCAACACAAAGAAACTAAGACACCGATCTTATTAAAACCCATCTGGTTGTCAGAATTCACCTTCTAGCCCTTAGCCATCTCTTTTTCCCTTGGAGCCCCTTTGCCCACACACCACGTATAGTGATGGCTTTGTGTCCTTATTTTATCAATCTACTCTCAGAAAAGATTCTGATAATCTGATGTACACATTTCTAACTTACTCATACGTCTTAATACTTTTTCTATCTCAATACATTTCAATAAACAGCAAACTCTAAAACCAAACAAAGAAATTCAAAACTTGGAGTCTAATAAATTCTTTAAGGCATCATTAGTACTTCCTCGGTATCTTTACAAAATGCATCGCTGCCCATTTTTAATCAGAGCCATAGTTGGGATGAGGACAGTCTGGCCCAGAGCACATTCTCCAAAAGGGGTTATTTTATTTTATTTTATTTTATTTTATTTATTTTCTTTTATTTTTTGAGATGGAATCTCACTCTGTTGCCCAGGCTGGAGTGCAATGGTGCAGTCTTGGCTCACTGCAACTTCTGCCTCCCAGGTTCAGGCAATTCTCCTGCCTCAGCCTCCTGAGTAGCTGGGACTACAGGCACATGCCACCACAACTGGCTAATTTTTGTATTTTTTGTAGAGACGGGGTTTCACCATATTGCTCAGGCTGGTCTTGAACTCCTGACCTTGTGATCTGCCTGCGTCGGCCTCCCAAAGTACTGTGATTACAAGCACGAGCCACCACACCTGTCCCCAAAAGGGGTCATTTTTTAAAAGACTATAAAAGTTATATGTTGATAGGATAATGTATTAATTTGCTAAGGCTGCCATAATGATATGCCACAGACTGGGTACCAAGCAACAGAAATTTATTCTCTCACAAGTCTAGGGGCTGGAAGTCCAAGATCAAGGTATTAGCAGGTTTGTTTTCTTCTGAGGCCTCTCTCCTTGGCTTGCAGATGGCTGCTGCTTGCTGTGGCCTCACATGTAGCCTTTTCTTTGTGCATGCATCTCTGATCCAAATTTCTTCTTATAACAACACGGTCGGATTAGATTAGAGCCCACCCTAAAGGCTTCATTTGAATTTGGTCACCTCTTTAAAGACCCTATGTCCAACAACAGTTACATTCTGATGCATAAAAATACAAATTTTGGGGAGACACAATTCAGTTCATCACAGGTGGTCATTAAGACTATAATGAAGAGTCATTAGAAAAAGCAGTATAGAATATTTAAAATATCAGCAGGAGGAATTGTTGGAAGTTTGGGGAAAGTGGTCCAAAAACTGCATCTTTTATTATTTGTATTAATTATTTAAAAATAGATTGTAAGCATGTGTCGGTATGTGTGTGCTTGCACCATCATAGGTGAGTCCCTTTTCTCCTGTCCTGCTCTCAAGACCTCCTATTCCTAAAGGGAAAAACCAACTCTGTCTGCTGCTCATTTGACCCCTGTTAAAAGTAGCCTGCAAGAAGGAGGTGCTGTCTGGCATCCAGAAGACATCTGTGTTGTTCTATCACCCCTTTGATATCATTACACTATCTAGGGGTGAATACATTTTACATAAATAGATTTAATTTTGTTTTTTTTTTAATTTATTTTATATTAAGTCCTGGGATACATGTGCGGACGTGCAGGTTTGTTACATAGGTAAACGTGTGCCATTAATTTGGAATGGGGATAGTTCTAGGAAATATCAGCAGAGCAAGTGGGAAATAATTATATTTTCTTTTGTCCTTTACTCCCCATCATTTTCTTAACATCAGAGTTTTGAAAGTTGCCTAAACTAATGTGCCACTTAGAAGGCACTTTTCTTTGATATTTCAAAACTGCTGATTGAAGCAACACAAAGATGCTATAAATGTAAAAAGAATCTGTGGCAAACGTTAGAAGATTTCCAGTTTCTAATTTAAAAAAATTCTTAGTACACAAATGTAACACCTAGAACAATGCCTATCAAGTTGTTGGGTCTTAATAGATACCTGTTGCTGAGTGAATCTGGCAGGCTGTCTCCTGCTCCCACGGTGTTTTACACCTGCCTCTTTTATTGCAGTCATTGTTGGCATGATAATCACGTGTTCTTACATTTGTCACTCTAACTAGACTGCACAGTCAGTTTATTTCTGCCTCTGCAGGATATAACAAAGTGCTTGACACGTGGCAGACACTGAATAAATTTGTTTTGACCAAAGAACATAAAGAACATGTATTTTCAACAGTGGTGCAGACACAACTAGCATTTCACAGCCCTGTGTGTGCAGTAATTGCAGGAGTGCCTCTAGAAACTTGCCACAACATTTCTCTGATGCCCCAAATCCCTTAAATAGAGGATTTCTAATATTCATCTGAGGTGAATCTCAAGGGCCAAATGTTCCCAGGAGTGATAATACTACAAATTCACAATACAGTATGGAGAATTGGTATCAGATCCTTCCTAGGAATGGATTTTTATGGCTGAATCAAGGATGCTGAGAACAGTAGGACCTTTTGTTCATAGTTATTGGGTATTCAGGATGAGGAATAGAAAAGAGAGATCCCTGGCAAATCGTGACATTTGCCTCTCTCACTGCTGCTGTGAGATTTAGCCTGGGTGAATCTGGTAATGGCGTATATAAGGGATAGTGAACAAGAAACAAAACCGTCACACATTCCAGAAGGTAAAGTCATAGTCCATATACCTATGGTCATTAATGTGAATGCACTTAAATTACACTGATTTTCCTAATGCCGGTAGACATTCAGAGACCTAAAACTTATTACTTCTTCATGTTTGCTCAGCCTCTGTATTTCTTTTGTGGCCTGTATTAGGTAATTTGATTGTCTATTGATAAGGAGATAGAGGAATAAATTGAAATAATGTACAGTATATACCTTGGCTGATAAAAGTTCTGGTGATAACATGGCTTTTTGCCTAAGATAGAAATTAGAAATTATCAGTAGAGTAGAATCAAATATTACTAGTTTTTAAGTAGTAATTAGAACTAAATATTAGTATTAATTTGTAGATGTAATGAATTTTGAAGTGATTAAAAATATATGTTTCTTAATTTTGTGAGGCTATGAAAATTTTACATAATCCATACTTTTTTGGCCTAACGAGATATTAAGAGAGAATATCGAAGAATTAAAATATCACATTTGTGTGTTCTGAAGATCACATTGCTTTCTGCCTTTGAATACTTTCCTTCTGTATAGCAATGCCAAGGATCAGCTCTAATTATTTTCAGTAAGAAATGGAGGAAAACATGATTTAATTGATTTTCTTCAGTCTGCCAGAGGACTTGGAAGCAGGTTGGTGTAACAGGATACTCACCACACTGAGAGTTGAGTTGTAGAATTTAGTCCAGTTCTGTCACTGCTTAGTAACTACAGTCAATGCATTTGATTGAACACAAAAATGTTTACTGAGGATTTCCTACACACCTTATGTAGTGTTAGGTTCTGAAAACATAAAGATGAATGAGACACAGTCTCTCTTCTGTGCCTCGTTGTCTGCCTTCTTGAAGAATGTAAGCAATTTACATGGCGGAGAAGACAATCCAATCAAAAGGCACAGCATGAGCAAGGTCATAAACACTTGAAAGTGTCCTAATTTATTCCTCAGCGTTGAGGTAAAGTAAGTGTTCCACTGAGAATGAAAGATGGCATACATTAGAAAAGATTGCATTGGAGGGAAGCATGATAGCATGAAGGGTCTCCAGAGTCATCCTGAAGATTTTGGGCTTTATTCATGCGAGCTTACCTAAATTTCCATATAGGTTTATAGGAATGGAAGCATGAATGTTTCCTGATTATACTTAGTCGTGTTCTATTTAAACAGAAACAAATTTTTGTCGAATGGTGAAGTCGAATCTATTATACTAATTAAAAGAAAAATAAATCTGGAAATGTGGGTTGGGGGCAGAATATGATAATCATTGAATGGCATGCTATGGAATAACTATTTAGGAACAGAAAAGTCATGATTAGCTCAGGGGAACTATCATAAATATGAGGGATATTTAAAACCTTGGCATCTGTTTGGAGTTAAATAGACCTGCATTTCAATACTTGCTCCCCTACCTACCAGTATCATTGGAATACTAGCAAGAGACACTTCAATTCCTTAGGCCTTTGCAGCTCATCTGTGAAATGAAAATAAAGTCTGAGTTCGTGAATAGTATCCAGAACACAGTAAGCACTGACTAAATGGTAGTTACAATTTTTAGTTTATTCTTTGTGGAAGAGTAACCATGGAAATGAAAGGAATTCGTAGAATAATGTTTACAGCACTAGCATTAGCACAATGTGTTAGTAAACAGGTTTGAGTTAGAAAAAGCAATCATTAAGCACTACCTACATTTAAAGGTAGAGTGACCTACCTTCATGATTTTCCCAGTACTCAGGAGATTCTGGGACATGGAACATTTATTGCTGAAGCTGAGAAAGGCTCTGGTAAACTGGGATGGATTGATCACCCTATATAAAGGGCTTTCCCCACATAAATCCTATGAGGAAATGTGGTGATCCATTCCATAGAAGGAGAAATTGACGTTCAAAAAAATAAGGTTACTTGCTCAAAATGACATAGCAGAAATTGATATTCAAGCCTACATTTTTTTCTGATCATAGATAGGCAGTTAAAGTGTATAAATACAGTGGTTCCAGAGTCAAACTACCTGGGTTTAAACTATATGTGTTTATGCCTCAGTTTTCCCAGTAAATGAGGTTAATAATGTGTTTTCTCATAGTTTTTATAAGAATTAAGTGAGGTGGTGTTTGTAAGGAGTTTAGATTAGTACGTGGTACATGGTAAACTCCCCAAGGAGCAGATGTTTTGTCTCAAAAAAAGTATTAACCTTTTACTATATAACCAGTAACCTATAAGATACAGCTTTGAGAAAAGAGGATATAAGGGACTCAATTTTATGTCCTTTGAGTTTGAATCAGATGATTACCAAAGGAAAATGTCCAATAAGCCACTAAAACTAGGGATTTGGAGCTCATATGAACAGCCTGAAATAGAGATATAGTCAATTATACCAGATAATGGTTGATGACATGGGAAGATATGGGCGGATCCTTGGAGAGAAAGCATGTGGTTAGAAGAGACTACTGCCAGGACACCAAAGATATGAGGAAGAAAATATGAATCAGATGCTTTCAGGCATCTAGTCTGAGATGACTGCTAAGCTTATTTTTAACAAGGGAGATAAAGTACAAACTCAATATGCATTATGCATGTTACACAACACCTAGGGGAAGAAGACGTGGGGCTGCACTGGGGGAGCAGTGGGGAGCAAGAAGCAATTGAACTTATGTGGTTCTCTAAGGGTCTTAAGGAAAGTTGAAATCTTAAATTTCAAATTCAAGAACATGGAGGGTTTTATATGTTACGTTGAATAAAATGAATTAGATAATAAAAGTGTACGTACTTCTTTGATGATTGAGAAGGCACTTCAAAATATCATGTTGTGTTTCAAGTTGATCTTTTAAACCACCCTTACATGAGAAGTAGAGAAGTTCTGCTTAATAAAGCATTTTAACTGATACCATTTTGAATAAGAAAAAGGTTAGTAAATGAAACGGAAAAGAAGTGCAATGGAATAAAATCCCCGTGCATCGTGACACTGAATGTACTTTCAAAAATATTCCTGATCTAAGCATTAATGCAAAGAAGTCATTCACCAAGAACATTATATTACTTAACAATCCTTTGAGTTCCTCATTTTTCATTTTTCTCATTAAAATGGACTACTTACTTGGCTTATCTTTAATTGAGCCTGAGTTTCTGCCATTAAACTATACATAAAATCTCTCATCAGAATCACTGGAGACCTGGGAGGTGGCAAGAAATCAGCAAAATATTGAGAAGAAAATGTTAAAAAAGTGGCAGAATGGGAGTGGCAACTTCAGGCATCCTTTGTAATGAGAGATTTTTCTTACATCACAGTATATCAGTATGGTTTAGAAAATCGAGTTACTATCTAAACTGATATAGCCAGCTCATTGGCAAATGAACAAAGCTAGTTAGGCCGATGTAACCCCCTGCCAGAGTTTCTGTTTTTGCACCAGGGTTTCTGTTATATGCATCCTCAGCAATATCACTGTGGGAGGTGCTAAACTCAGGATGTGTGATTTAGGGATTAAATGACTCTAGTTGATATTGCTAGCTGCAGGATTCATTTCAGAAAGCTCAAGACAGGGATTGGTATGTGGGAGTTGAATGAAAGGACTTCAAAATTAAAAATACTATCCCTCTAAAACTCAAAGAATGAGCCGACAATCCAAAGTGCCTTGGCACACATCCATAATGGTTTTCTCTCTGTACTGGAAGTAATGCAAATCATCACTGAGATGAATGATGTTCTTGTGAAAGCTTTTAATTTCATAAGAAAGAGAATTACCCGTAATCGTTGTGTTATTAATACATAAAAACAGGCTAACATGAGCCATAGATTAACCATTGCCTTTTAATTTAACACCCTGGAGAGGAAAATTCAGGTAATTATGCTTTATCACCAAACAGTAAGCACAGGTTTGTCTTTCTTGGTTGTCTTTGTAACAGTATGCAAAATCTTTAGCCAAGAGGTTCCTTATAACACCTGTATTTTAAAATATGATATTCTTTCCTTAGGTTAGAAATAACTGCTTATTCATACACTTTTCTAATATTTAAAACCATGAATGCAAAAATGACTTTTACTGAAAATCATATATGATTGTACTTGTTAGGGGACATAGAAGAAACATTCAGGACAACTCAGCACAGATGTTGAAAATGTTCTGTTTATCCTATTATATATAATCAGATTAACCTTTCCTTTTGTGCTATAATTATTACACAGAATGGCAAGGTTCATTTGGTGAGGCATGACTTTCTTTTAATGAGCTCACTTATGTAAATCCCTTGATTAAAGGAGAAATAAGAGAAATGGGAGCAATTAGCACAACTTGGGCAGACAAAAACCTAATTTGAATCAGCTAAAATTAGAAAGAAGCTCAAGTAGTTTACTTTCAACCTTACATCACTCCGTTTATAGTCCCACAACTGTTTGGGCCTTAATACCTCACACCTGGGTTAGGACAATAATTTCCACACTGGACATTTTGCATCTTGACTTTTTTTTCAATAATCCATCTTGCAAACAATTTCCTGGAAAAATATGCTTAAAACATTTCTGAGCATTTCAAAACAGTTCAAAAACCTTCACTAGCTCCCTACTAACCTGTGAATTTTTTATCAATGTCCCCACTGGGAACTAGACCTACAGGTGGCCACCTCAAACTTTTCCAAAGGTCTATTAACTGGCAGCCAGCAGTTTTTGGTAAGGATAATTTGTTGGATTTACAGAGTGTTTTATAAAATGTTGAAAGTAGTTACTCCTGTTTAAAAATCAGAAGAGATCTCATTTTTAAAAGCATGTGCCCTAGCTACCTTGGGACCTATCCCCAGGGGACAACGGTTACATTATAGCTGAGGGGAAGCTGCCTCCTTGCTTCTGGGATCATCCCTCTAGTTTGCCAGAAATTCTTATTGCCTTATACTTCACCTGTTTCCCTCATTTTCTTCACCTGCCTATAAGCATTGTAGTTGGTAACCTCTGTTGTGTACTACGATACTACAAAAACTTCTACCTAAGCCAATTGATCTAACCATGGTCATTCCTACCTCCATGCCATTTTCACCCAGTGTCGCCCACTTAAAATACCTTGTTTAGGATATATCATCATTTTACCCTTCTAAGTTCTTCTGTTTCAAGGATATTCCCCAGTTCCTTCTATCATCAGGGATTGTGCCTGCCTTGGTCTGAAGAACTCTGTGGTTGTTTGGCATTTGGTTTGAAAATAAATAGCATAATTTCTTGCAGTCTATATATTATTCACTTCCAAAAATACATTATAAACTACTAGAGGATTGGGACAATCACATTTGTCTCTTTGTAAATCTGGCTGTAGCATCAAATTGTATAAACAATGAGGACTAAATAAATATTGAAAATTGAGTTATTCCAGATACTGCTTTTGGCACTAGAAACCCGAATGCAAACAGAACACTGACTTTTAGTCAACTTCCCGTGTTAGTTTATAGTTTAGCATGAGAAGACTGTCTTAGGGCAATGTAACATTCAAAAGCCTGTAGATTCGTTTTGAAAATAAAATTAATATCATTTATTAAATACTTATCTTCCAGGCACTATTTTAAATGATGTCCTCAATTAGCCCACATAATCCTCACAACCATTCTTTGAGGCAGGTTCTTGGGGGTAGCAGTAACCTTGTTTCTTGTGCTTTCCCAAGGACATCTAGATTATAAGTAATGGCGTCAAGATGTGAACCCAGATATGCTGAGTCAAGGGACATAAGAATAGAAGGAATAATTCTGTCTGTGAATCTGGAATGATTTCCTAGAAGGGGTGGCATGCTGAGTTGTTCTTGTGATGCTTAGGAGTCCATCATACAGACAAGGGTAAAGCATGCCACACCAGGATTAGTGAGAACAATATGATTAAAGACAGTGGGCAGAAAGTGAGTGATGTGTTCAGGGATCAGTGAGCAGCTAAGTGTGGTTAGAGGACCAGATGTGGCAGAATGAAGTAAGAAATACTAAGGAATTTGGACATTTTCCTGTGGACAGTAGAAAACATCAAAAGTTTATAAGCAAAGCTGTAATGTGTTCAGATCCATTTTAGTGAGATTAACTTCTACAATGGTTTGGATGAAGTTTTGGGGCCAGGCAATCCAGGGAAGGCAGTAGTCCAATCACAGTGACACAGCTTTAGCCAAGAGCAGTAAATTTAGATGCCAATCAGGAAACAAAGAGGAGAATTAGATTCTAAGAAATTTGAGAAGAAACTTGAGGAGATATGATATCAAAATCTCAAACCTAGCTGCTGATGCCCTTAATAAATATGGGGACATCAGAAGGAAATTTGAAGCAGTAAGATATTGAGAGTAGACTTTGTAAATACATCTTAGGTACCTTATCAGAATGTTTTTTCCTTTATTATGTGGTAGCTCACATTGATCCTCTAATTCCCTGAGAAATTTCCAGTTCATTTTGGCATCAAGCACAAGTTCTCCTTAAAGGAGGATGGAAAGTTCGTGTAATATTTTTAGGTTTTATGGCTGGATTTTGGGAAAAGGGATTCTGGTTTCTATGACTCACCTTGGGGAAGAGGGATTCTAGTTTCTATGGCTAGCCTTCGGGGAGAATGGCACTGAGAAATAGCGCAGGAGAAGGTAAGAGAAAACCTTTTGCTTCTGAGGCCTTCACTTTGGGCTATTGTTTTCTGAGGCCCAGAGGTGTGCACATAATAATTTATGGGTTACATGTAAAAATTAGGAAACATTTCTAATGAAAAACGTTAGCTCAATATATTATTCTCTTAGGTCATATGAGATTACAATTTTAGAATAAAGAAACTAATTTTAACATTAAGGATGAGGCTTCTTCTTGTGTTTTCCTTTATTATTTTGATAAATCGATGCTATTCCAAGCACTGGGAATACAGAAGTAAAAAAATAGACAAGGCACCTGCTCTCATGGAGTTTACAGTCTGCCAGCGGGGAATAAACAAATACCAGCTTTTACATGGGATTTGAGTAGAACGTTACAATAATGTCGAAGGTATCTTACCAGAGTTTTAAAAATGTCAATAGAAATTTAATAACCACACTATTTTGCTTGATTAATTTTTCTCTAAGAAGCTGTGTACTTACCAGAAGCCTAATGAACAGAAGTTTACCCTTAGATGGCAGGAAAATGTACTGATGCATAAAGCAATATCTAAAGTTCTCTTTAGTTCTCACACTAAACCTCATATTTACATATGAGTTTCAAAGGTAGAGTTCCATGACATTATGTATATTCTTTGGTTGAATCTTTTTCTTAACACAGAGTAAATCAGCAGATGACAAAGGAATGTGCCCTGGAGGCTAAGAATATATTTCATTTGGGCTATCTCGTAATGCCAGTTTTGCTTTTACCATTTCTAGTGTCAACGGTTTCATTTTCCATTTGTCATACTTTTAGAAGGCAACAAAGTTCAAAATACGGCAAATATTCACATGCTTGTACAATACTACTGGAAAGGCCATTTCAAAACCTGACACTATTGTGTACATACTATATGCCAAATACTGCACACTGGAGAATTATAATATCTCTAAAATAGAACTTTTGGCTGGAAGGCTATGCCACCATACAGAAGCATATTTTGGCACCGGAGAGGTGATCCAGGGTTGTAACAGGGTACAGGTTAAATATAAAAAATAACAAACACTTTGTATTGAGGGTAAGAGTGAAAATCAACTAATTAAAAATAAACACAGGCATTAAATTAAGCGGCTCAAAATTGTAATCCTGACTCTCCTTTTGTGCCCTTGGAGTGATTAGTCATTGGGTTCACTATCAACATTTACAAATGATGTGACTATTAAAGAAAACGTATCTGTGTATAGACATCTATAGCATCTAACAAAGGAACTGTAACACAGAGAATGCTAAATAAATAGTTTGTCTTTCCTGGTTGCCTGTGGTTAGCAACCCTGATGTGCATTATAATCACCTGGGGAACTTAAAACACTACTGGGGACCCAATCAGTGTCTCTAGGAAGAGAGACCAGGTATCAGTAATTTTTTCAAGCTCCCCAGATGATTCTAATGTGAAGCCAGGCTGGGAAATATTGGGTTTTTTAAATTTCTCTCTTCGTGCTTATGAATAGGATTTAGGCTATTTACAGAGAAACCTCTTCCCAATTCCTGTGGGTTAAATAGGATTCTGATGAAGGAAAGACAGAGAGAATGAGAGAAGAGAATAAATTATCTCTGCTGTCTTCAAATAAGAGTAGCTAACTCTGTTAACACATCCTCCAATTCCATGTTTCTCAAGGTGTGGCTTTGCAATGCCTGCATCAAAATAACTCTGGGTCCTGGCTGAAACTACAACATATTGAGCCCAGCCACAGACCTTCATAATAATTTCATTAGGAGTGGGGCAGGGGCAGAAATCCAAATTTTTACTAAGCACCGTAAAGAACTTCATGTACTCAAAATTTGAAAATCACTGCTCTAAGTTAATGCCCTAAGCTCTTTTTTTTTTTCCGTTCTGAAATTTCTTCACAAACATACTGCAGTTGCTATTGAGTAATTTCTATTTGGAATATGCTACAGCTCAGTCAGATAATCAGAGAAATTCAAGAAGGGGTTTAATAGACTATGGAAATCTAGCTATTGAACATAGCTTGAAGATAGGTGGATTTCAAAACCCATTTACTATTTTGATTGACCTAACTGTTTCAATCTGTCAAAAGCAAAAAATAGTCAAACTCTTTTTTTTTTTTTTTAAGTGTACAACAGATTTTGCAATGTCTGGATCTCACTTAGAGAACAAGTGAGCCCTTTAGGTTTCACTGATATTTTCTCAGGAACACTTTCCCTGATTCTTGGGTCCATTAGGCCAACCTGCTGTTGGTTTTCTGAGCATCCTGTACAGCACTCACCATTCTTTATTGTTATCCTCTGTATAATTGTCTAAACTTTCTACTCGGTAGGAAGATGTGCGAGAGCAGGATTTTCTTTTGCCTTGCTCACAACTGTTTTTCCAGCACCTAGAGGTTCTATACTCCACAGAAGCAATCACTGAGTGACTTTTAAGTGCCCCCTACCTCGCCACCCTCCACCGCCAAAAAAAGTTTAAATGTGCTTGGGAATGTAAGCACAAAGTAAGAATGCTTTCATGCAGTCACTGACCTTTAAGCTTTTCTCTGAAAAAGCAGCAACTGTCCTTCCAAGAGATGACTTTTAGCACCTCTAGCTCCTACTCTGCTACCTCCTCACCGTATTTAATACTGTACAGCTCAGAAACAGAGAATGTTGGTGCTAAACATAATGAGGGTAGAAGCACCGTAAGCTAAAGCTAGCATTAGCATCATGATAGTAATCATCATATTAAAGTGTACAACAGTGCTGAGTGCTGTACCTTCCTCCTGCTGATGTACTGTGGGTTTTACCACCTAGTCTTCTTCTAGTTTTGAATGCTATTTGTAGCCACTTTCACAGAAATGGAGCCAATTGTTTCTTATAGAAGAAAATCTGTAGTTCTGTAGTCTATTGATGACTCTTAATTCGTTTCAAGCATGTTTGATGTTCAGGTGGCTGAGTAGCACTACATGCAGCATTACCAAAGAGGCTTATGGGATCTATCCTGGTATACAAGTTCCATATGACATTACCCATTTCGCTACCATCTTTTCTGGAAAACATCCTAATTGATTGTTATCTTTACATTTAACTATCTATATTTACTTTCCAGTGCTTCTTCAGGTAGTCTAATATTTGCTTCTGAAATAAATTGTATTCCCGATGCACGTTTCAATGTAATATGAAAGTAACAAATGTCATATTTACTGCCTCTTTCAGGACATTAACAAGGAGAGTAAATGAGATTGAGCCTAACAGCAACCCTCTACCTATGAGATGGGAATGCTGTACTGATTCGGTGACTTACTATGTTTTATGATCCTTATTTTATAAACCATTAGCTAATAGTCCAGCTAGTACACATTCATTTTTAAGTTAAAATGCATGGGGTGACAAATTTTATGCTGATTACTGTTTATTTTTTAATTACTAAAATAATGTAGAGAAGAAACGGCTGTTTTATCAACTACAAATTTCTAATTTTGAAAGAATGCCATGTAAAATATATTTTAATATGACTTAAAAATGGTAAAATGATATGTGTTATGTTTAAACATGTCTGGCTAGCAAAAATAAAAAAAGAACGTGATATGCTTATTTATAAAAATGACTGCCCTTAAAATTAAGAAAACTGACCTATCTTATTTTTTATAAGGACAGTTCTATGATACACAAAAGATTATTATTACATTACCGTATTATTATTATAGATTTTTCTGTATGTTTCTTTTAACATCGCCCATTTCTTTTGACTATTGCTCATTGCCAGGTGGCAAACTATTAATGTCCGTCTTTGAAGGTGTCATTCAAATATAAAAACAGTCACTCATATCCCCTCTCAGTTAGTGGTCACCAAGCCAACTTCTACATATTTAGTTTCTTAATCTTCCCTCAAAATTGAATCTCTCCATCTATTTAATCACTATAGTGGTTCTTCCCCATTGTCTGCTGAGAAATTATGTGGGAAAATTGATGTATTATATCTTAATTTTCTTACTCCTAAAATTTCAAAATAGAATGTTGTAGCATGACTGCTTATAGCTGTATATTTTGGAGAAGCATCTGGTATTCAGAGTTGTTCTAAGTCTTCAGTTGCACCCCTGTTAATAATTTAAATTGTCCAGAACGGTAAACCAGAATTAATAATGTGGAGATTAAATTATTAATCAAAGGCAATGTAAATATAAGTTTAAAGCAAAATCACAAGGTATATTTTGTATATGGTTGCAGAATTATTTATTTATTTTATTCAATATTAAAAGTAACATATAATTTCTGCTTTTCAGCATGATTATTTGATGATTTCATGTGATTCTGTTACATGAGTATTTTATTGGTCATTTATATTTGTATTTTAAATGTCAAAATAAGCACCCTATGTTTGATTTTAGATTTATTTCAACAGTGTAGTACTTCCTACTCTAAGCCTACTTTTAGTAGCAATTTATCTTTTCTTGTGGTGGTACTGAGTCTGCTAAAAATGCAAAATGATAGAGGAAGAATAAATTAGTGAAGTTGTATCTAGAACACTCTTGCAAGTAAACCATGAGTTGAGTTATCTGATTAAGGAAAACAGATTACATTAAAGGGTATTTGTGAATTATAGATTTGTATAAAGCAAGGTTTTGATATACAAGATTTTTTTTCACAAGGTAGAAATACAGGTAGTTCAAGGAGAACTAAATTCATTCTATCTTATTTGTTATTTCAATCCATAAACAGAATTTTCATCCATAAAATGGAAGATATTGTGCTTATAGTACAAAATAAGTAAAAGAATATATAGGCCACAGCTAGTTTTCTGGTAGAATTTGACAGTAACATTGAATCAACTATTTTTACAATGTTTTCAGCCAAACTTGGCCCTGGGCTTTTGAATACGATGTTATTTAGGACCTCATCTGGTTTTTGGGTTTTTTTTAACAATACAGTGGCATTAAATTATTAAGGGGATATATGTGTTTTTGTGGTGAGGATAATTAAGGACATAGTCATTGTTTAGGCTATGCTGCTTTTATTTATAGCAACATTGGGATGAAGTCAGGAAAACCAGGTTCAAATCAGCTTTATCACATATCAAGAGCATGAAAATGCCAAGTTACATAACTTCTAAGCCTTCCTCATCTTCAAAGTGGGGATAACAATACTTGCTTTATAAATTTATTGTGAAGATCAAGTAATTTAGTCTCCATGAAGAACTTGTTACAGCACCTTATGACATTATTATCACTATTAGGCAATTTTGCAATGACCCTTTTAAAGTAGGTCAGGCATATTTCCATGTTAGGTTACCAGGAAGTTTACAAGAGGACAGAATAAAACTTATCTTTTCATGTTTTTATATAAATGCAGTAAATTTGCCCCAGGAGGCATCAGAATATGTCAAATTGCCTTGTATATATTATGCACCTCCTCAAGTGACAGGATTGAATTTAAATCTGAGGCAGGAAAAACGGTAAATACAGCAGCTGTAGACAATTATAGTTAATAAAGATAAGTATGGGAAAAAATAAATGGCATGAAAGAGAGGGATAGTCTGCATGGTGCAAATTAAAAAGTTCAATGTGAACAATCATTCCACAATGTGGCAATGCTGGCATGAAATAATCCAGCATCATTTTTAAAGTATTATTGAATGGAGAACTTAGAGGAATGTTACCTTGCTTATTCAATCTGCTGAAAAGAGACATAGGGAATTAAAAAAGAAAAAACTATCTAAAGGAATACCAAAGATGATGAGTGTGTAGAACAAAGCCTGTGAAAAATCATGCAGCAAGAGAAATAAAAGACAGAAATGGAATGTAATCATCTGCTGGAATAAGAGGTCTAGAAAATAAGCAACAAGATGCCTTTCTCATCCATTGCCATTTGGTAGCTCCTTTCCTGTTAATTTTTGTAAGAATTATATCTTTATGTTCATTGTGCTTTCTAAAGAGCACCATTTGTTCCCAAGTGATGTCTAAAAGAGAAAATTGTGCTTTTTTTTTTTTTGAAACAATCGAATGATCATGAGCCCAAATTCTTCCAAATGTGATTTTAGAGATTTCCTAATCATGGGGACACAGGAATAAGGTCAAACTGAATGATTTTAAAATACTGAATCAATCACTAACTAGCCATGGGATTTAATTTCCCTATCGATAAAATAAGAGTGATTGTTGGGATGAGTAAATTATTGGTACACAAGAAGTTCTCAGAACAGAGCTTGGCACATTATGCACTCAGGCCATGTTTGTGGCACTAAGGCTGGGTCACTAGGGCAGGCTCACTCACAGTCACCTATGTGCCGAGGACTCTCTTAGGCCAGGTCTTCCTCAGTGCCCTCCCTCCCTTTTCACTTTCATTTATCTGACTTCTGCTTCTCTCCCAAGGCCCAGCCTTTTCTATTCTGAAAGGCACATGATGCAGTGGTAAAGCTGGAAAGAACATCAAAGTTGTAGAATCCCAATATGTCATTTTGTGGGTGAAGAAACCAAGGCTTAGAGAGGTAGAGGTAGAGGGAGAGGAGGAGGGAGGAGAAAGGGAGAGAAATGGCAGACCGTGGACCACTTAGCTTAGGAATTTACATTCCGCGATCTTGTGCTACACTCAACATTCTCAAAGTTCCCCTCTTTTTGTCAAACTGCAGAGTTTGGACAGGTATTTGCACTCCAATTCCTAGTCCACTTTGTTTGTGTTTTTAGGCAACCTAGACAAACTTCTCAATTCATGTGGCTTCTATTTCCTCCCCAGACTCCATCTACAACCTGAATGTCTTCTGTACTCTAGAAGGCTTTATCCATCTACAGAGTTTGGATAGGTATTTGGGGCAGCAAATTCAAGAGAATGTGGGAAAAGCAGAGTGAATCTAAAACCCCAAGGGGACTGAGAAGGGGCATTGATAAGAATCCCTTAGACATGAGTTATTTAAGTAAAAAACAAAATAGGGAAGGACTAAATAAGAAATAAACAAATGATCTGTCTGTATAAGGCTAAATCTAGTACTCCTTGAAAATTTGCACACAGTGTGCACAAAGCACTGTGCTACTGGAGGCCATTGCATCTCAGTAACCAACACAGCAGTATCTACATTCCACTGAAATACTGGGAAGAATTTGAATTACTATTATTATTCAAATTCATGTAAATCTATAGTTGATAAATACATTATATATTTATGTTTTAATAATTCTTACTAAAATATTTTTAGATTTTATAATGCATAACATTAACTAATATCTTTAATAAATTTGGGAATGGTTATAGATTAAAATAAGCTACAATTTAATCTTACTCCCGGAGATGCCCAATTACAGCATGTTGACAAATCCTCTCATTTTGCGGTTGTTGCCAGATAACTGATGCCCACTTTGTGATTTATTTTTCTCAGAATGGAGAATTGAACTCACAGATATTTTCTGAGTAATAATTACGGGCAAGAAAAAAATGCTAATTGCTGAAAAAGTAATGGGGGCATAGGACAAAAAGACTCTACTTTCAAGAAGCTTACAATTTAGTGAGCAATAAAGACAGAAAAAGCAGCAAGATGCATGCTTAGTCTGGTAAATGCGTGACCTGCATAGTGGCAAAGTTCCCTGTACTTAGAAGAGCTCTTTACTTGGTTAAGTGCTCTTCTAGCACCCTCTTGAAATTCTTGATAATTTTTGAACAATGGATCTCTCATTTTCCCTTGGCACTGAGCCTCACAAATTATGTACAGCCATGTGCTGCATAATGACAGACTGCATATATGACTGTGGTTTCATAAGATTATAATATCATATTTTTACTGTATTTTTCTATGGTTAGATACACAAATACTTTCCATTGTATTACAGTTGCTGAGAGTGTTAAGTACAGTAACATAATGTACAGGTTTGTGGCTTAGGAGCATCAGGCTGCACCATATAGCCTAGGTGTGTAGTAGGCTGCACCATCTATGTTTGGTAAGTACATTCTATGACGTTTGCACAATGGCAAAATGACCTAAGCACACGTTTCTCAGAACATATACCCTTCTTGGAGGGACTCATGACTCTAATGGGTCCTGAGTACTCTGAAAACTACTGCGGTAGGTTAAGAACAGGGGCAATGGAAGCCCTTAGGCTAAAAAGGTAAGCCAGTCCCTGGATGAAGCTGAATGCCAGAAAAAGCTTCTCCTGGGAAACAATGACAAACTCATGCTGAAAAGATGAGTAGGAATTGGTTAAGTGGAACAAAGAATAGGACAAAAGGAGTTACAGGATGAGGAAACAGTTGATTCAAAGTCCTTGTGGAGAGCAAAAACATAGGGAATTCACAGTAGTTTAGCGTACTTGAATTTTAGAGTAAAACTTATAGATAAGTAAGAGATGGAAAAGGGCCCAGATCATAGAACATCATGCAGTTCTTCATATAGATACTTATTCTATCCTGAGAGGATTGAAATCATTGAATGATTTTATGTAGAGGAGTGAATTTATCAAATGTCAGTTTTAGAAAAGTTACTCTTAGTTACTCTGTAGAAAAATCAATGGAGGGAGTAGTTGAATTGTATTTCCATTAATCTAAACAAGGAAAGATGACTTGAACCAAAATCTGCCAGAGGAGTTATAGAATTCAGACAATGTGCTGGTTGACAGGATTTCTGAAGGAAGGGATGAGGAGTCAGGCATAATGACTATATTGTCATTTGGAAAAAAGAAAGGATATTCATGATGTTTGCTGAGATATCAACTATAAGACAAGTGACAGACTTATGCAAAAAAATATAAGTTTCATGTTAGAAATACTGAATTCAAGTTGTCTATATGATGTTCACATGGAGAGGTACAGGGGCAGATGGATAAAGGATTGTGGAGTGCAGAAGACGTTTAGGTTGAAGATGGAGTTTGGGGAGGAAATAGAAGCCATATGAATTGAGTAGTTTGCCCAGGTTGCCTAGAAACAAATAAACAAAAATTGGAAGCAACTGAAATCATACATACAGGTGTTCCAAAGAATAGAAAAATTAATAATGGCAAATACTGCAAAGAAGTCTAGATGCAGCTCCTGGAGTTATTATCATGCAGTATAGAAATTAATTGACCCCCGCATTTGCTTTGACATACTGAAAGTATGGGATCCTTCAGGGCTGGGATCATGCCTGTTATTCTATGGCAGACCTTAAGGTATCTGACAAAATGCCTTGCAACGTGTGTGTGTGTGTGTGTGTTGGCTGATTACCTGGCCAACTTTTTTTTTTTCCTTTTCTTCTTACTCAGAAGAAAAATTCTGTTTCCATCTGGTCACTGGGACAGTTCAGCCTACAGTACAGCACCATAAATTCTGGGTCTAAATCAGAAGAACACTAGAAAATAATATTTCAAGTTCCCTTATGCTCCTGTACTGAATATTCATTATAGAAATACATTTCTTTGTCAAAATAGAGGAGTCATTCCTAGCTGCTTAGTATTTTTCAGCTGACATCTAATAGGAATATAAATGGACCAGGTTAATGAAAACCTGCTCAGGCCATCTATTAGGTAAAGTCAACAGTAACAAAGTCCTTACAGTAATTACTAACTCACTCTCTTTCTTGACCCATTCGTTTTCCTGTCTTTTATTTAGGAAGTCATTTCTTCAAGTCTGTCTAGTACTCCATTCTTAGAAATGCCAGAACATCAATAAATTGTTGGCTTCCCCCGAAGAAATTAAATTAAATTACATTTGCTCTTAGAATGTATCTTTCGTCCCCCGTATGTCTCATGTGGTCCTGATGCTGTACCTCATTAAAAAACTCACTGTAATAGAGGGGAGACTCCCTGAAAGAGGAGGAAATAAAGCATACACCATTCCTTTTTATATGATGGACTGCAGCTGAATGCAAATTAGCTCAGAATCAAACTGCCAGGAAGGGTGTATTTATTCTTAATTGATGGCTAAAACTTGCCTCTAGAAATTAATATTTTATATCACAATTTGACACAAACTCTGATACCAGAGTTTGGTATCAGAGTGCCAGTTTTAGGCTCAAAAATAATTATGGGATTAGCAAAGATAAGAGCAGAATCCCTAGTTATTGATGTCAGCTACCAAATGTATACCACTATTATCTAACATTATATTTCTTAGTTTATTTGCAGTTGACCCCAACTGTAACTGATCATCTTCTATATGAACCAGGTTGTAAAACTGAAATACAAACTAATTTCAAGCAAGAAAGAGTCCTCCATGACTAATGTATTTATATTTGTAATTATATATATATATATATATATATATATATATATATATATATATATTTATAGATGTAATCCCTTTTCTGGATTTGGTGTATTTTTCCTTGTAAAATTACAATTAACTTGAACATATGGGACACCTGTACCACAGCATGTACTAAAAATTCAAAGGAACATAATTAATTGGAATACCAAGAAGCAGCATGCTTGTAAAGCATAATAAAATTCAATATAATTTTAGCCTAATTTATGTTCTAAATATTTGAAAGATGAAGATGACTGAAAAAGCAGTTGGAAGTCAAACTTTTGCCTTCAAGCTATGTATTGAAATTCATTGATACAGCAATTCTTGTAAAAGCATAAATCAAACTTATAAAGTAGGAAGGAATATAGCTAAATAATAATGGAAGAGTTTTTCTCTTGCATTACTATGTTTACCTTGTGAAAGACTTGTAACCTTTTCAAAATTAAAGTCTTCCAAGTATTTACAAGAGTAGATAATGCTTTTAATATCTCCATATTTTATGTTTATTCAGCTATCAGAAATCCTATAGAAAATTTACATTTCAATCAGTCTTTTTATACTGGAGGAAATAATATTTTCATAATAAATTTTCATAGCTTGTTTAAAAATAAGTCAGCTGACTGGTGTTTATTCTATCCTAAAATAGATATTTATGAGGCAGAAAACCCTGCTGGCTTAAAATTTAAATGTGTACTAAATTAAACAACCTTTATCAAGGAAGTTTTCTAAGTTATGATGAGAAAAACAAAATTTCCATCACTAATTAGTCATTGATAAAAGAGAAGAAAATGATCTATTATCTCAGATTAAATTTGGCTTTTAAAGATCTTGAGCTGTTTATTATGAGTTTTGTTTCTCTAAACAATTTCCCTTATATATACAATATACAATAAAGCAATAGCAATACATATTTGCTACAAAGTGATAGCTACACTCTAAAGGATATAAATCATGTATGTGTTTATAATTGATGTGTATAGATTGTTTTTCTCCTTATTATAGATTGTTTTTCTCCTTATCTACATATGCAGAATGGAGTTTGTTTGTGTTTTGTGTAGCCATGCCATTAGTGGACACAGGATAGTGTTTTGAGGCAGAGTGACCTGAATTAGAATCCTGAATCTGCCTCTTATTAGCTAGTCTACCTTGGATAAATTACCAATCTTTTTGCATTTTCCTTAATTCCTCTTATGAAGAATAGTAATGATATATGCAAAATGCCCAGAACAGTGATTAACACAAATTAATTTTATTTGTACAAGACATGCTAATATGACTTCAAAGACAAAGGGAAAACGATGGTAAAAATGATAACAGAAGTCAGTATTTGCAACACCTGTGATTCAGCCAGGAAATTCCTTAGGGAAAAGTTAGGTTGCAAAGAGGGAGAGACAGCACTTTAATTGATAGCATCTGCAGTAGATTCTGATTTTTGTCATTTTATTGTGAAAACTGACAGTTAAAGGACAAGGAATTGGAAATAGTCAAAAGCCAGATATGATCTTGAACTGCATATGAACTGGGATAAGAAAGGTGGCAGAATAATAATTTCTCTATCACTTAGTTGATGAGTGTTTCATTATTACCCATCCATCCTAGGTAAAGAAAGGAGAGGTATTTGATAGCCCTGTTTCTTTCCATGACTTCTCAATTGAAACGGTTTTTGATACATAGACGTAATGACTTTAACTGTGCTAGAAAGGCAGATATCTTAAAGTGGCAGTATATCGAAGTGGACAAGACTTGTTTCTGGAACGAGATTGCATGGGTTGAAATTCTCAACTACTTACCAATTGTTTGACTTTCCGTAAATCATATAACCTCTCTGGGCCTCAGTTTCTTTAGTTATAAAATGAGGTATTTGCTTTCACTTTCATCATTATTATGAGATTTAAATGACACTTTCTGGCCCCAACTTGCTTGACTTCATATTTCTGTAGCACTATTTACTTGTTATTTGATTTCACAAAAGTTACTTAACATCTATACCTCAGGTTTTTAAAAATATGTGATATTAATAATTAGTATGAATAAATAGTAATAGAACATGGATTTTAGGGTTGTTGTAAGGATCACATGTGTAAGTCCATATAGGGTACTTAGACCAGTGTTTGGCATATATTTTGTGCACAATAGCGGTTAGCTATTATTAACGTAAACACATGAAGAGAACATAGCCTATGTCTGTGTAATATACATGTGAGAATAGGGGTGTGTGTGTGTGTGTGTATATTTATATGTACAAATTTGAACTAAAACGTGTGACAGAAAGAAAATTGACAGGGAAAAAAATTGGAATAGCTTGTATTTGTTCTAATTTGTATAATCCTAGCCCATGACTTAATGTTGATGCTTGGCTTTATCTTTTGGATGGCCTAACCTACATTAACATGTACGCAGAACATTTTAAGAGTTTTTTTTTTTCAAAAATCATAATTTATTAATAAATAAAGATTAAAAAATTGGAATTGCAAAATTACATTTGAGCAAATGTTTTTATAGAGAACTTGCCCAAACCAGCAGACCCTCTATTTAAAAATGTCCAAATTCCTGAATCATTTACTAACTATGCTTTAATTCTGTGAACCATAAACTATAAATATGCCAGGTCAGTTCTCAACCAGAGGACTTACTATGGAAGTTTAATTGGTAGAATTGATTATTTCAGACTATCTTCTAGCCTGCAGAACTGCTAAAAAGCCTTCACGTGGAAAAAGAAATTTCTTGATCTATATCATAATCACAAGGGTAAAAATGAAATTATATTTTAAGAGATGAAATGCAAACATGGAACAGGAGAAGTTTCTATTAACCCATTAATGCTTTACTCCTCTATCTTAATAAAAACCAAAACAAAACTTTTATTCAACTGACTCTATGTGGTCAAGAACCAACAGCTATGAAATATCAATAAATTGCTAAAGTGTAAAATAATTTAGTATTTTTTTCTGGTGCAAACTATAAGATGAAAACATGGCTAAGTAGCAAATTCAATAATAATGTAGCTAATTAATTTATTATAAATTTTGGAACCATTCATTCATCTTTAAAGTCAGAATATTTGGCTTACTCGTCTCACAAACTTGTTATAAAATGTAATTGGGTAATGATTATAAAGTCAGATTTTCACTAAGAGTAAATAACCTATTAATGTTATCTAGGTTGTTTTCAATTTGGTGAACTGTATTGTCCAAACTGTGGCATCTCTGATTATGACAAAATAACATAAAAGTTTATGACTGAGTTTTGTAGAGTGTTTTTACCCATTTGCTCAAAATGAACGTTAGGACAATTAGAGTTATTATTGCATTTAATCAAAGGTAGAGTCTGAGTTTTTATACTTTTAGAATTACACTTCTTATCTTTCTTAGTCTTTCTGTTGCTTCTAACAGAATACCTGAAAGTATATAATTTATAAAGGATATAATTTATTTCTTGCAGTTATGAAGGCTGAGAAGTCCCATGTTCAGGGGCCACATTAGGTGAGAGCCTTCTTGCTGGTGGAAACTTTCTGAAGAGTCTTAAGACAGTTTAGAGCATCACATGGCTAGGGGGCTGAGCATGCTAACCTGCCAGCTCAGGTCTGTCTTCCTCTTCCTATAAAGCCACCAGTTCCCCTCCCATGATAACCCATTAACCCTTTAATCTACTGATGGATTAATCTTTTTATTAAGGCAGAGCCCTCATGATCCAATCACCTCTGAAAGGCTTCACCTCTGCCACATTGGGGATGAAGTTTCAACATGAGTTTTGAAGGAGACCTTCAAACCATAAGATTGGGAATATATGAATGATTTGTCTGAGAGTAAAGCAGAAGTTCTTTTCCCTCCAGATTCAGAAGGAAACAATATGGCATAGTAGATCAACTGTGAGCTTTGATGATAGTAGCCCATTGATGACAACTACCATAGTCATCTATAATACCATTAGACTATTAATAAAATTTCCTATAAAACAATTATAATAATATATGTACTGTAAACCATTATTAGAACTAGCTAAGGTATGTATATATAGCACACAGCAATCTCAGGGACATAGGGGTAGTCTTCAACATGTCTAATCATAATTATTAACATTAGACTGACCCAAACATTTATATTTTATTATTACTTCCTTTATATCTCATATAATAAGCCCATTACAACATGACACATGACATATATTTATGCTATCAATGAAAGTAAGTTATAATGAGTTTTTGAGCTTTATGAACCTTTATTTTAAAGTAGTGGTTAACATAGTTTAGGGTCTGAAAATTGGATGTAGAGCATTGCATCTATGAGAGATTATTAAGAAAATATATAATTACATGAAAAATTCCTCAAATGACAGTTCAGTGGGTCAAAATTTAATATGAACATTGAAAGTACATATGCTGGTAATTTTTACTTGCCTCTAGGTATAACTGAATTATTCTACATTTGTTTTCCATATGAAAACATGTGATGTTACCTGAGAAATTGTTTGGATAAATGCAGTGTATGTACTTGAATGTTTTACAATGCTGTTCCAACTGGAAACTTGCTACATGTCATATTTTTTTTTATATATGAAAATAATCTCTAAGGAATTTATGGACCAAGAAAGAAGATATTGTATTAGTTTTCTATTTCTGGGGACTGAAATCAGCCTGCTAACTTATTTCTTCTGGAGGCTGCAGGAAAGAATCTATTCCTTGTGTTTTCCAGTTTCTAGAGGCTGCCAGCATTCCTTGGCTTGTGCCACATCACTTCAATCTCTCCTTCTGTCATCACATTGCTTCTCTTTGCCTGACCTTTCTACATCCCTGTTGTAAGAATGTTTATGATTACACTGGGCTCACCTAGATAATCCAGGATAATCTTCTTATAATAAAATCTTTAACTTAATCTCATTTGTAAAATTCCTTTACCATTAAGGTAACATTCACAGGCTCTAGAAATTAAGATGTGTACTTATTTGAGGGTGGGCATTACTCAGTTTAGTATGGTCCACCCTCTGGCCTCCAAGGATTTACATCTATCCACATGCAAAATATATTAAAACCATCCCAACATTTGCAAAAATCTCAATCCAATTACGACATCATCAATTTAAAGTCCAAAATCTCATCTAAATTTTGTCAGATCAAAAGTCCCAAATATAATCATCTAAATCATATAATTCAAGTATAATTGAGAATCTTGCATGATCTATCCTGGGACAAAATTTTGCTCCATCTGTAGACTGATGAAACTAGAAAACAATTTGTCTGCACTCAAAATACAATGAATGGTGTGACAGGAATGATATGTAAGTTAGAGATATTCCTATTTTAAAAAGAAGAAAAGGAGGAAGAAAACAAAAGGAAAAAGAAAAAGGAGTTATTGGTCCCAAGCAAATTTAGCTATATTACTTTGTAGAAATACAAATAAAACTCCATTAAGCCTCAAGACCTTGGAATAATCCTGCGTGGCTCTCGCCTACCTCACCTGGGAGTGCAGCTCTGCCCTGAGAGTCATTCTCCCCTTTTTCTTGAAAGATAGGTATGCTTGTACCTGAGCAGTTGTGTTAGGCTTTTCCATCCCTGTATAATTTTGGGAGTCTGGCAGCCTTCTTTCATTCTGTCCTATCTCTGTCTCTTTCAATTCAAGCTGGCAGTGTTCCTGGTGATAAAACATGCTTAAGAATCTCTTGGATCTCCCATGTATATCACAAAGATTTGCTCCATTAGTCAAGAGGCCCCTCCAAAGAGCTTTCCTAAATAATCCCATCTTTCTTCCTGAGTTTTGCTGAGATGGCTAAGGAATTCATCAGCTACTTGCCTAATCTCTTCACAGAGTTCTCGCTGTTCAATTTTTTTTTCTTTTTTTTTACTTTAAGTTCTGGGATACATGTGTAGAATGTGCAGGTTTGTTACATAGGTATACACATGCCATGGTGGTTTGCTGCACCCATCAACCCATCATCTATATTACATATTTCTCCTAATGCTATCCTTCCTCTAGTCCCCCACCCCCCGGCAGGCCCTGGTTTGTGATGTTCCCCATCCCTGTGTCTATGTGTTCTCATTGTTCAACTTCCACTTATGAGAGAGAACATGCAGTGTTTGGTTTTCTGTTCCTGTGTTAGTTTGCTGAGAATGATGGTTTCCATCTTCATCCATGTCCCTGCAATGGGCATGAACTCATCCTTTTTTATGGCTGCATAGTATTCCACGGTGTATATGTGCCACATTTTCTTTATCCATTCTATAATTGACAGGCATTTGGGTTGGTTCCAAGTCTTTGCTATAGTGAACAGTGCTGCAATAAACATACATGTGCATGTGTCTTTATAGTAGAATGATTTATAATCCTTTGGGTATATACCCAGTAATGGGATTGCTGGGTCAAATGGTATTTCCGGTACTAGATCCTTGAGGAATTTCCACACTGTCTTCCACAATCAGTTCCACAATGGTTGAACTAATTTACACTACCACCAACCATGTAAAAGTGTTCCTATTTCTCCATATCTTCTCCAACATCTGTTGTTTCCTGATTTTTTAATGATTGCCATTCTAACTAGCATGAGATGGTATGTCATTGTGGCTTTGATTTGCATTTCTCTGTTCTTGAATACTCTGGGGCAGTTTTAATCCTTTTAAGCCGCTAGCAAAGGTTGTGGAACCACATCTTTGGCTTTCTAGTCTAAAGCACATCCTCCTGCCAATGTATCTCCCAATTTTAGCATCTTTTACAATCAAGACAAGCTGATAATTTAACAGATCATAAAGTATTGGTTCCTTGTTAATAAACAGTTCTTCCCTAAATTTATTTCTTTCCTTTTGCATTTTACAATAGGCAACAAGAGGAAGCCAGGCCCACCTTTAACCCTTTGCTTGAAAATCTCCTCAGCTAAATACCCAAGTTCACTGCTGACAAGTTTTGTTACCGCTTATAACCATAGGGCACAATTCAGCTGTTTCCTGCCGCTGTGTAACAAGGGTCCATTATCCCCTAGTTTTAAATAACATGTCCCTAATTTCCTTCTGAGCTCTCAGCAGCAGCATATTTAAAATCTATATTTTCACCAACATTCTGTTTATGATAATTTAGGTTTTCTGTAAGATGATGTAAGTTTCCTGTACCATGCTCCTCAGTTTCTTGTAAGCCCTCTCAAGCAGTGCCTTTAACATTCAGATTTCTACTAACAGCCTGTTCAAAGAAATGGAGGCTTTTAAAATCCTGTTCTTCAAAATTTGTTCACCTTTTTCCCATTACCAAATTCTAAAGCAGCTTCTACAGGTTTAGTATTTGTGACAGCAGCACCCCACTTCCAGTACCAAAATCTGTATTAGGTTCCTGTTGCTGGGGCTTACACTCAAAGTATCAGTGGAACTGTGCCTTCTGGAGGCTCCAGAAGAGACATTTCACCTCGTCCTTTTCAGCTTCTAGAGCCTGCCAGCATTCCTGGGCTTATGTTCACATCACACATGCAGGATGCAAAGACCAGCAAGAGCTTCCCCTCCACATTTAGAAATAATTATAAGTAGATGCTATGCACCAAACACTGAATCTATTTGCAAAATATAACAGAGGAGCATGGTAAAGTCAAGTTTATTGTTATTCACATTATGAATCTTAAACAAGGAAGAGATTTCTAGATACAAAAAGTCTCTCAATATTCTTTGTATTTCAAAGAGTCTAACATTATGCTAAGACACAGATAAGCAGTTCTTTTGTTCCATATTCCACTAAATATGTTATCCAATCAACTAAGTTATGTAAGAAAACCCTTCTATCCCCAAATGCCTAAGTAGGTTGTATTCAATTATATTTATCATTTTAAAAGTACACATGTACTCGAAAAGTTTCCTAATCATTCAGTCTTTTTCCAACATGGGAATGGAGCCTAGTTATATGAAAGTTGAGGGAAAGTTTTCCACTTTTTCAGCAGAGGTATATTTTGTAAAGGGAATATTATTAGAGCTGAACCAAAATAGAACTACTGTATTCATAGAATATTCTTTTTCTCATACTTCATTTAATTCCTGACTGTCAGGCCAATTGTTAGTATTACATATTAATGGGGTAATTATAAAACCAATTGCTTAGTGCTCTCCTAAAAATCCTTTTTTTTTTTTGCCATCTACTTATAATTTTCCTGACATCCTCTCCTCTGATTTTTTAAATTGTTCTAATAAATTAAATAGTGCATATATGTAATGCTAGTTAACAAAAATTTGGGCTAAGCATTGCAAATACTATTGCATTTTCTTTTTCATCTCTATCCGATCTCTAGCTTTCTAGTCTATGACCATCTCCATTTTCTATATCCCTAAACTCAAAGGGACATCCAGTGCTATCAAGACACCCAATTGAACATACACATATGTTCCCCCCTTACTTTTCTCTTATTTTACTTCTATTCACTTTTGCTTCGAAATTCTTTCTGTCTCTGAACCTGAAAAAAAGCAACATAGTTAAAGCAAGAATTGAGAGTACAAAGACAGTGATATCAAAGAGATGTTAATCCTCCACACAGTCTGGCTGCATTGAGGATATTTCTCTTTGTGCAGTAGAAAACTGGAAATAGCTAAGTCTATTGGAACTCTTCTTTCTCAAATTCTATTGAACTGAAGAGTAGGAAATTTAGAAACAGTAAGACGTGGGAGATAATTTAACTGAATTCACTACTTTTGTGACAAGGATATCCAGAGGAACTCAGGGACTTGCCCACGATAGATAGTGCCAGGACTAGAATTTGAGCTTAGTGACTCTATCAAGTATTCTTTCGGCTGCATCTTATATCCTTAGTCAAGTTAAGAATAAAATTAACTTTGTTCTGACTTTTCACCTTGCTATCTTAGATGATTTATTTCCTAAATCTTACCTTCAGGAAATCCAAATATCACATAGATCAACAGAATGTATTTAGTGACAAATCTTAATACTCTAATCATAAAACACACATAAAGTAACAGGAAAAAAATAAATTATTGAATGATAAAATGATGAATTATGAAAATTGACTTTTTTTATCCTAGATAATTTGGAAAACTCTAGGATTGGTTTGTTGCTGTTGTGTTAGCCAGGTTCTCATATTACTTAGACTTTCTGAGACTTACCTTGAATTTTTTTTTTATTTACCAAGAAAATTCACAATACATTTAATCAATAGAGTATATCTATTTTTTGAGACGAGCTCTTGCTCCGTCACCCAGGCTGGAGTGCAGTAGTGCGATCATGGCTCACAGCAGCCTCAACCTCCTTGGCACAAAAAAATCCTCCCACCTCAGCCTCCAAGGAGCTGGGACTATAGGCGAATGCCACCACACCTGGATAACTTTTTGTATTTTTTGTTGAGACAGGGTTTCCTTATGTTGCACAGGCTGGTCTTGAACTCCTGAGCTCAAGCAATCTACCCACCTCAGCCTCTCAAAGTGCTGAATTACAAGCATGAGCCACTGAGCTGGGCCAATAATATTTTTAGGATTATGAAAGTTTCTATTTGTCTTAGATAACTGAGTTTGTGGCAAAATGCAACGCACCATTTTCTTACAGTTAGGCTCAGCATTTAAATACTTCAATAAAAGCACATTAAGCAAAAATACTATCCCAATCTTCTCAAACTACTAGATTATATTTTTAATAATAAAATAGTTACTGCTACCAGCATTTCTTTCATAAATAATTAGGCAGATTGATAACACCATAGATTCAAATGTCTCTGCAACACTTCCTAGAAATTTTGCAACTTTATTGAGCTCTCAGTCTCTTTTCTGCAAATATTATTTCATAGCTTCTCTCCCATCCTCAGACTGCAAACTGTCCCTTCTGTTCCCTCTATTTTTGTGGATGTGCCTCATACTTTCATTTTGTCACAGAGTCCTAAGTTGAAAATATTTTTTCTGCATCTGTACCAATCTTATCTTTTCATGTTGCATTATAGTGGGAGAAATGTATGCCCTGGTAATGACTGTAATTTTACATTTCATTTCAGAACTCACATTGGGAAGAATTCCATTTCTTCCTATGTTCCCAAGGACTTCTTTTTGGGAAGAAGTTTCCCGCTTATTTTTCCCATTTATTTGCTCAACTTTCTTTGTCTATGTTAGCACAAATTATTCTCATTATCATCCAGACATATTCTAGTTTTTTCTATTTAAAACGTAATAAAAAATAAAGCAATGACTTCTTTCTTGACTTCACAATTCTTCAGCTATCTGTAATATTTTCCTGTTTTTCACCATCAAACTTCTTGAAAGTGTTTGCTACAAACACTGTCTTTACCTGATTTTGATTCGAAATTCGCAAAGTTTAAAATATTATGAAATATCTTTAATATATTGAAAAGCAAAGAGAATAATATAACACATAGCTATATGCCCACCCTCCCCAGGTTTAACTAATGTTGATATTTTGTGAAATTTTCTTAGGCTCTTTTCTCCCAAAGAAATACTTTATTACCCATATGGCTAAAGCCCATCTCATTTAATTTCATTCTTTCATTCCAGAGTTGACTATTATCTTAAGATAGATATATAAACTTTCCACCCTAATATTTATAGTTTATAATATTTGTATCTATTCATAAATAATATATAGTATTTTTTATATCTCATATCTATATAAAAGTATAATTTATATCTTTTATTATGTCTACATAAATTATATCAAAGTATTAGTATACTTTTGTGCTTTATGTTAATACATGCAGATCTACTTTGCTTATGTTACCATTAGTGTTCTAAAACATGAATATATCAAAATTTATTTATCCATTCACATGTTGATGTATATTTAGTTTGTCCAGCTTTTCATTCTTATAAGCAACCCTCAATGTGCATGCTTATTTATATTTCTTTGCTCACATAAAAGTGTTTCTTTAGAAGAGGGATTGGTAGCCTGAGGGTACAGCATCTTCACCTTTACTAGAGATAGTCAAATTGGTTTTCAAAGAAGTTAAACCAATTTAAACTCCTATCATCAGAACATGGATATGTTTTTATTTTCCATATACTTAAATAATACTCGTTATAATCAGACTTTTAGATTTTTGTTTATTTGAAGAGTATAAAATGGTTCCTAGATTTGTTATTTATTACGGCATAACAAATTTTCCCAAAATGTAATGACTTAAAACGAAACATTTATCTTACAGTTTCTGTGGATTACGATTCCAGGCTTGGCCTAAATACATATGTCTGCCTCAGGTTCTTTCATACACTGCAATTAAGGTGTTAGCTGGGGCTAGGCTCTTGTCTGAAGGTTCTGTTGGGGGAGATTCACCCAGGCTTACTCGTGTGTTATTACCAGGATTCAGTCTCTAATGCCTGTTATACCGAGGGTCTCAGATTCTCATTGGCTATTGGAAAGGGGCCTCCCTCAGTTCTTTGCCACAAGCACCATTCTATAGGGCAGCTGACAATATGGCAGTTGGTTTCATTCAAAGCAAGCAAGAGAGTTAGAAAGCATGAGCAAGAGAATAGTCACAGCCTTTTGGTAACCTTACCTCAGAAAAAGATGTCTCAATACTGTTTTTTATATTTTATTCATTAGCAGCAAGTTACTAGGTCCATCCACATACAAGGGGCTGGAGTTTCATAGGAGCATGAATACCAGGGAGTGGGTATCATCTAAAGCCATCTTAGAAGCTGCCTACCAATGTATTTCATTGTATCACTGTCACATTTTTCTAACTATTAATTGGACATCTTTTCATATGTTTTTAGCATTAAGATTCCTGTTTTATGAATTAATTACCTATTGATATTTTTCTACTTTTCTGTTGAATAATGTTTGTTTTATTCTTAATATGTAGATATTCTTTGAGTGTTCTGAATACTAATTTTTGTTAGTTTTATAAGTTGGAGCCCATTCATTCTTCAGCCAACTTGAATTTGATATACTTTCTCTCCCATTTCTTCTATCCGCATTGACAAAACCACTCCTGTTAGGTCATCATTGATTTTCATATTGTCAAATTCGATGAATGCTTTTCGAGCCCATCTTAATTGACTTGTTGGCAACATTCAATATAGATGAATAGTTTCATTCATCATTAAAACATACATTTTTTTTGTTTCAACTCTATGTCAGATATACTATTTGTTTCTTTCTTTCCTGACAGTATCGTATATTGGTTTTTCCCTTATATTATGGCTATTTGACAGACTCTTTAGTTGGTATTTCTACCTCTACTTCACCTCAAAATGTCTATATTCATTAAGATTATAGCTGATATTCTTTTCCTACTGATTTTGTTTGTTTTCATAGATAAACATTGATTATGATGCCAATAATACTCAGGTTTATATTCCTTCAACTGTATCACCAATCTTCTATTAATACATAATGTGTTCACTTGGATTTCTCACAAACCTCTCAAACTTTATGGGCCTAAGTCTGAAATTTTGAATATCCTTATTCCTCAGTTGTCTGAAGGTCACAGATACCATCTTCTCTCATCCAGTGGTAATATTGGAAAACTAGGAAATATCTATTACATCCCCTTGTCCCTATAAATATCAAGTCCTATATATACCATCTACTCAAACCTCTTGCATTCATATATACCTCTCTGTCTCTACAGCTGTCAGCTTAGCCAAGCTATCTGCTTCTTTCCCCAAGGCTAGGTTATGGTATCCCATTTCCATTTTGCTTATGTTTCCTAATGCTTTTAAGAAAAAGAAAAATATGGCTAGGTGCAGTGGCTCATGCCTGTAATGCCAGCACTTTGGGAGGCCAAGGCGGGCGGATCACCCGAGGTCAGGAGTTTGAGACCAGCCTGAACAACATGGAGAAACCCCTTCTCTACTAAAAATACAAAATTAACGGGGCATGGTGGCGCATGCCTGTAATCCCAGCTACTAGGGAGGCTGAGGCAGGAGAATCGCTTGAACCCAAGAGGTGGAGTTTGCGGTGAAACGAGATTGTGCCATTGCAGTCCAGCATGGGCAACAGAGCGAAATTCCATCTCAAAAAAAAATATATATATACATATAAAACTCACATCAAGTGTTTTTAATGTAAAAATAATGGCATAACTCCCCTGTAATAATGTTCCCAAAGATTTCTATAGTACTTTGAATAAGATTTTCAATCTTCAGTGATAGAATTTCAATGACAAACTTTGCACAATATGGTTTAACATAATTTTCTTGCCTAATCAGTTTCCTGCCTCTGTTTCCCTTCACTTCATTTCTCTAACCACCCTGGGTTCCTCTTTTTCTGTAAAATTCCAAATGACTTTCAGGCTCAATTTTTTGAAACAAATTTCATTGTTCATGAAGAAATTTTCTCCCATTTTCCTGTGGAATTTGTATTCGTTCTTCAGGTATCAGTTGAAATGTTACTTCTTTAAGAAATTATTTCTTTCTCTTCCAGCCGGGACTAAATAGTCTAGAGTCTATTTCTATAACATTATTTGGTTTCCTTCATAAGAGTTATCACAATTGTAATTATATAATAATCTATAGTTATTTTGCAATTATTTTAGTTAATATCTGCATCATCCACAGACTATAGTTATATAAAAACAGAACTCATATCTCTAGTAGTTTTGCATCTCTAAATTCTAGAATATTGCTTGGCCCATAGTTGGCACTTAATTAATATTTATTCAGTAAATTGCTGAATCTACTGCAAGTTCTATCTTCACAGGAGCTTTTAATCCCATCGGTACAGAATTAAAGAGAAATACAAAATTGAAAACTAAAATGTGAGCCACAGTCATTAAGAATACTCTAAGGGAAAGTTTCATAACCTCGCTAGCCATCCATTTCCTCATTATTAAATGAAGGGTTTAACCTAGATCAAGTCCAAGATCATTTGCACCTCTAAAATTAAACAATTCTAACTGCTGGCTCAGGAAGAAAGAAAAATCAATGTGCTCCAAGAACTGAAGGAAAATTTCATGAAGAAACTTTTGATGATAAAAGCTATAATTAATGGGGAAGAAATGGAAATTAACATAGGTATTCTGAGATGGTGAGATCAACCAGATGCCTGAAGTGAAGGACTATTTTGGATTTTAGTGGGAGAGATGATTTACATGGAGCTATTCTCGAAGGCACCTATAAAAGAGGACAAGGGTTTGGAATTGATTAGAGGCCACAAGACATTGTAGGATTTGGAACAATGGTCAACATGACTGTGCATTATTTTTAAAATGAAATTATTTTCTATAAACATGTATTGATTTTTGACTACGTAATGGTCACTGCTTGGCACTGGGGATACAAACATGAATCAGACATGATTCCTGCCTCTGTGTCCCTCAAAATAGTGGGGTGGCAGTCCAAAAAAATGAATAATATAATATCACATTACAAAAACAATGTGTCAAAGAAGAAAAGATATAACAACTAAAAATACAATCCATTCATAAGTATTTTATAATAAAAGGAAGTTTTATATGGTGGAAACATCATCTTTAACGTACATATCCTTTGAAGAAGCAAGACCACCTCTAAGAATGTAGCCATTTTTGGGAGATGTGGGTGTAAACTTCAAATCATTAATAATCTTGCTAACTTTATCTTTTGATAGAAGCTCTCCAAGCCTCAGTTTCTTTATATGTTCAAAACTAAAATAAAAAATTGGTGTAAAGATTAGAGACATAAAATTACAAACGTTGGAAACAGATCACTATACAAATGGAATCTCAGAATATAATTAAAGTGAATCAGTGAAGAAATTGTTTAAAATTTAATCAAGGATGTAAGAATTGCTTTCTCATTCTTGAAAAAATACTCAGATTCCTAACTTCTACTAAAACAGTGCATATACATATATATATATATATACCAAATAAATTTAAAATAATTAGAAGCTAGGATTTGAATACTTACTATGAGTCAGGAATTTTTAAGTATACTACATGTATTAACTCATTTAAACCTTACAAAATCCCTATAGGGTAGGTACTGTCATTATCCTCATTTTAAATGCAAAATACTAAGGCACTGAGACATTAAGTAGTTTTCCCAAGGTGATCAAGATTATTAAAATTAAAACCTGATGCCTCTGGACTATGAACATGACCTCTTACTACTATGTTCTATGGCCTATATAAAATTGTATTGAAATTTTACAAAGATTGGGTTAAAGATACAATCTTAGCAATAGTATGTGAGAATTATTTTTGTAACTTTAAGCTGGGAAAAAAGAAAACTCTCTAAAGCAAGAAGCCAAGCTACAAAATAAAAGTTTAAAGATGTGATTTCCAAAAACTTTTAACAAGTATTTTATTAGGAAAGGTACTTTAAATATAATAAAACAAAAATTTAAGAATGGAAAGAAATGTTTGCAGTGCATTTAGTGTACAATGTCTTAATATTATTAATATACAAAGAGTTTCCACAAATCAATAAGAACACAAATTTCTTTAAGAAAATAATAGGGCAAAATATAAGAACAACAATTCATGAAAAATAAAAACAAAAGTTTCTAAACATATTTAAGTATGCTCAGTCATAAGTGAGTGAAAATACAAATCAAAACAAAAAGTTACCAACAGAAACAAAATGTTAATAGTAGCCAGCGTTTTTGAGGACACTAACATAGATTATTCATGTGTTTATAAATTGCCCCATGCTTTCAAAAAAAAGCAATTTCTAGTATCTGTCAAAATGTCTAATGTACATGTCCTTTGATAAAGCAAATTCTTTTCTAGAAATCTACCCGTTGCAATGCAGTGATTAAGAACTTTGGTTTCAGAAATATCTGGATACAATTCCCTGCGATTCCATTTTTATATGTGTACCCTTGAAGTTCTTCACTTTTATAAGGCTGAAATTACTCATTTGAAAACAAGATAGCAATAGGAAAATGGCTTCACAGGGTTATTCTGTAGATTAAATGAAACCATGCACGTGAAGCAATTAGCACATTTTAGGAGTTGATAAACATTAAATAGTATGATTATTATTAATTATAACATAGATATGTTTCCAGTGTGAAGGAATAGCTTTATGAGAATGTTTATTATATTCTAATAACTTATAGTATTGAATACAATCTTGGAATCACTGCAATTATCTTTGTACAATTGTGGCAAATAAATTGGTCTTAAGAAGACAAGAGATGGGAAAACGTTGCTCTGTGTGACTAATGTCACATATGCAATGGGTGAAGATTCAGAAAATCAGTATTGGTCAACAGGCAAGTCTTAAAATGATTATTAACAGATATATTTAATGCTTTAGAAAAATTCAATAAACATCAGAGACCAATTCAAATTCATAAAGAAAAAGTCAAATCTTCTCTCTAAATGAAAAATGGGTTGATATTTTAAAACATTGTATATTTTATTTTAGAGAACCATATAACATGTCCCATGTTAATGTATAAGATTATGGAATATGATTAGGTAATTGTGTGCTATGGAGACTCAGATGTGCTATTAACAATGGAGGGAATGGATTTAAACTTATGGCAGTTAGTTTGAATGCCAACCTGAATGAAATGTGCTTTGGATTGACCAAAGCTTCTGCATTTGCTACATTCTGCTTCATATTTTCATCACAGTTAGAGGAGGGATTAAGGGTATTATTTTTAAATTTGCAGCTCTCACAAAATTGCTTCAGTCGTCCCATATACCCCATAAATATATACACCTACTCTGTACTCATAGTGATTAAAAATTTTAAAAAAAATCATTGCAGTGGACAATTTAGGTAGATGATGTAATATAGATTTGAAATGATCTATGGCACTACATTAGAATCAACAAAATATTATTTAACAAAGAGAACTTTTTGTAAATTGCTTAAAGTTCAAAATATAAATTGCACAATTATAGAAGTTCATCTAAAAAACTATTATTATAGACAATAATATGGCCCCAAATTGTTATACAACCGTGAAAAAATGTTCTCACATTGTTTTACCAGTGTATGGCTCTTTACAGTGTTTGATTATTACATTCTACTTTGGACAGCACATTTTAAGAGAAACTTGATGTATTGAAATATGTCCAGAGGATGTATGAAAATGATACAGATTTGAGAGTTGGAGGAGCTAGGAATGTTTCCCTAGCAAAAGGGAAATTGAGGGAAGACACAAGTCTATTCAAACATTTGAAGATTTTTCTTGTAGAGTAGGAGACAAAATTGCTATACCTAGCTTAGAGGGCAGCTGAGAGCTGCAAGGAGGTGAAATTCATTTCAGAACAGACTTTCTCACATTTAGAGGTATTCAACATTGCAGTAAAGGTTTTTTAGTATTAAAATCCTCATAGCTAGAAGTACTTAAGTAAACAGTAGGACAACTGCTTTCAGGATTGTGGAAGAGACTCTGTTTATAGGGAAGAATGGATTAAATTACTTCTAAGATTTCTTTTTAGAAAAGGAAAATGGTAAAATGGAAAGAATGCCAATCTTGAAGGCAGAAGACTTCCAGGTCAGACTTACTCTAACACTTATCTGTGTTTTAAGGAACTTTAACTTACAGTGATATAGGCGACTGTTTTTAGGGTAGGGGAATGTGTTAATGATACCCATAGGAGACTTCTGAGTACAAGTCTGTAAAACCAGGGCTTGGTAGAGTGGCACAGTAGGACTGTCCTCAACCTGAATGAGAAAAGGAATTCAGAGACTGGAAACCTTCATGATGAACACAAATTATTCCACTGTCATGTCTCCGGTTGCATTGGTTTAAAGTTCTATTCATCTCTCATTAGATAAGTATTAGATGTTTTGTAATTTTTTACAGTGCATCATAGGATAACAGGAACAAAAAGAAAGTTGCGATTTAATTTACTTTCACATTTCAGGCATCATGTGTGTTGTTTTTATGCATTTTTCCCTAGTCATTCCACAGGTTAAGCTTCTCTGTAGAACATTGTGCAGGCTTCCCAGATTTAGAAAAAATAGAATTGATGTGCTGACTCACAATGTTTTTGCAAACCAGATTACATAAATCTAGGTATAGCAAACTTTTCATGACACCCAAACATTATAAGTTCAGTCCTGCAATCACAAAGGATTTGTTTTGTGTGACTTTGTAACCTCCGTTTCAGGAAGGAGCTCTGAAGACTAGAAATAGCATAGAATAGACTAAATTTGAACTAGAAGTACCTCCATCTATCTCCTGATGACCTTCTTCCCTTTGTGAACACTCTGGATTACTGCACAATGCCCTGGGACCCTCAAGCTCTCCCACTAAATCAAAAATGCTACTGGGTGCTTACTGTGATGAGGAGCGCAACTCTTCCTCAAATGAAGTGCCTTGTTGTCTCTTTCCTTTCTTCAAGGAAACTCTAGCCATTATTATCTAGTTGTCTGTAGTAGAAGCTGCCTGAGATCTTGAAACACTTGGAACCTTGAAAATTGGGAGTTAATCTATTAGTATTTTCTAAAAGCCTCCTACCCTTCCAGATGAGGTTAGGTCCTTGCTCAGTATATCCTCCCACCCTATACTTTTCTTTTTTAGCACTTAATCACTGCTAGATTTCATTAATTGTTTATATCAACATATTTTCCTAATATCTGCCTCCCTGGATATAGAGAGTGTTTTGTGGAGACAGACACCCTGTTGGTCTGGTTCAGTGCTAAACCTCCAAGACATATTCCAGTGCCTGGCATATAAGAGATACAGGAGATCTTCAGTGAGTATTTACTGAATGAATAAATAGCATTTTGTTTGTGAAAAAAAAAAAAAGTTTGATGGGTTAAGAAAGGATTTGTATGTTTGCTGATAGCATTCATTTATGTATATGTTTTTTGATTACCTATTTTCTGCCAGATAATGTACTAGATGATAGGTTCACAAAATTGAGTAAGTCTTTGCTTCCACCTACTCTGAGTGATGGTTTAAGGTCAGAGTTAGCATCAGAAAAAAATCTAGAAGAATGCAATGGTATGTTGATGTTAATTAGTTGTACCTTATTGCCCTTTCTCCAACTCTCACACTACCAACACCCAATCCCCACCCTTAGCCATTGTCAGGTATAAACACACCCCAGTATTCTTGCCTTGGATAAGGATAACTCCAGGCTTAACTTACATTTCAGAGTTCCCCTGCGGAATCAGGCTGGCCCCACCCTCTGCAGACTCCACCTGAGTTCCATCCTTGCTTGGCGTTTTCCCCTTCCCTACTTTGCCTCCTTCACTCCCTGGCTGCCACCTAAGGGAAAACTTCCTCAATTAAACATTCGCACATGAACTCCCATCTCATGATTTGCTTCTAGAGAATCTGACCTTAGATTATCTTTTTCTAGCCGTATTTGCAATATCTTACTATTCTGTTCTCAGTTGCTCTGGAATCAGCAGTTATGAATAAAATCTTTGCTTCTCAAGGATTATTTTAATTCAAGAACTAGATTCACCTTTGAAATCCTTACCTCACTAATTGTAATTTAATCCCTTTAAATCCCAAATATTTCTATATGCACTAGTCTTTGCAAAATTAGATTAGAGTCTACCAAAATTCATCTTCTCTGAAATGAAAAGATGTCAATCTTTTCTGGGAACAAAGGCTGAACTAACCACAGCACATGATACCATTATATATTAGTTTTTATCTAATTCAGATACCTTTTATGAGTCCAATTATGAATAGATTTGGAAAGTAATAATTTTGAAGAAATATGAAATTGTACCACTCCAGATGTTCTCAGACAGAGTTTTAAGCAGAATATGGCAAATTTGTAAATCTGTGACAATAATAAATAACTCATTAGGACTGAACTGACAAACTTCACAATTATTCTCAGTTGAGAACTAAGTGCCAAAAGTTCCAAAGTTAAGGATTTATTTTTTATTTCACTGCACAGATAAGCTGTACTTTCCATTGGAAAATATTTATTGTTTTAATATGTCTACAACAACCACTGATTTTACCAGATAAGTCTGTTCTTCACCCAAAATGTGAAATTCATACCAGCCTGTCACATTGTTAGACTAGATATTAACATTCCGTACATCATATGCTTCTGATCCAACATATCTGGCCCTCCTCAAACCCCTACAGTCATCCCCTTGCCCATAGCCTAAGTCAAGTGAAAATGATCCTGTCTGTGGCATGGAATTTTATAAAATTCTTCCTTCAATCCACTTACCTAATTTTCTTCCTAATTATAAAGAAGTTTATACATTTTTAAAAATAAAGTGTTATTTTTATACACAGTTAATATGTGATATTAAAGCATCATTTGCTCATTTATTGATAGATTCGATAACAAATATTCTTTGAGCACCTACTTGGTTCCAGGGATTGTGCTATGTGGTGGGCTAAAGAGATGAATTAGACACTAAAGCCCTCAAGGAGCTCAAATTCTAATGAAGAGGCTGAGGGGTATAAAAAACACAAAGCCTAAATCAGAAAAAAATAAAAATGTGTGCAGTCTACAGGTCTGTTATTTATTCATTGAAAATAAATACATTGAGGTTTTTTCACTTCGTTTATTAATGCTGCTCAACAAAAGAATGATGGCTGGGCGCAGTGGCTCATGCCTGTAATCCCAGCACTTTGGGATGCCTAGGTGGGCAGATCATGAGGTCAGGAGTTCGAGACCAGCCTGACCAACATGGTGAAACCCCGTCTGTACTAAAAATACAAAAATTAGCCAGGCATGGTGGCACGTGCCTGTAATCCCAGCTACTCAGGAGGCTGAGGCAAGAGAATCGCTTGAGTCTGGGAGACAGAGGTTGCAGTGAGCCAAGATCGCACCATTGCACTCCAGCCTGGAAGACAGAGTGAGACTCTGTATGCCCCCACCCACCCGCCCCCGCCAAAAAAGGCAATGAAAACATGACATTTTTTAATACAATAGAAGTATGTAGGATATAATGCAGAAGTAGCAAACTTGAAATAGCTTACCCTCCTTCCTCTGGGAATTTGTTCTCAGGCTTTATTGTTAAGTTTGGCCTGACTGTCACTGTGCAAATAAATAATTGCAATGAAAGGTAGCAAGTCTTACAGGGTGGGCAGAAATAGAGTGCACCGAAGACCAAAAGACAGTAGAACACCTTCCCTGCCTAGAGGCAGGCTTCCCAGAGGAAGGTTTTGATCTGGGACTTGCAGTGCATGAGTTTTGTAGGGAAGCCATAACAAAGCACCATAGTCTGGGTGGCTTAAACAATAGAAATTTATTTTCTAGGATTTCTGGGGGCTAGATATCAGAGACTAAGGTGTTGTCAGGGTTGGTTTCTTCTGAGGCCTTTCTCTTTGGTATATAGGTGGCAGTCTTTGCTTTGTCTTCGCTTTGTCTTCACATGGTGTTCCCTCTGTGTATCTGTTTACTAATCTCTTTTATAGACACCAGTCATATTGAATTAGGGCACAACCTAGTGACCCCATTTAATTTTAATGACCTCTTCAAAGCCCCTATCTCCAAATATAGTCATATTCTGAGGTTCTTCAAAGCCCCCATCTCCAAATATAGTCATATTCTGAGGTTCTTGGGGTTAGAACTTGAATATATGAATTTTGGGAGAACACAAACTAACTCAGAACATTTATGATATTAAAACAGCAGAGTTCCTTGACCCCCATCACAAGGGTATTGTGACGTGCCACAGGGGTATTGCTCATCTGTTTGGTTGCTGCATGCTCAAACCCCTTATGAGATGGGGAGCATGCAGACGGGCAGGTGTAGGAGCCAGGACAAGCACTTTTGGACTCTGGCCCAATGGTAGCATCTACAGGTGGATGCCTGCAACTCCCAAAGCCCCAGTAGGCTTGTTACAGTGTTCCTTTAGCTCTGCTGTCCACAGATGAGTTAAGTGTTAACCAGCTCAGTGCCTTCTTGGTACCTGACCTTGTCCATCTTCCAGGAAGAATCAGATTATACATGGACTTGAAGGATGGTGAATGCAGGGGTTTTGTGAGTGGTGGAGAAGGCTCTCAGTGAGATGGACAGGGAGCTGGAAAGAGGATAGAGTGGGAAGATGATCTTCCTCTGGAGTTTGGCCATCCCACAGCCATTGGACTGTCCACAGTCACACTCCTCTCGATGTTCAGACATTCCTTCTCTTCACTCCTCTCTGCCACGCTGACTTTCTGTTCCTCTTCTCTTCTGCTCATCTGCCATGGATCCTGGGATTTGAAGTTTATATGGATATAGGATAGGGGGGTGTGGTGGGCCAAAAGGCAACATTTGGCCACAAAAACAGGAATGCCTGTTCCCATTTAGGACCTGTTCCCATTCCAGGCTTGAGGGTGGGGCCTTTGCTGGAGAACCACCATCCTCTACCCAGTATTTCCCTGTCTCCTGTCCGTATCAATATAAATATAAAATTAAAAGCTAGAAGAGGGGTGAGGACATTCCAAGAGGTGTCACAGACTGTGCAAAGGTAAGGGAAATGAAATGGTTTGTATATTTAGAAATGCTGAGTATTGAAGGCTGATGGAACCTAGAAATGGAGCTAAGTTGTCTTTTCCATAAGAGCCTTTGAGTCTGATTGCTTATTGGAAATGGGTGCCATGCTTCATAGCTACAATTTCAACCACATTCTATACTAGGGACTTGACATACACATGTAATCTCTAATATAATAACTCTTGGTTATGTATTATTATGTAAAAGCATGTATTACTTTCTTCTTAATTAAAGGAGGAAATGAAGGCTCAGATGGGTTATCTTATTCACATGTTAATTTACCTATTCATCCATCCATTCTTTCTATAAATATTCACTAGATGCCTCCCATGTGCAGGTACTAGATGCTGGTGATTAGGGAGGGAAACATAGGTATACCCTATCCTCAGAGAGCTTAGACTCTAGAGCAAAAACCTGATATTAAATAACTAACTTACCAAAATGTGATGTGTAATGAAGAGGTAGTAGAGTTTTCTGTGCATAGAAAGAGAAGAGTGAATCCAAGTAAGAGTAAAACTGATATTAGAACATATATGGTCTAAAGCTGGTTTCCTGGTCTAAAGCTTTATTTCCTTTTATAATGCTGTGCTACCCCAGTTACCACAAGCAATGTTTTTCAAAAAGTGGAGTGCTTTCTTCTGAAGGTCCAGGAGTATCTTTGGGGAGTACAGGACAAAGCTTGTTTTTAAAGATGGATGTATTCAATTTAATGTCTATTTTTTGTCAAGTGATATTGTTTTCCATTTATGGAAGTGGTATATTTTCTTTTAAATATACGTATATTTAAGCAAGCATAGTGGTCTGATTTAGAGAAACATACCTAATAAACAACAATGCAAGAATACAGTGGGTATGGGGGAAATCCTAATTGAAATTTGAAGGTTTTTTTCTGGTTATGCCAGTTCTGCAGATGCTCTTGTTATTTTCATTCTGATTATTACTTGTTCCAGATTCCTAAAATGGAACCTCTAGTATTGACCCACTAAGCATTTGGTAAGTACAGTACGGTAGCTCATTAAAATGTAAATTGGGTTAAGTGCTTCAGAAACATACAGGAGAATATGTAAATAATGAAGAACAATGAGAAGCCGGCTCTTTCCCTCAGGAACTTTGCCTCTCTAATAGTTTGAACCTTATCCATAGTCATGAATCTAGCTAGGAAACACTCAGTTAAAAAAAAAAATCTAGAAATAAAGCAAATGAGCTGAGGGCAGCAGTGCAAAACTTCAAATGACATCAAGCAATAAGAAAAACATCCAGTAATGCTCTTGTGTTTAATGAAGAAAACTGTACCAAGGTTAAATGGTTTCCATGTTTACCCTCAATTGTATCATGTGGCACATTAACATGTTTCTCCTAGAGTTTGTCCTGCTGGAGACGTATACATAACAGCTAGATCAGTTCAAGAGACAGAAACCTGACTATGAGTAGAGGAAGTAAAAGGGGCAGTAGAGCTCTCTCCACTGGTTTCAGAAAAACATCTCCAGCAAGGATCTGGTTGGGTTACAGACTTGTATCTGGACCATTCCCTGAGACCAGGGATAGATTTTTCTCAGCCTGAATCATCCATAGCATAGGCAAGATGAAAGACTTTAGTAGAAGGTAATGGAGGTATATTGGTAGATTAAAAGAAGAGGTAATGTGGAGAAATCAGTATGTAAAGTAAACTTGAAAGGATGTACCTAGGAAGCTGAGGAGGGAGAATTCCTTGAACTCAATTGTTTGAGTCCAGCCTGGCAACATAACCAGACCTGTCTCTTAAACAAACAAACAAACATGGAACAGCCAGGCAAAAAATGGGATTTGATTGCCACCATGAGATAAGGCTTTACATTTACCTGCTTGTATTGTAATCTAGCCCCACCCTGCTTCTCACACTGATTTTCTTCAGGTGATACAAGATAACATTGTTGCCTACAATGAGCTTGTCTAAGAAGTCAGTCTATTTGAACTTTCCACAGAATTGGACACCAATTGTCTCCTCTTTTATGAAATACACTCCTTAGTCCAGGGAAACAATATTTTATTATTTTATTTTATAAGTTCTGGGGTACATGTGCAGAATGTGCAGGTTTGTTACATATGTAAATGTGTGCCATGGTGGTTTGCTGCATCTATTAGCCCATCACCTAGGTATTAAGCCCAGCATGCATTAGCTATTTATGCTAATGCTCTTTCTCCCACTGCCACCACCCCTGCCCCCAACAGGCCCCCATGTGTGTTGTTCCCCTCCCTATGTCCATGTGTCGTTCTCATTGTTTAGCTCCCACTTATAAGTGAGAACATGCTGGCTAGTCACATGTAGAAATGGCAGAAAATCAAGTGTTTGGTTTTCTGTACCTAGTTTGTTTGCTGAGGATAATGGCTTCTAGCTCCATTTATGTCCCTGAAAAGGATATGATCTCATTCCTTTTTATGTCTGCATAGTATTCCATGGTATATATGTACCACATTTTTTAATCCAGTCTATCATTGATGCGCATTTGCGTTGATTCCATGTCTTTGCTATCGTGAATAGTGCTACAATGAACATATGAATGCATGTATCTTTAAAACAGAATGATTTATATTCCTTTGGGCATATAAATCAGCAATGGGATTGCTGGGTCAAATGGTATTTCTGGTTCCAGGTCTTTGGGGAACCGCCACACTGTCTTCCACAATGATTGAATTAATTTACATTCCCAACAGTGTAAAAGTGTTCCAACTTCTCCACAGACTCACCAGCATCTATTATTTCTTGACTTTGTAACAATAGCCATTATGACTGGCACGAGATGGGATCTCATTGTGGTTTTGATTTGCATTTCTCTAATTATCAGTGATGTTGAGCTTTATTTCATGTTTATTGGCTGCATGTATGTCTTCTTTTGAGATTTGTCTGTTCATGTCCTTTGACCACATTTTAATAGGGTGTTTTTTTTTCTTATGAATTTGCTTAAATTCCTTGTAGGTTCTGAATATTAGACCTTTGTCAGTAGGAAAGTGGTCTAGTTTCAGTTTTCTGCATGTGGCTAGCCAGTTCTCCCTGCACCATTTATTAAATAGGGAATCCTTTCCCCATTGCTTGTTTCTGTCAGGTTTGTTAAAGATTAGATGGTTGTAGATGTGCAGTCTTATTTCTGTGTTCTCTGTTCTGTTCCATTGGCTTATATGTCTGTTTTTGTACCAGTACCATGCTGTTTTGGTTATTGTAGACTTGTAGTATATTTTGAAGTTGGGTAGTGTGATACCTCCAGCTTTGTTCTTTTGGCTTAGGATTTCTTGGGCAGACAGGCTCTTTTTTGGTTCCATATCAATTTTAAAGTACTTTTTTTGTCCAATTCTGTGAGGATGTCAATGGTAGTTTAATGGAAATAGCATTGAATCTGTAAATCACTTTGAGCAGTGTGGCCATTTTCACAACATTGATTTGTCCTATCCATGAGCATGGAGTGTTTTTCCATGTTTTTTTTCCTATCTGATTTCCTTGAGCACTGGTTTGTGGTTCTTCTTGAAGAAGTCCTTCGCTTCCTTTGTTAGCTGTATTCCTAGGTATTTTATTCTCTTTGCAGCAATTGTGAATAGTTCATTTATGGTTTGGTTCTCTGCCTGTCTATTGTTGGTGTATTGGAATGCTTGTGACTTTTGCACATTGATTTTGTATCCTGAGACTTTGCTGAAGTTGCTAATCAGCTAAAGAAGCTCTTGGACTGAGATGATGGGATTTTCTAGATATAGGATCATGTCATCTGCAAACAGACACAGGCTGAATTCCTCTCTTCCTATTTGAGTACCCTTTATTTCTTTCTCTTGTCTGATTGCCCTGGCCGGAACTTCTAATACTATGTTGAATAAGAGTGGTCAGAGAGGGCATCCTTGTGTTCTGCTGGTTTTCAAGGGGAATGCTTCCAGCTTTTGCCTGTTATAAATCTTATTATTTTGAGTTATGTTCCATCAATACCTAGTTTATTGCGAGTTTTTAACATGAAGGGACATTGAATTTTATCAAAGGCCTTTTCTGGGTCTAATGAGATAATTACGTGGTTTTAGTCTTGAGTTCTGTTTACGTGATGAATTACTTTTATTGATTTGTGTATGTTGAACCAGCCTTGCATCCCTTGATGCTGACTTGATCGAGCAGGGAAGCTTTTTGATGTGCTGCTGGATTTGGTTTGCCAGTATTTTATGGACGATTTTTGCATCGATGTTCATCAGGGATAATAGCCTGAAGTTTTGTGTTTTTGTTTTTTTTTTTTTTTTGATGTATCTCTGCAAGGTTTTGGTATTAGGATGATACCTTAATTAAAGCAGATGATATCTGTCTTAATTTCATTATTTACCCATGAAATGAATTAGGGAGGAGTCCCTTCTTTTCAGTTGGTTTGAATAGTTTCAGAAGAAATGGTACCAACTCCTCTATGTACCTCTGGTAGAATTCATCTGAAAATGTATCTAGTCCTGGGCTTTTCTTGTTTAGTAGGCTATTTCTTACTGCCTCAATTTCAGAACTTGTAATTGATCTATTCAGGGATTCAACTTCTTCCTGGTTCTGTCGTGGGAGGGCGCATTGTCCAGAAATGTATCCATTTCTTCTAGATTTTCTAGTTGATGTGCATAGAGGTGTTTATAGTATTCTCTGACGGTTGTTTATATTTATGTGGGGTCAGTGGTGATATTCTCGTTATCACTTCTGATTGTGTCTATCGGATTCTTCTCCATTTTCTTCTTTATTAGTCTAGCTAGTGGTCTATTTTGTTAATTTTTTTTTTTACAAAACCAGCTCCTGGATTCATTGATTTTTTTTTAAGGGTTTTCTGTGTCTCTATCTCCTTTAGTTCTGTTCTGATCTTGGTTATTTCTTGTCTTCTTCTAGCTTTGCGGCTTGTTTGCTCTTGGTTCTCTAATTCTTTTAGTTGTAATGTTAGGATGTTTACTTGAGATCTTTCTAGCATTTTGATGGGGGCATTAATGCCATAAATTTCCCTCTTAACACTGCTTTAGCTGCATCCCAGATATTCTGGTATGTTGTCTCTTTGTTCTCATTGGTTTCAAAGAACAACTTGATTTCTGCCTTAATTTCGTTATTTACCCAGGAGTCATTCAGGAGCAGGTTGTTCAATTTCCATGTAGTTGTGTGGTTTTGAGTAAGTGTCTTAATCCTGAGTTTTAATTTGATTGCACTGTGGTCTAAGAGACTGTTATTATTTCTTTTTTTTTATTTATTTTTTTTGCATTTGCTGAAGAGTGTTTTACTTCCAATGATGTGAACAATTTTGGAGTAAGTGTCATGCGGCACCAAGAACAATGTATATTCTGTTGTTTTGGGGTGAAGAGTTCTGTATATATCTATTAGGTCCACTTGATCGAGAGGTGAGTTCAAGTCCTGAATATCTTTGTTAATTTTGTCTCAATAATCTGTCTAATATTGACAGTGGGGTGTTAAAGTCTCTCACTATTATTGTGTGGGAGTCTAAGTCTCTTTATAGGTCTCTAAGAACTCATTTTATGAATCTCGGTGCTCCTGTATGGGGTGAATATATATGTAGGATAGTTAGCTCTTCCTGTTGAATTGAGCCCTTTACTGTTAGGTAATGCCCTTTTTGTCTTTTTTGATCTCTGTTGGTTTAAAGTTTGTTTTGTCAGAAACTAGGATTGCAGCTTGTGCTTTTTTCTGCTTTCCATTTGCTTGATACATTTTCCTCCATCCCTTTATTTTGACCCTCTGTTTGTCTTTGCCCATGAGCTGGGTCTCTTGGACACAGCACTTTGATGGGTCTTGACTCTTTATGCAGCTTGTCATTCTGTGTCTTTTAATTGGAGCATTTAGCCCATTTACATTTAAGGTTAATATTGTCATGTGTAATTTGATCCTGTCATCATGACATTAGCTAGTTATTTTGCAGACTTGTTGATGTAGTTGCTTCATAGTGTTATTGGTCTTTGTACTTCAGTGTGTTTTTATAGTGGCTGGTAACATGCTTTCCTTTTCATATTTAGTGCTTCCTTCAGGAGTTCTTGCAAGGTAGGCCTGGTGGTGATGAATTCCTTCAGCATTTGCTTGTCTGAAAAGTATTTAATTTCTCCTTTGCTTATGAAGCTTAGTTTGGCCAGATATGAATTTCTCGATTGGAAATTCCTTTCTTTAAGAATGTCTAAAATTGGCCCCTAATCTCTTCTGCCTTGTAGGGTTTCTGCTGAGAGCTCCACTGTTATTCTGACAGACTTTCCTTTGTACGTGACCTGGCCTTTCTCTCTGGCTGCCCTTAACATTTTTTCCTTCATTTCAATCTTGGAGAAATTGATGATTATGTGTCTTGGAGTTGCTCTTCTCATGGAGTTTCTTACTGGGGTTCTCTGGATTTTCTGAATTTGAATGTTGGCCTGTCTTGCTAGATTGGGGAAGATCTCCTGGGTGATATCCTGAAGTAAGTTTTCCAACTTGGTTTCATTCTCCCCATCTCGTTCAGGTACCCCAGTCAACTGTAGGCTCTGTCTTTTTACATAACTCCATAGTTCTTGCAGGTTTTGTTCTTTCCCTTTCATTCTTTTTTCTGTAATCTTGTCTGCTTGTCTTATTTCAGCAAGACAATCTTCAAGCTCTGAAATTCTTTCCTCCATTTGGTCTTTTCAGCTCTTGATACTTGTGGTTGCATTGTGAAGTTCTCGTGTTGTGTTTTTCAAGTCCATCAGGTCATTTATGTTTCTTTCTAAACTGGCTATTCTGGTTAACAGCTCCTGTAATGTTTTATCATGGTTCTTACCTTCTTTGCATTGGGTTAGAGCATGCTCCTTTAGCTCAGTGAAGTTCGGTATTACCTACCTTCTGAAGGCTACTTCTGCAAATTTATCCATCTCAGCCTCAGCCCAATCCGGTGCCATTGCTGGAGAGGTGTTGTGATCATTTGGAGGAGAAGAGGCACTCTGGCTTTTTGAGTTTTCAGCATTTTTTTCGTGGATTCCTTTTCGTCTTCTTGAGTTTATCTAGCTTCGATCTTTGAGGCTGCTGACCTTTGGATGGGGTTTTTGTGGGAACATTTTGTTGATGCTGTTGTTGTTGCTTTCTGTTTGTTTGTTTCTTTTAACAGTCAGGTCCCTCTTCCATCGGGCTGCTGCAGTTTGCTGGTGGTCCCCGACTCCAGATCCTATTTTCCTGGTTCCCTCCTGCACCTGGAGGTGTCACCAGTGGAGGCTGCAGAACAGCAAAGATGGCTGCCTGATTCTTCCTCTGGGAGCTTGTACCAGAGAGGTACCGACCTGATGCCGATGGGAACACTCCTGTACAAGGTGTCTGGTGATTGGGGGTCTCACCCAGTCAGGAGGCACGAGATCAGGGACCCACTTAACAAAACGCGCTGGGTGCTCATTGGTGGAAGGTGTGCACTGCGCTGCAGGGATTTCTACTTATCTGGACGGCCCGGATTTTTCAGAGCCAGCAGGGGAAAGACTAAGTCTGCTGATCCGTGGAGACCACGGCAGCCCATTTCCACAGGGACTCCGTCCCAGAGAGATCAGAGTTCTGTCCATAAAACTCTGGCTGGAGTTGCTGAAATTCTTGCAGGGAGGCCCTTCCCAGTGAGAAGGGATGGATCCAGGTCCAGACTAAAGAGGTAGTCTGGCCACAATCTGCCACAGCTGCTGTGGTACACCCTGGGGAATTCTTCCTGGGTCCAAACTGCCCAGTTTCCGCGGCACCAGCGGGGGGGAACTGCCAGACTGGAGCTGTAGTGATGGCTGCCGCCCCACTCCCTGAGAACTCAGTAGTCTTGTGCAGTCTCCAGCCAGGCGGCCACTGAGAATCTACACAGCTCTGTGCTTGGAACCCAAGGTCCTAGTGGCATGGGCTCATGAGGAGATCTGCTCCACGGGTTGCACAAATCCATGGAAAAAGCATGGCTTCCCGGGCAGGGTAGCATGGTCACTCACCGCCTCCCTTGGCTGGGGGTGGGAGCTCCCCTTGTTCCGGCTCCCAGGTGGGCTGTCGCTCCACCCTGCTTTTCCTCACTCTCTGTGGGTCACGCCAACCACTTAGTCAATCCCAGCAAGAGAACCTGGATACCTCAGTTGCTGGTGTAGGATTCACTCTCCATTCTCCCTTCTTCTTGGTGGGAGACTCCGACTGCAGCTGTCTCTCGTTGGCCCTTTTGGCCCCTCTCTGCCAGGGAAACATTCTTAATGGGATTTTCTCCTTTGTCAATCCCTTCTGGTCTCTTCTGCTAATTTATCTTCTATGCCTTTACCCCTTAAATATTAATTTCCTCCTGGGACCTGTTTTCAATGCTTTTATTTTCTCATTTATCACTCTCCCTTAGTGATAATACAACTGAAACCAGAATTATGGCTGACTTTTATGATTTTTGTTATAGTGTTTTGAGTGCTTCCTGTATGAGAGATACTGTAATAAGCAAAAGAAACTCAGAAAGGTAAATTGATCCCTTCTATTCTTGGCTTTAATTTCTACCTGCATGATAATGACTCTCAAATATATGCCTCATAGATCTAGTCGGCCACAGTTACATATCCAAGGAAGGAGTATGCCATTCTCCCAGGTCGTCCACTTCAGACTCAAGCTCCCCAAACCAGACCCACCCAAAACCTGCTTTGACTCTGTATTTCTTGCCTCAGTAACCACCAGTATCATCTGCTTGGTCATATGCAGCATAAGTCATTGTTGATTGTTTCCTTTTCTTCACTGACTACAGTACATTGAGTCTAACTGCAAAATGTTGTCTTCTATTTTTATTCCCACTGCTTTTGTGCCAATAAAGACACAACCCCATGACTGTTTTATAAATAAAGTTTTATTGGAAAATAGCTGTACTCACTCATTTACATATTTTCTGTGGCTGTTTTCATGATACAATGGCAGAGCTGACTGTTTGCAACAGAGACCTTATGACCAGAAAAACCTAAAATATTTACTGATTCGCTATTTGCAGAAAAAATTTTGCCGATGCCTGCTCTCGCATAAATAGTCATATGGCCTGGTACAGTGGCTTATGCTGTAATTTTAGCACTTTGGGAGGCCGAGGTGAAAGGACTGTTTGAGCTCGGAAGTTCGAGACAAGCCTGGGCAACACAGGGAGACCCCATCTCTCAAAAAACAAACAAAATTAGTCGGGTATAGTGGTGCCTGCCTATAGTCCCAGCTACTCAGTATGCTGAGGTAGGAGGATTGCTTGGGCCCTGGAGGTCAAGGATGCAGTGAGCCATGATCACACAGCTGCATTCCAGCCTGAGCAACAGAGCGAGACCCTGCCTAAAATAAAATATAAAAATAAAAATCTTAATCTCTTCTTTGGACCCATGTAGTGATGCCTTATTTTTGTCTCTCAGTGTCCCTTCACCCAGGTTCCAATTCATCTTTTATATCCACCACCATTTATAGTTGCAAAACTCAATCTTTGCCATGTTATAGCCCCCTTTTAAAAACAAACAATGATAAGATTTTGATGAATGTAAATGGCCCAGATGAAAAATGTGAATCCCAGTATTATTTATGCATTGCTGCATAACAAAATACTCTAAAATTTAGTGACTTTGTGGATTGACTGGGCAGTTCTTGTGCTATTCTCATGCAGCGGGAGTTGTATAGCTGCATTCACCCGACAGGTAAGATGAAAAATAGTTCAGCTGGGATGTTGGGATGGCTGGGTCCCCATCCTCAAGGCTAGTGTCTCTCAGGGACAACAAGGAGACCTGGGCTGCCTTTTAGGGAACACATGCCTTTCTTAGCTCCCCAACTCCCAACTTTATCCTTGTTCCATTATGTTACCTACTTAGCTCTTGTAAGCACTGGAATTAGCAAGCCCTGAAATGTGTAAATTTCATTTGTGGTTTGAAATAAACTAACTCCTGTGGAGATATTAACATTAACATATTCTCTAATGTTGAAATGCTGTCAGATACAATTCCTGTACCAGTTTATTATTGTCTCTATGTGGTGTGTATAGGATATCAGAACTTCTAGCTGAAAGCTACTTGTTGATCTCCTTGAAAGTTTTTTTCTTTTACCTTTTCCTCTCATCCCCCTCAATAATTTTTTTCCTTTAAATGATACCTATTACAATTTCTTCCCTATGAAATGAGATAATTTGACTATCTGCTTGAGTCTGATGTAAAAATAGAATCACACCAGAGGAAATAAATTAGCATTTGGCAAGGATACATTTTCATTTGTGGTACTGTATTTAAGGCAGTTGCTAGGTGGGTTTGTGGATGATGGAACATTCTAGAACTTCGTTTAAACCTTTTTCAATTAATAGAAAGGATGGGAGCAGAAGGCAAAATGAATGTATGTTTCAGCGTATGTGGAATGCTGATTTGAATAAAGGAGGATGTTTTACTTAACAAAAGATTATTTCAGAAAGGCAATACATAGAAAGTTACAGTACCTATAAAACTATAGATTGATCAACTGTCAATGACAACATAAACACAATCACACAGATACACACATCCCAGATAATTCCTACATTCACCAAAAATAACACTACTGTTGGACAGCCTGCAAGGATATCCAAGTTGGACTCAGATATGTCTTTAAAATTTGGCCTTTATTGCATCTCAAATCAATTAGTTAGAAATTACAAAAAAGAGAAATGTATAATTGAAACAATGATGACAGGCTTTCACTTACAATAGTGTGAACTCAACAGAGGCCCTTGAAATTCAGTTAATTTAAATTCTAATAGATCATCATACCTATAGAATATAATTCATTTAATGGCAATTGCTATTCATAATAGGGACTCTTTATGAAAATTGGATATTTGAGTTAAACTACATTTATAGCCAAGAATAAAATTTATTTGATCCGTAAGAAAGACTTCATCAAGAATTAAATGTTCAGTCTTGAGAAATCTACATTAGAAAATGAATTATGAATCACCATTCAAGATTGAATTCATTATCTTGTTGTGTGTAACTATACATTTCTTTTGGTCATTTACTACACTCTGTAATTTCTAGTAACTTAAATACAAACATTTTGCATTGTTAACTAAATACAATATCTGTTTCCTTTCAGTTAATTATGTACACATAATAATTTTGGGTCTCAAAGAACTGTCTCCTAAAATCAGTAGAACTAAAAAAAACTGCTTTGTAAATTCTCCTTCAAGCTGTAGTTTTATGTGAAGGATTCTAAGCTTTAAGTTTGTTGTTCCAAAAGAGCTTAGAAATCCTGATTTGGCATTAAAATGTGTAATATTTGTGTAAACTGGCTTCTCTTACATTGTCCTACTTTATACTCGTGCTAAATTGTATTTGCTTCTAAGCCCACCTTCTATTAGCATATCTTTGTATGTATTAAAACTATGTAGCTAAAAGTGGATCTATATGATTATGCAACATAGGGCCAGACACATGCTAGATACTTAAAAGAGGATTGTCTAAATGGAATGGCTATTTCATACATACTTTACATACATATATATGAAATGTTCAAAGTTCTCAGCTCATGTAAACTTTAATCACTGAGATTGTCAATGCAATATGAACAATTTTGAAATATCATTTAAAAGCAAACATTCATATTTAAACCCAATATCAGACAATTGTACTGCTTTGCACACAATGCAATTTGAAAATTACTGAGAGAATAAAACTATCATTTAATTAGCAACGTTTAAATCAATACCAGGTATAGAAATAAAAATGTTCTTTGGTTTGAAACACATCCTTTGATTATTTATAATATCATAACCTGATATTCAAGTTTCAATATTAAGATACAGATGTTTAAACACTGCCCAGAAAGAATTTTATTGATTTTTTACAATACTTTTAGAAAGTAGACCAGAGATAGATGAAACATTTATCTTTAATGTCTTATAAGGGATTCCTTCATATGAGAGAAAATTAAGGACACCTCAATGTCTTCCAACTTGATGAACCTATGATAGTTTTAGGAAAGATGGTTGTATCTGAGTGGCATTATTGTATGACAACCACATATCATAGTTAAGAAGTACCGTTTAATTTTAAGGGAGGCAACATGGTATTGTGTTGAAGAGCCTGGTTTCTGAAGTTAGAATGCCTGACTTCAGTTCCTGGCTCAGTTCTGTACTAGCAATGCGACTTTAGCAAGTCACATAACCACTTTGTGTCTCAGTTTCTCCATTAACAAAATGGGTATAATAATTATACCTATCTCATAAGCTTTCTATAATGACTAAATGAGTTCACCTGTATAAATCGCTTAGGACAGTATCTGACACTCAGTAAGTTCCATGGAAGTGTTTCATCAAAAAATGTTTTTTTAATGCTATATTAGTGTAAATAAGACCCAGTTTCATCCTCAGAGTGGTACATTTGTGTGCAAAGTAATTTATAAATATATTTCCTACTTGGCAAAGTAATAACTGAAACCTAAGAGCAAAGACTGTATAACCTGGAGAAAGTCAGTTAACAGTCTTGAACTGCCTTATCTCCAGCAATTAAATGGCAAAGTTATTCTACATGATTTCTCAAGTACCTTCTGTATTAAAAAAGAAAAAGCCTATGATTCCATAGGTTTATTTTGCTATATTCAAGCAGAATATCTTTATGGTAGCAATAACCCCATTAATATTAAAACACATAAATAAATCATTATGGTACTTGATAAATAATAAATTATCAAAAATATTAAATGCATATTCTCATGTATCTTTATTTTCTTATATTGTAATTTACATGGATAGGGACACCTATTGCATGAATTAATTAGGTGTAAAACTCTGCTCAACTATGTGTTGTTTTGGATTGTTTTTCTAGTTATGCAAATTGGAAGTTTTTTATTTAGTCTAATAACATCAGGGAGGGCTCTATAACTCAAATACAAATTTGTCTTAGCTGTAAATATGACTCTCCTCCTTCCTTATTATTCTACCACACTTAAAATGAAGAAAGGACATTAAGCCTTGTGAAAGTCAGGTTTTATTTTATTATTTAGTATGAAAAGCATGAATATAAATCCATTCAAAATAAAATAGTGACCAAGGAGATCAAATTTTGATAATGTATTGAAGTTCCTAAATAAGTCAACTTTCCTCAAGTCAATACTTACGCTCCTCAGTCCGTCCCTCTTCCTCCTCCCCAGTTTATTGATACAAAAGATGGTAAAGCAAGAATAGAGTATTTCCACAAAACACTTCTATATTTCTGTAAAACTATTCTAGGTTAGCTCCAATCTAGCTTCTGTACTGATAAATTGCAAAAACTACAGAGTAATAAAATCCTCAGCATTTCAGCATTGTACACCTCCCTAACATTACTGTCTTATTTCTATCCCGACTGTTATAACACCAAGACAACTTATCATAAATATCGCTCGCAGACTGAGACACTTGATTAAACTCTTCTGGCTGTGTGTAGATGGGAACAGAATTAAAGTAGTACTTCTATTCTTAAAAGAGAATTGTAAAAGATATTGTACATGTGCATCTTAGAAAAAGTTGTGACACTTAAGGACCCCTAGGAGTACTTCAAATTTGGGTGCATTTTGGTCCTGGGCTGAAGTAACAGCATCTTCCTTGGCCCTGTGGATCGAGAGAAGAGCTAGATACAGCTAGAAATGGAGGTTCTTCTCTACTAAATGTCTGTGGAGAAAAGCAAGTGAGAAGGAAGAAGCAAGCAGATGAGCAGGGGAAGCACATGTGACAGATGGAGAGAGAATTTCTCAGGATTGCCAGACTCCTCCAGACCCTGAGTCTGCTCCAGAGGCCCAGGAACACACCTGTTCACAGTGTCTTCCCAATAAATTTCCCTGTTAGCTTCAGGCAGTTCAAGCAAGGTTTCAGTTACCATTCAACCAAAGGAGCCCTAACTCAGGTCATATTTGTCAAGACAGTACTCCCTTGAAATTACAGTGATTCTATAGCCTCCCCAAATTTTCAACTTCTTGTAAAACACTTTACAAAGGGTCTGATGGTTTATATTGCAATACAAATACATAATCAGTTTGAGAAAATCTCATGTGATCAAATATTTCGACGTATTTACCTTTTCTCCTTTGCAATTTAAGGTCTAATTCCAATTTCCTGGACCCACTCTAGCTTCATCTTTCATAAAATAATCACAGGGTTTTGAATACAAGTTCCTGTCATTAAATGGCTCTAATTCTTAGTAGTGTTTCTATTCCTGCCCATGAGAATTTTGGCTTACTTTCTCATGCTTAGAACCTTCTCTGAGAAACAGTCACAATAAGTATTCAATATCCAAAAACAACTCTGTAATTATTGTAAGCTTCAAGAATACATGGTGGCCCAAACAATTGTAGCAAAGATTCTTAAGAGAAAGTGTGACAGTGTTGTAGAATGTACCATTTTTATAAAAGAAAAAAAAGAAAATACTGTAAACCACAACTTCTGTAAATGTGCACCTGCTTCTCTATGCTTCACATTTGTTGAATTTTTAGTCCTCATTGATTGATTGATCTAAGCCTCCATCAAACACATTAATATACTCAGGTTGCTTAGGCACCGCCATCTGAGTGTAATACACAGCCACAGAATCAAGATTACCTGATGCTATGAAAACCACCTCGTATAGCTTGAACTTTATTCTGATTCACAGTGTAGTCTCAGTGGTTCATTCCTTTGCAACACCTGTATACTAGAATATGTTAGTGGAGCTTCCAAAATTTAACTAAGAATTGATACATCTAACTGGATCTGTAGATATTATAGGACACACATTTACAGTGTTCTATTGGCCTTGATGCCAGGAGCACTCTGCCTGTGTTTTGTGCAGAATTCATATTAGAGTTGTTGCTTTCTTTTCTATGACACGTACTGATGCAATCTCTCTGGCCTGGGCTTTTCTTGAGCCATTATAAATTGTCAGTTTGGTTCAGTCTCTAGTTCCCATTGAAAAGCTTCATCATGAACTCTCCACACGATGATCTTGCAACATGCCTGCTAATGAATCCTCTAAACTACAGCATTGAGAAAAATGGCATAGCTCTGAAAAATCAGCAGCCATGTCCTCACCAAGCTTTGAATTCAATTGGTGGAATGTAACTCTCAGAACAATAACTAATAGTGCTGCTGTGATGTGAACTTCCAGTAACCTTACAGATTCATCAAATGCCTTATCCTTACCTGAGGCACGGATGTTGAGAGATCATGTTATAACATGGTACACTTCTGATTAAAGCCTTCCAAGTTTTATTATATAAAGTATTATGAAAATTAAAATATAGAAGCAACACTCATCCTCACAACCCAAAATAATTATTATCCCACCTACAAACACCCCTGGTATTCTGGGTGCAGTGGTCCTTAGCATATGAAGGAATCACAGGAAGCCAACTGTCAAGTAAGCCTTATATATGACAAGAGGTAGACATTCTTCTCTTGGTGTATATTTCATTACAGATTAGAAGGAGGCCATGAGATTCATGAAGTAGTGGGGAAGTGGTAGATTGGGGATTGGAAAGTTTGGATTCTGCCTGCCTATGTTATGATTTCAAAAAAATCAAGTATTTCTCTGTATTTAAACTGGTTATTTTTTAAAGGAAATAATTGAACTTGATGGCTTTAAAGGTTTCTTTCCTTCTAATGTCCTGTGAATGAATCAGAATGACAGATAGAAAAACATTAACAGCTCTGTAACTCTTGTTATCCTCTCTACACTCTGCAGGCTCTGTCTTAGTATGAAGCCTACCCATCAGTCTGACTGAGACTCAAGAAAGCCTGTCAATGTTGCTAAAAAGACATACAGAAAACATTCAAAATGTTTACTCATACTATGTCTTGATTTCCATTTATCCAGTCATATACAACATTGTTCTAATAAATCACATTATCAAAACAAGGCCTGGGATAAATAACTACTTTCTCTGTTAGCAGCTCCATCATAAAATTATCTAACTTAATCTATGTATATATTTCTATAAGAAATAGCTTCTGAATTGGATATTTTTTCTGGAACCAAATTTCTGTTTCAATATTTCTCTTAAGAAATGGGAGAGAATCCTCTCAATGAGAAAGCGTAAAAGAAAATTCCCCAAGGAGGGAGTAGTCAAAAGCTTTATAATGTCACTATAATGCTAAATAGAGCTTAAATTGAATAGGAGGAGAGATGTCTCCTTGGGACCTGTATCTGGTAAAATTGAGGGAAGTTGTGTGTTATGATCAGATCCACCTGTATTTAGTATATATTGAGAATAAAACTTTGGCTAAAATATAAATGAGAACAGAGACCATTTTAATGCTGGTCTATTATTTAAACTAGTTTCTAAATATTACATATTGATCTTAAAACATGTAAAAATATTTTCAACTGAGATATATACTTTAGGTGCTCAAATATATTTAAAATGTTTAATTAACCAATTTCCAAGGAGATGTCCATTACGAAAAATTATATAATCCTGTACTATAAAGTAAACCTCAGTTAAACACTTCAGTTACGTTAAGATTATCATATTTAGCAAATAAAAATTCAAGATACCCAGTTAGATTTGAATTTCAGATAAGCAATAAAGAAAGTTTAATATGTCTCATGCATTTATTATCATTATTATTTTTTAATGACAGAATCTCCCTCTGTCACCCAGGCTGGAGTGCAATGGCACGATCTCTGCTCACTGCAACCTCCACCTCCCGGGCTCAAGCAATTCTTGTGCCTCAGCCTCCTGAGTAGTTGGTATTACAGGCATGCACCACCAACACCTGGCCAATTTTTGTATTTTTAGTAGAGATGGGGTTTCACCATGTCGGCCAGGCTGATCTTGGACTACCGACCTCAAGTGATCTGCCTGCCTCCGCCTCCCAAAGTCCTGGGATTACAGGCGTAAACCACCGTGCCTGGCCCATTTTTAAAATACTTTTATGCTAAAAATGATTCATTATTTATCTGAGATTCATATTTAACTAAGTGTTCTGTTATTTTGTCTGGCAATCCTTGCTACATGTTTACAGACTTTTTTCATTTTACTTTTATAGATATATATAAACCTGTGGAGTTATGCATTAGTTTGGACACTAGTTACAGTAGACATAATATTGAGAAATAGAACCATATACATTGGAATAAAACCCAATAAATTAAATAAACAAAGATACTTTGGTTTTGACAAGAGAAATTGTTGGAAATAATGTTTTACAAGGTTGACCAATCTCACTTTAGCTTCCTTTCTCCATTGTAAAGTCCGGCATGGATAAGATTTGAACGATTAATATTATTTAAATGTATACTCAATGGCTGTTGAAGGTGCCTACCTCTTAAACAATGTTCAGACTAATGATGACAGCAATAGACATCCGTGTAGTTGGAATGTGGAGGAAAAATGAACAAACATATCAAGAAATAGTCTCTTAAACTATAAATTAAGTAGAATGAGAGATATTTAAGATAAATTCGGGATTAGTGGGAAAACAGCACAAATCTAAAAGATATTGAGGGTTATATTCTATAGCCTGGTTTTCAAATGGGCTTTTTTTCAAACTGATTCACTAGATGTTTTTCTTCATTTCGGTGTGCTTCCCACAACTTCATTGTATTCTTCAAATATGTTCTAACATCAAATGTTCTTTTTGCACTACGTTCTCATTAATTTCCGAGTCAGAGGAATGTAAAGGGCTCCTGCAATTGAAATAAAAATCTGTTTTTCTGGCTTTCACCCTTGCCTCTTCCCTATCCTAATCCATTTTGAGTGGCAGCCATGGTAATGTTTGAAAAACTCAAATGTAATCAGGTCAGTGTATTTCTTAAAAGCCCCTCAAAGCTTTCCTTTGTTCTTAGGCTGAAATGGAAAGGTTTAACATACCTCAACTCAACTGGCTCTGCTGCCTCTCTTGATTCCTCAGCCATACCTCTCCCATTTCTCCTTCCCCTCCACTCCATGTTCCACTCTAACTCTCTAGAAAAACCATACTCACAAAGAAGTAGGCTAAATCATATCAATTCCCCACATCTGTTTTAGATTAACTATAGAACCTCAACTTAGAGTGAAAGGGACAGGGTTATATACATGATTCTTCCTCTTTTACCCTGACACTATATCTTTCATATTGACATTCCTCTTTGCTCTGTCACCCAGGCTGGAGTGCATTGGCACAATCTTGGCTGACTGCAACCTCCGCCTCCTGGATTCAGGCAATTCTCCTGCCTCAGCCCCCCAACTAGCTGGGATTACAGGCACATGCCACCATGCCGCGCTAACTTTTATATTTTTAGTAGAGACAGGGTTTCACCATGTTGCCCAGGCTGGTCTCAAACTCCTGACCTCAGATGATCCATCTGCTTCGGCCTCCCAAAAAGCTGGAATCACAGGCACTAGCCACTGCTCCTGGCCCCAACTGGTTTTTAAAGCTTAGATTGGTTACCTAGTTATTTTGTCTCCTACTTACTTTAATATTCATTTTCTTGGACTGTTCTTCAATTCAGGTTAAATTTTCTGGTCAACTTTCTGGCAAAGAGTTTGTCAGGCAATAGTTTGACAATAGGGTATCATTTTTAAAAGTAAAGTGATGAATATGAAGGTTAAAATGTAAACAAAATTAATGAAATAAGGTTTCTTATCACAATTAGAGGTATTGGAATTACATAGGCATGTTTACGCCTGTTCCACTGAGCTAGCTATGGAAGTAGAATGGAGAAATAGTCTTATACACACAATTTCAGGTAAAGAGACATCAATACAACTTAAGACATCTTGAGCATTTTTCAACTTAAGATATCTTGAGCATTTTTCTTAATAAAACTTAAGATAGCTTGAGCATTTTTCTTAATAAAGTTTAAGCATCTAAGAAAGGGATAATAAGGTATGGTAAATGGGTTATTTTTATGGTAAGAAGAGAATATTGCCATTTCACACTTTACTTCTTGGTTTTGAATTTGCTAAGAACAATGGGATTTTCAAAGTTTGGTCCTATACCATGATGAAAGACACCATGATGCCTTCTGCTGCTTCATCTTCAGAAATCCCCCGCTCAGAATACTCTCAACCTCCCTCACAGCCTGTCCTTATCTTACCAGGCTCCCATGTGTCCAAAAGATAACCCTGCAAACTTAGTCCTCATTTCAATTTGGAAAGCTATCAGTGACCTGCAGTTTGTGTCATGAATTAACCTAGGAATGTGTCCCAGCTGAACACAACCCTCCTTGAGGAATGAATTAGAATTTTAGCCTACCCTGTCTTCTCTATTAATTATCACATCTGGAGGCTTCATCTGCCTAAACTAAGTTCCCTGTGTTGCTTCATAGTGGTCAGATTTCCTTTGTCAAATAACTATTAAAATTATGAAGAAACTAATTAAATGCTATAAGCAGAATTGTGTAGAGTAAGAAACAATTTCAGGCAGATCCAGTCCCTGACTTCAATTCAGGCATGACCAGAATGGATTCAAAGAGCCAGAACACATCCGAGAAGGGTGTCCTCGAAGGCTTTGGCAATTTTAGCTGTATCTGAAAGTTTCTCCTCCATTCAGCTCCCACTAACAGATTAATCTCTGTCTTTCACACCTACCTGTTCACTCCTAATATCTTCATAAACACATTCATTCATGATTTCACCTGACAAACATTTACTGAACATATTCTATGTGCTATGGATTATACTAGGCATTGGTAATACAAAAATAGCTAGATATGATCCCTGACCTCAAGAAACTCACAGAATGAAATAGGAAACAAATATACAAAGAAATAAGATGCCAATTTGTATTGCTGTGATAAATGTCTGAACAGTAGAGTGTAGGAATAGAAAAGAGAGAAAAGTCCATTTCTCCTGGGAAAAGGAGGGGAATTAGAAAAGGATTCATGGGAGAGATGATACTTGTACTTGAAAGACAGGTAGTCTGCTGCTGGTAGAGAGATGGGAATGAAGGATTACTATAGATAGTGCTATAAAACCAATAAGGCAATAATTTTATGTTTTTTCTAATCAATGAAAGAAGTGAAATAGTCTGATACTTTGTGATTATTGGACTCAATGAATGTTGTTAGCTTAATTAATGGTGGAGTTCAGTCAAGAATTCAGGCATCCTCATTGCAGGTCCAGCCTCTTTGTACTATCCCAATATGAATGTTTCTTCACAGCACAAAACTCAAGATGATTATGTTTAATTTAGAAGCTCCTGCTCCACAATTTTTTTTTTCCTGAATCACATGATTCGTCTCACCATAACATCTTCCAAGTGAGAGACAACATAAGAAGTCTCACAGGATACTCTGCCAGAATTCCCCACATTTCTGTATTTAGGCACTTTTTAATCATTTGTTTAATATTTCTGTTTTATGTAGATTAAAAAATTTTTTTTCTTATTTTTTGGTTCTCTACACCTGCCTCTATTTATTCCCTGGGCTTTTCTTGGCATACTCCAAATAATAAACTGAGATGGTTTTATTATTTCAATTAAAATTTTCTTAATTTTATTGCAGAATTCAAACTTTTTCCCTGAACAAAAATATTAGACTGTTAAAACCAGTCAATGACTATTAAAAACTACTATTAAGCTACTTGTCTCTCTTATTTAAAAAAAAAAAAACTAGAAGGTTATTCCCTGTTCTAAACTTCTCAGAGAAATGTAGTCATGAATTAATATGCTTATTTAGAAGTAAACAGAACAATAAATAAAACAAATATAAAGTAAAAGCTTAGAAGATAGAAGTTGAGGGTCATAGTTTTTATGCTGCATTAGCATAAATGATGAAGCATGTCTATTCTCAACCACGATAATCAAGCTTTGTGAAAATCGTCTGAAGTTTGTAAACAAATTCACCATAGAAGCAATGTTGCTCTTAGTCAAGGAAGCCCTTAAACTGTGGAAACAAATTAACCCCCAACACTCAGTGACTTAAACAATAGACAATTTCTCCTGGTGGAAAACGCTTCCTCTATCTTATTTAATCAGGAACACTTGGCTTCCAAGGTTGCTAAGGCAGACCAGAGAGGGCTAGAAGTTTCCTTGGACATTTTACTCTGCTAACTTTTACCCAGTAGATTGACTAGAATGCCATTTTATGGTTCCAATCTAGCTGCAAAGGAATGTGGAAAGAAGAAGTAGTGAACACATAGCATTCCCTGGCTAAAGCATTACTTTGACAAGGATACAAAATCAGTAATTTTCTCATATTCCCTTCTTCTTCTACTCAGGACCTTCTTCCCCCACCCACAACTTGAATTCATTATTACCTGACCGCCATAACCCCTTTGAAGTCTTACCAGCCATAGCAAGGGGAGGAATCAAGGAGGAAGAAGAGGAAGAAGAAACAGCTATATTAAAATCAGAATCCTCATTGCTCTTCTCTCTATACCCACTGCTACCATCCTGGCAAAGCTGGAGCTTGTTCCCCCCTTGACTGACTCTAGTCTCCACGGCATGATCATTCACTAGTGTATACCTAATGACTTGAAATTATCTTATAGAGATGGTTCTTCTTTTGCCTCATGAACAAATCAACCCATTTTAAAGCCTTGCTTACGTTTCTCTGATTAGTGAAGCCTCCCCAGAATTTTAGAGCTGAAGAAGAACTACATTCCCTATTCTCCTGAGTACTACTTGAGCTTTTTACTGTGTAATTACTATTTATACGGTTCCCTGCATTTCCATGAGTTTTCTAAATAACTGAATTATAAACTTCTTGGTGGGTTGTAACTAGTCCTAGTTGTTGCTATACACCCAATGAGCAGCAAAGTGTCTGGTATGTAGAAGATGCTCCCAACGTATTAATTAAATGAATTGATTAACTCATCGTTTTACATGTATTATTCTTTTCATATCACATAGCACAGCACTGTGTATCACAGGCCCTCAATGAGCATTTGCAGATTGATTCCTCTCTTAAATTCGAGATGAAACATTACCCATGGGAGGAGATGTATAAGTTGGCTCTTAAACAAATTTTATGATAAATTTTATTTCATAAATTAAGTTTACTTGTAATGAATTATATCTCTCTACACTATATACATTTGGTTTTCAAATGCACACATATACATACATACATTTCAATACAAACATGGAATTCTCTTTTAAATTTGACAAAATGAATATAAAAGCTAAGATGTAACTGTTGGAAACTCTACCCTGATTTTCCTTTCTAATTATATGCAAATAGGAACTGGGAGAAGAAATTTGGGGAATCTTAGTTGACAATATTTAGGCAATTGTGTAAGATATCAGCACAAACAAAACTTAAATCAGGGTACATGACATGAAGTATGTAGAATGCTGGCAGAAAGTTTCTGAGTTTAAATCCTGTGGGGTTGCGTCTCTTATAAAAATTGATAAGAACTTATAATTCCAGGCAATTTTCTTAGACTGAAATTCATTACTTTTTTTAAATCAAAATGCACTAAATCTTAGCAAGTAAAAAGCTGGCTTGTAGTTATTTATTTATATGGATGTGTGTGCCTGTATTCTCAAAAAATACATGTTTTGTATTTATCCTTGACGTTGTTTGAAAAACTACTCACTCTTTGGAGAGTGGTGTCCTTGAAACCACATGGTGAGGCCATTTAAGACCCAGTCTCTAAGGACTTATCTATGAAACCCATACATAGTATACTCAGTTGATCAAATAATTTTCTAATCAGAATTGGAAAAAAAAACATGTTGATGCTGACTTTTCTAGGATTAAATGTTTGGTTCCTGAAAGATTAGTTGTTTTAAATATGAGATTCTTAAAACAGTAAGCCTACCTTTGGAGAAATGGAAAGAGTAATGATAATAAAATAAACAAAGTCAAAACCACCCAAAAAAAAAAAAAAAAAAAAAAAGCCTTGTCTTCTTTGGAGAGTGCCAATGATCCCATGTCTGCTACTGACTGCTTTTCTTTTCCCATCAACAGACAAATTAAGTCACCATGAGGCTGAGGTCTAGGGCATCCTATGCTGCCAGAATAGATTTCTTCATATGAGGCATGGTGTGGAGTCCAATCAAAAAGTTTGGGGGACTTTGAAGGTCATCTAGTTCATAGCTATCTACTTTCTCCATTCCCAACAATAAATTCCCACTGAAAGGAGAGAATTTATCCTAATCTTATTGTCTTCCAAGAAAATGAAATGCCCTTCCTTGGCAACCTACTGCAAATTTGGGCAGACCTCACTTTCTTTATAACTTACCCCCAATACTCCTACCCTAATATAAATCCATAGTGTTTATTTATATTTCAAAAGACCACATATTTATTAGAAAAGTAGTCATTATATCATCAGCTTGAATATTGTCTCCTCTAGACAGAATATACTTTATTTCTTTGATGTCTCCTCAAAGGCTATGTTTCCCTAAAATTAGTTTTCTTTCCTTCCAGCCAAGGTTCTGCACTTTGTTATAATTAATACTATTGCTAAATAATTGTGCTGGGTGAAGATGCTGAGTGCAGTGCTGATGCTGATAGATGGATCAGGAGGAATGAGTTCCAAGTCTATTTTTTCCATGAGTTTTCCTGTGTGTGTGTGTGTTGTGTGTGTGTGCATGTGTATGCGTGTGTGTGTGTGTGTGTGTGTGTGTGTGTGTGATCAATGACTGCTTATCAGACAACTGACCATATTCTACTGACTCTGGTCAAGGAAGCAATGCCTTTTCTATGAAAAGCAAAATGGCCCATGTGGACATTATATTTTTAATGACTACCAAATACCATATTGTTATGTATTAAAGCATTGTATGTCACAATTTATCTAATAATTTTAATTTAACTAGTCATGTTGTTAAGAAACAAAAAGTAATTGCTGATTGTATCAGTCCGTTTTCACACTGCTGATAAAGACATACCCAAGACTGGACAATTTACAAAAGAAAGAGGTTTGATGGACTTACAGTTTCACGTGGCTGGGCGCCCTCACTATCATGGCGGAAGGCAAAAGGCACTTCTTACATGGGGCAGCAAGAGAGAGATCTTATGCGAGGAAACTCCTATTTTTAAAGCCATCAGACTTCATGGGACTTATTCACTATCATAAGAACAGCACTGGGAAGACCTGCCCCATGCTTCAATTACCTCCCACCGGGTTCCTCCCATGACACATGGGAATTGTGAGAGTTACAATTCAAGATGAGATTTGGGTGGGGACACAGCCAAACCACATCACTAATAGAGAGGAAAACTATCATTGTGTGGGGGAAAAGGGTTTTGGAATTGAAAGAACAAGGTTGTAGCCTGGACATATAATTTTGAGGAAGATTTTACTCACATACACACACACACACACACACACACACACACACACACACACACTCTCCACATTCTCCCTAAACATTTATTGTGCACCTATCATGTGCCATGAGTTTTTCTGGGGAAAAATATATTTGATGTTCTAAACCTATTCTAATCCTTGCAGCAGCCCTATAAGGTCGCTGTTATTAATATTACTGTTCTCATTTTGCACACAATGCTGCTAAGAATTAGAGAAGTTAGATACTTTTCCCAATGTCACATGACTAGTATATGTTGAAGACAGGGGGTCACAGCATCGTCCTCTATCCAAAACTCATTCCACTACATCAAAGAAACCACCAGAGATACTCTTGTAAAATTAGAAATATGAATTCAATGACTAATGCACTCCTCTTTGATCCTTTTTAGCTCAATTTTCTACTTTTGTGGGACAAAATACTGGAAACTCCTCTTTCCCCATTAGACCAATTCACAATCGTTTCAACTAGTTTGTACTTATGTGTATGCAGATAGCTGGAGTCCTACATGAAAGAATGAACAAGGTGTGATATTGAGACAGATTTTCCCACAAACCTACATTTCTGAAAATATTTAATAATACAATTTCCATATTCCTCTCCGTCTAACTTTAAATATATATGTAGGCTACTCTTCATTATCTTAAATATGTATATTCCCTGGTTTATAGATGTGAATAGAATACCCTTTACCACTTAATTCCTTTTCCTGAATCAACCCATAAGACACATCCTGGCGAAATACAATTTTCTGGAGTCTGTAGACTGAGGAGGGTGCTTCTGTTACCTTAATTATTGCATTGCCAGTAAATCAAAGTAATTTAAAGAAGACCAGTCTTCTAGGCATGCCATTGCAGAGTACCAGATTAGTGGTGCTGCAATTACACCTCAAACAATGTGGTAGACATTAGAAATAGACTGCTGCTTTTGCTTAGCGAATTAATAATTCTCAGATGTCTACTTTTTAATTTCCTGTACATTTCATATCGACATTTTGTCCCCCTTAACAGTATTCTTTCATCACATTTTTCATGTCTTTTTCAATAGCATGACCCTTAAGTTTGTCTTTTAACTGTAGAGTTCACATTGGTCTCGACCCACCCTTTAATTGTATTGGCAACCAGTGCTTTCACTGCATGATTTATTTAGCTTGTATTTGGCATAAACCAGAGTTGACTCAGTTTAGGTAAAAAAGACTCGCTACAAAATGGACCTTGTCATTTTAATCTCTCTAAGAACAGTTTTATTATCTGCCATTTCATTTTGTGGTTAGTGCCACCAAAAACGTTATTTTGTGTTCAAAGGGGCTTTTCTCATCCCTCCCATATGAGGCATGAACGATGGTGCTCTAGCTCACATTCTGTATTTTTCCTTCAAGCTTTTCTCATGCCATCCATCTTCTTCTTCATATCCTCCCTGATTTCTCCTTTCTATAATAAATAGCTTTCCCAGGATTGTGCTACCAAGAAAATATCCATTTCCAAGTGATTTAAGAAGGTCTATATATTCTTTCTGTAACATTTCTATTAGAATTGCAGTAATTTTTTTATGTGGAAAATTGTTATGTAGGTAATCAGAAAAGTACTCCCCCTTGCCTTTATGTTTTACTTTTTCCTATAAAGCCTGCACACTCCAGCTCATATGATAGGAAATTTGTGTAGTTTCTTCCAGTTTGGAAAATACTTCCACTTACTTTAACATATGTAATTCCCTTTACAACACTTCCAGGATGACAAGAATGGGCTGCTACCCTCATATTTAAATGAGGAAACAGATTCAGAGAGGTAAATGAATTGTTACTTTTAATTTTTAAATGTTTAATTTTGTGAAGTTAATTACTGGATAGTCACATTTTTAAGACTCCCTATTTGTGTATATCAATACTCGGGACAACTGGAAGGTCATAGCATAAACTCTAATGCATGATATTTGGATGCATATTTTTAAAAATGAGCTTCGTTAAATCTACGGTCATATAACAAGTAAATGGCAGAGCGGAAATTCTGGTGTGACTTCAAATCTAGACTTGTTTTTTGGGGGGGGGTTTTGTTTGTTTGTTTGTTTGTTTGTTTTGCATGCTATATCAACAAATATTGCTGACCAAAATGATTTTCCATGTTGAATTGCAAGCAGACATTGAAACCTGGCTTCATATCAAAGTAAAACAATCCTGTATTTCAATATATAATATAACTTTTCAATAATAGTATGCAAAACTAAAAGAGAAAAATCATTAAACAATGTTATTAATCATGAGTCCCAGGTCCTCTGCAGAGTCATTCAGGACTCAAGACAATAGTCTGCTTTTATCTTACCATTTTTTACCCAGGTATAGGATCTTTTGCAGTCTGGTAATATTAGAGGCTGTAGCATGTACATGACAAATGTCTATGGAATGTAAGCTTTCATAATGCCATTTTATGGGGCAGCTTCACTGGAAGACAGTTAACTGCTATTGGTTGCTAGAGTTATAGCATTGCATTTAAGGGTTGAATGTATATTTTAAAATGTTTTGGAAGCTCCCTTAATTCAAAGTCAACTTTATATGTTTTAAAATAGATTCTACAGTCCACTAATCTAAAACACAAACTATATAGCCTATAATGAAAATAAAATGAATATTCAGTATAGTGTTTAATTTTTTTTAAGTTAATTATTGTATAGTCACCCCTTTTCAACTCCCTTTTTCTTTATATCAATGTTGGGGACAACTGGAAGATCATATAATATGGTCTAATGCCTGATGTTTGAATGCATATGTTTAAAAATGAGATAGGTTAGATCTCAGTAAATACATTTAATGATGCAATTATCATTGCTGGCACTTTATTAGCACCACACTGTAACCAACTGAGCTACCCAGCTATACTACCGGCACTTTAAATAAGTGGACTTTTAAATATTACAGAGATCTTTATTTCTCTCAGTACAGAGGGGGAAAGATAATTGAAAATTAATGAGGAATAGAAAATATACCTCCATGTATAATGTTTATAACGATTGTTTCTCTCAATGGATATTGAGTAAACTAACTTCAGCTTTCATTTTAACAATTTAACAGACGTTGGGCATATACTAGTACGTGGCAGGCCCCAAGGATACAAAGACAAATCAGCTGCTCACCACCACAAAAACACTCTCATTCTGATGCAATTGCTCTGTGTAAAGAAGGAGTTATGTGAAAAATTATTGGGGAAGAACCAATAGAGTACAAGGACTCTTTCTTACTGTATTTTTTTTTTTCTTATTTTTATTTGCTGAGACAGAGTCTCACTCTGTCACCCAGGCTGGAGCACAGTGGCATGATCTCAGCTCACTGCAACCTCCACCTCCCGGGTTCAAGAAATTCTCACTCCTCAGCCTCCTGAGTATCTGGGATTACAGGCCCATGCCATCATGCCCGGCTACTTTTTGTAGGTGGGTTTCACCATGTTGGCCAGGCTGGTCTCAAACTCTTGACCTCAAGTGATCCGCCCACCCTTGGTCTTCTAAAGTGCTGGGATTACAGGTTTGAGTCACTGCTCCCAGCCTAGTCACCGTGCCCAGCCTCTTTCTGACTGTATTAAAAGTGACTTGAGGTATCAGAGGGAAGAAAGTGTCATGTGATAAAAGCTAAAGGATTATCAAGAAGAACAAATCTCAGAAAAGCATGGAAAGAAAATTAGATTTGGGCATCCTAAAGTTTATGCAAGTTTAGTTTTTTACCCATCAGGGTATTAGCTCTTTTTTTGTCAAATGAGAATATAAAAGTATGTTCAGTGTATTCAAAATAAAAGTAATCATTTTAGTGCAAGATCTAGGAATTTGCAACACTTGATAGTTTTACGAGTAATTATCATGATCTGTAGCAACTCAGGGAAACAAATGAATCCTATAAGAATCTTGGTTCTCACTTCAGCAGAAGAGAATGTGTGTACTGAGGCATTAATTTTTCTTTGGTTTGCTGTTTTTCGTTATTGATGTAGTTGAAGGCCAAATAAGTTATTATAGGTGATGACAATTATTAGCTTACAATTCAGTTGGGTTCAAGCTTCTATTGCTGAATCATCATTTCCAAGGGAATACTTTAACATGAGTTCCAGGCTTGGGAGCTACCATTGCGTTTTCTTTTCCTCATTGCACATATCTTCCTGTGAGTTTACCAAGGCAGGCCTTAGGGTGTAAGGTTGTAGCAATGTCATTTGTAACAAGAAGGTTGTGGGGGTTGCAGAAATATCGTAAAACACATGTGTAAAAAAAATCCTGCCTCTTAAGAATTTTACTGTTTATTTGCTTCGATCTTCACTAGAATAGTCAGGAAGAGGATGCCTCACTGTAATAATCCTGATGGATTCTTTCATTGGAAAGCTAATGAAGAAAACAAAATAATTATTGGAGAATGACAACCCAGACAATCCAGTGAGATAAAATTTAAAATGTATACATTGTTATTATATTTAAAAAGGAAAAATAGATGCACAAGGTACAGGAGAATGTTCAATAGCATTCTGATATTAACTTCCAGCTCCTGGTGAACATGCAAAAAAAACTTGCTTTAAATATGGCTATACAGAGGTTGCAGTGAGCCAAGATCATGCCACTGCTGCACTCTAGCCTGGGTGACAGAGTGAGACTCTGTCTCAAAAAAAAATATATATATATATACACATATATATATATGTGTATATATATATGTGTATATATATATATGTGTGTGTGTGTGTATATATATATATATATATATATATATATATATATATATATATATACACACATGATGCGTACTCCTGGGTCCAGCAATGAATCTACTTTCTCAGTCTGCGTGGTGCTCTGTGCTTTGCGTGAAGAGACCATGCAAAGACCACTGCTTTGCCTGGTGTCGGCCTCCAGTGTGTTTCCCGAAGCTCCATTTGGTGAACTATTTGGTAACTTTTTTTTGTGGCCTCGACTGACAATGGCTTGCCCCTCACTGCTCCTAGACAGATGTTACAACCAGTGCCACTTATGGATACTGTATTGGCCCATTCTTGCATTGCTATAAAGAAACACCAGAGGCTAGGCAATATATATATATATATATTTTTTTTTGAGACTCTAAGGTAGCCATATATATATATGTGTGTGTATGTGCGTGTGTGTATGTATATGTGTGTATGTATACACACACACACACACACGCACATACACACACATATATATATATATATATATATGGCTACCTTACAGTCTCAATTTTGATCCAGGATGGCATTGCCCTTCTTCCACTGATGCTTTCATGTACCCAGTACTAATACCATGCCATTCTTAACTAAACTTTGTTTTAAATATGGCTCATATTTCTTTTTATTAACTATGTCACATAAGCCTTCAAATTGCTTGATGATGCGTACTCCTGGGTCCAGGAATGAATCTACTTTCTCAGTCTGCGTGGTGCTCTGTGCTTTGTGTGAAGAGACCACGCAAAGACCACTGCTTTGCCTGGTCTCGGCCTCCAGTGTGTTTCCCGAAGCTCCATTTGGTGAACTAGTTGGTAACTTTCTTTTGTGGCCTCGACTGACAATGGCTTGCCCCTCACTGCTCCTAGACAGATGTTACAACCAGTGCCATTGATGGATACTGTATTGGCCCATTCTTGCATTGCTATAGAGAAACACCAGAGGCTAGGCAATTCATTAAAAAACAACAACAAAAAAAGAGATTTAGTTTTGTCTCACAGTTCTGCGGGCTATACACAAAGCAAAATGGTGGAATCGGCTTCCCATGAGGGCTTCCAAGAAGCTTCCAATCATGATGGAAGGCAAAAGGGGAGCCAGCACATCACATGGCAAGAGAGGGAGCCACACAGAGTAGAGGGAAGTCCTAGATTCTTTTTTAGTTTTTTTTCTTTGAGACAAGGTCTTGCTCTGTTGCCCAGGCTGTAGTGCAGTGGGTGGACCTCGGCTCATTGCAGCCTCCTGGGAGATCCCTCTACCTCAGCCTTCCAAGTATCTGGGACTACAGATGAGCACCACACCAAGCTAATTTTTTGTATTTTTTGTAGAGATGGGATTTTGCCATGATGCCCAGGCTGGTCTTGAACTCCTGTACTCAAGTGATCCACCTGCCCCTGCCTTTTAAAGAGTTGGGATTACAGATATATTTAAAGTTCTTTTAAACAACCAGATCTCTTGTGAACCAATTGAGCAAAAACTCACTTATCACCAAGGAGATGCTGCTAAGCTATTCATAAGGGATCTGCCCCCATGATTCATATCTCCCACTAGGTCCCACCTCCAATATTGGGGATTACATTTCAGTGTGATATTCAGAGAGGGCAAACATCCAAACATCAGATGCCACAGCGTAAGCATGTACCTGGTATTAGAATCTCATGATTTCTCTTTCAATCCGCTTAATGCCCACTGGTTGCTGAGCACCAAAGGAATAGATAAACATTGATACTGCCTTACATTGTGATTCAAGGCAGTGCAAACCAGGAGAAGATACCTGACAAACATGAAGTGAGAGCTTATTCACCATCCCTAGTTATCAGTCATTTGTTTGCATCCTTAATTTTCAAAATATAAATAGCAGAGTTTCTCAGACCCAGGAAAATGTGCTTTGCACAAGAGCTGAACTAGACCCTTTGCTGGCCTGATGTCTTCAGCCTTTTTCATCCACTTGGGTTTCTTCCCCTAGAATAATAAGTATTCTCTAAATAGTTAATTTTAATTGCAATATCTGTTTTATGCCCCCAAGAACCCAGTATCCAGTAGTGGCTTACATAATTTAATGCAAAGAAGGTGTGCATTTCTTGATATTCCTCGGTTACTTTAACTTCATTCTCAAAAATGCCTGGCATATACATAATTTCTAATTACTGTGGTAAGTTTGTGTTTTTCCTCATGCTGAACAATCCATCAAGCTGTCTTTCATTCTTGCCCCAATACTGTGATGATGATGCTTTATTAACTCTGTGCGTTTTCTGTCATAGTTCACATGCTTGCCTTAAAAAAAGACGTGTTTACATGAATATATTCTCGAGAAAAAATTCCAGACAGTGCAGAATTATACAAAACAAAACATTTAAGCCTCTCTTTACTTTCTTTCCAACTCAGTCTCTTCCCAGGACTAACCATTTTCAATAGTTTGGAATATATTTTTCCAGGCATCCTTCTATATATTTACATATATACATATGTATGCAGTATGGAAGCTACAGATACATTAATTTACATAACCATATGTATTGTTCTGTGATGTACTTTATTCATTTAGCCATATGTCTGATAGGTGATTATATGATAATACATACATTTCTACCTTATGTTTTTTTTTTCCTTTTTAACATTCTCAAAGTATTCCATAATACAGAGAAACCATACATTTAGCCACTCTCCTACTGTAGGACCTTTAGTTGAGTTCACATGTTTTACCACTTAAATGGCAAAGCAGTGAGCATCCTTGTCAGCATATGTTGATATTACGTGTGATGATTTCTCAAGATTAAATTTTTACAGTTAGAATTACTGTGCCAAAAAAATTACATAATTCTAATTTTGATACATATTGCACATTATCTTCCAAGTAGACTTTACCAATTTACACACCAATCACCAGTTTCAACATTTGATATATTAGTAATTATTTTTCCAACCTTGTGAATGAACATTTATCTCATTTTCATGTGCATTTTGCTTATTGTTTCTAAGGTTGAGTTCTTTTCATTTGTTTTTGGACATCTAATTTATTACGTTAAGAATTCCCTGATAATACATTATGTTCATGCTTTTTTTGTTGACTTGTTTATCAGTTTAATAAAACAATTTACATATTCCAGATAGTAATCCTTTTTGTATACCACTAATTTATTGGTGACTCCCAACGTTAAGTAGTATATACCTGTTGCTTATTTTTATGTATCTTCTTTTTATAAGTGGATATTAAGCTCCTCCATTAGTTCAGGGTTCTTCTTTCATATCTTTTTTTTACTGTCCCCAGTACCCAGAATAGTCTCAATAAATAGGCACTTAATATTGATTGTCAATTGAGGAGGGAGACTACAACTGCAAAATTAAGACAAGGATCAGCAGGAATGTGTTGCTGGCTCCAGTCTCAAGGCTCAAGGCCAGGAGTGACAAAGTCAGCTTTGGCTTCTCAGATCAGTTATCAATCCTGAAGGTATAAAACCAGAAGATGAAAGAGACCTGTATACCCTGAGATGCGACCACTCATTTTCCTCTGTTCAGTCATTCACTTCTGAGTTTGTTATTATACATATTCATTCATCAAGTGATATGTTTATATTGTTTATCTTCACTAACTTATTTAGCTCTTTCCATGAAAATCCACGTGGAAAGTTGGCTTAAGCCAAAATATATTCAAAGGCTTCTGTCTTGAAGTTATGTCCTAAATGTTACTCTACAAGGCTATATGCAAAAGCCAACTAAAACATTTAGACATATTTCATTTGTCAAATCACTTGTGTTCCATAGTTTATTTTTAATTCAGCCTTTATTTAATAAAAATCTCTTCCACATACATATTTATAAGCACATGGAATTATGCAGATTTTGCTTGTAGATGTAAACATTTTTAAGTGAACAGAGGTGCTAGTTTTCTTAGGAAGAAAGGATATATTCACAATTCAAGCAAAATACAGCAGACTTTTTTTTGTATTTCTCCATTTCTCTCACTCCCAATTAACATATATGTTTCATTTCTGAATGCTTTTATTCACTTACTTGCCACACTCTTAGGTAACACCCGTTGTGTTCCATCTCTAGTTAAGGATGTATGGTTTGTGATTTGGAAGAATATGGTTTTCTCTAAATAATATTTTAAAAGCCTCGAGTTAATTTTTAATCAGTATTATCATGCAGGTAGTGGGGAAAACTGTCTTTCACTCATTCTGTACGTATAATCCTAAAACAGCTCATTTTCTTTTCTTTCTTTTCTTTTCTTTTTTGCAGGGTTGAGGTGCTTTGGGAATGAATGGGAGTAAGTCTTTCTCTAAAAGCTTACTTGGTGTGTGTGTGTGTGTGTGTTTCACTATAGTTCTGACTATATGTTATGCGGTCAAATCCAAATTCACTTTTTTTAATTCCTCTTTAAATCCTTAGGGATACCTTCAACTGTCAGTATAATAAAATGGTCATTTTACAATCATAATAACCACCACTCTAATAATAATTAACTAATTAAATGTTTTAGAATATCTCTACTGTCAATGAGAAATTTTATTGACAGGAAAAATCAATGGTCCAGTCAAATGTTTCTGGATAACTCTCGTAGCTGAAATGGGTCACCACAATTACACCACTAAAATCCTGTCAATAGTCTAAAAAGGTAAATAACCAGTTTAAGAATTTCATACAAATATATAAAAAATATTAGCTATATACCTCTTTTGTATATGTTATATGATAACTACATTTTTATATAGTGGATATATGCTTTACAATATTTATAATAAATGTGAGATAAAGCACAGTCACATTTTCTAAAATTTTATAAGAGAAGCATTGAAATATGTGGGTAGAACAATAGATTAAGATTAAGAAGTCTTTAGTTTTAGTGCCTATTGCCACAGGCTACTTTGGTAAATTAAAAGAAATGTCACTCATCTTTTCTAGACATCTGTTTTTTTCATCTACAAAACAATGGGCTTGAACTTGGCAATATTCTAAAATCCCTTCTAGCTGCTAATTTCTATAAAATAGTATAATTTTTCTATTTTAAATGATTATGAAGGTTTATAGTTTTTATAGCTTTGGTTTTATAACATTTTGTTGGTCATATTTGTGATTTATTCAATTTCAAGTCCTGCTCAGGAATACAGTTCCCCAATTACAACATTATTTCTATGGAAAGAGAACAATATGTTTTAAGATGAGCCTTTTTTGATAGAATTTATATGAGCACATTATATTAGAAATGGTGACTGCCTGTGTTTGCTAGTGTATTTTAGTGTCTCTCAGAGCTAATTTTCCCAATGGGCTTTTTTGTTTTCTAAATACTCTTCAAGCTGAGACTAAGTTAAAATTGAAAAAAAAAAGAAAGCATTGCTGTGTGGGAAATAATTACTCACGTATAGTGATTTTAGCCAAAGCCCTATAGTTAATCTCCGTAGAATCAAGATCAAAGGGCTTAAATTCTTGGTGTTCTTTTCCTAAATGGAACATAACAAGAATTTTATACCACTTTGTACTATGCTAATCCAAGAACATTAGCACATGTGGTTAATCTTACTTTGGATTGCTTAATTTTTATAGTTTTACCTTCAACAGTCCTTTAATGTAGTTTGAGTGTGCATGTGAATATTCATAAAAATAAGTATATGTTTAATGAGTACAGAGTTTCTGTTTGTGATCATGAAAAGTTCTGGAAATGGATGTTGGTGATAGTTGCACAACACTGCGAATGTACTTAATGCTACTGAATAGTATACTTAAAATGGTTACAATGGTAAATTTTATGTATATTTTAATCACAATAAAAAATAAGCATAGAAAGGCTATTAAATTAATTATTTCTGAAGTCGTATTGGTAGATTCAGAGGCAAACACTTTCCTGGGAAAGAAATAAGAAATAATCAGAAAACATTTCACACTGTAACTTGAGGCTAACTTTTTCTATGCTGAATGCTAGATGTGTAACCTATCCCCAAGCAAGTCTGCTGTAATAATGATTTGAAAGTAAAATCTCTGTCTCAAGGGTGTGATGACCTTAATTCCATATCCATATACATGTTTATAGTTCTTTCCTTATAACCAGAATATTCACCTCTGTCATTTTGATGACATGGATGTGAATGGAATACACAATTACAGTTGCTAAAGCAAGAACAGACTAAGTCAGAGAGAGAGCTCCCATCCCCACAGATTTGAAAAGCTTTCTCCTTTGAGTTATTATGTATTATGCAGTTTTTCTGTGTTTACAAGAGGCTAATTATCATCTTATTCTCAGGGTGGGCAAAGGCAATATCAAAGAAGGGATACAGAGAAATATCCAAAATACCATTCAGGTGGAAATTTCCGAATTTGACAATGAATGTCAGTTTGATATTGGGGAAAATGTCAAAATCATAAACAGATTTGATCTTCATTAAATCCAGAACATATTTGGAAGTTAATAGTTTAGGCTATAATCCTACATTATGGCATGGAAAAAATAATGGTCCTGCCCCAGAGAATGAGTTTTATACTTTTTTTTTTTTTTTTTTTGGTTCTTGTAGCACTTAACACAATACATTCTCATAGTAGTCTGTGTGTAAATATTTCATGATTCAGACTAATTGGCACAGTTCTAGACTACTTTGAATGACTTTGATCAATTTTTATGTCATGGTTGACCACTGACTCTCTGGCTCCATTCAGTCCTTCATTCTACATTATATGCCAACCCCATTTGGTATTATGTTGAATTATAAAACAAAAAAATTTAAAAATATATTTAAAAACTTTCTCTATCACATGCAGCTTATTTGTAGTTAGAAAGTGTGTGTTTTAAACCAGACTCAGAGGATAACTGCAAACTAAAATTTGTATTTTGTGTGAAAAATAGAATAGTATAGCACTGACTTTTCTCTCGTCTGTCGAAATGCCTCCCGGAAATATTCAGGATATAGAAACAATGTAATAGACTACGTTTTGCCAGATAATACTTCACTGACAGATTAAAATGCATTCTGTTACTCTCTGTCTAGCATCTATGCATTTCATTAAGAACTAAAGAAAATAATGACACAAGCCAGATTTCTAGGTTGGGTAGGGAATTGGAAATATCAATTTGCTAATATTAAGAGTTTTAAGTGCTAAGAATCTTTATAAACATTAGATAAATTATTATATGAGTTTTTTTAATACGCATTTTAAAATGTATACAATCATGCCTGTTACCCCAGCACTTTGGGAGGCCGAGGTGGGTGGATTGCTTGAGTCCAAAAGTTTAAGCCCAGCCTGAGCAACATGGCAAAACCCCATCTCTACAAAAAATACAAAAATTATCTGGGTATGGTTATGTATACCTGTGGTCCCACCCAACTACTGAGGAAGCTGAGGTGGGAGGATTGCTTGATCCCAGGCTCAAGCTGCAGTGAGCTTGCAGTGAGCCATGATTGTGCCCCTGCTTTCCAGTCTATCTGGGTTACAGACTGAAACCCTGTCTAAAAAAAAAGAAATGAAAAATCGGTAAAATTTCCTAAAACTTACATTATATCTTGATAATTATAGCCTTTCTAAATGTTAAAAAAATTTCAACAAATTTAGTTTAAAGATCTAATTGGCTTTACTGGTGATCTATGAATCAGGCAGCATCCCATCAAAGATGTAGAAAAGCTGCTTTAATAAGCAGAGCAAAGAAGTTGGGCTTTATAGGCAGAAAAGGGCTGAAGAAGCAGAAACAAGGAACAAAAACACGGATTGGTCCTTACAAAGTAACTTTCCTTACAGGGTTAAAAAAGAGGAACTTCCTCTGTTTTACCAGCTGGCTCAGGTAAACCAGGCCCCTTCTGATTGATTGCTGTGAATTTCCCCTTTTTTTTTTTTTTTTTTTTGGAAAACTGGTTCATTTTAAAGTTCATTTTGATTACATGGAACCTAGCACAAGTTACTGCATTCTAGTTTGTCCAGTCTGGTCTGTTGGACCTAGTGCATGAGCTCAGTTCACACAATGATCTCCTATAATTTTCATATAATATAGATAATATAAAAACTGTCATATGATAGGTATGATATGGTTTGGCTGTGTCCCCACCCAAATCTCATCTTGAACTGTAGTTCCCATAATCCCCACATGTCATGGAAGAGACCCAGTGGGAGGTAATTGAAGCATAGGGGCAGTTACCCTCATGCTGTTCTCATGATAGTGAGTGAGTGAGTTCTCACAAGATCTGATGGGGTTATAAGGGGCTTTTCCCCTTTTTGCTGGGCATTTCTCCTTCCTCCCATCATGTAAAGAAGGATGTGTTTGCTTCCTCTTCTGCCATGATTGTAAGTTTCCTGAGGCCTCCCTAGCCTTGGAGAACTGTGAGTCAATTAAACCTCTTTCCTTTGTAAATTACCCAGTCTCAGGCAGTCGTTTATAGCAGCATGAGAACAGACTAATGCAATAGGAGATGATTACAATATACTAGTGAGCATCAGTGAAAAGGAGAGTACTGTAATATGTTTCTTAAAGAATGAAAAATAAACTGTAAAGGTGGAGGAAAGTAAGACATAATTAGAAAAAAATTAAGAAGCTCAAGAGCATCCCAAAAGGATAATGCAATATGCACAATTGATAGTTGGATAAAGAAAAGATGAGTGATTCAAACATGACTTAAGACATTGATTTCAACACCCCCTGTGCATATTCTTGCAAGGAAATTTCTAACCAGCTACAGATGCTCCTCTATTTAGGATGGGATTACATTTTGATAAACTCACTGTGAAGCTGAAAATTTGAGAAGTCAAACCATCGAAAGTCAGGGACCATCTGTCGTGACTTTTTCTGCTTTTTCTGTTACAGCATGACTCACTATAGCTTTTAAATTGTATTCTATTTGATCAGCCTGGGAAAGGGGAAGGGGGAAATCTTTGCTATATCAGAATGAAACAAATTTTAAAAACCTTCATGAAAGACTGAGTTGGAATTGAAATAAAAACTGGTAGTTCAAGATGTAAAGAAGTTCTGAACGTGACAGTTAAAGCCAGTTAAAGAATTCCCTGTGAGGACTTTTGTCTGGGAGTTTGATTTTATCCCTGCAGCTTTGCTTAAGAGATTTCCTGTTCCTTTATGCTAGTGACTTAGTATTGTTTTTTCCAGCTGTTTCATTCTTTTTACCTTTGCCTTGAGCACTGTAGAAATCAATATAGTAGGCACTCTCTGTTCTGTGCCCAATACCTGTAGTTTCCTGTGTGTGATGGTTTGAGATTCTGTAGATACTACTTAATCCGATAGCTGGTGTGGCCTATTTGTCCAATAAAACATTTTCCACAGTGGCAGGGAACATTAAGCTACTTCTGTGGGTGGTAGAATATTGCCTTTTGTTAGCTATAGGGGGTGAGGGACCTTGGATGAAGTTAGAACATTATTTTTATTTTTGTGGGTGCTTTTGAAGATTGTATTGATCCAACTTATAAATGCCTTGACATGGGGTGGGACTGCTCTTCTCTCATGCCTGATCTCTCAGCTTGTTAGTGACTTCACTCTTGGTGGGAACAGAGGATTTAATCAAATAGTTGGCTGGGTATCTATTCTCTGCTAGGGTCATAAGAAGAATATGGATTGTCTATAAGAAGAAAGAGGATTCTGCTACAGCCTCAGTTTGATATATTAACCTTAGATTCAGTCCTCTCAGTGTGAAGTCCAATTCCCAAAATGGTTGGTTAAACAACCCAAAGTTACATTTTGAGTTAAATGCTGGAAATACCAACCTCATACAATTAGTGAAAGGTGGAAAGGGTGAAGGCAGTATATTTGGAAACTGTTTTCAGGGCAAGTATCACTCAGAATGGATATTTAAAAAAGCAACACTGCTCATAAAATTTTATATCTTTTTATTGTATTCAACATGTATTTATAAAGTATCCTAGGCACTAGAAATACAGCTGTGGTGGTAGATTTGTGCAAGGGTCAGGATACAAGTGACCCTTACCTCAAGAGTTTAATACTTAAGAAATGAGACAACCAAACAGCTCATTTGACGTGTTATAAAGAAGTGCACACAACTAATTTAGTGTAGGGGGGTTTAGCTCTTTATTAAAAAGCAATGTTTAAACAGGGAAATATGGAGATGGTAGAATTTCAAGTAGCTTAGTGTATTTTGATTTGATGGTTTCTCACCATCTTCCTTGTACCCCTCCTTTCTTTTTCCCCTTTAGAAATGACTACTATAGTAAGTGGATGGTAAAAATGCCACTGGGCATTTAAAATATTAGCAAACTGTAAACCTTGCTTTTCCAAAGACCCAAAGGCATATTAAGAGTCATTAGTCATAGTAAGTTTGGAAAAAAAATAGCCCTTAGAGATCTGGCTTTGTCTCATATGGAGTGTGATCTTTGGACATTATGATTCTCATGTATACGTGGAGATAATGCTTATACAGATTGGTTGTACAAATTAAAGGCAGTAATGTATCTACATCCTCATACAACACTTGTTCAGCCTGGGTGCAGTGGCTCACAGCTGTATTTCTGCACTTTGGAAGGCTGAGGCAGGAGGATCACTTGAGCTCAGGGGTTCAAGACCAGCCTGGGGCAAAATGATGAGACCTCATCTTTTCAAAAAGTAAACAAAATTAGCTGGGTGTGGTGGCAAGTACCTGTAGTCCCAGCTACTCAGGAGGCTTTGGTGGGAGGATTGCTTGAGCCCAGAGGTAGAGACTGTGGTGAGCTGAGATTGTGCCACTGTACTCCAGCCTGGGTGACAGAGTGAGACCCTATTTCAAAAAAAAATTAGAAACTTGTTTATAACAGAAACTTATTATAGCTTCTGCCCATCTCCCTCCACTGTAGGCAACCTTGCTTGAAGACTGACAGACATTTATCTTACCTTGTTCATCATGTTTACCATTCTTAAAATCCTGTTTCTTAAAATTTCATAGGTCACTCTGCAGCATAATTTTGTTAAAAGCATCAGCTCTTCCATCAAGAATTTTTTTTTTTACATCCTATTCATTGTTTACCCAACATTAAGAAAGTGAGTACAGTTTGCTTTTGTAATGACTGACCAATAAGGAGACAGAAATAAACTTAGGAAAAGAAGACTACTAATGAATTTTCTGAGACCTACCTTCTTTCTGAATCCAATACAATGTTTACCTTCATCTCTATTAATCCATCAAATCAAGCACAAAAGGAAATTGTACTCACAATTTGATTTTCATCATCTATTCTTACCAATGTCACAAGAAATATTAGAAAAGTAGCATTTGGTTGTTGGTGGTGTTACTCTGTAATGTCAAGTTTAGGTGAAGATTTGTAAGTACAGCAAATCACAGGGTCCCAGGGTCCTACTCTGTGATCAGAGACCCTGTTTGCTCTTTTACCCAGCCACCTAACTGTGGATTATCTTTGAATCTTCAAAGTATGTCAAATTTTTCCACATAGTATTAAAATTTATTTGTTAATAGAATTTATTTTTAGAGCAGTTTTAGGTTTACAGCAAAATTGAGCTTCATCTCCATTGATCCATCAAATCAATGAGTTCTTAACTCTCTACTTTCTGACCTCCCCGACTCCCGACAGCCTCCCCTACTATCAACATCCTGCACCAGGGTGATGCATTTGTTATAATCAATGAAACTATGTTGGTATCGCGTAATTATCCAAGGTTCACAGTTTACCTTTGGATTCATTCTTGGTGTTGTACATCAACAGTCCCTAACCTTTTTGGCACCAGGAACCAGTTTCGTGGACGACAGTGTTTCCATGGACCAGGGGTGGAGGAGAATGGTTTCAGGATGATCCAAACGCATTATATTTATCATCAGATTCTCATAAGGAGTATGCAACCTAGATCCTTAGCATATGCAGTTCACAGTACGGTTTGCACTCCTATGAGAATCTAATGCAGCAGCTGATCTGACAGGAGGTGGAACTCAGGCAGTGATGCTGGTTGGCCTGCAGCTCATCTCCTGCTGTGCGGCCCACTTCCTAACAGGCCACAGAGGAGTACTAGTCTACTGCCAGGGGGCTGGCGACACATACTATACATTGTATAGGTGTTGACAGATGTAAAATGATATTATCTTCCACTGTGATATTATAGAGTAGCTTCACTACCTAAAATCCTCTGTGCTCTGCCTACTTATTCCTCCCTTCCCCTTAACTCCTGGAAACCAATGATCTTTTTACTGTCTTCATAGTTTTGCTTTTCACAGCATGTCATAGCTGGAATCAACAGTATGTAGCCTTTTCAGATTTGCTTCCCCCATTTAGTATTATGCACTTAAGTTTCTTCCATGTCTTTCAATGACTTGATAGCTGCTTCTTTTTAGCACCAAAAAAGATTGCAATGCCTGGATATACCTCAATTTACTTATCCAGTCACCTCTGAAGAACATCTTGATTGCTTCTATATTTTGGCAGTTGTAAATAAAACTGAGATAAACATTTTTGTTTAGGCTTTTGTGTGCACATAAGTTTTCAGCTATTTGTGTAACCTTCAAGGAGCAGAAATGTTGAATCATACGGTATGAATGTGTTTACTTTTTAAAAAATCTGGCAAACTGTCTTCCAAAGTGGCTATATCCTTTTGCATTCTCACCAACAATGAATTCTCAATCATTGCTCCGCATTCCTGTCTGCATTTAATGTTGTCAATCTTCTGGATTTTGGTCATTCTAATAGATGTTTAGTAGCAACTTATTACTGTTTTAATTTGCAGTTCCCTGATGATACATGATGTTGAGCATCTTTTCGTATACTATTTGCCATCTTCTTTGGTGAGGTGTCTGTTTAGATCCTTTGCCCATTTTTGAATCAGGTTGTTCATTTTCTTACTGTTGAGTTTCAAGAGTTTTTTGTATATTTTGTAAAATAGTCCTTTAGCAGATATGTCTTTCGTAAATGTTTTCTCCCGGTCGATGGCTTCTCATTCTCTTGACATTGTCTTTCACAGAGAAGCAGATTCTAATTTTAATGAAGTCCAGCTTATCAATTATTACATTCATAGTTGGTGTCTTTAGTGCTGTATCTCAAAAGTTACCTTCAAACCCTAGGTCACTTAGATTTTCTTCTATGTTATCTTCTAGGAGTTTCATAGTTTTGCATTTTACATTTAGCTCTGTGATCTATTTCAAGTTAACTTTTGTGATGGCTGTTAGGTCTGGGTCTAGATTTATATTTTAACATATGGATTCCAATTGTTCCAGCATCAGTTGTTGAAAAACTATCTTTTCTCTATTGTATTGCCTTTGCTCCTTTGTCAAAAGTCAATTCATTGTATTTATGTGGATTTACTTCTGGGATCTCTTATAATTTATTTTTGAATGTTTGTTTCTTCATGTGCTGTGAGTTTTGTAAAGCAGTGTAGTATGTGTTTAAACCCCTGTATGTCTATAACCCCTAAATAGGGACTGGGTACAGATTTTCTGTATGAAATCTTCTCATAAAATTAGGGAGAATAATTAATTATTCCACATAAAATATAAACAATATAAGGTTAAGTTAAATATATTTTTAATGCTCTTGAAATATGCAATCTAAATATAGAATTATCTAGATTATTTCAAACTATCTGATCATAAAACTTCCTTGAGGCAGTTTTAATCTTATAGGTTCCCAGTCAAAACCCAAAACTCTTCAAGAAAGAGTCCTGGGAAACTGTGTTCTTAATAAAAATCCTAGGTGATTTATATGCTCAGTGAAGTTTAGGTAACACTGATGTCTATAAAAAGTAACTACAAGTTTAAAATATCTAACATCACATGTAAATGCATAATATATTTATTTCATTTATTCATTCACTTATGTAGCATATATGCACTGAGCTCTAAGTCGATCACGTACTATGCCTGGGAATAGAAAGGTAAATAAGAGTCTCTACCCTCAAGAAGATTACATTCTTTCAGTAACAAATAAAAGGTTAAAATAAGTGGGCAAAATAGAAGCACCAAAGGAAGATTGTTTAGAAACATTAGAAAAAAATGTACGGAGTAGATAATGTTTTCATAATATCCTTAGTATGTTTTTCATCTGACTTTCTTTGTCCTAATTAGAATGGATATATGATTCAACACATTTTTTTAAAAATCCATTATCTCAGGCAATTGAAATACCCTATCATTGAGTATAATATTAATTACCTCACTCAAGGTACCATTCCATGTTTGAATAATTACATACATTTTTGCTGAATCATGTTGGCATTGTATTGGTGTCTTATTGAAGACTTCATCAGCTGAATAAATTCTGTGACTTAAAAAGTGCGAAGAAAAGATCCACAAACAACATATTAATTCCAATTACTCTACCTTTAATTACTGTAGAATAAATTTGCTACTAGGAGGAGGAGACATTATCTTTGTTTTAAATTTCAACCCTGCCAGGTGCGGTGGCTCACGCCTGTAATCCCAGCACTTTGGGAGGCTGAGGCGGGCGGATCACGAGGTCAGGAGATCGAGACCATCCTGGCTAACACAGTGAAACCCCGACTCTACTAAAATACAAAAAATTAGCCGGGCGTGGTGGCGGGCGCCTGTAGTCCCAGCTACTTGGGAGGCTGAGGCAGGAGAATGGAATGAACCTGGGAGGCGGAGCTTGCAGTGAGCCGAGATCGCGCCACTGCACTCCAGCATGGGTGACAGCGCGAGACCCCATCTCAAAAAATAAAAATAAAAAATAAATAAATACATAAATAAATTTCAACCCTTTCATGAGTTACATTTGTAAAAATGAGATAGGAAAAATGAATAATGCTAACATAAAGTTTGGTTTTGAAAATGGTAACTATATTTAAATTGTAAATCTGCTAATCTGTTGGCATATTTGGGCCTATATCTATCTATTTATAGATAGAGATAGATACATAGGTAGATACACAGATAAAACTTATAAACAGGGAAATGTATTTGCCAGCTGTATTTTTAATATTCTTTTTTCCCAAGGCAATAATCTTCTAAATAGATATTTAAAAAGTATATATTAGCTATTCCAAACAAAGATAAACCACAGTTTTGTGGAAAGAATAATATCAACATTCTAGTCCTCTTTTATTCAACTAGCTGTTGATACTTTTAGATGTTTTACTTAACCTCTCTGGGCATCATTCTCACCGTGTATAAAATGTTAGCTGATGGTTAACATTTGTTTTACTTTAAAGTTCTATTAATATACTTACTCAGGTTGTATAATATTATGCCTATGACTGGCTTGCAATAAAAATTTTGTTTGGGTGAATAAAAAACAACTTGTACCCTACTAGCTGCCTTTAAAAGTTCTCAAATGAAGATTTACTTACTATGTGGATAACTTAGTGTAGACTATATACATATACCCTTTACTAATTTTATTCCTTGCATGCCATGTATATATTATGTACTAATCTTGTTTTTTTTCTTTTCTTTTTTTTTTTGTTTAATTTTTTTTTTTTTTTGAGTTGGAGTTCTGCTCTGTTGCCCAGAACTAGAGTGCGGTGGTGCGATCTCGGCTCACTGCAACCTCTGCCTCCTGGGTTCAAGCAATTATCCTGCCTCAGCCTCCCGAGTAGCTGGGATTACACGAACCTGCCACCGTGCCCGGCTAATTTTTGTATTTTTAGCAGAGACGGAGTTTCACCATCTTAGCCAGGCTGGTCTCAAACTCCTGACCTCATGATCCACCCATCTCGGCTTCCCAAAATGCTGGGATTACAGGCTTGAGCCACCCCGCTTGGCCCTAATCTTTTTTCTGTATGCATTAGAGGTCATAACATGTCTCTATGTTGCCCCGGTGAAGAGGGGATCAGAACTTTGTGGTATCATTTTGCTTGCTTGTTACTCTACACCAAAGTGGGTGAAGTCTAAGGTGAAACCATGATCTGTTCAGGTAATATTGAGGGTATTTTCAGTGGGTGTATATAAGACCAAATTATAAAACCTATATCTTGAGAACAGTGGGGATTGCTATCAAGAAATTAGAAAAGATAAAGGCAGCGTTTAAGAAATGAGAAAAAGACAAAGGTGTAAATTATTTCATAAGAAAGCACTTCTTTGGAATTCCGCTTGGTCAAAATAGTAAGAAAGGAATCCTTAGGGTGTGGAACATTATATACCATTGTCCACAAATAGTTGCTTATTTTTACCATCTTTACAACTGATTCATAACAAATAAATGGCAAAACTCTGCAATTTATTTGATTGATTTTGAAGAATGTGGTTTCATTAATTCAGAATTTATTTGGATATGGACAATGCGAGTTAACATGAATGTTTTCTTTAAAAGTGATTTTTTTTTAAATTAAGTGATCACAGCTTTGAAGACAGATTTTAAAATGTGCCTTCTTAGATGGGTTGGTAAAGTATCTTTAGAAAATGGGCACTTTCATTCATAATTGCTTTATCTTAGCCAATTCCAGCTGGACTTGCCGTAGTCTTCAAGGACAAGTTGATGTCATGCTGAACCATATGTGTTATGCTGATAATCAGCATCATTGGAACTGAAACTCTGCCATCTATCTTTTGTGTGATTGACCTTGTTATTTTAAAGGTGGCAGGGGTTGGGGGAGGAATTTGGCAAAGCATCCAAAAAATCAGAACACTTCATAGCTCTGCAGTTCATCCTAGACATTAAGGTCAGATCAGGTGCCAAATAACCTGACAAATTTGGAATGAGCAGCAGGACAGCTACCTAGAGAACATCAGAGGTTCACAATGTCATCCCAGCAGCACGCAAAAAATAGGATAGTTACTAGCAACCCTTTGAATTATTTGGCTGATATTATTTGCAGAGACAATGAACTCTTCCACTTTACTTTCCAGAGAGACTGTGTGGATACATAGCATGTCAATAAAAATGGATTCTTACATAGTCCTGGAATAGTTAATGCAACCATTTGTATTGTGAATCACTTTACTGATGTGATAGCAAGAAGTTGAGGTTCAAAGGGCAGTTTCTAAGTAGATATATTGAAAGGTATGTAGCAGAAACCCATACTACCTGCTGATGTGCAAGTTCTAACAAGGAAGTTGAGTACAGTAATTGACATGAAAGTCACATAAATCAAAAAGAATCCACTTTCTCTTTATTCAACATTTTTTAAATGTACCATTCTAAGGTCTATAAAGAAATTTAAAAATTGGAAGCATGCTGTGATATTCATAGATGAGCAATTTAATTGTATAATGTAGAATTTTTGAATTCTCATTTTTTAAAATTTAGAAATAAATACTAAATATTATCCATTAATTAGTTAAATCCCTTGCTATAAAATGAGAGTAATGAGCCAGGCGCGGTGGCTCACATCTATAATCCCAGTACTTTGGGAGGCCAAGGCTGGCAGATCACCTGCGGTCGGGAGTTCAAGACCTGCCTGACCAACATGGAGAAACCTCGTCTCTACTAAAAATACAAAATTAGCTGGGTGTGGTGATGCATGCCTGTAACCCCAGCTACTCGGGAGGCTGAGGCAGGAGAATTACTTGAACCTGGGAGGCAGAGGTTGCCATGAGCCGAGATGATTCCATTGCACTCCAGCCTGGGCAACAAGATCAAAGCAACATCTCAAAAACAAAGAAACAAACAAACAAACAAAAAAGAGAGATAGTAATGAATAATATTTCATCTATATTTTTGGATCGACTTTTCCTCCCCCATCTTCTTTTCTTCTTTTCTTATTCCTCTAAAATCTTTTCCCCATTCTTTTATTTTCACATCAAACCCAAAAACTCAAAATTGTGAAAGAAATATCTCTGACAAAATTGCGGGAGAGACTATTTCATTTTCTGCCTCCCCTCCTGCATAAATTTCTGACTAAATCTAAATATTTAAATGTATTAAGGTTTTGATGAGTTTAGGAAAATACTGAGATGTATCAATTATTATCCAAAACCCTTAATTTTGACATTCCTGAAGCAGTTCCATGATTAGTTTAATCTTACGTGTAGTTTAAGGGAATATATCGTAATTTCATTCACATCTAGAAAATTCACTTAATGAATCAAGCCTTATGTAACACTGATGATAAAAGTTTGCCTGAATTCATCTCTGTATTTAATTCTAACTTTACTTCTCTGGTATTTTCTGTCTTATCAAGTCATTTATCTTAATTACAATAGGCAATGGTCAGAATTCATCATTATTCATGTTAATTTTATGAAATGAAATAATGAAAATTGTTTTAAACTCATAAATATTAGTTTTCCCCTTTCCACGTAATTTTTATTTGCCAATTGAGAAAGAATTTTAAAACATTGTACTCAGTAACAATATGAGCATTGATGATCATTATAAAGTATTATAGGCATATATAATTTTATATGCATTCAATGTATGTAAAACATATGAGGGTTGGAGCTCACCAGGCCTGTATTACTGACTATAGAGACAATCTTAACATTTTACTTTCTCAAGTACAAATGCTGATGTAAATAAAAAGCATCATGCTCTGGTTTAGCTGTTTTTGTTCTCCTGGGAATACATAGCCTTAGAGTTGAACAAATGAGAAATATACCTTTTTTTTTTATTAAAAGGTTAATGAAATTCTTCATGACTTTTTGGAAGAAAATTCAGTTTGGGTTTCTGCCAATGTCTGGAAACTTTCCCAGTATGTCCAACTAACCTGAATGATACAAGCCACTTAAAAAAATCAATACTATAACTAAGACTTCAACCAAATGGGTTCTGAAAAGGTGTCTTCATTTAAATGAGTAAAAAAAAGAAAAAAACAAAACAGTGGTAAAAACAGAGTCAGAGAAAGGATTTCAGTGGTTAAGAATATTTAAATTTTGTGTTTGTTATTCCACCATGAGTGATTTGAACAGAAAATATTTCTTTAAAATATGTATTAACATATTCAACATATTTATGAAAAGTCAGAAAATTATTTTGACTCACTAAAATAACAGAAAAAAGTATACACTGTCATTTCCTTCTCATATCCAATATGTCTGTAATGAAATTCTAGAGAGAGAATAAAACCTGTATTGCCTCTTCTACATGCCATTTCTATTTAATTCATGGTTTAAGGAAATTAAAATGATTATTTTTTGAGAGATGCAGCCAGTCATGCCTTTTACAATTAACTTGTTAGAATAATCAAAGCTATGTAATGGTTTTGTTAAAAGCTGTTCAAAGAGAGGGACAGTGTATGTCACAAATTGCCTATCTGCTAATCTTCTTCACAACCCTTTTATGAATATACAAAGTATACTGACTTTAAAATCTTGCCAGTTATGGCTGGGCATGGTGACTCATGCCTGTAACAGGCTGAAGTGAGAAGATTGCTTGAGGCCATGAGTTCAAAACCAGCCTGAGTAACACAGCAAGATCCCATCTCTATATTTTCTTTTTTAAATAGCTGGGCATGGTGGCATCTGCCTGTAATTCCAGCTACTCAGGAGGCCAAGGTGGGAGGATTGCTTGAGCCCAGGAGTTCCAGGTTACAGTGAGCTATGATTGCACCACGCTCTCCAGCCTGGGTGACAGAGTGAGACCTTGTCTCTAAAAATAATAATAAATTTTAAAATAGCCAATTATAAGTAGCATGAAATAATTATGTCAGACAATCATCAACATTAGCCCCTTTTAATCTGCTCGTAGGATGGTTTTAGAGTGGGTGGATCATGTTCTCAACTTACAGTTCTATCAGAAGGTATTGCTTCCTTAAGAGATAAATAAAAGCTGTACCTCTGTGTTCTGCCAATTTCATCTCATGTCTCAAAAGAATCCAATCATCTATCCTCTAATCTTATCTTGTGTTTCTAAAGAGACGTTGCTGTTTTGCTACTCTTGTTGAACTAAGCTCCAGATAATTTGAATTCATTAATTTGCAAACTCACAGATTCTTAATAACTCATTTTTAATATGTGGTTGATTATTATATATTTTTAAGAGAGAAAATTTCCTAGTACATATTTAAATGAAACTAATCAGACAGGCGGATTACAATGCAAATTAATTGAATTGCAGAATCACCTTTAGCTTTTCTTCTCTTCCCTTCATCCAATCAAATATCATTTCCTCCAGATCCTACCTCTTCAGTTCCGCTCATATGCATTGTTCATTTATTATTTTAACAAACATTTATCAAGCCCAATAATGTCCCAAGGTATAAGCTGGATGTAGGAATAAAATACGAAGTATTAGCTCCTCCTGTTGTTAAAGAGTTCGTAGATTACTATGTAAAACATGAAAATGAATGAAAGTGCTAAGTACGGTAATAGAGGTAGGACAGTGTTTCAGCAAATAATGCCTACTCAAGATCAGGCCCTATGATTATAAAAAGCAGAAATTCCCTAAAAAGGCTCAAGAAAAGCAGGTTGAGGTGGGGAGTGGCATAAAGGTTTTAAATAACCGAATAGAGAAATCAAACAGGATAGGAAGCACTAACTCAGTAGAAATCAATAGGGCTCTAATAGGTGAGTTACTCTGTTCAAGACAGCCTTGGGAGATCATAGCAGATAAAATCCTTGAAACTTCCCTATAAAGTTTTACTTTAATGCAATTCACTTGAACTCCGTAAGTTTGTTTCTGTCTTGCTACCAATATATAATGTATTTTCCTCTTTATCTTAGTTCAAATTATGTAAGATGAAAAAATAACTGATGGTCAAGGCTCAGCCTCCAGATGGACTCCCTTAATTCAGTTACCCACTTTAATCCTATCACATGAGGTGCAGAAGGGTGACATTTAGCCATCTAGGTCCATATATTCAGCAGCAGAGACTAAGGACAGGAGGATCAGGTAAGCTCAACACACCAAAACATATCCGGCACAATATCCTTGCCACTTTCACTGCTGTTTCTATAGTTTCATTCTTACTGATAGACTATTGTAGTGGCATCCTGACTTACTTTCTGGATAGAGAGACAGATCAAAAACAGGTGGTCATGTAAATGACCACGTATTTTTATAGATGTTCTCATGGCACTTAGTTTTTATTTTTCTCAAAGTAATGCTTATTTATAACTCTGTCTATAATTAGGGAAACATGGGAGAAACTATGTTTCCCTGTATGTTCAATGAATGTTCAATAAATGAAAGAATAAGTGAATAATTGAGTAATAAAAAATGATTGACCTTGTCTTGCACCTAAACGTCATAAAACATTTGTTTGAAGTTGAAATAAATAGAACTTTCATTAGTTAATGAACCCAAGGCAGAGGAATATCCAACTTCTATAGGAATCTGTGGAAGGAACTAGGATTCTCAGTTGCCTTTTGCTGTAATCACTGTCACCACCAATTTGTAAAAGGATGACCATAAATTACTAGCGAGGAAAAAAAAAATAAAAGCACACCAGAGAAAGGACAATAATTTTCTGTTTAAGGGCAAGTTCTTTCTCCGTCCCCTCAGACCTCAAAATACATACATGCCCATAAGAGCATGAATATTGACTCACATATAGCAAACACTCAGGACTTTGATTTGGACCTTTTGCAAGCACTGGTTTTCTGATTCTCATTGCAGTAGGGGCCACAGCATGTCTTCACTTTCCTTCTTGAAAAATAGCCTAGATGTCCTATTAAACTGCTAATAAATAGCTTGTAGGTTCTTGTTTTATTTTGTTTTAAGCCTTAAAATAAAATAATTAGGATAGAGAAAATACTGATGACTATTAAAGTTAATTACTTGTATACATGGGAGTTTTTATACCACTCTCTACTTTTTAGAGTGTTTAAAATTTTACATTGGAAAAGTAAAATAAAAAGTGACAAAAAGTAAACTTGGTATTAATTACATTTTTTAAAAGCCTAAAATTCCTTCTATTTGCCCTATCTTGTGAATCTGTCAGTATTGTAGAAAGATTTGCTTTGAACACTTATTACTGGATAACTCATTTTGTATTATCTGAAGAGAAAAATGCATATTCTCTTACCACAATCTTATGAGAAAAGACTAAGAAAATATTGGCTAAGTAAGGAAAGCATTGATAGATATGAGAAATCCAGAGAAAATTTTATAGAAATAAAAATCACCACATTGATCTCTGAAAATTACTTTAAAGGCTAGCATGCTCCATTCTGTCCTGCAGTCCAGCCAATGATACCTCACCATATTAAAGTAGACCCCTGAAATTGTACCCGTAGAAATAAAAATGCTCACATAAGTTAGTCTGTTTATTTTCCATAACACTTTGACTTACATAGCAACAGTACACATAGCAATTGACTTGATTTTTCTTCTCCCTAAACTTCTTGTGTTTGTATATTTGTTTAATATTTATTGAAGATCTGAAGTTGTGTAAGGTTTTGTTCAATCACTGGAGATAGGTGTGTAAAAAATACACAGTTCTTGCCTTTACGAGCACACATTCCACTGGGAAGGCAGACACCCGAATGTAATCAAAATACAGTAAGCTATTTTATAGAGATATACCCCGATGATAAAATAAAATGAAATAAAAAGAGGGACTGAATAATACTAACTTCAGGAGTTGGTGAAGGCATGGCAGATGGATTAATGTTTATGCAAGAACCTGAAGAGTAAGTCTGATTGCCCAAGCAGAGATCTGGGGAGAGGACTGCTCTTTGAATGATGATTTGTAGGTACTGAAGAGGAGGGGAAAGAAGGCAGAAAAATTAGAGAGTTACAATTGAAGAGCTTTAACAAAACAGTACTTATAAGTGGTACTGAATAAGGCAGAAAAACAGTAAAGAGTGATTGTACACCAGAGATATAGAAAGTGATTAATTTGAAAGTCTTAGTAACATACGAAACTAGAAGCCACAGATGGATGTTTGAAATCTTTTGTGTGCAGTAAGCATTAAGGTGTTCCCTGGGATTTCCAAAACAATTTTTTAAAAAGAACTGTACTTATAAATCTGAGGAATGTAAATAAATATTTCCTAGATATACATATTTTCACATGAATTAAAGTAATAATTGTTAGCCTTTGCATATCTATAAAATATCTTTCTATTGAATGACTAGTGTAAATTAAAGATCTCTCTTGAAAGAAAGTCAGGTATATGCAAATATTACAAGAAGAGAGAATTTTAAACTAATTGATAGCAGAGTGTCAGTAATTCTTAAAAGAGTAGGTATAGCCACGTATGAAAGTTACTGAGGAGATAATGGGGGTGGGAGAGTCAATATGATTATTGTTTTCATTGCCTAACATATTGAATTGTTCATATAAAGTTTATGTCATTTTATATAGCTTTTTTTTCTTTTTTTTTTTTTATTTTCTTGAGACAGAGTCTCACCCTGTGGTCAGGCTGGAGTGCAGTGGTGCAATCTCAGCTCACTGCAACCTCCGTCTCCTGGGTTCAAGTGATTCTCCTGCCTCAGCCTCCCCAGTAGCTAGGACTACAGGCACACGCCACCACACCCAGCTAATGTTTGTATTTTTAGTAGATACAGGGTTTCAACATGTTGGCCAGGATGGTCTCAAACTCCTGACCTCGTGGTCCGCCCATCTCGGCCTCCCAAAGTGCTGGGATTACAGGCGTGAGCCACCATGCCCAGCCAGCATTTTTTTTACAACGAGGATTTGGGTGGCAGTTTGATTAACTTAAGAATAAAGACAGTCATCATTATTTTTTACGACCTTAATATATTCTGCGGAAGCTTGGATCTTCATTTGCTATTACTGTTTATAGGATTTATGCCGTTAAAGTCAACCCAGCTATTACCAAATCTTATCCTAGGAATAAATGCTAAGACCTTACTTGAGAACCAATTTCATATGTGGCCTCAAATTTGTATCTCCCTGTTCTTTCTTTTTCTGAAACTTTTAAATGTTCTTCAGGGAAGTTAAGTGAGAGTTTCTGTTTCAAGTACCATAACTAGTTCAATTTTAATTTCTTATTTTATATTAGTTTATCTATTGTAAACACAATATACTTACAGTCATGTAAATTGTTTTTAGAGACTAAAAATTATTTTTGTAATTTCAAGAATTATATTAAATATAAAATTTTATAAATCATTTGGAAAATTTAGGCATAAAAATTGGTGGGCTAAATGTAGGAATTTCAGCCTAATGCATTAGTTTCCTTCATTTCTTAACTCATATTGATCATCTATGAGTGTCAGGGCATTTGGGAAATGTCAGTGAACAGAACAGACTAATATTCCTGCCCTTGTGTGGTTACATTCTAGTAGAGAGAAGGACATATACAATAAATGATGAATATCATGTATTAAACTGTTACAGTCTTGAAGCAGAACTACTTTAATTTATTTCTTGTCTCTTTCATTTACTATAAGCAGCAAAGAGAAATTAGGCTGTACTTTGCACACTTTGCTTAGAAATATCCTCAACTAAATATCTAAGTTTATCACTAACCGATTTACCTTCCTCTCCAAAGTAGAAATAATTCAGCCAAGTTCTCTGCTACTTTGTGACAAAGATGGCCTATCCTCCAGTTTCCAATACATGTTCTCATTTTCATCAGAGACCTCACTAGAAGGTCCTCTAACATACATGTTTCTATCAACAGTCTTTTCAAAGCAATCTAGGCTCTTCCTATTAAATGACTCAAATCTCTTCCAGCCTCTACCCATTACCCAATTCCAAAGCCACTTCCACGTTATTATACCAGGATGCAGTGTGTTCCAGAACCCCACATTCTGGTATAAAAATTTATATTAGTTTGCTAGGGCAGCCATTACAAAGTACCACAAACTGGGTGGCTTAAAACAAGTGAAATTTATTCTCTCACAGTTCTGGAGGTTGGAAGTCTGAAATCAGAGTGTCAGTTGCTTAGATTCCTTCTGAGAGCTCTCAGAGTCAATCTATTCTATGCCTCTTCTTTAGCTTTTGGTGAAGGCAAACAATCTTTGGCATTCCTTCATTTGTAGATCTATCACTCCAATTTCTGTCCCGGTCTACACATGGCATTCTACCTGTGTGTCTCTATGTTGTGTTTTCTTTGTGTGCATTTGCCTTTGTGTCTCAATCTCCTTCTTCTACCAGTCACATTGGTATTAAGGTCCACCCTAATGACCTCATTCTTAACTTGATTACATATGCAAAGATGATATTTCCAAATAAAGTCACATGCACAGGTACCAGGCAGGATTAGGAATTCAGCATATCTTCTTCAGAAACACTACTCAGTTCATCACATGACTAAATTAATAAAATGTATGGCATATTATAGATGGTGATGAGTATATACACACTATATTTTCCCCTCCACATTAGACTGAGGTTATTCTCATTTTACAGGAAAACTTGCAGTGAAATGGAATTTTTCAAAGTGTGTTCTGTGCAGCAATGGTCTGACAAAATTTTGTGTGAGAAAAAGATTCCATAATCAGTAGATTTGTTTTATGCAGCATTTACCTCCTCTCTGTGCTTCACAGTGTCTACTAACCCATTCAGGATTCTGAGAATTCAGAAAAAAGTAAACATTTTCTTTCTTTTTTTTTTTTTTTTTTTTTGAGGCTGAGTTTTGCTCTTATCGCCCAGGCTGGAGTGTGGAGTGCAATGGCTGGATCTCAGCTCATGACAATCTCCGCCTCCTGGTTTTAATCAATTCTCCTGCCTCAGCCTCCCGAGTAGCTGGGATTATAGGCGCCTGCCACTACACCTGGCTGATTTTTGTATTTTTAGTAGAGATCAGGTTTCACCATTTTGGCCAGGCTGGTCTTGAACTCCCGACTTAAGGTGATCCACCTGCCTTGGCCTCCCAAAGTGCTGGGATTACATGCATGAGCTGCCATACCCGGCAAAGTAAACATTTTCTAAAGGAATTTGACCGTAGTATTCTTTTAATCTTAACACTTTCTTCAAAACTAGTGTATTACTTGGAAAACACTTAATGAAACCCTGCAACAAAATCATAGATTTCCTCCTCCTCACTGGTTCTGAGACACGTTTGCGAAGGTTAGCCAAAATGGAAAGCAGAATTGACTCCAATGTAAAGTGTCCAAGTTGATTTCTTATTATTGATAGGTGTTCAATAAGAGTACAGGTATATGCCACTGTAGAGCTACCAGAGTGGAGTCCAGAATTATCAAAATCTATATCTCAAATCCATACGGATTAATTATTAAAATTTAATAAACAAGCAATAAAAATGTGAAAGTTCATGTGGCGGTGTGAAAATACAGGCTCATTAGGAGGAAGTGCAGGTTTCTTATACGGATTTTTTAAATAAACGGTCATGCAACTTTTGGGTCATTTCGTGGTCACTTTCTAGAGGTCCCAGTAATACTGGCTGCTGTAGTGTCAATGACTACAGGACCTAAAACAGCTATAGTGTGCTCCTACATTCAAGGAAGTACTTACCAGAGAGAAAGGAGAATAAGCAGGTAGGCAGAAACAAAAAAGCCAAGAAATTTAACAGGCAATTGTCACAAAAAGGGAGGATGAGGACAGGAAGGCAGTAGACTTCCCTAAAAAACAAAAACAGGCCAGGTGCGGTGGCTCATGCCTATAATCCCAGCACTTTGGGAGGCTGAGCAGGTGGATCACGAGGTCAGGAGATCGAGACCATCCTGGCTAACACGGTGAAACCCCATCTCTACTGAAAATACAAAAAAAAAAAAATTAGCTGGGTGTGGTGGCACACACCTGTAGTCCCAGCTACTCGGGAGGCTGAGGCGGGAAAATGGCATGAACCAGGGAGGGAGAGCTTGCAGTGAGCTGAGATTGCACCACTGCACTCCAGCCTGGGTGACAGAGCGAGACTGTCTCTCTGTATATATACTTAATACAAGGTGAAGATACTTTATAACCTTCTCACTATTGCCTTGGAAAAACTGAGTGATGCGAAGGCGAAAGGGAATTTACTGGGTTGAACCTATAGTACTCTCCAGTGGTTGCCTATGGCATTAATGTGAAGAATCTTTCAGAAAATGGAACACTCTTTCTTTTACATATCACACATTACCGTGAAGCCTCTGGTAACTTTGGGTGTATTTCTACAAATTAGTCCAGGTGTCTCTGGTATTATTTACAAACATCCCAACTGCTTTGCAATATAATTCTTCTGAGTTTAAATATCAAGTGTTATTATAAATATTTACCCTGCACAGCTCTCTGCCTTCAGCTTGTCTTGTGCCCACAACTCTACCCTATGTAGTTTAATTTTTAAAAGATAGAAAGAAAAGCATCCAGTGACATCTCTAATAGGGATTCCTCAAACTTGAAGCCTACTCTAAAGGCAGAAATAAGATCCCTGAAATATAGGCCACTGCTTAGCCCACTTGATGAAGACACTTCAAGTCTCAGGACAATTGGTATAATGTTCCCAACTAAGCTTACTTGAACACTGAGTTTTCCTATTATGAAAGACAAACTTTGGAATCTTCTGATCCATAGTCAGACTTGTTTATCCATTACACCAGTGGCTCACATCCTGGATGACTAATTCTGAAGCAGTCATTTAATGAAGCTTTATTTGGGGGATATTACAAGGTTTGTTGTTTGTGTCTTGAAAATCCAGCTTTCTGTGCAAGCATACAGTTACAGGTAATAAAACGCTACCCATTGTAGTTCCATACTTTCCTCATCCACTTTCCAGGGTAACCTAGGCTATGAACTACATTTTGAAAGAAGGAATCATTAAAATGGCTGATAATTATCCAGAAGCTTACCAGTTTTACCAGTCTCTGAAGAAATTCCCATTAAATCGGGCTGTGTCCTGTTTCCTCAAATAAAATGAGACCATACACCAGAGGCTTATCAGACCTTTTCATTTCGAGGTCATTAATTAAGCATATTCTACTCCAGGTGAAAACGTTTCCCAGAACGCTCTCTTGCATTGACATTTATTTTGTGTTAACCATTCTGCCTGGCATGGCTCCGCACCACATCTAGAGGCCATTTAAACAATATTAAGATAACAACATTAATTCACTGTTTTTCTGTTAATCATATAGAAGCAGATCAGCTTGTTATAAATAATGATCTTACCTTGCCTGAAGCACAACTCTTAGCACTTGTTCTAATGCAAATCCCTCTCCTTTTGTACTAGCTGCAGAGTAATAGCATTTAAGGCTGCGCTCTTTTCTTCTCAGGTTTCAATACTGTTGGGAAGAGAGGAAGTGGCTTCAATTTTAAATTTGAATAGGACTGCTTTCCAAAAAAAATGTGAGGAGGAGGACACAACCTTTCTTGACTTGCTTTTATCAAAAGCATCATTTTTCTCCTTTCTCATGATGATTACTGGAATTGAGACTCAAATTAAGCAGCTTGTCTGACAGATGATGTAATGTGTCATAACTTTTCCTTATCTGCAAAATAAGTATATTGGGTTGGAAAGTCAGGAAGTTTTGTCAAGGTTTTGTTTACTTTCACATTTGGCTCACTCTTACTACAGAGGAGATGTAGCTCCTTTAACTATGGGAAACCACGGTTAAAAGATTTCTGTCATTATTCTATGTGGACTGTGTGAATTTCTCAAGCTGATGGAATAAAACAGGCAAATGTGCAATTGATTCTAGCAGCTAGAGATCCTTCCTTGCTCACTTGTATAATTAGGCATGGCTTTTAAACAACTTTCTGCATCTCTCAGGGGGCTTTCAGGAACATAGGAGGTGGTGTTCCAGTAAGCTGGTGCTAATGCTGCAGCTTACTGCTAACCAGTTGCTCCTCCAATCAAATTCAATCCAGTACAATATATCTTTAAAAGAACTTCAAAATAATACAGTTATAGTCTGAGGGTGAATTAAATAGGCAGCGTGTTCCTTATCTCAATGCTCCGGTTTTTCCTTTTCCTAATCATCAGCTTTGCATTCAACCAGCATTTGCCAAATGCCAACAACATACCTGTCATCATTCTGAATGTCAGAAAATCATGATGAAAAAGGCAGACTTGCTGCCTGACTTTGTGGAATTCCCAGCCAAATGGTGTAGAAATGACTAGGCATTTACAATCAAGTAAGAGTTACCACGAGGTTACGCGCAGGATGCAATGAGGTACCCATGAGGGGTACCTTATGGTAGAAAGGGCAGGGGAGGTTCTCAGGGAAAGTACTGGCTGACCTGACATAGAAAGATCTAAAGCTAAGCTCAGGAAAAGAGGTCAGAGAGTGGCAAGGGGGCTGTAGGTGGAGAGAGCAATTTGAGCAAACACGTGGCAGCTTAGAAAAGCATGGTATTCTGAGGGAAACACTGTTTACAATGCCTAGATCACAGTGAGCAAAAAGTAATGGAAATAGGGTTTCTTTTTATTATTATTATTATTATTATTATACTTTAAGTTTTAAAGTATAATAATACATGTGCACAGTGTGCAGGTTAGTTACATATGTATACATGTGTCATGCTGGTGTGCCGCACCCATTAACTCGTCATTTAGCATTAGGTATATCTCCTAATGCTATCCCTCCCCCCACGAAATAGGGTTTCTTGATAGACTGTATCGAAGAAGAGGTTCATTACTTTTTTGGATTGTCAATTTCAAAGTTAAGAGAGAGCTGCAAATAGTTGCATTAATTAGCCAAGAACACAATAATTACAAATACCTTCATATCAGCTACATGATAGAATTCGAATGATCTGTCCCAAAATATCCCTGGTGTACAAATAAAAATTTCACCATTAGGTATTGATTTATTTGGCATTTTAGTACTGTACTGTTATTGAACAGGACATACATTAGCTATATTTGAACATATCATTGAGTGTGAATTACTTTTAACATATACTCTTTCTAACATTAGGGATTAGATTGTGGAAAGACTAATAAAAGCAGGCAGAGAGGAATATTTAGGTAGAGGACATGTTAGGGGAATTGCTCAAGGGAAAGGCAGAGTTGTGTGGGCACCTGGAAGAAAATCACCATTAGAGGAAAAAAGGAGTCTGAAAGATAAAGCGTTAGCTGACAAAAGCACTAGAGTGCCAGAGCTCGTTTTTGAACCACTCATGACAATCAATTGTTAAATTTTTATGAATTGTGAGTGCTGATTGTTAAATACAGTCATGATTTAAAAAGAAATAATATAAGCATACAATTAAGTGAGTTATATTAAAAACAAACACTCAAAGATCATTACTTTCTAATTATTTCATTGACTTATTATCTTTGCTGATGGAGTTATTTAAGACTGTTGTAATTGCACATTAGTGTGAATGACTAACATGAAAATATTATGTTAGCAATAAAATAAAGTTACTGATAATTAGTAGACAGCAACAGTACACTATGTCTAGGGATGGATTCTTATTTTCTTTAGAGGCCATGACCCATGTTTTCTTTGGAGAGCAGTCCTCACATTACTGTCTTAAAAGTAGAGAGTAATATGTGGAAACACTACGTAATAGTGTTCTCCTATACATCTCATGCCAATTATGTTGGTAACTTGAATTTGGCCATATTAGGAATATTTATACCATAAAAATTAGCAAATAATAAATCTGGGTTTTATTTATTGTTTTGTTGATGGTCCATTGTTGACGTAAGATATTAGTGGATTTTTAAAAATGTTAGAAATATATATTGAATTTAAAATGATATCATTTCTCTAGATGCTACATTGTGAGTAGCACAAAAAATTGAGAAAATAGTCTTCCAGCATTAAAGAAGTGCTATCCAACTTAGCAAATAAATCTCTCAGGTCATTGACAAACAGGTGAAATCTAAAATAGATTCATTATTACATTTTGGTAAAATAAAATTATCAGCCAACGTTTATTTTGAACCCATCCACCTTCATCAATTACATAAATAAATTAGCTACAAATATGAGTTTAGCAAAATCAACTGAAGCATTTTGTGAGAATCAACTGACTATAGGGAATTTACAATAAAGTGTCCTATATATAGGATTACTATTTGTTGTTAATGGGCCATATATCCTTTATATCAGTAATACTTATAATAAATTAAGTGCCTATATATTTTTTCCATAAAGTTTGTTGTGAAACATTCACTGGAACACCAGTGAGTAACAATTAAAAAAAAGTAAGTCATCTATTTTACAATTTTGCCCACATTTGGCCTTTGTGTGAGGGTTATTTCCCATATAATTCCTGTGAACATACTCAGTATTTAGTGTTTTAAGTTAATGTCATTGGACAATGGTGACCTGGATCTCTCAATACTCTGCTCACCGTAGCAGATATTGGAGAAGCTGTTCATGTGATAAGCTCTGGAAGATGAATTATTCATTTAATGTGACCTTGTATACTGTTGCTCCCATTACCACCAATCGTGTCTTTTGTGCTATTTGGAGCAGACATATATGCTCTAGTTTTTGAAATGCTTCTCTAGGGAAAATTTGCCAAAAACCATGCAGTATATGGCATTGAATTTTATTAAACAAATTATTTCTTTTCTTTTTTCTTTTGAGACGGAGTTTTGCTCTTATTGCCCAGGCTGGAGTGAAATGGCCTGATCTCGGCTCACTGCAACCTCCACCTCCCGGGTTCAAGCGATTCTCCTGCCTCAGCCTCACAAGCAGCTGGGATTACAGGCATGCACCACCACACCCAGCTAATTTTGTATTTTTAGCAGAGACAGGGTTCCTCCATGTTGGTCAGTCTGGTCTCAAACTCCCTACCTCAGGTGATCCGCCCACCTTGGCCTCCCAAAGTGCTGGAATTACAGGTATGAGCCACTGCACCAGGCCTATTTCTTATTTATTTATTTAAGACAGTATCTCATTCTGTCACCCAGGCTGAAGGGCAGTGGCATGATTACAGTTCTCTGCAGCCTTGATCTCCCAAGCTCAAGCGATCCCCCCTCCTCAGCCTCCTGTGTAGCTGGGACGACAGATGTGCAACCATGCCCAACTATGTATTTTTTATTTTTAGTACGGATGAGGTCTCACTATGTTGTCCAGGCTGATCTCGAACTCCTGAACTCAAACAATCAATCCTCCTGCCTCAGACTCCCAAAGTGCTGGAATTACAGGTGTGAGCCACCATGCTGGGCCTAAACAATTTATTTTTAATTGATCACTTTGTCTCTTCTTAACTGCAACTTTGGGGCAATATGTTGACACTAGTGCAAATGTTTTAGAGGGATGGGAAGGGAGAGCCAACTTACAGTGAAAATAAGATGAGGGGATGGGGTAGGGTGGAGACTGATCACTAAGAAAATAGGAATGCATCTCTAGAGATAGTGCATGACTACTATCTACTAGAGATCAGTGGCTTCTCTTTAATTATTGTTAGGTTACTGAAAGCTTAAGGATGTGTCAGGAAGCAGCCTGAGACTATTTGCTTTGGTTAGAGATGACTTTGACACAAATAGCTTTTACCAAAGTGAAAGGCATTGGCTGTTGTTTGTTTTAGTAGGAGTAATTTGCAACATGTTTTTGTATCACTCCTAATCCAGAGGTGGGTATGCACTCACTTATGTCTGTTTTGAGAAATGTTGAGAACGATTTTCTATTAATTGTTTTTTTTTTTTTGTCAAAGTAATGTGTAGTTAAAATTCACTATATTAAATTTTGTAAGGGTATGAATCAAATTTATGCTTTCCACTGAATACCTAGTGCTTAGGTATTCAAAAAGCTGGCCACACAGAAGGTACTGAAAACATATTTGTTGGAAGAAAAACAAGAAAGGAAGGAAGGGAGGGAGGGAGGAAAGGGATAAGGGAAAATAATGCATTATATAGCGTAACTGTAAAGGCATAAAACTCAGACATAATCTCACCAATAAAATGTAATAATGGCAATACTGTATTTTTAATATATTCCTCGTATAGTTTGCTAGGACTGCCGTAATAGAATACCAGAGACTGGGTGGCTTAAACAACAGAAGTTTATTTGCTCACAGTTCTGGAGGCTAGAAGTCCAAGATCAAGGTGTTGGCAGGGTTGGTTTCACCTGACGCCTCTCTCCTTGGCTTGTATTCAGCTGGCTACTTGCTGTGTCTTCACATGGTTTTTCCTGTTTGCATACCCTTGATGTCTCTTTGCTCAAATTTCCTTTTCTTATAAGGACACCAGTCAGATTGTATTAAGGCCCATGCTAAAGGCCTCATTTAGACTTAATCACAATTTTAAAGACCTTATCTCTAAGCACAGTCACATACTAAGGTACTGAGTTTAGGACTTTAACACAGGAATTTTGGGGGAATACAATTAAATCCATAATATTTTTTCCATTTAAGTTTCCATGCTATTTTTCACTGCATAGTTGACATGAAACTTTTAAACATTGGTTTTTAGCTTAATGTTTTATATTAAATAATTTACTATCCCAACAAAGCTTTGCAAACACTAATATAAAACTTAAATAAATATTATTACCTGCATACATTTTTACCTGTTACTTCATTTGGACCCATAAATTATTTTCAGTGTTCAATCTGATAAATAATAACACAACATTTATCAATATTTATTGAAAATTCATATGACCTTTTTAAGATTCTTGATGTTGCTCAGGGGTTCTTGAAGTTAGAAATAATGTGGCCAATTTTATTTCCCATGGAAGAGCATCATGGTGTGCTTAAAAGAGCTGAGATGAGAAAAGCATCTCTTGTCTAGCACGGACGTGTATGAAAGACATAAATTGCTTCAAACATGTACAAAGAGCCATTCATAGACTTTCGATTAAGTAATATCAGGCCTGAAGGTGATTTATTTAGGCTCAATGTTTTTTTTTTTCTTTTGCATTTTATCATACTTAATTGGACTTTATAATAAAAATGAAAGCAGCTGAATGATAGAATGGCTTAAAGGAGAGAAAGACGGAAAGAAAAACATATGTAACAGACAATCTTTTGACATTGACTATGAGGCTAGAAAGGACAGGCCATATATACTGTTTGATACTCAAGGAAAACAAAATACCACTTCTAACTTTGTGGCTGAGGTGACCTTTCCAAAGTCTTTCTTGGCATATGGAAAGTGTATTTTCCTATTTAGCAGTAACAGCAGCAGAAAATGTGCTTGGCCTTTACCTGTGTGTTTATGGTGGCAGAGCCCAGTGGATCATGTAATGGGCTGAGTATTAGGCTGCCAGTTCCAGCCCAGCTCTAGGCCATTCTGCTTAAAGGGACCTGGCTTGAGGCCTGGAGTTCCAGGTGATTTTACCTGACTTAGCTATAGAGGTATCAGCCCTTTAATGATCCCATAAACCTGAGAATATAGAGAAGATTCAAACAGGACTTACATAATTCTGCCCCATATTAACCATGATGAATCCACTCAAATAGGACCTTTTTCAAAAAAAATAAAATAAAAATAAAACTTAAATTAGGTGTCAGCATTTTTTTTTGTACAAGGCTAGATGATAAATATTTTAGGATTTGTGGGCCACATATGTCCCCAATCAATATTCTTCTTTGTTTTCTTCCTTTTGTTTTTTATACCCTTTAAAAATACAAAACCATTGTTATCTCAAGTGTCATACAAAACAGGCTGCAGACTGGATTTGCTTGTGGGCCATAGTCCTCTTTTGTTTGCCAATTTGCACAAATATATATAGCAAATCGAATGTGCTCCATAGTGACGCAGGATTTTTCTTGGTCACTTTGCCAGCCAGGAACCTCTGGCTGGCAACGTTCCCACCCGGGCCACCTTACGTGCCGCAAGAGACTACTGGCCCACTCTGCCTGCCTTGGCTGTACCTGGCTTGTGCACCAGCTCAGGTCACAACTGGGCTGGGTGTACCCCAGCCCACCTGTGTTATAGCTTGTACCCGTGTTCCAGGGTTCCCAAGTTCTTGTCTCGCATCCAAGTAGAAAAAGGATAGGCTGACAATTGAAGGCTGAGGAGGATGGGGAAGAATTTTACTGAGTGACAGAACAGCTTTCAGTGGAGAAGGGATGCGGGCATGATCCCCCACCTGAAGTCAGGTGGATTCTCTCTCAGTGTGGCTGAGTCCAGGGCTTTTGTGGGCTCAGAATAGGGGAGTGTGTACTGATTGGTTTTTGAATATTCAAAAAAGGCTAAAACGAAGGCACCACTCAAAAGTGGGCATGACAGTTTAAAACACCAGTTAGGGAAAGGTAGGTATTTGTAAAATAGGTGAAGGTTGAGGATCAATCAGAAGAAAATGTACCAAATGGGAAGACAGTTTCTTAAGCCAGTCCATGGATGTGACTTGTAGCTTGGTTTTCAGGCTTTAAACTGTCTTTGGCTTGGAGGTTGGGTTTCACTGGAGACCCACCCCTCTCTGCCTAGGATTTGTCTGTCTCCTGCCTCTATCAATAGTAGTATTTTTAATCCCTTATTTTACCGTGCTTATCTTAAATTATGTCCTCTGTACACAGAGCTTGCTTCATGAGGAGACCCAATTAGAGAACGCTCTGTTATAACATGGCATAACATTTCACAAGTTTTGATATTAGATTATCTGTCTTATCTGACCAACCATTTTGTATAATTTATATAAAATTTATATAATAGTTTCATTATGTAAAGATTTGCTGCTTTAGTAAATGGTGTTCCCTGTTATAAAAAATGACATTTCCATGGACCATCTATCGACCATCCATCGATATACATTTCATACACAGAAGTTGTTTCTTAATTGTTTGTTTTGTTTTTGGTAGCTTTTCATACTTAAGTACAGGGTACAAAACTGTATTCATTTGAATCTTCTGTGAAGAATTAGGAAGATTTAATGCAATTGCATCCCTGGAATCTAGCCAGACTCCTAAGGCAATCTCCTTACAAAACTGGGTCTTAGAATCTATGACAATTGTTCATCAGAACTTCAATGTTAGGCCTTTTCCTAAAGAAAATATTTTTAATTATAGTAGTATCCTCAAGAAGTTTTCTTCAGAATATGTTATATGATTGCTCCTCTAGATGAGTTTTGAGAGAAGAAACTTACCTGAAGAGTACCTGATGAAAGATCTATCTTTTTAAGTAACTATGGTATACACAATTACGGACTTAAAGAAATAATATGGTAAGGTGTTGATTCACAGTATTTTACTTAAAAGCCTCAAATATGAACTTTTAAAGTAGAATGCATTACCTGCTGATCACTTATGATATTGCAACATTTATATATTAGCTACTAAATATATCAGTCCTGTAAAAGATATAAATGTGCTAAATTCTGAATGATCCCACTATAACTTTTTGAGACAGAAAAATTCCCTATTATCTGTATCCCCTGATACAAGACATGGGCAAGCTGTATTATGGAAATATGAACTGCCCCAAGAACATAAATCTCCAAGGAGAACAAGCACTTTTCATGTAGAAAGTAGGATTCACTGAAGGATTAGTAACTACTTGAGCTTTTACACAAACGCATGCATACACACATACATATTCAACTGAGCCTACTGTTACTATTATAATTCAAAAAAAATTATTGACACAGGTTTTCTATGAAATGATTGGCACCTATAGGAGACCACTTGTTCATTTCTTGCCTTCCAATGTGAAAGTTGTAAATAATATCCTTGGATTGTATTCACTGAATTTACTTGCTTGAGTCAGATACTGATGTTGCTTCCAGGAATCTAAGAGTGACACAGCTATGCTTAAATTTAATTCAGGCCAATCATAAGTCATCACATTCAATCTAGTTTATTTTGTGTCTTTTATGAGGAAAAGAAACATTACTTTTCTGGAATATTTGACACAATTAGGTAAATCTCAATTTAACAATGCATTTTAAAATACGTTAAAATCAATGAGATAATCTGTATTCAATACTTGTTACATACAAGTTTCTCAAGAAACATTTACTGGCATTTTATACACAAAAACAGGTAAGATTAACATCAACCAGTTAGTTATGAGGACTGCCCAACCTCATGTTAATCTCTAATTGTTTGTGTTGTCACCTGTAGATTGGATGCAAAAATTATCTTTTAAAGTAAAAACAGTTCATGTGGGACTATTTATAGGTTTAGGCCCTGCCCATTATTCCTTTGAACTTGGGGATATTAGGAGAAAGCAATGTATCCTGGCAAGCAGAGGAGAACTGAACAGGTACAGAGCCCAAAGGATTGTCTGAAGAAGGATTTTTTAGGGAGTTTAGAGTGAAAGAGATATATTTTGAGAACAGCTGCTTTAAAAGAGATGAAGAAACAGATTTCAGGAACTTAGCAATACATAGTGAATAGGATCCCTCTTTATAATATTTTGAGAGGATTATGAAATGTTTAAATTACTTTCTAAATATTGTTTAAATTACTTTCTAAATATCTTTGCCTGTTTGAGTTGAGCCAACATAGGACTGTAAGGATCTTTGACTAATTAACTATATGTGGATTACACTTTGACAGCCTGCCTTTAAGTTTCAGTACTCAGCTGTACTTCAGACAAAAATCAATACCCCGAAAACATATTTTCATGCTGGTTACAACCTCACCAGATTTATGGTGCAAAGAGTAAAGATTTACCCTACAAAATGTTTATGTTTCTCAGAATACTATTGCAGAGAGAAGCACTGAAGACTATTCAGAGACCTAATAGGGTTCCTTATGAAATTGAAAACTAGAAAGTTGTTTCTAATTCAACTTCCACGGATACAGGCATTCTTAAATTGGAGCTCTTGGTGGATGATAGACGGCATGGTAGCTATGTTTAGGCTAATTCAAGTCATTTGCTCTGCTCCAGTGACAGAGATTTCCCTGGGAATTTGGCTGTTACTCTGAGTAGAACTGCTGACACCAGTTATTTGCTATTAGAAACTTGAGAAATGTGGGTGCAGTTTCTCATGGAGGCTTAAGAAAATAATGCTAAGGCCGGACGCGGTGGCTCATGCCCATAATCCCAGCACTCTGGGAAGCTGAGTGGGCGCATCACTTGAGATCATTAGTTCAAAACCAGCCTGGCCAACATGGTGAAACCCTGTCTCTACTAAAAATACAAAAGTTAGAGGTTGAGGCACAAGAATGGCTTAAATCTGGGAGGCAGAGTTGGCAGTGAGACAAGATCGCTTTATTGCACTCCAGACTGGGTGACAGAGTGGGAATCTGTCAGGAAGGAAGGAAAAAAAAAGGAAGGAAGGAAGGAAGGAAGGAAGGAAGGAAGGAAGGAAGGAAAGGAGTGCTACAATACAGGTTAAATCACGCTACTAATATAGTCTAGAAGTGGCAAGTATTAAAAGGTAGAAAAATACATCAAGGTGAAGGCCTACAGTTAACGTTAGTATTGTTTGTGGTCTAAAAGTCACCTGATTTTTGTTTGTATTACAACATGCTTCACTGGCCTAGAAACTGTAGACGGCAAGTGATTTGTCTGCATTCATATGTTGAATCCATAATTGCACATCAACAAGATATGGTACTTATAGGTACAGCATGGAGAGATTTCAACAGTGGCAATCTGCCAGGAGAAGATGTAGCACAGTTTGTAGAAACATGTGATGTGGTTAGAGGCATTTCATGTGCTGTTATTAAGATAGATAGATAGATAGATAGATAGATAGATAGATAGATACTGACAGACAGACAGATACTATATGTTTAGGATCTATTTTAAACTTAAAAGCTTCCTGAGTTTTTGCAGTATTGTGAAGCTGATCAATGTTGAGCCAGAAAATGGGGACAACATTGTAGTACTTTGGAAATAAAACTAAGACTAAATTACAGAGCTCATATTTAAGGAAGGAGGATAGACTCCAAGTGCCGGTATAGATATAGGTGTGCTTGTCTCTTAATCTTGGGTTACTTACAAAACAGATCCTGATTAATGTGGATATATGGACAGCTCAACCCTAATCAGGAGATGCCAGCAGCTGACCCCAGGTTCTGTTCGGATGCCAACTAAACCACTTCCTTGTGACAGCACTGAACACAAGAGGGACTGGTATAACTGCCTGGACTCCTGTGTCTCAGAATCTTGTAGGCACAGGTACAAAACAGGGGTGGACAGAGTTCTGTGTTTGTAAAGGGCCATCTAGTTGCACCCTGAATCCATGAGGAAAAGAATCCAATGAATAAAGAAATTTTTCTTATTTTATGGGCAGAGACCCTGCTATTAGGTGCTGTGGTAGGTAGCAGACATTGACTTTTCCTGCTCAGCAAAGTCAGAAACATGAGGGTTGGCTCTGGATCTAATGGTGGTTACGTTTGCAGTTCATTCAGACTACAGCTTCTAGTTCACCCATTCACTTTAAACCCTGATGCCAACAGATACTCACCTGCATCATCACTCACAACTCACCATCCCCTCCTCTTCCCAGTTCTACCACCACCATTACTCTAGGACCCAATCCTTTAGAAAAAGTGTTTTGTGCTCTAGTTCGTGGAATACAATAAATCTCTGACCAATGTTTCTCAACTTTATGTATTGTGTATTAGATTCACTTGGGAAGGTTTTTAAAATTATCTGGTTCCCACTTCAGAGACAGGCATGATTGGTCTGGAGAGGGACTTGGGTATTGCATTTTTTTAAAAAAAGCTCTCCAGGTGATTTCAAGGCACAAGTAAGACCGCTCTAACCAAAGCACTTAAATGGAGGTAGGAGGAGTATTGTGGTTAGAAAGGGAATTGATCACTATTTATACCTTTTTCACCACCTCTATCTTCTACCTACTCGCTTTCACTTATTTGTGATGTTGATCAGCGTACTGAATGGTGTAGGAAATTAGAGATGATAGAAAAGGGAGATTGATTTATATTTGAATGAGAAAACTGCCACTAAGGAGCAATAATAAATACAGTGAAAGGTGTGGGTGTGTGTGGAGCGGGCAGGGAGTGAGTGGAGGCAGAAAATAGCATCACCCAAGTGGCCCAAGTGAGAAAGGAAAAGCTTAGATAGAACAGAGACAGTGTGGGGACATGTGTAGGCATATGGGTTAAAGGGAGATTAGAAAGTCAGGTTTCAAGAGGGTTAACTTTGTTTTATAAATGGAATTTTTCTTAGTTGTTTTTGAGAAAACAAGAAAAAATTAAATTGCTATTCGAGTGTTTTTGATAGTCTTGTTTCTTTAAATAAGGCACAGATCTGACATGGAGACATAATGTAGTTCATCTTTATGCCCTTTATATCATTGTTACATTTTTCTCTGGATCAAATTGTACATATCGAAAAATAGAAGGTTCAAATAAAGTATTAAAAAACTTCAATCGATCCATGCATTCTGATAGTAATAGTTGCAAGTTCCAGCCATGGTTACCCTAAAGTTTTATATGATAGTTAATTTTAAATAAAATTTAATGTTCAAGTTTCACACTTCCTGCAGTGGCGGGGGGTTAGATTTTATTACACAGAAGGAAGTTTTTGGATCTGGACATCCTAAAATCTGCGTTATCAAGATAACCAGTAGGAAAATCCCTTTCTGAAGCAAAAGAAGCTATATATCTGAAATGAGATAGATAATCAAAATGTTGAATAGGGAAATTAAAAAAGCCAAATGGAGAAATAGAATTTTTTTTCATGAGCACTACCTCTAATGCTGTTTTTCAATTTCCCAGACCAATTTGGCAGTAACACAGTAGCTATGAACAAAAGTGATATGACTGCTTGAGTTGCTGATTGCAAAGAGACAAAATGCAGCCCTTTGTGGAGTTGATCTGAAATAGCAACTTTCCAAAATTAGAGCACTTGACAGGAGAGTTAAAGCGGGGGGGGGGGGGGGGGGGGGCGGGGGGGAGTTGAACAAAATAAAAGCAAGTCAATTTTTTTCAATTTTTTTATAGACTTGGCTTCCTTTTGTATTTGAGAGGGCCACAGTCAGAAGGGCTATTTCTGGTGTGGCTATCATATTTGATGTTGTCTGATCAGCAGTCTTTTAGCTGAGTTTCTACTTCTGGATTTGCCACCGCTTTTCACCTTCTTTGTGGTGTTGTTCCTACTTAAAAGAAATTGTGTCATGGAGCTTTCTCTGGGTTCTGTACACTCCTGTATGGCACAGAGTCTCATTTCATCTGTATTTCCATCAATCAACCATATTTATATTGAACTCACTGTTTGCACATGTATCAGACCTCGGTAGTAGGCTCAGGTTGTAAAGAAATATAAGTTCATTAGTCAATTATTTCTGCAATTTTCTGCTAAAATCTCAATTGTTGAGATTATTTTGAAAGCATACCATAGAGATAGCTGAGTTATTCTTTGAAAGATTAGATGGAAGACGTACTAAACACTGAATTGTATTCAATGAATACCAAAATAAATAATATCATTTCTGTCCTTAAGGAATTTTCCATTTAGAAGACAAAGTAAGGAAGAGGTGAAGAGCTCTTTAAACTATATAAGCTTTTCAAAGACCTGTAAGTTTTTTAATCAAGCTCTAAAATAATCAACCTATTTTTACTTTTTTAAAAAATTAATGTCATTTTATTTCTATGGTTGTTTTCCACTTTGCTGTTTGGTTTTATAGCTTTTTAGACAGCCTTATTGCTTTTTATTTCAAGTAACAAAAATAGGTAAGTGCCAAGTGTGTCCACAGTGCTACTAAGGACACTGTGGTATTCAAGATGAATAATATTCATAGTCTACCTTTATGATTATACTGCCCTTTAATGTATAAAAGAAACCCTCATCCAGAGTTAGGTTCTAGGATTAGTGATTCATGTAAAAATTATATATAATAAAAAAATTATATATCATAAAAAAGCACCTTTTAAAATTTTGTAAATTTCCCGTGAGCTTCTGTATACACGGCTCTGTGTGTGTTACACTGTCTCTTAGTTCAGTGTAGGCCATTTTCTTTTGGGCATAATACTGTTCCTTTGGGTGAATCCCAGATGAGGTTGTTGGCTTGTTTACAGAGTCTTTTTATCCCAAAAAGAAACAAACAACAAGACGAAACACAAAATAAAAATTGAATTGAAAAAAGCCACAAAGCCTCATTCCTGTTGTTAATGTCTGATACGTTTAAGTGACTGTTCATCATTTAAATATATTGTATGATGAATCTCCACTGTATTGAAAAACTACATAAGTACCTTAAAAGAAGTAAAAATAAGAGGCTGTGAGATTTAGAGAAAAAAAGAAAAGCTAATCTTCCAATAAAGGATCCAGAAAGAAACTTCATAAAGCAAACTGTATTTGAGATTTTAAAATCAGATTTAATTTTGACAAACTAAGGACCTTCCAATATAAGAACATGCAGTCTGGGCAAAAACACACAACTTGCAACAAATTTAAAATCTGTTCAAAATGAACTGTAAACATTCTATACTGATGGAAGTTTAGAATATGAGTTGACCATTAGGATGTGAAGGTGAAGGGCAAATTGAACATGTTATTAGCGAGAAGGGGTTGTGCTTAACTGGGAAGGCCACTGAAGGGTCTTATGAAGACAATGCCTTAGTTACGGCTTAAATCTAGGTACTAATTGTCTAAATTCTCATAGGGAGTAGGGAAGAGAAAAACTTGAGACAGAAGTAGATTGAGCTAGACTAGGATGGAGATAAAGCAAGTTGGAATTGGGAGAGTGATATTGGAAACAAGAAAGTAGAGAGAAAACCCAAGAAATATTATCGTGTGTGAATTTTGCTTCAAACTGGTGGTTGACATGGGCAGTAGGAAAAAGTCTGTGTCAGAATCACTTTGGGTCAACTAAAGTTTCTACAGTAATGGCACACAATTATTTGGATGAATGCAGATGTGTGTGTGTGTGTGTGTGTGTGTGTGTAAAATGTCAGAACTTATGTGTTTGTGCGTGTATGTATATATATGCACACACACACGTCAGTTCTGACTTTTTTTTACATATATATGTTTGAATATATACATAGGTAGTAACTACTAAACCTTGGTAATGTTCATAAAATAACCATTCATCATAAAAAATCTCCCCTTTACCTAGGATTCATTTAAAACATGGATTAAGTTATGTTTCAAGTGTTTATTTCTTAATGGCATATGGCACATTCCTGTTACCTTATTATGAACATCACATTTGGTATTGCTCCTGCCTTTTTTATGTCTATGTACTATATCTTGGTTTAACATTTCATTTTCTGTGCTTTGCACTGAAGTCTCTTAAGTGAAAGGAAGTTGAAATTCTCCAAAGGGGTTAGAATCCTTTTCAAGTGATGAAATTTGTTAGCAAGTCTTTTAAATCTAGAATGTAATTAAGTTCATCACAATTACTTTAGATCAATAGTGAGTGCATTTGTGGTTATGTTGAATGTGCTTTAGGAATGTATTCTGTCATTATTATTATTAATTATGTGTGTTACCTAATAGAAAAAGAAGGCTATTATTAACGCATACCTACATCCATCTACTCATCTGTCCAAATTTCTCTCATCACTTGACTTTTGATCAGATCAGTTTTACTTGGGCTTTCAAAACAAAAATCTATTTTACAGTAACTTAGAAAAAGCAGTATTTTCCCATATCCTTCATAAGTTCTGATTTTTTTGTCAAGTAATTTATTTCAGAAACTCAATTTTAGATGTTGAGTCTCATTCCAGCTCCAAACATTTTTTTCATTCTTAATTATATTAATAATTTGTAACATATTTTGCTTTATTTTCTCATAGGCAAAATTGAGTCAAAGATGTATACCCTGGGTAAGGATCGGAGTAGCTAGGGTAGTATCTAAATTTAGAAAATATAAACAAAAGGTTTGCCATGGTTCGCTATATCTGTTGGTATCCAAATATCAATGTCCACATAAAAATAATTAATATAGCCCTGTAAATTTTATAATGGTATATGTACTGTGTCTCTGTGTATGTTTCAGATCACTATTTCAATAACTATAGATCCTCCATAATTGGATTCAATATCTGAATTATAATTTATCATTCATCACTCTAATTAATGTATCTTTTAAATGGATGCAGATAAATTCCAATTAACTTTCAGCGACTAGTTAAATTTTCAAGTATGATAGAGCACATCATGCAACACTGGATATTCTTCTGACATGAGCTGAGGTTTCTAATCTATGTAGGGCATTTAAATAACATTTTCATGGATTTGAAGTTCCTCCAATGCTTGTGATGGCAACGGGAACCTGTGACTTCTGTTTAACCATATGGCTCTTAAGTAGCAGATGCTTGGAGAAATTGATGAAAGATGTGAGTCATATTATCTGCAGAATTTTTCTAAATTATTTTTTCTAATTTGTCAAAACATTACATAAAAGAATGATAGCGTATGAGTAACAAAATAAATTATACACTTCAAAACTCTGTCATATTTTTCTGCTTAGTATAGTATCTTTTTTCTGCCAAAGGCTATTAACACTTCAATAAAAAATCTGATGAGGTGTTGTCTCACTGTTTACAAATGTCTGATATAAGAGGCTGATTTGGTTATTTTCCCATCTCATTATAGAATTTTATGTACAACAAGCCTAGAAACCAGCATCTTCAGAGTATGTTACATTGTAACACAATTACATTGACTCTTAAACTTTGACTGTGACTCTCAGCAAGAAATATATTTCACATCATGACCCAGTAAATACATTTCTATATTTTCCCTAGATCCTGATAAACTGTAAGAAAACCTTCACAAAGCAACATTTAACTTCACTAATGCATTCTTATATTTCATCTTCTAATTTAAAAATTAATATTTGTAATCCAGTACTGCATAAAATTTAATCAAATTAATAGGTAAATATATGTTCCTTTGTCAGTTTTCCATATTTTGGTTAAATATTCTGTTTGTACTATTCCGTCTTTCATGAATTAGGATTTTTAAAATACTTAATATAAAAAGGGGACACAAAGCATCTAACAATTTTTAATGCAAAGGTAATTGTTACAAGTTAAAAAGAAGGTCTCTCATAGTTCATAAACTTCTATAATTTAGGAAAACTAGAAATTACAGGCTGTTCAAAGCTAGAAATATTCTTGACAATAAGATGGCATACTTTTATCTTTGTTCATATTTAAGAGTGTGTGTGGCCTATATATCAATATCATAAACAATCTAAATATTAACTCAAAAAATTATCTTCTTTTTCTTTTTGGCTTATATCCAAGGAAAATGAGAATGCTTTTATTTAAATATCTAAAGGAAGAAATTTATTTGACTGGCTATCTGATCAATGTAGTCAACCAAATGACAATTTTGATAAATTAATAACCACCTCTCTCTCCCAATTATCACTTTATATTTGCATTCTTTAAATTGGTTGTTTCTAACTCAGGTTAGTCTGATTTGTCCATGTTGCTTAGACACAAAGGAGAAAAGTAAGATTCCTCTTCTGACTAGCACTCTAAGTTTTAGATTAGTGAATGAGAAATCTTTGGAACACTCTGGAAGCTTCAATTCTATATCTACAAAAACGTGTGTATTCTAAATATTTTGCTCAGTTCTTTTGATTTACCAAGCAGATTACTCTCTCTGTGGAATTATTAGGACCTATTCTTATCTCTTTCACCATCTGCCTTCCCAGTGTTGTGGTCTTTCTGCACCTTAGCTTAGCTAGGTCCAAGTTCTTGTCTCACAACCAGGAAGAATTAGGCACACACACACCAGAGAGTGAGTTGAGAATTTATGAAGCAAAAGGAAAGCTCTCAGCAAAGAAGGAAACTGGGGCACAGGGTCCCCTACTCGATGGTGAGAAAGTCCCCCATCTGGCTAGGTCTGGGGCCTCTTATGGACTCAGAGTGCATGCTGATTGGCTTGTGAGTAGGCAAAAAGGGTCAAAGCAAAGACACCACTCAAAGGTGGGCATGACAGAGTAGAAGACCAATTAGGAAAGGGTATATAAATATAAAAAAGGTGAAGGGTGGGGATCAATCAGGGGAAAGCATGCCAAGCAGGAAGATGAGTTCTCAATCTGGTCCAAGGACGTAACTTTTAGCTTGGCTTTCAAGCTAATGACAGCTGATGACAGGCTTTGGAGGTAGGGTTTCACTAGGGACACGTCCCTATCTGCCTAGACATTTAGCTGCCTCCTGCTGCTCTCACCAAGTGACTGTTTTCTTCTATTTCCACATTTAAGAAAATCAGAAATGTTTCTTTTTTTTTTTTTTTTTTTTTTTTTTTTTTTTGAGACGGAGTCTCGCTCTGTCGCCCAGGCCAGACTGCGGACTGCAGTGGCGCAATCTCGGCTCACTGCAAGCTCCGCTTCCCGGGTTCACGCCATTCTCCTGCCTCAGCCTCCCGAGTAGCTGGGACTACAGGCGCCCGCCACTGCGCCCGGCTAATTTTTTGTATTTTTAGTAGAGACGGGGTTTCACCTTGTTAGCCAGGATGGTCTCAATCTCCTGACCTCATGATCCACCCGCCTCGGCCTCCCAAAGTGCTGGGATTACAGGCGTGAGCCACCGCGCCCGGCCCCTTCTTAAGAAAAAAAGTATTCAGTATACCTCACTTGTGACAGATATAAAAACTAGAAGAATAAACACATTTCTTGCTAACAACAACAAAGTAGTATCATTCATTCATACATATATATGTCGAGGGGGTACTTTTGAGTAATGAAATGAAATGTTTTCCTGGTAGAAATACACTGAAGCTGTTTATCTTTCATGGGTCCAGGTTTTTTCTATGCTTTGTTTGTTTTTGTAAAAGCCCTTAAAGGTTTCATGCCTTCCCTGGAATGTAAATATTCTTCACCCTCTGAAATCCCTAATTATCCATTTGCAGAAATATCATTATCTAGTCCTGTTATGTTGTCTCTTCTCTAGAGTTTTGTTTGTACAATAGCCAAATTTTCTTATTTCCCAAATTTTGGCAGAAGTTAACTTCAGAAAACTTGTCCTGAATTGACATTGTACATTTCTACATACTACCAACTTTCCATTTGTAGAAATAAGGGAGACTCTATTACTAGGATTTCAAAGGATTTTCCTATTATACATTGTGAAAATAAAATGACCTTGCCCATCAGACAAGTTGCTTTATTTAAAAAGTTTTTCCTTCAATGCTTGAATACACTCCAGAGTACCAAGGATTCTTTCTATTTGTAACAACAGTTGCTAATTATGTGAGTAAAACCTAGAATAGAATCTCAAAAGTGGGCCTCCATGGGAGGAATAAAGGAATTTCACAAGGTGCCATTAAAAGTATGGTATCTCTTGCCTCATTTTTAATGAGTCTTTTCTCCACAACTCATACCAGGGAAGTCCTAAGTCACAAGATATGTAGATATATACTTTCATATCTTCTGTGTCCGGTGATCATTTTAGATAAATGAGAGTCTGGCTATTTTCGGAATGTCTGTGTCCCCCAACTTCATATATTGAAACCTAATCACCAAGATACCATCATCATATGGGGTCACAGGGAGATAATAAAGTCATAAGGGTGGTGCCTTCATGAATGGGATTAGTGCCCTCATAAAAGAGAACCCAGAGCTAACCCCTTATACCATGTGAAGACACACCAAGACAGTGCCACCTATGAAACCAAAATGCAGGTCCTTACCAGACATCAAATCTGTTGGTATCTTGATCTTGGACTTCCCAGTCTCCAGAACTGTGAGAAATAAATTTCTGTCACGTATAAGCTATCTAGTTGATAGTATTTTGTTCTAGCAGCCTGAACAGACTAAGACAAGTCCCTGCCCTTGGAAAATTTCCAAATGAAATGCAGGAAAGCCATATAAACAATAAGTATGGAAAAATGGAGTCAACGAGTGGTTGGGAGAAAGAGAGCAACACAGTCAATGTTGGTGCAGAGGATGAGGATGTGGGGTTGAGGGGAGTGGTGGGGCATCAAAGAAGTCTTTCAGGAGAAAGTTGAGAAAGTTGCAACCAAATTGTTACTGAGGGATGGAATTCCAGGTCACGTGATTTGAAAGTAAGACTTTCATAATCCTGCATAGATTCTGAACAATTGGGCCACGAGAAGATTTTGGACTATGTATTTATTTTCAAACATCTTTTTTCCCTGTCAGTACTGGAACTGGTGTAGAGCTGGCTAAATAACAGCTGGCTATTGTGTCCCAAATGCTCCTATAGAAAAATTACCAAAAGGAAAATACAAACTACATAGTCAGTATTTTTTATAGGCTTAATCATACACATAAAACCATGGTCCACCTTTAAAATTAAAGCCTGTCGACATTTGTGTGGCATAAATTGAGAACTAAATTTAGGTCTGTCTGCCCAAATTGCTTCATATCAACTGCCTCATACATAAACACACATGGAGACACACAGACACACACACACACACACACACACACACCACTCTGCAGTTGTCTTCAGTGATCTTACAATTTTCTGCCCGAGGAAAACTTCAATTAAAATATGTTTCTAATTGACCTCTGCTATAAGCACAACTGTATCACCTGGGAGTGGGGACACAAACACATATTAGCTTTTTTAACATTTTAATCGATTTTTTTTTTCCTATGGCCTGGTCAGCACTTGGCCCAGATCAGAGGCCTGGGAAAAAAAAAAAAACAAACAAACAACAACAAAAAAAAACCAGTACTAAAACCAAGTCTTTGCTAGAAGGGATAATTTAAGGCATCTGGATCTTTCCTAATGAGAGAAGCCTGGGTAGAATGCTGTTCTTAGGGACATGGGGAGTGCAAGAAGCTACATGAAGCTCTGGAGTAATTAGGAAGTATGAGAGAGGGAAGTGAAAATGGGCAAAGTGCATCAGGAGATACTACAGACGTACTTCTTGGAGCTGCCTCAGGTTAATTCGCTAATCGCCTTGGCCTGAGAGTATCACCGCTAAATTATCTCATAATTACAGTCAGGAGGGCAGAGGTAGAAAGAAATGAGTCAAACCGTAGGCTATTTACCATGGCTCGGGCTTCAAAAACAGCCAAGGAGGCAAAGAAAGAGGAAAACTTGTCAAAGACTTTTAAAAAAGATATGTTTGTGTCAGGACAGGCTGTGAAGGGAGAGACAAGGCACACAGGAACAACGGAAAGGACTTCTGTAACGCTGGGTTGGTGTCCTTGACTGGTGAATTGGGACTGATGAGTTGGGACATGAGCAGTCACTGTCATGTGGCAATGATTTTACGTCAGCAGCCCGGCATATCTGGTAGCAGCAGGAGGGAAAAATAAAATACCTCCTCTGATTGAAACTGTTAGAGAATTCATGGAAGAGGAGCACAAGTGCCCAAATTGGGAGGAGACAGGGATTGTCAATTGAAATCCCTGCTCTTGTGGGGAGAAAAATCTTTCTGATGAGTGCGAGGAACTGGGGCCTTGTTTCACTCTTTTATAGCTCATCTTAGAAATGATACCCTTTCTTGCCTATAAAAAAAACTGTTTGAGGCTTAATTCAGAATGACATCCCCATTTAGGCCATAAATGTTTGAAGCTTAAGCTTAAAATCAAACTTGTCTTCCGTCTCTCTGCAACACCGACAACCCCTAGGGCACTCCAAGTATTTTTATATGTATAAATTGCTTTTGCTGTACGAAAGTTTTTAAAATTCAGCCTTTGTCTCACAAAGGAATAGGCGAAAGTATTAAAAGGGTGGTAATCTCAGCAAGAGTTTTAAATTCAGCTTATGTCAGGCAAACACAATTTAGTTCATATGTTTCATGTTATCTAAGTCTCTTTTTAAAAAAGAAAGAACAACTCATTATGTCAGTGAAAAGCAATTTATAATGAGACCATCACCAATAATTGTTTGTTTTAGGCTGTGAAGTGGTAGGGTACTTTCCTGCCTGGGTAGAATCAAGTAAAAATAACCATTTTTTTTTCTGCATTTGCAAACAGGATAGGTTGTAATGAATAAGCCTCCAGTACAACCCATTGCATTTCAAAACAGACATTTTGATGAAGTTAGAATAACATGAAAAATGGCAATACTTTTCAAGTCGAAGAACTTGTGCAGTTTAGTGGCTTCTTAAATCAAATTTCAAAAAATATTATTCATTTTAATAATATTGTTGAACTTTGAATAACTTTATTGCCTTTCTCCAGATGTGCACCCTAACTCTTCCAGACATAACTTAATTTGTTTCCATAACATACCCAAAGAGGATGTGGTAGTTTGCCTACTCAATAAACAGCAACATCCCACCTCCCAGGATTTAGCCATATGACAACCTCATGATTGTTGACAGAGCTGAGAAGCAGGATTTAAACAATAAAACTCGAGGCACAATCAAATTGCAACCACAAAGTCCATGCAACTAAGCAAGTGCCTTTTTCTCTTATAAGTGTTTCCTTAGAACTGACAAAATCTTATTTTACTGACAATTTTAACAAGTGTGTTATTTGGTTACCAAACCCACTGCCTATTAGGAAGCAGGAAACGAAAAAGGGGATGGGGCTGTGAAGACTTGCGCAATGATAGTAGTTAAATGTGTCAGCAAGAAAGTCGAAGAAAATCTATAAAAAGCGTACAAAGGAACTCAAAAATCACAAGAACCGAGCTATAAAGGTAAACACAATAAAGGCAAACAGACCTACAAACTTTTATAATCCCTGATGTTACTGCTATACTATAATTGGTACACCTAATGATGGTCAGAGGTCGCTATGGAAGTGTTATTTTAAGTTCCATAGTTTGATCAGTTTTAAGAAAACAAACAGAGTACATAACTGACTTAGATTTTCATCCAAAACGCTCATCTCTTTTTTTAAAGAGAGGTTTAAAAGGTTAAACTTTAGCTGTTATGTTGTTTTTGTTCATCTTGACTAACTCATAACTCAATACTGCAAGTGAGCTTTACTTACAAAATTAAACAACTAGTATAAAAATATAATATAGTTGTTGGGTAATAAGGATGTCCAAGCTCATTTAATATATACCCAGTTTCAAAATCATCCTTTAAAATAAAGCCAGGGAATGTTTTCAACATGTCTACTTGTGGCTAAATATATTACAACATTTTTCTGGCATGATTAAGATTGCAGGTTAAATTCTCCATGTGGACCTGTTGTCTTATTTTTTGTCTTGACCCCTGTTTATCCCCCTAAATGGCATATAACACATAAAATTTATTTCCACTTTCAGAAAAATAACCACATAATTACTAGAGTAACATCTGATTATCTACATATTTTACAACAGCATCTTAAATAATAAAAATCCATTCATTCACCGGGTTCTTATTTCATATCCGTAATGTAGAGAGGGAAGGAGAAGAGCTAGCTCAGAACATACAACTTCTTGTGGCAGGCCCAGTGCTAGTGTCACATTATCTTGCAACGAATTTGGAGAGCCAATTTTTAAAGAAACGGAAGCCCATGGAGGGAACTTGTATGGAATGTGGAATATTCTCATTTCCTTTAGCTTGCTGCTGGAGAGGGGCTAAAACAATCCCTGTAAATGTTTGCTAGTTGTTAACATTATGGTACACATTAGTTTGATTGAGTTTCATATGGTACTCTGTGCCCCATTCAACTCATTTAATGACTTAGTCATTGTAATAAACAGGGCAAAATGACAGAGTCACAGTTTCAGTCCCTTCTCTAAGTAGCTTCTGTGATTTTAGGCCAGTATTATGTTTTCTAGGCTGTGGTATGCTCATTAAAAAAAAATGAAGAGGAGCCTTCAACTACCTCTGCCAAGGAGCCAACACACTCTTATGATAAAAAAAAAAGCTGCCAGTCCTAAGTTGGGGATTAATGAAGACAAATTTTAACAACTTTGTTCCTTGAGATATTGTGGACACATTGCAGTGTTTGGACAAGAGTATATATCTCAAGATAACTTATATTTTTGGTTCTCCATAAACAAAAGTATGTTAAGAAAAAGAGAGTTAGCAAATACTTACATGGCAAAACTCCAAGATAAGCCCAACTTGAGAAAGAGTTTAATTTCATATACATATTTTGATTAATAAGGTATTAGCATTTAGAAGACCGATCTGGATTTTCTACATCTGATAAACAACTAAGTGTAGAGAAAGAAAAGTAACCTTGGTGTATACGTGTATTTTGTTTTAAATTTTCTTATCGAATACTATTGGTTGGCTAGTTTATAATAGTAATGTTAGTGCATTACTTGTATTGTTTTTTATTTCTTCTTTCTTCACTGTTTTTTCTTGTTTTGTTATACATGTTAATTACATGAGCATTAAGTATTTCACGTGTGTTTTGTTAACTACTGAAGTAATTATGTACCATTAATCTCAAAGGTAATTATGTTTTTAAATTCCAATAATTTCTCATAGGTTTTCAGAAATAAATTACCCTGAAAGGAGAAGAATGTGGAGGCATTTTAGTGTGTATTGCTGTGTGTTGTCTCAAAAGGGGAGGAATTTTGCATATTATTCACAGAACAACCTAATTGAAGAGGGAAAGGATATTGATATTTATTGAGAAAATAATGTACACCAGTCACTCTCTATTTGGTGTATAGTTAGTTCTAGTTGCTATTTAATGTTTTCATCATAACATTTCTTTGAACTAGGCATTATCTCCCTTTAAGAAAAAGTTACAGAAGCACTATTTATAGAAAGTAGCACACCTATTTCTATAATGCCAGGTCAGCTCCCAAAGCAAGTGCTTTTTCAACTATATGATGCTGTTCCTTGGCTTTTATTGTTAATTGTCCTATGTGGTTGACTATTTATTAGCACAATTTAAATTCTTCACTATCTATACATCTGGTAGATATAGAGAAAGGGGTTAGATGACACATATATACTTTTTTGCTGATAAGACAAAAAATAATCAGGTATTTTCTTTGCTTTACAGTCCTAGTTTTTTGCATATTTGTTGCTAGTTATAAATTTCTCATTACTTTTTTCCAATATGCAAACATTTTATAGGTGTATGTTGCAGAGTCAGTTTGTTTACGTGCCATTTTTGCAAATGGATAATGTTTTACATGCAGGTGTCATATATGAGTATTTCCTCTCCCTTTCTCTCTCTCTTCTTTTTTTTTTTTTCTTTTTTTTTTGAGATGGAGTCTCACTCTGTCGCCCAGGCTGGAGTGCAGTGGCACGATCTCGGCTCACTGCAAGCTCCACCTCCCGAGTTCACGCCATTCTCCTGCCTCAGCCTCCCAAGTAGCTGGGACTACAGGCGCCCGCCACCATGCCCGGCTAATTTTTTGTGTTTTTAGTAGAGACGGGGTTTCACCGTCTTAGCCAGGATGGTCTCGATCTCCTGACCTTGTGATCCACCCGCCTCGGCCTCCCAAAGTGCTGGGATTACAGGCGTGAGCCACCGCGCCCGGCCCCCTTTCTCTCTTTAATGCATACTTGGAATTTGTCAATGGCATTTGAGTGTGGTGTTTGTGGAGTACAAATATAAACATCATCATATATCCAAAATTTTCAATCACTTCATTTGTTCTAGAGTGCATTAAACTGTGATTTAATGGGAAATTAAACTGCCTTCTTGCTGTTTTAACCATAAAATGCCTTAGATGTATTTCAAGGCACAGCTTGTACTGGACCAAAGCTATCTCTAATCTAATAGAGTCCAGCCTTTCATTTTATTTTCATAATCCCTTTATATTTCTACAAAATAAAAAAAGCTAAGTAGTACTGAAAGGAAAAAAAATGAAAATCTCAGTAAGACTAGAGTTGATGCTAAGAATCTATCCAAAGTGATTAGCAGGTATTGGTTTTAAAGGCTTTTTATATTTTATCCTGTATAATTTATATATGTTTGCACTATGAAAATAAGGGATTTGGAAAATTAAAAATACCTGTCAAGCATTTCTATTCATATCCAACATCTCATTTAAAAGAAAAGAAAAGAGACGTGAATTGAAAAGGTTTAATGATTTCACCAGACTATTCTACTTCCAGGATAAGATTACTTCCTAAGATGCATTTTATGTTGCATCAAAGCCCATTTTAAAGTTATTTCTTCTAGCCAGGCATTGTGGTTCACATCTGTAATCCCAGCAACTTGGCAGACTGAAGCAGGAGGATGGCTTGAGTCCAGGAGTTCGCGACAAGCTTGAGCAAGATAGCGAGACCCTCGTCTTAAAAAAAAAAAAAAAGTGCACCTGTAGTCCCAGCTACTGAAGTGGGAGGATTCCTAGCCTAGGAGTTCTAAGCTGCAGTGAGCTATGACAGAGTAAGGCACCCATCTCTCAAGAAAATTTATTTAAGTTATTTGTTCTAAATATTGGAGTGGGTAACATTTCTCTTAAAATGTCTTGATAATTATCTGCTTGATTTGAATGAAGTTCCTGACATTCCAGTTAAATTATTTTATCTTCACTTCAAATTATTAACAGTGTTACTTCTCAGTTGCCAATCAGGGACATGAAATAGGCACACACACAGGCATATTTAGAAGGTAAACTCGTATATGGCAAGCATGCCTTCAACTCCTAATGTTTCAGAAATAGGGTGTCTAACTTAAAACCTATTCTCCAAATAAAGTGGCCATTCTTCCTCAGCCCCACCCCATCACACACACACACACACACACACACACACACACACACACACACACACGATTATTTCAGGACACTCACAAGCACTTCTTTACATTTGTTGCCTACTAACATGAGTATTTTGCATTGAATAAGGGTTTTCTTTTACAAGGATCCTTCATGACAGGCTTATTCAATTAAAGGGCAACATACTTATAATTTATCTTAGGATAAATAGCATAGAAAAATATCTTGGAAATATCTTAGGAAATATAGTAGATGAGTGGATTATCAGTTTACAAGAGAATTGTACTCAAGGTGAGTAGACTGTGGCAAAGAATAAGAACATCGGAAATATTACAAGGGATAACAGGTTGTGCGAGGGAAAGAGAAAAGACCGTTTTTCTCTAATTTCACAAGTTTTTCCTAATTTTTAAATTTTATTAAAAAACACATGACATAAAATTTACCATTTTAGCCATTTTTAGGTGTATAGTTCAGTAGTGTTAAATATATTCACATTTTTTGTGAGTCAGCTCTCCAGAACCTTTTCATCTTGCAAAACTGAAACTCTGTACCCATTGAACAACAACTCCGCATCTCTCCCTCCCCACATCCAGCCCCTGGCAACCACCATTCTACTGTCTGTCTCTATGAATTTGATTACTGTAGGTATCTCATATAAATGGAATTATACATCATTTTTATAATTATTTGTGACTGGCTTATTTCACTTAACATAACGTCCTCAAGAGTCATCCATGTTGCAGAATTTTGCCTCATGTTAACATTACCTATACCTAAATCATCTCACTTGACTTAAATGTTGTTAATCACTTCATGATAGTTGTGTGTGTGTTTGAAGGTGTGCATGCATGTGTGTGTATGTTGTACATTTAGCTATAGGTAATTTGGATTATACAACTGTTCATTAATAAAAATATATACATATCATAAATATTAAAAGTTGTAAATATTTGACAGACATTTCCCCCTTTAAATTATGAAATATTTCTTGTGGCTAAAATAGGAATAGGCTGTGTTCCGTCTGCATAAATTAGTATGGTCGATTCTTAACATCGTTGGTCCTTTGCCACAATTGGATCTCTTACCAAATCTGGCTCCTTTCTATTCTATAAGAGACATCAAGGAAAGGCTCTCTCATCTCACTTCTCTTTTGTCTAATCACTTGACCATTCCATCTCAGCTCTTTCCTAGATGGTAGTTGAAAAAATTATCTTCTTTTTTTTTTTCTTTTTTGAGACAAGGTCTCACTCTGTCACCCAGACTGGAGGGCAGTGGCACTATCACAGCTCACTGCAACCTTTGTCTCCCGGGCTCCAGTGATCCTCCCTCCTCAGCCTCCTGAGTAGCTGAGACTACAGGTATGTGCCACCATGCCTGGCTAACGTTGGGGGGAAATTTGTAGAGACAGGGCTTTACCATGTAGCCCAGCTAGTCTCAAATTCCTAGGCTCAAGTTATTTGCCGGCTGCCACAAAAATTTTCTGCTGCGACTCAGCCTGTTCAATGAGATCAGGAGATCAAGACCATCCTGGCTAACACAGTGAAACCCCATCGCTACTAAAAAAAAAAAAATTAGCCGGGCATGGTGGTGCATGGCTGTAGTCCCAGCTACCTGGGAGGCTGAGGCAGGAGAATCACTTGAACCTGGGGGGCAGAAGTTGCAGTGAGCCGAGATAGTGCCACGGCACTCCAGCCTGGCGACGGAGCAAGACTAAGTCTCAAAGAATAAATAAATAAAATATTCTTATATTTACCTTCAAAACAATTTCACTGAAACTGTTTCAATGATATATTGAGTGAATACATATCATTTCATAGTTTATATATATAATTATTTTATATTGTATATAATTATACATACTTTTATTTGTAATATAAAAGAAAACATAGTGTTTTTAGGTAAGAATTTATCAGAGTCAACTTCATTGATAACAGTATTCTTATTTCTGTCTTATTTTTCAAACTCTCAACTGATTTTTGGAGGGTTGGTCCTCTTAGATCTGTTATTTTTTCATTTCCTGCTTGTTCTACCACTTGATGATCGGTATTTCATTTGTTTTGCCATAAGCAAAACTTCTTGTATTTTCCCAAGTACCATCTTATTCTGTGTTTAGTATCTCTGTTTGTAACCTTTGGATCAATCACTATGACTTCTTTCTCTCCTTAGAGGTATCTGAAACATTTACTAGGCTTTATTTTTATTTGCTTTATTCATTTATATTCAGCTTGCTACTCATTCCAGATTTCCATACAATTTTTCAGTTGCGAAATAAGTCTTCCTTTCTCCAAACTGTTTGACATTAGAAGTTCACTTGACTTGAATTTATAAAAATGATTATTGTTGGCCGGGCGTGGTGGCTCACGCCTGTAATCCCAGCACTTTGGGAGGCCAAAGGGGGCGGATCACGAGGTCAGGCAATCCAGACCATCCTGGCTAACACGGTGAAACCCCCTCTCTACTAAAAATACAAAAAAATTAGCCAGGCATGGTGGCGGGTGCCTGTAGTCCCAGTTACTCAGGAGGCTGAGGCAGGAGAATGGCGTGAACCCAGGAGGCGGAGGTTGCAGTGAGCCGAGATCAGGCCACTGCACTCTAGCCTGGGTGACAGAGCAAAACTCCGTCTCAAAAAAAAAAAAAAAAAAAAAAAAAAGTTTAATAGGTTATTATCAAGATTTCAGGTATTGCTTTTGGTCAGAATCCTCAAACTAATTTTTTTAAAATGCTTCAATAGATGTTTGATAAATTTCGTATTCCCTTTCTGAGCAACTGGATTTTACTTCAACAATTTTCACAATACTGTAACACATATGGTATATTTTATCTTTACACCTTCCCAGGGTAAAGTTCACAGAAAAAAAAAAAAATCTTCAAATACTGTGTTCAGGCTGACAAGATTTCAGAGCCACACAAATATAACTAACTGCTTTCTTGTGGAGAATTATTTATTTCTCATTTTCTCTCTGGTAAAACTAGTGCCTCTCTTTGCTAGTGTCAACGATCAATCTACAGACACTATCTACTCATGAGAAAGACTGTGGCCAAATAATACTATGCCTATCAGTAATACACACACTGCTACCCTAGCAACCACACAACACTACCTGCAATAACAACACAAACAGCAGCAGGAACAACTTGTGCGTCTCATGAATTCCTTGTTTTCTTCAGTTTGCTTTAATTCTTGAATGATACAGCTTACATTTCTGAACTAATTAACTATCAATGCCCTGTTTGGTCAGTACACTGAGGCGTGGAACATGAAATAGACTAAGACAGGAATATAGCCTTACTTCTTAGAGAAAAGCCCTTTTTAAAAATAAAAAATAAAAACCTATTATGACAACTCCTGAGATAAATTTATGAGGAAATCTGAATTTTCAAGCCAGTGAACATATTTTAATTTTTAGAGATTCCCTTAGGGAAAGAAAAATTGAGGAATGAAGGTCGTTCATATATTTGACATTACTCTTTTGAATTAGAAACTTGTAACAATTAATTTTATATGTATTTTCCATACCATTTTTAAAACTTGAGCCATCCTTGTGGTAAAATTTTAGCTAGCAAATAAAGTGATGAAATATTTAAAAAGTAAAACAGCAATTGCTATGGAATAGTTATATCTGGCTTTATAGAGCTAAGAATAGTTATAAAGCCAGTTGCCCTACATATATTGTAGGACACAAATGTTTGGAATGTAATGAATGACAAAGGAAAGGGAAAAACTGCTGAACCTAGTGTCTCTGAATGTCATTATAAAGACATGATATGGCAAGCATATGAATTAAAGGCTTGAGACTCCTTGAAGGGTTGAAGCATCGTAATTATCTATAACTCAGTGTTAAAGAAGATTTTCAGACCCAATTTTTTTCATGGATAGATTATTTTTAAAGAAATATTCATGTTTTAGGGAAAGCTATTTTAGACTATTTGCTGTGTGGTGGCTGAACTTGAAAATATAGCTATAGGTTTTCTTTCTCCCATGAAGATATTTTTACCTGGTCATTACTTTAAAGATTTTACCCTCCCATCCTCCCACCTACCTAGATAGGTGTTTTGATACCAAAAAAATAAAAGATGTAATCAATATCTGTATGTATCAGAAAAAGAAACTACTAGTCAAGAAGTGAGATGGGAAAAGTCATTGGGGAGCTTAAAGTGTATTACCTAGGGCAAAATCGTTTTTAAACAATTCTCACATGGAAGTAGATGAGCTAGGGATTGGAGATTATCCTAATAAGCAGAAATCTTTTCCATTATCGGGAGCAGTGTCAGAGAGATAACTGAGAGGTTTTAGTGGAGAGAAGAAAATGCAAGTCTGTGAAAGTTCATAGAGAGTGCTTCAACCTGGAAAACAAAAAGCCTTATTTGCATATGATGCTACTAGAGACAGTGAACAGCATACAATCCATGATCATCATCAGTTTTCAAACACTTTCATGGGACATGTATACACTTATCAGGATACCTGGTACATTTAGATGAGAGGTGTTAAGTATTTAAGCAGAAGTATTCCAATAACTAATATAAACAGTCAGATCTGATGAGTTTATCTGTGCTCTGGAAGCCCAAAGGCTAATCTGTTTACATTTCAATGTGTAATTACTGCCTTCTCCCATTTGGATAAGCATCATTGAGATCTTGAGAGCAATTCTTTCTCTTTATCTGTGAAACTTCAGTGACTTTAGTATAAACAACAAATGTCTCATTTTCAAAACTCGAAGGTGTTTGCCGTGAAGTTTTGTGCTTTGTGCAGTCTGTTGTGTTTAGGTTAACTTTATGTTCGGGAAACCTGTAACAGAAGAAATGATTTTTGTTAAGTAGTATGCCTACTGCTCTTCATATTTCTATTATTTTTATATGGTCTTTCAAAGGATCTAAGGATATGTTGGCACCATCTAGGGAATATGAGGAAGTAGGAAGACTCTAAGGTTTGTCCTCACATATTTGGAGCATTATGCTTAGCCATCAAATTAATTTCAAAACACTGATATTTCTCAGTCCACACCAGAATTCCCTAAACTGTGGTAACAAGGACAAAAATGCTTATTAAGTTGATCAAATTATTTAGAGATCATGTATTTGTATGTGTCTTAAAAGCAGGTTGATAGTGCTCTGCAAAATTGGGGTTTAGTTACGTCCAAGAAGTTGCCATTGTAATTAATTCATCAATGAGTTTGTAATCTTTATCATGTAATCCAGGAGAAATATTCATGTCTTTCTTTACTCCATCCATGTGATGTAATTTATTTTACTTAAAAAAACTATTTATGTACATAGAAGACTCATTTTGTAGATCTAAATTAGTGCCTAAAATGATAATTTTTTAATGTCCACATTTCTAACTGAGATTATAGAAAGTAAGGATTCCTAGTCAAAGTATCTTGAATACCAGTGCTCAAAGCCAGAAGAACTTGGTGACAAGGTCAAATGTTTCTTATTCCCGAAATCAAAACAGTAAAGAGAAAGAAGTAAAATCCAGGCTGGGCGCGGTGGCTCACGCCTGTAATCCCAGAACTTTGGGAGGCCCAGACGGGTGGATTACGAGGTCAGGAGACAGAGACCATCCTGGCTAATGCGGTGAAACCCTGTCTCTACTAAAAATACAAAAAAGTTAGCCGGGTGTGGTGGTGGGTGCCTGTAGTCCCAGCTACTTGGGAGGCTGAGGCAGGAGAATGGCATGAACCCAGGAGTCGGAGCTTTCAGTGAGCCGAGATCACGCCACTGCACTCCGTCTCAAAAAAAAAAAAAAAAAAGTGAAACCTGATATGTTTTCCTTATGAAATTAAGAGTACACTTAAGCAAAGAACAATTTATAGAGAAAGAAAATGACTAAATTCAACACCAAATTTTATTAATTTGAATTCAACATTCAAATTTTATGCTAGTCTATTCTGCTCACCTTCCACCCCCAGATTCTGATTTATTATTAGTTCATACATGCCATATTAATGCAATCGTTCAGTACTCATAATGTCCTTGTCTCTGACTGTACCATGGAATATCTTGACACTCCCCGTTGACTTCTCTGGGCTTTCTTCTTTCTTTCAAAAAAAATAGAGGCTGGAGATCTTCTTTTTAAATATTTAAAATGTTCAGTGGCTCTCCTGGAGGAAAATGAATGAGCTAAAGTCCCTTTAGTTGATGATTTCATTTTACTATGGTTGTGAATGTGATAAATGCACCTGTCTCTAGAGAATGAAACTGCCAGCTTCGAGGAGTGCAAATGTGACTGTAACTGCCTCAATTTCAATGAGTTATTATTCACTGAATCTGTTCTGCTTGTACCGGGATAGTTTGTGCAGAGATCGTTTACAGCTGCATTTAGAAAGAAGAAGAGTAAATAAATTGGCATCCATGGAAAAGAAAAAGCCGACCTATGTATAGGTATATCCAATATAGTTTTGTTTGTTTCTCGTTAATATTTAGAATGTCACTGGTTAAAGAAAAAGCGTATCCTCATAATTAATAATCTGTATTGTTTCATGAATACACCGTAAAGAGGATCTCCTGGGACTGATCTGAGTTTTCTGGAAACTCAAATCGTCATGTATTGCAAATGTATTGCTTACAACTCAGTTCCTTTAGATGTTGCCCTGGGAATTATAGAATTACATTTTGACACACTGGTTCATTTTACTTATGGGTAATTTTGCACATACGCAGAAACCTTTACCTAAGTTCCTTCCTGTCTCTAGGGCTTCCTTCAAAATGTTCCTTACTTATTACTTCTTCAGGCAGCGTACACTTGGTTCTTGCTGTTATAATCTAAAATTGCATCAGTCAACAGGGCATTGAAGTAAATGAATTTGAGTTCAAAATGAAATATTTTAGTTTTGGAAGTTTTCATTTTTCTATCCTAGCTTTTAAGTATGTATAAATTGGGAACATTTCTAATATTTCATTGATGAACTCACTACTAAATACCAATGACTAGGCCTTTGGGTATATACATACATAAGGCCTAATGGAATACACAGTCACTTCTCATCTAGCATTCACTGTGCTCTGGGAGATTTTCTTCAAGCAAAGATGGTGGGCAGTGACTGATTTTTTTTTTCTTTTTTTCTTTTTTTTTTTTTTTGAGAAGGACTCTCGCCCTGTCACCCAGGCTGGAGTGCAATGGCACGATATTGGCTCACTGCAACCTCTGCCTCCTGGGTTCAAGTGATTTTCCTGCCTCAGCCTCCTGAGTAACAGGGATTAACAGGCATGTGCCACCACGCCCAGCTAATTTTTTTGTATTTTTAGTAGAGGCAGGATTTCACCATGTTGTTCAGGTTGGTCTCAAGCTCTTGACCTCATGATCCATCTGCCTCAGCCTCCCAAAGTGCTCGGATTACAGGCATGAGGCACTGCGCCCAGCTGACTGATTTCTTTTGGCTAAACACTTTTTAAGTAGATGATCTATTTTTTCCCCCGTTTATGTATGCAATTATCACCAGGAAAATTGTAACTATACTCAATAATATGGGCTTTACAATTGGACAGACACTTTATTTACGATATCTGGGCTCTGTGGAATATTCTTTGAAATTCTGGAAATCATTATGTCTAAGGCTGAGGTGTAAGAAGCTCTGCATTCCTTCCTGCCTTGATTTTGCTACTTCTAAAGTAAGCATGACAGTGATATAATAGTTTATGAAGACTGACTAAGAAACAACTTGTGTCCTGCCAGGAGAATACAGTAATCATGCTTTAGAAGCACTGAATTTATTGAAGTCACAAAAGTACAATTTAATACATTAATGTAGTAAGTTATTAAATGGTGCCCCTATGATCTGCGAGAGGTAATACACTATCACGTGTTCCAAATTTTCACAGGAAAAGAATCATAGAATCCTATAGCTGAAGGGGGCTTTAGCGGGGATCTCTACAAATGCCTGCCAGGTGCTTGGATATCCTCCATCACATCCAGCCATGAGAAGTTACTTGTGTCATGGTACGGTGATCATTACTCCCCAGCGCAGCTCAATCCACTTCCAGACTGTTCTAATTGTTGGAATAATTTTCCTTATGTAATTCAATTTCCCATCTATTAATTTATGAGATATTTATTTAAAACTGACCGTATTCCAGGAACTGGGCTAAACGAAGAAGAGTAGTGAATTAATACAGAAATCACCCTTGATTTGGCAGAATATTTTCCCTGGTAGTGTAGGTCACCCCTATTGTGGTGATAATCCCCCAAATCATACAGCAAAAGAAACAACACACAGACAAAAACCAAGTCATTCTTCTAGGATGTTTTCATCCAAGGATTTGAAAAGATTTAGGTGATCTTCCATTTTTCATCCTATGCAATCTGGGCTATGCTACTACTTTACAGATTGAAAATATATTTAAAAATCACTGAACTTTCAATAGTCACCAATGATCACTGTTCTAGTTGCAGTTACAATTAGGTGTTCAAGGAAACACTTATAACTTAAATTTAATGTCTAAATCTTACACCTTTAATTGGAAAAATAATGTAATAAGTGAGCAATTAGATTATCTAGTATTAGAAAATAACTGAGGATTGGCTGGGCATGGTGGCTTATGTTTGTTATCCCAGCACTCTGGGAGGCAGAGACAGGAGGATTGCTTGAGGTCAGGAGTTCGAAAACAACCTGGGCAAAACAGCAAGACTCCATCTCTACAAAAAAATTTAAAAAAAAAAAAGAAAAGACCTGAGTATTAATGTATGCTTCAGGGTCAGACTGAAGCTTTTTTTTTTTTTTTTTTGAGACAGGGGCTCACTCTGCTGCCTAGGCTGGCATGCAGTAGCAGGATTATACCTCACTGCAGCCTTGATTTCCTACACTCAAGGTTTTCTCTCTCCTCAGCCTCTCAACTAACTGGAACCATAGGCATGTACAACTAAACCTGGCTAATGTTTAAAATTTTTTTAAATTTCTTCTTCTTCTAAAAAAAAAGAGGGATACATGTACAGAACGTGTAGGTTTACTACATAGATATACATGTGTCATGGTGATCTGCTGCACCTATTGACCCGTCCTCTAAGTTCCCTCCCCTCATCCCCCGCTCCCCAACAGGCCCTGGTGTATGTTGTTCCCCTCTCTGTGTCCATGTGTTCTCAATGTTCAACACCCACTTATGAGTGAGAACACGCAGTGTTTGGTTTTCTGTTCACAGAAACTTATGTGTTACTTATGTGTTAGTTTGCTGAGTATGATAGCTACCAGCTTCATCTATGTCACTGCAAAGGACATGATCTCATTCCTTTTTATGGCTGGATAGTATTCCATGGCATATATGTACCACATTTTATTTATCCAGTCTATCATTAGGTATTTGGGTTGGTCTTTGCTAAATAGTACTGTGATAAAGGTATGTGTGCATGTGTCTTTATAGTAGAATAACTTATATTCCTTTGGGTATACACCCAGTAATGGGGTTGCTGGGTCAAATGGTAATTCTGGTTCTGGATCCTTGAGGAATTGCCTTCCACAATGTCTTCCACAATGGTTGAACGAATTTACATTCCCACCAACAGTGTAAAAGCATTCCTATTTCTCCACAGCCTCGCCAGCATCTATTATTTCCTGACTAATTGCCATTATGACTGGCATGAGATGGTATCTCATTTTGGCTTTGATTTGCATTTCTCTAATGATCAGTGATGTTGAGCTTTTTTTCACATGTTGCCCACATAAATATCTTCTTTTGAGAAGTGTCTGTTCATATCTTTGGCCACTTTTTGACGGAGTTGTTTTTTTTTTTTAATTGTAAATATTGTTTAAGTTCATTATAAATTCAGGATATTAGACCTTAGATCAGTAGATTGCAAAAGTTTTCTCTCATTCTGTAGATTGTCTGTTCACTCTGATGATAGTTTCTTTTGCTGTGCAGAAGTTCTTTAGTTTAATTAGATCCCATTTGTAAATTTTGGCTTTTGTTGCAATTGCTTTTGGCATTTTTGTCATGAAGTCTTTGCCCATGCCTGTGTCCTGAATGATATTGCCTAGTTTTTCTTCTAGGGTTTTTATGGTTTGGGGTTTTACATTTAAGTCTTTAATCCATCTTAAGTATAAGGTGTAAGGAAGGGGTCCAGTTGCAGTTTTCTGCATATGGCTTGCCGGTTTTCCCAGCATCATTCACTAAATAGGAGTTCCTTTGCCCATTGTTTGTTTTTGTCGGGTTTGTCGAAGATCAGATGGTTACAGATGTGTGGCATTATTTCTAAGGTGTCTGTCCTGCTCCATTGGTCTATATGTCTGTTTTGGTACCAATACCATGCTGTTTTGGTTACTGTAGCCTTGTAGTATAGTTTGCAGTCAGGTAGCGTGATGCTTCCAACTTTGTTCTTTTTGCTTAGGATTGTCTTGGCTATACAGGGTCTTCTTTGATTCCATATAAAATTTAAAATAGTTTTTTTTTTCCAAATTCTGTGAAGAATGTCAATGGTAGTTTGACGGGAATAGCATTGAATCTATAAACTGCTTTGGGCAGTATGGCCATTTTCACAATATTGATTCTTCCTGTCCGTGAGAATGGAATGTTTTTCCATTTGTTTGGATCCTCTCTTATTTCCTTGAGCAGTGGTTTGTAGTTCTCCTTGAAGAGGCCCTTCACATCCCTTGTTAGCTGTATTCCTAGGTATTCTATTCTCTTTGTAATGATTTTGAATGGAAGTTCATTCATGATTTGGCCCTCTGCTTGCCTATTGTTAGTGTAAAAGAATGCTTGTGATTTTCACACATTGATTTTGTATCCTGAGACTTGCTGAAGATGCTTATCAGTTCAAGGAGTTTTTAGGCTGAGATGTTGGGGTTTTCTTAATATAAAATAATGTCATGTGGAAACAGAGATGATTTGATTTCCTTTCTTCCTGTGTGAATAATCTTTATTTCTTTCTCTTGCCTGATTGCCCTGGCCAGAATTTCCAATACTATGTTGAATAGGAGTGGTGAGAGAGGCATCCTTGTCTTATACCAGTTTTCAAAGGCAATGCTTCCAGCTTTTGCCCATTCAATATGATACTGAATGATACTGACGCTGTGGGTTTGTCATAAATAGCCCTTATTATTTTGAGATATGTTCCATCAGTACCTAGTTTATTAAGAGTTTTTAACATGAAGGGATGTTGGATTTTATCAAAGGCCTTTTCTGCATGTATTGAGATAATCATGTGGTTTTTGTCTTTGCTTCTGTTTGCATGATGGATTACATGTATTGATTTGCATATGTTGAACCAGCCTTGCATCCCAGGGATGAAGCTGATTTGATCGTGGTGGATAAGTTTTTTGATGTGCTCCTGGATTCGGTTTGCAGTGTTTTATTGAGGATTTTCGCATTGATGTTCTTCAGAGATATTGGCCTGAAGTTCTCTTTTTTTGTTGTGTCTCTTCCTGGTTTTGGTATCAGGATGATGCTGGCTTCATAAAATGAGTTAGGGAGGAGTCCCCCCTTTTCAATTGTTTGGAATAGTTTTAGTAGGAATGGTACCAGCTCCTCTTTGTACTTCTGGTAGAATTCAGCTGTAACTCTATCTAGTCCTGGGTTTTTTTTGTTGGTAGCCTATTAATTACTGCCTCAATTTCAGAACTTGTTTTTGGTCTATTCAGGGATTCAATTTCTTCCAGTTTAGTCATGGTAGAGTGTATTTGTCCAGCAATTCATCCATTTCTTCTAGGTTTTCTAATTTTTTTGCATAGAGGTGTTTATAGTATTCCCCGATGGTGGTTTGTATTTCTGTGGGATCAGTGGTGATATCCCTTTTATCATTTTTTATTGTGTCTATTTTATTCTCTCTCTTCTTCTTTATGAGTCTAGCTAGTGGTCTATTTTTTTGATTTTTTTCAAAACCCAGCCCTTGGATTCATTGATTTTTTTTTTTTTTGGAGGGTTTTTCGTGCATCTATATCCTTCAGTTCTTCTCTGATCTTAGTTTTTTTCTTGTCTTCTGCTAGCTTTTGGATTAGCTTGTTCTTACTTCTCTTGCTCCTTTAATTGTGATGTTAGGGTGTCAATTTGAGATTTTTCTAGCTTTCTGATGTGAGCATTTAGTGCTATAAATTTCCCTCCTAACACTGCTTTAGCTGTGTACCAGAAATTCTGGTACATTGTCTCTTTATGCTCATTGGTTTCAAGGAACTTCTTGATTTTTGCCTTAATTTCATTATTTACCCAGGAGTCATTCAGGAGCAGGTTGTTCAATTTCCATGTAACTGTGTGGTTTTGAGTGACTTTATTAATTCTGAATTTGAATTAGATTGCACTGTGGTCTGAGAGACTGTTATGATTTCAGTTATTTTGCATTTGCTGAGGAGTGTTTTACTCCCAATTATGTGGTCAATTTCAGAATAAGTGCCATGTGGCACTAAGAAGAATGTATAGTCTATTGATTTGGGGTAGAGGGTTCTGTAGATGTTTACTAGGTCCACTTGGTCTAGAGCTGAGTTTAAGTCTTGAATATCCTTGTTAATTTTCTGTCTCATTGATCTGTCTAATACTGACAGGTGGGTGTTAAAGTATCCCAATATTATTGTGGTCTATGTCTCTTTGTAGGTCTCTAAGAACTTGTTTTATGAATCTGGGTGCTCCTGTATTAGGGCATAGGGCATAGATATTTAGAATACTTAGCTCTTCTTGTTGAATTATTCCCTTTACCATTATGTAATTCCCTTTTTTGTCTCTTTTGATCTTTATTGGTTTAAAGTCAGTTTTGTCAGAGACTAGGATTGCAACCCCTGCTTTTTTTGTTTGTTTGTTTGTTTTGCTTTCCATTTGCTTGGTAAATTTTCCTCCATTCCTTTATTTTGAGCCTATGTATGTCTTTGCACATAAGATGGGTTTCCTCAATACAGCACACCAATGGGTCTTGACTCCTTTTACAATTTGCCAGTCTGTGTCTTTTAACTGGAGTATTTAGCCATTTATATTTCAGATTATTGTTGTTATGTGTGAACTTGATCCTGTCATTATGCTGCTATTTGGTTGTTTTGCATACTAGTTGATGCAGTTTCTTCATAGTGTCATTGATCTTTTATATTTTGGTGTGTTTTTGCGGTGGCTGGTAGTAGATTTTCCTTTCCATATTTAGTGCTTCTTTCAGGATCTCTTGCAGGGCAGGCCTGGTGGCAACAAAATCCCTCAGCTTTTGTTTGTCTGGAAATGATTTTATTTCTCCTTCGCTTATAAAGCTTAGTTTGGCTGGATATGAAATTTTGGGTTGAAATTTTTTTCTTTAAGAATGTTGTATATTGACCCCCAATCTCTTCTGGCTTGTAGAGTTTCTGCTGATAGGTCCACTGTTAGTCTGATGGGCTTCCCTTTGTAGGTGACCTGACATTTCTCTCTGGCTGCCCTCAAGAGTTTTTCCTTCATTTTGACCTTGGAGAATCTGATGATTATGTTTCTTGGGGTTGATCTTCTCGTGGAGTATCTTAATGGTGTTCTCTGCATTTCCTGAAGTTGTATGTTGGCCTGTCTTGCTAGATTGGGGAAATTCTCCTGGATAATATCCTGACATGTGTTTTCCAGCTTGTTTCCATTCTCCCTATCTCCTTCTGGTACTCAAATCAATCGTCGGTTCAGTCTTCTTATGAAGTCCCATATTTCTTGGAGGCTTTGTTCATTCCTTGTCATTCTTTTTTCCCTTTTCTTCTCTGCATGTCTTATTTCAGCAAGGTGGTCTTCAGGCTATGATATCTTTTTTTCTGCTTGGTTGATTTGGCTGTTGATACCTGTGTATAATTTACGAAGATCTTGTATTGTGTTTCTCAGCACCATCAGGTCGTTTATGTTCCTCTCTAAACTGGTTGTTCTAGTGGCAATTCCTCTAACCTTTTGTCAAGGTTCTGAGCTTCTTTGCATTGGGTTAGAACATTTCCTTTGGCTCAACATAGTTTTTGATTACCCATATTCTGAAGCCTTCTTCTGTTAATTCGCCGATTTGATCCTCCATCCAGTTCTGGACCCTTGATGGAGAGACATTATGATCATTTGAAGGGGAAGAGGCACTCTAGCTTTTTGAGTTTTCAGCATTTTTTCTTTGATTTTTTTTTCTTATCTTTGTGAGTTTGTCTAGTTTCGGTCTTTGAGGCCATGCTGACCCTTGGATGAGGTTTTCGTTGGGGCATTTTTTGTTGTTGTTGTTGATGCTGTTGTTGTTGGTTTCTGCTTGTTTGTTTTTCTTTCAATAGTTAGGCCTCCTCTTCTGTAGGGCTGCTGCAGTTTGCTGGGGGTTCACTTCAGGCCCTATTCATCTGATTCACTCCTGTGCCTGGAGATGTCACTCAAGCGGGCTGGAGAACAGCAAATGTGGGTGACTGCTCCTTCTTCTGGGACCTCTGATCTCAAGGGGCTATAACCTGATGCCAATAGGATCACTCCTGTATAGGGTGTCTGACAACCCCTGTTGGAGCGTCTCACCCAGTTGGGTGGCACAGGGCACAGGACCCGTTTAACAGGGAACTTTGTCCCTTGGTGGACGGGGTGTGTCTCCAAGCTGGAGGGAAACCCACTCGTCTGGGCTGCCTGGATGTCTCAGAACTACCAGGAGGAGAGGCTAAGTCAGCTGGTCCACAGAGACTGCAGGCACCCCTCCCCCTTGGGGCTCAGGCCCAGGGAGATCCAGATTCTGTCCCTGAGCCTCTGGCTGGGAGTTATTGGAGTTCCTGCAGAGAAGCCCCGCCCAGTGAGGAAGGATGGGTCCGGGTCAGGCCTGAAGAGGCACTCTGGCTGCAGATTACCACAGCTGGTGTGTTGGGCTGTGGGGAGAAGTCTTGATACAGAGCCGTCCAGCCTCCTTGGCTTCAGCAGGGGGAAAAGCACAGCCTGAAGCTATAGAGATGGATGCCGCCCTTCCCCCAACCGGGGAGCTTAGCTTGTTAGGCAGTTGCCAGTTCCAGTGCTGGCTGCTACCCCTCACCCTCTTCCGAGGTCAAACTGTTTAGATAGCAGGCAGCCACAGCTCCAGCCAGTGCTGGTCACCCCTCCCCCTGGGAGATCAGTAGGCTTAAGCAGATTCCAGCTGAGAGGCTGTAAAATAATCTGTGCCATCCAAGGTTGGGACACTAGGCCCTGGTGGTGTAGATTCGCAAGTGGGATCTTTCAATCTTGGGTTCCACACATCTGTGGAAAAAGCACAGTTTCTCTGGCTGGGTAGCACGCTCACTCACTGCCTCCCTTGGCTAGGGGAGTGGGTTCCCCTGCCCCGTGTGGCTCTCAGGTGGGCCGTCACACTACACTGTTCTTCCTTCTCTCCATGGGTCACACCAGGCTTCTAGTAAATTTTGATGAGAGAGTCAATTTTGATGATCCACCAACCCAGAGGCCTTCGTTGGGGGTGAAGGATTCACACACTTATTATGTTTTGTTTTGTTTTGTTTTGTTTTCCCATGGGAGCCTCCAAATGCCTCTGCTTCTAGTCAGTCATCTCGGCCCCACCCCCTTAAATATTTTCTAGAGACAGGGTCTTGCTATATTGCACTGATTGGTTTCAAACTCTTGGGCTCAAGCATTTCTCCTGTCTGTGGCCCACAAAGTGCTGAGATTACAGGCATGAGCCACTGCATCTGGCCCTTTTAAAATATCTTACAAATATCTTAAAATGCCATCTGTAAGGACATATGTGAAAAATTAAATATAAAAAACTGTGTTCTCAATTTTTCTCACTTGCTTTCTTAGATGTGCCTTCATCTCACATGTCCTTCAAAGTAGCCCTTGACTGAATTATTTATTTTTTTAATGATAACATCAAGCAAGAAGAAATAAAGTTCAGATCAGACTAGTTAACACTTGTTAATTTGGCATTTTCCAGCCAGCCAACTTTAAAAATGCTTTGGATTATGAATCAATCCAAATAACTTCACCATTAAAAAGGGAGTCTGAGTCCAACTTCTATAGTATTTTAATGTTGCTTAAAACATTTCTATTATTCTGTACACAGGGCATTGTTACATCAAATAATACAGTTGAGACATTACAGAATCTAACATTTTGGCCTACTTTTGAAAAATCATTATCTATATGACTAGTTCCTCCCTCTCCAGACCCAGATAAACCTCTCCTGATATTTCAGAGATGTTTTGAGTTTTCATGAAATAACTTCTGTTTTTCAAATGTTCATGATAATCTACATTCTTTTTTTTCTCAACTGGAATGCCTTTCACTTTTCTGAAAATGCCCTTTTTTTTATATTTCTAGGGCCTGCTTAAAATCCTCCTCTTCAGTGAAGTTTTTCCTAACCCCCATCTCTTAACACAAGCTAGAAATATGTTCCCCTTTTTGAGACATTGTAGCGATTTTTCTCTACCTCTTATATGATATTTACCATTTCCTGAGTTGTTTTCAAATGATCTCCTATTGAGGTGAGATTTGTTAGAATCTGTATCTGATTTACTTTCCTTTCTCCAATTAGATAGCATAGTGCCTTACATACATTTGGTACCAAATAAATGTGATGGCCGGGCACGGTGGCTCACACCTATAATCCCAGAATTCTGGGAGGCTAAGGCAGGCAGATCACCTGAGGTCAGGAGTTTGAGACCAGCCTGGCCAACATGGTGAAACCCTGTCTCTACTACAAATATAAATACAAAAAAAAAAAAATTAACTGGGCATGGTGGCACACACCTGTGATCCCAGATGCTCAGGAGGCTGAGGCAGGAAAATTGCTTGAACCCAGGAGGTGGAGGTTGCAGTGAGCTGAGATCGTGCCACTGCACTCCAGTCTGGGTGACAGGGCAAGACTCCATCTCAAAAACTAACTAAACTAATGAATATGAAATAAATGTTTGATGACTGACTAAATGAACAAATTAACATATAGAAAAATTACTTTATATTACGTTTTGCTTAATAAAAGTATATAGTTAGTTTGTCCAAGTATTTATATATTTCTCAGCCTATTCCATATCATGGATATCAAAGATCTGTAGATGAAACTACTTAAAAGCTTATTTTGTTAGCAATGTTGAATCCTTGTTTCCTTAACTCATGATCAAATGCCGAATTCTGATGGATATACTATCAGAGTCTTCATTTTTTGGGTGGTTGTCTTTGTGGCAAAGAACTTCTTTCTTATATTCAACCTATTTCTCATGTTCAAGAAATACTTCAACTCATTTTACCTTTACTTCTTGAGGCACTCAGGTAAAAATAGAATCCTACATCTCTTTTACAGTTGGCTCTAACCTTCCTTTTTAAATAGTCATATGCATAGTGATTTTTTTAATTTTGAAAACTGTATATAAATCTCATGAGAAAATGTATGTAAAATTATTTTGACATTCTTAAGTCCTATGACATTGTGATTTTGTTAGCCAGCCCATCCTTAATGCTCTAACTTTATCCCGCACTTATGTCCAAGCTTCTTTCCTTGGTTAGTTATGTTTTTGTTTCTACATATAATAGAAAGTAAGATCCTTAAGGAGCAGCAAGCAAGTCTTAAATATTTGTCTTTATTGCTTAGCATGACTCTGGACAGTTCTATGCTTTTAGTAAATGTTTGTTGAAAGCCTGAATAACATGGAAGCTATTCAGTGATAAACAACTGAACCAATAATATCAGGCACAAATTTGGACAATCACCGTTTGCTCCCCTATAGCTCCCTTTGGCAAAATCTACAACAGAAGAAGAGAGGCAAAGTTCTGCCTTCTTTACTGTTTCCAATATAAATCCAGGCTAAGCCTGTATTAGGAAATTGGTTTCCTAGGGGCCCTTCCACATTTAACCCTAAGAAATTCTAATCAAGGTGAATCTTTAGTAGTCCAGATTTAAGGTCTGTTTAGTTTCCCAGGTAAAATAATGAAAGAGTTCATAAGCAGATTTCCCACATACCTAATGTAATTTCAGAGCATATTCTAAACACTTAGAGAGTCTCTTTTAACATATAATAGTCATCACCTAATTTCTCATCTTTTCTTATTATTTAACATGTAAAAGTTAGGAGAACTCAATGACTTCACAGCAAATACTTTTCCTTGGTCAAATCTAAAAATTAATGTAAATTATAGGTTGAATGCTTTAAGATGTCATTAGGAAACCTACGTAAAAAGAATTGGAAACAGAAATATGGCAACTAGGTGTCCTGAAAATGATTTACTAACAAATATTTTCATATCTATTGGTTTTTGTTCTTTGAAACAAATAACAAAATCCTTAGCCTATGAATGAAGTAGTTATTTTTAGGTAAATGTTTTCTTTCCTTAACAATTTTATATATAATTATTGCAATTCTTCTTGGATAATGTTGTCTTCAGTAGGAAAAAAAAATGATCGCAATTTGTGAATCCTAAAGTAATTAGAAACATGGTCTTATAAGTTTCCTTTCCTTAGACATCTGATGCCATTGCATAGTCAAGGAATTTGGGAGTTTTGTTCAATCAAACTTGCCCTTTTAAAAAGTTTTATTTATAACAACAAACACAATAGAATTATAACTGAATTATACTAAAATGATTTCCTCTTTTTTCTAATTTTCTAATCTTTTTTCATGATCTTCCTATGTAAGAATGCTAGCTGTTGCTGGCCAGGTTGATTGAAGCAAATTAAGATAACCCTTAGTGAACTATAATTATTAACAATGATACAATTTCTTTAAGCAAATTCTGTTCAAAGTGCCTTTATTTCTAGGAATTTACTTTAGTTTTATTTTTAATTTTTTTTAAGAGATGGGAGTCTCAGTCTCTTGTCCAAGCTGGAGTGCAGTGGCATGATCATACCTCACTGCAGCCTCAAACACCTGGGCTCAAGTGATCCTCCCATCTCAGCCTCCAGGGTAACTGGAACAACAGGTGCATGACATTGCACCCATCCAGGAGTTTATTTATAATCAGTAAGAATACTTAATGAGAAAGGGGATGTGGTATTTCCATTTCTTAGATGAGAAAATTAAAACAAAGAGAGGTTGGAGATTTTATATTTATTAGATAGTCACGTTTCACATGAAGTTACTCATACTGGAAGACCACACATAATGGAAAACAAATACCAATAAAGAATGGTGGATACATTTGCATGCCAGTTACACTGATAGAAGATATACAGTTCACCATCATTCTGTCTTCCATATGGAAAATTATACAATTCTTATTAATTTTTAAATTTTATGGGAATGCTCATAATTATGTTTTTGTGCATAAAGTCACTATTTCTACTTTACGTAATTCTCAACATGTCTGATTTTATATAATTTCATTTACTATAAGTGAAAGTTACATCGTTTCTTTAATTATTTCTTCTCTTTGACAGCTTGGGTTTGTTTTTGGCAGAGTTTTAATTTCCCAGTCTGCCCTTTTTTGTTGTTGTTTCTGCAGATTCAGGAGGATATTGGAGGGATCACCTTGCTAGTTCTTTTTTCTTTTTTTTTTTCCTGAAATGTGGCTTAGTGGGTTGACAAAGAACAGTAGTTGTTAAAGTATTTTAATAACATTTTCTGCCAGGCATATTATTAGTGGAAGGTGATTTGCAGCCAGAAATACCTATATTTGAATCCATATAAGGTCATTCCTTGCACCTTTAGGCAAGTTACAACCTCTCTTATAAAATAAGAAAAGCAGCTCATGACTTGGTAAAATAAAGAAATGTAAAGTGCCAGGCAGAGTGCCTGGCAAAAAAAAATGGTGCTCAATAATGTTAGTTATATTTTCAATTATGATTGACCTTAAGAAACTGGTATTTCCAGAAGCACAGCAAGAAGATGTGAGATGAAAGTCAACAGTGATTAAGATTTCATTTCCTGATTAAATATACAAACAGTGTACCTCTTAACTTACCATTATGTAACTTAGTTTAATCTTGGGTTCTGTTTATCCTTGAACTGATATATTTTGCCATTTCATATACGCGTATGCGTAAAGCACAAAATAGTGCAGGAATGTTAGGAAGTGTGGAATGCCATTAACTTTACTACTAAAAGTTTGGGATAAATGAACTACATAGGTAGAAATATGAGTAAGATAGGATGTTCATCCCAATAAAATGATAATAAAATCTTTATTGCATCCCACATCATTACCTGCTGTATTTTGCTTATGTTGGATATAAAGAAAAAAGGTATTGCAGACTCTTTCTCTGCAGCTCTTAAAAGCCTTGATTGATCATCTTTTTGCTCCTTTCCACTTATAATGTCAAGTTCCTTAGGCTTCAGATGAAAGGACAGAAAATAAAAATGTAATGAAAAAATGTATTCTAATTTCATTTGAATCGTGTCTCCCAGGGTGGGGTAAATAAGCTAAGCCCTGTGGAACACACTGTAGATATAAGCAACCCGGAGACACTAAGCCAGAAACATAAAAAATGTTCTCATTCATTCTTAGAGCAGTGAATTCTTGAATTCACAGTATGCAGCATTGGGTGTATTTGGCCTACAACTCTGAAACACAATGGACTCTTAATTCACAAATGTAAATAACAATTATTTAGGTGGCTCTAATAGTGGACCAAGACAACAGAGCTAATTATAGCAGTATCAAGGTTACCAACTTTGCTCAGCACACAAATTCTTTTTCAGGTTGCCCAAAACATTATTGAATATAAATAAATTCTTCATTTAAAATGTCTTATTCCTTCAAGTTCTTTTATTCATTATTAATGTGATTATGATTATCATTATTATTACATCTTTATTGCTAGGTTTTATTTTTAAAAACCCTTATTACCAGATATAATGCACTGTTCTTAGTTACTTAGAAAAATAAACTCATGCTTATTTTTTGACCTTTTGCCACAGTATAAATCATTAGAGTGTACTACTTTTACATTGTTCTCTGTTCGATGAAGCTCCATCTTTCCCTTCAGTTTATATCATTTCTCTTGTCCTTTGTGTCTGACACATGCTTTTAGGAGCTTCTAGTACTGATGTCCCATTTTTCTTTCAAATACATGCTGAACGTATCCCTTTGACACATAACCAAACTTCGGGGATCATAACAGGAGAATTTACATGAATAAAATGACCATTATGTAGCCTCAAAAGTCTATCAGAGAAGTCACATCACCTTGATTCAAATTCGAATAATTTCTACTCTCCTTATGCCCCAGCCCAACTCTTATTCTCTCTTTGTCCATGTTGCACTACTAGCCTCACTAGTTATTTCTTTAAGATCAAGAATATCCTAAATTCAGTCCTTCAACGTGCTTACTCTCCAATGAACATCTGCTTTGCTATTTTCACAGATTCTTCTTTTTCTCCTGTTTCAGAGATAAAAACACCAGTTTGCCTCTCCAAGTTTAACTCCTTAACCCTCATTCTTTGTCCCATGTCTTCTGCCATTATTGCCTTAGAAAATGTGTTCCACATTATCTCTCTTATAGTCCACATTTAAAGGTTCTGATTATGTACTAGAATCTTTTTCAAAAACTGTTAACACAAATAAGTCCTTCATTTCTCAAACAAAATCTTCACTCAATCTTCTAAGTTTGGAAATCTAATATATCTTTTATTTCCTGAATCCTATAAATTGCAGTATAGTTTTTAATTTTTCCTTTTTGTAAAATAATTTCAACTTTTATTGTAGATTTAGGGGTACATTTTCAGGTTTGTTACGTGGATATGTTGTGTGTTGCCGAGGTTTGGGATGTGAATGATCCCTTCACCTAGATAGTTAGCATAGTACCCAACGGTTAGCTTTCCCCGTCTCCCTCCCTCTCCTCTCCATGAGTCCCCAGTGACTATTGTTGCCATCTTTATATCCGTAAGTACTCAGTGTTTAGCTTCCATTTATAAGTGAGAACATACTGTATTTGGTTTTCTGTTCCTGTGTAATTCTCTTAGGATAATGGCCTCCAGCTGCAACCATGTTGCTGCAAAGGACATGATCTCGTTCTTTCTTACACCATACGTTTTCTACTTCATTTTATTCCTTACCTATTTTTACACTTTTTAAATTTAGGTTCTTCTCAACCTGTTCTATAGATACTACATAGTTTTACAACTTCTCTCAAACTTCTTACTCCTTGAATCTTTTGCATTTTAAAATGTCAGTAGCCCTCTTCTTTTATCCTCTCCTTACTGACATTCTGTTGTATTTCATTCATTTTCTTCTAGCTTCCCTAATTAATGTTTCTCTGTTTTCATCATGGATATATTTCCTTCATCCTGTTTTCTTAAAGAGGAGTGTACTTGGAGGTTCTGCCTGACTTTTATTTTCTCTCTACACTCTTTTCTTTGGCAATTTATTTATTTCCAATCTCACTTCTATGTAGATATTTCCCATTTCAAAAGCTCTAGTGCTTACTTCTTCCAAATCTGGATCAACATTTCTAACAAAATGTTGAACATCTCCATCTGGATGTCGGCTACCGTAGTTTAACCACAATGTGTTTAGAGCTGAATTAATAATCTAAACCCTGAACTACTCTGTCTGCCATGCCTATCCTGTAAATGACACTGGTTTTATTAAGGTTCTAACAATCACCTAATACCCAGGCTTATTTAACACCATCTTTAGCTTCTCTCCACTTCATATATCCAGTTCTGTTTGCTCAAGATTTCAGAAGTTTTCACATCCCTTTCCAAGCCCAATTTCCATTTCTGCTACCTCTACCTTTATTGTCTCATATTATGGTATTATCATAGTTTCTTAATTGGTCTTATTGTTCATATTAATTAATTCTCTAATATTCCAGGGTGCTTTGAGATAAAATCTTTGTTTCCATATTTCTAGTGAGGAAATTTCCTTCCTCAAAAAATATGCAATTATTACCAGTTGTCTACAGAATGGAGTCTAATTTCCTTGCCCTGTATTCAAGGTACTCGAATATTTGAAATTCATTTTCCTTATGACCTAGGTTCTTAAGCACGCTCATACATCTAGCCATTTAAACAAGCAACTTTCTTTTAAACACTTCTTACTTTGTTTTACGGAGTGAAGCCAGCGGTTGTGCAACTTTCTCTGCCTGGAATACCCTTGCAGGTGCCTGTGAAGATCTGATCTACACTTCAAAGTCTGTATTCTCTGGCCCTTATTATGGAGCTATGTAGAGATTGCCAGAGATAATATTAAGTATGCAAATGCAGACATCAGGTTTAGTGAGTAATCTGCAAAACAGAATCATGAACGTGTAGTAGAGGTCAGTAGTGGGGAGTAATAGTAAATTAATTAGTACTATACTGAGGGAGTAAGAAAAACTCAGTCCATTGCCTCTCTGAGTTTTAGATAAGTGGATAGCTATTGGATATGGAAAAGAAATCTCTGGGTCCATTCCAAAAAGCTTTATCCAAATGACTGAAATGTTATCTTAGGTTTCCTAAAAGAAAGGTACCTCTTAGCCTCTGACATAGTTCGTGTGACACCGTGCTCATAAATCCTTCCCTGAATTCTCTAGGTCAGCTTAGATTGAATCGACTTCTCAGCCTCCATTATACATCCTTTTTCCTCTTTTATATAACTTACCTATTATTTTTGACCCAATGTTAAAAGTGTTTCTGTGTATAACACATCTCTCCATTTAAATTGTAGATTCCTGGAGGCTGGGAGCTTTGTTTTACTTACATTTATATCCTCATTTCTATTCTGTATAACCCTTGTTGCAAAGTTGACAGGCACTACTAAACATTTGTTAAGTGAATTTGTAAGTAAAACATAGGAGATGGTTAACTTCTATTGGCAATCTGTTCTGGAAATAATAAAATATTTTTTAAAAATAAGCTATCGTGGTAATGTTAAGACTTACAGTATATAGATTGTGAAGAATTCACTTATTTTTTTGCCTAAAATTCTAGATAAGACAAACACATTTTGTCTTTATATTAGAGTATAGTAGAAAGAGGTTGTCTTTGTACTATAACATGTAACCATTATCACTTTAATTACAGATTAGAAGGAGAGGAAGATTTGTGAAAAGTGAAGAAAATTGACAATCTCTGATTTCAATCTTAGACTAGGCTATGTCATGTTTAAACAAAGACATTTAGCCTTTCTGAAAGAATTTAGTGCACATGTTGTGGGAAATGAAAATGGCCAGGTCATTGTAAAGAGGTGAAATTGGTAATGCAGAAAGGTAATAAATGGGGATATTCACAGAGACAGGATGTTTAAATTTCCAAGATTCCCATCTTTGCTGTCTTCTAGCCCTGAGGCATTAGTTGTCCTAGTTTCCTGTTTAACTTTTAAATTTATTTTGAACACAGATAAACCAACAAATAGAGATAAAATAGGCCCAGACCTTTCTCTGTAATATTAATCTATTGGAGAAAATGTTTAGGATTTATAGAAGTTGGCTTAAGTTCTGGAATATTTAATTTCAATGTTAGTAGATTTTATTTTATATGGAGTTTCATTTTAGGAACATAATGGCATATAGCATATCTAAACCTATATCATAGTAAATAATCCTGTGATATCATCCAGTAAGAATTACATTTAACCTTTATTTTCTGCTATGCATTGTGGTGTTAGGAATATTTTAAAATATAATTTCCCTCATTTCAAAAAGCTCATAATCTTTAACCAAGTTCTACCCTGCTTAAAACCCACAAGGTAGACTAGTTAATTCATAGTTTGATTACTCAATCTGCATTGCAAATGCCCACCTTTTTCTGGGAGTCTTAGTTATAAGTAGCATATTTATCAATAGTAGAAAGAAAAGTAAATAGGAATCTTGCATGTTCCACGAGTACTACAAAGACCTTGCTGTAATCCAGCAGTTAATGATTATGGGGAAAATAGAGGTTATATTTCCTGACACAATTTCCTCTCTCATATTCAGATCTACTAAGTATACTTAATTATGCTTGATTATTACTAAATCTTCTGACCTGAAACTAGTTGGAGTTTTCTATAAAACCTCCTAAAAAAAAGTACTTTATTTTTAAAGAACATATAATTTCTTTAATGTCCACAATTTATCAAATTTGTATTGATTGCCTCTGCTACAAAAATTTTTCTCCTTTCCTTTCTCCCTAGAGAATAATTTATCATCAGTGTGCTAAAACATAAACAGAATTTCAGAATTTCATCTAGACTTAGGCCTAAATTCCCTGTAATCCACTGATCCAACTAGCTAAGTGAGCCAGAGAAAGGATCAGTTGAATTATTACATAAATTCCCTTTGGAAAAGTTGAATAAAATGCAACGTCTACAGGATATATACTCTCCATGAGAGTTGTAAAAAACCTACAAGCCTAGTAAATTGGAAAAGCAATCCAGCGGTTTAGCTATTTAAGTACTAATGCAGAGATAAGATTGCTTTTAAAAAGTATCACACCCTCTTCCCAGTATACTTTTGTTTCTTTCCTATTCAGGTTGCCTTGGGGAAAGGAGAATGAAGTTAATGTTCCTTTGACATAAGTGCACTATAATGCTGGATGCATTAAATATCTTAAAGTGGATGGAATAGTTAGGTAGCTAATTTAGTATATCGTGAATGGTTTTAGATAGTGCATGCAGCTTCTGTTATTTTTCTTAACCATTTTCTTTTCTTTTTGCATGTCTCAGGGGTCAAAAGAGTAAGCACAAAGCCCAAAGCAATTAAGAAGGCAGGTGGTATAACCAGAAGAACTTAGCCTTAGTCTGAAGTTAAGGGTACAGTTCAAGGTTTTGGATCATGGAAAATCCATTTAAATTCTCAGAGTTTCTGTTTTTTTGGATGCAAAATAAGGAACTTGGATGAAACGATTTGTTTCTACCTCGAACTTTACAAATTTTACAATATCCTAAATTCTGTAAGACTAAAAACAATTATTTATATTATACAATATTATATAGGTAAGTAGGAAAATGTATTTTTCAAATGAATTTATCACAGATTTCTAGAATGCAGTTTAGGCCAATTGTGCCTCAATTTTCAATTACTTTTTCATCCTCATGATCAATAAAAGCTGTCATTTACCATGCACCTACAATATTCAATGCATGGTGCTGGCAATGATAAAACTATTCCCTATTTAAAACAAATTTACTTTATCACACCAATGCATACCCATTTCTTAAAATTACAACAGATATCTACTACCCAAATTAATACTGACTTTTAACCATAAAGAAAGCACTTCTTAAAAATAATGATACATCTAATTGGATGAATGATATCATTTTTAATGGGATGTGATAACAAGAACAGACATAATCTAATCTGATATAAAGTGACACCTCATTTTATCAGCATCAATTTCATTTGGCTTAGATATGTTCTCTCAATTGTGATCATGGGCATATGGTTAGTATTCTTATTCACCACCGAACTAAATAATAAGGAAGTTGTCAGTTGCACTGCTGACAGAAATCAATCATAGACCTTTGATAGAACTAGTATTTTTCTCTGAGAATAATCATTTAACAAATTTCTGGAAAAATATTCACCATTCCTAAAACAAGTAAAAAATTTTAAATTTAAGAAATGAAAGAAACATAATAGTGATGGAGAATAATATTTTTAAATCTTTAAAAAAATGGCCAAACTTCAAGTATTAATATTTAATTATGATGCATCAAAATAGTGTACCAAAACAATTTAAAATTTTACATTAAAATTTTAGCAATCGTTTTTTCTTGAGTTTCTTAAAACCAATACTAGATAATATTAATAACCTAAGGCTAAAGTTAGGAGCAAGACTATTGACAAAAAGATACTCTGGTCTGTAGACTTGGGACAAAAATGAGGTACCTCTATTTATCAGTTCTTGATATTTTTATTCCTTATGGCCTTGAATAGATTCATAGCGCTGTTTTAAAATATAACAACTGAGCAGCATATTGATTTTTGTTATTGTGATCTTACGCTGAAGATGATTTCCTATTTTTCAGGCTGTTGACCTACTTAGGTCTTGAAGATACTGATTAGAGATTGCCAGAATCCATTAGTGCGTAAACATAGTCTACAGCTAAGATTGATCTTAGCTGAATTACTTCTTACTTGTATTACTGTTATATCCATGCTTTAATTTTGGCTGTTGAGTCATGATACAACAGGACAAAGTATCTTGGACTTAAAAACTCAAGGTTAATTTAAACTGTATATTAATATGCTCTGTAGGGCTACCCAAGACATAGTCATAATTTTGCTATGAATTTGTTATTGTTGTTAAGAATGTATAGAGAATCCCATTTTATGTGAAGAAGAGAGAAGGTACTGAATGTGATTTGATTTTCTAGGGTCATGATACTCCAATTAGGAACTCTTTAGGTACTGTGTAGCTGATCTCTTTTAACTTGCCAAGGGAAAAAAAATATCTACCTCTTTTTTCTCATAAGGCCTGACGAATGATGAGGAGATGCCCACCAGCAGCCTTTCCTAACATAACTTTACTCCAGCATAGGTTTCTGGCAAAGTAAATTAACACCCTAAGTTTAGGTGTCTCCTTGGTGACCTACTAGTTCACATCTATTGCTCACCTTTAAAAGTACTCTAAAGACTAAGTGCCTAATAGAATGCTGATTAGAAATCAACCACTTCAATTCCAAAGAGCAATTGACTCAGGAAAGTGAGGAGTTTCCATGAGCAACAAGTCATTAATTGCCCCTGAGATTGCAGTTATCATTGCAGACCTGCAAAGCCTCAAATTTCCAGATTCCTGGGTAATTTAGGTTGCAGGCCATGGGCAGAGAGCATTTTTTAGAGCAAGTGTATTCTGGCCAAAAACAACTGTGTAGGTGGCTGTGGCTGAATAAGGACCATCTGTTTCCTCACTGCCCACAGCCCAACTGCTAAGTTTTGGTTATGGTACCCACATGTAGGTCCCTATTTACATATTAGTTATGGTATAGACACAGCTACCATAATAAGATCCAAAAATTCAGTGACTCAAACAAAATAAAAATGTGTTATACACTCTTAGTCTAGAGTCTAGAGGCAGGGTGGCCCTCTGCGGGAATAGGAAGGTTTATTCCACAAGGTTTCTCCAGGTTTCTTCTTTCTCGTGGCTCACTATTTCTAAGGATGTCTGGATCTGCTGTGCACCACATCAGTGTTCCAGCCCATGAATGAATGAGAAAGGCAGTGAAGGACATGGATCTTCTTTTCAGGAACGGATGTGGTAGTTGTGTGAATCACCTTTACTCACATCCCATTCATGAGAACTTAGACATATTGCCACATGCAGCTGCCAAGAAGATAGGGAAGTGTAGTTTCTCTCTGCGGTTATTCACATGCACTTAAGAAAAAATTCTTGCATTTCACCACCCAAGGTTTTCCCAGTATGTTACTATGGTAATCCATGCCACACTGAAATGGTGGTTTATTTTCTTTCTTGCATTATCTCCATAAAATATGGACTGTTAGTCAAGAATTAATTATTTGCTTACTTTTCTTTCTGTGCACTCTCTTCGTTTCGTTGTTGTTTGTTTGTTTCCTGTGTGTCTTTGTGGTAGAGTTTTTTTGTTTGTTTTGCTTGTTTTTAGCCATTTCAGACATTTTGTTGAGAACAGAATAAAACCTCTCTACTGTACAGGAATCAGTAAGTCTATGAAACTTTCTCTACATATTCCCCTTTTACCGTGTGTATTTACTATTATTTAAATTATATTTAAACTATGCTTTTTGTTCAGCAACATCAGCAGAGAATAGAGTGACTATCAATGTAAATATTATTTACATCCAATCCTCTGGGAAGAGGAATGGAAGAAAACAGAGAAAGGAGTGATATTATAAGAAGAAATATGTAGGAGTTGTATAGAGTAGATCTGAAGCTTAGAACTTTTCTGGCTTACTTGCTATGGGACCTGGAGCAAATTACTTAACTTCTCTCAGCCTTTTCTTATCTCTAAAACAGAGATACTATTGATTACTTCCTGACACCTGTTCAATATTTTCAACTGTTGGGTAGAAATGAGCCTCCGTATATTCAGCCAAGAAAGTACAGAACTGAAAACTGATCCTACTTTTACCTGATTTAAACTCTCATGTTCTTAACCCATACTAACCTCTAGAAGTTTTCTTGGAAGTGATATTTGTTTAATAAATATATAAGGATCTATTTGTATCTAATAAAGGAGTTCCTAGTAGATTTTACATACAGCTGTTAATAAGTACCCCCAATCAAATCACTTAGATAATGTCTGGAATTTGTGAAGATGTAACCAAGTCTCTATGAAGATTTATTCAGTATCATGCAGATGGTGAATGTACCACTTTTGGAGGGATTCCCTATTTTTCAAATCCCAACAATCAGGACATTGACAGTGATTAAATTTCACTAACAGTGGAAGCTCTGTTTCTAAATTCTGCCTGGAAAATGAGTGATTTCACAAAAGACACTTGCCAAACTGGCATTCCTATGAATTAGTTTTGTGCTTCTCCTTGGGTAGTTTCTGGCAAATAGTTCAGTGTCAGTGCTTCAATGCCCGTACATTCTTACAAGGAAGTACAGCTAATTGTCTCCATTTTTACCTAATGTAACCCTGGCAGTGAACACATAAACCTATTTGTGGTAGTCCCTAGTGAACCACAAGATTTAATATTAATGGATAACAGGAAAACATTGAGATTATGCAGGCTCACGGGTCATCACCCATCATGATTATTATGATAAACATTAGTTTAGATAAATACATGGATTAGGCTATAAAACTCTAGAATGTGTGTAGCGGCCATAAACAAACAGAAAACGGAAAGTCTTCACTTTAAACAAAACAAAACAAAACAAAACAAAACCCTGCAGAAATAAAAGATTTAAAACTGGCTTACTTACCCTTTTCCTCACGTTAGTATCCTGGTATAGAAAGTGCTTTTGAAAGTGCCTGTGATTTGGAATGCTGAATACCTTTTCAAAGACTCTTTTAATCTGTATAAAGATGTAGAATATATATAAAATACAGTGCTCTACACTCACCAGGTACCTCATCAACGTGGCTTACTAGAAAGCTGTGTAGGAGGTTGTAATAAGGGTTTTTAACATTTATTCAAAATTTTACAAAGCATGAAGGCAATTTTTCAAAAAACACAAATAATTCAGATAATGACGAGCTTGTTCCTTTTCACTGCAGAAATTTTAGGCAAGATGACATTTTAAAAATCTTCTTTTATGAAGAATTTAGCCAAACGTATAGTATTTTCATGTTTACTCATTTATTTAACCAGAGATTGATTGCATGCCTGCTGTGTGCCTGCCACTCTGCTTTGTCCAGGACTTGAATCTTTAGTCTCAGAGACAGGACCTCAGAAACAGTGCTTGGTACATAGTAAGAGCTCAGTAAATATTGGTTAGATTTTAAAAATTGTTTTATTTTTATTTACTTAGTTACACATATAATTGTGGCTAAGTAATTTGACAGTACTTGGTTTCAATGTCACCACTCCTTCTGAGCATTTCATGACTTCCTCTGATCAATCTGATTGCTACAGTTTCTGTGCCTCACCAGCTCCTTGTTTGTACTTAAGAAGAAATTTGTAGTGGTGTTTGTTTATTTGTTTACATATATTTCCTTTAGCAGAGAAAATGTGTGCATCTGTATGTGTATATCTCTACATCAGGCATTCTGTCCATTTCCAGTCCTTCATAGAGTGCATCACAGCTAGTGGAAGTTGAACGTCTGGGCATCTTCCCCTTTGGGACTTTATGTCTTCATTCTGGGACAGTCACTACCAACAGATGGTGCTATTAGGTTACGCAGTTCCCAAGAACGAAGCTCTTCTGTGCATTAACATCACCTGAAGAACTTGATACACCACAGAGTCTTTGGTCTTACCTCTAAAGATTCTGATTCAGTAATTTGGGAGGGACTCAAGAATTTGCATTCCTAACAAGCACAGTGATGCAGGTGCTGCAGGTCTGTGGACCACAATTTGTTAGCACTAATGTAGACCACTAATTTTAAAGGAACAAAAGACTATTCAAGGCAGTCATTTTTTGAACTAAATTAAATCTAGGTAGGTATATGTGAGAATATTTATACATATTGGCTTCTTAGAAAGATTATAGGTCATAGAAACATATCATTAAAAAATGTAAAATCCATAAGTAAGGTATTTTGAGATTTCTTTGATTTACAGTGTTCCTGCTATTATCCACATTATTTGTCTTAATCCAAGTATGTCTTTCCTTTCATATATGAGTGGTATAAAGTTATAGTAAAAATGTACTCTCTAATCCTGCATTTCATTCTTCAAGAAAACAATTGTTAACAGTTTCTTACTTTTTACAGAAGTGTTATATGCAGATATATGTATCTATATCTATTCCTATAGATATATAATGTATATCTATTCCTATAGATATATAATCTATATCTATGTCTATTCCTATAGATACATATAATCTATATCTATGTCTATTCCTATAGATATATATAATCTATATCTATGTCTATTCCTATAGATATATATAATCTATATCTAGGTCTATTCCTATAGATATATATAATCTATATCTAGGTCTATTCCTATAGATATATATAACCCATATCTAGGTCTATTCATATAGATATATATAATCTATATCTATGTCTATTCATATAGATATATAATCTATATCTTGTCTATTAATATAGATATATATAATCTATATGTCTATTCATATAGATATATAATCTATATCTATGTCTATTAATATAGATATATAATCTATATCTTGTCTATTAATATAGATATATATAATCTATATCTATGTCTATTAATGTAGATATATAATCTATATCTATTAATATAGATATATAACTATATTAATATAGATATATTATATAACTATATTAATATAGATATATTATATAACTATATTATTATAGATATATTATATAACTATATTAATATAGATATATTATATACCTATATCTATTAATATAGATCTATAATATATATTTCTATATATTTATATATAATATAAACATATATAATATATTATATATTTTATATATAATATATTATATAGATATATAAAAATATAGATCTATATAATATATATTCTATATGATATATATCTATATGTTATATATAAAATTATATATTATATATGTAATATACACAATTGTTTTTAAAGATAGTTTTTTAAAGGTAAACATAGTAACCTGCTCCAAAATCAACATGGTGAAGCAATGTTAAAATAGCAGCATGAATGTTTCCTCAACTATACTGTCCTGTTTATGCAGATGTTTGCCTGTTGACCGAGAAAAAATTTGGGATAATTTGTCCAGTATGCACATGTGGCTAACTATTCCTGTATATTTAAAAGAGAGTTCATGAAGATACCCAGGAGACTATTCTCTTTATTTCCTTTCCTTCTGCACACCTCTTGCCTTTGATACTGATATTTTAATACTTAATTTCTCACAAAAGCAGCCAGTCTCAAGGTTTTATTCATAACCCTTTGCTTGCAACTTGACCACTTATAAACCAACATTATGTTTCTTAAAATTGAAATTGATCTTAGAAAACGCCCTCTTCCTTATCTCTTATTCTGCATGAGCTTGGATGTTATCAGTTATAGGCAGCAGTCTCCACTGGAAAGTAGACAGCCATTGTCTTTGGGAATTAGTCTACATTAAGTGTCCTCATCCTATAAAGTGCATTCATTGACACTAGAATCTAGCACTAGACAGGAAAAGCCTGACACTTTCCAAGGAAAGTTATCATCCCTTTCCTCTTTCCCCTTCTCCCACTACCTCTCCATATTGTTTCTTCTACATACTTAACTTACTCTGGTCTTCTTTCAATGTTTCTCATATAACGTAGTTTTTGAATCCCCTTATTATCCAAGTATTCTTATATGTTCCAACATATCAGTGTTCTTTTAAGAGATGGTGCCATGGAAACAGAAGCTTTCTTATTTTTTTCCAAATAGTGATGCTCCCCAATAATCCCAGTAGAATTTTTTTTATTGGTTTAATACACATTAGGAATCCTAGACCACATTTTCTTCATAATCCCACCATACATTTTTCCGCCAAGCCAATTAACTACCTGAATTTTCTCAAGAACATTTTTTTAATACAAAGGGAATTTAGAAACTTCTATAAATAATAATCATACATTTGCTATGTTATGAGGCTGTGAGCCTCCTATCACTAGCAGTGCTAAAGCAAGGATATGCACCAGATACTAGGTAAGCTGTGGAAGAATCTCATGTAGCTGGTAATTAGTCCAAATAGATAACCTTTAATTCTCTTTATGGTCATATCTACTATAATTTTACTATTACTTAAAATGAAATTTGGAGTCTATGATTTGTTTTAAGCATATTACCAAGCTATAGTAGATTCATACAAAATTGCTCTGTTTTAATACTCACAATGAGAGTTCATTATTGTGTCACTCAGTGGTGCTGGAGTACTAGACCTTTGAGTTCCAAAAATTAAAACGCTTGGGAAGGAAGTAATTGACATTTTTCACTAGAAATAATCTCATGACACCAATATAGCTTTTAAGTACAATTTGGAGAAATAAAAAATAATTTTGTCCTTGAGTCTAATTAGTTTCCTTGATACCAATGATACTGCATTTCTCTGAAAGAAACAAATGATAGGAACATAGCTATCCTGGCATAATAGGTTTCTAATGAATTACTGATATTCATATAAAAAAAGAAAGACTTTGCATTTAAAAAAGATTTTGTATTAAATATCACACTGTGATTATTCTCACAATTATTACAAAATACACTGGAACCCCAGTTGGTGCTAACAGTCAAATAATAGGCTATTTAGGGGGTAGAGGCATCTTAATTTTAAGTAGTTGTTAACTATTTACAATGCACAAATTCCATAATAAAAAGAAACTGAGGAATATTCCTGAACACCAAATTGGCTGTGGAAAATAATGGGGTGTTTATTATTTTTATTAAATGAGAGCATTATGATCCATCAATCCACAGATAAAATAACTGGTGTCTTCCGCAGGACTGTCATTTTCACTTTAGTATTTTTCATAGGGCCAAATTTGGAGAGCCAATGTGGGGTGCAAGAGTTGCTTTAATGTAAAAGCCACTCCTTTCCACACATTTGCATGCTATGTAGCCAATTATAAGAATGGTCCAGTTTAGGTTTGAATATATTCCAAGGAAGGTAATACAGACTCTTTGCTTTGTCATTTTGCCAAAATTGTTCGACCAGTAAGTTTTAATTTTGCTGATTGGGGGCTATTGATAAAAACTCCTAATAAAGAGGTCAATAAAAAAATTCATTTAACTGAATGAGAGTTTTGGTGTAACCTTGGATGGCATTTATTAATTTCTATAATGGTGAATCAAGAGCTAAATCTAGTTCATAATAACAACGTTCCCTGATAAGTTTTAGAAATAGAGGGCTTGAAGAAGCTCTTTTTTAAATGTTTAATGAATAACCTTGGACTATTGTAAAATACATTAAAAAAAAGCAAACAAACTAAAAAGTTCTATTAATATGTGTTATATATACATTTATTTTTATTTCATTTATCACAATTATTTTATTTCAATTATCACAATTATTAGCTACAGTGTCCAACTACACCCTTATTAACAAGAAATACACATCTATGTAATATTTATATAATCTTTGCACAGAGTTACTAAGGTTGCAGACCATAATAACTTATTTCCTATTTCTAGCACAGAAGCTTTAAAATAATATAAAAATATCTTGTAATATGCTTCTTAGTAAAATGTACTTATTCAGTATTTGTGTTTCATACTGATAGGATGTAAATTTTTATTGTATCTACTCAGATTATATGTAAATAAATGATGTTTTCTCTTGGTAAAATTACATTCCAAGAAGATAAATTAATAATATATGGCATATGACACATCATCCTTTCAAAGCACTTTAAGTGGGAAAAGTAGATGAGGACTTGTTCTGGAATTTGAAGGAATGGATGAATACAGGAAAACATTGGGGAAGGTAGATTGTACATTCTTATTTTACTGGTATAAGCAATTATTTAAATTAAATTTGCTTCTTTTTAAGTATTAAGAGGCTTAGAAAAAAATTAGAAAGCAATCTAGAAAAAGTAGGAGAGAGGTGGGATGTCTATTAAGAAAATTAGGGAGATGAAGAGGTTGAACGAATATCCAAAGACATGTATATTGAAGGGTAATTTGAAGCCTTTGGATAACGCAGAGCCAATAATTCTAATTCTAGGTTCATTTTACTTTACGTTATAGTACTTTTTGAGAAGCACTCTCTATAAGTTATTGTGAGACATTCAAAAATCAATTTGCATTGGACACTTTTTTTCCTGAAGGAGCTAAAAATCTGTTTACAAATGGCAATAGTTCTACGTATTGTAGAATGAGAAAAATTTAAAAATCTATACAAAGAGCTTATTCCAGGAGCTGAAGTGAGAAAAGTTCACTTCCAAATAGGATTTTAGGAAATTTAAAAAGGACAGGTTTATAAAATTCACCTTCTTTGTGCTTTTTCTTCTTATAAAGGTAACATATGGCTATTGAAAAAAGTTGTAAAACATCGGTAAGCCAAAACTAATAAGTTAAAACTGCCTGTAATCTCGCTACTTGGAGATAAATTAGTCATGAATTTGAGAGTCAGGGATGAATGAGAAGTTTCAATTGAAGCCAAACATAAAATGCATGTAGTCAATGACAAAATATACGTATGAGGATTGTTTTGTGTAAGTTCTAACTTAAATTTCTACATTTGAACGCAGTGTTTCTTTTTCTTTTTCCGAGACAGGGTCTTGCTCTGTCACCCAGTCTGGAGCGCAGTGGCGCAACCTTGGCTTACTGCAACCTCCGCCTCCTAGGTTCAAGCAATTCTCCTGCCTCAGCCTCCTGAGTAGCTGGGATTATGGGCATGCACCACCACGCCCATCTAATTTTTGTATTCTTAGTAGAGATGGGGTTTCACCATGTTGGCCAGTCTGGTCTCGAACTCTTGACCTCATGATCCACCTGCCTCGGCCTCCCAAAGTGCTGGGATAACAGGTGTGAGCCACCGCTCCTGGCCCTGAATGCAGTTTTATATATTACAGGAAAGAAACTTGTTTTTGCTTTAAAAATAATGACATATCCTCTCTGTTTTGTAATTCGCAAACACTGGCTACTAAGGCTGTTTTTAAGATTAAAGAAAACAAGGGAATAAAAACATATAAAAAAGAGAAAGGCCGACAAAAGATTCTCTTGCTAAGGCTGAGGAAGTAACTAAAAAGAGAGACTGGTATCAGAAAATACCAGTCTTTTGGGGCTGAACAAACATTATTTTCTTGGGAATTCTTCCAAAGTAAACTTTAATAATTGTAATTACTGCCTTCTCTTAAATGTATCATGGTAATATGATTACACTCTATTCCCCTATATGTTGCCTCAATCTGAAAATTAGCTAACAGTGAGGGCTCACTTTGTGCCAGCTTCTATCCTAAAGGCCTTATGTGCAATGTCTTATTTTTTCCTCACGATAACGTCATGAGGTTTACATTTATCATCTCCATTTTTGGGATGTGGATACTGAGAGTTGCTGCCCCAGATCTTATACCTTCCAATTCATAGAATTAAGATTGAAACTTTGTTGTCTAACTCCAAAATTTGTGCTCTTAACCACATTACTATATGTCTTCTCAATGAAACAGCTAATTTTATATAACGTAATTTTCCATTGAATGTGTGGCATTATATCTTTCTCAAGTACATGGTTCAAAAACTCATCATGACATCTGGTCTACTGCTGTAGTAGATAACTGTATATCTTTCCAACTGTATGCTGTCATTTTTTTTTTAACCAGCAACGTTTAAAAAGACACCAGATATTTCATACTTCAGGGGATTATGTTGCATTGTTTTAAAGTCTGGGTAGCAGATTCTAAGATCTTAGGACATGCAATGAGAAAATGTTAGCTCTTTGTTGACACAAGCAACCACATAAATACTGGATGTCTTATTATTCAGCCATACCATATGCACTGTCATTAAGCAGGATTTATACATACACCCATCTAATAAAGGCTCTTTGCTGGTGCCTAAACAAAATGATTTGCTAAATCAGCACAGTAATATGGATTAACAATCAAGCAGAGCAAGTCTTGGGTCATGTACCAAAAAAAATCCTACCCAAGGTCAAAGATCTTTATTGGAAATACTGAGCTGAAAGTTTTCACTGAATTTTGTTATCTCAGCAGAACAGTAACAATGAACAAAGGGCAAAAAACCTCAAAGGTCAGCATGTCTTTTGGGTAGCTAGCAAGCAAGTAAGCATTTCCGAAGCCAGATAAATGGCTCCAAAGCATGACCCTATGTAATCCACATCTAATTCACCACTATGCCTAAGTGCCTTTGCACATGCTTCTGGAAACATAGCCCCCTTCATTTTATCTACCTATTTAGTTCACAGTCATCCTCCAGTTACAGTGACAAAATGATAAGGATGACAAAGACTACAACAATAATGACAGCAAACTAACATTTTTGAGCACTGATTGAGATGCTTTCAAAGGAACATGTCATTGAAATCTCATAATACCCTTCAAGTTGCATATTATTTATTCTATCTGTTGTATAGATGAGGAAATTGACATTAGGAAAGGTAAAATAACTTTATCTAAAGCTACATAGCTAATAAGTGCCACAGCTAGATTTTAGATACAGGCCTCCCCTGGGTAACTTTGAAACTCTTGCTCTTTTGTGTATATTCAAGACATACAGCAAATATCATCTTCTCTGTAGTCTTCCTTGTTCCTTTCTCAAAGTCTCTGCCACTGTCACCCAACAGAGCTAGGTCGTCCTCCCCTCTTTGTGCTCACAGTTCCTCATACATACCGATTTTGAAAAATATATATGAAGATACAACATTCCATTTATTTTCTTTCTACTAGACAATAAGGCCCACCTTTTATCTTTGTATCCACACTTACTATAATAAATTAAATAGATAATTGATTCAGGATTAATTAGACCAAAGGAATAAAAGGAGATATTAAAAAGAAGGGATCATTGAGGAGATTATGAAAGTACAGCTACATGGAAGGTGAGGTAGGAGATGAGAAAAAGCATGCCTGCTGCACGGGACACATGAACCAAAGCACAGAGACGTAAGAGTCTATTGTCCTTGAAAAATGCTCAGTAGTTTTTGATGATTGGAGTGAAAAGTGGACTGGTGAAAGTGGGAATGCTAACAGTTACAGCTAGAGAAGTACCTTAGACCAGCTTGTAAAGGAGTTTACATGTCAGGCTAAAGAATTAGGACATCACTGGGTTGGCAACAGGACTGTCAAAGAGTTTTTACTGGGAAAAAACATGTCCAGATAATTGTTTTTAAAAGACTACCTCTGCTTGCAGTGTGGAAAGAACGAATTAACGCAAATTGGGAGGCCAATTATCAGGCTGCTGCAAGAGCTTTTAAAAATAGAAGCAGAGAACTGGCACCAAAGCATTGGAAATTAGGATGTAAGGATGATATTGATCTGACAGACATTAGAGGTGAAAGCATGTGTAGGGAGAGGAATGCATTTATATGTCTCTGCGATATCTTGGCCCATGCTGGAAAATGAGACTACTAATTAAAAACATTGAGAGAAGAACCAGTTTGAGAGGTAGAGTACAGTTTTAGATGCGTTTGGTTTACGCTGTTTGTTGGACAACCATGAATGTTTACCTACGACAATACTGGAAATTCCAGCTTAGACAACAAAAGATGTTAAAACTGAAGGTTTCCATTTGGGAACCATTAGGAAAAGGGATGCTGGAACTTTGGACATCAATGAGCAATACTAAGTAAAGAAGAAAGCAGGATCTACAACCCAATATGAAATAATGCTTTGTTTAAGTATTAGGAGGAAAGAAACAAGCCAGTGAAAGAAACAGAATAATTGGAGAAGTAAGAGAATCTGAAGAGAACAGTGTTGGATATGTTGAAGGAGCAGGCAGTTTCTAACTAGCCTGGATGTCAGCAGTGTCAGATGCTGAAGATGATTTAAGGAGGATAAAGATTAAAAGAGGGCTGTTAAATTTTGTGCTGCAGGCCTCAATGCTCATTTTCAAAAGTAAAATGCAAGCTTAAGAAAGGGAATCTTTTCTCCTTCCTCATTCATTATTGATATGTCTGGTAAATGATATGTAATTCCTCACACAAGTTGGTACTCAATACGTGTTTAGGTTGGCTGAATAAATTTGGTTTGAAGACACTGAATAAGAGTAGCCGACAAAAGATCCTTAGAAGAGGAAGAAATTGGTGGAACAATAGATGAATAGAGGAGACGAGAAGATGGGACCCATGATGTAGCTAGAGCAGGTAAGTAGAAAAGAGGAAAAAATACTTCTAAGGGGAGGCACTGTGCTTAGGATCAGCAGTTAGATACCCAGGGTTTCAATTCTGCTTGCCCGCTTACTAGCTTTTTGACCATGAGCAAATTATTCCAACTATCTGAGCATGAGTTACCTCATCTGTAAAATGGTGCCTACATGCCTCCCCCAGCAGAGGGTTGCCAAGGTGAGGTTAACTGAGTGAGTCTATCGTGAGTGGGTTCAGCTGCAAGTGATCAAAAACTTGATGATAGTAGCATGTTCATAATAAGAAGTGTGAACTTGGCAGATTCTGGTTTAATTGTGTCAAGGTCAGTGTGGAGTAGAACTTACCTAGGTTTGGGGGCTGGAGTGGTAGATCTAGGAGGAGGTGAAGGGAAGCATCACCAAGATCCATGCGGATAAACTGTATTCATTTTCTGTTGCTACTGGTACAAATTATCAGAAATTTAATGGCTTATATCACACAAATATGTAATTTTACTCTTTGCTAAGTCAGAAGTTCAACACGTGTTCCACTAGTCTAAAATCAAGGTGCTAGCAGGGCTGTGTTTCTTTATGGAATATGTGGGGGAAATCTGTTTCCTTTCCTATTCTAGCTTTTGGAAGCTGCTCTCATTCCTTCTCTCATGGCCTTTTTGTCTTCAAAGTCATCAATGCCACATCTCTCTAAAATTCTTCCGTTGCCATGTCTCTTTATGATCACAACTGGGAGAGGTTCTTCACTTTATTTATTATTACTATTATTATTTAGAGATTGGCTCTCACTATGTTTCCAGGCTTGTCTCAAACTGCTGGGCTCAAGCAATTCTCCCACTTTGGCCTCCTGAAGCGCTGTGATTACATTCATGAGCCTCCATGCCTGGCTGCTTCTTTGCTTGAAAGGACTCATGTGATTGAACTGGGCCCACGTGGATAATCCAGAATTATCTTTTCATCTCAAGGTTCTTAGCTTTACTCTCATCTGTAAGGTTCCTTTTGCCAAGGTAACATATTCACAGGTTCTGGGCATTAAGACATGGACATCTTTGAAGGCCCATTATTTTGCCTACCATGCAAACCATGGGCCAAACTGTGTAAGGAAGTAGACAAGCCTAATAAAACATAATAGAAAACAACAGTGTGGAAGTGCTTAGAAACTAGAGGCCCTAGTCATGAGACAGAGAAGATTCATTTGACCATGAGTAAATATATGAGATGGGCTATAGGAAGACTGCCACTAGAAGAATTTCTAATCACTGTGGTTGAAGAAGGCAATACATTTTGATGTGTAGGATTATAGCTTTTGATTCTTAATGCAAACATGCTTCTTCTTAGCTGTGTGAATCTGGACAAGTTATTTGATCTCTCTGATGCTTTGTGTCCTCACTTGTAGAAAGAGGATACTAGTACAAACCTCATATTAGTGTTGTGCAAATTAAGGGAGATAATAAATTTAAACACTTAACGGGGAATGATATGGTTTGGCTCTGTATGCTGGCTCACACTAAAAATCCCAGCACTTTGGGAGGCCAAGCCAGAAGGATATCTTGAGCCCAGGAGTTTGAGACCAGCCTAGAAAACATGGTGAAACACCACTTCTACCAAAAATACAAAAATTAGCTGGGAGTGGTGGTGCACATTTGTAGTCCCAGCTACCCTGGAGGCTGAGGTGGGAGGATTGCTTGAGCCCAGGAGGTCAAAACTGCAGTGAGCTATGATCATCCCACTGCACTCCAGCCTCAGTGACAACGTGAGACCCTGTCCCAAAAAATAAGAAATAAAAAAATAAGAAAACTGAGTGGTGCTGGATCCCACAGGAAGGTGAAAGTGTGTGGAGAAGTCTGTGTTTATAAGAGCGGTAAACTTCTCTCTGCATGCAGCGGCTCACACCTATAATCCTAACAGTTTGGGAGGCCAAGGTGGGAGGATCACTTGAGGCCAGGCGTTCAAGACCTGATTGCACAACATAGTGAGACACACCTCCTCTAAAAAAAGAAGGAGGAGGAGAAGGAGGAGAAGGAGGAGAAGGAGGAGAAGGAGGAGGAGGAGGAGGAGGAGGAGGAGGAGAAGAAGAAGAAGAAGAAGAAGAAGAAGAAGAAGAAGAAGAAGAAGAAGAAGAAGAAGAAGAAGAAGAAGAAGAAGAAGAAGAAGAGTGGTAAATTTCTTAAGAGAAGACTTTCTTTAAACTGATTTAAAGTGATAATTTAAATTATAGCCTTCATAATTGAAATTATGATGACTAGACCTATTTAATACCCTAAACAGGATCTTCCTGCTAGATCTTCCATTATCTTGAAATAGCCTAAACTAAGACAACAACTGCACTGATAATATTTCTAGAGAATCAATGGAAATGTGGGGTAAGACCACGAAAAAATTAACAATGCTCTGGTTCAAACATGATTCCAGTAGAGATTTTTAGAAAAATGTTATCAACTCCAAAATTTTAGTAACTCTCAAGGAACTCTTCCAATTCATCTCCTTTATCTCCATGGTGTTGGGATTGGGGAGGATGGGAGAAAGGAAAAGAGCTGTGAGGAGAATCAGTGTATTTTGCCTCATTACCCTATGTCCCATGAGACCTTGCACCATGGACTTCCTCATCTCAGTATTCCTGGAAGGCCATGACTTCTTGCCCATGATAAACACTCAAAATTATTGTGCTCCATGTTCAATAAGTTTTTGTTTATCTGTGTATTTGTTTTTTTTTTCTTTTTTCTTTTAGAGACAGGATCTTGCTCTTTCACCCAGGGTGAAGTGCGGTGGTGTGATTGTAGTTCACTGTAACCTTGAATCCCTGGGCTCAAGCAATCCTCCTGCTTCAGCCTTTTCAGTAGCTAGGACTACAGATGTGTGCAACCATACCCAGCTTGTGTTTGTTTTTAAGGAAAGAAAATTATATGGTGTAACTTTTTTTTTTTTTTTTTTTTGAGACAGGGTCGCTTTCTTACCCAGGCTGGAGTGCAGTGACACAACCTCAGCTCACTGCAACCTCAACTTCAGCCTCCCGGGCTGAAGCAATCCCCCTGCCTCAGCCTCTTGAGAAGCTGGGACTACAGGTGCATACTGTCATGCCTGAATAATTTTTTTTTTTTGTATTTTTTGTAGAGACAGGGTTTCAGGATGTTGGCTAGGTTGGCCTCAAACTTCTGGGCTCAAATGATCTCCAGCCTTGGCCTCCCAATGTGCTGGGACTACAGGCCTGGGCCACCATGATTGGCCTTGTATAATATTTAAATGTTCAAGAGGGTATGCAGTGAAACTAAGATTATCTGCAAATTCTTCCTGACTACACAGATTCCTCTCCAAGAGACAACCAATTTTACCAAGTTCTTATATTTGCTTATCTTCATAGTAATGGATTTCTATCATTCACGGGTATATTTAGGGTATATGGATAATAAATATATTTAGTTTTTACTCAAATAGTAGCAAACTGTCACGTTGTTCTATACCTTACTCTTTTCACTTAATGAGATAGTTTGGGAATCTTCTGCTATCAGTACATAAAAAACTACCTTAATCTTTTTTAATACCTGAATACCATATGTAACTTTTAACCTTTTCTATGTAAGTTCTTATTTTCAATAGGACTGCAAATAGGCACTAAAAGAAATTAAAGCTAGTTTAACAGAACTATTCTAACTCTATTAGTAGGAAGGAATAGAAAAAAAGGTCATCCACACTTGCCTACCTTAAAAATGAGACAAAGAGAGCAGAGTTTGAAAATGTTCTACCTCTTCCTAATCTGCTGCTAATTCTGTTTTAATACCAGACCTTTACATGATTAACAGTATTATATTCCACATTATCCTGCAATACTTGGAGGCTCTAATTTTTGTAATGTCTTTTTATTTAGGAAAAAGTTCAGATGAAAAATCAAAGCATACAACCTTCTATATCAGAAGTATGGTAGATATCCATTACTATAAAGATAAATATAATATTTCAGGAAGTCATGGTATTAATTTGCTTAAACATTATATGAGAAGAAGTAAAGCTGCATATTTTTAGCCATACAATCTCATGTTAAATATAATAAAATATTTGAATAGATATCTTTAATATTCTTTCCAAATGTGAATTTTAATAGGATGGGAATGTTGACATTAAAAATCATAGAAAGCTTATAATGTGCCAAAAATCTGCCCTAATTCTTTTAGTTAAATTACTTTATTTAATCTTAAAAATAAAGTTAGAAAGCTGGTATTAGTATATTTATTATACATATAAAGATACTGATGGAGAGATGTTAAGTAACTTGTTCAATCTGCAAAGCTTGCAATTGTTCAAATCTGCAAAGGTGTAAGGTTCACCTAGTCATAAATCATATGCTTTCTGTCTGATTTATTCACCATCATTTCATATTTGTTTATCGCAAAAAGAATAGAACATTACATAATTTGAAGTGAAATATTGCAGGAATAATCTTTTAGGGTTGACTCAATGCCAAAAAAGCAAAGCTATTAGAAATTTGCCATGATGCCTGCCATAACTTCTAGAAAATTTCCAGAGACTTTTCCTCCTACAGCAGATATTATGTAATATATATTTAGCAATTTACAGATTTCTAGCTTTCCTCACATGAGAACTTCTTTGAAATGCTTTAAAACACATTAAAAAATAATAATGGAGAATAGAATGAACTTACATTTGACCATTTCTAAGTATCTATTTATGTATTCTATTAGATTACATTTTTTAAAAATATTGTTTACATTTATTTATTTTAGCCAGAGACGTACTCCAAGTTAACTCTAGTTTATAGATTGCAAAGAATAACAACTTGATCTTGTTTGAATTCTAACACTCACAACATGTGTATTATTGAATACATGGGACTGAGAATTAAAATTGAGCTATAAGGATTGTGCTCAATCTGTATGTGTGAATGTTCATAGCAAAAGGGGACAAAAGAGATGAAATTTGACATGATATTTTCACCAAACGACAAACACTTCATGAACACGCTGGACATTGGATTTGGTGGTAGTTAACTATGAATATGAAGAGTTTAGATTAAACAGAGCTTTCCAAATTACTGTTTTTAAGACTTAGCTCAAATGTCATCTTACTTGACAGCTACAGGCAGAATAATTTCATCTGTCTTATTCTTCCAAAGCATGTTTAAAACTAAAACATAAATCTGATCTCATGTCTGTCTCAACAAAAGATGAATTTCTGGATGGCAGAGTCCACTTTCTTGATTATGCCTGTATTCAAATACAGTAAAACACCTGGAACCTCTATTGGAAATGTTTGTTGAAGAAATTGACATTGTTTGAATTTTAATAATTCCTCCATAACCTATTGACTTTCTTTTAATAATTAAGGAGTAAGTAGACTTGTTATTCATGTTTTGTTATAAAAAAGCTCCTTGTTTGGAGGGAAGATTTTAACTTGAATGATATCTTTTGGAATATGAAAGTGCTATTTTGGATGTTGTTGTTGTTTTTTTGATGTTATATTTTTTAGCAGCTATATAGTATGTCTTGCATATATTTTCATTTTGTCAACAGGGTTTTCTTTAATATTTATTTGTGCGAACTAAAAATGTAGAGCATGATTCACCACTATTGACATGGCATTTTAATATTGCTTTCATAAGAGTAGTACTGGCAGTTTATGAGCACAGGAGATGTTAACACAGGAAATCTGGAAAAGGTATAAGGAATCCAGGTAACTATATTTCAGTGATCCTAAAATAGCACAAGTTCATCATAACAATGTGGTATTTATTGTAATAATGTTTAGTCTCATTTTTTAAAGACCTTAACTAAATCATTTGTTATACAGTTTAGAAATTCCAAATTACTACTAATTAAATCAGAAGCCAAGCACCATTTTACAATCACGTTGCCCTTCAAAAAAGTCAAGAGCATCTCAAAAACGAAAGTCTCTGGCTTTCTATGAGTCTTGAAGCACTTTTCTTCACTAATTCAACTGTCATTAAAATTATGCTCTTCAAAATTCAAAAATTTAAATTGGCTAAATATTGAACATATATGAATTACTCTTTAAAACTCAAATTAGAACACACACTCCAATGCACTTATAAATGCATCTATTAATGATGACAATATTTGAAAGTCACCAATATTGTATCTGTCGGTCAATATGAGGGTGTGATGTTTTTATGCTTTTTTTTTTGTTTTTTAACAAAAATGACTTGCATACTCCCTAATGTGTTAAATTTTCACATTGGCTTCTTTGTTCTTTAAGGTGTGAAGTAGGTTTTAATTGTGTGACTTTAGGCATATTACTTAATGATTTTCAATCTCAAATTCTCCATCTATAGGAAAAGGGAATTAAGTGAAATAATATATGTGATAAATTGTTGATGGTAATTGATGGTCTATTAAGCACAGAACAAGATTTAAGTGGCATTATCATGACTTGAGCAGCTTAGTTCAAGTTAGGAGCTATTGGAAACACCTATTTTCCCAGGATGCTTTTGATTATAGTAACATACATTGTCTGGGTGAAAGGCTCTTTCTATTTCAATAACGCATTTGCCTAACCTAGGACGTGGAAAACTAAATTTGGCCTGTGGCTTACTTTTGTAGGTCCCATGCTCTTACATTTTTAAGTGCTTGAAAAAGGTCAAAAGATTTGTTACACACGATATTATATAAAATTTAGATTTTATTATTCACAAATACAGTTTTATTGGAACAATACCTTGCTTATTTACTTTTCTATAATCTATGGCTACTTTTACACTATCATGGTAGCATTCAATAGTTATAACAGAGAACATTTAGGTCTTCAAAGCCTAAAATATTTGCTATCTGAATCTTTCAAGGAAGTTGTGCAAACTCCTGGTCTAATCCTGCAACCATCAACTGTTGTACATCCTTGAATTATGAGCTGGAAATAGAAAATATTTTGATAGGCTTGGATTTAAAAAGAGTCATAAATATCTGAAGAATTAGAAAATAGGAGCACAAACTTCCTTGTCATCTTTGGAAAACTTAGAAATACCTACGGAATTACAAAATGGGAACAATAAAATTTTTCATAGAATTTGATTGAGAAACCAAGAAATAGCAAAAGTAGTGGTGGGATCATGAACATGATATGACTCATGTAATCAATTGCTTAGAAAAATGCCTGTTTTTAAAAGCACATTAAAATGACCAGAGGAAGAGCTGAATCATAACTCTGTTGCCTGTTTCTCTAAATGCTGGAAAAACAGCCGGCACCACTGTAGTACTATATACATCCTTAAATCTATGATAATAACTTCCTGGGTCATCACTATTTCTGTACACCAAATTCCTTGTATTCATGCACAGTTTGTGTTCAATTCAGGAATGTTGGTACCACATAAATCATTGATAATTTGTCAGCTGATTTGATGAAATTTTTGCAGGTTTATAACTATTCAAGTGTATTATTTCTATAATTTAACTTTGAGTGCCAAGAGCATGTAGCTTATTGAATATATACATGTGTGCACACTGAAATCTTATTTCCAGAGCAATTGTCCCCATAAAATGTTTCTTTCGGCCAGGGACAGTGGCTCACACCTGTAATCCCAGCATTTTGGGAGGCCAGTGCCGGGGGATCACCTGAGGTTATGAGTTCAAGACCAGCCTGGCCAACATGAGGAAACCTTGTCTGTATTCAAAATACAAAAATTAGCCAGGTGTGGTAGCACATGCTTATAATCCCAGCTACTTGGGAGGCTAAAGCACAAGAATTGCTTGAATCGGGAGGTGGAGGTTAAAGTGAGCCAAGATCATTGTGCTGCTGCACTCCAGCCTGGGTGACAGAGCGAGACTGTGTCTCAAAAAAAAAAAAAAAAGAAGTTTTTTTCAGGGTGTCTTTTTCTCTAACCTATGAGACTAAGGGATGAAATACACTCTTTGTGAGTAGATGTGGATTAATCACTGGCCCATCTGTATTCAGGGTTTAAAATGAACCATATTTTCAAAGTCTGAATGATCTATAACTCAGTTGTAATAGATTGCTAGAATAATGAGTGATGATTTGGTAGAATTAAAAAAGCTAAAAAGGCTTTTTAGTGGTGATTCCAGGAAAGAGCAGTTAAAGCTTTGCACTTTACCATCGTATTCTTGTCATTTACTATAGAAGCGAGAGAGGGAAGATTTTGAACTAAAGCTCACATAGTAATAATAAAGATAGATTGACATATCAAATTATTATATCATACATTTTCTCCTCTTTGTGCTGTTTGATACTAAACATCTTTGGAATTCTCTGAAAGACTGGAGCCTGCAAAAATCTTGCTCAGAATATCAAGCAAATGGCGGTTGTGTGGACTTTTTGCACAAAGACATCAGGATCCTATGAATGTACGCATATATGCACAGATGTGTGTCTGGTAGACATAGAAACAAATTTACATTTTGCAATAACTCATTAAAATTTAACAAAAGACCAAGAGAGAAAAATAAAACACTAAGAGTAGATTTCAGGACCCAGGATACAATGTTCGGAGAAAACTTTTATCCTACAGGTTTTTGTGGTTGGGAGCGGATCCCTCATGTGGATGAGACACAGTGTTATGGGTGGAATTCCACAAGAGGATTGTTATGGAGTCTGAAAAGGTATATATTTATAGAATGAAGCCTGTCTTATCTATTAGCACAATCCCGCTCCCCACTCTAGATAAATGAGGTCCTGGAATATTTCCATATATCAGAAAACCTCTTCTCTCTTAGCTTGATTCTTTTTCATAGCAACAGTAAATTAGCATCATACATTCACATAATGTGATAATTCTGAAAATACTTGTGACTATACAATCTGATTTTAAATTCACTGAAAGCCGGTGAAATACACAGAATGGCAATACATATTTATACTTTACAATTGAGGAAATAGAAATTCAAATAGATGAAGTGATTTACCTAAAGTTACACAGTTTTATGTGAAATTGATATTCAGGTTAATTTTCTTTAGACTAATGTTCTTTGCATTATAAAACAATGATTAAACAGTCAGTACCATTTTTCCTTTTTAAAGTCTTGATTCGTATCTGTCCACATGGAGAGGATCAAAAGCCAATAAAATCTATTTCATTTTCTTTACTCATGATATTGAGTATTAAAAATAAATTACTTGCATAGCTTCAAATAAATGATTCCACACCCTGCTGTTTTGTTATTTATTTTAAATTCATATAAACCATTGAGATTTATCCAGAATTTTTATATGTAGTTTTTCTTAATGCATATATTTTCCTTTATTACATTTCACTAATATGTACTTCCAGCATTTTGATAAGTCAAATTACATCCAAAAGAATCCATGCTGTACTCAAAGAAGTTAATCTTTAATAGTTATTTGATAAAGAAATGTTTTAAACAAAGAGGCATGTGCTCTTAGTTATTTCAATTTGTAATTCTTACTCTTGGAACAATCATTTACTAGTTTCCTTTGAAAAGCAGGGATTTTTTTTTTCCTTTTTCCTATTCTTTTCTCATTTATCATTTCCTCAATTATTGATTATTGCAAGAGGATAGGTATGGGGAGAATTGGTGAGAAGATTTTCTATTTCAAAAATGTGTGTCCTCCTGACAGTTTAATTTCCTGGTCTCTGGCACAGATATTTTAATTGTGCATTTTCATTGATTCTAATTAAATATCAGACTCATAATTTACTCACATTCTTTCCTCTTCTATGACACAAGAAAAAAATTGATATTATGTTTCCTTCAATTTATCTCTTAAATCAACAATCAATTTTGTTATAGTGTTGGTCAAAGAAGTCTCTGTTTAATATGAGTCTCAAAATAAGCTTCTCTAGTTCTAGAGGAGCTTCTAGTCAGCTTTCTTTGCAATTTATTTAGAAAAGCTGTGCTAGGGCATTATTGAATGTGAAACTTGACCCTCTCATGAATTTCTAGCAAACAATGTATTATTTTATTGATAACCTCCATTGTCTTCACTTCTGCCATATGGCTGTTTAACATCTGTGTCTCATTACTTCTGCTTCCCTAATAATTGATTCTATATTAGGATGGGTATAGCATTCACAAAACATTTTAAAATAATTTCATCATGCAAGCTTATAATGTTCTCTAGAGAGAAAGGAGGGTCAATTTAATAACAACAAGTTAAAAACTACTATTAATGGAAAAGCTACTGAATTAATTTCAGAAAAACATAAACTACCAAATTTTACATCTAAAATTCTAACCATTAGATAAAAATGTGGGAAAATGTAAGTCAATGCTCAGGTTATACAATGAATGATGAAATGCTAAAATTAATTAAACTAGTTGTTTATGAAATAGTCTTTCTTATTTATGGAATAATGGTTTAAATAAACATTTTAAAGTGTTGCGCTTTTGGATCAAATATAGGACAATAAGACAAATTCTGTTTTCAACATTTACTGTTTATAAAGAAGTCTGATTACACTGAATTTTAAACAATCTTGCATGTACATTGAGCATTCTATTTTTGTATGTGTTGTGTTATTGTGAGGTTATGACAAGTGGGTAGATTTTCTATAAGTAAGAGATATAAACTTAGGCTATGCAGTTGTCAATGTTGATAAAGTAAATAATAATTGCAGATATAGAAGCATATTTCAGAACTGCTTAAATGGTTTTACAGGTAAAGGGGGTTTCTTAAATATCATCCAAATGTGATTTGATGACGTGCTAAAATAGATGCTTTTGAAGGGTCATTAACCTTCATAGGCCATGGGACCATCATGAAGAATTTCAAGATGGTGATTTCTTAAATTGCCCCTAATGGAAAGTTGCTTTCTTGTATAAAAGTACCAAACTTTTGCCTGAGGAGTGGTTTATTTGCCAGGAAAGATCCTTCATTTCATTTTCATTTCTGTTAACTTGCTTTAGTTTTTCACTAAAGCATTGAAAAAGTCTTAAGGCTACATCTCAGTCCAATTTACTTCTTTTTTTTTTTTATACCATTGCTTCAATTTCGAGAATACTAGAAATGGCAGTTCTCTTGGGTAGAAAAAGCTCATAGGAGAAATCTTGAATCTTCTCTCCCTGAGCTCTAACATGTTTACACAACAGTAATAGTCTAAGTATTATCCTATTATTTCCTCTGTGCTACCTTTTATTTTAGCCATGAACTAATACCATACTGCAGAGTTTATAGATAATAAGTTTTGCTAGACTTTACGTGCATAAAAAGTTGAAAGGGAAGTATTCCGCAGCTACTGGGAAAATAGATTGCTTCCAGAAGATGTGTATTAGAAAACATGAACCCATTTGAGGAAGGACTGCAGGTCACAGAGAGGTCTGCTCAGTCAAGCCTGAGTATTTAAAGTGTTACCAGCAGACGCTAAGGAGAGTGATGCATGAGAAAATAGAGCAGTCAGATAATTGTTAGAAGATGGACTCACAAAAGTGATTGGGAAGTGCACAGCCATGTGAGAGAGCCTCCACAGGAATTGATGGCTGTGTAAAAGTTAAAAACAACCCAGGCCTTAAAAAGGAAGTCATAACGCTAGAAACCAATTTTAGAAACAAAAAGAAAGTGTTGGTGTTCAAAAAAGATATACCAAACCACCAGGAGACAAAAAGGAAGTAGTGGGGGGAAACAGACACATTTGAAAGTACATTCTCTCCCTGAGGTCATAGATTTTCTTTCTCAGCCCCATGCCCTGAAGTGTACTGAGTTTAGGACCAAAAGGAAAATGCCCTATTTGAAGTCTGAAGGGAATTAAAATGCAGTACAACATTTCCTCTTCTGTTTTTAGTTTGCAGCCTCTGGGCAACTGCCAACTACCAGTAAAAAGCTCCCTATCTCAGGGCATATAATTCTGGTACGAAATAGGCAGCAAGTACAAATGAGACCTTGACTGCAACTTTTATATATATACAAATTTGTTTCCCTGTTCTGTGTGTGTTGAGCTGGAAAGACAGTGGCTTATTTAGACCTCAGGAGTGATGATGTAGGTTGTCTTAGAGTTTGGAATTAATACACTCACGACAAGAGAGATTTAAGTACCACGGAAAAACTTCCAAATGCTTCTATCATGGGGTTAGTTTCTTAAAAGGCCTTTAAAAGAGTAAAAATGATCTGTCAAAAGGCTTGGTAATGTTTTGATATTTGGATACGCAAGGGAACGATATGAATCTTCCAATGGAAATGGGAACCTACAAAAAACTTCCATATGCTTTAAAATAATTTTCAATGTAGCTAATGCCCCTCATAAATGAGCACAATTTTATTTTCATTTCGTAGCCTCTGGTTGGCTGTCAGTCCTCATCTGAACACTCTCTCACTGCATCCATTACCCACGAATATTTAAAGAACAAATATGGCCCATGCATTCAGAGGATATCCTCTTGATGGACTACCTCTGCAATTTCCTTTTAACCCTATGTCCTCTGATTTAGAAAATGTTTTAGAACCTTCTCCCCTCTCTCTCTCTCACACTCTCTTTCTCTTTTTCCTTCTCTCTCGTGTGTGTATGAGAGAGAGAGAGAATCATTAACCACTCTTGAAACATTGTTTGTTTCTATAACCTTCAGGTATAATGTGTTAAATGAGAAAATTTAGGAAGAAAAATATTTACATACATTTGAAGCTCTTAGATCATAAATCTGGGTAGGAAATAAACATCAAATCTGTTTACTTGGCAAATGGTAAGTGAAGATAGGGATGCCATTAACAACCATGGAGTAAGTTGATGATGAAGGAATGCAGGTGATTAGGCACTGAAACCCTTAGACCTGTGCATTGTAACAAAAAGAAACAGGGACGATGGCCCACATGGACCCCATATTGAGCAGGAGAGATTTCAAGTGTTAAGACAGTCATTTAGCGGTAGCCATTTGTGACAGTATAAGTTAATGGTGTCCTCATTTTAGTAGGAGATTCCGATATTAGGTTGTTTAAAATTTAGAATTTCAGGTGAGAGTAAACTTATCTATGGGGCTCAGTTGATTCAGTTTAGGAAACTTGTAAATAGCATTTATCCGTAATTGGCTTACCAAGTACATGTATAAATGTATACTTACCTAAATGCACCTGTGTGCCAAATGGAGATTGCTTCCTTTCCACATTTAGTTCTCATGAAAAGATGTGAGCAGTTGGAATATTACTACATATAATTATAAAAGAACACGGAGAAGGCTGATGCTTGCTTTCTCTCTATAAAAATTTGTTGTCTTTCACGCACTAATTAATTATTGAACTAATGAATTCATTTCATACGCTAATGAATTATCAACACCTTCCAAAAGTAGAATCATATTACAGAATTATTATTTTGGATTTTGTTTTCATTGAAAGTGTTAGCCAGTTATTAAGCTTTGGATTCTTATTTTAATTTTTGTTAATCTACATTTACCGTCTTAGACAAAGGACCGAGGATAAGTCAAGCTTTGACTCTGATGGAGGAGAGGAAGCTCAATTGGTTCAGGCATTGAGGTGAACGTAATATGACCTATCTTTGGATATACCACACCTTTATAATGTTCTTGCTTTTTTATTTTCTTTTTGAGATGGAGTCTTGTTCTGTTGCCTAGGTTGGAGTGCAGTGGCCCAATCTCAGCTCACTGCAACCTCTGCCTCCGGAGTTCAAGCGATTCTCCTGCCTCAGCCTCCCAAGTAGCTGGGATTACCGGCATGCACCACCATACCCGGCTAATTTTTGTATTTTTAGTAGAGACGGGGTTTCACTATTTTGGCCAGGCTGTTCTCAACCTCCTGACCTCAGGTGATCTGCCTGCCTTGACCTCCCAAAGTGCTGGGATTACAGGTGTGAGCCACTGCACCCAGCCTATAATGTTTTTTGACTGTACACTGTGAGTCTCTCTTTTAATCCCAAATAGCTATTCTGAAAATTAATGACAGTAAAGCAGCACACTCATTTTTGCATATGAACAACCCATCCTTGTACCGGAGGATGACAATACTGTTTATATATGTTCTGATACTTCCTGAAATACCAATTCTGTCCATGCTGAAAAAAAAAATAAAAATGACTTTGAGTGAGTCGTTATAATCACTCTTCTAACTTCTAACTCAGAGATAATAAAGAAAAGATGTCTTTCAAACGTGTAGATAGTTCTTGATATTTTCTAGACTGAGGACATGTTTGTTCAGTAATAAATCATTGATGAATATGGCCTGATTGTGCTTAAGAGCAACAGAATTTATTTAAGTTCATACAATGTAATACTAGATAGGCAGGAAAGAGCCCAAAAAACACCAGAAAATGAATCCTACTCATACCTACGTCTTGAACTTTTCAAACTGTTTTTCATTTCTGAACAGATGTTCTTATTTAAATGTAAAACCAATGATATTGATGTGATTATCTGTTTAATGGATGTTCAGATGCCAACAATACAATTAGTTGAGCTCTCTACAGATACTTATGTGTTCACACAGGAAATAATACAGGTATTTCAAACATTATGAATTTATTCTTCCCAAGCTGATTCATCTGTTAGTCAATATACTGTACTGGTAAAAGTCTCAGGATAAAATAGGCAGCACAAACAGTGACTTTTCTAGTTTGTTACACTCTAATCAGGGGCTAGCACTTATAATTCCAATTTTCAACAGAAGAAATATAATGAAGTATAGTGGAATGTCAATGTAAGATCTATAATGCCTCCACCCCACACACTTGTGGGATGCCCCTACAAAAAATTTTGACATCTGTATATTCAACAGTTTTTATTCTCTTTGGCTTTGATTTTAATTACAAACCCTAATCTGTCAGAACAGAAATGGTTCATAATTGTTTGACCATACTGAATCATTTACATTGTCTAATCCATCCTTATGTAACATGATGAGTTTGTTTTGCAAAACAGATCAAAATTTAATTTCTTTGAATTGTCTTTCAGTATTGACTTTGGTGTGCTCTTGGTTAAGCAGCAATCTTTTCTGAGAAATGGTTTATTGTTGAAACATTTTAAACAAATCAATTACCTTCCTGTAACGCAATAATATTACAATATGCAGGCAACCATAGCTTCCATTGTACATGACACAGTCGATTTTATGAAGCCGTAAACATTCATATTGGTGCTATTTAGCCTGTAGTAATATAATTTGAAAAGGAGATATTGACCAAGTTATGTTAATACGTTATCTGAAAAAGCTCAATATGTCAGGAGCTCCCTGGAAATAGACATACGGCTTTCAGGTTTGGAGGTTAAATTAAAGAGTCAGAACTATATGAGGAAATATTAACGTGATAATATAGTAAATATCAAGTCCTTTTTGCACTAGGAAATGACTTGGTTTGAGAAGTAGGTTTGCTACCATCTGCCTAACGTGTTAATTATTTGTAGAGTAACTCTCCCAGGTACAGAGCGGCATTCTATAGCTACATCTATCCAATGCAGATACATTCACTACCTTCTTGCCCCATGTTTCTTTTTATTTTTTTCTGGCACGTCTAAGTAGAAATGCTTAACTAAATTATTATTTTAAAAATATAAATCTTATTATGTTCTTTCTTTGCTTAAAATTTACTAATAGCCTCCCACTTTACTCAGAAAAAAAAAAAAATCCAAACATCTTGATACCTGTAAGGTACTACCTGATCCATTTAGCCTCTGTCTGCCTCTCCTGACTTTTCTCCCCTTTATTTCCTGTGCCCCAAGCGTACTGAACTTTCTTTATTCCTCAAACTTATTATGTTAATTTTGGTCTTATTGACATTGTATTTGCTATTCTCTAGGCCTGGAATGTTCCTCTTCACAGCTACCTGTAGCTGACACCACCCATCTTTTGGGCATCAATTCAGATGATCTCCTAAGGCAGATCATTTTCTGATAATCTTATCTAATACTTTTCCCTTCCCTACCCTCTTAATCTCTATGTTATTCTTTGTTTTATTTTTCGATTGCACTTTGCGTTATCTGAATTTATTGGCTGTTCTGCTTGTTTATTTTCTCATGAGAATAGGTACATTGACTTATTCACTGTTCTATCCTTAGCAGCTAGAATAGTCCCCATGAGAAATATTCAATAACCATTTATTGGTATAATAAATAAATGAAGAATGAATACATATTCAAGTAAGCAATTGACAAGACTATTACCCAGGGATCAGAGATAGAATCAGTGGTAGGTGAAAAGAACAGTTCCCTCCTGTTCTGTCACCTCTCTGCAATAAATGCACTTTGGTGATATTGACCTTTTGGTAAAAACCTAATTCTCTATTCCACATCTTCTCATCCTCCAGAGAAGAGAAATAATCTAACCCATAACTTTATTAATGAATGAACCTTATTTAGAAAACAGTTATAGGCATTACCTATACCAGCAGCCACCACTGTATTACTTATAAAATAGTGCTTTCTGCTAGAAAAATCAATAATCCTGGAGTATTATGACAATGACTTTGGTTTCCTCTTAAGTAATTACAAATCCAAGTAATCAGATTGCTATTATTAGAATGACAATGCTTTATGAGATTTCACCTTAATCGTTCACAATAACTCCCTTTTATTCAGTGATAGTTTAAATGATGTCCTTGCTGTATATCATTATTTTTCACAGAAAATTGCATGAGATCTTATGCAGTAGTTTTGAAATTACTGCTTGTTGTCACCACTATATACAACCACATAAACAGTATGTGGTTTGTACAGTAGATCATTTTTCTTGTTTATATTCAGCAAGCTGTCAGTGCTACACACTAACACCAGCTGTTAAAAAATGACAGTAGTATTTTATCTCTCACTACCAAGATCCTTTATGTAGAGAAGTTTTTTTCCCAAACAGTATGTGTTGCTGAATAATGATAAAGGTTGGTATGATTAATAGTGGTATTTTTTCAGGGTTCATTTGCAATGTAAAATAGAATGTAAATAGAAAATTTACAGAAAAATTCAAGTATTGAGAAAGTCAGATTCTATACTTGAATCCAAGTCAGTTTGATTATTCAGGAATATCTGAAGGATAGAATAAGAATTATCTCATTTCTAAGGTTGTTCAAGGTGAATCCTAAAGATATATATGTATATGTGTAACATATAATAATCTAAAATAAGTTAGTTTCAATATCCCAAAATGTTTATTGATATCTCTGTTTGCTACTTTCTGCTGTTCTCTCTTCTTAATCTTTTTCCTTTCTTCAAGAGAAAGTGAGTGCCTCAAGGGCAAAGACCATATCTTTCACATCAAATATCTATTAGGTTTTGAAGAAATATACACGTCAGCTAACTAAAAATGGAACAGACTTTCTTGAAACCATTTTCTATATTTAGAAAGCACAAACACACTTGCTTAGACTAATCACAAAACCAGAGTCGGAAAGTTTCTTTAAGTCTTTGTATCTTTAATGGTCTCTATCACAGTACTTAGGTAAGACACTTGCAGCCAGCTGCACACAAGGCCAGGCCACAGGCCAGGCTTCACGGTCAATGTTGCCAAACATGTTTCAGGTAAAAAGTGTCGGACACTAATAATCATCATGCAGGCTGAGGCCCTTTCACAGAATGTAAAACATTATACTACGTTAAGATCTAAGACATTTTGTTCTTTAGATAAACATCTAAGACTAAGAATTGTGCACACTAAAAACAAAATGCAGTTAGAATTGTTATTTATTATTAAATAGAAGATCTTTATATGTGGTTGTGAATAAAAGGTAAACAGTACTTAAGTTTAGAAATATATTCTCTTACCCTATAAACAATTGAGTTTTTCTTATAAAACTGAGTCGTGAGTCTTGTTCTAGCTTCAGCAGTAGCTCAACCAGGGCTTCTAGATGTACTTAACATTTCCAGGGGCAGAGTCACATTAGATTTTTACCCTAGTTCTAATTTAATTCAGATGATAAAGTCCTATGGTGAAGAAAATTAGGAAGTTTCCAAATTGTGTATACTCAAATCACATATCTGTCATATATTGAAATATTTGTGTGTACTATATATGTGTATATATTTTCATATGCATGTTTATATCTTTATTTGAAATGGGTGGGTTTATGTAAAAACCTTCAAAGGTTGATGACTGCTCCATTGCAGGGGAAGCTATCTAGACAAACTTTGGCTTTCTTATATCTATTTTAAGTATACATTTAAACATATATAGACATATCTGACTTCTATTATATTGTGACATTTTGGTGATATTCTATGAATAGCAATGTAGTGATATGCTTTTTAGTAACACAACTTGTCCAAAGATCTCATAACCAGTTACCGTATCAGGAATTTATCACAAATTTTTCTGGACAACTACAACGGGTATTATAAGATATACTTAACCCGTTATGAGAGAACCCCATAGGTTGTCACTCAAGATCCATTTAATTCCAGCTTATATCCAAACGAACACACTTGGATGTTTCATCTCTAAGTCAAAGCAGGCCAAGCAGAAGCCACTGGAAGAGGGAGCGTGGAGACATCTAGGGGAGTAAATAGTGAGAGGTCATGACTGAGCCGGCAGAGTCAAATATCAGAGGCCAACAAGAGAACTTTCACAAGTGTCTGTTTTAGAAGAGGGGCAGATGACTGTTTTAGTAGACCTCATCTGAGCCTCTGAGTTTATCATAAAGACCACAGAGGAAAACATGTAGGAGGCGTATTATATAAATTACATACAACTATGAGAAGAGTTAAATCATAGCCCTGAGTCATCAAGATTGGATTAACTGTTATTCAACAACATACTCTAAGAAGCCTGGAAAAGCTCTGTAGTATATTTTAGAAATATTTACAGCAAAATAGGTACACATTTTTAAGTTTGGTCCTTGTAAGAATCCATTTCAATTACCTGGAAATTCTGTTTTCTAGAACTAGTATTAGTGTATAGCATAGCATATTTTCATTCTTTTTACTTTGATAAGTAAAAACACACCATTCATTCATTTTGGTATAGACAGTAATCAATAGGAGGTCTAGAATGTAGGTCTTCAATAATGTTTGTTTGCTTAATTACTAAATTGAATCTGATGGAATTCCATTTGTATAGGTGAAAAATAGTTATCTATCAGCAGATATAGATGGCTTGATATAATAAATCTATAATGATGGCAAGTAATGAAGAGTTACTAAATTTCCTCCCTGGTTGTGACTAGAATTGGTGATTTTTTTTTTTGTAAAATGCCTGTATTTTTCTGTTTGCCAGTAAGAAGTTCAGAAACAATGTTTTTTTTATACATCATGTCTTTACATGGAAGAAACTTAGACAAAAACTAAGCTAAATAACAAAACCTGCCTTGTTATATTCCTTGTAAGAAGACCAGAAAAGAATTATGTTGGTATTTTTAACAAAAGATACAGCTATCTTCATCGGTGTCATAGGTGGTGAAGGAAGCATTAATTAGTCTTGTCCTGGAAAAAAGCAATGAGCTTCTGCCTAAAAACTAAATAAAATAATATAAAGAGCAACAAAACAAAACAAAACAGAAATAAAAAGCCCTCCCATACTTGGTGTCCACCCCATGACTAGGTACAGTTTTGAATGGTCACTTGAAACATATGAAAATGTATTCGTATGTTTCTGTCTATAATTCACTGTCAGTCTTGATACTGCAGAATCTGAAATGCTGAGATTGCAAGATTTTCCTGTAATCCGGATTCTAAAACCTTTCAAAAACCAAAAATGTACACATACACATGGCAACACAATTTTAATTTATCTAAATGGTTCATATACTCTTTACTCTTGTTTATTTTTATGCATTCAAAGAAAAACAGGAAAAATAGAGACTAGCAGTACTGTTCTGGGAAGCTTGGGCAAAGCATTAAGTGTAGTGGTGATTTATTCTTACAATACCCTTTTACCAGACACCTACTCTGTTCCAGGTCCTTGAAAAAAATACTCCTAGTAGGTTTATGCTGGTGGGGTCTACATTACAATTAAAACATTAAGCAGGAGAGCAAGTGGAAGGCAGTGTCAGTAAGGTTATAATAGTCACTTGATTTCTTTGCTTTTGTGTGACAAACTTCAAATTCCACCCACTCTAGAGGAAGAATAAAATGGAAAAATTGAATATAGGAGAATAGTGTAATTATTCTCTTTTCAACGTGGAATCAAAGAGTAATTAATATTAATGTTGCTTCACTGACAATCAACATTTATCGGTCAAGAATTTGAAAAAGTTTCCAAATCTGCAATGTAGATTAAACAGACTTATGGATTTTTGCCTTTACTGCTTGAGACCTGGAAAATTAGGACTGTCCTTGCCTAATTATTTTTGTCTTTCAAGTTGGGTCTGACCATAACTCACCGTCTGCTAAAAAGAAACTTTATGTGCTACTAAAGAGAAACATTGATTGAATATGGCTTTTCTCAAGTCATTCTCATTTACACTTGTGAAAATGTCTAACTATTGTCATAGGTAAAACAACGTTTCTGTAACCTAAGGAGACAGTATGCATAGCAGTTAATACAAGGCTTTAGAACCAAACTGTCTAACTTTACCACACACTAACTGTATGACTTTAGAATAAATATTCATTCTCTATGTCTCAAATAACTTATAAAGAACTGGAAGATAATATTATTCACCTCATTGAATTATATGAAGATTAAATGACTTAGTATTAGGGCTGGCAGATTCAGCAAAACTAAAAAATAATAAAACAAAGAACACCCAGCTAAATTTGAATTTCAAATAAACGATATTTTTTGTGTAAGTGATAATTATACTTATATGAGACATAGTTATACTAAAATACCCTGAGTTGTTTATCAGAAATCCAAATTTAACTGGGCTTCCTGTATTTTAATTGGGAGCCCTACTAAATATATGTAAAGTTGTGTTACTTTGTCAATATTATGTATGTATTTTCTCCTATGACCAGTGAAATGACTTAGTATGGCATATCAGTTCCTTTTCTTTTAATTGCTTCTTCCAGGACCAGTCCAGTGTAATTGTTCTTACATATATTTGCTCTAAAAAGTGCTATGAGTGACCAGTTGAAAGCATAATTATTTAATAAACTGTTTTTAAGTTCCCTGAGTGTCTTACAAAAATAATTTTATAGGAAGATAAATTTTAGCACTAAAAGCCCCTCAAAAGTTGCTTTCTGTTGGTAATGATGATAGTGATAATGAGATCTTCTACAAAATTGATTACACAGCTAAAGCAGTGAAGAAGGATGAAAAAAACCCCAAGCAGTAGCCTATTCCAGTTGTCTACCCAGGTATAATTCCTAGATACTTTCAAATACAATGTCAATTGTCCATTAGATACAAGTGACAATAACTAAGGTTTCCTTCTCCTTTCCTTCAAATCCTCTATCTTCTCTCCAGGTTTTCCCTTTATTAGGAAGACTTCCATATCTTTCTCTCAGCCGAGCATCACCTAAAACCCACTCATGTGCCAGGTGTTAAAAGATTGCTTATAGAGTTAACTGATGACTGATTCGGGATGAAACTGTTGTTTGTCCAGGGTTTGTAATTATGTAAGAAACACTTAAACATGCAATGTATTTCAGAGTCAAAAAAAAGAAAACAAAAAAACAAGAGTCGATATTAATGAAAAGCAAGAAGGTGTTTCAGGCCAAATGACCTGCTTGTATGATTTTGTGTCACGTGATAAGACATGGTGCAAACATCTAGCTCATTACTAGATTCTTTCTTTATAAAACAAAATAATAATATCCTGCATCAGGTTGCACTGTTTTTTCTTTTAAAAATTCTTTCAAATAATTTTTTTTTTTGCATAGCCATAATTTCTGCCTTTCTGTCTCTCTTTGGCTCTGTCTCTCTCTTTCTCTCTCTGTCTCTCTCTCTCTTTCTTTTTCATAAGAGTTGATGGGGTAATTTCAAGTCTCTGCATAGTGAAATTATAGCATAGAAAGTAATTTAATGGTAATTACATAGATGAGGGCTGCCCAATCTTTTGGCTACCCTGGGCCACATTGGAGGAAGAATTATCTTGGGCCACACTTAAAATACACCAACACTAATGACAGCTGATGAGCTAAAAAACAAACAAAAAAAAACTTACAATGTTTTAAGAAAGTTTATGAATATGTGTTGGGCTGCATTCAAGAGCTGTCCTGGGCCGCATGTGGCCTACAGAGCCATGGCTTGCAGACAAGCTTGACCTAGATAGACCCAACAATTAAACCGAGTCTTAGTGAACTCTAGATCATTTCCTAAATGTTCTCTCTATCCAGACTCCATTGCAACAGCAGAAGAAGGAATAGTTGATAAGTAGGCCACTAAGTTGCTCACTTAAGAAAGGCAACATAACATGTTCTTAGGCATTGAGTTTTATATATATATATATATTCTTTGCTTATAGCTTTCACAGGCAGATTTCAATGGAATAGAAGTTTTATTGAGCACCCACTGTGCACAGGCTTTGAGCTAGTTTCAGGGAATATAAAAAACACAGACATTATACTTGATTCAGGTACAGTATAGTGGAGGAAAGTTAAGTTCACTAAAAGCTATAAGATACTTTAAGTGCCCTTAAATTGTGCTTTGGGGAGTCAGAGATCACATTTAAAATACTTGACACTGCAATGAAAAATTTATACAGAAATATAGTTGATACTTAATCTCTTCTATCAGACAAATGATCTTATTGCGACTTTAGCTGAAGACAATTACAAGTGACAATCATTGGTTTAGTTTTAGAGCCTGTGCAGTGACAGCACATAGTGGGTGTTCAATTAGCATGTGCTAAATTTCGAAAAGAATCCATGAATCGTAAGACAGTAATGGACCTTACTCGGCTATGATGGTAGCAGGGAGAACATGTAATTCATTTTTGCCTGACACTAACAAAGTGTCCTTCTGCTTTTCTGGGCAGCCACTAAAATGTATAAAACTGCTCTGGATGATTATTTAGAGTCCTCTCAACCTGTTCTTTTCTATTTTTAAGTATGTAATAATTTACGTTAAAGAAAAAGGAAGGGGAATTTTGAAATTATTTGTAACTTGTGACCTCTTGGTTTTTATCTTGGTGCAGTTTGTCTAAAGGATGAAACAGCATAAATAACCATACACATTTTTATTGTTAATAATTTATTATTTCTTATGAAGTGTTGGACCACATGTAAGGTGCTTGTTTATGTTAATTCACTGATTCATTGTGACTCTTGGCAATTACTTTCATTATTAGGATTTTGTAGACAAAGAAACTGGGGTTTGAGAGGTTACCTGTCATAACTAGAAAGTAAGGATTTGAGATGTGATCTCAAGCAGCATGACTCTAACAGAAAACCCAAGTTCTTAATGACTTTGCATTATCATTTCAAAAACTCAAGACTCAATTTAAAATATTTATATGTCCTGGGTCCCTAGATCATATTAAAATGTACTAATCTCATTTGGAATAGTGTTTAATGTTATAATCATTTCTCTTTCATGCCCTGAGCATGTTTAAATTCTAAGAAGGTTTACAGCACTTACATCATGATGTTTTAAAATAACTGTTTTAGCTTTGGTTTCTACCATGACCTTAATGCAGTTGATTCTGTATTAAGAGAAGAAAATAAACTGGTGGTCAGAGAAGATGTCAGAGTCCTCATAATATACAGGAATTGTTCTCCAGGACAGAGGAGATCACTGAAGCCTGAAAAATACTGATTCCTGGCAGATCTGACAGTCATTTGGATCTGTCTATGTCATTAGTTCATTGATGACAAGAGGTTCTCTGGCTGGATGGAAACAGATGTCAGTTGCTCAAGTGGTATTGCTCACAGATAAGATAAAAGCTCTCTCAGACTGCAAATAGCAGCTTGCAGAGGGCAAAAGAACCTGCCAAACGTGGACCTTTTTTAAAAGCAATTTTTCATTGATTCAGTCCTGATTCTTGGCTTTACCTCCATTAAGCCACCCACACATGGCCTCATGGTGACATATTTTATGTTTCCAATATTTGAACCCTTGGCTTCTCCTATTGATTCTATTCACTTTTAAAAGATCTCCCCGAGTCTGACTCTTTCTTAGCTCACAATTGCTTTTCTGAATGTCAGCAGTTTCTCTAACTGAAGAGACAAGTAAAATACTTCCAGGCCAAGATATAGATACGATCTGATCTTCAAGATGCACCTTCATAAATGAATTATTCCATTTTACTTTGTAAATGTCCGGGAAACTGATGTATTGGCAACGTTTCCCTTCTTCCTGCCACATTCAGGCTCTCCTTTCATTGGCTATTCAAATCTGATGTCTGTTCTGAATCTTATCTAGATTTTCAACTGAAGATGTTTACATAATGCGACTGAAACATCAATGGAAAAGAAGAATCTAGTCTAGCTTTATATTCATTTTTCTAGATACAAATGAGTCAGAACATGGTTCTCAGACTTGAGTGTGCAAAACAAGAGGTCATGTTAAAACAGATTGTTCGGCCACTGTCCAAAAGTTTCTGGTTCAGTGGATCTGGGATGGGGCCTGAAAATTTGCATTTCTAGCAAGTTCCTAGGTGATGCTACTGCTGCTGTAATCTATGAGCCACACTTTGTGGACCTCTGATTTAGAGTAATGTATGCTGTTGCCCTGTTTTCCTACTTAATAGTCAGATAACAGAAACCCAATCCAAACTGGTTTAAGCAAGAAAAAGAATTTAGTGGATCATGTATATAGGCAATTGAATGCCTATATAACCTAGCATGATGCTGTACACGTATAACTACTCAGTATATATTTGTTAAAACTGTATTAAGATTGGTAAAATTAGTACAAATTTAACTGTAATTAAATCACTATTCCTGGACTTAGATTAATTTGTCCTTAATAGAATCCAGACTTGGAAAGCATAGGTTAAAATTAAATATCTAACAAATAAAGATATTATTAATTTTCTTAATTTATTTCACTAAATGTTAATTTTCTTACTTGGATTGAATATGTGATTTGACACAATATAAATAGTAAGTAGAAAGGCAATAGAAGGAGAATAGAATCAATTACATATATAACTATATATGATTGTTTTATATATATATATCTCAATCTGAAAGCAAATCTAAATTATGCAACTGGCAGGATCAATACTCTATTTAATCATTAGAAATAAAAAAAATTACTTCCAAGTAAAGATGAAAATTTCTCCAATTTTCTTAGTTTTTTACACTATGGATCCTAGTGTCTAAAAATTAACAGGGAGAAAAAAGAAAGGAAGAAAGAAGGAAGGAAAGGAAGGAAAAGAGGGAGGAAGAAAGGTAGGAAGGAACAAACTGGAAACCTCACACTGTAATTTATATATTGATTGTATATACTTGAAAATGTGGATAAAAAGTTTCCATGATTGTTGCTGATATTGATAATTTGAGATTTCTGAAAGCCTTTTCATTAAAATTTTATGTGTAGCACAGGGTTTAAATGTGAAAGGGTTTTATAAAGGGTCAGACCCAAGAACCTGAAACTGCCATTCTTAAGGCAAAATTCTGATAATATCCCCAACCCTGACTTGTTTTCAGCACAGAAATGATGCTTATTTTTTTTCACTGATATATGTATTTTTCTATTAAGGTTGATTGTATGCCTAGAGCAAGCCTAGTGACAGGGTGGAGGAGAGAGATGCTGAGCATGAATTGTTCGCTTAAGTTTTAGCACTTTAAGTACCCCTCCTTCTTCTATCACCGACCAAAAAAAGTAAGGAGAAAAGTCACCATCACCAAGGGAATCAGATGAAGGGACAGAGGAGGGAAGCCTGGCAACCAGCACACTGACCTGCTTTTTTCTTATAAAAGCAGCTGGGCGACAATAGCAAAAAGAAAGGGAAAAAATTAAAAGAAAAAGAAGGGAGCCTCAAAACAGCCCTCTTGAAGGTGTGTTATTGTAAGGAGTTACAGATACTTCCACTTTTTTTTGTGTGTTTGGCAGTTTATAAGCTCTATCAACAAGGAGAGCAAAAAGCTTTTGAAAACATGAAACAGAGGTGAATTTACCCTTTCAAGTCCTCTCCCGACCCGTTTACCATCGCCGTCACAGTTGAGGCAGTCAGTCAGAGATCAGAAAGGGAATAGCCTTGAGATCCTTTCTGGAACCAAACCCAGGATTTGAGTTTTGTTTAATGACTGGGCTAAAAATCACAATGGAGAATGAATATAAAGGAAAAAAAAAACAGGGATGATTTTAAAAAATATTATCCTTTCCCCCCATGACTTCATGACAGGGAGAGTTAAGCGAGCTCTGTTGAAATCCATCTGTTTTAAGTGGCTTTAGTCAGGGCCTTTTGTTTTACAAGGAAATGGCAATTACGACTGGTTTTGATAAGGATGCTCTGACAGAATCTTTTTCTTCATGGGACTGCTTTTCATGATGCAGCACCTTGCAGTATTTCTCTTTCTTTGAAATCACTGGTATTGCCCTTTATTAAAATCCACTTGCCTTATTCTTATTTAGGAATTACTATGTTACCAAAGTTTCAGAATCTTCCAGACTGAAAGAGCCATGAATGAACTTTTTGTCTGACTCCAAATGCACCAGTTTCTTTATTCTCCTTCTACACTGGCCTCGTTGTTGCAGCCCAAAATGGCAGCTGTATGGTTCAAGTGGGTATCCTCTCTCTGAAAATCAAAGAGAAAATACATTCTGTTTCAGCATAACACAACTATTATACACTTATATTTTACTTATTCTTCCCCTATTGTCGGGCTTTCATACCAGAGGAAATGTAAGGCTACTGTCTGGTCCTCAAAGGAGCTTTTGAGTCAACACGATCATCCAGTGTAAAAAGGCCAAGCATATTCCACTGCTGATCCTATTTCTTTCCTTAGGATGCCCTATAGATGAGGCTACTGGCAAGAAAGAACGCTTTTTTTCCTACTCAGTCTGAATTTCTGTTTTCCTTACAGCCAACACATTGAGTACAGGTCTACATATATACGCATATATATATAGAAATCTGTAGCCAAATTTGCCATTGGCTTTCAAGATTTTCCAGCATGTGGAGAATATATCTAAATTCGAGTTCTAGTAGGTTTCTCTTGATTTTCACATCTCAAGTCAATAAGAGTGAAATATAATTGAATTCTTCCACTGAAGAGTTGCCTGTCATACCTAAAATGCTATCTTGACATGGCATACTTCAACTGAGAATTCAGAAATCAATATTATTTGTTCTTTGAAAACACTTCAGGTTAGAAGTAGGCAAGCTTTGCTTAAAAACTAAATTCAATAAATATTGCATTTCATATATATATATATATATATATATATATATATATATATATATCATTGACTTAAGCCCCACACATGGTGGAATATTTTTCCACTTTTTTCTATCATGGCCATGATATTTAACATTGAGGAGCTGTGAATCTGGGCACATCCTGATTGATAGGTATCCACTGAAAACCAGTAACTATTAGTTAAGTTTTATTTGGCTGACTGGCTTATTTAAATATTTTGAATGAATCCTTTTAGCTAATGTAAAAGAAATAGTCTTGACAGCACCGTTTCCTCTTTGGTTTTCTCTCACAGCAGACAAAGACACTTTTAAATAGTAAACTTATGAAAAGCCCATCACTTCATGACAGGGAGAGTTAAAGCGATTTTCTCAAGTTCTCAGAGTCTTGTTTGCAATGGAAATGTCTCTCTCTCCCCACATCCTCTTTCTCTCTCCTATTTTATTTTTATTTTTTTGAGAAGGAGTTTCACTCTTGTTGTCCAGGCTGGAGTGCAATGGCACGATCTCAGCTCACTGCAGCCTCCGCCTCCCAGGTTCAAGCAAATCTCCTGCCTCAGCCTCCCAAGTAGCTGGGATTACAGGCGCCCGCCACCACACCTGGCTAATTTTTTGAATTTTTAGTAGTGACAGGGTTTCACCATGTTGGCCAGGCTGGTCTTGAACTTCTGACCTCAGGTGATCCGCCCACCTCGGCGTCCCAAAGTGTTGGGATTACAGGCGTGAGCCACCATGCCCGGCCTCTCTCTCCCTCTTTTATTCTATCACCACTCACGTTGGAAGTGATAGCTCTCTGAGGACACTAAAATATCATGGGAAAAAATCCAAACACTTTAAAAACAACAAGATCAATTTTTTAGCCTCTGCTTTAAGTTTTATGTGAGTTCTCTGTAGCAACACATTTTTGCTTGGGGAAAACACCCAAAGTGAAATTTCTTCACTTGAAATTGTCACTAATATTTGCTGTGAGAAATAAAGTAGCCTATATTCAAAACAATTTTAATCACTAAGAAATCGTTAAGAATGATTATATAAATATATATATAATTTATTAACCATTTTTACTCACCAAATCTCTGACTTCACCTTAAGAATACAGTGGAAATCCCTGAGCTTCCACCTACTGAACATTAGCACAAACTCCCACACACACTCACTTTTGGGCCTGTCTGAGGACAGGCTCCTTCCTCTGTCTACCGAGCTCTCTGCTCTTTCCTTTGCCTTCATCATGGTTACAGTTTTCAGCTTCAGACCCATGCCTGCAATTTAAAGACTTTTTTTTTTTTAAAGATAACCTTGCTCAATTTTTAACCTACATTATCTACCAGATTATTTGATTAATGTCTACCTTTCCCACAGTTTTGTAAATGTCATAATGTCAGGGAACATGCCAGGTCTTCTTTAGCTTATCTCCTCATTTCTAGTGATGACACATAGTTTTGAGCTCAGTAAATATTTGTTGAGTGAATACATGAGAGCCATCAAAAAGAATTTTTACCAGTATAAAGTTTGCTTCAAAAGAAAGGAGTTTATAATTACTTTTTGATTTTACAAAAGCTTTCCCACATCCTTTAAATGAAATTTTCTTTATTATAATAGTTCCTGTCATATCTTAGGAAGTAAGCTTTTCTAGATATAAATGAAACATCTTTGGTAAAAGCCTGGTAGTTCCTTGTGATCACGATTCCCTATGTTGACTAACTTCTTGGTGGGTAAACATTGAAGAAGATGGTCTGGACTTTTCTTTTAAACAAATACACCAGTTACAATGTTATTTATTTTTTTATTTTTTGCATTTTGCCTAATGTTAAAGAGAAACTCAGACATAATTAAAATTTAATTGAGGTTTTCAGAAGATGGGATTCCTGTTAATCAAAGATCTTCTATAATCAGGTCCAGTATTGCATGTAGAATATTCCCATGTATTGCATACCTAGTGATTTCCACAGACAGAATCCCCGCTCTGTGAGAATACACCATCAACACTTCTAACAGTGAGGCACTGAGCAGCAGTAAGGCTGAGGGGTTAAACCAGGAGTTTGCCTTGGGGGAAAGATTAGCATCAGAACCCAGAGGTCTGAGATCGAAATCCAGCTATCTTTCTCAACACCATTTTAAGGTGTGTGTGTGTGTGTCTGTGTGTGTGCGTATTCTTGTCCTTCTAAGACATGGTCAATCTAAAGGCCACAAAAAGAAAAGAACATCTATTAAATGCACGTTTTGTTTTGCTAACTTAAAAATTACAATGAAAATAGTAACTCATGTAAACAGAACATAAAAGGGTAGACATATTTATGCTGTAGCCATACAAGGTTGGAGAAAGAGAATTTGACTTCTACTTAAGAAAATAATAATTAAATTATTTCATTGATTTACTTTTTTTTTTTTTTTTTTTTTTTTTTTTAAGAGACGGGCCAGACATGGTGGATCACACCTGTAATCCCAGCAATTTGGGAGACCGAGGCAGGCGGATCACCTGAGGTCAGGAGTTCGAGACCAGCCTGGCCAACGTGCTGAAACTCCATCTCTCCAAAAATTCAAAAATTAGCCAGGCATGGTGGCATGTGCCTGCAATCCTAGCTACTTGGGAGGCTGAGGCAAGAGAATCACTTGAGCCTGGGAGGCGGAGGTTGCAGTGAGCCTAGTTCACATCATTGCACTCCAGCCTGGGCAACAAGAGCAAGACTCTCGGAAAAAGAAAAAAAAAAAAAAAAAAGAGAGAGAGAGACAGGGTCTTGCTCCTTACTCCGGTGGAATACTTCATTGTACTCCATTGCCCAGGCTGGGGTACAGTGGTGCAATCATGGCTCCCTGCAGCCTCAAACTCCTGGGTAAAATTTTTTAACAAGGTTTAGTGAAAACAAATCATATTGGATTGAGCCCATTACTTTTCCATTTTTATTAGAATAAATACATTTTCTCAACAAAAGGTAGCCCAGGAAAATAATAGTTTAGATCTGTAACATTTAAATCTAAGTCGAAAATCTTGTGTGATCTAACATTATGATTAGTATTTAGAATATCAATGATGGTTTGGTTAGATAATCAGAACAGTTCATTATCAGGTATATAAAGAGGAGATTTGAGCATAATCAATATTTTATATTTCAGCTTACTATGGGGATTTGGAGATAGAAATCAACATCTTTGAAATGCTTCTGAGTGTTATAGAAAGAGAAATGTACAAAGCAAATGTCCCTGAAGGCTCTTGTAACCTTTGAGAAATTCCTGAAGCCAAATCATAGAAATGTGGCCAGAAACAGTTTCCTGAGAAATGGATGTGGTTTGGCCTAGATTTTAGATGAAATCTCTGTAATGATAATTGAAGCATCACATTACTCCAAAAAAAATATTAACCAAGAGGTGCTGGCCCTGAATTGTCTTCTGTCTGTATTAACAAAGCCTTGATTTAATCATCACAGACAATATATGTTTTTTAAAGTATTCTATTTCTACCAAATATGAGTCTTACCAAAAGCTGAATGTAAGTTTTTCTCTCTTTTCACATTCTGATAGATGTAAACCCACCGTTCTATGCATGAGAACATTCTTAAGTACAGTTCACTTGGGCGTTCATATTAATGTTACTTCTCACTCATTAACAATTTGTTTAGTTAGCCATAATAAACTTTTTATTCTTATAAATGTCAAACTAGTTGTGTATCATATCATATCATTTCCCCTTGTACACTAGCCTTCAGAAGCTTAAGAAATACATACATATCTTTATGAGTAGTCTTACTATTCAGAATGTAAAGCCCCAGTAAAAATTTACTGTCAGAATTTTTAAAGTGAAATGTTTCCTAGAGTAAGTGGTCAGATGAGAAATGTCAATTTTCTTATTGGCAAATAAATATTTGTTAAGTATCTAGTATTTTGCAATTTTAAGTAACAATTGTTGATATTTTATTACCAATGTTTTCCAGCAAATAAAAATGCAAAATCACCTTATTGAATTATTTGCTTTCTAATTTGGTCTTGATATTTTTCTATGGAGAGTGGATGTAAACTTTAACTCTGCTCTGATGGGACTGCAGGAGATTTGGTCATGAATGTTTACAGTATGTCCTTCATGGGACATGGGATACTTCTTTTTTTTTTTTCTTTTGACGGAGTTCCACTCTTGTTGCCCAGGCTGGAGTGCAGTGGTGCGATCTCGGCTCACCGCAACCTCCACCTCCCAGGTTCAAGCGATTCTCCTGCCTCAGCCTCCTGAGTAGCTGGGATTACAGGCATGCACCACCACATTGGGCTAATTTTGTATTTTTAGTAGAGACGGGGTTTCTCCATGTTGGTCAATCTGGTCTCAAACTCCTGACCTCAGGTGATCTGCCTGCGTCAGCCTCCCAAAGTGCTGGGATTACAGGCGTGAGCCACCATGCCCAGCTGGAATATTTCTTTATCCTGGTGGGTGGCCTAACGCCTAAGTGTCTGACCCATGACCAGGTTTCCTCTCAAAAGAAACTTGTTTATACAGATGGCCCCTGACTTACTGATGGTGCAAAAGCAATATTCATTCAGTAGAAACTGTACTTCAAATAACCAAACAATCATTCTGTGTTTTTTACTTTCAGGATAGTATCCAGTTAATTAGATGAGATATGAAACACCTTATTATAAAATAGATTTGTTTCAGATAATTTTGCCCAACTGTAGGCTAACGTAAGTGTTCATAACATGTTTAAAGGAGGCTAAGTTAAGCTATGCTGTTCAGTAGGTTAGGTGTATTAAATGCAATTTTGACTTATAATATTTTCAACTTATGATGGTTTTATTGGGATATAACCTTATCATAATTTTCGGAACATCTGTACTTGCATGTACCGTTATGGCTCTTTTCTGACCTGTGCCCAGCTTATATCTACCACGATAGCCACTCTCTAGGAGAACCCTGATATAAGAAGAAGTTAGGTTTGGCCACTCAGGTGAGACACAGAGGAGACAACACAACAAAACACATGCAATAACAGAAGCATCCCAGAGACGTGAGCAGAGCACACCTTGCAGGGCCAACGAGAAAGGGGGGCCCAACTAGAACATGCATGTTCAACAAGATCCCGTGGATGGAGAGCAAGATAGAGAGGGAGAAATCCAAGGGGCTAAGCCTTTATTGAAGTCTGGGGCATTACATAACCAGATTTCCCTTGGGGAGTTCCAACTGGTAGGTTTAGAGCAAGCAGGCTCCAGCTCTATGGGGTCACAGGGTGACTGAGAGGTCGTCAAAATGGCATGATCAGTGTAGTCCATGAGGGTTGAGGGGGTCAGTGGAGCAAGTCAAGTAGGTTATATATAGCTGTCCCATAGGTAAGGTTGTCACCAGGGGGCAGTTTATAATGTGGATATCCAGAATGACCACACTGAGGAACTGAGAGGAGGCAGAGTCTCAGAAACTATACATAGGTGACTAAGCCCTGCTTCTGGTATGACTGTTGAACTTAACTTTAAAATGGATGCCAAGGCAACAATTATAAGAATTCAGTGGATACTTCCTACAGTTTAACAACTGATGACCATTTTTTGGGGAGATGTAAAATGGACTTCCTCCACGACCAGTCCAGAAGGTTCCAGCCTCCATTTAGAAGGTCTAAATTAGAAGAGCCTTTACTTTGTGAACTGAGATCCTTCCCTGAAAGGCCCTATCTGGAGTGTGATTTTATTTTATTTTATTTTATTTTATTTTTAAGCACAAGAGACTTTAAGTTTGTCCTTTAAAAAACAAAAAATAAATAAATAATGGTCTAGAGTTAAATCTTTGAGAATCATGGTGTCTACTTCTTTAATTACCTACTTGCATAACTAGTTATCTGTCATAAAAATGCAGATATTAAATAAAACTCAATGCTAATTTTAATACCAAAGAATAAAGCTAGTTTTGATAAGTAGTATAATATTGTCCTGGCTAGATAATACATCTAAAAGTCAATAGAATTTAGATTTTATTTTTACTATGAATATAAATCTTACAAGAGTTTAAGCAAGTCAATGTTCATAATATTATACATTTTTAAAGTCATTTAACATTTTATCTTTCACAGTCATTCATTTAGAAAAAAATTGAAATTAAAATAACTTAAAATTAAGGAATTAATTTCTATAAAAGCCAAGATGATGGTTATTAAGTCATAACTTTAAAAAATTCTGGAAAAAAGTTAGATAATTATAATCAAATTAAAGCTATTATAACCCTACTTTTCTATTCAAAGTTAGCCTTCTTTGGTTTTTAAAATTTATATACTGAACCTTAGCTATCTAGAGATATTAACATTCTTTTTAAAAGAAAACACATTTATCAAGGATAACCTGTCTATCAGTTTCAGTTCTAACTGCTGAGGCTAAGGAGCTAAGAGAATTATAATGGAGGTAGACACATTGTAGGACAGATATAGGAATAAAATTTATGTTATCCCAAATATTAATTATTTTGATGGTTTTAGGAGTTCCTGGCTTTCTTTAATGCGGTAATGTATAGATCAAGATGATCTAGTTTATTTGGCTATTTGCTGTCCTAGAGTACTTAGAAAGACACAGTATGGGATTGATTTTAAAGATTTGAATGTTAAAATCCATATTACATTCAGCCAGGTCTACTTTTGATCTGTCCTTGGTCAATTACTCAAAGTTTTGTGGATTTTTTTTTTAACTGAAGATGTACTATGTGTAGGATACTCTGTATAATCTTGAGCAAGTAACAGTGCTTTTCTCACCTTCAGGTGTATTATCAAGTGTATTCACTAAGCTAAAAGCTAAACTGCTGTAATGAGCAAATCCTAAAATACAGGAGTTCACATGAAATATAAATTTCCCTTTTACATAACAGTTTGTGTCTGACAGGTGTGCTCAGCTCCATGAAGTCATTCAGGAACTAAGCTGGAGGGAGCTCTGCCATTCTCAATATGATACCTCAGGTCACTCCAATCATTTCCATTTTTTGACACTGAGACAGAAAGGAACAGTGAGTCTGGAGTAAATATTTTTAGAAGATGCCTGAGAAGTTATGTGTATAAGGTCTGCTCACGCTTTTGGGAACTTAGCATCATGGCCACATAGGGCTGCAAAAGGGAGAAGAAAATGTGAATGGCTGTGTGCCCTGGAGGGAGGAGAGAACACACCTAAGGCAATCAGCAATCTTCCATATTAGTATGACAATACTCACCTCCCCCGAACTGTTGTATGAAGTACTTAGTGCAGTTCATAATACATGGCGAAGGCTTAATAAACATGATAAATTTTACCTATTTGTCATGATTGTTGTTATTAAGGTACACAGAGAGGGTAGGGTATATGTTGATGAAAATATCCATTCCGTATGGAGTAAATTAATGTACTCTTCTGTAGTAAAGAGGGGAAATTGTGCATCTTTTGCATTTCTTTTTTCTGTATGTGATTATTATTTTACCTATGTATTTGTTAACTAAAATGTTTAAGTGTGCCCAGTTGACTGGAAATTCTCTAAATGTCTGATCCATTAATTTATGACTTACTAGGAAAAATGCCTCTTATAAGAAAATTTATTTGTAGTGTTCACAGGGAAATAATCCATTAGCTCAAAGTCAACTGGAAAGTATAAAACTACTTCTGCCTCTCATAGGACTAAAAATTGAAACACAAATAGAGTTAAAGCCATTCTTTTGACTGAAAGAAAGCCTTTTTTATTTGCTAGAATATTCATATAGGACTCACCAAAAATATTGTTAGGCCACAGTGGAGAGTCTGCGAGTAGTTTACGCACTGAGCAAGCACACAAGGTTTTGGAATAGCAAGCTGACTAAATAAAAGCTGTAACTTATTCTGGCAGTGAAAATTCATCATTTAAATTTCGAATGTTTTACCAACACAACATATTTTACAACAAAACAGAGGTTAGAAAGAAGTCTTCTGCATCCTGAAACTATCTTGACAGATATTTGAGTTTTTAATTTTAAAATAGAGAAACATTTAAGTGGAATCCTCCCTAAAATATTGAAGTGGACAGCTGCTACTGATTTCAAACATGAATCTAAAAAAATATATACCTTGCATTGTGATTAAGTGAAAATCCTTCACCGGTTAGGATGTTGTCTGTGAGGAAGATGGATTATGGTAGATAAGCCAGGTGTTTGTGCTCATAAAATTGTGAAATTTCTGTTTTGATTGAAGACAAAAGATTGTATCCCTAATTAGTCAGCCACAAAGTACATATTAGAGACATATAAATTATAATTAAGTCAATAAGAAAAGATTTCATATACTTTTATAACTGCACCACATATTTTCATACTCTTGCCAGTCCAATCCCTTGAGGGCACGACAGCTCTATGCTGTGTAGTAGAGGAAACCTTGAACCTTGGGGTCAAGAAACTGAGTTTAAAGCTCTAGCTACTCTAACCTTATTACCTTAAGAAAGACAGATCATTGAATCATTAACTGAGGGTCTAATGAGTACTAGACTCTATTCTCCACTCTCTATCTTAAATTTAAAAAGTTCTTATTCTATGGAGCTTGTGTGTATGTTTGTGTGGGGTGTGTGTGTGTGTGTGTGTGTGTGTGTGTGTTTAGACAAGGAAGGTATGTTGCAAGGGGAAAGATGGGATAATAGAAATACAAGTAAATGTATAATGTAAGGATGGTGAAAATACTAAAAAGAAATAAGTCAGGATAATGGAAGAAATCAGTAACTGAGCAGGCAACATGATGGAAATGTTATTTTAGATAAGGTGGTTCTAGAAGGCCTCTCTGAAAAGGTTGCTTTTGAGCACAGAGAGTGCTGTATTCAGTGAGCTTCAGAATCTTTAATGCATCAGGGATAAGAGTTCTGGAAGAAGGATTTCATGAATAGGGGAAGGACTTTAGATTTTACTCAAGGCTTATTTTCCTCTTTCATAAAATGAAAAGTATGTTTTACCTACCCAACACACCTGCTGGTAAAAGGAAAAAGGTGTGCGATAATATTTGTAAACATAAAATACAGCCTAAATCCAAGGAACTTAGGATTTTAAAAAATCATTGTTTTGCTGAGATTGGAACTGGAAGATATAAATGCTCAAATGGAAATTCTTTCTTTTGAGAGAGACGGCATTTTTGTGTAAAAAAGGGTTTTAGGAATAGTAATGCATGGAGTTATTAAATTTCGTATGTATTTCTGCACATACGTATATGTGTATATATATAGAAATATCATCAAATGACTGTGGGGGGTGTGTGTGTGTGTGTGTGTGTGTGTGTGTGTGTGTGTGTCTGTATTGCCGAACTCATAACCTAGGACTATGTTTTTAATGAAGCAATTTTCTAACATGAATTCATTATCTTTTGCTTTATGGTTGAGATTTCAGATTAAGAAGTTAATAGAAATGAGAAAGAGTACTTTTTTTTCTGAATTGTCATTTTTTGGTCCCCAAATAGTTCTTGAATTTGGCTTTTCTCCTTATCTCTTCTACTGAGTTTTCTAAATGATAGAGGACAAAAGGTTGAAATAGTTTGTGAAACTGATCCTAAGTTATACCATTTATTGCTTCATGAAGTCCTTTAGTTGTCCTAAAAATATTAGTCTAATACAGTGCAGTTCCAAGATCTGTTCTTTAACACCTTGTGTAAATCAAAATTTGTGTTACTTATGGATAATTTTCCTATAAGAATGAATATAAAGAATGGGTAATATTCTTAAAATATTTAATTCTACAACCATTACAGTACACTTTTGCTTTATTCTATGTTGTTATTTTATAGCCCTGTTACTTATATTTCTCAGTGTATTTGCTCTTGAATTAAATGTCCAGTTGTTTCAACATTTTGATGGTGCTTTCTCACTTTTAACACGTCTTCCAAAGTTTGACTTGGAAGGCATTTTGTTTGTTTGTTTGTTTGTTTGAGCTCTAGTACCACCATTTAGGGCTACTTAGATATTGAATCATTCAGATTTTTAAAAGAAGATTTAAACTTACAATAACAGTGGGAACTAAAATATCACAGTAGTCATAAGCATCACTCAAAGAAGCTCTGGTGGCAGACAACCACCCTATTGTTTCCGTGTTGCTGGCCAAATGGCAGGGATTACTGTTTACCAGACAGGCTCAGTAGCACAGCCATATGACAGTGACACAAACATCCTTGACAGTTCTCTAGCCTGCCCAACCCCAATGTTAAATAAATCAGTTTTGATGAATATCTGTTCATTTTCTGCTTTAAGTGAAATATTAATGTTATATTTATCTTGGGCTGTTTCAAGTTTGCATATCTCCAGTTTCCATGCAATACAAGTGGGCTGTATTTCTTGCTTGAGGAAGTATCTTTCTTTCTTTCTTTCTCTGTTATGATTTTTGAAAGCGCCCTAAATTGGAAACATGGATACCCGGAGTTGCAAAGTCATTCCAGATTATTATCCCTTTCCTGTACAAATAAATGCCCTTTATAGCCCTAGCAAATGCCAACCCTACGACTTGTCAGTAAATATGCTCTGTGTCTCACTGACTGCAAATTGGAATCTCAGGGGGAAGTTGATTCCATTTTATATTTCTCTAATTGTTGGAGAAAGCACTTTATATCAGGACAAATTATCTTTCCATAACCTCCATTGACTATGAGAAATACAATTTAAGGGGGAAGTGACCAATCGTAATGGTTAGGAAGATGCATTCCGCCTTCCTAATATACAAAATCTACTTGAGCTCTAAAAATAACAAGGTGTTCAGTTATCTTTTACTCTTTGAAAAGAAAACACTTGCCTCTTCCTAGTAATTATTGATAATTTTCAAAAAGTATTTAACTGTTCTTTAAAAAAAAAAAACAGAGATGTGTCAGGATAATTGTCTTTTAGACCAAGAGACAACTATACCAGAATTCCAGGAGCCTAAAGTAAACTTGGAGTATAAAAATCTGAGTGTGTCATTCACTAGCTATGTAGATTTGAAGCAGCTTTTTCTTCCCTAGCTAGGCTAAGTGTAAGTTTTCTCTTTATACACTGGAAAGAATGGAAGCTAACTTCTGATAAATGAATTAAACAAGTTCTGGAAAAGTGTCAACCATTTAGGCAAGATGCTACAAAATTTCTGTGTGAATAATGGACTATATTTTTCAAAAGTGATAGCCTAATCTCAGTGGCTGTTACCCTTCTGATGAACATACAGCCATTTGAGATGAGTCAAATACCTTCTGTAAAAGTCACTTTAGTAAGCCAGCATTTAAAGAGAACCAGCTTTGTACAGCCCATACCATTAAAACTTGCAAAAGGAGGAAAGAAAGGGGAATTTGGTCTCAAGGAACCTAGAATCATCATTTAGACATCATACATTCCAAAGACAATTAGAGCTATGTTTTAATTTTTTTCTTTTCTTTCTTTTTTTTTGGGGGGGGGATGGAGTCTCCCTCTTTCATCCAGACTGGAATGCAGTGGCATGGTCTCAGCTCACTGCCACCTCCACCTCCCAGGTTCAAGCAATTCTCCTGTCAGCCTCCCAAGTATCTGGGACTATAGGTGCATGCCACCACACCCAGCTAATTTTAGTATTTTTAGTAGACAGATGGGGTTTCACCATATTGGTCAGGCTGGACTTGAACTCCTGACCTCAGGTGATCCATCCACCTCGGACTCCCAAAGCGCTGGGATGACAGATGTGAGCCACCACACCCAGACTGTTTTAATTTTTTAAGCATATTATATTTAAAAACATAATATTTTTTCCTAAGGGCACTGAATGTTACATAGTAGGTACTCAAAAACTATATAATATTTTTTTAAAGCTACAGCTAACATTTCAAAATAATACAATCTAAATATATTTATATGAGTACCATATTTCTAATGCACTTTAATGTATGCCATGATGAATCTGGCCCATAATTTTGGAATGCTAAATATGTACTCTCCTGAAGAGAATTCACTGAAAGCTTTACTGCGTGACTGCATAGAAAAGCAAAAATCTAGCATTTAGTTTTAATGGAAAGGAATTTATATTAGATATCCTTTCCTCACACAGATATGAATAATTTTGCTTGAATAATTTTGTAATTGGAAAATATCTATATCATTTTTTAAAACTATTGGCTGCAAAGTTATTACACTGAATTCATTTTAATCATTTAGCATACATTAATTTTTGGTTTAATAATAAAATCTTTGTGCTAAACAAGTAATGACAACAACAAAAATCTGGGTTAGTCATTTTTGTATATCTTTCCCATAGTAAGCTGTATTTATATTTCTGTAATGTATGTTTAAAATTTAAAGGTCTTCAGAGTCCTATCTTATTTTCAAAATTCATTGTTAAACATTTTAGGCAAGATGCTGCAAAATTTCTGCATGAATAAATTATTTTACTTACTGTATTTTTCAAAAGTAATAATCTGATCTCAACAGCAATAACCCTTCCGATGAACATACAACCATTTGAGATGAATCAAACACCTTCTGTAGAAGTCACTTTAGTTAGCTAGCATTTAATAAGCATCACCTTTGTATAGTCCATGTCATTAGAATTGGCAAAAGAGGAAAAGGAAGGAGGAATTGATCTCAAGGAACATAGAATCATCATTTACACATAATATATTCCAAAGGCAATTAGAACTATGTTTCAATTTTTAAAGCATACTATACTTAAAAATTTATAATATTTTTTTCCCAAGGGCACTTTTTAATAACATAAAAAACACAAGAAATATTTAGACTTTAAAGGATATTTTGAGAAGTAAATTTTTTTTTTCTGTTGTATATAGCCGTCCAAAAGTGCAATTTGTATAGTGTATAACATATCTATATTATAACATACTAATACAAAGAGCCCGAAAGAGTAGACTACTTTATAAAAATTGTCTGGCTAGATTGAAGCTAGGTGCCCACATCCTATACAGCCTGTCATTAACTCTTCCCGTAATGTAACAGTGGAGTGATAAATAATGCTAGTAGACACTTTCATGTGAAGATTAACAGTCATTAAAGATGTAAATACAGTAGAATGTTACACTAGTGCACGTATAAGCCACTCTAATTGCATAGGTAATTAACACTTCTGTTGTTTTTCTCATTATCATTTTGTTCCAGTTGAAATGCTTGTTAGCAACCTACTCTGTAGAAGGAACAGATAGCATGTCATTATAACAGTTGACACAAGGCAGCCTTCAAGTATGTGACACTAATTAAATTAAAACTTCAAATTACAAACAGACTTCTTATAACTAATGATGAATGACCATTTTCACGAAACAATATTCACTTCTTTATTCAAGAGTCACAAGTGTTGCTTTTAATATGTTGTATTAAATCACAAAGAAATCCATTAACAAAGCTGTTATGTCTGTCTTTCCAATGGAAAGAATGTTAACATTTTGAGGCTTTTCTGCAGACTAAGGGAGTTTTCTCCTCTCGTTTGTCTAATGACAAATGATTAGGAATTTCTATCCCTAACAGGGTTGTCACACTTCTCAACAGCTGGGTTACGAGGCAGTCTTTCCCGGACAGGGAAATGTTCTAGAAGTCTGGAAATTACTATTCTCTTTTAACTAATGACAGTGGTTGGTGCATAAAGAATGGTCAATAAATTGTATCAGTATATTCTGAAGCTGATAAGATGTCCAGAAAAGGCTTCTTGAGACTATACCACTTTGACATAGTTAGAACATTCAGATAATTTACAAGAGTTAATTAGGAATCAACCCTAAAGCAATCTTAATGGAGATTGGCCTACCAAGCAGAATGTGTTACTAAGTCTCAGAAAACAAATACAAACTATATTATTTGCTTCATCTGATTAGAATATTTTGTCCATTTCAAAAGCTTACTTTATAACTAGGTAACTAAAAGACAATTAAAATTTTAGTTAGTGAGGACAAAATTATAGTAACAGGTATATGTTGAATAATTTTAACAGTCTCTTATAAAGAGAAGAGGTCTATTGCAATATTTTTCAATTCATAGATTTCAGTCCACAGCTTCATTGTGAAAATTTCACAGGTACAGTATCAACTTTGGCCCATATGTGTAATATAGTTTTCTTGCATATTATAACAAGTGAGTATACATACTGTTACAGCAATGGATGCCAGAAGTATGTGTGTGTTGAACAGGACTTAAAATGTGCTATTTACTCTGAGAAAGACGAGGCCCTAGAGGCCTGGTATGATATCCGAGTTGCAACAAAAGATTTGCTGAGACTTACAAATATTTGCCTCTGAATATATGAAGAAATGGTTACAGGGAGCAGGAGATCAAAGAATATGTGATAACCATTGGAGCTTTTATAGACTCTGAGAAGTGCTGTTATACTGTATCAGTATAATAGAAATGACTTTACCTAAATTATTGAGGGGAGGGGAAGAGAGAGAGGGGGAGAGAGAGAGATAGAGAGAGAGAGGAGGGATTTATTCTTCTCAAACAAAGCAATAATAAATGTATTATTCAAAATTGTGATACTAATACAAGTAAGTTTAAACCTTTGATCTAATGTAACACTGTCCAGTAAAACTTTCTGTGAGGATGGAAATGTCCTATCTTTCAAATATGTTAGCCATTAGGCACATTCAACTATTGATCACTAGAAATGTGGCTAGTGAGACTGAAGAACTAAGTCTTTAATTTTATTTCACTCATTTGAATTTCACTTACTTAATTTTAATTTACACTCATTTGAATTAATTAAAATCTAATGCAATTAATATGAATTTTAATTTAGCCATATGTGACTAGCAGCTACCAAATCTAGCCCTTACACAGGTTTAAGACATCCACCTCCATTGTAAGAACTCAATCCCTTGAGTTCCAGAGTGTTCTTGATCCTTTGGTGATTACAACCTGGACAGATTATTGCTCCTTGGGCACCCACATTGTAGATTTCTTGCTATCTTCCATCTGGTAATGTGTTGTTTCTGCAGACAAGTTACAGTTAGCTTATTTACTGACTTAAACTTATTATAGGTTTGTTCCTTGGTTGGAATTCCCATTTTCAAACTATCACTTAGTATGAGTTATTTCTGAACATAAATGATTTCATCAATTAGCATATGGGCATTTTTTTAAGTGGAGTCATTTCTCTCATCCTCTGCTTTCCTGGGATCTATCTACAAGCCGAAGTTGTAAATCAATTACATAGTAAATAAGGCCTTACTGAATTAATTTGTGAATATTTAATGATTACTTAATATTTTTCATCCCTATACTAGCCACTAGTAATCCAAAATTATTAAGACATCATCCTGCCCTTGGAGAACTTACAGTCTTTAAGTGCCACAGCACTATAAATAAGCCAATTCATCTTCGAAAGCAGGCTTAATTAATATGAAACCTCTGGAGAATTCATCTACAAAAAATACGAGTGTGTCAGCAAGCAGAAATTATTTATCACACAATATCCCTCCTTTGGACATGTGAGTAACCACAACCATTATTAATGTATTAGATAGTATTTGGAGGTGGCAGAAATCCAATAGCCTAAATCGTTTCCAAGGTAGCTTTCGGAGTTAGCCTTGTAAAATAATTAAAATTCTAATTTATTCCTGTGTACACATGGAGTAAAATACTTAGTGTTAAGATCTGCCTGAATGCTTAAATATATTAAGGAGTGCTCTGTTGTGTTTATTAGTTGTTTCTCTTTTCAAAGTTTTCAACATGGCAAAGTTTGCCTTAATTATATTTAAACAAGAGTGCCTTAACATATTCTCTCTCTCACCCCTTACAATCTTTTGACATACCTAGTTCTCCAGTTTTGTGTATTAGTATGAAGAAGAAAAGTGAATTAAAAGATGTATTCATATTATGATGTTAATGAGTTCCAGGATGTGATATTTTAGAAGAAGCATGAGTAGGAATTGGGAGAGAGGGAGGGTTTTTCTGGCACACTGCAAATTATACAGATAGAAGGAGGACATAATTATGAATACAGCCAGTATTTTACTTGCATTACTTCTACATTCTATGTACAGGTAGAATGGTCATACATAACTGCAGTATTATTATTTTGGCTACGTATAATGTAACAGATTTTAATTTAGACTTGGCAATTGATATTTGACTCTCAGATTTCTTATTCTTATATCACCAACGGTTGGAAACTGTTGGAAATAAGTGGAATATCAGAAGTAGTTAGGGAAAACTTTATCAACTGGGTCCAGGTTTCCTGGAAATATATATATTTCCTCTACTCTAATATATATATAAAAATAATTGTATATTATGGTATTATATATTATTATATATTATATTATATATTGTATTGTATATTGTATATCTTATATATAGTCATAATAAAGTAAATTCATGTTTACTTTATTATATTATTCATGTATTACTCATATATAATTATATATTATTTTTTATATAGTCCTAATAAAGTAAACTCATATTTTCTTTGAGATAAAAGTGACAATTGAAATTCTTCTATTTATATGTATCTAATAATTTGGATTCAAGCAAATCATTGGTGTGGTCAGTCCATTTTTACATTACAACCTTTAATGTGCAAAATAGCCTTAGAGATTTAAAAATTGATTTAAAACTTAACTTGAATATAATTACAACCTTCATGACTTTAAAACTTATATATCCTAGCTGTCTTATTTTTAATTTTTATTTTTATTTATTTTTTATTTTTTGAGACGGGGTCTCCCTCTGCCACCAGGCTGCAGTACAGTGGCACAATCTTGGCTCACTACAACCTCCGCCTCCCGGGTTCAACCAATTCTCCTGCCTCAGCCTCCTGAGTAGCTGGGACTACAGGAACGTGGCACCATGCCCAGCTAATTTTTGTGTTTTTAGTAGAGACGGGGTTTCACCATGTTGGCCAGGATGGTCTCGATCTCTTCACCTCGTGATCCGCCCACCTCAGCCTCCCAAAGTGCTGGGATTACAGGCATGAGCCACTGCGCCCAGCCAGCTGTCCTAGTTTTTAAACAATGATACTGAAACAGTTTCCCATAGGCTAAATTTTTTTCTTGAGTGTTTCTTCAACTATCTATCTATTCCCATGAGATCGTAACCTTTTATTTTAAATCAAGTAATTTTGTTAGGTCTCAAGTATGCTGGAATCTTTTGATTAAAAAAATGAAGGTTAAATACAAATATTCATGAGCAAACAAATTCCTCAACCTTAATGGATTTCACCATTTAGTTCAAGGTGACCAGGATATTAGATTATCAGCCTTGTTATATCAAATATAGCTAAACTATTTGTCTTCCCCTTGGGGAAAATCCTAAAAATATTCTCTTGTCCCCACATTTCATTACTTCAGAAGGATATTGATTCTTACAGAATATTTGAATGAAAAATCCTGAAACTGTTGTTTCATTTCATAAAGTTAATGAGTATTTCGAAATGGACTCCCCAGCTAGGCAGTTGCACTACTAGACAAGATTTAAACACAACTCAATCTTATATTTGTTTGGGGGGAGTGTTCAGATATTTAAAAGTATTTCCCATCTGTTGTTACATTTTATGCTCACAGCTGGGTTAGACTTTGAGGTTAGATCATGAGGTTAGGCTGGTGCCTCCCTCCACAGTGCCTTCTTTTCAACATTTGACAGACAGGAAAAAAAAAAGCCATAGTTGTTTCAGTCACTTTCTCAGTCATACTGTTAGAGAATGCCAGACTCAAGCCTGAGCATCTGACATCAGTTCTATAGCAATTTCTCTTAATCTACCAACCAAATAATATGCTGTAGCTACAGCCAAATTTTTCCAAAAATTGTAACTTTCTATGTCAATCTCTACAATGCATGTTTCTTTTAGATCTTTGCTACAACTACATCATGAATACATCCCATATGGTTGTTAATTACAGTATATAGCTTCATTTGTATAGAGCAGCTTACCACTGATCTCAAGGCTAACTTTGCAGAAAACCAAGTTATCACCACTGCAACTTCAACAACAATAACAAAATGTTGTAACTTCCCTCCTCTAATTATTTTGTAATTAACTTCAAAGTCTAAAATGACTTAATTATACTGTAGTATAAGCCAGAATCAGTGACAACTTCTTGATTGGACACTGGAAGCTATTTACAGGCTGCTGTATTTTCTTTTCATGTAGTATACTATGATTTCTCCTTTTAGGCACTTGGAATTCATAAAAAGAAGATGTTTTTGAACTTTAATTCTCCAGAATCTCATATTATGGGACTCATGGAGCCATTTTATGATACTTATGTTCTTGAGGTATACCACATACACCTATTTTCTAGCTTGAATTTATTAGTGTATTATAATTCAAAATAAAGTATACATAAAATAAAATTTGTGAAATTTACATAATTCATCAAAGTCAAAGAAGATGAAAGTTTCTTAAGTGAGAAAGGAATACTTCTCTATAAATAAAGGCACAAAGTGAATTATCATTATTGTTCAACTTTGCAAGAAGTCCTATTATATTTAGAAGATTTTTCAAGATATATATGTTTTTGTTGTTTGAAAATGATGGTCTGCTTTAGAGTGAATGATTAAATTGTTTTACATAAGTATATCATCTAAAAGAAATGGGAAAAATGACCAAGAGAAGGGCAAACAATGAAAAAAATCAAAGGATACATGAAGAAAATAGAAGTACTCAGAATCCTGTTGTCAGAAATAACTGTGGCAATGATCTTGTTTATTTCTAAAGCAATAGAGGAGTTGCCTCTAGATCATCCCAAAGGATCAGACACCCTTTGCTAGAATTTATCTGTAAACAGTAAATTCATGAGACTATGTCCTTGTTATATACACCTAGTTCTCAGCAAGTGTTATCTATATGGATGAAAAAACTGCTTTCTTTTGAAATCCAAGAGGAACCACTGACCGAATCCCTCTTTCATTGTGAAACTTTCATATACTTTAATTTGCCATAATATTCCTTCTATAGTTTATCTTCCTGAGACAAATATTTCTGAATTTTTAAATCATTGACTTACCATATAATTCCCAGACTCCATCCATTTTATTTCCCTTTTATAGAATGAGAAACCTTTGTTGATTTTTTAAACATATGGTACCTAGTACTATGTAGGTAAGAAAAACCTGTTCTGCGCTCTTTAGCTTAGTAACCGGGGCCTGCAAATTAAAGTGACAAAACACAGATCAACAGGAGAAAGGTTTATTTTCGTATGCACACAGGAGCTTCACAGAAAAGAAGTGAAAGTCCAAAGTAGTGGCTAGGTTTGAGAGCTTACATATCATTTTAACAAAGGCTGATAAATTGTGGAGATGTGACAAGACAAAGCAAAGGGATTTGGGCTTACAGGGATGGTAAATTGTGGGAAGGTAAATATATGGGGAAAGCTAATGGAAGACAAGGGTTATTTTACTAACATTTGTTATTCAGACTCAAATAGGCTCCCTCTCCAGTGATGCACTGTCTTCAGTAAGACATCCCCCTCTTCCTAATACAGGAGAAAAGAGCAGAAACACCTTCACAAAGAAAAATGTATGCTCTGCTTTTAGGCAGAAAAAGGGAAGGAAGATAGTTCCTCCCATATCTGCTGTTCCTTAATTGCCTTTAGCTCAAAGTAATCCTTATGTCAAAGTGGCATCTTTGGGGGTAGAATATTCTGATCCCCTTCAACTCTAAATGTGTTCTAAAAAAAAGAAGTAACTTCATTTTCCTTGGTAATAAACAAATTCAAGATTTGATATACAAATTTGCATCTATTAAGGAAACCTGATGCCGAATACTAACACAAATCCTATATATTTTATTTTTTTATTTCAAATTAAAACTTTACATTATTCTTTGTTAATTTTCTTTTTTATTTGCCAATCATGTCAGCTTAAAAATGTCATACTTTAATATTCCATATATTAACTATGTTTTCAATCTTCATTCACTTGGAAATTTTTAAAATGTGACATCTGAGTCTTCATTTAAATAACTGATGATTATGACATGTTGCACAGAACCCAGTCCTGTCTCTCTCTATAGGAACATAAAGAACCTTCCAAAGAGGATGTGGAAAGAGTTAAAACAAACAAACAAACTAAAACTCAAAGCAAAACAAATATATCCAAGCAGGATTTGAGAGATCATACACAGGATACAAAGCGAAAAGAACCAGACAGGGCCAATGTGAACAAGTAAGAGGCGTAGGTATTACCGGAAGGAAGCGATGTTACTCTGTCATATAGTTACATGGGCAGTGGATCGTTGTGAATAACTGTGTGGACCCTGAAGATAAAAATCCTAAGTTTAGATTCTGACTTCCCAAAATAACCGCTGTGACATTGCACAAGACAGTTATCTCTGGGTCTCTATTTCTGCACCTGTAAAATGAAAATAACAAGTGTGACTCTTAAGATTGGTCAGAAGACTGAGTTAGTTAATAAGCCTAAAAAAGCTTAGAACACAGCCTGATATATGGGCATTATTAAATACATGTTAACCACATTATTAACAAGGGAAGGCCTTTCTTCTGAATTTAACAATGAATTCTCTTCTGTAGTTTCTCAGATCAGAGTAGAGACATTAATTCATGAGAGAAGACATTGCTGAAAATGAAATCTATTTATGTACTGACCACCTTATTCTGAGGAAATGATACCCTGGATGGAACAGATTGGGTGTCGTTATTTGCCTATCTAAGCAAGGATGACTTTGTAGAAGCCCTCACTGAATTTTAGAGATATTCACAACAGAAACACATACAATAGATTTCCTACTCAAAGATAGAAAGCATGCAGAGAATGTCTGTGGCAGAGATTCACCACACAAATATGGAAGTGTGCAGAGGTAGTTTCTTTCCATCATAGTTTCCCTGGAATGACTGAAAAGATATGAGCCATTATGCAGTTGTTCCAAATGCTAGCCAAGAAGCAGCTCCTTTGCAGGATGGGGGCTGGGGGAGTGGGGATGATTTAGATACTTTTTTAAGGGACTGGATTTCTGGTAAAAATGTATTTTTCCAGCAGTTTTACTGATGCCATAATAGATCGTGAACATTATAAAAGGGTACCATTGCGAAAAGTTATTTTACCAGGTAGGAAACTTGCAAGAGGATTTATATTTCAAAATGACAGTGTCCTAAAACTCACATTTAAAAAAAATGTCTTGAAGAGAACAGGTCCAGAATTGTAGCCTATGGAACTATATTGCTCAGAACCTTAGCCAAAAAAGAAAAAAAAAAAAAAGGATTTTAAAGATGTTGTCTGGGACTTTTACTCCTCAGTAGAACTTTGTACATAGTACAAGGTGTTAGAGTGTTGTAGATGAAGGAGTTCATTTCAGACCACCAAAGTCTTCCTGTTTTTTGTTTGTTTGGTTTTGTTTAAAAATGTGTATTACTCCACTAGTCCTTTTCAGCAACTAAACAATTTCATGCCTATATTTTATTAGGGTCATAAATTAGTTTTCTATACTTTATAGTATCTTAGCATCAAATACTAATGTTATATAGGTACATTTGCTCCTGAGATACTCAAGTTTTTAATGTTATAAAACCAAAAATTTCAAGTATTTAGAGATGTACTTTTGAAAAGTCACAATATTTAGATACTAACGTTAAGTTTTAGTGGTTCTGCATTTTTTTCGTATGACTGTGTTAGGTTATTTTTACTTTTAGAAACATGTCTTAAAAGATTCAAAATTAATTTATATCCTAAATATAATTTTTTTATTCTCTTATTTTCATAAAAGTTAAAAGTCAGGTTAAATGTCTTTATGATAAAATAAATGTAATTTTTCATTGCCCATTTAAAAAACTCTGCATTTATCAACTTTTTCTTCAGGATTTTGTAATTTATCATCATAGTTTGTTCAGTAGATTTGCGCTAAAGTTCAGGCCTAGTGGACACCTATTCAACTCTTTAAGCATTTTTATAGCTTTTCAATCGTAGGGAAAATTAAAGAGAAGTTTGGCCAAACAGCAAACATCCTGCAGTGCTTATTTGCTTATTTTTCTATCATCGCCTGATTTCTTTATCCTGGACCTTCCTTCCTGTTCTCACTTCACACAAATGTGGTGTAGGAGAAAAAACCCGGTACTTCCTTATTCAGTTATTCTAGGTTATTTTATAGCTGTAAACTAGGACGCCAAGTTGCTACCAGAGGTGTTTTTTGTTTGTTTTCAAGTAGACCCAGATTAGGATCTCTGTTAACAACATAATTAAAAATTGAAGAAAGCATGGTTAGTACATGCAGTGGTAGAGGTGTGAGTAATTGCAGGTAGCAGAGGAGAGAAAATAGTTGCCTCTAAAAAAAGTATTTTGAAATGTCCTTCATGCCAGTTTCCCAGATACATAAACTCTCCACCTCACTTTTCCAGAAGTAAATTTTGAGAAAATAAGGAAACAAATGAAAGTAAGAAGAAAAATAAATTGGGGGATGTCTGTGTGTGCATTTATATATTTCTACTTCTAATATATTTATAATATATGAGAAATTGCAAATAAAGTGGAAGTTGGTCTTCTGCCTTTGTTTTTCTTATGTCACAAGTTCTGACTCATAGCTACTGAGGCTGCTGATCCTTGATGTATGATAATGTGCAGTAAATTGAGAAGTGACTGATAAAATTTGAACCGAGCTGTCAGATATGACATCATATGATCAGATCATTTGTACTTTCATGCTATCAATTCTGTTTCTAAAAACAAACCACAGAAAACAGACTTTTTTCATAATTTCTCGCATTTTATATCTGGTTCTTCTTCTTTTTTCATAATTTCTCACATTTTATATCTGGTTCTTCTTTTCTATTCTTTTCTTCTTCATAACCCATGACATTTTTCTTATTTCTTCTTTGATGATACAAGCAAATTCCTATGTAGTGTTTAGAAGATTTTTACCTGACTATGAATGCATATGCTCTTCCAAAGACAGACTCATTCATAAGAATCTGTGACAGGTCAGCATTTCCAGGATGTGCCAATATATTAATATTCATAAAAAGATGAAAACTAAGTGTGCATGTTCTTCTGTAAGCGACATCGTGTTTAATTCGTGGTTGAATGAAATGAGATGCTCTGTTTAGGAGCTCGATTTCAATGAACGTATTTCCAGAAAATGGGCACTGAGTTTTAAGTCTACTTTTAGGAGGCATTAGAACGTTACACTTTAATTAAAGAGTAGTCTGTGTAGAAGCAGCACCGACATTGCCTGGGAACCTCTAGAAATGCAGAATTTTAATTCCAACAAATATCTACTGAATCATAATCGGCACTTTAAGACCTCTAGGTGATTCAGATGTACATTAAAGTTTGGCATTTTTTTTTTAGAGTGCATAGTATGGCTCTGAATGTGGCATTTACCAAATGTTTATTATGACACATACATACAAATTCAGGAGAGACATAATCCATGAAAATCAGATCAGAGTAGCAAAATGGTGAAATTGTTTAATAATATCAAGGAAGACGAAACCCTTGATGAACTCCAGCATAAAATATCAAAATATCGACATTATTCTAGAATAATTTTAAGCTGTCATATTTGAAGAAGCTTTGAGGTGTATCTTAGTTGTAATAAAATAATATAACAGTGTTTCCATGATAGTTTTACATATAAATAAGCATCCTTAAAGAAATTCCCTGGATTACTCTTTCTGTGTTAAATACTGTGCTATTCTACCATTGCTGTCATTAATCAACTTCATTAGATAATATCATAATGAGAACATAGGTGAAGCTACAAGAAAAATGTTGCAGAGAAGAATTTGTATATTTTCTAGAAGTGACAGATATATATGTGTATATTTATATATTTGTTGCTTATAGGAGAGCATTATTTTTTATTTTACCAAATTATTGTTCGTGTATGTGTGTGTGTGCATGCACTCACATACTCAAATCTTTAAAGGTCAGTCTTCAACGAGGTTTCAATCAGATTCCATGTAGTAAAGGTATTGAATTGACAAATACCTTCTTCAGCATTCTCTTACAGAATAAATAAAATAAACATTAAACTTAAAAGTAAAAATGTGTTCTACTTTTTTGGAATTTTTATTTGCATATACCTGTTCAAACTTCTGTAGAAAAGAACCTTTTCAAGAGTCATGTTATGAATTTAAGGCCAGATTGAAACTGGGTCATGTCTGTTGCCCAGTGCCTGATTTTCCATTCTGTACATTTCTGTTGACCTTTGCTTTTTCTTAACCTTCTTGTTTCAGATCCCGTTGACCATTTTCCTGCTCATTACCATGGGTATGAGTGGTCAGAAAGGGCAGATGAAACAAAAATAAATCAATGACTTTCTTTGCAAATATATCTGAAAGAAGATTTGATGGAGGAGACAAGACTCACTGGAATCTTGCTACAACAGTATTTATCGTAGAGCAGAATTCATTGTAAAGCTGACCAGCTTTGGAGTCCCTCAAACAGGATAGAGTGATGAGGGAAATGTTTACCTAGTGTATTTGCTTGATATGAGTTTCATTTATGTTTCTACCTTTTTTATAGCCTACAACATAGATAACCGGAAAAATCTTTCTATTGTTACAGTTTTGTATTTTTTCCTGAGCCAAGACATTTTCCCAAAGGGGTATTGCAATTATATAAATCATTAGAATTGTCCATAAATGTAAGGAATTCTTCTGTAGTATCTCAATAACAGATATCTTTAGTTGATACATTTTTGCAGGCCATTCAGAAGCTATTTAGTAGTTTAGTGTCATTACCGCTATTAGTAATGCTACAACTCTGTGTGTGTGTGTGTTTGTGTGTGTGTGTTTCAATCTGAATCTCATTGTTTTCTGTGTTCTTCTTTTACTCTAAATAAACCTCCATATCTAGTATGCTGTGAAAGGTGTAATTGCTTTATAAAATGTAGAGCAAAATTACTATTGCCAGTAGATGAGGTCTATGAGGAAAGAGAAGCCTTTTGCTGATTCGCTAGTCACCAAATACTGTGTATTTAGCAGTTGTTTAATGGTTCAAATAAATTGAAGACATTCAGCTCTGTTTAAAACAAGAAAATCAAGGTGCTATTAGTTTCAGTGGCAAAAACAGCAATTACTTTTACACCAGCCTAATATTTAGCGCACTGAGGCAGTCATATGAACTCACTCAAAGGCCCTGTAGTGATTCCTTGCAGCATTTCCTAGGGATAATCTGGCTGAGTGTTTAGTGTTGGCAAGTTGAACTTCAACTCAAGCCCAGTTAAGGCTTTGTCATTTTTAATATGCAATTGATTACCAGGTGGTATCCATCCTTCCTATTAGGGTTTTGTGTTGCTTCAAAGGTACTAACTTGCCCAGTGTCAGTTCTAGCACAAAGAGGATATATGGGTGGCAGATGTTAGGAGGTAAGATCTGAGGCTGAAAAATGGAAAGACAGATCCTTGTACCATATGGTATTTGGACCTGTGATGTTGACATCCTTCATGCTGGGCTTCAACCTGCTGAGCTAACCAGGCCTTGAGGCTGTGCCAAGTGGCAGAACTAGCAGGTCTTCACCAGGAAGACGTAGCAACTGTCATGTAGCTGGTCTGCTTGATCTCAGAAGATGGCCCACCAAAGAGAAAATAAGCACATGGTGATAGACTGATTAAATGCTTAAAGGAAGGGTTTTGTGGTAAGGGTCAGTTAGCTGATTATTGTAAGAATTGGGCTTTACCTTAGCAATACACACTATTGAAAAACTTACTTGTATTCACTAAGGACAACCTAGGGTCAAGTGAATAAGTATTCTGTCATCAAGGCAAAGCATGTGAGATCATGCCCATAGTTAGGATTTACTGAAAACAGACAAATACAGTTCCTCTATGCAGTTTAACTGGTGTTCATGATACAGCCATAACGGTTAATAAAATATGAAAACACTTCTGATTTTAAACGGCTGCTACCCAGTACCATCACAGGACCCCTCAAATAATCTCCTGCTGGCTCAGACACAGGTGGGCAGAGCGAGAGGCTACCCTGAGATGACTCCACCTATTTGCCTGTCAGCCTGCCTGTGATGTCTCTCATTTGCCAGCTCTTGACCCCATCCCTTTCTCCCTTTCTCCCACAGCCAGAGTTCATGGATCACCTACAAATGGCCAAGATTCCCCTCAAGTTGCCTATTTATGGCTGTTGGTAAAAGCTATGACCTGTACAGTATATTTCATCTGTTGTTAAATATTTGGGTATCACCCTGACTGTAAGAGCTGTTTTAGTACTGGCATAGCATGGCTTCAAAATCTTGACATCTCAAGTGATTTTCTTCCCTTTTCCTCAAGATTCTTCCATAGTCTACTACACAAAAAAGGCAGATTGAGACAGAAAAAGATACATAATTAGACTTCATTGCTTTGTCTGAGATTGCAGCACAATGTAGTACAGTAATAAAGAAACCAGGTTTTGAAGACAGAGGAGATCTAAATTCAAATAATAGCGTTACAACTCTGTGACCTTGAAGAAAGTATTCAACCTCTGCAATCTTCCATTTCCTCCTCTCTATAATAGCAATTATAATACCTAACTCATGATGTTATTGTGAAGATTTAATAAGATAATGGACATTATGTGCTCACCACAGAGCCTGGAACATAGGAAGTACTCAATAAACAGCAATTATCCTATTAATGCTACTTTTACAGAATGCAATAAAGGACAGTTTGTTTTCATTAAAAGTGTATCATAAAATCGTTTTCAGAGTTAATGTCATTTCGAATGCCATAAGAAATTAAATTTTGAAGAATATTTGTCATCAACAACATTCACTTTGGGTCTGAAACATAAAATGCATATACTTTACCAATGATTCAGGACTGGTATATTTAAATGTTTGTATCATCCTATGACTTTTAAATTGAGCTGTTTAACATTCTTTCTTCCTCTCAAGTGTAAATTGGCTTATATAAAAATCACCGTGTCTCGCACTATGATTCTTCCAGTGAAAGACGATTAACTATACGTGCTCTAACTGATCCTCTCACTATAATACTACTTTTATGCTAATCAGGTCTCTCCCTTATTTATTGTGTCTTCTCTCATCTCTATTTTGTCCTCATCCACTCAATCCAGGAAAATATCAGAATTATTTTTCCAAGTAAAATAACCAATGAACAACTTCTTTTGTTTTGATAAATATGCCAGATCTTTCTACACATTGTCTGCATATACTGCAGTGAATCTGTGTCATTTGACCAACAGTCACAGAGCAAACTTCTCCCTGAATCAGAAAGATATTTTTTGTTTTGTTTTGTTTTGTTTTGTTTTTAGGCCAGTACATATAATTTAATGTTGTCTTAAGGGAGATCTATAAAATAAAAATGCTTGTTTTCCAGTTTTTGTGGAGTTGATTTACTCTTTTTTAAATTATAGAAATGAGCTCATTTGACCAGAAATAATACTTTCTGTGGATTCAAAAGTATCCTTACTCTCATTGTTTCTTAATCTGAGAACAAGAAAGGACAGAGACATTGTGTTTACTAGTTTGGGTTTCTTTTATACTTAGTCATCAAATGTTGGTTTTCTTAGTGTTTTTTTTTTTTCAGAAAGCTAAATAGTGACTTTCAAGGACTTTGATAATGATTTATATATTGATAATTCCTTTAACGATTATCACTTGGCCATCACACCACCAAAACCCTTTCTTCCACTAACCAGCTGACATTAGCATGCCTTTGGTTTTTAAGCCTTAACTGGGGACCTGCATCTAACTTTTTATTATTTTAGCCTATAGAGGAAGAAGATGGACAAAGAATCCTCTTTCTTTTACAGGTATCTTAAAAAGAAAAAAACAAATGCCTCTTAAGAGTGGCCAATAGCAATATCTCTGTGTGCACAGTTTGGCTCAGAGGCAATCTCTAACACATTTGTGGAATCAAAGATCAAATGACTCAGCTGTCTGACAAGTGGATGAGCCAGTTGGCTGCTCCCATTCAATGTCCCTTTCTAGCAGTAAGACCCCTTTCCTCTGAGAGTTGTGTGGAACTCTCTGATTTTGGCTTGTCTTTTCCTGTCAGACATTAGTCTTTTAACATGCCTCCTCCCAGGGAGTTATCCCTGCTTCTAATTGGGTAGGCTCTCCAAGCTGCCCTGAACTTCAAAATTGCAGTTAGGAGCTATCACCCAGTTAGAACAGGTAAAGTAGTCCCAAAGAACAAGAGGAAAAAGCTTTGCTTTTAGAGATGAAATACTTATCTTCTATTCTGTATTTCTGAAAAAAGATACAAGTGAAACATTTCATCTTTGGCTTCCTAAGTTTTTCTTAAATCAGCAAATTGAGTAAATCCTTTCCTTACAGAGAAATTTTAAATTATGACTGGAACATGTGTTTTATATCTTAAGGACTCAATAGGATTTCTAAAAATTGAAAATTGAAGAGCATCTTCTTTCTGATTCATTGATTAAATATGTGTTTATTCACTTAAAAAGTCAGAGAGCCAACTTTACAAGTCAGCAAATTGCCACCCAAGAAATGTGATATGAGAATCAATCAACAATTGTCCTTCCCTCAAACAAAAGTACTTTTATTATTTTCACAGAGGGCTTGTAATTTCAGTCTCTAGGACTGATTCATTGTTTTCATAAGAATCCTGTTTAATGCACATGTATCACCCATGAAAGAACCTAGTATATCAACTTGGCTAGCAAAGAACAGGGCTGTAAGAGATTAAAAAAAAAAAAAAAAAAAAAAACATTTTAACCTAGGTGGAAGTGGAGGGAGGGGGACGAAGGAGAAAATAAATTTCTGGAGCTTTTAACAAGGAGAGTGTGAGGGTAATCCAGCAATTCAGAAATATGAAGAATGCATGGAGAAGAATAAAGGAGCATTTAAAACACCTAAAAGAGCACTGATTTTTAATCATCCAGGCTGAGTTCCTTCTATTAATATGGGGTTTGATGAGAGGTAATGCTGCAATGTCAATTACTTATAAAACAGTGATTTCATTTATTTTCTTATCTATTTGCTTTTGTAATGAAAGGTCAGAAAGCAACACACTCAATATGCCTAATATATTTCTTATTTCTAAGGCTATAACTAATGACAATAATTTTTGGCTATGTCCACACAATATTTTTTATTTGCCAACTTTGTCTATATTCTAAGTGTTTATAGTTGCAGTGCAGGAAAATGTTATGACTTAACCTATACTTTTTGGATTCAGGTGCCAACTTGCAGTTAAACTGATAAAAATCACTTGATATATTCTAAAGTTAGCAGAAAACACACACACACACACACACACACACACACGAGGCTATTTTAACATGACAATATTTTCTGACGTGATCTAAAACCCTTCAGTAAAAGGATGTTAACTAGACATCCATTGTTTATATTCATAATAATACATACCATCGGTACTTTGGTCATAGCAGATGTTCTCTTTTTAGGTGATCAGGCATGTTTTTCACATATTAAATACATAAATAAAGCTCTATATGTTAGATGCAAACAAAATTTCCTAAACTGAGTCTTCAAAAGAGAAAGGATATTTAAATCCTAAAACAAATTATCAAAGCTACAATAACTCCTTTCCCAGGGCTTTAAAAATTAGATGTCAGAGATGGCTAAAGGGTACTGCAGCTGGACAAAATCAATCACCTTTACATCTCTTGCAGTTTGTGAATCTTCACAACATCCATTTGAAATATGTAAACACAAAAACCATTACTGGAACCTATTTTACAGATAAATTACTTGATTTGAGTGAGTTACTATTAGTATTGAGTGCATATGAATCTTTAGAGGTTCTTATTTGTATTCTTGCATCCTCAAGTGTAATCATACAGATTAACAAATGATTCAATTAATATTGTTTTACTTGGAAGTTGAAACTCATAAATCCAATTTTAATTTTATTTGAAATACTATAAATTTGTTTTATTTAATGCACTTACATATAAGTTTGTCAGGTGAAGTAGCTCAGACGTAAAAGTAATTTGTATTTGAAAATAAGAACAAGATCTTATGAAATAAACACTGTTCTGGGAAAGTTGTATTGCTTCTGTAAAGATATTATGTGATTCGATATTATGTTTAATAATAAGTATGATATTAACTATCTTTATATTATATACTAATTTTCCCAAATAACATTGAGTAAATGATGTTGTTCACATTCTTGATAGTCTTGTAAGTGGTCTAGATTGCTGTAACTGTTTTGAATTCTCAGCTATGGTAATTACAGATATTATAATGCAATTTTTTCATACTCTTATAATAACTACATAAAAATTACCTTTCCACCTTAAAATACTAAAGATGATAGTTTGTCTGTAATACATCCAAGAAAATGGATCTAACTGTGTGTGAAAAGCATTCTTAATAAAAGAGGCCAAGGTGTAGTGGCTCATGCCTGTAATTCCAGTGTTTTGGGAGGTGAAGCCAAGCAGATTGCTTGAGCTCCAGAGTTTGAGACCAGTCTGAGCAATGTGGCAAAATTCTGTCTTTGAATCTGCCCCCCACCCAGTCCCCACTCACAAAAAAAAAAAAAAAAAAAAAAAAAAAAGCCAAGCATCATGGGAGGCTGAGGTGGGAGGTTTGCTTCAGCCCAGAAGGTGAAGGCTGCAGGAGCCACAATCATGCCACTGCACTCCAGCCTGGGCAATAGAACAAGACCCCGTCTCAAAAAAACAAACAAACAAACAAAAAAAAACAAACCCATGTAAAAGAACACACTTAAAATCAGGTTAATGGTACGTTAGAAATCTTCATGTATAACTTAGTTATAATGACACTAAACATTTGTTTTTAAATAATTCCAGGAAAGTTAATTTTTAAGGCACTTGTTACAAATTCTTAGAAATCATAGGATCTTCAATTTAATAAGGAGAAAGATTTCACAGGAATAAATATTTAAAAGATGCTAGGTATGGGGGCTCATGCTTGTAATTCCCAGCACTGACAGGCTGACAGGAGGACTGCTGAAGCCTAGGAGTTTGAGACCAGCCTGGGCAACATGGTGAGACCCTGTCTGTACAAAAAAAATAAAAGAATTAGCCAGGTTTGGTGACACAAGCCTGTAGTCCTAGGTACTTGGGAAGCTGAGCTGAGAGGTTACCTTGAGCCAGGGAGGTCAAGGCTGCAGTGATCTGTTTTCGTGCCAAAAGAAGTAATCAATTACTTCAGTAGAAGTAATCCTCATACCCCTCAGTGTTTTGGAGTTAGTAGCAGGCTTTACTAAAATTTTCAAGTAATTTAAAAAATACAATCAAAACTCTGTTTTTAAAGTAACTAGGTAGCGATAATCAGAGGAAGTGCAAAACTGCATAATTTTAATTTTCTGAATTTCACGGACATCTTATGCTTTACATATCAAATTTGGTGATAGCTTTACATAGCAAAGTATTTTTTACTTGATTTTATATCAACTAGGAATCAATATGTTTTTATTGCTACATTATGCTACCCAATATTGTAAAATAGAGTGGGAAAAAAACAAATAAATGTAAGTCCTTGGGCCTCAAGAGATATATGCAACCATGCATATATGATACATTTCATAAACTATACAATGAGGCCTGTACCAAAAAAAGTGTGATATAGACAATGTCTGCACAAGTTCATTGAACAAAATGAGAGCAATGACATCCACAAAAAACTCCCCTTTGCCTAGTGTGTCCCAACCATGATTTTATTTGTTCCTATCACAATAGTGTCAGGCAGAAAGTATTATTAATCCCTATTTTTCAAATGTGAAAGAAGAGTCTTGGTGAGGTTAAGTACTTTATGCGAGTTTAGACAAGCAAATGGCTGTTGAAACTCAGATTCAAGTCTTTGATCTCTAAACCTTAACATGCTTTTCACTGTATTATGCTGTTTTTCACAAAGAAAACTTTATGGAGAGACTAGGGTTTGAGCCTAACCTTGAAGGATTTTCTTAGGCAAATAAAAAAGAGGTTTCCTGTCTAGATGATGGAATTGCATAAAGAAAGATCCAGGAGTGGGAATATATTTGGTGTATTTTGGGAGGGTGAAAGATGACAGTGAATGAAGTAGTGTATAAATACTTAAAATTGATTGTAAATAATGTTAATGAAGCTTCAATTAGATGATGGGATCAGGCTAAGGAGTTTGGTTTTGTTGTGACCAGCAATTGAGAACCATTATAATTTTGAGAGTATTCGTGAGATGAAAGTAGCATTTGTAGAATCTGTTCAAAGAATGCATTAATGGTGGAAAAGAGTAACTTCTAACATGTCAGAGGAAGTAGAAATTAGCCAGGAGTTAAAATGCAGTGTGTATTCCTTCAACAATGGTATGCCAAGCACCAATTCCGTGTCAAGAAACCTGCCAGGTGTTTGCATTGGTGAGATGGATGAGAAATAATCAATGACATCAGATATCTCATAGTCTTATTTTGAAGAAAAATACTTAGAAATAATAATCATGAGCAAATTTATAATCTGCCACAGAATTTGGAGAAGTCAGAAAAGTTGCAGGAAAAGAAATGACAGTATATAGTTAAAGGATAATCATGTGTTTCCCAGGCAAAAGGTGGAGGGGATTTTATGAAAAAGCATGTGTGAAATGTGTCCAAGCATGTCCATGGAACGCTGTGAGGAATAACAAAAATAATGGTGTGAATAGAATATAAGAGGCCTGAGAAAGAATGGTGGAAAATGTTCTAAGAGAGAGGTATTCTGATCAGTCTTTGGAGGACTTCGCATGTCTCTGGCTTCACTGTGGCCGGGACCACAGAGGCCCTGGAGAGAAGTTCGGCAGAAAGTTAGAAGCAGAGGCTAGCGTGACATGGGAATAGGCATGCAGCAGGTGCAGTCTATGTTTTGAAGAAGTTTAAAAGTAAATTTTTTCAGTAGGCAAAAAGGGATACTGCTTGAAGGAAAGTTTAAAGAGCAAAAGCAACTTTATTCTTGGGCATAAGTTCAGAAAATTGAGTGAGGTTGCAGGTACAGGACTTTGAAATATTGGGAAAATAGATGGGAAATAAAACCAAGAGGCAATTCTAGATAGGACAAGACCCAAAAGGTGGGATATAATACCGTGTAAGGTAGAGAGGTTAGCTGCGGGGAAGGAGAAGTCATGCTGTTTCCGCTAAGATATGACGATGTTGTGACAAGTGCAGTTATTTGCCTGTGTCTGCCATTAGAGTAGAAGAAAAATTTCCCTCTCCACAAAACATGCTATCTCAATTTTCTTTAATCAGAAGAGATATTTGATGGAACTTATGTCCTTTATTATCCCCTATTAATGTACACAGTAAAATATTTACTCTATACTTAAAAATAATTTAAACATTCAGAAGTATACAGATGAATCCCATTATCCTTGCATTATCCTGGGAGCATTATTTGTAAAATAAGATTTAGTGTAAGAAGTGAAATCTATTTTGACTAATTGGTCAAGACTTATACATAATTTAAAAGTATAAATACTAGCCTCATATGTTGATATAATTTGGGTCACCCAATGATGGAGTTTTTCTTTTTAAGTTATTACATTTTCAATTTTGCTATCTTGCTTAGGTCACCTACATTTAGATTTAAAGGACTGGAAATGTTTTCTGAATGTGCACATTGCTGAAAGGTGAGGTGACATTCTCATGAGGACTACCATACTTGCTAAAAATGTTTAGTGTCTTGGTACAATTTTGAAATTTGTCCTACACTACCTGGTCACCTCGCCCCTGTCCCAGGTCCCTCCCAACTCCTCATGATTCAGTCACTACAGAGGTAATGCCAGGTTTACCAGAGAGCCTCCAACCATGTTCCTTTTTGTGCCTCATTTATAATCTCTGGCTGTGAAATGTTCAAATGCCTGAAAGTCTTCATGAGATTAATCATTTAATTTAAGGCAACGTTGCCATATTCTCAGGAATTCATGAAGCCCCCATTATCCCATGCTTCTCACCCTGGTGGATGGGTAGAAGCAGTAATCAGAGTGGCTCTTCTGTCCATTTACAGGATGGACAGAATCTGTAAGGAGCTTCATGGGATACAAATATTTTCACTGCACAAATGATCATTGGGAATTAGGATAGAGTAATCCCCAAAGCAACAGTATATGAAATATCTATATTGCCTGGCTTTTGAGAGAATTTTGTCTGAGGCAGGCATTGCTATTTCTCAAACTGCCCTGTCTGCCTCCCCATTTTCCAGAAAGAACAACAAAATACTGATTTAAGCAGTTTTCCAACTGAAATATCCTAGCACTGGTCAAAGAGGTCTGAAATATTTATTCCCTCAACTGTGAGGCTAATTACCGGGGCCTGGGGCCACCTCTAAAAATATTATTTGCTATTTACTCCAGTGTAGCTTGCAAATATTATAATTGTCTTAATGTATATTGATATGAAAATTTGGGAAGGACTGGTTATGGTACAGTTCATCCAGCCATGATCCAGCTGTCTCATGAGTTACCCAGTAGTCCTGGCAACCAAGACAAGAGTATATCAAAGATGATAAAGACTGTAGTGGCTAGTCTAAAGAAACCAACTAACTCTTTAGTTCTCCCAGACTAATTTCTCTCTTGTCCCTAAACTTTACCACTAGGAATAATCTAATAATTCTATATGTTGTCTTTGCAAAATAAACACATATTTTTCTGTTTTCTCAAAATTTATAAGTAGCTGAGCCTCTCTTCTGGCCACCAGATGGGTATTTTACTCCTGCTATCATGTTCCTCAGTTACCTGGCAATCTTAACAGTGAAAAATCAAACTTTGATTTGAGCCAACACATGAATCACTTTTAAAAAAATCTTGCATGATTGTATATTTAGAAAACCCCATCGTCTCAGCCCAAAATCTCCTTAAGCTGATAAGCAACTTCAGCAAAGTCTCAGGATACAAAATCAACGTACAAAAATCACAACCATTCTTATACACCAATAACAGACAAACAGAGAGCCAAATCATGAGTGAACTCCCATTCACAATTGCTTCAAAGAGAATAAAATACCTAGGAATCCAACTTACATGGGATGTGAAGGACCTCTTCAAGGAGAACTACAAACCACTGCTCAATGAAATAAAAGAGGATACAAACAAATGGAAGAACATTCCATGCTCATGGGTAAGAAGAATCAATATCGTGAAAATGGCCATACTGCCCAAGGTAATTTATAGATTCAATGCCATCCCCATCAAGTTACCAATGACTTTCTTCACAGAATTGGAAAAAACTACTTTAAAGTTCATATGGAACCAAAAAAGAACCCACATCACCAAGTCAATCCTAAGCCAAAAGAACAAAGCTGGAGGCATCATGCTACCTGACTTCAAACTATACTACAAGGCTACAGTAACCAAAACAGCATGGTACTGGTACCAAAATGGAGATATAGACCAATGGAACAGAACAGAGCCCTCAGAAATAATGCCACATATCTACAACTATCTGATCTTTGACAAACCTGACAAAAACAAGCAATGGGGAAAGGATTCCCTATTTAATAAATGGTGCTGGGAAAACTGGCTAGCCATATGTAGAAAGCTGAAACTGGATCCCTTACTTACACCTTATACAAAAATTAATTCAAGATGGATTAAAGACTTAATGATAGACCTAAAACCATAAAAACCCTAGAAGAAAACCTAGGCAATACCGTTCAGGACATAGACATGGGCAAGGACTTCATGTCTACAACACCAAAAGCAATGGCAACAAAAGCCAAAATTGACAAGTGGGATCTAATTAAACTAAAGAGCTTCTGCACAGCAAAAGAAACTACCATCAGAGTGAACAGGCAACCTACAGAATGGGAGAAAATTTTTGCAACCTACTCATCTGACAAAGGGCTAATATCCAGAATCTACAATGAACTCAAACAAATTTACAAGAAAAAAACAAACAACCCCATCAAAAAGTGGGCAAAGGATATGAACAGACACTTCTCAAAAGAAGACATTTATGCAGCCAAAAAACACATGAAAAAACGCTCATCATCACTGGCCATCAGAGAAATGCAAATCAGAACCACAATGAGATACCATCTCACACCAGTTAGAATGGCAATCATTGAAAAGTCAGGAAACAACAGGTGCTGGAGAGGATGTGGAGAAATAGGAACACTTTTACACTGTTGGTGGGACCGTAAAGTAGTTCAACCATTGTGGAAGTCAGTGTGGTGATTCCTCAGGGATCTAGAACTAGAAATACCATTTGAACCAGCCATCCCATTACTGGCTATATACCCAAAGGATTATAAATCATGCTGCTACAAAGACACATGCACAGGTATGTTTATAGTGGCACTATTCACAATAGCAAAGACTTGGAACCAACCTAAATGTCCAACAAGGATAGACTGGATTAAGCAAATGTGGCACATATACACCATGGAATACTATGCAGCCATAAAAAATGATGAGTTCATGTCCTTTGTAGGGACATGGATGAAACTGGAAACCATCATTCTCAGCAAACTATCGCAAGGACAAAAAACCAAACACCGCATGTTCTCACTCATAGGTGGGAATTGAACAATGAGAACACATGGACACAGGAAGGGGAACATCACACTCCAGGGACTGTTGTGGGGTGGGGGGAGGGGGAGGGATAGCATTAGGAGATACACCTAATGCTAAATGACAAGTTAATGGGTGCAGAACACCAACATGACACATGTATACATATGTAACGGGCCTGCACGTTGTGCACACGTACCCTAAAACTTAAAGTATAATAATAATAAAATAAAATAAAAAAACAAAACAAAACAAAAAATCTTGCTGCTTGTGAGAACTGCTGAGTCATTTTTTTGTTTTCTGACTATAACATTTCTGAAGTTTCTCAGGTTTATGAAGTGTTTTCTCTGAGGGTAACTTTTAGAACTTTTACAGAAAGGTCTAAATATAACTGGCCTAAACATTTCTTGGACATTTATGCAAGGATGCATGTTTTTAAATTTTTGTGAATCAGCCAAGTAATTTTAAAAAGCTACTTTATGATGTTGGTCATAGAAGTTTATAGCTTTTTAATATTAATGTATGTGTCTTTAAACTTCATTTTTAAATGAATTTATGTTAATATTATAAACATAAGATTAAATAGTTAGAGGCACTCAGTGAAAACCCTTTCACTTACTTTTACTCCTGTAATTTGTATTCAAATTTGTATATTTATACAAATTATTAATATATATGCACACACACATATATATATGGAAATAAAGATATATTTTTAGAAATATTGATACTCAAGTTACAGAAGCATGTTACAGAAAATGAGTTGTGCATTTGGGGTGACAGGTGTTTGACATTTAATAGCCTTGTACAGTAGTAATTACATAAATACACATGAAATTTACAGAGAAATCTGTTAAACAATTCAGCTAGTGAAGCTACAGCATAAAAATTTGTTTATATCCCCCAAAACACAAAACATTGAGAGAAAGCTGTTTTAGCATCCAACAAAATAATTTACACCTATAATTCCTATTTGATAAAGTATTTCAAAATTATATTTAACTTTTGGCAACTCTAGTTCGTTTTTTTGCTTGTATGATATTTTTGTTTTCTTTTATTTGTTTTCTAATTTTATCACATTGCAAACTTCTGCAATTCTCACAATTTTGCATATCCTAAAATATGTTAGATTGGCCTTTTAATTATTATTATTATTTTACCTCAACTAAGTAGGGAAGGTAAAACATGAAATTTTTGAGCTTTCTTTTTCAGGAGGAGGAAAGGGGTTTACAACAGAAAAGACAGTTTGAGATACAAGTATTTACCAAAAAGCAACTTACCTTCTGAGAACATTTTTTACTTAACTATGATAACACCAAACATTTATTAAGTGTCTGCCAGACAGTATTCTAAGAGCTTTTGATAGAATCCTCACCACAACCCTGTGAAATAGAGACTTGATATATAGCTTGCTCAAGCCACTCAGCTTATGAATACTGGGGCCAGCATTTGGACCCAGGAATCTGGCTCTGCAGTCTGTTAAGCACTCTGCTATGCTACATTTATTTATGTAACTAATGCATGTTGAATTCCTACTCAGCCTACATCGCAGTGCTCAGCGCTTTGTAGTCAATAACTGTTGACATTCACAACAACCCTACGAGGTAGGCTTATTTGATAGTTTCATTTTATACATGAGAAAACTAATAATTATTTGATTAAATCAATTAATGTCGCATGGATTCGGCAGAGTTCTGATTAAAACCTAAGTGTGTCGGACTATAGAATCAAGGCTGTTGCAATAATCTATGTCAGATTAATACATGATAGTAGTCATATTGGAATTACTACATTTTAGATTTGGAAGAGCTGGATAAGACTAAGAATCATATGGGGATTTGGAAAGTGCTTATAGAAGTGTAGATAGGATTTGGGAATTGACAGCCTGAAATTCAGATAAAATAACATGCAATTTGGATGCTTGATAAAGATTTGGAATGGGTAAACTTTGAGAAAAGACCCTATGTTCTGATTTAAGCTTATCTTAAAAACACAAATGGTGATTATACAAAGTAGTTATCACTGGTGTGTAAAAACAATGAGTATGCCCTTTCTTTCACTTCCTGTTCTTTAGCAAATTTTATTCTATTGTAGTTGCTCAGTAAAAGATTTTTAAACAATAGAAGTCATACATAAATACATTTATAACTAAATGTTCTTCATATTCTTAAAGAACAGACTAAATATAACCTTTAGATTGACATAACTTCAAGTAAATGCCACTGAAACATTTTTGTTCCTGTTACCTGATGTAATTCTAACAAGAGATCTGCGGAGAACCATTATCCATAGTTTACAGCTGAGGAAATTGAGATTCAAGGAGTTTAAGTACCCTGCCCAACTTATCTAGGGATATGAGATGAAACAATGACTCAATCAACCCTCAGATTTTAAATCCATACTATTTTAATGGTTGAAAAGAATATTTATGTTTTTAATGCGTTATTTGAAAAAATACATATTTCCTTTCCTATGCAGCTTTAAAAATTAGGTGTTTAATCACATAGGCTAACTTCAATGTCTCTGAGAACAAGAGCAGCACTCTTACAGTATTTTCTATAGTTTTGTTTTGTAAAACAATGCTAGTAATTTCTTGTGCTTAACAGTTTTACCATTTAGAAAAGCTAACACATAATTCTGTTCTTTTTTACATCTTTTCAGGTCCCGAGGAGGTAGAAATCAAGTGCCCCTTGAATCACATTGCTTGCCTTGGTACCAACAAATGTGTTCATTTATCCCAGCTGTGCAATGGTGTCTTGGACTGCCCAGATGGGTATGACGAAGGAGTACATTGTCAGGGTGAGTCCATTTGTGGAACAATGCAACTGAAATATTAAATTTTACATAGTAATGAAAGTTCAAAGAAAACCTATAACCTGCCTTTTCTTTCAACTACAAGCATATCAGTTATTAAGAAAGCATGAATTTTACTGCCAGACATTTTAATATGCATTTCAAAGCTGCAAGTATTATGTTTGAGCAAAAAAACACCATTAGACAACACACACACACACACACACACACACACACACACAAATTTAGACTTTGAAGTTGGGCTCTTAAACAATTATATGTTTCATATAAAAAAGTGCTTTTGAGCAAAAGACAAATGAGAAGTCTTTGTCACAGCAGATTGATATCACATCGTGTTATAAGCTTGTTTCTCTGAACCTCTGCTTAAACAAAGAATTTGAAGGAATGCTTCGTCAAACAAGTATTTCAGTAAGAAGTATGAAGGAAAATTTTTCCTTCATAATCTTTCCATGATATTAGACTGTTAACTTTCTTGTAATTTTGTCTTTTTAAAAATCAACATCTAAATTCTACAATGGTACAATATTACCTAGATATTAATGATATGAGGGATAATAATTAAAATCTAAAAATTAATAAAAAGTTAAATGCTACTGGCACTTTCTAGTGCGGGGTGGAGTGGGGAGAATGAAACATGAGATGAAGAGAAATAAGAGCAGAAGAAAACAGTCAAGGATCCAGGTAAGGACCCAGATTTGGAAGCAGAATCAAGGTATCAGTCAAGTGAATCAGGCTGCAGGATGGAGCTGGGAAAGAAACAACTGTACTGGAAGTCTTTAACTCAGATTCTCATAGACTGAGTGTAACACAAAGGGTATTGAAGCTAAGATTTCAATAAGAACCTGTCCTTCGTTTGGGGGTCAGTAAGACAACAAAGAATAGAAGAAAGGAGAGGAAACTGGAGATAACATATCTGGTTTCTGGGTAGCTTCACACAAACTAATTGCTGTCATGGGGGAAGAGGTCCCAGGTCACCAGAAATTCCAGTTGTTCGGGAGGAGCTCCAAATATGTATACGTTTAAAGTGCTCAAAGTCAGATGCTATTTTTTAAAACATTGTATAGTCAATAATATGCCCAAACAAAACCTGTCTGGGGGCCTGACAGGTCTTGTTGGCTGACAGTTTTCCAGGTCTGGGGTGAAGTAAGCTGAATTCAAGACCATAAATGGAGAAATATATTAGAAAAAGCATAAATCTTAGAACAATAACCTGAAGATGTAAGAGTGTTGAGAGACTACAGGTAGGCTGTGGAAATCAACTGGTCACTAGGTCTTTTCCCTCTTTCTAAAGGAAGGTCCAATTACGCTGACTCTGTGGATAAATTCTGACTGGGAATTTAAAGATCTTCAGAAGCTTTCTTCTTTGGCCTGAGTTTCCTTTCTTAGCATTAAAATTACATAAAAAATCAGCAGATTCATAGTTGCAGGTATGAATACATATGTAATAATAATGAATGAGAGATTTTATTTTTATGTAAAGGCTTTGTGACATCTTTTATGTAATTGTATATGAAAAAGTGATATGAAAAGAAAGTAGGCCGGGTGCAGTGGCTCACTCCTGTAATCCCAGCACTTTGGGAGGCCCAAGCAGGCAGATCACCTGACGTCAGGAGTTCGAGACCAGCATGGCCAACGTGATGAAACCCTGTCTCTATTAAAAAAACAAAAAATTAGCCGGCTGTGGTGGCAGGGGCCTGTATTCCCAGCTACTTGGGAGGCTGAGGCAGGAGAATTTCTTGAACCCAGGAGGCAGAGGTTGCAGTGAGCCAAGATTATGTCATTGCACTCCAGCCTGGGTGACTGAGTAAAACTTCATCAAAGAAAGAAAGAGAGAATGAGAGAGAGAGGGAGGGAGGGAGGAAGGGAGGGAGGGAAAGAAGGAAAGAAGGATTTTTAAATGATAGGCATTAAAGAGTTTAATTTTCTTTTTGGATATTATATTTTCTAGATCCTAATTTTATTCAACTCAGTTATAATTCAGGCTTTTTGTTATATTGTTTTTGAATTTTCAGATAGATATGTATGACTAAGCTTTTAAAAGAACAAAACCATCACCTTTCCAAATATTTCATCAGAGATGATTACACACATTTGAATATCATAAACATACTTCTGTGCCAAGGATCGTATGAAAATATATCTGAGTTTTCTGATAACATTTAGATTTTTGATCTAATATATGAGGGCATATGTTAATAGCATAAAAGGGGATTCAAATAAAAACAAAGTATTTGAACAAAAATAAAATACTTTTAATTTTATTTTGATCCTTGAAAAGATTGACATATATATTGGATTAGGACAAATTTCTAGTATGTAGTTGTTTATGCTCCATTCTTTTTTTTCTGTTCTAATTCAGTTATTTAAGTGTTTCAAGTTTTCTTTCTTTTATCACATGTGACAACTTTTTTTTTTTTGCCAGTAGGAGGTTTAGTTTGCAGTGGGAGGTTGATTGTACCATTTTGGACTTTTAAATATTTTTACATTTAACCAAATAAAGTGTTTTAAAAGACCTAAGCAACCATTCATTATGACCTATGGTAGACTTAGAAATAATAAATATATTTGGATTTCTACTTGCTATTTAACCTCAGTGGAGGGTTTTTCACCTTCTTTTCTGGCCTTGCACACTACATAGCATCGTAAGAACAAGGTGACTAAAGAGATATAGTCATCCTAGAATCAATGATTTAAAAAAATCTTTCTGCATTGAGAAAATAAACTCAGAAATGAGTTTACCTGCTTGGTCTTGTAAAGTTTCCTCACCACATGGACAAAAACCAAATCACTGGGCAACATTAGATTTGCAACGTTTATATAGTTTGTGTTTAAATGTGAAAAGGTGACTGCCTATAAGCAAAGGTACATTGTAGGAACTCAGTCTACTTTCTCACCCTCAGCCTTCCTCCTAATTTGTGGTCACACCTGATGAAACATTGTTTCCTGGAGAGTTAATTAGGAACCAGCCCCATCAAGTCTGTAAGGAACTTTCTTATCCACTATAGACAGAAAATAAATCAAGAAACCAGATTAATTCAAACGTTACCTTTCTTTTTGGAAATTCTTTCTTTTTTTTTTTTTTCCAGAACAATTCTGTCTAACTCGGTTATTTTTACATTGCATCCTTTTTGTTGCATTCTAAGCATAGACTATAATTTAAGTAATTATACCTAAAGCCTAAGATATGATTAAAAAATGGATGTGGTTTTTTTGTTTGTTTGTTTTTTGGGGTTTTTTTTGTTTGTTTGTTTGTTTTTTGAGACGGAGTTTCGCTCTTTTGCCCAGGCTGGAGTGCAATGGCGCTATCTCGGCTCACCATGACCTCTGCCTCCCAGGTTCAAGCGATTCTCCTGCCTCAGCCTTCCAAGTAGCTGGGATTACAGGCATGCGCCAACACACCTGGCTAATTTTGTACTTTTGGTAGAAATGGAGTTTCTCCATGTTGGTCAGGCTGGTCTCAAACTCCCAACCTCAGGTGATCCACCCGCCTCAGCATCACAAAGTGCTTGAATTACAGGTGTGAGCCACCGTGCCCAGCTGTTTTCTTTTTTTCAGAAGAGGATCCAAAATATATTTGGTGGTATATTTATATCCTTTATAAAACTAATAAGGGAAAAAATTAAAATTTTGGGGGTGATGTTCTGGTCCTGGGAATGTTTTTGTATCAACTGAATTGCTTTGTGAATATTTCCTAGAAAAGTCAATATCTTTCTAGTAAAGATAATGAAAAGATATCTATTATTAATGATTTTCTATAACACTGATATTTTCATCTCCATAATTGGACTCCATCTGAAGAAAGAATAATGGATTTTTGTATATGGGGGTACTTGCATGTAGAAATATGCTTATAAAAGTTTTACAGTAAAAACTTTCAAAATCACATATTTTTGAAAAGTTAATCTCTTTCTACACAGTACTTCATATTGGTGGTAATATCACCTTGTCTAATTGCATGAGCAATGAAAATGCATCCTGTAAAATACAAGGCCTCTCAATCCAGAAAATTTCCACAGAAATGCACACAACCATATAAAGAATGATGGAAGAAGTGAAAAACTTTGACAAATAGAAACAAGATGGACTAAGATGTATCAAAATGCTGTTTTAAAATTTGACATTCTTAAGATAATTTATTATGTTAATGAAACAGGAGAGTTCCCTGACTCCCCTCCCAGAATGTGCGACAGAGTTGTGGCTCATCTGTTGGGCCGCCATGGGCTCAAACCCCTTCCAGGAAGGGGAGCACGCAGACACACAGGTGCAGGAGCTGGGGCCAGCACTTTTGGGCTCTGGCCCCAAGGTAGCATTTACGGTTCGGTGCCTGCAACTCCCAAAGCCCCAGTTGGCATGTTATAGTGCTCTTTTAGCTCTGCCATCTGCAGATGGCTTAAGTGTTAACCAGCTGGGTGCCCTCTTAGTACCCAGGTTCTTGTCTGGTGTCCAGGAAGAATCAGGTCACACAGGGAAATTGAAGGATGGTAAATGAAGGAGATTTTATTGTTGGACGGAGGTGGTTCTCAATGGAATGGATGAGAAGCTGGAAAAGGGATGGTGTGGGGAGATGATCTTCCCTTGGAGTTCGGCTGTCCTGCGGCTGATCTCCTCTCTGACCATCCCCAACCGAACTTCTCTCGACATTCAGATGCTCCGTCGCTTCTCTCCTTCTCTGCCTCACCACTCTGTTGCTCTGCTGCTTTTCTGCATTTTTATTCTTCTCTTTGTGGAGCCCGAGGTTTGGGGTTTATATGGGTACAGGATAGGGGGGTGTGGCAGGCCAAAGGTCAACATCTGGGTGTGAAGACAGGAATGCCTGTTCCCATTTAGGGCCGTGGGTTTCCAGGCTTGAGGATGGGGCCTTTGCTGGGGAACTGCTCTCTTCTACCCAGGATTTCCCTCCCTCCTGTCAGTATTATTAACATTTAAAGTGGGTATAAGCAAGAGAAGCCTTGTTTTTATTCACATCCCTGTTAGATTACATTTGTAGTGCCAAGTGGTAAGTTATTTATTTATTTAGACAGAATCTTGCTCTGTTGCCCAGGCTGGAGTGCAGTGGCATGATCTCAGCTTATGGCAACCTCCCCCTCCCAGGTTTAAATGATTCTCCTGCCTCAGTGTCCCAAGTAGCTGGGATTACAGGCCTGTGCCAACAGCTAATTTTTGTATTTTTAGTATAGAGGGGGTTTCACCATGTTGGCCAAGCTGGTCACAAACTCCTGACATAAAGTGATCCACCTGCGTTGCCTCCCACAGTGCTTGGATTACAGGCGTGAGCCACCACACCTGGCCCCCAAGTGCTAATATATTTAAATGTCTGTGGGAATGACAGTCTCTGTGGCAGCATCTGCCCTTATCCTGTTAAAAGAATATAGAAAGTTCAGAGGTCAGTGAAAAGAGGAATTCTACCTTTTATATCACTAGCAAAAGTGACTATTCAATCTATGTAATTGTTTTCTAGCAAACATTCTGAAGTCCTTTTAAATCTAAGAGAATAACATGTGTGAAGATTTTACTAAAACTGATTGGAGAAAAAAAACTCTGACATATGAAAAGCTCACCCCCAAAACATACAAATACATACACACATACTCATCTTTTCTTATATTTTGTTTTTCTATTCTGAACATTTTCCTGTATGATTATTAGTATATGACATAATTAATTGGCATATTTGATCAGTAAACTAAAAAAGAAAAAGATCCCCTTATATAACAACCAACTCCTTAAAATAATGCATATTCAGACTTTTAAATTACATTTGATTATTTTACTTTACTTTCCAGTTGGAAAATAACTTTCCTAATATATGCAATTGCATTTTTTCTTAATCCACTCATAATCTATTGTCAATAATTCTAATGTATTTAATTTAGATGATAACTTCTGTTAATTAAAAATTTATGTAGCTGGTTTTTTACTTTTATATTTCTATCCATAAAACGAAACTCTTATGAAAAGTGCTAAAAAAAATCCTGGGGGTGATTTAGAACTTAGAGGCATTCTCAAAATGGACCAAGCTAAATGGTAGCCTTTATTTTCTGTAATGATTCACCATGGGAAAATTAGTAATTCTTTAAACTTCTTACTTAATCTTATATGTATTCCAAATTTTCTAAAAAGAAATTAACCTAGAGGTTTTACAGAACTCCATTTTTTTTTTATTTTCCAGAAAGGAAAAATTTATCTGTGCTGTTATTTTGTTAAAAATCCTATTCCAGCTACTACTATGGAAAAAGGAAAAGAAGAAAGGAGGAAAGGAAGGGAGAGAGGAAAGGAAGGGACGGAGGAAAGGAAGGGAGGGAGGAAAGGAAGGGAGGGAGGGAGGAAGGAAGGAAAGGAAGGAAGGAAGGAAGGAAGGAAGGAAGGAAGGAAGGAAGGAATTTAGTAAAGCTACTGAAGAAGAAAAATGAATTTGCAGCTCTTTATTGTTGTTTTTAATTTTACTTAATTAATCTTGTCATAGCCTCATTTTAAAAATTTCATTAAAATATAAAATCATACTATAGAGTGGAATTTCAGCATGCAGAATTCCAAAACAAAGGTATGGAGAAGAGGTATATAGTTGCATAACACTTGCAATGTTATAGTAAGTGTATCTGTCATCAACACTGAGCTTAAAGCACAGGGAGGGAAACCTGTGCTCAAGTGACTTGAAACATCAATAAGTCTACAGCTAAGAAACAAAGAAGTGGAATTACCCAGGAAGACCTAGGTTTGTGAGCTCAGAACACTTTTGATTAGTAAAGCTCTTACAAGTTAAGAGTAGATTCTGCTGTATTTTCTCTGTGTTGAGCTGTGCTAAGGTGATCAGATAGTCTCAAGCCTATCTCAGGTGTAAGGATTTCCACTCAAAGAGATTAGTTTAAGTAACTGAGTTAGTTTAGTGAAAGGCTATGACCCTTAACACTACCTGATTTCAGGGCCAAGCTTAAAGCTTCCCAGAAGCAAAGCAACAATTTCTAGAAAGAATAGAACTTCTATAGGTGTTTCATCCTTTTGAAAGACCTATACCACTATTGTTTATATTGACAAATGACACCTACATGAAATTAGGATTGTGCACTTATGGAGGACTGCTCTAAATATATATGTGTATATGTGTGTATATATAAACGTATATACACATGCATATTTGCACATATGTATGTATGTATGTTCATTTTTTCAGGGACTTAGTTTTATAAATTCTGTTTAATTAGAAATATGCTTTTTTTGCAGACATCTGACTTCTTAACACTGATTTATAAGGCATAATTGCTAAATTAATACTGCTAAAGAGACTTAGAATTCAAGTTTAAAAATGTTCGAATATGTTGACAGAAGGGGCAGCTAGCTAACTAAGTAAATACCTCTGGGGAAAGGATGACTAAGTAATTTGACCCTACGTTGTAGCTGAGAATTCAAAAGGTAGTCTAAAATAGTTAATTGTTGATTGGAAGTTAATTCCTTTGTCATAGATTTACATCTTTGATGAATGTTAATATTATATTAAAAACATGTTCTCTTCCTCCAAACAGAATTATTTTTTAAGAATAACTATGGAAACAAAAAAAAATTGTAAATTTTTACAAATGGTGTAAACTGCCTACTAGTAGTTTAGAAATGATCACAGAAGGCTTTAAGTTAAAAGGAGGTATTCTTCATTAAAACATCATTTCAGATTCTGTATCTGTCCCTCTTCTTAGACAATAGTGGTTTCAAATGAAGTTACATTACTTCTATAATTTTTTATCACAGCTTTTCTGTAGTGAGATTCCTGGTGCATTATGGATCTTCATTTGTTGCTGCAATATACTCTATTTTCAGTTAATTTTGATTTGATTTGATTTTAATTTTTTTTGAGATGGAGTCTTGCTCTTGTCACCCAGGCTGGAGTGCACTGGTACAATTTCAGCTCATTGCAACCTCCACCTCCGGGGTTCAAGTGATTCTCCTGCCTCAGCCTCCCAAATAGTTGGAATTACAGGCATCCAGTACCACGTTTGGCTAATTTTTGTATTTTTAGTACAGACGGGATTTCACTGTCAGGCTGGTCTCGAACTCCTGACCTCAGGTGATCCACCCGCCTTGGCCTCCCAAAGTGCTAGGATTACAGGCATGAGCCACTGTGTCCGGCCAATTTTAAATAGGTGTAAGTCAACAACATGTATCCATTGCTCCCACCCCAATAAAATATTTATTCTGTGTGTATACCTGGTATCTGTAGTAGAAGAAATAGCAACTGCTTTGATATGGAGATTTACCCCTTGGTGCAAACAACTCCTATTATTTCTACCTGTTTCTCAAACGTACTAGCCTCTTAGCTGGAAGTCTTGTGTGAAATCACAAAAAGCCAGAAAACTCAACTTCCTTCGGACAAGTAATCTCTCCCCAGTTGAAGAGACATATTAATGTTCTACAACTCTTGATAGTGTTAATTTATATGAATATTTATAGGCCCTGGTAGCCTGTGTTTATCTAGATATTTCCTTCATCTTTCTCATCTTGATAGTGGAAAACAAAGAATGTAGAAAATATAATGAGTATGAGGCCAAAAAGACTTTTTAAAATGTGCCAATAGAAATACAGTAAGGACTTTTCCAAAATTCAATTGATTAATCAACTTCAATAAAATTTTGTTTGCAGTGACAATATTCCAGATATTTAGCTAAATACCAGGGATTCAGAAAGACATATTTTCTGCCTTCATGGAATTCACATGTAGTAATTGAGGTAGGTAAAAATTAAAGAGGAAGAATAAGACGAGAAACATCTAATTCTACATGAGAAGATGCAAGAAGATATCCCAAGTGAGCTGATGGTTGACAGGCATCTCACTCTAAGCATTGGGTAGGCAAATGAGGAAAGGAAGAACATTACAAAACTAGGGAACTACATATACAGAGGCATAAGTGCAGGATAAAGTATTGTATGTTCAAGATCTCTAAGTTATTGGGTAAGGTTGAAGCATACATACTTGAGTGTAGTGAGAGGAGTTTGAACCTGAAAAAATACTCAGGAATAGACCAAGAGGAGTTACATTAGAATAGGTATACAGTATGACTTATCTAAAATGCATTTCATAGAACCACAAAAAGCAAGAGAGTAAAAAAAAAAAAAAAAAAAAAAAAAATACCAGGGTATATTCTCAATAGTATTTTAAGGGTGTTATATGAAATTGTTTTAATATTAAGCATATAGTAGCTAGAATTGTTGCATATGTGTAGCAGGTTGCATAGTTTATTCTTAGAAAATATATATGTGCATTACTGTAATTATAAAACTTGGAGATAAACAGTAATCCTTACCTCACATTGATCAACTCCAGAATGGATGCACATTACATGTTGTTCTTTAATGTGTCACTTGGATGTAGTTTGTGTAAATGAAAGTCAAAATCGACAACATGAGGAGCCATATTAAGCAAAATCCTTTTCAAATAACATTTAGAAATTTGGAAGGTATGTTTACTATTTTAAGCAACCATAATTTCACCATTAGCAAGCTACTAAAATACTACCTTGTTATAACATGCCTAAATTTTGTCCTCTTGTCCTTTAACTTTGAAAAATATATCATTGTTTTAATATTATTCAAAAGTATGAATTATAACAAACTGTCACTCAGCTCTCTACTCGACCTCAACTGTGAGGCCAAATCCCGTATGATTCATTATTTGGTTTTTTGACACAGCAGCTTGATATTTAAAAAGCAAGGAATTAAAGCAGGAAGCTGAAGTTGAATGGCATCCCCAAGAGTCACACTGGAAATCAGCTGGAAAGCAAGCGTTAAACCCTGTGACCTTGAGTTTTCCTTCACCAATTTTGACTACTGGGCCTTAACATATCAACCCAGAGAAGTGCATAACATTATGATGCTTCAGCATCCTCCTGACCCATTCTCAAAGCAGCAAGATGGCTTGTAGAATTTCAACTGAAGACATTTTTCAGCTAACTATATATTCCCTGTCAGGTTTATTAATTGATTGAAAAGGAAAAAAATGTGCTGAGCAAACAACAGGCTGAACAACTATGTAACTAGCTTGAAGTATTCAATGTCTAAATCTTACTAGTAGCTTATCCCTTTGAGAAAAATTAGTGCTTTCATTTGGTGAAGAATGTGGAAGGGAACTGTTCATTTTGACTCTTTGAAGTAGATCTGCACCAGTAACAATAAGAAGTTAAAAAACTTTAGAAATTTCAACTTTCATGATGGAATCTGGAAGAAATAAAGAGAGATTTCTCAAAGTCATTCAATAGAGAAAGTTTAAATTTTGAATAATGTATTCCCACGGGGGATACATTCCAAGATCCCATGTGAAGGCCTGAAACTGTGGATGGTACCCAATCTTATACAGACTATGTTTTTTCTATACATGCATACCTATGATAAAGTTTAATTTATAAATTAGGCTCAGTAAGACATTAACATCAATAATCATAAAATAGAACAATAACAATTTACTGTCACAAATGTTTTATAAACGTGGTCTCTTTTTCTCTCTCAAAATACCTTATTGTACTATATTTACCTATTTTCAGATGACAGTTGACTATGGCTAACTCAAACCTCAGCCCGTCAAACCCTGGAAAGTGAAACATTGAATAAGAAAGGACATTCCAATGAGAATTAACCATAAATATTTAGAAGACTTGAGATCTGTTGAGCCTAATCTGTCATTCTAGTAAATCTTACAAATTCTATAGAGAAAGCTCATAAGAGATTTTCAGCCAGTGTTTTCATTTCTGAATTTCTAATATTTTCATAATTGTAAAAAATACTATTTTTGTGGCTTTTTAAATAATCCATTATTTTCACTTATACAGTAAACCCTATTCCATGGAATCGCATGGAAGGAATCCAGACACAGCTGGAAGACCTTATTCCATGAGCCATAATAAAATGGGCCCTCATGGAAAATGGAATCTGCTGGTACCTTGATCTTGGACTTTCTAGCCTCTAGAACTAAGAAATAAGCTGCCTTTGTTTAAGCTACCAAGCCTCTGGTATTTTGTTATAACAGCACAAATGAACTAAAATAACAGAATATTGCAATACATTAAGTAATATTCTGAAAAATGAAACAGCTATGAGACTGGTTACTTCTGAGCTCACCGTAGTCAGTCTTTTCAGAATCAGATCAAACAATTATTTCTTTTTCACTCTTGTGGAGATACAGAGACATATGCACGTATATTATACATTTCCAAACTTTTGGCATACATTTGCATATTTGAATTTAGATGCAAGAAATTCTTCATTAGTGACTAATATTTTAGTGAAAGTAAATCACCCAGATTTATTTGCATTAGCTGAGAATTTGTGTTCTAGCTTTCCATTAGGCTTGCGATTAAGAAAAATCTTGAAACCAAATGATTGATCTCTTTATGCCACAAGGGATTGTAGAACCGGTCCAACAACCCACTGTGGTTGTAAAAAACCATGAAGCGGCAGACCAAAGAGAGATCAATCTGCTCTGCTTAACGAGCTTCTTCTGGATTAGGTCATTGTGCTTGCGAGCCAAGGCTTGAGTGTCGGATACAAGGAGAATGGGAAGGACAAGCCCTAAAGAGCAATTTTTACTCCCATTAGCTGAAATGTGTGGTGTGTTCTTATTTAGAGTACAGTACAGGTACAAAACCAGAAAGTGCCAAGAAAAAATCTATACAGTTCAATAAATGACTCTGAGAATTCTCCAATATTCTCAGAGCAGTAGCTCTAAGAACTTGAATTGTCTGATTTTTAGTTAGGTTAATTAAATATTACTTTAGTGGTCTCAAAGAAGTTTGGAGAGAAATATTAATAGGTATAAATTCTCTTTATTCTAAATGGTATATGTAAAATGATCCCCAAATATTTATTATATGTAGAATTAAATATACAATTTGTTTTATATAAATGTATACAGAAATATATGTGTGTATATAGACTGTGTGTATAGAAATATATGTGCACTCTATCAAATTTTCCTAGCCTGTGTCTATTGGATATCCAGATAAAATGATTATTTAGAGAATTAAAAATAACTTATCCTTTTATACTCTTCAACTGGGTTTGTTTCATTTGTTCCCATTTTCAAAACCAGTGTAAGATGAGGTTTGCACTAGTCATGCTCTTGCTTTGACTCCTGTGTCCTCCTTTCCGCCAATGACTTCAGTTCCATTTCAGTAAGTCAGGGTTGTATTCCACCCATCTAAATTAATTATGCAAAACAGAATGTGCAGAACCAAGAGGAATATGTTTGGGATAAAATTCTAATGTTGCCTAACACAATATAACTTACATTTTGATGTGAGCTTTTCATGCAAATGTGCCTTGGTTTAATTTGTCTTTTCTTCCCATGTATAAGTTTCATACCCCTACTAGATTGGAAACATCTAAAGAAACATAGTTTACTTCTATCCAGTCACTTGACTGGAAAGACCCATCAAACTGGGCAGAGATGACAAACATACGGGGAACCATGAGGGAGTGATAGAGTGTAAAGGTGTAGGGATTGCTTTGCAGAACAACTTCTAGGGATAGTATGTGCTACACTGTATGCTGGAATTCCCCCCCCCCCGGTCCGCAAACAAACAAACAAACAAACAAACAAACAAAAAGCAGTGTGCTTTTTGTCAGGAATATTTATGCCTGCATTTCACCTAAAATGATTTGCTCCTTTCAGTTTTGTTTCTTATTTACCAGAAATATCTGCAATGTGCAGAAGGGAAGTACAGGTCTCCTTGATGACTATAACTACAAATAGAGAAGCAGCAATAACTTTCTCTCAGTGCAAAATAGACTTGTTGGATAATAGGGCCAGAAGGGACTTTCAGAGGTCATCAGTTCGTCTATCTGCCTTCAGGCTGGACTGAAACCAAACTCACCTAGACAGATTGCCATCTACCTTATGCCTTCAGGGAAAGAAATTCTAATAACCATTTTTAGTTACATGGTCAATGCTTAGCAATTTGTACTATGTGCAAATACTTGCATTTTGTATCATAATATTTTCTAAGCCCTCTTAGTTTTTAGCCTGTTCCTTCTAACAGATTCTATACTCCTGTAACTTCATCATGCTTTTCTTTCACTTCTCCAAATAGTTTTAAAGTTTCCAAACCTCCGAAGTTATAAACCATCGGTACTTACTAACCCAGACACAGTTTATTGACTGTCTATTACCCACGTAATTGGCTGTCATAGTTTCTGACTGCTATAATTCCCCCCGCGCTCTCTCTCTCAGGTAGATATTTAATACACCTGAGAGGATATATATATATATATATATATATATAGATATATATATATATATATATACACATATATATGTGTGTGTGTGTGTATATATATATCCTGGGGAGCCAGTGAGGGCTACATATGTAGCAAAAAACTGGCAAATACCTAGATAAATGTCCATAAAGGATAGTTCCTGGGGAGCCAGTTAGGGATATATATATATATATATATATCCCCTGAGCACTTCCTTTTCACTTATGCCATATCAGTCAGGAATTGTGTTTGGCTGGGAATAACTGAGATCTTTAAAAGACTGGATTAAAAAAAAAAGTAGTTTTACAGAATTTTACATTTTCTTTCATATTAAAAAAAGGTTATAGATAGACATTCCATTGAAGGTAAGGCAATTCCGTATGTGACTCGGGTCCCAGACTCCCTTATTTCTGTTCTGCAATCCTTGTCACTTGGCTTTCATCCTCAAGGTAGCAAAATGGCCAAAAAATGGCCACTGCAGCCCTAAATATCACATCCACATTCCAGGAGGAAGGAAGAAGACCAAATTATCCCTACCAAGCAACTTATTTTCTTCTTAAGGAGCTTTCCAGAAGCCTGATTAAACACAGTATCTACCTTTATCCCATTGATCAGGATTTTAACTAACACACAGCCACCCTTATTTGCAAGAAAGACTGGGAGATGTATCTTTTCAAGAGGGTAAACACTGCTTCAATAAAATCAGATTTGGAAGAAGAAGATAATGGATATTTGATAACAACTAACATTTCATGCTATACATGTTTTAATAGAGCAGTTAGTTACTCACTAGGTAGCTGCTGTAGTCCTACTATGCTTGATAAACTCTATGAGAGGACTCTAAAGGAAAGAAAGAGAGCTGGTCATTAATTAACTCTGTGGCTTTGATTACCAGTAAAAGAATAGGTTTGGACAGTATCACTGACTCCTTCAAGATATAAAATTATATAAACAAAAATATTTAGGCCGGGCGCAGTGGCTCATGCCTGTAATCCCAGCACTTTGGGAGGCTGAGGCAGGTGGATCATGAGGTCAGGAGTTCAAGACCAGCCTGGTCAAGATGGTGAAACCCCATCTCTACCAAAAATACAAAAATTAGCTGGGTGCAGTAGCAGGCACCTGTAATCCCAGCTACTCGGGAGGCTGAGGCAGAAGAATCTCTTGAACCTGGGGGACAGAGGTTGCAGTGAGCCAAGATCGTGCCATTGCACTCCAGCCTGGGTGAAAGAGTGAAACTCTGTCTCAAAAAAAATAAAAATAGTAATAAAAAAAAACATACCTGAGAGGTATAAAAGTCATGCTATAGGCCAGGCACAGTGGCTCACACCTGTAATCCCAGCACTTTGGGAGGCTGAGGCGAGCAGATGGCTTGAGTTCATGAGTTCGAGACCTGGAAAACATGGAAAAAACCTGTCTCTACAAAAAATACAAAATTTAGCCAGGAGTGGTGGTGCTTGCCTGTAGTCCTAGCTACTTGGGGGGCTGAGGTGGGAGGATGGCTTGAGCCTGGGAGGTGGAGGTTGCAGTGAGCCCAGATTGTGCCACTGCACTCCAGCCTGGGCGATAGAGCCAGACTTTGTCACCTTGTCTCAAAAAAAAAAAAAAAAGTCATGCTGTGCTGTAGCAAAAAACTGGCAAATACCTAGATAAATGTCCATAAAGGATAGCTCCTGGGGAGCCAGTGAGGGCTACCTGCGGCCTGAGGAAAGCCAGATTAATGGAGTTTAAGGGAAGAAAAGAAGATACTGATGTAGCCATCTCTTTCTGTCCCTCCTGCCCAGTTTCTTCCTTATTTTTTTTTCCATTTTTTCCCCATTTCTTTCCCTTTTTCTCTCCCCTCACACTCCCTAGCCACTGCATATCCCACACTTTTTCAGTCTTTATTTTCTCAGTTTTATGCCTTCAAATACAAGCTTACACTTGAGCCTTTTTTTAAAAACTTGTCTGAATTTCAAAGTCAGCAATTATTTCACATTTCTGGTCAGCCAACCCTACTTTAACATTGATTTTAACTGTGTTTTGTCAATGTGTATACTTTCTTTCTGTTTTATTTAATATATTGAGACTGCCAAGCTACATTAAATAAGTCAAGCCATGTTAAATTGTACTTATTCTCCTTCTGATGGTAAATTTCCTATCTTTTTTTTGTTTCCTTTCCTTAGCCCACTGATATTTGCACAAATAAACCCAAAACCTTTTTTTTATTGCTATTGATTTTTGTTTTATTTTGAAGGAGTTTTAGTTTTCCTTTTAATTTCAAATTCCATCAGGTGATTACTTCTAACACTTTTTACACCCCCAAATAAATCCCTATCAGTGAGATCTCAATTAAGAAAGCCATTCTTACCACATGGTTTTAGAGAGTAAATAGGCATTATATAGGCACTGGACCAGATCTTAATAAAAAGTCACAGCAAAGGGACGGGCGCAGGGGCTCGTGCCTGTAATCCCAGCACTTTGGGAGGCCGAGCCGGGTGGATCACTAGGTCAGGAGATAGAGACCATCCTGGCTAACACGGTGAAACCCCATCTCTACTAAAAAAATATATATATATATATATATATACAAAATTAGCCAGGCGTGGTGGCGGGCGACTGTAGTCCCAGCTACTCAGGAGGCTGAGGCAGGAGAATGGCGTGAACCCGGGAGGCAGAGCTTGCAGTGAGCCGAGATCATGCCACTGCACTCCAGCCTGGGGTACAGAGCGAGACTCCGTCTCAAAAAAAAAAAGTCACAGCAAAAACAACATATCAGATAGAATGCATAGTATATCCAATACACATTCCAATTTGTTCTAAAAATCCTTGATGTCTAAGTAAGAGAAGATAAAGATGGAAGAATTCAAAGTGCTTAGAGGAATCAAAGTTAGAAAAATGTTAGAGATTGTACCAAATTCCCTATGTATATTGCTCACTCATACATTTTTCTCTCGTTTTTAGCAAGGGTAAACTCACAGCAGTGTGGTGTTATGCTTCTTTTTTGAGTGGGCAGGTAAGAAAGTGGAGAAACTCTTGGGATGAGGCTAATGATGTCTTCACCTAACCAGTCAGTGTTAGGAAGACCTGTGTGGATTCGCCAGCCAGGACAGCATACTTTTTCTAGTATTAACAACTCATATCTTTTAGGAGCCTGGAACTGAGACAAATGTGGCTGAACTGCCGTTAGCAATATCTGCCAAACTTGAATGGCTGCATTTTTAGTTTATACATAGCACAGGATTTTATGGCCCCCCAAAATCAGAAAAAATTTGAGATATATCTATATATAAAATGATATATATTATATATAATTATATATTATATGTAATATTATCCAATTATATATATAATTTGGATAAATTTTATATATAGTTTAAATATAGGATAAATATTTGTTGAAATACAATCAACATAGGCCAGTCCTTGTTCTGAGGATATCCAAATGTTTCCTACCAATAGGGGGTTCTCATTATTGTATAGATACCACTTATTAGCAAATAATTTTAATATATATAATTATATATAATATATAATATATAATAATATATAATACATAATTATATATAATATATAATATATATTATATATAATTATATATAATATATAATATATATTATATATAATTATATATAATATATAATTTTATATAATATTTGTTTCTTTCCTGGTCAAAGTATTCTTTTTGAAATCTAGGCTTTTGCTATTTGACTGCTGAATTTTTCTCCCAAAGGTTATTTGGTACACAATGTATTTCTCCCTTTTTCTTCAATAGCTTTTTCTATTTTCATTTGTCATTTATGATTTGTGGCATGTAATAGTTTCAGTGAGAAATACTTCCCAAAGCAAACATAAATATTTCCAATGTCTAAAATTACAACAATTCTTTGCTATTCAGATACAGATGGAATATATAATCATTCTTTTGAAGAGGCAATTAGCACTTAGTTCAGTGACTTGGGATGTTCCAACTCTTTCAAGCTTTGTTTTATTCTTACTGCATTCAACCAAAGTACTACTTGTCCACAATGGACCAATACTAATCTAAACAAGAACTGCCTCAGGATTCTCAGTGACAGTTTACTAATGCAGAATATTAAACAAAGGGTCATCCAACTGTCTTTGTGAGGTCACAGAAATGTTATTTCCTTAGCACTGACCCAATATAGCTCAATAGTCAATTGTATTCAGTTGTGAAAAATTGTCAGAAGTTTTCCTCTTTTAAAAAATTACAAAATATACTGATATCATAGTTGTGAATTGCTATTGTTTATGATCATGTTTTATGATATAATAGCCATTCATACTTAAAATTTTAAATTTTATTACTTATTTACTTATTTTTCAATTAAAATATTTTATTGTTGGCTTTGGGCAGCGGGTTACTACTAGTATAGTAACAATAAGACAGCGTATAGAAACTTAAACTTTCTTTGTCTGTAAGTTAAGCTTTATTTTATTGTAGAAAGATAAGGAGAGGATGGGGTAATTTCACCTGTTATTTATTAATTTTTTTATTTTTTTGAGTTCTGAGATACATGTGCAAAACGTGCAGATTTATTACATAGGTATACATGTGCCATGGTTGTTTGCTATGTCTATCAATCTGTCATCTAGGTTTTAAGCTCTTTATGCATTAGGTATTTGTCCTAATGCTCTCCCTCCCCTTGACCCCCACCCCCCAACAGGCCCTGGTGTGTGATGTCCCCCTCCCTGTGTCCATGTGTTTTCACTGTTCAACTCCCACTTATGAATGAGAATATGCAGAATTTGACCTGTTCTTATTGTACAATAGGAGGAGAATGTATTTGAACTAAGATTAGATATGAAGCTATAATTGAACTGATGTGTTAAAGATCAAATAAATGCTCAGCTTTAGGTACTGTTGGAATTAACTTAGAATTATTTTAAAAGTACCTCTGTGGAGGCCTAGCAATATAGAGCTGACTTGGTGCCATTAATGTAATCACAATTGATGGGCTAGACAAGGAACTACAAATGAAATATATATGGATGGATGATCCAGCAAATAAAAGACAACACATTGTATGTCTGAGAGAAGGCTTTCAGGAGGAAAATTGATTTATACCAACTTTATTAAAATATTTTTGAAACCTGACAAATTGGTTCTGGAGACTGAAGTTGCAGTGAAGTTAACAGCCAAAAGGCAGGAAAATGGTATAAGATGAACATTACATTTTTGTGCTTTGAATGCAGGGATTAATCTGGCCTAGGTAAGGAAAAATAGTTTGAGAGAAGATAATTTTCAGAGTTGACTCAATGTTAGCTACTTTGTACGATGACAAAGTAATTATTCACTTCAACATCCTCATGCCACATTTGTGGTTAGATGATGAAAACTGTGTCTTAAATTAATGGGAGCTAAATCATGTATGGAAAAGGAAGGTTGTCTTCCAACAGAGGGGGATATTGAAGTGTCTCAGAGACTTATTTTCTTCAGAATTGTACATTTATGCTACTTTCATGTTCTTCGTAGATTCAGTCTTCAAAAGTATGGTTGCTTTGTTTATATTTTATTTACCTGTCTGGATAAATATTTGTTGAAATACAGTCAACATAGACCAGTCCTTGTTCTGGGGATATCCAAATGTTTCCTACCAATAGGGGTTCTCATTATTGTATAGATACCACTTATTAGAGATAATTTTAAACATATGTGTATATATAGACTTTCATTTCCCTACTATGCTATTTCTTCACTTTCATTCATTGTCTCCATTTCTACTACTTTTCATCTCTATTAAGCATACTGCAGTCAAGCTTTCATTTCTATCATTCCACTGAAGCCGCCTTGTCAAGTTCATCAGTAGTATCTGTATTGGTATAACCATTGGTCAATTTTAAAATGTCCTTTTAATTTTTCTATCAATAGTTTTTGACAAAGTTGATCAGTTCCTCCTCCTTCACTTGCCTTTCGGGAAACCACCACAGTCTCTTGGTTTTCTTCCTAGTTCACCATTGTGCCTTTTGAGTCTCCTTCACTTTTCCCATTTCCCCTTATGCAGGCTCTGTCCTTAGCTGAGTTCTCTTCTCTATTTAATTTACTTGCTTAGTGATCTCATTTACTCTCATGGCTTTAAAGATCATCTATGTGCCAATGACTCTCATTTTTTTTTTTCCAGTCTAGCTCACTCTTTAACTGCAAAGAGAGTTGGCTATGTGTACCCAAGTGCCATCTCCACTTGGATGTCTAATAGATATCTCCAACTCAACAGACCCAAGTTCTAATTCAACAAACCCAAGATCTTCCCCACCCCTGAGAACTATTATAGCTTTTTCCTTCTCAGTTGGGGGCAGCTCTTTTAGTTTCTCACACTAAAAACATTACAGAGATCCCTGACTTTAAAAAAATTCACCGTATTGAATTCTTCAGGATATATTATTAGCTATACCTTTTAAAAATACCCAAATTCTTATCACTTTTCACTAGCCCAACTGCTACTATCTAGGTTGAAACCACAATTATCTTGTACTTGAATAACTGTAATAACCATATAATTGATTTCTCTTATTCCAAATATTGTTATAAATATATTATCTTCTCAATACAGTATCCAAGTAGTCCTTTAAAAACTTGAATCAGATTATATCAGGACATAGCATTACTTTATTTAAAACTTACCCATGGGCTGCACATTACATTCAAAATGAAACGTAAACTCCTCCAATGACAGTTGAAACCCTGTATAACCTTGCTACTTATTTGTCTGACCTCATCTCCAATTACTGTTTCTCAGCCCCATAATTGCCAATTCTTCCAAGTATGTTGGCCTTGTTATTTTTTAATTATATCAGGGATACTTCTACCTTACATTTTTGGCATGAACTGTTCCCTAAATAGGGAAACAAAGAGTGTTGTTATGAATGTTGGATTCATTGAGAATGATTGTAATAAGAAAGAGCTGAAGAGCTAATGGATGATTGTAGTAGTGGAAAATTGATTACCTTGGATGATAATTAAATTGGTAAATTTTTTAAGGGAAGAAAATACTTATTTCTTCAAGTTGAATGTAACGCATTGTCAATTGCTTTCAGGAAGATCATGAGAAAACACTGTTCACAATCTTAGGAAGCAGCTAAAATTTAGGTTTCTGAGTGTTTAATACATTTGTTTTAGTGCTTTATTTGATTTAGAATTCTGAGACCAATATGAGACACCATAGCCTTCTAGAATTTTTACTATGGTGACACAAATCTTCATCTCTCTTGTCTTCTATCCATCCACAACATCATATTTTCCTGACACTCAAGTAAAGAACAAAAGTGAAAGTTTGCATATCCATGCCTTCTGGATTAGTCCATTTTCATGCTGCTGATAAAGACATACCCAAGACTGGGCAATTTACAAAAGAAAGAGGTTTCATGGACTCACAGTTCCATGTGGCGGGGGAGGCCTCACAACCATGGCAGAAGATGAAAGTCACATCTCACATGGTGGCAAAAAACAGAAGGGAACTTGTGCAGGAAAACTTTCCTTTATACCATCAGATCTCGTGAGACTTAGTCACTGTCACCAGAATAGCATGGAAAAGACCCACCCTCCTGACTCAGTTATTTCCCACCGAGTTCCTCCCACAACACTCGGGAATTACGGGATCTACAATTCAAGATGAGATTTAGCGGGGGACAAAGCCAAACCATATCACCTTGCTTCCTTCTCCAACTCTAAAGAAATTGCAGTGAACTTCATGGTTAGACTCAGGAACATATGCCTGCACCCACAATTCAGCCTCAGACATTTACTAGCTCTCTGTTTTGAATTATGTCATAGCAGGATCCGTGAGGAAGCATAGCTACACATGACACAAGCCCTGTAGTAAGATCTTTCAATTTATTTAGGAGATGGGTCAAGATATTTCTTCACAAGATCATTTAAATGACCTTGTAAAGGTCACACACATATACATACACGTGTGTGTGTTTGATTTATACCTCTATAGCCTAAGTTGAAGACACTTGTGTAATCCATTCAACATATACTACCACCTGTGGAAACTAATTGCCAGGTTCGCTGGGAGCTTTTTCAGCTAGGTAAGTATTGAACATACTGTCCTGTTCAGCTCTCTAAGTCTAACTTTAGCTCAATTTAATTGATCAGAAACTGACACGGTGAATCAGGGTGTTTCTGGACTGCCATTTTGTCTGTTTTAGAAACCTGGACAGCAGTTGTGCACTGGCAACTAACTATAGCATGAGGCCAATTTCCTTTCTACATATTACTGTGCATAAAAATGGGAAATAAGTTATTTTTCAGTCTGAGACATTCAACCATTTATATCCATTTATACATGAACCTGGGAATGACATGGTAAAGATTTTGAGGAGGAACTTTATGAAATAGGACTGATGTTGTAGAATTACTGTTTTCCATGATCAAGGAAAAGTTCTTTTAAATAAATAATTAGCTTAGTGTGTCTGAATGTTAAGGTAACTTGGTCTATAAGTGAGTCATAGAAGCACTGTTGGCTAAAAGTTGATTTTCTTTTGGTTTTACGATTTAAAAAAAAAATGAGATAGGGATCCGAAATGCTATTAGATACTTTCTCCTTTTATAAGTACGGAAAACAGCACTGAGTCAGCCTAAAAAAAATAAATCATATTTGCTTTGGATAGGTACCGTATTCACTTATTGTGGCAGGATTAATGTTGTGTCTTGCTTTTCTACCAATTTAGATTAGTTTCTCCATTTCACGCCCTAGAGAGAATGACACTAGGCTAAATACGTTGCCAAAATGCAGACAATGAATTGGCAAAAGCAGTCGCTTTTCAGAGCTCATTCACCTTGATTTTGAATGCTCTGTCCCTGCCCAGGCGATGATGACCCAAACAGTCCTAAGTACTTTTCCTAGACTACATTGGGAATTCTGATGTCAGTTCAAGGAGAAAAGTAGAAACACTTCAAAACACATATTGTCTTGCACATTTTCTCACAATTATTTGTTCTCAATTATTTTTATTATAGAAGCCTCGGCTAAATAAGGGAGGGACCCACTATTGTCATTTCTTTAAAATAAGAAGATTTTTACCCTTTAGGGATTGACATGGCTTTCATTTCTTTCACAGAAGTTTCCTGAAGGAAGAAAAAAACAAAACAAAACAAACAAAAACCACTTACAAACAGTACTTTTATTTTGTATTTACAATGAAAGCTTATTACTCATCTTATTTGTCCAATCTAGAGCATTTTAACTACTGATTCCCTTTGACCATACTACAGTGTCTCCTGAATTACCTTGAGCCTTATTGCCACCTGCAAATTCTGCTTCATCAACTTTTCTCTGTCTTTGTACCCCAGAAGCCCCCAAGAAACAGGAAGTGCTTCTTCTTCCCTGGGCTTCCATTTTCTGCCTTGCTTTTCTTATTTTACTATCTTTCTATGCCCTCCTCTCCACTGCAGTTACCACCTCCTTGCCCCCGACACTTGCTGCTACCTTTCTTTCTCTCCTGAGATCCAGCTATGTATTTCTGACTATTTCCTATGTATTTCACATAGGTGCCCCCACAGACATGTCAAATTCATGAACCAAATCTGAACTCATCACATTTTTTTAATTTTTATTTTTAAGTTCCAGGGTACACGTGTAGGATGTGCAGGTTTGTTACATAGGTAAACATGTGCCATGATGATTTGCTGCATCTATCAACCCATCACCTAGGTATTAAATCCAGCATGTATTAGCTATTTTTCCTAATGCTCTCTCTCCCCTCACCCCACCCACTGGCACGCCCCAGTGTGTGTTGTTGCCCTCCCTGTCTCCACGTCTTTTCATTGCTCAGCTCCCACTTATAAGTGAGAATATGTGGTGTTTGGTCGTCTGTTCCTGTTATGAGCTTATCATATTTTACCCTAATCTATTATTCCTTCAGTCTGTCTTGTTTAATTATGTCACCTTCCATATAGTAACCTAAACTAGGCTAGCCTCCTGAAACCACACAAGAATATTTCCTTTCCCTTCCCTGACCCAAAACATGTCACCAAGTTCAAATTATTCTTAACCCTTAACTACTTCCAGAATTCACCTACTTCTGTCCATCCAAACTCCTCCTGACTTAGTTCTGCCTATAATAAAACTTCAGTAAGGTAAGGTAATAATCACACAAGTTGTTTTTCGTCACCTGATCTAACTCATTCCAATCTATAATCCATTCAGTCAGAAAAGCCATCTTACTAATAAAGTGCAAATTGAATATTCAGTCCCTTGCTTAAACTTATCTTATGAATTACAAGTTCCTTAGAAAGACAGCATAAGTTCCCTATTTCACCAACCTCATCTTCCAGCCTTTCTTCTTATGAACCCTAGATTTTAGCTGAATCAAGACTTCCTGGATCAGTGTCAATCATTCAATGGCTCTTCAGTTTCATATATCTTGTTCCCACTACTTGAAATACTTTTGCTATGAGATCTTATTCCCATCCACCAGAAAAATGCTTACTTACCTTTTGAAGCTCAGCCCAGGCATTTTAACTCTAGGAAGATTTCTTTGAACTAAGTTGACTTTTTAATATTTTCATTTCATATCTTATTGCAGCATTACATTCACTCACTCATGTATTATTTTATTTCTTCAACAAGTATTTAATGAATATCTATAATGTATTTGCCCATGTAATAGGTGTGAGGAATTCAGAAATGAAAATATATTGTCTCTAATCTCAAGATGTTCATAGTTGAGGAGAAAACAGTCCTGGAAACAAAAAATAACAAAGTAATATCAACAGTTTGTAAGGTTATATTTGAAATAGTATGATGTGATATAAAGACTATAGGTGTTTTAGTCAGGATTCATGCAAAATAACAGTAACCACTCTGAGTATTTAAATAGATGGAAATCAAGGCAGGACATTTTTACACTGTTGGTGGAAAAACTTAAAAGTAAATAATAGATGGTGAAGTAACATCGATCTGGTGACAGCAGTTTAAAAGAAAAAAAAATACATTTGCAAAACTTCATTTACTGACAATGGAAAGCCATTCACCTCCAGGCTGGAGACAAAAAGGGAAAACGCTATAGTACTGGTGGCCAGTTTGTCCTCTGACAGCTAAAGCCATGGATGCAGCAGTGGCCAGAGGTGCTGACAATGGTAGGAATGAAGAAGAAAAAATTGCATGTCTTCTTTCCAGTCACTGCTTCCTGCTGTTTGTACTCAGCCAGAAGCCCATGGATAGAGGAGCCTCAAACCTTGATTTTCTCACTTATCACATGGGCAGTAATACTACCTTGATGAACTAGTGTGATAATTAGTGGTAATGTAGATAAAATAGCTTGTAGTGCACTGGGAAATCTCATTATTCTTTGAATGATAGATAATATCTTGATGAAATTTCACATTTTCAAGTTTAAATGGCAAAAGCATTTCAAAAGTTGGTATTTATTGGTCTGTCTCTTCCTTTGTGCTTCTGATGCCTAGCAGAGTACTGAATAATTACTCATAAAAGTTATTAATGTATTTGTTCATTTATTCCACAAAACGTACATCTTTAGGTGGTTACTGAGTTGCTAAGGATACGCAATGCATTCTTGCCTCATGATTCAGTGGGGTCTATTTAGATTTCTTGATGGGAGAACACTTGCTCCTACCCCTGTCCCCATCTCCATCTTTTTGTAGTTTCTTACTGGCTTCACTCAAAAACCAAAAGAAAAAAAAAATGAACGTCATTATGAATTAAAATCTTCTGCGGTGTCTGCTATTCCTGCACAGGCTCGAGTTTTCCTGACTCGGACACTTCAACTGAACACTGAGAAGATACAGATCGCTGAGCAAGCAGCAAAGAGAATTCTGTGCCCTCTGGGTGTGATGCATTCATCCATTAAACAGGAGAAGAAAAACTTGCAAATCAACTTGTAGGGAGATATGTAAATTGATTAGGACAAGTTAATTTTTCTTTGTTCCTTTTTTTTTTTTAATGATTAAGATGGTTATTCAGATAGGTAGACATCAGATTCATTCCATAATTGATTAAATACATCAGTCTTTTCAAAGGTTTTTGACCAGGCCTACATTTATGTAGCACATAGGCATTTTCTCCCCTAAAATAAGAGACAGTTTAAATTCATGTTTGCAAAAGTTCTTGGCAATTACAATACCATAATATCAGATTAACTGGTCACTGGTAGATAGTCATTTTCTATTGCATTTTGAATGCAAATCTGGTGACAGCAGTTTAAAAGAAAAAAAATACATTTACAAAGCTTTGGCCAACATTATTGGATATTGTATATAAAAGAGATGCCAGAAGAGAATTTTCCTAGCTCTCTTCGTCTTGGAGAGTATTCCTCAGTAATGATAAGGAGAAAGACCTCCTATCAAGTGAAATTGATCTAGCTTCGTATATTTCTCAGAGTAGCACTATTCCTCTCCTCTCTGCGATGTTTACAGGGTAAAGATATTTGCATTCAAACTCAAACTAGGAAAAGTTGTCATGAACTGACCTTCACGAAAGAAAAAGTATAAAGGCTGTACTTCAGGTGGAAGGAGAATGATGTCAACTAGCTTTCCTGACATGCAAGAGGAATAGTGAGCAAAGATATTAGTAAATATGTAGGTAAATCTAAAGTAATGGTGTATTAAATATTAATGATGTTTCATTTGTTCGGTTAAAAGAACTGGACTGACAGAAAATATTAAATATTAATGTATGTCATGGTAGGTTCTGTGGTTGGTCTGCACAGACCATGTAAGTGGGCCCATAGTAGCTGAGTAGGGCAGTGCACGCAGGGAAGGACTAGGTCTTAATGAGAGGTAGGGAGTTCTTGCCAGCACTTCTCTTGTCTTGCTGTTACCTGATAAGTATACTTTCACTCACTCAGGAGGGAAACTTTGTGCAATTTCTATTCTTTAATATCAAATCAGAAACTGTAATGAAAAAGAACATTATTGGGAACAGAATTGGGATGTCTAACTCATTATCAACAGGTCATTTTAAATTGACCAAGTGGTGTACAAAATTATAGTCTCTTAACTTAGAGACAGTCTGTGTACTTTTAATTCTAAAGTTTTGTGTTTTTCTACATAAGACAAAAATTAAATGCCAAATTTTCACTCTATTCAATATTTTTATATAAGCATGTTAAATACATATTTGGGGGCAAGGTTGGCATAAGATGTTATGGGGAAATGCAATGAAATATAGTACATGACTCTAACATTCAAAGAAATTAACTTTAGATAATGGATGAGGTGATAGATACCAGAAAGAATAAATAAACACTAGAACTTTTTTTTTTCTTTTTTTTTTTTTGAGACAGAGTCTCACTTTGTTGCCCAGGCTTGAGTGCAATGTTGGGATCTCAGCTCACTGAAACATCCCACTCTGGGTTCAAGCAATTCTCCTGCCTCAGCCTCCTGAGTAGCTGGAACTGCAGGTGTCACCACACCCGGCTAATTTTTGTATTCTCAGTAGAGACAGGGTTTTGTCATTTTGGCCAGGCTGGTCTCAAACTCCCGACCTCAGGACATCCACCTGCCTCGGCTTCCCAAAGTGCTGGGATTACAGGTGTGGGCCGCTGAGCCCAGCTAACAGTAGAACTTTCAATATATGCATTTCAAAATAATTATGGAAGCATTTTCATAAGACGGTATAACATTGTCAAATATGAGATGTAACACCTGACACAGAACCTAGTAACATTACCTGAATAGGCATTTGTTGCATGGCAGGTACACAAACTATTATTAGAGTTCAGATAAAAGTCACTGTGGAAATTGGATAACTATGGAAGACTCATGGAAACTAATTTTAGTTGAGAAGTGGAAATTGGAATGTTTTTGAACAATGGGAGAAAAGGAAAGAAAAAGCATTCAAGGTGAATGGAATAGTGTTAACAAAATCAGAGAAACAGGAAAGAATATCTAAATATGTATTATTTTTATTGAAATCCTCAGACATTGTTATTTTGTGTATTTTTTTTTATTTTGAGATGGAGTCTCACTTTGTCACCCAGGCTGGAGTGTAGTGGGGCAATCTCAGCTCACTGCAAACTCTGTCTCCTGGGTTCAAGCAATTCTCCTTCCTTAGCCTCCTGAGTAGCTGGGACTACAGGCATGTACCACCACATCTGGCTAATTTTTGTATATTTTAGTAGAGACGGGTATTCACCATGTTGGCCAACCTGGTCTCGAACTCCTGACCTCAAGTGATCTGCCGACCTCAGCCTCCCAGAGTGCTGGGATTACAGGTGTGAGCTACCGTGGGTGGCCACATTGTGCTATTTTGAATAAAGACTTATATAAAACAGGCCTTTGGTGAAATAATATAGTCATCCAATAACCTCCAGGAAGTACAGCCATGGTAAAAGAGTAGTTACATCCAGGAGGTACAAGAGGGGTAAGAAAAGTAGGTTACCCTCTAAGAAAGGAAATACCTCCTGGGAGAACCAACAAGTGTTCAGCAAGGACTGACCTTGGTTTATCATCCAGGGGTGACTGAGGAATAGCTACAAACAAGCAAACTAGTTGATTCTAGAGTAGTGACAACTATAATGGACAACATTGCAGGTACCTGGGAAACTTCTTTACTGGGAAAGATTAGAGATATTTTGGCTTCTTTCCAAGATCTCATGCTTGCCATGTGTAATCGATGCTAGCTTTTTTGAGAAAATCATGCTAATGAAAAGATATACTACATTTGCAGTAGAGTTTACAGAAAACAGTATAGAATTCAGCATTGAGGAACTGGTTTAAGTTAACAGAATATTGAATTTATGCAATTATGGACTTGTCAGTAGCAAACATATATTCTATTCTCTCTTCAAGAAATACAATAATTTCCATCATCAAAAAAAAGTCTCATCAGGCATTACCAATATTCAGCATTGTATCAGTCATACCAGTGTCACATTATTTATAGCAAGACTTGGAAGATGCTCATTCCTGGGCTTGCCTTAGAATTACAGGCATTTTTCATCACACACTGGCTGATTTGGAGACCTACCCAGTGATGCTCTACACCTCTTATCTCTTTTTTTTTCCAGCCTCCTTAGTTCAAATTGTGGGAATAATTTTGTACAGTTATCTCACAAACTCCAAGTGAATTCTTTTTATAAAGTTTTATACAGCCTTAAATTATGGTAATAAGGTAGATAGTTAAGGACAAATTCATTCTTCTTTTTCTCATGGCTGCTATTTAAAATAGTCACAAAAGAGGAGGCATTTAATAAATATTTGTTGAAGGGATAAATGAAATGTAAATAATTCAATTTAGCTTGGTTAACATATCCAACAGGGTCACTAAGGAAAACTGAATGTATTGTTTTTCTTTGTGTTCCTGTCATCTCTGCAAAAACCTTATTTGAGATTGCTTTGAATTTGGGAACTTATTTATGTGTAGTTTCAAAGCTAGTATTGGCAAAATAGTTTAAGCTGAATAACTTCTATTGACAAAAGGTCCAAGATGGATAATTAAGTAATTTTTTAAAAATATGTCTTTGAAATTAAGATACAATAAGAGAGTAGAAAAGGATTGAAATTCTCAAAGAAATGTTTTGTATAAAAAGAAGCCCTTCTGTTTGTGGCCAGTTTTTTTTATAACGTATAACTTCTATGAGAACAAGAAAATAGATAATTCACCCAACAGGTACAATTATATAGGTGAATTCTGCAAGGACAATTTTGTTCTTCAATGAATTATCCACAGGTGCCTACAGTACTGAGGAGTAATAGGCATTCAACATCTGTTTTCTGAATTAGTTAATTTGTATTTTGATGTCAATGTAACTAGGTTGCTTTACATTTACAATTATTATAGTGTATTATTTTGTAATTTAAATAATCAGTCTCTGTTCTAAGTGAAAACAGTCTTTTTCAATACTGAGCTTTTAAATTGACACTACCAGTTCACTAAGAGTACACACTTAAAACATTGGATGGATACAAATTATTGAACTTGATATTTTGTAAGTTGTATTCTGTTGAAGTCATACACAGATGGGTTAGTGTTTCAAGCATGCACACACTCAGGGTCTTGGCTGCAAGCAAACACTCCTGGGTCCTACACTCCTAATGTCTCTTATCAGGTATTACCAATATTCAGCATTAGCCTCAGTCGTCCCAGTATCACATTACTTGTATCAAGACTTGGAAGATGCTCATTCCTGAGCTTGTCTTGGAATTATAGTCATTAGATATTTTAATTTAGAAATGCAATCACACAGATTGTGAGGGTCAGGCAAACAATTGTGTTATAGTGATTTTAAGCTGATGTCTATTATTAGGAGCATGTTTTGTTGGATATGAAATAGTTTATAAACACTTAAAATACTTCGACCCTAGGGCATAATTGTCACTGCTCAAATAATTCTGAGTGCTGAACTTTTAGAGTTAATAAATATATTGTATATGACAAGAAAAATATCTATTTTAGCACTGAAAGTTATCTTTTACCAAGTAGACCCACTTAAGATTCCACACTGCCTCCCACAAAATCAATTCAAATAAATGAAGATTTATTTATGTGCATTAATACATTTAAAAGTATTGGCCTGTTAGAGCTAAATAATTTTTATTTTAGTGATACATGGAAAACATTAATATTGAATCATTTTTATGTTCTTCCTAATTATATATATATATTTTTTTTTAAAATATGGCATCTTTATTTTTTTAAAAATAGGATTCTGTCTCATCAGTGATGATGAAGTTGATGATGTTATGTATAAGAAATGGTCTTGAGTTTACTCTGCACCTTCCTAAGTACTTTATACACATCAACTCATTTGTAACCACAACTCCATATACCAAACTATTATAATCTCATGCTCACAAATGAAGAAACTGAGGATTAAAGATGTTAAATATCCTTCCCAAGATCAAAGAATTGCAAAGCTGGCATATGCTGGAACTGGAATTTGATATTTGGCCAGACTCTGGAACCTGTGCTCTTATTCACTATTAGCTTGTATATCAGAACTAATGAAATGTGTGTTTGGCAAGAACTAATAAAAACAAAGGCAGTAGATAGAAAGTGTGCAATGCTTTGTTGGTAACATCTTTCTATCTCCCTATCTCTTTCTCCCTCCCTCTCTTCTTCTCTGTATCTCCTTCCTTCCAACCCTCCTTCTCTTCCTTTATCCTTTCTTCCCTCCTCAACGTTTAAAATAATAAATGCATTTGCATATGGATATAGTTGTTGAAACCAGTGGTTCTCAACTGGGAGTGACTTTGCAACTCAAAGAACATTTGACAATGTCTAGAGATATTTTTGATTGTCATATCTGGGGAGATGAAACTGACATCTAGAGGGTAGAAGTGAGGAATGCCGCTAAACATCCTACAATGCACAGGGCAACTCCAACAACAGGTAATTATCTGGTATCAAATATCAGTAGTAGATTTGAGAAATACTTGTTTAAATTAAGAAAGCTATCACATAATTTCCACAAAAAAGTTTACATTTGTCCAAATCCTCACTGCAACTGTTATTATTCTACTTAACTTGAAACAAAATATGTTTTTGACCAAAAATGATTCTATGTATGTGATATTTCATAATTAATGCAGATCTATTTATTTAAATTAACCCTGTGGTTTTTTTCTTGCACATATATCTTAGTCAAAAACATCACTGCTTCCTCTGACCCTTGTAGTCAACACAATTAGAATATGTAGGGACGGCAAAGTAGAGTTAGGAAGATATTGAGAAGAAAGAGAAACTAAATGCCAATGGAATCTGCAATATAAAAAATGTAAAAAATCTGAAATATAAAAAATGTAAGGTTTGGTGGGGGTCATTTAGGATTAATCAAACATCAATTCCAAAGAAATTTTTTTCTTACAGTAAAATATTTAAATATATTTGTGTACTCCAAAAATTATTCACATTTGCATGCAACTTCCCAAATGCCAATTTCAAGAGTCATAACATTGTAATTGAAATTACATGCTGGAAGATGTCATAAATGTGCTATGCAATGGTGGGCTTCACAAGATTAAGCAAAAATTTAGGATTTATAGCGCAGATTAGTCTTAATACATTTCTGTTTATCTTTCCAACTAGAATAAAAGGGAATATCTTGCCAAGTAATATGCTACTTGATTTAACAAAAAAGGTAATGGCAGTTAAGTTAAGGAAAGGAAGATTTCACATAGTTTTGTTAATTACCATGTAAATGTTACCTATGATATGACATTTAAATCTACAAATGATTAACAAAGATTCTTAAAGCATATTGCTCTAAGCAAAGTTTAGCGGCCTTGTTTAACAAATTGAATAGTTTCAAATTTCAAAGCAGCTTAAAAGGCCTAAATGCTTCTTGAACTCTGAAGATGGAAACTTCTTAAGAATGTGTGAGGATTGGGTGGATGGCAAGATGGCCAAATAGGAAGAGCTCTAGTCTGCAGCTCCCAGCAAGATGAACGCAGAAGGTGGGTGATTTCTGCATTTCCAACTGAGATACCTGGCTGATCTCACTGGGAGTGGTTAGACAGTGGGTTTAGCCCGTGGAGGGCGAGCCGAAGCAGGGTGGGGTGTCGCTTCACCTGGGAAGTTCACGAGGTTGGGGAACTCCCTCCCCTAGCCAGGGGAAGCCGTGAAGGGACTGTGTCCCAAGGAATGGTGCAATCCGGCCCAGATACTACGCTTTTGCCATGGTCTTCGCAACCCACAGACCTACACCACCAAGGCCCTGGGTTTCAAGCACAAACCTGGGCAGCCTTTTAGGCAGACACCAAGCTAGCTACACGAGTTTGTTTTTCATATCCCAGTGCTGTCTGGAATGCCAGCAAGACAGAATCGTTCACTCCCCTGGTATGGGAGCTGAAGCCAGGAAGCCAAGTGGTCTTGCTCAGCAGATCCCACCCCACAGAGCCCAGCAAGCTAAGACCTAGTGGTTTGAAATTCTCACTACCAGCACAGCAGTCTGAAGTCAACCTGGGATGCTTGAGCTTGGTTGGGGGAGGGGCATCCAACATTACTGAGGCTTGAGTAGATGGTTTTCCCCTCACAGTGTAAACAAAGTCCCTGGGAAGTGCAGACTGGGTGGAGCCCACCACAGCTCAGCAAAGCTGCTGTAGCCAGTCTGGCACTCTAGATTCCTCCTCTCTGGGCATGGCATCTCTGAAAGAAAGGCAGCAGCCCCAGTCAGGATCTTATAGATAAAACTCCCATCTCCCTGGGACAGAGCACCTTGGGCAAGGGGCAGCTGTGGATGCAGCTTCAGCCAACTTAAATGTTCCTGCCTACCAGCTCTGAAGACAGCAGCGGATCTCCCAGCACAGTGCTCAAGCTCTGCTAAGGGACAGACTGCCTCCTCAAGTGGGTCCCTGACTCCCATGACTCCTGATGGGGAGACACCTCCCAGCAGGGGTCAACAGACACCTCATACAGGAGAGCCCTGGCTGGCACCCTGGCAGTTGGCCTTCTGGGACAAAGCTTCCAGAGGAAGGAACAGGCAGCAATCTTTGCTGTCCTGTAGCCTCTGCTGGTGATAACCAGGCAAACAGGGTCTGGAGTGGACCTCCAGCAAACTCCAGCAGACCTGCAGCAGAGGGGCCTGGCTGTTAGAAGGAAAACTAACAAACAGAAAGGAATAGCATCAACATCAACAAAAAGGACATCCACTCAAAAAACCCATTCGAAGGTCACCAACATCAAAGACCAAAGGTAGATAAATCCATGAACATGAGGAAACACCAGTGCAAAAAGGCTGAAAATTCCAAAAACTGGAACGCCTCTTCTCCAAAGGATCACAACTCCTCACCAGCAAGGGCACAAAACTAGATGGAGAATGAGTTTGACAAATTGACAGAAGTAGGCTTCAGAAGGTGGGTAGTAACAAACTCCTCCAAGCTAAAGGAGCATGTTCTAACCCAATGCAAGGAAGCTAAGAACTTTGAAAAAAGGCCAGAGGAGTTGCTAACTAGAATAACCAGTTTAGAGAAGAACATAAATGAACTGATGGAGCTGAAAAACTCAGCACGAGTACTTCGTGAAGCATACACAAGTATCAATAGCCAAATCGATCAAGCAGAAGAAAGGATATCAGAGATTGAAGATCAACTTAATGAAATAAAGTGTGAAGACAAGATTAGAGAAAAAAGAATGAAAAGGAACAAACAAAGCCCCCAAGAAATATGGGACTATGTGAAAAGACCAAACCTACATTTGATTGGCATACCTGAAAGTGATGGAAGAACGGAACCAAGTTGGAAAACACTCTTCAGGATATTATTCAGGAGAACTTCCCCAACCTAGCATGTCATGCCAACATTCAAATTCAGGAAATATAGAGAACACCACAAAGAGACTCCTTGAGAAGAGCAACCCCAAGACACATAACTGTCAGATTCACCAAGATTGAAATGAAGGAAAAAACATTAAAGGCAGCCAGTGAGAAAGGTTGCGTTACCCACAAAGGAAATCCCATCAGACTAAGAGTGGGTCTCTCTCCGCAGAAACCCTGCAAACCAGCAGAGAGTGGGGGCCAATATTCAACATTCTTAAAGAAAAGAATTTTCAACCCAGAATATCATATCCAGCCAAGCTAAGCTTCATAAGCAAATGAGAAATAAAATCCTTCACAGACAAGCAAATGCTGAGAGATTTTGTCACCACCAGGCCTGCCTTACAAGAGCTCCTGAAGGAAGCACTAAATATGGAAAAGAAAAACAGGTACCAGACATGGCAAAAACATACCAAATTGTAAAGTCCATTGACTCTATGAAGAAACTGCATCAACTAATGGGCCAAATAACCAGCTAGCATCATAATGACAGGATCAAATTCACACGTAACAATATTAACCTTAAATGTTAACAGGCTAAATGCCCCAATTAAAAGACACAGACTGGCAAATTGGATAAAGAGTCAAGACCCATCGATGGACTGTATTCAGAGACCCATCTCACATATAAAGACACACATAGACTCAAAATAAAGGAATGGAGGAATATTTACCAAACAAATCAAAAGCAAAAAAAAGAGCAGGGGTTGCAATCCTAGTCTCTGATAAAACAGACTTTAAACCAACAAAGATCAAAAAAGGCATTACATAATGGTAAAGGGATCAATTCAACAAGAAGAGCTAACTATCCTAAATATATATGCACACAATACAGGAGCACCCAGATTCATAAAGCAAGTCCTTAGAGACCTACAAAGAGACTTACACTCCCACACAATAATAATGGGAGATTTTGATATCCCACTGTCAAAATTAGATAGATCAACAAGACAGAAAATTAACAAGTATATTCAGGACTTGAACTCAGCTCCAGACGAAGTGGACCTAATAGACATCTACAGAATTCTCCACACCAAATCAACAGAATATATATTCTTCTCAGCACCACGTTGCACTTATTCTAAAATTCACCACATAATTGCAAGTAAAATACTCCTCAGCAAATGAGAAAGAACAGAAATTATAACAGTCTCTCAGACCACAGTGCAATCAAATTAGAATTCAGGATTTAGAAGCTCAATCAAAACGCATAACTACATGGAAACTGAACAACCTGCTCCTGCATGACTGCTGAGTAAATAACAAAATTAAGGCAGAAATAAATAAGTTATTTGAAACCAATGAGAACAAAGACACAACATACCAGAATTGCTGGGACACAGCTAACACAGTGTTTAGAGGGAAATTTATAGCACTAAATGTCCACAGGAGAAAGCAGGAAAGATCTAAAATTGACACCCTTACATCACAATTAAAAGAACTAGAGAAGCAAGAGCAAACAAATTCAAAAGTTATCAGAAGACAAGAAATAACTAAGATCAGAGCAGAACTGAAGGAGATAGAGACACAAAAAACCCTTCAAAAATTCAATGAATGCAGGAGCTGGTTTTTGAAAAGATGAACAAAATAGACCACTAGCCAAACTAATAAAGAAGAAAAGAGAGAAGAATCAAATAGACACAATAAAAAATGATAAAGGGGATAACACCACTGATCCCACAGAAATAGAAACTACCATCAGAGAATATTGTAAACAACTCTATGCAAATAAACTAGAATATCTAAAAGAAATGGATAAATTCTTGGACACATACACCCTCCCAATACTAAACCAGGAAGAAGTCAAATCCCTGAATAGACCAATACCAAATTCTGAAATTGAGGCAGTAATTAATAGCCTACCAACCAAAACAAGTCCAGGACCAGACAGATTCACAGCCAAATTCTACCAGAGGTACAGAGAGGAGCTGATACCATTCCTTCTGAAACTATTGCAAACAATAGAAAAAGAGGGACTCCTCCCTAACTCATTTTATGAGGCCAGCATCACCCTGATACCAGAACCTGACAGAGACACAACAGAAAAAGAAAAGTTCAGGCCAATATCCCTGATGAACATCCATGAGAAAATCCTCAATAAAATACTGGCAAACCGAATCCAGCAGCACATCAAAAAGCATATCCACCATGATCAAGTCAGCTTCATTTCTGGGATGCAAGGTTGGTTTAACATGTGGAAATCAATAAACATAATTTACCACATAAACAGAACCAATGACAAAAACTACATGATTATCTCAATAGATGCAGAAAAGGCCTTTGATAAAATTCAACACACCTTCATACTAAAAACTCTCAATAAACTAAGCACTGATGGAACATATCTCAAAATAATAAGAACTATTTATGACAAACCCCCAGACAATATGATACTGAATGGGCAAAAGCTGGAAGCATTCCCTTTAAAAACCAGCACAAGACAAGGATGCCCTCTTTCACCACTCCTATTCTACATAGTATTGGAAGTTCTGGCCAAGACAATCAGGCAAGTGAAAGAAAGCGTATTCAAATAGGAAGAGAGGAAGTCAAATTATCTCTATTTGAGATGACATGATTGTATATTTAGAAAACCCCATTGTCTCAGCCCCAAATCTCCTTAAGCTGATAAGCAACTTCAGCAAACTCTCAGGATACAAAATCAATGTGCAAAAATCACAAGCATTTCAATACACCAATAATAGACAAACAGAGAGCCAAATCATGAGTGAACTCCCATCCAGAGTTGCTACAAAAAGAATAAAATACCCCAGGAATACAAGTTACAAGGGATGTGAAGGACTTCTTCAAGGAAAAAACAAACCACTGCTCAAGGAAATAAGAGAGGACCAAACAAATGGAAAAACATTCCATGCTCATGGATAGGAAGAATCAATATCATGAAAATGGCCATACTGCCCAAAGTAATTTATAGATTCAGTGCTATACCCATCAAGCTACCATTGCCTTTCTTCACAGAATTAGAAAAAAAAACTACTTTAAATTTTATAGGGAACCAAAAAAGAGCCTGTATATCCAAGACAATCCTAAGCAAAAAGAACAAAGCTGGAGGCATCACGTTACCTGACTTCAAACTATACTGCAAGGCTACATTAATCAAAACAGCATGGTAGTAGTACCAAAACATATATACAGACCAATGGAACACAGCAGTGGCCTCAGAAATAATGCCACACATCTACAACCATCTGATCTCTGACAAACCTGACAAAAACAAGCAATGGGGAAAGGATTCCCTGTTTAATAAATGGTGTTGAGAAAACTGGCTAGACATATGCAGAGAACTGAAATTGTACCCCTTCCTTACACCTTATACAAAAATTAACTCAAGATGGATCAAAGACTTAAACATAAGACCTAAAACCATAAAAACCCTAGAAGACAACCTAGGCAATACCATTCAGGACAGGAATGGGCAAAGACTTCATGACTAAAACACCAAAAGCAATGGCAACAAAAGCCAAAATTGACAAATCAGATCTAATTCAACTAAAGAGCTCCTGCACAGCAAAAGAAGCTATCATCACAGTGAACAGGCAACCTGCAGAATGGGAGACAAATTTTGCAACCTATCCATCTGACAAAGTGCTAATATACAGAATCTATAAGAAACTTAAACAAATTTACAAGAAAAAAACAAACAGCCTCATCAAAAAGTGGGTGAAGGATATGAACAGACACTTCTCAAAAGAAGACATTTATGCAGCCAACAAACATATGAAAAAAAGCTCATCATCACTGGTCATTAGAGAAATGCAAATCAAAACCACAATGAGATACCATCTCATGCCAGTTAGAATGGTGATCATTAAAATGTGGGGAAGCAACAGATGCTGGAGAGGATGTGGAGAGATAGGAACACTTTTACACGGTTGGTGGGGTGTAAATTAGTTCAAACATTGTGGAAGAGACAGCGTGTCAATTCCTCAAGGATCTAAAACCAGAAATACCATTTGACCCAGCAATCCCATTACTGGATATATACCTAAAGATTATAAATCATTCTACTATGAAGACACATGCATATATATGTTTATTGCAGCAGTATTCACAATAGCAAAGACTTGGAACAAACCCAAATGCCCGTCAATTTTATACTGAATAAAGAAAAGGTGGCACATATACACCATGGAATACGATGTAGCCATAAAGAAGGATGTGTTCATGTACTTTGCAGGGACATGGACGAAGCTGGAAACCATCATTCTCAGTAAACTAACATAGTAACAGAAAATCAAACACCGCGTGTTCTCACTCATAAGTAGGAGTTGAACAATGAGAACACAAGGACACAGGGAGGGGAACATCACACACTGGGGCATGTTTGCAGGTTGGGGGCTGAGGGAGGGATAGCATTAGGAGAAATACCTAATGTAGATGATGGGTTGATGGGTGCAGCAAACCACCATGGCACTTGTATAACTATGTAACAAACCTACATGTTCTGCACATGTATCCCAGAACTTAAAGTATAATTAAAAAAAAAAAAAAAAGAATGTGTGAAGATTAAAACATACAGACCTTTCAGAAAACAGTAGTATATTGTCCACTGTTTTTTACATGAATTTTTGTTATTTATCTATTATACTATAAAAGTAAATCTTTTGTAAAAAGTAAGATATATCAAAAGCCTTAACTTTTATTTTCTCATAAGTGTATGTTGCTATTTGTTGTATTTATGAAATACAGACTTTTCCACATATACTTTTATTTAAAGCATCTTGTTACAGAGATGGTTGCAATCAGCTACTCATTCTCTATTTTGTAAAGTGCACAATTTGGAAATGGAAAAGGAAAAGCATTTCCAGTCTTTTCATGAAATTTATTATTAGAAACCGTAACAGTATAGACAATTTTCGTAATGTCTTTTTCCAAAGATTCAAAATTTGGGTAGAGTCACATGTATCTGCAAATATAGGGTAATTGCTCCTGGGTGATGTTTTAAGAGCTCTTTTGACACTATCATTTTTACTTATGCAGAATAAAATTTATAGATTGAATGTCATAGAAACAAGTTGAGAACCTTGATTACCAGATTTGAATGTCCTGACAAATTGATTTCTCTGGTCAACACACTGTTGTTACCTGAAGAAGTCTCAGTTCAACTTGCATTATTGAAAATCTTTCAAGACTGTAGCGTTCAATGTTCCTGGTTTCATAATGAGACTACACTGCTAACAGTGACTCTCTCCTTGTTAACTGATTCTCTTGAAGTGTTCCTGGGTAATTATTCTATGCATCAGCTCCTGTATAGAATATTACAGATGTATAATGTGTAAAAGCTAGGCATGATTAGTTATTTGTTTACATTTTTAAACAGAAATTCCTGATGTGAGCTTTTTAAAAAAGAAAACACACAAACCATTTGTCTTATTCTCTTAAAGTATAAAACAAAAAAATAGTTTTAATAAAATTAGGACTCTGATTAGTTGGTCTACAAGTATTTATGGTTTAAGTGTGCTTCTAAGTTACTGAGATTCCTTAGGGATCAGTGGAAAACAGTAATGCCAAGCAGGTATTCCCATAATAAAACCCAGGGCTGGCCAGGTGTGGTGGCTCACGCCTGTAGTCCCAGCACTTTGGGAGGCCGAGATGGGTGGATCATCTGCAGTCAGGCGTTCAAGACTAGCCTGACCAATTTGGTGAAAACCCCTCTCCACTAAAAAATACAAAAATTAGCCAGGCATGGTGGCAGGCACCTGTAATCCCAGCTACTTGGGAGGCTGAAGCAGGAGAATCACTTGAACCCGGGAGGTGGAGGTTGCAGTGAACCAAGATCGTACCATTGCACTATAGCCTAGGCAACAGAGCAAGACTCCGACCCAGAAAAAAATAAAATAAAAAATAAAAAATAAAAAAAAAATCAGGGCTTCTCAGCCTCACACTATTGACATTTTGAGCTAGATAATTTTTTGTTGTGGGGCAGGGTCTGAGGGTGGGCGGGAGTGGCTATCCTGTGCTTGTACAATGTTTAGTAGCATCCCTGTGGCACTGCTGTTCCTTCAGTGTGACAACCAGAAATTGTCTTCCAACACTGCCACGTGTGTGTGGTGGAGGGATGGGATTAAAGTTGCCCCTTTTGAGAACCACCGCTGCAACTTGTTAAAATCAAACATAACTTTTCACAAAATCGGAATATTTAGAGACCCAGTGCATTCTTTAAATGACTCTCTTCATCGTTACAGATTTGTGATGAGAGAAAATGGGAAAGCACAATGCTCCAGTTAACCCAGTTGGAGATTTAGTTCCACTGTTAAAAGTATAGAAACAGGCCCATCAGAATGCAGGCAGGGAAAGCTACTGTACAGTAGAAGTAAATGTTACAGCAATGTTAGGTTGAAAGAGAAGATCAGAGCGTTAACCCCTTTGCAGTCCATTTTAGACAGGTCATGCCCAGCCCTCGCATGTTGTTCTTCCTGCCCGGATACCCTGGTTGCTGCTGCAGGAGCTGGGTCCCCTTGGAGCCGCCCTCTGGCCCCAGCAGTGGAAATGGCTCCTCTGCGGTCCGCAGGGCAGGGCAGGGCGTGGCCATTTTCAACTAGGAGTTCAGTGTGGAGGAAGTCCACATGAGCGCTGGCAGGTCAGGGGCTTCCAGAGGTTCCAGGAGAAGTGAAGTATTGCAGACTAAGTCCTCTAAATAGCCAGTCGTCTCAATAAGAAAACGTTTAAGTCCCTGGAGCAGGAGGGCCGGGCTGGGCGCAAATCCTGCCTATGTCACTCCTCGCCTTTGCTCAAACCACTTAGTCCAGCTCTGCTCCTTTGTAAAATGGTGCCAGAGATTCCCATGCCACAGGGAGGGGACTCGGGGGCAAATAATATACGTGATACGATCTGTCATTTTCAACGTGCCCTGGAAGGAATTCACGTTGTTGTTGCTGTTATGTGTTGTCGACCAAAATAGTGCGTGCCTAGCATGAGTTTCGTGTGGAGAAACTTGATTTAGGTCGTCATAAAACAAGCTTTAGTTGTTAACACATTTGTTTAATAAAAACAAAACTTTTCTTAGAAAGATTTTTGGACACTATGTGGACACATTTGAATTGAAGCAAGAAATTAAGGTTTGTTATTAAACTTCTATGGTCACTCAGACTTTCTTTTTAAAAAAACATCTTTAATTACTATGTGGATTATTTTCAATAATCAGTACTGCTCATCAAGGTTGTGTGTGAGTGTGTGTGTTTTCCTCTGAGTCATACATTCCTTGATTTTTTACAAAAGACTGAACACAGAAAAGGGACTTAATTAGCTGGTAACTCCTTATACTGATTAACTCTACCTACATTGTGATCTGTGTTGAAGCATCATTTCTATTGACCTATTGTGCCATGGCATTGATTTAAGACTGAGCCATGTAGCTAGCTGTATAATTAGAGAAAAATGTATAATTATACAGAGCAATAGCTGCAGTTTTATGTGTTATTACTTATAATTCTATATAAAATTATTATAAATAAGATTTTTAAAAAATTATTAATTTTCTTCAATTATATTATAGTTATTGATTCTAGTTCTAAAGTGGAATAATAAGGGATATCTGACATAATTGTAAAAAAATTCATTTCACTTCAGAAACAAATGAATTTCAAACTTCTTGCTTGTTACCTTCCGTGAACACTGCAAGAAAACCATTAAAAAATTATACTGTGGAAAGTTTGTGCTAAAGCATACGAACTTCTCACATTTAATATGTTCCCGTGTAGTACATAATAAATGATTTCACAGCCCATAATATAGGGAAGCTGATGTAGGAAGAAATTCACTTCGCTCTTAAGGCAAAACAATTAGAAATCTTAACATTTTTAAACATTAAGTTGTTTTGCTGTATGGGTTGTTTTTCAGGTTTATAGAATTTTATGAACATTATATAAAATGGTTGAAATTGTAAATTCCAATTTTTCAAATTGGATCAAAATTATACAATTTTGATCATACCACCCAACATAAAGATTGAAATGCTATTAGCATAAATTTAGGAAGGCTCTGTTAAATCCCATCTTTTATCCTAAAATATGTTCTCTCAAAGATAGTAAACATATGTCTAACAGTTCTCCACTAGGTCCTTTACTTGCCTGCACAATTAAGATAGTAGCTCCCATTTTTAATTGTTCTTCAATCTAGAACTAGTTCCTGTTTCTCTGACTCTTCCTTTTCTCAGCTCAGTTTAACTCCTTGGCTTTCATTGTGGGCACTACTGATTCATCATGGTGATCTGGCTGTTTCTTTTGGTTCTCATCCCAGAATAAATCTTATGCCTTATTATAGGTGTACCCTTGTTCCTGGATGAACTCTAAATCCTTATTCAGTACTAAATATTGCACCTGTTCCCAACGTAAGAGATGCCATCCCTTTTAGCTGTATTTCCCTATGTAGCTGCTTTCTAGGAACAGTCTTAAAAGAAAGACTGAAGGAAATAGGAGGCATGGAAGCCACTCTAACAAGTGGCAGGCATATGTGTAATTAGAAATGAAAAATGCGTGTATTCTACCCATGGATCTGCGGATAAATGGGACACAATCCTAGTTAGAATTTTCCAGGTATTCATTACATTACATATGAATGAATGAATGAGTGAGTGAGTGAATGAATGAATGGGTTATTGTGTTTCAAACACACACACATTACACACATGCACACACATACACACACCAAGAAAAGTGTACTGAAGTAAAACAGATACACAAAAAGTGATATGAAGTCATAGATGAACAGACTCCGTAATCAACTTAAGCATCGACTATCCTGATATGTTTAAACTCTCTACAGTCGTTATCCTATGCAGGAAAAGAAGATGCCTAGCTCATTATTAAAAATTTACATTTAAATGTTAATTTAGAAATATCTACATGCAGTGGGAAATAGTTTAATTTAGATGCCTCACTTCCAAATGTTATATAGTCAATGCACTCCTGCTACCCAGAATCCCCATAATGAGAAGAATTTTATGTACAATTTGTAAAACTCATATAATATAATATGTAAACAATTACTTGAATTTTAAATGCAAACTCATTAAGGACACATGTAAACTCCAAGTAGGCAACCTTGCAGAAGGTCTTAGTTCCAATAGTTTACATATAAAAATCTGTAAAATAATTGTTTAGGATTTTGAATATGCTTGGAATGGGCATATTATTTTTTCTCCCCTTCTGCTTGAATACTTGTGACTAGAAAAGACAGCCTACATTGAGCTAGGATGCTGAAAAGACAATGCTGCTTTTGTCTCTCATGACGATTCTCAATACCAATGCAGTTTGAAAAATACTATACCCCTGAGATTTTTTTCCCCCAGAATGATAATACAAAAATTAAGCTCATATTATTCTTAAGGTAGTTGGAAGTTAATTAAAAGAAATGACCAAAGTGCATAATTTTATATACTTTGTATTTGTATTTCAATAAATACAGGCTGGTGACCAAAGAGAAATTTCAAAATAGTTGAGTTTCTTTACATACGGTTCTTATATCACAAAGAAGAATTTCAAGTCATAGAAACATTTTTAATTCATCTTTTCTGTCCATTTCCTTTCTCCTATTCAAACAGCTAGTCCCTTATTAATCTCTTCAAAATTATAATAAAAAATATTTTCCTTCCTTCGGTACTTTTATTTGTCCACCAGTCAAAATTATCCTCCTGATTCTCAATTACAAAATCTTCTAACAGAAACCCTTTTACAAGCTTTTCTTAGCAGACACAGAAGGGGAAAGAACAGGAATATTCATATATTAATAATTTTCTTCTATTGTCATATATACATCAGTGAGCTTTGATTTATGATAATTTACTCTTCTTATGCTTAGCCAGGGGAGAAAGGTTTAAATAGCCTGGGTGTGCTTTAGTGATAGAGTATTAGTTTATTTAGACTCAGTAAAATGTGGGTCATTCATGCATCCATTTCCATTAATGGGAGTTAGCAACTGCTGCATATATCTCATAATTAAATTTACAGTGGTGCCAAGATGGGAAAGCCAGTGATGCAGCACAATATATTATTCTCATCCAAAAGGTGCTTTTCATTGTCTGAAGAGACAGATGCCATGTTCTGTTAAGAACTATATGTGTAGCTTTACTTACTAATGTAAATTATTCAATATGAAATGCTGCCAGTATAAATGGTTTACTTCCCTCCCACCTCCTCTATTTTGAACCTAAACTGTTCCTCAGAGAAACTAAAACAATTTATCTACAAGAATCTAATTGGAAATTTATCCCAGACAATATCTACTAGTAATTTTCAAGGTAGGTTCAGAATCCAAGGAAAATAATACAATTTTATTAAAGTGCAGTGGATTAAAAAATACATATATATCACCTAAGAAAGGTCAGATTTACAGAAGAGAGAAAACAGTAATTTAACTGGTGAAAACAATTTTTTTAAAACCCAGTCACGGAAAGGTCTCTAGAAATTGTCCTAAGGACATTAAGCAAATAGAGATATTTATTCAAGGAAACCTACTGAATGAATGTTTTGTACCCTTTGATCAACATCTCTCCCATTTTTCCCATCTCTCAACCCCTGGCAACCACCATTCTATTCTCTGTTTCTATGAGTTCAATGCTTTTAGATTCCATATATAATTGAGATTATGTAGTACTTGTCTTTCTATGTCTGGCTTATTTCACTTGCTAATAGATCTTAAGTGTCTTCACCACACATCAGAAACAATGGTAACTACATATGGTGATGGATATGTTAGTTAATTTCATTGTGGTAATCATTTCATAATGTATACATATGTACATATGTTAAATCATCATGTACACCTTGAATGTATACAATTTTTGCCAATTATGCCTAAATAAAGCTGGATAAATAAATAGACATTTTACTAAATTTTTGAAAGAACAGAAAGAGTCTGTGGCATTTACACTGTGACCCAATTCTTAGACACTATTTTCCCTACCCTTTCAGCTCCATGTTATGGAAATTATACTATGGTCATATGCAGTCAAGAATTTGGGAGCTAATTCTTCTTCCAGCTTCCAGTCTGGGGGCCACAGTTTCACCCAGGAGGGTAGAATGCCAGTGTTTCTCCTCCCACCCAGGCCCATGTTGCAGAAGTTCTATTTTAGACAGATATGACCAAGAGGACTGGTTCTTCTTCTCCACTCACCCACACTCATAGTACAGAAGCTCTGCTTCAGGCACAGTGTGCCAAGAATATTGGGAGCCTGATCTCCCTGGTTCAGCCTGTTCATAGGATAGAAGTGCCACAATGAGACAGGCAAGCCAAAAAGACCAGGGTAAGCTACCCACCCTGTATCCAGTGTGCACCAGAGTGGGAGTGACACTCAGTAAACAGCAAATCCCTGCCTCCTGCACCAGTGCAGGGTGTGGTGGTTATGCCTGAGGGGAAAGGTAAGTTATAAGATAAGGAGGTCTACAGCTTTACCTGAGGACACTGACTTTATTTGGGACAGATTATGGGGAACTCCATGCCTTAGGACTTTGTCAAGAACAATGGAGATCTTGGTGGAGAGCAATTAAAAGGAAGTTGGTAGCTCCAAGACACAAGTAAAATAGAGCAGCCAAAAGTTTAATAGAGATAGCCATGATAACAGCCAACTCTTGGGGTGGGAAGATTGTGCATATGCATTAGGTTACACTCAGGAGCAATCAGAGCAGGATTTGACAGCATTTTCAAAGCCACACTTGGATCCATCAACACGGAGTGGGCACCTGCCATAAGAGACTTAAATACAACCTCTGACCAAAAAACAAAATATATAAACAATAAGCTACTTTGACCCAGGGTTGACTCTCCTGGCAAGCCAGGCTTAAAAATAAAACCACAATCATCCTTCTCAATTTGTAAGATCATGAGCATTCTCAAGTCTGGATCCTTTCAGAAGTGATCAAAGTATTAAACTATTAGTCCCTGATTGAATATGAGGGGGAAAACACTCCCTGATCTATGGTACAGCTTTAAGCTACTACGTATACAATGACAAAGGGTCAAATTTAAGGGGACTAAAGCACAACATTGGACAAATAAGTGGTTTGTGCTGGCCCAGGGATGACCTAAAGGTAGCCAGATTAAAAGAAAAAATGCGGAGAGAAATCTGAGTAGGGATATCAGAAGTTGTACCACTGGGGGAATAGAGTTTTCAGAATTATTTTAGCTGAGTCACTAAACAAACAAACTGATTAACAAGCAAATAACAACTGACCTATCAATACCACCAGCTAGGATTCGTATGAAGATTTGCTACAATATCTAAAATGTCCAGTTTTCAGCCAAAAATATAAATTATGAGGCATACAACAAACATAAATGTGTGACACAAATACAAGGAAAAATTATCAGGCAACAAAAACTGCCATTGACAGACCCCAAATGGTACATTTAGAAACAGACTTCAAGGCAGCTCTTAAAAATACGTTTGGAGACTTAAAGGAAACAATCTTTAAAGAATCAAAGGAAGACACTGACAATACTTCCTCAAATAAAAAAAACATAAGAAAGAGAAACTATTTCAAAAGAACCAAGTGGAAAATCTGCAGTTGAAAAGTGCAAACACCAAAATGAAAATTCACTAGAGGAGCTCAACAGTAGATTTGAGCTGGCAGAAAAAAAGAATCAACAAACTGGATGTACATAAAGATAGAATATGTAACTTGAAGAACAAGAGGAAAAAAGTTAAAATGAATAAGGCCCCAGAGAAATGTCAGACACCATTTACTGCACCAACATACCCATAATAGAATAGCAGAAGGTGAGGCAAAAGAGAAAGGGACAGAAAAAATATTCAAAGATATAATACCTGAAAGCTTCCCTAATTTTATGGAGAACATTAACATACATCCAAGAAATGCAACAAACTCCATGTAGGAAAAATGCAAAGAGAACCACACTCAGACATACAGTCATGATGTTGAAAGCCAAAGATAGAAAATCTTGAAAGCAGTAAGGTGGAAACAACTCATCAAGTAAAAGAGAACCCCAACAAAACTATCAGCTGACTTGTTAGAATAGAGACCATTAGATAGTGAAATGACATGTTCAAAGTACTGAAAATAGCAGAAGTACTGAGAATAGCAGAAGGTGAGGAAAAAGAGAAAGGGACAGAAAAAATATTCAAAAACATAGTACCTGAAAGCTTCCCTAATTTTATGGAAAACATTAACATACATCCAAGAAATGCAACAAACTCCATGTAGGAAAAATGCAAAGAGAACCACGCTCAGACATATAGTCATAAAGTTGAAAGCCAAAGATAGAAAATCTTGAAAGCAGTAAGGTGGAAACAACTCATCAAGTAAAAGAGAACCCCAACAAAACTATCAGCTGACTTATTAGAATAGAGACCATTAGATAGTGAAATGACATGTTCAAAGTACTGAAAATTCAGACAATCTATCAACAAACAACTTAGCAAAAACTGACAAAAGGGACAGATAGACAATCAAACAATAAAAGTTAGAGAACTTAGTACAACAATTCTCAAGAATGACAGAACAACTAGGCAGAAGATCCGTAAGAAAATAAAAGATATGAACAACATGATAAACCCACTAACAATTATCTATAGAACACTTCAACCAACAGTAGCAGAATACACGCTCTTCTTAAGCACACACGGACCACTTTCTAGGATAGGACTATGAACTATATGCTAGTTCATGAAATAAGCCTTGGTACATTTAAAAGGAATGAAATAATACAAAGCATATTCTTTAAATACAAGGAAATTAAATTAGAAATCAATAACAGAAGGAAATTTGGAAAATATGCAAATATAATAGTAGAAATTAAATACACTCCTGAATAACCAATGCATCAGGAAGATATCACAAGTAAAGTTAGAAAATACTTTGAGATGAATGAAAATGAAAACATAAACACCAAAATTTATGCAGCTAATGCAGTGCTCAGAGAGAATAGTTGTATATACCTATACAATATTAAGAAAGAAGAGAAGTCTCACATAGATAACTTACACTTCTACCTAAAGACACCAGAAAATGGTAGCAAACTAAACTTAAAGTTAGCAGTAGGAAGGGAATCCTACAGACTAGAGTGGAAATTAATGAAAAAGAGAGAGAAGATCAATGGAGCAAATACATGAAATCGGAAGTTTGAAATAAATTGCAATCAGCAAGTTTAACTTGACCAAGAAAAAAAAGCAAAATACTCAAATTACTAAAATCAAGAGTAAAGGAGGGGACATCATTACTCAATCTTACAGAAACAAAAAGAATTATAAGAACCATCATGAACAACTATATGCCAACAAATTAGATGAAATATACAAATTAATAGACAGAGGTTACCAAAACTGACTCAAGAAAACAAAATAAAACATCTGAATAGACTAAAGAGGTTGAATTACTAATTTTAAATTTTCCACAAAGAAAGGCCCAGATAGCTTCAAGGTTAATTCTACTAAACACTTAAAGAAGAATTAATACCAGCTGTTTGCAAACTATTTTAAAAACAAGGAGAGAACACTGCCTAATTCATTCTATTAGGCAAGAATTACCCTGATTTCAAAACCAGATAAAAACATTACAAGAAAAGAATGCAACAGACCAATATCCCTTATGAATATAGAGGCAAAAATCTCAACAAAATACTAGCAAACCAAAGCTAACGACATATAACATAGATTATATACCAGGACCAAATGGGATTCGAGAAATGCAAAGCTGGTTTAAGATTTGAAAATTAGTGTTAATATTAATAGAATAAAGGGTAAAATATGATAATTTCAAAAGATACAGAAAAAGCATTTGAAAAATTTCAATACCCTTTCCTTATGAAAATTCCTCAGTAAACTTGGAGTGAAAGAGAACTTTATCATCCTAATAAAGGGTAACAAAACCTACAGGTGACAACATACTTGGTAGTGAAAGACTGAATGCTTTTCCCCTAAAATCAGGATCAAGAGAAGGATATCTGCTCTCATCACTTGCAGTTAACCTTGTACTAGAGGTTCTAGCTAGGTCAGTTAGGTAAAATAAATAAATAAATAAAAAGCATACAGATTTAAAAAAGTAAAAATATCTCTCCTTGTATATGACATGACCTTATGTATAGTAAATCTTAAGAAATCCACAAACTACTTGAACTTACAGATGAGTTCAGACAGCTTGTAGGACCCAAGATTAGCATACAAAAATCAATTATATTTCTGTACACAATAGCAATGAGCATTTTTAAAATGAAATTTAAAATGTATAATATTTTAAAAATCAGATATTTTCTTGAATTAACTTAATAAAAGATATGAGAAACATATATCCTAAAAACACACCATTCTAAGAAACTAAAGAAAACTTAGAGAAATGGGACTTTCCAGGTTCATGGATAACAGACTTCCTATTGTTTAAATGGCAATATTTCCAATTGATCTATAGCTGCAATTCAATTCCTATCAAAATCTCAGTCAGCTTTCTGCAAAAATTAACCAGCAGATGATAAAAATGTTTATACAGTTGCAAGGACTGTAGGGGAGAATCTGCTGCTAAGATCGTTCAGGTTGTTGGCAAAATTATTCCTGTGTGGCTGTAAGATTGAGATCCCATTTCCTTGCTGGCTGTCATCTGGAGGCCACCTTGCACTTCTGGAAGTCTTTCTCAGTCCGTATGTGTAGCCTATTACATCTCAGAATCAGCAATGTTGTGTAGACTCCCATGCCATCACATCTATTCTGCCTCCTCTTCTGCTACATCTCTCTGACTTTCTCTTGAACTTTTGAGGGCTGATATGATTACATTAGCTCACCAGGATAATCTATGGTAATCTATTTCATTTATTTATTTATTTATTTATTTTGATTTTTTGAGACAGAGTCACTCTCTTGCTCAGGCTAGCATGCAGTGGCATGATCACAGCTCACTGCAGCCTCAACCTCCTGGGCTCAAGCAGTACTCCTACCTTAGCCTCCCAAAAGCCAAAACTATAGGCACACGGCACCATGCCTGGCTAATTTTCTTTTAATTTTTATTTTGTAGAGACCAGATCTCACTATGTTGACCAGGCTGGTCTTGAACTCCTGGGTTCAAGCAGTCCTCTTCCCTCAGCCTCCCAAAGTGCTGGGATTACAGGCATGAGCCGTCACACCCAGCCAATTTCTCTATTTTAAAGTCAGATTAGGAACCTTAATTGTCTCTGCAAAATCCCTTCACAACAGCACCTAGATTGGCATTTGATTGTATAACCAAAAGGCAAGGGCTTTTTAGGGAATAGCTTTAATATTCTGCCTCCCATATTTTATTTTTTCTGACTGCTAAAATATTAATGCCAATAATGTGACCTCAAAATCTTTTTTAAAAGAAGTAGATCATTAAAAAAAAATAAAAATTGAATCACTAAACTATTACCTTATTATTTGGAAGACTGAAATTTGTACATATTTCCAGATTGTCCAATTTATACTGCACATGTATGTCAGTCATTTTGTAAGATCCTGCCAAATATACAGTAATATCCCTAATTGTTCTGACTAGCTTTTGATAATTAATTACCTTAGATTTTGTTGCAGCCCATTAATTATTTTAAAATTAGATCTATTACATTTTATTTTTATTGTTGCTTTATTTTAATTATTGATGAGAACATGTCTTATGAGCTACTGTTTAATATCACAAGAGATATTGAACATTAATTAAAAATTGAGCCTTTTATGCAGATAGAAACGTAAGAGTGAGGTTATTCATTAAGATGCTTTGCTTAACAAGCTCTAGGGTAGTACTTAGCAAGATGTCACAGTTCCAGTGACTTTTGAGAAATCTGTAATAGACACTGCTCAGACAGTAAAATTTCCTTTTATTTTCCTTCTTTGTATACTTTTCACATTTCTTATCTTGAACTTGGATATTTACTTTTTAGGCTAGTTAGTGAGAGTTGACTTATACACAGAAGAACCTCATCTGTGGAGAAAAGAATGATGCAAATGTGAAGAGAGAAATATAAGTAAAAGACCAAAGGCCCTCAGACAGACTGTTAGAGTGGTTGTCTACATTTATGGCCATTTTCATTGATATTCTTATGTTCCTTTAATAATTCCACAATTTTACTTAATCCATTGTCAATAGGCTTCTTTCTCTAAGGCTTTTTTCTTTTTCTGTCTCATTCACCTAAGAAGACCTTAACCAATCATGTCCTTTGCAGGGACATGGATGGAGCAGGAGGCCATTATCCTCAGCAAACTAACACAGGAATGGAAAACCAAATACCGCATATTCTCTCTTATAAGTGGGAGCTGCATGATGAGAACACATGGACACAATGGGAGGAACAACACACACTGGGGCCTGTTGGAGGGCGGGAGGTGGGAGGAAGGAGAGCATCAGGAAGAATAGTTCATGGATGCTGGGCTTAATACCTAAGTGATGGGATGATCTTTACAGCAAACCACCATGGCATACATTTCCTATGTAACAAACCTGCACATCTTGCACATGTATCCCTGAACTTAAAAGCTGGAAAAAAATAAAAACAGTTTTCCTTAACCAAGACAAAATTTTCCCCCAAAAGTAATCAACCTGGAATTTGGTAACTTCTGGTCAAATGCATTCTCTAATTGTGTCATTCAAAGTTACTTGATATTTAGTTACACATTAAAAAATTTATTGACTTTATTACTTGGGAGTGCCATTAGAAAATACTATGTGTATATTAAAAAGGGTAAATGTCTCTTAATTATAAGTGAAAAATAGTGAAGTATTATTTTTTAATGGAAATTAAATTTGTAAGGGTCTAATTGTTTTAAATGTTTCAGGAGGTGGAAATCACTGGGCAGAAACAACAGAGTTGCTGCCAGTTCAACAGTCTGGCTGTTTATCATTATACCCAACTTACTTGGAATACCCAATAATTATTCTCAAATACCTCTATAGTAATTTTTCTTCTGTATGGTAAGAGTGAATGTGAATCAAGTGTGACATAAATGGCACCAGTGCATCAGTGGGACCTGCCGAGAGATTCCTGATCAGCCCAGAGATTATGGTTTAGGAAATGAATCAGTAATATAAATACCAAACTATTAATTCAAGGAGCATGAAGTAATCTCCAATCTAATCCAGGCAGGTATTCGTATATGAGTTCTATAAGAGGGTAGAGACTTATACAGATGATTAAAAGTTGTGGTTGGAGGCAGTTCTAAGAACCTTTCTAATAATCAAAGGAATTGAGATGTAATATACAAGATACTTGTTAGAGACTGGCAAACACCATGAGAGAAGGTCAGATCCATAGCCTTCTGGCAGAGTGTCACATCAATGGTTTTGTCTCTTTATATAGAACAGAGAGGGATGTTGACTCAGGAAAGCCAAAGCATCTCAGGACCTAAGCTGAACCTCTGAGGAGCAGAAAACATATTAGACAATTGAAGAGGTGTTAGGACAGATGGAAGCAGATGACATTATTAAAAGTCCCATACATGTGATGGGGTGAAAGATGTACATCACTTAACTGTCACATATGACTTAGGAAGACCCAGAAATTTAACAGTGAGCCCCTATTAATAAGTTTTTAGCTTAGCATTAGATTTTTTTTTAAATATACTTAAAGTTCTAGGGTACATGTGTGCATGGGAGCATTAGATCTTAAAAGAAGTTCTGTCACTTTTCATGTTTTGATTTGTCAAGGGAAAAGTTGATCTCAGGAGGTGAACAATAGCATTGACTTGGTGAAACTGCAAATGCATCAGTCATACTGCAGGAATCACTCATCACAATTCAATCAGAAAGCTATAAAGGAAATGGATTCAACCTGTAACCTACTTAATTTATTTAATACATGCTGAAACAGAAAACCACTTTGATGATTATCACAAGAAAACAAAACCATAAAAAAATGGTAGTGATATCAGATTCTAATGTGAAAAAGCAGTGCATTAAAAAAGGAAGATGCAAATAATGTTATTTAAGGGATAACATCCAGAGGGCTTCTGTTGTTGTTTTGGTGGGGAGGTATTTTATAGCTTCTCTGAAATATAACATTTCTAGTAGTGAAAAGTACTCTTAGATTTATAAAAAAGTGCTCAGTCTTTCCCCTTTTGTATCCACATGACGGCTTCCATCTTGACTCACTATTGTGCACTATCAGTGCAATACTAAGAAAGCATTTTATAGCTTTATATTGAGGGGACAGTATTAATGATAGCAGTAAGTGTTTCTCTTATTTCAGCCATTTATTTTAAAGAAAAACCAATTTTGAATATGGTAATTATTTTTAATTATGGCTAATTTGAGAAACAATTAACCAACCAACCAAAGTCCACAAAAACAAAACAAAACAAAAAACCCAGTACTTGAAAATGAAAATATTAAGTAAACATATTTTATATGTCAATAGACATACATATATATGAAACAATTATATTCAGCATTTGCTGACAGGTGCTGGAGAGTATCCCTGCATTTCCACTTTTTGCTATATTACAGTAACTATAAGAGATTGTTAAATATTGATAATTAAATCAAGACAGCAATTTTGCTGTAAACTTTGAAGTCCTCTGACAGCATGATCAAATCCATAATTATAAGCATCATATTCTTCTATTCTTGTCAAGCCATATTGGCCATTTTGCCTTGTTTTTCTAGTCTGAACTTTTTAAAATTTATTTGCTAAAATGAACTGCTGACTTGCTGTTTCTCATTATTGTATAATACCCTTATGTATTAAATTATTGTACTATAATACATTACATATTTCATACAGGTTCACACATAAATATATGATATTCACATTCCCAAAGTTAAAAATCAAGTCAGATTATATTTTGTAAGATTTTAATGCCTAAGTTGCTTTTGGTTGAGAGTAAAGAATATTGAATAAAAATTTATGCACTAATTGTTCGCACTCATAAGTGGGAGTTGAACAATGAGAACTCATGGACACAGGGAGGGGAACATCACACACCAGGGCCTGTCAGGGGTGGAGGGCTAGGGGTGGGATAGCACTAGGAGAAATACCTAATGTAGATGACAGGTTGATGGGTGCAGCAAACCACCATGGCACGTGTATACCTATGTAACAAACCTGCACATTCTGCACATGTATCCCAGAACTTAAAGTATAATAAAAAAGTTTATGCACTAATGAAGATTGTTTTCATAAAATCTAATAAGAAAATAAAATATTGGAAAAGTTCTGTGTAAACCAGATTACTTGTCTTTGTTTTAACCCTCACTCTTTCTGATCCACTGGGAAATACAGCCTAAAAAATAATTAACTACCTAAATAAATAACAAATAAAAAAGCATTATATGAAAGTACTTCACCTTTGAAATGAAATGTTACAGTGATGGTTAGAAGAAAACAAAGCCAAAGAAGAATCACTTTCTAGCTGCTCCTTTCCAGCCTCAGTTTATTATTTCTAAACTGAATTTTTATCAAATATTCAGGTGGATCTATTCTTTCTTTGTCATTTCAAAGAAGCTTTGGTATTATATTTTTTAAGAGACTAGAATGAGGATATGGGCCCAAATCAGGACTTGATTATTTCATATACTTCAGAATACTCAAATTGAATGTCATTTTTCTAAAACCTGCATTTCAGTTAAAATTTTTATACTTATTTTATTTGAAAAATCAAGAACAAAGCTGGAGGCATCACGCTACCTGACTTCAAACTATACTATAAGGCTACAGTAAATAAAACAGCATGGTACTGGTACCAAAACAGAGATATAGATCAATGGAACAGAACAGAGCCCTCAAAAATAACGCCGCATATCTACAACTATCTGATCTTTGACAAACCTGAGAAAAACAAGCAATGAGGAAAGGATTACCTATTTAATAAATGGTGCTGGGAAAACTGGCTAGCCATATGTAGAAAGCTGAAACTGGATCCCTTCCTTACACCTTATACAAAAATTAATTCAAGATGGATTAAAGCCTTAAACGTTAGACCTAAAACCATAAAAACCCTAGAAGAAAACCTAGGCATTACCATTCAGGACATAGGCATGGGCAAGGACTTCATGTCTAAAACACCAAAAGCAATGGCAACAAAAGCCAAAATTGACAAATGGGATCTAATTAAACTAAAGAGCTTCTGCACAGCAAAAGAAACTACCATCAGAGTGAACAGGCAACCTACAAAATGGGAGAAAAATTTTGCAACCTACTCATCTGACAAAGGGCTAATATCCAGAATCTACAATGAACTCAAACAAATTTACAAGAAAAAAACAAACAACTCCATCAAAAAGTGGGCAAAGGAAATGAACAGACACTTCTCAAAAGAAGACATTTATGCAGCCAAAAGGCACATGAAAAAATGCTCATCATCACTGGCCATCAGAGAAATGCAAATCAAAACCACAGTGAGATACCATCTCACACCAGTTAGAATGGCAATCATTAAAAAGTCAGGAAACAACAGGTGCTGGAGAGGATGTGGAGAAATAGGAACACTTTTACACTGTTGGTGGGACTGTAAACTAGTTCAACCATTGTGGAAGTCAGTGTGGCGATTCCTCAGTGATCTAGAACTGGAAATACCATTTGACCCAGCCATCCCATTACTGGGTATATACCCAAAGGAATATAAGTCATGCTGCTATAAAGACACATGCACACATATGTTTATTGCAGCACTATTCACAATAGCAAAGACTTGGAACCAACCCAAATGTCCAACAATGATAGACTGGATTAAGAAAATGTGGCACATATACACCATGGAATACTATGCAGCCATAAAAAATGATGACTTCATGTCCTTTGTAGGGACATGGATGAAATTGGAAATCATCATTCTCAGTAAACTATCGCAAGGACAGAAAACCAAATACCGCATGTTCTCACTCATAGATGGGAACTGAACGATGAGAACACATGGACACAGGAAGGGGAACATCACACTCTGTGGCCTGTTGTGGGGTTGGGGGACGGGGGAGGGATAGCATTAGGAGATATACCTAATGCTAAATGACGAGTTAATGGGTGCAGCACACCAGCATGGCACATGTATACATATGTAACAAACCTGCACATTGTGCACATGTACCCTAAAACTTAAAGTATAATAATAATAATAATAAAGAAAAATCAGCAGCACAATTTTGCATTCCTTTGATTTTCAAAGTAATTCAGGTTCATTGAAACCTCACTACAAGGTTATCCCAAAGGCTAGTGCCATAGGAATGTGCATTGAGTAAATTACTGAGAGATGTACATATTATTTCAATATGTTTCTGATACATCTGGCTTTATACTGAACCCAGGTCTGTAGAACACTGCAATAACAAAAATCAGTCAAACTTGGTGTTAATGAGATTAATATAGTGCTAGAATTAAAGAAATGAAAAATATGGGAGCATTTAAATACATCATATCACTTAAAATTACAAAGTAATTAATACATAAAGCATATTGCAATTATTTTTAATTGTATTTATTCAAAGTGCCTTTCAAATGTGAATGGGTAAGAGTAATGAAGATTCAGGAAGCCTAGTTCCTTAAGAGTTATGAGTCACATTGCAATGTCCTAGAGGTTAAAAGTGCTTCCAAAGTTACATGTCATGGAAGTAGTTATTTAAGAAGATGAGGCCGGGTGCGGTGGCTCATGCCTGTAATCCCAGCACTTTGGGAGGCTGTGGCAGTGGATCACCTGAGGTCGAAAATTTGAGACCAGCCTGACCAACATAGAGAAACCCCGTCTCTACTAAAAGTACAAAATTAGCTGGGCGTGGTGGCGCATGCCTGTAATCCCAGCTACTCTGGAGGCTGCGGCAGGAGAATTGCTTGAACCCAAGAGGCAGAGGTTGAGGTGAGCCAAGATTGCGCCTTTGCCCTCCAGCCCAGGCAACAAGAGTGACACCCCATCTCAAAAAAAAAAAAAAAAAGATGAAGGCTTGTAATAGTTAACTCCATAAAACTATAAAACTTGAATGATTATCAATCCATTGGACAGAAATTGTGCTAATAGCTTTCTGCAGATGTCATCTCTTTTAACTGAATCATATGTTTTAAATTTCAAAATAGAGGTGATATGTTTAAGTTATTGATACTGAGACACACAGCAAGTAAATGTAAATGAACTTTATTATATTTAATATTCTTTCCTCAAAGAGCCAAAATCATTTATATATTTATAACTAAACTATGTGTGTAAATGTAGGGTTTTTTTTTTTAATAGACAGGGAAAAAGATAATAATGAAAACAGTAGTATATTAAATGTAATTTATAGATACATAATTAATGTTTGTTTTAAAGCATAGATTAATCCACAAAGTAAGAATCCACACATTCTGAAAGTTTTAATCTACTACAGGCACAGTGAGTTCTGGGGGTGCATGCAAAGGCAGGAGAGCGTTTTATTGTTACCACTTTACCAATGAAAGCCTGGTCTTTCATTCAATAGCTGCTTAGTTATCCAAAAAACTTTCATCTATGGCAGCTAAGGTGAGTAGGCTTCCTTCACTGGAAAAGACAAGCTAGAATATTTTGTGGGGTGGGTAGGAGTGGCTAGTTTGGATCTTATTAAGTTTGATGTTTATAATCTTGATGCAGCAGCTTAGTTTCATGTCTTTTCCCAGTGGCTTTGGTTCCAGCCTGAGCCTGCTGTGAAGAATGATTATTATTGTTGCCAGTTAACTGCTCTCTCCATCTGTGCATCAAGTGTGGGAAATATTTGCCCTTAAAAAAAAAAAAAAAAAAAAAAAAAAGCTCTGGCTGTTGCCTAGTGAGAGGGCAGTTATAAACAGCTGCATTTCAGATAGGTATAGTATAGTCATGTACATCAGCCAATGCAATACATGTGCATAGTGAACTACCACAGAGACAATTGTCTGCCAGGAGGTAGAGGTTAGGGAGAAGATCATTAAAGAGAACAAATTAATGAAATAGAAAAATTAAAACATACCTCTTCTCCTCTTCGCCTTTTACAACACCCTGTTTTCTTCTTCCTATTTCCCACTTTCGTATTTCCTGTCATAAAAAAAGGTAATCTAGAAGAATAATATCATTTTCATCTGACTTTCAACTGACTTTTTTCCTCTAACAGATTTAATTCAATTATCAAGTACAATAATTCCCTCTTACTTCATATCTTGACTATTAAGCCTTGATGTTGAGGAATTGGGGGAATGCTTCCACCTGAATCTCTTCACAGACTTTCTATAATATCAAGAATCCCTTGAAAGATAGAAAAATAGCTTGGCATACTGAGACATAAAGAGTTTTTCAAACATGAAACACAGCAAGAAAAAAGAGACAGATGGAGAGTCAGGAAGAGAAGATGATATCATTATCAACAAGTATATAGCCATAAATGTCATGTTTGATCTGTTGAGAAAAGACATGTACGTAAAGGTAAGGATGAACTTAAAAGTTATAGATAAAAGATGACCAAAAATGGAGAATGCATATGTGTGTGTGCATGTGTGTATAATTTTTTGTGAAACTTCATTTTTCATCAGTCTTCTTATAACTATTTGTTAAACAAAAAATGTATCTGTACTTAAAAGTATATTTCTAAGTTTTCTAAAATATGTTAGTGGCTTAAACTTAAATCTACAATAGATTTAAAGACAGAAAAACATCCAAGACAACATTCTTAAAAATTTTGAAGTGAAGATCTATTGACTTATGGTTTTGGTTTGTGGTTGTCTTATTTTATTCTTTACATCTCCTCTTCTTTATTCAGTAAATTTTTCTGAAATTCAACCATTTTCCAAATTTACCTTAAGGTTAGTACTATGGTGGATTCATACATGGAAAGGTAATTATAATAATCAAAGATAACATTTAATGAGTGGTGTATGCCCAACTCATTTGCCTTTTGTTATAACTGTATCTGACAGGTACTCTTGTTATCTTTATTTTGTAGATGAAAAAGTTGGGTCACTGAGTCACAGTAAGATTGTATCACTTTGCAAAAGTCATTCATTCATAAAAAACTGTTTCCTGACCATCTATGTGTCAGGCCTTATTTAGGCACTGTTTAATATAGTCATAAACAAAACAAAATCCCTGTCTTCAGAAATGTTACATTCTGGTAGCATGACGTCTATCCTCAACAACCAAGAGAGAGACTCAAAGATGAAAGACATTACATTCAATTGGGAAAAACTGAGGAAAGTCTTCAGAAGAGAATGGTATTTAATGTGGATCTTAAAAATGAGATCATTGGTACGTTCAGAGATAGAGAAAGAGTCTGCCTGGGAGAGAGAATATTATAAGCAATAGCAGACATGGCATAAAAGTGCATAAGGCCCTCTCTAGCAAAAGACACTTAATCTTAAGCTTAGAATCAATGACAAGAAGTATGAGATAAAGTTTGAAAGATTCTAATAGTAAGATATGTCTGTTCTGTATTATTGTTAGCCCTTTTTGAGTAGGTTAAATGTCATTTTCAAAAGACCTATTTAATTGAACTAAAATTTATTTTAATACATATGAAAGAGGTAAATTTTTTTTTTTTTTTTTGAGACAGAGTCTCGCTCTGTCGCCCAGGCTGGAGTGCAGTGGCGGGATCTCGGCTCACTGCAAGCTCCGCCTCCCGGGTTCACGCCATTCTCCTGCCTCAGCCTCCCAAGTAGCTGGGACTACAGGCGCCCGCCACTACGCCCGGCTAATTTTTTTGTATTTTTAGTAGAGACGGGGTTTCACCGTTTTAGCCGGGATGGTCTCGATCTCCTGACCTCGTGATCCGCCCACCTCGGGCTCCCAAAGTGCTGGGATTACAGGCGTGAGCCACCGCGCCCGGCCGAAAGAGGTAAATTTTTAAAGTGTATTTCTTTGAGTGTTAAAAAATTAAAACTCCAGAAGCGATATCAGCAAGATGGCAAAATAGGAAGTTGCAGCCCTTGTTCCTCCACAAAAACATCACTTTAACAACAGTGTATGAACCAAAGTACCATTACGAAATGCTAAAATCCAGTTATGAGGTTGTGGTATTCCAGGAGAGCACAAAGCCAAGAACAGCTACGTTGAAAGGCATAAGAAGAGTGGTTTAATTTTACCCATGTTGGCCCTTCCTTCAAGCTGGCACAACCCAACATCAGGGTAGAACACTCCAATTTACTATCTTTCAAGGGAAAAAGAAGAGTGCACCAAGCACCCAACATTCTGGTTTTTCTGAGGACTACCTGAGGGACTAGTTTCTGTTTCACCCCATGAGCACTGATGAAACAAGTATAGTGTGTATTTCTGGGGGCCACTTAGAAACAAGAAGAGTAGCTGGAAGCTTGGTATGGCCAACATGGCTGGGCAAAATCCAGCTAATGAGCACAACTTGAGAATTCTCCTTTAGAAGGAAAGGAGGGAGTGGAGTATGGATGTAATGTTCTATCTTCTTAGAGGGCTGTGCAAGTGACCAGAATATGTCTTACCTGCCTTGGTACACTGACAATGTGTTGGCATACTTCAGATGTTTCACGGCTGACAAGAACAAGGAAGAGCAGAGTGGCTTGCTGACACAGACTGACATCAGGGAGAGCAAAAACTTACGAGCTTTTGGTAAAGTAGCTGCCAATTCTTTCTAACTGAAGAATTGCATTCACAGGTCCAGAAAAGTATTATTTCTCCAAAAGATTTCAGAGGCTTCCAGAATCTCTAGCTGGGCTGACGGTGAAGGTCTTTCCCTGTACAAGGTCAGTCATAAAGACTGGGATACGTGGCTGCATTTTCAAATGTTTATATCCCAACACAATATTATAAGACACATGAGTCAAACACCGTCTCATAGATAAGGACGTTATATAATTATAAAATGGTCAACTCATCAGCAAAATATAACAATTATAAATGTGTATGTGTCCAACATCAGAGCACCCAAATATTTGAAGTGTACAATGGCATAACTGAAAGGAGAAATAGTAACACAATAATAGTAAGGCATTTTTATACCCCACTTTCATTATTGAATAGAACATCCAGACAGGAGATCAATAAGGAAGCAGAGGGCTTTAATAGCCCTATAGATAAAATGTACCTGACAAACATACACAGAACAATCCACCCAACAGCAGCAGAATACACACTTTTCTCAAGTACACAGAACATTCTTCAGTATAGGTCATATGTTAGGTCACAAAATAAGTATTAACATATTTAAGAAGGTTGAAATTATAACAAGCATGTTTTCTGAATGAAATGAAATGAAATAAAGATCTCAAATAAATAATCTATACCTCAAAGAAGTAGAAAAAGAAAAACTAAGCCCAAAGTAGTAAGAAAATTATGAAGATTAGAGCAGAAATAAATGAGATAGAAATATAGAAACAATAGAAAAAATAAATCTAGAAGTTATTTTTACAGATCACCGAAATTGACAAATCTTTAGCTAGATTAAGAAAAAAGAGAGAAGACTCATAAAATCAGAAATGAAAAAGGAGACATTACAGATTGTTACAGAAATGGAAAAGTTTATAAGAGACTATGAGCAATTATGCAACAACAAATTGGGTATCTTAGAAAAGCTGGATAAATTCCTATTAGCCTACTACCTACCAAGATTGAATTGAGAAGAAATAGAAAGTCTGAACAGATCTATGACCAGTAAGATTTAATCAGTAATCAAAAAATCTGCCAACAAAGAAAATCTCAGAACCAGATAGCTTCACTGATGAATTCTACTAAATATTATAAAGAAGAATAAACATGGATCCTTCTCAAATGATTCCACAGCAAAACTTTCAAACTCATTTTATGAGGCCAGCATGACCCTGATACTGAAGACAGGAAAAGGCATCACAAGAAAAGAAAATACAGGTCAATATCCTTAATAAATAAGATCCAAAAATCCTTAAGAAAGTATCAGCAAAGTGAATTCAATGGCACATTAAGAGGATGCCCACTGTTATTCTTCTATTAAATACAGTACTGAAAGTCCTAGCCAGAGCAATTAGAAAAGAAAATAAATAAAAGACATTCAAATTGGAAATCAGTAAAATTATATGGCATGGTCTTAAATGTAGAGAATTCTGAAGACTCAAAAAAAGTAATATTCAATAAGAAAATTGAGAAAAGAATCCCATTTATAATAGCATTAAAAATAATATAATACTTAGGAATAAACTTAATCAATGAGGCAAAGCAGAAAACATTGCTGCAAAAAATTAAAAAATAATGGAAAGACCTCCTATGTTCATGGATCAGAAGACTTGATACTGTGAAAATGTCCATACTATTCAAAGTGATCTACAGATTCAGTGGAATTCCTCTCAAAATCCTAATGGCATTTTTTACAGAAATAGAAAAAAAAAATTCTAAAATTCATATGGAACCCCAGTGGATCCCAAAGAGCCTAAATCACCTTGGGGAAGATGGACAAAGATGGAGTACTTTCATTTCCTCTTTTTAAAACACATTAATTACAGAGCTACAGAAATCAAAGCTGTGTAGTACTGCTATGAAGGCAGCCATTACTTCAATGGAACAGAACACAGAGCCCAGAAATAAACCCACACATACTCAAATGATCTTTGACAAGAGTGCCCAAACTGGACAATGAGGAAAGGGTAGCCTCTTCAACAAATGATGTTGAGTAACTGGGTATCCACATGCAAAAAAAAAAAAAAATATTGTGCTCTGTTTTACACTACACAAAAATCAACTCCAAATGGATGAAAGACTTAAATGTAAGCTCTGAAATGTAAAATTTAAAGAAAAGAATGTAGGGCAAAAGGGTTATAACATTGATATTCATGATTTTTTGAATATAATACCAAAAGCACAGGCAACAAAAGCAAAAATAGACAAGTGAGATTACATCAAACTAAAAATCTGCTTTTCAACCAAGGAAACAATCAACAGAGTGAAACCTAAACAGTGGGAGAAAATATTTGAAAACCATATATCTGATAAAGGGTTAATGTCCAAAATATATAAGAAACTCATACAACTCAATAGCAAACAACAACTAAAAACCTGATTTTAAAAAATGGGCAAAGGACTTGCATAGGCATTTCTTCATCTTTGTCCAGTGAAGACATACAAATGACTAATAGAGTTATGAAAAGATGTACAATATCATTCATCATCAAGAAAATACAAATCAAAACCACAATGATGTATTACCTCATAGCTATAAGGAAGGCCATTGTCAATAAAATGACAGCAAATAAAACTTTAAAATGATGTGCTGGCAAGGATGTAGAGAAATTGAGAGCCTTGTGTGCTGTTGGTAGATATGTAAACTCTCTCAGCTCCTATCTAAAACAGTATGGAGATTTGTAAAAAAAAAAAAAAAAAAATAGAACTACCATATGATGCAGCAATACTTCTTTGGGTACTTCTTCAAAAGAATTTAAATCAGGATCTTCAAGAGATATTTGCACTCCCATGTTCACTGCAGCATAACCAAGAGGTGGAAATAACTTAAATGTCCCTCGATGGTGAACATAGAAAGAAAATGTGGTTTATACATATGATGCAATATTAATCAGCTAAAAAGAAAGAAATTCTGTCATAGATGCACCTAAAGGATGTTATGCTAAGTGAAAGAATGTTAAGCCAGTCACAGAAGAAAAATTTTTGCATGATTCTACTTATATGGGGTATCTAATGCTGTTGTCTCATTGAAACAGAAAGTAGAAAGGTGGTTGCCAGGGGATGGGAGGACAGAGAAATAGGAAGTTGCTATTGAGTGGATACAGAAATAATCATGCCAGAAGAAACAGTTTTAGAGATCTGCTGTACAACATTGTGATTATAGTTCACAAACCTGGACTATACATTTAACAATTTGTTAAAACAATAGGTCTCATGAGTTTTTTTAACCACAATAATTAAAAATCTTGAGATCATTTTTAAATTGGCAAATATGCCTGCATAAAGATCTTTCAATATACAAATAAATCATAGTACAGTGTAAAATATGTGAATTTCTCCTTACGTTTAATAAGACTTCAAAGTAAAGATAGGAAACAATATATCAAGTAGAGTGTATTTGAGAACGAAAAAATAGGTGAACTTATATATGACTATAAAATTTAGTGTTATTCTTTGTAAAAAAAGTTAGAATGATAGATAGAATTCTGGTAATTATTCTATAGTGGTTTTCCAACTTGTTCCCCAGTGGAATCTTTCCAAATTCTCCCTCTACAGAGAATTTCAATTTGAAAGACAAATTTAAGTAGTGTTCCTATCCTTGAAAGACAGGGCTAGGGAGAGGGTCAAGGCTGCATGCAGAAGGCCTTTTCTTCTTTCCTTGCCCCAAAGATTCCACAGAGCACTGTTTAAGAACTCCTGATGGAGATGTAAACACAACAATGAAAAAAATAATAGCTGTCTACTTTGGGAGGCCAAGGTGAGTGGATCATTTGAGGTCAGGAGTTCAAGACCAGCCTGGCCAACATGGTGAAAACCCATCTCTCTAAAAATAACAAAAATTAGACTGGTGGTAATGGTGTGAGTCTGTAATCCTAGCTACTCAGGAGGTAGAGGCAGGAGAATTGCTTGAGCCTGGGAGGCAGAGGTTGTGGTGAGCCGAGATTGCATCACTGCACTCCAGTCTGGGCGACAGAGTGAGAGATCCTGTCTCAAAAAAAAAAAAAAAAAAAAAAATGGCTGTCAAATATTAAGAATTTACTGTGGGCTAGGAGTTGTGCTAAGCAGCTTATGTCTTGCCTAAATTAATCCTCACAATAGTCTTATGAAAGAGATATTATTATTTTTGTCATTTTATAGATGAAAAACAATTATTAAGTAATTAGCCAAGGTCACTTACCTCATGAATGGCAGAACCAAAATCTTACCTCAGGCAACCTCATGTAATCTAGAGCCTTAACTGCTCTACTCTGTCGCTAGGAGAAAGCCTCACCTGGTGAGTAAAGCTCCACATGGAATTTTCTGTACTGAAAGGTACATTTTCACTGCATATATTGATCAAATGGATTGGATAATTGCCAATTTTTCATGTTTCTCTTGAAAACACAAACATTTCATTTAAAGTTTGTCTAATGTTAGGTCATTATCATCACTCTACTATTAGAGAGAACTTATTCAAAAGATGGGCAGTAGTCTGGCGATTAATTTAAACTCTAACTTTTTATGTATTCTTAAGGAGTTCTCAATCTTCCCTGCTTCCGTGATGTTAGTAAAAATCAATAACCTCTGAATTTAATGTACAGATTTCTAAGATGTTAATAGTTTTAGCACCTTGAGAACTTTCTTTATTACATTTCCTCATTCTTTGCAATCACATACTTCATTTTCTGAAATAAGAAAAAAGTGATTGAGGGGAGATAATTATTTACAAGTAATATTTAAAAAAAAAGAACTGAAATGCATACATATTAAATTTCATCTGCAACTATTTGGCCACCTCTGATGCTTACTTATAAATGGCGCTTTTTGTAATACTTAAGAAGAGAATCAAAGACTAACTTCTCTAAGCAAGTGGAGTAAGTCGAGGAGGAAAAATAAAATAAATCTAAATTTTATTTTAAAATAATCCATCATGCTCTGACAGATAATCAATTGTTATTAATACCACCATTATAGATCTGTAAAAAATATATTTTATTTGGGGCAGTCTGGGCACAATAGTATATACATTTAGGACAACCATTAATATCTCTCAATGGAGAGTTTTAGATTAGCTATTCTCTTGTAGGAACACAGATGATAGAAAAGTCATTTTTGGTGAAAAATAAGGGGCATGTGAGAAAAGTCAAATGGAAAAAAAAATAGATTAGAGGCCGGGCGTGGTGGCTCACGCCTGTAATCCCAGCACTTTGGGAGGCCGAGGCAGGCGGATCACAAGGTCAAGAGATCCAGACCATCCTGTCTAATACGGTGAAACCCCGTCTCTACTAAAAATACAAAAATTAGCTGGGCGTGGTGGCGGGAGCCTGTAGTCCCAGCTACTGGGGAGGCTGAGCCAGGAGAATGGCGTGAACCCGGGAGGCGGAGTTTGCAGTGAGCCAAGATAGCGCCACTGCACTTCAGCCTGGGTGACAGAGCAAGACTCCGTCTCAAAACAAAACAAAACAAAACAAAAGTACATTAGAAATGAGTGTAGCTGTGAGAGGCTGTTCAGCTAAGGAGGAATTGCAAGCAAGAAAAATATAGGGAAATATACTTCAATTTTATCAGATTTGTCAAACTCCTGGGAGGCCCAGATATGTGCATGCACATTGATTTAAATGTTCTGTTGAACATTTAGGGTTCTTTGGTTGCAAACCAGAGAGACCAGTTTTGGTTATAAACTACAACAACGACAAGAAGACGGTTATTTGGAGGAATATGATTGTTACTGAGAAAAATTGCATATTAAGAATCAGAAACAGGATTGAAAGCAAAGTAGTTACTGACATTGGCATCTAGACTGCAGAAAATACTTTCCCAATTGTTTTCCTTCTTTTCACTGATCAAGAATTAAAGAGCCCCTTGACAGGGAATCCTATTTACTTGGCTTGGCTTTGATATCATGCCTGCACTATGGGCAAGGGCTGTTGGAGAGGATGCTGGGGAAATCAAAAATTAAATGCCACTTTGCAATGTCTTTCACTGTAGAAATGAAGTCTTCAAATAGTGTGCTAACACACTTGCCTCTTCTTTTGTAAGATCACAGTAAGAGGCACAGTATGAGGGGGGAAGCTTTAGTTGTCTTCCTTTCTTCCTCCCTCCCTCCCTCCTTTCCGCTCTTCCTCCCTCCCTTCCTCTCTCTCTCTCTTTCTCTCTTTATCTCTTTCTTTTTTCTTTTCTTTTCCCCTGCCTCCCTCTCCCCCTCCCTCCCTCCTTCCTTCCTTTTTCTTTTTTTTTTTTTTTTGAGATAGAGTCTCACTCTTGTCGCCCAGGCTGGAGTGCAGTGGCGCTATCTCCGCTCACTGCAAGCTCCGCCTCCCGGGTTCACGCCATTCTCCTGCCTCAGTCTCCCGAGTAGCTGGGACTACAGGCACCCGCCACCACACCCGGCTAATTTTTTGTATTTTTAGTAGAGACAGGTTTTCACCGTCTTAGCTAGGATGGTCTCCATCTCCTGACCTCTGACCTCGTGATGCGCCCACCTCAGCCTCCCAAAGTGCTGGGATTACAGGCGTGAGCCACTGCGCCCAGCCTCTTTCTCTCTTTTTCTCTTCTCTTCTGTTCTCTTCTCTTCTCCTTTCTCTCATGGTCTCTCTCTCTCTCTCTCTCTCTCCTCACTGTGTCACCCAGGTTGGGAGAGCAGTGGCACAATAACAGCTCACTGCAGCCTCAACCTCCCTGTGCTCAGGTTATCCTCAGCCTCCCAAGTAGCTGTGACAACAGGCATGCACCACCATGCCTAGCTAATTTTTTTGCATTTTTTGTACAATAATACAAAAACCCAGCTGGGAGTTTGCCTGCCTCTCCCTCCCAAAGTGCTGGGATTACAGGTGGGAGTCACTGCATGCAACCAATCCTGCATGTTTTCTATTGCCTATAACAAAATACCACAAACTTAATGGTTTAGAACAATACAAATTTATTATCTTGATGTTCTGTAATTCGCAAATCAAACAAAGTCTCCCAGGATTATGATGGTGTTGGCCGGGCTGCATTCCTTTCTGGAGGCCCTACAGTGGAATCTGTTTCCTTGCCTTTTTCAGCTTCTAGAGGCCTCCCACATTGCTTGGCTCATGGCCTCATTCCTTCATCTTCAAAGTCATCAATGTCACATCTCTCTGACCATTATCCCATAGTCACATCTGCCTCTGACCACAGCTAGGTAATGTTCTCCATGTTTAAGGACTTGTAAAGCCCAATCTGGATAATCCAGGGCAATCTCCCCATCTCAAAGTCCTTAATCTTTCTTTTTTCCAGAGACAGTGTCTCACTCTGTTGCCCAGATGGAGTGCAGTGTTGCAACTGTAGCTCCCTGCAGCCTTGAACTCCCGGGCTCAAGCAATCCTCCGGTCTCAGCCTCCCAAGTAGCTAGTCCTATGGGTGTGCACCACCATGTCTGGCTAATTTTAAACATTTTTGTAGAGATGGGGTCTCACTGTGCTGTCCAGGCTGTTACTGAACTCCTAGCCTTAAGTCTTCCCCTTGCTCTGGCCTTGCAAAGCACTGGAATTACATGCATGAGCCACCAAGACTGGCCTCCAGGTTCTTAATCACATGTTCAGAGTCTTCTTTGTCATATAAGGTAACTTATTTATATATTTCAGGATTCGGGCATGAATATCCTTGGGGAGTCATTATTTTGTCTACCACAGACCCTATCTTATAATTGGAGTTGTGTAATTTTGGGGGATTCAGGATTTATCATTTCTATCTGTGTGAATTTTTCTCTTTGGTTACTCTCTTTTTAATTATTTTTGTTTTCCCCCATAAAATATTTAGGAAAACTCCAGTAAGGTAGAATGAATAAAATGTTTTTGGAAATATGTTGCATTGTACGTTATAAAAAGTGTACTTAAAAAAATTACACAAAAGTACAAGTAGAAACTTTTCTTGTTCACTTTTCTAGCTGTGTTGAGTACAGTACATACACAAAGTCTTAATAAAATATAATACTTGATTATGACTATTATATAGTTGAGAGGAAGCACTCAACTTCTGTCTTGATTATTTGGAATACCTGGATGAGTATGTGCTTCTCCTTAAAAAGTTACCTTTGGATTTATCAAGAATAATTCTTATATAAAATAAATTATCGCATAAGGCTCTTATGAACTAAAGAGAAACTGCAGGTGGGAAAAGAGCTCATTTGTATGAATTCTCTTTCCTACTGTGGAACCCCAGTGTGGAAATCTGATTAACTTAAGAAAATGACTTCAGCAGGGCTTTAAGCTATAAAGGTTCTTTCAGATGAAGAGGTCAGTTTTCCCTGGAATTAAAAGTCATAATCTTGGGCTGGATAAGAACTCCAAGTATTTATTTAACTCTGTTAGCCAAAGCTGATAGTTTTACAGTTTCTAAATAGTTGCCTGTTGTGGCAAAACTGCCTGGTGTTTGCTGATTAGCAGTAGGTGATTTGGGGCTGTTAATTTAGCACAATGCAATGTAAATTTTAAAATAATGTAATAGTTCCTTTTTATATTTCAAGACAATCTAGTATGAGGTGCAGTATTTTACAGAAAACATAGTCAAGACTTTGTTCTATTTATATTCTGATTCAAAATCAAATTCTCCTTCAGAAATAAGGATTTAAAAAATTCTTATCACACATTCTGTTTATACTTTTAACAAATCAATACATTCTAGCACTGTTTTCCTCAGCTTGTATTTTTTGTCTTGACATATTTAGAATAATATTTTTATCAGCAATGCTTTATATTCCATTATTTTCCTTGTCTCTGATAATAATCAATTTTTGACACTGGAAGTCAGAGGAAGTCAGATGAAAGCCAAGTGAATTTGTTGTTTCAACTGCATTAGCAGGACAGAATACACAGACACACACGCACGCACATTTTCATGCACATAAACCATCAGAACATCTGTAAATGTTTAAAAGTAGCTGAAGTTTCATTTTTCATCTATCCAAGCAAGTCTGACACTGGCAAACATATCAGTTTAAATTCTGGTTTCACACTAATTCTCATATATTATGATGCAATGTCATACCTGTTTCAGAGGGATGAATAGGTAGAGTTATTTTAAGTTTCTCTTAAGGAGAACTTTTTCTGTTTTTCTCTCTGAAAGGTGTCTTCCCATGCTTTCCAAGTTTATATGAAATATAAAGAACAAACATTGGAGGTATTTACACCTGACATCAATCTTTTCCCCATGTCTAAACAGAAGTTTTGTTTCCTTTGTTGAATTTTTAGATTACCTTAGGTTTTCTGTGGCTTCATTATGTTTCAGTTATATGATAGGCTAACAATGCCAAGACCTAACCTATCATTCCTTATTTGAACTATGAGGATTAAATATGATTCCCTTGGTGTCTGTATCTTCTGAATTTCATCTTCTGTTTCCTTATCTAAGGTTCAATGATTTATAAGAGTATTAAAATAAGTCCATCTTCTTAGGAATGGACACTAAAACTATAAACCTGTAAAACTCAAAGTAAAAATTTCAGCAAATTGTTAATACTTAAATATTCTTTAAGCAGAAAAATGTGTATAGCTAGGAGAGTTTAAAAAAAAATAAAGTGCATTTTTAAATACTTAGAATAGCAAGAATAGGAGCACCATACCCAAATTGAAATATATTATCATTGTGTTACAGCTTAAAGTAATAGAAAGCTGATATAGGAGGTAAAACCCTAAGAAGTATTTCTAAAAACTATGATGACCTAATTTGAGAAATAGAGGCCAAAATGTTTATATTATTGGTGTCTTCTATTTTAAACATGGAAAATATTCTGTTTGGGCCACATATAATCTTATTATAAAGGAAATCACAATATAGGACAAATTTTTAAAGTAAGAACTCAGTAAAAAACACCATTCCTTGAAGATACATATAATGATTATGTTACTGAATATTTTTCCATTTGTAGAAATAGATATATAGCCATCATTTCGTGCATGCATGTGCACACACAGACACACGCGATGGTTTCTAAATAGAAGGGGATAATTTTACAAAAATTGCCTTAAACTGTACCTGATGTTATATAACCTAATATTTTATTCAATTTGTTGATGACATTATCATCTTAATATGGACCTATATCATCTTTTTAAAACACTGTATAAAATTTCCTTGTATGAGAGAACCACAGTTTAATCAGCATATTTTCTATTGCTGAATACTTTGGTGGTTTTGTTTTCTTTTATTAGTGTTACAAGGAAAATCCATGAAAATACATTATTAACCACTCCTTTAATGTTTTCTATAGGATTGTGCCCTACAATGGGGATGGTATTAAAAAGACGTGTAATAGTAAATTTAGCTTAACACATAACAGTTTGGGATAAGCTAAGGAATGTTCTTGGGTGTCGGAAGCCATATGTCTTCATTTTGAAGTCTGCAATGAAGCATCTATAGTATGATAGGTTGGTTTTAAATGATCTAAAAGCCTGCTTATACGTTTTTTCTCTCTCCTAGAATATATTTTTCACTTTGACTCTCCACATTTTCTCTAGTCCATCTACCTTTTCTTTTTCTACATAACTCAAATTCCTCTACAGTGAACTCAGTGCATCTATCTAATCTCTAATCATAATATCCAACTATGTATACTTTGTTTTTTCTTGCCAAGCATTCTCTCTTCTCAAGTTATTGTGTGGCTTAATCCTTCTTTTATTCTGCTAAAATATCACCTCCTCAGATACACTATCCTTGGCCACCCAATTTAATAATTACATCTCCCCTCGCATAATTATTTTTAATCATATAATTGAGATTTTTTATGGCCTTATTACTATCTAAAATTATTTTATTCATTTATTTGTTTGCATTGTTGGTTTGACTTGTAGGATGTAAGTTCCATAACAGTAGGAACATTGTCTTTCTTTGGCACTACTGTATCCATAGATACAGGATACAGATGTACATATTTTCCACATAGTAGACATATTAAAATATTTCTTGGATGAATGAATAATTTTCAGGAGTGTGTTACGGGCCAGGGTTTTATACTCTGTGGAAGGAGAGGAGAAGGGAACTGATTCGTATTGAACGTCTCTTATGTATGTACTAGAGCTTTATATACACTGCCTCATCTGAATCTCATAATAATTCTCTGATACTGGTTTTCTGTTTCTCATTTTGCTAATGAACAAATAGAAAGCTCAAAATATTATATAAATGCCCATGGATACACAGCTGGGAAGTAACAGAGCCAAGATTAAACCCAAATAAGCTTGTATGAAAAGTCTGCAGTTTTTCCGCTGTGCATACTGTCACCGAATAAACATATATTTTATTAGAGATGAGTTTATATAACTTAACGTGTGTCAAGACTATTGCATATATTAATATTATCCCATTTAATTTGGTACTCTGAATCACTTAAATGATAGATATTAGTATACCATATTTGTGTTGAGGTAACTATTTCTTTGAGCAATTACTAACTCATTCAATGCCATAAGCCTAGCAAATGAAAGTCTGACTTTGATCAGTCTGACTTCAAAACTCAATATTACACAGAAGCCAATGTAGAGAAATGTAATAGAACTTGCTGCAATCCAGCTTCATTTATATTGCTATATATGCGGAAGAAGAGAAAGTCAATGTTTGTGATCAAATACCTTTTTTATTACACACATAAATCTCATGGAAATATATAAAATTGTGATAAGTGAAGGTGATAGGGAAGAATAAATATATTTTGATATATTATTTATAAGTAAAATGACAACGTGAAAGAGAAAGACATGGAGGAGATGGCATGAATATAGCAACTAATATTCAGAGTGAAATAAATCAGTGTTTAATAGAGTAACCCATTAGAGATAAACTAAAATAACTAAATTTATTGTGAGAACAAATTTATCAATAAAAAACTACTTGATAAGTATGAAAAACCATAGATTTATTTTTTTTTACACTCTGTTTTTGTTACCTTGTTGACTATTTCTAGAGAAATATTTTTAGTTTTTTTGCTAAATAAGGACCTTACTTATGTAGTTTCTGACTACTTCTCAAGAAGCTATTCCTGGACCTATACCTATCTAAGAAATCTTAAAAACCTTATGAAACCTGGCCAGGTGTGGTGGCTCACGCCTGTAATCCCAGCACTTTGGGAGGCCGAGGCGGTCAGATCACGAGGTCAGGAGATCGAGACCATCCTGGCTAACATGGTGAAACGCCATCTCTACTAAAAATACAAAAAAAATTAGCTGCGCGTGGTGGCGGGTACCTGTAGCCCCAGCTACTTGGGAGGCTGAGGCAGGAGAATGGCCTGAACCTGGGAGGCAGAGCTTGCAGTGAGCCGAGATCATGCCACTGCACTCCAGCCTGGGTGATAGTATGAGACTCCATCTCAAAAAAAAAAAAAAAAAAATTGAACCAAATTCCTTGCATTTTTAATTAAAAGCATATGACCTAGGTAGTTTAAATGAAATTGCTTAAGGTTGTGCAGATGTAAAGAAGTAAAACCAGGTATGAAGATTTCTCCTGAAAACCAGGCTGAGCCTCTTTCTGGATGCTAGAATGTGTGACTAGTTATATGGATGTTATATTCTGCCATTACTCTGAATTTCACTTAGAAACTTTCCTGTGATATGCTTTCAATAATGAAGGTGGCTTTCTGAATTTTGTAATATAAAGTTTCTCTGGATATTAAGTGGGAACAACTTTAGTGTTTATATATTAGGTTGTTCTTACATCGTTAAAAAGAAATATCTGAGGCTGAGTGATTTATAAAGAAAAGAGGTTTATTGGTTCAAAGTTCTTCAAGCCTTATAGGAAACATGGTGCTGGCATCTGCTTGGTTTCTGGTGAAGCCTCAGGGAGCTTTCAATTATGGTAGAAGGTGAAGGGAGAACAAGCATGCCACATGGTGAAAGCAGGAGCAAGTGAGAGAGAGTGGTGGGGAAGGTGCCACAAATTTTTAAACCACCAGATCTCATGTGAGCTCAGAGAGAGTGCTCACTTACCACCAAGGGAATTGCCCAAGCCATTCATGAGGGATCCGCCTGTATGATCCAAACACCTCCCACTAGGCCCCACCTCCAACACTGGGGATTACAATTCAATCTGAGATTTGGCAGGGTCATACCTTCAAACTGTATCAGTTTGATTTTGAATAACGGTCTTGATTTTGGCTTGCCTTTTTATGTTTTTTTTGCTTGTTTGTTTACTATGAGGATCACATGTGGAAAGGCAAGAAACATTTTCCATGTACTTCACTGAGTTGAATTAAATACATCTTAACATTTCTATTATTTTATTGAGAATTATGAAACTGGTAAAGTAATGGGCTGGTAAAGTAATGGGGAGCATTTCAATCTCAAAATGTATAGAATATATTTAGAACCAAGAGTAGCATCCCTCACCAAAAAAAGTTTCTATTTATTGACAGCCCAAAAAGTATGTGCTTCTTCTGGGAAAAGCTAGAGCAGAAAATCTCACCTCAAATTATCTCTATATAATCAATTTTGTTGGACTTTGTGGTACAGAAATATTGTAGATGTGATCCTTTTTGAAAAAGATTTCTCTAAAATGCCCTTAAAATGCTTTATCTAGTCATGACTTGATTCTAGTCTGTATATTTCAAATGCAAAGATTTTGTATAATAGCTTTCTCTGAGAAGATCCATCATAGGATAAGTTGATGTTAAAAGCTTACAGCACATATAAATATCTGAACAAATATTTAATACAAGTTATTGTACTTATTTACCAGGGTTACTTATAAGTCACCCCTAAAATATGGTATAGACATGATCATTAAATCTCCTCCTATGGTGGAGGAGTAGCTGATTCCAAGCAAATAATTTAATACAACATGCCTGACACGACTGCAACTAATTTTTGCTACTTATAATACTTTGGAAACGATTATAATTTAAATAAATTTAAATAAACACATATAATATGTAAGATAGATGATAGATAGATAGATAGATAGATAGATAGATAGATAGATAGATAGATGATAGATAGATACTCTACACCTGTATTTGGAATTGTGTACATTCACTTTTATTAAATTAACTGCTCTAAATTTCTTACATGGAAGTATTAAAAAATTCTTCATATTTTGCCTTTATTATGCCTAGTCTGACCTTATGTTCCTTGCCTGAGATAGGCCCAGTTTATGTTATCCCAACCAGATTTTAAGAACCTTCTTTCATTCTCAGAAGTGTCCTGATTTGGATGATTAATTATATGAACATCCTATTTATACTCCATATTATCATTTTTTGTATATTCACATACTGCCAAATTATAAAAATAACTTCTCTTGTAGGCAAATAAGAAAGGCTTATGTTTTATTTTGATAAAAGACGTTTTGCACAGTGATTAGGAATAAAAGCTTTGTGTCTCAATTTTCTCATTTGTCAATGGGAAAAAATAATATCTCCCTTATTGTTTGTTTTAGGGATCAAATTAGTTTGTTACAAAGATCTACTTATAAGAAGGCTAATAAACAGAATTAAGCCTATTTCTTCGCTCTCTATTTTGTTAACCATACATCATACTTGGCATAACTTCTAAGAGGTCATTTTTGACAATAAAATACATACAAATGCTACTGTACTATATAAGAAAGAGCTATATTGTAGAGGATGTGAAAATTATAAAAACTAATATTAACATCAGCCATACTAAATACTTTTGACACAGTTATGTTTTACTATCATGTTGTATTCATTTGCAGCAGGGAAATTAAAAACTGGTTTTATCCAAAATGCCAAATTTTTATCATATGTTTGATAAAATAACCAAAAATAACAAGATATATACTTATATTCTATACTTTTAGGCTTCTTATATTCTGTCCCATACCCATTAGCAGTATTGTACCAGCAAAATAATAATGAGATTAATCATTTTTTAAAATAAGTATCTCTGTTGTCTTCTTACATAAATGACCAAGTCACATTTTGTTGATAATTTTGGCTCCTCCTCAAACAAAAATCCTCTTTAATTTGTACCCAGACTACAAAAAGCATAGTGTGTGTCTAATTTGACTACTAAAGGTATTCTAGCAACCAACTAAATTATTATTTCCTTTTATATTACTCTTTGACTTAATGTGTTATAAATTATGTGATTATGACTAAATTAATGTAGTTCTATAATAATACCAATCATTCTAACACTGTGGAGCTTCCTTAATATCTGATTAATATCTGATTCCTAAATAGTTTTTTTAAAATGTACTATTTGCTAAATGATATTCCCTATAAGATTCTAACTTCTAAAATGTATGATTTACCAAAATTCTGAAAGCAATCATTTTGGTAGGTCCAAACAAGAAAAACCCACTGTATAATTTTTACTACTATAATAAATATGGCTTTATAATAAATATGGTCTGATAAATACAAAATAAAGTCTTTCTGTTCTTCATGGTTTTGTTTTTGTTTTTGTTTTGTTTTTTTGAGACGGAGTCTCGCTCTTGTCGCCCAGGCTGGAGTGCAGTAGTGCGATCTCTGCTCACTTCAAGCTCTGCCGCCCCGAGTTCACCCCATTCTCCTGCCTCAGCCTCCCGAGTAGCTGGGACTACAGGTGCCCACCACTACACCCAGCTAACTATTCTTCGTGTTTTTTAATGGTCATTAAAAATATCTATGGTAAAAAAAAAAAACATATTCTCTATTTTAATCAAGGCTTCTGCCCAAAATGAAAATTAGAAATAGGTGCTTCCATTTCTCACAGGTTTTATGTTAACCCAATGTCTTGCATTTTACTCATCTTAGAAGGATTCAAAGAAGACTCATAAGAATCCCATCCTAAAAAGCTTGCTATGGCAGTACCAGTATAACGATAGGAACTGATCACGTATTTAATTCTGAGTCAAATTATGCCACTATACATTCAGCATTATTTCCATTGGATGATAACCTAGAATATATTGAACCAAATGTATTTTTCTATTAGGATATCTGTGCTGACTTATTATTACATTTCTACACTCAGATTTATAATTGCAGAATAATAAAAAGCAGCTCTGGCACATAAAACACCACTCCAAAGCTAAAAGCATAACAAATGCATATGTTAGATGCTTAGAACTTGTTATTATTCTTTTTCCTCTTACATATTTTACTTCCCTTCCTGGCTACTTTCTTTTTTAAGATTGTTATTCTGAGAATTAATGTAACTTCTGTAAAATACCTTGAAGTATGCATGGTGATTCAGAAGCAAAAAAAAGAAAACTGATTTTTCTTAAAGTAACTACTACGATCTTCATCACATCAAAGAAAATTATAAATGATTGTTGAAATTTCTAACCAGATATTTTATTGTGAAAACTAGACATAGGCCTACAGTATTGCATGCTATTGGTTGGGGCTTTGAATAATGAATCATCTATATGTTTGGGATGAAATAGGATTGTATTAACAAGTAATTTACCATATTTTTATCTTAACTTTTTATGACTTAATGATTTAGACACATCTGGAACCTTTTGAGTTTCTTGTATCCAATATCCCCACTGTGTAGAGTACCTCATAGATTTGGAGATCCAGAAAGAAGAATGCCAAAGAGAAAGAATGCCTTCTCATTCTTTGGAAGGATTATGAAACGAATTGTATTTCCAGATGATGTGAGTGACCTTTAAGATGGAATCAGAAGTAGGGCAGTGTAACTGTGATAACCTCAGGGGAGCGACTGGCCTCTGCCTTGAAGTCTGTCTATACATACATGTGAGATAATACAAAGCCACACTAAAAAATGAGCTTGGAATTACCTGAATTCGCTATATTATAAAAATTGTACTTGAGCGTTTCATACTTAAAATATGTTTTTGTAAAAATTACTGGAATTAGTAATTTTCAAATAATCCAAAGTCATTATCATAACAGATTAGCACCTCCTGACAAGTTTTAAGGTCAAAATATAACTGTTACCTAAGTTGAAGTAAACTTCAGCTTATCCCCATGTTTCATGAACCATTAAGCAATTGTTTTGAAACTTAGCTAAAATCACAAACTCCATCTACATATGAATAAAGCTACTGAGAAAGATGGAAGCTGATTTTAGCTTTCATCTGAACTTCAACCTCACATAGATGAATGGTTAGAAAGTTCACATTCCTAAAACAGTTAATATTACATACCTTTATTGAGTTTTTTGTAAACTTAAAGGGTTGAATTAAATAGAGAGGAAAATGAATTGCAGGGTTTTTTTTAATAGTTTTGAAATATTTAGATGTTCCTATTAAAACGTACAAAATAGAAACTGATAATTTTATCCTAAACTATTTTAAGCCACTGAGTCTGCTAAAACATTTAAGAAATAAACACTCTTAGGCTCACATTAGTTTAGTGGATATTTTTTTCCCCAACTACATAGGTGACAGTAGCTTATTTTTTGAGTTTTAACACAGGTTCTTCATAGTGGGCCTTGAAACTTTTTACTTGATATTCAATCTTGCATGGCTCAGAAATGTGTTATTTTATATCACTGTTGTCTAAAATTTCAGGAAATAAAGACACCTGCTTCTCAATGTCTTCATACCAAGAAAAAGTTGATATTTTGCCCCTTTCCTCTCCATCTCATACTCAAAATTTAGATGACTATAAGTCAAATGGGGAAGAAATGGTTGGATATAAGTGAAGAAGGAGGAGTTCTCATCCAAATGTCATAAAAATTCATCTTTTCAGTAGTTTGATATGTATAAAAGCATCATTCCAAAAATTTTGATTTTCTGTACTGGAATAGATAATTTTGAAATATCTCAATAAATTCTCCAAACTTAAGCTAATAACCCACCCAGAAAGATCTGTGAACAATCTCTCTTAAACAATCACAAACATAATAACACTTTTACAATGTTACATAGTTTGCAAGTTTTTTGATTGTATCTATAAGAATATAACAAAATCACCAGTGTGCAGGAAATAATAAAAGTATACATGAAGATACAACTTTGGTCTTCATTTGTTTTTAGTTTCATTGTAAAATATTTATTTCTATAGTGTTACTTTGAGATTTTTTTTTACCTCAAACACTATTAAAAATAATGTTTTGAAAGCTTATTGAGAAGGCTTGGAAACTAATACTTTTTGGTTGACTGGTCTCATTCCATGTTATATTTAATTATTTCCACTCTTGAGAAATATTTTGGTCCAAATACATTTTTGTATGTAGTTTGAGAGTCACTTTCCTGTTCATTATATAGATTTGATTTGAACAGCCAAATATTGGTGACTAGCATTCCATTCTTGCATGTGGGATCATTCTAATATTAGTAAAAACTTTGACCATTCTGAAAATGGGAGGGGAAAACTACAACTCCTAGTTCAAAACAGAAAGCAAAATATGATCTATGCTAAAATACATGAGGCCAACCTTATTTGATTTAAAGCTAGAAAAAAAATGAAAATTTCTGGTTCTGATTCAATCCAACATACAGATACCCTCAGGTTCAAAGAACCATGTAACAGAAGGGTAAAATATCTCATAACAATAATTTATCATGCACAGCTTCTCACCCTTTAGTGGCAAGATAATTGATTTCCTATGGCTTCCCTAAAAACTAAAATACAAAAAGAAGGATGCGTTCAAATATAGTTTACATGCTTAAAAATTTGAAAAACTGCTTAAACCAGAAAAACTTATTGATGGTCATTTGAGAGCTCACTATAGGATCTAGAATAGGAAATTTTCCAGCAAAGCATAGAGAACTTGAAAAATTAAGGCTGCAGTCCTTGTAACATATGGTAGTGCCAGGTATTTTTCCCCCCACTGTATGAAAATGTGATAAAGAAATTGATTATGACTTCCAAAAAACACCTCCAAAGCCAAGGGTGTTGCCAAACTGATTCTTAATTAAACAAATACACATTTTAGAAATCCATGATTGTCTTTTTTGTCAGAAAATAGAAGAAAATAATGATGACAGTGTGAAATGGTTTTCAGTCTCTGAAATGTGGAATATGATCTGGTGATGCATGCATTGCTAGCAGAAGCAAATGCAATGTAACATGGACAGGCACACTGGCTATAGACATTGACCATCTGCTCAACACAGACCACCAAAAGATGATCAGGTCTGGTGATAGATACATGTAATTTTTCAGTATTATAAGAAACCCAGTAAAAGAGAGGCAGTTAGTGATGTATTTAAAAAATTGTATTCTCCAATACCCTAATATTCTATTTAGAAGATTTGTTCTACTTCATAACCATGTTTGTAAAAGAGTAATAATAATATTGGTGACTAGCATTCCATTCTTGTGATAGTTTTTCTTTTGTGTGTGTTACATAATAGCTAGTCACATAACAATTGTAAGGAGATAATGGAAACAACTCTCAAAAGTAGTATCTAAAAGCATCTCAGAAGAAAACTAAAAGGGTAATTATAAATCAGTATTTTAATGTCAGTAAGGGAATATTTTGCCACTTTTTATGGACTTGCCAGGTAGGTCACAAGATGCTACAAAACACTGTGAATTTTTAAGTTTAATTGCCAGCTTTTAAAAAGGTGGTTCTAGCAAAGCACCTTGTCTAAATTGAAATAAGATGAACAAAGTTACAGAAATAAAAGAAAGTTAAGTATTGGAAAAGGAGAGTATTAAAAATGGAATGATGCATCTATATTGGAATTGTGGTATGTAAGGCTTGATTGATAATTAAACACGGACCACATTATGGAAGGCATAGATGCCAGGCTATAGAATTTGGTTTGATACCATAGAGGCAAAGGAAGCCATTGCAATAATTTGTGTGTAAAGGGAAGGTGAAATTAAATATTTGATGTGCTTGGTGAAAGGTTTTACTGAAATCATGGAGATATTGAGACCATTATATTGAAATTAAAAAGATACTGATTTTTTAAAAAAATAAATGGACCATATTAAGGAATTTGGCATAGTCTAGAGAAAGTGAAGTGTCTGAAGGCTCTTGACGCTACTGTAATGATCCACGGCAGTATTTAGAGCTAATAGTTGACTCAAATGTTAGGTGTATCTAGGATAATGTCATCTTTTGCTTCTAAAACTATGGAGAATTTTTTCTTAATTTCAATAGCCACTACTATAATTCCTTGGACAGCACAGCAGTTTACATAGAGAACAGACTTTAGTTTTCAAAAATGTCTACATTGAATACAGCTCTGTAATTTACTAATTTTATAACCTTAAACAAGTCGTATAGGCTAACTCCAAGGCTTTCTTTTCTTGTTATTTAATTTGTGAAAACAATCCTTAAATGATAAGATTGATGTGAGGATTTATAAAGCTAGTGAAGGCCAGGCACAGTGGCTGGGGCCTGTAACGCCAGCACTTTGGGAGGCTGAGGCAGAAGGATTGCTTCAGCCCAGGAATTTGAGACCAGCTTGATGAACAACATAGACCCTGTTTCTACAATTTTTTTTTAACTAGCCAGTTGTGGTGGCATGCGCCCAGCATGCAGCTGGGAGCCTGAGGTGGGAGAATCATTTGACTCTGGGAGATTGAAGCTGCCGGGAGACGTGATCACCCCACTGCGCTCCAGACAGGGTGACAAAATGAGACCCTGTCTCAAAAAAATCAAACCAAACCAAACCAAAACAACAAAAAAGATAATGTAGATGAAATGTGTAACAGTCTCTCACACATGGCAGGCATTCAGTAAATAAATGACAGCTTTCTCCTTACTATTTATTACTACAAACATGTAGGAGTTCTTGCTCTTGGCATATCATTTGTCTGTAGACAGTAGAACATTGTAGATTCTGGAATTTGACAAATTTGGTTTCTATTTCTATCTCGCCAAACTGATAGCTATGTCCTTTAAATAAGTCACAAACGAGGACAATGACAGTGTCTACTTCTCAGAATTGAACGGGGGGTTCAATGAGAACGTCTTTAAGCACTTTGCATGGCTATTAGTAATATTGCTTCAGCCTTTCTTGCTTACTTGCTTGCAATAGGTAAGTGTTTCTATAGGTTTGGGGGTTATAGTTATATTAGTTCTGTTAATAAAGTAACCATGAGATTTACAGAGGAAGGAAAAAGAAGAAAACTTTAGTTTAAAGATCTGCAGTTTGGGGATGTAGCCGCTGGGGGAACCATAAGCACATGCTCTGCAGAAAGGGAGGAAACAGTGACTTTTAAACCTTCCAGGGTTTGTTTTCATGTATATTTGCCAGGTTTGGGGAATGTCTACAAGTATACAAGTCTAGTGCATGTGCAGTTAGTTAACATACATGTAAGGTACATCTCATATTTACTTTGGGGTGGGATTTTAACATTAAAATGAGATGGAATTTGGCTTTATTTATTTATTTCGAGACAGAGTCCCGCTCTGTCTCCCAGGCCGGAGCACGGTGGCACGATCTTGGCTCACGGCAACCTCTGCCTCCTGAGTTCAAGGGATTCTCGAGCCTTAGCCTCTTGAGTAGCTGGGATTACAGGAGTGCGCCACCACGCCCAGCTAATTTTTGTATTTTTAGTAGAGATGGGGTTTCACCATGTTGGACAGACTGGTCTCAAACTCCTGATCTCAAGTGATCTGCCCACCTCTGCCTCCTAAAGTGCTGGGATTACAGGCATAAGCCACTGCGCCCAGTCGGAATTTGGCTTTTTACATCAAAAGGTGAACTATAGGGCACAAAGACATTTTATGTGCAGCCTCTGTAAGCCAGCTGGAACTGGCTTAGTGTCTGTAACTTCTCATCAACAAAGAATGTTTGTAAGGCCAGTCTCCTATCCAACTGGAGCTGTTGGCCGGACCCTCAAGGAGGGGGTGTTTCAGTCAGCTGTTGTAAGGTTGTCCACCAGGGTCATTTGGACAGTGTTTCTCTCAAACCGGTTTCTGCCTAATAGCGGGAAAACATTATGGCAGTTAAGAAACCATATGGTATTTAGTAATGTTAGAGATATGTGAACAGCCCCTTTTATCTGCCATGGCTACTTAATTTTCTCTCCAGAGTCTCATGTTAGCCACAGAGAGTCCATCTTGCCTGTCAGCCGGGGGTACAATGATGACATTAAAATGAGAACAATAGTAGTGTCTTCTTCACAGAATGACCTGGGGATCGGAAAAGAAAATGGCTTTCACCACTCTGTATGGCTATTAATAACATCATTTTAGACCTTCCTGCTATACCCGCTTGCTTGTTTGCAATAGATAAATATTTCCATATATTTTTAGGTTACAGTTACATTAGTTCTTTTGGCCACCTTTTGAGCATACTTTAAATATTTTTTGGTCTTTTTTTCATGGTAAGCATCAATATGAACCAGTTTTTGAAAATATTTGACAGTTCTTTTACAACTGACATCAGATCATTTAAACTGCTGAATGGCCAAATATTATTTGCTGAGTTGATTTGCATTCTTTTTATCCCTCTAAGAAGTCATTTGTCACTCTTAAGATTATACTTTTAAGTAAATGCTTCTTCTCTGGGCTCTCTCTGGATGCATATGTTTATTTGTGAATTTATTTCACATATATTATTGATCAGCTTCTGTGATTAAGTTCACATAAGAAAAGGTGATACGATGAAGAGTATCTTCCTATTCTTCAAGTCATACAGTGTTATCTGAAGTGAAAGTATAGGTCTATGTATATACTTTCCCATCTAGACATTAAACTCTCTGATGTTTAAAAATATATATACATATGCATATATGTGTGTGTATATATAGAGAGGCTGATAGTAAAAATGTGCATATATAAATGTATATATATAAAATGTATAGGCATATGTAATGTAAATATATATGTATATATAATTGTATATAAAAATGTATATATACATATAAATTTTTACCACCAGCCTTCAGCACAATGTCTGGGACTTTAGAGACATAAATGTTTGAACTGTACTTTTTATCACTACCACGTGAGAATATGCCAAGTATTTCAGAAAGCCTACCTATAAAGATCCACTTATTAACATTATTTTAAAATATAGCAATAAAAAATCCAGGTGTGCCTTGGCTGAATATAATAGTTGCCTTTTTATCTCAAATTGTCCTATTAAGTCAGTTTCCTTTAATGCGTTATTCCAATATTGTGTATTAATATAATACTGTATAGAAAAAATAATATTGTGTTTTTTTCCTGAATTTTTACTTTTTTTTTCATATCCTACTAGAAATACTATGAGTTGTGCATTGTAATTTTTGGTATTAAGGGTGGATACATAGATATGTTAGTAAAATGGAACCAAATAGAATGGAAATATAGGTAATGAAATACTATACACAGTACTATATAATAATTTTAACTGAGGGAAATATCTACGAAAGAAGGAAGAAAAGTTCAATTTTATTGGATTTTTCTTCCTATTATACCTACTGTAGAATTTTACTTAAAGGATATCTATGTCATGCTAAGACGAAACACAAAGTACCATCTCTAAACTTCTCTTTCTAGTTTCTAAAGGGTAGAAACCACATCCTTTTTTTTTTTTTTTTTTTTTTGAGACAAAGTTTCCTTCTTGTTGCCCAGGCTAGAGTGCAATGGTGGGATCTTGGTTCACCACAACCTTTGTCCCCCAGGTTCAAGCGATTCTCTTCCCTAAGCCTCCCGAGTAGTTGGGATTACAGGCATGCGTCACCACACCTGGCTAATTTTTGTAGTTTTAGTAGCGATGGGGTTTCTCCAAGTTGGTCAGGCTGGTCTCAAACTCCCGACCTCAGTTGATCCACCTCCCAAAGTGCTGGGATTACAGGCATGAGCCGTTGTGCCCGGCCACGCATCCTCTTTTATTTGTATGTCTGGTCTGTGTATCTTCTACATTTTTTCTAGGGATCGTTTTGTCTAATAGAAATGTGCCTGTTAAGATAATGTTTATGTGTATTAATTTTTACTACAAATATAATATGCCTAGTTTTTCCCCTATCCAGAATTTATCAGATGCCAGCTGAGAGCATTTATTTATGAAAGAGCAAAGATACATCTACAATTTTATTCCTGAAATTTTGTTCTTGAAAAAAAGTGTCAGAACGTCAGGGCATAGCAAAGGTAATCTATTTTAGCTTAGTCTTTCAGTGAAATGCCATCAAATTGATATGAGTAAAATTTTTATCATTGGCTTTATCTATAGCCACTAAAAGTAATGTTTCATTAATTGTAGCAATTACTGCAAAATATCGCCCAGCTCATCATTTGGTAGTCCCATTAACAATGTGAGAAACTGAATTTAAGATGTAATTTTAAATAAAGCCTTGCTTAGGTCCTGATATTCTTTTTATTTTTTTGATAATGAGAATTAAAAAACAACAATGTATTCTTTTTCATATAGCTAAAAAGAAAATCAACACTAAACTTGAAGATCGATTGTATAAATTTTGTGAATCTGCTTGTATGTGTTTTGTTTTTCATTGGCCCTAACTTCATATATTGAGTTACATTTTATTCTGATTTCATTGTATTTTTTTTGACAGCTGCCTTAAACTTATTATGGAACAAATGTAAGGATGTAAAAATGTGTGCAAATGCAGATATTCTTTTGTGAATCTATAAACTTACCAAATAATCATAAAAAATAATGGCTTTAGTCTTGTCAGCTTCCAAAATAATTGTATCATTCATGAGTGCCATAGAGGTCACCTGGATCATTCTCTCAATTAAATGTTGATGTATGCAACAGTTAAATGACTTGCTCAAGTACACAACTTTATCTAGCAACTAAATCTTAGGGGAGACTTTCCTCTACAAACGTTATCGCTTTGGGATCTGGTTTATTTCTCATTATCTCTCCCCTGTTTCCTTCATGCTTATGCATCAGGCTTCTGAAATACTTGTGCTTCTTGAATGCAGTATCTTTTTATTTTTGTTTCTCTGCCTCTGTTTTTCATGTTTTCTTAATACTCCAGAGTTTTCTTTTCTCTCCTTACCTTTTCTGCTTAGAAAATTTGTAATTGGGTTTTAAGAATCTACATCAAAAAATGCCCCACACTACACAATTAATGACATTCTGTTGGGATCCTCATCGTGTCAAAGAAATTTTTATATGAATATATAAAGTAAAGACAGGTATACCTTCAGAGTAATGCATTGTTAATCAATTTCATCATTGTGTGAACATCATAGAGAGTACTTACATAAATCTACATGATACAGTTATCTGGTATATCTGTCTGGTATAACTTATTGCTGTAGGCTATAAAACTGTATAACATATTACTTTACCAAATGCTGTAAGCAAATGTAACAAAATAATAAGAACTTGTGTATCAAGACATATATAAACTTAGAAAAAGTACAATAAAATTATAGTATAACAGATAAAAAAATGGTATACCTGTATAGGGCATTTATCATGAATGGAGCTGGCAGGACTGAAAGTTGCTCTGGGTAAATCACTGAGTGAGTGGTGAGTTAATGTGAGGTCCTTGAACATTATTACATAATACAGTATACTTTATATAAACACTGTACACTTACACTACATTCAATTTATTTTTAAAAATAAGTAAAATGAGGTTACAACAGCTATGACATTACTAGGTGGTAGGACATTTTCAGCTTTGTTATAATCTCATGGGACCACAATTTGTATATGCAGTCCATCATTGACTAAAATCTCATTATGCAGAGCATGACCATATTTACTTAATTACGTTGGAAAGAACAGTTTCTCTTTCCAGATCCCTAGGCAACATTCAAGTTTCTTGACTGTGGAGATTGCATCTTCTGTTGAATTAATTTAGTTTATCATAAACAGAGAGTTTTAGAGTCACATGACTAGTTTTGTAGATTGGCATGTAAATGCTATTATTCTAAAACACTAGGAAGAATCCGTGTGCAAGTTTTTCAGTTTTCTAAGTTTTAAAGTTCCAACTGAATTTTTTTTTATTTTTAAAGTTCAAAATTTAAAACTTAGTCAACTAAAAAAGAATATACATTTGTACCTCTAAGACCAATTATCTGGGTCCCAAAATTCCTTTCACATGTGCTGACATTGATACACCATTTAGTATTCAAATCATAGGCATTCTAATGACCATACTATTGCATTGTAGACACTTTGAAGCTGGGTGATTCTACCCCTGTTGGCTATGCAAAGGGAAATGGATGCCCTGGGGAAAATTTCAAGATTTCAAAAGATTTTTTTTAACATATTTCAACAGTTGAAATGATAAAAAGACTGCCAGAATTTCTATTATGGGCCTGATTTATAGGGTTTACTATCGAAGCAGGTTTAAATTACAACAACTTGCCAATAGCAAAGAAAATTTATTTAAAACAAAGGTGAACCCATTTTTCATAATCTCTTAAGACTAAAATGGTCTTATTTTACCAGAAAAGTCCTGAAAGTTTACACAATTATTTAAACATGTGTTTTTAAAAGTTTTACTGGATGCAATTTTAAAGTAAAAATTGAACTTTATATGAGATGATTTCTTATTATGCAGTTAACAAATAGAGAACATTTTGAGCAACGTGTGGAATTTACTGATAGTTGAGATTTATATTTTATTTACTATCTGATTTTTAAATGTAGTAACTTTAATTTAGAAATTAAGTCAGGGACATAGTATACCCAACCTAAGGCATGTTACATTACTTTTTGCAAATCTAATAATTAAGACAAACAATGAGCATCATATAATAGATACAGATTAGGTATATCAAATAAGATAAAATTACTAGTCCATATCTCTAAAAGTGAATACAATACTAATGTTCCTCTATTTTTGTGAAAACAAGACTATGAAATATTCGTCAAAAATACATAACACACACGTATAAAGCACATCTTTATTTTCTATTTTTCTATTTTTGCTTTGTATAACTCTGCTTTTTGAGGGCTTTTTGATGTCATCATATAATCTTTGTATCTTTGTTATTCTGTTGTTGCTTTTCTGTACAACTTGTCTTCCAAACTACAGTATACATTATACTGTTAAATTTGTTTTTATTTCTTAGCCGACCCAGTCCAAGCCTGAGCTCACTGACTTTTTGTTGTAATTGTCGTTTTTTGATTGAATGGCTAAATATACTTACAGCAGGGAAAGGATGAAGACGAATGCTTGATGAGGGAATAATTATTTTTTAAAAGGTGAGAAATAGAGATGCATGTTTATTTTATGTAACTCACAGTCAGAAAGCACAGTGTATGGGAAATTTTCACTGGGCAGAAATGCTAATTGGGCCTGGGAAATAACAAAGAATAAGTTTTAAGCAGGGGAAGCTAAGAGAAAGTTCTATGCTTATCTGATAATTGTAAATAAGGTAGGGTTGACATACTTTCCGGTGACTCATGGACTCACATTGCGGTGCTGTTAGAGTTTTATAAGCTCCTCATTAACTGCTTCTAAACATCTCTTCCAGAAAGTTGTGTGTTTGTGTGTGTGTGTGTGTATGTTTATGTGTTTTGATAGAATGGTGTTCAGGTTTTGGGAACTTACTATAGAAACTTAGTCTTATATGCTTTGTTTTAAGGATCTTACTGACCTCACAGCTTCTGCCCAATATAATCTTGTCTAGTGTTTGGCCATCCAATATGGGTGCTCCACAGAATCCTTGAAAGGTACTATGCTGGAGCTTTGGAGTCATAACTAGATAGAAAGATTTTCAATTATGATAAGCCAAGGCTCACAGTGCGCTGAAAGATCTGAACCTAAGTCTGTTTCAGCGGGACTACAGTGCTTCTTGTGAAACTGAGAAATTGTTTGACTGATGCTCATCTGTTTGTGGAGAACGTTTGGGATTTCTCTGGAGCTGGCACTGTGTTCCACAGCCCAATTCCTAAGTGCTGGGCATTCATATAGGATACATGACTCGACAGATTGAAAGATCCTCTTCCCAGAATTGTAGTCTGATCTCACTAAGTCCCTCTGAGAGGGAGAATTTGTTATCAGTCTTCTTATGTTGACATTATGACTCAAAAAATACCAGTGAGATTAAAGACAGTCTCAAAATAAATCCCCATTTTGGGCCTTCTCATATCTGTTTCCTGCTCCACTTGGCTTCCAGCAGATTCTACATTCTTCGTGTCATTAACTAAGAATCACAGAAGTTACACATCACCAGACTTATTGGGTCATCTGATCTCCCCCTTTTTCCTGCCCCATGCATTCTGTTTTAGTGAGTGACAGTCTCTCTTTTTTTTTTTTTTTTTTTTTAAGAGAGGACAATGCTGATGATGGAAACATACTGGCAGGACTTGCAAGTTAGGCAGGATGATTTGTTTTTTTACCACATGCATTTACTCACCTGTTCCATGGGTTCCAACAAGCCTAAAATTCATTCAAAATAGCACTTTACTCTTCAGGACTTTTATATACTAAAATGCAGCCCCACTCCTTAAGGTACAAATAACTTATCTAAAATTACATGGGGAGTATCTATGGTAAACTACTTAGGCATATCTGTAAAATAATATAGAGAACTTAAACATAATGAAATAAGTAATATAGACTATTTAAACACATTGAACAAAGAGGGCTGTCATTAGTAACCCATGCTCCTGAGTTTCCTTGCTTCATCAGCTTAACCAGTCAATCCAGAGGTCATAATTTTTACATAGCATCAAACACCATGGTCCACTCATCAGCTAAACATATGCTCCATCCCCTCCTCATGCTTTGGATATACATGCATCTTACCTGAGGCATAAACCTGAGAGGGTATTTTTACTTATACATAGTAGTGGGTACATCATAGGGGTAAAATTCATGCAAACAGATGGAAAGAGCTAACAGGAGCATACTGATACCAGCCTCTAGAATAATCAGACAATTTACAAAGGTTTTTTATTCTGGCATTTGATCTTATCCATTCTTTCTCCTAAAATCTGTTTGTCTTCTACTTCTATTCCCTTGTTCGATCCCAGACTACCTTTATCTGCTTTCCCAACAACTGCAGCAGCCTTTCTCCTTTCATCTAGTTTCTCTTTCCTCTAATCCTGATTTTTGATGCTGTAGACAGTCATCTTTTCAAAACAAATCTGATCATCTCATATTTTTTTTTGTATAAAACTGTTCAATGGCTTATCATGGATTTAAAGACTAGGCCCAAATCAATTACCATGGTGTATGAGGCTCTTCATTTACCCTTTCCTTTCACAATTTTTTTTCCAACCTTATTGAAGTTTTGTCAGCTTCTCAAACACGCCACCATCTCTGTTGCCTGTAAGCCTGCACTGTGTGTCACATGTTTGTGCTCCCTTCTTGTAATACTGTCCTTCACTACCTTAACCTGACATTCTGTAGATAAGTTTAAATCTCCGGTTACGTATTACTTCTCCATTTAGTTCCTCATTTTTTCATTCACTCATTTGTTTAACCAATATTTATTCAACACCGGCTATAAGTAAGGCACTGTAGAAGGTACTAGGCTATGGTGACCAAGACAGTCACTAAAATCATAGAATTTATAGCACAAATTCACTCTGCTAAAATTGCTGTAAGTCCTTTCCTCTGCATTGTATAACGACTATCCAAGTTAAAATAATACCATCTTAAACATTCATTTCTGCAAAAGCCTAAAGATTTATTCCCTCCCCTCAACCGCCCTTCATTCATTGAAATGTTCTTACTCATTGTATCAATTTAAATGCCATTTCCTTAAGGATTTCTCCTTCTGACCACAGAGAAGTAAGTGTGAAGGATATGATTTGCTCTATTCTGCTCAGATGTGATGTCATATTTCTTTTTTTAATTGTGAGAGAATTTACATAACGTAAAATTATTTTAAACTGATCCATTCAATGGCAATTAGTACATTAGCAATGTTGTGCAACCACCACTTCTGTCTAGTTCCAAAACATTTGAGCGCATTGCGCACTTGTTCTTCATTCTCCCCTCACTCCAGCCCCTAAAAACTACCAGTCCACCTTCTCTCTCTCTGACTTTACCTCTTCTGAATATTTCATATAAATGGGCTAATATAATATGTGACCTTTGTGTCTGGCTTCTTTCACTTAGCATAATGTTTTTGAGATTTGTCCATGTTGTAGAATGTATCAGTACTTCATTCCTATTTATGTCTGAATAATATTACATTGTATGTATAGACTACAGTTTATCATTCATCCATTGAAGAACATCCAGACTTTTTAAAATCTTTTGCATAATGCCAACAATGCTGATACTGTAATTGTATTTGTTTGAGTACTTGTTTTAAACTATTTTGGATATGTACGTAGGATTTGCTGGTTCATTTGGCAATTCTATGTTTATGTTTTTGAGGGAGTGCCAAACGTTTTTTACTCCAGGTGAAACATTTTAGTCTCCTACCAGCAGTGTACAAGATTTCCAATTTCTCTACATTCTCATCAACGCTTTTTTTTTCTTTATTAAAAATATTAATATAGCCTTTGTAGGAGGAGTGGCTTTCCACCTTATTGTAGTTTTGATTTGCATTTTTCTTATGATGAATGATGTTGAGCATCTTTTCCTGTGCTCATTGGTGCTTTGTTCATCTACTTTTTATTTATTTATTTAGAAATGGAGTTTCGCTCTTGTTCCCCAGGCTGGAGTGCAATGGCGTGATCTCGGCTCACTGCAAGCTCCACCTCCCAGGTTCAAGCGATTCTCTTGCCTCAGCCCCCTGAGTAGCTGGGATTACAGGCACATGCCATCACTCCTGGCCAATTTTCATATTTTTAGTAGAGACGGCTTCACCATGTTGGCCAGGCTGGTCTCAAACTCCCGACCTCTGGTGATCCACCTGCCTCAGCCTCCCAAAGTGCTGGGATTATAGGCATGAGCCACCTCACCAAGGCTGTGTTCATCTACTTTAAAGAAATGTCCATCAATGTTGTTTGCCCACTTTTTAACTGGGATGTTTGCCTTTTTGTTGAGTTGTAAGAGTATTATATATATTTTGTATACTAGAGCCTTATCGGATATATTATTTGAAAATATTTTCTCTCCTTCTGTAGATTGCTTTTTCGCTTTCTTGGTAATGTCCTTTTATGCACCAAAGGGTTTTAATTTTGATGAAGTCCAGTTTATCTGTTTTGTTGTTGTTGTTGTTGTTGTTGCTCCTCGTGCGTTTGTTCTCGTATCTAAGAATTCATTGCCAATGCTAAATTAATGAATATTCGTTCATGATTTTAAAAAGAGTTTTGATTTTAGCTCTCCCTATGTTTAACTCTTTGGTTCACTTTGAGTTAATTTTTGCGTATGGTGTGAAATAGGAGCCTAACTTCATTCTTTTGCATGTGGATATCTGGTTATCCCAGCACCATTTGTTGAAGAGACTATTTATCCCCCATTGACTGGTCTCAGCACCTTTTGTCCAAAATCAAGTGCCCCTAGATATATATATTTTATACTCTTAATTCTATTCCATTGATCTACATGTATGCCATTATGCCTATAACACATTGTTTTGATTATTGTAGCTTTATTGTAAGTGTTGAAATCAGGACATGAGTCCTCCAATTTGTTCTTATTCTAGGTTCTTTCGGCTACTCAGAGACCCTTGTAATTCCATAAGAATTTGAGGATTGGCTTTTCTATTTCTGTAAAAAAGCTTGTTGGAATTTTAATAGGCTAACACTGAATCTAGTGTGAGTAGTAGTGGCATCTTAATATATTAAGTTTCAAATCTATGAACACGGATATGATTCCATTTATTTAGGTCTTACATTTTAGCAATGTTTTGTAATTTTCAGTACACAAGTCTTTCATCTCCTTGGCTAAACTTATTCCTAGTTATTTTTTTCTTTTGGATGATGTTATAAATGTAGTTTTTTCAATTATTTTTGTTTATTGCTAGTGTGAGGAACATAATCAATTTTTGTGTGTCAATCATGTGCCCGGCAAATTTGCTGAATTTTTAAATAGCTCTAGTAATTTTTTGTGAATTCTTTGAGATTTTGCTACATATTGGTTCATATCATCTGATAATAGAGATAGTTATGCTTCTTCTTTTCCAAACTTGAGGGCTTTTATTTCCTACTATTGCTGAATTGCTCTAACTAGACTTTTCAGTACAACATTCAGCAGAAGTGTTAAAAGTGAGCATTGTTGTTTTATCCTGATCTTAGGGTGAAAACTTTCAAACTTCCACCATTGAGTTAGTTATGTTAGCTGTGGGTTTAAAAAAAATGTCCTTTATTATATTGAAGTAGTTTCCATCTAATCTTAGTTTCTGAGTATTATTTAATTTATTTATTTAATTAATTTATTTATTTTTGAGACAGAAGTCTCGCACTGTCGCCCAGGCTTGAGTGCAGTGGCGCCATCTTGGCTCACCGCAACCTCTGCCTCACGGGTTCAAGCGATTCTCTTGCCTCAGCCTCCCAAGTAGCTGGGATTACAGGCACCCACCACCATACCCAGCTAATATTTGTATTTTTAGTAGAGGTGGGGTTTCATCTTGTTGGCCAGGCTGGTCTCAAACTCCTGACCTCAGGTGATCTGCCTGTCTTGGCCTCCCAAAGTGCTGAGATTACAGGTGTGAGCCACTGCGCCCGGCCATTGAGTATTATTTTAATGAAAGAGTGATTTTGACAAGTGCTTTTCCTCAATCAGTTGAAATGATTATGTGTTTCTTCCCTTCATTTTATTAGTAATATATATTAATAAAACATATTTCATTGATTTTCTTACATTGAACCAATCTTGCATTTGTATAGTAAATCCCACATGGTCATTGCATATAATCTTTTTAATACGTTGTTGGATTTAGTTTGTTAAGGTGTTTTGTTTTTGTTTTTCTGTTTGTTTGATTGTTTTTGGTTTCTATCCGTAAGGGATATTGGTATGCAGTTTTCTTTTCTTGCAGTTTCTTCCCTTTGGTGTTAGGAAATACATATCTCATTGAATGAATTAGATAATGTTCCTTCCTCTTTTATATTTCAGAAGAGTCTAAGAAGTTTTGATGTTAATTGTTTAAATATTTGGTAGAATTCACCAGTGAAGCCCTCTGTTCTTGACCTTTTCAATGTTGGCAGATTTTTAAATTATTGATTCTATCTCTTTACTTCTTATACATCTGTTAAGATTTTAAAAATATATTATTCAGTCACCTTTGGTAATTTGTGTGCCTAGGAATTTGTTCACTTTATCTAAGCTATCTAATTTGTTCATGTGCAATTGTTCATATCATTTTCTTATAATACTCTTATTTCTAAAAGTTTGGAAGTAATGTCTATACTTTGATTTTAGTTATTCTATTTTCTCTTTTTTTCCCCTTGTTGTACAGCTAAAGGGTTGCCAATTATTTGTCTTTTAAAGAAGCAAATTTTGATTTCATTGGTTTTCCTTATTTTCCTATATGTTCTGTCATTTATCTGTGCTCTAATCTTTATAACTTCCTTTCTTCTGCTAGCTTTGGGTTTAGTGTGCACTTTTTTCATAGTTCCTTAAATTATAAATATGGCGTATTTATTTGAGTTTCTTCTCTATTTTTAAATATAGTTGTTTATGGCTACAACTTTCCTTATGAACATAATTTAGTATGTGTGCTTTTGTTTTCATTTGTCTTTTAGGTATTTTCTAATTTCCCTTGTGATTTCTTCATTGACTCATTGGTTGTTAAAGTCTTTTTAAATTTCTACATATTTGGCAGTTTTCTAGTTTATCTTTTATTAATTTCTAACTTTATTCCATTGTGGTTTGAGAAGATATTCTGTATAATATCAGTTGTTTTAGAATTTATGAAAATTTGCTTTTTGGCATTACATACTATCTATACTGGAGAATGTTCCTTGTGCACTTGAAAAGAATGTGTATTCTGTGGATGCTGGTGGAATATTCTATATATTCAATTTATAGTGTTTATCCAGTCCCTGATTTTCTTATTGATCTCCTGTTAGATGTACTAATTATTATTGAAAGTAGTATATTGAAGTCTCCAACTATTATTGTAGAACTATCTTTTTCTCAAATCTGTGCATGTTTGCTTCATATTTCTTGGGCCTTTGTTGTTTAGCACATATATTTTTATAATTGTTATATGTGCTTAGATGAATTTACCTCTTTTTAAATATATCGTATTTTTCTTTGTCTCTCTGGTAATAGTTTTTTTACATAAGTCTAATTCGTTTGATGTTAATGTAACTATCTCAGGTCTTTCTTTTGGTGCTATTTGCATGGAATATCTTTTCCCATCATTTCACTTCAAGCTATGTGTGTCTTTGCATATAAAGTGACTCTTCTATGGACAGTATATAGGTTGGATCATGCTTTTTTAAAAAGCATATTCTGCCTATCTTTGTGTTTTAATTGGAGAGTTTCATCCATTTCATTTAAAGTAATTTTTGATGAGTAAGGAATTAATTCTGCCACTTTATAACTTGTTTTCTGTATGTATTACAGATTGAATATTCCTTATCCAAAATGTTTGAAACCATAAGTGTTTTGGATTTTGGATTTTTGGGGGGGATTTTAAAGTATTTGCATGTGCATAATGAGATATCTTGGAGATGGGACCCAAGTCTAAACATAAAATTTTTGTTTCATACACACCTTACACACATAACCTGAAAGTATTTTTATACAATATTTTTCATAATTTTGTGCATGAAACAAAAGTTGTATACATTGAACCATCAGAAAACAAAGCTGTCACTATCTTAGCCATCCATGTAGATAATCTGTGGTTGTTTTAATCACCATCATTTGTGACTCTGAATTTGTAGGCTACTGATAAGCAATCATTTTATTACATTTATTCACACATAATTACTTAACAGTAAAAAAATGACATGCCATTAATACATTGAAAAAATAATGTATTTAGAGAAACTAAGCAGCATCCTAGTAGCACCAGTATGACCTGCATCAACTGTTACACAATAGCAACAGCAAACGATGACAGGTTTTCAATCTCCACCTACAATGCTGTGTTTTGATTAAAAGGTTTCTGTACACTGTATTCCTTTTTAGATGAAAAGAATAATCAGAAGCAGTTGAGGGAATAGGAAGTGAGTCCTCTAGGAATGAGGAGGCATTCTACTGAATGGTTTTTAAAAATATGTCTTCTAGAGTCATCTGCCTCATTAACAATTTTTTTTTTTTATCTTAGAAGTCACCTTTTGGTTTTATAAACTAACATGATTTTTTGTTCTGTCATGAATGCATGCTGCTCTTGTTCTGCAATAAACCCATTACATATTTTCATCATGTTGTCTATAGGCACTTTTTCTGCAGTATAAGCAACACGAGTTTCATTGCCACTATTGCAAGTTAAGTGTACCTTATCCAAAATGATTGGGACCAGAGATAGGGAATTTTCCACTGGTGGCATCATATCCATGCCCAAAACTTGTGGATTGTTGATCATTGCAGATTTTAGATTTTTAGGTCAAGAATACTCAAACTGTATATATTTTTCCTCTTTTTTCTTCAATTACTGTTTTCTTTTGTACTTAATATTTTGTAGTGTACTCTTGATTCTCTTCTCATTTGTATTGTGTGTATTTTCAGGTATTTTATTAGTGGTTAACATTGGGCTTACAATTAACATCTATAACATTTATATAAAACTAACTTGCATTAATACAATTTAGCTGCAGTGGCGTACAAAAATTCAGCTCCTAAGTGTTGGGAAAACCAGCCCCACACCACCCAGCGGGTACCCCGAGTCCAGCAGAGACAAAGGTATTAGAAAGACACAGGATAAGGGTTTAAAAGGCGGGTCCAGGGGACCAGAGCGTTGGAGGCTTGCTCACCACTTGGAGCCTCCACCCAATTTATTGGTTTACAAGCTCTTTGTTCTTAGGGCAGATGGGAGAGGTAGGAAGGGATGAGGAAAAGGATTAATCAGTGAAGGAGAACTGGTGAGTCATTCAATAAGATACATAGCAGTGGTGGTTTCTGTGAATTTCCTCAAGCAAAGGCATGTGTCTAAACTGCTTAAGATCTTTAACAGTCTTTAACAGAAATGGATGGGAGTGGGTTTCAGGAGGGGCCAAGATGTTTGATTATACTCCACTGCTTCAAGGGAGTGTTATTTCCCCGAGCAACCTGTGGCATGCTGCTGAGCTATTATGCTCTAGGGGCATAAAGACATGAAGGCAATAAAGAGACTTTTCTCCTCAGAGGCCACCCATGGCTTCCCATGGGTGTCTCACACAGGGGAGACCAACTCATCTGGCACCCCAGAAATTCTTTTTCCCACACTACGTAGCTGTTTCTTTTATGTTATTTAAAAAATTATATCTCAATACATTTCACACCTATTAATATAGATTTCCAATTTCTTAAATATATTTGTCTTTCCAATAATGCAGGAAAATTAAAAGAAGACTCATAAACTAAAAATGCAATAATACTAGATTTTAAATTTAGCTATGTAGTTACCTTTATTTTAGCAGAGTTATTTATTTCTTTATATGGCTCCAAGTTCCTTTCTAGTATCCTTTCATTTTAGCCTAAAGTACTCCTTTTAACATTTTTTTTTCCTGTTTTCACTTTTTAACGTCTTTGAAATTGCAATGTGTTTTCCATGTCAGCTCCTTAGCTTTGGCATGTAACTAGAGCAGAATTTGACCTTTCACCTTTTAAAAAATAAAAAATGTATATATTTAAGGTATACAGTATGATGACATCGTAAAAGGATTACTACATCAAACTAATTAACATAGCCATAGTTATGGTAGCTTTTTTGTGTGTGAGTGTGGTAAGAACACTTAAGATCATCCCTCAGCATATTTTACGTATAGAATGTCATTAATTATAATCACTATGCTGTAAAATTGATGTCTAGAACTTACTTATCCTATATAACTGAAACTTTTGTACCATTTGACCAATGTCTCTCCATTTCTTGTATCCTCCAACCCTTGTTAAATACCGTTCTACTCTCTGCTTCTATGAGTTTGACTATTTTATATTCCACACATGAATAAGATTATGCAACATTTTCTCTGCATCTGGACATATTTTACTTACCATAATGTCCTATAGGTTCATCTATGTTATTGCAAATGGAAGTGTTTCCTGCCTTTTAAAGCCTGAATACTACTTTACTGCATATATACAGATGGTTCACAACTTTTGACTTACAGTTCTTTGACTTTGTTTTGGGTATACTGAGGCATTAAATACATTTTTGACATAATATTTTCTACTTACAATGGTTTCTTCAGGACATAATCACATCATAAATTGAGGAGCATCTGTATACCATATATTTTTTATCCATTCAACCATTGATGAAAAATTACGTTATTTCCATAACCTGGCCATTGTGAATAAGGTTACAATGAATGTGAAATTGTTGATATCTCTTTGACACATTTATTTTTTTCCTTTGGATATATACACAGAAGTGGGATTGCTGGATTATATATGGTAGTTTTATTTTTTATTTTTTGAGGAGCCTCTATACTGTTTTCCATTATAGTTGTGCCAATTTACATTCTCACCAACAGTATAGGAGGGTTTATTTTTCTCCATTAACACTTATCATCTTTTGACTTTCTGATAGCCTTCCCAGCAGGTGTGATGTGATGTCTCATTGTGGTTTTGATTCACATTTCTCTGATGGCAAATGATGTTGTGCACCTTTTCATATACTTATTGGTCATTTGTATGTCTTCTTTGGAAAATGTATATTCATATTCTTTGCCTATTTTAAAATCAGATTGTTTTCTTGCTATTATTTTATGAGTTACTACTGTATTTTGGATATTGATCCTCTATCGGAAGCAAGGTTTGCAAATATTTTTTTTTCTCATTCTTTAAGTTGCCTTTTCACTCTGTTGACTTTTTCCTTTGCTAGGCAAAAAGCTTTTTAGTTTCAGGTAGTCCCACTTGTTTACTTTTGCTTTCTTTGCTTATACTGTGGATGTCATATCAAAAAATCACTGCTGAGACCAATGTCAAAGAGCTTTCTCCAAACAACCACCTGGCAACCCAGAAATAAATTCAACTTGCTCAAGGAAAATTATCTTTTTAATGCGTTGTTGCATTTGTTTTGCTAGTATGTCATTGAAGACTTTTGCATCTATGTTCCCAACTGCAAAAAGAGAGGCTAGAGCTGATCCTGGGATCCTCTCAGGACCTGCTGTGAGATGAAGGCCAGCAAACCTATCTTGTTGGTTTTGACAAGCCATGTCTCTCAGCAGGCCTCTGCGCTGGCAGGTTATGTCCCCGACTTCAGTAAGAGAGACTAGAGCTGAGACTGGGACCCTTTGGGATCTGCTGTCAAACAAAGGCTAGTGAGACTGTCTGTTGGCTCAAATAAGCACATATCTTCTAGTAAGTCTCTGCACAGGCAGTTCTCTGAGTGTAGCAGGAGAAGCTGAACCTGAGACTGAGTCCTTTCAGTATCTGCTGTGGCACAGAGGCTGGCAAGCCCATCACAGAGTCTTAGACTACTGGGCTATGAATTATGGGCAAGTTTCCCTCTGGTACCTCATGTGAATAGTTCTAAACTGGGACCTCAGTTGAAGGGGGCTGGAGTCACTCCACATGGCAATTTTCAGGTTCACTGCTGAGAAATGATGTCAGTGAGCAGATGAGCCGCTATGCCAAGACACTAGTGTGAGAAAATCTTCCTGGACCTTTTGGCAGATGGTTGAGCTTGCAGGCTGAAGACAAAATTAGGTGGTAGCCAAGCCTTTCAGGGAATGGGGCCATTTCTGGACTTGAAGCTGGGAGTGTGATTAGCATGTTTACTAACTGTGTGTCTGTCTACACACTTAAAATGACCTTCCTAGATCCTGGGCTCCACCAAATTTCCAATCTTGTACCTAAATTCTGAGGATCCCACAAAGAGACTTTAGTCTGTTGGTGGGTGCAGAATTCTTGTTTTGGAAGGATATAAGCAGGTGCCCTATTCAGCCATCTTCCTGATGTCTAAGCTCCTTTTCCTTTTGAAGGACAGATTTCCCATGCTGGCAGGTTTTTTGTTTTGTTTTGTTTTGTTTTCCAGGACTCTGAGTATATTATCCTACTCCCTTCAGGCCAAGAAGGTTTCTGCTGAAAAATTTCTTGACTGTCTTTATTAAGCTTCTCTTGTATGTAAATCACTCTTCACTTATTGCTTTCTATTTTTTTTTTCTTTTTAACTTGTGACAATTTGATGTGTCTCAGTATGGGTTCTTTTGTATTTGTATTATTTGGTATCCTTTAGGATTCCTGGATCTGAATGTTCATTCTGTTCCCCAAGTTTGGGAAACTTTTAGCCATTAATTTTCAAGTAAGCCTTCTGTCCCTTTCTCTTTTCTCCTTCTGGAATTTCCATAATGCTTACATTGCCATCTCGTAAGTCCTTTAAGCTATCTTCACTCTTTTTCATTCTGTTTTTTTTTTTCTCTTTTGACTGGATGGATGATTTCTGATGACCTATCTTTAAGTTAACTGATCCTTTCTCCTGCTTGATCGAGTCTGCTCTTGAACCACTTATAGTTTTTAGTTCAGTGATTTCATTCTTCAGTTTTGTGATTTCTGTTTGGTACTTTTTAATATTTTCCATGGCTTTATTGAAATATTCACTTTGTTCCTGCATTGCTTTCCTGAACTCAGCGAGCATTTTTATGACCATTATTTTTTGTTATCTATAGGACAAATCATGTATCTTCATTTCATCAGGGTCAGCTTCTGGAGATTATCTTTTTTCTTTTACATGAAACATATTCATATGTTTTCTTCACTTTTCTTGACTAACTAACTCTGTTAGTTTCTACACATTATATTTTAAAAATCACCTCGCCCGGTCTTCACATATTGGTTTATATAAGACAGGAACCTCATCAAACAGCCTGGCCAGAGATTCTAGATGCCTCCCACCTTTGAGCTTATCCTAACCACCATCTGCAATCTTACTTGTCCTCAAGAGACTAAAGTATGACAAGTCCCATTAACGCCTCAAGACATGTGAAAGAGAAACCAGTCCATTGAGTAACAGCCAGAAAACTTGAGGTGCTACATGTGTGGTCCAGCTCCTTCTCTCCTCGGGGAAAAAGCTGGGACCTAGATTTTATCACCCACTTCCTCTGCACTGAGCTGAGGAGAGAAGCTGTGGGAAATACATGCACATGTGTTTAGAATGCTCTTGAAATCATCTCTTTGCTCTTTTTGCACCTAGAGGCCTAATGAATTCCAAGCCCTGTCAGCTCTCAGAACAGCTGTTACAAAAGCCAGTTCCCCAAGTAACAGTCAGAAAAGTTGGGGGCAGGAGGCAGATGTATAATCCAACATCTTAGGAGAAGTTGAAGGCTTGATTTTATCACTGGAGTGAGCTGGGGAGATTTTATCACTAGAGTGAGCAGTGGCAAGTGCCTACATGCTTGTTCAGACTATTAGTTGGGTAGCGACTGTCTGGTCCATTAACTCTCAGGCACAAGTGAGTTAGAAGCCAGACTCTTGGACAGCAGCTGGAAAAGATGCAATATTAGATGTGTAGCCAAACCCCTTCCAGGGAAAAGCTTAGAGCTTGCTTTTTTTTTTTTTTCTCCTGGAGCAAACCAAGAGGAAGAGCCCCAGGAGGAGCTCACATGACTGCTCAAAACTGCCGCTTTGTTCTCTGTAGACTCTGGGGGACTAGTGAGTGCTGGATCTCAACAGCTCCAAGAGACAAGCAAGTTAAAAGCTGGACCCTCAAACAGTAGCACGAAAAATCAGACTCTACATTAGTGTAGTTGAATTCTTTTCAAGGAGAAACTGGAAGTGTTTATTTTGTTTTTATTTATTTAGTTTCTTCAGGAGCAGGCTGAGGAAGGGCTTTGCAAAATGCTCACCCACCCATTTTAGGCAGACCTTTAGGCAGTAGCTGAAAAAGCTGAGAATTGGATCCTCAGTCTAATCCCTTTCATGGAGAATCTAGGAGCTTGGCTTTATTGCTTGCTCATTCTGTGCTTGCCTAGGGGGAAAAGCTGTGGCAGGTACTCATGTGCCTGTTTAAAACTGTCTTTTTATTCTCTATGGTTCCAGGGAACTAGTAAATGCTGGGTCCTATCAACTCATAGAGATAGGGGAGTTAGAATCCAGTCCCATAAGTAGCAGCCATAAAAGTTGGGGTGCTAGATAAGTGGTTCAAGCCCTTCATTTTTCAGGGAGAAGCTGGGAGTTCAGTTACTTCCCAATTATGTGGCTTTGCTGAGGGTGAGGTTTATGATCAGCTTTTCCTGCCTGTTTCAATATGGGTATTTTCTCAGTTGCCTGTTGTGCAGGCATCTCTCAACTAGATTCTGAATTCTTGCACAGGAAATTGAACTACGTGTAGCTCTGTATTTGGTGCATTCATGGGTAATGGAAGAGTCTGTAGCTTCATATTCTGGCACATGATTGGCATCACTCTCTCCCTTTAACATTTCTTCTAGGGCAGATCTACTATTAATGAACTTGTTTCATTAATAAACTTAGCCTTTGTCTATTTGGGATGTTTTAATTTCTCAATTCTTGTGGGGTAGTTTTGCCAGATATGCAATTCCTGTTTGCAGATTTTTAAATTTTAGCACTTTAAAATAGTTATGCCACTCTATTCCAGTCTTCACGTGTTCTGATGAAAAATCTGCTGTTCATCTCATTGAGATCCTTTATACATGGTGAATTGCTGCTTCTTTACTGCTTTTAGGATCTCCTCTTTCTTTCTGGCTATTGACAATTTGATTATAATGTAGGTTGGATGGATCTTTTTGTGTTTGTTCCCTTGAGATTTGTTGGGTTTCTTGAATGTGTATACTTTATCAAATTTTAGAAGTTTTCAACTATAATGTATTCAAATATTCTCACTTCCCTGTTCGTCTCCTTTCTTTCTGGGATTTCCGTTATATGAGTGGTTGTCTGCTCGGTGGCATCTCACAGGTTTCTTAGTGTCTGTTCATTCTTCTTCATATTTGGGCTTTCAGCTCTTCAGACTGAATAATTTCAGTTAACTGGCCTTAAAGTTCATGTATTCTTTCTTCTGCCTGCTCAAATCTGCTGTTCAAACCTGCTATTCTTTCTTCTGATATTCAAATCTGCTATTCAAAATAATGAGTTCTCTTTGTCAGTTGATGTACTTCTTTTTTAAGAGATGGAGTTTCACAGAGTTGCCCAGGTTAGAGTGTAGTGGCATTATCTTAGCTCACTGTAGCCTCAAACTCCTGGGCTGAAGCAATTATCCTGCCTCAGCTTCCTGAGTAGCTGGTACAACAGGCATGAGCTACCATGCCTAGATAACTTGTTTAGAGATGGTTTCTCACTATGTTTCCTATGCTGGTCTTGAACTCCTGGCCTCAAGAGTTCATTCCACCACAGCCTACCATGTGCTCTTTAATTATAGAATTTCTTTTTAAGTTCTTTTTATAATTTCTCTTTATTGATATTTTCTAGTTTTCCTGTAGTTTTACTCGTGGTTGCCTTTACCTCTTTTAGTATATTTGAGAATTTTGCTTTAAAATCTTTGTCTAAAATGTTCAATGTTCTTCAGGCAGCTCTGTTAACTCCTGTGAATGAGCCATATTCTTTTGTTTCTTCACAGGCTTCAAAATTATTTCTTTGAAATGTGGATATATTGAATATTATAATATGGTAACTCTGGAAATCAGATTATTTCCTTTCTTCAAGGTTTTCTTTTGTTGCTTGCTATGGCTTGTAGCTGTTTGTTATAGTGCAGCTTCAGAGTTGGTTAGAAATTTCAGCATAAAAGTCAAAAGCAGGAATGATCAGTCACATGTTGTTCATTATTAGCTAAACAAAGGAGGAGAAAGAAAAAACAAAGCAACAAAGCCAGCATTTATTAAAAGCACAGATTGTCCTTATATCTTAAAAACATTTTTCATTTGGTGCTGTCTTTATATAGGAGGCATTTAGTGATAGCATAGACAATGTTCTCCTCAAAACTCCTATGAAGACATTTTTTAAAATGCCTCTCTTACAAGCCAGTTGGTAATACTAAAATGCAATTCACTCTAAAGATAAATATAGGGGCTGTGGTATTTTGTGAAATTAATTTAAAAGAAATGTAATATATTTTTCTATATATAATAATTAAAGATATTATTAGGCCTCACATAAAATATTTGTAGTGGATAATGAGTTAACAAATCTTTCAAAATTCAAACTATGATTTGAAATTCAATTGTGCATTTTTCTATATGTTGCATATCCAACAGTGAATTTTTGAACTAGTTAAGAAGATGTCTCTAGGTAGTTTAAGAGAGATCTGAGGATAACTAAAAAATTGGGGAGGAAATTACACTTTTCAAATCTTTGTTTAGAAAAATAAATTAGAACCTGTCTTTAAACTACTGTTCAACATGACAATCCATGAATGAAAAGAAAGAAAGCATATTCAAAGTAAAAATGAAGGACTTGTTTACGTAAAAAAAGAAAAAACACAATTCATTGGAAGTTACTATGTATTTTTGCAGGTGTTGATCAAAAAGACTTGTTTATTTCATATTTGTAAAATATACACACATTCTATAATTTCTTTAGAAAATTAGATATTTTTTGGATGAATATATTTCGAAAATATATTTGATCGGGAAACAAATTTGGAATGAAACATGAAGAAGATATAGAATGTAAACTCCATGAAAACAGATACATTACTTTTCCCATGCACTGCTCATATCCCCAAAATGTTTTGCATTTAGATTTATAGACATGTGTTGAAAGAAAGACAGATAGAAACACCCGCCTTCCTTTTTTTGAGAGTTCACAACTTAGTATGAGCCCAGGACAAAACAAGATAATCTGTAAAATACTTCTTTAGAATATCTAATGTAAATAAAGCGGTTGAGGTACTTTATTTTTCATTTTTACTGCCTTACATTGAGATTACATATCAGAATTTAAGAATACAGAAAATTTTTATTATCTACTCTGATTGAAATAGAAAGTGGGAAAGAGCATTTGTAAGATTTTAAATGTTTTTATAGTCTGATAATTTTATAAAATTTAATATTACTAACATGACTATCAACATAAAAATAATGTGTTATTTCTTTCTTTTGAAAGTATGTGCAGGTTTTTCTACATTTAAATTATTTGTTTATTTTAGCCACTCATTTTAAATTTTCTATGTTGGACTTCAAATATCTAGAAATCTAATTGTTAAAAAATTTTCATGCATATTTTAAAACATTTCTGCATCTAAAAACAGATTGCAAGAGATCAGATCAAGATGACTTACTAGATGCAGGTAGAATGTGCCTCCTCCACGGAGAAGAATGCGAATAGTAAGTAGATGCTCACATTTTGAAGAGATTGTCTAGGAGAGAATAATATGATACACCAGAGAAGTGATGGGAAGCACCAGAAGTAAGGAGAGGATTTGTGGCAGTTTGCCTGGCCAGAGACTGGCTGACAGTCAGGCGATCCTCCTGGATGTGGGGAAACAGTAAGAGAGAAACTCCCAGAGCTCCACATTTTGAAATGGGCTTTTATGATCTTCGCTATAGGAGACACCCTAGACTCACTGGGGGCTCAGGCTTGATATATGGAGATACCTAAAGATTGCACAGAGATGTTGCTGCAAAAAGAGAACCCATATGGAATCCCACAGTCATTTGATCCTAGAGCAGCTTGAGCTGAGTGCTATTTTGAAAGCCTAGATACCAGGGATCTACAGACATGGCGGCTGCTGCTACACTGCTCCAAGGAGGGAGAAGGGAGACATGGCACTCCTCTGCAATCCTGGGAGGGTCCTTACTGCCCTACTATGGACTGCTTTTGAGACTGAAATGTGAGTGGGCTGCTCTCCCGACAGCTTCTTGCCCACACTGCTTGCCTGGGAAGGACAAGCAAGGCGCCATTTTGAGAGTTTAATTATGAGTTGAGTTTGGGCTGAAGGGGCTGCAGTCACTGATCAGCCAAGGTAGGACAGGGAAACCATGCTCTCTTACACATATCTAGGGCAGTACTCACTGCCCCACAGTGGTCTGCTGTGAGACTGAGATATGAGTAGAAAGCACCACCCACGGCTTCTTGCCTATGCTGTTTGCCTGGAAGGGGCCCTATCTTATCTGGTCCCAGGACCAAAGTGCAATATTGGGAATTTAATGCTAGGTTGTTCCCTTCCCTCAGGCTAAGTTTGAAATGACACAGTTGCAGCTCCCACCCAGCTGTGAGAGGGACATGGAGACCAAGCTCTCCTCAGCACACTTAGGACAATACCAGCAGCCCTGGGACTGGAGCTGTGGGACTGGAGAGTAGCCCGCCCAAGACATCACAGATACCAGCAAAACCAACATGGACTGCTTGGGTCTCAGTGGGTTGCTCCACCACTGCTACTGCCATCACCCACAACACACTAGCTGCTCAGGGACTTGAGAATTCACCCACACACCCAGCCCACCACTCCCACTGCTAGCTTCCAAACATGCCATCTGGTGACCCAAGAATTAGACCTCTAGGACCCACTAACACTTGAAACAGTGTAAGCTGCTCTGAGGTCTAAAAACAGGCACACTCAGCCAAATGCTGCCACCATTGGAGCCTTAAGACTACTTCATTTGGCATCCAAGTCCTCAGAAAAACTTCACCACTACCTCAACTAATAAATATACCCTAAGCCACTGAGAAAATCACAGACACTACTGACCTATGTGTATTGCTAAAGAAGCCATACAAAGATTATGCTACCACAGGCACCCAAAATCAAAGCCAACAGATCCTACTTAACCAACAACATACATACATCTTCAGGAGAAAAAATTTTCCCCTACAAAGCAATATCAAAAAATAGGAACAAATGACTGCTACACCAGATGTGCAGATGTCAACACAAGGACACAGGAAATGTGTAAAAGCAGGGAAGTGTGGCACCACCAAAGGACCACAACAATGGTCCAGCAACTGATTCTAATAAAAAATAATTTATTGAAACACCATATCAAGAAGTCAAAGTATTGATCTTTAAAGACGCTCAATGTGATATAAGAAAAATCTGAAAACCAATACAAAGAAATCAGAAAATCAATTCAGGATATGAATGAAAAGTTTACCAAGGAGATAAGAAAGCTTTAAAAATTATGGGACTAAAATATCACTGAAGGAATTGCAAAATACATTTGAAAGCTTCAATGATGGACTAGATCAAGCAGAAAACAAAATTTCATAACTTGAAGATGTGTCCTTTTAAATAATCCGTCAGATAAAAATAAGGAAAAAAGGATAAAATAGAATGAATGAAGCCTTCAAGACACCAGAAACCACATAAAGTGACTGGACTTAGGAATTATTGGTATTCCCGGCAGCAAGAGAGATTAAAAAGTTTAGAAAAGCTATTTAAGGGAATAATCAATAATATCTTCCCAACTCTAGCAAGAGATTTAGACATTCAGATATAGGAGACCCGGTGACCCCCAGGCAAAGACATTGCAAAAATGACTTCACCAAACATATTATAGTCAGAATGTCAAAAGTTAAAGTGAAAGAAGTAATATTAAAATTAGCAAGAGAAAAGTATCTAGTCACCTATACAGGAAATCCCATTAGACTAACAGTAAACTTTTCAGCAGAAACCTTACAGGTGATTAGAGAATGGGATGGCATATTCAAAGTGCTGAAAGAAAAACACTAAAGGAAATACAGTGTTTTTCTGTATATTTCTCTATAAACATACCCTGCCTGAAGCTGCAAAAATGAAGAAGAAATAAAGTCTTCTCATACAAGTAAATGCTGACAGAATTTGTAACCACTAGACTGAACCTACAGGAAATGTTCAAAAGGATCTTAAACATGTAAATGAAAGGTCAAAATTCACCATCACAAAAACATGTGAAAATATAAAACTCGCAGGTTTTATAAAACAATCTCACAAAAGAGGAAGAAAAATGAATCAAATGGCAACATGACAGAATCTCATCAAATCATAAATACCAAAATAAAACAAAGAGAAAAGGAAGGAAACAAAGAAATGATAAAACACCTTGAAAACAATAATATGACAGTAACAAAGGCTCATATATCAATATTAACCTTGTATGTCAATGGTTTAATGCTACACTTGAAAGATACTCATAAAGACACATATAGACTGGACATAAAGAAAAGGATCTTCCACACAAATGGAAACCAAAAGCAAGCAGGAGTAGCAATATTTATGTCAGCTAAAACAGACTTTTAAAATCAAACACAGTTAAAAAAAAGGTGATTATGTAATGATAAAGGGATCAATTTATTAAAAGGATACAACAACTCTAAATATATATGCACCCAACACTGGAGTCCCCAGATTCACAAAACAAATAATACTAGACTTTAAAAAAGAGATAGACAGCAATACAATAATAGGTAGGGACTCCAACACCCTACCCATAGCACTAGACAGATCATTGAGAAAGAGATTTAACATAAACATTGGATTTAAATTGGATTTTAGATAGAATGGACTTAAACATTTACAGAACAGTCTATGCACCAACTATAGAATATTCATCGTTTTCGTTAGCACGTGGAACATTCTCCAAAATAGACTAGAGTTTAGGCCACAAAAAATTTTTAAAAATTTGTAAAAATTGAAATCACATCAAGTGATTTCACCTTCCAGACCACAGTGGATTAAAACTAGATGTCAGTTCTAAGTGGAAACTTATTAACTATACAAATACATGGAAATTAAACATCATGCTCTTGAATGATAACTGGGTCAACTAAGAAATTAAGACAGAAATTTTTTAAAAATTTTGGAACAAATGAAAATGAAAACACAACATACTAAAACCTAGTGCTAAGTTTATAGCAATAAATGCATACATCAATAAAGTAGAAAAATCACAAAATAGCAAGCTAATGTTGCACCTCAATTAACTGGAAAAAACAAGAACGAACCAAATCCAAAGTTAGCTAAGGAAAATAAATGACAAACGTCAGAGGAGAATTAAAGAGAGGCACCCCCAAAATAGAAATGATCAACAAAATAAGAAGTTGGTTCTTTGAAAAGAGAAGCAAAAATAATAAACCACTAGCTAGACTAACCAAGAAGAGAGAAGATGTAAATAAACAGCAATGAAAAAGGAGATATTACAACTGATACCATAGAAATTAAAAATATCATGAGAGACTGCTATGAACATCTGTATGCTCACAAACTAGAAAAGATAGAGGAAATAAATTCCTGGAAAACTGCAAGCTCCTGAGATTGAACCAAGAAGAACCCCTGAGCAGATCAATAATGAGTAGTGGGATTGAATAAGTAATAAAAAAAAATCCTCCCCTTAACCCCTAAAAAACGCCAGGACCAGTTGGATGCACAGCCAAATTCTACCAAACATACAAAAATGAACCAATACCAGTAATCCTGAAACCATTCCAAAAAATTAAGGAGGGAGTTCTCCCTAACTCATTTTATGAAGCAAGTATCACCCTGATATGAAACCCAAACAAAGATATAACAAAATAAGAAAATCATAGACCAATATCTCCGATGAACATAGGCACAAAAGTCCTCAACAATGTGCTAGTAACTTGAATCCAATAACACAATGAAAAGATACTGTACCATAATCAGGTGGGATTTATCTTAGAGATGCAAGGATGATTCAATATATATAAATTAATAAATTTGATACATCACATGAACAGAAACATGTTAATCTGTTCAAAATCACATGAAAAAAACTATATGATCATCTGAATAGATGCAGAAAAAGCATTTGATAAAATTCAGTATCTTTTCATAATAAAAATCTTCAAATTAGGGACAGAAGAAACATAACTCAACATAAAGGCCATATATGACAAACCCACAGCCAACATCATACTAAGTGGGGAAAAGGTGAAAGCATTCCCTGTCAGAATTGAAACATGACAAGAATGCCCACTTTTATCAGTCTTGTGCAAGATAGTACTGGAAATTCTCACCAGGGCAATTGGGCAAGAGAAAAAAAATAAAAATATCAAAATTGGAAAAGGGAAAGTCAAATTATCTCTGTTCACTTATGGTGTGATCTTATATCTAGAAAAACCTAAAGACTCCACCAAAAAAAATCTTAGATGTGATAAGTGAATACAGTAAGATTTCAGGATAGAAAAGTCAATGTATAGAAATCAGGAACATTTCTATATACTAATAATGATCTAGCCAAGGACCAAATCAAGAAGGCAATCTCATTTACAATATTAAAAAATTACCTTGTAATATATATAACTAAAGATATAAAAGATCTCTACAAAGACAACTACAAAACCCTGAAGAAAGAAAGAGTAGATGACACAAAGAAGTGGAATAACATCCCGTGGTCATGGATTGGAAGAATTAATATTGTTAAAATAACCATATTGCTCAAAGCAATCTACAGGTTCAATGTAATCTTTATCAAACTACCAATGTCATTTTTCACAGATTTAGAAAAAACAATTCTAAAATACATTTGGAACCAATAAAAAGCCCAAATAGCCAAACAACCCTAATCAAAATGAACAAAGCTAGAAGCATTACATTGTCTGACTTCAGATAATACTAAAATGCCATAGTAACTGAAAGAACATGTTACTGGTATAAAAATAGACACATATATCAATGGAATAGAATAGAGAACTAAGTTCAGGACCAGCCTGGCGAACATGAACATGGTCTCTACTAAAAATACAAAAATGTACCTGGCGTGGTGGTGCATGCCTGTAATCCCAGCTACTCAGGAGGCTGAGGTAGGAGAATCACTTGAACCCAGAAGGCAGCGGTTGCAGTGAGCCGAGATCACGCCACTGCACTCCAGCCTGGGCCACGAGAGCGAAACTCCATCTCAAAAGAAAGAAAAGAAAAGAGAACTCAGAAATACAGCCATATAATCAAAGGCTACTGATTTTTGCCAAACTTGGAAATACTATATACTGAGGAAAGGATACAGTTTTCAATAAATGGTGCTGGGAAAAATGGACTGCCGTATGCAGGAGAATGAAACTGGATCCATATATCTCATCATATATAAAAATCAACTCAAGATGGATTACAGACTTGAATATGAGACCTGAAACCGTAAACATATTAGAAAAAACCTGGGGAATACTCTTCTAGACACTGGTCTAGGCAAAGAATTCACGAATAAGACTTCAAAAGCACAGGAAACAAAAACAAAAAATAGACAAATGGGATTTAAACAAAAAAGCTTCTGCACAGCAAAAGAAATAACAAAGGAGTGAAACAACAACTTGCAGAATGGGAGAAAATATTTGTAAAGTATACATTCAACAGGGGACTCATATCCAGGATTTACGAAGAACCCAAACAACTCAACAAAAAACAACCCCAAATAATCCCATTGAAAAGTAGGCTGACATGAATAAACATTTCTCAAAAGAAGACAAACAAATGGCCAAGAAGTCTATGAAAAAACATTGAACATCATTAATCACCAGGGAAATGTGAACTAAAACCACAATGAGATATCATCCTATACCAATCGGAATTAGTATTATTAAAAAGACAAAAAATTAACAGATGTTGGAAGGGATGTAGAGAAAAGGGAGATCTTATATACTGTTGGTGGGAATGTAAATTAGTACGACCTCTATGGAAAACAGTTTGGAGATTTCTCAAAGAAATAGAACTACTAGAGGATGCAGCAGTCCCACTACTGAGTATCTACCCAGTAGATACTCAAGGAAAAGAAATAATTACATCAAAAAGATACCTGCACTCATATGTTTATTGCAGCACCATTCACAATAGCAAAGATAGGCAATCAAGCTAAGTGTCTTATCAATGGAGGAATGGATAAAGAAAAGGTGGCATATGTACATAATGGAGTACTCTTCAGGCATAAAAAAAGAATGAAACCATGTCTTTTGCAGCAACATGAATGGAACTGAAGGACATTGTCTTAAGTGAAATAACTCAGACACAGCAAGTCAAATACTGCATGTTCTTTTTTAAGTGGGAGCTAAATAATGTGTATACATGGAAGCAGAGTATGGAATGATGGACAATGGTGACTTGGAAGGGTAAATCATGGGAGCTTGCTCCGGGGGTACAATGTGCATTGCTTCAGTGATGAATACATTGAATGCCCTGAGTTCACCACAATGCAATATATCAATATAGAAAAATTGCACTTGTACCCCATGAATATATACAAATATTTTGAAAATAAAAATAAAAACAGATTGTAGATTGCTTATACTCTATCTTGGAATTGTAAAAACTGATCATGATGATAATAATGGTAATGGAAATCTAATATTTTATAAATTGACTGAAAACAAAGCATGAATCTTGTGTGATTCATGGGAGGGTTTAAAAATTGAGACAAAATTAAATGTAACTTTTTAAAATGTTGACATTGGCTTCAACATTGATATTTTTGGGGCCCTTGAATTCATTGTTTCTGAAACTGACAAAATGAATTTTCAACTTCATGAAGACAACATGAATCTTGAATTTCAGTCTTATTCTTAAAAATTCTTTCACCTATGTTACCTATCTCTTGATGTAAATGTTTGAAAATTAGGTGGTAGGTTTTCAGAGCAAATTTTCTCACTGTTTTGATTAGAAAACTTAAAGGAAATCAATTTAATATACAATTAAATCCATTTTACTTAAGATCTTAAATATATTTTAAATAATCTTTGTTCCTATTTAGATGGGCTTTTTAAAATTTGTTTTATTTTGGTTAGTTGTGGGGCTTGGTCCTGATGTTTATTTTAGTTTATGCTTCCTAAATGATACTACTTGATATTATTATATTCTGCAAGGGCAAATTGGCAACATAATGCTTTTTATATTACCAAGCACTTTGTGTACAATTCTGTTTAAGATCAGCATGTTTCCCTATATTACTTGAAGAAAAATAATTTCATTTCCAGCAGATTAATATGAATTAACTATAGCTGAAATATGTAATTTTGTAAGCTTTAGAGAAAAAAAACTTTTCTTTAAGTAGCAATATTATTAATACTATGCACCTGTGTGTTAAATAATGAAGTGTATCTCAATCGAACTTATTGTCAGTTAAGATTCACCTATTCTTACATAATAGCTTTCTAAATTGATATCTATGGTTTTATAGTTTAGAGCTGGTAGGTCTGAATTAAATTTTTATAAGAAATCACAACTGTGATAAAGCATTATCATTTCAGTAACTAACAGCCTGGGTATCATTCCCAAGCGTAAAATCAGCAAAACAAATTAGAATAAAAGCCACATGTGAGGTATCCATTATGCATTGACATTTAGAATCTCTTCCTTATTTGTATTCAGAATACTATATTATACAATGCAATATTTATCTGTGATATTTTCTGTCCTCATATGATGGATGTGTAGTACGAAAGCTAAGGAACTTCTCCATCAACAAGGAACTTTTCCCCTCTGTAGTATAACATGTTTGATAAATGCTTACCCTCTTTATGCATCCTCCTCTTCTGCAAATTAGTTTTCAGTGCTTTGCATTCTTGTTTTTTTCTCCCAGCAAATGTCATACTACACTTCCAGGAAGGCCTCATCTCCAAAATCACATATAAATTCCCACATCTCAGACATTCACAAATTATTCCCAGATATGCAGACTATAAACAGGAGACCTTGATAGTAGCTTAAGACATTCCACAATTCATACTTTGATTAACTGACTTCTCCACTGAATTTTATATTACATTAAATATCCTAAGGTAATCATCTTAATCTTACATTTTACCAGTTACAAAAACCTGAATTTTTAAAAATTTGAAGTGCTAATAATTTAGTAGCAAACGGAAAAATCTAAAAATAGATAAAAAGTCAATATTTAATGGCATGGTGAGGTATACACTTTTAGATTAGCTGTATTGTAGTGAAGCTTTTTCACATGTGTTGGCACAAAATTTTTCTAGGGTTGTTATTAAAATTTTGTTTGTTTTATGATGATCTATTTTGACAAGAGTTCTGTTACTTTGCTAAATATGGTCTTGCATTTTCTAATCATTTCATATTTATATTTAATGAACCTTATAAATAGGCATTGATGGTTAAATAATTCATTCCAGGCTGGGCACGGTGGCTCATGCTTGTAATCCTAGCACAGCACTTTGGGAGGCTGAGGCGGGTGGATCATGAGGACAGGAGATCGAGACCATCCTGGCTAACAAGATGAAACTCTGTCTCTACTAAAAGTATAAAAAATTAGCCGGGCATGGTGGCGGGCACCTGTAGTCCCAGCTACTTGGGAGGCTGGGGAAGGAGAATGGTGAGAACTGGGGAGGCGGAGCTTGCAATGAGCCGAGATCCTGCCACTGCCCTCCAGCCTGGGTGACAGAGCAAGACTTCATCTCAAAAAAAAAAAAAAAAAAAAAAAAAAAAAGCATTTCAAATGTCTAAACCAATCCAAAATACGTTTCAAAAATTAGAACGCTTTGTTATCCATTTAAAGTAGGAAATCTGACTATTTCAAGTGTGGCTTCTTATTATGGGAACTTTCTGTGTCTAATTTAAGTTCTTATTTTTAATGCATATACAAATTATAGGATTTAAAGTATACAATGGAGAGAAGACATAATGAAAAAATATTTAACTAGGTACATACTGTTTATTCTTATTTTTGTTACTAACAAGCTGTGTAATTATGTGAAGCTCACTTAATGTTAACTATAAATAAGGAAGTTGTACTATATGAAATTAAAATTTGTCCCCAATAGTAGCCTTCTCTTATATATTTTATCAAAGGCTAAGAAAAGCAGCAATAGTTTTTAGCTCTGTTGCCCACTATATTTAGTAGCTGGACATTTTATGAAGGTTCAGGCAAGTCCATAATCACATAACAACAAAAAAGCCAATCATCTCTACTGTTACCTTTAGAACTCATCAGTTCTTCCCTTCCCGTGTCATCTTCAAGATGGAGTAATTTCAAGTGAGTTAAAAGGTAAACGAACTGAATGTGTGTTGTAATGGGATACCAAAGATCGAGTCTAACTAAATTTTTGACAGAGATTGAGAAAAGTGACCCAGCGTTTTCACCTAGTGAACTAGGATCCATCCCTTCACCATAGTGAGGATTCACTGTTTTCTAAATTGATGGGCAACAAAGAAAATAAGACATTTGAGAAAAAAGTAAAGCTTTTGTTCTTCATCTTGAATCTCCTTTACTTAAGAATGGCTAAATTTGTCATGATTTTCTGAAAGAAACTCCAATATGGCCGATTTTGAAATAAAAGGCTAAAAACTGAGGAAGGGTTAAATAGAAGTGTTTTTGCCTTTTTAGTTAATAAAATATTGCATGAAAATGCAAACAGGAAATGCAATATCTGAAATTAATGGCTAGTTCCCAATTAGGTAATATCATTTTGAGATAGACTGAACATTGAAGCTATTTTGAGGATTACAAAAAACAATAGACGTATTTTATTCCTTAAACTGAAGGGAACTTCAGAAGAAATTGGTGAACATTTATACATGAAAGCTTAGTTATTGTGTTTATTTCAACTATGTAACTAAAGATTTCAGATCACAAGAATGAGTTGTGTTTTTGTATAAGTCATATACCTCCCACCAGTTGTCCAAAAGGGAAGATTCAGATGTTGATAAACACAAGTAACCTCTTGCACTTGTAATGTTGAAAAATTATTTCTGTATCTCTAACCATCTTGGAAAATTGAGGACCATCAAAATGACCAAATAATCTGTAATTTTGAGATATATCTGTAGAGTAGATTTGTTGCAGCAGTGTGAAAAACACAAAGAAATAAGAGCAGAAAAATAAGAACCAGTTGTTTTATATTCATCAACTTAAAATAATGATTATTTAAATTTGTTAAGATTAACAAGAGGGCTAACTAGTATATATTTTTAAAATTAGAACTTGTTGGCCGGGTGCGGTGGCGCATGCCTGTAATCCTGGCACTTTGGGAGGCTGAGGTGGGCGGGTCACAAGGTCAGGAGATCAAGACCATCCTGGCTAACACGGTGAAACCCCGTCTCTACTAAAAATACCAAAAAATTAGCTGGGCGTAGTGGCGGGTGCCTGTAGTCCCAGCTACTCAGGAGGCTGAGGCAGGAGAATGGTGTGAACCCGGGAGGCGGATCTTGCAGGTAGCCGAGATTGTGCCACTGCACTCCAGCCTGGGCCACTGCACTCCAGCCCGGGCAACAGAGCGAGACTCTGTCTCAAAAAAAAAAAAAAAGCAACAAAAACAAACCAAAACAAAAATTAGAACATGTTTTTTCTTTACTGGTTTATATTACATGGGTTTACATATGAAGCTATAAAAGGTAAATGTAAGCATGCTTTCTTAAAGATTGATCATGTGCTGTTTTCTTTCAGTGAATGGAAGTGTTTGACAAAAAAAAAAAAAAACACTTCTAAGCTAGCCTTTAGAATATATTATTAGAACATGTTTCATTCTTTATGGGACTCTAACATTCCAAGTAGCAAAATTCAGCAATAAAAATAAATGCAAGCATGCTTTCTTTCTTAAGATGCATGATAAAGCCGGATGCAGTGGCTCAAGCACTTTGGGAGGCCGAAGTGGGAGGATCACTTGAGGCTTGGAATACAAGACAGCCTGGGAAACACATAGATACCCTAGCTCTACAAACAAACAAACAAACAAACAAACAAAAAAGATGCATCATAATTTTTTTTCTTTCAGTGAATGGAAGAGTTTCACAGAGAAGCAACTTTGTAAGCAAACTGAAAATCTATTAGAACATGTTTCTTTCTCCATTGGTTCATATTACATGGGTTTACATATGCAGCTATAAAAAGCAACTATAAGCCTGCTTTCTAAAAGATTCATCATAAGCTGTTTTCTCTCAGTGAATTGCAAGTGTTTGGCAAAGAAACAGCTTTCTAAGCTGAGCTTTAGAATACTTTATTAGAACATGTTTCTTTCTGTAGTGGGCCCTATTAGTCCAAGTAACTACAAATTTTTAAGTAACTGGAAATTGTGTTCATTTTTATTTTTATACTCGGAAGCATACATATAATTACAAAGTTTAGTTATTTTATTTGAAGTTAGAACATATAATACGTTTACTTAAACTCTTAGAAATTTTCAGATTCAAATTTCACATTTTCACATTCTGTGCTATAATTTAGGAGCACGAAAATGCTATGATAAAAGGTGCTATCTGGAAATATCAAAGTAGATATTACTATATTTTATTTTGAAGTACTTTGGGATATAGAATTTATAAAGTAAAACATCTACCTTTCAGCTGCCAGATTGAAAGATGCATGTGTATAAATCTATGTTATGTGCCTTCTATATGTTACTTAGATAAGTGGAAGAAGCTGACTTGTCACTTCTTGGATTCTGATTCCTTACTCCAGTTCCTTTATATTAATTGACAAATAATAATTGTACATATTTATGGGGTACAATGAGATGTTTTCACAAATATATATATGTGTGTGTGTGTGTGTTATGATTTAATAATTCCACTGTGTGTGCATGATCTGATCATTCCACTACGTGTGTGTGCGTGATTTAATTATTCCACTGTGTATGTGATTTAATCATTCAACTGTGTGTGTGTTTGCGTGTGTGTGTGTGTGTGTGTGTGTTATTTCCTCCAGGTTATATCTTCATTCTATTATTTCCTTTGCTATGCCTTGCCCAGTTCTTTACAAAAGTGAGTAGAGAAATCCTCTTCCCATGACACTGATATTTTTCTAGGATATTTTCAAATGTAATTGATCGAGGTATGAAATCTTCACAGGAATGCTGATTATAACATACAGAAGAGTACTTGCCCTTGAGTTTGTATCAAGATAAGGACTGAATGCTGGATGAGATAGAAGTATGATATGGAGGAGAAAATCAAACCAAATCCATAAAACCCTAGAAATTTGATTCTGTTTACTTGGAGCTTATTATAATTTGAAAATAATTTATGCTGAACTTATCTTTGTTTAGAAAGTATTTATTTGTAGAATAAATATACGTTTTAACAAATTATAATTGGGGAAATTGTGCAATTTGAAAAGAATTTATGCTGAATATATCTTTGTTTAGAAAACATATTTATAGAATAACTATACATTTTAACAAAATATAATTGGGGAATTTTTTCAGCATTTAAGTAGAAAATGTCTTAAGTATATTCCAACATTTTTAATCACCACCTACAAAAAAGTACATGTAAAATACCAAATAAGTCTTGAGAAGTATCTAAAAGACTTCTGATAGTGTGATACATTCAAGTTTTTGATTAAATATAAAATATTAAATGATATTTCCTTTTGAATAATTATCTGTTACTCTAAATATTTTTGTTGTCAAATATTCATTGAATATTTACTATGGTTAAGACAACATGGTAGATCTAGGTTAGTAATTCCTGAAGGAGTTCAATTTAGTAACGAAAATAAGAGACATTTTTGAAAAACACAGGAACAGAATGTTCTAAGTGTCATTAAGAAATATAAACACACAATCTCCAGTTCCTTAAAAATTTGTAGTTACGTGGCCTAACAGCCCTCAATAGAGAAAGAAATATGTTCTAATAAAATATTCTAAAGCTCAGCTTAGAAAGTTGTTTCTTTGCCAAACACTTCCATTCAAGATAATATAATCAAGATCTATTCATTTAAATACTTGAATGGGTTTTGAAGAATGGTTAAGATTGGACAGAAATGGGTGGTGAGACCTGGTGGACAAAAACAGACAAAGAAGTATGTCATATATCAGAAAAAGAAACAATTATAGAAGATGTACAAAGCATTTTGGGTTATGACTCTGAGATGCTTTGACACCAGATTGTGGAGGGACCTACATTCACTCTACATAATTTGAACTTTTTATGATTGGGCAATAAAAAATAAAGATATTTAAGCTGGAGACTGAAATAATCAATGTTGTGATATAGGAAGATTAAGCTGCAGGTGGTGTATCTAATAAAGCACTAATATTTTTACCAAGCTTTTGGAATGAATTAATAAATGAATGAATGAACTATTCCATTAAATACATACCAAGATGAAACACATCATTACGTTAAGTTTTTTTTTTTTTTTTAATTAATGCAAGTGAATGCTTTTACTTTTTAGAAGCTTTCTTTCTTCTGGTGAGGTGGATGGATTTGATCCCAGTTTCAGAATTATTTTGTGGGCACAAAATACCAAATTCTTTTGTGAACCAAAAAGAAGAGTAATACAACTTGTTAAGGAAGAATTTGCAATTTTGTCTGTGAAAATATTGCTGAATTTTGAAAGAAATGTCATATGCATATTTTAGAAATCTCTCTTCCTGACTTGGCCAAAAATGTAGTAGTACAAATTCCAGCTGATGCAATAAGCATTGTACCATATGCCAAGTGGCAAAGTTTTACTGCTGGTCTAGCCATTCGCTGCTCACACGGAGTTTCCTTTCTTCTGCGCTGTCCATCTGCTGATTACCTGGTGGTCCTCTCCCACTGCCATGCCCATCTGCTGGCTACTTGCAGATGCCCTCCTATTGCCCCATGCACCTGTTAAGACCGTTCTTCCCAAAATGCAATGCATGTCATCATTACCAACCAAAGTGTAAATTAAATATACATAATCATCTCTTTGGAAAAGGATAGAAAGGTTTTTCCTATTAATAGGACCAAAACAAGTTTAAATGTTAATCAAGCAAGTCATATAAACCATTTTCTTAGAGAAGTGGTAGCACAGTGTCTGTAAAATGCTCAAGAAATAACTGATGAAAAGGCAGAGAAGATGCATATTAAATTTAAAAGACTGTCTTTGATCTTAGATACTAAATAGCTCTCTAAATACTCTACACAAGTAATAGGAAATATATTTGGCTTCTTGAAGCTATTAAATATTCCTTGTAATATATTCCTGTTTGGCAGAATGGTTAAAGGTATCAGAAAACAATCCTTCCATATGTTATATACTTGAGAGGGGGCGTTGAGATGGAAGAATGAGTGAAAGGATAGTGTACTAGGGTTCTGGATTTGCTCTAACTAAACTAAAAGTGACAAATGAACAATGCAGTGGAATGAATGATAGATATTTTTTTCTTAAAGTAAGTATTGTTTTAACAAGGGTCTGGAAAGACTTCTCAAATAGACTTTTCTGAAGGACTGAACAGCGTTCTTCTTCAGATAACTTCACATTATTTACATTGCAGGGTATTAAAAGATACCTTGAAAGCTTGAAAGAGGAAAGACTCCCCACCTACAACTAGCAAGTAGTTTGAGCACTGAACTAATCAGTTAAAAGAAATTATAAACAATGCTAAAGAAAAAAGTATGATTTCCAATACTGAGACACATCGAGATATGTTTTACTGTCGAGTATTTCTAATCTTTAGGGTTTTTAAAATATTTTAAATTGTTTCACACAACATATTTTTTTCCTAAGGAGATCACTGCTGAGAAATGCAGATTGAATGAGTAGAATTTGTATAACAGCATATCTCCTTTAAATATATGAATATAATTTAAAACATTTAGACAAGCAAGAAACAATAAGGAACCTATTCTGAGAGAAAGAGTAGAAATGGATATCAGTTTTTAAAAGGGCTAAGAAAACAATTATTTTAAAATTGTTTTTAAATGTGAATAAAAGATAAGATTCATGAATATGGGAAGGGTATTAACTATACTTCCTTATGTCAAACAGATCTCAAAATATCCTCACTGTAGCTAAAGTTGTCATTGATTTTGGTCCCATATTTCTAATAAATACTAGTAATGAAACTTTCATATAGTTTGGTGTCTGATTTTAAAATTCAAAATAAAAATGAGATTAAGTTATGTGTGGCTTACCTTTTAGCATCCATTACCTAATGAAACTAGTTTCATTAATTATGTTAATATCAATTACATTGCATGCTTTATTTATTCAATCTATTTATTTGGGGAGGTACTTATAAAATGACTTCTAAAATGGCAAGGTGAAAGAAAAGACTAGATATTTCAATTTAATACTTTCACATCACTTCATTTGCTAAGTGAACAAATTTAAATAATGTGCTATATATTTATATGCTTGTGTATTTGGGTTTACCTGATGTTTTATCTTCTTTCAATAATTATCCTAGCCTTTCCTTCCTATATAGCGAATGAAAGTGATATTTAAATGTGCATACTACAGTGTATGTAGACATTGCAGACAGCTGCAGGTCCTCCTGCCGGGGAATTGTCCTTGTTTAAGCACCATTCTGATGCTTTCCTTCCTGCCCCAGCCTCAGCTTTGATATACTGGCAAAACACTCTGAAATTGAGGTAGTACAGTGGTTCAGTTACACCACCTTTACATTACCTGGAGTATATGTCTTTCTTTTTGACTTGGGGTTTCTTTAAAAAGAAAGAACAAAAGTAAAGACAGGATCAATAAACACACATTGATGAAAAATTAGATATCAATTTGGTGACAGTCACATACATATCCATTCTGTATATTTTCATAGGTACATGTTTATACAAAAGTATCAATTCACATATAATATACAAGTATTCCTGCAAGATAATTCTGGCAATAACTTTTAATACTGAATAAACGAAGGTCTTACTTAGCTTGGAGACAAAGTGTGTCACTTTTGGTCCTGACTTGGATATTTGTCCTCTTCCATTGACATAGGTATTTTTTGTGCCCCATATTAATCCATATCATTCTGGCTTACAACGATTGCTTTTCCACATCAGAGATGAAATACTAATAATCACTAAATCCTTGCCTATTACGGCTGCTTAAAATTTAGTCCATACAGGTCTTCACTGGAAGTCCTTATTGCTTGTGTTTTTGAAGTAGATAAATCTGTGTTTTATAGAATTACAAGTAACATTACCCAAAGTCAAATTATTTTCTACACACTTATTACTGATTTGGTTTTGTGTATCTATCTTCCCTGTTTCTAACCTTTCTATATTTCTACAGTTTTGTGTATCTGTGTCTTTCTATACTTCCAAACCTTACTGTCTTAAACTTAAGTTACTTCTCTGTGCATACTTGGCTACCAGTATTCACTGCTTAATGTCTCTGGCTAATTTGAAAGTGATTAGCTAATTTTTAATACTTTCTCATAGATATTGATATATTTAAGTTATGTACTTTTTGGGGGGCGGGGCGGGGCGGGGCGGGGCGCGGGGGCCGAATTCTCACTCTATAGCCCAGGCTGGAGTGCGGTGGCACGATCTTGGCCCACTGTCACATCTGCTGCCCGGGTTCAAGCGATTCTCCTGCCTCAGCCTCCCAAGTAGCTGGGATTACAGGTGCCTGCCACTGCACCCCGCTAATTTTTGTATTTTTAGTAAAGATGGGGTTTCACCATCTTGCCCAGGCTGGTCTTGAATTCCTGACCTCGTGATGCACCTGCCTTGGCCTCCCAAAGTGCTGGGATTACAGATGTGAGCCACCACTCCCGGCCAAGTTATGTATTTTTATTAAACTTAATTTGACGCTTTTCCTCGTAAGTCATTTATTTTGTGCATAGCATTTATAATGTAATATTTTCTCTCTTCTCCTGTATGTACTTTCTCATTCTAATGTTTGCCTATTTTTTAAATAAAACTTCCAGTGTGTATTTTTTAATAGCATTTGTATTTATTTAGCAATTCTGTGGTTTTTTTTTTTTTCATTTATTTTGTCCTTGTCTTTATTATTTTATTTCTTCTGCTTTTCTGGGTTTGTTTGGTTATGTTTGTAATTTCTTGACTTGGTTAAACTTTTTAATCATTTTTTAAATCTTGAAATTACTTTATGCTATATTTTTGCCTCAAAATACAATTTTAATCACATGGTACATAAGCTGCTATTCTTATTTTCTTATTTTATGATTGTAATCATAGATTTGTTTTTCATAGTATGTACATTTTTAAAAGTTAAAATTCAGCTTTTGAAAAATTCCAATTAATAAATAATTGAATCAAATTATCTTGTATACAATTTGATATTTTAGAATGTAAATATTTCCTTTGTAAGTAATTTTTATCAGTTTTTATAAGTGTTTTACAAATACTTGAAATCATACTATATTATATATTTGTAGAATACAATGTTTTATATGTATCCATTTATGCGAACCTCCAATTATGTCGTATTATTTTGGCCTATCATCTCTATCAAAGCATGATGGAGATTATGAAATTCTATAGAAAACTGTGTTGCTATCTATTCTTTCAAGAAATACTTCCTGAGTGCCATGTGCTAGTCACTGTCCAAGTCCTAAAGGATAAAACAGTAATGAAAACAATTTCGTAGAACTAACAATCTACTAGAAACATAGAAATTAACTTGGCAGCCGGTTTCTGATTAGATTAGGCCAATGGAAAGGCAGAATAGAGAGAAGTAGGAAGATTGGAGGGTAAGAGGAAGAAAGAAGTCAGGGTATTTCTCCATTCTCCTTTCAGGGTATCTCACCTGATAAATCAGGTGGCCACTCTGGCAGCAGCCACATTTTTCTCCATGGCTCTGGACAGCAGATAACTGACCCTTCACAGTCAAACCTGACCATGAAGTCCATCAAGGTTTGCACTTTTGCCAGAAGGCCTCAGCTCATTGGTTTCATTGTTACTGCTTTCTCTATTTATCTGCCTAACCTTCAGGGTGATAGTGGCTTCCTATATTGTTCCAAATTTTGAGGTAGCTTCACCTTTCCTGATTGTGATTTCAGCTTGTCTAACATCTTTGAAAGTAATTCTCTGTATTAAACAAACACTCAATATTCTAACTCTGCATATTTTGGAGTAGGAGATAAATTTATTTGCCATTTCTCTAACTTAATATTCATTTTAAGTGACATAAATTTGCTTTGTCAAGAGGAGTTGATACCCTATTCAGAAGTATAAAACAATACATTCTGAATAGGAGAAATCACTGAAGTATTCTCTATATAATTGTGTCTTTGAAGAAGGTTCCTGGAAGAGGGTTGTTTTTCCTCAACAGTCATACATTTTGTAATTAGCAAAGAATGACATGGGACTTTCTTTGAATTTTGCACAACAGTCCAGAATTATAATGTATACTGTTAAAGAAAATTATTCATTTTCTTGTTCAGTTGAAAAAATATTTTCTACTAATTAATTTCATTAATGAACCAAAAAATATATTTCCATATTCATAGTCTATGTGCTTATTACATTTCAGTGACAAATATTCCATAAATCCCCATTAATTTACCCTCTATTGCTTAGCAGTTTACTCATTCATTGTCTGTGGGATATCATTTAACATTGTTTTCAGTTATAAGTAAAAGGATACTCAGTTAATATCTATTAAACCCAACATTGTTTTCAGCTACAAGTAAGAGGATACCCAGTTAAAACTCTATTAAACAATTAGATTATTATTTCTTGATATCATAATTATAAATTCAGCGCGTTTTCAGGGTTTATTCAGTGGCTCAGCTCTTAACTTCTTTGATATAATAGTTTGCATTTTAGGTTTGACTCCTCATAGTTACAAAATAGTGGTTACAGTTTCAGGAATCACATTTTGAAACAAAAATAATCAGGAAAAGAAAACAGGTATTTCTTATCAAAGCTCTCTTTTTATTATGATGGAAAAACCTTCATCAAAAAGTGAACACATTGGAAGCGGAGGCAGGTGGATCACAAGGTCAGGAGATCCAGACCACCCTGGCTAACACGGTGAAAACCCACCTCTACTAAAAATAGAAAGATTAGCTGGGCGTGGTGGTGCACGCCTGTAGTCCCAGCTACTCGGGAGGCTGAGGCAAGAGAATCCCTTGAACCCGGGAGGTGGAGGTTGCAGTGAGCCAAGATCGCACCACTGCACTCCAGACTAGGTAACAGAGCAAAACTCTGTCTCAAAAATAAAATAAATAAAATAAAATAAAAATAAAATAAAATAAAAAAATTTAAAAAGTGAACACATATTTCCATCATGACTATTTGTTGTTGATTGGGCCAAATGATCATTTCATATCATGACAGAAATGAAAGGGAGGCTGGTGAAACAAATAATTGGCGTTTTAACCTCTACAGTTGGTGATAGGTTGCGATAATAAGAAAAAAGCTTTGAGTGGTATTTAGAACAAGGACATAAGGGTATGGCTTACAATCACAAGTATCTGACACTGCCTATACCTTTGGCTATGCAATATTCATGCATAGACTTTTCCTGCAAATATACAACACAACTCCTCACAGTTATATAAAACATATTTGTCTTCTTCTCAAAGTGAGAGAAACCAAAAATGTCATGTCAACTTTAATATTAGCCAAGGTATTTATTTGAAAACTATCTACAAGAATTCTAGGTAATTTCCACAGAAAAATGTCTTCTTAAAAACATACATGTTACCTCTTATCATCTCAAAAGGAACCATAGAATCATACTTGGAGATCATATAGCCTAGAACGATGCTCAAATCATCTCTCCTTTAGATCATTTCCTCATACTCTGTAGTGTGTATTTGCCATACTTTTTTGACTGTCCATATTTTGAACACTTTTCCTCTATTCAGAAATTACCTGAGTTATCATATTATTGGGAACAACCCTCAGACTATACAGCCCGAAAATTCCAACTGTGCACTTGCCCAACCTTTCTTATAGCAGAATACAAACTATCAGGGCTTCCAGGGAAGACATTATCATTGCTGCCACTGAGTACAGACACACAGCTTGAATCACCAACAGTAAATAACTGGTTTCTGGTTTCTGCCATTCAGGCTGCTACTATTGGTGTCTTTGGAAAATAGAAGTATCTCTCTTTGATAGCAGCAGCATTACAAAAATGGAGTCCTTGTTCTTCCTAATTTTTTGCAAAACTAGCTTCTGATCCAGTTTGAGGTGGGTATACCTAATGAGCAATACTCAGGTTATATGCTTCTGTTCTACTATAAGAGAGGTTGGTCAAGTGAATAGTTGGAATTTCCAGGCTGTGTAGACTGAGGAAGGCCCTGATAATTTGGTAATTTAGGTAATTCCTGGACAGAGAAAAAGTGTTCAAAATATGAACAGTCAAAAAGCATGACAAATATGTACTATAGTGTGCATGAGAAAATAATGTGAATAAAAGACATGAATAGGAATTAGGAAAAGGTAGCAGTATGCAAGATCAATAATATTATTACTATACCCTCTAAAATCCATATAATTACCAATTCAGGTAAAATTCTAGGAGATAGATTATCTCTTATAATACTAGTTACTGGGATTTATATTTTCCTTCGTTCATTAATTTGACTTTTGGTCTGATGTTTGGAGTTTTAATTTTTAATTTATCTTGAGTGTACAAAAGAAGGCTACAAACTTAAATTGAAGTTGGTTGCCTTACTATCATTATCCTAACATTCATCCATGAAGCATGATTATAAATTTGACAGTTCTTAATAAGACTGTTACATTGGGTCTTTGTTTGCCACTGTGGAAAGTAGATTAGTGGTTGCCAGGGGATGGGGGTGTGGTGGAGGTGGGGATTGACTGGTTATGTATAGTAGGTTTTTGGGGGCATGTCGAAAATGTTCTCAAATTAGTTGGTGGTGATGGCTGTACAACTTTATAGGTATACTCAAAACCAGGGAATTGTACACTTTATAAGGGTGGATATTAAGGTATGTGAATTATTTCTCAATGAAAATATTATTAAAACATTAGTGACTTAAAAAAGGACTGTTACATTTGAAAATAATGTGCTGATATGAAAGAAAAGACATTAGTTCATATAGATGACAAATTAGTAGACAGATGATGACAAAACTGATTTTTTTTCTGTTCAATTCACTTAGTACATGGTGATATTTTGTCTAAATATATCAATACTCTAACATGACATACAAATATGAAATAAAAATTCTTACCACACATTATTAATTATCCTTACCAATACCTAAGTCTCCAATGGGACTGGTGAAAAGTATGAAATATCCCCAGAAAACATTCCAATAATAAAAGGAAAATGAGTTATACAAACTGTTACATTTTTCTATTTTGCTACTAGTGATAAACTAAATGTAGAACTTGGCTAGACTCTGCCAATTTAATTTCTAGTACTCTCATTAAACATTTCTGCTTTAGAATTAATATTAGAAATGACAAGTTTTTTTAAGACTATAGTTATAGATTCCCTCTCCACTTAAATTTTTTTCAGTTTTTTTTTTATAATTGCAGGGTTGATTGCACTTTACTTGAGTAGAAGCTGTTTCTACTGAGTTAGTGGCTATAGCCACTGTGTTTAACAATATTTTCTCATGCCCCGAGGTACACGTATTTCCACTTCTCTATGCTCCAATATTAACAGACTTTTTTCCTCCTCGGTCGTTTTAGGAAATAATGCCTACAAAGCAACACTTGCAAAAACACATTTCTTAGTTCTGTAAGAATATTTATATTCCAGTACATTGAGGTGTTAAGTTTTGTGAATGTGTTGCTTTAATTAATGGTTCTCTTTGAAAGTCCCTAAACAATTCTTTTACTCTTCATTCTTTGCATAAAATAAAGCTTTTGGTATAAATAGTTAATAATACTTTTATGTTCTATGTAAAGGATATAGGTTTGGGCAGTACACTTATTTATGTATTGTCTGAATTATGTGAGTGATGGGTTCTGCTGACCTTCTTCTAGATAACTACATCTTGGTTCTGGTTTAGTGATATCTCTGAAGGTCTCCTGGACATACTCTCCAAAAACTATTTTGATGTGACCTGATTTGCATTTCTTTTTTAACTTTTAGTTTTATGGGTACATGTGCACATTCGTTATATAGGTAAACTGTTTGTCGTGGGGGTTTGGTGTACAGATTATTTCATCATCCAGGTGATAAGCATAGTACCCGAGAGGTAGGTTTTTGATCCTCAGTCTTCTCCCATACTCCACTTTTAAGTAGGCCTCAGTGTCTACTGTTCCCTTCTCTAATGCCTTCAATTACCAATACTTCTTGAAGTTTGTTATTTTTTCCCTTTTAAATTATACTGTCTTCAGAAATCAGTATGACATAGCATGAAGAAGAACCTTAACTAAGGGTCAAGATAAGAAAGTAGCTACGCTGAAAATTTTCTTAATATTCAGATTTAGAATTCTCAATGTTTAGGATAGTGAATCAATGAATGATGATAAGAAAGGGCACTATAAGGAGAAGAAGAAACAAAGGTAGATTAAAAAGAGCATTTATTGAGCCCTTGAAGAGTAAGTATAAGAAAGATACACCAAAAGTCACAATTAATAATTGTTATATCTAGGACTTAAACAAAAACTTGTATGTCCAAGGAATTTTTCTTCTATACTGTTTTATGGTAACTTAGACATGAACTTCTCATCCATAAGCTTGTCTATGAGCATATTTTGTTTATTCACAGTTCCCAATGCTTAAAATAATAGATCAAAACGTATTTGCAAAATTGATTGAGAATCTTGGCTAATGTTAAAAAAGTTTTTAAAGAAATTTACAAAATAAGATGTTTCTCTTAATGAAATATGGAGTTTGGGGATACAAAAGTGTATCAGGCAATACTTCCAGAATTTCAGAGTTTGATAGAACAGTTTAATTCTCTCTTATTTTATAGTCTTATGTAAGCTGGGTGGCTGGTGGCTCCCCTCTAGGTTCTAACTTAGAGATGACCCAGGTATCTCTCATAATAAATACTTGGTATTTTAGGTCATGAAAGAATGACAAGAGTAAGACAATGATGCAATGAGGTTAACAACTATCCTTGGAAATACTGCATATCACTTCTGCCCACATCCCATTGACTAAAACCCAGTCCTATGACCCCAACCTGATTACAAGGGATGTTGGGAAATATGATCTTTCTGTGTCCACAAGAAAAAGAAAATGAAGTCGTGTTTTGACTTATGACATGACTCACAGTTTGACTTTAAAAATCAAAATTATTTCTCTATAACCTATAACCAGTCTTCTGTAGTCAATAGAATGAAGACTGACCTAGAAAAATATAAGATAGTACCTCTGATGTTTGAAGATAGCTAAAACTATGAAAAACATCATATAATTTTAATCATTTTGAATATAAATATATAAACTATTTAATTTCAAAATCTGTTGCAGTTCTGCTTCTTGTCTACTCCAACTGAGACTGCATCAGACATTGTGGTTATTGGGAAACCAAATTTTCTAAAATAATTATAGATCATGATTTACTAGCTGGCATTTCATATGACCAAGGCTGTAATACTTCCACTTTAAATAAACATTTGTTAATATTGTCCTAGTGTAAATTGTAACAATCATTATCTTATAGGATAATATATTCCAACTCAATAGTAATATACAAATTTCTATCACTTTTTTGGGTAAGCATCTGTTTAAAAATTTTATCATTTTTTATCAATTAACCAAAGGTCTGTTCCAACTAAAGATAAGGAAATAAAAGCCATCAGTTAGATAGACCAGCATCTTTTCTGAGAACCAAAAGGTGCTTACTCTATGGTTATATAAGATGTTGACATTAGGGGAAAGTGACTTAGGGACATATGAAAACTCTGTACTATCATTGCAACTTTTTTATAAATCTAAAATTATTCCAAAATAAAAAAAATTTTAAAAAGGCACTTATAGCATAACCCCATGATTTTAAATAAATTTCATGCCACATTTCTATGGATAAATATTTATTGACTACCTATAGAACACAGCAGTATATCAGTGGTTACATTTTTTGTTTAATTTTGTGAGTCTAGTAAACACGTATTGCAAACTGAAAAAGAAAACTAATTAATACAAAAGTGGATCAAAGGTCTACTCTCTAATCTCCCTAACTTGATTTTTCTAATTCTAATCAATCTTTCACACAGCATCCAAACTAATCTTACTAAAGTGCAAAATTATTAGATTATTCATGACCATCTTTCTGTTTACCTCTCCAGTCATCTTCTCATTATCATTTTCTTCAAAAGTCTTTTCTCCATGGTAATAAACACTTTACACTTTCAGTGCCTCAGATACCTCATACTCCCTCATGTCTCTAGGATGTTTTTGTTTTTACTGATTCCTCAACCCTCCATCTGTGATCCTTTCTCTTCCTACTGTCACTATATAGCCTATCTACTGCCTCTTGCCCATCTTCATTTTTCTTCTAGCTGTAAGTCATTTGGCCTGAGTTTCCACATCACATCTTCTAATCATCCCTATCCTCTTTTTAACCATTCCAAAATGAGATTAGATGCTCCTCTTTAATCTCCCTCAAGCATGTAATTTCATGTTATTAGAGTATTGATTATGTGTTTGACTTCCCCACTAGAGTTGGAGCTCCATGCTAAAAAGGGGTCTGAATTGTATTGATAGTGGTTGTTGTATTGATAGTGATACATAGTGGGCCTTATTATACATTTGATACATGAATGACTGAATAATTGAGGGTTACACAATGGATTCTGGTCGTCAGGGAAAACTTCCTGAGAGAAATAGGCCTTGTACTGAATTAAGGTTTGGGGAGGATACTATCACTATTTGTATATAGAACAGCCTGGTCAGAAGCTCTGAAGCTAATGGATGTTCCTTTGAGAATTTAAAGAGAAAAACGAAAGTAACAAAGAAATAATGGAAAATGAATGTGGAAGGTACAATAGAAGGTGTTGAAGAGTAGTTTCATACAATAATACATTCTAGGGTTGGAAGAAATCTTAGACACTGTAATTTATATATAAGAAAAATTCAATTCAGAAATACTCAGTGACTTCTTAAAACATATGAGAAGTTATTGGTAGAATGGAAAAATGTTGATTCTTGATTCCTTTGATTTTCTTGATTCTTAATCCAGTGCTTATATCCATCATGCCAAGTTGATGTAGGGTCAGATTAGCTATAATGAAATGTGCATGTTGGTGTGGCGATATCTGAAAGTAGCCATAAAAATGGATCTCAAACAAGTAAGTGTACCCGTTATAATGATTAGATTATTGCCAAAGTGGATATGTATTGAAATTTTTTTAAATTCTTGTCATTATACAGTGAAGAGTTACATATAATCACCTCTGGTTTAATAGTGCACAATGAATCAATCTATATTTCTCATAAAGTAGGTAAAACCATCATTAAAGTTATGCCACATTGCTCATCTATAACTTATTCCAATGGCGGCCAAAATCTATGGCTCATCTCATGAATGTTTTGAGGAAGGAAATTACATGAAATGACTTGATCAGGCAAGTGCAAAGTTGTTAAACAGGGACTTGGCTTTTCCATGATTACCTGCTTTATGTTATAAAAAGATTTTCAAGCTGGCTAAACTTTGATGAAGTTATGAAAGCCTCAATTTACTTCCAAAGTGTGAGTGATACGATGGTTACAAAATATTCCAGATTTAATGTTTAAATTGTAGGTTTTGAGTTTATTTTACCAAAATGATTTTTTCTCTGATTTCTGATTCCAAGACAGTTGAAAAGATTAGGATGCCTTAGGATGCTATGGTAAGTGAACCTCTAGAATTCAAAGAAAAATGTTTCAGTCCAGTCTGAACAAATATGAACATTGGCAAGTTTTGGAATAGGCCAAATTTTCTTTCAAACCTTCCCTTTGAGTAAACTTTCTGGTTCCTAGTTACTTTCTCTTCAGTCTCCCCTCGCCATCTTTTCACTGCCCTGACAACACACTAAACATCACATTTCTTCATTTTGGTAACCCTGGCCTTTGCTACTTGTACATTTGCCCCATTGAAATGGTTTTCATATTCCAAAACAACTTTACTTTCTTTACACAGCTGATATGGTTTGGCTCTGTGTCCCCACCCAAATCTCATCTTGATTTCCCACATGTTGTGGGAGGCACTCAGTGGGAGGTAATTGAATCACGGGGGTGAGTCTTCCCTATGCTGCTCTTGTGACAGTGAGGGGGTCTCATGAAATCTGATGGTTTTAAAAACGGGAGTTTCCCTGCACAAACTCTCTTCTCTTGTCTGCCACCATGTGAGATGTGGTTTTCACCTTCTGGCATGATTGTGTGGCCTCCCCAGCCACGTGGAACTGTAAGTCCATTAAACCTCTTTCTTTTGTAAATTGTCCAGTCTTGGGTGTGTCTTTATCATCAGCATGAGAACAGACTAATACAACAACCATTATATTTCCTGTATCTTGACTATTATACTCTTTGATAGTTATTAAGATGAAATTGAAAGAAAACTCAGAGCATGTTTTAAGGACGTACATATCTTAACTCCTTCCTCCACAGCCAACTCCTGTCCCAGAATGTTATATTTTGAATAGAGTATGCATATAATTTATACTTAGAGAAATATCTAACAAGTTGATTTTCAGAAACAGATATAGAATGTTAGAGAAGACACTTTGATATCAGTTCAACCATTTACATAGACTTGTCTTGCATGAGAATATGTCTATAAGACATTTTTCTGAAGGTAGTTGTTTCGATTTAGGGGAAGAGAGAGTTTGTCTCAAAATTATCAATAGGGTTTTAGTAAACTACAGAGGTTTGAGGTTTACCTTTCTCACTGTCCCAAGATTGAGAGCCCCTATTCCATTGTAAAACAATCTCTTTCCAAAACTGGTCCTTCGTATTGATTTTTTTCTCCTCATTTACTTTAAAAACCACAGACACTCTAATTGACAAAGCTGAGTTTTAAACACAGACCTTTGAGAGAGTGACACAGTAGGCCCTGGCATAGGGTGTGTGTGTGTTCATGTTTCACACATTTTCATTTTTGCGTTACATTAAAGGAGGGATAAAAGATGATGATGTGGCCATATTTATTGATTAGTTATTTACAATCAATATTAGTGAGGAAATACTTGAAATGTGGGAGTTTTATTATAAGAGGATCTGGATCCTTGGAAGTATCCTGTAGTTTGATTTACTTACAATAGATGTATTAGTCCGTTTTCACACTGTTGATAAAGACATACCTGAAACTGGGTAATTTATACAAGAAAAAGGGTTTAATGGACTTAGAGTTCCATGTGGCTGGGGAAGCCTCACAATCATGGTGGAAGGCAAGGAGAAACAAGTCACATCATACATGGATGGCAGCAGGTGAAGAGAGAGCTTGTGCAGGGAAATTTCCCCTTATAGAATCATCAGTTCTCGTGAGACTTATTTACTATCATGAGAAGAGCATGGGAAAGACCTGCCCCCCATGATTCATTTACTTCCCACCAGGTCCCTCCCACAGCACTTGGGAATTCAAAATGACATTTGGCTGGGGACACAACCAAACCATATCAACAGGTTATTTGAACATGCTGACTAGCAAAATCTTCATGGATTACCACTAAGTCTGGCCACCTGGAATCAATTGTGCTCTATGAGTAATACTGTTTTAAAGAAACACTCTGGTGAATCATCCAAATTATTAATATTACTACATAAACAAGATAGGGAAATGTAATGTGATTTGCATATATACGTATAATGATATTTTAGTTATAGTTATTTAACCATCTAATTATTTGGCCATTAAACTAATGCCCAAATGATATTAATAATACTAATTATTAATAATAAATGTTGATTAATACCTATTAATATTTGACCATTATATTATCTTGCACTCATTTGCTTTGAAATCTTATTTATTAAGTAGAAGTTATCATCATTTTGTGCTTAGAAAATCAGACATTTTAAAACTGTGAAATAATTCATCCCTATTTTCAGTACATATTTCAAAATCTGTTTGTACTTTCTTCTAAGTTCCCCTTCTTCCACCCTCTCTTCACCTAACTGGCGGTTTGTTGCTTTTTCAAATCTTACAGGTACATATTTGTCACTAAATTTCCCTTTTACCCACACAACGGGAAAAGCTGATTCAGACATAGCAGTTAGTGCATAAATGTTAGATTGAAATTTTTATTTGCATTTACAAATGACACTAAGTGTGAAGAGCACTATAAGATGTATGTGACCATTTTAGTTATCTATAATCCAGTCTGTTGTGGTATAAAAGACTACATTGAAATAGATTGATGTTCAGTACCTGGTCTGATTTAACAGGCCCATTCTGTTTTCTGAAGAGCTATGTCACTTTCTCAAGAAATGTTTTAGACATATTTTAAATATTATTTCCATTCAACTTTTGAAAGATTAAGGTTTCAGGGTAATAATTTGAAATTTTTCATCTCATGACTTTAGTTTTTAATAATACATACTTTGTTATAATGACAAAAATGTTGCTAGATCCTGATTACAACCAAAAATACAAGTAGACTTGATGAAAATATTAGTAGCTGAATAACTACTCTTCATCAGAAATACACTGTAGTTATGATATTCTAGGGTACTGCTACTTTTTTTGATCTGTCTGAAAAGTAAATTGAATGCCACCTTAGTTTCTGAAAATGAATTGGTTTTATTAAAATTTTAAAATACTCAAATCTGATTTACATGGGCACCTGCAAGCAGGTATGTCTTTCTGTAAGCAAGGGAATAGTTTGTTGTAAAGCTCAATATTTTTATATTAAATTTTAAATTATTTTTCTTATAGTTCCCTGTTGTTATTCAGAGAATTGTAAGAGGTTACTGTATGGTTAATTTAACACATACTTTTAAGTTTCAATGGGTAAAATAATCAAAACTCTTTAACCTACTGGATGAAGTACCCGCTCTGTTTTTGAAAGAACTGAGATTGCATTCTATTAAAGTTTGATTTCTATTGATTTTTTTTGTTATTACAATTACCACTTAAATTCTTATAACATTATCAGAATACAAATAAACTGGAAAATTTTTATACCTGACTCAGAAAGTAGCATGTGTAAAAGGCAAGCCACAAGTATATCTGATATAATAAGATGTTTAGAAAATGTCCATGTGAAGTTAAAAAACCCAAAAAGTAACTTATACAAAACTTATTTATCAGTACTGTTTTAATAAAGACAAACTGTGTTAACTTTTAAAAAACAGGATATGTTTCTTTTTATATTAATAATTTGCTTAAATTGCTTTTGGCTCTTTTTAATGTTGATGTGAAAATTTTTATTCCGGTTAAAGATGGTGAATTTTATATGCATTCAATAATTCTCACAAAACATTAAAGGAAGTTTTCAAGAAGTAAAACCACAAGAATGTGGAGAACTAGATAATGAATTACAAAAGAATAAAAACATTGGAAGCTAGAAAGCAGATGGATATATGTTACCTGTATTAAAGCTGAATTCTAAATTGATAATGAGGAAATGTAAGAAATTAATCCAACATCTATTTTAAAAAAGCCTTAAAAGCCTAAGAATTGGATGGCACAAGATGCTTCTCAATATAGAGATGAAGAAGGAGTACTTTTTAAATAAGAAAGATCAGCTGAGAACTGTTTGAATTGCTCCTCAGTTGCCCCAACCGTCAAGGGTCATATTCTGTGACAAGGAAAAAACAGGTTTCGTTCAGGGTATACCTCACACAGTTCATTCATGTTGAAACAGGGAGAGTAAGACACCTGAATCCTGGAAGCTAAGACCCCACATCTCTAGCTTAGTTTCCCTATTCAGTTCCAGGAGAACGTTAATAACTATGACTTACCTCCAGGAAAGAGAAGGGAAAAGCAATCTCTGGAAAACCTGCACTGCCCAGGAGAGGATCTAAAGTGACTGAGGTTAGATTTCTCTCAGTGAAGTGTTCAGTCAGATCACCCCCTTGTAAAGATCTCCCTATAATGAATCCCAGAACTGGCACATACCAACACCCAACGGGTTGCTTTTTTTAAAAAAACAGTATTTTGTTTTGAAACAAAATTTGTTTCTCACTCTTAAATATAAGCAAAATCACTAGGATCATCTATTTGAGAAAAGTCTATCAATGTGAAAAGCTTAAGGCCCAAACAAAACAGAAAATAAAAACAAACAAAACATGGAAGAAAAAGACAATTGGTGGAAAATAAAACTTAAAAAAACTATTATTTTAACTTTAGAGAGACTATATATTACTATCCTGAAACAAAAAGAGGCTACTTTTTAAAGTGGAATATTTAGAAAACAAAAAAGAGCCCTTGGAAATGAAAACTATCATATAACTAAAATATTCAAACTGGGGGTTGGAAAGCAAAATTAAGGGAATCTCTCAGACAGTAGAGAAAACAATTCAAGAAGGGATGGGAAAAAAACAAAGAAAATTAGAGGTTAACCTAGGAGGTCCATTTTCTAAATCTATAGGTGTTCCAGAATGAACAGAGAAAATTCAGGGCCATGTGCAGTGACTCATACCTGTAATCCCAGGGTTTTGGGAGGCCAAGGTGAGAGGATCACTTGAGGCCAGTGGTTCAAGACCAGCCTGGGCAAAATAGGAAAACCCTGTTTTTATAAAAAGTAAAAAAAAAAAAAAAAAAAAAATTAGCCAGGTATGGTGGCACACACTCGTAGTCCTAGCTACCTGGGAGGCTGAAGTGGAAGGATCCCTTGAGCCTAGGTGTTAGAGTCTGCAGTGAGCTATGTTCATGCTGCTCTACTCTAGCCTAGATGTATAGACCAAGACCCAGTCTCTCTAAACAAAGCAAAACAAAAAAAGAAGAAGAAGGAGAAGAAAAGGTTGTTGTCTCAGGCCTAGCATGAGGAATGAAAATAGAATTGTGTCAAATAATTTTATCAGAAATTTAAAAACACTGGAGAGAAAAAAAAAGTCCTTATTAGTTTACTTTTGCTGCTATAACAGATTACCACAACTTAATGGTTTAAAAGAACACAAATTTTTTATCTTATCATTATGGAAGTTGGATTTCTGAAATGTATCTCATTAGGCCAAAATCAAGTGGGCAGTATTGGTGTGTTGCTTTGTGGAAAGTCTAAGGGGGAATCCATTTTCTTGTGGGTTTTTTTTTTTTTCCTGGCTTCTAAAATCTACCTGCTATCCTTAACTATGGCCTCTTCCATCATTCAAGCCAGCAATGGCCAGTCAAGTGTTCCTCACATTGCATCATTCTAACTTTGTAACGTACTTCTCCTTTCACTTGTAAGGACCCTTGTGATTACATTGGGCCCATTTGGATAATCTAAATCATCTCTTCATCTCAATGTCAGCTATTTAGCAATGTTAGCTCCATCTGCAACTGTAATTTCCCCTTGCCTTGTAACATAACAGATTTCTAGGTCCCAGGGACTAAGATGTGGGCATCTTGAGGGGGAAGGGCATTATTCTGTCCACTGCAATATCCTTCAAGCTCCCAATTAGAAAAATACTAGTCTCTCACAAATGATTAATAATCATGTATTCATTCATAATTCACTTATTTCATAAATATCTATATAATGTGTCACATTGAAGACACTATGAATACAGTGGGAAAAACATTAGAGTCTGCCCTTATGGAGCTTATATTTCAATGGAGGAGAGACAGAAAATAAATAGATAAAAAGTTAAATACATAACATATATGAGAATACGTGCTGAGAAGAAAAAATAAAGGAAGAAAGAAGAATAAAGAATGTCAGATTTGGGTTGTAGAATTTACATAGAGTGACCACAGGGTTCCTCAATGAAAACCCAATATTTGAAGAGCCAACCAGGTGATTATCTAGGGAAAGAACATTTGAAACAGAGAAAACACCTACGCCAAAGGCCAAGAGAGGAGAGCATGCCTAGCTTACTTAGTTAACAAAAGGCAAGGGGGACATTGTGGCTAGAGCAGATAAGTGAATAAAAGTGGAGTAGCAGATGAGTTCAGAATGATAACAGGACCTTGTTATGTAGGACCCTGTAGACCTGTGTAAGGACTTTAGCTGTTACTAAGTGAGATGTGAAGAGAAGATTTTTAAGGAAAGGAGGGACATAATTTTATTTAAATTTCAATCAGGCTTTCTATTCCAGCCAAGGGGACATGACAGAGATGAGATTTACCCTTTGACCTAAAACAAGGAAACAACGTCAAAACACAAAATGCATGAAACAATGGTTTTCAAGACATGGGCACTGGGTAATAAAGGGCAATGTTTCCTGAAAGATAGGAAACAAATGAGGTGGGCACTTGATCGCCTCAGATATTGTCTGAAAAAATCTTCCAGACTGTGGCATGGGGAGGTTCCTCTAGGCAGACCACAGATGTCTTCCTGAGCCAAAGAGAGAGAGAGCTGGGAATTCTGTGAGGTCAAGGTGGCTAGAATTCCCAGGGAACGAATCTCAAGAGGAAGGAACCAAAAAGAACTTTGGAGATCTGCAGAACATTTTCTTCTATTATTCACATGAGAACACTAATGAGCACATGCTTATAAGAAAACTATACAAGGCTAGGTAAAAAGCAACCTGTAAGGATTAGAGGGGAAAATTTACAGAGCTCAAAGCAGACTGGACATAGTGCCTCTTCCCATCAGCCAGAGTGATTCACACATCATAAAGTAAGCTTATCAGAAGTGCTTTGCATCATTAATGTGGAAAAATTAGATCTAGCCTGAAATGCTGTTCTGGCTCTATCAAACAAAGCTTAACATAAAGACCAGAAAGATTCACCCCATTTCTAAATAACTGCTTCACAAAACAAAGCTCAAAAATAATTACAGGCCCACAAAAATATCTAGCACACAAAAGCGTGAATCACATTATCTTGTGTTCAATCAAAAATTGACAGCCAATCAAAAAAGCAAGAAAATTTGATTCATACTTAGGACTAAAAATCTGTTGAAAATGATACAGATGATAGAAGTAGTAGACAAGGCTATTAGAATAATTCTTGTAACTGTATTCCATAAGTTCAAGAAGCTACAGGAAAGACTGGGTATGTTAAGTAGAGATAAAGAAATTATGCAAAGACCTAAATAGAACTTCTAGTGATGAAAACTACAATGCTGAAATGAAAACTCCACTACATGGGAATAATGGACGATTATACATTTGGAATAGAAGATTAGTAAATTTAAAGATGTAGTAATAGAAATTCAAAATTAAACAGAGAAAATGTGACTTAAAAAGTATGAATCATTAAGAATGTTGAATATTGGCCCCCACTCTCTTCTGGCTTGTAGGGTTTCTGCAGAGAGACCCTCTGTTAGTCGGATGGGCTTCCCTTTGTGGGTAACCCGACCTTTCTCTCTGGCTGCCCTTAACATTTTTTTCCTTCATGTCAACCTTGGTGAATCTGACGATTACGTGTCTTGGGGTTGCTCTTCTCAAGGAATATCTTTGTGGTGTTCTCTGTATTTCCTGAATTTGAATGTTGGCCTGTCTTGCTAGGTTGAGGAAGTTCTCCTGGATAATATCCTGAAGGGTGTTTTGCAATTTGGTTTCATTCTCCCTGTCACTTTCAGGTACACCATTCCAATGTAGGTTTGGTCTTTTCACATAGTCCCATATTTCTTGAAGGCTTTGTTTGTTCCTTTTCATTCTTTTTGCTCTAATCTTGTCTTCACACTTTATTTCATTAAGTTGTTCTTCGATCTCTGATATCCTTTCTTCTGCTTGCTCAGTTCGGCTATCGATACTTGTGTATGCTTCATGAAGTTCTTGTGCTGTGTTTTTCAGTTCAATCAGGTCATTCATGTTCTTCTCTAAATGGGTTATTCTATAGCTCAGACCTTGTGAGTTTAAGTTGGTGTTATTTCTGTCACATACTGGTAAGATATTAATCATTTAGTGAATTACCTTTTGGCCATAATGTATTGACACTGATTCTGAAGATTGCAACCAAAGTTGTGAGTAGTTATAGAAAATTCAGACATCCATTGTAGGCCAGTGACAGAATGATATTGGGTTATGATACCTTTTATTTATTTATTTATTTATTTATTTTATTTTTATTTATTTTATTTTTTTTTTTTTTGAGATGGAGTCTCACTCTGTCACCCTGGCTGGAGTGCGGTGGCACGATCTCGGCTCACTGCAACCTCCACCTCCCAAGTTCACGCCATTCTCCTGCCTCAGCCTCCCAAGTAGCTAGGACTACAGGCGCCCACCACCACTCCTGGCTAATTTTTTGTATTTTTAGTGGAGACGGGGTTTCATTGTGTTAGCCAGAATGGTCTTGATCTCCTGACCTCGTGATCCGCCCGCCTCGGCCTCCCAAAGTGCTGGGATTACAGGTGTGAGCTACTGCGCCCGGCCGCCTGGGTTATGATATCTTTCAATGACCTTAACATTTTGATTATGCAGGATAATGATGCTGACTGCTATCATAAACACCCCTCCAAATATTGGTTTTACACAAAGTTTATATCTATGCAGTTCAGGCAGTTCCTGCTTTAAATAATGACTCAGGGCCAAGATCTTTCCATCTTATGATGCTGACATCTTTTAAAAATGGCAGTAGAAGAGGAAAGATGTGTGGATAATCTCATGAATGGTTTTTGTGGCAAGGCCTGGAAGAAGCTCACATTATTTCCATCCGCATTCTTTGGGGATGAGTTATATGGTCCCTACTTAAGTACAAGGAAAGCTAAAAACTGTAGTGCTGCTATGTAACTAGGAAAAGAGAATGTTATTATTTAACATCTGGCCAGTTTCCACTGTGTCACTGAAACATGAAGAGAAGTGTATTAAATTGAAAATAAAGCATTGTGAGACGTAAAAATAGTGAGTCATACATCATAGAGAGAGGGAGGGAAAGAGGGAGAGAAGACATTTAGATCTAAGCCAATCTCTATTTCTTTAATGAGGAGGAACTGGAAACTGATCTGAGAAATGTGTGTATGCGTAAAATTTTCATAACTTTGTTTTTAAACAGTTCAAGATAAAAAAAATCCCTGTAGGAATTATTAGAGATAACTGAAGTGAGAATTCCATACATGGGTATGACATTCAGTATTCAGATGCTCAGAATGGCTCAAATTAGGCACTGTTGAAAGCTGCTCATTTCTATCCAGGTACATGCTAAACACTACTTCATCTGCAGATTAGCCTGTGCTTGCTTCCTAAAATGTACAAGGGAGATATCAATCATACTTAATGCATAGTGACAGCTATGGATTAATATAAGTAACTCATCCATAAATGCTATCTTTTTCCTATATTTGCCATGATGTATCATCTTAGAATTGAAAATCTAGATCATTTTCATCACTGGATTATTTTGAGCACCTGGGCTTGGTTTTGTCTGTGCGATCAAAACTTAGCAATAATACATACTTATCTGCGTATCTGTGCCCAAACTCTCCTCTTGAGTTTGAAATGTTTCTTCAGTAATTTTTTAAAGTTCCTGATTGTTTTTTGTTGTTCTGTTTCTTCCTGTTTGAAATGACATCTAGACCAGAGGCAAAACTATTTAAGTCATGGCAACTTAAAATAAGTATTACTGAAAGAAGACTACTTTTCAAGGGGTATTGACTGTTTAAATTCCCTTCCTTGATGAATACTAGAGAGCTAGGATAATTTGAAGATTATATTACCTTTTCTTTGGTGGGTCAGCAATAAAATTATGATAATGAAATAGCTTGGAGTCCCTCATTACAGAGATCACTTAAATTAGTGAAGTACTACATGAAACCTTTTAGAACATTTGTAATGGTATGTATATAGTAATCTTTTATTTTTATCAGGGTCACTGCATTTATTAAAGGCATTTTTGCTTTTATAAGAATTGTATAGAAGAGTTAAAACAGCTTTTAGTATATTGACAATAGCATTATTCTTGCTGCTTCAGAGGCCTCATTTTCTAAAGATTTATGTACCCTTTTCTCACTCTGATGTGAAGAAAAGCAAGGAAATTGTATGCTGAGACTTTGAAATGTGTTGAACAATTTGAAAAAGAATTGATATAGTCAGCAAACAGTGCTGCCTGGTGCTTCTCACATGAGGCTTGTAATAAAATTGGCTACCAAATTGCAAGTAATCAGAAGAAATAGACTTGATTGTTCTTTCCACTTTAACAGGCATATTCCAAACTATTCAAAAGTTGAAGGGGATTTTTCTTCGGTCAAACCTACATAAATAGCACAGAATTTAGTTACTCACAAAACTATAAATGAGATGGGTGATTAAAGAAGATGGCTAGAGGTGTGAGAAGCTTTATATTGGAGTTATTTCTTGCCGTTAAACTATGTCTCTCTCACTTCTAAGTGGGAGCTAAACAGTGGGTACACATAGACATATAGAGGAGAATGAGAGACACCTGGAGACTCCAGTGGTGGGGAGGTTTGGAGGGGGGTGAAAGCTGAAAAATTACCTATTTGGCACAATGTTCACTGATCTGGTGATGAGTGCACTAAACACCCAGCCTTTACCACCACACAATATGTCCATGTAACAGACCTGCACTGCTGCCCTCTAAAGCTGTAAAATAAATAAATAAATAAATAAATAAAAGAGAAAAATAAATAAACCATGACTCTTCTCTGGGCCAAATTATTTGAAAGAAAATCTTTTAATATGATTGACTTCATGTTGAAACCACGCCACATTCAAACTGAGACTGGTTTCGCCAGTGGTTAGAGAATATACAAGGAGTGCTGACTTGTATCACTAACCATTCCTTTTGCTCTCTGCTTATGATTATTTCTGCAAGGCTCTGCAGCTTTTTGAGAGAAGTACTATTACCAGCTCTCTTTTTCAGATGAGAAAACTGAGGTAATGAGGGATGTTTAACTTGCTGACTGGCATACATCTAGCATATGGTAAAGCCAAGTTTTAAGCCCAATATGTAGTAAAAGAAAAGCCTAAAATTGTCTCAAGACTTAATCTCTATTCCATCAAAGGTCCAGAGTATTGACTTTAGAAAGTTCATTATATGTTCAATTAAATTCAGTAGTTTTGAATGCTTTTTTTTTTTTTTGCGTTACCCCAAGCAGTAGTGAGATGACAAACATAAAGAAGCAAGATTCCTGCCCTTGAATCACTTATAATCTAATTAGGGAAAAAATTTATAGACATAAAATGTAGAGTAAAACAATATCTTTTTTGAAAAAAGTCATATAAAAAAACACCAGAGGAAGCATGTTAAGTCTTAGCCTGGAGTTCAGGGAAAATATTCTGGAAAGTAGCATGATTCCTGTCAGTTCTGAAGAATAAAAGGAAGTTGGCCAAGTGAAGTAGGGAGGAGAAACACATTCTCACCGAGAGAAAATGCAAGCAAGCAACAAGAGTCATGAACGCCTGTCATATCCTATGAATGGCAGGCTGGTCAACATTAGGGAGAAGGCATGAGAAAAGAAACTGGATATAGAAACAAGAACAAGGAGAGTCATGAAAGGTCTTTTACACCATGAAAATAAGCTTTAATGTTACCTGCTAGATCAAGGAAGAGCTTTGGGTTCTTTAAATGGAGACGTGACAGAGTAAGATTTTCATTTTATATAGATCACTGTAGTAGTAAATTAGAGCATAGATTTGAAGAGGGCAAAACTGACCCCACAGATAATTTAGAAGGCTTTGGAAACAGTCTAGATAAGAAATGAGGAAGATAAAAACTAAAGTGACTAGTTCTGACTCTGGGTTGAATAGAATACGGACACTTCCTTCACTTATTCTTTCTGAATGCAGGTGTAAAATCTGGACAGAAAGAATAGAATAGCTAATTAGAACTCTGATACATATGTAGGAGTAGATGTATTCAAGTGGAAGACCGTAAATCAAAGTGCTAATGAATCAGTTTGTAGTTGACCACTTTTTCCTTCCAGCAACCCCTGACCTGACCTCAATGCAGCACAGAGCCATATGATGCAGTCAGAAAGAGCTCCAGAAGAAACCTCTAGTTCATGCTAGAGAAGCGGGAAAGGGTACTCCTGAGTCTCAAAGGGCAGAAATCTCCTGCTTTCTTCTGCTTCCTCTTTTCTCTATTATCTGTGTCTTGGCTCCCAATTGAGCTTATGGTGGCAGTGGCTTCAGTGGTAATGGGGTCCCACAGAAACCAAAACTCTGAGGGACCTTAGGTCCCAAGAGGTTGGGTTATATTTTGAGAATCGAGCTAATACAATATCAACCAGTTCTGACTGGTCACTGGGTAGTACACATGCAGAACAGGTCTGAACAGCATTTCAAAGGCTTCAAAGTGACATTACAACCACAGTCAACAGAAGGCGAATTGGAACGTGTGGCCTGAACCAGGTTGATTGCCTGCTAGCATTAAAATATCAGCATCCTCCATAGAACTTAAAATAAGACCCAGCACTTCATAACATCATTCGGAAAATATACCAGGCCCAATTCAAGATGATTTAGCATACAAAGAACCAAGAATATCTCAATTCATTTGACACACCTGTAACATGTTGTCATTATTTGTCAAAGACTTTAGATGGTTTTTCAAAAATATTTAGCAATAAATTATAAACATTCTTGAAGTGAATAGAAAGCTAGAAACTCTTACCACATAATTAGAAGATAAAAAGAAATAACAAATGGAAATTTTAAAACAATAATGCCAAAACCATATTAACAACTTACTGGTTGGGTTTAATAGCAAAATGAAGTTGACAGAGGAAAGAATTATAACCTGGGCAAAATATTCAGAGGCATGACATAAATAGTCGATCTATTAAAGAAAAAACTAAATACATTGAATTTTGCCAAAATTTAAAATGATTGTTTTGCAAAAGACACTGGTTAGACTGTTAACAGTATAAAAAATAATCAGCTACAGACTGAGACAAAATATTGCAAATCCCGCATCTCATAAAGAACTTACTTTCAGAATATATAAAGACATCTCAGAATTCAACAGTAAGATAATAAATCACTAAAATGTTATTAAAAGGGGATGCTATGATATGACTTGCACAGAAACATAATCAAAGACAATATTAGAATGCTAAATAGCACATGAAAAGATATTCAACATTGTCAACTATTATGGAAATATAAATAAAAACAGGATGACATACCACTATAAATCAATTAGGCTTGCTAAGGTAAGAAAAAATATCTGATAACATCAAATGGTGGAAAAGATGCAGAGCAATTGAAACTCATCTTTTGTTGGTAGGAATGGGAAATGGTACAGCCACTCTGGAAAACAGTTTGGCAGTTTTTTTTAGACATTTAAATACACAGCTATCATGTGTCCTAGCAATTCCAGACCTGGACATTTACCCTAGAAAAATAAAACTTTTGTTTACCCAGAAACCTGTACATGAATGTTTACAGTAACTGTACTCATAACTAACATAAACTGGACATAAGCCAAATGCCCTTCAATGGATAAACCAATAGTGGCACATCCATGTAATAGAATTCTACTCAACAAATAAAAGTAATAAACTGTTGATAGACATAACGTGGTGCTCCTGAAGGCATGCTGTATCATAAAGGTCAGTCTTAAAAGTTTTATACTGCATACTTTCTGTTTATATGACATTTTCAAAGAATTATAGTGAGCAAGAAATCAAATCAGGGGTTGATAGTGATTAGGATTAGGGAGAAATTATGACTAGAAAGATATAGCACAAAGGAATTTTTGGAGTGATGTAATTATTCTCTATCCTGATTATAATGATGGTTACATCAATCTATACGTGTATTAAAATTAATAGAACTACATAGCAAAACATAACTTTCAATATAATTTAAAAAACAAAAATGAGAAAAAATTAAACTATAACAGTTAAAAATTGTAAGCAAAATTAACAAATATGCTTTTTAGATTCATAAAAGTAAGACAGTAAGGGAAAAGGGATTTATGAAGACTTCAATGATTCTGACTTAGGTGATTAAGCAAAAAGTAGTGACCTCATAATACAGAAAGAGGAACAGATTTTGTGGGGAAATAATTCAGTTTTGAATGTATGGAGTTTGAGGTATCCATTATACATACAGGACAATAGTAAAAGTTATAAAAGGAGAGCAAGACAGCTTGTAGCCTAGGAGGTGCAGTAAACTTATAATTCTGGGGAACATCACCATTTAAGAGACAGGAAGAAGCCAGGAGCCAAGGAAGTGACTGCAGAGTCACCCTACCATTTCCACTCTCACACATCCAGACTATTTCTGCTCCTGTTTTTATTTGCTTTTTTTTTTTTTTTTTGGACAGGTCTGGGATATTTCATTATATACTCCTTTACTTAAAGGTCTTCTGAGGCTTTCATCATTTAAATGATAGATTTGAACTATCTGAGATAACATCGAGCCTAAACCACAATCCCAGACAAAGAAGTCACAAAGGACAAGTAAAAACATATGTGTTAGTATGCTTCATATTATTTTAACGAAGTCAATCAATAACAAATGCACTAACAATTTTGTGTCCTTGCCAACACTGTTTTGATTTAGGTCTGTATATATGGATGTATTTTATTTAATACACAGGTGTATACACACAACACACACGCATGTTTATCTCTCTTTTTTTCCATCTCTGTGTCCCTCCCTTCCTAAAAAGTTCATAGAAATTCCACACTGTTCATGTTGCCTTCCTCTTTCTCTGAAGTCATGTAATACCTCTCGTCTGTGCTAGTTGTCTGAAAGTATTTGTAATCTAGTTTTTATTAGTTTATTTTTATGTATTTATATATTATTTCACTGTCTCTAGTGGATTTTAAGACCCCAAGAATAAGAATTATGCTTATGTCATATCTGACTATGCTTATATCTTATTTTGCTTAAAATTCTTCAGCAGATCTCCAGTTCTTGAATGATAAATTCCAAATATCTTTGATGGCAGACAAGGTCCTTAGCGTGACCCTAAACTACTCTATTTCAGCCTTCTCTGCCATAATAAACACCAATTATGCCAAATTAGTGGTCTTTTTAAAACAATTTATGATTTTCATGTTCCTGATATTTGTGTGTGTTGTTTATGTCTCTCTTTCCTAATGAACTTCTGTTCAGAATAACTGAACTCTTTTTTCTCATGTAACAGTATTGTTCCATCTTCTGGCTTCCATGGCTTCCACCTCATCTTGGGATAACCATTTATCATCTTGTACTGTGCTTTTGCCTTTGTGTGTCTTTTCCCCATCATATTGTGAACTTGTAGTAGGAACTGGCTTTAACTCGTCTTTGAAGTTGTAGTATTTGTAGCTATTTCACTGCTATGTTAAAAAGGATACAAAGTAAATAGTTTTGAATAAGGAAATGAATTAATGCTTTTCTTCCCATGCCTATCAATGTGTCTTATTCAGTGTCTTAATCAACAATGAGTTAACTGAAAAAAGTATAAGATATGATAGAAAGCTATTGAATCTCTCATGGAGATATAAATTTGAGTTCAAATTCAACCTCTTTAACAAGTAGCCTTACTCAGTAAGCTTGATTTCTTTCTGTCTTTTTAAAAAAATATTATGTACTGGGCCGGGCATGGTGGGTCATGCCTGTAATCCCAGCACTTTGGGAGGCTGAGGCGGGCAGATCATCTGAGGTCAGGAGTTCAAGACCAGCCTAGCTAATATGGCGAAACCCTGTCTCTACTAAAAATACAAAAATTAGCCTGGCATAGTGGTGGGTGCCTTTAATCCCAGCTACTTGGGAGGCTGAAGCAGGAGAATCACTTGATCCTGGGAGGTGGAGGTTGCAGTGAGCCAAGATGGTGCCACTACACTCCAGCCTGGGTGACAAAGCAAGAGTCTGGACTATATCACTGTTTCTAGGAAGTTCAATGTATTAGTCTGTTCTTGCACTACTATAAGGAAATACCTGAAAGTGGATAATTTATAAAGAAAAGAGGTTCAGGTGACTCACAGTTCTACAGGCTGTACAGGAAGCATGGCTGTAAGGCCGCAGGGAGCTTTAGCTCATGGCAGAAGTCAAAGCAGGAGTGGACGTCTTTACATTGCTAGAGCAGGAGGAAGTGGGGAAGGTGCCACACAGGTGTATACAACCGTATCTTGTGGGAACTCAATATCTTCAGAAAAGCACCCGGTGGGATGGTTTTAAACCATTAGAAACTGCCCACATGATCCAGTCACTTCCCAACAGGCCCCACGTCCAACACTGAGGATTACAGTTGGACAGGAGATTTGGCTAGGGACACAGAGCCAAACCATATCATTCAGTAATCATGTATGTTCATTCATTCTGTGGGATGTCAAAAGAGAAGCTACAGATAGACAGAAATATATTGTTTTTAGATTAGAGCTTTAAAATTTTTATTTTAGCAGCAAACTTTTCTTTTCATAATAAATCCTCTTTAAGACCCTAGTTTTGGAAAAAAAGAAAACATAAAATAAATTTCTGATGGAGGCCATGGTTTTAAAAAGGAGATCAGGAATGTCATCATTTTAATCCCCTGCATACATATTCACACACTGATACACTCATATCATACACATATGCACACTCTGAGACACTTCTGCAAAAATGTGAAAGAATATACATAAAAAATTCTCTTAGATGACAAAAAATAAAACACAAGACAAAACCTCCACAGGAAAGCAGTTGATAAAATAAATGCTACAGTTGGACTCAGAAGATCTGGATTTATAAGTTGGTCCTAGTAAATTATAGTTGTATGACTTTAAATATTTATCTAACTATTTTAGTTTCACTTTAAAATTTTCAGATGGAGGTGGTGATACCCACCTACATAGCTGCTGTGAATCCTAAATTGAAAGAGCAAACATAATTTGTAAACTACAAAATAGTATACTATTATGAGCTACCATTTTTACTGTTATCAGGACTTGGACAGTATGATTTTTATTTATTTAATAATAATTTTGTGTTGTGAATATTTGAAAACTATGATAAGAAGACATAGTGAAAGATGCATCTATTGGCTACCAATAGTAGCGTCCATGTTCTTTCAATTAATAAAAGAAAAAAGGGAGCTGAAATATGGTAAATCATGGGATCATAATCTCCGATTGCCTAGATGAGGTAAATGATTCTACCATTAAATTAGAAATATCCTAATCCACAAAGTTAGAAGGATAAAATATTTCTATCTTAGTGCCATGGCGTTTATCCCCTATTGAGTAACTACCATGATTCTCAAGCTGAATGTCAGTTGTAGAAAAATGCTGCTCTTAAAGTCATTTGTGTGTTTGGGAATGTTATGTTTTCAAGGATGAATGCTTATACTGTAAAAAATTAGTCTTCATGGGTATACCATTACAAACCTGAAATAGAAATAAAATGTTATATTTGTGGGCTTTTGTTGACTTTGAAAATGTTAAAAAAAGATTTTAAAAAAGTGAAGATTATGGGAAAACACAGATACTCCAAGAGCTGAAAAACAAATTATGCTGCTAAGCAATATGAAAATCAAGGTGATTTGCCTTCTAATGAATCAAAAAGAATGCAATGGAAAGAGAAAATCTGAAGTAAATCTCTGACTTTACTGTGACTTGGTGATTATAGTACCCTGAAACATAATCTTTTTTTTTTTGCATTTTTAAAAGACAGATATGGAATACAAAAAGACTTTCAAGGGGAACATGCAGTAACTGTAACAGTTTCCTTTATATATATATATATAAAAAAATAAGGCAAAACAAAAACAAAAAGGCCACCGTGACCTGATTAAGAAATACTCATCAGAAGTAGCAATGACTTTGACCCATCCATTTTCAAGAAAAAAAAGAATGCTGTGAACAGACAGAACCCAGAACAGTGAGAACATTCTCCTGATCATTTTCAGAACACAGATATTAGCTGAAAACTACTAGGTAATGAACTTTATACAATGCTTTATTTTTTAAAAAAGTCAGGGGCCTTAGATGATGCATATAAAATTCATGCTTTTTTTTTTTTTCAGTTAGATATGGGAGAAGCAATCCCTGTCAGTGAGACATACTGGTGAAAATGTCCATAGCAAATTGGTCATTGAGTAAGCATTACCAATACAGCCAAGAGAAGAGAAGTGAGATTCCAAGATGAGACTGCATTCAAATTTTACAAAATACGTTTCATGATAGGCTAGGTGGTTATAGGCTCATTTTGCAGAAGATAAACTCAGATTCAGAAAAGTAAATTAATTAATGTAACAAGTCATCAGGATTTGTGTTAGGAAATAGGTAGACATAGTTGCATCTGTGAAGTTATATTTGTCCTTAAGGAGTCTGCAGTGTAGTGGAGAAGACAAAAAAAAAAATCAACAATTACAGAATAGCTCCATAGTTGCCAAGATCAGCATATAGGCAAAATGCTAAAAGCATATAGAAGTGGAACAAGTAGATCTGAGTAGCTTGTCTAGGAAGAGTTCACAGAGTAGGATGACCTCTAAGATAATTTTTAAAATATAAATAAAAGTTTGCTAGATGAAGTGAAATCACAATATGAAATAATTCTAGGAAGCTACAAGTAGCAGATGTGGGGTAGAACAAGGGTAATTAGTCTGGGAAGGGGACAGATGTTTGGAGACAATTCTCCATAAACTTTGCACATTTCTTCATATCTCAATCTTAACAGACAATTTGCTCAGATTTATTTATATTCTTCAATATTAAAGGCTAATATCTCCCTTTCCAAAGACATTACAGTACAGTACAAAGAATGCTCCCTATCCTCCCTGGAGAAGATTTGTTTACATTCCTATTAAGACAATATTTCTCTCCAGAAGGGAGAATGATCAGTGTTTTTTAAATTTTAAATTTTAATTTTTTTGCAGTCTCTTTATAAGATTAGAAATTCCCCCTCCCTCCCAAATAAGAAAGAAAGAAAGAAAGAAAGAAAGAAAGAGAAAGAAAGAAAGAAAGAAGGAAAGAAAGAAAGAAAAGAAACAAAGATTAAGAGTTTCCTGAGCTCATGGCTCCTCAGCTGTGACAGACACACTGTATGTACATCTGCCAATTCCCATCTCCATATCAACCCAATGGGACTTGAGGGGAAAGGAGAATTGAATTGAGCAAGAAGCTCATGCTGTCTCCTGTGCTATGACTAATACTTTTTTAAAATTCATTTGAGCTCATTGTCTCCTTACCAGCCTGATCTAAGGAAGTGTGATGAGTCAGATTAGCAGTTACCATCATACTGCTGCTTAGAAACTACTTGACTACTTGACTGACAGTAGGTAAGGATCAGGGATAGGCAGGAGAGAAGGTAAGAGGCTACACGTTAAACCAGCCATCAATGCACCTCTCACACCAATGCCAAAGCAAAGTTGGCTTTTAGCTACCCACGAATATAGTTAGGTAGAACCCTGAACTTACTATAGGGTTTGTCACGCCTGTAATCCCAGCACTTTGGGAGGCCGAGGCGGACGGATCACGAGGTCAGGAGATCGAGACCATCTTGGCTAACACGGTGAAACTCCGTCTCTACTAAAAATAACAACCAAAAAAATTAGCCCGGCGTGGTGGGCGGCAGCTGTAGTCCCAGCTACTTGGGAGACTGAGGCAGGAGAATGGCCTAAGCCTGGGAGGCGGAGCTTGCAGTGAGCCGAGATGGCACCACTGCACTCCAGCCTGGGCGACGGAGCGAGACTCTGTCTCAAAAAAAAAAAAAAAAAAAAAAAGTTTGTTAGCCAAAAAAGTAGAATCCCTGATTATCTTTAAGTGGTCTACAGACCTTCTTGGCCTTGCCAGGAAACCGGCTAATATTGTCAGATCCTTGTTGATAAAACTGAATCTTACAATTACATTGCTTTGCAAACAAGTTGAGTGGAGACTTGAGGAGCTTTCAAAAATATGTTATCTGGAGTTAGGAAAAGAACAAGATATTGTTCTGGTTTTATTGTGTACTAATAAATCAATTACAGAGTTTTGAAATTTTAACACGCAATATGTCTATTCTAAAAGTTGATGTTGAATTCCTTTAATGTTTCAAATTATATTCAATAAAAAGTATCAGTTTTTCATGTGAAACACATATAGAATACTATGATGACCTCATTCTGGTTAATGAGTTGTTAACATGTGAGATCGATTGTCAGATTTGTTTTGTTTTGTTCTAAGATGACTTACTGAAAATTGTATAAACCCCATTAGTCCAGTTTTATATTTTTAAAAATGTAATTGGGACATATAGTTCTGTTGACATATTTGATTTGATTACATCAGTGTGAAGGTATGCTGGTTATTTATAGTACTAAGTTCAAATTTGTGCAATTCTGGAACAAACATTGTTTAATCTTCAAATATTTATGGATGTTTTAGTAACATAATAATGCCCACAACCCTGAGTTTAAGAGTTGATGATTAGTCATTTTGCTCACTATTCAAAATAGAGAATAACCTCACTTAGCTAAGCTTTTTTTTTTTATCTATAATAGTCAGTTTGTAGAAAAATATTAATAGAATCCAGGTGCAATACCATGAGAGGAATCAAATGCGTTGAGCGTAGAGTAGGTAGACACAAATTCAGAGAGAACCTCCTGTTTCTCTATTCAGCATATTTTGTCAGTATATTAGTTGATTCAGCATGATCTTGTCTTTTCTAATAAAATACTTTAAACAAGCAAGAACTCTCAGAATAACCATATATCCAGATGATATTTGTTCCTTCTCCATCCCGATTCATGATACCTCACTTATCTGGAAGTCAGACTTCTGGTATCCTTACCCTAAGCCTCGAACAGATAGATAGAGAGAGAGATAGTTTTTTTTTTTTTTTTTTTTTTGAGACAGAGTCTCGCTCTGTCACCCAGGCTGGAGCGCAGTGGCGCAATCTTGGCTCACTGCAAGCTCCGCCTCCCAGGTTCACGCCATTCTCCTGCCTCAGCCTCCTGAGTAGCTGGGACTACAGGTGCCCGCCACCACACCCGGCTAATTTTTCGTATTTTTAGTAGAGACAGGGTTTCACTGTGTTGGCCAGGATGGTCTCGATCTCCTGACCTCGGGATCCACCAGCCTCGGCCTCCCTTTTTTTTTTTTTTTTGACGGAGTTTTGCTCTTGTCCCCCAGGCTGGATTACAATGGTGCAATCTCAGCTCACTTTGACCTCCTCTTCCCGGTTTTCAGTGATTCTTCTGCCTCAGCCTCTCCAGTAGCTGAGATTACAGGAGCCTGCCACCATACCCAGCTAATTTTTGTAATTTTAGTGGAGACAGGGTTTCACCATGTTGGCCAGGCTGGTCTCGAACTCCTGACCTCAGGTGATCCACCCACCTCGGCCTCCCAAAGTGTTGTGATTACAGGCATAAGCCACTGTGCCTGGTCAGCCTCAAACATTTTAAAACTATTACAAAACCACCAAAACTAAAGTTTTATATTTTTATGATATGGTCATTGCAATTAGAGTTGAAAATTTCAGAGATTGCTGACATGACCCTTTTGTATTGCTAATAAAGAAGCTAGAACTCAAAAAGGTAGTCATTTAAAGAAGATCACCAGTTAATATGTAATGGAGATAGTAACAGAATTTAGGTCAACTCTCTGCTTCTTTGTCTAGAAACACACTCACAACCACCTCCCACCCCCTCAGGTGCTTTAAATCTGATTGCTTCTCCTCAGAACTCTTCCTGCATTAGACAGATTTGCCTGAGCCCAGCATTCATGATGTAGTAATGGCCACTGACAAATGACTGGCAACATCTTATCCTTCCATTTGCACTGTGTATGCTCTAAGGTTCATGAGGAGAAATACTCCCAGAACAGTAACTGAGTGAGATATGAATACCACGTAATTATTAGCTTTGCAGGAGCAGAATACCTTGAAGTAGAGCTCTCTTGCAAATCAGATTAGAGGGCTTAAATATTGAGTCCTAACTGGAAACTGCCACTCTTCCCTGAAGTTATATCTTGGGTCTAGCACAGACTATAGGAACCTAAAACCACTAATTTACACATATGATCCTGTGGAAGGATTGAGCATGAGGAGAGAGGAGGAGAAGGAAAAAATTAGCTAATGTTTCTTGTGCATTTTACCAGATGATAAGCATGGTTCTAAATGTTCTATAGATAGTCTCATTTAATAATTACAACAACTCATTAAGATAGGCTTCCTTCTTTTGGATTTTACAGATGATAAAAGTGAGGTATAGAGATTGAGTATTCTGTCACAGGTTACAGCTGAGAAAGTTAAGATCATGGAGCCAGTGTTCTTACCCACTGCATTAAACTGGCTGTCTATGTATGTGAATGTACATGCATGAGTGCATATATATGTGTGTAGGTAGATAGATTACAGATAGATAGATGGACCTAGTATATAGAGGCATGTATATATGTATACAGAATAACCTAACCATGTATCTGGATGACAATTTTTCTTTTTTTTATTTAGATTCATGATATCTTACTTATCTGGAAGTCAGACTTCTGGTATCCTTATCCTAAGCATTAACCTGAATATAAATAAACATTTTTAAATTATCACATTATATAGATGTGTGCACACCTATATACTAGGTCGGTCGGTCTGTCTCTCTCTCTCTCTCTCTCTCTCTCACTCTTTATCTATCTACCTACCCATCTGTCTTTCAATCGCTCCATCTAGAGAAGAAGATGATTGGAAACAAATTAGTTAATTAACATGCTTCCAAACTACAGCCTAAGAAATTTATCTATATTGCTCTGTCCAGCAATATAGAAAAGAGGAAAAGGCAGACTATACTTTCAACATTCATTGACCATGTACATTTGTAAACATGGTCCAACTAATGTCTTGAAATGTGATCTATTATTTTAATTCCCTTCTTTTTAGGAGAAGGCAGCAAAGGGATATATGGAGAAATAACTTGGTGGAATAGGCATAACATGATGTAGTAGAAAGAAAAATTTGTTTTCTGAAAAATATAGATGTGGATTTGAATCTAACTATTCCTGTGTTCTTGGAAAATTTATTAAGGTTTACCGAGACTCAGTTTGCTTATCCACACAAAGAGCTCTTTTGAGCAGTAAATACTATTTTATCCCTGTTTATTTGTCAGTGCCCCCAGATTTCACCCATCCACGACTGTGACTATCACCATTGGCACGATTACACTAAAATTGTTCTTGCAATTTCCTCACTGCAATTAGTGGCTCCTTACATTTTACTTTGCTCAACTTCATGCATGTAAATATTTGGTAAACTCCATATGTCCTTCAGGTAACTCAATTTAAAAGATCTAAAATCAAACTCATTATCTTTGCTCTTTAACACTGCTCTCTTCCCTGTGTTGCCTGCTTGAATAACATTACTTTTATTCCAGTTACTGGATCCAGAAGTCTGCGAGTCATTTTAAGTTCTTTCTTTTTATAGCCACATACAGTCACTAAGCCCTGTGAATTTCATCTCATTTATCTCTCATTGTTAGCTCCTTCCTTTTTTCCCCTTTGCTGCTACCATCACTTTTTTGCTAGATTGATGCAATAGGTTAAAAACAGGTCCTGCTGCCGTGATATTTCCCCTGACTTCTCTCATCCAGCCCCAAAATTGCTGCCAGAATGATGTTTGTAAATGAAAATTATATGTTATTGTAGGGCCTAAAGCCCTTCAATGATTTATCAGGGCTTTCCAGATAAAGCTCCAACTCTCTGGGTTTGCACAAACAGGTCTACATCAAGGATTCACAAACTTGGCACTACTGACATTTTGGGCCAGATAATTCCTTGTTGTGGGGGACTTCCTTGTACGTTGTAGGATGTTTAGCACTATCTCTGGCCTTCATCTACTACATGAGAGGAGTATTCCCTGCCCATTGTAGCAACCCACAAAATGTGCCCTGACATTGACAAATGTTTCTGGGGGACAAAGTCTTCATCGGTTGGGAACCACTGGTTTACCTGATTTGCCTACTGCATTTTCATTTCCCCACAAAAATACACACCCCATTTCATAGTTTTCCTCTCTATATAATAAATCTTTCATTCTGTCCATCCTAATCATTTCCACTTTCTTTCCGTGGCCATGCTTTTCCACAGTTCTGCTTTATAATATAATATTATTTTAGATTATAATGTCCTTTCCTTTATCGAGTTAACTTATACTTATTAACTTAAAATCTCACCTCAGGCAATGTTTTCTCCTTGGAAGCATTTCCTATTGTCGATCTAGATAAATTCTGAAAATACTTTTATCAAATCACTTACATCGCATCTTGTTAAAAAATTAACTTATCTGTATCATACTATCCATTCTTGACAAGCACATGTCTTACTTGGTTTGTACTCCCAATGCCTTGCCACAGATGACAAGCTCAGTAGATGTCTCTCTGTGTAAATGAATATTCATCTTATAAGAATAAAGGAAATCATTAAGGTAAAGCACTATTTTTAATATCTTTTACATAATCATCACAAGTTTAATGTTAATTGTGTTTTTATGCATTTCTTAAACCTTGCAATAGGATTATTTATATTAGGTTTTAAAAAGTTTGGGTTTTCAGAGTATTTCAAATTCTGAAATTTTAGATAAAATATTATAAACATATAGCTCACCTTTTAGCCACACAGACTATCAATCCAGTGAGACTCATCTTTTCATTGTTATCTGTTCAATCTTTGCTGCTTTCCAACTTTAGTCCTTCACAATTTCTTCTTTTTGGGTCTCTAATCTCTTCACCTCTATAAATTATTCTAATCCTTAAAGGCCAACTCAATTCCGCTTCCTCCATGAAGGCTTCTCCAGATGTTCTAGTTCATGTCATTTTTTTCCATCGTAAGAAAACTATGCCTATTTTCTCCCTTTGATTAGAAAACTCTAAAGAAACTTGGTTTATTTCACTTTTACCTAGATTAGAAGGAAAATGGAATACAAAGACCAGCTAAGGACAATCAACCTAAAAATATGGGTGAGAGGAAAATCATCTAAACAACAAACAGAACTATGTTACCTAGTATAGTCTGTGACTGTTTGCAATGACCTTATTTCTCAAGAGATATATGTTGCATATAACTTTATTTGAGAAATTATGGAAATAATCTTGTTTCATAAAAGTTTTCTAGCAAAAATTATTTAAAAATATATTTAACTCTTGAAACATTTAATAATCAGAAAAATAATTTGATTTTCTGCAGCCCTTGATTATCATAGAGTGCAAGAAAAATAAATGACCATGAATGTTGACCCATCTTCCAAGTGATATCTGCCCAAAGTCCACGTTTATTAGTCTTCCTTGTGGATAATTTGAAAATCTATTTCATCAGATTGTGGTATTAGCCCTAAAACAGCAAAAATGAAATTATTACTGTAATCCAGTAATTTGCCAAAAAAAAAGCCTTTAACATTTTATCTAAATTTAATGGCATGATTTCTTTTTCAACAGTTATGTTATTACAAATATTTTATTTGCAAGAAGAGTCCTTTCTAATCCAGTTTCCTATTCTCTGTGTTAGATGGAGGTCTCTGTGTTTACAATGGATTATTCATTGGAAAAGGAGAAACAATACCATCCTGAATAAAATATTTTACTTTTGAACCGTATATATGAAAAATTTAAACAAAAGAGAACTTACTGTGCTATTTTGTATTTTCCATGGCTTTTGGAATATTGATAAGCATTTATTAATGTATATCTAGAGAAGCAAGTTATTGTGTTCTTGATTGTTGGCATCACATTTATTATTCCAATTTTAAAATATAATAAAATAAGATTTCCTTATACAGACTTTCTTAATACAAGAAAGTAAGATATCCTCAAAAATCAGGCTTCATGTCCTTGCCTCGAATCAGTAATTTAGTAGCATTTATTAGACAGATTGGACAATATCAAACACGTACAGCCTTTATGAAAAGTAATTGAGGAGCACAAACAATACCCTAACTGAAATCCATCTTCCTCTCCCATCCTCTTAATCTGATCTAAATATATGTCATTTTCAGAATCCTTGATATAACTGATATTTAAAAATTGAATTATCAAGGGAAAGATAGAAAGGAGACAAACGGTTAATTATCTGGGAAATCAGAATCTGGAATAACATGACAGGAGCAAAAAGTATTTGCCATAACCACAACAAAACCATGAAGAAAACCAGTGTTCGCATGGGTGTACTTATTAGGAGATGCTCTTTCTTATTTTCTTTTCCTTATAATTCATTATATAAAGGAAAGAGTATTTATTTTTTAGAGTTTCTTTATGGTCAGGACTACTCTATTATTGTTTATGCTGCTGTTTGGGAGAGGGTCTTGTTCAGGTATGTGTGTATGTGTGTGTGTGGTTTCCTTGTTCATCTGTGTGTGTGTGGTTTCCTTGTTCAGGTGTGTATGTGTGTGTGTGTGTGTGATTTCTTTGTTCAGGTATGTGAGTACATGTATATGTGTGTGGTTTCCTTGTTCAGGTGTGTGTGTGTGTGTGTGTGTGTGTGTGTGGTTTCCTTGTTCAGGTGTGTGTGTGTGTGTGTGATTTCCTTGCTCAGGTATGTGAGTACATGTATGTGTGTGTGGTTTCCTTGTTCAGATGTGTGTGTGTGTGTGTGGTTTCCTCGTTCAGGTGTGTGTGTGTGTGTGGTTTCCTTGTTCAGGTATGTGTGTATGTGTGTGTGTGTTTTCCTTTGCACTACCATGGCATCTATTTTTCACTTTTAAGCTGAGTTCTGAGTTTGTGGAAAGGTTGGGAAGAAGTTATGTAATGCTCCACTGGACCAGAAAACTAGTGATGAGTGGAAACTCCAAGAGGTCTAGAGGTACAGCCAAGTTGGAGTAACATCTGTGAGTCTTGATGTTTATTAGGACTAGGAAAAACCTCTTGAGTCTACATAAATGACCCGTGAATTTAGTGATAAAAAAGGATTTTGACAAGGTTTTCAGGATTTCCTGCATCCAGAGAGAATGGAAATCTTTGAGAAGAGCCATTAGGTCAGAATACAGAAGTTTAGGGAGCATTTAAATGAAAAAAAGAATGGAAAAAATTAATCTTACATGACAAGAATTTGGGTTCAAATTTAAGGATTGTGTTTGATATTTTATATATTTTTGAATAACTTGCTTAAGCCATTTGAAAGTAGATCGTTGGATCATTAAAAACACACAAACATTTATTTTATACCTGACTTTCGGAGTTTGTGAAATATGCTGTATTGGATATTTGTACTTGTGTTCCTACTACTTTTATTGTCTATTTTTGTTTTGAGGAATGAGATTGAAGGTACTATGGAACTACGTAAATTTATCAGTTTTAAGGTGGAAAAATATAGGCAGGAGAATACTTCAGTTTTCTTCTGTATCAATGGTTCATATTTTGTCCTAGCTAGCTGGCACATCTCATGCAAAAATAGTGAAGACATTAGTAGTAGCAGCAGCAGCAGCAGCAGTAGTAATAGTAATTTCCAGAATAACACTCCTTTTCCTAAGCATTTTATATGTAATATCTTATTTAATCTTCTTTATGACTTGCTGATGAAGGTATTGTTGTCTTCATTTTGCAATGAGTAAACAAATATGCAGAAAAATCTTCAAGCTCAGATAATATGTAAGTTATAGGACTGCAATTTTAATCTTGGATATTCGTATCTCAAAACTCCTGCTCTACTGAGCATGCTGATTTGCAAAATCAATAATTTTGAATGGGATGCTACATCTCTTCAATAGCTGATTTAAATTTAAGATGCCTTTAATTCTATATTTGTGGTTTAGAAATAAAGACATAAGAAGGGGAACATGTAGAATTGTGATATGTAGGGGAGGTTGTAAATTTACCCAGATCGTGGGCAGAAATGCTTAGTTTTTACTCTTTTTCCTATGTATCCCTAAATGGTGATATTTAGGGTATTGGAAAATACGTCATCTCTCAAGTCTCACAGCAAAGAGAGAGATTCTTAATTGTGCAAAGGATGGTCCATATTGATTCAAGAATCACCCTACACAGCTTCCTCTTCCTAGATTTCAAAAAGGGAATGTAATCCTATCTTCTCTGCTTTCAGTTTTTCCCTCAACAATTCGAATATCCCACCAGGACTCGGACATACCTAAAGCTCAGGCTGTAATGTCACCCTGTCTCTCTTCTGTTCCCCAAGATACCCCGGTATCAGGTAGAGATTTTCTATTGCTCCTCTTATATTAAAAATGTATTCTTTTACAGGGAAGCCCACCTTTGACTTAGTATTTGCTATAGTACTCTGTATTAGAAAATCTTTTCCCTTGCCCATTCCTTAAGCCCATTGTCTTGCTTAAAGAGGAGTACGTCTGTCCTCTCTTGTCATGGATTGATAAAACTCAGGGCTCAGCCTCAAAGTGGAAAGCTGCTGGGAATAAGATTTAAGTAGGGAGACAATGCACTGGGTTAATATTTTCAAACATTAACAATAATTTCAACAATTTTCAAGCATCAATAATCAATGTCACTGTTAACAAGGGGATCACTGAAGAAGGGGCCATTGCCTCCTGTGAGTTCATAAAATGGGACCCCATGAGAAGAGGTAAATTGGCTTCATTTACAAGACTAGAAAGCTCTAGTGCATACTATTGGGCCGGTTGCTTGGCTTTGAACAAGTCACTTAACTTTTCTCTATTTAATATCCTTCCTTATCAAATATACTAAAACAGCTATTTTACCAACATTGTGGGTAGATGATGGAAGTCAGATTGTTTTGTAAACTACAAATTTAAAATATAAGTTTTTGTATTTCACTTTTATATTATCTGGATCATAAAAGACCAGTGGAAAACAAGTTACTGTTTATTCATCTATATCCTTCAGAGCTAAAAAAGGATTGGTGCCATGCACTTCCATGACTGTCACACCTCTCAGTAATCTATTGCTGGATTTTACTTCATTGCTGGCTCTAGGGTGGACACATGGATCAGACACATACAATCAGGGCATTGTATTTCCAAAGGCCCTAGATGTTGACTCAGTAATAGGAATATGAGCGGGTTATAACCAAAGAGAAACAATTAACTATTTTTCATACTGTTAAAAAAGGACCTCATATTCTTTCTTGAGACAACCTAAACAGAGCTGCTGGAAAATTTTTATGGAGTATGACCATTAAGTCAGTATAGCAAAATTCAAAACTATAAAATGTAGAAAAGCTGAGCTCTGATAACATTGTTTTAGCTCTTGATTAAAGCTGTGCCTGATTTCTTTACTTTTTAGTTTTACAAGCCAATGTTTGTTTGTTTGTTTTTAATAATTTATTTACTATTAACTAGTATACCTAAAAATTGCTGAAACAATTTGGGTAACTAGATGGAAACTGACTTCAAAAAAGCTTCAAGAGTACTGAGGTCATCAGGAACTGCTCTTTATGCCCTTTATTCTCAGCTCTTAATGCTAGCCTGCCACATTATATGTTTTCATGTTACATGGCTGTTTAATTACTTAATGAAGATTTGTTTATTGAATTAACAGTTTTTGATAAAGAACAAAGTTTAAAGAAGATAAAGAGGAAGCTATGATTAAAAATATTTTGTTATATCTTATAACCCTTTAGAAATGAAGTTCTTTAGACAGAGTATTCTTAAACACAATTCTTATTATAAATCCTCAGAAGAACAGTATATAAAGCCTTTGTTATTTCTTACCCACGTGGAACAAAACTCTCACATGTCATTACATAGAATCATTTAATAATACACAATGAAGGAGTGGGTGTAGTTGGGGATGTGTAAGTTTTCTTTAATTTTACGTGAAACTGCGAATCCTGTAAGTAGAATGTCAAGAGAATGAGGAAGCACATCTTAACTTTCTCTGCTGCAAATGAAAGTACTAAGTAACCCATTACTTGGTGACACCTATTCTCGTAAAATATCTTAACAAACTGCCGACATACAATTTCTTGGGCAGTTTCAGGCTGCAGGTTTTTGTAGGTGAGATGTACTGTCAATCATTGCATGCACTAGCTCCCAGAAAGAGGAGAATCCAAATTAAGTAGGAGTGGTCCTCCGCATCAGTGTCTAGGCATAGTACATAGCATCACTAATTTTACAGCACGCTTTCTTTTCTCCCCTCACCGCCCGTACTCCGTAAGATTGAGAATGAGGAATTTAAAATATTCTAAACATTCCCTAAATATTCTGTGTTATCTACAGGAATTTTTGTAATCGTACACTTTGATGTTATTTTATTTCCTTACTGCGCACTCATGAAGAAAAAGGATTCTAGGAGAAAATCTAATTATAAGACTAATCACAATGAAGTAAGAAAGGTTTGCATAATTATTATAAAAGTAATTTAAAATAAATGAGTAGACACTATTGTGGCTATTTTGGGGCATTATACTTCTTTGGATAATAAAGGTAATTATGAAATCTCATAATATATTGTACACAATTATGCTGTAGAACCTTGCTATTCAAGGTGTGTTCCATAGTCTAGAAACATTGGCATCATCTGAGAAATTACTAATAATGTAGTATTTCAGGCTCCATGCCAAATCTACTGAATCAGAATCAATCTTTTCCCAAGATCCCCAGGTAATTTTTATGAGCATTAAGGTTTGAGAAGCACTGCTCTATATCAGAATATCATTGGATTTAAAGATATTATTTCATATTAAGGTTAAAAATCTGGTTGCTTAGGATTTAGGTTTTCTAATTTACAGTATAATTTGTATTCCAGTTCTTCTCCTTTTCTTGTAACCCAGCAAGACAGACTTGACTCATGTATTACATGTTGCTCTATAAAATTGAAACGAGAAAAGCACTGCAACTTGCGATTCAATACACAGTGACAGACTATGGATCAAGAACACTATTCTGACAACTGTATTATCTACCTGAATATGCATGCTACAATTTGGCTAATCCCCAAAGTCAATGTTGGTTACAGTTGATTGATAAAAATATGCTTTCTTATTCAAGGTCAAATTAATTTGGAAGAATTTTCTTTTGCTTACTAAGCAGCCTCCATGAGAAATCCCAGTCTGACATTATAGCTGTGCAGCATGCATTTTCTCACCCTAATATACAACCCTCACCTCAACTTCAGTGTATGTGATATACTATATGTTAATGCTTAAAAAAAATTGTCTCAAAATATCAGCTTATTCAGATTTGCCTCACTTGACCTGAAATAATTTACAATTACAGATGCTGCTTGGACATGTCCTGAGGAACATTTCAAGTAAGAGTAGGAAAAAAAAAAAAAACAACAAAAAAACACTGCTTTTTAGAGACTACATTATGTGCCTGAAATAGCAATATTAATGGTCAAAGGGTAAAGATATTTTAGGACAAGTTCATGAAAAACAATAAAAAATAGTAATAACTGTATTTGTTGACGATATTACAAATATGTGTTTGCTTTACTCAAATACACAATATAGTCCTTATTTGCTAGAATTAAGAACATTCTGTTGAAATATGTGCCAATATTATTTGATCTAGGGGAAGGCATAAAGCAACTTTAGGTCTCTTACAATTGGAAGACTTGTTGTGGTAACAAGGAAAACTATAGGAATTTAATTTTGCTGAACTGTTTTTGCATTATGAAGAAGGCTATAGTAAAATTGAAAAGCTGTTCTCTCGGGATTCTAATGAATATAAATTTATCCCAGTGATCTAGTTTTTAAATGAGTGAAAATCTATAGGCATCTCTTTTAGTATAGTTGATAAAGTCTAAAAGTGTAGGCTTTTATCAGTAGATTTTTAAATAAAATATTTGCAAAATAAGTTACCTAATCTCAGCAGATAAAGATGGTGAGACTTCATGGTTAATTTAGAATATTTCGGCAAGCCCAGGGTTCCTCCCTCAAAGGAGCTCTTGTCTACTTAAACTAACCTTTGAAGTGACATTCATATTTTCATCTGCAGACTTCCCCTCCAGCCATTTTGCTTTTCCTCTTCCAAGCCATTATTATGATCTCCATTTCCTGAAACCTAGGTGAGAAAGCCAGTCTGAAAGAGACACATGAGAGATAACTGAAGATTTCTGTACATATTTTAAAAGGAGATAAAGTGAAGAATTATTACTTCTTTTAGTAGCCTCTCCTCCACTTTCTATTAAAAAATTTCCATACTTAAAGAGTTATTTTAAATTTGACTTCTTTAGGAAAACAACCCCAAATTCATATAGCTAAAATTGATCCTTCTTTAATCCATACAAATAAGCTAATTCTTATCTCTAACCCCTATATTGTACCCTTAAAATTTCTTCTCTTGTTTCTTGTGTATGTTTGTATCCATAGCACATTTTCAGAGCAAAGCTTGATTGAGACAGAAACAGCACAAGTTACAAATCTTTGTGTTAGTGTAGTACCTGGTATGGTGACTAACACATAGCAAATCTAATGTTTGTCAAGTGAATGTTTCAAGAGTAAAATGAATGAATCCAGTTGTTCAACATAAATCCTATTTTAGGAGCCAAGGATTCCATTTACAAGACATCAGAAGTTAACCCTTAGTGGTGTTTTTGTTTTTTTGTTGTTTTGTTTTGTTTTGTTGTTTTGACTGCATGAGGGACTGACAGTGCAAGAATGGCTCAGACTGATTAAAATGTTAATTTTTAGCAGTTCAAGACTCATGCCACCAAGAATGGCACTCTGGGCCTTTGAGTTAATGCTGAGAACCCATGACCTCAAAGATAAACTTCAGAAGGAAAATTTTGCAACTATCATCTACCAAGCTCTGTGCTGGGTTATTTTTCACTCTTGATCTTCCCAAATTTTCACAACAAACTTTCTGTACAATTATTAATAACCCAATTTTTACAGAGATGGATTTAAGTTACCTGGTCCAAGGTCAAGCTAAATAATCAATGAGCACCAAGAATCCACACCCTGTTCTGTCTGACATCTAAGTAAATCCTCTTTCCAATATATCATTCTTCTTGGAAATCTGGAATGGATTATATTCAAAGGAGATAGGTATACACTAAATTGTGTCTCCCACCTCAACCCCAAAGCATATGTTGAAGTCCTAACTCCTAATGTGACTCTACTTGGAGTTAGGGTCTTCAAAGTGGTAATGAAGGTTAAATGAGATTATAAGGGTGGGACCCTAATTCAATATGGCTGATATCCTTACAAAAAAACAAAGAGATGGTAGAATGTTGTGTACACAGAGGGTACAGCTTGAAGGTAGCCATCTGCAAGCCAAGGAAGACAAGACCTTGGGAGAAGCCAACCCAGCGGACACATTGATTGATCTTGAACTTTCAACACCTGGAACTGTAAGAAAATAAATTTCTGTTTTTTAAGATACCCAGTGTGTGGTATTTTGTTATGGCAACTAACACAGAAACACTATTAAAAATCAAAGTTTATCCAATATAGCAATAATTCTTAGGTCTAGAGCTTATGAAATGATTTAAAGATACAATGTCTCAGTGCTTAGTGTGGCAACCTCATTCAATTGTGTCAAATCAAGACACATTGATTGTATACTTACTATGTCCTGCCACATTATGCCCAGTGCAAGAGGAAAAGCTTTGGAGGCTCCCAGTTTGGCATCTCTTTATAAACTCTACAATTCCCTTTTGTGGCATCACCTTTCTAGATTATAGTTTAATAAAACTTGTTATCATTGTACCTTGCCAAATACAAATACTGCTAATCCCCAAAGCAAAACTGGCTAGTACTTAACTGTGAACTCTGTTTTCCTAGGAATGCAATGAATTGCAAATGAGTAGAGATTTATGAAGCTGTAACACTATGGGGCTGTGCTTATCCACCTCACCCCCCATGGCGGGAAAGCCACATCAAAAGATGGTCAACTTAATGCGAGTCAGCGTGCAGATTCTGCTTACTGAGGATATATTATCTTTTCCCATTTGCTCATTTCCCTCTCTTTCTTTATGTACCCTTCAATGCTCAGAACTTCTTTTGACATATATGTGGCACTTTTTCCTCAACTGAGTGACTAGTAAGAGATTTATAAAACAGAAACTGGTCATCATTGCCCCTAAGAGGTAGTTTCCCTACCTCCTTTGTGCCCTTGGCTTTTCTGTTTTGTTTTCTTGGTGCTACATTTTTAAATGCTTTTATTTACACAATATTTCTTCAAAGGTGCTGTTCTCTTTTAAAGTGATACAATGGAAATGAAAAGGATATTGAAAACTCTGAGCAGAAAAGTGTATTGCTTTCTTGTTTCAGCATGACAGAAAATGGTATATAGTGAAAGGAGGAACTTTCTCATTGCAATAACGTTGTTAAATGACAGGGCAATCAAGCCCTCAAGCTTCATTTTTAATTTGAAAAGACAAATGTATTGCTAGTACTGTGGGATACGTGGCATCTGTAATCAAAAGCACTTTACTTTAAAAGGAAAAGAATCTTATAAGGCTATCCAAGACAGGAGAAGATTCATGTCAAAATCATTAGCTTTCCACGGGGTTCAAGCAGAATAAAACCTGGGAGGTGATTCTTCTGCCATGAATCTGATCTCTTGTTCAAATTCCCTGAAAAGAAACAAAAATGGTAGAATACGTTTAGAATTTGTTACATTGAGCCCTATAGTAAAACTCTTTATAGATATTAGATGTTGGTCACAAATAGAAAAAAATACAAAGCCATAAAGCCTGTGGATACTAATGTAGAGATGTTAAAAAAAAAAAAAAAAAAAAAAAAAAAAAAAAAAAGACCAGACTAAAGATAGAGGATTTTCTGCATTTTACAGAGGTATTTTCTGAGTTTTGCAGTATCAGGTAATCCCAGAGGCAATTAAAACAAAACAAAAAAAAATTCTGAAAGGTCTCCTGCAGGATAAGTATCAGGCCAGTGAACTCAGCTTCTGATCAGATGTGAATGATCATCAAAGTCAGAGAATCTTCTGTTAGTTCATCACATCATTTCCTTTTGGATGAAATAATTAAAAGAGCATTTCTAACAATTGAACTTATAGCTAATTATATATAATAATAACAATTTATACATAAAAATACATTTATAAAATACAATCATTCGGCCGGGCGTGGTGGCTCACACCTGTAATCCCAGCACTTTGGGAGGCTAAGGCAGGTGGATCACGAGGTCAGGAGACAGAGACCATCCTGGCTAACACGGTGAAACCCTGTCTCTACTAAAAATACAAAAAATTAGCCAGGCATGGTGGCAGGCGTTTGTAGTCCCAGCTACTTGGGAGGCTGAGGCAGGAGAATGGGATGAACCCGAGAGGCAGAGCTTGCAGTGAGCCAAGATCGCGCCACTGCACTCCACCCTGGGCGACAGAGCAAGACTCAGTCTCAAAAAAAAAAAAAAAAAAAAAAAAATTACAATCATTCTTTAATTCTCACAACAATCTTGATTGGTAGACTTTATTATGTTCATTTTTCATATTTGTATAATTCAACATTCAAAAAGTTTCTATCTCTGATCAAGTAAATGTCACAGTTAAGACTAGATTTGTGTTCCTTCAGTTTTAAGTTCAAAGCTCTTTGTGAGAGTACCGTAATAGTCCCTACCTGTTTGGTTAGATACTGTAAGGAGATGGGTAACATTTTTCACCACTTCTTTTTCATTCGAGAATATGTAATGTTTAATTCTTAGGCTCTTGCGGGGAGAGGCTTAAATTTATTGAAGATTTCTTGTAGGCCTATACATATATATATGTGTATATATATATATATGTATATATGTATATATGTATGTATATATGTATATATATGTATATATATGTGTATATATATATATACACATATATATATATATATAAATTTTTTTTTTTTTCTTTTGAGACGGGGTCTCACTCTGTCGCCCAGGCTGGAGTGCAGTGGCGCCATCTCGGCTCACTGCAAACTCTGTCTCCCGGGTTCACGCCATTCTCCTGCCTCAGCCTCCCGATTAGGTGGGACTACCAGTGCCCGCCACCACGCCCGGCTAATTTTTTCTATTTTTAGTAGAAACGGGGTTTCATCATGTTAGCCAAGATGGTCTCGATCTCCTGACCTGGTGACCCGCCCACCTCCACCTCCCAGAGTGCTGGGATTACAGGCGTGAGCCACCGCGCCCGGCCGTAGGTCAATTTTTAAGCCCGTTTAATCTCAGTTTAGTTGCTTTATAAGAAAAACCAAATCTTCAATTTTCTTTTAACTATACATTCCCTAGGAGACTCAAAAATATTTCTAAATTACACATCTTAAACAAAATGTAATTCATTTAAAATTATATGGAAGAGTGGTGACTATGAAATTATGTAATTGCATTTATGTTTAAGAGGGAATGTATCCCTTTAGAGATCTATAAAAACAATATCTTATATTCAAAGGACAAAAGTCTTAGGGAAAGTCTTACCTGAAGACAGAGCTATACCAGGTAGCCTCTGACATATCTTTAAACCCTAATTTGCTGACGAGGCATGCGAGTATATTTTTATTTGGAATGTCGATACAGAATAGATCATCATCACTGTCCAGAAGCTTTTGTTTTCAACTAAGGCCAAGATAAAAACATAAAAATGTTGAGAAAAGTATCAGTGTGTGTTTTTTTCTAATGCCCGCCCAAAAAAGAAGTAAAAATTTTCCAAGAATCTAACTAAATGTCCTAATAGAAAGTTAAAAGCAGAATTAATTTAGAACTGACACATAAAGAATTGGAGAGACAATAAAGAGGAAAAAAGCATGGTGAGAAAAGAATAGATGTGTTTGAAAAAAAAAAAAGAGTGAAATCTGTGGATTAAGGAAGACACTGAAACTAGTGATGGAGAAATGTAAAGGCAGGAGAGATTCAGGGAAGTTGCTCAAATAGTGTCCCTAAAACCTCAGTTCCCCAAGTTATTTTTATATACATTTCTGTTTCCAAAATAATCACCCACTTGCAGTGATCACTAATGTATTTACTAGGAGTGAATTCTCCCTTAAGTACCACCTTTGGAAGTTTAAGCTGCCAGTTAATTTTAAGTTCTGATGTTTTCTCATTCCAATATTATTCAGAATCCAGGAAAGAGTAAAAGAGAGGGAAAAAAAGACTGTATGTTGGCTTTTTTGGTTTTGGCTTAAATTCCCTCAGACAAGTAAGCACTGCCTACCTTCAAAGATACAAAACAGAAAACTGTTTTTTGATGATTCTAAAAATGTCTCCATTTTATTTTGCACCCCTCACATAAAAAGCTTTCATTGTTTTTGATATATTTTAAATTATTTTTCCTTCAAGTGTTTTTTTTTCTTTTTTTACAAAATTTGAGGAACTAAAAATTTCTAAGGAGTATGCATGTGGCAGAACTCTTAAATGTGTCACATTTTAGATTCAAAGGAATTACACCATCAAGAGGAAAACAATGTCACAGTGAGAGATTCATCTAGTATTACTGCTCTACAATAATAGAAGTGCTTCTATCTTGGTTAATCATAAAGAATGAGGCCAAGTCTTTAATTTAAAAAAGAAATAGTGTAAGCTTCTTGGATTTTAATCTATTTTAATGATTAAACTCTACTGTGTGTCGGGGTGGGGAGGATGTGTGTGTTTATATGCACACATACCTTATAAAAAGATGTCTTCACTTAGCTGTTACCTAGAGCAGAAAGTTTTTAAATAAAAGAATTAGCAGTCCAGGTGTGGTGGCTCATGCCTATAATCCCAGCACTTTGGGAGGTCGAGGTGGGTGGATCAACTGAGGTCAGGAGTTCGAGACCAGCCTGACCAACATGGTGAAACCCCGTCTCTACTAAAAATACAAAAATTATCCAGGCAGGCACCTGTAATCTCAGCTACTCAGGAGGCTGAGGCAAGAGAATCTCTTGAACCTGGGAGGCAGAGGCTGCAGTGAGTGGAGATTGTGCCACTGTACTCCAGACTGGGAGGCAGAGCAAGACTTCATCACAAAAAAAAAAAGAATTATCAATAATCTTCAAAATTCTACACATAAATAAATGGATTACATTCAGAAAAATACTTACTAATGCAACTTAGTCAATTTTTTGTTGCTATAACAGAATACCATAGACAAGTATTCTTGTCACAACCACTTAAGTACCGTTGACCTTTTAACCATCTCCACACAGTAAAAAATCCATGTATAACTTTGAGCTCCCCCAAAACTTAACTGTTAACAGCCTATTGTTGCCCAGAAACCATACCAATCACATAAACAGTAAATTAACACATATTTCGTATGTTATATGTGTCATATACTGTATTCTTACAATAAAGTAAGATAAAGAAAATGTTATTAAAAATCATAATTAAGAAAAAATATGTTTAACATTATTAAGTAGAAGTGGATCATCATAAAGTTTTTCATCCTTGTCATCTTCACATTGAGTAGGTTGAAGAAGAGGAGGAAAATGAGGGGTCGGCCTTACCGTCTTGGGGGAAATAGAGGTAGAGGAAGTAAAGGAGGTGGAGGAGGTAGAAAAGGAAGCAGCAGGACAGCCAGGCACACTTTGTGTAACTTTTATCGAAAACAAAATCTTTGTATGGTAAACCCATGCATTTCAAACCAGTATTATTCAAGGGTCAACTGTAATCTCTAAGAAGATTCAGATTTTCCCTACATTTCTCCTCTTTTCACCAAAATCTCCCATAATGCTCCATTCATGGCAAAGCAAGCTTCATCTAGCCTGCTCCTCCAAACTTTTCCAGCCTCTGCCCATTACCCTGTCCCAAAGGAGCTTCCACATTTTGGGGTATTTCCCATAGCAACAGCTCCAATTCTCAGTACCAATTGCCTGCATAAATCTGTTTTCTGTTGCTATAACTGAATACCATATACTGAGTAATTATAAAGAAAATAAATTTATTCTTACAATTCTGGAGTCTGGGAAGTTCATGAGCATAGCACTGACATCTGGTGAAGGCCTTGCTGTATCATAATAGTGGAAGGTATCACATGACAAGAGGGCAAGATGATGCCTGTCAACTCAGATCTCTCTTCCTCTTCTTACAAAGCCAACAGTCCCATCATGGGGGACCTACCCTGATGACAACCTACCTCTATTACCTCTCAAATACCCCACCTACTGACAGCATATGAAATTGAGGTCTAATTGCATATGATTAAGTTTCCAGTATGTGAAGTTTGGAGGACCCATTTAAACCACAGCAACAACTATTCAGCCTATAGTGGAGCCTTGAAAAAAACCCAGCTCACTAATAAAATGTTGGTAAAACCACCAAAGAACCCAGTTTCCCCAGTATCCTACTGTATCTTCAATAACTGTAAGATAGTGGAAGGAGAGGGATAGTAATCTTTAGAGGGGATTCATTTGAAGGTGTAGAATTCAGGTTGGCATCATTCAAGGTTACATTCTAGAGAAAAAAGATTACAACAAAGAAAAGCAAAATGTGTGGCCTCTCTGTGCCACAGAGGTACCAAAAATATACATCTACTAGAGTTCTCTATTAGAGACAAATTAGTCAAGATCTTTCATTTTGTATGTATAAACACATGGCCCACTTAGAAGATGGACTTAAACAATATGATTAGAGCCAAGAATTCCTATATGCAGGTCAATGCTTTTTGGAGGAGAAATGCTGGCAAGATAGAAGGATAAAAATAAAATAACTTTAACTTTAGGGCTGTGAATCAGAAAAAGGATGACCAAGTCTCATTTATGCTTCTTAATGATGTCACATTTTCTAGTAAGTAACAAAATGGAGAGCAACATTATGTTTTCATCCCAAAGGAGGTGAAAATAAAAGGATTAGATAGAGAAAAGGCTGGAAGTAGTAATAAGATTTTACTTTCTTTTGCTTCCAAATTTCAAACTTGTCTGTGTCTTTTACACAATCATGGGCATCAATGTATTTCACGAATCTTTGATATATCTCTTTCTAATTTGCATCGTCTTATTTTATTTAAGCCACTTTAACAAAGTGTATTGGTTCTGTTCATGAAATTTAAAAGCCTATTCTTTATTCTTCCTTCAGTCTTCTTTGTGTGTGTCCGTGTATGTGCATATGTGTATTTGTGTCTGAGAGAGAGAGAGAAAAGAGAGAAAGTGTGTTATATACTGGTTTCTCATCTTCATTTTTAATTAGGTTATGATCTCTAGGTGTCACTTGTTAGAACTTGATCTCTCCAATCATCACATAAAATGATGAATGGAAGGTATATATCACTCTGTGCTAGGTACTATGTTAGATGTTTTAAACAGATTATTGTAGTTCATCATTATAATAACCCTACGAGGTATGCACTAATATTATTTTTATTTTGCAAGGGGACAAAATGAAGCCCAGAGATGTCAAGGACTTTGTATAAGATCACACAGTTTTAATAAAACTCTACTTAAACCAAGGTTTAAACCAAAGATTGAGTTTATAATAGAACTTAATTTCTCTACTAAAATTGCTAAAATAAGACATGAAAATAGAGTGAAATGCTTGGGTTTTCTTTCTTGAGGTCTCATTTCTTCTGTACAATCTTTTATGTTGTAGTAAACTGACTATAGTACTTAGTTGTTTGTCTACCTATACATACAATATTCTTTAAAAAGTTTCCATTATCCCCTTTCTTTTGGAAAGGTACTCTCTCTACCAATTGCCTTAGTCCCTCAAGGCTGCCTTAACAAAATGTCTTAGACTGGGTAATTTATAAATGACAGAAATTTATTGCTCACATTTTTGGAAGCTGGGAAATCTCAGATTCAAGTGACAGCAGATTTGACATTTAAGGAACACTTATCTTTCTTTTTTCTCTCTCTCTCATTTTGCAATTGATGTCTTTTTTGAATTTCTTATAAAAAAAAGTGGGGTGGGGTGGGATCCATGTGCAGAACGTGCAGGTTTGTTACATAGTTATACCTGTGCCTTGGTGGTTTGCCGCACCTATTGACCCATCCTCCCAAGTTCCCTCCCCTCACCCTCTACCCCCGAACTGGCCCTGGTGTATGTTGCTCCCCTCTCTGTGTCCATGTGTTCTCAATGTTCAACTCCTACTTATGAGTGAGAATATGAGGTGTTTGGTTTTCTAGAACTATCATCTTTCATAGTTAAGGTCTTCTTTCTGCCTCCTCACATAGCAAAATGGGGCAAGAGAATAAGTCTCTTCATAAGGCCACTAATCCCATTCATGAGAGTGGAATCCTCATGGCTTAATATCTTCCCTAGGGCCTTACCTCTTAACACTATTACATTGGGTATTAGGTTTCAACATATGAATTTTTGGTCAATGTCAGTATTCAGACCATAGCATCAAACATATCCACTTCAATCTCTTTTCCGTTCACGGAAGGAGAAGACAGAAAATTATCAAAACCAAGCCCATAAGAATTCTTTTGTAGAATTTTTAAAAGTGGAACAAAGACAAGTTATTGATGTCTTTATTTCCAACTAAAATTTCAAGATTTGCCAAAACTTGTACTAAAATTCATTGTGCTACAAAACAAATTTTCAATCTGATCTATAGTTGAAAATAAGCAAGCCAACAAGGCAGAGGCAATGAAAATAAACAGAGAATCCTGGCAGTATCTCACATGTGGTTCCAACCAAGATTTTACAAGATTTGCCAAACCATGTGCTAAAATTCAATGTGCTACAAAACAAATCCTCAATTTGAAGCTGGATTACCTGGATTTATATTTCAGTTGTTAACACCTGCTCTTTTTAATCCTTATTATTTGATATCATCAAATTATAATATCAAATATTATCTTTAAATTTAAATTATATGAGATGTGAAAGTTTCTTGCAAATACTATGTAATAAATAAAATTTATTTTAGTTTTTTATGGGACAAAAAGGCTATTTGGTAACATGTTAGTGTATGGACCTAAGTGAAGGAAATATATGGGATGATGGTAATTATTAAAAAGCAACAATCATTTTGATATCCAACATGTTGTATGTTTATGAAGCTGTGTGTGAAAATAGAAGGATACTCTACATATCTAAAAACTGTACACTTTGTGTGCCAAATCTATTTTTTTATTAATATAATATCAACAAAACATGGTAACGCAATTAACTGCTCAGAAAAATATTTTGATTTTTATAATAGGCAGTACTAGGTAGTCTGAACATTTAAAGTATAAAATCCCTGAATCCATTGTGTTTACTGAAAATGAAAAATTATAGTAGATGTTGACAAAGATAAATGCTCAGGACAGTTTGTGAGTTGAAAATTCATGATATACCTATAGTTTTTCTGATAACTTTTGTTATCAGCTAGAAATGACTTGTTTGTAAGAAAACACAATTCAAACTGTTATGAGCATGAAAGATAAATTTTTGGCTTACATTATAATAAATCCAGGGATGGGTTTGAACTCAAAAGATGCCATCAAGACCCAATTTATCTCTGAGGTTTTGTTGTTGTTGTTTATTTGTTTCTATATTGGCTTTATTCTCAGTCACCAGTAGCCCAAATTTCAAGTCTTCTCAGGTGAAAGTCCTATTTTGCAGTGACTTACATTTGCATCTCATTAACTCTGGTGGGGTTATATACTGATTCCTGAACCAGTGCCTGAACATGCCATGCAGGGGCCTGGAGATCACTCAATCTCTTCCACCAGTGTTGGCACATAAGCACTTCTTCTGAAGACCATAAGGTAGCACATCCAACCTGCTGCAACTCACCTGCACATGCCACCTTCAGGCCTGAAGACTGGCTTACCCAGCCCATCACAGCCACCACCAACACCATTACAAAGCACTTGGGAGCCAGAGAGTGGGCCTGCCACTGGTACTGCCATCACCCGTGCCACACCTGCTGTCCAAGACCGTAAGAACCTGCCCACACACTTGGCCCACTGCTGCCAATGCCAGCACCTCGACAACCTATCTGAAGGCCCAAGAATCTTCCCATATGGACATAATAACACCAGTGCCACCATATGCTGCTCTGGCTCTCAAGCACAAGCATGCTCAGCCCACCACTGTCATCACTGGGGCCCAAGGAGTGACCCACCTGGCATGCATTCCTACCCCAGAAAAACTTCACAACAGCCTCCACTAACAACTGCATCCTAACCTTGGATGTAAACAGGTTAAACTTTCCACTGAAAAGAAATAGACTAGCTGAATGAATGAAAAATAAAAAAACATGACTCAACTTTATGCTGCCTATAAGAGACTCATCTCATCTGTAAAGTTATACAGACTGAAAGTAAACGGATAAAAAAAGGATATTCCATGTAAATAGAAACCAAAACCAAGCAGGAATAGCTACACATACCAGATAATACAGACTTTGAGTCCAAAACAGTAAAAAGAGACAAAGAAGCTCATTATATAATGATAAATGGATCAATTCAGCAAAAATATATAAATATTCTAAACCTATATGCACCCAACACTGGAGTACCCAGATATATAAAGCAAATATTATTAAATCTAAAGGCAGAGATAAACTCCAGTACAATAATATTTGGGGATTTCAACACCCTACTCTCAGCATGAGACAGATCATCTAGATTAAAATTAACCAACAGAAAAAAAAAAGGATTTAAACTGCACATTAGACCAAATGGACCTAGCAGATATTTATAGAACATTTTTATCCAACAGCTACAAAATATACATTTTCCCCGTCAGCATGTGGAACATTCTCCAGATAGACCATATTTTGAAACACAAAAGAAGTCTCAACAAATTTATAAAAATATAAATGATGTCAAGTATCTTCTCTGACCAAAATGGAGTAAAACTAGAAATTAACAAGTGGAACTTTGGAAACTGAACAAATATATTGAAATTAAACAACATGCTTCTGAGTGACCCCTGGGTCAAAGGCAAAATTAAGGAGAAAATAAAAAAATTTCTTAAATGAAAATTGATACATAATACCAGAACCTATGGAATATAGCAAAAGTATTGTGAATAGAGAAGTTTATAGCAATAAATGCCTACATCAGAAAAGAAAGATTTCAAATAAATTATGTAAAAATGGACTTCAAGGAAAAAGAAAAGCAAGAGCAAGCCAAACCCAAAATTAGAAGAAAAAAGACTGGAGCAGAACAGAATGAAATAAAAACTAAGAAAATGCAAACTGTCTACAAAGTGAAAGGTTAGTTATTTGAAAAGATCAGCAAAATTGATAAACTGCTAACTAGTCTAATGAAGAAAAAGAGGGAAGACCCAAATTAACAAAATCAGATATCAAAGAGGAAACATTACAACTGATATCACAGAAATACAAAAGATCATCAAAAACTATTATAAACAATGACATACTACCAAATTGGAAAACCTAAAGAATATTGATAAATTCCTGGATATATCAATCTACCAAGATTAAATTAAGAAGAAAGAGAAAACCTGAAGAACCCAATAATGAGTGATAAAATTGAAACAGTAATTAAAAAAAGTCCATTACTCAATGGCCTCACTTGCCAAATTCTGCCAGACATATAAAGAAGAATGAGTACCAATTTTCCTCAAACTATTCTAAATAATTGAAGAGTAGGTAATTTTAATAGTTCACACTGATTTTCCTCAAACTATTCTAAATAATTGAAGAGTAGGTAATTTTCCATAACTTATTTTTCGAAGCTAGCACTACCCTGATACCAAAACCAGACAAAGATACAACAAGGAAAGAAAACTACAGGCCAATTCCTAAAAAACATAGACACAAAATTCCTCTACTAAATACTAGCAAATCACATTCAAAAGTATATCAAAAAGATGTTGATCACTATGATCAAGTGGGATTTATCTCAATTATGCAAGGATGGTTCAACATATGCAAATCAAGAAATGTCATACATCACATTCTCAGAATGAAGGGCAAAAACTATGTGATTATCTAAATAGATGCAGGAAGAAATTGATAAAATTCAAGATTTCTTCATGATAAACACTCTCAACAAGCTAGGCATAGAAGGAACATACATCAACATAATAGAGACTGTGTATAACAAACCCAGAGCTAACGTCAGACTGAATGTGGAAAAGTTTAAAGCCTTTCCTTTAAAAACTGAAGCCAGACAAATATGTCCACGTTCACCACTGTTATTCGACATACTACTGGAAGTCCTAGCAAGGGCAATAGGGCAAGAGAAAGAAAAGGCATCCAAACTGGAAAAACGGGAATTCAAATTCTCCCTCTTTGCTGATGGTATGATCTTATGTCTAGACAAAAACTAAAGATTCCACCAAAAACTATCTTATAACTGACAAACAAATCCAGTAAATTCATAGGATATAAAATCAACATAAAAAATCAATAACAATTCTGTATTCCAATAATGAACTAGATGATAAAGGAATCAAGAAGGCAATCCCATTTACAATAGCTACAAAAATAAAATAAAATAAAACACCTAGGAATACCTTTAACCAGGGAGGTGAGAGACCTCTACAAGGAAAACTACAAAACGTTGATGAAAGTAATTGGGGAGGATAAAAGAAATGCAAAAATATCCCACTTTCATGGATTGGAAGAATTAATATTTTTAAAATGACCATTCTACCCAAAGCAGTCTACAGATTCATTGTAATCCCTATCAAAATGCCAATGTCATTTTTCACAAAAATAGAAAAAGCAATTATAAAATTTGTATAGAACAACAATAACAACAAAATACAAAGCAATCCTAAGCAAAAAGAACAAAAATGTAGGCATCACATTACCTGTCTTCAAAATATAGTAATTAACATAGCGTAATATTGGTACGAAAACACATAGACCAATGGAACAGAATAGAGAACCCAGAAATAAATTAATGTATTTACAGCTAACTGATTTTTGACAAAGGTGCTAAGAAGAAACATCAAGGAAAGATACCCTTTTGAATAAATAGTGCTGGGAAAACTGAGTATTCATATTCAAAAGAATGAAACTGGACTGGGTGTGGTGCCTCATGCCTGTCATCCCAGAACTTTGGGAGGCTGAGGCGGGTGGATCACTTGAGGTCAGGAGTTCGAGACCAGACTGGCCAACATGGTGAAACCCCATCTCTACTAAAAATAAAAAATATATATATATAGAAAAAAACAATAGCTGGGTGTGGTGGTGCATGCCTGTAATACCAGCTGCTCAGTAGGCTGAGGCAGGATAATTGCTTGAACCCAGGAGGTGGAGGTTGCAGTGAGCCAAGATCACGCCACTGTACTTGAGCCTGGGTGGCAGAACGAGACTCCATCTCAAAAAAAAAAAAAAAAAAAAAATGAATGAAACTGGACTCCTACTTTCTCAATATACAAAAAGCAATTCAATATGTCTTAGAGACATGAAACTATAAAAGACCTAAAATTATAAAATCACTAGAAGAAAATTTAACGGTAAGACTTCAATACGTTGATCTAGGCAAATATTTTATGACTAAGACCTCAAAATCACAGGTAACAAAAATAAAAATAGGTACACAGGACATATTAAATGAAAAAGCTTCTGTGCAGTAAAGGAAACAATCATCAGAGTAAAATGACAGTCTGTTCAATGGGAGAAAATACTTGAGAAGTATTCATCCAACAAGGGACTAATATCCAGAATATACAAGGAACTCAAACAACTCAAGAGTGAAGAAACAAATAATCCCATTAAAAAGTAGGTAAAGGAAATGAGTAAATATTTCTCAAAAGAATACATAGAAATGACCAATAGACATATTTTTAAAATGCTCAACATCACTAATCATCAGGGAAATGCAAATCAAAGCCACAATGAGATGTCATCTTTCCCCCAATTAGAATGGTTATTATTAAAAAGACAAATAATAAAAGATGTTGGTAAGCATGTGGAGAAAAGAAAACTCATACATTGTTGGTGGAAATGTAAATTAGTACAGCCAGTATGGAAAACAGTATGGAGATTTGCTTAAAAACTAAAACTAGAACTACCATACAATTCAGCAATCCACTCTTGGTTATCCAAAGGAAAAGAAATCAATACATCAAAGGGATACCTGCATCTCTGTATTTACTGCAGTACTATTAACAATAGCAAGGCTGTGTAATCAACTTAAGTGTCTATCATTGGATGAATGGATAAAGAAAATGGGGTGTATCTTTGGCCATAAAAAATGAAATCCTGTCATTTGCTACAACATAGATAGAATTGGAGATCATTATGTTAAGTAAAATAAACCTGGCACTGAAATAAAAATATTGCATAGGTTCACTCATATGTGAAAGCTAAAAATTTTTATTTCATGGAGGCAGAAAGTAGAATTATAGATACCAGAGACTGGTAAGGAAAGGTGTGTGGGGTTGGTGATTACCATGAAGAGACATTGACTAATGGATACAACTGTACAGATATGTAGGAGTAGTTCTAATATTTGGCAGCAGAGTAGAGTGAATACAGTTTACAACAATGTATTGTGTATTTCAAAATAACTAGAAGAGAGGACTTGAAATGTTCTCAACACATAGAAATGATAGGTACTCAAGGTGATGGATACGCTAAATAGCCTGACTTCATCATTAACCATTCTATGCATGTAACAAAATATCACAATACTCCATAAATATGTACACATATTATCAATTAAAATTAAATATACATATATAAATCTGCTTTTGAGTCATTTGTTCTTAAAAAGATAGATCTCCAATTAGCATATGGGTATTAAATTGAATATGGAACATGTTAAAGCTTGTTTGTCTTTCACAAACATCTGTTGGTGGCATTTTCATTACCAGGTACTTAAGACCATTCACGTAATTGCTAGTATTCATTATATGTCAATCTCCTCTTTATCCTTCTTCAATAAAAAGTGAGTGGTAAAAATTTAATTATTGATATTGCACAAGGATTTCTTTATTAATTAATAAACTAGTCGTTTTCTAGATAGGGCTAAAGCTATTTTGTCTGAAGTACTTAAATCATGTATAACATGATCATCTAAGAAATATAATCTATCCAAATAGATTTGACATTGATATATGGTACAATTAGCTTTACAGATTTCACTTGTATTATTTGTTTTTTATGAAACAAATTGCATAGATCAACATGAGAAAAAGGAAGAAGACTGCCATCTTGTAACAATAGGGCTGTTCTATATTTTCAATACAATTAAGAATGTATAGTACAGTTAGTTAGCTTTACAGGTTTTGCTTGTATTATTTTGTTTTTATGAAACAAATGGCATAGGTCAACATGAGAAATTAAAAAGGAAGGAGACTGCTATCCAATAACAATAGGGCTGTTCTATATTTTCAATATAGTTAAGAATGGTGCATCTTCTGTAACTGAAGTGAGCAGTTAGGAACAAAAGAGTTATAACTCTGGAGGATATTAATTACATAATCTGAAGAACAAGGAATACTGTTTGGGTAGACTTGAGAAAATAAAATATTTAGCATAATGTACTGGCTTTGCACACCTGGCCAAATGTTCTAGTTGCATTAAACTTTATAAATAAAGTTTCCTTTTGAGTTAACTAGTCTTTTGTATTGCTATTATTTATATATTTATTCTATTTCAAATACCAGATATTTAACAGAATGACAAAACTGCAACTGGTAAACATTGTTTTCTCTCCTATCTGTAAGAGAATGCTACAGTTAATTTTCCTGGGAGATATTTATGCCTTTATTTATTTTCAAGCTCTTGAATTTTTTCCAGAAATACCTTGTGGCTTACTTGTTTGTTTTTATTGTATATATGTATATATAATTTTTTGTTTTGTTTAATTGTTGTTATTGTTTTCTCCCTTTTATACTCAGCCAAGTGAATTAGCACAAGCTAAGGGACTAATGTCAATATATCAGTCCTCAAGCACATAATATCTTAATAATTTTTCACCCACAATGGTCTGTTTTTTTAGGCTACTGATTTATTCTTTAACCAGAGGCCTAATGATTAAGCCACTGAGGAGGGTGGATGTTAGTGAAAATGCTGCCGGCTCCTTCCATGTCTGCAAACTGTAAGATATGTTGACACAATCAAGCATCCATGTCAACGTATGTATGTGATGGATACCCAGTATATACTCCTGGGGCAATAGCACTGTTCAGGAAATGAGCTATTACAGGTCCAAATTGGCCACTTATATTCTGGTAGTGGCAAGTCATTTAATTTCTGTAGGTCTCAGCTTTTCTATTTGGAAAATGAGAATAAGAAAGTGTACCTCATAGGGATGCTATATAGACTTGGAGACACATTGAGACACTCTATTTACTATGGAATAGAATTAGATTTCAGCTAGTTTTCTCTTATTGTATGTGATCTGAGAGGTTTGGGAGGCTAAGGCTAGTTTTCCACACTAAACAATAGAATATATTGACATTATAATATCTTGATATCATCAGCACTCTGAGTATAGCCCTCAGGTTTAAAACAACATATTCACTGTATTACCATAGCCATAACTTGTAAGAGATCAAGATATAAAACTAGAAGCCACTTCATTATTTAGATAAAATATTTATTCCCAATGTCCCGAATACTCATGCATCTCTCACACACATGGAGTAATGTTAGAATTTCTGGGAAGTCAAATAAATGATAAAATTACCCTAGAGAATGTGGACTAATAGGTAAAGTATGAAAAATTTTAAGGAAAATATCTTCCAAGTCATGTAAAACTCCATACCCCACAACATAATATATCTCCTGCTTCTACCAATGTTTCCCAGACCCATTATCTTTTTCATTTGGACAATAATAAATATTGAAACATTCTTCCTCTCTGACTTCTTTTTATTATTCTCTCTAATATTCTTATTTTATATTTATTATTCTTCCTCCCAGTAGAATATTCTTTTTCCAGACATCATATAACACTGTTCATTCTCTCAACACCTGAGGACTCTATAAAGAAACAACACTGCTATAAAGAAACATCTGAAGCTGGGTAATTTATACAGAAAAGAGGTTTAATTGGCTCACGATTCTGCAGGCTGTACAGAAAGCATAGCGGCTTCTGATTCTGAGGAGGCCTCAGGAAACTCACAATCATGGTGGAAGCAAAGGTGAAGCATGCACGTCCTACACAGCCAGAGCAAGAGCGAGAGGGGCGGGGGAATGCTGCATACTCTGAAACAAGCAAATCTCATAAGAACTTACTTTAGGGATGATAGCACCAAGGGGGATGTTGTTAAACCATGAGAAACCACCCCAATGATATAATCAGCCACGAAGCTCACCTTCAACATTGAGGCTATCAATTTGACCTAAGATTTGGTTGAGGACACTGATCCAAACCATTTCAGATTAGTTTAGGTTTACCTAGTTATAATCCATTTCCATATTTAACTTTCCAGGCCTACTGTTTTCCATAACAAGTGCTCTCAGGGGTGCTTTTCTGTACTTATATCCAATGCTCAACCCAAAACTTAACCTCAATTGACTATGAATCGAGGGTTAAAATTTTAAAATTTATATAATGGTGCTCAAATGACTTTGGGATTCCCTCAATCTTTGTGTACCTCCAAAGCAGTTGTCTTAGTCAGTTTTAGCTGATATCACAGAGTACCATAGACTGCATAGCTCATATTCAACAGATATTTATTTTGCTTAGTTCTGAAGCCTGGAAGTCGAAGATCAGAGTGCTAGCATAATTGGATTATTGTGTGGGGCCCCTTCTGGACTGTAGACTGCTGACTTCTTGTTGTATCTTCATGTGTCAGAAAGACGGATAAAGAGAGCTCTCTGGGGTCTCTTTTACAAGGGAATTAATCCCATTTATGGGAGCTTCACCCTCAAGACATAAATTATCCCCCAAAGGACTCATGTCCTAATGCCATCATATTGGAGGTTAGGATTTCAACATATGAAATTTGGCTGGACACAAACATTCCATCCATAACAACAATGCTACACACTAAGATTACCTGTGAGCTTTTAAAAAAATATTGAAGTCCTGGGCCCATCAATTAAACATTCTGATTCAGCCACTTGATATAAGTATTATTCTTATTTTCATTTTACTAATTAGGTAACATACAAAAGGATGTTAAAGTGTGATTAATTTTAGAATGAGTTTTTTGAAGTAAGTTTTAGAATTGAATTTATTTGTGAATATTTAAAAATAGAATTCATCCTTTTCTGAGACAGTCCGTGTACAATTACTGCTAGAAGAAAGGAAGATGGTGATATTTCAATGACTTATGACTCTGCAATATTTAAATTGACTAAATTCATGACTAAATGGAAATTTTGCTCTGACCACAGAAGAAACTATCTAAATTATAATACAAAGCTATGTAAAAGTGAATAAAATCATTTAATATCAAGTACCAGTTCTTAGAGATGGTCACACATTTAAAATAAGTAGTATCATTGTGTTTCTTATCATATAGTACCTAGATATGTTACCATTACAACAATCAAAAATTCTTAACATATATTCTTCAAAAGAAATGAGGTCCTCAATTGTTATTATAAAATTGCAGATAGTGAAATTGAAACCTGAGAGGTTAAGTTACTTTCCCAGAGGTAAAACATATATTTGTCTGAAGGCCTTATCACATCCTAAGAATGTGATACTATCTGCTCGGCTCATTACACTGCAAGAATCATTTAGGCCTCTTATCTAGAGTTAGCCATACTGAAGTTCGAGGACACTGTTCTCCATAAGACCATCTTCACTTCTGACACTAGCTGCAAGTTTGGGGGTAGTTTTCCAAAGCAGTTCCCATGTCAATAATTTACTATATGGACTGACAGAACATACTGCAAGGTATTATACTCATGGTTACAGGCTTGTTTTGTTTTTGTGGGTTTTTTTTTTTTTTTTTTAAGATGGAGTTTTGCTCTTGTCACCCAGGCTGGAGTGGAATGGCATGATCTTGGCTCACTGCAACCTCTGCCTGTCAGGTTCAAGAGATTCTCCTGCTTCAGCCTCCCAAGTAGCTGGGATTACAGGCACCACCACCACACCTGGATAATTTTTGTGTTTTTAGTAGAGACAGGGTTTCACCATGTTGGCCAGGCTGGTCTTGAACTCCTGACCTCAGGTGATCCACCCACCTCGGCCTCCCAAAGTGCTGGTATTACAGGCGTGAGCCACCACGCCTGGCCTCACTTACAGTTTATTACAGAGAAAGGCTACAGATTAAAATCCAGCAAAGGAAAAGATGCACAGGAATGTCTGGGAGGGCTCCAAATTAGAAGCTTCTGTTGTCCTCCCCTATGATGCTGAGCCTCCCAGCATCAATGTGTGTCAGTATGTAGAGTATTGCCAATCAAGGAAGCTCGCCTGAGCTTATGATGAGCTTTAGTGTCCTAATTTTTTGTGTGACTTTGTTACAGAGTCATGACAAATTGTCCACATTCTGGAACTCAATCTCCAGGTCCACTGATACCACAAGATCCAAAGTTTCCACCTTAAATTACATGATTAGTTTTTCTAGAGTGGCCAGCCCCTGCCTTAAATAGACATTCCTATCAGGCATGACATATAGTACCTCCCAAAAGCCATGGGCAAGGGCAAAAATTTTCTTTGGGCAAGGCCACATTTTTACTACACACCTCCAAACACTTTCTATAGTCATTTGTTTCTGGTCATTCATTTCTTCAAGAATTATTATTCAGTTAATAGCTACTCTGAGAGACATTTTGCCAGGTGCTGAAAATCAATGAAGAAAAATGATACACCCTTATGAAATTATTGAGGGAGCATCATAAAGTCACATAAATCACCATATAGTCATGCTTTGTTTAGTGATGAAGACACATTCTGAGAAATGCATTGTTAGGCAATTTTGTTATTGTGTGAACATTACAGAGTGTACTTACACAGACCTAGATGGTATAGTCTGCTATATAACTAGGCTATATAGTATAGACTATTGCTACTAGGTGACAAACCTATACAGCATATTATTATACTGGATACTGTACATAATTGTAACACAATGGTAAGTGTTTGTGTATCTAAACAAATTTAGACATATAAAAAGTACAGGAAAAATCCAGTACTATCATCTTAGGGAGCACCGTTGTATATGGGGTCCTTCATTGACAGAAACATTGTTTTGCAATGTACAAATATAAGTAAAGTAATTATTAAGATAGATGAAGTAAAGTGTAGGGTTTTGTAACTGAAAAAGGTCAGGATTTTATATAGACACAGGACTTAAGGAAGGCCTTATGAAGAAAGAAACATGTGAACTAGTGTCTAGTAGCCTGCAGCTGGCTAAATCAAAATCAGTTTCAGTAATGTTGACTATAGACTATGTTCAGATTTTTCTGAATAGTTAACCTTTAAGATTTTACTTAAAAAAAATTGTCCCAAGTACCTCCCTGAAGACAAAAATTAAAAAGCACTTCAACTCTTACTTCTTAGAGAAATCACTAAACTGCTCTCCATAGTGGCTGAACTAATTTAAATTCCCACCAACAGTGCATAGGCATTCCCTTTTCTCTGCAGTCTCGCCAGCATCTATTAGTTTTTGACTTTTTAGTAATAGCCATTCTGACTTGTGTGAGATGATATCTCACTATACTATTCAACCCAGCATCCCCTTACTAGGTATATACCCAAAGGAAAATAAATTGTTCTACCGAAAAGACACATGCACTCATATGTTGACAGCAGCACTACTCACAATAGCAAATACATGGAATCAACCTAGGTGCCCAACAACAGTGGACTGCATAAGAAAATATGGTACATATTCACCATGAAATACTACACAGCCATAAATAAGAATGAAATCATATCCTTTGCCGCAACATGGATGCAGCTGGAGTCCATTATTCTAAGGAAATTAATGCTGGAACGTAAAATCAAATATTGCATGTTCTCACCTATAAGTGGGAGCTAACAATTGGGTACAGTAGTCATTAAGATGGGAACAATACACTAGGGACTACTAGAGCAGGGAGAGAGGGAGGAGAGTAAGGGCTCAAAACTGCTACTATGCTCAGTACCTGGGTAATGGGAACATTTGTATCCCAGACCTCAGCATCATGCGATATACCCATGTAAAAAACCTGCACATATACTCCATGAATCTAAAATAAAAGTTAAAATTATTTTCTAAAAGGGTGTCAACAGCACATACTTAATGCAATGTATGCTATTTTACATACTTATGTCAGTGCAATAAATAACCATGTGTTGAGCATCTATCATAAACCTATTCTAGGCATTGAGTAAATAACCAGCAGTGAAAACAAAAATAGAATAAAATCTCCATCTTCATGTAGCTAACAGCCTAGATATTTAAATAACTGAATTTCAACTCTGAAGGCAGTTATAGAATAGTGGCTTAGAATGCAAAATCCTGGGTTAGACTGCCTATTTAGTACCAGTTCTACTACAAAATGTCTGTGACCTATGTACATAATTTAATTTGTCTGTGCTTAAATTCCCTTATATGTGAAATGTAAATCATGAAAATACTTATCTCTTGAGCAGCTGTGAAGACTAAAACAGATATTGAATAAGCTAGTCTGGTATTATTTAAATACTGAATGCATTTTGATATAGCTTTTGCTTTTTTACTGACTTACGGAATGCTTCAAATTTCATGGCCTCAGTTTCCTCATTTGAAAATAAGGAGTTAGGATAGCTTATCACTAAATTCCTTAAAAAATATTCCATGATTTTTTTATGACCATAGATGGGCTCCTAAAGGCCAGACTTTGCTCCTTTGTACATAATTTTGGGAAGAACCTGGGACAAAGTAATTACTACCTTATACTTGTTTTTTATTATGTTGATTGAAAACTGAAAGTTATTCCTTAGCCAGAATTTTCATGTCTGCTATGATGGAGGTAACCATTTTGCCTAAGCGGAAATTAACCGAGACTACAGACTCAGGTGATAAGTTTTTGTGGAGTAACACAATTCATTAAGATGCTGCTGGAAAGCCATACTTTGAAAGAGGTCTTCTGAAGTCAGCAACAGAAAATTAAGCTTGGCAAGAATTAGAGGCTAGATGCCCCACTGTTATGTGTGTGTGTGTGTGTGTGTGTGTGTGTGTGTGTGTGTGTGTGTTTCTCTCCTCATAGTAAAGTTGGAGTAGTTGTTTGGCATTTCCCTCTTGACAGGAGATGACTAGGGAAAAAGACATCTATAAATTGCTTTCCTATAAAGATAAAGTAAAAGCTAATTTACCAGTGTCCTACTGAATCTCATGCCTCACTTCAACAGATCAAGGTAGAGTTAGTGATCAGAGGAAACAAATGCTAAAGAGATGTCAAGGAGACACTAAGCAATTGCTTTACTGACTGCTACTGATCCAATAAAATTAGTTCAGACCATTGACAATTTTTTTTCCTCCCTAAATTGAGATTCATTAAAACCTAGGTCAAACTTTAGATAGTCAGTGTGATGTAAAGAAGACTTACGGTTTGAAAGAAAACTGATGAAATGGACAGGGTATAATCAAAATAAGAAAACATGAAAACAAAAGTATCTCTTTTGTAAACCCAAAACTGAGCATTTTTAGAATTGATCAAAATCTTAAAGATATATCAACTTGAAATAAAATGAAATGGGAATTAAATTTATGATAATATAAGGGGATATCCCCAAGGTAAGATTCTTGGTAAAGTGCATCAGTTGAAATATATAAATAACATTAATTATGTAATTGGCAGATTTTGAAACTCTAAGCAAGAAATATAAATAACATTATATTTCAGTGAAGTTTCATAATCTAGAAATATCATACAAAGATTCATGAAGGTAGATGTTATACTAATAAAAAATATTTTTGCTACTTTGAAAAATATCTTTGTAAAATGATTAAAGCAATAGAAAAGTGTGGAAATCACTTAAATGTGATTTATTTGACAAATTATTATTACCTTTTTAAATAAATAACAAGCAATTTTTTAACAAATATAATTTAAAATTAAATAATCTCATTGAGAACAAAAATTATGGAAAATAGAAATAAATCTTATTTGACTGCAAATTGAATTTCTGAAAAATAGCATAATATATTTTCATTTTGGAAAAATCAATTTTTGTTTTAGGTTTCTATTTTTTTTTTTTTTGAGACAGAATCTCATTCTGTCAACCAGGCTGGCATGCAGTGGTGTGGCCATGGTGCACCGTATCCTTGAACTCCTGGGCTCCAGCCATCCCCCCACCTCAGCCTTTTAAATAACTGGGACTACAGGCACATGCCATGGCATCCAGCTAATTTTATTTTATTTTACTTTATTTTTTTTTTTGTAGAGTCAGGGTCTTGTTATGTTGCCCAAGCTGGTCTGGAACTCCTGGCCTGGAGCAATCCTCCCACCATGGCCTCCCAGAGTGATAGGATTACAGGCATGAGCCACAGCACCCAACCTGTTTTAGGTTTCATAATAGTTTAGTTACTTAAGATATTTCATGATAAGTTCTATTATTAAATTAAAACATTTTACTGAGTTTGTTTAAAAATTTAATCTTGACTTTTCTTAAGTCATAATATGTTTATATTAATACTAATCCAAAGTATATTTTTTCTGACTCTTAAATGGTGCCATCAGGATTCTGTGATCATTTAACATGCACTCTGCACTTTAAGAACTTGAATTTCTAGTCATAAAAGCAATACAATCACATTAGAAACATATGAAAAAATAAAAAGATATTTTTGTCACCTCTACTCTCATAATTTCTAGTGTCTTCCTTGGTCTTTACCTGTTTAGTCTCTTTTTTCCCTGTATACTTCTAAATATAACATAATTTTGGAATACCTACAATTTGATGTTATGCTTTAAATTTTAAGTTAAAGATACTTTCAAATTGCTACGTATATTTGAAATCAGGACTGTAATAGATGTGTACCTACATGCATACACATATATGCATATAGAATATATATGTAGTAATGTGCTTTCCAATTGTTCTATTTTTGAACGTTAATACTTGGTTTTGAAATTTTTGATATGAGTAACATGAATGTGTCTATAAGAAATACACATGTTCCATATTTTATATTTATTTTCATAGAAAAATTCTTAGATTGATGATTACTTAGTCACAGGGCAAGTAATTCAGTTTTGAAAAATATTTTCCCCCTTTTTACTTAAATGTATTCTGGGTTTGGATATTTAAATAACATATATACCAATCTAAAAGAAAAAAAGTAAAATTCCCAAGACAGAAAAAAAAAAAAAAGAATGTAGTGATCTTTGGCATCAAATTAAATTTACAAAAGTGGTTGCCATGATACTTTTTCAATTTCTTGAGCAGCACAATTTCAGTGTATGCATGATAACTATACATTGCCATTGATGAGCTATACAACAGCTATGCTGTGTTTTATGGAAGATGTCTGATTCTTATAGCAGCTCTTCAAGACAGGAATTGTTACTTCAGTTTCATGGATGTTCATAGCATTCAGACTCTGAGAGAGGGCAAATGGCATACCCTAAACCACATAATTATTGAGTGGTAGGACCAGGAAAACAAAAGATTTTTGATCCCAAAGTGAGAAAACTGTAAGGCTACAGATGTGCATTGCTATGTATGATATTTGAGTCATATCAACCTACTTGTTATTTCTCTGAACAGTCATTCTCCTTTTCTATTGTGAATTTACAGCTGTTTCTTCTTTCTGGACATGTTTCTTCATACCAGAAAGACTTATGTTCTCCTCCTTCATTTGACATCTCACCACTTAAAATTCTACATTCGAAATTAGAGACATCCTTTTAAAAAAGTAGACTTAAATTTTTAGAAGAATGTTAGATTTTTTTAGAATAGCATAAAGGAGGAAAATTGAGAAGATAGTACGTAGAATATCCATATATTCCATTCCCACTTTCCCCTACTATTGACATCTTATATTCATATGGTACAATTTTTATGATAAACTAATAGGGTATATTATTATTAACTAAAGTTCATGCATTATTCAGATTTCCTTAGTTTTTACCTAGTATCCTTTATCTGTTCCAGGATCTCATGTAGGATTTCACATTGCATTTGGTTGTCAAGTTTATTTCGATTCATGTTAGCTGTGGCAGTATCTCAGCCTTTGATGAGTTTGACAGTTTTGAGGTCTACTACTCAGATGTTTAGTAGGTTGTCCCACTACTGAAAATTGTCTGATGATTTTCTCATGATAATTTTTACATTATAGGTTATCGGGAGGAATACTACAGAGGGAAAGTGCCATTTTCCCATATCATATTAGAGGTACCTACCATCAACATGATTTATGATTTTCGATATAGACTTTAATCACCCGGCTGAGGTATATTTGTCAAGTTCCTCTCCTGTAAAGTTCCTTTCTTTTCCTTGCTTTTCTATTCTGTTTTTTAGATTTGGTGAGCTCTTCTCTTTATTCCCCAGCTACCATTATTATTGCTCATCCAGGAGGGGGCAATGATTTTCTTTCATTTTCTTTTTATACTGAACTATGAGTTGATAGAGGGAGCATTCTGGTTATCTCTGCACCCTAGATGCCTATCACGGAGTGTGCTGTATGGAACAGTGGTCCCCAACATTTTTGGTACCTGGGACCAGTTTCATGGAAGATAATTTTTCCACAGACCGGGATGGGGGAGATGGTTTTAGGATGAAGCTGTTCCACCTCAGATCATCAGGCATTAGATTCTCATAAGGAGCGCACAACCTAGATCCCTCGCATGCACAGGTCACAATAGGGTTTGTGCTCCTATGAGAATCTAATGTGGCCTCTGATCTGACAGGAGGTGGAGCTCAGACAGTAATGCTACCTCACCCATGCTCACCTGCTGCTGCGCAGCCTCGTTCCTAACAGGCCACGGACTGGTAGTAGTTCATCGCATTGGGGTTGGGGACCCCTGGTATAGGGGATATACAGTTAAATATTTGTTGAATAAAGGGATCTTTTTACAATAAGTCAAATTTTGTAACCCCAAACAAGTTTTTTTTTTTTTTTTTTTTTTTTTTTTTTTTTTTGAGACAGAGTCTCGCTCTTTCGCCCAGGCTGGAGTGCAGTGGCGCGATCTCTGCTCACTGCAAGCTCCGCCTCCCGGGTTCACGCCATTCTCCTGCCTCAGCCTCCCAAGTAGCTGGGATTACAGGTGCCCGCCACCACTCCCGGCTAATTTTTTGTATTTTCAGTAGAGACGGGGTTTCACCGTGTTAGCCAGGATGGTCTCGATATCCTGACCTCGTGATCCGCCTGCCTCGGCCTCCCAAAGTGCTGGGATTACAGGCGTGAGCCACCGCGCCCGGCCTCCAAACAAGTTTTAATGAGCAAATATGGCATAATAGATGGTATCTTCAAATAGATTTTGCCGTAAAATTGAGACATGCCCTTAAAATATGTGACTGTGGTTTTCACATATTTACAAAAGCTAGAGAACATTGGTAGCAAGCAGAAATTTTCTAAATTTTAAAGCAATGAAATAATTTGTTCAAAAAATTTTACACAAATTACATATATAAAAAAGTTGAGTCGTTCTTGTCAAAGTGGAAGTGAAGGATTTTTATAAAGATAAAATGTTCTATAAAAACTCGTGAAAATATTAGTAAAAGCAAAATATCTTGATATTATTCTAAACAATTTTCTCACAAAAGTAAGATATTTTAGTTACACTAATAAAATTAATCCTGAAATATGCATCTTAATATAGAGTGGAAATTTCCTGTAATATTACTGGCTGAGGCAAGAAATATCTAATCTAAAAGTTGTTTATAAACCTATCAATAATGTTTCTCCTTTCTTTTATTTCTATTTTTGATTACAAAATTAGATTTTGAAGAAATTTTTTTTACCTTTTTTTCCCTTAGAAATGAGAGTGGTGACATTGCCTTGATATAAGAAATCTATAGGCTAAAAATAACATATCTTATACACTTGAATAGAGATACATTTCCTCAGATGTTCTGTTTCATTTGGCTTGAAACATGGCATTTTGTGTTTGTTTGAAGGTAGGCTCATCTTGAGGACAATATTTAGGTTATTCTTATGTGAACTTAGAAATTAATCACCAGCTACATAGTAAAAAATCCACTTTATCATGAAGTTTTTATTTATTCCCAAAATAAAAATTACAAATCTCCATGTCTCATAAATCCCAGGAAACTAGTTCTAATTTGTGTTTGTTTGTTTGTTTGTTTGTTTCCTACTGAACCATTGATACATGCTTAATATTTGCAGGAAAAGGTCTAAATATTTAAAATTAAGTCAGGTATTAGGAACTTTGGCCAACATCAGATGAATTCATACAGCCACATAAAACTGCTTCCTCAGACTTGTATTTAACTTTACGCACTGCTTGACAAGGCTGTAGAATTTATTGTTATATCAATAGCCTCCTACTTTACAATAAATACAACATTGAATAAAGTCAGGGAACAATGGTCATAATTTTTACTAAAGGTATGTACCATATAAACAACCCAATATTAAATGAATAATTGTCTTCTACCCAAAACATACATATTTTTTAAATTAAATATAAAAAAGAAATACTAGCATTTTCTGGTAGTATTTTAAAACACTTAGTGGGCGATATTGAATCTTATCATTCTTTCTATTACAATCATCTAATTTGTTAAATCCTCCATATCTGTTGATATTTCCTCCATGAAGTAGAGCTATTGCTCTTTAAATATAGAGGAGATTTTCCATAAAAGGGTGTTTAAATATCCTTTCTCTTCTGTGTTTCTTTCATGAAGCAGGAGGGAGAGGTGTATTGAATGTTCATGAGCAAAGACTGTGAAAGTTTATAGCCCTTGGCCTGAATTCTGATTCCTTTACTTGTGAAGTTTGAGAACTAGTACAAATTTATAAATTGACTGAGCCTCAAGTTCTTCATTCATAAATGATAGAAAAAAAACCAAGTCACTTTATAGATTCACAGTGAATGTTAAAATAAACACACATGTAATGAACAATATTTGACATATCTTTATCACTAGCAGTAACACATATATAAGGTAGAAGTAGGAAGAAACAATCAAAAACTCAAATATTCGGATTTTCTACAGGCTCCAGAGAGATTCTTAGATATTTCTATGTCCCCCAAACTATAAACACATTGTTACTGTTTCGTGTTTTCCTATCCCATCTTTGCGTATTTTAAAGCTTCTTTTAGAATCTTTAAAGCATAAAGAAATATACAAATGCACTATGTACATGTAAGAAAGAGAGTATTCTAAGGTTGTCTATTTTTCCTAAAGTAGAGCCTTTTCCCTTTGCTCCTGTGATCATATATCTGAAACTGTGTGAATATATATATGCCTCAATATTAAATATGAAATTTAAAAGTAAACACAGTGAGAGGTTGAAATAAATGTAAATAATGACAGTGGTAGTATTATATATTCCAGTACCATTTTGTAATTTATGTGAGATTATTATAATATACCCAGATGCCTTTTTATGCATTTGCATTCCTTTTTTTTTTTTTTTTTTTTTTTTTGAGATGGAGTCTCGCTCTGTCACCCAGGCTGGAGTGCAGTGGCGGGATCTCAGCTCACTGCAAGCTCCGCCTCCTGGGTTCACGCCATTCTCCTGCCTCAGCCTCCCCAGTAGCTGGGACTGCAGGCACCCGACACCCCGGCTAATTTTTTTTGTATTTTTAGTAGAGACGGAGTTTCACTGTGTTAGCCAGCATGGTCTCAGTCTCCTGACCTCGTGATCCACCCGCCTCAGCCTCCCAAAATTCTGGGATTACAGGAGTTAAGCCACCGCGCCCGGCCGCATTTGCATTCTTTAAGAGATCTACAACTACTTATTTATCTTGCTTTATATTTCTTAAGCGTGTTATTGTAAAAACCATTCTCCAAGTGAAGAGAAGAAAAAAGTAGCCATTTAATTTCCAAAGTACATGTACAAACACACAAGGTACAAGTAGTTTGGATTTCATGATATTGAAAGTGATGTCTGCACTTTCTAGTGGGAATAAAGCTTAGAACTGCACCACAGTAGGGATCGCTATTCTCTAGGTCAGCTGTGGTGAGGAAATATGAAGGGAAGTTTCAGAGGCAGACCATAAGAATACAAACGCCTCTTATTCTTCTGTTTCAGTGAAGTAAATTCTTCTAGGGAAGAAAAGAGTTTTAGGTATATTATGTAAAAATATGATAATTATAAGCATCTTATTAGCTGTAAGTAAATATGTAAAGTAAGAAAAAAATTAAAATGTGTCTGGACAGTTTAGATCATTTAAGATAATCAGTTTCAGGCAAAATAAGGAACTAGTAGGCTGTCAGCTCCTTGTTTACAGAAGTTTGGCTTAATCTTCATGTCCCTGAAAGTACCTATTGTAGTATCTTGATCTATAATATTAACAAAAATAAAAATAAGAGTGCATTTCTAAGTTACTTAGGTTATTTTTTCTCTTGTGTTTTCTTGTCTCACTTTACTTATTTGGAATTTTAATAGATGGAAATATGCATTTTCACTGCATTGTGGAGGAAAAAAATGGCTCTATTTAAGGCTGTTAATTATGATTAATGTTAACTTCTTTCTTCCAGCCTTAATATCTGGGTAAATATAAAAGATTTTTTTTTTTTAGTTTCCATAAAATACAAAGGACAGTTGAAAACAAATTTTTTTTTTTGTTATTATTCCATTTATATGAGATGTCTACAATAAGATAATCTATAAAGATAGAAAAGAGAAAACAAAATTTATAACATTTTTCTACAAGCTGTATAATATATAGAGATGTAATATATCTGGCAAATATAAGATAGACAATTGGATTGGAAGAAAGTGTTGGGATAGTAGATAGTATGTATATTGGAGTGGGAGAAGGAGTTGGGATAGTAGATACTATGTATATTGTAATCACTGGTGCCATCACACCACACATACATATAAACACAGTTTTATATATACATATGTGAGATGGAATTTTAAAAGTTTCATATAATTTAAAAGGAGGCAGGAAGAATTAAAGGTAGAAATAAACAATTATGTAATCATAGGTTAAGATTTTAATTCCCATTTCTTATCAGTTGGTAGAAAAAGTAGACCAAAAACATGCGACAGTTGCATAATTCACAATCACACATATAAATTATATACTGGGTCATAAAAATGTCTTCATATATTTAAAACACTTTATATCATGCAGGAAATAGTCTCTCACCACAATGGAAAAGTTTTAAAGCATAACGATAAGAAATCAATGACAACTTCAATATTTGCCAATTAAACAACAATTCTAAATGGTGTATTGATCAAAGAAGAAACCATAAGGCAAATCAGAAATATTTTAAATGGAAAAAGGTATAATTTGATGGATGTAGATAAAGTATTGCTTAGAGAGAAATTTAGTGCTTTAAATATTTATATTAGAAAGCAAAAATAGGGCATGGTGGTGGGCACCTGTAGTCCCAGCTACTCGGGAGTCTGAGGCAGGAGAATGGCGTGAACCCAGGAGGCGGAGCTTGCAGTGAGCCGAGATTGTGCCACTGCACTCCAGCCTGGGCGACAGAGTGAGACTCTGTCTCAAAAAAAAAAAAAGAAAAATAAAGAAAGCAAAAATAGTCAAAAATTAATGCCCTATATTCTCCCTTAGGCTATTATAAAGAGAAGAGGAGAATGAGAATGAGAATGGCAGAATGAGAAGAACTGAAATAATGAACATAACAACAGAAATTAATAAAATTGAAAACAAGTAATAGAGAATGTTAACAAATCCAACATTTGTTTTTTTGAAACTAATAAAATGAATAAACTCCTAACTAAGTTAATGAAGACAAAGATAGAGGGAACATAGATTTTTAGCCCCAGGAATAAAAGGGGAGTTATCCCTAGAAACTTACAAATCTTTACTACCCATCATGGTTTGCCCCAACTACATACGGCTATTTAAATTAACTAAAATTAAACAAAATTCAGTTTCTTAGTCACAGTCTCATTTCAAGTCCTCAGTAGCCACATATGGCTATTAGTTACCAGATTGGGCAATGCCGATGTAGAATATTTCCATTATTACAGAAAGTTCAATTGGGCAGCATTGCCCATTAAAAGGAAAATAGGAGAGTGTTGTAAACAAGTTTATACACTTGTACAATGTACAAGTACAAATGTACAATGTACAAATTCAATGTACAAATTCATTGAATAATATGATTTAGCAAAACTAACTCCAGATGAAATAAAATCTGAATATTCTTGTATCTTTTAAAGATGTTATCTCTCTTGTATCGATTAAAGATGTTAAATTTGTTATTTCAGATCTTCCCAAAAAGAAAACTCTGAGCAAAATGACTTAATTGGCTAATTTTATTAAACATTTAAGGAAGACATTAAAATCTTACACAAACTCTATCAGAAAAAAGGGAGGAAGAAAATATATCCCAATTCATTTTATGAGGCCAGTATAACCCTAATACCAAGATCTGACAGAGACATTGCAAATAATTTTAATAATAGTAACAATGGCAAATAGCCTTTATAAACATAGACATAAAATTTTTACACAACATTAGCAAGCCAAATCTTTTAATACAGAGGAAGGTAACACATTATAATAAAAAAAAGTTTAGCTTAGGAAAGCAAGGTTGACTTTAAATGTGAAAATTATTATACAATATACTTAACTCTATTAAGAGTTTTAAAAGTATATGAACATTTCAAAAGGCACATAGAAAAAGAACTTGACAAAATTTAACACATGATGATTAATATTTCAGCAATCCAAGAATAGAATTTTCTTTTCCTATCACTATCAACATGCCTACTATAAGGTATTGAACATTTTTTTTTTTTTTTTTTTTTTGAGACGGAGTCTCGCTCTGTCACCCAGGCTGGAGTGCAGTGGCGGGATCTTGGCTCACTGCAAGCTCCGCCTCCCGGGTTCACGCCATTCTCCTGCCTCAGCCTCCCAAGTAGCTGGGACTACAGGCGCCCGCCACTACGCCCGGCTAATTTTTTTGTATTTTTAGTAGAGACGGGGTTTCACCGTTGTAGCCGGGATGGTCTCGATCTCCTGACCTCGTGATCCGCCCGCCTCGGCCTCCCAAAGTGCTGGGATTACAGGCGTGAGCCACCGCGCCCGGCCTGAACATTTTTAAAAATATTATTATTCTTGGCCGGGCTCGGTGGCTCACACCTGTAATCCCAGCACTTTGGGAGGCCGAGGTGGGCGGATTACCTGAGGTAAGGGGATTGAAACCAGCCTGGCCATCATGGTGAATCCCCGTCTCTACTAAAAATAAAAAAATCAGCCGGCCTTGGTGGCGGGCACCTGTAATTCCAGCTACGTGGGAGGCTGAGGCAGGAGAATCGCTTGAACCTGGGAGGCGGAGGTTGCAGTGAGCTGATGCCAAGCCATTGCACTCCACCCTGGGCGACAGAACAACACTCCATCTCAAAAAAAAAAAAAAAAAAGAAAAAAAAATTATTCTCACCTTTTCTATTCCATATTGTACTGCTCATTGTAATAAAAGAAGGAAAAGAGGCCAGGCGTGGTAGCTCACGCCTGTAATCCCAGCACTTTGGGAGGCCGAGGCGGGTGGAAAACGAGGTCAGGAGTTCGAGACCAGCCTGGCCAACATAGTGAAACCCTGTCTCTACTAAAAATAAAAAAAATTAGCCGGGCATGTGGCGCTTGCCACCTACTCAAGAGGCTGAGGCAGGAGAGTCGCTTGAACCTGGGAGGCGGAGGGTGCAGTGAGCCAAGATTGCACCACTGCACTCCAGTCTGGGCGACAGTGCAAGACTCCGTCTCAAAAAAAAAAAAAAAAATGAAATATGGGTTTATATAGGAAATTCTGAAGAATGTAAAGAAAAACTACTGCTAAAACTAATATGTGAATTTAGTGAAGTCCCTGAATACAATGTTAAATGTATAATTTTTTGTAGAAATTGACATGTTGGTTTTAAATTTTTTTGGAAATGCAAAGGACCTAGACTCATCGAAGCAATCTTTAAAAAGGATAGAGCCGGATAATTTTACACTGCTTGATTTCAAGACTTATTTTAAAACTTTAATAATTAAAAGTGTGGTACTGGCACAAGGATTCACATGTAGATCAATGAAACAGCAAGACTAGAAATAAACACTTAATCAATCATTTTGATTTTTGACAAGTGTTCCAAAACAAGCCAAGGTGGAAAAAAGTCTTTTCACAAATGTTGACATAATAACTGAATATCTCATGGAAAATAATACATGTAACTCTACTTCTGTTTATACTACACACAAAAATAATTTGAGTTAGATCATAGTTCTAATCATAAAAGCTAAAATCGTAAAGCTTTTAGAGGAAATCTTTTAACTACGCTTTGTGCGTGGGAATTTTCCTAACAAAAATTTGGGAATAAAAATAGAGCTATCTTTCTTTTTCCATTCCTAGTAGTACCTTCAGAAATTTCTTATTTCACATAAGAACTATTCAATAACCACCTAACTAATCCCTGTACATCCTATACGTATTTCCAATCTTTCTTTCACACTGCCACCAGACATATCTTTCTAAACTGTTGTTTTATTCAAGTCATTATAATTTTCAGTGGTATCTCATTTTCTACAGATCATTATTTTTCACTAAAGCCCAATGTCTCATACACTTTATTGCTTCATTTATTCCTTTATTCCTTTATTCTTTCAAACAATTATTGAGTTCCCCAGTCCTTGATTAATCCATCTGTGAGCTAGTCCCTTCTTTTTTATTGCACTGCTGGAGAAAAAATATCATACAAATGTGGAAATTGAGACCACTGTGCATTTTTATTTTCAAACTTCCCAGAAATACTTCAAGGTTTCCTGACTCAGCTGTCATTTGTGTTCTCCACAAGGGTTATTTCTAACATTGCACTCTGTAAAACTCTGACTGTGCCACCTCCTGCTTAATTCTCAGCGTGTGACCTCATCTACTCTTCCAAGAAAAAGTATAAGCAAACAGCAAAAGCTCAGATAATTTTTTATTATCTAAAATGATAAAGTTGTCCACAATTATAAAATACCTATATTATTCCCTTCCTTTTTATGACAAGTGTCATTCTTTTTTTTTTTCTTTTAAAGTGTCTCTCCCACCTTGACCAAGATGGTGAAACCACGTCTCTACTAAAAATACAAAAATTAGCCGGATGTGGTGGGGCACACCTGTAGTCCCAGCTAGTCTGGAGGCTGAGGCAGGAGAATCACTTGAACCTGGGTGGTGGAGGTTGCAGTGAGCCGAGACCGCGCCACTACACTGCGTCTCAAAAAAAAAAAAAAAAAAAAGTGGGTCTCTTTGTCTGTGCTCTCACATCCTCAAGGACTTTGCTGTTTCCATTCTCGTTTCCCCTACATGTCTAATCTATGTCAGTTTCCTAATCCTTCAGTGATTCCTTATTACTCATGGTAATTTCTAAACTCCTTAACATAGTTTATGAGCTTCTGTAGCCTTTCCCACCTCACCACCTCCCCACCTCCCCCGCCTTCCTTAAAATCGATGTTCTTGTCATCCCAAACTTCTAGTTTCCTGATTATACCATGTACTTTCTCAGTTTTGGACTTCTCTCACATGCTATTCTTCCTTTTAGATAAATCTTTATTCCTCTCAGCCTGATACATTTCTACTTAGCATGTAGGCCTCAACTTACATGCAATTTACTTCAGGGAATCTTCCAAAACACCCCTCATATTTTTTTAGCACTTCACCCAGTATCTCCCTTATCATAAGACATGCCATTTTATATTGTAATTACTTACTTACTTGTTTTTATCTCTTAAGTCTGAAAATGCCATTAGTTCAGGTATCTTGTGTATAAACTTGAATAATTGAACAGTAGGTGGTTAAGGAAGCAAGGCACCATGCTAGGCATCTGGACTAGATGAAAGGCAGACTCTCTGTTATCAAGGACTTTACAATCTAGGAGAGGAGACAAATGAACCACAAATGATAATATTAAGATATTAAATACTACACTATGGTGCCTGGCCCCATTTCCCTTTCAACTTAGCCTCCAACTGCTTACATTCTTTAAACCTCTACACCCGTAAGACATTTCTACTACTTACCATTTGAAGAAGTCTTATACTTTTTCTTTACATGTTTTGCTCATGCTTCTGAATCTTTCTGGAAACCATGGACACTTCTACAATCATAAACAACATTAATGAAATTTGCTCAACTTACTATAGACCATGAGATTCTCTCCTTCCTCTGCACTTTAATAGTAATTCTAGTACTACCATTCATATGATAATCATGATAAAGGCTTGATTAATTATTTATACATATATATAATTACATCACATTTTATATTGAAATCTCCTGGAAGACTAACCTATTATATACCTGTATATGTATATTCTCTCCTTCCTTTGAACCTATATAGATATACATATACATATACATATACATATACATATACATATACATATACATATAAAACCCCCGAGAGGCCCAATAGGAAATAGAAAAGTATCTTGCTCATAGAACTTTTATCATAATTGATTTTTTTAAAAAATTATGAATTATGCCATCAGTCCTATTTCTGCTCTGCTGAATCTTTTGGATTCATTATCTATTGTCCAGATTGTCTCTACAAAATATAAAGCTCATTTATCTTAAAAAGTTGAAGACTAGTGTTTTATTTATATTATTAACTAGCTTTTACATGTCCCAAGAATTATATTACGTGCTTTATATACACTTTGCCCTTTAGTCTCCCCTGTAATCCCATGAAGCAGGCACAGCTGGTAACTCTATTACCTTTGAAAGCAATGAGGTCCAAAATTGGTTCAGTTACTTTTTCAAGGTCATCCAAAAGAAATTTGTACAGGCACTATGACATACTTTAGAAAAATAAATCCTACACATTTAAGAAAATATATATTTTTAGAAAAGTAGCTACTATTTACCAAGATCAGAGTTGGCTTGGTATTTGGCCAGCATTATCTTTTCTTTTTCTTCCCAGAAGATTTGTAAAGTTAATGTTCTTATGATCACTTTACGGTTTAGAAACTTAAGACTTGGAAGGATCAAGTGATCTCTTCAGGGTAGCTCACATAGCTAGTAAGTAGAAGACTGGATGTGAAACAGTCTGTCATCAAGCTTATGTTTCTAACTACTATACCATACTGCCTTGTTAACTCTTACTTAACTCTTTAGTTTTGTACCTCTCAGTTTGTTTAATATCTCTTTATTGTTGTGTTATGGCATAGAATATTAATGTGAGCAGAATACAGTTATGTAAATTTACTGACTGGGTTCTAGATAACTAGTTTAACAATATACTGACTCTCTACTATTTGAAAAACCTGCTTGAGATACTACAATTTTATCAAATTTAAAGACATAAGTAAAAATATTAACATCTTTTAATATTTCATTAAGCATATGTGTTCAAGCACATGCCTTCCTGGCAAATCTATCTTGTTTTAGAATTAGTGATTGGCATATTTATATAAGACTCATTTTATACTTTTACCAATGTCTCTCTTGTAACTCTTACCCAGAATTTTCAGATTTTTTTTCTGCAAAGTCTCTATTTTATAATCTAGACAGAGTTATAGGCCCAGGTGGGATACCTACAATCATTACATTTTTGTCACAGTCTTTTTCATGTAATAAGTAAAACTAATAAAAAGACATACTAATGTAAGATAAAAGCCAGCTGCATTATTTCAATCCAGTGATTGAATTCTATCAATCAAGGTACCCTTTGCTGCCAGAAAAGAAAGCAAGAAGGTTTTATGTGGAGGAAAATAAGGCTTAGGGTAAATTAAAGTAAAAAGCTCAATCTATAAAATAAATGTATTTCTAAAATTGGGACTATGAACCAGGAAAAGCAAACAGTATTTGATAAGGCCTGTCTAGACATTGGTATTTTGAGTATGAATATTGAATAATAAAATGGAAATGAATAATATTATGATAAGATCAGGCAAATTTATGAAAATATAAATCAATGAGAGAGAGCAAAAATCTGTGGCACTGTCATTTTAAGGCCTGAATACAAATATGGGCTGCACCTTTATTTGGCAAACTCTCTAATCAGCTAATTACTTTATAATGCCTACTATGAAAATCACTGATTCTTTTCAGTCTAGTTTTATTGTGGATTTAATAAAACCACTTTGTTTTCTTAATAAAATTTACTTTCTATTATTAAGTACTATATGTTTATTATCAAAATTTAGAAAATTTAGGAATGTACAAAAATAAAATTTGCTAGGTAGCAGTTATTTTCAGAGTAAATCCTTGCTAACACTTTTATTACTGGGACTTTAAACAAGCCAATATTAAGCGTTCTGCATCCTAAATAAGACTATATAAATCTAGAATAGAAAATTATTTATTATTAAGTTGTTGCAAAAGTAATTGAGGTTTTTGCCATTGCTTTTCATGGCAAAAACCACAATTATTTTGCACCAACTTAATAGCTTATATGTTGTTTCTTGTAATTTTTTATTTACTTGTTTAGTTTCTAACGTAGTCTATTATATGTGTTAAATCATATTTGCAGAGATAAATGTTAGGGACATCAAAAGACACATTTAAAACTATGAAGTGTGAGAAATATCAATTTTCACCTTGTGTCTTATGTGTGTACATGAAACCAAATAACTCGTCATATGGAAGCTGGACTGTTTGCACTCATGTAATTACAGTCCTGTCTCTTGGGACTATGTGGTCACTTTGGGGAAAGGCAATGTAATTCAGAGCATGTGCATGTATCTCTCTTGAAACCCATTCACAATTTGAAAAATTCACGCAACGTAGTAAGAGGTGGCTCAGATTCCTAACATTACTTTTAAAAACTCTAAAATTGACCATAATTATGGTTTTCCTTTACTTAAAGGGATTCAACTTGTTTACTTGGGCTTTTGCTACTAAATTCTGTAGAAGCACAAATCTGCTGGTAGAAGAAGAGATAAGGGACCCACAGTCTATAAGTTTGCATCCACAAAATAAAAGTAAATTGCTAATGGAAACTGATTTTCTATTGACAGTGACTAGCTTGCCTTGAGACATTAACTTTATCTTCACCAACATGTTTGAAAACAACCTATTGTATTATCCCTTATCTTCACCAACATGTTTGAAAACAACCTATTGTATTATCCCTCCCCTCCAAAAATTAGTGCTGCTCAGATTGACAAATCGTAAGTCAGAGCTTGCCTATATTAAGAGGCAAACGAATGAATCACATCTTCGTTGAGAGGATAGCTTGTTCCAGGCTCCAAAAGAAGAAATGAAATATGACAGACATGTAGTTTTCATTCAGCACATGTTTACTGACATATTTCATGTGTCAGACACTCCTAAGGCCCTGGGGGTACTGGAGAAATCCAGTACTTTTTCTTGCAATGCTTTCAAGCAATTGTTTTCTAATTTGTGACATGCCAAGCAAACCACTTTCTATTACCCTAAGGACTGATTAAATTGTTCTAGAAGGCAATTAACTCTTTGAGTAATCACTTCTACAGTACCAATCTTTTGGTACTTTTCCAAGTATCAAAAATCCATAGAACCAAAAGGATTTACTGTAAGACTTGGTGTTAGGATAATTTTGCAACCTGCATCATGGATTTCTAAAATGAATTCTCCTGAGTATATGCCTTGATTCCTTCCCCAAAATACTCAATATTTAACATTATAAGAATTACTATAAACATTTAAAAAATTAGGTGCATAATCAATTCATTTAATCTTTTCAACCTTTTTTTTTGCTTCGTTTCTGTATGGTTTGTATAAGATACCTACTATCCCCCAAAAAACTGTTAATTTAAAATGTCCTATTTATTTACAAAATCAGAGATGTTATAAAGTATGAGAGAATAATTATTCTTCACATAAATTAATGATAATCCTTGAATAATTTATCTGTTGGCTAATTTAAATAATTTTTGCATAGGTAAATAGGTATGTCCATCCCCTCCAATAAAACGGAACCAAGTGTTTTCTTCTAGCTCCACTCTCAGGCTGTGTATTCTGCCTGTGCAATTAAGAGTAATTGAAGAAATCTCAGTATTGGCCAGAGACAGATAATAGGAAAGGGCAAGAAGTAAAATTAAGGAAAGGGTATCAACTCAGCCTTCCCTGGATATTTTACCCCCAAAAGATAAACAGAAGACCAGTTTAGGCAGAAGTCAGTCTGTTGGTCTTCCAGACTTGAATGTATGGAATTGTGAAGCCTACATTATTTTAAGCTTCAACAAAGCAGGCCTCATGGGTCCCTTTGCTCCTTCTATGCAAAGTATTCCCTAGGTGAAATAAAAATAAGCTAAGGGAAAAGATCACCCTCATCATTTTAGCCATAGTGTTACACTAATCTTTCTTCCTAAGAGTCGGATTATAGCCTTAGGAAATTCACTCTGCTTTACTTAGTCAGCAACGTGACCCAGTACATGTAGTTAATTAAATAATAGATTAATTAATTTTAAAATTAAAGGCCAAAGTGAACAGGTTTCTAACGTGGCATAGTACAAACAAGATCCAAAGCCTTCTTCTGCAGCTGACCTATTTATACTAGGAATATACTATTATATACTATTTATACTAGGAAGCCTATCTTTGCCAGGCCCGAAGCAAGGATAGAAGCCTGGAGTACTGGGTTCTACCTAGAATGTAACAGAAAATTTGGATAATCTCAAGGTGACTCTTCCTGGGACTGAGCAATTCTCTGAGCCCCAGCCAATTTCTCCTGAAGCATTAATACCTCTCCTTCAGAAACTTTATTATATTTTTTTCCTTTACCTTTGTAGAGTACATATAATGAGTCTAAGAAAGGAAATTTGAGACAACTTAGGATTTTGATGAGTTTGACTCATGCTCACGAATCAAAATAAATTTGCTTGTTGAAATATTGGGAAGATAAGCTTGAGCTCTTATATTTACTTAATGTTTTCTTATTATTTTCAAGAAGTATGGATATTATTATTCTTACGTGTCATTGCAATATCCCATAAGGTTATTGTATTTTATTTTGGGATTTTTGAGGGTTTTATTTTGTTTGCCTTTCCAATGTGCAAATACATATAATCTGCCCCTTTGGGTAGCACTTGTGATTAATATACTACTCTCTTTTTAAATTATCTTGTATCTGCACCACTTCTAAATAATAATTGGATTGTGTGATCTTCTTTTTGGGTGAGAACATTCACCTCACATTCTTTCCCTGGGTGTCATAGGCTAGCTTTTTCCAATCTGACATATATGCACCAACAGAAAAAAAAAAAAAAAGGATGAAAAACAACAACAACAAAAAATATATACTCCCATCCATATATTTTCTGATTATATAATCTGCTATCTTTTATTCCCAAAAGTTAAAGTTTTAATCATGGCTTTGCTGTTCAGTTAATCAGCCTGAAGCTATGTTATTAAATGATATCTCAACAGTATTCACAGTTAACACTGAAGGCAAGAAAAAGTGAAAGCAATTAAACTACCTGTGGAACTTTTCAAAAGAAGACATACACGTGGCCAACAAACATATGAAAAAATGTTCAACATCACTAATCATTAGAGAAATGCAAATCGAAACCACAGTCAGATACCATCTCACATCAGTTAGAATGGCTATTATTAAAAAGCCTAAAAATAACAGATTCTGGCAAGACTGTGGTGAAAAGGGAATGCTTATACACTGCTGGTGGGAATGTAAATTTGTTCAACCACTGTGGAAAGTAGGTTGGCGATTTCTCAAATAGCTTGAAACAGAACTATCGTTTGACCCAGGAATCCCATTATTAAATATACACCCAAAGGAAAATAAATTGTTCTACCATAAAGACGTATGCACTTGCATGTTTATTACAGCACTATTCATAATAGCAAAGACATGGAATCAACCTAGATGCCCATGAACAGTAGACCAGATAAAGAAAATTTGACACATGTACACCATGGAATACTATGTATACATATCCATAAAAATAGAATGAGATGGGGGCCGGGAGCGGTGTCTCGCGCCTGTAATCCCAGCACTCTGGGAGGCCGAGGCGGGCAGATCACGAGGTCAGGAGATCAAGACCATCCTGGCTAACAGGGTGAAACCCCATCTCTACTAAAAATACAAAAAGTTAGCTGGGCGTGGTGGCGGCCGCTTGTAGTCCCAGCTACTCGGGAGGCTGAGGCAGGAGAATGGCGTGAACCGGGGAGGCGGAGCTTGCAGTGAGCCAAGATCTTGCCACTGCACTCCAGCCTGGGCGACAGAGCAACACTCTGTCTCAAAAAAAAAAAAAAAAGAAAGAAAGAAAGAAAGAAAAAAATAGAATGAGATTATATCCTTTGCATCAACATGGATGGAGCTGGAGGCCATTATCCTAAGCAAACTAATGCAGGAACAGAAAAACAAACCCCATGTGTTCTCACTAGTAAATGGGAGTTAAACATTGAGTACATATGGACACAAAGAAGGGAACAAAAGACACTGGGGCCTACTTGAGGCTGGGAGGTGGGAGGAGAGTCAAGATGGAAAAACTACCTGTTAGATACTGTGCTTATTACCTCAGTGACAAAATAATCTATACACCAAACCCCAGTGACACACAACTTACCTATATAGCAAACCTGCACATGTACCCCTAAAACTAAAAGCTAAAAAAAAAAGTAAAAATTATCAAGCCAAAGAATAATTGAAATAATTTACAGACTGTGGTAAGTGCTGCGAAGGAAGTGAAGATAGTTATGTGAAACCACAAACAGGTTGAGAGAATTAAATATTACAAGTGTTTTGGAAAGTGGAAATAAAAAATAAAATACTTTTGGAAAGCAATGAGTGAAAACAGCTAAGATAGCCTTCACCAAAAAAATATGATCCATTAAAATGAATACTTTTGTTTGATGAAATCCCTCAGAAAGCACCCAAAAGTGTAAACATGTTTGCACTGATTATATGTGAAAACTTATAGAGAGGCCATCTGGTTTATATTTTTAACTTAATCAGTTTTGAAATAAAAGTTTTATATATGTGTATGTGTATATATATATATATGTACATTACATGGCTTAAAATTCAAATTGTTCTGTAAAGCTTAACATACAGATGAGTGGTTATCTACTTCACACTACGCCATTTCTAATTTCTGTTCTCCAAAGACACCCCACTTTTAGCTTTTCTTTGAATGTGTTTTAGTCTGCATATTTAAAAAATAACATGCTTATACTGATATTTCTTTTCTTTTATTTTTTGAAAAAGGGTCTCACTCTGTCATCCATCCTAGAGTGCAGTGGCGCAATTATGGCTTACTGCAGCGTCAACCTTCTGGGCTTAAGTTATCCTCCCACCTCAGCCTCCCAAATAGTAGTCAAGACTACAGACATGCACCACCATGCCCAGCTGATTTTTGTATTTTTTTGTACAGATGGGGTTTTGCCATGTTGCCCAGGCTGATCTCAAACTCCTGGGCTCAAGCAATTCACTCGCCTTGGCCGCCCAAAGTGCTGGGATTGCAGGCATGAGCCACCACACCCGACCATTACTGGTATTTCCTGACTTTTCCAGTTTAGGTACCATCAACTCCCTCCCTACTGAAAGATGAATATTTTGTTTGCTTAGAATTCTCCCCCATACTCTGCCTACCACACAGATGTTTCCAATATTATATCACAGTATTGTTTAAACCAATATTCACTGTTTTCACCTCCTTGTATATTATCTAGAGAGCTGAACCACATAGTATGCTATGAATACATTTATTTACTTTACTATTTTAAAAAAAATTATTGGTGATACAACTTCTGAAACCCCTTGTGTATTTGTTGTAGTTTAGACTGGTTGCATGGGTGTTATCAGGATTTCCTTTTACCAGCCTCCTGGGAAGTAGCTTTGCTTTCTCATGTGTAGGCTCTTCTGTCTTCTGGATCATTCGCCTTTTTCCAACTTGGTTTTCTCTTTTTTGGTGGAGGACAAAAATGTTTCTGTATTGTTGCTTCTGTATAAGCTTCCTGAGAAAAGTTGCTTGGGTAATAAATTTTTGGTTGACTTATATGTCCAAAAACGTCTTTATTCTGTTCTCTTAACTGATAGTTTGACTATGCATAGAAGTAGAAGTTGAAAATCATTATATATTAGAATTTAAGGTAGTACTTAACTGCTTTCTAAATTCCACTTCTGCTACTGAAGTTTTCAGTGCCATTGTAATGTCTAGTTTTTTTGTATGTGATTTAAAAATAATGGCTTTATAATGGTATTATTTACATACCATACAATTTACCCAACTGAAGTATGAAAATCTAAAGATTTTTAATATATTTATAGTTGTGCAACCATCACTGCAATAAATTATAGAACATTTTCATTATGCCAAAAATAGCCATGCATCCATTAGCAGTCACTCCTCATTTTCCCACAATATCCCCCAGTACTAGGAACAACCATTCTACTTTTTCTCTACTGCTTTGTCTATCCTGGATAATTCACATAAATGAAATTATACAATATGTAGTCTTCTGTGACTGACTACTTTCACTAGCATAATGATTTCAAGTTTTACTCATGTTGTAGCTTGTATCATACTTTATTCTTTTTTATTGCCAAATGATATTCCATTATATGGATATACCTCTTTTTGTTTACCTATTTATCCATTGAAAGATTCTTGAATTGTTTCCAGTTTTGGCTACTGTAAGTAACTCTGCTATGAATATTCATATACAAGTTTTTGTGTGTTCTAATTTCTTTTGAGTATATATCTAAGAGTAGAATTGTTGGGACATACAGTGACTCTACTTATAACTTTTTGAAGAACTGCCAACATGGGTTCCAAAGTAGCTGGATCATTTATATGTCCATCAAGAGTGTAGGAGGATTCCATTTCTCTATATCCTCACCAACACTTGTTATTGTCTGTCACTATGATTATAACCACCCTAACAGGTGTGAGGTAGTATTTTGTTGTGGTTTTGATTTACATTTGCATAATGATTACAGACGTTGAATATCCATTTATGTGTTTATTGGACATTTGTGTAACTTCTTTACAGAAATATCTGCAGATCCTTTGTTTTTATATTGGGTTTCCTTTTTATTACTGAATTATAAGAGTTATTTGTATATTCTGAATACAAGTCTCTCACCAGATTGGATCTGAAAATGTTTTCTCGCATTGTATGAATTGTTTATTCACTTTTTTGATGGTGTTATTTGAAGCATAAATACTTTTGTTAAGTCCAATGCATGTATTTTTTCCTTTGTCACTTGTGCATTTTATATCATACCAAACAAGCCTTTTTTCTAACCCAAGGAAACAAGGATTTACTCACATTTTTTCTTCTAAGAGTTTTCTCGTTGTAACTCTTTTACTGAGGCCAGCAGTCCATTCTGAGTTAATTTTTGTATGTGGCATAGGAAGTTTCCAACTTTATTTTTTTTGCATGTGGATTTCCAGTTGACCTAGTACAATTTGTTGGAAAAATTAATTCCTCCCCATTGAACTTTCTTGGCACCCTGCAAAAAGTAATTGACCATAGATGTGAGAGTTTATTTCTGGATTCTCAATTCTGTTACATTTATCTATGTGTGCATCTTTATGCCAGTACCACCCTGTCTTGATGATTATAGATTTGTAGTACGTTTTTCTTCCTTTTTTTTTTTGAGATGGAGTCTCACTGTGTGGCCCAGGCTGGAGTGCAGTGGTATGATCTCGGTTCACTGCAACCCCTACCTCCTGGGTACAAGTGATTATTTTGCCTCAGCCTCCCAAGTAGCTGGGAGTACAGGCATGAGCCACTATGCCCAGTTAACTTTTGTATTTTTCATAGAGATGGGGTTTCACCAAATTGGCCAGGCTGGTCTCGAACTTCTGACCTCAGGTGATCCACCCATCTTGGACTCCAAAAGTGCTGGGATTACAGGCGTGAGCCACCCCGCCTGGCATAAGTGTTGCAATAGGTATTCTGCTATTGTTGGACAAGATGTTGTAGATGTCAACTAGGTCTAGTTGTTTATAATGTTGCTCAAGTATTCTATTCTTTGTTGATCTACTGCTTAATTGTTCTTGCCATTATTAAAAGTGGAACATTGAGGTCTTCAACTATTTTTCTTGAATTCTCTATATTTCCCTGCAATTCTGTCAGCTTTTGCTTCATATATTTTGTGAGTCTATTTTTTTGGTGCTTTTATGTTTATAATTGTTGTATTTTTTTCTGATGGATTCACCCTTTCATTGTTGTAAAATGTCTTTATTTGTTTCTATATTTTTATTTTTAAAGTCTGTTTTGTCAAATAATTATATAGCCACTCCAACTTTCTTATGGTTGCTATTTGCATGCTACATTTTTTTCCCATCCATTTTCTTTCCACCTATTTGTATCTTTGGATCTCAAGTATGTCTCTTGTAGATGGCATATAGTCTGATCTGAAGTTTTTATGCTGTTGATAGTTCTGACTTTGGATTTCGTGTTTAATCCATTTACATTTAATGTCATTATTGATAGAGTCCAATTTATGTTTGGTATTTTACCTTTTGTTTTCCTTATCACATGTCATTTTTGGATTTCTATTTCTTTTTTAATGTTTCTCTTCCTTAAGTGAATATTTTGTAGTGTAATATTTCAATTATTTTAATAGTTTATTTCATTAGGTTTGAGTTGTTTTCTTAATAGTTGTCCTAAGTAATACAAGATATATCTCAGTTTATCATAATTGACTTCAGATTTATACTACTTTTAGATATAGAAATGTTACTCATATATAAATAACTCTATTCTCTCTTCTTGTATGATTGCTATTATTGTTATACATATTAAGTCATTGTGTTATAAACCCAATAATACATAGCTATAATTGTTACTTTGTATAATTTTATGTCTTTTATAGAGGCTGAGAGAAGACAGGTTAGGAAAGATTTTTGTATTAACCTTCTTTTTAGCAGTTCTGATTCTCTTCATTGTTTCTGTGGATTACAATCTGATGTCATGTTCTTACTCCAAGAGAGCATTGCTTTTGTTTTTCTCCTTTGTGCTATTATTGGCAAATCTATTACATTTCTATATGTTATAAGCCTGATACAATTATGTACATAATTTTTACATAATTGCTTTATAAATCAACTATGAAATGAGACATTATGTACTTGTAACATCTTTTATACTTAGCTATATCATTATCAATCCTGGGTTTTTTTTTTTTTCATATGGTTTCTACTTACTATCTGCAGTCAATTGTTCTGTGTCTAAAGAATTTCCTTTAGTATTTCTTATAAGCTAGGTTTACTAACAATATGTTCTTTCAGTTTATTTTGAATTCTAATTTTGTAAAGAGAGCTTCGCTGGAAATAAGATTCTTGGTTGGCATTTTTTTCTCTTTCAGCACTTTGAATATATTATCCAACTGCCTTTTGACCTCCATAGGTTCCAATAACGAGTCTGCTGTTATTCATATTGGGACTTCTTTGTATAAATATTTTTTTCTCTTTCTGCTTTCAAATTTTTTTCTTTGTCTCTGTCCTTCAACATTTTTACTATATTGTGAATGCCTTTGTGTTTATCCTACTTGGACATTGTTGATTCTTGGTTGTGTTGATTTTTTTAAAATCAAATATAGAAAGTTTTTGTGTTTTTTTTTTAATGTTGTTGTTCTGTTCCCTTCTTTTCTTCTTATTATTTTGCTACTCTCATTATGTGTATGTTGGCATACTTACTGATGTCCCACATTTATCTCAAGCTCTGTTTATTTTTCCATAGCTTTTGTTCCCTGCATTATTCCGATTATATAATATGACTTCAAGTTTATCATTTCTTCCTTCTGTTAGTTAAAATGTACTATGAAACCCCTCAAATAAAATTTTCATTTTGGTTATTTTTCTTTTCAAACCAAGAATTCCTATTTAGTTCATTTTAGTAATTTCTATCTTCTCATTTGCATACTTCTGTTGATGGGGCATTCATTCCCTTTATAGCTTCATTTACTTCTTTTTAATTTTCTTTTTACTACTTTTATTGTGGTAACACACATATAATATAAAACTTGCCATTATAGCCAATTTAAATTATATAGTTCAGTGGTATTAAGTACATTTATACTGTTGTGCAACCATCTATCTTCAGAAATTTTTTATCTTCTCATACTGAAACTCTCCATTAAGTAATCCATTAAGTAATGGATTCTTGTTTCTTGTTTCCCCTACCCTCTGGCACCCACCATTCTACTTTGTCTCTATGAATTTTACTACCCTAAGTAACTCATATAAATAGAATCATACAATATGTGTTCTTCTGTGGACAGCTTATTTCATTAATGGTAATGACTTTTAGGTGTATCCATGATGCAGCATATGTCAGAATTTTCTTTTTTGTTAAGCCTGCATAATGTCCCACTTTATGCAAATGCTATATTATGTTAATTCATTCATCTGTCAGTAGACATTTGGGTGGTGAATTTGTTCCACTTTTTTATTGTGAATAACACTGCTATGGGCATGGTTGTACAAATATCTCTTTGAGACCATAGTTTGAATTCTTTTGAGTAATGCCCAGAAGTGGAATAGTGTATCATATCATAATTTTATCTTTAATTTGTTTTCCATAGTGGCTGCACCATTTTACCTCTCTACCACCAATGCAAAAGGATTCTAATTTTTCCACATCATCACCAAAACTGGTTATTTTCCATTTGTGTTTGTTTGTGTGTTTAGTTTTGTTTAATAATAGCTGTCTTAATGAGTGTGAAGTGATATTTCATTGTGGTTTTTATTTTTATTTCCTTAATGATTGGTGATACTATTTTTACATATGATTATTGGCAATTTGCGTATCTTTGGAGAAATGTGAAGTCTTCGCCCATTTTTAAACTAGGTGCTCTTTTGTTGTTGACTTGCAGGAGTTCTTTTTATGTTATAAATATTAATTCCTTATTGTGTATGATTTGCAAATATTGTCTGTCATTCTATGGGTTGCTTTTTCATTCTGATCATGTCCCACTTACACATGTTTGGAATTTTTGAGTTTAAATGTATTTTTTTCTTTTGTTGTCTATGTGCTGTTGTCATATCATTCCTTTACTTATTTAAGCATGTTTTCAAAAGTTTTTTAAATGTATTTATAATAGCTGATTTGAAGTCTTTGTCTGCTAATTTCAACATCTGGGGCTTCTGAAAGGCAGAGTCTTTTACTAACTTTTTTTCTTGTATATGGGTCGCACATTGCTATTTCTTTGTAAGTCTCATAATATTTAGTTGAAAAAAGAATTTTATGTAATGTATTTTAGCAACTCTGAAAACCTTTCCTTCCACAGTGGGGTTTATTTTTGTTTGCATATTTAATTGTTTATTATCTGGGCTTGGCTTTTTCAGTGACATCTATTTCCCCATAGTATGCAGTCCCTGATGTACCCCTTAGAGGGTATAACCTTGAGCATGTTCACAATTACCCTGTGTTGACAGTGGGCTTAACATGATTCTCTTTGACTATCTGTTTATCTGATCTTTCTATTATTAAGCTGTGTGTCTTTATTGGTATTACACTTAGCAGATAGCTTGCACGGTCAGCTGATTGTTCTATTAGTTTAAAAAAATGCTTTTTTGCATAAATTGCTCTAAAATAGTCTTATGCAATAAAATCTTTGCTACTTTTCAGGAGATTTAGAGCTTTGTTCTAAACCCACAGTGGTTCCTCTTAGCTATTTTTTTCTGTCTGGTTTTATCTGTCCTGAATTTTACCTTGCTATTTCTGTGAAGCTACCATCTTTGTGCTAACTGATCACCACCAAAATATTCATTGTTTTTGACAGTTCCTTTAGGCTTGAGCTTTCCCATGCTCTGTTACCAATAAAGTTAATATTCTTAAGGTGAGCTACCTAGCTCTGTTTGTTAAGCCCTGCATTTCCCTCAGCAAAACATCTGCATCATGGCTCTGGAGCTGGGGACTGGGACAGTGCTTCACTCTTCTTAGAGTTATACCTCTGCTTTACAAGTGTCATGCTGAGTATGAGTGGTTGACTTTGGTCTTCTTGGCTTGCCTCTTTTGGCTTGGAATCACTGCCCTATGAAGGATCTGGATGAGAGTAACTGGACCCCAGTACATTCTTGATCTGTTCCTGGGATAGAGCTTCTACCCTATGAGTGTATTTCTCCAATTTGTAATTTGATATTCCTGGGTTTTGGCTGTGTCTGTTGTTTTTTGGTTAGAATTATCTAGTTCAGTCTCTTCAGAGAGTAATTCTTCAGTATTCTGCTGCAAATGTTAAAAGAGAAAATCTAGGAGGTGTAACTTCCCATTTCAACCAATACTCCAGTTTATGTTCCCACCGCATTCCACTCCCATTTCCACTATTCTCAGGGGTGTTAAGTACCTGTAATTCCTGAGGCTTTCCATTATTTTGGTTTTGTATTGATTTCCTTCTTGGCCTTTCTCCAAGAGCCTCCATGTTGCACGATTTCATTGAGTGACATTCATATCAAAATTTATTTTAATACTGTCCCCTGGAGTTGTTAGTGCACAGTCTTTGTGGTTGGAATATAGCTGCCCTGACCATCATCTCTCTCATTATCTTCAACCTCTGGCTTAGATTTTACTGCATTAGAAATGTAAAGAGCTAAGTAGCTAAGTTAGCTAACACTAATGTACTGCTTTTTTGCTTCTAAATTTTTGTTGATATCATTTGTCTACTCTAGCTTCCTGCCTAGTCTCTTTATCCTTATGGATTTCTACCTTGTATTTTTATTAAAATTTTATTGGGATTTAGGCAAAGTGCATAAGTGAAGAATATGTTCAGTTGTTACATTTAACACACAGTTGGCATTTTTTGACCTGATGTATGCCAGGCGTGGTGTTGGAGCTTTGCATTTGTCTTTGTTCATCTCATGATGTTGAACATAGAGATACCTTCTCAAAGCTGTTATTGCCTCCTATGTCTGAGTCTAATATGGGGATTTATGTGTCCCATGAGGGGAAAAATGACTTTTCACTTTTAAAGTAGATTTAGTCACAAGTACTTCTAATTTACTAAATATGAAAAAATCAAAATTTTGCTAGCAATATGGATCCCCTTTTACAAAGGAGGTTACATTATTCATGTTGCCAAACCTCCGCTAACCCAACTGCTACTACTACCTCCATCCTATTATATTCCTCTCACAAAAGCTAGGTAACATAGAAGTTATATGTGTATAATCCTTCTTCAATTATATATGCATTTTCTTACACTCCTACCTCAAGGCACAGAGAAATTCCCTTATTGGGTATACACAGTTTCTACTGGCAATTGTATTTTTCTCAGGTCCCTCTGGTAAATTTGGTTGCATTTTTTCCTCACGCATAGTTTCTCTCTGGTAGCAACTAAATACATTGAATCAGGCAAAGATCTGATATTGGTTATTTTATTATTAATAACTCTAGTATGTCACCCTTACTGCAAAATCAAATGCAAAACTCTACTACAAGGTATGTAATATCCCAAACACCCTGGCTTTGCCAGTCCAATGCACCTTGTACTCTCACCTTTTTCTCTCCTATCTTTCTCTGTACTGGCTCATATCTCAGCATTTATGAGATGCTCTAGAAATTATAGAGTATATTTTCACTCCTTATATTTTTTAATATTCATATAAACATATCAAGATATTTGCTAGATCAGAATCTGAAGCTCAGATAGTTTAAGAAACTCACCCATAGTTATATCTGTGGTAAGAGATAGCACAAGTAGAACTATATCTTTTACTTTAGGGTCTGGAGCACACTTTGAGCTACCATTGTGTCTTAGTTTATTCTCTGATTCAAAGAAAACATGGAAATTAAAATCACTGAATTCCTTTGGTTGTGACTATAATGATAATAATACAATTGCCAACCCACAGAAGGTGTTTATAATGTGCCAAGCTAAGTACTTCTACTGAATTACTGTGTTTAAATCTCACACCATGTCTATGAAATGTCATTGTCCTCATATAATTAGTCTGAAAAGAGAACCTCACACAAACATATTTTGCTTTACGTTATCTTCTCATATCTTTTTATAGATTATGCTAAAGTAAACATTTTTCCTCATACAATATTCCCAGTAATAACTTATACCTAAAGATTATACATTTATTTTTTAGCAAATTGTGTCAATGAATAAACCAGTCATTTTATTTATAATTTGTAAAATAAATTAATCTCTCTTCAGATTTGATTATGGCCTTGTAGCTATATTTTAATTATCTGTGTAATAAAATCTACAATAAAATGTTTCTAAATAAATCAGAATCTAAAGTTGCTAAGTTGCTAAAAATGATTATATATGGAGATTCAAAATAAGCAGTTGTTTAAATCCAGTATTCACCAATGAGTTGAGGTGGTTGGGGCTCTTTCTCTGAGTGATTTCTTAACTTGCAGGCATAACACAAAATGAGAAATTCTCTTAGCATTGATGTGGTACACTCTCAGATTTTTTAAAAAAAATTGTTACTTTGGTTTTTTGTTTAATTTATACATTTCAAAGCATACCTAGTGGCATACATCAGAATTGTATTACAGAGAAATATATGAGAAAACAGCATGAAAATCATAAAAGTAAATTGAAATTTCCAGACAAGAAGAAGGGAACATGAGCATGGAGAAAATATGCATATATGCATATTCTTTTTTTTTTTTTTTTTTTTGAAACAGAGTCTCGCTCCATCACTCAGGCTGGAGTACAGTGGCGCAATCTCTGCTCACTGCAAGCTCTGCCTCCCGGGTTCACGCCATTCTTCTGTCTCAGCCTCTTGAATAGCTGGTTTTACAGGCGCCTGCCATCACCCCCGGCAAATTGTTTGTATTTTTGGTAGGGACCAGGTTTCACTGTGTTAGCCAGGATGGTCTCGATCTCCTGACCTTGTGATCTGCCTGCCTCGGCCTCCCAAAGTGCTGGGATTACAGGCGTGAGCCACCGCGCCTGGCCAGACATGCATATTCCTACTCTCCCTGACACAGAAGTTATGCATATCACTTCCACTCATGTTCTATTGGTGAGAACCTGTTCTATGGCTCTAACCCGACTAAAGGAGAGGTAGGACGTAGAGTCTCTGGCTGGATAGTCACTTCTCAGAAACAATTCTGCAGTATGCAAGGGAGAGCACAAATATTTTTTAACAGATAGCTGTATTTACCATACAAACTGAATGTGTTTCAGCAAAGAATTGGTTAATTAAATTACTCATCATTCATAAAATGGAACAATATGCAGCTATTAAAAAGGATGGGGAGATATACATGTATCGAGTACACACACACACACATCTATCTCATTACTTTTTTGTTTTGAGAATAAGGGAAAGGCTTTATTGAATGTGTACAGTTTCAGTGGAAGAAACATAGCAATTTTGAGTAGATCTAAAGGAAGAGTTCCTTAGCACATTGCATATTATTCATTACATGAAGAGTTTTTCTAAATGAAAAATGTTCAGGACGTTCAGTAGAAAGAACAAATTAAGGAATGATCTCCACAGCATAGACCTCAAGGCTCTTATGCATGCAGGGTACAGTTCTAGCGCAGAATCCTCAGGGACAGCATGAGGGCCTCCACTGGGGTGCCTTGGGCTCCTTCCAGGGCAGCAGTTGAAGGGGGTCGCGCTGCAGTCCAGGAGACAGGCTGGGGTTACTCTCCTTTCTGGTTGCTTCCTGATGGAATCCTGGGATTTCAGCATCTTCCTGGGCGGCCTGAACTGTAGAGGGTGCCCTGCAACATAGAGGGCACCCTGGGTGTGTGTCCTTCCACCTCTGCAGCCGCTGGTATCTCTAACGCTGGCTCAGGCTGCTTTGGACCCCTCCATTGGTAGCATCTGCGTCTTCTTGAGGTGACTGGAGCCTGTTTGTGGTTTCAGCCATTGACTCCTGGACATGGGAGTCTCGAGAGAGTTTGTGGCCCCTCTCATCTCCGGGAAGGGCTCGGTGCCCGATGGAGGTGCATTAGCAGGAGCAGCGGCTCAGCACAGGGAAGTTATCCAGTGCCCTGTCCTAGGCTTGCTCTAGGTTCAGGTCCAGTGATATCTGGGGCTCCGGCCCTGCCTGCCTCCAAGACAGCTCTTCCAAGGTTGATGGATGAAACTCTATAGCCTCAGCCTCCCAAGGCTTGACCAGGCACAGCCACGTAGTTAGTCTAGGAAAAAAGCAAATGGCCTCATTACTTTAAAAAACAAAACAAAACCCAAAAAACATATACAATCTTTTATAAATTCCAGGCTCCACTTGGCAGGGTGCAGTGGCTCATGCCTGTAATACCAGCTCTTCGGGAGGCCAAGGCAGGTGGATCACTTGAGGTCAGCAGTTCGACACCAGCCTGGCCAACATGGTGAAACCCCATCTCTACTAAAAATACAAAATTTATCCGGGTGTGATGGCGGGCACTTGTGGTCCCAGAAACTCAGGAGGCTGAGGCAGGAGAATTGCTTGAAGCCGGGAGACAAGGTTGCAGTGAGGGGAGATGGTTCCATTGCACTCCAGCCTGGATGACAAGAGTAAGACTCTGTCTCAATAAAATAAAATAATGAATAACTAAATACCGCCAACTCAGTCCATGGAATATTTTCTCAGACCACATGGTTGGTCCACAGCTTCCACCTTATTACAGCTAAATTATAGAAAATTTTGCTTTTTCTTTTTGAAATAGTTGTAAAATCTTATGAAATATTAACATGCAAAATGAAAATTATCAAGTGACAATGTTGTCAGTCACGTTTATTAAATAAACTTTCAATATAATTGCTTACTAGTTCTGGTGGGTTTTTGATGGTTTTAAAAACAATTTTGTATGTAGACATTTGTTGTTTCTGTTGCTTACAAACAGAAACCGTTTTACTTATTTCATTCTTTCTAATTTGTGTTCCTAAACTTTGTTAAAGCCCCTTAATGCACTGGTTACAAACTTCAATATATTACTGAATATAAATGGTAAGAGAAGTTATCCTACTTCTGTTGTGACATGTTCGTGTTTCAAGGGCAAAATCATTCATTAGGTTGAAGAAATTCCCCTCTATTACTACATTGCCAAGGGTTGTATTTTAAATAATGAATGGGTATTGTTTTTTATTAAACGCTTTTTGGGCATCTATTGAAATGATAGGGTTTTTTTCCCTTACTGTACTGATTGATAGGGTGATCTGGATTAATTGATTCTCAAATGCAAAACCAGCCTGGCATCACCATGACATATTATCCTTTTATATATTGCTGGATTTTAGTGGTTAGTAATTTTGAAGAATTTCACATCTATATTCATAAGGAATGTTGTTCTATATTTTTTCTTTAATGCATTTATATGATTTGTGGATTGGGGTAATTCCAGCCTCATAAATTAGTTGGAAAATGTTTTCTTTCTTTCTGTTTTCTAGAAGGGCTTATGCAGAATTAGTTTTATTTCTTCCTTAAACATTTGGTAGAATCTTCAGGGAAGCTACCTAGGCCTAGCATTTTTGTGTGGGAAAGTTTTTAAATCACAAATTCAATTCTTCTATATATATAGGGATATTCAGATTATATGTTTCTTCTTGAATGAGCTTTGGCAGTTTGTAACTTTGAAGAAACTTCTCTATTTCCTCTAAGTTGTCAATATGGGCCTAGAGTTGTTCATAGTTTTCTTTTATTATCCTTTAAATCTATAGGGTCTGTAGTGATATCTTCTGCTGCCTTGCTGATGTTTATAATTCATTAGATTTCTAATTTGATATTTGTAATGTGTTTCTTTTTAGTTTTCTTTGTTCTGTTTAGCAAGGTCACATGATACAAGTTCAATATATATAAATTCATCATATTTGATTGATTGCTAGCAATGGACAATAGAAAATTACAGTGAATAATACCATGTAAAATAGAATCAAAACTATGAGACAGATATAAATTGAACAACATATGTAGAAGAGCTATATGCAGGGAACTCATGAAAAATTTAAAAAATTAAAAATAAATGCATATATACCTACCATATTTTTTAATTAGAAGGCTCAGTAGTGTTAAGATGTCAATATCCCCCAATCTATAAATTTAACATAATTCCAATTAATATCCTAGTAGGATTCTTTAGGAACTGAAAAGCTATTTCTAAAATTTACATGGAAATATAAAGGACCTAGAATCTAAAGGAATCTAAAAATATAAAAGAACAAGGCATAAAAATTTATGCTACCAGATTTCAAGATTTGCTGTCATCAAAATAGCATAATTTATAGAAAGGACAGACATACAGATTAACGAAACATAAGGGTACAAAAATATACCCATGGATACTTGGTCAATTCATTTTTGACAAAGGTACAAAGATAATTCAACAGAGAAATGTTAGTAATCTCACTAAATGGTACTGGAACAATTTAACATTTGTGTACAAAATGATGAACCTTCAGTCATAGATTTTACCATTTATGGAAATTAAACAAAAATAAACTACAAATCTAAAACTTAAAATTTCTAGAAGAAGTATAGGCTAAATTGAGTCAGTAATGGATTTCTTAGAACTCCCGAAGCAGGATTTATGACAGAATATATTGAGATTTGATTTTATGAAATGTAAGATTTTTTTCTTTGAAATTGTGTTATTTGAAAAGCAGTAATAAGAGAATGCAAAGAGAAACTATAGGCTAGGAGAAACGATATACAAATCATATATCTCGTAACAAACTTGTATCCAGAATACATATACACGCTCACACATGCACGCACACACACACACACACTCCGTCTCGCTCTCTCTCTTTCAGAGCTCAATAATAAGAAAACAACCTAATAACAGTCGGCAGAAGATTGAACAGAATTTCTCTGCAGATAACATATATGACTAGCTAATAAGCACAATGAAAAAATCAATAATAATTAGAAAATGCAAATCAAAATAATTGTACAATAGCTACCACTACATATATACTCAAATGACTAAAAAATAAAATTAAATTAAAAGCTGAAAATACCAACTGCTGGGAAGAAGGTAGAGTAGCTGGAAGATTGATATATTGGTGGTAGGATTATAAAAGAATGCAGCCATTTTGAAAAATAGTTTGGTAATTTATTATAAAGTAAAACATCCACTTACCACATAACCCAGAAATCCCATATTTACCCAAATAAAATAATAACCTATATTTACACAAAATCTGTATGTAAATATTTATAGAGACTTAATGCATAGTAACTCCAAACTGGAAACAACTCAAATGTGTGTTACTTGTGAAATGAATGAACAAAGTGAGGTATGTTTATACCATGGATTATTACTCAGTAACCAAAAAGGGAGAACTACCTAATACTAACAATAATATAGATGAACTACCTAATACTAACAATAATATAGATGAATCTCAAATACATTATGCTAAGTAAAAGATGTCAGACTCAAAATACTAAATACTAGATGATTTCATTTATATGACATACTGGAAAAGACAAAACCATTGAGATAAAAACCAATCAGTGATCACCAAAATTGTCAGCAGGGCAATGGGTTGACTGTAGAGGTGCAAAGGGGGTATTTTGGGGTAATGATCCTGTTCTGTATCTTATGAATGGTATTGGTTAGACAACAATACACATTTATCAAAACTTGCAGCATTGTACGTGAGAAAGAATGAATTTTGCTGAATTTAAAATATGGACTTCATTAAAATACCAAAAATAGAAAAAAATGCAATAAAAAAGCATTGCCTCGCTGCTCTATCTTCTTGTAAGAGAACACACTGAAACTTTGAGGCCAGTAAGTAGTCTAGCACTAAGACAAGGAAATTCTGAAGAAATTCATGTAAGCAGTCATAAGCAACGGCCTGATCTCTGCAAACCAGCTCACACTGCATTTTACTAGGCCAAAGAAACAGGGGTAAGAGGATGAATGATGTGACACAAATTATCACCATTCTAAATATGTCAAGCATATGTCCTGCTGACAAGAGGAGCTGTCTGGCATGGTAAGTAGCTGTGTCAGCTTTTCAATCTTCAAGCATAAAAAACAGTGAGGTACTTGTTTTTTTAATGTGCCACATAGGGAAAGAATAATTTTTTCCTCATTACTATGGTTCTAGTTGTTGGATAAAAGGCATTTTTGCACACACCTAATTTAAGAAGCAATTTTATTACTAAAATTGAGAATGAAATATCATCCCATTTTGTAAAATGATATCGCAGATAATTTATGTATATGGAAAGGTGCTTATACCATTCTGTATTTCCAAAGAATTTCTAAAAGTTCTAATTTACTCTCCAAAACATAACCTGGAAGCATACAAATAAAATAGCTCAGCCATGTTCTCACTGTCTTGCTAAATCCAATACATGATCAATGTGAGTTATTTGACTATAGGTCACAAAGGCAGCAGCATAATGCTATTGACTATACAATGGTTGATCCGATAGCTATACACAAAAGATAGCAAACAGTGGTTGTTTGGCTTAGAGCTATTTATGTAAACAAAACTAATGAGGAAAAAAGACCTCTATTGGTAATAACTCGTAATGTTTGGAAACTGCCAACTTCTAATCACCTTTCTCTATTGTCCTGTTTTCACTCTAAGGAAGGTCAGCATGATTTATTTACATGTGTTTCCTAAATCATATACTCGCATACATTTGTGAAAAGGTGTCCTAAATCCCAATGATGTTACAAAGCAAAACAGCCCCTAAAAGCTATGCAAATTAGTATATTTCATAAAAATTATTTGTCTAAATTGTAAATTGGCCCATGGTTATGTAGCAAATTCAATGTGGATGTACATTGCTTCCGAGGGTGATATTTGTATTTTATAGATACAAAGAGATCAATGTAGAAAATCCTTATTTCTTATGATTAGTGTTTCACTATCTGTTGGAGATTTTGCTTTCAGGTGAAAAATTTGAGAGAACTTACCAAACAAACAAATGAAAAACTTCTCCAGGAGACATCAAGAGATGACAAAACTACAACCGAGTCATGTCACACCCAAAAATAAAAGCATAAAAGAGAAAACGCTTCTAATGTAAAAATAAACAGCACCAAATTGCTTATAGTGTATATACGATATGGCAGGATAACAATAGAAATTCTGTTATACTAAATGGATGATTCAGCTTAAATGATAAACTGATAAAAAATGATTATGATAATAAAAATAGTTACTATGTGTCAGCAATATTTTAAGAACTTTGTATCACTTACCTCATTTAAGACTCCCAACAAGCTTATGAGGTAGTTTCTATTATTATCCCCATTTTAGAGATGAGGCAAAGCATGTAATGAGAGCTTTAGTCATGTACCCATCATCACTCATATGTAACAAATAACCTTGATATCTCAAGGACTCAATACAACAATAATCCAATTTTTCGCTGATATCACAGTCCAGTTGGGTTATCAGTGGTTGACTTCCCAGGTGCTGTTTCAGGCTCTTTCCATTGTGGGCTTGTGCCATCCCAAAGGGTGAGAAGTCTGCTGGATTCCCTGCACCCAGATGGCTGACAAGTGTACAGAGAGGAGAAGATTGTCAGGATGCTGTAAGCATCAGGTCAAGGAGTGGCACACACCAATTACTCTCTACGTTATATTGGCTAGAAGACAAAAATACGGTTCCAATCTAACTGGAAGACAACTGGGGAATGTCATCTTTTTATTTCCCTAGAAAGAGGAAACAAGATTGATGCACACTTAAATATTCTCTGCCACACTCATATAGCCTGAAATTACTGAAACAGTTGGAGGTAAAGCACTCTTGTTGCAGAGACAAAGGCCTCAACACAATACTCTACCACCATTCAGAAAACAAGATAAGTGGTGAAAGAAATTTCAGTTTTACTCTGAATTAATTTTTATCCTTTTAGACTCCCTCTTACTATTTATTAATAATACAAAGATATCTATTTTTTGACTATTTCTAAATCAAATGGCCTAGAAGTCTTGATGTCTCAAAGCTACCCATTACTTGTAAACTGTTACCTTGAATTTGATAGAGAAGGTGTATTCATAGTTTAATAATACTCTCTTTTGCAACTTTTCCTCCTTTACAACTGTGCTAAGGGCTGTATTAGTCCATTCTCACATTGCAATAAAGAACTACCTGAGACTGGGTAATTTATAAAGAAAAAGGTTGAATTGGCTCACAGTTCTGCAGGCTGTACAGGAAGAATGGCTGAGGGGGCCTCAGGAAACTTACAATCGTGGTGGAAGCCAAAAAGAAAGGAGGCACGTCTTACATGGCCAGAGCAGGAGGAAGAGAGAGTGAAGGGGCAAGTTCTACACACTTTCAAACAATCAGATCTCATGAGAACTCACTTATTATCATGAGAACAGCAAGAGAAAAACCTGCCCCCAAGTCCAATCACCTCCCTCCAGGTTTCTACCCCAACATTGGGGATTACAATTCAACATGAGATTTGGGTGGGAACACAGAGCCAAATCATATCAAGGTCATAAAAAGATACCTTAAAAACAGAACAAAGTGGATCTGTGTCAGGGGAATCTTCACGAATTGGATTAGATTTGATTTGTGAAATGATATCTTCTCTCTTTTTATTTATTTATTTATTTTTGAGGCGGAGTCTCAACTGTTGCCAGGTTGGAGTGCAGTGGCACTATCCTCTGCCTCCTGGGTTCAAGCGATTCTCCTGCCTCAACCTCCCGAGTAGCTGGGACTACAGGCACACACCACCACGCCCAGCTAACTTTTTTGTGTTTTTAGTAGAGATGGGGATTCACCATGTTGGGCAGAATGGTCTCCATCTCTTGACCTTGTGATCCACCTGCCTTGGCCTCCCAAAGTGCTAGGATTATAAGTGTGAGCCACCACTTCCAGCGACAGCTTCTCTCTTCTAATCAAAAGGATAGTTTTATTTTATAATGGTGAGGAATATGGATCAGACACCGTGTTTACATGTCTGTGTTCTCACTTGCATATTTGCTTCCCTGAGATACAAGTGGTCTTCCTACTTCAGTCTAAGTTCCAAACCAATGATAATGTTACATAAGCCAATGGCTATGCTTGACGAAAGTCACTGGGTGAAGACTAATGATTCAAGTACAAAATTTTTTGTTGTACTCAAATAAGTTTTCTAACAAAATTAATCTGATATGCTTTTAACTATATTTATAGTCATTATAGCATTGCATGCAACTAAGCATAAATGCTAAGCAGTTCAAATAGATAACTCTAATAATTAGTATTGCTTTCACAGTCTGCCAAATTTTAAATTTTAGTATTCATATTGTTAGTTCTTCATGGTTCTTCACGATCTGTTAGCAGAATCAATATTTACCATTTCACCTAATATCCTAAACTGTTTAATCATCTCGTGTCATCACTCTGCACATATACAAATCCTCACGCAGGATAAGTCTAATAAACTAAAAGCTAACTTGACCTTCTATATTTTGCTATTTTCAACTAACAGATCTCCTCCTAACACTCAGAACCATGTTTGAGGTCTGGTCTTTCAGATTAATTTTTCCCGCATTTTGTATTTCTCCTCAACTTTCCATATCACTAACCCCCTCTTTTCAGTGTTCACTCTCCATCTTCCAGAAACGTCAAGTAGAGAGAGTAGAAAGATGGGATCCATAGTATTTGGATTTTCTACTTTGGATTGACACAGTGAAAAGGTGCAGCTGGGCTCCAGGGATTACATGGAAAAATAATAAATTTGACTCACTGAGTGAATACACCTGCATTAAGGTAGAGACTACATGAATTAGATCAAATCTCTACCCTCATTCTTTTCATAGTATAACTGAATCTATTTTCTGTGAGAAACCTTTCCTGCTTCCTCTTTCTGTTCCAACCCCTAATTACATTCACCTTTGTCTTCACTGCTCCACTCTAATGCTTTTTAACACCCTCAATCGATCCTATTAGGAAGCCTAGTGCACTTTACAGGCTTCATCCATGTTTATTTCTCAATGAATTTAACATTGATTTCCCTGCTTGCCTCTATAGACTACTCTTCTTCCTTAGGTTTTGTGAGACTTTCTAGGTTCTTCACTTATGTACTTTATTATTTTGCAGTTTTTCTTGGTGGTAGTTCTTATCGCTGATACCTCTTCTCTTTGATTTTCACATGAAGAGGTTCTACGGGTGTTTTTATTTGTAACCCAAGTATTCTTCTTAAGGGAATGCTTCTTTACTTTTTAGGTTTCAATGACCGACTTTATGCTTGTGACTTCCAAATTGATATCTCCACTACAGACTTCTCTTCAAAGATAGACCCAAATTCTCACTTTCTCCCTGGCTATTATGTTGTCAATATTTTAAGCTAAACATAATCAAAGACAAACAATATTTTCTTCCCAAACTCGTAGTACTTCTGTTGTACTTAATTCATTTTATTAGTACTACTCATTTAGTGTCATTATGCTTTCACCAAGTGTTTGGCCATCTTTCTAGGCAAAGATTCATAGTCTTCATTTAGCATTTTGCCATTCCTAGTCACTTAGATAGCTTTTCTTCCTTTACTATCTTTCTCTCTACTGTTAGGTACTTTTGAACAATACAAGTCAGAATGTATCACTACTGTCCTCAATAACCAGCTATGTCTCCTGTTGCCTAAACAGAAAATTCTACTTAATCCGTGAATTAATTCACCTTGACCTGGCTCCAAACAGCAATTCCAGTCTCGCTCTCATTTTTTTTTTTAACTACATCAAGCATTATAGGTTAGCAATGCAGCGTTCGTTATTGTTGCCTGTGTTTCTTGCATGCTTTCAGGTCTTTCTATTTACTTTCTCATATTGTCCTCTTTACCTAGGCTACATTCTCATTAATTTTGTCTATCCAAACTCTCATACTTTTAAGTCCCAACTCAAATTCAACTTCTTCTACAACTGTTTCTCAGATATCTTCCTGCATATTCAGCTTCTAGATGAATCTTTCTACATCCTACCACTTGTACTTTTATTTAGCATATGTGTTTTGCTACTATGATTTATAAACATTGTTTTATATTGTTGTTCTGTCCACTTAATACCACTCACTTCCACACTCATATTGTAATTTTTTTAATGAATTTTGCATCTGTGGAACTGTAGCAGCGTGATTAGCATTGACTATGTGCTCAATAAATATCACATTACAATAGCTTATAGACTCAAGCCAATTTTGAACTGATTCTATGAACATAAAGTGTAGCACTGCTGAAGTGATATCCTTGACTAGGTGAGAGGGGATGGGATTTTTACATATGATGTTGGGTTGGAGCTTTGATTACGAATTCAACTAACTGTGAAATCCAAGGAGAAGCAGTATACGCAGATGTGGATAGAAATGGAGTATAAATCTGGAAAATCTCTTCTGATTGCTTCAGTTTTCTCAAAGAAGTAAGAAGCAGGATCATCATATATGACAGAATATTAGGAAAGAGGTTTGCAGTTTTAAGAAGTGAAGATGTGTGAAATAATTGTATGAGAATGCTGAACAGTAATTGAACTAAGGATATACTATAGATAACTACATTTATAATACAATACCCAATGTTCAGTTTGGAATGTTTCAGGTGTTCTTTTACATATTGGGCTTTTATTTTTTAATTATAATTTGATTTTATTTCTGTAGCACCAGCTAAACTCTTGGCAAATATCAATGTATTTTGAATCATTTAACTTTGATCTTCAAAACCCTTATTTGCCTTTCTGGGGAAAAGAGTAAAAACAACAGTATCATAGCAATCTATTTATACCCCTATTTTCAGACAGTCATGCTTCTATCCAATATTTATCTAGTTTAGCGAATCTTATTTCTGTTAGCGATTGTTTGTGCAATAAATGTGCTCCTGTCACTTCATCTCTATTTCATGCTTTTATCATATTCAATCCTAATTTGCTCTGAAGGTTTGCTAACTTTTGCTTTAATCATGTCTTTTCTCAAATAGTTCAGATATAATGAAATATATTACATTCAGTATTTCTCTAATATTTTTCTACCAAAGAAAAATAAAATATTGAGATGAGATATATTCACATTGATTGCTATGAAGGTTACACATGGATTAGTAAATCAAAACAAGCTCTCAAAAGCTAGAAAATCAATTGATGTGTCAGATAGGAAAGACATAGATGGCAAAATCAACCGCTGAGTTGACATCTTTCCTCTTGAAATAATTTAATTTACCAAATTTGAAAGGTTTTGTGACTATGAACACAGTAATAAGCTAAAAAGCGGGAGACCAAACAGATTGATCTCGAATTTTATTTACAATAATTCAAGCAAATGTAAACTAACATATTTTAGGTAAATATTTTTTTCTAGACCAATCATATAAACTTTCTGGGAGAACAATCAAGACTATAGTGTAAGGATTGTACACTGAGAAATACAAACTATTTACATATACAGTTAAATATAGAGAATATATTTGTTTTTTCTCTACAGAACTGTTATCCAATTGCCAACAGCTGAATTGTCAGTATAAATGTACAATGGTCAGAAATAGTACAAGATGTTACTGTGAGGATGGATTCGAAATAACAGAAGATGGGAGAAGCTGTAAAGGTAAGTAAAACATATAACGCCATCAAATTTTGTTTATAGAGGCTTAGTTAACAGAAATGTAAGCAGACATCTTTGAGCACCTACCATGTGCTCTACAGTGTTTATGTTAACTTTTCTTTCTTGAGATTTAAAAGTTGCCCCCCCAACAAAAACATAAACATTATTATAAGTTTATGACTCTCAAATTTCAATTTTTTTGCAGTAATTTCAAACTTGGGAAATGTCAACAATCGGAAATGTTTGGGTTAACCACTAACACATTGATCTAATTATTTTAACTTCCTATATGTTGTATGGCTGTTATATAGCTGCAGTCTAGTAGACATGTGTTATTAACTACGTTAGGTTAATAATTGCTAATCATGTAATGTTCTTTATAATTTTTGCATTGGTTATTCTGGCAGCTGGCATTTTAACCATAGCAATAATAATGTAATAATGAACATAAATATTGATTTATTTTAAATGTCTGGATTCTTGCTTTTGTGAATGCTTTATAGCAAATATTTATCCTCCAAAATGACTCCCTTCATGAATTCTGAAGAATTTTAGGTTACCTTTCCATTCACTTGATTCCAATTATACATATATTAATATGTATATATAACATATCCACAAAGTTAAATGCATTGCTTTGTATGATACTTAGAATCTATCTATATCTACATATAATATTTCTAATCTATAATATAGCACGTCTCTCTCTCTCTGCCTCTCTCTTTCCTTCCGCGTGTGTGAGTGTGTGTGTGTGTATTCAGGGGATTGCTGCATTGCCAGAGCCACTAATAAATAGAATAGTTTCCAAAGAAATTAGTGCTTTGCTGATTACTTCAAATCTTTGCTCCAATATTATCACTTTTACCTTAGAATCTTAAATTTGAAAAAATTCATGAGATAATTGTTTAAAATCTTAATGACAAAAATGAGATCCTGATAGTTCATTGACTTAAGTCCACACATCTTCTTAGTAATAGAATTGGGACTGAAACTCATGTCTGCAGAGCCCACTTAGTCTTATCCTGAAGAGGCTCATTGACTTTTCAGTTACATTTGGGAATTGAATTTTAGTTTGTTGTTTGCTTTGTGTATAATACCAATTTTATAAAAAAACATTTATTATCAAGTGTTTATCAGACCCAGAGACTGCATAATCTGACCACAGGGAGGCCAAACTCTCATATTTATTTGACTCATGTCATTATGTCATTTTAAGACAACATTTGAAAATCAGAAAATTGCACACAAAAGTTCAGATGTTCTGGAAAATAAGGGCAACGGTAGATGCCTCATAATCACAGAAATCAGCCAGATAAAAATGGTGCCAGACATGGATGATGCCATTGAACATTCGTGCTCTTTCCACTTCCAAACAGCCCTTGCCATTCGTACGTGTTTGGCTTAGATACCTATTCTGCATTCTTCTCACTCATTTACTACACCTGACTCCTGTAGTAATCAAGCTCTGCAGTTCCTTTTGCAAGGGTGCAGCTGAGTTAAATACGTAGATTCCTGAGTGTTAATTAATTGCTTTTATGTGTTTAATTAAGCACGTAAAAACAAACACAACAGTAATTAATTTCTTCTGTGGAACATTAGTGAAGAATTGCACAGCAATCATTTTAGAAGTCACAGTGGGAGAGGAGATCTTTGTACTTTCTCTATACTCCTTGAGAGCCAAGTCTGAGCATCATTAGGCTTTCTCAAAACTGTATTTCCAGGTAGCCCTCTGTCTTTAAAGGAGAAAAGAAGGCAGCATTGCAAGTGATGGTATGCCTATTCCTTTGTAGTCAATGTTGTGGAGTTCCACCTCAGTGCATTCTGGCTAAGTAGAAAGAAGAAAAGAGATAATCGATCATATTGCTCTCCTGAACAGCATAATCATATCCAAAAAACTGAAATAGAAACCAATAATATTAAAGTTGAAAAATCTGTGAAAATAGATAAGAATTATTACTGCCATCAGGGACAGACTTTACCAAATGCAAGCCTTAATTTCATTCAGTATTACTGTAGACTTAGCTCCAAACGCTGTATTTTTTCTATCACCAAAAGCATTTACTTCAAATGAGCCATCCATGATTGCTGGCTGTTATGTGACTCTGAAGAAACCTGAGTTTATGAATGCCTTACAAATGCAGAGTTTCACAATTTAAATTGTCTTATGCTACTCAGCAATATTTTTGCTTTCTCATGGTAAGCTCTTTTCTTAGTTTGGATATTCGCAGAAGTCAACTCTGAAACAAGGATTCACTGAATGTTTTCCTTTATTTGCCATTGTAGCTTTCTCTTTTTCTTTTCTTTCCTTTTTTTTTTTAGGGGGTGGGGGGTGGTGGGGGTGAGAGGATACAGGAGAAAGGCAACCCCATAGTTGGAGCAATTAAGCCAGCTACAACAAAGGGTGACTGAAGCTTAAGTGTGTGGCACAGCTCTCTAGCATGAGAGACAAGGGAACTCAGGCATTTATACACCCATTTCTGAAGAGCAAATTTGTTTTTGTTTTTGTGTTGGAGATGACTTTACCCTCCTGGAAACTGGTGGGAGAGGAAGAAGGGTTTGGAAGTATGCTCAGGCACAGATAAAGATCCCTATGATTGTAGAATCACATGAACACTCTGAGGGATATGAGCAGACAGCTTCTGCTACAGTGCCCTTGACCATTCCTTTCAATTTCTTCTTTATTCTCTCAAAATATGTTTTCTTAATCTATTCTCTTTTGTTGTAGTCACTGCCTTTATTTTCTGGGTGCCATCTTGTGTTACTTCCTCAAATTACTCTTTCTCTTCTCACTATTTACTTGTATATCCACCCATGCTTGTTTTGCTGTCATTTCAGAAGAACTTTACTTCTTCTAGTCTTTTTTCATACATATTTAAAGTCCCACTCACCCAAACTTTTGTCTCAACTTGGTCCATTGGTCTATCAATTTCTACCTCTTTCTTATATACCTTTAAGCACTACATTTCCACTGGCTATCACCGTAGTCAATAAATATTCTCACATTTGTTTTATGCTGAAAGAAAACAAAAACAAAACTAGAAATACTCACAACAAATATCCACTTTATATCCTATCTCTTCCTATAGCCATCATTCCCATCCCCTCCTCCTTTATTATCCACAAACTTTAACAATCAACTACATTTACTTTCCCAATTATCTTATTTTCACTTCATTCCTCCATTTACTGCTATCTGGTTTCTCATCCTATAATTTTCATAAAGAACTTTAAATATCTCTTTTCCCTTAAAGTCTAGTTAAGACTGGTTAAAACACTCACTTTTATTTTCAAAGGACTGTTAGAGGCTTCTCAGCATATCTGCAGTTTTTCAGAGCTTCTATATTCTTTATGATCTTGACTCCAAACTCCATCTTCCTATTTATGTATCATTTTGAGATTATATATGGATTTTCTCCACCCCATACCCCTCAACCCAGAAGTAAAACTCAGCTCTTTTCCTAGAGTTTCCACAATTATAAAATCCATGCAAACAAGACAATTTGTATATGTAGTAAGTTTTACTGAAGACTTAGTAGGAAAATGTTTTATATCACAACACACAAATAATTTCAAATGTAATTTTAGACATCCCTATATTGAAACCCTTATGTTACCCCTCCGCTGGGGATTTTTTAACATGCCAGTTGAGGTTTCTTTATTGTCATATCACTCTGATAACAATTGGGTGGTATTTTTCCACATAAATTATCTAATTCTCTAATACTAACTGGGTGTCCAACAGTTCAATTCAACCCAATTCTGACATTATCCAGAGGTAGCGTAGACTGCATGGGTTAAGGACCTAGTACTGCAAGACTCAGGTACCAGATGCAAGTTCCAGGACTCACCTATACCTCTGAACCAACCAGTTATAAATGTGAGCATTCCTACAGCCCTCTCCTCAGATGTAGTCATTCACTATAACCACTCACAGAACTCAAGGAAATATTTTCCTTATGTTTGTTAGTTTATTATAAAGGATGCAACAGCCAAATGGAAGTGATGCATAGGGCAAGGAACGGGAAGGTGGGAGAGGGAAGCTTCTATGCCCTCTCTAGGCACCTTATCCTCCCAGGGGCTCAATGTCTTCACCAAAATGGAAGCTCTCCAAGCCTGTTTGTTCAAGAGTTATTTTTTAGCCCAACCCCCAGTCCCCTTTCTTCTCACTGGAGGTCAGGAGATGGGGCTGAAAGTTTCCACACTCTAATCCACTGTTTGGTATTTTCATGACCAGCCCCCAGTCTGAGACTACCTAGGGGCCCCACCCTGAGTCACCTCATTAGCATAGGCTCAGGTGTATTCTAGAGGAGCTCTTTATGAACACCAAAAGACAATCCTATTACTCAAAAAATTCCAAGTATTTTAGGAGCTCTGTGCCAAGCACTGTGAACAAAGGCCAAAGATATATTTTAATTATGTCACATCAGTTTAACCCACTTAATACCACAGCTTCAATCCATCCTGTTATCTTTTGCTCCCCTCTTCATTTTTCTGTTTCTTTTTTTCTCACCCCCTTTCTCCAGAATTATTTACAGGAGTCCCAAATTATCTTCAGTCATCATTCCCAAGTCATGAGGACAAAACTCTGTTAATAGGTCTAAGTTTGTGTATTTTATCCCATTTAAGGACTCAGTAAAAAGCAAGTTCCATTTAAGATCAGTCTTCCATTTGTGACTATGTCCCCTTCTTTCCCTACATTACATCAACATCAGTACAATAATGTCCTAATTACTGAATCTAAATGGGAATTTTAATCTTTATCTTATTGGATTCATGCATTGCATATAACCCTTTTGAACATTCTGATATCCCAGAAGAGCTCTCATTTCTTATTTTTTTCTTACAGTAGTCATGAATTTTCCTTCACAGGCGACTGTAGGACTCCTCTTTCTTTCTTTCTTTCTGTTTTATTATTATTATTTTTATTTTATTTTGAGACAGAGCCTTATCACCCAGGCTGGAGTGCAGTGTGCAATCTCGACTCACTGCAACCTCCACCTCCTAGGTTCAAGCAATTCTCATGCCTCAGCTGCCTGAGTAGCTGGGACAACAAGTGTACACCACCATGCCTGGCTAATTTTTGTATTTTTAGTGGAGAAAGGGCTTCGCCATGTTGGCCATGCTGATCGCAAACTTCTGGCCTCAAGTAATCTGCCCGCCTTGGCCTACCAAAGTGCTAGGAATACAGGCCTGAGCCACTGCGTCCCACCCTGATTCCTCTTTCTTGACTGCCCTTTCCACTTTGGTATCCTAGAGTATTTTGCACTAGCTAAATTTTTTTCATCTCCTCTTCCTCTGTGAGAAATATCCCTCTCCTATTTTTAAAATCTATTATATATATGCTATTGACTTCCATATACTCTAGAACAGATCTCACCCTATATTAACAGTTCCATTTTTCAATTGCTTATCATTACACATTTACTCAAGGCTGCCCTACAGACACCTCAAATTTAACACAGTGAAATCAAATTCGTTATCTCCTCCCATGATAGAGCCATTCAAATCTATACTTCTTACATCCTCTATTTCAAAATTCAATCAATTTTCACTTCTGTCACATCCAATCATTTTTCAAATGTTGTCTATTCTACTTCTTACACATTTGAGTCTATTTCCTCTTCATTTCCACTGCCACTGACTTAGTTCAAAATATAACTTCAAAAGACAATTTCTTGGATAAAATTAGCACATATCTAATTTTCTAGGATCCTTTCTCCACATTTACCAAAGCCTTTATTTCATATGAGTGTTTTTAGTTTTAAAATGCAAAGCTGACCATGTAGCCCATCTAATTAATGCTTTCCCAATGCCAATGTGTAATGTACAGTCTTTTAGTTCAGCATACAAATATCTTCATTATCTGGCTCCCAAAGTACTTTCCCAGTTTCATCTCTTCTGCCGCTTTCCTTCACACACCCTTGCTTCATTTGACTCCTTATGCTTCTTCTTTGAAATCCCCATGATGCCATCCCAATACCGTTCGCATGCCATTTTGATGAACTGAAATGTCCCTTTCTGCTTAGTCTGAGGAAAGCCAGATCACGCTTCACACTGTTTAATACGAAGTCTTCACTTAAGATTCCCCTTCTAATCCTAAGCAGTTTGACTTCCCTGTTTCTATCATAACTCGAGTATACCCCTATTATAAGGAAATGTATAGTATCATAATTATATTTCTCTAGACTCGTCTTACTCAGGGGTAGGGACCATATTTTATTGATTTTGTCTTCTGCAGGGATCAGTACAGTGCTTCGTACATAAAACAGGCTGAATATACCTTTGTCTAAATAACTAACTACTGACAGGATGCCTTTTTGTTTGGTCAGTTAAGAATCATTGAGTATCTGTTGTTCATAAAGATTTGAACTGGATACCAGAGGAAGGAAGTATATAGAGAAAACAGAATGAAGGGGTAGAGGAATAGAATGAAGGGGTACAGGCACACACCATTGTGCCTGGCTAATTTTTGCATTTTTAGTAGAGACAGGGTCTCACCATGTTGGCCAGGCTGGTCTCAAACTCCTGGCCTCAGGTGATTCACCCACCAAGGCCTCCCAAAGTGCTGGGATTACAGGCATGAGCCGCAGTGCCCAGCCTATTACAGGAAGTTTCTAATTAGCAATCTAATTTAATTTAATATCTGTAGAGGACTACAGATATTAAAATGAAATTTATTTAAGACAAAATCTTTATTTTTCAATAGGTGTGCTTAATAGTTTCCTCTCTTTAAAGTAGTGAGTGTGATTTGCATAGTGTGGCTCAGAACTCTTATTTAATCTGTTGATTGAAAACCATGTTACTAGTCGAATTCTTTGTTAAAACAGTGAAAAAGTCAGTGTCATAAACACTGGAAATATTCAACAAATATTAATTGGAGTGCATTTTGTACCTTTGCAAAAATATCCAAAGACTTCTAGCCTGACTATCACAAATGCAAATAATCTTCTTTTAAAATACATGATTTGATATTGTTTGATGTTTTATCTCTGTAAATATTAAGGCAGCAATAATTTTAATTTTTAGTTAGTGTGGTTTTGAAAAGACTTATTGGAATTGGCTTTTCCTTAATAGTCTATTTCCGAAGTTCAAAAATAATATTTTCTTCAAGGAGAAAAAAAAGTGCCCAAGATAAAGCTGCTTAGAAATGATGCCAATTTTCCTTTTTAGATCAAGATGAATGTGCTGTTTATGGTACATGCAGCCAGACCTGCAGAAACACACATGGATCCTACACTTGCAGTTGTGTGGAAGGCTACCTAATGCAGCCAGACAACAGATCTTGCAAGGCTAAAATTGGTAAGTTATGACCATTTATTTTTTGTCTTTCCAGAATTACTTGTTTCCTTTTTACAATTCTTTTTCATTAGAGATGTGGTATAGCAGAAATATGGACTTTGAAGAGAGAGATTTGCTTTCATTTTAATACACTTCTCTATAGTTAGGAATCCAGAGCAATTCTTTCAGTTGTCACTAATCATTATAAAACTCCTTCCATTACTCCTTCCAAAAATGAAATTCCTTCCTTCCTTCCTTCCTTTCTTTTTTTTCTTTGAGATGGAGTCTCACTCTGTCACCCAGTCTGGAGCTGGAGTGCAATGGCACAATCTCAGCTCACTTCAACCTCTGCCTCCCAGGTTCAGGCAATTCTCCTGCCTCAGCCTCCCAAGTAGCTGGGACTACAGGCACACACCACCATACCTGGCTAATTTTTGCATTTTTAGTAGAGACAGGGTCTCACCATGTTGGCCAGGCTGGTCTCAAACTCCTGGCCTCAGGCGATTCACCCACCAAGGCCTCCCAAAGTGCTGGGATTATAGGCATGAGCCGCAGTGCCCAGCCTATTGCAGGAAGTTTCTAATTAGCAAAAATCTGTTCAAAAGATATGGATTAATTGATTTGAATTACCTATCCTCTCTCCTGGACTACTATGATAGTTTCCTAACTGGGTTCTGTGAGCTTCTGCTTCACCTCCAAAATTAATTATTTATATAATAAAGTGATTTACTACTAAAACATAAACCAAATCGTGTTGTTCTTTTGCTTCAAATCTCCCAATAACTTTCACCTACCTTGAAAATAAAATCTAAACTCCTCACAGGATCTCTAAGGGCCTAATGGCCTGGTATCATTTCCCTTTCCAGTGTCTGATCTTCCACTGCTCTTGTTTCATCATCAATGCCAGCACACTTGTGTCCTTGTCCTTCTTCAACCATGTTGCCTTTTTATCTGCCTCTAATGATTTTTCCTGTGATATTCACATTAATGTAGCCTTCTTATCACTTGAGTCTCAGCTAAAATGTCAATATTCAGAGTGACCTTCCCAATCCATTCTATTTCATGGTATATACCCTCTACATCACCAAGTTATTTTCCAGTGTTATTTATGCATACCTACTCTATCACTATATAATTTCCCAGTTTTATTTTCTTTATAGCATTGCCATTTGAAATTAATTCATTTATATATATTTATCACAGGATTTCTCCAGAATAATATAAGCATTATGACGGTACAGAACTTGTTGGATTTGTTTACTGTTATTTACTCAGTACTGATCATTGCCTAGAACATATAGGTTCTCAATAAATATTTGTGGAAAAAAGAGGAAGAAGGAAGAAAGGAGGGCAGGATGGAAAAAAGGAAAAGGAAAGAGAGAATAAACTTGTCTTGCTAATTAAAATTACTAAAATGAGTGCTCCACTCTTAAGTGCTTGCATTTCATGTTTCAAAACTGCCTTTTACTGCTAACCTGCAAATAAACCCTGTAGTTTCTACACAGTTTTCAGCCTACTGAGTAAGAAAACAATCAGTAAGTATTGTTGATTGGCTAATGAAATAGCTTTGAGATTCACTAGTCACAATAAGATAATGCTAATTATTTTGTGGAGTGAATTAGCTTGAAAATAACATAAGGAAATACTATACAGAATATTCCATCTGGCTTCTTCTAACTTCCTCCAAAGGTAGTTTCATATCAGGCATTTTCAAATTATGATGTATTGATGAATTAATGGGTGCCCTCACCCTCCCTTATGAGAAAGTGGTAAATTAAGCATGAAATTTCTTCTCTGAAACCACACTGGGCAAAAGACTAGACTAGCTAAGCAAGCTTCAGTTGTTTCTCTTTACACATGACCTCATGTTATGATTTCAATGATTTCCCAGAGATAGTGTGGTTAATTATTTAGAAAACATATGTATCTACAAAATATCAACAACAGCTAAACACTCTTTTACTTCTTAGTTTACTTCTTTGAATTACTGACTTGATTTATGAAGTCCTATTTGAAATAAGGCAATCCTTGAGAAAAATTAGGTCAGGTTATGTTTTCCTTTTTGCCACCACTCAGAGTTCTGATGTAAAATATTGATGAACTATAGAAGTGGAAGGCTTGTTATTTGCTGTTTCTATTGAGCCACACACTAGTGCTACACAGAGAGTGTAATCTAATAGACCCTATAAAGGAAGCACGTCCTCTTTTTCTACATAGGTAGGTTATCTTACAATAATAGAATGCAACCAGAAAAAGATGGAACATGATAATGTCCTACTACATCAAGGAAGTTTGATGACTCTAGAATTGATAATGGAATACATAAATCTCTTCACCTCTAGGTCTTTTGCTTGATGACATTGTGAGCTTACAAAATTTGAAAAATATGCAGTTACCATGGGAATGTTGTTGTGGTTTATAGTTTAAGGAAAATGAGTTGCTAGAATGAGCATAAGTCTATAACAAACACTGGCAAGTTCTAAAGGTCACATGGATATTTGAACCAATGTATTTGTACAATTTAAGAGAAAAACTGCCTGTTTAGCTTTAGTTTTCTCATATTTATGGGAAGTGAACCAGAGGATACTTTTGGCTTCAGTTATATGTAATTCCAGTTAGTGCAATCAGGTTTAAAATTTTTAAGGTAGTTTTGTTATACAGTAATGTGGCTATATCTGACAAGTGCTAGAAACAAGCATTATAAATTGAGCCAGGTTCATCTTAAGTCTCTGCCAGTCCTTCTTTCAGTTGCCTGGCTGCTGAGATTGGCCTCTCTTTTCTCTTCTTTTCCTTACAATTCTACCCTACTGGACTCCAGAACCTAACTTTCCCTCCACGACAAGCCAGAGTTCCAGGGCTCTCAGCAGCTGGGTAGTGTGGAAAACAAGGGAAGGCCCGAATGGCCTAGCCCAAGACAATGGATATGTGGAAAAGATCTCCAGGCTTTAGAAAGAAAGGATACTATAAAAATATCAAGCCAAAGTGATGCAATGGAAAGCTAGAACTAGACCAAGAATATGATTTTGCAAAGACAGTACAAGATGATAGATGAATTAAAAGTTCCTGAGAAATAGCCCTTTATGTGACGGCAGAGAGAGGCAGAGTTAATCAGCTGGGAAGCTGCCTCTAAAGGTGCTGAACTAGTGCAACATAGAACAGTATCATGATCTCTTCCCTACTATTCACCCCAAAGCTTGCCAGTGGGGTCTTATTTTCAAGACAATAGATAGCAATTAGGTAAATTAATCTAAGTTAATTGATTATTCCTCCTTTGTAATATAATACCTGAACCCGAGTAAAATTCATAAGCCTTAAGAGCATCTTTAAGAAATAATTGTATTGAAGGGAGGAGATTTTAGACACTACAGCAGATGGGGGAAGAGATTAATGTTAGACAGGAGGCCTTTTCATTCCTATTAATTCATGTAATGCAGACAAATTTTCTCCTTTCTACGCTTAGTAAGATTGTCTCTGACTAATGAAATAAAGAATACATTGTTTCAGAGTTGGGAGGAACTTCAATGGTAATCTAGTGCAATTTAATACTTGATACTATGTGTTTTTTATCTTCAAAAAAGTAATTTCCAAAAGAAAAGTCTGAAACATATTTTTTAAAGTAATTTTAATTTAAGTATGCATAGTTGAATAGTTTTTTATAGGAGACATACAAGACTACAAATTTTTATGAGAGCATTTGTTACTTTATGATAGAACACACATTAAAAGCTAGTAATTAATGTTTATTTATTTATTTATTTTCTTTAAGAGATGTAGTCTCACACTATTGCTCAGGCTGGAGTACAGTAGCATGATCATAGCTCACTGCAGCCGCAAACTTCTAGGCTTAAGCCATTTTTCTACCTCAGCCTTTGAGTATCTGAGACCACAGGCACGAACCACCATGCCCAGCTAATTTAAAAATTTTTTGTACACACAGGATCTCTCTCTGTTGCCCAGGCTGGTCTTGAACTCCTGGCCTCAAACAATCCTCCTGCCATACCCTACCAAAGTGCTGAGATCACATATGTGAGCCACGACACCTACACAAAAGCTAGCTATTTTTCTAATTAAATGTTAGAACTTGTCATATGAAAAAAAAAATAAAAATAATAATAAATAAAAATAAAAAATAACCATGTATAGGTACCCAGTAAAACTTCTTGCACATTTTGATATATTTTTTGAGAGTAGAGTTGTAGTAATGACTTGTCAAATATGAAAATAAAAACATTTTTAAAATTTGACTTTCTTTTAATTGATTTTATTGAATTTGATATAAAAATATGTATTGAATGTGAAAACTTGGGGCTGAAAGCAGGCTCATGTAGAACTTGTGACAGTAAAAATAATAGTCAATGGTGTTTAACTTACAAATTGTTGGCAATTTTACTCCTAATAAATTCAGACTCATTGGACTGTACTTTTCAGTGTCCTAACCACTCACTGAAGGCAGGCACTTATCCCAGCATACAAATTCTCCTGAACCCCTAGGGCTCTACTGATTGCACTGAAGCAATAGTAAAATAAAAAACACTAATTTTATGATCATCACTCTATTGTCAGTGCATCGAATGGTGCCCTTTGAGAGTGTACCTCTTTGCCGCGGAGTAATTGGAGCAGTGAGAGTAGAGAGCCTATTAAAAAACTTCAGGATTCTATTACAGCTTATATTTGCAGTTCATTGATTTAGAGAAAAAAACAAACAGAAGACTATTGAGGCAATGAGACTCTTAGTTGTAAGAACAGGAATTGTAGTCCCTGTATAATTGAAGGAAGCATGTTTCTAGACAGTGTTGGGGTCAGGGAACGTTTTCATATCATTTGCTGTTTCCTCTGCTATGATTCTTGAAAAGAGAGAGAGAGAAAAAAATAAACAAAATGTAACTTCCTATGGCTCTTACTTTAAAACTCTAGGGGGATTTAACATCTACTAACATAAGTTTAAAATTTTCTTTTGGGAGGCGGAGAATTTACCCATGGTTTGCTGCTAGGGCTGATTCTGCCTGTGGGAGAATTGGCAGGTGTCTGTGTAGTGGGGGAAGAATTCTCTGCCACATAGTATCACCTTCTTATCAGCCACTGAGTAATGCCTGAAATTCAGCTATTAAAATACTATTCCCTGGCCTTTTATTAAAGCATCTCATATTAAGATCTATTCTTAGGAAGGGTAACATATTAAGTCTTAATAATTTTAACAACTTATGAGACTAGTGGATAAGATCTGTTTCAGTATACCAGTGGCTAAGAATGGCTTCTTGTAGAATGACTGATGTATGAAGATTCACCATTTAGGGTTTTTTTTTTTACATTATTTTTTAGATAGTCAAAAATTCTAATTCCTGCATAAGTTATTATTTCATTGAGCCGTAACTTCAAATAGCACTTGATGACATGATAGTGCGTGAGACCTATTGGCTAGGAGTGAGCCTAGTCACCAGCACCAGCATAGTAATGACAGATTTATTGTGCTTTACTATCACGTATGCGTGCATGAAATTAGGAACACTGTGGTAAAGAGAAAGTAGCAAAAAAGTAGCTCAATGCCTGAAGCAGAGTATGTGCTTGACAAATGTTTGCCGGATGCTTTAGCAATTTCTAGAACATTCAGGAAGCGAAATGAGGGTACTGGGATGTTGGGGATCAATAAAAGGAGTCAGAAGACTGCAAGAGATTCAAAGGTGAATAGAATATTTGGCCAGTTTTGTCCTGTTACTCCGGGCTGACTCTAGCTTTGGTATAGTATTGGCATCAAACAGTAGTTTGAGAAGCACTGTATGATCTACATAAGTGTGTCCTCTCCACCAAGGACCACTCCCCTCTCAAATAAACATACAATCCTAGTAAAAGCTGTGTGCTTGCTGTGAAAATACAGCTGGAGAACAAGCTTCCCTATCTGCAATCACACTATACTGAATAAGCCTCTGTACTACAGAAATTCTAAAGCTTCCCAGCCTGCCTTTGGAATCCCGGACCGGTAGCCTGGCCATTAAAATATTTCTTTATTTTATGGAGTATTTTTACTCTACATCTTTTCTGGCCAATCATTCAGTTAGAAATCACATTTCATGGCAGGACAGGGCAAGGATTTCTGATGGAATTTTTACTATCCAAATGATACAACACACTTTTTTTCCCTCTCCAAACACTGTTAATGAGTATGTCAGTGCTGGGGTACAAAATCTCCTCATGAATATTCTATGTTGGTTTTGGTTTTTGTTTTTATGCTAGGGGATATCATCTTCACAGTCTAGCACCGTTTTTGACATTTTTAATCTTCTTTCCAGAAACAGAGTTGCAAGATTGATAGCAGAGACATAACCATGGTGTTTTATGTGTCATGACACCTTTCATTTACCCTTAGTCTAAGAAAATATGAGACATGGAAAAAAAGCATGTCTTCCATTTTCTTCATAACATATTTTTATTGCAATCTGGCTGAGAACTTCCGTGTTTGAGTATGAAAAATTACGTGGCCATATTTATGGGCTCTAGGTGTGACAGTCAATAAACTTTGCTTTTATAAATGGCACAACAGATAGGCAGAAATTTCTATCATGTTTTTTTAATAACTTTGTGTAGACTAGCTATCAAATTATTGATTAAATCCTCAATTTAGAATGTGAGAGAAATTATATCACCCTCTACAATTAACTCTTTTTCTATCTTAAAATTGGATATTTTAATGAAAATAAAAAGAAAGGGAGCACATTTAAATTTATAAAAATTACAAATGGTTAAATAGATGAGGCAAGAATGTACATAGGTATATAATTTTTCTGTTGCTTTACCTGGGAAAAATATAAAAGTATATCACTATTGAAATCCTCGGAGGGAAAAAACCTTAAAATCCGAGTAGACAGAATAATTTTGACATTTTTTAAGAAAAAAAAATTGATTTTTCAGAGACTTCAAGGCATCCTCTGTATCAATTGCAATCAACAGGGACTGAAAAAAAAATCTGGGGTAATAAAAGCAGTTAGAGAATGCCCTTTGGGCACTCCTTCCCCTGGAGAGCATAATTGCCTTTGACAGAGATAACTAATATTCCACATATTTCCCCTAATCAGGATGCCTAAAATCATTTTAGTCTTGAGAAGAGAAAACCTGTTGCATTGATTTCATTTTTAAATGTGTGTATTTCTTTTAGGACTCACACAGCCTCTGTCGATGACTCCCACAAAAGATAATCCCCACCAAATTATTAAATTATATCTTAGTACTCTTTGGATATTTAGAACATCAAGTTACAAAGAACATAGCTGATAAAGTAGCTAGAAGTTTGATACATCAGAATGATTGAGTACTTAGAGTACTTAATCTCTCTTTATAATAGCAAAGTAGAAATTTGTGATCTTACTTATAAATTTTATATTTAAATCCTTGTCAGACAACAGTGAAATATATTAAATGACCTTTACTTTTTCCCATCACTAGATAATGAGTTTCATATATCTACCTCCCTTCTCCTTATTGTGAGGTGACGATCTTATTTCATATTTCCTTGAGAAAATAGAAGCAATTAAAAGAGAATTTTCTCACCCAAACTCCATTACCTCTACTAGTCTATTTGAATCTAGAACTAATCGCTCCATCTTCCTCTTATTTGAATTAGAAAACTAACTTTTCTCCTATCAAAGGCCAATCCTGCAAATATATACAGATCCTATCTTCTCTCACCTGTTCGAGGATTAGACTCATATAATTGTCTTCTTTATTTCTTTAATCACTGGTATTTTCTTTTCTCTTAGGTCATTCACATCAGCATACAAGCAAGTTGTAAAGATGATGCAAAACAACTTCCTTTAAACCTATTTTCCTGTCCAGCTACTTCTCCATTTTTCTTTTTCCTGCATAGAAAAACTCAGAGTGTTGTTCCTTTTCCACTTTCCTTTGCTCTGCTCTTTAATCGCCTTCAATGAATCTTACATTATTCTTATCAGTCACATCTATTGCCAAGGGCTTCAGTGACCTCCCATTGCCTAATTAGTTGACTATCGGTCTTAAGCACACAACTGACAACTGTCTCCTTGAAGGCTTTACCTTTTAAAGCAGCACAATCTTGAAATTTTGCTCTTGCCTTACTGGGCATTTTTTCTCAGTTTACTTTGCTTTATTATCTTCATTTTGCCAATACTTTTGGCATGATTCAGCGTTCAGTCCTTTAGACATCTTTTTATTGATTTCCTAGGATGTTTCATCCTGTATCATGGCCTTAAAAACTTACCCTCTGCCATGGCATTAAAAAATATAAAGAGACTGAGACTCCCCAGTTTTTATCACCAGTTATGACGGCTCTAGACTCACAGATCCAATTATATATTCAATATCTCCATTTGGATATTTAACAGAAATATCAAACTCTATGAACTTTTGATTTTCTATCTTAATAATGCTCTTTCTTCAGTTTTCCATCTTGGCAAGGTTTCCAAATTCACCTAATTGTTTAAGCCAAAACATTGGATTCATCCTTCACTGCACTCTTTTTCTCAAACCCTTTGTTTATAACTTTGTAAATACATTCTGAATTAGATTACTCTCTCTAAAGATAAGCCCTCATCCTCATTACTCCTATACGTTACTCACTTTCATAGAATTTATCACTGCCAAACAATATTCATATTTGTTTACTTGCTTATTATCTTTTTTATGTACTAAAATTTAAGTTCTATAAAAGCAAAGATTTTGTTAGTTTTGTTCACTGTTGTATTGCTAGCATCTAGACCCTGGCAGAAGCTAGCCAGGCTCAATAAGTATTTGTTGAATGGATAATAAATATTCAAATACTGAGGCAGTATTTCCCTTTTAGGAGCCATATTAAATGTGGCTCTTCTAAGGACCCGTGTTTTCAAACTGAAATTACTTTATAAATAGGAGTTACTTAGAAGCAATTTTCAAATGAGTCAATACCCATTACATTTTAAACTCAAATATTACTAATCTATAACATAGAGAAAGATGTCTGAGTAGAGAAAATATTTTTCTGTAGCTAAAGTATTTTCCACTGGCTACAATTAGAAAGGTCACTAGGAGATTTTTAAAGCAGCCATTAGCCACTTCTCAGTAACTAATATAAACTGACCATCACTGGACTGTCTGCTAGTTCTAATAATCATGTAATAATCTAAAATTTGAATGAATTATATTCTGAAATTTTGTGATTTACTTATAAATCTTCAATGGTTATCAATTACATATCTTTCATTTTTTCTGATTAAAATAACTGCATTATTTATTTCATTGTACTTATTGAAATACCTTATTATTTTACAATGTGTTAATTCAGTAAAGTCTCTTTAAAAAACATTGAGGAGTTCATATTCAAACAGTCCCCCATATTTCATTCATGTACTAAACACTTGCCACGTGCTAAGTAAGGCTTTCAGATAACAGGGGAAATGCCTCCTTGGTTTGGTTGGACCAGCTCTCTGCAAAACAGGGAAATTGTGAGAGCCGCCAGTTTGCAAAATGAAAAGATATGTTTGTGCTGGGGAGGGCATGATGTTATTGTCTTTTGTCGTGCTTATAAAATGGATCTTCTTCCAGAAAAACAATATACTGAATTGCTTCTCAATTATCACATTTCAAGTTGAAATATGCTGTGAATGAAGGTACCGGTATTTCACTAGTAAAGTCTAAATAGCAAAGTGACTAAATTATTTTAAGGTTTATGCTTAATTCAGGTTTATCAGTAGTTTACCTGAGTGAGTTTTTACAATGCCAAAGATAAGATTAAAAAGCACAGGTTTGGCACAGTGGCTCATGCCTATAGTCCTGGCACTTTGGGAGGCCAAGGAAGGAGGATTGCTTGAGACCAGGAGTTTGAGACCAGCCTGGGTAACATAGTGAGACCCCGTCTCTATATAGAAATCAGAATTAAAAAAAAAAAAAAAAAACACTAGAACACAAAACAAAACAAGATAAAAAACACAGCTTTAGCCATTGGACTAATGTGCCAACACTGAAATCATCATCTTCTCTAAAAACTGATTCTACTTTCTTCTCTTACTGTTTCTTTTAATGATACCCTTTATCCCCATGACCCACATCTACAATTTCCAAATAATCCTTGACTTCATGTCACTCGTTGTCCACAATACAACAATAACTGCAATTTTGAACTTCTGCTTTATTACATCAACCCATTTCTACTTAAGATTTCAACACCTCCTACTTTAGGTTCTTATCACCTTGTTTCTGAGAAATTAAAATGGCATTTCTGTGTTCAGTAATTCAGATATCTGATACCTGTGTCCACAAGTTTTTCATAATTTTGGGTTACTTTCTTCATAAAAACAAATGAAATTAATGCCATTCTCTATGTGACATGTAGAATCTAGTTTGGAGGACCATAGAAGAGGTTTTCTTAGGGAAATCTCTGAGAATTATCTGGGGCTTACATTTTTCCCAATGACCTCTGCTTCCAGTAAGAACATTGCCACATATGGCCATTCTTCATTTCTGCACTGCGTGAATCTAAACAGGAAAAAGGTATCTTTTCCATTCTCTTAACTCCTTTCCAACTTTACTCTAGATTTGAAGGCAGTGTGTAAGACGTTTCCATTTTACCTCAACGTACACATGAATTATACTTCTGACATGAATTATACTCTACCAACTAAAAAGTAAAATTATACTCTACCATTTATAAAGTAAAAGCAAGAACATTTTTAAATAATCCAACATGTTATCATTAACTATAGTTACCATGCTGGAAAACAGATCTATTTAACTAATTACTCCTGCCTGTGATTTTGCATACTTTGTCTAACATCTCCCCAACCTGATCCCCCAAATGCCTTAGCTTCTGGCAACAAACATTCTACTCTCTATTTCTATGAGATCATCTCTTTTAGATTCTACATGAGTGAGATATGTTTACTTGTCTTTCTATGACTGGCTTATTTCACTTAACATAATGCTAAGAGAAGGGATATTAAATGTTCCCACTACAAAAATGGTAACTATGTGAGGTAATGCATATGTCAATTACCTAGGTTTAACTATTCCACAATGTATGTATACTTCAAAACATCATGTTGTGCACTATAAAGACATATCAATTTATGTCAATTTAAATAAATAATCCCCCCAAATAAAAGCAAAAACATAAAATCTGGAAAGTTGAGTGGGAAATTTATACTTCCTACTGTATTCTACTTATCTTTCTCACTATATTTTACCCACCCACACAATATCTTACATATTATTTTTGACTTGATCTTCTTAAAGCATAGTTTTGATCACATTATACTGTATTTCTAAAATTAACACTGGCTTCCCATTGCAGCCAAAATTAAAAATAAGTTCATCATCTTGACATTCAATAGCCTGTACAATTTGTCCTTAACCTGTTTTGTCAGCTACTACAAAACTCTATAAATTTGAACTCAGTTATTTTCACTTAATAGCTATATTAACTTAAGTGAGTATTAATCTTAAAATGTGGTAAATATTAGCCGAATCAAAGGGATGTTCTGCATATACAGTGAACTAATAAATGTGAACCATGTATTACAGTGTCTGGCTCCTAAAATATGCTCGGAAAACATTAACTATTATTAGTGAAATACTCCACCAGTTATGCGTGTTGTACCCTGCAGAAAACTGAAAAACTGAGGTCAATCTCTCCTCAATATATTCAAATCTTTCACACATCTGTACTTTTGTCAAAGCTGTTTCTTTTGCTTGACTTTCTTTTATCCATCTCTGCATATTGAATTCTTGTTCTTCCATTAAGGCAAGGCTGAGACCGAATACCAACACCATCAGGAAACTTGTGCCTCCACTAAGCAGACATATCTAACCATTCTTTGAAACTCAATGAGATGATACGTCTTTTATGAAAGATATCATACCTGATTATAAAAACATAGTTCTTTGTAGATAACTTAAACTTTCTACTTGATTGTATCGTTCTTGAAGGCGGACTGTCTTACTGATCTCTTTCAGATCCCAGTTAATGCTTAGATGTATAAATACTAGATAAATTAATTAATTAATTAAAATATTTACCCAAAGAATACTTCAGCATAAATATATTGTGATTGATGATAAAAGGTAGTGCTAAGATAAATTGTAGCAATATTCATTTTCTTGCTCAGTCCAATACAGTTTTTAATGCCTTTTCGTTTTCCTAATTTGATTTATATATTATTTCTATAATAAAATGTGATAGAACAGTTTCTTCTGATATATGACAGTATGTCATTATTCTGAATATTATTCATTTTGGTAAAGAGCTTTTTTGTTAAAAAATAGTTAAGGAATGAAAACAGGGAGAAATCAATGTGACCATTATGTTTTGAAAAAGAAAATATTTCAATGCTATATTTTTTTCACTTATATGATATTAACTTGATTCACATTTTCAGTTTGGTTTGGTTGACTTTCATCTACAATTTATTATATATTTGAATACTGTAATACTTTCTCTTTCTTTTTTATTTTTTCTCCACACCATGATTCTGTATCTCTCCTTTTTAAACTACATAATTTTCTGTTAATATTACATATTTAACTTTTTCTGTTTTTTGCATCATTTTAGAAGTTTTTTAGAAAATTAGCCCTTTTGGCTGAGTACAGTGGCTCATGCCTGTAATCCCAGCACTTGAGGAGGCCGAGGCGGGCAGATCACCTGAGGTCAGGAGTTCAAGACCAGCCTGGCCAACATGGTGAAACCCAGTCTCTACTAAAAATACAAAAATTAATCGGGCATGGTGGTGCAAGTGTGTAGTCCCAGCTACTCAGGAGACTGAAGCAGGAGAATCGCTTGAGCCCAGGAGGCAGAAGTTGCAGTGAGCTGAGGTCACGCCACTGCACTCTAGCCTGTATGACAGAGCAAGACTCTGTCTCAAAAAAATAAAAAAATAAAAAATAAAAAATAAATAATTGCCCTTTTACAGATTTCATGCATTTTGTTTCATATATTAGTAATTCACTTCTTACATAAGTGTTAACAATTTTGATTAGAAGTTCTTAGTCTTCTCATTTCTAACTGCAAACCCATTTTCCTTATTTTTACAGCCTTTATATAATTTGTATATGATAAAATAAGAGTAAATCTGAAAAAAAAACCTCTTTCAATCTTTGAAGTTCATTACTGGCTTAAAACCGATTCTTTGTGTTGTATAGATTACAACTTTCTGTTTTATCACCATATTAGTCTGACTCTCCATTTTATGTACTTTATATGCAAGTCATTATTCAACGTTTTATGCAGTTAAAACTGGGATTTTTTTCATCTATGACTTCAGAAATATTGATGTGCACATGCTGGGAGCTTCATTTAGTGGAGATAATTGCTTACAAATACAATTACAGGTTTAATTAAGGAAAATTAGAATATAGAACAACTAGATGATATACATATATATATACATTTATTATATACATATGTTTGTTAGTTACATAATTATTTGTAAGTATATGAATTCATTACTTCAATCACTTAGAAGGAAACTAGCCAAATTAATATTCTTATAATTGAATACAAGAACTGGAGGTTTAAATGAAACCTTAAAAATGACAAGTTTTTATACACCCTGAAAACATTTATTTAGCACAACATATATATCAAAATCATATTATTATAAGTAAATAAATCCACTTTTAGTATATTTTTGACTGTGAGAAGATAAAGATAGGCTTGCAAGGACACAGTTATGGTGGCTTTGAATTTAAATAGGTATTTTTATGAACCTGGTCAAATAAGCCTTTCCAAGTTTCTCTTTTCAATTCACAATTTTAGAATCAGTCTTCAAAGGTTGTGACACTAATGAATACAACATACATTACAGGAAAAATCAAATCATTTATGATCATACAGAGCACAAATACTATTCTCCATCACAGGAGAGAGAAATGTTTTTAGGTCTGTCAACATACAAGGAGTGGTGAGGAGTATGAGGACAATTTTTCTCTTCTATCATGAATCAGTTGACAGCCTGCTGTAGGTGTTTACCCAACCAAAGTCTTGGTTCTCTAAGTTAAAATGTCACCTGTGTGCTTGTTTGTGCTTCAGTATCTTCTATGTGGAAGGTTAATGTTCATTACCTCTCACTAAGTGTTGACACAGGTATCCCTTTGACTGAAGTCATCTAATGTGCTTTTCAAGTGTTCTTTTGGGAAAACTGTCCATTGACTAAGGATGACAACCAATAAGATCATCACATTTATTCTGGTCAGTCTTATATCCACCTTACCCAAGCTGGTGCTCTTCAATTGGCATGTGGTAACGATGCACAACAGACATTAGATGTGGTGCAGGTAGAGATAGATTACATTTTTGCCAGGGCTATGCCAGTTTCAACTTGAAATACACTGAAAGAATTGGATCCTTAGACCTTGAGGATTTTTGTGGTTTCTCGTGTTTCAGTGGCTTCCTTCCTCCATATTTGACCTTCTGTCTAAAGAGGTAAACCACAGTTAGTAATTAGCAGAGACCCATGAAGATTACTTCAGTAAAGCATTCACAACTTATGTAGGTATCCTTCCTCCAGTATGTCCTTTGATCTTTTGAAGTCACCATTATTAAATCAAACCCTGTTAGATTATGAAGCACCTGACTTTAGAATTAGTGGTCGATATGTTTTTCACTAAAACAATTAACTGATTCACTCATCAAGCAGCTACAAAAACCAAGTAAGTTGACTAATTCTGTCAAATAAGCATTGCCTGTGTTAACCATGAACCCATTTGCATCTCAGTTTCTCAGGGGAATCTCAGCGCTCCTTTATATTCCGGCCTCTCTTCAAAGAATGTTTATGCCCTACATTAAGTTTACTGACTAGTAGCTAGCCAAAAAATGGCTGTCTAAATCTGGACTTTGCATAAAACTTTGCAGCAAGGATGCTTTCAATAGTGGGTCATTTTGAGTGAAAGTAGTTTCACTAAAGGTCATTTCAGTTGTCAAATGAAGACACTAAGGACTGACATTGTCAGTCTATCTTTGTTTACCTGATAACACACCCATCTAAGATTTTACTATCACCTGAGAAATCTATGATCCAACAGGTTTCAAGAGTGCCAAGGTCAACAGTAAAATGACAAAAGTAGGAGTAGAGGGGAGACTAAATCTAGATCCCCAAATTAAGGAATGACAAGGGCAAGTGAAACACAGTTAAAGATAGATTTAAGAGGTTAGGAGAGAAACTGACTAGCTAACCAGGCTCAGATGTGGTCAATTGACAAGGTTATGTTAAGCAGAGATGATTCACAATTCTACTGATGCTTCTGAGAGGACTTTGTTTTTGTGGAAATGATCTTAGCATTTTTAAGAATATTTTTGTTGTGGGTTTATACTCAGGCAGTCCTGGATAAGACTATTTTCTCCATTGGGAAGAAACTGTTGTGCTACTTAGTTTTATAATCTCATTGAGGCTTTTTTGGGTTATTTTTGTTTTACTGTTTTGTTGTTATTATGTATAAAAAATATTTAATGTCTTGTTAAAGGCAGACAGGAATCCTATGACTTGAGAGAATTTCCTGGGGGAGGAGAGGTTTATGGCAGATACATTTGACAACAATAATGTAACTTAAGCATACCTTGTATGGCAGGTGCACACGATAGCAATAACAATTTAAGAAAGGAAGGTTGCCACGTGGAGGTTGTGGGTGGCGGGGCGGGGCAGGGGTGGGGGTGGGGGGAATGTGCTAAGGGAACGTGCTACGTGCTATATAAGCTGCATGCTTTTCCCAAGTGGTAGTGATTCTCCAGGCTGCAGCCACTGGACCATCTCTGTGTGTAAGTTTCCCTAAATAAAACCCTGTGTCTTTTTTTTGCTACCTCTGGGTCTCTTCTTTGGCCTCTTGAACCTGGCACCACCCCTATTGAAATTAATAGGGGTCTAGCATGATGGGGATAAAAATGCCAATGCATGAATTATAGGATTGTTTTAAGCCTGTGAGGGGAGGCCCCAAATCATATTCACTGGAGGGCTCTTCTATCTGAGACAAACACAGGTGCCTGATATCCTGGCCCATGCCAGAAACAAAAGAAAGGCCACTAAATAATACTGCTTCAAAACTTGAGACTTAGTTACTTCCATTAGTTATAGTATATGCTCTGGTTTTTGTCCTACCTTTACAGTGCTCAGCTTCAGTTTCTTATAGAATGGTCAAATGATATTTATGAAATTTTCTGAATAGCTAGTCATACTCTGAATTCCCTTCATAGGTTAAATAAATTATTTTTGTTGCGTTTCATGAAATGTTTCTAAAGTCTTCTGGTGTGAGAATTCCATGTGTCCTTTTTATTTATTCAGAAAATCGGTATTGAATGATCACTAAGTTCTACGCTTTTTCTCTAGATGCTAGAGATAGAAGTAAATAATCAGAAAAATATATAAAACATACTATGGTGAATAAGAAAGAACTATGAAGGTGTATAGAAAGTATAGGGGCTTAAGATTTTTAGACGATAAAGTGCTAGGAGACTCCTCACCAGTAAAATGACATTTGCATAATGACCTAAAAGAGGTGAGCAAGTAAGCCATTCTGGTAATTGATAAATGATTATTCCAGGAAGTGGGAAGCCCCTCTGAGGTGGCAGCTTCCCTGGCTTGTTCAAGGAACAGTAAGAAGTGCAGTGTGTCTGGAGTGAGACGAACAAGAGTAAGAGTAGTAAGGAGATGAAGGAAATGAGGTTAAAGAAGTAATTAATATACAGATCAGGTAGAGTTTAATAGATCATTATAAGGACTTTGAATTTTGCTCTGGTTAAAATAGGAGCCCTTTGAGGGACTGAGTGAAGAACTGACCTTATCTGCCTTAGCATTTTAATGGTATAACTCTGGCTGTTGTGTTGGGATATTGTAAAGGTGAGAAGGGCATAGATGGAAAAAGGGAAACCAGGCAGAAAACTTTGAAATAATCTAGATGAGTGATCATGGCAGGATAGTAGCAGTCATTACTGAGAAGTGGTAGGATGTCTGATAGTTTTGACCTCATGGTCAAAGTGATTTATTGATGCATTAGATACAGATGAATTAAAGATTTCCACATATTTCCTATTTCTTAATTAGCAGAAAAGTTACTCTGAATATGATTGTATAGCTAAACTCTATCAACACGAATTTTCTATCAGATTTTACTGTTACGTTTAAATATGCTGTTGAAACTCTGGGAAATTTGTATATGTTCATCAAAAACTCAGTCCTAATACCAGCAAAGCTGCATTGTTCAAAAAAATGGTATTGAAGTTTATTTTATACCTAGAATCTTGTTTTCCTGACTGTAGAAAGTAGATGTGGAAGGAACTGGCTCAGTAATCACTATCTAGTCACTAAAAGAATGTGTGATTGTTTGGCTCTTGGGGTTGGTCAAGGAGCCAGTGAGGCCAAAGTCACAGGTGCACTCTTTGTTTAAGCTTATGAGCTTTGCATTTTCTGCTCCGGAGAATCTATTTCTGATCTCATACATTCGACTCAAAAAAACATTACCTTGCTCGTGAGGGTAACCTGCAAAACTGTATGGAGAGGTCAGTCTAGATCCATCATCATTTCTAGAAAAACAATTCACACCACTTCCTTTACTTACTAGCAATAAAAGTAAATGACATGTCCTCACATTTAGACAACACATTATGACTAAGGAAATAAGGAATACAAATGTGCTGCAGAATTTTTTTTTCAGAGAAGTACACTAAAACAGTGAAGTATACATATGACTTATAGAAAGTTTTTTTATAAGAAAATTTTTGTTATGAATTTATTAAAAGTATAGAAAATAGCTTTCAATAACTAGGGCAAAACTGTAAAATAATCTTGACTCTTACTGAATTTACTTCTCTTTTTCTATTTTATTCCAGAACCTACAGATAGACCACCTATACTATTAATTGCAAATTTTGAAACAATTGAGGTTTTCTATCTTAATGGAAGTAAAATGGCAACTCTAAGCTCAGTCAATGGAAATGAAATTCATACTCTGGATTTTATTTATAATGAAGATATGATTTGTTGGATTGAATCAAGAGAATCTTCAAATCAACTCAAATGTATCCAGATAACAAAAGCAGGAGGATTAACAGATGAATGGACAATCAATATTCTTCAATCCTTCCACAGTAAGTGTTTCAATTAAATATTATATGCCACCCTTTACTGATTTCATTTACAGACCCGTAGGCTGGATTCTCAAATTTCTAGCATAGCTCATGGCTGTTGGAAAGCTGTATGTGCAAATACAATGAACTTGAATTACTGTATTCACTACATGTTTTGCATATACAAACACATACACATAAACTTTCTCTATTTAAATAAGTCATAAATTGCAGAGTTAATTGTAATTATTTCTTTAAGGCTTTTTACAGTGTCACCTGACTGGGAATTGATTTTTTTATTCCACTGAGTGGTAATTCACAATGTGATAGTGAAGGTGGGATTTAAAAAAAGCAGACAGAGTTGATAATTATAAGTGCATTGACTGTAGTTAAAAATACCTTAAATAATTAGGTTTATGCTAATGGGGAGTAACTACCTGTGTTAACTCTCTTTAAAGGAAATTAATTTTTATACATCCTCTTCCAAAAAACTTGTGATTTGTGATTCACTCTGACTTCTCATGTCAGAAACTTGACAGACTGTCCTTCTCTTCCTGCATATTACCATAAACTGAAATCTCATTGTCACACATACACACACACACACACACACACACACACTCATACACACAGACACCCAGGGATGCACACATATTCTCTCTCTCCTTCTCTCTCCCTGCTTCCACATGGGAGTACACACACACACTCATACACACACACACCCAGAGATGCACACATATTCTCTCTCTCCTTCTCTCTCCCTGCTTCCACATGGGAGTACACACACACACTCATACACACACACACCCAGAGATGCACACATATTCTCTCTCTCCTTCTCTCTCCCTGCTTCCACATGGGAGTACAAAAATTGCTTTGTGTATGCTTGGGGAAACCATAAGAATGATAATTTTAACATGCATCCATTTAATTTATGATTTACAGAAAGTGTTTCTTACAAATTCGGCTAAAATAAAAATCTGTAGAAAAATTAAGAGAAGCCGGGTGCGGTGGCTCCCAGCACTTTGGGAGGCCAAGGTGGGTGGATCATCTGAGGTTAGGGGTTCAAAACCAGCCTGGCCAAACCCCATCTCTACCAAAAATAAAAAATTAGCCAGGCATGCTGGTGCACGCCTTTAATCCCAGCTACTTGGGAGGTTGAGCCAGAAGAATCGCTTGAACCCAGGAGGTGGAGGTTCCAGTGAGCCGAGATTGTGACATTGCACTCCAACCTGGGTGACAAGAGCAAAACTCTGTCTTAAAAAGAAAGAGAAGAGAAATGAAGAGACATGTGTACAATCAAGCGGAAAAGAAGAATGCTGTGATAGAATAAATGTGATTTTCAAATTTAGAATATTTGATCTCGTTTCAATAATTAAAGCTTTTCATATACATGAACTGGGTATTAACCCTTATGTAAAGAAATAATACTATGTAATGTTTGATCATTGTAATTAGATTAAATGAGTCAAAGGCAAATTGTGAAAAATAGGACATACAGGTATAATTTTATATACTTAAATGAACAAAGTGTTTAACAAATATTGTCGAACATTTTGAAGATCCTCTTAATGAAACAATTGATAAAGTTATTTATTGTGAAAATAGACCAAAAATTATAATGAAAGCGGTGGATATTTCAAGAATTCTATGGAGAAATGGTCATTCATATTAAATAATAATAAAGGATGGCACAAGGCAGATAATCCTTATTATGTAATTTATGTGATTTATTATGTAAGTAATAAGGATTATTTGCCTTCTGATATAAGTATTTCAGACATTGGCTTAGGCAGCAGCTAGAAACTGAACACAAGGCCACAGTCCTTGCTACATTAGTGATTACCTCAACTAATCCAAATGTATTTTTCCCAGCAAATGGAATACTGAATAGTCAAATAGCTAAAATATTCACTAAGTTGCGCAGTAGAATTATTTTCTGAGCGTACTTAAGAACTTTTTATCTACACTTAATATGCCCTAATAATGGTGTCTTCTCTTCTTTAATATATGTTTTAAAAACAGCTATTTGTTAAAATAAATCTAAGGAAGGTTAAGCAATTGCATATTGACTGTTGGTAGAAAATAAGTATAACTTAGATTAAATTTGATTTATTAAGCAATTCAGCAAACCTAGAAACATATATTTTGTTGTTGTTGTTGTTGTTAGGGAATTCACTGAAATGCTGAATAGAATATTCATTTTGAATAATAAAAAATAAGTTCACTGGAAATATTTTAATCTGAGTAAATAATTTGTGATGAGGTTAGGTTTAAGCATGCAATTACATAGTCACTTTAGAAAAAAGTGATTAAATATGTGGAAGTAATTTGATGATGGGAGTGGGGCAGGGGTGTGAGCAGGGCTGGGCTTCTCTGTCATTGCTTGTAAGCCATGCATTTTATCAACATGTCACAGAAGAGCTGCCATTGAATACGATGGGCTCTGTGTTCACTATGACAGTTTGTGAGATGATAATGAAGTTTGAATATTCTTTGCATCTATAATTACATAAAATCTTTGTCATACCATATAAGCAAAAATAATGAACTGATGGAAGTCAGCCTGAATACCTGTCACTATCCACTGTTTCAGAGATTCTCTTTAGTTCCTCCCACCCCCATTATATTTAGGTGCTTTTCTCTTACCTGAAGAGAACATGCTTTTTTGAGAAAATATAAACATTTTAGTTTTCAAAGGATTGCTATGAGAAGAAAAACATTGCAGGTCAAACTGACTTGCAGTTAACACTTCCATAATAATATAATAGTAAATATTTTATTGCAATATTTTAAAAAAATTGCACGTCTCATCTCACTGGATACCCACTGCATCTCTGGGTAGCAAGCAGGAGAGATATGCCCTTCCTGTTTTATAATAGATGGCATTTTTACTCAAAGTTCAGATGTATTAGGTAAAGCTGGATGGCTAAAAAGAATGCAGAAGTGGGACATCTAAGCCCTGTTTTTTTCTTTTACACTAGAAAAGCAAATCTACCTTCAATGATATATTTTAACTTTATTGAATATGCTGAAAGACTATCTGCAACAGGGAGATATTATTCTTTTGGTTTTTTTTGGGGGGGAAAATTGAGACTCTGAGCAGTTAGATAATTGTACACAGCATAATTAGGTAGGTTTGCATTTGGGTCAGACTTTATAGCTTTTTCTAAATACCGCTCTGCCCGTAGGTCTCAACTTTTTCATGTTAGCAAAGCAAAAATGATTAGGTCTACGAATATTAGTAATGTTGGCTTACAAAGACAGGCCCTCTAAGTGGGAGACAGTTATACGAATCTTGGAAGGGAGGTGGAAAAAGTGGGTTGTAGAAGTTTATAGCACTGAAAAGGCCCACCCAATGATTCTGATGTGGCCTCCTTCAAAGTCCTACATTTAACATTGTACATCATTCCTAAACAATATTGTGAGAGAATCAAGATGAATGATAATAATATGCTTAATAAAGTGTATTAATGAACCTTGGGGGGAAATGATAGACATTAAATTTCTTACTGAATTTTATTCTTTTTTATAACGATAACTGATATTTATTATTTAGCATTTTAGCTTGAAAGTTGCAGACTTTGGGGATAATTTTGGAGTTAGGTGTTTTCTAAGCAAAACTTGTTTTTTAAAAAAGTATTCATACAAAGCACATTTGTAGCAGCTGATTGTTTCCCAAAATTTTTCTTGGAGAATACTGTGGTAAGGACACAGATACCCAAAATAACAAAAATTATGGGATTTACAAAAGTGGTGAATTCCATCTGTTTCCTCGGGACAAAGTGCATAGAGATGATTGAGATAAGAATATTTTCTGACTTAATCTCTTATTAAGGAAAATGATTCAGAACCATATTGTCATCCCCCAGCTGCACAGTAAACACTTTCATTGTCTTTTTATGGGTGAATTCTTCAATACTCTGAAAAACTCAAGGATCACATTTAAGATTTTAACATGGATTTAGCCAGCTTCTGTTGAGCCACTCATGGGCTCAACTCCAATCCAGTAGAGTATACCTAGCTAAAAATAAAATAACTGCTTATTCTTCATGGATTTAGCTTCTGAATTAACCCCATTCACAGGCTTTTATCTTTTTCCTTAGCTTGTTTTAATGTCAACTTTAAATTACGTTCTATTTGAACCTCTAACTAGAGCTACTAAATTACGTCCTTATTGCATAATTATTGAATTCTGACAATTTTTTATCTTTTATTTTTAATTTAATTTCAAGTTCTGGGATACATGTGCAGGATGTGCAGGTTTGTTACATAGGAAAACATGTACTGCGGTGGTTTGCTGCACCCATCAACCCATCATCTAAGTATTAAGCCCAACATTCATTAACTATGTCTCCTGATGCCCTCCCTTCCCCACCCCACCCCCATGACAGTCTCAGTGTGTGTTGTTCCCCTCCTTGTATCCATGTGTTCTCATTGTTCAGCTCCCACTTGAACGTGAGAACATGGTTCTCTTGGTTTTCTGTTCCTGTGTTAGTTTGCTAAGGATAATGGCTTCCAGCTCCATCCATGTCCCTGCAAAGAAAATAATCTGTCTTTTTTATGGCCGCATAGTATTCCATGATATATATGTACCATTTCCTTTATCCAGTCTACCATTGATGGGCATTCGGGTTGATTCCATGTCGAATAGTGCTGAAATGAACATACACGTGCATCTATCTTTACAATAGAATGATTTATATTTTTGGCTGTATATACCCAGTAATGGGATTGCCGGGTCAAATGGTATTTCTGGTTCTAGGTCTTTGAGGAATTGCCACTCTGTCTTTCACAATGGTTGAACTAATTTACATTTCCACTAACATGTAAAAGCATTCTTACCTCTTGGCAGCCTCTGTTGTTTCTTGACTTTTGATAATCACTATTCTGACTGGCGTGAGATGGTATCTCATCACGGTTTTGATTTGGATTTCTCTAATCAGTGATGTTGAGCTATTTTCCACATGTTTGCTGGCCATATACATGTCATCTTTTGAGGTGTTTGTTCATGTCCTTTGCTCACTTTTTAATGTTTGTGTGTGTGTGTGTGTCAATTTGTTTAAGTTCCTTGTAGATTGCAAAAATTGTCTTCCATTCTGTAGGATGTCTGTTTGCTCTAATGATAGTTTCTTTTACTGTGCAGAAGCTCTTTAGTTTAATTAGATCTCATTCGTCAATTTTTGCTTTTGTTGCAATTGTTTTCAGCAATTTTGTCAGGAAATCTTTGCCCGTGCCTATGTCCTGAGTGGTATTATCTGGATTTTCTTCCAGGGTTTTTATAGTTTTGAGTTTTACATTTAAATCTTTAATCCATCTTGAGTTAATTTTTGTATAAGGTGTAAGGAAGGAGTCCAGTTTCAATTTTCTGCATATGGCTAGCCAGTTTGCCCAGCACCATTTATTAAATAGGGAATCATTTCCCCATTGCTTGTTTCTGTCAGGTTTGTCAAAGATCTAATGGTTGTAGATGTGTGGTCTTAAATCTGAGTTCTCTATTCTGTTCCACTGGTCTGTGTCTGTTTTTGTACCAGTACCATGTACCAGTTTTGGTTACTGTAGCCTTGTAGTATAGTTTGAAGTCAGGTAGTGTGATGCCTCCAGCTTTGTTCTTTTTCTTGGGATTGGCTTAGTTATACAGGCTCTTTTTTGATGTCATATGAATTTTAAAATAGTTTTTTCTAATTCACTGAAGAATGTCAATGGTAGTTTAATGGGAATAGCATGGAATCTATAAACTGCTTTGGGCAGTATGGCCATTTTCATAATATTGATTCTTCTATCCATGAGCACAAAATGTTTTTCTGTTTATGTCCTCTCTTTCTTTCTTTGATCAGTTGTTTGCAATTCTCCTTGAAGAGGCCCTACACTTCCCTTGTTAGCTGTATTCCTAGGTGTTTTATTCTTTCTGTAGCAATTGTGAATGGGAGTTGATTCATGACTTGGCTCTCTGCTTGCATATTGTTGGTGTATAGGAAACTAGCGATTTTTGCACATGGATTTTGTATCCTGAGACTTTGCTGGAATTGCTTATCAGCTTTAGAAGCTTTTGGGATGAGACAATGGGGTTTTCTAGATATAGGATCGTGTCATCTGCAAACAAAGACAACTCAACTTCCTCTCTTCCTATTTGAATCCCCTTTATTTCTTTCTCTTGCCTGATTGCCCTGGCCAGAACTTCTAATTCTATGTTGAATAGGAGTGGTGAGAGGGGGCATCCTTGTCTTGTGCTGGTTTTCAAGGGGAATGCTTCCAGCTTTTGCACATTCAGTTTGATATTGGCTATGGGTTTGTCACATATGGCTCATTATTTTGAGGTATGTTCCTTCAATTCCTAGTTTATTCAGAGTTTGTAACATGAAGGAATGCTGAATTTTGTCAAAGGCCTTTTCTGCATCTATTGAGATAATCATGTGGTTTTTGCCTTCGGTTCTGTTTATGTGATGAATTATGTTCATTGATTTGCATATGTTCAACCAGCCTTGCAAGTTGGCTTGCAGTAATGAAGCCAACTTGATTGTGGTAGATAAACTTTTGGATGTGCTGCTGGATTTGGTTTGCTGGTATTTTATTGAGGATTTTTTTGCATTGATGTTCATTGGGGATATTGGACTAAAGTTTCCTTTTTTTGTAATAGCTCTGTCAGGTTTTGGTATCTGGATAATGCTAGCCACATAAAATGAGTTAGGGAGGAGTCCCATCTTTTCAGTTGCTTGGAATAGTTTCAGAAGAAATGGTACCAGCTCCGCTTTGTACCTCTGGTAGAATTCAGCTGTAAATCCATCTGGTCCTGCAGTTTTTTGGTTGGTAGGCTATTTATTAGTGTCTCAGTTTCAGAATTCATTATTCAGGGATTCAACTTCTTTCTGGTTCAGTCTTGGGTGGGTGTATGTGTCCAGGAATTTATCCATTTCTTCTAGATTGTCTAGTTTATTGCATAGAGGTGTTGATAGTATTCACTGATGGTTGTTTGTATTTCTGTAAGATCAGTGGTTATATCTCCTTTATCATTTCATATTGTCTATTTGAATATTCTCTTTTCTTCCTTATTAGTCTAGTTAGCTATCTATTTTATTGATTTTTGCCCCCAAGGGTTTTTCATGTCCATTTCCTTGAGTTCCACTCTGATCTGGGTTATTTCTTGTCTTTTGCTAGCTTTGGGGTTTGTTTGCTCTTGATTCCCTAGTTCTTCTAATTGTGATGTTAGGGTGTTAGTTTGAGATCTTTCTAGCTTTTTGATGTGGGCACTTAGTGCTATAAATTTCCCTCTTAACACTGCTTTAGCTGCATCCCAGAGATTCTGGTATGTTGTCTCTTTGTTCTCATTGGTTTCAAAGAAATTCTTGATTTCTGCCTTAATTTCATTATTTACCCAGGAGTCATTCAGGAGCAGGTTGTTTAATTTCTATGTGGTTTTGTGATTTTCAGTGAGTTTCTTAATCTTGCATTCTAATTTGATTGTGCTATGGTCTAAGATACAGTTGGTAATGATTTCAGTTATTTTGTATTAGTTGAGGAGTGTTTTACTCCCAATTATATGATCCATTTTAGAGCAAGTGCCATGTGGTGCTGAGAAGAATGTATATTCTGATGTTTTGGGTTGGAGAGTTCTGTAGATATCTATCAAGTACACTTGTTCAAAAGCTGAGTTCATGTCATGAATGTCTTTGTTTTATCTCAATCTGTCTAATATTTTTGTTTTATCTCAATCTGTATAATATTGACAGTGGGGTGTTAAAGTCTCCCACTATCATTGTGTGGGAGTAAAAGACTATGTACGTCTCTAAGAACTTGTTTTATGAAACTGGGTGCTCCTGTATTGGATGCATATATATTTCAGAAAGTTAGCTCTTCTTGTTGAATTCAACCCTTTCCCATTATGTAATGCCCTTTGGTTTTTTTTTTTTTTTTTTTTATCTTTGTTGGCTTAGTCTGCTTTGTCAGAAACTAGGATTGCAACCCTTGCTTTTTTCTGCTTTCCATTTGCTTGATAAATTTTCCTCCATCCCTTTATTTTGAGCCTATGTGTGGCTTTGCATGTGAGATGGGTCTCTTGAATACAGCACATCAATGGGTCTTTTCTTTTTATCCAGCTTGCCATTCTGTATCTTTTAATTGGGGCATTTGGCCCATTTACTTTTAAGGTTATGTGTGAATTTGATTCTGTCATCATGATGCTAACTGGTTATTCTGCAGACTTGTTAATGTAGTTGCTTCATAGTGTCATTGGTCTGTGTACTTTTTAGTGGCTGGTAATGAACTTTTCTTTCCATATTTAGTTCTTTCTTCAGGAGGTCTTCAAGGCAGGCCTGGTGGTAATGAATTCCCTCAGTATTTGCTTATCTGAAAAGGATTTTGTTTCCCCTTTCCTTATGAAGCTTAGTATGGCTGATAATGAAATTTTTGGTTGGAAATTCTTTTTTTTTTTTTTTTTAAGAATGTTGAATATTGGCCCCCAATCTCTTCCAGCTTGTAGGGTTTCCACTGAGAGGTCTGCTGTTAATCCGATGGGCTTCTCTTTGTAGGTGACCTGGCCTTTCTCTCTGTCTGTCGTTAACATTTTTTCTTTTTTTTTTTTTTTCCAACCTTGGAGAATCTGATTATGTGTCTTGGAGCTGATCTTCTCATGGAGTCTCTTACTGGGGTTCTCTGGATTTGAATGTTGGCCTGTCTTGCTAGGTTGGGGAAGTTCTCCTGGATGTCGTGAAGTATGTTTTCCAACTTAGTTCCATTCTCCCTGTCTCTTTCAGGTACCGCATCAGTCATAGGTCCTATCCTTTTACATAACCCCATAGTTCTCATGTTTTGTTTGTTCCTTTTTATTTTTTCTCTAACCTTGTCTGCCTGTCTTATTTCATCAATATAGTCTTCATGCTCTGATATCCTTTCCTCCACCTTGGTCTATTTGGCTGTTGATACTTGTGGTTGCATTGTGAAGTTCTCATGTTGTGTTTTCAGCTCCTTCAGGTCATTTATGTTCCTGTCTAAACTGGTTATTCTGGTTAACATCTCCTGTAATGTTTTATCATGGTTCTTATCTTCTTGCGTTGGTTTAGAACTCCTTTAGCTCAGCGAAGTTCATTATTACGCACCTTCTGAAGCCTAATTCTGTCAGGTCATTCATCTTGGCCCAAGCCTAGTTCAGTGTCCTTGCTGGAGAGGTGTTGTGATCATTTGGAGGAGAAGAGGCACTCTGGCTTTTTGAGTTTTCAGCATTTTGGCATTAATTCTTTCTCATCTTGGTGGGTTTTTCTACCTTCAATATTTTGAAGCTGCTGATGGGGTTTTTATGGGGTCTTTTTTGTCGATGTTGTTGTTGCTTTCTGTTTGTTTTTCTTTTGGCAATCAGGCCCATCTTCTGTAGGGCTGCTGGGGCTTACTGGGGGACAACTGCAGACCCAATTCACCTGGGTCCCTCCTGCAACTAGAGGTATCACCAGTGGAGGCTACAGAACAGCAAAGATGGCTTCCTGTTCCTTCCTCTGGGAGCTCCATCTCAGAGGGGCACCAAGCTAATACCAGCCAAAACACTCTGGTATGAGGTGTCTCATGGCCCTTGTTGGGATGTCTCAAACAGTCAGGAGGCATGTGATCAGAAGCCTGTGTAACAAAACAGCTTGGCTGCCCCTTGTCTGAGCAGGTTTGGCTGCACTGGGGAGAATCCCCCTCATCTGGACTGCCAGCAGACAGGAAAGACTAGGTCCACTAAATTCAAGATCACGGTCACACCTTCCCCCAGGGTCTCCTTCCCAGGAATATCAGAGTTTTATCCATAAAACCCTGGCTATAGTTGCAGCAATTCCTGCAGGGAGGCCCTGCCCAATGAGAAAGGATGGATCTGGTCCCAGCTAAAGGAGCAATCTTGCCGTGATCTGCCACAGCTGCTGTGCTTCGCTGTGGGGGAATTCCTCTCAGTTTAAACTGCCCGATCTCCCCAACACCAGCAGTGGAAAATGGCTGATGACAGCCTCAGTGATGGTGGCTGCCTCTCCCCCAAGGAACTCAGTTGTCTTAGGCAGTGTCCAGCCTGAAGCCACTGGCCTCAACCCGATTGGATTGCACAGCTCTCAGTTTGGGACCCAAGGCCCTGGTGGGGTGGACTCACAAGGAGATCTCCTGATCCACAGGATGTACAGATCTGAAGAAAGAATGCGGTTTCCCAGGCAGGGCAGCACAGTTACTCACTGCCTCCCTTGTCTGGGTGTGAGAGTTCCCCTTATCCTGTGTGGCACCTTGGTCATTGCACCACCCTGCTTTTCCTCACTCTGTGTGGGTCACACTAACTGCCTAGTCAGTCCCAGTGAGAGAACCTGGATACCTCAGTTGATAGAGCAGGATTCACTTACTGTTTTTGTTCTTCTCAGTGGGAACTGCAGACTGGAGCTGCTTCTAACTGGCCATCTTGGCTCCTCTCCCCTCTGTTTTTTTATTGTAGATTCAGGGGTACATGTACAGGTTTATTATGTGGGTATATTGCATGATGTTAAAGTTTGGACATCAACTGAATCTGTCACCCAAATAGTGAATGTAGTATCCAATAGGTAGTTTTTCAATCTTTTCCCTTTACCCCTTCCCTTCTTTTGAAGTCCTCTTGTTGCCATACTTATGTCTTTGTGTACCCACTGTTCAGCTCCCACTTATAAGTGAGAATATATAGTGTTTGGTTTTCTGTTTCTGAAGTAACTCACTTAGGATAATGGCTTCCAGCTGCATACATGTCGCTGCAAAGGACATGATTTCATCCTTTTATGGCTACATAGTGTTCTATTGGGTATACATACCATATTTTCTTTATCCAATCCACAATTGATGGGCACCTAGGTTGACTCTATGTCTTTGTGGTTGTGAATAGTGCTGTGATGTATGTACACATGCATGTGTCTTTTTGGTGGAATGATTTGTTTTCCTTTGTGTATATACCTAGTAATGGGATCACTAGGTTGAATAGTAATTCTGTTTTTAGTTATTTGAGAAATCTCAAAACTGTTTTTAACAGTGGCTGAACGAATTTACAATCCCACCAGCAGTGTGTGTTTCCTTTTTTTCTGCAATCGAGAACTAATTTACAATCCCACCAACAGTGTATGAGTGTTTCCTTTTTTTTCTTCAATCTCACCAACATCTGTTATTTTGACTTGTTAATAGTAGCCATTCTGATTGGTTTGAGATGGTATCTCATTGTGGTTTTGATTTGCATTTGTCTGATTATTAGTGATGTTGAGTATTTTTTCATGTTTTTGGGCCACTTGTATATCTTCTTTTGAAGTGTCTGTTCATGTCCTTTGCTCACTTTTTAATGGAGTTTTTATTTATTCATTTATTTAAGTTCCTTAAAGTTCCTTAAAGATTTTGGACATCAGTCTTTCATCAGATGCATAGTTTGAAAATATCTTCTCCCACTCTGTAAGTTGTCTGTTTACTTTATAGTTTCTTTGCTAAGCAGAAGCTCTTTAGTTTAATTAGGATTCATTGTTAATTTTTGTTTTTGTTGCATTTGTTTTTGAGGACTTAGTCAAAAATTCTTTGCATAGGTCAATGTTCAGAAAAGTATTTCCTATGTTTTCTTCTGGGATTTTTAGTTTGAGGTATTACATTTAAATTTTTAATCCATCTTGAGTTAATTTTTGTAAATGGTGAGAGGTAGAGGTCAAATTTCATTTTTTTCCATATGGTTAGCTGGTTTTCTCAGCACCATTTATTGAGTAGGGCTGATAGTTCACCTCTGTCTTCTATCAAGCTCACCTTTTTCCGTTGAGTTAGCAACTGTCTAATAATTACACAGTATTTTGGAATGTGTATTGAATGTTTATATTGTGCATTAGGCAATCTACATATTTACTTCATTACCATCACACCCAATTATAACACATGTATACTATATATAATTATCAGTTTATAGATGAGAAAATGAACCTACAAAACTAGGAGCAAGAAAGTGGAGGGAGTTGCCATGCATCTTTAGATCACTAGATCTTGAGAGAACTCACTCACTATTCTGAGGACAGCACTAAGCCTTGAGAGATCTACCCCCATGACCCAAACGCCTCCCACTAGGACCCACCTCCAACGTTGGAGATTACAATTTAACATGAGATTTGGTAGGGACATATATTTGAACTACATCATTCCTCTCCTGGTCTCTCAAATCTCACGTTCTTCTCACATTGCAAAATACGATTATGCCTTCCCAACAATCCCCCAAAGTCTGACCTCATTCCAGCATCAGATCAATTAAAAGTCCCAAGTCTAAAGTCTCATCTGAGACAAGGCAAGTTCCTTCCACTTATAAGCCTGTAAAATCAAGCAAGTTATTTCCTTCCAAGATACAATGGAGGTATATGCATTGTACCTATAATGGAATCAGGATGAGTAAACATTCCCATTCTGTAAAACAGAAACTGACCAAAAGAAAGGGCTACGTGTCCCTGTAAGCTTGAAATCCAACAGGGAAATTATTAAATATTAAAGCTCTAAAATAATCTTTTTTTGACTCCATGTCTTATACCTAGGGCACACTGGTACAAGGAGTAAGCTCCCAAAGCCTTGCACAGCTCTGCCTCTGTAGCTTTGTAGGGTACATCTACTGTGGCTACTCTCAGAGATTGAGTGCCTGTGGCTTTTCCAGTCATAGTGTGAAAGCTGCCAGTGGCTCTCTCATTCTGGGGTATGAAGGATAATGGCCCCCTTCCCACAGCTTCACTAGGTAATGCCCCACTGGGAACTCTGAGTGGAGGCTCCAACCCCACATTTCCCCTCTGCACTTACCTAGTTGAAGTTCTCTGTGCAGCCTCCACTTCTGCATCAGGCTTCTGCATGGGCAACCACGCTTTCCCATACATCCTCTGAAACCTAGGCAGAGGCTGACAAGCCTTCACCACTCTTATACTCTCTGCAAGTGTGGGCATAACACCACATGGAAGCTGCCAAGGTTTATGACTTGCATTCTCCAAAGTGGCAGTTCGAGGTGTATCTGGACGAAAGTGGCGGTTCGAGGTATATCTGGACCCTTTGAACCCTGGCTGGTGCTGTAGTGGCTGAGATGTGAGAAGCAGTGCCCTGAGGCTGTGCAGAGCAGCAGAGCCTTGGTCCTGGTCCCTGGAACCATTCTTCCCTCCTATGTCTCTAGGCATGTGATGAAAGGGGCCACCACAAAAGCCTCTGAAGTGCCTTTGAGACATTTTTCACCTTGTCTTGGCTATTAACACTTGGCTCCTTTTTAGTTATGCAAATTTCTGTAGCAAGTATTTGCTCAGCAGCCTGCTTGAATTCTGCTCTAGAAAAAGCTTCTTTCTCTGTCACATGGCCAAGCTGCAAACTTTCCAAACTTTTATACTCTGCTTCCTGTTTAAATACAAATTCCAACGTTAACTCATTTCTTTGCTCCCACTTCTGAGTATTGGTTGTCAGAAGCAGCCAGGACACATCTTGAATGCTTTGCTGCTTAGAAGTTTTTTCTGCCAGATACCCTAGGCTATCACTCTCAAGCTCAAACTTCCATAGATCCATAGAGCCTGAAGAGAATGCAGCCAACTTCTTTGCTAAGGCATAAAACATGTGAACTTTGCTCCAGTTCCCAATAAGTTCATTTAAATCTGAGACCTCCTCAGCTTGAACTTCACTGTCCATATTAGTATCAGCATTTGGTCACAACCATATACCCAGTCCCTAAGAAATTTCAAGCCATCTCTCATCTTCTTGTCTTCTTCTGAGCCCTCTAAACTCTTCCAATCTCTTCCTGTTACCCAGTTCCAAAGTCACTTTCACATTTTCTGGTATCTTTATAGCAAGACCCCACTCCTCTGTACCAATTATCTGTATTAGGCTGTTCTCGCGTTGCTACAAAGAAATACCAGAGATTCGGTAATTTATAAAGAAAAGAGGTTTAATTTGCTCATGGTTCTGCAGGCTGTACAGGAAGCATAATGCGAGCATCTGCTTCTGGGGAGGTCTCAGGAAGGTTGCAATCATGGCTGTAGTTGAAGGAGGAGCAGGTGTCTCACATGGTAAAGCTGGAGCAAGAGAATGGGGAGAGGTGCTACACACTTTCAAATAACCAGATCTCAAGGGAACTCACTCACTATTGTGAGGACAGCACCAAGCCATAAGGGATCTACCCCCATAACCCAAACATCACCCACCAGTCCCCACCTCCAACATCGGGGATTACAATTTAACATGAGATTTGGTGGAGACATATATTCAAACTATATAAGCTCTATATCCCATTTTAGCAAAGTGCCTATCTGTTTTTAGAATAAATTTAGCATAAACAAGGAAGGGTGGCTGAGTGACCATGCCAAATCATGACCTTAGACATTCAGAAAACTTATCTGCATCATCAGTAAGATATGGTCTGTGTCTGGATAAAGTGTAAGAGCTAATTTCAGTGTTTCTGAGACACTGGGTCTTCTTAGTGACTACCGGCTTTTATTCAGGCTTGGTCTCTGACTTCCCATGATATGCACCTATAAATTTATTTTGGGACGTAACACCAATGAACATAGGAACAGCTTAATGCAAATCTTTTTTGAGTCTCCCCTACCTTCCTACCCACACCAATGCAGTTATAATTAAACAAGATTAGAGCCAAGGCATTTAAAATAAAGGTAAATTAATGTTAGTACAGGATCACTCAAAATGGTGCAGACTTTTAACCCTTTATTCCACTTAGGCTGAGTAGACATTTTCCAGTGAAGGAAGCTCTGCTATTTTATATATAGGTGTTTAGATGCATAAAATGATGTGTGCATTAGGAGATACATTTGCAATCCCAATACTATATGTTTTATTATTATTAAAACTGATGTCTTTTAGAGTAACAGTTAAAGGACAGGCTCGGGTGTCTGTGGTATCTCTCAGCCTTTGAGAAACTGTCAGCTACCTCAAACCTAGAAATGTGTGATTTTCATTCTTCACCACAGATAAATTATGTTAAACAATTGATTAGTTCTGGTTCCAGGATTCTGTTAGAAAGAGTTTAAGAATTGACCACCTCCTAGCTTGGGAGAATTGAAGTTATGATGATGACCATCCTTAATCTTGTAAATTAATGAGATTTTGTAAAAAGAATACAGTCAGCCTTCAGCATCTTTGGGCTCCATGTCCTCTAATTAAACCAACGATGGATTAAGCCAACCATCGATCAAAAATATTTAGGAAAAAAACAAAACAGTAAAAAATAATACAAGTAAAAACTAATACAGTATAGCAACTATTTTTATAGTATTTACATTGTATTTGGTAGTATAAGTAACCTAGAGATGACTTAAAATATATAGGAGGATGTGCATAGGTTATATGCAAACACAGCAGGTCCTCAAAGGATGTGGTATCATTCAACATGTTTCAGCCAACCATCGGTCAAAAATATTTAGGAAAAAAAAACCAGTAAAAAATAATGCAAGTAAAAACCAATACAGTATAGAAACTATTTTTATAGTATTTACTTTGTATTTGGTATTACAATTGATCTAGAGATGACTTAAAATATACAGAAGCATGTGCATAGGTTATACACAAACAGAAGGTCCTCAGATAATGTGGTGTCATTCAACAATGTTTCATTATAGTGTTGATGAGAAAAATAAATTGAATCCAGGCTGGGGCCACTGTCTGTGTGGAGTTTGTACATTCTCTCATGTCTGTGTGGGTTTTCTTCAGGGACTTTGGTTTCTTCCCATGTCCCAAAGCTGTGCCACTAGTTAACAAGTGTGTCTAAATGTTCCCAGTGTGCCTGTGGGGGTGTGTGCGAGTACATCTTGTGATGAAATGGTGGCCTGTCCAGGGCTGGTTCCTGACTGATGCCCCGAGCTGCTGGGATAGGTTCTGGCTGCCACCAGAACCTGAATAATTACGTTACTTTGATAAATAATTATCTTACTTGTTTTTATTAATCTTTATTAAATGTATGTATCGCTCATATTTATTTCAATGTTTAACATTAGAAGTGTTTTGGCTGGGCATGGGGGCTCATGTCTGTAATCCCAGCACTGTGGAAAGTGAGGCAAGAAAATCACATCAGCCTGGGGGTTCAAGACCAACCCGGGCAACATAGCAAGACCTCATCTTTACAAAAAAAAAAAAAAATTAATTAGCTGAGGATGATGGTGCTCAGGAGGCTGAGGTGGGAGGAACACCAGAGCCAGGGATGTTGAGGCTGCAGTGAGCCATGATTGAACCACTGTACTCCAGCTTAAAAGACAGAGTGAGATTATCTCAAAAAGCAAAAAGAATAGAAGTGTTTTGGGTCTGTATTTAGAAGTTTGGTGATGTTTTCGTGACCAGAAATATGCCATAGCAACATAACTCTTGTTTATATCAATTACTCTATGGTAAAAATGGTTTCATTATACGTCAACATTTGGCTTAAAGTTGTAGTTTCCAAGAACGAATCAATTACATTAAATGATGACTTCCTGTACTACACCATTTTATATAAGGTACTTGACCTTCCTCAGAGTTTGGTATTTTCAGTTGAGGGGTGGGTCTTGGAATCAATTCCTTGCATATACCTAGAGAACTATATTTTCTTTTTGATCTACATCACCTACATCTTTCCCCAGCAAAAGTGGGTTATTTCTGTTTTGTTTTGTTTTTTTGCTATTTAGAATCTAGACTTTTTGGCCGGCATGGTCGCTCACGTGTGTAATCCTAGCACTCTGGGAGGCCGAGGTGGGCAGATCACGAGGTCAGGAGATCAAGACCACCCTGGCTAACACAGTGAAACTCTGTCCCTACTAAAATACAAAAAAAAAAAAATTATCCGGGCGTGGTGGTGGAAGCCTGTAGTCCCAGCTACTTGGGAGGCTGAGGCAGGAGAATGGCGTGAACCCAGGAGGCGGAGCTTGCAGTGAGCCGAGATGGTGCCACTGCACTCCAGCCTGGGCGACAGTGTGAGGCTCAGTCACAAAAAAAAAAAAAAAAAAAAAAAAAAAAAAAAAAAAAAAAAAAAAAATCTAGACTTTTTGATCAATATATCTTGGGGGAAAAGTAAATTTTATACAAGAATTTTTGCTGCAGTAACTGATTTTATATTATTCCCTAAGAAACTCTGTGAAGAATTCTAAGCACATCTTCTATAAGGATATTATAACTCCTTATTCTCAAAATACTTTACTTTTTTAATTAATTGCAATTTTATAAGCAAATACATGTTTTATTAAACTCTTTATACTTAAAAGCTTCTTATCTTCTATTTAGCACATTTATATAGAAACATAAAAGTGGCTTTTTTCTGAGTCATAGTCTTGTGTTTGTGTGCATGTGGCTGTGAAGTTGATTAATAAAATTACTTCCCTGTTGGTAACTGGAATTTCAGTGAGGAGATCAGGCCATCCATTGAGAGTCAAAAAAGGACAGTTACAATTATCAAATATGTTGATCTGAGGACGTGTTTCCAGAGAATTTTCAGAATTCCCTTCCTGATACCATATGCTTAATGTTGAAGGTATTAGCATTAAATTATTCCTTAAGTTTTACATTAACATTAGATGAATTTATTTTGAAGTAACCTGTTCTGATTTATGATCCGTACATAGCCATAAAAAGCCTTCCTGAATGCTTAGTTTTTATTTTATTTTATTTTTCTGAGATGGAGTCTCGCTCTGTCTCCCAGGCTAGAGTGCAATGGCCGGATCTCGGCTCACTGCAACCTCTGCCTCCCGGGTTCAAGCAATTCTGCCTCAGCCTCCCAAGTAGCTGGGATTACAGGCACGCACCACCAGGGCCGGCTAGTATTTGTGTTTTTAGTAGAGGTGGGTTTTCACCATGTTGGCCAGGCTGGTCTCAAACTCCTGACCTCGTGATCCACCTGCCTTGGTCTCCCAAAGTGCTGGGATTACAGGCATGAGGCACCGTGCCCGGCCCTGAATGCTTAGTTTTTGTTTTGTTTTTTTTTTTTAAAAAAAAAGAAAAATGGGCTGGGCATGGTGTCTCATGCTTATAATCCCAGCACTCTGGGAGGCTGAGGTAGGCGGATCACCTGAGTGCAGGAGTTTGAGACCAGCCTGGCCAACGTGGTGAAACCCCGTCTCTACTAAAAATACCAAAATTAGCTGAGCATGGTAGTGGGTGCCTGTAATCCCAGCTACTCGGGAAGCTGTAGCAGGAGAATCGCTTGAACCTGGAAGGCAGAGGTTGCAGTGAGCTGAGATCATGCCAATGTACTCCAGCCTGGGTGACGGAGCGAGACTGCCTCTCAATAAACAAATAATAGGAAAAATGAAAAAATAAACCTCTTAGCACTCTACTGTGCTATAAATTTGTCTTTATTGTTAGTTTAGCTGTTAGGCTGCAAAGACTATTCCTATTTTTTATTGTCATTTATCAATAAGTTTGAAACTTGCCAAAGTAGAAATTAGAGATGTACTAGGCTTCTACTGCTTGTGTTTGTTTATTCTATGCACTTGTTAAAATAGATTTTACACTAGACACAAACATATTCCCTTCCAAATTGTGCTTGATGCCATATCAAACTTTTAAATCATTATTCTCAAAGTTAGTATTTTCTGTCTGGAATCTTATGTTTGCTTGTTTCATTAATGGATTTTAATATTTTAAGTAGGAATTTCTTGATGATACCATCACTGTGCCATATACTTGGTACAACATGAAATTTATCAGGTTCATTTTATCTACCAATCAGAAACTTGGAAGGTATGATGCTCTTTTTATCATAAGTCATGAAATATATTTGAAACCCATAATGTTTAATTATGAAACTGATGTTTCTGATAATAGATTTTGTCTTTATGGAAGAAAGAAGGAAGTAAAGATAGAAAAGTGAACAAAGAAAAGAGAGAAATTATTACTTTTGTGGCAAGTAGCCTAATAATTTCTGAGTTAATGCTTCTTTGATGTATTTTTTCTCTTTAAGTATAATTATTGTCATTTTAAAATTTTTATTTTGGACTTTCCTAATGGATTTTTGTCAGGTAACATGGGCATTTTTTTTTCTTATATTTCCTGACCTCCGTAAGTTTTTAATCTTGTAGCGATGTTTACGAGATACTGGGATATTGGAAACTTATCATTGAAACTAAAGACAGTGAGCAATAGGAACCTAATTAAGCAAGGTCATAAAATGCACGCCGCATTTCAGTTTTTGATTAAGATTCTTGTTGTCTTTTTTTTTTTCAGGCTGTAACATCTTGTGACTTATAGGTTTATTTTAACATTGGGCTTTGTATTTCCCCTACCACAGTATTTGGGAGTGAGTTGATAATGGTTCTAGTTCTGTCATTAACTAGCTGTGTAACTTCATACAACTCACTTTAAAACAAAAACACTTTTTTGCATAATTGCTAGAATCTCAGCTCTAAACATACTTTCCCCTCAGTTCCCTTGTACTTGCTTTCCTTATAATTTATGGTCTACCTCCCTCCATCCGTGTCTGTGTCTGTGAGTTTGAGGGCAATATTTGTCTCTTCCCTTAACTTTCTCCTTTTCTTTTTCCTTCCTCTTAACTGCTTACAGTAGATGTACCTTCATCCTTTTATACTGCCATTTCCTTGTGTTCCTTGGGGGACACCATTTCTGAAAGACATTCTTGGAAAAAGGATTTCATGGGCAAATGAGTTTGTGAAATTTTGCATGTTATATAACCTTATTGTAGATTATAATGCTATTAGCATGTTGAAAATTGTGAGAATTCCTTCCATAAAATACCTATTAAACATTGTTAAGCTCTTGGATTAGTCCGTTCTCACACTGCTGATAAGAAGATACCTGAGACTGGGTAATTTATAAAGGAAAGAGATTTAATTGACTCACAGCTCGGCATAGCTGGGGAGGCTTCTGAAAACTTACAATCACAGCAGAAGGGGAAGCAAACACATCTTTCTTCACATGTTAGCAGCAAGGAGAAGTGCCCAGCAAAAGGGGAGAAAGCCCTTTATGAAACCATCAGATCTCCTGAGAACTTACTCTCATGAGAACAGCATGAGGATAAACACCCTCATGATTCGACTACCTCCCACCAGGTCCCTCCCACGACGGGTGGGGATTATGGGAACTACAATTCAAGGTGAGATTTGGGTGGGGACACAGAACCAAACAGTATCAGTTCTAGATTTCCTTATTTTATTTGAGTACTGAATACTTTCTTGTTATTGTAGTGCTGTGTCTGTGACTGTGTTTCTGTGTAGGTGCTTGTTTCTAAGGATGTAATATGAGTGTATATATCTAATACATATTAGCATCCCAAATATTTGGTGTTTTGTGCTATTTTGATAATATTGTTTTAAAGGCCTCAGGGAGAAGGCCTTCAGATTGGATTCTCCCATCCCTTTTTTTTTTTTTTTTTTTTTTTTTTTTTTTTTTTTTTTTTTGAGACGGAATCTCAGAATCTCGCTTTATTGCCCAGGTTGGAGTGCAGCGGCGTGATCTCAGCTCACTGTAAGCTCCGCCTCCCAGGTTCACGCCATGCTCCTGCCTCAGCCTCCCCAGTAGCTGGGACTACAGGCGCCTGCCACTACGCCCAGCTAATTTTTTGTATTTTTTTAATAGAGACGGGGTTGCACTGTGTTAGCCAGGATGGTCTCCATCTCCTGACCTCGTGATCTACCTGCCTCCGCCTCCCAGAGTTCTGGGATTACAGGCGTGAGCCCCCCGCGCCCAGCCACTCCCATCCCTTTTTAATATATTTACTGCATCTGTGGCTAAACCTATAAGGCCTGCATATGCAAGGAGATATGGAACCTTAATCTAGCTTTTCTGGTTGTGGCGCAGTGTGACAAGGAGTACTCTCTATGCCAGTAGCCAAGCGATTCAAGAGCCTGCTGCAGTCCATGCAGGTCTTTTGATGCTAAAAGATGGCGATAGTCGTTGGCACTGCAAATGCTGCAATGGTCTCATCGAGGTGAATGGATGGCGCCGGAAGTGATTGACTCATGTACCCTGCAACACAAGCTACTGGAACCTGTTCTGCTTCTGGGCCAGGAGCAGTTTGCAGGTGTGGACATCCTGTCTGGGTGAAGGATGGTGGTCATGAGGCCCAGTTTTATGTTATCCATCAGTCCATCTCCAAATCCCTGGTGTCCCATTACCAGAAATATATGGATAAAGCTTTCAAGAAGATAAAAGACATTCTCAGTCAGTATGACCAGATACTGCTGGTAGCTGATATATTTCCAGAACTGAATGGTAGAGAAAGCCCTATATATACTACTGCCCAACTATGAGTCTAATTTTCTAACCTTTAAATAAATCTGTTTTAAATCATGCTTCCCAAGGCGGACACGGCGGCTCACGCCTGTAATCCTAGCACTTTGGGAGACTGAGGTGGGTGGATCATCTGAGGTCAGAAGTTCAAGATCAGCCTGGTCAAAATGGTAAAACCCCATCTTTACTAAATATACAAAAATAAGCCAGGCGTGGTGGCGGGTGCCTGTAATCCCAGCTACTCGGGAGGCTGAGGCAGGAGAATTGCTTGAACCGGGGAGGCAGAGGTTGCAGTGAGCTGAGATTGCACCATTGCGCTCCAGTCTGGGCAACAAGAGTGAAACTTCATCTCAAAAACAAAAACAAAAACAAAAACAAAAACAAAAACATGCTCCCCACATGTGCTAGAGAATATTAATTGTTAGTCTTAAATGCTTCACACACACAAAATATTATTTCCATAACTAAAGAAGCTTCTATTTTAGATTTTTATGTTGTTGGTAAATACCATTTTGCTTACTGAAAACAATAACAGCAACAAAGAAACCTTTATAGAATTCCATTGTGACTTGATAGAATATTTCAGCTTATATGAACCAGTAAGAATAATTCATTACCATATGAAATACCTCACTTGGCCTTAAGACTTAGTTTGGTATTTTATATTGTTTGAAAATATATGGATTATTTGTTTGGAGTTGTGAGAGGTAGACAAAATCAAAATTATTTTAAAGTCTGTAATTTATCTTTATAGAATATTCATAGTGTCTGAGAGAATAATTTTTCTAATGTCGATATGTCAGTCTAGGTTGTGTACAAGGAACAGAAACCTCACCACTTAAATCAGGAAGTGGTTTAATATAGCATGCTCTTAAAATTGTTAAATGAGATAAGGGAAAGAATTTTAGAATGTGCCTTTGGAAATGACACCCAGAACGACATAAAATTTAAGGACTCCTATTTCTGTGGTCTTTATCAAAATTGTGCTTAAATCAAGAACCCACTACTACTGCTTCAGTTGACTCTGAATACGCTGGAAACTTGAAATTGTGCACCCACAGCTGCAATCCAAGAATTAGAAGGGCTTGTGCTGAAGCCATGCCATTATTGTTATGACACACACTACTTCTTGTCACCCAGGAAGCTGGATGATGGACTCTGAAACACAACTCCAAGTAAATGTCTTACTACCAACAATCATGCTTGCCAGTTGAAAAAGTTAAAATTAGCAGGAAGATAGCCTCACTCTCACTTCTGCTTGCCAATTTCTGAATGCACTTTGATTAGCATGCAGAACCTTAGTTACAAGTTTGTGTGGAAAAGATAGTTTTAAGCTTTCCAATCACCTCAAATGGACAGAGGATGGAATGAGGCTGAAAGAGCCAATCCAGGGTGCCCACTACAATTGTTTTTGGTGTTCTTTGTTTAGAAATAGTGGCGATTCTTTATTTTTTTTTTGAGACGGAGTCTTGCTCTGTCGCCCAGGCTGGAGTGCAGTGGCACGATCTCGGCTCACTGCAAGCTCCGCCTCCTGTATTTACGCCGTTCTCCCCTGCCTCAGCCTCCCGAGTAGCTGGGACTACAGGCGCCCGCCACCACGCCTGGCTAATTTTTTTTTTGCATTTTTAGTAGAGACGGGGTTTCACCGTGTTAGCCAGGATGGTCTCGATCTGCTGACCTCATGATCTGCCCGCCTCGGCCTTCCAAAGTGCTGGGATTACAGGCGTGAGCCACCGCGCCCGGCAATTCGTTCTTAATAGAAGTTCCTTACCCTAGGTACTTATGAGGACAGTAAAACCAGCATAGGAAATGGTTGTTACTATGTTTTGTCGTCTTTTGGGAATCTTAAAAACAGTTTTCTTGGTGATCTGGCTTCCTGGTTGTGCGTGTGTGTGTGTGTGTGTGTGTGTGTGAATAGTACACTTCCTCACATTATTTTTATTCACAGTTATGTCATAGTATGGTTTTGACAATTTCATATCTTTCCTTGGCATCACCAATTCACTTAAAAGACTCCCATATTTTCTCCAAGGTGCCTCATTAGGCCCAGTCTATGGTTTGCTCCTCTCAAGTGATTTCAGAAACTCCTCAAGTATTTCATCTTCTTTCATGGCTATCAAAGAACGGGTCACATCTGGCAGGAAGAAAGATGGCATCATTGAATTCTGCTGACATACAAATGCAGGTTTTTAAAATAAATGATCTTTTTCTTGTTTGTCTTTTATTATCTCAAAGGGAGATATTTAGTTGTCTCCAAATTTCTGAACAGAAACCATTTCTAGTTAAATTTTTTTCAAAGACATTTGAAAAATAAGGCTTTTCTCTATCAGATGCAAGTTTTACTGTTTTACAGCTTGAGTATTTGATTTGCAAGAAGAATATACAATTGAGTAAATTAGAACTATCGTAGTTCTCTCCACAAAGATTTTGGACTTAAAGGAGTGCATTAAGTTTGCGATTACTCCTGCAAAATGCCATGGGGAATTACATCATGTACTTACATAATTTGTGAAAAAAATTTTATTGATAAAATACAGATAATAGAGGCAAAATTATTTAATATATAAATTATGCAAATAATCCTTTCAATGTTCCACCCCATTCCATGTGGAGAGCCTGAGCTTCTATTTTGGGACTCTCATTGTTATCTATCCTATGTCCATGGGATGATATGCACACAGAATTACATGGAGAGTCAAGGTAATTATTCTGATAAACTCAAGTTCAATCATCTCAATTTTTTCCCTCTCGAATTATACAAGTTATCAATTCTTTTTTGAACTCATATTGAATGTAGCACTTAATTTAATTTTAATCATCATATAAAGTTAGAAAATAATGGGAGGTGATTCTAGCCAGATATATAACAAACATCTAAATTTATTAGAGCTTTGTGTTGGAACTTTTACAAGAAACATTACTTTAATAATATTGATATTTTGTCTTGGTCAGAGATCAAGTGTATTACCATATGTAAACCAATGTTTTTAAAACTAGGTGATTTTCAATCTAAGATTATACCTAAGATAGGCATTGAGCTATTATGTAATGTATATGCCTCATATACATTTCTAAAATTCTTTTTTTCTTTTTCCTTTTTTTTTATCTGAGACAGAGTCTTGCTCTGTCACCCAGGCTAGGGTGCAGTGCCATGATCTTGGCTCACTGCAAACCCCACCTCTTGGGTTCAAGAGATTCTCCTGCCTCAGCCTCCCAAATAGTTGGGATTACAGGCACCTGCCACCGCACCTGGCTAATTTTTGTATTTTTAGTAGAGACGGGGTTTCACCATCTTGGCCAGCTGGTCTCGAACTCCTGACCTTGTGATCCACCCACCTTGGCCTCCCAAAGTGTCATCTCTTACATTCTTATAAATATGAATTATTTTCAGAACTTACTGTTGGCAATTATTATGTATAAATTTCAATATGAGTACATATTTTATAGTTCTCCTTTCCTCATCTCAAACATGTAAGTACATTTCTTTCTTGGTATACACATCTGAAGTGCTATGGGGTAAATCTCTCAGGAAAATAACACCCCAATTTCTATTTGGACTAGTCCTAGGCTACCTTTGGAAGTGAAGTATCTGAGGTGGAGGACCATAAACTGGCCATTGCAGGACCATCCCAAATCCGGATTTCTCTCATATCATTCCCCAATTCACAGATGTTCTAACAACTTTCAGGATGCCTCAGTGTTATTCCTGGAAGTAATTTCTACCCATGTCAAACAAATTAAACAAGTCATTTGGTGATTGGTTTTGATTGTTGGACTTGATTCTTGAAAAAACAGCAATCAAAGGCACTTATTGATTTTTATAATTTATGTCTCCAAGAACTTGTGCCATTTTATGACCATTATGTAATTAATTTTGACAAATCAAGTGAGTTTAATATCTAAAATGTTTGTCCAACCTCATTAAAATTGGGCAAAGACGTTAGGGTGTCAATTTTAAATCTTTCCTGCTTTCTCTTGTGGGCATTTAATGCTATATATTTCCCTCTACACTCTGCTTTAAATGTGTCCCAGAGATTCTGGTACATTGTGTATTCATTCTCATTGGTTTCAAAGAATATCTTTATTTCTGCCTTCATTTCGTTATTTACCCAGTAGTCATTCAGGAACAGGTTTTTCAGTTTCCATGTAGTTGTGTGGTTTTGAGTGAGTTTCTTAATGCTGAGTTCTAATTTGATTGCACTGTGGTCTGAGAGACCATTTGTTATGATTTCCGTTCTTTTGCATTTGCTGAGGAGTGTGTTACTTCCAATTATGTGGTCAATTTCAGAATAAGTGTGATGAGGTGCTGAGAAGAATGTATATTCTGTTGATTTGGGGTGGAGAGTTCCATAGATGTCTATTAGGTCCACTTGGTCCAGAGCTGAGTTCAAGTCCTGAATGTATTTGTTAATTTTCTGTCTCAATCTAACATTGACAGTGGGGTGTTAAAGTCCTCCCCCCCCATTATTGTGTGGGAGTCTAAGTCTCTTTGTAGGTCTCTAAAAACTTGCTTTATGATTCTGGGTGCTCCTGTATTGGGTGCATATATATTTAGGATAGTTAGCTCTTCTTGCTGCATTGATCCCTTTACCATTATGTAATGCCCTTTATCTCTTTGATCTTTATTGCTTTAAAGTCTGTTTTATCACAGATTAGGATTGCAACTCTTTTTTTTTTTCCTTTCCATTCACTTGGTAAATATTCTTCCATCCCTTTACTTTGAGCCTATGTGTGTCTTTGCATGTGAGATGGGTCTCCTGAATACGGCACACCAATGGGTCTTGACTCTTTTTCCAATTTGCCACTCTGTGTCTTTTAATTGGGGCATATAACCTGTTTACATTTAAGGTTAATATTGTTATGTGTGAATTTGATCCTGTCATTATGATGCTATCTAGTTGTTTTCCTCCTTAGTTGATGTAGTTTCTTCATAGTGTTGATGTTCTTTACAATTTGCTATGTTTTTGCAGCGGCTGGTACCAGTTGTTCCTTTCCATGTTTAGTGCTTCCTTCAGGAACTCTTGTAAGGCAGGTCTGGTGGTGACAAAACAGAATAGAAAACCAAGTATCGCATGTTCTCACTCATAATTGGGAGTTGAACACTGACAACACATGGTCATAGGGAGGGGAGCATCACACACCAGGGCCTGTCGGGGGGTGGGGGTTAGGGGAGCAATAACGTTAGGAAAAATACCTGATGTAGGTGACGGGTTGATGGGTGCAGCAAACATGTATACCTATGTAATAAAACTGCACGTTCTGCATATGTACCCCAGAATGGAAAATGTAATAAAAAAATTGGGCAAAAACATGAACAGACATTTCTCAAAAAAGATGTAACGTGTGGCCAACAAACATGAAAGAGTTCAACATCACTGACCACCAGAGAAATGCAAATCAAAACCCCAATAAGATACCATCTCACATCAGTCAGAATGGCTATTATTAAAAAGACAAAAAATAACATACGCTGGCGAGGTTGCAGAGAAAAAAAGGAACACTCATACACTGTTGGTGGGAGTGTTAATTAGTTCAACCATTGTGGAAAGCAATGTGGCAATTCCTCAAAGAGCTAAAAGCAGAACTACCATTCGACCCAGCAATCCCGTTACTGGGTATATACCCAGAAGAATATAAATCATTCTACCATAAAGACACATGCACGTGTATGTTAATTGCAGAACTATTCACAATAGCAAAGATGTGGAATCAACCTTAATGCTTATCAATTGTAGACTAGATACGGAAAATATAGTACATATCACCAAAGAAAACTATGCAGCCACAAAAACAAAACAAAAAACCAAGATCATATCCTTTGCAGTAACATGGATGGAGCTGGAGTTCTCAGTCACAAGTGGGAGCTGAATGATAACACATGGACGCATGAGGTGGGGGCAACAACACACTGAGGCCTGTCAGGGATGGGTGTGGGGGAGAGCATCAGGAAGAATAGCTAGTGGATGCTGGGCTTAATATCTAGGTGATGGAATGATCTGTGTGGCAAACCATCATGGCATATGTTTACCTGTGTAACAAACCTGCACATCCTCCATATGTACCACTGAACTTAAAACTTGAAAAAATAAATATAAAATGTTTGTCAATGGAAACATGGATGAAGAAGCATCTCACAAATATTTGGTCACTGGGTTTCTTGGTTGCAATTTCTTTTAACAGACTGAATGAAACTGATAACATTGATCTAACAGGATCTCCTTTTATTTACAGAATCAGTCCACTAAAAGTATTCAGTCCAGAATCTTCTTCTCTAATTGTATATTAGAGCTAATACTTTGGGGAAACATGCACCATTTCTATTTTCTATTTGTTGTGATTTAGATTCGGAGTCTACAACTTGGTTAGGTTAAGAAATATGACAAAAATGAATAATTAAAAAAGTACAATAATGTTATTTGTATAAAAACATATGTAATAATTATATGAATATAATAATAACTTAAAATATGTATTTTTAGGGACACAAATCAAAACGTAATCTAAAGTAATCTAATATATGCAAACAGAAGTTGTCAAGGTAATTGGTAGTCTCAAATAAAACCGTGGACTAGGTGTCAGTAAATTCTTTCCTAGAGGATAGGAACAAGAGCCATAAACTTCCATGACTGTGAGTCAGAAAATGTTTCTTGGTAGGGGATAGATAAGAAAGCACTCTAGATAGCACTCCAGATAATCACAAGCAGCAAGGCTGTAAAAAGATGTGGCAGTTTTAACGCATAAGTGGATGTGGTAGTATTTCATCCTTAGTACGACATTTTGTCAGAACATTATTTTGATCTTTGCTTTCTTAGCCATTTTTACTCATTCAGACTCACCAGTTGTCACTATTATTTCGCACCGTGTTATGGTGTTATCATCCCTCATACTATTGTTACTCACCCTGGGTACTCATTCCTGCAAATTGCTGTCTGCCTAATTGTCCTTTCATAAAATTACTCATCTATGTTAAATAATATAGGTCCTTCTACACTTATTTCTCAGGTAAAGTGACTTATTATATTTGAGCTCATGGTAAAAGCAAAGAAAATATTGCAGCTGATTAAGGAATGAAAAAGCTATGACTTCAGATGCTGCTTAAACTGACTGAAGAGGTGAGAACATGGATTTTAGGCAGGAATTTTTTGAGCAAAGGCTATTGCAAAAATACAAGTATGTATTTCTAAATATTCACGGAACACTTACTATGGGCTATACACAGTTCTGGGTTTTGGAAATAACGGCAGTGAATTACACATATAGGACCTTTGCTCATATGGGGCTTATATTCTAATGTGGGGAGACAGTGCACTGATAAGTCACTAGTTAACTTCTCAGTGATGAAAACTACAAGAAAAATAAAATTAGGGCAATGGTATACATTGATGGGGATGAGTCACCGCGTGTGTATGCGTGTATGTATGTGTGTGTACATATAGGGGGATAAGTGGTCTTCTTAATATCTACTGGTCAATGGAGTCCTTTCTGAAAAACTGACATTTGAGCAGATACTTGAATGAAGAGAGAGCATAAGCCATGACTATATCAGATATTATTTTGTCTTGAGGGCTAAGTAATGTCTGAAAGATGATTTCATCACCTAGGTATTAAGCCCAGAATCCATTAGCTATTTTTCCTGTTGCTCTCCCCCACACCCACCCCCGGCAGGCCTCAGTGCATTGTTCCCTCCACCTCATGTGTCCATGTGTTCTCATCATTCAGCTCCCACTTGTGACTGAGAACTCCAGCTCCATTCATGTTACTGCAAAGGATATGATCTTGGTTTTTTGTTTTGTTTTTTTGTGGCTACATAGTTTTCTTTGGTGTATATGTACTATATTTCCTTTATCTAGTCTACCAGTGATGAGCATTAAGGTTGATTCCACGTCTTTGCTATTGTGAATAGTTCGGCAATTAACATATACGTGCATGTGTCTTTATGGTAGAATGATTTATATTCTTCTGGGTATATGCCCAGTAATGGGATTGCTGGGTCCAATGGTAGTTCTACTTTTAGCTCTTTGAGGAATTGCCACATTGCTTTCCACAATGGTTGAACTAGTTAACACTCCCACCAACAGGGTGTGAGTGTTCCTTTTTTATCTGAAGCCTTGGAAGCATATGTTATTTTTTGTCTTTTTAATAATAGTCATTCTGATTGATGTGAGATGGTATCTCATTGTGGTTTTGATTTGCATTTCTCCAGTGGTCAGTGATGTTGAGCTCTTTTTCATGTTTGTTGGCCAGATGTATGTCTTCTTTTGAGAAATGTCTGTTCATGTTCTTTGCCCACTTTTTAATGGGGTTGGACAAACATTTTAGATATTGAACTTACTTGATTTGTCAAAATTAATTACATAATGGTAATAAAATGGCACAAGTTCTTGAAGACATAAATTATAAAAATCAATAAGTGTCTTTGCCTTTTTTCAAGAATCAAGACTTAAGGAGCTTTCTCTGCAGGTTCAAAGAAAAGCAGACAAGTGTGACTGCAGTAGAGTGAGCAAAGACAATATTAGAACAGGGAGTTTAGGAGCCTTGTAGTTCATATTAAAGACTTTAAATTCTCTCCTGATCATGGTGGAAAGCCATTGGAGATTTTTAAGTAAAGGAGCAATATTTTGGGGAAAAAAGTGCAGACTGAAGATTTAGAGTAAAACCTGCCGTTGATTAAAACTATGTAGAAGAAAAAAATACACAAATAAAAGCCCACTGAGCCTCAGTTCCTGAGTGGCCTTCATGGTAAAATGTTATAAGAGAAATACTCTAAGGTGTTTTAACATAAAATTGAGCTAAAGTCTAGTAAGCTGAGATGTTGGTAAAGATATTGATGATGTATTTCTGAAAGCATTTGTGCGGGACAGTAAATCTTAAGAGTCTATCAGTTTAAGACTTTTCTTCACTGCAATCTACTGAAACAGAACCCTGATCACAAGGAGCACTGATTTCTTCTATGGTGTCATGGTATAATTTATGTTTTGCAATGATCACTCTGGGTTCTCTGTGAGGAACTTTACAGTGGGTCTAGAAAGGAAGCAGAGAGAGCAGTTATAGAAACTATTGTAGCCATCCAGAAGAGATAAGATAGTGTCTAAACAAGGAGCGTAATAGCAGATATAGAAAGAAGTGGATAGTTTCAAGAGGAGGCTTTAAGATTTATTGATAGATTGAATATGTGGTGAATTGGGGAAAGATAAAAATGGAATGGATGAATACTTTTGATTTGTGGATCGAGTAAGAATATAATGTTTGCCTACTGGGAAAAAGACACCTCTGTGTAAACTATGTTTTCTGCTGTAGGGAAGGGATAACCTGGAGTCTTTTCTAAGTGCATCTACCATAGTAGATAAAATTGGCTTGTGGCCTGTGCTAGAAGAAGGAATTGGGGAAATGGTGTAAAAGTGAGTGGAAGGAGGTACAAAAGCCCAGTCACCTGTGCCTCCTCCCCCAAACAAAAAGCATAAGAATATCCAAGACCCCGCACAGATACCTGATATTGACCTGCCACCAAATGACAGGAGCCCTTTCCTTGTCTTTTTCCAAGAAAGACATGCACAGGTTCTATGTAGAGCTTTGTGACTGCTAGCATTCAGAAGTGTCCTAGATATTTGAATTCATTTTATCTGTTTAAGAAACAGGATCGGAGCATAGATGGGGACAGTCTTTCATTAAAGGAATAAGGAAAGGCTCTGTAATGTGGCACAGAGCCTTCTCTGATTTAGGATGTGCCTGCTCATTGAACTTCCATAATACCATTTTAATTACTGTACCAACCTGACAGAGCCTTTGTTTGTTCAACTCAGTTTGCTTAATTCCTTCCAGGGATAAAGTGAGTACATGCTTCTTGGTAAAGATTATGGTGACATATAAAAGTAAAAATAAATGCAATTATATCATCTTATTCAGTAGGCATTTTCAAACGTTCCTGCAAAGAAATGTGGTATAAAACCTAAATGTTAATTTCCCACTTAAACCATTCAAGAGATACATAAATCGAGGAAAATGGAATAGGTTTCTTCATAATCTTACCTTTTCCTTTAACATCACAACTTATGGGGCAATAATTGAGTAGAAATAAAAATGTTAAAATATTCATAATATACAAGAACAGAAACGTGAATAGAAACAAATCTGGATTTGGAATTTTTCTGATTTTCTGTGATGTCTTCAAAATTTCTGCCATCATTTTTGGCTCCTACACCAAAGCTAGAAGACAACTTAAATGTATCCCATTAAATATGATTACATATTTAATATTGACTAAAGAAAGGTGGTGAGTTTCTGTTACATAACTTCACTACTGCTTTGATACTCTTTGAAGTTACCATATTTCCCTCCTGGAAACTGCAGTATGTTCCTAACTGGTCACTTGTTTTCAGACTTTTCCCCTTTATCTATACAGCAACCAGAATGATCTTTTTCAAATACTGAATAGACATCTCCTTGCCCTGCTTGAAATAGTTCTGGTGACCTTCCATGAAACACTGCAGATGAAACAAGTATTTATATCATATATGTTCTTTTTTGAAAGTCTACTCTAAGTACAGTAAAAAATGCTTTTGAATGTATTAACCCAAAAATACCAAAGAGAAGAGACAAATTATGTGAGACAATTTCGGACAATAAGGAGCAGATAATTAAATAATAAATAAGATTTCATATTTTCCTGCTTTAAGTGAGTGTAAGTAAAAATCTAAGATAAGAACCCCAGCAAGGCTAAACATTTAGAGACTTCAGGCACCAATGAAGGTAGGGTTTTTCCAGTGGGGCTGAGAATAAGAGGATTAGCTTAGAGCCTGTTTTGAAAATAGCTAGGCCTCTAGGTTCCCTAATACAACCCCAACAGACAGGCAATTTCTTATCCACTACTATAGTCTGATCTCACCCTGCTAATAAAGATATACCTGAGACTGGATAATTTATAAAGGAAAGAGGCTTAATTGATTCAAAGTTTCACATAGCTGGGAAGGCCTCACAATCATTGTAGAAGGCAAATGAGGATCAAAATCATGTCTTACATGGTGGCAGGCAAGAGGTTTGTGCAGGGGAACTCCCATTTATAAATCCATCAGATCTCATGAAACTTATTCTCTACCACAAGAACAGTTCAAGGTGAGATACCTTGCATTGTAAGGTGGGGTGGGGATACAGCCAAGGCATATCAACTACTTTGGCAGAAAACAGGGAATTTAATTTCATAAGCAGTAAGTCTCAGGACTAATAAAAGGAAGCCCCCAAACCATGGCGAAGGAGTAAACCGTTGCAGTTTGGAACAGGAAGATGGTAGGCAACAGGAATGATGTCAAAAGTAAACAACAGCAACAATAAAAAACTGACTAGAATACTGATTTTCCATTTGGGGAGGAGTTTTGTAGTTCTTTTGTAGAATTATGCAATAATAAATTCTAAGAAAGAAAAAGAAAAGCTGAAACACAAAGCAATTAACTCTAACTCTAAAAATAACCCAAAACTTGTTCAAGGAAGGAAGTGTAGTAATACTAAACTACTTTCTCACCTATCAACAAAAATGTATATAGTCATAATTATATAAAGACTGAATATTAATTTAACTGAAAATTAGATTGTGGGAGGATGAGGGGAGAGAAAGTGTGAATATATATGTGTGTATGCGTCCATGAGTATGGAGGGGTGTAAAGAATGAATTTCTAGTCTTATATAGCAGAAAGTCGTTAAGTTATATATAAGCTTTAAATTTTAAAAATACTAATAGAAACGTCTTATAGAGAATTACGAAAGTAAATGCACTTGACGTAGCCAAAACAATTGGAAGAGAATGGAGAGGAGTGGAGTGGACACTGCTATTTTTTACCATAAGCCTTGATGGAGTGTTTGACTTTTTAAATCATGCACATTTACTGTATGATAGAAATAAAAATTGCATTGAAAACAAAGGAATTCCTTGGTTTTACAATCCAAAATCCATCCCCTGACCATAGTTTACATATCCCTGCCTATCTTTGCTACCTCATATTTTCTCATTCTTTCTTATTTTAGCTACAAAATAGCCCCTTTACCCCTGCTTCTCATTTTCAGAAAATGCCAAGCTCAGTTCTTCTTGGTAGGCCTTACTGCCCAAATTCCACATGGCTAGCATCTTCTTGTCAGAGCTCAGTTCACATACCATCCTTCTCAGGATGGCTTCCCTAAACAGCCACTCTCTGCCATTTTTCCGTCTTGTTTTCTTCATAACACTAGTCCTATCTGATGCTGCCCTTCTTGAGGATGGGACAATGCAAGGGATCCAGGCCTTGGTTGTGTCCCAATGCACAGAATGACACTTTGATAAAATAGAGCAGACATTTTCAAGAGAGTGTGTCTTTAAATTTCTCAGGGTTCATTTATGAGCATTTACGGATTATCCTCTGTGTTTTCAGCATTAGAGCTGCATGATGGATAATTTCAGGAATCCAAAACAGTTATTGGCGTAGGCAGTCTTGTTTACAGGTTGGTCAGAAAATGATAGCCAAGAGCTGGGAAGCCAACAAAATTCATCTTTAAAAGTTGCAGGGATTTGACTACTGAGTTATCTTTTGCTGCATAAAAGATTATGCCAAGGCTTGCTGACTTTAAAAACAGCAAAGATTATTATCTTACAGTTTCTATGGGTCAGAAATTCAGGAGTGGCTTAGTGAGGTGGTTCTGTTATAGAGACTCTCATGAGGTTGCAATCAAGATGTTAGCCAGGACTGCAGGCATCTGGCATCTTAACTGGAGCTAAAAGACTGGCTTCCAGGCTCACTCTTGTGGCTGCTGGCAGGAAGCCTCAGTTCCTTGCAATGTAGACCACATAGGGCTGCTTGAGTGCCCTCATAGCATGGCAGGTGGCTTCCACCAGAGTGAGTGATCCAAAGAGAGAGAGAACCGAATGGAAGTTACAATGCCTTTTGTGACTTACCCTCAGAAATCATACTCCATCATCTCTTCCACATTCTGTTCAGTAGAAGAACAAAGAACAGCCCACCTTCAGGAGGAGAATTAAGCTTCATCTCTTAAAAGGAGGAGTATCAAAGAATTTGTGGGCATATTTTTAAATTATCACAACTACTGTATATCTTATTAATTTATTGTTTTGGTACTAAAATATTCTCTAGTACATGCACATCACAAGCAGTCAAAAAGATATAAATTAAAGGGCAGTCTTTTTGTTCCCTCTGGGAGATAACTAATATTTTTGAAAAATCTACTGGATGTCACTATCCTGGATTTTTAATATTTGTTACCTGATTTAATCGCCTCACCATTTTGGAGTCTTGGTATTTTGTTTATTTAATATAAGGACAGTTACTCTCATTGATGTTAGTAACCTTTTCAAAAACATGTTTAATTAGAGGGCTAGGCTGAACCGAATGATATACAGTGTTTTCTTTGCTGTGGTGTCATCACACTAGTGGCCCTTGGTCCAATATGGTTGCAGATAGGTTTGGCTGAACACACAAAATGCTTTGTAAATTTTAAAAATTAGTTTATAACATTAAAAAATTGAGAGATTTCAACTGAAATGTGGAAATCATGTTTTGAAGTTCTTTGAAGCAACAAAGCGTCTCTAGATCAAAACAAGTGCTGAAGTTGAGGCTGCCTTTTTTAGGTAGGTGTATACTTTCTGGCCATCATCTAGATTTGCCACAGTCCTGATTAATAAATTTAGCCTATTTATGTTCTCATTCTGATCCTTGTAGACATTTAAATTTGCCATTTCTGGTTGGTAGAAAATCAATATAGAAAATAAAGAAGAAATCAAGTACTGACAATTGCCAGTGTATAATTTTCAAAACGTTAAAAACATGACTTATGTAAATATATAGAGAGCATATGTCAAGCAGACATTTAGCTCATTAACAAGAGAACCAGCAGGATGGCAAAACTGTTTCAAAGTAGAATGGAAGAGGTTGAAATATTTACAGTCGATGAAAGAAAAAGTACTGATATAAGATTGCAAAATTACAGATAAAACTAGTCAATATTGTACTGGACAATGAAAGTGTAAACTTTGCAGTTATCTTTTCTACCTGATGGAAATCATTTGCATCTCTATTGGAGAAAAAGTATTTTTAATGCATCAATCTAAACATGGATTTAAACAAATTAAATCCATAGAGAAGGGGACCTAAGCAATATTTGCTTGAAATTATAAGTCAAACAAAGGTATATTCCCCAGGAGAATGAAGTAATCCTTGGATGGCCTTGTTAGACAATGGTTCAGAATGACATAAAAAAGACAAACAACAATTCCTTTTATTTTTATTTTTTTTTTTAAGCAAGATTTGACTTTCTCAATTTTGTGGGTTTTTTTTTCTAACTTTTATTTTAGGTTCGGGGTACAAGGGCAGGTTTGTTACATAGGTAAACTTGTGTTATGGGGGTTTGTTGTACAGATTATTTCATTGCCAAGTCCCCAAAAGTTGTCTTTTCTACTCCTCTCCCTCCTCCCATCCTCCACCCTCAAGTAGACTCCAGTGTCTATTGTTCCCTTCTTTGTGTTCATGAGTTCTCATCATTCAGCTCCTACTAATACATGAGAACATGAAGTATTTTGATTTCTGTTTCTGTCTTAGTTTGCTAATAACCTCCAGCTCCATTCATATTCCTGCAAACAACATAATCTCATTCCTTTTTATTGCTGCATAGTATTCCATGGTATATATATGCACCATGTTTTCTTTATCCAATCAGTCACGATGAGCATTTAGGTTGATTCCATGTCTTTGCTATTGTGAATGGTGCTTATAGTGCTGTGTTAAACATTCAAGTGCTTGTGTCTTTATCATAGAATGATTTATATTCCTCTGGGTATATACACAGTAATGGGATTGCTGGGTTAAATGGTAGTTCTGCTTTTAGCTCTTTGAGGAATTGCCATACTGCTTTCTACAATGGTTGAACTAATTTACGATCCCATCGACAATGTGTAAGTGTTCCCTTTTCTCTGCAACCTTGCCAGCATCTGTTATTTTTTGACTTTAAAATGTTTCAGTTCTATGTTCACCAATTCTGGTAATTCATTACTTGCCTCATAATATAACAAAAAAATTGATGTGTCATTTTATAGCCAATTATGAGTTATCACTACAACTATTCATTTTTTAAACTCTTTTCTGAATGTTTCATTCTCATTAATTATTACTCGGTGCAAATTTAAGTTTTTAAATCTAACAAATAACAAGTTTTAAAAACATAGTTGCTTGTATTTATATACTACTTTACAAGTTTCAAAATATTTTTATTCTTTTTTTCTTCTACTTTTGCCAATGTTGATATTTAGAGTTATCGATATTTCAGAAGATGAGTGGTCAGTACTTTCAGATGATATTGATATAGAGCAGAAAATTTCTCACTAACTTTTGACAATTAAGGAATGTTAAGTAATCAAAATAAGAGCCACTTCAAAGGAACAATGAGAGCAAAATCCAGGTGACTTTTGGTTGAAAAAAAGAATAAGTAGCAACTAAAAAAATATGGTAAGAAGAAAATATTTAAAATTTTGTTCCAGTAACAGTAAAGCAATAAGGGACTTACATTTTGAGATATTTTAGTAATGTCATAAAATGATTATGGTTATTTTCATTCATCTCCTATGAACTTTGTTATATTTCAGCAAAATTAAGGTAAAATACTCAATACTTTAGGAAATTCACTTCGCTCCTAAAAATGTTCAAATCATTTTCTGATTTCTGAAGACAGGTATATAATTTAGACTTTTAAAAATTCTAGTTTCCAGGCTGGTTGAAAAAAGCTTCCTGTAATTTGGAAAACCTTTAAATGCTTATTAAATTTGGTCAAATTTATCCGTTCATCCATCTAATGCATTTATGTATTGGCTTACTTGCTTGAACTCTTTGTCTAATTGCCTCAACTCTTTAATTCTAATACAAATTAAATTAAAAGCAGACACTTCAACTATAAAATGAGGAACAAAGCCAATTCCCCATAGTTACTAAGTGTTTGGCTTATTATTAAGTTCTGTAGTGAGATCTCAATGCTTCAAAGTTGCATGACTGGTAACAGTATCTATTGTTTCAGTGGCAGAAAATCTTTCTGAAATGATAAAGAGTTGAGAGAAGGTATGAATGCTGTCAAACAGCTCTTTTGTCTGAAATTACAATTGTATAAACTAAAGCAACTGCATGCCCAGCTTGAGGGATGGGTCATTGAATGGACTCTGGCACATACTTTATCTGAACCCAAGATATTTGAAACGACATTTGTAACAGTGAGTTCTGAGCTCTAGCTGATATAATAATACAAAAAGACTCAAAAACAAAGCAAACCATACATTCCAGATTTCTCAAGACAGATAAATAATTCACACTTTTAAAGCCCTGGTTAATGGACTGGTTGAAAAAAAAAAAGCTTATTTTTGTTTGGGAAAAATTTAAATATTTATGATTTTATAAAGACTGTATAATTTAGGAATAAAACTAGTATCAATAGCCTGAAAATCTCTATCCAATTAATTGCAGTATCTTCTTTCTGCTTATCCTTGTAGGAGGTGATAGACATTCCCACAAAGTTTCTGCCTTCTCTACCTTGTTTTGACAATATACCCTTACAAATGGTAATGCTGACACATATGTCTATGTTAGTCTTACTATTAAGAGAACATCAATAGAAGCAGCATGTTACTGAGGAAGTATTTTGAGGCATAGGATAGGAGGAAAGTTTAGGCTCAGATTGCAGAAGGAAACTCTTTTAGGGGAGGAAAAAATATAATTTTGACCTGTTTTAAGTTCTCCAGCTGGGACCATGCCAATTAGACTAACAAAAGATTAACAAGAGAAAAATACACACATTTATTTAATATAAATTTTATGTGACACAGAAGCATTCATAAGGAAATGAAGACCCAAAGAGATGGTTGAGCCTGAGTATTTTCATACTAAGTATGATGAAGAGTAGAAAGTTATGGAGAGAACATGATAGGGCATGGTTAAGAGCTAAGAATAGTAAATGGGGCATTTAGCATCACCTGTTCAGATTTCTCTGTTTCCCACCATCTTTGGAAATAAGGATGTTTCTTTCCTCTGGAGGTAGGGAGGTCACCTCTCACTTGAGGATCTTATGACCTACTCCAGGGGAGAAGGATAAGGTTAGAGAGTTTTTGCAGTATTTGCTGTTTCTATGACCTCCTTCAGAGGAAAGGAGAAAGTTAGGGAGCCCTTCTTCAACCTGCTATTTCTCAAATTCCTTCAATATGCCAAAGTGCCATATTGTGGAGTAGACTGTTCATAAGCTTGTCACTCTGTTTAGTCAGTGAATCATAGATTCATTCTAAGTTCGAGAAAGGAAGTATCAAAGTATAATTTTCAAAAGTTAAAAATGTGACTATAATAAAAATCTAGAATGAACATAGATCAGAAAATTACTTATGGCATTATTGAGGGAAACAGACCAGTATTGCTGGTCTAACCTCATTAGAGGAATTGGGTATTTATAGGTATTTTAATGAAAAATAATGTTTAAATGAGATTCATAGGTTAGGCATATAAATGTTTAATACCTCACAGGGCAATAAAACCATAACCTTTGAATTTATCATTTTTATCAGAGAAGTATCTACAAATTAACATGCAATTTCAGTGTATGGCTGATCAAAAAATACTCAAGTCAAGACAGATAAGCTCTTCTAAAGCTGCAGCATTGAGAATAGCGTAGGGGCAAAAAGAACTTTGCTTCTACCCTGTGAAGATTCTGTAATTTCAGTCTCTGGAATAAACTTGACAGCAGACATATTAAGAGGAGAAAAGGGATGCCAATTTATTACATGCATACTCACTGGGGTTCCACAGAGTATACGACTCCAAAAAAGACCAGATGGCTGAAGATAGTATAGTATCCTGAGCTACAGAAAACAATAAAGGTGTGGGTTTCAGGTGGTGACAGGTTATAGGAGGTTGAGGGGAGGAAATGCATGGAGAACAAAGGTTGTCTTGATATGCAGGTTCTCTCAGGCAGCAGTCCTCAGCAAAAGACGTGGTGTGTTGACCTTCAGCCTCTTTTCTTCTGACTTAATCTTTCTGGTCTGATGAGATTATAGGTAGTGGGTTTATTACAGATGCTTTCTTTCTTTCTTTTCTTCCTTTTCTTTCTTTCTTTCTTCTAAAGGAACTTCACTTTGTCAGATAAGGGAACTTCAGAGAAAACCCATCCCTGCATTGGCTGCTCCCCAGGTACTTTGCAGTCTGAAGTTCAAAGCGGCATATATTTTGGGATACCTTTTTCTAAGCCGCAACAGTAGTCACTAGCTACCTATGTCATTTAAATTTAAATTCCAGTTAATTAAAATTAGATATGATAAAAATTCAATTTTCCAGTCATAGTAGTCACTTGTTAAATTTGGCTAGTGGTTACTTTATGGGACAGCATAAATATGGAATTTTTTTATTGTTGACCTAAAAGGAAGAAGCTGAGGCCAAATTAATCTAAGTAGAGAGTTTATTGGGACCAAGCTTGAGGATTGCAACCCAGTAGTACAGATTCAGTTTGCTCTGAATGTATACTCCTATTAGCAGCAGTTACAAGTAGGTTTTTAAAGGGAAAGAAGAGACCCTTCCTAACTTGTTTACTAAGAATTTACATTAAAGTAACATAAGTTATTGATTGGCTATACATTGTTCTTTGTATCACAAGTTCCAGGAACATGAAGATAATGAGTGAGACAGCTAGTCAGAACTGAAATGTCTTTAAACAGCTGCCCCTGGGCTCAGGTGTGGAAGGTATAGCTGAAATCCCATACTCAAGTCTCTCTGAGCCTGATTAATTTTGCATACCTCACATAGCTCAGACTGCTCTTAGCTATTTTTCTTTTCTCACCATCACTGTAGAAAGTGCTGTTGGGCAGCACTCTTCTAGAGAATTAATTAATCAGTCCTTGAGCAAGCCTTTTTTACAATTCCTAAGTATGCCATTGAAAGAAATTATCACCCCTCCATTTGCTTTATTTCCAAGTTTTGGATATTTTTTCAAACAAAGGAATCTTATAGATCTCCTTTTCCATCTTCTCCACCCTTTCCTTCTTTTAATAAAAGGGAATCTGAAAACAAGGATTTGCCTTACACTCAGAAAAGGTATTTATTCCTCACTACTACAGAGTTTAGCTGTGCTATTGAATCAGTTCTGTTCATTCCATCGAATGAACTATTTTGGACAAATGCAAAAAGTAAGAGATTACATTCTAAATACCTATATTTTAAAACGTGGAAACTCTTTATGCATGTATCTAGGTCGTCTTCAGTCTTCAGATAGCAAGAAGAAAGGCACCAAGATAATTATTTTACATAATTATTAAGTCACATTTTGGCATAGCAAGAGACTTTGCAGTTTCTTTTCATAAAAATGTCTATACTTTTGAAATGTCCTCTATGATGGTTTGGAAACACTTATGTTATTTTTGGATCATGATGCTAGATTGCACCTGTGATTCAATGATTTTGTGTATGTGTTTTTCAGATGTGCAACAAATGGCGATTGACTGGCTCACTCGAAATCTCTATTTTGTGGACCATGTCGGTGACCGGATCTTTGTTTGTAATTCCAACGGTTCTGTATGTGTCACCCTGATTGATCTGGAGCTTCACAATCCTAAAGCAATAGCAGTAGATCCAATAGCAGGGTAAGAAATTCTTTATAGTGTTTGGTCTAAAAAAGTTTGCGTTTAAAAAGAAAAGATTGAAGTATGACAAGTGTTGTTGTGGAAAATAAGACTACAGACTCAAACTTTTTAGAAATGTTGATTTTAACAACTGTGTCGCAGGAAGGAAAAAAGGCTATAACTCACCAGGCAGAAGCTGGTGAGTTATTAGTGTATGAATATTGCAGGTCTAATGTAAGACACAAATAACCTTCCATCTTCCCTTCCACCTTCCCAAGAATTGCATCAGGGTCATCAGAGAAAAGCCTCAGCATATTTTTAGGTTAAAGAGAGGAAACTTTTTAATGCTTAACAGTGGACTTTTTCGTTAGCAAACCTCCAGAATGCTACTTGAAGGATGTACTGTTGACATACTTATATCCAGCATAACGTTTAGGATTTACAAAAGGGGCACAACATATGTTTACCCAGATACTAGTAAAACATTAAAAATATCTTTGTTCAGACTCTTACGTTCGATGACTGTTGATATGTAAACCCAAATATTATTATGGTGTTAGTGAATTCCTCATCAGAATTCATCTTCTTTTTTTTTTAACTTCCCAATTTTGCAAGCTACTTTATTGGTTAAATAGAGACCTTCTGACATTCTTTAGCTAATAGACTCATTAATCTTTTTACCATATTTCATAATTTATAAAAATATAGTCATAAAATGTTTAAATTCCCATCATCTTTGTTCATATGATTAGAAAATCAATACAGGAATTATGCTTTTATTTTACAAATATGGTGGTATTATTAGAGGGCCAGGAGGAAAACTCAGTTCTTTCAGCAGTCACTACTGGGCAAGGATACTTTCAAATTAACCACATAGTGTACCACCTTATTTGAAGGAGCTGTTATTTTTTAAGATGTAAATTGTAGCAAAGATTTGAAAACTGAAATTCTATCCTTGTTATTGTTTTAATAGTCCTCAGGCAGTTCAGGCTGAAATGTCTGATGGAACATATCCTAAACTGCCATAAGCCTCCATTCAATAAATGGGAAAATATTTACTGAAGAAACAGCTGTCATCCATATGTGGACTTTCGTCACTCTTTACTTAAAGTCTGATTGAATATTAAGACGCATCATCACAATGGTTCTGATTTTGACAAGAACAGCTTGCACGTAAGAACTTTGCTGGGAAGGCTGTGTAATATAATTCTTGAATGTAGCTCTATTTGTATTTGCAGCAGATGGTTACTTGACTCAATCTGACTGCAGTGATGCTTCAAAAGACATTAGGAAAAGAAGTCGTATTTAGACTGATTTGTTTGGGTTGTTGGATAAGGGCAGTAAGAAAGAATTGGAAATTTACAAACGCACTAACAACATTCTTTTGGCATCCTGTTGAGAAATATATTGCTTGCATGTTTTTCCCTGGATGTGATAACTGAATTTCAGATTAGCCTTTAGACAGCAGTGTCTGTCAAATGTTAAGAGGTGAAACTATAAAACTATTGTGTTTTTCCCCTTTTTCTACTGCTCTTATCCTTCCCCATTCTTAAAAACAAAGATCCAGAGGCCCTTTTCAAATAAAACTGCCAATCTGAAATATATGGGAACACCATCTCTCTTTCTGAACAACAATATACTTTCTGTTCTCAGGTTTCCTGTTTCTCCCTGTCATTGTATGAAAGAACCATATTTTATCATTTTTGTCACAGGAATTAAGAGTAGAAAACCCCCACATCATTTGCTCTTATTCTCTGCTGGATTCCTTCAAGCCTCATAACTGTTTAAATGTAATTTTGTCATGTATCATTTATCAGAATAGGTTCTTTGGAATTTTTGTTTGAGTTAGTTCTGTCTCTATAGCACTGTTTTTAATCATGAATCATAGATATCAGAGAAGGAAATGCTCAACTCTTTTATAAATACAGGCCTGGTTGCCACAGAACACTTTAAAATACATTCTATTTTTCTCTTAATATCAGAAATTTAGTTAGGATTGATGTGATTCTATCTAAGAACGGAACAGGAGATTTTTCCTTTATCTTCTACATTTGGGCCTGCTCTAGAATAATTTGAATAGTTTTTTGGTTAGAAAAACTGCACATGACCTACTAAAGGGGAAATGTTCTGCGCCTAAAATTCCTCCTAGGTTTTCCTAATTTTACAGGATGATATGTATTTGGCCTTGACTATTATAACTTCTGTTCAGAAAATATCAGAATGTATTAATAATCTGACCTAACTCCTAGAGCTTGACCTTCATAGATTTTAAAATGGAGAAAAATTTGCCTTACCCCCCAAAAGGATGCCTGGAGAAAGTACCTGTTACTTAAGCATACTGGTTTTTTTTTTTTTTTTTTTTTGAGACAGAGTCTCGTTCTATCGCTCAAGCTGGAGTACAGTGGCACAATCTCCTCTCACTGCAACCTCTGCCTCCAGGGTTCAAGCGATTCTCCTGCCTCAGCCTCCTGAGTAGCTGGGATGACAGTTGCCTACCACCAAGCCTGGCTAATTTTTGTATTTTTAGTAGAGATGGGGTTTCACCACATTGGCTAGGTTGGTCTCAAACTGCTGACCTCTTGTGATCCTCCCACCTCGGCCTCCCAAAGTACTGGGATTACAGGTGTGAGCCTCTGCACCTGGCACTTAAGCATATTTGTAACTTCATTTTTCTCAACCTCCTATTCTTTTGTTGCTAAGGACTATTGAAGAAATATAATTTTTTGGTTCTTGTTTTTTTTTTTGTTTTTTTTTGTTTGTTTGTTTTTCAGTTCTCCATGGTTTAAATATAGATTACTAACTTTCTCTGGACTCCCATTATGACTTGAGCCAAGCTCCAGTCCCAGTCTTCCAAGAAGAGATTTTTAAATCAACCTTGTTTTTAATTTTAGATTTTTAGATGTGGACATTGACTCATTAATTCAGACTATTTCCCAGAGATGCTTCTAGAGATTTTCTTCTTCCTTTCAAAAGTTTTTAGCAACATTTCCTTTCAATAGTTCCTTGGAAAACTTTCCGAAATTATTTCTCTATAGTCATTAGAGTTGGCAGGTAGCATAGAGATCATATTCCAACCAACATCAAAAACAGCATTTCTGTCAGATGGTTAGTAGGTCTCTGCTTCTTTAATGGTTATGAACTTGATGCTGGAGTCAGTCTTACTGAGATCAAATCCTGGCTCCACCAGTTACTAGCTGTGTGACTTTGGATATTTCTTCTGCCTTTGTTTTATTGTCATAAAAATGTGAATTATGATAGTGCTGCCCTGCAGGGCTGTTGAAAGAATTAAATAAGGTCAAATACATAAAGAACCTTAACATTTTCTGAGTTGTGGAATATGTGAAGTTTCTTCTTCATTTCGCCTCAATGATAATTGCTAATATTTTCAACACTTGTGATACCATTACGAATAGAATAATGAGACCAATATTCTACCCCATCAAAGATGACCTTTTTCTTTTCAACCTTGTTCTCTTTCTACTACAAATCCTTCTAAAAAGGTCTATTTCATACAGATTAAATCTATTATATAATAAAGTGTTGAGAAAAAGAGGAGAGAAAATAAGAAAAAAAATGAAGTGTAGCCTAGGGAAGAAATAAAGATGAAGGGTATGTAAGGTGTAGGAGGAGAAAAGTATAGGGTACCTCTGAGTATGGCTCGGTGGGCATGGAGGGGAACCTTTTTTCTTACCCATCGCTGCACTTTGGCTGAGGCACCTATAATAAAAGACATATTGATAAGAGAAAAGCATACAAAGGTACTTACAAGTTTGACGTGACATAGGAGCTATTAGAAATGAACATCTGAAGTAATGGAAAACCCTGTTTTTTTTTTTTAATGTAACATTTGATGAAGTGGATAGCTGTGGAGAAGCACGATTGAAAAAAAGGGGTATAATCTAATGATAATCAACTGGGGGAAACTTAGTGAGGCCTGTGCGTTCAGTTTCTTCTCTGTGTCCCCAAGTTTTCAGAGATATGGAAGCTCCTTTCCTCCGGGTATAGAGTGGGCACCTCTCACATGAGGTTCTTATGATCTACTTCAGAGAAAGGTCAGATGATTTTTTTGATGGCCTGCATCAGGGGAGAAGGGACATCTGCTTCTGCTGTTTTCTCAACTGCCAAGGTGCCAGATTTTGGGTTAGCATGTCCTCTGAGGACACCATAAGGGAAGATGTAACAGAGGAACAACCTTATTCTAACAATTGCTGTTATGCAAGATATATTTGGATTACTTTCAAGGTCTTTCAAAAGACAAGAGTAAAGAATAAAATTCTATTGTAGTTACTTTTGTCTGTGGAACTGCATTTTTGAACATGACACTGCTTCAATATCAAACTATTTAGTATTGGGGTCTAATGAGGATTGTAACTGAGGTCAGGGGTGGAGCTAGTCTACAATTTTGTTCCTAAGCTGTGGCCCTCAGTTTTCTATTAAAGTAAAATCATCACACTATACTTGAGACAGAGTGCATTTCACTATGAGTGTGAACTTGTTGCAAAAGTATTCAACAAGAGGAGATAATTAATTCTAGGTGTGATAATTATTAGAATATTAGAGTAAAAGTAAATAGATATTTTAGTCAAGGTACCAAAGTTGGAGTTAAAATTTTGAGAAAATATATTTTGGGGAACTTGGGGTACCATTGATAAAACCCAGGTTCAAAAGAATTATGTGATTTGGCTAAATTGAGGGAGGGGGAAGATCTCCTATGTTAAGTAAAATAACAGAAATTAAATATTTTCCAAGGACAACATATACCCTTATTTCTGTGTGGGATGAATCTTTTGACTTGCAGACAGTGAATAGCAGAGTGATCTGTAGGATTTATTTGTGAACCCATCACCTCATGCCAATAATAAGGGAAAAGTGTGTTGTCTTTGTTCTGTACAAGAGCAGGCCATCTGCCAGGAGACAGGAGAGTGAAGCTCATCTCAAGTTAAATTCACACAAGAATGATTGACAGTATTGAAGAGTTTAAAAAACCCTTTCCCATCACCCACCTGTTGAAGCTAATAATGACTGAGAAATTAAAGATTGAATCAAAGTTAACAGCTATCGGGAGCAGGACTGACTAATGAAATTCTAATCTGGGTTGTTATGTGAAGTTGGGAAGATAGCAAATGAAGCGGGTTTGCCTACACACGTAAAAGGTTTTGTAATGAGATCTTTGGAGTAGTTAGCAGGTTTTCTACTTCTGTTAGGTGGCTCCCTGAGCAGGCACAGGTTCCAAGCTGATACTGTCACTAACTAATGCACTTGCAGTAGGACATAAGTGAAAATGTTACAGACATTTGGCTATTAAATGCCTCAGACTATGTTTGGACAAATTAAATACAGAGATTGCTCCCCCACCCCCAACCACTATGTATCACTTTGAGGACTGAGACGGTTCTAAAGCTGTAGGGGGTTTGAACATCATAAAACATTTAAACATACGACCCTTTGTACTTTTTTCTCCCCATAAATATACCCATCTTGGAAGGTAGGGTCCTCATCTGTGATTCATGACTGCCTTAAACTTTTAAAATGCTTATTTACATTTTGACAGGTTGCAAATTGTGAGTCCTAGCTTTTTAAGGATAAACAGCCCCCTACACATACCTACAACCAACTCCCCCCCGTAACAAAAGTTGATTTCCTAACTTCTTAACTACTTCCAACCAGCAATGTGACTTAGCTATCCACAATCAGATGCACATCCCCATTGTTCAAGGAAAGATATCTTTCTATAAACTTAGTTTCCCTCCAAATTTTCTTGTGTATTTCTTTTCTTTAGGAGGAAAATCAGAAAAATTAAGATATTCCAATAGCTCCAATAATCATTCTCCTGAGTTTATGTATTGAAATGTTGCAGCTTCTCTCCCAGGTATCTGGGACTTAAAGTTTCTTTGGAAAAAAAAAACTAATAAAATGAATTGGTAAAAGTGTATTTTGGTTTATCAGTGTATATTTGAAACAACCTAGGTTCTCACACAGAAGCAGTACTCAGATTAGCTGACCTCAGCATTCACCTGTAGGATGGAAAGTATCAAGGGGTTATTTGCCCACTTCTTTTAATCAGTGGGTATTGATGCAACATAATGACAACATCGCTAGGCTTATAAATTTGTATTAATTATTCTAAAACCTACCAATGCTTTTTTATCTATAGCCCACAGATTCAGTGGGTGGTATTATGTAACATTTTGTTTCTTTCATCTGTCTAGAGCCTATTAAATATCTAAATATTTTTTATGTATCCCAATTCCTTATTTGACTCTCCTACTATCTTTTTTTGGATGAGTAACACTTCTGGTGGTAGTTAAGTTCATGGAGAATTAAGTATGCAGCAGCTATCTGCCTATCTTAGACCAATTTACTAAGAGCCCCAAGAAAGTAATCCCTTGTCACTTCCCAAATTCAAGTTCCTTTCAGGATTTGCTGATGTGAATAGGCAAGACCACATGGGTGAGAAAGTATGTGTTTCCTGGTCTGCACTAATTTTGACTGAACTTAGCGGTTCAAAGGCTCATTCAAAGGTATAAATTCATGTCAGCTGTTTTATATAGGACTCACATTCTTCTCATTAATTAAATTTTTTGTTAAGGTTCAACTTCTTTCCAAATTCTTCTCTGGACCTTTCTTCAAGTGGCAGTTCATGCATAGTATTACTTTTGGTTAGTGTCTCTTTTAGTTATAAATTATATCTCTATTACAATGTGCTTAGCCTGGGAATACAACAGGGAAACTTGGAGTGGTTTATATGCAGTGAATACTTTAGTGGAAATGGAAGGCAAATTGATTTGACTCTCATTGCGCTCTTTGACTCATATTATTCATAAAGTCAACACAATGCAAAAACGTTCCACATTTCTACTTGCTCCCTTTGCCATTTTTTTGTTTCTTTCTTTTTTACTCTATAAATTTTCAAAGTCTGTTAAACCTCCCTCTCAATTACTGAGTGCACAACTCTGTTTCTAGTATTCAATGTCTTTCCCATCTTCTAGTCACTACCTATAAGGATTTCTTCTCTGAATTACCACTAGTTAATGCTGTCCACTCAAATAGGTAAAGTAACAGAAAAACAACTACATATAGTTCGGTTACTTTGGTAGATTAACAATATCATTGAGGACATGGGTTCCTTTTTTTCTATTTCTTTGCTCTGTAATGTGATCTTTAGTGTATTCTTTCCAGGATAATTCCTCTACGGTCATAAGGTATCTATTGAAGTTCCAGGGATCCTGTGTGGAAACATGATATTCAGTTGAAAAACAGTACTGTTTGTTAAGTGTACAAGAGCTCCCAAATCAGACATTCTCTCATATCTTCTTGGTCAGAACTGGAGTACATGCCCACCTAAATAAGACAACCACATGGAATTAGACAATTTTTACCATTAACAAATGAAAAACAGAGAGACATGAGCATGAAGTTGGGGCCAGGCTAATGTTAAGAAAGAAAAATCAGTTATGGTCTAACAACATCCATTACCACCACTGTCCCATGGCAGTCCTTTGTTATCTGCTACGCCTTATCTTTTCTTTGTTCTTCCCAGGCAGTGAAGGGTCTCTTTTCACTTAGATGAGCCTGCTCAAAATGTGAACAAATATTATTTGTTCCAAATCTCGTTCCCTCTTCTAAGAAATCTCCTCCATTTCCTTTTAGCCAAGGTTGTTTGAACTTCTGAGGAATATTTTTCTTATCTCTTTTCAAGAAAAATGATAGGGTTTTTGTTTTGTTTTTTGGGTTTTTTAATTTTTGGCAACATTTTATAAAATACTGATAAGAGGCTGGGGTGGGAGCATCCTGGATAACACACTCATATCCCTGTTTTTATTTGTAAAGACATAGTTTAGGAAACTGATAGCAGGTTTTATTCTGTTATATTCTCCAGCACTTTTGGAAGCTATATGAACATTTCCAAACCACTTGGGTAATATTCAGTAAGTTATTGTTTCACTTATAAAGTGAGTCTCAAGTGACCTTGAAAGCTTTCTTACTTTCTGCCAGAGAATAGCTTACATATTTGAAGTGTTTGTGCAAATAGCATAAAAGAATAATTTTATATTTTCAAGTAGTTTAAAATTATTTCTAGTTGTTTTTTTTTTTATGGAGTTCTATGAAAACAAGCAGATATGAGCCAGTAGTCCTGTATTTGAAAGGACTGTACATGGACAACATTCTTGTATCACTCAGGTTGTGATCAGGGCATCAAGGGTAAATAACATGAACTCTTGGAGTTATGTAAGAAATATTAAATATTGCAATGAGAAGATATGGTTATTCTAGTTTACAAAGAACCCAGAACATTCCAAACAACAAACAAAATGCTAAGCAGTGATTTATTCAAAATTCTGAGTTAAATAATGGATCAGGCACAAAATGTTATTTTCAAAAACTGGAAGAATCTTGGTTTGCAAACACCACAAAGAACAAAAATTAAAAACAATAAAAATACTTGACATTGTTCTGCTTATACATTACCACTCTGTAATATATAACATAAATTTGAGATTTTACTGTAGGCTATATAATCGCATTCAACCAAAAAAAAAAAAAAAAAAGGAAAAACCAACATTCAGCTTTTGTGTTGTTATGATTCATTCTGCTTGACTGCTGAGCCTTGCAGGATATTGAACCAAAATTGATATTTTTCCCTTGAGCCCCAGACTCTTAGTGGTTTGACTTGCAAGAATTTGGCCTGACTTTAGGATTAAGGGGATGTTTTCTGATGTAAGTTGGTTTCTTCTCCAGATGATAATGGTGGTCGTGGTGTTGGTGGTGGTGGTTGTTTTGTCATAGAAAAGGAAAAGGCAAATGTTGAAGGTATTTGGTCTTCTTTTGACTTTAGTGATATAATTGTCTTTGTAAGAATGGAGGTAAAAATTGTGCAGAGGTAAACCCATTAACTACAGATAAAATGTACCCCAGTGGAATGTTAAAATAATGCAGTGCCTTTTGGTAAAAACAAAACTATTTTTGCCATTGCGATTGATCTTCATAATGATTGAATATAGCCATGGTAATGTTGTCCACAACCAAACTAGGAAATCTTTATACTTCCTAAATCTGGCTTAGTGAGGAATAAAATGAGATTAAAAAGAAACATACAAAGAAAATATTCCTGCCTTCTGAAAGTTTTCAAGCTAGTTTTCCAAATGTAGCATTGGGAATCTAATTTCAACACATACCTAAATAATTAGTCTCATAAATTCAATCTGGGACCTGTCTAAAGTGTTTGGAGCTCTACAATGATCAAAAAGCCTCCAAATTGATAAGGTTTCTGATTCATTTTCTGCAAAAACAAAAATTTTCTGTTTTTTTAATTATTGTATTATTTAATTTGATAAAAGTTTCAAATATATCCATATAAATTTATTAATTGCATAAAACAATTATAATTTATACAGTCTACACACTAAGCTTTGCCTGAATATCAATAGAACAATCTTCTTATAACAACGGTATTTAGTAGGCTAATGATAGTTGCTTTTATAAAGTCTAGAATTTTGACTTAATACAATTAAATTATATTTAACATTCATACATGAGTCCAGCAAGAGTGTTATATGCTGATGGGCAGCTTTTCTCCTGCCTATCAAGGAGTTATTCAAGAATCAAGGTTCCTTTCATTTTATAGCTGTAGAATCTCATAGGGCCTTGGAATACTCTGCTCCCAACTAGCAGAAGGAGAAAAATACTGAAGATATATTGACATAACTGGATGCAAGTCAATGAGGAAAATTTGTCATCTGGTTAGGCAGTTCCTTGCCCATGACAGCATCATACTATGGAAGTGGAAGCATGCATTTCCAAGGAACAGTTGTTCATCTCTGCAAAATCTTCTCTTCTGGCTACCAAATATTTAAATATCTTTTCCCTCATACATAGGATATGCTACATTTAGGTCAAAATACAGGATCTCCAGCTGACTTGCAGTCCTCTCCATCATATCATTTTATAGTTCCTTTTGTACAGCAACCTAAGAACCAAAAGGCTCAAAGATATCTGAATCCACTGTCCTGTGTATCTAAACTATCAAAAGACTCTCATTTAGAAAGTGGAAGACTGGGAAACTCACAGTGGCCATTGGTCCAGAGCCAGGCAATGAAGGTGAAGACCTACTGCTCTGGCGATCGAGAAGTCACTTGTTAGCCTTATTTTTTTCTCTGTGAGATTCCCCGTTGTCTTTGTTCTCCTTAAGCTGTGCTTCCAATAGGAGGCTCTTTCTAGTCTGTTGTGCTCCACACTACACCTGAAGTTGGCAATGGGGAATATCCTGCCCCTGGGGCTCTGTGTATTTCATAAACTGTTTATTGCCTTTTCCGGTTTTAAGATATGAAGAGACAAAGATTCTGTAAGCTACACTCCTGGTTTTGTTTGCAAATTAGTAGAATTTTGATTTGTTTCCCATTACTTCTACATACCAATAACCATATTTAAAGTTATATTCTAGAAATAATGATCAAGCTCAATTTGTTTCTTTGCACTTCACTCCCTTGGCTTTCTCTTTCTACTTATTTATAGGTGGCTGCTTTGAGGTCATCTAAAACAATGTTTCAGAGTAAAACAAATACCTTTGTCTGAAGGCTAACTCTATTTAATTGAGAAGTCCTAATTGAACTTTTCTTGCTTAAACCATTTTCAATATTTTCTCTTACTGTTCAGGTATTAGAAGTATTAGAAAGTAGAAGTTTCTAATATTAGAAGTTCTAATATTGGAACTATTAGAAAAGTCTGAACCTGGGAGTCCCCAGTTTTGGACTTGTTCTTTTCACTTTCATTTTTTGCTTTAACCAGCCAATTCTTCCCTTCACTCATTTCTTTTGTAATATCTTGCCCAAGCAATCACATAGTAACTAATACAACTATTAATATTGTGCTTTTAAACTTATTTCTTTAAATCTGCAGGTTCAATACACATTTCTTTTTCCTTCCAAGATATTGCAAATGATATTATTTAACCAAAGATTTTTTAACCAAATATTTTAATGTTGATGAATATTTCCATTTTCCATTTATAGTTACCCAATTGCTTGCCACCTTACTATTAATGGAATGTTAGATGGTTTAGTTTTTTATTAAAGCGGTATTGTACTTGTGGTAGCAACTACAGCATTAGTTAAGGTAACACTAGCTTCCAGAAATTCTAGTGGATTGAAATATTTATTTTTTTCTACCTAAAATTAGAGCCCAATGCACATATTCCTCATTATCAGGCAGCTTTTCTCCAGGTAGTCATTGAGAGATGGAGCCTCCTTCCTTCTTGTGACTCCTATGTGTTTGATTTAAGAATTCTCTGATTTTGACCAGAGGTAAAAAGATGCCTGATTAAAACAAATAATAATAATTCAGCTCAGTGGTGCCATACATCAGTTCTGCTACATTTCAGTAGTTATATCTAGTCACTGAGTCATATATTGAGCCAAGAGACTAGAAAATGTGGTCTCTGTCTTACAAATAGCCAACCAATACACATTTTGGAAAAAGCAGAAGGAGGACATTAGTTTCTGATTGACAGATGTCTGTCTCTGTAACTGAAACCACTATGTAATTTTATTTTATTTTTTTGTAATAACATTAAATGAAGAACAGGTTAACATCTCAAAGGCCTCTATTTTAAAAGATATCTCAAATTGGGTGGAGTCATCTTTTTCAAAATCCTCTTTATAGTCAAAATTCAGTTTTATTATTTTACTTAGAGTGAGTCATTTTTATTAGATTCATTTTTTTTTTCTCTTGAGATACTTAGGAATCCAAATCATCTATTAAAAGTTTGTTTTGAAAACATAATCAGAGAAACAAGTTGTATTAATCTGTTCTCACACTACTATAAAGAACTATCTGAGTCTGGGTAATTTATGAAGAAAAGAGGTTTAATTGACTCACAGTTCTGCAGGCTTAACAGGAAGCTTGGCCTCAGGAAACTTACAATCATGGCAGTAGGCACAGGGGAAGGTCATCATGTGACCTTCTTCACATGGTGGTGAGAGAGAGACCAAGGGGAGAAAATGCCACACACTTTTAAACCATTAGATCTCATGAGAACTTACTCACTATCATGAGAACAGAAAAGGGGAAATCTTCCCTCATGATCCAGTCACCTCTCACCAGAACCCTCCTGTGCAATGTGGGGATTACAATGGGACATGAGATTTGGGTGGGGACACAGTCAAACCACCTCATTGCACCACTGCCCCTCCCAAATCTCATGTCATTCTCACATTTCAAAACCAATAATGCTTCCCACCAGTCTCCCAAAGTCTTAACTCATTCCAGCATTGACTCAAAAGTCCAAGTCCAAAGTCTTATCTGAGACAAGGAAAGTCCCTTCTGCTTATAAGCCTATAAAATAAAAACAAATTCGTTATATCCAAGATACAATGGAGGTACAGGCATTGGGTAAATGCCACCACTCCAAAAGAGAGAAATTGGCCAAAAACAATGGGGTTACAGGCCCCATACGAGTTAGAAACCCCACAGGGCAGTCACTTAATCCTAAAATTCTGAAATGATTTCCTTTGACTCCATGTCTTGCATCTAGGGCATGCTGATACAAGGGGTGGGCTCCTACAGCCTTGGGCAGCTCTGCCCTTGTGGCTCTTCATGGTACAGCCCCACAGTTGCTTTCATGGGTTGTTGTTGAATGCCTATGCCTTTTCCAGGTGCATGGTGCAAGCTGTTGGTAGATCTTCCATTCTGGCGTCTGGAGGATGGTGGTAATCTTCTCATAGCTCCACTAGGGAGTGCCCCAGTGGGGACTCTGTGTGGGAGCTCCAACCCCACATTCTCCCACTGCCCTGACCTAGTAGAGGTTCTCCATGAGGGCTCCAGTCCTGCAGCAGACTTCTGCCTGGACATCCAAACGTTTTCATACATCCACTGAAATCTAAGTGGAGGATCCCAAACTCTTGCCTTCTGTGAATGCAGGTTCAACACAACCTGGAAGCCACTGAAGCTTGGGGCTTGTACCCTCTGATGCAATGATGTGAACTTTACCTTTGCCCCTTTTAGCCACAGCTGGAGCTGGAGCAGCTGCTATGCAGGTCATCAAGTCCCAAGGCTGCATAGAGCAGCAGGGCTCTGGGTGGAACCACTTTTCTCTCATAGGCCTCAAGGCCTGTGGTGGGTTTTCTTCATTGTCTTGGTTATTAATATTCAGCTCCTCTTTACTTATGCAAAGTTTTGTAGCTGCCTTGCATTTCTCCCCAGAAAATGGATTTTTCTTTTCTATCACATGCCCAGGCTGTAAATTTTTCAAACTTCTATGTTCTGTTTCCCTTTTAAATATAAGTTCCATTTTCAGATCATCTCATTGTTCACACATACAAACTCACACTTTTAGAAACAGCCAGGTCACATCTTGAATGCTTTGCTGCTTAGAAATTTCTTCCACCAGATATCCTAAATCATCTCCCTCAAGTTTAAAGTTCCACAAATCTCCAGGGCAGGGCCAAAATGCTGCCAGTCTCTTTGCTAAAGAATAGCAAGAGTGATCTTTACTCTAGTTCCCAGTAAGTTCCTAATCTCAATCTAAAACCACCTCTGCCTGGGGTTCATTGTCCATTTTGTTATAAGCATTTTTCTTTCAAAACCATTCAATAAGTCTCTAGGAAGTTCCAGTCTTTCCCACATCTTCCTGTATTCCTCTGAGCCCTCTAAACTGTTTCAACCTCTGACTGTTACCCAGTTTCAAAGTTGCTTTCACATTTTCATATATCTTTGTAGCAGTGCCCCTGTACCAATATCCTAATGTTAGTCCACTCTCACACTGCTATGAGGAACTACCTAAGCCTGGATAATTGATAAAGCAAAGAGGTTTAATTGACTCATAGTTCCTCCGACTTAACAGAAGTCATGTCTGAGAGGCCTCAGGAAACTTACAATCATAGTAGAAGGTGAAGAGAAAGCAAGAACCTTCTTCACATGGTGGCAAGAGAGAAAAACGGGGAAAGTGTCATCAGATCTCATGAAAACTTACTTTCATGAGAATAACAAAGGAGAAATCTGCCCACATGATCCAATCACCTTCCACCAGGCCCCTCCCCTGACATGTAGGGATTGCAATTCCATGTGAGATTTGGGTGGAGACACAGAGCCAAACCATATCACAAGTAAATTATATGCTGTCCAAAGAGTGGAATAATAGGCAACTCTACCTTGGGGCAATTTCTGCAAATAATTTTTAGAACATAAGCCCTCTCTTCTCTGGATGGACTAGAAACACCATGAGGAAGTTCATTTTCAAATGATTATTCTTTTGTTTATGCTTCATAAGATCTTACTACCACCTCATTCCGTAGAATATCTTGTTTTCCAGATTTGGAGTCTTGGACTTTAAATACACATTAGCTTATCATTTATCTTTTTTTTTCTTTTGGAGCATACTCTGAATAAATGTAGTGCTTGCATAATATAAATCTGAGAGTGGAGGACAGAGAAGAGAAAGAAAAGTATTCTATCTCTAGATAGAATGCTATCTAAAATAAAAAGAAGGAGAAGTCAGTTGAAATAGTGTAAACATAGTATAATATAGTATATTTTAGAATACTTTGGACACTAACATGAATCTCATCTTTAACTGGCTTAAGAGGTAAGTAAATTTGTCTCACATAGCAGGAAGAACAGAGAAGAGCAAACTTAATTGCAGTCAAGATTGATTGAGTTGGTGCTTCAGTGACATCATCAGAGAGCCACATTTTTTTTCTGTTTTTCTGTTCTATCCTCAGCTACATCCTAATTATCTTACCCAACCTTATGACCCTTTTAATTCATGGTCATAAGATTCCTACCCACACCAAGTGAAGACAATTGTTTCCTTATTGACATGCAGGAGGAACAAGTGAGAAACTTAGCCCCACAATATAGACTATTAATCTATATCACTTAAGTCTGAAAGAGCTAAATAAGTTTGCTTTGTCATCCCTAGAGCACTGATAGTTGCTGAGGGAATGCCATGTGTAGCATGGGTTGGATTAATCAGAGTTCATCCCACAATCTGGAGGTGGGTTCCATTTCTCCTGAGTCATGTATGCTTTTGTTGTGGAGGGAAATAATGGCTATCTGAACATAGTCAAGTTTATGTTAGGAAAAATAGTTGGAAAAAGCAAAACTGAGATGGTTTATGTGAGGATGGAAGAGAAATGTATGGAATTAATGTCATGAAAATGTTTGCTGTGGGATGTGCACTGCTTGAGAACAAAATTACATTCTTCCTAATGGATATTTTGAGGTTTTTTATCAAAGCCCTGCAAATGCTAGATAAGAATGGTAATGGCAGTGATGATGATGATGACAAAGATGGCAGTGACAACTACATCAGTATCAGTGAAGGTGATGCTTACCTCAACAAAGCAGTAATTGAAGCTATGGATATAAAGTGTGTGGGTTTTTTTTTTTTTAATTTTAAAGCATACTACATTTAAAGAGAAATCTGTAATTTATTCCAGAGGGAATAATACTTTAGGAATCATTAGTCACATCCCAATAAATAAGACATAGGCTTGGATAATTGGAAATAAGGGAAATTTTAGTTAGAAAATAGAACTACTGGATGAAAGTTCTGCCTTCTTTAGATCCTCTTACTTTTTGGATCTGTGTATATTTCTGTTATTCAAAGGTAACTACTCACAGAGGATAAGGAGCATAATAGATAAATTCCAGGTTGCTTAGTAGAGAAAATCTATTTTAAGTCATTCCTGGTTTTATAATGTCTATTTTTCCACAGACTTATATATATATCAGATTCTATTTATCAGCCAATTGAATATTGCATGATTTAAAGAAAGATTTTGTGTATTTTACTACAATTAATTACATTAAGATAAAAATAGTGAATAAGCTGTTGATAGTGAATATCAACAGCTCATAAAACTTGTTCGGTAATCTATGGGATTGAAGGCTAAAGTATGATTGTGATTAAAAGCAAATTCTCTTTTTTCCCAAATGAAATAAGAATATTCATTTTAGTCAGTAAGATTATGAGTAAATATAAAGGATCACGGTTCCTTGCCTCAGATACCTGTAATTAATAGCATTTTTCATAACGTAACTGAGCTGCAGCATTTTCTGGAAAGTGGTCTTATTAAAGGTTTAAAATGGGAAGAACATTGCATTATGTCTTTGTCATAAGGATTATTCTGACGGTTCATGTTGTAGAAGTACACACAGGCCAGCTGAGACCATGTTATAATGCAATACTACATGGAGCATCCTGGCCTGCCTCCTGCCCTGGATGAACTGATGGTGAATACTTCCCATGAAGTGCATGGGAAGCTCATCTGTGCTTTGTGAACTATTTCATGATAAAAGTTATTTCATTGAGCATCTTCTCATATGTGATATCAAGTAACCTAGAACAGCTTTTCACGCTACCATCATTTATCTAAACACGAAGTGTTTTGTGTTTGGAGTAGTAGAGTCAATGAAATAGTTTTGCATTACCTATCTTTTTTCTTTTCACTTTGTGCTGCATCAGAATGTGAATTTATAGTTCTGATGGGGTCCATTTTCTTTAAGAGACAGCCAGAGAGAAAGGAGGAGAATAATCTGAAGAGCAATGTTACTGACTGTTTACTTTAGACCAATCATTATCCAGAGAATTTCTTCCACATTGATCCACGCAATCTTCACAGTGTTTCTTGTGAGGTATGGAGTAGTATCATTCCCTTTTAAAGATGAGGCTTGGAGAGGTGCAATTACCTACCCATGGTAAAAAAGCTAGTAAATGTTTCAGTCAGGATTCAGACTCAAGCCATGTCACTCCACAGCCTACACTCTTACGCTGCTACACCACAGCCACGATGAGTCGGCTTGAAGCTGGGAGGTTTTCTGATGAGATGTTTGGAAGTTTTGCAGTATTCCAGCATTCATCCAGAAGACTGTGTATCAGCCTGTGGTAAATGGCACTTGACAATATGCAAAGTGAGAATTTTATAACTTAACATGAGACAGCTCTAAGTTTGTATCAGCTCCATGAAGATGAATAGAAATGACACATAGAATTTGGTGCTGAAAAATTTAAAGGAACTAAATATATGACATTTTGGGACAGGGAAAACTACAGAGAAAGTAAAAACTTAGCAGTTACCAGGGACTGGGGTGGGGAAGAGGGAAGGGATGAATAGGTGGAGTACTGAGAATTTTTAGGGCACTGAAACTATTCTCTGTGATACTGCAATGATGTGTACATGTCCTATGCATTTATCAAAACCCACAGAACTATACAACACAAAGAGTGAAGCAATGTAATCTATGGACTTTAGTTAACAATAATGCATCAACATTGGTTCAGTAATTGTAACAAGTGTTAACACACCAAGGCAAGATTTTAATGATAGGAGAAACTGCCAGTGAGGAAGACAGGAGGTATATGGGAATTCCCTATATCATCTACTCAATTTCCCATAAACATAAAACTGCCATAAAAAATAAAGCCTACTAGTTTTATTTATTTATTTTTTAAGGAAGGGAAAAAAGAAACTGAGGGAGCACACGACTATAATTGTGGATCAATCAGGAAACAGATGACTAATTTCAGAATAAAACTATCTTTTCTGCTTTATAGTGACATCCAGAAATTCCACATTCTCACTCAGTTACAATCCAATTTCACAAATACATTTATTCTGCTCTCTGTGTAATCACTGAGCTATGAATTCTAGGTGAGCCTGTTTCTTTCTTGCCTCAGCCACTCCCTAAATAGAAAATGCAACACCTTTAGAAAGTAATCTTAACTCTTTAAGGCCACAGGGATATAATTCAAGGGTGTTTGAGTGGTTTCCCTGAATGCATACCTTAAAAGGATAGAAGAAAGAAGTCTCCCCATGCATTTCTTACCATTGTTGTAATGAAGGGTTTCTATTTTCCCATGCCTAGTCAGCCCTTGTTAATAAACTGGCATTTGAGAGGCATACTGACTCTCAATTTTTAATACAAAACAGCTTCTAATGGCTAAGTAAAAGGAAGTGGGTAAATATTGCCATTTCTTTCGGAGTGAAAAGTGGATTTATTTGCCTGCACTTTTTCTCACTACTGAAGTCACAGTGTAAGAAGGAAATAGTTTTAGAAAGTACCAGTATCCCCATAACCATGCTTTCTCCACAGAGCTAAAGTTCCGTGTGAGACCTTGCTAGCAACAAGACCAGAATGAGAGAAATCAAACAACGAGGGGATTATTAGAGAAAGTAGAGCCATGAGAGCCACGTTTTAGCCAAAAGTAAGGACTAGCTGACTCTCTCGCACAATACAAAATGCTTCTTCAGTTTTCATTTCTAGGACTGGTGGCTTGGTTGCCCCAAAAAGGACAGGTGTCTATTAAAAAGTGACTTATGTGAGTTTGTTATCATATCTATCATTTCCTGTCACTTCAGGATCATTGGGTTAACTTAGTCCTCATGCCTTTTTATAAGAACATAGGAGATTTTCAAAAGCACAATTATGGAAGAGAAGATTTAACCCCACACCATGAGATTACATTGCTGTATACAATGTGGCAGCTATGAGAGGATGTGGGCATATTTACAAACTGTATATTGGTACTTTATAATTAAGAATTTGCATAATTGGTAACAAAATCCTCATGAATAAGCTATCAATAACATCATGAGCAAAAGTAGCAGATTTTAATTCTATTCTTTTTTTTTTTTTTTTTTTTTGGTTAAGGTGTGGGAGGTGCACTGGAGAGAGCCATATCTTTTGCTTTGTATACCCGTTCTCATATCTTGTCTCCATTTCCATGTTTAAATCTTACTGACATTGGGCTGGTTGCTTCCAGTTGTCCATTTTGATACATTAAGTGATGAAGTCTCAAACTTTTGTTTTAACAAAGGACAGATTTTCTTCCCTACTACACGGGAACTTTAATTCTGTCGCTATTGCCCTCATAATTTCTGTATCTCATGTCACTGTATCGTGCAGTGCAGGATCCATGACAGACAGTGTAATTCTCCTCACTTCAATTACCTGTACCTGTCATGGAAAACATTCTGATATAAGTCATTGGTGGAATTTTGGGACACCTCTAGTAATTTTACATTAGGGGGATAACACAAAATTCCAAAACTTGTTGCTAATTGGAAGAAGTTTTTTCTTATTCCTTACATACGTCCCATCTCTTCTTTATTTATTTATTTATTTATTTATTTATTTATTTATTTATTTATTTATTTTTGAGACAGAGTCTTGCTTTGTCACCCAGGCTGGAATGCAATGGTATGATCTCGGCTCACTGCAACCTTCACCTCCCAGGTTCCAGTGATTGTCCTACCTCAGCCTCCCAAGTAGCTGGGACTATAGGGGCCCACCACTATACCCAGCTAATTTTTGTATTTTTTGTAGAGACAGGGTTTCACCATGTCGGTTGGGCTGGTCTCAAACTCCTGACCTCAGGTGATTCACCCACATTGGCCTCCCAAAATGCTGGGATTATAGGCCTGAGCCACCGCGCCTGGCCAGTCCCATCTCTTCTAACCAACTTTGCTCTTAGGAATAAATGTTTATGACAAAAAAAACACCCTTGAGTACCACATTTGTCCTTATTGCTTGCATTTACTCCATCTGCTGTGTTATTTTGTAAGCTCTTTGCTTGTATTATTGATCTAATCTTCACAAAAGCCTATGAGATAGGTATTTATTGTACCCATTTTACAGAACAGGAGACTGAAGTGGGGAAGAGTAAAGTACTTGCTACATGTCACACATTTCACCAAGTAAATGAGGTCAGGGTTTGAACCCAGAAAACCTCTCTCTAGGGTTCCTGATTAGAATTGTAGATTTCTGGACAGGAGCAATTTAATTAAAATAAAAATATACAAATGTAAGTTGCTATTTTGGAGCAAAACATCCTTGAAATTATTATTACTGTTGTTGTAATTATTTTTCTTTCATGGTCTTTTCTTTTTTGACAGACTGAATTGCAAAATTTTCTCTCTAAGTTTGTGGTTCAGGATTTTAAATTTCGGTAGTGATTGAGTGTGATTATTTAATAGTTTACTGTCTTGCACAGTGCAAGTAGTGACTGAGTGTGATTATTTAATAGTTTACTGTCTTGCACAGTGCACTTCACTGCTCTAAGTAACAGACTCATTTTCTCCCAAAACCTAGTTATAATAGACACCACTGCTTCACTTTCAGGCAGATGGAGAACAGTCCTGTTTAATGCACGTCATTTACAATAGATACAGGCTGTCAGAAAACTTCTGGTAAAATAGGATGCTGAATCAGACATTTATTTTTAATGGCAATTGCTGAAACATAGACTAGCCCACCCAGATGAAAATATGCCATATCACTTGACTTTATGGATAAAATGTGCTGAAGTAGTCTTTGTCATTTTCCATTTGAGATTTCTGTTTTAGTTTTCTTAATATACCCTGATTCCCATCGCTTCTGTTTTAGCAACTTGTTTGTTGTCTGAAAACTATTATACTATACTTTCCATTTTAATAGATACATCTTCATTTTTATTTCTATTATTTGTCAAGAATCATCTAGCACAGAGTAGTTGTATCAAAGTTATAGGCATGTACTCCAAAGCCAGCAGACCTAGATTTGAATCCCAGCATAGCCACTTATTGACTATATTGTAAATATATATTAATCACTGAAAACCAAGTTTTCTCACTTCATAATAGTTCTATCAATGGTCACTGTAAAAAGTCAAATGAATTAAAGCTTCTGAAATGATTATGATTTTAAGTACTATTAATTTTACTTCTCGAATATGAGACATCAAATAAACTATGATGAAAATCCCTGACATAAATAGATTTTTAAAAAGTAAAGATGAATTAACACCTAGATGATTATATTGTATATATTATAATCACCTGTAAATCACTTTTATGATATATATATCACCTATATGATTATACATTGGTCATATATAGATAGTACCTGTTAGGTTAGTTGATGACTATCTTATATTGATTAATAAGTACTTTAATACCACGCCTGGAAAGAAGAAATGAAGAACTTTTGTTATTATTTATTATGTGCAATTAATGAATATCTTCTCAATTCCTCTTTGGGTTAATCTATATAGACACGATTATTGGAAAATATAATGGGAACTATATTTGTATAAAATTAAAAATGTTAATTGCCACTTCAGCCACATATATACTAAAACTGGAATGATACAAAGAAGATTCTTCTGTCTCCTGCATAAAGATGATATTTGTGAGGCATCCCATACATTAAATATTTTTATTAAAATTGCATTTTATGTGTGTTTGAGCGTGAAATGATAAAACAAGTGTAGTAAAGAGTGGTAAAATGATATCAAATGAGGATTTTGATTGAGAGGTTTATGGGAGCTTTTTGTATTATATAACTTATATTTAAGACTGTAATAAAAGTTTAAAAGTTAATCAACTGTTAGAAAATAAAAAAATAAAAAATAAGTAACAACCAGTTTCCTAAGTAAACGTGTTTCAACTAGATTTCAGTGTGTACCTACAGAATTAGTGTTTCTGAAGTATAGAGGTTCCATGTTCTATGAATATATTATGTTATAATTGAATTTGCTAATACTCTGCACTGTTAGAAAAAATGTATTTCAGAAAAACAAAACATTTTTCTAAAATTGTTTTCCAGTTATTAAATCAAAAGAGTTTAATTGAGACATCTTATACAAATTATTAAAAGAATGCTATTTATCCTTTACTCTGTTGCAACCAGTAAATATTTTCATAGATGAAGACAACTGCACATACAAATTATGACAATGCTCTGTGAATATAAACAATATGTTATCGTCAAGAATGATAGAGTGGGGAGGGGGAAGTGGGGATGGTTAATGGGTATAAAAATATAGTTTAATAGAATGCATAGGATCTAGTATTTGATAGCACACCAGGGTGATTACAGTCAACAATGACTTATTGTATATTTTAAAATAACTAAGAGTATAAATGGAATGTTTGTAACATAAAGAAATGATAAATGCTTGAAGTGATGGATACCCCATTTACTCTGATATGATTGTTATGCATTATATGCCTATATCAAAATATCTCAAGTACCCCATTAAATATATACACCTATTATGCTCCTGTAAATATTAAAATGTAAAAAAAAAAAAAAAAAGAATGAGAGAGAAGATGTTAGTCAGAAAAAGCCTCACTGAGAAGAGGACATTTAAGATGTTATCTAAAGGAAAAGACAATAAAACGATGGGAAGGAAAGTGAGAACGTAGAGAGCAGAAGCATGGAGAGGGAGCAAGTCTGTCACCTTAAGGAAAGAGAGGGCATATCTGAGAAGCTGGAAGAACATTGGTATGGTTGGGTTAAACAGAGGAGTTTTTCAGGTAGATTTACAGTTTCGAAAGATAGAAAGGGGTGTTATGGTAAAACATAGCGTATGTGGGGTAAGGAAGCAAAAGTAGGAATGGAAATGGGGAGATTAGTGGGGAGCCTCTTTCAATAGTGTAGGATGGGTAGAGGTTGCTTGCACTAGGGTATTACCTGTGTAAATGGAAGGGACATCATTATAAGGAGCTTGTGAACATAAAAGGTATAGAAGAGATTTACTTTATTGGAAATAGCTATGGCTTAAGACTTGAACTGGAAACATTCTAATAGCTACAATAGCGCATTTCACATTTAAGAAAATATTGCAACCTTGTTATAGCTAGCATTGAGTTAACCAGGATTTCCAACTAAAATAATTGTATATTTTTCATTGAGTATGAATTTAATCATACATATTCATACACTAAAAATTACACAGAACTTTTAATTGCTTGTTTTCCTCTTTGCTATTGTTATTCCAATTTCCTTAATGGTTCAATTATACTTTAACTGATTAGTAACACAATTTCATATTATATGGTTGAGAATGATGATAAGGATGAGGATGATGATGCATTCCCTAAATGAGCAGAATAATAAGTGAATAATTCACTTGTAAATTATTGATATCATGAGCTTTTAAGAGACAAATATAAATCTAATAAATGATGTAAAATTATTAGCTAATTTAGCTTGCAATCCTGATATGCCATGGGGATTGGTAACCTTATTGTATTTGTAATACATATGGTTATTTAATGATTGCTATTAATATTTCACCTCTAAAGAGTTTACAGATATATCCAATAAATAAATAAACAAAAATAAGACAGTTGGTAAACTAGAAGTGCAACCTAGTATATTGGGAAGGGCCTGGACTGTGTCAAAAAATTTGGCTTTCAGTTCTGTGGTTGAGTAACTTTGGTTAATTCTTGGCTGATGATTTCTGAAGTTTCTTTCAACTCCCCGATTTTGTGATTATTTTTGAAACATACTGGCAACTAGAGCTCTCTGGCTACTTTTAATCTAGGTGTTTATGTTCATTTCACAGTCTCTCTGCCTAATGACATTTGTTTTAAACGAGAGCTATCTATCAATGAAGATATTTCATTGCCTATTACTGTTTTTAGGCTTTATTGAGAAGCTGGATTCTTAAGATGGAAAAGTCAAAGGCAGTTTGGCAAGCTAGAGAGAGGAATAAGATGATTAAAAACCTGGCCATTAAGACAGTTGGTGAAACATAAATTAAAAAATAAGGGTTAGTAACTTTAGTAGTTAGGTAGGAAAACATAGAAGAAATTTTCAATCAGCAGAGGAATTCTGGACCAGCTGCTACTATATTTCTGATTGCCTTACCCCTTCTTAGAATGACTCTGTATCTTCTAAATTTTAGAGTTTATTTTCTGTCCAATGGAACTATGGGGGATTTAAAACTGCTTCCCCACATTTGGATTTCAGCAGGATCTGTTTGTTACTATCACAGATAGAAATATCACCCCAAAACAGACATCATCATAAAGACTACAGAGAAAAAGAATGGAATTTGTGTTAGAGTACTTTGGGTTGAATCTAATTTGATACCCTGCTAGTTGTTTTATGAAACTGTAAGAAAAATCACTTCTCTAACATTCAAAAGCAGCATTTGTAAAATGTAAGCAATTTTATCTATTCATTTATTCTCCTTATGAAGTCATGAGAATTATAGACAGTAACATATGAAATTGCTTTGTTATTTAAGGAATGTTATGCATATGTTTGCTAGTTTTTTATTCATCAGTTTAGGCTATTTAGTGTGACCATTGATGGACATTGATGAAAATTGGGGAATTCCTTTACCAATGTTAGTCAACTTTTTATTACCGTAGAGTCAAATAATGATTAAGTTGTATCCCTATACCTGACACTAATTAAGAAAAAAAAATTCCACAGAACGCTTAGTTCTTACGGCTCTTCAATAGATTATTTATTATGGGATCATTAATTTCTTTGAAAGATTTTGACTTGCTTCTCTCTAACTTTCATTTCCACCTCTGCTTCTTTGTAGAGCAATAATTATCTTACCCATATTTAAATTCTCTGTCATCCAATTTATGTAACAACCAGAATTGAATTCAATATTTTATTAATACAATGTAAGTTAATGCTTTTCAAAGTCTTATTTTGTTTATTAGGTCTAATGTAATTTACCCACAGAAATAGTAATATAATGTCAAATTTTGAAGGTCTTAAAGAATATATCCAAATATTTAACATTAAATAGGTCCGAGGTATAGTTTACCCATGCAGGATATAAATTTTGGATTGATACCTGTATTAGTTCATTTTCATGCTGCAGATAAAAATATACCTGAGACTGGGTGATTTATAAAGAAAAAGAGGCTTAGTGGACTCACAGTTCACATGGCTGGGGAGGCCTCACAACTATGGCAGAAGGCACATCTTACATGGCAGCAGACGAGAGAATGCGAGCCAAATAAAAGGGGAAACCCTTTATAAAATCAGATCTCATGAGATATATTCACTACCATAAGAACAGTATGGGAGAACCACCCCCATGATTCAGTATCTCCCACCAAGTCCCTCCCACAACACATGGGAATTATGGGAGCTACAATTCAAGATGAGATTTGGGTGAGGACACAGCCAAACCCTATCAGTACCAGACCAAGATTGTAATCCTGACTTTTTCCGGGCATCTTCCTTATGCAATCCAGTGTAAATTCCCAAATTATCATATGTCTAAATGATCATCAGTCAGTAGAATCATCTTGTACTGTAAAATGACGTTATTGCCATTAACTCAAATTATATCTTATAGTGTAAACCCTTTATTTAGTTCTTGGAAATATATGCAATTGTTTGACAGAAAAAAAGTTTATAAATATATACCCCAAGCATATTTGTTGTGAATGAGCTGTTTCCTTTGTTTTAAATTAGGTAGTTTCCAAAAGAAGAGCTTGAGAAAACTACTTGTGTTTAGGTAGTCTATTTGTGTGGTAATACCAGAAAGCAGGAATGAGGGATGAAGAGGAGCAAAGGAAGAAGGAAAAGTAGTATTACTGAGGCAACTGTACTAAACTTAGGCTTGATTCTCCCTGGAACTTTCTGAGCATAAAGGATGCTTGTCACAGTGATGTATCTGTGGATTGACGATGACAAACCTCTTTCCTCCATTGGTTGAGAAGTGCCTTGATAGATTAATGTCTTGGCTTCTTCTGCATGTCTGATGAACAAGATTTAGTTTGCTCAAAGTGAGATACTATAAGCATCTGGAAAATCAAAACCCATATTTAACTGTCCACCACAGATTCTACATGAATTAAGTGCCAAGAGGATGCATGGAGGGATATTATATACATTGTTAATATATTTTGTGAACTTCACTGATAAACTATCTATGAAAGCACTGTTTACAAAACATCTAGATGCCAATATTATTGTTTTTATTCCTATATTTTCAATTTCCAATTTGGAAAGCCAGAATATAATTAAACTGAAGTCTCTTTAGTTATTTTGTGTTTATATCAAACACTGGGAAAACTTGGAGATTTTATCCTATTTGCAAGCTAACTTCCTTGCCTGCCAGAGTTTCCTAGATCTTGGAAGAAGATATGATACACTTGGGTCAAAGATAGAGTACTTTATGACTCATAGTACCGCAGGCAGTATGAGATGCAGGCTCACATTGGTTCCCTTGTTTTCAGACATCATTGAAAAGATAAACAGCAGCACCAGGTTGTTTGCATTCTGGAGGAAGACTCCAGGGACTGTTCTAAAAGACAAAAGATCGTGAATACTCCTTTCGTCCCCATACCTTCCAGGGTAATGTTACCCCTCCTTCAAATTCTGGATTTTTGCTTTCGTTCCACCTCCACAAAATCTGGGGTAGCTATAACTTTATTCCTGCTCTGCAATGACACATCCAGACCTTTTGTCTGAAAGAGTCAGATATAAGAGAGACAAAAGCATATTTATAAAATATTTCATAAACATTTTAAGTTGTAATCCTCTCATCCTCATTCTGGACCAGTGGCAACCTGGGGATTAGACTGGCCTGAGGTTACTGTTATAAGGGAGAGACATAATATGCCTAGGAACAGAAAGGAATCTTGAAATTTCAAAGTAAGTCTATATAATTCCATATAATCTTCACACCCCTTTCATCTGAGATTTCATCCTATTTTTAAGCCAAGTTGTCAGGGTTTTGTAGTCTGTTAGGACAGAGACAAATGGCTTCTTTCATCGAAGCATACAGCTCCCAGCAAGAACTTATCATATATGCAAATCACTTCCCCCTGCTCTCATATCCCAAGGGACAACGTAGGGGTAGACACAGGTGGGTGCTGTGCATATAGTGAGCTTGTGTCATAGCTGAGCATCCTGAGTTTAAGAATCACCCATCTCCTAATGCCACAGTTAGCAACAAGCACAACTTTGCCCTAAAGGGAAGCATTATCTTTATTATTCTGGTTGGACAATAAATCTGCCTTCTGCTCTGAAGGGAGAAATTATCTCTATCTTCCCAAGCTATTTGCTATACAACAATCCTTGAAAAGATAGTACAAAACGCAAGTTGCCAATGCCTTTGCTTTACAAAGGTGTGGAAGTGTGAGACCCAATAGAGAATTGTCTCACAATATTTCATTTATTTTGGTGATAGAATTCTAGTCTTTTCGTCAAAAATGACTTCATTATTTCTGATATTATCTATCCCTTCCTGTCAGCTCTTTTAAAATAATGTAGCCTCAGATTAACCTACAAATAAAGTATTAATTGTGCAAGAAATTGAAGATGGATATTTGACAAATTTACTTTTTGCTCATCGTTTTTTGTTTGTGTGTCATGTCTTCCCAGAAAGACTGTTCACTGCTGTAGTAACTAGGAAAATGAGCCTTCTGTATACTATGAGCAGTACTGAAAGGATCCCATGTTTGTTTCATGAGGTATATGTAAAAACGGTTAACAGTTAAATTGGAAAATAAAAGTAATGGAGAAAACTTTTTAAAAAATTTTGCACTAATTTTCTTCTATTTTAGATGATGGATAGAAGAAAGAAAATCTCCTATTTTATTGTACTTAATCCGTTTATTTGGAAATATTTAGGATTTCTCAAAAGTTGCAAAATTAATAGAAAGTTCCTCTTGTACCACTCATTCTGCTTTCCCTAATGATAACATTTTACAAAGCCATAGTAAATTATTAAAACGAGGAAATTTTTATTGGCTCAATACTCTTAATTGTAACCACTATTCAGATTCACATGCACCCTTTTTTGGTATATAGCCCTTTGGAACCTTATTTTATATATATATATATAGATTAATTTTGCCATCACCAAAATAAAGATATTGAACATGTCCATTACCACAAAAAAATTCTCATATTTCCCGTTAGAGTCATACTTTCCCAAGACTCTAACTTCTGGCAACTGCTGATCTGTTCTTTTTCACTGTATTTTTTTACTTTAAGAGTATTTAATAAGTATAGTTTTATGGTTAAAAACTTTTTGAAATTGGCTTTTTTTTTCCAAGTCAGCATAAGGCCCGTGAGATCCATTCACATTTTTGTGTACATCAGTGGTGTATTCCTTTTTATTGCTGAGTAGTATCCCACTGTGGGGCTGTACCAGATGATATTTATTCCTTCACCTCTAGAAGAAAATTTCGATCATTTTTAGTTGGGGCTGTTACAAACCTGCTATGAAAATCTGTCTATAGGTTTTTGTGTGTGAGCATAAATTTTAATTTTTCTAGGATAAATACCTAGGAGTGTGATTGTTGTAACTATGGTAAATTCATGTTTAACTTTATTTTAAAATGACCAACTTTATGAGTGAGGCTGTACAGTTTCACCAGCAATATATGAGAGATCTAGTTGTTCAGACATATTCTCCAGCACTTGACATTGTCAGTAATTTTTACTTTAGCAATTCAAATAGGCACATAGTAGAATGTTATTATAGTTTTAATTTTCATGTCCCAATGGCTAACAATGTTAAACCTCATGTGCTTATATTGCCATGTATTTTTAAAATTCTTTATTTCTTCTAAAAAAAAATAAGAAATGGGATACATGTGCAGAACATGCAGGTTTGTTACACAGGTATACTGATGGTGGTTTGCTGCACCTATTGACCTGCCCTCTAAGTTCTCTCCCCTCACCTCCCACCCCTCAACAGGCCCTGGTGTGTGTTGTTACCCTCTCTGTGTCCATGTGTTCTCAATGTTCAGTTCCCACTTATAAGTGAGAACATGCAGTGTTTGGTTTTCTGTTCCTGTGTTAGTTTGCTGAGGATGATGGCTTCCAGGTTCATCCATGTCCCTGCGAAGGACATGATCTCATTCCTTTTTATTATTGCCATATATTTTTAACTAAATTTGTTTTGTTCTAGCAAAATGCTAAAATGTTGAACAATACATCTTTTGCCTTCTTGATTTCCTGTCATTTTCAGAGGCTATGTTTAGTTTTGTCATTTTATGAAGAACTTGTACTTTTTAAGCATGTTAATAGCCCCAAAAAGTGATGATAACAAAAGGCAACACTTAATTTTTCCAATTGTCTTTCGATTAATTACCTTTGCTTTTTAAGAATTACCCTCGGATCTCTCATGTGTCTCATCAACTACGGCCCTGAGCTGGGTGCAGTTGTGTGCACCTGTAGTCCCAGATACTCAGGAGGCTAAGGCAGGAAGATTGCTTGAGCCCAGGGCTTCACGTCCAGCCTGGGCAACATAGTGAGACCCCATCTCTAAAAACAAACAAACAAAAAAACAAAAATAAAAACTTATTAATGACTTTCCTGATTTAAATTGCTTTAGTATCAATTAATGAGCATATACTGCCCTAATTAAATTATTTTCCTTCCAATTCTTTCCTCCTCCAGGCTAATCAACTGTAAAATTATGTTAGACATTTACAAAAAGTAAATGAAGAAGATCACTCTGAGTTTACTAACATGAGATTTTGCTAAGGTGATATGTGAGAAATATGTTGTTTTATAACGACTAATCTAAATGTGATACATATTTAGGCACCTTCTGTGGAAGAGAGATAACTTCATACATTTTGTCTTTTATTCATTTCCTTTTCTTTCCTTCACTTAGTGAAGACTACTAAGCACTGATTTTATTATAAAGCACTGTGAAGAATACCAATATGTAGAATAGTTGTATACTTCTAGAATCTTATGACGAACATGGAGTGAAAACTGGCTATAAGAAGTAATTTAAAATAAACAGCAACCACTCTGGACTATAAAAACTCCAGATTGATGCTTCCAGCTGAGTTACAGTTCACCAATTTAGGTCTTGATTTTGTTGTTGTTGTTATTTTATAATCTCTAAATGAGGAGCTGGCACTCAAAATTATCTGTATTCAATGCTACTTGTAATGTTCTCCGAGACTGGAAATCAGAGGAATATTCTTACAGTTTGCAGACAGAAGGATTCCGACTGTGCAAAGAGGCCTAAAGGGAAATGTATACTGTAGCTGCTTAGTACTACATCTAAGAAAAAAGAAAAGAGATATAACTTACACCACGACATTGGATTACCTTTGTATATACTTAAAAGAGGCTCAGAATAAGTGATATCTTAGTGTCTCAAGATGGGCCACAGAGAGAACAAAATTGAAAAGACAAGTATCTTGGAGTGAGGTGAGCATAGACTCAGGAGAGACCTGGTTGGTGCCAGTAGTGCTGCTTTCTATCACAAGCTTTCTCTGCTTCACTGATTTGTCTATAAAAGAACAAATTTCACCTTTTCTATGCACTTAAAAAATGAGACATAAGGACACTGAATAATTGCTAAATGGCATAATTTATATATTTTGCTTTTTATTATATGATTTGAGTTCAGCTGCTCTTGACTTCAAATTACACAGTGCTGCACTGAAATTCCATAATTATTTAAGAGATAAAAGGATTGCCTTGTTTAATAGCAGCGGGGTAAAGAAACATACATGATAAAAGAGGCTTAATTCAACTGGTTAAAAAGAGAAAAAAATATATTAATGTGATTTATGTGATTTCAGTCATTTAATGATTATATTCAAACTGCAATCCTTCCTATATTCAGTGAGAAGATCTGATTTCCAGTATTTCAAACACTTGACAGAACTAGCCATAAATAAACACATTAAAAAACCTTTTAATAGATAAACTGATTGATTAGTTATGACAACTGGTGTATTTGTAGATACACTAAACAAGCAAAATACATGCACATATTAGAGCAACATTTTTTGTGCAGACTTCAATAACTATTATGGTTGCTGAACTCTGCCTAACCAATCACAATCACAAATTACACCAATGAGGGTTTTAAAGGTAAAATAGCTTAGTGATTTTTGTTAACTCATTCTTAAGTTCATGGAAAAAGTTCCTACATAAGCTTTTACCTATATTCTTTTCTCAGCGATGTTAAACAAATGATAACTAGACTGTCTATTGAATAGTAAACTTTTTTACAGCACAATTTTTGTGTAATTAATGACGAGAATATGCACAAAGATTTGTCAGCTCCCTGTTGACTAAGATCCTATCCATGATAGGATATTACTATTTGAATGAATCGAACTGTAGGAAAATCTACATGTTTATGTCATTTAAATTTTTTATATTGTACGAAACAATATAAAAATGATAGATGGGCCATTGTTTCATTTCTGACTCTGCAGATACTATGCATGTGACTTTGGTTCTTCTTTCTGCCATCTGTTTTGTTTTCTCAACCCTGAAGAAGAAAGCAAGACTGTTCTTCTCCAAAGTGCCTTTTAGCTTAAATATTCATGTTTTCTATATATACTATGTAAATATCACAATTTGGAAAATACGTATATTTTATATATATGAAGTAATAATGAAACTTTATTTTATCATCCAGAAAAACCTGTTCATATGTTATTAATATCTATCACATGGATTTATATGGAAGCATTTATAAAGTCACATAAACTTTTATATTCCTATGTTTTATAAAACTTGAGAGCAAATAAAAATTGATATCCTGTTACACATACTTTTTATATCCATATTTTTTATAAATTTAAAAGCAAATGATAGGTGACATAAAACATCTTCGTTTTTTTAATAGATACATAATACAATAACCTATCCAATGAAGTTTGATAATATAACTATCTTTCCATTTGCAGATATCTCTGAAGGGTAGAAGTTGAGATCTAGAACAAGAGTCCTCTGGGCTAAAGGAATGGTGTTCTGCTGAGTATTCTGAAATTTTTACCACCCCAAAATTATAACTAATGTTGGGGTTTTTCTAGCAAACATTAATTCATTGTGACTCTGCTTTAAGATTTTGCCATTACTTTACTTTGTTTCCAGACTTTGACTTTTTAAACAGGAAATAAAAATTACCCTCAAGATTCAAATTCCTACATTGCACATATGCCATTGGGTTTCCTATGCTCATTCTTGCTTTTATATATATCTATGAGAGAACTCTCTCTCAGCATGTAACATGCCATTTCTACACTCCTATTTCCTGCTCAGAGTTGAAGTTTGTGAATTGATTTTTTTTTTTTTTCTGAGATAGCCCTGTCGCCCGGGATGGAGTGCAATGATGTGATCTCGGCTCACGGCAACCCCCACCTCCCAGGTTCAAGCAGTTCTCCTGCCTCAGCCTCCCAAGTAGCTGGGATTACAGGCACCCACCACCATGCCTGTCTAAGTTTTTGAATTTTTTGTAGAGATGGGTTTTCACCGTGTTGGCCAGGCTGGTCTTGAACTCCTGACTTCAGGTGATCCACCTGTCTCAGCCTCCCTGTGTTGAGATTACAGGCAAGAGCTAATGCGCCTGGCCAGTGAATTGATTTGGGAGGGAATGTATTGACAGAACAGGGAGGACTGACACTTGAGAGGGATCGGCACACTAAGTGCTTCAAAATCCAGCTCCTATACCTTGAAGAGCCTACTTCTTGGTTTTCTGTTGGCATAGACCCTGGGTTACTGAGCCAGGAGGCAGTTAGGTAGAGAGAGAGAATATGTGTTTACCCTTTTTCTATGGTTAGTGCTTTTGTTTTAGTTCTGGTGAGATATGTAGGTTAGTCCATTGTGTTTCTCACTACAGTTTTATCAGCTATGGTAATTTTAATTTCTTCCTGGATTCTAGAAAGTAGTTGAGTGTTTGAATGTCTGATGGTGATGGAGTTGGAGTCCTTTTATGTTCCTGTAGGAATTATGGAAGAAAGGAGTCAAGGAACATTATCCTGACATCATCTTAAGGTTTGACATCAACTTTTAATTACTTTACACAAGTTGATTTTGAAAAAATATCTTCAGCTACACATAAAATGAATATTAATTTAATATTGTTAAATTATTTGTTAGCTTTGGAAATACTAGTAAATGTAATTTTTAAAATTGTATCACATAATGTTAACTTAGTAAAATTAGAAGACTTCAGTAAAATTCTGTCAGCAAGGTGGCATACAATTTTAATACATAAGGGGTAACTCAGTAATAAATTTGTCTTTGCAGCTGCAAATCCAATTTTTCCTTAGGGTTTCAGAAAATGTGAGTTATTGATGTATAAAAAATCAAAAGTATAGAAGGATATGTGTTTTGGTTGATAGGTGCAGCAAACCACCATGGCACATATATACCTATGTAACAAACCTGCACGTTCTGTACATGTATCCCAGAACTTAAAATAAAAAAAAATAATAATAAAAAGAAAAAAATAAAATAAAAATGGAAATTAGAAGTGTACCCCCTTGTTCAGCCATTTCCAGAAAAATAGTATATTTCATGTACTTACCAATAAAGCTATTTTGATGATCACATAAGAAAATGTAAGTATGCAAAACCATATATAAATATAAAGCATTATTGTGTGAATTATTTAAAAAGGGTAAACTTCCAGTAAAAATTAAAACTTTCTGAACATTAAATTTATTTTTATTACTAATGTATATATTTTCCAAAGAAGGTTATTAAGTAAGATATTTGTTTCTCAGAGACTTAGGGGGAAAAATTTTGTCTTTAATTAGAGGCCAAAAATTATGTTTCCACTCTAACAAGTGGTCAGATTATATTATTTCCTGTATGTCTAAGAATCTGGCAATGAATTTCATTTTCCTATGAATTTTTATACTCTTTAGTAATACTCTGTAAACTACTTTTGTTTTATTTTTACTGCTACAGGCAAAGTAATGTACAGAACATTTATTATAATAGGATAGGAATATTATTTAATTCTGGGAGCCCTAGAAAATATTTTTCACTGGCTATACTGAACTCTTTCCCTGATTATTGAAAGGAGAAAACACAGAAAACTGGAAACCAGTTAGAAGGCAACTAAAATAACACAAGAAAGATTTTATGCAATACTGACCTAAAGCAGTAGCTGTAGGGACAAAGTGAAATGACTTTTTAGAGACATGTAGAAGTAGTAACAGATAAGAATTAGTGAAAATTCAGAATTAGAGGATGATTCTGGCTTGGATTATCAGATAATAATGGAGTGTTGAACTTTATTGTTGAGCATCCAAATGCATAAATGAAAAAAAAATCTAGAAAACATTCTGATAAAATAAGCTTTTAAAGGTATATAATAAGCAGTACAGCCATTATTCTCCCTAAAGAGTATTCTCAAATGTCTTTAATTTCTGATTGCTTGAAGAGAAAACTAAGGAGAAATTAGCCCATAGAGAGATGAAAAATTTGAAGCTGTGACATCGTGATTTCTTCTCTAAGGGAAAATATAATAAACTGCATTTTAATTTTTTAGGATAGTCTCAATAATTACAGGGAGAAATTGTGAAAACTATTGGATGAATAAAATAAGAATAAGGGATTTAATCAAAAGTAATATTTAAAAGTGTGTTCCACTTCAGTCTTACATAAACATTTACCAATTTCAAAAGATGATTTCTGGTTCAAAATTCAAGATGTGAGATGTTTATTGTTGACTTGCATGAGAAATTCTAGGGTGTGTCAGTAACAGAGTTAGAAACACATTCAACTTCATTCTTTAAACTATAGTCTTTTCAGTCGTATTAGCTTGTAATCTATTGAACTGAACAAGTGAACAAAAGAGAAAATAAATAATACCATCAGTTTATATGCCCAGGGCATCTCATATCTAACATAGCAGACCTCTCTCCTCATTTCCATTCTAGCTTGTCTCTGCAACATAATTGTATTTATTTCTACCTTTACTGTTTTGCTATTCTCAGAGAGGAAGACTGATGGGACCAACAAATAACAATAGTTAATCATTAAAATGAGTGGCAGATCTCCTCCTTTCCTTGATTATCCACCCTAAAGAAGTTTCTGGTTCTTTTTACTTCCTTATTGTTTCCCATCCTGTCTTCCCTATATATTTAAACAGGAATCCTTATTTCTTCTGTTTACCAATTAGTCTCAAATCCTAGGATTAAGACAATACAAACAGCATCTTGAAGATATTTCCTAGCTCCCACGTGTTCAAGATTTTACTCATTTAACAAAAATGTACAGGGTAGTTTACTGCGCTATGTGAGAAATAGATATGTAAAGCTATATAAATATATATATATAGCTGATATATAATATATTATATATAAATATATATAGCTAATATATAATATATTATTATATATAAATATATATAGCTAATATATAATATATTATATATAAATATATAGCTTATATATATTATTATATATAAATATATATAGCTAATATATATATTATTTATTATATATAAATATATAGCTAATATATAATATATTATATATAAATATATATAGCTAATATATAATATATATAAATATATAGCTTATATATATTATTATATATAAATATATATAGCTAATATATAATATATTATTATATAAATATATATAGCTAATATATATAATATATTATATATAAATATATATAGCTTATATATATTATTATAAATATATATAAATTATATATACAAATTATATATATAATATATATATGTGCCTTCTAAAAATTTACATCCTGGTAGGAAACAAATATACAAAGAAATCACTGAAATGTTTGGTAGTATAAGTTAAATGGAAGAAATCTACAAATTTAAATAAGTGTGGATCTTTTGCCACCATTTAAATTGTAGTCAGTTTCATGATAATATTTAAGGTGGTTCTTAAAGAATGGTTAAGATTTCATATGATCATCTTTTGTAGATCAAAAATCTTAAGATTTGGGTAAAAACTAGAAAAGTACTGTCTAAGAGTAAACTAAGTGTACCTTCGCTTCCTGAGTTTTAGATTCTACAAAGAATATATTAAATTTTAATATGACAAGGACAATACTAAAAATAATAATAAAATTTTGGAAAGTGTAGGTGTTGGTATTAGTATACAAAAGACATGTAAAAATGTACTTTGCCCATACACAACAAAGAATTTAACCGATTCATTCATTAAAGATAATGTGATAATAAAATATTTGAGAAGGAAACTATTGGAATAGTAATATCTATTGGTATTATATAATAATATATGCTATTATTATGTGTAATACCATATATTATTCTTTAGCAAAGAAATTGATAAAACCTCAGACTGGCTCATCTGCGAAATCCCTGGTGTTTATATTTCCTGTCTGAGCCAGGGTGTATACATTCTCATGGACAGTTATTGGGAGTCTAGCAAGATGTCTTTCATTCTGTTCCTGTTTTCTATTTACTGGCATGTTTACATTCCTCACCCAGAATATTTGTCATTTGTTAGGGAAGAAGGTGGAGTTGTTCATTTGGAATAATTTTTTCCTGAGTGTATTTTTTTTCTATTTCCAGATACATTACTTATTAGCTGTCCTCAAAACTTCATAGTTAGTTCGGTTTAGAGAAAATGAAAGAATAAGAATTTTGGAAACCTAGTTATTGTCCCGAAATGCTGTGCAAAGTGTTTTACAAACATTCTCACTACAATTCTATGAGTTACCTATTATTATTTGTACTCTAAAGACGAGGAAACTTGAATCTCAAATAGTTTGCATGGCTAGTAATTGGTGTGTCTATTTCATTAATCCAGGCTTCTCCTCCTATACTGTGCTGCTTCTTAAAAAAAAGAGAAGAAATAATTTACAGAAGTGAGCAAACGGCTTCATTATGACCCAGTTAGATCCTTTCTTACTGTGTTATACATTCAGACAGATCAACATTTATTCTTATCTTTCTCCAGTGCATAATTATGAACTGAAAAAGCAAGATATTAAATATTATTAAATATTAAATTACTATTTTTCTTATATTTGTGTCAGTATTAAAGTGACATCTTGCCATAGTTATAAACTTCCACAAACAGCCAAAATGATTTTTCTCCATGTTTAGTTTGGCTTAATGATTGTTTGAGCAAGAACACTATCTGGATTTTGCCCTGATGGCAAAAGTTAGAAATGGAAACAACTTAGTTGTCTACAGAAATGCTGAGTCTAGACATCAAGCTTGGTTGTATTACCAGGAAAAAGGATAAAAAAGATATTGATCTAATACTAGCTCGAGACTGGGATCCCCAGCATATATGCAGGATTATAATTTGTTGTTATTGAGTGATTGAATCACAGAACTGAAAAAGAGAGAACAAAATTGTGTGAACTGGGCAATGTATAGCTCCAAAAAAGTAAAGAAAATAAAATAAGCAATTGTGTCTTAGCCATCTTCATAATCTATGAACAAGACATTTAAATAGACTACTATATTATAGATGTAGTATCAGCTGATGTTTTGATAGTATGATATAGGTGGTCAAAAATCTGATATTGATGAATATAATGTTGTATTCCTATGTTCATTAGGAAGTCCTGCTTTCTTGGGTATTAGATATGCCTGCATGGCTTTTTTTGGCCAATGAAGTATGAGAAGTAGTAACCTGTATCACTTGTAGGCAGAGGATTCTAGAGCCAGTGTATGATTTACTGCATTCCTTTTTCCTATCTAAATGATCATGAAAGCATGCATTGAAACAGAACATCCATCTCCATAAGATCCTAAATTACTACAATGAGATCTTCGGGTCCTCCACATAGCATTGGCTAGAAATAAACCATTATTTTAAGGCATGGATAATTTGAAGTTCTTTGTTACTGCAACATAAATCTGCCTATTCTGTCTGATACGCATGTTGTAAATTCCTTGATAGTGTGAATTGTACTTTACCACTATATCTCTACTACTAAAATAGTACCTAAATATCAAATCTGTGAATGACTTAATGACTGATGACATATAAATATTTGTTACCCTCTTTGATTATAAAAGTTAAAATAGCATGGCAAACACACACACACACACACACACACACACACACACACACACACACAAACCAGCATGACAATATGAAGGCCATCTGCAAATGAAGAGAAGTTATTTACATAATGTGTGGACCAGAAATAAATGTATTTCACTGTTGGAAGGCAAAGGATAACACTAATTGAGCTAAGGAGCAGGAAGAAGCGCCTTGAGACTTCCATTAGTGAAGTCACTTAAGGCTTTTGGCAATCACAAGACTAGCAACAGGGATTTTGGACGTGAAATAATTCATTACTTTTTTTCACATGAAAAATGCTGCATTAGGAATTTAGTTGTACTTCATGTGATTCAAGCTGTGTAACTTTCTCGTAGCAAAGAAATATGAATTGGACTTATAAATTGCTGAGTACTTTCTCCAATCCAAAAATCCAGACAATTCTGACATGCATAGATGGACAAAGTTGATTAATGACCAAATAGAGTGAAGGGAAACACTTTGAGTATTAGAAATAGAAATGGGAAAAAGAAACAAAATATAGAGAAAGTTTTGTGATCTGAGGAAATACAGCAGAAACCTGCTCAGATTTCTTTTTCCTGCTGAAATATAGTTATTCTCTCAACAAATACTAAGGGAGCAGATCAGAATAAACAATGTATCTTTGAACTTACTAGTAAACTTTGATACTGGTTAAGAGCACTGACAAGTGTGTCTGTAATTTGACAATTCATTGTTTTGTTTGTTCTCATCCACGTATTGGTGTCACTGTCTGTGTCCCTTAGGAAAACAGTTCAGTAGATCCTTAAGCTCCTGCCTGATGCCTGTTCAGTGGACCTGGGTGACATGGCCCACTTCATAACCACCACTGCTCCTCCCTCCCACCCTCACAACCTCACACCCATTCAGTCCTCAAGTTCCTGGTGCCCATTCTATTCTTTGCAAGCATCTTCCAACTATTCAAAAAACCTCTCTAAATAGATTTGTGAGAGACACTAGTCTACCAATTTATTTCAGTTGGCCTCCAGGGATTTATTTGCAGAAGGAAAGGAGAAATTCTGTGTTGGAGAATCTTGTCTATACATAGCACAGATACTACTTTGTTTGACTGATTGCTTTTAAATCCCAACTCTTTTTTTAAGAGGGTCACTTTCCTTTGTTCTTTCCTGGAGGTTGCAGGCCTGCTGCGAACCTGTTCTTTCCTGAAGTATAGAATTCTCATCATGTTGTAACTAATTCTGAATTGTCTTGGGAAGCAAAGACTGAAGCCGACGCAGTGCCTCAGGCCTCCTTCTTCCTTGGTAGTTTGGGGAACATCAAGAGTAGTCCCTTGGGCAGGGGTTTGCCATTTTCAAGGAGGACATAAGCAGTCTCAAGTGGATCAAGGTAGTGCTATAAAGGAGTTGTAGAATAGAAATACAAGAGAAAGCTGTTTATGCTATAAGATGTCCCTTACACTCTACCGTCTTCTCTCACTTGAAATAAAGGTAAACCATTGAGAAGATTAAGTTCTGCTTTATGCAGGTGGGTGCAAAGGTTATTAGGCTAGCAAAATGTTAATTACAACTATTCACGTAATATTCTTAATGTCAACTGGCTACCAGAGTCTAGAGAAATTTAGATCTCATAGGTAATGGTGGTTTCTCAGGCCATAGTGGTCAGAGGAAGGAAAACTAGTAGTATGAATACCATAGCCTAACAATAGTAAAACAAAACACCACCACCACCAAAAAAACAAAACAAAACAAAACAAAAAAAACCCTTTTTATTCTGAGACCTAGCAACAAAAAATGCTGTATTCCAAGCAAGTTACATTTCTCTTGAACATTCTTTCCACCCCTCAGGAATTCCTCACTTTTTTTTTTGAGAGATCGCACCACTGCACTCCACCTGGGGGACAGAGATCTCGGCTCACTGCAACCTCTGCTTCCCAGGGTTAAGTGATCTTCCTGCCTCAGCCTCCCGAGTAGCTGGGAGTACAGGCATGTGCCACCACCATGCCCAGCTAACTTTTTTGTATTTTTAGTAGAGACTGGGTTTCACTATGTTGGCCAGGCTGGTCTTAAACTCCCAACCTCAAGTGATCCGCCTGCCTCGGCCTCCCACAGTGTTGGGATTACAGGCGTGAACCACCATGCCCGGCCTCCTTGTATTATTTCTATAAGAGTCACTCTACTTTTCTTCTCTGCTTTGGAACTTATGTATAGTCATTTCTATTATTGTTCCACTGAGAACATCCATCACTTGAATCTAAGATAATGGTATTTCATGCACAGGGATACTTTTCCTCTTGTTGGCGTTATAGATACCTCTTTATCGTCATGAATACCAGACTTTCCAAAGATGACAGATTCCTTCAACTGGTATGTGGAATGGATTGCCTCAGGCTACCTTTCAGTTCAATACTGGGAGCCAAGTGGATTACCAGCATGCTGCCACTCCCAGCCCCAGAACAGAAGAAACAGTATATATTCTCTCCACGTGGCTTCTCCTAAGGCCAGGGCTGCTTTCCACCAACAAAACGTCTTTCCTCCTGTAGATTAATTCCCCAGGATTCTTTGGAGATTCATCTGCACAAATTGATTATTGCCTATCTACACAGCTACTTTGGATTTTCAAGTTATTTTTGATTATTAAAGGTGACAAGTTTAGGAACCTCAGGCATAAAGATCAGCATGTATCTGAATTAGACTGACCTCATTGGACACCAGATTATATCCTAGTACATAGACAGATGTTACTCTGGAGTATATCTCTGAAACCACAAGGCCCAATTCACAACTGTTACTAGAATTGAGACTATTCCTGAATGGATATTGCCAAGAAAGCAACTACAGTCACGCATGCTTAATGACAGGGATACATTCTAAGAAACTCATTGTTAGATGAGTTTGTCCTTCTGTGAGCATCATAGAGTGTACTTACACTAACTTAGTGGTGTAGCCTATTTCATAGCTAGGCTATATGACATAACTTACTGCTTTTAGGATATAAACTTGCACAGCATGTTACTGTATTGAATGCTGTAGACAGTTATAACACAACGAGAAGCATTTGTGTATCTAAACATAGAAAAGGTAAAAGAAAAGGAAAAATACGGTATTATAAACTTATGGGACCACTGTTGTGTATGCAGTTTATCATTGGCTAAAATGTTATTATGTGGTATGTGACCGTACTTCAAAATATTATCTCCATTTGCTCATTTGACATTATTTGACATAGCAAGGCAAATGCCTTTTCTAATAGCAGGCTATAAAAATGTGCCTCAAATCAAAATCTCAATAAAATGTACTTGCAACTATGGATAGACACATAATTGATTTTTTAAAGTAAATGGAAAACACTGGGCTAGAAATCCCCTAAGTCAGCTGAAATTAGCAGGAGTGCCTGACATTAAGTTCCTGAGACTTTTTTATTTATTAAAAAAAATGCTCTCTGTTAATACATATTTTACTTTTGCATAATTTTAATACGTAAAACTGTGAACATGAATATAAACAAATTATGTAACACAGGGTTTCCTACAACTCTATTGTTGGACTATAAAGGACAAGAAAATAACAATTTTTATCCCTCTAAAATCAGCTCTTGTATCAGGGTCCTCATAGGAACCTCACATGGTTTAAGAATTTGATAGACTGCTTTCAAAGGGGTGAGAGAATTTAGAGGAGCCAGTAAAGGATGTTGAGGCACTGAAGAGCCTAGAAACCACAGGAAGCCCTTGCCACTCCTAAGCCTAAAGGGCAAGAGGAGAAAATTTCTCTACCAGAGCCCAGTGAGACATGGAACAACCTAAAAAGTGCTATAATCCTGGGGGAATGCAGCATGTTCCAGAAAATATGACCCAGAGCAGAAAAGGAGGGGAGAAGAAAAACCTAAGTCTCTTTCTTTCAGTCCTCTGATCACTCTTGATCTTCACTGGCTGAATTTAACCAGAAGCTAGTAGGAGGATGCTCAGGTGTGTAATCCACAGGGATCAGCTTCCTGGGGCAAAGAACAGAACAGAACAAAGGATCTTTCTTGTAACAGTGGTGGTGGTGGGAGTAGAGGCTGGAAAATAGAGAGAAACCAGCACAGCTCGTCTTTTTACTTGTTACTGTTTTCATCTTCAAGTGGATCATAGTAATCCCAGTCCTCTTAAAGTAAAAAATAGCAGGAAAACGGAGAAGAACAGCCATCTATAGTTGATGGGAAAAGTATCTTCTATGCGTTAATATCATATTGCTGCCAAGAGAGTGGAGGACAAAAATGGCCTGAAATCAAGCACATGTACGTGTCATATGTATAGACAACCATATATGTGTGTGTTTATATTCTCTTATCTATAGTTATCACTTACCCTTTAATAAAGCAGGGATATTCTACATGTGCCTAATCACTCCCTTGATACATTTGTGAAGTAAGAAATAGAGAATCTCATTTATAGCTTGCTAACTTTTAACATTTTTGTGGAGAACTGAAAAATTGCCAGTTAATCTTTGTAAATAGAGCACACGACATGGTAATATAGGTTTGTATTAAAAACTGCTTTCCACTAATTATTTCAATATAATGTGCTTTCACTGTATTTAAGAAAACAGATTTCCCTCCAAACATATTAGAAAGAAAGGTGAAATAATGTGAATGTAAATAAAATCTTTGAATACTGCCAAGGAAGGAGAGTGAACCCGGCATGGGAGGAAACATGAAGACTAATAGGTGGTAAGAGTGAACTAAGAAGATGAAATAACATGGCTTATGCCTGTAATCCCAGCACTTTGGGAGCTGAGATGAGCAGATCACTTGAGGTCAGGAGTTCAAGACCAGCCTGGCCAATATGGCAAAATCCTGTCTCTACTAACAATACAAAAATTAGCCGGGCATGGTGGCATACACCTGTAAGCCCAGCTACTCTGGAGGCTGAGGCAGGAGAATCGCTTGAACTTAGGAGGTGAAGGTTGCGGTGAGCTGAGATTGCACCACTACACTCCAGCCTGGGCAACAGAGCAAGACTCCATCTCAAAAAAAAAAAAAAAAAAAAGAAAGAAAGAAAGAAAAGAAAAACGTGAAATAACACTAAAACCTTGTAAAAGACATATTTTGAATATCATAGAACCTAAGAACCAATTCCATCTGGGCGCAGTGGCTCATGCCTGTAGTCCCAGCACTTTGGGAGGCAGAGGTGTGCGGATCACCCGAGGTCAGGAGTATGAGACCAGCCTGACCAACACGATGAAACCCGGTCTCTACTAAAAATACAAAATTAGCCAGGCGTGGTGGTGCGTGCCTATAATCCCAGCTACTTGGGAAGCCGAGGCAGGAGAATCACTTGAACCCGGGAGGCAGAGGTTGCAGTGAGCTGAGATTGCACCATTGTACTCCAGCCTGGGCAACAAGAGCAAAACTCTGTCTCTAAAAAAAAAAAAAAGTTTAATTAAAAAATAAAACTTAGAAAAACAGTATTTTATGACAGGTATGCTAGCACACCAACACTGTTAAATTTACTCCACAGAGCTTTATGTGTCTTTAAAAGTAGTTTATTACATAGTATATGCAATGTAATCTATACGAATGAAATATAAGAATATCATTTCTGTGATAAACTTTTCAGAGAAGTGTACAGTGTACACTTATATACAGTATAACTCAAGTTCTGTGATATAATTAGCACACGTAGAACTAAGCTAAATTTAAAAGCGATATATTTTCAGTTATTAAATATTATTTGCTTATAAGTAATTATAATTTTAATAGCAAAACTTTTTAGACTAAACTAATAGTGATTGACAGGCATTATTAACATTCATTAGTTTATGCGAATCTAATATTGTCCACATTAAAATAGAGAAAAATTCTGAAAGCAAAAAAAGTTTCTTAAATTTTTAACTGTTAAAGAAATCACTTGTATAAGTTAGAAAAGAGCTTGGGTTCTCTTTCGAGATAGAGCCAATTTGTCTGTTTGCTCAGCACTTAATGATTTTGGAGATATTAGTCAACAAAAAGAGTACTAATAGCTTTTGGAAACATTAGCCTGAGAACCATTTTCCATTTAGTCTGTAGTTAGTTAATCGAGTGCATGTTCATTTATCCATACAAGCTATAAAATCCTACAATGAAGATGTAATTATAATTGACATTACTGACCAGTTAAAAGGCATAAACAGTAGTATGCCCATCAATATGCACTTCCTATTTGCTGACATTTCCAGTTATGCCAGATGGTGACTTTAATGATGGTGCCTTGCGGTGCTTCTAATAATTTTTGTGCCTGATGGTACTTTTATAGGGCCTGTTCCATCATAGAAAGCTGAAGGGTGACTTAATAATGATCTTCTAGCGTATGAAGGGTCATGAAGTGTATGGTTATAAAGTGACCAGCTGTTACTCATTCATATGAGAAGTAGTAGATTTTTAACTGTAACTAGAGAGATTTAACTTAGATATAACTTAGAACTTCCTGATAATAAAAGGTATTGAATGAAAGGAACAATGAGAGATGCTAAAATTTTTCTTAAGGATAGAAAGTGCTCATCTGCATGAAATGATCAAGTTTACTCTTATTTTGTGGATATGTCAGTTTCATTTCACATCTAAGAGTTATATTTTTCATATTTCAACACTAACTTGGTTCAAATTCTGGTGACAACTTATTGGCTATGTGATGTAGGATAAGTTAGTTACTTAAATACATTGCATCTTGATTTACTTATCTGTAAAATTGAAATGAAATCTTTCATCTAAATATCTAGAGACAAGTCTAAAATACTATTAACTCTAAGGTAAGGTTGAATTTCTTTCTTTCTTTTCTCCTTCATAAAAATGAGAGTAGACAGGTCAAAAATTTCCTTTTAGCTGGATCTGAATATCTTACTTAGGAGTGTCAGAATAATGAAGACCTGTGTGATAGCAGAGAGCAATATAAAACCCTCAATTTTTAGAGGTTTATATCCTACCCAAACACTCACTAGGAATGCTTTTCCCTCATGGCATTAAGTCAGTGTAATCTGTTAGAAAGAGAAGGCAAAAGACCTGGTTCTGTTTAGACTCCTGCAATTACTAACTGTGTAACCCCAAACCAAGTCATTTAACTTCTGAGTTTTATTTTGATCCCCTGGAAAAAAAAAAAAAGATTAGGAAAGCTCTTGACAGATAAATTCTGATGTCACCTCTGTCATGGGGAAATGAGACAATGTGGGAAGACTGGGGGGAGATAGAGCTCAAGAGGTTGAGAGTTGAATTTTCTGCTCTAGTGGTTTATTTGACCCTGTGTATCAAGTGAGAAAAGGCAGTTCTGATGAATGAGAAGGCAATGGGATGGCACCAAACCTCAGGACACTTGCTTAGAAACTATTTGTTTGAAAAATAGGATGTTCCAGGCGCTGCTCAAGATACTAGGAATTTATCAGTATACAACTCCAATAAGATCCTAGGAATTTAGCAGTATACAACTCCAATAACATCTCTGTCTTCATGGGGTATTAAGAGAAAAAGCCAATAAATAATTAAATAAATTAACCAGATTATTTCAGAGAATGATGTACTAGGCAAAGAGAAATCAAACTGGGTAGGGGATAATAAGATTACACCTACAGGGAGGAGGTAAATCTATGGTCCAGAGAGGCCTCTTTAAAGTCATGACACTTAATGCTATCCCTACATAAACAGGACGAACTCAGTCATGCAAAGATATAGAGAAAAGGCCCACTTAAGGGCTAGAGATAAAGAATCAGATGATCTCTGGGTGCGGTGGCTCACGCCTGTAATCCCAACACTTTGGGAGGCCGAGTGGGGTGGATCACGAGGTCAGGAGATTGAGACCATCCTGGCTAACGCGGTGAAACCCCGTCTTTACTAAAAATACAAAAAAATTAGCCAGGCGTGGTAGCACGCGCCTGTAATCCCAGTTACTCGGGAGGCTGAGGCAGGAGAATCGTTTGAACCTGGAAGGCGGAGGTTGCAGTGAGCCGAGATCGCGCCATTGAACTCCAGCCTGGGCGACGACAGAACAAGACTCTGTCTCAAAAAAAAAAAAAAAAAAAAAAGTAATCAGACAATTTGTTAATCTGTTGCCAGTTCACTCATTCAAACTTGGGGAGCCTCGAGGTGCAACATTGATGAATGTATTGATTAGTTCTGTTCTTGGCTTTATCAGTCACTAATCTCCCTCTGTTCAACAGTTTATTTATAAGTAAAATGTAGGAGAAGCAGGAATGTTATGAGCACATTCCTATTATGATTATTTTCACTTTTTCACTTCTAAATGCTATGATTAATCCCTGTCTTGACTATTTCACAAGGTAGATTTGAAGATGAGATAGTAGATGAGAACAGGTTCATTGAAGCCTCAACTCATTGGAATATTAATATAAAAAAACTATTTTTTCTAATCATTGCTTTCAATCATGTTCTGTTGTCATCTACTTTATATCTTAACAACATCATAGGCAGATACCATAATTTTCTGGTATTAGTACTATAAAATGTAAAGAGTCCTTGTTAAAGGTGGTAATATCAATTAATGAGTTATTTATGCTGAAGCTTAGGGAAGAAAGGACCTTTCACAATGGTAGCAACTAGGAAGTTTTTGTCTGTAAGTGGCTATAGGGGCTCAAGAACTAAAACTGAAGCCGATGTTTGCAAACAAGTTAGAAATTGAACTGCTAGAATAAGCCCAATCATTAGTGTTTTGTCTAAGAGTCTAGAACAGCTGTCAACACGGCAACCTCTTCTCAACATTCAGAGGCCTGTAATGAGACAGCATCTGGTGAGAAGGTGTCAAGGTTCTTTCACGTCTCAAATGTGGAAATCAGGACATGGCAGTTAAAGGAGTTTGGAAGATAATTAGGGTATTTTAAAGAATAGATTTTTTTTTTTGTTATACCAGATTGTTGATGCCTTTATAAACAATGCCTTAGGAGAATCAATAACTGTAGGTGTTTCTACTACATTTTAGAAAAAAAAAAACCCTATCGTTTTGTATTGTGGCCCACAATATAACATTTATTAGCCTTTTTGTTGATATATTCTTACATACATTGAAACAAGTATCTAACCAATGCACAAAATAGTGAATTATTGCATTACTGAAAGATAAAGTGGCTTAAATTATATAAACTATTTTTTCACATACAGATTGCCATTTTCTTCTTCTCATTATTGGAAGACTAAAGCAGCAAATATGTCTTCATTGACAAAAATGTGTAAATAAAAACTATTCTTGGTGACTGTTTCATTTTCTCTCTTTACATGTTTTAATGTCCTTAGAAATTGTCTTATAAGCAAAGATTACTTCCTAATTAGCTAAATTTAATATTCATACAAGGTCCATAAGTTTATTAAGGATGTGGTAATTAAATTTAAGTTGACATTACAGAGTTACACAATCATCGTTGATGATAAAACTTTGGCAAAAGGAAAGATTTAAAAATTTACCTATCTTGTCAGTAAAGTAAGTGAGTCCAAAGATTTGTAGCATTATCTAAAGTTCAAATGAATAAATCCTTTAAAAAGAAGTAAGTTATCATAATTCCGTTTGGTTAAACCTGTGTTTGCATTCTTAGTATCTTAAATATATTACGGAAACAATTGATTTGACACATAAAACCATTTTAGGACAATCAAAATAAATGCTTCATAAAAATGAATAATTTTAAACAGATAAAATATAGTTGTGTAATCTTTCAGTCTTCTCTAAGATCAAGAAAAAAAAGATGGCATTACTTTAAAAACTATTAATCCGATCTGATTTGTCCGACGATTAACCATAACAAAGTTTACTATATAAACTGAGGTTCTTATAAATCTTCTGTATTCGTTAACCAAATAACAAAATGTTTCAGACGTTTTAATTAATGCATTTTTACAATTATATTTTACTAACTTAATGCCCATTTCTATTTCTTAATTTCTTATCTAGCAATTAGTCATTGCCCACACAGCTAAATTGGAAGTTACTGTGAGAGAGAGATTGATTGCTCTCCACCCTCTACCTCGAAGGACCAGCACAGTTAAACATTAAAAATACAATTTCTTCATTCAGAGGAAATCTTTGAATCCTGTATTAAATTTATATAAGTGCTTATTTATAATTATGTATATTATATATAATTGTATATTTACATGCTTATCTCAGTAAGTCAATCAGATTAGCGGTTTTTTCGCATTTTTAAAAACACTTGTATTAGTTTGCTAGTCTGCTATAACACAATACCAAAGGCTGGTGGCTTAAACAACAGAAATTAATTTTCTCACAGTTCTGAAGGGTGGAAGTCCAAGGTCAAGGTGTCAGCAGGTTTGGTTTCCCCTAAGACGTCTGTCCTTAGCTTGCAGATGGCTGCCATCTTGCTGTGTCCTCACATAGCCTTTTCTCTGTGTGTATGCATTTCTGGTATGTTTTCTCCTTGTTAGGACACCAGCTCTATTGTATTAGAGCCCTACCCTTAGGACCTCATTTAACCCTAATTACTTCTATATTAAAGGACCTATCTCCAAATACAGTCTTATTTCAGACTAGGGCTTCAATATTCAAATTTTGGGATAACACAATTCAGTCCATAACAGCACCCAATGTATATCATTTAATCTTTTTAAGAACCTTATTAATAGATTTCTTTTATTCTGATTTAAAAAATTTTTATTATTATATAATTGACGTTCAATAAGCGACACGGTTGAAAGACGTGATGAAATATATATGTCAGTGGAAACATTACTACAATCAAAATAATGATCCTGTACATCTCTCCTAAACGTTCCCTTGTGCTCTATGTAGTTTTTCCTCCCCCTTAAGAAAGAAGTGATCTGCTTTCTGTTACTACAGATTAATTTGGATTTTCTACAGTTTTATATAAATGGAATTATACAGCACACACTCTTTCGCCTGGCTTCTTTCACCCAGCATAGTTATTTTGAGATTCATCATGTTGCATTTATCAATAATTAATCTCTTTTTTTTTGCTGAGTAGTATTTCATTTTACATATATACCACAGTTTGTTTATTCATACACCTGTTGATGGACATTTAGCTTCAAGTTTTTTTCTATTATAATAAAGATGCTATAATCATTTGTGTACAAGTATTAGCATGAAAATAAACTTCCTTTTTTCTTGGTAAATGTGAGTAGAAGGGATAGGTTATGTGATACACACACACACACACACACACACACACACACACACACATTTTTCCAATGTGGCTGTACTTTTTTTACATTTCTACCAGTAATATATAAGAATTTCAGTTTCCCTACATCTTTGCCAACACTTGGTCTAGTCGGTCTTTTTTAAATTCTAGCTATTCTAATAGATATGTAATTGTATTGCATTATCATTTTACTTTATATTTGTCTGCAGTTACTAATGATATTGAATTTTTTTTCATGTCCTTATTTGCCATTCATATATTCCCTTTGCCCTTTTTGGCCTTTGCCCTTTTTGTGTAGGATAATTTTTTTTTCTTATTGGAGGGTTTTGAGTGTTCTTTATATATAGTATACACCAATATTTTATCAGATAAAAGCCTTATAAAGATTTTTTTCCCAATCTGTGACTTATCTTTTTATTCTCCTAACAGTGTCTTTAGAAAAATGAAAGTTTAATATTTGATGAAGTTTATCATTTTTTTTATAGACTGTGATGTTGGTGTTAAATTTAATCTTTGCTTAACCAAATGTTATAAAGATTTTGTTTTATGTTTTCTTCTAGGAGTTTTATAGTTCAGGACTTTACATTTCATTTTATGATTCATCTTTTTTTAGAGGATTCATATCGAGTTAATTGTTGTGTATGGTATAAGGCATGAATCTAAGAATATTTTGCATATAGATGTCTAATTTTTCCAGCACCATTTGTTGAAAAAACTATTGTTTCTCTACTATAGTGCCTTCATATCTTTGCCACAAATAAGCTATTCATTTAGCTATAGATTTATTTCTAAAATATTTATTCTGTCCTATTGATTTATCTATTTCATAAATATCACACTATTTTGACTTTATCTCAATTCTTAAAATTAGGCACTCTTATCTATCCAATTTTGTTGTTTATCCAAAGCTGTTATTGGCTATTCTAGGTCTTTCAAATTTCTATGTGAATTTTTAAATCATTTTCCCAATATTTACAGAAAGTGTGACCGACTTTAGAGGATATTTCATTGAACTGATAAGTTTGGAGAGAACAGACATCTTGACAATATTATGCCTTCTACCCCATAAACAAGGCCTATCTTTCATTATTTAATGTCTGTCACAATGTTTATTGTTGTTATGTCCATATGTCCAGGTCTTTCATATATTTCAAACAATAAATTCATATTTCAATGCTATGTTCAATGGTACTTTAAAAAAATTTTAGTTTCCAATTGTTATTTGCCAGTAAAAAAAAAAATGACATTTATATTGCATTCTTAAATCTTGCTAAATTTACTAATTCTAGTATCTTTTTAGTAGATTCCATTCAATTTTCTATATAGACAATCATGGCATCTGAAAATCACTTCTTTTCTAAACATGGTTGTCTTTTAATTCTTTTTCTTGCCTGAGGGCACTAACCAGAGTTTCAAGTACTGTATTGAATAGAAGTGATAAGAGCAGATCCCTGTCTTGTCTTGTTCCTGTTCTTAGTGGGAAAGCTTTCAGTCTTTCACCAGTAAGTATACTACCCGTAAGTTTCTTTTATAAAATCCCGTTATCTATTTGAAGAAGTTCACTTCTAATCCTAGTTTGTTGAGAATTTTTGTCAGTAATGGATGTTAGATTTTGTCAAACGATTTTTTTGTCTATTGAGATGATTTAATTTGTAAATATGATTAATTACATTGATATTCTAATACAAAACAACCCTGCATGATTGGAATAAACACCACCGCTTATTAATGACATAGTATCCTTTTAATATATCATAGGATTTAATTCGTTAAATTTTAGTTCGAAATCTTGGATCTAAATTTTGTGGGAGGTAGATCTGTGGTTGTCCATTTTTATAACACTTTTGTCTGATTTTGGAGTCGTGGTAGTGATGACCTCGGAGAATAAGTTGGAAGTACTTTCCTTGGTACTACACCTTTCAAATTAAAAAAAAAAAATCCATAACATGGCAAAGGAACTATTACAAGTGAAACAGTGTTGTAACAATATCTACCTAATAAAATATCCCATTGAATGTTTTCCAGGTGTATTGGGTAAAAACCTAGGCTCTTAACTTGAAACTTGGGTTCAAATACCAACATTGCCCCTATTTATTTGTTGATGAATAAAATATCATTATTGCATGTGTGACATATATTTTTAAATGCTGGAGGACCAAGACATTTAGCCTTTTCCCTCAGCTTTATTGCAATATTATTCACAATACAATTGTATATATTTATCAAAATATAATAAGTACGTGAGATAATGCATATGTTAACTAGCTCAGGTTAGGCATTTCACAGTGTATACATGCTTCAAAACATCATTTTGTAGCCTTTTCTTTCCTTTAACTTCAATCTTTCAATATTAAGGCAAGCAGTTCCTGGAAACCTTTACATCTCGCCTGCAAGAAGCACAGCTTTGAATCTTATCAAGAGATCAGAAATTCTGGTAAACTGTTTGGGTCTTTAAAGTCCAGGAAGTGCCGGTCTCTGGCTAGTGTTCCAGGAATGATGACATATATGCAGCAGTTCTGAGAACCTACAGATATGTGGGCACTTTTCTCCCCTCTGTAACTAACATATAACCTAATTTCCTAATGCTAAGTCTATTAGGCCGATGTTCCTTAGACCCTTTGCTTGAGTCTTTAAAACTGAATTTGACAAAGCATTTAAAAATTATAACAATGGAAAAATATTCCATACCAGAAATTAGAGTATTACCTACAAAATCTTTTTCAATTCTCATTTCATGTGATTTAAAAACTGGCCTTATGTGATATTCATAATAGACTTTTTTTCGAATAATGAAAGACTGCACATTTTGTTAGAATCATTATTTTGACAGTGTATGGATTTCATAATTTAATCTCTGCTTTCAGCTGGAGGGAAAATAGTATCTATAGAACTGAATACCAGATATAAATGCATTTTCTACTTTCTTTTAACTCATAGGTTTATACAAACTGTTTCATCTTCATGTCATGTACTTCTCTCCTGATATACCTGTGATAGAAGTTCTGCTACACCGAAAATCTAAGTCAAATTCACGCTTCAACCCATATATCTTTCTCCTCCCTAATTGGCAGTTTCAGGGCATTAATAGCAATTTATGTAGCTAATTACTTGGTAGATACTTACAAATATAATAGGTACCTTTTTCCTAATTAATTTACCATCAGATCAGAGTATTTTTTTTTTTTTTTTGCTCATCACTTTATATCCTGTGTTCCACTATGTATATTGCCTGGTACATAGTAGAAACTTATTAAATTGTTTCGAATAATGAATTATACTAGATAGATATTAAAGCAGGAAAGGAAATAAAATTTAAAGTCCCTTGCCTTTAGATAAATAAAACTGTCTTTTAAAAATGTGGGAATTGAGAATAGAAAAGTTTGTTTGTATAGATTAATTTATAATTTGTTGACATTCATATTACTGTGCAACTTAGGAATCTGATTTTCATATGCAAACTTTGCAATTCATATTATGAAAGTGAACAGTGAAGATTCAGAATCAGTATAATCAAGAGGTGCTAAGTTCCTTCAGGGTGACTTTTTACCTATGATCTATTTTGTTCTATTTTCCAGTTAACCCTCTGTGAAACTCTCAGCAGCACACTCTGCACACAGACACTCTATAAGTGCACAGAATGTCTATTCATACGCATGCAGCTTTGTACAAACTTAAATATATAGCCTATGTCCTTTTATATTTAAAAAAATGCTTTAATATGTTCTAATTGAATTTGTTGGTATACTTCATAGTTTCATCTGGTCTTAACTTTCTATTTATCAGTAACAATTAATATAGTCCACTCTCCATTATCTGCACAAATTGTATGCAGTAAAATTGAATCATGCAAACATAATTCAGAAATCATTTCTATTTGTATGTGAGAAGTAGTATGTGATGTTTTCAGAGTAAGTTTCTTGCCTTAATTATATTTTGCTTGGGGTAATTAGTTTGCATTCCCTGAGCACACATCAACTGACAGTGGGGGAAAGTACAGCCCTGAAGTATTCTGGGAAAATGATTTAAAATATTGTAACTGAACCACATGTATATACTCAGTACTTGTAAATGACCTGGGAAAATTCAAAGGGGTCCAATATTGTCTGGATTATTATTGAGACTTGGTGATCAAATCATGTCTTTCAAAAATAACTGCATATATTTCTAGTTTAACTCAGTCTGGTCCCACAGTACCAGTTTTATAAAGGAAATTCATTAAACTAGATCGCTCAATGAGGAAACTTGAGAGCAAATGGAAGTTCAGTTTATTTGTAGTTCTATCATGGGCATGTGTGCACGCGTGTGCATGTGTTGCTTCAAACGTTAATTTGTTTGTCCCTATGACAATATGTGTTGGTTTTGTTGATTTCTTTTGCTTCATTGTTTTCAGTTGTAGCTAAGAACACATTATTTCCTAGGAATTATATATAAAATGCCACCTGCAGCACTCAACTCTCATTGTTCTTTAGATTTCAGATGCCAGAAGGAAATAGATTCTAAGGACATTGTGCTACGCAGATAAAATGTAATTGTGTTCTACAGAAAAGATTTCCATTCTGTGTGCTGACAAGTACATATTTCCATTACATTTTTTAAAAGGAGACAGTTTTGATCATACGAATGAATATTAATAAGAATTTTTTACTAAAAGTATTTAATTATTTGTATATTATTCTTTCACTATTCTCTCTTAGAAATCTCTCTCACACAGATACCCACACTCACACAGGCACACACTTTCCTATATTAGAAGAGTATTTGAAATCCAATCTTCACTCACTTCGATTTGAAGCATCACATGCATATTGAATGCATGTAGTGACAATACTTGTATTTTAATGTTAAAATTCCTAATCTTACCCCTGAAACCACTACAGGGGCAAATATATATATATATAAATACCTTGAATTTATGAAGTATGGTTTATTTAACTTCACTTTGCATCAGTGGTAATAACCTATGTAGCCAAGAAATAATTAGAAAATGAAAAATAATAATATAAAATGTGACTATGAAATCATGTACCACAGAAGCTTATCCATGATATATTTACAATAATTATTTCTCCCACCCTTGTTTCATTTTTTTTTTTTGGTAGTTATTGATATAATGACTCCTATTTTCCTAAAGGTAAGTAATGATCTGTACTTTACTTTTTTCTGTTGGCAATGTACTATGTACTTTATTTAGAAACTTTTTTTTTCCATTTAATGAATTCAGGCTGGGCTTGGTAAACCCATTAAGGGACAGATAAGGCTCCAAAGAGAAGGTTATATTTAATCTGAGCTACAAAGAACTGTCTTAAGTAAATTACACATAAGACAGTTGGAAGAGGAGTGTACCCATAGGGGATGTTAAATGCAAATGCACAGAAATGAGAGAAAAGCGGCTGGTTAACAACACGTAGGCTCAAAAGGGTGTTTTATACCAAGTAGGAGATTGGGTTTTATCTTGTGGGAGATGTAATCAAAGACTTTTAGATGGGAAAATACATAACTAGATTTCATTTTAAAATATGACTATAATGGAATGTGGAGAATGGAATGGAGGAGCAAAGGCCTGAAGGAGGGAGACCTTACTAGAATCCGTGGCTATATTGCAAAATAGATACGATACAGAGGTCATGGTAGATGAGGAGCCAAGCAGAGGATCACTGAAATATATTAAGGCAGTGCATGAGTAGAGCAAGATGACTGGATATATGTTGGAGGGTGGGCGGTGGCGGGTAGGGGAATTTCTTGTGTGAGTGACTGAGTGCATGGTGGTACTAGTCACTGAGAAAGGAAATAAAAGAGTAAGAGATCAAGTCCCTCTCTCTGGGTATGCATGTATTGTTCTATGTGTGTTTGGGAGGATACTATGCATTCTATTATAAACCATAGATCTTGAGATACCTGAGACATCTAGGTGGAGTTGATCAGTAGGGAATTAGGAATAGGATCTGGACCTTCGGAGAGATAGCTGGACTTAAGATTTAAAAATCAGGGGCAATCATGAGTAGTTGAAGCCATGGGATCTGGTGAAATTATTCATCTATCCATTCTTTAACCACTAATGCAACATACATATAAAAATGTTGCATTAGTTGCAACATACATATAAAAATGCTTGCCTGTCATTGGGCTAAGGGGAGTACAGAATAAGTTATTAATGGCTTTGTAAGCATTTACAGAGAAGCAAAAGCTATTCCTTCCTTTAAAAAAATAATAACAGTGAATATTTACAGGGTGCTTATGCTGTGCCAGGCAGAGTTCTGCCTGCTTTATAGCTATTGTTCCTTTAATCTTCACAATAAACTTATGAAGTAGGTCCTATTCTCATTTTACAGAAATGGAAACTGAGGAAAAGAGCAGTTGAGGAATTTACTTAATGTTATCCATCCAATAAGTCTCCGAATCTTAATGTCCGTTGCAAGTTAGGATCTTATTATTAGAATATTCCCTTAACAGAGTTTTGTAGAGGAGGGAAAATTAAAAGAAAATGCTAATATATCAAATGGCATACAGTATTGTGGAAAAAAAAAAAAAAGAGACGTTACAGGTAGCTATGATAATTGCTACTATCATTAAAAATATTTAATTTGGAAATAAGATGTAGGAGATTCTGAATAGAATAATTTGAAAAAATAGGTTTTTCTGTCTCGAGCTTTTTGCATTTTTTCCTGTGGTGCTAACTGACTTTCAAGCATCAATTTGTTCTGGCTAGACATTCTCAGTCGGGTTCAAAGTTGGTGATACATAAAGCAACAATAGCAAAAACAAGTAACTTAAGTCATAGATGCATGCTGTTGAAAAATGTTAGTGGAATAAAATCACATCAGGGTGTACTTTTCATCTCTTAAAACATATGGAGTGACTTTTATTATTCAATATGGAATCATTTTTGATTGTGCAAGAGAAATAATACCTTATATTTGAATAGTACATTTAAATTTTCAAAGTTCTGTAAGATATGTTCTTTATTTTTCTAGGAGGTTTAAAAAATATAAAAAGCTATACTTTTTTATATTTGTGTATCACACACATGCTCCCAAATATATATATACACAGCATGTCCATGTCCAACTTGATCAATACATATATAGAGTTAAGACTTTTTTTTAAGTTGGATAGTATTCTCCCTATGTAAATACTAAAATAGAAAAATCAGTTAGTTTTAGTTGTTTAACTATTATATACTGGCGATTTTGTTCTGTAGTTTATATAGCTTGGAGTGAGATTATATTAGATTTTAATAGTATTGATGTCCTAGTCTGTTTTGTTGCCATAAAAGAATATCTGAGACTGGGTATTTTATAAAGAGAAGAGGGTTTTTTTTAGATCTCAGTTTTGTAGGCTGAGAAGTTCAAGAGCATGCAGTTAGGGCTTTTGTGCTGTGTCACAACATGGCAGAGAAAGTCAAAGGGGAAGTAAATACATTTAAAGAGGAAAATCTAAGGGGCATCCTGGCTTTATAAAAACTCACTGTCAGAGGAACTAATCCATTCCCCTGAGAACCAAGTCAGTCTTGTGAGAGCAATAACACAACTATGGCAAGAACAAGACCAAGCCATTCATGAGGGTTCCGCCCCCATAATCCAAATACCTCACATCAGGCCCCATCCCTCAACACTGCCACACTGGGGATTAAATTTCATCATGAGTTTTGATGGAGGCAAACAAACTCTACCCAAACCATAGAAACTGTATTATTATGAATATTATTTACAGAAGTTAAAAATGTTATGTTTGGGCATCATATGTTCTCAATCATAAGTGGGAGTTAAGCCATGAGGATACAAAGGCATGAGAATGATCCAATGAACTCTGGAGGCTCTGGGGCAAGAGTGGGAAGGGGGTGAAGGATAAAAGGCTACAAATTGGGTTCAACGTATACTGCTCGGGTGATGGGTACACCAAAATCTCATAAATCACCACTAAAGAACTTACTCATGTAACCAAATAACAACTATTTCCCAAAAATCTATGGAAATTAAAAAAAAATGCTGTTTGGGGACAACAGTATGAGAGAATTCATAATATTCATGTTACCATAGTACACTATCAAAGACTTTTTAAACTGATTTGATGACAGCTCATGATGATTTAATTTGCATTTCCCTCTGTCAGTGAGGAGACATATATGTAAATCTGTCTCTTTTTTTTTATGGATTCCCAGAATAGCAGCCCACCTCAGAGATAGTTAAATTCTTTCCATAATTAATTTCTTTTGTTCAGATCTTTAATTCATTTGGAATATTTTTTGTATAGAATGTAAAATAATGGTTTGAATTTATTTTCTTCCCATTGGAAAAAAGAGAGTATCATTTATTAAACCCATTTTCAATTCAAATTGAAATGAAATGTCAACATTATCAAAGGAGACAAAAACAGGGAATTCTAAGAGCAAATATATATATATATATATATATAACTTTATGCATTATAATTTTGTAACCATATTTAATAGCATAGTATTTGTATTCTCAAACCTTACTTTTTTAAATTGTTGTGTAGAATGTATCTTAAAGATCAGTCCGTTTTGTATGTACAAAGATTTTACATTTTAATAGCAGCATAAAATTTTTATTGAATAGATATACCAATGTTTTTGACTTACAATGGAGTTATGTCCTGAAATGGAAAAATAGGTTACACCACTGTAAGTGGAGACTATCTGTACTATTATTATTATTTAATTGTATTTTAAGTTCTGGGATACAAGTGCAGAACATGTTTGTTACACAGGTATACTTGTGCCATGGTGGTTTGCTGCACCTATGAACCCGTCATCTAGGTTTTAAGTTCCACATGTGTTAGGTATATGCCCTGTGTGATGTTCCCCTCCCTGTGTCCATGTGTTCTCATTATTCAACTCCCACTTATGAATGAGAACATGTGGTGTTTGGTTTTCTGTTCCTGTGTTAGTTTGCTGAGAATGATGGCTTCCAGCTTCATCCATGTCCCTGCAAAAGACATGAACTCATTCTTTTTTATGGCTGCATAGTATCCCATGGTGTATATGTGCCACATTTTCTTGATCCAGTCTTTCACTGATAGATATTTCAGTTGGTTCCAAGTCTTTGCTATTGTAAAAAGGTGGGAGTGTAAATTAGTTCAACCATTGTGTACTACTATTTATTAATCTTCTACTGATGAATTTTTAAATTATATCTTTTCTTTTTCTATTATAATCAGTGCTCCACAAATACCTTTTTACAAACATTATCTCACACGGGTACAACTCTGTCATGTACATTTTTAGATGTGGAAATAATGGGGTAAAATTTACACATCTTTTAAATTTTAATATATATTTCCAAATAGTGCTCTATAAAAGATGGAACAATTAGCACATTACAAAAATTACATGGTATGTAACACATTACAAACATTATCTATACTCATGTCAAATGTCTGTGTTAACTTTTTAATCTTTATGGATTTACTAAATAAATAGTATGAAATATAATTTTAATTTGTCTTTTTCCTGTTTTGAATGAGGGTAAGCAACATTTCATAAGGTTAGCAGTAACTTGTATTTGCCTGTTTTTCTATTTTATTTTTTAACATTTACCCTGTCAGTGTGTGTTAAATGAATTAGCTATTTGTTATATGTGTTATGAATGTTTGTCAGTTTTTCTTTTGGCTATGTTTATTGTAATTTTTCTTTTCCCTGAAGATTTATTTTTAAAGTAGATAAATTTAAATATTTTTTAATGGCCACTCTACCTTGTTTTAAAATAAAAATAAAACCTCTCCCATGCCAACATTATTTTTTACATTTTTTGAAGTACTTTAATGGCTTTTTTGTATGGTTAAATTCTGTATCCATTTGCTTTGTCACTATTCCTTTAAAATAAATATTAAAATTATTACGTCTAGTCCATGATAACTTTGTCTTCTTTTCCAAAAACTGTTTATAAAATTTCTCTGTTGATTACAGCTTATTTTTCCATGTGAACAGTACAATCAGTTTTTTTACCTTTAAATGAAGAACACTTTTAAAAATCATTTTCATATTTACATATAGTAAATTTTCTAACTCTATTTGTTTATTAAATGGATATTGCTGTTAGTATATGAATTTTGTTCCTATTTTATTCAATTATCTTCCTGCTTATAAAATATTTTTGTTGAATCTCTTGGGTTTTTTAGATATAAAATGAAACCAATGAATATAGTAATTTTACAGATTTATATCCAATTTATGCCTGCTATTTTCTCTTTGTGAATTGATTTGACTTTCACCCCCCGCCCCTCCCCCCACACACACTACTGTTAAATAACAGTAATGATGGTAGCCAGCTTTTATCTTAGTTTAATATGAATGCTTGCAGTATAATGGATTGCTCCTACTCTGCACTTTTGTGTATAGTCTTCATAGTAAATGTTAATATCTGACTGGACAAGTTCTTCCTCAGTAAACTTTTCAAAAGATTTTTATAATTTTTTTACATATCTGTTTATCTTTCTGAGCTTGAAAGGGTCATTCGGTTCCCAATCAAATCTCCCTTTTAAGTCTCAAGAGGCTAGTGCATTAAATACGTATATTAATTTGTAAAATATTTATACCTTACGATTTTAAGATATTAAGTCGTCTTTTCCATGATTGTTTCTCCATTTGTTCAGAAATTATTTTAAGTTATTCAAAACTGTAGGATTTGTATGTGTGTGTTTTTGATTGTGGCTAATTTTGTTTTTCATGCAAGTAAATCTTTATTAAAGTTGCCTTATTTCATTTTTTAAAATTTCCATTTCTGGTTACTTTAATGGTATATTAGGAAAAATATTAACTTAGTACATTTATCATATTCTTGGACACCTTACCAAATCGTTTATTTCAAATATCTTTTTATAATCTCATATAAAAGTATTTTTCTTTTGTTTCAATATTTGCAATATCTTTAGGCACTTAGGTAATTAGAATTAGTAGGATGATATAACTTATGTGGTGATAACAGGCATTTCTGTTGAATTTCTAATATTAATAGGAATACATTTTGTTCTTCAAATGTAATGTTTACAATTTTGTTAAACAATCTTCATTATATTAGCTGAGCATGGTGGCGCATGCCTGTAATCCCAGCTACTCGGGAGGCTGAGGTAGGAGAACTGCTTGAACCCAGGAGGTGGAGGTTGTGGTGAGCCAAGATCACGCCATCGCACTCCAGCCTGGGCAACAAGGCAAAACGCTGTCTTACAAAAACTAAAAAAGAAACTTCATTATGTTAAGGTAGTTTCTTTCTAGTCCTGCTTTACTTTACTTGTTTTTTATTATTCTCAAAGAGCTGCTGGAAGAAACTTGGTGCGTTGGAAGAACAGTAAGGGAGAACAGCATGACTAGAGTGGAGTAAGTGAGGGAGTGAACAGAAGATCAGAGAAATAAATCTAGGGAACAGATTATGTAGGACCTGACTGGGGTGACATCAGTACAGGATGAATCAGAGGAGAGAAATTGTTAACCATAAATTGAAATACTTGATCTAAAACAGTGTGTCTCGAACTATCTGTAGTGAAGATCCAAAACCTTTTGTTGTTGTTGTTTTGTTCTGTTACTTGGTTTCCAACTAGTGAAGGATTGAAACTTCCGTAAATTAATTATTCAAAAAATAAAAATCTAAAAAGACATACATAATACAAATCCAAACATAAATTACTCTGTTATGTTGCTATAAAATTATTCAAATGAAGGCCAGGCATTGTGGCTCATGGCTGGAATCTTAACATCCTTTGGGAGCCTGAGGCAGGAGGATCTCTTGAGCTCAGGTGTTTGAGGTTACAATGAGCTGTGATTGCTTCTAGCCTAGGCAATATAGCAAAAACATGTCTCTAAAAAATAATAAATAATTTAAAAATTTCAAATGATTTCTCATAATTTCACCACATATCTTATTGTATCTGGTAGCTCACAGTTCGTGGACTCATGTAAGTCAAGGGACATGCTTTGAATAGGACTATCTCAGAGAGCTAGAGAGAGTAAACCAGGAAAATAGAGTGTAATTGATGTGACTACTAAGATAGTGATCATAAAAGTAAAATGAGACTCTTAGCGTGATTTTTTTTAAACCAGTTTACCTTTGTAGGTAAATTTACAGAGCCAGGTAATTGAACCATAAAGAGAGAGAGAAGTTGAGGATGTATTTAATATAGTAACCAAATGATTGGACATGAAACTTAAACTCCATTGAAGAGAATTAAGTGTGCAGAGGAGGAGATGTAGGACAGCTGAAAATGAATTAATCCATGTCCCTGCAAAGACATGAACTCATCCTTTTTTATGGCTGCATAGTATTCCATGGTGTATATGTGCCACATTTCCCTTATCCAGTCTATTACTGATGGGCATTTGGGTTGGTTCCAAGTCTTTACTATTGTGAATAGTGCTGCAATAAACATACGTGTGCATCTGTCTTTATAGTAGAATGATTTCTAATCCTTTGGGTATATACACAGTAATGAGATTGCTGGGTCAAATGGTATTTCTGGTTCTAGATCCTTGAGGAGTCACTACACTGTCTTCCATAATGGTTGGACTAATTTACACTCCCACCAACAATGTAAAAGCGTTCCTATCTGTCCACATCCTCTCCAGCATCTATTGTTTCCCGACTTTTTAATTATCACCATTCTAACTGGTGTAAGATGGTATCTCATTGTGGTTTTAATTTGCATTTCTCTAATGACTGGCCATCATTCTCAGCAAGCTAACACAGGCATAGAAAACCAAACACCGCGTGTTCTCACTCATAAGTGAGAGCTGAACAATGAGAACACATGGACACAGGGAGGGGAACATCACACACTGGGGCCTATTGTGGGGTGAGGGGTGGGGGAGGGATAGCATTAGGAGAAATACCTAATGTAGATGGCAGGTTGATGGGTGCAGCAAACCACCATGGCACATGTATACCTATGTAACCTGTATGTTCTGCATGTGTATCCTAGAACTTAAAGTATAATTTAAAAGAAAAGAAGAAAAATGAATTAATCATCATATTAGGGGTTGGAGGCTTGTTGGATTGAGGTACTAGGGAACCTGAGCTAGTAAAAAGGGAAGCTGTGTTCATAGAATGGGATTCTTTAAATTTAATGTTTGGAGAGAGCACATATTTTGGTAATGACAGAATTTTGATTGTAACCATAAGAGTGGCTGATTGGATATGATCTTGGGTGAAGAAAAGGTAAAGGACCAAGAGGCTATTGTGTTGAAAAAGTGTCTTCAGATGCAGTAACATCATGAAGAATGAAGCAGAAAAAGTTTTGGGGACTGAGTAAGGAAGAAAAAAAACTTCAATGAAGTTCCAGGCTTGAGAGTCAAGAAATGACTGCAACAAGGAGGGATAATAGATGTCCTTAGAGGACCTGAAATAGAAGAGCAGGGAATTTTCCAGACAAGGGAAGGAAAATAATCTGGAAGTTGCAATGAGTTTCTACTGAGTGCCCTCCTCTAGAATCGAATGGCGAGGAAGAAGAGTAGCGGTATGGTTGGAAAATAGCTATTAAAGGGCAGGAGCGATGGCTCATGCCTGTAATACCAGCACTTTGGGAGTCCGAGGCGGGTGCATCACCTGAGGTGAGGAGTTTGAGACCAGCCTGGCCAATATGGCAAAACCCCGTCTCTACTAAAAATACAAAAAAATTAGTCAGGCGTGGTGACAGGCACCTGTAATCCCAGCTACTCAGGAGGCTGAGGCAAGAGAATCACTTGAATCTGGGAGGCAGAGGTTGCAGTGAGCTGAGATCTTGCCATTGCACTCCAGCCTGGCGACAGAGCCAGACTCTGCCTCAAAAAAAAAAAAATAAAAGGAAGAAAGTAGCTATCAATTGAGAGGGCTCAGCCAAGCCCATGTCCTCAAGGGTGAGCCAGGTTTAAGGGAAAGCAGAAGAGCTGAAAAGCATGTTAAGAAGAGGTTAACAATCACAGAATTTTGCTGATGACAGAAATTAATTTTAAAAGGCTTAGTGGAGGTTTTTTGTTTTTTTTTTTTTTTTTGCATTTGAAAGGAGTTACAGACAAGATTAAAAAATGGGATGGGTAAAACCTTATAGGTATAGAGCCTGAGCCCATGATTCTTAAACTTCTCCTAAATGCCTGACCTAAATAAGGATAAAGTACACAGAGAGAAGATATTTATGTGCTGGGAGCCGTTTCTCCCATTGTGAGACACAGTACTACTGGATTGCTACACTGCAGCTAGTTCTTAGCTAGAGCATATCAGCAAAGATAGTGTGTGCCTTCACTGTGCAAGGGCGTGTCAGTGGAGAAGTAAATAGAACCTCTAAAGGATTGTTCTGGCTACCTGGTAAAAGAAAGTCAAAAAATTAGAAATAAACTAAGAGAATGCTAGCATCATCAGCCATGATTATTAAAATGCACTTCCTATCTTCTTTCTCTGCATTCTTTCTGTCTCAAAATTTTTCCAACATTCTAGAATATCTTGTGCATGCATGGGCTCACTGCTGTAACTGTCCCTGCATTCTATCTTCTATCCATGACATTTTCAAAAAATGGGAAAGAAGAAATGAGCCATGGATCTTTTAAACTCTGAACAGATGTCGCTAGCAACCTGCTGGTTTGAAGGGGTCAACATAGCAAGTTTGCATAAAATATAAATTGCAGAAGGTTTTTAATCCTGTTTCTTCAAAATGATTCCCTTTATTTTTTCCAAAGAAGATACTTGTCTTGGGTATCCAAATGTTATATATGGTTCCTTATTCTCTAGATATTTTTGGTTTAAGTTCTATTGTTTTAAGCCAGTTAATTCTTTAAATGATAGTTTTCCCTTTTCATTTCCATATCTTTTGTTTTATTATTTTCTAAAGCACCTAGGTATTGATTGTGACAAACAGGGTTTGATTTTCTGGTTCACTAGACTGACACACCACAAAGGGAAAGGTGGAAGGTTAGTGGTCCAGAAAACAGACACGGCTGACTCTGTAATCTTTCTGTATATATGCATACAATCCATCTCTTCCAGCTCTCTCAAGATATGCATATACATCAATAAAAATAGAAAAAAGAACTGAGTCTTTTCCCTATCTATTAATTTAACAAAGCTGCTTTTAAATGTTTTTCAAAATATGAAAAATTGGCTGAATTTGAGATTCAATGAGATTGTTTTGTACCTTTTAATGGGCTCTTTAAAGTATTTTTTTCTTTTTTTTTTTTTTTTCATTTGTCACTCCATCTCTTCAATGATGTACACAGAATTTCTTTATCCCAGTTTAAACATTGTAAAAGGTAAGCTGGAAAAGTTAGGTTAGTTCAAAAGGGTAAAATTAGGTAAGTGAGATCATGGAATTAAGGTCTTAGCACAATGAAAAAGGAGAACTTTGGAACCATAAAACAGTAGAAAAATGACAAGAAGTAGAATGTCATGGAATTGCTTTGCAAGCGAAATTAATATGGCTATGTACCAAAAATGAAAGAGCAAGAACATATTCTATATTTTTTGAGCTTCTTAAAAGCATTCTAACTATCATAGCTCTTGTGAGCGATGCAACAATACAAAAGAGGAAGGAAGGTAAAGGAGGAGAAAAGAAATAAGAAAGTCATTTTTAAACTCTGTTCAGTGGCCTTGGGAGTCAAACACATAAACTATGCAAACAATTTCCTAAATTTGGTGAGATCACCTACTTTATTTCACTATCAATTCTGGGCCTCTCTTGGCCACCACTTTTATGCTTTTGTTTCATATTTTATGAAAGTTTTATTTTGTTATCTAAGTAGTCAGACTTTAAATGGAAAAATAAATTAGCAAATAAAGAAATGTGTTTTATTTACTTTTCTTTTCTCACTTCTCTCATATTCTCTCTCCCTCTTATTCACTCTTCCTAAAAAATTAGACATATTCATTTCTTCTTCCAAAAAATAACTAACAATTTACTCTATCACTTATAGAACTAATCCCAGCTGAGATGTGCCACAGTAAGTTTGCCAAATTTTTAGGAAATGCATTTATTTTATACTTTAAATTTTTATACTTTATGATTTCAAATAGCAAAGTGCTTAAGAGACTAGGGAAAGAGCAAAGGACAGTTTAATGAATTGAAACTAGGAAATCGTGAGTAAAGAGAAGTAGTTGGCTATGTCAAAAACGTGAGAATTTTAATTATGAAAATGAACTGTTGGATTGGAATATTTAACTGGCTAATGAGCCATTTTTGTGAAGAAGGTAGTTTTAAGTTATGTTATTTAGGCAGATGTGTGCAAATTCAATAGCTCCCAAACAAAATATAACTCTTAATCATTATATGTTATAATTCTGCATAATAGTAGAGAGCATATTTACAGAATAGTAGCTAGTTTAAAATTTGTGTAGAATATCAGTTTTCAAAACATAGATGCTTTTAAAATATTTATTAATTATCTAACTAAAATTAACCAGATACCAGATTAATAAATCATTTGAAATAGTGAAGAAAAGACACTATCAATTAAATATGCATATTTAACATTTTACTTCTTAAAAGAGGCCAAATCTAGTATTGTAAAAGTTACTAAAAAAGACACAATCACCATCTGGTGCCAAAGCAAAGAAACTGTTGTTTTAAGGATTTACTTTCTTTTTTTTATTTATTTATTTATTTTTTTTTATTATACTTTAAGTTCTAGGGTACATGTGTACAATGTGCAGATTTGTTACATATGTATACGTATGCCATGTTGGTGTGCTGCACCCATTAACTTGTCATTTACATTAGGTATATCTCCTAATGCTATCCCTCTCCCCACCCCATGACAGGCCCTGGTGTGTGATGTTCCCCTTCCTGTGTCCAAGTGTTCTCACTGTTCAATTCCCACCTATGAGTGAGAACATGCGGTGTTTGGTTTTCTGTCCTTGCAATAGTTTACTGAGAATGATGGTTTCCAGCTTCATCCATGTCCCTACAAAGGACATGAACTTATCCTTTTTATGGCTGCATAGTATTCCATGGTGTATATGTGCCACATTTTCTTAATCCAGTCTATCATTGTTGGACATTTGGGTTGGTTCCAAGTCTTTGCTATTGTGAATAGTGCCGCTATAAACATACATGTGCATGTGTCTTTATAGCAGCATGATTTATAAACCTTTAGGTATATGCCCAGTAATGGGATGGCTGGGTCAAATGGTATTTCTAGTTCTAGATCCTTGAGGAATCGCCACACTGTCTTCCACAATGGTTGAACTAGTTTACAGTCCCACCAACAGTATAAAAGTGTTCCTATTTCTCCACATCCTCCCCAGCACCTGTTGTTTCCTGACTTTTTAATGATCGCCATTCTAACTGGTGTGAGATGGTATCTCATTGTGGTTTTGATTTGCATTTCTCTGATGGCCAGTGATGATGAGCATTTTTTCATGTGTCTGTTGGCTGCATAAATGTCTTCTTTTGAGAAGTGTCTGTTCATATCCTTTGCCCACTTTTTGATGTTTTTTTTTTTTTTTCTTGTAAGTTTGTTTGAGTTATTTGTAGATTCTGGATATTAGCCCTTTGTCAGATGAGTAGATTGCAAAAATTTTCTCCCATTCTGTAGGTTGCCTGTTCACTCTGATGGTAGTTTCTTTTGCTGTGCAGAAGCTCTTTAGTTTAATTAGATCCCACTTGTCAATTTTGGCTTTTGTTGCCATTGCTTTTTGTGTTTTAGACATGAAGTCCTTGCCCATGCCTATGTCCTGAATGCTATTGCCTAGGTTTTCGTCTAGGGTTTTTATGGTTTTAGGTCTAACATTTAAGTCTTTAATCCATCTTGAATTAATTTTTGTATAAGGTGTAAGGAAGGGATCCAGTTTCAGCTTTCTACATACGGCTAGCCAGTCTTCCCAGACCATTTATTAAATAGGGAATCCTTTCCCCATTTCTTGTTTTTGTCAGGTTTGTCAAAGATCAGATGGTTATAGATGTGTGGTATTATTTCTGAGGGCTCTGCTCTGTTCCATTGGCCTATATCTCTGTTTTAGTACCAGTACCATGCTGTTTTGGTTACTGTAGCCTTGTAGTATAGCATGAAGTCAGGTAGCGTGATGTCTCCAGCTTTGTTCTTTTGCTGTAGGATTGTCTTGGCAATGAGGGCTCTTTTTTGGTTCCATATGAACTTTAAAGTAGTTTTTTTCCCAATTCTGTGAAGAAGGTCATTGATAGCTTGATGGGGATGGCATTGAATCTATAAATTACCTTGGGCAGTATGGCCATTTTCACGATATTGATTCTTCCTACCCATGAGCATGGAATGTTCTTCCATTTGTTTGTATCCTCTTTTATTTCCTTGAGCAGTGGTTTGTAGTTCTCCTTGAAGAGGTCCTTCACATCCCTTGTAAGTTGGATTCCTAGGTATTTTATTCTCTTTGAAGCAGTTGTGAATGGGAGTTCACTCATGATTTGGCTCTCTGTTTGTCTGTTATTGGTGTATAAGAATGGCCCTATAGCTCAGGGGTTAGAGCATTGGTCTTGTAAGATATTTACTTTCTATGTCTGTGCCCTAACCATAAGTGATTAAATGATATACTCCTTTCTGAGATGAAGGTTGGATGGGATGATGTTATAAAATCCTCATACATAGTCTACTGTGTTATTTCTGAAATATCAGATTCATGATAGGATTTATAGACGCTTCTAAACAGGCGGAGTTTAACACTCACATGGATTATTGCATTTAAATCTGACAATAACTCCATGAGGCTTTACTCTTAATTTTTTCATTTCATGGATGAGGAAACTGAGATTTACACAGATTAATTACTTGCCAGTGTCGCATAGGTGGTAAATGCACCGCTTAGATTTGAATCCAAACCAACTTCCTCTTTTAAGGGCCTGTGCATTCTAAAATATATAAATTGCTTAGCCCAGAAGCTAACCAACCCTCAAATTGTTCCCAATAAAGTAATTAATGTTATTTTTTTTATCATTGTCAGAAGCTATTAGGGCAGAGTTGCAGTGTGCAATGCATGGTGGACTCTGCAATGTGCAGTTGAATTGAGAAGCATCTTACTTAATACCTCATATTTTCTGACTGTAACCACTTGTTTCAAATTCCTATCAGGAGTCTCACAATAACTTGGCCTATATAGCTAAATGAGTAAAGTAAAACAAACAGCTCTCTGAAGAATGGATTGCCTTGGTTTCACATATTCTTCTTTTAGAGCAAAATGTTAGACCTACTTTAGAAAAATAAAATTATAAAACTTTAAAGTTAAAAGTAAAACTACCAGAAACTTCAGATTCATTATAAATCTGAAAATGAATTTGTCAATGTTCGATCTTATTACCTTATTTATATCAGATAGCTATTTAGAGTTTACAAAACACTTTCACAAAAGATTTTCTATTTGATATAATCATAATATATCTGAGATAGAATTTTTGCATTGAAATTGCCTTATGTGTAGGTTAAAATAGTCAAATATTGTCAATTTTGTATTCTTCAACATAATGATACCCATTTTAGAGAGGAGTAAACCCAGGCATAAAAAATAATTTTAAAAAACCCTTATTACTAATATATGGCCACCAAATTCATTTGCAAAATTAATAGACAAAAGTCACATCATCAAAGCCTTTTCTATTAAATTCTCAACAACAAAAAATAAACTAGAAATGAATATCCTTCATTGAGGGTTTGAGTACATTACAAAGAGCAAGTATTTCATATAAAGTAAATTGCTTTTGTCCATGCCTTGATTTGTTTAAAAAGATAATTTCAAATCTGAAATTCCTTGCCTGTCAGTGGGTTAAATGTCTGCTCTTCCTCCTAGAACCTCTGTCACTCAATGAAGAGTTGTAATAAGTGGAAGGTACCCATACTGCAGCTTATTTCTAAATTATTGAGCATTTCCTACCAGCTTTTATTTAAAAATAAAACAAAATAAAACTTTTTTTCCTCTAAATCCTGAAAAGTATTTTTGATAATCATTTGCTAGAATACAACATATGATTATTATGGATCTTCAGGGTGATAGATGACTCATTTGCTTGTTGAAAATCACATGAAAGACCCTTCTTAGGCCAAGTCTGTGCCTTACACATCTCTTTATCCCCTGCTCTGTGAGCACAGTTCTTTATACATAACAGATACTTAATGGATTTTCTGAGTTGAGTTGAATTAACACACACACACAGACACACACACACACACACACAACCTCTTGGGTTTAACATCGAAGGATGTTTTTGTCTTTAAAATGTTATCAAGACATGCATTAGTTATTTTTGATTTAGTGCTTTGGATTTCTTCAGGACAATGTGCTTTTCCTTTGTCACTAAAGTACTTTGATCCAGTAATCTTGAGACCATGATAGAGTACATGCATGACAATGGCATACGTGATTCAATCCTTTGGGAAGAAGATGTAGTCATATCCCAAGTGAGTGTGAAATTGTATTCCTCCCTCTCTCACTTTAGTATGAGACAAATATGCTTGCTGCCTCATTTTTAATTGAAAACTTTTAGAATATCTAGCAAATGTTTTGAAAGAGAATGCATAGAGACCCCTAAATAAAATTTGGAGAGTCTGTAGAGGGAAAATGTTATACAGTACAACGTTGTGGGGATTTGGAAAAGCCCTAAGACCTTTCTTTTCTTATTCCTTTTCAGTTTAGAAGGCTTTATTCTCTCTTTTAGGACAATTGAGTGAAAAAAACTTACGGATGATTTTAACAGGTCACAAATATGTTTCCTGGTTTTGAACAAGGGCGTCTATATTATCTCAAAATTGTGTTAAAGATGGAGCATTTAGCAACCAGGAAGACAATGAGTGTAAAACACAAAATTAACTCATCAAGTTACTGTAATTTTCTCTCTTCTTGTCTCCAGCTGATTAGTGCAAATTAACCGCCTGAGCAGTTAGCCTGCAATATGGAAATCTTAGCTATCTGCTGAGAAGGCAGACTTTTTTCTTTGTTTTAACTATATCTATGTAGAATTCCAGAATTCTTGAATGACATTGCTGTATTTCTTAACGCTGCTTTGAACTTAAAGGACATGTTTGTATGTCTGTTTTGAGCTTTGAGAATTTATTAACCTTAATATTATTATGATTATAATCTTTATAAATTCCTTTATAGGAATTCAAAAGAAAAAAAGGGAAATAAAATGCTTAGATACCTCATCTCTTAATTGAAGATAATAACTATCTCACTAGATTATTGTGACAGTTAAAAACTAAATAATGTGTGGAATAAATGTTTAGAATACAGTGTGGTCCAGAGTGTGCATTTGATATCCTTTTAAAATTGTTCTTATTAGGCCATTGAATTTGATTCAGTGAAATGTACTACTTATTTCAATCTCTTCGCTCTCAGAAAATGAGATATGTAGGCAATTTCTATCCATTACATTTCATATGGTCCATAGAGAGCTTGAAAAACAAGAACTAGTTTACAAAAAAGTCAGCTCTTGACCAATTATTAGAAATAGAATGATGTGTTTTGTTAAAAAGAAAGTTGAAAAGTTAACTAATCTCAGAAAGGAAACAAGTGGTATACCTGGTAGGAAATAAACTATAATTTTTTTGGAGGTGCATCTACAAGGGATAATCAAAGTTTTGTAATAAGATGTGATAAATATAACTGCCTGAAACAAAAATCAAGAAGAGTTTTTGTTTCTGCTGTTTTTTTCCTTTATCTATAAAATAATTGGCAGCCATTTCTAGGTTTAAAAAAATTAGTGCAAACTGAACATTGAATATTTTTGAAGCATCAAAACTTTACCTTTTATCTCTGAATGCATTAAAATATTCCATCCTATACACAGTTTCCATGTATAGTAATTAATGCATTTGTTTGGTACAAAGTTTTAATCAAGAATAATGTACCAGGCTTTTTCCTTGATGTTGGGAGTTAAGCACTGAACAAAGACAGTTTAGTTCCTGCACTCAAGTAACTTATTGGAGCAAGGAAGACATATATGATGATGAGTTATATGAAAGAGACATCCAAGGGAAGTCTAAATGTATTTTTGTAAGGACAAACCAAATGCTTATTTTTAAGATTTAGTGAGTTTTAACAGACTTAGAAACAAATAATATATCTTAAGAGCATACTCATGCCAGGGAATGACCCATTGCCTCGATATTTTTCAAACTTGCATGATTTGAAGGATTTGGTTAAAAATGCTGCTAACTCCATTGCTTACTTGGAACCACACTAAAGCATTGCTCTTCAATTTTACCTCTTGAAATTATTTGTCTACAAATACTCAGATTTTAAAATGTTGTATTATTTACCCCAATTATCAGCTCAACATTCCTTAACCACGAAGTTAAAAATCACTGTGTAATTGGAGACAGAAAGTGGTGAGGTAGTCTAATAAATTTAAACTATTGTGATAGGGTCTATCTGTGATTTTTTTAAACCTTCTAATTTTTGTGTAATTGCTTTCTTATTTTTCATTTTCTCCACTTTCTATTAAATCATTCTGATTAAAACTACTTGCCATCTGTCCCTTGATATCTGATTCAACCTGATTTAAAAGCATGTTTAAAGACTACAGTACTAGTGTTTTAAAAGAAACTCCACTAAAAGTGACACAAAACACCAAGAATTATCTCTAAGAACAGTAGTATTTAAACTCAACCACACTTAAAATGATTCTTTTGAATTGTTAAAAAAAAAAAAAAAAAATGAAGTAGCCAAACATGTAATTCTTATCCTACAGAGGCAATATTATCTTTCTATTTATAAAATAGAAGAAATCACTTCAGTTATATTGATATGGAGATAGAAAAGTGTTAGTGACAAAAGTCAATGATAAATGAAAAGATACTTGGGGCATTCCTGAATTTGCTTGTAATCGTTATTAATACATCTAGAAAAAATGATTAAGGAAGATTTTAATAAAATATCTTATAAAACTGAGAGATGTAAACTGAATGGACAGATAATGTTACCCACGAACTAACAAAGTTATACAAGTGGTCAGGGTGTTGCAAAATGAGCTGCAATACTGAAAACACACTATCACATAAAATATGCAATCCAAGGAAAATCCAATATACAATCAATGTGTGGTAAGACTATGGAAAGTCATCTCGTAGAAATAAGAGTAAAATATACTTTCCAGTCTTTGTTGGACAAAATGGTTTTTGTCAAGGTGAGATTAGAAAAGGCAGAGTTTATAGAAAAAAAAAAATCATTCAGATCTGTTCCTGCCTGTATTACTTCAAGGAAATCAAATACATACTTCAGACGTCAATTTTTTCTATTATAAAAATAAAGATGATACTGGTTTCCATACTACCTTCTAAGGAGCCCCTGGGATTTGGTAAAGGTTTTTGGGCACTATCATGGGGATGGCGAGCCTACTAAGTTAGTAATTAAAACTGGGAAACTTAAAACATGTAGCACATGACTGGATAAGCCTCATTAAAATTTAAGTTAAAGATGATTATATGGCTATTAGAAGGGGAATAAGAACAATTATCTGGATTACTTGACTTCCATATTGGATTTACCTAAATTGCCTAGGAATATTATCAGAAACGATTTTTAAAAGAACAAAAAACAACACTGAGTATTTGCTTTACTTCTTTGTGAACATACAGTTACAAATTTTAATTCATTTTCCATCATTTAATAAGTTATGCACTTAGTATCTTTATTTTAAAATGAAAACGTTTCCTCTCATAATTGTTACAGATTTTAATATAATAACAAATCACTGTAATAGGCTAGAGTATATGAATGTATTATACAGTTTTTTTACTTTAGGAATCTAAAATGACTGTCACATTTAATTTCACATTGTCAAAATAAACATACTGCTATTTAAAGAACTCATTCTTTAAATAAGTTTCACAGGAAAAAAGAAAACTCTCCATTATTTTTATTTATAATGAAATTGCTTTTTGGTGTCATGATCAGAATTAGTACCCTAATGCAGGCAATACATGGGGAATACATATACATTCTATTTAATCATTCTCTTACGATGCTTTCATGTTGTTTTAGGATGTAAGAAGACTGTGAATCAACCCATTTAATTAGGGTGTGTGAAAGCAAAATGAAAATTCTTTAGTTTTTTTCTGGCTCATAAGCCTTCCAACCACACCCCATCTCTGCCTTTAAAAATGCTAGTCAGGTGGGGCGCGGTGGCTCACGCCTGTAATTCCAGCACTTTGGGAGTCCGAGAGGGGCGGATCATGAGGTCAGGAGATCGAGACCGTCCTGGCTAACACGGCAAAAACCCGTCTCTACTAAAAAACACACACACACACACACACACACACACACACAAATTAGCCGGGCATGGTGGCGGGAGCCTGTAGTCCCAGCTACTCGGTAGGCTGAGGCAGGAGAATGGCGTGAACTCGGGAGGCGGAGCTTGCAATGAGCCAAGATCACGACATTGCACTCCAGTCTGGGTGACAGAGCCAGAATCCATCTCAAAAAAAAAAAAAAAACAAAAACAAAAACCTATTCATTTTGCAAAGTCCTATTTAAGTGAATTGGAATGTTCTTGGAATGGGATGAGCCTGCAACCTCAGAAAATTAGTAGCAGTAGTGTCCAGGGTATTATCTGGGTTTATTGAATCCTTGTCTATTCCTATCACATGTTGTGTGTGTGCTGATCTTTAGCCTACTCTTGGACTATGTAGTAAGAACAGTCTGGAATGATGAAGGAGAGGAGTCAAATCACAAGGCCATGTTTAAGATATGGCTTCGAGTAACTATAATCCTTGAAAGTCCACATGCTTTTTTTTTTCTTTCAGAAAAAGAATATAAAGACCAAAGAACATTATCCACTATGACCATACTATAATTTTGTTTCAAAATATGTGCAAGTTCTAGAAAATGGACACTCCTACATTGTATTTTTGCTTCATTGGTTTTACTTTCCGTCATGTTTGTTTTGTTTCCTTCGGAAAGGAGTGTACGTTACTACAAGTGTGTTAGAGAGATAACTACCCTCAAGGGTGCGGTTTTAATAGAATCAAGGAGAGCTTTGGCATGCCCCTGATTTAAAAATAAATTTTTTTTTTTGCATTAGTATGCCTGTTTTCATGACATGTATGTGTGTATGTGCACATATGGACGCACCCACACACTTAATTACGAATTTTCCTCTGACAATTTATACAAACAGGAGGCAGGGAAATGCTGGGTAGAAGAGGGCAGTTCCCCAGGAAAGGCCCCACCTTCAAGCCTGGAAACCCATGGCCCTAAATGGGAAGAGGCATTCCTGTTTTCACACTCTAATATTGCCTTTTCCAAGACTACTCTGACCCACCACACCCCTATCCTTTGTTCATATAAACCCCAACTTCCACTGGCAGATCGGCAGATTGGTATGACAGAGGAGAGAAGAGAAGGGGCATCTGAATATCAAGAGGAGTTTTGCTACAGACAGTCAGGAGATCAGCCATGAAAGGCCAAATTCCAGGGGAAGATCGTCTTCACACTCCATCCCCTTTCCAGCTTCCCTTCCACCCCACTGACAGCCACCTCCATCACTCAGTAAAATCCCTGAATTCATCATCTAAGTCTGAGTGACCTGATTCTTCCTGGCCACCAGACAAGGACCTGGGTACCAAGAGAGCAGGGTGTAAAAGACTGTCACCCTGACTTTTCGCTAAGCTGATTTAACACTTAGCTGTCCACGGAGGCAACTGTTAAAAGAGCATTAATTGTAGCACACCCTTAGACGCTACCATGGGGCCAGAGCCCAAAAGAGGTTGCCCTGGCTCCTGCACCTGCCTGCCTGTGTGCCCCCTCTCCCATAAGGGGTTTGAGCACATGGCAGCCGAGCAAACGAGCCACACCCCTGTGGCAAGTCCTGTGAGGGGGTCAGTGAATTCTCCTGCTTCACCATAATTCGTGACATTTTAAAATTGAATTGTTTTTCATATTTCATGATAGCTCCATACATAGAATGACCTGTTAAATAAATGCTATTTAGAATTTCGGGGAATAGATAATGTTGCTTTAAAATTGCATGAGTTTTCTAACAGCTGAACTTAGACTAGTTTCATTTATATTACTGTATCTTTGTATCTGAGTGTCCTAATAGTGACTGCTACCAATAAGTAGTATAAGTATGTGAGGAAAGAGAAATGACAATATAATTATCATGACTTCTTTCAAGTTGGGGAAATATTAATAGCTTTTTGCATTTAAAATTAATATAAATTAACATTAAAATAATTTTTCTGCCATGAATTTAAGAGTAAAATATTTACATTTTTAAACACCATCTTTCCATACATTTTAGCATCTATTTCCAGAGGTGAGGTACCAGTGTTGGTTCTGCATAATAATAAAACCCTTTCAAAGAACTAGAACTTAAAAAAAAATGAATTGCAAACCTCATACAGTATAGAATTAAAATGCTAGACCATTAAAACTAAGCAGTTGTACAAACTTTAAGAAAAGATTTTAAAATTGTTTTTAAAGGGACCAAATGAATCAATTGTTATTTAAAAGAACCTTTATTCAGCATTGTGTTGGCTAAATACTTCATGTGAGTTCTTGTTTTAAGGCAAGTCACCCTCATTTTTTTTATTGCTTATTTAAGAAAGCTTTTTAGTGGATCTTTATTTAAGAAACACCCATAGTCTTTTTGTTGGTTTGTTTTAACTGAGCTTTTTAGTTGCTCTGAAAGCAGTAAATCTCTTTGGTTCACTGTGTGCTTTGATAGAGATTTTTTTCTTGCCAGCAATTTCTTGCTTCCTATTTTTGAAAAGACCAGTGTTCTGCCTTCACTTAAATGTGAAATGGAGAAAATTAAAAGTTAGTTTTATGTGTTTGTTTCTTTTAGGAATAAAAGTATAATTAACAACTTTATAGAGAGAAGGTTTGTCCACAGAGCTAGTGATTTCCATAGTATTAGTACAAATTTGTAAAGAATTTTGTAATATGCATATTATCAATTTGCCTTTTCAAAAGTCTGTATCAGCCTATAATTTTATCACAGGCTTAATTTAACAATTCTCTCCTTAACACTGATGAACTTTTTTAAAAAAATATTTTTCCAAATCTGATAGGTTTAAAAAAATGCAGCTTAATGTTGTTGGATTTAGATTTCTGGGATTATTAATCAATTTGCCTTTTTCAAATACAGTTGATTTTCATTATTTGCAGTAGTTCCATTCAGTAAAGTTACCTAGACAATTGAATTAGTGAATACTAAATCATTACTCCTAGGGGATGTACAAGGTTAGGTTCTTGCAGGCTTCTGGTCACAACATTTTATTTTCATCAACCGATCCATAATATAATCTTTTACATGTGCCTCTGTTGAAGGACATTGTATTTATTATAAATTGTTTAAATATTGACATTGAACTCACAAATAGCATTATTTTGTTTCAAAATATGTACAGATAGCATTATAACTCGTGCTTGAACAAAGCTTATTTTAACGTATTTTTTTCCCTGTAAGGCACATCACACTGGTCTTACGTTTAGGAACATTAGACAGCACCTCAGCACTACACTTGGGGGCCATTTTAAATAGCAAAATTACCAACCAAAAGCAAAGAATTAGAAAAATGTGGTATTAAAAGACTGTGAAAAGGAAACATTCACAGTATGAAAGCTGAAGCAAAGAAGGCAGAACATTGTCCTGCTTGACCTCAGCAGGGAAAATGGGCAGCAGGCAACTCAAATTTTTGATTTCTGAGCATGTTCATGAATGACCACAAAAGACACTGCTATTTGATGCAGAATTTCTTTTTTTCTTCTTAGCTCAGCTAGGTCTGGGTTCTTGTCTCATGACCAGGAAAAATTAGGCACACAGACACTCAGAGAGTGAGTGGAGTAGAATTTATTTATTTATTTATTTATTTATTATTTATTTATTTATTTATTTATTTTTGAGGCAGGGTCTCACTCTGTTGCCCAGGCTGGAGTGCAGTGGCTCGTTCTTGTCTCACTACAAGCTCTGCCTCCCGAGTTCACGCCATTCTCCTGCCTCAGCACCCCCAGCAGCTGGGACTACAGGTGCATACCACCATACTGGGCTAATTTTTTTATATTTTTGGTAGAGACGGGGTTTCACCATGTTAGCCAGGATGGTCTCGATCTCCTTGTGATCCGCCTGCTTCGGCCTCCCAAAGTGCTGGGATTACAGGCGTGAGCCACCACTACCGGCTGGAGTAGAATTTGTTAAGTGAAAGGGGAAGGCTCTCAGCAAAGAGAGGGGTCTTGAGAGCAGGTTCCTAGTTGCTGCCTTCACAGTTGAATCCAAGGGCTTTTACATACAAGCTGATAGGGCTGGATTTTATATTTGTATAAGGTGTGAATTACTGGTGGCTCCACCGTATTCCCCTAGTATGCATGTGGGTCCTTAGTCCACTGTGGCCATGTTTAGGCAAGCCCCGTAGTACAAGGTCCCTTAAGTGCACAAAACACAGGAGGGAGGTTCTCTGGGGACTCTTTCCTTACTGTCCACCTAAAGCAAGCTGGCTAACTCCTTTCATATTGACTGTTGATTAAAGGTGAAAAATTTTAAAATAAATATAAGCAAGTAAACAAATTTGCAAATATGAAATCTGAATAATGAGGATTAACTGTACTTGTTTGCTATTTGCATTTTTTTTCAGCTTTCCTCTGTCTTGGTTTTTCTATTGGGATTTTAGAATTTTTATTTGTACAGGCACAGTATACATTAAGTATATAAACTCTGTCATGTTTGTTACATGCTTTTATTCCAGTTTATTTGCTTTTAATTTTTTTCTGACATTTTTGATATTTTTATTTTATTTTTATTGCATTATGGTCAAACAATACAGTCTCTTAAATACGGAGGTGTTTTGACTGTGGTATCTTATCCCACGATCACAAGGACTGATTTAGCTTATTTCATGGGGTGACTGGCTGGCTCTTCGCCTTGCCATTTCATTCACTTCTTTCCAAAGTAGACTGTTGAATGGAAGAGGCTATTTTCCCCAGGTGGCTATTTTGTTTTGATATGTAAACTTTTAAAATGTGGCTATATATTTAGTGTGGGGACCCACTTAAAGCCTAGAGTTGGTATAATGATTGTTTTAAGTTGAAAATTTTAAGATTCAACAGACATCAAAATAAGCCTTCTCAGAATTTCCCTTATTTGACTAAAGGCAGAAAATTCTGGGAATGTTCTGCTATAAATCCCCTCTTAGGTGTGGTTTGACTCCCAGAAAGGAAATCAAAAGTGAAACTATCGTACATTCCCTCTCTAGGGTAGTTTTAGGGCCATGAACAAGATGGAAAAGACCACTTGCACCTGTGTTAAAAAAAAAAATCATGATTACAAACTTTCTTGTCTTTGTTTTCCCACAAAGCCATTTGTCTTTCCTATGGAAACTCTCCTGTTCTTCCCATAAAGGTTTTTCTCCACCTTCGCTTTTCCCTATTAAATTAGATATATAAGCTCCTAACATTAGCCCTTGAATGGACCACTTCCTTTGTAGACCTCATACGCATATGAGCAAACTTTTCCTTCTCTTGTTAATCTGTCCTTTGGCAGTTTAATTCACAAGCTCCTAGGTACTAAACCTAAATAGGAAGAGGAAAAGTTTTCCCTTCCCAGTATTAGTTTGTGATAATATATTATGCATTTTTTTGGCTTAATATAAATCTATTTTTGTGAATATTCTATGGATATTAACATTAATTAGAAAGATATAAAATTAAATTTATATCCTTTGGCTTTATGTGTAGACCCACCCACATGAAATGCCTATGTCCCTATACCCTAAATTATTTGGAATGTGCATTGTGTTAAGGCCTGAGAGGTTTTTGTAATTTTACTTATTTAGCTACTTTCTTGTTTTTTTTAAGTTTTAGCTGTCTTAGGTAACTATGCTATTTTGTTCAGAAAGTTTGAAGAATGTTTTATTTTCATGTAAGTAGTTTTCCCCACTCTCTGACTCCTGTATGGAGTTTTCCCTTTCATATCATCATTGCAGCCCCTGGCTCAGTTTGGGCTTAAGTGGGCTATTGAGCTGTCCACACAGGGCACCTTTACTCATCCTACCAGATAAGCCTTGAGCAATATGCAATCAGCTGTTGATTGAAGGCCCTCAGCCACTATCAAAGCTGACAGGGTTTATTTGCATTTTTAATGTGATTCTGAGTGCTCCCTCTAAAGGTAACAGAAGGATAGGCTTCCCTTAGCCTTCTGCTTAGCTTCCTGCTTTGGCCATGACAGTCTTCACTTTCCTTTTTTTCTGATCTTTTGATCTTATCCTCCAAAGTATTTTTTTTTTTTTTTGCAAGGTTGTAGTCCCTTTCTCCTCCCTACACTTAGGCAAGTAACTCTCATCTCAGGGTTGCAGGATCTTCCTTCTTTCCTACTAGTCTTTCCATACTTTGTTATACTATGTTTGAGTCCTCCTTTTGAGGCTTCTCTAGGAATTTTTGCTTAATTCCTATTTTGAAGTGAAAGAACTAAAAATGAATCTTTTTGGCTTTTGTCTCCTGGTATAACAATCTAATTTTTGCTTGATTTCTTAGATGTTTTTTAAAAGACTGGGGAAGTGTAACTGCCAGTGGGTTCATCTTGCTTACTTCCCAGATGGAGCCTATTTATTAAGAAAGGGGAATTGCAATAAAGAGTTTAATTCACACAGTGTAGCTAATGAGAGACCAAAGTTTTATTATTAATCAAATTGGCCTCCCCCAAAATTTGGAGGCTTGAATTTTGCAAACATAGCTTGGTGGGCAGGGGCATAGGGTATAGGTGCTGCTGATTTGTTGGGGATGCAGTCACAGAAGTGTGGAAAATGGTCCTTGTTTTCTGAGTCCACTTCTGGGTGGGGCCATCAGGTGGCCAGAAACACAGAAGTCTAGAAAGACATCTTACAAGACCAATCTTAGGTTCTACAATAGTGGTGTTATTTACAGGAATTATTGTGGAAGTTGCAAATCTTGCAACCTCAGAATAATGGCTGACAATCATATAACTCCACCTATACCTTAGCACAATTCAGGTTCCCATCATACTCCTAACCTGGTGGTATTTCATTAGTTTTACAAAAGGGGGTTAGTTCAGAGAAGGGCTATTATCATTTAAACTATCAACTAAATATATCCCAAAGGAAGCTTGGCCCACATACCTTTCCACATAAAGGACATCTTGTCAGGTCATGGAATTTTAGGGTTACAAAACATCTATCTTCATACTGAAGACTTTTTTAGTATTTTTCTAACATTTATTCATTCAATGGTATTAGACTGACCTAGGTTTGTCACTTATGTCTAAATATGTTTAGATTATAAACACATTTTTGGCCGGGCACGGTGGCTCATACCTGCAATCCCAGCACTTTGGGAGGCTGAGGTGGGTGGATGACCTGAGGTCAGGAGTTCAAGACCAGCCTGGCCAACATGGTGAAACTGTGTCTCTACTAAAAATACAAAAAATTAGCTGGGCATGGTGGCAGGCACCTGTAATCCCAGCTACTCGGGAAGCTGAAGCAGGAGAATCGCTTGAACCTGGGAGGAGGAGGTTGCAGTGAGCCGAGATTGTGCCATTGCACTCCAGCCTGGGCAACAAGAGTGAAACTCTGTCTCAAAAAAAAAAAAAAAAAAAAAAAAAAAAAAAGAAACAGATTATAAACATATTTTTGTCTGAATGATTAAAATATCTTTGCTATTAAACTTGTACCTTGTACCATTACTTGTTTAAAGAGTTTTCCTGGTTATTGGAGATTCTGGATTGTTGTTGTTATTTCCAGTTTTGTAGTTCTGATATAAGAAGTTCTAAAGGAAACACATTTAATGACACGGACTTCTTGGGAGGAATGCAGATTACAATTCCTCCTTTAGTGTTGACTTAAATATCAATGCTAGCTTTCTGAGGCATAGTCAGTAAAATCCAGTGCCCCCTAGTATTATTTTAATTGACTATTTTTCTGTTTAAACAAAATAAAATGAACATTTGTCACTTTTCAAGCTGATATAATGAGTACTTGGTAGCACCATACTTTTTTTCCAACTGTGTATTAAAAATGTGTGATTTACCAATTTTAAATAGCAAACTTCACTTAGTTACATACACGTTGAGAAATAATAGTGTTTTGCTATTCTAATGATAAGAATTGTTAAATAAAACTGTGATCATATCATAATCAGTTACAGCCACAAGCAGAAGTTGTTCAATTCCCACCAATCTTTCAAGAAATACTTTTAATAAAATCACATAAAATGTATATTTTCTTATAAAATCTTGCAGCTTTAGTGCTCTTTAATCAAATGGAATTTAAATATAGTCTTTCTTTCTTGTTTTTTCTTTGACACGGAGTCTTGCTCTGTTGCCAGGCTGGAGTGCAGTGGCGCGATCTCAGCTCACTGCAACCTCCACCTTCTGGGTTCAAGCAATTCTCCTGCTTCAGCCTCCCAAGTAGCTGGGACTACAGGTACACACCACCATGTCCAGCTAATTTTTGTATTTTTAGTAGAAAAAGGGTTTCACCATGTTGGCCAGGATGGTCTTGATCTCTTGACCTTGTGATCCACCCGCCTCAGCCTCCCAAAGCGCTGGGATTACAGGCATGAGCTACCGTGCCCAGCCTAAATATAGTCTTCCAAGTTTTTTTTAATTTATCTTTCAAAGATGGATACTAAAATTTTTCTGTTTTGAAAATTATATAGTGCATAAATCACCCTATAAATATAACTGCAGTTTATTTTTATCTCCATAATTTAAAACACCACATAAAAAATTTAATGATATGCTATTATTTACTAAGTCTTCCAAAGTCTGAATAGAACCCTTTACTTTTTTGCCTATTCTTTATTTTTTTTATAAATCACATAAGGAAGACTATTAGGGAATTATTTCCAAAGTCCAGTGAAAAGTGATTGAATACAATTTAAAAGAAAAAGTAGAATCACTGAATATATATATTGGTTCAGTAGAGGATAGCATAATACCAATGCAAAGAAAAAAAAAACAATTAGTTTATCTTGCATATATCACAATTCACAAAACAACTCTCATTCTTGAAAATGATAAAATTATTTTTAGGAATATTCTTTCTCATGTAATAAATATCACTGAGCAACTTGTCAGAGCCCTGGCATCGAAAGTGGTTGACTCGTGGATTGGTAAGAATTTACCAACGACAGTATATGTTTGAAAAAGAAAGTTTTATTGGAAAGAGAGAACGCTACAGAATAGTTCAGCGGGGCTCCTTAGTAAGAGAGGAGTGAGTGCCCTGTGGTGGATTTTTCCTTAGGGGTATTTACAGACCCTAAAGTCAGAGCTTATGAGTAGTTTGGACCTATTAGCTGCACAGGTCATGATAAACTATTACATTTGTAGACATTTTGATGTCTTAATGTAAGCAAGGTTTGCATAATTGAGTTTGGATATGCATGCATTCCAGACATGTCTATTTACTTCTGAATTCTTCAGATAAGGAGTTTTGTCTCTGGATGGCCTGCTTGATGGTCACCAGGTGATCTTCACTCTGCTGAAATTTGTTATAACTTTTATTTATTTATTTTTAAATCTGTACATGAATGCTTACATGATCAAAAGTTAGAAAATGATTTAAAAATATCTGGTTTTAAGCACCTAGGTGTTTTCCTTACTTAGCTCAGTGTTTTTTGGGGGGCATTTTAGGAGCCAAAAAACGAAAGTGAAATATTTTCTATCATTGCTTTTGTTCTATTCCCTAAACTATTTAGAATACAAAATGAAGTGTCGATGACATAAATATTTAATTTCAGAAAAATTGGTTAGAAGATAAGGCCTTGGATTTTTGTCAGCTTTACACATATGAGACTGAGCCTTTAAATTATATTGTTTCTAAGTAAAGTGAGATGAAGTACCAAATCATGAGTTTTATTTTTTTAAAAGTGGTGAAATACCCATTTAGAAACTTACTTGGTGTTCAAGCAACTTTCTATTCTGGACAGGAAGAGAGCAGCTGGCAGAGTTTGGCCCCCTGTGGATTCCCATTTCCTCCCAACTTTTAACTTTCACTGCTCTCAAGGTGACCAGCTTTTTTTTTAAGAGGATGATTGTGGTCCCTCTGGAGATCTCCTTGCTAGCTGTTGTAGTTCTGAATACTTATATACAAATGCCAGTAAAACAATAGCTATCATATGACCAAAAAAATACATTTTGAAAATCACTTTAATTCCAATGTAAGTTTTATAAATTTCTTATTCAAAACAGGTATACATTTTTTGAAAAGCCAGGTCCATCAATTTATGTTATTTAATAGCATTCTCTAAACAATTGTTTCAGAGAATAAAGAATCCAATGACTTTTCCAAAGAGTTTGACAGGTGGTCAATAAAATTCTGTTTACTATTATTGAAACCAGAGCAAGATACTCTGCATTTTCTTCCTCAGCTTTTTTGAACATGTTGACATAGCTCAGGTTAAGCTTTCTCCGTCTTATAACAGAAACGCAACTCAAGTTCTGCAGACCAAGTCTGAAAGCTGCAGTATTATTTTGAACTATAGGGCCTAGAAAAATTAGTTCTTTAAAAAGTCAGTCAATAACTCACAAATGGTAAGAGTAAACACAGCACACAGGTTTAAAGTGTCTGGATTTCTAGAAAAAAGTATAAAACTAAAAAAAAAATTACATTGAAGTAATACATGTTTTCTCCAAAGCACCAAAAATTCATGTATCTAAGTTGATTGAAATCAGACATTAACTGGATATATAAAATCCATATAATTTGAAGAGGTCTGTCAGTTTTTCCCCACATTTTGAAGAGGGCCATAGAGACATGAGATATCTACAAAAACTGATTGTCTTCATCCCAGCTATATGAAATACAATTCCAAAATGATAAATGCAGACTTTGATGGTTAGCAATTATTATGTAGTACTTATTGGATATTACTATAATACAGTCATCATGCTAAGCCAATTTTATTTATTTATTATTTATTTATTATAAGAGCCTTATGAATCAAGTGCTATTACTATACCACCACTTTATAAATGAGTAAACTGAGGTTTAGAGTGGTTCGAGTCCATGATCTTATTCCATGAATTGATCTCTTAATAATACATTTTGCTGCCAGTAGAAAAGATCATAGACTCAATAATCATATTAACGACAGGCAGGTGTTTTTAATGAGTGAGATAAATTAGCTGTAGAAAATCCAGAAAGGGGAGAATATATCAAATCTGGAGTACCATTCTCATTCAGAAGGGTGGAGCAGCAACTTAATTTCAGCTGATTATTGTTTTGGGAATAATTCAGACCCTTGCTTTCTAGAAATTTTAAAGATAAAGTATGAATCTGGATTTTTACATTGCTGTTCAATTTTTAAATTTCAGCAACCAATTAAGAATAACTATAGACCAAATAAAACCTGAACTATAGACTGAATCTAGCGGAGAAGAGGAAACACAATAAGAGAGACTATTCCATTCATTTCATGTTCAAATAAGTCAACAGGCATTAAGTCATTTTTAAAACTATTGCTGTTTTAGCAGTAAAATGACAGAGCTAGGTCATCTTCTTTATTGCACTGATAGTTCCACCAGTCACGATTCTTAGTGTTGTCTGGTTGACATACTCCAAAGTCTTTCTAAGAAATTTACATACAATTTTGTGAGTTTTTTTTAGTTGTATTGTCTTATCTCAAACAAGTCCCCCTACCCAACTTTTTGCTATGTTACTATTATTTTAAATTCAAATTTTATTTTAGATACAGGGGATACATATGCCATAATCCTAAATAAATTAACACAGGAATAGGAAACCAAATACCACATGTTCTCACATAGAAGTGGGAGCTAAACATTTAGCACACATGGATATCAGCATGCTATGTTATTTTTTAAGAAAAGTTTGACCCAGTTAAAAAGCAGCTATTTTTAACATTCCAGGACAAAAGAGTGTTGACGTATAAGCTCAAACAATATATTAAAACATTATAATCCTTAAACTACCGCAAGAAACTAAACAAAAAATAAAAATTATGTCGAACGTGAAAAACATGGAGAAATGGCTCTCAATAGAATTGACGCCTTTGTGTCAATGCCAAATGTGGTTGGTACAAAATAATTTGCTCCTCAGAATACCTCTTTGAAAAAAGACTTTGCTAAAACCAAAACCACCAGAAACCAACAGCATTTTTGTGCACTTTAAAAACAGTGTTTATAATATATCTATTATATATTGCTTATATAGGCCTTTTGTATTGGTAAATATTTTTATTAAAAAAGGGGGTTTCTTCTAAAAAAAAAAAACTTCAGCCTTAATTTTCTTTTTTTTTCACAGTTGTATTGGCAAGAATTGAATTAGCTTGGTGATTCAAAAATGTTGTCTATTGGCAAAGAAAACATAGCTACTGGTAAATAGGTGCACATTTCTTTATGGAAAAATTTTACCTCTTGTTTTCAATCACCAGCTGAACTTTTTAAGAGAGAGAGAGAATGTGTGTGCTATGGCCCAGCTTCTGCAAATGTACTTATATCCCAATTTAATTAGTCAATCTGTAAATGAAGCCAAGATTGAATTCTGTTGCTGCCACAAGTGAGACAAGCCAATATAATGAACCACACTGAGTGAGCAGCCAAGCAGTGACACTGCGTAAAACAAGTCTTTTAAATAATTCCCCTTTTATTGACAACCAATTATGTTTATTGCCTTTATTGTAAAGAAAAAGAGGCTTTATTTATTTATTTTTAAGAATGCTACTGCACTCTGGATGATGTTCACAAATCCTAAGTTGTTTTGAAATTTTCCAGTCATATAAGTGAATCATATAATCCTTAAAAAGATATTTAGAGTTACCTTTTTTTTTTGGCATCAAATGGATGAAGCAGGCTCTCAAATACAGCCACTGTTGACATGTACTTCAGCATAGATCATAAAATACCAAGGTAAGAAATATTTCAAAAATTTGATTTCAATAAATACTGAAATAAAATGATAAAAATAGAATTGCCTCTGGTTTGCTTTATTATAGGATAAGGATGAAAAGATTATCTTGTTATTAACAGAAATGGATCAGAATATAGCTGGCATTCACAATTGGTGCTGATGTTTAAGAAGTAAACATTTCACTTGGGTTTCACTACTAATTCATAAATAAAGAATTTTTATTATCATATTTTCAATGTAATCCTCAAGAAAAACTGAACTGGGTAACTGTAACCATTTAAATGGTTCAAGTATATAAAATAGTAATTTTAGATCATCTTGGTAGAACTCACTTATGGCCTATCAACATAAAAGCATTCTTGGATTAACTGATGTTTATGTTATAGTTGTACCTTTTTTTTCTATCTTCCTATATTATTGAGACCTGAGTTGGTGTGCCTTTTTAAATATTTTTCTCAACAAATGAGTACCAGCCATGTATAATTTCTTTCATTTGGCCGTATTTGCACCAGTTGTGGACAACAGGGAGAATCTGATAAGATTTCTGAGCTCATTCTATCATGGTTATGGTGGCAAGAAACCCGATATAGGTGGATAGATATGAGCACGGTTATGTTTGTCGCTGCAATAATCCCTTTCCTCCCTAATTTGCTCTGTTCCCAGTGACAGAAGTGATGTACAATGAGGGTTAACCTCGAAAAAACTTTTCAGGATTAGGCTCATAGTATGACCTGTACAATATAAACAGAGGAGTCTAAATACAAGTTTATGTTAGAGGTATATCGCCTGTGTTGCTCTATGGTCATGATTATCATTATATGAGATTTACAAAGTAACTAATGATATATATCCTATTTGGCTAATTCTAATTCATAAGGTTCTACTACCACTAAGGGTGAAGAATACAGGCACACTTGGGAGTGGAGAGGCTTGGATCCCTGATCCAGCTCTGTATAAGCAACCATAAACTTTGGCATTTCTACCGTTAAAATGTAGCTTTGATTTCTATATACATTCTTTCCCCATAAATTGTATAATACTGGATAACCAAATAAGTTCATAGCTTTGTGATTCTGAACTTAATCTCCGTTATATCTGTTGTGTGTCATCTCATCTAATTCAGTGAAATGCATTTAAAGTCATGACTACAGAAACTTTTAACCTTGTGAAACTGATATGCTGTACCATTTTCACTATGTGAAAGCATGCTTCTCCCTATTGAAGAGATACCAAGGCAAATGGGGAATCTGGGATAAATTAAATTCAGTCTGGTTTAGATAACAGAACAGCATTTATTAATGCCGTGGGTTTACAGAAAAGTAATAACTAACATTATTGCTCCCTAGCAACTTCTAAAATGAAGATCCTGAAAAAGGCTAATATAAGAAAAAAATCTTTCTTTCATGTTGCCATTTACTTACCAACATATCTGTGCACTCATATTTCACTCATTCATTCAAATACACAATTTATTAAGCAGTATCACCTGAGTAAGATATAAATATAAATCGGTTTTATTATTTTTTGATTCCTAAATTCAACCATGTGATGTCAAATATGCCCTTTTATTCTCTTATTAATGTATTAGGAAGATCCTATGCTTTTCTCAGTTACCCTATGTTATTAAACTAAAACTACAGTTTCATGTTATATTTAAACTTCTTTCTTTTCCCTTTATTCAGTATAATAGACTCATGTGGCTTTAGAGTGGTGAGATAGAGATGGGCATAGTCCACAAATTCACTTCTTTTCCTACACTAGTACCTTGTAAAGGAAGTATTATGTGGGGAGACAAGGAAAGCATGGTTCTTACAGAGCTAGTCATCCCTTGATGGCATGGAGTCTTCCCTGGTCCTGCTCTGTCTTGATCTGGTTTCACATTGGGTAGTTGTCTCCGACAATGTCATGATCTCTGCAAAGGTGCTTTATTTTCTTCTGGTGATTTTTGAGTCTTCCTGGCATCTTCCAAGTCAGTGAGCATTCCTCTAGAGAGGAATAACATCATTGCTTCGTCTCATGGGGGTTTGACACTCACGGCCTTGCATGGTATGTCCAAGGCTTTTGTCTACCCCCTCTTACCTCCAATTCTCTTTGTAAGGAATCTCACAACTTTAAGAAACCCTTTCTGTACTCTTGGAAAAAATTTTTATGAACAACTTTACTAGGGGATTTTAGATGGGGGGTTCTCCATGTTGTTTTTCCAGGCATACTATATCATGGAAGCCTTAGCAGGCCTTCTGTCTTAGCTATCTTAGTGGAGACACAAGTACAAATCTGTTTTCATGTCTACTCCCAAGCATCAGGGGCAACACTTCCAGCTCCGTAAGAATCTTTCACCATGCTCCACACTATTCCAACAGCAAACCCTCAGTGGACCTACAGGTTTCCAGTTCAACAAACATTCATCCAAGGAATAAAAGGCCAGGTTTCCTTTCTTCTAGGTACCCCACATCTTATAAGTGATTCTGTTGAGATATCTCTACCTCACTTGTCTTTAAAAGGAAAGGGACATACTCCCTGTTCTTGCCAGTGGGTAAGAAAGAATAACTTCTTCCATCAACATGGTGATCCCAGTGATTTCTACTGACCCCTTCTTAACACTTTCTAGCCCTCTTTATGATGGAGACAGGGAAAAGGTGTTTGAGGGAAATAAGGCTTATTTGCAATCCTTGTAGGATGTCCTCAGTTAGAGGTCTGCCCCAACCGTTTCTTGCTCTTTTTAGAATTTGCTGTGAGCTCCATTTTCTAATTTCAAGGTCAAAGAAAAGCTCCATTCAACATTCTGTTACCTGAGATTATTGAGTATTTATTATACAATGTGCTAGGCACTGTGCTTGCCATGGCAGAGTTTACTCTGAACTCAGAAGTGTTAGTACTAAGGATTTCTTTGTATTTCCCCCTGTGAGCTATTAAAGTCTGGTATATTAGGTTTCACATCTTGTCATTTGGCTTCATTTTGGGGAGTTCAGCAATAAGAGATATAAAATCCAGGATAAGAGATCTTGAAACAGACTCCCAGAGTAGATGCTTCCCACTAGGATAGAAAGGAAAAATAGAGGTCATTATTCAGACAATGTCATTTAAGTGGGAGTTAATATATTTTGTTGGTAAAATAGAATAATAGTATTACCCATTCAGGGTTCAGAATGTGATAATTAGATAATCAATGTAATATTCAGGTTTCAAAAAAGTGTCAACTAATACTATTAAAAACTATAGAAAATACAAATGGGCCTGAAAGAAAACTCAAAAATATGGGTGGAACTCAAAACATATCAATACACCAGATTTCCTATATTTAGTTGACAGCCCTCTTTTACTACACATGTGGAATAGTTTCCAGGGTTCTATCTGGTTGTAAAGATCTTAGTTTTCATTTGTTGTTGGGTTTTTACTAGCAACAGTTTAGGTAAGCTAATCCTAGGAAGAAGAGTTGTGTGAATGTGTATATGTGCATGTAGATGTCTATGTGTGCAGACATGTGTGCAAGTGTGCAGAGATGTGCATGTCCAAACACACGTGTGCACATTTGTGTGTGTATGCACTCATACATGCTTTGGCAAAAAGTTGTAAAATCTATCCTCATTGCCCTATGAGAACTGAAAGATTGACGTCCATCTAGTCTCTGTGCTTTGGGAGTTGAGATATTAGAGGAAGTCCTGTCCACTTCTTGTCATATCCACAATTAAATTACTGTTTATCACTTTTAAACCAAAGATTTAAAAATATTTCACTAGAAAGAAATTAACGTGGTGGTCTAAATTGCTTGATCTATTCATAAGCTTTACTTGCATTTTAGAGTTACTCCTGTAAGGAAAAAAGGCTATTTTAAGAGTTTTTTTCAGGCAGAGAAAAATTTACAAATATTTACTGAAAGCCAATTATGGGTGAGACACTGTGTTTAGTGCTGTATTTAGACAAGTCCTTTGGCATTAAATCTTTAAAAGTGGGTTTTAGAATATTAATATTTTTACAATTGTGGCATGTTTGGAGATTATAATTTTCCATGTCCCCTAGACTTATGCTTTTACCTGCAGTCAAATAATCCTTAATTTTTTCTGTGGCCTTTGAATGTTTTGGAACTAAGGAAGCTAAAAAGCCTTAATGAGACATTTTAATGGCTATTAAAAATATTAATTGTAATCCGAGCACTTTGAGAGGCTGAGGCGGGCGGATTACCTGAGATCGGGAGTTCAAGACCAGCCTGACCAACATGGAGAAACTCCATATCTACTAAAAATACAAAATCAGCTGGGTGTGGTGGCACATGCCTGTAATCCCAGCTACTTCGGAGGCTGAGGCAGGAGAATCACTTGAACCTGGGAGGCAGAGGTTTCAGTGAGCCAAGATCGTGCCATCGCACCCCAGCCTGGGCAACAAGAGTGAAACTCCGTCTCCAAATCAATCAGTCAATCTACAGATAAAGAGAACATGATACTAAATATATGAATTTTTCCCCCTTTAATCATCATAGACCACTGAACTCTGAGGTCCTCATGTAAGCTAAGATGCCAGACTGGGAGTTCACAGCCTGAAGAAAAACAATTGAGAGGTCTGAGGGTCAGTTATAGGGAAACAGTGGTGCTAAGGGTATTCTTGAATATCTTTAATGTTCTACTACCATTACTTACTTTTACATAATAAAAACAGTGACATTTCACATTATACAATAATTATCCAAATAGAAATTCACATTAGCTGATTTCAAAGAAGCACTTTAGTATTTACAAAGATGATTGCAGGGTATAATTGAATATGCTGTAGATATTTGAATAATAACCATTTTTTTCTGTTCAAATTCATATATGATATTTTATTTTCCTGTTATACCAGTATTTTTACAACCAATTTAAAAGATACCATATAGTTTGAATCAGGACCATAGAAAGTAGAGACACATTTTAGTTTCTGATGTCCTGCTACATTTTAATATAGATTTATAATTCTCAAAAGGCTTTCATATTTATCTCACTTGATTTTCACAAGAATCATATGAAGTGTGAAGCACTTTTTATTATGATCATTTCAAGGTTGGAGAAAGGAAGGCTTAACAAAGCTGTATTGTCTGCTTGAGGCCATGAAGTGAATTATTACCATTGTTCACCATAGATTTTTAAAATAAAAATATTTAGCAGATGGCAACTACCATTCATTGACAATTATTTTACAAACATAGTTCTAGGCTCACTTAATTTGTTAACCTAATTAACAATCACAACATTCCTCATATAATACATTTTATCTTTTTCATTTATGAATTAGAAAAGAGTTTGAGAACTGTAATAATTTGTATGATATAAGCCAATCTATTTGTAATGAAGAAACATGAAAACATATCCATTTTATGTTCTGTAGTTTTCAAGAAAATTGACATTTCACACTATTATGTGAATGGAGGAAAAATCTCTAATTTTTAACAATGTTAAAATTTTATTTTAAAAAGGCAAGTTGCTTCCACTATTTTAAATTTAAGTTTGTAGAAGGTAGACAAGATAAATGAAAATGGCTATAAAACATTTCTAAAATTAACATTCCAATTCAGTAAATTTAGTTTTGTTTTCTTTTTTCCATTTTCTTTACCCCAACTTTGTTCTTTGTCTTCCCGTTTTTCCTGTTTCTACTCCTTTTTCTCTTTTTCTTACTCCCCCTCTTTGAAGTGGCATCCGTTCACAGATACTTGCTTAATAGAAGCTTTTGGTAATTGGTAGAGAAAATGATAGGTATTAGAGAAACTTCAAAAGTTTCAGCATTTGAAAATTATTATTTTGTCAGTGCACAGAGATTTTTGTTTGTTTTAAAAATTTCATGAAAGAACATAGTCTTCTGAGTGAGCATAAATTACCATAGATTCTCCATTTGTTGTTAAAATGTCAACTTTGAGCAGAATTCAATGATTAACTCTGTAATCATGTAAAATTAAAAAATCAAGAAACATGTATTATATACAGAAACAAATAGCTCTTAATTACTCTACAGACATTTATTAAGAGCCACAGTGTGTCAGCTGCTATGCTAGGAGATTCAGGATTTTAATACTTTACCAATGTGCCTATCCTCAAAAAGCGACTAGCAAGGAACGGCTCGCCTCTTTAAGGAATATGTGTTTAATCTACAGAAATTTTCTGTTGGACTGTTGGCAATGCAGGACCAACTTTAATCTCTTTCTGACCTTACTTCATGTGACCTGTCATTAACTACACACTTTCTACAGGCCTCCGGAAGTGTATTTCTTTTTACAGGTCTTATTTCATAAGACAAAGTACATATTGATCTAAAGATATGGTAGTATGTTATCAAAAACAAAGCCTAATTTTTTTTACATTTAAAATGTTACTTGACCATACAACTAATCTTGTTCCTGAAGATGTATTTATTTATTTTCTCTCTCTCTCTCTCTCTCTCTCTCTCTCTCTCTCTCTCTCTCTCTCTCTCTCTCTCTCTCCCCCTCTCCCCGTCTTTGTCATTCAGGCTAGGGTGCAGTGGCATGTTCTCGGCTCACTGCAACCTCCGCCTCCCAGGTGTGATGCATAATCACAGATAGGTGTGTTACATAATTTAGCAATTCAAGCGATTCTCCTGCCTCAGCCTCCCCAGTAGCTGGGATTACAGGCATGCATCATCATCCCGGGATAATTTTTGTATTTTTTGTAGAGACGGGGTTTCACCATGTTGGCCAGGCTGGTCTTGAACTCCTGACCGCCAGTGATCCTCCTGCTTCAGCCTCCCGAAGTGCTGGGATTACAGGAGTGAGCCACTGCGCCTGGCCGAGGATTTACAGTTAATAAAAGGTTTTTGAAAGGGAAAAAGAAGAAGCACACTCTTTTGTGTAAATACACTCTCTGATTTGGTGTTTGTAATGCCTTTGTTCTTATACAAAGTTTAATAACCTTTATCCTAACCTAATTTATTATAACATATTTGGCATGGGGAAGTATAATAGGAAAGAAATATTTAGCGTTCAAGATCCAAGTCTAAATTGAATTCTCATCTTCAAATAGCACAGAAAATGATCAGTAAATAAATGTCTAGCAGTTACTGACATTTATGATATATATGAATATATATTAATATATAAATCATGAAAAAAATGAGAATACGGTATAGTAGAATAGTTTGGGGAATGTAAAAGATACAATTGTTTGATATCTCTTATTGACCAAATAGTCCTCCTCCATCTGGGAAGAATGTACTGATGTTTGCAGGCCTTCTCATGAGCAGTGCACATGAATATCAGATGGAGGAGGGAACCAATACGCAGACACCTGCCTAGCCAGCAACACCTGCTGAAACAAGCAAGACCAAAGGGCAGCTGGATGGCACAGGCAAATCACATTCATGTTGAGAACAGGTGCTCTTGTTGCCACTTGAAAACCTGTCAAAGAGAGTTCTTAATTGTACCATAGTACAACTAGGATATATATAAAAAAATAATAATAATAACTCTATGTACTTTAGGTTAAGAATTGAAATTGAACAGAACTAAATATAATCAAGAGAGTAAAGATAAGATAGAAATGAAAGACACTAGTGAAAGCATACCACAAGCAGAATTCCTTGAGTTTCCTCTAGAAAAAAAAAAATTAAATTCTAGGGGAACTTAATGTATGTTGTATATTTTTTCTATCATGTCCAAATATGACAATATCTTCATTATAAACTTCATTACGATTACTACCCTTTGCAAAAAGCTTGCTTTTTGGTAACTCACATTGTTTCTCTAAAGAGAACCTATCACATGGCTTACTTTTAGGGCTGACATCTTATAAGATCTGCTCAAAGCTTTTCCTCCAAAAAACTGCCTCTTTCTCTTATGGTGGGAGTCTGTGCATTTTGTGCTGCTATAACAGATAACCTGGGACTGGGTAATTTTTAATAAATAGAAATTTACTTCTCACAGCTCTGGAGGCTGAAAAATCCAAGATTGAAGGGCCATCGTCTAGTGAGGTGCTTCTTGCTGTGTCATCATGAGATAAAAAGCACAGAGAGAGCAATTGTAAAAGGGGGCTAAATTCTGCCTTTCACAATCAATTCACTTTTGCAATAATGGCATTCATTCATTCACTTTACCCTCTTGGCCTAGTCACCTCTCACTAGGCCCCACTCTCTCAACACTGTTGCACTGGGGATCAAACTTTCAACACATGTTTTTGGGGGGACACATTCAAACCGTAACAGGGGTTGTCAGTCATTCTTCACCATAGTTGTTTTGCAATTGTTTCCGATTTCATTGAATGGCTTGAATCTGAGCTTAACTTTATCCTTAGCGAATGCTTCTATCCTTTTAAACTTAAAATTCTTCCTTGAGTTTCTAGACAACAGCTGTATGGCCTGAGAGGCTGACCCTATTGTAATGAAGTTCTTCCTCAGCTTAGATCAGAACAACAGAGAGAGAGGTGTGATGCATAATTTAGCAATGCCACATCTTAGAGAAGAATATTCTTTAGCCCAGAAAGGTCAGTGGGAAAGGTTGAATGGTTTTAATTACTTATTTTGTTATTATGAACACAGGTCAGTAACATATGCCGAAGATCTAGCTGCTGGTCTCCTGCTCGTGTAGCTTTAAGTATGTCACTTAAAATCCTTTGTGCCCTACCTCATTTCAAAAATTTGGAAGCCGGATGGGAATACAGTTTTGCTCTAAGACCCCCTTAAACACTAAAATTAGATGGTTTAAAGCTGAAAGTTTAAACATTTTATTTAATAAACATATTTTTAAATAATATAGTTATAAGGTTTGGGTAAGAAAATTGTTTTCAAATTTTAAGGTTAAAATACTATGTTTATATTTAGTGCCATTTAATATTTTAGATTTTTAGAATAAACAAAATGTCAATTTAAAACTTGTTTAAAGAATATTTAGTACTTAGAAGTCTCCTGATCCATCACATAGGTATGAGAATGTGTGTAAATAGCCATAGACCTTTATAATGCACCTTATTGCCTTCTCTTTATTACTTTTTCCTTTGAGGATCTTGTTAAGTTCAATTCTTACTATCTGTATCTTTTTCTCTAGAAATATATCGTAATGAAACTTTTGAAATATTAATAATAAATTGGCTGGGCATGGTGGCTCATATCTGTAATCCCAGCATTTTGGGAGGCTAAGGCGGGCGGATCACTTGAGGTCAGGCATTGGAAACCAGCCTGGCTAATGTGGTGAAACGCTGTCTCTACTAAAAATACAAAAAAATTAGCCAGGCATGGTGGTGGGCAACTGTAATCCCAGCTACTTGGGAGGCTGAGACAGGAGAATTGATTGAACCCGGGGGGTGGAGGTTGCAGTGAGCAGAGATTGCGTCACTGCACTCCAGCCTGGACGACAAAGCAACTCTGTCAAAAAAAAATTGTTGTTTTTTTTTTCAGTCACAGATTTATCTATTTTACTCACACCCTCAGCTCTCTTACTCATCTTTTTCTTTATTCTATTCTGTTCAGACAACAACAAACTTGGTTAAATCTAACTCTCCACAGCTCTGTGTTTGCACAGCAGGCAGTTAATTTCCAACAGAGGAAGGAACACACAAACAAACAGCAAGCAAAACACAACAGTGTTTCACTGTTCTCATTTTAAATTGCTAAACTTTATTCTCCAAGTGGACAATATTATAGCCCAGAAATTCTACTATATATTTTATTCCAATCTGTTATTCCTTCTACGCTATACTATTTTACACCATTCCTTCTCAATCCTTCACCTCCTTGACACATTTTATTCTCCTTTGATGACCTGCCCCTATTATTTCAGTGAGAAAATACGTGCAACAGACGAGGACTTCCATGTGCAACCACCTCAATTGAACATAAAATATTTTGCTTTCATTCCTGTTACCTTGAGTGCACTCTCCAGGCTCCTATCTAAAGCCAGTTTCTTCCTTTATCCATGAGTTTCCTTCTACTCTCTCTGGCTACTTAAAAATATAATTATCTTTTTTTACTGCATTATTTGTTCCTTTCTCTATTTATCATTCCCATAGATGACTATCGTGCCATAATTTCCCCTAATGTGTTAACAAAAAAAAAACAACAAAAAAGTCTTGACTCCATATTCCCTTCCTCTCCAGCCTCTTTGTTTTTTCCTTCTTTGTGTCACAGAAATATTCATTACACAGACTATCTATACTCAATGCCAATTTCTCCTATCCAGTTCTCTCCTAAACCACTGAAATCATTATTTTCCTCCCCTGATTCTCCAATGCAACTACTCTTATCGAGGTTAACAATAAGCTGAGTATGTCTAAATACAATAATCCATTTTCATTTCACATCTCGAACGCTTGAACTCTCATGAACATTTGTCACAGTTGATCACTCTCTCTCCTCCTTGAAACACTTCCTTCACTTGACTTCAGGGACCCCACTTGATCCTGGCCCTGTTTCTATCTCATTAGCTGTACCATCACAGCTTCCTGTGTGGTTTTATTTTCTTTTATTACATCCATCACTGGCAAACTGTGAAATATTTTAGGTTCATCCTTCATTAACACTATTCTGTCTACTATTCATCTTTAGGTGAACCCATCTAGTCTTATGGCTTTAAATAACAGCTATAGGTGATTACTTCCTACTTTTATCTTATACCTGGACCTCTTCCCTGACTTTCAGATGTGTACATCCAAACATATAGTCAACATTTCTATTTGGATATTTAACAGGCATAACAAACTTAATAAGTCCAAATTGGAACTCCCCTGCTCAGTAACAGTAACTCATTGTCATGATGTCAGCCAAAACCCTTGATTCCTCTCTTTCTTACATCCAATAAATCAGCAAATTATGCTCACCATAACTTCAAAATATACAGTGTCCAATGGGCTACCCTCATTACCTATAACTCTTTGGTTGAAGCCATCATTATCTTTTTGCCAGCAGTAAATCAGCACTTACTATTGTCAACTGGTTTTTGGAAACTAAGACTTTAAGCCAAACAGCAACATATAACAAAACAAATTTTGTCATAAGCTGATTGATATAAACAAGAGTTAGCATAGCATATTTCTGGTTACAAAAATATCAACAAACTTCTAAATAAAGATTCCAAATACTTCTCATATTAAACATTGAAATAAATGTGAGCTATACATACATTTATGAAAAGTTAATAAAAAGATATTTACCCAATTTTTGGTGATTCAGTGAGTGGCAGCAGTCATAGTGGTGATGGGTTAAATCAAAGAATAAATATTTGCAAAGTGAAAACTGTAAGAAGTACCTCCTACCACCACAGAGCCCAACAACAGTCACAAATATGGTGGCCTTGCTGTGTACTTTTGCTTCTCATTGTTTATTGTCTGACATTTGTATGATTATCATAGACTTTTCAGATGTTTATTTTATAATAATTTGTATTCCTTCATTCATTTTCCAACTTCCTTATTCCAGCTCAGTGTTTCAGGTGGCTGGAGCCTATCCCAGCAGCTCAGGGCCCAAGGCAGGACCCAAACCTGGACAGGTTGCCATCCCCTCACAGGATGCACTCAGACACACCCACAGTCACTCAGACTTGGGTAATTTAGACATGCCAAGTCACCTCACGTGCACAACTTTGGAATGTGGGAGGAAACGAGTCCCTGGAGAAAATCACTGTGCACGTGGAGAGGATGTGAAAACTCCACACAGTCAGTGGCCCCAGCCGGGAAGCAATGTTTTTTGTTGTTGTTGTTGTTTTTGTTTTTTATCATTATTTTAACAAAATGACACTGAATAATATTATTAATATTTTGATAGCCTCTTGTCTCCCTAACACCACCCTTGATCCTTTTGAAACGTAAGTAAATCACTTCTGTTTGTCACTTCTCTACTCAAAACCTTCCAATAGCTCTCTGTTTTCATTCAGAGCAAAAGCCAAAGTCCTTCAAATGGCCTACAAATCCCTCCATTACTGGCTTTGCTCTCTCTCTCTCTCTTTATCTGATCTTTTTTTATACTCTTCTATTCCATCTTCATTGTGTGGGAAACACAAACAAATTGAGATTCCTGATTTGAGAAGAAAATGATAATTGACCAAACTTCATGTATCCAGCAACTCTAGTTAACTACTGTCCTCCAGACATAATTGACTTGCCTTTTTTTACTTTAAAAATTAATGTTATCAGAAACTAGAAATAATACAATTGAAAACACTAGAAATACAACCTTTTATCATTTCTTCCTACATTTCATCTTTGATATTTGCAGTCAAATCTTCTTATCAGTACAAGTAGTTCATATGTCAAATATGTGTCATGATGGCATGAATAATTCAGCCTACACTCACTCCACCTCCTACCCCTAGATACTAATAAAAACTGAATGAACCTTTAAAAAAAGTGACTGAGAAGCAGCTTCAAAACATTTCATTTAATGTTTTAGTAAAGTAAGAACTTCATTAAAGTAGATGAAGTTCCTTCTCATGGACATGTAGATCACTTTGCATTTAATGAGTTCTAACCTGACATAAAATAGAAGTTGAATTTCAACTTACTTTCATGCCAGGAATCATCAAATCTATAAAATCTGCATAAGAGAAATGTAGAATGTTGAAACTGTTGGATAAAGACTTCTGACATTTCTATGCTAAAGATATTTTTCAAAAAGCTAGCATCTTGTCACGGTTCTAGCTCTTTGGTAATAATAAACTACAATTTAGAGCAAGAAAATAGTTCATTGCCTGTAGGTTTTATAAGAAGTTCAATTTTATACCTTTACAAAACTTATTCTGCTTACAGAAGTTTTTCAATACAAGAAAGGACAGAAATTTCCAGATCTGTTCATGATTTTAGCTTTCATCCAGTATTTATAGCCACTTAGTCATAGTAATCTTTTTGCTTTTATTTTTACTATTTTTCTATAATCATTAAATTGATAGATTATTATTCTTGATAAACTAACCACATATGAATTTAGGAGATTTTCTGAAAAAGGATGAAACGTATATGCAAATCAATCAACACTAACCCCCTGTTGGGTTCTTGGCCAACATTACAAATCAAGTATGTCCTGCTGGCCCTGAAGAAGGTCCCAAGAGCCTTTCCACACAGGACCCTAATGGGGAGGAGTGCACTCCCAGTTGATTACACTTGGGCACCTAATTTGTATCCCTATTCTGAATTCTTCCTTAGGATATCCTGATTAGAAGAATATAACCCTTTTCACTATCATATTCTTGGAGGCACTACAGGTGTTTCAAAAATGTCCCTTTGCTGTTATCACTTCTTTGGTGAACATTGACCCAACTTCCAACTGCCAGCACCTATTCTTCTTTGGCGAAGCACTGTCTCTTACAGCTGTAGACTCCTTTGCTGCCCTGTGGCAGCCCAGATATGGTAGACAATTAACCCTAAGAGCTTCCCTTTACTGGTTCGATGGGAGGTAGTATATAAATATCCCAACTCCCTCATTCTTTAACTGAGATAATTCTGAGGTGTGTTTTTTACCCAGATTCCTAAAGTTTCCCCAGTGGGATGCACCCCAGTTATGCACAGTGGTAGCATGCTAAACCTAGATCCAATTCAGAATATAAAACTAATATAATACTTACAGAATGGGAAGCTTATAATTTTCCTGTTAAACACAATTTTCATTTTTCTGGATTCAGAATGATTTACATGAACAGCTTTATGTTACATTTTCTCAGATACTATCCAAAATAGTATATTTTCATTGCTAAGTTTTTAATTACTCTCCGATACAGATCTAGATAACAAAAGAATATATCTGCCAAATATTGGCATTGGGAAATTCAGAATTGGTCCTAACAATTACACAAATTTTGCCTGGTGGAAAAGGAATGGAATTTGATAGTAAAATGAGGTGAACTCATGCACTGAGAGAGAAGAATTGAAATCATAAAAAACAATACGAAGACTTTAGCCTCCAGAAATAAGAGCCCGCTGTGCCTGAAGGGTGGCTGTGTATATTGTTGCTGCTATTAGTCTTCTATTCAAACTATAATGGATTTGAGGCTACACATGGCTGCGTAACATTCTAAGGATACCCAGATGTTGAAAGAATATTTCCAGGTAGTCACTTAAAATGTTGGAAGTCTTTTATGTTACTCCATTTTCTCTGAGACTATCTATAAAAGTCATGAAAAAGCTTTATAATACTGATAAAGATATAACATGTATGACTTTTTGTTTGTTTTTATTTTTTTAAGGTCCAGAAAAACCCCTTTTATGTTATCTCAGAGGGCTATGCATCAAGCTGCTCACAGCCCTTGGGTGTTATCTTCTAGCATAAGTTGCAAAGGCAAAACATAATATCCTGAGCCATTTTGACATCGATTTAAAGGACCAATAAGTTTATTTTCCCATTTGAAGCACCCTAGTGCTGTTTTCTCTTTCTGACAGTGCCTGAGACAAGGTCAGAAACCATGGTTTCGATTTACCTTGCAGTTTCCAGCAGCACCTATTATAGTGTTTTCCACAGAGTAGGCACTCAATAAATGTTGCCAACTGACAAAGGCAAATGATAGTAGTCATCCTATGGCATATGACCTCTTGGAGGAAATATAAGTGCCTCACCCGTATCATAAATATCTGCCTGTGGCCCCGAACACACAAAAGATTTTTAGCTGCCACAGCCACGTTTCAGGTGTGTTTCTCTGGTAAATCTCCTGGTCTCAAGCCGTCATTTTCAAGCAGGACTTTGAAAAAAATGTGACGTTAGAACAGTACATTTTCCTTAAGTTTTTATTTCACTTTTTAGGGTTTGAAAAGGTTCAATAAACCTGCTTCTATAAAGAAAGAGACTCATTGAGTAGAAGTGAAATTGATGTAATTAAAGAAATAGGCAAATCACAAGGGAAAGCTCTTCTTTAGGAAATAATGCTTTCAATAAATTTCTAAGAAATTTAGATGTAAAAAATCATTACTTCGTGCAATAAGAGTCCCTTCCAATACTTCTTACTGGATTATATTAGGATTTCTATTGTACATAACTAACAAAATTCAAACACTGCTACCTAAAGCCAAATTCCCATCTATGTAAACATGTTCAAAAAAAAAGAATGTCTTTTTGTACCCTTCTTCCCCCTACCAGGAAAGCAGTTTTTGGAATAGAAAAATAACTGGATTTAGAATAGAAAACCACATTTAAGTTGTGCTCTATTCCATATTATTTCATTTTGGACAAATCACTTAATTTCTTCTAGCTTCACTTTTCTTAAGAATTATAATGTCTAACTTATAAAAAGCTTGAGACAACAAATGAGGCATATGTGAAAAGGCTTCAGCATCTCATCCACAGTAGTAGCTCTGTAAACTAGTGTCTGAAGTTCTGCATGGTCAGTCATTCTCTGCATTTCGCAGACACCTCTAGCTCATTCTAAATTGATCCGGCAAACTCCTACTTGCCCTTCAAGTTTCCACTCGAGCATCATGCTGTAAAGTTTTCCTTGATTTCCTCTAGCAGATGTTAGGAATCTCCCGTTTAGAGCCATGTTCATCTTGAGTACTAATTGTTTGTTTGAATGAATGATCTCTTAATACTGTCTGACCTCCTTGCTGGCAGAACTGTGTGTTGTTTTCACCTGTCTAGCTTTTGCTTATTGTACATTGCTGTCTCCTAGTAGGTGCTGTGTGAATATTTGGAGGTTGGATTAACCTGAAGTAGGTGAATATGCCCCCATCTGCGTAAAAATGCTTGTAAATTTTGCACTAAGATATTGAAAGTAACCATTACATAGGTGGGATACATCTGTTTTAGGGGTTCTAACCTGTATGGAGAGATGTTCCCTCCTGACAGAAAGTCTTGGTAGGACCGCCATGTATTCCCTTGCTGCTTTCTGCTCCAGGTCCGATAGGCTGACTTGGAGATGGGAAGAAAGGGAGCACAAGACGGACCACAAATCAGAAGGAATGAACATCATCCTAGTACAGTATGTCCTGGGTACCAGCATAATACTCACTAGTATTTCTGAATGAATAGACTTCAGTCTACTTTATTTACAAGGAATGAAAGTTTGGAGACAATCAACTGGTTTCATCAACTCTAGTCCACATTCTATTTCTCTGAAACTCAGATTGATGAATCTACATTGCTGCCGCCACAGGCCTATATTTACCATCAGTGCTATGTAAGTGGGATGCCTACTTTCTGCAAACACTTTTTTTCTAGCCCATTTCAACAACCACCAATATGTTCCTTCTCATTTCCACAAGTATTATGTATTGTTGGCAGCAATGGAACCATTGGTGTGCAGAGCAATAAGCAATCTTCTGGTGATTGGTATGTTTGATACCATCCTGCTTTGTGCTGAAGGAACTTCCATTGGCTGGCTTCTGAGGGTGTCTGTGCATGAAGAGATGGATTGAATCAAATGGGCTGGTTCATCGTTGGTTTCCCTTGCAGGACCACTGAGCAATGTGGTGATCCTCATATGACCTATTTGTGCAGACTTTTTCTTTGTATTGCTTTTCTTTTGTTCTTGACTGACACACACACACACACACACACACACACACACACACACACAAATATTATACTAACCTCCTTAAAATATCCTCATTAGTTCAATTCAGTTAAATGTTTTTATTTTTACCTTTTAAATATATGCTTATTGTATTGGGCCTTGTGTTATGTAACCAAAACTTAAAAGGTCCAGGAACTCTAACTGATCCAATTTTGAACAATTTACACATCAAAAAGGATAATGATAGTAATGGGTTATGACACATTAATAGAAAGAGACTCATTGAGTAGAAGTGAAATTAATGTAATTAAAGAAATAGGCAAATCACAAGGAAAAGCTCTTCTTTAGGAAATAATGCTTTCAATAAATTTCTAAGAAATTTAGATGTAGAAAATCATTACTTCCAATTGTCAATATATATGCTTTTGATCCAGTCAAGAAACACTAATACATGCTGAAATCAATGGGTGACATGTTCTAAAAAATAGAGAACGTTCATATAGTCGCAAAATATCACTCCACAGATGGCTTATTAACTAATATAAGGGAAAGTTACCTTTACAGAGGCAAATCTGGATAATAGTCAGTTAAGCAAGTGATCAAAATTAACGTCACCAATTAGAGAACAAGCAGACCTGATGCTTCCTCTGGCATGCATGAAAACTACCAATATTGCCTGTGTAGTATCACCAAATATGTAACCCAAATCTAACCACGATGAAACAAAAAGACAATTCTATATCCTTGGGCATTTTATCTAGCCTGGAATTCTTCAAAGGTCAATGTCTGCAAGGAATGGTAGGGAAACTATTCTAGATTAAAATAGGTGAAAGAGATGAAAAACAACTGCGATGAGTGATTCTTCATTAAAACTTGAATTAAAAACTACAATAAAAGACAAATTTGAGCATAGACTGTATATTAGGCAATGCTATTGTATCCATATTAAGATTATTGGTTGTCATAATGGTAACACGGTTATGTATTAGTTTGCTAGGTCTGCCATAACAGAATACCACAGACTTGGTGGCTTAAACAACAGAAATTCGTTTTGTCACGGTTCTGAAGGCTGCTGGTCTCAGATCAAGATGTTAGCAGGTTTGGTTTCTTGAGGCCTCTCTCTTTCTTTGGCTGGCAGATGATCACCTTCTCGCCATGTCCTCACGTGGTCTTTCCTCGGTGTGTGCATTCCTGATGCCTGTCTGTGGGTCCTCATTTCCTCTTCTCACAAGGACATCAGTCTAATTAGATTGGTGTGCAGACTAATGTCCTCATTTTAACTATTTCCTCTTTAAAGTCCTATTTTCAAATACAGTCACATTCTGAGGTACAAACAGTTAAGGTTTCAACACACAAATTTTGGAGAGACAAAGTTCAGTCTATAAGAGGTTACATTATAAAACTCTTCTGTTCTTTAGCAGACACATGAGGTGAAGTATGAAGTTTGCAATTTATTTTAAAAGGTTCAACAGGAAAAAAATGTTTGTCTATATATGTGTATAATAAACACAAACACAGTTTTTCTCCCTTCCCCCACCCCATTTCTCTTTCTCTCCTCTTTACCTCTCCCTACCTTCTCTCTTAGGGCAACATTTTAACAATTGGTGAGTCTAGAAAAAAGGTGTTCCTTGAATTTAAGGTTTGAAAACTTTCAGTATAATAAATTGGGGGGAAAATGCAAGAAACATAAAACATGGCTCTACTCCATAACAAGCTTTTATTTAAGAAAGAGAGGCCGGGCGCGGTGGCTCACGCCTGTAATCCCAGCACTTTGGGAGGCCGAGGCGGGCGGATCACGAGGTCAGGAGATCGAGACCATCCTGGCTAACACGGTGAAACCCCGTCTCTACTAAAAATACAAAAAATTAGCCGGGCGTGGTGATGGGCACCTGTAGTCCCAGCTACTCAGGAGGCTGAGGCAGGAGAATGGCGTGAACCCGGGAAGCGGAGCTTGCAGTGAGCCGAGATCGCACCACTGCACTCCAGTCTGGGGGACAGAGCGAGACTCCGTCTGAAAAAAAAAAAAAAAGAAACAGAAGTATCTATGGACAAGACTCACACAAAATGATAAACGATGAAATAAAGATAGGTACATTTTACCCCCACAAAAGGAATCTTTTTATTTACTCTCCTTCTGAATCTGAGACCACAACAAAGTATAAATTGTACTATAACATGCAACAACAAAATATAATTGGTAGAAGTTTGCCATTTCTCTATGGTTTATTACTTACACTTTCAATTTAACATACATTGTCAGTGCAATAAAAATGCTTTTAAATAATGTTCCTTAACATTTTTGCTTGTTCTGAAATTCATTTGGCATATCTAGACTCCTCATAAGATAATGGGAATGCGCACACTGGGTGAAACTTCTGTACCCTCTAACCAATTCTGTATCAAAAGGTACAATCATTTTCCATAAAAACATGTTTTTAAAGTTAGACACCAATTTTTCTTGTGATATTTATGAATCAGGTATCCATGAACAGATCTATTTAATTTTCCAGCTTTTAATAATAATAAAAACATTTTTTCAATGCTAAGATTTTTATTCAAATGCCAGGTACTCTACTAAGAACTGCTTATCTATTTACTTGTTTAATCCTCACACCAACCGTATAAAAGTATTGTTATTTTCTCTATTTTGCAGATAAGGTAATAGAACCACAGAAAGGTTAAGTAACTTATTCCCAGCTGATACATGTTAGAACCAGGTTTTTAATAAAAATAGTTATCTTAGTTCATTTTCTGTTGCTTTTAATAGAATTCCTGAAACTGGTTATAAAGAAACAAAATGTATTTCTTACAGTTCTGAATGAAAACTGTGAAGTCCAAGGTCGGGGGGTGAATCTGGTGAGGGCCCTCTTGCCAATGAGGACTCGCTGCAGAGTCCTGAGGTGGCACAGGGCATCAGATGGTAAGGGGGCTGAACACTAACTCTGGTCTCTTTTTCTCTTCTAATAAAGTCACCAGTCCCACTCCTGTGATAACCCATTAATCCATTAACCTATTAATCCGTTAATCCATAAATGGATTAATCCACTTACGAAAGCAGAGCTCTTATGACCCAATCACCTCTCAAAGGCATCACCTTTTAACATCGCCACATTGGTAATTAAGTTTTTAACATGAGTTTCAGAGGGGACAAATATTCAAACCATGACAGTAGTTTTTGCCTTAAGCCCGTAAATTTAACCATTATGCTATGCTGCATCTCTTAGGGTAAAGTAAAAACTTTATCTTATTTAGTACTGTGCTATTCACTGAGCAAAGTTCTTTTTTTTTTTTTTTAATCATCCCTGTTCCTTCTTCATTTTACCTCCATTCATTTTACCACAGTCTGAATATTAAATATGTTAAGTTTTAGCTAACATTTTTATGCCTTCTCCATGTTTTCTTTAGACTTGTTTAATTGCTAGAATACTACTTCTCAAACAACAGTAATACAAATTTTATTATATTTTTAGATATAGGAAATGTATAACCAAGAGTTTAAATAGATGAAAGATTCATGGAGACTAAAGCTATTAATAGAAATGGTTTTTGCTATTCAAATATTTTTATAAGAATATTCTTCCACCTTTCTCCCATTTTGAACAATTGGAGACTTCTTGATTCAAAATCTCCAAAGAAATAATTTGATTAGCTTGGATCATTAGTTAATGCATAGGGCATATATTTGTTACTCTTGGGTCAGGTGCATATTCTTGATTGGTTGCTTGTGATCAAAGGTGGTGGTTGGGGAGAATCAGAATGGGATCACATAACATAAAATATGGCCACTTTGGCCCATGCTCATTACAGGGTGAAGATGGTCACAATGAGTTGTGCCTGGTAGTGTCTATTAAAATGCAATGGTTTTATTGCTTTTATTCATAGCCATTTTTTAACCTTTGTCCCTACATGTTCAGAATCACAAACATTGGATTGCATTTCTATAAGAAAAACACACCTGTCTACCCCAGTAATACCCTATATTCTACCCTTACTGCCACACCTGATCATGGATTATGGTAAAGCCTTCAGTGAGGTTTATTACAGCTTTCTAAAAGCTCTATAACTAGAAGTAAACATAGCACTCCACTTAACAAATTCTCCACGATAAGAGTTACATGGGTAAGATAATATTTTCCATTTTGTTCTAATACTCCTGTTAATTATTCCCTAGCTGTTTTGGCCACTGCAGCACATTAGGCTGATGTCCTCAGAGAGTCATGTATTCTGATCATAGTCTTCACAAACCAGGTAGAATAAAGATAGTAAGATGAGATCACCTGTGTGGACCAACTGAGTAAGTAATAAGAGAAGAGCCCAGCTTTTATCCAAATCATTGGAGTTCGTTCCCTAAATGCATTACCTTAAACTTGCTCATTTGAACCTCACATGACATTTGTCTGCCAAGCTATGGCCTCTTGAGATTTTCCTACAGTTTATGCACATTGACTTGGCATTTCACTACTCTTTTAGTAAAAGCTTAGTATCTTTGCATAACTTGGAGATTCTCAGTGTGCTATTTCTTTTCAATTATTTATTCAAAAATTAAAATAAGAATTGTCTTGGAATGGAGCTATAGAGACTTTCTCTTTTTCATTTCACACAGAGAACTGTTCCTTTATCTTTTTTCCTTTGTCATGACTAGATCATATTTTTATTGAGACAAAAAGGTAATTTTAATATAGAATTTCATTAAAATCTTTATAAAAAACATTGACAATACTGTATCTATTGGTAACCTTTTATTTGGAAAATCCGTTTGTATTTTCTCAAAGAGCTCTCCACAGATTCAGTTTATAGGTATTGTCTGGCAAATCTGTGAAAAATTCTGAGAATCTTGGTGGCACAGAGTTGGACGTTTCTCAGCTTTTATCATCAGTACCCAGCAATGGGCTTGTGTGTTACTAGAGACAGCTCAGTTCCATTAAAGTTCTACTGTGCCTCTTAGCAGTATCTCACTTTTTCTTCTGTAGCCTAATTTTTCTATTAATAGAGTTTATTGGCTAATTTAATATGGAAATGATACTCACCAAGCTATTTTTCCCTACCTACCACCCACCGTAGGAATCAATCTTTTTGAGGCAAGTTCTTATTCCTCCAGTAAACTGACATTTATCCCTTGAAACCTGTATATATAAAATTACCTTTATTGCCTATCATCACCCCCAACTGTTACTTAGAAAGTCTTGCAAGAAAGAGCACCCTATGAAACACGAAGTGCGTAAGAGAGGAAGGAGGGAAACATGTTCACACTGGGTGTCTTCTACATGCTAAACACTGCATCTCATTTAATTCATTCAACCTCATTCTTAGGCATTATTCTTTTTTAAATTTTATGAATAAAAAATCTGGGGCTCAGAAGTGAAGTGTAGCAGTTACTCCTCATCCACAGGGGATACAGCCCAGGACCCCCAGAGGATGCCTTAAAATCACAGATAGTATCAAACCCTGTATATTCAAATTGTGTATTTCTAATACAAAAATCTGAGACCTGAACTGTTCCAGAATCCCAAACATTTTAAGCATCAACACGATATTCAAAGCAAATGCTCTGCTGGGTGCAGTGGTTCATGCCTATAGTCCCAGCATTTTGGGAGGCCAAGACAGGAGGAGTGCTTGAGCTCCAGAGTTCACAACTGGCCTGGGAAACATGGCAAAACCCCATCACTACAAAAATTACAAAAATTTGTCTGGCATGATGGTGTGTGCCTGTGGTTCTAGCTACCTGAGAGGACTAAGGGGTGGGCAGCCTATACAAGGTGGGTATGCTGGAGAAAGGGAAGCTTCACATCCCAGGCAGGTAAGAGCAGGATGGTTATCACACTGCTAACAATGGTCTGCAGTTTAAAACTTATGAAGTTTATTTCTATAATTTTCTGTTTAATATCTGTGGACTGCAGTTGACCATAGGTAACTGAAATCTCCAAAAGTGAAATCAAGGATATGGGCGTACTACTGTAGCTTCCTCAGAATGAAATAGAGACAGAGTTGAAATTAAAACGCAGGTCAATCTGACGGTGTCTTTTGTATGCACCATCGTTTACCAAGCCTGACATGTACAGTGCCTAACAAAATGGATGCTCAATAAGTATTTGATGAATGAAAAAATAAATAGCTGTCTCTGAAGTTTTTTACACTACTTTTGCATATGCTACCACGTTTGTTCAAGGAGTTAAGTCGTAATGTCAAGGTTAATCAGAAATAAAATATTATTTACTTTTAAGACAGGAAAAGCAGGTTATGAAACAAAATAATATTAAGGAGCTAAAGATAGGCTCACAGGGCTGGAACCAAAACTATGAGGATGCAGAAAAAACAGAACCAGCCACTAAGAAGCAAAATCAGTAAGATTTTGCTAACTACATAAAGTTAGGAATACCAGACAGCAGAACTTGGAATTTCAGAGAAAACACCAAAGCATGAGCAAACAAATCAAGGCATGAACAGCAAATGCCTGCCAGAGAGGGATAAACCTAGGATCCCCAAAAGTCTGCTTGCCATATCCTCCCACCATTAAGGGCTTCTTGATCAATTTCTATGTGCCCAATCTATTTGCTTTCCAATAGGGCTTTATATCCTGAATGTGAGCTGATCATGATTCCAAAAGAGTGAGCTCTATTTAGCATATAGCTTATATTGAAATAAACGATTTTTGTCAAACTATTTCCTTTTGACACTAGACACGTATTCGTGGAGCATATTGGCATAAAAATTTAGACATACTGATATTGAACGAGTCCTTTAAAAATTGGACATGATTTATATCTAGGATTATTCCACAAAGATTATAGTCCTTGCTCTCAAATTGCTTAGAATCTAATGCTGGATTCAAAACGATTTACTTTCAATGGCAAAACCACAATTACTTTTGCACCAACCTAATAGTATACCTCATGATCAATGAGATCATCTTTGACGAAGTTTTTACATAGTCTTCATAAAATTAATTTTCCTGAATCCAGTGCACTAACATTATTTATTAATGATTATGAAAATTTGTATACAGACTAGTGTAAGTTCTAACTGAAATAGTGCTGTCTTTGAAAATTTGATCATATCTGTTGATGAAAAGAGAGAAGGAAGGGAAGGAAGGAAACTAAAGATTAAGGCTTTTCAGAGCATTATTGCTTGCAGGATTATTATAGTGTGCTCAAATATAAAAGGCTTGTGAGTCTGTTGTGCTCACTTTCAGTTAGCAATTTTGTAGCACTTTACTTGGGTGTGCTATTATCCTTATTTACATATGTAGGAAAACTGATGAATAATGCACATGCATCAATTAACCTTTCACAGTCTCTCAGCACATTAGAGCTCTGCCTACAGTTACTTCAGTGGTCCCAGTACTTCAGTAGAAACTCAAAAGTGCAGTGTTGTTATTGCTGTCATTTGTGTTTATTAGATACAGAAAATGTTTTGTGTGCTATAGAGACAACTGACTCCTTTTCCCGGAGCTCTTACCTTCTAACTGGAAAAGAAAGACAGGAAGTCTGAATACTGTTTTTGTTTGTTTGTTTGTTTTGTTTTGTTTTTTATACTTGCAAATGATGGTCAAAATTCAGTGTAAAGATAGAACTATAAGAAAGTGTGGGTTTATAAGTACATGATACTATACAGAACAGAAAAATATTGGGAGGAAATTGAGTATAGTACATTTTCATACATTAAGAGACCTGGAGTTTTAAACCAAACCCTGTAATTACTTATCAGCATGATCCTGGGCAAAGCACTTTATCTCCCTAGGTCTCTATTATACTTTAATAATCTCACTATCCAAGATGGAGAAAAGAGAATTTATCATGGTAATATAGAGGGCAACATTAACTCAGAGTTTATTTTCATTTGCTACAATTAGCACTACAATTTGAGTTCTTTTTTTTAATTGACAGCATTGTTTGCAGTCTTTGTTTACCATTTGTAAATTCTGGTTAGTAGACCCACTATTGATATAATACTTAAAAGCAGCCTTAACACATTGCCTGGGACAACTCAAAGGTTATATATGAGCAAGGAGAAGGAGAACACTTCTTTCTTCATGCTTGCTTCATTTCTCTTTCTCTTTCTCTCTCCCTCTTGGCAGGCTTTTTCTGTTGCACTTACACATACCTCAGATACAGTGACCGATGCCCTTGCTTTATATGTCTGTTCAAGCCATCAACCACTTCCAGCTTTCTGTGTCACAGTTTTAAAAACCTAAGTCAAATAAGCTGATTGACTCAGTCCAACTAATGTATTAGATGCCACAGGGCAAGCCATTCACCACTGGTCTAATTAGCTAGGAGAAGGAGGCAGGGGTGGAAGGTTCTGCCATGTCAACGAAGCTGGACTGCAGGACTGAAATTCTGTGGGAGAAAGAAGGGCTTTTTTCTTAAGGAAAAAAAAAATGAACTGGACAGATATTCTAAACTGAAATTTCAAACCATAGCATTTTCCATTTTACAAATAATGCCAATGTTAGACACTGCTTACTAGGTTCATGACAGATAATACAATTTATTTAGAATGGCCTCAATACACTTATTGACAGTAGAACATTTGACTTCTGTTTTTCTTGTAGTGATGGTAGGTGTTCCAGTTACCATTTGCCTCAACCATGAATATTTATAAAATGAGTAGTTTTTAGTTGTGTTAGAAAACTTCACCCAAATAAGCTTTAAAAAAAAGGAAATTTAATGGCTCAAATTTCATTTGGGTCCAATAGTTAAAAAAAAAAAAAAAATTCCTACCTGAAGCTCTCAAGTTCTGAGATAGACTCAGATTGGAGTTTTACCCAAATCAAGTAGACAGAAACTGGCAGAGAAGTGGTCTCCAAAAGAATTTTGGATACTGTATTAGTCAAAATTCTATCAGGGAAACAGAGCCAGTAAGATATATAAATATAGAGAGATTTCTTTTAAGAAATTGCCTTAGGCACTTGTGAGTCTGGCTAGTTAGATTGAAATCTGTAGGGCAGGCAATCCGGAAGGGAAGGCTGGAACTCTCAGGCAAGAGCTGATGCGGTAATCCACAGGTGGAACTTCTTCCTCGGGGGAAATCACAGTTCTGCTCTTAAATTCTTTTAATTGATTAAATCAGGTCCACCAAAGTATTGAAGATAATCATCTTTACTTAAAGGCAGCCGACTATAGACACGAAGTACCCTCAAAACAGCACCTAGATTAGTGTTTGAGTAACTGTGGACCACACCTTGCCAAATTAACACATAAACTGAATATCATAGAACCTGATATTAGAAAAAATAAAGACATGAAGACTGAGCAGCAAACAATAATCTAAGACCTTTACAGGAAGAATTCTAATCCAAGTGTGATCGAAACAATCTGTTTTCTTTGAAAAACTAATTGGCCTATATGTAATAAATTGCAAAAATTGGGACAAAATACCAGTATTGCATAGCCTACTTTTTGTTTGTTTGTTTGTTTTTGTTTTTGTTTGTTTTTTAGTTGGAGTCTCACTCAGTGGCCCAGGCTGGAGTGCAGTGGCACAATCTCAGCTCACTGCAACCTCCACTTCCTGGGTTCTAGTGATTCTTCTGCCTCAGCCTCCCGAGTAGCTGCGACTAGAGGCACACGCTGCCACGCCTGGCTAATTTTTAAAATATTTTTAGTAAAGCCGGGGTTTCACCATATTGGCCAGGCTGGTCTCGAACTCCTGGCCTCGTGATCTGCCCACCTCGGCCTCCCAAAGTGCTGGGATTACAGGCTTGAGCCACCACACCCAGCCTAGCCTACTATTTTAAATTCTTTGATTATGAGACTAACAAGAGCTTGTTACCAGACATTGCATCCACCTATCAATCAATTAACAATATGCAGAGCTACTCATCTCAGTCATCCCTGAGTATTCATAAATTCAAAAGCATCTTTATCCTCAATGATCTTGTTTTGTATTTTCTCTAGAGGTGGAGGCCAGGTGCTTTAGAATTCCCTGTTGTAGTCTCAGAACCTAGGGTCTAGTTTTCTGGAAAGAAATTAATAAACAGCCAGGGAAGAGAGGGCTGGTTAAAAAATGTTTCTAATATTTTGCTATTATTCATAAGGTTACAGTAAATAACTTAGTGTATGTGCTGTTTCTTATTTGTTAAGATGCATCCTCAGGTTGAATTTTAGAAACAAGAATTGCTGGATCAAATAGTAAATGAATATTTTATATTGTTAGATACTGCCAAATTTCCCACCACAGTGATTATAGGAATTGGAGATGTCAGCAAGCTCCCCTGGTGATTATTATACACAATAAAGTTTAAGAATCACTATTTTAGAGCATGGACATTTACCTTTTCAAGTATTAATCCTCTTGCCAGAAAAATGCCCGTGTAGGAATATATAATTGCTGGCATACCTGCCAACACAGCCCTACACAACTGGTTGTTGATGGAACCCCTGAAGCTCATCCTGGTCAAGAAACCCTGGCCTAGAAGCATCTGCAATTATCAAAATGCATGTTTTGCCAGTGGAGTGAGGACAGTTGTTTCCCTTCACCAGCTTCATTTGGCCTTTTTAGTCTTAAACACTTAACTTGAGGTTGATACTGCATTCCTGCCTAAAACTAAACCAACAAATTTAGATAAAACCATCATAAAGAAAGTATTGCTTTACAGAACTTTTGCCTTACTTTTTTCTAAGTACATCTGCCCCTCACAGCAAGGACAGTGAGCACTGAACAAAGAAATCTTGATCTTTCTACAATGGATTTAATCTGTATAATCCTATGATTTTATCATCACTGCAATATTATTGCACAATGTGTTCCAACATCAAAATGAGATGTGTACACAAGTATAAACAATGAATACTGTAAAAGAAAGCTGTGCTGTAGTTAAAGTTTCATTTTTCAACACTGTTTTCCTCCATTTAGTAGGAATTTGAAATAGAAATGGACAGTTCAGCTAACTGGTAATTAGCATAGCAGTGAACCAGGTTTGTTCAGCAGTCCACAACTTCGTGGATACTTACCTTAGTCACTTTTGAGACAGCCATCTGTGTTATTTCAGCTCAGAACAATGCCCTTACAAGCCAATAGGACTTCCTTAAGTGCAGAATCAGGTTACCCACCTCTGTATATCTCAAAGAGCAACTTTTGAATTCTAATATATTACATCAAATACTTTACTGTTCCACATGAATCACGTATATTGAGCATGAGCTTTTCAGTACTGGTATCCTGAAAACTGATTCCTGAAGGAATGCTAAAATAGCACTGCCCTTGGTCATGAAAATATGCCAAAACATAAACTCCATTCTTTGTATTAAATGGAATGACACCTTGAGATCTTATAAAACAGGTAGACTTATTGGGAAAAATATGAAAGAACACTAAGTTAAAATATAGTATGTGAAAATTAATATTATATTGGAATGCTGTTTTTACTCAATTGAACTCTTTATCTCTATTCAGTTTTAATTAGGAAGTCCTACTGACTCAGACTCCAAATTATTTTTTGAATCTCTCTTCTCTTTTCCATTTCTACTTTCTACATTAGTGCATAACTACCAAACTGGTATCTCCCTATCCGTCACCCAACACTTTTAATCCATCCTCCTCCCAGGGGACAGTATTATATTCTTAAAATTCAGGTTGCTTACATAAAGTAAACAAAGGAGCAAAACTTGTGCTAGATTTGAGAGCCAATCTAACCCTTTTCGGAATACATCCGAGTTCTGTTATAGTCTGATATCATAGGTAAAATCAAGTGAATATTGAAGAAATGTCATTAAAGATGAAAATTGGCTAGATACAGGAATACTCAAATCTAACCCTGAACTAATCACTACTCCTTACAAGTTCTCCAAGGGAACTGTATGCAAAAAGGACAATGAAAACGAACTGAACAAAGTAATAATTTATGATTAGTAATTTAGGCCTGAAATATAATTCCAGTGAGCTATGCTGTATAATCTGGAAAATGTATTTTTCTATGCCAGAATGGCCTTATCTTTATTTTTTACCCTTTAACCTAACTTCAAGTCTGAGTCTTATATCTTATGATTCCCATATGAGGAAATTTATAAAGAGCCTGTCAAAGGCCAGATGAAAAAAATTATATATGTAATATATGTGTTTTATATATATATAAAAAACATATATATATATATATAGAGAGAGAGAGAGAGAGAGACAGAGAGACAGAAAGAGAAAGAACTTAGTATGTGCAGACATATGGCTAAGTTCTAAGCATATAACACTGAGTCAAGCAAATATGGCCTCTTGGAGGTTGTAGTCTGCTTCATAGATTTTAAACAACTTTATATGTGTTTGTATCTATTTTATGCAAGTAAAATAAGAAACAGTGTTATAGAAGTACAGAATGCCATGAAATTATGTCAGGTAGATCTAATTGATATTGGAAAAACAGAAAAGATCTTTCACAGGAACTGACATCTAAGTTGAAAACTAAAGCCAAGGTTGGAAAAGCATAGCAGACATTAACTTCAAGGCTAAGGGAAAGTGTATATGAAGTGCAGAAAGGGAGAAAATACTTGGATTTTTTTAAGGAACAGAAAGACAGCCAAGGTACTAGAAATAGAGAAGAGCATCACTGGATGTCCAAGGTGTTAGGAGTGAGGAAAGATACTGCTAGGTGAAACTGGAGAGAGAGGCAGAAACCAGCTCATGTTCGCCATTGTTGGTAATGTTAGGAATGTAAGATTTGATTCCTATTTCTCTCAGCAGCTATAGGAAGGTTTATAACACATAATCTACTTTTCATGTTAATGTGCTGTCTTTGGCTACGATAAGAAAAATGGCTTAAGAAACTGAGATACAGTGTAAATTGCCAAGTAACAGATGACTGTTACTTGGTTTAGGAAAGAGGAGCAGAGAAAGAGATAAATATACAGATTCAAGATATACATTGAAGATGTAACTGGCAGGATGTGGTGATAAGTTGGACATAGAGGATACAGTAGAAGGTATGAAGGATGAATGCCTTCGTTTCTGGAATAAACCATTGGATAGAAGGAAGCGCTTTTTGCCAAAGTGGAGAAAAGTGAAAGAACAGATTTGGAAAGAAAGAGCAGGAATTTAATACTAGGTATGTTATATATGAGATATCCAAAAGAATCTCAGCAAAAGTATCAACAAAACAACTGTGTTTATGAGTTAGAAGTTTGGATGACAGGCTAGAATATTAGTGAGTTATTGTAACATTAATGAAAGTCATGGGAACATTCAAGATTGTCTATGAGAGAGTTCTAAGATTACAAGACTGAACCTGAAGTACTCCATTAGTAGAATTCTGGACCTGATGTAGAGAGAAGAGGTGGAGAAAGTAACTGAGGAAAAACAAGCCAGGTAGGAAGAAAACCAAGAGAGTGCTAAGAGAAAAAAAATGCCAAAAAGGAGAAAGTGATGAATTTGGCCTGATGCCACAGAGAGGTCATAAAAGGAGACTGGGAAAAGTCCATTGTTTTAACCATATGAAAATACTTGGTAACTTCTGTAAGAAAAAAAATTTGAATGGTAAATTTGGATGATGTATCATTGTGTCAGGAAGTGTGCGTAAGGGGAAGAATAAAGTGTATGAAAAATTCTGTAGCAAAGTTTGGATGTAAATGCAGCATGGAGAAAAAGGACTATAAATGGAAGGTGGTTTAAGGTTAAGAGAAAATTTTTATTGGTTTTAGAATGATAAATAGTAAAGCAAATTCGTGTGCTGAATATGACATTTAGTAGAAAAGGAGAAGTTGAAGATGCAGAAGAAAGGGAAATAGTTGCTGAAGTCAGGTCTTAGAGAAAAAGACGGACTGAGTGTATATTTCTCCCCTGCATTGGACTAAACAAAAAGAGAGGATGCTTGCTTCTGTCTTACAAGAGGAGAGGAAAAAATAATTGATCTAGAAATAGATATTTTAGCTGGGGCTATAAGAAAACAAAGGATTTGCCTTTCTGTATGCTCTAATTTCTGCAGACAGAAAGAGGCAAGACTATCCTTCTGGAGTTGAGAGATGTGAGGTGAAGTGAATCAAAGGGTTAGGACAATGGAGAAGGAATGAGAAAGAAAAGTTGAAGGCTGGTGAGAAAGTTGAGAGAGTCAATGGGGACAGAGTCTCAATGAAGTCCAAAAGTGTTGCAGAGGGAGTACCTGAGACTGATAGTAAACAGACAGTCAAGTGGAAGAGTGAGATTCTGTGTGTGGTTGGGAAGACAGGTAATTTCTGGTGAAGACAAAGAGCATACTATTTATCATCATGGGAATCTGTGGTGGTGGCAGTGTACTGGAAATAAAAGGTCATAGGCACAGAGGAGGCCAAGGAAACAAAGAATAAAGTTTTGGATTAATTATCCTGTAGACATTTCAATATCTATGGGATACTGACTTCCTTGATTTAGAGTGGTCAAAAAGACAGAAACCTGGGTACCGAAATAAAAATAATGACATACAAGAATCAGAAGATTGTAGATGATTCTTCAAGGATGGGTGCTGTCAGTGATACAACCAGTTTGTGAGACCCTCTCAAAGCAGTGGATTTTACCATTTGAGCATAATATTCTGGAACATTCAAAGTATAATCTTATGATATTATGGAGCTTGATCATGGAGTGAAGGTTTCAGAATGCAGATCAGAAGGGTTGGGGTAGGAAGAGGGGAGGTTGGTTTGTATCAGTGGACAAAATGTTAGCCTGTCTTATGCTTTAAGCAGAGACTTGTGTAAAGAAGGGTGAGATGCCATATGAACTTTAAAGTAGTTTTTCCAATTCTGTGAAGAAAGTCATTGGTAGCTTGATGGGAATGGCATTGAATCTATAAATTACCTTGGGCAGTATGGCCATTTTCACAATATTGATTCTTCCTACCCATGAGCATGGAATGTTCTTCCATTTGTTTGTATACTCTTTTATTTCATCGAGCAGTGGTTTGTAGTTCTCCTTGAAGAGGTCCTTCGCGTCCCTTGTAGGTTAGATTCCTAGGTATTTTATTCTCTTTGAAGCAATTGTGAATGGGAGCTCACTCATGATTTGGCTCTCTGTTTGTCTGTTATTGGTGTATAAGAATGCTTGTGCTTTTTGTACATTGATTTTGTATCCTGAGACTTTGCTGAAGTTTCTTGTCAGCTTAAGGAGATTTTGGGCTGAAACAATGGGGTTTTCTAGATACACAGTCATGTCATCTGCAAACAGGGACAATTTGACTTCCTCTTTCCCTAATTGAATACCCTTTATTTCCTTCTCCTGCCTAATTGCCCTGGCCAGAACTTCCAACACTGTTGAATAGGAGTGGTGAGAGAGGGCATCCCTGTCTTGTGCCTGTTTTCAAAGGGAATGCTTCCAGTTTTTGCCCATTCAGTATGATATTGGCTGTGGGTTTGTCATAGATAGCTCTTATTATTTTGAGATACGTCCCATCAATACCTAATTTATTGAGAGTTTTTAGCATGAAGCGTTGTTGAATTTTGTCAAAGGCCTTTTCTGCATCTATTGAGATAATCATGTGGTTTTTGTCTTTGGTTCTGTTTATATGCTGGATTACATTTATTGATTTGCGTATATTGAACCAGCCTTGCATCCCAGGGATGAAGCCCACTTGATCATGGTGGATAAGCTTTTTGATGTGCTGCTGGATTTGGTGTGCCAGTATTTTATTGAGGATTTTTGCATCAATGTTCATCAAGGATATTGGTCTAAAATTCTCTTTTTTGGTTGTGTCTCTGCCCGGCTTTGGTATCAGGACGATGCTGGCCTCATAAAATGAGTTAGGGAGGATTCCCTCTTTTTCTATGGATTGGAATAGTTTCAGAAGGAATGGTACCAGTTTCTCCTTGTACCTCTGGTAGAATTCGGCTGTGAATCCATCTGGTCCTGGACTCTTTTTGGTTGGTAAGCTATTGATTATTGCCACAATTTCAGAGCCTGTTATTGGTCTATTCAGAGATTCAACTTTTTCCTGGTTTAGTCTTGGGAGGGTGTATGTGTTGAGGAATTTATCCATTTCTTCTAGATTTTCTAGTTTATTTGCGTAGAGGTGTTTGTAGTATTCTCTGATGGTAGTTTGTAGTTCTGTGGGATCGGTGGTGATATCCCCTTTATCATTTTTTATTGCGTCTATTTGATTCTTCTCTCTTTTCTTCTTTATTGATCTTGCTAGTGGTCTATCAATTTTGTTGATCCTTTCAAAAAACCAGCTCCTGGATTCATTAATTTTTTGAAGGGTTGTTTGTGTCTCTATTTCCTTCAGTTCTGTTCTGATTTTAGTTATTTCTTGCCTTCTGCTAGCTTTTGAATGTGTTTGCTCTTGCTTTTCTAGTTCTTTTAATAGTGATGTTAGGGTGTCAATTTTGGATCTTTCCTGCTTTCTCTTGTGGGCATTTAGTGCTATAAATTTCCCTCTACACACTGCTTTGAATGTGTCCCAGAGATTCTGGTATGTTGTGTCTTTGTTCTCGTTGGTTTCAAAGAATATCTTTATTTCTGCCTTCATTTCGTTATGTACCCAGTAGTCATTCAGGAGCAGGTTGTTCAGTTTCCATGTAGTTGAGCGGTTTTGAGTGAGTTTCTGGATTAAGAAAATGTGGCACATATACACCATGGAATACTATGCAGCCATAAAAAATGATGAGTTCATGTCCTTTGTGGGGACATGGATGAAATTGGAAATCATCATTCTCAGTAAACTATCGCAAGAACAAAAAACCAAACACCGCATATTCTCACTCATAGGTGGGAATTGAACAATGCGAACACATGGACACAGGAAGGGGAACATCACACTCTGGGGACTGTTGTGGGGTGGGGGGAGGGGGGAGGTATAGCTTTAGGAGATATACCTAATGCTAAATGACAAGTTAATGGGTACAGCACACCAGCATGGCACATGTATACATATGTAACTAACCTGCACATTGTGCACATGTACCCTAAAACTTAAAGTATAATAATAATAAAAGAAGGGTGAGAAAGTTGCAAGATTTAGTTCTGATATTATCTAAGACAGAGGTGGGTTTATAGAGTTTCAATTACAGCCTAAGAATGAGGGATGCCTCACAGTCAAAATGTTAGGTCAGTGTGTCGTTACCTTTTAGGCAGTTAGATTTGGCAGCTGCAGTAAAGTGTAGCCACGGGTGACAGAAATGAGCAAGTGGGCATAAACCAAGTGGTTCTTTTCTTAGAGAATAGGGACGTGGAGTAAGGAAGGGGAAGTAGTGATGGATCATAAACAAATCAAGTTGTACCAGCCTTTCTCTTGCTGATAGGGCCTAGACTCCACCTCAGACAATGACAATCTAGGGAGAGGAGATGATTAAGCATTTTTCCCACCATGTTTCAAACTACATTAGACATTGATGAAATATCTGTGTGACATGGATAAAAAGAAAAAATAAATCAATAATAAAAATGTACAAATCTTTCTATTTCTCCACATTTTTAGTGCTCCACTTTCACAGTGTCAGGTTTCTTACTTGCCGAGTTAACTCCTGGCTCTCAGATTATGGAAAATGAAAGGCAAGTTGAAAGAAAGGCCTAAAAAGCGAATTTGCTTTCATAATAAAAAGGTGAATGAGAGGTAGTACTGGGGTGAAGTGGGGATAAGGATGGACTGCATTTGTACTTGCCAGAGTTCAGCAGGCTTGATTAGGGAATGACGTTTGAAAATCCGTGGTTTGAGTAATATATTGAATTTAAAAGAGATAAAAATAATTTTTCTAAATTGCTGCTCATTATTAATGTTCTTCTTCCTTATATTTTCTCTAGAGACTACTGAAAAGATTTAAGATGTTTTCAATTTAGGCCAAAATAATATTTCTTCATAAATATCGTTTTGATTCAGTGCCAAAATGGGTTATGAGATTTACTTGTGAAAATTACAAAATGAGTCCTTAATTTAGAGTTAAAATTTTAATATGAAATATTCCCTAAAGTAGAATGATATATAGGAATGAAAAAGAAATTATTTAGGCAGATAGTGAGGGTAAGGAAGTCCTCGGTAAGGTTTTTTCCCTTTAATGAAAAGCAGCCCCAAATCATTTTCTTTTCTAACAATGAGCAGCCTGTAAAATCAAGCTGCAGACACAGACAAGCAAACTGTAAACTTGCATGGGTGAATGCTGGCAACTGTGCCAATAGGAAAAACTACCTGGCACTAGGCATGTTCAAAATGGCAACACCATCTTTCCTTTTTTTTTTTTTTTTTTTTGCCAACCACATGTGCAGTCAGGAGGAGACAACATGGCCCTGGCCAGGCAAAGACCCAATTTGCATAATAAGATTAGGGTGAGGTGGCCGGCTTTCTCTTGCACTATGCAAACATCACACCTGGTCCGACCAATCTTTGGGCCCTATGTAAATCAGACACCGCCTCCTCAAGCCTGTCTATAAAATGCTGTGCACTCTGTTGTGGGCCAGAAGTCCCATACGAGCACCCCTCTTTCTCACAGGAGAGAGAACTATTTTCCTTTCTCTTTCTTTGCCTAGTAAACCTCCACTCCTAAACCCACTTGTATGTCTGCGTCCTCTATTCCCTTGGTGTGAGACTATGAACCCCGGGTATTTACCCTAGACAAGGACACCGCTTCAATGTTTGCTTGTTCAAAATCTTTAGAACACAATTTTTCTGAATCTTAAAATAGAACGTTAAATAATATGGGCGGTTAGTCATGGCATTTGGGCTTCCAAGTATAGAAACCTACCAAAGTTAGCTCAAATAAATAGAGATTTCTTTTCTGAGAGGAATCAAATAATCTCCTGTATTCACAGACCTAAGGACAGGAAGCAAAGATGGACTTCCTGGGGCCTGGAGAATCCCTCACTCAAGGGAGACATGTCTTCTTTCATCTTGTCTCTCATAGCCCCTTTACTTTGATATGCAGGCTCCAGTATTTCTTCTCTCACACCCTCCCATGCTACCAGATCACCTTACCTATTTTACAGCAGCTGTGCACCAGGTGGACCGCATACTTTGCAGTTGAGATTATTGAGAGAAAGGGTCCTAGTGACTCCTCTCAGTCTATGATTTGGTTTCACTTGAATCCCATATTCCTTCTTGGTCTAATTATCTGTGAAGAGAGAGGAGATAAATGGTATTATGCTACTGCGCATAGGGCTGCCTCTCTCAGAAACACTAAATGGGGCAGGTTTAGGTAAATAAGGACGTTCAACGAGTCAGCCACATTGCCTGACATATCCAATACACGTACACTTTTGGAGGAATCACTAGTGGGAATGTTTCCAGAATATAGAATAGCCAGCCGACAGTGGGAGTCCATATGTCAAGTTTAATTTCTGTGTGTTTATGTATAAACTGAAAACCAAGTACAAGAGAGATTTTTCAAACAACAAAAGTGAAATCCCCAAACAAGTAAAGATCAATAAATAACTGTCTTGAATAGTCTTGGCCAGACAGACAAAATAGCTTAATTGTTTATTATCCACATGCTTTAAGTGGCAGAAACTAATAGAATTTGAATTTAAACCTTTTATTTCAAAGACTCATTACTTTTTCAGATTTGTAATTGCATTTTAGAATTACAATGCTAAATATTTAATATTCCTACTTTATTTCTAAATATACCTCAATTACTCTATATAATGTGGAAAATTACTTTCTTGTTCAAGTTTTGTACAAGGTACAATGGCATAAAAAATGAGGTTATGTTACTATTGATGCTATTTGGATAACACTAAGTTACTATAAAAACAAGAAAAAAATAAAGTTCCTAATGCAAACCTTTCTGAGGAAAATACGTATCATTTTCCTGAAATAAAAAGGAAAGCAGTTGTCTTCATTAAGATAAATTAATAAACATGGAGGGTTTGCCAGACCCTAAACATAGCAATGATTTTTGAAATCTGGCAATATATGGCTCCCTACTCTTATGTCTTACTCCCCTCTTAGCTAGTCCCCATTTTGTATCTTGTTACGTAAAATACCTTGTTTTTTTAACTTCACTTCAAAAAAATCTTGTCGTGTAACCTAACTTTCTAAAAAGTTAAAATGAATGATAAGTCATTTCATTTTCAGAACCTTTTGAAAATTTCTAAATTCCGTCAGTAAGTTATAACTAACATTTAAGAGTTAAGGACGGGGACTGACCATGCAGTTAAAGGACATGGACAGAACTTTGATGTATTTAAATTCCCTTATGTTTTTTTGAGTTAAAGTACAGAAGCATTATTTAAAATGGATATCACTGGCAAAAGCAATTCTTATTTTTATCAGCTAAAAAAAATGCATGCTTTAAGATGTCAGTATGTATAACAATTGCTTTCCTTTAAAGTATAGAAATGATTGGTGCCATAACTCTGTAAGCACAGTGCTCTGTCACTGTCCATGAGCGCTCCCTTTGTGACTTATGATTTATGTTAGGCAAGTTTACCAATAATACTCGAAGTTTCTTACTATCCTCAACTGTATAAAACTTATATGACTGTAGTGAAACGGGGCTGCTCATATAATCACAAAGATGTCAGACAAAAACAGTTTCCCATATCTGACGGGATAATGATGTCAAAACAATAAAACCCTGTTTACTAGAGAAGCTGCATTATGAAAATAAAGAACAGGATGAATAATTAAAAATTTGAAAGAAATGTTTTCTTTTGTGAGCTAATAGTTAAACATCTTAGAAATAGAGACAGTTGTTGGATTTGGGTGTCTTTTAATATTAATTTTTGTTAGTGGAAACTAGAATGACATTTAAAAATAAATGTAGAACAAGAGAACAGCAATGCCCCTTTTTGCTGCATAACAAAAAATAGTTGATAACACAGGTGAGAACAAAGAAAGATTTTTAAAAAGTATTAGTATTGCAATCCTAAGGGAATGGGGCATAGGGCTGAATTGGGACTGGTCTCCACAATCTACCATGAGTTTTCCAGGGAGAGTGCTAACCTGGGGGCCCTTGGTTCCTGGTGCGGGGAGATGCTGAAAAAGAGACTAGGACCCTGGAAGTTAAGAGAGTTAAGTGTTCAGAAAACATCAAATATGGTGGAATGAATGGGATTCCAAACCACCATTGAAATTCCTTTTTGTGTAATTTTGGGGGTAGATCATAGGCTTTCCCACTGTTTCTAAGCCCTAGGGGTGGTAACAATAAAGTGCAAAATCATTGCATTTCAGTTCAAAAGGCATAACATAATCTAATTATAACATTATGACAAAAATCAGACAGATCTCAAGTTGGAACATTCTTCAAAACAACCCTTATCTACTCTTTGGAAATATTAACATCATGAACAACAAAGGAAAGCTGAAGAACTGCTCAAGATTAAAGGAGTTGAGCAAGAAAAGACGATTAAACACAATGTATCATGTTCAATTAGATTCTGAATCAGAAATTTTTTCTATAAAGAACATTATCTGTCAAAAGGCAAATTTTGAATGACTATACATTGCACACATTGTTAAAGGAATTGATTATGAGAGATATACTGTGGTTATGCAAGAGAATGTCCTTGTCTTTCCTAACCTTCTTAAGAGATGGATGCTGAAGTGTTTAGGAATAGAGTGATGATGTCAGCAGTTTACTCTGAAGTGGCTCAATGAGTATATAAAATAGCCAACGGAACGAAATGTAAACAACTGGTGAATCTAGGTGACGGGTATAGGCATCCATTCTACTATTCTTAAAAATTAAAAATTTTGTGTGAGTTTGAAATTCCAAATAACAAGTTTTTCAAAAAGCTGTGACATTTATGGCTCCGGCAAAGACTAAGGATAAGGGCTTTGAAACTATTTCATCTGTAAAATACAAATTATCTGGTACTTTTGTCTCTCAGGGAAATCATAAGGATCCACAGGATCGTGGAGTTTGCAGAGCACCATTTACTTGTTTATGATTTGGAAAAATATGTTATAGAAAAGAAGAGAGTGATTTTTAACCCAACAACATTTATATTACAAATGACATAGTTGAATTTTAAATATTTAAAAATGTTAGCTTGTGTTTACCAATTGTAATACAGCTATGCCTCCACTAAAGAATGCCCTAGGAATGAAACTTTTCTCTGTAACAGGAAATTTTAGGGTAAAATTAAACACCACTAAAAACAAGCACACAAATAAACATTTATATCATCATGTGACTATAGGCACTCAATAGCTGCAACTTTATGGTCATATTGCTATTATTCCTTAGGACTCTTTGATTTTTTGCATTTCAATCAAAAGTGAACAGAGCTCATCACAGTCAGGAATCTGAAGTCTGAGAAGGTTCAATTTTGATCAGTTATATATTTACATGTGCTTTTTTTCATGCTTAGCAGAAACTTAGAGAGTTATCTCAATCCGTTTTATGATTTAGAAAAAAATATGAGAATCAGTTGCATCAGTCTTGTAATAGAAGGTCAAAAAGAATGAAAAATTTCTTGAATGAATAACTTAAATTTTCTGAAACCTTCATCATCACCTGGTTTATACTCTTCCTCCATAACTAAACTTCCCAAACACAAGTGGCAAAAATTACTAGTATTTTACTGAATATCAGATTCAGTGACATTTTCTTAATCTATATCCTTCTTTTTTTTGCTTTGTAAAGTGATTGACCCAGTCAGCCACTCGATTTTTTATTCTGAAAATTCTCTGTTTTAGATGTCTGTGAACATCTGTGTTACTGCTAACTTCTGACCTCCTTTACTCTTATTTCTCTAACAGCATGCCTCCAAGGTTCTTGTCTTGAGACGCCTCTTTTTTTGTCAGGGGTCAGGGGATCTCATTCAATTAAGTCATCTGAGGATGACTTTAGAGAAGGCTTCATCTTCAGACTCACCTCTCTCCTTAAGTACCATGTAAACAGTTGCAATTGCCTGCTTCATAATGCTATCTAAACGTAGTCTCTACACATCACATGATAGCCAGAACCTTCATTTCTCCATGGCCAAAGTCAAACCACCTGCACACCAACTCCTCTTCACCTCTGTGAAATGAACCAGTGAGAAAAGAAAAATATAAAAGAAGAGGCATTGTGAGAAAAAGTTTCATGTAGCAAGAATAGTGAAGACTGTTCTATAGTAAGAAAGAGTGAAACTGGGTAGTCCTTATAGAAACAGAATAGCTATGAACAAATTGATTTATAAGTGAGGAAAACAGAGATGCAGGATGGAAGCAGGAAGAGAGAGAGAGACGGAGGGGGAGAGGGAACGCGTGCATACCAAGCAGTGATTTGATCGTTTAGCATGACAATGAGAATGCAGGGTGTGCCCTTTATTTATTCTTCACTAGACTAGAAAGATCTTCACCTAAATAAATATCACTTGAAAAAATCATTTTTAACTTATGATAAACTGATCTTTCAAGAACATTTGGTGAAATATATACTTATAATAAAATCTAGCTTGTACTATTACAAATAGTATGCACTAATGTTTAAAAATTAGTCAATGTCTCCTACAGCAGAGAGAACTAAATTAAAATTAAAGTTTAAATAATGTGTTTAAGCTTTAAAGATACCCCATACTGTTAGATAATGTAAGTATGTTGAGAAAAGTAACTAAAAACTAATTCACCAAGTTTGTAAAATCAAATATTTTATACTCTAGGTAATCTTAATATTGCTCAGTCACTGTAAATTGGATTATTCTTGAGATTGTATTTAAGTCAAGGCAAGATGGTCTTCTATTTACAAATGTAATTTAGTCTCATGAGTGGGTAATCTTGTTAAATATTGTCAGGTTAATTAAAATTGATTTGTGTTTACTAAACATAGTGAATACTAATCAAATATTAGATACTGAAGTGTTGGAGTTACATTTTAAACTTTGACAGACACCATTAGCACAGTATGAAAGAATTTGTTGTCTCAGAGGTCAACATTACTCTTCAGCCTTTTCTCCAAAATAAATATTAAGAAAAAACAAGAAGAAATGACCTATACTTTTTAAATACAATTTTGTGATTTGGGAATATTTGGGAGAATTTGGGATAAGTTTTGGTGGGGAATTGATTATTTATGTTTTATTTCTGTTGCTACAAACAGCACATTTGCTTTTCTGTCTGCTTAATTCCATTCCAGGTTTGCTATTCTCCACCACTCATAGCGTCATTGAGCTCCACATGATAAGTTTTATAAGACACAAACATTACCAGGCAATTTGAAAGGCAGGTTGAAGATAAAGGCTGATAGCTCACATGCCCTGGCCTGGTGACTTGGCTCACTTCTGAAGCTTACACTGAATGTGGTTGATGTGCTTCAGCTCCATGAGGCTTAAAGAAACATTTCTGCTAATACAAAAATAAACCCACTATAATCATTCATTTTGGGGAAATTTTACAGTTGTTGGTTAACCTGCTCCCTTATGCCCTGCAATATTCATTAGCAGATTTCTCTGTTTATGAGTGATATTATAAGGAAATGGTTATATGAAGCCAACAGATGTAATCACTGAAATAAATTAGAAGAAAAAGTTCTGTTTTTTACAGATGGCTCCATCAAACGTGCTTCCCTCCCCCACCCTCCACTTTAACATTTAGTTTTCTTTCAACAGAAAACTTTTCTTTACTGACTACGGGAATGTCGCCAAAGTGGAGAGATGTGACATGGATGGGATGAACCGAACAAGGATAATTGATTCAAAGACAGAGCAGCCAGCTGCACTGGCACTAGACCTAGTCAACAAATTGGTTTACTGGGTAGATCTTTACTTGGACTATGTGGGAGTAGTGGACTATCAAGGAAAAAATAGACACACTGTCATTCAAGGCAGACAAGTAAGTACAATTTTGTTAGACAACGCTCCTAGGGTAATAAAAAGAAAGGAATAATACCAAAATTTGCAATACTGAAAATTTCTTGTAAAGTCGAGCTGCAATGAGTCATAAAAATTACAGTATATTTCCTATATTGGAGAATGTTCTTTTCACAGTGATATTGTGATATTTCCACAAAATTGGAGATGCCTCTCTTGCTCTTTCTCCCTTCTATTAAAAACAGAGAAAACAAGTAAACAAAAAACAAAACAACAAAGACAAAAATGCTATATTCGCAAGAAAGAAAAGTATTAAAATAGGTCAGATGTTATGGCCTATTTACTAAAAACTAATTTAAGTAGTTCATTCATGAGGAGCTGGACTATCATCTGTCCCATGTGGCGTTGGAGATATTTTGCTAACAAAAGCAAATGGCTGTTCACAAAAGTACCTTTATTATAACAAGTTCGATTAAATTTTGACTTCTGATGTATTCAAGTACTTCCTAAAAAGAGAATTCTGTGAAAGTCACGGAGGTCAAAATTCTTCCTAAATGTGTTACTTTTTACTTTGCTGAATTACAACGTTTTGCAAACAACAGTCAGTGAATGCCTAAAAGAGATCTCTAAGTAGAAATCAGCCTTATTTACTATAATATATTTAAAAATCTGATTTTATCTCACTAATGGCACTTATTTTATGTGAGATTCTTAGTCTATGGAGCTGAAATATGTGAATCTCTTTGGATTCTTTTGCAATGCAAGACAGGTACATTCTGTGATTATCCTCTAAAGTTACTTTTACTTTCTAATCAGCTTTTAAAATGAAATCCTTTCTCCTTCCTTGACAGATAAAGAGATGCACTAATCTGTCTGGGGTGGGGTTGGAGTGGGGGAACCTGTTCAATGTTAAAGGTGGGCCAGTGCTTTCTCTCTCACCTTCAACTGCCCCAAAAATCTTGATTCCTTTCAAAGCTCTTAGTTACAACCTTAGAGGACCTGATCTCTGAGATGATTATCATGGCCCTTCTCTTTACTTATTTGCAATTAAAAAATTAAACCTTGTTATGAAGATAGGGAGTTCAAATAAATTTTTTCATGACTACTTTAAAAAGTTTTGAAAGCCTGAAGTGTTTATTCTTTTTTCCCCATGTCTATTGCCTGTATTTTGCTTGTTCCTTAAACATATGCTAAGTCTGCCACTAAATAATCCAACATAGATACAGTTTTTGAAGTACTGGGGCTGAAGGCAAAATGGTTTACCTACTGCTCCAGGCTTCTCCTACCTCTGCCTAGGGTGTAATTAGCAGAGGTGCCTGTTTTAGGGGAAACAGTCTTTTCTGAAGGAAGATAGGGAGGTAGTGAGTGAATTTTATCTTTACTGGGTGAACATGTTTTCTACCTTGACCAATTGCCTCTTATGTAGCAGGCTTTTTCTCCTGGGTTATGAATTGGCAGTCATGTGACAACAATGTTGATATCCCATCACCACAGGTTCCTTGGTTGATGGCCCCAAACTTTGAGCAAAACATGCACGAGACTAATGGCAAAGGAAGAGTCTTGAGCTTGCTTATAATTTTTGTAGGACAAAAGTATTACCCAAGTCAAAATTGGACCATAGATATTTTTAGTAAATTTGATGTCAGCTAGGTGGAAAATGATATTAGTAAATACACATATGCCTGGACCCACACATAAATACAACACATGTCCATACTGTGGAGTAACATGTACATACAAAAAAACTATTCGGGCTATAACATGGAATAGTTCTCCCTAGTCATTCTTATATTTTATGTCCGACCTAAGCATGAAGAAATGAGATAAAACCCAAAAACGACATGTAAAGCCAGTCTTTTTTTAGTCGTGTCTCATACAAGAAGACCAGAAATAGAAGTAATGAGTCATATATGCTAAAAAGATAAATCAAATGTTTTTGTTTAAACTATAGAACTGGCAAGATTTTCTGGTTAAAATAGAAAATTTTGTGATTTTGTTCTATAAGTATTTTTATAATCAAACCGCACATACTTTTTCAAATTCTCTTTAACTGCAAATCTGTGTATTAAAAGTGTGCAATATAATGCCGAAAGTAGTGACAGATGCTTTTTCAACAAAATCTCTACAGCAAATCAAGTGGCAACTTCACTTTACCCTGGAACAGAACCATTTAAATTAAGTAAATGAGTAGCCAAAGGCAAGGTGCCTAGCATGTGCCTTTTATTCAGAAAATCAGCACATGTATTCTTCTTTTTGCTCCAGGGGAAAACTTTCTAAGTTCAAGATATCCATTCCTCCCCACAAACTCTAAGACCTTTGCCAAAGAGAAGAGCTGGACTGTTAACTAAGTATATGGATAGCAATAAACATCATAATTCTCAAAAGAAACTGTTCTATTTCCTATGATAAATTGGCTTTAGAAATAATGAAATTTCTGAGTGAAATGTTGACATTTATTTACAATGATTGCAAATATGTGATTTCTTTATATATTACTTTCTGTGCTGGAGCAAGTGGTAGTCTAAACATAGATTGGGACCAAAAAGTTGGATTTTGAATTTATAAAACAAATCTTCGGAGGTGCTTTCTCATTAGTCTTTTCACAGGGAGAGCTATGTTTTTGCAGCTTCTAAATATCCATTATTATATAAACAAGTAGCCCTTAAAATATCTCAAATTATGTATAACAGTGTCACAGGCATATTATTGAATATGCTTGAAAGTCTTGCTCTCACAAGCCTTTGAAAAATAACTACTAAATATGCTCTCTTAATGTCATATGAATACAATTCTGTCCCTACATTTGGAACTGTTTTAAACACTACTGCATAATGTTTTCTTCTCCAGAAAAAAAAGTTTTAATCAGGGAAATGTTGAACTCCTTGAGAAAAAGTAAATAACATCCTTGCGGTTCTTCTGCTGTGGCCATTTTCCATACTAGTAAATAGCAATCAGCTTTTCTTTCAAATTGCAAGCTACATAATTAAAAATCATAGTTATGTTTTGCCCTCTTTATAGGTTAGACATCTTTATGGTATAACTGTGTTTGAAGATTATTTGTATGCAACCAATTCTGATAACTACAATATCGTAAGGATAAACCGATTTAATGGGACTGATATTCACTCATTAATTAAAATTGAGAATGCTTGGGGAATCCGAATTTATCAAAAAAGAACTCAACCAACAGGTAAGTGGGAAAGCTTCTTTATTACCTTCCTAATGGTAGATTGAATGGGGATATAGTCCTTGTGCTTTTGTATGGTGTTGAAGTGAGTGAGTCATAAATTCTCTGCTTTGACAGCAAAAGTAGGCATGTCTGCTTGTTAAATGGAATAGAGCTCCCGTCACAAGTCTAAATGACAGATTGTTCAGTTTCTAGTGAATCGTTTCTATGATAGAATTGAAATGATAGCTAGATTTAGATTCAGGAAGGGGCTTTCAGTCGTGATGAATGTAGACAGGAAACCCAGATGCTAAAGTTATTATTTTTTCCTTTTAAATATCATTTTGGTAGACAAATTTAAAATCAGGTGACTGCCTTGAAGTATCTGTCCAGTGTTTATTATAGTCATTGGGCTCTCCTAACTTAACATTGCAATTGTTCTTTAACACATATTCATTAAAAAGTAATTTTCAATGAGAAGGCTGCAGTTTTTCTCAGAAAAACAAACCAGTTGTTTCTACAGGAGATTAGTGATGCTGTTCATCAATACAATTTAGGTTCAATCATACATAAAAAAAGAGAATATAAAAAGCCACCAGCAAAAATTTTTACTGTATTTTATACTTGTATTTCAAATTAAAACTAGCCTAGAATTATCTAAGCATTAACATATATCTAATCACGGCTGTACATTGTCACAAATATGTTTACAACAGACTCAAATTTAAAATTCTGTAGATGGCCTTATTAGAGTTTAATATTAGGATTTATTCATTCATTAATTTTTCATGGACAATCTACTATGTTCCAGGAACTATTCTATGTATACTGTGAATAGAGCAGTGAATAAAACAGACAAAATAGTCTTGCCTTTATGAGTTTACACTCCAGTGGAGAAGCTATGATACAAAATAACTAAGTAAATTATGTATTATATTAGAAGGTAATAAGTGCTATAGAGAAAATCAAGAAAGTAAGGTGGATAAAGATGTCAGAAATGGGAGCAGTCTTCAATTTTATATGGAAGAGTCAGAAGAAGTTCCATGGAAAAGATGACATTGAATAATGACTTGAGGTATTTGAAGGAGAAAGGCATGGGGATTGTATTAATCGGTTTTCACACTGCTGATAAAGACGTACCCAAGACTGGGCAATTTACAAAAGAAAGAGGTTTAATTGGACTTACAGTTCCACATGGCTGGGGAAACCTCACAATCACAGCAGAAGGCAAGGAGGAGCAAGTCACATCTTATGTGGATAGCCACAGACAGAGAGCTTGTGCAGGAAAACCCCCCTTTTTAAAACCATCAGATCTCATGAGACTTATTTGCTATCACAAGAACAGCATGGGAAAGACCTGCCCCCATGATTCAATTACCTCCTACTGGGTCCCCCCCAACAACACGTGGGAATTCAAGATGAGATTTGGGTGGGGATACAGACAAACCATATCAGAGATATCTGGGCAACAACATTGCAGGTGGTGGGATGAACAAGCACAAAAGCCATGAGGAGAGAACATGTCTAGACTGTTCAAGGAGTGGCAAGAATACCTGTGTGTCTAAAGCAGAACGAACAAGGAAAAGAGAAGTAGGAAATAAGGCTGGAGAAACAAAGGAGGACCATAACAAGTAGGGCTCTGTAGACTATTATAAAAAACTTTTGCTTATACTTTTAGTGAGATGGGAAGTCCTTAGAAAGCATTAAACAGAAAAATCTCACGGTATGACTGACATTTTTAAAGAACCAATATGGCTACTCTGTTGATAATAGGTAGTAGGGAGGAGAAGGTTGGAAGGTTACAGAGGATGGTGGATTGGATCAAGATCCAGCAGTGAAAGTGGTAAGAAGTAGTGAAATTCAGAATATAGGCAAATATAGAGCCGATAGGATTTTCTGATACATTAGAGGTGGAGTATAAATCAGACAGTGGTCTAGCTAGAGGAGTTGGAATAATTTAGTTACTTTTTAGATGGGGAAACTAAGCATGGAGTGAGTTTAGGACAAAGATAGCAAATTTAATTTTCATGAGTTACTTTAAATGTTTATTACAAATTAAAGTGAAAATATCAAGGGTATATTTAAATATACAACTCTGGAGTTGAAGGGGGAAGTCCAAGCTTGAGATACCAATTTGGGAGTCATTGACAGACAGGTCACATTTAAAGCCATGACTATGGATGTGAACACCAAGGCAGTAATCACAAATGGAGAAATAAGCATTCCAAATAATGGACACTGGTATGCTCCAGCAATAAGCTGAAAAGAATAGGAAAAACCAAAAGAAGAGACTGAGATGAAGCTTCTTAAATCCAATTGACCATAGGATTTAGCAGCATGAAGCTCACTGGGATCTGACAAGGGCAGTTTCAGAATTAAGTGAATATATGAGTAGAATGGGTTTGAGAGAGAGAAGAAGGAAAAGAATTGTAGAAAATGATCATTGGTAGCTTTGCACAGTGTGGATGTAAGCTAGGGCAGAGAAATGGAGAGCTAGTTGAAGGAAGGATTGTTGTGGGAATTTGGGTTAAAAGATTTTTGATTAGATGTAGAAATAATGGTATATTTGCATGTTGATGGACATGATCCAATGGAAAAAGCAAAAGTGATGATAAGATTTAGAAAGTGGAGAGTTGTTGATTAGTTGAGAGGAGATGCGATCTATTGTATAAGTGGAGTCAGGTTGGAAAATAACAATAACACTCTTGGCAGGAAAAAATTAGTAAAAATTGCATTTCACTCATCTTCTGACTTGGAGAATGAAGAATACAAAGATAATAGGCATAATTTTTAAAAGCATATTAGTTTTATTATGAAGAGAACACTGCCATGATATTCATCACCATTTCAAACAAGTGGGTGATCTAAAAGAAACATAATTACAATAATATGTAAAATCTTACTTATATTATTCCTATTATTTCTTTTCACTTTGATCCATCTTTCTTTTCTCATCCTCTCCATATAGTACTTTTCTTACCTTTTTTCTTTAGTAGCTTTTATGCTCACAAAATATTCTTCTACGCCTCAATTTCTATACATATACTCAGCCTCCACCATTTGACAACTACACACACACACACACACACACACACACACACACATTTTGTGGTAAGAGTCTCAAAATGACAATAGACTTAAAAATTTAAAAAATATTTTGCCTCAGCACTTCTCAACAGTGTATATATAATCACTGAATCACATTTCCTCTAGTTTGGTTGCCCATATGATGAATCATTTCAAAGGAAATCCTTTCTCTGCTTAACTACCTAACCTGGGATTATTTTTGTGGATCTTTGTATTCATTTTAGAAATTGGTATTTTTAAAAAGGATGAGAAGCAAGTACAAAAAAAAGTTATGTTACTTTTATTTTGCTCACCGGTGAAGAGTTTAAATTAATATAAACACATTTTATTTCTTAGAATTTTTTTTAAATGCTCACTTAGGAGGATTTTGTCAAATCCCTGTCTCCTCTTCTATGGGGTTTACACTCTTTTGCATTCGATTATGGTGCTAAATAGTTGAGTATACAAAATTTTGCTAAGATTCCCTGTTTTTACACTATAGAAATTTTGACATACTGATGCACATAGTTATCTTATCTTTGAACTTGAATTTCACGCATGCTGTTTTTTATTTGTTGTAGTCAGAAGCCATGCATGTGAAGTCGATCCATATGGAATGCCAGGGGGCTGTTCACACATCTGTCTACTCAGCAGCAGTTACAAAACTCGGACTTGTCGCTGCAGGACTGGCTTCAACTTGGGAAGTGATGGCAGGTCATGCAAAAGTATGTTGTTAAAATAAAACATTTGCCAGCAGCTACCCCTTTAGAATAGGATTTTAAGTATTAATTAGCAGCATCAACATCAGTCATAACATGAGACTTCAACAGGTGAAGTTTGCCTGCAAATATATACTGTCCATTTTTCTCAAAATAAGTATTTTTCTTTTGTGATAATATGAATGAGAAACTAACCAGGCTCTGGAGTCACTAAATTTATTGATTTTAGGGAAACATATGTTGAGGAAGATTTTTAGAAAGATGCTTCCCTTAATTCCCTAAAGAATGTATTTGAGCTAATAAGTTGGAATGATTAGTTGATCAGATTTCCTCTTATTTGAACCAATATGCTACTCCTCATAATAGGCATGTTGCTTGTTTCGACAGAAATCCATGTATAGTCAGGCTTCATTTTATCCAGCATCACTGGGGAGTGAATTCACTCCATGATTTAATTTGTCATGATTCAATTTTTCAGATAGCTGAAGCTATACCTAATTAGAGATCAAACATTTAATGATTTTATCAAAAAGTTTTAACGATTTTATCAAAAAGTTTTCTAATCTCTTAGATATATCTTTGTTTTATTTTAAAAATAGGCCTGAATAATTTATTTTAATTTAAATATGGTAAAAAGGATTTTAAAAATGACTTTCATAACTTAATATTTTGCACAATAATTAGTTAAGGTCTTTTCCTGGGGTCTTGATAATCAGGTATAGTAGAACGGCCCTGATTGAAATGATCCTAGTGGGGACTGTTGGTCTTTAAATGTTCCCCAAACACCATTATTTTTAATTTTATGATGACTGCTTTTTACAGTGTCCAGTTTGTCTTTACCTTTGTCATAGTGACAGCTTTTTATTTCTGTCAGTCCTTTCTCTCTGGTCACAATCCTGTCATCTCTTCCACCCTCTGGTCATGTGCTTACTAAGGACTGTGAAATTAGATCACTAAATGTGTTAGAATTTGAAGTCTGAATGGTTAGAGCTACTAATAGAATATATAGTTTAAAGTGAAGAATCAAAGAGTCCAAACTATGTTAAAATGTATGCATTTTTGTACTTTGTTTACATTTTTTATTTGTATTCCTGATTTTGTATTAAATGCTGGGAATGTGAAGGTAACAGGTCTCATGTTTCTAGGCCTTCTGGATAATTGAGGGTACTGAGTTTGAAGCCTCATGATAAAAGAAGTTTTGTGTGTGGGTACATGTGTGTCTATGTAGTGTGTGATTTAAAAATTGATCTGGATGGCACTTGGGAAATATAATCACACACACACACACACACATATATACACACATGCATATGTGCATACATACATACACACATTGGAGGAAAAACATAAGATCAGAATTGCCTATTATTCAATTGTCCCTAATGTAGTACATCACCTGGAGTACATTGAAAGTCATCAGAAACAACTCCAGCTATTTGAAGCAACAAGAGATTTAATGTAAATAGGTGCCTACAAAATCATTTAAAAACCTGGACCAGTAGCTTCTAGACTGGGTCTTTGGAACATTCCACCAAACACCATTAAACCAACCTGGCTGAAAGCTGGAACATCTACCATACTCAGAAGCTAGAGCATCAGGGAGCCACAAATGAAAATGTTAACTTTAAAAACATACCATTTAGCTGAGATCCAGGGATTAGAAAGCTTGCCCCACAACTATCAGATGTAGAGTTAAGTCTCATCTGATAGTCCCTAACTGGCAAAAAATAAAGAAGAGGAGGAGAGGAGAGACACCCTGTTCCTCACCTCTTGATATAGAATGGAGGAAGACTGCTGTGGAAAAATTCAGTGTCTCCATTAGATTGATACCAGCAGAAGCGGCAAAAAGGGGACCTTTGCCTCACTTCCATATTCTAAACTTGAGCTAGCATATCTGATTTTAGGTAGTCAAATGAAATCCACTACCCTTGGCTATATGAGTGTCTGTGAAATGTATTTTTTACTATTCAATTGTCTGTAGTACAAGAAGACACACTAGAGAAACTTAAGTAGGTATTAAAGAATACCTAGGAAATGACCAAAGAAAATAATGGGGAAAATCATTGCCATTCTTATTTAAAACATACATACCTACATACACAAACAAACAATCACACATATTACATCAATGAAGTACTAGGTTTATCAATTACCAATTAAGACATCCATTAGAAGTAACAACAAGGGCGAGTGTTGTGGCTCAGGCCTGTGATTTCAGCACTTTGGGAGGCTGAGGCAGGTGGATCACTTGAGCCCAGGATTTCAATAAGAGCCTGGGCAACATTGCAAAACCTAGTCTCTAAAAAAGCTACAAAAATTAGACAGGCATGGTGGCACACTCCTGTAGACCCAGCTACTTGGGAGGCTGAAGTAGGAGGATAGCTTGAGCCCAGGTGGCAGAGGTTGCAATAAGCTGAGATATTAGCAAAATGGGTGCTGTAAAACCAGGATTCCCATGTATTGCTAATATAATTAGAAATCGATGTCACAGTTCGTAAGACATTTGCTAATAAATATAATGATCATAAAACTGACAACATCATTTCACAAGTTATCCTACTTTACTTTTGATTAAGGAAATTAAATGTATTTGTAATAATAGCAACTCAGAAACAATATAGCTATCCAACAATAGGTAAGCAGCCGACTATATTATGTTGCTTCTCTAGTAGGAAATATTATGCTGCCATTGAAAGGAAAGTTTTTGAAGACTTTTTAATGGCTTGACAAAAAGTCATTACAGTAAAAAGAATTTATATACAAGATCCCAATTTTTGAAAAATATAAAAGTATGTAAGTATCTAATGTTGATAGAAAATACTCTAGAAATGTTAATGATTTTCAAATGTATCAATATACTTTAAAATAATATAAAGTATTATTTTAAAAGAAATGCCCTTGACATCAGGTAGACACTGAGAGGCTATGAGGGCAATGAAGACAAGGATGTTAAGGTACTTTATTCTGTAATTTCGTCTAAGAAAATGTGTGAAATGCTAAATTGAAAAAATTATGCTTATCTCAGTATTATTATAATGATGAAAACAGAAAACCATTTGGAAAATGACTTGGTAAATTATTATATATCAAATAGAAACAAGGCTTAAGATAATGGTTCAACATAGACAATAATCTTGATTCTAAAATTAAACAATAAGAGCAGAGTATAAAATTGAGTATCTATTTTGATATAAGTAAATATACATTGAAAAAATACCTACATACATTAAATATGAAGCAGTCATACAAAGGAATGCTATACAGCAATGAAAATGAGTGAAGTATGACTACAAGAAGAATGGATGAATATCAAGGATATAATAAAAATAATATTAATCACAAAATTCACACATGCAATTCAAACATGCAAAATTAAACAATCTGCTGCTGGGAAATACACTACATATGTGTTAAAACTCTTTTAAAAATTTAAAATAAACACAACAATCAAGATATCGGCTCTTTCTCAGTTGGAGGAGAATGGGTTTGGGGCACATTTATGTCTTCCAGTGTACTGGAAATATTCTTCACATTTTTGCTAGGTACCTGGGATTTGTTTTATTTTTATTCTTTATATATTAAAATATGTTATCAGTTTGTGTGCTAATTTGCTGAGAATGATTGCTTCTAGCTTCATCTGTATCCCTGCAAAGGACATGATCTCATTCTTTTTTATGGCTGCATAGTATTCCACGGCGTATATGTTCCACATTTTCTTTATCCAGTCTTTCATTGATGGGCATTTGGGTTGGTTCCAGGTCTTTGCTATTTAAATAATGCTGCAGTAAGCATACATGTGCATGTATCTTTATAGTAGAATGATTTATAATCCTTTGGGTATATAGCCAGTAATGGGACTGCTGAGTAAAATAGTATTTCTGATTGTATATGCTTGAGGGATCGCCACACTGTCTTCCAGAATGGTTGAACTAATTTACACTCCCACCAACAATGTAAAAGCGTTTCTATTTCTCCACAACCTTGCCAGCATCTATTGTTTCCTGACTTTTTAATAATTGCCATTTTGACTGGTGCGAGATAGTATCTCATTGTGGTTTTGATTTGCATTTCTCTAATGACAGGTGATGTTGAGCTTTTATTCGTGTTTGTTGGCTGCATAAATGTCTTCTTTTGAGAAGTGTCTGTTCATATCCTTTGCCCACTTTTTGATGTTTTTGGTTTTTTCTTGTAAATGTGTTTAAGTTCCTTGTAGATTCTGGATACTAGTCCTTTGTCAAATGGGTAGATTGCGAAAATGTTCTCCCATTCTGTAGGTTGCCCATTCACTCTGATGCTAGTATCTTTTGCTGTGCAGAAGCTCTTTGGTTTAATTAGATCCCATTTGCCAACTTTGGCTTTTGTTGCAATTGCTGTTGGTGTTTCAGTCATGAAGTCGTTCCCCATGCCTGTGTCCTGAATGGTATTCCCTAGGTTTTATTCTAGGATTTTTATGGTTTTGGTTTACATTTAAGTCTTTAATCCATCTTGAGTTAATTTTTGTATAAGGTGTAAGGTGTAACCAAACCCTGCATGTTTTCACTCATAAGTTGGAGTTGAACAATGTGAACACATGGACACAGGGAGGGGAACAACACACAACGGGGCCTGTCAGGGATGAAGGGCAAGGGGAGGGACAGCATTAGGACAAATACCAAATGCATGTGGGGCTTAAAACCTAGATGACCGGTTGATAGGTGCAGCAAACCACCATGGTGCATGTATGCTATCTATGTAACAAACCTGCACACTCTGCATATGTACCCAGAACTTAAAGTAAAATTTTTAAAAAAATTACCAATATTCTTTTATATATATTTAATATTCAATTACCCTAATTTAAAAAACACAAGAAAAGAAATATAAATGTTAATATACTTTGTATTGTTAGGTTTATAAATAATTGCTTATTTTTTATTTTATTATTTTCCAAATTTTAATAATATATTATTTTACTTTACTATGAATATCAATTATTGTGTTGTTATCCAAATACAGCTGAGTCTTTTGTATCTTCAGTTTTATTAATAAAGCTCAGTATGTTTTTCCTTGTATATAAAAACTATTTCCTTTAAAATTATACACAGTTAACCAAGTATAAGATGCTCCGATAATTGGAGAATCTTGTATATATTTTTATATAGAAGTCTAAAATAAGGAATTCATTTTATAGAAAGAGCTACCTTGATGCTGACATTTTAAACTCAGGAGACAGTTTTTTGCTTGGGGTTTTCATTTTCGTTTTGTTTTTGATAAGGCCTGTGTTGTACATCAGAGTTACTGTCAGACAGCATCAGCCTCTAACATTCTAATTAAAATTTGAAGATAAAGGGATGCTATAACTGGTATTTAATTTTATTTCTAAAAAGAATAAGTCACATGTTTGGGCAACTGTAATATATTCACATGCAAGTTAGTGATACTATATGATTCTTTGTTTGCCTCTGACAATTTGTAGATGCAAACTTGGGGTTGGTGTGTCTTAAATTTTCTGAAGTTTTTAGCATTGTCAAATATAATGAATGGTACAGTTAGTATCGACAGAAAATGTTAGATAGATTATAATACATTATAAAATTAAATGTGCCCGATGTTTTAATAAATGCCGGTTTTACAAGTTACAAGTTATCTAATGATCTGTCATGTTTTTGCTATCCAGACAGTTACAGACAAAGGGATAATTAACTACATATAACCCATTTGCGGAAGTAATTTCTGTTTTAATTAAAGTAATGCAATTAGCTGGCCTTCTTGCATCAAGATACATTTGGCATATTTTAGAGTTTAATTTTTAGCATTGAATTTAAAAAACGCTAATTGTGCCAGTTAAACGGTGGCATTATGCAGTGTAAAGAAGATTAAGCAGCATCAGTTGTTTGTGTTTGTAATCTTTCCTCTGCAGGACCAAAGAATGAGTTGTTCCTCTTTTATGGGAAAGGACGCCCAGGAATTGTTAGAGGAATGGACTTGAATACCAAGATAGCTGATGAATACATGATCCCCATAGAAAATCTGGTAAACCCTCGTGCTTTAGACTTTCACGCAGAAACCAATTACATCTACTTTGCTGACACCACCAGTTTCCTAATTGGCCGGCAGAAGATAGATGGCACAGAGAGAGAAACCATCCTGAAAGATGGTAAGTGACACTGTGACATTAACATCAAACTACCCAGAGATGAAGCACTTTAAAAGGATAAATCCAGTGTGTGTCAGACTAGCTTTAACCAGAACTCAAGTTCTTCTGGTTGGTTCAAAAATATTTTTTAATGTTATTTCTTCATTAACATTGTTTCTCTGTTTTCATATACCAGTGTATTAAAGCCTTCATTATAAAATGGGACTTGGTGTTGTCTACTATATTCTAAATATTATCGGAATTAAAACTGAACTATTATCCATCTTCTGGGAAATGTCAATTTATACTGATATGTTTACAGTGCTGTATGGTAGAAGATGAAATTTAATAGGATTTCAGAGACTTGTAATAGTTGGTTTTCATTAGACTATTGATCATGTCACTCAAAATGCATGAAAAATATCAATGTCCACATTGTCATCACAATTCTTGCATTTTATTTTTTACTTTACACATCACTGAAATGAAGTTTTCTAGAGTTGCCCTTGGAATATCAGTATCTCCAGAGAAACTTAAAACATTTATATCTATTTTTATTTATAGGTACATATATGAAGTCATATACATAAAAACAGATAGAGATATATTTTAATAAAACCAATGTATATTATAAATTATTTGGCTTAGGAACAAGTAATCTAGTAACAAAAGAATGTTAACTTTGGTATCAGTAGAAAAGATTGCAAATAATAAATCAAACCAGATCTTCACTGGCTGCCAGTCATTTTTAGGCATGTTAACTAATGATTCTGGACCTGTTTCCTCATGTATAAAGTCTGCTTACTTCTTGAATATTTTAGAAATACATAATTTGAGGAACATTAATTGTGTGCTTATTGTATGAAGGACATCACGATAGCTATATCGCAGGAGATAAAAGGAATTTTAGGGAATGACTTCTGCCTTCAAGGGGTTCATAATCTACCTTTGGAGATGATATAAGCACACAAAAAGTTTCAAGACACTGCAGCATTTAATTAATAAGTTCAAAGCTGTCTTGAAGAAATATATGATTAATAGAGAATGCCTATGTAATGGATATTCACAGGAAGCAAGAGATATCTTTATGTGGGTATACTCAGATAACTCCTTCGGCAGGAGATGGTGTTTGGACTAGATCTTAATGGAGAAACATTAAAGAGGGAGAGGAGGATGTTTCTGCAACCAGAAATTCCATGATAAAAAAAGAAAAGCACAATCTCTAGAAAGAGGGTGTGGGGGACCTAAATGGAAAGCTGCTGGAGGTTCCTTTACAGATAATAATGGCACAAGAGAGTCGAAAGTGAAAGGCACTAAAATGCGCTAAAATAAAGGGCCTTGAAGGTAAGTGAAGGAGTTTGGAAAAAATCCCAAAGGAATAAAAAGAAATGCTTTTGAGTCAAAGAATAATGTGAACAAAGTGATATTTTAGGAGGATCGATCACGTTGTTTGGTGCAGAATGAATCAGAACTTTATTGAGATGAGAAAAGATGAGAAAATAAAAGCAGAGAGATAGACTAAAATTATTTACAGCATGGATGGTGTAAATGGTGGTCTCTCCAATCTTTTAGAGGAAATGAGAGCATGAGAATATTCTTCATTCAACACAACTTTACTTTAAATCAAACCTGATAAAAAGTATACTTTCTATGCTAAAATAAAAACGTACCTGTTTTTGTCTTTAATATAATTTACGGATTAAGGCAACGTAAATCCTGCATAATTTAAAATTCCAAAGGAGTATCTAATTTAAGATTTTCACTTTAAATTGGATGTGACAGAGGCTGTCTGCCTACTTTTCTCTTAATGTGATAGCAGATGATAGGGTCCTGACAGTTTTAGATGGACAAAGAAATTGCACATTCTGTCTAAGTAGATAAAATTTACGTTGTTTTGTTTTTGACCCAGACACTTGCATTTATTATTATTATTATTATTATTATTATTATTAATTTTTGTGCAGTGCTGCAATCTTGGCTCACTGCAACCTCCGCCTCCGAAGTTTAAGTGATTCCCTTGCCTCAGCCTCCTGAGGAGCTGGGATTGCAGGTGTGCACCATCATGCCTGACTAATTTTTGTATTTTTACTAGAGACGGGGTTTCACCATGTTGGCCAGGTTGGTCTCAAACTCCTGACCTCAGGTGATCTGCCTGCCTCAGCTTCCCAAAGAGCTGGGATTACAGGCATGAGCCACCATGCCTGGCCAACACAGACACTTTCAAGGACCAAAATGCAACATAGAGAGTTCTTGGTTTCCTTTTAAACTGTGTCAGCTCCTGTACTATGACTGGATGTTCCTGCTAATAATCTTAACTTTGAGAATAATATCAAGGACATTGGTGGTTCTTTGCATTCCACCTATCACAACAGAGATCGACTCTAATAGCCACAATGACCGCCAGGCATATCTGTCCAGTACTGCTTTGACAGTATGAAGGTTATGAGAACATTTTGCAAATTTTCACACCTGAAATATATTTAACATTTTTGTCTTTCTACACAAGGAACAGCTTAATATCTTTTATTAGTTTATCTTTTTTCTTTCCATTAAAGAGAATAATGATACACATTACAATATGAGATTAACGTGTCAAAGCAGAGACTTAGATTTGGCAAATGACAACTTGTCATTCTTGGCATCAGAAAAATTAAATTCTATGTGTATTCACTTATTTAGGTAGAGTGTCTACCTTTCAACCTGAAGACTGCGAGGCAATGCTTAGTTTGACACATGATTTGGAAGCTTGATAGAAATTCTGAGACATTGATAAATTTACGTAGTTTGAAGTACAAGGGTATAAAGAGTTTGCTGTTTGTAAATAAACATAAATATCTTGGACATCTTTTATGTAAGCTCAGATTCTCCCTCTTAAGAAATAAAAACAACAACATTTCCAAAAAAATCCATCTTTATTCATTATTTGATTTTTTTTCTCCTAGAGGTTTATTGAAAACCCCCTAAATGTTGCATATACTGTTGGCTTTGAGGAATCTCATGGGTGAAAACAGCAATCAAATCAATGAGAAAGGAAATTGTCCATTGTTATATTTACATGTATCTCATTTCATCTGCTAAGTGAAAACATATTACTGATTTATTAAAGATAAACTTCCATAAAGACGAGATATTTACTATGTGTATTTTTTCACCCACCTGGAATCTTTGTCAAAATTTTTGTAAAATTCATACTATTCCTTTTTTAAAAATTAATTACTTGATTTATTATTTTTCAGTCAATAAAAAGTGAATGCCGTATCGGGGCCAGGTGCTGTTCTAGGTGATAGGAATGCTTCAGTAAAGAGGATAAAGCTTCATATTTAGCATATATCCAACAGCAGAAAGGGAATAATAAGCCAGTAAACACATAAATGAATAAGATAATGATAACTGCTATAAAGAAACTAAAGTAGGGTACTGTGCTAGAAAATAAAAGGGGTATCAACAGGAGGCAAAGTTAGATTAAATGGTTAGAGAATTTAAATTAGCCATTCTTGCCAGGTGTAATTGTTACTTTCTCTAACAGAACAAGATAGATGCTCTTTCTTTTTTTTTTAATTAATTAATTAATTTATTTATTTTTATTATTACACTTTAAGTTTTAGGGTACATGTGCACATTGTGCAGGTTAGTTACATATGTATACATGTGCCATGCTGGTGCGCTGCACCCACTATCTCGTCATCTAGCATTAGGTATATCTCCCAGTGCTATCCCTCCCCCCTCCCCCCACCCCACAACAGTCCCCAGAGTGTGATATTCCCCTTCCTGTGTCCATGTGATCTCATTGTTTAATTCCCACCTATGAGTGAGAATATGCGGTGTTTGGTTTTTTGTTCTTGCGATAGTTTACTGAGAATGATGATTTCCAATTTCATCCATGTCCCCACAAAGGACATGAACTCATCATTTTTTATGGCTGCATAGTATTCCGTGGTGTATATGTGCCACGTTTTCTTAATCCAGTCTATCATTGTTGGACATTTGGGTTGGTTCCAAGTCTTTGCTATCATGAATAATGCTGCAATAAACATACGTGTGCCTGTGTCTTTATAGCAGCATGATTTATAGTCCTTTGGGTATATACCCAGTAATGGGATGGCTGGGTCAAATGGTATTTCCAGTTCCAGATCACTGAGGAATCGCCACACTGACTTCCACAATGGTTGAACTAGTTTACAGTCCCACCAACAGTGTAAAAGTGTTCCTATTTCTCCACATCCTCTCCAGCACCTGTTGTTTCCTGACTTTTTAATGATTGCCATTCTAACTGGTGTGAGATGGTATCTCATTGTGGTTTTGATTTGCATTTCTCTGATGGCCAGTGATGATGAGCATTTTTTCATGTGTCTTTTGGTGCATAAATGTCTTCTTTTGAGAAGTGTCTGTTCATGTCCTTTGCCCACTTTTTGATGGGGTTGTTTGTTTTTTTCTTGTAAATTTGTTTGAGTTCATTGTAGATTCTGGATATTAGCCCTTTGTCAGATGAGTAGGTTGTGAAAATTTTCTCCCATTTTGTAGGTTGCCTGTTCACTCTGATGGTAGTTTCTTTTGCTGTGCAGAAGCTCTTTAGTTTAATTAGATCCCTTTTGTCAATTTTGTCTTTTGTTGCCATTGCTTTTGGTGTTTTAGACATGAAGTCCTTGCCCATGCCTATGTCCTGAATGGTAATGCCTAGGTTTTTTTCTAGGGTTTTTATGGTTTTAGGTCTAACGTTTAAGTCTTTAATCCACCTTGAATTGATTTTTGTATAAGGTGTAAGGAAGGGATCCAGTTTCAGCTTTCTACATACGGCTAGCCAGTTTTCCCAGCACCATTTATTAAATAGGGAATCCTTTCCCCATTGCTTGTTTTTCTCAGGTTTGTCAAAGATCAGATAGCTGTAGATATGCGGCGTTATTTCTGAGGGCTCTGTTCTGTTCCATTGATCTATATCTCTGTTTTGGTACCAGTACCATGCTGTTTTGGTTACTGTAGCCTTGTAGTATAGTTTGAAGTCAGGTAGTGTGATGCCTCCACCTTTGTTCCTTTGGCTTAGGATGGACTTGGTGATGCGAGCTCTTTTTTGGTTCCATATGAACTTTAAAGTAGTTTTTTCCAATTCTGTGAAGAAAGGCGTTGGTAGCTTGATGGGGATGGCATTGAATCTTAAGACTGAATTCATTTTTATCTTCTTGAATATCCTTTCCAAGATTTATTTTTCATTGTAATATGAATTATAATTTTACCAGGAAGGAAATAATATAAAAATGATAATTTACTATTCAATTTATTGTTACATGTATTCCACTAGTGCAGTACTTGTTTTTAAACTGTATGCCTTCATTCTACTCAAATGCAGATATTTAAATAGAAGAAATGTTAAAATAACCTTTCATATCATTTCATATTTTTAAAGTATTAAAAAGAATTCAAAGCATTTTTACCTAGATTTGAATATTAATGCTTGCAGCTTTAACAGAAAAACTGTAGTTTCCATAGATCCTATAATTAAACTGGGGACTTGAGGTCACTGTTTTACATAATACAAAGGCTTTCTTTACCAAACTTTTTTCATAATAGACATATAGGGATAATGTGGGTTGAAAAGGGTGATAATTTTGCCGCTTCTTTTGTTGTGGCATTGATGAAGATTCAATTCATCTACTTCAAGTCGTAAGTCATACTGCAAGTAAAACAATGCAAACATAAGATTTATATGTACAGTTCTTCCCAACTGTGATTCTTTTCTTTTCTTTTTCTTTTTATTTTATTTATTTATTTATTTGTTTATTTATTTTAATTTATTTTATTTTATTTTTTTTGAGACAGAGTCTTACTCTGTCATCCAGGCTGGAGTGCAGTGGTGTGATCACGACTCACTGCATCCTCCTCCTCCTGCACTCAAGTGATCTTCCCTCCTCAGCCCCTCAAGTGGCTAGGAACACAGGTGTGTGCCACCATGCTCAGCTAATTTTTTTTTTTTTTTTGTATTTTTTGTAGTGACAGCCTTTCACCATGTTGCCCCAGCTGGTTGCAAACTCCTGGGCTCAAGTGATCCACTTGCCTGAGCCCCACAAAGTGCTGGGATTACAGTCCCCAACGGTGATTTTTATAATTTTACGTAAAGTATGGGCCCAAGAGTACAAAATTTGACCTCTATTATAATTAGATGCAAGTTTGGCAGAACATTATGTCCTCTAGATGTATCCTTTTAATTTTAGACTATACCACCTTATTTTGTGATAATAAAATCAATGACAGCAATAATAGTGAACATTTAATGAGTACTTACTCTGTATCAAGATTGCTCACGTTATGTTCATTGTCCCATACAATCCACTCAACAGCTCCCCGAGGTCAGCATTATTATTAGCTCCATTTTATAGATTGGAAATTGAGACTCAGACAGGTGAAGTCTTTTCTCAAAGTTACATAGCTAGTAAGTGATACCACTTGTCAAGAACTGTGAAAGCACTGAGATTTTATTATGTTTGTAAACTAAAACATTAGCCTGCTACACGTTCATGGATGCTGGCAGGAGACATGAAACTTCAGAGACAAAGTACAGTTTATTACTAAGATCAATAACAATAGCCAGAGTATCTGTAATTTTGTTTCAGGATCCTGATCTGTACTCCCCACAGGGTAACCCAAAGGTGACACCTGCACATACCATGGCACATGTTACAAGAGACGAATCTGGAGCTTAGGGAACGCCCATTTTTTTTTCTCTTAACAATAAGCATGCCTGTTGATTGCTCCAGAAAAAGTTACTTTCTCCATGTTCTAAGCCTATAAGCAAACCTGCCTTTTGCTTCAGAGAGAGATGTAATCTCTATCTTCCAAGGACATTTACCTTATTAACATCCTTGAAAATAGAGTCTAAGGCACTTGGCTTCTCTTTTCCCAAGGTGGACAGAAATGTGAGAGAACCTTGGAACATTGTCTCAGCAATACTGATATGCAAGTTACTGTGATCTGATTTTGGAGTCTGTGGTATGCTGAACAATGCCCTCCAAATAATATCTAGGTCCTCATCCCCAGAACCTTTGATTCTTACCTCGTATGGAAAAGGGGACTTGCCAGTGTGATTAAGTGAAAGGATTTTTGATGGGAGGAAGATGCTACTTTTTAAAAAAAATTTGTTGACACATAATAATTGTACATATTTATAGGGTACAAAGTCATATTTGTACATACATACATGATATAACATGTAATGATCAAATCAAGGAAATTAGCCTATTCATCACCACAAACATTTATCATTTCTTAATGTTGTGACCATTCAGAATCTTCTTTGTAATGTTTTGAAAACGTACACCAAATTAGTGTTAACCATATTCACTCCTTGCAGTGCTAGAGAACACTAGAACTTGTTCCTCCCATATAGCTGTAACTATGCATGTGTTGAGGATCTTGAGATAGGAAATTATCTTGACTTATCTGGAGGTACTCTAAATGTAATCACAAGGAAATTTATAAGGGGGAGGCCAGGACAAAGGAGGAAGTAGGGGTCATGACTATGGAAGCAAGAGGATGGCATAATACAAGGCCCTGAGCCAAGAAAGGCAGGTGGCTTCCAGAAGCTGGAAAAGGCAAAGAAATGGACTCTTCCTGAGACTCCCCAGAAGGGATCAGCTCTGCTTGCACCTAGACTTTAGCCCGGTGAAACCAGTCCTGGATATTGACCTTCAGAACTGTCAAAGAATAAATTTATGTTGTTTTAAGCCACCAAGTTTGTGACAATTTGTTACAGCAACAATAGGAAACTGGCAGAGTCTGTGCTCCTACCCCCTTGCTATACTGATATACTGACTTTACGTATGAAGGTGTGTTCTATTTGATTGACATAAGGAGTAGGTGCACATGCTTCCACCTGATAATATCAGAAGAGAAGTTGACTTGGATCTCGTTCAAAATTATACATTACTCTTTAATTTCATAGCTCCTGTAAATACCTGGAAAACCGAGGTCTTCCTTTAAATGAAGGTACTTTTTAGGAGCTATAAAGTTAAAGAGTAATGAATAAGTTTGACATGATCCAAGGTAGGTTTCTCTTTTATGACATTATGAAGAGAAGAATAGCCAGGAAGAATGAGAAGCAGTCTCTTTCTGTCAAATATATTCTCCGAAAGATGTGTTTAATCTGTTCACATACTATGAAAGGACAGTGCTATATTCATGTGATTGCTTATTTGGCAATTGAAGGGCCAAGCCCTACTCTTCAGCTCAGTCCTGTCCCCAGCATCTTCAGAATTGCCCTGTGGATTTTATAATCAGCTGTCCCTCCAATTGTGTGTTGAAATGTGTAGCCCATCAATTATTCTCTGATTTATCATTCGATTACTTAGAAATCCTACTACTGACACACAGACACACACATACACATGTGCGCACACACACACACAATCACCAGCTTAAGACCCACTTCAGAACTCCAGAAATAGGTTAGCCTCTATTCTAAATAACCCTAGGACAGGCACATACAGCAGATTACAGGATGTAATCTGTACCTGAATGACACTGACCTTATAGTAGGATTATCATTTTCTGCACCTTTAAATCACCTCTTACCCTTGGATTTCAATGATCTTCAGCATTGTATAACTTTGGCAGGATTTCTCATAAAGATTGAGTTTCGTAGTAATGAAGCAAACATGCTGAGATAACACTAATGAATTACATTAGAGTGTTCTTATGAAATTTAAAGTGTGATAATGTCTTATAAAACATTTTAAATTAAGAACAAGCCTTTACTCTTCATTATTGGATTTCAGGTAAATATCAATCTTATTTTTCTGCCTTTAACTCTGAACTTTTTCTCTTGAAGAAAAGCTTTAAGACTCTAAGATATATACTCTGACCAACTATTAAAGGAAATAATGAGTACATTTGTCAGTCATGCCATATAGTCTAAATAAAATTGTAAAGGAGATATTTGTCAACATTTGCAACTCTTGAGATCAATGAATATTGTTATCACACTGAGTGTCAAGAATATAGCCTGTTTGCACATACTGACTCCTGTTGACAGTGAATAAGACATTTTCATAGAATTTACTTGAGATTTGATTCTTGAAAACAGTGTTCAGTTTCACATTTAGTCTGTAAATATATATTTCTCATATTATTTCTCCAGAACTAGATGAGATGTTTGAAAAGTAATTTGAACCAATATATGTATTTTTGTCTGAAAAGTAGACATGCATACGAGAAGATTAAAATATGGGTTATAAAACCTATCAAATGATGAAAAGATGGAATTGGCTATGGTGGCTAGAGGGTTCTAGTAAACACAGAGGAGAAGACATCCTTTCCTTTATTTCCACCCAAAATAAGCATGTGTACATATGCATCCGTAATGACAAACACAAAATATACCCATATGTATATACACATGTGAGCTCAAAAGAGCTCTAGAAACTTCTGTAAAGAAGTCTATTATAGATGTTAGATTGCTGGGAAGGTCAAAAGAGAGAAGGTGAAAATACATGGTAATCTCTAAAGTCCCATAGAGCTACAGTAGCCCCCTTTATCGGAGGTAAATAAGTTCAAAAACCCTCAGTGGATACCTGAAACCATGGATAGTGTTGAACTCTATATATACACCATGTTTTTTCTTATGCACACATACCTGTGATAAAATTTAATTTATAAATGGGCATAGTAAGAGACTCACAACAATAATGATAATAAAATAGAACAATTATAACAACATGCTATAATAAATGTTATGTGCATGTAGTCTCTGTCTCTCAAAATACCTTACTGTACTGTACTCACTCTTCTTGTGGTCTGTCAATCTTACAACCTGGGTGGCCAGTAAGTGAATAACAGATAGGTAACATAGAGTGTGGATATGCAGGATGAAGGAATGATTCCCGTGCTAAGCAGGACTGAGTGAAATGACAGTGCAAGGTTTCAAAATGTTACTCAGAACAGCAGACAATTTAAAACTTATGAGTTGTTTACTTCTGGAATTTTCCATTTAGTATTTTCAGACTGTGGCTGACAAAGAGTAACTGAAACCACGGAAGGTGAAACCATGGTTAAGACTGTTGTATTATTATATATATAATTGTTACATTAATAAATATTCTGATTGGTAATTTTCTTACACACTTAAATAAATTACCAATATTCAGCATGAATTAAAATAAAGAAATACATTCAACTCAGTTACTTTATCATACTTAGCATTATGGAATTCTTAGTTACTACTTCAGAAGTCCTTTAGGAATTCTTCATTTACTTAGGAATACTATTATGAACTTTAACTACAATTAAACTATTGCTTAGGTTAGTTAATACGAATTTCTCAATACAATATAGTTAGTCTAGATTGACTTGACTTTAGGGATACCAAAGTAGGAAGCACTACCTCAAATTGTGAGACTGAACAATATCCATAATACATGCTGAGAAAACTCCCACGACACTAGCTATTATGAGAACATTTTAGGGAGTAGTAATAGTCATTGTGTAACCAGTATGTTTAAAAATGTGACTCTGACATATCTAAGGCATAACTTTATTTTTACCTCCCACTGACCTTTAAAATGTACTCAGTAATCTTTCTTACTCCACATCAAAACTTGGTCAAATCCCAATCCTTTCAGCTTACACTAGGTAGTAGTAGACAGAACTGTCAGTCATTTTAAGTCAGAAATGAAATCTCAATTTGGTCATTAGAATGCATAGTCCACCATATATACACACAAATCAAAATTCTAAATTCATTGTGTCATCAAATCTTACTTGTTTCCCACTTTTGTGCTGCCTCTGGCCCGGAGAAGGACTGGAGGGCGTATTTGTTGCATTCTCTGTTTCTCTGCCCTGCATTTATTTTCCCACCCCTCCCAGCTTGCTAGATTTTTTTTTTAATTATTTTTAGTTTTTACTTTTCTGGGCTGAATATCTATATGTCCCTGCTAGTTAGCTTCTGATGCCCACTCACCTCTCAACATTGATTGGAAGAGGTAACAGTGGTAAAGAGAGGTAAGGAGATTTAAAAAATCTTATTTGAACTAGTCCCATTATACTTTAGCCTCTTTGTGAGCCTGGTAGATCTTTTAAAATAGACTCTCTTGAGGGGTATGGATGTGTGTGTGTGTGTTTGTATGTGAGTGTGTGTGTACATGCACGTGCGCATGTGTCTGTGTGTGTCTGTGCTTGCAAGGTTTTTGGAAGTCTTCCTTCTGCTGGATCTTTCTAATTTCATTTCCTTTGGCCAAAGGACATGAAGTTTTTGCTTGTTACTTTGCATCCCCGAATGTCCATTCTCTTATTGTTTGAATCCCTGTATCCAGCTGGACAACCTTGTTGCACTAGATCAAAGATATTTATCTGCCAGAATTCTATCCTGTGTGGTCTGCCTTTGGTCTGCAGAATTACTGTGAGCCTTTTGCCCCAATATACTCTGGGAGTGCAGCCATAGTGCAAATCAGCCAACACTATCCTGCCTACTATCCTATAGAATGTGTTTAGCTTTCTCAAGTGTGAGCCAGAAGTGAGACATTCTGAGACGTGAGTTTCATGCATGGAAAAAAAATCAACTGAAGAGAGCTAAGTTCAAAGTCCTCATAGAGGCACCACAGAAGCTCCATCACTAGAGTTGAGGTGAAAAGTATCCCTCCATCCTCTCCTTCCTATTTTAGAGGTTCACATAAGTAAAATTTATATCTGGAGAAAAAGCATATTTATTGTCAGTTTATTAGTGTGAAGGATTTGGCCAATCAAATAGGCTGGATTTGGGTTTTGTTTTTGTTATAATTACCTTTACGGAGCCAAAGCTTTCAGATCCCTCCCTTGGTGGACAGATGCTACTTTGTGCTTAGCGTGGGACCTGGAATATGTCTTTTCATCCCTCAGTTTTCAATATTTCCTGCATGTCAGCCTTACTGGAAGGTCTCTCTCCACACTCTTATCCTTCTCTCAATGGTAGAATGCTGTGACCTGTTACTAAGTGGAAGATTCATGGTGGATGCAAAAAAAGGTTCTCTTTTCTCTTGTGCCAGTCTTGGTCTTAGGTCCTGCGTGTCTGGGTTTTGAAGGTGGGCCCTTCTCCTCCTGTGGCAGTGAAACTCTGCCTTATATCTAGGGGAGTTTTGGGCAGGAGATAATTTTCTGCCCCATCCCCAGGGCAGCAATTGTCTTTTTTTTTAATATCAATATACAATTTTGTGTCCGGGCAATTTTTGTGCCCCTTTTCCAGGGTTAGACAGCTTTCGCTCCTATTCTTCCCTGAGTGTTGCTGTACCTTTGTCTGGGACCAGTGGCAACAGAATTTCTTACCCATTTCCAAGCAATACACTAGCATTGCTTGCTATGACTAACAAGTTTGTAGTGGGACCAGGGGGTTTCTTACCCCTCCCTCAGGGACATATGGCTTTGCCTTTTACTTCTGCTTCAATGACAACTTGTCTTTGCAGCTTACTTTGCCTTTGGAGGAAAAAGGGTTCCCTGCTCCTTTTCTAGAGGCAGATTATTTGTTTGTACCTCTTTCACAGGACCGTTGTCTTGCTTCAGGGAGGTGGAAGGTCTTCTTTCTCTTCCCCAGTGGTTTAGGAGTTTTCCTTTGTATCAGAGAAGAGTCAGGATTGGATGGGGTTTCATGTTTGTGAGACACTCAGGGATCTCTCTCAGGTTTCCAGTTTTGCCTTCCATCTTTCTCTTGTAAATTCAGTGAAAGAAATTCTTTGTGTTGGGTATTCCCAGGGATTCTAAATTATCACATTAAACCACACTCAGTTTTAAGAATATTTTATTATTATAGCTTTTTTTTTAATCTGCTATTATGGTAGTCGCCTCTTCTTCCCATGCTCTGACAAAGAGTAATACTTTATGTGTTCTGTTTCTCCTGGAAAAGGTCTGTCACCCTTTGCATTTCAATGTATTTTGCTGTCTTGAGACCTAAGCTTTTGTTTGGATTCAAGTAAATTTGTGATCTTGTAGATTATTGGGTTTACGCTTATTGTTATTCTTTTGTGGCTTTCTGCATTGCATCTTAAGCAAAGCCGAGCTCTGAATGTTTATAGTTCATGAGTGCAAATAGGAATTTGAGGAACAAGATGGAAATAGTTTTTAAAACTGTTTTCTTTCCCTTTTCCTTAGAGTTAGAATCAATTAAAACATAGTTGAGCACTTCCGTGAATATATGTGAATCCCTTGTGATGCTTTAAATATCCACAGTTTACACATAAAGGCATTTTACTTGATGCAAAAAGATTTAAGTGTTTTCTACTTTCAATAAGCTCATTTTGTATTTTTTTAACAAAAAAATAAAAGTAGCAGTGGGAGTTTTCACTGTATAAAAAGAAAAATTGGTTTATGTGTTATATTATCAGAAAAAATCTTTTATTTAAAGAGATGGTACAGGATGATATGATTAAAGGTAATCTATAAATCTGATCCTTATTTTTTTATAAAGATTTCTATTTATCTACAAAAATATCATATAATTGCCAAATATCTGTCAGATAGAAGGCAAAGTGTTTATCTGAAAATATCAAGTGGTTGTTCTCAAAGAGTTTATATTCTTATTGGATGCATCTGCCAAATAATAAATGAAACGAGGGACTAAATATAAGGCTAAGCAAATAATTCAACTTTACTTTGCACTCTATAACAATACTGAAAAGATTTTTTTATTATTATTATTATTATTATTGTACTTCAAGTTTTAGGGTACATGTGCACAATGTGCAGGTTAGTTACATATGTATACATGTGCCATGCTGGTGTGCTGCACCCATTAACTCGTCATTTAGCATTAGTTATATCTCCTAATGCTATCCCTCCCCCCTTCCCCCACCCCACAACAGTCACCAGAGTGTGATGTTCCCCTTCCTGTGTCCATGTGTTCTCATTGTTCAATTCCCATCTATGAGTGAGAACATGCGGTGTTTGATTTTGTCCTTGCGATAGTTTGCTGAGAATGATGATTTCCAATTTCATCCATGTCCCTACAAAGGACATGAACTCATCATTTTTTATGGCTGCATAGTATTCCATGGCATATATGTGCCACATTTTCTTAATCCAGTCTATCATTGTTGGACATTTGGGTTGGTTCCAAGTCTTTGCTATTGTGAATAGTGCCGCAATAAACATACATGTGCATGTGTCTTTATAGCAGCATGAATCATAGTCCTTTGGGTATATACCCAGTAATGGGATGGCTGGGTCAAATGGTGTTTCTACTTCTAGATCCCTGAGGAATCGCCACACTGACTTCCACAATGGTTGAACTAGTTTACAGTCCCACCAACAGTGTAAAAGTGTTCCTATTTCTCCACATCCTCTCCAGCACCTGTTGTTTCCTGACTTTTTAATGATTGCCATTCTAACTGGTGTGAGATGGTATCTCATTGTGGTTTTGATTTGCATTTCTCTGATGGCCAGTGATGATGAGCATTTTTTCATGTGTTTTTTGGCTGCATAAATGTCCTCTTTTAAGAAGTGTCTGTTCATATCCTTCGCCCACTTTTTGATGGGGTTTGTTTTTTTCTTGTAAATTTGTTTGAGTTGATTGTAGATTCTGGGTATTAGCCCTTTGTCAGATGAATAGGTTGTGAAAATTTTCTCCCATTTTGTAGGTTGCCTGTTCACTCTGATGGTAGTTTCTTTTGCTGTGCAGAAGCTCTTTAGTTTAATTAGATCCCATTTGTCAATTTTGTCTTTTGTTGCCATTGCTTTTGGTGTTTTAGACATGAAGATATTTTTAACAAAATAAATTGATAACAGTCCTGGGAAACTGAAAAATATACCATCAGCGATCAGAAATAATGGGAATTTCCTAATTGGAATACAGATTGAACCAGACTGACTAACAAGATCACCAGAAACCATAGCTTAAGATACCATAGGTGTAAACTTGAAATATAAGAGTTGAGAAAGAGGAACACCATGATCCTAATAAAAACTAAAAGAGATTTTTTTAAAGGCCTTAAGGCACTCTTTAAAGAAAGTTAATAATTAACTGCACTTAAAATAATGAGTCCAGTTCAATCCATCCCAGCTACTTTAAGTATACCCCTAGAAGCATACTCAAAGAATGGAATTGAAATAACTGTCTATTCACTTGGGAGGAAGTTAAAGTTTTGTCTCAAAAATCATACAAAAATAAAGCTTCAAGAACACAAAAAATATAAAATTTAGAAATATGGGGATTTTGTTTGGGTTAAATGAAAACATTTATTGTTCACAGTTCTAGAGGTAGGAGGTACTTCAACAAGGTGCCAGCAGATTCAGTGTCTGGTGAGGGCTCTCTTTCAGGTTTGCAGACAGCCTCCTTCTCACAGTGTTCCCATGGGGTGGAAAGAAAGAGCTCTGGCCTCTTCCTCTTAGAAGGACACTAATTCCATCATGGCAGTTACTCTCATGACCTCATCTAAGCCTAATTACCTCCCAAAGGCCTCACCTTCTAGTACCAGACCATTGGGAGCTAATTAGGGCTTCAACATATGATTTTTTTTTTTTTGAGGGACAGGAACATTCAGTCCATAGCAGATGTTTACTGTCACTTTAAGCAATAAATTTGGGGGCAATTGTTACACATCAATGGACAACTAATATACTCCCCTATAGCTTATTCTCAGCACAACAGCCTGAGTAGTTTTTTAAATTTTAAATCTAGTCTGGTTAATCTACTTACAACTTTCCAATGACTTCCTGTCACTCAAAATAAGTTCTTAGCGCTCACCACGTCCTGGAAGGCTGAGAATGATCTGGCATCTGACTGCTTCTCTGTTCTCATTTTCCACTGTTCCTCCCCTCCCTTGCTCTCTCTGCCTAGCCACCTTCCCTCCCTCCCTTCCACCACTGTTCGTGCACACTCTTTTCTCACAGTTACCCCAGCACACCAACCCTCTTGCCACCTCAGGGCCTTTACCACGTGCTGTTTTCTGTCCTGTACATGCCTACCCCTGGACTCAATCATTCCCTTCAAGGCTCACTCCAAATGTTACCTCCCTGGGAAGTTTTCCTCAGTACTGTCTCTCCAGCAGCCCCATCCCCTGTTGCTGCCTGGCCCCTTGCTGTGATGCATCTTTTGTTGGGGCACCCATGTAGGGGATGTGCATGCCTGTGTGCGTATGGGGAAATATGTATTTTTTAATGGTTCTGGGATGCAAACATTTTCTAAGCAATGCAACGCAAAACACACACACACATATGCCTGCATATATATATATATGTATGTATATATATACACACACACATATACCTGCGTTAAAATTTTAGAAAACACATTTCTATGAAAAAGGCATTATGAGCAAGTGAAAACATGAAAGATAATCTAAGCAAAAATGTTCACAATTCATATAACAGAAAACAATGATTATGAAATAAAGACAATATCAGAAAAATTAAAAAGGACTTATTGAGGCAGTTCACAGAAGAAGAAATACAAATTTTCTGAATAGGAATATGGAAAGGAACTCAACATCATACTAATCACAAAAATGTAAATCAACAGAATAGTTTTCACCAAATTCATCAGATTAAAGAATGAAAGATTGATAATATGTAATATTAGAACATAAGAAAATATTTCCCACACTACTGGGGAGAATGTAAGTTGTTATATTGGTATTGAAGAATTATTTAGTAATAGCTGTCAATTTAAATGGTACATAAGATTCAAACCAATTCCACAATTAGTTACCTATTCTATAGACGTATACACATGTTCAAAAAGACACATTATTTGTAATCATAAATTGGAAACAATATAAAGTCCATCAGATGAGGCATGATGCATTTATGTTAGCAATAATATTAAGTAGCCGTTAAAATGAATGAGGTAGAGCTATATATACTTAAATCAACAAAACCCATAAATAGACAAAGTGAGTTAAAAGATATTTTTGCAGAATGATCCTATTTTTGCAAGTATATCCAAAAGTTTTTGGAAGGATCAATAAACTGTTTATAGTGATTACTTCTCTGGAGGGCCATATGAATTTTTGCACCTGCATCTGACTGTCTTTTAAAATTTGTACAACATGATATACATTCTTAGCTTGAGTAAGAATTACAAAGAAAATAACAAAGAAATGTGATTATAGGTAACCGTGTAAATACAAGTTTTTTTTTTGGTGCATCTAGTTTTTAGTCACATTAATATAAGTTGTAAGTTGGTTACTTCAAACATGGATGATTGCTTAAAAAAAATCTACATTTTCATCTTATGTTCTAAATGGGTGTTGTTTTATTTTAGTTTGTCTTTTGTCTGCTAAGCCCTTTCCTCAAAATCTTTATACACTTGAATCTCTTCCTTTTATACTTACATCAAGTGTTGTTGTTTTCTTCGTGAATAAAATGGTGTCTTATTTGGGGCTAGTGTGCTACAAGTTGTCTCTTCTGGATCCATAAACATCTATCTACTAACAGTCATTACTTAACCAGCTATTAAAAAATAGCTTCAGAACTATTTTTTGTAATCTATACATATTTAATTATTTTGGCAAGTCGCCTATATAGCATTTTGATTTGAAACTACCCAGAAGATTATAAAATTCAGATGAAGCAAAAGAGAAATATCAAATTTTATCTAATCATTGGCCTTCTTGTTTCATTTTAAAGGTAAAATATTGACTTAAAAAGTTTAAAGATTAGGTAGATCATTAATATAATAGAATATCCATCTGAGGTAACTAAGTAATACTCTTCAATTCTGATATAAGTTTTAGTGCATTTTTATTTCCTCTCTCTCTCTCTTTATATATATATGTATGTATGTGTGTGTGTGTGTGTGTGTGTGTGTGTGATATGTATATATGCCATTATATATAGCTCCTCCAGAAAAATCATGATTTTTACACACTCCATGGTCTGATGGTCTCAGCACTTAAAATTGTATTTTAAGCTAATGTAAATCATATTTTATTGACAAAATATCTGTTGCTGTATAACAGTAGCATTTGTGAAGTTCCTAGTATTTACCAGACATTTCATATCAATTATTCTGAATATGTAGGAGGTTTGTGGTTTTTGCTCATGTTAGGGACCTAGAGCTTATAGGAATTAAGAAATGTTCTCTTATAACTCAGACCAGGTTTATTTTAGACTCGGTCATAGACTAAGAAAAACAATATTGTGTATCCTCATACTTTTTGCCTCCCTCAAAAAAATGAGTGATGACTACCTCAGATCTTCCTTAAACACCTATCAATTCTCTTTTCTCTTTATTCATTAACTTTTATTTTTTCTTTATTATTCCTATGCAATTGGAAAGAATCAGAGTTCTCATCAAAATATGCATCTACTGTAGTATAGTATGCTATATTTAGATAACTTGAAGAAATATATTGTAATGATATTAGGACATTTAATGTGTGGTGATGGTCTGATAACCATATAAAATATTTTGATACACATCTGTTCCTTTCTTTGGTTAATACAAATCTGCCTGCACTGGATAGCAATGCACTCCTATCCCCAGCATTGACACTTTTATCTTTGTTATAAAAATGAGCTTTCATAAATCTTTATTGTTAATCATAGAAGAATGTGCATATTTTCTGTCAAAACAAATTACCTTGATATTTTAGCTATTAAGTTATTTGTAATTTGTCTTAAATAGAGGAATTTCAAATTGCAAGGTTTAACTCGCTATTATTTCAGGTAAAAAACAAAAAGTACCCTTTTTCAAGATAAAAAAGATATAGAGATATACATAAAATATCATTCTGAGACAAACATTTTCAAAATGTTTGTCAGTGTAACTATTCATGCCATGTTTAACATTTTTCTTTTCAAAGTATTTTATATATGTGGAATTTCAATGAAACTGAACCCATTCTGAGACTGCATATTTGAAAAAAGTAATTTGTATTTACTACTGTACTAGCCACAGAAACATAACTGAATATTCTTATGCAGTTTTGCCAAAAATATATGGCAAGTAACTTTTCATTTCAAGATAAGAAAACTCATTTAGAGGAATCAAAATGAACCAAAGAGTCTGAGAAATATCATTCACTTTTAAGGTAGAACCCCAACCTCATAGAACACGGATAATTTTGTCTTCCATGGGACATTTGATATTATCTAGAATTATTTTGGGTTCAACTGGAGAGGGTGTTGCTACTGGAATCTAGTAGATAGAGGTATGTGCTGCTAAACATTGTGCAATACACAGGACAGTTCTCCACAACAAAGGATCTTCAGTTCCCAAATGTCAGTAATGCCACAGCTGAGAAACCCTATCATAAAGGATGGTGGGGAATAAACCTGCCGCCACTGCATTGGTGCCAAAAGTAGAAAATGAGACATTGAGACTTAGGAAGTTTATTGCTCACCACATGAGTATCAGCATGGTTGCACTGGTTACCCTGCCCGGGAGTCTCAGGGAGCGACATGATAGGCCTGGATGAATGCTGAGCAAGCAGGGAGTTGTGCCACAGCTGCGGATCCCAGGGCCTAGAGATCAGCACTTTCTGAGAAAGCAGCCGGCATTATGCAAACAGCAAGATCTGTAGTTTGCCTCCCCTGTGGAGCTAGCAGTTACACAGCAGTCACCCTGTGGTCCCCTTGACTTACTTAGCTGCCTATGTGAGTAGCAAGATAAATTGTTCAGTATCAAAAGAGAAATAAGCCTTACAATCTGGCAAACTCAGCAAGAATGTACAGGGACACTCAAGGCCCACAGGGGACTGCCTCTCCCAATACCCATAAATAAACCCTTGAAAATAAGTACAAGTCACAGTAAGGGACCACCTTATCACTGCTGTTCATGAAAATTTTAGGTATGATCACCTCATAAGGGTTCCACGCAATGACTTTTAAGTTCACAGGGGGAAAAGGCTATTTAAGTTGTTTTTCTGCTATTTAACCTATAATAGCCCTGTAACTCTTCTCCAATATCCTCTTTTCATCCCCTGAACACCCTAGACATGGTCCCAACTCAGGGCTTTTGCACATGTTTCTGTGTCTGGAACGTTCTTCCATCAGATGCCCCCATGCCTCTCTTCTGTAAGTCCTAGACGTCTTTGCCTGCAGACCACCTCCTCAGTCAGCCCTTCTGGCCAGCCCAATAAAATTACTTACAGCCACCACACCCAACCCAGCTCTCTTCCCTTTCCTGCCTTTTTCTCTTTTGTGATTATTCTGCGTATGTTTCACTTGGTTGTTGCCTTGCTGCAAGAATGTAAGCTTCAATAGGTAAGAGATTTTCTTTGTTTTGCTCAGTGGTAGATCCTTAGGGCCTAGAACAGTTCATGGCTCATATTAACTATAGAGCAAACATTCATTAGATGGATGAATGGGTACTTTAATTTAGTTGTCATTACTTTAAAAACAGTAATTAAACTGATTAAAAAGATCTAAGAATCATTAAAGAATGATGATTTTTGTTCTAATATAAGAAACAATTAAGATCAATTTATCATTTTTTGATCATTCGAAAAGTCATTTTGGTTTTTACTGAAATTCCTCTTATAATAATCATCCTTGGATGATTTTTCAGGAATTTTCAGTTGAATCTTGTAAAACCTTACATATTTTTATTGATTTATTTAAACTTCTGTAACGTTTTAATAAAAAATTTTAGATTACAATTTTTAGATTACACATAATACACCCGTCTTAACACACTTTCCTAGTCTTTCTGAATCAACATCTCATTTTTTTTTGCACAGCTTTAGATTCTTTTTCTTTAAGAGATACATATCTACCTTGAATAATTTTATACTATATACTTATATGAATAAGTTATTATTCACTAATACCTCTTATACTTTTACTGTGGAATCATAAGTATTTATTTATCTTATTATACCACAATTGTTATAAAATATATTATTAATATCATTTAAACTAATTTTTACAGGTAATGCTACATCTAGCCTTGATATCTTCTATTATATAAAAACAATGCATTTACAAAGCAATTTATTATATTTTTAAAAATAAATTTTGAAGTAACTTTAGTCAAGAATTTGCAAAATAGTACAGAGAATTTCTGTATATTTCTCTGTCTTAATTGATTCAGGCTTCCATAAAAAAGTACCATAGACTGGGTGACTTATACACAACAGAAATTTGTTTCTCTCAATTCTGGAGCATAGAAGTCTGAGATCAGGGTGCGAGCATGGTCAGGTTCTGGTGAGGGACCTCTTCCAGGTTGCAGACTGATGATGACTTCTCACTGTATCCTCACATGAAGGAAAAAGGATTAGAGAGCTCTCTGGTCTCTTCTTATAAGGGCACTAACTTCATTTACGAGGGCACCACCCTCATTAACTAATTACCCCCAAATATTTTCACATTAGAATGAGGATTTCACCATGTGAATTAGGAGGACACAAACATTTAGTCCATTGCGCCCTCACACAGCTTTTTCTAACATCTTGCAAAACTGCACTGCAGTTATCAAAACTAGAAAAATTAATGTTGATGCAATATTGTTAATCAAAGACTTTATTCAAATATCAGCCGTTTTTTCATAATGAGTTTAGTTATGTCTTGTCCTTCTCATGTAGCTTATAACAGTGCCCCAGGTTTTCCTCATGTTTTCTTTTAATATTTCACTTCCCTTCATATGGACATTTGTTAAATCTCTACATTGTTAGTCATCAGATGTATTTTAGTAAGAAATGAGAGGTATCATTTATTGAGAATTTGATTATGTGCCAGGCATTGTTCTGCTTCTTATTCTCTCCTTTAATCCTAATATGGAGAGAACTGATTATTATTCATATTTTCATTTGCAAAAGCTGAAGTTCCAGTTTAAGCCATGTATCAAAGGGTAGGCAATTTGCCAAAGGTTATCAAAGTGGAGAAATCTGAAAAAATTTGCAGACTTTCACTATATACGGTCTTTGTGATTGGAAAGTTTGTACCAAAAGCATCCTCTACTGTAGTAACCTTATTCTAGCTTTATTCCCCTCCCTTCTTCCATGCCCCACTTTTCCTTCTTCCAAGGAAACTTTGCCTAGGTTAAACTTTCTTCAACTCCTTCCTCTATTTATCATTTTTTTTCTTTACAATTCTAGAGGTCAAATTTGAATACAAAGCAGGGTAGGCACATTAGAACATGAGTTAAATTTCAAGACTTGCTATAGTGACTACTAACTAATCATAGGTCCTTGTGAGTCAACTTACTTTTCTGGGTCTTTGTTTCATTATTTGTAGATGTACAAGTTAAACTTCATGGTTTTGTAGCTTCTTTTATTCCTAGCATACTGAATTCACAACAAGGCTGCTGCCTAATTTTATTATGACTTTGCCCCAATGTACTGTTTCAGTTTTGTAAGAGTACCTATGTACCCAGGAGGGTTATGACTGTGTGTGTTTTCTTAGATATTTATGGAAAGATGTTATTAGATAAATTATTATTAAGAACTTGGCCTCCTTTACCACATTTACCTAGAGTCCACACAGGCATTTGTCTAGCCTTTTTCTCTGCGTATTTATGTGGATCTGAAACAAGTATAGTTTTGGTTGATTTAGCCTGGTTATCTCCAGGAGTATGGTCACATGAGATAACACATTTGTTCTATGCCATGGTAATTGTAAATATAATAAAGATTTACATTCTCTAACTTTTAAGCTCAACTTGGAATTTAGTGATCAGTATTTTTCACTAAACATGATTTCTAAGCATGTATATGATACCTTGTCTTTTTTAAAGTTCAGTAAACATTATCAGTTGATGCAACTTTTTGAATGTTTAAGGGACCAAGTGCAAAAACATGAAACCTATTAGAAAATATAGCTAATAAAAAGTCAACTTCTGTGAAATTAAATTGTCCAAGTGACTACTAATAGGGTAGACTTTTCATATAATATGAAAGAGATTGAATAATTTACTATTGATGAAATCGGTACCAAAAGTGTTTTACTTTTATAAATTATAAACTTCACAGTTCTAAAATGAATATTCGAGAATAGGTGTGATATATTGTGTTCCAAAAATGGAAGCAGTTTTAGCTTTGTTTTCTCTTGATAGGCAGAGTTAGGTAGTAAAATGGTGTTAATGGAAATGACTTTCTCCCCATTCACAATGAAGACTCTAATATTATCCAAAGAATTTTAGTGGAATATTGTACAATGATCTATATGCCCCTTGCGTATCTCTAGGGCTTCTTTAATTGAAAGCTATTTTGTCCTCTGAAATATATACTTTTCAGTGTTTTATCGGAAAAGGATGAATGTGAAGAATGACCTTCTTCTTCCCAGCCCATTCAGCAAAATCATTTTCAGATCACAGTCATGGTCATTGTGTACTAGTTAGGATTCTCTAGAGAAACAGAACAAACAGAATGTATATATAGAGAGACAGAGAAAAAAAGATTTATTAAGGAATTAGGTCACACAATTATGGGAACTGGAAAGTCCAAAATTTGCAGAGTACATCAGCAGGCTGGAGACCCAAAAAGAGCTGATGTTGCTGCTTGAGTTCAAAGACAGTCTGGAGGAAGAATTTCATCCTTCTCAGGGGATCCCAATCTATTCTTAAGGCCTTCAACTGATTGGATGAGGCGAACCCACATTATAGAGAGTAACCTGCTTATTACTCAAATTCTACTGATGTTCATATAATCTAAAACATACCTTTACAGCAACATCCAGACTGATGACCAATTATTTGTGTACCATGGGCTAGCCAAATTGACTCATACAATTAACCATCACACATAGTTAGCTACACAATATGCTTTAGATATGGTTGTGTAAATCAATGCAGAATTCCCATAAGAACAATAGCTTGGAATCCAGAAATTATTATTTGTGTTCATATCCACTCATCAATTTGTTTGCTCTATCTATCTGCATTTATTGCTTTAGGTGTGGTTGTGTAAATCAGTGCAGAATTCCCATAAGAGTAATAGCCTGGAATGCAGACATTATTATTTGTGCTCATATACACTCACCAATTTGTTTGCTCTATCTATCTGCATATATTAGTGACTACCAGATTATGACTTTTCAGGACCTTTTATTGTGAGACATTTCTCCATGGATCTCTCACATTTCTGCATGTCTCAAAGTAAGACACTTACTGTTTTTTCTTCAGAAGTATCTTTTCAAAGATGCTTGTATAGCAAAGAGTATTGAGAGAAAGAGACAGTCACTTGCCAGTGAAAACAGCAGGCCTTCTTACTGCCCATTATAATAGGCTTGGATTTTCTAAACTCAGAATTCTTCTCCTGTAATGCCACCCACAGTATATGAAAGCATCCATATGGACCCCTCCCAGTTGCTCCTGCGGACTTCGAAGTAAAGGGAACTGACACCAATCTGCTGATGACCATCCTGCTTGTTGTGCCATGAGTAATAAAATCTTTTATATCTGATCCACAAGTCTTGTGTCTTCTACCAGAATTCATGGAACAAAAACAGGCAAACTTGTAAGCTTGAAAGTATGATAAAAATCTCAGTCCTTAACCATTCTTGATCTTTCATTTTATTCATCATTTTAGATTATTGGTAACTATGATGCATACTATGACACTATCTTTACTTGTCCATGTCTTCATTGTATCAAAGATAAAATAACTGAATGTCATAGAGTGATGATCTGTATCCCCTGACCCATTGAGAGTGACAGTTTGCATTGGATAATGGAAGGAAACCACTATGTTTTAATATATTCTGTTTATTCTGGAAAATAAGACCCTTATATGCACTCTACATATCTCTTTGAATACAACATCAAGGTATTTTGTTCTGAGTGAGAATGGCTTGTGTATTCACCCTCCTTGACCTAACAGCTAAGGAGAAATCTGGAATGAAAATGAGGTTGAGAAATATCAGCCTCAGCTGGCCATTAGGGACAGGTGGTATCTTTAGTCTGTGACCAGAGACCCTTGAAACCCCATGAGACAGCTTATTCAGCAAGCAAATTTTACTGCTACACTATTAATTAAATCAATGTCATTCCCTCATGTCAGATACATATGAGCTATTTATGGCCTCAGACCATATTGAAATGTACAAAGAGAATATGTATTAATTGAACTACAAGAATAGGAGACAGGAAAGTTGTCCAAGTGCTGACTCTAGGGTGAGGTAAGGCATCGCTGGCCTTAGGCATGTCTACATGCATGATGCAGACTTAATTATTTAAAGCACTTTACCATACTCTGTACTCACGTAGACACTTCCGTTCCAACTCAGAAAAATAATGTTCATGCTAAGGATAGATAACACTGGATAAACTTGTATAAGGTAGAAAAATGTAGAAACTATGGTTTTATAATGGCCATTTTTGGGTATAATTTTTAGTCAGTTTCTTATTATATGCCTCAAATTCTGTTGTAAAGCATCAAGATCTATGGATCATTTCTGGAGGTCCAGCTCATGTGCCATAACAAAAATAAGGCCACTGCTCACATCCTTTCTTTTAAAAATCATGGACCCATTTTAAAAAGAGGCAATTATATTTTAAGTATATAAAACTTTAGTCTTCTGTTCCATGAATGTATAATATCTAAAAATCAGACCTGTAATGAAGTTTTCATTTTAGAAATATGTTTTTCTCCCAAAACCACTCTCTTTAAAAATGTTTATTTGGTCTAGTCTAAAGTATTACATTCATTTGAAGAACAGTCCTATTTATTCTTTTTAAATCCACATCATTATTCTTTTAAAATTTACATAAATTTTATTATATGTTATTTATCCTCATTTCCTTAGTGGTAGGTGTCTCTTATAGGAAGTAATATTGTTAACATCAGGAATTTTTCACTTAAGTAAACCACGCACTTCATTATTAATCCTAAATTTGAATGAGATATGTGAGTGTGTGGGTGTTTAATGCACTATTTATATATTACTCCATTCATATAAGTTATTTTGAAATTACTAGAACAAAGATAACATGTTGTAGAAATTATAATAATTTGAGAAAAATAATATTCTTAAGTTTTCAGAATGCAAGAAAAGGCTGTTTATTTTCTGAGTATGAGTAAATGTGCAATATCTTCACTTAGCATGAAAAATACAGACATAATATTAATCTAAACAAAGTTTACAAGAAATAATTATCTACTGGAATTTTTTTTTCTTAAGAAGTACAAACATGTTAACTCCTTGCCTATTGATGCATGAAAATGGGTATTTTGTGAAAGCTAAGGGAGATTTTGACCAGATGTTTAAAATAGCCATGCTCTTGTTTGCTATTAGTTATGCAATAATAATAATAAATAGTAGAAAATATGAATTTTATAATGTAGAATACTTGAACTCTATCCCAAAGTATACAAAGAAATCTACTCTACCAAGTTTTTCTTTATCAAACATCTTCCTTGCATTTTAATATCATGTGTTTCCTCAAGCTAATAATTAGACTCTCTGTAGTCACTGATGTTTGTTTGGCCTTTGAATGCCACAACCTTCATGTGTCCCTGATCTGTTTAAAGGGCTTTTGTTCATAGAGTCATTATTAGTCAGTCTCAGGCAGGACCCAACCAGACCCCTTTGAATAAAATATCAAACGTACATAAGACTGATGTTCTATATGTCTAACTGTTCCATCTAATTTATAAGTTAATTTAAAGCAGAGACCAAATAATGTGGAAGCAGAATGCTTCCCTTATCAATGTATATTTGTGGAGAAAGGAATTAATTGATTGTTCAAGCTGTGTTCTGCAAGAGAGAAATTCCTCCCTGCCCCATTAAAGATAACCTAAAAAGATTCCCAATTTGCTCATAGATCTTTTTATACATTTTCTTATTTTTAAATTTTTATTCATTATCATTCTCCCTATAACAGAAAAAAAAATCAAAGCACAAACAGAAAACAACCTTAAAAAATAATCTAGGCTAATTCCTTTATTACTGTCTTAATAGACTAGATACCTAGCCTAAGGAAAGATTATACAGAAATTAAAATGATATTATTACAGGAATAATAATAATCATTATATATTATTTAGTATATGCCAACCATTAAGAACATCACATATATTTATTTATATACTATTTTTAGTTAAAGTTAGTCACTGGTAAAAATGCAAGAAAATATTATAGAAAAAGCATTTTAAAGGTGAAAAACAAAAGATACAATCCTATCAAGTAGTACCCTTAAAGAAAAGAGACAGAAGAGATATAAAATATTTTTTAATCCTGATAAATTAATAAAAACTAACATGAACTGAGAAGTTACTGTATTCCAGGAAATATGCTAAATGTTTACATGCAGTAGCTATTAATAGCTTGCCCTTTGTAATCATCCTATGAGATAGGTGCTATGATAATCTTCACTTTCCTGATGCGTCACTGAATTTGCTTACCCAAGTGTCAGAAACAAAAGTTTCATCCATACAGCATTGTAACTGCTTCATATGAAAAAAATAAGTCTCAAGTCATATGTTAAAAGGAAAAGTTTCAAAAATAAGAGGGTTATCCAGCATGAAGACTTTTTGTACTGGGGCAGATTTCACATGTAATTCAATTTTTGAAAACCAACTAACAAAAACCAGCTATAGACTATAATAAATAGAAAAGGGTAAATAACTACTCTCATTCCATTATACCAGAATAGGAAAGTGCTCAGGAAAATTAAGTGTCAATAAGTGAAGGCAAAATTAAACTTCTTTTTCTAAGCATAGGCACAATTAACCTATGAAAATTACTTATATTGGATGGTAATGAAGCAGATAGCTCAGCGAAATTGGGAACATATCTGATTCACTGTAATGGAATTTTCAGTTAGATCAGATCACATTTTGTACCAGTCATTCTGAATCACAACACATGTTGATTAGCAACAAGGGTTACAAGGGAAAATTTTACTGTTTTTCCTGAGCCAGAAAGACCATGATTAAACAACATGATAATAGTAAATATCCATTGTGTCTGCATACAGGGAAATGTGATCTAGATTTCCTTGTAGTGTGTGAATACAGAGCTCCCTCTCTAATATATACTACCTATTGCCTTTGTCCAGTAAATTCCAGTTCTGTAACTCATGCCAAAAAGGAAAAGAGGAAGTCTATGTACTCTACCTTGGTTTTGAGAGAAAAGAAGGAGTTCACAGCCATTTTTCATGCAACAGAAGAATGGAATCGTAGTTGTAATGTTGTAGGCTGAAGTGTGGATGAAGACAGGATGCTACAGAAACTCACCCTAGGAACCGTGCAGTTTTGAGGGTTTCCACACTGTGGGTCATAAGGCTTGGATATTTATCCAATTGCTACTGCTTCGTGAATGATAATAGACCATAAGTAACTGCCTTCACTTTGAAGTTTTAGTTACCCCCCCTTTATAAAATAAAGGGTTTGAATTAGGTGAACTCCAAGGATTATTATTTGTCTATTACATTTGAATTATCACTGCCTGTATCTCATATAATCCTGTAATAGGATTCTTTGCAAGGTAAGTCTAAAACAAAGAGAAGTATTTTGGCGATTCCTTGAGATTGACTGTTGATGCAGTTCTGGGATGAAAGCCTGTCCTGGGCTTTCATACTTGTGCCCCTGCTGAAACTGTTCATCCTTGGGCAAGAGGACATTCATATTATTTCGATTACTCAGATTACATATTACAAGTTTGAACATGCTGACACAGTACTAGTAGATTTTTCTTCAGAACAGTCTACATTGCTGAATTTGTCACTTATATTCAAGCTTTTTCGCTCCTATCACTTGTATGTTCCCATTTTTCTGCAGATCACTGAATTACAATAAATTGAAGTTCAATTAAAATCTGAGTTAATGACCATGATTAATTTGTTAACACTGTGTACAATTGAGAGAGGGCCTATTATTCACATAAAAAGGCATTCAAAATAAAATTGAAAAATATTCTATAGAATAGTGACATTTGCAAAAATTACACCATAAAGATTTCATGGATCAGAGTTCTTTCCTTTTTGAACTAAAGTTTTTATTAGGTAGCTATTAGTAGTGAACACTAATTTTACTATAGTTGTAAAAGCAATTTCTTTCTTGTTTTTGCTTTTTTTATAGATCTGGATAATGTAGAGGGCATTGCTGTGGACTGGATTGGAAATAATCTTTACTGGACCAATGATGGCCATAGGAAAACCATTAATGTGGCCAGGCTGGAAAAAGCTTCTCAGAGTCGGAAGACTCTTTTAGAGGGTGAAATGTCTCATCCCAGAGGAATTGTGGTGGATCCAGTTAATGGGTATGCAATATTTGACTAGCTTTATATAAGAAAAATGATAATAGATAAATTTGTTTCTTACATAGTTAATAATAGTTTTATTTAAATCCATATGTATAGCTGATTTTCCACACAAATGGTCTTAGTGGGTAAAGTTACACATTTAAGGGTTTTTCTGTACTAGAGAATGTACTAAAGAAACATGTCAGAATACATTGACCTGAATTAGATTACTGCGCAAAGATGTATTACTTGATTTATTCAAAATTAGCACTATAATTCTGTACTTTAAGCAGCCTGACACCAAGATAAATAATCAATTCAACCAGAGAATCAATCCATTTTATATTTTAAAGGCTATTGAAATTTAGTGTATTCAAAAAAATAGCAAAAGTTTTATACATTTCCTAGAGGTCAGACGTTTTATTAAATGGGTTACTCTGACCCTATTTTGTAACCCTTACAATAATCCTCTGAATTCGTTGCTATTCTTATCCCTGCTTTATAAAGTTGAAAATGATAACTGTCTTGCCAATCACTATTCAATTAGTAAAAGACTGGGTCTACATTTATTCCCAGGAAGCCTGTCTATATGACTTTACTCTTAGCCACTAAACTTCACTACTTTTTATTAGTCTAGGGTGACAACCACATAATTTTAGATACCACCGTAATTTCCATATAGGGACATCATTTTATAGTATGTATTACTTGTTTTAGAATGAAATATTTTGTCCAATTCTTGGTAATATGTTTTCTTTTGATTTTTAATCAGCGCTATTACCTGAATGCAAAACTGTACTTATAGAAATATCAAAGATGGAAATTTTCATAGTATTTTATAACTTAAAAATGTTATTTTATTGAATGTTTTACATGTATAGTTTTTTGGAGTGTTTTTCCTTCCATGGCTTACATATTATTGTTTCAAGACATCAAAAAATAGATTTTCTTTACACTTTACTGCACACATACAAAAAATACATATTGTATAGGAGGCATGTGAATCCCTTATAAACCGAGATTACCAAATTGCGGTTCCTAGAATTGTTTGTGTTAAGAGTAGCTCCAAATACAACCAGGGTTCCTAGGCAGTGAGTGAACTCATTGTAAGTGTTTCATAGGGCATAATTATAAAGTAATTTTGGTGATTTTATGTTTGGATTATATAATCATCTGGTAAACCAGCCTTAGTTTTTGAAGAGAGTATTTGTTCCACACTGTCCAAATCTATCTGAAGAAAGAAATTTCAAATCTATCTTAAAACAGCATCTTCTTTCTCACTGTTGTTAGAGAAAATGTTTTCTGATAGAGCTAAAGAGTCTTTGTTGTGCCCAAGAGATGACATAAATGTGGAATTCATAGAAACATATAATTTAGAAGAAAATTCAGAGCCCACTAGTTCCATCTCTCTCATCAAATTTAGAAATCCTCTTCAACGTCTCCCAAGTTTGTAGGTATCCAGATTATATTAGAAACCTATAGCATCTACATAGTTCAAGCTCTTTGAAGGCAATTCTGATTAATAGAATATTTTTTTCATTGAGACAATATCTGCATCCCTGTCATGTCTTCCTACCAACTGTCCCTATATACAAGGAATAAGTGCAATACATATTATTTAAAACTAGACAGTGTTACTAAGAAACAGAGGAAAGAGCTTATTTTGACTCATCTCCAGAAAGGCTGGGGATAGACTTCATCAGATAATTACATTCAAACAGGCCTTGAAATAAAGGGTAGAATTTTTCTTGCTATATTAGCAGAAGGCCAGATTAACCTATGTTTTATGTGAAGAATACACGGAGTCCCACCTAGAAAAAATACTTGTATTAGTTCCTGCTTATTTAATAGGTTATATTTCTATTCTGTGTGTTTAAGAATTCTCATTGTTTGGTACTGGTATTGATTGTAAAGCTTTCATAATTTTTTTTTTTTTTTTTAGACAGGATCTTACTCTGTTACCCAGGCTGGAGTGCAGTGGTATGATCTTGGCTCACGACAGCCTCGATAGCCTGGACTCAAGTGATCGATTCTCCCACCTCAGCTTTGAGACTAGCTGGAATTACAGGCACAGGCCACCGTGCCTGGCTACTTTTTGTATTTTTTTTGTAGAGATGGGGTTTTGCCATGTTGCTCAGGCTGGTCTCAAACTCCTGGGCTCAAGCAATTCGCTTGCCTCAGCCTCCCAAAGTGCTGGGATTACAGGCATGAGCCATGGTGCCTGGCCCACAATATATATTTAAGCATATATATATATGTGTGTGTGTGCATATACATATATACATATATATATATGTAACCTCTCTCAGATTGGCATTACTTAGAAAAATAACTTTCTTATATTTTGTTTAAATAAAAATAATTTTAGGTGCTGGATCAGTTGGCGAACAATTCCTTTTCTCAAATAGTAAAATATGCAGTATATTTAGAATATCCAGATTTATCTCTGTCTCGTGTGTGCGTGTGTGTGTTTCTGTATACACAGGCACATGTATGTGTGATTTGAGTCACAGAAAAAAAAAACATGTTGCCATGATCAAAAGGAGAAGCTATAGGGTAAGATAACTGCAATATTAATGTTATAAATGAACAAAAATAAAACCGTATTGATTAACTGTATATAAGAAAATTTCAGGAAAATATCAATAGAGATGAAAAGATTGCATATTTCACTTTTATATAGTTAATTTATATAGCTGATGTCAAGTAGTTATACCTAACTACATAGAATTACAGCAAATAGAATGACTATCCTTTTTGTTACTAAGTTGTCCCAATTAAAAAATCACTTTAAGGAATTACAAGATACAATATAGAAATATTTCCATGTTTATTTCTAGGATTAATACAATTCAACAGTCTCAATATAGTTCCTTGGGTCTAAAAAGGGCATATCAACATAACTGGAAACCGTTAAGAGAATTTAAAAAGAGCTTAATTGGTATGAAATAATGGGTAGTGTGTTCATCCTCAGTTTTCCCAAGTCTGCCAGCTTAGATCACAGTAGGATTTTTCGTCATGGTGACAGACTTTTTCCAAATGCACTTAGAAATTCTTAGGGTCTACAAAATGGGGGAGGCAGGGGATCTAATAAGGGTATTTCAAGGGTCAGCAGCTTAGCAAAGATTTGAGACTTTATAAAGTTGTATATGAGATGACTGGATTAAACCTACACTTTAATTAATAAACTCAGGAACTTTCACATGACCCTAAAACAACACATGTGGTGGGTTTTAACCTCATTCATGAGGCAAATGGAACATTAGTTCAAGACCCCCTCTCCTACTGTTAGAGCTTTACAAAAGATTTGTTTTTAAAGGCAGATGCTTTTGTTTGAGATAGACATTAAAGCTCAAAATCTCAAGGTCAGTCAACTTGCTATTACTAAACTTACGTGCAGCTAAATCATCTTCTGTAGATTTTGGGGTAATAATAAGCAGCAATAAAACATAGATGATTTGCATCAGGAAGACAAATTAGACCTAGCCAAACAAACCCAATATGACAGTGCCCTTTAGAACAAAGTCAGTCCAATTACCTGTCTTAAAGAATCATAATTCATCTGAGATTAAATAAAGTCTGGAGTAGATCATTAACTGTGCCGTGGGTTCTCATGTCAGTCAATCTGCTTTTTAATCACATAATTGATTATATACTTTTTGAAGTGGACAACATTTAAAATAGTAATGACCCAGAAAATCATTTCCTTTACTTGGTATCAACAGCCCCCAAAAATAGATATTTGGCACTTACTGTCAGGTTCATTAATGCATGAAGCCAGTAAGTGCGATAGTGGTGGTAGTTGGCTTTTCTGTAATAAGTGTAAATGCACAGTTCTACCAAACAAATCTTTGCTTTCTTTAAAACTTCACAGCTCCCCCCTCTTTGACAGATAAGCACTTAGATAGGAGGACAAATCAGAATGAAACTAGAATTTATGGAACTGCCAAATCTGAGGAAGTGTCTATACTGTGGCTGGTTGTAATAACATGTATGCATTTTTGTTGTTTTTTTAATGTCTTAGTTGGATGTATTGGACAGACTGGGAGGAAGATGAAATAGATGACAGCGTGGGAAGGATTGAGAAGGCCTGGATGGATGGATTCAATCGGCAGATTTTTGTGACTTCAAAGATGCTGTGGCCAAACGGTTTAACTCTGGACTTTCACACCAACACATTATACTGGTGTGATGCCTATTACGATCATATTGAAAAAGTATTTTTGAATGGGACTCACAGGAAGGTAAAAGACAAATGCTGCTGTTTTTAACCCACAGGCTTCTTTTTTTCACAGAGCCTTGTTGTGTTGTGTTAAAAATACTTTCAAGTTTATTTTTACTCCTCTGAGGTGGCTGCCAATAGTCTCCATGGGGTGGCTGAAGCAGGCTGAGCATTAAGTAGTGCAGCTGGCACTTGCCTCTGGGAGACCAGGCCCAGCTCACTGTGGTATGCCAGGATTTGTGGGATTTCTAAAAGCAGCTCTCAGGATATCAGAGCTGTTTTAAAATGCAGTTTTTCTACATTATTGATGAGTTTTCTATAACCAAGCAACCCCACTCTATTAAAATATGTTCAATATTTTGAGCTGAAGTTTAACATTATGTATTACGAGGAAGTAATTACATTGTATTTAGTTGAGTAAGTAACTTGGTGACATTGAAACTTAAACACATAGTAGGAATGAGCTGAACTTCCAGCTTATTGGTATGAAGAGGTATCAGTTTCCTCTTGCTTTTTTTGCTAGAGTAACTGCAAAATGATTTTGAAATTCTTAGGTAAAATTGAGGATGATGCAGTTGGCTGTGAGACAGAGGCATAGTTGACAAAACAAAACCTCTATATTTCATGTTTTAGTAATCTAATTACAAATAACACCAATAACTGACTTTAACTGTGAGTCGAACAATAGAAAAAGGGGATGTTAGAAATGACCAAAATGCTTCCTTTAAGTTACATTTCTTTTCTTTTTGGAAAGAAAACCTGCACATTTGGCTAAGCCTACTCATTATGGATTCTGTTTTAGAAAGAAATACTACACTAATCAGTTAAGACTGCTCTGTTGTTGATTGATGCTAACAATACTGTAAATATTTTCTCCAAATAAGTACAATTGGTTGGCATTGAACCTAATGTCACACACTTAACAGGTGCTAGATAAATCTTTATGCTTCCTTAGAAGATGTTGGTATGTAAACAATAAACATAATACTTTCATGGCCAGCACATTTTGGCCTACATAAAGGTGAGAAAAAAATTAAGAAACCATGTCAATTATTCAATGTATGATAATTTGGTGAGAAGAATTCAGTTAAAAGGAGCAAAATTTAAATTTATGACCCTAAATTATTTAGATAATTTTCTCAATTCTCTAATATTAAATGAAGTGAATACAAAATCTTTTTCATCTTGTATTCAGTATGTTTTTATTTATGGTAAAAGGTGAAAAAGTATTCTCATTATTGAGGTATAATTTATTCCCCTTCTAAAATCCTACATGTGAAACTGGACTTAAACTTTTATCACATGATTCCTCCATTTAAGGAACAACAAAACAATATAACTAGAATGTAAATGAATATATTAACATAATCAGAATTTAACTTGCCAGTGAGTTTTTATCTATTTACTAATAATAAATGTGTCTGTGTTTAAATTAAAATCTTTACCATCTTTTCTGCCAGATCCAAGATTTCTTCAATTTGCATTGGCTCAATTAAAGTAGGAGGATCCTTTTGACTCCCAATGCTGTTTGAACATGTTCTATTTGTTGGTTATTGGAAGAGCAATTTTGTAATACACATGATTATTCAGACTGATTTCTATCCCAGGATATGATACTGAAATATCATAAGCAAAAGGAACAGGAATGAGAGTAGGGAAAATTCATTTTAGTATTTGCATTCTTAACCGTATTTTTCGTGCCATAGATGAAAGAATTTACATTGATAAAATAGATGGTTTAATAATAAATAATAAATGGTTTAGATAAAATAGATGGTTTCCTTCAAATAGCATGCCCTAAAACAAAAAATATGCTCACATTGTGAAATCCATTTTTTAAATCTATCAGAGAAAATGAGTTAAGATATGAGATTATTATCTGTTATACTTATTGAATATCACTTTCTCTAAATATCTAGTTATGTTTCTAAAGGTCAGTTCTGATTTTTCACAATGTGTTTATATTTTACAGATTGTTTACAGTGGGAGAGAGTTGAACCACCCTTTCGGACTGTCGCATCATGGAAATTATGTGTTCTGGACTGATTATATGAATGGTTCCATTTTTCAACTAGATTTGATAACAAGTGAGGTGACATTGCTGAGGCATGAAAGACCACCCCTATTTGGGCTTCAGATTTATGATCCACGAAAGCAACAAGGTATTAAAAAACAAATTAAAATGCTTCTGAGATTCACATATAATAATACTTCACAGAAGTTATAAAAGATTTATCTTGACAGTGTTGCTAAAGTTTTATGATAAAAGATGTCAAATTCCCTCCAAAGTCAATCAAATCAGATTTTGTTATCATAGAAATTTACTTTTTGTTGTTCTAAATATCCTGAGTGATTATCCCTGGGAATTCCATATGAGTGAGGTTTAAGGTTTTCTCCAAGTATTTCCTTCTCTTCATGTGATTTTCATTGAAGAAGGCTATTAGTTATTTAAAGAAAAACAATTCTCTTAATGTTTTCAAAGCGTAAGTATTGTTAAATGTTAGAACTTCCTTAGTTTGAAAAGAAAACTACTGAAAATTGAAGATGCATTATACAAGAAAAATGTTATTTTTTAAAAGTATCTTAGTAAGTTTATAATTAGTTTCAATGTATATTTAAGGAACATGTAATTATTTTAGATGACACAAAAGTAAAACCGTCTATAACAATATTCATGTCTTCTTAAAATCAGATAATATTATTTTATGTTTTACTTGCATAAGTTATTAATACTCATTAGGACATCTACACATAGCATTACTCAGAATTTAGGTATTGAATGAAGAAAACAGTTTAGTAAATTATGTGGTAGGTTTTTTATGAGTCTAAATAGTCATTGTTCCTTTTTTTAATAGACATATCATTGTAAAAATTTAATGAGTATGTAGTTCAATACATTTAAGATGAATAAATTATATTATGAATTTCCTAACACGTATGCTATCGATTGGAAATTATCTAGCAACAGAGTTTTTGAAGATATTTCAGCTAAAACAACGATCCTAAAGCAAACTATCTCATTCAAAAGCTTCAGTTTTTTCCCACTATATTAAAATTGCTTCAATGGAATACAAATGTAATTTTATAAAATAATGGAAATGTGTACATGAGAAATATCAATAGCTGATAAAAGATAAAATTATCTTTTAGAAGAATAAAACTTAAATTATTTGGATGGCACAAGCCATAGCTATGGACAAGAAATGAGGAATAGAGATAATTGCCTGGATAGATTAAAAGGTAATATTTTATTATATTCATATAAACCCTGCACCCCTACCACACTACCATAGTTTGCCTATACTGAGCAAGAGCCCAGGCTATGAATAGAAACAGTCCTTTTCATATTCTGAAAGATCTGCTTTTCAGGATTGTAGTTCTCTCTAACTTCACAATCCAATCAATATACGATCACATTTTCCATTTCCCTTCTCTTTAGAATTGTTCCTCTTGAATGTTATTGCTGAATTTCTGTTGCCAAAGTCCATAACATTTTTACCATCTTCAGAGTTTTTAAGCTTCCAGTTGCTTTAGTGAGTTGTTTAACTAAATGCAACGTGTGTAGTGAAAAATGCCCCGGGCTTAGATCTGGGTCCTGACATCTCCTTTTAAAACTTTGGACTCATCATGAAAGATTTAAAAAAATAAGAAATACTTTCCTCATAACATTTCCATGATGGTTAAATAGCTATGTGTTATTTAAAAGCAGAACTTACATAGCACTGTGCCTGACAAACAAATTATGGTAGGTAACTTACCCCTACAATTTCTCTAATAGGAGGTATTTGTTTTTAAGGTTACCCTACATATAGGCATTTTAAATAAATATTCGATGGAATAATGTATCATAATAATATACAATGAAGTACATAACTCTGATAGAGAATATTTTTGGTGTTCTGAAAGGTGCCATTGATGTATAATAGTGCAATGTTATTCCTTAGATGGACAATGATCTTTTAAAAGTGCTTTTCCCCATTTTAATTGAAGGGACATTAAAATAAAAACTGAGCTCTGATTACTAAATTCTTTTTCAACTTTTATTGTAGAAACCATAATGTTTTGTTTACTGAGTGAATGTATTGAGAATAACTGATTGATAATTTTTATTAACTTAGGTGAATTAATAAATTGATTTGTGTTTTCTACCACTTCTTCATGTAGCTAAGAATTACCTAGTACTTAACTATATGTTTGATCAAGCAATACAATATAGAAATTAAATTCCTGGTTAATACCATTTTTTCTCAGTCAAGAGACATTGATATTAGATAATCTAATTGAGTTCTAAATTTTTAGTATCTTTTACTACATTGATCAAAGCAGCTGAATTGTAAAGCAAAATGCATTCCGATGTTCAGTTGTGAGCAGTTTGTCTTAATTATTATAATTTTCTCTCAATGGTGTTACTCTTTGCATCTTTTGAATCTCAGACATTAATACATATTTGAAAGTAGATGATCTGTGTCCTATAAATGGTTTCATATTGTCCTGTTAGACTGTTTTTTTTTTTCCCTATGGATAAAATATAGCAATTGAAGAGAAAATCAAATCTCTAAGTAGTACATATCTCCTTTGCCTAATGGAATAAAATAAACTAATCTTATATAACCATACAGTCTCTCTCTCTCTCTCTCTCTCTCTCTGAGAGAATACAAATTATATGATGTTATTTATATATATATAAAAACTATATTTATTTATATTTTTTATACATATGGATAGATAGTATTAATACACACACACACACACACACACACACACACCATCTGACAAGACCACCATGAAAAATATTCAGGAATGCTAATAATGTAATTTATAAATATTTTAGACTCAGTGTCAGAAAATTAGTCAACTAATCAGATCTCCCCTTACTCCTCATATTAGAAGAGACTTGTCAATAGCCAGGCACAGAGGCTAATGCCTGTAATCCCAGCACTTCGGCAGGCTGAGGTGGGTGGGTTACCTGAGGTCAGGAGTTCGAGACCAGCCTGGCCAGTATGGTGAAACCCCTGTCACTACTAAAAATACAAAAATTAGCCAGGGGTGGTGGCAGGAGACTGTAATCCTAGCTACTCGGGAGGCTGAGGCAGGAGAATCACTTAAACTTGGGAGGTGGAGGTTGCAGTGAGCCGAGAATGTTCCACTGCACTCCAGCCTGAGTTACAGAGCAAAACTCTGTCTAAAAAAAAAAGAGACTTGTCAAATTACTTGGAATATACCAGTGAATTTCAGGAAGGTAGATATAAATAGATAACATATTAAACAGAAAGCTACCTCTAGGAAAGAATTCTTAAGTAATTCTTGGGGATTTAGTGTAAAGATATTTTTCTCATATATTACTGTGATTTCTTTTGGTAAAATGTATAAGCTTTCCTTTTTCATTAACATTAGATATCTAGAACAAGTTTTAAAGCTTTTTTCTTCTCCTCCTCATATAAAGAGCAGCAATTGTGTAAAATAACAGACTTTCCTTTTTATTTTCTAGGTTCAAAAGCACACTTTGATTTTTTGCACATTTTGGGGAATGAGATAATCAAAACTAAGTAATATTTTAATAAGGGTTGATTAAATGTATCCTATTATTTTATGACAAATAGAAGACATTTATTAACTAAGAACTAGCTGTAATTGTTAAAACTACAGGGAAGTGGACTAAGCATTGTTATTTAATTTTCACAACATATATTTAAAATAGGTACTATTGATTTATATTTTACATATGAGAAAGCCAAGGATCAGACAGACATAGCCATTGGCCCTCAAGAAACACAGTAAGCCAGGGATAAAACTAAGATTCAGATTCAGATCTGTTTGACCAGAAAGTATTTTTCTATGTTTAATTTGTGTGGCCAATTTAATTTCTCAAAATTTTATATCTACTATACTTTTAGATAGAAGAAAAAGAATGTGAATCTTTTTTGGTCATTGTAATTTTATCACTGATAAATTTTGCATTCAAATATATATTTTTAATATAAAGTTCCCCTTGACTACTTTTATAGAATCCAGGATTTAGAGATTTTAGATTACACAGGACTAGTATAACAGACATAGCAGTTTTTATTTAATGTATGACATATTTATTAATCACATTATTTTATAGGTTTAATAAGCTTTAGGTTTGGTGGTAGGACCATCATAACTACATTTTTCTTTCTTTTTATATTTCCCATTTTTGAGATAATCACCAAACCTCCCCGCCAAAACAAAGGAGTATCTTAATATAGTTACACACACACACTTACATAAGTGGCTTCAAAGCATGTCAAATATAAACACAGTCTTCAAGGAGCATCTGATTCTGAAAGAGAAAAAAAGTAAGAAGCATTTTATCCTTTCTTCAGATTGACTGACATCGTTCAAAGTCAATTCTTCTGAAATTATGCTAGATTAAATGCATAATTCATCTGGCCTCAGGATCTCACTCTCTCAGCCTTTATCTAACTTTTGGAATAAATGGGGTATCTGCTGCCTCTTCTAAACTACAAGCTCGAGTATCTCTATGTTAGTTAGAAAAAAAAAAAAGAGAATCCCCATAGTTTCACATATTTTATATTAACTGCAGAGAATTCTCACTTTGCCTGTGATAAGACACTGAGAAGTCAAGAGTCCAGGACACATATAGAAAAGGAGGTTTCTTTGTTCCACCATTTTGAAGAAAATTCAGATTAAGGAAAGACTGAAACAATGGAATTCTTTTGCGCTGATTTCTGTATTCTCTCATTTGCTCAAAAAAAGATACTTTATTAACAAAAGTTAAACTGCTAAGGTCTAAAAACATTGAGATGTTAATATAGGCTTGTGAAATGTTTTCACATATTATTTGTGTCTTTACTCCCATTCTTTGGAAGTTGTATCTATCCACAAACTTGTACCTGTGCCTGCACTCCAAATGATTGTTCTTGTCATTCAAACTGCTAACTAAAAGTTGCATTCACCACTTACTTATTTAACTAATATTTATCAAACACACTCTATGCTGGGCACTATTTGCAAGGTGTAGAATATAATTTTGCTTCTGGAAGATACAAGATTGGGAAAAAGAAAGACAAAGTTTTTGATGAAGCCAGAAGGCCTTCTTCAACTAGATAATGAAAGCTATTCTTCATTTGCTTTCCTTACATATTTGATTTTTAAAAACTATCTGCTTCCTGAAAGTAATAGACTTTTGTTGGTTTTGGTATATTTAGTATGTCTTTTTCGATCTAATTTTATTTTATATATAAATAAGTTAGTGTTTGAGAGCACAATTTTGGAGTAAGAAAATCTTATTTCTAATTATTTATAAATAATTATAATGATTAGAAATAAATGATAATTTAATAAGAATTATTTCCTATTTCTACATATTGGAAGGGTCATTTAGACGATCACATATTCAGTATTCCTACTTGCAAATGAGATAAAACCTTCCTTGTAATTTTATTTTAAAAAAATTGAATAAAATATAATGTATATGTAAAGTAACTAGCTGTGGGATTGCTTATAAGTTTTCATTAACAGCAGCTATTAATATGTTAATGACCTTTTAATTGATATATAGGTATAAAAATTTTTAGCACCATATTTGTAGTTACTTAAACATGTTTTAAAGAGGATATTTTTACATAAAATATTTTTCTAGTTCTCAGAACTTCAAAAAATACTATCATATGAGATCTATCTGGAACATATTAATGAAATTCAAAAATACGTTGGGTCACTATTAAAATAAAGATCTAAGCCCTTCTGAGGAGAGATATGGAATTATTCAAATTAATTTAGATTTTGGATTTCTATTATGACAGAACAAATAACCAATTCCTCTCTCTTAATATGTAGTATTCACAGAAAAGAAATATATTTCAAAGTTTGAATAATGCCAATTTATTTTTAAATACTTAAATTTCATATTCATTTAGAATGGTATGAGGCATACCACTGAATTAAGGAGTATGATATTTAGCATATAATTTCAACGTTTCAAAATGTCAGTAATTCCTTATTTCTGACTGTTTAAATTCTTTATATATTTCTCAAAATATGTTGAATTAATTCTAATTTTCCAGAATCTGAATGCTACTAAAATATTAAATATACAATTTCATCCTGTACAGAATGTGTACAACATAGAATAACAGTGCATCCTATGAAGCATTGCATTTTTATTCCATGGCCATGGAATAAACATGACGTTATCTGGAAGCTGCTTAAAGCATTTATGCATTTCCTATTAAAAAAACCCTGTATTAGGCTTAATTACCCTCTGAATTCAGAAATTGATACTGTAGCATGCATTATTAGCTTTCTTGGCTTTCATATGTATTTTTTAATTTGTTATAAACATAGTGAATTAAATTTATTTTTCAAGATAATGAAATGATAATATACTTTAGGTCATTTGTTCTGATCTACGGGCACTCAATGATAACCTGTGGTAATGTGTTGAATATTTATTTGTATAGAGGAGCATTTTAGAGTTTTTTTCTTACTTCTTATTATCCTCCGTATAGCACATCCAACCTCTGAGCCTCAGTATAATAACCTAGTCTGTCACTTTAATCACGTTTCTGGTATTTGCACTTTAATCATTTTATTCTCTTATCGTATGGCTCTAAGTAATTAAAAGCTCTTTATTTTTAATGTTTCAGTAAAATATTCTGATATAAAAAATGTTATTTATTGATGCTTTCAACAAGCTGCAACATAGAGTAATATGACCCTACAATTACATTACCTATTGTATTGCTAGTGTTGAGTTCTTTTTAAAGTTTGACACATTTATAGATAAGTAGAGTCATACGTGGCATAGAGATGGTTCAGTCAATGATGGACTGCATGTATGGTGATGGTCCTATAAGGTAATAATAATGTATTTTTACTGTAACTTTTATATGTTTAGATACAGAAATGCTATTATCATTGTGTTATAATTGTTTACAGTATTCAGTACCGTAGCATGCTATGTACAGGTTTGTAGCCTAGAAGAAATATATGATATATAGGTATAAAATTTTTTAGCACTGTGTTTGAAAAGTGGTCACTTAAACATGTTTTAAAGAGGATATTTTTACAGAAAATATTTTTCTAGCTAAAATTTTTTAGCACCGTATAGTTTAGGTGCACAGCAGGCTCTACTATCTCGGTTTGTGTAAGGATGCTTTATGATGTTCGCACAATGATGTGATTACACATTTCTTAGTATGTATGCCCATCATTAAGTGATGCGCAAGTGTAAATACACTTTCTTCCTTTCCTTTCCAACCTGTAAGACTAATTGGCAATCTAAATTGTATTTATTCATACCGACACCTTTACAATTGTTAAAGGATACAACGTTACAGCTAGATAGGAGGAGTAAGTTCCAACGTTCTATACCACTGTGGGATGATTATAGTTAACGATGATATATAGTTTCAAATATCTGGAAGGTGGATATTGAATGTTCCCAACATAAAGAAATAATAAATGTTTGAGATTATGGATATGCCAATTACCCTGATCTGATTACTATACATTACGTTTACTGAAACATCACTATGACTATGAACAATTGTTACTTGTCGATTTAAAAATAATTACTCGATTTTATCTGAGAGTCTGCAAGGGTGCCTCACATACGTTCATGAATAATGTATGTTATTCATAAATTTCCTCTCATGCCTGCTTAATTTATGTCTGTTGTATACCTCGTTAGTGCCTCTGCTTTTTAGATCCACTGGGAGAACACTTTCGCCCTGGTGAACTGTACATTCACCTTATACCAGCAAGCCTGCTCATTTTTGGGTCTTCACAGATGTCCTATGATTCCTGGAGTCCTCAATACACTGCCTTTCCGGTGTATACTGCACAAGAGAAAAGAATACCCTACCCTTGCTCCCAACCCTCACTTGCTTTCTGTTCCCTGGGAATCCAAAGCCACATTCTGAGAGCCAGTGGTCTACTTTCCAAAGAACTCAGACTTGAATACAATAGGCCTAATCTGGAAAACTATCGAAGACAGATACCATTCTGTTCTTTCTCTTCTCTCACCTAGAACCTAACTTCACTCAGACCTCTATCTCCTCCAATTAATGAGAAAATTCTCCTTATCTACCAATGCACCACCTATTTTCAAACATTATTGAATTTAGTTATGATTCAACAGAAATCTTCACTATATTACTAAATATATAATATACATAGCATATATAAGTGTATGTAATTACATCTATGTTCACCTCCTAGAAAGAACGTGAATCAGAGTTCTCTGACACATTTGCTTTCTTCCTCTTGCAGGTGACAATATGTGCCGAGTAAATAATGGGGGCTGTAGTACACTTTGCTTGGCTATCCCAGGAGGCCGGGTGTGTGCTTGTGCCGATAATCAACTTTTGGATGAAAATGGGACAACTTGCACATGTAAGTTCTTTTCAAGTTACCCTTATTTGTTTATCGGGCTCTTTCTGAAGACTAGAAGCAGAAGAAACTAAAGGAATTAAAATGACACTTGGAAAGAGAAATTCAGATAATTATTTAGATATAATTCTTTTTAGACTATAAATTATTAACTGATTAATTTTGAATATATAGATGAATATTGACAATGATGGTGTTTCATGGAGTTCACTGCTATGGGTGATTTAGTAAAAAAATTAAATAAGTATATGCCACAGAAGCATAAGAGAACTTCACTATAAGCAGTGGCAACTAAAAATGCATTGTTGTTGATTAGATAGATGGTAAGTTGACGCACAACATAGGCCTACAATGACTTTAAATGGCTTCCTGACTCAGTTGTCTGTATTAAGTGGTGAAGAGCAAGGAGGGAGGGAAAAAGACTTGTAAAGAATTTACAGACTATCCAAATAGTGAATTAACTGGATTGATTGATCTGGATTAAAGGCAATTTTATTAACTTTTGCTGACATTTCTCAATTTACTGCATCTTATTATTCTGTTATGACTTTTGAAACTGATTCCTTCTACCCCATGTGGTGCCCCTTCAGCACAATAACACCAACAATGCTATCTATGTATTGAGAACTATATAACACTTTTAGAAAGGTTTAATCTTGAATTGTGTGTTAGAGTTCTTCAGAAAAACAGAACTAATAGGATGTATATAATACATAGAGAGAAGATTTATTATAAGGAATTGCCTTGTGTAATTATAAATTATAAAAACTGATGAGTCTTAAGATCTGCAGGTGGCAAGCTGGAAATCCATGAGAGTCCATGGTGTACATCTGGTCCAAATGTCAGCAGGCTTCAGACAGACCCAGGAAGTGCTGATGGTTCAGTTTATGTCCAAAGACAGGAAGAAACCAATGTCACAGTTCAAATAATCAGGCAGTTGACGTTTATTTTGCCTGTGACAGGTTCAGCCTTTTTGTTCCACTCTGGCCAACTGATTGGAGCAAGTTCATCTACACGACTGAGGGCAGTCTACTTCACTCACTTTACTAATTCAAATGTTAATCTCATCCACAGCACTCTAACAGATAGTCCTAGGATAATGTGTGACCAAACATCTGAGCACCCCATGTACCAGTCAAGTTGGCATATAAAATTAACCATCACAAATTGCTGAATAAACATTTCGTGTATTTATTTTATCACTTATAATGATTGTCTCTTGTGAGAGAGGAGGGATAAGTGTAATAAAAAGAACTTCAATTTATCAATAACATCTTATCTCTTCTGATGAAGAAAAGATGCATTTTTCAAAAGATATTTAAGATTTAAGACATATGAGAAAATACCTTAAACAGAAAAAATCCACTTACAATGCCACTATTCAGAAATAAACCGCTAAGAAATCTTAATAGAGTTTCTTATAATGATATATCATTGGCATTTATTTTTACTACCAGTGATAATAATTGTAGGTAAGATTGAGTGAATGCTTACACTGGTATGGATGTGGCATTTTGTAATACAGTTTGTGATTTGTATTAGTCTTTACAAAAACTGTGTAAGGAAGGTACTATTACTATCTGCATTAGTCCATTTTTACACTGCTGATAAAGACATACCCAAGACTGGCAATTTACAAAAGAAAGAGGTTTAATGGGCTTACATAGTTCAGGAGGCCTCACAAGCATGATGGAAGGCAGGGAGGAGCAAGTCACATCTTACATGGATGGTGGCAGGCAAGAGAAGAGAGCTTGTGCAGGGAAATCCCTGTTTTTAAAATAATCAGATCTCATGAGTCTTATTCATTATCATGAGAACAACATGAGAAAGACTTGTCCCCATAATTCAGTTACCTCCCACTGGATTCCTCCTATGACATGTGGGAATTGTGGGAGTTACAATTCAAGATTTGGGTGGGGACACAGCCAAACCGTATCACCATCTCATTTTACAATTTACAATTTAGACTTTTAAGCTAATTACTTTGCAAGTTCACATAATTAGTAAGTAGAACATTTGGAATTTAGACCCCAAATTCTGTCATTTTTACTTAATATGAGCATAAGCATCTTATCATGTAACCAAATATCTTTGTAAACATAATTTTTAATGACTGCCTTTCAAACCATTTATTTTCTTTTTAGTTGATATTTGGGATTATTTATGATGCATTGTTATAGGTAATTGTCTGTTTCTGTTACCATTTATGACCTTTTATGTGTTTTACCATGTAGTTTATGTCTATTAGACATAACAATTGGACATTGTTACATCTTCTTTAGGTATTTGGAATAATACCCTCAGTTTTAAATTATTTTATTATTATTTTAAGTTCCAACTACCGGACATGAGAACTTTGGTTTCTTTTCTACTACTTTTCTCATCTTCTTCAATTTCACTTATTATAAAATTAGCATATCTGACCAAGAATATGACTTTGAATTACCAAAAATAAGTCCTTTTTTAATAAAAATATGTTTGACATTTATATTTAGTTTGTTAATTTTACAATATTTTTAGGCCTAGATCACTGTTTCACTACTTGTATTGCTTAGTACTTAAACTTTTAGCACTCCATTGTTCATTTATTCATTTCACTGGTGTGTAGGATAGATGGAATATATCTTGAAATAACTTCTTCAAGAAGACTATGTAGAATACAGTGGACCCTCTGTACTGAACACTTACACTTTCTTTCTTGTAATTATTTCCTAAGCAATATAGTATGGAAACTATTTACATAGTATTTGCCTTGTATTAGGTATTATAAGTCATCTAGAAATGATTTAAAGTATATGAAAGGATATGTGTAGGTTATATGCAAATACTGCACTATTTTATATAAAGGATGTGAGTATCCATGGATTTTGGCATTTATAAGGGATCCTGGAATCAATCCCCCCTGGATATCGAGGGATGACTGTATATATTGCTGAGCTCCAAATATGCCTCCTGTACTTTTTTATGTAAACAGCATTTCTTCTGCATATTAATTCTTGGCTGAACAAAATCTCCCTTTAAAATTCTACAAATTTGTACCTATTCTATTCTGTAATTACATACTTCAGAACACAAATATGAATTTTACCTTTCTAGTAAGGTTTTTTTTTCTTTAGTAATGGAAATTTGTAAATTGCCAGTAAGTTGATTTCTGTGGAAGATAGTTCTCAGAGGTAAACTTTCTCTGAGTCACCAGGTGATTGTTTCCGTTTCTTTATTCTGTGGTATTATTTTTTAATTCTTATTTTATTGTTTATCATCAGAAATGAAAGAAACCTATCAAGATCCACAGTTTGCCAACAGGCAGGGATTAAGCATGACTTTGAACAACTTAAAGTCTGCCAAGTTGGCTGCTAGGCTGAATCTTATCTTAGTTACTGGGAGAAAAGATATGCTTTATGTGTACATTTGCTAGTTTAATTTTTCAGTTTCTACCAAGGAGTCTTTTAAAGTTGTTTTCCTGGCATAAAATGAAATTCCTGCTAGCCCAATTGAATGACTCTGACATTTTGAAAAGATGAAAAGTACATGCACATGCATATGCGTGCGCACGCACACGCACACACAGAGTAGCTTTCAGGGACTTCTGCCTGGTCTCATCATGCCTTTGCTCTACCCATAAACTTCCTCTTAAAGATGGGAGGTAGCACAAAAAGTGCTCTTATTTTGGTAGTTACAGACCTTATAGTCTGTGCCGCAGGAGCAAAGGATCTCCCTGCTTACCTAAAGATGGACAGGCTTTAACTATCGCAAGGACAGAAAACCAAGCACCACGTGTTCTCACTCATAGGTGGGAATTGAACAATGAGAACACTTGGACACAGGGTGGGGAACATCACACACTGGCGCCTGTTGTGAGGTGGGGGACGGAGGAGGGATAGCATTAGGAGATATACCTAATGTAAATAACAAGTTAACGGGTGCAGCACAGCAACATGGCACTTGTATACATATGTAACAAACCTGCACGTTGTGCACATGTACCCTAGAACTTAAAGTATAAAAACAAAAAAAAAAGATGGACAGCTTACAGGCTTATTCAATTTCCAGTGGCATAACTTAGAAGGACTTATGAATGAATTTTTAAATCTAGTTTTATTGGCCTTGCAAAAAGTGAAAATTCCCTTATGATAATGTCAACACAATGATCAAGAGGCCAAACTCTCAGAGATCTGATAAGTTTTTATGTTTGTTCTTTATCATTGTAGGAAGTTACAGGGGGAGGGGACTTGCATTCATCATGTACTAACATTTGAATAGTATTTTGAGGTTAAAATTTTCTACTTGGTTTTTTAATTTCGGTTATGTGGATCATAATTAGTGGATCATTGGCCTTCAAATTATATTTCCTATTTCTTTCATTCTTATGCTCCATTAAAAATGTATGGGTTGCTTTTAGGTGAACATATCTATATTGATATAGGAAAGATATTGACAGATTGATAAATAAATGAAAAAATCAACATTGTAGACTACAGGGAAAAGATGAGAGGAAAAACACTATCAATATGAAAGTGAGCTGGGATAAGCAGAAGTAAAAACAAAAAGAATTATCACTAAAAAAACTTAGGAAGTAAAATCCTACAAAGCCTTTATCATGACTTAAATGAATTGTTATATATATCAATTTCCTATTTCCATGTACATTCTGTGGCTCAAAAGAAAATGAAAGATGAGTTACGAATCAGTCCTCTGCGAGTTTAAAGCTTGCTCCTTTCGCCCACAGTGCAAGTGGAATGTAGGAAGAAAGGCTCACTGGGGTATACACTGACCCTTAACCTAGTCTGTAGTCCCTGAGGAGAGAAGCCTGTGGCATCTCCACCTGTACTTGTAATAGACACATCTAAAGCCCTCCTATACCATATTCTGGGTATCACCAAGTCAATGGCAGATGCTTCTCCTCACATCCACTTAAGAACCTGAGACTGAAAAATTGTCTTAATTGCTCACTTTTATACTTTACTGACTATTACACCTCATAGTTACATCGTACCTTTTGATCAAGCTTGTCCTTTATGTTTATTTTAACAAAGCTCACCTGTGTTTAAATATCATGGTGGGAGAGGACACACAGAGATATTTGCTTGGGTACTGTACTCTATTAGAAATGGCCCTGTCTGGCCAAGTGTGGTGGCTCACAGCTGTAATCCCAACACTTTGAGAGCCTGAAGTGGGAAGATTGCTTGAATCCAGGCGTTCAAGACCAGCTTGGGGAACATAGTGAGATCTTGTGTCTTGAAAAAAGAAAATAAAAAATGAGCCAGGCATGGTGGTGCACGCTTGTAGACCCAAGTACTCAGGAGGATGAGTCAGGGGCTCTCTTGAGCCTAGGAGGTTGAGGCTGCAGTGAAATGTGATTGTATGTGCCACTGCTCTCCAGCCTAGGTGACAGAGCAAGACCCCATCTCAAAAATAAATAAATACATAAGTAAATAGTCCTGTCACCTTCTCCAGATGCACGAATGGGTTTTCAGTATTGGTTTTCCTCAGCAGTGACTACCATTCCCTCCTTTTTTGTATCTCCAACCTTTCATCCTTACTCTGCCTTATGTAGTTTCTTCTTTGCCCTAATTGCCAAACCAAAAACAACAAAACATGTTCAGTAGTTTCTTGGAAGCCACAGATACAAATATCTTAATAGGAACTCTAGCTAAGCACACGCTTCAGTAGCACGTGAAATGATTCAGATTGATGCTTAACTATGGAAAAAAACAACAGAAAGAGAAGAGTATTTATTTCTAAATAACCCAGGCTATCACTGCATATCTCTGTGTAAATAAAATTTAAATGACTTTGGCTTGTAAGGAAATACTATATACAATGTTGTTTACCAAGCTGATGTTAGAAAATCTGTTATCATGGTGGTACACATGTGATTTTACACCTGGTGAAAGTAGAGAAATTTTTTTCTGAGACTGTTGGTCTCTTTCTAATATCTATAATTCATGCATGAGGTAACCCCAATGCAATAAAAGGGAAAAGAAAGAGGATTTTGTCTATACTCATTGCACTAGACAATGTTAAATCAACACAAATAAGTGCTTATTTGAGAATTTGTAGTTGCATTTGGCTGTTAAAAATTCTGCTATATCTTCTAATATAGCCTGCAACTTGCCTAGCTTCCTTTCAAATATATTAGGAAATATTAAGGGGAATAATATAGTAACTCATTTCATGCAAAGAAAGAACACAAAGTATGTTTATAGAAATTATTTCAGTTCCTTTTTATTTAATTGTAAAGGTTTTTCAAAGATATGTTAGCCTTAGTTTGCAGATGAAAAAAATAAACTGCAGACAACTACAAATGGAATTCATGGTTGCTGAGTAGAGTAGTGCATAGGAAATATCAGTATGCCACTAACCTCTCATTACTGTTGATTCTTCTGGATGTCTGATTTAGTTCAGTCTAGATTATAGTCATGTGAACTGGAATTAGCTGGATTAACTGTGCAATCTGAGTCAAACAAGCAAAACAAAGTTGCAGCCATTGTGACATGATCTTCCTGGTTTCAGCCATCCTTGTTAAATTGACATCAAATGAACAAAAATCCACTGGCAAATGTTCAAGCTGGGCTAAACACCAATGACTGTTTCTCAATGAACTTGCAACATAAGGCTATGCCAGCAAAGGCATGTACCCAGCAGAAAAATATTGACATGCTACATGATTGATTAAGGATGAATTCTAATGCCATGCTTGGAAGGAATCAAGAATGAGAGTAGGCTGGACTCTTTGTCTTTTTGAATCTTGTCCGTCATGGTCAAATCCTCTCACAACTAGAAATGATGTCAGTTGTAGCATAGTAACTTGGAACTTACTACCCCTGAGAAGCATGTGTAAAGCTAGGTGATCAATTACCAAGCAAACTTTATATTTCTCTCAACATGTTTGTGGGAAAAAAACACAATATAGAATATTAATAAATGAAGACATGAACAATCCCAAAAAGTAAGTTAGATTCCAAAGACAGTGAGTCACTATTAACAACAACTTCAAAAACTCCAGCAAGATTATTTTGTCTAAAGAAACAGTAATTCTTTTAATTCTTCTTTAGTGGCCTAAAAATAAGACAGAATTTTTCAATGTGCCTTACTCCCAGGAGAGCAACTTGAACATTGCAAAAACATTGGTTATCCAAGGGACAGCATTGCACAATTATGTGTCAATGGTACTCTGTGATCTTTATCACCTTCTGGAGCCCCAGATATATTCCTCTGTCAAGAAACAGGACTTCACTATGGTGAACCATTTATCTGCTTGGCTGTGACAAGCCTTATGTTCTAGGATATATGCAATCTAATGTGTAGTAAAAAGTTTAAGGCAGTAAAAAGTTTAGAAGCCCATCCAGATGAATATTTATGGCCCTCTGTGCATAGGAACTCACAGAAGATTATGTACCACTTAGGTTGGCTGCTCAGAAGACCACTTTATGTAATGAAAGGTCATCCTGCTATGATCTAAAGGAGAAAAATCAAAACCTATCGCAGCATTTTTCACACAGTCTTCCGGTATAGGCGAGCTTATATAAAGAGATCCAGCAAACCACAACTTCATGTTTTCTTTTTGGTTCTTTTCTCTCTCCCTGCTCAAATAAAGAGGCAATAAGAGAATCTGGATGCCCAAAATGAAGAAATAAACAAACAAATATTTCTCAATATTAGATAAGCAGAAATAATAGAAAGACATTTTATTTTATTTTTTTTGTTCCAGGACAAATGCTATTATGACTAAGTTATAATTCTGATGCAGTTGACAGCAAAGCATCAATTGAGGGAAAAATTAATTTAGAATAGATCACCACACTGGGTTTGAAAAGAGAAAAAGCAAAGTCAGAAACATCAGAACTTCTTCATGCACACCACAGGTTATTAAACTGAGGTCAGGAATATGTCTTGAGTCCAGAAGCTGAGCTGAGTTCCCAATCTGAGATAATTCAAACTAAAATAAATTAAAAAAAAAAAAGTTTATTAGCAGCATTTCCTACTTCCCAACATTATGACCTGGACATTAACTCCAGCCAGTTTTTGCCAAAGAAAAATAATTCTGGAATGCATATTTTCTTTTGTAGTGCCTTGGAGATTCATGCATAGGCCTTCTGATTTCATTGTTCTCACAGCAGGTACCACAGTATGTGTAAAAATTAATAGTTCCATGACAAGCATACCATGATTCATGTTATTTTACTTTTGATCCTGGTTAAATTATAGGATTATTTATTACTTTGTCAATTTTTTATTGGTGAGATCATACTGTAGAATTTTTGCTAGAAATGGTTCTGGCAGTAGAATTACAGGTTTTGTATCAGTTTTCAAATACATAGTTCAAAGCACAACTCTGAAGTAAAGTGTCCAATTCCATCACTTGTTAATATACTAAAAGCAATTTTTGGCTGTGCTCAAACACCCAAGTGCTATGTAGATTCAGTCACATTATGCACTGGAACAGAATAATATATATAGGTCTTTATATATTCACTCTTTTGAGTGTAGGTGGAACTTTGACTCTCTTCGTTCTGTCTACATATCCCTTTGTCTTTATCTTTTATCTTTTTGTCTTTGTCTTTTATCTTTTTGTCTTTTGCAACTTTATCCATGTCCTTGGGTGATCAAAGAAGAGAATTAGCTGCTTAGCCAGTTGAAAGGATGTGGTTTTCCTGAAGGATTTATACAGCCCCCACAAATAGAATCTCTCACTGCAATAATGCCAATCTCTGTTAATTCCAGTAACCAGTCAACAAATAATTTTGAGCATAAACTCTACACCCTATTCTGTTCTAGGTATTGTTCCTTTCTGTATGTGAAATTATTCTTTCTACATTCAAGAAGCTCCTCAAGTGGAGACACCATAATTTGTAAAAATTAATTATAAAACAAATGCTTTGTAGAGACCTTGTTTAATGCCGGGGAAAAGACCATGCATTTTGAACTTCTAAGCTGCTGTCTTATCTGGATTACGACTTGGCACATTAAATGTTTTCTTTATAATAGATATTGCTAGCTAGCCTATTATCATGAACCTAAAGAAAACTGATAGTCTGCATTGATAATGTGGTTTCTTTGTGATATAACTACTGATTACATCTGGAAGGCTTGGGCAGGGATAGAATTATTACAATTAATGATGCCTTACGCCTTGGGAGAATTTGGAAATCAGAGCTAAGAATAAAAAGAAAAATTCTTATGTCAAGAACAATGAAGAATCTAAGATTTTACCCTGATTGCAAGCTAGCATGTTAGCCTCAGATTCATGGATTCCGGTAGAAGACACACGATTCCTGGATTAGACACAAAGGATTTTATCCCTCATGCCACAGCAGGCCACATAACATTCATGTTTACGTTGGTTCTCCTTGACATGCCCCCCTCTACCCTTTTACAGTCCATGAAACACAAATTCTTTACTTTAACCCTTGATTGCCACATATTCTCTTCTCTTTCTAAACTATTTAATTCACTTAGATACAGGAGAATAGTAAGACCCAATTTGTGAATAAATCCCACTTAACCAAATTCCTAACATTTGTTTAGAGAACCTGGAACATGCAGAGAAAAAACACTGCATAGAATCCCAAAACATAAAAAGATAGTTTTGATTAACATAATCCTTCTAGAACCCTTAAGTAGGCCTGAGTTTTTCTCCTATTTGCAGAACAGCAAAGTGATTATAGCCATCAAAGCTGTGTGCTATTGCATTGTCTTTTTATTTTAATTCTCAGTGTACTTATTTATAAGATGGAGGTAGTAAAATTCTTTGCCATATATGCCTTATAGGTTATCATAATGATCAATTAAGACTATGAATAAAAGCTCTTTGAAAAGCAAAACTACACACCCAGCATAAATATAAAGTGGTATTGTGTTATTGTTGTTAATGTTGTTGTTACTTTGATCAGTGTTGTTTAAAATAAATCTTCGAAGTTCTTAGTTGTTAAAAGTCAAATCAAATACATCTTGCAAAGATACATCTCCCTACTTAAAATGTTTTATTTGGGAAGTAATAATTGCAGTTTGGGGCATACCCACAGACTAGATGATCTTCTGTATGGCCGAAAAACAAAGAGAAGGTTGGAAGTTTTCTAAAAAGCAGAAATGTTGCATGTTGTTTTGCAAGAAAGCTTATTGGCACCTTAAAGTTTTGGGGAGCTCACAAACTCTGATTGGTGAGTGACAGAAGTGAGTAAAACTAGTTTTAGAGCTGCAGCAGATTGTTTCAGTAGCTATTCAATAAAACTGGTTTCAGGTTAAAACAGGCAGTTCCAGCATCCAGGCTTGCAGAGAATTACATTCCTCCAGCATGATATGTGCCCTGAGTGCTTTTTCCCCTTCACTTCTCAGTAGTGTTTTAGTTGTATACAGCAAGAATAACCCAATTTACATGTCAACTTTCACCCAGTAGAATACTTGTTGCCAGAAAAATTGAAAATTTTCTTTTTCTCAAAGATGGCTGTCACCACAATGTTTTATAGTTTCAATTAAGTTAAATGAGACAACATTTTGTTATTGTAGCAAAATTTATTTCTGTGTATGTTTGATTATAGTAAACTTTATGAGTATCACATATTTTTGAATTTAAAGTATGTAAAATTTTAGGACATTATTTTTATTGTATGTATTTAAGGTGTACAACATAATGTTTTAATATACATAGTGAAATGGTTACTATAGTCTAATTAATATATCCATCATCTCTTATAGTCACTCTTTAGTGTATGTGGTAAGAACACCTGCAATCTACTCTCAGCAAATTTCCAATGCATATTTTAACACAATATTGTAACTATAGTCTTTGTATTGTATGTTGGATTTGTAGACTTATTCATCCTACCTATCTGCCACTTTGCGCTCTTTGACCTACATCTCCTCTTCTCCTCTCCATTACCACTTTATTCTCTATGTATTCGACTTAGAAATTGTGATACACACACACACACACACACACACACACACATCCTTACCTACCAACCTACATATATAATGGAATATTACTCGGCCTTTAGAAAAAGGAAATTCTGTCAATTGCAACAACTTGGATGAACCTGGATGACATTGTGCTCAGTAAAATAAGGTAGACAGAGAAGGACAAATACCTCATCCCACTGATATGTAGAATCTAAAACAAACAAAAAACTCTACAAGATTTAAATTTTAATGGACTGACTGTAGCTAGCATTATTCATATACCTTGGGTTTTTTTAACTCTAGTTAATCCTGGAGAAGCACTACCTCACATATGTAAAGCTGGAGAGTTTCGCTGCAAAAACAGACACTGTATCCAAGCTCGGTGGAAATGTGATGGCGACGATGACTGCCTAGACGGAAGCGATGAGGATTCAGTAAACTGCTGTATGTTCTCTTCCAAGTCACCTAAAAATTGTATTTTCCTGAGTCTTTGAGTGTGTGAATTATCAAGGCAGTTTGTGACAATCTGAAAATACCTTTGATGCAGATTGAACCTAGTTTAATTTTTCAGTCATCCTTTTGCATAAAGAGTAGACCATAGATTGCCTCCTTTGCATAGTTTCAAAGCAGTTTTTCTCATCCTTTTCCATCCTTCATATTATCATTTTAGTTGCTCTAAGAATTTCTCCTTTTACATTCCATGATATCAGCGCCACCATGCCACTGTCAGAGGTTGCTGTAGGGAAATTCTTTGGATTTTTGAATTTAAAGATGTGGAAAATCAATTTAAATTCCCTCAAGACAAAATTATTGGTACAGAAGGTCACGATCCACTCCACTGCTCTTTGGCAACAGAGCCTTGAAGAAGATCCAAGGAAACAGACATGGGTTTGGAACATGTTACTATATAGCTTCACTGTCTCAGGACATGGTAGAAAACACATATGGGCACTCAGAAATCAATGTTTGACTTTCCCCTCTTTGGCTTCTATTTAATTATTTATCATCTGCTGGGATAGGAATAGTTTCATGTTGCTAGTAGGCAAAATAAAATTTCTCACATATGTGTTAGGAAAACATTTGGGGAAGTACATTAAATAATGTTTTGAGAATATATTTGATTAGAGTCACTGGCTAAGTGATTTTGAGAGATATAAAATATTTTATATGAAAAGAAGGCATGTGTTGAACAAATTTATCCTTGATCTTTTTATCTGACCTAAGAACATTGTTTTTAATTTTTTTTCTTTCTATAAATGTCCTTTTTTAGGTCTGAACTAATGAGAGTTAATTGACAGTCCTTCATTTCCCTTTTTTAAAAATTAATATACAAATGAAGTTTTAAAGATCTTTTTTAAGAATGGGCAAAGTTAGTCTGGGCATCCATTTTATTCAAACATCGATGCTTCAGGACAAAAATCTCAAGAATATGAACTTTAAAAAATATTTTCAAATTGTATATTAATACATAACACATAAATTATAATAAATGCGTAAATATAGGACTGCATTTTCTCTTGATTTCCAAATTCAGGCCCTGACTTCAACATTATGTACTTCTTATTTTCAGACCCATTAATATCTGTCCTGCAAAGTTTGAACCCACAAAAAAAATTTAAATACTAAATTGCTATAATTAGTCAAGATTTTTGGAGAGGAACCTTTCGTCTGAGGGTAAAGGGTATTTTTGTCCTAATTTACATAAATGAGTATTATTTAGTGATTAATTGTCTCACTTCTTGACTCACAATCAGAACTGTTATTTATTTATTATTACTTTTAAGACTAATCAGTCAAGTGCAATAATTAAAAAGAAGGAAGGAGTAGAACAAGGAGTTTGATTTGTAACTAAGTGTGAAGAGTCAGTTGAGTTAACTCATTACCTTTGGGCCAGCCTATTTGTGGTTGTGATGAATGCTCCCTATATATCAGCTTCCTCTGTAGTCAACTTTAAATGCCTGAGCAGAGTGCAAATACTGCATCACAATATTCATGTATTGGTTCCTTAGGTCCACGTTTTCATCAGTGTGACTTGTATCTTCTAGCAAATTAACAAGAAAACTGACCTCCTCTATGGGTAGAAGAAGCATTGCATTTGTACTGCTAATTAGAATGTTAAAATTTCTAATCAGTCATTTTATCTTATTATCATCACTCTTCAATCCATCACCCAAGCCATGGTTTTTTTGTGTTTTTTTTCCCCTGGAGAACTCTTTTACTTATAGTCCACACTCAATTTTTTAAATAAATCCTATTTTTTCTACTTCCTAAATAATTAATTTTTTATGTTTACTTCCTGTCAATTTTCATTGGCTAAATTAGGCCTTCACCTTAGATTGACTCAGAAAATGGCTTTCTATTATGCCTGCCACTATTCCTCCCTTAACTTTAGCCCACTTTCCACACTATTTTCAGAGCGATATTTATAGAATAAAATCCATTCTTTTAATTTCAATAACTGCACAACCAACAAAATAAATTCTAAAATCTGTTGACTCACATATACAATACTTCCTGCTCTGTCTTGTATTTACATTTTTAGTCTTTAGTCTATTATGCATCCATTTACCCTTTTTATTTTTATCAACTTGAACTATAAATCTCCAAAACATGTCCTGTTTTTCTCCTCTGCAATACTGCACTGACTGTTTTCTGTCTAAGGAATTCAACATAGCTTACCATTACCTTCTTAGGAAAATCTTTTTTTGACTCTCAATACAGCCATTTGGAGTTAAACATTCATCTGCTGTACAATTCTTTATTACAGTAGTTGCCAAACCAAATTGAAATTATTTGCTTACTTATTTGGTACATCTAATAGATTAATATTTTCATGAGAAGACACCTTATGTTGTAGTGTTACGTAGTCTCTCGGTCTAGCACAGTGCCTGGCACATGGATGAGTGGGTGATTAGATAAGTGAGGCAATAAGCAGTTACACACCTCTGACCACCTTCCAGCACTATGTCATCTTCCCTAAGCATTGCAGTGATTCTGAGCAACATTTTATTTCTGAGATCTCATGGTTAATATTCTAATACTACATAGGTAATTTCAGAGGATTATTTTAAATATTAAACACCCATAATCTGCAACCTTGAATTTTGTTATTCTACTTTCTATTCCTTCAGTGTTTTGGCTCCATACCAAAAGGTGTTTGAATTCCTGTTTATTACTTTATTGTTGAAAATTGCAAAAGTCCTTGATTAAGCCTCACTGAAGTGCATATGTATAATATTGGTACTTTAAATTGTTGGCTCTCTAATACATCAGATGACTTATATTTCTCTCGGCATTTATTCTTGCTAAAGTCCCTGAAGTGAGTAGAAAATGTAAATCATGCTCAAATACCAGAGAATATAAAGCTTTTCTCCCTATTTTTTTGTTTTGTTTTGTTTTTTTACTATACATCAATAAAAACTTTCTAAAAAGTGATAAAACCACGTATCAACAAAGCTACTTTAAAGAAAAACTGTTTTATAGAAACTAACTGGAAATGCACGCATTTGCTACTCAACAAGCATGATAAAACAACAATTTTTCAAATTCTCAGTAAAACAAATATAAACATTTGTTTTTATCATACGAAGTGTAACTACTGGGCATAAAGAAAATTACCCTTAAAAACAGCGTTGAAATTGTGAAACACATATTGAAGAGCATGCCAATTCAGTTAGGAATTTAGCCTCTGGAATGGAGGAAAAATAATCATAGAAGGTTAACATTAAGATGGCCCTCCTGTTGTGCTTGGATATTGGAAGTTTAATCCTTAGCTGTGCACAGCTTCCCAGATGAGGATTGGTCACCTCCTAAGTATTTTCTGTGGTTGCATGTTTGTTTGTACTAGGGAAGAAAACTCATGATGATTTTTTTTTTTTAAGTAATACAGAATCTCATAGTTAACATCAACTCTAGGTCACAAGTGATGCATTTTTCTTTTCTGTGTTTTCATTTTCTTTTCTGTGTTCCTCCTTCCATTCCCAAGAAACACTGGACAGAGAGTAATAAAAGTAGGCTTAGTTAATATGTTAAGAAATATTTGAATGTTTATGTGGTTTAAAAAATATTTTTAATATATATGACTAAATTATTTTCAATACATACTTGTTATGTTTAACATTAAGATTTGAGGTTAATTTTAAATGTTCTTGGTAAAAAATTTTTAAGTGAAGTCTCCAGTTGGTTTAAGGAATGAGAAAACAAACTTAGTGATACAGTTGGTTTTATTTATTTATTTTTTTTGAGATGGAGTTTCGCTTTTGTTGTCCACAGCGATCAATCTCAGCTCACTGCAACCTCCGCCTCTTGGGTTCAAGCGATTCTCCTGCCTCAGCCTCCCAAGTAGCTGGGATTACAGGCATGCGCCACCATGCCTGGCTAATTTTTTGTATTTTTAGTAGAAACAGGGTTTCACCAAGTTGGCCAGACTGGTCTCAAACTCCTGACCCCAGGTGATCCACCCACCTCAGCCTCCCAAAATGCTGGGATTACAGGCGTGAGCCACCACGCCTGGCCATACAGTTGGTTTTAATGGAGACATAAAAAAAGAATACATTTCCTTTTATTTAAGATGTAATTACTTGATGTTTTTTATAAAAGCATTACATTTTAACAAAGTGAATATTAGTATTTGCTATTAAATATAAGGCAATGAATGACAGACTCTATGACATTTATTGTACTATAATATTATTACTGTAACTTTTCTGTAACTATCATTCAAAATATTCACAACTTTATCCAATTTTAAATAATTAATCTTGCTTCCCCCTCCCTCCCAGTCAATCATAGCTGTCCTGATGATCAGTTTAAATGCCAGAATAATCGCTGCATCCCCAAGAGATGGCTTTGTGATGGAGCTAATGACTGTGGGAGCAATGAAGATGAATCCAATCAAACTTGCACAGGTAAAGGTTTGCTTGGATATACACGTAAATCTCCTCCAAAGTTAGTCTTAATAAAAATGCAAGTAAATGCTTTGAACTAAGCTGAACTTTCCTAGTGCTGATGATCTGATTATTGCAGTAGTAAATGAATTCAGAGTTTGATGCCACAAAGGCTAGAATACAAATTATCTTTTACTTAATCTTTGGACACTACTCTGCTTTCCAGACTAATTTGGCACTTCATCTATCCATATGGGTTGACTGTCGACACACTACTTGTACAAGACTTGTCCCTACTAAATCCTACTTGGCAGTGGAGGTTGATGTTTGCTAGCATGCTGTGATATAGGCCATCTCACAAGGAGGATTTTTTTTTTAACCTTGAGAAAATAATTTATAAATTTTATTTAGTCTACTATAGAATACCTCTGTGAATAGTTTTCTATTCATGCACATTATTTATGTGAAGTAGGTTTTTTTCCCCATGAAATCTCAAGACCACTAGCCTATTTATATTTCCATATAATCTACTCTATTGTAATAGATCTTTGAATCCCTAGCCAGATTCTCATTGAATGGAAATACACAGCTTGTGGTATAGTTTACAATGGAGTGCCAGAAAGGTCATTATTAATCAGATAAATGTTGAAAAATGATACTGACTAGCAGCAGCCTAGTGCTTCTTTTTAAATGATAAAGAAAAAAATAGTTCATTTGATGACTCATATTGATATGATTCATAAAAACTGATTTTTTAAACCATTATATAGAGCAACATCAAAACATATTAATCACCCCATCAACTCTTTCTGTCTTTGCCAAAATAAGCCTTACTCAATAACAAGTGTTATAAATTACCAGTGAAAAATACAGGGCAACCTCTAGAGAGAAGACCCAGGGGTTGAGAAGACTGGTTTCCATTCTTGGTCACCACCAGCTTTTTTCTTGGAAAGACATACCTCTCTGCACTTTTGATTTCCTTGAGCTTTTTTTTCCAGCACGGTAAGAGTATTAACTATAAATTGTTTCCAGATTTTCCCTATGTACAAAACAACACTGGCAAGAGCAAAACAGCCATCATTCCAGAGTCCTAGTCTATGTCTTCTATTCAGATTTTTTCCATAGTGACAAATTTGCTGAGGATCCATGGGCCAGTTATTCTCTTGTCCCCTGATTAAAAATCTGATCTGACATTTTAAAGTAAATGAATGTTTTGCAAGATCTTTTTGTCTCATAGCAAATCTTTTGTTTTACAAAAGACTTTCTAAGAGAAAAGGACCTCCAGAGACCATCCAGTCCTAAGTCCCTACCCTCCAAGCTATCCATCTTATAGATGGGCATGGCAGAGGGAACTTGCCTAAACTTAACATCATTGGTAAAAGATCAGGGGAAACTTGATCCAAGAGTTTTGTCTCCAAGGTCATTTCTCTTTATCCCAAATGATATTATCCTGCATATTAGCTAGAATTTTAGGTATGGTCAGTTCAACTTAGCTCAAGTTGCTCTTGCCATATGATTATAATTCATAATGAGACATCTTTCTAAATGAGTGCAATTCTTCTTCTTTTTTTTCGACAGTCTTGCTCTGTCTCCCAAGTTAGAGTACAGTGGCATGATCTCAGCTCACTGCAACTTTCGCCTCCCAGGTGCAAGCAATTCTCATGCCTCAGCTACCAGAGTAGCTAGGACTACAGGCACACACCACCATGCCTGGCTTTTTCTTATTTTTAGTAGAGAACAGGGATTCACCATGTTGGCCAGGCTAGTCTCAAACTCCTGGCTGCAAGTGATGTGCCCACTTAGGCCTCTCAAAGTGCTTGGATTGCAGGTGTGAGCCACCATGCCAAGCCCAATTATTATTCTTTTGAGGTTAAGATTCAATTCACAGATTATGCTTTATAACATCCTAAACAAACATCATCTGTTTTCACCTTAAAATAGAAGGCATTGCTGGCTCAATTTATAACACCATGTTTACTTCATTACTATTAGATTTTTAAAATCTGCTGGTTTCTACATGGTTTTTAAAGAAGCATTTGTGATTGGCTAGCTATTTATAGTAGTAAAAGTAAAAACGTTTATGTATAAGAGCAAATAAAACAGTTTTAATTGTTAGTTGGTGCAAAAATAATTGTTGCTTTTGCCATTATTTTCAATGGCCAAACCACAATTACTTTTGCACCAACCTAATAATAAGATATCTAAAATATTCAAGTCCTGTGGTCTACTAGGAAATAGAACATAACTTACTTAAATGCCACCTTAAGAGCTGCCAGATGAAGTCTGCTGCTCACTACTAGATCTTTTCGTCAGTATATTTATGACAGCTATTATAGTCACTGGATACCTTAAGAACTCGAATAAAAAGAACAAAGAAAAATAAACATGCCTTTTGCTTTGTAAGCAATGAAGTACATAGTCAAGTTACAAAGTACCTCCATTTCACTTCATCAAAATATATAAATAGGTCACATAGCTTACCATACTGGAAAAAAATGGCATATTTATGTAGACCATATTTCTTTCTGGATTTCAATCCATTGCTAGATATAAGTGAATACATGGACATATATGCTAGATAAAAAGACTTTCCAATGGGAAGTTACTTTGTTATTGAATCCGCCATCCTGTAGCTGTTTGCATTGTGATTATTTTATATCTAAAAGAAAACCCTTGTCCACAATAAGCCAATTTCCTATTTTTTCTAAAATTTCTACTTCGTGAATTTGTTTACTTCATTAAATATCTACCAAAGCACTGGTGATAGAATGAAAGAAAATACACAATGCCTTTCCTCAAGAAGCTAAGAGTGAAGACTGGGAGAAAGAAGTATAAGCAGGCTATTCTAATGCAATATTCAAATTGCTAAGTTGATCCACATGGAAGCACATGGGAAGAGTAAGGAATTTGGTCTTCAGCTATCTGGGAGGACTTCTTAAAGGAAGCACTGTCTAAGCTAAGCCTTATAAAAAGCTTAAGAAAAATTCCTAAGTGACAGTTCCAGCCATTCAATTAGAAAAAGTAAAATAATCTGGTAAAACTCAGCATTGGCAATACTGTGGGAAGAAGGAATTGTCATACACTCTTGCTGGGTATGTGAATTGATTTTCTATCTTGGAAGGTGATTTGGCCAAATTCAATAAATGTGAAGATGTGCATACCTTCAACTTTGTAATTCTATTTCTATGTTGATAATCTAATACCTGTGCACGAAGAGAGAGATGTGAATAAAAATTTTCATTGTCTTGTGCTATAATAGTGAAAAACTGAAACAATTGAAATGTCCATTAACAGAAGAATGGATAGATATATCGTGTTCTATTCATGAAAGAAATGCTATTCATAATTAAAATAACTGAACGAGAACTCAAATATCAACAAAAATGAATTTAAAAATAAAGTTAAATTACATGAGATACTCTCATCCAAGGAAAAAAAAACCACTAAATTGAAGAAAATAAACAGTACTATTTATATGAAGTATAAAATATAAAATAATTTTATATAGTGTTTATGAATTCATAAATAGGAATAGTATTATAATATGTCCAGAAATTAAAAAAATAAAAACAAATTAAAAGTAGTTACCTCTGGAAAGAGAGGGAGGGAAATGTGATTGAGAAAGATTATGTAGGAAATTTCAAATGTAAGTACATACATTTTTTTCTTAGATAAAACAAAAATAAAAATCTGTAACAAATATAGAAAAAAATAAGATTTGATATAGCTATATAACAGTAAACTGATGTTAATGATATTATTTCCTATACCTTTCTAGATGGTAGAAATATTTCACTGGGAAAAAAAAAAGAACAATTGACCAGAATAGATTGTCCAGGATGCGGCGAAGTGAATAATAAGAGAAAGGGTTGGAGAATTTGCCCAGAAGAGGAAACAGCACATACACAGTGGGCTGGAGCAAGTGGACACAGTCAGGGTGTTGGTAGCCGTTCTCTGTCAACATCCAGAATATTGTTGTCTACTTCTGAGGGAGACCCAGAGACTGAAGATGAAAAGTAGTTAGATTTGAAATTATGTTTCCTCGTAGTAACATGATCATTCCTTATATTCAAGCCTAGACAGTTTCATATCAACATTTCTCCCCACCATAGCGCTCTGGTTAGATTACATAATATTTGCTCTTCTCACATCCTCTACCAATTATAACTCAATTCATACTAGATAAGTATAATTGATTTTAAAAAACCCTAATGTATTTAAAAATTAGACTTTTCTTTACAAAATAATAGTGCATTTTGATATGACATTAAATAAAACTAAGTAGAATGCTTTGATTAAAATACAGGAAAAGTGAAGTTTAGGAATAGTGCTATGCTCTAGTCTCCTCTTGGCTGTATGGTTGGTGTGCCTTGTGAGAATTCTCACTGTTACATGGCTATAGGAGAAGCATGATTACAGCAAATCTCTGATTCAGCAGCTAGATAAACAATTCTCTTGAAGGAGGTGTAAATTTCTTCCTCCTTAGAGAAGCATTTGCCACAAAATTAGAGTCCTATGGGGCTGCTCTGCTAATCTTGCCTCCAAACTAACTTAGATCTGATGGAGACAAGAGATGAAAAAGTGAATGTTGTGAGTTTGTTTTCAGAAAAATTCATTGATTAGAAAGTGATAATTTAGTCAACTTGATTATATCATATAGATAAACAGTCCTTGGGGGTTTGTGGAATAAAGCATCTTTCTCATCTGAAATCAGTTAAAATTGCCTGGTAGACTAAGTGAATAATTTTCTCCATGATTAGAACAGACAATGAATTCATATATCTTCAGGGCATACTTTCCACTCTATAATAATCCAGTGAATACTCTTTGGAATAATAGGTCATAACAGTTCCTCCAGCTTCAGAGTTAATGAGGTAACACAAATTCCCACACCATCACAACGTGAGATGGGTCATACACAATATGAGACAGGTTCATAGAAGTTCTTTCTCATTTTCCTCTCTAATCACCATAGCTTTCCTAATGAAACAAAACAATCTGATAAAACTTTGCTAGAATTAAACCTGAATTATTAGGCAAGAATACAGTGACATAAGAATGTCAAATAAAAGAACATTGGTTTTGATAAATTTAATATATTCTTATTACAGGCCAATTAGAATTTTAGATAGAAATATGTGATAATGTCTATTTATATAAAGCAAGAATATAGAAAAGACTGAAGGAATGAAATAGTTAAAGAATGAAGGAGGAAGAAAGGTATGGAAAAGAAAAAGAAAAGAGAAAAAATAAGGGAAAACAAAGAGGCCAGTTAGGGTGAAAGGAAGTAAACAAGAATTGAAAAAAATTCTGTTATTAAATTTCTCTTAAAAGATAAAAAGGTATTTATTGTAACCAGTGAAACAGAGATATGTAAGGGAAAAATTATTAATCTCTCTCACACTTCTATTTTTACCCCTTCCTGTCAAGTAAACTAATGACATTAGATTTTGTGTATATTTCTATATCCTTCTCTAGGTTAATACAAATACATATATAGTTTTTTTCTCAGCAGAAATAATTTTATAACAATTATCTAAGAACTTTATTCATTTTCGTATAGATGACAGAATAATTTACCAGAAAATATGTGGAATTAAATGAGACAATATAGAATTATTTAATTTTACTTGTAATTTTAACATTAAAAACTTCAGAAGCATACATGTTTGCTGGAATATTTAAAATCTGTTAATTTAAAATAAATGATGAATTTGTAAAATGTAAAAAATCAGATAGTGCATAAAATATTTTAGATGTAGGAACCTTATCACATAAGCAAAGCAAAATACATACTACAATAATTTTCCTGATATTTCTAATTTTAGACACTAAGACTAGGAACAATCTAATGTATCAAACCAAGCCAGTAAATTTTTCATTTGTTTTTCTTGGATAATCTTTAAAATATTCACAAATAATGAATATACATCTTAACACTGCAAGTGCACTTTTCTTAAAAGGATAGAACAATGTATATATCTTTTAAGAAATTATTTTCAATGATTTCTGAAGCCCTAATTCATGGAACCCATTTTAGTGCATTTGATTGAGTTGGCTTTGCTCCACTCTTTCTTATATCAACCATTAGTACCCAAGTTCACAAAGTGTGTTGATGAGACAAACAATGGTTCTGAAACCTAGGAAAAAGGAAGTCTATAAACTCAGCAAGATTCCCTTATTGTAGCCACTGATACTTCGACCCCAATTATTCACTATCTGTTCAAGCCTCACCTATCCACAATTTTCACAGGACTGAGTATCCCTTTCCCAATATATCTCATTTTTTTCTCTAGTCCAATGAAAGGAAAGGGTAGAGGGGATATCGAGACTCATAAAGACATATTCGTAGTTCAGAGGGACAGAAGAAAAAAAGAAATGAAAATCAGAGGATAAAAACAACTAAGCATGTCACTACCAAAGGCCTGGGGGAAGAGGCAGGGAAGCTATTTAAGCTTTCATGCTTTTTAAAAGTTGCCCTGATTATACTAGAAAAGGATTATCAAATTTCCTCTTGAACATAACCCCTTTTCTGAATAAACCACTGCCTCCGGCTAACACAGAAAGGAAGATTCCATGTTTGTGTTCATTGAAATCCTTAAGAGAGCCCAAAGCAAAGTTCATTAATATACCTTGATTAAAAAGTCATACTTTTTAAAATAATTGTGCTGAAAAGTGAGTTAAAAAAAAAAACACCTTAAGGCCAAATGTATGTTTTAGAAAATATTCTCTGCACTCTCACTGCATACAGCAGATCATTTAGAGATCAAGAAATAAATGCATTAAAAATGTTAGAGGAATAGGACAATTCGACCCCATGATTAGAAACTAGATATCCTGAGATCGTCTCCAAATAATGCCTTCTACAATACTACAAAAAAAGTTTTCTTGGTTTATTAGCAAATGCTATCCACAATTCTTTTTTTGTTAATTAAGAGTTGGATGAAACTTAATTCAACCTTATATTCATAAGCATGTGCTGGGCAAAAGTTTAAAATAATGAATTCATAGCTTCATTTATGGAATTGTGTGAGGGTTACTGACTATCTTGTCATTTAGCAGTCATTGATAATTGAAGGGCAAAGCATGTGAACTTTAGAGAAGACAAGCAAGCTGGTATTCAGAAGCCTTAAATAAAAATGGACTTTTAAAATATTTTATTTTAATAGAGAAACATACTATCTTATGTATGAAAGGAATATTGCATGCTTAATTATATCCTTGATGTTCAAAATGCCTCTAAATTGATTTTTTGTTTATTAATTGATCATCATAGCCAGAACATGCCAGGTAGACCAGTTTTCTTGCGGAAATGGGCGTTGCATTCCCAGAGCATGGCTGTGTGACAGGGAAGACGACTGTGGTGACCAGACAGATGAAATGGCATCTTGTGGTAAGTTGTGAGTGAGACATGTTATTATTACAGATTGTGTCAGATAGGATACCCTACCACTACACCCTCCTTAAAGGGCTATTTATTTCTTTATGAGTACAGGTAAAAGAGGCAGAAGATATGGCATTTTTGTTACAAACTTTTGGACCTGATTGTGCGCTTTAATGATAACTTCTGAATAATTCCTATTTGTGAGGCAGAAACAATATTCTCAGCTAAAATAAATGGATTTAAACATTGCAGATTTTATTAGGAAGTGGTTATTACGCGGCTAACAGGACACTCTCAAATGTTCATTATTAATCTTAGGTCTGTAGTGATTAAACTTGTCAAAGAGAATAGTTCATGGAGTAACATTTGGGGTAAGGGAGGAGGACATGTTTCTTATTGGCATGTATATGTTATCTTCTGGGAAGAATAAATGATTCAGACTGAGATTACATAATTGGTAAATCATTGTTTTCATTTCCGTAGAGTCGTATGATTCTGACTGACAAACTCAATATTAGTTTAAGATAATATTTTTGTTGATGGCAAAATTCCCACTTTCAATAGATTCTCTTACTTTTGAAAATAGTAAAAATGTATTGTCACATGAAGTTGCAAATTTAACTACTCTCATTGTACTCATGCATCAGTATGTTTCGTTACCATTTGTCTCAATAATGTCTACTGAAACACAGTAACAGAATGAGCCAGGCTTTCTAAGACTTGTGCTTTATTTAAGTCATGGCAATAGATTTTTTAAAATTTCTATGGGAAAACTTTACCCATAATTTAGACATGTATAGCATATTTATTAAAATATAATACAATAAGTATACATTTTAATAATTTAACACTGTTATACTTTTAATAGTAGAAAAATAGGTTTTTTTAACCCTTCTGTTTATTATATTTTTCTTTTTTAAAATTCCAATAGTTTTGGAGGTACAGGTGGTTTTTGGTTATATGGGTAAGTTATTTAATGGTGATTTCTAAGATTTTAGCGCACTCATCACCCGAGCAGAGTACACTGTACTCAATATGTAGTCTTTTATCCTCTACCCCCTTTACAGCTTTCCCCCCACCAAGTCCCCACAGTCTATTACATCATTCTTATGCATTTGCGTCCTCATAGGTTAACTCCCAGGTGTAAGTGATAAGAAAACAATATTTGGTTTTCCATTCCTGAGTTACTCCACTTAATATAATGGCCTCCAGCTCCATCCAAGTTGCTGAAAAAGACATAATTTTATTCCTTTTTATGGCTGAGTAGTATTCCATGGTGTATATATACTACATTTTCTTTATCCAGGCGTTGGTTGGATGGGCACTAAGGTTGGTTCAGTATCTTTGCAATTGCAAATTGTGCTGCTCTAAACATGTGTGTGCATGTGTCTTTTTCATATAATGGCTTCTGTTCCTTTGGGTAGATACCCAGTACTGGGATTGCTGGATCAAATGGTAGTTCTACTTTTAGTTCTTTGAGGAATCTCTGTATTGTTTTCCATGGTGGTAACCTCTCAATTTAAATGCCTGTATTTGGAGGATGCTTACCTAAAATTTTCTTGTGCTAGACTATTATGTCCCTGTAAACATCTGAGTATATAACCTCTGAATAAAGTATAGATAAAGTAAGTGGTGGTAATTGACATAGTAAAGAAGGCAACAGCAGTGGTATGGAAGAAAGCACTAGAGAACCACACAATAGACAATAGAATATTTTACGTATATAATAGAATATCTGGAGCCTGACCAATAAAGTGGGTTGAGCAGTGTATTCTCTCTCTTTTCCACTATCCAGACTAATTGTGTGGTCCTATATCTGGCTGTGTCTGCTGCTTAGTTGCTCTGTATTTTAGAGAACTTGATTCCTTTCCACAGTGAGCATACTCATTCAGAGAATACCAAAAAGGTAATAAGCAATCTAATAACATTAAATACAGAGAGGCCCTGGAATCAGAGTCTCAATTCAGATAAGAAATGTCATGAAAACAATTAGGAAAATAAAGTATGAGCTCATTAAAGAACTTCTATTAGGTCTTTGATCTGATTTTCTCTTTTTTTCTTTTTTTTTAATAGGCCTAGGGCAAGACCTGTTTCTTTATTTTAATAACAATTTACTTGAATCAAAGGAGGAAAATACCGAAAATTTTATATAATAATCTAATAACTATACCAGCAAACTTGTATATCTTTTATGAGGTGAGGCGAAGAAGGGTTGGGAGGGCTGCCAGACACGTATCTTTCTATTAAATTTTTTTAATAACAAATCTATGAAGAACATTTTATGGCCCAGGTAAAGGAATTGAAACTTAGAGACTTTTAGAAACCTGCTTGAGAACACAAAGCTAATAAATAGTGGGACCAGACTATTAATCCAGGCATGCTTACAACTAGAATCCAACCATTTTAGGCTGACTTTGTTTTGTGATCCTTGCATGGGGTGCAGATAATGCCATTATACTTCAATGACTATCTGATTTAAATGCACATATAGTTATAGTAGGTTTCATTCCTTGTTGTGTTGGTAAATGTTTTAACATTTCCTGGTGGGGAGGAACCCTGATGTATTGTTTGCCTATTTGTGTGCTGTAAATACTCCCACCCTGGCCAATATCAAGTTGCCAACATGATTCTCTGAATGTGGAATTAGGATGATATGCAGTAACACACTAGTATGTATTATTTCCACTATTCAGATACAGCTGACACAAATAACTTCAAGAGCAATGTAGTAAAATTATCAGGAAATTAGAAGTCTCAGGTATATATTACCTTTGTTTTAAACATTATATGTTTAATTGTAAATTCATAAAAATTATTTTTTTAAAAAATAATGCCACTTGCTTTACAGCTGGCAAATAGAATCAGTGAAAATTTACAAATAGGCTCTCACGACCAGGTGTGGTGGTTCATGCCTGTAATTCCAGCGCTTTGGGAGACCAAGATGAGCAGATCGCTTGAGGCCAAGAGTTGGAGACTAGCCTGGCTAACATGGTAGAACCCCATCTCTACTAAATATACAAAAATAAGCCGGTGTGATGGCACATGCCTGTAATCCCAGCTACTCGAGAGGCTGAGGTGGGAGGATTTGCTTGAATCTGGGAGGCAGAGATTGCAGTGAGCTGAGATTGTGCCACTCCACTCCAGCCTGGGTGGCAGAGTGAGACTCTATCTCAAAAAAATAAAATAAAAATAAGCTCTCAAAAGCTGGTACAAGAGGCCTGCAGCACACAACTGGATATGAACACATTGTAATGATTTAGCAGCTAGACAGTTTGGTTCTGAAATATAGCCAGATTTTACAGAGTATCGGTAAACTAGCGGCATGGGTTAGTATCAGTACCATTTCTTCTTTACAACCAAGGAAACATGTTTTACCTCAGACATGTTTCTCTCTTCAGTAACACACATTTACCTTTCAGATTGTTATTTAAAATCAAAATTTACATCAGAAGAGAAGCTGACAAAGTCTAGTAGGCACAATTTCACTGTTAAAGTTATTATAAGAAAGAATGGCACAGATCTCTGCAAGAGAAATTATTCCTGCACTGCATACAAAACGACAAGGAGTGCAATTTTTTAAAAAGCACTCACCCTATTTGACAATATACTATAAATAAATATAGATTCAACTCATTTCTAGTTTTATTACAAAATTCATACTGGCCATATTTTGCTTTTGTCATTGGAATAGCCCAGATTCCCAAAGGTTTCATCCTACCAGAAGATGCTGCAATCATTTTTTTTGTTTTTACATTTCAGCTTCATGAACAATCTCTGTTAGGGTTATGGCTACTGTTACACATTAAAAATAATATTAAAATTTGGATTTAAAAACATGCAAAGCCTATGATTAGAAATGTTTCTGCTGGTAATTAGGAGTTGAAGGTGCTACAACTGAGGGTCAGGTTTTCACTGGAATTTACTAGCATCTATTTTCAAACCTAATTTATTTTACTTGCATTTGCCTTTACGAGTTAATTGCACATTTTAGGTTGAGATTATATGTGGGTGCACGTTTACATTAATTGGGAAGGCCCTCTGAGGATTCAGCTTTAATCTTTAAGCAGTTGTTTAACTTTTTTAGTAGTCTTCACATGTGGAAAGAAGAATTTGTAAATTGGTGATGCAGACAAGAGAAGACATATTCAAATTGTGAAGCCTGTGTTGAAAGTGGACCTTGTGTCAAGGAATTGGATGGTCAATTTAATTTCAAGGATAAGACTAACGTTGGTTCTCAACTTAAGTTGTCAATAAAATAATTACCAGGGGAACTTTAAAATCACCTGCCCATACCTCACTCCAGAGTAATTAAATAGAATCTCTAGGAGTGGGACCCAATAATTAGTATTTTTAATGCTTCCCTAATGATGAAATGTGTGATCAAATTTGAAAACTCAAGACATACATACAGTCTTTTGAGGAGCTTGTTAAAAAACAGAGTGCTGGGCCCCATTTCCAGAGTCTCTGATCCAGTCAGTCTCAGGTGGGGCCCAAGAATTTATATTTCTATTAGGTCAGTGCAAAAGTAATTACAGTTTTTACCAGTATGGAGAACAACAACAAAAAAAAACGCAATTACTGTTGCACCACCCTAATAAGAAATTCTCAATTAATGCTGATCCTTGTACCATGTGTATTTGATTTTATCATCTGTGCACTATGTAACGTAAGAATGTCTATATATGCAAAATTAATTTAAGTTGGAAGCAATTATCCTTACAAATTTCCTTCCCATATGTATTAGTCCATTTTCACGCTGCTGGTGAAGACATACCGTAGACTGGACAATTTACAAAAGAAAGAGGTTTAACTGGATTTATAGAAGCCTCACAATCATGATGGAAGGCAAGGAGGAGCAAGTCATATCTTAGGTGGGTGGTATGAGACAGAGAGATTGGGCAGGGAAACTCCCCCTAATGATACCCTCAGATCTCATGAGACTTATTCGTTATAATGAGAACAGCACGGCAAAGACCTGCCCCCATGTTTCAATTACCTCCCACTGGGTCCCTTTCACAACACGTGGGAATTCAAGATGTGACTTGGGTGGGGACGAGCCAAGCCATATCACCATCCTCAAATTACTATATTAAATATAAGGGCATTTCATGATTAAACATGATAATGTTTCAAACAATGACATGTTTTGTCCTTTAGACAATTTATAGTCAAGTATGATTGTTCTTTTTAAACTTTAACAATCTTTGGCTTGTTCTGTCTTCCAAGTATCTCATTATAGTTTATATTTATTATGTTTTAATAAATGTACCTTAATGTAAGTTGGTAGTACCTAATTCATTAGAAGCCTTCAACTTTGGAAATTACCTAAAGTTTGTTAGCAGATTGAAAGGTAGTTCAGGCTGGGTGTGGTGGCTCACACCTGTAATCCCAGTACTTTGGGAAGCTGAGGTAGGTGAACCACTTGAGGTCAGGAGTTTGAGACCAACCTGGCAAACATGGTGAAACCCCATCTCTACTAAAAACAGCAAAAAAATTAGTGGGGCGTGGTAATGCATGCCTGTAATCCCAGCTACTCAGGAGGCTGAGGCAGGAGAATAGCTTGAACCCGGGAGGTGGAGGTTGCAATGAGCCGAGATCGCGCCACTGCACTCCAGCCTGGGCAACAAGAGTGAGACTCCATCTCAAAAAAAAAAAAAAAAAAAAAGGAAAAAAAAAAAGATAGTTCAATGGAGTAGAAATAAAAATCTACTGAAGTTTGCAAAGTTAACATTACTCATTTTTATGGATATTGATCTTTTATAACCATGTAGATAGTAGGATTTTGTCTCTTGTACTTGTAGTCTTACTTGTAAATGCTCTTGTAATCTTGTTATCTTACAAAATTACAAGAAAAGAGAAAAGAGAGGACAGTAGAGGAGGGGGTAGGGAGAGGAGAGGAAAGGACAGGACAGGAGAGGAGAAGAGAGAAGAAGAGAGGAAGAGAAGAGTAGGCGGGCATGGTGGCTCATGCCTGTTATCTCAGCATTTTGGCAGGCTGATGTAGGTGGATCACTTGAGCCCAGAAGTTCCAGACCAGCCTGAGAAACATGGCCAGATCCCATCTCTACAAAAAATACAAAAAAATTAGCCAGGGGTGGTGATGGGTACCTGTAGTCCCAGTTACTTGGGAGGCTAAGGTGGTATGATCACTTGAGCCCAGGAGGTTGAGGCTGCAGTGAGCCATGATGCATTCCAGCCTGGGACAACCTGAGTGAGACCCAGCCTCAAAAAAATAATACATAAGTAAATAGAAAGAAAAATAGAGAAATAAGGAAGAGTTTCAGCTATCAAAATGGAATTTTTACCCAGTTAAATCAGTGGTAAGTTGTATCAAAGATAGTTTACACAAGATTATTAGAAAAGCAAAGTTCCTGATTAAGTATAATATTTTTTATTTTCTAAGAAAAAACCTGCATATGTGTGTAACCATATAATGAGGAGTAGTAATCCAGTGGAATATTGACATGAAATATAATTATTGTCCAGCACTGCTTTCAACTCCTTTGCCATTCCTTAATAATATCTTTGCACCACACAATGAGTCTGGTGACTTTTAGTTTCTATAACTTGTTCCAACCCATTTTGAAACACCAATATTATATCTTAGTCAAAGCTTTCTCCTCCCTCATTGCTGGCCAGACTTCAGGTTCTAAGAATGGGGGGAAACTATGTCCTGCTTATATAACTTTAGCTCTTCAGGCAGAGAGGAGACATGGAGGAAATGAGTAACATCTTTTCAAGCAGGTCTAGAGGAAACTTCCTTTCTGCTGCTGTAAATTTCACAATCCTCTGACACATGAGAAATGCAACTCTATTGAGAGGCTTCTGTGTGAGATCTTCAGAGAGGTTTGAGTCTCATCCCTCTTTAGGATTCCCTGAACTTCCTCCTTTTCATTTCTTCTCTCTTCTTTTCCCTTCTTCAGGGTTCCCTGCATATCTAGATCTAGGTTTCTTTTATTCCCCATAACTTCTCATTCTCACCACAGGATGTATATCTCATAGCCTTAAGTTGCTAGAATCCCCTTGCTTGGTGGGCTGCCCTTTTGGTTGCATTACTGACGTAACAAGAGAAGGTTTGCTGTCTTTGCTAAGTCCACTTTTTTTAATTTTTTTCCCCAAATGTTGTGAGCAGGCTGCTCTCTTAATGGCCTATCCCTTGGGCCTGCGATCACTCTCCAGTTCTTTGTTCTTCTCTAGATACAGGTAAAAGGGCCAGAACACTTGCAGAAAAAACATCTCATCAGTGCCTTCTCAGGAACCACACAATTTCATGAATGATTCTCATGGAGTCTGTCCTTCTCTTGCATTTGGGGATCTCTCCACAGGTTGGTCCACTGGTCTCTCCAGAAGGTTGACTTGTGCAGTACTCCCCTATTATATGAAATGGTTCCAAATATCGGTTTCTCTCTGTAGAACGTGGGGATACTTGGTGTCTCCTTGTCCTTAGTATTGGATCTAAGTGGGCCAGGGCCATGGCGAAAGAAAGAATCTCACTATTACATGCTTTTGTTTTTTAACTGACTCATTTTGTTTCTCTGTCTCTCTTCTTTTCCTTCTTCCTTTCTCCCTTCTAATCTCCTATTAAAGCAGGTTTGTACACACCTACTAGTACAAACATATACATGTTTATTCAATATATGAACATTTAGAAAGAATAATAAAAGTTATTTTAGTTTTCACAGTATAAATAAGGAGACGGAAGCACTGAAAATTGTGTGTGCAAAGTTGCAGAATGTGTTAGTAGATTTCAGTTGGATATCAGTCCCATTCACTCATAGTTGCTTATTCTCACAGAATTAGAGACTGTTGTAGTTGAATAAAATGCTTTGTAACTTAATCTCTTTTCCAATATAGGAATTCTTCTAAAACTGTTCCCAGAAGTGCTTACCTACTGATTGTTTAAATATTTTCAGAAATAACTCAACATTTCAGAGGGTAATTAATTCCACTGTTGGGCAGTAAGCAATGTCAGAAGATTCTTTCTTCATGGAGCTAAGATCTGCCTTCCTAAGTATTCTACCCACTGATATTTGTGCTGTCATCTGAAGCTACATGGAATCAATAACTTTGTCCACAATCTGGCTCTTGAGATAACTAAAGACACCATCATGTCCAAGCAACTCTTCTGATTTACAGGTTAAACACACCACTTCTTTCAGCTTTTTTCTTACATGACTATGTTTGTAGGGGCTTTTCTTACCAATTGCCCTGCTATTCATTCACTTGAATTTTAATAATCTTATTAAAATTAATAGCCTAAAATGAGAGATTAATATTCAATGTGTATAGAATTTCAAATATGCAAGATGAAAAATTTTTGGAGATCTTCTGCAGAAATATATGAATATAGTTCATGTTACTGAACTCTATACTTAAAATGGTTAATATGGTAAATTTTATGTTATGTATTTTTATCACAAGTTTTAAAATGTAAAAAGTTCATGTGGTAGAAATTTGGTATTTTTTACAACAGATCATACTGGGCTTTTTACCTTTAGTTATTTAGCTTCTAGGTTTCTCTTAAAGTAATCTTGGACGACAGCCTTATCATGTAACTGACATGTTGAGTTTTCAGTCAATTAACATGCTGCCTAAGCTTTTCTTATAAACAAGTTGGCTTTTTAGGGATATTTCCAATGTTTACATTTCAAAAGTTCTCTTAGGTTTTATTTTGATAGTCTTCTGATTCTCCCTTATCCACACATTTCAAAATATGTACATGAGTGAGGTCCTCTCTACCCCCCCATCCTCCTACAATTCTTAACTTTTTTGTAATTTTGCAGTTTTGAATCCATCATCCATCATAGTACTGATGTCTTCTAGTTTTGTGTAAATTCAAAGATTGGATAAGCCTAACTTTTGAAGCTTTAACCAAATCATAGTAACAAAGGCATGAGCTTTTTGGAGAGCAATTAAAAACATTCTTCTGGGAAAAGCTGACCTAATAATTAGAATTCTGTAGCTATAGTTATGAATCAACTACTCTTCTACCTAATTTGCTATTATATTGAGTGTATGATATTTTCATTTATTGTGAAAGAATTTCTCAAAAATGTTGCAAAAAATACAGGAGTACTGTGTTTAGAAATATATATATATATATATATATATATATAAAATGAAATATATTTAATGAAAGCATATATGAAAATGCCCTAAACATGTTACATATGTAAATATATATGTATTTACATATATGTATTATATGTATATATATATATATATCAAAAAGCTGCATCAGCAAAAAATTTATTCTTGCATACTATATTTTTATTTCATTTATGACCAAATAGTGTCATTATAAATACTGACAAACTATTGTTCTAACAAGTTAATCTTAGAATTATTGTCAGAAATTTACATAAACTTCACCTCTCTCTAGTTTCCAAATTTTCTCTCAGTTTCGGAGTCATGATCAAATATTATCATTATAAATACTGACAAACTATTGTTTTAACAAGTTTATCTTAAAATTGTCAGAAACTTACATAAACTTCACTCCCCATAATTTTCAAGTTTTCTCTCAGTTTTGGAGTTGGTACAATATTATTTGCATTTTTTCCCATTTTTCCCATGTTTCCTAACTCCCATTAATTCCACAATTACTGTCAATATTCTGAGAACATCAAAGATGCTTGATGTTTCATTACTTCTTTGATAATTTGTCTCCATAGGAAGATAAACTCATATTTTAGCAATTAGACACTCTATTTTTCTCCATTCTCTGGTTTGGAGTTTTAATTTTCTTTCAAACCTATTTGCTCTCTACTTTCCCTTCTGTTGATAATTATTTTTTATTTGAAAGGTAGATACTGAAGAAACTGAGAAGCTCTTTTTCGTGCTTATGTCCTGTAGATTTATTCATTGCATCCCAGACTTCCTTATTCTGTTTATTTCCTTGTTCCATACTTTTATATTTTAGCTTACTTAATTTTTAATTTAGAAGTGGTATGCAAGCTTCTGCTAAGTTGTCTTCTTGTTATTCTTACATGCATGTGGCATTATTTCGCATCTTTCTTTCTTTGCAGTTTCCTGTTTTGTAAATACCTGACTAACAAAGCCCAGTCTGCAGAAAAGTGGGAGGTTAAAGCCTCGAGGGATATTTTCAAAGCCATAGGCAGAAATTATTAAAAACGGCTTGTAGTTTCTTGTTCTAACTCAGCATTTCCCCAATTTCTTGCTTGAGGATATGAGTTGCTTGCAGTGCTTGTTGCTGATAAAGATTCCAAGGCTCCTACCTGCCTCCCTCAAAGATTTTCATTCAGTAGGTCTTGGATGGAGTCCAGGAATCTGTATTTTCGGAAAAATAATCTCATGTGATTCTAATTTTTTTTTGAGACGGAGTCTCTCTCTGTCACCCAGGCTAGAGCGCAGTGGCGCCATCTCGGCTCACTGCAAACTCCACCTCTTGGGTTCACACCATTCTCCTGCCTCAGCCTCCTGAGTAGCTGGGACTACAGGCGCCCGCCACCATGCCCGGCTAATTTTTTGTATTGTTAGTAGAGAAAGGGTTTCACCGTGTTAGCCAGGATGGTCTCGATCTCCTGACCTTGTCGTGATCTGCCCATCTCCCAAAGTGCTGGGATTACAGGCATGAGACACCGCACCTGGCCTTGATTCTTATCTTAAAAGAAGATCAGAGAATGTAAACTGTGGTTTTAACATTTTCTACCAATTAGAATTTTTTAGGGCTACCACAAGAAATTGTTGCAAATGTGGTGGCTTAAAACAACAGAAATTTATTCTTGCACAGTTCTGGAGGCCAAAAGTCCAAAATCAAGGTGTCAACAGGGCTTCCTCCAAAAGCTCTAGGAAAAAGTCCTTGCTTGCTTTTTTCAGCTTCTGGTGGCTATCGGCGTTTCTTGGCTTGGGGCAACATAACTTCAACCTCTCCCTCCATCTTTGTGACCTTCTTCCCCATGTCTCTGTCACAGCATCCTCTCCTTTCTCTTAGAAAGACACCAGTGTTTTAAAGCCCACCTTTAATCCAGGATGATCTCATACTGAGATCCTTAACTTTACGTCTGCAAAGACTACATTTCTTTTTTCTTTTGAAGGATGTTGGTTAAGGTTATTAGCACAAAAAATGTCATCATTGTTTCAATAAGCGACCAATCATTTTAGAGGCTGAGCACGGTGGCTCATGCCTGTAATGTTGCTGAGGCATTGGGAGACCAAAGCTGGCAGATCCCTTGAGCCCAGGAGTTTGAGGCCAGCCTGGGCAACGAGGCAAAACCCTGTCTCTAAACAAAAACAAAAAATTAGCAGGGTGTGGTGGTATATGCCTGTAGTCCCCGCTACTAGGGAGGGTGAGATGGGAGGATCACCTGAACCCAGGACGTCCAGGCTGCAGTGAGCCAGGAGTGTTCCATTACACTGCAGCTTGGGCAACAGAGCAAGACCCTCTCTCAAAAAAAAAAAAAAAAAAAAAAAAAAAAAAAAAAAAAAAAAAAAGGTTAAAAAATTAAAAGAAAATCAGAAAACTTGGGTGATCCTGGGGCAGTTCCAAGATGGCCAAATAGGAACAGCTCCAGTCTGCAGCTCCCAGCATGAGTGATGCAGAAAACAGGTGATTTCTGCATTTCCAACTGAGGAACGTAGCTCCTCGCCAGCAACAGAACAAAGCTGGATGGAGAATGACTGACGAGTTGAGAAAAGAAGGCTTCAGATGATCAAACTCCTCTGAGCTAAAGGAGGAAGTTCAAACCCATCCCAAAGAAGCTAAAAACCTTGAAAAAAGATTAGACGAGTGGCTAACTAGAATAACAAGTGTAGAGAAGTCCTGAAATGACCTGATGGAGCTGAAAACCATGGCATGAGAACTACATGACAAATGCACAAGTGTCAGTAGCCGATTCGATCAACTGGAAGAAAGGGTGTCAGTGATTGAAGATCAAATCAATGAAATGAAGTGAAAAGAGAAGTTTAGAGAAAAAAGAGTAAAAAGAAATGAACAAAGCTTCCAAGAAATATGGGACTGTGTGAAAAGACCAAATCTATGTCTGACTGGTGTACCTGAAAGTGACAGGGAGAATGGAACCAGGTTGGAAAACACTCTGCAGGACACTATCCAGGAGAACTTCCCCAACCTAGCAAGGCCAGCCAACATTCAAATTCAGGAAATACAGAGAATGCCCCAAAGATGGTCCTTGAGAAGAGCAACTCCAAGACACATAATTATCAGATTCACCAAAGTTGAAATGAAGGAAAAAATGTTAAGGGCGGCCAGAGAGAAAGGTCGGGTTTTACCCACAAAGGGAAGTCCATCAGACTAACAGCTGATCTCTCGGCAGAAACTCTACAAGCCAGAAGAGAGTGGGGGCCAATATTCAACATTCTTAAAAGAATTTTCAACCCAGGATTTCATATCCAGCCAAACTAAGCTTCATAAGTGAAGGAGAAATAAAATCCTTTACAGACAAGCAAATGCTGAGAGATTTTGTCACCACTAGGCCCGCACTACAAGAGCTCCTGAAGGAAGCACTAAACATGGAACAGAATCACCGGTACCAGACACTGCAAAAAACATGCCAAATTGTAAAGACCATCGATGCTAGGAAGAAACTGCATCAACTGACGAGCAAATTAACCAGCTAACGTTATAATGACGGGGTCAAATTCACACATAACAATATTAACCTTAAATGTAAATGGGCTAAATGCTCCAATTAAAGACACAGACTGGCAAATTTAAAGAGTCAAGACCCATCAGTGTGCTGTATTCAGGAGACCCATCTCACATGCAGAGTCACACATAGGCTCAAAATAAAGGGATGGAGGAAGATCTACCAAGCAAATGGAAAACAAAAAAAGGCAAGGGTTGCAATCCTAGTCTCTGATAAAACAGACTTTAAACCAACAAAGATCAAAAGAGACGAAGGCCATTACATAATGGTAAAGGGATCAATTCAACAAGAAGAGCTAACTATCTTAAATATATATGCACCCAATACAGGAGCACCCAGATTCATAAAGCAAGTCCTTAGAGACCTACAAAGAGACTTAGACTCCCACAGAATAATAATGGGAGACTTTAACACACCACTGTTAACATTAGACAGATCAACGAGACAGAAAGTTAACAAGGATATCCAGGAATTGAACTCAACTCTGCACCAAGTGGACCTAATAGACATCTACAGAACTCTCCACCCCAAATCAACAGAACATACATTTTTCTCAGCACCACATCACACTTATTCCAAAACTGACCACATAGTTGGAAGTAAAGCACTCTTCAGCAAATGTAAAAGAACAGAAATTATAACAAACTGTCTCTCAGACCACAGTGCAATCAAAGTAGAACTCAGGATTAAGAAACTCACTCAAAACCGCTCAACTACATGGAAACTGAACAATCTGCTCCTAAATGACTACTAGGTACATAACGAAATGAAGGCAGAAATAAAGATGTTCTTTGAAACCAATGAGAACAAAGACACAACATACCAGAATCTCTGGGATACATTCAAAGCAGTGTGTAGAGGGAAATTTATAGCACTAAAGGCCCACAAGAGAAATCAGGAAAGATCCAAAATTGACGCCTTAACATCACAATTGAAAGAACTAGAGAAGCAAGAGCAAACACATTCAAAAGCTAGCAGAAGGCAAGAAATAACTAAGATCAGAGCAGAATTGAAGGAGATAGAGACACAAAAAAAAAAACTGCAAAAAATCAATCAATCCAGGAGTTGTTTTTTTAAAAAGATCAACAAAATTGATAGACCACTAGCAAGACTAATAAGAAAAGAGAGAAGAATCAAATAGACACAATAAAAAATGATAAAACGGATATCACCACCAATACCACAGAAATACAAGCTACCCTCAGAGAATACTATAAACACCTCTGTGCAAATAAACTAGAAAATCTAGAAGAAATGGATAAATTCCTGGACATATACACCCTCCCAAGACTAAACCAGGAAGAAGTTGAATCCCTGAATAGACCAATAACAGGCTCTGAAATTGAGGCAATAATTAATAGTTTACCAACCAAAAAAAGTCCAGGACCAGACGGATTCACAGCCGAATTCTACCAGAGTTACAAGGAGGAGCTGGTACCATTCCTTCTGAAACTATTCCAATCAATAGAAAAAGAGGGAATCCTCCCTAACTCATTTTATGAGGCCAGCATCATCTTGATACCAAAGCCTGGCAAAAAAAGAGAATTTTAGACCAATATCCTTGATGAACATTGATGCAAAAATCCTCAATAAAATACTGGCAAACTGAATCCAGCAGCACATCAAAAAGCTTATCCACCATGATCAAGTGGGCTTCATCCCTGGGATGCAAGGCTTGTTCAACATATGCAAATCAATAAACATAATCCAGCATATAAACAGAACCAAAGACAAAAAAACACATGATTATTTCAATAGATGCAGAAAAGGCCTTTGACAAAATTCAACAGCACTTCATGCTAAAAACTCTCAATAAATTAGGTATTGATGGGACATATCTCAAAATAATAAGAGCTATTTATGACAAACCCACAGCCAATATCATACTGAATGGGCAAAAACTGGAAGCATTCCCTTTGAAAACTGGCACAAGACAGGGATGCCCTCTCTCACCACTCCTATTCAACATAGTGTTGGAAGTTCTGGCCAGGGCAATCAGGCAGGAGAAAGAAATAAAGGGCATTCATTTAGGAAAAGAGGGAGTCAAATTATCCCTGTTTGCAGATGACATGATTGTATATTTAGAAAACCCCGTGATCTCAGCCCAAAATCTCCTTAAGCTGATAAGCAACTTCAGCAAAGTCTCAGGATACAAAATCAATGTACAAAAATCACAAGCATTCTTATACACCAATAACAGACAGAGAGCCAAATCGTGAGTGAACTCCCATTCACAGTTGCTTCAAAGAGAATAAAATACCTAGGAAACCAACTTACAAGGGATGTGAAGAACCCCTTTGAGGAGAACTACAAACCGCTGTTCAGTGAAATAAAAGAGGATACAAACAAATGGAAGAACATTCCATGCTCATGGATAGGAAGAATCAATGTCATGAAAATGGCCATACTGCCTGAGGTAATTTATAGATTTAATGCCATCCCCATCAAGCTACCAATGAGTTTCTTCATAGAACTGGAAAAAACTACTTTAAAGTTCATATGGAACCAAAAAAGAGCCCTCATTGCCAAGACAATCCTAAGGCAAAAGAACAAAGCTGGAGGCATCACTCTACCTGACTTCAAACTATACTACAAGTCTACAGTAACCAAAACAGCATAGTACTGGTACCAAAACAGAGATACAGACCAATGGAACAGAACAAAGCCCTCAGAAATAATACCACACATCTACAACCATCTGATCTTTGACAGACCTGACAAAAACAAGAAACGGGGAAAGGATTCCATATTTAATAAATGGTGCTGGGAAAATTGGCTAGCCATATGTGGAAAGCTGAAACGGGATCCCTTCCTTACACCTTATAAAAAAATTAATTCAAGAGGGGTTAAAGACTTAAATCTTAGACTTAAAACCATAAAAACTCTAGAAGAAAAGCTAGGCAATACCATTTAGGACATAGGCATGGGCAAGGACTTTATGTCTAAACACCAAAAGCAATGGCAACAAAAGACAAAATTGACAAATGGGATCTAATTAAAGAGCTTCTGCACAGCAAAAGAAACTTCCATCAGAGTGAACAGGCAACCTACAGAATGGGAGAAAATTTTTGCAATCTACTCATCTGACAAAGGGCTAATATCCAGAATCTACAAAGAACTCAAACAAATTTACAAGAAAAAAACAACCCTATCAAAAAGTGGGTGAAGGATATGAACAGACACTTCTCAAAAGAAGACATTTATGCAGCCCACAGACATGTGAAAAAATGCTCATCACTGGCCATCAGAGAAATGCAAATCAAAACCACAATGAGATACCATCTCACACCAGTTAGAATGGCAATCATTAAAAAGTCAGGAAACAACAGGTGCTGGAGAGGATGTGGAGAAATAGGAACACTTTTACACTGTTGGTGGGACTGTAAACTAGTTCAACCATTGTAGAAGACGGTGTGGTGATTCCTCAAGGATCTAGAACTAGAAATACCATTTGACCCAGCCATCCCATTACTGGGTATATACCCAATGGATTATAAATCATGCTTCTATAAAGACACATGCACACATAGTTTATTGTGGCACTATTCACAATAGCAAAGACTTGGAACCAACCCAAATGTCCATCAGTGATAGACTGGATTAAGAGAATGTGGCACATATACACCATGGAATACTATGCAGCCATAAAAAAAGGATGAGTTCATGTCCTTTGTAGGGACGTGGATGAAGCTAGAAACCATCATTCTCAGCAAACTATTGCAGGGAAAAAAAAAAAAACACTGCATGTTCTCACTCAGGTGGGAATTGAACAATGAGAACACTTGGACACAGGACAGGGAACATCGCACACTGGGTCCTGTCGTGGGGTAGAGGGGAGTGGGGAGGGAAAGCATTAGGAGATATACCTAATGTAAATGACGAGTTAATGGGTGCAGCACACCAACATGGCACAAGTATACATATGAAGCAAATCTGCACGTTGTGCAAATGTACCCTAGAACTTAAAGTCTAATAAAAAAATTAAAAGAAAATCAATTTAGAAAATAGTGTACATAAAATTTTATATAACTATTATTTACATGTATAGATACTCTGAATCATGCTCACCAATATATCTATAATGCTGAATTTCCGCTGACTTTGACTTTCTTCTTTTAGATTTTCTGTACTATTTTGCTCATCCTCCATGTGGAGGTATCATTTTTCAAGTAGAAAAAAAAAAAGGTATTTTAACCTTGAAAGTTAAAATAACAAAAAGCAAAGTCTTCTGTAGATCTGTGCATAGTTACAATGACAAAGCAGAACCACAAGAAATACTTAAGTATTGACAAAGACTCTATTTCTAAAGAAAGTCACATCCACAGGTCCTGGGGGTTAGAATTCGATGTACCTTTTTGATACCTAACAATTCAGCCCACTACCCCAGGGGAACTTTAATATGCCCTATATTGCCAATTAAATTATAATGGAGGCTCAGGCATGGGTAATTTTTAAAACCTGTTCACGTGATTCTCATGTGCAACCTTATCCTGATGGTTATTGAGTCTCTGCCACTCCATTGAACTTCTTTCAATATCTCTCTATTATATCCCTCCAAACCTCAGTTGCTTTTCTTTGCCTTCCCTCCCGAGTTGGAGTCTTGCTCTTTCACCCAGGCTGGAGTGCAATGACGCAGTCTCAGCTCGCTTTGACTTCCGCCTCCTGGGTTCAAGTGATTCTCCTGCCTCAGCCTCCCAGGTTGTGGGTGGCAAGCCACCCAGGCACCGAGGCAAGAGACAGAGGACACGAGCTGTTCCAGTATAATAAAATATAAAACAAGAATTGTTATACCAGATATAGATCTTAGATATGATTATATATGAGTATCATTAATCATTAGTTGGTAGCAATTACTTTTTATTCCAATATTATGATAATCCTCACTCAATAATCATAGCCTAGGAAAAACCAGGCCATACAGAGATAGGAGCTGAGGGGACATAGAAGTGACCAGAAGACAAGAGTGCGAGCCTTCTGTTATGCCTGGACAGGGCCACCAGAGGGCTCCTTGGTCTAGCGGTGACATCAGCGTCTGGGAAGACGCCCGTCACCAAGCGGATCATGGTCCAGCCGTAGCAAAATGTGTCAAGAAACAACACCCGCTACTTAGCAGACCGGGAAAGGGGAGGTCTCCCTTTCCCTGGGGGAGTTTAGAGAAGACTCTGCTCCTCCACCTCTTGTGGAGGGCCTGACATCAGTCAGGCTCGCCCGCAGTTATCCGGAGGCCTGTCTCCCTGTGATGCTGTGCTTCAGTGGTCACGCTCCTAGTCCACCTTCATGTTCCATCCTGTACACCTGGCTCTGCCTTCCAGATAGCAGTAGTAAATTAGTGAAAATACTAATAGTCCCTGATATGCAGAAATAATGGCGTAAGCTGTCTTTCTCTTTGTCTCCTCTCCCTCTCTGCCTCGGCTGCCAGGCAGGGAAGGGCCCCCTGTCCAGTGGACATGTGACCTTACCTATCATTGGAGGTGACTCACATTCTTTACCCTGCCCCTTCTGCCTTGTATCCAATAAATAACAGTGCAGCCCGACATTCGGGGCCACTACCGGTCTCCGCGCATTGGTGGTAGTGGTCCCCTGGGCCCAGCTGCCTTTTCTCTTATCTGTTTATCTTGTGTCTTTATTTCTACACTCTCTCGTCGCCGCACACAGGGAGAGACCCACCGACCCTGTGGGGCTGGTCCCTACACAGGTAACTGGAATTACAGGCATGTGCCACCACGCCCAGCTAATTTTTGTATTTTTAATAGAGACGAGTTTTTACCTTATTGGCCAGACTGGTCTTGAACTCCTGACCTTACGGGATCTGCCCACCTCAGCCTCCCAAAGTGCCGGGATTACAGGTGTGAGCCACAATGCCCAGCCTGCTTTTGCTTTTCTAGTGTGTTTTTTTCAAGTAATTCAGCAGATTATTTCTGGTAGGAAGGAGCTAACTGGAGCTGCCTCACCGGTTACTGGCCAGTGATTATTTTAACTGTCTTTATGATGCTGACAGATATTTTGTTGTTTCAGTTTTTATCAAGAGTAAACATGAATTATTTAGAGACTTCAGCAGCATTAATATCTCCATTGGTTAAAAATATATATATATATATAAATATGCATGTACATGCACACACACACACGTAAAAATCAGGGTCAAAGGAAATAATTATGTAAAAATCTAGGTCGTGGATGGCACATAGTGGTTTAACTGTAGATTTATGTTCTTTTCCTTTCTTCTTTCTTCTTCCTTCCAAATAATCTTCTTTTCTCAAGTGGGAATATATGTTTTTTTTTTCAATTGAAATTATTTCAGAAAACAGCAACATTTCTGAAATCCTTTATTGGTTAATATTAAATTTATTATTTTGAAAGGTGTTCAGTTGAAGTCCTATATTGATCCAGGAAACATTTCTATCATGCCAAGTTGGGGTTTTAAAAACAGAAGCTATATGCATCTTTGCCTAAGATGTAACCAATACGTCAGTAAATAATTTCTGCCACTGTAACATTTTGTCATTGATGTCAAAATATTTCATTACAGCATATGTAAGGTCTAAACCTACCTCTGTATTTCCCTGCAGCGTTTTTTTAAAGGGTCCAGTTTTCCTACAACAGTGACTCCTCTGCTTGGATGCAGAGTCTCAGACATGAGCTAAAATTTGCTGTGTAGCCATAGCAGCATTTTCTCTCTCTTGTTCCTTTCAGTCATTGGCAATATGACCACATCTAACTACCAAAAAACAAAACGAAATGAAATAAATAACAACACAAAAACACCTTTCCACTGCTGCACATCCCAGAAGCACAGCATTGTGTAGTTTGATATCCCGCACAGTAGAGAAGATGTCCATATTTGAATCACTGGTGGCTGCTCATTGCTTTGATGAAATCTTTCTAGAATTTGAGCAGGCCTGAGGTGAGTGAAATCAGGACCTTCTGTACCCTGCCAGGAAGGCAGTCGTGGTGTAACTTCTGTGAGTTGTCTGGAGCCAACCTCCTCTTCAGAGAAGAAGCTACAGAACACCGTAGCTTAAACACTATAGGGTTTAAAGTTTTAAAACACTATCAAACACTAAAAACTTCTAAAGTTTTAAAACACTATCGTGTTTTATTGATGTATTCTCTAAATATTTTTTACAATGTTATTTTCATATGAGTCCACATTAGACCTGCTCTGGTGTTTTTAGCCACTGTGTTCTAGATACTGGGTCTCAGGGGAAAAAGGCAAAGTTTCTGCTCTAGAAGGTTGCATGGGGGATAGTGGTTGTGGTGTGCAAAACCTCAATAAGGAGATGACAATTCTACATGATGTGCTTATATGTGAATTTTCTGAAGATCGCTACATTCTTTTAAGTGAATAATTTATACTTTTCCTCTGCTTTTGTATATGTAAATTCTTATACAGTAGCACTGAATCCTTACAGGTTCTGAAATTCTAGGTTCAGTGCATACCCATTCTCTATTCAATTTCTATTGCTATTTTTAAAACTGATGTAGATACATTTAGCTAAAGAAAGTCGGATAATACATAGGTGCTTACAACAACAAAAAATAGTAGATAGTATAATAGTACAATAGTAGATAGTAATCATTCTACACCTTTTGTATAATTGCCAGTGGCAAGTATTTTTAACTCTTAGCCAAGTTTCCTGGTTATTACCTCTACTTGCATATAAGGTAGTATGTTTAAGTGCCATTTCTTGGTTTCTGAAAATTATACTCCTCTCTTGACTTCCTCTTGACTAGAACATAATTTAAGTTATAAGTTTTAAAGTTTTAAAAGCTTTAAATTAAAAGTACAAGTAAAGAAATGTACTACACAGCTTTATAGAAAATAATATTATATTGTGATAACAATAATGTAAACATGCTTACCTCATGGTATAATTAAAAGCTGTGACACTATATTGAGAAAATGGAAAAAAAATTGTGTGGAGTACCAAAAAATAGTCAAATTTCTAATTTTTAATAAAGACATTAGGAAGTGATATACAACAAAAATTATTTATGAAAATATTGCTTGTGTTTTAGTAACTCTTTCTTTTTAAATATTTGTGTGTGGAAGAATATATGTCAATCATTTGTGTTTTCCTTATGTTCAGATAAAGGGTGATTTTGATTTTATTTCATTGTGGTAGGAGAAAAAGTCTGTGTGATATTCTTTCTTTGGAAGCTATTGCGACTGCTTTGTGACCTAGGAAATGATTGCTTTTATGGAATTCCTTTGTGAACACAAGAAAAATGTATATATTTTAAAATTTGATAGTGGTAAATTTCTTTTGACAAATAGAAGGATAGATTGATGGATTGATAGGTGATATTGATCAAGCCTATTAATTTTGTTGTTACTATCCTATGTATCCTTATTGATATTTTGCCTGCTTAAGGATAATGTAAAAACATAAGGTAGTTTTCCTGAAATGTATTTACTTGTTTATATGTAAATTGGCAAACATAAAATCTATCTCATATTGTTGGCATGAGGATTAAATAGAGAACACAAAACCACCAAATACAGTGTTTGAGTAGTTAATTGTATTAACTACAACTTCTTTATTAGTTAGTAGTACTACCCTCTCCTTTGTTCTTTAATTCCATTAATAGGTTAATGTCAGGCTGATCTTATTCTGTAAGATCATTTAAAATATTGGTTTACATGTCATGTAATTTCACATTAAATAATTTACAATGATTTTCAATTCTGAATCTTGCTAGATGTTTTAAATAGATCTTTGAATATTGACCATAGTATCAGATGTGTATAATTTCATATGTAAATAATCATATATTGGAGTTCAATAAAATATTAGGACATCTTACTTTTAGAGGTGAGTGCTCACAAATAAGGACAAAGTACTTTTAACTATAAATGTACACTGGTAAACATGTGTGAGCTATCAGGCATGACTAGGTTTAGTAATACTGCCTTACACTTGCATTTAACCCTGATAATTCTCGTAGGTCCCCTTTCATTGAGTGCATGCTTCTTTTTTTAACGTTCTTTCTATTTAGTGATTTTTATGTTTCCTGTGTCAGGAAACGTTTTTAAAATGTGCTAGTTTTAGTGACATCTAACGCTTCACACTTAATGACACTGTGATTTCTCATTTGCAATCAGGATCTGGCAGTGTGAAGCTCACTGATAATTTGATTTCTTGGGAAATTTTATGTTGTTTTTTACATGTTGGGAGAAAGATCTATAACTAGAATAAATAAGAGTGAATTCTTAGAAACCATTTATAATCGTATCTTGATCCAGTATTGATGTAATAACCAAAGCTGTCTATTTTGGGTATTATCAAAGTTAAGTCTGATCCATTTGAAGTGTCATTTGCTTCTCTTTCCCTGAGTGCTTTGCTTTCCTTTTATGAAAAATAAAAGGCAATTGCCTGGGTAGCCTGAGCAGAGTCAAGATATCAGAATTATAAATGGACATCAACCACAGAGCTAGGAACAAGGAATCTCAAGGTGTATTATTTTCAGTGGAAAGTCAATGTGTATAAGCAAATTGATAAAAAAATTACTCATTTTAATAATATGCTACTTTTAAAAGTAGCAAAAATGAAACTGAACGAAAAGTACCCCAGGCAACCTCACTACTACTTCAGGGCCCTGAAGTGTCTATTCCTTGTGCTTATATACTGCTATAGTGAATAATTGCAGTGTATGAATTTGAATGAGAGAAAAACAATGAAATGCCACATAACATAATGATGCATTTTTGAAATTTCTGTAGTTTTAAAAGGTTGTCACTGTGAAATATAATTTGTCTTACTCCTTTTCTCTTGGAAGTTGTAGTGTTGTAGGCACACTAAAAATAAAAGGCTGAAATTTCCTGAAGTAAAGTCTTAAAATATATAACCAAATTAATTTACTTGAGATACTTCACATGTATTTTGAGTTTTAATATAAATTATAGATAAATTAATCATTGTTGATTTTATCTGTCACATGTTATTTGGCATTTCTAAGTTATCAAATTTATTATTTTCTTAATTACTTCTTGGGATAAAAAATCTAAATTCATTGTTTAATTATTAACTTTAGGACTACATTAAACCTACATTCATTTTAGTAGTAATTATTTTAATTGCCAGGGAGAATTATCATTGTTAGATATGAGTTTATTCTTTGACTTGGAAGATTTTTCTGTTGTGCTAAAATGTATTAAAAAAACAGAAAATGCAACTTGAATCTCCTATTCAGTTTTTCAGTCAACTAGTTTCTTCCTATCAATATTTATGTATGTATGTTCAACATTTTCCCTCTTAAAGAAAGATTACCACCAATATAACTCTCTTCTAATCCTGTATCTCTCGTTAAGGATCACATTAATTCTTACATTCTTCACATTCAGATTTCCTGGAAAAGTTGCATAAAACTTTATGTATCCATCTTCCACTCAGTCTACTAATACTGGAAATTTATTTTCCCCTTAAACCATTCCACCAAAACTGTCTTTGACAAGCTCAATAGACTTACAAAAAAAAAAAAAAATCTGAGCAGCACACTTCAAGTTTGTATCTAACTTATCTGAGCAGCGCTGAACACTGCTGTCCTTCTCCTTCAAACACTTCTCTTGCCTTTAGTGACTGATATTTCTTGATTTCCCTCTTATATTTTTCTGGTTCCTCTGTCTCTACCTAACCCTCATATATACGTTCACTGTTTTCTTTGAGAGGGTGGGTAAATTATTTTCTAAAATGTTCTCACTTTTTATTTTTTCAGTGGGGGTGGTGGGTAAATTTCTCACTCCAGGTTTAACATTTAAAATTGTTGCAGGTTAATTCAGGTTTTATACATGTGTTCTTGAGATCCTGATGTTTCACTACGGTGTTTATGTGAATTTATTTTTACTTATTTCAAAATAGATTTTGCTTCCTGAATCTAAAGTCATGTCTCCTTAAATTCTGGGACATTTTAAGAAATTGTCTTCTTAAATATTGCTTGCTATCCTGATTTTCTCTCCTTCCTGTTTTAACAACTATTAGTTTGTTAGATTCTGTCCTTCATGATTTCTCTTTTATATTGTTCTTAAACTCTGAGCTGCAACTATGGTGATTTCTTCAGATCTTCCAGTTTAGTAATTCTCTCTTCAAGTGTACTAATTTGTAATTTAACTTGTTCATGCGGTTTGTAATTCCAAAACTACAGTTTTCATTTCTGAATGTCCTATTTGGTTGCTTTTCAAATCTGCCTATTTTATCTGTGTGTCTTTTTACATGGTTTTTATTTTTGTCCTTACCTTTTAAATACATTTTGACTTACCTATTTTATATTCCCTATCAGATTTCAATCTATAGCCTCTACAGATAGATTTTTTAAAAATATCTAAAGATATTCTGGATCTAATCCTGTTGTTTGTTAGGTCTGCTGAATTTTAGTCACCAGATTTTAATTATTTTATAATTATTATTATTGGTAAGTTTAATTTTTTTTGTCCCATGTGGAAATTTTAGGAAGACTTTCTTGGGTGATGTCTTTCCTGAGCACCCTGTCACTGTTCTGAAATATTATTACATGGCCTGGATTAATTTTTATTTGAATTTTTCAACTTAAGATTTCTGAATTACAGGAAGTAGAGCTCGTGACTGATTATAGCCTTGTGATCATCTATTTTCAAGGGGACTTTTTTCCCCTCTCACAGTCTAGGCTGAGATATCTCTTTCTACTAGGAGGAGATATTATCTAACTCACCCTTGTACTTAGAGTTTAGACTTTGAAGGTCCTAGCTTATGTTGGCATCTTTTGTAGAACTAGAGAATTCTCTCCTGTCCCAGATTGACATTAAAACCCAGGCATCTAGATAGATTACAGAACCAGCTTTCTTTTACTGCCTTTGGAGGCAAAACTACACATGCATGCACAGGCAACGTTTTTATATATCATTCACTCACAATTCTAGTTTTTAGGACCCCTTTTATTTCTGGACTCTGAAAATTTATATTCTTTGTATACATTTACCTATATATTGAAATATTTGGCTGTTATTTTACCTAACATTCCTGATTGTCTGCCATATTGTCAGAACTATTCAATATTTTTTCCTTGCACTTCTTTTAGTCTCATTGTATATGTACTTCCTAGGTGTTCTCTTTGACTTTCTAATACTTTGTCATTTAAATAGTGATCATTTCCAACTCTGTCTTGCAAGCCTATTTCACTACTTCTATCTTATACCTTATTGCAACCTTTCTAAAATTCTTTCATTTTCTCAAACATTGTATATACCCTCACTTCCGGGCCGTCATGAATCTGTCTCTTTCTTTGGAACATTGTAGAAGCACTCCTTCTCCTCTTGTTCATGTGCCTTAATTCAAACATATTATTCATATCAGTTTTATATCCCTTTCTCTGGGAAGCAATACATAAATAGCCGAGATTAGTTTGGCTACTTCTGCTGTGTACTATAATAACACATTACATTGCCTATAAAATAACATCTATCAGATATTTATTAAAATCACTTAATTGTATTCCAAATGTCTTCCCTAGTAGATTGTAAGCACTCTGAAAAATGAGAATACTCAATATTGTATTCCTAGTGCCTAGCACTCTTTCATTCACTCACTCATTCATTCACTCTGGGTGGTATATTTCTAAGGCCTAGAACTCTATCTGATATAAAATTCTCAGTTAAATATCTTGAACCAATAAAATATTTCAGTGATATTTTCTTCCATTTTGCAAATCACAGACCTCTGTTCAGAGATGTTAGGTAACTACCCAATATCACACATTAATTGGCAATACAGTCAGGATTTGAACCCACATTTACCTGCCCGCAAAGCCTTGTTTTTTGTATGTGGCATTATACTTGGTATATAAAATGAGATTGTTATGTGACAGCAAGGAAAGAGTGGCAAAACGATGACAATTTGTGGTACACTACTCTCATATCGTTTTCTCCAAAATGCATTTACTCTATTGGATCATTTGAAGTCTGTCCTATATAAGTACCAATTCTTGGGAGCCACAACTAGTGTCAATATCTAGAAATGTAATGTATTTTCTCAGTGAATCTAGTGAATGTGTAATCTTTAAAAGCACCACTTTTCATAAGAATATTTAATTATGTACCATAAGGTAGGTAAAAATTAGAATTGAAGTTTAAATGTTAGATGTAAACTACAGAATGAAGAATTAAATTTTTAATTCCTTCCCAAATCTTTCTAAGCTATAAATACTCTTTCAAAAGTATTAGTATAATCAGCATGGTATAGTGAAAAAAATAATGTATTTTGGCATTGATCAGAGTGTTGTATTCAAACTTTACTGCCACTTGCTATTTATGTGATATGTCCTTAGGCAGGATATACTGTTTTCTTCTGCAAATTGGTGTTAGTGTTAACAATTGCAGGGATATTGTCAAGAGTATCAGTGTATTGGTAATATATCTACAGCTAGCCTAGTATCATATATTCAATAAATAATAGGTAATGTGTTTATTATTGTCTTTTTCAGGTGAAGATAATACTTTCCTAAATCTGGACTCGTACAATATTCTTATCTTGTCATTAATTTTAACTTGAATCTTCTATGCAATTTCCACATACATAATTTTGAAGGATAAATTTATCTATATAGCTCATGTGTTACATGATCTCAAACATACCTATGGCATAGGTTTTGAGACTTTATTAACAAATTACTTAAAAATATTATTTTGGGGGGCAAGGAGGAGGAATAAGGAAAATTCCTAGGTCAGAGACAGGAAAGAAGCCTGAATTAGATTTGAAATCTACCTTCCTGGGAGACATTCCTCTAAGCTTTGTATACTGGTTAAATATAAGTACCATACCAATCACGATTACCCTTGAGAGAAAGACAATTGTAGCCATTTATATAATAGCTTACCTATAACCTGACAATAAATTTTAAGTGAAACATATAATAGGTAAATTGAGCATACTACCTGTAATAATAGAAGATTTTTAACAGTCCATTAATCCATATTAAATATTCTATGAGGTTTAAGTAACTACCAAGATAAAATATAGTTTTCTTTTCCTTTCTATAATTGTAACTTGATGACATGTAAGCCATTTTTGTTCATAATTTTTCTCTTTTTCAGAGTTAATCAGGTAATTCTTGCAAGTGTCCTGCAATTTGTATCCAAAGTCAAAGAATTTTTATGCAAAGTCAAGAAATAAAAAATTGTGTGTAATATTTAAATCTTTGTCAAATATAAGAATTCGTAATGACATTTTAACAGAGCAGGTATCCAGAAATAAACCCATATATTCAGATGCTATTTTCAACTTTTAAATTAACACTAATATGAAAGAACAGGAAAAATGTTAAATTTATTTTAAGAGGTTTTTAAAACACAATAATCAATTATGGTAATTTATTATAATGCTGTGAAAACCCCGGGAGTTATTCAAGTGGTGAATCCTACTTTTTGCTACATTAAATGCTTTCAGGGTATTATGCATTTCTAGATGATATCTCTTCTGACTTCTTGATCTCTAGGACTTATAGGACCCAAGAGATAAGATTATAAACCAGAAGTCTGAAACCAGAGAAGCTGAGTGATTTACTCAGTCATAGTACTTTGAGAATGAAACAGAAATGAAACATTAATAACTTTCCTCCTGTACATGTCTCTCTTTAAATAATTACTCTCTTCAGTGATTTCCCTTCAGCCTTATTCTAGTTCCCAATGTTTTTCTCTACAGTAATTTTTCTCCATAAGCTAAGTTGGACTATAAGGTTAACAACAAGAGACATGATGTAACTATCATTAAAAAATTAATCACATATGATATATAATTGTTAAAGCACACGTTTACATTATATGTGTTTATGTTTTATTCAGTGTGGGCAGAAGGTTAATGTCTCATTTTCTTAGAGGTTGAATGTACTGAATATTAGATTTTTAAATTTAGTTTGATAACTTTTTTTATATATTCAGAGCTAATTTCCACTTTATTTTTTGACTGTTTTTTAGTGTTAAAATCTAACAGTTGGAAATAATTTTAAAATTTACATGGAAAATTTCCCAACCGATGAAGTATCATCAGTTTCAAAAGTTTTCAGATGCTTAGGATGATTTATTTTTTTCTTAGCAAAACTTAGAATATTGATTAATATGCTCCTAAGTTTATAGAAGAGAGATAAAATTTAAATTAGCTTATTATAGAGTCAAAAAAGATGTAATGTTATTTTTAAAGATTAGATCTCATCATATCTGAGTCCCCATTTTATTGTTTACTCATTTGAACCAAAACTTGAGTTGATTCTCTGTTTAAATGCCTTGATTCTTGTCTACAGTACATCTTCTACACTGCAGTACATCCACTAAACAGTTATTATCTATCTAAGGACAAAAGCATATTTCGGACAACGTTCGTGCTGATTCTTGAAACATAAATGTGAGTTCTCACTATCTTGTTAGGCAACAAAGAGAAGAAACTTACGAAGGAGTGGCTGACATGAACAAAATCTTGTTAACTGAATCCTAAAATAGTGGAAATATTTAGAGACACATTTCTGATAAACACAAGAAAGTACTCCTTTGCAAAATGAAACAATGTATGAGAAATGTTTAAACCTTATGCTGAATATATGCTAACAATATGAGGAGATTAAAATAACGGTTTAGGTACATTCATGGATGGTAAGGGAAAGTGAGATAGGAAATTGGTAATAGAGTGTAGTACAAAGAGTGCTGGATGGGGAGCTTCATGAAATGAATTCTAAGACCTGTTTTTCCTTAAGGAGATACATGTATCATTAGGCAAGTCTAATTTCTCTCAGTTTCAGTTGCCTTATAGCTAAAATGATTGGACATAATTAGTCCATTTTTTAAGCAGAGAAATATATTTTTGTTATTCATATATTTTTCTCCAAAATAAAATAGTGCTCAAAACTACAAAATTGAAATGACTGATTGATTGATGAGTAACATGTGAATAGATTTGGCTGGAGAAGTTTGAATAGCCAAAGTCAAGCCTGTTCAGCCATCAGTTGTTCTTGACAGCCCTGAGACAATGCAGAGAATACAATTTGAAAATATTTACAAATATTTTACAAATATTCTCTGCGTTGTCTTCCCTCAAATATATTCTATGATTCTGTGTCAGTGGTCTTAAATGGAAAAACAAATATTAGTCACAAAATGTCATTGGCTTCCGCTGTCACAAGAACAATTAAAGAATATGGGCCAGGCGCAGTGGCTCACGCCTGTAATCCCAGCACTTTGAGAGACTGAGGCATGTGGATCACAAGGTCAGGAGATCGAGACCATCCTGGCTAACATGGTGAAACACCGTCTCTACTAAAAATACAAAAAATTAGCCTGCATGGTGGTGCGCACCTATAGTCCCAGCTACTTGGGAAGCTGAGGCAGGAGAATCGCTTGAACCCAGGAGGCAGAGGTTTCAATTAGTCTGGATCTCGCCACTGCACTCCAGCCTGAGCCACAGAGTGAGACTCCATATCAAAAACAAACAAACAAACAAACAAAAAGAATATGGACCATAGGTCTATTTCAGTATATCAGTTTTTTCTATCTTTATGTAATTAAACTGATAGAGTTTCTTATTTCTTATTTTTCTTCTTTAAATATCTTTTAAAGGAGCTCTTGTGTGTGAAGATTTGTAATGCTATCCATATTCTCCTGAGCTTAAAGGTCTGATATTGAGCAACTTAAATAAACTCTAGGTGAATAACTTTCACCATGTATGAATTAGAGAAAATAAAACTTTCTCCTGGGACATATTAGTAAGCAATTCTAAATTCCTTGGATAAAGTGTTCAGCAATTATATTTTTCTCTGACTACTGTTACCCCTCTTTTTTGGCTATTCACCTTGATTATCAGATTTTATTATGACAGTGTTGTCTTTTAGATTTATTGATATTCAAATTGGCTAATTATCTCTTTTTCAAACTCTTTTTCTATGCTAATTATATGCCTTTCTGTTGTAATTATCTAAAGGTTAGTAAGGAGGTCTCTTGATTTAATTATGTAAAATTCATCTTGAAATCTAATTCTTTGCTATTTTTTTTTCGGTTTTTTGTTTTTTTTGTTGTTGTTGTTTTGTTCTTTTTCGTAGACTAAGATTTCATACTTTTCTTTGTAACTAGGTGATACTGGCTTACCTAAATGATTTTATTGTGTTTATTTTTTTTTTAACTTTCACCATATAATGTTAACATCTTTCAGACGCAGAGTGAGATCTGACTTTTCATCTTTGGCTCTCTGTATTCAGAAAAGGCCTTCCACTATTAAAGCATAAACACATTACTTTGCAGCTCCAGAGTGTACAGCTCCAATAGCTGTTATCCACTGAGTGAATGTTGAGTCCCTTGGTGCATGGAGTTGACATCTATTCATTTTTCTAGCAGTATAATGAATCCAAATGATCCTTCATAAAATAATTCTCCTAGGCTTTCAGTCACTGGAAAGCACTCATTTAAAGTATATTAAAAGTATGTGTGTCCTATGTCCTCAAGAAGTTATAGTCACTGTATTTGTTTATCTGCCATTTCCTCTGTGCCTTTGTAGAGAACAGGGAAGGAGTTCTGATCACATTATCAGATGATACGAATTATGTCATGCACAGTCAATAACATGTTACCTTTTGGACATTTTTATATCTTTCACAGAATTCCCAACTTGTGAGCCACTAACCCAATTCGTATGCAAAAGTGGAAGATGCATTAGCAGCAAATGGCACTGCGACTCTGGCAAGTACCAAATGCTCACTGTATAGCACTAATTTGATCGGGGGCTTGGCGGTCTGGACTGCCTGGCTTTCTTCAGAGGTACTTTGTAGGGGAATCTTGCAGAGCCAAGAAAAACGGCTAAAACAAGTGGTGAGCGGGCAGCTAGCAGCACATCAGTGGGAATTAGCATTAAAGATAATGGAACTCAATATTTGCCCCATGGGTGTGTGATAGAGATTTGTTTTCAAATGTTATGTTGGACATAGTCTAATTCTACAAACATGTAGTAAAGTGGACAATTGAGAAAATAACCTGGACATCTCGGGTTCCATAAAACATGCGTGTAACCTCAGGAGGAGAAGCTTATACATTGCTATGAAATTACCCAGATAGTCTCAACTCTGTCAGTTTCCTCTTATGTTCAAATGGTATTTTATTCTCATATTCAATTGTATTACTATGCTAAATTATGCCAAATACAGGTAAATTAATTATATAGGAATCAATGCATTCCCAGCCATTTATTTTAATTTGATCTAATTTTCCTTCACAGCTCTCTCCCCTCCCTCCCGAAATGGTTGTTAATAAAGAATATAAATCATTTCTAATGATACTGTACAACAGTTTCCAAGTACAAATATATACAGAGGAGCCAAGGAGGAGGGGTAAAGAGTGGGTTCTCATGTTGGAGAATGGGGAAAAAGGGAGGATATTGAAGATAGAATTATAAACTATGGGACATGAGAACTATAGGTTTAAGTAATAATCTTCCACAATAATTATATTATTGGTTGTATCATTTCATGAAATTCCTACAGTCACCATTGCCTCCTTGTTTCGTGGTGCATAGATGAATTCAGTCAGTGGTTAGTTATTTCTGTGTGGAACAGAAATTAAGCTTCAAAATCCAAAGTCAAGGATTTTTTTCTCTCAGTTTAGCAGTTGATATTAAATCAAAGGAGAAGCAATATGAAGATGAAAATAATTCTTCCACTGTTTATCAGCAATGTTGTTCCACTGATTCAATTATCATTCATTTTTCAAAAAAAAAAAACAACTTTATATAGGAAATAAATAAATAAATCAAAGGGCCGGGCACAGTGGCTCACGTCTATAACCCCAGTATTTTGGGAGGCCGAGGAGGGTGGATTGCTTGAGGCCAAGAGTTTGATACCAGCCTGGCCAACACATGGCGAAACCCCATCTTTACTAAAGAAATACAAAACAAATTAGCTGGGTGTGGTGACATACATCTGTGGTCCCACTTACTTGGGAGGCTGGAGTGGGAGTATCATTTGAGCCCCAGGAGGTGAAAGTTGCAGTGAGCCGAGATAGTGCCACTGCACTACAGGTTGGGTGACAGAGCAAGACTCTGTCTCAAAAAACAACAACAACAACAGAAACCAGTTAGATATTTCATAAGAAAAAATTTCTTCATGGTTCAGATTTCACTGCCTCATGTTGATGTTTCTTTCCAGATGACGACTGTGGGGACGGGAGTGATGAGGTGGGCTGTGTTCACTCTTGCTTTGATAATCAGTTCAGATGTTCCAGTGGCAGATGCATCCCAGGCCACTGGGCCTGTGATGGTGACAATGACTGTGGGGACTTCAGTGATGAAGCCCAGATCAATTGTACTAAAGAAGGTTAGTAATTTTATAAATTAATGAAATCTCATTTTAAAAGTTGATGCATAATAATACTTAGGGTATTACAGAGAGAATATTGTATAAAAAGAAATTGCTTATTAGGCAAGAATATACATGTGGAACTGTGTAAAATCATTTGCTATCTCTTTCCTTTCCCTCTTTGCTTTTTCCCTTTGGTTTCTCCTCTCAATACCTCCTTATTCCTTTATGCCTTCTGTGGTCTTTGTTTCCTACATTTACTCAATGCTTTACTTACTGCTTTTTTTCTTTTTTTTTTTTTTTTTTTTTTTTTTGAGACGGAGTCTCACTCTGTCACCCAGGCTGGAGTGCAGTGGCGCCATCTCGGCTCACTGCAAGCTCCGCCTCCCGGGTTTACGTCATTCTCCTGCCTCATCCTCCAAGTAGCTGGGACTACAGGCACCTGCCACCATGCCCGGCTAATTTTTTGTATTTTTAGTAGGGACGGGGTTTCACCATGTTAGCCAGGATGGTCTCGATCTCCTGACTTCGTGATCTGCCTGCCTCGGCCTTCCAACATGCTGGGATTACAGGTGTGAGCCACCGCGCCCGGCATACTTACTCTCTTTATTCTCATCCAAACCCTAAAACTATTTCAACAGTGAAAAAGAAAATATATAAAAAAAAAAGAAAGGAATAATTTTACTTTTATTTCCATACAACATTTGTTTACATGAGGTTTGAAATAATCCCTGATTAAATGAGGATGTATTTCCAACTGACTGACTTTCTAGAGTACAAGCTAAGAAAGGAAGGAGATTATGACCATGGCTCTCAACATATCCATGGGGATGATAACCCTGTCATTCGCCTGGCTTACTTTGCAAAATATGATCAGTCATAGAGCATATTAATAATTTAAAAGTCATGTTGGAAATCTTACAGAAAAAAATCATTAGACTGTCAAGCAATCATACAATTAGTACTATTTTAACAGAATTTTTTCTGCTAAGAGACTGAAAGATGTTATTTATTTCATTTATCTCACAAATATTTATTGAGGACTAAAGAATAAATAAAAGGATGAAAACATATGGCATCTGCTCAGTTTAAATATCAGCGTAAACAAACAAGCAACAAAGTAATTTATTTAGTGTGGAGGGGTAGGGGAATCATATACTCCATGAGCAAAAGAAAGCATTTTCAAAGTGTTTTACACAGATATGTTTGTCTTCTGCAATATTTGTCAACCTATAAGATAGACAGTGTCTAAATTGTTTTCTCCCACATAGATTCCTTTTGTCTTTTGTTTCCCCTCTTTCTCTTTAAACTGTAACTTCTTAAAACAGTGGTTATTAAATTATCTACAATACTAGGTTTTTAAAAAGCCCAGCTGTTCTGCGGATTCCCTGAGTGATGTATTAAAATACATATTGTGTGATTTTTTAATTTACCTGGAGAACTTGGATTATAAGAGTCATAGTAAAGATCCAAATATGGCTAAACAATGGCCTATAGGCCCTGAGGCAGTGAAACACAAGTTCTCATGGTTGATGGTCTTGACATGATTCCTGTCATTCTCTGGCAATGGACATCGTAGAAATTATAATAAAAACAGAAACGAAGAAATTATTTGTGACATCCTATAAGATTTAACATAAGCATATTTGAATTCAATTTTGCTTCAAAATCAGAAGAATGCATTATCAATAAAGCTACCATTTAATATTATCTCTCATTCTCCATTATGTAATAAGTTCAAGACCTCACTCTTCTCTCTTTACCTCTAGCTCATTATTGTGTCCATTTCTCTATTTAGTTGTTGCATGAGTATATATGAGCTAGAACTTTTTGCCTATCATTAATATTGAGTGAAAAAAGAAAAAGTATATGTAAAGTTTTTCTTTTTTTGCCAATATTTGAAACATTCATCTAAGAGTGGTCGACATTTCATCATTATATAACATTTTAAATGTAAACAGTATTTTTCCTTCCTCACAGATGTCTTTTAAGGCTCCTCGTGGGGTGTGCGTCTGTGGTCTGCTGACACTACTCCATAATGTGCTATGAAATCTAAATTGCCCTAAAGTTAATTTATTGTCATCTCAGATGTGAGCTCACATCCTTCTCTTGCATGTGCATTTATCACTAAGTTTAAACGATCATTACATATTATGAAATTTTTAAAAGATTGCTTTTCCCTCATGAGTGTCCAAAGTTAGTGGCACACCTCTTTGTAGGCTCTGTAGATAGTAACTCAGGTTTCACTATTGTAGAAGCAGTGGCTATTTAATGTTAATGGCCTTATTTAGAGCACCTCATTTTCACTAGTAGATTACTGTATGGGTATACTGTCAATGTGAATGGCATATATCTCTTGTATAATTATGGAAATGATCCAGTTAGTCCACATGACTCCTTGACATGTTTCAAGCAAAGAATGAAGAGAGTTCTTGAACTAATTTGTATTGATCAGATTATACATTTTACTAGGATTCCCTAATCAAATATTCTACGTGGTGAATACAAGGTGGAGGAATTGTGAAAAGTTAACATTCCAGGATGACTTTGGTAAAAGACAATTCAAAGGATTTCAAGTGGAACTTAAATATTTCTATTCATTATTCTTTTGATTGTATATTCTGGTATAGAAGTTGTAAAATGACACAGATTGTTAAAGCTGATCAGCAAAGTCATTTGCACGTGCAGAATTTGTGAGCCATTGCCGAAGTAAAGCAGAAATTCGCTTTGATTAGTCATATAATTCAGTCCCCAAACCTGCTGTGGAAGAAAGAGCAGGGGATTCTGGCTTGAGTTTCAAGACTGGCTGTCAAAACTGATCAAATCCACCATATAATTGCTCAGCACTTTGCTTTACACTGCATGGATAAGCAGAGCATATGGTGCAATTTCTCTCAACTCAAATTGTTTTCAAAAGGGTAGAAATACACTTAAATTGACTTTTAATAGTAAAGGAGGAGGAGAAACTGGGAAATGGAACATTCCATATATAATCTTCGTTTCAGAAAATTTCTAAATTTAAGTTCAATATGTATTCTCTCTAAAATCACTTTCAAAAATTTATTTTTGTTAAATTTTATTTTTATAATAGATTCGGGGGGTACTTTTGCAGGTTTATTGTTAAGAGTATTTTGCATGATGCTGAGGTTTGGACTTCTATTAATTCTGTCACCCAGATAGTGAACATAGCACCCAATAGGCAGTGTTTCAGCCCTTGCTCACATTCCTTCTCTCCATTTTGGAGACTCTATTGTTCCCATCTTTATGTTCACGTGTACCAAAGGTTTAGCTCCCACTTACAAGTAAGAACATCTAATATATGGTTTTCTGTTTCTGTGTTAATTCACTTAGGATTATGGCCTCCAGATGCATTCATGTCGCTGTAAATGACATAATTTGTTCCTTTTTATGGTTGCATAGTATTCCATGGTATACATGTATCACATTTCCTTTATCCAGTTCACCACTGAATCAACCTAAGTTGATTCCATGTCTGCCACTGTGAGTAGTGCAGTGATAAACATACAAGTATGGGTGTCTTTTTGGTAGAAAGATTTATTTTCCTTTTGGTATATACCGAGTAATGAGATTGCTGGGTCAAATGATAGTTCTGTTGTTGTTGTTTTTGTTGTTGTTGTTGTTGTTCTTGTTTGAGACTGAGTATCACTCTGTTGCCCAAGCTGGAGTGCAGTGGCATGATCTCAGCTCACTGCAACCTCCACCTCCTGGGTTCACGCAACTCTCATGCCTCAGCCTCCCAAGTAGCTTGGGACTACAGGTGTGAGCCACCATACCCAGCTAATTTTCATATATTTAATAGAGATGGGTTTTCACCATGTTGGCCAGGCTGGTCTCAAACTCCTGACTTCAGGTGATCCATCCACCTCAGCCTCTCAAAGTGCTGAGATTACAGATGTGAGCCACTGCCCCTGAACCTGTTTTTACTCCTTTGAAAAATGTCCAAATTTCTTTCCACAGGGGCTGAACTAATTTACATTTCTACCAACAGTGTCTGTGTGTTCCCTTTTCTCCACAGTCTCACCAACATCTGTTATTTTTTGACTTTTTAATAATAGCCATTCTGATTGGTGTGAGATGTTATTTCATTGTGGTTTTGATTTGCATTTCTCTGATTATTAGTGGAGCATTTTTTCATATGTTTCCTGGCCACTTGCATGTCTTCTTTCTGAGAAGTGTCTGTTCATGTCTTTGGCCTACTTTCTGATGAACTTGTTTTTTTCTTATTGATTTCTTTCAGTTCTTTATAAATTCTGGCTATTAGTTCCTTGTCAGATGTGTAGTTTGCAAAGACTTGCCCCCATTCTGCAGGTTGTCTGTTTACTCTGTTGGCAGTTTATTTTGCTTGACAAATGGTCTTTAGTTTAATTAGGTCTCACTTATAAATATCTTTTGTTGCAATTGCTTTAGAGGACTTAGTCATAAATTCTTTGCCTATGCCAATATCTAGAAGAGTACTTCCTAGGTTTTCTTCTAGGATTTTTATAGTTTAAAGTTTTACATTTAAGTCTCTAAGCTGTCTTGAGTTTTTATTTTTTTTTGTATATAGTAATAGGGCTACAATTTCATTCTTCTGCATATGGTTAGCCAATGCTCCCAACGCCATTTATTGAATACGGAGTCCTTTCCTCATTGCTTATTTTTGTTGACTTTGTTGAAGATCAGTCAGCTGTAGGTGTGCAGCTTTATTTCTGAGCTCTTTATTCTGTTCCGTTGATCTGTGTGTCTATTTTTGTACCATTATCATGCTGTTTGGGCTACTGTAGCCTTGTAGTATAGTTTGAAGTTGGATAATCTGATGCCTCTAGCTATATTCTTTTTGCTTAGGGTTGCTTTGGCTATTTGGAATTATTTTCTATATGAATTTTAGAATGGCTTTCTAATTCTGTGAAAATTGATGCTGGTGTTTTGATAGGAATGGTGTTGAATCTGTGGATTGCTATGTGCAGTATGAACATTTTAATAATATTGATTATTGCAATCCATGAGCATGAAATGATTTTTTATTTGTTTGTGTCATCTCTAATTTCTTTCAGCATCTTCTTGGTTAGATGTATTCCTAGATATTTTATTTTTGTAGCTATTGTAAATAGGATTGTATTCTTGATTTATCTCTCAGCTTGAATGCTATTAGTGTATAAAAATGCTACTAATGTTTGTATGTTGCCTTTGTATCCTGAAATTTTACTGAAGTCACTTATCTGGGCTAGTTGCCTTTTGGCTTAGGGGTTCTAGATAAAATCATATCATCAGTTAAGACAGATAATTTGACTGTTTCATTTCCTATTTGGATGCCTTTTATTTCATTCTATTAACTGATTGCTCTCTCTGGGGATTCCAGTACGATGTTAAATAGAAGTGGTGAGATTAGAAATCCTCATCCTGTTCCAATCCTTAGGGGAAATGCTTGCAGGTTTTGCCTGTTCAGTATGATGTTGACTGTGGGTTTGTCATAGACAGCTCTTATTATTTTCACAAATATTCCTTTGTTGCTTAGTATGTTGAAGGTTTTATCATGAAAGGATGTTGGATTTTATCAAAGGCTTTTTCTGCATCTATTGAGATGATCATATGGTTTCTATTTTAATTCTGTTTATGTGGTGGTTCACATTTATTGATTTGAGTATGTTGAACCAAACTTGCATCCCAGGAATAAAGCCTACTGATCACGATGGATTAACATTTTAATGTGCTACTAGACTCAGTTTGCTAGTAATTTGTTGAGGACTTTTGTGTCTGTGTTCATTAGGAATATTATGCTGTAATTTTCTTTTTTCATTGCATCTGATTTTTGGTATCAGGATGATACTGCTTTTGTAGAATCAATTACAAAGGAGTCCCTCCTCTGCAGTTTTTTGGAATAGCTTCAGTAGGATTGGTACCTGTTCTTCTTTGTAGGTCAGGTGGAATTTGACTGTGAATCCATCTGGTCTGGGACTCTTTTGCCTGGTAAGGTATTTATTATTGATTCAGCTTCAGAACTGGTTACTGGTCTGTTCAAGGTTTCAAATTCTTTCTGATTTAATCTAGGAAGTTGTGTGTTTCCAAGAATTTATCCATTTCCTCTAGATTTTCTAGTTTGTACACACAGAGGTGTTCATAATAGTCCCTGAGAGTCTTTTGCATTTCTATGGGATCAGTTGTAATGTCACCATTGTCCTCTGGGGTTGTGCTTATTTGGATCTTCTCTCTTTTGTTCTTCATTAGTTTAGTAGCCTATTGATCTTGTTTATTCTTTCAAGGAACCAACATTTCCTTTCACTGATCCTTTGTATGGTATTTTGGGAGTCTAAATTTCTTTTAGTTCTGCTCTGATTTTTAGTTATTTCTTTTCTTCTGCTAGCCTTTGGATTGATTTGTTCTTGATTTTCTAGTTCCTTATGTGTCATATTAGATTGTTAATTTGAGATCTTTCTGTCTTCCTGATGTAGATGTTTAGTGCTATAAACTTTCCTCTTAAGACTACTTTTGTCAAATCCCAGAGGTTTTAGTATGCTGTATCTCTATTTTTCATCTGTTTCAAAGAAGTTTTTAAATATCTGCCTTCACTTTGTTGTTTACACACTAGTCATTTAGAAGCAAGTTGTTTAGTTTCCATGTAATTGGGTGGTTTTGAGAGTTCCTCTGGCTATTGATTTCTATTTCTATTTCACTATAGTTTTAGAAGATGCTTGGTATGATTTTGATTTTTTAAAAATTTATTGAGACTTGCGACTGAGCTTGTGGTTGATCTTAGATTATGTTTGACTGCAGATGAGAAGAGTATATATTCTGGTTGTTGAGTGGAGTATTCTGTAGATGTCTATTAAATCTAATGGGTTGAGTGCTGCATTTAATTGAGTAACAGAATTCATTTGTTAATTTTCTGCCTTCACAGTCTGTCTAATGCTGTCAGTGGGGTATTGAAGTCCCCCACTATTATTGTGTAGCTGTCTAAGTCTTTTCCTACATCTAGAAGTAATTGGGTGCCCTAATGTTGGGTGCATGTATATTTAGGAAAGTTAGTATTTTTGTTGACTTGAACCCTTTATCATTATGTAATGCCCTTCTTTGCCCTTTTTTACTGTTGCTGGTTTAAAGTCTATTTTACTTGATACAAGAATAGCAATCCCTGCTGTTTTTCGTTTTCCATTTGTGTGATAGATCTTTTTCCATCCCTTCACTTTGAACCTATGTGTCTCATTACATGGGAGATGGTCTGTTGAAAGCAACAGAAAGTTGGTTCTTGTTTTGTTTTAAACCCAATTAGTCACTCTGTCTTTTAAGTGAAGCATTTAGACTATTTACATTCAAGGTTAATATTGATATAAGAGATTTTCGTTCTATCATGGTGCTATTAGCAGTTTGCTTTGTACTCTTGATTATGTAGTTGCTTCATAGGGCCTGTGGGCTATATACATGTCTTTTTGTAGTGGCAAGTATTATTCTTTTATTTTCATGTTTAGAACTCCCTTAAACATCTGTTATAAGACCAGTCCAGTGGTAGTGAATTCCCTTAGCTATTGTTACTCTGGAAAAAAAATTTATTTCTCCTTCATTTATGAAGCTTAGTTTGGCAGGATATGAAATTCTGGCTTGGTGTTTCTTATAAGAATACTAAAAATAGGCTCACGATCTCTTCTGGCTTGAAAGGTTTCTGCAGAGGAGTCTGACATTTGTCTGATAGGATTCACTTTGAAGGTGATATGACTTTTGTCTCTAGCTGCCTTTAAAATGTTTTCTTTCATGCCGACCTTGGAAAATCTGATGACTATGTGTTTTGAAGATGATCATCTTGTATGTATCTTGCAGGAATTCCCTGAATTTCTTGTATCTGTATGTTGACCTCTCTTGTAAGATTGGGGAAATTTTCATGGACTATATCCTCAAATATGTTTTCCAAGTTGCTTAATCTTCCTGTCTCCCTGGAATGCCAGTGAGCTGTGTGTTTGATCACTTTGCATAATCCCATATTTCTCAGAGGCTTTATTCATTTTATTTTAATTATTTTTCTTTATTTTTGCGTGACTGCGTTGATTGAAAAAATTGGCCATTGAGCTTCGAAATTCTTTCCTCTTCTTGGTCTAGTCTGTTGTTAAGGCTTCCAATTATATTTTGAAATTCCTGTCATACATTTTTCAATTTATAAAAGTTCAGTTTGGTTCTTTCTTAATATAGCTTTGTCATCTTTCAAATCTTGAATCATTATTCTTGTTTCACTGGATTGGATTTTAACATTGTTTTGGATCTCATTGAGTTTCCTTGCCATCCAGTTTCTGAATTCTATGTCTGTCATTTTAGACATTGTCATTTGGTTAGTGTTCATTGCTAGAAAGCTAGTGTGTTCCTTTGGAGATGATGAAACACTCTGTCTCTTTGAATTGCTAGAGTTCTTGAACTGATTCCTCATTATCTGATGGAGCTGGTGCTTCTTTTTCTTCATGAATTTGCTGTCATTTGGATGGGACTTCTTTGTTTTTATATTCTCTTTTCCCTCAAAGGTTTAACTTACATGTATGTTGTGTATAGTCAATTGGCTTCATTTGCAGGTGCTTTCAGAGGGCCAAGGTTCTGTATGAGTTACTTGGTTGTAGATAGGTTCCCATGGTAGGTTTCACTGGTATTGCATGTTGAAGCAGTATGTTTTTGTTTTGTGGGATAATTCAGGCTCAATCCAGTAGATGGTATGTAAGAATAAGGGCTGGCAGGTAGGCTTTTACATAGGTGCTCTCATGTCTTTCGTATTTCAATGTGTACACAGTTATGCTCCCTTGCTTAGGTCTGGTTTGGTTTCTGGGGACCAGTCCTCACATCCTGCAACTTTGAACAGGCCTTCCAATGTCCTCCTTCTTCACCCATGGTACCTGTGTTGCCCGTATTGACTTTCAGTGTTTTCTCTCAAGAGATCTCTTTGAAGTGTGATAGTTTACTCAATATTTTGTTTCCTCTCCATGGAAGAAGAGTATCTTGGCTGGGTCTAGTCAGATGTCTTGTTCTCCTCTTTACCATTTTCTTCAAAAAGGAGTTCTATAGTGATGATCCATTTTTCATCATCAATATGGTTAATACATGGGAAAGTATAAATGAATAGTTTCTCCTAGATTAATTTATACCCGCTTTTTTTCTCTTAATGTCATGCTGTTTCTTTTTCTCATTTCCAAACTTCTTATAGACAAGGAAGATGTGTCTTCAGAAAACACTATGTTTCAAATAATTTGAAAAAAATGTTGACATCACTGATCATTAGAGAAATACAAATCAAAACCACAATGAGATACCATCTCACGCCAGTCGGAATGGTGATCACTTAAAAAGTCAAGAAACAGATGCTAGCAAGGCTATGGAGAAATAGGAACACTTTTAGACTGTTGATGGGAATGTAAATTAGTTCAAACATTGTGGAAGACACTGTGGCGATTACTCAAAGACCTAGAACCAGAAATACCATTTGACCCTGCAATCCCAATACTGAGTATATACCCAAAGGATTATAAATCATTCTATTATAATGATACATGCACATGTATGTTCATTGCAGCACTGTTCACAATAGCAAGACATGGAATCAATTCAAATGCCCATCAGTGATAGACTTGGCGAACAGTCTGTCTCAATGGAAAAATAAGTAAGGCTGGGTCCCTACAGAATTTGGTATGAGGGAACTTCCTCTAAAGCCCAGGTCTGACCATTTATATTTATGTATTGCAAGGTTCTTGTGAAAAGGTGGATTTACCTATAAGGACATGAAGAATAAAGTTATCATGAAACTTCAGTCTTTTCTTATAAGTCATTAACTCTCTGGCCAGAATAGTAAAATAAGGAGAGTCTGGATATACATCACATCTATTAAATATCAAATATAAAATTAATCTCATCTCATTGTTGACAGTTTAATTCATCTGAATTATGTAAACTTTCACTACACTTTTTTAGGGAAATCTCAACTATATTTCACCCCTGGAATAAGCCATTTTTGAAATAAACATATAAAAAATTGTTCAGTATCTTTAGATAGCTATTTCCGCAGGTAAGTTTCTATTCAGAAATGTTTGTAACAATTTACACCAAATAGGCTGGGCGTGGTGGCTCACCCCTGTAATCACGGCATTTTGGGAAGCTGAAGCAGACGGATCACTTGAGGTCAGGAGTTAGAGACCAGCATGGCCAACATGGTGAAATCCTGTCTCTACCAAAAAATACAAAAATTAGCTAGCTATGGTGGCACAGCTGTAGTCTCAGCTACTCTGGAGGCTGAGGCATGAGAATCGTTTGAACCTGGGAGGTGGAGGTTGCAGTGAACTGAAATTGCACCACTGCACTCCAGCCTGGGTGACAGATTGAGACACTGTCTCAAAAAAAAAAAAAAAAAATTACACCAAATAATTCAGCATGTCCTTGATAAAGAAAGAAACATGTTTTTCCTAAAAAAAATTTTACCTGTATTTTCTAATTGCAACTAAAAGTAACTCAAATATTCCTTAAATGTTTGGATTTTCATGTTGAGGGGACATCTGACCCTGGTTTATTGTCATTGTTCTGGTTTATTGTCATTGTTCTTTAATACCTTCTTTTAGGCTATCTGAAAAGGGAATATTTATTGCCTGCTGTATTAAGTGAACACTCAGAGTAATGCTGGGTCATATGTGATATCTTATTTACATAGTAAATACAGTTTAAATGCAAATATAAAAGTAAGCATGTATTGACCTACAATTTAAATTTATTATAAATATATATTTATAATATAATTTTATATTATAAATTTATTATAATATATTTATAAATGTTATAAATCTTTAACAAGTTTCCAAATCCATTAGGCAACTAATTGTGTAATATGATTAATATACATACTCACACATGCTCTTATTCTTCTGTTTTAACTGTTTATCTTTGCTTCTGCTTTGGAAACTTCTCCTTTGGCTTTTTCTTCATTTACTCATTCATGCATTCATTCATTTTCCTCACTAATTTCTTGTTCTCAGATCTAAGAAGAAAACTAAATTAAGTTTATCTTGTGTTTGTACTTTTACAGTTAAGCATGATATTTGATACTGGGAATGCATAGTAAATGTTGAATAAAAGAGTATTTCTTGGACAGAAAATTTGATTAGACTCTCAGAATCCATCCCTTGTAGTACTTTTTTTCTCTTTCTTTATCTTACCCCCAGATCACAGAGTTTAGTGTTATCATAATATACAAGACTAATCATATCAATCGAGTTTGTACATTTTCTTAGTACAATGTAATCATTTTCATTTATTCAATAAATACTGGAAATTTCAGTCAGGATTCAATAAAATAAAACTGACAGGCTGTCTTCCATATCTTTTGTTATTGTTTATTTCTTTTGCTTATGTCCTCTTTGCCCAATAAATAGTGAATTTCCGAAAGATAGAAAAATTTTAAATTTTTCTGTATATATCATTTAGCAATAAATGCCCGTGAGAAGACACTGTTGATAATATAGGGGAAGAAAAGGGAGTTAATGTATGTTAGTGACCCACTAATTGTCCGACATTTTATATTTGTTACTTCATTTAATCCTCACAGTAAGTACTACTATTCAGGGATGTTTAGATATTTTCCCAAGATTATGCAGCTGAAGTTCCAAAGACTGACTGCTCTTTATTCCTATATCCAGTCACCTGTCTCTGCAGCTATAGAATATAATCTCCTTTTTCCCCTAACTTTCTGTGAACTAACATTTAAATGAACCCCCAGTAACTGCTACCTTGCTCTCAATTGCATACTCAATTTCAATTAAAGATGACAAAAGAAAGGCATTTCTACTTACTACAGATCACTGTAATGAAATTTCACAAAGAGCACTGGAAGAGATCTAGGCCCTTATATTAAATAGTTACAATAAGTCTGTCTGTCTCTGTCTTTTTTGTTTTTATTCTCTTTTACTTTTCATAATTCACCTTGATAAAATAGATTCTAGGACTTTTTCATTGTGATAGTTTGGACATTCTCACACTATTCAGTTCACACAAAGACCATATTTGTCTTTCATAAAAGTTTTATCTCATACATTAAAAAAAATAGGAAGCTGGAAGAAAATTAAGATCATTTAGTTCAGTTATTTTATTGTGTAGATGAGGAAAAGGTCTCAGCAAGCTAAAATCTTATCCTTATAAGTATATAATGGTAACAAGAACATTTATGCTGCTTCCTGGAAGGAGCTGATTGCATCCTGTGTTAGAGATGTTGATTGAGACAGCGACTTTTGAACCATAAGGACATTTCTCGGGGAGATTCTGGTTTCAAACAATCATGCTATGTTCTTTGTGGAAAATCAAGGTAGTTCTGACAATATTATGTACCAAAAAAAAAAAATGTCCTACCAACGGAGGTTGAATCCACTCAAAGCAGTGAGGCTATCAAAACTTGATTTGTAATGGAAAACTGAGATTACATATTTAAGCATAGAGAGAGAGGAAATTAAAACCAATATATTTTGACTTCTAATCTATATCATACCCTATCTCAGCTAACCCACCATCTTTAGCAGCATACTTGAATCCTTATCACATAGAAAACAAGATACCAATAAATACTGTACATAAATACAAATACTGACTCAGTCACCTCTTCTGTTTCTTTCATGAGAACATTGTTTTAATTGTTCTAAAATACTCATAGCACAAAATTTACCATCTTAAAGATTTTAAGTGCACATTTCAGTGGTATTAAGTACATTCATATTGTTGTACAAGCATCAACACTCCTTCATACCTAGAAATCTTGTCATCTCGCAAAACTGTAACTCTACCCATTAAACAATAATTACCTATTCTTCCTTATCTCTAGCTCCCAGAAACCACCATTCTACTTTTTGTGTCTATGCTTTTTATAACTCTAAGTATCTAATATAAGTGGAATCCTACAGTATTTGTTTTTGTTTGTAACTGATTTATTTTACTCAGCACAATGTCACCAAGTTTCTTCCATACTGTAGCATATGTCCGTATTTCCTTCCTTTATTAAGTCTTGAATGATCAGGAGGGGCTTCTGTCATTTTACCATTTGTTTCCTATGTGCCCTTTAGTACTTTTTGTTCCTCAATTCCTGCATTACTGCCCTTTTATGTTTAGTTGGCATTTTGTGATGAAATGTTTAAATTTATTTCTCATTTGTTTTTGTGTATATTCTATAGCTTATTATCTTTGTGGTTATCATGGGATTACATTTAACATCCTAAAGTTATAACACTCTAATTTATATTTATAGCAGTTTAACTTCAATAACTTACAAAAACTCTGCTTCTTTATATCCCTGTCTCCACTCCTTTCAGTTATTGATGTCACAAAATCACAGCCTTATATTAGGTTGGTGCAAAAGTAATTGGAGGTTTTTACCATTACTTTTAATGCCAGAAAACACAATTACTTTTGTACCAACCTAATACATTGTATGTCTGAAACATAAACTAATAATTTTTTTAAAAACACATTAATCTTTTAAATTGTGTAGAAAACAAAATGTGATTTGCAAACAAAAGGTACAATAATACTAGCTTTTAGAATAATATTTTTTTCAAAGTTAGTCTTTTAAATCATGTAGGAAACAAGAAGTATAGTACAAGTCACTGTTAAAATAAGACTAGACTTTGTAATTGCCCACATATTTACCTTTCTTGTGATTTTTATTCCTTTATACACCTTAAGGTTACTCTCTATTTTCCTTTCATTTCACCAGAGAACTCCCTTGAGTATTTCTTGCAGGGAAGGTCTAGTGGTAAGGAACTCCCTAAGCTTTTGTTCATCTGTTCATCTGGGAAGGTCTTAATTTCACCTTCAATTTTGAAGGGCAGTTTTGCCAAATACAGGATTCTTGGATGACAGGATTTTGTTTATTTTCTTCCTTTTCTTTTCTTTTTTCCTTTCTTTTTTTTTTTTTTTTTTTTTTTGAGACGGAGTCTCCCTCTGTCAACCAGGCTGGAGTGCAGTGGCACAATCTCAGCTCACTGCAACCTCCACCTCCCAGGTTCAAGCAATCTGCCTGCCTCAGCCTCCAAAGTAGCTGAGATTACAAATGTATGCCACCATACCTGGCTAAATTTTGTATTTTTAGTAGAGATGGGGTTTTACCACGTTGATCAGGCTGGTCTCGAACCCTTGACCTCAAGTGATCTGCCCATCACTGCCTCTCAAAGTGCCAGGATTGCAGGCATGAGCCACCATGCCCAGGCAAGTTTTTTTTTTTCTTTTGACACTTTGAATTTACACACACACACACACACATATACACACAGAATCAGTCTAAGCTGATATGCATATATATAGGTATATGTATGTATATGTGTGTGTGTATATATACACTTAACATATCACACATATATATACATATATATGTGTGTGTGTGTATCAGCAGATTTCTCACCAGAAACTTGGATATACATATCAGCCCACACTGCCATCCAAGCTTCCAATGAAAAATCTGTTGATAATCATACTGAGGATCTCTCATATGTGATGAGTATCTTCTCACTTGCCGCTTTCAAGATTTTCTCTTTTTCTTTAGATAGTTTGCTTATAATGTGTGTTGGTGTAGACTTCTTTGAATTTATCCCACTTGGGGATGGTTGAGCTTCTTGGATGTATATATTCATGTATTTCATCAAACTTTAAAGTTTTCTTTAGATATTCTCGCTCCCTTCCTCCTCCTTCTGGAAAATTTATATATTGCTCTTCTTCATGGTGCCCTGCAAGTCTCTTATACTGTGTTCAGTTTTCTTTGATTTTTTTCCCTCTTTTCCTCAGATCAATAAGTCCCATTGTCCTATCTTCAAATTTGCCTGTTTTTTCTTCTTCCAGCTCAAATCTGCCTTTGAATCTCTTTAGTGAATTTTTCATTTTAGTTATTGTACTTTTCATCTCCAAAGGCTTTTCATTTTCTTTTTAGGCTTAGCTCTTTAAAGATATCAAAATATCTTTTGGTATTTCATTTGTTCATCCGTTGTTTCTTGACTTTATCCACATTTTCTTTGACTTTTTTATGCATCTTTAAGCCAGTTGTTTTAAATTCTTTGTCTAGTCCATCTACCATTAGATCTCTGTCAGAGATACTTTTCATTGGTTTATTTTGTTTTCTTTGAATGGGTCTTTGAATAATATACTCTTCTTTGCATGCCTTGTGATTTTTGTTTTTGTTGAAAACTAGAAATTTGAATCTAATAATGTGATAACTCTGGAAATCAGATTCTTCCCCTTAAATTGCTGTAGGTTATCTCTGTGCCACAGATTACCCTGGGGTATAAACTTAAGGTCTTTTCAGGTCTTTCTTAGCCTGTGACTTTCCCTTGGTATACACAGTAACTTTCTAATTTCATTTGTATAAGTGGTTGTGTTTGAACATCCTAGTCTTTTATATCTAGCTCCCAAAAGGGGAACTGAGTAAAATGAAATGAAAGTAAGAGGGCACTGGCTCTTAAAATTCCCTGGAAGCCACTTCAGCTAGAAATGGAGGGACTTGTAACGATGGAGAGAGGTGCAATGACAATGGCCACCACCTCTTTGCACCTTTGCGGTCAGTGACAACAGTCAGTAATCAAAGCACGGATCCCAGAATTTGGAGGGCAGATCCTGTCTGTCTACTCTGGATCACACAAGCTGTGTGCAAGCTGCTCCAGGAATACAGGCCTGATTGTTTGCCATAGAACGGGGGTCTGAGGGATTCATAGGTGTGACTGTGCTAAGAGCTGAAACTGACCTAAATTAACTACAATTTACCATCTAAGGCTTACCCTGGAAGTTGCAAGGGTTCAGTAGACTTCAGTTCCAAGATAGTTTGCATTAGAAAGATCCTGCTAGTGCAATTGTTGTCTGGGTGGAGAGATGTATTCCTGTTGCTTTCTATTCTGCTGTCTTTCTATAATCCTCATTCAATTCATATTTACCAAGACAAACACATAGTGCAAAAACAACTGCTGTTATTTTTCAGTAACTAAATTTTATTGAGAGTAAAGCACTGGCTTTGAATTTAGGGGAATTCCCAAATTATGTGTTATAGACTCAGCAAAATCATATGTTCTTCTGTCCTGATTTTTTTTTGACTATTTACTTTTAATAAAACTATGCATTATTTTCTCATAAAATACAATTAAAGTAAAACTTAAGTTCTAATTTTAGAGAAGTATAATATCTATTTTCAATGAAATACAAACTGTCTGGCTCAACTTTATTCTCTCACAGATTGATTTATTTTCCTTAGAATATAATACCACTGAGACATATAAACAATGTTAATTATTAATGGATTTTATCCATAGGAAACCTCTTTTTGTTTTCCAAGACAAAATAACGCTTTAAAGGTCACTTTAACCTTAATACTGAAACCAACTGATGTCTTTACATCAAAAGTAAAGACAACTCAAGGCTTTTGAATCACTTAATAACAAAGCCTATTTCTAACAATGTGCTTATCATGAAAATTAAAACCAGTAACTGTAATTTAAAAAATAAAATATTAGAACATGGTTCATAAGAATAGAAGGAAAGAAGCCAATTATCTTTATTTTTACTATGCAGAAAATTGGTATTGGGTTCACCTGTATTTCTGGATAAATTTAGCTTTTTTAGTAAGACAATTATTATGCACTTTGACATCAGAGTAACATCCCTTGTTTTGTTAAAGATATAATTAATAGCATAAAGACCTAATTTTAATGAAGAACCTCACCCTGTTGTCCTGCTTTTTTAGCAGAGCTTTAAAAATGACAAAAGTCAATTAATTTCCTTAGTCTTTAAATTCTGGTTCCCTATTCTCAAGTTATGATTAATGACTATTAAACTGTAGGATTTCAGGCATTCAGCAAAAAATAAACAACATGGAGACAAAAAACATGAATAACCTAAAAAATAATGACTTCATTCCTCAGTAATGAGACATGTCCCTGCTTTTGTGATAATAAAGAAATAAGCAATGGGATAAAGTGCTGCCTTTTCTTTGAGAAGTAGTTGGTATTTAGCTTCCTTTAGAACCTATTTGACCTGTCAGCATTTGTTTTCTTATTTATATGAAGCTTCAACTGAATTTGCATTTAGATATTATATTCCTGCACTATACTGAACAGATCATTCACTTTTTGTTAGGATATTTATTTGAAGTCTAGGTGGGCATTTGTGCATGCATGGCTACCTAAGGAAAATGTATCGCCATAATGTACATCCAAAACCTTTTTATGAATAACTTTGATGCCTAAAAGCATCCATATAAATTAATACAATATTCTGTGCATTTAATACTCTGGAACATTCTGGCATCAGAATATATATACATATATATGTGTATATGTATATGTGTATATGTGTATATATATACACATATATATGTGTGTGTGTGTGTGTGTGTGTGTGTGTGTATAGGGAGAGAGAGAGAGTGTCTCACTCTTTCACCCAGGATTGAGTGTACTGGCACAATCACAGCTCACTGAAACCTAAAACTGAACTCAAGCAATCCTCCCCTCTCAGCCTCCTGAGTAGCTGGGACTACAGGTGCATGCCACCATGCCCTGCTAGTTAAGAAAAAAAAAAAAATTATAGAGACAGAGTCTCACCATATTGCCTAGGCTGGTCTCAAACTCCTGACTTCAAGTGATCCTCCTACTTCAGCCTCCCAAAGCACTGTAATTAAAGGAATTAGCCACTGTGCCTGGGTTGTTATTGTTGATATGTATATACTTGATTATCATGTTCTGTGAATCACAAACAATATTTAGAATAGTTTAGAACAAGGGTGGGCAAACCTATTCTGTAAAGGATTAGACAGTAAATATTTTAGGCTTTGCCTGTTGCAACTACTCAAAGCTGCTGTTGTAGCATGGAAGCAACCCTAGACAATATGTCAACAAATGAGTGTGTCAGGGTTCCAATAAAACTTTATTTACACAAACAGGTGGTAGACTGGAATTAGTTTGCAGGTTGCAGCTTGCTGACCCCTCATTTAGAACACAAGGAGACAGACATATTATAAAGATCTGTAATCTTGAATAATCCTACACCCATATATTATAGAATATCAAATTCATTGGACAAAGGCAAAAGGGAGAAGAAAGGGATGAAGTAAGAATAAATAAATTATTAATAATTTTTAAATTATATTCTCCATCCCTCCCTCACAGAGATATCTCATAAGTATGTGCTTATGCACATTCTTTCCACAAAATGTTTGACATCATTTTTAAAGTTCAAATTAAATAATATCTTTTGTTCAGTTTTTTCCTAGAAAATATTTGCTACCACTAAGCACACTGGTAAACCAAACAGTAATTTCCAAATGTAGCCTATCCACATTGCAATTTCTTTTACTTAATATTTGATAACTAACATATCTGTTAAGTTGATTGGTTAATACAAACAGTGAATGGGAAACTTGATTTCTCAATTACTTTACATAGCCAATTCAGCGGATTAATACATCTATCCACTTATATTTAGATAATGTAAGAGTTCATCATTCTTCTGATACTTATATTTTAAATGAAATGTTCATGGTGTTCTAGATGTCAAAACATAAAATTTTAATTAACTAAATCAATGTTTTATGTAGATTTTGCTTCGATAGTACTTTAACTTGGGTGATACTTAGAACTCTACATTGAAACTTCCGTTTCGACTTACTCTTTGAATGTCTGTTTTGAACACTAAAGATAATTTAACTTCTGCCTAGTTATCCACACATTATTTTCCATTCCCTTCTATTAAACTTTTCTAACTGACTCAAACAGTAAACCTATATAAAGTCTTGAAATCTTGTATTTTTTTTTTCACTTATCATTAAGTCCTAAAGTCTATGTACTCATGACGAATTTTGATGGTTTCATCCAATATCTTATCAGGATAATCTCAGAGTGGTGACTACATATAAGGAGGTAAAAGGAGTTTGTTGAAATTAAAGGGAAAACACAAAAGCCACGTTCTGGACGTGTGTGTGAGGTTAAAGGTAGGGAAGTGACATGTGAATAATAAACCAAGAAATATGGCAAATCCAGATGACCTATAGGCAGTCATGAAGGTCCAATGGGATAAGGACTAGTTGATTTAAGAAGAAAGACTTAGGCTTGACTGCATTGTTAGTTCACAGCAGAGATCATACTACATTAGGTAGGCAGCATCCCCTAGGGAGTTTATCCCACATTACATAGAAAAGAGCAGGACAATCACCAATCCCAACACAAACCAGTTAGCCCAAAGTCTGGGAGGTGGCTTTTAATAAGCATCTGTCTGCTGAGGATCTCTAGAAACTGAGGGCAGGCTAAACTCCTTAGGGGTATATTAAGGTTCTCCTCAGACAGGAACAGACAAAGGTATGTCCACATTGTGTTGGTTAACAGAATGAGGCTATGGATGTGCTGCCAGACCAGCTTCTAAGTAGTGTCAGGGCTGGAGAAGAAATCTGAAGCAAAAGGCTGCCTTAAGTGCAGGAATTATTAATACATAGTGATTCACAGAAAAGCTAAGAACAGAGCAAGGACTGACACATGGTGATTATAATGGGGAGCTCTGTGCACATCCAATATACAGTGCTTTTTAATTTTCAAAGCACTTTACAATGAATGACAAGTTAAAGGTGTAAACTCCATTAAAATAATCGAAAAAGAAAAAGACTTCTCCCTCAGACTGGCCTCACAATTTAAATATTCCATTGTATTTGCAGCAACATTCTTGACTGTTTTCTAAGGGGGCTTTAACAATTTTTATATACCAAAAAGTATATTCTGAATAAAAATATTTATATCATATGTATGATTTTTGCAATACTAATTTTCATTTTTTTAACATTAGGAAAACAGTTTTTTTTCTGTCACTGTACAGTTGCTAGTCTTCTAACTATAAATATTTAGTCACAGTGAATTCATTTAAATATTGGAATAAATTCTACTAGCAGTTGCCATATTTCCTTCAGGGCTCTGTATTTACTTATTTATCAGAGTCCCCAAATTGTATGCTTGGTTTAAATAGCTTCGGGGCAAAAATACAATAAAATTGTATTAGTTAAAAATATAACTGGCATCAGCAACATGAAAACATAACAGCAAAACAGCATGCACATATACATATAAATTGTCATCATTTTAACAGTCTGTTGGGACAAGTCCAACGGCTATCTATTACAAAGATAGATTGTGTGCCAAGCCCTGAAGCTTAAGAAACTGGGACTCTGGGGAACCATACCGGCTTGGAACTCAAGCTGGAATGGTCATCATAGGTTCTTCAGAGGGATGTAGCTCTCCATCCGGAGGAAAATCAACAACAGTTAACAGAAGCGGATTTCAAATTTGGCGAGAAGGTCAAGAGATAATAAAACCTCATGACTTTTTTCTGTTTTCTGGCAGAAGATGACAGCATTCCTAAACATCAACACCCACCCAAACCTAACAGATATTGAGAAATGGGTTTGAGATATTTTTAATTTATAGTAAGGAAGTAGAATGAGAAGTGGGAAGTAAAACTGTGTGTGTGTGTGTGTGTGTGTGTGTGTGTGTGTGTGTGAGTCTATATGACTGTGGTATAAACTTTAAGTGTCCAAGCAGATAAAATAGATGCATATACATAAAACCCTTATAAATGTGAAGGTTCTTGGAGATTTTATTCTATTTATTGTTTAAATAGTCGCAAAGTGATCTACATAAACTGCAAGTCTGATTACATCAGAATCTAGCTGTAGTCTTTCTGTGGTTCCCAAATGCCTATAAGGTTATATCCAAGACATTCAGCACAACACACAAGATCTTTCAAGATCTAGGCCTTGCCCACCAACCTAGCTTTCTCTTTCTCCCCTCTTCTGCTCACACATTACACAAAATTTTATTAATACTGCTGGCTTTGTGCAGAAAATCTTTTGTTCCATTTAATTTTTTCCTCTGCCTGACTCTTAATTCTGACCCAGAACACTCTGATTAATTTTCTGTCATAGAAATGCCTAGTATGAAATCCCCAAGTCCAGGACAGTCTTCCACTCTGTGTGTTCTCCTGGCATTCTCTCTTATCAGAGCATTTAAGACATTGTTTGTAACTGCCTACATAGCCTACTTATTTGAATAATCACTATTCTGAAATCTTTTCAAATGCAAAAAATATGCCTCCCATTTTGCATCTGGACTCCACTGAAACCCATTTATCTGTTTTTTCTACTTCTACTCAAGTCTTGTAAAATCCGTTTTCACACAACAGCTCGCAAAAACTTTAAGCAATGTAAATTAAATTATATCACCGTCACTTCTCTGCTTCAAAATCTCTAATAGATACCTATTGTGCTTATCTTATCTTAGCACAATTTTTGATAAATCTCTACAAGAGTCACCCCTACCTACCTCTCAGGTCTCCTTTTACTCACTCACTACCATTATATATATTTTTCTTTTTCTGTAAAAATTAAGCTCTTTCCTGCTTTTAGGTCTTTGCAATTGCTATTCCTTCTGTGTGTTCTTTGTCCTAACATCTTCATGGCTAGCTCTTTCTCGTCATTTTGGTCTCACTCAAGTGTCACCTTCTGTAATCACCCTTTTTAATATTTTTCCTATAACCAAGTCATTCCTGATGGCAGTCATCAATGATATTGACAATGTATTTCTAGTTATTCTCTTTTCTGGGCCCATGGTAAGGTTGTACTTCCTGGGACATTTGTGGTTGACTGGGACCAATAAGATGGGGCCCTATGCTATATGATGAGGTTTGGTCAATGAATTGTGATCAGAAATGATGTATCTTCCTTTTGCATCAGATATGAGGCCATCCAGAACCCTCATTTCCCTCTCGCCTGCCAACTGCAAACATTCAAGTTGGTCTCTTATTCATCAGCTTGGGTCTTTGAATGACCACCACAGGGATAGCCCACCTACTGATCCACAATAGATATGTAAAATGAGCCATAATTAAGTTGTATATGTGTGTAAGATGCAGCGATTTTGTATTGGTCTGTTATCACAGCATAACCAGTCTGTTATTATCTGTTATACTATCTATAATATTACTCTGATCCGTTTTCTTCACAGCACTTATGACTTTCTTAACTAATTTAGTTGATTTCTTGTATAATTATTTATTGAAAGCCTATATGCTCCCTTCTCTGCTCATGTTCAAGTTTTATGAGAATAAGTCTCTGAACACATGGTTCCATGGTGTAATGGTGAACACTCTAGACTCTGAGAATAAGTCTCTGTCTTATTCCTTGCTCTAGCCCAGTGCCTAAAAAATGCCTGCTGACTGGGCACAGTGACTCTTGCCTGTAATCCCAGAACTTTGAGAGGCCAAGGTGGGCAGATCAACTGAGGTCAGGAGTTCGAGACCTGCCTGGACAACATGGTGAAACCTCGCCTCTACAAAAATACAAAAAATAAATAAATAAAATAAAAAATAAAAATAAAAATAAATGAATAGCCGGGCATGATGGCGGGTGCCTGTAGTCCCAGCTTCTGGGGAGGCTGAGACAGGAGAATCACTTGAACCCGGGAGGCAGAGGTTGCAGTGAGCCAAGATTGCACTATTGCACTCCAGCCTGGACAACAAGTGAGATTCCATCTCAAAAAAAAAAAAAAAAAGCCTTCCTCGTAATACTAATCTGCCTCACACAACTGGTAATGTATTGAACTTTTCATAAAAGAACAAATTTTATCATGATCTTATAATAGCATAAAATAAATGATAAATTTTATTAGAAAACAAACAGGCTGAACAGCAATGATTTAAATATAAAAATTAATGACTTTATAAATGCTTTTTGATTATTATATGAATGAATTCTATTTTTCTTCTTGAGTTTTTATATGAGAAAAACCATACAAGAAGTTAAAAATGGTACAATCATAAAACTGAGCAGACTCCAAAGTTTAATTATGTGGGTTTGAATCTCATCTCTGCTACTTATCATGTGCGTAACTGCAGGAAAATTAATCATTTCTGTAACATGAGATGCTTTCAATAGGCAAATTCCATTTATTTGTGTGAGACAGAGTCTCCCTCTGTCCCCCAGGCTGGAGTGCAGTAGCACCATCTTGGCTCATTGCAATCTCTGCCTCCTGGGTTCAAGTGATTCTCGTGCCTCAGCCTCCCAAGTAGCTGGGATCACAGGCATGAGCCACCACACCTAGCTAATTTTTGTATATTTAGTAGAGATGGGGCTTCACCATGTTAGCCAGGCTGGTCTCGAACTCTGACTTCAGGTGATCTGCCTGCCTTGGCCTCCCAAAGTGCTGGAAGTACAGGTGTGAGCCACTGCGCCTGACCTATTTATTTATTTTTTAATCAAAAGGAGCTGATGGTTGTTCCTTTTTCCACTGGGTTCAATCTGATGTAATGAATATAAAGCATAAGCAAAATGGAGTGCCATCTAAGCTACCATATCAATGCAAGTTACACAGGATGGGAGATAAAGAAACACTCAGAGAAATGTGAGGTCTTGGCATTCCTCTTGAAGACCACCTTGAGAGTCAAGAAAACCTCTAACTTTCTGACACAGGGAAAAAAACGCACATCAATAAAAAGCATCATGTATAATTTCTGAGCTTTTATAAATCCCCTAAAATCTACTCATGAAGTTCCCGAATATATAGACCCAATCCTAGGTATTTTTTTAAAGTCAAATGAGTCCTAAAAATCATGGACATTAGCTGGGTGCAAAGGCTCATGCCTGGAATCCCAGAACTTTGGGAGACTGAGGCGGGAGAATCTCTTGAGGCCAGGAGTTCAAGACCAGTCTAGGCAACAAAGTAAGACCCTGTATGTACAGATTTTTTTTTTAATTAGCTGGGTGCAGTGGCACACACCTGTGGTCCCAGCTACTTGAGAGGCTGAGGTGGGAGAACTGTATGAGTCCAGGAGGTTGAGGCTGCAATGAGCCATGATTGTACCACTGTACTACAGCCTGGGTGACAGAGCAAGACCCTGTCTCAAAAACAACAGCAAAAATCATGGACATTAATAGGTGACATTCTGAAGACAAGAGGGCAATCCAGGCTGGGGAGAATATATAACCAAGACAAGGAGTTACACATTAATGATGTGTATGTGCATTATTAGAGAATCGTTATCCTCTTTAGGTTTGAAAGTTCACAATATTATATTTTCTTCTTCGGACTATACTCTTGTTTTATGTTATTATAATGCAGTTGTTTATGGTGACCCTTAGTAGATGTTATGCCAGCATACAGAGGTTCAGACATGGGTAGCTTAAGAAGAAAAAAAAAAAAAAAAAGAAAATCTCCAGGTAAATATAACATTTGTATTTAAATTTATAAGGTAAATATTTATTTAGAATAAGAAAACAAATGAGTGGATTCACTTATGAAACACAAATAAATAAACAATAGCAAACAAAGCAAATGGAAAAAACCTTAGACAATAACAGTATACTCTCTCTCCTCAAAGATTCTGCTTTGATCTTTATAAAAGGAAGGTGCTAATGTAATTGAGTTTGGCCCCATATAAAGCAGGTAGTAGCTGTCAACTTTGCAAGGATGCCAGCCCAAGACGCTCCCTAATTTTCAAAGTACTAGAGAATCTAGGTTTTTATTGGAAATTCTCAGATTTTTAAAAGACCAATAGTGTGTTCGTCAAACATACTGAGGAACAGTTTCAATATATGAGCTGCCAGTCTTTGATTCTTATTTTGGAGAATGTGGAAAAATCAATAGATTACACCTTCCATTCTTTATTAAATATTTGAAATCTCTGACAATTACCTGAAATACGATTTTTAAATGTTATTGGTTGAGCTCATACTACAGGCTATAAAAGTCAGATGAGCCAAGGTATGTTTTGTTTTGTTTTCAACGAAAGTTAAGTAGAAGGAAAGAAGAAAAAAAGCCCTTTCATTGCTGCATGGAAGCTGGGCTCTTCACCATAGAGTGATGCACAGAGCTGATTGGGCCTTGGAGGTCTATCTGAGTTGTCTCTTTTCTTCTTCCTGAATATTGAACTAATGTAGGAGTTTCAAGTTATAGCCTAGGCTTAAAGACTTCACAATATCTTGTTTATGAAACCAGTCCCAAAATAATTCTTTACAACTGTAGTAGCTATGTCATACAGTCATTCCTCCATATACACTGGGGATTGGTTTCAGGACCCTGAAGATATCAAAATTCAAGAATGCTCAAGTTTCTTATATGAAATGATGTAGTGCTTGCATATAACCTATGCACATCCTCCCATAATATACTTTAAATCATCTCTGTATTATGTATAATACCTAATACAATGTAAATATGATATAGTTATACTATATTGTTGACTGATTTTTCTTTTTATTGTTGCATTCCTATTTCTTGTTTTCTTTTTCCAGATATTTTCTAAATACATTTGTTTGAATCATTGAATATATTTCTATATAGAGCACTCTGCAGACACTAAATAAATATGGTGGGAAATTGCTATATCACATTTTATATATATCTCCCCCTTGTGCACAGACTTTACCATCTTTATTAATTGTGTGTGATTGATTGTGTGTGTGCAAACCAAGTATTTTATCTAACCATAAAGATGGTATGTTCAAAGTGAGAATGAATTAGATAGCTAGAATACTAGAAAAATAAAGTTTTTGATTTTGGAGGGGATTTAAAGAAAGCCAAAACTCAATGCTTTATTATTGCATGTGTTCTTAGCAGTGGTCACTTTTGAAAATTAGTCCTAGTGGTTTTCTATTACAATTCATGTTTTTGACCAATGGAACTTCTTTACCCTTGCTTCCACAGGGTTGTTTCTCCTTGGTTATTTATTAGTTCAGCATTACTGCACAAGCAATATTTAGGATGTATGGTCAAGTCCATCTTGAACATCTTTATAATATTGTATCACCTGACAGATTATAATTGCTGAACGTCTTTAAATAAAGAAAAAATAAAGAACTAAACCATTTATATTATAGAAAATAACAGCAACAAAACTTTGTAGTTGAATTAATCCTTTATAGATATCTAATTTAATTCTCACATCAACCCTGTTGATGCATTCTCACTGAACAAATAGAGGTCTCAAAAGAGTAAGTGACTGCTTTGGTGATATCACTGTTATTAGGAACTTTGACATTAGATTAACCTTAATTTATAACCATAGATATCTACCAAACCAGTGTAATAAATAATGAGAAATTCACTTGAACCTGCTTCAAATTAATCATAATTATATATATCAATTGCTGCTATAGGTAGCTTATACATTAATTGCTAGATAGAGCTATGCAAGATACACAATAAATTTGTTACATTAAAACTTTGGTCTAAAAATATCTACTAAAATATCTATTTACTGTAATATTTGGAAATACAGATTAATATATCTCATTAGATCTTAAAACAAATTTTAATAAGCTGCAGATTAGTCATGTAATTCAATTGTTAAACTGCCAAACATCTGTATCCCAACATTTATATTTTCTTACTTTTATTTATGTTTACCTGCAGAATTTATCCTATATTTTTAATCATCAGATTTGGGGCAATAATGTTACCTGGTCATTGTTATGAATTATTAATTGATAAATTTGAATGTCTAGTATTTCAATTCTTATATTTAAGTGTCTATTCTGATTCTAGAATTGAAATCCTTTGTCCAGAAGTTACATTTATTACCTGTTTTTTTGTATCTATTTCTCAAATTTTTGAATGCTATTCTTCAAAGATTTTGTTAGAAAGTACTTACTAGTTTTTGGTTATTTGCTTCTTAATAATTTGAAAGAAATTACCCAGAGAAAGATAAGAGAATAAGTCAAGGTCTTATCATTAAGATTAGAATGTATAACCTAATTTATGTGTCTTAGAGAAAAGCCTTTAAAGATTTCATCCTTTAGGCATGAGTACAAACCACAACAGAATATCCGCAAATTATCTTACTTCTTCTTTTCTAATGTACATAGTACTTTCAGAAATTTTAGGGGAGGCAAGAAACATCATTTTATCGGACTATTAATGTTATTTAAATGAATTAGAAAATACTAGAGTATATTTATACTTATTAACCATCTAAAGTAAAAATGTATTCTCTCTAGCATTATAATAATGCCTGAAGAAAGAAAAAAATGTGAAATAAAAACTACCAACAAGTAAAATCATAATTTCTCTCCTGTCTTGCCCCCCTCTGCTTCTCTCTTCCTCATTTCAAATTAAGAGATTCATTCTCCTGCTGGTTGTAACGGAAATGAATTTCAGTGCCACCCTGATGGTAATTGCGTTCCTGATTTGTGGCGCTGTGATGGAGAAAAAGACTGTGAAGATGGTAGTGATGAAAAAGGTTGCAATGGTACCATACGATTGTGTGACCACAAAACCAAGTTTTCCTGTTGGAGTACAGGTAAGTGAACATTGCTTTTGGCTTCTATTGGGTCTCCCTGAGTGTGGAGTCCTTTTGGCTCAGGCTGAATCTGTATCTCACCTTTGTAAAAAGTAATCTTATATTTTTGGCAGATGTGCTCATGTATAATAATAGTAGTTAACATTTAGGGAGAACTATCAATGGGGCTAGCATAATTCTATGAATGTTCTCCGCATTGGATTCATGAGGCAAGGAGAAGTTTTTAACTTGCTTACGCTCACAGAGCCAACATGTCAGACTTAGGATTTAATTTAATTAATTAATTAATTTATTTGTTTATTTATTTCTGAGATTTGGGATTTTTAAACCAGGCAATCTGGAATACAGAATCTGGAAATTCAGAATCGAGAGAGATAAGCATGCCAAACCAGCTGGCAGCATTTCTCTTTCCGTAGATAAGGCCTCACCCTAAAATTTAAATGAAGATGACTTAGAAAAGAAAGATAGAATTATATGTATTTATTTTCAACTAATTTCCTAAATGTTACTGTACTATTGCTTATTTCTATTATGAGGAGGATGCTGACTGCCATTTAAAGCTTTGATTTGAGGGTCATTGGGGCTGTTATTGTGTTATATAAATATACCCTATTACTATGACTGTTCCATTTTGGTTTCGTGTGTGTGCGTGTGTGTGCGTGTGTGCGTGTGTGTGTGTGTGTATACAAATAGGAAACCAAAATGGAAAAGTTATAGTAATAGAATGTCTTATATTCTACTATATTTTATTACATATACTGGGTACCAGTTGAAATGATAAACTTATTTTCTTCCCGCTTTATGCCAGATGATGTGTTGAAGTTTAGAGAAAAGTAGATTACGATGAGCTATTGTGGTTTAATTTGTGAAATGGTTGGTATCATCCTCCCAATAATCCATGGAAATAATTTTCTGTAGATGTCATGATAACATCTCTGCAATCTCTCTTTGATGTGAAATTGTTTTTCAATTGCTTAATCATGAGCTCTTAGTGATTTCTTTTGCTCCCTATAATTACATATTCTAACAAAAAGTACAAATAAGAAGTTGTAAAAGGTGTAAGAAAACACTGTGAAAGCCACGGGGGCTGATGTACATTTAAAGGTATAAAAAAGCACTGTCTTTCTTTTCTTAAACATGCCTCTTGGTTACAGTTAAATATTCCAATAAGAAAAAAGAAAAATAAATGCAAGCTAACATAGGTATAGATAAATACATACTCCTGAAGCCTTTTCCTAGCAAGGAAATTGTGTTTCCAAAACATTTTTTTCCAACAATATTTTTCACAATTATGTGACTCTCTTCAATTGTTACATAAAGAGTCATAATTTTAGGGTTATTTGTTAGAAAAATGTGATTTTAAGTTTAGAAATGGTCTTTTTGGAACATGTATTAATTGAAAATTAGCAGACGAATTATTGTAAAATGAATGAATTATTGATGGCATAAATAGATTTCATTTAATAGGGGAATTCTAATGCCAAAGAGCCAATTATTTGACTCGAGTTAACATACTTCAAAGCATATATTGTGTATATTTTCTCCATATAACTTCTGGCATTTTCCTGATTGTATTAACTTAAAATACAGCAGGTAACAGTTTTTAAAACATATATGAAAAAGAAACTGGCAAAGCTTGGTTAAAACAAAATATAAACCAATATGGAAAATCCTGAGTTTCAATTACTTGAATATGCTGTTAAAGCAAATTGAGATGCGAAACATAAAACCAGGCTGCAATTTCTCTATACAGAAATAAATTATAAGGAGATTCACAGTAATGTAAATTCTCAAAGCTATGTATTAATAAAAACTAGTTTGAACTTTCAGTTGAGAAAAAAAATTTGCAGACAAAGCATGTAAATAATAAATAGTACGATTAAGTAAATTTAACAGAATATTCTAAGTGCTTGTAATTTATTTTAAAATGTGTATTGATATTTTGCAATGAACACTTATAAAACAACTTCCTGTGAATATGGTTCAACATCAAAATAAATCTGAAGTATGATGAGGAAAGCTGGCTATCTTTAGAGAACTGAATTTTCTGGAACACTTTTATATGTGTTGACTTGAGATTTGGATTATCGATTTAATAATGCTTTTAATTAAACATCCGATGTTTCTACCAAATAGTTTTTAGGTAAGCAAAAGATTAATGTAAAAAAAATCTGTGATAAAACATATGTTTCACTTTAAAAGGAAAAAGTGAAAGGTAATAATTTATCCATCTGCTTCTAATCTGATCTGTGTTTTGGATATAGTAAACCACAATTTATTCAACTTCAGAAGAGTTGCACAATTACAAAGTCACATTTATGACAGACTTCAATGAACATTGCAGTCATTAAAATGAACCACAAATATAAGCAATGATTTAAAATATGTATTCATCTACAAACCTTTTGATATTTTTTCATTTACTTTAAATTCTCAGTTTTACAAGCTATAAGACCTTTAAACTACCCACAATGTTTAATCCAAAGTTCATGATTATTTTCAAAGTTTTTTAAAATGTTAGCTGAACATTGAAAAGTTTCAGGCTAATTAATTTATATATGGTAATTAGAATAGCTTTCTTATACATAAATTGTCATCTATTGGTGTTCAAAACGTAGGCACAGTAGGTTTTTAAATTCCTATTATATGAGAATGAGAGCTAACTTCAAGTACAATATAACAGTCAGGACTTAAGAACTTCTAATCTCAAAGGACCTATTTTTGACCAAGAAGTGCATTGTGCCGCATCTGTTCTCTTACACTCCAGACTAACAAATAGCAGTTGTATTATAAGTGGGGAAAAGGGAAGTGAATTTTCAGTCACTCTGTCGTGGAAAAGAAACTCAGAAATGCCTTTCTTCATAGTGATCGCAAGGTACCGGGAAAATAGGCCCTCCAGCTACTTGTAGGAATGTAAATTTAATCCTTCTGTCCTACTTGTAGAAATTCGTGTAAAGAAAAGTAGGATTGTATAAGGTTATATATGCACAAATATATTCAATGAGTCATTTTATTTTTAATAGTAAAAAATTAGAAACAATATATTGCTTATCAATAGGGATGGTAATAAATGGTTGTGTATTCACGCAAGTATTCTAATGTCATTAAAACAATAAAAAAGGAATTCATGTGAAGGTGAGACTTCAAGTTTACACTCTGAAGTTTCTGCTTCTCTGTTTTCACTTCTCAACACACAGAAGTGATGATAAAATATAACAGGATAAAATAAAGGAGATACTGCCTGATGAACAAAAAATATGTATCTCTGAGTAACAGAAATATAGCACAGTATCAAGTGGTGTGCTGAGCTAAAGCTGAGTACCTTACTGAGTTGGGTATGTAGGCTAGCAGAAATGAATGGGTGCTCAGATCTTAGGGTCAATAGAAATAAAGCTGTCCCACATGAAGCTGGGATCTGGAGGCAGGCATTACTGGAAATCAGAACCTGGAAAGAAATTCCATTTGCTTTTGAAAGGAGAGTTGAAAAACTATACATATCACTGCTAGTTGCTGCCAGTGGTAGTTACTTGAATGAAGTCATGTGCCTAAAGAGATGGGAGGACACAGGCACTGCAATTGAGCTGAACTTCTGTCTGGCTTGGAGATTGAATCTGATAAAATCCAATATTGTTTTAGGATAGAATCTCACACAAAAAATATAAGTTGTATTTCTGAACCAAGATTGCTGGAAATAATGGAGTGGGCCAAAGTCCAAGCAGCAATGCTTGTAGATAGGCACAAGTAAACTCATAAAGTCAGAGAGGAAAATGAAGGTTGTGATCCAAGATGAGATTACAAACCAGAATTTTAACATATGTGAAGAAAACTTTCTCATCAAAATCAGTCATTACAAAATAAATTATTCATGACTAAATGAAAATAAGCTATATGTCTGAAAAATAAGTTTACAATAAGTATGTTGAGACCCTCGAAAAGAAAAAGAAAAAATATTACTCCCAAAATGACTAAGAATTCAGCACAGATATGACAAGCAGAATAGTTGCAATAGGAAAAGGTGGAAAATGAGACTATCTTAGTTCAGGCTGCTGTAACAAATTATCATAAACTGGGTTGTTTAAACAACAAACATTTATTTCTCACAGTTCTAGAGACTGAGAAGTCCAAGATCAAGAACTGGGAAACCTGGTGTGTGTCTGAGGCACTCTTCCTGGTTTGCAGATGGCAATCTTCTTATGATATGCCAACTCTACTCTCGTAACTGATTACCTCCCAAACCTCCCAATACCATCACACTGGGGATTAGGATTTCAACATGAATTTGGTCTGGACACAAACATTCGGTCTATAACACCTATAAGAAAAATGTGGTTCAAAACCACAGTGGGATTGCATTCTTTCGACATCAGTTGATTGATAATAAACAAGCCCAGTAATACCCATGCTGGTGAGAGTACAGGAAGCAGACACTTTGCTTTCAGGGAGATTGGTGAACCTCTATGGAAAGCAATATATTTCAATGTTTACAATGTGTCTCCAATTTTACCCACAATTCCACCTCTAGGAATTTATCACACAGATATATTCATGCATTTGAGGAGTGAGATGTACAAAGATATTTATTTAAAGCTTTATTAAATGTGTTTAATAAACTTAAACCAATACATATATACTCTTCCATGTACACCAAAGTTATAGAAAACTCTTTCAAATTTGACCATATGTTAGGTTCCAAAGAAGTCTTAAAAGTATTTCAAATAATTGGCAATTTACAAAAAGCATTCTCTACACACACACACACACACACACACACACACACAAAATAGAAATCTACAGCAGAATGATTTTTAAAAATGTATTTGGAAACTAGGATCATACTTCAAAATAATCTGGATTAACTAAGAAATCATACATATATTTAAATATTTAGAACTGAATAAAATGGGTAATATATATCAAAATGTTTATGACTTCTAAAAAAATAGACTTTATATTTTAGACAAATTTTAGGTTCACAGCAAAATTAAGCAGAAAGTACAGAGACTTCCTGTATACTCCCACCGCCCTCACATGCACAGCTTTCTTTACTGTCAATATACTGCACCAAAGTGGTACATTTGTTATAATCAATGCACCTATAGTGACACATCTTTCTCATCCAAAGTCTATGGTTTACATGACGGTTTACTTTATTTAGATGTTGTATATTCTATGGGTCTTGACAAATATATGATGACATGTATCCATCATTATAGTATCAAGGAGAATAATTTCACTGCTCTAAAAATCTTTCGTACCCTGCCTGTTTATTCTTCCCTCCCCCTTAGCTCCTGGAAGCTACTGATCTTTTTACTGTCTCTATGGTTTTGCCTTTTCCAGAGTGTCATGTCACTGAAATCACATCATATGTAGACTTGCCATATTGACTTCTTTCACCTTGTAATATGCATTTGAGTTTCCTTCATGCCTTTTCACGGGTTGGTAGTTGAAATCTTTAAGCTTTGAATAATATTCCATTGTGCCACAATTTTTTAATCTGTTTACCCACTGAAGGACATCTTTGTTGTTTCCAAGTTCTGGCAATTATGAATAAAGCTGTTGTAAATATCTACATGCAGGCTTTTGGGTGGACATAAGTTGTCAATTCATTTGGGTAAAGACCAGGGAGTCCATTTACAGGATAGTAGGGTCAGAGTATGTTCAGTATTTGTAAGCAATGGCTGCACTGTCTTTCAAAGTGGCTGTACCATTTTGTATTCATTCACTTGAGATGAATGAAAATTTCTGCTGCTCTATATCCTTGAACACCTTTAGTGTTGTTACTGTTCCAGATTTTCATCATTCTGATAGGTATACAGTTGTATCTCATTATTGTTTTAATTTGCATTTTCCTAATGACATATTATTTTGAGTATATTTTCAAATGTTCATTTGCCATTAAATTGCTTTTAATAGTTAAAGGTCCCAAACAACCTAAATAGGCCAGAATAGGACACTTAGGTGCAAACATGATATTTCTGTATAGTAGAATGCCTTGCAGATTTGGAAGTCATTATAATGCACTGACATGTACACTTCTCTGTGATTACATGTTGAGTGAAAAGTGCAGGAGTGCAAGAGTGGGCATAGCATGTAATATTGTTTAAGTGGTGAAAAGAAAATAAAAGTATATTCTTTCTATAATAAAAACATTTCTGTTTTCATTCACAAGAAACTATTGTCATTGTTTGTCTCTAAGTATGGGGAAAAGTGGCTAGGAAGAATGACTGAGAAGGTATCACAACTTTTACTGTGTCCTTTTTTAATTGACTACCTTTCTTTGACTACCTTTCTAAGAGTTGTGATAGTTTGGTGCTGACTCATCTACCTTCCCCTCTAGATTCCATTGGAATAAGCAACATACATTTTGAAATCAAGTTCCAGAGTAGTGTTATTAGTTAATGACAAGTGATCTTTTAGCAGAAGAATGTAACAGAACTGACTGGCATAGAGAACTGACTGGCACACATGTGGATTTAACTTTAACAGTGGCATCATACTCTGTTCTGATCTGCTATGTAATGAAAATTCTCTATGGGCTTCTGTGAATGGCAAAACATTATTCTTGTCTATTTTTGGATTGTTTTGTTTTCTTTCCCCTATTGTTGTATCAGTGAATACAGAATAAAATGATGAATTTAATCATTGTGGAAAACCAATCTGGATTATTAGAACCAAAAATATCCTATAATGGTACAGTGATTTTGTTAGAATTATATGATGGGTTATATATGAAATATTTCTGAACACATCCCTTTTTTTCTTTCTGGAACCAGCCCTATGGAATACTTCTGATTATTTCTGATGAAAATAATATGGCAAGCTGTTCATTGTTTATGTGCCAGAAAGCTAATAAAATATTTTGCATTTTTCTTTTTATGAGCCTCCTATATTTTTCCTTGATTCCTCCCAGTGACTTTTTTTGTTTGTTTTTTTTCTTGAGACAGAGTCTCGCTCTGTCACCCGGGCTGGAGTGCAGTGGCGAGATCTCGGCTCACTGCAAACTCTGTCTCCTGGGTTCACACCATTCTCTTGCCTCAGCCTCCCAAGTAGCTGGGAGTACAGGCGCCTGCCCCCTCACCCGGCTAATTTTTTGTATTTTCAGTAGAGACGGGGTTTCACCATGTTCCCCAGGATGGTCTCGATCTCCTGACCTCGTGAGCTGACAGTTTTAAACCTTTTGTTGTATGCCTACTCTAGTTGTTTCCCTTCAGTCCTGTCTATAAAGAAGAATAAACAATTCTCCTTTTTGTCCAGGAGGGCCCTTTTTTAGATTTATTTTATTTATTTATTTATTTATTTATTTATTTATTTTTGAGACAAAGTCTTGCTCTGTTGCCCAGGTAGGAGTGCAGTGGTGCGACCTCAGCTCACTGCAACCTCCAACCCCCAGGTTCAAGCAATATCTGCCTCAGCCTCCTGAGTAGCTGGGATTATAGGCATGCATCACCACACCTGACTAAATTTTTTTTTTTCTTTTTAGTAGAGATGCGTTTTCACCATGTTGGCCAGGCTGTTCTCGAACTCCTTACTTCAAGTGATTCACCCACCTCGGCTTCCCAAAGTGCTGGGATTAGAGGTGTGAGCCAGCGCCCCCAAACCCTTCTTTAGATATTGATCCTGTGGCCTCCTAATCCTTGTGGGAGCTTAGTCACTTTTCTTGTTTGGTCTTCTATTTCTTTCTCCACACTAATTTTTCTTTCTCTATATAACTATATTTAGTCCAATAACCTGAAAAACACTTCTTTGATTTTATTACCTTTTCCCTGTCTTCCTTCTTCATTTCATTAAATCACCTTATATAAGTACCTCGATGTCTTATGTCTCACTAATTCCTCCACCCCTTGCAATCTAACATCCAATGGCTTCCCTTGATGGAAATGGCTGTTTCGATGGTCACCAGGAAAGATTTCTTAGTTTATGCTCTTCTGTGTTTTGAGTCCTACTCTGCCATTCAGTAACTGCATGAGTGCAGATAAGTTACTAAACCTCTCTACATTATCGCTTTCTGATCTGTAGAATAGATATGATAGTAATAACTGGTAGAATGTACAAAGAGTGCCTAGAACACAGTAGAAGCTTAATGAATGACACTTTTCACTACTAGTACTGCACCTCGGCTTCTTTCTCTGCAACACTTAACCCTGCTGCATTTCCTCTCCTTTTAATATTTTCTTATGAATTCTCACATTGGATTGTTCTCTTTAGCCACATGGCATTTAGAGTCCTCTTTTTATTTCACTTTCCCTTGCCCATTTTCCTCTACCTGTCCCTCATATTTAATTTTAAAATATAATTGTTGAGCACGTAATATGTGTCCAGCATTGTAGATATTCTTCTCTTAATTTTTTTGCTCCTTCTCATCTTTCTGCAAAGTCTTCATAGCAATCTATTCTGTCCCCAGTTTTAACCATCACCTCTAGGACTCCAAAATTTCCGCCACTGACATTTACTTCCCACTTCCAACCCATTTTTTCCCGATGCATTGCTGAACATTCTACTTTCTCTTCAAAGTCAGAAAGGAGTAAGAATATATCATTTCTGTTAGAATATGTAATCCCCTGTATGCTCAGATTTAAAGCAGAAAGCACCCTTTGACACTTCTAACTTGAAATCATTTTCCAAGTCCTAGTCCTACTGAGGTTACTTATGCAATATCTCCAACATAACCCATTCCATTCTCTACTCACATCTCATAACCTAAGGTTAAGCTTTCATTATCTCTCACTCAGATCCTTGTGTGGCCAACTGTGTTTTCCTCTGACAGTCATTAGCTTCAATCCACTCTATCCACAGTTTTGGCTTCCTCTTACCTCAAGATGTGACCTGAACACATACTTTAAAAAAATCTTTCAGTCGTTCAAATTTGCTGAATCTTATAGACAATCTCCATTGCTAATTCAAAAAGTGTCTCAATTTTCTTAACCATAATCAGATTAAGAAACGCTTCTTGAATTAGGGGCCCCAAACTGCTTCATTATTGCTTTTTGAACAGGTCCCATTCTTTCCTGCTTTTATACCTTTAGATAACAGTTTCATCTTTTGTGTGAATTCGATTAAACAAATAAGGTTGAATATTCAGCATGTAAAACTGCGTTATGTTCAAAATTACCTCCCAAAAATCACACATTAAACTTAATATACATGGTTCTATGTATATAGCTCAGGATAATTTGTACCTATAACTCTATTATAAACAAGGTAATGCTTAGCATAAAATAAAAAGCAAATATAAAAATTAGAATTTTATAATGAATTCACTTAGAGATGGAACAAAGATCAGCATAAGAAAGAACTGATTCTCTTCTACTATCTATGCCCTAACACATTCCTATTGAGTAGCAAGAGTAGTCACTATGCTATTAAATTTTTATTTCTTTCACCTGTTCCATTTACTTGCTTTTTGATTTTACATGGGGTATATATTCGAATGTTAAGACTATACGCATAAGGCAGCTGTCTATATTAAATGCTTTTTTCCTTACGTAAAATTTTCTACCATCCTTCAAAACGCTGTTCAAAAGAATAGTTTGGTAAAGCTTGTTTCTCATCCTTCCAATCATACATATTTTCCACCTCCTTGAAAATCCATAGCACTCTCTGATGGTTATATGGCTTTCATCTTATTCTACTTTATATGTTCAATATTAGAACATTTGTCATTACTAGAGTTATTGCTCCACAAGGTCAGGAATTTGTCTTCCCCATCTTTCTACACTCTTCAGTAGAAAACCAAGCATATAATACTCAAAAAACATTTGTCAAATTGAATTGAAACCAAACACTGTTAGAGAAATAAATATGTAGGTAACACTAAAGGTTAGTAGTATAAACATTTTATAAAATATTATAGACCAGTGTTCAAAAAGGCATTATAATAATATAGTTTCAAGTAAATCCATTTAGACTTTCTCAAAGATTTACTTCATATTAATATTATTATTCTTAATATAAACTGCCAGTCATATCCCAGAACAGAAATTATCCCATTACAACATTTGTTATCTTTTTATTAAACTAAAAACAAGTCCGTTTACAAAAAGGTAGATCTATTTCAGAACATGGTCAAGAGTTTAACACAGAAAAGAGAAACTCTAGAAGAGATTGTATCAATTTATTTTGGGAAGCTAGCATGTTTTCTACAGTCATACAAACTTAAGTTTTTCTATACCTGTTGACTTTGTAGTTGTGTTTAACCAAATTTCTGGGTTTTGGGGATTTTTTTTAAAAAATTTGCTGTTATTGTTGTTACTTATCTATTCTTATTTTCTTTTCTCAAAGGACAAAACCACAGTTACCAAAATAGAGTCTTTGACATGTAGTTATCAAGTTGAAAACATCATTATAAATAAATGAGAAAATATTTTGTAGAGCTCAACTTCATACTAATTATCTAATATGGTTTTCGGCATCTTCTAAAAAAGAATTAGTAAACACAAAATGATTTACTTGGTTACTTGAATTACTCATGCACATTTAAAAAACTTTATTTTAAAGATTTTTGGATATTCTATCTATTGGATAGTTATAATGTCTATAATATGTTTTACTATTATTAATAACTACTTATTTCTTATATATAAAGAAGGGAGTTTAAGCAAAGAAATCTGTGATATTTGTTCATTCAAGATTTTATGTCCAATGACTTGATTAGGTACTTGATTAGGTGAGGATTTATCTTGATATGAATCAAGTAAAAATCAATATGTTTAAAGTATTTTTACTGAGGCCATTTGCTTTTGGGTTTTACCTAATTCATGTGCATGAGTTAGACATTCATTAAACTTATCATACTTGGTTCGCCTTCTTATCTACATTTTGGTAAGAACTAAAACCAAACACAAATAGAGAGAAGCAATTAAGCTTCAAACAGCCCCTAAAAAATCAATAGGAAGAGGGGGGCTATTTAAGCTTATACAATTCATTTAATCTATGTATTCATATTTATTCATATCTCTGGTGACATTATTTGTTTTAAAGTTTTACAGTCATCTGAATATTATTTTTGTTTACCTTTTCCAAGCAGTATTTATGTCAGGGATGGCAAATAGCCTTACTGCTATTCTGACTCTAAAAGATTGATATTGATTTATAGATATATCTGTTGAAACAATTCTAAGGTCATTTTGGAGTCAGTGGTTGGGAATGCCATCATGGATTGGTGATGTGTCTGGGAAAAAACAAACAAAAAAAGGAAGTTGCATTTTGATAAACCAAACTAAAAATGGGAATTTGTATATTCTTGAACTCTTGCAAATGACTTCATACAATTTAATGCTTAAGTATAGAATGTCATATTTTAGACTACAATGATATATTATGCATTGATCTTTTCTTTCTAACTAGATTATAAGCCCCTTGGTGACAAGGATCAGGCTTTATGCTTGCTTATATTTCTGAAAGCCCTTAGGAAAGGGTAAGGCACAGAGTAAATTCAACATATAATTTTTTACAAGAAGGCTGTTGAATCTGTTAGGCTTCACTGCATATGTGTGTACATAATCATTTTTTTAAAATAAGCTAATATATTTTGGAAAAGTTACCGAAGTATACGGTAGAAGAAAAATAAAGCAGCACAAGAGTATTCAATGAAAAGTATCTCTTCCTCCTACAATGGGTTTCCAGTAACTAATTCTTTCCAGAGGCAACCAATTTGAACTATTTCTTGTGTATCCCTCCAGAAAGAATTCAAATAGAGACAAGTCTATCCATGTACTGATATTGATAAATGTATGGAAATATAATCATAGATATTTATAAATAGCTAACTCCCTTTCAACACATCAAAAGCCTACATACACTGAGTTCTATGCCTTTTTTAAATTAATTAAGCTTGAAAATTAGTTTTCATTCACTTATGTAGATTGACACATTCTTCTTCACTCAAGCATATACCTTTAATGTATGGATGCATTGTAATTGATGTCACCAGGCTTGCAGTAATTATTTAAATTGTTACTTTCCTTTCCCTAATATATACAAAACAGCAGTAGATATCCTAGTATCTTTGTGCACTTGTGCAAAGATATTTATGAAAACATTTTCTAAAATTAGAATTACTGTGGTGAAGAGTTGACACATGTTTCATTTGCTGGATTTCTTGACATTGCCCTAGAGAGAGGTTATCACAATTTTCAACATTTGTGCTGTTTCTTACATTATTGTCAAATCTAGTTTTGTACTATCCAACTTTTTGATCTTTATCTAATAGAGTAGGAAGGATGTCAACTAGTTATTTTAGTTTACCTTTTTTAATTGAAAGGGATATTGAATATCTTATGTTTCTGAACCATTACAATTTCTTTATGAATCTTGCACTTGGATTGATTGTTATCTTATTGATTTAAAAGAACCCTTGTATTTTTTAAAAATATGCTTTTTGTCATATAATGAAATATTTTTGAAAATATGATTAAATGTTTTTTTCTGGCTTATTGACTGTCCAGTGACTTTGTCTATGGAGTTTATTGTTGCAATATGGAATAAAATATGTTTATAAAATTCAGCTTCATGTTTGTATTTTTATCATCCTTATTTTAAAATGATTACCTCTTTGATATGTCTGGAATATATTATAGCATAAGAAGCCAAGTAGAGATTCAGCTTTATTGTTTATCCTCCAGATTGGCAAATGAGGTGATACTGCATCATTAATTTTGTTCTCTGCTATTTAGATTGCCAACTGTTTCATATATAAAATCCATATACATAAATAGACCTATTCCTAATGTCTCTGTGCTCTTTAATTATTAATATCTTTATTGATATTTATAAAAAGTATTTTAACTACTATTACATTAAATTACTTCTAAATAGTTGGAATATATACAGTTTCTACTCATTAAGATTCCTCTGTTTTGTTTTTTGTTTTGGTAAGATTCTGAATGATTTTTCTGGTTTTATTTTTTAACTTAAAATAAGCTTTTAGGGTTGCATTGATGTTACTATTTTGAAAGGATTGTTTAAGAGAAAATTATTATCTGTACTAATCCAAGACCAAATAATATCTATATTCAAGGCTTTTTTTCAGATTTTTTGTAGAATTTTGGATTTGTATAAGTGTTGTATAGTTCTTGTACATTTTAACCCAAAATACATTTTTTATGATAAAATTTTAATTGGCCTTTTCTTCTAGTATATGCTCTCTATAGATATGAAATCTGTTTTTCTGTTAATTTTGAAACTAGCTACCTATTTTTTGAATTCTTAGTTTATGTAATTTTAATTGATTTTATAATTATATGATTATATTAACAACGTGTAATGACACTCTTTTCTAATGTTATTCCTCATTTCTAATATTATACCTCATTTCTTTCTATTACCTAATTGTCCTAGGTAGTATTTACAGAACAACATTATTGGTTTTATTTATGATGTTAATGCAAAAGTTTATAATGTTTCTCTATTTATATCAAATCTAATGAAGTATGTCAATTCTTATTTTAAGAGTATTTTTATCAATGTTGAATATCAAATGTATTTTAGTTAACTATGGAACTGATTATATTTTATTTGACATAATAGTGTGAAGAATTATTGATATATTTTTATAAATAAAACATTTTTGCACCTATATTTTAATTATTTTAAAATTTACTTATAAGACTTAAGAAGACATTTAAATACCTAATGACTTTTGGATATATACAATGTAATATTTTCCATTTCCCTTGTATTTGCCCCACTTATTTTTATAAGATGCTGGTATGTAGTCAGTCAATAACTAGTATTATCTTTAGGTACATTTAAAAAATGTATATTACACCTGAACATTGCATAATCTGGAAAAGATAATTAATAAGAAGTCAGTGAAAGACTGTTTCGAAAGGAGGAATAATTTGCAGTGAAACATTTACATAGACGACAATGCCAGTCATGGTGGCTCATGCCTGTAATCCCAGTACTTTGGGAGGTTGAGGCAGTGGATCACCTGAGGTCAAGAGTTTGAGACCAGCCTGACCAACATGGTGAAACCCCATCTCTACTAAAAATACAAAATTAGCTGGGCATAGTGGCACATGCCTGTAATCCCAGTTACTTGGGAGGCTGAGGCAGGAGAATTGCTTGAACCTGGGAGGCGGAGGTTGTAGTGAATGGAGATTGCACCATTGCACTCCAGCCTGGGCAACAAGAGTGCAACTCCATCACAAAACAAAACAAAACAAAAATAACAATGAACATTGATCTCTTTGTGTTTCTCACTGTTACTGTTGAATCATGCTGGCTAAACAATAATTATTTTTTTCTTCTAGAAACAATAAAAAAATTCTATAAATTCCGTCTATACATGTTAGTCGCCAAAATGTTTGATATCATTTGATATTCTCTTATGAAAGGGCATGTACATATGTCTGGAGTGGGGAGTTGGGGTGTTGATGTTATAAATGTAAATAGAAGGACAACCTCTCTTGCTAAAATGAGGCATTTACCTGAATTTGAGTTTCTGACAGGCACCGATAGCATTCACCTAAATTTAGGGATCTAAAAGGCACTAATATACAAATGTATCTTTAAAGTTTGCTTTTAACAGTTTTGCAATTAAACTTTCAATTAGTCACAGAAACCTTCTTTTTATATATATATATATATATATATATATTATATAAATATAAATATATGTATATATATATAGAGAGAGAGAGAGCAGAGCAATGACTTGAATCTAAAGAAAATATCAAAGCTCAAACAATAAGAGCACTTTAAGACCAGGGCAAGAAATATTCAAATGCTGTCATGAAAATAAACTGTCAAATAATAAGCAAATAGATTTTGTTTTCTTTTGCTAAAGACAAGTAATTCTGCCTGTGACTGAAGACAATAATGGCCACTCATTATCATAATGACCTAATCACAAAAATCAAACTGACACTATTTCTGTTTTCTTAAGGGAGATGCATCAACAAAGCATGGGTGTGTGATGGAGATATTGATTGCGAAGATCAGTCAGATGAAGATGACTGTGACAGTTTCTTGTGTGGACCACCCAAGCATCCTTGTGCTAATGACACCTCAGTCTGCCTGCAGCCAGAGAAACTCTGCAATGGGAAAAAGGATTGTCCTGATGGCTCTGATGAAGGCTATCTCTGTGGTATTGCATGTTTAATTGTACTGACTTCTCCATGAAAACTACAACCTTTTAGTTCAGTTGCTGTTACTTAATATAGTAGCATTCATTCCTTTCATTCATTCCCTTTAAATGTAGCTTTTAGCATTGAACCTTGTCTACATTTCTCAGACACTCTAAGGCTACAGTAAAAGTCTTCAATGTGATCAGAAATTTCTGAAAATAAGATAGGAAAAGCTAGCCTATATCGAAGTTACTTAATTATAGAGCTGTGTTCATCATTTAGATCTCTGGATGGCCAGTGATGTTCCCGCAGTTGAACTGATTATTTGTTGATCCCTCAGAACAAGGAAAACTTGTTGTTCCTCATCTACGGATGGAACTCACCACCACCCTATATATTTTGATAAGCCTTCTAATCATTACAATAGAAACTGATTTTTAGGAAGGGAAAGAGACTGGATAATAAAGCCAATTGAATATGACCCAATTTAACATAATTTTCCTTCAAATTTTTAGTCCTCATACAACAGCTTTCTTTAGTATGCCTTATCTAGTTAAAATGATGATTTCAATGAGCTTTGAAATCACGTTGACTAGCAATCTTTCTTACCAACCAGCACATACAAAAGAAAATTACATTTCCTTCTCTTCCGGGAGATCAGAGATTTAGTAAAGAGATTTTTTAAAAGTGTTTTCTAGATAATACTGAAGGTGACATCAATAGATAATGAAGAACAGTTTACAGAATGATAAGAACAATAATGAGATGACTTGAGGCTGTGAGAAAATGACTTTAGGAAATAATGAAGCTGACTGATTGAAAGTAGGAAAGACAACTACATTGAAGCCCAAAGTTATATTTTGACCTCAAATGAGCATTAATAGCATACTGAATGATATAAAAAAGGAAGTTTTTTTTTTTTTTACCATATGTGGTAAAATGTCTTTTTTTAAGTCATGATTTTATAAAATAACCTTGAAACAGTGAATGCAACAGTCTTCATTCGATGAGGCTAAAATTACACACAAAAAAATTAAGAACAAATAAAAGAACTTAAGTTGAGCAACAAAAAGGTTATAAATAAAAGATGATAAACTTCATTCTTCTGTATTCATTTCTTTCTTGCCCAGCTTATTCTTTGTAGTGGAGTAGGTTGGTGAGAGGTTTGCTCATGAAGGTTGTAAATACAATTCTAAAAGAAATTATTAATACTCTTAAAGAATGTAATTATGGAAAAACTAGACTTCAACAAGCTTAAATTCTTTTCTTCAATTAAGTCTTTAGGTGATTTAATTTCTTAAAATCTTGGTTTTCTTATAATTAAAATAGAGGCAATGGTATCTATCAGGTAATCATGGTAATAATGCCTGATGCCCTGCAGTTATTGAAAAATATTAGTACTTTTCTCCCTCTTCCCCATCTTTCAAGTTAAATGAAATAAATAAAAGGCAAAAGACAGAAAGTACACCCATTGAGAAAAATGAAGAAAATGATAAGAAAAAACAACCTCATTTTCCTATTCTTCACTTCCCAAATTGGAAAAGTAAAAGAGTAATGAGAGAATTTCTTCTTAATTCATTTCTTTGTCTACTTCAGAATTGAAAAGCACTTCTTATCTAGCCATATGGTCATTACTTAAAGAGCTTTGCCCAAACATTTCAAAAAATTATAGAGACTGAAATAGATTATAAGGAGGAATCTGGTGTGGAAGTACCAGAGAAAATAAAAAGACAATTTTGTCATGATTGCAGCATTGTGGCATATTGAACTACACACCGCACTCTTTCAGAGGTGAAGTCATGAAGACTTAGAACAATGAAAACAGAAAGCAAATACTGGCCAAAGGATTAGATTGCCTTTTCTATGGTTATAGCAATGTATATAAGGAAAAGGAGAACCCAAGAATGTGAATCTACTGATTCTAGTGAAGAGATTTTTTTTTAGGGAAATTTTTAAATAATTTCAAAAGAAACGGATTTGCACTTAAGAAACAAACGAAAATAGATTTTAATTACTCTAAAATGGAGTTATAGTGATCCTTGTTACAATAATATGTCAAAGCCAGATGCTAACTAGTAAAACAGTAAGTAAAGATTTTACTCATTAGTAACTCTTGTGATAGTCCACTGTGAACTGAGCTCAACTTCATGAAACTAAAAACTGGAAACTTTGAAGGTCGGGGTGTGCTAAGGAAAAGGCACTAAGGGGGTTAAAGGGGCTGCTCCACAAGATTACGCCACCTGGGTTAGATAACTGGTGCTTAACAGGAGGGGAAAACAGGCTTCTCTTATCTTTGTGACAAGAGGCAGTGGCAGCAAGTAAGAGTAAGACCCCCACTGGGCTGGGAGGGAGAATGAGAGGCAGAGTTCCCTTCCCAGGTGTTTGCACTTCAAAGAGAACGCTCTCAGCTCCTTAGAAGGTAGTTCTGGGTAGTAGAAGATTTACACCTCAAAAAGGCACAGAAAGGATTTATAATTGCAAGCTTTCTAAAGCAACTACTCTAAGAGGAGGTTCAGGGCCTATCTGCCTATCATCATGAGCGTTCTCAGGCAGACAATTTAATGTGGGAGCTGGGGTCATTCAAGGGACGTAGACTTAAGCTGTTGGACAATGTGCTAGGGATTGTTCAAGTCTGTTAGTATGTATTTGTGGCCCAGGGGCTTGGGGAGGGGGGCGGTGGAGGTGAGGGCAGCAGGATGAAATCATTTGTGCTGAGAGTCTGCAGTTTTTATTGGCCAAGGCTGAAGTCTAGTCAGAAGAGGACTTAGAGGATCCTGACTAGTGTTTGGTCAAGGACAGAGTCTTTGTCAGGTAATAAAAAGTTTTAAAAGAAGTTGCAGGATTAATGACAGGTTTAGGGCTAAGAATCAACAGGTTCTAATCATGCAAATATTGGCATTATATATTCAATTTCAGATTTCAATGTGAATTTCATTTAACCTAAAATCTGTGACTTCATTCCACAGATAGGATTAGAAAGAGACACTTCAGTACTGAGAAAACCGTGACACTTGAAATAAGCTAAAAGCATTGTAACAATTTTTTTTTCTTTACCTCCTGGGCACAATGACATTTCTTTACAGTAATTCTCTGGAAAAAGAATGTCAGTTGAACTAAAATGGGGCAAATACTTTGAAATGACTGCTGTTTTAAGATGCTTATGATTATGGGTGAACAAACATATTTGGAGGAACCAAGAGCTGAATCTATTTTTTTTCTTCAAAATAATACCAAACTTGAATTGAATTGTTAGAGAAAACAGTTCATACAATCATTTTCCTTTTCTTATTACTGTAGCTTCTTTGATGGTGACAAATTATATGAAGAAGAGTTGACCCATATAAAGCTTTTAAAAATGTAGAAATGTTTTTAAAAGCCTTACATTTCAGGCCAATTTTCATACTGGATACATTTTCATAGACAACCAGAAATATTTGCATTATATAAATATTGCTTCAATTTACTGATTATTAGACAATAGTCTTTTTAGCACATCTCAAAACATACACAATTAAATAGGGTTTGAAATCCACTTGAAAATATTTTTAAAGCCAAGAAAGACAAAGCTTCTTTCAGCCTTATTTCTATGTACCTAATGGTACACAGTGGTAGATAATGATGTGGTTTCAAAGACAATTATCTGCCATTTTCTTCAAGGTTGTAAGCATGTCATATTGAAATTTTCTCAAGTAGACAATTCTGAGTAAATTTTAGGACAATGTGTGCTTTTATACAATTTTTCTACTTTAAAAAATTCATCAAATATTTTTAACTTGTTACTCAATGTTAGGTATACACTGGTAAACAGAAGAGATATTTTCTGTACCCTCATGGAGCTTACAATTTGGTAATGAAGTAGAATAATAAATAAATATATTTAAAGGACAGCTGTATATTTAAATGCTATTTAAAAAGCTAATCTTTTTTACAAGCTAATCACATTATATATGTAATCATATGTGTAATCACATTATATATGTAATCATATGTAATCATGTAATTATATATGTAATCGATTATCTATGTAATCAATACTATTGCTCATTATTTCAGACAAAATACCAGGACAACTTTTTTTTTTTTTTTTAGTGTTTTGCTTATGATGTTTCCATGGCGTCATTGAATGAATCATAATAACCAATATATGAGGCACAATGTATAATTCACCTAACTTAAAAATAAATGCCTACAGCTGGTAAAGGATAAAGTAATCCATTCTGCATTTTAACTCCAAAATGGACTGTACAAGTGTTGCAAAAGATATATAGACACATATATTCACATATGTGTATATGGATATACTTGTTAATTTATTAACATCAAGATATGTCTAATATTAAGATCATCATGGTATGTACATCTTTTTTGGAAGACCTCTACAAATTATTTTGCACCACTGCTAAAAGGCTCAGCATAATCTTTCCAGTCATAATAGAAACATTGAGCTCACTTTACATCTGTGGGGCAAAGCAAACTATACTCCCAAGTTTTATAGAAATGAAAATCTTCCATTTACAATTTCTATAATATAGAATTAAATTTGACCTTTGGTTAAATCCTATCATCATTTCTATACCAACCCCTGAAGCAAAAATAAGCCAAAGAGGGCTTTCTTATATTCATTTGTAGTATCCTGGCTAATTGTAGGCTTAGAGAATTGAGTTCAATGATTAGTATTTAACTGAGGAAAGCAATTGATAAGACCTATAATCTGTTCCCCCCTTTTTATAGATGAGTGTTCGCTGAACAATGGAGGCTGTAGCAACCACTGTTCTGTTGTTCCTGGAAGAGGAATTGTCTGTTCCTGCCCTGAAGGACTTCAACTCAACAAAGACAATAAAACATGTGAAATTGTGGATTATTGTAGCAATCATCTAAAGTGCAGCCAAGTATGTGAGCAGCACAAGCACACAGTCAAGTGCTCATGTTATGAAGGTTGGAAGCTGGATGTAGACGGTGAAAGTTGTACAAGTGTTGGTAAGTAACTATTTTGTGTGTGTTGCTATATTTAAGAATAGATCTTGAAAGAAACAAATCCCAAAACTGCTTCAGAAAATTAATGAAAGGATTCAACTCATTTTAGATAAAGCATTTAACTATAATGTGTTATTTTAGACCTACTATAAAATTTCTAGAGAGAAAATATAATAATCCTTACTTTTGCTATCCATTGAATTGTTACCATCAGATTATTCTTTTTCCCGAAACATTGATTTTATTATCATATCCCGGATGGGCTCGTTTTTGCATAGGCAAAAGCAGTTGCTTTGTTTCTCTGTGTATGCTTTTTTAGGGGGTCCTGCCCCACATTCCCAATTGTTATTTCTAATGCTCTTGAAAACAATTTCTTGCTCTGGCTGTGTTCATCTTCTAACCACTTATCTAAAACATTCTGCGGATTCTCTAGGTGGTTTTTCACAGTGGGAAAGGCAAACAAGGGCTTTAGATTATGATATTTCAACTCTAATTGTGTAACTTACATTCATTCTTTATGTGACCCTAGGCAGGTTACATAACACTGTGGAGCTTCAGTTTTCTCATTTTTCAAGTAATGTTGCCCATTTTAACCATTTCTTGCTTATAGCATGTTGTAAGAGTAGCGTGAAAGACTTGTTACTGTGCCGCACATCCATTGGGTGTTTAAAGAAGTATCGCTTCCCATCCACTTTTCTAGATTCTTAGTCTGAGTCCACAGGAAACTTAGAAGTCTATGGATAGAATTGAAGAGATTCAGGAACTTTGTTTGGGAAAATATTATAGCATTATTTTAACTTCTAACTGAAAGTTAGCATATCTTTCCATTGTGAATGTATGGCACAGACCACCAAAGTCATTAGCAGCAACTATGAATTTGCTGATAGAAGTAATAGATATATTCATATCACATTATAGTTGCCGCACATATCTCAAAATATCACATGTTCAGGCTTGGAAACCCGCTACTAATTCAATAATGGGATCCATTAGACCCACTGCTGGATCTTATTATTGAATACACTAATAAAATCCTCTCTGTGGGGGAATATCTCTTCAACTTTTTCCAAGACAAAAAGGAATTAGAATAGGAATTAAAATATGCTATCAAATAAAGTTTGAATTTCATGACATCAAAATAAATATATAATAAATACATTTATGATCATATTCAAAAATTATTTAATTTCAATAAGTGCACTTCAATATGTTTTCTCATCTATACTTTTTGAAACACTTTATTCTTATTGTTTTTGCACTTTAAAAAAATTTTCTAATCTAGCACAACAGGGTGACTGTAGTCAAAAATAATGTAATTGTACATTTTAAAATAACTAAGAGTATAATTGGATTGTTTGTAACACAAGGATAAATGCTTGAGGTGATGGATATCCCATTTACCCTGATGTGATTATTCTGCATCACATGCCTGTATCAAAATATTTCATGTAACCTGTCATAGGTAGCAACTAACTGGGGCCATTGGCACAGGGGGTAAAAGAATTTACCAAGACAGTTGTAGGTAATGAAAGGCAGATTTGTTAGAGGAAGTATGAAAATACATTGCAAGGTTGCAACAGGCAGCACAGCAGAGACAGGGCTGTCTGCAAAGAGGCAGGGGCTGGAAGGACAGTTTATATGGTGGTGCTGGAGGGAGCTACTTGCAGATTGAGGTCATTGTGTCCACAGGACAAGGAGGTCGTTGTTTATGATGAGATTAGCCACCTGTCCAATCGATTGTTCATTGTTCTTCCCCACTTGGAGCCCTCCCCCACCTGGAGCCCCTTCCACATTGTTGCTTACTTATCTATCAGGCCTCCACATAACCTATAAATATACTACTACTATAACCCCTACTATGTACTCACAAAAATAAAAATTAAAAATTATTTTAAAAAAAGCACGACTTTCTGAGGAGTCCACATGCTTCATCAGACTGATAAGAACCCATATATTATGAACCTCTATTCATTTTGTTTCTTTCACTTAGACTATACTTTCCTCACTTCATCTCCAGAAATCCTGGATATTCTTTGAGACGTGCTGGCTCAAGTCTTTTTTCATCAATTAAATCTTCTTCCAAATATCCTTGCTTTCCATTTATTTTTTCTTTTTATGTCTAGGACATATTGTTCTTGAATATATGTGATCACATTTTTAAATGGCTGTTTTATATTCTTAGATATCTTCTTATTTCTTTACAATAAAATAATACAAACTTTGAAGTTAGAATTCAGGTTACAGACTTTTCTCTTGTGTTTTACATAATATCCAGCCCACTTCTGGGAAAATAATATGCAGTTAATAGATACTATATTCTTTCAGATATTATTGTATTATTTTAATCTTTTACTTTAAATTTTCTTTTGTTTTGTGATTATTTTTGTAGTAGTTTTCTTCTGACCATTAAAATTTGAGTCCCAGAGCATAAGTTTAGCAGACATTTATTCTATATTTCTTCTTCAATATTCTCACACAAAGTAATTGGCTTGAGAGGCTGAAAAACAGCAATTTGTTGTAATGGTAATAGTCATTTCATTCACCTATGTGTTTTGAATGAAAAAGCAATAGATCAAATATTGACCTCAGACACATTTGTGATCATATTTCACATGAGAATTGGCTCCAGATGTTTGTTTTGGATACAGATAACAAAATGATTCAGTGTCTTAGAGTGGTTATATACCATATGAAATAAATAACAACTTATGTTTAATGTTAGAATAATTCAACATTTAAATACAGGTGACCAGGGACAGAGATAACTCTCCTAATGGAATTGACTCCTCTGCTCTCAGCTCAGAATGGAACTGTAGGGGCAGAAAGGAGGTGTTCCCTTTCCTCCCCATAATAAGGGTCATAGATGACTGTCCTATAACAAAGACCAGTTAACAAGAGAAAATCATAGCAAATTTATTTGATCATAGTTTTTTGTTTTTTTTTCTTGTTTTAAAATATTATAGCAATAGTTTATTGATAGGTAATTTGATTAGTAGAGTTATAAATACAAAAAGGAGGAAAGATTACCAGAAAGAAGACATTATTTCTAACAAATCTTCAAGAAAATATTGATTATTAAAATGACTTTTATCTTATAAGTGTTGCATACACAGTTTTAGCTCTTCAGAGCCCTCTATCGATAAGTTGCCTGAAATAGTAAAGAATTTGCTACTGCAGCCTTGGGGAACATTTTTTAGTGTTGTATTGGTGCTTCTCTGACAAAGCATACTTTTATTCAAGACAAACAGTCCCATATTTATGTAAGTCCTAAATTCCAAGTATAAACACTGCAATTGAACTGACGGACTGGAACAAAATAATAAATCCTTAGATTAACCATACCAGCCTCTCACAAATTACTTGAATTTCATACAAATATGAAGTGTTAACATAGAAATGAAATGGCAACTGACTTTTTGAAAGCTCACACATTGAAACTGAATGAAATCTCAAGCTGTGGTATGGAGTTATTCTGTTACCAGGCAGCACTCCCTCACCATAAAAATAGCAGCTAGCTACTGGTTTCTTAATGCCAAACTAATGATGATTTTGAAGACCAACCTTGCTCATTGTCATACCCATGACTCAAATGGAGAACTTTTCCTGTCTCCTGGTTTCCTTTCTTTTAGCTTAGTTGAGAAGAGCCCTGAAAAGGAAAAGAAAAAGGATCATTGAGTAAAACATAATGTCCTGGAGTATCATCTTCTCATTGCAGATACCCTTGACAACAACAGGAGCCTTTGAATCAGCAGCACTCCAACAGGTCCCAAGTCAGTATGCTGCAAGGTTCCCATAGACCTGGAGAACTTCATGCAACTTCTTGGTGGCCATGAACCTCTCCATGTACTTATTGAAGTTTATTTTAAAAAGATTACCTTCCATATCAAGTGGACAGATCTGGCAATCACTGCAGATGCTCTGTGAAAGCATGCTGAGCTCAAGACAGTTCTCTTCCAGGTGAAGAATTTTAAGGCAAGGACAGCCAGATATCTTTATTGAGACCTGAGATATCTTCTTCCAGTTGAGGATGAGTTTGATGACCTGCAGCTCTCCTACTATGTCAGGTATACTTCAGATCTGGTTCTTGGAAAGATCCACCACATCCGGTGGCCTAGGCTACAAAGTTGGGTGATAGCGCTCCCAGTTGGTTCCCAGAGAGGCTCAGGGTCTTGAGGGTAGAGAGTTGCCCAAAGGTAGATGGCAGCTCTCTCAGGTGACTGCCATTTAGGCGTAGCATCTCTAGAATTTTTTTAGGATTGCATAATCTCATTAGGCAGACCAGTTTATGTTGTTCAGGGGGAGGTTCTTCAACAGAGTGAACTTTTGTATCAGCAAAAGTGGTAGGTTGTCCATCTTGTTGTTGGACAAATCGATGGTCCTGGGATTGCTCATTAGTGTCTACAATTCTAAGGAGAACTTGGTCAGCCCACGGTCCTTAAACTGGGAGACACCAGTTTAGTGTGCCCATTCCACTTGAGTACCGAGGGCACCATTTCCTATTTTAGTGCTTCAGTCTACATCCCTGCTATGGCTCAGCTGCCAGATGGTTCAGCAGGGGAAGCCCCAGGACCCACACTAACTAGGTTGTGTTCCCCAGACTTAGTCCTGGATAGGAACCTGGTGATAGTTTTATGTGACACAGAAACCTTCAGAATGAAGACCCAAAGACCCAGGAAAAGCTGTCCATTTTTAATACTTAGGCTCAATGAAGTATGGACAGACATGTAGAAATATGATTGGACAAAAAGTGTATGATCTAATGCTTATAGATGGTTGTGGGGAACCAGCACAGCCTGTCTGCTCTGATTCTTCTGAACTTCTCTGGGCAGCATTGCTTCCCCCAGGTTATGGGGCAGACCCTTTCTGGAATGAGCATCTTCAATTTCTTTATGGCCAGCTCCTAAACCGAAAAGTTGGTGTCTTCATCAGGGTTCTCTAAAAGGACAGAACTAATAGGATAGATGAATACATGAAGTGGGGTTTATTAGGAGAACAGACTCACACAATCATAGGGTGAAGTCCCACAATAGGCTGTCTGCAAGCTGAGGAGCCCGGAAACCAGTCTGAGTCCCAAAACCTCAAAAGTAGGGAAGCCGATAGCGCAGCCTTCAGTCTGTGACTGAAGGTGCGAGAGCCCCTGGCAAATCACTGGTGTAGGTACAAGAGTTCAAAAGCTGAAGAACTAGAAGTCTGATGTTTGAGGGCAGGAAGCATCCAGCATGAGAGAAAGATAGAGGCCAGAAGACTTAGCAAATCTAGTCTTTCCACATTCCTCTGCCTGCTTTTATCCTAGCTGTGCTGGCAACTGATTAGATGGTACCCATCCAGATTAAAGGTTGGTCTGCCTCTCCCAGTCCACTGACTCAAATGTTAATCTCCTTTGGCAACAGCCTCACAGACACACCCCGGAACAATACTTTGCATCCTTCAGTCCAATTAAGTTGATCCTCAATATTAACTATTACAGTCTGGGAAGGTTAGAATAATATTTTTAGGCTTTATGGCTGGCTTTGGGGAAAGGGGCTGCTAGTGTCTATGACTCGCTCTGGGAAAGACAGGTTATGGTTACTGTGGCTTGCCTAAGGAGAGAATGAGGCATGAAAAACAGGAAGGTAGGAGAGGGTCAGGGAGAGACTTTGCTTCTGAGGTAGCTTCTTAGGGCTTCACTTTGTGGTGCTGTTTTCTGAGCCCCAACAAAACTCTAGCAGTACCATATGATTTCTCACTGTTAAGATTGCTATATTTTCCATCTGGTTTTGTTCATAATTTTATAGAAAAGTAAAAGTATATTTCATCTTTTAAAGTTACAATGAAACATTTTTAAGTGGATAATTTAATCTTCTGGTAATTAATCTCTTCCTGAAATGTATAGTGCACTTTGTGCATCTGAAGAAAAAAGGCTTTATTCTGTATTTTGTTCACCCCTTTTAGAAAAGCAGCAAATTCACAGTCCAATAAAAATGAATTGACTAGTTACTACTGGACTTTAAAAATAGAAATTTCTTCTTTCTTGCTCATTTTCTGTTTTCCATCATCTTCTGTTGATTCTCCCTTTTAAAATGTTTTCTTTCTATTGAATGCAATACCTGTCCTTATCCCTCTTGACATTAAAAAGAAAAAAAAATGATGATAGCAGGCTTTTGGCTGGGCATGGTGGCTCACACCTGTAATCTCAACACTTTGGAGGGCTGAGACAGGAGGATCTATTGAGCCCAGGCATTCAAGACAGCCTGGTCAACATAAGGATACCCCCTACCTACAAATAATTTAAAAATTAGCCAGTCATGGTGGTGCATGTCTGTGGTCCCAGCTACTCAGGTGACTGAGGCAGGAGCATTGGCTGAGCCCAGGAGATTGAGACTGCAGTGAGCCATGACTATGCCACTGCACTTCAGCCTGAGCATTTGAAAAACTATTTTTGTTTTTTCAAATTATAGCCATGATTGTTCCATTCCTTTTTTCTCTTGAGTTTTCCTCCGTAGTTCTCTCATCTTTTTTTTATTTCTCTACACTCTTCCCTTCTCTGATTCTTTACAATCTGGCTTTTGCTGAATTGCAGAACTGATTCTGTTTTCTCTAAGTTCACTCCTAATATCTTATTATATAAAATGATATTTCATAAATGCTACTTTTATAATTTTTATTTTCTATTTAATATATCTCAAATCTCAGTTTTCTCATATCTCAATATTCAGTTACATTTTCCCTCTTTAATTCATTTATTAATTCATTTATTAATAATTATAATTCAATTATTAATCACCCTTCTCTGAAGTATTGATTTCTTTTAGGACCACCTAAAATATGATACTGATTGTGATATGGACAGGAGGCAGGGAAATACTGGGTAGAACAGATAGGTTCCCCGTGAGGTCCCCACCCTCAAGCTTGGACCCGTGGCCCAAAGTGAGAACTTTACATCCCTGTTTTCTTGCTCAAATGTTGCCTTTTCCAAAACCACCTTGGCCCACCCTGCCCCCCACCTCCATCCTGTACTCATGAAAACCCCAGGCTCCACGGGCAGCAGAGCAGCAGAGAAGAAGAGAAAAAAACAGCTTGGCGTTGTTGAGAAGCAGCTTGACTTCAGAGGGATGGCTTGACGGTGGGACCTTGGAGAAGAGTTTGGCCTGGGACAGCAGAACTCCAGGGGAAGACCACCTTCCTGCTCCATCCCCTTTTCAGCTCTCCATCCCACTGAGAGCCATTTTCATCAGCAATAAAATCCCCTGCATTTACCATCTTCAGTTCGTTGTGTGACCTGATTCTTCCTGACACCCAGTAAGAGCTCAGGTTACAGGGGGTTGTCACACTGAGCTGTTAAACACTTAAGCCACCCAGGGACAGCAAAGTAAAAGAGCGCACGGTAACATGCCTTCTGAGGCTCTAGGGGCCACACGGAGTTCTGCTCCTGCCGGTGAGGTGACCTGAAGCATTCCTTCTGGCCCCTGCGAGCACTCACCTGCCTTCTCCCCTTCCCACGAGGGGTTGAGAGCCGCAGGCTGAGTAAACGAGCCACCCCCTTCCCAAGTCCTGTGAAGGGGTCAGGGAAAATTTCCTGTTTCAATTGCATTTTCTTCTGGCTCCATTGCTGTTTGTTCGGCAGCCCACTGGCAAATTTGCAGCATATTTATAGTAACATTGCAAATAACATTATATAATTTTTTTATCTCAGCCTGAATCAGATTGTATTTTCACATTTTTTTGTTCTTATTCTCTATTTTTTTCATTATTAGGCCTTTGAAATTATTTTTTAATTAAAATCATTTCTAGGAAAGAGATTGTGAATATAAGCACAAAAATGCATAAATATAATGGCTGTGTTTTGGTATACTGTGTCCACTACCCAAAGTTTAATTTTCACATTCCTCTATGTGTATTTCCTTGGACAACTCCTTTCCACTCTGAACCTTCCCTTTTCACCCCAGATCTGATTACTGTGGCATTTACATCTCCAACTGTATCAATTTTTTTTTTTTTTTTGAGGCAGAGTCTCATTCTGGCACCCAGGCTGGAGTGCAGTGGCACGATTTTGTCTCACTACAACCTCTGCCTCCCAGGTTCAAGTGATTCTCGTCCTTCAGCCTCCTGAGTAGCTTACAGGCAGGCGCCACCATGCCCAGCTAATTTTTGTATTTTTGTAGAGACGGGGTTTCACCATGTTGGCCAGGCTGTTCTCAAACTCCTGATCTCAGGTGATCCTCCTGTCTCGGCTTCCCAAAGTGCTGGGATTACAGGTGTAAGCGTCCGTGCCCGGCCTATCATTTTTCTTACTATCTAATTCTACTTCCCCGGATATCATCAGGTCACCTCAAGATTAGTTGGCTAAATGTACCCTTTCTCTTCTCCCTCAATTATCTGTAATTCTGTCAATAGCTGCAGTATTTTTTTTTTGGTCTTCAGGGCTCACAACCTCAACTTATCTTTGATTTTTTCAGTTCCTTGCTGCCTTCTCTCTCCATGTCTTAATTTTTTTTCTTCACAGTGTTTCTTGGATTCAGATCTCTTTCTACAATTAAGCAGCATCTGCACCACAGCACAGGCCAAGAGATACATATGTTCTAATGATAATGGCAATCTTCTCTCCAGCAAATTTGTTTTTATCTTCTTGTTTCTCCAGTTTTTGAGGAGGAGGATACTGAAACTGGAAAAAAACATAGTATTTTTACTGACAGAGGGAGGAAAATCCAGATCCAGGAAGATGAAAATTAATAGAAAGGGGTCAAGATAAAAAATAAAGTGATAAGCAGATTTGCTGCCTTGGGGAGTAGTGAGTGATAAAGGTGAAGCCACCAGGGGAATGAAGCTATGGGGGACTTAAAATCCAGTCATCCATTCTTTTATTTCTCTTTAAAAAATGACACATTTACATATCAGTTTCCATCCGGATTTTAATAGTATCTCTCTATTTTCTGTGAAATTAACCTCAAACCTTTCTGTCTGCTATTCAGAGCCTTCTTCATTTTTGCTCATTTTCCCTCTCCACCCTGATGTTTCATCATCATCCACTGTGGGTTTCGACTTTAGGCACATTATTGCTATTTTCATCATGAGTAATGATAGTATATGCATGACTAAGAATGTGTAAAGCACTTTCACATATGTCGCTTCATTTAGTCATCTTCTTCACATATTCCGTTCACTATCATCTATGACTTAATAACAATATCTTTCACATTCTCCCTGGAAATTTGAATCCTTTACACTCTTCAAAACTCCCTTATCTACAAGGAATTTCTTCAAGTTAATTATTATAATGTTATTAATAGCTACCATTTACCCAACACCTAAAATACGATCATGTATTTATTACTCCCAAGAAACCAGATAAATAGTCTTAAAACTCTGATTTTATACCTACGGAAATGAAGACCCAGAAAGGTTACTTGATTTGCTCAGGGTGAGAGGTTGTGGCTAAGAGATGTTAGGGCAAAGGTTTTGAACTTTATTCTTCCTGACCTCAAAGCAGGAGCATTTACATAATACTGCAAAGACCCAGGCAGTTTATCTGTGCTGTGAGCCCACACATTCCTATGATGCCTTTGAATAGTCAACATTTTCATGACCTTACTTTTGTTACTTGCATCCACTTTCATAAAAGTTGAGATTGAATCAAAATATTTTATATCCCTTATGAAACATATGAACATTTTGCAGCAAATGATTATTGAATGTAAGAGCTTTCTCTGTTTTAAGTAGTTGGACCCTTTCTCTTTTCTTCAATTACTCTCATATTTATGATCTCTCTTCCTCTCTTTATCTTTTGAAGGTCAGGCAGGAAGTGTTGAGTTGATTACACTCCTCACTTCCTGGCACAGCATTATAATTGGATCTAGGTAAGGCTTTTTATTTTCCTCATGCCCTCCCTTGGGTCTCTCTTTCTTTCTTTACTTTTATTTCGAAAGCCTACCCCTCTTCCTTTCCTCTGTCTCTAGAGGAAGTCATTTCAATGTAGTTCATATATTCTCTTATAAAAATCTATGTTTCTTTGCATACATTTTTAATTATGTAATTGGTATTATACATATTACAGTCTGTCATTTACCTTTTTTAGTCAGCACTGTCTTTATGAACTGTGCACCTACTCTGTTACTTCTAATCACTAGATAGTGTCGTAGAGCATGCACACATCTTTTATGCTTTTCCATTCTACCATATCAATACACTCAAGTTGCCCCTAACTTTCTGTACAAATGATAATTCCATAGACATACATTTACCGGCATTCTTATAGATGTGGATAAAAATTCCTTTAGGACCAGTAACAATCATGGAATGTACTTCTACTTACAATGACTAAGTAGAACCAGTTCCTCTTCAGAGTGGTTGCACTGTCTACATCTATACCAACAGTTCACTAAGTTCCCGCATCCTTCGCAGCTCTCAAAATTATCCACTCTGTCATTTTCTCCCTAATATGTAGGAGTAACATGATATATCATTGCTTTTGTTTGCGTTTGTTTTATTTCTCATGAGTTTGAGCACCTCTCCATATACTCACTAGCCTTAATTTCCTTTGGTCATTCTCCTATTAAGATTACTGCCTTTTCTTATTAATTTGTAGAAATCAACACTATGTTCTAAACTTTAGACATTTCCGATACTGCCTCCGTTCAGTCACCCATCTATGAACTTCATCCACGGTGACCTCTGTTGAACAAGTCCTGTTTGTCTGCTTCTGTCACTTACTCCTTTGTTTGATTCATTTCTTTGCATATTTCTTCTTCCTCCCATAATCATTTTCATCATATTTAGGGTCTTCTAGGCTTGTTATTCATTCATTGATTTTTATAATTATTTATTCATTTATGCAATCAAAAATATTTCTTAAATACAATCTAGTAAAAGACACTGGACTGTATCCTAGAAATGCAGGTTTTGTTGTTGTTCCACCTCTCACCTGAGTGAGTGCTCTTCTCTCTCACTCTGCCTCTCACACACACACACCCCAAAGGAGGATTCTTACAACTTGTTAATGAAAAGAATTGGTGAGTTAAGCAAATCACGAACTTGACATACAAAGCAGATATATTTTAAAAATCCAGAAATACTTGGGAAAGTGATTACTAAGAGAGAAACAAAAAATTGGTTCTTAAAAAAATGTCAAGAGACAGCTGATGACATCATCATGTATATGTACAAGTTTGAACAATACTTGAAAGTTCACCCTGGCCTTCATTCTATTGATTCTATTCCCTCTGCCTACCTGTATATTATACTTCAGAAATATTTAACCATCATTCATTCCCAATATGCCTATAGCTGGAGAAATGGAGGGAAGCAAGTCATGATATATATTGGGCCAGATAAATAATATACCATTTACCACTTCATAAGTTGCTACTGTGTAAAATAAATGTATCTGATGATGGGACAGAAAAGTTCAAATAAATTCCTAAATGTAAGAACATAAAATACAGTAAAAACTCCGAAGTAGCAGGAGAGAAAACATTGTAACAGTAATATCACTTTTTGTTTGATTATATCATATATATGGTAAAGAATCAGGGGATTTCACATAGAATTGCTAGTTGTATGGTTGTAATAGCAGTTTACCCTGAAAGGATCTGAAGAAGGACTCTTTTTCCTAGGCAACTCATCTGCTGCTTTCATAGTCTGTCTGATAAAAATCATTCTGCAAATCTGTAGTGGGACTAAAAGAAAAACAAAGAAGATAATTGTACATAGGAGATAACAGTCTTCTGAGTGTTTTCTAAAAGCTTCTTGTAAAGCACTAGATTTATAAAAATGAAATTTGTCACTTACAAAAAGTATAAATTGTGACCTCCTTTATTTTGTACATATCTCATCTCTTATAATATGCTAAAGGAGAAAGATTTCAGGCCACTTCTCTATTAAGAGGATAGTATGCTGATTTGAGCTGTTAAATTCAGTCGTTTATGAGATAGAAGCTAGTATACTGGAAGAATTGTTAGAAAACAGTAAAAATGGATGGCTACTTCACATATTATTTATATTCATTCTAAATTGAGTTGCCACAAAAGATGTTAATATAGTTATGTCAAGATTAAAACAAACTAGAAAATTCTTCATTTATTTTATCTCCAAATACTTTTTTACAAGGTTTCATTTAATTAAAGTAAAAACCATTGTAAGATGGGATTTTAAAATTCTATCTTCATGATTTCCCACTGGTTTATGAAATAACACATTGGACTATTCATTACAACTTTATTTTCTCAGAGGGGAAATAATAATCTAATAAGTCAACATAGATCTTTAGAGGCACTTGAGGGAGATATCTAGATTAAGAGTTCAAATAGAAAATCATTTGAAAATTTATACTTTGATTTTTGATCTTTGGTAAACTAGTTTATTTTGTTTGTTTATTTTATTTCAGTCAAGCATAATTCAGTAAATATTTATCAAACAAATGTTTTCTCAACATAAAATGACTATAAAGAATACAAGAACATGAAAAGATTGTGAGCAGTTTTAATAAGATACTCAATGTAAAGGTCATTGTTCAAAGAAAACATGTGCTTTTAATTACTTTTCATTTTATAAACTCAAACATGTTTGAAAATAGTGGGAATAATGTATTCAACAGCCAATATTTTTAAATATTTAGAATAAGTCATTCACAATTTAAATGATTTTCTGAAAGTAATAAAACATTAGATAACTTTGAAGCCCTCTGTGTATGCATTTCTCCATCTCCAGAGACAGCCCCTTTTGAGAGCCTGGTGTATCTGTTCTATCCTTACAGTTTGTGTTTTTAAGCAACATTTAACACTGTGCTTTTATATATACACAAGTTATATACATTATGTACCCATCTGGAACTAGGGTTTTTTTTTTTTAACTAATAAATATGATTTTGAGATTTAACTGCTCTATAACATTCTACTCCATAGAAAGATTACAGTTTGTCATTCCTCTGTTTGTGGCCTTTAAGGTTCTTTCTAGGAGTTTGCTATATCAAACTATGTTGTAGTAAATGGCCTTATGATGTCTACATATGAAAATGTACACAAGTTGAACTACATATTCAAGTGTATGCACATCTTCATTTACACGTGTTCAAGTCTATTATAGCCAAATATGTCTCCAAAATAGTTGTAGAAATACAAACTACCATTGACACTTTATGAAAGTGCCTCAGTCTCCAAATCATTGCTAACACTAGCTACCATCATGGGTCAAATTGCTTCTCCTCCACTTACGAGCTGTGTGACTTTGGCATGGTGGTTATATAATTTCTCTGTACCTCTGTTTCTTCCTGTGTAAAATGGGGGTAACAACATCACCCACCTCATAAGGCTTTGTGAGGACTGTGTAAATTGGGATTTATAAATGTTTAAGAATGGCTGGGCCAGGTGGCTTACGTCTGTAATCCCAGCACTTTAGGAGGCCAAGGCAGGTGAATCACTTGAGGGGCAGGAGTTCAAGACCATCCTGGCCAACATGGAGAAACCCTGTCTCTACTAAAAATACAAAAATTAACTGGGTATGGTAGCACATGCCTGTAATCACAGCTATTCAGGTGGCTGAGGCATGAGAATTTCTTAAGGCTGGGAGGCAGAGGTTTCAATGAGTCAAGATCATGCCACTGTACTCCAGCCTGGGCAACAGAGTGAGACTCTGTCTCAAAAAGAAAAGTTTAAGAATAATTACAGTATATAGGAAGCACTCCATGTGTGATGTTTTGATAATTCTTGGACTTCCAATTATGCCCCATAAAATGGGTGTGGTCTTGCTGTTTTAATTGGTGTAAACTTTTCTTAATATTCTCAATTACTATGTGACTTCACTATGGACTAGTAACAAAGTCTGTGGACTGGCAGCAGTCTATGTAGATAACTTGAGTACCACTTTGTTAAATTACTTTTAGTCTTGTAGGTTTTACTTTTTTTCACATTAGATCGGAAGGTATAATTTTACTATTAAATCAATGTTTGTAATGCTTATATATCATTTCAAGTTTTTTTTTTTTTTTTTTTTGAGACAGACTCACTTTATTGCGCAGGCTGGAGTGCAGTGGCATGATCTAGGCTCACTGCAACCTCTGCCTCCCAGGTTCAAGTGATTCTCCTGCCTCAGCCTCCTGAGTAGCTGGGATTACAGGCACATGCCACCATGTCTGGATAATTTTGTATTTTTAGTAGAGACGGGGTTTCACCATGTTGGCCAGGCTGGTCTCAAACTCCTGACCTCAGGTGATCCACGAGCCTTGGCTTCCCAAAGTGCTGGGATTACAGGCACGAGCCACCGCACCTGTCCTTCTATTTCTTTTTAAGTCAATTTTGCTAACACATTTCTCTAAGAATTGACTTATTTTACATATTTTCAAGTGTATTATTAAAATGCATATCTTACTCATCTGTTTTTTATTTTCTATATTTTCTATTTTTACTCTTCCTGTTGTTAATTTATATATGTATGTATATTTATATGTATAAGTATATATATATAAAATCAAGTCTGCCATAGGTCATCTATCTATATTTTGTTATTCTTTTAAACAAATGGCTTTGGGTTTGCTAGTAATATCTTTTGTTGTATTTTATCAATTTCTGTAGTTATATTTGTTATTATTTTCAAATTTGAGTTAATTCATTTTTATTTTCTGAATTCTTTGAGTTGAAATATTATTCCATTAATTTTTCTAATAATAGTTTCTCTATTCAACTAACTCAAATGCACAGAAAAGAAACAGAACTAAATTGTTGGCATTCTTTGTTTTCTTTATGTAGATAGAAAATTTTTCAGATCTGAGGAGGGTTATAGGAATGACTCTAAATGAGTAAAAAATTAATGATATATGGAACCTGGACTGTTAACAGTGAGCTAAAGGTAGTATTTGTACAGTTTTATGCCCTTTACAAGTTCTTACAGTCATTACCACATTTTTTAAATAACAGATGTATTGAGATATAATTTACATACCATAAGATTCACTCTTTTAAAGTGCACAATTCAGTTTAACTATTACAACTATTTAATTTTGAGCACTTTAATCACCCCAAAACAAACCCCATGCCCATTTGCAATCACTTCCTGTTAATACCTACCCTCGGCCCTAGAAACCACTGATCTATTTTCTACCACTAAAGATTTGCCTATTCTGGACATTTCATATAAATGTAATCATGCAATATGTGTTTTATGACTAGCTTCTTTCACTTGGTGTAATGTTTTCATTTGTTTTAGCATACACAAGTAATTCTTTTCTTTGTATTGATGAATAATATATCTATCATGTGGATAGACAGCATTTTTTTATTCATCAGTTGATGAGCATATGAATTATATCCATTTTTGGTTATTATGAATAATGCTGCCATGAATATGCACCAGTTTTTGTGTGAACATGCATTTTTAATTATCTGGGGTGTTCAACTAGAACTGGAATTTTTGCTGCTCTTACATTTAAGTCTATAATACAGTTTGAGTTAGTTTTTGTCTATGGTATGAAATAAGTTTGAATATGAGTGGAGGAAAAATCATCTTTCCAAGAAATAATGCTCTGGGAGGACTAGATTTTCACATGCAATTGAATGATATCTGAACCTATCTCATACCATATGCAAAAATTAATTCAAATTGTATCAAAGACCTAACATAAGAGCTAATCCAAAATTAGGTAATTTTTCTTTTAAACAACTGTGCATCCAACACAAACATTTTCTTTATTTTAAAAATGCTAAATCCTGGATATTAAATTTTAAGAGTATTTGTTTTATTGGGAGCTATTTGGAACTATTCTGTACCTGTTTTTGATATATTGTTTCAGTTAGCTCTTGTCACAATAATGTCATACAGCAAAAACAATACTGTGCAATAAATAACTGCAATATCTAAGTGATCACAACAATATACATCAGTATGTCTCACAGTAATTAGTTTAGGGTTGATACATTTTTGAAATAACATAATTTTAGTAACTTTCAGATACTGAAACATTCTTTTAAGCACAAAAAATAATACTAAAAGAAACTTTAATCTCATATCCGTTTTCAAAGCTTCTTTCCTTTCTCCCTACCCAGGCCTGTTTCAGGCTAAAAAACACCAAGTGAGGAATGATATAGTTATGATTTTTTTGGACTCTGCAGGAAGCCGCCATCTTGTCTCTTAATGGAAGCACTCCCTAACTATAAGTCCAACAACTTCTTCACAGATCTCTTTTTCTTTGTTGTTGGATAGTTCTCCTCTATGGATCTGTTAGTATGGGATAGTTAGTTAAGAGTGTAGCAAAGTTAGTTTTAGCCAAATCTTAGCAATTTCTATGGTGACTTTTCTGAGCATTAAGTTGTCAGCTGAAATTCTAAAAAAAAAAACAGAAAATCCTCCATTTTGTCTTTGCGTGGCAATAATTCTTCTATTCTTTAATCAGTATCAGGTATATGTAAATCCAAGGAATAAAAACTCCCTAATACCTATTCTAGTGAATACACATAAACCTAAGTTTTGCAAGTTTCTGTTAAATTTTGGATTAAAAGAAATTGCTGTTTTAAGACAGAGAATTATGTAATAAATTATACTTTTAAATAATATATTTTGATCCCAAGCATTTCATTACCAGAGTTTACATTTTCATAAGCCTATTAAAAATAAATTTAATTTCAGATCCTTTTGAAGCATTCATCATCTTTTCTATTCGTCATGAGATCAGAAGGATTGATCTTCACAAAAGAGACTATAGTCTACTTGTTCCTGGATTGAGAAACACAATAGCACTTGATTTTCACTTCAATCAAAGTTTACTTTATTGGACAGATGTTGTAGAAGACAGAATATACCGGGGAAAGCTTTCTGAAAGTGGAGGTACATATATTATAATTTTTCTTAATGTTTAGATTACTTTTTTAAGTGAAAATTCAAAGAACACGTTATAACTAGAAGAAATTTTGATTATTCTTTGACCTTTGGTCCTTTATCCCCTCCCTCATATATGTAAAATCAGGGATATTGAGCATCTGTGTGAGCACCTGTTGGGGGCAGGAAGTGGTGACGCTCGTGCTGTTCACACCATTTGCCACTGTGGACTTTTCCATGGACTGATGGCAAAGAAATGCATTTACAAGAAAAAAAAAAAGACTGGTTGTTACATACCATTAGTCACATTTTTAGGAGTTACAATAACTTGTTTTTTTTTTTTTTTTAATTTTGCTACCATCTTTCAACATAATTCAAAAAAATGAAGAAAGTATTACAAAGATGACTAATATGAGCTAAATATTTTTGCCATAATTTGACTTATCTCTTTTGGCTAAGCTAACCCTTTCTTAAGTAGAAAGTCTTTGATATAAATAGCCGGGTGTGGTGGCTCACACCTATAATCCCAGCACATTGGGAGGCCGAGGCAGGCAGATCACGTGAGGTCAGGAGATCCAGACCAGCCTGGCCCATATGATGAAACCCCATCTCTACTATAAATACAAAAAATAGCTGGACGTGGTGGTGCATGCCTGTATTCCCAGCTGCTCGGGAGGCTGAGGTAGGAGAATTGCGTGAACCTGGGAGGCGGAGGTTGCAGTGAGCCTAGATCATTTCATTGTACTCCAGCCTGGGCAACAGAATACTTTATCTCAAAAAAAAAAAAAAAGGAAGCCGTTGACATAAATATATATTTCTTTTGAAATGTTGCACCCATGTACCATTCCAAGGACAAGGTATCTCTGTCAAATTGTTAATTCCATTGTAAATCACCTTTGCAATTTTGAAAAATGGTCATATTTAAGCACATAATATAATTATGATATGTAAACTTATATCCTATGTCATATACTGATTTAAAATGATGGATTTAGATTCATAGGATTAATTGGTTAGCTACTTCATAAAACACATTGTTAATATGTCTAACAAAAAGCACTGCTGTGGTAGCAATGTTACAAACTACAAGGATTTATCATATCAGAAAAGGTATTTAAAAATGAAAGTTTTGGCTGGCCAGCACAGTGGCTCATGCTTGTAACCCCAGCACTTTGGGAGGCTGAGACAGACAGATGTTTAAGCCCATGAGTTTGAGACCAGCCTGGACAACATGGCAAAACCCCATCTCTACCAAAAATACAAAGAATTAGCTGGGTGTGGTTGTGTGCACCTGTAGTCCTTGCTACTCAGGAGGCTGAAGTAGGAGAATCATCTGAGCCCTGGAAGTTGAGGCTGCAATGAGCCGTGATCACACCATTGCATTCCAGCCTGGGCAAACCAAAGTGAGACCCTGTCTCAAAAAGTAGAAAAAAAGATTTTTTTTTAAATTGTGAAAGAAATTCAATAGTGGATAAATAAGAATATTGGTAGGCATCACTGAAATGCTTATTTTTATTCAGACCTTTTTCTCTTATTTACATTTTTGTTACATCTTGCAAGTCTTAGGGTCCCAGGTGGGGAAGAGGGTCATCTGGGGTTGATCTTTGTTAAGGTTAAATATAGTAGTAGCTATTATCTGTTATCCTTCTAAAAAGAGAAAAAGAGTGAGTGCTGATTAGCCAGAATGCATCTTAGCTCTGGTGGGCTTTTTCTTTTGATTTTATTCTACTCTTGAAGATCAACATTTGAGTTAAGTTGCACTGATTTTAACCAGAATATCATTATTGTTTCCAAAATCCTTTGCTCTGTATAAAAAAGTCAGGAACAAGAAATAACTTTTTTTTTGCAACCTCAACGTTGTTATTAGCCTCAGAGCTGCTTAAAAACTTTATTCCACTGATACCAAAAGGATTTACTAGATTAAAGATTTCTGGCAAGGAAGATCGGTAATGCTAAATTTGAGTCTACTTGGTTTTACCTGTGCTAGGTAGCACTTTTGCAATCTCTCAAAGTTGAAATCACATTGAAATAATTTGTACTGCTGATCACAGGCACAAAGGCCTTTTCCTTTGTGCTTAACACAATCCTTGAATGGGTGCACATGTTGGTTTTCCTTCTTTTGTAGGTGTCAGTGCCATTGAAGTGGTTGTGGAGCATGGCCTGGCTACTCCAGAAGGCCTGACAGTCGACTGGATAGCAGGAAACATATACTGGATAGACAGCAATCTGGACCAAATCGAAGTGGCCAAACTAGATGGCTCCCTAAGAACTACACTAATAGCAGGAGCCATGGAACACCCCAGGGCCATTGCTTTGGACCCAAGATATGGGTAAAGAAGTTTGCCTTTTATAGATTGATTTTGGCATAAAAAATAGTCTTTCAATTTAACATTGAATTTAATTATCTCATCAATTATGAGTCAAAGTGGTTATTTTGTGCCCATGTATGTGTGTGTGTGGCGGGGGCGGGGAGGTGGGGGTAGGTATGTGAGTTGTACATACAGCAACTAGTTTATTACCACAAGTTTGGTGATAGGATTGCTTACATAGGTACTTTTAGAGGCTCAAAATGTCTTTTTTTTTTTTTCTAAATGTGGGCATTAGGCCCTATTGGAAGCTATTGCAACTCTTTTTCAAAACAGTAATTTAATGAATTTCTCTTTGCCCTGCCAAAGAGATGTTGTAATTGTTTCTAATGGTTGGAAACTACAGGGCCAGTCTTTGTTCTAAATAGTCACAGATGTTAGCCACTTCACCCTTTATTTATTTTTTATGTTCTTGGAGTCAGTTTAAAAGAAAATTTAAATAAGCTTGAAGGAGTCCAGTGGTGAGATATTGACTGTTAGGAGGTTTGAAAGACAAAGCATATGATTCTGGAAAACAAGGTTCAATGTTGAGTAACTCAGGTTACTGCCCTCTTCCCTTTTGTGTTCCGTTGTGAAGGAGCAGAAGAGAGGCACTGGATTTCCAGCCAGAACATATGGGTTCCCGTTCCTGCCCAGTCACTTATACTCTGGGTGTATCAAGTGTATCTTTTTCCCTTAGATTTCAGGTTTCTATTCTATGAATTGGGGATAATAACATCTTCCTCCTTCAGTTGTTTTTAAGGAGATGATATACATGGGAGATAATATGCAACTGATAGGTGAGAATGCTTTGTTATTCCTGTTGATTTTGACCTTTGTAATTGTTTTGTAAATCAAAGGTCATTGTCAAGCCTAAAGGCTAGCAGAAAGGAATTCTTTAGGAGGTTTGTACCTTTAGGTAATATCAAGTCCAGGGAGCACCAATGAGTGCTTCAATGAGAGAGGAGCTCCAATGAGCAGGGAGTGAGCCAAAAGGGAGTTCAACGAGATAAGAGAGAAAAGCCAGGCGATGTCTAAGTCGGCCTCCTGGCCACACCTTCTGACTTTTACTCTTGTCTATGCCTAAGACTCAGAAGTCAATAGATTGGGAAGTATGTTTGTGTCTCTTTTCCTCAATTTTGACTCAGAAATGAAAGGGGCAGAAACCATTTATCTAGAGCAAGGATTCCAAATTGGCCACCCTCATTTATGTGTTTGCTTTATTTTCCACAGTGTTTTAAATTTACTTGAATTAGTTGTCAAAATTTAAAATATTGAGAGATTTTACATAAGACCCTGGATTTCTGCCTTCTTTTGTAAAATAGGGAGATTTGGTAACAACTAGCTGAGTAGTAGCTGTTTCTCTTAGCCTGGAAGTATATTCTCTAGTTTATGTAGTCTACGTTTTACCTATTTCACCCATTACTTCCTGTAATAACAATTGATCATGAAAAAGCCTGCTATGTTTAATAAGACTTACCTTTATTTTTCAATATTTTATTCCTGAGGTACAAGTAGATTGCTGATACTGACCCTACACTTCCCACAAAGTTGCTAGCTCATTATCAGCTAGGGCCTTATCTCCAGTACCAACAACTACTGATGTAAGGGTTTTACCTATCAGACCTAAGTTGTGTCAGCAAGGGAAACTTTCTGAATAAAAGAAAAGTAATATTTTGGAAAAGATTGTAGTCCTAGCATGTATACCAACATGAGAAGAAAAACATGAATAATTCCAAAATTATAAATGACACAGAAAACAAACAAAAAACCAGGTGTATGAAAGTTTAAAAATGGTCTCTCCAAACAAGATAGATTTTGCAGTTGATGCTTCCTTTTCCACTGATATTGTATTGACAATGCTAGGATCAACTTATTTATCTCAGTTTTGTAAATATCCAACCTGAGAGTAAAGAAAGAAAACAAAAACACAAAGGACATACAATCTACAAGTACTATTTAAGTGAAAATACCAAATATGATTTCAGTGTGAAATATCCTCGAAGAGTTGAAAGTTAATACAGAAAGCTAGCCTGAAAGTAGGGGAAAGTCAAAAATGCTTCTGGGGGAGTTGATACCTTCCATCACTAATTGCTGCTATGAAACAGTGAGGCTAATTAAGATAATTACATTGATAATAAAATAATACTTTTTTTTAAAATAGGGTAACAAAATAATGCTTATACAATCATTTCTAGAATAAATGACTAGAGTTTGGATAACTACTAATTCATTAAACTCTAAGTGTTAACTGGAAGGTTGACAGATTTTTGTGTCATGATTTGATAGGCTTTTATTGTTAAAAGTTATTTTATAGAGGTTAATATGATTAAGATATAAAGTTTATATAAACATCATAAAGCACATTTTAAAATATACATTTTTAGATTTAATAATGTAATGTGAATATTAAAATATTTTCAAGTTTATTGGCTATTTTGATAAACAGTTCTGAGGTTAGTTTAATATATTGGACCTTTCACAAGGTAGGCTTAAAACATAGCAACAATAAGCAGACACACACGCACACACACACACACACACACACTTACAGCAAAGCCAAGCCAAGCACAAGAAAAGCAACATTGAAATATAATTTTATTTAAACTCAGCTTACTATCTTAGTGCTATGTACAATATAAACATAAGATTTTCCCCAATTTCTCAAACTATTAATAAAATATATAAGGAAGCTGAGAATCAGCATTGATATGAGCTTCAAAGTAATTTAAACTTCTTTTGAAATTTTTAATTTTAGATAAAATTCACTAATTATTGAGAAATATGATTTATATAAATACTGTTATATTTTCTACTAAATCTTAAGCTTTTTGGTGGCAAGGGAAGTTGTTTTCAGTCTGTAAAATCCTTCTAAGCCTCTTTGAATATATACTTGTGCTAAGTAAATGTTAAACAAATGAATGCATGCATAGAAATGGAATTTGTTTATATGTAACTTACAGGAACTCAAGGATATATTTAAAATGGGAAGTATACAGTAAAGGACAGACAGCTAATGGGAAAACTATGAACTTTGTTTACAATAACAAATGAAAAGAAAGGTTTGCAACTAGCCACTTTTCTCCCTTAACACAGCTGAGAAAACAAACAGGCCCTAACACTAGCCTCACAAAACACATTTACTTCATGTGAGGTTTCTACAGCAATCAAGGTCTTTGTGACCTTTTTTTTTACAGATGCCAATGTGAAGTGTTTTTAATTGACGACTTTGCTTCCCCAGCATAAAATCCACCAACATTCACTTTGGGTTATAAAACATATCTGTCATCATGCCATATTCCTTCAGTCTTCTGGATTTTGACCTGATCTCCCAGGTGACAAACTATTCCAAGATGGTAAATTGAGAGTCTTAGGGAGGAGCTATTTTTCTTTCATTCCATTTTAAGGTAATACACTTATTGCTAAGGTGACCTGAAAGAGACCATGAATCCCGTTTTAAACATTAAGCTTATTATTAGAGAGTAACAAGCACCAGGGTGTGCAGAATCTACAAGGTACTCACTTCAGTTCTTGAACTTTCATTGCCTTTATTTTTACGCTACTGCATGGCATCTTCCTGATCTATTGCTAAAGCTAGTATTTAGTTTTCCTTTGTCATAATAACTGAACTAAAAATTCAGCTTTTAACTAAAACTGAATTTAGTTAAACTAAATTTTTAACTGCCATAAAAATTTCGTTGGTGAAAGTAGAAGTAGTAATTGTGAAGATTAGTGAGACATCTAAATAATATTTTAATCCTATCTAGGAATATTCTTAAATGGAACTAATAAAGGTTTTGTTGGTTTTAGAACTGAATATTACAGATAAGTAACCTCTTTTTTTTTTTTTTAACCAGGATCATTTATTTTTACCTTCTGCTGCTTGATCTGATAGGTGATAACAGCCTTTTTATGCCTATAATGCTACAAGTTGTTCATGTCTTTTGACCCAGTTTAATCCAGACACTTACTAATCCATGAATGGAGGAACTGCAGCATCTGTAGACTGTAGTTTCTTTTTTTAAAAGTTATTGTGACTGAACATTTCCATACATCCTATAAGGAGACATATTAAGTCTTTGTATACTTGAGGATATAATGCAATTATTGAAATGCTAATGCATTTTAACCATCTAAAGAGAAAGTAATAGGAAAAAAATGATTCTGTTAAAATAGCACATTATCAAGTATATGAAGGAGTACCTAGAATGTTATGAAACGATGATCATTGAAATCAGCTCTTAAGATTGTTTTGAACTATGTTATGGCAAGGTTAAGAACACTTCTAGGGTGACTAATTCTATAACATGTTATTTATAAAAAGTGTTGGAATTTCTCACTTAAATCGACAAAATTTTAGTCTCATAGTGATCACCATAGAAGTATACTAACACTGCTAGGTTTAATGAAGAAATGAAGGGATCACTTATTTTAGTGAATCAAAGTGTCCCAAGCCATATTTTTCCCCCACTAGAAAAACGTTTCAGAGTTCACAGTGCCTATTTCTGGTAAATATAAATATAGAGAATACAGAATTACAGTGTCACTGATGGATAGTTGGACTCTCCACAACTATTCAAAGTATAACTGGATAGAAAGTTACAAGGTAGACACCAATTTCCCAATTGTTATACAGGCAAAAGATGATGCATCAGAAGTCTTTGTGTTATCATTGCAGAGTGGGAAGTACAGCCTTATCTACATCTATTGGTGGCTTATCCACAAATACTCAGAGACTGCCTATAACTTCCAAATTCATAGTTTGTTTTCAGGGATTATTTTTTCTTTTCTTTTTCTTTTTTTTTTTTTTTTGGAAACAGAGTTTTGCTCTGTCACCCAGGCTGCAGTACAGTGGCATGATCTCAGCTCACTGCAAACTCTGCCTCCCGGGTTCAAGCAATTCTGTAGTTGGGATTACAGATGCGTGCCACCACGCCCAGCCAATGTTTCTATTTTTAGTAGAGACAGGGTTTCACCATGTTGGCCAGGCTGGTCTCAAACTCCTGACCTCGCATGATCCATCTGCCTCAACCTCCCAAAATGCTAGGATTACAAGCATGAGCCACCACACCTGGCCTCTTATTTTTTTAAGCTTGCAAATCTCTCTACTGGCCCTTGTTTGTGGAGATAACACTACAAATTAGATTGATGCTATCTTCGTGTTCTTTCTATTTAAATATTTTTGTTTTTAATGCTAAGTTTAAAAGCAACTGACAAATAACAACCTGTTGTCTATGAAAGATCTGTGCACTCAAAATTAAATTGAAGTGAGATTTAATTTATTTCATATTCATTATTTTTAAGAAAGGCATTTTACTATTTAAATAGCCTATCAGCTTTATATTAACCTTTGTTCCATTTTCTATTTAACTGGCAACATATTGTATTATTTTGTGATTAATTTTGTTTATAAATAATTTCGTGCTAATATTTTCAGATAATTAATATTTTTATACAAAACAATCTTATCTTTAAACATAAATTTTTTGGGAAAATAGGCCCCAATATTGAAATTTTATAAATGTCCTCTGGTACATTTTTAAAAATTTGTACCTATTTATTTGAGTTGTTTACACTTTTGAACTTTTATTACAGAAATATTAAAGTACACAAACTAGTAGGGATTGTGTAATAAACTCTCTTGTACCCATTATCTAGCTTAAACAATTATCAGTACATTGTCCTCTGGTATATGAATGTTCATTTTTATCCTTTCCCAATGGTCTTATTCACATATTTCATTATCGAACAATAAACAATTTGGATATTGTTTTTCTGAATATGCTTCCACAACCATAGCTGTGAAAGCCTTGAAACTAAAATTAAAGCCATATACATAGAACTAAAGCTGTCTGTGAACCCCATAAACCTGAGACAGGTCTCAGTTAATCTAGAAAGTTTATTTGGCCAAGGTTGAGGATATGTGCCCATGACACAGCTTCAGGAGGTCCTGATGACATGTGCCAAAGGTGGTCGGAGGACAGTTTGATTTTGTACATTTTAGTGAGACATGAGACATCAATCCACATATGTAAGATGAACATTGGTGGGACAACTCGAAGCAAAGGTGGGAAGATTTGAAATGGAGTGAGGGGGCCTCCAGGTCAAGGTAGATAAGACACAAATGGTTGCCTGCTTCTGAGTTTCTGATTAGCCTCTGTAAAGAAGGCAAATGCATTGATCTCAGTGAGCAGAGGGGTGACTTTGAACTGATGGGAGGCAGGTTGGCCCTAAGCAGGTCCCAGCTTGAATTTTCCCTTTAGCTTAGTGATTTGGGGGCCTCAATATTTATTTTTCTTTCACATTTCCCGCCTTTTCTTTTTAAAATCTTTCAGAGAAAGCATTTTAGAAGAACATGAGTCTCTGGTTTCAGGTTTTATCTGATCTCTTATGGCTATGATGTTTTATTCCTAGGTGGCTAAGTCTTGATTTATTAGGAAAGCTCATTTTTAGCAGGTTGTGAAGTCTCATGTCCTGTGACAAGAAAATAAGGGGAAGAAGGGAGAGAAACAACAACAAACAAAAGAATAATCCTGGAAAATCAGTATAGGCCACATTACTCTGAAGTCCATGCATCAGTAGGCAGCTTCGAAAGTCGTTTATATATGTGGCTTTAAATAGGTTGCTGTTATATTCTTCTGAAGTTTAAGTTGTCTATCTTCAGTTCAGAGGGCTTTACAAAAGCACAGCTTAGTTTTTGATGACTCCAAATTAGAAAAAAATGGAGAAAAAAGGAAAAAGGAAAAAAAATGAAAGCATTATTTTGCCCACTTGTAACCAAGAAAAAATAGAATTTGGTCCAAATGGTAGAAAACAATAAAAAAAGAAAAACATTAGGCAAGATTAGAATCTAACAACAGGTGTACTATAGTTTTTGAAACATTATTATTCTTTCTCCAGTTTCCCATTTTCACTAAAGACAAATCCTCGTAGGACTGATTTGCTTTATTATACTTGGCCTGATTATTTGTATACAGTGCAGCAAGAAAAAAAAATATTTTTCACATAGGCTTTTAAATTGGCTTTGATGGAATTTTGTTCCATAGAAGGAATCTCAGATAAGACTATTTTAAAGTTGAGCCCAGCCATGGATTTGTACTATCAAATACCTATGAGTTGGGTGGATTCCTTTTCTCTTGAGGTTCCAAGATAAACTTGGAGCTCCTGGGCCTGTTATAAAAATGATGTTCTTTACTCACCCCAGGTCAGGAACCCTGTACAGGGATGGTATAGACAAGGTATGAGGTCAGTTTTTGCAAGGGGCTTTTATTGACTTCATAAGTCAAGTCTGATTCCTTAGAGGAAAGCACACCACTGCAGTCAAAGCCTTGATAAAATAACCAGTTTCTCCAATTGTGTCCTATTACAAATGAAAACAAATTTTTATTGCACTTATGCAAATAACTGTATTGCCATAAGCTAACAATACTCACAAATAGTTTCAAAATTCTGTAGAAATCAGGTAGAGAGAAACAAACATGCTCCAAATTGTGTTCATAGGAGTATATACCAAGTTGTTAAAAGCTGTCAATAGCTCAAAGCAAAGTTTCTCTGACTCTGAAAAGAAAAAAAGGATTAGCAATGTTTCAAGCAAAAAGTCAAAAGGATTACTTCAATCTTCTATTAATTCAGTCCATGCAGTTAATTTCTGTTCTGCTTGATACTCATAAACATTTCAGCTCTCCATGAGTTCTGAAAGCTTTTCCTCTATTCTGATATCGCAACCTCCAAAGTTATCAGAAAACTGGATTCAAGAGCATCTGTTAGAGTTTTATAGCTGATTATAAAACCACCTTCTAAAGAGAACCAAAACAAAATAACTGTCCGTGGAAGACAAAAATTTTAGGGCAGTCATAGTCAAAGACACCATTGACAAGGAAATTTGTTACCTCTGTGGCACACAATAATTTAATATAACAATTATAATTATTACTGATAATGTACACAAAGTCATATTAGAATTATAGGAGTTTCCCATAATTTTTGAACACATACCAATAACATATACAAATACAGCCCAAAGAAAACTGAACACCATTTCACAATTGACAATGCTTCCTGTATAATTTTTATAACAAATAAGCCAAATTATGTCATTTTTGGACTTTAGGGAAACTAACACCTTAAAGGATTAATTAGGTCAGAAAAGACATACTTTCTAATTTGATTTTTAAAAGTGTCAAATACCAAAACACATATTAAAACACTTGATAATTGCAGGTCTTTGAAAATTAGTCATTCATTTGACCAAAGTGATAACTCAAGGATTTCAAAAAAGAGGTGAAGGCCTTCATTATTTGAGAGAGGAGACTTAATTTTAAAAACAATAAGCCCAAATAAAAGCAGGAAGCTAATTAAATTTGTTTTTCAAAATCTTATAAGCAATCTATAAAATTTTAATCTTGACCATAAGATATAACTTCCATAAGCCTTTTATAACCTTTATTAAGTAGTTAACTAATGCTTCAAGAAAACCCTGTTAATCTGACACAAGGGCCCATATACTGGTCTTGCATTAGTATGCCTTTGACTTTAGTGATTAATTTATAGAGAAACTGGACTTACTTTATCTCTCAAAATCTGCCTTTACAATATCACAGGCCCACCTCTTCTGTGATAGTTCCTGGGCTTTGAGGAGTTGAATAGTTTTAATTTCTGTCCCTGGGTTTCAGGAATGCAATTTATTTTTATTGTCATCTTCTCCCAGGACAAAATATGAGGCTTTAATTGCTGTCACCATTTAAGATTTAGCAGGACTTGGTGTCCTTTTTTTTTTTTTTATTGAGACAGAGTTTTGCTTTTGTTGCACAGGGTATAGGGCAATGGCACGATCTCAGCTCACTGCAACCTCTGCTCCTGGGTTCAAGCAATTCTCCCGCCTCAGCCTCCTGAGTAGCTGGGATTACAGGTGCCTGCCACCACGCCCCGCTATTTTTTTTATTTTTAGTAGAGATGAGATTTCACCATGTTGGTCAGGCTGGCCTTGAACTCCTGACCTCAGTTGATCCATCCACCTCAGCCTCCCAAAGTGCTGGGATTACAGGCATGAGCCACCACGCCCAGCCTGGTGTCCTTTTTAGACCCAGGAGTCCAAGCCCTGTAATTTAATATCACAAGTACTTTAAAAGCACGTACAGAAAGATAAACGGATGTAGTAACCTTAATTTAAAAAAAAAAGAAAAATTAATCTTAGTTTTTTTCCTAAGCAAACCAAAACTTAATAATAATGACATAGGAGTTGTTTTGATAAACCATAAAAATCTGTTAGACTGGTTACCAAAGGCAAAAGAAAAGACCTTCTGCACTGCACAGAATATTATTTTGGAAGAAAACATTTCCTTTAGACCTTTAAGAAAACATTGTTACCATCAGGCCACAACAAACAAAAGTTAATGAAAAAAACTTATATGAGCTGAAAATGAGTTGAAGGAGAGCATTACTATCTTGCTCCCTTTAAAAGGGGAGAGAAAATCAAAAACAGTGAGATGCAATACATTTGAACTTTGTGTTAAAAAAAAATCTGTTACAATTTACTAAGAATAAATCAATCCCTTAAGTAAATGTCACTGTTCTAACCAATTATTTATTGTGTGTTTTTTAATATCAAGCCCCAATCTATAGAAAGACCATTATAGTTTCTCTTTAATTATAGACAGCTTGATCATATAAAAGTTGTTTTTTTAAAAATAAATTCTTATTTTGACTTACACAGATCATTCATGTCATGCTTGGACTTTCTGGTTTGTTCTGAACATCTGTGTTTCTTAAACAACCAGTCATTTTGTTCTAGGACTAAATCTACTATACAAGACTCTTTCTCATATAAAAATTATTTCTCTTTAAGCTTTCTTACCAAAAAAAAACCTCTTTATTTTTATAACTTTCTTTACATTTCTCTTATTTCCCCATTCCTTTTATCTTTTTTATACATAACCTTTAAATAAGCTTTGAATTAGAGAAAAATTTTTCACCTGTTTAAAAAGGACATACTTTTTTTGAAAGAATGTTTTCCTACCAATATACTTTTATTGAAAAATACCTAAATAATGAAATATATATTATTTAATATAACTTTAGGATCTAAATTATGATGAGTTTGTTTACAAGTATTTATCCCATTACATTTACCTAATTATTTTATTTTAATCATTTACCTGCATTATTTATAAAAACTGTGCTAGTCATCATTTAAAATTATGGAACTACCATTGCAAAATTATAACTGAGACAGTGAAAAATATCTGAACTAACTGGCTCCATCCTGTTTCTAACCTCCAAGCTGTCCTTGTTCATTTCTGGGTGTAGACCAAACTAACTTTGTATTTGTATTACTTAGTTTATAGTTTATAGTTTATAATTTAGCTTTGAAACAAAGACAATTACATTCCCTTCCCAAAACAAACCTTACTGCCTGTGGACTAGACTGCCTAAAGCCGCAAGATTAGAAGTTATGGTAATCTTACTAAATTTAAGATGCAGCTGTTTTTATTAAAATAATATTAATGTCTTATTTATTAAAGATCATGCAAGCAAAGATCATTCCGTCTTGGGCTGGGTTTATACTTTTGTAACCCCTATGGCAAATTTTGACACCTTATAATATTCGGCAGGGATAAGTAAGAAATTGCTTGATTAATAAATGCAAACAAAAATGTATTCTGGCAATTCTTAACACATTTCTAAAGTCTTAACTACTTTACCAAAAATTTTAAAGCTAGCTTATTTATTAAAGATTTTACTTGTTATGTAAACTGGAAAAAATATTTGACTAGTCTTTTTTTCCTGATAAAGTATTTGATTTAAGTACTTTTATTTTCTTAAACCAATTAATTAGAGCTCTTGTATATATTTTTAGTGGTGAAACATTGTGTACATGCACATAAATACATAAACATATTATGCTTGCTGATAGAAATATATCTTATAGATTCATAAAGACCTTTTTTTTTTCTTGTCTTAGACTTTCAGATTCATGATAACTTGTTTCACAACCCTAGGCAGTTGTCAGCTAAATAGCCTTAATTTTTCATATTAAAGGAAACAACTAAGGTGAAAATCAAATAGCAAAATTTACATCATAAGGTACAGAGAGAAAAAGTCTGGTGGTGCTAGAGGAAGATTAGAGATGGATGCCAAATCAAACATAAAATTAAACAAATCTATCATAGGGTTATATAAGGAGACCACATTTATTTAGATAGAGACTATCTATCTTTAACTGGACCTTTGAACTCTGGGTAGAGACCACACTGAATCCTGGGTCTCCAAAAGGGGAAAATTATTAAAAGGTTAAACCATGTGATGTGCTTACAGTTCATTACAAAAATAAATAAATAAAGACATTTCTAAGTGTCTAAACTACACTCTTCCTTACAAAACCAAGAGTAGCCTCTGTTGCAATAGCTACTTTAGTAAAAAAAAAAAAAAAAAAAAAAAAAAAATCAGGTGACACAATACAAAAGCAAGCAGCTTAAGAGCTGAGATGAACTTGTCTGTTCACACTCTTGAGATTCTGTAAGGAAAAACAGACGGTTTTCCCCGAAAGGGAGCCTGGTGCCTTCTCTGTTTTCTTTGAGGAACTCCAGACTATTATAAACTATTTTAGGTCCCTCATGCAGCAGGGGGTGAAAGAGAAGGGAAAGACAGCAGAAGTAAATAAAGAAAACAGAATTCAGTAAACTGAGAATAAAAAAACTTTTGCTCAAAAAAAAAAAAAAAATACAAGGTCCTAGGAGAGAAAAAAAAAAAAACATGAAGGACTTTTAAATACAAACACACACACACACACAAATAGACACACATAGACACATACACATACAAACACACACACCTCTTGGATGTTAGCTTTTAATTCAGCTGGCTTCTAACCATTGAGCTCCTTAAAAAATCTTTTAAAATGTCATTACCATATTTCAGCTAGGATAAATTGCTGCTATTTCAGAAGTACCAAGTATCAAACAAGAAAAGGCTTGATATAGGAACAAAACCCAGGCTGTCATGGTGGAAAAAAAAGAAGGCAGACCCTTAGCTATCAAACTGCAGCATGGGGTGACAGCCATTGCTCTTTCAGTTTGGCCTGGCTGGCAAAATGTTGGCCTTGTTATGTAAATAAAGCCCCTATAGTAGTCAAAATAAAAAATCTCCAAAATGTATTTTCCTTTCACATCTCCATGAAACTGAAATTATTTTAAAAAATAACTAATAGAAACCAATTGTTTGAAAGAAATTCTATGAGATGAATCTACTCCTATGATCTCTTGCCCTGAATCATATTTTCATGGCTTTGATTCACGTTTGCTTCATAAAATTAATCTACTTTCACATAGACACTGTTGTAGCATTTAAACATAGATATTAGTATTTTCTCTATCCCTTTTTCTCTCCCTTTCTCTGTTTCCTTAACAGTTAGCAAGACTGTGAAAATTTTCCTTTAAAAAATATTTATTCTCTATCAATATGTGTGTGAGCATGCATGTACAAACACAAATCTTTTCTCTGTGCTAATCATTCTGTGTGCTAAATTGTTTACATCCATTTTCTCACCTAATGTTCCCAACAAATGTGTACTATAATAGTTTTTATTTTCAGATGAGAAAATGGGGTTTGAGATTAAGTATGCAGAAGTAATTGAGAAATTCCAACTTTGATCCAAGTTTGTTTTACACAAAAGCACACACTACCACTATTTAATATTGACACAGTTATCTAATAACACTTACCAAATGTCAGTGTTTTAATTTATATAGGAAGTTCCACTCTCATCTTTCTTCCCTTTTTGCCATACTCTTTTAGCATATGTAATTACTATGTTTATAAACATAATGTTTTGAACTGTCCTCTAATCATTTCATATTTGTAATTTCTGTTTTCTGTAACAGACTATATTCTTTTCAAAAATAGAAGTCATGGTGAATATATCATTTCACATTTTCTTAAATAGACATAAATTTTTTTTAAAAGGAAGTGGATTAATTGAATTTTAAATTTTGTAAAGGATTGTTTCATTTTACAAGGTAATTTAGCAAATTGCTATTTTCAAGGATTATACAGAATAATAGAAGTCAAAAATAATAAAACTATATATAATTAAATGAAGAGAAAATTTATTTTTTTACCATTTCATAATTTTACCATTTATCAACAAAATATTGTCAGACCTGATAGAAAAATGTACTGCAACATTACTTTCTCTTTTTGATTACTACTGTAAGAGCAAAGGGAATTTTTCACTCCCTCTCTGAAGGTTCAAGTGTCCTGAAATAAACTGGCAGCAAATTAGCAGAAGAAAAGGCATACAGGATTACTAACATGCAAGTGTACATGGGAGCCATATAAAATAAAGAATCAGAGGACCAGATGGTTGAGGCTTATATACCCTCTTCATATGGGAGAGGGAAATGGGGAATGTAAGGCATTTTGAGGAGTGGTATATAATTTTCAGGGGAATTGAATGAGCTCAAACAATAGACAACGTCCTGGGCCAATGTTCCTCTGACCTCTGAGTGGGGTGGCTATAATTTCCAGAAAGGTGAAGGGCAGAACCTCACAGTCAACAAACATTGCCTTATGCAAATAAAGCCTCTCAGAAAATCTCTCAGAGCTTCCTTCAGAACAATAGATGAAAAGTCTGTCTGGGTGTGGTGATGAGTCTTTTTTTGTCTTTGTTGTTTAATCATTCCTGGATATTTATTGAGATTCCAAGGGAGGGGTTTTCAGACAGTTGCATTTCTTTTGAAAGAAGTTTTCTTCAGTCAAATAAGGGTACTTCCAGAAAGAGAGTCCCTCCCTTGTGTTTGGGGCAAAGAAGAGAGAAACAAGAGAAGGTTAGAATGTTCTTGAAAGGCAGCTTCCATGAACTTGCAATTTCCTTTAATTCAAAAAAGTGCTTAGCATGCCAAAGTACCATACTTTGGCATATTATTCTCTGAGCCCCAACATTGTCTACACCCATCAACGTTAAATTTTAAGCTCCTGAAATTTGTTCCTTTTCCATTTTTCCCTTTCACTTAGTGGAACCCCTATACACAATATCCTTCCCTCAATCTGAGATTGCTGAAACAAGAAACTGATGGTCTCCTGAGATTCTGTTTTTTATCTCATTTTTTACACCCAGTCCATCAGCTAGTCCTGACAATTCTACCTTCAAATTATATTTTGAATCAATTCACTTCTCTCCTTTATTGCCACCACCATACTCTAGACCACTATCATCTTTTCTGGTCTTTTATATAACCACTTAACATGCTTGTACTCTTGCCTCACTATTATCTATTCTCTGTATAATAGCCACAGTGATTAGACAGTATATCTGTTTTATCTGGTACAGTATATCCTGTGTATATACTGATTAGACAGATATACTGTCTCATCACTATTGTTGTGGGTTTTTTATTCCCCTAATTTGGCAGGCAGGAGTGTTACAGCTCTTTTCCTCCTGCCGCATGTAGCTTGGCAAGCAGGAGCATTACAGCTCTTTCACTCCTGCAGTTCAGCGAACTCCAGGCTCTTGTCCCATGACCAAAAGGAATAAAGTACATGCATACTAGAGAGGGAGTAAGGCGGAGTAAAATTTATTGAATGAATGAAAAGCTCTCAACAGCAAGAGGGGATTTGAAAGTGGGTAGCCTTCTCTGAGGCTGAGTCTGGGGTTTTTATGGGCTTCAAATGGGGGAATTCTTGCTGATTGGTTTATGGGTGGGCTTGGAAAAGGAATCATTCAATAGGTTAAAGGCATCATTCAGAAATAACCAATTAAGAGAGAGTGGGTAAGACATGGATGGAAGTTCTTACTCTGGTTCATGGATTCGACCCAGAACTGGTAGCCTGGTTTTCAGGCTTTAGACTGCCCTGGCTTGAAGGTTCAGTTTTACCGGGGACCCATTTCTGGCTGCTTGGGAATTTGTCTGTCTCCTGTCGCTGTCACTATGTCTGTATATATTTACTATACATAGAGAATAACATTTCTCCTCTACTTAAAAGCCACCAAAGGCCTATGCACTTCTTATTCCCTTAATATAAAATCCAGAATAATTCTCTTACCCTACAAGACCCATAAGATCACCTATTTGTCATCCTATTCCTCCCCTCTCTTCCTCACTCACTATGCTTCTAATACATTGGCCTTATTTCTGTTCCTCAAATAGCCCACATTCTTTTCCCTGTTAGGGCCTTAGCATATGTTGTTTATTCTACTTGCCATGCTCTTTATACTGCTCTCCTCATTCTTCAGTTTTAGTATAAATATCACTCCTCAAAGTGCTTTTTTCTGATCACCTTCTCTAAGTAGGTCAGTCACCTGCTATTCTCTCTCATAGCAATTTTTTTCAAAATATTTTATGAGTCATAATTATATATTTATGCACTTATTTAGTCTGGCTCCTCCACTGGACCATAAGCCCCACGAGGATAGATAATACATCTGTTTCTCTTGTGACTTATCACCTATCCAGTGCCTAGCATATGGTAGGCACTCAATAAATATCTGTGAAATGAATGACTGAAACAATAGTATTATTTCTTTTTTTTTTTTTTTTTTTAGAATTCTTTTCTGGACAGACTGGGATGCAAATTTTCCTCGCATTGAATCTGCCTCTATGAGTGGTGCTGGGAGAAAAACCATCTATAAAGACATGAAAACTGGGGCTTGGCCTAATGGACTAACTGTGGACCACTTTGAGAAAAGGATAGTGTGGACAGACGCCAGGTTTAAAAAATCATCTCTTTTCTGTATTTTTTTTTTTACTTAGATAATATTTACAACATTGGAAAGTGTCCTAACATGTCAGTATCATGTATACATATATTAAAATTGGAGGTGTATTTTTTTTTTGCTTGCCCCAAATCAGATACAGACCCATAAAAATATTTATAAAATACCTTTTTTGTCATTTAGCTGAGTTACATGATTATGTCTCTGGACTAGTTGAATGAGTTTTGACAAACTACTCATGTATTTATCTTTCTGTAGGTCAGATGCTATTTATTCAGCCCTCTATGATGGAACAAACATGATAGAAATCATCCGAGGTCATGAATACCTTTCCCATCCCTTTGCTGTGTCTCTATATGGGAGTGAAGTCTACTGGACAGACTGGAGGACCAACACATTGTCCAAAGCCAATAAGTGGACAGGGCAGAATGTCAGTGTGATTCAGAAAACCAGTGCACAGCCATTTGACCTTCAGATATACCATCCCAGTCGCCAGCCACAGGGTAAGTGCTTGTTCACTTATGGATTAACCACCCAGAAAGTATTATCATCTTAATCATATAATATTTGAAGTATAAAATAACTTCTATAAGTTAAAAGTTATTGACATTTTACGCATACTCTATGAGGGAAGTGGTTTCAACCTTTATTTTAACTGGTTTAGAATTTTTTTCTCTTTCCCTTTTTATTTTATTTACATATAAATATTTAGGGGCATCTTAATTCCTAAGATGCCCCTGTATATTTATTTTAAACTAAATCCCCTAATTTTTAGATTATTACCATGTAGCATATTGGGAAGAGAGGGGGTGGTACATGAGAAAGGGTGAACCATTTGCCTGAGTTCCTCTATTTTAGGAGAAGTGAGTTCACAGGCCCATATGTGCTACCTCTCCCCATGTATTCCGTATTTCACCTTTTGGTTCAACAGTGAACCCCATCTTGGTTTTGTGATTGTGTTTCCTCCACTCAATGTTTGCCAAGTGTTCCTATCCTAATTCTCACTTTTTGCCCCACTGGGATACCATGAGGTATCCCATTTGGTGTAACGTCAGCTCATCCTTTTATACTTTTTCCTCATTATATGTGATATAACCCTTGGAAATCTCATTTGAATGCAAACAATGACCCCTTTATTAGCATGTTTTCATTTTAGATTCATGATTCTTAGATGACAAGCTCTCTCTTGCATCTTCTCCTTCTCTTTCTTTTTCAGTGTGGAATAAGCAGACCTTCTAACTCATTGGCATGTAGGGCATTTGTTCCACACATCGAGCCTTATTTTTAAAATTTGTATTATAGTATCTTTTAGACTTGACTAAAACCAATTACCTCTCTGGTTGACAATATCACATGGCTCTCCTTTGTCTTTCTTCAGTGTGTTGCGTTCATTCTCCCTTGATACTATTTATTCTACCAAAATCTCATCTGCAAAATTTTCTGTGTCCTTTCTCTGACAATCTGATTGAATCTAGTTATTTTCCCAGATACTCTCAATTTCTCAGTTTCTATTTTCTTACATAATTGATCCTTCTTTGCTACATGGGAGTTTCTATACATATGGTTTCTATATCTACTGCTTACATAGGTGAGCAATAACTTTAATTTTTTTCTTCTACTCTTGACTTCTTTCACCTTATAAGCTAAAAAGCATGAGGACATTATAGAAAAAAGTATATAGATTAGTCATTTTTGCATTTAATAATGATTTAGTAGATATATTGAATTTGATTAAATTTAAATAAGGCAAGAAGTTATTATTCTGACCAGCAATGTGCCACTAGTATAATGAAAAAATACGCTTCTCTAGAATTTCCTTCAACAGAGGAATGCTTAGCTGTAAGCAAACACTGTAGATGACAAGCACTTATAAGATATGAATGGTTTTGATTATTTCAAGTGCAAAATTATTTACACAACTGTATTTTTGTCCCTCAGATTGTTTGGCATTTTGTAGTAATAATAATTTGTATGTTCAGTGCAATCTAAATGAACTGGACCATGAAAAATGGCCTTCATCTATGTATTGCATCATCTATGTATTGCATCATTCCTCCTCACCCAAAATAGGATCAATGTCCTTCTCCTTCATTTACTAACTGCACTGTCTAATTCGCCTGCATTGGCATGACCCTTAGTAAATTCATAGAACAGGAAGAACCACGATACTCTCAAGCTTTCCTGATATTTATGCATATATAGGAAAGAAACGAGACATTCATTGTCATTTTTTGGTGGGGGGAGGCATCCTTGACATCTTTCCTTAACTCAAAATATGATTTATATATGATTTTTCCTCTTTACATAAAATAAGCAAGATTTTACTATGTGGATGTAATTTAACATATTTTCCCAGGATTCAGGGCAAATATTCTAGTCTTTAAATACATTTAGAGAATATCACCTATGAAAAGAACTTGCTATTTCCTAAATGAAATTCAGTCAGTTTGCAATTTTGAGAGTGATCAGAGAACATTCTACCTTTCCCCATTATAAGGATCACTGAGCATATAATAATCATTATCTGTCCTGTTTATCTGCTTCAGTGAAGTAACACTTCCACTGCTAGGGAAAAAAGATGCAGGAACATATCGACTATTTTATTACCGAGGATAGAATTAAAATGAAAATGGTGACAAAGGCTCAGCATTAACACAAATACAATAATAATAGCCCGTATTCTGGTGAATAATAACATGATGTTCATGAAACAAATAATAAATTTAAAAAATACATGACATTCAGTACTATAAAATTGAAATATATCTTTCACAAATTAAAGAAATAAAGGTTACAAATACTATTTGCCATTATCTAATCCTCCAAGTAGGAAATTAATAAAAGTTTCAGCACCAGTTTTCTTACAAGTAAGCATTCATTATGCACACAAAGTTCCAAATTGGTTATTGGATATTTAAGCAGAATATTTTAGAAATATATTTTAGATCTCTTTGGTTTTTAATGTTGTTGTTATATGGGATTAGGAAGAAACAAACCACAGCTTAAACATATGCAATATGAAGGAGCAGTAGTGGGTATTTTAAATATTAATTAGAAAAATTTACAGCATGAGGGAGCCAAGCTTAGAATTAATGGCATGGCCTGGGTTCAAATCCTAAACATATGATTTATTAATTGCGTGATGTACCCTTCATCATTAGCATAGTTTTATTTCAGATTCATGAGTCTCAGCTATTAATGTGTTATTGGACATTATTGGCAAGTTATTTAACTTCTCTGTATCTGCTTTTTCAAACTGGAGATAATGTATCTAAATCATAGGATCTTGTAAACGTTGAGTTTAATCACCATTTAACACAATGTAGGTTTTTCTTTAAGTTAAAAATATATAATTCACGAAGCCATCTAATCTAACTATATTTTTATCAGTAAAATACAACTATTAATTAAGTTTCAGGTATATTAAAAAATAATAGCAACAATAACACTCATTTACAATAAACACTTTTTGGGTCATGTGTTAGTTTTTCTTTGGATAATGAGATCTGGGATTATATAATGAAGCATTAAATAAAAATGGTTTTGTGATTATGACTTTGTAATATAAATGTGCACTTATATCATTTTTATTAGTACTTTACAGTTGTTAGTCTCAATGTGTGCAAAGACTTGCAGGAACAATTCTCCATCTAAGACTCCTTCTCACACATACCAATTATAAATTCTTATACTAGCTCAAATTTTACCTCCTCTACATTCATAGTTAACACCATAAGGACTCAGCATTTAAAGCTTGTATGGTTATTTATTTATTTATTCATTAATCATTTCCTAACTCTGTCTTACCTACTCGCCTAGATTATAAAATATTTAAGGAACAGTGTTTCATTTATTTCTTTGTGTCAACTATAGAGTCTAGCTAAGTCCTTGATAACAATATCGATAATTATAATAGCAGCTAACTTGATTATCATTGCATTTCCGTGAGAAAAATTGTTAGCCATCCAGTTTCACAGATGAGGAACCTAAGACAGAGAAATACTAAGTAAATTGCTCAAGGTCTAACAGCCAGGGGATAATCGTTCTGTTATCTGAACAGAAGTCTGAAGCCAAGCTTTTGTTTTACTCACTGCATTCTGCAAGCAGAAGACATTAAATGCACATATATTCCTCTTGGAATTGTTGCATCATATCACCAGATGGCAGTAGAGAGTCATGTTTTCTTGACATTCTCCTTGGACAAACTTCCTTACCTTCCTGGAGTTTATAGTCTAAGAGGAGGAACAGACTAAATTAACAATTAGGATAGATACAATCATTGTTATGATAGATGGATTTTGAATGTAAGAGTATAGTAAATGAAATTTAAAAGTAGCAGGGTGTGGTACTAAAAACGAAACAAACCTTGGGATTAGCTAAGTTTAATTCTTCCCTCATGTCAGTCACTAGCCATGTTACCTGAGGCAAATTACTAACTTGGAGGGGTTGCATTTTCACATTTGCAGATCGAAGCAGCAAGTGAGGAAAGAATAAATCAGAGACAAGATTGGGCAGGGGTCAGATCATGCTCACACTCAAATAATATCCCCACAAAGAAATACACAGTTTTTTCCTCTGGGATAAATGGTTCCAATGATGTTAAACATAAGTGTGCATTAAAATTAATGGAGGGCTTATTAAAACACATATTGGGGGGCGTTACCCAGAGATTCTGATTCAGTAGGTCTTAGGTGGGGTTTGACATTTTGCATCTTTAACAAATTCCCAGGGGATATGATGCTGCCTTCAGAACCATTCCTCTAAGAAAAGGAGAGAAACAATTTTTTAAAAAATGGTCAAAGGAGTAAAAAGAACAGATTTGCATGATAGAAATTTGTAAAGGATTGATTGGAGAGACAGGATTGAAGTGTATATGTGTGTGTATGTATGTATAGAATATATATGTGTGTGTGTGTAACACATATATATATATACACACACACAGACACACAGAGATAGAGAGATTGATTTTAGAAAGTAACTCATATGCTTATGGAGGCCAAGAAGTTCCACAACCTACTGTAGGCAAACAGGAGAACCAGGAAAACCAGTGGTGTAACTCAATCCAAATCTGAAGGCCTAAAAACCAGGAAGGGTAGGTGGATAATGGCATAAGTCCAGGTCCAGGAGTTCACAGGCCCAGGAACCAGGAGTGCCAATTATGGAGTGTAGGATAAGATATATGTCGTAGCTCAAACAGGAAACAAACTTGCCTTTCCTCTACCTTTTTATTCTATTTCGGCCTTCAACAGATTGGATGATGCTTCCCTGTAATGGCAAGGGCAGGAAACTTCTAACCCAGTATACTAATTCATATACTCATCTCTTCCAGAAACACACCCAGAAATAACATTTTACCAGCTATCTAGACATTCTCTAGACTAGTCAAATTTACATATAAAGATAACCATTACAGGAAGCTACTTCAGTAGATCAGGAGGTGGCTGATGCCAAAATCTGGGAGATGCTTGTAGGTGAAATGGTCTCTGATGAGATATACTTAGAGTTGAAATCATTAAAAAGTGGTGATAGAGATTTGAGTGGGAAACCTGGGGAAAGGAGGAAGAATATGGGATGGCTTTAAGAGAGAGGGTCAGCAAATGTATTCTGTGAAAGGCCAAATAATAATAATGAATATTTGAGGACTTGTGGGCCATGTGTTCTCTGTTGCAGTTACTCTGCTGCAGTTGTAATGTGAAAGCAGTCATATGGGAAATGAATAAGTGTGGCTGTGTGCCAATAAAACTTAATTTCTGGACACTGAAATTTGAATTTCATACAAGTTTTATGTGCCATGAAATAGTATTCTTCATTTGGTTTTTTTTTCCAACCGTACAAACAAGTTGCTCACCGGCCAGTATTAGCCTTTAGGCCATCATTTGCAGACACTTCACTTAAAGGATTATCTGAAAAATTAAACTTTGAAATGTGCTGAATTTGAGATACTTCTGGGATACAGTTGAATATTTAAGGCTAAAAAGGAAGGAAGCTTTGGTCTAAAACTAGAACTTTCATAGTTATTCAATTGTAGATTGAAGGCAAAATGTAGATAAGATTTCTTAAGAGTATTACAGAAAATGAAAAAGGGCAATGATAGAGCCTTGGAAACTGCAACACTAAAAAGGAAGGCAAAGAAGAATGCTCAGAAAAAGGGCACCAACAGATTTCAGGACAAAAAGAGAAAGCGTGTGCATGCGCACACACACACACAAAAGGAACAGTTTCAAGCTAACACTAGCCAACAGTATTTGCTTTTGTAGAAAAGCCAATAAAAATAAAGACATAAATGCATTCATTGGATTTGGCAACCTGGAAAAAGGTCAGTGATAATTTTAGTGAGAGCAATTTCAGTGGGTTTGTTTGCATATGTCCTCGTGATCCTAAATAGGTCTGACATTAGCTATTAGTATAACTTTCAACTCTTTTTACTACAAAATATAATTTACTAAATAGAACTAGATTGTTCAGTCAAACAGTAAATTCCAAAAAAAATACCTTCATAGCAATCAGCTTAGTCTAGAGCCAGATTGCTTGGGTTCAAATTCCAAATTTGTCAAATCCTGACTTCTTGTGCATTAGTATTAGTTTGTTTCTCTACATTAGTATTTGTTTGTTTGCTTGTTTGTAAATCTGTAAAATGGAATTGTTATAAAGATTAAATACATCAGTCTTTCTCTTTGTTTTTTGAGATGGAATCTCACTCTGTCTCTCAGGCTGGAGTGCAGTGGCACGATCTTGGCTCACTGCAACCTCCGCCTCCCAGGTTCAAGCGATTCTCCAGCCTCTGCCTCCCAAGTAGCTTGGATTACAGTCACGTGCCACCTTGTCCAGCTAATTTTTGTAATTTTAGTAGAGATGAGGTTTCCCCATGTTGGCTAGGCTGATATTGATCTCCTGACCTCAGGTGATCTGCCCTCCTCGGCTTCCCAAAGTTCTGGGATTACAGGCGTGAGCCACTGCGCCCGGCCACATTAGTCTCTTTTAGGCAGTTAGAAGATACCTGGCAAGTACTAAGCACTTTAAAAGTGTTTGTTAAATAACTTAAATAGATAAATTAGATAAATTAGATAGATAGATAGATAGATAGATAGATAGATAGATAGATAGATAGATAGATGCACAATTCTCTTACTTCGTTTTACACATTGCCGCCAAACTCTCCTCCCCCACCCTGTAAGGGAGTTGTCTGTAACCATGGAGAAAGTGAAATCTAACTCTTCTTTTGTATGCTTCTTCTCTACCACCCATCTACCATGTCATTTTTCTCTGTGTCCTCACTCAGCCCAAAGGTGTTTTCTTCATCACCACTCCAGGTGCAGGGTTAAATTTTCTCATAAACCCAGCAAGAATCTACCACCCTGGGTTTTTCTGTTTTCTTTTGTGTTTCTTTCCTTAGCTGCTCTAATTGGAATTAAAAAAAAAAAATCTTTCAAGAATGTGATTGTTATTTTAATTACAGAGTGCTGCAAACCCTTTATCTGTTAGATTTTCACCAATTATGTTTTTCTCTTTTTGTAGAAACTTATTTTTCATGTAAACAGAACTTGGTTTAAAGGGGTCTTAAATGTTTGTTGATAAAAATAGTACTATTTTTGCAGGAACATTTTAGTTTACTTTCAAAGTCAGGCTACTGACTCAACTGCTCCTTTTAAATTTTATTTTGAAAACATAGCAACTAGTAAATATACAAACTGTTTTAGATAATAATATGACTTCCTTTTAAAAAAGAATCAAAACCCAGAAAAAGAGAGAATGAGTAAGACATTGAGAGGTTTCTCCACAGTTACAACAATAATTAGATCAAATGTAATCATACCAGTTATACTCTAACTCAGTCTCCATTTCACATCCCTGTTTTATAAGACATCCATCAATTGGCCCATGAATGAACGAGTGAATAAATCAGAATGAATTGCTTCACATAGAGAGGTTGTGTACTGTAGTAGTTAAAACCTGGACTCTGGAACCTGAATCTTTCTGTTCTCCTTTTAATACTTGTGTGATCTTGACTGAGTCTTTTTTACCTTCTCAAAGTTAAGTTTAGCCTTTGCAAAATGAAGGCAATTTTTTTTTAATTTTTATTTATTATTTATTTTTTGAGATGGAGTCTCGCTCTTTCACCCAGGCTGGAGTGCAGGGGTGCGATCTCCGCTCACTGCAAGCTCCGCCTCCCGGGTTCACACCATTCTCCTGCCTCAGCCTCCCGAGTAGCTGGGACTACAGGTGTCCGCCGCCACACTCGGCTAATTTTTTTGTATTTTTAGTAGAGATGGGGTTTCACCGTGTTAGCCAGGATGGTCTCGATCTCCTGACCTCATGATCCGCCCACCTCGGCCTCCCAAAGTGCTAGGATTACAGTCGGGAGCCACCGCACACGGCCAGGCAATTTATTTTCATAAACAAAGGTTACCATTAAGAGGAATAAATAAAATAATGCTTATAAAACACTTGGCACATTTTCTAGCATAATATAATAAAATAAATTATTTCTTTAACTTTTAAAATCATTTTTTTTAAAATCCCACTGTCCATTATAGGAAAATTGCAAGCTGTTTCTCAAAAAGTAGTTTAACATCGAAATGATTTAAGTGCCTCCAATTGCATCAGAAAAATATGTCTATAGAAAATTAAACTTTTCTTGACAACATCTATAAGAAAACAGGATAAGCTTATTTCACAATAAAAAATGTTATATTTTAAGAATATTATTGATACTCCCTCACTAATTCACTCCTTAGAGGACAAAGTATCACTTACAAAACCTGAAGGATGAGGGATTTCATATAGGACTATTAATATTTTCAATTAGAATTATGGGGAATACTTTTCACATGATTAATAAAAGGTTTTTTTTTTCTTTTTTGTCAAAAAGAAATACCCTCAAAAACATGTTGCAGCATGGTGGAGGTGAATCTCAAATACTTGCAGGTTGCTTAAATTATTTGCTTCCACAATTTACTATATTAAGATCTAGGCCAGTCCCGATGGCTGACACTGGTAAACCCAGCACTTTGGGAGGCCGAAGCAGGCAAATCACTTGAGCTCACAAGTTCAAGAGCAGCCTGGGCAACATGGTGAAACCCTGTATTTTCAGAAAAAAAGAAAATCTAACTAGGCTGGATAAAGATAATGTGGTACATATACACCATGGAATACTATGCAGCCATAAAAAGGAATGAGATTATGCTCTCTGCAGGGACATGGATGGAGCTGGAAGCCATTATTCTCAGCAAACTAAAGCAGGAACAGAAAACTAAACACCACATATTCGCACTTATAAGTGGGAGCTGAACATTGAGAACACATGGACACATGGTGGGGAACAACACACACTGGGGCCTGTCGAGGGGTGGGGATAGGGGAGAGAGAGCATCAGGAAAAATCGCTAATGGATACTAGGTTTAAAACCTAGGTGATGGGTTGATCTGTGCAGCAAACCACCATGGCACATGTTTACCTATGTAACAAACCTGCACATCCTACACATGTACCCTGGAACTTAAAAAGAAAAAGAAAGATCTAACTACTTGTCATATAAATTAAATTTCTCTTTCTCTTTCCTTTCTCTCTCTCTCTCTCTCTCTCTCTCTCCATATATATAAAATATATATTATATATAAAATAATTTTTTTAGCAGAGTTGATAATGTAGGATAGAGGTTATACACGTACATACATACATACATACATAATACATTGTATTGTTCTCCTCACTGTTAACTCGTATCTAGCATCTCTTTATTTCATATATTTATATACTATCGGTATGAGATTTATGTGATCTAACATGTATCCTATTTTAAAATGCAGAATCCCTAGTTCTACTCCAAAATCAGGGCTTCTCAGTGTCTGCACATTACATATTTTGGGCCAGATAATTCTTTGCTAGTTGTGGGCTAGATAGTTCTCAGCTACACTTCCTGTGAATTGTACAATGTTTATTAGATCCTTCACCTCTGTTCACTAAGATGCCAACAGTACTCCAAGTCATAACAACCAAAAATGTCTCAATTTATTCCCAAATGTTTCTTGGGAGGCAAAATCACCACCATCTCCAAGGATTGAGAACCACTGTCCTAGATGGTTTTTTAAAATATTGTGAATATAGAATCATTGTAAAAATAGAAACTTCCCTGATATGTTTTTTTTTCTTTCAAAGCATGTAACAAGTGACATTAACAGAGAATAAATTAAGATACCAGATAGACATGTCATCTCTTTAGAACGACTGAAAGTTAGTTGGTATTTTAAGACACATTTCCCCTATAAATGTAACATTATATTGCATATATATTTTCATCCTTTTACACCAAAAGCTGCATACAGATAGAAATGTTTTTTGTGGTTTTTAAAAACTCTCTCTGTAGAGATACCTGTAAAAGATCAGATGAAATTTTTAGACATGTTATATTCTACTTTATACAGTACAGTATAAAATTAATTCATAAAGTATGACATAATTTGAGGAACATTGCTCCCTCATAAATAATACTGTTAGAATCTGGTGAAAGTAAAGCATGCTTTACTTGCACATATTTTAGGTGTATATATTTTAAATAAGGAATTCACTCAAGTTCTTCAATGTGAAATGTTAAACTTATCACTTGAAGATGTCTGTCATAGGGAAAATAGGATTTCAGATTAGTGGTTAATTGCAAAGTACTTCTGAAAATTCCTTTCTTTAAAACTAATAAGTCCTTTCCTAAAGGAAAATTACTAATAAACATTATTTTATTACAAGAGTAATTGTTCTCATACAAATAAGGTTCATTAACAGGATGAATATTAGTTACTATCAAAAATGACTACATGGGAGGGAGAAAAATCTTTCTCTACCTAACAAATTGGATCCTGGCATTCTGCTTTGAGCATGATTTTATTAGGTAAACAAATATACATATTTTATATTGCATGAACATTTATGTGTATTTTATTTGAATTTATTGGAAAAACTGGTTGTTTGGATTTAAAGTGTTTTTTTCTTTTCCCTGGTGAGAAACGGACTATAATTAAATACAGTTTGAATCAAATGTGAAATTATATTTAATGATATTATTTTTCTTCCCAGAGCACACATCAGTCTTGTGTGATTGCACAATTAACACATTTCTCCTATGAAGTATTGTAGTTATGCATTATTTAATCTTTTCACCTGAAGCTATGATGTGCTTTAGAAAATTAACTTTCTAGATTTTTAGATTGCTGCAATTTTAGAATATATACCCACATACATTTACGTACATGCATATGAATCCAAATGTCCCTACCTCTAACACAATAATAGATACCATAGAAATTTTAGGAAAAAACAATGTGTGTGTGTGTGTGTGTGTGTGTGTGTGTGTGTGTGTGTGTATCTCTCTTAGTTCCCGCCAGCGTATCACCTGTCTAGCTCAGAGAGTGACAAAGTACAACCCTCAGGCTAAATTCAGCCCTCTGTCTTGTAAATAAAGTTTTATTTTCACACAGTCACACCTCTTCATTCACGTATTGTTTTGTGGCTGCTTTTGTGTTATAGTAGCAGAGTTGAATAATTACTATGGAGAACATAAAGCCTGCAAAAGTCCAAATATCTACCATCTGGCCTTTAATAGAAAAAGCTTGCCAACCACTGGTTTAGCTAGAAAGACCAACACATACTAATACAAAATATATGAACAAATGTCACTAATTAGAAAATAGGACAGCAAGCAATAAATTGTCTAATTGCTGTGTAAAAGCAATAATTATAACCAATATTTCGTGATGAAAGAAATCAGCATTAGCTGGCTTCATTAGAAAATGTTTTACGGCAGAAAGATGAATTGAGCTGAGACATGAAGGAAGGTTAATGTAAAGATACTGATGATGAAATTCTAGGGGAAGAAAAGTACATCATGTGGAGGTGGAAAAGAATATAGATATTTAGGGAATAGTGACGAATACATTTTAGTGTGTACACAATGTGTATGTAGAAGGAAAGTGGTAGATGAGGCTTGGAAGATAGATTTGTGTTTTTGAAAGAGAGGTGGGTATATTTGGGACAGTATCACAATGTACCAGATACATAGCCATAGCAATCATTCAAAGGTGAGGAAATGAATTTGGAAACATGTTGGAGGAGTAGAGGTAAAAAGAAAGGAAACACGTATTAGAGAAAATCTGTACAATACTTGAGAAAGGATTAAATTTGGCAGTGAAAATGAAATAAAAAAATGCTTTGGAGTAAAAATTTTGTGTTTTTGGAAGGTTTATGATTTCTGTTTTGTTTTTTGTTTACCTGCTTTTAGAGACAGTCTCGCTCTGTGGGCCAGGCTGGAGTGCAGTGGTATGATCATAGCTCACTGCAACTTCAAAATCCTGGGCTCAAGGGATCCTCTTATCTTGGCCTCCCAAAGCCCTGGGATTACAGATGTGAGCCACCATACCTGGCCTTGATAACTTCTTTAACAAAAATAAACAAGAGAGTGGATCAGAATAAAGAGCTGGAGGGTAAATGGTAGTAGCAGGGAAACCAGTCTGACTAGTGCTGAGGATTCTTGGGGGAAACATTAATAGTAGGAGATAAAGCCGACACTTTGTGAGGTAGACTGTGGGAAGCCATTCAAATTTTTTTTTTTTCCCAGTAGAGATGGGACCTACCTGTCTTGCCTAGGCTGGTCTCTAGCTACTGGGCTTAAGCAATCCTCCCACTTCAGCCTCCCAAAGTGCTGGGATTATTGGCGTGCCTGGCCCCAAATTTTTAAAGAAACCAGATATAATCAAGTATGTGTTCTACAAAGACAACAACTGTATGTAATGCAGGGATACTAGATATCAAAGATTAGTTAGGAGTTTAGCGCAACAATCCATGCAGGAAATGGAGAAAACCTAAATTGAGCCAGTGACCATAGAATTGAAGAGAGTTGAGTACCAGGTTAGTGTATAGAACCTTAAGCACCTTGGGGTAAGAACTCGTCCACTATTGTATCTCAGCTTTTTTTCACAGTGTTTTAAACAACTAGATACTTCATAATGTTTTATTTAATGCATAAATAAAAGGTGGGGGTTATTACAGGTATATCTCTAAGGTTCTATATTTCATCAGTTTGAGTTTAGACAATATGAGCTATCAGTGAACCCAGTCTGCCCAGCTGTATTTATATTTCATCTGTTAAGATTTATTATAGCACTCCATTGATCAATGGCTTTCCCATCTTTTGAATACAAATACATGGAATAGGCTTGGCTTTGGTAGAAGTTTATAGCCTCTGTAATCATACTGGATTTTGCAGTAGTGTCTCTTATAAAATAGCTACTTACTATCTAATTATAATAGGTACATATTATAAGGCTTTGTGGGCCATGTGGTTTTTATTGAAGCTGTTCAATTCTACTATTGCAGTATGATAACAGCCATGGCTAATATGTAAACCAATGCACGTGGTTATGTTTCAATAAAACTTTATTTACAAAAACAGTCAGTGGACCAGATTTGTCTCATGGGTTCGTGTCTGCTAATCCCTGCTTTCTATAAAAATGTGAGTATTATGAACAGTATTTTTAAATTTGGTAATTGGAATAGAATAGGTAGCTGTGTTCAAGCACTTGTTTGGAAAGAAACTTTGAAATAATATTGTTAAATCCTTGAAAGTGAGAAGAGATGAAAATGAAAAGTAAGAATTCTTTGTGGATTTTTCAATCTATGAAGCACAAAATATTGTGAATTATACATTACAGTGTTATCATTGATAAGATATTGGGCTACAAAGTCAATGCAATTTTTAATTTTAGTATGTACATAGAAACTTAATATCTCTGCCTTCAAAAATATATATTTTTTCATAATTGTAGGGTGTTAAGGGTTGGTATGATTCTGGCCTAAAAATAATGATGTTCAAAGTGAAATTCAAGTACCTACCATTAGACTGTTATGGATTATGCTTTTAATTTTCCTGAGAAATAGCATTTCCTATGCTAGTGTTTTTGAACAAACTTTTTTTTCCTTCTTGTCTTCCCTTTTACTCCTCTCTTTTTTCTTTTCTCCTTCATTTTCTTCTTTTTTTTTTTTTTTTATTCAGATATGGGGGAATTTGAGTTTTCTCTTTCTATCTACCTGACTAGGTAAACTTGACTTGATATATGACACTTAACACTGCCTCTTACTCACTCCTCCTCCTGTCCTGCAACACCTTTCTGCCTTCCCTTCCCACCTACTTTCTTGCTTCTCTAACTTGCGATTCCTTAGGGACTTCAATTATTATAACAGACAAAATCAAAAGATAACAAAGAACAAAATAAGAACTACTTACTCTGTGTGACAAAAGAAGTGCAGTAGAAAGGAATCTCTGGAACAAAAGCTTCTACTCTTTTCTATTATCTTTTGTTCTTAATTTTCTTAGGAGAATGAGTTTTTTGTGAGTCTCTTATTCTCCTTTATTTATTTATTGTTTTTAACAAATACAAAGACACTATTACTTTTATCATCTTGATGTAAGGAATGTTAAAAATTGCCAAAAGCTGCATTGAATATTTATCAAATTCAGTTCATTTCTCATATCCTCTACCTTTTTATTATCTCTTTTTTATTCTTTGTGTTTTAAAACACCACAGGACTGCTATTTACTTCTGTAAGAGGGAGGAAATACCTTTTCTCTACCCATCTCAGGTTCATGGCTGAGGTCTGTAACGAAAGACAGATTACCCAAAAAAGTACACAAACTTAATACAAGTATTATATGACATAGGAGCCTTCTGAGGAAATAAAGACCTGAAGAAATGGTTAAAATCTCGGTAGTTTTATGCTAGGAGGTATGATCTAATGGTAATAAACTGGGGAAACTTAGCAAGGCCTGTTGTTCAGATTCTTTTCTGTGTCCCTGTGTCTTCAGAGACAAGGATATTCCTTTCCTCAGGGCTTAGGAAGGGCACCTCTACATGAGAGTTTGTGACCTGCTTCAGGGGAGGTCAGAAAATCCTTTCTAGCTTTCATGACCTGTTTCAGGAAAGAGGGGTGGAGGGAAGGTCACAGAGACCTTCCTGCTTCTGTCATTTTCTAATGGGCAAAGGTGGCATATTGGGCATGTCTCAACCCTATCACTACTTTGAGCAAGGGGACATGGTTGGAAGATACCACTCATGAGTTGAAAGCTAACATTTTCTTGATGGGGCTACAAGAATAACGCTTTTTTGCCTTCAATTTCGTAGCCTAGTTCTAGTGACTTTTTTCTACTAGATAGGTTCTATAAAAATAAGATTAAAGATACTAGATAAATTAAAATCTTATCCAAAAGACATGATGACAGAACAAGGAACATAAAATTCAAAATGTCCCAAGACATTCAGTGCTGTCACAGAATGACATTGAGCTGCAAAATTTAATATTCTGTTCTCAATTTGAAAAATCATAAGTCATTTATACAAGGGAATTGAGTAAGTATGTACATGTGGAGCAATCCTTAGCCATGGAATTAGTTAATACAGAAAAAGTAACAAAGAAGTAGATGACTTAATCATGAAGGCAGACAGACATTTCTTCACATAGGCCTCATTTGAAGAAGAGCACGTGTTTGAAGGAAAGGTATATATGTACCAGTAGTTTCCTAGGGAAGCCTCTAAAAGTGGTGTGCCAAGGCAAGAAGGGAACCTTCATGGTTGGTTAAGAAAATAACAACATCTATTGCAACTTCCAATGTCTGGGTTATAGTCTATCTTAGTTTATTTTATATTAAATTCACTAATTATTCCTGGTTGCTCCTCAAACTAACTCCTTAAAAAGTCTTGACGTCTTTTTTTGTTTGTTTCTTTTTGAGATGGAGTCTCACTCTGTCACCCAGGTTGGAGTGTGGTGGCGCAGTCTTGGCTAACTGCAACCTCCGCCTCCCGGGTTCAAGTGATTCTCCTGCCTCAGCCTCCTGACTAGCTGGGACTAGAGGTGTGTGTCACCACGCTCGGCAAATTTTTTGTATTTTTAGTAGAGATGGGGTTTCATGGTGTTAGCCAGGATGGTCCCAATCTCCTGACCTCGTGATCTGCCTGCCTTGGCCTCCCAAAGTGCTGGGATGACAGGCGTGAGCAACCACATCCGGCCACTACCTCGAAGCAATAGGATGCATGCCATTTGTCTAAGAGAGAATTGATGGAGTTTTCTTAGTTATCTTTGAAATAATGTTTTTTTATTAATGTAATTGCTGTGTATGATTGTCTATTATTGTCATATTAATCACCCTACTAATGGGTTCTATGTAGGAAACTTTACTTTGAATCATTAGGTGAATAACCCCTGTCAACCTCAGAGCTTCCCTAATACATTCTTCCTTCTTCACTGTTCATATTTCACTGTGTAATTACAGCTCCCAATCCTTGTGCAGCTAATGATGGCAAAGGCCCCTGCTCTCACATGTGTCTAATCAATCACAATAGGAGTGCTGCCTGTGCGTGCCCCCACTTGATGAAGCTTTCTTCAGACAAGAAGACCTGCTATGGTAAATTTCTTACAGTTCTAATCGAAAATAAAAACAAAATTGAATTCTCTCAAATTATATTAGCATTCAGATTTTACTCATATTAAAGCAGAGGAAGTTTTTTTTTCTGTTTTCAAAAATATTTTAGGTGGTGGTGCTATTTCCATCCACTATTGATGATTCATCTGCTCTGGGGAAGACTGACAAATTCTTTAAATATGTGATATGTTGTACTTTGTTATTTGTTACCTTATTGATTTTTTTTCCTGCTACTTTCTTATTTGGTACGTTAGCAGAGTTTATCTCTGCAAAACAGGAAGATTTTTAAGTGAAAGTGCATTATCAGAAAATGATGATGTAGGTAACCTGCATAACAAAGAGGCGCTTAACAGCTTTAATCTGCTCTTCTAAAGTCACTCTAGCATCATTTGGTACAGGATTATCAACTTGAAAGGGGGAAAAGTGAAATAAAATATATAACTTGGAAAGATTTGTAAAAAAAACTCCACACATTTAAACAATGCATTTGAACTAAAAAAGATAAATTTTGTGAATAAAATTTTTTGCTTTCTATTAATAATTTTATTTATTTGCAAAATATTACTTAATTTTAAGGACAGAAAAAAAGTACTCACCAAAATTTAAAAGTCAGGAGTTTAGGTACATGTAGCTTTAATTTACACCATAATAACATATCTCAACACCAATAACCTGAAAGACAACAACAACAAAATAGAATATCTGTAACTACTATTTCTATTGGCTCTGATATTTTACAAATGTAGTGCAAGGAAGTAAAGTGATATAACGCCTCACAATGTTAGTTACTACAAATTTACAAAAAAAATACACTAAAAGCACGCTTTAAATTATTTGAACCCTAATTTTTATAGGAAAAATATATACAAGATTTCTAATAGCGTGTTTAATTTTATCTTATTCAAAGACAGTATAGAAAAAAGTTGTTAGATTCCCTCAAAATCTTGTAATGCAATACAATATTGTAGTAATTACGTACAAAGTACAAATATGGTATCCGACACTCGTAGTTTATGTAGTTTAGCAACTTCGAAATTCTAAGGTCAGTGAGAATTGATTACTGAGAATGTTTGGGTGTTTCTAGCTAAAGAAAAATGATGATGTAAGGCTTCTAACTCATTTCATATTTGTTTCTATTAAATACCTTAATTTAAAATAGATAAATTGTTACTGCATTGTTTCCATCAAATATTGATTGTGATTTTTGGGAGTTAACATGTATTAAATCAAGTAATATTTTAGAATTTCTAGACTTTCAAGCTTGCCAACTTCATAAGAGAAAAGAATTTCTATTTCTTTTTTAGAAATGAAAAAATTTCTTCTTTATGCAAGACGTTCTGAAATCAGAGGAGTGGATATTGACAATCCATACTTTAACTTCATCACGGCATTTACAGTCCCTGATATTGATGACGTTACTGTGATAGACTTCGATGCATCTGAGGAACGTTTATACTGGACAGATATTAAAACACAAACCATTAAACGAGCTTTTATTAACGGAACTGGGTTAGAAACTGTTATTTCAAGAGGTAAAAGATTCGTACATGTTACAACTTTAAAAGTGTTTGTTATTCAGTTTGTAATAATCACAAATCTTTTATATTCTTTCTCTTTTATTCAACTTTATGCTGTTAATTGAAAGTTAGAATTGATTAGAGATTTAATAATATGCTACATCCTTACTATTGTAGAATGGTATAATTAAATTGCACAGAGCAGACTGATAATTAGAAATTTACATTCATGTGAAGAAAAACTTCAGGACAGATCACCTTAAAATTTAGATTTCTCGGCTGGGCACGGTGGCTCACAGCGGTAATCCCGGCACTTTGGGAGGCCGAGGCGGGTGGATCACTTGAGGTCAGGAGTTCGAGACCAGCCTGAACCAACACGGTGAAACCCTGTCTCTACTAAAAATACAAAATTAGCCAAATGTGGTGGTGCACACATGTAATCCCAGCTACTTGGGAGACTGAGGCAGGAAAATCACTTGAACCTGGCAGGCGGAGGTTGCAGTGAACCAAGATCATGTCATTGTGCTCCAGCATGGGCAAGAAGAGCAAAACTCCATCTCTCCAAAAAAATAAAAATTAAAAAAAAATTTACATGTCTAAATAAATAGACTTAAAGTGTCTTTTTTTCTGATGGAGGAATAGTTACATTTGCATAGAGAAAATATAGGATATTAGGAAGGACTGGCTTCCCTGTTTTTTTTTTTTTGGATTTTGTTTTTTGTTTTTTGTTTTTTGTTTTTTTTTTGAGACAGAGTCTCATTCTGTCACCCAGGCTGCAGCGCAGTGGCACGATCTCGGCTCACTGCAACCTCCATCTACCAGGTTCAAGCAATTCTCTGCCTCAGCCTCTTGAGTAGCTGGGATTACAGGCACCCACCACCACACCTGGCTATTTTTTTTTTTTTTTTTTTTTTTTGTATTTTTAGTAGATACAGGGTTTCAGCATCTTGGCCAGGCTAGTCTTGAACTCCTGACCTCGCAATCCACCCGCCTTGGCCTCCCAAAGTGCTGGGATTACAGCTGTGAGCCACCATGCCCGGCCTCCCTCCCCTACTTAAGCTTATAAGCAACTTCCCTTTGCACATATTTTTACAGACCTAGACTAACATATAAAACAGGAAAACTGTTCCTATTTCCTGATCCAGCAGGTTGAATTATAGGTTCTAAGAGAATGCTGTACAACTAACCATTACAAAAATAGGAGTAACTTGTCCCAACACTGAGAACATATATGAAGTGAGACATACATGTACATGTCATGGTGGAGTTCTAAATTTTTAGCATTGAATTATCCTAATATTTGCTTAAAGTTTGGCACATTGTGATTTCAGGGTCAGTTATTATTTTATTGAATGTGTCTTTATTGAGCACTTACTATTTGCCATGACTGAATATCCAAAGACGCAGTTTCTCTTCAACCTAAATTTGGTAGAAGGATTTGGAGGGGAATGGAGAAAAGAGTAATCAGTAATCCATATAAATGCATCAAACACCTATGCTTTCAAGTCTATTGAAAATTTAAAGTCAGACATATTTGAGCAATGGTAAATGTCATAATGAAGGCAATAGGAAGTGTAGATTTTATTCACTATCCTTTTCAATACTAGAAGGCTAGCTTGAGTACCATTAATAGATCTGAGAGTATTTGACCACTGAAATACAGTTGTATTTAAGCTAGCTCTTTTCTGATCTCAGGTTAGCACTGTTTAAAAAAATTTATTGAATGGTTTGGCTATAAGCTTGTTCAAATATTTATTTCGAACTTGCTGAAAAACAAGAATTTTTATAAAAAAGCAAATGCAAAGATTTCCTCTTTGTTCAGAATTTTTTTACAAGGGCAGGGGCAAATGTGGTTGGATAAGCATTGTTAGACTGGATTAAAAAGAACAATAATGACTGATGAAATGTCATTAAATTCCTTGAAAGACCAAGTAAAGGACATTAGGTGTCTCTGAAGATTGACAATCAGTTAGGTGGTCTTCCCTCAAGAAATTCACCAAAGTCTGACAGAAAAATGTTCAAGTACTTTATTATAAATATTTAATATTATCCAAAAGGCTCTGTGAATTATAAAGAGCAAAAGATGTTATATCTTAAAAAAAAATAGGAGACAATTTTCTGTCTTTAATTATGAACTGGTATCTGGTAGTAATTTGGTGAGTTTATCTTTGAGAAAATCATCAAGACTTACTTCTATTTAGCAGACTCTATTCACAATTATCAACCAAAATTTGAGCAAAAATGTTTTCTCACTAATAATTAATACATATACTCATTAGGAGCAATAATTACAGATTCAGTCATTTTGAAAAATATTGGAACATTTTCTTTTCTTTCTTCTTTTTTTTTTTTTAGATGCAGTCTCACTCTGTCCCAGGCTGGAGTGCAGTGGTGCTATCTTGGCTTACTGCAAACTCTGCCTCCAGGGTTCAAGCTATTCTCCTACCTCAGCCTCCTGAGTAGCTGGGATTATAGGTGCACACCACCATGCCTGGCTAATTTTTGTGTTTTTAGTAGAGATGGGGTTTCACCACATTGGCCAGGCTGGTCTCAAACTCCTGACCACATGATCCACCCACCTCTGTCTCCCAAAGTGCTGGGATTACAGGCGTGAACCACTGCGCCCAGCCTGAACATTTTCTATATAGTAAGAAACTTAAGGAGAGCCAAGACAGACTGAATGGTATGGAGCACAGAATGAGAGGGATGTATCTGTACAAGCTGAAAGATCTAATGAAATAGACGCCAAATTATGTCAACCTTTATAAGATAAGTTTTTAATGTTTATGTTAATTCTGAAAATAATGGGAATTAAGGAAGTGCTTCAGGGAGGGTATGACAACATGAAGAGCTTTGCCTTTGGAAGAGGCCACTTTAGCTACTGTGTTTAGTAGAGAGTTCTATGGGTTGGGAGTAGATGAGCAGTGAACTCTGAGAGACAGATTAGTTGGCTGTTACAGTGGCTCTAGTAAGAGATATCAGAAGCCTAGACTAGGCTGGGGAAAACACAGATGGAGGAACATGCACAAATTATAGAGATATCAAAGAGTAAGAACATAAAGGAACTTAACAATCAATTGGACATAAAGTTTGAGGAATAGGCATTGTCAAGGATGATTCCATTTCTGACTTACTCCACAGGCTGAATAATGTTGCCTTTCAATTTTTTCCAGAATGAAACTTTGTTAAAGATGGATATATCTTTCCATTAGCAGAAAAACTTGAGATAAACTTTTGACAGTTTAGCATCTGAACTCATCAAAGGATCTCAAATTCCACCAGTAATTGTACTTTGTTTTATCCTTTCATCTTTTAGAAATTCCATGAATGACTCTGTGGAAACCTTTCTCTTCTTGCACTGTGGGTCTCTGTATTTTCTCACTTAGCTCTCGTCTCTCTATTGGGCTTCTTCTTGAGAGACTTTATTTTCTTACCTTCCTTAGTCTAAATATAATGTGGGGTCAGCTTCAAAAATTGGGCCCCAAATAAATTCACTGTGCCTATCATCTCCCATTATTTTCTTCTCAAGTGGGCCATTTTCTTTCTTTCTTTTTTATTTTAGAAGTAGTTTTGCTCTTATTTCCCAGGCTGGAGTGTAGTGGCACAATCTGGGCTCACTGCAAACTCCTCCTCCTGGGTTCAAGTGATTTTCCTTCCTCAGCCTCCCGAGTAGCTGGGATTACAGGCACCCGCCACCATGCCCAGCTAATTTTCTGAGACAAACACTAGCTCCTTGGTTCAGGCTTTCGTGAGGGGAGGTAGAAATAGTTTGCCAGCCTTTTCATTCTACATGTCCTGAAACACCAAGCTGTTCTTAATGTATATATTGCTCACATGAGCTATTTGCTGTAAGTAGCTTGGAGCAAATAGTTTCAAAATAATTTTCTTCAGTACAAAACTCCAAGTTGAGAGCTATTTTCTATCATTCCTTTGTAGATAGTATCCCACTATCTTTTGACTTCCCCTATTGCTATTGAGAATCCACTTGTTTTTCTAATTGTCATTCTTTTGGTGATGTCTCTTTGCTCTCTAGCTACTTGTAACATCTTTGCTTTTTCCTCATTATAATATCTATATTTTGCTACCTAGAGTTGTATCTTCCATGGGGCCCTGTCTTTCATCAATCCAGGGGAAAGAAATCCTCAAAATCCTCTGTTTTCTCTAACTCAGTCTTTGTACTCTATAATTTGTAAACTCTAATTTATGTGTTGGACTTTAATAAATGTGTTGGACTATTCATTCTGCCTTCCAACTCGCTTAATTTCTTTGTTTCTCTGTGCTAACTCTGTTAACTTCTTTCAATTTGTTTTGTAGTTCACTAGTTGAACTGTGCCTAAACTGCTATTTTACACATTCAAAAATTACTTTTTTATATTATATTTTTTAATATCACAAGATATTTTTGGTTCTCATGCTTCCAAAAGAATCTTTTAAAAGGAATCATTGTGCTTATTATTATTCAAAGCATCATTTATTCCATTAAGATATTCCACCTTGTCTTTATCCTACATATAATAATTTATGAATATGTAGATTTTGGAGGATTGGACCTTTTGTTTTTTTTTCTTTTAACTGTTCTCGTATATCTCATTTCTTTGTGTGTGTTTTAATTTTTTTTGTTCTGTTACGAGGATGAACTTAATGGGAAGTGTGAGTCTTGGGTTGAATAAATTTTTTCTTTTACAGAAGACTTGAATTTTTTATTGATGGAGAGAAAAGTAGACACTATAAACCAGGAATCAGTTTAACTTTATTTTTCCCTTTCTTTGGTTTTGCAGTTAGGACAAATAGTAGGTTCTCAATGAAGACTCATTCAATAAAATAATAGCTGACCCAGAAATCACCAGTGGATTTCTTATGGCTACTAATCTTTACTAGCACAGTGGATTTCTCATATATAAGCTAGTAGTTTCTAGTAGCACAGTAGAGACCTGTTCTTAGGAATTCAGGTGTTTGTGTTTGTGTGTTTTTGTTTGTTTGTTTGTTTGTTTTTTGCCAGTGAAAGGACAGAAAAAAAGTTTTGTTTTTATTTTTTAATTGTTCTCCTTTATAAGCAGGTATCTTTTTTCTCTCACTCATCTTTCACTAGGGTGTGTCTATACCCAGAAGATCACTCTTACTTAGCTCACCCATTCTTTGTAAGTTTAAGGATTGAACCCTTTTACACTGAGCAATTCATACTCCATGAAGCTCTCAATTCTCAGCACAAGTATTTGTCTCTATAATTGCACCCACTTCTATAATCCCATTTTGTTTTCCTTGATAGTTTTAGCTAATGTGTGAGTGTGTGTTAGCATGTTGAGTTTTTCCTGTCTTATGAGCTCGACAATGCATTTGAAAATTACAATTTTTCATGCATCAGTGTTGTGGCAATAAAGGACTTTTCAGATTATACTTCATGATTAGTCTTAGTTCAAGAAATGAGAGACCCCAGAACTGGAAAATTAAACTTCCTGAGAAACTTACTCAGAGATCTTGTTCTGATTTACTTAAAAACAAAAGTTAAAACCTAGAATTTATTATTTCAATATTTTATCAAAAAGAAAAATATTATTAAATATATAACGATTTTTATTCCACCCCCACCCCCATATGCTTATGATGAGTTTACCAGAGCACTCTGCAACAACCAGATGTGGGAATTAGTGATTGATAGTCAAAAAGAAGAGTATTCTTTTAGACATAAAGATGATAATTAGAAAGTTCAATCTGGTGGGAGAAAAATGTTAAGCATAAAAAATTAGAATTAGGCTGGGCGCCTAATTAGGCTCATGCCTGTAATCCCAGCACTTTGGGAGGCCGAGGTGGGTGGATCACCTGAGGTCAGGACTTTGGGACCAGCCTGATCAACATGGAGAAACCCAACCTCTACTAAAAATACAAAAAAATTAGCTGGGCGTGGTGGCGCATGCCTGTAATCCCAGCTACTCGGGAGGCTGAGGCAGGAGAATTGCTTGAACTCAGGAGGCAGAGGTTGTGGTGAGGCGAGATCTTGCCATTGCACTCCAGCCTGGGCAACAAGAGTGAAACTTCATCTCAAAAAAAAAAAAAGTTAGAATTAAGATTGCTTGAGTACGTATTTAAATACATACTCCTCAACATAGACATATTTGACTTATTTTAGCTCAGTTCACATACTCTTAAAATTTTAGATTTTATAGTTCATGAATTCATTAATTCATTAAAAATATTTACGTTGAAGGCAATGTTGTATGCAACTGGGGAGAGGGGCCAAAAAGACACATTAGCAAGGAGCCTGCCCTCAAAACACATATGTGAAAGTAGTTATATATTAGCAAAGTAATGACTACATTAGGTAAAAAGAGATTGACCAGGTACGGTTCTATTGAATTAGGCAGGTGGAGAAACTCTTTCCAGCTGAGATACACAAGAGACATGATTAGGTTTTTGTGGTTGAAGGGATGATGTTGTTGATCAGCTAGCCTATTATGAATAAAATTCAGGCAAGTGGAGATGGGGGTAGGTTATGAAATCTAAATAGTTTCCCTATAGTGTGGAAAGATCAGGTAATATCTGGAAATCTGAAAACATATTAATATGGTTAAAGTGTAAAGTATTTGGTTAAAAATAGTGAGAAATAAGACTGGGAAAGAACTGTAGCTATAGTCACGCTATATGGAAAAGCAGGCTAAGAAATTTAGACATCACATTCTGGGTGGCTAGAAGCTGTTGAATACCTTGGGGCAAGTGAAGGTCATGATTCAAAGCTCTGTAGTCAGAAAAATAACCTGGCAGCAAATAAATCAATTGCTTAGAGGAGGAAATGCTGGATACTATTGTAATATTAAAGCTGGAAAGAGATTTGAGAGAGCATGAACTATAGAATTGACAAAGACTAGATAGATATTTATAGCTTTCATTTGGCTATGCTTTACAATTTAGGAGTGGAATATATTCTCCAGGCCATATTATTAAGAGTCTATCAGAAATGAATAAAAGGATTTCGAGCAGCAGAGACAATGCTTACCCCTCACCCCCCACCACCAAAAAAAAAACAAAAAAAAAAAAAACAAACAAAAAAAAAAAAACAAAAAAAAAACCACTTTGGAGAACATGTATTTTAGGGTAAATAGAAACTTATTATTTTTGCCAATACCAAGAAATCCAAGGTAAAATGCAGAAAAGATTAAGTTCTTAGACTGACAAAATATTCTTCAGCCCCATATCAGGCTGCATAAATACACATTATCTAATGTATTATAATATTCATAACAATCCTCTGTGTTATCTATAGCCCATTTCACAGGTAAGAAAAAAGACTAAAAGACATTTAAGTGACTTGATTAATGACAAAAATAGGCAGTCAACCTGAACATCAACCCAAATATTCTTATTACATCAATACAGCCTCTCAGCAACCAATTAACTCCAGAGAATGAAAGAAGGGGAAGAAGGAATAAAGATTCTGAGTGAGGGAAATAAATATGTATAAGACGTGGCAGGTTTAACTTTAAGGAGGTGGTATATTACTTTTGTCTAAAAAAAAAAAGATGAAATTGGTTGAGGATAACTAAAAATAAGAAGAAATGTGAAGTTTAAGATTGAGAAACAAGTTTACATTTGAAATTCACCAACTCACCTGTAAATTAATCACGAAAAGTAATTTGCAGAGTGAGAGGGTTCTTGATTTGAAGAGAACTGGAACCACGAGTAGTATCTTCTAAGGCAACTGTGATTATTAGTTACTTAGAAATACTAAAAGGATTTTTGAGCAGCAAGGTAGGCTCCCTTGAGATTCTGGCATGGAAATGTAAGCTGGAAGCCTACCATTCAAATACTGCACTTTAAGGCTGACTCAGAACTGCCAGGCCCCCACATCTTGTTTTGCTGTCTTACATTTTGAACTAGTTGGCATACTTTACAGATCTGGAGTTTCCACTTTCACATTAAAAAATCTAGCTTTCTGGCTTCTTTTGAAAAGAATAAAAAGGGAAGTTATAGCAATTCGACTAGAGGTAGGTAGCAGCTGCTCAGAAGTTTTGATTGGAATCACCAACCTTGAGCAGTAACAGAATCTTGGGCCTCTCCCCAGAACTACTGAATTAGAATCTTTATTTTAACAGTTTCCAGGTGTCTTGTAAGTTTGAGAAATAGTAGTCTAGAGAACTCTATAAGTACAGAATGCTAGAAAATACTAAAATTTTTTAAAGTAAAACCAAAATCAAGGTAATCAAATGCTATAAATTGGGCACTAAACTGGCCTACTTTATATGTTAATATTTCTTAAAAGATTTTCTGCATTTATCCTTTATAACACCTCATTTTTTTTCTTGAAAAGGTGCAGTTTTTAAGTGGAAGTTGCAATGTGCAATTATATTTAAGCCTAAATTCCATAATTGTTTTAAAAGATGTCTAATTCAATAATAAATGAATAACAACCAAAATATTTATATTGGCTGTAACAAATCCAAACTTAATTCGATTTCAGAATTTTCTGCAGAATCCACGTTGAAGGGATGTTAAAATAATTTTAGTGGATTTTCTCTTCTCAGTCAATTCCTCTTAATTATCTATTTTGAAATATATTCAACTCTGGTGATTCTTTTAGGAAAGTTGAATTGTTTTATTTCATTTTAGTAACAAATTGGCACTTAAAACATAAAATAGCCCATTTGTTGATGGCCCACAAGTACTTTCTCGTAACTAGAAAGATGTGCTATCAACTGGAGAAGCTATTACTCTAATTTGAATTTTGGTTACCTTGGCTCATAAGACTGCTGCCTGTGTTTGCTCCTAAGTGTTTATTAGTGAATCATTGACGGTTAGTGTAATTTCAATGCTAATTGTTGCTTCAGGTTTTCAAATAGCTCAGCAGTAAGACATTAATGATTATTCATGCCTTAAGAAGGGCTGATAAGGGAATGAGATTACAATCTTGTGCGATTTTAGCTAACAAATTAAAGTATAAATTAAATTTTCCCTTAGATAGAAAATAACTACTTGCAGAGCCAGTACAATGAAAAACTTCATTCACCTTTAAATCTTCTCTTTCCTGTTTTATAGATATTCAGAGTATCAGAGGGCTAGCAGTGGATTGGGTGTCACGTAATTTATACTGGATTAGCTCAGAATTTGATGAAACGCAAATTAATGTGGCAAGGCTAGATGGCTCTTTGAAAACCTCAATTATCCATGGAATCGATAAGCCACAGTGTCTTGCAGCTCACCCAGTCAGGGGGTAAAGTATGATTTTTTTTTTAAAGTTTTTCCAAAATTTCATAGACTTTTGCCCTGATTTTATATAAAAACATTGCTTAATTCAGAGGATATATATATAACAGCCATAAGAGTTAAAAAAAAAGTAAATATGGAAACTGTAAAAGAGATTCCTGGTTAGAGTTTTATTATCTGTAGATTATATATATCCTACACCAACATATATCTGTGACATATGTAAGATCTCATTAATTTATATTTCTAAGAAGTGACAGTTCTGAATAAAAAGAGATGTAGGAGAAAGTGGTTGCTTTCATTTTGAAAGCCAGTGGTTAAAAATGCATGTGCTACATGTTGGTATCATGGTCACTGCTTTGTAGATCAGATTCTTCAATCATTTGGATAGTCACCTTGTACCCTTAAGGGAGCTTGCATAGAGCTAAAAGAGATGTTTTTCTCCCTAGTGCTTTCAACAGCAATGGAAGAAATGAGTTTGTTACCCTCTATGGCATCTGATTTCTTCACAGCCAAGAGGATTCAATCTTGATGAATTACTTAACAAAGAAAATAATTTACTATAGTCTTAGCTAAATATTCAGTCTTGTATGTAGGAGGAAAAAGGAAGTGAGATATTTTTTCTTCACTAACAGGAAAAAGCAAGAGTGGTGCTTTCTTTTCAGGCAAATATGTAGGTTATTGCTGGCAAATGGCTGGACAATTTTGGAGTTTTCTGAAAAGAATTAATCCTGAGTCAAGAATATATTTTGATGTTTACTTTGTTTTTTAGTGTATATTTCTTCTCAGTGAGTAGGTCTACATCTAATATTTTCAATCCATATGTCTTTTGAATTAAGAAAACTCTACTGGACCGATGGAAACACAATTAACATGGCAAATATGGATGGCAGTAATAGCAAGATTCTGTTTCAGAATCAGAAGGAGCCAGTTGGTAAGTATTTTTTTTAATAGTCACCAAGTTTTCAATGTGACAAACCTGTACTTGTACAATATACCTTTGATCTAGATCCTGAAAGAAAATATTAAAGATTAGTAAAATAAGTAAATTCAGGAACTGACCAATTTCATTGAATCCATTGGGTTTCTGTTAGGTTTATTAGTCAAGGTTCTCTAAAGGGACAGAACTAATAGGATAAATGAACATACAAAGTGGGAGTTATTAGGAGAATTGACTCACAGGATCACAAGGTGAAGTCCCACAATAGGCCATCTGCAAATTGAGGAGCTGCAAACTAGTCCGAGTCCTAAAACCTCAAAAGTAGGAAAGCCGACAGCGCAGTCTTCAGTCTGTAGCCAAAGGCCTGAGAGCCCCTTGCAAATCACTGGTTAAGTCCAAGAGTCTAAAAGCTGAAGAACTTGAAGTGTGACGTTTGAGGGCAGGAAGTATCCAGCATGGGATAAAGATGGAGGCCAGAAGACTCACCAAGTCTGCTGTTTCTCTGCCTGCTTTTACGCTAGCAGCTGATTAGGTGGTGCCCACCCAGATTGAGGGTGGGTCTGCTTCTTCCAGTGCACTGACTCAAATGTTAATCTCCTTTGGCAACAGCTTCACAGACACACCGAGGAACAATACTTTGCATCCTGCAATCCAAACAAGTTGACACTCAATATTAACCATCATATTAGGCAAGGAGGAAACATTCTTTATCTGAATAGGAAGATTAATTTTTTAACATGATAATTTTTGCAATGTATTAAATAATGAAGTTACATTAATTTAATTTAATTAATCAATCTCTTATTTTCACTGGTGAAATATCTGATACAATGCTACAGTGGCAGTATAACTACTGAGTCTTTTCCTGATCATCATTATTGTGTCATTATTGATAATTACAAGGTTTTGGGTTTTGGTATTTAGTATTTAGTCTTTATTCACTCTGTTCATTTAGTTTCTTATTCTACCTTTGCCAACCATTGCAAATCATCAGCTATAACGTGATGGCACTGACAGGGAACCTTGACTTGTTCCCAAGAAACATCTTTGAAAATATTAAGTATAAAAATTCTCTTAGAATATAATATTTTACCCATATGCATGTAGATGTCTATATTATAATACTGTTTCGAACCTTAATCACTTTTTCCTCATGTTTTCTTTCATACCTTTGAGAAGCAAAAATTGTTACAGGGCCTATTTGTCATTTCAGAATACCTTTTAAAAATTTAGTAAGCCTCAATTTTGATATTATTATCATAAAGATGCAAATGATGGGATATACAATAGAAAATTCATTATTTTGTTTCAATTGAATACTATACATTTTTTGAATCTGGGAAAAGAATCAATATATCATGAAGCTTGTCGATTTTTTCTTAGTTTTAGAAATTTAGGGCTACTTGAAGTAGCACATTTTTCATAGTGATGATTCAATAAAGGTGTAGTATCACTAAGATTTGCAATAAATAATTCTTTTCATGTGGTCTATAGAATAAACCTCTCATATAAAATGATACTGTTAACAGCTATTTTCTTCTTTAGACAGTTTGTTCTAAGATTTTTACATAATTGAAAGTCAGGGTTGTATTAGAAATTAAAGGCAAATTGAAACGCTAATACTTCTATGTGGAAAATGATAGAACAAAAGAAACAAGGGGTTCTACAAGATTAGGACCCATACAAAGGACTTAATTTGAACTAAGGCAATTCAGTTGGTACTTATCTGGAATTGTTCAGAATATGTAACATTGAAAAATGAGTATGATAGAAATAGCATAAGCAAATCAAGTCCTTACATTGTAATTTGGCAATCATAGTTTATACCAAAATGTTAATTTATATGCTTATTTCCATAATGGTGAAAACCTTATCTTTTCTAATACTAAATATCCAGTTTCCTATTCAGAATTTTTTTAATAAAAGGCCTAACAGCTTATAATAAAAAAAAAAAGTTTATAAGAGAGGTACTCATGTTACCTATTCACAATTTATAGCTGGCCCCTCAGATGTTGTTCACCAAGTGATATATTTTTTTTTAATTATACTTTAAGTTTTCAGGTACATGTGCACAACGTGCAGGTTAGTTACATGTGTATACACGTGCCATGTTGGTGTGCTGCACCCAGTAACTCATCATTTAGCATTAGGTATATCTCCAAATGTTATCCTTCCCCCCTCCCCCCACCCCACAACAGTCCCCGGTGGTGTGTGATGTTCCCCTTCCTGTGTCCATGTGTTCTCATTGTTCAATTCCCACCTATGAGTGAGAATATGCGGTGTTTGGTTTTTTGTCCTTGGTGATAGTTTGCTGAGAATGATGGTTTCCAGCTTCATCCATGTCCCTACAAAGGTCATGAACTCACCAAGTATATTTTTAACTGCATAAGGATGATGATTGAACATTCAATAATACATGTCTACTTTATGTCAGTAATTATATTTGAAAATTTTTAAAAAATAGATTTTCAAAATGACACTTTTTAAAAGTTTTAATTTGTACAAGACATACTATTTTAGCATAACTGACTATACCTTAAATCAGCATTGAATATGGCTGTGAGTCAAACATTCATTTATTCAATAAATAGATTTTTATTGAGTATCGGATTTTGCACTAGGCCTGTTGATAAAAATTTGACACTGTCCTTTTCCTTAAGGGGCACAGGAACCTAAATTATTTTAGACTCCATTAAATAAATTTAACTCAGTGCCCTTGAGCAAGTTACTGTTAGCTTGGTGTCCTTGGTTTCCTTACTCATATAATCAAGACAAAATCTCTTCTTTTATAAAGATCTCATGAGAACTGAATGAGAAAAATTTATGAAGCAAGACATCTGGCCCTTAATAATAGAAACTGTCAGTAATAGCGGTAGTATGTACATTAGGTCCAATAGACTGGAATTCAAATCATATGATTGTAGTATTAAGACTCTAAGTGAGTTTAGTGAAAATAAACAGAATAGATTCCGTAGCAATGTAGTAGAGGAAATATATGTAACCAAGTGGGCCTCTGAAATGACCAAATGTTTATACAAATGTGGGGATTTAACTCTGTACTGCTTTGCTGCTCATGCTAAGGGGCAAACAAGTTTAAGGTTAAGCACCTTCCAGTAACTTTCCACTTTAGCTTGCAATTCCTGTTAAGCAGGTGCCAAGATTGATAGTCTCCCCAATGCGTAATGAAAAGCTGTGTTGTCCATATATAAATGCAATACTTTTTTTTTAAATACTTCCAAAATATGGATGCTCCTCAGCAATTCCCCAGCTTGCTATATACTGTCACATCTCTGTCTGCCCCAGAAATCCTTATTTTAGACACCCACAAGAAGAAAGTGAGCAGATGAAGTCTCCCTTGCCTCTATTGTCTCCCATCTCCCTACCATGAGCAATGTTCGTAGATCACTAACATCTCCTTTGGTAGCATTCACCATTTGGATTTGCCAATCCAAATTAAGTGAATTAAATTGTTCAAAGTCTAAGTACAAGAAGAAAAAGAAAATTCAGAAATCTAGAAATTAGGGACAATGTATAGCAATTTTCACATACACATAAAACATTCTTTTTGTCGTGTTTCAGGGACAACATGGTTGGGAAAAAAATGTTATTTGAGGAACCGAACAAATCTGAGTATGAATCACTGCTTTGATGCTTATTAACTCTGTGACTTTAAACAAATCTCTTACCTTTTCTAAGGCACAGTTGCATATCTATACAATGGAGATAATAGTATATAACTTTTGTGGTTATTTTTAGAATTAAAGGCCCATATGCAATATCTCATGTTCTAGCAATTCCATACTTATATACTCTAAAGAGTTCCTATATATGTGTTCAAGAAAGTACATTAAATCATAATATTAAAAAAATTTAGAAGAGCCTACATCTTCATTAAAAGAGGAATGAGTAAATAAATGCAACATTTTCATTGCTAAAGTATGATATGTACATACAGATGTGTGTGTGTCTACTTACATACGTATATATGTAGGGAAGTTCAAACTTTCCCTTTGGAAGTTTGAGTCTAAGTCTGCTGAAGTAAATTAACAATAGGCAGATTAACAGGACAAAAAAGGTATTCAACTGTATTAACGTGCACATGGACGCAGGAGTCCTGCAAATATAAAACTCTAAAAATAGGCATGTGGCCAGGTGCGGTGGTTCACGCCTGTAATCCCAGCATTTTGGGAGGCTGAGGCAGGTGGATCACCTGGGGTCAGGAGTTTGAGACCAGCCTTGCCAACATGGTGAAAACCCATCTCTACTGAAAATACAAAACATTAGCCAGACGTGGTGGCGAGCGCCTGTAATCCCAGTTACTTGGGAGGCTGAGGCAGGAGAATCATTTGAACCTGGGAGGCGGAGGTTGCAGTAAGCCAAAGTCGTGCCATTGCACTCCAGCCTGTGCAACAAGAGCGAAACTTCATCTCAAAATAAATAAATAAATAAAAATAAAATAAAAAGAGCAATGTGACTGAAGTTTTTATACTATATAGAAAGGAATAGTGACTTGGAGCCTGGCGGCAGGTTATGGGAGGGAAAGGGGAGAAAAGACGTGGCAAGTGAAGGTTGTCTTTATGCAGGTGAAGCCTCACAGGTGGCAGCCCTCAAAAAGAATAGATGGGAGCCTGTGGTAAAAGTTTCTCTGTCATATCTGTAATAATGTCAGACGTTTAGTTTCCTTTTCCTGTGAGTTAAGTTTTTCCTGTCTCCAGATAATGCAGATAAGAAGACCTCAGATGAAGCTCTTACGTCTGTGTTTTACTTCACTAACGTAGATTTTCTCAACAGATGCAAGTCTTCCCTACTAAGGAGAGCTTTTCAGAACTATTCCTGTGTCTGCCGCCCCTCTGAGTAGTCATCTCAAAATAGACCAAAGAAGTATATTTTGGCGTGGCATATTTTCATTTCCTTCACATACATTTCAAAACCATTGAGAAAAGTTATTAGCAGAATGTTACTTACATACTTATAGTATGATACCATTTGTATAATTTCAAAATGAAACATAAAATATTAATATACGTTGCTCCCAGATATGCTTATTTTAAAACTATAGAAAAAAAGTGAACTGGAAATTTACACACCAATTTTATAATAGCATTTGATTTAGGGAAGAGTCAATAATGACATCTGAAAGAGAACTTTCTTCTTTATCAAAGGTAATTTTAACAGTATGAGTTAAATTTAGTTTATATTTAATAAAAGTATTCAAATTAGGTATAATGAAATGTTAGTAGTTTCAATTCTGGATGGTGAACTCATGAGTTTATTTTCATCTTCTTTCCTCTGTTGGTTCTGGCTCCTCCAAGTGTTACCAAAACGACCCGCTGTTTAGACACAGCTGACTTTCTTCTTGACAGTGGTAAAAGAGAACACTAACTGGCCAAGTCTTAGTAGTATCTAAGAGAGGAAAGAGCAAAGCCGAAATTGTAATTTAGATTTATGGCCAGGCGCGGGGGCTCACGCTTGTAATCCCAGCACTTTGGGAGGCCAAGGTGTGCAGATCACGAGGTCATGAGATCCAGATCATCCTGGCTAAAATGGTGAAACCTCGTCTCTACTGAAAATACAAAAATTAGCTGGGAATGATGGCATGCGCCTGTAGTCCCAGCTACTCGAGAGGCTGAGGCAGGAGGATCGCTTGAACTCAGCAGGCAGAGGTTGCAATGAGCCGAGATCGTGCCACTGTACTCCAGCCTGATGACAGAGTGAGCGACTCCGTCTCAAAAAATAATAATAAAAATAAAAAACAGATGGCAATTGAGATTTTAAAGTCTGGTTTAAGGTAGGTCTTTCAAATGAAGGTATGGTTAGGATTGAGTAAGGATCATTATATAAAAATTTCAGACTGGTTAGAACAGCAAAAAGATTCTGAGGGGAAGTTGTTTGAAGAGCCTTAAGTTATAAAATGTTGTTTTATGCTTTTCTTGCTGAAGAGTTGATGAGTCTCTCAGGAAGATCTTGAAATAAACAATAGTATCGGCAACTTTTATCTTCCTGGGCAATAATTTCTTGGGCTAGTAATGTTATGTTATTAAAAACAGTAAAATAGTAAAGTCATGTTAGTGTAGACAATAAACTGTGCTTATGGTTTTGATTCTCATTTATAAAATTAAGCCTTTGTTTCAGGGATTTTTTTAACCCCTTTAAAACATATTAAACATAACCTTTGTAAAAAATTTGTACACTAACATGTTCGTTCACCAGCTGACTCTGAAAAACAGACCCACAATAGTCAGAGTTCTACCAGAGAAAGAAAGCCAATTATGGGTGTGTATATATGTATATACAGTAAGTCACCACTTAACATCATCAACATGTTCTTGGAAACTGTGACTTTAAAGCCAAAGGACATATAAAGAAAACAATTTCACCATAGGCTCAGTAATATAAACAAGAGCTGTTTCTAGAGCATGTATCTGGCAACAAAAACATTAATAAATTTCTAAATAAAGACCCAAAACACTTGTAATATTAAGCATTGAAATAAATGTGAGGCATACATACATTTAAGAAACACTAATAAAAACACGTAAGATTTTAACCAATTTTTGGTGAATCAGTGAGTGATGGTGGTCATAGTTGTGGTGGGCTAAGCCAAGAAATAAATGTTTGCCAAGTGACAATGGTAAAGAACGCCTCCTACTGCCACATAGTTTAAAACCAAACAATAACAAATATGGCAGGCTTGCTGAGTACTTTCATACCACATCATTGATTGTTGTGGATTTGTGTGATTATTGTGTACTTTACAAACTTTTATTTGACAATAATTTGTATTCATTCATTCATTCATTCTCTAACCCATTTATTCCAGTTTAAGGTCACAGGATTACTGAAGCTTATCCTGACAGCTCAGAGTACAAGGTGGGAACCAACACTGGAAAGGACACTATTTCATCACAGGGCACACTCATGCACACACATACCCTCACTTATATTGGGACAATCTTTTTCTAACTGATATATAATGATAATGCATGGTGTGGAATGCCTGTGATATTTTGATACATGCATATAATATGTAAAGATTAAATCAAGGAAATTGAGATATCCATTGCCTCAAATCTGTAACTTTTCTTTACATTGGGAACATCTCTTCTAGCTATTTTGAACTAGACAATACATTATTGTTAACTGTAGTCATTCTACTGTGCTATCAAACACTAGATCTTATTCTTTCTAACTGTACTTTTGTACCGATTGTCCAAATTTTCTTCATCCCCCTACTCCTTTGTTCCTTCTCCAGCCTCTTGCAACCACCAATCAACTCTCTACCCACAAGAGATCTACTTTTTTAGCTTCCATATATGTGGGAGAACATGTGGTATTTGTCCTTCTGTGCCTCGCCAATTTCTCTTAACATAATGACCTGACACTCCATGCATGTTGCCAATGACAGAATTTCATTCTTTTTTATGGCTGAATAATATTCCATTGTGTATATGTACCTCATTTTGTTTATCCATCCAGCTAATGATAGACACTTATGATTATTGTAAATAGTGTTGCAATAGACATGCTAGTGCAGGTATCTCTTTATATACTACATTTCTTACTTTTGAATATATACTCAGCAGTGAGATTGCTGGATCGTATGGTAGCTCTATTTTTAGTCTTTTGGAGAATCTTCATACTGTTTTCCATAGTGGCTGTACAGTCCCTCAGTATACATGGGGGATTGGTTCCAGGACCACCCACATATACCAAAATCCACACATACTCAGATTGTGGAGTCCACCCTGAAGGAGTGGGTACACAAAAAGTTGGCCCTCCAAATATGTGGGTTTTGCATCCTGTGAATACCCTGTATTTTCAATCTGTCCTTCTTTGAAAAAAAAATCATATATAAGTGAACCCATGCAGTTCAAACCATTGTCGATTGAAGGTCAACTGTATTAAATTACTTTCCCACCAACAACATAGGAGTGTTCCCATGTCTGTACCTCCTCACTAGCTACTGTTACTTCTTGTCTTTTTGATAATAACCATTCCAACTGGGGTGAGGTGATATCCCATTGTAGTTTTGTGTGACATTACCCTGATGGTTAGTGATGTTAAACATTTTTTCATATATCTGTTGGCCAATTGTGTGTCTTTTTTTGAGACATGCCTACTCAGATCTTTTGCCCATTTTAAAATCACATTATTAGTTATTTTGCTATTGAATTGAGTTCCTTATATATTTTGGTTATTGATATCTTGTCAGATGGATAGTTTGTAAATATTTTCTTCCATTCTGTAGATTTGTTCTTCTCTTTGTTGATTGTTTCCTTTGCTGTGCAGAAACCTTTTTGTTTCATATAATCCCATTTGCTATTTTTGCTTTTGTTGCCTGTGCTTTTGAAAGTTTAGCCAAGGAATCATTGCCCAGACCCATGTCCTGAAGTGTTGCCCAAATGTTTTCTTTCAGTAGTTTAATAGTTTTACATCTTAGATTCAAGCTTTGATTCATTTTGATTTGACTTTTATATTTGGCAAGAGATAGGAATCTAGTCTCATTCTTCTGCATAGGGATATCTAGTTTTCCCAGCACTATTTATTGAAGATATTGTCCTTTCTACCATGTATGTTCATGGTGCCTTTGTCAAAAATGTATTGGCTGTAAGTGTATGGATTTATTTCTGAGTTCTCTAGCGTGTTCCACTGTTCTCTATGTCTGTTTTTATATCGCACCATGCCGTTTTGTTTACTATGTCTTTGTACTACATTTTGAAGTCAAGTAATGTGATGTCTCTGTCTTTATTTATTTATTTGCTTAGGATTGTTTTGGCTATTTGGGGTCTTTTGTGGCTCTGTAACATCATTGGTTTCTTGATAGAGATTGCATATAATCTGTGGGTAGCTTTGGGTAGTGTTGACATTTTACCAATTCTAATTGTTCTACTCCATGAGCATGGAATATCTTTGCTTATTTGTGTGTGTTCTTCAATTTCTTTCATCAGTAGTTTATTGTTTTCTTTGTAGGGATCTTTTATTTCTTTGGTTAAATTTATTTCTAGGCATTTTATATTTTTTGTAGCAATTGCATATGGGATTGTTTCTTAATCTCTTTTTCAGTTTGCTCACCATTGGCTGATATAAATGCCACTGATTATTGTGTGATAAATCCGGCAACATTATTGAATTTGTTTATCAGTTCTAATAGATTTTTGGTGGGGACTTTTGGTTTTCCTAAGTATAATATCATGCATCTTAAAACAAAAATAATTTGCCTTCTTCCTTTCTAGTTTGCTAGGACGTCCAGTACTATGTTGAAAATAAGTAGTAATAGAAACATCCTTGTCTTGTTCCAGAACTTAGAGGAAAAGCTCTCATTTTTTCTCCACTCAGTATGAAGTTAGCTTTGGATTTATTATATATGGCCTTCATTGTTTTGAGGTCTGATTCTTCTATACCCAGTTTGCTGAGAAGTACTTTTTATCATAAAGGGATGTTGAATTTTTTAAAATGCTTTTTCATCTAAGGAAATGATTATATGTCTTTTGTCCTTCATTCTGTTAATGTGATTTATCATATTTATTAATTTGCATAGGTTGGACCATCCTTGTATCACTGGAATAATTCCCACTTGATTGTGGTGAATAATCTTTTCAATATGTTGTCGAATTTGGTTTGTTAGTATTTTGTTGAAGATTTTTGCATCTATGTTTATTAGGGATATAGTTTTCCTAGTTTTTGTCATGTCTTTGGTTTTAACATCAGGGAAATGCTGGCCTCTTAGAATGAGTTTGGAAGTATTCCCTCCACTTCGAGTTTTATAAATACTTTGAGTAGAATTGGCATTAGTTCTTATTTAAATGTGTGGTATAATTTGCTAGTGAAGTCATCAGGTAGGTCCTGGGGTTTTTTTTGATGGAGTATTTTTTATTCTCATTTAATCTCATTACTCATTACTGGTCTGTTTGGCTTTTCTATTTCTTCATGGTTCAGTCTTTGTAGGTTGTATGTATTCAGAAATTTATCCGTTTATTGTAGGTTTTCCAATTTGTTAGTGTTTAGTTGTTCGTAATAGTCCCTAATGATTATTTGTATTTATGTGGTATCAGCTGTTATGTCTCCTTTTTTTGTTTCTGATTTTGTCTTTTCTTTCTTTTCCTTAATTAGTCTAGCTAAAGGTTTGTCAATTTTGTCTTTTAAAAAATAGCTTTTTATGTCATTTATCTTTTATATTATTTTTTATTCTCAATTGTATTTATTTCTGTTTGGATCCTTATCATTATTTTTCTTCTACTACTTTTGGGATTGGTTTATTCTTGCTTGTCTAGTTCCTTGAGTGCCTCATTGGGATGTTCATTTAAAATCTTTTAACTTTTTGATGTAGGTGTTCATTGCTGTAAACTTCCCTGATTTTGCTTTATAGCATAGTTTTGGTATGTTATGTTTTTCTAATTTTATTTGTTTCATGAAATTTTCAAAATTTCCTTCTTCATTTCTTCATTGACCCATTGATTATTCAGGAGCATGTTGTTTAATTGTCATGTGTTTGTATTGTTTCTAAGTTTCTCTTATTATTGAATTCTAGTTTTATTCCATTGTGGTCAGAGAGAAACTTGATACAATTTTGACTTTTTTGAATTTGTTGAGACTTATTTTGTGGCCTCACATAGATCCTATTCTGGAAAATGTTCCATGTGCTGATGAGAAGAATGTGCATTGTGTAGCTGTTGGACAAAATACTCTGTAAATGTCAGTTTGATTCATTTGGTCTAGAGTGTAGTTTAACATCACTGTTTCTTGGTTGATTTTCCATCTCAATGATCTGTCAATTACTGAGAGTGAGGTGTTAAATTCCTCCATTATTATTGTGTTACAGTCTCTCTCTCTCCCTTTAGATTTATTAATATTTGCTTTATATATTTCGGTGCCTTGGTGTTGGATGCATATATATTTACAATTGTTAAATCCTACTACTGAATTAATCTCTTTTTTATTATATGTTGACCTTCTTTGTCTCCTTTTAAGTTTGATTTAAAGTCTGTTTTATCTACTATAAGAATAGTTACTCTTGCTCTGCTTTTGATTTTTATTTACATGGGCTATCTTCTTCCATCTCTTTACTTTCAGCCGATGTGTGTCTTTTTGTAGGTGAAATGAGTTTCTTACAAGTAGCATATAGCCTAAATAAAAAAGCCTGAATAAAAAAATTATTCAGCTGCTTTGTGTCTTTTTTTTTTTTTTTTTTTTTTTTTGAGACGGAGTCTCGCTCTGTCGCCCAGGCTGGAGTGCAGTGGCGCGATCTCGGTTCACTGCAAGCTCCGCCTCCCGGGTTCACGCCATTCTCCTGCCTCAGCCTCCTGAGTAGCTGGGACTACAGGCGCCCGCTACCACGCCCGGCTAATTTTTTGTATTTTTTTTTTTTTTTTTTTTTTTGAGACGGAGTCTCGCTCTGTCGCCCAGGCTGGAGTGCAGTGGCGCGATCTCGGCTCACTGCAAGCTCCGCCTCCCAGGTTCACGCCATTCTCCTGCCTCAGCCTCCCGAGTAGCTGGGACTACAGGCGCCCGCTACCACGCCCGGCTAATTTTTTGTATTTTTAGTAGAGACGGGGTTTCACCGTGTTAGCCAGGATGGTCTCGATCTCCTGACCTCGTGATCCGCCTGCCTCGGCCTCCCAAAGTGCTGGGATTACAGGCGTGAGCCACCGCGCCCGGCCCTTTGTGTCTTTTAAAAATTGGAGAATTTAATCTATTTACATTCAATGTTATTTTTGATAAGTAAGGACTTACTACTGCCATTTTGTTACTTATTTTTGGAGTATTATGAATTTGTCTTTATACTTACTTTTAGCAATGAGTTTTAGACCTTCAATTGTTTTCTTTTTGTATATTAGCATCTTTTTTTTGCATATTGAAGAATTCCCTTTAGAGTTTTTTTTTGTAGGATGGATCTAGTGATTGCGAGTTCCCTCAGCTTTTGTTTGTGTGGGAAAGACTGTATTTCTCTTTCATGTTTGAAGGAAAGCTTTCTGGGTACAGTATTCTTGCTCAGCAGCTTTTTTCTTTCAGTAATTTAACTATGTCACCCCACTCTCTCCAGGCCTATATGGTTTCCATTGAGAAGTCTATTGCCAAGTGAATTGGAGCTCCTTTATGTGTTATTTGCTTCTTATCTCTTGATGCTTTTAGGATCCTTGCTTTGTCTTTAACCTTTCAGAACTTGATTATTATATGCTTTGGGATAGTCTTATTTGGGTTGAATCTGTTTGGTGATCTCTGATCTTCCTATAACTAGATATTTTTATCTTTAGGTTTGGTATGTTTTCTGTTATTATTTCTTTGAGTAAGTTTTCTACCCCCTTGCTCTTTCTCAACTCCCTTATATGCTAATAACTCTTAGATTTACACTTTTGAGGTTATTCCCTATATCTTGCAGGTGTTCTTCATTTCTTTTTATTATTTTTCTTTTTTATCCTTTTACTGTATGTTTTCTGATAGCCTCTCTTTAAGCTTACTTATTTTCTTCTGCTTGATCCATTCTGCTGTTGCCTCTAGTACATTTTTTAGTTCAGGAAACTTGTTTCTCACTTCTAAGATTTCTGTTTGATTTTTAAAAATTATTATTTTATTATTTGTTACTTTCTCTGATAAGTTTCTGAATTGATTTTCCATGTTACCTGGGAGTTCAGTGAGTTTCTTCAGAACTACCATTTTGAATTCTTGATCTGAGAGCTCACAAATTGCTGTCTCACTAGGGTTAGTCACTGGCTCTTTGTTTTGTCCATTTGAGGAGGTCTTGGTTCCCTGTTTGCTGTAGTTTCTTATGGATGTATGTCTATAGCTTTTCATTGAAGGCCTTTACTTGTGTCTGGCTTGTGTTGGTTTTCTAGGGTATGTTTGCTTAGAGTTTCTTTGCAGTCACTTGTAAATCAACTTAATCCTAGATTGATGGCTTTTTTGGGGGGCATTAGATGGCATATTAATCCCAAATTTACCTTGGCTCTCACAGGTGTTCAGAACACTTCTGGTCCTGAATTGGAGTGGGGTTCCTAACGAGGATACCTTGGCTCTGTAGGAGACTGGCTGGGTCTTCATGCTCAGAATACTCATTGAGATTGCCTCCTATGGTGTGTTGCTGCTAAATAGCTACTTTTATTTGGTGTCCCCTTGGCTGAGATAAAGAACAGTGTTTCACAGGCTGAGGTTTCTAATCCCACCTCCCCTTTGTGTCTCTAGCTGCCCTCAGGGGTTTTCTCCCTACAGGCCCTCATGATTCTTCCTGTGGGTCCAGACAGTAATAGTTTTCTTAAAAGGGGATCCAAGATGCTAGGGAAGCTGGCTCTGCCTTGATCTCACTTTTTCCAGTGCAGAAACCATGAGTCTAGGAGGAATCATTCATGCATGGTGCCTGGCAGATTGGGGGAGGGGCATTATGAATCGAAAGGCCCATTTCTCTTACTGTCTGTTCAGAGTTTTTCACTTCTCTATGGCTTCAGGGATCATCTCAGTCTCAGACTTGAGTTCCTGGATGTTGCTGGTGATCATCTTGGCACTGGATAATTATTTTTGGTTTTCTCTTGGGGAGAGTGAAGCCATCTGGCTTCTCTTCTGCAATTTTGATGGTGTCAGTCTCTTCAACTGGGGCAATTTAAACATGCCAATTAACCTAACATGCATATTTTTGGGATGTGGGATGAAACCAGAGCACTCAGAGAAAACCCACACAGACATGGGGAGAACAGGCAAACTCCATACAGATAGTGGCCCCAGGTGGGAATCATTTTTTTCCCTTGTCAATGTTATACCAAAATGTTATTCAAGGACCTGATGTATATGTATACCTACATATATGTTATTTGTTGCAAAATTTTGACTTATGAGATCCTGAAAACTGGCTAGCCCTTAGGCAGGCTATCACTAAAGACATGCTTGACACTCTCAGGCAGGAGCTGAAGCTGAAGACGACAAAATGAGTTTCTTTGTCAGGGAAACCTCAATTCTGTTCATAAGGCCTTTCAACTGATTGAATCAGGACCATCCAGATTTTTGAGTATAATCTCCCTTACTTAAAGTCAACTGATTGCAGATAGTTATCACATCAGCAAAATACTTCCACAGCAACACCCAAGACAGTATTTGATTGAATGACTGGGTATCACAGCCTAGCCATGTTGACACATGAAAGTAAGCATTACATGTTTTGAACACAAACCTTTCTGTAGTTTATCCACTGCTGTATATCCTTGCAAGTGTAGTAGTTGTGTTTATGTTGGTTCAAATGTTGATTTCCATAATTGTTTACCTATAATCTAAATACGAGCTCTGTTAAAGAAAAAAAAAATTCCACAATTGATCCTTCTTTTTAAAATCTAAATTCATCAAAATACATGAATTATGATTATGTTACGACTAATATTATACACAGCTACTAGCTTAATGCGTTAAATGCATTATGTTGGGCACTATGGATGATACAGAGGACTTTATGTAATACTGGCTTTGCAATGTTTACATCCCGATGGGAAGAAACCAAAACAAAACATAAGGAACATGGTGAAGATCCACATGTTGGTTTGTATGCATGTGGGAGTCTTGAAGAAAAAACTAAAAAAAAAAAGGACTTCCTATAATGTGCCAGTTACTGGGAGACAACATGACCAAAAGTGATATGAACAGTTTCTTCAAGGAGTTTAGAATCTAAAAGGAAGTGCAGTGTGACCGAAACTTCCCACTCCAGCTGTATTTCCCTTCTTTGATATTCTCCCAATTTTTAGGCTCTTTTCACTAATATTACATTTTAACAAGTTATTTCTTTGCCCAGAAATGTCTCCTATCTCTTCTTAGTTTAGTTCACTCACTCCTATCTAATAAGCCAAGTGTTGTTTTCCAAGAACCCTTCCCTGACCTCTGTGACCAGGCTGAATTCTTCTAAAACAGACACTTTTAGGACTGTATTTTACTTTTTAGCTCTGTTATCATTTAAATTTTTAATTTGTTTGTTGAATATATGATTACCTACTGCCTCATCAACTAAAAGAGAAGCACCACAAAGCTAGGGACCGTATCTGCTTTATTTACTATTATATCCTCAACGTATAGCACAATTTTGGCACATAAGTAGATTTTCAATAAATATTTGTTGAGTGAATACTGTTTCCTGTCCTATAGCAAGAGTCTCTACAGGATTGACTAAACCTAAGATTTATTGATATGTCTCAGTTGAATAAGATTAATTTTTGAATGTGTGATATTTAGAAAGAATATTTCCACTGGAAGTGCGTACTTGGTGACCTGGATATGGATTCATGTTGCATTTCATTTGATGTATCCAAGGAATAAAAAACATATTAAAGTGCTCCCAGATTTATATTTATACCATTATTTTCTCAAATATAGGGTACAAATATTATGTATATGCACCTGGGTTGCTATGTAAGTACATGACTAGCTAGGAAGAAAAAGTTGGAAATGTTACACTTCTAAATTTTCTTCTCCACTTATTCCTCTTGCTTTTTCTCTAGCTTATCCTGTCTAACCCTGTGGCCACTGGGCTCTCATTAGCACCTCAATGACAGATTTCTCATAAAATTAAAGAACAGGCAAAAATAAATATAGTCATCTACTTATTGACAAATCTTCTTAGCACAGGGAATAAAGATGAAATCAAAAAATTTTTACAGTAATCCCTCATTTATTTCAACCCTATTAATTGTAATTTTTGATCTATCCCAAAAGGCCTCATATAGATTAAACCAGATTAAAAGTACAGTGCATAGTAACTTTTTTAAAAAAAAGAGTATTTTCACTGTGCGTGCCTCAACCATTTTCTTAAAATATATTTAATAGCTTATGTTTCTTACTAATTAAGAGAAAATACTAAAGAATTTCAGATTATTGTGTTTTCTATTTTTTTTTATTTTTTTAAATTCCTTTTGCTATTTTTTTAACTTTTGTTTTAGGTTCAGAGGTACATGTGAAGGTTTGTTACATAGGTAAACTCATGTCATTGAGGTTTGTTGTTCAGATCATTTCATCACCCAGGTATTAAACCTAGTACTTAATAGCTATTTTTTTCTGCTCCTCTCCTACCCTCTTCCCACCTTCCACCCTCAAGTAGAATCCAGTGTCTGTTGTTCCCTTCTTTGTGGTCATGAGTTCACATCATTCAGCTTTCACTTATAAGTGAGAACATGTGTTATTTGGTTTTCTGTTCCTGTAGTAGTTTGCTAAGGATAATATTTTACTTTTTTTTCTGTCTTTCTGAATAATTTAAAACTGCTATGCAAATAATTGGATAAAATATTTCTGTGTTTTATATATAAACTATATTTAAACTATATATATAAACTATATTTAATATAGAATCAAAGTTGTTTCATAAGGAAACACTTGACATAGGATATTTGAAATACTCTAAGTAGTCCATGTCATTGTAACACCACTTTAAAAGATTCCTTCAGAACTGTTCCACTGAGTGATTTCTAAAATGGAATTTTACAGTACAGTGAATGGATATATGAATGTGTGAAAAAATAAATACAAACCTATTGTTGCTGGCATACATGATCATTACACCATGAAATACTTAAATACATAGGGCATTAATCACTGCATTATTTACTCATTGTAATTTCATTTACTTATTGCAAGCAATTATTGTAATTATTATTTAATGATGAGTCTGTGTGAGCTCTGGCTCAAACTGCCTACAGTATTCCTTAAATTTCAGTGAAGAAAATTAAACAATTAAGAAGAGCCACTGTTCAATTGAATTTCTTCTCGTGCATATTGTTGTCAGATTATACATTTTATTTTTTTTTCCAGAATGTGAGGAGAAAACACTATATTCTGCCTGGTAAAAATGGAGCAGCATCAATTAGCTCATAGCAATTACTACTTAACACCCTTTATAGTACCTGTATTCTCATCATGAGGCCACACCTTTGTGTCTGCATGCACTTATTGAGATCTTTCATATGGTTTCATATGGTAGAACCATGATCACTCTGGCAACAAAAATAATATAATCATAGTGACTACTTTTTAAGCACTTGCAATATGTCAGCCACTTTCAAAATGCTTTGCATTAATCATCTCATAACAATTATTTCTGGAAGAAGTTCTTTTCCTTCCTTTATAGATTCAGAAACTGAGTCTTGTCGAAAGAAGGTAGTCTATGATGAAAGCTGGCTTTAAAATCCAAGTTTATTTGCTTCTAAAACCATATGAAATCTTAACCATTATGCTGTGCCCAGAGAGGCTGATTTCATATAGTAATTACTTAACCTCAGCAAAGATAATGGAATAAAGCTGATACTTTTCAAGCATGGAATGTGGGAAAGGGAAAAATCCAGAACTGGCTTACTCCTAAGAAATGTGGACCCAGTTAGGACACAGCAGTTGACTTTTCTAAGCAGCCAGGAGTATCCAAGAACCAATTTCACCTCTTAGCCAATTGTGCCTCACAATTAATTATTTCTGAATCTTTAATTGCTTTGAAATGGCAATGCCACTGATACACTAGACTTTCTAGTTTGAGGAATTGTTTTTATGTTGTAATTCACTGACTTCGCTTGCTTGTTTGCTGTTAAATCCACATGTGACATACTTAAAATAGAAGTGTATCATAATCATATGAAAATGCTCAACTTGGCATTTTATGAGTATGTGTCACTAAAGACTGAGTAATTGCAGCCTTCAGGCAATTTAGGCTGAATAACTTTGTTTCTGTTCAATACAAATCAACATCAGCATTCCAGTTATCCATTGTTGAGCTAAATATTCTCAATTAAGATGTATTGCTCAGTCTTGGATATATTAAATGCTTAGAGCAGTTTACATATCAGAAGATTTTACTTTACTGATGACAGTGATTTCTATGGTTAAAATGCCCTTATATTATGAATTTTATCCCTTAAGCCTCATATAAAGGAACTTGGCTTGTCAATCAACATTACCCTTCATGGATATTCTTAGGAATCTTGTGTACTATATATTTTTATTTCTTTGATGTTTCCCCTTTATTCTTTTTTTTTCTTTTTTTTTTGAGACGGAGTCTCACTCTGTCGCCCAGGCTGGAGTGCAGTGGCACAACTTGTCTCACTGCAACTTCTGCCTCCCAGATTCAAGCAATTCTCCTGCCTTAGCCTCCTGAGTGGCTAATTTTGTATTTTTTGTAGCGATGGGGTTTCACCATATTGGCCAGGCTGGTCTTGAACTCCTGACCTCGTGATCTACCCGCCTCAGCCTCACAAAGTGCTGGGATTATAGGCGTGAGCCATGGCGCCCGGCCTCCCCTTTATTTTCAATGTAATCCCAATTGAAAGTTATTTGTTTACTTAAACTTGCAGTACATCTTCTTGAAATCTACCAGGCATTTTCTATTACTTTATTCCAACTCATACACTGTATGAAGTAGAGTGTGAATTATATTCATAGATAACATTCTTAAGCACTTTTTCCCACATCAAAATAAAATAAGGAACCTCAGTTTTTAGAAGTAAATTTTTTAAAAAAGTCTTGGATATGTTTCCTTGTTCAATATTATGCATTTCTGTTATTGATATATACTTATTACTCAGCACAATCACTTTTATTATGTAGGAAGCACATTCCATTTAAGACTGCACATCTCAAAAGAAATGTTACAAACAGGTTACAAAGAAGCCGGAGGAGGTGACAAACTAAGATTATAATTACACATGCTAACACACACAAATAATTTAAATATATTACATTTTCATCTGATTATTCATTTACTCATTTAATTCAAATGTTATTAAATTGGGGGTGCGGGGGAGGTAATTTTTTAAAAAGGTTATGAAGTGTACACTAGGTACTAGACCCTAAAAACAAAACCTGGTACCATCCTCCAGGAGGACGTAGTTCAGTGAAGGAAAAAAATCACTGATAATTAAAAGCCATTTGAATGAGATTTTTAGTAGAGTTAAACAAAACAAAAACACTCAATGTTTTTCATGAGTACTATGCTCATCATACAGTTAAGTAGACACTGAAAATAAACAACTAATATTTTGCAGGGAGGAAAATTAGAAAAAAGAATTGTAACCAAATTGATAATATTTTGAAATTGCTACAGGATCTTGAAAAAAAATACTTTTTTTTTTTTTTTAAAGAAGCAACAGAAAGAGGAGGGGCTTTCCTTAGTATCAGCAGAAAAGAAAAGCAGGCATAAAAGGCATAAAAGAGGATGATATGTGTACAAAACTGAATTTTTCTATATGCGTAGCAAATCTAACATAAGGAAATATTTAGCATTGTGTTGTCAGGAACTACAGTTTAAAAATATTTAAGTGACACAATCCAGTGCTTTAAAAATATTTTGTTCTATTTTACTTATCAAGCTATAAAATATAGTTTTGGAAAATTATAAAACTATAGGTATTAAAGCTTTTAAAATGCTTTTAAAAGAAAACACTTAAAAAATAATTTCGTTGATTCTGGTTTTTCCTCTATTTCTGTGTGTGTTATTTTCACAAGGCACATAAGATTTGCTACTCATCAAGGGCTCGGGATATGGATAAACTGTCTGAGGCAAAATGAGTTATGTTAGGAAGGACGGAGGAAATGTTGAAATCTTACCTTGAATAGGATAAGTAGTAAGGGATCAGTTGACTACTTTAGCCCTGTAACTGACAGGGTGAAATGAAAAGGGTAATTTCCAGGAAGGATTTAGATCATGTTAAGATAAAGGCAGTATACTCAACTAGTTGTTGAATAATGTGCTTTTAAAAAAATTAATGTAGGCCAGGTGTGGTGGCTGATGCCTGTAATTCCAGTACTTTGAGAGGCTGAGCCAGGTGGATCACTTTAGGCCAGGAGTTCAAGACTAGCCTGGCCAATGTGGCAAAGCCTGTCTCTACAAAAAATATTTAATACAAAAAATTAGCAGGGCGGTATGGGAGGCTGAAGCAAGAGAATCTCTTGAGCCCGGGAGGCAGAGGTTGCAGTCAGCTGAGGTCATGCCACTGCACTCCAGCCTGGGCGACAGAGCGAGACTCTGTCTTGAAAAAATAATAGTAATTTAAAGGTTTATATGGACATTATTGTGTGAAGATTAGTTTTTACTTCTCTGAGTTAAATTCCCAGGAATGCAATACTGGGTCATATTGCATTAGTGTGCTGAATTTTATAAGAAAATGTCAAATTGTTTCCTAGAGTGGTTTTACCATTTTACATTACCACTAACAATGTGTATCAGTTATCCAGTTCTCTGTATCCTTGTTGGCATTTAGTGTTCTCACTGCTTTTTTATTTTAGCTATTGTAATAGACATATAGTGTATCCTATTGTCACTTAAAAACACTTTTATTTCTTCTAGACTTTAGGTTGTTTATAACAATTTTCATTTTAATTTGCATTTTCCTATGATATTGAACATCTTTTTATGTGTTTATTTGCCATTTGTATATATTATTCTGTGAAATATTTCTTCTCTGTTCTTCTCTGTTCTCTTTTCTGTGAAGTTTTCTTCTCTGTTTTAGTCATCATGCTCCATCTCTTTTGCCCATTTTTCAATTGCATTTTTTTAACTATTGAGTTTTGAAAGTTCTTTTGTTGATACTTACCTTTTGTTGGATGCATGGATTGCAAATATTTACTCCCAGACTAAATCATGTCTTTTATTACTTTTCACAGACCAAAAGTTTCTAATTTTGATGTGCTTGTTTTATAATTGAAAGAATATTGTGATTATGAATGAAGTACATAATCTCAACATTTTTAGTAATTAGATTATCTCCAAATTATCAGTTGTGAGATTACCAGAGAGATGGTTGCAAGCTTTAGAATAGAGCCTTAGCTTGAAAGGGAAATATAAACATTTATACCACTCATAAATATAGCTAACATTTATTTCATGCTTTCCATGTGTCAGACACAACTGTATGAGGCATTATTCTTATCATTACCACCTCACAATGGTGGAGCAGCAAGGGCAAGGCTGCCAGAAATACTTAGACAAGGCGACTGAAGGCTAACACCTTAGATTTGTGTTCACTTCACAGAGAAGCCAGGGATGGAACAGACAAAGACAAAGTGCTTGGGTTTCCTCAGCACATTCTCTTTTTTTTTTTTTTTTTTTTTTTTGAGACAGAGTCTCGCTCTGTTGCCCAGGCTGGAGTGCAGTGGCATGATTTCAGCTCACTGCAACCTCTACCTCCTGGGTTCAAGCGATTCTCCTGCCTCAGCCTCCCGAGTAGCTACAACTACAGGCGTGTGACACCACACCTGGATAATTTTTTTGTGTTTTTAGTAGAGATGGAGTTTTGCCATGTTGGCCAGGCTGGTCTCGACCTCTTAACTGAAAGTAATCCACCCGTCTTGGCCTCCCAAAGTGCTGGGATTACAGGCATGAGCCACAGTGCCCAGCCAGCACATCCATTCTTTACCCAGCAAAACCCAAATATTCTCAGGATGGATAAAGCATTTCTTGAGATAGCCTAATAGTGAATCCTTCTCCATGTAATAACTAGCCTCCATCAGAGCTAAAGTTTTAATGTTTCCAAAACAGTTCTGCCCCAGGAATAGGAATAGTGATGCCATTTCTGATGAAGCCTGAAAAAATGTTCATTTTGGGGTATTTAGAATATTATAATTCTTCTACAGATATAGCATGTGATGTAACTTATTGGTATTTCTCTATGTTTTCTGTGTTTACAATGGTCAGTTTCTAGAACTTTCACAGTCCCAGAAGTAGAAGGAGTTGTTTTCTACTGTCTGAAGTTAGTGCCAGAAAAAGAATATTTAGAAGATTTTGATTATATTTATTATACCTGTGTAGAGGCCTGGAAGTTAATCCTCTACATTTTAATATTCATAGTGTGTCTATTTCCCATATCTACATCTCTACCATTCCCCTGTCTCCAAAAGTTTCACCATTGTGATACTCTTTCCAGCAAAATTTAAAAGGCCCAGTTGAATTTACTAAAATATTACATTTGAAAGCTTATAAAAATATGCAATGTTTAACACAATTTTTTTTAAATTGTATATCACAAAATTACCTGCAGAGATATTTTAAAAATACTGAGGCCCAGGACCAGCCCAAACCAATTAAACTGAAATTTTGTGGACTGGGGCTCTGGGATCAATATTTTAAAATAACTTTCCAGATAATTAAAATTCTCAGCTAGGGATAAGAATTTTGAAGTTAAATTTGCTAAGTGATGGAAATGTATTAAAAATATCTATTGGAAGCCTTAATTCTTAATTTTTTAAATTCCTTTTTTATACTTTTGCAATTTTTTAACTCCATACTGCATAGTATATTTATTTAATTTTGAGCCACTTAGAAAACAAATGAGACACATAAAATGAACTGCCTAGTCTTAATTGTAACAACACTTAAAACTTAACAAACTTAATTTTTTCAGTAATATATGAAATACTGTATGTAGGTAAATTACATTATTTTAAAAATATTTAGTTTCTTACATTAATATGTAGAATATTTCTATTATGAGAGAAATTACATAATTTTTGCAATTTTCATTGTCTCAGTAACAATTAAACTGGCCTATTTAAATCAAAATGTTCAAATAAAGTAATATATAAAGGAAAATTCGGGACTGATAATAAGGAATGTTAGAATTAAAGCATATGGATTAGCTGTATTTTTATAAAAATAGAAAAGATAAGTAAAAAGATAAATTTTTCTTTTCATATATTTTTTTCTTAATTTAAATAGTGACTTATTTTTTTCGTATACTTATTATGTTATTGGATCTAGATTTCCTCTTTTGATAGCCAGATTCAGATGATTTCAAAAATTAGTTAAATATGTCTTATAAAAATGAGACTGTATTACAATTGATACATTCTTCAGACAGATTCTATAGCCTTTGAAGATTTTCAAATTTAAGTCACCCATTCTGAGGATCCTTTCATACAGACATAATTATATTTCTTTGCATAAGTTCCAGGACAGTTTTATAAATATGCTCACATTTGACTGTTTTCTCATGGGTATTGATTTAGCATTCTGACATCACTGAGTAGTTTTAATTGCATTAAACAATTATTTGTTCACTGCCTAGTGATTCATTTTTTTAAATATTAGCACAACAGAGAACTGATTCAGAAATTATTCCAGCATCATGTATACCAATTAATCATTTAGTGTTGTTGGGACTTTAGTGAATGATAATAACAAAATGAAAAATCTTATGATGCAAAAACATTTGCATTAATAAACTTCAGAGATATGTATTATACTTCTATATATATCTATATTATGAATATAAAGCATATGTCACCAGTTTTTAAAATTCACAATAGGATTTGTAAAGCTTTGCAATTCTATTTTATGAACCTGAGAATAAATGCACCCAAGAACATTTAAGGGTTAAGCTAACATACTTAACAGGAAAGAAGATATATGGAGGGAGTTATGTGATATGCATCATATGCATACATATATATAGAGAGATTAATATAGAAACTTTAAATATTGTTTTTGTGAATCTTAAAAATATTAATTTGAAGCTATTCAATATTAAAATTAATTTAAATATTTAAGTCATACTAAGTAGAGATGTTGAATCATTGCTCTTCCTCTATACTTGTTACAGTATCTGGGTATAAGTAGTACATTAAAAAATTCAGTTGGGGCCAGGTGCTGTGGTTCATGCCTGTAATCCCAGCAGTTTGGGAGGCCGAGGCAGGTGGATCATGAGGTCAAGAGATCGAGACCATCCTGGCCAACATGGTGAAACCCCATCTCTACTAAAAATACAAAAATTAGCTGGGTGTGGTGGCACGTGCCTATAGTCCCAGCCACTTGGGAGGCTGAGGCAGGAGAATTGCTTGAACACAGGAGGTGGAGGTTGTAGTGAGCCGAGATCATGCCAGTTCACTCCAGCCTCGTGACACAGTGATACTCTGTCTGAAAAAAAGAAAAAAAAAAATTCAGTTGAGAAGATAACTAAACTTTTCTAGGCAGAACTCTTTGAAAACAAGCTATAGTTTCAAGATGGAATTAACTAAATAGTCTGCCATTTATTTGATGTTTATTAATTTTCTTGTCAATTCTAGTCATCATGCTAGACAGCAAAATAAGATGACTATGACAAAGCCTCTTTCCTCTAGGCACAGTCTAGAAGCAAAGAAGTTGAATAATAGACTCTGGTGAACTCAGATCCAAAAAAAAAAAAAAAAGAGAGACAACATTCTTCCCTCTGTGAAGCCCCCTCTTAACTAAATTGCTTGGCATTGTGTATTGCATTGATTTAGGAGGTTTTGTTTTATTTTGCTTAAACTTCCCATATACTCCCTAGCTTCTTCCCTCATTTTAGATGTAAACTTTATATTGTAGAATCACGTACATATGGAAAAGTAAACCATCCTAAATATATGGCTTGACAAATGTTGATTAAATGAGCTTGCCTATATAACCAGTGCCCAGATCAAGACACAGAATTTAGTTAGAAACACAGTAGCCCTGTGGCCAGTCACTACCTTACATTCCACACATGTCCTGACTCTGAGCATAAGCTAGCTTTACCTTGTTCCTATAGAATCTGCACTCACTAAAAGAAAAAGAAAAAAAAATAGAACTAGGCGAGGTGGCTCACACCTATAATTCCAGCAGCTCAGGAGGTTGAGGTGGGAGGATTGCTTGAGCCCAGGATTTCAAAGCTGCAGTGAGCTATGATTGTGCCACTGCATTCTAGCCGGGCAACAGAGTGAGACCCCAACTCTCAGGAAAAAAAAAGAGGGTCTAATCCATAGAGATAAATGCATTTAATGATTCACATTCTTTGTCCTGGGAATCCCTGTAGTTGAGAATTATTAGGCTATATTTGACCTTTTCTCAGTGCACTTGAATCTGTGTGTCTCTTCAATCATCTGCCCTTCCTTCTTTTCATCTTTTTTTTTTTTTAAGGGAAGGAATTATTTGTGATTTGTTCACTTTATTCTCTGAGAGAGATCCCAGGAACAGTTGGTTGCATTGTGTGCTTGAGTATATGCCCACATGTACTTTTCCGTGAGTAGTTATGGATCACAGAAGGTCAACATGGTTCTACAGAGTTATTGTTAAAATGTGGATACTGATTCTGCTGAGCATGCCAGTAGTTAAGTAGATGTGTGCCAAGGACCTTTAGCAAACAAAAAGTACCTACCCTGAGACCTCTGACAATGATGGCCACCACTGTAATATGTGAAGTTGCCCATAAAATATAATAAAGCCTAGCCTTACCTCCGTGACACACTGTGCCAGGTCGAGATTAGGGTCTTAAGTCATTGGCTTGATTCACTCACTTGCCAAATGGTTTATCTCCCCCATATCAACCACCAAATGAGCTCAATTTAATTCTGTACTTTGGTAAAATTACTATTTGCTGAAAATCTTCCATTTTTGGATTTACTTGAAGAGGGATGAAATCACCAATTTAAATCTGTAACTGCCTAAGTAAATTTTATGGAAAATAGATGAGTAATTATAAATTTCATCAGTTAAATTAGTATCCCAAATGAGTCATTACACATTAAAACTTTCTGAGGCAAAGTGGCATAATGAAGAGGGCAGGCACTCAATTTGGAAACAGAAACTTTCAAAAATATCTGGAATGTCCACTAACTAGCTATGAACACAGATTTCTTATCTACTCTAGGTACTATTTTTTGTATCTGTAAAATGGAGCTGTCATTTCTTGGTGGCACAGATTATGTTGGTAATCCATAGAGATACCTGTTAAGTGCCTATAAAAGTATAACGTTTCTCTGTCGGTTGAAACTGTTTATGTTGGCTGGGTGCCATGGCTCATGCCTGTTATCTCAGCAGTTTGGGAGGCCAAGGTGACAGGATCGCTTGAGCCCAGGAGTTCAAGACCAGCCTGAGCAAAATAGTGAGCCCCTTTTATTAAAAAAATAAAAATAAAAATTAGCTGGGCATAGTGGTGCACATTTGTAGTCCTAGCTCAGCAGGAGGCTGAGATGGGAGGATTGCATGAGCCTGGGAGTCTGAGGCTGCAGTGAGCTATAATTGCACCACTGCACTCCAGTATAAATGACAGAGTGAGACCCTGTCTCTAAAAAATTAACAAAATAAAAAACCCAAAACACCATATGTGTATTTCCCTATTAGCCAGATCTTATTTGTAAAGACAAAAATCTGAACTTTCAACTTATTTTTTTCCCCTCAAATCCAGTGGTGCTAGGTGGATATTACAATTTAAGTGGCTATCATTATGTTTAAGTTGTAAAATTTAATTACAGGTCTATCGATAGACTATGTGGAAAACAAGCTTTATTGGATCAGTTCAGGGAATGGAACCATAAATAGATGCAACCTGGATGGTGGTAATTTAGAAGTAATCGAGTCAATGAAAGAAGAATTAACAAAAGCTACAGCCCTAACCATCATGGGTAAGTGAAATTATTCTATAGCTTGGTTGCTTTGTATTGATTGGGGGTTGATTTATTATGACCTGTTAAAAGCTTAGGAAAGTTACTGCTCCACTAACACCAGAACTATATTCAAATTGAACACTTCTATGAGGTTTTCTTCTCTTCCTTCTTTTCCTCTTTAGCAAACAGACTTATAAGATTATCCAGATCAGAAACTTAGTGTTAGCAATACTAACTTTACTGTTACTGATTCTTGGCTTACTATGACTTGTATTATTTTACAATTGTTATTTTCTGTGTTCTACTCCAGTCCTCTAAAGTCTAAGGGCCTAGTGCATTTGTCACAATAAAGTCAAACCTGGCTTATCTCCATTTAATAAAGAATAGCTTGATCCATAGGTAGAATTCAAAAGACAAGACAACAGGGTCCATTTGACCAATGATTGAAATAATTTCCCATTGAATAATTCTTTTCAGTATTTTGGAGTGAGTAGAGATTTTACTTATTTGAGTGTTATTTCCATTCTTTGATTCAATCTTCTAGGGAAAAAAAGGTGCTAGGTAAGTAAAATGATTAGGAAGCTAAAAGGGAGGTATGGCTTCCATGGAGCAAATAATTAACCTCTACTATATTGGTATTAGAAGCTAATTTTTGAAATGTAAGTTTCAGTTTAAAAAGATAGTTTGAATTTTTCAAAAGATGTTAAGAGTGGTTGCATAAAAAAGAACTCTTTGTTGAGGATGGCTGAATATTGATTTAGTGAATGGCTGGCTCTAAGCTGAAGTTTGTGGTAGGTGAGGGGTGTGAGGATTGGCTAATCTACAAAGAATTTCAGTAATTGCATTTGCGGTTACAGGATGATACTCAGAAAATTATTTAATATTTATAATTCTGAATATTGTGATATATTCAGAATAATTTTTAAAAACTTATACAATTTATGAAAAGCCCATTTGAATACATTTTTACCTTTATTTATATAGGTAAAAATTTATGCCTTTTAATTCTATATTCTAAATCTTTTAGCCATTTTACTATTTCTCAGGTTTGTGAGGTTTTTTTTTGATGTTGTTGTTGTTTTATTATTTTTTTGGTAATGAATTTTCATGAGTATATGTTAATAAGTAAACAGTTGTTAATTGAGACAGATTTGGAAATTCATTTTCTAGATAAAAAATATTTTTATCATCTTTGATTTTCAATTAAATTAAAAATATCTAGATGAAGGTGAACAAGGTTTAAATATTGCAAATTTTATTTAAGAATGAGTCTTCCTCTCTCTTGTGAAGGAAAGAGATTGTTTTAACAAACCTTAAGTGTTAAGATGATCTCTATTTCAATTTTTATTATAGGGAAATATAGACATTAAAATATCTGCCTATATCACAAAGTTGTGAGAATCACTTGAAGTTCTAAATGAATGTACTTTTTGAAAAGTAGAGTTCTATGGAAATGTCAAAGTTGGCATCTGATGCCTATTAATTTGGTCCTTAAAGCACTCTCTACGTTTCCCTAGTTGGGAATTTCCAGATATGTGATAGAATACTTCATCAGATGTTTAGTGGTTTTCATTTGCTTAAGCTTATTCCTAAACTACTGTCCTTCTGCTATACCTTTTACTTATATATTTTTTCTAAATTATTTCTTAGAATCAGGTTTTTTTAAATAGTTTTTCTTCAGATGAGAAATTTAAATGTGTAAAAGAGAAATCATCTTGTATTTAAGTCTCCAATTTTCTTTTGAGTCTTTGGGCAATTTCTGTGCTATTTATAGAGCATTATATTGACATTCTTTTCATTGTATATATCCAGAAGTTACATATATATAAAACAAAAGGGTTGTACTTGACAAATAGGTTATTTTACAGTAGGAATTTATTGACAATTGTTTCATAGTGTCTATAAGATGACTTTTTTTAAAAAACAGAATATATTACTTAGTATTAGAAAATGAACAATAATATTTTGTCTTATGTCTTTGTACGTATTTTAAATAAAAATAAGCAGAGTTTAAATTCTGAAAGTAGTTGAGTAAGCTGTAACAGTCTCTAAATCATCACCCACATTATGTTTTCAAAAACTTATTTCCAATGTACTTTATGAAACCCAAACTATCAAATAGCATAACTAAGGAACTCAGTAAATTAGAGGAAAGGTGTTAAAAATCTTGAATAATATTTCAAGGAAAGTCGGTGACTTTTAAGGGAAAAAAATATAATAAAATTGTTACCTTGTAGAAATATTTAAGGCTTTATGAAGGTTTATTTCTGCTAATATTGCTGCTGACCGTGTTTTGAGTAGAAAATGAATACTAAACTAACAGAGCTCAATGCTGTAAATATAGTATCAAAAAATGGAGCAGGTATCTATCTTAGCAAAAAATAAAGATGTTAGGTTTGTTGACTGATAAATGGAAGAAGGAGAAAATTTGAATGAGATCGTAATGCCCATATTGTGTCAATGCTGTGAATCTGTTATGACATCAGCTTTGTAGAGGAACCCCGCCTTGCAGAAATTAAAATTCTCTTAACAAGTAAATTGCTGTGTAAGTATACCCCTTTTTGCCACTGTAATTTGAGTAGCTCTGAAACATAAAGAATAAATAAAAAAACAAAAAACAAAAACAAAAAAAAACCTCTTGGCCGGGCACAGTGGCTTACGCCTGTAATCCCAGCACTTTGTGAGGCTGGGCCAGGCAGATCATGAGGTCAGGAGTTCAAGACCAGCGTGGTCAACATAGTGAAACCCTGTCTCTACTAAAAATACAAAAAATTAGCCAGTCATGGTAGCGGGTGCCTGTAATCCCAGCTACTTGGGAGGTGAGGCAGGAGAATCGCTTGAACCTGGGAGGTGGAGGTTGCAGTGAGCCGAGATTGCACCATTGCACTCTAGCCTGGGCAACAGTGCAAGACTCAGCTTCAAAACAAACAACAAAAAACCTCGTAATGCCTTTACTGGCAATATGTTAACTGGACATACCAAAATACACCTAGCAGTCTGAGGATTTAAAATTTAAAGTACATTACCAAAGAGAATCAGGGGAAGAGTCTCTATAACATTTTCTGGTTTGGCTTTAAACTTACTCTTCTCCTCAGGGTTCTCCTTCTTTCAAAACCTCCACCCCTTCTATTTGAGAAGAGAAAAAAAAATGTGATGGCCTACTTGCTGCTGAGGCTGAATACTATAGTCATATAAAAAAAAACAATGAAAAAGTAAAACACAGGAACCTCACCAATATCCAGGGGATTACTGAAGACTGCAGTTACAAATGTTTAAAAAGAAATTTGTCTACAGGGATCCTGAAATTACACACCCAGAAAACAAGTCATTGTACTATGAAGTGATTAGTATATACAAATGTATGATAGTTCCCCAAAGAGGCTACATAGGTGCTGAATGATAAGTAACTGAAAGTTTGTCTTTCACTAAAAAATTTAAGAGTAGTTTATACTAAAGCTATGTTAAAAAAAATCTCTTTGAACACTTTGCACAAGTTTTTAAACCTCAAGGATTATAAATTGGAACCGCTCGAGACTCTTAGTTTTAATTAGAATAGTACCCAGATCAAAATAAAGCAATTATTTGATGACTCAGTCAAGACCTGTAAACCAAGATATGTTTCATAAACACTTTGCTATTTCTCCTTTTAATAAGTAGAGCTTAGCTTTCTTTCCTTTGAGTGTGGGTACTGTCTCATTTTTAATTAAGAGTATAAGGCGGAAGTGATGATATGTGGCTTTGGGGACAAAGTCATAAAAAGCATGAGCTTCTTTGCCCTCTCTTGGATCACTGTCCTTAGGCAAAGCCAGCTGACATGTTATGAGGACACTCAAGCAGCCCAGTGAAGAAGTACACGTGGGAAGAAAGGCAGTCAAGATTTTAGCACAAGCCAACAGCTATAAAGTAACCTCAAGGGATACTCCAAACCAGAACCACCCACATGGCTGCTCCCAGATTCTAGACCCACAGAAACCATGTGAGACAATAAATGTTTTATGGTGCTAAGTTTTGTAGTCACTTTTTGCACTGCTATAGATATTAATTCATATGTTTACCCACAGGGCAGTCATTTATTTATGAATAGACTTAGAAGTTCAAATCTTAATAGAGTTAAGCAGGTTATGAATGAGTAAAGTATGTCAGGGGTGATAAAACCAAATAGCTCTAACATAAATGTTAAGTAGGATCTGAGTCTAGGCTGCAATATCTGAACTAGCTTGGGAGTGGCAGGAATTATGATGGAGTGGGAAAAATGAAAGTCCCACTTATGGTAGAACACCTCTCAGCTCCACTTATTTTTGCCATAAGGAATATTAACCATTTGTGACATATCTTTTATTTTTGAGGAGAAGGAAGAAATACAGATATTTATTTAAAATCTCACAATTTTTAATTATTAGCAAGTAATCTTTTTTAAAATTTTTTTTTAAAAAAATACCATGCAAACTAACCTACTATATAGGCTAGCTATGAAAGCTGTGAAGGCTAACACTATAAAAGCCAAACACTCTACAAAAAAACAACAACAAAAATCTCTACAATAACCTTCTGTTGTTGCTTCAGCACAGAGGGCAGCAGGTGTCACCTCTGGTTTGGTCATCATTTATACTGGTGACATTGAGTTACTGAGAGAAAAGGATGGAATTAAGGCAGCCAACACCCAACTGTACCACTAGAGGGGACTTTAGTAGAAAAAAAAAAGTCACCTGGTAGAGCTGGTATAGTATACAGAGGAGAATAAGCCCCTTCTGTGGAGAACAGGATACAGGATTTTCTACGAAGGTTTTCTAGTGGTGTTTGAACAGAGCTTGTATTCTGCCTGGGGTAAATAAAAATTAAGGACATACTAATGTCAGGTGTAACTATTATTTGAGTTAAACTCCTAACAAGGCAATGTAACTACTTGTTGTAGAACTTGCACCCCTAACAGCAATAAATATCTATTGCCATTCATTCTTTCATTCTTTCAGCAAGCATTTATCAGTGCTCACTATGTGCCAGCTGCTGATATACATGGTGGCAAGAATCCCAGCTTGCATAGTAACATGGAAGACAGACCATAAAGCAGATAAATGAGTAAAACGTATAGTATGATAGTTGAATATTAAGGGAAAAAATAGCAGATCAGGGAAAATAGATAAGGAAGTTTATGGGGTGAAATTTGAGGCTGAGTAGCCAAGAGTTTGCCAAGACAGTGACTTCTGAGTAAAGATCTGAAGAGACAGTGAGAGAAGATTGAAGGAATGCTGTGTGAACTAACAACTGCTTAACATTTTGCTGATTTTACAGTTTTTATATTATTTTTTAAATGTTTTGTTTTTTAAAAAAATATAAAACATAATTACATTAAAATAAATCTTCCCAGGTGATAAGGTTAATTTTCCAAGATAGAAATCCTCTAACATTGTCATGGCTCAAATAGTGTATTGCCTGTGCTTCTCCTATTCTCCAGTGACAGTGCAATGACTGTTTAATGAGGACTGTTAACACCTTTCAAGTTGCTAGATAAAAGCTGACCAACCTATAGCTCTGAACATCAAATTCTTCTCCATTTTTATTTTTATTTTATTTTATTTTAATTTGGAGATGGAGTCTCACTCTGTCACCTAGGCTGGAATGCAGTGGCGTAATCTTGGCTCACTGCAACCTCCACCTCCCAGGTTCAAATGATTCTTGTGCCTCAGCCTCCCCAGTAGCTGGGATTACAGGCATGCGCCATTACACCCGGTTAATTTTTGTATTTTCAGTAGAGACGGGGTTTCACCATGTTGGCTAGGCTGGTCTTGAACTCCTGACCACAGGTGATCCACCCACCTTGGCCTCCCATCTTCTCCATTTTTAAAGATGATCTTGTCAGTTTTCCTAACTGTCAGAGCTGGCAAATACAAAAGTTTCTGCTTTCTAATATACAGTAATAACTAGTTGCTCTAAAATTATATTGACAACCTTTTCTCTTAGATATTTTTTCTAAGTATTTTGCAAATTTTTTTTATGGAATTTTCTTTTATAAAAATACTTCTGTTTGACCAGGAGCAGTGACTCACATCTGTAATCCCAGCACTTTGTGAGCTCGAGGCAGGTGGATCACGAGATCAGGAGTTCAAGACCAGCCTGGCCAAGATGGTGAAACCCCATCTCTACTAAAAATACAAAAAAAAAAAAAAAAATTAGCAAGGCGTGGTGGCGGGTGCCTGTAATCCCAGCTACTCAGTAGGCTGAGGCAGGAGAATCGCTTGAACCCGGGCTGCAGAGGTTGCAGTGAGCCAAGATTGTGCCACTGCATTCCAGCCTGGGTGATAGAGTGAGACTCTGTCTAAAAAAAAAGTAAATAAATAAACACAAATTTAAAAAAACTTCTGTTTTATGAGATAATGATATGGTAAAAACAGTTTCCTACATTATTTTAAACGATTTGTGCTATAAAATAGTATACAGTCAGCTATGTAATGTTTTACTATTGATTACCTAGTATTCAGTTACAGGGATTTTTAATTTTTATTTATCTTTTTCCTCACAACTTTTGACATTTTCCTGGTCACTAATGCCTGCAGGAGACAGTGAGGCGAACTCAAGTTAATCAAGTCACTGTTCAGTTTTTAGTGCCTTTATGAGGAGCAGGACTTTAAAACTATTGACTAAAATTAGGCTTTCTGGGTTATTTATGGATTTTATTTAACATATTTCTTTCCCTTCTGCATATGCAGTTTGAGAGCAGACTGCATATATTGTATTTACACTGAAGAGAAAGTTGAACAAATCAATTCATGGAGATAAGAGAAAATACACATGTAAAACAAATATTGTCACAGAAACAATAGTCTTATTTCTTGTTGAAAATTATGACGGAATTCACGAAATAGAAGGATGATAGCTTATCTGTATTTTGTACTTTTTTAGTGGGGCATGAAAGAGCTGGTGTAAATGGATCATAGCTTTAAAATAGAACTGAGGGTATGAATAATATTTAAGGAAACTTGAAGTCAGTATGTCTAAATAGAGAATCACTGACAATTATGTACTTAATGGTCAGCATATCATTTAATCACAGATGCTCTTGACATTGTTTATGAAAATGAGTCATGTAGTAATTTGTCAAGGTCAAGAGTTTGAGCCCTGGGCCCTATAAGGGGTATGAGTTTGAATTTACCCTCCACCCTTCACTCACACCTATGAGCTATTTATTCATTATTCTCTGCTATTCTACTATATGCACAGTTGCTCTCATTTATATATCATTCCGTATATGCTTTTTGTTGTTGTGTTGTTTTATGGCGCTAAATGATCTTTGGAAGTTGTATTTGCCATGATATTTGTAGGTAAGGAATCTAAAATTATCATGACATATACTACTTGAGTGTCAAGGTGTATGCATATATATATTTTTATTTATATATTTGTATGTCTTACCTTGGGCTGCTATAGCAAATTAACATAGGCTGAGAGGCTTTAAAAACATCAGAAATTTATTTCTCACAGTTCTGGAGGCTGGAAGTCTGAGATCAGGGTGCCAGGATGGTTGGGTTCTGGTGAGGGCCCATTTCCAGATTATAGATTGCTTACTTTTTATATCTTCTCATGGAAACAAATGAGAGAGAGAAAAGAGAGAGAGAAAGAGCTCTCTGGGGATCCTTTTATAAGTTCACTAATTTCATTCATGAGGTCTTTACCCTCATGACCAAATTACCTTCCAAAGATCCCACTCTTCAATTCCATCAAATTGGGGATTAGGATTTCAACATATGAATTTTTGAGGGACACAAATATTCAGTCTATTATATGTGTGTGTGTATGTATGCATCCATATATATATGCACACACATACGTACACAAGCACATATATAATTCTTATCTATCCATTATATATATCTCTTTATCTATTTCTCTATATGTTGGTGCAAAAGTAATTGTTATTTTGCCATTAAAGTTTTAACCTTGCATGATTTTTATCACTAATGTGTTGATCCATCCATTAGTGATCAAACTATTAGTTTTAAATAAAATAGGATTTAGTTTTAAATAAATGATTATATTGGTTAAAGCAATACAAAAGAACATAAAAATTACAAATAAAAAAGTTCATTTGTGAAGTTATGCTAATCAGAGTTCATTTTAATCTGTTTCATAAGTTAGGCAAAAGTATTTCAACTTTTAGTTAAGAATTTGGTGGGAGTTTACAACATAAAACTGCTTAATTTGTCTTAGAATAGGTTTGTGCTTCCTATAAATATCTGAGTAGCTATCTCCAACAACCATCAAATCTTAGAATCACTTGCAATTGGCTATCCTCACTATGAACTGAAAGAAACTTTGAGTCACAGGTAAAGGCAAAAAAACCACCAGCCTTTAATTACACAATTTCCATAGATATTTAAGCTCTCTGCTAAATTTTTCTATTTATCACAATTTTAATATATTATACTATTGACCTGTTTCAAGTGGCAATTTTCCAGGATGGGATTAATAAGTAAACATTAAAAAGAGATTAAATTTTGGCTACTATGGGGATCAGTCAAAAAAGGTGGGTCCTGTGTGTATTTGCAGACTCATGTCACAGTCTAATAATCAGAAAAACATTGGCTCTGTTGATCTGGTTATGCACACAACATTTGTTTTCAATCAATGTGAACCAAATGAGCTCATCATTTGTCTTTTAGGGAGCCCTTGAAAGGCTTTAGCAAACATAACCCTTAAGGACATTTGTTCATACTTTCTGTGGGCTCACCTCACAAACTTGAAGTTATCACAATAGCTGCTATGGAGATTCAAGGCACATGGGTAGTTTACCCATGGGAAAGTCAAGGCTGTCAGATTAAAATACTTTCAGACACCATCTGCATGTCAGAGAATGTCATGTTCAGTTGCTCAAGAATGAATACAGTGTTCATATTTTTGGGGATTAAAGGTTTCAAATGTTCCCTCTAGACATTGTATGATAAAGTATTTACAATTGTTTAACCTCTCCGATAACTGAAAAAAATGTGAGTTACAGCTAATGGCAAAAAAAAAAAAAAAAAAAAAAAAAAAATTAGTTTTTACCTACACTAACTCTTAAGCTTTTTCAGCTGAATTCTCAATGATAAGCTTTTAAAATGTATGTTTATTTCTTCTCAGCAAAATATCACTTGGTATAATAAATAATTTTAGAACTTTAAAAGTAAAAATCTAAGTGCTCAACTTGCACACTTTTTATGAATTTTCTAAGATATACTTAATATGATACACTTAAATAAGAGAAAAATTTAAAAAATACATACAATAAAAAACAGTAAAATTAGCATACAGACATCATCAAAAGCCTTTTTTCTACTTCTTAAGATAAATTATTATGGCTAGTTATCATGGAATCTATGGAACATTATAAATGATGGCAAATGACAGGTTCTGGGATTGATGCATTTAATCTTGTTATCCTGAAACTGAACACTCGCAGATTTACACTGAAATCTGATTTGAAAGGAGTCTATATGCTGTCTTATTATAACAAGGTGGGGAGTCTGATAATTTGAAAATTCCTTACCTCTTATAGTTCACCTTAAGGAGTCTCTTCTGTTTCCTACAATGCAAGTCCGCTTTACATGTTGTCAAGTGCAGATTTTTTTTTTTCAAAGCTTACTAAATCTCTCTTCCCCTGAATGTAAAAAGCAGCTGAAACTTCAAGTTTCAAAGGAATCTTTGCTTTTCAGAAGACCTTCCTTCCTTCCCTCCCTACCTTTTCTTCTCTCATTTACCCCACTCTGTCTGCCCTAGGCTCTCCATTGCTTTTGTCATATCTTTCTTTCTTTCTTTTTTTTGGGGGGGTTGGGGGGGTGGGGGAGGGGTTTATTTCTTTCCTTTATGAGAGAAAACAAACTTTCAATTTCTATATTTTTATTTTCTGAAAGTAATTTGAGTCAATCAGATTCTGAAATGTCCTTTACTTCTACAATTTGTAAACTATGATCTACAGAAACCTAGAAATGTTATAGAAATACCCAGAATACCACAATCAGTGCAGGTCTGTGTTTATTGTTGATGTTTTGAGGACTGGGGGTTACTGTGAGAGGTTTTGCATTATGTTTTGTCTAAAATAAAAGTTCCAGCCAGGTGTGGTGGCTCATGCCTGTAATCCCAGCACTTTGGGAGGCCAAGGCGAGTGGATCACGAGATCAGGAGATGGAGACCATCCTGGCTAACACAGTGAAACCCTGTCTCTACTAAAAAAATAAATAAATAAATAATAAAATAAATAAAAATAGCCGGGCATGGTGGCATGTGCCTGTAGTCCCAGCTACTCAGGACGCTGAGGTAGGAGAATCTCTTGAACCCGGGAGGTGGAGGTTGCAGTGAGCCAAGATCGCGCGCCACTGCACTCCAGCCTGGGAGACAGAGGGAGACTCCATCTCGGAAAAAAAAAAAAAAAAAAAAAAAAAAAAAACTTTCAATAGGACTAATACTGACCACTTTTATTCAGGGCTTAAGTGCTTAAGTATTATGAAGGACAGAAGAGAGTTGTAAGATAATGCCATGGCATTAGAAATGCTGATGAAAGGGGAAAACAGATTGATACATATAAAACTGATCCGTGCAAATCATTGTATAAAAATGCAAGTAAGACTTCCAAATGTCTTCAGAGGGGGACTTCATGAGGCATGTAGGATTGAAATTGGCCCTGGATGAAGGCTAGAATGGGAAGAGACCTAGAGGAGAGACAGCAGTGTTTGTAAGCACGTGAATGTAAGAGTCAGGGATGGTCCCTTATAAGGACAGCTTGACTAGATTGAATCTACTTAACTAAGAATTCACATATGCACCTCTCTTTCCATTCTGCTAAAAAAGTGACTCGTTGAAAACTGCACCTTTGAGGGTTTTTAAAAATGGTCTTGAATTTATAGGATTGGCTCTGGTCAATGCCTCCCTTTTTTAAGTAACAAATAAAATGTAATGCCCTGACTGTAATAAAATGAGAAATAACAGCAAAGTAATTTAAAATAAAAAAAATCAATTCAATTTACAAATGCTTTGGGCATACTATATCTGAAGAAATAGCTGCTTTTTCTCATATAAAGCATCACTAGAAGTGAAATAGCTAAAAATGCAGACTGATGCAGGTATGCTGTGCTGTTAGCTCTAAAATAACAAGTGGAATTGATGTTGATGGCTTGATTTTTCTGAAGTGGTGAACAATTTTTGGTAACATTTTGAACAATATAAAGAACAATTATATTCGTGGATAATTTAGTATTTCTTAAACCCATGTAGAAAATGCTTTGTCTTTAGATATAAAATAGAGTTACATTCTGGGTTCAGATACCTGTAAACAAGATTTTTCATCAATATAAATGTCCACTGGGGTATTCAATGATGACATAGGAAATAGGACAATTTTTATTTTCAGTGCTTTGTAAGATATTTATCATCCTTGACTCCTTCTCCACTAAATGTCAGTAATAGTCCCTAGTGATTTTGATAGCCAAAAATGACCTTACAAATTTCCTTAATTCCCCCAAGAGAATGGAAACCTTCCATTGACAACCACTGGAAAATTGCTTGTTGAGTAGAATGAAATTGAATTGTCACTTCTAAAGCAGCTCCTCTCGTGATTATTTTTTTTCTATAGCGGTTCTATAGTTTCTCCCAAGTGTTTGCCTTAAGCTCAGAGGGAACTGGGGCCAGTTTTTTTCCTTGATCCTCAAATGTATTTGTATGGCTAACTTTATTTTTGTATTTGATAGCCCTGTCTTTTTGTTTGTTTCATTACTGTTGTTGTCGTTTGTTTTCCTTTCACACTCTGGTTAGGAACTTAACTTCTTGTCGGAGCTACAGCAGTTGCCTCTTACCTTCCTCTCATTCTCTCTATCTCCAATCTGCAAACTTTCAAAATCTGCTGTATTAGGACCTGCTGTGGCATTACCTACTTAGCCACTTTCAAAGGCTGAAATAAATGAGCGTTACTCAGAAATGCTCATTTTCTTTCATTTTCATTTACTAAATCTTGTTATCACAGCATTATTAGTTTCACCTTATAAAGAAACTTAGAATCAATAAGATTTGTTAAAATCCAAAGCATTATTAGCATTATTAGTCTCACATTATAGACAAAAAAAAAAAAAAAATTAGTAAGATTTGTTAAAACCCTGTCCTGTAAGATGAACGCTCTGGGATTGTGACTCAAGTCAAGTACTGTTTTACCATAAGGAAGAGCCTTGCTCCCGTAACTCTTCCTCTCATTTTGTTCTCCTCTATCCCTACTTCAGTCATGTGCACTACATCCGGGTAAACTGTTCCTTCTTTATGTAATTATGCCCTACTTATTTCTCTTTGCCTTGTTGTTCCTTGAGTGTGTTCCCTGTTCATTAGCTGCCCTAATGGGTGAAACACCATCCACGTTTCAAGGCTATGTCTGCTTACCCCAGTGTGATTGGCGATCTTTCTCTTCTCTGAATGCATTCGTATTTTCCTAATACAGTGGAGTATTTTTGTCTCCTAAAATAATCATGTACGAACAGGTCTCGCTTCTCCATAATTTGGGACCACACTTTATTCATATATGTTTCACTCATAACACACAGCAAGACACTTTATATTTAGTACATCTCAATAATAGTAAAATATATGAATAAATAGAATAATGGCCACACACACAAACACCTGCCACTGTGACCAAAATATATTTTCAGCACAAGCAGACAAATGTTTATGTAAAATGGCCATTTTATGTAAAATGACCATGGCCATAAATATATTGTAGAATTTAAGTATTTATTGAAACACATATTAAAATAAAAAGTTAAGATATTAGGATTTGAATTGAAATGGGGAGAAAATGAGTAAGAGGAAAGATGTATAAAATATAGCCAATCATTTCTGGCATGTACTACATGTACATATGTATATAGAAATGCAAGGAAAGAAGGAATGTATTGGATTGTGTCTGTTTTCATAGAAAATAAATAGCTTAATGGAAGGAAAACAAAAACAAAAATTTAAACTCACACCAAGAGTAAAAGAGTTAAACAAAACAAAAACTTTGTAGAGAGTATTGGGTTCTTAAAGGTAGTCTCATAACCAGGCCGAACAACATTATTATTTTTAACAGTAATAATTGTTAGTCTAAATTTTTAAAAAACATTCTAGTATTTAATTTACAATTCTATACTTGTGTAATTCTCGCAGCAATCCCCTAAGAGACGTACCCTTAACATTGCTTATTCTAGAAATCTCAGCTGAGGCTCAGCTAGCCTAAATTAACTGCTCAGTTACATAGTTAATAAATAGTGCAGCAAACTTTTTTTTAATTATTATACTTTTAAGTTCTAGGGTACATGTGCACAATGTGCAGGCTTGTTACGTATATATACATGTGCCATGTTGGTGTGCTGTACCCATTTACTCGTCATTTACATTAGGTATATTTCCTAATGCTTTCCCTCCCCGCTCCTCCTCCCCTATGACAGGCCCCAGTGTGTGATGTTCCCCTTCCTGTGTCCAAGTGTTCTCACTGTTCAATTCCCACCTATGAGTGAGAACATGCGGTGTTTGGTATTTTGTCCCTGCGATAGTTTGCTGAGAATGATGGTTTTCAGCTTCATCCATGTCCCTACAAAGGACATGAACTCATCCTTTTTTATGGCAATATAGTATTCCATGGTGTATATGTGCCACATTTTCTTAATCTAGTCTATCATTGATGGACATTTGGGAATTCCCTGACTCCTTGAGTTTCCTGGCTGAGGCAATGCCTCACCCTGCTTCAGCTCATGCTCGGTGGGCTGCACCCACTGTCCTGCACCCACTGTCCGACAAGCCCCAGTGAGATGAACCTGGTACCTCAGTTGGAAATGCAGAAATCACCCGTCTTCTGCATCACTCAGGCTGGGAGCTGTAGACTCGAGCTGTTCCTATTTGGCCATCTTGGAACCTCTTCGTCCGCAGCAAACTTTTTAATCCATGATGTTTAGATTTGAAAGCCTGCATTTCTTCTAGGAATCTGTCCTATAGATATACTAAGTTATATATGCACTGAGATATATGCAAACATTGTCCTTTGCAGTGGTATTTGTAATTGCATAAGTCTGGGGAAAAATCTACATCTGCATTATAAAGGACTAGCCAAATGAATCATAGAATATCTGTAACAGTGAAATATTATGCAGGAATTAAAAATGGAATTGTGTTAGACAGCTTGGGCTGCCTTAACGAAGTACCATAAACTGGGTAGATTAAACAACAGAAATGTATTTTTTCGAGCTCTGGAGGCTGGAAAGTCCAAAGTCAAGGTGCAGGTGAATTTGGTTCCTGGTGAGGGCTCTCTTCCTGCTTTATAGCCTTCTTGACGGGTTCTTACACATCAAGAAGGAGAAGGAAAGCAAGCATTCTGGTGTCTCTACTAATCCCATCATGATGGCCTCATACTCATGACCTCATCTAAAACTAATTACCTTCCAAAGGCCCCATCTCCTTAGGGCTTCAACATGTGAATTGGGTTGGGAAGGGGGACATAATTCAGTTCATAGCAGAAGTAAGACTGTATATTAATTTGTGTTACTTTTAAAATGTATTTTAATTGCAAATATGTTTTAAAAGTCTGTATAGACTGCTCCAGCTTTTATCATATATATGCGTTTATTTAAAAAAACTTTAATATGTATAAATTAATTATATATTTTTTAACCACTGTGATGCAGAATTTATATCAGTAACTGTTATTTACAGAGCATCTACTTTGTTCCGGATAACTTACACACATTAGTGCTAATAGACATAGTAACTGTGTGATGGAGATAATGCGACTGTATTACCTCTGAAAACTGGATTGATCACGGTCAAAACTGGGTCTCTAACATAAGTCTGTCTATTTCCAAAGCCAGAGTTCTTCCCAATACACCAGTGATGCTCAGCTCCAGGAGATTTTGCTCACCAGGAGACATTTGGCAATGTCTGAAGACATTTTAAACAATACTAACTGTGCAGGGAAAAGGGGGTTGCTACTGTCATCTAGCAGGTTGACAATATGATGCTGGTAAATATCCTACAAGGCACAGGGACAGGACAGCCCCCATAACAAGGAACTATTTGGGGTAAAATGCCAATAGTGCTGGGGTTGAGAAACCTGCACTGTACAAAAAATACCCCTTCTAACCTTCATAGCCAATTGCCTCTATGAGGCCTGAAACTGTGACTCTGGGCCCATCATTACAAATTTTGGTTAACAAAAAAACCCTTAAAAAATAAATGAAAGAGAGCATTTGGTGTTTATAAAACCTGATGGTATAAAAGTTTCTTGTAAAGTGGGCAGAGAAGGGTAGGAAGAGAATATCCTTCTTTTCTGTTTATTTTTTTCTTTTAAATGTAATTTAATCAAGAGTCAGGATTTTCTTCATTTTTATATTTATGTACTGTTATAATACTGATAACTTATTTATTTGCTCTAATTTTGATTTGTTTACTGATTCAACAATTTATCAAGTGACTATCATGAGCCAGTCACTACTTAGGTTCTAGGAAAACAGCAGAGTATAAAACAGGTAACAATTCCCTGTCCTTAGGTAGCTTATATTCCCAGTGGGGGAAAATAGCATATAAGCAAATAAACAAATCAAGTTTATCAGATGGTGAAAGATACTAATGGAGAAGATTCAAGCAGGGCATATGATTAGGGAGTGTAGAGTTGGGTTAGGAGGAAGGAGCCTGAAAAATTAGAATTTTAAGTAGAGAAGATATGGCAGTTTTCACTGAGACGTGACAGTTGAGCAAAAATCTGAAGGAAGTCCGGAGTGAGTCATTCAGGTACCTGCGGGAAGAACACATAAGGAAGCGAAAACAGGAAATGCAAACTGACTATTTTGTCATATTTTTAAACACCTTTGCATTTAGAAGGAGAGGCTTATTTTTTTCTTTTTTAAGTGCCTTAGGTATAGAACTTATTTCCCTCTCTACAGAACCTTTATTCTAGTTAAAAAATAGCTTATGTTTCATATGGTTTCATTGCTGCCATTAAAGTATTATACTGAAATAGATTACATAATTAATTTATGCATATATTTACAATGAGCAAAAAATAGTGATCTATAACATTTATTGAAAGCTTGTATCTTTCATGTGTATAAGATTATTAATGATGAAGGAATTAGTTCTGCTTCATGTGTTTTGCTTTATTTCCAATTTATTATACCCAACGTTACTATTATTATGCATTTTAATAAGAGAAATTTCTAGTAAATATTTCAAGCTGTTATAGTTAATGTTTATAGAAATAATAAACTATAAACTAGTCATATAAATAAAATAATTATAGTTACTTAGAACAAACTTAGCTTTGAAGAAGTTTGTTGTTTCAATTTCAAATATTCTAAAATTAAAGCGTGAATTATTTATGTTTATGGAATATAGCAGTTAAAATTATCTAGCTGTGGAGAAATTGGTAACTTACCTTCTTTAAAAGAAGATTGGGTTTTGGGGGGAAGAATTATCTCTAGACACCAGTTTTCTGAGATCATATATTTATGAAATATTACTCAGTAGAAAGCATTCACGGAATATGGACTATAATGCTTGAGAATAGTTCTCTTAATTAAATCTTTAAAATAATTTAGAAAAATAATCCCAGCTGCTGCCTGTCTCAGGGATTGAAACATTAATTTTCTTAGATAAATGAATAATCATCAGTACAATTATATTAGGTATTCATATAATTATTATAATATTTATACCTGACTTTTGTGAGAATGTCCTACTTAAGATAATACAAATAAAGAGAAGCATGACAAATAACATATCATTTTAAAAGATTTAATGGTATTCTATTTACTTAAATATTGTGTTTACAACCACTTTTCAGTGAAAGATCTAGCGATTAATTGTTACACTTGTATTGCACTTTCATCTGTAATTTGATATATACAATCCAGGTTATTTTAAATGCACTATAATTATGCTAAATATCTTAGGTGATTCTGCTTTCAAATCATACTTTTCAAAAGAGATAAGTTACTTTGCAGTGCGCACTGAGCAATGTCACTTAGTTCAAGGACCTTCAAATACATCTACCTAAATGTTCTAAGCCATCAGTCTTCTAATTGCCATAACACTATTCATTAAAGTAACAGCAATATATGAAGTATATCCAGGCAATTTGCCCAGCACTAAGTACAGTACATAGTTGTCTTCTCTAAGTACTCAAACCACCATTAATGAAAAGTAATTGCCTATCAAAATTTACATGAAAAGTACTATGTGAAATCTCCAAAGGACTATATGTGATACTCGTCCAGCAATTTTTGTCACTTTAAAATACTATGTTCCAACAGATTGCTCCTCTTAATGCTAATTACTTAGCACAATGGATAAATACAACAATCTCAAAGTATATCATACTACTATTTTTGTAACCAGATTATAATTGATGATCAGAAGATGGTCTTATTAACATAAATGGAATAATTAAACCATACCAGCTATTTCATACTTAAAAGCATTAAATAGTGATTGTTTCTTCTTTGTAAACTGCTAAATTTTAACTTTATCTGGAATCATTTTCAGGGAAAAATACATTGTTCACTATTTATATTATTTAAAAATGAACGAATTTGAAAATGTGTGTATGTACATAGAAAGATAGACATAGATAGATAGATAGATAGATATAGAGCAGGGACATAATTGTTACATATTGCCCCTATGTCTCTTCTTTATTTAAAAAAGAAGTAGTACAGTGTTTAGAGTGGAAAATAACAGAGTGTTTTATATTAATAAAAGATGTTTGAGTTAATATAATCACAACAGCATTTTAATTAGAGTAAGAATATAAGAATAAATCAAGATAACTGAAGAGATTACTCCTGAAGTCTGCTCATATACTCCAGGTATTATCTCATGTTGGAATGTAGTGGATATCTTGGAATTGTGTCCTCATCTGGCGAGTTTAATTGTCTTAAACTGAACTTAATCAGATAGAAGCCCTTTTTACTCAGCAATTTTATTCAGCCCAATCTAGACTTAGGTAGATGGCCTCTTGTTATAGAAATTTTGGGGGCTATATATACCTAGATTTAGATATATTTTAAAAATAATGAGTGCCTGAATATCATTGTGTTTAGACTTGTTTTTCTCTCTTTTCATAATCAGTATCAGCGTTATCTGATATGGTGTAAGAAAAGTATTAAACATTACAACTTTGAAATAGACATCTGTATCAATTTAATTCTGATTAATATTGTTCCATATTTAAACTATAGCCATTCAGGAAATATTCTGAGTAGTCTAGGATAAAAGAAGAGCTCATAACTATGTGCACATTTTAAAAATACTATGCTTTAAGGTTTTTAATTGTGGGTGTTATTGTTCGTAGTTTTTATATAGATATATCAAAAATGAACAGTACTCAGAAGGCCAATGATGAGATTATTTTGTGCTGAGTTGACTCCTAATAAGATTATAGATGAGAGGAAAAAAAGATTCTGTTATCTTACCATAGAGATAAGTGCATTGTCTAAAGCTATGTGATGAGATTTAGAAAGACAGGTAGGTGACACAGAACCTTTACAAGAAGGCTCTTTAGTTAGTATAATAGTAAGACAAATAATACTTGTGGCTTGGTGAGGACCGCTAAGAAATTAGATTTAAAAAAATCATTTTTTCTCTTAAGGATGTATTTGATCTCATTATCTCTAGTATTGTCTTTAATTGAGAAATATATAAGACTTTTAAAAATTGAAAACTATTTCTTATAGTTCCATTAGAGGAACAGTAGAATATATAAAAGCTCCATAGTTATAGAAAGTGGCCGGCTGGGTGCGGTTGCTCATGCCTGTAATCCCAGTGCTTTGGGAGGCCGAGGTGGGTGGATCACCTTAGGTTGGGAGTTTGAGACCAGCCTGACCAACATGGAGAAACCCCGTCTCTACTAAAAATACAAAATTAGCTGGGCGTAGTGGCTCATGCCTGTAATACCAGCTACTTGGGAGGCTGAGGCAGGAGAAGCGCTTGAACCCAGGAGGCGGGGGTTGTGGTGAGCCGAGATTGTACCATTGCACTCCAGCCTGGGCAACAAGAGCGAAACTCTGTCTCAAAAAAAAAAAAGAAAGTGGCTATATAACAAATACCATGTGAGTAAAATTTCAATGTTATTTAACCATATTCTATGCTTTGGAAATTCATCTGGACAGCTCCCTTGAAATATGTGTGTGTGTGTGTGTGTGTGTGTGTGTGTGTGTGTGTGTTTTAAATAGCTAATATGCCTCCAAGTCATTTCTATGCAAATTAAATATTGTCATTTCATTTATTTTTTTCTCATATTTTATTTTACCATCAAGATGTTTTATGAAGAATTCCGTTTATGAGAGATCTAGTGAAAGTTGAAGAATACTTGGTGTATTTCACTGTGTGCCTGTCTGATATTTTAGCTAGGTAATTACCTATGTATTCACATTTAAATTATTTTCCTTTTCTTGGAAATTATATATATTGTGATTATCCATATAACCAAAATGATATTTCCAAATAATTTACTGCCCTATCTTTAAAACAATTTTTAAATCGTTAAGATGACTATTTATCTTTAAATTCCAAATACAATGAGGACCGTATGTATCTTCAAATTCAGAATTATATTTCCTATTCAGAAACATTATATTGTGATTTATTTCTAATGTACTGAGAACACAACTAGTAGATTTCCAGGTATAAGCATAAGGGTTCAATGAAATGATAACATAACGTTCTTTCAGAGTTTTTAAAAAATGGCCAGGTATGTTTTTGTTTATTTTATAATTTACGTATAAAACATAACATTCATGGTGAAATAAACTATAAAATAAAAAATTATAGGACGATACTCACTTTATAAACTACATTTTTTTTTCATTTTCTGATTCAAGAGTACGCTTCTAGCTAGCAGGTTTCCTGTCCAATTTAAAGTGCTGAGTTGCTATGACATAATATTTTGGTAAATGATTATTGAAATAGGCAACTTTTTCCCATGAAATAAGCTATAATGTGGAGGTTTTACATGTTTTTATTTTTAAGTGAATATATCATATCAAATTATTTGTGAAAGATAGGGACATGGCAAATGAGAACACTAAAGATCATTCATTTGTGACAATATTCATACTTTAACCTTTTTCTTAGTAATATATTTATATTTACACCCACATATATATTTCTAGTCAGTAAATTTTACAGTATTATTTATTTGGGAGTGTCAGGAGTTGGGTAGTAGTGACAGCAAAATGTTCATATTTTAATAATAAGGACAGAATAGTAAATTATCTAAGATAAGAGCAGCCATTTGAAGTAGTTTTTAAAATATTGCGATAATATATAGTGTGCTCAAACCAGATTAAAGTGCTAGTTTGTATATTCTCATCTGATATTTAAAAAGTTGTTTAAGAAGCACACTGTAAAAGGATTTAGATTAATCAAAATCAAAGTCGAAGTCATATAACATTAATGCTAATGTAGTAAATTATAAAAAATGGCAAAATACCAACATTTAAAGATATCAGAAACTTTTATTGTAGACTTATGATTCTACAATAAAAAAAGTTTAAAGCCTTACTTAAAATGGCTAAAATTTATGTCATTTAAAAAATATATATAAACTGCCTTTCACTTTTAATTTGTTATAATCATTGGTTTTCAGGTCAGTGAACATTTCTACAATATCATTTTAATGTTTACGTACTACTATACTGTATGCTTATAGATATTTTATTTAAATAATTACCTATATGTACACATTTATTTTCCTTTATTTTGGAAATTATAGATATTGTAATTATCTTTCATAAAACTAGTTATTTTCAGAGCTTGGATACAATGATAGATGTAGCATTTCTAGGTCAAATATTTTACACATTTTTAAGGCTTTACATCAATCCTCTTTTGCTCTCTGGGTTACTATACATATTCTGTCATTTAATGAAAGCACTACTATTCCTCCTTACTCTCTCTCCACTTGAAATACCTGGTTAGACTTGAAATATCTAGAGAAACATCTGGTTCTTTTTCCTTATTTTTTTCTTTTTAAATTCAGCATGTTATGATTTTCAGAAACTTCTCCATCATGACTGCCATCTTCTAAGACCGTTTCTCATTTTTTAGATTCCTCCAAGAACTGAAAACCAAAATCTGAACACAATAATAAAGACATATTTAGAACAAGGTCTACTGAAGTTAATATTTCCTAGGCACGATTATATATGGAATTTAGTTACCAGGAGCAGTGTGTCTTATTCTGGTTATCTCAAATAATGAGCAAAAGTGTCTTGTATAAAAATACATATGACCCGAAGATAAAACAGGATTGTCAACAAAATCTAAGATGGGAAATTACAGAATGGTGTCAGGGAGGGAAAACTTTTCCTCTACCCTCTTAGGTTCAATGTCTGGTGGCTTATGAATTAAACTAACAAAGGATAGATTGACAGGAGAAAAGGCATACGATATTTATTAATATTTTATGTGTATAGAATTCACAGAAAAGAAGGAAATATCAAAGAAGTAGTGAGACTTGTGGCTTAAATACCATTTTAACAAAGGGAAGGGGGTTTGGGCTTGAAAGGATGACCACTGTGGGAAAGCGAGTGGGAAATATATGGGGGGAATTAATGGAAGATAAGGGTTATTTTAGTAAAGTTTGTTTATGCACACTCATCTCAGTGCCTACTGTCAGGGAATGAGTCATTCTCCTTTTCCTGGTATGGGAGAGAGAACACCTACACAAGGGAAATTTATATCACCTTCAGAAAGGGAAATTTACGCCCTACTTTCAGGTAGAAAAAAGGAAGGCAAAGAATTCTTCCTTCATTTGCTGATTCTCAATTGCCTTCAGCTCAAAATAATTCTTTTACCAAAGTGGCATGTTTTGGGAGGATATCCTGATTCCCTTCAATGGCTATGTTCATAGAGAGAGACCTGGAAGGTCTGATACAAGGCAATCTGGTACAAGGCAGCTCTCAGAAACTTAGCAGTAAAAAATTATGAATAGTTGGTTCTGACTGACTCATTGTCTATTATGGCTCCTTCTGGCCCCTTTGGAAATGGCTAGAAGTTATTAAAAAATTACTAAAAAATATAGACATAGCACTTGGTTGAATTTAAAGAGGTATAACCAGAGAGTGCAGAGATTGCCATTCTATCAGGACAAAATAACATCATATTCATTAATATTCACATTACTTTGATTCCAAGTCACAACCTGCCTAGAATGCCGGAAAGTCCAATCTTCTCTTTTCTTTTTAATTTAATTTAATTTTTAATTTTTTTAGAGACAGGGTCTCACTCTGTCACCCAGGCTAGAGTGCAGTTGTGAGATCATGGCTCACTGCAACCTCAACACCCTGGGCTCAGGTGATTCTCCCACCTCAGTCTCCTGAGTAGCTTAGATTACAGGGGTACACCACCAAGCCCAGCTGGTTTTTTTGTTTTGTTTTGTTTTGCTTTTAGATGGAGTCTCGATCTGTCACCAGGCTGGAGTGCAGCGGTGCAATCTTGGCTCACTGCAACCTCTGCCTCCTGGGTTCAAACGATTCTCCTGTCTCAGCCTCCCGAGTAGCTGGGACTACAGGCGTGCACCACTATGCCAAGCTAATTTTTGTATTTTTAGTAGAGATAGGGTTTCACCATGTTGGCCAGGATGGTCTCGATCTCTTGACCTCAGGATCCACCCTCCTCGGCCTCCCAAAGTCCTGGGATTACAGGCATGAGCCACCATGCCTGACCAAGCCCAGATAATTAAAAAAAAAAAAAAAAAAATTTGTAGAGACAGTGTCTTGCTATTTTGCCTAGGCTGGTCTCAAACTTATGGGCTCAAGTGATCCTCCTGCCTTGGCCTCCCAAAGTTCTGGGATTACAGGTGTGAGCCATTGCCTTGGCCCAATCTTTTCTTAAGGTAACTTGCCTCAGAGATTTTGCAGGGTGATTAAAATTGCTTACTTTGATTTAAAATTGATCTTCCCATTGTTTACAATCTCCAAGAGGAAACCAAGGCTACATCCTGAAGGAAATCTTAATCTCTGACCTTCAGGTGCTCCCTCTTCCAGACGGGCCTCACTACCTAGTAGAAGGCTTGCACCCAAACTCAGAAATGTCCCCATTTACCAAGGCTGACATAGAAGGAGCAGTACAAGTCTGCTCCAGGTTTACTGCTGAAACTCAATGTCAGCAGCTCAAAGTGCTATTGGTACTTGAGGAAAAAGTGAGGAAGTTCTGTTCTCCAGCGTCACACTTACTTAAGGATATAAAAATGAAACTAAAGAGAAAAATCCATGAAACAGCTGCCCAGGCTCTGGCGGATAATAATTCTAAGTGGTCAGCTTTTCAATTTTTTCTCTCTCTGTCATTTACACATAGCTGTTTTTGCCCAAAGCATGCCCTGGGCACCAGAGTGACTAAATATGGGGCGTATTCAGTATTAGCCCCAATTTTTTCCAGACCAGAATTTCCACCAGAATATTGAGCAGTAATTCATCATTATATATCTATGTTATACTTTTGCAGGGAGCTGAAGATAGAGGTGAAAAAGGCCACTCTAATCCCCGCCTTCATGGAGGTTGCATTTGGTTGAGGAAGATAGTAAATGCATAAATATATACAAAAATGTCAGACAGAGAAAAATGGTGTGAAATAAAATAAGAGAGCTTCCCAGAGGCTTTTCCTGAGAAGATGCTATTTGAGCATAGATCTGGATGACAAGAAAGATCAGCCGTGTGAAAATTTCTAAGGAAGAGCTTACCAAGCAGATGAAATAGCAAATAAAAAGTCCTTGGCCGGGCGCGGTGGCTCACGCCTGTAATCCCAGCACTTTGGGAGGCCGAGGCGGGCGGATCGCGAGGTCAGGAGATCGAGACCATCCCGGCTAAAACGGTGAAACCCCGTCTCTACTAAAAATACAAAAAATTAGCCGGGCGTAGTGGCGGGCGCCTGTAGTCCCAGCTACTTGGGAGGCTGAGGCAGGAGAATGGCGTGAACCCGGGAGGCGGAGCTTGCAGTGAGCCGAGATCCCGCCACTGCACTCCAGCCTGGGCGACAGAGCGAGACTCCGTCTCAAAAAAAAAAAAAAAAAAAAAAAAAAAAAAGTCCTTAAAGCTAGATCGTGCTTGGCATGCCTCAGCTGGTATAGCTAGAGTGACAGGAGCTTCATTCAGAAAAGAGGAGGATCAAGGGAGAAAGGTCCTGAACAATGTACCCACTATAGTAAAACCTTAGTACTTCACTTTCATAGCCAGTTGAAGGGTTAAACAGAGGAGTTATAGAACCTAGTTTAGATTTTAAAAGGAGTATTCAGCACTGTGTGCCAATTGCTCTGTTGGGGAGAACTTTAGGAGTTCATGGGAGAGACTATGATAGCTTGGACTAGTGTGGTAGCAGGGGTAATGGAAGGCACCAAGACCCAGGTAAGTAATTTGGAGGTAGGTAATTGGAATGTATTGTTAAGGTAATATTCACACTCCTGCTTCAATGTAAGGTGAATTTTCTCTCAGTGGCTCCCGTTTTGCTTCTCAGACTGGACCTCAAAAATGTCTCAGACTCTTGTTAATATTTTCTACAGTACTTTATCCTGCCCTGAATAAGTAAGTTGATATGGGGGAGTATATTAGTCTCCTAGGGCCCATAACAGAATACCACAAGCTGGGTATCTTAAACAATAGACATTATTTTTCACAGCTCTGGAGGCTTAGAAATCCGAAATCAAGGTGTTAGTAGGTTTGGTTTCTTCTGAGGTCTCCATGGCTAGCAGATGGGCACCTTTTTGTTGTGTCCTCACAGTCTTTTCTGTGTGTACATCACTATGGTCTCTTTTTCTTAGAAGGATATCTTTCCTGTTGGATTAGGATCCACCCATATGACCTCATTCAACTTAATTATCTCTTTTAAGACTCAATCTCCAAATACAGTCACACTGAGGATAGAGCTTCAACATATACATTTTGTGGGGATGCAATAAAGTCTTTAACAGGGAGGGTTATCACCTAAACTAACCCTCTTTAGACTTTGCTTAAGCAGAGTCTTCTTAGCAAAGAGAGAAATGATTCATTACTTTCCTAAACTGAGCATATGTAAATGTCAAATAAAGATTAATTTTTTTAACATTCTTAATGTCGGTTGTTATACAAATAGAGAGGTTCTAATATTGTATTGCCCCTACTCTAATATCATTTTACTGGAGACCACTGCATTACAAGGATGGCCATGAGACTTTGCAAGTGATTACTATAGGTAATATATATTATTTTTTTGCCACCAACAGTAATTACACTGTTAATCTCAACCAGCCTCCATGAAAATGTATGTCCCTAGACACAAGAGAAGTAGTGTAAAATTATAGAAAAGTTGTGCAAATCCATCCATGATACTGATAAATAATTCCACACACATTCTTATTGATAGTGGGTGGAAATATTTTTCCGAGTTATTTATGTAGCAGAATCAGTATAGTCATATGTAAGTTTTAGTTTTTTGTTGTTGTTGTTGTTGACTCATTCATTTGTTTATTCCATATAGCTACCAATTATTGTCCTTACCATTTGAGCCATTTGACTAAATAATTTACATATTAAATTAATATGGTGGAATGTTTCTCATTTTACATATTAGAGGACTAATATTAAAGTCCAAGTAACTTACTCATGATCATCCAGAGAGTAAGTGTCACAGCCAATTATCACACCAAGTTTGTGTGCTTCCAAACTGCATTACCTTACCTAATGTAACTTTCAACCAACCTTGAAAATCACCCATGTGCCTGGTTTTGGAGTATGAGTGGAAGATAAAATAATTAATAAAGGCATATCTCCTGCCCTGAAGAATCTTATGTTTTAGGTCAAGTGTGGTGGCTCCACACCTGTAATCGCAGCTTTTTGAGAGGCCAAGGCAGGAAGATCACTTGAGGCCAGGAGTTCTAAACAAGCCTGGGCAATATAATGAGACCCTGACCCCACAGAAAAATAAAAAAGAAATTAACTGGGCATGGTGGTGCATGCCTGTAGTCCTTGCTCTTCAGGAGGCTGAGCTAGGAGGATTGCCTGATCTCAGGAGGTGGAGGCTACAGTGAGCCCTGATTGGACTACTTCATTCTGGCCTGAATGACAGAATGAGAACCTGTCTCAAAAAAAAAAAAAAAAAAAAAAAAAAAAAATCTTCTGTTTTAAACAGGAAGATAGGCATGTAAATAAATAAAGTCCTTTAAGACTATGAATGCTATGATATGATTCTACACAGACCACAAACCCATAAGGGATCAGGTGAATCCTACCTCTTGGGGACTAGTAAACTTTGCAAATAAAGATACCATTTGAGCTGAATCTGGAAATATGTGTCTATTATTCAGATAATGGGAGTAGAAGTGAGTGGAGGGAATAGCAGTGGAGGGAAATATTCCAGATAGAAGAAGTAAATTGAGGCCAGCACAAAATGGCACAGAGATGTTTGGGATTTATCCTTTTGGAAACCAGAAATACTATCAACTCTATATTAACCCATTACCTGGGTAGTGGAAAATAGGAGGCGAGCAAGGATAAAATGTGGTTCAGACCCACTTAATCCCAGTTTGTGATTTAAGATGGATATTTAATATAAATGTATTAAATTAAAATGTTTAAATAGTTTGCTCTGTTAGCTGAGTAGTTCTTTCCTTCTTCTTCCCCATCCTGCTCTTCCTCTTCTTCCTTTTTCTAATGAAAATAATTGTAGGTAACATCAGTTTTCATTGAATGAACTCTACATTTTATTTTCTAAATATCCCAGCAAGCAGTCATTCAGAGCTGCCTTGTTTCTGTCAGCTAACTCCTCGCTCTCACTGTCATTCTCCCCTTCACATTGCACAAAACTAGTTCGCTGGCAACAGTCAAGCCATCAGCTTGGGAATTAAATTACCTGCCATTCTCCAGTTCTTCTCTGTGTAACCCTAGACTGCCCCTTCAGCTCTCCATGACACAAGTCTCTCAATATAACAATGAATGGAAAGAGTTTAGGGCCATATCTGTCAGTTCAAGGTCACAAAGGCTTGAAAGCAAATTCTGGGCTTTGTTCTTCAATGCTCTCCATCTTACCTTCATTGTCCTCCAAATTCTCTGCTTAAGAAAAAAAAATCTTAGGAAAAGGCATAGAAAAGAGACTTCTATTCTGTCACTGCCACAAGAAAGAGATTTTTCCAGAGAGCTTCAGACAAACTGCAGAGAGCTGCTCCCACACAGAAGAGAAGCTAATAGACTAACAGACTGCTGTAAGCAAACATATCCACCTCTGATTGTCCAGGTGGAGGGGCGTTCCTGATTTGCAGTAGGTACAGTGTAAAAATGTAATGGCTCCAACATAATTATAAATAGTAAATTCACTCTCATATATAGATATTTCTCTCATTCCAAATAGTTTTAATTATTTTCCCTTACAAATATGCTGCCTTTAGTTATTTTCTTCCATGTTTTGACATAACATGGTTAATCTATCCCTGGAAAATTGAAAGTTGACTGCAATTCAATATTCCTGGAACACAGAGCACTTTGGGCAGTCACAGATCTGGAGATGGAAAATTAAGCAGGCATCTAATCATGGATGGCCTTTGTGCCATGCCTTTGGCAGGGGGAAGCCATTGGAGAGTTTTAAACAGCAGAGGGACATGCTCACATTTGCATTTTAGAATGATTACTCCAGTGTTCACTTAGCAATGGCAGTCAGGAGAATGAGAAGTGATGAGACCCTGAGCTAAGCAGTTTCTACGGGGAAGATGAGGAAGTAAAGCTTTCCTGAGACAATGAGGACAAATAGTTAAGTGGGCAATTTAGACTGGGGTCTAGGAGAAGCAATCGAGGTGGAGAGGGAAAAAACAGTGACCGTCTGGCCTCGCCTCTGATGACTGAGTGGGTACCATTTGCTGAGAAAAGTCTGCTGGGAAAGACTCATAATTGGGAAAAATAAATTAAATTTTATTTTGGTAATGTAAAGTTGAGGTGGCTTTGTTGTATTTAGGTAGAAATACCTACTGTACAGTTAAATACATCAGGAGGATATTTAGGGATAACATTGAGATTTGGGAGCTGTTGGGGCGGTATAGGGGGTAGTTAGCGAAGTCGTAAGTGAGAATACTTCCCACCCTTCCCAAATTCCTAGGGTGTCTTTTGATATTGGTGATATTGATTTTGATATTCTAAAAAATATGTTGATTTTTTAAAAGTTGTAGATATTATTTGACTTGATACTATGGAATCTCAAAATATGGCTGTCCCCTTAACTTGTATTTTTCTTGAAGTTCTCTGATTTCTTGCTTCCAAATGCCAGCTTGCTCTCTAGATTTGCTGCTGTCCTGCCTGGATCTCTAATCATTGTCACGCAGGAAGGTTCTCTTTTGCCTCTCTCTCAATTTCCTATATATCATATACTCTTTTCCAGTTTACTCCTTTGATGTAGTGAAGTACAGCTTCCAGCAGCTTTCTGAGAAAGGTGCTTGTGAAGCAGATTTATCAAGACAATGCTGTCTTTTATGTTTACATTTCATTAATTGAGTATGGAAATCCAGATTGGAAATAATTTGGTATCAAATCTTTTCAGACATTCTTGTCTTCTCAATAATAAGTTGGAGTTGAGAAGTCCAATGCTATTATACTATAATGTCTTTTGATCATTACTCCTTCACTCTAGAAACTTGTAGAATCTTTTTTTTCTCTCTTTATTCTGGCATTTCATGACAACATGTGTCTGTTTTGCTGGGAACTTATTTGGCAGTTTCAATCTAAAAACTGATGTCCTTCAGTTCTGAAAAATAATGTCAAATTATTTTTTAAATGTTTCTTTTATTTGTTTTACAACTATCTCTTAAGATCGTATAACTTAGAGGGTGAACTTTCATTTTCTGTTTATTTCCTTCCTTAAAAAAAATTTCCTTGAGGATTTTTTCAACTTTAAACTTTCTATCAGCATTTTAAATTCAGCTATACTCCTTTTAATTTCTCAGAGTTCAATTTTTTTTTTTACCTTTTCTTCATTATAACCTCCTCTAGCTTCATGTATATCATTTCTGTAATCTCTCTGAGGATATTTATTTGTTTTCATTTTATTCTGTATTGTTTTCTATTTTTGCTGCTGCTTCTGTTTCTTCTGAGTTTTTCTTTTCTGTTTACTTAATTTGATTTCTTGCTCATGGTGTAGTCATTCTTTAATTATCTGGTGTTTCCGGGCTGTGTCTTCATTTTCCTAAAGAGATCATCAGAAATTCTGAGTTCAAGCAGGAGACCTTAAGTAATGATAAACATCTTTAAAAATAGCTGCACTGAGCCTTTTGTGTGTGTGTGTGTGTGTGTGTGTGTGTGTGTGTGTGTGTGTGTGGAGGCAGAATCCTCCAATTATCTCTTTCTTCGGAGCATTGGTCTAGACAGTTTCCCCCAATAGGGAAACCTTTTAATATCTCACATGGGGCATAGAAACCTGGATGTCAGCCTCCCCAAAAGTCAGGGTAGGGGACTGAGGTCTAATTTAGCAGTTAGGTCTGTGGTTCTTAACCCTATTTGAACATTATGGTGGGAGATTTGAAAAAGTCTTATGTTCGTGACATAGGCCAAAACAATTCAGTGACAATCTCTAGGGGTGGCACCCAGACATTTTTAAAAAGGTCTTCCAGGTGATTCTAATGTTTGTCTCAGGTGAAGACCCACTGGGCCAGCAGCATCAGCACATCTGCATCACCTGAGAACTTTTCATAAATGCAAATTGTTGGGCCCCACCCTTGAACTACTGGATCATACAGTCTGGGGTGGAGCCCAACAATCTACTGTTTAAGTAGTTCTCCAGGTAATTCTAATTCATGCTGAAATTTGAGAACTTCTAATGTAGATTATCACGTAATCCTTCTTCTCAGTGTCCTGGGGGGTAATCCTTTTGGGTGAATTTCTAATCTTTCACCAGGCTTGAGGAAAGACACTCCCTTGGCAGTGTACTCTGGATTCTAACCACTTTTTTAATAGACTAAAGCAATCCTCCTATTTTCAATTGCATCAATCTCCCTATTTTTAGACATTTTAAGGCCCACAATTTCTAATCTAGTCTGAGCTTCTGCAGTACAAATTAACTTGCATCTGACCTCCTCCTATTGCAGGTCTAGATTTTCATTTTATCTATTAACTCATGACCAGGTATAATCTACTTTCAATCCACTTCTGTTTTTTATTGCCATGGTCTTCTCTCCTATTCTTCATCTGTGTAGCCTTATGAATTTTTTATTGTTTTCTTATAAATTTTGGTTTGCCAGGAGAGAGAAGAGATAAAATTGGTCAGATAAAATACAAGACACCCAGTTAAAATTTAATTCCAAATAAATAACAAGACTTTTTTTTGTATATCCTAGTAAACTACTCTTTATTTATCTGGAATTCAAATGTAACTAGGTATATTTTCTATTTTAGACATGAAGGGCTGATTTTTTAGAAAAATCTAATTTTAAGTCATGGATCTCAACAATTCTGGCATAGTGCAGTAAAAATACATACTCTGAATATTTCAAAAATAAGTTATTAGTTTTAATGATACATCTTAAGAGGTAAAGCATTATAAAAAATGTAATAATTATAATTCTAAAATATAATTGAAATATGTATTGCAACAGCCTTTAATTTGGATTGAAACTTTAATTCAATTTATATTACTCAAGTTATGTTTGCACTGAGTAGTATAGTGTTATTAGGTCCAATGGGAGACTATTTTCGAATAGGGCAGTGTAGTGGAAAAAGCATTGAAATTCAAGTAGTGCTGACTGGGAGTTAATGCCATACTCCTGCTGTGTGACCTTCAGGAAGGCCACCTTTCACTTTTCCATTTGCTTATTTTTAACAGTGTGTGTGTTAACACATCATATCGCTTTTATGACAATGAAATAAGACAATTGTATTTACTCAATTTAGAGACTTGCAAAGGGCCTGGAACTTAGTAAGTGCTTGGTAAATATTATTTTCCTTCTCTCTCTCTCTCTTTTGGAGAAGATTTTGGAGACTGTATGGTAGGATCAATTTATATTTATGTTAATTATCAATATTAACATATTTAACATATGAATATTAAAATAATCCATTAATTCCTGTAATATCTCTGTTAGTGAATGTATTATTTTGCTAGAGCTTCCATAACAAAGTCCCACAGACTGGATGGCTTGACAGAAGTTGGTTTTCTGGTAGTTCTGGAGGCGAGAGGTCTGAGATCAAGGTGTTGGCAGGGCAGGATTCTTCTAAGGTCACTCTCCTTATTTGTAGATGACGGTCTTCTCCCTGTGGTTTCACATGGCCTTTCCTCAGTGCATATCTGTGTCCCAATGTCCTCTTCCTATAAGAAAACCAGTCACACTGGATTAAGATCCGTCCTAATGGGGCCTCGTTTAGACTTAATTATTAAATATCTCTTTAAAGACTCTTTCTCTAAATACAGTCTCAGTCTGAAGTACTGGGACTTAAGAATTTAGCATATGAATTTTGGGTGGGAGTTAACAATTTAGCCCCTAACCATGAAGTAGATTTACTCCTCATTGCTTATACACAGCTTAACCCCTACCCTATATTAGCTCCCTGCTTACGTACAGCTTAAGCAAGCAGTGTTTGAATTTCAATAATTTCTGAAGATTCGAACATCTTCATGTCAATAACAGTGTGAAACAACAACAACAAAAAATGTGAGATGAACAAATATGATTCCAAGTAATAATTATGCAGTCAAAAACAAAGTTCAAAAGAATGCAAAACATTGTGAAGAATATAAAGAATTACAAGACAGGATCCTTGCTCTCAAGAGCTTTCATCCCTGGATAAGGAGTCAAAATTAGTACAAATGAAACGATAAGGAAAAGCAACCATTAAATACAAAATCATGTCATTCTATCTGTAGAGGAGCCTTAGAATGAGGGAGAAAGAAGTATCAGTGTGGGCTGTGCTAGTCTGAAATACTTTACAGAGGATGCGGTTATACTTGTGCACTGAAAGGTGAACATAGTGGAGTTATGTGAAGACATATGTATGGAAACCATCATAAATAAGAATTGAACCGTGACTATTTTCTTCATAGCACTAATAGCAGTCTTCACTTATTTCTTTTCTATTTGGTTATTTATCTATGTCTGTCTCTATTACTAGAATATTAGGTCTATAATGGCAGAGACCTTACTACTCTTGTCTCCTGTCATTTTTCCATCATCTGCAATCATACTTTACAAATAATAGATGTCAATATTAATTGAATAAATGGATTAATGAATATTGTAAGATGATAAGACTGGAATTAGAAAGGAGTCTTAGTAGGTGGAATAAATTTGATTTGTAGGGCTTTAACAATCTGATAAGAGAATTTAAAATTTGAAGCTGTATATAATGAGGAGGCTTTGAAGAATCTTAAGCAAGAATTATGCATGATGAAAGATAAGCTTTTAGATGACTGCAACAACCTAGAATAATTTTTCCAGGACAGTTGGGGTCTTAGATTCACACTGGTCATTCTTGAGATGCCTGTTGTCTGAGTCCTAATGGTCCTTGATGAGCACAAGCTCCTTTGGTCATGGTCTTCAAGGCCGTGGTTCTTTGTATCTGCTCCTTTACCCATTTATTTACTGACCCTGTACCATGCCATCAGAATCCAATTGATCACGCTCAGAAACTTTATGTGTGAACAGAGTGTGGTTTTGTGCTACTCTTAGAAGCCCTACCCACCCAAAACTATGATCCAGAACTGAGTTTCATAGATATCTCTACTGTCTAGGGAGCCACAAAAGGGTGAGGTTGGCATTTTATATGTTGCCTGTGGAAATTAGTTTTCTCCAGGGCCAAAGGGTAGGGTAAACAACCACAGTGTCTCCCACTGTTTGGCTACCTTCTAGTTGTCAAGGAAGAAAGATTTTTTTCTAAGTTTTGTTTCTAGTCTCCTGTAGCAATAAAAATAATGCAATCAGAAAAATCTTTTTTTTATTATCCTGCCATAGAGATGTGTTCAAATGTTCAGTTTTAAATGAATGTAACCCAGGCCCATAATAAAATACTTGGCTGAATGAAATGTGAGGATTTGCAGAGAGATACATCTTGGAGAATCATCTACCCCCACGGCTCTCTTTAGCTTTAATGTGTGTAGTTTCTGCTCAAGACCCATTGGGTCCGAGAGGGTGAGTAAGGAGGGAACATCTTCATTTCCTGAGTGGCACAATCAGTTAGGGGTGGTCCAAATAAAAACACCCCTGTGCTCCAGTGTTATAGTCTTAGCCTCACTCAATCACCCATGTCCCCATGGTGAGGGGCTTTGGCCTAGGAGACAGAAATGGAACACATTTTGATTTGGACTTTAACAATGGCCTTTTTCTTTAGTCAGACAGCCAGCCCAGTAGGCCCTCAATTCTACACTTCAGGAAAATTCCTCTTGTTAATTTTTGATTTTGCTCATAATTTATCCTTTAATATTTTTATAAATTTTATTTCTGAAGTAATAAACACATAATAACAGAACAAATAAGACAGAAGAGACTCATCGATTATCAATAGCAATGTCTCCTACTCTGATCTTTCTATCGCCACTCCTACTTCTTAGGGACAAATCTCTTATAGCTGTCTGCTATTAGTTGTAGTTGTACTATTTTCTTCCCTTCCTCCCTCCCTTACTTTCTTTTTTCATTTCTTTTTTTCTTCTTCCTTCCTTTTTTTCTTTCTCTTTTCCTGGAGTTCTTACTCCCAGAGTCTTCTATTCTCATGATCCAATATAGACAGCTTTTTATGCTTGCCTCATAGCATTTATTCTGGGGCTTTCCTTTGCCATCTGGCTTTGTTCAGTTTCCTGTTTTTTAGATTCCTTCTCATTATCTTGACTTATTTTCTCATTTTGTTCCAGCTTAACTTTCAGTTTCTGTTTAAGAAAGAGTTCATGGGAGGTAAATTTATGATATATATCTCCCCTCTGCACTGCTACACACACACACACACACACACACACACACTCTCTCACAGAGAGACAGACACACCACACACACACACACACTTTTTTTTTTTTTTTTTTTTGAGACAGAGTCTCGCTCTGTCACCCGGGCTCGAGTGCAGTGGCACGATCTTGCCTCACTGCAACCTCTGACTCCCGGGTTCAAGTGTTTCTCCTGACTCAGCCTCCTGAGTAGCTGGGATTACAGGCGCACATCACCATGCCTGGCTAATTTCTGTATTTTTAGTAGAGACGGGGTTTCACCATGTTGGTCAGGCTGGCCTCGAACTCCTGACCTCGTGATCCACCCACTTTGGCCTCCCAAAGTGCTGGGATTACAGGCGTGAGCCACCATGCCCGGCCACACTTCTTACACTTAATTCATAGTTTACTACAGAGTTCTACCTAGATTGTAATTTCCCCTAAGAATTTCCTAGGCATTGCTTCACTGTTTTCTAGTTTCTAGCAATGGTGAAGAGAAGTCTAGCATGGTAGTTTGCAAAGAAGGACTGGGTAATTCTTTGTAAGTGACTTACCTTTTTCTTATCTCCAAACTTTTAAAAAAGATTTTTTTTAAGCACAGTGTTCTGAAATGTTACATGCATATATTCATTTTTTCTATTCTTTTTGCTGGTGAATCACTTGAAACCATCGTCCTCAAACTTTTTGGTTGCAGGACCATTTTATAGTCTTAAAAATTATTGAGATCCCTAAGAGTTTTTTAGATGTGGGTTATACATAACCCACATATTATTAGATATTAAACCTGACAAAATTTTAAAAATATTTATTACAAATTCACTTAAACATTACAAAATAAACATTAATGTTTATATATTATATTTTTAATGTTAATAGTTATATTTTCTTAAAACAATTAGGACAGTGGCAATGGTCTATATTTTACAAATTTTCTGAATGTCTTAATATAATATAGCTGAATTTTCATATCTGATTCAGGAGATGTTGTGTGCGTTCATATATGTGGCATTAGAATAGAGAGGATTATTTTAAAAGCTTTTTCAGATGATTGTAGACATTCTTCTTTTAAAACTACACCAAAACTCAACACCTGTTAGTTTCTTAAAGGTGAATAGCAAAGAGCATATCATTAAATTTTTATTTCCTCTCATATATAATGTATTGGCCTAATTTTCACTACAAATTAATCATTTACTATGCATGATTTTGGCTCAGCTTGTGTTGTTCATTTGAAAAACATTGCTTCTTTCAGTTATGTATATCTTCCCAGTGTAGACATGTTTCATTATACCATATAAAAAAAATGCATTCATGAATATTTCCAGAAATCTCATTAGAAAAATTTTTAGGTATTAGGAAGCTGTCAGACTTACGGTATTGAGAGAAGTTTTCCAACACTCTAATCTTCATTTGAAAGCTTTAATTTTATCATTGAAAATAAATTATCTCAGTTTTCTTATATGACAGTTTTTATATTCCATTCATTTTTGAGTAAACATCTTTTAAATATTGAACTCTGAATAGCCATAGTCTGTCAGTCATTCTTCAAAGATAAAATGATGTTCTATGAAAAAAGTAGCTAATTCTTTTTGCAGTTCAAGCAATCTCATAAGACATTCCCTCCAGGCAACTGTATGTTGGTAGGCAGCAGAAGGACCTTATGCACTTTTCATTTTGTGACACAATATTAAAATGTCATGTCCTAGCTTTAATAAAATTAATAGTTTTTATTGATCAATTAAGGTAATTTTTAAGTAAAACTGGCATTTTTTTCCCCCTGTGAGTGCATGGCAGTAGTGAATTCAGTGATTCCTAGTACAGTTTAATGCTACTGGGCTTTCAAAACAAATATTCTACTAATCTTTTTTTTACTTTTTTCCTACCATTTTCTGAGGTTTCTTTGGTCTTTTTTCTCTATATTATGGAAGGTTGCCTCTACCATATTTTCTGATCATTCTATTGAAAAATACTTCTTGGTAGATTTTTTAATCTCTAAAGACTCTTCTTTTGTAATTGTTCATTTTTTACAGCATCTTTTACTTTCTTGAGGGGTATATGTACTAGAATCTCTTGAGTATGTTAATTAGATATTAGATAATTTAAAACAAAAGGATTTTTTCTAAATTATTATTTGTGCACCTATGTTTATCTTAGTGTTTATTTTTCATTGTGCTACTATTTCCCATTGAGCTGGAGATCCTTGATTTCCTGTGATGTTTAACAAAGAAGGACTGTTTATCTTTCATGGATGTCTTTTACCTTTATGAGAGTAGAAGTCTTTTCACTTGGTATCTTCCTTGAGGGGAGTTCTGCAAGGCATTCGACACTGTGACTTGTAGGTTTAGTTTCAGGAGGGACCTGGGGGCCAGGATTTGATTCCCATGAATGCTAGAATGAAGAGAACTGTGTTGCATGGCACCAGCTTTAATATTCAAAACCTCTTCACTGAGTATCTTAGAAAAGAGCTGTGGCTAGTTATTTGACACTTTTTATCAGCTGTCAGCCCTCTGTGAGCTAGGGGCAAAGGGCTAAGGAGATGGAGGTGGTATTACATGTAAAAATATCTTTAATTGCCCAAATAGAGTTAAATAACCTTATTTTAACTTCTAGGTAGAAATTGATTTGTGGTCTCAATTTGTGGCCATTAATTCTATTCTTCTTGATAAGTCTAAATCATTCAAATCCTTTTACATTATAACTTTATTTTAAATTACTGCATTGCCTTAAATGTTTTAAAGCCTCTCATGGAGTCTTGGAAAGAACACAAGTTTTTCAGATAGGGAGATGAAATATGTAAATTTGATTAAGTTACTTAATCTTCATAGAGTCTCAGATTCTTTATAAAATGAAACAATAATCATTTCCTTACAGTTTTGCTTTCACAATTTGAAATAATACAATAAGAGGGGGAGATCTCTATTTTTTTATCTGTGGCACACTGTAGATTCTCTGATATCAAATGAACACTCAGTAGGTGGTACCGGTATAAATTAATGCAATTTTGGAGAAAGGGTCACTAGAAGAAATAGAGAAGGTTAACAATTGTGAAGAGACCGGTAATGGAGAGCACACATGATCAAAAGCTTACACACTTTTAACAAATAAAAAGTGGGAGAACAATGTATATTTTATAATTGTTGTTTAGATATTTTGTTAGATTTTGCCATTTATTTACAAATACGTATCGTACAAAACTACATGATTATGTTTAAGTATGTAAATAATAAAAGCTGATTTTATATTAATTTGAAATACGCTTTTATTTACATCTATATACTTACATGTTATGTAAAATATAAGAATATTATATATTCTTTTCTAAGAAAAAGAAAAGTTAAATTGAAGAGTCTAACTGTAGAGGAGGAGGAAAGTTTGAACAATAAAATGTCACTACGAGCTGCATTTTTAAATGTGACAGTGATTTTACTGTTTCCCTTAGAAACAGAGTTTGGAAATATAACAAAAGAAATCAGAGAGTATTATAGTTTAGTAAGTATTTATTATTATTTAATAAGATAATTATACTTTCCTTTAAAAAATATCTTTCCTTTTTCTAGATAAGAAACTGTGGTGGGCAGACCAAAACTTAGCCCAGCTAGGAACCTGCAGCAAAAGAGACGGAAGAAACCCCACCATCCTACGGAATAAGACTTCTGGGGTAGTTCATATGAAAGTCTATGATAAAGAAGCACAGCAAGGTAAATCACACTAATGAATTTGTGCCAGGTCTTGAATACGTAATGTGCTCTTTTTTATATTAGCTCCTCAATTCAACAATAAAAGGTTTCTATTCTTGCTTCTAATAAAAACAGAGAAAAAAGGAAAATGTTGCTTACTACTGTAGGAGAAATGTCTTTAATATAGATGCATAATGAGCTTTGAAAGCATTAGCAAACCTGCCTTAGGAGTCTTAATTTGTCAGGTCTTCAAAGAGGTCTTATCCTGTTCTTGACTAAAAAAATACAAGAATAAGAAAATATATCCTGGCAAAATATATACAATGCATAGTTAAGCCCAGAATCTGAATGAACTAGGGGACTTCAAATGGACTACATCAACAAAAGAATTCCATATCCAAAGCACTACATTGTTTGGCTGTAATCATTTTGCTTTTTTGTTTTTGCTTGTCCAAATTGTGTGCAGTGAAATGGAGTGAGAGAAATAACAGATGGTTTACATAGGTAGACTTGTCACACTACCCAAATGGCAAATGGATTAGAGATGGCAGCCAGTACAGCCCCACATCTGCTAGTCCTTTCTTACTTTTTGCTTCATAATCCATGACATTAGCACAATTCTCTTTCTAAAAAAAAAAAAAAAAAAAAAAATCAACCAAAAAAAAATATACTGTACTTTCATACATTAGTCTCTTCCATGAAAATCCTTAGCTTCACATACTTTTCTTAGGAAAAGTTTTCCAGAATGATTTTGAACACTAAGATAGGGATTTTCATCTAAAGGATTTGGGGTATGTAGACTAAAGCAGAGAAGAGCAGGGGTAATAATAGAAAACCAAGGGGATTGCTATTTCTGCAGATAGGTAATGACCATCAAGCAAGCAGCATTTATTGAACATACCAATTGAGAGCGCTGCCTGCACATCAGGAGATAAAATGGAGATCAGATTAGGATTTGCCTTCCCTGTACAGGGATTGGGTCACGCTGGTTTGGAATCTTTACTTGCCCCAAGCAGAAGAAAACATATTACGTATTCATAAAAAATTAATAACTTTAGAATAAAAAATTGCTTTAAACATTTATCTGAAGTATTTATTGCATTCCGTTCATTGTTGAGAATTTATGAATGTTCATAGATTCACATATACAGAACGTATGTGCACCCAAGAGAATGTATATACATACATATACCTGAGAACGTATAACCTGAGAATGTATATAATACCCAAATGGTTATCTGTTTGTTCTCTGAATTTTTGGGGTCATGTCCACAATAATAAACAAGGATATTTTTCACTAGCAATTCAGTAATGAAACTTTTTCTGTATCAAAATAATTGTACTGCCATTCAAGTCATGGGAAATAGATTACGTAATTGAGAATAAAATACTGGTACTCAGTAAATAAAACATTGAAACATTTTCTGATTTCCATAGAATATAATTATGTGTAAAAACTCACAGTACTATTGTAAATCTCAGTGAATAACGCATACATATGAGATCGTATCTGAAAACATAACGTTAGAAAATATGACAGAGAGAGGGAAGGTGTGCAAGAGAGAAAGAATTTCCAAACAGAGCATTTAAAAATATTTACCCACTTTTCCAAACTGTGAACAAACATATGCTTTGTTTTAAGCTGTAAATATACATGTCAAATTTTCTAGATATAATTCCAATGAAGTTTTTAGGGGGAAACATTTACTATATGATGCTCAGTGTACTTTACTCCTGTTAACAAGATTTTCCTCATCTTTTAAAGATTTGATTCTATAGGTATAATTGGGTGTTCTATGCTCTGTGAAAGTATTGCCAAATGAACAAGGACCTCTAGCACTTAGAAATCAATGGTACAATATGACTAAACTTAAAATTTAAGCAATGAAAATACCATTTTTACTAGAATATGCTGATAAAAGCATCTGTATTAAAGACAATCCCATTAACAGAATTACTGCAGGTAGCGTAAAAGCTTCATTAGTATGAAATATGACCAATTTAGGACTCTTTAAGGTGTTAACATCACTACCTATTTGGATTTCAAAGTACAATTAGTGACTTAATATATCATTTTTGACAAAGATCACTGGAGAGTTGAGAATTCTTATTAATCAAGTGGACTTTCTAGCTCCACTAGAGATTTGGGGCATGAGGTTTCAACATCAATATCATTATAAATTATTAAGCCAAGCTAGTATTTATAATTTGATAGATAATATAAATTTAAACATAAAACAAAAATTTGTTACATAAATTATTACCTTTCAATTTTACTATATTTTCTACTTTATATTTAACAGAAAAAGAACCTTATTGTAACTAAGAATTCATTTCATTATTTTTTACTTTTTCTCTCCTTCACTATTAATTTCTTCTTAGAGACTAAACAAAGGATATATGAAATGTATATGGTTAGTGTTTAACATTAATTGTTGAAATATATTTTATTATTTATCAAAAATATAGTTCTCTCTATATATCTGAATATTTATCTGAAATATTATATATAATACTTATATATGGCTATTTTTGCAATTATATTAAAAATATACAGCCCCAGACCCAGAAGGTCCTTTTTTTCACGTATTTTTGCTATTATCAAGGCTATGTAACCCCTCACATTCTCTTATTTATTTATCTATTTTTTGAGATGGAGTCTCACTCTGTCACCCAGGCTGGAGTGCAGTGGCACTATGTCAGCTCACTGCAACTTCTGTCTCCTGGGTTCAAGCAGTTCTCCTGTCTCAGTCCCCCGAGTAGCTGGGATTACAGGCACTCACTACCATGCCTGGCTAATTGTTTTTGGATTTTTTAGCAGAGACGGGGTTTCACCATGTTGGCCGCTCTGGTCCGGAACTCTTGACCCCAGGTGATCTGCCCTCCTCAGTCTCTCAAAATGTTGGGATTACAGGCGTGAGCCACCGCGCCCCTAGCCACATTCTCTTATTTTTACAAGTACATGGTCTTTCCTAACCTATTTCTCTTTACTTCTTGTTTTTTGTTTGTTTGTTTGTTTGTTTGTTTGTTGAGACAGTCTCACTCTGTTACTTGAGCTGTAGTGCAGTGGTATAATCTCTGCAGCCTCTGTCTCCAGGGTTCAATGATTCTCATGCCTCAGCCTCCCGAGTAGTTGGTATTACAGGTGTAGCCACCACACCTGGCTAATTTTTGTTTTTTCAGTAGAGATGGGGTTTTGAGACAGGCTTGTCTCAGAGCTCCTGACCTCAAGTGATCTGCCTGCCTTCACCTCCCAAAATGCTGAGATTACAGGTATGAGCACTGTGCCTAGCCTCTTCAATTCCCTTATTTCTCTTTCTCTCCAAATGTTCTTTCAAGCTCTATAGTTAAGTATCATCTGCGGATGTCTCCCCAGCCTTTCAGTCTTGGTAGTTGAAATACATCTACATCTCAATACAACTCTCTAAAAGATTGGCATTACATTAATATACCCATGCTTTCTACAAAATGAAATATGTAGATTGTCAGTATATAACTATTATAAATCTAGGCTGGGGGCAGTGACTCATCCTGTAATCCCAGCACTTCAGGAGGCCGAGGTGGATGGATCACTGGATGTCAGGGGTTCAAGACTAGCCTGGCCAACATGGTGAAATCCCATCTCTCCTAAAAATACAAAAATTATCCAGACATGGTGGCAGACCCCTGTAATCCCAGCTACTCAGGAGGCTGAGGCAGGAGAATTGCTTGAACCTGGGAAGCGGAGGTTGCGATAAGCCAAGATTGCACCACTGCACTTCAGCATGGGCAACAGAGTGAGACTGTCTCAAAAATAATATATATATACATACATACAAATATATATATTATAAATCTATAAATATAATTGTTTCATTATTTGATAAATGAGAGAAACAAAATTTCATCTTAATGTTATACATCAGCTTGGAAAAATGTGGAATGAATCAGTTAATTTTTATTAGTTTATATAGGATAAATGTAATCATTTTAAAAGTTCAGGGCCATATAATGGCCCTACATAAAATGGATTTCATCAGTGGCCAAACTGGCAGATACAGGACATGAGCAGCGAATGTGGTACATCTCCTGATGAGAAATCTCCCAAGTTGAGAGTATTTCACACTTCAAAAATGACAGAGCTCATGACAGGTTCGATTGAACAATTAAATCTCATCAGACCATCTTGAATTCAGAAGAAGAGAAATAACGAGCTGCATTGGTATTTTGAAATTTCCACAGAGAACTATTGATATAGAGCTTTCATCATGCTTTGTAATTCTCACTGGATTTGTTACACTTCATATCAGTGCTTGAACATCCAGTAAATGGCATTGCATGCTCTAGAATAATAAAAAAAGATGTAAAAATGGGATTTTTAATGAACTTTCTGGGTAAGATTGTAAATTACTTAACTTCCCACTACCAGCATTAATTAGCACACTGGGCCTAGTAAATTCAATGGAACATCTTCAGCAGGGATTCTAGAATGCCTATCTGTGATTACCTGACTAATATTTGTCATTGGTACTGTACAGAAAGAAGAGGAATTAATATGCCAATTAATTAGATGATTCTTATGGCTGTGTTTTTCATATATTTCGGGAGAATTATATTTCTATGAATGAGAAAATTTATTTCCCTGCTTTTAAAAATTAATTGAATACATATACACATACATACCTCCTTTCTTTTAGACGCATAATCTTTGAGTGGTTAGTAATAATTTAACAGCTATTTATGTGACACATTTGGATAAAATATTCTTGCAAAGGAAGTAATTGTAGAGTTGAAGTAAAATTTAAAAATCAAAAGAGAAAAAGATGCTGGTTTCTCTGATCTTAAAATATTACAAAGGTCTATGAAAATATTTATGACAAATCAATTTCCTTTTGCTTTTCTGTAACTATTAATCTTCTCATGTATGTCTGTTGACTTTTTTGAAAGGGAAAATTCAACAATAATTTACTACTTTAAATTATTCAAGAGAATAAAGCGTAATCTTTAACCAGTATGAAACAGCTGCATTTAGAAATCAATAGCATACATATTTGTCAAATTATTGACGTTAAATAAAACTTTATTTTTTAAAAATTTCATTAAAGAAATTTGTTTCATTTTCATTCTATGCAGGCAGCAATTCCTGCCAACTAAACAATGGTGGATGCTCTCAACTTTGTTTACCAACATCTGAAACTACAAGGACTTGTATGTGTACAGTGGGATATTATCTCCAAAAGAACCGTATGTCATGTCAAGGTATGAGTTCATGAAAAACCTTACCTCTGGTTCATTTACTTCACTAATCATTACATACCATGCAGATGTTAGGCAACCAAAGTCAGTTAAACATTAGAAAAAAATTAACTAGTTATTAGGAAATGGTATACTGTTTAGTCTCATATGTGTAAGATTTTAATATTTGAAATATTTAAAATATCATTGTTCTGCCTTATAAGACATTCTAATTTTTTAGTCATTTTAGCAACTGCTGTATATTATCAAACCTTTAACCAAATCTAGTAAAAGCTACCTTCGACCTGAATAGGCAAAAATTATAGTAAAAAGCAGTACTTGATTGGCTGGAATTAATGTAGAATTTGAACTAAGTAATGTTTACTTTAGACTATATTAGAGGAAGCACTAGAGAGAATGTGAGGTCTCAGGTTTGCATAACTGAGGGAGAAAAGCACTGTAAGAGAACTGGTACCTAAGAAATCTTCCTGTTTTGCAGTCTCTAGTTCTATTAGTCCCAAATAACTTTGGTTCTAGAATGATCTTTTATATCTAATGATCATAGGTTAATTTTTATCGTTAAAAATGTTCCAATCTTATTTGAGAAATATCTATATATCTATATATGTATTATCATTTATTTTATTTTAAATCCAATATTTATATGATACTTATGTGCATGGCACTGTTCTAAGCACCTTAAACGTATTAATTCACTTAATCCTCATAACCTCATGAGGTAGTTCTCTTATTATCCCCATTTAAGAAATGAGGAAACTGAGGCACAGAGAAATTAAGCAACTTAGGTTACATGGATAGGAAATAGTGGAAACAGATTTAATTCTAGGCATTCTAGTTTTAATAAGAAAAAAATATAAATATTTTCTAATATATTGGCAAAATGCATAAGCATTAGAGTGTGTACTTCTGGTAGTTAGCTTAATATTTATGTGCCTATTTGGGGACAGGCTTTTGATGCCAGAGAAGTGTGATATTAATAGCTAATTAAGCTATTGATGTATTCTTAGTATGACAAAGATTTATGAAGACTAACTTCAAAAATTTCTTAAGAAATCTAAATGTCTATTAAAAGTATCAGTGATACAGTTATCTTAAATCAGGTTTATTATCATATATAAGTAAAGAGATGTTTGGATTTTAAAGAAGAGGGAATAAATTTTGGTTGAGAGATGAGGTAGGCTTCCACAAATCATCTAACTCAGTGCTTATGAAAGTGTGGGGCCCGTACCAGCATCATCATCACCAATTGGGAGATTTTTAGATATTTAAATGATCAGGCTTCTGGGATGGGGCCCACTAATTCATTTTAATAAATTCCTATTTTAACAAATCATATGCATAATCAAGTTTGAGAACTACAAATCTACCTACCTTTCGTTAGTCAGGAAGTGTAGTACACAATAATTTTTTTAAAAGGCCAGGAAATACATTTGTTAACATAAATTAAGATTGTTAAAAATAATACAAATGAAATTATTTGTATTTTAAATATTCATTCTGGGCTTCCCTTCCCCCCCTTATCTCCGGCCCTGCATTTAGGTATAGAATCATTTCTTATGTACTCTGTTCATGAAGGAATCAGGGGAATACCTCTTGAACCAAGTGACAAAATGGATGCTTTGATGCCTATATCAGGAACTTCATTTGCCGTGGGAATAGATTTCCATGCAGGTAAATAGCTTTTTAGTCATAATTTATGCATAATATATTCACTTGATTTATTAAACATGATGGGAATACAATCTTTTCCTCTGTGCTTTAATAGTCAAGATGAGAAATAAGAAAGCAGCAAATAGATAAATATTAAGGCCAATCATAAATTATTCTAAATGTGTAGTGTCTGAAAAAAAAATCAAGTAAAATCGTCCTAAAGTATAGCATTTGAATTGCAATTGCCTTAACATACCACCATTGGCACTTGGTTGCTTATTTTTATTTCTCTCTCTTTTTTATTTTGATACTTTACTTTTATCTAGTTATAAATATAAGGACATACAAAGCATTTTGATCTATTATATACTAAAATATAACTTTATTTAAAATATATTCAGGATGTGATTTTCTATTGTAATACAAGCGGTGGCAAATGAAATCCAAATACTAGAAACAATTATACATGCTACACCACTGAAAATTATTGTTGAATATAGTATGTACCATTTGGAGTCAGATTTTACTTTACCTTCTGATATTTTAGCAAACAGTGAAAGGAAGCAACAGGAAGCAAAGCGGACACTAACATTTTGCTGCGGCTAATATGAATAAGTGATGGGGAATTAATGGTAGACACTGTTGAATTTACTGAAGTAAACAAGTTTTTTGGCGCTAATTGCTAAATTCTGACATAGCATAAATATTTGGTATTCACATTAACATTTAGATTTATTATCTTCAACTTGAGGGCTTAAACTTATCAAAATAAATGCTAAATCGTATGTTTTCTGAATTAATGTTTTAATGTTGAACATGTAAATGCATTTCCACGGTGTTTTTATATGTGTAAAGACTTAGTTTGATCTAATGTTAAAAAACAAATAGCTATTTGATTTATAATATTAAAAAAAAGAATCATTGTAATCTTGCACCAGCATGTGGGCTTCTGGTACAGTTCTAACACATTTTGTTTAATCATGTATTAATAAAACTCTGGACTACAAGTTAATGAATTACTGGGGATCTTCACAAATTGTTCAAAAATGAGTTTTCTTAAGTAGATTGTTTTGCACCAAATGTTTGGAATTGGATAGAGGCAAATGTTTAAAATCACCTTTACCAAAAGGAAATACAAAGAAGTATAACACATTTTATTAAGCAATATGTTAATTTTGCCAAAATCTCAGTGTGGTTTTTGATCAAACTTTAATCAAATCTCATTATTGGTGGAAGGCTAATTACCTCTACAATGAATAATCTACCTTGTCTCTTATGTACCTGCATTTTATTCTTTAGAATTTTATCATATAGGATTTGTTAAGTGCAAAACTAAGAAAATTTGAACTTTTAAAAGATTTTATGTATACAGTACATGCATGTATTTTTACTAGGTACATAGTCCTTTGCTTTAGCTGGAGCATATATTCAATTATTTTGAAGACTCCATAATGATTTTTGAAAATATTTGATAAATTTCCATGAGGAAAAAATATTAGTTAGCATGGCACATGTATACATATGTAACTAACCTGCACAATGTGCACATGTACCCTAAAACTTAAAGTATAATAAAAAAAATAATAATTAAAAAAAATAAAATAATATAAGCAATTTGATCTAAATGTCTTGATAAGATCATTAGGAAATCTTTTGCTTTTTAAGGGTAAATAGATCATCTGAATGAGTTAAATTCACTCTCCAAAGTTTACATTGGCCCTGAAATGGTTAAGTTTAATATCATGTACCATGATGGAGGATATGTTTATTTGCAGAGAATAGGACTTTCTGTTTCAAAATGCCCAATAATTATTAATATCATAAACTTATTTCATGTCAAAGTAACTTTTCCTAAGGAGAAGTTACCTGTTTTAGTTAAAACTTTGTTCTTTACATTTTGCCTACCATATTTTTATTTCCTGGGAAAAAGTTATTTTCAGAAAAGCTATTTCTTCTTCTAAATGTAAAGGGATGCAAGCATACAGAATAGTCATGTAGGTAGAATGTTCAAGAATCTATTAAAATCCCTACTGTTACTCAGAATACAGCAGTGAAAAACTTTCTTTAAAACCAAAGAAGGTTAGAGATCTACAGGCCAGTGAAACATAGTTGGAAGAAACCAGAGTTTAGCCACAGACAACCTGGGTTCTAATGCCAGCTCAACCACTAGTAGCTTTGTGACCTTGGGTAAGTTACCTAATTTTTCTGAGGCTCTGTTTCCCTTTTTGGGGTGTGGGCATGTTTAGATCAATGTAAGCAAATGTTTAATAAAGTGCCTGATATATGTTGGTGCTCAGAGAATGGTAACAAAAATATCAAATAAGTGGGAAGTAAAATATTGTAGAAATTATCATATGTTATATATATTATATATATATATATATATATAATATATATATATATATATATATTTTACAAAGATGCCCTGGAAGCTACATTTAAATTTCTAATTAGCTAGGATTTGGCTTTACTGTTCTCTCAACTGATATTATGTTTTCTATTCAGTTATCTGAATAGAAAAAAGGGTGTTTCTTCACTACTCTGGGGCAATAAACACAGGTTAATAAACCTCCCTTTTGAGGATAAACATCATCATCATCATCATCATCATCAGTCTGTAGAGCTGATGCTTAAAGATTAGATATCAGTAACTATTTATAATATTAAATGTAAATCTAAGAGGCTAACATTCAGTGCTTAGGCTGAACTAACTGAAACCCTAATGAAGGTCATGATGGTGGTGGTGCTATCAGGAGCTTTCCACTGCCTTTTTGCATAACTTGTGTTACTTCCATCTACTTTACAGTCTGATCCTTTATTAACTGTGTTTTATGAAAATATATTAGGATCAGAATAAGTGTCAGCAGCTTGATTTATAATATCTTTATAGTGGTGATATACAAGCTCTGTTACTTCTTGGAGGGAAATTAGAGAGAGAGAGAAAGGAAAACCTGGATTGTTCCTCAGAGAAAGAGATAAAAGAAACCTTTTTTGTTGTGTCAGTCTCTACTTGTTTATCTTTTTTTTTAAATCATGACCTTCATATTTCACCTGATTATAGGTTCTTTCTTGATTAATTTCTTTTGCAGATATTTTATTTCCTCTTCTTCCATTAATGACATTTACCCCAGGGCCATAATCTCTACATTAGGATCAAAGATAAAAATGACCAAATGGAAGGGCACAGTTGCCTCTTATTCTTTTTTTTTATTTTATTGTTATTATACTTTAAGTTTTAGGGTACATGTGCACAATGTGCAGGTTTGTTACATATGTATACATGTGCCATGTTGGTGTGCTGCACCCATTAACTCGTCATTTAGCATTAGCCTCTTATTCTAAACAAACAGCCCCAGTCATGCTAAGGAGATGAAGTGGAAGAGAATCATTGGCAAAGTACAAGTATCATAATTTATCAATACTATTTCATTACCATGATATTACAGAAAGAATGTATTCTCAAAACCTGTGCATTTCATAAGAATTAACAGATCTGAATCTTTCTGGGTTTGATTGTAATAAATTAAAGCTTTCTACAATGAACAAATTGTTTTTTCTACCAGATGAAGCAATTCTGGATACTCTCCACAGAAGAAAAAAAGACCCTGTGGCTAGATTTAAAATGTTCAAAGAATTTTTATCTCTTCACTGGAAAAGTTCCATTCCAGTGGAAAAAAACATATTGAGCTTTGAAAATCCTTGCCTGCTGGGTGATATTCCTCCTGATAAATGAATACTGCATTTGATGCTTTAACAGATACATTTTAGTTAGGAGAAAAGCCTTCAAAGCAAAGCCCATTGCTCCACTTAGTTAAGTGATCTTCACTAAGTAATGCTCTATTCAATATTCAGTTCTCCCTCCCCTTGGGGTACTTATGACTTCTCCTTAATAATGAAACAATTGGATGCTACTTGAAGAGGACATTCTACTCAGAATAATTATTCATCTGTAAAACTTCACACTTACATTCTTTTTTCATCTTTTATCTCTTTTATTGAAATTTGGGTCATCCAACTCAATGATGCAACAACTGATGGTTACTATAATAGCTACCAGGTTTAGAACTTCACGTCTAAGTTGCTTGGAAGATGAAGATAAACAAGGGTCCAGCTGCAATGGCTCATACCTGTAACCCTAGCACTTTGGAAGGCAGAGGTGGCAAGATCACTTGAGGCCAGGAGTTTGAGGCTAGCCTGGGCAGTATAGTGAGACCCTGTCTCTATTAAAAGAAAAAAATAAACACAGAATAAGGGTCATTATTTGGATGTCATTGTCTGGAACTTACTAGAGGAAATATTTTATTATTTTTTTACACCATCACATAGTAATCTGGCTAAGACAATAAAAACACTGAAGGAACATGTCAGTATACATTTACCTAAATCCACAGAATGTATAACACCAAGAGTGAACCCTAATGTTAACGATAGATGCTAATATAAACTATGGATGTGTTGGCTTAAATTCACCTGTGACAAATGTATCGCTCTGGTGTGAGATGTTGATAGTGGGCAAGGCTGTTTGTGTATGGCGGAAGGAATATATGGGAACTCTACTTTCTGATCAATTCTGCTGTGAACCTAGAACTCTAAAAATTAAAACATATTTTAAAAACACTGAAGGAGTATATGTGACAAAATATCATTGCCACGTTTATACAGTGAATGTCATCTGTTTATATGAAAGAATCCCTCTTTATTAGTCCCACGACATTCATATTTATCTTTGAAACATAGAACTAGAAGGAGTATTTGATACCATTTGTAGCACTCCCTCATGATACAGGTAAGGAAACTGGAAACCAAAGAGATCAAGGGGCCATATACTAATGGAGTATCCTACTCCCAGTTCTTTCCACTGTGCCGTCGTGCATTTGTAACCACTGAAGCAAAAGTTTATTTTGACCATTGTTGGCATTACTTGATGACACTACATTGCGCTTCTGCAAATTTGTGCTAGTAGAAGATCGTGTATTATTTTGATTTATATACTGAATCATGTGATTTTTAAACCCATTTAATAATTGAAGATAGTGACACTCAAATGAGTCTCTCTCTTTTTTATTTTCTATGCCTGGAAGCTTATAAAAAGAAACTATTTACAAAATTTTTCTAGTAACGACTTTGTCACCAACCAAGGCCACAGAAGAATTATAGAAAGAATTCTTTATATGTCAGTAGCAGCAATAGTTTAAGAAATATAATATTGTTGCTTTGGGACATTTTTTCGATTTTATGAAAACCATTTTCTTGGCTACAAAGTGAATTTTAGAGCTGCTTCAATTTCTTCTTGTTCTTGTGACAGTGAAACTAAAACTACTTTTTGTTGTCATTTCAAACTTTCTTCAATAATATATTTTTTAATCATGTGAACAGTGTGTATAGATTTGTAGGTAGTCAATTCAGTAAATCTTTCAAGATGTAATATCACAAGAAAATAAAAACTTATCAATACTACCTGAAATACAAATATCATAAACATGCATAACATAAGGCATTTTAGGTTAAGTAAATTACTGGAAATATCTCACAGATCCTTTTTGGGTAATTTCTAAATTCAAAACATGAAAACAAGCCCCTATTAGGCATTTAATTTATCAGTATGTTACCTGAAATTAAAAGCACAAGAAGATGCACAATGATCACCTACTAAGATTAAAACTTTGGTCAACTTATTTGAGATCTATATTATTTTCCATATTTTTGAGAGAATCTCTTAGGCAAGTCTCATGAAACTTCAGGCACTCAGCACCCCTCAGGAAAGGGAAAGATCTTGACACCGACTTTAGTTTAATCCACATGAAGCACATCAAATCTGCATTAGGAAAACTTTCTTTTTCCCTGCCTGAGTTACTTTGTGCTGCCATATTTCTTTTTAGCTACTGAGGCTTCTCCTCAGTGGTACATTCAGAATTGAATGTACCACTCTTTCTCCCCACTCTTCTTTATCAAAATGGAGCTGCTGAGAAACCTATTTTCTAAAGGCATGGTTACTTCAATTCACAGTAAATTATTAGTAGCTGCTGAGAGATTGAAAAATTTTTAAATTATATATGTTTGAGCAGATCACAGTGTCTTAACCCACCGGCAACATCCAGCTAAAACACCCCTAAAGATATGTGAAAAAAGTATTTTTTATAGATAGGTCAAACTATTTTATATTTTTCAAATTACTCCATACTCTGATACTTAGAGTATAGATTGGTACCTGTTTATTTCCAGAAACCCAACCCTAGATATACTGACAGATTAAATGATAATGAGGAGATCTCTTTTAGCTTAGGTACGTTGGTACCTTTAGTATCTTCAACTGTAAACTTAAACTTGAAAAAGTGCTTTTCTTCCCATTTTAAGAAAACTGAATATGTATTAATCAATTTGTCTTTTTGATAGCATTTATTTAAAAAAAGCTGTGATTCAGCTTCTGAATTTTTGGGCCATTAATTTTTAATCAACTAGACAATATTCTAGGTAAAGGAAAAGGAAAGTTATTTAATTTGTTTATGGGCTGGTCATAAGCAATGGATCTTTAATTTCATTTTATCATTTGGCCTTATTTTTATCTAAGGGCAACAAGTAGTAAGTGGATCATTTTCAAACTTTAAGGTGAAAAAAATAACTAATTGGTTCTATGAATTCCTTAGTATTTTTAGAATAGGAACTTGGCAGAAATTGAAAAAGCCTAGAAATGGAATTAAACACCCATAAGAGGATTAGAAAACTGAGGGGTTGGAAGAGGAAGAAATTAAAATAACAAAAAAAACCCTTAATATTTGTTGCACACTTACTACATCACAGGAGTAAAGTTAGGAAACTTTGTGTATTTATGTCATTTAATTTATCAAAAGAATCTTTTGAGGAAGGTGGTATTTTTATTTTAATATTAAACTGGGTTTCAGGATGAGATATGAGTATAGGAAAGACTTGGTTGCTTTGAGATGCCCTAATTAAATTCTGCATTCAGGATTCTTTTGGGTTTTTGCCCCTGAGATTGACATCAAACATGAACTGCATAAGCAATGTGACATAATCCACATTTGATCCCTAATCGTTTCATAATGAGAATTTTAATCTTGTTGTAATTATGATTGGGAAAGACAGGCCATATTAGGACTCAGGGCTTGAGAGAATCGTGAAAATATGGTCAGTATAGGATTGCCCCTGCTAGACTGAGGGGCAGAAGACTCATGGCACAGCTTCATCTGAGACTCAGATAGTTAGGGAAGGCATCATCATCATCATCATCATCATCATCATCATAGTTATCATCATTATGATTGTCATAGAATGGATGAGGAGAAGAAGAGAGAAAAAATCATTTATTCTACTATGTTTAAATTAGTTATCTATTACTGTATAACAAATTACTAACACTTGGTAAGACAAAACAATGCTTATAATGTCATAGCTTCTATTGGTCAGCTTGCTGTGTCATCTGCTTCAAAGTTTCTTATGAGACTGCAATCAAAGTGTTGCACAGAGATGTGGTCTCATCAGAAGGCTCAGTTAGGGAGGATTCACTACCAAGCTCGCTCATGGGGCTGTTGGCAGGATTCTGTTCCTTGCAGGTTGTTGAATAAAAGACCATAACTCTCTACTGAGTATTATCTCAGTTCTTTGTCATGTGGGCCTTTCTACAGGGCAGTTCACAGCATGACCACAAGCTTCTCTTAGAGCTAGTGAATAAGAGAGTGGGAGAAGGCATTCACAAAATGGAAGTCAGACTTCTTGTCACCCAATCTCAGAAATGATATCCCATCACTTTTGGTATATTCTATTTATTAGAAGCTACTAACTAGATGCATCCTCCCCTCAGAGAAAGGGACTAGAGAAGGAGTGAATACCAGGTGGTAGGGGTAAGAGGGGGCCACATTAGGGGCTGCCTATCACAATATTATAGACCTTTTATATATCTTATTCCCACACATTATTTTCTAAAGGGTGAACTCGGATGGCAGGTTTGAAATATCAGTGATGTTCCTGTATGGACAGCTTCTATATTCTGGCTTAAACTATGTGATAATGAATTATTAATGTAAAAGTTTATGGTCATTGTCTTGATCCTCATTTTGCCTCCAGTTAATAGTAGACTGTAGCTGACTGGAGAAGTCCTTTAGGCAGAAATTAAAGACAAAGCTTAAATAAAATGCCAAATGTTTCACAAATGGAATAGAACAAAGATGGGATTTAAATTCACACGTATATATTTTTTCATCATTTGCTTTCTCCACACTGCCATTCTAGAGTAAGTTGAGTAAGGAAAGATTCCACAAATATCTAAGAAAGGATGGATGGCTTTTTCTGTTTATTTTATTTTTTATTATTTTATTTTATTTTATTTTTTTGAGACAGAGTCTCACTGTGTCGCCCAGGCTGGAATGCGATGGTGTGATCTCAGCTCACTGCAACTTCCGCCTCCCGGGTTCAAGAGGCATTTCTCCTGCCTCTGCTTCCCAAGTAGCTGGGACTACAGGTGCCCACAACCACGCCAGTTAATTTTTTGTATTTTTAATAGAGACAGGGTTTTTTCCATGTTTGCAAGGCTGGTCTTGAACTCCTGACCTCAGGTGATCCACCACCTTGGCCTCCCAAAGTGTTGGAATTACAGGCGTGAGCCACTGCGCCCAGCCAGGATGGGTGTTTCACAGCAACAACAACAATTTTAAAACATGCAATATAAGGCCAAGGGCCAGAAATATCTAACCATTCAATATGTGGGATTCAGAAGGCCAAGCTAGGGAGCAAGGTAGCCCTAGTACTGATAATTTGACTTAGTTGATCTACGATTGTTTATCAAGTGGGGGAAATTGTGTACCCCAAGGTACACTTTGCAATATCTGGAAACATTGTTAGTTGTCATATTGGTATCTGTTGAATGAAAGCCAGGGATGCTGCCAAACAATGCCCTGTGCATGTTTAGTGTCCTGTTCCTTTCCCAAAATGAAGTATTATCCATCCCAAAATACAAATAGTGCTAAGGTCAAGAAACCTATAGCAGGGCAAAATCTAAGATTATTTTAGGTGATTCTGATGTGTTCCCCTGGTTTACTATTTGTTATCTGATGTGTTCCCCAGGCTACTATTTGTTATCCTGAGCATCTCTTTCATTAGTACCTAGCTTTTCATGTCATGAGTTTGCCACATTTGCTTCTGGCTACCATTCCAGAAGAGTCCTTCAACAAAAGCCAGAAACTTCTTCCAACCATTCTTTGAAGTTTTTATCTAGTGTCTGGAAAAGGCTTCATGATATAGTAACTTAAGCCAAATCTTACTTAAGGACTCTTCAGCACTGTAGCTCTTTGATTAATAAAAGCTCTTTCAAGAAATTGCTTACAGCTGTCTAGGATTGCCTGGGAAATTGTGTATTTGTATTTGTGCATTTGTATTTGTATGCACACCTTTGTATGTGCATACACACCTTCGTGTATATCACCAATAGAATTATTATTGTAGTGACTTTATTCTTTGTCACCAAGGCGCGCTGAATGTTTACTGGTGTTAACTATGCTTAGACTGAGTTCCAGTATTGCCTCAAGTATTCCTCTCCAGAGTTCCTTGGCCACAAAGGGTGCTCCAAAGTACTTGGCAACAGTTGCCAGTTCTTTATGCTTGCAATGGTGCTCAAGAACAATGAAACAAATCAGTTTCTAGGATACTGGGCAGTCTCCCATTACACACTATGGCTAACTCAATGTGTCAGTGAATTTATCAAAGGCTGTGTTAAAGAAAATAAAACAAATAAAACTAGTTTCATTAGTCTTAAAGTTTGTTTCCTTTATTTATTATTTAATTTTACTGAAAATTCAATGAGAGGATCTAGAGATTGAGTAGGAGAAAACTGAAGTGGAACCAGAAATATAACTTGATTGTCAGCGTCTAGTATAAAATTCTAGACTAGATTATTCAAAAATTATGAATCTCTGGAGTTGGAGTATTTTAGAGTTATACAAAGCAACCTCTTAATAGTGATCTCTCTGGATCTGTGCCAGCTTTTTGACTATTCAACTTCTAATATTAATAGCATCAACAATAACAACCTATAGGCTATTTTTTAAAAAAAAATCTATTTTCTCAGTCAACAGTCATTAAAACCTATGTGAAAAGAATCAGAATTAGACTTGAATAGTTTGAGCAAAAAATGTAGACGGTATTGTATCATCTGCTCTGTTCTTCAGGGGAAAAAAACAAACATTCACAAGAGGGATTATATTTTGCTGCTTTCCTTACAAATTAAATATGAGATAATGATAAAACTGATGATCCAGTCTAGTAATTCAAGGCTCTAAACATATATAAAAAGTTATCTAAATACTGAATAAGAGGATTCATAATTTTTATTTTTGTTTCCTATGACATACTATTCTCATTAATAGAGAATAAAAGAGCTAAGATTTATTAGTGATTCTTAATAATAACTTATTTAAAATATGACCATAGCCTTATAATTTTTTTTCTTTACTCCTCTCTCCTAATATTATTTTAGTGGTAAAGCAACTGATATTTTGAGCTCACTGGCTCAGATTTTAATTTACTGATAACAATAAAGGATACTAATGAGTATATTTGCATACTCAATTATTTTTAATGTTCATTTAAAACCCTGTTAAGTAAAAAGAATGGTGATTTAAATTAAAAAATAGACATCTATTAGCTCAATCATCATTAAACATGAAAATTAGTTGGTAGAATAATACCAGTTTTGCAATCACTTATTGATGGCAAACCTCAATCCATGGTTAAATACTTTTATTTGTTTAAATTTTTTAAAATTTAAATTTATAGCAAATTTGTAAAATTAGAAAACATGAAAGAAAGTTGAAATAAAAATCACCAATACTACAACAACACAGACAGCAACTATTAATATTTTGGTATTTAATATTCATGCTATTTTTTAAATACAAATAAATTTTATTATTGATATGATTGTTTCTTGTTTCTTTTACTTACATTCTAACATGAACGCTCTCCTATGTTATGATTAGCAATTTGTAAATACTATTTTAATAGGAATACATTATATTATGTGGATTAGCATAAAATTTTTAACCTTTCCAATACTTTTGGATATTTGGATTGTTTCTAAGTTTTGGCTGTAAATTTTTATCATTTGTGATAATGTCTCAAAATAGAATTTTCTTTATTTTAACTAACATCTTTATTGGGATTTATTTTACATATGTACAAGTCAATGGTTTTCAGTATATTTACAGAGTTGTGCAGCCATCATTAATATACAATTGTAGAATTTTTCATCAAGAAAACAATGCCTGTTAATATTATTGCTCATATTTTTTCAAACTCCCAGCCTCAAGTCAACCACTTTTCCCTTTTTAAAATTTTATTTATTTACATTTTGAGACAGTGTCTCACTGTGTCCCCTGGGCTGTAGTGGCATGATCTCTGCTCACTGCAACCTCCGCCTCCCAGGTTCAGGCGATTGTCATGCTTCAGCCCCCTAAGTAGCTGGGACTACAGGCGCATGCCACCATGCCCTGCTAATTTTTGTACTTTTAGCAGAGATGCGGTTTTGCCATGTTGGCCAGGCTCGTCTCTAACTCCTGGCCTCAAATGATCCGCCGGCCTCAGCCTCCCAAAGTGTGGGATCACAGGTGTGGGCCACTGCATCTAGCCTGCTTTCTGTCTCTACAGACTAGCCTACTGTGGACATTTTGTATAAATGGAATCATATGATATGTTTTCCTTTGTGACTGGCTTCTTTCACTTAGCATAATGTTCTATTTTGTAGCATATATCAGTACTTCATTGCTTTTTTTGCCAAATAATCTTCCATTTTATTGCTATAAGACATTTAGACATTTATCATTTGATAGACATTTGAGTTATTTCCACTTTGTTGACTATTACAAATAAAGCTGCTAGGATCATTGATGTTTTTGTGTGGACATATGTTTTTATTGCTCTTGAGTATATACCTAGGAGTGAACTTGACAGGTATGGTAACTGTTTATGTTCAAACTTTGGAAGAACCGCCAGATTGTTTTCCAAACTGGTTGAAATATTTGCATTCACATCAGTAGAGTGTGAGGGTTTCATTGTCTGCACATTGTCTCCAAGACTTGTTATGATCTGTAGCCATTCTGATGAATATAAAGTGGTATCTCATTGTGGTTTCACTTTATGTTTCCCTGATGCCTAAAGATGTTGAGTATCTTTTTAATGTGCTTATTAGCCATTTATATGTGTATATGAAGAAATGTCTATTTAAAGCTTTTGCCCATTTTATTACTGGGGTCTTTGTCTTTTTAATATTGAGTTACTAGAATTTTGAATACATTCTAGATAAAACTCCCTTGTAAGATAATTTGCAAAAGTTTTCTGCCATGCTATAGTTTTTTTCTCTTTTCAAAGGTGCCTTTTGAATCACAAAAGTTTTAAATTTTGATGAAGTATAATTTAGCTATTTGTTTCTTTTGTTGCTTGTGCTTTTTGTATCATATCTAAGAAACCATTGCCTAATCCAAAGATACTAACATTTAATTCCATGTTTCTTTTTAAATGCAATGTTTTAACTTTTAAATTTAGATTTATGATCCACTTTTAGTTAATTTTGCTATACACATATGGATATCCATGTGGATTTGCATATGGATATTTACTTATCCCAGTATCATTTGTATAAAAGACGAGTCTTTCCACTATTAAATTATCTTGGCAAATTGTTGGAAATCATTTGATTGTAAATGTGAGGCTTTATTTATCTAAATTCTATCTCATTGATCTATATATCTATTTTATTTTTATGAGTATCAATTGTCTTGATTACTATAGCTTTGTATTCAGCTTTAACATTGGAAGTGTGAGGCTTTCAACTTTGTTCTCATTTTTCAAGACTTTTTTGGTTATTTTTGAGTCCTTGTATTGTCTTATGAGTTTAAGGATTAGCCTGCCAATTTTGGCAAATAAACTAGCAGAGATTTTGAGAGAGATTGTGAGGAAGCTGTAGAAAACAACTGAGGATTATTGTGATCTTAACAATATTAAATCTTCCAGTATATCAATGTGATAGCTTTCTATTTATTTGAGTCTTTTAAAATTTCTCTTAAAAATGATTTTCAGTTTTCAGAGTATAAATTTTGTATTTCTTTAACTTTATTTCTAAATTTCATGTTATTTGTAGTGAAATTTTCTTAATTTTATTTTTCAAGTTCATTATAAATGTGTTGAAGTGCAATCGATTTTTGTATTTTGATCTTCTATCCTCCAACATTGCTGAATTTATTAGTTTAAATAGATTTTTAGTGGATCCCTTAGGATTTTCTCTATACAAGATCATCATTTGCAAATTGAGAAAGTTTACTTCTTCATTTCCAACTTAGGTGCCTTTTACTCCTCCTCCTCCTTCTTCTCCTTCTACTTCTTTTTTGCCTAATTGCCTTGGTTAGAACTTTCAGTACTATGTTAAACAGAAATGTTTAGAAGACACATTCTTGTCTTATTCTTGTTCTAGTCTTGATCTTAAGGGGTAAATATCCAGTCATTATCCATTAACTATATGATATTAGCTCTTTTTATTTTGTGGATATCATTTATCAGGTTAAGAAAGATCCCTCTATTCCTAATTTGTATAGTATTCTTATCATGAAGGAGTGTATATTTTATTAGATGCTTTTTTTTCATACCTACTGAGATGATCATATACCTTTTGTCACTTATTCTGTTGATACGGTGTAATAAATTAATATATTTCCAAAATGTTTAAGTTAACTAGCTTTGAGTACAGATGGAATAAATGCCATCTGGTCATGGTGATACTTCTGTTTAATATTTTGCTGGATTCAGTTCACTAGTATTTTGTTGAAGATTTTTGTGTCTATATTGATAAAAGATGTTGGTCAGTATTTTTCTTTCTTATGGTATCATTGGCTTTGCTATCAGGGTAACACATATTTTGGCCTCATAGAATGAATTAAGAAGTGTTTCCTCATAATCTGGTTCTTGGAAGGATTTTTGAAGAATTGGCTTTCTTCTGAAAATCTTTGCTAGAAATATCAAGTAAAGTCATCTGGTTCTTGGGATTTGAGGGATTCGATTTTGATTTACAATTCAATTTCTTTAATTGTTATAGATCTGTTCATATGTTTCATTATGTTTTAGTTTTGATAGTCTGTGTCTTTTGAAAAATTTGTACATTTTATCTAAGTTATGTAATTTTTGCATATAGTTATTCATGGTATTCCCTTATATTTCTTTTTTTATTTCTGTATCTACTGTATCAGTAGGGGTGTCTCTCATATTTCATTCTTAATTTTAGTAATTTCATTTTTTTCTCCATTTGCCTTTGTTAGTCTAGCTACAGATTTGTCAAATTTGTTGATCTTTTCAGTGAACCAACTTTTGATTTTGTTAGTATTTTCTGTTGTTTTTCCTCTCTGTATTTTTAAAAATTTCACTCTAATCTTTATCGTGTCCTTGTTTCTGCTTGTTTGCTGTTTTTTTTTTTCTAGTTCTTAAGCAAGAAGATTAGGTTATTGATTTGAGATCTTTCTTCTTGTATAATGTAGGCATTTGCAGCTATAAATTTTTCTCCAATAACTACTTGAACATCATTCCCTAAGTTTTGATATATAGAGTCTTCATTTTCACTCATCTCAAAGTATTTTCTAATTTATCTTGTGATTTCTTTTTTGACTCATTTGTCATTTAAGAATGTGTTGTAGAATTTCCACCACATTTATGAATTTCCATGCTTTGTTGTTGTTGTTGATTTATAACTCAATAATTGTTGTCAGAGAACACACTTTGTATGATTTTAATGCTTATTGAGTTTGATCCTTTCGTTTGGTAGCATATACACTATTTGCTGGCTGATAATGCCTTTTGACATTAATTGCTCCACTCTGATACAATTAAATTCTGGCAGGGATGGTTTTTGAGACCAGTCTTTGAAGTTTCTTCTCACTCCAGAGGGGCTCTTCTTTGCTGTCTTTTTCCACAGTTTTCTCGGACAAGTTAGTGAACCTACCATTTAGTTTGCTGCACTCGTAAAACTGCAGCCTGCTCTTAATTGCTTAAAACAAAAATCTCCATTGTTTTTGATAGTAGACTTAGGCTTGAACTCTGCACACTCTGTTCAAATAAAATCAGTTCTTTTGGGGAGAGGTTTGATGTTCTCCATTCTTATGGACTGCTTCTACCTGTGAGCAAAATCTCTGAGTCAGTACTCTGGCAGTAGGCAGGATGTTAGCCTCTGGTTTGCCTCTCTTGGCATAGAACTTCTGTGCTACCAGCAAGGTGGGGCAAGGGCAGTGGGGCCCTTGGGTTCTTGGCCTTCTCTGGATTGGGAGGTCTTCCCCCTATGAGTACAGGATGGGTGGAGGAAGGGAGCTCTTGAACTCTTTCTGTATTCAACAGAAGTTTAGGCTCAGCAATTTAGAGTTGGAGGGTACGAGAAAAGTTGGTGTCGTGTTTTTCCAAATGAGACTTTTTATTGGGAGCCAAAGGTAAAGGGGACCCCAGTTTCTTGGCCACTCCTGTCCATAGTAAAACTTCCATCAAGCTGAACTGAGGTGGTGGAGGAAGCAGTAATAGTATTTAGTGCAAGTGCCACAGACTCTTATTGTTCTAACCTAGAGTTAGTATATTTTCTTAAATAACATCTTCTTTTGGTTTATGCCCTTAGGTCAAGTTTTAGAGATTTATTTTTAATTAAATAATTCTCACCAGTTATGTAGGGGGCTGAGTCTACTAGGCTTCTCATGTCAACATTCTGGAAGTGGACTCCTTGACATTTCCTATTATGCTATAAATCAGTGACATTGTCTAAACTCTCTGAAATAGTGTTTTCATATCATTTGTATAGGAAATGTGAGATCAAGTAACTAAATCTTAGTTTAAATAATATTTTTAGAGAGATAAATCATATTGTTTTGTACTGAAGTCAGACAGGATTTTGAAGTAGAATTTACTACAAGCCTTTAAATGAGTGTACAAACATTATGTAATTGTTATAGCTATAATAATGAAATTATAGCAAATTCAGCTGAACATCAATTGTTAAGTATTTTGTTACACTGTTGAAATTTCTTTGATCTAAACTGGAAAAATTTGTCTATGATCACACTATTGCAAAATCATAGTTAAAAAATGATTTGATGTAGATTACTTTTTTGAAAATGTAAAACTATGGAGACAGTAAAAAGATCAATGGTTTGCCAGGGGATGGGGGAAGGGTGATATTAATAGATGGAGCATAGAGGAGTTTTAGGGCAGTGAAACTACTCTGTTTGATATTATATTGGTGGATACATGTTATTATACATTTGTCAAAACACAAAGAATGTACAACACCAAGAGTGAACCCTACTGTAGAGTGTGGACTTTAGGTGACAATGTGTCAATGTAGATTTATCAATTTTAGTAAACATACAACTTTGGTGTGGGATTTTGATAGTGAGAGAGGCTGTGCATATGTGGAAGCAAGGGATATATGAAAATCTTTTTACCTTCCTCTCAATTTGGTTGTGAATCTAAAATTGTTTGAAAAAAATAAGTATATTTAAAAAATAATTTGATATATTTTTACAACATACAATTATTCAGAAACAAATACATATATAAAGATACATGTATATAAAATGTGAGATTTGCCTGGGCGTGGTGGCTCACGCCTGTCATCCCAGCACTCTGGGAGGCCCAGGCAGGCGGATGACTTGAGGTCAGGAATTTGAGACCAGCCTGGCCAATATGGCAAAACCCTGTCTCTACTAAAAATACAAAAATTAGCTGGGCTTAGTGTTAAGTGCCTGTAATCCCAGCTACTCAGGAGGCTGAGAGAGGAGAATAGCTTGAATCTGGGAGGTGAAGTTTGCAGTGAGCCGAGATTGTGCCACTGCACTCCAAACCTGGGCGACAGAATGGGACTCTGCCTATTAAAAAAAAAAAAAAAAAGTATTTTAAGTTGTCATAATTACCCAGAATTAGATTTAGTAGAATTCTATTTATTCCGTGGCTAAGTGTTTTGTTTGTTTGTTTGTTTTCAAGTAATTCTTCTGCCTCAGCCTTCTTAGTAGCTGGGATACAGGTGCGTGCCACCACGCCGAGCTAATTTTTGTATTTTTAGTAGAGACAGGGTTTCACCATGTTGGTCAGGCTAGTTTCAAACTCCTGACCTCGTGATCCGCCCGCCTTGCCCTCCCAAAGTGCTGGGATTACAGGTGTGAGCCATTGCGCCCAGCCTATTTAGTGGCTAAGTGTTCTTAACTGACAGAATCCTCTTCCATTCAGACTAAAAAAAATGCTGTCTATAATAAAGCTCTCCACCTGTTATTATTGTACTGCGTATATATATCCTACATGGGTATTCGTTTTTTTCTCTTGTGTTTAGTAATAACTTTTCTGAAACCCCTATGATAGTGGTATCTTTAATTTAAAAATATTTCAGAAAGGAAAAATGAATCCTAGGGATAAGAATCAGGGCAGCTTGGTTTAAACATCTTTCTCCAACTAGAGAATGTCTTTTTAAAGGTTGATAAACTTGAAAAATCAAATTTTTATTTTATTGAGGGAGATGCTGTCTCATCAAAATGGTATTGACATATGTCTTAGGTGTATGTGGCAAATAATTTAGAGGAGAATTGAAACCATGAGACTATGTCATCAATTGTAATTGACATCTGTGTGGGAAAAATAAAGTATTAAAATATTATTTTTCTTTACATCAACTCAGGTATCAAGGGATGAAATGAAAATTCTGTATGAAATTTAAAGATAACATTTCACTTCAAAATATCCCAAAAGCCATGATAGAAAATTGGAGGACCACTGTGTGCTGTTATGATCATCACAAGGATTTTGAAGATTAATTTCTTCAACTTTAAAAAACCTAGGTTCATTCACGTTGCTATAGTTCACTTCCATTTATATATATTTTATGGAGATTCTACTTACATGTAATGCATGCCTAAAAAGTTATAACTGAGGCCATGCGTGGTGGCTCATGCCTGTAATCCCAGCTCTTTGGGAGGCCAAGGCAGGCGGATCACCTGAGGTCAGGAGTTCAAAACCAGCCTGGCCAACATGGTGAAACCCCGTCTCTACTAAAGATACAAAAATTAGCCAGGCATGATGGCAGGCGCCTGTAATCCCAGCTACTCGGGAGGCTGAGGCAGGAGAATCGCTTGAACCCAGGAGGTGGAAGTTGCAGTGAGCCGAGATCACGCCATTGCACTCCAGCCTGAGGGACAATGGCAAGACTTCATCTCAAAAAAAAAAAAAAAAAAGAAAAAAAAAGAGTTATAACTGTGAAGGTAAATACTCTAATTTTATGTTCAGGTCATAGATGAGTGTCTGGAGTGGTTTCAGTTTACTGGGAAAATGTTCTTCATTCAATAGAGGCAGCATTTCAAGACATCTAAGAACTGCTTAATTTAGGCCACTGAGATATTAAAGTTCTTTGCATATTTGGTCATGTATTAGATATGCTTGAGGAGATACCTGTCATGTTTGTGTCATGTTTTTGGTATGAAATAATAGAGTCTCATGAAGTGCAGAATTCATGTCACTGTAGTCAATAAGTTACAAGGCTAAGACTGATAAATGATATGCCCTTGTAAGGTTTATCCTTTGTGGACTTAAGTTTCTCAACTGGTAAAATGCAAATAACTCTATTAGAAGAAATGGGTAACAGTGGGCATTCATGTTTTGTTTAATACATTTCTCTACACTGGAAAGTCATCTACTTACTCAAAGTGATCTTACTCAAAGCAATACAGATATAGATATATATGCACACATATGTTTGCACATATAAATGTCCTCTGTGGATATATAACAAAAATATAAAAAGAAATCATTATACATTAAAACAAATATGAGACTTGAAATAAGAATGGACAAATGGACTGGTTAACTTTTATACATTTGTTTATAGTCAGATTCCTCCCATTTGGTCTTAGGGAATTCTTCATGCCCTATTTCCTTGTATTCACCATAATCAATATACCATATATAGTCTGCTAGACTTCTGATGACCACTGGAAACATTGATTCTTATTCACTAGTCAGTATTAGATGAGGCATTAGGGTCAAGGATGGACATGAAAAAAGGACTACATTATTATGACTTAAATTTTTACATGTATTGATAATGTACTGAAATGTGTGTGTGTGTGTGTGTGTGTGTGTGTGTGTGTACGTGTGCACAGTATATACAGTCATGTACCACCTAATGACATGTTTGTCAACAATGGACAACATACACAAAGGTGGTCCCATAAGATTATAACGAAGATGAAAAATTTCTATTGCCCAGTGGTGTCTTAGCCATCATAATGTCATAGCGCAAGACATTACTCACATATTTGTGGTGATACTGTTGTAAACAAACCTGCACTGTCAGTCATATGAAAGTATAGCACATAAAATTATGTACAGTATATAATACTTGACAATAGTAACAAATGATGGGTTATGTTACTGGTTTATGTATTAACTGTACTTGTTATCATTATTTTGGAGCACACTTCTACTTATTAAAAAAAGTTAACTGTAAACAGCCTCAGGCAGGTCCTTCAGGAGGTATTCCAGAAGAAGGCATTGTTATCATAGGAGATGACAGCTCCATGTGTGTTATTGCCCCTGAAGACCTTCCAGTGGGACAAGATGTGCAGGTGGAAGTCAGTGATATTGATGATCCTGGCCTTGTGTAGGCCTAAGCTAATATGTGTGCACATCTTTGTTTTTAACAAAAAAGTTTTAAAAGTAAAATAAATCAATAAATTTTAAAACAGAATAAAGTTTATATAATAAGGATATAAAGCAAGAAAAAAAATTTTTTACAGCTGTACAATGTGGTCATCTTTTAAGGTATATTCTTACAAAAGAGTAAAAAAAAAATGTTTAAAAGTTTAGAAAGGAAAAAAGTTACAGCAAGCTAAGGTTAATTTGTTATTGAAGAAAGAAAGATTTTTTAATAAATTTAGTGTAGCCTAAGTGTGCAGGGTTCATAAAGTCTGTAGTAGTGTACACTAATGTCCTGGACCTTCACATTTACTCAACACTCATTCACTGGCTCACCCACAACTAGCTTCTTTTGTGATAAATGTTTTATATATGTGTACCATTTTTAATCTCTTATATTGTATTTTTGCTGTAGCTTTTCTAAGTTTAGATATGTTTAGATACACACACACTTACCAGTGTGTTACAAATTGCCTACAGTACTCAGTACAATAACATGCTGTACAGGTTTGAAGTCCAAGATCAACAGGCTGTGTACCATATAACCTAAGCGTGTAGTAGTTTATACCATCTTGGCTTGTGTAAGTATATTTTATAATGTCCACACAACAACAAAATCACATAACAAAGTATCCCTGTTGTTAAGTGATGCATGACTCTGTGTGTGTGTGTGTATATATATTATATACATGTATATAATATATGATATATATTATATACATGTATATAATATGTATATAATATATATTATATACATATTATATACATGTATATAATATATATCATATTATATACATATAATATTCATATATATGATATATATATATACATAGGACTTAAAAAATTCCTAGCAATAATATTGTGTTAACAGCTTTTGGTATCACATCTGGTATAATATATATACGAATATATATATATATATATATATATATATATATATACACACTGTATATGTATAACTATGTTTAACAACATAGTTATTATCATGGGTCATTTACATTTTGAACACCAGATGTGATACCAAGAGCTGTTAACACAGTATTATTGCTAGGAATTTTTTAAGTCCTATGTGTGTGTATATATATATATAATATATATATAAATATAATATATATTATATATGAATATAATATATGAATATAATATATGAATATATATACATATATAAATATATATTATATATGAATATAATATATGAATATAATATATATTATATATGAATATAATATATGAATATATATACATATATGAACATATATTAAATATGAAAATATATACATATATGAATATATATTTATGGATATTTGACTTTTATATATAAGAATATAATATATATGAATATACACATATATGAATATATAATATATATGAATATATACACACATATATATGAATTATATATATATATATATATATATATATATATATATATATATATATTCATAGGACTTTAAAAATTCCTAGCAATAATATTGTGTTAACAGCTCTTGGTATCACATCTGCTGTTCAAAATGTAAATGACCCATGATAATAACTATGTTGTTAAACAGAAAGACTAAGTGGCATGGAACAATAAACCCGCCCTACGTCCTGAAAATTGCATACCTTGAAAATAGTCTCGCATTTGCAATCACATATAACCCCTGATACTGAAAAATGTGGTCATTTACTCATTTCAATGCTTTACACACTTTCAGAGTTACTCATTTTCTATCAGTTCTCCTATCTACTCCAATGTGTTGACATTATGCTAGCTGTTTCAGGTCACTTTTAAACCATTCTTGTTTCCATTTAATCAAAGACTTCACAAGATTTTCTGAGATGAAAGAGATTTAAGACCTTACCTATTCCAACCTGATTATTTTTCATATAAGCTAAAGGAGATTGCTGCAGATTGTATTTCCAAAAATGACTACACCGATAACTCCCATACCACATGTTTTCCTTGCAAATTGACATTGAAATTTCTCCATTGAGGGAGATGGAATCTATGTTCTCTCCACTCCAATCTGAGCAGCACTGTGACTATGGTGTGCTATGTGCATTTTGAGGCTACACCATAAAAAGCTATATGGCTTCTAAGTGACCCTCTGTAGGGACTCATGCCTTGGAAGCCTTCAACTGACATGTGAAAAAGTTCAGCTACATTGAATCCGCATGCTGGAGAAATCATGCAGAGAGGCTGCATAGAAACAAAGTACCTAAGGAATCCTAACTGTTCCAGACCTAGCTGTTTTGAATTTTGTCACCTAGGTGAGTGAAAGAGCCTTCACATGGCTACATTTCCCAGCATTCTTTCCATCTCAGATGACTTCAAGCAGAGCAGAGACTTCAGGGCAGAGAGAGCTGCTCCTGCCTAGCATTGCCTATAATGCAGATTCACGAGCAATATTGATGCTTTTTGCAACTCACTTTTGGGATGGTTTATTACACAGCCATAGAAACTGACACAGAGACCCAGAAACCTTAAGTTACTTGTCCAAAATGCACAGCTGCAACAGAACTAGTTTAGACTACATGTATTTTGATTCTGAATTTAATACTTTTTCTACTTCACCATGTTTTTTTAATACATTAGGATGTGTTTTCAGATTTTTTTTCTTAATTTTTCATAAGTCTGTTTGAAAGGAAGTAGTACGCATTTGATTTTTTTTTCCTTCTTGGTACCATATATTCTTCTTTGTTGTTAATGAACATAGGTTTACCCTGAAAGTAAGGCCAAAATATTTTCCTTTTATTCTGTTGCATAAAATGACTTCATTTTGCCAGCTGCTGGCAAAAATCTGACTAAAAGCCTTTAACAAATAATCAGGAATGCACAACCCCCTCATATGCATGTGGTGAGAAATTAAGTGCTCAAACTGAGAAAAAAACAAAACATGGCTCTCCTGCGTGCATTTGCAAATTCAGAATAATCACACTAAAATACAGAATTGATCAGAAGTTAACCTTGTGAAGCATAACTTGCATCATTTCTAGCTTATCAGTGCTCTGAGCATTGGAATTTTCCAACTATGAGTCAAACTAAATTGGTTTTCATGATTTCAGTCTAGGTGAGTAGCAAAATAAAACAATTAGGAAAACCATCTACCTATTTAAGCTTCTTAGCAAAATTACATTTTGATTCGATATTAGATAAAAGGAATAAAAAAGTTATTTGCTAAATTTTTAACTTAGATTAAAAATGATTCGTTTTAGTTTCCTCCTTTTCAAAAAGGTGATAATCTTAATTTATTGTATTCTTGCCAACTCTATAACTGTAAAGGAATGAAGGGAACTTATATGTGGGGGGATTGAAAAAGTGCTGAAGAGTTTCTCCAATCCCACATTTCTTTCACTGTTAGAGTAGAAAGATAACATTCTTTCCAGAAGGTCCCTTAAGGTGTTTATTTATGAAATTTATCATGAATCATATGTTAAACTCAAGGCTGGACAACTTCCCATATTGTGCACACTCACAACCACCCTATGTCATAGGCCTCATCCTCATTCCTCATTTTAAGGATTTGTAACCCAGGCTCAGAGAGGTTACTTGTTCAGAATTACCCATCTGATATATTTTATTGTTGGAATGCATATCACAATCTCCTTTCTCTTAAATTCTATGCTCTTTCCGCCTTACCATATTGTTTCTGCTAAACAGATTAGTTTATTGAATTACTTCATTCTTTGGGTCTGATGAGACAAGCTCCATATAATAATCCATAAGCTAATACAAGTAATAATCTATAAGCTAAATATATAGTCACTGTGAAGCAGTGGGTCAGGGACTGTTTTTTATACCAAGGATGGCAAAATGACTATTACATTGGGTAGGAAGTGAAGAAAGATCAGGCAGTGGGGCATCTGGGTTCAGGAAGAAAATCTTTCATGAAAGGGAACAAATTTGATGGAACACAAAAACAGGAGGGAAAGAAAGAGAGGGTGAACTCACAAAATGAGATGTGTTAAAACACACACATATACACACAGAAAACCCAGAACAACTTTTACTCATCTTGCAACTTGTTTTGGGGATAGTCATAGTTTTAAGGAAATAAATGAGAGCTCATTGTTAACTTGACAGAAGAAAGCTTTATTCTACTGATTTAAAAGATTAAAATGTTGCCTAATCAAATTAGATTGACTCTTTTCCTCCTGTAAAATATAATAAAAAGTAAAATTTTGGTTTTATTTTAAAGAATTTGAGTAATAGAAATTGACCAATCGGACTTATATATTGACTTTAAATTTAGTATAGTTGATTACTTTGAAAGGGTTTACCTTCAACTTACTGAAAAATCTCTACATACTCTTCTCTTATGTTTCAGCCTTCTTTTAATCTGGTGTTTTGGAAAGAATACCATGAACTAAGCCTGAAATTTCTTAGGGCTACAACATTTGCATATCTCTTAGTTTTCAAGAATTTTCTCAGTAAAAGTGAGCAACCTATGACATGTCTGGTTGCTTTGTTCTACTACCAGGCTAATTTCCTTTTCTGTTTTTAAAGTAATGATACATAATATATTTGACTTTATTCTTTTTAAACAGTAAATAGTTAGAAATCCAATATTAGTACTGTTTTGTGCTCTTACCAGTAGCCAGTTTCATTGGTTCAACAATAGTGAGCACCTACTGTATGTCAAACATTATTCTACATACTAAGGATGCAGCAGGAAAAAAAATTGGCAAAATCTCTCCTCTCCTGGAGCTTGCATCCTAGAGGAAAAGCTGGGTAACAAACAAACAAGCTTCTCCAAAGTATACTTTGATGTCAGATAATGATAAATGCCTAGAAGAAAATCAGTTTCAGGAAAACACATTACAGAGTGAAAAATCTATAGCAGCTGCATTTTAGATCACATGTTCAAGAAAACATCTCTAAGAAGTGAATTGTAGCAAATACTTGAATAAAGGAAAAAGTGAGCCTGCACAGATTCATGGAAAGGCAGAGGTACAGTAAGCCCTGAGATGGAAGCATGTTGATATGAACTAAGGAGACAAGTAAATTGCCGCTCTGTGAGCCGGCTGACAAGTAAATTTCCTCACGTTTGTGTGGAGCTTGACTTCATGTCTTCTGCTTCTTAGACCATATGTATGACTTGGAAGCAAGAATACAATCTTAATTCTCTCCAGATAGGGTTAGGGGCTTTAGCTTCTATCATCTTAAACACTGTCCTTCAGATCAAAATACGAATTTTCCATGAAATTTTGTTATATGTGCTTTTATTTTTGTTCTGCCATTATTTTCTCATTTTTAAAAATAATTAATTGGCAAATGAAAATTGTATATATTTGAGGTATACAATGCAATGGTATATGTATATCAATGCAATGCAATGGTATATGTATATCAATGCAATGCAATGATATATGTTTTGTATAATGATAACCACTATCAAATTAATTAATACATCTATCACCATTCATGCTGTACCTTAGATCCCCAGAACCTGTTTATCTTATAACCGCGGGTTTATACCCTTTGATTAACATCTTCTCATTCCTCTCACCCACTGATAACCACTGTTTTAGTCTATGTCTATGGATTTTACTTTTTACTTTTTTTTTTTTTTTTTTTTTTTTTTGAGACCAAGTCTCACTCTGTCGCCAGGCTGGAGTGCAGTGGCGCGATCTCGGCTCACTGCAACATCCCCCTCCTGGGTTCAAGTGATTCTACTACCTCAGCCTCCCGAGTAGTTACAGCGGGTGACTACAGGCACCCGCCACCACGCCCGGCTAATTTTTTTGTATTTTTAGTAGAGACAGGGTTTCACCATGTTGGCCAGGATGGTCTCGAACCCCTGACTTTGTGATCCACCCGCCTCAGCCTTTCAAAGTGCTGAGATTACAGGCATGAGCCACCGCTCCCAGCCTGGATTTTACTCTTTAGTGAATAATAACAGCTAACACTTAATACATGTGTACTATATGCAAGGCACTGTGTTAAAGTGCTTTAAGTTTATTAATTCATTTAATCCTCATCAGAACCTTATGAGGAGGTGCTATTATTATTCCTGTTTTACAGATGGGGAAACTGAGACACAAGACAGGTTAAGAAATTTCCTTGAAAGGATATTGCTGCTAAAGGGCAGGTTTGGATTTGATTTGGATTTTGAATGCATGCAATTCTGAATCTAGAGTATGTTTTTCCAATCTCTCTGTTTTTCCAATCTCTAACCTTTCTTTTCACAATTATATTAAGAAGGTCAAATGTATGAATCTGCATTTTTTACTCCAAGCATTTTTATGTTGTTTCCTTTAGAACCACAGACAAAGATGAGCCATCTAGTTTGGCAAGCTTTGGTTATTTTCTAAGTAGTTTAGAGAGCTGCACATTATATTTAATATAGTGAAACACTTTGTTATTCATGAAATTCTAGTCCACTCCAAAATCAACTATTAGGAATTTGTTCATTAGTTTAAAAGTATCAAATGCATATGGAAATACAAGGTTATTTTGGCAAATACTGTTTGCATTTTAGAATTTATTTCATCTATTTCAAATTTATAATAGAAATGTTCACTAATAAAAAAAAATCTTTGTCTTATTTTTAATTAGTTTATGTTTATTTTACTGCCCAAATTCCCCCAGTGGTAATGCTGGAGACACCCGTTTTGCCTTTTAAATACAATTATGAGTCACAATGCAAATTTTCTTACCAATTGTTACGTATTATGTCATATTATTAGTGGGTAGCTATCTTATATAATTTTGAAATTATATGTAATTTTTTGGCATAAAGTTCATACTTAATAACATAAATTTTAAGAAAAAATATTGTAGTAGCATTACTCTAATACTGCCAGTGGCAAAAATCATTCATAGAGCTCGCACCTGTAATCACAGCAATTTGGGAGGCTGAGGTAGGAGGATCACTTGAGCCTAGGAGTTTGAGATCAGCCTGGGTAACATAGTGAGACCCCATCTCTAATAAAAAAAAATTTATAATAGATTAAAAAAATATAATTCTGTTTCATGGTACCATGTAAAGTGTTTCTTGGATTCTGCCATAATAAATGTAGCAGTTGAATTGTTTCCTTCTCGTCGTCTGTTTTATTGAATAGCAAGATTTGGGATATAACATATATTTTAATTATATCTCACTACTATTTATTACAGAATGATTTATTTTTTAAATGCAATGCTAGAAATATTTAGAATGATAATAATGATTGACTTTTTAAAATTAGAACTAAACATGAGAGAACTAGATGAAGAACTACATGAAGAAGAATGTTTCTTAAAAGAGAGGAGCCATTCAGTCATCTTTCCATAACTTTCAATAATCCCTTTCGACACTCAGTTTTCTCACCCACCCTGTGCCTGTACTTTTCAGTCAATTACATTGGTCCTATGACAAATACGAGAAGACCTTCTTTGTTATTTTACTGAAAAAATATTCCTAATAACTTACTTTACTTTGTGGATTTAGATGCTCCATTCTTAATCGCATATGAAAAGAAATCAGAGATTAATTTTATTTTAGAGCCATTGATCAAATTTATGTTTGCCAAAATACCTTCAAAAGCTGAAAGCCATGAACGGATTAAGTAAGATAGTCAACTAATACTAGTGTGTATGGAATATGATGCAGCCATAACAAAGAATGAGATCATGTCCTTTGCAGTGACATGAATGGAGCTGGAGGCTATTATCTTAAATTAATTAATGCAGAAACAGAAAACCAAATAGTGCATGTTCTCACTTACATTTGGGAGCTAAGCATTGAGCACATATAGATACAAAGAAGGAAACAATAGACACAGAGGCCTAATATTATGTTAAATGAATTAATGCAGAAACAGAAAACCAAATAGTGGATGTTCTGACTTATATTTGGGAGTTAAACATTGAGTACATATGGATACAGAGAAGAGAACAATAGACACAGAGGCCTACTTGAGAATGGAGAGTGGTAGGACGGTGAGAATTAAAAATCTACCTATTGGATACTATGCTGATTACCTGGGTGACAAAATTATTTGTACACCAAACTCCTGTGATATGCAATTTACCCATGTAACAAACCTGCACATGTACCCACTAAACCTAAAAGAAAAAAAAAATAATAGTGTGGTTGCTGAACATTGGCAATGTAAGTCTCTTGGGACAGATATTCCATATTTTTCTGTCATCTTCAGAGTCATGTTGGCAACTTGATCTTAATCTCTTCTAAGTGTTTCTGTTCAGTTATTATATGTAGTTATTATATATAATATACTGATTGATCATGTGTTTCCCTTTGCCTGGCATGGCTTCGCTTTGTCATATGTGTTGTTATTTGGGTTGGGGGTGAAATGAAATTTATTGATGATTCCCCAAATGTCTGCTTGCCCTGGAAATGTGAAGCTGATGTAATACAATTTCTAGTAGACTTGCATATGTGCTAGCTTTTCTTGTGCTTTAAAGAATGGTGGTCATTGAGCACAATGCTAATGGCTAATACAGATACAACTTCTTGTTTCTGCTTAGAAATGTTTTGTAATTTAAAGTTATTTGCAGCATCATGTGTTCTTATGGGGATTACAAATAATCTCTGAGAGGCATGAAGATACCTATTATGGGCTGAGTGGTGTCCCTCAAAATTCATTTGTTGAAGTTCTAACCCCTAGCCCCTCAGTATGTGACCATATTAGGGCCTTTTGAGATGTAATTAAGGTAAAATGAGGTCATGTGGGTAGGCCCTAATCAAATATAACTGGTGTTCTTATAAGAAGAGAAGATTAGTACACAGAAAAAATGCACAGAGGAAAGACCATATGAAGATATAGGGAGAAGATGGCCATCTACAGGCCAAGATCGAGGCCTCAGAATGTTGGCTAAATCCTGCCAACACCTTGATCTCAAACTTGTAGCTTCCAGAACGTAGAGAATAAATTTCATTTTTCTTTTTCCATAGGTTTTGGGGGAACAGGTGGTGTTTGGTTACATGAGTAAGTTCTTTAGTGGTGATTTGTGAGATTTTGGTGCACCCATCACCTGAGCAGTATACACTGCACCCTATTTGCAGTCTTTTATCCCTCGCCCATGTCCCATCCTTCCCCCGAAGTCCTCAAAGTCCATGTATCATTCTTACGCCTTTGCATCCTCATAGCTTAGCTCCCACATACCAGTGAGAACAATGTTTGATTTTTCAATCCTGAGTTATTTCACTTAGAATAATAGTCTCCAATCTCATCCAGGTCACTGTGAATGCTGTTAACTCATTCCTTTTTATGGCGGAGTAGTATTCCATCATACACATATACCACAGTTTCTTTATCTACCCGTTGATTGATGGGCATTTGGGTTGGTTTCATTATTTTGCAATTGCAAGTTGTGCTGCTATAAACATCAGTATGATCTCTTTTTATAATGACCTTTTTCCTCTAGATAGATACCCAGGAGTGGGGTTGCTGGATCAGATGGTAGTTCTACTTAGTTTTTTAAGGAATTTCCACACTTTTTTCCATAGTGGTCGTACCAGTTTATGTTCCCACCAGCAGTGTAGAAGTGTTCCCTGATCACTGCATCCACGCCAACAACTACTGTTTTTTGATTTTTTGTATATGACTACTCCTGAAGGAGAAAGGTGGTATCACATTGTAGTTTTGATTTGCATTTCCCTGATCATTAGTGATGTTGAGCATTTTTCATATGTTTGTTGGTCATTTTTATATCTTCTTTTGAGAATTGTCCATTCATGTCTTTAGCCCACTTTTTGGTGCAATTGTTTTTTTCTTGCTGATTTGTTTGGGTTCATTGAAGTTTCTGGATATCAGTCCTTTGTCAGATGTATAGATTGTGAAGATTTTCTGAGAATGGGGAGAATAAGTTTCTATTGTTTAAATTATCCAATCAGCGGTATTTTTTATGGCAGTCCTAGCACATTAATACAATATCCAAATATATTATCTAACAAATAATTACTATTATTCATTTAAAACATCCGTTCTATTGTAGAGATTTGATGAACATGATAAGAAACTCAGTATGTGGTATTAGGCGTTTGTTTAAGTTTAATCTCATGTACTTTTAAAATCTCATGTACCAGGGAGGTAGACTGAAATGGAAACTCTCCTTTCTATGTACAACCTCTGAATTTCTTACACTACAGAACCTACTCTTTATCTTTGTTTCAGCTTTTGGTGCTCTGATTCCATCTATTTCTGTTTTATTGTACCTATTCTGTCATTTTTTTTTTTTTTGACTCTTTGCAGGGTTCATATTCTTCAGCCAGTTATTTCAGTAATTAACTCTAAATCTTCACAGTTGTTGTTCTTCTGACATTCCTGCTTTGCAAATCCCCAAATCTCTGCAAAGGCTACAATGTTCTTTCTCCATCCTCACCCATATGGTGGCTGACATGTCTCTATCTCTTTCTCAAAAGATACCTTTGAAGCTTAGTTTATTGAGATTACTAAGCCAGTGTAACAAACTCAAATGATTATACTATGGGACTTAGAGATGTCTCACATATGAATAAAGTAGTTATGGAAGCAGGGAAGCTTAATGGGGAATGTGGCAGACCATGCTGCACATGCTCCACTGGACACAGACGTGACTTAGCTACACCTCACTGATGTGATGCAACATCAGAGACCCCGTATTGCTGTTTCTATTTACTTTATCTTTTCTAAGAGGTGCTGGTGCTATTACAAAAGATCCAATTATAGACTAAATAAAGCACAATTATTTTCTGACCACTTCGAGTTATTTGATGTAGGCAATTAGTCACGAGCTTCTATACTTGGCTCATCCACATTTCTAAATATTCATATCTTAGACATGTATGAGGTTGGTTGGGGAGAGTGTCTGTGAGTAAAGATGGCGATAGAGACATGAGATTAGGAGATCTGATGGACTGTGATACACACTGACACCTGTGGAGGAGAAAGGGAAGGAAATTTTAGCAGAGTAATTCTAAGAAATTTTTCTCAAGACTGGTAGGGAGTCCTTAAGCCAAAGTTGCCATTCAAAGGGGTTCTGCATTTTTCAGGAATGGATCTGCTTCAGTATTTATACCACATTCAGTCTTTGGCGGGGGACAATGTGGGAGCTGAGGCCTTAGTGTGAATGAGATGGTAGATTCAGTTAGTTACGCTCTCCCCATTCAGAAATTTGAGAAGTGCATGTTATTGGCTGCCACAGACCATCCCATGTGCCACACAGATCTGTCTCTGCACAGGTTTGAGAAATAGCTCCTCCATAGTTCCTGTAGGCCTCTTCCCTGCCCACCCACCGACCACCTGCCCCATGAGGAAATTTAGAGAAGGGAGGTCAATGAAACTACCTACAAATGTTATAGTTGTAATTGATCTCAGGCCACACTGGATACAGGGTCATCATCCATGCAAGTATGGTGACACCTCTTTTCACCTGCTGATCCATAGATACAAGAAGTTCAAAGTGGCTTGGCAAGAGCTGCAGCTTGTGGTTCAGAGGGATCTTGCTGTGGCTCTTAGGCAAAAGTGCGCCTTCTCTCTTTGGTAAGAAGGAGCTCCAACTCTACTGATCTCTGGGTTTCAGTGAAAGGAAGCACAAAATTCTCCAGCGCATCATTGAGAAAGACAGAAAGTGAGGACTCTGTTTTCATCTCTGCATTGGAAAAAGTGCATGGATCAGACTAATGGCTGCATACTATGTACCTGAGGCTTTATTAATCTGCTCTAGCATGATACCTCATCTGGCGTAGCAGCTGCCACCAGGGCTATTACGTGATTAAGGCTCTGGAAGCCTACAATCATTCTCCGGCATTCATCTAGTTTTTGCAGGGGCCAGACTGGCAAATTAAACAGAGATGTAATAGGAACCACTACTCCTGCACCCTGTCTTTCATTGTGACACTAATCTCCTCTATCCACCCCCATGCTCCTTGAGATGAGTTTTTAGTTTTTACAGTCTTGACCATCTGGGTTGAATAGTGGTGGTAGTGGGGATAATTTCAGGGATGTCCACTTGGCCTTTCCACTGTGATTGCTCTTACTTCAGAGGCAATTAACTAGTGTTGGTGTTCACCCAAATGCCAGGTATGTCCATTTCAATTTTATACACTAGGACTAAGAACGTGACTCCTACTGGATCTGTGAATCCAGTGAGCCCACAAAGAGCCAGAATGTAACTGAGGCCCATTTATTACCTAGCTTTTGTAGCACCTTCCTGTCTCCCTGTAATATAGGGGTCAATGATGATGCTTTTCACCTTGGGTCATCAGAGTTTATTCAGACACTGTGTCCAGTAATCCTCAACATATCTAAGCAGTCACCTTTCTCCAGTACTGAGTGACCCAAGTAAATGGTCATAAGTCCTTTTGGTGAAAGATCTAGGAGGATCAACACAATTACGTAATTGCCACAATGTTGCAAGGTCCTTCTCCCTAGGGCCTTGGCTACTTCTTCATTTGCTGGGTTCTGGAACTAAAAATTCATTTAGGTCTGAGATCTGTGCAAGGGATCATACATTTTTATTGGGGCAACCACCCTCTGGCTTCTTGTCTTCCCTTGTTTATTTTTTTGGGGGAGGGTGGGTGTTGTAGATGTTAAACAGCACTCTTGTTTGGCTGCCAATGTATTTTTGGCCTTAACAATGCTCTATGAACTAGCTCTACAATTCCTTCAGGTCAAGCCTCCCTCGACGTTCCTTCAACCTTGCCAGTCATGGTAGTTACGGCCTTTTGGTTTCTGGCAGGTAAGCACAACGATCTGACCTCTCTTATTTCAGGCAGTAGGGGGTGAGAAGGGTTCAAAACAATGGATATTTTAGACATGAAGTCCTTGCCCATGCCTATGTCCTGAATGGTATTGTCTAGGCTTTCTTCTAGGATTTTTATGGTTTTAGGTCTAACATTTAAGTCTTTAATCCATCTTGAATTAATTTTTGTATAAGGCTTTCTACATATGGCTAGCCAGTTTTCCCAGCACCATTTATTAAATAGGGAATCCTTTCCACATTTCTCATTTTTGTCAGGTTTGTCAAAGATCAGATGGTTGTAGATGTGTGGTATTATTTCTGAGGACTCTGTTCTATTCCATTGGTCTATATCTCTGTTTTGGTACCAGTACCATGCTGTTTTAGTTACTGTAGCCTTGTAGTATAGTTTGAAGTCAGGTAGCATGATGCCTCCAGCTTTGCTCTTTTGGCTTAGGATTGACTTGGCAATGCGGGCTCTTTTTTGGTTCCATATGAAACAATAAAACAATGGATATTATTGAGCCAAGCTTTGGGACTGCCCTCCTACTGTAATAGATTACCTGCTGAGTAGAGTAACCACTGAACTTCTTGGTGATGCTGATTCCCCTACTGCAACTACAGTACTATCAGCCCTAGTGAATGGCATGTCCCCTGAAGCTTCCCATGGAACATAATACTTCGGTGGGTTTTCCTTTCTCACATAATATATCTATTTCTGCATCTCTACTTCCTTCCCTCATCCTCTTTATTCCTTCTTCTACCATCTATCAGGGAAGATCAGATATTTCTACATGAAGAAAGGCATAGTTTCTCCATGTGTTTAAGAGCCACCCTAGCAGAGATGTTGCCTCACAGCCTTGCTAGCCCTTGCTAGAGTGTTAATTCCCATATACCGAGAATGTGCCCCAAGAACTTTTGCTTATCCAGTCTTATATTCTAGCCCACTTTGATCAAGTACCCTTAAAATTCAATTGCAGGGTTTTTTTCCCTGGTCCTTTCTGGTTGTGCAGCTATTTCTCACTGCTGCATTGGTATATAATCTCTATCCTCCCTTTTGAGGCCCAGTAATTCTCCAGTTGGGTTAGACTGGGATTTAACCATAGTTATAGCCAAGTAGCCAGGACAGAAAGTGAGTGCATGTCCTAAAGGGAAACCTGTTGCCTTGCAGGTGAGATATTTCTGTAATATCTACCAGCACAAGGGAAGTACTAGCATAGGGAAGACTGGGCCATCTCTGCAAACTCTGCGAGTCCAAGGGGTATTTCAGGAGCCAAACCCCTCAAAGACATACATCCAGATATTCTCATCCCATCTTTCAGGTTCCCAGGTTTTCCAACCAGGTCCCTGGTTTTAGCATTGCCGACCTGCCTTTGCTGAACATTTGAACCTCTCTGGAGCTCAATTAGAGCGTCTGTTTGCTCTGCTCAGCTGTGTCCATTTTTCTACCATGGGAGTTATGAGCCTCTTTGTAATCTACCAAATCTGGCTCTCACATTTAGTCTTAACTGCTTATTAACAGCTGTCAGTTTTTAAATTATCTGTCTGTAGTGTGTCATTACAATGTAGCAGTAATCATCCCACTCTGCTGTCTTTATAGGCATTGTTTCCTTTTTCTTTTTCAAAGGCATGACTCATTGCACCTGCAAGGATGTTCCCCCTTAGCAACTTCCACGTCACTTCTCATGAAATCTTTAGCAATTGCACATCGTGTGGATGGCCCAACCATTGCCCCACATGCTACTCAGAACCGTGTCCTCTTTGACAACTGCTGGGGGATAAGGAAGCCAAACCTAAAACTCTGTCTTACTGTTTATTTTCTCAGCCCACTCCCATCATCTCTTGTGCTAGTTTGGTCTTTTGGGAAACAGAGTCAAGACAGGATTAGATATGTAAGATTGTTATTGAGAAATACACCTGTGAGAGAAAATGAGGAGAGTTGTCTGCGAGGCAGATCTGAGCCATATGAAAGATAGAGGGGAGGAAGTTAGGTCAGATAGGAAAAGTCTCAGGCTATGGTGCAGTTTCAAGAAAGTTTTAGCAAGGCTGGTGGAGAGTCACTGTCACCTATCAAGCCAATGTTGCCTGTCAGAGGAGCTCCACATGTTGCAGGAAAGGGCCTCCGTTAGTATCTGCTTCACACAGTCATTAGCTGAGAGCAGCCTTAGCAAAAATGTGAAGATAGATTCAGAACACAGAAGCTGGGACCATCTGTCAATTATTTACCCTAAAATTAGAGATCATAGAGGCTAATATTCAGTACTAAGGGCTGTTCTGGGACATTGGGCTTTTACTGCTAAAATCAGGAGAGTCCTGGACAAACTGGGATGGTTGATCATTGTAGCTGTGACTGTTTTATCATCATAATCACAGTCGCCTTGAATAAAATCCTAAATTCTCAGTGCTAAAAGCCATTTTCTCATAACTAACAAACTAGATATTTTACACAAATCAATTCATCCCTCCAACCTCATTTCTGACTCTTCTCTATCATTCTCCTCATATTCTAATGAACAGCATAATTCCTTGTGCCACATTCTGAGAGTTTCTTCCAAGTCTAGTCCCCAAATTGATGTAGGCTTTACCTTTTCTAGACTCTCATTCCAATTTCTGCATATTTCCTAGGGGAACTTTCTAATTTATAGTTATTCATGTGCATTTCTTCTTACTTTTCTGAATTTCGTTTTCCTAGAGAGCAGGATTCAAGTCTGATTTATATTTGTGTGTTCACTATGATAGGAAAGATTCCTTCGCAGTAGCAAATACTCAATAAGAGTCTGTTTTCAATTTATCTGCCCCATTGGATTTTCACTGAACTTTTTGTTACCATATATTATGGTTGATCATCCTATGAGATATTTTCTGTATTGTAATTTCGTTGAGGTTAAGCAGGAGTATTCCCAGGGCCTGCACCCAAAAGGCACATCTATATTTTAAGATGATGCCAGACAATCTACTTAAAATTTACCATAGGTGATTTGATTAGGAATGATAATTAAATTTTGCTTACAGCAAATATTGGTATGTTTTTGATTATTTTGTATTGAGATATAATTTATCCATAGTAGAGTGTTCAGATAGTAAGTTTGCCTTTCATTAAGTTTTGATGAGTAAATAACAATAAATGGACTATTTCTATCACTTTAGAAAGTTTCCTCCTATTCCTGCCCGCCTATCCTCAGAAGTGATCACTAATCTCATTTTTATCACCATTGATTAGTTTTACCTATTCTACAGTTTTATATAAATGGAATTACATGATATATATTCTTTTGTGCCTGGTTTCTTTCACGTCACATAATATTTTTGACATCCCTCCTGTTTTTGCATGTGTTAGTAGGGTGCGCCTTTGTGGCATTAATATCCATTTTGTGAGTACACCAGTTTGTTTAACTGTTTCTGCAATGATAGATGTTTGTTTTTGTTCTAGTTTTTGGCTCTTATATTCAAAATAATACTTTGGCCTTTCTTATACACAGCTTTCTGCGGACATAGTTTTCACTGTTTAGCTTTAGGGTCTGATAATCAATTTTCATACAAATTGAGCACTTAGACATCTCTAGAGCAACAAGCAATGGGAATAGAATAGGACATATATTATAGGATTTATATGGTCACACTCTCCCTCATATGTGTTTTAAGGAAAGGGTTATTCGTACTATACATTGACTAAATTTAAGTTGGAGGGAAGATTGCAGGTCTACTCAGTCACTGACAAGATTTCCTGAAGCACTCGAGATTCCTTTTGAGTTTCCTTTTGTAGACTCCTATCCAATTATCTACTAGTCTGTCACTGTTTTTCTTTTAAGATCTATGAGGCTTATAGCTCAAGGTAATATAACAGGAGGAAATGATACACACAGACACACATACATGCACACAAGTACACACAGAGAGAATTGTTATATCTCTACTTTGATAACTGAAAATATTTCAAGATAGCTATTTCAGAACAAGTCTTTGTCCTTGATCTACCCTTCTTAAGATGTTCTATCACAAACTTTCTAAAAATATGTTATTGGTATTCTCACTGAATCAAAATTTCTTAAGGAATCTTGTTTTCCTTTTATCTCTCTGGGATGCATTCTAAAAAACTCTGAACCTTTCTTTTTAACAATTAAATTATATGTCTCTTCATTTACCTGATAATGCCAGCTGATACGGAGATCTTTAATTTTTTTTTTTCCATTTCATCCTAGTTTTCTAATCTAATGTAATCTTTAACCTTTGGTCAGCATGAACATGGTTTAATTGAAGTGAAAAACATCTGTTGCTTGAACTGCTTCAACACTTCTTATATTTTCAGTAACCCTGTTCCTGATTCTGCTGAGACCAAGAGTATTATTAATTCTAATATATACTATCCAAAACCTAGCTCATGTGAATACTTTTTTTCCTTCAAGAGTTTTTTAAAGCCTGTTTCTCTGCTCCTAAAATGGAAACACTGTAAGTGAAACATCATGCAGTTCAGGTAAGGTATTTGGTGAAATTGGAGTTTTTTCATTTCCTGCATGGGTAGGATATTAAGAGTGTCATCCAAGTAAAAAACATCAAAGATTAGACATAACTTTTAGATATATTTTACTATCATAAAAGTTTCAGAATTTGATTAGCAATGATAATTAAAATGTGGACTTCCTTTCAATCTGGTGGAGTACTTTTTAAACATTTTACCATGGAAACTTTGAAACATTAAAAAAAAAAGTAGAGAGAAGAGAATAATGAACCCCTCCCACGTACCCATCACCAGCTTCAATTCATGACCAGATTGTTTCATCTAATTTAAACAAACCCAAGACATCACATAATTTCATTATTGAGTTATTCTAAACAATATGAGACAATACTATATCTTTTGGTGTATGGCTTGCCAAACATTTTTTGTAATTTTAAGTATTCAGAGTTACAAAATTGCTTTGCTTTGACCCTTGAGTTTAAACTCCATGGAATCCTATTTTGGTCATTTAACTTACATTTGATATATAATTAAATTCATTATAAAATGATACTATAATGATAGCCTGCCACATGATTTTAATATTTTACCATAGGAGGAAATACATAGTTTAATAAATGCCTATTGTTGCTGCTTCTTTTTTTTTTTTTTTTTTTTTTTTTTGACGGAGTCTCACTCTGTTGCCAGGCTGGAGTGCAGTGGCACGGTCTCGGCTCACTGCAAGCTCCGTCTCCCGGGTTCAAGTGATTCTCCTGCCTCAGTCTCCTGAGTAGCTGGGACTACAGGCACGGGCCACCACGCCCAGTTAATTTTTGTATTTTTAGTACAGATGGAGTTTCACCACGTTGACCAGGATGGTCTCGATCTCTTGACCTCGTGATCCTCCCACCTTGGCCTTGCAAAATTGCTTATTTAACTGATTCAATAATCTAAAATATTACTACCTTATTAAATTACTTATATTCTTACTCTTTTTATCTTACTCTTCTTTTACTCTTCTTTGCTCTAGATGATACTATGCTAATAACTCTTATACTATTCACTTGATTCTATTCCTATTATTGTTTATTGGATATCAACATTTATTCAATTATCATGTATGGAAAGCTGGAGGAAGACATTGTGAATCCAAGATGAATGAGAGCCCATCTCAGTCAACTGGAAAGGCAGATGCATAAAAAGTGAGCTGTGCAACCTCTGTGTAAAGTATAACTATAGAGAGAAGCACAGGTTATTAGGGGAATAACAAGAAAGACAATGACTTAGACTGTGATAGTCAGTAAGGTTTCCTGGCAGAGGAAGAATATGAGTCTTAATGTCTGAGTAATAGTTTCCTACTAAAGGTAAGGAAATGCAGAGGAAATGGCAGGAGAAAAGGTAAAGAGATGAGAAATGACATGTTGCGTGTGTACTAGGGAGTTGGGGCAGCTACAAACAGGCTAGTGCTGCTAGAGTCAAGATGGAGGCAGGAAAGCGTGTGAGACACTACCAGAAAAGCGCTTATGGTCTGAGTCCGTCGCTTCCAAGAGGGGAGCAAGGCGCACACTCTGGGAACTGAATAACATAATCGAGGCTGGGCGTGGCGGCTCACGCTTGTAATCTCAGCAATTTGGGAGGCCGAGGCAGGCGGATCACGAGGTCAGGAGTTCGAGACCAGTCTGGCCAACACAGTGAAACTCCGTCTCTACTAAAAATACAAAAATTAGCTGGGCATGTGGCGGGTGCCTGTAATCCCAGCTACTTGGGAGGCTGAGGCAGGAGAATCACTTGAACCTGGGAGGCAGAGGTTGCAGTGAGCCGAGATCTCGCCACTGAACTCCAGCCTGGGTGACTGAGCTAGACTCCATCTCCAAACAAAACAAAACAAAACAAAAAAATTGAATATGGGGAAGAAAGTATTAAGAAAGTATTATAACTGTTTAATTTTATACTTTATGTTTTAAAAATTATATTTTTGTTCATGTCTTATATATGTGTACATGTAAAATGGATTAAAATAGATATCAAGAGTAAGTGATCAAAGTGTTTTAGTCATCAAAAAAGTTTGGATGCTATCTAAGTGAATTGCCTTGTATGATGTACTAAAGAACCTGGACTTCATCAAAGGCTCATGAGGAACCTAAGTACATAAAGAATGTTAAGCAAAAGATCTGATTTGCATCTTACAGCTATATTATCCTGATAGTTGTTAGAGTGTATTTGAGATAAATAAAATTAAAGGAAGGCGACCATTTAGGAGGCTTTTGCAAACATTCAGAATAGAGATGGTGAGAACCTGAATGAAACTGTAGTGGTATATGTAGATTTGAAATATAAATAAATAAAAGAGTTAAAACACATAGGACTTGCTGATTGATTGGATGTGGTTGTTAGGTGAATACGGACGAAGAAGGAATCAAGGATACCTCTCAGATCTTTAGTTTGCATGAAGGGTAGTATGTTCCTTCCATCAGTTGAGAGCAAGCACAAGTAAATGAGAAGATTGAGGGCAGCTCTGATAGGTTCATTTAGTGACATGTTGAATCTGAACTTTTTTATTGTAATAATGCAGTTATGCATGATCATTCATTCATCTAGCTTCTGTGTATGTATATCTGAAATGTTGTACTATCTTCTAAGTAGCTAACTATGAAGAGAATATGAAGCTTTCTATCAATGTACCCCCAATATAGGTTGAGAAGCAACTGCAACCTACTACAAAATGATAAGTAACGTGAATTGCTACCAAATACTTACAAGAGGGTGATTGAGTCTTTGGGAAGATTGAAGGAGGCTTCTTGGTCACTTCTGTGTCTCCTTTAATACACATGGCCTTCAATAGAAAGTATTGATTCACATTAAAACAATTTTTTAAAGCGGGAATTTGTTCATAAAAAGAATCATTGTGTATTTTTTTTCCTGAAAGTCCAAGCATAGCACATTTATGTATTGTAGTTTATTATAATAGCTGTGATTCAATAACAGTAAAGTCATGTTGGGAAATAATCATATTATAAGACTCATATATCTATGTGTCACCTGTGAATTTGGCTAGCCCTTACACAGTAAGCATAGGCAATTTCTAGTAATTTTTAGAGCAAATTATCTGTGATGGTAGTAACTGTTAACAGTAAACTTAACTTTACCTTTCTAAAAATATGGGTTGCCTCTGTGCATCCAAATCAATGTTAACTTTCAGTTTAAAAAATCACAGGCGATGATCTTGAAACATATAGCAGTGTCTGAATATTTTTACAGAATTTTCTATTTCTGAATTTATTTCTTTGGATGAGGTAAATTAAAATTAGATTCTTCTCTTTTTATTTTTTATTTTGCAAAGAAAATACCAATGTATTTTCTCTTCAGTTTTAAATGCATAAAGACAATATTATGTTAAACCAAATTAAAACTTCAAAGGTGTATGAAATGACTAAATTTATTAGTATCTACATATCTTATTTTGTTATATACTTTATATTTTAAAGTTTATGATAGTTGATATTTATTATGCTTATTAAATGCTAGGTATTTAACACAGATGGATTCATTTAATCTTCACAGTTCTATTACTTCCATTTTATTCAGACACTAAAAAGAAAGGTTAAGTAACTTGCCCATATCACAGAGCCACTATGTAGCAGGGCTGTGATTTTTAACTCAAGATACCAGAACTCAATATCTAAGGCTTTAGTCATTATGCTACATCCCTCTATTCATTAAACCTTTTAAGTAAGTTATTTTTTTCACCAGGGATGATGATGGAAAAAAATTCAAACATATTTGTTGGGAAGGCCTCTGTTTTTAAAGTATATCTTACTTCTTTGTCTGATTTACTAAACTGAGGCATAGTTTAGAAACCGAACGTTTGAGGAACAAGATTTCTGCTTTTTTCTTACTGAAAAATAAAAGTGAAATGGAATGGTGTTGTTTTCTGAAATGGGTTGCTGGTCCCCTGAAGATATGTTTATGCAACATGCTGTCTCAATTTTGCAGCTTACCTTTGTGAAGCTAAAACAAAATAAAATAAAAAAATTTCTCCTTGGAGCTGTTATTGGTCCTTTTCTAATCTGAAGAAGACTAGAAGGTGACAGCACATTTTAGTTCTCACGTGTTACCTGAAAGTCAAAATTAGCCACAATAGGGCTGCAAGAACTGACTTATTGTATGTGCAAAACAGCACAGTGCAATTGCTTTGAAGACTAAAAACAGTTATTGCTTAAGAAAATGTGAAAGATTCTTTTTATTACCTTGATAGGAAAGAGTTCAAAACCAGAAAATGGATTTTTTTTTTAATAACAAGTAATGTTTAATGCAAATTCCATTCAGGACACAAAAGCTAGACAAGCATATATTTTTTATTTGATAAAATAGTAATTTAAAAGAGAATGTACATTATCTAAGGTTTCATAACATTGTACCTGAAAGGGATTAAGATATCTAAAATCTTTGAAGTCTGCAGATTTCATTTTATTTACTTACAAGGTTGGAATTCTCAGTGGTTTGTTACTGTAAGAAAATTGTCCATTAGCATTTGTATTGATTTGCCTTTGTCAAAATGAAAGAAACAAATGTAATTTGTTAGCACTTTATTATTGAATCCCTTTTAATATGGAATATCAAGAATCTGGGTCTTTATTAATCTGCAACATGTTTGAAGGAATGCTTTCAAAAATTGAAAAGAATAGAAAGTTCAACTTCATTCCTATTTGTACTGAGGCACTGGATGGATTCTGAACTGGCTGTCATCATAGTTTATGCTCATCACTCTGGCTGGAATGATTTTGTTGTCCCCTCCTGCTATTCTGAAATTGACCACATTTAGTAAATTGGTCCTTTACCTGAACTTGGTTTCAGTAAATTATTCTTGCACATCTTATCTAATCCAAATGCTACCCAGTCTTCAAGTATTAGGAAAAGCTTCACTTCCTCCATGAAGTAATCCCTGATGACCTTCACTGACCTTGCTTTCGTCTCAATTCCTAGAACTTTCATAGCCTCCTCCAGAGGTTTCAACCAGCATGAGATGGCTCAGTTGTATGCCAAAAATGGGTGATATACGTGTGGAGACATTGATCCTCAGGGAAGAAAGGCACAGCATGAATTGGTCTGAGATTTCAGGCCTGTCCCTCCTGTCACAAGCAACCTTCTACAAGAAATTATTGTGCCATAAAAATACGTTTGTTTTGTGTGTTATATTGTGAAAATGGTCAGAACGTTGCAGCTTCATCAGTAGTACTAAGCCTTTCCTTTTCATTGCACAATCTACTCAAAAAGAGATTTCACCTAAAATACAGGTTTATTACTATTTACTTATAAATCATATATCTTATTACTGTATTAAATATGATTTAATATACACACAGATAAAAATTTTTTAAAGATGAGAAATAAAATGTAGCAGCCAAGATTTTAACATTTTATTGCATTGTCTTAGATTTTCTTGGTATCCTAGCCATTCTCTAGAGTGTGTGAGCCAGACTTTGAAGTCCCTTGTCTATATGATTTGATATATTTGAAAAAGATGCACCTAATCTTGTTCCAAAAATTATTCTATGTAGTGTCCAAAAATGAGGAAAATGCAAGATGAACCATTAAGATGTGAAGAAATGAACACAAAGAGAAAAAGAAGGAAAAAAGATAAAACTAGAGATAAAATGCACATATTACACTTGTATATTTTGCTAAAAGTTAAAAGTAAATGTATTATTTTTATTATAATAACTAGTGCAAAGAGGGAGGTATGACCAACTTCAGAGCTCACAATATCTATATAATTTAAAAGAAGAAAATCAAGGATTACGTATCTATGGCATATGACACATATGAAACATATATTTGTCACATGCCAAAGGTATGACCTTTCAAAAGTCACCTTCTTTTATATATTTTTGGAAGGAGGAAGCTTTGTCATATCACTCCCACATTTTTCAATTGCCATGCAAACAGGAATGTAGCCAGCTTATCGGGAGTGGAGGAGAATCAAACAAAGTAATCTCTGGATGAGCTGCCTTGTGCTTTGGCTTGATTCATGCATAGATTGAACAGCAGTGATTTCTAAGAGATCTGGTGCCTATAATATAACAGAATCAACTGATGAGATTTAACTTTTATTTACTTATTTATTTTTTTAAGCAAGTTAAAGACTTCCCTCAACTGGAGAAAAAACTAGCCCCAAATCTGATATCCTCCCATAGAAGACCAAGTCAACCTCTCTGTCACTGAAAATCTCTTTAGTACTGAACCACTAATAGCAAATGGGATAGCAATGGGATTGTAAGGGGAAGAGGGGCTGTGTAGCATTTCATAATTGGAATCTCCTTCACAAGATTATTGGCCCTGTTAAATAAAGGTGATTTTCTTCCTATTTGTACCTTTAATGAGTTAACTAGTAAATTCCCCACCTGCACCCTACTCGTGACTAAGTAGTTTTAATTCTCTGAGTTGTGGCTGTCTCTTTGGTATTTTAAAACATTCCTCAAGCAGTTCTAATGGGTAGCCATTTGAGAACTACTGAATTTAAACTACGCAAATGCAAACTGGTTGCTAAGGTTGAGGGCAATGGCTAGAAAGAGTTTTTCTTTGGAAAATGGCTAATCAGAAAGGGGAGAAATGATAAATTGAGATGAAGAAGAAGAGGGAGGAGTCAAGGATATGATGTGAGGCTGGGACATGACATGAAACTGCCACTGAACCCCAGTGGCAGGTGTGATCAGAACCACCTTTTTTATTTTACTTTATTTATTTTTTTATTTATTTTTATTTTTATTATACTTTAAGTTCTAGGGTACATGTGCACAATGTGCAGGTTTGTTACATATGTATACATATGTCATGTTGGTGTGCTGCACCCATTAACTCGTCATTTACATTAGGTATATCTCCTAATGCTATCCCTCCCCCCTCCCCCCACCCCATGACAGGCCCCGGTGTGTGATGTTCCCAAGAACACCTTTTGAAATAAAGATAGCTAATTTTCAGTTTGGAGTTTTTACGCTATTATAATAAATGTCCTTATGACATGTTTCCAGAAATTCTATTTCACTGTTTGTATTTCATGTTTATATGAGTGATTTTATATATCAATATGGGTGGGAGAGTGAGAAGTGAATGAAAAAAAAAGGTCTGGTCTTGATATCTGGATTGAAATGGCACAGAACAGGAATAAAATATTGTGTCAAGAAACATGATGATTGAAAAATGTAGAAGTGATATGAGAAAGCTTCCTCCCTCCAAAAATATCTTTAAAAGAGTAATTTTTGAAAAGGTAGAAGATGGTGGTTTGGATTAGTGTTAACTGTTATATTTCTCAAAATTTTAGAATGGAAAAACAGGTTGCTTAAGAAAATATGAAAGATTTTAGTTCCCCAAAGAAATCATTATGTTAGATAAATTAGAGGTATTAATACATTACATGGCCTTAAGGCAGTTTTTGTAAATGTGGCAAAAATTGTATTCCTGGGCCTACCTATTAAGTTCACTGAGGATAAATGACAGTAAAAAAATATGAAGAATGCTTATATTTCTGACCTTTAAAGAAGAAATGTATGTGCAACCAGATCATCAGGAAGTGATAGTAAATAATTAAAATCTAAGTAAAAGTTGGTAGTTGTGGGGTGGCAGGGAGAGGAATATTATTTTTTTATCTCGATAATTAAAACAAGTCAAGATTCCGTATAAGCATTAGTACTATGACTTTATATTGACTTCCTACAGCCATAAGCTTTTTTTCTATATAGCAAACAAAAGTCAAAGATCCAACAACAACAAAATTCCAGCATCTTTCTCTACAAGGGAATAAAGACTACATTAACTGAAAATAGTGTAATAGTCACATATAATAGCTACATCCTGTAGAACCCAAATCTGAAGTTTATGAAGAAATTGAAACACACTTTATATAGAATTTTTTGCAATTTAACACATAATTTTGGGATAGAGCACTGTTGTCTTTATTTTTAAAATATGGAATAGGGTTTAATAGATCCAATAAAATGGAAGTAAATAAATTAGATAAGCTAAACATAAACTTGTAAATTTTATTGTTCATAAATTGGAACTATCCTTAAATTATTTTTTGTTCTGTATATCTAATTTGAGGTTCTTTTAAAAATTATTATTTATTTTTTTATAGAGATGAAGTATTGCTGTGTTGCCCAGGCTTGTCTCAAACTCCTGGTTTCAAGCAATCCTCCCTTCTTGGCCTTCCAAAGCGCTGGGATTGCAGGCTTGAGCCACTGTGCCCAGACAAACTTGAGCTTCTTAATGAATTGTATATAAACTCTAAGAAAAGATTACCGGAACTTATTACGAAAGAATCCGTTTATCTACAAAATTTGCACAATTTTGTTAGCTAATAAACCTAGGGAAAGTAAGTCTCCTAGATGTCAACCAGATTCTCATCTTCCCTGACCTCATTCACCAAATTATCATTTTAGGAACTGTGTACAAGAATCAGTCCTCATTACCAGATCTAACAGCCAACCTCAGACCCTCCTGGAAGGAACTGTTTATGGCAGAAGGTTATATAGTTGTTGTTGTTCTCCTTCTTGTTTTGTTTTTAAAGGTAAAAAAAGTTTGTAATGAGACTCATCTTTAATAAATTGTGGTGCTAACTTCTAATATTAGTAGCCTCACCAACTATGCTAATATACTTTTTGCTATCCGACAGTTATTCTCAAGTTAGGTGCCAGATCTAGAATAAAGCCACATTTATACTTAGTGCAGATAAAACTTGTTTCAAATTATTGGCCATATGGCAACAAGAGATAATATTAATGTAAGAACCTTCTCCCTCAATTTACAGTTACAGAATTTTAAGAAAAATCTTTTTCAAAGCTCCTTAGTTCATCTCACTCTTCTCATATCCCTAATATTCCCCTTTAAATTATGCTAACATAATTTAAATGGATATGGCTATGACAATGATAAAAACGGAGAAATGTGTTCCCTTCCCTTCTCCTCTCTTTCTTTCTTTAACTTTCTTGATGACTCCTCTTAATTCAATAGTCAATAATTCTCAAAGTCTTTTCATCTTCAAAATTTTTTCCTTGCCCATGTTGCACTTGCTACTATTTGAATAATAATAAGAAGAAGATGAACTAGGGATGTTTACAAGTTTTTGATGTTCCCAAAGTTAAAGTTGGATATAATTATTTTTAACAGAGTTGTGGTTGTTCGTCATATTTATTTTTCCTCCCAGATTCTCAGACCAAAGGACTAAAGCTTGACAATTCATGAGAACTGACCCAAAATATACACCTTTTATACACATGATATTTATAAAAGACTCATCAAAAAAGCAAGTATCTTGGGATTTTCCTCTCTCAAACACTCTTAGCATTGATGAAGAAGATGAAATGATAAACTTCCCTTTACTATTTTATTTCATTTTATTTATTTATTTTTTGAGACAGAGTCTCGCTCTGTCACCCAGGCTGGAGTGCAGTGGCGCGATCTCGGCTCACTGCAATCACTGCCTCCCGGGTTTACACCATTCTCCTGTCTCAGCCTCCCGAGTAGCTGGGAATACAGGCGCCCGCCAACATGCCCGGCTAATTTTTTGTATTTTTAGTAGAGATGGAGTTTCACCATGTTAGCCAGGATGGTTTCGATCTCCTGACCTCGTGATCCTCCTGCCTCGGCCTCCCAAAGTGTTGGGATTACAGGCGTGAGCCACTGCGCCCGGTCCCCTTTACTATTTAATAATAGTTTATCTTGCTTTTATTACTAATTTTACTACTAATAAACAACTTATTATTAAACAGTAAAGGGAAGCTTTACATTCTAAAGTCATTGCTTATTTGAAGCTGCTCATTTGCCCCTTATCTGGTAAAGTGAGCACTATCAGCCAAGGTAGATAAGCATGTTGAACTAGTTTCTGAAAATAAGAGAATATTCAGAATTTCTGGCCTGTCCAACTGTACTAAGAGGTATTAATGGTTGAATTAGCCAGATATGAAGGGGAGAGTAGAGTTCAACAATAGTTGAAAAAAGTATAGATTCTAGATTCTTAATTAGGAGAGCATTGAGATAATTAATGCATTAAAATAAACCCTATCTACTAAAGGTATCACTCATATATCTCAGCAATTTTACCTCCGGGTAGGTATCCAGTAGAAATGATAGTGTATGTCTCTTCTAAGACATGGAAAATAAAGAATTTTCATAGCATTAGTTGTAACAGACAGAAATTGAACATAACCTCAATGTTCAAAATGGATAAATAATTTGTGGCATTTTCACACCATGGAAAAGGAAGACACTTTCAACAGAAAAGATGAATCTAATGGTCATAATTTTGAATGAAAGAACAGGCCAAAGAGTACATACTGTAATTTACCATTTATCAAAACATTTTAAAGAAAACTAATCTAAGGTAGTAGAAGTCAAAATAGCGGCTGCCCACAGGGGAAGAGAAGAGATACTCCCAGAAGACACAGAGGAGTCTGTGTGATGCTATCAGTGATCTATATCTTGATCAAGGTAGTGGTTACATGGTTGTGTTCCATATGTAAAAGTTCATCAAACTGTACACTTAAAATTTATATACTTAAATATATATACATTATAAATTACTAAGGCATGACAAAAAGGGAAACAATTTGCCTCAGAGGGAAGTCTCCTGCGGTATGTCAAAAGCCGAGGTGGACGGATCACGAGGTCAGGAGATCGAGACCATCCTGGCTAACATGGTGCTACCTCGTTTTTACTAAAAATACAAAAAAAAAAAAAAAAATAGCCGGGTGTGCTGGTGGGCGCCTGTATTCCCAGCTACTCAGGAGGCTGAGGCAGGAGAATGGCATGAACCTGGGAGGCGGAGCTTGCAGTGAGCCAAGATCGCACCACTGCACTCCAGGCTGGGCGACAGAGTGAAACTCCTTCTCAAAAAAAAAAAAAAAAAAAAAAAAAAAAAGTGCATCTTTGATCCAATTCAACACATTTATCACTAGCTTGAATCAAGATGAAGAAAACCTACATATCAAATTTGTGGATATCACAACAAAGTTTCATTGTATAACATATAATTTTTTTAAATGTCAACAGGCAGGATCCATGATCCCATTTAACAAGCTGACATTTAATAGGATAAATGTAAAGTCCTGTAGTTTAAAAAGAAATGTGACATAAAAGCCACGAGTAGCATGTTCTGGGAAAAATCATATGCTTTATCATTTTTAGAATCAGACAAACAGAGCTAATTAAAGTGAACAAAAACTACAGGGGAAAAAGAAGATCTTCATAACAGCTAAAATTGGACCATACATTGAGATATTGTATTCCCTTTATGTGCAAGCGAAAAATAAAAGCATTAGAAGATCATAGCCAGAAGAGATCCTAAAGGTTATCTAAATTCTGCCTTCTGTTATTTAAATACATAGATGTACTTTTTACATGAATATATTTATATTTTTATTCATATTTATATATGAGGAAAATGGGGGATGAAGAAAAAGCAACTTTGTGAAATGTTCATGGTAAATGCAGAACAGTGATAAGAACCCAGCCCTAGACTCCTTGTTTTCTACCCTGTTATTATATCTTCCTAGTGTGCTGGTGATTATTTTAGGACAGAGCATCATGGTAAGCATATATATTATATTTTACCTGGCATATTTTTATATATTTATGCTGTTTTCTGAAATAGAATGTACATTTATGCCAGAAAACATAACTGAATTTTCTAGGACCTAAAAGCCCATAATAACGTAGAGTAGAGTGTTTTCACAGAAGGTGGTCAACAAGTGTTTGTTAATTAATCATAAGAATACAGACAAGGGTGAAATATCTTTAAAACACTTTTATTTCCTTTTTCTTATTATCAGACAGAACCCTGCATGATTTAGTCTCTAAATACCCAGGGAAAACTTTTCTCCCAACTAAAAAATGTAATATTTCTCATTGTCAAAAGGTCTTTCCTTGTTTTACAGATAAATATCATTGTAGCAATATATGGTTTTCCCTTTAATTCTGAATTTAATTATAATTATAATGCACAATAGCTGGCTGCCGATTTCCCTATATGGTAATTCTTGAAAATGGCTTCAAAGACTCATATTTGTCTTATTATATCTGTAGAGATGTAATTATAATTGTTATTATCTTAAATTACAAATTCTATTTTACAATCCTGTAATTATATTATACATTACCAAATTACCATATGTCTTAAGATAGTTTATTTTTAATTTTACTCTAGAATGTAAACTACATGATTATAGAGATAGTGTCTGTTAGATCACCACCATATTTTATGCCTACAGTAATTCTTAGCACAAACTAAGAATTCCATAAGTATCTATTGAATGGAGGTACTTAAGAAATATATTTGGAAATAAGTATCAGGACATGGTTCTGAAAATCTTCTCTTTCTATCTTTGCAACTATCTCCATTTTGTATCTTTACAATTTGTTGTAAAATGTTATCCTCCTTCAACCTGATTCTTTTCCTAATTAAAACATTCTTTACCTACTTTGTGTTTATTTTGCAGATACTCCAAGATATTAGAAAACATGTTTTCCTATCTTAGCAAACATTTGGTCTAGTGTGTGTTTGTGTGGGTATACAACATATATGTGAAAAAATTGATAAGGAAAGGGATTTGGGTATCAATGTGTGATTTAATTCTTCTATACTCTTGGTTCTCCTTAATGCATCATCACATGATTAATTTACTCACCAATTTCCCAAATGTACCTAATAGAAAGGATACGAGAAAATATGTTAGTTCCTCAATGCTGTGATCTCATGGTCTTGACCATTTAGAGATAGCTTCAGTATTACAAACTACCTATAGTACATGTGACTATATTGAGAAAATTTGGGTGAGATGCAGTCCTTATCCATGAAATATTTAATGGTCTAGTTCTAGGAAGAAATGCAAAAATGCAATTTCAGTTCAATATGACAAAGATATGTTCAAGATGTCATGGTGTATATGGGAAGGAATGATTTATGATTATATATTGACTAAAATTTTGCAGTACTGACAAAGGTATTAGAAAGTAATATGAAATGAAGGGGTACCTTTTTTTTTTTATTGTAAAGATTGTCCTGATTTTCTTCTTTGAATTCCTGCAAAAATACTTGCCTGTATGGCTTACATGTTGCTCATCTTACACAATTTCTGGTTGTTAGCCATTTCTTCATGTGTATACCTTCTGTTCCTTAATGAGCTAAAAAGCATTTTTATGGCAAGAGATGTGTTTTCTTTGTATCTGCCTCCCAACCAGTCTTTATTCAGCATATCACATTACCTCATTACTCACTAAATGCTTACTTTGAGCTTATTATGTGCCAGAAAGTATTCCAGATAACCAGGGATAAAACAGCAAATGAAATAAAGTCCCAGCCCTCAAAGAAATTACATTCTGTGAGACAAAAGAGACACTCAACAAACAAACCAACAAATATATAATGTGTTTGATAATGATAAGTGCTACGGAGGAAAATACATTTTGGTGAGAGAGAATAGAGCATGGTAAAAGAATAATTTTTGTAGAATAGGCAGGAAAGTTTCAATAAGAAGGGGATATTTGAGCTAAGACAGCTGAGATATCTTGGGGAAAAACGTTCAAGACAAAAAGAAAAAAAAATATGTGAAGACTCTTGTACTGAAGAATATTTTATTTTAGGAACAGGAAGATCTATTACTAGAGATGGGTAAGTGAGGGGAAGTGTGGAAGAAAATTAGGCGAGGGAGGATTGGAGGGAGTTGGTAGATCATGAAACTCATGAGAAGGAACTTTAATTTTACCTTGGATGAGATGGGAAGTGACTAGAGAGTTTGGTGCGAGACAGCGGAGAGAAATTCTTATTTACATTTTTTTTTCCTTTGGGAATTTCTCCATTCTAACTTATTTATATTTTAAAAGTATATCTGTAGCTATACTTTTCTAAGCGGCAAAGCAAGACTCATGTGGAAAGGGAAAAGTGGTAGCTAGGCAACAAATTAGAAGGCTGTTGCAAGACTTCAGGCAATAGTGGTTATTGGTTTAGTTACAACATAAGTAGTAGACAGTATGACGTGGTTGGATAATAGATATGTATTGAAAGAAGAAAAAAGTGAACAAAAAATGCTTGGTAATGGATTAAATATGAGAGTATCTGGTGATTGATTAGAAGTGGTGCATGTGCAAACATAATCAGGACAATCCCGATGCTTTTAGTCTAAGAAACAGAGGATGGAGGTGCCAACTATCACACCACCGTGGAAAGGGGAGTTGTCAGGCAGAAGACTTCAGGAGAAGCATATTTCATTGAGAATTTGTCCATTGTACATCAAGATTGCTTTATCTACAAACAAGCAGAGAAACAAAGGAGACAGTTGGACGTATAAGTCTAATGTTTAGGGAAGAAAATTAGACTCAACATACAATGCTTAATATTTATGCAAAAATAAGATTTATTTTTGTTGATTGATTCCCTGGTACAATAATGAAAAAATGTGAATTGATGTTTTTACCAAATGAGAAAATCAAACAAATCCTTGCTTTCTAGACATATATTTGGATAGGGTATCTCTGCTCTGCTGCAAACAATTGTGTGTCTGACTTAACCATTGCTGAGAACAGGGATTATTTGGAATCTTTTCCTGAACTGGTAAAAGTAAAGACTATATTTCATTTGAAACAGAACCTCAAAGCTTGCTGATAAATGGCTTTATTATACTAATTGCATTTTCTTTATTTTCATAGTCTGTCAGTGTGCCAGAGGGAAATTTTATTGGTCTTAAAGGATTTATTCTTCAAATGGCCATGTAGGTCGCAACACAAAAACGTACTTAGTTGCTGGCAAATTTATTATTTAATGATTCTTCCCCAGTGTCTTTCTGGTGGCTGTGTTTAAAATCATTGGCCTGTAATTACTACCCTTTATGCATATGCATGCACATATATTTCATTTATAGTCTTTAGACACATTTTTCATTCAAGTATTCAAAAAGTACTCTTATATAAAGACTCTGTGATCACATAGAACAATTCTTCAAGTATTCTCAAGCCCATTTGGACAATGAGAGTTTGAAAAATAATGTAAGGGTCTTGTAGTTGACATTTAAGAAACTCGTACCTTAGAAGGAATAATCGGATTATAAGGCATTTTTAAGACTTTGTACTTTCTGAGTGGCCTTATGCTTAAAACACTCTTGATATAATTGAAATGCTCTTATGTTTCTTTCTGTCCTCTCTCTACTTTGAGGTTTTGTTGAGTTGATTTTCCCTAGTAGTATTCATTTTAATAGGAGATTCAGACATAGGTATAGCTGTGAAGAGAAAAACTGTGGTCCAAAATAACATGGTTTGGAATCAAAGCTGCAAATTCATGCAGGATAAGGATTTATTGAGTTAAAATAAGTAGAGAAATTAATAAAAACAATAAACAATGCAATAGATTATTTCTATAATATTTCAAAAAATACTTCAAAAATCATTTGACTGAAATATAAGTTCTTTCATGTTCTTTTCATGCTTTTTTTTTACTATTTATATTAGTAAATTATCCTGAAGAATACTTAAAAATCTAGCATACCCAGGATGATATCCTAAAAGATACTGTTGCAATATGATCCTAACACCGATATTGATACCTTTTACAGTGTGTGTATATGTATTTTTTTTCTGTGTCTTATCCATAGAAAATGATACCATCTACTGGACAGACATGGGCTTCAATAAAATTAGCAGAGCTAAAAGAGATCAGACTTGGAAAGAAGATATCATTACCAATGGCTTGGGAAGAGTGGAAGGGATAGCTGTTGACTGGATTGCTGGTATAATCCATGGCTTTTTATCTTTCTGTTTCACACCTATTTTGTTAGGGGCTCAAACTGCTTCATAAAAAATCTTTTCTAACTCATAACAGTGCTTTTATTTGTACTTCTAGCCACAGGGGTAAATAGTCTCTTTTGCTTTTGGCTTCGCTCCTTCTAATGTTTTTGAGCCTTTGGATAAGTTTTTTTATGTAGAAGTAGATTATGTAGTGTTAACTTTGCCCAAATCTCCTGAGAGCTCCAGAAGGCAGGTAAACAAGTGTTAGAAGTTCTCTTTTGCCTGAAGTCAGTAGAAAGTTAAAATAGGTATTTTCTTTAGGTAGGAGAAGTTTCAACTTCGTTTTACCATGTAAATATATCATTATATGGTTTAAACCAGAGGTGTGTGAGATTAGGATTGAAAGTATTTGCATATTAGTTTATTTACAGCTTTCTGCTTAGGAAACACATTTAAAAAGAATGTAGGAAGTAAACAGTTTCTTGATAGTTATGTGAATGCTCAGAAATTTAATTTTAGTCATGACAAATACATTTTTTTTCTCAAAACTGTATTATAAACACCTCTATTATTTCTCCTAGGTAACATATATTGGACAGATCATGGTTTCAACTTAATTGAAGTTGCAAGACTCAATGGTTCTTTCCGTTATGTAATTATTTCCCAAGGCCTGGATCAACCAAGATCTATAGCTGTGCACCCAGAGAAAGGGTAATTTTAAGATTTACGTATATCTTCCAAGTTTTATGTGAGTTTTCTAAGTTCTATTGAAAAAAAACTAATTACTTTTAGCTGTAATGTCTGAGACAAAATCAAGAATATCTTACCTAAGCAGAAAAAAATGTTTATATTCACTTTGTTCATATAATTTAGTACATATTCGATGAAGTCACATTTATTACAGATTTATTTTATGTGTGTGTAAATCCAAATAAAGGCACCAACATGATTCCAGATTCTCAATTTAAATCTCTTCCTTAGAATTGTTTACATAATTAGGTATTCAATTATTTATTGAATTAGTAAAATAGCCATTTGATAGCCCTCTTTGCTCTCCAATATTTCTAAAATTTCAATATTCATTCATGTGTCTGTGGTTGTCAAACATGTTCATCCCAAACTTTTGTTTTCTTCTCCTTCCTTTTACTTCTTTTTTTGTTTTGTTTTGAGTTCTAAATAAGTATAACTAACTGTTTTGACATTTTCATCTGGATGCTTCATGAGTACCCAAAATGTATATATATAAAACTGAAACGAATTTAATCTGCCACCAAGTTATGCTTAGTTTTTCTTCTAAATAAATCTATTAGCAATCCAACACCCTCTATCTTTATCTTTACCCTAATTAAATTTGATATTATCTTATATACTGCAATAACATCCCAGTCTGTCTCCTAAACTCACCAAAGCCTAGAGTGATTTTTTTTTAATATACATCTGCTTACTTAAAATCTTTCAAGGAATTTCTATTGCTTTATGTGTAAAGTCCAAAGCCTCTGTTATGATCCTTCTTAATCAGACCCTATAATAATTTTCAGTCTGAAACTCCTGTTACTCTCTTTTTCCTTTCACAATCAATCTCTGTTGGTCTTCTCTTAATTTTTAAAATATTTCTTATTCTATTCCACTTCCAGCCTTTGCCAACCTCTTCCTTTTACCTGCAATGCTCTTCTTATATTTTTGTCTTGTTAAATTTTATTTGACCTTATTTGGCTTTGAAAATAGTTTAGATTGTTGTATGGCCCCATAAGCACCTAGTATTTTTATTGTATACATTATTTGTACTAATATTTATTGATTTGCCTGGTAGCTGTACGTGTTCTTGTTTGTTTTTGAGACAGCCTGTCATTCTGTTGCCTAGGCTGGAGCGCAGTGGTGCAATCACAGTGTTGGACTTACAGGCATGAGCCACCGTGCCTGGCTGTAATAAATTATTATAGCCTTAAAGGAGAAAATTTGACCAGTTGCTTCACTGTGAATCATTATTCTAAGGCAAGAAGGAATATAATTTGAAAGTTATGCAATCCCATAGATACACTGGAAATGGATGTTTAGTTTGTTTCTAATAAAGAATTTATTTGCTTCATAGTTGCAATAAGTCCATTTATATTATATAGAACCTCTTGTGTCTACCCTATTATAGATTCATACAGCTTAATTTAACAAGCCTTTTGCTGCTACATGTCAATCTGTGGATTTTCTTTTCATTTCTTATTCAAATCCATTGTAGACCCTTAAGCTGATATCCCAGAGCTTCTTTTTCTTAAGTACCTCTTATCTCTCCACATCCATCTTAGCCTATGACTACACCTACTTGTCTCTAGCTTGATTCAGAATATTAGGCAAAAGAATCTTCATATACTCTAGTTTTTATCAATTTATTCAATTAACGTTTATTGAGTGCTAGGCACTGTGAGCTAGGACATGTCAGCATCCCTCCATGTCATCCTCAGCCTTCAATTCAGTACATCTTGACAAAATACAAGTACATATGAAAGACACTTGTAGACACTGTGAAGTATGCTGGCATGAATAAGATGTTGCCTCTATTCACAATGAGTTTTCTGTTTAAACTGAAAATTCAAACAAGTACACATTTCAGTTAAAGGAATAGTGTCACTTTGTAAAGACTTATTTTCAGGCACAATAAAAGACTAATTGATCAAACTCAAATTTAAAGCTCATATCCAAATGTCATGTTGAAGTAGTAAGTTTCATAAGATCACTATAAAATTATCTTGGGTTTAATGCAAAAATCATACCATATAATTAGAGCAGGTAGTAAAAATGAGGGTGGTAGCAGCAATAATAGTGATTAGTAGAAGCTTTGTGGAGGAGGCTGCAAGGGAAAGGAGGTTTCTGAGATGGGGTAGGTATATATTATATGAAGAAGAAATAGAATAATTAAAGATTTGGTAGTGACAAAGCAAAAGCCATCAGCAAGAGTGTAGGTACACGAGGTACACATAGGGAAGAGTAGGTGATGTGTCTGGAAGACAACTTGGGTCTGTATAATTGTTGGTAGGACTCCCTATATATTTTTAAAAAATTGCCAGGGTCATGCCTTCTCCAGTTTACCAAGTGAACTCCAAACCAGTCCTGGACCCTCTCTCCTCAGCCTTCCCTTGGCCTCAAACAACATACAGAAGCTAAGATCAGAGTTGTGATGTGAGTTTATCGAAGTTGTAACATTCTTTAACATAAAGAATCTTTAAGAATGGTAATTTATCATCCCTGTGGATTAGACAAAAGGGTTCTTTCCCTTCCCTCAAGCCAAGTAATGGAGAGAGCTCAAGACAAATATGTAAGAGGGAGGCTAAAATAAAGAGAAAATAGCAGTAAATGAAAAAAAAAAAAATTCTATACCTTTTTCACTGCAAATCCCAATACCAAAGGGAGTCAGGTCAAATTTGGAGAGAGGGAAGAGAATGTGCTCTAAAATTAATCTTAACTGTATGATACTGTTCATTTAATGGTAATTGGCTGGGAAGTTATGGGATCTTTCTGAGACAGCCAAGTTTGGAGAGGAAATACTCAGTAAAGCATACATGGAATCAGTAGTTGGATAAATATAAAGTCACTTCTTACTTATTCCAACAGAATTCAGGCTCTGTAATAAGCTGCGATAGTGTACGAGGTTACCCAAGAAAGAGTGCCAAAAAAAGAAGTCTAATAACAAAAATGAAGAATGCTTATAGTTAGGGGATAGAATGACTAGGAGAGAGAAAAAAAAGAACAACAACAACAACAGCAACAAAAACAGCCATTTGAGGCTTTGGAAATTACTGAACTGTAAAAGTCAAGGGAAGAGAGTTTAAGGAAGAACAGTGTGCCAGCAATAAAGAGATCAGGAGAGAGAAAAAAAGCAGAGAACAGAACATGTAACTGGTGATGAGGATGGTATTGCATATTTTTATCAATTTCAGAAGATGAGTAAGGACAGAAGCCAAATATAAAGAGTAGACAAAAGAATAATTAGAAAGTGGAGCTAGCATATACAGAATAAACTGATGCAAACTGGGTGATGAAGGGAAAGAGGAGAAATAGAAGATAAGTTGAGAAGATTGTAGAGTATAAGGTTTTTCTTAGTATGGGGATATTGCACATATTCATAGGCAAAGGGGAAATAAACTGGTTGGAAGAAAGAGGATGGAAATGAACGTAAAGGGGAGACAAATTCCAGGGAGCATAGGAGGAGCCTTGACAAGGGAGAAACAATAGGGCAGAGCAGGAGGAATCACAGACAGAAAGCAGGGAGGCAAGATTTGTATCTTACATTAGGTATCCCAGAAAGAGATTCTAGGATGGGAAGTCAACTCAGGACCTGAAAGCATAGTCAGTCGAAAAGGGGAAGAAAGAGATCAAGCAAATATTTAATTTTGAACATAATCTTGGCCTCAGACTGATTCCTGGAGGGACTCTAGAGTCTAAACTTTACCTTACAGTGACGGAACTTGGTATTCAGATTCCCAAGTAGTCAGCCAGTGGATAAGGACCACTCCGGGAAAACAGACACTCTCAAAATTTCTGACTTTCAGCACTTGTGGGAGAAGAGATTCAAGTGGCCCCAGGATAATCCTCCAAAGAAAATTGTCTGTGTGAGCTGTTAGGGACAAAGGTCATTTGAGAGCTCAGAAATGGTAAACAGCATCTGAGGATGTTTATATGGAGCACAGACGGTGTCCATTACAGTTTGGAATCCCCACTTAGACATTTACTATTTTTACATTTGCCTTTGAGGTATTTCTAAACTTCTTGGTCTCAAATGCCTATATCCTTTTAGTTAATTGGGAGGATTAAATGAGGTGGGTGCTAGTTCTCTTCCCCTTCGGGGATGGAGTGAAAGAAAAGATAGAATGCGGAGATCAAATGTATTTTAGAGGTTAAATTGATGAAATTGAAGAAAGTCACAGCTGCTAGTCTGTATTTCTAAGGTTATCAGCTTAAAAGTGAATAGGTTAAGTTTTGCTGAAGCTATTGTAGCAAATATTTTCCACAATAATGAATCAAATAATTTTCCAGCAACATGAGACTAGCCAGGATGGATTTCTAGAATCTAAGCAGGAATTTTATATGACATTGAATAATAACACTTGATAATGTACGGGTAGTAAAGAAAAGAAAAAGAAAACATGTACCAAAAAGGAGAAAAAAGGTTATAGATCAAAGTTGGCAGTTATAATGGGTTAACTTTGAGTTACCAATCAGGCGGTGAGGCCTGCAAGCTAGTGATGGAATAGTGGGAAGTCAAGAGTAGACCAGGGTAAGAGTAGAGAGATAAGGTCCAGCTGGTATGAGTGACCAACACAGCTCTATGAATTAAGAGAGGGTGATTCTAGGTAGGTCCCTGGAGCAATAAAGATGAGGTACTATGAGCTTGGGTGTTTCTATGTCATTAAATTCCATAGAATGTCAGCAGTGGAAGGAGAAGATGAAAAATCTGCCAGCCAGTGGTAAAGCAATAAATAAATGGTGTGTAATTGTGACAGGTGATAATGCAGTCAAGGAAAAGAGAATATGTGAATTAATGCTGTAAATGTTTAAGTGAGTATAACCTCAGAAAAAGGTTTCCTTCTTCCTTAAAACGACTTCTCTACTTTTATTCTGGATATAAATGTCTCCTCAGACATTTCATGCAAAAATCATTCTCTTCTATTTTACCAACCTTAATTTGTTCCTTTCAATGAAGCCTTTCCCTTTTGCTTTCAGATAGGCTCAGGTCACTCTCATTAGATAACACATTACTAATGTCATTACTTTCCACATGTTTTCTTCTCAACTTCTCAGAATCATGATCTATATCCATTGTCTCATCATTGAACTCCTAAAATGGGTTTCAGCTTCTGTTGTTACACAGGAGTTTCTAAATTTATTTGCCGCTACATCCAGAGATGATTATTATTATTTTTGCAGGTTTTATACCATTTGCCTTCTCCAGGACAGTTTTCTCCACTGATAGTCCATCCAAGAATTCCTTTTTTTCTTTAGCCTTCTCTGACCCTGCATTTTCTGGTTCTCTCTGAGGCTACTCTATATAGCTCCTGTGAGCATTATATTTTATTCTCTTTATTCTCATTTAAGACTTTGTGTGCCATTCTCTCTCTTATTATATTTATCTTTTAAACCCATCTAATCCCATGTTTTTAAAATGTAAATCATGCATATATAGTGAAATATAAAAATATAATAAATATATGCAAAATAGTAATAAAATATCTTCACCCCTTTATTTATATTTCTGATATCCTTTACAGTTATTTATTTGGATGTCTGTCACTGAAACTTAACATGTCCTCCTACCTCTCATCTGTTGCCTTCCTTTCTTAAATATGATATCTCTTTTCCTGTTGTCACAAAAGAGGTTGAAACTTTAGATTTTCCAGTATTTTTTCATCACCTATTTCCATCTGTCAACAAGTCTCCTCATTTCTTTGCTCCAGATGTTTGTCAGATTTTTTTTATTTCTCTCCATTGCAACTACCAGCTCAGCACTGACTCAGCAGGAGGATCTCAGTAAATATTTTTGATTTCTTAATTTTGAGCTCTCAAAATGAGAATTGTATGTGAGTCCACAAAACAAGAAATCTTTGACATATGTAGCAATATTTAAATATTATTTACTTCGTCTTAAAAGCATTTTAAAAATATTATGTCACACGGATAAACTTTTTCCATATTCATAGTTAAGAGTAGATACACTCATTTAAATGTTAAACTTGTTTCTAGGAAATATTTATTACGGCTTGGAAATATTAGAGATGTATGTCTCCCTACACTTTCTCCATATATTTATTGACTTGAATTTAGAGAGAAAATAAAAGACTTAAAAATGAAGATTCTTGTAAAATTATTCAAACACTGATTTCCAGCTAATATTATATAGACATTTAAGTGTCAAAATTTATATCATAGGAATAAAGTACAGTACTTTAATATTCTGTTTGAAGTTAAAACATGGCAGATGGTATTGCCAAGGGAAAATGTGAACCATAATGGAGTGAATTAGCTGAATTCAAAGTAAAAACATGCCTTGAAAAGTGGGCACAAATCCTGTTTTTAAACAATAGAGACTTGAGCTCTTTTAAAATGTAGCCAAATACAAAATAGGAATCATGTATGAGTTTAGTTTAGCTTAAAAAATCAGTTTCTTTCAGCTATCATTGACTCCTCCTCCTCCTCTTGTTCCTCCTCCTCCTCCTCCTCTTCCTCTTCCTCTTCTTCTTCTTCTTCTTCCTCCTGCTCCTCCTCCCCCTCCTCCTCTTCCGCCTCCTCCTGCTCCTGCTCCTCCTCTGGTATTACTTGCTTTGTGAAAATTGAAATGTAATAATTTTCTCCATGCTGAAAAGTCATTTAATACTAACAATGAAAAGATGTATAGGAAGCCCCATTAAGATGTTAAAAATTTTGATTAACTTCCCATGGTATATAATCTCTAACTGAAACACATACTGTAATTTTATTTCCTTTTAAGCACCAGGATACATGTTTTCTCTCTTAATTTAGCTCTGTATTTCTGTGACTGTAAATAATGTGCTGAAAAGTTTTTCTTTCCATGGCAAAGACTCAAATTAACATGGGATCTTGCTGTTTCAAAAGGTCTTTTTGATTATGTATATACTTTTTCAGTATGCTCAACAATATATAAAAGGTCTTGGTTGACAGTTTAACACCTGTTAAGACAACAACAGTGTAGTGTAGTTTAATACCATCTCTTAGAGTATATTTTGCATCTTAAAGCAAGGGAACACATATATAAAGGAAATGGAATAAATTTGATTTACCATAGGAATAATGCTGGTAAGATAGGTTGCAAGTCATGGAACAAATTAAAAACTTCTTTATAATATTTTGATAATTCTAAGTCAGCTCATGAGCTCTAGAAGTATAGGCTCTGGGCAGCTAGATGTTAAATATTTGGTAAATTCATAGTTATAGGAAAATATCAAATATATATTGAATGTACAAAAGTACATAAACATGGACTATTCAAGAAAATTATAAATGCAAACAAGCTAATATTATATATATGTACATGTATATGTTAAGTGTTTGTTTAAGTGAGAGGATGGGCAATGAGGCAGGGTGTAAACACATATATAAAATGAAAAATGAACTATAACATGGTGTAATATTTTTAATGTGCTATGAAATATTATATATGTGTGTATATATATATACATATATATAAATATTTTTTGTTTGTGAATAATTTCCGCTTCTCCAGTGTGTGCTCTTCATACACATAATAATTGTCCTATATAATTACTCAAAACTACAATGTAGTGAATCAAGAAAGGCTCAAATGTAAACTTAAGAATAGCAGACCAAGAAAGAAAGAAATTGACAAATAAGTTAAATAATTTTGAAGCTTAAACAGAAAGAACAACTCAAATGGCCTATATCTTTATTTTTGCCTAAAAGAAAAAAAAAATTCTGAAGTTGTTTACAGGAAAGACAACTTTTCTCACCACAACCCTTCAACATTATCATTGTTCAAGCCCCTACATTTATGACTTAAAGAGACTAGCAAATTTTAAGTATTTCTAATCAGCATTTTTCTCAGATACTAATTTACCCATTTGCCTCTGCCATTAACAATGGACTTTATGAGGGTACCTAAATCCGATTTATTTTGTATCATCAGCTCCTAGCACATAATAGATACCTAATGAAGTATTTGTTGATGAGTGCATGAGTACAGTGCAAGAATAAGTTTGAGAACCAACCACAAAACCAACAATAACAACAAAAAATTTGAAAAGTGCAGTAGTGTCCAAGGGTAGACTGGTTTTATATTTTCATCCTTTTAGCACAGGGTTCTGCTACCTGTGGTTGAGTGCTTTTTATATTACAGAATTCTTTAATCAATAGCAACATATTTAAGACTTGAAAAATGATTTGGGATAGGCCTGTAATACTTTCTCAGACAAAACTGTACGTAAATGAAGAAAAAGAAAATGTGAATAAGGCCTCACAGAAAAAGAGAACGCTCTACATTTCATTTTATTCCTCAGGAGATAAAAAATGTCCAATCATGTACTCATAAAATATATTCAAACTTTTATAATATTATCTTATTTTACTTATGATCTGAAGATGTAGCCATGGACATGTTGACTTATAGAGTATTCAGTTTGTATGAATTTTGAGTGATTCTAGTGCATCTGCTAAGAAATTGGAAATTACAAGCAGCTTTTGTCAAGTTAAAAGCTTATGCTCATGTAAAGGCTAGCTACTATTGTTCATCTGTAGGGTTTTTATTTGGCTTTCTTTTTTGTTTCTCTTACTTTTTGCAGATAGGGTAACTCACTGTTGACTCCCACGCTAGGAGACGACACAATGACATTCTCGATTCTTTTCTTGACCAAGGCCAACTGCCGACATAAGAGAATTACCTGATCTTCATTTCTGTGCCAGCATGAACATTTTTTGGTTATCTCAGGTTTTCTTTATCATATGTAACAAAGGATCTAAATCATACTCACTTAGGGAAGCCAGAAAAGTAGGAAGAAATGGCACATTTATTGTAAAAATTGCAACTCAAATTCGAGCTCTAGGGAAACAGTTTAGCAATCAAAGAAGAGAATTTTAAATCCAGAGAAAATGATTAATGCCAACTAGTCTTGCTTTTCACAACTGTTCACATATGTAGAGTATAAGGATAACATTTAATACTGTTTCTCTTAAAAAATAGACTTATTTATTATTTTCTTTCACTCCATTACCCTTCTCACACAAAAATCAGAGCTTTGTCACTAATGTTAGCTGTCTCAAATTTATTCATGGGCATTTATAATAATTTGAATGTGTATTTTTTCAGGTTGAGTATAACTGCCTGTGACAGGAAAAAAAAAAGTTTTTCCTGAAAAGTATACCTGTATCTAGACTAATTCTGATGTCAATCTGTACAGTTGTCAGAAGACAAATACAATTAACTTTCAGGGTCCATTAAGGGTTTGCTAGGCCTTTGGGCGCTCCAGTGCTACCAAATGTGATCTTTTTACCTATTTATCCAAATGTCAATAATCAGTTGGAAATTAACTCATGATATGTGCTCATTGCACTGTCTTCCTGCTCAAAACTGTTAGAGTCTAGTTAAGACAATAAAGACATTTGTATTATGACAGTTTCTGATAAAATTTCTATAATTCTGAAAGCCACTTTTAAATGTCCCTTTTAAAATTATATGTTTTTAAATTTATAAGTGCAAGCTTATTTAAATAAAGAACATTTTTTAGTTTAACAAATACTATTTTATTATTCAGATAAAATTCAGTTACACAATATAGCATTTGATTTGGACAAGTTTAATATTTTCTAGATTTCAGAAAGTATTTTTAGTAGGGCTACATGTGCCCATCTGATACTCTAAAATCAGTTTTTCTTGGCTATATCATATAGTGAACACGTTTTTCACAACTGCAAAATTTGAACTCAAATAGGTTCAAACTCAATAGTAATTTTGTCAGTCAATGTTAATATCAGTAGGGTCTGAACCTACTGGTCAAAAACCAGGGACAAATATTTTCATTTCTTCCTATTGCTAAAGACCACATTTAGATGCCAAGAATCTATGTTCATTAATGATATCTCAGGTGCATCTATGTAAGTTATTACCTTAAATTACAAGTCTCTTTCTGCAGTTTTACGAGCTTGGAGAGGGTTCTTTCTCTACATTTGGTTTATAATCCCCAAAGTTTCTCAAGGTGCAAATTCCATTCATTTCTTTACTTTCAATTTCAGTTTAAGGAGCAAATAAATTATTATTTGCTTGACATAAAATGTTTACTTAATTTTGATAGGATTAAAACCTTTTACTTTTATTCAGTTGATAAATTATTTAACTCTAAAAGTGAGTCCTACACAGAAAGATTTGGCTTCACATATAATGATACCATATCTAATCACTACTGTTTTCCACAGGAAAAGAATTGTGTAAATTCTGGATTAAAAAATAGTTTTACTTAGAATAATTTTATGCATTTTTTTTTACATTTATCTCAGCCTCTTGCATGAAAGTATCACAAATTTAAAATGAATAGGGGTTACTTGGAAAAAAAGAGAGTGACTTCTTTCTCAGAGCTAAGACCTTTTTCATATTTTGTTTTCTGTGTGTGTCTGTGTTTTTTTTTTTTTTTTTTTTTTTTTTTTTTTTTTTTTTTGAGACAGTCTCACTCTGTTCCCCATGCTGGAGTGCAATGGTGTGATCTTGGCTCACTGCGGACTCTGTGTCCCGGGTTCCAGTGATTCTCCTGCCTCAGCCTCCCAGGTAGCTGGGACTACAGGCACATGCCACCATGCTAGGCTAATTTTTGTATTTTTAGTAGAGAAGGGGTTTCACCATGTTGGCCAGGCTTGTCTCAAACTCCTTACCTCAAGTGATACGCCTGCCTCAGCCTCCCAAAGTGTTAGTATTACAGGTGTGAAGCCACTGTGCCAGGACTGTTTTTTGGTTTTAAATATGGAGATTTTTTGTTACGCATCTTATAGCTAAGGAAAAATAACATTTGATATAATATCATTATATATTTCTGTGTTATCTTTCTATTTGGTGAGACAGTGTATTCTAGGGAAGACAATATAGGCCTGGATTAGTAAAGCCTGAGTGTGGTTCTTGGCTTGCCCTCTTATTGGCCATGTGGACTGTGGATCATTTACTTCCTAGTCATAATTACCATAGCTGTGAGAATTAGGGCTAAGTAGGTTGGTTGCTACAAAAGTAATTGTGCTTTTTGCCATTACTTTTAATAGCAATAAACACATTTATTTGTGTACCAACCTATAAATAGCTTATTTGATCTGTTCACTCAAAATAATATTTTTATTAGTGCATTTGCAAGTAGATTAACATTAATTAAAATCTTTAATATGCACATTTCTTTTCTTATGTGAACTTTGGAATATGTTAAAAATAGATGATAAGAATCAGATTAGACAGGTAAGCACATGTCTGCCCTGGTCTCACAGTGCCTCCTTCACAGTATAACATTACCTGCCATTTTAATACATGTTTTTCCTTAAAAAGTTAAGTGTAGCAATACATTTCATTTGCGAGTTAGTTATTTTATATTGAATAATATTTTTCATCCACTGACAGCGTACCTTAAAGTCTTAAAAATCTTGACGTTAATAAAGGTGTAGATTTTTAAATGCCTGCTTCAATTATATCTTACCAATAAAATATTAGTTGGATTTTATGCTACAAAGTTTTTCCTTTCTGATTTATAAAGCTTGTAAATATGAATGAAATTTTCTTCAGGATTAATATAATTGAGATTGTAGCCATACCTCATTTTTGTTTGTCTGTAAAACTCTACAATGTTTATTTTACACAGCATTTTCAAGAAAAATATCAACTATTAAAACAAATTAATATACATAAATAATACATATATTTTTATCTAGTTAAGTATCACTTTGTACTTAAATAACTCCAGTGAGTATAAACAAAATATAAGTCTTTAATTTTTCTGTATGCAGTCTCACTGATTCTTACGTGACTATTCACATATATTATTCAAATATCCTGACGAGGCTGCAGGAAAAAGGGAATGCTTAAACACTGTTGGTGAGGATGTAAATTAGTTCAGCCACTGTGGAAAGCAGTTTGGAGATTTTACAAGGAACTTAAAACAGAGCTACCATTCAAATAATCCCATTACTGGGCATATACCCAAAGGAAAATGCATCATTATACCAAAAAGACACATGCACTCATATGTCCATCACCCTGCTTTTCACAATTGCAAAAACGTAACATAAACCTAGGTGCCCGTCAATAGTAGACTGCAAAAAGAAAATGTACATCTATACTGTGGAATACTTTGAAGCAATGAAAACAGCCCTTTTGCAGCAACATGGCTGGAGCTGGAGGCCATAAACCTAAATGAATTGATGCAGGAACAGAAAAGCAAGCACTGAGTGTTCTCACTTATAAGTGGGAGCTAAGCATTGAGCACACATGAACATGAACATGGGAACAAGAGACACTGTGGACTACTTGGGGATTGGGGGAACTACCCATTAGGTACTATGTTGACTATTTAGGTGCCATATAACTTCTAAGAACTAGAAAAAGATACAATAATTTTTAAAAATTAGGAACTATACACCCAGCTGTTGAATCAATGCTTCCCATATTTTTTAAAACTTTATTCACTGCTGATGTCTGATAGTTGGATAAAAACTTCAGTAGATGTAACTTCAAATTAAGAATTAAGAAGGAATTATATTTATCTAAAAGCATGGATTTCTGTATAGTCCTATGAATATCGAATTTTTTGAATGAATGAGTGAAATACATGGATTATGTACATTCTGTTTTTCTACATTTTATTTTATGACATGTTGTTTTATTTTGGCATACTATATGTGTTCTTTCTGCATGACATTTTCTTTCACATAGTCCCCCATTACATTTTGTTTTATAAGATTACTAAAATAAGAATTTCTGCTTTTGCATAAAACCGTATTTTAAGATGACTTCACAAGATAACATAAAATTCAAACTAGATTAGTTACATTTAGCAGTCTAAGTAGAAAAAATAGAAAGTTATGATGCATTCATGTCTATATTCATAAATTAAATATGTATTTACCACAAAATTTCTAATTACCTGGTGCTAAAGGAGTAATAGTGAATGAAAATAGAGGAGTGATCACTGTCCTTGTTGAGCTTACAGTCTAGTGGGGGCAAAAAATATTTATAATAAATGATAATGTAAGGAAATACAAGTGGAAATTTGCCATTCTAATCTGTGTTGTGAAGCAGAGCACATGGTACAGGGAAGACACAGAAGGCTTCTGGAAAGAAATAGTTGAGATATGAAAAGTAGGAAGTAATTAGGCAAACAGATTGGAGAAGAGCATTTGAGACAGGAAATAGCAGGCACAAAAGGTATTTTGGTAGGATGTTGAGTGCATCCTATGATTTGTATGACTGGTTAACTATTTTTTTACGATAAAAATTATTTTATCGGAACCATAAGCACACTGTATATTAACTTCCGAAATGTATTATTTTTATTCTAGTGTGAATGCTACTGCTGTTATTAGTAATGTCTTTTTGCATAGCTCTGCATACTACAAATAAATGTACATAAACACTACAAATTAACAATTTAATTTCAGCCTCTTGTTCTGGACTGAATGGGGACAAATGCCCTGTATTGGAAAGGCTCGCTTGGATGGCTCAGAGAAGGTTGTCCTTGTAAGCATGGGAATAGCATGGCCGAATGGCATCTCCATCGACTATGAGGTCTGTTGGATTTCTTTTCAGTATTTAAAGTGCCTTAACTGACAACTTTAATTTACCTACTTTTAGTGTTCCTTTATTTTCTTAATAAAACAATCAAATATAGTCTGTAACGTTACTTCTTAATCGATATTTAGGAAAATAAATTGTACTGGTGTGATGCTCGCACAGACAAGATAGAGAGAATCGACCTTGAGACTGGAGGGAATCGCGAGATGGTGCTGTCAGGAAGCAATGTGGATATGTTTTCAGTTGCAGTCTTTGGGGCTTACATCTACTGGTCTGACAGGTAATTTATTTTTTCATAAGTATTTGAGTCTCAAAATGTTATTTCAGTGCCAGTTGCTTTACCCTTGTAGGATTTACCATTTCTTAGCAAGGTCACAAAAAGGAACTCACAAAGCCAGTAATTTCCACAGAAAAGGCAGGTACTCTTGCTATTCCAAGCTGAAGCATTTCAATGTCACAGACTAAAGTTGGTTTCTTTCCCTTCTGTTGGTCCATCTGTTATCTTCAGCTTAAGTAACTGGCTTGACTTTAATTAGTCGAAGATTGTTGATCATGTATGTTCAACTTTTTGGCAGAGCACATGCAAACGGGTCTGTCAGAAGGGGCCACAAGAATGATGCCACAGAAACGATAACCATGAGAACCGGCCTTGGAGTCAACCTGAAGGAGGTTAAAATATTTAACCGAGTAAGAGAGAAAGGTCAGCACTCTTGAAAGAATACATAATATGTATATTTTATGTGATTTCTCTCCAATTTTTAAAAACATTGTCAAACTTAGAAATTCTTCTATAAGTCTAAAACCTCAAAACATTATCTTTACATCTAATTTCCTGCAAGTATCATATAGTAGCCTAATACAATAAATATGTCATATTTCATACAAAAGCGTATTTGCCCAGGACAGCACAGGTACATGGACATGTTACATACCTGGCATGTCTTGATTATAGGTTTTGGCTAAGGAATATAGAAAAACTTGAAACATGTATTGATTGGATAAAAAATTAAAAGCATAAGTAGGATATTAATAAAAGGCAGTTGAAATTTTTATACATAATATGAATCATATTATATAATAAGTGGTTATGATCCCAAAGGTGATGCTGTTAATGTAAAATATTTCCAAAGTCATTACTTCCTTAAAATATTTATTCTAAACTTACAGGACAATGATTTGGGTATTTAAAATTTGTTTACCTCCATTAAAATAAATTGTAACTAACTTTTTTGTATCAAAGGAAGTTATAATAATGTTGGAGATAATAATAATGAATTCACAAAGGAGAATTAGACTGGTGAAGAAATTTTAAGTGCATTTTTTATCTTCACTTAAAATTGGAGTAAGAACTTATGCTCAGCATATTTAGGAGGTTAGGCACATTGTAGCTATAGATTTCTTTGATGCTTTCCATATCTCAAAGATAGAGTTTAAAGCAGTGCATTATTTCTGGTGAGATCAATTCATGTTTTAAATGAACAATATATGAAACACTATAAGTATCAAGTTTCAAAAAAGATTTATATACTTAACTGGTTCATTAAGGGAAAAATTTAATGCTTAACTTGGATGGTGAATGAAACAGACTATGATTTTCCAAATAAAGAAACCCAAGATTTAAACTGCTGTGATTTTTTAAAAAACAATACTTTTTTAATTTTTTATTGACCAGCTTAAAATTAAGAGCAAAAAGAGAATATTCAACATCAAAGTTTTAATATTTCTTTATGGAGAATTTTGTTTCAAAAACAAAAGAAAAACATAAACATGTGCATGTGTGTATCATTTTTCTTCATTAGGGACCAATGTTTGTGCCAGGGACAATGGTGGCTGTAAGCAACTCTGTCTTTATCGAGGAAATTCCCGGAGAACTTGTGCTTGTGCCCATGGATATTTGGCAGAAGATGGAGTTACTTGCCTGAGGCATGAAGGCTATTTACTGTATTCAGGAAGAACAATATTAAAAAGTATACATCTTTCTGATGAAACCAATTTAAATTCCCCAATAAGGCCATATGAGAATCCACGTTATTTCAAGAATGTCATAGCCTTGGCTTTTGACTATAATCAAAGAAGAAAAGGTACCAACCGAATCTTTTACAGTGATGCACACTTTGGAAATATACAGCTTATTAAAGACAACTGGGAAGACAGACAAGTAATTGTTGAAAGTAAGTACAGTAATTCAATTTTAAATAGGTGGAAATGAGTATCATTTAGATTACTAGAGAAATAATAGTGGTAATTGCATGTAGCAATTACATTTTCCTAGATTTTATATTCAGGAATGAATGTGACTATATCATCTAACCCTCACCCCCCACCCCCCCGCCAAATGTCAAAGAAGCAATTAATTGCTAGCATGTACAGCAAATTATGATTATTACCTTCTAATCATGGAAGGTTTAATATGTTTTATCATAATGTTTCTTATAAATAACTGCACTAAAATTCATGAAAAATCATTTTTCAGTGTAAAACTATTCTAATTGATTTTTTTTTTCCAGTGGGCAAATTGTATATTTAAGAATATCTGTTCAGTAATAGTTAATCATAGTTTCTCAAGCAAACATCAGAGATTTTTTTTCTGTATATATGTGTATATATATAAAATATATATATAATATATATTATATATGATATATCATGTATATGTAGCAGATGAGAAAATGTTATGGAAATGATCTAATATTTTTAATGTTTTTATGGGACATAATTATTCAAGCATAGTGTTCAGTGAGGATTATCCACATAATTTAGGGAAACCTTTTTCCTGTCATTCAAGTTTAACAAAAACCATCTTCTTATTCTTCACACAACTTCTCTCTTCTTGATGTCTTTGTGTGATTTCCATATATTTCCCATTCTTCCAGTTTCACTATGTGGAAATCAATTTTTTCTTTGCTTTCTAAATTGCAAAATAATATATAAATTTGTTGTAGAGTGTTCAAATAATATGGATTTGAATATGAAATCCCTGACTCATCTCTGCAACCATCAGTCCTATTTACTTACCCATAACTAACATGTGACATGCCCTAGAATTTTAAGTATGTGTGTGTAATTTTTAATTATAAAAGTGGAATGATACTAAATATATTATTCAGCTAACTGCTTTTTTCATTTACTGTGTATTGCAAAGCTTTTATTTTATTACATGAGGCTTCATCTTACACTTTTGAAAGCCTCTACCTAGTTCTATACTAAAGGTAAGCTAGTTTATTTAATCGTTTTTTAATAAAAATTTAGATTTGAATAACTAAACTATAGCTATCCAAGCCTGTATGTGTGGTGGATATTTTCTAAAGAATGAATACAATGAGTGTGTCACTTCAAGGTAAATTACCTACTGTGTGTGTTGCAAATGGTAAAAACCAAACTCTGAAGTAAAAAAATTAGAGTAGAAGTCTTGTATCCACCACAGTAACCTTGACAGCTTCCCAGTACTTACAGGCTTTTCTGTTGACATGGTGATAATATTAATGCATGTGATTTGGGAGTATTGCATAATAAAATGTGTCAACATTTAGAAGCTATGCATAAGTTAGAGAACCAATATTTTCAAATGACATGATAAAATCATGCATGAGTAAATGATTTATTCAAAGTGCAAGATAGACCAATGAATTTTAATGTAATAGAGGATGAAAAGTTCATCACTATGGTTTCAGATTCCACACTGCAACTAACCTTTAAGTAACCACCACTTGTCACGTGTTGGTGTAATATGAAAGAATACTCAGTTATCTGTAAAGGCTATTATTAAAACGCTCCTCTCTTTTCCAATTACACAACTTCGGGAGGCTGGAAGCTCTTCATATGCTTCAACCAAAACAACACAATGAGAGGATAAAGAGGCAGATAGGAGAATCCAGCTGTCTTTTAGTAAGATGGATATTAAATATATTTGTAACATTGTAAAACAATGATTTCTTGTTATTATTTCTTGTTATTATTTTTGAAGAAATAGTTACTTTTCTTAGAAGGTGCTATTTAGATGAACGCAATTGTTGCATTATTCTAACTTTAAAAACATTGATAAATATTTAAAACAATTTAAGTTTAAATTTCTAATATGGTAAATAGATATAGACATGACCCACATACACAGACTCTGGAGTCTTCAGTAATGATTAAGAGTATAAAGATCCTCAGATCAAAAAGACTGAAAATTACTCTTCTGGGCTAAGCATTCAGAAAATGTTTAGTACAAAGACATGAAAAGCATGGAGTAGACAAGGAGTCATTTGGTATGATTGAAATGCAGGTAGTATGGCATGAATTGATGTGAGATGAAGTAGGGAATGACGTGATGTTGAATGTCTTGGTCTGCCAAAATAAGCAGCTTAAAAAAAAAAACCATTTTATTTAGGTATAGTTTACACATCATACAATGCACCAAAAAGTGTACACTCAATCTTTTTTGGTATATTTCATTATAATTTTTAAAATTGGGGCAAATATACATGTATATCCACATATATAAAATAACATTTGAGATTTTACCCATTTTTAAGTGTACAATTCAGTGGCTTTTATTACATTTCCAGTATTTTGCAGCCATCAACACTATATTTCTAAAACTTTTTCATCACTTCAAATAGAAACTCTGTGTAAGGCAATATCTCCCCATTTCCCCCTTTCCCTGGCCCTTGGTAATGGATATTTTCTGTCTCTATGAATTTTCTAATTCTAGATATTTCATATAAGTGGAATCATCATGTATTTGTCCTTTGCGCCTGGCTTGTTTCACTTAGCATAGTGTTTTCAAGGTGCATCCATGATATAGCATATATTGGAACTTCATTCTTTTTATGGCTGAATAATATTTCACTGTATGTACATACCACATATTTTTATCCAGTCATTTGTTTAAGGACACTTGGGTTGTTTCTACAATTGGCTATTATGATTAATGCTGCAATGAACATTGGTGTACAAATATCCAAGATAAGATGATGAAAAAAACGAGAGTGTTGTAATGCTAATACATATATATGTATATATATATTCATATAATAGAGTATTAAAAGTAGGATTTATATTTCATGAGATCACTCAGTGTTATGTTTAGGTCTGATGAACTGTAAGGGTTGTGAGTGCCGTGTCTGAAGGCAAAGATGCCCTAGGAGGTTTTGTCATATTTTAGATCCTGTTTCAACCGTAGTAAATTAAACTGAAAACATTTTAATTAAAGTATACATACAATCAAATCACTCTAATTCTGTCATCCAAAATCAAAGCCAGTAGAATCCATGACACTTTACTGACTGTAGGGAAGTGTTGAAACATATGTAGGGAAGTGAAACATGATGGCCAAGAGTTTGAAACATCGGTCGAGCCCAGGGTTCAAATCACAGTTTGCTGTTTGTTTCCTCTGTACTTCTATGTGTTTATTTCCTTACCTACAAAATGGAAAATCAACCCATACATTTTCTATGAAAATTTTATGAGAAAGTGTATCTAAAGAATATATAAATAAGCATGATTTTAATATAAAATTATTGTACTGTATTTGTGACACATTTGTGGATCATTTAGGACAGTGGTCCTCAACCTTTTGAACAACAAGAACTGGTTTGATGGAAGATAATTTTTTCATGGACGAAGGCAGGGGATGGTTTTGGGATGAAACTGTTCCACCTCAGATCATCAGGTAATAGTTAGATTCTCAAAAGGAGCACACAATCTGGATCCCTCATAATAGGGTTTGCGCTCGTATGAAACTCTAATGCCATTGCTGATCTGACAGCAGGTGGAGCTCACATGATAATGCTGAGTCACCTGCTGCTCACCTCCTGCTATTCCTCCTGGCTCCTAACAAGCCATGGACCAGTACTCATCTGTGGTCCAGGGGTTGGCAACCTCTGATTGAGGACAATGATTTTTGTCTTAAATTATTTTTAGCATATGAATTAGAGTAGTTAGACAATCAGAAATAATTACAATAATTATAGATATAAAGTAGTGCATTAAGGTCTGACTAAAACTTAAAAAATATAATTAGTCTGTATTGATAGTTTATACGAATCTTTCTGAATATCCTCCCTACCACACCCCACCTCCTGCCAAGAAGTTGCCCTTTGCTTAACCATTGCAATCCTCTCTGAAAGCTTTTTAGGTGAATGTATAGTTTAACTTGCCAGACCAAAAAAGAAAACAGACAAAACAAATCAAAACTAAAACCCTCAAAACACCCAGTTATTGGCACATATAAATAAATATAAGTAAGATGTAAAATGTGTTTCCATCTAGGTATTCCATTTTATTAAATCTGAAAAACTATATGTTCTTTTGTTATATCTCTAACTTGTTACCCAAAATTATTTTCATGTTTTTAAGTATTCATGTTTTAAGTATTTAACTAGATTCATATTTTTAGGTGTTAAAAATATCAGAGAGTTCTAAATTTCACTATCAGATTCAGACTTTGATCCTTCATATAGCTGAATATAAGAAATGGATGGGATAAAGGCTTTCTTCTTTAACTTCCCAATTCACATAGAATGAACATTTTGGCCTCAGGTTTAAAAGATGACAATAGCCATAAAATACAATTCAATATTTATTAAGTGCTTACAGTGTGCCATAGATTATTAGGTATGAGCGAATAAGGATGAAAATGTCTTCCTTCTACCCTTTGGAAGTTCACAGTATAAAAAGAGGAAAATGCAGTAGTTCACTTTTCCTATGAAGAATCAAGATACCTGGTGAAGACACTGTTAAAAGTCTACACTTTTAGGCCATTTCTGACTTTAAAACCACAGTAACGATTTATAAAATATATTTAAAATGAAAATTAGAGATAGCTAATCTCAAAAAGCAAGATAGACTTTTCTTTGAGTGATAAACAGAACAGAAATACAAAGCAGAGAAAATGACTGAAACAGAATTCTGAGATTCCAGGCTACATAGATGCTACAGAGAGACAGCATCTAAAAAGAATTTACTTAATCCAAGGACTGGGGAATACTGCCCCACAGGGAAGCAAGCCTGAAATAAAGCTGTGCCATCTACTGTTAGGCCAATGACTTGTAGGAAGTGACTAACCCTAGAAGCTTAGAGGCCACAGAAACTGCCTTATGACCAGCTCTGATGCAAGTCCATTGCAAGTTATTGACTCTACAAGCTCTCATATGCTCTGTGGAGCAAAAACTCAAATGAATTATGAAAGAGAGGGCTGCAGTTTAAGACGCAGAGGCTCAATGAAGTCCACTCTAAAACCACCCAGTAGAGAGAAGTGAGTACTAAAAGAGAGGTTAAAAAATAACCCCTTTAGGATGCTCAAATTCAATTTCCACAACACATGGATTCTTAAGAAAGACAGCTTAAAAAACCCCACCAAGCAGAAGATGAATGAAAATGAAAATGATAGGAGAATCTGAAGAATATTTACTTGGGGTTCATCAAAGAAGCAAAGAAAAAAAAAGTATGAAAAGAACAAGAAATAGGGACATCCAGGAGGCCAAATATACATATGTAAGAAAAAAATTTGTTAAAATTAAAACAATTGAATATCTTGGAAATAAAAAAATATGATCACTATAATTAAAATTAAAAAGTAATCTTTATTGATAAAATAAAAATTATATTGTACTAGTGAAAGTGATAATGCATAAATAAGATGCTAATTCATTAATAAGAAATTAATTAATGTTAGAGGCAGTAAGATACAAAAAACATGAGAACACTTGTGAAACTTGGAGGATAAACTAATAGATTTAATAGTCTTTTAGCTAATAAATGTTGACAAATGGCAAAGAAGAGACAGATGATAGAAAAGTAATACTCAAAGTGATAATGACACAGAGTTTACTAGAAATGAAGAAAGAAATGTCTCTAGATGGGAAATTTGCTGTAAGCGTTAAGAATAATTAAATTAAGTCAGCAATTGAAGTAAAACTGCAGAAGATCATGAAAAAGGGAAAATCTTAAGATGCTACCAGAAGTAGTAGACACTATCTGCAGAAGGAAGACAATGGTATTTAAACAGACTTCTCATCAGCAACAAGAGTAAAATCTTCAGACTACTAAGGAAATACATAATTCTATAACTGAATTATTAAAGATGGAGGGAAATAACATTTGTTTTAGGAATATAAAGTCAGTAACAATATATCTATGTATTCCCACTAATTAAAAAAATATAAAGTAATGGCGTAAGGAACTTAACAGCTTCAAACTTAAACTAGTGTCCTTAAATGCCTGTAATCTAAGTTAACAAATTTCACATTTTACACTGTAGCTAAGTATATATGTTTCTGTTTTACCAAAGAATATGCTTATTTAGTGGGATGCATTCTGATGTTTTGTTTTAACTAAACATAGCATATTTTTTAAAAAAAGCAAATATTGCTTAATATAAATTCAAATGGTGTCCCTACATCCAATGACTAATCGAGAAATGTGATTAGGCCTGGAGCGGTGGCTCATGCCTGTAATCCCGGCACTCTGGGGAGCTGAGGTGGGTGGATCACTTGAGGCCAGGAGTTCGAGACTAGCCTGGCCAAAATGGCAAAACCCTGTCTTTACTAAAAATACAAAAATTAGCTGGGCATGTTGTCGTATGCCTGCAATTCCAGCTACTCAGGAGGCTGAGATATGAGAATCAGTTGAACCTAGGAGGCAGAGGTTGCAGTGAGCCAAGATTGCACCACCATACTCCAGCCTGGGTGACAGAGTGTGACTCTCCACGCCCCCCCGCCACCCACCCCAAAAAAAGTAATGTGATCTTAAAAAAGCTATTCTTAAGCTAGTAATAACAACAAAGTATTCACAAAACATTAACATAGAAAATTTTAAAATGTTTATGAAGGACATAAAAGATAATCTTAAAGGGGGAGAGTGTTACTTTCATGATGCAAAAAGTCAATTTCCATAGCCATGGAAAATTATCCCAAATTATCTGTAAATTTAATGCAATTCAAAATGCCAAAATGTCTCAGTGTGGTGGCACACACCTGTTGTTCTAGATCCTTCGAAGGCTGAGGTGGGAGGATCTCTTGAGTCCAGGGTTTTGAGGCCATAGTGAGCTATGATTGCACCACTGCACTCTAGCCTGGGTGACAGAGTGAGACCCTGTTTCTAAAAACAAACAAAAAGCAGCCAAAATGATATTTTAATGAAACTGCACATGTTGATAGTAGAATTCACATAGAAGAGCAAAATATCACCAATTGCCAAGGCAATTTTAAAGAAATATAAATTTGTAGTCTCTCCTTGACACAATTGTCTTTATTATTAAAAAGTGAAAGTAATTAACACAATATGATATTACCAATAAAAAACAATTAAATGAAAAAGAACAGAGGGCTCAGAGGCAGATCCATATTTATATATAACTTTTATGTAAATTGATTATACATTGCCTAGTTAGCATTACAAATAAATTGAAAAATAATGAATTTAATGAATTATACTAGAACAATTTATATGCAAAAAATGAAACAAAATGTTATCTCCAACTCAAACTATATTCAAAAATTCAAGTATTTTAATGGTGCAAATATGATGAGCTTTTTAATATCAAAGAATACAGAATATCTTTATAAACTCAGGGTAAGAACAGATTTCACAAATGATACACAAAAATCAGGAAGTATAAGTTTAGTATATTTTATCTCATTGAAATTAAAAACTCTTTGCAGCAGAAGCTATGTAGAAATTTAAAAGACAAAACAAAACACTAGTGGTGTATAGTTGCAATCCTTAAAACCAACAAAGGATTACAACTGAAGTTTATAACATACCATTACAGAGATGAAGATAAATATGGACAAGTTATGCTAGGGGACAGAAAAGGAAATATAATCATACTAAAGTATAGTCAATCTCTCCAACTATTAAGAAAATTTATAATGAAACAGTGAGATTTTTCCACCCATAATTTGTGAAAAGTTTTTAAAAGTTTTGTAATGAGAAAAAACCAGACTTTCACACACAATTGATGAAAATTACAATTTTGTACAACTACTCTGAAGAGCTATTTGTAACATTTTGAAATTTTGAAATGGTTCATATACTTTCACCTAGCAATTCACACTTTTAGAGAGAATAATGGTTCATTGTGCAGTACTTAAAAAAAGAACTAGTGCTACATCTATTTACATAGTTATCTTAAACACAATTTGATTAAAACAAATAATACAACACAATAAAAATATTCTCAAATGATATGGTTGATGTGATATTGAAAACTATGTAAACAATACAACATATTGTTTTTGAAATAACATAGTAATATTTTCAAATTTTAGCAATTTTTTGATAATTATATAATCATTACGTGAGGCGTTTTCATTAGAAACAGAAGGCAACTCCCTGTACTAATTTTTGAAACTTTTCTGTAAGCCTAAAATTAGTTCAAAATTTAAAAATTAAGCACATTAAAAATCATACACCATCAACATCTTGCTTTCTCTGGAGAGATAAAAGAAAAAAAGAAATGGTATTGAGAGAACTATATACTTTCAACAATAGCTATAATAAGATTGTTCTTAATAATATGAAGCATTTATAGCAAAATGGTAAGGTTTCTCAAGTCATATTCTCTCTACTATTCTATACATCTAAAACATTTAATAAAGTATAAATAAATAACTTTCAAAATAATCACTTTTCAATATTAACATAGATACCATTAGTAAATTAATTGGTCAAATCTCATACATATGCATGTTTGGAATTTAATTGCATTAGCAACCATGTTGAATGACATGATAGGTGCCTGCTATCTGCCCTTCTTTTCTCTTTATATTTATAGACATTGACTTTTGTTTAATCTCCAGCTTGATACTGTCAACAAATTGCAATGAGATATAATTCCCACATTTGTGATTAGGATTCAAACTTGTGAATAATAGCTTTATAATATTTTTAGATTGCTTTTTCAAGACTCCTGATAGCAATACTTCACTTTTTTTTTTTTTTTTTGAGGTGGAGTTTTTGCTCTCGTTGCCCAGGCTGGATTGCAATCCAGCCTGGATTGCATGATGTTGGCTTGGCTAACCACAACCTCCGCCTTCCAGGTTCAAGTGATTCTCCTGCCTCAGCCTTCCAAGTAGCTGGGATTATAGGCATGTGCCTCCACGCCTGACTAATTTTGTATTTTTAGTAGAGACGGGGTTTCTCCATGTTGGTCAGGCTGGTCTTGAACTCCCAACCTCAGGTGATCCACTCGCCTTGGCCTCCCAAAGTGCTAGTATTACAGGCGTGAGCCACCGCGCCCTGCCAATATTTCACTTTTAAGTTATATTTCACTGGAAATATGTTTCTCTCTTCTGTTAAAAGGGCTATGTGCTTATTGTTTAGGAGTGTTTCAAAACACATTTGATTTTGTTAATTGTTCTTTTTTTGTCTTAAAAAGGCTAAAAAATCAACTTTTAGAATGCATATAGTTTTAATTTGATCATAGAATACAGACATTCGTTCTCAAAATGTAAAAATTTTAGCTTTTCAAGTTTCAGTTTTCATAAAACTGAAAAGGATACTTTTAGTCATCTACATTTATTAGCTAAATCAATTTTAAGATTACCTATTTAGATAATTACAACTACTGGAAAGGTCTAATGGAGCATTGTTTTATTAGGTACTGAAGTTGCTAAGATAGGAAAAGGGTAAAAATAAAAGATGAAGTTGTCCATAGGGAGTTAGCAAGATGGGAAGCATAGGTTAATTTTTATGGTCCAAAGGAAGAGAAAGGGTTACATGGTCATTGATTATGGAGAGTAGAACCTGGAGTCAGTCATGATTAGTGAAAAGGAAAAAAAATATGAAATCTCCTCTTCATTTTGTTGCAAGCTATAAATTAGTTTCAGTCTGGCTTCCATGAATTCAAAATTTCCTGAGTCTATCTCAAAAGATGTCCTGTGGTAGATGTAGGGGAAGAAAAATCATTTCTTCTATTCTCTTAGCTTCTGTGGCTGAGATCTGTGAATTAAACTGACAAAAGAAAGGTTAATAAGAGAAAAAGCATATGAATTTTCTTTGATGTTAATCTTTGCATGTACAAGGAGCCATTCATTGAAAAAAAAAAGTAAAGACCTGAAGTAAAGACCCGAAGAAGAGGTTAGACCCGGAAGAGTGATATGCCCTTTTAACAAAGCATGAGAAATTGTGGAGACCTTACTAGACAAAGGAAAGGGGTTGGAGATTGTACAGGCTGTAAATTATGGGAAGATAAATGCATGCTGTAAATTAATGGAAGATAATGGTTATTTTGTAAGGTTTTGTTTGTGTGGATTCTTCTCGGTGCTTTCTTCTTCTCTGGTGATAAAGGTTTTTTTTTCAGGTCTGAGAGAGGGGGACACCTTTAAGAAGGGAAATTTATGCTCTGATATTCTTTAGATGGATGAGCTTTTCCTGTGTCTATTGTTTCTCAATTGCTTTCAACTCAGAATAATCCTATGTCAATGATGTATATTTTGGGATGGAAAGTTTTATATTGAGAATTAAAACCATAACAAGACATAAAGCTGAAAAGTTTTCTGCATAGGTGTTCAGGCTTGGGAGACTGCCCCAGTACATCATGTTAGAAATTCTAACAAGGTTTCTGTTTGCAGAATCAGAAAGTCCTGAGTTATATCCGTGTGAAAGAGAGTTATAGCCAATCTTTGTTATAAAACTTGAACTTTACTAGAAACCTGTGGTTGGCTCTGGAATTATTATAGTTAGTGAGGCTGATTAGGAATGGATAGAAGGATGAACAGAAGGAGAACTGGAAAACTGACACATCCATCACAAGATAGAGATGCTGGGTGGACTTGGGAATAGTGATTCATATATGAATTAGCGTCCCAATATTAGATCACTGCCAAGTAAGCTCTGTATAGGTGAAGGAGGCTGGGGATACTGAGGTTCCTAATTCTTGACCAGAGTTATTTCTGTTGTTAAAAGAAAAACTTCACCCAAGTTAATTTTAAGGGAGTTTAATTGAGCAATGAACGATTCACAAATTGGGCAGCCCCCAGAATCACAGCAGATTCAAAGAGACTCCAGTGCAGCCACGTGGTGGAAGAACATTTATAGACAAAAAAAGGGAAATGACATGCAGAAATTGGAAGTGAGGTACAGAATAGCTGGACTGGTTACAGATTGGCATTTGCCTTATTTGAACACAGTTTGAACACTCAGCAGTGTATGGATGTTTGAAATATGGCCACTGGGATTGGACAAGACTCAGCTATTGTTATAGGTGCATACTCCTAAATTAGGTTTTCAATCTTCTCTACCTATGAAGTTAGGTTGCAGTTCGTCTACAGGGACTCATATATAGAATATGAAGTTCTTCTCAGGCCATATTTAGTTTGCTTTAACACTGTACTGAATGCCATTTTAAATTTAATTAAATATGTTTTATTTTAATTCATAGTCTAGGACTTCAAAGATTAGATGATATCAATTAACTTTGGTTACAAAACAAACCATTCCAGAATTCAGTGACTTAAAACAACTGCTTATTTATTCTACTATTTGTGGGCTGACTATGTAGCTCTTCTCATCTGTGTTAGCTCTTCAAATTTCTGTAACCAGCTGGTGGGTCAGATGGTGCTGGATGATCAAGATGGCCTCTCTCATATGCCTGGCAGTTGGCAGACTATATGCTGAGTAACCAGGCCACAAGTCTGTAATTATCCAGTAGGATGCCTTGAGATGGTCTCAGGGTTCCACATGAGAACTGGCTCAATATGTGAAGATATTTTATAAGTCTCTGCTTGCACAGCAACTGCTAATGTCTCACTGGCAAGTCACATGACCAAGTTCAGATTCAAGGATAGAGAAACAGACTCACTTACTGATTGGGAAGAGCTGAAAATGGGCTGCAAACATATATGGAGGGGAAGAATGTGTACCTTCTGCAATCCATGCAGTGGATAGGTTATTATCCTATTTCCAGAAGCTCCTAAATAATACATTAAACTATGGCCTCACTTTGTAAAACTCATTTTCTTTTTTTTGTTTTATCTGTTATATTCCTTGAAAACCAATAGTAGATTATGATAATCACATGTGGTTTATCCATGAGCTATAAATCAATCTATATGTGATGGTGAAGAGATAAAATGAGATGGGAAAGGATTATTTAATAGGGAAAAGAAATAACAAAACTATAAAGGGGTCAATAGATTTAATGACATTGGGTTGATTCTGTTACCTTCAAGAGTATAAGTGTTTACATGTGTAGCTCAAATAATGCTGATTTTTTTTTCTCACAAGTGTGTCATAATTAGTTGCTATGAAGCCACTTTAAATAACCCCATGTTTCTGTGTAAAAAAACAATTGGCTGATTTTTTTTTTATAGTTTTGACTTGAATGAGGTAAGTTGTAAGTGACAACTAAGGGAAAACAATCCATGATGTAGGATTAGAAGCAGCATTTTTCATAGGAAGTAATAAAAGACAGTGTACATATTATAACTTTCCTTGTGAGAGATTTATGGCAGGAAGTGAGCAGATGAAATCAATATACTGTGAATTATAAATAGATCTTTGAGGGGCTGGGTGATGAATTCAAAATTTCTAAGAAAACAGTAGATCACCTGTGGAAATGAGCAAGGGCACAAGTGAATTCAGGGTTCCCCTTGAAAGATGATTATAATTTGCAGGAGTGAAGTTTCCTGTTATTGTTTGAAAAAGCAAAATATTTCAATTTTATATACCTACTAAAAGGTATATGAAAGTCTTGGGTTTTTAGACTTATATGCAAGAATAAACAAGCTTTACCAGAAATAAAGAAGTTTTATTTACATATTCAACCTACTATTGTGAGCTTTTCAGGATATCTGGTTAAAAATACTGAGAGAGAGAGAGAAAGAGTATATTAAAAGAACTTGTACTAAAAAAAAAATCATGTGGATATCAGTTTCTCAGGACAGAAATCCATTTACAGATTTTTTTCTTAGTTGAGTTTTAATTACATAACTTTAAGAGGGACATAATTAAAGATGAGATTATATGCCAAATCTTTTCCCAGTTAGCCTTATTTGCAACGCCTAGGATAGCATACTATGTGGCTTAGATTGTCATTCTTGCCATATTCAATTGAATACTTTTAGCTGTCTAAACCTTATTAACTTTTTAAGATTTTTATAAAGTAGAATTTACAATGTATAGTCCTGTACTTCACTGATATGTAAAAGCATGTCAGGGACATGTAGAGAAACCTGTGTTACCCATTCCCTCCTGTAACTACATCCCATGATTCCTTTCCATTTCCTTGGGCAATTTAAGCCCAATGGTCTTCCTTCTACTTTTCCTCTTCTCTCAGAAATCTTTCCGGATGACTTTGGATCTCATCACTCTATGTCACTGCTCTACCCAACGTCCTTGAACTTAGTGTTCCTTCTATTTGAGCAAAATCTGTTTACATCACATCTGGCCTACTCTATCATATCAGTTAGTCTCCTTTTTTCTTTACCTGCATCCTGTAATCATTATTCTGCATTTCTCACAACATACTTCATTTAATTCTGTGATGACCACATTCCATTTTTTTTAATACCAAACTTGGACCAAAAGATAAGGCATTTAGTGCTGTTCCTACCACTTTCCTATACTATAAAATGTTACCTTCTATATTTCCTGTTTCTGACTCTACATATGCTGTTCCCATAGAAACTTCCTTCCTATCGATGGACATATTTTCCTTCTTAGAGAGCTCAATCATTATAATGATTTATACTGAGACCCTCATTATTTATTATGTCACCAAGTCCACATTTCCTAATTTACCTCATCACAAATGGACCAGTGTCCATTTATGAAACATTCCTGTTGTATGTAAATGCCAACTCACAATTTACATACTGAAGTCATTTTCCCACCTCAAATTGGAACCCCTCCTATTTTCATCAATAAAAGTATTACTTTTCTTCCCAGTCAGGATCCAACCTCACTATTATTATTTTATAATAATGATTATTATTTTAAATTTTTATTTTCACTCTCCCTTCTCCTGTATCCCCTGAGCCATTTATTCACTAACTACTTTTCTTATCAATCTTCACCATTATAGGCCAGGTTTTCATTCATTTATTACTGAATGATTGCTAGCCTTCTATTTGCTTTCCCTGCCTTGAGTTTCTGGAGTTTTCTATATATCATGAACAACACTTAATTGAGTTAGTTCCTAAAACACTGATTTATATTTTCTGCATCTCAAATTGTAAAGCATTTACCTCCTCTCCAGATTTTATGTGATGTCCAACTAGTTAATCCATCTCACCACAAATCTCCCTACTACCTTAAATCCACCCTGTCCTCTAGTCCTACTCACATCCTTTTTATCTTAAAAACATGTTCTTTCTTAACCACATGTTTACTCCTGTAACTAATCTAGAATGGAAAGGACTTTATGGCCTTCCCAGTGGTCTATATTTTGGAGCATCTATAAAATTTAGTTCAAATCCCTTCACACCATGAAGTTCAGTCTTTTTTGCGCTGCAGCCCACAGTGATTTCCCTCTTTTAAAACCGTTCAGAACTTGTCATGTGTGCTGAATATCTTTATCACTTCCTTATTTGCTGCCTACTACATGCTTGCCTTTTGTTTTATTTTTATCTATAAGATCTCCCCAAAGATATGTTAAGTGGTTCTAGACAGGATCCATTGGATATAGTCTTTTCTGCACCTCTTCTAATCAAAAATAGAAGTTGTTGCTTAGTAGATAATTTTAAAAAGTGATTTTATTATGAATTCACTATGTGTCAGCTATATAATTAAGTTTTAGGGGACTTGTCTGAAAGCTTCATTTGCAGAGTAAAAGCAATTCTTTGACTGATATTGTTTGTTTGGTTGAACAGAACTGTTCGTCAGGGAAGGGAATATGAACCTCTATGTGAAAGTTTTAACTACAGAATATTGGTTAAAAGCAAAGATTGTAGATTCAGGATGTTTATCTAGATTGAACCCAGCCTGTCTTCTCCTGTTCACCAGTTACAAGCTGTGTCTTTAGGCAAATTATTCAACTTCTCCTTGCCTCAGTTTTCCCTTTTAGAAATAAGGATTATGTTAATAGCAAAATTAGAAGCATGATAAGACTCAACAAGTTAATAAATGCTGGTTGGAACAAGGCCTAGGACTTAGTAATAAATTGGCACAAACAATTTTGAGTCTTTATCTTTATTTCTCTTTACTGATCCATTTTCTGAAAACTATTCATAACTATAAATTAATAGAATCTAGCCAGCATGTAAAATGACAACCATAGCATACATATATTTTGAAGAACAGGTGTACTTGCTTTCTTCAAACTTTCAAATACTGTGAATGAAGAAAGTAGAGGGTCCCTCTCCTTAGGGAAATGAGAAGGAGTTAGGATTCCAGAGTTCTCCACTCATCTCACAGTGTTTTTTGAATATTTGCACATGACTGATACATGCTATGGACACTATAGGAGATTTTTTAAAATTACATGACAGAAGGGATGCATGCTTTAACAATAGAATATGCATGTATGAGTAGCAAAAATAAGGGGGTAGAGATGAAAAGACAATAGAAAGGGATGTAATCAAGATGACAGAATATGTTCCTATTGTTAGAAGCATTTGATTTTCCAAAGATCCAAACACTTCTCTGTCTCCAACCCCTCGCATCTTGGGCCCAGATTATAATTTACCTTAGCTAGCATGCCATTATAGAGACAATCAGAGCCTAAAAACTAAAAATATAAAAAGGGATGTTGGTAAATAAGTATGCATTAGAAATACAAGAATGTCTATATCATGTAATAAAGCACATTTTAATGTTTCTTTTGCCTCATCCCTTTTCAGCCTTCAGAATAATAGAAATGTATATGAGTATGTGTAGAATGATAGCTAAAAACAAAATGTATCTGTAATCTATGAATATCTGAAAATGGCAAAAACTTCTCTATTTTTGTTTTATTCACAAAACTGGGATTCGGATGGGCTAGACGTTGTAAGATGAACTGGCAAGGCAGGTTATTTGATGGTGTCCTGCATGCTTAGGGTGACAGGATTGCTTAGGCCTGGAACAGCAAGTGTCTGTGAAAATGCCTCTTGGTTGTACCTATTAGTCTGATAAATAATACAGACAAATTAGATTAATTTAGTCACCATTCGAAAGACATCTACATTAACCATCTTTTTCTGCCAGCATTAGAGAACAGAGTTCAATGAGAAGATGAACATTGATTTCAAAATTAGTAAAAAAGAAACATAATTTTTTAAGTAATTTTTCACCCAGATGGCATGAGCCATGCATTTGTACATAGAAGCCATATTCAGTAATTGATTAAATACCTCTCATGTAGCATGAGACATTTACTTATAACCTATTTTATAGATTCCGTCATTTTTTTCTCACTCTCTGATTTATCCTCATTGGTATTATTAAAATATATATTCAGAATGAAAGGGAGAAAATTTGAAAAGTAGCAACATTTTAGACTGATATTGGTATGTATTCGGTTGGTGCAAAAGTAACTGCGGGCTTTGCCATTGAAAGTAAAGGCGCGTCACGTAGCCCACAACATCCAGGGGGGCAAGCCGCGGGCAGCCCGGCATGGACCCCTCAGTCTGCCAGGGCCCAGGCGCAGGGGGCCGCGGAGCTGTTTCGGGGTCGGCTGCTGCCTAGCGCATGGAAGGCATCCCCTAGCCCGGAGGCTGGCTTTGCTACAGCTGACCACTCCTGTCAGGAGAGAGAGACTGAGAAGGCTATGGATCGACTAGCCCGGGGAGCACAGAGTGTCTCTAATGACAGTCCAGCCCGGAGTGAAGGCACCCATTCTGAAGATTTGCTGTAAATGCGGAGGACTCGGATGGAATACCTGGGAGCTGAGAGAAGGGACAAACTGTCCACCCAAGGAACAGCCTGGCAATCTTTTTAATGAAGACTGGGACTTGGAGTTGAAAGCAGATCAAGGAAATCCATATGATGCTGACGACATCCAGGGGAGCGTTTCTCAAGATCTCAAACCTTGGGTCAGCTGTGCCCCAAAAGGAGACATGATCTATGACCCCAGGTGGCACTATCCACCTCAACTGATAACCCATTATTCCAAGATGGTCTTTGAAACAGGATAGTTTGATGATGCTGAAGATTGTGTGTGGAGTTTTCTGCCTTGTAGGTGGTTGGGCCTCCAGGTCAAGATCTCTTTTCCTTTGAAGGTGAAAAGTCATATCTGAGAAAACATTCCCAGTGATCCCTCATCTGGGATACACAGACCAGTGTTCAATAACCCTCCTATTGTTCTCCCCAGTCTGCTGTTCTTAATGGGATCCTCCTTGGAATGCGTGTGTTCTTTGTAAATTAAGGTTTAAAAAAAAGGAGAAAGAAAAAGAAAGTAATGTCAAAGCCCGCAATTACTTTTGCATCAGCGTAGTCTGCCATTCTGAATAGGTATTAATGACAAAAGATTTATTTATTTAAACTGCAGGAAGTGTAAAGCAAGGACTGTTTTCTACACGTACTCTAATGAAGGGTTTTCTTTCTGTGTAATTTGCATATATGAGCTACTCAGATTCAGATATAAGGAAGAATCAGGCTCATATTTTCTGAAATGTATATCTGAAGTAAACATTCTAAATCAGATTTATTACGTATCTACTCTGCTAAACAATTGCAGTGTATTGGTTGGGCCATTCTGTCTCTTGTCTCAGGTTAAACATTGAGTGTACTGTTTCCTTGCTTATATTTCACTTGGTTCACATGCTATATACTTCAGGTTCAGTTTAGCTCTTTCTTTCACCTACAAGGTGCACGCACACACACACACACACACACACGCAATACTCTCAAGCTAGAGAAAAGTGTGTCTTCCAGTTCCCACAAATGATTTGCACCTAACCTTATTACAATATTGTTATTTTTCTTTTATTTTTTTATTCCCTAATAGCTTCTCTGCTGTATAAGCACAGAAACTGTGCCTTGCTCATCAGTATACCTGCAGCCCAGCCCAAGGCAAGTGTCCAGGACACTCTGTTGACTATTGTTCCAAATGCCTTTGGGACAGTCTGACCCTGGCCACAGAGTTCCTGGGACTTAATAAGTAATCAATGCATATTCATCAAAGGAAGGAATCATATGCTCTCTGAAAGTTGAGATTCTTGATCTCATGGAATGTACAAAGTAGGAGAGAAAATCTTAGCAGCAGAAATAACCACAAGTTAGTGTGATACCAGTGTGGTACGAATATAGACAGAATTATACAGCACACATAGTAAAGTGAAGTCTCCTCCAGCAGGGATGATGAAAGAAGCCTCACAGAGTAGATGGTCCTAAATGCCCATTCTGTCGCATTATAATGAGCTCTGACAAATAACCATAAGGATGAAACACGTAACTGTTTTACAGTTGTTAATATTTTAAGGTTATTAATATTTTCTGAAAATAATATTAAGACAACAAACATGCATCTTACATAAAAATCATCTGATGACAAATATGTTCTTAAAATAGAAGAGACTTCAGAATGTGGCATATAGTTACATCCACACATGCCTTTCTTGTTTCTCCCATTCATGAAATTTCTTAGGCATAGCACATGAATCTCATCTATATGACTGTTTACTTTACTTGGTGAGTGCACAGGAAGTACTCCTTTTTTTCTTTAGTGTTGAGTTCCATGAAAAAATAATTTATTTGGTAGTAAAGATAGAAACGTGATTTGAATCATCCCAACAAAAGATGAGCTTTGCTTAAACTTAGTGTTTTTAATATCTATGATAGAGGAGAAAGAATCCCAATTAGTTGCCAAGTAGTATAATATTTTTGCACAAAATACCATTGAAATCTGAAATTATTACCTCCCTATAGTCTTTTTTTCGTTAAATTATCATTTTTATTCTTATTTAATTCAATTTGCCAAATATTCATTTAGTATCTACCAAGAACAGTGTCAGCTTAGTCTCATTTAAGACAAATATTAAAAGCGCTATCATTTTATAAGTAATAGTATTCCTTGCACTCATCTCTTTAACAGAAGTACTCTGCATCAGGTTTAGAAATACATAGAAATGAGATTTATTTATTTTTTATTGACAATAATGGAGTGTTTCATTTCACTGATATGAAAGTATTATTTCTTAATATAAATTATTACTCTTTTGACTTTAGCTGTGAATGAATTAATAGATGATGCTCATTTATTTATTCCTTCTTTTCTCTTTATTTCATTTGTTCTGCAAATATTTACTGTGTATTTAATATATGCTAAGTGTTATGGGAATATGTGATTCAGTGTTTCTTCGGCACTCTTCATTTGGAAAGTCTGAAATAATGCAATTTATATATAATACTAGCAAAACATAGTCACATGGAAAACATCTGCTGTAAGCCATATTAAATTTTCCTTTGGTACCCATCATGAATGTGTTAACAACTTTGTTCAATAATGCTGACAGAGCTACTTTTAGGGAGTTTCATTTTCCTGTGACTTATACCCCACATTGCTTAGCTTTACAAATATATTTAATGCAGCAAACCATTTCACACAGCACTGCCTTTTAAGTCCCACAAAATCAATAGCATAATTTGCATGATTGTGGGACTGTTAGTATTTTCTGTTAGAAAGTGTAAATCATATTTAAAGATATACAAATAATATTCACACTTTTTCTTGCCTATGGCATCACAAAATTAGGTTTTTAGAGGTTCGTCTTACTCATTTTGTGATGAGACCTGGGTCACATTAGCTCACTCCTCACAAACGTAATGTTCATTGACACCTAGAGATATGTGGTAAGCCTGTTAAGGTTAAAATATGGGCTTTGGGAATAGTGAGACTTAGATTTGAATCCAAGTGCATCACTCATGATGATGCAATGTTCTTAAGCTCTACTAAAATTAGGTGGAAAATAGCATCAATTAATGAGGATTAATGAAAAGAATGACAATGCTATGCTTACCACAGTGCCTGCCAGATAAACAGGTCCAAGGGGCAGTCAGCAGTTATTTCATTGTAAAGGTAAAATAAATCTTAATTCAGTCTGAAGTAGCCACTGGAGAGAGTTTATTGCTCTTTTTGTTCCCATACTAATGTGGCCCACCCAGCCGCTTTTTCTCAAAGTCCAATAACGAGATGCAGACCAACTGGGAAAAAAGGGAGCTTATTTCTGCAACCCGCAAGAAGGTTGGGCCAACTTAAGACCAACTCAAAGTCACAAGTTTTTCTCCGGTGCACGTATACATTTAAAGCTCCATGCCTACGTGTGGGAGTGCATGGAGCTGTTTCAGCAGGAACCAGCAGGAGTGTTTCATTTAATCTCTGTCTAATCTTTAGGGTCTGGGGTCTGGAAAGCTTTCTCTAGGGCCTTGGAAAGTTTCTTACTCTTAAGTGGGCCCTGGAACGAGGTGTATGTGTAAGAATGATTTTATTATTGGATCAGACGTAGGGTGTCCAATCTTTTGGGTTCCCTGGGCCACATTGGAAGAACTGTCTTAGGCCACACTTAAAATTTACTAACACTAACGATAGCTGATGATCAAAAAATAAATAAATAAATAAGTAAATTAAATAAATAAATAAGTAAATTAAATAAAAAGTAAATAAATAAATAAACAAACCTCATAAAAAGTTTACCAATTTGTGTTGGGTCGTATTCAGAGCCATCCTGGGCTGCATGTGGCCCACAGGCTGTGTGTTGGAGAAGCTTGCTTTAGGGTCTGAGAAAACCCAGGTGGGATCTTGGTGGGTTTGATTCCACATTCTAGCCCTTATGCTCAGGCACCAGTTTCTCCAGTTCTTCAATGTTTAACTTACGTATTTACCAAATTCATAATAAAGGGGTCGTTGAAACTGACTGCTCTGGCTCCTAACGGAAACCCGAGCCACCACATTCTGACCAAGTTACAGTACGGAGGGGTTGATTTAATTTGTTCTTCCTTGATTCCCAAAACACTAAATGTACTCATTATGTTTTAACTTCATTCGCTACGTACTGGTAAAAAACAATGAATATTAGTATTTAAATGTACATCATTAGTTCATTAATGTACATTAGTTCATTGAAATTTCAGAATGATAAAGATGTTAAGAAGAGGAAAGTATAAAACCTGCTCTAGAAATAATTCCACTTTGGCGTTGACCAGACAGATGAACAGAAACTTAAGGGCTTTTTAAAAAAATTGTTATGAGCTGAATTATAGTCCTCTAAATTGATATATTGAAGTTCTAGTTCTCAGTACCTCCGCACATGAGTGTATGTGGAAATAGGGCCTTTAGCAAGGTAATTAAGGTAAAATGAGGTCATAATGGGTGGACTCTAATCTAATATGACTAGTATCCTTCTAATAGCAGCAAATTAGGACACAGGCAACACAGACCCAGGGAGAACTCTGTGAGGGCACAAGAAGGCAGCCCTCTGCAAGAAAAAGAGAGAGGCCTGGCCGGGCGTGGTGGCTCATGCCTGTAGTCCCAGCACTTTGGGAGGCAGAGGCAGGTGGATCAACAGAGGTCAGGAGTTCAAGACCAGCCTGGCCACCATGGTGAAACCCTGTCTCTACAAAAACATGAAAATTAGCAGGGCATGATGGCAGGTGCCTGTAATCCCAGCTACTCAGGAGGCTGAGGCAGGTGAATCGCTTGAACATGGGAGGCGGAGGTTGCAGTGAGCCAAGACTATGCCATTGCACTCCAGCCCGGGCGACAGAGAGAGACTCCATTCCCCCCCAACCAAAAAAAAAAAAAAAAGGGAGATTGAAGCCTCAGAAGAAATCACACTTGCCAACACCTTGGTTTTAGATTTGCAGCCTTCAGAACTGTGAGGAAGTACATTTTTGTTGCGTAAGCAACCCCATCGCTGGTATTTTGTTATGGCTGCCCTAACAAACTAATGCAATATTCAAAGGCTGAAACCAGTGAATTATTTTTAGAGGAAAATATGTAGGTTGAATTGGTATTAAGTTATATGTAGAATACATCCATTTGCTTACTTAAAGGGGAAAAAATGCCTTGTCCAGTCTTTAATGCTAATATGTTCTGAGGTTTTAAAAGCATTAAAATCTATACTGATTTTGAAAGTCTCACAGATAAGAAATGAAAACTACAACCTAAACATGGAATTTAAGAACATGAATCTTTCTAACAAATATCTCCTAAAATTACTCTTACATTTTATTAGCTTCTTATTCCAAAGGAAAGATATTTTATGAGAGAAAAAGCACACAAACACACAGATTTACATATATAATCCCGTAATTTCCTTCACCATCATCTTAAAACGCCTTTCATACCTGTCCACATCATTCTTCATGAATGTCTTTTTTGTTTCTTATAGGCAAAAAATAGAGGTATTCAGTAAATTGCCTCACTTCCACTTGCAGAATTAATTGGGTTCATTGGAGTATCATGATTAAGAATCTAGACTCTAAAATAAGATTCCCTGGGTTCAAATTGTGGCTCTGCTTTTTACTATTTGTGCAACCTCTGCAAATTATTAAGCACTGCATGTCCTAGTTTCCTCATCTGTAAAGTAGGATTAATGTTACCCATCACAACATAGCAAGTGCATAGAACAATGCCACTCATTCTCCTTCATGTGTGTATGTGTATTCAATTAATGTTGGCTTTTTTTTTTTTTTTTTTGAGACATAGTTTTGCTCTAGTTGCCCAGACTGGAGTGCAATAGCACGATCTCGGCTCACTGCAACCTCCACCTCCTGGGTTCTGGCGATTCTCCCGCCTCAGCCTCCCGAGTAGCTGGGATTACAGGTGCCTGCCACCAAGCCTGGCTAGTTTTTTTTGTATTTTTAGTAGAGACGGGGTTTCACCATGTTGACCAGGCTGATCTCGAACCACTGACCTCAGGTGTTCCACCCACATTGGCCTCCCAAAGTGCTGGGATTACAGGTGTGAGCTACTGTCACTGGCCTAATGTTGGCTATTACCTTTGTGTATACCCATTTTCATCTACTTCCATTTTTCAGTCATTGAGAAACGGTCCTTTCAAATCTAAACCTTATTCCTATGCTGTTGAAACCATTGTGTATGGTTTTTTTTCTCTCTCTCTGTTCAGTAAGCCTCCTCCTAAAGCTACAAAAATTCTCATTTCTCCTCTATACTAAAAAATAAAACTATAAACAAATTGCTCTCTTTCGTGGATCCCATTGTCCTCTCCACCTTTCCTATTGCCACCAAGGTTGAACAAGTAATCTATACCCACTGACTCTTTTCACTCTTTAAATCATTGCCATCTTTCACAAGTTCCCTCATTGCTCTGATAACAGACTCAGATGACTCTGTGGTTGACAAAGACAATGAACTCATTTCTGTTGAAATTGTTGACTACTCTCTACATCTGAAAATTTATTTCTCCTTGCAATCCTCTGACACAGTTTCATCCTGGTTCTCCTCCTGATTCTCAGACTACTCTTGTATAAATGCCATTGCTAATCTCTATTGACAACACTGCTTTTCTTCCCTAAGAAGTGGCAGTATTGTATGACTGTTTTCTATTTATCAAAAATAAATTGCAATGATTGTTCATTTGTTTTTGGCACATTGATATTTTGATATGAAAAACATGTTTTGAAAAACTAGAGAGTTAGAATGTTGTTTGCTGTATCTCTATTGTTTATGATAGTATTTGGTATATAATAGGTACACAATAAATATTTGTACATAATTTGATTTATTTTTTTCCTGTGAACTTTCACATCTTAAAATCTTTACAAGCAAAAAGAAATGTCCTATAATACAAGGGAGTAAGTCATTTATTGATGGATATCTGGAACCGTAAGTTAAACAGAAATCTATCTATACTTTTTAAATAGTATTAGCTAAAATTATTTTCAAGAATCCAAATCTCATATACATAAGTCTCAATTTCTCCTCCTGTTCTTAATCTGAAATGACAGTGTCTATTTAAATTTAAAAAGTCAAACTTGTAATGAAAGCAGCAAACTTATTTTGTGAAGAGAAGTTATCAAACTGCTTACCTTTATGATTGCATGCCTTGCAGTCTTATGGGATAATCTGTTGGAAGGAAATAAACAATAATTAATGGGGTGATTTTAAAAAAAAGTATTCTAAAGCATTGGCTTTAAATTTATGAATCAACAGTCAAATTTTAACAGCGGGATTATCCAAGAAATATCTCTTATTTTTAAATCATGTGGTTTTGAAACCTATGGATTGAAGGTATTTTTCCTGTATTAATAAGAGAAATATGCACTGTTATCTTATTTATTTTACCCAGAGCATATTTATTATATAATTACGTGCTGTAGGAAGCAAATTGTACTCTTGCGCTTTTATCTGACATAAATTAGCTAGGTCAAGAAAATTTTTTATACTTGTGAACTCTGGAATAACTCCTCCCCAGGAATGTTCCAGTAACACTGGCTATTGTTTATGTGAAAATAAGTACTTAGTTTTACATTTAATACAGTTTTCTTATCAAAAGCCTTTTAAATTTATTGTAGTAATTCTAAATTTCCTTATGACATTTTTCACAGCTTGACATAAAAAGATCAGCTTCTCTGTATTTTTTTTCTTGCATCAATAATGCTAACTTGTATCAGAGACACTGAAACATTGAGGTAGCAATTGATAATGAGAGCAGAATACGGCCTCATGTTTACCTAATTTTAAGTAACATTTTAAGGCAATTACAATATATGTACATATATATGTGTATGCACACACACATACATCTATTTATCTCTCTGTCTATATTATTTTATAGACACAGGGTCTTGCTCTGTTGCCCAGGCTGGAGTGCAGAGGTGCAATCATAGTGCACTGCAACCTCAAACTCCTGGGCTAAAGCAATTCTTTCTCCTCAGCTTCCTGAGTAGCTGGAACTACAGGAGCACCACCACAATCAGCTATTTTTTTTGTTTTTTTAACTTTTGTAGAGGCAAAATCTCACTGTGTTGCCCAGACTAAAATATTTTATTAAAATAAGTGTTAATTAAAGACTATTTGGTAACTTTCAGCACATTAAGAACAGTATGAAATAAATATAATTCAATTTGAAATGTTATAACTTAATCAAATGTATTTTATAGAGGCAATGCTTATTTTTAATTTTTAGTCACATTTTAGTTGAATTATTCACTTATTCTTTTTGGCATAAATTAACTTAAAATGCATGTTTGGCAAATGGGTGCAACTTTATTTATTAGCACCCTACTGTTAACTCTGTCTAAGTGTGCTGGTCAGTTTTATATGTCAACTTAACTAGGCTTTAGTCAGTTCTTCAATAAAACACTAACGTAAACAGTGTTGCAAAGGTATTTGTAGATATGATCAAGTCACAGTCAGATGATTTTAAATAAGGGAAATTGTCCTGGATTAGATAATCTGGATGGGCTCAATGATATTACAAGTTTCCTATAACAAGGAGACACATGAGTCAAAAGGCAGTGAGAAAAGGTGATATGATGATAAAAGCAGAGATTAGAATGAAGTGGCCACAAGCCAAATAATACCATCAGCCTCTAGAAGCTGTAAGATACAAACAGCAGATCCTCTCCCAGAGTCTCTAGAAGGAAGCAGCTCTGCTGACATCTTGATTGTAAGACTGAACCTCTTGAACTGTGAGATGATTTGTGTTATATAAAACCACTAAGTAATTTGTTACAACAGCATCAAGAAACAAATAGGAATTTTGTATCCTGGAATTGAAGTGCTGCTATAACAAATGTCTACGAAAAGAGTCAAACTATTCAAAATATTTAACCTCTATTAAAGAGGTTTATCCTGAGCCAAACATGAGTGACCATGGTCAGAGGCACAGTCTCAGGAGGTCCTGAGAACACGTGCCCAAGGTGTTTGGGTTACAGCGTGGTTTTATACATTTTAGGGAGACATAAGACATCAATCAACACATGTGAGACATACATTGCTTCAGTTGGGAAAGGCAAGACAACTCAAACAGGGGAGTCCTAGGTCATAGGTGGATTCAAAGAATTTCTGATTGGCAATTTGTTGAAAGAGTTCAATTGTTATCTAAAGATCTGGATTCAGTAGAAAGGAGTGTCTGGGTTAAGAAAAGGGGTTGTGGAGACCAGGGTTCTTATTATGTAGATGGAGTCTCATAGATGGCCACCCTTAGAGATAATAGATAGCAAATATGTCCTATTCAGACCTTTAAAAGGTGTTTGACTCTCAGTAAATGTCTTTGAGATTAGGAGGGCCTGAATGGAGAAAGAGCTGGTTATGTTATTAGAGGTTTACAGGACCATTCCAAAATATGTCAAAGAAATATATTTCAGGCAGTGGTTCATGCCTGTAATCTCAGCATTTTGGGAGGCCGAGGCAGGTGGATCACCTGAGGGCAGGAGTTTGAGACCAGCCTGACCAACATGGTTAAACCCCGTCTCTACTAAAAATACAAAAAATTAGCCAGGCGTGGTGGTGGGCGCCTGTAATCCCAGCTTCTCAGGGGGCTGAGGCAGGAGAATCGCTTGAACCCAGGAGGCAGAGGTTGCAGTGAGCCAGAGTTGCCCCATTGCACTCCAGCCTGGGCGACAAAGCAAGACTCTGTCGCAAAAAAAGAAAAAAAAAAAAAAGAAAAAAGAAAAGAGATATATTTCGGGGTAAAATATGTTGCGGGTTGGAGTTGGTATGTTATTGCTACAAAGAGTCTGTTCTGTCAGTCTTAGGATCTCTGTTTTAATGTTAATGCTGGTCAGTTGTGTCTAAAGTCCAAAAGGGAGAGGGTATAGTGAGGTATGTATGGACCCTCACTTTCTGTCACGGCCCGAACTAGTTTTTCAAGTTTCTTTGGAATCCCCTTGACTGAGAAGGGGGTCCATTCATTTGGTTCACGGCTTAGAATCTTATTTTTTGTTTGCACAGATACCTAAAAATCTGTAAATGGCTTTTAAATTGGGTACTGGGTAGAGGTTGGAAGAACTTTTAGGACAATAATAGAAAAAGCCTGGATTGCCTTGAATAGACTGTTCATAGATATAGATGTTAAAATTATTCTCATGGGGACTCAGAAGTAAAGAGCATGGTGGAAAAAACTGTATTAACTCAGAGAATACTTAAATCATTATAAATAAGCTGTCATTAGAAATGTGGACATGAAGAATATTGATGAGGGCTCAAAGAGAAATGAATATGTTATTGAAAACTAGAAAAAAGAGATTAAGCACATTAAGAATGCTATGAAATAAATATAATTAAATTTGAAATAATATAATGTAATCAAATGTACTTTATAGAGGCAATACTTGTAATACCTTAATTGATTTCTGCCATTATACATAGAGCAGGAGTTGTAAGCAATGAACTTTGGTATTTAACTTTGGATATTTCCAAGCAAGATGTTGATGTGTTCTGGTTTCCTTCTTTCTGCTTATAATAAAATGCAGAAGTAAAATGATAGATTGAGGGAAGAACTGTTAAGCAAAAAATAACCAGGGCTTGATTATTTGGGAAATTCTCAATCTGTCCAGATTGCAAATGACACTAAAATTAGAAGATTCACTGTTAGGAAAGTGAATGGTTGGACAACTTTTTGTTAGTGCCTCAGAAGAAAGAAGAGCTAAAAGTGTTCATTCACATAGAGAGCTCTTTGAAGTGATCATGTTACTCGTGGATCTTTTCTTCCATTTCTGCAGAAGCTAAAAAATAAGGATGGAATTATCTTGGAAATACCTGTGTAGGGGCCTCTTGTTTAATGGTGCAAATTCCCAGGACATACAAGAAGACACAACGTTTTTGAGAATATTATAACAGCAGAAACATTGCCAGTTTGGACTGTAAGAGAAAGAGAGAGGAGGAAATAAAAGAAGACTGTAAGACTCCCAAATTTCTATAGGCAAGAAATGGGTTGTTAATACTATTTATCTGCAAACCCATCAAAAAGGAAGAATAATTCAGAGGGAAGAGTGAAAGGTAGAGAAGGCAGATATTTGAGCCACAGAGAATTTTTCCCAGGCTTTAACAATAAATGGAGTTTACTCTGCTGGATTTCAAAATTGCTTGGAACTGGTGAATTTTTTTTTTTTTTTTTTTTTTTTTAGATGGAGTCTCATTCTGTCACCCAGGCTGGAGTGCAATGGTGCGATTTCTGCTCACTGCAACCTCTGCTTCCTGGGTTCAAGCGATTCTCCTGCCTCAGCTTCCTGAGTAGCTGGGATTACAGGTGCACACCACCACGCCCAGCTAATTTTAGTATTTTTAGTAGAGAGGAGGTTTGACCATGTTGGTCAGGCTGGTCTCAACTCCTGACCTTGTGACCCGCCGCCTTGGCCTCCCAAAGTGCTGGGATTACAGGCGTGAGCCACTGAGCCCAGCCTGGTGACTCATTTTATCCTTCCATTTTCTCCATTTTTGAACAGAAATGTCTATAACTAGCATCCTATACTTGTCCCACATTGTATTTTCGGAACAGATAACTTATTTTCTAGTTTTACAGGTCCACAGATGGACAGGAATTTTGGACCAGGATAGACCATGCCCAGAATTTTAAACATAGCTGATTTAGATGATGAAATTACAGACTTTTGACTTTATGAGATTAGAAGAGATTTTGGACTTGAGTTGATGCTATTAATGATTTGAGACTTTTGAGGACCTTGGTATGGAATATACTTACTTTGCACACTGAGCTGACATAAATCTTTGAGAACCAGGAACAACTGCATTAGTTCAAATGATGGCTCCCAAAAGATACCCAGGTCCTATCACAAACCTGTGAATTTGTTACCTCACGTGATAAAAGGGACTTTCCTGCTGTAATTAAGTTAAGGATATTGAGATGGAAAAAATATCCTAGATGATTTGAATGGGCCCAACTTAATCACAGAGTCCTTATAAGATAGAGGCAGAAAGATTAGAGATAGAGAGAAAAAAATGTTAAGGATGAAAACAGATGTGCGAGTAATGCACCTGAAGGTGGAGAAAGAGGCCAAGGAATGTGCATGTTCCCTGGAAACTGGAAAAGACAAGAAAACGGATGTTTTTTGTTTGTTTGTTTGTTTGAGATGGAGTCTCGCTCTGTTGCCCAGGTTAGACTGCAATGGCGCTATCTTGGCTCACTGCAAGCTCTGCCTCTCGGATTCACGACATTCTCCTGCCTCAGCCTCCCAAGTAGCTGGTACTACAGGCGCCCGCCATCATGCCCGGCTAATTTTTTTGTATTTTTAGTAGAGACGGGGTTTCACCGTGTTAGCCAGGATGGTCTCAATCTCCTGACCTCATGATCCGCCCGCCTTGGCCTCCCAAAGTGCTGGGATTACAGGCGTGAGCCACCGCGCCCGGCCAAGAAAACATATTTTTTTCTAAATGAGCCCTCAAAAGAAATATGGGCTTGTATATACCTTAGTTTTAGCTCAATGATACAGATTGTAGACTTCTGACCTTTATAATTGTAAAATAATAAATGTATGTTCTTTTAAGCTACCAAAGCAGTGGTAATTTGTTATAACTGCAATAAGAAATGAATCCACCAATTTAGATATATTTAAAATGTTTGCAATTCTAACATACTTTTATTTAAAATGGTAGGCCTGCCCTATATCCCTTTATCATAGGCACCTGCTTTAAAGCATTTTACTGATTTCTGTATTTACTTTAGTATTTAAATAACGTGGCTACATTTTCAGTTTCTGCATCTTCAGCCTTAGGCATTATGTATTGACCTCATGCATTATTTATTGACTTCCTACTGCCATTTTCGATCCCCTTAACCTAATATGTCGTAATTTTATCAAGACACATATTCTGCACAAAAGTAATATTGGAATATTTCTTCAACATTATTCTAGGGATTCTCTTTGCCTGGATTTGTACTGAACTGCTCTTATATTTTTTTGTATACGATGACTTATTTTTTTAAAAGATTAACTATAACATTGGTTCCTCAGTTCAGAGAACCTATGTTTTACCCTTCAGGGAATAAATATCCAATCTTCTATATACAGGATCCTCTGCAGGGTCTAGCCTTCTAAAGTATAAAGAGGATCTGGGGACCTCACTGCCTCCTAAATAGATCTTCCACCAGTCCTTCTAGTTTTAGCATTTACATTATCTCTATTTATACAAGTATCCATTACTTGCAAATTTATTAGGTTTGGGAAGTGGACTTTCCTCGCCTTTATCTTACCATTTAGAACTGCGGAGGCTATTAAATCACTAACTACTTGACCGCTTTTCTTTCTACCTTTTTTTGTCAATATCTTTTCCAACTTTCTTTGTGCTTTGGGCTCATGACTTTAAACAAAAATTATTTTAATGTAACTTCAGTAAAATTTTAGTTAAGTTTCAGGAAGCAATGGATATAAATGCAAACATTAATTTTAAGTCCCTTTGGATACATTAACATAAATTGGATGCGTAGTGTCTTCTTGTTTCTATGTTATGCATTCTTACATTTAAACATCTACCAGTGTCACGTGGTATTGTTAATTCCCATTGGGAAACATTCTTAGAGAAGTTTGCCAAAATCTGTGCTACTTCTCAAGTTTTGAGTCCAGACCCAAATTTAGAGAAAATATTTTAACATTAAGTATACTGTATTTTATTTCGAAGGATAATTTATGTTAAGATATTGTACTGTCTCTACAAGATTCAATGCAGGCAAAATATTTTAATTTTGTGATTGCTAAATACTATTTATGAAAACTATAGTAATATGAATTAATATGTGTGCGATTATCACTATGTGAGTGAAATATTGTATAAGACATGGACGATTCGAAACAATCTAAACAATTTTTAGGACAAAAATTCCTTAATCTTTAAACTCCAGTTCCTAAATTTATTTTATTATAATGTTACAACCAATAATAAAGAATTAAAAGGAATCCCATGGTAGACTGGGAAAAAACAATTTCTTCTGTATAAAAAAAACTGTCAGTAAAAGTAACAGTTATATACTCCTTTGTTTCTAGCATATCTAGCACATGGTAAAGACATCATGATTAGTTATGGAATGTTAATCGAAAAATGATAATTAAATCTTGGAACGTGATTAGTTTCCTTTGCACCTTCCATTTAATTTCCTCTTCCATGGATACTTCTGTTTCTTTCCCTTTTTAAAACTCTTCTAGTTTATCATTACTTATTTCCAGAGCTTTTACAAAATCTTCCTAAATGGTCTTCCCTCCACTTGCTATTAACCCATCCTAATATGGTTGTGTGACTTGTAGATCTGTAGACCCAATAAAGAATAAAGTTGGATTATTAACATGATATACTACTGTGTGTAAATAATAACACTTTTTGGTTTGTAAAAATATTGTCTTTACTGTCTCATTATTTTTTTTATATCCCTATAAGAGCCAGATAACAGGTATTAATATTTACTAATAAAGAAACACATTTTGGGAAATTAAATTCCTACTACCATGTCCGTGGCTTATGAATGACAAAGCAAGCACTTGAATGCAGATACCCTGATACCCAGTTCTCTTCTCTCAACGATACAGTGAAATAACATTCCTATTTCAGACTCTTAGAAACCCTGTGCCTAAAACCTTCAACCAAAGAAATCTCTTCATCTGTCATTCAACACTCTTCACAACATTCTTCCATTCCATTCTAATTTCTCATCCTTTCATTATCCCATTGGTTTTACATAAATACCTTTAATATACAATTTTTAGTCCCGTATTTTACATTTTCTCTTGTGAGAGAACTTATCTGGAAAATTCATATTTTTTATTTTTCTTTGTATAAGTGCTGGTCAGTTTCACAGACCCCTTTGTGGCATTCACCATTTGCCCTAGTTTTTAGAAACTACTTGAACTTTATTTCTAAAACATCTAGTGGCTTGATAAATATTTTACAGCAAATATAGAGACATATCAGAAATTCTGATGTAGGTTTATAACCAATTTGGATGAATATATAAATAAAATTTATGTTTATTTTCATTTGTGGAATACATTTTGAAGGAGGCTATTTATATGAACGATAGCAGGTCCAGAAGACCAAACAGTTTACACTTGTAAAATTGTTTAAAATTATGACCCTCTAAGCTGAGTATCGTCTAATTACAATCAATGTGAAACATATTACAAAAACATGCCTACAGTAAATCTCCATTGTTACATGTATTATGATTTTTTTACTTAAATTCAGATACCATTTCAAAAAAAATGACCGAAGTAATACATAATAAATATATATGTATATTTGACCCTAAATATTCTTTTTTTTTTTTTTTTTTTTTTTTTTTTTTTTTTTTTTGAGACGGAGTCTCGCTCTGTCACCCAGGCTGGAGTACAGTGGCGCAATCTCAGCTCACTGTAAGCACCGCCTCCCGGGTTCACGCCATTCTCCTGCCTCAGCCTCCCCAGCAGCTGGGACTAAGGTGCACGCCGCCACACCCGGCTAATTTTTGTATTTTTAGTAGAGACGGGGTTTCACCATGTTAGCCAGGGTGGTCTCGATCTCCTGACGTCGTGATCCACCCGCCTCGGCCTCCCAAAGTGCTGGGATTACAGGCATGAGCCACTGCTCCTGGCCAATATTCTAACATTCTAAGCTACAAGAAGTCTGATTTCAATTTTCAGTTTTCATGTGTATTGTTTAGGTCATTAAATACCTTTTGAGTTTCTACTGGTTATGAAACACTACTTCCTCATAAAGGAGACCCCCAAAAGAACACAGTATGATTTGTGACTTCAGGAACTTTTGCTATTATAAAGTAGAAGAGAATTAGCCAAGTTCGTAAATAACTGTAAAATAAGGCAGAATGTAATTAATGTCTTACAGAGCAAAAAAGCGTATATTCTGAGAGAATGGAGAAATCACTTTTCAACTCTGAGACTCAGACAAAGAGAAAAGATTAGAGCTGAATTGTATGTGCTAAAAAGAATAAAAATATCTGTGTAACTAGGAAAAGTGTTATGTACTGGAGGGAAAAAGGAACACATGGATTTTGAAAGATATTCAAACAAAGGTCATGGAGTGTTCAAATGTTTCCAGTTGACCAAAGATACTGTGGTCTGTAGAGCAGAAAAATTATTTGAAGGAGCAACAGAATTTTAAAAATAAATCCAACAATACTATCCAAGGTGTATAGGAAGAGAGTAAACATTATTAGCAGTCATTCTAGCTTGGAGCCTTAGCAAACCTAGGTGTGCACTCATGTATCAACTGCTCTTTAGGTAAACATTTGTTTTATATCAGGGTAAATGAAACTTAAATGGTTCAACTCTATTGCCTGATGTCTCCGGGTGGTATCAAGGCAAAGGTTATCATAGCTAAAAACCTGAATATATGGACCTTTTCTAGTTGGTAACTAAGTGGATTCTCTGCGCTGCATTTTTCATGCATTTATTCAATATTTATTTCTTTTCTGCTCTGTCCCAGGCATGGAGGTAACAGTGAGGACAACAACATTGTTCTTTCTCTCATCAAGCAGCAAGCAGATGTTACGTAGGGTCACAGCATGCCAATGCGCCTAACTTTCTGAAAACTTTTTCCTAGCTCCTTATTTTAAACACAATAGTTACTTCAGAAGCCAAATTTCTGCTGAGAATATGATAATAAGTATGTTCTGTCCTGTGCATTTGAGCAAGGCACTTTTAAAAAAATGTTATGCCTTAATGCAAGGGAAAAGAGTTGGAAGTTTGGTACTTTAGGGAGAATGTGTGCTAGCTTTATTTGAGACTTCATTCCTCACACAGTATAATTCTCTGATGGCAGAACAGGAAGTTTCTTTCTGGTGTTTTCCCGTATGCATCTCAAAACCAACTTTCTTTTCAAGATACTTATCAGGTAACTTGTAGATGGACAAATACATTCAACTTTTTAGGAAAATTTTTTCAAGTAGTCCTCATTTTAAAGCCAAGATTTTGAAATAAAATGTACTATGAGTTGTTTTTTAAAAGTAATCCTTGGAAATGTTAGTTTCTTGATTACATCAGAATGCTTAACTGAATTTTACAATTTCTGAGCATGAGATTGGCATACAAATATCTTCCTTTTCATCTTTTTATTCAAGTAATAACAAAGATCATAATGAAACATTAATCCTGGGCCAAGTGACATTCTCACTTGTATGTTTGTATGGATCGCTTACTCTTTGGCTTATAAGTGAACTACATAAGACAGAGGAGTTTCAGTACTGGTTATTAAAATTTTCTTCACAATCATCTCATCAAAAGCCGAGACTCCTAATGCCCTCCCCCAACATTTTGGGAGGCAATTTATTTGTGTGGTGTGTGTGTGTGTGTGTGTGTGTGTGTGTATAATAAATGGATCATATTAAAAAATTTTGCCTATAATCCCAGCACTTTGGGAATCTAAGTCAGATAGATAACGAGGTCAGGAATTCAAGACCAGCCTGGCCAAGATGGTGAAGCCCCGCCTCTACTAAAAATACAAAAAATTAGCCGGGCACAGTGGCAGGCACCTGTAGTCCCAACTACTCGGGAGGCTGAGGCAGGAGAATCGCTTGAACTTGGAGGGCAGAGGTTGCAGTGAGCTGAGATCATGCCACTGCACTCTAGCTTGGGCAACAGAGTGAGACTCCGTCTCAGGAAAAAAAAAAAAAATTTTTTTTTTTTTACTCCACTGAAGTGGTATTTTGGAATGAATAAGGTTGAGAATGAGTATATAAAGTGGGAATCTCTAAGACTTAAGGAAAAAAATATCTGTTTAAAATTCAGATTAGCAGTAAGGATGATAGTCATGTTTTCTGGTAGATTATCCAGAATTTTTTAAAAATTATTCTTAGATAAGTTACATAAGAACAACAACTCTTTATGAAAATCTAGCATGCGTTTTAGGATCCTGTTGGCCACATGACATACACAGTTTTCTTGCTTCTCAGGGAATATGCCATCATGTAAATTCAACCTACATGTAAAGTTGTTTTCTCAGGTTTGGCCATATGTGGCTTTGAAATTGAAATATGTTTTCATTTAGTTCCCCAAAAGCTCTGCAATAATGAACACATTTCTAATGTGCTGAAGAAAATGGGCCCAAGTGGCCACTGAAATAGGCTATGGAAAAAAGGGAAAATAATTAAGACTTAAATTTAGGAACATATTTAATTATTTATCAGAAGAATGACTTGGTGGGATAACAGTGTTGTGAAGTTACAAATATTATGGTTGTTTACTTATTTTCATAGAGTCTATGTTGTAGAAAAATACTGGACCAGGTATAAATTCAAATCTGCTTTGCAATGTGAACTCTAAAACTATTTTTCTTTGAAATAGAGTTCCTCCTGAAATGATTAAATATGAGTGAACTTTTCAGTTACCACATTTTTATGCTATTTTAGGTGTCAAAGGAGAAAAAAATATTTGACAACTTCGTCCAAATTTCTATGAATAAAAGTAATGTCCAAATGAAACATTTGCATTTTGACATTGTGCAATTATGTCATAGCATGACCTTCCTTGGAGTAATACATATAAACAAACTTTCTTGCTATTCTCATTAGTACAATAGTAGTAGAAATGATTAATCAGGTCTTGATTCTAAAGTGCTTTAATCTCTAAAGGTAAGATACAAATTATTAATTCCTATCAAATAGCCTTAATTTGGTTGTTTAAATCTAAAAGTGATTATTTTTAAAGTTTGCCTTTTCTCTGTGGCAATTATAGTGAAATGAAACAATATATTGTTGCATTTTATTGTTTCAGAGAGATTAATCTTTTTAAAGAAAGGGCATTCCAGATATCAGAATTTTTTTTATAATGTTTTTCTGTTTGTTTAAAGCCACTACACAGTAATATGACATTGGATTATCAGGGAAAGATGTCACAAAGCACTTAAGAACGTTGGATATAATTATTTTATAATATATTTCTAAATTAAGCATAGAGATGAACAAAAATAGTATGTTATTGGACAAACTATGGATTCATTAGTCTATTTCTCAAAAGTTCCTGTTTATATTATGATGAAATATTTTTTATTTTGATAAGAGTCTAAAATTAGAGCACTGGTTTTAGTGTTTTGCATTTTTAAGTACCATCAGAATGATATTAAACTTTATAAAAGATGCTTTCCTATTTTAAAAAATAAATTATTTTCCATTGATTTCTTTCCTTCATTATTTTAATTTTTTTCTTTATCTTTTTTGGAGGGTGTATTTGGAAAGAATAGTTGAACAGAGAAATTCCTAAATGACAATATGTCTTCAATTTATGACTCTTTTCTTCAAGATAGATAGAAGGGAGATCTCATTTTATTGCATTTTGCGTTATTACTCTGTGCAGATGTTGTGCTTTTTGCATGTCGAAGGTCATGGCAATCTTGCATTGAGCAAGTCTGTTGGCACTATTTTTCCAATAACATGTGCTCACTTTATGTACCTTTGTTACATTTTGGTAATTCTTGCAATATTTCAGTCTTTTCCTTATTATTATATCTGTTATGGTAATTTGCAATCAGTGATTTTTGATCTTACTATTGTAACCATTTTGAGGCACCACAAACTGCACTCAAGAGAGTGAACTTAATTACTTGCCGTCAAAATGAGCAGTCAGAAATACAGTGTGTGTTCTTATTGGTCCACCAGCCGGTCCTTCCCTGTGTCTTTCCCTGTCTTCAGGCCTCTTTATTCCCTGAGGCACAACAATATTGAAATTAGTCCAGTTAATAACCTACAGCAGTCTCAAGTGTTCAAGTAAAAAAAGAAGAGAAAAGAGTCACATGTCCCTAATCTGAAATCAAAAGCTAGAAATGATTAAACTTAGTGAGGAAAGCATGTTGAAACGCAATAAAAGCCAGATTTCAGGCTCCTTGTGCCAGTTAGCCAAGTCGCAAATTCAAAAGAAGGTTCTTGAAGACAATTGAAAGTGCTCCTTCAGTGAACACACGAATGATAAGAAAATACAGTACCCTTCTTGCTGATATGGAGAAAGTTTTAGTGGTCGGGAGAGAAGGTCAAACCAGCCACGACATTCCCATAAACTAAAACCTAATCCAGGAAAGGCCCTAACTCTCTTTAATTCTATGAAGTCCGAGAGAAGTGAGGAAGCTGCAAAAGTTAAGTTTGAGCTAGCAGAGATTGGTTCATGAGGTTTAAGAACAGAAGCCGTCTCCATACAATAAAAGTGTAAGGTGAAGCAGCAAGTACTGATGTAGAAGCTGCAGTAAGTTTTCCAGAAGGTCTAGCTAAGATAATTGATGAAGCTGGCTACAGTAAACTTCTGTTTATATCAGATATGTGTGGATCTTGGCATGATTCACTGGACTATTGTAGTTTTTCTGTATGCCACTATGGTGAATACTCGATGATGATGATGACCAGTGTATTTCCAACATGGTGTGTTTGTAATAGTCTGTAATTTATCTCAAATTTTATATTTTTAGTATCTTAGTAGGAATTTTGGGGGACATTTTAATGAATTTCAGAATGTCAAATACCAAAAACACAAATTCTCTGTTGGTTGATAAGTTACAGGTATTTTTATATATAGCATGCAATTTAACATATCATTGAGCTGAAATTCTTGTGTGCTGTTCAATCATGTTCTGAAGGCTACATGTTGTTTTACTTAAAAGCATTTTTATAAAGTTAGTGCACTTTCTTAACTGTAGCCCTTTACCCATTTGGAAATTATACACATTTACTCTAATAGATTGTTATTAATATTTGCTACCCTACAACTTTTCTGTTATCAATACTTTTGCAATCTAAAGCATTTGCAGGCGCCTCACTAAAATGATTACCATTGGCAATTTCCTCTTTATATGTGTAAAAAATTTTAAATTTCTGTCAGAAGGAATGATGTTTCCTCTGAGACTTTGTATTTTAGACCTAAGGCAATGTTTCATGAATTTTACTTGAAAACAGATACTCACTGCCAAGATAAAAATGGTTTGCCATAGGGAATATTGTGCAGTTTTCAGAGTCATTCTTATTTAATTCTTTCTATTTGTGCAAGGAATTATATCCATTCCAATGAAAATGGCCTTCTTTTACCACTGAAATTATATTTTCAATAATATCAACAGGAAACTAGTAAATTCCAGGCCTTTCACCATACCTCAAATTAGTTCCTTGTTCTCTACATTTAAAATTTTTTCATCTTTATCTAATTCAGTTTGGTGTTTGTGTAATTTAATTGCTTCACTTCTTTTTCTATCATTTTAAGTTCCCTTGTATTATTACCCTCTTCCATCCAAAGGAAGACTGTGTTAATACCAGCTATGTATTCTTAAATAATTTTTCCTTAATATTTGTAATTATAGCATGTATAGACACCTATGTGTAATACTTATGCAAATAAAAACTGTGGATTATTTTGTCCTCCATTTTACAATCTCTAATTTTCTCACTCAAGAAATACCTCATACAAATGTAGTCAAGTGAACTGGAATTTTTCCTTTTAATAGTATATATATAGCGGATATATATATGTAGTAATATATAATGGATATATCATGTTTTATTACTTCCCTTATTGATTACAAATTACCTTTCTTCTAGTTTTTTTCTACTCTAAGTTATACTAATCTAAATATTTCCATATGGCTACTTTATTCTTGTTCGTTAGAGTTACTTCCAAGTTTTTAACACGATATTTGAGTTTAAATGATAAAAGAGAGAATTCAGGTAATTATTCAGATGACTTATGTCAAGTGTTTCAATTAGATAAATTGTTTAGTGCTTATTTCTCATATTTTAATGCTATACAACTTAGAATCTTAAACTTTTTTGTGTGTATCACAACATAGAACAGAGATATACTTAGTGTGTATCATATGTCATATGACATGATTTTGAAATAAAGACAACAAACTGATTTCAAACCTAAAACTTTAATAAGTATTGAGTAATTACCAGAGGACAATTAGTCCAGAACTGTCTACATTGCTCACTCATGGGATTTAATCCAGTGGACAATTTTGTTGTTGTTTTGAGACTGGATCTTGCTCTGTTGCCCAGGCTGGAGTGCAGTGGTGCAATCACAGCTCACTGCTGCCTCAACTGCCCAGGCTCAAGTGATTCTCCTATCTCAACCACCCCAGTAGCTGGGACTATAGGTGTGTGCCACCACACTGCGTTTTTTTTTTTTTTTTTAATTATTTGTAGAGATGGGGTCTCATCATTTTGCCCAGGCTGGTCTTGAACTCCTGGACACAAGTGATCCTCCTGTCTTGGCCTCCCTAAGTGCTGGGATTATAGGCATGAGCCATCATGCCCAGCCCAATTTTTAAACTAACTTTCTCTGTGGACCCATAGTCTCAAAATCCTGGTAATGTAATTCCATTCTCTATAGACCTCCAGTACTCTAGTTGAAATTTCTCCATAACAAAATTGGGCCTATCTGCTTTTCATTTTATATCCCTATCATGTTTTTTAATAGCACTCTTTACCCAGTGACTGTACAAATTAATGGCTAAACTGAGAAACATTCAGATATAAACTGGAGTAGGTAACTTACTATTTATTCACCATTTTCTTAATAATGATTGCTACATAATTTAATATCTTTGGCATAAAAGTATGTCTATGAGTTGATTAAATTAACTTTGGCCTCTGATAATGGGAAGGGCAAATGGGTTTCATAGAAAAAACCTTAGGAGTTAACAAAAGCAGAAGAAGAGAGAACATGATTATTAATAATATTAAGAAAACATTTGACAAAAGCATACATTTATCTGCTTGTCTTTTCTAAATGCAATAAAAATGAGAGTTTAAAAAAAAAAAAAACACAAAAAGACAGGAAGAACCTAATGGGAAATAGCAACAAATTGGAAAGACAGCAGGTAAAATTATCAATCAATGCAGACATTTTCAGACATGTACAGTTACCAAATATTTAACTCTGGTGTACCTTTCTTTGAAAGCTGTTGGAGAATGTGTATCTAGTAAATGAAAGACATAAAACAAAGAAAAGAAAGACGTGAGTTTCAGGATATAAGAGACTCTCATATAACGCACATAAACAACCAAAACTTTGTTTCAAGATGAAAGTTGCACATGAGACTCAGGAAAGTCCTGGTCCAGATCAGAGAGGGAGTTTGGGAGATATGAAAAGGAGCTCTTTGGAAGAAAAATGGCTTTGATAGATTATATGATGTATAAGCATCTGGAATATAATTTTGTGTTTAACTTATACAGCATTTATAAAGAATTAAAGACAGGTACATAGAAAATAAAGCAAGTGAAAAAATAGTTTTTAATTACAGGAATCACAAAAATACAAGAAAGTAAACAAAATCATAGTACAGTACTTGTCTCTGCAATGAACAATAAAAATTGACATATAAAAATACTGGAAGTATGCAAAAAGAACTATGGGTATTTAACTTAACATTGTCTAAAATTAATAAAGACCAGTGAGGTATGGGCACATTATTTATGAATATGAAGACGAACCCAGAAAAAGTTACTTTAAAAGTTGAAAAAAACACTTTTGCAGAGCAGGAGTTTTTTTTTGAGGGGAAGGAGTGGGACATTAGTGAATGATAGGTTGTTGTAAGGGATTTCTAATAATATACACTTTTTGAAAAACACTATAAGCATGTATCACATTGATAAAAGTAAGCATTAATTTAAATAATGGCTGGTGATAGAATATACATTTTTCTCCTAATATTGCCTGAAAACAAAAATATTAGTTATTAACAAATATGAAATTATTGATAAACAGTTGCATATCTGAAAGTTAAAGAAGAGATTAAAAATCAATGTGTTACTCCCCAAATAATCTATTTTTCTTGACTCTTAAAAATTTATTTCTTATCTCTCATCCTGTTTTTCTCACTAGTCTCGTAACCCTAATATAAAGTTTTGTGGTTTTGTTTTTGGCTTTGATCATGCATTTTGGAAATTTTTTACATTAAATTGTATCGTTTTATATTTGCTCATGTTGTCTCCCCAGTGAGAGTTCAAGTTTCTTCCTTTGTACCTTCCTTTGTATCTCAGCCTATGTTAAATTTGTAGGTGGGGTTCATTCTATATTTACTGTGTTGAATGTTTCCTGTTTCTTATGTAGCACATATCTGTGTTTGAATATAAGTCCACTGAAGCCAGAATATATTTTTACAGCATTTCCTGAGTACCAGGGGCATCTTGGTAACTGTTAAACATTAACAAAACTCAGTACACTGCAAAGTTGGTCTGGCACCACATCACTAAAAGCAAACCTTTAGTAGCTTTCCACTCCATTAGCTGTAATCGAGTAGAACCTTTATTCATCAAATAAAACCATGCTGAAAATAGATTAAAGTTACAACGCTTATGTACACAGGGTAGTATCATTCCATATGTCTAAATTGCTGAAAAATAGATCTACTACTCATAAAGTATCTATTAGATGACATGTTTCTAGTTCAGTAAAGTGGGATCTTCTTAGTCAACATGAACCTATTATTGTGGCACATTTCATGCTCATTGAAAACAGATTTATAACATGTAAAGAGTCTTTTATTAAATAGATTTTCAGTTCACTAAAAAAAAAAAAAAAAAAAAAAAAAAAAACAGATTTACAGTTTAGGGACAACCCATTGCCTAACATGTTTTCAGCTCACTGAAACAGATTTACAACTCAGAAACAACCCATCATCTAACATGTTTCCAGTTCACTGAAAACAGATTTACAACTCATACATAGCCCATTATCTAACATTGTTCCAGCTCACTGAATATTGATTTAGAATTCATAAACAGCCCATTATCTGACAAATTTTCAGCTCACTGAACAGATTTGCAAATCATAAACAACCTATTACCTACTGCATTTCCAGCTCACTGTAAGTAGATTTATAGTACATAAACAACCTATTATCTCACATGTTCCAGTTCACTGAAGGTTCATACAGAACCCGCAAAGAACCCCAAAGGGTCAAGGTTCCACCTTGGACAGAAAATAAATAAATAAATAAATAAATAAATGTAGACATATTGCGTTAAAAACATTTGATCCTAATGTACTGTCATATCAATAGACATGATAGAGTTTTATCATCATTTTCAAATTTAAAAGAAAAAAATTGGATAAATTAAAGGTGGGAAAACTAGTTTTGTGGATTTTAAGAAATATTTATTTTATTTTTGGAAATTCAGGATGAGAAAATAAAATTATTAAAAATGATTATTGTTTATAAATAATGATGCATTTTTACAACCTTATTGCCAAAGATTGTTTAATTGTTATCCTGTTGCAGTATATAAAGCCATTAGAAAACATGAACTTTTTTGAATGGCTAATATACCAACTTTTGTTAGAAATTGTTAAAACAAATTAACAGAAAAACTTCCTTTTGTATATAATTTGACATTAAATATGTTTACTGGCCATTAATTTGTTTTTATATTATCAATGTGAAAAGACCATATTTTTCCTTCAAAGTATCCAGAAGCTAAACTTTCCTTTTAAACTTTTTATTCCAATTTTTCATTGCTATTTTATTCAATGTTAACCAACTGAAATTTGTAAAGACACAATAAAAATGTTTTACTTAAAATAGTATGGGTTTAAGTATAAAAAACTAAATTTTGAATAATTTATAAGTAGATATTAACTTATGAATGTGTGATGTTACTTCTAAAATGTTTTATTATGGAAGTTTTCAAATAAGCACAAAAGTAAAGAAATAAGTTCTGTTAATCCTTGGGCCCATGGATCAGTTTCAATTAGCATTGACATACAGCCAATTTTGCTTATCTGTTCAATCTCCCACCCCCAACACATACACTCACTGTACCATCGGGTTACTTCGAAACAAATTCCAGGCAACAGGCTATTACATCAGTAAATATTTTAACATTATGGTAAGAGATAAAGGCTCTTTTGTTTTTAATGTAATCACAGTGACACATCATGAGTACATTAAAATAATACCTCAATAGATATAATTTAATTTCTAGCTTACTGATGATTCCATAATGTTGTATTTATATATATATGTATGTATATATATGTATGTATATATGTATGTATATATATGTATGTATATATGTATGTATATATATGTATATATATGTATGTATGTATATATATGTATGTATGTGTATATATATATATGAAATATCTATCTATCCATCCATCCATCCAGCCAGCCCTCTTATTTTTTCTCCTTATTTCCAGTACTGGCCTATAGTTCACCCATATTTGTTAGATGGAATAATCATTCAATGTATGATCTAAAATATTATTCAATGTATATATCTAAAGATTTACTCTGGTCTTAGGATACGAAGTGCTGAGAAAATCAGTGAGTTTCTGGGCCTCTCTTTCTCTTTTCTCAATAGGGCAGTTATAATGATTTTCAGTCTATGGAAAAGCATGTTTTCTACCGCACTGCCTACTTCCCTATATTATGAAGTACAGTTTCCTTTAATTATGAAATAAAGCAATCAAATAGAATTTTTTTTTTTACTTTTATGTTTCAAGATACATAACTTTCTTTACCAAAAGGGATGTGTATGTGTGTTCCTGAGAAAACACTCATGTATATATCACATTGGCATAAATGCCTATCAGTACTATTATATTTCACAGGATAAAATCATTTTGAGGTATATATAGAAGCTCTGTAAAATATTGGGAACTTAAAATATAATAAGAGAAGGAAAATATGACCACTTTTAACTTAGTCTGTTTTGTGATATATTGATGAAATTCATTGTCTTGTTTGTGATTATACTACTGTCAATTTTTGTTTTAAATTGACCCTAGTTAGCTATTGCAAGACCATTTAGTTTGCCATTTCTCTCAAATTTACATGCTTTTGTGGTTTTGTCAGTAACATTTGCTTTTTTAACTCTCTGCTTCTCCAACCTTTAGTCTTTCATACATTTCCTCACTATAGTTGTTAAAAGTTATTGAAAATTCCCTGAAAGTGAACCCCAAAAAACTTTTCTTTTGAATGAATCAGACAAATAGTCCAAGGAGATACACAGACATACACTTGCACATCTAATACAAGCAGAAAAATCAGAAGTAGTCCGCAAAATTACAAATGGTTTAAAAGCAGTAGTTTCGACAAAGCAATAATCAGAAAGAGGAAAGAAGAAAGAAGTAGAATTTTTCTGTATCAGGTCATATCTGGTTGATGTGATAACAAAGATATTTTTCTTTAAAGAAAATTTAGCAATGCCTTTGGGGAAAAAAACAAAGCAAAACAAATCTCTTCCTTTACTGCTTTCCTGGCATTATCAATCATACTTACAATAATATACATTGTGATTTTCTCAATGATTTTTTGAAAATTGTAAAGACAGTGTCCTGAAATAGTGCCAAAGTAATGTGCAATCACCATTTTGTTAGAATTAGTACATCCCTTTAAAATAAGACAAAAAATGTCCAGTTTCTATGTCTCATTATTATATATTGTCACAAAACCTGCCAAGATGTTTTTACATTACAGAATCTGCTAGCAGATTTCCCTGAGCTTTTGGTGACAATGCTGAGGATAATTATGAAATCACTGAGAAGTGGGCAAAACAAAAAACATGATTAATTCTCTATTTGTGGTCTGACATAGATGGACTTATCTTAGAATTACTATAATATGGCATTTATTGAATCCCCTATGTACCACTTAAACCACTTGAATGTGTCTTGTTTCCTTTGGGAATTAAACTAGTAAAGAGATAAATGTATACTCTGCCTATTCTTTTTTTGTTTTTTTTGAGACGGAGTCTCACCCTGTCTCCCAGGCTGGAGTGCAGTGGCGGGATCTCGTCTCACTGCAAGCTCCGCCTCCCGGGTACAGGCCACTCTCCTGCGCCAGCTTCCCGAGTAGCTGGGACTACAGGCGCCCGCCACTATGCCCGGCTAATTTTTTTGTATTTTTAGTAGAGACGGGGTTTCACCGTGTTAGCCAGGATGGTTTCGATTTCCTGACCTCGTGATCCACCCGCCTCGGCCCCCCAAAGTGCTGGGATTGCAGGCGTGAGCCACCGCGCCTGGCGCCTATTCTTTTAATTAAGAAATATGAGGTACTTTTTATAACCTAGCTACTTCTCTGTGCTCTGATGCAATACAGATAAATACAATTCAGTCTCTACATTCTTTGAGTTTCTCTTCCTGCACCTAGGAATGATTAATCTGGAAGGAAACCACTATCTTAAATTCATGAATAACTGAAACAATAGAGTCACATCCAAAGGACAGAACAATTTACTTGCAAGTGAGATTCCAGTTATTGAGGTATTTTGGATTATTGAGGTATTTTGATATTTTATATCTGTGACAATTATAAGAACCTAGAAAATTATTAGAGCAGGATAATTCACAGTTCATTTGCTAGAAATTTAGGACATAAAATAGACGATTAACATCAAGGTTAATAAATGTAGAATTTGGAAGTCACCACTGTACTTTATAAGAATGAGAATAAATTTTTAAAAAGCTTGTTTTACTGATGAATTGGTAAATTTTAATTATTTCCTTATATAATAAGATTAAAAATTTCTTGAGCATGTATTACATGTTGAGCATACTTCGATGGTCTAGAATTTGTACAATAGGAGATCCTTTTAGAGAGATAGGCCACATATATTCCAATTTTTAGAGAGCTAGGAGATATATATATATATACATACATATACCCATACAAATTTCTCTTATTTAACCTCAGGGCTACTGTGCCCAGCTAGGAAACCTTGGGTGAAACTTATTTAATGATATCATTTGACAGTAATGATTATACTTACTGGTGTGTGGGAAAAAGCATAGCTGTGGCAGCAGTATTTCACATGACAAACTAGCATAGAGTTGAGTGAACAATACGGAGAGCAGATGTTTCTTTAGGATAGTAAGAGACCCTTTGTGATAAGTTTCAGATGTCAAATAAATCCATTTTTACTTAGCATCCCTTCTCGTCTCTTATGAGTAAGCATAATTTCTCTTAAACATATGGCCAAAAATGAAATAAGCCTGGGAAATCCCATCTATAGTGTCAGTCTGTGTTATCGGGGAAAAAAAAATCTTCTGAATTAGTAATAAAACCCATCTGTTCCCACTTAGAGGAAAATGCCTCACACTGATGAAGTGAGACTAATATTCAGCATTTTAAAAAGTGTACAGAAAAATTAAATGGTTTCTTTTCTTAAGAAGATGTCAGACCCATTTATTCACTTTGATCAATCTTCAAATTTTGATTACTGACAGTCTTTAAAATAACTGATAAAGAACAATGCCTTTTCCCTTATATACATATTAATTCTCACAAAACATCCTAAATACCGAGATATTTCTTATTTTTAGAAATTATTCATCCTTGTTAATGTCATAATTTGCTCACAATAGTAAGATGTTTTCAATCACAATTGTTGTCTCCTCAGATTTTTAATAGTCCTTCTGATTATAACAGTAATCCAGATTCATTGAAGAAAAGTGTAACAATCCAGAAAAGCATGGTAAAGAAAATTAAACACTCATGTTTCATTTTTCTCAAAATTGTATATACTTATAGTTTTAAAATCAAGTAGTTCTATAAATTCTATAAAAATAGCAATTACTCATCCAGTATTTCCCTGTCCACATTACTATTCCCCAAATGTAGTTAAACTCTCTCTCTTTTTTTTTTTTTTTTTTTTTTTTTTGAGATGGAGTCTTGCTCTTGTCTCCCAGGCTGGAGTATAGTGGCAGGATCTTGGCTCATTGCAACCTCCACCTCCCAGGTTCAAGCGATTCTCCTGCCTCAGCCTCCCAAGTAGCTGGGATTACAGGCGCCCACCACCACCTTCAGCTGATTTTTGTGTTTTTAGTAGAGACAGGGTATCACCATGTTAGCCAGGCTGGCCTCGAACTTCTGACCTCAGGTGATCCACCCGCCTCAGCCTCCCAAAGTTCTGGGATTACAGGCATGAGCCACCATGCCTGGCCATAGTTAAAGTCTTTTAGTATGCTTCTTTAGCATATTTATCTCCATACATGTATATATAAATAAATAACATATAAATTACCCCTATTTCTTTATAATATGGTCACATATATTATCTTAGGCTTTTAAATATGAAAAAACTTGTTTTCTTACATAGCTTGCAGACTTTACAGCCCAATACCTATTTTCTACCATATCACCATATTTAATTCCATAGTCATTCTTTACGTTGTTATTATCATATAAATTTTAATGATTGTTAAACCATCTAGTATATGATGCCTATTTTTCCTTTTTCATACAACTTTCTAGTCTCCACGGATTCAACAATTATCTCTTTTTTTCTCCTTTGCTTATAGTACTTATCACTACTGCACCAATATATTCCCTTAAGAGATATGTATATCTCCTCTCAGTCCTTATCCTGAAATATTCAAGGGAGTAAACTTTTGCTACTTGTTATTCCTGAAAAGTATCTATTTCCTATCTTTTTATCTTATTGTTGTATAGTCCGGGAGGTTTCCTCAAATTTGTCTTCCATCATTCTATTGATTTTGAACTTTCTGCCACTATATTTTAATTTCTTAGGACTCTTTTGAGGATATTCCATATAGCATCCTATGTTTGTTTTATAATGTTAAATGTTTCCTACATCCTTTCTATTGTCTTGATGATGCTTATTAACATTTCATTCTTTTGGTCTGGGTCTTTCCTGTTGGAGATATTCCTCAAACGTATGGTGCTACTTAGCTTTCTTAGATTTTGTAAATATCTAGGGATTTAAATTAAGATTTTTTGTATTTATTTTAAAGTAATTTTAAGAATAGCTTTTGACACTTACATCAAGCTTTGTATTACTATTTTCAACAATTTTTTTAAGTAACATTTTTAACTGGTTTCAGTAATCTCACAAAGTAATCTACAACTATTTTTTTCCATTATCAAGATACACTGATGGATTCATTTTTAGTTGGATTGGCATGTTTTCAACTAAATATGGTACTGGAACAATTTATTTTTGCTCCTGTTTAAGTGACAATATTGTTAACTTTCTTTTGTACATGAAAGGAAACTTTCATGATTCTAAATTTTTTCTTTTCTAATCTTTGTCGCTCAAAACTCAGAAATTTATAACACAAATTTCTTGTAAAACTTGGTCCTATAGAGGGGTGTGAAGTCAGTGTGATTCTTTTCTTTGTATACAGCTTTAGTTTCCTGTCTTGAGCTCAAATGAGTATAGTTATTAAATATTAAAAATATCCAGAATATGTCTAAAAATGGGTATTCTCCCTAATTTTTCTGATAATATGCTTTTTTAAAAAACTTTTCTTGTGCAATATTTTCATTAGTTAGGTAGAGTCAAAAATTATATCTTTGATAACTTCCTTTATTCTAGTGTATTTAGTCATTTTATAATTCAGTAAGCTTCTTCCATATTGTATTTTCACTTAAATATTTATCTCTGTGAATTTATCTAGATGTCTCAAATTTGTCTTTCCCATCAAGAATTCAATATTTGAAAATGACAACTGTTTTTTTTCACTGTATCAATTATAGATTTTAATTTTGTACTTGCATTATTGGATTTCCTATAATATTTCCTTATCTCCAACATCTCCCTTTTAATCTTAAATGTTGCTTTTTTAAAAACATTTTTCCTTTTGACTTTCTGCTACTTTTTTTTATAAAATCTCTTAAACTTACATTTTTTTTGTTCTATGAACTTTAAATATCAGGCAATTTTCTAATATATTCTCTTGTGCTTACCCATATTCAAGAAACATATTGTTTTCCTAAGCCTTTAGAATGAAGTTCATTTTCCCTTTTTCTGAAGGTAATATGTTAGAACCATGTTATCTATTTTCCAGTGTTATTTCTACCCTGGAAGGCAAACCTGTTTGACAATAATCAAAGTATATCATTTGCTGTTCATTCCACTCGAAATGGCTTCCTCCAATCTTCAGCTCAGAAGTGGTGTGATGTATATGTCTCCTAATCTAATACTCAGTGTTCATGACTCCCTCATCTACTGCAACTATTCTAGGTCATGTGGTATTTTCTCCTAAAATCTGGTTCGATGACATTTTAGTTTTGTGAAATATACACTGAACTACAATTCTCTCTTTGCTTTCTTCCCTCTACCTATTTACTTTTTGGGTAACTGCATCTCCCTACATAAGATGAACTTCTGCCCATTCTTTTTTTTTTTTTTTTTTTTAATTTTTGTATGTGTTTTTTTTTAATTATACTTTAAGTTTTAGGGTACATGTGCACAATGTGCAGGTTAGTTACATATGTATACATGTGCCATGCTGGTGCGCTGCACCCACTAACTCGTTATCTAGCATTAGGTATATCTCCCGATGCTATCCCTCCCCCCTCCCCCCACCCCACAACAGTCCCCAGAGTGTGATATTCCCCTCCCTGTGTCCATGTGATCTCATTGTTCAATTCCCACCTATGAGTGAGAATATGCGGTGTTTGGTTTTTTGTTCTTGCGATAGTTTACTGAGAATGATGATTTCCAATTTCATCCATGTCCCTACAAAGGACATGAACTTCTCTGCCCGTTCTTATCTCCCAAACTTACTGCCAGATGGTTCTGGTGTTTCCTGGAATGTTTGAAGAAAAAGAACTGTTAAAGGCCATTCGGAAGAAAAGAGAATTAAGGTGCTCTTTTCAGAGTGATACTTGTACATGTACTTAAGGATGACTAACTGATGACTAGCTGTTAATATGGATTTACTATTTGGAAACTAGCTAAGAGACATGGGGTTAAGAAAACAATACATGCCATCTTTCACTTTAACATGTTTATTCTATTAGAGTTGCCCTGGCTAAAGAGGCTCACTGCTTGTTGTGTTTTTTAGTCTAGATCTATTAACCTTGTAATTACTTTCGAGGGGAAATCTCTCTCACTATTGGGAGCAAGTTTTCCAATATTACTAGAATTTAGTGGTGGCAAGAATTTTCACTTTGTACTTCCCCTGAGATTTTTAAGTTGTTTCAGTGGGAGACACTTCACTAGGGATTTTCATCAGCTCCCATTTAAATAAAGTTCCTCAGCAGGCCAATCTTTAAAATGATTTAACTGTCGGCCGGGCATGGTGGCTCACACCTGTAATCCCAGCACTTTGGGAGGCCAAGGCAGGCAGATCACCTGAGTTCAGGAGTTTGAGACCAACCTGGCCAACATGGTGAAACACCGTCTCTTCTAAAAATATAAAAATTAGCTGGCCATGGTGGCAGGCACCTGTAATCCCAGGTACTTGGGAGGCTGAGACAGGAGAATCGCTTGAACCCAGAAAGCGGAGGTTGCAGTGAGCCGAGATTGTGCCACTGCACTCCAGCCTAGGCAACAGAGTGAGACTCCTTCTCAAAAATAAATAAATAAATAAATAAATAAATAAATAAATAAATAAATAAATAAATAAAAATAAAAATAAAGTGATTTAACTAACTTTCTATCGGAGCCAGCTGAATTGCCTTCCTCTCTTTTAAATTTTCTGATTAACCTCTGCCTTTTTTTTATATTAGAAAAAGTAAAACATTCAAATAAGTATCTAGAAATTAAATTTTTTTAAAAAACCTTTGTTTGCCAATACATTATTTTGGGAAAACTTTATATTTGCACTAAGAAAAATTGTCTCTTTCGTGTAGCTTACTTTTAGAATATATATTTCTTTATGATCAGAAGTTGAATATAAAAGTAAATATTTCTCAAAATAGAGAAAATTTAAACTTTGTTTACAAGTGCTTCAGTTATATTAGCTTCATTAAAGTTGATAGAGTAAATTGAATGACATGTTTCAAGGATTTATATTTTTACCACAAAAATATAGTATGGATACATTAGCACAAATATACCTAATATTTATTGCCAAACTATAACCATCCAGGTGTATTATACTGTCTTCTTAAGGAGTCAAAAAATGTAAAACTGGTTGAGAGATAAATACATATAGCTTTTGCTATTGTCTTTATTGGTGAGTCCTAATTCTTATAGTTTGGTAGATTCACGGGATCTGGTGAGGAGGAACCAATGTGATTCTGATACTACAGGCAAGCATCCAAACTATGTGGTTTAAAGCTAAGTGTTATGGCATTATCATATAACAAAGAGGAAAATCAAAGAAGCAAACTTTAGCAGTGGATACTTGTCTTTTATCAAAGCTCTAAAGCAATTGTCCTGAGCTGTTGAGAGAAAAGAAACTATGATTTCCTAGATCTTTCAACTACAGAATCAGCCCCAATTCTTCCATTCAGTAGCATGTAGTCTGGGGACAATTTGGAGAGAATATGGGATTGAATGAACACTTCAACTTTTTTTTTCCCCTTGAAAGTGCTATTTGTAGGATATGATTGCCACTATCCAGATAAAGCATAATAGTGCTAGGGATGAAGAACAGAGAGAAGTCTGTATTTCAGAGCTTTAGAGAATGAAATGGACAGAAATTGATGGCCATTTGACTGTAGTAAGTGGAGGAAGGGGATATTTTATGTAACTCTTATTTCCACCTTGAATTAGGTAGGAAATCACTACCAGGATAGAGAATGCCAGAAGACAAACAGTATTGTGAATGTTATCTCATATGTAGTGTTGGCTGGATTGAATTTTATGTACCTAGAAAACACCTGTACTAAAGATATTTAAAAGATACTTTTAAATATTGGCCTGAATTACAAAGGGTTGAGGAGGTCAAAGTCTAGAGATATAACCTGATCAGTTCTACCCCCAAAATATATTTTGGGTTAGTTTGTTTCTCTCCCACCCCACTACCAGGATGCTTCTTTGGCCATTAATCATAATCTACATTCTCCAGCTCCTATCTCTAACTCTATAAATTGTGTTTCATACAACAGTCAGAGTGATATTGTGTGAGGGGTTATGCCACTTTTCTGCTTAAAGGCTCCACATTACAATTAAATTTAAAGTTATATGTCGTATTCTGTCTCTAAGGACCTTGCATCATCTGGCTCCTGGGATCTCACACCATTCCTGTGCAGTTCTTGAGACTTGAAGCCCACTGGCTTTCTTTCCATTCTTCAAGCTATCTTACTTCAGACTGTGGCATGTTTCATTTCCTGTACCTGGAAAGATCTTTTCCAGAGATTACCCCTGAACCCGGCCCCACCCTCTATTCCTACTTATCAACATTTTTCTTATCCTTTATATCTCAGTGTAAACATTACTTCTACAGAATGATCTGATCACCCCACCCCTCCTCACATTCTCCACAGTATTTCACAACTCAGTACCATGTTTATTTCATTAACGACACTTAGAACAATGTGTAATTTTTTTTTATTATACTTTAAGTTCTAGGGTACATGTGCACAATGTACAGGTTTGTTACATACATATACATGTGCCATATTGGTGTGCTGCACCCATTAACTCGTCATCTACATTAGGTATTTCTCCTAATGCTATCCCTCCCCACTCCCCCACCCCACCACATGCCCCGGTGTGTGACGTTCCCCACCCTGTGTCCAAGTGTTCTCATTGTTCACTTCCCACATATGAGTGAGAACATGTGGTGTTTGGTTTTCTGTCCTTGCAATAGTTTGCTCAGATTGATGGTTTCTAGCTTCATCCATGTCCCTACAAAGGACGTGAACTCATCCTTTTCTATGGCTGCATAGTATTCCATGGTATATATGTGCCACATTTTCTTAATCCAGTCTATCACTGATGGACATTTGGGTTGGTTCCAAGTCTCTGCTATTGTAAATAGTGCTGCAATAAACATACATGTGCACATGTCTTTATAGCAGCATGATTTATAATCCTTTGGGTATATGCCCAGTAATGAGATCACTGGGTCAAATGGTATTTCTAGCTCTAGATCCTTGAGGAATCGCCACACTGTCTTCCACAATGGTTGAACTAGTTTACAGTCCCACCAACAGTGTAAAAGTGTTCCTATTTCTATACATCCTCTCCAGCACCTGTTGTTTCCTGAATTTTTAATGATCGCCATTCTAACTGGTGTGAGATGGTATCTCATTGTGGTTTTGATTTGCATTTCTCTGATGGCCTGTGATGATGAGCAAAAATGCATAATTTTTTAAAAAGTATTTTCTTCTTTGTAGTCTAATTTGTCCAGTAGACTAAATAGTTCATGGGGGCAGGAACCACATCTGACTTGTGCCCAGTGCATGGTTAGACTGAATGCCCATATTCCCCAGGTGCCCAGGATAGCCCTGTTTCATGCCTGCTGATCTGATGATTGTTAATAACACCGTCTTCACTCTCAAAAATGTCTTGATTTGGATGATAAATTACATGTCAATTTATGTATGGTAAACACTCAATAATTATTTATTGAATAAGTAAATAAATGGGAAACTCTGACACATAGATGTTATTAAAATATATAAAAAATAAGACAATTTGAAGTGCAGTGCAATGGTTCACTGATGATGTAAAGCATAAAGGGTTGGAAAGACTATTTATTGCAGAACTCCTGTGTATATATGTGGGTGTTTAATTAAAAATATAATTTTTAAAACATTATTGAGACATTAAGATTTCAAGTTTTTTTAAAAAAGCATTTAAAGGCAGATTTAAAAAATAACTTTGCACACTGTTGATGAATATGGTATGTTTTGATTTATTACTTCAGAATACTGCATTTAAATGCGGAGAAAAACTAGGGAATTATTTCATTTAATTGTGAAACATCTTCCCATTAGTGTTCAAAATCCCAGATTATATTTCTCTAGAGTATAAATTTGATTGAATCCTTTCATTTGTCTAGAAAATATCAAGAAACATTGAGAAAGTAATATTTCAATCTATATGTTTATATATATGATATACAATATGAACACATACATATGTACATATATATGTGTATAGGTATGTTTCATACCTGAAAAAGTACATATGTCTATTACATACATCTATACAGATATATATCACATATCACATATGTATGTATTTGCTCATATACATTTATATATATATCTAGGAATGATGCTGAAAACTTTCATTTTGTTTTAAAAATAAAACAATATTGAGATCTAGATTATATAAAATACTCAAAGAGAAATAGTTGCTTTTATTTCAACCTTAAAAAGCTAACAGTTTATGTTTAAAAGATAACTAACATTAAAAAATATGAATGCTATATGTGTACTTTATTTATAGAAGAACTGAGCCTGGAGTAGAGGAGGCAGCTGGATATAAAAAAGTGCATAGACTGGCATCAAAGAGAGCTCACTTTGAATCTGGGTTTTGCCAAGTGTGTTATCTTAGAAAAGTCATTTAACTCCCTGACCTTCAATTTTTTCACCCACTAAGTTAATAGTACCTAGTACAACATGAAATTAGGAGGATGGGAAATGATCTACATACCACCATACCATTGCTATGCAATCGTAAGAACTCTAAATATAACTTCTCTCTTTAATGTTCAAACATGCGGTGATCAGGTCTACCTGCCAGGTTTTTAATGGATTGTCACAGACCCAAGCACTTTCCTAGAAGGATTATCATGATGAGCTTAAATCCCTGTCCTGTGAGAACTATCTGGGGGGAAAAGAAACAATTAATGGATGAGAGATAGCTTCAAAATCAGTGGAGCTGACATAAAGGAGGAGTTGATTTCTCTGTTGGCATGTTTAGGGTATGAAATTACGAGAACTGAGTTTTGAGCGTTGTATAAAGAAATTAGGAATTATTACATAGCAGACAGAACTTTAATGACTGATTGGAGTCTATCTAAACTCTAAAATTTATATAATTATAAATAGTATACAATAAGGTACATAATACAAGAAACTATAATAAGGAGTAGGAAAAATAATAGCAGAATTTTACTAGGTTTCAATAATTAGGACAAATGATTGATGAATGTCCTGAAAATGGTAAGGAATTTTGAAATCAAGAATATTGGCAAGGCCCGGTGCGATGGCTCACGCTTGTAATCCCAGCACTTTGGGAGGCCGAGGCGGGCGGATCACGAGTTCAGGAGATCAAGACCATCCTGGCTAACATGGTGAAACCCCGTCTCTACTAAAAATACAAAAAATTAGCCGGGCGTCGTGGCAGTGCCTGTAGTCCCAGCTACTCGGGAGGCTGAGGCAGGAGAATGGCGTGAACCCGGGAGGCGGAGCTTGCAGTGAGCGGAGATCGTGTCACTGCACTCCAGCCTGGGCGACAGAGCAAGACTCCATCTCAAAAAAAAAAAAAAAAAAAAAAAAGAATATTGGCAAAGGGTTAGTATAGAGATATGAGGAATATAGAAAGAAAGAATAATTTCTTACTCAGAGACAGTAGAAGGGCAATTGAATACATTAAAAAATCTGAAGTGAACAGACAAGAAGTTAATAAACTTCATGTCTAATGGTAACAATCATTTTAGTCAAGTGGAAAGCTCATTATATAGTCAGCACTATGCTATAATTAAGTAAAAGTGACAGGATTCTTCTTACATATTCATATATAATAAATATACATTTATAAACCTCACTGTAAGAATTACATATTGTTAATATCACTGAATGTTGTAAATATTGACCTTCAAAACATTTTATGTCAGAGGCACAATCAGAACAAAATGAAATGGGCATTGAAGAAAACTGCAAATGGTAAAATCCAAATTAGACCGAAAAAAGGCTTCCTGATTAAAATAAGGTCTGCAAATTGTGACCTGTGAAAACTGACCTGGGTAGAAATAATGGCTACACATAAAATAATCTATATAATTAGAAAAAGTGGAAATCCGAGAGGTAGTTAAGAGGAAGATTTTATGTTTAATGGCTTGAACAATTCATTAATATTTTAGATTTTTTAAATCAAAAAATGCAAAGAATGTATGTACTCAGATTAGAAAAAATAATATATATTTAGATTAGAAAACAAATACTAAGGCCAATGAATAAGGAGTACTTGTACTGATCGATTGCTTTAACATCTCTGTAAATACTCACGCACCCATTTCACTGTGGCAAAGAGCATGGGGTCATATACCAGGACAGCGAAGTTTGCACCATGTAGTCCTATGTTTGTTAAAAATTAAATAGGCTGGGCATGGTGGCTCATACCTGTAATCCCAGCTTTTTGGGAGGCTGAAGTGGGCAGATGGATTGAGCCCAGGAATTTGAGACCTGCCTGGGCAGCATAATGAGAACCAGTTTCTACAAAAATAAAAAATAAAAGAAATGCAAAAATTAGCCAGGCATGGTGACACGTGTCTATAGTCTAGCAACTTGGGAGACTGAGGTGGGAGGATTGTGTGAGCCCAGGAGGTTGAGGCTACAGTGAATGAACATAGTGCCACTCCCTCTGGCCTAGGTGACAGAGGAAGACACTGTCTCAAAAAAAAAAAAAAAAGAAAAAAGAAAGAAAGAAATGATTGATGCTATTATGTGTCCTATTGAGAATCAAATATTAACATAAAGCCATAAGAATAGCTTTAATTTTGATACTCTTGTATCTGTCCAATATAAGGACAATATATATCTTCTTACATATTCATATTAATAGATATACATTTATAACAATGTAAGCTACTGGCTGATTATATAATCAAGTGTGTACAGCAGGACCCTGCCACTCAGTTCTGTGACTGTTGCTGTCTCTTTAAGAAGGCTCAAATGCCTTTGAAATAAGTAATAGCAGCAGACCAAACAGCTGGGGAATCAGCACGCAGAGGGAAAAAGAGCAAAGCTGCAAAATGAGTTTACAAATGTTACTAGAGTAACGAGAAAAAGTTGCTGAGATGTTCAAGATTCAATGCACTCTACTAAATACAAGTCCTTTGAAAAATGTGTACAGAATTTTCAACATTATTTTGGACATATATCGTCCACCCCCCACCTTTCCTACTGTTTTCTCTGAGATGTAATATAAAGCTATTGAGCAAATATGATTCATACTCTCAAGGTTACTAGATTGGAGAAAAATGGAACACACAGTATGTTATGTTTGAATGTACTCAATATGCATGAACATTGCACCATTGAAATAGTGATTACGTACATTCAAGTTTAATAAGTAGGTAACAAAATTGTTTGATTTTGATGACTTTCTTTTGAGGGGATAAAACTCCAAGGCTGCTACATTTTACACAAAATACAAGCAAATTATTTTGTTTTCCATTTTAAACAAACAGGAGAGTTTCTAAGGCCTCAGTGGGTTACCTTTGTTCACATCAGCTTGCCATTATATTTTTAAAATTCACATTTTAATGGTGATCATATAATTAATGTAGCAACTGCCAACAATCAGATTACATTCTTGTTCTGTCATTTAAATGTTACTCATTATAAGAATAAAATCAACTTTTAAACAGCTTGTTTATTCTATTTTTCAAAACAAGATTTTTTTCGATGTCTTTCCTAGTACCTTCTGAAGAGGCAGTGATCAATACATCTTTTTTATTGATGGAAATATAAACAATGAAGTGTAGACAGAAAGCAAATTTTGTGATATGGTTGTCTTCTGAATAGTAACAGCTATTGAAAAAAACCACTCAAAGAGGAAAAAGTTTATGATGTTAACTCGTTATAAGAACAACATTAAGGAAAGGCGTCCTGGGTATATATACATTTTTTTTTCTGTATTTAAGAAAAAAGGGAACAATTTCATTTATTTTATAATCAGAATTGTAAAGTATAGCTGAATGATAGGCTTTAATTAAATCTGAAATTTATTCTTTGAAATTGAGGTAAATAAAACTCTGTGTTCATATTACATCATATAAAACACATGTGTTCACAACCCCTTTAAAACATTTTCATCACAAGATGGAATATAGAATAGAAATAATGCATATTTATGTTTGTATATATGTGCATATGAACAGAGAGTCACAAAAGATATTAGGTGAATGTTTAAGAAATATTCTTAGTCCATTTTTTTGTTTGTTTGTTTGTTTGTTTGTTTTTCTGAGACAGAGTCTCGCTCTGTCGCCCAGGCTGGAGGGCAGTGGCGCGATCTCGGCTCAATGCAAGCTCCGCCTCCCGGGTTCACGCCATTCTCCTGCCTCAGCCTCCCGAGTAGCTGGGACTACAGGCGCCCGCCACCATGCCCAGCTAATTTTTTTTGTATTTTTTAGTAGAGATGGGGTTTCACCGTGTTAGCCAGGATGGTCTCGATCTCCTGACTTCGTGATCCGCCCATCTCGGCTTCCCAAAGTGCTGGGATTACAGGTGTGAGCCACCGTGCCCGGCCTCTTAGTCCCTTCCTATGTGAGGTGTACTGGGGTACATTTTATCACTCTTTCATCTCAGTAGGTGCTGATAATTCAGGTTTCTCTCCCACATTATCATAACCCATATGAACACCAGGACCCCATCTTTATTTACTTTGGAACCTAAAAGTATATTGGGACATTGTAGTTAGATGCTCGTGCACGAAGTTCAGATGGGGCTCACCAAAATCTCAGGAGACGCACTCGAAGTTTTCTGGATGAAGCATAGGCGTGTAGCGGTGGAATGAGCTGAACAGATGAAGTAGCTCCTCGGCACAGGCTAAGTGGAACCCTCCCTTGAATAGTTAGGGAATGTCTGCAGATGTGAACTCTGTCTTCAGTTAGCAATTTGGCACTGGCAATTTGGCACTGACAACAAATGGGAAAGAAGAGTGGGGCAGATTCTCAATGATAACTCTGGCCCACTGAGATGCACAGCCCTTATCACCAGCCCCAGAAACCTCTATGAAGGTCCAGGTCACTCACCTCCCTTGTCAGAATCATCAATGGTTATCTGAGTATCTGTGAGGATTTTGGCTAATCTAGATCATCTTCAGTTTTCTTCCAATTCTATTGTTCTGATACATTTGTAATTTGCTACATTGTTCTGGATTCTTGAATGATTTTTTGTTTCCCCTTAAATAAGCCTGTTTTATCCAGTCTTAGGTTTGGCCTTTAGAAATATTATTTTCATTTTTAGATTCCAGAGCCTATTTTTAAAAGTAAAAACAAAGTATTAACTGTTTCTCTCAATAAATATCTTTATTCTCTATATGGTCATATGCATGCCTTTGACAAACAGAAAAAAGTCACTTACCAGGAAATAAAGATGTGTTAATATTTTATGCCTCACCTCACTACATAGGCACCATGCTTGGCACTGGAAATTTAGTGCAGAACAGGACACTGAAGGTGCCTTCCCTCACAGAGCATAACGTTTAGTAAAACACGGGACACAGTGTAGGATTTTAGGAAGGTATATTTGAAGATCCTTAAAATAGTCTCAAGAGAGAAAGTCACAAGTTCCAGCTGTGATATTATCAAGGTGGTAAGAGAGCTTAATGCCTATTTTGGAAAACTTTAGAAATCTTAATTTCAGTAAGCTTATCCCTTGGCAATCAGATGCTAAAAGAGTTATATTCTATTATAAAGACACTCATAATGAAACTAAAAGTAAAACCTTGTTATTCTAAAAATATGTTGATTTAGACTTTCCCCACAGTAAGAACCCTTACTCATTGCTATTGATTATTAAAGAATAAAGCTTTTGATGAACTTGTGAAACCTTGGGTAAAGCTAATTTCCCTTTATACTATCAGTCATTGTTCCAAGATTTAAATTTCATAAAAAGAACAGCCGTCTGCAAAAGGCTTTGCTACTTAGATTGCAGTTTTAATATTCATTTGAGCCTGGCAATTTTTGTGGAAACCATAGATGACAAATTATAATTTTGTCTTTTATGTGGAGTTTTATTGTGAAGACTCCTGAATGTTTCAAATTTAATATTAAAACAGCCTTGGTGAATGACAATGCATGACTGTATATTGTATTAACAAAAGAAGTAACATCGGACACATGTTCTATCCATAATATGTGGCCATGGTAATTCATGGTCACAGAAGCAGAAGATAATGTTACAGATCTGCACAACAGCTGTTAAAAATTAATTTATTGTTTATTCATTCAACAAATACTTACTGAGCCTGTGTCAGGCTCTCTTATGGGCCTTATAAATCAGTGCACATCTCCCTAATTTTGGAGCACACATTATAGTATGGGACTCGAATGATATATTGAATTAAATATATTAATCAGATGGTTATAGGTTTTTTTGAAGCAAAAGAAAATAGGACAAGGGAGCCAGGTGCGGTGGCTCACGCCTGTAATCCCAGCACTTTGGGAGGCCGAGGTGGGCGGATCACGAGGTCAGGAGATCGAGACCACGGTGAAACCCTGTCTCTACTAAAAATACAAAAAATTAGCCGGGCATGGTGGCGGGCGCCTGTAGTCCCAGCTACTCGGGAGGCTGAGGCGGGAGAATGGCGTGAACCCGGGAGGCGGAGCTTGCAGTGAGCCGAGATCGCGCCACTGCACTCCAGCCTGGGCGACAGAGCGAGACGCCATCTCAAAAAAAAAAAAAAAAAAAAAAAAAAAAAAGAAAACAGGACAAGGGAATAGTGGATGATGAAAGCAAATGATGCTATCAAGTAGGGTGACCAGTGAAATAATCTTAAACAATGTAGCATTTGAGGCCCGGCGCGATGGCTCACGCCTGTAATCCCAGCACTTCGAGAGGCCGAGGCGGGTGGATCACGAGTCAGGAGATCGAGACCACAGTGAAACCCCGTCTCTACTAAAAATACAAAAAAAATTAGCCAGGCGAGGTGGCGGGCGCCCGTAGTCCCAGCTACTCGGGAGGCTGAGGCAGGAGAATGGCGTGAACCCGGGAGGCGGAGCTTGCAGTGAGCCGAGATCGTGCCACTGCACTCCAGCCTGGGCGACAGAGCAAGACTCTGTCTTAAAAAAACAAACAAACAAACAAAAAACAATGTAGCATTTGAGTGGAAAACTCTAGGGTTTAAGGAAAGCTGGGGAATAAATGCTCCAGGAAGAACAGCAAGTACAGAGACTCTGAGGTAGTAGCACACTTGTTGAATCAAGGAAAAGCAAGTGGGCCAGTGTGGCTGGAGAGAGTTAGAAAGAGGAAGTGAGAGTTGATTAGGTCAGAACGGCGACTGGGAGACAGACCATCTTGGGTCTTGACATAATGATTAGGACTTTGTTTTTATTCTAGATAACATTTGGAAGCTACTATATGCCTTGTAGCAGTAAAATAATTTCACGTTGTTTTAGAAGGATTATGCTGCTTCTTGCATGGAGAAAAAGAGACTGAAGGAAAATAGAGTAGAAAAGGGAAACCTTTTAGACCTAGCATAGCTCAAGCATCACCCTGCATAAATTTAAAAATGCAGCAAGTACTGTGCAGATACTGAAATCAGAAAGAATTTTTTAATTGACCTATTCGAATGAAGCTCATCAACTGTCAGTGACATTCAAATGAATCTGCATAATTATTCATGTAAAGCAAGCCTAAGATTTGTATTATAGCTGAAGGTCTGGAGCAAGATGCCTTAGAATCTTTCAGTATCTCAACTCAAGAGTGTTCAACCATGGTAAAAAAGAAAATACGTGTTGTAGTGTCTCAAGAATGTTCAACAATGGTCAAAAAAATTCAAGATGAAAGATGATTAGTTTTTTTAATTAGTAATCATTGAAGTTCTATCCATAATATTTTCTACAAAGATTTTTTTGGAGTGGTACTTAAGGTAACTGAATTTTTTACATTATGATTATCACAACGTTGATATTGCTAGAAACTCTGTTGTGACTGTACAGTGTGATTTCTTGATGGACTAACACTCATACCTTCTTTAAAGATGTAACCAAAATGCCTCTCAAGAATATATCGCTTCAAAGAGTTTATGACATGTTTCTGGCCTTCACAGCTTGGGAAAAGAATAATAAGCAACTGGCAAGAAATATCCCATTTTTTTTTCTCGTTGGAGAAATTACTTATACATTAAGCACAATGGTGAAATTTTATATTTATATGAATATGAAATACGAACTATATATAAATTGTTCATATTTATATATACACATACATAATTTCATATTTATATGAAAATATAGTTCATATATACACATATATAATTTTGTATATATACATGTATATATGTAATTTCATATATATTTTTTCATATATATGTGTGTGTGTGTATATACTTATATATGCAAATACATATAAAATCATTTACCCATGCCTTGTAGAGTACACCAGTTGTTGACACAAGCCTAATCTCCAGTCATCATTGGGAAGATATCCCTTATGTCATACATAGCCAGTGTGGCAGACAATAAGTTACTTCGATTCATTCATTTAACCAAACATACCTTTATTTAGGAAAAACAAATCAGACATGGACTATCTTTGAAGTATAGAGTTAGTTGCTAGGAATATCATATTTTCCATCCTCAGAGAGTTTAATCTTTTTAAACATCACCATGTGCCATACTCTATTTTAGATACCACCCACTAGATTATCATTCATGGGGTTAAATCCCAGCCTCGCCACAGAATTACCTGAATTGTCTATGGCTTGTCTTTTTTAAATTGGGGGTAAGAAAGTCACCTACTCATATGGTACTTGTGACGATTAAGTGATTTAGACCATGCCCCTCCAGAAATGCTGGCCCATACTGGTAAACAAGTGGCATATAACAGTGCTTTGTTGAGAACTACATCATACCTCAGCTCACTGTGTCAGAGTTTTCTCATATCTACATTAGAACATGATACTGAGGAATCAATTACTTACTGTAAAATTATAGAGAAAGTGGCAGAGAAAAACACAGTCATTAAATAATTCAAGAATATCCACTACTAGCTTTGGGATATTGTCATTATAATGTGTAACAAACGTTTTTAGGAATGTTTTAAAACTATAATATCATGCTCTAATTACATGACTTTATATGATCCAGGTATCTTTTTGGTTGCATTTATGACTTCTTCTGTAGAAGAGTAAAGTCAGTGCTAATACCTTGATCACGTATGATTGAGGATTCATTTAAATGTTTGATTTTAGAAGACTTTTGTAACCTACAACTTTAACATGGTCAAATTTTATTGAATCTCTGATTGATATTTCTTAAATTGGGTTTTTAGAGGGACCAGTGAGAAGTAATGCTGGAATTTAAGCTGTTAAGGAACCACCTATTGAGCCATTCAAAAGCAGCTATAGGGTGGAGGAGAGGCAAAACCATTCCTTCCTTTTTATGAGACTGCAGCAGGTTCTGGTGTCTAGGATGGACTACAACAGTGGCACCTGGCACGGATTCCACACTAAACTGCCCAAGCAGTGAGAGAATTTGAGTTATATATAGCCAATTTAGGAAAAAAAAAATTGAACTCTAAAACAAAATTCATACAGAAGCAGAATGCTTTGGGGCCTAGCTTGAAAGCTGTTTGGCTTAACAGCTTATGTCACCTTCTAATGTATGAAAATACACATTAGATAGTTCTAAAGAAAAATATCTAAACATGTTCAAAGAAGAATCAAAATTATGTACACCCCAAGACCTCCTCTTTGTATGGACTATTGAAAGGAGACTTGCAGTTATTGAAATTACCAGTTATGTTGACTAAGGCATGAGCAGAAGATAAACCATGGAGTTAAGGATCCCATGTCAAATTTGGGCTTTCATCCATTCCTCTGGTTAATAGCAATTTGTCCCTTACTTCTTTCCAGGGTATCATTCCTTTGTTTCTATTGCTGGATCTCAGTGCCATTTGATCCAAAAGTGATTTCCTGAAATTCTGCCCCTAAGGTGATCTCTGCTCACTCCATATTCACTTTGTATCTCTACATTGGGTAAGAATTCTGCAACTTTGTAGTTGTTTATTAAAAATACAATGCAGCATTTCACTTTTTGGTCCAAAGCCATTAATAAAATAAACTCTCACCGGGACAGATTCAAAGTTTATTTCTTATTTTCCCACAAGATATTTGGCTCTGTTTATTCCTTGGGCCATCTTCTCAATCTGGTGGCTTTAGACTTCAGCAAGCAACATCACAGCTACGCTGAGTCTTTTCCCTCTGAAGTAATAAAATGACTTTCCTTGAGGATATTGGAAAGGAGTAAGCCGTATCTGTGGGTAATGCATTTATTTCCCAGACTTCAAGAACTTTAGCTTCTTAAACTGAAACTCATTAGAAAAATAATGTGTAATATTATTTGTTTTAGTGTAGAAATTATTTCTAATTAAACACATATTCAATGCTATTCCCAGTATCTTTACTCTCTTTGGAATATTTTATAATAACATTATTATAAATGATGAAGGAGGATGTGGTATGCTTTTAAAATATGTAAGTACAATATAGTGACTGAGATACATGAGCTGCTAAAGAATAGACAATGAGATTTAAGTTGTAACTTTACTACCTTCCACCATGACTTATAGATAGAAAACACACATTTTTAATGAATAATTAAATGCAGGAATACATTTTCTATCTAAAAAGGAACAATGTGATGGTAATCATACTTTTGTTTCCAGAAATGATCCTCAAGTTATTTTGGCCATGCTTTATACAGCACATTTAAGAAAGCATTAGCTGATGAATGTCTTCTGACCTCAAATTAATGTGTATTATTGAATTAATTGTATAATGCATGCCATGCTACTATACATAATCTACCACGGGTATTGAGTCTTCCATGCTAAGGGTTCAAGAAGCTTTATACAAGAATCAATATTGAATTTTGCAGGTGTAATCTAGAGAAAATTTCTTAATTGTGAAAGACTATTTTTCAAAGTGGCTCACAAAGCTCCTAGTTTCATTTAATATATTGTCTCCAATAATCCTAGCTTAGTACCAGTTATTTGCAGAACACTGGCTGCCAGAGAGTGTAGCTTCTGACAATGGGTCTGTGTTTATTTCAGTTTTGATAAAAGACTTGTGAACTGGAAATTTATGCTATCAACAGACCTCAAAGAAATGGCTAGGCTGGAAAGATAGCGTAGATTACTAAGAATAACTTAAAATAGATCCAGAAAGAAAGGATTGGCTAAGATTTGCCTGATTGATGGTGTTCAACATGTTATTTCACTCAACTTCAGGAATGAATCCTATTAAATTACCAATCAGTTGTCTTAATGGTCTTCTCTTAGATAAATATGTTTATTCCAGAAAATAAAATGTACACCTCATCTTTCTTTACTTGCACCATATATTTGGCCATGGCTAGTAAGTAGCCCAACAAAAGTTCTTGCTGTTATAATAAAGGACATGTTATATATAGTATATAGTATATAGTATAGGACATAAAACTCAGAGTACAGATGAACCAATGTACCATTCCCGTCAGTGGAAAGATATCCTTCTGAGACTGTCTTTACAATGAAGTTCAAGTACCTCAGCTCCAAAGTCATTACAGTCACAATCCAAGCAAAAGAAAAATAAAATTTATCTATGTTATATCTAAAGAAAACAGGATAATAAATGAATATAAAAATAACAAAAAAATAAGGAATTTTTTTTTTAACTTACAGCCCTAGTACTGAGAAACTGCTCATACACCAATTTCATTACCAATTTCTCTCTTCCTTTATAGGAAAACCTACAGGATTCACATATTATCCTTTTTGGCTATAATAAAAACATGCATCTTGTGTGTTTATCATATGCCATGCATTCTGCTAAAAGCTTCACATAGCATTTAATCTTCACAGTAACTCTATGTGGTATATTTTCTACTATCCTTGTTTTACAGAGAGAAAAGTGAAGTTTCAACAGATGAAGTAGCTTATAGTCTCAAAATAGGAAATGATAACACTATAACTCAAAACAGACGCTTAAGCCTTATTTAATAGAATTAATTTGAGATTTATAGAAAAATTGAGAAGATGGTACTGAGAGGCTTCATATATCTCATACTCAGTTTCCCCTATTGCTAATATATTACTGTCATGTGTTTGTTACAATTGATGGACTGATATTGTTACATTTTTATTGACAAAAGTTCATAGTTTTCTTTGATTTCTTTAATTTTTACATAATGTACTTTTCTGTTGTTTTTGTTGTTTCAGGATTCCATCCAGGATACAACATTACATTTAGTTGTCGTGTCTCTCAGGATTCCTCCTGGCATGGCAGTTTCTCAGAATTTCCTTGTTTTTGATGGCTTAGACAGTTTTGAGGAGTAGTACTCAGGGGTATTATATAATGTCCTTCAGCTAGGGTTGTCCATTGTCTTTTTTTCTCATGCTAAGACTAGGGCTATTAATAATTGAGAGGAAGTGCCATTTTCATCATGTCATGTCAAATATGCATACCACCAACATAATTTATAAGTATTAATATCGTCCTTGATTACTTGGCTGAGGTAGTGTTTGACAGGTTTCTCCATTGTAAAATTACTCTTTCCCTCATTCTTTGTTCTGCACACTTTGGAAGGAAGTCATTATTCACAGTCCACATCTAAGGAGTAAGGAGTTATGCTTCGTCTCCCTGAGGGCAGAGTGTTTATATCAATTATTCGGAATTCTTCTACATGGGAAATTTATCTCATTTTCTCCACTTATGAATTTATCATTTTTGTTATGGGGTATTGGAATATCAATGTATTGGATATATTATTATCCAATAATCATGTATGTTAGCTGTGATCAAGTTGAGGAAGTCCCTTCTGTACTTCTACTTTGCTGAGAGATTTTTATCATAAATGGGTGTTGGATTTTATCAAATGTTTTCTCTGCATCTAAAGATATGATCATGTTTTTCCTTTATCAGTTAATGTGGTGGATTAATATTGATTGATTTTGAAATGTTGAGCTGGTCTTATATTCCTGGAATAAATCCTACTCGGTTTTGGTGTGTAATTCTTTTCATGCACTGCTACATTTGATTTGCTAATATTTTATTGACAATTTTTACAGCTACATTCATGAGAAACATTGGTCTGCCGTTTTCCTTTCTTATAATGTCTTTATACAGTTTTGGTATTAGTTTAAGGCTAGCCTCATCCAGTGGACTAGGAAGCAGTATTTTCTTCACTATTTTCTGGAAGACGTTGTATAAAATTGGTATCATTTGTTCTCTAATGTTTGACAGAATTCACCAGTGATACTCCTTGGATCTGGTGCTTTCTTTCTCAGAAAATTATTGTTGATTCTATTTCTTTAATAGGTTATTCATATTTCCCTACATGAGTTTGGTAGTGTGTATCTTTTAGGAAATTGGTTCATTTCAACTTAGTTATCAAAATTTATGGGACTAAATATTTGTGTTCATAATATTCATTATTATTCTTTCAATGTCCTTGGCAACAGCAAGGACTTGATTTCTAATATCAAGTAATTTGTGTCTTCTTGTCTCTTTAAAAAAATGAATCCACTGTAAGTTTATCCATTTTATTTATCTTTTCAGTTAAGTATCTTTTGATTTTGTTGATTTACTCTATTGTTTTCCTGTTTTTAATTTCAATGACTTCTGCTTCAATTTTTATTTCTTCCCTTCTGCTTTCCTTAGGATTAAATTGCTCTTCCTTCTCTGATTTTCTGCAGTAGAGCCTGAGATTATTGATTTTTGAGCTTTCTTGTTTTATAATATATGCATTTAATGCAATAAATTTTCCTCTAAGAGACAACAGATTTTGTTGCATCCCACATATTTTGGTAAGTTATATTGTTATTTTTATTTACTCTAAATATTTTTGAGCTACTCTTGAGTCTTCTCCTTTGACTCGTGTTACTTAGTTGTGTGTTGTTTAATCTCCAAATATTTGAGGATTTCAGTTTCCTTTTTATTGGTGTTAGCATGGTATATTTTTCTCCATCTCATTTAACCTATCTATGTTTTTATATTTAATGTGGGTTTCTTTTTTCTTTTCTTTTTTTTTTCTTTTTTTTGAGACTGAATCTCATTCTGTCACCCAGGCTGGAGTGCAGTGGCATGATCTCGGCTCACTGCAAGCTCCGCCTCCCAGGTTAGCACCATTCTCCTGCCTCAGCCTCCCACGTAGCTGGGACTACAGGTGCCTGCCATCACGCCAGGCTAATTTTTTGTATTTTTAGTGGAGACAGGGTTTCACCATGTTATCCAGGATGGTCTCGATCTCCTGACCTCGTGACCCACGCGCCTCAGCCTCCCAAAAGTGCTGGGATTACAGGCATGAGCCACGATGCCCGGCCTAATGTGGGGTTCTTGTAGACAACATATAATTGGGTCTTGTTTTTATTTTTTAAATCCACCATGACAATCTTTGCCTTTTAATTGGTGTATCTAAACCATTGACATTTAAAGTGATTATTGACACAGTTTGTTTAATATGTACCATATTGTAATTTGTCTTAACATTTGTAGCACTTTTTTCTTTATGCTTTTTCCTCTCTTTTCCTATCTCCTCTGGTTTCAGTGGAATATTTTGTATAATTTCATTTTTTCCTCTTTTAGCATATCAATTATATTTTGCTTTATATTTTTAGTGTTTTTCCTATGGTTTGCAATAAACATTTACAATTAATCTAAGGTCACTCTCAAATAGTGCCATATTACTTCATGAGTAGTACAGTTTCCTTATAACAGAGTTTTCCCTATTTCTTCTTCACATCCCTTAAAACATTGCTGTCATTCATTTCACTAATCCATATGCTATAATCATTCACTGTATTGTTTCTATTATTATTTTAAAAAAACAGCTATCAGAGAAATTAAGAATAAGTAAATTAAAAATTTTATCTTTATTCCTTTCCTGACACTTTTACTATCTTTATATAGGTCTGAGTTTTGACTTGTATCATTTTCCTTCTCCCTGAAGGACTTCTTCAAAATTTCTTTTGCACGGCAGGATTATTCTCAATTTCCTCAGATTCTGCTCGTTTGAGAAAGTTTTTATTTATTCTTCAATTTTGAGTAATATAGTGTATACAGAATTCTAAATTGATGAGTTTGTTTTTCTTTCAACACATTAAATATTTCATACCAGTCTTTTTGCTTGTTTGGTTTCTAATGAGAAGTCTGGTGTAACTTTTATCCTTGTTCTTCTATAGGTGAGGAATTATTTTGGTCTCTGGCTGCTTTCAAAATTTTATCATCTTTTTATTTGGTTGCCTACAGTTTGAATATGATATGTCTTATTGTGGATAGTTTAGTATTTATTCTGCTTAGTGTTCTCTGAGCTTTCTAGATCTATGGTTTTGTGTCTATCATTAATTTTGGAAAATAGCCATTATTTCAAATATTTCTTCAGCTGTCTCTTCCTTCTCATTTCTTTTCCAATAACATGTATATTATGCCAGTTAAAATTGTGTCGCTATTCTTAAATGTTCTGTTCGTTTTTTATTGTCCTTTTGATGATTGCATTTTAGCTCGAGAAGTTTCTACTGACATGTCTTTGAGCTCACTGATTCTTTCGTTAGCTGTATTCAGTCTAACTGATGAACCCATCTAAAGCAGTTTCATTTGTGCAGTGTTTTTTATTTCCACCACTTACTTTTAACTCGTATAGTTTCCATCTCTGTGCTTACATTACCCAACTGTTCTTGAATATTGTCTACTTTTTTCATTAGAGACTTTAACTTATAATTATTGTTATTGGAAGTTTCTGGTCTGATAACTCCAAAATCTCTGCTATTTTGTAGCCCAGTTCTGATGCATGCTTTGTTTCTTTAGACTGTTTTTTTCTTTGCCTTTTAGCATGTCATGCAAATTTTTGTAGAAAGCTAGACATGATGTATCAGGTTTATGAACTGAGGTAAATTGACCTTTAGTGTGTGTGTGGTTTTATGTTAACCTGGCAAGGAGTTGGATTATGTTTAATGTTTGCCATAGCTATGGGTGTCAGCAGCTTCCATTTCCTCTAATGTCCTTGTCTTTTTCTCTTCTGCTGTCTTTGGGTTTCCCTAAAAACTACTTTTCAAAGAGAGGCTGAGCCTTGCAGCTCTTTCAAATGTAATATATTATATTATTATTACACTCTGGTTATAGTAACAAGAGGCCAGTGATTTAGTGGTAAGGTTTGGGGGAATGTAAAGTATCCTAGAATTCTGTGACCAAACTTCAGTTATCAGTGGGCTTCTGTCCCAGGTCTGTGACCTTCACAAGTTTTCCTCAGCTTCCCAACTCCTTAGGTGAGACACTAAGGCTAGAGGAGAAGGAGCTGGGTAATTGCCCTTCTCCAGCATTTGATAGGGCTCTAGTAAAGTTATTTGCTGAGTAAGTTCTTTGTAATTGAGAATTCTGAGTTTATTTTTTAAACGCTTACTTTTCCCTTTCCCCTGCCAGAAACATGAGGGTTTTTTTTCTTAATTCTTCACTGTGAGAACGTGGTGACGTTCCTAGAAGTAAAGCACACAAAAATGTGCAGCTCTCCTAAGACCGCAAGTTGAAAGAGTTTCTCACTCTTACTAAAGTCTACTGTCCATCTCCAGCAATTCATCCAAGTTGCTTTTCAAATGCTCCTTCCCATTTGTAGCTATGATGGTTTGTTCTCCTGGTGAGCTGATCTCAGCTGTGGTTACCTGTATTTGCCTGTCTCTCCAGATTTCAGGATGATGACATCGATTTACTGATTGGTCCAAGAAAGATTGTTGATTTTCAGTTTTGCAGCTTTTCTCTTATTGTGCGAAATGGAGTGATGGCTTTTAAGCTTTTTACATGCTGGAGCTGAAACTAGTCTGATTCTTTACTCTTAATCACTATGCTCTTCTACTGTGGCTCACAACATTTATCATGCACCAGAATCTCCCGGAAAACTTGTTAAAAGTCAGATTGCCAGGCACCATCTCCAAAGGTTCTAATTAAGTAGGTCTGGGGTAGGGCCTGAGAATTTGCATTTCTGACAAGTTCCCAGGTAATGCTGATACTGCAGGGCCATCAACCACGCTATAAGAACCACCATTCTACTATTTTAGTAGCTAATTTGAGTTCTTTTCATGAGCCAAGTAACCAGAAATGTGAATGGCCCAAACAGCTTGCTTCTCGCATTTGCTATGCCATGTTGAAATCATCCATATTTCTGTGGTATCCTCACTATACTTCCCATTATTTTGGGTTTGATTGCAGTGAAAAAAGTTTTAGCACTACCTGTGTTTCTTTTATTATATTAGTTTATTGAATTTTTGTCATGTAAAAATATTAAATTGCAAAATCAAAATCCAGATCTCTAGGAAAAATTTGTAGTAAGTGCCAATCCCATTCCAGAGAGGTAATATCTGTGCAGATTCACATATATATGTGTGTCTTTGTATGATAGGAAGATTTGCTTTACATGTGTTTGTAGTCCTGAAGCTTGCTTTTGTAAACTTACAATGTCATAAAATTTTGTTTTTTATACATATCAATAGATTACTTCATTCTTCAGACAACTACATAGTATTCCATTTTATGAATTTGCCATAATTTAGTTATCACATTTTTATGTACTGGACTCAGGCAGTTTAAAATACTTTTCTGTTACAAAAATCATAGCATTTGACATTTGAATACATAAGCCTGTTTTTATACTGGTATACTGTAGTATAAATTCCTAGAAGTAGACTTTTTGAATCACAGGGCATATACACTGTATTAGTCTGTTCTGGAATTGCTATAAATAACTACATGATGCCCAGCATAGTGGCTAACACCTGTAATCCCAACACTTTGGGAGGCCAAGGGGGGTGGATCGCTACAGGCCAGGAGTTTGAGACCAGCCTAGTCAATATGGTGAAACCCCATGTTTACCAAAAATACAAAAAAAAAAAAAAAAGAATTAGCTGGATATGGTGGTGCACAACTGTTGTCCCACCTACCCAGGAGGCTGAAGCACAAGAATCACCTGAACCCAGGAGGCAGAGGTTGCAGTGAGCCAAAATGGCGCCACTGCACTCCAGCTTGGGTGACAGAGTGAGACCTCATCTCAAAATAAAAAATAAAAAAGAACTACCCGAGACTGGGTAATTTGTAAAGAAAGAAGGTATAGTTGGTTTAAAGTTCTGCAGGGTGTACAGGAAGCATGGCTAGGGAGGCCTCAGGACACTTACAATCATGGTAGAAGGTGAAGAGGAAGCAAGGCATGGCCTATATGGCTGGAGCAGGAGGAAGAGAGTGAAGAGGGAGGTGCTACACACTTTCAAACAAACAGATCTCATGAGAACTCATTATCATGGGAACAGCAAAGGGAAATTCACCTCCATGATCCAATCACCTCCCACCAGACCCCACCTCCAACACTGGGAATTATAATTCGACATGAGATTTGGGTGGGGATGCAAATCCTAACCATAATATACACTTATCTTTACCAATTAATTAACAATATAAATGATAATTTGAGAGTACCACCAGTTCTCCATAATATTGCGAACCCAGATATCATTAATTTTTTTGTACTTTGCAAATCTACACATTTGTAGTGTGAGTGAGCTTGGATAGACATAATTTTTTTTTTTTTTTCGAGACAGAGTCTCATTCTTTCGCCCAGGCTGGAGTGCAGTGGCAGGATCTAGGCTCACTGCAAGCTCCGCCTCCCGGGTTCATGCCATTCTCCTGCCTCAGCCTCCCGAGTAGCTGGGACTACAGGCACCCGCCACCATGCCCGGCTAATTTATTTTTTTTGTGTGTTTTTATTGGAGACGGGGTTTCACGTGTTAGCCAGGATGGTCTTGATCTCCTGACCTCGTGATCCTCCCGCCTCGGCCTCCCAAAGTGTGGGGATTACAGTCGTGAGCCACTGCGCCCAGCCAGATAGACATAATTTTAAACTTGGAGACTAGTATTTTACTTGGTGTCCTCTGTTCTCTTTCTCTGTCTCTCTGTCACACACACACATCTTGACACCATGTGAAAGACTAGACTTGATTGTGAAGGCACCGCATTTCATCTGATCTCTGCTGGTGTCCTGGATCCACTTTCAAAGGAAAGTCCTTGGTAATGGCTTGGTGCCTCTGTCTTATACTCTGCTAAAGCTGATGCTTTGTTTCTGTTGCTTAACAACTGTTCAGATTAGTAGTCTCATTACTGAGAGGCACAAAATTGAGTCTCTAAGTTAATTTAGACTTCAGACTTCAGGCAGAAAAGCCTAGTTTGTCAAAGTTTTTTTCGTTCTATCCTTTTGCCATTTAACTCCAGTCTGCTTTCATGTCTATCTTATAAAACGTTGTTGAAAGTGGCAAAGAGTGTCTTACAGATACCAATTTCATGATTTTTCCTCCTTACTCTAAAGCTGTGGTTGACAGGAGATATTCTTTTTTTCTGTATATATAAATAATTAAATTGGTGTATTAAGGTTCTCTAGAGGGATAGGACTAATAGGATAGCTGTATATGTGAAAGGGACTTTATTAAGGAGTATTGACTCACACAATCACAAGGTGAAATCCCACAATAGGCTGTCTGCAAGCTAAGGAGCAAGGAAGCCAGTCTGACTCCAAAAACCTCAAAAGTAGGGAAGCTGACAGTGCAGTCTTAGTCTGTGGCTGAAGGTCTGAGAGTCCCTGGCAAACCACTGGTGTAGGTCCAAGAGTCCAAAAGCTGAAGAACAAGAACTTGGAGACCGATGTTCGAGGGCAGGAAGCATTCAGCACAGAAGAAAAATGGAGGCCAAAAGACTCTGCTAATCTAGTCCTTCTGCGTTCCTCTGCCTGCTTTTATCCTCTCCATGCTGGCAGCTGACTCAGATTAGGGTGTGTCTGCCTCCAGTCCACCAACTCAAATGTTAATCTTTCAACACCCTCGCAGACACATCCAGGAACAATAACTTGCATCCTTCAATCCAATCAAGTCGACACTCATTATTAACCCTCACAATTGGTAAACAATTTGTCTGTAATATTTGAGTTCTTGCCACCCATATCCTCATTGCTTTTTCTAAGCCACTGTCCATTTTAAGTTCTATTATTAAAGTACTTCTGGTCCAAAAAGGCAGCTAGGACTTCAGTTTTCATATTCATACTCTAGGCTAAAAGTACTTCTTACACTTCTTGTCAAAAAGTGATAGTATTCATTGAGCCCTTGAGAGGCTGTAGAACAGTCTAGTTCTATTTTGTTTCCTGTCTTTGCAGAACATGGTTGTTCTTCAGAAGCCACACCATAACAGTTTAAAGGTAGAATCCATGTCAAGACTGATATTCATATATTGCATTTAAAAATTGTGTTTTTCATAGTTTTCTTATTGACTTGTGGGAGATCTTTATATATTTTATATATTAATCTTTTATTGAATATTTTGGATATATTTTTCCCAATATGTTACCTTTGGATGATCCTTATTTACTCTTTTTTTTTTTTTTTTAAATGGAAGCTTTAAATTTTTGTGTACTCAAATTTGCTAATCTTTGTAAATGAATTCTGGGCTTTCCTTTGCATACAGGAAGATATTCCTGTATCTGTAATTACTTTTGAAATATCTTCCACTACATTGTTTGATGTTTGTATTTTATTTATTGTTACTAGATTTTATTTTTTAGAGCAGTTTTATGTTCACAGCAAAATTGAGTAAATAAAAAGTACAGAAATTCCCACATATGCCCTTCTTCCACAAATGAACAACCGCCCCTATCTTGCGTCAGAGTGGTACATTTATTATAATAGATTAACCTATATTGATACATCATTATTCTCCAAAATCCATAATTTAAATTAGGGTTCTCTCTTGGTATTGCATATTCTGTGACTTTCAACAAATATATAATGACATTTATCTACCATTGTGGTACTATACAGAATAGTTTCACTGCCCTAAAATGTATCTGTGCTCTGCCTATTTATCCTTCCATCTCCCTTAATCCCTGGTAATCACTGATCTTTTTACTTCCTCCATAGGTTTGCCATAGAAGGTCATATATGGAATCAAATAGTATGCAGCCTTTACAGATTGGCTTCTTTAATTTAGTAATATGCATTTAAGTTTTCTCTATGTCTTTTCATGTCTTGGTAGCTCATTTCTTCTTAGCAGTGAATAGCATTCCATTGCCTGGATATACCACAATTTATTTATGCATTTACCTATTGAGAGACATCTTGATTGCTTCCAAGTTTTGGCAATTGCGAATAAAGCTGCCATAAACAACCATGTACAGATTTTTGTTTGGACATAAGTTATTAACTCCTATGGGTAATAATAGGGTGAATGAATGCTGGATCATATGGTGAGAGTATATTTAGTTTTGTAAGAAGCCACAACACAGTCTTTCAAAGTGGCTGTACCACCTAACATTCTTATCAGCAGTGAAGGAGAGTTCTTGTTGCTCTATAGCCCCATCAGCATTTTATGTAGTCACTGTTCTGGATTCTAATAGAGATGTAGTAGTATCTCATTGTTGTTTTGATTTGCAGTTTCCTAATGACATGTGATGTTGAACATCTTTTCATATGCTTATTTACTATCTGTATATCTTGTTTGATGAGGTGTCTGTTAAGGCATTTTGCCCATTTTTTTAAGTCAGGTGTTCATTTTTCTCTTGTTGAGTTGTAAGTGTTTTTTGTATATTATGGATAACAGTTCTTCATTAGATGCATGTTTTGCAAATATATTCTATTAGTTTGTGGCTTATCTTCCTATTCTCTTGACATTGTCATTTGCAGAACAGGCTTTTAAGTTTAATGGACTCCAGCTTATCAATTACATCTTTCCTGGATCATGACTTTGGTGTTGCCTTCCATTACTTTTTAAAATTATTGTGTTCTTTTGTCTTATTGTTTACATTTTATCTAGATTCAAAATACATCCAATTTATGATCATTTATCACTAACTCCATTGATTCCAAATTATTACAGGCATGGTCATCTTACTTTGTTTATTTGAGTACCTTTCCAGTTGACCTGCTTCTACCCTTCTCCAGAGTAGTTAGATTGTGAAAACCACAGACATCACAACTGTTCATAGTTTGGTTAAAACCCTCCAATGAGCTTCTCACCTTAACCTGAAAGATCCTGCATGTTCTCCTCTTCCTCCTTTCTCTGCTCCTATTTCTTTTTCTTATGCTCTCTCTTTCCCGGCTCCTGGCCTCCTTGTTCTGTGAATACCCTAAACATTCTCATTTCAGAGCTTTGACATACGCTGTTTCTTCTGCCTAGAATGTTCTTCCATAGGAATATGCAATTTGCCCCTTCTGTCTTTCAGATCACCTCCTAAGACAGGCCTTTTGTGATTTTCCCATCTAAAGGAGTATCTTTTGCAATTAGTATTTTACAGAAATAGTTATCACAACATAGTATATATGTGTTTGTTGTCTATCTCATCAATATATAATATAAACTCAATGGACCTGATGGAAATAGAGTTGATTGCTTTAAAAACAACAACAACAACAGGGTCTTATGCTGTTGTCAAGCTGGAGTGCTGGAGTGCAATCATATTATAACTCACTGCAGCTTGATCTCCTGTTAAATGCTATATTCCCAATCCTTTTAATGACTTAGGGAATATCTAGCAGGTGTGGACACTCCTCAGCGATAAGTATCTCAAAATAATTCCAAAGGATATTAACCTGGGGTGGGGGTAGAAGCTTGCAGAGTCAGATTTGCTAGATGAATCATTGTTGAGGATTAGTGTTACATTTGATGCTAGAAAAATAATTGCTGAGTGTCAGGTCCAAATGGCATGGTAAACTGGTGAGTGGTGCTACAGTTCGATGCCAACGTTCTTGATAAATATTTGATTTGTGAAATACAGAGGGATAGGATGCATGAACAAGCTTCAGATTTCAGAACTAAAGTTTGCATGGTATATACAGTCTGTTTGCCTTGTGAGTAGGCCTAAAGTCTTCCTGGCACTATATTAAGAAATTTGGCCGAATTTTTTCTGTGAGTGGATAAGAAGATTCAAAGTTGCATCTGAGATTTATCTCTTCTTGACAACAAGCAACCTTTGTAATGGGTTCAGTCATAGCTAAATTCAGTTGCTAGAGAATTACATTGTATTTATTATTTAGCTTTTAAACCATGTGGCTTGGACATTTGCTAGTTTCTAAAACTTTTTCAAAATATGTTTTAACAGTGATTTTAAAACAACTAAGCTATATATATATATATATACATAAATAAAATATAATATATATTTTATAAAATATATTGAGACGAAGTCTCGCTGTGTTGCCCAGATTGGAGTGCAGTGGCAGAATCTCGACTCACTGCAACCTCCGCCTCCCAGGCTCAAGCGATTCTCCTGCCTCAGCCTCCAGAGTAGCTGGAATTACAGGCACATACCACTGCACCCAGCTAATTTCTGTATTTTTAGAAGAGATGGGGTTTTACTATGTTGCCCAGGCTGGTCTTGAACTCCTGACCTCAGGTGATCCACCCACCTTGGTCTCCCAAAGTGCTGGGATTACAGGAGTAAGCCACCGTGCTAGGCCAGCAAAAATATTTTTTAGCCCAAAATAAAACCATAGGTTCTTTATAGTAGCATAATCTATTAAAATTTTGTGTAAATTTTGACTTCTTTCAGATGATTACTTTGACCTCTGTTGATGTTTGTATTTTATTTATTGTTACTAGATATATTGTTACTTTGATATAATGCCTTTTGATATAATTTGTCTCAGTAAATATTTAATTTTTATCTGGTGTACTAGATAAGGAGAAAAAATTATATCTTTTTTAAACAAAATGCATTTACTGTTTTTCTAAAATATTCTAGTTTTGTTTTTTCTTAAGGGGGTCAACTTTATTGCTTAAAGATGTATTTTATTCAAACAAATTGTTGTAAACTGTAGATATTATAAATAAATTGGTAGTTACAAGCAAATTGGTCATAGAGGAAAAGGACTACAAAATTCAAGTTAGTGAAACACAGGACTGTCTAGCCACACAATGTGACTGAAGATGTTCTATTTATAAACTAGAAACCTGGAGATGCCAAAGTAGAAATTAATGTAAGCTTAAACATCAGCTCAGTGACATTGCATACAATGCCTTCTTTCCATTTTTTTATGTTCTAAGGCCATATTTTTAAAAATATGTAAATTGTTCTTGTGTGAAACCTATTTCATATTTCATTTCTCCATTTCTGACTTGCAGGATTTGATTGCTGATGCCTTAAAATCAGAATAGAAGCATTTTGAAATACTTTCAAGATATAGTTAGTAATTGAAGATAGTCAGTTTAAATGTGGGCAGTAGTTAACATGTTCCCAGAATTAAGATGCTTCTTAAAAACTGATCCCTGTTTAGGGCCACGATCAAATACAGAACTGATTAAGCAATCAAACTTCACTCTAGTTTCAGAGCAAACTGTGAGCCATTCTGCCATTCATTCTTTTTTGTATTACCCCTCGTTATTGTCTCTTTAGATTCTTTCTTTCTGTTCCGAATGATTTCCTGCCTTATGGCCAACTAAGGAACATAGTGGAAGGGTAAAAAATTAATTAAAGTTCTAATGGTGCAATTAGTAGTAAGTATGAACTGTTAAAGCATTTCCTCAGATGTTTTATAGCTTGTGAGAAATCATCTTCACCTCAGCCGTTGAATACTGACCACCTGTTATCTATTACCATAACATTATACAAACCGACTGACAGGAAGCAATCTGGTCTCCAGTGATTGGATTACTGAAGCAATTGACAGGCAGTTTCCACAAAGGTAAACTGTGAAAGCTAAATGAGATGGTAAATAGAAATTCAGGCAGGTGTTTAATGGAGAAATACTACTAAAACAATCCAGAAGCTGTAAAATGAATACATTGTTTATGCATATTTTCATGGTATTCATTTTGTTTCAATGTTTGAAGACAGTAAGTTTAAAACCAATATTATATGTTGTACATTTGTAATTACCTATATGAGTTTGTAACTTGAATCAAACATATTGCACTTGGTACAAAAAGTTTGTTGTGCAATAATTTTTTGGTGCTAAACCAGTCTTAGTTCAAAATGTAAAAGTGGGTAGTGATGCTTTACACCAAATTGATGCTTTTCCTTAAATTTGATGAAGTAAATAAATTGAATGAGAAAATAAGTTAGCTTACAAGAAAAAGCATGAATTAGCAGATTTCATTGAATTAAGGCTGTTTGTTGCTATAATGTCCTACATGATTTCTTCCGGGTGCTGAATAAAACTGAATAGCTAATATGACTTCTTCAATTATTGATTTGTTGCTCATCTGTTCTCCAGGAAAGTCAGATGAAGATCAGCATGACAGTATTTATAGGCTGCATCTCATCTGCGGGATGTAATCCATCTTCGTTAAGTTCAGTAAAAGTGATAGATGGTGTTTGGCAGTGTAATGATGTGATCACTCTACCAGTACCTCTTTAAATCATAAGCTGTTGCTTTCTGTTGTGTAGATATTTAATCAGTTATACACCCCATTACTGATTTAATTCAGAATGTCAGTAGCAGGTGAATAATGTGAGTATTTGTATATTAATATCATATTGTATTAATGCTCCCTACATTTAAGTGGGTTATTCATTTGAAAATCATAAACTGTTGCTTCATGGGTAGAATAAATTTAATCAAGATGGTAGGCATCTAACACCTTTAGTGTTTCATTTCAGTGTGTCAATTAAAAAAAATGTTGTTTCCTTATATCTCTGTCTGTGCTTCCTTTACTCTATAGATTGTTTGACAATATCAGTATTTTCTTCTTTTCTTTTTTTTTTTTTTTTGAGACAGAGTCTCGCTCTGTCACCCAGGCTGGAGTGTAGTGGTGCTATCTCAGCTCACCGCAACCTCTGCTCCTGAGTTCATGCCATGCTCCTGCCTCAGCCTCCAGAGTACCTGGGACTACAGGCGCCCACCACCACACCCGGCTAATTTTTTTTTTTGTATTTTTAGTAGAGATGGGGTTTCACCGTGTTAGCCAGGATGGTCTCGAACTCCTGACCTCATGATCCACCTGCCTCGGCCTCCCAAAGTGCTGGGATTCCAGATGTGAGCCACCACACCTGGCCCAATATCAGTATTTTCTATGAGTAATAAAGTTAAAAAAACTGTTACTTTATACCTCATATATGCACTTTAATTTTAAAATTGCAATAGATGAGTGGAACTTTGAGAAAATAACATTAACAAATTTTAATATAGAAAGAAAACCCAGCAACTGTTTAATATATATGCTATTAAAACAATCCTGGGGGTTCAAAAGAATTCTTATTTTTTATGTTAACTTCATGTTAATTTTAGAGTTCAGGATAATTGTTATATCTGCAAAAGAAAACTGGTTTACAATATCATAACCTGATTTTAAGGGATAAGGAAATTTAATACTTGTTTCCATTTCATGTTTCTTCTCTCAAATATATTATTCATAACTTATAACATGTAAATATTTATAATTTAAGATATTCTTCTTATTTTGAAAGAATTTATGGTACCACTATCTTTTGAAGATCTTTACACTTACTTTACAGAACATCATATTGATTCTAACACATAGGAACTTAAATACATATCCACAGAAAAACTTAAGCATATTTTTCAATGAAGTTTAATGATTTCACATAATTAATTAAAGGTTATGTTTTAAAAATGTATAGGTAGATTAATGCATACTTTCCAAAAACATTACTTTGTTCTTGACATTTAGGCGAAGAGGATAAATGTAACATTTCCTAAAACATATATACAGACCTTCTGGGAGTTTTCTCTAGGAAGTATATAGTACAATTCTCTGTATGCAGTAGTTGTGCATGAATGACACTGACTGACAGACTAAGCAAATTTCAACTTAATCTCATTGAACTTTACAGCCTCCATTCCATGTTCATCTCTCTTAACCAACTCGATAACTGTCATTTTTGATGTCACCACATTCAGATTGACTTGGAGTGGACAATGGCCTTGCACTGTTATTGTGACAGGCTAACTTTTCTGTCTTTATTAAAATTCATAATTTTCTCAGAAGACCTCACCAATATTTTGAATAAAATGTTGATTCCTAAGTCTTAAAAAAATATAATTTACTTCAATGTCTCAGAATTTAAGAATCCAGTGGAAGAAAGAGGAAAAGACAAAAAGACAAAAGAGAAAGAAAAATATGTATTCTGATTGCATTAAACTTTGACAGGTTTTAAATTTATAGAAAAAATATGATGTTTAAAAATATCTATATTGAAGGCATACAATAGTTATTTAATTAATGTATGAATCTATCATATTTGTTTGACACTTTTTTGGTCATAAGTATCTTTCTCATTTTTACTTATATGAAATATTTAAATATCTTCTTCATTTTCTGTGTGAAGCTTCTGTAAAGTGATAGAAAGATGGAATGTTATTTTGTTATAATGTATTGTACACCTCTGCATTGCCATAATAATACCAACATTTATTTCCATAGTGCTTCTTTCCAACAAATCATAAACTTTACATATAAATGATCTCATTTATCTTGATAACACACCTAGAGCAGTTAAGGAACTGCTGGTTATTAATGCCATTTTATAAATGAGAAACAAGGTTATACGGGGACTCCCACTTGGTCACTCAGTCAGGCAATAGCACTGATTGGATTAAAAATTAGTTTTCAGTTTATTCACAAGACATTGACAGCCCTGAGTTTCATCTGGTTTTGAGTGCCACAGTCTTTCACCCATTTTATTCCATTATCCATCTTGGCCATTTCTGTGATTAATTTCCATCTAGCAAAATGTTTTAAAAAAGTATATACATATACATACACACACATATCTTTATAGATATGTGTGTTACAAAAACCAAAACATAAGAACAAAAAGCTGTTCATATTCAGGACAGAAAAACTTAGGAAATACAAGCAGTTTATTTTCTAAACAAATTTGTAAGTTTATTTCCTTGTTGATGAGCTTGAGGTCAAGAGTGTCAGGGAATGATAGGGGACTGGAAAGGGGGCAGAAAATAGCACCTGGTCCCCTGAAAGAGGACAGAAACAGCAGTCATCTCCTTTTGAGTCAGAGTTGTGTGTGTGTGTGTGTGTGTGTGTGTGTGTGTGTGTGTGTAGATAGATATACATACCATCAGATTCTAAATCATTATCAATAAATGTTTGTCACGTTACGAAAACAATCCATTCTGCAATTGTAAAAATATTCAGATTTTGGATATGTGAATTGAGGAGAGAGGTATGGGAAGTGCAGGAATTAGAGGTCCCATTTTACGAACAAAAAATAATTATTTCCCCACCCACATTATTATACCTTCTTCGATTTTCATTTGGGTAAGATCTTCCAGCTCCGTCTTGCCCCCAACTCTGACTCAAAGGGATATGACTATTTCTGTCCTGAATGAGGGGACCAGGTGTTATTTTCTGCCACCTTCCCAGACCCCTGTCATTCCCTGACACTCTTGACCTCAATCTCATCAGCTAGGAAATAAACTTACAAACTTGTTTAGAAAATAAACTGCTTGTATGTCCTAAGTTCTTCTGTCCTGAATATGAACAGATTTTTGTTCTTATGTTTTAGTTTGTGTCTTTTGTTTTTCTAACTTGTTCTGGCATGGCATGAAGAGATATTATTTTCTTTCTCTTTCAGAAGGCATATCTTTGTTTCTAACTTATTTTCTCAAATGTATGCCTAAAGGATTATTGAATTTTTCAATTCTATCCATTTTCTATCACACAATTCTTTCTAATCTCACTCAAGAACCTTGGAGTTTTTCATATATGTTGCATTTTTCATGTATAAAAATCCATTAAAAATTGGTTTTTACATCTTGTGCCATCTGTTTTCTTTGGGAGATTTGATATTTGTGACTCTTTCCTATTATTACTTTATTTTAGCCCTAGATATTTCTATAGAGCCCTCATTTCTATAAAACCTTCTTTTATTATTTTTATTTTTTCTCTGTCTTAATTTATTTTCTTATTTTTTAAGCAAAGTGTGTTTCCTTCTTTAATCTCTTTTACTCTAGGAATATATGCATGCAATCAATACACTTTTGACTGTAAATCTTTTAACATCTGTTTTTTCAATTATTATAACCGAATAGTAAATTTTAACAAAGTTGGGAAATAAATGTTTAAAATTAGTGTATGATGTCAGAATGAAAATTCAAATAAACAAGAAATGTTTCTTTTAACACTGAAAGTGTTTTAAAAAGGTTAAAAGACAGCAATCAGAACTTAGTTCACAGGATTTCCTAAGCTTCCAGGGTAATTTTATTCTACTCCATTCAATTTTTTCTCAAAAGAATAGAAAGAAAGTTCTCAACAGTTTTTAAAATTTTCCTAATTAAGTAGGATTTTGGAGGACCAGATGGTTAGTTCAAGGAAACAACACAAAGCTGTTAAATGTAGATTTCTCAAAATAGAACTTACTTTTTATATTTTTATGAATGATAACTATAATTATTTTCTTGGAATTATAAATGTTATCTACTCATTTTATCTGAATAGAAAGTCCTTTATCTCTTTTTAAACTGTTTGATAAGGCAGAGTACTGCTGATATATCTAAACATTTATCCTTATCTGAAATTTTATTTTCCCTTATATAACTTGAAGTGCAAAGACAAACTTGAAGTCAAGAAAGACAAAAGATCAGAAAGAAATATCCCTAGCATCAAATTAATTTCTTACCACTTTTGCTATTAAAAATAGTCTCTGAGAAAGAAATACTGCACTGACTAGATCACATTGACACACTGATTTTTATTTCCATAATAGATCTATTTTATAACTAGATTTGTTGATAATTACCCTTTTACTAACTTAGCAAAACGCAGTTGAGTTTCTGTTTTGCAGGTATCACCTTTTCCATAAAATGCAGTTACAGTTATCTGTGTGATATTTAGAGTAACACACATCTTAAGATGCTTACATTCTGTTTTTGTGTTCTGGTAGTTTTGAGATAAGAGGGAGACAGTATTTGTGCAGTTAGACAAAAAGAAAAAGAAAAGAGCAATCAAGTAAATGTGTGCATCCTAAGATTAAATAGCATAAACTCTTAAAATAGTACTGAGCACTTAGTAAGTGCTCAATAAATACTATTGACTAGATATTATGTAAGTTTTGTGACACCCGAGTCCCCACATCATTAACCTGTGAAGTAAATTGGAATTAGCACATGTGAAGCCCAAATACACACTATAAATTTTAACTATGATTGTTATTTAAATAAGGTTGAGAAAGTTAGTATTGCTGCTTCTTTTTGTTTTCACTGAGTAGTTTAATAGGACAAATGGCATTCAAGATTTGTAGTCATTGAATAATGAAAGAAATCAGCTAGGGCATGAACTGATAGTGTAAACAAAGGATAAAAGAATTGATTTTTTTCCATAAACTATTAAAGATAAACTTTTGATTCCTAAAAAGTTTAATATCACTTGGTAAATAATTTTCTGTCAGCATATTTAAAAAATGATAGTTAATAAATATTAATAAACAATTTATACCTGAATCATTCATAAATGAAGCATCTTTTAAAAATCAGCATATATATTTTGGAGCCACATTAAATTATTCTTTAAGGCTTGTAATAATAAATCCTTAGGCTTTAGTATGTGCAGTACCAAATGGACTCCTGGAATGACTTTATCATTTAGAAACTGACTTTTTTTCACTCCAGCTTTGGAGTAAAAAAAAAAAAAAAGACTGAGTCACTTTAAAAATATATTTTATTCCAAAATTAATTTTTGAAATCCAAATTTAATTCAGGCAAACAACTATAGATTGAATAAGGAGACGATTTAAATTGAGAATGTTGGGACATGAGAGTTCTTTATGATAACATTTAAAATTAGATATATAAGTGATTGTCTTAAGTTCTATTTCAGTAACACATTCTTTAGTAATTCTGTCCTAAAGCATTGTTTCATATTGTTTTCCTCCAAAATAGTTTATGTTTTAAGTAGGCCAATGTACCTGAATATGAGTACATATTACTGACTGCTAATAACTACAGGGAAAAAATAGCTCCAAGGAAATGGTACTATTAATAGCTCCATCATTTTAAATAACTTTTTTTTTTAGTAACTTTATGGGTAAAAATTAAGCTTAAAGTTCAGATAACCACCTTCATCTGCTTAGCCTTTGTTGGATTGCTCCAAACTTAATTTTAAAATTATTTTTGAGTATTAGGGAATTCAACAAACGTAAGATACACTCACTACCTATAATGAGTAGGTTCTGGAGATACAGAACTGACTAAGAATATGTAGAGACTATTTTCTGTATTCTAACAGGTCAAAGTCAGCAAGATAAGTATAGAATCTTTAAGGAATTTACAGATAGTTGGGGAAATACTAAGTATGAAGATAGCAGTTTGGGCAAAATATTATTGTATATGGACAAGTGTAAAGAGGTGAGGAAGGCATGTTGAGAAGGTATTTATCTGAGGGCATTTGTTCAAAGCAAATGGAATTTCAGGGATTGGAGGAGTTGACAAACAGCATTGTGATACGTATTTCACTCTAATAGCTAAGAGAAACACTCCATGCAAACAATGTATCTGTGGCCTCTCTCCCCCAACCACAAATTTATCAAAGCTAGCTAGATGAAAGAACATGCTCCAAATCTTTAAGCATAACCAAGTCATGTTGGGCTTTGTAATTGCCCGACAGGTTCTTCTTGCCCACTGCACAGATAGAGCCGATTCACTGAGATAGCGGTATTGCAGTAGAGAAAGAGTTTAATAATTGCAGGGTTATCCAAGTGGTCAGACAGAAGTTATTATTACTCAAACAGCCTCCCTGGAAATTAGGAGGTTAGGGTTTATTGAAGATAGTTTGGCAGTCAGGGGACTAGGGAATGGGGAATGATGATTGTTGGGTCAGGGATGAAACCATAGAGGGTTGAAGCTGTCTTTTTACACTGAGTCAGTTTCTGGGTGAGATTGCAAGACTAGTTGTTTCTTGGTATGGGTTACCAGTCCAGGTGGCACCAGCTGGTCCATCAGAATGCAAGGTTTGAAAAATACCTCAAATAACAATCTTAGGTTTTGCAGTAGTGATGTTATCTCTAGGAGCATTTGGGGAGGCCTCTGTTACATAACTCTGTTACATAAATCTTGTGGCCTCTGTTACATAACTCCTGAGCCCCAAGCAAGGAAGGAGTTAGTTTCAGGAAGGGGCTGTTATCTTCATTTTAAGGTTAAACTACAAACTAAATTCTTCCCATAGATAGCTTGGCCTATGCCCAGGAATGAACAATGGCAGCTTGGAGGTTACAAGCAAGATGGAGTCAGCTAGGTTGGATTTCTCTCACTGTCATAATATTTGCAAAGGCAGTTTTATTTTCCATGTACAGCTTTAAGCTCTTTCCTGGATTTTCCTTGAAGCCACATCCCTAGGAAGTCAACAAGCTTAAATAAGAAGTCAATGTTATATGGGAGATTCTATTGAGAGGTAGTGGAGGAGAGTTTCATTAAACACCACTCAATAAATGCTCAATTACATCGTAATATTTGTCTCCTCAAATTTTTCTCTCCAGCCATCAGCTTATAACTTTTTCTTCTCTTCTGCCACATAACATTAAAAAGTCAACTTTATTTTTCTGAACGACTCAGCTCCAATTTTCTGCTCTTATTCTCAACAGACAAAAAATATTTGTTTAGAATAGATATTCAATCTATTTTTCCCTGAATATTCTTTTTAGGAAATATCTTCAACTCTTCCTTTAAGTGACTTGATTATTCAACCATAATAAACAGGTTTCCTTTGAGGGGTGAATAGTACTCCTAGGAAGAAAAAAAATTTACTCAGTAAAGTTAATAAACAATCTTAAACCTTAAATCTCTGAAATCATATTCTAAAGATGGAATTAAAGAGAAGGATATAGCATTAGGATATAGAAGGATATAGAATTAGGAATAAAAATTTGGATAGATTTGATCAATAATATGCCATTGCAATAGGGGTAAGGTGCAGCATAAACTAAAGTCAACTTTGATTTGTACAGAGGTGACTGAGTGATTTAAAAGGAGAATGAGGAAGTAGGGGCCTGAACAAGAGAGCTCTCTGAAGTCTGGAAAGTAAAAAAATATAAATAATTTGTCAGGGTAAAGGCAATTAGGCCAGCTGTGTCTACTAGCTTTCAATAATCGAAGTTAGAATACTATTCTCCCACAGAAACTGGGAGACAGAGGTCCTATCTTTTCTGATGATTGTGTTTCTAATGGATGGCTTTCAGGTCCTTAAGAAAGGCTTTCCTGAGTTGTAGGAGATACATACACATCTCAAGGGGACAAAGGAAAAATTCATAATTGTAAAGCCTTTTGAATAAATACTATAAAAAACATGTTCAGTGGACTATTATCAAGTATTGGCTAGAAAAACAGTAAATTACTTTATCATTCTTGACTTTTCTGGGGCAGGCACATTAAAGGGGACTAGGGTCATCATATGGATGTGGCTTTGTGCTGTTAGAAATTATGTTAGTGCTTAAGTCTTTTAATGTGGGCAGAGAAGAGTGGATTAAGTCCTTTGTCTGAGAGTCTTTAATTTTTAAACGACAAGGCTGAGGCCTAGTTGAGAAGTAGGCTCCAAGGAAACCGGCTAGAGTTGGGTCAAGAAGATAATCATTGTCAGGGGTCATCATGAAGATTCTTATAGTTGGAGTCACAAACAATCCTACATTCACTAAAAGCCTTGGAGTGCACTCACCATGGGAAGTAGGAGGAGATATATATATATTTATATGTATATAATTATATATATATTTATATGTATATAATTATTTATATTTATATGTATATAATTATATATATTTATATTTATATAATTATTTATATTTATATGTATATAATTATATATATTTATATAATTATATATAATTTTATATATATAAAATATCACCTTGTATATAATTATATATAACATAATTATATAAATATAATTGTAATATATATATATTTATATAATGCCAGGGATTTAGTGCCACATCACTACAATGACCTTAGACCCCTTTAATGTGCCTGCCTAAGATAACTCAAAGATGACAAAATAATTTACTGTTTTTCTAGCCAATACCTGACAATAGTCTGCTGACTACATATGGAGAGAGACAGAGGGAAAGAGAGAAACAAAAACATATGTAATCATGAAAGGTAAGAAAAAGAGAATTATAGGAAGAAAAGAAAAAAAAAGAGATAACTTGCTGGGTGGCAAATAAATCCCCAAGTCAAGACTGAAGTGTGTCAGAAAGAGCAAAATGCCAAGCAAAAGTGGTGCTAGATGAACTTAGTCCATGCTTCTGCTCCTTCCTCCGGTAATCTTCCACTTCCTAAAAAAAGTATAATAAGAAAATTCAAGAATGCCCCAATATCAAGAGAATTATGATGTATAGAAAGGCATAAGAGTTGACACTAATAGTAAGACAGTATTAAAATTGTTGACTTTGTTGTTCATTGTTTGGTAGGCCAGCTATCATAGTCTGAGCATGGTAATTAATTGTGTGATTAAAGACGGATCAAGCGCTCAATCACTGAGTTTCAAACAAAGATTAAATTCCACCATAATGAAAATGCTGACAAATAAAAAGGTAGGAGATGAGAGAGGATGCATACCAAGCTTAAACGCAAAGGAGGTATCGGTGACGTGTGACTTGTTGAGTAAAGAAATTCATAGCAGTTGATACACACTGAGGATAAATAAGTACAAGTTCTGATAAATCAAATTTAAGTCATTAAGAATGATGGGGATGAAGATGAAGGAAGGAAACGGAGATTTTAAAATTTGTTCAGAGGTAAATGTAGAAATTAATGCTAGTAAGAAATACAAATCAAAAAATAAATTTAAGAAACTCAAATGATTACCATTAGAGAGTAAGAAAATTTGGTTAGAATGCCTGTGTGATTGAAGTAAAAGTGGTGATATGAACATATTTAAAAATAACATACACTTTCCTGAATTATTACACCTCATAAAATATCTGCCACCTAATATTTCACTTGATTAATGTCAATGGAAAAATGACTTTTTCTTCTAGTATAGACTAGGATTCTTCTTTTTGTATGTCTCTTTTTACAGGGCTGGGCACATAGTAGGTACTTAAGAAACAATCATCCTTATTGCTTGTAAATTAGAATCTTTTCAGGGAATTTAAGTTTTTATTTTGTCTTAAACATCAACTAAGTGTGTTTACATTTATACCCTTTCCACTCCATTTAAACATTTTAAGGTCAATTTTATTTATAGTACATTTCAATAAGAAATCTTTCATAAGGTGAGCATTTATTTTTCCTATTGATAATTTTAGTTGGTGAGCCAAATGGTCTTTCCATACATTTTGGGATTGTAGTATTGTGTACACATGCAATATATAGTATTTTCATGTAACAGGTAACTTATTACATAACATTTATTATGTGTATGTAATTTGGACTATATCAAATGGTTTTTAAAATATGAGAGAGTAAATAAGCTTTATTTACATAAAATTCTTAACACCTTTTCATATTGAGTTCAATGTCAAAGCACACTGCTTATTTACTGGAAATTAAATGTTTCTATTCATCTCTTATGTTTCTTTGAATTTTCTGTACTTATTCCTTTTCTTTGCAAAACTTGATGATAAACAACCAAACTCTTTCTACGATCCCTACCATCTGGAATAGCCTTTTTCTGTTTTCTTACTTCATTAACTTTTACCTTTTTAAAAAAATCACTTTTAGTCTTTTATTTACTTTCTTCCCTCTGTTTCTCTATCCTTCTGTCTTTCACATTATACCATCAAAATTTGATATTTTCTAACATTTTAATTTTCGAGTAGTCTCACCACTTCTCCACCTAAAAGATCAGAAAATATTCACATTGCCATCCTACAAGTTATACTAAAATTTAAAGACAGTGTAAGTGGTTCAAATGACTGAGCTTATTACAAGGCATAAGGAACAAATAAACTGGAGCACAACTTCTTATAATAAAAACAGAATTATATTTATAAATCTAGATTGTAGTCTCTTACAGTTCAGAAACTCACTCACATAATTCCTATTATTTCTAGTATTCTACCTGTAGAAAAATGGGGATGATAATTTATCCAACAGAGCTTCAACATTGTTAAGCATAATTGGCTGTAGCTTTGTGTAGAGCAATGTAATAATAATAACAACAATGCTGACATATATTGAACCCTTATTTTGTGCTAGGCACTGTTCTAAATACTTCACAAATGTTAACTCACATAATAATCACAAATGTCTTATGAATTTGTTACCATTACTATCTCTGTATTTCAGACAAGGGAACGAAAATACAGAAAGTCTAGGCTGGGCACTGTGTCTCACGCCTGTAATCCCGGCACATTGGGAGGCCGAGGCGGGCGGAGAGCGAGACCATCCTGGCTAACACTGCGAAATCCCGTCTCCACTAAAAATACAAAAAATTAGCCGGCCATGGTGGCGGGCACCTGTAGTCCCAGCTACTCAGGAGGCTGAGGCAGGAGAATGGCGTGCACCCCGGAGGTGGAGCTTGCAGTGAGCCAAGATCGCACCACTGCACTCCAGCCTGGGCGACAGAGCGAGATTCCGTCTCAAAAAAATAAAATATTTTTAAAAAATACAGAAAGCCTAAATGAATTTTTCCAGGATCATATAGCTAGTAAAGTGGTAGGGCGGGGATTCAAAGCTATTAGCTGAAACCAGAGTTTGTGCTCTCATTCTTCTATATACCTCTCTGATATATTAGGTCTTGGGCATTTAAGAATTAAAGCATAAATATGCAGACCCTGCATTCAGTGGATTCAGAAATACATATTGATTTATTCCACAAGTGATTTTGATTGCTCAATGGATTCAGAAATACATATTGATTTATTCCACAAGTAATTTTGATTGCTTGCTCTGTACCTGGAACTTTGCTCAGTTTGAGGGGAACAACTAAGAAAAAGACAGTCACGTTCCCTGTCCTCATTCCAGTAGGGTGAGACAGGCAAAAACAACACAAACAACACATAAAATTTTAGTACATTGTGAAGGATATTAAAAAAGGGACAGAGGAAATGAAGTAGGTGAAGAGGATGGACAAAGGAACGTCAGACCCGGGGAAGAAAAAGGCAGAGAATATTACATGTGTCAAGAAAAAAAAAAACAAACCTGAGTTTTTATAGATGGAAGCCCTGAAAAGAACACCCTGTGGCCAGGGCATAATAAAAAAGGAGGGACACTAACCCGAGATAAGGTGGAAGAAGCAGGCAGGGAGTAAACCACATTTTATTCTAAATGTGATGGGACATCATTGAAGGATTTTAAGCAGGACAAAGATATGATACATGCTTTTTTATTACCTAGAGTTGCTGGATGGAGAATGAATTGACAAGAATGACATTTGGGAAGGCTAGTTAGGGACAGAAGCTTAGACAAGAGGTAACGGCAGTGATCAGTGTGGAAAGGGAAAACAAAATGGAAACACTCAACATACGTTTTTGGCATAAAATTAAAAGCATTTACTGATGATTATATGCAAAAAGCAAGAAAAAGAGAAGATTGAAAGACGATTGCTTAGGCTTCCAGTCTGAGTAACTGGATAAATACTACTATAATTCACAGATCATTAGGAGAACTAATTTATATGGATAATTAAGATTGGGGTGAAACACTTTTTCTATTTACATATTTTATACTGAGATATTGAGATACCCAAAGATATATTAATTCATGGTTGGACGTACGTATGGAATTTAGATTAGAAATATGGACTAGAAATGAAAACATGTAAATGATATTTAATGCCATGGGAATAGAAGTTTCACATAAGAGAGAGAGGGGAAAAGGAAGAGAGGAGGACCCTAAAGGAAACCTTAAATAATACTTAATTTAGAGGTTGGGTTCTGGTTCATAGCTTTCAGCTGAAGATTTATTTCACTTTCTCACTAAGGAAAGGATGGATCCCAAGTCATTTTCTAATTATATTTCTCAAGGAGTGGCTGTACATATAGGGTCTCACAGCCTCTCCTTGGATGGCGAATTACAGCATACCTGAGGGTTTCAGGCACCGCGGAGTTCATGCTCTGCTCTAGCAGCTCCGGACATGCCAATGTTAGTTTAATCTTCAGAAAGTCGGTGCTTATCTCCGGTGACTACAGAAGGACTGACACAATGATATCACATATATGTTCAATCTTTTCATGGCTTGTATTACTTTCCTTCCAGTAGTAGTGACATGAAATAGAGGCAATTCTTGAGACATGTCTGAGTCTATATAATTTTCAGCTGAGTCTGAAATCCTGGCTGAAACTTTGATGTTGAATATTTTTAAAGCCGGCAAAAGAAATCCACACTGGGTCAAACAAACAAACAAACAAACAAAGAAACAAATCACTGTCACTTTAAAACTTCAAGCTGTTTTAATCTGCTTCAATACTCTTTCAGGGCAAATTGTTTTGTTGTTGTTGTTGTTGTTTTGGGAAAACCAAATAAATAGGCCTGTTTTGCTATGCAGTGTAAAGCAAAGACTCTCTTACAACATGGAAATATTTGAGATGCTCTGGTTCAGGAAATTAAAACTGCTTGGGGGATGACAATAAAAGCTTGCCTTTGTTAAAAATAGAGTTGCATCTCTGCAAACATGTTTGATTTGGGAAAATCATGTGTTTTACTAAGTGCAATAATAAGGACAAAAGAAAGAGTAAGATAATATTGTTCCCCATTTAAGCCCTTTGAAAGGGTTGGATCTCTTCTTGTTAGAGGGGTGAGAACCTAAACTTAACAGATCCACGATCACGAAAAGTAGCATTATTACAATGCCTTGGCTACAAGAAGATCTAAATTCAGGTGATCAACAGTTGCACAGTTTTTTAGGTGTTCTCATTCACTGGAACCAGCAGGATTAGCAGCCACTTGGACTGGCATCCTCTTTCCATTATATATTCTCACTGGTTATTTTTGTATATATACAACTATTGATTTTAATTTACTTATTTATTGCCTGCCAGCTTACCCAACTCAGTAGTTTTTTAGCAGATTCTCTTATGTTTTTCTATGCGTTCACTAACACAAAATAATGAAAATTTTTATTTCTAGTTTAATTGCTTCTTGTTTTAATTTTCAGATTACAGTGTAGATTTTTAATTTGTTTAATTTTTAGTAAATTAGACTGGTGGAAAAAATTATTATTTTATTTTAGATAATAATTTTATTTTATTAATGTATTTACTGATGTGGGGAGAAACAAAAATGACTCTGAGCTTTTAAATCATATTAGTGGTAGTCTAATTCACAGTAAGCAATCCATATTAAAATCTATTGCATCCCATTCATCGATTGAATGGTTAGAAAAAGGAAAATTATCCATGTTAATCATTTGTGAAGCATTCTAATAAGGTAGTCTCAAGGGAAATTGCCAGGTATTTAAATTTTCTATAAAATTTCTACTGGATAACAATTAAACCATATCTACATATTCACATACTTTAAAATAATTTTCTATAATTGTGTCCTGTATGTATATGTATACATATATATATACACACACACGTCTATGTGTGTGTGTGTGTGTGTGTGTGTGTAAAGAGAGGGGGTCGAGTTTAGCATATATGTGTGCTTCAGTTTTTATATTGTTGAATAATTCCAAGCGTGGATGTACTAAATTTTATTCATCCACTTATCAGCTGATTGACATCTGGGCTGTTTCTTCTTTTGGTTATTACAAATAAAGCTGCTATGAACATTTGTTGAACATTTGTGTATGTGTGGAGGTACGTTTTCGTTTCTCTTGGGTATATATTTACTAGTAGAAAAGCTGGGTCACTTGGTAACTCTATGTTTAACATTTTGTAAAACTGACAGACTGTTTTACAAAGAGGCTGCTCCATTTTACATTTCCACCATCAATATATATTGGTTCAAATCTTTCCACATCTTTGTGAAAACTTCTTACTGTTGCAGTCGTCATAATGAATATCAAGTGTGATTATGATTTGCAGTACTTTGATGTCTAATAGTGTTGAGCATTTTTTATGTGTTCATCAGTCATTTGTGTATCTTCTTTGGAGAAATATTTATTCAAATTATTTGCCCATTATTTAATTGGATTAGTTGTTGTTTTATTGTTGAGTGTATAAAGCATTCATTATTTATTCAAGATACAAGTCCATTATCACATAAGTGATTTGCAAATATTGTCTCCCATTCTGTCAGTTGACTTTTTGTCTTTTGAAGCATACAAGTTTTTCATTTTGATGAGATCTAACATCTGTTTTTCTTTTTTCATTTGTATTTTTTGTGTCATGTTTAAGAAGGCTTTGCTTAACCCAAAGTTATGAAGATTTCTTCCTATTTTTTATCCTAAGAGTTTCATCATCTACCATCTATGTTTAGGTTTAAGGTATATTTTTAGTTATATGTGTGGGTGTATGAGTGTGTGTGTGATATGAAGAAGGAATCAAATATCATTCTTTTACATGTGGCTATACAATTGTTGGGAGTACTATATATTTGAGATAATTTTTTTTCTCATTGGACTTTTCTGGTACATGTAGCTGTGTCTATTCTTATTCAAACTCTCTTTATTACTATAAACTTTATACTGAGGTTGAAATCAGGAAGTGTGAGCCCACTAACTTTGTTTTTTTCATTTAAGATTCTTTTGGCTTTTCTGGGTCCCTTGTATTTCCATATGCATTTTAAGGTCAGCTTGTCAATTTCTGGGAAGAAGCCAGCTGGGATTTCTATACATTAAATCTGTAGGTCTATTTGGATAGAATTGTCATCTTCATAATATTAGGCCTTCCATTCCATGAACATTGTTATCTTTCCATTTTTTAAAATCCTTAGCTTCTTTCAATGATGTGCTGTAGTTTGGGTGCATATGTTTTAACATTTAAAATTATTTTGCTAAACTTATTTCTAAGTATTCTATATTTTAAAATTATATTATAAATTAAATTGTCTTTTTAATGTCATTTTCAGATTGTTCATTGCTCTTATATAGAATACAAATGATTTTTTGTATGTTGCTTTTGTAACCTGCATCCTGAGTATACATTTCTATTAAATTATTTAAGATTTTGTATATACCAGTACTTGCCATCTGCAAATAGTGATAGTGTTACTTCTTTCTTTCCAATCTGGATACCATTTATTTCCTTCTCTCTCTCTGTCTCTCTCTCTCTCTTTACCCCACCCCCAATTACCCTTGCTGGAATCTCCAGTTTTAGTCAACATTAGTTGAATAAAGGCAAAAGTGGACATGTTTGCTTTGGTCCTGGTCTTTGAGGGAAAACATTCATTTTCTCACCACTAAATATAATACGAGCCTCGGGTTTTGGTATTCCTTTTATCAAGTTGAGGAAGTTCTATTGCTAGTTTGTTGAATATTTTTATAATGAAAGGTTATTGAATTTTGTCAAATAAGCCCGTCATTCAACCATGTCAAATTGTTGTCTTATTGCAATGAGAGAGACCGTATACTAGAAAAACTATGGCGAATCTCAAAAAAAGGAAGAAAGAAAAAAGGGAGGGAGGGAGGGAGGAAAGAAACGGAGGCAGGCAGGCAGGCAGTAAGGAAGCAGAGAGAGAAAGAAAGAAGAGAGAGAAAGAAAGAGAAATAAAAAGAGAAGCAAGCAAGCAAGAAAGAAAAAGATAAAATAAAGAAAAGGAAAGAAAAGAAAAAAGAAAAGGAAAATAAAAGAAACAGAACTTTTAGAAGATTTTTACAGAGGGTAGAATTTAGACACAATTTCAGTAAGTAGTGTTTTGTTAGGCTTAAAGTAGAGCACAGTTATGTGTACTATTTGTAAAGAGTTCAACATCAGATCTGGATAGTGAATTGGACCTGTATCCTTGGAAACTTCACAGTTAATATAGATGTGGAATATTTTGTGCAGGAACTTCTTATTTTAGGCTCTTTGCCTGGGCTGCAAATTGAGAGTGCTTCTGTGTGTCAAAATAACTCAGATCCTCCAAACAAGATTTGGATGCTTTATACTGGTGATATAATTTCAATCAACAAACTGATATTCTGTGGCTTTGGAGAACAAGCCAGTAAGTAAGAAGGTAGTACACAATCAAGGAGGACTTCATTATGATGCTTTATAGTTGTAGCATGTCCTTGAGATAAATGTTATTTTCTGCTAAATTTGTGTGTTAGTCTGTTCTCATGCTGCTAATAAAGACATACCCGAGACTGGGTAATTTATAGAGAAAAGGAAGTTCAACAACTCACAGTTCCACATGACTGGGGAGGCCTCACGATCATGGTGGAGAGTGAAAGAACAGCAAAGGCACATCTTACATGGTGACAGGCAAGAGGGTGTGTGCAGTGGAACTGCTCTTTATAAAATCATTAGATTTTGTGAGACTTTTTCACTATCACGGGAACAGCATGGAAAAACCTGCCACTGTGATTCAATTACCCCCGACTGGGTCCCTCCTACAACACATGGAGATTATGGGAGCTACAATTCAAGATGAGATTTGGGTGAGGACCCATCCAAACCACTTTGCAACTGGATTTACCTGCGACTGTTTTCCTAGCCGGATGAATACCAGTGTTTAATGGACGTGACTCCCTATGAATAATACCCTTCACTGCCTTTCCCATTTGGTAAGCTCTTATCCTGTCTTTAAGACAATGTGCAGACCAGAAGGGGCTATTGCTGTTCTTCAGTGGTGATGAGATGAAAGTATGTTCTCTATGAACTGAAGTCCTTTGGATAGCTGCAAGAGTAGTGGTTTATTTCTCTGCCAAGCTATTAGAATCAATTTCCCTATCATGGCTATGGAAACTAGAATCCAGGAAATAGGGTACAACCACGGTTCTGAGTTACTTGCCTGGCTTGTATTTTTTGATGTGCTGACCTCCCCTTATTTCTTCTGCAAAAACATGTCAGGACCTGACTCATGCTTAGCCAATCTCAATTCCCTGCTCAAAAGTGGGTAAGAGGGAAGAAAACTCTTTTTTTTTTTTTTTCTTGGCAAGTGCATGAGGTAAGGAGACAGGATTTTTACTGGTTTGCATTATATTTCATATGCCTATTCTACATCCTTGAGTTCCAAGAATTTAGCCCTGTATTGATTTACTCTGCTCAATATTTCAAGTCTGGTTGGGTAGATAGGCATTTTATTTTATTTTCAAACTACATAATTGCCTTCCAGAATCAGTAATTCAAAGTCCTATTCTGGCTGTTCAACTGTTTTAGGAATCTCAATGTTCAAACACAGATGTGTGTGCACACACACACATATACATGCCACATGCCCTCTCACTGTCGATAAATAATCACAAAATTGAGAAATATGTCTTATCTCAACTAAAATATTTCAATAATTTTAATTGGCTTTTTGTTAATTAAAATATAATTTTATAAGGATCTAAACATCATTTTTAGAAAGAAGTACATGACTAAAATATTTTAAAATGTAGCAACAGATCATTATTAACTGTAATTTCTGTTTATCATCTATTACAAAAATAAAGTAAAACAGATTATATGTGGATATTGAGATGTATTATGTTCTCTAGTAACTCTGGAATTATGTTAACCATAGAAAAGAAACATCTGTCACATCTCAATGGTGATACGAAGTGTTTTCTTCCTGAATTGGCAAGAGAAAGTTACGAAGAGGAAGATATGTCATGGTTACTGGAAGAGAAGATGTAGAATCAGGATGGATTATTCTCATTTGCTTAAATTTTCTCAGAGCTATGCCATTTCTCATTCTATTTGTGAACGATGAAAGGCGTGTAATGCTATAGATACTACTACTAGAGTTCATTGCATTTCTGAAATGATTTGGAAGTTTAAAAAATACACTGGCAAAGGTGATTTATTAATTAATGATTTAAACATCCTTAACCATGATCAACTTTTCTTCCACTCACTCCAAATAGGAGAACTATGTGCATCACATAAAATTAGCTTAACTGATTTTACAGTGACTGTGTTTTATAATTTTTCTTCCGTCATCTCTAGGCTACATTTTCATACTAATCACCCTCATTAATACCTTGTAGACTGCTTTGTTGACTGTGTGAGAGGAGACTATCTATGGTATATTACTAGATATACAATTCTCCTAGAGTCAAACAAGTTAAGACTAATGAATCATTCCTTTGGTTTCAGGTTGGTATAGATTGAGGTTAAGTAGTAACCATTATAAACCCATATCCAAATAGTGGTGCTACTAAGAACATAGGCTTTTGGAATCAGGTGAATGGGGGAGCCAGGCGGTAAAAATTTTGTGTTAATATTATCAGCCCTGTGACTATAAGTTTCAGCTTTCTTCTTGGGAAATGGAAAATTATGACACAAACTTCACATTTTATTTTATGTATAAAATAAAATGATGTATGAAAAGCAGTTTTTATCATTTCTAGCATGTGGCAACTAAAATGATAGCCATTAATTGCATTATTATTGGATATTTCATGTTGTATGTAAAAAAAGAAATAAAAAAATATGAAAAAAAACATTGTTCAAAAACTTTAATTATTGTTTTGCCCTCCCACAAAATCCTATTGATCCCCCCAAACTAAATATTAACTCATCTTAAACCTGGAAACAGCTCTTTTCAGATACCTATTTTTATAGCAGCTGGATAGTTCCTATTAGGGATTCTTTGAGAGAAAAGCAGGGGAAATGCTCTGTCTGTAATAATGTTAATTTCTTGGTATGACTGAAAAAAGTGTATACGTTCTTTGTTAAATTAAACATGCTCAGAATAATAATTCTGAGTAAAGCAAATAACATGTAGGAAAAGTGTAATAATTTGATTATACTTAAAGATGCACTCATAGCATGTCTGTGAAAAATAAAACAGCTACTTATGTTACCCTAGAGATTGGGAATACAATTTTAAGAAATAATTACTTTTGTTTTTCACCTTGTCACTTTTATGTATTAGGATCTGTGTACCATCATTTATCTTTGTCTGACATTTAAAGCATGCTTTAGCTGGCAATTAATTTCTTTTTCTCTTGCTTTGTTTTTTTTTATCTCATTAGTTGGATAGAAGCAAATAAATTGACACATTAACCTATTAAAACATTATCTACCACTGTTTGATAGTTGCAAGTAAGGAGTTAGATTTTGGATTTCTCATACTGTTGTAGTTTTCGATGTGTTTGCTTTTCCTGGACATCTCCAGATCTATAGTATCAAGAGAAAACTCATGATGATTGTATCTAAGTCGTATTGCTGACATAAGGTTTTCCAAAACATCTCTAAGTTGTTGCACGTTGGATATTTTTGAAAATTGATTAAGATACAAGAAAGAGAGCCACCATTTTCCAAAATGAAAGGCAATTATTTAATTTTATTTTATTTGTGAGAAGATTAAGTCTATAATGACATTTTTTGCAAAAATTGCTCCCATTATATATGTATAATAAGCTGTCAATTGTAGGTATCACAATGACTGCATTTTTATTTTGGAGATTTTGTGGAGAAATGGTTGATGAAATAACAGGTATACATGTATGTCTTAAATGCTTTTTCTGTCCAGAAGTCATTTTTTTGTAAATAAAAGTATATATTTTTTCTTTTTCTTCCCCCACTAGATGTGGGTTCTGTGGAAGGACTTGCCTATCACAGAGCCTGGGATACACTGTACTGGACAAGCTCTACCACCTCATCCATCACCAGACACACTGTGGACCAGACTCGGCCTGGAGCATTTGACAGGGAAGCTGTCATCACCATGTCAGAAGATGACCATCCACATGTGCTAGCCTTGGATGAATGTCAAAAGTAAGAAACAGTGTAGTTTTATTTCTTCATTATAGTTATAAGTCAAAAGAATATCAGAGTTCTGTTAATTTTAAGAATTAACTTTAAAAATAAAGTTTTTATTTGAAGTTTTATTTTCACAATTCATAAAACTTTTTTTTTTATGTAAGAGCATTATAAATGTGAAAAATCTGGTCCCTTTAAAAGCCAGGCTTCATCTTCCTGAGAGATCCAGTAAAAACAAATTTAAATAATTAAAGGCAAACTAGAGACAATACCATGCTGGAAAAGGCCTATGAAGAAGACTTTAATACATAGCTGATTGGAACCATATATTTAAAAAAATTAACATACACGGAAGACTAAGAGTGTTTTTTTTTTTTTTGCATTTTAATCAAGTAATTATAGCATCTGGAGATCTCCCAAATTGCAATACAAAAGAAAGCAAACTGCAACCATACAAAAATCTTTGTGTGCAGCTATTTTTCAGCACTAGGTGCTTGATAATAGTCTAAGTAGTCTACAGCTGTTTGATGATATATTGTACAGACACCTAAAATAATGCTTGTAAAAATTTCATGACAAAAGAAAATGCTCCGGATATAAAATATACTCAGTGAATAAAAACAAAGAAAAAAATTGTGTTTTGGAGGATGTCTTAAAGAAAGCAGTTATGTAAAAAAAAAAAAAAAAAAAAAAAAAACCCCGAAGAACAAAGCACAGGTAAGGAACAAAAAAATACCTATCTATGGACTTTCACTCTCATATACAATATGGTAAAGTTGTTTGTTAACTATAAGAAAATTCTTTTTATTTTTAAATGAAATGAGTAAACAAAAATCAGACCAATCTGGCCTTCCTGAGCAAAACTAGAAGAGCTAGAAGAGTTCGTTTTAGGTGTGATTAAAACAAAAAAAAGATTGAAGAATAAAAAGCAATGACAGATAATCACTGACCCAGACCACTTGTCAGAAGAAAGGACTAAATAACAGAAATTGGTCAGTGTGAAAATAGTTGTAAATCTGAACCCTTTTATAGAGCTAAAAGTGAGGTCAGATTTAATTCACTTAATTGAACATCATCTTATATGTGAAAATTCTTAAGACTGAGCAATGTAATGACTCATGGAGCTTGGGAGACTGCTCCCACCACTGTCCTATGAGAATACGGTTTGCTGACTCAGCTGCATTTACCCCAACACATCACCAGAAGAATCTCAGGACAATAATAAATGTCCCACAGTAGGAATAAAAGAGTTGGGCAAAGGAATTTGTAAGTCAGTTTTGAAATAAAAATAAAGCAGTCACTCATGATATTATATATGATGAGTTTTAATTAGCAAGTGTTTTATCCTGTAATTATTTATTACATAGGCTAACATTTACACTTTTCACCTTGCATATGGTGAACTGTAAATTAAAATTAAACACATAAAATATTTCAATTTGATAATTATTTGTAAATAAAGTATAATAAAGGCAATTTATCATCATATATGTAAATGACACCTTCAAACCACCATTGTATGTTAATAGATTAACAGATATTTTAAAATGAAATCCTAAATCGCAAATCAAAGTTAGGTTCTCTAAGTTTAAAATTTGGCTCAGTTACTAATTATTTGTGAAAACTTTAATTACTTAAGCTCTCTGGGCCGTTCTGTTTTCTTACCTGTGAAATGAAGGGGGGAAATGAAAGGAACACTAACACCTCTAAAATTCTCTTATTATAAAGCCTACAATCTAGGAAAATATTGTAAATAAATTGTGAGTTTAATACTTTACATTCTATGCATAACTTTTAAAATGTTTTAATTCAGTATTTTTTATTTTAAATGTCACAACTTATAAGTAAAATTACCAACAATGAAAATTGAATACAAACATTTTTGTTGTGAATTTGAAAATTATTTGGTAATAAGTGTCATAAAATACTCAAAACCACATATTGAATAACTTTGTTGGCTGTAATGCTAAACTGCCTTTAAATGGTTATACATGGGAATCCATAGAGAACAGATACTATGCTGAAGGATTTAAGAGTCACTCCTAGAGTTTTAGAAATGATATTGTAATTTATAGAAAAATCACACTGAGAGAAAAAAAGAAATGTAAAAAACAGGAGTTTAGTAATTTTCTTTCTCCAAAACATATACAAAAGAGAAGGCAGAATTTAAAAAGTAAAATTGGAAGGGGAAGAAGATTTTTATTTTCATCAATTGAAGCAAATAAGTATACTTAGGATAAGAATGATTGTACTGGATCAGCTGAAATGTGGTAATAAGTTAGGGTATATTTGCAGTTTGTGGAAAACAAACTTAAGATCACTGTTTTGTTCTTGATTAAAATAAATCCTCATTATGCATCTAACAGTTTAACCAAATTATCATTTGAAGGAATACACAGGATAATTATTTTTTAGAAGTAGGTTCTAGGTTTCATTTAAGAACCTGGGGAAAATTAACATGCATATATAATATGCATATCTCCTTTTATTACCTAGACTTTGTTAAAGATAGAATATGAGGTAAATAATTCTGCTTCTTTTAAAATAGCTTGGTATTGCCATGTTTCTATTAGTATTTTTACTCTTGATGAGAAGTTTAATTTATAGTTACAATTTTCATTTTAATTAGTTTAATGTTTTGGACCAACTGGAATGAACAACATCCAAGTATCATGAGATCTACTCTGACTGGGAAAAATGCTCAAGTGGTGGTCAGTACAGACATACTCACTCCAAATGGACTTACTATCGACTACCGTGCAGAGAAGCTGTATTTCTCAGATGGCAGTCTAGGAAAAATTGAAAGGTGTGAATACGATGGATCCCAGAGACATGTAAGTTAATCAGGAATTTCTTGGTTATAGAGTTATACAATGATATATTTAAAACATGTGATTTATACTCTCCTAAAATGTACATATCAAGGAATTTCAAAATAGCCAGTTGATTGAAACAATCCAATTGAATAACTAATCTATCACACACATAAGAAAATTGTGGATAGTATTTTGAAAACTTCTTTCAAATGCATTTGCTACCATAGAGACAGCTCAACACATAAACTTTTTCTGGAGCAATAGTAACTAATTTCCTTCTAGTTATTAATAGAACTGGAATTGTTAGAGTGATTTGCATATGCTTCATTGTTATGTATAGTTTTTAAAAATGTGAAATAAAATTGATTAGTTGTCCCAGGATAAAAGAAAATTAGAAAAGAATGAAATGATCCTCTGTGTTTGTGTCCTTAAAGCAACCTAAGAAGCTCTGAAGAGAGGAGAATGGGTCAAATCTGTTCTAATCACTGGACTCTCTTTTCTCTGGGTTCAAAATGAAATGTTAGTGGAAGAGTTGCTATGCTATCCCTTGAGAGCACTTACAGCAGGTATTTAGGGCCTGAAGAATGGTGAGATGCTAGGGCGCCCCCTTGTCCTGTGAGGAGTAGCTGCCTTGGTGACTGGGAACCTCAGTGGTTAGATCTGGGTGGCTACAGCACTAGAGAAATCTGGACCCATGTCCCTACCACTGTACAGGCCTGAAGGACAAAATGATCCTCAGGCTCCTCATGCCTCCACTGCACTGAAGAAGGTCTGGAATGTAACACAATTTTTTTCTTAAAGGGCCAGATAGTAAATATTTGAAGCCTCATGGACCATGTGATCTCTATCACAACTACAGTGTTTCACGGCACTAACACAGACATAGAGAATATATAAATGAATAGACCTGACAGTATTCAAATAAAGTTTTATTTACAGAAACAGGCAACAAATCAGCAAATTCTATACATATAGAACAAATTCTCTATGGCTAAGCACACTGTTTAATTCAGTTGAAGATTGAATTGACCTTAGGCAAATTATTTAGCCTTTATAAACTTTAGATTTCTGACATGCAAATTTTCTTTCAGGGCAATTATGAAGATATAATGCAAAAGTATATGACTCAGAATGCAGCATAGAAATTCTAAATAAACCTAGTATATAATGCTTTTGAAAAGACAGGTAAAACATTGTCCTGAATGTGGTGTCATTTTTTATTATGTCATGATATTGAAAAAAATGAGTTTATAACTCATTCTCCTCAATTGATTTTTGTATATACCTATTTTGCACTTCCCCACCCATTTATTCTTATGTATGGTAATTATAGCTACAGTAAGTGGTCGAGTAATAAGATAGCACTAACATAATTTAAAGGATTTTTTCTGACAGTTAAAAGATGTGCATTGTTTAATTGCAACTCATCATTTTCCATCCCTGTCCAAGGCAGGATGATTTCTGATTGGGCCCCGAAGTTAGAAAACTATTTCAAAGTTTACTGCATTCTTACATGCATCTAGATTACCTCATCTTTATCCTCATATGAATTCAAATTAATTTTTAAAAGTTAATATTTTTGTTAATAAAATGAGCAATACATTTTAAAAATTCTTTATTTTGCAAAAGTTAATTTAGGGACTATTTATGGACTGTTTTAAAGACTTTGTGCAGATTTATTAAGACTTCAGACTGTATCAATTTACTAATCGCCCTACTAGCTAAATCACTGATTGCTAATTGTGTTCTAGATACTGTGCCAAGCACTTTATATTTCATGTTTTTATAGCCCTCCCCGTGGAAGGCATTATTATGATGATCCCCATTTGCAGATGAAGAAAATGAGGCACAAAGAAGTTTAGTACTTGTTCGGGAACACCTAGCCACATACGTAGCAGGAAGGTGATTCTACCCCTGGTGATCTCACTTCAGCGCCTGTGCAAACCATCATGCTAAATTTGAAAACACTTAAAAAGGACCCAACTAAGTGTACAAAACATGACCACTTCCTCATGCCTTGCAATTAGCAATACATTTGTTCTCTCCTTCTTCCTCACATATCTTTAATATGTTACCCATAAACACTTTGCACAGTAAATATTTCAATTCATTACTGAATATGAAACTATGCCTAGTAAAATTTGAAGTTCTGCTGATTTACGTAGTAAACCAAGTAGATTTACTCAACTTGTCAGCAGACATCACATTACTTTGATACACATTTTAAGAACATCAGTAAAATCGACAGGGAAGAAAATGAACAGCATCCAACTCTAAGTGACACATTATCCCCTTTAAAACTGCTCTCTAATAGAGACATAGAGCTTCTGCGTAATCTTTTTGAAATACTCTTTACATAGTTTTCGCCATTATGTCAAGACAAGCTAATCATTTGAAGCTGGGGTCATCAAAGCTCTTTTAAAAGAGAAAGATCACTATTGCACCCTCACACCATTGCAAGGACCTTTATTATAACTTTGTGTCTAAAACTGTTTAATAGATATTCTGAAGCCTTAGACAGATGTTACAGCAACTCTACTATGGCCTGTTATATAAGAATTTTCTCTTTGCTTTTAGTATTCTTTTCACTTTCATGTTTAGATATACCCATTGCTTAGCTGTGTGACAAATAGTGCAATCAGGGAAGGGGAAGACTAAATGCTTATTATTCATTTCAGAAATTAATATTTATTAAATTCATATTCTGTAATTATTAGTAAAGATAATTTTACAAAATAAATACTAGAATGAAAGTTGGAAGTTTACTTCTTTAAAAATTATACTTTTTATGCAATGTTAAATTTAATCCTCACATTTGGTATTGACTAATTGCATGAACATTACCAAGTCATTTAAAATCCTTATGCTTTTTTAAAAATGTAATTTTATTTTAGATTCAGGGAGTACATGTGCATGTTTTGTTTATTACATGGTATAATGCATACTAGTGGGAATCAAAGCTCTTATACTTTATAATTAATTTAGTTGTAAAAACAAATGACAGCTAAAATCAACATAATTGTGATGTTCTCTAATTTTGTGGAAATTAGCAGAAGTCATTGTTAATTCAAAAAGGTAAAATAAACGTTCTTTGTCCCCATATCTAGTTGAGGAAGTAAAACATATGCTCAAAGATAATTAATGATATGGAATTAAATCTGCGACATTTTAATGATAATTCTCAATATTTTAATTCTCAATCTTTCCTTGTTCTGAAAAGCCAAAAATTCATACACAGGGTGTTCTTTTATAAATGGGACCTTTATAAACAGCACTATCATTTAGTGTGCTTGTACCTAGATTTGCCTTGAAATCCAACTGTTATTGTTAGTTCGCCTTGAAAAGAGCAGATAATCTAACACATGCCAGTGTTCACAGGAACCAGTGACTTCCACTTACTACATGAAATGAAAGCATTGTCAATTGTTGTAATCCATTCAAGCTGCTATAACAAAATATTACTCCTATTTTTTTCTACTCCTTATTTTATTCCCTTTGGGCAACCATACTAATATATATATATATATATATATATATATATATATATATATATATATATATTCAATTTATATTTTATTTTTAAGTAGATCTGCAAAACAACAGGATAAATTCCATTTTTATATTTTGGAGTACACTGTAAAAGGCACTGAAGAAATGTGTGACAGGTAAAAACTATAGATTTAGAAAGAATGATATTTAGGAAATAGAAAGTATAGTTACGAAGATTGAAGGATTCTATAAAAGACTTAAAATAGTCACCATGAAATATAAGAAGAGACGCAAAACATCGTTCATTCTATAATGTCAAAAAATGCTGAAGCAATACAATAAAAAGGAGTGCTGGAAAAGTGACAGTTACAGAAGGGAACATTTATTTTGCATAATTGCATATTTTCTAACTTTGGGTAAAGCAAGTGATAGCAGAAGGCAATCTCAAGAGTAGGGAAATCAGATATCCCCAGGGGAGTGAAAAGATTAGAAAGAAGCTAGACATCATAATCTGGAATATTAGATACAGTGTATCTTTAATGAGAAAGAAGTAACCTATATTTAAGTTAATTGATTTTAAAGTGTTGGAGAGATTCTTATAAATTTAGACCTTGTGTGCCCTCGAATGCAGTATGATGAAGTGGGTCTTCCAAAGCCTGTTGGAAAAGTGTTCCTTCTTTTGAATATCTTTAGGAATTAGACCATAGTCAAGTAAATTTTCAAAACTATGTTTTAAACAAAGTCTGATAGGCTTAGTCATTGCATTACATCTTAAAGCTTTTAATATGCTCGTGAACATTATGAATATTCTGAATGGAAAACAGCATGTAGCTTTGTTCTGATCAGAAAACAGATGATTTTTGCTTGTTTGTTTTAATTTTTTTAACATGGGCCAGGCGCGGTGGCTCATGCCTGTTATCCCAGAGCTTTGGGAGGCTGAGGCAAGTGGATCACCCGAGGTCGGGAGTTCGAGACCAGCCTGACCAAGATGGTGAAACCCCATTTCTACTAAAAATACAAAAAATTAGCCGGGCATGGTGGCACGTCCCAGCTACTCGGGAGGCTGAGGCAGGAGAATCGCTTGAACCCAGGAGGTGGAGGTTGCAGTAAGCCGACATCATGTCACTGCACTCCAGCCTGGCAATGGAATGAGACTTTGTCTCAAAAAAAAAAAATTAACATGATGTGTCATGGGCATGTGTTTGTAGAGATTTGAAAAATGCTGATACACTATTTACAACTCACACTTACAACTCATATTTATCATATAAATATTATATAACCCATTGCTTATCAGTAGACCAGAGAAACAGATCCTTTCAAACAGCAAAAATAAATCAAAAAAGGGTTTTTTAAATACATTTTTATTTTTTGATTTTTTTAATCTGAAGTTTAATAAACCCATTAGTTTTTTTCTATCAAACTGAATGTCGAGTTTTATTATTCTGTTTTATCTTAGAATGTGGTCACAATAAAATACAAGTCCGCACAGTTCAATTTTGACTTGCATTGATAAAAATAATATGATTGGCTGGGTTTTTCTGATTTTAATAACACATTAACTTATGTGGTGGTTCTACCTAAATATCGAGGAATGCATTCTTTATTCAGTGATAGGAAACTGAATGTTTTTGGGAAATTTAGTTATTAAGGCAAAAAAATCCAGAAAATAATTCTGTAATGTTTCTTTTTAATTTTTTCTGTTTTGTATCTATCATCATCTCTGTTCGTTCCAGTAGCTGAAACAATAAATCATGTTGACAGGGGCTAAGACAGCATGATTATAACCTATCTCCCTGCAGTTACCCTGTAAGTGTTAATCATTTCTTGGAAAGTATGTGCTACCTGCATGATACAAACCTTTCCAAAAGAGATATTTATGTTCCTAGAAATTGGAATTGCTCATGTTTCTTACCACTGACATTCTTTTAAAAACTGAATCCAAGATTGTTTAAGGAATATATTCCCAGGAAGAAATCTTAAATCTTATGACTTTTCTTTAGAATGAAAAGGATTTTTATGACTAACTTGACCCCTAAATAAACATGCTCTGATTACATGAACTCTTTTAAGTAAGAATAGGAGAGCAAGTTAAATAAATAAACTAGTTTTAATTCTAAGAACAATCAGAAAGTAATGAGATATTTTATCTTTTTATGGCACTAAATATTTCCTTTCTACTTTGTGTGTATGTGTGTGTGTGTGTGTGTGTGTGTGTGTGTGTCAGGATCTCACTTTGTCATCCAGGCTGGAGTTCAGTGTTGTGATCAAGGCTCACTGTAGCCCTCTAACCCTGGGCTCAAATGATCCTCCCACTTTGGCCTCCTAAGTAGTTGGGACTACAAGCCTGAACCACCATACTTGGCTAATTTTTTACTTTGAGTAGTGATGGGGGTCTCTCTATCTTTCTACTTTTAAAATCAGTTGTTTTATTCCATAAATAAATCAAGGCATCAACTTATCATCTATATGCATCTATATATTTACCTATCTTCTATCTTTCTTATCTATATATCTACGCTGTCTTCTTTTATTGATAATATAGTTTTAATGACGTTCAAGGGCCTGAACTCTGAAACTTACAGAATAAGTTTTGATGCCCAGAAAAGTGAATTTTCTCACAACATAGGTTTGAAATGCTTACCCAAGTCAAAACCATTTGCTATCACCAAAGACAAGAAAGAAGATGAGTGTCAACTTCTAAAAAAAAAAAGGAAATATTTGATTTAAAAATTAAAGTATAAGTATAAGCATCCATTTCAATGAACTGAAAACCTTTCCACCATTAACTGGAATAAACCAGTATTATTTCACAGATTAGGAAACAGGCCCAGAAAAGGTAAATTAATTTCTAATGTTACTATGTCTAATATTTAATGCCAATTATGGTTCTTAACTCTCTATTAGAGCCAGTGATCTTTATTTTTAATTTAAAAACTTAATATCCTTATTTCTGTTCTAATAAAATTTTATATTATATCTGCCTTTATAAATAACTTTTCCAAGTTCTATTTAGTACCTGAACTATAATATAAAGGAGATATATAGAAAAAGTAATTTACAATGAATGATACATGTCCCAGTACACACTAAATGATCAAAGGAAACATGAGAAAGTGGTCAGATATTTTCACATGCATAGACTCATCATGAATGTGACAGCTGTGAAGGCAGATACATATCAAGTAGGTTTTACTACTCAAATACTGAGAGTAGTGCTGACTTGGGTGATAGGATTTTCAAAACTGATGATGAGTTCTTGAAAATGTTGTATACAAAATGAGATAAAGTCATCTCTCAATTTACATAGAAGTTATGGTCCCTGAAAAATAATAAGTATATATTAAATCTCCTGAAATACTTATGTATATATGTAAAATGGAATTAAATTCTAGGATCAGATAATTATAAGCAGGTTTTCATCTTTGAGAATATCTTGTAGGACATTTGAAATCTGGGCAGAGTCTCAGACAAGTCGTTGTACAGAACTGCTCCGTGTATTGCAGGGCATCCAGATTCCTGGTTCTTTACCACTAGACTATATAGCTATCATCCCCACCTTACCCCACTCCTATTAAGCAAAAATGCTGCCAACATTTTCCAAAGTCGTAGAAGGAATAGGACTGCCTTGATTGAGAGCCAATAAGATGGGTAATTGTCTTAAAGGGAGATATGAAGAAAGTTCTCCTGACAGCAGTGATCTTTCTATTCTGTCTCACATGCCTCAAATACATGGGATGTTGGGTCTGTCAATAGCTGGATAAATCATAGACAAGAAGCAGAGTACCTAACTGTCAGCATAAGACTTCTCTGGACTTTAATTTTAACAGATCAGCCAATTGAATAGATAGAACTGTATATATCCAGTACCTTTTACATGATGGACATTGCAATCAAGTATATTATAAAAAAGCCCATTATCTACTAAATTCTGAGAGGCTGCTGGATATCGGACGTTTTGTTGTCTTTGACATTTTTCTGAACTCAGGAGGCATCATTCAATATTCAGACTATTAGGTCCAATATTGATTTCAGTATATTTTAAGTATTCTTGGGCATGAATAGTTATTCAAATTATAATCAGACCTTAATAACTTTCTAATTTATTTAAAAATGATCTTTATAACTTTCTAATCTTTAGAACAGTAAGTGACTAAATAGAAATGTGATAAAAGTAAAGAATACAGCAAGTCTATGAATTCTATTAATCCATTAAAAATTATCATGTAAAACATATTTTTCCATGGGGAGATTTAGTATACATTAAGTGATAAGCGTAGAGTGAACACTTTAATATGCTGTCTCTCAGGCTAGATGTATAAAAATATTTCTTGAATGAAAAAATGAATGCTGTTGTCTTAGTGTGCTCTGTTTGCCATAACACAATACTTTAGACTGGGTGGCTTAAAAAACAGAAATTTACTTTCTCACAGTTCTAGAGGCTGGAATTCTGACATCAGGGTGCCAGCATAGTCAGGTTGGTGAGGGCCTCTTTTCCTGGCTTATGGATGGTCATCTTCTCACTGTGTCTTCACGTGGCCTTCCCTTGATGTGCATGGGGACTGGGTTGGGGGCTGGGGAGAGAGAGAGAGAGAGAGAGAGAAAGAGATCTAGGCCACAAATTCTATAAAATTAGTAACCTACCCTTATGACCTTATTTAATCTTAATTATCTCCTTAATGGTCATGTCTCCAAGTACAGTCATATTGGGAGTCAGGGCTTCAACATGTAAATTTTGCAAGGAGGCACAGTTCAGTCCATAGCCACTATAAATCATTTTCTATAGGAAAAAAGCATTCATCTATATATATATATACACACACACATTTGTATACATTATATATTACATATAAATATATATTATATATGCATATATAGATATATATACATATATACATTATATATTATGTATATATATATACACATTTAAAAATTCCCAAAATTGTTAATAGAAGCCTTTAGGTTGTGAAATTATAAGTGATTTGTTTTTACCTGTGTGCATTTCTAGAACAGATAACAAATATTAATGAGTGAAGGACGACATATGCATTTGTGCTTATGAATTTTTAATTAAACATTTTTATTTGGAGATAACTGTAGATTCACATGAAGTTGTACAAAGTAATACAGAAGGATCAAGTGTACTCTTTACCCAGTTTTCCCTAATGATTACATCTTGGAAAAGTATAGTACAATCTCACAACCAGGGTATAGACACTTATGTGGTCAAGATACAGAACATTTCCTTCATTCCAATGATCCCACATGTTGCTTTTTTGCATAGCTGTGCACACTTCCCTTCTTTCCCACTCCTTTCTTAATCACCTGCAACCACTAATTTGTTTTCCACTTCCATAACTTTGTCACTTTAAGAAACTTACATAGAAACTTTGTAAAGAAACTTTATAACTTCTTTATAAAGAAACTTTAAGAAACTTATATAATGGAATTATATAGTGCATTTCCTTTAGGGACTGACCCTTTCCATTCAGTAAAATTCTCTGGAGATTCATTCAGGTTGTTGCAAATATGACTAGTCTGTTCTCTTTCCTGCTGAGTAGTATCTATGATATGAATAAGCCACAGTATCTTTATTCACTTGTTGAAAGTCATCAGGGCGGTTTCTAGTGTTTGGCTATTGTGAATGAAGCTTTCATGAATATCTGTGTACTGATTCTAGAATGAACATAATTCTTCACTCTCTGTAATAAATGTCTAAGAGTTCAATCACTGGGTCATACATTAGTGGCTTGTTTAGTTTTTTTTTAAGAAACTGACAAACTGCTTTCCAGAATGACTGTACCATTTTACATTCCCACTTACAGTTTATGAGTTATTTATATATTCTAGATGATACTTTTTTGTTGGCTATGTGGTTTGTAAATATTTTCCCCCACTTTGTAGTTTGTTTTTCCATTCTTTTCACATGAGATTTATGCTGAGCAAAATTTATTTTGATTATTTTTAATTTATATTTCTTTGTCATGGTTCATGCTTTTGATGCTAAGACTAAGAATTCTTTGCCTAGCCTTAGATTCCAAAGATTTTATTCTATTTTTTCTAAAAATGTTATAGTTTCACATTTCACATTTACATTCGTAATTCATTTTGAACTTATTTTTGCATTTGGTCAGAAACTTAGGTCAAGGTCCACTTTTTTGCCTATGGATGTCCATCTTTTTTTTTTTTTTTTCTTTGAGACGGAGTCTCGTTCTGTTGCCCAGGCTGGATGGAGTGCGTGGTGCAGTCTCGGCTCACTGCAACCTCTGCCTCCTGGGTTCAAGAGATTCTCCTGCCTCAGCCTCCCGAGTTAGCTGGGACTACAGGCGTGTGCCACCACACCCGGCTGATTTTTTGTATTTTTAGGAGAGACAGGGTTTCACCGTGTTAGCCAGGCTGATCTCCTGACCTCGTGATCCACCCGCCTTGGCCTCCCAAAGTGCTGGGATTACAGGCACGAGCCAATGCACCCAGCTGGATGTCCATCTTTTCTCTAATTGCTTGTATACTTTTTTCAAAAATCATTTGGGCATAATTGTAGGTGTCTATATTGGGGTTCCCTGTTCTTTTCCATTTATTTAATGAGTTTGCCACTCTGTCAATAACACACAGCCTTGATTTTCAAAGTTATTTTAGTTATTTTATTTTCTTTGCCATTTTGCATAAGTTTTAGAATAATCTATCCACATCTACAAAATGTCTTTCATATATCTATAGTGTCGTCAGGTATATTCTCTGTCTAACTTTTTTAGCAGTTGCTTTAGGTACTGCAGTATATATTCATTACTTATCAGTCTACAAGCATCACCATTTACCCAGTAAAGCGAAGCATAGAAACTTTACATCCCTTTATGTTTCTTTAGCCTCCCCTGTTTGTAATATAATTATCTTCAAGATTTACTCTGCACACAACAGTGTTAGATTTTTTTTGCTTCAACCATCAAACAACTTAGAAAACTCAGTATAAGGAAAGCCTACTTTTATGTACCCGTATTTTTGCTCACAGTGTTCTTTCTTTTTTCTTGATGTTCACAGGCTTCTTCTTTAATTGCTTACTTCCCTATTGCTTTCGAAAATTCCTTTTGTCCATTCTTTGCCATCTGTTGTGGCATATTATCTTAATTTCCTTTCATCTGAGACTGTTTTGATGTTCTCTTTATTTCTGATATTTTCACTTGGCATAGGTCACTGGGTTGACAGTTTTCATTTCATATTTGAGAAATATTGGGCCACTTCTTTCTGTTCTCTGTGATTTCTGATGAGATATCTATTATTATTAAAATTGTTTTCTTCTATGTAACATGTCATTTCCCCCTCGCTGCTATTAAGATTTGCTTCTTGTCTCTAGTTTTCAGAAGTTTATTTTTATTTTTAATCAGCAAATAATAATTGTGTATATCTCAGGAGTACAAGGTGATGTTTTGATATATGTATGTATTGTGGAATGATTCTTCAGGCTAATTAACATGTTAATCATAACACCCATGTACTTACTAATTTTTGTGCTATTTATCTCCAAAGTTAATTTCTCGTGTCTAACTGGAAATTTGTATCCTTTGACCAACATCTTATTCCCCATCCCATCTTCACTCCAGCCTTTGGTAGCTACTATTCTACTCTCTACTAATAAGAGTCTGACTTTTTAGATACCACGTGTGAGCTCATGAAGTATTTGTCTTTCTGTGTCTGGCTCATTTCATTTAGCATAATGTACTCCAAGTTCACCCATGTTGTCACAAATCACAATTTCAGAAGTTAAATTATGATGCGTCTTGGGTTTATAGTCTCTGAGCTTTAGTCTGCTTCTCGAATCTGTAGGTATATGTCTCTTGCCAGATTGGTGGTTTTCAGCCTTGACATTTTTCAAGTCCTTTTTAGCCCCACGCTTTCTCCTCTCCTTGTAGGACTCTTTGACATGAATGTTAGGTCTTTTACTATAGTCTCACAGGTCACTGGAGCTTCGTTCAGTTTTCTTTCTTTCTGCTTTTTCTTTGTTGTTGTGACTGGCTATTTTCTATTATTCTACTTTTTAGTTTACTGACACATCTTCCATTTCCTCCATTCTGCTGTTGAGTTTATTCACTGAACTTTTTATTTAAGTTATTTTACGTTCAGTTCTAAAATTTCCATTTTGTTCCGGTTTCTTTCTTCTATTTTTTTTACTGAGATTTTCCATTTCTTTCCTAAAGCCTTTATTTTTAAAAAAATTTTATTATAGCTACTTTTAAATCTTTTTCAGATAATTTTTACACCCCTGTCATCTTGGTGTTGGCATCTATTAGTTGTGATTTTTTCAGTCTCTTTGAAATCTTCCTAGTTCTCGGTATGATGAGTAATTTTGTTTGAACTTGAACATGTTCTACTGCATGTATCTCCGTATTTTCAACCCTTCTGTTTTTAACTGTCTTTCCCTGACATCGGTCTAGGAGGGGAAAGTGAGGGGTGCTACCCTATCGGAGTAGCAGGTCCCCCATTCAGCATTCATTGGCACCAGAGATGAAATTGGGACTCCTCTGTGCTACTGGATGAAGAGTGGGAGTTCAGGCTACCTAGATGGCCTCTACAGTGTCACCTAGAGGATGATGGTGGAAGTCCTGACCCTCCAGTGAGCTGCTTCTGACACCACCTCAGCAGAGAAGGGGTGGACACTTCATTACCATCAGGGGTGTGTGGAAGCCCAGGATCCCCACTTGGCCTTTGCTGGTGTGGGTGTGTCACAGCCTTTTTCCTGTGGTGGCTGGCTATAGTAAAGTTTTCTGCTGTGCTTGCTAGGTTGTTTCTTTCCTGGTCTTTTAGCTAGAGAGAGCAGATTATTATTTTTATTTTTTCTGTGTATGTTGCCATTTCTGGGTTGCCAGCTTATACGATTTGAGTCTGAGATATATGAGACAAAATGACACTTAGGAAACACACTTCCATGGAATTTCTTGGTCCCAAGATACCCAGCTGGGTTGCTTTTTCTCTCTACTTTTATAGTCACCTTATGTTTGTTTTATGTATAATTTCTAGAGTTTTAAGTTGTACATAAGGATCAAGAAATGTCTGTCTAGTCCATTTTTCTAGGAGCATAAGTTAGTGTGCTCATAGATTTTTAGACATTCAGAATAGAAAAAAAGGGAAACATCTATTTGAGTTTTTTTAAAGACACTTTTAAAGATCTAAGCTGATTTATGTTCTATAAGTCTGTAAAACAAGGCCCTTGCATTGCCAATGAATTTAAACAGGAATAAGACTTATTAAAGACTTATTAAACACACATGATATGGCATGAGCTGCAGGCCAAAGACATTGAAATCACTGATTTTCCACCTAAGGGAAATAAAGATTATGAAAATAAAGATGGTTGATTGTGTTGTCTAAATTTTATTGTCTTTAATGATAATGTGTAGATGTGATCACAGAGTATATAATAAAGTTTATATGAATATATGACATTGCCAAATATAGGTGTCTAAGTGAGAATAAGAAATAAGTGAAAAGAAAACTAAAATTAGTGTTAGATAACATTGTTTCAGTGTTGGACTGGTTCAAAAAAACTGTGTGATCTTGAGCAATTATTTTAATCTTTTTGAATCTCAGATTTGACATTTTGGGCTAGACTTAAAATTATTTTCCAACTCTAAGATCAGCCATTTGATATATATTTTATAACACATTCATATACATAAGAAGATGGTGCCACATCTTGAATATTTTAGACATGGAGGCAGTCTTGGTAGTAAAATAGAACATACTGCTTTTCAGGAAGCAGTATGATGTGGGAGAAATTAATAAACTTAGATTGTTTAGACATGAATTTGAAACTTAGATATAAGACCTGTTGTTTAGTAAGCCGAGGACATTTCTTAATCCTTCTACACCTTAATTTCTGCTGTAGAATATGACTAATAGTTTATGCCTCATAGGATGCATTTTGAGGAGTTAAAACGTTAATTCTTGTAAATCCCCCCTTGAATTATGAAATTTAAAAAATAAACCAAGTTTAAAATTGTGTAACTACATTCACTACACACATACACATTTGTATAAACATGAATGATAACTATATAATTAATCATAAGTTGCCTCATTTCCTCTTTTGTAGGAATAATAACATCTAAAGAAAGGCAATTTGTTTTTCATCTTTGTATCTCCAAAAGCAATATACCCAAAGTCTGATGCATTGCTATGTTCAGCAAAATTCACTGAAGAAATGAGTATACGAGTAAATAAACTAAAAGACAAATTATAAAAAGGATGCTCTGAATAAAATGAAAAAAACAAAGAGCTTAAAAAAAAGAAAAGGCCAAAATCAAAATTTTGCTATTTTGAAGGCCTCAGCTATCCAGGGTAACTGATATTCCTATCCAGTAAGATAGGAATGATATTGCAGTAGGCTTAATAGTGTTTATTTCTTACACAATTCCTTTGATTTAAGTCCACATACATTTCAGTGATGGTTCAGCTTGGTTAGTCTTGCAAATTAAAGTATTACTGAAGCCAGACTGTCTGAAAAGAGATGTGTTCTTACAGAAGAATAATGGTCAGTATCTAGGGCAACTAGTGTATTCATCCAGAAAATAACTGGTGTCCCTTCAGCATGAGATACTGATACTGATGGATTGATTTAACATTTCCTAGAAACTTTCAATTTTTAGGCATCAGATAGAATTTATCAAAAGGCCAGCAGCCACCTCTCCTACCTGCCTCATTGTATAAATTCATCTACAAAGATTAAAATAACAGATAGCTAACAAAAGCCATTCTGCTCATATATATATATATATATATATGAGCACATTTCTTCCAAATTAACTTTGCTTACAAACTGAACAGAGGGAGAAGCATACAAATAAGCTTAAAAATATTTCCTTTGGTGAAATAATTGAGCAGATAAAAGGAAAAGTAGTTTTAAAAGTTTCATGTTTGAATTCATAAAATTCTCAAATAACTTATATTAATTTTTCTCTTCTCTGAATTTCTTATTTTTTGTATTGTTCTTGAGCAGGTTATAATGTGTTTTTTGTAAGTTTTACACATAAGAAAACTAACATGAATTTATTTGAGCTTGAGGCAATATTTCCCTGTGTTTGACTCTCTGAGAACATTTAAAATGATAAAAAAGATTAAAACTAATTATTATTTTAACCATTTAAATATTATTTAAACTAGTTTACAATAAAAACTCAGGTATTGTATGACTACAGCTAAATAACTCAAGCATGTGCTTTTTCTGAACTTCCTAGCAACCAAGACATTATGGGAAGACTGTTAAGTTATACAGTGCTTTGATTTGATAGAAGAGAACAAAACTGTTTAGCAGAAAAGTCATTTTTTTATAGTCCTTTGATTTAAAATGTTATTATAACAAGATCTTTTATTTACACAGGAATTTTGAGAATATAAAAAAATAAAAATCAAGATGCTAAATTATTTCTAGCAGCACATAATAATAAATAAGTCATCAAAAGGAATATGGTTGACCATTAATATATAAAATACATTTAATAATGTACAATTACATTGTTAAATTACTAAAAGAAGCTAACATTTAAAACTAAAGTCAGTAAGATACATGACCTTAATTATTGCATAATTATGAAATGTTAAGAAATAAAAACAGAGAAAATATAAATAATATAAGTAAAGACGTATCTTAGAGGGAAGAAAAACTAAATAGTTTTACACATATTAAAGGAGAAACTGGCTGGGCACAGTGGCTCACGCCTGTAATACCAGCAGTTTGGGAGGTCAAGGCAAGTGGATCACTTGAAGCCAAGCGTTCAAGACAAGCCTGGCCAGCGTGGTGAAACCCCATCTATACTAAAAATATAAAAAGTTAGCTGGATGTGGTGGTGCTCGCCTGTAATCCCAGCTATTTGGGTGGCCGAGGCACGAGAATTGCTTGAACCTGGAAGGCAGAAGTTGAGTGAGCTGAGATCACATTACTTCACTCCAGCCTGGGCAACAGAGAGAGATGCTGTCTCAAAAAAAAAAAAAAAAAAAAAAGAAAAAAAAGGAGAAACTGTCAATAGAAACTTTCAGTAGACTCATGCTCTCATGCTAATATTTCCATGAAGATGCCAACAGAATCCTATGACCACTGATGTAGCTACTGCAAATGTGTACAATCTGTAGTTTATTCTGCTAACATGATAATTCTGCTCATTGAAGGGTAAAGTACCCTAGTATTTATTTGTAGGATCCAGAGCTGGGACTGAGCACAAATGGGGAAAGAAGGTCAAATCACCCCAACATGTAAAAGCTGAACCTAATCAACTGGCCAGTCCATTTGCATTTGGGCCTGCTGAATGGTTGGAAAATTAAAGGGCTTGTTAACTGAATGAAAAATAAATGCTGCAGTATCTTAGTCCGTTTATGCTTCTATAACCAACTACCAGAGATGGGGTAATTTATAAATAATAGAAATTTATTTCCCACAGTTCTGGAGGCTGAGAAGTGAAAGATCAAGGCACCAGCAGGCCTGGTGTCTGGTGAAGGCCTGCCTCTCATAGACGGTGCTTTATTGTTGCATCCTCGCATGACAGAAGGAATGAACATGGTTTCCTCGCATGGCAGCAGAGCGGAAGAGATCAAACCCACACACTTAGGCTCTTGTATAAGGACGGGCTAATGAGATCTCTTCCCTCACGGTTTTATCAGCTCCTAAAAGTCCCACCTCTTAATACTATCATATTGGCAATTAAGTTTCAACACATAAATTTTGGAAGACATTCGAACCGTAGCACCAATTATAACCCTGCTTTGGGCAGAAATAAGAGCACATTTGTCAATGACATATCAGAAGAGGTAGAAGAGTTTCTTACCACAGAATGTACATTAGCATCCCTTAGGGGGCTTTTACGTGATAGTGATGCCTAACCCCAATCTGAGAACAATTAAATCAGAATTCCTGTATGAGGCATGGGTCTCATTTTTCAAAGCTTCACAATTTGCATAGTGAAAATTGAGAATAATTATTGTAGTCTACTATAGGCATAACAGAGAATTTACCCAAGGTACAATCAAATACGCGGTAAATGAGAATTTTTTTTTAATTATGGTTTTGGCAGACCTAAACCAGGTATAGATATATGTGTGTCACGACCATGTTCTCTCACCTGATTCAGAATATCTGAGATAATTCGCATGAGAATCTTCATAATTTTGGCCTTTCACAGTGCCTTGCATTTTCTCCAAGACATGGGACTCATATTACCGATATTAGGGGATACACGGAAACAATATCAATTTAAAGTGAATGATGTAGTATGAAAAATCATTCTTTAGTTAATGCTCTTTCAATCCTCTGATTGACCCAGAAAGAAAATTTAAGTTTACTGCTAATAGGTATTTAATATCCCTGTGATACTTAATGAAAGAGAGAGAAAAATACAGAGAGAAGAGGGGGAGAGAAAAAGAGAACAGGAGAGAGGGAGGGAGAGAAAGATAATTCAGGCTAACATTTGGTTGGCAATACTATTTAGCTATAATTTGATAGTTTCAGTTTCATTGTAGAATTTTTTGGAGTTGCAGTCTATTCTGATACTAGATTTCCATTTATGGTAAAGAGTCAATTTAAAGAACAATTCAAAGCAAATGATAGTAGAAATTGTATTTAGATAAGGACAAAAAACGTGAAGACATTTATCTCAGTTCAGATTAGATTTGTAAAAGCATAAACAAAAAAAAAATAACAAAGCCTGAGGCAAGAGCTTATGTTGTGCTTCTCTATTAGGTATGCGATCCCGGGAAGCAATAGTGTGTGCAAGCAAAATGTGCTGAGAAGGACAAAAAGCGTATCTGAAGAGGTGTGCTACAGAGTTGGAAAAGAAATAGTTAAATGAGGACCTTGATCATCATCACCACCATACTATTTAAGGCTTATTGTGCTTTTTAATTTAGTTGAACAGAAATAGTAAATCAAAGGCGAAAACTTTGAATAATGTTACCTTCGTTAAAGTGTCTAAAGTCATTTTGACAATTATGCAAAAGAACCTTTCAATTCTGACTTCAGGTCCTCCCACTCTGTCTTCTTATATCAAACTTAAATAGAGAAAGTAAATAAAAGCAATGATGCAAGGTTCATGTCTGTAACTCATGCTCCTGGAGGACTCACCCTGCTGATATACTGCCATAACAAATTACACAACTAGTGCAGTTCTTTTGATTTATTGCTGCAATAGATCATAAGCGTGCTGACTGACATAAACATGTGTACCATAGACAGCTGGGCTTCACAATATTTTATTTCTCTCTCCTCATTTTCAAGTGCTTAGTTTGGAAAGTAAGAAAGAAAACAAATTGACACATCCAGGAGGATATTTCTGGAGCAGCCCTCCCCATAGACTGTTGAAGTAATAGCTTTTCAGTTGAGAAGTCCCAGTGCTCTTCTCTGCTTCTAGTTCCTCCCAAAGGACTGTTTAAAAAAGATAAAAAGCCATTAACTCATATGAATTAGGTTTTGATAATTCAGTCTGTAGTTTTTCTTTTTCATTTTTTTGACTGTATAAATACATAATGACAGACTTCATCCGCATTTCCTCATTCTTTCTCTGAGCTATTATGAGCTATCATGGAAATTGGAATTACAGACATTTAAAATCAAAGTAATTATTTAATAGGCTGTTACACCCCTACTTTCAAAAGGAAAACAGTTGTTCTGTCATGAGTCCAATCATTTTTTCAAACTTAAGATTTATACTGAGGTGTAAATGATCGCTTTTTATTTCGTGGTTAAAATGATGCTTCATCACGTCTCCTGAGAGCATTTCTGCAATTGGCAACACAGGGCCTTTTAATGATTTGTGTGGTCATCTGTTCTCCTAGTTCTTTGTATCTACCTGGGGAGCTGTGTGGAATGCATGATAGTATTTGATCATAAGAATTCTTTTGACCCTCCCCAATATTTAATATTTCCAGACCTTGCGTCTTTTTTGTTATGAACTGTGACTGGTCTAAGATATTACTCAATTTGCTGAGTTACATATTCTATATTTATTAATATTGCAGAAACACAAGACACTTGGTCAACAAATATAGCTCTTTATTGATACCACCAGATCAGCAGCCACAGTAACAATGAGACCATTAGTTTCCCACATCTAGACCACCAGCAATGCCATGAGAGCTGATGGAATCTTTCCAAGTGGGTGGTGGGTTAGTTCACATGGACAGAAATAGAGAACAATGGATTTTCTCCATTTGCATATATAGGATACGGTCAGCCATCCTATTTCCTTCTTCCAAAAGGAGAGAAGGAAAGCAGAAATGAAAACTTTATTCTTCTGAAAATGGTTTTTACCCTAACCTTTTTATTTTATTTTATTATTATTTTTTGAGATGGAGTCTCACTCTGTAGCCCAGGCTGGAGTGCAGTGGCGCGATCTCGGTTCACTGCAACCCCCGCCTCCCGGCTTCAAGCGATTCTCCTGCCTCAGCCTCCCAAGTAGCTGGGATTACAGGTGTGTGCTATCACGCCCGGCTGATTTTTGTATTTTTAGTAGAGATGGGGTTATGCCCTGTTGGTCAGGCTGGTCTTGAACTCCTGACCTCAGGTGATCTGCCCACCTCGGCATCCCAAAGGGCTGAGATTACAGGCCTGAGCCACCGCACCGGCCTACCCTAGCCTTTTAAAATGTAAAGATGTCTCTCCAAGGGCAAGATAAAGCCCAGGTGTCTCCAGCTTTCAGGGTGTGGAGATGTGTCCAAATTGAGGATTCATCCCTTTTGACATTTGAGATAGTGGTCATGTCTTCTGGTACTTTGGCCTTAAGTTAGGGACCTAATCCAGCTATCATTTGGTCCTGATGGGGGAGACAAGTTGTATTATCCTTTCAGATCAGAGAAATTAGCTAAAAAAAAAGCTACTGATCTAATTTTTATGACATGATAATATGTGAGGAGTACAGTATTTCTGGGGAAGGTGAAAGCAAATGTTCTCTATCTTTCTTCAATATATATTCCTGTGTCTCATGAGGCTAGGGCTTTGGCAGGAGCACTGAGAAATCCAAGGAAATTTTGTTCTCCCGAAGTGTCATATTATGCAATTTTCTTACTTAGTTCAAGGAGTTTAAGATTTCTCCCCTTCTCCTTTGCTCCCTTTCCTCTTTTTTTCTTTCTTTGTCTCCTTGTTCCCCTGTTCCGTCTCCTCGTTCCCCTTGTCTCCCTTGCTGAGAGAAGGGAGATAGACTTCCTCCTTCTGTTTACTTCTGTATTTTGCTGAGAGAAGGGAAATTTACCTCCTTTCTCTCTGAAAAATATGAGTAAACAAAATGACAAAAATCCTTGCCCTTAGGGTATATTATATTTTAGTGAGAGAACAGACATTAAACAAGATTAATTAAGTAAATAAATGCTAGTTAGGTAGTAATAAGTACTTAGAAAAAATCATCTCAGGGAGAAAGGGATTGATTTTTTTTATTTATTTTATTTTTTTTTATTATACTTTAAGTTTTAGGGTACATGTGCACTACGTGCAGGTTTGTTACATATGTATACATGTGCCATGTTGGTGTGCTGCACACATTAACTCATTTTTGAAAGTGGTTGGAAAAGTCTTCAGCAAGAGGATGACTGAGGTTTGAAGAAAGTGAGGGAGTTAGGCTGCCAGTTGGGTATTTTGGGGAATGGCATTCTAGGCAGAGTGCACTGCAAATGCAAAGGCCTTGAGCAGGGATCGTAACTGCTGAGTAGAAGGAGGCCAGGGTGGCTGGAGGAGAAGTAAAAGGAGAGCAGTAAAAGAATTTATTTTCTTATTCAATACTCATTTCCTTTGTCATTCTCACATTCTACCTTGCATGGTACTACGTTAATGGAAAATCACCAATATGTTAACTTCATTAAAAGGGGTTAAAGTCGTCCGCCCCCACCTAAAAAGTTGTGTCATTGTAGATGAGAACGAAAGTGAAAAAAAAAACTGTAAGTGTTTTAGCTTTGATAGACCAGGCTGCCTTGGAAAAAAGAAAAGTCAAAATCACATAATTAGGATTTGTCAAATGGTGCTTTTCTCTATAAAATTGGGTTGTTTAAACTTGTCCAGTTTTTTCTTGATCAAAATTATTATGCTCATTGGTAATTTTCAAAGAACACATCAGAAGTTAGAAATATGCATCATGAACATTTAAGCTGATGTGACTTTATATTTTTATTATAAAGTTTAATCATTCTTTTATATTGATGGAATTTTTAATGATTAAACTATTGAACATCATTTATTTTGAAAGAGATTAGAGAGGAAGGTTAAAAACTCATCTTTAAATAACAGTTAAATCAGAATTGCTTTTCCATTAAGATTTTTTAAGCAATATAATTAGATTCAACTGCATCCTTATTTTTCCTGCCACTATATATGACTAAAATTTGAAGGCAAAAAACTGATTTTGATCAAAATTTAAAAAATAAGGAATTCAATAAATCAAGCAAATATGGTTTTAGCAAATTCTAAAATCTGTAGTGCAACCAGGTTTGGTGGCTCATGTCCATATCTCAGCACTTTGGGAGGCTGGGGGGTGGGGAAAATCCCCTGAGCCCAGGAGTTTCATACTAGCCTGAGTAAAATAGTGAGACTCTGTTTCTGCAAAACTGAAAAAAATAAAATTAGCCAGCATGGTGGCACGTACCTGTAAGCCCAGCTACTCAGGAGGCTGAGGTGGGAAGATCGCTTGAGCCCAGGAGTTTGAGGCTGCAGTGAGCCATAATTGCACCACTGCACTCCTGCTTGGGTGACAGTGAAACCTTGTCTCAAAAAAAAAAAAAAATTCAGTAGTGGATAAAGTTCAAGCGATTCTCCTGCCTCAGCCTCCCGAGTAGCTGGGACTACAGGTGCGCACCACCAGGCCCAGCTAATTTTTGTATCTTTAGTAGAAATGGGGTTTCACCATGTTGGCCAGGATGGTCCGGATCTCTTGACCTTGTGATTTGCCCGCCTCAGCCTCCCAAAGTGCTGGGATTACAGGCATGAGCAACCACACCTGGCCAAGGTATCCTATTTCTTGCAGTGTTGTACTTGGCTTAACTTTCAAAGTTGATCTCCCAGTAGACCTCTCTATCTTCCAGTGGCAAATCTTTATTGGTAACAGAGTGAGTGCGATGGAACATGGACTGAATTTGTGTGGTAATGTTTTTATTTGTATGCAACATCTTTTGTCCACTCACTACTAACTGCACTGGGATAGAATTCAAAACACAAAACTCTTACATTGAAAAAAAAGGAATCAGTTTAATTAAAAGAAACAAAATACTCTAAATTTAAAAACTCAGGAGAACATCTAGACTAGAAAAAGCAAACAAACATTAATGGAAGCCTGTAAGAAAGGAGAGAGACTTCAATGTGTTTACTTTTGGAAGTATAGAATGAGGTGAGTATAAAATAGCAACCATCAGAATGAAGCTCAGGCCAAAAGTCGACTGGGATAAAAACTAGTTAGTCCCCGCAGGTGTAGACTACTTTTATGGTAATGATATTATAATGAAAAAAGCCAGAAACAATTGAACTACACAATAATTGATAATGGTGTGATGAGTGTTGGGAGAATTTGGGGGCAGGAAGTGGCAAGGGTTTGTATAGTGAATAACAGATGATCTTTGAAGCTGATCTTAGATTATATATGGTGAATAAAAGTGTTCTGGATATCTGACCTCAAAAATAATTGGATTCCGATGGTCTTGTATCTTCCGGTGGCATGGTTAATTTTGGCGAATCCATACACAACCAAGTCTGAGTAACTACGTTCTGAAATAAAACACTTCCTTTTTCTGATAACATTTTTAAGTTGGCTTGCTTTACCAACAATTGTTCTCCTTTTGTTCTTTCTCTGACTTACGTCTTACAAAGCAAGTAAAAGCTTTCCCAAAGGAAGTAGGAAGGAAAAGTTTGAGAGTCAACACATTTGAGAGTCTGCAAAAATCACTGAGAAATTGTTTTGTGGAGCAAAGTCTAGAGTTAGAAATTGTGCCCCAAGCTTCTGAGATATAGCTAGTATCACGAATGCTTGAATGACCACAAACATGGGTAGTGGCTTTTAAATTCTTTATTATAATATGATGGAAGCATTTCCATGGATCGTCTTCAGCACCTGAAGTGTGGAGCTTATCAAAACTTTACATGTCCTGTTGGTTTAGCATGTGGACTGCATTTCAAAAGATCAAGAGTACCAAGATCAAGCATTGTTGTTGTGATACTTTTTTGAATGACTGCTTCCTGCTTGGCTGAACGCGTTCTTTGATACTTTTTTTTTGTTTTTTGTTTTTTGTTTTTTTGAGACAGAGTCTTGCTTTGTCTCCAGGCTGGAGTGCAGTGGCGTGATCTCGGCTCATTGCAACCTCCACCTTCAGGGTTCAAGCACTCCTGCCTCAGCCTCCCGAGTAGCTGAGACTACAGGCACACACCACCATGCACAGCTAATTTTTGTATTTTTGGTAGAGATGGGGTTTCACTATGTTGGCCAGGATGGTCTTGATGATCTCCTGACCTCATGATCCTCCCGCTTCAGCCTCCGAAAGTGCTGGGATTACAGGCATGAACCACAGCGCCCAGCCTGATTCTTTTTAGAATTTTTCCTGAGCTAAAACCCTATTCCTTAGCTGCTTTTCTTCCATTCTTATTAAAATTCACAGAGAATATTGAAAGTAACCAATTATGAAATATGTAGAACTAAAAGTAAGATGATTTTGAACATAAGCCATGGCATGGTTAACAAAAATGCCATTAACTCTATTGGAAAACATACCTTACATGAATAATAATACACCATGATATGAGCACACATTAATTAATTTAGTTAATTATGTCTATATGGATTACTCATGTCTGCAAAATTAGGAGGACATTATTAGACCTTATTTCTGCCAATAGGGAGAGTTAGCATTTAGTTTAAATAATATAGCTGTTGGAAATAGATGGGCACTTAGAGATTATGCAGATAACTTTTCCCATTTCATAGAGTTGTAATTTGATCATAGTTGTTGAGCTAGTTCCTCTCTCACCCCTAACCCCCTCTGCACATACTCAACTCCTCATATCTATACACTTAGTTCAGGACTCTTTTGAGTTCATCGCAGGATCACAGTAATGTTCAGTTATAAAGCATCCCCAGGGCGAAATGTATATGATTTGTCCATCCATAGCTAGGTATCAGGGCTAAGGTGAGGAGCTGAAGATTAAGTTGGAGAGTGTAACAATATAATAATTTACTGTAAGTATTTAAAGAAGCTTCTATTTTATTTATGTGCAAGGGCAAGCTAGCACCAAATTATTTGCTATGAATGCTGAATATTTCTTTTTTATCACATATTACACTTAACACCTAAAAATGAATTCATTGAGAAATATTGGTTAATTACTTTTTTCAGTATGATTTAATATTGGTTTTAACATTTGAGTGATACTGAAGTCACTGGTTAGTTATCAAAATTCAGTTAAAGGGAGAAGGTTTTATTATCTGACATGACTAAAGGAATGCCAGGAAGTGATTTATATACTGATTAGTTCAGAACATGTCCTTGAACAATTATAGCTGCTTATTTTTTGTCATCTTCCTGGCAGCTGCCAAATTGTAATGCTTAATGATTCAACTTAAATTAACTAAAATGAATCCTTGTGGAAAACTATAATACCTGTCTAGTACAAGAGAGCTGATTATATTGCCTTCATTTACACAGAATGTATTCATAATTCACTGACACCCTCCAATCACTAAGTTATGGATATTTTTTTCCCTGAGCAAATGGAGAAATAGAACTTTGTGCAGATGTTCATGCCATTTATGGCACATTGTGTAGAATGGTCAAAGTGCTGTTGCTACCTCATGGAAATACTCAACTGAAGTTTAAATCACAAACCAAAATACAAGAACAATTTGAAGATACATACTATATATAATGTTGTTTCTTCAAGCATTTATCTTTACTATAATTTTTAATAAATAGTTTTAAATGCATGGGAAATGTTACTAAAATTTTAAAATAAATGATGTGGACAATATTAAATTACAGCAGAGCACAACATTTCATGGAATACTTGAATGTTCTTGATTTTTCCAATTTTTAATTAAACCAATTACAGGAAAGTAAATGCAAACTGTCAGAGTTTGAAATATAGATAAATGCATATAACATATAGAGAAAGTAAAACATTAAATTTTAAATTAATTTCAAAAATGGAAACATTCCCGTTATCCTCAAATCTTTCTTTTTTTCTATTGTAAAAGATCTTATTTATAGGCCATAAGAAGCATTAGTAGTACAGCTATTTAAAATGTACAGCTTAATTAATTATTTTTACTCTAATCTGTCCTTGAGTGAAATAGTTCAAAGTGTGAGAATTGCCGGGCCAACATCCTCCAGGTTGTAATGGCTCTTGAAAAATCACAGGAGTGGAACTAGTGAACTGAATGACTACTTCAATAGCAGAAACCAGATATTAAGAGGGCCTTAGGAAAACACACTGACTTGGAAATAGTTGATTTCATGGTTTCATGTAGATTCTGTCAATTTTGTTTTCTTAAAGATAACTTTTTTCAGCATAGGAGAACTGTCCTCTTATTCTCTACCTTTGTTTTCCATAGAATGACTGTCATCAAATCCCAAATGGTCAAGTTGGAACAGAATAAAAACTCAGTGCATTCTATCATTTTTACTTAAATATTTAAGAAAATATCACTCAAAGATAATTTCCTTCCATTTACAAATTTGGGGTGATTAGTTATTCTTGTTTTTGAAGAAATTTGAAAATCTTTAAATCGTTTGATTTCTAAAATACTGCATAGTCTGTTGGGAGTCATAAACACTGACAAGTAATTCTTTTAGTTATAATGAAGACACTAAATCTGATCCTTTATTTCTGATCCTTCATTTTTACCCTAAATTTTCTTAATTTACTACTTTTTGGATTTTATTAATATTTTAATTGACAGCTAATAATTGTACATATTTATGGTATACAGTGTGATTTTTTGATACATGTATACAGTATGTAATGATGAAATTATGTTAACCATCACCATTTGCATTTTCTTTGTGTTGGGAACATTGAAAATTCACTCTTTTAACTATTTGGAAATATTCAATAAATTGTTGTTAACTATAGTCACCCTACAGTGCTATAGAACACTAGAACTTATTTCTCTCTTATCTAGTTGTAATTTTGCATTTGTTAACCGACATCTCCTTTTTCTACTTCTGCCACCCTCTAGTAACCACTATTCCATTCTCTACTATGGGATCGATGTTTTTAGCTTCTACACATGAGTGAAAACATGTGATATTTATCTTTCTGTGCCTGGTTTATTTCACTTAAAATAATGTCCTACAAACTTCCATGTTGCCATGAATGATAGTGTTTTATTTTATTTTATTTTATTTTATTTTATTTTATTTTATTTTATGGCTGAATAGTATCTCATTGTGTATACGTACCACATTTTCTTTATCTATTGCCCTGCTGATGAACAGTTAGGTTGATTCTGTATTTCGGCTATTGTGAATAGTGCTGTAATAACACATGGGAATGCAGATATCTTTTTGACATACTAATTTTCTTTCCCATGGATATAAGCTCAGTTGCAGGATTGCTGGTTCATATAGTAACTCTATTTTTTATTTTTTGAGACCCTTCAATATTTTTTTCATAATGGCTGTTTTATGTTCCCACCAACAGTATATGAGTCCCCCTTTCCACACATTTGTTATTTTTTGTCTTTTTGATAATAGCCTTCCTAACTGGGGTGAGATGATATCTTATTTTGGTTTTGATTTGCATTTCCCTCATGATTAGTGATGTTGACCGTTTTTTCAGATACCTGTTGGCCATTTATTTGCATGTCGTCTTTTGAGAGATGTCTATTCAGCTTATTTGCCCACTTTTTTTAATTGAATGATTTTTTTTTCTGTTGAGCTTTTTAGGTTCCTTATGTATTGTGGATATTAATCACTTACCAAATAAATAGTTTACAAATATTTTCTTCTCTGTAGATTGTCTCTTCACTCTATTAATTGTTTTCTTTGCTGTGCAGAAGCTTTTTAGATTCATATAATCCCAATTGTCTATTTTTGCTTATGTTGTCTCTGTTTGTGAGGTCTTTTTCATAAAATATTTTTCAAGACCTATAATATCTTAAAGCATTTCCTTTATGTTTTCTTTTAGTAGTTTTATAGCTTCAAGTTTTACATTTAAGTCTTTAATCCATTTTGAATTTTTTTATATGATGAGATACAAGGTTCTAGTTTCATTCATCTGCATATGGATATCTAGTTTTCCCAACACCACTTATTGAGGGGACTATCCCCAATCAATATTCTTCAAGTCTTTGTCAAAAATGAGTTGGCTGTAAAAACATAACTTTATTTTTAAGTTATCTGTTGTTGCATTGGTCTAATTGTCCATTGTTATGCCAGCAGCATGCTGTTTTGGATTTTTACAACTATATTTTGAAGTTAGGTTTTGTGATGTCTTTATCTTTGTTTTTTTACTTTTCTCAGGATTGCTTTGGTTATTTGGGAAATTTTGTGATTTCATATAAGTTTTAGGGTTCTTTCTATTTCTGTAAAAAAATGTCATTGGTATTTTGATAGGGATTGCATTGAATTTATAAATCACTTTTGGTAGTGTCATTTTCACAGTATTGATTCATCTAAACCATAGACATGGGATGTCTTTCCACCTTGGTGTCCTCTTCAATTTCTTTTATCAGTGTTTTATAGTTTTCCTTGTTAAAATATTTCACTTCTTTGGTTAAATTTATTCCTAGGCATTGTATTTCCTTAAAACTATTGTAAATGGAATTGCTTTCATGATTTCTTTTTCAGTTAGCTTGTTGTTGGTGTATAGAAATGTTACCATTTTTTGTATTTTAATCATTTTATTCTTCAAGATTACTAAATTATTTATCAGTTATAAGAGTTTTTTGGTGGAGCTTTTAGGGTTTCCTATATGGAAGATCATGTTGTCTATGCACAGGGACACTCTGACATTCCCGTTTCCAATTTTGATGCCTTTTATTTCTTTCTGTTACCTAATTGCTCAGACTGAGACATCCAGTATTATGTTGAGTGATAGTGATGAGAGTGGGAGTGCATTCTTATCTTGTTCCAGTTCTTAAAGAAAAAGCTTTCAGCTTTGCTTCATTAAGTATGATGTTAGCTTTGTGCTTGTCATATATGGCCTTTATGCATTACTTATTTACTTAATTTGTTGAGAGCTTTTATAATGAAGGGATTTTGAATTTTGTCACATGCTTTTTCTGTGTCTATTAAGATGATTATATGGTTTCTGTTTCTTATTCTGTAACATAATGTATCACATTTATTGATTTGCATACACTGAACCATCCTTGAATCTCTATAATAAACTCAACTTGATCGTGGTGAATGATCTTTTCAGTGTGCTGCTAGATCCAGTTTGCTAGTATTTTGTTGAGAATTTTTGTACTGATATTCATCATGGATATGGGTCTATACTTTCTTTTTTGTGGTGTCCTTATTTGGTTTTGATATCAAGGTATGCTGAGATTATAAAATGAGATTTGAGGAATTCCTTCTTTTTTAATTTTCTGGAAAAGTTTGAAAAAAATTATATTAGTTCTTCAAATGTTTGGTAGAATTCAACTGTGAAACCATCCAGTCCTGGGCCTTTCTCTGATGGGAGACCATTTATGAATGATACAATCTTGTTTTTCCTAAATGCTATGTTTACATTTTCTTTTTCTTCTTGGTTCAGTGTTGGTAGGTTTTATGTGTTTATAAATGTATCCCTTTCTGTTAGGTTTTCCAATTTGTCAGTATGTAGTTGTCCATAATAGATTCTACTAATCTTTTGTATTTCTGTGGTAACAGTTGTAATGTCTCCTTTTTGATTATGATTTTTGGGGTCTTTTGTTTTTTTTTCCTGGTTACCCTAGATAATGGTTTGTCAATTTTGTTTACCTTTTTGTAAAATGACTTTTCATTTTATGATTTATTGATTTTATTTTTTATTTTCAATTTCATTTATTTCTGCTCCAATCTATAGTATTTCTATCCTTCTACTAATGTTGAGTTTTGTTTACTCTTGCTTTTAAGTTCCTTAGGGTGCATTATTAGGCTGTTAATTTGATATCTTTCTACTTGATGATGAAGACATTTATTTTTATAGCCTTGCCTATTAACAATGCCTTTGCTGTATCCCATAGGTGTTGACATGTTCTGTTTCTATTTTCGTTTGTTTGAAGAAGTTTTTAAATGTCCTTCTTAATTTTTTTATTAACCCAATGGTCATTCAGGAGCATGTTGTTTAATTTCAGTGTGCTTTCAAGAGTTTCTCTTTTAATTGATTTCTAGTTTTGTCCCATTGTTAAAAAATATACTTGGTATGACTTCCATTTTTAAAAAATTTGATGAAATTTGTTTTGTGGCCTAAAATATGGTCTATCCTGGAGAATGTCCCATGTGCTCATGAAAAGAATGTTTATTCTGTAGCTGTTGCATAAAATGTTCTATAAATGTCTGTTAGGTCCATTTGGTTTAAAGTGTTATTTAAATCCAATGTTTCCTTATTGAATGTCTATCTAGATCCTCTGTTCAATACTGAAAGTGGAGTGTTGAAGTTTCTATTATTGGAGCCTATCTTCCTTTCTTCAAAATTAATAACATTTGGTTTATATTGTGTGCTCTAATGTTGGGTGTATATATAATTATTTACAATTATTCCATCCTCTTTGCCATTACATAATGACCTTCTTTGTCTCTTTTCACACTTTTTGACTAAAAGTTACTTTTGTCTGATGCAGATATAGTTACTTATGCTCACTTTTGGGTTTTGTTTGCGTGGAATATCTTCTTTCTCCCTTCACTTTCAGTCTATGTTTGTCTTTATAGGTCAAAGAAATTCCTTTTTAAGTAGCATACTGCTGGGTCTTGTTTTATTATTCTTTCAGCCAGTCTATATGTTTTAATTGAGGAATTTAATCATTTTCATTCGAGGTTATTATTAATAGGATATACTCCTGTTGTTTTTTAAATTGTTTTATTGTTTTGTGTAGTTTGTTCCTTTATCCACCTCTTATTATTTATCATTGTGGTTTTTTTGTTGATGTTGTTGTGATAAGGTTTGGTTTCTTTCTCTTTCTCTTTTGTGCATCTTGTGCATCTGCTTTACCACTTTATACTTTTGAGTGTTTTCATGTAGATTATCCTTTTGCTTCTAGATGTAGGACTCACTTGAGCATTTCTTGTAAGGTTGGTCTGGTGATAATGAATTCCCTCATTTTCACTTGTCTGGGAAATATTTGATTTCTCCTTAATTACTAAAGGTTAGCTTTTCTTGGCATAATTTTTTGGCTGGCAATTTTTTTATCTTTCATTTCTTTGAAATAATGTAAAAACCTTTACATTATTTCCTGGTCTGTAAGGTTTTAGCTGAGAAGTCTGCTGTTAATGTAATGGGGATACCCTTATATATGACTTTACACTGTCGTCTTTCAGTTTGTAGCATTCTGTCTTTGACTTTTGACAATTTAACTAGAATGTGCTTCAGAAAGGAACTTTTTTGAGTTGAATATATTTTGAGATCTGCAAGCTTCCTGAATCTGACTGTTTATATCTCTATCAAGATTTGGACAATTTTCAACTATTATTTAATTAAATAGGTTTTCTACAGATTTTCTCATCTCTTTTCCTTCATAATTACCACAATGAAAATATTTGTTCATTTAATGGTGTCTCATAGTTCTGTAGACTTCCTTTACTTTTTTTCATTATTTCTTCTTTCTCTGACAGAATAATTATAAGTAATCTATCTTCAGATTAAGAAATTCTTTATTCTGCTTGATCTAGTCTGATGTTGAAACTCTCAGTTATATTTTTTTATTTTATTCATGGAATTAGTTTCAGGGTTTATGTTTGGTTCTTTTTATGATATTTATCTTTTTATTAAAATTCTAATCCATTTGGTATTTTTCCTCTCTGATTTTGTTGAATTGTTTACCTGTATTTTTTTTTTTTTTTTGGACCATGGTGCATTATCTTAAGATTATTATTTTGAATTTCTCTTCTGGCAATTTATAGATTTTCTTTTCCTTTGGGTCAGTTTCTGGAGAGTTATTTTGCTCCTTTGGTAGTGTCATATTTCCTTCTTTTTTTTGTTTCTTGTGTCCCTGCTTTGTTGTCTGTGCTTCTGGTGGAACAATCACCTCTTCAAATGTTATGGTGTGGGCGTTACAGAGAAAGATGTTTATCCACAGATGGGTCTTAGTGTACTGGTTACGAAGGGTGTGATGACTCAGGTTCTGAGTAAAAGCAGTGATACAGTCTCTGTGAAACTTCTTAAGCAGCAATCAACATCAGTAATAACTATGAGTGTCTCAATAATTTTGACTATGGAAGTTTGTGGTAGCAGCAGAGGTAGCATATGTTGTTAAGGTCTTTGGTGGCAATGGGTTTTGATGGAGATTTAGCCAAGGAGATCCCTCTTTGTTTTGGGTCTGACATAGGCGACAAGCAACTGTGGTGGCACAGGGTTCTAGTTGTTTGGAGTAGCTATGGAGCCTGGGTCATAGGCTTAAGGTCTTGTGAACCTACTTTGGCACCTGGGTCATGAGGTGCAACTTCACTCTTTGTTCCAGAATTGGATGTTGATTGCTCAGACAACCAGGATCTATGACTCTGAGACAACCCCTAGCAGCTTGGGCTCAGTGGGTCAGGATGTAGCTGTGATTCTGCCCCTGTGGGCACAACACGGGCCAAACTCTGAGGAAGAAAGGATTCTCTGGAGGTTTGGGCGTGAGGAGCAAAGTATGGCTGAATTTGGGAATCAGAGACAATAGGTCTCAGTGGTAACTTGGCTCCCAAGGAATAAGTCAGCAGATAGTGGTGACTCTAGACCCTGGGATTGTAGGACTTGTCAGTATCCCAGATTCTGAGGCCAAGTGCAGTAGCAGTAAGTAGTCCAAAATGGCAGAACACAGCTGTTGCTTGGACCCTGGGGGCAAGGGGCAGCTCAATAATAATTGTACTTCCCAGAGAGAAGGTATCTCAGCAGCTTGGACTCAAGGAGTCTAGTCGAGCTTTAGGGAAATGGAGTATTAGAGTTGTTTGTCTTATGGGGCAGGGTGTCTCAGCCTAGCCATTTTTGTTTCCATGGAATGTGGGGTACTATAGCAGCTCAGACTTGGGATGTGCCGCTGCTTAGTTCAGCCAAGCTACCAATTCCCCAGGTTGCAATGTGTCACTTCAGCTCAGGATCGGGGGTGAGGGTGTGATTGTTCTAGGTAGCCCAGGAACTGTTTCCCTGGGATGTAGTGCATCCCTTCAGCTTAAGTATTGTGCATGATCACTGTGGGTGACCACACCCCCATTTCATAGGAGTCAGGCTGCTGCTTTAACTTAGGCACTGTTGAGGTTCTGGCTGACCAGGGTACAGTATGTTTTCCCAGGAGGTGTGATACTGCTTCAGCTCAGGCACAGGTATGTTACTTCTCTGAGAGGCCAAGGAACAGTTTCCCTGAGAAGCTAGGCATTGCTTCAGCTTTAGCGTAGTGGGCAAAGTGCAGCCAAAACTGGGAGGGGTATATGGAGTGGCTCCATCAAAGCATCATGTCCCTGGGAGGCAGTGCACAGCTTCAGCTTGAATACCATGGGGCAAATCTCAGCAGCAACTGGGATGGGTTTTTGAAGTGTCTCTACCAGGGCACTCTTCCCTCCGGAGGCAGTGCTCAACTCCAGCTGAGGCCCCTAGGGACAAGTGCAGCAGTGGCTAGAAGGTATAGATAAAGCAACTCTGGCCAGGTACTGTTTTTTCAGGAGGAGGTGAACAACTTTAGCTCCAGCCCCTAGTTGCTGGGCTCAGCAGTGACTCTTGGGTATACATGGGATGGTTCTGCCAAGGCACTGTTTTCATGAGAAGCAGTAAGAGCTTCAGCTCAGCCTTCTAGGGGTAGGGCTCACCTGCAACTGGGAAGGGTAGGGTGGAGGACTTCTACAACTGCTTGACCCCCTGGCGAAGGGGTTAGCAGCTACTTGTGGAATGGCTTGGGAATGTCAGGACACTGGGCAGGGCTGGTTTGGCAGCAGCTTAGTCTCAGTGATAAAAGAGTGCCATGGCCACTCACCTCTGGAGCCACATACACACCATCAGTAGTTGCAGTTCCAAAATGGCATAGCAGAGAAGCCATGCAGGGTACAGGGAGTGGGACACAGTGTCACTCCTTCTCTGGGGGAAGCATAGCCGTGTGGACTCCAGGCAGCTCCTTCAGCTGGGCTTCGTGCCTGTGAGGACTGCGGGGGTCCCCAGTGGTGAGTACTGTAAGTGTCCAAGGTGTTAATGGGAGCTACTGGGATCCTTTTGTTTACCTTTTCCCCACTGGGAGAAGTTCCTCCTGACTCCCAGCTCATCCCAGGAGAGGAATGAAGTGGTGAGGGCCAGGTGTTTCTTTCAGTTTTCTGTGTGGCTATCCTGAGCTTTTCTGCTCACTAGGGTTTCTGTTACTCCTTCGATGTACTCTGGTGCTCTCCTTTATTTACTTTCATGAAAATGCAGTTGTTTATTTGTTGTTTTGGCTGTTTTTGTTGGGAAATGAGCACTAGGGATTTCTTATCAAACATCTTGCTAATGTCAGAATCCCTTGCCACTTATTTTAAACTGTGCAGAATTTCAGGTGAAAATATAATTTCTTTATAAGTAAATATCCTTATTTAATTAAAACAAAAAATGTAAATAAGTAAAACTTCCCATATAATGAGGGATCTGGTAAATTGGCACCATTTCAATTTTTGTTGAGAATATTAATATAGAAAAGTAAACATGTTTTCTAAGTGTAAAAATTGAAGAATCTTAAATCCTAATTTTCAAACATTTTATTATTACATGGGTTAAAATATGCTGTGGCCAATAATATATCTTCAAAAAATTACAATTCAGAAAAAATGATATATAAAACAATTTTTATGACATATATTCATCATATCTTTAAATGTTCATGTAAAAGTTCAGCAATGTGTGTATATATACAGATATATATGTCATAAAATAAAATATATATTATATATTATTACGTAATAAACAATTAGAGGAATATGGAGTATGTTTGCCATATTCTTCAGGCTACTTTTTTTCCACTTAGAATCTGCCGTGAAAAAAAATCTGTTTTTCTCAGTGTGCTTCCATTTTTCCTCTGAAAATTGCAATAAAAAAATCCTAAAGTAATACTATCTTCTTAAATTGCAGCTAAATCATACCAGTGTTTCTTGAAAGACACACTTTAAAAAATATACAAGTAGATCTTTCAGGATATCAATGTTTCTGAAACAACAAGAGTGGCTTTAAGTTATGCTGAAATGCTAAAACTTAGTATATCTTAAGCTCCTGACTAGATTTAATTTGAAATACTTTTATAACAAAGAGCTTCTCAGAGTCTATTTGGTGCCTTGCTTTCTTCTGATTTTTAATTAAACTGTATACATCACAAGAAGTCCTGTAATTCTGTATATATTTGTTTCTCTATTTAAAAATTTTACTTTTTAATTGAGGAAAGCCATTGATGACTGGAATAAGAGAGTTTCCATTTTTATGCTGTCAAGGTTAATCATTTTGGAAGTCAGGAGGATATCTTAGTATTGAATGCCAAATAGCTTTCAATGACATTTATCTCCTAGCATAACATTTTTTATTGATTATATGAGTATTCATATTTTAGTGTTTGCTTTTTGAATGTTACATAAGCAGTATTGAAAATAAACTTGATAAATGTGTGCTGAAAGTTCTGGTACCATTTAGAAATAACACTTATATGATATATTTGATTAAAGTGGTTTTAAATTCTAATAGAAAATCTGAAATCCAAGGATATCTCTTAGTTTTTGTTATTGTATGTGGAAAACAATACATATTGCTAAAGTGAATATCTAAAGGATTTTTAATTTGCTACCAGGTTTCAAAAATAAGGAAAAAAATTTCAGTTGTGCCACATTACAAGTTAGTAAAATAGGAAAATCTTAGTTCAGAAAAACTAAAGAATGTAAGGAGAGTTTATATTGTAATGTGGCATTGTATTCATCTAATTAAATCTTCCATTACCCAATTTCAATCACATTTCAAAGTCATGTATTCTTTGAATAAAATTCTCTTTCAATGAATGCAAAATGCACTAACTCTATATTACTATCAGAGGAGAGATAAATTATTGACAAAACAACCCAAAGAGTGTTATCTCCTTGTTACCCTGTCTACCCCTCCCTCCCATAGGGCTTGCACTTGTGTTAGTAATGAAGAAGCATCAGAATTATGACTGTGTCAAAAGACAACAGACCTTAGGCTTCTGTCCATCTACTTCAATCCATTCATCTTCTCACTTTTTCTGTCTATTCGGTAAAATATGAATAAAGTATGTAGTTCTTCATTTAAAAGACATTTGGCCTGGATTAAGATATAATAAGTGGTCACAATAGCTTTAAAACTCCTCTGAATATTTTGTTTTGAATGTAATTCCAGATACACTCAACACGGAAAGCAGTACTCTTAGTATTAAAACATGATTGAATGTCCTATAAAATGTTGGCATGATGAATCAATTTTCTCATGAAATTGCTTTGATAAAAGTACTCCATTTTCTGAGTAACACATTGTTCTGTAGGTGTAAATCAATAGAATGACACCAGTAGAGGAAAAGTGGTTACAGTATTAGAAGACAGTAATCTGCTTCGTAAGGCTGAGCTGTACAATTGTGAACTGTCAGACTGCTTTCCATTTCAGATTAGTTTTGCCTTCTAAAGTAATGCTTCATAAATTTTTTAAAATTATCATGACAAGTAAAAGAAAAAGCATTTATATAGCTTGAATTATCTAAGCAATAGAAGAATGAAATAGAAAATATCAAATTTTATTTCATGGCACTATTCAGTATTAGTAATCTCTAATATCTCTCCAACTATCACTTTAATAATTTTCTTTGAAGCCTTGATTAGACTTTGTCTGTTGTTTCACAGTAGTGCATGTGTGTATGTGTGTGTGTTTGTGTGTGTGGGTGTGTGTGTGTGTGTGAAATAATAGAGCATTTAGCTTATCATGGATTCATGGATTAGATATGGGAAACTTTGAGTTCTATGCTTGGTTCTGTAACTTAGTGTTTAATATTTAAGAAAACATTTAACACTTTGAACAGTTTCCTGGTATTAAAAATATGTACCATCTTATACCCTAGAATTGTTATTATAAGCACAACAGTAATTTAAGTTCCTTGTCTTACATTTAATTTTTTTATTTAATTTTACTTTACTTTTCAACTTAAAAAAATCTCAGCTGGGGCATGGTGGCTCATGCTTGTAATCCTAGCACTTTGGGACGCTGAAGCAGACAGATCGTTTGAGGCCAGGAGTTGGAGACCAGCCTGGCTAACATGGTGAAACCCTATCTCTACTAAAAATACAAAAATAGGTGTGGTGGTGCATGCCTGTAAATCCAGCTACTCAGGAGGCTGAGGCAGGAGAATCACTTGAACCCAGGAGGTGGAGGTTGCAATGAGCCAAGATCGTGCCACTGCACCCCAGCCTGGGTGACAGAGCAAGACTGTGTCTCAAAATAAATAAATAAATAAATAACAGAAAAGAAAAGAAATTTAAAAAAGAAAAAAATCTCAAATGGCTACAATATAGAGAGAAAATTATTATTAATCTCATGTGCCAATCACCCAGCTTTAATACTTCTCAACTTACAGCAAATTTTGTTTGCCAAACACCCCCTCTAATGTCTAGTCTCTAGATAATTGTGAATCAAATCTCACACAGTAAGACATTGTATCTGTAAACATGTTAGTACTTTGTATCTATAAACATGTTAGTGAATGTTAGTTACACTAAACATGTTAGTGTAAACAAAAAGAAATTGTTTTTATCAGTTTCCATTATTGCAAAACCATTAGTATATTTTCGAATAATGGTTCCTTAATTTATCAAATATTCAGTCAAAATATCTGCAGCTGTCTTTTAAAAATCATACTGAGTCACAATTTATATAAGATAAAGTCACTAAACTTTTAAAAGTAACTTTGAAAATATATAGGGTCTTATAATCACCACCACCACTAGGTATTGTGTTAGCTTGTAGATTGTCCATTGATATTCTTTATCAGTTTGAGGAAATTTCCTTTTATTTCTAATTTGCTGTATCTTCTTCTCATGAATCAGGGTTAAATTTTGTCAAATGCTTTTTCTTTATCTGTTGCAAGGATCTCATGTATTTTCTGGTTTATTTTGTTTATATAGTAAATTACATTAATCTTTTTTAAATATTAAAGCATTCCTGAGATAAACCATCTTAATAATCATGTATTATTTTTTATATAGTGTTAAATTTGAATTACTAATATTTTGCTTAAAATATTTAGATTGGTAGTCATAAAATATATTGATATATTATTTCTTGTAGTGTCTGTTAAATTTAGGTATTAGGGTTACTCTAGTTTTATAAAATGAATTGGAAAGTATTTCCAATTTTTCTATTTTTTTGAGGAAATTTGTATAGATGTTATTTTTTTCTTTACTTATATGAGTTTATATTAATTACTTGAGACAATTCATCCTTGAAACAATCTAATTCTTTCCTTCATTCTGTCGGGCTGAAAAGGCATGATACCTTTCCTCTTTATCCTAAGAGTCACAGCCGACACTTCTATAACAAAAGATAGGCTAACAAGAGAAAAGCATAACAATTTAATCACAGCTTTACGTGACATGGGAACCTTCAGAATGAATACCCAAAGACACAAGGAAAATGATTCATTTTTATGTTTAAGTTCAATGAAGAATGGACAGCCATGTAGAAATATGATCGGACAAGAAGGGTATGATCAAATGCTAGCAGACTGAGGTGAGAAAACTCAACCAGGCCTGTGTGGTCAGATTCTTTTTGGATTCTGTGTGTCGGTATGGGGCAGGATCTCTATGAAATGAGGGACTTATGACCTACTGTAGTACAAGGGTAGGATAGAAAATTTCTTCACGGCCAGCTCCTAGACAGAGAGGTGGGAAAAGTTACAGTAATCATTCTACCTTTTACGGCTGGCTGTGAAGAAAAGGAGTTTTAGTTTCTATCACTCACATTGGGGAAGAGGAATTGTATTTTTTATGGCTTGCCTCCAGGGAGAATGAGGGGCCAGAGATAGGAGGACAGGAGAAAGTCAGGGAGAAACTTTGCTTCTGAGGCTGCTTCTGAGGTCTTCACTTCGGGGTATTGTTTTCTGAGCACCAGTACATTCCACTAAATCCCCATTTATCTTTCTTTTTGTGTGTACACAATCACAAACATGTATATATATAGTTGTTCCAACTTCATTTATTGAAGAGCACCTTTTCCTCATGTAATTGCCTTTACACCTTTGTCAAAAATTAAGTAAGTATAATGTGTGAGCTATTTTGGTTTCTTTTCATTTTCCTATACATTTTAGAATTAGTTTGAGAATTTCAACAAAAACTTATGTTAAAATTTTGAATGGGATTTTACTGTATTATAGATAAGTCAGGGTAGAATTTATATCATAATTGTAATGAGTTTTGCTATTGTTAAATATGGCAAGCATACAATAACTTATTTAGGTTCTTTAATTCTGGCATCAGTTTATTAGTTTTCAGTGTAGAGATCTTGTACATATTTTAGTAAATGTATTTCATGTTTATTGTTATGAAATTGTTTTATGTTTAATGATTTAATTTTTAAAATAATGTTAGGCTGCAAAAAAGTTACAAAATAGTACAGAGAGTTCCTATAGAACCTTGACCAAGCTTCCCCAAATGTTAACATTTTAAATACCCATAATAGTTATGAAAACTGACATTGATACATTATTAATTAATCTACAGATCTTTTTCAAATTTCTGCAACTGTATTAATAAACTCTCTTCTAAACCAGGGTCAAATCCTGGATCACACATTACATTTGATGACCAGATTTCCTTGTTGAGAGTTAATATTAGATATTACCCCAGTCTTGCTTTCTCTTGCTTTAACTTTATGTATTTGAGGAGTATTGGCCTGTTGTTTTTTAGCATGTCCCTCAATTTGGGTTTATTTGATATTGTCTCATGATTAAATTCTGGTTATAAATGTTGGGAGGGAGATTATAATAGTGACATTTGCCCTTCTCAGTAATGCTAACTTTGATCACTTGGTTAAAGTGACATTTTATTCCACTGTAAAGTTACTATTTATTCCCTATGAAACTAATTAATATTCTTGTAGGAAGAGTTTTTGAAACTATGTAAATATTGTAATCCTCATTGTATCTTAGCCCACTAATTTTAGCATTTGTTTCATGTTTTTGCCTGAAACAGTGATTTAATGTAAATCTTGCCAAGTGATAATTTTCAATTTCAATTAGTTTCTTCCATATTTATTAACCAGAAATCTCCTCTAAGGAAGAACTTTCCCTTGTTTATTTGTTAACTTGGTTTTTTTTTTTCAATTATTTATGTCAGTGTGGAATCATGGAAATTTATTTTATTTATTCCATAGATTATAATCTAAAACTATTTTTATTTGTTTCTCCAATGTCCCCCCATATGGCCATTAAGAGGTCCTCCAAGTGTACTCCCATGTTCTCTTGACATGCCTCGTCAGTTTTTCAACAAGTTCTTTATTTCTGGCCCCACAAGATATTCCAGGCTGGCACTGGACTTTTTTCTGCACTGAGTACTTAATATGTTTCTGCTGCTGTTACAAATCTGCAGTTGATTTAATTTTAATTTCTATTTTTTCCTTCCTAGTATACAGAAATACAATTGTTCTTTGTATTCTCTGTACTTACTCTGGTCATTTCTTAGTTCTAATAACTTTTTGTGGAACTTTTAATATATTCTACATATATGAGCCTGTTGTGTGTGTCTCTGAATTGGGATCCAGATAAAGTCCATATATTGCAAATAACTGATATGTCTCTTAAATATTTTTAATCTAGTTTTCCTTTTTATCTTGGTTATTTAGGAGGCTTGGAAATTTTCGGTTGTTAAAAAAAAACAGTTAATTTATCTTGTAGAATTTTGAAGTCTAGATTTGCATACTGTATACTATGACATTGTTTAACATGTTCAATTGTCCTTGTATTACATAGTATGTCAGTTAGATCTATAAACCAATTAGATATTTTTGCAAGACTATTATCTGTTTTTCTGTACTATTATCAAAAATCATAAAATGTTTTTGATATTGTAGCCTATACTTATATTTCCTTACTTGTTTGACAGCACAAATTGTGATTTAAAGTTTGTTTTTTTTTTTTTTCCTTTTGGAGACAGGGTCTGGCTCTGTTGCCCAGGCTGGAGTGCAGTGGTGGCATTACAACTCACTGCAGCCTCTACCTCCCAGGTTTAAGCTATCCTCCCACCTCAGCCTCCTGAGTAGCTGGAACTACAGGCACATGGCACCACACCCAGCTTTTTTTTTGTATTTTTTGTAGAGGTTGTTGCCATGTTGCCCAGGCTGTTCTCAAACTCTTGGGCTCAAGTGATCCCCTCGCCTTGGCCTCCTAAAGTGCTGGGATTTCAAGTGTGAAGCACTGCACCCATCCTAAAACATTTTTATCACACCAAAAAGAAACCCTTCCCCACTTAGCTGTCAGTCCTCAAACTCTCACTCCCCTCAGCCCTAAGCAACCAGGTATCTACTTCCTTATAGATTTGCCTATTCTGGAAATTTCCTACAAATTAAATCATATAATATGTGGTCCTTTCTGATTAGCTTCTTTAATTGGAATAATATTTTCATGGTTCATTTATATTGTAGCATGCATTCATACTTCACTTACTTTTAACCATGAATGATATTCTATGATATGGGTATACCACATTTATTCATCATTAGATGGACATTTGAGTTATTTCTACTTTTTGACTACTATAAATATTGCTGCTATGATCCTTTCTGTACAAATTTTAGTGTAGACATATATTTTCATTTTACTTGGGTAAACTCGGATTTGTTCGGCCATACAGACACTATGTTTAACCATTTGAGGCACTGTGAAACTGCTCTCTAAAGTGGCTGTGCCATTCTCCATTCCCTCCAGCACTGTAGGAGAATTCTACTTTTCCACATCCTTGCTAATACTTGTTATTATCTTTTCCATGATAGCCATCTTAACACGTGTGAGGTGATATTTCATCGTGGATTTGACTTGCATTTTCCTGGTGACTAACCACTTTATTCTTTTGTTCAACAAGTATTTGTTGAGCGCCTAATATGCATCAGGTGATATTCTTTGGAGCTTAGGCTTCGTCACTGAACTGCACAGAAAGAGATCCCTACTGCCAAGAAGAATATATTCCTGGGAAGACAGATAATAAGCCATAAACCTAGCAAGTACAAAGGAGAGCTGAATAAGGGCATTGAGTGTGGTATAGTAAAGAGAGGCAAGCTGCAATAGGGAACTCAAGATAAGCCTCCTTCATAGAAAAAGTGATATTTGAGCAAAATCCTGAAGGGGTGAGCCAGATGGTTGTGTGAATATTTTGGGGAAGAGACTCACAGGCATAGAGAACAGCCAATACAAAGACATTATATGTGTTTGATGCATTTGAGGCATAATCCTGATGCATTTGTGGCTAGCACAGAGAGAACGGAAGAGCATAGGGGAGCACAGTAGATAATAGTTCCAGAGAGGTCACAGGGGGTCAGGCCATATAGGGCACTAGAGAGCATTTCAATAACTTTTGAGGCCCTTGGAAAGGATTAGATGTGCAGACACTCAAATCTGGATATAGGAAAGATGCCACTTTTACACATTTTTTAACTTTTGTATTACTGTTAAATTTTTGTATTGAATTTCTGTTTCATTAATAGCATTCTAATGAAGAAGATGAATTTTAAATTGAGACAAGTTTCTAAAGCATATATTTAATTTTAAAGATTATGGGTAAACAGACTTAATGATAATCCAAAATTTTTTGCAAGTCTAAAAATAAACAACATTTTCCAAATGTCTTATTCAAGAAATTGATGAGAGTTTGCTTATGAGGAAGAAAATTGTTGGGAGTTGAAGGTGGGAAGTAATGTATGCATAATTATTGTGATTGTTAAAAATGAATTAAAACTCACTTGGTATGTAAATCGTACTGTAATAAATTTGATTGAAAACTAGATGCATAGTTAAGAAGATGTGTATATGAAAATGCAAATAGTCATGTAGTCAGAACCCGTAGTAGTTTTTACTTTTTATTTTTAAAATATTTGCCTTTTAATTTGATATATTAAGAAATATCTTAGGATGACATCAACACATATTTATGAAAATTCAAATACAGAACTTACTTTCCCACCATTACATATACATTTGATAAATATTTCCATATTTATCAAAGTGACTCTGAGGTGGCCTATGGACATGTATGTAATTTAATTCTATAGTAAAGTAAACATTTTAGATATAACCTCCAGTCACAAAGCTTTGTCACTTTCTTAAAGAGACACTGAAAAAAAATTGTTTTTTTTTTAAATTTGTTTGTTTTGGTTGGCAATCATGAGAATGTTCAGAACAGTATGTTTCAAACAGATGTAGGGACGAAGGTAAGTCTTTCCTTGCCCATTGTTAAGTTCATAGCTGAGACCCTTATAACAAAAGACACAGTAACAAGAGAACAGCATATAAGTTTATTTTATATAACTTTTAAGTGACATTGGAGTCTTCAGAAATAAACCCAAGAAATAGTGAAATCTGTGAATTTTTGTGCTAAGTTTGATGACGAAGTGGATAGTTGTGGGGTAATATGATGGGAGGACCGTGTGGGTTATGATCTAATAGTAATATACTAGACTGTGGGGGGAACTTAGTAAGGCCTGTTTATTCAGATTCTTCTCCATGTCACTGTGCGACATTCCCTTCCTCCACGTATAGAGTACATTGTGGGGGGGCCTTTCCTCCAAGTATAGGGCAGATTAGGGTGTCCTTTCCTCCAAGGGCAGATTAGAGTCCTATGACCTACTTCACAAAAAGGCTAGATAATTCATTTATGGCTTGTTTCAGGGGAGAAAGGAGAGAGAAGGTCAGAGTTGCCTTCCTGCTTCTGCTGTTTTCTCAAATGCCAAGGTTCCATATTTTGGGGTAATGTGTCCTGAGCCCCGTTGGAGACACCCTGCCTCCCCTCATGTATACAACAAACAAACACAATTATTTGATTTCCAGAATTGAAAATCTTGTAGATGATCAGGGTAACTTCATCTACTTGTAACAGCTGCAGTTTTAATATTGTATGTGAATAGAAGCATCGGGCCAGCCAATGTCCATATCGTATGACTTGCTTAGATAAAACTCTGCTTTTTTATTTACCTCAAAGTTACTAAATAGACATAACAACCTTTGTACCCTTAGTAGAACTTTTCAGTTGACATGCCAGCAAAAAATAAATTGGAACACAAAGATTTCTCTAAAGTAGACATTAGTTTTACCTCTAAGCATAGATTTGATGATGTGATAAAATCAGAAGTTTAAAAAGCATTAAATTTACAAATGAAAATCCATTCTAAAAGTTAATTTTTAAGTTGATTTTTTAGTTTGCAACACTTTAAAAAATAAAGATTCAAAGAATATTTAAGATTTTAAAGCTTATTTAACAGGTCTAAACCAACTTATTTAACTCCTACAATATTCAGGCAAGAATATTAATAATTATAGCTAACAATTATTAAGAGCTTACTGTGTTGCCATGCCAAGTGTTTTATGTATATTATTTAACATTTTCCAGAATCTTATGACAAACACAATTACTAATATATACTAATAAGAGGTATTGCTAGATATGAATCCAAACCTCTGACTCTAGCACCCATGCTAATAGTCCTAGGCTGTATTTTTTTCAAATGTATGGAATGTCAAATTAAATTGGCCTTTCCTTGTTATTCATACATGCAAACACATTGAAAGACACATATTCATGCGTATGTATAACTACAGGATAGTTTTTGACTTGTAATCTAGCATCTAAAGTAATATTTGTTTTTTTTTTTTCCTGAGCGTCTGTGAATCTCAATTTGAAAGATTAATACTGGCATTTCAGAATGGTGTGGACATATGAGGTTTTGATTTAATATATCCTCTTTTGACTAGCTCTTCACTTTTTCTACTAAAATATTAAAAATCCAGGAGAGTTGTATTTAGACAGCGAGATCCAGAGAGTAAAATCATTGAAATATTTATCAAAGGTATGAGTTTGATCCTGGGAAGATTATGTCTATAGTTCTTCAGTAAAATACAAATGTTGGTAATACCATTCCACAAAGAAAAGATTTTATTTTGTGTACATACGCAAATAAAGTACAAAGCCTAGCTAGTAGTTCATATACATATACACACACACACACACACACACACACACACATACACACACTTTAAAAGAAGCAGCAGCAGCAGAAGAAATAAACTCATACAGCAGAAGAAAATGTTTTTTTAATCACTCATTTATTTACTATTCTATCAGTAAATAATTATTGAAAGTTAAGTATGTTTTAAGCACTTGGGTTACAAAAATAAAAAGATACAATTACTGGTTTCAAATATTTCAGTCTTTCCAGAGAGACTGAGAAAATAAAAGCTCTTGTAATATCCTCTATTAGTGTTCTAATGAATGTATACAAAAACTGTTCCGGATATGGAGAGGAAAAAGAAGCCATTTTACCTTGGGCAGCTGGAGGAGGATTCCCAAAGAAAAACACTGTTGAATTGACTGTCAAAATGAATGTGTCTGAAAGGAATTCAAAGTAGAAGGAACTCACTAAAAATATATATTCATCTTTTAAAGTAAAATACTCTTCATTGACACAAATCAGCTTATGAATCACAAACTGTTTAAATGTACTTAATTCAAAATTTTTGATAAGCTATAAATTTAATAATTGCAGTCATACATAACGGCAAGAAAATAAAAATATAAAACTTGCCCAGATTCCATTTAGCAGTGGCTATAACACCTCCATAATCTCACAGTTTATATTTATTCTCATGAGTCCTCTGGGTGACCTCAGGCAATATTTTACCTTTTCTCTCCTTAGAAAGGGAGCAGAGGTGAGCCATTGATTTTTCACTATCTTATTTTACAGATTAGGAGACTGAGTCCTAAGAATCAGAAAGAGTTATCCAAAGAAAAATGAAAAATAATGAGTCTCAGAATAGAGTTCTTTCCACTACTACTCTCTGGTGTATCTTCCATATCTTTTCTCTATCCTCCTTCTTCTGTTTCTTCCTCCAGGGGCTTCCCCATAGAAAAACTGGCTCTCTTTCCCGTCGGCTTCTGGTTGAGTTAGATAAATAGATTAGAAAGGGTCTACATAAAATCAAAGGGATTCATTCTTTAAAATCCCTCTCTGAAGGATCTGCCTCTTTAATGAAAGCTGGTGGCTCTTCTCAATGTGGCTCTCTTCTCTAGGCTTCTGAAAACCTCTCCAGCTCATTGGCCTTTCAGACCTAAGGATGTACAGCTCCAGGGTCCTCTACCATCACTTATGGCGTCCCTATACTCTCCAAAAATCCTTGTTAAGAGTCCCTTGATTCAGCCCTCCTCAAAGTATTGTAATTTGAGCACACTAGCTATTTCTTGCTTCAGGCTTAACTGATACAATCTTCCTAAAGACTTGAGGGTATACTGAGAAGCTCAGAGTAATAGAAATTAGGCAATCATGTTTTCTATTTGAAGGTAGTTATCTAGAGGGTTGATTTCACTATTAGAAGAGTTTCCTTAGAGATTATTAGAAGAAATAGAATATTCAATATTAAGGAACTTTATTGCATGTGTGTGTGTGTGTGTGTGTGTGTGTTAAGAGCACAATAGACACAATAAAGGAATATTTTAGATCAATGCTTTGAATGTTGTTCTTTACAAATTTGGGTAGACACTAGTGTCATTTAGGCATCTTGTATTTGTTCTACAAACTCCCTCAGGTAAGTTAAATATAATAATCTATTTTATATTAAATATTTTATTTTAGTTTTTTGGTTTTAAGTTACTGATTTACCACATTACCAATTTACCACATTTCTTTGAAATCAGTAACATTCTATCATACCCAGCCATGGCAGGGACCAAGCTGTCATTTCTCATAATGATTGTTTATAATCTTGTCAATGAGGCAATCAGTTGGGGAGTTTGGGAAGCCTCCCAGTTCCTGGTTTTTAAATCGTTTGGTTTAACATTTAGCATCTGGGTGTTGGAAATATGTTGTCTGGTTTATGAAACTGAATATTTTTACATTCAGGTTTATTTTTTACTGGTTTGAGTGCTTTCACCAACAAGGCACCAGTGAAGTTCCAAGATGCAAAGGGCATGTGACTAGCGACTATGAATTCCTGAAAAAAGAAAATTCAAGTCTGTATGACAATAGATATAGACATAGTTTATCTATGACGACACACTTAAGAATAAGTAGCTGTGTCAAGAAATGTGTTTTGTGAAGAAACATGAATTACCATTTTGAAACATGAACCCATTTCTAGGATCAAGCTAAAAGTGCCTTAAGATTATGCCATAATGGTGCATTACCATATAGCATGGTAGAGTGCAATTTGTGATGACAAGGCTTCTGCGCTCTACATAAAGACTCTGACTAGGCTTGTAAGGGGCAGCATTCATGAACTTTTAATAGAAGTGTTTTAACATGGAAATTGAAACAGGTAATTTAATGGATTTCATTTTCTGTTCCATATGAAATTTAATGAAAAACGAGATGGCAGGAGTTAGCTCAGTTCTTAGTGAAACTTGTTGTACCCTACAAAGGCAACGTGCATAATTATGGACTAAATTTAATATTTTTTTCTCCTCTCTCTATGTCAGCAGAAGTAAAAACTAAACTATTAGACTTAGTGTTAAAGTTAATAAAAGGTTGTTATAATGGCTTCTGGTGATAACATTGAAAAACTGTCATTTTTCATAAGAATATCCATAATAACTGTTTTTATTTATGTCAAGTATCAACATTTTCATTCTTAATGATTCAAAAATGTTTGTTGATGGTCTATTTCATTAGTCTGTAATACGATACTAGGGAAATCAAAGAAATGACTATCTTCCCTAACTTGAAGGGGCATCAATTTAATTATAAAAATAGCACATATACACCTGCTAATAAATCAAAAAAGAGTTTCTCTAGTCCCTGTCACCAAGTCAAAATTAATTCAAATCTTGGATGCTTCGAGTCTGACGTTGTATCAGATTGCTTAGTAAATCTGTGACCTTGAGCTAACTTCTTCAAGCTTCAGTCATTACCAGTAAAATGTGGTTTAAAATAGTATCTATCACAGGGGTTATTATGTAGATTAAATTATGTATTGCACATGAAATACATATACTTCCTGTGCATTAAAAGCATCCATGAAATGTTAGCTCTTACTGATAACTAAAAAGGATGAAAACTCATGAATTCTGGTAAAATGTGATTTAGGGAGTCTTTCATTTGTACATACTGCTGTATTAATTGGGTTCTTCACTTTTCTCTCTTACTCAAAATATCAGAAGTATTATACTTTGGATGAATGTTCTGGATCTTGACTGGTCTCTCTGAAACTCTTTTGGTTCTTATCTAAGCTAGTCTGTACAGCAGAGGCAGAATCTTTAAAACTACAAACCAATAATGACATTAACCTGCTTTAAAAATGTTAATAGCTGACCGCTGCTTTCAGAATAAAACTCAGAATCACAAACCATAGCCTGTAGAAAGGAATGTGTTATATATTAGCCCTTCCTGCCTTTCTCATCAGGCCTGTGTCCTTCTCAGATGTCTGAGGGAGAGTCATACTCACTTAGCCTTTGTTCAGTTTCCCAGCACTTCATGCTCCCTGTTGTTGTTGGATTTTGCACCAAATATTCCCTCTGTCAAAGTCCTTTCTTCCCAGTCCCCCTCCTCTTTGCTTATTTGCCCTTCCCTTTCCCAGGACAATCTTAGATGGCATACCAGAGCAGTTATTATTTTTACACTCTCATAGCAAGCAATCTGTCCTTCATACTGATTTTAAAAATATATATTTACTAAAATTTAAAGCAGCTGTAAATCTCAAAGTGTGGCTTTTAGCTCAGGCTGCTATAATAAAATGCCATAGACTGGGTGGCTTAAACAACAGAGATTTATTTCTCACAATTCTGGGGGCTGGAAAATGTGAGTTCAAGGTGTCAGCATGATGAGGGTCTAGTGATGGCTTTACCGCTTCCTGGCTTTCAGACAGCTGCTTTCTTGCTGTGTCCTCACATGACAGAGAGAAAGGGCTCTCATTTCTCTTCCTCTACTTATAAGGACATTAATTACATCACTGGGGCCCCACCTACATGACTTTGTCTAAGCCTAATTACCTCTAAAGGCCCCACCTCCAATTATCATCATACTGGGGCTTCAACACCTGAATTTGCGGGAAGGGGACACAAACACTCAGTTCATAATACTATTACAGATGACTTTTTATATTCCTGAAATACTGACTAGGAAATGACATGCTATCTCTAAAGAAATCCAAACGAGAAATACTATATTTAATCTGTGTACTTACTAGGTATTAGCAGTCGTTTCAGATTTCCAATAGGATAAACTTCTGCATTAGTTTTCCAAGCCTCCAGTGCGTGTTTGTTTGCATGTGTGTGTGTGTTTGGAGGACTGACAGTGATGTGAAAATCACTGTTTTACAGCAGTGTGTCCTGCACTTACATTGATAAAATTTTTCTAAGCACAAGAGAACTTAAGAAAGAACTCTCTTGTCATTTTGTAAAATGGGATGTTCTAATATATTACAGATAAAGGTAGACATTTTCCTTTCCTCTCTAAAAAGGTTGAAGTTTGGGGATATTTGCTTTTTTCAGGTTAAAATTTTATTTTACTCACAACTTAGGGTACTTTGTAGTGCTCCAGCGCCTGTCACTTTGAGTACTGTGCTCTTTCCCCTAGGAGGAAAAGACAAAGAAGTTGGACAAACCATCTGCATAGCAGTGGGTAATGAAGTGAAGCGCTTAGAAAAGAAAACAGATGAAGAAACCCCCCAGTTCAATGCCAAAATACTCCTATGGGGTTGCAATTTTCAATCCAGGTTTTTAAAAGTCTTGAGTGCAGCCAGGTCATTTGAGCAGGTGCAGTGCAAAGGCCTCAAAACTCACAACGACTCACGTTCTTACTCATAAGCAGGAGTTGAACAATGAGAACACATGGACACAAGGAGGGGAACATCACATATCGGGGCCCGTCAGAGGGTGGGGGCTAGGGGAGGGAGAGTGTTAGGAGAAATACCTAATCTAGGTGACGGGTTGATGGGTGCAGCAAGCCACCATGGCACGTGTATACCTATGTAACAAAACTGCACGTTCTGCACATGTACCCCGGAACTTAAAGTATTGAAAAAAAAAACAACAACAACTCACAACACTACAGCCGATGCTAGGCCCCGCTGTATGCTTGCAGAGCTAATGCAAGGCCGCCACCATCTCCCCATGATCTCTGTGTGAATTTGGGAAACTAATGGGAACTAAAAGGGACATTGAAACTATACCCTTTGAGAGTAAGTAGCAAAGGCGTACCTAGCGTGTTGACAGCTGTTTCATTTACTGGGCAGCACCAGATGCAAAGTAGGGAAAACAAAACATAAACAGTGACAGTAAAAATAGTATTTTACTTTGCTCCTGTCCTTCTATGTGCTGCTACTCAACTTTCCATTACTGCTTTTCTTTTCTCGTCTCCATGACAGTGATACAATGAGAAAGTTGCAGTGAGTTGGACAGATAGGCTGTAGTGGGCTTACACCATTTTGGCTGGCAGCAGAAGTCCCATCAACTCACTTTTAATTGAATACAAAAGCATACATTTGATACCAATTTGTAAGGTAGAAAAGGAAAGAAATATAAATTTCTAGTCCAAATTGGTGAATACTTATATATCCGTGTGGCAAGATTATTATTTTGTTTATTTTCCCACTTTTCTTTATTTTAAAATTCTCAGCTACCCAAAGTGAGTCCCTGAATCAGCATCATTGGCATCTGGAAGCTTCTGAGAAATGCGGAATCTCAGGGTCAATACCTGACCTAGTGAATCCAAGTCTGAATTTCAACAACATCTCAAAGTGATTCAGATGCATGTTGAAGTTTGATAAATATTGATTCATAAAACAGAAATTACTTATATATTCTGAAAAAAAATGGAAGTGATTGCTCATATGGGAGGGTAATTAGCAGTTAATTTAGAATGAATGTGGCAGGGTTTTGGGAAATCAGAAAGATAATGTTGTTAATTACCTCACAATAATTTACAGTTTTTTTGTTTTTGTTTGTTTGTTTGTGTTGGTTTTTTTGAGACAGAGTCTTGCTCTGTCACCCAGGCTGGAGTGCGGTGGCATGATCTTGGCTCACTGCAACCTTTGCCTCCCGGGTTCAAGCGATTTTCCTGCCTTAGCCTCCTGAGTAGCTGGGATTACAGGCACGCACAACCATGCCCGGCTAATTTTTTGTGTTATTAGTAGAGACGGGGATTTCACCATGTTGGCCAGGCTGGTCACGAACTCTTGACCTCAGGTGATCTGCCTACCTTGGCCTCCTAAAATGCTTGGATTACAGGCATGAGCCACCACGCCTGACAATTTATATTTTGATAGAGGATGAGGGAGAGAGATGTGGTATTCTTTTAATTATCATATTCCTTAAATTATCTGTTTTCTCCAAACTATGCCAATTTCAGTAGTTGCTAAATGTTTTAATGTTAGAGTATATTAATTCCTAAGGAGGCGATGTGTGGCAAAAGGAGGGGGTTGGGATATGGAGATGAAATAAGAAGATGGTTAACAATGTGAACACTGGGTGCAACTTTGCCACTTTGGCCAGGTTACCTAATTTCTCTGTGTTTAAACTTTCTCATACATGTAAAGAAGATTATGTCTTCCTCACAGTTTATTAGTAAAACACTTAAATTAGTAACTGGCATGTAAGCTTGATACATTTGCTGTTATAATTTGGAGTTAAACCTTATATCAAGTTCCAGATCCTACATTAATGAGGTGTATCACTGTTGGCAAGTTGCAAAATCTCTCCAAGCCCGTCTCTTCATATCTGAATACAATTTGCAATAATACTTGCCTACCTAAATGATCTTAAGAATTAAATGAATACTATGTATAAGTACTTACTAAATACTTTGTATAATTCTCTTATTGGCTAGAATCATTATATGCATTAATTTTTGTTTATTTTGCTAAATATTTATTTCTTGATTACCATTCCTTTGCAGTAATCATTCCTGTAAAAGTTTCTTTTTTTTTTTTTTCCTGATTACAGGGAAAAGTAACCCAGTGAGTCCTGTTTGGAATATTAATACTGAGGCCAAATAATCAAATCGATACCTTTATTTAAAAAATTATATTTAGGCTATTTAATTTGATTTTAAAATACAAAAAATTAGAACAACTCTGCAAGCGGAAATCACAAAAGTCTATAGTTCTAAAGTGGATACTGATTACCAAGCTCTCTTGGCTTGGAATTTGGTAAGGCAGAAGGCCCATTTCTTCATTCTAAGTATGCCACAGTGCCTCCACTCATATAATTTATCCATAAAAGGAAGGAATTACTTCCTATATTACATAACAGGAAGGCACAGATTTGTTCCAAATGAAACCAGGGGCTGGTTTTCTGAAAAAAAAATTAATAAACTAGATAGACCACTGGCTAAATTAATAAAGAAGAAGTGAGAAAAGATCCAAATAAACAATTAGAAACGAGAAAGGAGATATTACCACTGACCCCACAGAAATAGAAATAACCATCAGAGAATATTATGAGCACCTCTGTGCACACACACTAGAAAATCGAGAATAAATAGATTAATTCCTGGACACATATACCCTCCCAAGATTGAGCCAGGAAAAAAATTGAATCCCTGAGCAGACCAATAATTAGCTCTGAAATGGAAAAGTAATAAATAGCCCACCAACCAAAAAAAACCCAGGACCAGATGATTCACAGCCAAAGTCTACCAAATGTATAAAAATAAGCTGGTACCATTCCTGCTGAAATTAGTACAAAAAAATTGAGGAGGAGGGAATCTTCAACAACTCATTCCATGAGGCCAGCATCATCCTGATACCAAAACCTGGTAGAGATACAACAAATAAAGAAAACTTCGGACCAATATCCTTGATGAACATTGATAGCAAAAGTTCTCAAGAAAATACTAGCAAACTGAATCCAGCAGCACATCAAAAAGCTTATCCTACAATCAAGTAGGCTTTATCCCTCGGATGCAAGCTTGGTTCAACATATGCAAATCAATAAAGGTGATTCATCACATACACAGAACTAAATACAAAAAAAACACATGATTATCTCAATAGATGCAAAAAAGGCTTTTGATAAAATTCAACACCCCAAACCTCAATAAACCAGGTATTAAAGGAACATATCTCAAAATAATAAGAACCATCTATGACAAATCCACAGCCAACATCATACTGAATAGGCAAAAGCTGGAAGCATTCCGATTGAAAATCAGCACAAGGCAAGTGATATGGTTTGGCTGTGTCTCCACCCAAATCTCATTTTGAAATGTAGTTCCCATAATCCCCATGTGTCACGGGAGGGACCCTGTGGGAGGTACTTGAATCATGAGGATGGTTACCTCCATGCTGTTCTCATGATAGTGAGTGAGTTATCACAAGAACTGATGGTTTTATAAGAGGTTTCCCCCTTCTTTGCTCTGCACTTCTCCTCGCTGCTGCCATATTAAGAAGAACGTGTTTGCTACCCCTTCTGCCATTATTGTAAGTTTCCTGAGGCCTCCACAGCCATGCTGAACTGTGGGTCAATTAAACCTTTTTTCCTTTATAAGTTACCCAGTCTCAGGTATGTCTTTATTAGCAGCATAAGAATGTACTAATACAACAAGGATGCCCTCTCTCACCAACCCTTTTCAATATAGTATTGGAAGTCCTGGGCAGAGCAATCAGGCAAGAGAAAGAAAGAAGGGGCATCCAAGTGAAAGAGGAAATCAAAATATCCTTGTTTGCAGACAATATGATTCTATATCTAGAGAACACCATAGTCTCAGCCCAAAAGCTTCTTAAGCTGATAAACAATTTCAGCAAAGTCCCAGGATACAAAAACCAATGTACACAAATTACCAGGATTCCTGTACACTAACAACTACCAAACCAACAACCAAATCAGAGATGCAGTCCCATTCACAATTGCAACAGACACACACACACACACACACACACACACACACACAACCTAATAATACAGCTAACCAGTGAGGTGAAAGATCTCTGCAAGGAGTACTACAAAACACTGCTCAATGAAGTCGGAGGTGACACAAGTAAATGGAAAAACATTCCATGCTCATGGATACGAATAATCAATATTTTAAAAATGGCCATACTACCTAAAGCAATTTATAGATTAAATACTATTCTGGTTAAACTACCATTGAAATTCTTCCTAGAGCTAGAAAAAAAAGGTTTTAAAATTCATATGAAACCAAAAAAATGCCCAAATAGTCAAGGTGTCCTAATCACACAAACTGACTTCAAACTGTACTACAGGGCTACAGTAACCAAACAGCAAGATACTCATACAAAAACTGACGTATAGACCAATGCAACAGAATAGAGATTCCAGAAATAAGGCTGCATACCTACAACTGTCTGGTGTTCAACAAAGCTGACAAAAACAAGCAAAGGGGAAAGGACTCTATTCAATAAATGGTGCTGGGATAAATAGCTAGCCATATGCAGAAGATTGAAACTGAACCCCTTTCTTAAACCATATACAAAAACTGACTCAAAATGCATTAAATAATTAAATGTAAAACTCAAAACTATAAAAACCCTGGAAGACAAGCTAGGCAATACCATTCTAGACATAGGAACAGGCAAAGATTTTATGACAAAGGCACCAAAAGCAATTGCAACAAAAGCAAAAATTGACAAATGTAATAGAATTAAACTAAAGAGCTCTCCACAGCCATAGAAACTATCGGCAGGGTAAACAGACCACCTACAGAATGGAAGAAAAATTTTGCAAACTATGAGTCCGACAAAGGACTAATACCTAGCATTAATAAGAAACTTAAATTTACAAAAAAAAAAAACTCATAAAAATGTGGGCAAAGGACATAAACAGACACTTTTCTAAAGAAGACATATATGCAGTGAAAAAACATATGAAAAAAAGCTCAACATGACTGATCATTAGAGAAATGCAAATCAAAACCACGATGAGATACCATCTCACACCAGTCAGAATGGCTATTATTAAAAAGTCAATAAGTAACAGATGCTGCCAAGGTTGTAGAGAAAAAGAAAAATGTTTTCAACCATTGTGGAAAACAGTGTGATGATTTCTCAAAGGCCTAAAAATAGAGATACCATTCGACCCAGCAGTCCCATTACTGGGTATATACCCAAAGGAATATAAATCATTCTATTGTAAAGATACATGCACATGGATGTTAATTACAGCCCTACTCACAATAGCAAAGACATGGAATCGACCTAATGCCCATCAATGGTAGACTGGGTAAAGAAGATGTGCTGTATTTATACCATGGAATACCATGCAATCATAAAAAATAACAAGATCTTGTCCTTTGTAGAAATATGGATGGAGCTAGAGGACATTATCTTTAGCAAACTAATGCAGAAACAGAAAACCAATTATCACATGTTCTCACTTATAATTGGAAGCTAAATGATGAGAACACGTGGACATATAGAGGAGAACAATAGACACTGGGACCCACTGGAGGGCAGAGGGTGAGAGGAGCGAGAGGATCAGGAAAAATAATGAAAATAATCAGTGGGTACTAAATCCCTGAGGGATGAAACAATCTGTACAGTGAACCCCTGTGATACAAATTTACCTGTATAACAAACTTGCACATATATCCCTGAACTTAAAAGTTAATACCCCTGTGATACAAATTTACCTATATAACAAACCTGAACATATACCCCTGAATTTAAAAGTTAATACCCCTGTGATACAAATTTACCTACATAACAAACCTGCACATATGCCCTGAACTCAAAAGTTAATACCCCTGTGATACAAATTTACCTATATAACAAACCTGCACATATACCCCTGAACTTAAAAGTTATTAAAGGAATATAAATGTTTTTATTACCACTGAATTGTGCACTTAAAGATTGTAAAGATGATAAATGACACATATATATTATACTTCTTCTTCTCCATACGTCTCTTTATTTAGGATTTTGTTAATTTCTCTTAGCAATGTTTTATAGTTTTCAGATTCTTGTACATGTTTTCATATTTAAATATTTTATATTTGTAGAGGCTATTGTAAATAGTTATTTCCTATTTCAATTTCCAATTGTTCATAGCTAGTATACAGAAATACAATTGATTTTTTAATAACAGCCTGGTATCCTGCAATTTTACTAAATTAATTTATTCATTCTAGCAGCATTTGTTGTAGATTCTGTTAAATGTTTTTTTATGTAGAAGATTTAGTCACCTGCAAATAAATACAGTTTGACTTCTCTTTTCCCATGTAGATTCTTTTTATTTTATTTATTTATTTATTTTTGCCTTATTATACTAGTTAGAAACGCCAGGATAATGTTAAATAGAAGTAGTGAGAGTGATCACCCCTGTTTTGTGCCTCGTTATATTTCTATTCATATTTTTTGAGTTTTTGTCAATAATAGAAGCCATATCTTATCAAATGGTTTTTCTGCATGTATTGGGACATGTATATGAGTTTTCTTCTTTAGTCAGCTATTATGGTGAATTATGCTGAATGATTTTTTAATATTGAATCAGGTTGTATTCCTGGGACAAACCTAATTTTATCATGATGTATTAACCATTTTATTGACATAAAAAAACCCAGTTTTTAGTTTTACTGATTTCGCTCTATTGTTTTTCTGTCTTCTATTTTTTTAAATTTCCCTTCTTTAGTTTCTTCCTTTTATTACTTTAAGTTGCTTTTCTTCTAGTTTCTTAAAGTGAAAGCAAAAGTCATTGATTTGAGAATTTTCTTCCTTTTTATATTTTCCTTGCATAGTACTTTGCTGGTATACATTTTTATATTCTCATAAAAAATTATTGACAGTTAAGCTAGTTTGAAACAGTTTTCTCCTTTCAGGCTTGGCTTTTACGATTTGTTAGAGAAGACTAGAACAAAGTTTATTTAGTCTAGGTTAATAGTTCCCCACTGCTAAGGCAGACCCTGCGGAGTACTCAGAGTCTCATGAATTAGAATTTGAATTAAATATTTGAATCTGGTTGGTGTTAACAGGCATGATTTCTGGACCCGTGTGAACTTGGGGACTCTCCTCTCTAATTCTTTCCTGTGGTTCTTTCACCAGCCTGGAGGAGTTGGCTCGCACACATGTGCACGCACTTATCAGTACTTGACTGAATGCTCCAGGATGACTCTTTTCAGATACCCACAGTTCCCTCTGCTGAACTGTCAACTCTTGACCCTCTGCCCAGTGAGATATAGCCACCCATAACTTTCACTTCCCGTAACTTTTATTCATGGAGTTCTCTGGGCTCTGTTTCTGTCCTGTGTGTGCTGCTACCTATAATCTCTCTCTGGTAAACGGTGGATGCCATGGGATGCACCCAGTATTTCCTATTACCCAGGAATCACTGCCTTTCATTTCCTGATGTGCAATGTGTTGAAAAGTGTTGTTTACTATATTTTGCTGTTGTGTAGTTGTTTTAGATGAAAAGATCAATCTAGTCCCTTTTACTCCATCTTGATCTGAGTGAAAGTATGGTCTTTACTTCTAAACTTTTATTCTCAGACATGTGCAACTAGTTTAGTCACTCATGCGGTGAACTTCCTGAAGAAAGAACCTAGATCTTATGGTTCTTTATATGCCATATGTAGTTCTGGGAACTTGATGAGTATCTAACATATATCTGGTGATTTCTTACTAAAGGTTAATAAATGTTGATAATCTTCGTCTAATATTTTGGCTTGTTGATTTTTGTTTATAATACAAAACAATACACTTGTTATACACATTGAATAATTAAATAAAAGTATACTTGAAATATTATGTAAACACACTGCAAGCACTAACAATGACTACAACATTTTAAATAAAATATAAAGCATATTATCATAATTCATTTAGTAAAATTTTATTTTTATCTGATGATTTCTGTTAATTAAATCCAACTAATCCTAATCTTTTATTTTTGAAGCAAAAATAGGTGTGGACGTATAAATGTCTATATATTCATCATAAAAATACAGTATTTTAATTTATTTCAGGTGATAGTTAAATCTGGGCCAGGGACTTTCCTCAGTTTGGCTGTTTATGACAATTATATATTCTGGTCGGACTGGGGAAGAAGAGCTATACTGCGGTCCAACAAGTACACAGGAGGAGATACAAAAATTCTTCGTTCCGATATTCCACATCAGCCAATGGGAATCATAGCTGTTGCCAATGACACCAATAGCTGTAAGTTATAATAGAAAGCAAATGTGTTTTTTCATTGTATAATCTCTGATCTCTAAAAATGTATATATGTTTTCTAGTAATAGTTGGATTTGCTTTTTCTTTTAAAAAATATTATTTTTTGTTACTATGACTGTGGATTTTGTTTTTTTCTAGTTCTTAGGAATAGTGTTCAAGATTTGGCTGTTCAAAATATTGAAATTATCTGAAATATTCAAGGCAACTTCTATATTGCATAATTTATCATCACAGGAGCAGTTCATTTTTAATTATTTCTTCTAAAAATCTTATTTCATCCTCACTCTTCATAACTTCAGATTTTCAGATCAAGTTGTTTCCATGAAAATTACACTTGATAGATAAACTTTGCACCTGGGCTTAACAGTTCTTTAGTCAATGCAGTGCTTACAAAATTACAGTTTGAAGCATCAATGTGGTTTCTAGCAGAACTAGTTCATTTGATGCCGTGGTATCAAATGTGTTAGAAAGATTTGATTAGTGTTACATACTTTTGTAATGTACTTAGCCTTAGGAATGCTTAGATTTTCAAAAATCCTGAATGTTCCTTTTTAATGACATATTATTGAGAGATTGAGGCAGTCTAATAGTTTACGATTAATATTTATCTAACATAGAACAGGAATTCGATATAAAATGTTACCAATACACCCTCTTTATTGTAGGTGAACTTTCTCCATGTGCATTATTGAATGGAGGCTGCCATGACTTGTGCCTTTTAACTCCCAATGGGAGAGTGAATTGTTCCTGCAGAGGGGACCGAATATTGCTAGAGGACAACAGATGTGTGAGTAAGTAAAGGGAATTGAAATGTAATATGACAAATCTGTTCCAAATTCCACACACATCACTGAAATTGTGTTAGTGTATTCATGAAGTTATACTCTCTTCTAATATTAGAAGCTTAGTCATGTTATCTCTCTGCTCTAAAGAAAACCGAGTTCACTGTTCTGCTTAGTTATAGGACCATGTGCTAGTTAGTGATAACCAAAATGGTAACAAATGTTTTTACCCTCCTGTTGTGCACTAGAAAGTGCTGGGGCTAGCTAGAGAAGTGTCTGCACACAATGATCATCTGAAAACTTCCAGTTGTGACTTTGTGAATTCAATCAATAGCAAAAGTAATTGAAGCTGAAATAAACTGGTATACAGGCAGTATATCAGTAGCCTTGCAGTAAAACCACTCACAGTCCATCATAGTATGTAAATGAGAGAGAATGGCTCATGCAGCTTATGTGTAATCATTTCCAAACTGTTAATTAAGAATGCAACATTGCAGCCTTGCATGGTGTTTATACCTCCCAAAGGCATTACAAACTTTAATTAGCACCATTACAATACACACTTATTAACAGCTAAGTTTCCAAAACTGTTTCCAAAATAAATCAGGGTTCAAGTGTTTCAATATTGCCATGAAAAATTTGCAAGCAAAATTTAAAAAAGGTTAATTTCCTTTTAACGTTAAGGCAATTTATGTATAAGGTAGGAGAGAAATATCTTGTTGGAAATCAGTGAAATCATTCTCAGGATGTGTCAGATTTGATACATTTTTTGTCTCTCCTCACCTATTAATATATCCTCATCTCATATCTTTTCATTCAGAAAATTAACAGAGTTGGATATGTCTACATAATAAAAATAAGTATTTTTCATCTTCATCTTCAGTCGATTTTTACTCTCTTTCCACTGGAAGGATTTTATCTCTTACCTGCTCTTCAATGCAAGTGCTTGGGCATAATTTTCTTTAGCTTGAAAATTCTTATACCATATACAAAATAACATAGACATATTTTCTCACTGTGAAAGTTGATACTACAACCCAAAAAGGCACCTCTTAGCAAAAAAAGTAAAAGTTGATTTATTTAAGACTATGCCAAAGCAAATGAGAAAATGATGCAATTGGTCAAAATTTTAAATGCAGATGGCCAATTTCCATATTTCGGGCCACAAATTCCCATATTTCTTTGTCACTTAACACTTCTCTGAATTGCTCAGGCAATTGCTTAAACTCTTTCAGTTTGCCTTTGTGGTTTCAGCTGTAATGGTCTGGATCTGATGCCATCTGTAAGCCCGGAGTGTTAGCCATGCGTTAGAATCACTCATGTTTCTTTCACAGGTCACTTCAGGCTAGTAGTGAAGCAATGCCTTTAGTCAAAATGGCAAAGCTTATTTCTGTTCGGTGGAGGCCTGTCCTTGCTGCATAATACCTTCAATACAACTGTCCCTACTAAGCTTCTCTCTGTTGACGAGAGGAAATGAATCAGGAAGAAAACTGACATCTTAAACAAGCACAATTGTATTCACATGGAACTGTAGAGTGATATTGGATTTCCCAGAGCTCACAATCTGTTGTAGAGGCAGACGACGTCCATTGTGCATTCATATTGAAATCCTGTAGCCCAGCAGAGAGATTAGAAAGTAACTCTTGGCTCCTCCTTGTCAAATTTATCTTTAGGAACATGAGAATGTTTCTGGCACATCTGTGTCCTCATCTAAGTGATTTTACCCAGAGTGGTTCATGAATGTTAATGGCAGCATTAAAGGGGTGAAAGGCCATGTACTAACACCTACCTGAGGGCAAAGGAGGGAAAACCATTTGTTGTCATAACTGTTGACAAGAAGATTAGGCAGTCCCCTTGCTTACAACATTGCTAATCTTATTGTAATCCATAAAAGAAATAGATACAGTAAATATAATTAGATGAAGTAATTGCTGTGCAAGAGAATAAGGGCAGCTGAACCATGATGTTTCCAGAAAGAAGCAGAAAACACTCAATACTATTTCATCAAATGAACATACCTGAGGAAGAATTGTATTCATACAATGTTTGTTTTTGCATAATGTAAAAAACATATTTATCTTTGAATAGTTTTTGTCTTTTCCCCAAAGGCACTAAGATTATAAAAGATTAAAAATGGACTTTTCCATCCTAACAATTATTTTTTCATTGGAAAATACACAGTAAATAATATACACTTAAAATAGGAAAAATAAGTCAGGAATCTCAATAGACTTTCAAGAAGTGGCTGAATTTTGTTCTATGCTAAGATGATTGCATTTAGCAATATTAGCACCCTTTTATTTTTTTTAATTTAATATTGTTCTGTTTTAAATTATTTGCTACCTTGTCTTAAATGACATTCTGCCTTAGCTAATGACTGAACAATGAAGTTTAGACTGCACCAAGAGAAAAGAAATATATCTTTGGAACATGTTGTTATCATCGAGAGAGTTAAATTAGAAGTCAAATAAATAAGGTGAATTGACTCGGGAACAGAAAACCAAATACCACGTGTTCTAATTTATAACTGGGAGCTAAACATTCGATGCTCATGGACATAAAGATGGCAACCATGGACACCTGGATCTGTTAGAGTGGGGAGAGAAAGACGGTGGACAAAGGTTGAAAAATTAACTATTGGTACTATGCTCAGTACCCGGGTGACAGAATCAATCATATCTTAAACCTCAGTATCATGTAGTAAACCCATGTAACAAACCTGCACATGTACCTGCTGAATCTAAAATAAAGGTTGACATAATAAATAAAAAAGAAGCCTTAGATAGACCCTCTACTAAATTAATTAAATTCTAGGAATAATAAATAAATAAAACCTTGGAAACTTCAAATAGTATTAGTGGCTGTTTAATTGAATATTCCTGAACTAAAGCTCAAAAATTAATACTAAATTATAGAATTAAGCTATATTCTTTCATTAGCAGAGATGAATGAATTCTACTTACCTCCAACATAATTAATACAACTGGATTTAAACGTACAATTATTCAGCAAGCAATGGGGTGAGTACGTACATGCAAGCAGACAGTATACCCCAAAAATTGGATCCCAAAATTTGCTAGTAAATCTATTACTGAATAATAAAAATAAGTCCATTGTCCTCAATAGAGACCCTTCAAAATAGGGATCACATATTGCCATTATAAGGATGAAACTCACCTGTAGAAAATAACTTTTTGTACTTTCAGACTCTTGGCTTACAAACTAGGACAAATCACCTAAAAACTCAAACTCTTAATTTTTAATAAAAATTCTGAGATTTAGAAATGTGACTTTCTGACAGCGGTCATCTGGAGTCCATAGCATCAGGTACACATGCTTTCCACTTGACCATTGTCCTCCTGCACCTCATCCCACTGATTCCTGTACATTTCATGGAGTAGGTGCTCATCATGTATGGCAGCAAGAAAGAGTCTGCTCCCGGGAACCTCCCACACATGGATGGGACAAGTGACTTATTTTAACAATTCTAATATTTCCAAACAATATAACTTGCTACTGAGGTTTCATCAGAAGATAGTTAGGGAGGAAGACCAGACGGTGGGGAAAAGTCCGGATTGTTCATTTGACTGAGATGATTCACATCAAACATTCAAAAATGGGTACTCTATGCACTGAAAAATAGTAGTATATTGAAAAATATATAATAGATCCCAGTAAGAAAACACAAAAACACTTTCAGTATGTACAGAGTTCATTTAACTGGCTGTTTTAAAAAACAATAATAATAATTATTATATTATTATTATATATTATATTATATATTCTTATATATAATAATAATTATTATTTTGATACAGAGTCTCACCCTGTTGCCCAGGCTGGAGTGCAGTGGCAAGATCTCCACTCACTACAACCTCTGCCTCCCGGGTTCAAACAATTCTCCTGCCTCAACCTCCCAAGTAGCTGGGACTACAGGCGCGTGCCACCATGCCTGGCTAATTTTTTGTATTTTTAGTAGACGGGGTTTCACCATGTTATCTAGGATGGTCTCAATCTCCTGACCTCATGATCTACCCACCTCAGCCTCCAAAAGTGCTGAGATTACAGGCGTGAGCCACCGCGCCTGGCCAAAAAATTATTTCTTAAGATCTTAATTTCATAAAGAAATGTCATAAACCATTGCTCTTTAATTGTACATTTTGATAAATTTTAGTTTATCTTTATAATTAAAATTAAGAAAAATAATTGTAGTGGTGTCAAAAAATATTTGCCATTGCACAAAAGTATTGACTTTTTTTTTTTTTCTTGCAGCTAAAAATTCCTCCTGCAACGCTTATTCGGAGTTTGAATGTGGAAATGGTGAGTGCATTGACTACCAGCTCACCTGTGATGGCATTCCTCACTGTAAAGATAAATCAGATGAAAAACTGCTCTACTGTGGTAAGTGTCCAATATGGGTTTGCTCGTTTCAGATAAAGTTTTCTGATTCTTTACAGTTTTTGGTTTGCTTGTCTCGGTGTGGTTTACGTGGATAATTTATTTAATGTCTCTCATTAACCTGTATCTAAGGCAATTGATGTGGCTTTGCTTGTGTTAAAATGAGGTACTTTATCTCCTGTTTGATAGCCATGATATTCACTAAATAATTTCCTCATGGTTTTCTATCCACAAAATAGCCTTTTTTTTTTTTTTTTTTTTTTTTTTTTTTTAAAGAGACGGGGTCTCATTGTGTTGCCCAGACTGGTCTCAAACTCCTGAGCTCAAGCAATCCTCCCACTTCAGCCTCACAGAGTGCTAGGATAACAGCACTCCGTGAATGTGAATAAAAATATTCACATTCTGAGCACCACACCCAGCCAGAATGTGAATATTTTTCAAAGTAGTAGCTAATCTTTTGAACCCCCGACTTATTCATCTTTAGCAATAGGTTTTAGGCTTACTTTCTTTAAAATGTAACTCAGAAACATCGTGATTTTTGGATATGGACAGGCTTACTCTGAAGCAGAGTTTCACCAACAGACAATAGCACATCGTTGGCTTGTTATCAAAGTCTTGTCGATTCTATTTCTGTCTCCAGGATTAGCATGGGGGCTAGTGTCCTTTGGTACAAAGGCTCATTGCCTTAGGCATGGTCCACATCAAACATAGAATTGCACCAGCTATGCTTCTCTTGGCAACACCAAGTGATAGTCAACATCTACCCTCAGGAGTAGAGATTAACTTTTATACTCTAGTAAGCAACTGAGATTTCCCTTCATTGCAACAATATTTTTTCCTGGAAATATGTCTTTGCATGATCATTGATAATCATTGTATATTTGATCCAGATTTTTAAAAAATTGTCCTGATTTATTTTTAATCCTAGAAATCCAATAGCATTGGGATCGTGTACTATGCAAAATTTAGGAATCTACATCTGAAACTGCCTCATTTTATATCTGCTTTTCTCCTCTATTCCATTATCCGGGTAATAATTACACCTAAATAATTAAAGAAAAGTTAGAATAAGAGAAAGACAGAATCTGTGAGATCCACAGACATCTTCTCACTCTTTTACGTTACAAGACAACACACCATCGTTTAAAATGAGAGTCTAATGTAATTTGTCCATAATTGATGTGTAACCAATGTCTTAAAGAATTTGTCTCAACATATTCGCTTTAATGAATGGCTATATTCTATAAGATATAAAAATATTAAAGCATATAAATTGTATTGCAATAAAGTCACAGGCTTGCATTTACTATAAGTTGACTTGAGATTATATTTCATGTTATTTTTATCTTTGTAGAAGTCAGATGATATTTGTGTAGAGCAGGAGTTGGCAAGCATTTTCTGTAAAGGTTCAGCTGGTAAATATGTTAGGTTTTGTGGATCATATATGCTTTCTGTCACATATCCTCTGTTGTTTATTATTTACCATCCTTTAAAAATGTAAAAACTATTCTTAGTCCCAGAGCCATACGAAAACAGTCTCACAGGCTAGATCTGGCCTATGGGCAATAGTTTGCCAATGCCAGGTGTAGAGTATGGGCTTTGGACTCACACCTGAGGTTAAATCTTTGTTCCCAAACCTGCTAGTGTAATTAGCCTAGTTTGCAAACCCTAGTGTGACTAGGGTAAGTAACATAACTCACTTCTCTGTGTTTTGGTTTTCCACTACGAAACAACTAGCTCTTATGGTAGTCGAGAGCATGAAACCAGCAAGTGTTTATCTACATATACTCAATACAGAGCCTGGGGCAAAGCTGGCATTTAATACGTGGCAGCTATTATTATTGTAAGTGGTAGCTTCTGCCCCAAATCAGAGAATGTCAAGAAACTTTCATAATGGTAAATAGAACTCAGAAGGTAATTCTTTCTCAGGGAATTCTGTAGATATTTTAAGATAATTTTTAAGAGAAATTTATTGATATTTAGATGACTCCATGAGACACTGATTCAGGAATACGTGCTTTGTTGCTTTATTTCCTTATTATAAAATCCTTGCAGATAGATGCAAAGGATATAGGAAATGGATGTTGGTGTGTTTTTGTTACATTTGAGTTACATATTTATTGCTTCAGAATTGAATATGTGATATATGTTTATTTCTGTGCTACTTGACAGAAGTGCCAGAAACAATAACGTGGGTATAACTTGAAAAGATCTCCCGGAATGAATCACTAAAGTTAAAACACTAAGTCAAAAAGGGCCCTTGCTGAATGAACTGCTCTTTGACAACACATAAACATTCTAATCCAGAGCTATTATATGGCACAGCACTTGTTTTATAGATCCATAATCCAGTCATTATGAATGAAATATTATCTGTGATTTTCATTTTGTACAAATATTTCTATATGATCTCTGGTTGTGTGTTTCTACTTTTATTTATAAGAAAACAGAAGCTGTCGAAGAGGCTTCAAGCCATGCTATAATCGCCGCTGCATTCCTCATGGCAAGTTATGTGATGGAGAAAATGACTGCGGAGACAACTCTGATGAATTAGATTGTAAAGGTAAATACTTGTTCCATCAATCTCAGAATATTGGTGTGCTAAGTGTTTCCTGAACTTTTCCAACATTCGTTTCTGAGAGCTCTGTGGCATATAACACCTAGTAACATCTATGGATCACACTTTGGTAAATGCTGTTGGAATGGAGTTGCTAAAGTTACTTGAAAATTCTGACTGTGTTCTCCATTTCTGTTTTCTACTCCTTTCCTCCCCTTAAAACTCTTATAATTTCTCGCCTCTTCAGTTCCACCTTCCTGGATTCGGACATTTCTACCAGAATGTGTAATATTGAATTTTCTGTTCCAAAAATGTTCCCCTTTATTCCTTAGTTCTCTGTTTTACTCATGATCACATTTTCCTAACCACTGGACGGGAAACTTTGGTGTTCTCCTTAATTTCTCCTTCCCACATATCCAGTCATCAACAAATCTTCCAGTTCTTTGAAATATCTTCCATTTCAATCCACTTTAAGCCTGGGCTAACAGAGTATGCCTTTACCTGGTTTCCCTGCCTATACTTTTTCCAGTTCATCCCTATGTCATCAGTCATGCTAATACTGTTTAACATTTTCCAAAAGTGACTATTAGGATAGATGATGAAGCCAAACTACCTGAGTTAGAACTGCTGCCCCAACACTTTACTGTCTAAATTTGGATATCACACTTAACTATTCTGTGTCTCAGTTTCCCAAATAGCAAGGTAGAAAAAATAATTAAATAAGAAAAACAATATTAAATAAGGTTAGAACAGTATTTGGCAATAGTGTATGCTATGTTAGCACTGGCTTTTATATATATATGTATATTGCATTGATAAAGAAACTTTTAATGGAATACCAATGTTTGCTGAATAAATGATAAGTTTTAGTCTGACATTGAAAGCCTTCTTAAATCTGGACCCCACAGATATTTCCAAAGCATTATCACTTTAGAGACTTGCCATTCAATGAACACACTTTATTGAGTGCAATGCATTAAGGTTCGAGACGCAAAATTCATGAGACACGTGCCTGTACTCAAGAATATCAAATTCTAACTCTAAGACAGCCATGTAAACAGATCGAGATATATATGTGTATATATATATATATATATCTTGTGCTGTGATTGCACACGTAAGAACACCCATATGTCTTTTTTGTTTTTTGGCTTGCAAGTATCCTCAAAGGTTTCATAGGCTATACTGAATTTAAACTGAGTCTTAAACTAAAAATAAGGTAGAATGAATGAAACAAAAGAGAATTCCAAGTAGAGGGACTACCATTGAAACTGAAAGTAATTTGATATAGTCACAGACAGATTACATATAAGAGAGTGGTAAAAACAGAAGGGCCAGGCGTGGTGGCTCATGCCTGTAATCCCAGCACTTTGGGAGGCTGAGGTGGGCATATCACAAGGTCAAGAGATTGAGACCATCCTGGTCAACATGGTGAAACCCCATCTCGACTAAAAATACAAAAATTAGCCAGGCGTGGTTGCACTCGCCTGTAGTCCCAGCTACTCGGGATGCTGAGGCAGGAGAATCGCTTGAACCCGAGAGGTGAAGGTTGCAGTGAGTTGAGATCACATCACTGCACTCCAGCTTGGTGATAGAGTGAGACTCCATACCCCCCACCCCCCAAAAAAACCAAAACAAACAAACAAACAAAAAACAGAGAAGGTATGGGAAGGAGCCAGGGCATGAAGGTGCATTTTGTGCCATGTGAAGTAACTCAAACTTTTTCTTGTAGTCACTAGAAAGTCACTAAAGGTTTAAAGCAGGCCAAATATAATCAAATTTACATTTCAAAAAGGAATGAAAAGAATAGGATTGTGTTAACGAAACCTATAATAATAAGATTTGTTTGTGTGGGAATGGGGATAAGACAATAAGGATGGTTTGCATTTTGAGATTGGAGCACTTGAGGAAATCTAAATGAAGCTGTTTCACAGGCATGTAGATAGGTAGAGATTTGGAACTCAGGTAATAGATGTTGATCAGAAGTATTGATTTGGGGCTCATTAAGGAGAAAAACTCAGAGGAAGTGTGGAGTAATGATTGCATGAGTAGAGTGCATCAAAATTACTTATTTAAATAACAAATTATATATGAAAAGGTGAAGTAGCCTGCAGGACTAATAGAGGGATATGCTTAAGAAATTATTTTCTCAAGAAAGGAGGATCATTCAGCATTTTCAAGTGCTACAGAAAGGGTAAGAGGGCAGGCATGAACTGGAGGTATCCGTCATATTTGGCCAATAGTAGATACTCGCTTGATGACATTCATGTGTGTCAGTTCAGTGGAACAGTAGAGGAAAGCAAGAGCACGTTGGTTGAAGACAGAAAATGGGTGGTAAGGGAGTAAAGACAGTGAATGTAAACAGTTTTTAGAAAAGATTGATGTAAAGGAAAGGTATGAAGTACAGTTGTGATGAGAGGACTATGCAGAGTTGAGGAAGAGGGCAGAATGTGTGCAAATTATTTCATAGCTGTATGGAATGTTGGGAAGTTACTCTGCCATCTTAGACAGTGTGACTTTGGGGAAACACTTGCATAGATTATCATCTAAGGTTGACACTGTAGTTTAGGAAGAGCTAATTACATTTGCCAATTAAGTTACCTAGTACCCATAAAAGATTTTAAAAAGTCAAATATAGTCAGACACTGGAAGTAAGCGGAGAGAAATAAATTAGCATTTGGAAGAAAGGAGGAAAAGAAATGAGAAGACCTAGAAATAGATAGGTTCTGTCAATTATTTGTAAGCAGGAGAGGAAAATATAATATAGGCATTAAGCCAGGTTAAAGGTAAAGCTATCAAGAAAGAATGTGCAGGAACTGAGCAATAAATACAGAAAATAGATTTTAAGGCAAGATTCATCAAAAGAAACTATGGGAAGATGATATGTTACTATGGGTTTTCTCCAGAAATGAAAGTATATTTTCAAAAGTGGTAAATGAATTAGTGTGTTTGGGTTTATGAAATATAATACCTCATGTATGGTAGGTGTTTATTAAATTCTTATGTGGCTGGTTGAAGCAGTAAGTCTTCTAAAATATAAATAGATTTTATTCTGCCTAATGATATCAATACCAGCTGCTGAATAACAATAAAATAACTCAAATAGATATTTCCTCTTTTTTAGTCGAAACTCTTGATTTCTGTGTTATAACTATCTCAGTCATACTCTTGGGCGCAGAACAGTGCCTTTGCAAATGAAGCTTCTCCCTTAACCTTTCTTTTATGGTAAAATTATAACAGTTGGATATCTTAAAAATAAACAAGCAAAACTTATGCCTTAAAGCTGGTCACGCTGAATGCAGGACATTTGAAACTAAAATTTCTCATGGAAACACAAGCATATACTTTATTACTTAATAGAAATTAGTGAATTTAATTCAATGGACCAGCTCCTTTAGGATAAACGAATGGGTAGCTATTTGGATGAAAGATTACTCTTACTTGAATCTTTTAGTTTTGATTTTTCTCTCATTTTAAGTTTATTAACATAGTGTCCTTGTAGAGTACCTTTCAAGATATAGAAGGAAGACTTCCCTGGGTCCATAACCCATAAGCCGGGCTGTCTGATAAAGACTTATATTATGCAAATGTGTTTCCACCAAATATCTCCCTTATAGTACAAAAAGATGATAAAGGAAAAGGCATAGATAATGGCTCAGGGAGAATGGAAAAGAGGTCTCTTTCCAAGCCCTTTCTTCCAGTTACCCCTTCTCTCTTTCTATTGTCAGTGCAATGAAGAGATGCAGTGCTTTTTTGTACATATATGCAGACACACAAATCACCTATCACTTTTTAATCAAAATAAAATATAAAAGATAAAGTGATACAATTGGAAGTCAGTATATACAGGGAGATTTTGATAGACTGTAGTAAGAGGCTATGGTGGAGCCATCTGTAAATTATCTAAAGTACTATTATACTTTGCTGAATTTAGATGTCAGTAGTAATTATTACTGTTTTTTAAATTTCACAAGAGTAGAGAGTCTGTTTACAGAGTAGAAAGGGTGTTGCAATGAATTGCTTTTGGTTTCTTCTCTTTTTGGGGAAAAGAAACATGCCAAATCTTCATCATTTTTTTTAATTTACTGCCCCTTTATAGAGGCCCTTTCATGACAGGAGAGCTTTAGACTTCAGGCCATCTGGAGGTGGGGAGATGAGGCATTGTTCATAAGTTCGTCATTTTGTACTCCTCTTCTGGTTGCATGGCAGGTCGAGTGAATATATTCAGGAAGAGTGCATGATATGCTTCCTTCCCTGCTGAGATGAGTACAGACTGCTCCCTTTGGGAAGTACATGAAATTCTTTGGGCTATGGAAGTACTTTTAGGTAGACTGGGAACTAGCAGTTCTGATCCTCCCTAAAGGAGAGGAAACTGGCATTTGTTTTTTCCTAAGTTCATAGCAAACCTTTGAAAGATTCCATAAACAACAAGCTAAAGGAAAAGGATAAACATAGCTGGAGAAGAAATCGGCATTCCTTCTAGATTTGTGCACCCTTAGAACCTAAGGGGTGAATTAAATAATTAAATAAAAGATGTTGTTTGAAAGTAAATGAAAAGGAGATATGAGAGCAAACTTAATGCTTCCCCCCCCCCTTTTCAGCTTCCCTTTGCTACGAGTTGGGTAAGGGATGTTGGAAGAGAGAATTGACTTAGGTTATTTATAAGAAACATCCTAAGAACTACAGAAAGGCCATTGATTTTTAAGTCTTTCAAATCTCACTAAATATTTTAGCTGACATGCTAAAAAGAAAGTGGAAGAAATAGTAAAATTAAAGTATATTAGAGAGAGTGGTTTTACTTTCTCTCTTGCTGCTACTTTTGATCCACAATCCCTGACAGATCTTCTTCCTTTGTAGTGCCTCATTGCTATTCCTGCTGTGGCTGTAGGGTGTTTTCACTCATGTTTCATAAGCTTACTTTTTCTTTCGGACTACCTGGAGGGAAAAGTGTAGTATCTCTCCCTTGGCTTATCTTTATTTGGACCCTATTATTTCATTTTCTCTCTTTATCAGGACTCTTAGCCCGAGGAAATATTGTCAGAAAACTTTCATATTCACTTGGCAAATTAGAGATTTCAGTATCTTTCTTCCTCAAAAATCACCTTATGGATGAAACAAATTTCAATACTTAACTGACCACAACGAAGTGAAGATGAAATATAGTTGAAGCAACAGAGAGAAAGAGGTTTTGGCAAGAGATGTGTTTACTTATTTAATGAAGTTCCTACTATTTCTGTAGATTTTTTTTTTCCTCACAGGATTCTCCTTCCTTGCCTGTTAATGAAGGCAATATTAATCCCCACAGTCACCTTGCTCCTACTGCTTACAAAACTCTGCAACAACTTTCATCACCCTGTCTAACTCTCTGGTGGTTCTCAAACCCTACACCAAATAATGCAATATGTGGAGACAGGATCAGGTACAAAGGGACAATCTGTTCCTACTTGCACCTCTTACACACTCTGATAGCCCATCCTTGTCCCCCTCCCAAAGATTCATTAGCCCTATTGTTATTTTGGAAAATAGGAAAAAAAAAATACATCCTGCAAATCTTCTACTCTTTGTTCTGTCCTGCGAACTTCTTCCTTTATCTATTTCCTTATGCTTATTAATACAGTTTTTTAAATTACTACTTTCTAACCGCTCTTCTGAACTTCAAAGTTAAAATTTATTTTCATGTAGTTCAAGGTCCTCTATTTCTTTCTTGTTTCCAGAACTCAATCTAAGACTGTGTTCCATTTGTCCCACATGTCCTTCCACTCTTCTCTCAAGTTATCCTTTACTTTCTCTGTTACCTCAGAACTACCAGTGCTGGTTTTTAAAACGCTATTACGTGAAATCGCTGAATTTCCAGTTTTCTTGACTGTCTGAAATGCCATTCCCTACATTTGCCTCCTCATTGTCTCTGCCACTACTTCTCACTCAGACAGAGAATTCTCTATGGGAGATTGGAGGCAGATTGTGATGGTGAAACGAGTTGCAAGTGTCCCTATTAGTATCTTCCTGGCATCCTAAACTCTAACTTCAAGCAGACAGAAACTCAAGTGCATTATGAGATGAACAATTATAGGCTTACTTAGGAATATCATAACTACCTAAAATGTTATTAAACAGAGAAATGCAATTTGTCTTCTAAAAAGAGATTATAAGCAATCTTTCGGAACAAAGTTAGTAAGAAACTACTAGTAGACAGTGAAGCCAAAAACAAAAGGTAAATGATTGACATGATTATATTTATGTTATATATTGCATTTACTATTTCTATTGAAAAAAATTGAATATGAAATGTAACACAAATGAATATAAAAGAGGTTTTGCTCTTATAGACATAAAAGAAAAAAAACTTTTTTCCGTTTTGGAACAATGCATTTATCTCTACTTACAATAGCATTATCTGTTTCACATGTTGTGTTATCATTTTTAATAAAAAAGTGAAGCAATTATAATTGCAAATTGTAAATAAAACATTTATTCTAATCATCATTTAAACAGATAAGTATGCAATTTTGAGATACAATTCAATATAATAAGAACCATACATTATGAAATACAAATGACATACACACCCTTTTGTAAAATCTGCGTATTTTAAAATAGCATTTTAACCATTTGTGATTGATATAATTTCTATTTATAATTAAATAGGCTCTTTAAAATATCAACACTAGTAAAAGTGGCATAATCAAAGGGCCCTTCTGGTTGTCCTTTAATGTAATCAACTTGTAGAAATTTGAATTTGGAATAGAAATATCACCTAAGTTAATTTAACATACATAGCATGTCATGTACCCATTCACAGCATTTTACTGGAAACCACTATATGATTATCAATGGGTAAGCAACTTAGAAAGGAACATATGGTTAAAAATAAGATACTTTATACAAAATGTATATAATGACAATAGCATATTGAATCTAATTTTCATTTAAGTAGAGCAGAGAATTGGATGACTTTTATAATAACAATAATAAGGAATGACACGTGTATATGTTCCTTGACATGAGGCATCCTATTTATTATATTAAATATTAATGATGATATGGCCATGTAACAGAGTATGAGATAGCATAGATGACTTTCTAGTAGTGGTAAGCTGTTCCCTCTGAGAAACAAAGTCAGTGTTCAGTGGTTCCCCCCTGCCCATCTCTTTGTTTCTGTTTCTATCTCTGTCTCTCTCTATTATAGCAGGAAATGCTTTACTTCTTGGCAACCAGGTTGGGATTTCCCAGTAGGCATTTAATCAGGCATTTGCCTACTGTCATAACCTTGGAATGTTGAAGGTGGAAAGAGAGAGAATTTCCAGCAACATTCTTTTTTTTTTTTTTTTGGCTCAGTGCTAGGGTGATATTACCACAGCAATATGATATCAACACAGCATGGTCCCTGCTCTCATGGAGCTTACATTTAGTTAGTGAGACTTCAGGTACTTAAACAGGCAGCTGCAATGCAATATGCTAAATACCACAACAGAGAGAAGAATTGTGTGATAGGGGAAGACATATAAGAGGCATCTAACCCACGCTTGAAGGTGGGGTTCAGGGGTCAAGTTTGGCTTCCCAGAGTTACGAAAGCAAAACCAAACAAAATTATATAAAATAATTGAAATATTCAAAATGTAAAAGCAAGGAGTCATTCTGTCCCATCTTTGCATTTGTTTATGTACCTGTTTTTCTAGTTTCAACCTGTGCCACGGTTGAGTTCCGCTGTGCAGATGGGACTTGTATTCCAAGATCAGCACGATGCAACCAGAACATAGATTGTGCAGATGCTTCAGATGAAAAGAACTGCAGTAAGATATTCCACTACCTTTTGTCTGTTTATGCTTGGGCACTTTTGGCATTGCATTGAACACTGTGCAAGATTTTACTGAACTTTGTCCAAAATTGGTATGTAATTAACCCCTGTTGTGTGGGATAATTACGTATCTATTTCCTCAAATGAAGTTAACTTTTCTCATCTCTATGACCTACATAGAAGGCTCATAATCTTTGAAAATGAGGTACTTTTTCATTTTTTGTTTACCTTCTTCTAGATAACACAGACTGCACACATTTCTATAAGCTTGGAGTGAAAACCACAGGGTTCATAAGATGTAATTCTACCTCACTGTGTGTTCTGCCAACCTGGATATGCGACGGGTCTAATGACTGTGGAGACTATTCAGATGAATTAAAGTGCCCAGGTAATACTAGAATTTAGAAAAACACAGGCTTTGCCTTGGAGATTTTGAGGCTACCTGGTTGTATAGAGTGAATTTTTAAAATTTTATTCTTAATATCAATTATTGACATTAAAATTTAAATGGCACAGACTGAAATGTAATTAACCTGTTCTAAACATACCGCTTGATCTTTTTAAGTGAGTTACAAAATGATATTCAAGAAACCATCCTAAACTTGGATCAATTTTTTATGTTTAGTTATTAACCCTTTCAAAATTGGTGATTAAGTCTTTCAAGTTTGTAATTTATAATCCTTCAACAGAATTATTACATACCTAGAAATAACTTCATAAAAGAAGAGAAACAATGTTTCTTACGACTGGCCTTACTCAGTGTTATTGTACAGCAATGTTTTAATGCAGTTTACAAAATCCTTTGGTGTAGTAATTTGAGTAATAGTTATAATCATTATTGAATCAAGTTAAGACAGGTTCATTTATATCTGACTGTTAACCATCTTTACATACATAAGCCCTGAAAACTGTCATCTACATTCTTAGAAGAATGCCTTCCAGCAAAGTTCTTGACTGTTTCTTTCTATTTGAGGACATGAAATTAAAAAAAAATTATAAAAAGAACTATGTATAACTGGAAGTAGAGATTCTATATAGGACACTATTAAATTTTGTCTCATATTGGTTTGCCTCTCTCCACCCTGCTGCTACACCCATGTTTTTCATGTTTAGTTGATATATAATAATTTTTAAACAATTTTAAGAAATTATATTCATAAGTATTTTACACAAAAGTTTATACACACACAATCTACTATGAAAGTCTGATTTTTTAGTAGATGACACATTTATTATTTCTAAATTTGTGATGGTTCTTTTATCATGTATATAATTGTTTAAATTTTGATTTTACACTTAGAGTGGACATGTGCAGGCTTATTACTTGGGTATACTGCATGATGCTGAGGTTTGGGCTTGTATTGATCCTGTCACGCATTTAGTGAACATGGTACCTAATAGTTTTTCAGTCCTTTGCCTCCTTCCTCCCTCTCCCCTTTTGGAGTCCCCAGTATCTATTGTTCCATATTTACTTCGTTGTGTACTCAATGTTTAGCTCCCACTTGCAACTGGGAACATGTGATATATGGTTTTCTGTTCTTGCATTGATTTACTTAGGATAATGCTCTTGAGCTGCATTCATGTTACTGCAAAGGACATGATTTCACTTTTTTATGACTGCATAGAATTCCATGGTGTATGTGTACCATATATTCTTTATCCGGTGCACCACTGATGGACATCTACATTAATTTAATATATTTGCTATTGTGAGTAGTATTTCAATAAACATATATGAGTGCATGTATCTTTATTTTCCTTTGAGTATGTGATGAGATTGGCTTAAATCATAGTTCTACTTTTAGTTTTTGAGAAATCTCCAAACTACTTTTCACAGGGGCTGAACTAATTTACACTCCGATCAACAGTGTATAAGTGTTTCTTTTTCTCGACAACCTCACCAACATCTTACTTTTTGACTTTTTAAACAAAAGGCATTCTGACTACTATGAGATGGTACCTCGTGGTTTTGATTTGCATTTCTCTCATGATTAGTGATATTGAGCACTTTTTTATGTGTTTGTTGGCCACTTTTATGTCTTCTTTTGAGAAGTGTCTGTTTCTATACTCGACCCATTTTTAATGGGGTTATTTGTTTTTTTTATTTCTTATTGATTTATTTAAATTCCTTATAGATTCTGGATATTTTTTCTTTGCCAGATACATAGTTGGAAAATATTTTCTCCCAGGGTACCTGTTTACTCTGTTGATAGTTTTTTTGTTGTTGTCGTGCAGAAGCTCTTTCGTTTAATGAAGTCCCATTTGTCAATTTCTGTTTTTGTTGCAATTGCTTTTGAGGACTTAGTCATAAATTCTTTTCCTAGGACTGTGTCCAGAAAAGCATTTCTTAGGATTTCTTGCAGTATTTTTATAGTTTGAGATCATACATTTAAGTCTTCAAACTTCTTTGACTTAATTTTTGAATATGATAAGAGGTAGGAGTCCAGTTTCGTTCTTTTGCGTATGGTAAGTGGGATTGTGCTTTTTATTTAGCCCTCAGCTTGAACTTTGTGTATAGTAATGCTACTGATTTTTATACATTAATTTTGCATCTTCACTAAACTTGATTATGAGATCTAGGGGCCTTTTTTGCAGAGTCTTTAGGTGTACATTTATGATGTCAGTGAAGAGAAATAGTTTGGTTTCCTATTTTTCTATTTGCATGCCTTTAAATTTCTTTCTCTAGCCTGATTGCTCGGGCTAAGATTTCCTATACTATGTTGAAAAGGAGTGGTGAGAGTGAGCATCCTTGTTTTGTTCCAGATCTCAGGGGCAATGAATGATTCCAGCTTTTGCACCTTCAATTTGAGATTGGCTTTGGGCTTGTCACAGATGGCTCTTATTGTTCTTTCCATGACTAGTTTGTCGAGGATTGTTATCATGAAGCGATATTGGATTTTATTGAATGCTTTTTCTGTGTCTATTGAGATGATCACATGGGTTTTGTTCTTAATTCTGTTTATGTAGTGAATCATACTTATTGATTTGCATATGTTGCACCGACCTGGAATCCCAGGAATAAAGCCTACTTGCCCATTGTGAATTAGATTTTTGATGTGACACAGGATTTGGTTTGCTAGTATTTTGTTAAAGGTTTTTGTTCCTATGTTCATTAGGGATATTGGTCTGTAGTTTTGCTGTGGTGGTTGTTGTATCTTTGTCAGATTTTGGTATTAGGATGATCCTGATTTCATAGAATGAGTTAGGGAGAAATCTCACCTCCTTAATTATTTGGAACAGTTTCAGCAGCATTGGTATCAGCTCTTCTTTGTACATCTGGTAGAATTTGGCTGTGAATATATCTGTTCCAGGGCTTTTTTTATTTGTATATTTTTTATTACTGATTCAGTTTTAGAACTCATTGATCTATTCATGTTTTCAATGTCTTCCTTACTCAATTTTGGGAGATTGTGCCTTTCCAGAAATTTATTCATTTTCTCTAAATTTTAGAGTATGTTCACAATAGTTTCTGATGATATTTTGTGGGATCAGTTGTTATGTTGCCTTTGTCATTTCTGATTGTGCTTGTTTTAGACTTATCTCTTTTTTTTTTGTTAATCTAGCAAGCGGTCCATCAACATTGTCTAACCTTTAAAAGAACCAGCATTTTATTTCATTGATCCTTGTATAGTTTTGGGGGTCTCATTTTATTTTCTTCTGCTCTGATTTTAGTTTTTTTCTTCTGTTGACTCTGGGATTAGTTTTTTTCTTTCCTTGGTTCGTTTAGGTGCAGTCAGATTGTTATTTGAGCTCTTTCTATCTTTTTGATGTGGACATTTAGTACTATAAACCTTCCTTTTAATACTGTTTTTGCCACATCTCAGAGATTTTGGTATGTTGTGTCTCTGCTTTCATTTGTTTCAAATAATCATTTGTTATCTGCTTTAATTTCATTGTTTACCCAAAATTCATTCGGAGCAAGTTTTAGTTTCCATATTATGTGGTTTTGAGTATTCCTCTGGTTATTGATTTCTACTTTTTCTATTTTTATTTCACTGAGGCCTGAGAATTTGGTATTTTTAAAAAATTTATTGAGACTTGTTTTATGACCACACCTGTGGTTAACTTTAGAGTATATTTTGTGTACAGATGAGAAGAATGTATATGCTACGGTAGTCTGGAGTGTTTTGTGGATGTCTATTAGGTCCAATAGGTCAAGTGTTGAATTACATTCAGAATTTCCTTGTTAGTTTTCTGCCTCATTGACCGAATGATGTCACTGGAGTATTGAATTCTGCTACTGTTATTGTGGCTATCAAGTTGTTTTGTAGGTCTAGAAGTACTAGTTTTATGAATCTAGGTGCTCTTCTTTATTTTTTTCTACTGTTGTTGTTTAAAGTCTATTATATCTGATATACGAATAGCAAATACTGCTCTTTTTTTGTTTTCCATTTGCATGATAGATCTTTCTCCATCCTTTTCTTTGAGCCTATGGGTGTCATTATGTCAGATAGATCTCTTGAAGATGGCAGAAGGATAGGTTTTGCTTTTTTATCCAGTTTACAACTGTATGTCTTTTAAGGCCATTTACATTGAAGGTTAATATTGATATGTGAGATTTTATTCTTGTTGTAGTGTTGTTAGCTAGGTGATTTTTAGTGTCATTTGTGTAGTTGCTTTGTAGGGTTCATGGGCTGTGTGCTTATGTGTTCTTTTGTGGTAGTATCATTCTTTCATTTCCATTCAAAGAACCCCCTCAGGCTCTCTTCTAGTACTGATCTGGTGGTGATCTAGTCCTTTAACAATTGCTTGTCTGGGAAAGACTTTATTTCTCCTTTATCTATGGAGGTTAGTGTAAAATTCTTAACTGGCATTTATTTTCCTTAAGAATGCTAAAAATAGGTCCCCAATCTCTTCTAGATTTTAAGGTTTCTGCTGAGAAGTCTGTTGTTAGTCTGCTAGGTTTCACTTTACAGGTGATGTGGCCAATTTTTGTAGCTGCTTTCAAACTTCTTTTATGTTGATGTTGGATAGCCCAATGACCGTGTGCTGTGCCTTGGGGATGATTGTCTTGTTCAGTATCTTGCAGGAGATCTCTGGCTATCTTGAATCTGTCTGTTGATTTCTCTAGCAAGATTGGGGATATTTTCATGAATTATACCATCAAATATGTTTTCTAAGTTGCATACTTTCTCTTCTCTCTCATGAATCTCAATAAGTCATAGATTTTATCACTTTTCTTGATCCTATATTTCTCAAAAGCTTTGTTCATTTTCTAAAATTCTTTTTTATTTTTGAAAAAAATTAATATGAAGGACCAGTCTTAAAGCTTTGGAATTCTTTCTTCTGCTTGGTCTAATCTATTGTTAAGGCTTTCAATTGTATTTTGAAATTCTGCAGTGATTTTTTTTAATTCCAAAAGTTCTGTTTAGTTCTTTCTTAATCCTGCTATGTTGTCTTTCAAATCCTGAATTTTCTTTTTTTTTTTTTTTTCTGTTTTCTTAGTGTTAGATTTCAAACTTCTTTTGGGTTTTGTTGAGTATTCTTGCTATGCATGTCCTAAATTCTAGAGCATTTGACTGTAGCTCACTGCAGGTCTTTCACATTAAAAAAATTAATTATATAAAGTATTTAAAAGAAATATAGACACTTATTACTTTAGACTCATGAAACTGGCACCAAAAAAAATTATACTTTAAGTTCTAGGGTACATGTGCACAATGTGCAGGTTTTTTACATATGTGTACATGTGCCATGTTGGTTTGCTGCACCCATCAACTCGCCATCCACATTAGGCATTTCTCCTAATGCTATTCCTCCCTCATCCCCCAACCCCAAAACAGACCCCAGTGTGTGATGTTCCCTGCCCTGTGTCCAAGTGTTCTCATTGTTCAATTTCCACCTATGAGTGAGAACATGTGGTGTTTGGTTTTCTGTCCTTGCGATAGTTTGCTCAGAATGATGGTTTCCAGCTTCATCCATGTCCTTACAAAGGACATGAACTCATCCTTTTCTATGGTTGCATAGTATTCCATGGTGTACATGTGCACATTTTCTTAATCCAGTCTATCATTGATGGACATTTGGGTTGGTTACAAGTCTTTGCTATTGTGAATAGTGCCGCAATAAACATACATGTGCATGTGTGTTTATAGTAGCATGATTTATAATCCTTTGGGTATATACCCAGTAATAGGATCACTAGGTCAAATGATATTTCTAGTTCTAGATCCTTGAGGAATCGTCACACTGTCTTCCACAATGGTTGAACACTCCCAAAAACAGTGTAAAAGCATTCCTATTTCTCCACATCCTCTCCAGCACCTGTTGTTTCCTGACTTTTTAATGATCGCCATTCTAACTGGTGTGAGATGGTATCTCATTGCGGTTTTGATTTGCATTTCTCTGATGACCAGTGGATGATGAGCATTTTTTTCATGTGTCTGTTGGCTGCATAAATGTCTTCTTTGGAGAAGTGTCTGTTTATATCCTTTGTCCACTTGTTGATGGGGTTGTTTGATTTTTTCTTGTAAATTTGTTTGAGTTCTTTGTAGATTCTGGATATTAGCCCTTTGTCAGATGGGTAGAGTGCAAACATTTTCTCCCATTCTGTAGGTTGCCTGTTCACTCTGATGGTAGTTTCTTCTGCTGTGCAGAATCTCTTTAGTTTTATTAGATCCCATTTGTCTATTTTGGCTTTTGTTGCCATTGCTTTTGGTGTTTTAGTCATGAAGTCCTTGCCCTTACCTATGTCCTGAATGGTATTGCCGAGGTTTTCTTCTAGGGTTTTTATGGTTTTAGGTCTAACATTTAAGTCTTTAATCCATCTTGAATTAATTTTTGTATAAGGTGTAAGGAAGGGATCCAGTTTCAGCTTTCCACATATGGCTAGCCAATTTTCCCAGCACCATTTATTAAATAGAGAATCCTTTCCCCATTTCTTGTTTTTGTTAGGTTTGTCAAAGATCAGATGGTTGTAGACGTGTAGTGTTATTTCTGAGGCCTCTGTTCTGTTCCATTGGTCTATATCTCTGTTTTGTTACCAGTATCATGCTGTTTTGGTTACTGTGGCCTTGTAGTATAGTTTGAAGTCAGGTAGTGTGATGCTTCCAGCTTTGTTCTTTTTGCTTAGGATTGTCTTGGCAATGTGGGCTCTATTTTGGTTCCATATGGACTTTAACGTAGTTTTTTCCAATTCTGTGAAGAAAGTCATTGGTAGCTTGATGGGGATGGCATTGCGTCTATAAATTACCTTGGGCAGTATGGCCAGTTTTATGATATTGATTCTTCCTATGCATAAGCATGGACTGTTCTTCCATTTATTTGTGTCCTCTTTTATTTCTGGCCAGGGCAATCAGGCAAGAGAAAGAAATAAAGGAAAGAAATTAGGAAAAGAGGAAGTCAAATTGTCCGTGTTTGCAGATGACGTGATTGTATATTTAGAAAACCCCATTGTCTCAGCCCAAAATCTCCTTAAGCTGATAAACAACTTCAAGCAAAGTCTCAGGATACAAAATCAATGTGCAAAAATCGCAAGCATTCTTATACACCAATAACAGACAGAGAGCCAAATCATGAGTGAACTCCCATTCACAGTTGTTACAAAGAGAATAAAATACCTAGGAATCCAACTTACAAGGGATGTGAAGGACCTCTTCAGGGAGAACTACAAACCACTGCTCTACGAAACTGGTGCCAAGATTCTTAATTTTCTGTTTACAACAACACATTCTTTACCTCAGTATGACTGTAGTTAATTTTGAAATTATCTTGAGGTCAGCATATGATAGATATTAATTAAACTAAAATTTTATTTTTCTTTTTTGTGATCTCCATCTCTTTCTAGTATTAATAAGTTATCTTAAAATTAACTTTCAACACTAATAGAGAATCACAACTTTTATATTTGGTAAGAAAGAAAGGGACATGCATGCAGGCTTATGAGGCAGGTAGACAGACAGACAGGAAGCCAGCAATGGGTCAGCCTAAATACTTCAGATTAGATCCAGGAAACATCCTAAGCATCCTAAAATGTTTTGGTTTAATGCTGAATTCACTCAAAAAATATATTTTCATCTTTAATTACATCTACAAAGTCAACATATAAAAAATAAAATGCCTACAATTTTTGTTATCTTAAAATAGCCATAATAGACCATTATAGTGTGATTGGGATATATACACTAGGGTTTACTTCCTGCTTGGCTATAGATCAAACATGTAAAATCATGTAAACCTGAAGGAGCAATGGAACAGATGACACCCAGTTAAAAGATAAATTTAGGCTGGGCACAGTGGCTCACACCTGTAATCCCAGCACTTTGGGAGGCCGAGGCGGGAGGATCATGACGTCAGAAGTTCAAGACCAGCCTGACCAGTATGGTAAAACCTCATCTCTATTAAAAATACAAAAATTAGCCGGGCATGGTGGCACAAGCCTGTAGTCCTAGCTATTCAGGAGTCTGAGGCAGGAGAATCACTTGAACCCGGGAGGCGGAGTTTGTAGTGAGCCAAGATTGTGCCACTGCACTCCAGCCTGGGTGACAGAGTGAAACTCCATCTCAACAAAAAAAAAAAAAAAAGGAAAGATAAATATAGTATTCTATATGTACTCTTGAAGGTTAAAATAATGATAATACTCCATAATTTAAAAAATATATATAATTTACAAAATAATTTTACATACAGGTACTTTTTTATGATAATTCTGAAAGGCATAATAATTTCAGATTTGCCAGTGTAACTCGTTTATTCTTCCTTAAAATACAGAATAATTGTTTAAATCCTGTTAAGGAATACTCCAAATAGATGGCCACAGAAACACTAGATTCACACTTTTCCAGCAAAGATACACCAATGTATTAATTTTATTATTTTGTGCTATGAATATGGAATTAAGAGTATTTTCCACCCAAATATTATTCTTTGGCCTTAGGCTCACTCAATTTAGAGTCGTATCTATTTTTTAACTTTATTTTATGTTTATTAACTAAGTGCTACTGTTATAATTTAAACCAATTTTACATTACTATAATCTTTCTGTTCTAGGACTCAATCCTGGATTGGATTTGATTATCATGTCTCATGGGTCTCTGTTCTGGGACAGTTTCTGAATCTTTCCTTTATTTTCATAACCTTGACATTCTTTAGGAGAAAATCTTAGCTATTTTTAAGCTTACTTGTTATTTATCTCTTTCAGTTTAGGGAGTATTAATGATTTATCTACCTATATTTCAGAAGTCTAAAATGAAATTGTTTGACATTCCATATTTTATCACAGTTCAAAACAAACACAAATGTGAAGAAAATTATTTTAGTTGTCCTAGTGGAAGATGCATTTTGAATACCTGGATATGCGATGGTCAGAAAGATTGTGAGGATGGACGTGATGAATTCCACTGTGGTGAGACATTGTATTTAGCTTAGTTTTTGTTAACCTTACTATTACTTATATGTTAGTATTCTCTTATGTAGGGATTTTATACAAAACATTGTCAGCTGATTTTAACATTAATTTTCATTTTTATTAAATAATACAAAAATGGTAAAGATTAAAATTAAAACAGAAGAGCTTATAATGAAGACTAACACTCTTTGGTCCTAGACTTTTCTTTTAACCTCTGTTTTTGTTGAATAATTACTTCCATCAGTTTATAATATAGATATAATAAAGTTATACCTTTTCTTAATTTATTAACTTTAGGTGGTACCTGATGTATTTGCTTTCTGCTATAAAAAATAAGGATTTGACACATGCTACTTGTTATATTTCCCCCACCTATTATTGGTATCTGCATGGGGGATTGGGTCTAACACCCTGTGGACACCAAAATCCATGGATGCTCAAGTCCCTTATATAAAGCAGCCTAGTAGTTGCATATAACCTATGCACATCATCCTGTACATTTTAAATAACCTCTTGATTACTTATAATGCCTAATACAATGTAAATATTATGTTAATTATTGTTTTATTGTATTGTTTTTATTTGTATTATATTTTATTCTTGTATTGTTATTATTTAATCTTATTTTTTCAAATACTTCTGATGTGTAGTTTGTTGAATCCATGGATATTAAAGGCACAGATGTGGAGAGCTGACTGAATATTATTATCCTGAAATTTTGTACTAATTACATGTATAGCTTTCAATAATATATATAAACTTCTATTTCTTTAAACTTTTGCCTTTCATCTTCTACCTCCTAATTTCTGTGTGTGTACACTTTATTTCATGTTACATTGTCAAACTAAGAAAGCATTTTTACGTTTTGTTTCTAAAATGTATGGATTTTGTGATTTGCAAATCAAAGAAATTTCCAATAGGAAAACAAGGTATATATTCACTATTTACATTTAGCACAAATAACATACACTGTGGTGAATAGATAGAGTAGAAAAAAGATTAAAAACGGATTTTCTGTGAAATGTCAAACTCTCCTAAAAGTAAATGTCATCATGAAATGTGAAGGTGCATTTTATTTTACTAAGATGCCATATATCTTTACATTAGAGCCAGATTTTGAACAAGACTAACAGAGAACTTCCAAAATATTGTATGTGGATTCATAATTTCTGAACACTGGCCATTATCTGATCATATCTTCTTTAATTTTATTTTTTCCAAACTCCAGTTTTCTAATGTTCTCTGTTTCACAGGTCATCTAATTAAGCATTTTAAATGAAAATGCAAAGTTTTGCAATTGTTTATGAAATCAAAAGCAGAATTGCTATTTTTACAAGAGTTTATATTTTGAACACCTTAATTTAGAAGGATTTTACTTTTGAAGGTTTTCTAGTGACAAATATACTGGGTAGAAGGGGAGGCTGGGAATGGAGGAGAGCAATAACAAAATTGGCTTTGGAAATAAATGGAGTGTGTTATTATTATAAAAATATAATCTAATAATAAAAAAGCCAGCCACTATGCCAATTAATTTAGGTGTTATTAGTCAGGTATAACAAACCCAAGTGTTTCCAAGGAAGCAACACAAAAACATCAGCACAGTTGCTACGTACAAAACTGTCAGGTTGTCTTCAAGCTATAACCTCCTTAGTCACCCACCTTTAAAAACAAACATATCTGCTGATTAGTCCACCATATTGTTACCTTACTTAGGACGTAAGTGTTTTCTCTTGGCTCAAAGATAGATTTAAAGTTAAAAAGTATGACTAGACTATACCAGAAATATATATTTTATATCTATGCATTACACATTCAAAAAATAATAATAACAGACAAATATACCTGGAGTAGAGTGACCGCATTAGGACTACCTCAAAGGCAAGCCTTATAAGAATCATGTTGAACAAATCGTGGTTGTATCACCTGGAAACACAGAGGGAATATGCAAGCTGATGCCAAAATTTTATAGAATTGTCATAGAAAAGAAGAAGTTGGCTTCTTTTATTATAGGATTGTTGATTTTAGCAAAGTCTAAGAAAGAATCTTCTCACTGTCGGATCTGTTGTAAGACGGTCTCAAACTATTTTTTTTTTTCCTTTTGTTTGTTTCCTAGATTCTTCTTGCTCTTGGAACCAATTTGCTTGTTCCGCACAAAAATGTATTTCTAAGCATTGGATTTGTGATGGAGAAGATGACTGTGGGGATGGGTTAGATGAAAGTGACAGCATTTGTGGTAAGTTGTGTATCTTCTGTCCTCAATCAGTTTTTAAGCATTATATATGCTCTATCATTTTATAGCATACACAAAATTTGCTAATTTATTAAAATTAACATAAAATTTATGTGTACCTTTCTAGGTAGCTGTTTTTATTATTTTCATGACAATCCATTATTCTAATATTTTTATATATAAAGCTGTTATTCAATATTTGGTATTTTTCCTTAATATTGCCACAACAAATGTATTTGTACATTTTATTTCTAGCTTTCGGTGAATTCTTTGAAGCAAATATCAATGATTGAGATTACAGGGTCAAATAATCAAACTTATTTTTCATTATGCTGCCTATGTACCACCAAGTTACCCTCCAAAATTAGTATACTAATTTATACTGCCACAAGCCACACGTGCTGTTTATGTGCATATGTGTGTGTTGTTTTCATCCTTATTGCTGAATTGTTTTAAATAAGAAGTAAAGGAAAGTGGCTATTTTATATGATATTAAAATGCACTTTAAAATGTAGCTTTATAAGATTAGAGGTATTAGTGTCACGTATCTATACTTAACTACTATATGTCAACTACAAGCCCAGTATGATTGCTTTGTAATATTCACAAATATTTAACAAATAGTTAAATAGAATTATTCACTGAATTTCCTAAGGGGTAAAAGAAGGAAACAAGCTAGTCTTTAAAATTTGTTCTTACCGGCCAAGAATTTCACTATTTTTATAGATGTCTATTGGTTGTCTATCTAATCTATTTCTGTACATGCATTTGTACCTGTAGCTATATATTCTTTACTCATTACATCAGCCTTTGGTGGCAGCTGTTATCATCCTCTTTTAGGAAGAGAAGGACCCAAGTCATAGAATAAGGTGTATGTATAGATTTTAGTATACTTAACACCTCTTTTAAATTTCAGGGGTTGTGGACTGCTATTTCTGTCACAAACATATAGAGAAAGGCGGTATTTTTTAGTATTCAAGCTCAACTGAAGTTCTCTTTAGTAATATGAAATTGGAGATATTCTTGAAAGTAGGCAATTTACTTTCTTGTATTTAAGTCACTCAAAATCTACTTTTTATTTACACAGCTGAAACCATTTACAGTTATACAACAGACAAATATAGAAAGATCACTATCAAAAAGCTGTGAAAGAAAAAAAGTCAGTAATCAATTAGATGACTGTCTGTTTCTCTTTGCTATTACTTTTAAAAATAAATTTAATAAAAGAATTACCTATTTACAATAGGATGAGCACTGTTTCAATCTCTAAAATTATCTTACTTTTGACTTTTGTTAAACTCTACACTAAACTGCCCCGTTGATAACACTGTGCTTTCTGAGTGGACACAGTATTATAGGGGCAAAGTCTCTAAAGTCATGTAGACTTGACTTCTCCCACATCTGCATTTTCAAGCTGTGTGATCATAGACCACTTCATTTTTTTCCTTATCTTGTTATTCCTTACCTATTAATTGGATACAAAAAGATTTGTACTTATATACCTGTATACCTAATATGATCATCCAACATAACCAATGTACACTATATTTATGAGGTTTTTCTGATTTTATTTCTCCTGCCTCCTTTCTTTGTCGAAGTATTGTCAGTGTCCTAATAATGCTTTTTTATTAAAGACTAATAAGAAAATGGACATGTTTACCTGCAATCAAAATACTGAGCTTATTTACGTTAATTATGAGCTGTATTTTATGTACTAACTACCAAGCTTGAGACACATAAAGAAAATACTGCTTTAGACCAATCATCAGCCAATGAACTGAACCTCCTATTTTAGAACAGGAAAATAACTTTATAAATAATTCGTCTCACTTGTTTTCAACCTTTGGAGTACAAAAGATCGTTCTCAGAAGTGTGTTAAAAATGTTGTTTCCCAATTTCCAATTCAAAATATTCTGATGCAGGATGTAAACACATTCTTTATTGATATGCACATAGTGATTCTGATTTGGAATATTAAGGGTCCCATTTTGAAAACCATGGTCTAGTTTATTTCCATCTTTTGAGAGATGAAAAAAGAGAAACTCACAGAAATTAATACATTTTCCTGAGGTCACTCAGATAATTAACTATGACAGAGGTATGAGCAGAATTCAGGTTCCAAAATATTAATAGGCTAGTGACTCTTATCAATTAAATATTATTATCCGAGTTGGTGTGCAAGATGGATCTAGTGGAATTTATCAACTTGTCTTTCTTCTCCCTCGGGATTCTTTTCCCTGAGAAAGGCAGTATATCTCCAGATGGCAGTGGCAACTATGAAATAAAGTCATGAATTTTTTCTTTGGCCCATTTTCTTCCCAATTGACTATGATGTTTTGGCATGTTCTTAACACAAAATCTGTTGAATACTATCAAGGGAGCCAGAAAATTAGCTGCAAAGAGCCTTATGCCATTTTATAGCTGGAGATATCTCAGTAATGATCTAGTCATACCCATCATTTTAAAGATAGGGTAATTCAGACACTAGTCTTCATCAAGGTCATACAGAATTAGATTTCTCCACTGCCAAATCGGGGCTCTTTCTATTATGACTGCCTTGAGAACAAATTAAAGTGATAATATGGCAGTAGACAAGAAATTTTACATTTATCAAAACTTCCTTAAGAGAAAAAAATGCAGTTAAAAACATCTCAAGCTAAAAAGTAAAAATGTTATACAAAGCATTGAATTGAGAATATAATAATAAAAAGGACACTTTATGGTTTCATGGCAAGCTTAAAAAGGATAGATAAGGAGGAATAATATAAAAATATTTTCTGTGGAAAGATAATTTTATTATAGAAAGTACTGAAGACATACTAGTTAGCAAACAAAATAATTTTTAAATGAAAGTACATTTATTTAATAGATTATTTTCTAACTTCTTCCAGTACTACATAAAATGTTAAACTCCATTCTATTAAATAGATCCTCAGTTAAATAAGCAAGTCTAGATTACGGGGGGGATTTGTCAACATCCACTCTTCATCCTTTCCTCCAGGCTAAGGTATATGTCAAGGACAGGTATGTTTATATTGCAAAAGACCCCTAGAGGGGCTGGGCGCGGTGGCTCACGCCTGTAACCCCAGCACTTTGGGAGACCGAGGCGGGCGGATCACGAGGTCAGGATATTGAGACCATTCTGGCTAACACAGTGAAACCCCGTCTCTACTAAAAATACAAAAAATTAGCCGGGCGTGGAGGCGGGCGCCTGTAGTCCCAGCTACTCCGGAGGCTGAGGCGGGAGAATGGCGTGAACCCGGGAGGCGGAGCTTGCATTGAGCCGAGACCGCGCCACCGCACTCCAGCCTGGGCGACAGAGCGAGACTCCGTCTCAAAAAAAAAAAAAAAAAAAAAAAAAAAGACCCTTAGAGGATTGTATTTTGATACCCCACTGCTTACCATATTGAAAACATTACTTCAAAAAGAATTTTCTGCTCCTAACAACTCTGGCTGAAAAGTAAGAGGATAAATGATAATCCAATTAAAACACACTGTCTACTGCTTTCAATTGTTAGAAACAAATATTTTTCATCTAGTCACTTATATTTTCTTCCTGGAGATAATATACTATTTTCAACACTTCAACAAATTTCTTTTTTAGCATCAATTCTGGGCAACTTTGGGTCATAAGAAAGTAAAATTTAAAAAAAAAAAGAGATTTAGGGTCATGTTACTGATTCACTCAGGTACTTTTTATAAACAAACAAACAAAACATTCAAAACATTCATTGTATGTAACTGCACAGGGACTAGGAAAATATCATGAGGGAGGGCCATTTGACATATGGCTACCCTATGATCATAACGGGAAGGAAAGAGGAACCCTTTGTACTTAAAAGTCCAAGTCAACAAGCATTTTTTTGAAAGACATTATCATGCAACTAAAGAAACATTGCAGTGATAGAGCAAAGGTAGATTCCAATTATTATGCATGAAAAAAATGGAACGTGCATGCATTTATACTTTTTGGTACTACAAGATGGAGAGTAATAGTAATGACATGAGTGGTTAAAAGTTGGTGCTTAGGATTCAGAGGGTGCTTAGGATCCAGAGGACTCCCAGTTGAGCATGCAAAATTGCGTGCAACTTGTGACTTTCTGCAAGCTTTTCAACTTCCCCGAGCCTCAGTTTTCTTTTCTGTAAAATGATACTGATAATAGTTCTATGGGTTGGGCTTATTGTAAGGAATAAATGAGTTAATATGTTAAGTGCTTAGCACGTATTAAGCAATAAAAATGGCATTATTTCAATTACTATTATTTTTCTAGTTCAGGCCTTTAGAAATGTTATCTCAGTGTATTCACAATTCTATGACATTTCTATGCTTTGCCACATTTTACAAGGATAAAGTACATTATTTTCTACCATGTAGCTTTAAGAAATATAACAATTATAGCTAGGAAAGAATGCCTTCTTAGATAAAAATGTGTGGACAACTACAGGGGAAGAATGATGTTTAATGATTCCCAATAACTACAATCGCCTCCTTATAAGCAACATTCTTCTGCTTCCCCCCTTACTGTAGAAAATGTAAATGGTAGACATTTTCCAGTGGACACAGAGTAATCTTAATGGCATTATGTTTTTGTGTTTCAGGTGCCATAACCTGTGCTGCTGACATGTTCAGCTGCCAGGGCTCTCGTGCCTGCGTGCCCCGACATTGGCTTTGTGATGGTGAAAGGGACTGTCCAGATGGAAGCGATGAGCTTTCCACAGCAGGCTGCGGTATGAACACTGGCCAGGGCTGCATGTCAAAGAAAACTGTTGCAGCATCCTTGGTTATTTGTTTTTGTAGTATTTGCCATAGCACATTTCCCATTGCTTTCCTAGTTCCTGGGCCCATAGGTAGTATTGGACTTAATCAGGTGGGATGACGGTATCACAGTAGTTCTGCAACCTCTTTAACTACTGTTCAATGTTTCAAACATGCACAGTCGGATTACCCATTTTAAAACCACTTTGATAAACACAGATTTATCATTTCACTTCTCAGCTAATGTAACTGCACTTTATGTGTACGAGTGCAGTAGGTTTGGTACTTTCTCTTTTGCGTCGTCCACCACCATCCTTCTGAAGGCTTTTAGATTGTCTGTTACAGAGACTCTGTGAATGACTTCTCTGATCCTAAATAACTACTGATCAGGAGGTCAGTAAACACCTATTAGTCCTATGGATAGGGTATTAACCCTTGGGTCATGTAAAAATAGTATGGATATAGCCGAATGAAGCTGAGGGATCAGAGGAGCACCTTCGGAGGTCAGACAATTTACTAAGTTTCTGACTCTAAGTCACCTCAGGAAATTTTCAGGGCATTACTCAACAGTAAAAATTTAGATGAATTCCTTTGCATGATCAGGAGGATAAAGGGACTGAATATTTGAATGCAGATCCCAAGGTCACATAGGGGATCCTTTGGGCTGAGCAATTTGTCAGAAATAATGCTGCGAACTCCGCTTGTTAAAATGAGTTCTGTCAGTCATCTCTCCAATGGCCTGCCTTCACATCTTTAAAGCATTGTATTTGAAGCCATAATATAAGTGTCTGTGTGTGTGTGTGTGTGTGTGTGTGTTTGTGTGTGTGTGTGTGTGTGCAGGGGTATGTACGTGAGGAATAGTTAAAGTAGAAAAGAAAAAAGAAAACTTCGAGGCAGACCTATTTGCACAGAACTCATACTATTGTTGTAGAATAATTCACTTTGATCTTGAAACTGATATGTGTGTCTGTAAAGGTCAATGAGGCCACTGAGGGCTACATAATAAAGGATTATGCATCAATTCAGGGATCCAGATGGTCCCAGTATGCTGTTGCTATTGTAGCAAGTTAACACTCTGGGAGGCATATTAACACGTTTGTACCACAAGGGTACTATTAAGTACATTCCGTTAAAATGCAGCAAATTGTACTCAAGTGATCTGAAAGTGTTAAAGCCAAATAAGTCACTGTTGCTCAGTGTTTTAAAGATTAATCCATGTATCGGAATTGGTGTAATTCACCTGAGTTATCCAAGCTGGCATACAGTTCAAATTTAAGAGGAGTTAGTAAAATCAGAGTTTTACTCTGATTACAACAGGCAATTGTTCATGCTACTTCTATGTGGCTTCTATACAGCTTTAAAAAAATCTTTGTTAAAAGTAAATTATGCCTGATTATATTTTAAAAACCCTTATGTGTTACCTACACTATGTCAATAATTTCTGAGATAAAGGGAGAGATTTATTTGTTCATGGAGCCTGGGGCAGTCTGGGGAGAGGGGGCTATAGGCAATGTGAAAGAATAATGATAATACCTGTATCTTAAGTGTTAAAGTGATGTGTATAAAATATACTATGTCAATCACAAAGAAATATTATGTAAAATATCCTACTAATATGTAAAATGCCTCAGGAAATGATTTCAAGAAAAAGTGATAATATTATCTGAGTCTTGAGGGACAAAGAAAGAGAAAGGTGTTTCATGTAGAGAAAAGTGCTTATTAAGACATGGAATTGGGAAATAGAAGGCACCTAAGTTTTTCAAGTACCCATTACATATCAATTATTGTAATTGTTGCTGTTATTTGCATTATTGAATTCCCACAATATTGTAGTGAACTGTTTTGAGGAATCTGCCAAAAATAATTATTATATAAATAGGAGTTTAAAGAGCACCTAGACATGTATTAAATACTTAAAATGAGCCAAATCTGCTTCACATACATTATCTAGCCCTTATAAGAAATGTATCAGATACATTTTATTATCCCCATTAAACAGATAAAGAAACAGATGCACCAAGAAGGTAAATTGCTTCCTTAAGGATACAAATATAAGTGCCACAGCCACTTTCTGCAAAGTCTTTCTCTTTCCAGCATTCTACAATAGCATATAGCGGATTATTGCTATTTGCAATACCCCAAACCTTGAGTCCTACATGGCATTTACCTTTTAAATATATGCAAAGATTACTGAAAATATTTAAATGAGTCTTGCAAACCTCTTATGATTCTATGCGTATGGTATTAATTTTTTCTTTCTCTGCACTAGTTATGTTCTTTTGAATTTTTGCTGAAATTTTGATCACTTGGATCAACCATTTTTTCCACTTGTTGGAACATTGCTTTCATGGATCAATATTCCTAAAGGGTCAATATTCCATTTCATTTGTGTGGTACTTACGGAGGGGCTGATGACATCAAAGATCTTACCTTTACCTAATTGGACACCCCACTCTAGAAGTCACCAAAAAGTTTTATTTTATTTTTTTAAAGACAATAACATTCTAAACCTTCTTAGTTTTCTTTTCACTTCCTTTATGAACATTAGCATTGCTCTTTACCAGTCTATTTTTCACAAGGAAACAACATTTTTATTACTTTACCAGCATTACTGTAGGCATAAGTAAAGGAAAAAAGCCTAGAATATTATTAGCTGAGATATTTTTTCTAACATGTGAACATTTGAATTCATCCTTCAGCAAATTTAAAATCGCTACATGGCTTGAATTCAGGGTCACTCTGGAATAGTTGAATTCATGAATACTAAATCCTTGAATTATGTGTATTTATATTCAGACATTCTAATATAAATACATATGCAATTATTAGCTTATCTGATGTATTGAATATTATGCAAAGTTTTCTTTTTCTCAGTAACTATGAATTATTGGATATGATTTTATATATTCCCCAAGCTCCTAATATAGGGGAAGATAACATATGTGCTCATCTAACTTTATTTTTTGTGATGCCTTTCTTAGCTCCCAATAATACATGTGATGAAAATGCTTTCATGTGCCATAATAAAGTATGCATTCCCAAGCAATTTGTTTGTGACCATGATGACGACTGTGGAGATGGCTCTGATGAGTCACCGCAGTGTGGTAAGTACATCTAAAACTTCATGAAGGAGATTCCTAGGCTAAGAGTCTTTCAAAACTAGTATGTAAATAAAAAACTAAAGCAACAAGCAACACATTTCTTAGTGTCATCAACACCCAGTGAATTCAGTAATACACAATCACAGCACATATAACTTATTTAAGCTCTAGTATAATACATTTCTTTGGAAATCATACCTGTTTGCAGTATATTTGCATCAGTAATATTGGAAAATGTTTATAAAAATGTCTTTGGGCTGGGTGCGGTGGCTCATGCCTGTAGTCCTAGCACTTCGGGAGGCTGAGGCGGGTGGATCACCTGAGGTCAGGAGTTCGAGACCAGCCTGGCCAACATGGGGAAACCCCATCTCTACTAAAAATACAAAAATTCGTCAGGCATGGTGGCCATGCCTGTAATCCCAGCTACTCGGGAGCCTGAGGCAGGAGAATTGCTTGTACCCAGGAAGTAGAGGTCGCAGTGAGCCGAGATCATGCCACTGCACTCCAGCCTGGGTGACAGAGTGAGACTCCATCTCAAAATAAATACATAAATAAATAAATTAAAATTAAAATTAAAAATGTCTTTGGTTTAACGTATTTTGAAATACTTGAAATTTGAAGACAGTATATGGCTGGCTTGTTCAGTTGTATAGCCAAATCAAATATTTGAGTAAAAAAAACATAATTCAGAATTATCAGAAAAGCCGGATACTTAATATTTTTCTACCCTTTATGTTTTGATGTATTCAATGATTTGATAAAATTTAATATTATTATCATGAAATGTATATTGCCTTTACATATATTTTTCTATGTTATATATAATATCTATACAACCTACAACTTTAATGATAGCATCAATATATTAAAAATGCTCAGTTGAAGTTTAACTGTAATGTGAACTTAATGTTTTCGTAAAATATCTGAATGCATAGACAAGAATAAATATATGTAATGAAAAGCTGTGAACTTTATATATGCTCATAGAAGGCAACAGATTTAGTGCCTGCCTTTGTTCTCCCTGTGCAGCGTCTATAGCCTTGGCCTTTGATATGAATCTCACTGAAATTAGTGGATATCAGTTTTTATGATTATTTCAGCGTGAAGTCTTACATTTGATGTGATATTTTAAAGGCTACATCATAACACAAGATATAAATCTGAAGCAGAGTTATATCTGATTGAATATCTCCCCTCTGCTAGACATTATATTTGGTTGATACAGAGATGAATGAGACAGAGAGGCCCCACTTGGAAAAGTCACAGATGAATGGAAAAAACAGAAATTCAATATAGTACAATAACATATTATGTCAAATAGAAACAAGAATCACAATGAGATCAGAGCTGAGAAGAATCGTTCTTGAGGTAGGCACTGAAGAATAGAAGCAGGGAATGTTAGTAAGAGGAAATCCTGTGTAATGCTAGAGAGCGTGGTGTGTGGTGGTTAATAGCATGAACTCCAGAGCTGGAGAGCCTGGGTTCAAGTCCTGGATCTTCTGTTTACTAGCTATGTGACCTTGAAAAGGTCACTTCACTTCCCTGGGCCTCGGTTTTCCATCTGTAAAGTATGTTTAATAAAAAGGCTTAAATGTTAGGACTGTTCAGAGAATTAAATGAATTTATATTTGTAAAGTTCTTAGAGCAGTTTCAGGAACAGTAAATTCTATATGTGTTTACAAAGACTGTAAATTGAGATGGTCGAGGAATAGCAATTAGTCTTCTGTTAGGTAAGTGGACATTTAAAAAGATGAAGTTAGATTTGAAAAAGGCTGAAATAAAGTGTTAGAGAATTTGTATTTAATTATTTTGTCTCTCAGAGGCCAGTGTACATTTTGAAACAAGAGAATGAAATGTTACAGTCACATTTTTGTTTTGGAACCATATTTTTTCACCAGAGTGGGAGAAATACTGCCATGGAGCAAAGGAGCCATAGAGGGAAATAAACTAGTTAGGGGGTTATTGTGATAGTTCTGATGATTAATGACGTGGTTTTGAACGAGGTTGGGAATGGTGGAGTGGAAGGTACAGAATGTGTCAGACTTCATTTACAGTAGGACATGGAGGATAAAAGGGAATTTCTAGCTTGGATGACTTGGTGATTGGTGCTGCTGTTAATGAATGTTGGGATACAAGAGGTTAAGGGTTAATTTTGTCAATAAGATGTGAGATGTAATAAAGACTTTATTGTGGATCTTTTGAATATGAGGTGTTAATCAGACAATCACATAAAGCTATATAGTGACTGTGTGATAATTTAATTCTAGATCAGAAGAACAACGAGGATAAGTAATATTAATTTTCTACCCATCAGCCTAAAGCTGGCAGGAAAATAAAGACTGAAGATTGAAGTTAGGGCTTTCCTGGCAATATTTTAGAATGGAACAGGAGAGGATTTCATACAGAAGGAAAAGAAGGGAACAGCAAGATCAAAGTTGGAAAGAAGTCCAGGAAGGTAGACTGTGAATATTATTAAGTCAGGAAACTCTTTCTAAGGTAGTGTGGTCAGAAACATAAAATGTTGCTAAAAGGTGAAGTAAATAGGAGGACAAGATCCAGAATTTGACACTTAGCACTTGGTGTTTGTTATCTCTAAGAGGAGTTTCAGAAGATAGAGGTCAGAGAAATGAAATGTTGATTGATCAGAGATGAACTGCAGGCAAGTAAGTGGAAGCCAGATTGGGCAATAAAGAGACAAGAAATGTGCTGATAAGAGGTGTATAGATTTTTATTGTTATTGGACTGGATAAGACTTCACTGTATTTGTTAAATGAGAAGAAGGAACTAATGAAGGAGGAGAGAGAGCGAAGAAATACTAGGGTAGCTAAGGCTATTTTAGAACTATCTAGTTTAACCATTCCAATATGATAATAATTTAAATTAAATATTCATTATTGAGTATATTTTCCGTTGGAATTGTGTTTATTTCTTAAGCCATAAAAATCTTACCCCCTCCCACTTAAAACAGAGCATTTACCCATATTTATCAGAAAGTTCTACTAGGAATAACTGTTTTTATAGTTGACAAACTTAGAAAAAATTCTTATAAAACAATGTTGAAAATCAAATAAGTTGTATTTACAAATAGGCATAGATATGAACTTTTACCAAATGATGTTTTTTCTGTAATTTGAATAAAGTTTTTAGTGACTCTAAGAATCAAGATGTAGGATAATTATAATAGTTTTTGTGCTTATTGCTCTAAAATTGACTTTTAAATTTTTCTCATTTTAACAATGTTTTTACACTTTGAGTGCTGCTTTCTAAACATAAACATGATATCAGAGCTTCTGAGAATTATCGTTATAGCTCAGAATCAGTTTATCCATATGTTCTGGTACTATACCTAACCAAGCTAATTCTAATAGCTTTCACTTTCATTTTCCATTCTAAGAGATATTATGATCTAGATAATAGGTGAAGAGAAATGGTATAGTCAAGGGTCACTTTCTTATTTCTTCACCTTGAAATAATAAGAATGTTAGTTTCCAACTTGAGTTTTTGGACCATATTCCTACTTCCAAACCACAAACATCTCTTGCAACTATAACCACTGTTACAGAAAGAAATGAGAAATATTTCTCATGGGAGACATGAGTAATCCACATTAATCCGGTGTAGTGTACATTGAGGAGATGACGTTTCAATTAGTATTTGTTATGTGAATTAGTCAAATGTTTTTTCTGCGTCTCTAGGATATCGACAGTGTGGTACAGAAGAATTTAGTTGTGCTGATGGGCGGTGTCTTCTAAATACTCAATGGCAGTGTGATGGAGACTTTGACTGTCCTGACCATTCTGATGAAGCACCTTTAAACCCAAAGTGTAAAAGTGCAGGTACAGAAATATATACAATACCGCATTTACTCTAAAGTGTTTTCAATGGAAAAATTGTGATTTTCTGTCTAGTATAGTATTCAATGAGAGAAAATGCAAATTATTAAGCATGTGATGTTTCTAGTGACACCATGCAGGGTACTAGTAATTGACTCTGTGAGAAGCTAGTTTTGGAAATTTAAGTCTGTGCCAAAAATATAAAGATTTGAGGCAGTGGTACTGCTGAATTCACCATCCTGTCTTCCCCACTGCCAAAAATTCATTATATCTTCATATATTATTTTATATAAGAATAATTTCACTGTATTGGCCTATTTGAAAATTCAAATGCAAAAAAGTTAAAATTTACTGTGAAGTAGTCTGTATTATTCATAATTAGGCAAGATGAAACATTGCATATCATTTGAATATACATATATTAAAAACTTGGTCTGTTTATCACTTCTCTATTCCAAATGCTAAATATATAATCACATATTACAGAATATACTCAAATAATTTTTTTCTCATGGACTTTACATGATAATGGGCTTTCTTTTAGCATGTATGATGGTGAGTATTGTTCAAGTCATCCAGCTATTTTCCATAGCTGTATTTGGAACAGCTATTATTCACCACTGATATCTGTTTTATACCCTGACTTCAAAATGTCAATGTTATATTTCCAGGAAGAAAAGAATTTAGGAATATCTACCTATTCTAGATTCTTAGTTTTTAGTGACATATAATTTCTCAGAGACCTATGGCTTGAGGGAATTGTCAAACTATCATTAAACTTTTGAACTCATTCTTCACAAAATAGAGGAGGCAGAAATAGTTCATTAATTTTACTATGGATGTTTATTTTGATAATTAATTTTCATGATCAAGCTATATTTGCAATAAGTATTGAACATGAAAGTACAGTTTGCCCTTGGTTTTCTGAACTTTAGGTGTAAGATATTATACTGAATATGTAAAAGATTTTATATAAACTTATATTATGATTTTTGACACCTGAGTTAATGATATTTGTGAATGTTTTCAACAACTGTAGTATAAAACAATGGCATGCCCTTTATGTTCCATTTGTTTTATTTTTTTTCCAGAACAGTCATGCAACAGTTCATTTTTTATGTGCAAAAATGGCAGGTGCATTCCCAGTGGAGGTCTTTGCGACAATAAGGATGACTGTGGCGATGGTTCAGATGAGAGAAACTGCCATATAAATGAATGTTTGAGTAAGAAAGTCAGTGGATGTTCTCAAGACTGTCAAGACCTTCCGGTCAGTTATAAGGTAGGTACTCATCAAAAGTAGCAAATCATACGATACATTAGAATTGGAGGTTAAGAAAGCTATTTAATCCAATATAGATGAAAAAGTTAAAAGCCATCATAATATTAAAACGAATTGAATGGAGAGTGTCGATATGAAGATACCATAATAGTAGTGTGATATAAAAGTTGTGAGAATATAGTTAAGAAGACAAAAATAAAATTGAAGCATTTTTCTACATTTTTGGAGCATAAAGGAAATAAATAAACCAGGGAAGACTAGTGATCAGAGACAATACTGCTATGTTAATAGCTGTATAAATACGTATTTAACTCTTAAGTTTCCATTTCTTCCCTCATTCTCTCTTCAGTACATCTTCGAAGTGGAATGGGCTAATCATTTACTACAACACTGGATAATGGAATATTTTTCATACAAACATAAAATCCATAAACTGTGGATTATTAGGACATAAAAAATCCATAAACTATGAATTATTAGGACTTAGTGTGAATACACTAAAATAAACCATATGTAATATCCTAATTGTTGATTGTAAGTACCATTTCCCTGAAGAGGGTGATTCGCTGACAGAATCGATGGACAGAAATAGCTTCTAAAACCAACTCTGTTTCAGTATGTTGGAATGACGGACAAAACTAACACAATGTTGAAATGCAACGTTGTGTATTAGGTTAAAATCAATTTTGTAAATGTGGAAAAACCTCAATAAGAGCAATTCCTTTGAAAATTAGTGTGTTTAATGGAGCAACAACTCTGTATGAATCTTCAATAGGACATAACTAGTATAAACAACACAGGCAGTCTAATGAAAATTAGGACCATTACAGGGTTTAAATTTTGTTCTACCGAGTTCTGCCCGGGGGTACTGCGCACATGTATGGACACAGCATTTTATCAAGGGAAACCATGACGAATTGGAGTGTATCCAAATTTCTATATCCAGAAGCATTAGAGTCTGGAGCACATCTTCAGAAGAAGTTTTGCTTAGAGCAAAGACGATTTGCTAGCTGTATTCACATACTGTATATGAAGGATTCTAATAGGGAACATACTTAATCTGAGTTGCTTAAAAGATCGGAATTAAGAGTTGGAAAGCAGTTTCTGTTCAATACAAGGCAGAAGTTTCTAATGATAGAACACTTCATATTGGAATGAACCACCTCACACATCACCAATGAAAGTGTTTCTGCAGTGGCTAAATGACTTTCTTTAAAGGATGGTAGACAATTGTTGTATGGCAAAGATGTGGGGCCATTGTTCCTGCCAGCCTTAGCATGCTATGACAAGCCAGTTCTATCTAACAGTAAATTCAACTAAACAACCAATTTGCTGTTTTTAAGTTCTGAATTTCTGGTATTATTAACTTAGCTACATGGTTAGGTTGGTTAGGATTTTACTGTATATAGACATAATCTAAGAACCACAATAATAAATTCCTGCAAAAATTAGAGATTAAAAACTGAAACACCAAGAAATATATATTTTTAAAAGTTTTTTAGACCCAATATTGTATTAAGAAGTGGTTAAACTTGTAAACTTAGAATATGAACTCATTCATAAACAATATATTACAGGCAGAAAGAAAGAAAGCAAGTGAGCCAGTACATCTTTTAATGAGATGAGCATGCATCAGATAATTAATGTTGGCAGTAAATATTTTAAAAACCAGTGAAGCAGAAAAGAAATGTTATTGATCACTTGTGTACAATTAACATAGAAATCTTTCCTGAATTCATCAGGGAATGTGTTTTAGAATGATTGCAGGTAACTAATTAAAATTTTAAGTCATACCATTACAAATAATTATTTAGTTCTATCATATATACAGTTATGTACCACATAATGATGTATTGGTCAACAATGTGCTGCTTATACAGTGGTGTTCCTATAGAATTATTTTTACTGTACCTTTTCTAAACATTTTTAAATATTTTTTAAACGTTTCTAAATATTTTTACTGTACCTTTTCTAAACATATGGTGAGAGATGTTTAGATACACAAATACTTAGCATTGTGTTACAATTGCCTACAGCATTCAATATAGTAACATGCTGTACAGGTTTGTAACCTAGGAACAATATGCTCTACCATATAACCTAGGTGCATGATGGCCTGTACCATATAGGTTTGTTTAAATACGCTCTATGATGTTCACACAATGACAAATCACCTAACAGAGTATTTCTCAGAACATATCCCTGTCATTAACTGATGCATGGCTGAGTGTGTCTGTGTGTGTGTATATGTGTGTGTGTGTGTTTGTTCTATGTGATACATTTCAAAGTAGATTTATTTGTGTTTATTCCATGTGTATTTAATGTCTATGATAACAAACTTGGTAGTAAATTATAAAACCTATAGAATATCAATTATATACTTTGTGACATGACATCAAAAATAAGGTTAGATGTTATTTTAAATGCCTGCATATAAGAAGTATTAGCACACAGCCATACCATATTTGGAAACTGCTTTTGGTAGAAGACAATATCATCCAGAAACACATGTTAATTCATGCTTATTTTAAGTATCTTGAAACATTCCTCACACATAAATACTTGTTTATTAATACTTTATAAATGCCAGTGTTTTCATTTTGTCTTCTCAAGAAGCCGTAGAAAGAAGTGATAATTCTAGTTAAAATAGACAAAAGTATTTAATCCTTCACAAGGTGTGCGCATATGTTATCAGACAGAATTGCTATGATGTTTTTAAGTATGTAAACATGTAAAAGCTAGTTAATAATATAAAACACCTATTGATGGAAATATGACTTGTACAAACATTCAGGATGAGACCAGAATCATAAATAAAAGATTTAAGCAAAGGTTCAGACCAAATATTTTACATATTGCATTCATATTTATGTATATGTATATACATACACATGTATATATTATGCACACAAATATATGTCATATATATGACAATTTGTTGATAGGAAACTGAGTAAAAAGCTTTATGTACAACAAGATGCTTCTACCACGTTGCAAAATTACGTGAGCTGATAGATTTCTCTGTTTCAGAGAATGGTGAAAACTATCCAGCAGCCTACTTCTCCTTGTAATATAAGCAGACCATGACAGGAAATCGTCCTCTAAATTCTGCAATAAAACGAGAATTGCTTACAAAAGCAAAATTTAGACCTTATGGACTGTGGCCAATTTGCATGTTTGCAGTAAAACAAATAGAATGTATCTAACTATTCAAAAGGGAGTAATAACATTTAACTGAAGCAAAAATCTTATTTTGATAGGAAGGATAATTTACCATGTAAAAATAAATGTACTTCTGGGAGGGAAAAAAGTGATGATGTATACAGTAGAAATAAAATGATCAATATTTGTCATGTTACTTGAAAAGCTGCAAAGGAATTTTCCTGAGAGAAATAGAAAAGGCTTAGTTATTTTTTCTGCCAGCTATATTTTCTTATAAAAATTAATGTAACTCAAGAAGATTCTAAATAATTTGGAATGGTGAGAAAAATTAAGATGAGGCTGAATACATATAATTCTCACTTTCATAAAAATTGTCTTTTTTAAGTGAAAGAGAACATTCTAATCTTATTTTCTATAAAATGTCTTTGAAAATGCAAAAGATTATTATTTTCTTCCATTGAATTTATGAAAGTTAATGAGTAGAATTTCCTGCAGATGTCTTTTTATTATTTGAGACCAAAAATATTTTTATTAAAATAGATTAACAGATTGAGAAATACATTTTCTTTTTACACATGTTATTTCAAACAAAATAAAATTTTAAAAAATTTACTGTAAATCTTAAACTTTTGTTGATACAGGTTTATATTATAGTAACATTAATCAATTTTACCTTCCAGAAATTAATTTTCCATTGTGTGTTTTTATCCAAGCCATCTATTTCATATAGTACTTCTTCTATAAACCTGACATGAGGCATTCAAAGTGATTTTCAGAAACCCCATTAAAATGGTGATGCACTTTGTTTCATTTAATAATACTGTTTTAGAGGAATTCAACACATTCTATAAAATTTCCTTTCATTTGTCCTAAAGTGACTCTTGATTCAACACTGCTCTGTATCTACTAATTGGACCTCTGGCTTCCGACTACACAATCACTTGGCTTAATTTTTAGGCCAATCTGGGATTACTACCCTGTCAAATTTCTCATTTTCTTTTTTTTTAAATATTTATTTTAACAAAATTGAATAAAAAGATATAATATAAAATTCATCATTTTAACCATTTTTTTATGTGTACAGTTAATGGCATTAAGTATGCCCATTTTCTTTGGCCATAGTTAAGTACCAATTCCTCCTGGTGGCAGGATGGATCTTCTCAAGGAAAGTAATATTGTCACTCAGTGAGATATAATGAAGGGAGTTTGGGAAATCAAGCTCTGACTTTTGCCTTCATTTTAATCCACTGGATTGCTAAGTGGGTTATAGAGATTTTAAAAGTCCATTATAATTTCTGAGCATTATTAGATAAATTGCTGGTGTCAAATGTTAAACATGAAAGTGCCAAGAGCTTAAAGGGTTTCATTTCTTGTAAACAGAATTGGGAAAAATAATGATTTATCCTTTAATTAATTTCAGATGAAATTGATGTTACTTGGATGCTTTCCTCCCCAGTATTGAAAATGTTTCTTGTACTTAAAAATAATTCTAACCATAAATTGTTTCCTGATTTTTTATTAATATGGACATATATCATTCTAATAGCTTTATCAATAAATTCAAAGCTCTGCCATCAGTTTTATCTGATAATAAATAAATAAATAAATAAATAAATAAATAAATAAATAAATTTTATCCAAATTATGAAATATTTACTATGGAGTGCTCTTGAATACTAGTTACTTTTGACAACTCAGAAATCCTTCTTAACTCACATCCTACTCAATACTTACAATTTCCTTTATTCGAAGACAACTAATCAGTCTGTGATCATAATCATCTGGCCAAGTATAGGTTCATTTTCTGTAATAATAATTCTCACATGCTACCTGGCAGGGACTGAGAACAGAACTGAGAGACAATGACCAATCAAAGTACCTCATCGTTTTTAGGAAGGCAAAAAATACACGTGGCATAATGTTTGTAGCCTATGAGTTGACATACCAGTTAGTTAATATCATGTGTCATCAGAAGGACAAATAAAACATCATAGAGATGCTGAAGGAAAGAGATATGATACAAATTGTTTTAGTTATTAAGATAAAAAACATCTACATTAATATTACTGTTTATTCGGACACCTACATATCTAGGTATGGAATCAAACACAGTCAATAAATATTAATTGAGGATTACTATGTATTAAAAATTTCAGTGTGTACAAGATCTCCTACTGGCCTTATCTAAACAGCTCCATCTTCATGCTATTGGATTTCTCATCTACTAACTAAAGATAATATTAGATTGGTACAAAAGTAATTGTGATTCTTGCCATTAAAGGTAATTGCAAAAGCCACAATTACTTTTGTACCAACCTAATAATATCTACATTAGAGATTTCTATACTGCTCAAATGAAATAACATATGTGACAATGTTAAAAATTTTCAAAACTCCATGTAAGGATTAATTCTTATAGTTGCTAAAATATTCTAAAAAGACAATGTAATGCAATAGAAAAATAAGAAAAGAAGTAGAAAGTTTCACTCTTTTTTTATTTGCCTTGCCAATCTCTAACCACACGGCCTTAGCAATGTCAATTAACTTTTACAATCTTGCCAACTTCAAAAGATCAAATGAAGATATTTGGGAGAGTGCTTTCTAACTAACTTTACATAATATACATAATTCCCATCAAAGGTCAAATGCTGGGAGACAGAAAGACTTGCCTTTATCTATTTTCAAATGCTTTTCTTGCTTAATGCTAAAGAGATATCCAAAAGTAAAAGACAGTGACAATGATATGAATTGATTATGCTCATTTTTCTTTTCCCAGTGCAAATGCTGGCCTGGATTCCAACTGAAGGATGACGGCAAAACATGTGTAGACATTGATGAATGCTCTTCAGGCTTTCCCTGTAGCCAGCAATGCATCAATACATACGGGACTTACAAGTGCCTCTGTACAGATGGGTATGAAATACAACCTGATAACCCAAATGGCTGCAAATCGCTCTCAGGTATCGAATTGAACTTGCCCACTGATCCAACCTCAGTTATACATATGGATCCTGAATTTTATAGCCGTTCTTATTGAATTCACTCCTCCTTGATGCTTCTGAAAAATCAAAATTCTTCTCTACTTCCCTTGATATGAGAATCTGTCACTCTGATTTTGTATGCTCTGTTCATAATAACATTGCCTTATGGCCTTGTGAATTATTGAGTGTTTTCTAGATTTTGAGAGTGCCCACAAAAAAAAAAAAAAAAAGAACTATCTCTAGCACTGCTTCCTGCTGAATCACATGTTCTTGGGAGCAAGTTTGGCTAAAACTGTTAAAGAGACTATTGTGACATTATTATAATATTTTTCATTCTCCCCTCCACCATACATACATACATATATGCTAGAGAGAACAAGTTAACAATAAGAAGAAGCAACAATAGTAATAATAAATCAGCTATATAGGACTATTTGAATTCTTCCAGTGATTCAGCAAATATTGTTAAACTTCTTTTTATTCCAAGGAGTGTATTTGATCCTGTAAATTATACATTTAATAAAGCATGGCCCATAACTTTAATTCTTTAGGAGAGAAATCACAGATATTAAAATGATACAAAGCAATAATATGATGATGACTGTTAAATGGGCAAAAAAATGGTGACTAAGGGCATCTCTATTCCGCTTGTTTTTAAGTATAATAAGTCAAATATTATTGCCAGTTTCTTATATAATAGATGTTCGTCAGTGGCAACATTTAAAACATTAGCTGTTTTTTTCAACCACTTTAATAAAATAGCTATCAGAGATATTAATTTTAAAATATGGGTTTTTTTAATGGGTTAAAACTTTACACATTATGAAGAAAAAAAAATTAACTCCTTTCAATTTTTCATTCCACCATCACTTATCTTCCTTCCCTGAATCAATTTGAGGATTATTTGGAGACAATTTTTTTTTTTTTTTTTTTTTTTGAGACGGAGTCTCGCTCTGTCACCCAGGCTGGAGTGCAGTGGCGCGATCTTAGCTCGCTGCAAGCTCTGCCTCCCCCAGGTTCACACCATTCTCCCGCCTCAGCCTCCCAAGTAGCTGAGACTACAGGTGCCCGCCACCACACCCGGCTAATTTTGTTTTTGTATTTTCAGTAGAGATGGGGTTTCACCGTGTTCACCAGGATTGGAGCCCATTGTTTAATCTACCAATCTACTTGCTTCAGACCATCTTAATGCTTGCTACATAATGCATTTAGTGACCTGGGACAAAAAGAAGAGATTAAATCATACAAATGACCAATGTTTCCATTACTTTAAACATTAATAAAGGATTGTGTAGAGGAGATGAATAGTAACAATTAAAATATGGGTCTTGTTACATTATGTATCCACACCATAGTTGTTTATTATTAGCAATTATACTTAGAAACTCATACAAATTTTAAATATAAAAATGTGTTCTTAAAGCATTTATGCTTGTTAAAGCATAAATCTTGCACTACAGAGATTTTTTAAAAATGAAATATATTTAAGTTGTAAAGAACAGAATTGCCTAAGCAGTGAAGTAGAACATGACTGATTAATTTTATATTTATAATTGAGAAATCTATTGACAGAGTGGCAAGGCACCTTCAACTCGAGAGCCAATTCTGTGTTGAGAAGTATTCTGAGTCTCAGTCTGGCCTCAAAAAGAAGATGAGAATGACTAATTTGGGATCCCATCAAGGATGATAGAAGGGGGTATTTAACATGAGTGACATAGTATATACTGAAACATAATGTCATACCTTTGGTATTACATATTAATTACAAAACTAAAAGACAAGGGGAGAAAAATAATGATTTCAAACAATTTAAAAAGGACAATAACGGTATAACAATAAATAATTTATAAAAAATCCACATTCAATTATGTGATTACTTTTTTAGTGTTTTTTTTTCTAATTTCTATCAACATTACGTTTTTTCATTTGGCAAACAAGTTTATGAATGTGTCTTAAAAAAAAGATGTTAAAATGCTTGGGCAAATTATTCACCAAATGAATCTAGGATTATAACCACTGAGAATGTGGTCAAATTGACGTCAAATTATCCAGATACATATTTAAATAAATAGAAAAGAAAATCTTTCTGAAATTCTCTCCTTCAAGAAATCGTTTTGTTTCCAAATCAATTCTGAAGAGAAACCAAACACTAGTGGTTTAGAGGGTCTCCTGTACGTTGAGAATGCTCAGATCTTTATCACGCTCTTTCCCAGATTCTAAAGTAAATGAGATACTAAAAGACATTGGACAAGCTGATAAGGTAGAAATAAAGACTATTAAAGCATTAGAAAAAAAGACACATGAGGAAAGGTAAAATTAACAAACAAAGATTTTAGAACCTGGAGTTCAGAAATTATTTAAGACAAGTCCTCAGGCAGGTAAAAGGGTATATATATATGCAGTGATACTCTTGGTCTTCACTGAGGTCATCCTGAGAGCATTAGCCACTTGATTATCCAGAAAAAAATTTCTGATCATAAGAATGTTTTAGCTGTACTGTAGGTTTCTAAGAGAGGTGAAGATTATCTTTTTCTGCAATTCATGCAGACAATCAGATTGTAACAGCAGATATTTTCTACTAATTCCGAATAAATTATCTGAATGTCAAGAATATTGAGAGGAAGCAAGGGATGCACTTAGAATTTTCTAAATTTTCTGTACTGCCTGGGCGTGTGCTGCCTCTTCATTCTACTGCCAACTACGTTGCTCAGTATGATCCTTTTTAAACCCTGAAGCTACCAGATCAGCACTGCATTTGAAATCACATTGCTGCTAAACTAAACTGAAATTATGCAAAGGGGAAAAGCATACATACTTAAAGTCTAATATGTTATTTGTGTTGGTGTTTAGATGAAGAACCTTTTTTAATTCTTGCTGATCATCATGAGATAAGGAAAATTAGCACTGATGGCTCCAACTACACACTTTTAAAACAGGTATGACACTCCCAAGATGACACCGTAACATTTAACATGTGCACTAGGTATGTGTTAGAGCTGTAGAACTACCTGGCAATTAGAGTTTGTGAAGCATATTTTTAGTTGTCAGGAGAAATATTTTCTTTGAAAATATTTAGTTTGTATCTGTTCTGCTCCAAATTTATCTTTGCCTCAAACTGTGTAATAGTAACAGAAATATGCGAAAGCACTGTCTAGAACAAGTGTGCCAAAATTAAGGTTATTTCTCATTTTTCTAGTATGTTTATGCCAGTTTTAAGTATAAACGAAGACCACCATTCCTGTGGTGTATTTTCAGCAACATAAAGAAGATTTACTTTCCTAAAAATATTTTGTTACTCATTGATAGATTCCTCCACTGCTTTTTATAATAGTTTCGTTCATTTTTCTTCAGGATTTAGTCTCAAGTGTTAAATATTCACTAGCTAGTAGGATATTTACTCATCCTGACAGAGTTGGATTCTTTAGTCTTCCTCTATGTCACAGGTTAAAAATAAACACGTCAGATGAAAATCCAGATTTCTGGCTACTCAGGAAAAAAACAGAAAAGTTTATTAGGGCAGCACTCACATTCCTGATTGGTCAAAATCCAAGCTGTGTAGCAGCTGCTGCATTGATAGAGAGCCCTGCTCTCCAGTTCACCAGTGTTTTCAGACTTTCCTTGTGCTTAAGACATGTACACTCGCCTTATCCTGAATAGCCAGGAGGTTTACACCCTTGTTCTGAGTATGGAGTGTGCCACCAACATCCACCATATCACACTACTTCTTTCTTTAATTATAAATCTTACAAGACTGAGTAAAATATAAAATATTGTTATGTTGTTTATAAAAAACTAACAAAAATTTAATCAAAATATAAGAATGAACAACTATTTAAGACATAAATAACATAAGAGAAATACTTAAGGATAAAACGTACATATAACTGCTTCAAGAGGGAAAGTTTTTTGCTGCCCAAATAGTTTCCTAGTTTATCTAACTTGATTTAATATATTTTTTTCTGTATTTTTAAACTTTTTCCTATGCTTTTAAACTTATATCAAAATTATAAGATATTAAAAATTATCTTTCTTGGGATATGACTTCACAGCCCTTCTAAGTCTTTCTATAAATTCAAAGTTAGGTGCATCAGACACATATTTTCTAGTATAGTCTCTGGAACAAGGACATGCCTATTTTTTCACTAGGTTGTGTATATATATATAAGCTGTATATATATACACACACACACATATGTACATAACATTCTGACCATTTAGACTCCACTATCTCAGTTTAAAGGAATAAAGTTATCTCTTTAGAATATTTTTAAGCTCAGCTGAACCATAAGTTTAACTAATATAGAACAATATTCATTATCTTCATGACAGAGCTATAATAGAGCTTCAGTGATAGCTTCTTGCTTCATTTTCCTACCTTGTAGCTCAGTACATGTCTACCAGCATTCCTTTTGTTGTCTTTCACAGATAATGTGTTGTCAAAAATTGTTCTTAATGGAACAAAATGATTTTTTCCTCTATGCATCATTTAAGTCTATTTCACATAACAGAACTACTTTAATGCTCTTTTTTTAAAAAAACATTTTAAGATAGTTCTTTTCTCCTGGTGGTATCATTTTAGACTGTTGCCAGTCATTAGTACCTAAGTGGGGATGAGTTTCGGATACTTTCTTAGTGCAGTACATATGGGAATGAAGAAACAGTGAGGATGATGAAAACGTTCATGAAGGATCTGAACACACCTATGTCTTTGGAAAGCAATTGATAATGGTGCCCATTGAGTAAGGAAATAGAGACCCAAAGAACCCATGGCAAGCCTTCTGCCCAGTTTTGCCTATGGGCTGCTGGGAATATGTCATTTCTTTCAGGGAACATATTTTTACTCACAGTTTCATCACAGTGTTATAGAAATTTTAAAGGAGTTCTAGGCAGTAGAAACCATTATCTTTGTCCAGAGAGTCTGTCCACATATGCAGAATGAAATAGAACATAGAAGCAATTATCTCTGCACATTTTCTCACAGCCAAAATAAATGAAAAGACAATATCCTTGTCTTAACTATTTGGAACTTTTATGTGCAGCTGATTAGCAAGAATGATTGATTCTAATATCACAAATTTTATTCTCTTTGTTGTAGTCAGTAACAATCTCATAAAGTTTTATTGCATAAAATTATAACAACTGGTGGAGCTTTTTCTTGCCCTCTATATTCTACAACATAACTGTAGTAAGGTCAGCTATAACTTAAATTCATATACTATATTTAGAAACTGTACTTCAGTGACATACATTTTGGGAATGAAAATTAATCAAGTACCTTTCCAATATGTTCTCCAATTCAATTTGAACAGTGTCTTTATTCCAGTAAAATTGTGTGAGAAACAAAACACAATTTCCTAAATTAATCATCTCGAACCAAAGAGTGCAAGTCTTTAGCTACAGAAATGAAAGAAGCAAATAGGATTCTGATGAAACAAATTTTCATCTCTGAAACTACTGGGATGACTAGTTTTTAGACATTATTTTGACCATGCCCCTGGCTGTTTTAATGTTTCTTGCATATGATTCTGCAAAGAGACCATTGCACTGGGATTAAGGGTAAAGCTGTAGAAAAATGACCAGCTTGGCTAGATAGATATGTTGGAATTTAGAGCTTCCATTTTTCTGCATTTGCAGCTTTAATTTATTATAGTTGACTTACTAAATTTGGAATTGGAGTTTTATTATCTAAATTGATTATTGTAAAGAAGGAATAGGATAATTCTGCCATGACTGGGGATTGTGGGTAAATCTTTGCTCAAGTTAGAGACATGTTTCTCTCTGCTTTTTCCCTGCAAAGCTCTCTAATTTAGCCACCTGAATTGCCAAGCCATCACAGAATCCTAACTTATTTACATTATTGCTCTGGAGAGAAAAGCAGTTGAACAGAAGGGATATTGTAAACTACTATTGGAATGAATTTATTAAGCCCTCTACAAACTTGCCTGGAACACATTCAATTTATATTTTAGAACTTTGACTTACTTTGCATAGGCAACTTCCTACATATATATGGTTATGTGCATTTAGTTAAGGAGTTCTCCAGTTTTTAGGATGTAAATGGATATTTAATGAATCTTTTGAATCTGTGACTGAATATCAGTTACCCTTCTTTAGCACTTATAGTCATTATTCATGATTTATAGTGTTGTCAGTAGGAAAGATACTTGCATTTATTCATCTTGGCTTAGCAAGGAATTTGCACTGAGCTATATTATTGCCTTGTGTCTCTTGTTTATGACCTATGGCACGAGATTTTTGTGAGGTTAGGTTATTACAGGTTGTCTTTGTAATCTGGACCTCAAGAAAATGAGATTGCTCATTTTAAGCTAAATAAAAGCATAAAATTTGAACCTATGATTTTAACACTATTATTACTAAAATTTAGCCCTGCTGTGAGAAGGGAAAATAAGCAGTATTTGCCAGAACCTTCTCTTATTTGCTGCTATACATAGGACACCCTTAGTCTTGAATGCCCTTGGAAAAAAATATCTGAAGAGTAATCATTAGCCTTGGCTTGTCTCTTACAAAGAACTATTTAAATCTAAGTCAGTTTTATTATTATCATCAGATTCTGAATTTTGAGAGTAGATGTTGAAACTAAACTCAGACCTGAGATTTACTTTCCTCTTTCTCCCTCCTCCCGGCAACCAAGCTAAAACAAATAAAAAACCCCTGCCTCTCTGAAGATGCTTGTCTCTACCCATAAGACTACAGCTACTCATACATTTCCCTCTAAAACAATTTGAGACATAGCATCAACTTTACGGTGAATATTGATGTAAGCAAGCTCTCCACAGATATAAAAACATGGCAGAGATCTCTTGAGGTTTTGCCAAATGTCTATAACATTATTTTCTAATCAATAGAATGTATATATTAATAAATTACTCAGTCCTTAAGGTAGTAAATGTATAATCTTTAACAATAAGTCAGAATTAAACTAATTCCTAGGCAATCATTTGAATAATTCTGCAGCTAAAAGATTCCTAGATCCTGGATGTACAGTCCTCAAATCGAATCAAATGTGAGAACTGCCAAACCAAAAAGCTGTAGCATCCAGAAACCCATCAATTGAATTTGTGTTCTGTTTTGCTGCCTGCTAAAAAATGCATAACCATGAGTCTGAAGGGAGGCATTTCCTCACATTTCCACCATGTGGAATAAAAACATGTTGATTACCCAGTTCCTCCTTGGTCAAATACTCACCCAAGGTTGTAACTTTTAAATTCTAATATCACACTGTATTGCCAAGGGGCCATCTGAAGCAGGAAGAAAGGCAGCTCTTTTATATTGTTGTTGGGACAAGAGCTTTGGGGGAAAGTAAAATTTCTATACCTTCTCTTCTGACTCATCAGTTGGCTGTCCAGGGCTCATCTTAATCAGATGATCTACCTTTTCAATTTAGATATATGCTTTTTTCAGGCTCTTCCATGGAACAGACTATAATGACATAAAGTTTATATTTCATATTAACCTAAAGTGGAAATTCTAAACTTTATCTCCTTAAAAGAAGTTATTTTTATTTTCACGTTACTGGCTATTTATTTAAAACCATTGTAAATATTTTGAAATTTTGTGGCCTATGTGGAAAATATTTTCAAATTAATATAGTATTTTTTAAACATACGATGTAAGGAAAATGTGAATATATGATACTTTTAATGAGAACTGGTAGCAAATACTTTATTATAATAAATAGAACTATTTAGTTTCAAAGGAAGACAGTGATTCCTGTAAACTCCTAAAACATTTTATAATTATTTCTATGAACTATCATTGACAACATAGTCTTTTTTATTTTCAGGGATTAAACAATGTTATTGCTATAGACTTTGATTACAGAGAAGAATTCATCTATTGGATCGATTCTAGCCGACCCAATGGCAGTCGCATAAATAGAATGTGTTTAAATGGAAGTGACATTAAGGTAACTAAATATTACAATGATGGGATTGTTGAATATTATACCAGTATGATTGAATTGTATAGAAAATGTTATTTTATGACCATGATATTACTCATAAAATGCATTAGGGTGGTTTCAATTTCACATTTGTATAGTGTGATTAAAACTTTAAATATGAAAAATGAGACCTTTTATTCTTATGTTTCATTATAACACTATTACTTGCAATAACATAAACATCAAATTGAGTAAATAAAATATGGAACCTTATTCACAACCCTAGGAAATGGGATGGGTGCTTTCAGCTAGAAGGATTAGTGCCTGCAATTCAATTCTGTTGATTTAAATAAAAGAGAAAGTTGAGTCTAAAACTTTGTAATCGAAAAAGTTAAACATTACAGTGTGGATTGAAATTATGATATTGTTAAAACTGAACAATTACAGTTGTAAATAATTGAATTCATTTGTGTAAAATCATGAACGTCCTGATTGGAGAGGATCACATTTCTGTCACAGTTCTGTCATGTGTATGATCCATGTCATATTCTAGATATGAGCAACTTGGTACCATCTTTTGTTATTCTGAGTTTTAAAATCAAATTACTAATACTATATATACGCATTAAAACATATTATAAAGAAGTTTTAAATTCAAGTGAATGAAACCCATCAATTACTTTAACTTTTTTGTAGCCATCTATAATATCATACATAATTTCATTTTTGGTGAAAGCAATCCATTTTGAAAATATTAATGAGATCTTAAAGTGTGCATGTACAATGATGAAACAAATAGTAAGCTGGATTCAAGTGATTTAAAGTAGCTGTATTTAATAATGGTTTATATAATAAAAGATCACTATATAATGGTGATAGATTAATTTGAGCCAACCCAATGGTTAGATGGAACAAATAAACCGATGAGATTTTTGTTTTTAAATTTATTTTCCAATTAGTTTAAAAACTGTGAAGATTATATTACTCAAACTTGATCATATATTTCATTACAATACATTAAAAATTTTTAATTACCTTTATATTTTTTTAAGATACTTTACTATTTTTGAAAGCATATTCTCTACTGCCTTGCCACTACTATTCCATTACTACTTTAAATCACCTATTTACATAAGGTTATGTAAAGATAAAATACATCTTTATTCCCTTAAATTTATTAATTCACAGATTTTCATTTAAATAGCCATGCCAATTTTCCAAATTTGAAATGTGGTGGGTAAAAGAAAAACAGATGTCTTGCATTTAAGTATAGGAGATTGATATCATTTATTGTTACAAATGTGCATATTGCCACTTTCATTTGTATCTTTATTATTGATGGCATTAGGGAAAAAGATACATTTAAAATTTTATTGGCATTTTCTTGTCTTTAACTGTGTAACTGTTGGCTTCTATATAGCTTCAAGTTTTATTTGACATATTTCTAAAAGTACTGGGAATTCAGAATGCCAGCGATATAGATCAAAAATTGTTGATCATTTTATATATATTATATTTATACATGCAAAGACTATATTTCATACTGTATTTGGTATATTCATGGATTAAAATTGATAACAGCAGCTGAATGTGTACATTGTTACCTCCCTTAAGCTAGGTTCAAAATAATGCCTATTCTCGTTGGTGTTTTCTTCTCTCCTTGTAGTTAACTAAATAGGTCAAGAGCAGTAGAGAGAGTGAGGAATGCTACTGTTATCTCTCCCAAACTGGTTAAAGAAAAATAATATCTCTAAGTTTGTGTGTGTGTGTGTGTGTGTGTGTGTGTGTGTGTGTATGTGCGTGAGAATTTTGTCCCAAATTTTAAGAGGATGAATAGATTAACAAAAATGTGAACAACAAATGTGCAGCTCTCCAACAACTTTTTTTAAATCATTTTATTTAAAACTATGTGTAAGTTCTAGGGACCTAATTACACATTAGGTAATTTCTCACAAACAAGTAAGTAATTGTATTGCGGTCAATTATTCTCTTCTTATCTAAGTTCCATTCTTTACATTTAAATGGAATTCTATATCTCTGTAAAAATCAAGAAGCAATTGCTCACTTCTTATTTTAGGGATTTACGCTGTTAACCTTTTAAATTCTTGTTTTGTAGGTAGTTCATAACACAGCGGTCCCCAATGCACTTGCTGTCGATTGGATTGGAAAAAACCTCTATTGGTCTGACACAGAAAAAAGAATCATTGAAGTATCCAAACTCAATGGCTTGTACCCTACTATACTCGTTAGCAAAAGGCTGAAGTTTCCCAGAGACTTGTCTTTAGATCCTCAAGCTGGGTTTGTAAAAACTGTTAAAAATCTTAAAGTTTAAGACTGGATTACATTCATAGTAGTAAATCTAGTACTATAGATCATTAACATGGAAATCCAATGTAACGTGTAAGTGTGCAGAAATTCTCACTTAGAAATAGAAAAAAACAGTAATGTGATTATCACAATGAAAGGAATAAAATTAAGATGATTGAATTTTACAGAAACTATTTTTTTAAAGTTTTAAACACAGCTATTTTCCAACTAGTTGATAAATCCATGGTAGAAATGAATAAAACATACAGATTTCACTGATTTAATGCCTTTAAATCTTGAAGGAAAGGCAGGCTAAGAACAAATTCTTAGATGATGTTTTGCAGTGGTTGGGGTAGTCACAAATATGGACAAAGTAATCCCTGCACCACTTCATACCAGGAGACATAAGCAGTATCCATGGATAATAAATGACAGGGTGCATTATCATGTGCCTTCAAGATGAAAAGCTGAATGGGACTATTGGGAAGAGTTTGTGGTGGATCCGTTTCATTTGCATTTCATTGCAAGAATGGAGAGAAGTCATAGTAAGGACCCAGGACCACAGGCTGGAGATTTCAAATGAGGGATGAACACATCTGAAGGTGTCAAAGCTGTCTGGTGTATGTTTGCTAAAGTTCTATAGATTATGACCATTATAATTCACTTTCAATTATGTTGTTTTGCTCAGTAGAGTGTACATAACTTTTTAACTTTTTGCACTGTAATTTAGAGTGATTACATGCTCCAAAATGATCTTTGGAGAAGTTCAACCTACTCAACATACTTGGTAAAATAACAAATTTAAAGAAAGGTTGATGTTTTGAAATAGGACACATTCACAGTAGCAAGTGTTAGGATAACTTTGGTACTCCAAATTTTCTGCAATTTAAATTAATTAATTTTATTCACATATTTCACCAAACCACAGCTTTTATCATACCATATGCAACAATTAGATTTTGCTTCTCGTTAATGTATCTCTGTTAATTTTTTTGGTCCCTCATGTTTATAATTGGCAAAGTAATCATGTCATAGTATATTTTATAGCTTAACTGTATACATTAATTTAGGTAAAAATAGTACCTAATAGGAGAAGCTTTGTACTGTGCACGTATTTTTGTTTTCAAGGTAATGTGCTCATTTTAACTTTTCACTATATAATTATGTAATCATTTTATCTTTTTGAGTATTTTATTTACCATAGCAACAGAAGGTTCAAAGAGTATCAATTTTATTTTAATTTAAACGGAATCACTAGAAAGTCTCTTTATATGTATGTTTTAAGAAATAATGGCCAGATGTACTAAATTTGGCTATCATCTATTCATTCTTAATTATGTGAATATTTCAATTTCTTGGATATTTTATAAGAAAGTTTATTTTTGATTTTTGATAGCTGGGTGTGGTGGCTCACGCTTCTAATTCCAGCACTTTGGGCGCCGAGGCGGATGGATCACTTGAGGTCAGGAGTTCGAGACCAGCCTGGCCACCATGGCGAAACCCCATCTCTACTAAAAATACAAAAATTAGCCAGGCGTGGTGGCGCACACCTGTAATCCCAGCTACTTTGGAGACTGAGGCATGAGAATTGCTTGAGCCCAGGAGGCAGAGGTTGCAGTGAGCAGAGATCATGCCACTGCATTCCAGCCTGGGTGACACAGCCAGACAGTGTCTCAAAAAAAAAAAAAAAAAATATATATATATATATATATATATATGTGTGTGTGTGTGTGTGTCTATATATATGTGTGTGTACATATATATATATATATTTGAGTGTCTGAACAATTTTTTTTCTTCAAAATCAATATGGCTGGCTTAGCTTCTCATTTCATGCTATTCAATATGCTTCACTTTCTAATGAAAGAAACATTACCTGTTTGCTAATAGCAGTCTGTGGTCTTTTCTATTTATGAAGCAAAACCTGTGTCCTATTCTAGTGAATGCAGCTGAATCTATTAATAGCTTTAGGTTTTATTTCTCCCAGGTTACAGTTATTACCCCATAAACTGAAAGCAGCCTTAAGTTATCATCAACATAAACCCATCCATTAAAAGTGTCAATTAAAATAGCACAGTACAAAATTATTATAGATGTTATAAAAGACTCCATTGATTTCATTTTTGGATAATATTTGGATTATGATATAGATATGTCATATTATAACCAAAGAAAAAGGTAAAAGTTGGATCTCTTTATGAAACAATTAAAAACAACTATTTTAATGGATAAAATTTAATGGCACCTTTTTGTTCATGCTGTTTGCCTAGTTCCCCTGAGTGAGAAAATCAGGCAACTTGGATTTTAGCATTGATGAGATGAGCTCTAGGGTGAAAATGCCATAACTGTATAAAATATTATGCAATCTTGCTTCAAAAAATGAAAACTTAAATTTAAGATTAATAGAAATGCAATTGAACCTTCCTATATCAGATTGCCACTGCGACTTGCATATGTTTTGATTATATCAAAACTACTGACTACCGTTTCCTTGAGAAGTATGATTTCTGTCCTGATATTTAGTGAAGAAAAGGTAAGAATTTGTTTAAGGGAGAATGAAGATCATTAGGCTGTCCTATGTATTAGAGCAATGATACTTTTAGAAGATGTCTTGGGGGTCCTTTCTTCATTTTAATAACAGTATGTCAATTATTACAATAGCACTTTAGATATGGTATTTAGTAGGAACGTAAAGATACAAGTAGACAGAAAGTCTTCTGAGCTGTTATATTTAAATCCAATTGAAATCCTAATTTTTCCTATAATTTTATCTTAAGCTTCTTGTTATTTTGTGTAGTGTGGAAATGAGTATTCTAATTTATTATTAATTTAGGGTAATTGAAATAATTTACCTTCAATATTGATAAAAATTACCTGTATGCAGGATATGTATAAGCATTTTAAAAGAGAATAGAGAATGTAAATATGTTAAAACTCTGCTGCAAATTTTATCTTTTTGTATAATTAAGGTGTCACTTTAGTTAATCATAACAAAGGCCATTATGATAAACATTAAAGTGAATGTATGATATGCCTAATTAACAGAAAACATTACATATACTCATTCATTTATTCAACTCATATTTCTGGAATATTTAGTATATGTCTGGCACTGTTGGTAGGAGTGAGAATAAAAATAAAAGGCATGGTCCCTCGTCTTCAAGTATGTTACACTCTAAAATAAAATGCATGGTCCCCTGTCTTCAAGTATGTTTCAGTCTAGTATGTAGGTAGCTGATTAAATAATCACAATTCAATACAATAACTTTTAAGGTAGAGAAAATGAGAAGTGTTTCTGTCTCAACTGGGATCAGAGAAAGCTTCCTGAACAAGAATGGTAGAGTAAGAAGTAGCTGAGTGACGTGGTGCTCTACAGGGCAAGAGATATTTTTTGGCAAAAAGAACGGTCTCTCTAGGAAAGAACAGACACACAGAAGAGTGTGGCACATCCAACAAATTACAAGGAACTTATACAGTTGGAACAAATTAAACATATGTAATTATGGATCCAGTTTACTTACAGAGTAAAGGAAAGCTAGGAACAAGTCAGAACATAATACAAAATGACAGCAAATAACAAACATTACAAGGCTTCTGTCTTTGGCAAACAGGTAGAGGAGTTGTCCCCAGAATATGGGAACACAGAAAAAGAGAAAAATACAAGAAAGTGAAATGATCAGTTTGTAGATCTATTGGGATTGGGAGTTCCCAAATAATAATAATAATAATAATAATAATAATAATAATAATAATAAAGATGGCTACCATTTCTATAGCATTTTTTGAGTTAGAAAACTTTATCAGTTTATCACTTCAGATGCATGTACTGTTTATCCAGAGTCTCTGAGAAACATAGAATTATTTGTATTACTTTCCTTATAGTTTAGATAGGCACATTTAACCACGAACTGGCTAAGTGACTTTCTCAGAATTGTTTAGGTGATAAAATATTACACTGGGGATTTAATTCAGTTTTCAGGCTTTGGTCCCAGATTTTTCCTATTACATCATGTCAGAGTTTCCAGTAACAAAATAATTGTGGATCATAAACATGTTGTGCAAAAACCATCTGAAAAAGGGATCAAGGAAAAAAAGAACCCCAAATCCTGTAGTTTCTTCCATGTTGACAATTATCCTTTTTAAAAGATTTAAAATTAGGACAGGTAAGGGCTGGGCACAGTGGCTCACGCCTGTAATTCCTGTACTTTGGGAGGCCTAGGCGGGCAGGACACATGAGATCAGGAGTTGGAGACCAGCAGGCCAACATAGTGAAACCCCCTCTCTACTAAGAATACAAAAATTAGCCAGGCCTGTTGACACAGGCCTGTAATCCCAGCTACCTGGGAGGCTGAGGCAGAAGAATATCTTGAACCCAGGAGGTGGACGTTGCAGTGAGCCCAGATGGTGCCACTGCACTCCAGCCTGCATGACAGAGTGAGACTTTTTCTCTCAAAATAAGGTAAAATTAGTACAGATGATAAAAGTTTTTTGGAAATGAAGAAAGCTGCCTAGATCGTTACCAGCATGCCTTATTTTAAAAGACATACTTTCATTTATTTTCTTTTACTAAAATTCTGACAATAGCCTGTTAGAGGCCAGGCACGGTGGTTCAAGCCTGTAATCCCAGGACTTTGGGAGGTCAAGGTGGGTGGATCACCTGAGGTTAGGAGTTCGGGACCAGCCTGGTCAACATGGTGAAACCCCATCTCTACTAAAAATACAAAAGTTAGCCGGGCTTGGTGGCACGGGCCTGTAATCCCAGCTACTCAGGAGGCTGAGGCAGGAGAATTGCTTGAACCAGGGAGGTGGAGGTTGCAGTGAGCTGAGAGCACGCCACTTTACTCTAGCCTGGGCAACAGAGTGAAAAAAAAAAGTCTGTTAGGAAATCCACAAGGAAATAGTAGGTCATGTTTTGAATTTGAAATATATGTTAATGAAAATATGTGAAAGACACTTACTCAGTATTCATATCCATTATTGCCAATATGGATAATGACAATGCAAATAAATTTAGAAAGACACATTTTACCCTCTGTAACTTGATATTTTAGAATGTCCTTCAGCATTTACTATAGTTGGAATAACTACCAAATTTTCCAAGATGAGCAGAAATATTACTTCCTCTGTAAAACATTTTCTAATTGTGCCTAACTGGTCACCACATATTGAACATTTAACATCATATGACTGTTTTTAGCTGAAATGTCTTTCTCTCCATCTAGAAAGTAATTTCCTTTAGCACAAAGGTCATGTCTTAATCATTTTTTGTGCCTAACACGGAGACTGCTAAATTCACTGTTGAAGAAGACTGATGAATGAGTAACTAGATGTACACAGAGAATGAGGTTATAGTTACAGAGACCTTGTGCCTGCACCTATGCACAAACCAATACATTGGTACGTTAATAACCTGCATGTTTCAAAGAGAAGAGTCATAAGGGAACTTTTGTTGTGATGGAATGAAAGGCAGACCAAGATGAAAATTCAGTTTCTGATTTCTGTAGAGGAACACAGAAATATTTCATTAAACTATATATTCACATAAGAAAAACTTTTTTAAACCAATTTTTAAAATCTATCCAAACAGTTCATGTCAGTATCCTCATATTCAGGCAAAAACACACAGGGAAATAACATATATGGTTAATTTTATAATTCAAAGTCAGAGATAATTGCAGGTGGAAGGAAAAAATTTCTTCAAATTTAATACTTGAATTCAGAGAAAAATAGTAAAAGCTGAGAAAGACTTCTATTTAATCACTTTTATAGAAATACAATGTATAATATTCAACTATAAAAGACATTCTCAAATTCACAGAGGCCTATTGTTATGGTTACAAGCAGACATTCTTTTATGTGCTTATACTTCATTATATCTCGCAGAATAGGTACTATTTGGGGCTGAAATTTTACATATGAGATTGGGGTAAACATTGCATATTATCTGGGTGCAATTTAGATCTCTTCTTTCAACATTTTCACGGCAGTTGTCATTTTTAGCTTTAATTATTTATAATACATTTTTACATAGGTAATTTTTAAGGGTTTCATTTCAGAAGTTAAAATTACCATTATGTTTAGCACAGTCTTATTGACAAATTTGAAGAAAAAAAAAGTATAGCAATAGGGCCTAAGTATGAAAAGGAAATGATATCTAGCCATCAGAAGTTAGCTACCACTTATTGAGAGACAAAATAAATCCTGTGTTTATGAAGGCTCATGCTTACCTGAGTACAGGTGAACAACATTTTCCTTCAGTATAATAGAGTATTATCCATAATATTCTTCTGCTTGACGAATACTTAAATAGGCAAATCATGTAATAACTTACATAAAATCAAGGCAAATCATATTCAAAGATACATACAATCCAGATGCAATAGGTAGTCTAGTAGGAGAGTATTACTAAACTAAAAATATATTAATATGCATATTTCCTATTTAAGTCAGATAAAATAATAATAGCTAATATTTGCTGAACACTTGCTACATACTTATCAATGTTCTACGTTTGTTTCATATATTCTCTCATTTAATACTCACAGTGACCCTGTGAGAAGAAACTGTAATTGCTTCTTTTAGACATGAGGCAATCCAAGCTCAGGAAGGCTAATTAAAGCTCCTAAGTTCACATAACTAGTAATGAGAGGACCTGGGATCTGAGCCCATGTAATCTGTTTCTAGGGTTTCTTTGCTTCAGATGCTATATAGTGCTTGTTAGAAAAGAAGTCAGTGTACGAATCTAGAAACCTGAGTCCTTGTTCCAAGTTTCCCCATCATAATACACAAAGCAGATAACCTTTTATATTCTCAGTTATCACTTTATCAGGGGAAGCTTTAAGCTATATGATCTCCAGTACCCTCAATAACCAGAATTAAAATTCTAAATTGGCACGGTGGCTCACGCCTGTAACCACAGCACTTTGGAAGGCTGAGGCAGGCGGATCACAAGGTCAGGAGATCGAGACCATCCTGGCTAACACGGTGAAACCCCATCTCTACTAAAAATACAAAAAATTAGCCAGGCGTGGTGGCGGGCCCCTGTAGTCCCAGCTACTCAGGAGGCTGAGGCAGGAGAATGGCGTGAACCCGGGAGGCGGAGGCTGCAGTGAGCCGAGATTACACCACTGCACTCCAGCGTGGGCAACAGAGCGAGGCTCCTTCTCAAAAAAAAAAAAAAAAAAAAAAAGTTAAGTTATACTTTGTCCTAAAATCTGAAAGAAATAAAACGTCATTTTTCTCAAGAAATTTATAAGGTGGTTGTGAAGATAAGTTTTTTCTTCCAAAGAACTATTTGTAAGCACAACAGTTTTTCATGCCTTCCTCCATCTAGGTAAAATTATTATTCACTCTTTTGTACTTCCATAGTAAAAAATTTTTATTAGCTGAAAAGTGAAAATGTGAGACTGTAATGAAAAACTCTGATTTGAGCTAAATTTCACACAATTCATAAGTGGGGAGTAATTTGGAGAGGTATATTTGGGCCCAGTAAGAAAGGGTTTTCATTCGAGGGAGAGAATTTCAGTTCTGGAACTCTTACCAAACTTACTGAGTGTGATGTAACAAATGTTGGACTTCATGAAAATAATATGCTTTTTCTCTTCTTGGTGTCTTGGTTCATGATGATGGTAAGACTACCAGATGAAAAATTTCAAAATACAAATGAAAATTTAAAATTGCAATTATATGGAAGTTAGACCACTTGAAATTTGTAGTTTACTTAAGAAACATTATTATTGACATCTAATAATTTTCAATGCTTTTATTGATAGCATTGATCACATGTACTGATCAAATTTAATGGAAACCCTTTTTCACTTCTGAGATATTTAAATTGCAAGTACAATTACATGTAGAGTAGCTAAATAGAACTATGATGGCACTCTCTGATTAAACCAGTTTGGATGTGTTATTTTTAATGTTATAGAAATCACTGAATTATTACTTTTAATTTTTATTTTCTTATATGCAATTCTTAAAAAACATAACATGGTATATAGAAGCACAAATAAATTTAATCATATCTAACATGTGAGGGAAGCTGGAATAAATATATTACATTTCAGATAAATCAAAAAGTATTATGTTAGTATTCCCAAGATTCAAGGTCAGTAAGGCAAAGAGAATTGTTCTGATTTATTTCAACAAGGTAAACTATCTTTTTATTTTTACTTCTTTCTGATTCAGTTTCTTCTTTTGCATCTCTTCTGTCATGATACCTAGTATAGGCAACAAGGTACTTCTCCATAAATTTATTGGAAAGTACTGAATTGTATGTTTTCTTAGAAGATGTATTTCACTGACGTATTCACTTTTCAAAAGAAAACTATAACAAAAATAATTCAAGATTTTAAAAAGCATAGCATCATTTTTTGAGGGGCTTAGGATCTATTATTGCTTGATAATTTGAGATTTTCAAAGTATGTTTAAAGTTAATATGTATATACAAAAACACTAGGGAGGAATTCCGGTATTGCCCTATGTGAAATTGACTTAGTGTTACCAGACCCAAGTTTATTTTACATTTTGACTTTCAGAGCTCTTTGAATCTCTGTTTATAACATTACACCTTTTGTTTAGGTTTTATCAGAAATATATTTCTTCTTTTTTAAGCACCATACTTCATTATTACTTCAATGATAGTTTGACTATCAAATAACTTTTGTATTATCTTTATAAGCCATACCTTTATGCAAATCAAGAAAATGATTGTCAAAACACAATATGGTGTGTGTTCTTTACAATGATTATTTAGGTTAGCTTTGTATTTGATAAGTGTTTTTATTTTCCTGAAAACTCTTTCCTTTTTAGTATGTGGTTAAAATATCTGAACATAATTATGTCTGTCAGAATTTATGAGAAAAAATTTCTTTAAAGAATGTTTTAGATTTGAATTGAATATACCAGTTTTACAATCATCTAAAATATTTTCAAACCAAATTATTTTGATGCAAATCTTGTAAATCTGAAGAACTAATTGCTAAGTATTATATCTGGCAAAAAGAAAGAATGAAATAGAGAAAAATCTACTTGTGTTAACAGATTTTAATTTCAGAGTTGGAATGTGAAAATAACTTTAAAGATCCTGTAACTCAAATCTTTATGTAGACAAGGAAACATCTAAAACATAAAGTAATTTTTCTTACTTTGAGGAAAAACACAAATGGCTTAATCAAACAGAGAAAAACGTCTAAGTAATCTGCCGCTTATACGTTATTTGCATTTTATCGGGTGTAATATTTATACTGAACTCAACCTAATTATATAGTATCAATATTACTTAATTCACTTCCTGTTTTTTCCCCACTTTTGGAACTGTCCTATCTAGAACTTCTAATAACATAATGTAAATCACTGCTGTCCAGTAGAACTTTCTGTGATAATGGAAGTGCTCCATATTTATGCTGTTAGATATGATGACCACTAGACACACATGGTTACTGAGCACTTGAAATGTGACTCGTGTGACCAAGGAGCAATACAGTTCATTTCATTTAATTTTATTTTAATTAGTTTAAATTTAAACAGTTATAATTGGTTAGTGGATACCATATTTAACAATGTATATTAAGGAAATAAAATGTGCACCTCCATAATTCCTTTTGAATTTTTCATAGATAACACACCAAAAGAGAAAGTATATATAGTGATAATTGTATTCCTTCAACATTGATAGGTATCTTTTGAAAGTTTACATATATTAGTTTTGAACATCTATAATTGGTTAACACATGATATTATTATATAATATTGTTATATATGAGTTTGTGTTCTAAAATAAACATATGTTTAAAGTTATAAGAATATTTCAAATCATACTAGATGTGTAATAAAACACCATAAGAAATTTTGCATCAAAGGATGTTTCTTAAAAGCTGCAATTCAGAAAAATGGCAAGATTAATGTGGGAACAGTTGAGCAAAAAAGTAATATATTGTTTGTTGTTTTGCTCCCAGAGAATCTGTAAACAAAATCAGTATTGATTTTCTTTCCTAGATATTTGTATTGGATTGACTGCTGCGAGTATCCTCATATTGGCCGTGTTGGAATGGATGGAACCAATCAGAGTGTTGTCATAGAAACCAAGATTTCTAGACCTATGGCACTAACAATAGATTATGTTAATCGTAGACTCTACTGGGCCGATGAAAATCACATTGAATTTAGCAACATGGATGGATCTCATAGACACAAAGGTTGGTCCAGTAACATAAATATTCTAGTATTTTACCAGGTCATAAAATATTTATTTAAAAATATATATTTATTTTATATGCTTTCTCTCATAAAACATATTTAATTTAAGGTTACATTATTATACTTCTTTATAAAAATATTGGTAAATTAGAATTAGATGTATTCAAAAATTATATGTTATGCACAAGATATTTTACACTATCAATGTTTTCTTTAATCTATTTTTCTAAATAGATTTTCTAGTAAATGGGCAGTAGTTTTATAAATTAATATCCACATGCATCCCAACTGAATTGAAATAGAAGGTTATTTGCTTGTAAATATGAGGCTATTACTGCAAACTGCTAGGATTTCAATTTTCTTAAAAAACTGAGTAAAAGTATAGTTTTATAAGTTATCAGTTAAGCTATGTACATGACTAAAGTTATTGTTACCTAATCACAGCAGCAACAATAATTAACATACAAAATAGTAACAGACAAGGATATAACAGAGAAGATGTCACGTATAGTTAAACATGACACGGATATAGCAGAAGCCACAAATGACTCAAATTACATCAAAACGTTTTAGGTAACAGGTAGCTTTTTAAGAATTAGATTTTTTCCTGAACAAATAAATGAATTTTTATTGATCTTCACCAACCTAGTGTCACCTTTGCTATCAGGGGTTTACATTTCCAAACATCACTTAAAATAAGAGTTTCAAAGCGAGGTCCCAAATAAAGTCTGCATGTTAATTCAGTTTAGCTTATCAAGTTACTTCCTTCTCTGGCATTAAGCTTAAGACAAAAACCCTGGAGGAGGGAAGGATGAGAAATGGTAAGGAAGAGAGGATTATTCTTAATCATCGAGTAATACTCTGCCAGTGTGTTCCAGTGTGGAATAAAGCAATGAGTTTAAAAAGAAAAAAGGTAAAAGGTACCAAAGTTACACCACTTAATAATTTTACCTATATTCCTGTCAGTTGATGTTTAAACAAATACATCTTTTCATCCTTCTAACTAGTAATGTTGACAGGAAGTTTTTAGAGGCGCTTTCTTAAGGGTAAGAACATTGTAATACAAAGAGTGTAGTTGGATGAGTCACTTACTTAGGTGTTGACATTCCAGTTATGGAGATAAAAAACTCATCAGGATGCAATTTAAGTGAAAAGTTATTTAAAGAACACTTTAGGATTTTAATTACAGCAAAAGGAATGTTGACAGATTGAAATCACACCTAGCATTTAAAAGTTATATCTCCCCCAAAGAATCAATAATGAAATGTTCTGCCTCATTCTTGGGTTGCATAGTTGAAAGTTTTATTGTGACAATCAATATTTTTCCTATGTAACTATAAACCTTTTCATTTTTAGCCTCCATATAAAGTGCTAGGAGGTTGTATATGTATTACTTTCTACTAAAATTTCATTGTACAACAAAATTTATATATATATTGTTATTAGGTAGGTGACTATTTAAAAACACTGCAGCATTAAATATTTGCCTTTCATTTGAGTCTTTGAAGTCTGAATAGCTAAAATTGTTAAAAATATTAGATCTATTAGAAACTATTGACTTCATCTCCTACTTATTATTAAAAAATCATGTCACTTATATGGTGACTAATGCTTTGATAACCTTAATACAAAATTAAGTGCATGTTAAAGTGTCAATCATAACACTGGTGGTGACTTTGGATAGAGAGACATGTGTAACAGGTAGAAATGGTACTAAATGTATTAAATAGTAAAATATTTGGCTGAAAGATAGTCTAGTATGATGTTATTAAAAATTTCAAACTTGATTTTGAAAATGCATCAAGACTTAAATGGGAAGAAAAGTAGAGTTGCAGCCTTCAGAATATTTTCTCCTGAAGGTTTTCTCAGAAAGACTAGTGAAAAATTCATTAAGTGCCTTATCAGGCACCTGCCAATATCTGAGCGCAGGCCAATAATTATCTGGTAGTTACTAATGAGGTACTAATTGGAGCCAGCCTGAATTATGCCAACTCTACCATCAACGAAAGAAAGAGCCATTAATTTGCCATGTTTGTAAAGTGGAATTGGATTATTCTACTTGCATTTGCCCCATAAAGACAAAGGATGCTATGGTTTCCTAGTTGTTTATTTGCAGGTGGAAAATGAGACATTTATATCGATAACTTTTGTGTTACTTCATCACTAGCCACTTTTTTAAAACCAGACCAATATTATTTTTCTCATTTATTATATTTCTTAAAACTGAAATCTGAGCTAACCAGAACGATGAGACATACCAGTCATGACAAAGTAATTTGAGAATATAAAAAACATATGAGACTTTTCAGAACAACAGCCCTTTCTCATAAGCCAAATTTTAAAGTTAGACCTTGGACTTTATGGTTTAAAAAGTTGGGTATTCTTTCCCCAAAGATATTCCAGTTTACACCACAGAGTAATTTTATAAATGAAGCATTATTTTATTATTATTTGTCTAGACCAAGAATATCTGAGGTTTCTAAAAATTCTGTGACTTAAAGTTCAGATTATCTCCAAGGTACATGTGCCTTACAATTTGTTTGAGAGCTTCCATTCCTCTTTCTTTGCTCCCCGATCTACCCTAATTCACCCTCCTATCAAATCCACACACCACATTGAAAACCTGAACAAGAAATTCCAAAATACATCGGTCAATTTACTAGCTTAGGAAAATTTAGATGCAATCTTAGTCACATGAACCTCTCCCTAATCTTTATTTCTCTGTATCACTCTACTGTTATTCACCATAGTAACATATGATGTAATATTAATAATATAATGATACAGTAAAAAACATGCTACTGAATAAGTTAGACAGTATATTTTAAATTACATCTTCATTAGTTTATTTTATTCATTGCTCTGATTTCTTCCTGTTAACTATGCCCATCATTCATTTATTCATTCATTCATTCATTCAATATTTACTGACCTGTCTTTCTGTGCCATGCACTATGCTAGGCCCCTGGTGTTGTAAAGATGAATGAGTCTCTACCTTCAGAGAATAACTCAAATGGCAAAACAAATATGCAGGTAAAGACATAAATTAGATTGTGGGTAAGAAGTAGGTGCAAAATATTCCAAAAATGCATGCAGCAGTACTGAAGACTGCTAAAGTGGGAAAATCTTTGAGCAGTTTGAGAGATTTAGTAAAAGCTCCCCATAGAGGGAAAGTGTAAGAAGGAGTCTTCACACAGAGGGAACAGCATGTGCAAAGATGTAATAGAGTCTTGAAATAGCATGGGGTTTACTCAATTTGCCTATGACTGGAAGTCATATAAGAAGGAGATAATGACACTAGATGAACAAGGGCAAATTGGGGCCAGATTGTCACAAGCCTTGTATGCTAAGTAATTTGGAATTTATCCTTAGGTCACAGGGAGCTATTGATGGTGTTTAGTTGATGGAGTGCTGTTATTAGATTTGACAACAGCATGTGAAATGAAAGACCCTGGAAGGGCAACCAATTTAGAGACTGTTAAAATATTTTAGGAGAAAATGTTTGAAGTGATTATAGCTGTGGGAATGGAGATACAGTGTTAGATTCAATAGTTATGTAGTAGATCAAATTGGAGATATATGTAAGCTTAGAAATACTGGTAGTGGCATTATAAAAATTAAGTAAATGATTTATATTATTATTGAATTAGCTAGGGGAAAATAATTCCAATATTTGATGACTTATTAGTTTTGCATATATTTGTACATTTTTAAAAAGAATTAATAGTGCCAAACTACTCCTAATTTAGATATTCAGAATCTCTATGTTATGATGCTCTATTTTGGTGGGAGATGCGTTAATTTTAAGAGCAAAAGTGCTATTCTAAAGACGTATTTAAACATTCTATATTATGCCCTTCCCTAAAAGGCATTTCAGAAAACCTGATAATTTAACTAGAATAAAGTTCGCAAATAAGTGACACTCTTTCCTCCTACTCTCTCTTGAGACATGGAATAGGTCCAGTGAGAGACTTGGCAATTTGAGGGTGTTCTCCAGGTAGAAATATTCAGTTTTTAAATACACTGTTATACAAAAACAGACTGATCCTAATATATGAATAAAAATATTCTTCTTGTAGGTCCATATATTTGGGTTTGATTCCTTACAACTCCCAAACTGAAACCCTCCTAGGAAAATCTTAGGCTTTGATTTTAGATAAGAAGTAATACGCCTTTGCTGGAGTACTGATCTTTCAGTGAAAGGATCTCCTCAAACTGGAGAAAGCAAACCTTTAAGATCTTAAAAGAAGTCTGGGAACCTCAAGGCTCTGGGTCAGGTTGGGATGGGATCTACTGCTAACTAGCTTATTAACCCTGAACAATGTAGTTAAATTCCCTGGACCTCAGTTGCCTCATTTGTAGAAATAAGGGTGTTGAAAAATATGACATGAAAGGGAAGTCCAGAACTAAAAGTTTAAGCCTCCAGTTACATGGATCAATCAATACTTTCAGAATCTTTGCCATTTTTTTTTTTTTTTTTTTTTTTTTTTTTGAGACAGAGTCTCCCTCTTTCACCCAGGCCAGACTGCAGTGGCGCTATCTTGGCTCACTGCAAACTCCGCCTCCCAGGTTCATGCCATTCTCCTGCCTCAGCCTCCCGAGGGGCTGGGACTACAGGCGCCCTCCACCACACCCGGCTAATTTTTTGTATTTTTAGGAGAGACGGGGTTTCACCGTGTTAGCCAGGATGGTCTTGATCTCCCGACCTCTTGATTTTCGCCCGCCTAGGCCTCCCAAAGTGCTGGGATTACAGGCGTGAGCCACCACGCCCGGCCCAAATCTCCACGTTTTAATCTCAAATGACTCTTCCTTAATTTAAGCCTAAGAGAGAGAGTTTGGAAATCTGTAATAATTAAATGCTTTCTCATTCAACCTTGATGAAAATATCAAACTGCCAAAACAATCCCCAGTCCTGAGTGTTATCATAAAGATTATTAACATATTTCAAAGTTGAACACTTGTAAACTAATCAAATTAATGATGGAGGAGAAAACCTATACTCTTGAGCATTACCTTGTACTGTGCATTTTACACATAGTATTTATTTTGTCTTTCAACAGACATTTTCTTAGCCTAATGGGATTCCAAGAACAGGGGTCATCCTCTTATGAACTAAGTCTTTTATTAGAAGCCTACTGATTTCAAGGGACTGTGCTTGATGCAATATGTGCTCTTGTAATTATTCTACCAACCTATATATGTAATAAGTGCGGTTAAAGCCATTTGCCAGCAAGGGAATATGTTCAAAGAGATTAAGTAACCTGTCCAAAGTCACAGAGCTAGTAATCAGGAGAATCAAAATTTGAACCGAGATCTACCTAATTCCAGGGACTGCTTTCTTTCCAGTTTTCACACAGCACCCTTGCTTTTGAACAGACAATTGAAGATTGAAACCTACTTGTTAGAGCCTCTAATATTAATAGTTATAGCATAAGTATACACTTACACAAATAAAGTTGAATCCATACCTGAAATCTTTCAGATTGATTCAAGTATTGGACAGGTAAATTGCATAATATATGAGGAAAAAACACACAAAAACAAAGCCACTAGAATATAATTACTATAAAAGAAAGCATGCATCTCAGTAAATCCTAATATTTTTTGTGTCTTCTTCAAAATGAAAAGAGCAATGATGTTACTTTAAAATGTATACCCTGTGTCTTAGTCTGTCTGGGATGCTTTAACAGAATACTATTGGCTGGATAATTTATTGCATACATTTGTGGAGGCTGGGAAGTCCATGATCAATAAAAGTGCCAGTAGAATCAGTGTCTAGTAAAGGGCTCACTGTCTGCTTCATAGATGGTTCCTTGTTGCTGTGTCCTTTCACAGCAGAAGGGGCTAGTGAGCTCCTTTGAGTTTCTTTTATAAGGGCACCATTCCCATTTACGAGGATAGAGTCCTCATGGCTTAATCACTTCCCAAAGGCCCGCCTCTTAGTACTGTCATACTGGGTATTAGGTTCCAATATAAGAATTTTGGAAGGACATCAACATTCAGACCATAGCATTCTATCCCTGGGCCCCAATATTCATGTCCTTCTTATGTGCAAAATACACTTATTTGATCTCAATAGCCCCCAAATTCTTAACTTGTTCCAACACTAACTCAAAAGTCTATAGTCTTCTCTATATCTTATCTAAATCAGATATGAGTGAAACTTAAGATATGATTTATCGTTCTCCTGCTGTGAACCTGTAAAATCAGACATGTTATCTGTTTCCAAAATACAATGGTGCACTGGGCATAGGATAAACATTTCCATTCCAAAAAGGAGAAAGAAGAAAGAGGTAATGGATTCTGACCAAACACCAAAACCAAAACGGAAAACATTAAATCTTAAGGCTCCAAGATAATCTTTTCTTAAGAGCATAACTGGTGAGAGCTCAGAAGAAGGGGAAAGCTGTAGAGAAAGCATTAATATTCTCGAATAAAATCTTCTAAATTTTGCCTTCTGAACACACTGGTGTGGCGATTGGGCCCCAAAAGTTCCAGGGGGGCCTGCCTCCATAATTTTGCTGAGTGTAGCCCATTTTCCACCTCTCATAGGTTGGAATCTCATGCCTGTGGCTCTCCCAGGCTGAAGTTGCAAGCTGGTGGCTCTAGCAGTCTGAAGTTTCCGGGTGACTCCACCCCCACAGCTCTGCTTGGCATTGCCCTATAAGGGACACTGCAGTGGCCCAACCCCATGGCTCCATTATGCATTGCCCTAATAATAGGAGCTCTCTACTGTGGCCCTACCACTGTGGCAGTTGTCTACCCCAACCCCAAGGCTTTCTGTGGCATTTTTTGAAATTTAGATCAAGGCAGCCAGGCCCTTGCTGCATGTGCACTCTGCATCCTGGTGGAAATTGCAGTATGTGAACCTCACCAAGACTTACTATATTTGACTTCCAAAGGGACAGCCTGAGTTGCATCAGGGCCTGCTTGGGCCACAGCTGGGCTGGCTAAAGAGCACCACACTGAAAGGTGGGGAAGAGAGCCTCGAAATTGTTCTGCTTCTGAGCCTCTGGCATTCTGGGCCTGTGATGGATGGGGTAGCCTTGAAGACCTCCAAAATGCTTTTGAGGTCATTCTTACATTGTCTTGATAGATAGCACCTGGCTTCCACCCATCTATACTAATCTCTTTATCAAATGATCCCTTGGCCACACCCTTGATATTCTCTCTCTCAAATGTTTGTTCATTCTTAACAAGATGGCCAGGCTGACGATTTTCCAAATCTTTTTCTGCTTTCATTTTGGTTATAAATTCCATTTGTAATTCCTTTCTCTCCTTGCATTTTACTATAAGCAGTGCAACAAAGCCAAGTACCTCCTTTAACACTTTACTTAGAGATTTCTTCTGGCAGATATTCTATTTTATTGCTGTTGAGTTCTGCTTTCCACAAAACACTAGGATGCAAACACAATTCAATCAATTTCTGTGTCAGTTTCACTCATGAGGGTAGAATTCTCATGACAATCACTTCTCAAAGCCTCCACCTCCACCTTTTAAGACTTTTTTTTTTTTTTTTTTTTTGAGATGGAGTTTCCCTCTGTCCCCCAGGCAGGAGTGCAGTGGCTTGATCTCGACTCACTGCAGTCTCTGCCTCCTGGGTCCAAGCAATTCTCCTGGCTCAGCCTCCCAAGTAGCTGGGATTAACAGGCACCTGCCACCAGGCCCAGCAAATTTTTTTTTTTTTTAATTTTTACTAGAGATGGGGTTTCACCATGTTGGCCAGGCTGGTTTTGAACTCCTGACCTCAAGTGCTCCACCCACATTGGCTTCCCACAGTGCTGGGATTACAGGCATGAGCCACTGCACCAGGCCTAATACTGTTATATGAGATATTAGGTGTCAACATATGAATTTTGGGGAGACACCAACGTTAAGACCATAGCACCATGATTTAGTGGGATAGTTGCATATTAGAGTTTGCTATGTTAAAGTAACTACATTCCCTGAATATAAGAAAAAATTTGTTATAAATTTGAGATTTTTTATTGATTTTATGCATTTCAAAAAGTATAGCCTTCTCTGAATGGATTGCCTATTAACAAAAAATATCTCCTGAGAAAAATTTTAGAAATAACATTGCATATATACCTTAGCTTAGAGATTTCATTTTCCATTTAATGAAAAGAAAGGTAAATATTAGAAAATTCTATTTTGACTGAAGTTTATTTTTGACCACTTGTATCAAAGTAAATAAATTCAGATTTAGTTCTTTTCAATTTTGGTTGCTTGTGCCATTGAACTTCAGATATTTTAGGCAGGTAGGTAGTATTTTGGAAAAGAAAAGGCTGAAAATACTGTGTGAACAGTAATAACAAAAGGGCGAACTAAGAAAAAGTTACGTTTGACCTTGAGTTTTTAAGTTTATTTGTTCCAATAAATTGTTTTTTTCAGGATACTCTTCAGTGTATCAAAAAATTATTTAACCTTGTGTTAAGTCAGTTGGTTATGTACATATTTTATCCAGCATATTGGAAAAAATTATACTCTTAACTGTTAATTTTCTCTGAACAGTAATAGTTGGGTATGATTCTGAACTATAGTTTACCACTGAACTCTTTTATATTTTGTGAGCAAAATTGTTTAAAATTTCTAGCAATTATATTCACTACAGCTCGTCATTTAAAGGATAACTGTTTCTATACCCCTAGACCTGAAGAGCCTCATATTAAAGTGTCAATATTGTAGTCTAACTCTATTGTTTGTTTATTGCTCTGGAATCCAGTTTGTGTTGTGAGGGGGCAGTTCTGTGTTTGGATTTAAAAATCTAAATCATAACCCATGCAGTGTTAGTCTAATTAATTTTGGAAAAAGGAATCTAGATCTCAGCATGTTACTGGTGAAATGGCATGAAATATGTTTTAAGAATTTGTTCTGAAGACAAAAATAAAAACACTGAAAGAGACAAATAGAATATTTTGTGTTCACATATTCCGAAACCCAATAGCTCTTGCATTTGGATTTTTAGAAAATTTAGATATCCACTGTAGCCCACCAAAAAAAAAAAAAAAAGAAAAAAGAAAAGAGGAAATTGAAATAATACTTCCCACCCCCCGACCTGCACTATTTTATAATATTCTAGAGTGTTTCTTTCTTGGTAAGATATTGCATTTTAGTACTTTTGAAAAAAAAATTCTATCATTCACAGTCCATTACAAACAGTAGAGTTCACAGGGTATTTTATACCAATGGTGTTGATGTGCTGCTGTTTACAATACAATAAAAGTTAATGGAAGGGAGCAAAATACAATTCAGTTACTATAGAAATGTTTCTAAACCAGTAAAATAAATTGAAATTAACTGCCATTTCTAAAATGTCTTAGAATTTCAGTGTCAATCATGTCTTTCAGTTTTGTCCCTTGAATACATTAAATTTGCATATATGTTTAGGGAGTTTTTTTCTTTTTTTTTTTTTTGCAAATGTCATGAGTGCCACATGCTTGTAAAAATAGGGACATTTTAAGTATTACCCTCATTTGAGTTTTCAGTCATTTTCAACAGCCTCATCTATTCCAAATACAAGGGGTGGAGTGTGCGAAAAGAATAAGTAGATTAGGGATCAGTAGGTTTACTTCAGGTCCAGTTACTTCCTAATTTAGGCATGCTGCTTTGCCAGACTATTGTGCATTGTTCTTATTCATAGAATAGGGCTTCTATTCATTCAGTGATTCTCTAACATTTCTTAACGGGAATTTGGCTGAGGTTGAATCTAGGACAGAGGAGGACTGTTCTATCAATTCTCTCACTTACTCTTCCTTTTTGCTGGGACTACCTAGAACACTGATACAGTTTGGATATTTTTTCCTGTCCAAATCTCTTGTTGAATCATAATCCCCAGTGCTAGAGTTGGGGTCTGGTGGGAGGTGGTGGGTCATGGGGCAGATCCCTTATGGTTTGTGCTGTCTTCATGATAGTGGTCATTTAAAGGTGTGTGGCACCTCTCCACGTGCATCTTGCTCCTGTTTTGCCATGTGATGTGTCTGGTCCCCCTTCTTCCTCTGTCATGATTATAAGTTTCTTGACGCCTCCCTAGAGGCCTAACAGATGATGCCAGCACCATGCTGCTTGTAAACCTTGAAGAACCATGAGCCAATTAAGCCTCTTTTCTTTATAAATTACCCAGTCTCAGGTATTTATTTGTAGAAATGCCAGAATGGTCTAATGCCAACACATTTGAAAATGCTTGTAATATGTTACACTCTTCTACGTTTTTATTTTAGAAATATATTTATAATTGCAGGAATATGAGAAGACCAGATACTAAACTCATGTAAACAACTATACTTGATATGTGTCCCAGAGGCAAATGCTTTTCAAAGGCTTCAGTTTTTATTAAGACTCTCTAACAAAGAAATTCCTATGTATATGTGTGTTGAATATAATAATTCTTATAGTAAGTACTTATAGTCAGGCTCAGACTATCACATTTCTGTGTACTGTGAAGGATTTATCACTAGCACAATGGCCCAGAAAGTTTCGAAGCAAAAGGAATATACTTTACCAAGTGCATGAAGCAATGTTGCTTTGTTTACTTCACAGGTTAGAGAGAATTGTCATCATCCTACTAAAGTATTTTTAGTCAGTCTTGTTTTCAAAACAAGTGTACTACAGTTTAGACAGTCTGCTTTATAAAACTTCACATTCATTAACAGGAATACTCTTTGGATGGTGAATATTGAAATGGCTATATTTGACCTTCTATTATAAGCAATTTAAAAATAGGTAAGGGAAAGGAAGAGATTAAATGATGTTAAATCTAATATTCCTAATCTATATGGAGAGTACATATTATTTGAAATGAGAATGTGGAGGCAAGAAATACTAGAAAATAATGGGCCATGGATGCCTTCAGCTCTAATAATGGCTTAAATCTGAAAAAGATTTCTAAATACAGTATGAATTTCTTTTTTTATTTTATTTATTATTATTATTATTATTATTTGAGACAAGTCTTGCTCTGTCACCCAGGCTGAAGTGCAGTGGCACAATCTTGCCTCACTGCAACCTCTGCCTCCCGGATTCAAGCGATTCTTCTGCCCCAGCCTCCCGAGTAGCTGGGACTACAGGCATGCACCACCACGCCTGGCTAATTTTTGTATTTTTAGTAGAGATGTTGGTTCACCATATTGGCCAGGCTGGTCTCGAACTCCTGACCTCAGGTGATCTGCCCACCTCAGCCTCCCAAAATGCTGGGATTACAGGCGTGAGCCACCACTCCTGGCCACAGTATTAATTTCTATGCTTCCACATTACGTATTACACTTATTTAAGTGTCCCAGTATAAACTACTATACTAAGGAGAGACACAAGTTTATTTTGGACATTTGATCAATATCACTCTTCAAAAGTTAGCATATAATCTACTTTCAGGCACTGTCAGCTCTGATCTTCCTGCACTGTGACCTATACTAAAAGGAAAAGCTACTTTCCATCCCAGCAAGATCTCATTGAAGGACTATGATATTTAATATCGGAAAAATAAACTTTCAATATTCTATCATAACAGTTGGAAATGTTGGCCATCCTTCATGTTCCTGTCATTTCTTAATGCTTTTATTTGTTTTGAAAAATTGATTTTGGACCTTGGTGCCTAAGTTTTATTTGTGATACTGTTTGTTACTATCAAGTAGGATTGCATTAAAGGGTAAGCAGGCAAAATGTTCACAGAGGCCAAAATTGAACAAAACACTTCAGAGCTGCTCGTTGTAGGTTTCAGGAAATAATTTTTTTAAATGGTTTGCACAGTAACACCAAAGGAGACATACATAATTATTAGCTGAGAACAAATGTCCTTGGCCCTAAGGTTATATAAAGCATGATCTTTCTTTCCCAGGTGTTTTTAACTAAAGCTCTGGCTCCACGATCCTTCTCTGGAGATTAGCCTACCCTGGCCATTTTCCCACCCACCCACTCTTTGTCACTCTTCATCAACTAGAAACCATTATCCACCCACCCTCCCACTGGCCACTGTCATGAATCTTCCACTTTCTTTGTCACGTTAAATCACTTTCTACCGCCATCTAATATTATCCTGTTTACCAGACTGCAGTTTTTCATAGCCTTTGTTTAATCTCACCCCGTTTTTTCACTGCTAATTGTTTTTCTTTCTCATCACTTCTTTTTTGTTTTTCACACTATGCTACTTTAAGTCATGCCCTATCTTCTCTACACATCTCATTGTGCTCTTATTCTTCCAGAAAAATATCAGGGGAAATTATTAGTGTCAGGGTCTCTCAAAAGAGGGGATCAATGAGCATACTTTGTTCTCTCTTCTGAAGACAGATGGTGTTTTAGTCAAGCTAGATAGTCTGCACCATATTACTCAGAGAATGGTGTCATGGATGCTTTTTGATTTGGGAAGATATATGTTAGATGAAAAAAATATGAGAAATATTAGTTAGTGGGAGTTCTAGTTATCCTGGCTTTGCCTCTTTGCCCTCTTCCTGTGCCAGAAAGCTGACTTATGTGGACTACCTCACCCAGGCTCTTTTACCTTTCCACATCAAGTTGGATTTCCTCCATGAATTGCATTGCAAGGACATTAGATAGCAGACAGAAAAGGAAGTCAGAATATTTATTCATCCCCTTTCCATCTACGCTCAACTATAATGATTTAGCAGTGGCTGAGCCTGTCTATTAAAGACCACTGCTCTTGTTGGATGGCTTTATTCCCCTCAGCTGCATTTTTCACTAGCTTCTGGTAACAGACCTGGTAAAAAGCAATGCATGATTTGTACCTTTGCATGTCCATCTCTATAAATAATTCTTTATTAAACTCTCTGCAACTATCATTTAAAGATATGTTTTCTATTTTCTGCAGCAATTCTGACTAATATAAAAGAGATTGGAAGGGATTAAAAATAAGGTGACAAGTTAGAATAATTTTGCAGTATTCCTGGTGTGAGGGGATATGAGCCTTTACTTGGGATAATGGCAGCAAGAATTCTTTTAAAAAATGGGAGTGTCTTAAAATATATTAAAAAGAAAAAGATAGTAGGATTTAATGTTTGATTTGATATGTTTGTAAATTTTAAAGTTTTAGGGGATTACCTTTCCAAACATAGTCATAGGGTGAAGCATAAGTTGACCTTAATGGATCACTGATTGTTTAGGTATTTCCTTCAAATCAATATATAAACTCTTTATAACTCAAGTAAGTCAATTCTAAGCTCATGTTACTCTGTAAACTTGATTCCTTCATAAAAGTAATAGCAGAATTTGGTGATTGCATTCTATATCCTATTTTTTACTTTTGAAAATATGAATAAAGACTTTATAACCTTTTATTTTTTTTTTATTTTTTGAGATGGAGTCTTGCTCTGTCAACCAGGCTTGAGTGCAATGGCGCGATCACAGCTCACTGCAACCTCTGCCTCCCGGGTTCAAGGGATTCTCCTGCCTCAGTCTCCTGAGTAGTTGGGATTACAGGCACCCACCACCATGCCCAGCTATTTTGGTATTTTTAGTAGAGACGGGGTTTCACCATGTTGATCAGGCTGGTTTCGAACTCCTGACCTCAGGTGATCAGCTTGCCTCGGCCTCCCAAAATGCTGGGATTACAGGTGTCAGCCACCACGCCTGGCCTATAGTCATTTTTAAATAATAAATTACAGTGATTGCTGGGCATAAAGTAATATTTTAAGATAACATTTAGATTCTTAAAGTAAATATGGGGAGATAAAGAATGGAAAATAAGATAGTATTACTAGTGAAATGTCTATTGACATACTAACTCAGTGCAGAAAGCCCTGTCAAAGCTACCAATATCCTAATGCTGTATCCTCCCATAACATTAACTATGAGATTTTAACTCAAAAAAAGCTGAGAACGGTGTAACTGGGGCATTCGTTTCTTAAGTATTTAAAGTAGATTAGTCAGAAAAACAAATTTAGAATGATATTACCCAGAAATATACTTATTTAGCATGATAAATGCTAACTAAAAAAATGAATAATCAAGAGTATTGTAATAGAGTATATTCAAGCTGTGAGGCAACAGTTAAGCCAAAACCATGTTCTGGATAGCCACCTTTTCTTTTTCTTTCTTTCTTTCTTTTTTTTTTTTTTTCTTTTTTGAGTCAGACTCTTGCTCTGTCACCCAGGCTGGAGTGCAGTGGTGCGATCTTGGCTCACTGCAACCTCCACCTCCCGGGTTCAAGCGATGGCCACTTTTTCTATTTGTCATAATTACATTGAGCTTTAGCAGGATAGCATCAAACTCGACTCAGGGAAAAACTCCCAAAAGAAGTATTTCTTTGATTTATTTATTTTTGCCATATATCAACCCTTTTCTTCTGAAAGATATAGTCTATGAAATAAAAATTAGGAACCTAGTGCTTGAGTGGAATTCTGGAAACAGTACAATACATAATGCTGTTACACTGAATAGAGACTTAACTATAGTAAGCAGCTTTTAAATAGGCTTTAGATATATAGTCAGTACCTGTGAAACTACAGCCCACACAGCAGCTCTGTTTATTCTTTTTTGTGTGTCTACTGAATACCTGTAAATGAAAGATTTATTAAATGTACTTTTCACATTTCTCTGTTAGTTAAGCAAATGCAGTTTTATATAGACAACTGCAGTTTTATACAGACAACTGGTCATATAACTTTTCTCTTAAAAATGATAGTCATCATCATTTTTAGGCAACAGTGACTACTTTTCCCCTAAATTTAACGACATCTCAGCATTAATTAAGGGTTTGTTTGTTAAATGTTTCTTTCATACCTTCACATTTCATGGTGATTTTTTATTAGCTCCATGTACTTCCTGTCTTAGTCTGGTTTTTGTTGCTATGAAAAAATACTACAGATTTGGTAATTTACAAAGAAAATAAGTTTAGTTGGCTCATGGTTCTGGAGGCTGGAAAATTCAAGAACATGGCCCTGGCATCCGGTGTCATCCCATGGTGGAAGAGTATCACATGGCCAGAGAGCACACTCCAGAGAGAGCTAAGATTCAAATACCAGTACTTTTATTTACTAGTTTTTTTCTACCCCTCTTTTGCCAAGTTACTTAAATTTTCCACATCTAAGTTTCCTCATCTGCAAAATGAACTTTACTTGTATTAGTCCATTCTTACACTGCCCTAAAGAACTATCTGAGACTAGGTAATTTATAAAGAAAAAAATGTTTAATTGACCCACAGTTCCATAGGCTGTACAGGAGACATGGCTGGGGAAGCCTGAGAAAACTTACAATCATGGCAGAAGGGCAAAAAGGAAGCAAACATGTCTTCACATGGCAGCAGGAGAGAGGGAGTGTAGGGGGGAAGTGCTACACACTTATCTCGTGAGAACTCACTCACTAGCAGGAGAATAGCAAGGGAGAAATCCGCCCCCATGATCCAATCACCTCCCACCAGATCACTCCCTCAACACTGGAGATTACAATTCAACATGAGATTTGGGTGGAGACACGGAGCCAAACCATATCATTACTACTGCACAATAGAGTTTTTGAGAGTATTAAATAAAATAAAATATATAAATTGCCTCTCCCGCTGGCCTAGTTCTTGTGCACCCAAGTGCTTAATAAATATCACCTGTAGTTACTGCTGAATAATTAAAAAGACTTCCTTTTGAAATGCTAATTGGCAGATTCTTACAATAACTTTATTTTTCTTACAAAAGTAAACTGAATCTCTTATGGATTGAGATTGTTAAAAATGATGATTAACTTTTTGAGCCCATATTTAATGATTTAACTATCACCTTTGCATCTAACGAGATTCACATTAAATATTTTGAGGCTTTCAACATTTCCTGTAAATTTTTATTTTATTCTAAAAATCTTGAAATCTACATATAAGGTGAAAGGCTCTTATAATAATCACCCATCACCAAGATTCAATTAATTATTAACATTTTGCCACATTTATCTTTTTTGTATGAATTTATACAGTCAAAGAAAAATGGTGGGAATAGTTTATATAAATAGCTCACACATAATTAATTATAGTAAAGTGTCCTTTTCATTCTAATTTCACTTATTATTTTAGTAATGGTATCTATGTCTGCAAGAGTACATCGATAATTAAGTTGTGTGCACATCTAGATTTTTACATCAAAATTCAAAACATCTAAAGTGTACAAATCTGGATTTTTGAAATGTTTACATCCTTCATATGATTAGTATCTGTTCTGAGATGAATTTCTAGCTAGATTTTATATTATGAAAGTATTCAGTGACTTAATATATGACTTATGTTGAGGTTTCTAATTTTATTTCTTTTATTTCTATTGTCTTTTAGTTGTAGTGAATTATCTGATAACATTTGGCCTATCAGAATACAAATAAAAAATCAAAAAATTTAAAATATTTACTTTAGTTGATAATATAAATTTACCCAGCATTTAAAAAATAAGGCTGTAAAGCTTCCTATAAATAGTAAATTGTATTTGAAATTTTGATAGTTTTTCAGTTACTGCTGAATGAGGAATATGCCAAACATTAATTTTCAGTCATTAAAATCTAATTAAGAAAGAAGTAAATATTACTAGAAATATAGTACCTTTTCTCATTAATGAACATGTCAGAATTTCTAAAAGTACATCTCAAAATTAGTACAGAGAAATAGTACGTTTTTATAAGTTAGGGAATTTTCATCTTCTCCATTTATTATTTGTCAGTCTTGAGAAAATAGAAGCACAAAGAAAACTCTATCACAGTTTAAAATTATTTAAACCCAAACCACTGAACAGATTTACCATATCTTATTTACTGGATAGGACCCTGGATTCACTCAAATGAGTAATTCACATTTGTGATGCTCACTCTACTGTTTACATTTAAACATCAGGAAGAATAATTATAAAACATTTTTAATCTGCAACTAAACTGTTTTATGACTATTAAATTTGCATAATACATTATTATCTGCCACACTTATTTCCCTCTACCCCATCCCATCTCACCTTGCAAGTAAAAGTGCTCATAAAATCTCAGTGGCTGAAAAGGTTTATAGTAGTTTCATAACCACTTTATTTCCAGGTAGTAGACACATTTCTTCCAGGATCTATAATTTAATCATTTTACATGTGAAAAAAGTAGGGCAATGATCTTTAGATTTAGGTATTTAAGTTAAGAACAACCAGAAGGAGATATATATGTATATATGTAAATATGTATATGTATATGTATATACACACATACACACACACACACATAAATATATCAATTATGAATTTTAAAATGGTGGATGGTATTTGTTTCTGGTGAAGCAGGCTTTAATGGTGAAAGAATCACATTCATTTTTTTTTCCAGTGGTTGAACCAAGCTAAATCTGAGCAAAGCTAGCTCCTGTGCCCAATCCTGCATTCTCTTAACTGGTAATAAAGAACTTTGCTGGCCTGACAGGTTGTCACAGCAATTATTCACACGAAGTTATGTAGCAGTTGTATCTGTCAGCCCATGTAGTATTGAATATTTTAACTGGCAGTCTTCCAAGACTGAACATTAATCTTACCATCTCCTATTACAGTCCCTAATCAAGATATTCCAGGGGTGATTGCACTAACATTGTTTGAAGACTACATCTACTGGACTGATGGGAAAACCAAGTCACTCAGCCGTGCCCATAAAACATCGGGAGCAGACAGACTCTCACTGATTTACTCATGGCATGCCATCACAGATATCCAGGTGTATCATTCTTATAGACAACCTGATGGTAATTATTCTTTCCATGATTTCCATAAATGCATTAACATCTTTCAGTAACATTCCATTTTTTATTATTTCAAGGTTAAATGTAATTTTATTTTTGATGAAGATTACTAGATTTAATTATTTAGCATCACTTTATGGAAGAATTCAGTCAATATGAAGTACTGCTCTTAAGGCATATGATTAGAAGCTCAATAATAGGACAAAGAATTATGGATTTGTTCAACTCATATTAAGCTAAAATGATAATAATGCATTTAGTCAGATAAGTGAAGACTGTATTCTTGAAATAATTTGTTTACAAAATAGAGGATCCTTAGTTTCTGAAATGCTGAGTAGGAGGAATTATGCTTAAGTAGCTCTAGGGTTTTAAAACTGACAACTCTATCAAGTTTTCTTCAGCATATGTTTAATAGGAATTTCATCTGGCCTTGTGAAATAAAGGTTTGATTATTTTCCTTAAAAAAACCTATCCGGCCTATAAAGCAAAGTCATTACACTAGTAGTTGTAGATCATTGTTTCATTGTTTTATTTTATGTTTGTATTTCTGAACATATGTTTGTCTTCATCCAAAATGCTTCTAGTCTTTGTTTATTTTTCTCATGGACAGTTTTTTTCTACTAAAATTTTTGTTTTGTAGAAATGCACCTTTAAAATTATTGAATGGTAGAATTAATGTCAATGGACAATGAGTAGCATTTGTGACAAAGTAAAATTATATTTATAGTCTTGATGAGTTCTTGAGTACAAAGATTTATTCTAATTCAAGTTATGCAGCTTAAAAGTCCTATCTCTAATCCCATGTTATATTATTAGTCTTGATTATCCTGTTTTGTTGTTGTTGTTTCTTTCTTATCTTTAGTCTCCAAACATCTCTGCATGATAAATAATGGTGGTTGCAGTCATTTGTGCCTTTTAGCCCCTGGAAAAACCCACACTTGTGCATGTCCCACTAACTTCTATCTGGCAGCTGATAATAGGACTTGCTTATCCAACTGCACAGCCAGCCAGGTGAGTGGAGGTCTGGGAATCTTATTATAGAGTGTATGGTGAAACATCAGCTCTTTTGTTTAGCATAACATTGAATGATCATTCCATACATTGTAGAGATGGTCACAGAATAAAGGAAAACACTATAACATCTCATTAAAATGGGACCTTAGCTATTAGGAAGAATAAATAAAGGCCAAAAAGGAAACAAACAAACAAAAAAAGAGAGAGAAAGAAAAGAAAAAATTATTTCACAGATCCACATAAATAATGACTCAAATCCTAAGTGGGTAAAGGGAGGTGGAGTTTAAACAGAGCAGGAAATCTCTCAAGATAATCTGCTCCATGTCACTGTCCCCACTCTCCATTTCTTAGAGTAGGTGATCTGGGAAAGATAAATTCAATAGAGAGTAAGTCTCTAGATTTTGTTTTTATTAAAATAAATCATGTGATCAAAATAACTTTCTTCTGAAACCTCTTTTTCTTTAAAACTTAATTATTCTCAGTTGAAGATATCCCAGGAGTTAACTTGTCTACTGTATGGTAGTTGCATGGACTTGATTTTATTACTTTCAAATTTTGGACAATAGTCATATGACATTGTAAAACTGTACTTTGTAACACGTGAGCCACTATCTTGTTGGATTTAAGATAAAACTGTCAAACTATATTTTGTCTTTAAAATGACTAAATGTATTTTTAGAATTCTATGTTTGAGTTTGCTGATTTTCTAGTTACTAGCAATGATTTCATTGCAAGAGACTGAATTTCTCTTGGATTGTTTTTATCTTCAAAATGGAGAAGCTAAATTTAGCTCAGCTTGCCTTTCAGATTAGATTTAGGAGTATCATACATGAAAGAACTGCATAAATAACAACAATTAGAACTTTTTCAGGGAGCCAGAATGTGTAGAGGTTAAGGGCATAGACTCTGAAGCCAGAGCTTTTGTGATTATAATGCAGACTCAGCTTTAAATTGAGTTTGTTACTTCTTGGTACCTTGGTTTTCTCATCTTTTAAATGGGATTATAATATTTCTATGCCATATACAGATTAAATGGGAAAAGTTCCTGGTACATAGTAGGTGTTGTTATTATTACTCTTGCCCTATACTGCAGCCGAAATTTACATTAAAAAGTTATGTATATAATTAGTGTGAGCTGCCCTCAAGAGGTTCTGACCGCTCTTTGAAAGCACAAGCCACAGACTCTGCTTTTATTACAAAATGTGTTATTCTAATTATAAGTCCCTGAGTATTTGTGTAATAAAAATATTATTTTTAAAGAGCTGGAAATGTAAGTCAGTATGAGAGATAAAATTAGCAATTGAATTATTCCTAGTGGTAAAATTAAAGAGAGAAATCACGTTTTTTAATATTTTAAAATAGAATTATTAATACTATTGGTGCTATTTAGTCAAATTTTCAGGTAACCTCCATCCAGGTTATTCTAAAATAATCTTTGGTCCCTTGCTTTGGAATGATCATACATATATCAGTCTGCTGAGGCCCAAAAGTAAGGCTGTCGCTGGCTTAGTAGAGATGATGCCTGCCTGAGTCACTACAGTGGCGATGACTTAATAGCCAACTAAAAATAGAACAAAATCACAGCATTCTTTGAAGCACAGATGAACATCTCAAATAGCAAGGCACAGAGAATAAAACATCAGCCTCACTACAGGCATCAAAGGGATAACACTTTTCAAATATTATATATGAAAACCTATAACTGTTTATCCAATGCCAACAAATTAGATTAGTCAAATAAATGAAAACCTAACTCACCCTGAAAGAATTATTTATCTAATAAAATTATTTCCCAATTTGGTTTCCATGATGACAACACTAAAATATTTATAATTTTTAAATACCCCCAATAGTCTATCACGAATTTTTAGAAACTTAACAATAGCAAGACAGAACAAACAAATCCAAATGTGTACAATACTTTTCAACTATACTTCTGAAAACAACAAAAAAGGAGGAGGTATCACTTCATTAGTTTCATCTTCAAGGAAAAAGTTAATTGCCCAGGCCCGGTAGCTCACGCCTGTAATCCCAGCACTTTGGGAGAACGAGGCAGGTGGATCACTTGAGGTCAGGAGTTGGAGAGCCGCCTGGCCAACGTAGTGAAACCTCGTCTCTACTAAAAAATATTAAAAATTAGCTGGGCATGGTGGCAAGGACCTGTAATCCCAGCTACTTGGGAGGGTGAGGCATGAGAATTGCTTGAACCCAGAAGGCGGAGGCTGAAGTGAGCCAAGATCATGACACTCACTCCAGCCTAGGCAACAGAGTGAAACTCTTGTCTCAAAAAATAAAAACAAATAAAAAAAGAAAGAAAAAAAGTTCATGAAGAACAGGTAATGCAAACTGTTAGTGGTTATCCCTGTAACTCATCTCGTTTATGAGGCCATTTTACCTCTGATTCTTTTCTGATCTAATGAGAGGAAAATATATCTCTTGTATACTTCTTGGAGAAAAATCAGTTTGTAGAAACATGATTTTCAGTGAGGTAGACCTTTAAAGGAAGCAAATAATCTAGGCAGTTAAGAATCATGCTAGTAAGCATCCTGATGAAAATTTTGCATTCTTAATTTATTCTTACTTAGGGATTTTGATTTATCATCTAATGATTGTCAACAAATGACATGTTCCCCAAATAGTATTATTTTAGAAACAAACAGGCAAATCACATCAATAAGAATTCTATTAGGATTGAAAACATAATCTGAGAATCTAGTAAAAATTAAGATTAAGTTCAATTCATATAACACTAGTCATTTCAAATATTTAATGAAAATCATTTTAGGAAAAAAGTCAACTTAATAATGGCTTCACTTAAGCTTTAAAATGGAGACTTTTCTTGTTTCAACTAAACTTTACCATATTGAGATTGCATTTTATCCCTGTATTCATATTAGTAGACACATATTTAGTAGGTTCTTTATAGCTTTTACTTGTGGGTGATAATTACAGTCTACAGTTTATTTTATGATGATATTAGTCTTAGAGAACATTTATGATGAAGACTATTTTATATTTATATTTAGCATTAATCTTTTTTAAGTTACTGAATTTAAGTGGGTAAAAATGAAGCTAAGACATGAAATAGAAGAGATCTTCCTGTGAGAATAAAATATTGATTAACATGAAAAATAAGATAAGTATATTTTACCCTGGCCTCCCTTAACTCAAAACCCTTTAATGTTATTTTCAAAGTCAAAAGAAGAGCAAAATCATTATATCATATATAATTCCAACAGTTCATGTTTATTTAAATTGGGTTCATTTAGTGAATTTAAAAATACATACAATTTAGATATTTTTCCAGTCATAATTGGACTTTGAGGATACTCAGGAGACCTGATGTTCTCATACTAATGTGTTTTAATATATTGTAATGACTAGAAATTTTAATGTTAAGGGTAACTGCTTTCCCTCATATCCCCAGACAGTCACTATCTATAAAGATAAGTTTTCTCCACTCCTATTTTATAAAAAAAAAAAAAAAAAACACACACACACACACAACAGACATGTACAAGCTAAGCAAATATGGAAAAATCAGTTGAATGGTTAGATCTCCCATTGGATTCATAGAGCTCTATTCCTTCTTGTATTGCCACTGGGAGAAAAAATTCACACTCATATTTTTTAAATGATGTAAATCTATCATGAATTCACCCCATCATATCCAGACAAATTTAGCAAAAGCCAACATCAAATAATCTCTTATTTGAAGAAAGTAACAGTATTCTAAATGAACAAGGCTTTGGATTGCTAATCTATTTTCATTAGCAATAATTAAACTTAGGCTATAGTTTTCTGTTACAAATCCTTCTTGTATGTAACATGCTAAGAAAAATGCCAGCTGGCTGTTAGTCACTTATATGGGAATAACAACATAAACACTTCTAAAAGAAGTTAATAACTTTTAGAAAGTCATCTCAACATTTAGAAATGTTTTCAATTCTAGATGAATATTGTGATATATGCTTTTCATTGAACTTCTACTAAATTGAAGAGGAAAATAATTTGATATACCAGGAGAAATTGACTAAACGTTATATACCGCTTGGTTTAACTAATTTCAAGTGAATTTTTTTAGTGGCAGCTGCTCCAGATGAATGTGCTCTGTATGGAAAGTGAGATTTTTGTCTTTAGTTTCTTCTATCTGAATGGTACTGAGAAAATAATTAGTTTACGGTAATAGATTACTAAAACATAAACTAACTGAGCTTTTTGGTCACTGTTTATATTTGGGCAATAATGAAGTTAGTAGGAACAATAATTACTCTGTCTCAGCAGCTACATTTGGGTTCAAATCACCTTCCTCATAAAAGTGATATGCAATAATAACTTCCTGTAGTTTGTCTCCAGTATCAAGTCACTTGTGTGCTAAATAGCCTGTAAGTAAATAAATATTGCCATATAACAATTCACTTACTTTCTCTAATGTTAATCTGCCACTTGATAGTTAATTTTTAAAGGGAGGAGTTAAAATTTCCATTTCTGTAAATAATAGAATTATTACCTTTCTCATGACTTTTTGTTTAGCTGTTTCAAGTGGAAAGGATAATACAACAAATAAAACATATTAATAAATATTTTAGTGAAAAGTTTTTTTTTTAGGTAATCTGGAGAACAAGTTTCATTACATGTTTTTTTCTGTGCCTTCATTTTTTATAAGTCAGCCAAAAAAAAATGTTGAGCCTTATTTTTACCTCTTTTTAAAAAATGATCAGAATTTTTCTTTGTCCTAAAAGATCATGTGTATTTACTAGGAATTCTAATGAAAAGAACTGTGTTGGCCTCAACTGCTTTAAAGAGATATTCTTAAAATTTATGTGGGGCCCATACTCATCATGGCTAAAGGCAGTATTTTCAGTGTTCAGGAATCTTTATGGAATCACAGCATGACAGAGCTGGAAAAGATACTGCAGATTATCTTCAGATCCTCATTTGGTGGCTAAAGAACACAGACTAAGAGATGTTAATTGAATTGCCCAAGATTCTGAATAAAATGCAATTAAATTAAATTAATTCAAATTACCTAAATTAGTTCAACTGGATATCTCTTCCTGATATTCCTGATAGCTTTTAGCCCTATTTAGTGTTTGCCAAATTTTTCCTGTAAAGGGCCAGATAGTAAATATTGTAGGCTTTTCAGGCCACAGGGTCTCTGTAGCAACTACTCATCTCTGCTGCTGTAGTGTACAAGTAGCCCTTTAGGGCTGGGGCCGTGATTTATTTACACCTGTAATCCAGCACTTTGGGTGGCCTAGGTGGGAGGATCACTTGAGCCCAGGAGTTTGAGATCAGCCTTGGCAACATGGTGAAACCTCATCTTTACAAAAAATATAAAAATTTTCTGGGCGAGGTGGCATGTACCTATAGTCCCAGCTACTCTGGAGGCTGAGGTGGGAGAATCTCTTGAGCCCAAGAAGTTGAGGTTCCAGATAGCTGAGATCACATCACTGCCTTCCAGCCTGGGCGACAGAGCGAGACCCTATCTCGACCAACAAGCCAACTAACCAACCACAAAAACCAAGTAGCTCTGCAGAAAACATGTAAATGTGAGAGATTGTCTGTGTTTGCAGGTCATCTCAAGAGGTTTTCCTGAGCAGTATCCTCTCCTGGAAGATCACGTTGTGGCTTTTTGTGTATTTAGTTCCTATTGTGGAATTTTCCAAAATCACCATTGTTCACATCTGCAGCAAAAAAGTAGACTAGGCTGTGTTGCCAAATTTTAAATTATCCATTATATATGCACTGGGTTCTTCAACATTTTTTTTTCTTTTTTTCTTTTTTAAGTTTCGTTGCAAAACTGACAAATGTATTCCATTCTGGTGGAAATGTGACACCGTGGATGACTGTGGTGATGGATCTGATGAACCTGATGACTGTCGTGAGTATACTGGCAAATATTGAAATTTAGAATTTAGAGTTCCTTATATCCCAGACCTGGAAAATTGAATCTACACCTAAAGTATTGCCTTCTGACACTTTTCCAAAATTGAAATAGAAAAATTTTAAATGCCATTCTTTAAAAGTAAGATAAAAATTGTTGTAATACCTTGGTTATCTCCCTGATAACTGTTACACTTAGAATGGTGCCATAAGCCATTCGTGTTAGATTTTGTTTCTTTCTCAAATTTGATTACTTGTGGAATAATGACATTATTTCATGTAGTGATCAGTAGGGTAATAAGCATCATTAATTTGACTTAATATGTCACCAACTTAGAAGTAAAAATGGGCAAGTTTCCAGAATGTCACTCAATTACTGAAATCTTATCTTTAAGTAATATAATTTCTTAAATTTACTGTCAGCATTGAAATCCTGAAAATTCTTAAAAAGTCTGATTTTTCCAATATAAATCATTAGATTGCCATTAGGTAATTTAATATGTTCTTAGCAATTGCTCTAAAGATATTACCAAGTATGTCTTGACATTTGACTGTAATTGGCATGGTTAGCTGCTGCTTTTTCAGCAATCGTTGGTAACTTTGGTTGTAATGGGACATCAGCAGACTTTTCCTTGATAGCCTTTTGTACTTCACTCCATAGGTCACTCCAATACTTCACTGTCAGATTGAAGATGCTCGTAGTCAATCACGATAATTCCCTCAACATCCCAGTACATGGTTGCCATAATTTGGCCTTGACAATTGAGTTCAAAATCCTTAGGCTTGTACTACACAAAGACAGAAGAAACTGGCTATCTTCTTCTACTGGAGAGCTTGCTACCACCTTATTATAAAGCTTTTTTGAAATTTAGGTTATCTAGATATTTACTTAGATAGGCTGTATTCCATCTCTCTGGTCATGCCCAAGTCTCTCACATACTGAAGTTGTTTCACATAGTGCATATGTTTGAAAGCAGTAAGTAATCAAATCAATGAAAAGGAAAAATGTTATAAAAGTCATTGTGTTTCTAATATAATCTTGTTTCTGAAAGATCCACTGCTCTTTGATTTTTTAAATATAGTTTTTGTTTTTTACTATGATAGACAACATATAAAGGGTAGTATCTCTGTGGGATAAGTACACTATTATTCCTGAATTATTCTTTTCAAAAAACCTATTAAGTTAAAAGGAATATCAAAGGAAGAATAAATTATTTTGGTGACCTTACTGAGATTCTTATTAAGAGAAAGTTATTACTTTCCCCACAATAAAGTAAATTTTCTATGATAACAGTAAATACTCTAAATGCAACTTACATTTGTAATTCTTAGAAATAAACAAGAATGAATATGTTAATTTAGTCCTTTAATTAAGAAGATGATCTTTCTTGTCTAGATTGACTGTTCTCTGAGAAAATTTCACTATAATGACCTGCAGCTCCTGACCTCTATTTGTAATTTTGACTGAAATTTCATCCTGGAACCATATTGATGTGAAAAATTAACTACAGACTTAGTATTAGGAGTTTTTCCATTTAACTCCTTTCAGAATATATGGTCATCAAATATTACTTTAGTGTCTTTTTGAGGCACTGATGTCTGAAAGACATCTGTTATCTGAGAGCTTCTCTATGATCCTTGTTTTGGTTAAATACTAATATCTAAATTTTTTTAATTGACAAGTAAATTTCTACATATTTAAGGTATGCAACATGATGTTATCATATATGTATACATTGTGGAATGGCAAAATTAAGGTATTTAACATATGCATTACATCACATACTTAGCTTTTTTGTGATGAGAATACTTAAAATCTATTCTCTTAGCAATTTTCAAGTGTGCAATATATTACTTTTAACCACAGTCAACAAGATGTACAATAGATCTCTTGAAGTAATTTTTTCCATCCCTAACTGAAATTTTGTGTCTTTTGAACAATGTCTTCCTAATCTCCCCAATCTCCAGCCTCTGGTAACCATCATTTTATTCTCTGTCTCTATGAGTTTGACTTTCTTAGAGTCTACATATAAGTGAGATCACGTGGTATTTGTCTTTCTTTGCCTGGCTGGTATGACATAAAATAATGTCCTCCAGGTTCATCCATGCTGTCACTAATAACAGGATTTCCTATTGTAAAATATTGAATATTATTCCCTCATGTATATATACCACACTTTATTTATTCATTCATCCATTGATGGACACTGTGGTTGATTTCATATATTGGTTACTGTGAATAAACCTGCAGCAAACAAGTGAATGCAAATAGTGTTACAACATAATGATTTTATTTCCTTTGGATATACAGGCATAACTTATTTTATTGTGCTGTACTTTACTGCGCTTTGCAGATATTGTATTTTTCACAAATGGAAGGTTTATGACAAGGCTGCATCAATCTTGTCTATTGGTGACATTTTTCAACACCATGTGGTCACTTTGTCTCTCTTTCACAATGTGGTAATTCTCACACTAGTTCAATTTTTTTTTCATTACTATTATTATATTTGTTTTGGTGATACAATCAGTATTCTTTGACATTATTAATACTATTGTAATTGTTTTGGAACACCACAGAGCATATCCATAAAAGACAACAAACTTAACTGATAAATATTGTGTATGTTCTGGCTGCCTACCAACCCACTGTTCCCTCTCTCTCTCCCTGTCCTTGGGCCTCCTTTTTCCCTAAGCATAACAATACTAAAATTAGGTCAACTAATAGCCCACAATGGTCTCTAAGTGTTCCAGCGAAAGGAAGAATTTCATGTCTCTCACTTTAAATCAAAAGCTAGAAATTATTAAGCTTAGTGAGAAAGGCATCTCAAAACACAAGATATACCAAAAGCTATGCTTCTTGTATCAGTCAGCAAAATTATGAATGCAAAGGAAAAGTTATTATAAGAAAATAAAAATGCTACCCAGTGAACACATGATCAGACAGTACAGATGCCTTCTTGCTAATGTGAAGAAACTTTCAGTGGTCAGGATAGAAGATGAAGCCATCCACAACAGTTCCTTAAGCCAAAGCCTAATCCAGAGCAAGGCCCTACCTAACTCTTATTTAATTTTGTACAGTTTTTTTAAACATGATGCCATTGCACACTTAATAGACTACAGTATAGTGTAAACATAACTTTTATGTGTACTAGGAAACCAAAAAAAAAAGTATGACATGCTTTATCGTGATATTTGCTTTATTGTGGTGGTCTGGAACTGAACCTCCAATATCTTCTAGGTATGCCTGTGTATATCTAGTAGTGGGATTGCTGGACCGTATGGTCACTACATTTTTAGTCTTTTGAGAAACCTGCATACTGTTACCCAAAATAGCTGTACTAATTTACATTTCTACCAATGAAATACAAGAGTTTTCTTTTCTTCACATCATTGCTAACACTTATATTTCTTCTTTTTTTACAATGCCTAACTTAACAGGTATAAGGTGATATCTTATTGTGGTTTTATTTGCATTTTCCTGATAATTAGTGATGTTGAGTATTTTTTAATATACCAGTTGGCCATTTGTATAATGTTTTAAAGAAATGCCTATTCAAGTCCTCAGCTCATTTTTCAGTGAGTTTTTTTTTCTTACTATTGAATATTCTTTATATATTTTGGATTTTAACCCATTAGCAGATGTACTGTTTGCAAATATTTTCTTCCATTTCATAGATTGTCTCTTTACTCTGTTGTTTCTTTTTTTGTACATAAGTTTTTTAATTTGATGTAATTCCATTTGTCTGTGTTTGCTTTTGTTGCCTGTGTTTTTGGAGTCATATCCAAACAGTTTTTACCCACACTAATGTCATGGAACTTTCCCTCTATATTTTATTCTAGTAGTCTTAAATGTTTTTGTTGGTTACATTATCTCTGTGAGCTTTCTTTTAGTAGAGCAAATAGGCTTTTACTTGTAGTTGATGGGTTAACAGCTTTGAATATCTGTAGGAATGACACTTTGCTTGAGAGTCATGGTGAGGTAGAAAATTATATGCAAGAGTCTATGGAACGTTTAGATTTCACTTTCGGGTAGATGCATCATCAATACCTGCAGACAATAAGAGATGCTGACAATACTTATAACATCACCTGAGAAGACAGGAAAGCCTCATCCCAGGGTCCCATACTTGCAAGCTTACATAATGTTATTTATATAAATGTAGTTAAGAGCAATGCATCAAAATTCTCTGGCATCACAAATTTGTAATAATGTTTCTTATAATACTCTAATACACTTAAGATTATTCTAGAGACAGAGTTGAAGCTCAGATGGGCTTCCAAGTTATTTCAAAGCATTCCTTTAATAGTTGCAACCTTTTTCTGGTGGAGGGTTGTTTCGAAAGCAAAGGAGTATTAGAGAAAATTGTATACAAAGCAAAATGAAATAGAGGAAAGGCACATGCTTAAAGTATGAGATAATTGTGTCATTCAGTTTAAACATTTAGTATTATTAATTAACAAAATGTTATAGATTGGAAGCAAATAACTTTCAACATTTTAGAACTCTCATTTCTATGGAAGCAGACCATATATAGAGTTATTTTTTAAAGAATGTTTAAATTTTTATTTAATATTGTAATTATAAAAGCATAATTTATTTCTCAAAAAAGTTTAAAATGCTATTTATTAGTGTTTGATTCACTGATTTGAGCTAATAAAGATAATATTAACCTCAAAATCAGTAATATGCATTAAAATCATTAGTCAAAAGATAAGTGTTTTATTGCAAACAACATAGTAGATTTAATTCAGAGTCTGACACTTAAAAGTTGTGCATCCTTAGGTGAATTATTCATATTCAGTAAATTTAGTTTACTCTTGCTAAAATGGTAATGCCAAAATGAGAATGTTATGGTGAGATTAAATTAGTAACTGTATGTGAAGGGGTCTAGCCCAGTGCCTGATACATAGTAGATCCTCAGATCCTGCCTTATTATTATTATTCCCAGATAATATGATAAAATGCATTATCACTTGGGAGTCATTTGTTATAATATACGTATAGTATATAAAATATTTACTATTTATAAGATATTGTTCTCTTGTATAATAATCGGATTATAGGGATGAATATCGATAAATCTGATTTAAAATGTGATAGATATAGAAAGCATTTGCTTTACGTTGTGCTGGAGAATATGTATCGTGGGCCAGGTGCAGTGACTCACGCCTGTAATCCCAAAACTTGGTGCCCGAGGGGGGCAGATCAGCTGAGGTCCGGAGTTCGAGACCAGCCTGGCCAACATGGTGAAACCCTATCTCTACTAAAAATACAAAAAATTAGCCAGGTGTGATGGTGGGCGCCTGTAATCCCAGCTACTTGGGTGGCTGAGGCAGTAGAATTGCTTGGACATGGGAGACAGAGGTTGCAGTGAGCCAAGATTGCACCACTGCACTCCAGACTGGGCGACAGAGCAAGACTCTGTCTCAAAAGAAAAAAAAGAGAGAGAGAGAATATGTATTGTGGACAAATCATACACACCATAGGCCACCAAATGATCAAGGAGAAATGATTTCTTAAAAGATGATATTGGAATAACAGTTTTTGTTACAATAAATTTCATTCTGCAACTTAACCTCTCAATATCATTTCATTAAAATGAGAAGACTTTTATATGTTTTTTAAATTTTTAAAAAAATATATTTATATGTTATTAATTCCTATCTTCTAAAGTATGGTTTATTAAATGTTATCTGGAGGCCATCTGAGTTGCTCAAAGTATAGCTAAACATTTGAATCTAATAGCTATCGAGATGAGAGACATTCACATTGTATTCCAGGATATATTTATTATAGTAAATATCTTGAATGTCAGAAACTCTATGTTTAAGAAGTTGTGAGGTAAGATTACCATTCCACAATATCTATGCTTTCTCCCCTAGCTGAATTTAGATGTCAGCCAGGCCGATTTCAGTGTGGGACTGGACTCTGTGCTCTACCAGCTTTCATCTGTGATGGAGAGAATGATTGTGGAGACAATTCTGATGAACTCAACTGTGGTAGGTGATTAAATTCCTAACTAATGAACATAAGTCTAATTTTCAACTGATTATGTCTGTGTGATTTTAATTCAGACACAAATTTTCTCTCTCTCTCTCCTTCTATGTTCTAGACACACATGTCTGCCTGTCAGGTCAATTCAAATGTACCAAGAACCAGAAATGTATCCCAGTAAACTTAAGATGTAATGGGCAAGATGACTGTGGTGATGAGGAAGATGAAAGAGACTGTCGTAAGTCACCTCAAAATACTCTGTCTTGTCTTAACTTTGACTCCTAAAATAAGTCTAAAAATTAGTACTATACTTCATAAATTCATATGATGTAGATAAATTGAAAAGAAATTATGGTCAAATAATTAGAAATAGATGCCAACTGGGATAGAAGCTCTAAATAAAAATATAGAGAAAATGAAAATATGGGCAAGTTTACTTTAAAATCTACCTGTAAATTATGACAAACATGAACAACATTCATTCATCCACATCATCCTTAAGAGAAGCACCAAATAAAACATGGCAGTTGATTATGTTTTTTAAATTTATTTTTGCCCATATTAAGTAGATACAAGTAATTTACTTCTGTGATTAATCAGTTTCTTGAAATTAAGTTATTTTTAATTAGAGAGTGTTTTCTCCATGAAATACATGTTGCACTCATGAAGAGACATATAAAATCTGGGCAAAATGGTCTAACAAAAATTTAACTTCTACAAAATTCTAAATATTGCTCCATTTAACGTATCTTAACAAACTATTTGAAAGAATAATAGTAAAATATTTTGTTTCTTTTCATCTCATATTTCCATCTTCCATCAAAATTCAAATTACGTTAAATGGAAGGCAAAACTGTTTATACCATATACATATATATATGCATATAAGCTGGCATGCACATGCTTGCACGCATGCTCACACATGCAGATTATGTGACTAATGGAGCACCTGTCAAGTTTCAGGGTTTCAACAGAACCGCTGTCAACATTTCTGTTTTGCTGAGTTTTATTGTATCCCTCAAAAACTTTTATCAGTAAATAATGTGCAGTCATCCAGCAATTTGATTAAGATGGTGCATTCAGAATAAAGTCAGTACCAGTTCTTTATGGTTAGCCATTCTAGAAGCTCATCCATTAAACTGTCTAGGATTTGTGATGCAGTTTACAGTCTAAGTTGGATGTTCACTTCCCTCAAAAACTCAACACAGGCCGGGTGCAGTGGCTTATGCCTGTAATCCCAGCACTTTAGGAGGCCGAGGTGGGTGGATCACCTGAGGTCAGGAGTTCGAGATGAGCCTGGCCAACATGGTGAAACCCTATCTCTAATAAAAATACAAAAATTAGCTGGGCGCAGTGGTAGGTGCCTATAATCCCAGCTACTTGGGAGGCTGAGGCAGGAGAATCACTTGATTCTGGGAGGTGGAGGTTGCAGTGAGCCAAGACTGTGTCACTGAACTCCAGCCTGGACAACAGAGCAAGACTCCACGTATATGTAAAACTCAACACAATTCCTAGACAGTTTGATAAACTTTGTACTTTTTATTTCCTTATTCACTTAATGCCTTCCAATTTTAGTATTTTTCAGTTTACAAAAATGTATACCTATGAATTCTTATTTTTTTCTGGAAAAAAACTTATTTTGAAAGTCCCTGAATTCTTAATTCTTAAAATTAGTATTCAAATATCTAATCAACAGTTTTTTGAAAACTCTGATATTTATCAGTGTATCACTGCAAAAATATGTTTTCTTTAATTTTACTGGAGAGGATATCAGGAGTATCTCAAAAGGAATTAAAAGTTAAAATTCCTCACCTTCAGAGTCCTATTAATTTAAAGACAATACATTTTTCGATAAACTGTCTTAAACATTTGTCTGTAAAATTTGCTTTTAATAAATAAATATGTTCTCCAAAGCTACATTTTAATGGCAGTTTTCTTTCTAAGCTGAAAACAGCTGTTCTCCAGACTATTTCCAGTGTAAGACTACGAAGCATTGCATTTCCAAGCTGTGGGTTTGTGACGAGGATCCAGACTGTGCAGATGCATCAGACGAGGCCAACTGCGGTGAGTGTCTGTGACTCTGGGTCTTATCTCTCCGTATTTGAGTCATCATCTGCGACAACCACAGTTAAACAAATTTGAACACAATTCTTTTGAAGCTAAGGTCTTACCTGAAAAGGTTTTGTCTCTGTGTTCACAGATTCATAAAAACTTAGGTTAGCTACTTTACAAGAAGCCTGGAGTGATAAGATGGAAGAGTAAGTATTCCTTAATATAACCCAGAACTTTATAAAACATAGACCAAAGAGGTAGAATAAGACCATTATCTTCTTATATTAGAGTATGCACATGATGGCATTAACATTTAGTGAACAGAAATAAGGAAACACTATATTCATATCATTCTAGAATTCATTTTTTTTTTGCTTAAATCCCTAAGATTCTGTAGTTATTCAATGATATTGTATGTCATTCTTTAATACATTACAGTGTGAAAAAAGATAATAAAAAGCATCTGTTCCATATTAGTAGATGACAGTGATCATTTCAGTCAGCATTTGCTTTTGAAACATTAATATTTTCACTTAAAATAATTTTATTTACAATAATTATTTCTTAATTGTTATCGCAGAAATGGAGAATATATATTTATTTTGTTTAATGTATTTGATTCTATGTTAAAGCTGTTAACACTGAGACAGAAATCAAGAGTATTTGCTATGTGTAATTCATTTGATCAGCATTTATTAACATTAATTGAGCCTGTTCTGTAGACAAATATGCCAATTTGGCATTGTTGGATAAGCAAAAAGCATTTCATCTAGTAATTGATTAGAAAAGACAAAGTTTGTCCAAACTGGATAGGACTCCCAGACTTCACAGAAGTGTGTTAAATGCATTTGCTAGATTCCAGAGTACTTTCATTGAACTTTTATGGGGAAAATGAAAATAATGAAAAACCTTTAAGTGCTCTGAAATTTCATTTATATTGAACAACACTTATGAGCTACATGTGTAAGTGCTGGCAATAATAACATGTCTTTAAGTGATTTTCCTAATACTATCTTATTATAATTGGGTCTTTAGAATATGCCACCAGTGTAGCTTACCACAGTATCATAAAACTACCATTTGCCACTTTGTAGAATTTGTTTTCATAATCAATTCACAAAGCCTCAAACTGCATTCATCACCAATTTGTCCATAGCAATTACCAGGGAGTTTTGTGGGCTAGTTTATATTACTGGCTAATTTGCTCTATTGTCTTTTGCATTTTCACTTATGAAACCAAAGTGGAATAATGACTTGTTAACTCTGAACAATTTCTGGACTGGAGTGTTATTTCTGTATTTTCCTCTCCTTCCTTTTCCTCACGTTAGCATGATTTGACTTTGTTTTGGTAGATTATATGCTTCAAATAGATTATTATCAATCACCCTAGTAACAACAATACCTAACATTTAGTTGATGGTAACCATATGGCCCGAGAAATATGTTAAAAGCTTTAGAGTGATTATCTTACTTAATCTCTTTATTACCCCTATTTCATTGATAAGGAAAGTGGGCACAAAGAGGTTCTGTAACTTGTCTAAATTCCCATAGCTAGCAAGTCCTGTAACTGGGATGTGTCAAATAACAGGGTTATTTGACACCAAAGCATCTGCTTTGAACCTCTGTGGATATAGCATAAATACACTTCATTCTTTCCATATAAAGAGAAAAATATATTTAAATGTTTTCAGTAGTGAGGTTATATAGGATTCTCCCAGCCACTAGTATTGCTGTAAGTTCCAGACCAGTGTGTGTACACACACACACACACATACATACAGAGGGACAAGGATGGAGGGTGGTCATCTGATTTGAGTTACACAATTTTATTGTGCACAGGTGCTAATTAATGTAAAGAAAATTCTGTGTCATATCTTAGTACAGCATTTCACACCCCTTATTTTTGAAAGGGATAAGTGGCCACTTTGTTCCCTTCTCTTTTGTCCTCAATAAATACAGAAATGTTACATATTTATGCTAATTATTTTAAAACTCCCTGGGATGATTCTCCTTCTGCTGTTTTTATTGAATGGGAAAGAAACAGAACACTTTGCAAAGGTTCACCATGTTATGCCAAGTCCTTATCGTTTGACTCAGTTATATGTCTTTATGGCTAAGAACAGATCTTCTCTAGAAGCATGGGTGTGTTTCACTATTTCACATGTCCCATGTCCTCAGGGCTTAGCAGGATGTAGAGTAGGATTGCATTAAGAGTGGCATGAGTGTCTAACCTATTCCCTCTTGCAGGATCTCTATTTAGAATCCATTTTTATTTCAGTTTGTGTCCATACTTTTCTTAACCCATGCTACATTCAAGGGGAAATTCTCTTATGCTCTTGGAGTTCACCTAGTTGTTACCTCTTACTTCTCAGCACCAATATTTGTATTTATCTATAGTTCCATTATCAGTTGGATATTTCATTTCTAAAGTCCGAACATTGTAGTTTGTTCTACCTTGACATATTCTAATTTAAATAATTTGTTCTGTTTTTATTTAAATTATGTAAAGAAAACAATGTAGAAGCAAGAGAAAGAGAGAGAAGCACTATGAAAAAAATGAAGCAGAGTAACTTAACACATACAAAATATACATATAATGGGGGGAATTAAAATAATCATTGTAAATTTTTTTAAATTCTATATTTATATTTACTGAAATACCATGTTTATTGAATTTAGCCTGGTATAATTTTTTGGGTCTACGAGTACTCACAATTTTGACAACGAATATTCAATCTATGGAAAAATTATATACTAATCTCTAATTTAAGGAGCCTTTGAATAGATGTAAATTAAATATAGTTTAGGAGACCAGGCTTAATAATTTAGTCTTGGTGAGACTTTGGATATAAATTTTAAAAATTAAATTAAATATATAACTTCCCATTTTATTAACGCCTAGTTTTTGAGATGGCTAAATTTATGAATCTGTAAAAATATACATTTGGCACATTTAGATTAAATTACTAAAGGTCTTTAAAGAACATCTTGGAGCTCCATTTTTGTGTATGTAAAGATTTAAATCTATGCTAGCCTCGTATTCATGACAAGATAGTTACAAATTCATTTTGTGAGTTGTTAATAGTTCATATAAAATCACTTCTATTTACTCGAAGGTGTCTGCTCTTTTAAACTTTATACCAAGGGAAAAACAAGCTTTTAAAAATGTACATAAATACAGTTATATTAGACTGTAGAGGCTGACTGCTCTTGTAGGGCTGTTGCACTGCTTATTACAAGCTTGGGCAAACACCAGATTTGAATGTCTGACCAAAATAAGTAGAATATCCCAATTGTAGCAGCTCCAGAGTATTTATTTGGAATTTCAACTTCAAACTTTTTTCACCTTCAGCCTACTCTCTCCTATTTCAAGAACTAATAGAATATTTAAGAATTTGACAGACTGTGCTAGATTCACATGTCTGCTTAGTAATCAGAGTTGTAACTTTTCTAAAATTTGATTCATAAGATGATATTAGAATCTGGATCTTTCTATTATGTTCTCTCTCCCCAGTTTACAGTTTAGATTCTTAGTTCTCTGAATGCCTCTAAAATATTTTCTGTTTTTATCAGTTATTTTCTGTTTGGTCTCTAGTGGTCAACTCTGCACTCATGCCCCAGCTTTCTAGCCCCCACCTTTGCTCTGCCATATCACTCCTCTCTGTCGTCTTGCTTTCTGCTTATTTTCCTGCATCCTTTCATCTAATCTAGAATTCTGAGTTATCAAAAAGATTCTTGCCTCTAAGTTGACTCAGCCTCATTTGCTGCTTTTGTACAATCTCAGTTTATAACCTGCTGTTTGGCTAATGATCTTTAATTAATGTGTTAGCTATAATCACACTAACTAGGGCTTGTGAAGAGAACGTGAACTTTTTACAGTATCTTTGTATTTTCCGCAACCTGGCTTTCCCAACATGACACTGAGAACATTCAACTCAAAAGACAGAACCTATCAACATGTTCTTTTATTTTCCTTTAAATATGTGATCAGGAAATTTGAAACAGACTACTCAAGCTACAGTTATAAGCTTACATTTATAAGTTATAAGCTACAGTTATAAGCTTATAAGCTGCAGTTAAGCTATATATAGCTATAAGCTATACAGTTCTAAGCTATACCGTTATAGCTATAAGCTATAAGTATTCTTATACCTTATAACTCTTTTTTCCTAAAGTTAAAGCAAGTACATGTTAAATTATAAAATATTTCAGGCTGGGAGTGGTGGCTCATGCCTGTAATCCCAGCACTTTGGGAGGCCAAGGCAGGAAGATTGCTTGAGTCAAGGAGTTTAAGACCAGCCTGGGCATCATAGTGAGATCCCATCTCTACAAAAAATTATATTTAAAAATTAGCACCTGCAGTGTCAGCTCCTCTGGAGGCTGAGGCTGGAGGGTCGGTTAAACCCAGGAGATTGATGCTGCAGTGAACCATGGTTGCACCTGTACTGTAGCCTAGGTGACAGACACAGACCCTATCTCAGAAAAAACAAACAATCAAAAAGAAATATTTCACACATATACACTTGTTATATAACAAGTATCATGTTATGTAAGTTATATAACAAGTATCATGTTATATAAGTTATATAACAAATATATTCTATTTTTAATGGTTTTTAAAATTTGGTATAAGATATCTCTGTTAAAACATTTAAATTTCTACAATAACAACTAACGTCCACCTCTTCCCTTTCCCCCTTCTTCCCACTGTCCTGAAGTGATCATGTATTATTCACATTTATTATTTTTTACTTGTACTACGTAATTATACAACTATGTAAATATGCATATATGCAAATCTATCTATTCTATGTAGATATACTTTGTAAATATACTTCCATTTAGAATAACATTTAGAAATTGTTTGTTGCATGATTTCAAGATAACCTATGGGGGAAAAGCTTTGTGCTTTTATATACAGTAAAGATAATGTACTTAAATTTTGTATCTTGGAAAATGGTCCACACTTACAAATATTTTGTTAGGACATCTGTGTAGTATTTTTAATCAGTATTTCCCAAATTTAAATGTGGATTATAAATACATGTACTATATTTTGACTAGCAAACAGATTATCTGAACATCCTCAGTGCCCCTATCCTGTGTGGCTGTGACTTGTGAATGAAGCGGGTGTGCTGGGAGGTGTTGAGGGAGCTGCTGGGAGACAGATTTTGAATTTTCTAACATATGGTATCACAGTATCTCTCTATCTAGGTGTTTAGAAGCATGGGATTATGTGCCTTCATGTTAGCAGCTGGAAAGGAGAAAGGACCTTCTATCCACACAGTCTCTGGAACCTCATTCGTCTCTAATGGGGGTTGGTCTGATCTGCACTCTGTGCTCTAATCTGACTGTGAAGTGCAGGCATCCTCACTCACGCACTGTGGGTTTCGCTCTCTTCAAGTCTTTATTCTTGATGAGCTGCTGCTTAATCTTACGTTGCTGTTGATATATGACACTCGTTGAGCCAAGATCCTTACAGAAGCACATGATCCTGTAAACCTCCCAGGTCCTGTGAGGAGCCAGGAATACTGCCTCAAGCTTATACTTCTAACTTCTACCCACTTTTAATATCACAAAATAACTCCTGAATATTTAAAAATGTTGTGTGCATCCAGTATTGTTTCTCCTAGAAGCTTGGCCTTTTCCCATGGTAAATCCAGGTGAGTGTGACACTTATCTTTCCAGGTCTTGGTCCATCCCATATCAATCTGTCTTGAGAATATGTGCAGCTGATCTTTCTACAACTTTCCCTTCTTTTTTTCTTTTCACAATATCACAGGATCCAGAAGGGAACTTTACATTTTTCTACCTGCCTGAAAAAAACTTCTGGTTAATATCTTACTCATTTTTGAGATGACACTTTCTCTACTTCTCACACTGGCAATTTAAAAAAAAAAAAAAAAAGACAGTGAGCAGTATAATATAGGAGAGAGAGAAATGAAAACCATATTGCTTTACTGCTTTCCACTTCTCGGCATTCCATACTTATTTGATCCCAGATGAATTGTAAAATAACAGTTAATGACATTCTGTGGAATCACTATTTCTCAGGATATACTTTGAACATTTTGTCTGGTATGTATGTGTGACTGGTGTCTGTTGATTGATTTTCAAACTAATTCTAAAACTTTAAAAAAATACATAGCTCGATCTTGCTTCTTTGAAATCATGATGTGTACATATGCTATTATCCTTTTTAATGGAAGCTTTCAAAAATAATTTAACTTCTGGTATATTTCTAAACTTTTAAAATAGCTGTAATGAAAATAAGTATATTTTTCTACAAACTTGGTAGGGTGGGGAACTTATTTTCTATGTGTAAAGCAGCTTCTGTTAATTCAGTAAGATTTTTTGTACTATTATTAGATCACTACATTTTATGGTAAAATTTTTGATATATCATGTGTTTTTCTTTCATCCATTTATTTGTTTTGCCAAATTTAATCTTTTCCTCTTTTCTGCTAATGACTTTTTGTATGTGTGAATGTATTTATGTGTGTATATTTGGGTGTGTGTGTGTGTGAGAGAGAGAGAGAGAGAAAGGAAGAGAGTGTGTATGTGAGAGAGAGCCCGCATAATGGCATTTATTTTGCATTGAAATGTTTTGGTTCCAATAGAACCGTTGAAGGAGAGCCTATCTGTATGAATGGGACCAGGAAATTGTCCTCTAGCTTTTATAGGAGAAATGAATGACTACATGGGAGTCACTAAATAGTCTAAGTGGAATGAACATATTAGGTTTTTCATAGCTTTCATCCAATGCCTTTGGTAACTTTTGTGCATTGACTCTCCACCAAAAGGATATGCAATTATTCGTTGATGTTTCTTTCTTTTTTTTTTTTTCTGTCTTAACAATAACAGGAAACTGTGAGATTTAAATTTTGTTGAACAAAGCTAAAAAGGAGCCTACACAATGAGTCAGGAGGCATGCCAAATATTCTAGACTCTGGATTGATAGGTAGCAAAAGCCGTAAGAGAAATAGCTTTTTGCCCAGTGGGGATTATAATTGAGTTTGAAAAGAAGGGAAATGCTGTATTTGCTTTAATTAGAAATCTAAATTGATGCAGTTGAACTTTTTAAAAGGAATTGAGTCAGGAATTTAATATTCTGTTATATTTTTGTTTGAAAAACTCATCTTTGTAATGCTGCTTTTCTCGTCCTTTGCCAAGTATATTCAGTTCTCTAAAACTACATATATACAAAACTAGTTGCAGATTTTTAGTAGTATGTGAAAAAAATCAGAGTTAAATACTTTATAGAAAAAAACAAAATATGTAAGAAATATGGAGATTTAAAAGTTCTACCTCTTTTGGCCTACCTTTGGAACAAAAATATTTGTCTTTGTTTTAGATTATAAGCTTCTGTTTTGCAGATTCTGTTGAAATATCTTTTGGGCTGGCAATTTCCATGGAGAATATTCTAGCATTTGTAATTTTAGCTATTACTCAGTTTTGCTTAGTACCATGCCTATATGATTGATTATGCTTTGTGTTAGTGATCAAAAATAAGTACAATGAAAGATTCTAATGTTTTTTCTCAACACCAATACCCAGTAATTCATCATATATAGAAAATATATTTTTTTACCCCTTAAAAAAACCTTACACTTATGCTTATATGTTAACATCAGTTTGAAGATCCAAATGGTGTTAGATTTCGCTATGAAAAAGGCTGTTTTCAGCCATTAACACTTGGACATAATATAATGATAACAAAAGACACGTAGTTATTACTGTGGCATTTATTGGCTTTGTGATCTGAGTATACTAAACAGAGGGGTATAGTTGATGATTCTGATGTCCAATCAATCTTAAATTTAATGCTTAGAATGCAAGCTGTCTGGCTTAGGTTTTTCATATAATTAGGCCACCAGTCATGTGCTCAGTGGTCATGTGGAAAATAATGAAAGTAGGGAGTGAAGAAGTGGTGCAGAATTTAGTTTTAAAATAACTGTCACCTCTTGTTGGGTTACTGATGTGAGAATAAGTTACTGTAGATTCTTATTGTCCTTTGAAATATTACCTCTCTAATTAATATTTTTATTTCTCCAAAATCTTGAGAGAAATTATTTTTAATTCCTCAGAAATCTTCATAAGAAATTGTCTTTGATCAAGAGTAGAAGTTACTTGAAAACTATTATTCGGCCGGGTATGGTGGCTCACACCTGTAATCCCAGCATTTTGGGAGGCTGAAGTGGATGGATCACCTGAGGTCAGGAGTTCAAGACCAGCCTGGTCAACATGGTGAAACCCCGTCTGTACTAAAAATACAAAAATTAGCTGGGCATGGTGGCACTTGCCTGCAATCCCAGCTACTCGGGAGGCTGAGGCAGGAGAATCGTTTGAACCCAGGAGGCGGAGGTTGCAGTGAGCAGAGATCGCACCACTACACTCCAGCCTGGGTGACAGAGTGAGATTCCATCTCAAAATGAAAAAAAAATAAATAAATAAAAGAAAGAAAGAAAGAAACTATTACTATTCAAGGGCCATAGAAATAGAGTAGAGAACAGATCTTCCCTGAGACCTAAGGTTTCTCACTCCCATGGATCATATCATCCATATGATTGCACTTCCTTTCTCAATTCTATGTCCTAAGACAGAGACACACACCCAGTATTTAAATGTTCCTTTTTGATATACCCTTGCATTTTGACTGATATTTGAGAAAAAAAAAGAAGAAAAAAAAAACAGAAGAAATATAAAGTGATACTATTTATTGAAATTAAAGTAGTTCTAATGTTTTCAAAACTATATTTCGATTAATAGTATTTATAGTATGTGAACTGTATGTTTTACTCAGGCAATCAGGTCTCTGACTTAAACTTATAATTTATATTTAAACTAAATTAATAAAAAGTTACAGAATATGTGCCTATGTACAATAATTTGTTATTAGTCATTTTGTTGTAAGTGTAAATATAAAATATAAAGTTAATGCATATTGTTTTAGTTCATTAAAATCAATTCTTTAGAAGTGGTGTGCTAACAATTCGTATTAAATGCTGAGCGGCAGGCTCAATGAAAATTCCATATCAGAACTCTGGAAATTTATTTTTAAATATTAGAAATTATTTACCATTTTTTAAATTAATTAAACTATTGCAAGTATAACATCTGTCAGGCACAGTGGCTCACGCTTGTACTTCTAGCATTTTGGGAGGCTGAGGCGGGCAGATCACCTGATGTCAGGAGTTCAAGACCAGCCTGGTCAACATGGCGAAACCCAGTCTCTACTAAAAATACAAAAATTCGCTGGGCATGGTGATGTGCGCCTGTAATCCAAGCTATTCGGGAGACTGAGACAGAAGAATTGTTGCACCCAGGAGGCGGTGGTTGCAGTGAGCCAAGATTGCACCACTGCACTCCAGCCGGGGCAACAGAGCAAGACTCTGCCTCAAAAAAATAAAAAAGTATAACATCTGTTTCAACTTGTTGGAGACACTTCTAAAGTTTTAATCTAATTTCCTCTATTACCAAGTAAATTGTATTGACAAAAATGTCTCATAACACTTAGTAGCATATATGGCTTTAGGATTTTCATTCTGAACATTATTAGATTAAAAGTTTTAAATCAAGTGTAGAATCTGTTTCTATTTTAATCTTCTTGGTAATTAGTTTCTGAATCCCAACTACAAAAAAGAGTCAGGAAATCCAATATATTACCTAATTTCAATTAATCACAGTTTTGCTATATAAGGATCACACAGGTATGTCTGTCAGCCATTATATCTGTGTATCAGGATGTTAGATAGCTTATACAAATATTTCTAGCTGCTTCTTAAAATTGTCCATAGATGATGGGTTGCTGGAATACTTTGTAAATCTCTGTTAGAAGTTCTTCAGATGAAGTTAGTGCTGTTGGAATTAGCATACACTCAGTCCTATAATGAGTTCTACTTCAGGAAGCAGATCGTTAGGGACAACTGTCCAGTTTCTCAGTGTGGTGTTTGTAATCTCCAAAACACAAGATTCTTGATACAAACAGACTCTGAGCAGTAATAACTGGCTATTAGGAAATCACAGAGGCACAAGAAACTACCTCCAGAAATAATAAAGCTCTTTATGGACTCAGAACTCTGATTATTTGGTTAGTTTCTTTTGAGGAAATGTTCATGTTCGTTGTGTGAAGAGACCACCAAACAGGCTTTGTGTGAGCAACAAGGCTGTTTGTTTCACCTGGGTGCAGGCGGGCTGAGTCCGAAAAGAGAGTCAGTGAAGGGAGATACAGGTGGGTCTGTTTTATAAGATTTGGGTAGGTAAAGGAAAATTACAGTCAAAGGGGGGTTGTTCTCTGGTGGGCAGATGTGGGGGTCACAAGGTGCTCAGTAGGGGAGTTTTTGAGCCAGGATGGGCCAGGAGAAGGAATTTCAGAAGATAATGTCATCAGTTAAGGCAGGAACAGGCCATTTTCACTTCTTTTGTGGTGGAATGTCATCAGTTAAGGCGGGAACCGGCCATCTGGATGTGTAAGTGCAGGTCACAGGGGATATGATAGCTTAGCTTGGGCTCAGAGGCCTGACATTCCTGTCTTCTTATATTAATAAGAAAAATAAAATGAAATAGTGGTAAAATGATGGGACAGCGAAAATTTTTGGGGGTGGTATGGAGAGAGAATGGGAGATGTTTCTCAGGGCTGCTTCGAGAGGGATTAGGGGCGGTGTGGGAACCTAGAGTAGGAGGAATTAAGCTGAAGGAAGATTTTGTGGTAAGGGGTGATATTGTGGGGTTGTTAGAAGAAACATTTGTCATTTAGAATTATTGGTCATGGCCTGGATACAGTTTTGAATGAATTGAAAAACTAAACGGAATAAGAGAAGGAGAAAAACAGATATTAAAGGCCTAAGAATTGGGAGGACCCAGGACATCTAATTAGAGAGTGCCTAAGGAGATTCAGCATAGTCCCGCCAGCAAAGATTATTTATTTACTTTAAGAGTTAAGAGTGGCAGTTTGGGGATAGCACCACGATATATCAGCTGTGATGGCTTGGAGAAACAGTGTAAATCGGCAGTGTAAGCAAGAGCAGGGCATGTATGAGTAGTTGAGAATGGTGAACAGGAGTACGACTAGACAGAAGATAGTAGGGATGACAAGTTTTTTGGGGCACAGTCCAAGTTGGTCTGGTGCCTGGAATGAGACTGGGGCCTAATAAAAAGGAGCGTCCATACAGGAGCTCAAATGGGCTGTACCCTGTAGCATTCCGAGGACAGGCCTGAATCTGAGAAGGGAAAGTGGTAAAAGTATTGTCCAGTCCTTTTTAAGTTGCTGGCTGAGCTTGGGGAGGTGTGTTTTTAAAACATCATTAGTCCGTTCTACCTTTCCTGAAGACTGAGGACCGTAAGGGATATAAAGGTTTCACTGAATACTAAAAGCCTGAAAAAATGCTTTGCTGATTTGACTAATAAAGGCCGGTCTGCTATCGGACTGTATAGAGGTGGGAAGGCTAAACCGAGGAATTATATCTGACAGAAGGGAAGAAATGACCGTGATGGCCTTCTCAGACCCTGTAGGAAAGGCCTCTACCCATCCAGTGAAAGTGTCTACCTAGACTAAGAGGTATTTTAGTTTTCTGACTCAGGGCATGTGAGTAAAGTCAATTTGCCAGGCCTGGGCAGGGGCAAATCCCCGAGCTTGATGTGTAGGAAAGGGAGAAGACCTGAACAATCCCTGAGGGGTAGTAGAATAGCAGATGGAATATTGAGAATTGATTGCCTTGAGGATAGATTTCCAGGATGGAAAGGAAATGAGATGTTCTAAGAGACGGGCTAGCGGCTTGTAACCTACATGGAAGAGGTTATGAAATGAAGACAGAATAGAATGGGCCTGTGAGGCTGAAAGGAGATATTTTCCTTGGTCTAAGAACCATTTGCCTTGTGTGGGAAGAGATTGATAGGTGGAAGTTTCAGCAGGGGAATAGGTGGGAGTGACCGATGTGAAGGAGAAAAACTGGCCTTGAGGGACAGAAGCTGGAAAGCTAGCTGCTTGTCTAGCCACCTTATCAGCATAAGCATTGCCTAGAGCAATGGGATCTGACACCTTTTGATGGCCTTTGCAGTGAATGACTCCAGCTTCCTTTGGAAGTGAAGCGGCCTTGAGCAGAGTTTTTGTTAAAGAGGCATTAATGATGGAGGACCTTTGAGTAGTGAGGAAGCCTCTTTCAGCGCATATAACAGCATGGTGGTACAGAATATGAAAGGCATATTTAGAATCAGTATAAATATTGACGCGTAGTCCTTTTGCGAGAGTGAGGGCTTGAGTTAAGGCAACTAGTTCACCTTGCTGAGAGGTAGTGGATGGGGGCAGAGGGGTAGCCTCAATGATAGATGTGGAAGATACTACAGCATAGCCTGCTTTTGCTGGTGAGAGGCAATTAGGCCTGGTGGAACTGCCATCAATAAACCAAGTGTGATCAGGGTGAGGAACAGGAAAGAAGGAAATATGGGGAAATGGAGTGAATTTCAGGTGTGTCAGAGAGACGCAGTCATGGGGGTCAGGTGTGGTATCAGGAATAATGAGGGAGGCCGGATTGAAGTCCGGGCCAGGAACAATGGTAATTGTGGGAGACTCAACAAAGAGTGAGTACAGCTGAAGGAGCCGGGGAGCAGAAAGTATATGTGTCAGGTGTGAGGAAGAAAATAGATTTTGGAAGTTGTGAGAACTGTAAAGAGTGAGTTGAGCATAGTTTGTGATTTTGAGGGTGTCCAAAAGTATTAGGGTGGTGGCAGCCACTGCACGGAGACATGATGGGCAGCCTAAAACAGTAAGGTCAAGTTGTTTGGACAGAAAGGCTACAGGGTGCAGTCCTGGCTCTTGTGTAAGAATTCTGACTGCACTAACCATGCCTAGGAAGGAAAGGAGTTGTTGTTTTGTAAGGGATTGAGGTTTGGGAGATTAGTCAAACACGATCAGCAGGGAGAGCACGTGTGTTTTTATGAGAATTATGCCGAGATAGGTAACAGATGAGGAAGAAATTTGGGCTTGACTGAAGTAACGGGTGCTATCTGTGAAGCCTTGTGGCAGTACAGCCCAGGTAATTTGCTGACCCTGATGGGTGTCAGGGTCAGTCCAAGTGAAAGCGAAGAGAGGCTGGGATGAAGGGTGCAAAGGAATAGTAAAGAAAGCATGTTTGAGATCCAGAACAGAATAATGGATTGTGGAGGGAAGTATTGAGGATAGGAGAGTATATGGGTTTGGCACTATGGGGTGGATAGGCAAAACAATTTGGTTGATAAGGCACAGATCCTGAACTAACTTGTAAGGCTTGTCTGGTTTTAGGACAGGTAAAATGGGGGAACTGTAAGGAGAGTTTATAGGCTTTAAAAGGCCATGCTGTAGCAGGCGAGTGATAACAGGCTTTAATCTTTTTAAAGCGTGCTGCAGGATTGGATATTGGCGTTGAGCAGGGTAAGGGTGATTAGGTTTTAATGAGATGGTAAGGGGTGCATGATCCGTTGCCAAGGAGGGAGTAGAGGTATCTTATACTTGTGGGTTAAGGTGGGGGGATACAAGAGGAGAACGCAAAGGAGGCTTTGGATTGGGAAGAAGGGTGGCAATGAGATGTGGCTGTAGTCTAGGAATAGTCAAGGAAGCAGATAATTTAGTTAAAATATCTCAGCCTAATAAGGGAACTGGGCAGGTGGGGATAACTAAAAAAGAGTGCTTAAAAAAGTATTGTCTAAGTTGGCACCAGAGTTGTGGAGTTTAAAGAGGTTTAGAAGCCTGGCCGTCAATACGCACAACAGTTATGGAGGCAAGGGAAACAGGCCCTTGAAAAGACGGTAGTGTGGAGTGGGTAGCCTCCATATTGATTAAAAGGGGACAGACTTACCCTCCACTGTGACAGTTACTCGAAGCTTGACGTCCGTGATGGTCTAGGGGGCTTCAGAGACGATCAGGCAGTGTCAGTCTTCAGCCACTAAGCCGAGAAGATCTGGGAAGGAGTCAGAGCCTTGGGCCAGAGTTCCAGGGCCTCTGGGAGTGGCTGCCAGGTGAGTTGAACAGTCCGATTTTCAGTGGGGTCCCGCACAGATGGGAAGCGGCTTAGGAGGAATCCCGGGCTGTGGGCATTCCTTGGCCTGGTGGCCAGATTTCTGGCACTTGTAGCAAGCTCCTGGGGGAGGCGGGCCTGGAGGAATACCTGGCCACTGCGGTTTAGGCGTTTGGAATTTCTTGTGTGCTGGAGATGTGGCTGGGGTTTGTCTCGCAGTGGAGGCAAGGAATTGCAACTCAGAAATATGTTGCTACTTGGCTGCCTCTACTCTATTATTGTACACCTTGAAGGCGAGGTTAATTAAGTCCTGTTGTGGGGTTTGAGGGCCAGAATTTAATTTTTGGAGTTTTATTTAATGTTGGGATTGGGTAATAAAATGTATATTGAGAATAAGACGGCTTTTTGACCTTTTAGGGTCTAGGGCTGTAAAGCATCTCAGGGTTGCTGCCAAACAAGCCATGAATTGGGCTGGATTTTTATATTTGATGAAAAAGAGCCTAAACGTTATCTGATTTGGGATAAAGAAAAAGGAGCATTAACCTTGACTATGCCTTTAGCTCCAGCCACCTTTTTAAGAGGAAATTGCTGGGCAGGTGGGGGAGGGCTAGTCACGGCATGAAACTGTAAGCCGGACCCCGTGTGAGGAAGGGAGGTGATAAAAGGATTATAGGGTGGAGGAGCGGAGGCTGAGGAAGAACTGGGACCTAGCTCGGCCTGGCGAGGAGGGGAGAGGACAGATGGGTCTGTAGAAAAGGAAGATTAGAAAGACTCAGTGATGCTTGGGGTTGGGACGGAGGGGGACAGGTGGTGGGGAAAGAAGGAAGATTTGGTACCAGTTGCATTGGGAACAGAGACCAGGGATGGACCGATGTGTAAAAGAATGCCTGGATATCAGGCACCTCAGACCGTTTGCCCATTTTACGACAAGAATTATTTAGATCTTGTAGGATGGAAAAATTGAAAGTGCCGTTTTCTGGCTATTTGGAACTACTGTCGAGTTTGTATTGAGGTCAAGTGGCATTGCAGAAGAAAATAAGACACTTAGATTTTAGGTCAGGTGAGAGTTGAAGAGGTTTTAAGTTCTTAAGAACATAGGCTAAGGGAGAAGAAGGACGAACGGAGGGTGGAAGGTTGCCTATAGTGAAGGAGGCAAGTTTAAAGAGAAGGGTAAAGACACGGAGAAGGGGGGTGGGGAGCAGCCCTGGGCTGCAACGTGGGTGAGCAAGCAGCCAAAGCAGGCGTCCTCGCAATTGACTTGCCACCAAGGGAACGTGGGTGAATGATCAAGGCAGGCGTCCTCGCGGAGATCAGACACCAATGGAACATGGGTGAATAATCAGAGAGGTGTCCTCGCAATGATTAAACACCAAGGGAAGGCTGCCTTCCCGAGTCCGTGACCGGCGCCGGAGTTTTGGGTCCACGGATAAAATGTGTCTCCTTTGTCTCTACGAGAAAATGAAAGGAATTGAAATTAAGAGAAGGGAGAGATTGAAGTGTGGTGCCAAGATTGAAAGGAGAAAGAGGTTGAGGGATAGTGAGGGAGGTTGGAGAAGAGAGTAAAAAGAGGCTGCTTTCCAGATTTGAAATTGGTGAGATGTTTCTTGGGCTGGTTGGTCTGAGGACCTGAGGTGGTAGGTGGATCTTTCTCACAGAGCAAAGAGCAGGAAGACAGGGGATTGATCTCCCAAAGGAGGTCCCCCGATCCGAGTCACGGCACCAAATTTCATGCACGTCCATGTGAAGAGACCACCAAACAGGCTTTGTGTGAGCAACAAGGCTGTTTATTTCACCTGGGTGCAGGCGGGCTGAGTCCGAAAAGAGTCAGCGAAGGAAGATATGGGTGGGGCTGTTTTATAAGATTTGGGTAGGTAAAGGAAAATTACAGTCAAAGAGGGGTTGTTCTCTGGCAGGCAGATGTGGGGGTCACAAGGTGCTCAGTAGGGAAGCTTTTGAGCCAGGATGAGCCAGGAGAAGGAATTTCAGAAGATAATGTCATCAGTTAAGGCAGGAACAGGCCATTTTCACTTCTTTTGTGGTGGAATGTCATCAGTTAAGGCAGGAACCGGCCATCTGGATGTGTAAATGCAGGTCACAGGGGATATGATGGCTTAGCTTGGGCTCAGAGGCCTGAAAGAAATATTTCATTGAGTCAGAAAAAAGAAAATTGATAATTACTGCATACAATATAAGCAAAAATATACATTTTTTCTTTCAGAATTCACCATGTCCATTTTTGTAATGTCCAAGTACAAATAATTACAGCTTAGCTTTTCAAATGATTCTTAATATTGGGAATATGTCATTTCAAAGCCAGGTATTACAAATGAGAAATTGAAGAACTACACACAAGGTTGAATGTCAAGGCACTCTCAAGCCAGCGCCTCCTGTTCTTGGCAGAGGAAGCATCAAGCACTTTAACATTTCAGGATACTGTCAGTGTATCCCACAGCATTGGGCTCAGTTTGTATTATCTGTTTTCTTTAATATTCTACTTGTATAATTAAACTGATTTTGAATTTTTATAAAATTTCTTTATTTAACAAATTAATGAACACCTGAAAATATTAAGCCATTTTATTAGTAACTCCAGGAATCCAAAGAAGTTGAATGTTCCAAATAATAGTGTTGAAAGCTTATTAAGTGCTATGTATTAGCTGTGTGCCTTATGTGGATGATCACATAAGTATAAAATATTATTTAATTCTCACAACAACCCTATGAGAGCTACACTGTTATTATTCCTATTTTATACTTAAGGAAATAAAGCTCAGGGAGTGTGAGTTCTCTCATAGTCACCCAGACAGAAAATGGGTGAACAGGGACGGGTACGGTGGCTCACTCCTGTAATCCCAGCACTTTGGGATGCTGAGGCAGGATCACCAGGTCAGGAGTTCAAGACCAGCCTGCTCAACATGGTGAAACCCCATCTCTACTAAAAATGCAAAAATTAGCCAGGTGTGGTTGTGGGTACCTTTATTCCCAGCTACTCAGGAGGCTGAGGCAGGAGAATCGCTTGAACCCAGGAGGTGGAAGTTGCAGTGAGCAGTGAGCCAAGATCATGCCACTGCACTCCAGCCTGGGCAACAAGAGCAAGACTCTGTCTCGGCGGGGCTGGGGGAAGAAAGTGGGTGAACAGATAATTGAATCAGTGGGATCTGGCTCCAGACTCACACCCAACCATTACTCAATACAGCTTCCTTGATCTATTATAGATTGTAATTAGGCAGAGAAGTAAGACTCAGATACAAATTAATGGAATAGGTAATTTTTATCAGAAAAATATGTATTTCAATAGTCTTAAAATTACTATCTATTGTCACTAACAGTGAGGAGGCATAGGATGGGCAATATAGGGGTACAGTGTCTATAGACATTTGAGAGCAATGATAAACCAATCAAAAATCAGTCTGCTTTTCAATCTCATAAACCTGCCAATGGCAATTCTAAACATAGTCAGTGATAAAAAAAAAACGTCCCTCCAAGACCAGGCCAGGGATTATAATCGAAAATAGAAATCTAGTGGTTGACCATAGAGATAAAAATAAATACAATAAAATAAGCAATGTTATTAAATTCTACTTTAAAATAATTCTAATTTGACACTAGCCTACCAAAACCCAGCTTTTTGTTAAAAATGGAGATTAGTTAAGTGTCAGAGAAGCTCTCTTTATCCTTGACTGAACTTTTCTAAAGGCAGCAACCAGGAAGAACAAAAGAGAATTGACCAATTCAAAACTTCCTCCTGAGCCCTTCAAGGTTATCTAGCAGCATGTTCACGCACTGTTTGAACTATCTGGTGTATTGTGTGATCCACAGCTTACCATCTGTGTCATGCATGATACACTTTTGAAAACATTGTCTTCTTCAATATGGACTGTGACAGCAACACATGTACTCTAAAGGGAATTCCACTCCCTGCAACATTCCAAGATTATCTCAGTTTATATGTTGGCACTGTAAGTTTTTGGAGATGGTCATCTATTAAAAAATGTCTGTAACTTTTCTTCAGTATTGCACTTCATGAATGCTCGTGAATTTTCTATAAGCATGGTGAGGTTTACTGGAAAAGTAGAATTTTCTGTGGCAAATTTAGGCCACAGCTGTATCATGAATCCAGAGACAAATTTAAACATGGCAAGTGACCTTATAGGATTTTTTGTATTTTATTTAAAGGAATGAATAATCATGGTTTACATAAAAATATTTAACTCTCCTTTGAAATTTGAGAAGAATTTTAAATACTTCGTAATTTTAAAAAATTTTTTGGATTAACTTTTTTGGGTCTGGAAAAATTCTTCATATAATTTTGACTGGATAAAAAGATCTATGCCAAATTATCTTTTTTAAGGAAGCCCTCCCCACTCAGTGCTTCTTCCTGATCTCTTTCTTGATTTTAAAATTCAGGTCCTAGTAAATAATTCCACAATGAATATGTTTCAGATTTTGTCAATACAGACTAAAACATGTGAGTCTTCAAAGTCAACCTTCTTTGAGGACAAAAATAGTGTTATTCATTTTGGAACATGGTAGATGTTGAGTAAACATTATTCATTAACAGAATGAATTAATATAAATACAGTTTTAATTTTTAGATTATGTAGTTTCTCTTTCCTGAAAACTTTTCTAGCGATATTAGTGATATTATGTCTTTCAGGGCATAATATTTTATTGATTTTGTATATGTAAGTGGCTCAAGGTTTCTGTTACATTTCTTGATAATGTCTAGATTACTGTATGTATATATTTATTTCACTGTAGGTACATACTAGGAATATTTTTTGGGAATAGATACATTCCTCAAGCTCTAGCTCTATGTGTTACACAAGCTATTTAAGGAACTGTAATAGTGTTTTTAAAAATGATGCCTGCATTGTTTTTATCTAAAGTTCCTCCCAATATAAGCAAAGAGTAAATAATACTGGGGATCTATTAGTAGAGATAATCAATTCTAGAATTATTGTTATAAATTATTCTTTTTAATTTGGATGAATAAATAATTATTAAATAGATTAAAATATGAGTGACTTATAAGAGAACCTCCATTCATTCTAACAATACTTATACTTAGTATGCTTTCAATAACTTTGCCATGCAAAAGTAAAGTTTATTAACACTGTGATTTGCTTCAATGTATTGAAAATTTTTAATTAAAAAAAAGCTTTCCTTTTCTTTCCTTATTTTATGGAACTTGACCACTGAGCTTGTATTGTCCAGATTTTTTGTGGGGGAGATACAGTTAAATGTTGGCACTAAATGCTGTATTGATTGGCACTGAAATTAATGCAAGAAATGAGGGTACTAAAAATTCTAGTTTAGAATAATTAAACCCACAGCAATTACATGGGATTCTATTGGCTAACGGTATGACCATCATCCAAGAGCTACTGGTGTAAGGTGAGAGGTGGTGAGGCCGGCCTTAAATTCCAGAGCTTTTTTCATGCTACTCAATTTTCACAGCTGGAATTTACTGCTTCTTGACATTGCAAAATTATTCATCGACTTGGTTTTGTTTTTTTGGCTCAATGCTGTGACTCGGTAATTTTCAGCATCTTACTGACAGATGGAAAGTGATCACTAACCATCTTGCTGAATTAACATGGAATGCATTTCTAAGCCGCAATAAAAGGCAGGACCGAAAATGTCAAATCCACACATTTCCATCTAGAGTACATATATTCCTATAAAGTTCATTGAATGTTTGTGTAGAAATGGTCAATGGAGGTCATCGGGTTAAAGTAGGGCCACATCTATCATCCCCGATCTAAACAAGAAAACAAATAAACAATTACTGCTCTTTTTATGTCTAGATAAACATCCCCAGGCTCTAATTTAAGCCTGGTTTCTTCTTTTTATCCTTTTCAATAGAAATTTTAAATAACCTAACGTTATCCTTTGTATAAAAATCCTTTGTTTAAGGACTCTCAAATCAAATTCTTTCATCACCTTTTGGCCAAATTATTCCATTTTGTTTCATCTCTCTTCATGGGCTATATTTTCCATTCTGTTAATCAGCTTTCTATCTCTCCCCTGAAACTTTCCCAAGTTATATGCTTTGGTTGTGACCTATGGAAAATAATGCAGCATATTTAGTCATATAATGTGTTAAATATCTCACTGTTCTCCACTGCTGTGTGCCTGCTTTTGTACTATAACATTGTATTTGATTACAAGCAAATAAAACCAGTGTTCACACTGTTGACCCATAGCCAACTTCTATGACACCATCTTATCCCCAGTTTTAGAAACTTCACATACATTCTACCAGATTTTCGGTGTCGTATATTTATGTACTGCTTTCATGTTGCCTTCTTAAAGGATCGAATATCTCTTTTGCTAAGTTCCAGAAAACTGGTTCTATGTATCTTCTATTCTCTAATATGTACCCAGTACCTAGTACAGAATCTGACACCGATAAATATTTGAGGAGTGAAGAAAAGAAATAACATTTTATTTTTTGTGTCCGTACTACCTTCCCTCCTAATCATTTCAATATTCTGTGCTTGATTAGTGTACAAAATTGGCTTGACCTGTAAGAAGGCTTTACTATATAGACCCACTGACATTTCTGTCAAACCTGCACACTGAGTTGCCCCTTCATCCCTTCGTCTGCAGGATGGAAAGGGTGATGTGGCAGGGCACTGGACAGTTTCAGGAGAAGATCCATAAGCTCAAGAGTTACTAGAAGCAGAGCTTGATTCTTGATTTTGAACCTTTAATAATTGGGTAGACTTACTCAGTCCTTCACTGTTTCTTCATTTGCAAATGGGTGTAATAGTTTTGGCCTTAGAAAGCTGATGAGAGGTTAAAAAGAAGTAAAGATATATGTGTACTTAACTTACATTAGACCCTAAAATTATGCTTTGTCTATTTCTTGAGCACTTTTTGCTCAATAATTAGCATTGATATGGACCCAAACACCCATTTTTGCATACTACAATGGAGAGAGAAGGGGACAAATAATAAACTTTTTTAAATAACATGGTATTTTAAGACAAAGAATTATTTTGTGAAATCTTGCATTTCTTGTCAGGAAAGGGGAAAATTACATAATTAGAGTCGGCAAGAAAAAAAATGTATTCAGTATAATAATTAGTGTTAAAGGACATTAGTGACCAGTATAAATCTTCCGGCCAATATTATATAGTTTGCACAAAATCATAGCATCACAATTCTGTATAAGCAGTGTGTTTATGCATTCTTTTAACAACTTTATTGATATATAATTGACATACAGGAAACCACATATTTATTTTTATTTATTTGTTTTTTTGAGACAGAATCTTGCTTTGTTGCCCAGGCTGAGGTGCAGTGGTGCAATCTTGGCTCACTGCAGTCTCTGTCTCCAGGGTTCAAGCGACTCTCCTGCCTCAGCCTCCCGAGTGGATGGACTACAGACACGCACCACCATCCCTGGCTAATTTTTGTATTTTTAGCAGATATGGGATTTCACCATGTTGGCCAGGCTGGTCTTGAATTCCTGACCGGAGGTGATCCACCCACCTTGACCTCTGAAAGTGCTGATATTACAGGTGTGAGACACTGTGCCCAGCCCAGGAAACCACACATATTTAAAATGTACAATTTGATAAGTTTTAAAAGTTGTATATACCCATGAAACCCTCTACACAATCAAGATAACGGACTTATTTATCACCTCTAGAAATTTCCCTCCCACTGCTTCCTGCACCCCTGCCTCCATAGGTAACCACTTAGTTGCTTGAAGTCACTAGATTACTGTGCATTTACATAAAACAAGTCATACAGCATGTATTCATTTTCTCTGGCTTATTTCACTCAATTATTTTGAGATTTCTCCCTGTTGCTGGATCTATCAAATATTAATTCTTTTATATGGCTAAGAAGTATTCTGTTGTGTGGATATACTAATTTTTTATTCATTAACCAATTTATGATCATTTGAGTTTATTTAAGTTGTAGAATATTGCAAATCAAACTGCTATGAGCATTCATGTATTAGTCCTTGTATGGACATATAACTTCTTTACTCTGAAGACAGGATTACATAGTAAGTATATTTTTAACCCTTAAAGAAAATACCAATTATTTTCTAAAGTGGATGTGCAATTTTACATTTCCACTAGCAGTATTTGAGAATTGCAATTCCTACACATCCTTGGGAACAACTCCTTCATTTAAATTTTGGCCATCCTGATGGATGTGTAGTATATCTTAATTCATATTTAATTAATTACTAATGATATTTTACAGCATTTTGTGGGCTTATTTGCTATTTGCACATCTACTTTAGTAAAGAATCTGTTCAAATTCTTTTTTTTTATTGAACTGATTGTTTTTGTGATATTAACCATTGCACTTTTTTTATCTGCATCCAAGTTTTTTTTTCTGCTATAAATTTTACTTTCTATAAATTTCTAAATGCTGATGCTAAATACTGCTTTAGCATCGGCTCATATATTTTCATATGTTGTGTTTTTATTTTCACTCAGTTCTAAACTACTTTCTAACTTTCCTTTTTTTTTTTTTTTTTTCTTTTTTATGACAGAGTCTCACTCTGTCACCCAGGCTGGAGTGCAGTGGCATGATCTCAGCTCACTGCAAGCTCCGCTTCCTGGGTTCAGGTTATTCTCCTGCCTCAGCCACCCAAGTAGTTGGGATTACAGTCATGTGCCACCATGCAGGACTAATTTTTGTAATTTTATTAAAGACAGGGTTTCACCATGTTGGCCATGATGGTCTTGAACTCCTGACCTCAAGTGATCCACTTGCTTTGGCCTCTCAAAGTGCTGGGATTATGGGAATGAGCCACCATGCCTGGCCTAACTTCACTTTTTGTTTATCCTTTGAACCAGGAGTTATTTAGAATATATTGTTTAATTTCCAAATGATTTGGGATATTCCAGCTTTTTGTTTGTCTTAATTTGATTTCATTGGTGATCACAGTATATACTTTGCAAAACCTGAATCCTTTAAAATGTATCAAAGTACTTTTTATTCTCTAGAATTTGGCCTATTTTGATAAGGTTTCCATGTGCATTTGAAAAGTCTTATGATGTTCTTGGGTGGACTGTTCTATACATTTCAATGATAACAAATTAGTTGATAATATTGTTTAAGTCTTCCATATCCTTATGAATTTTTGTGTATGTGTACTTATTCTAACACTTATTATGAGGTTATTACTGAAATATCTGACTATAACTGGGTATTAGTCTATTTCTCTCTTCAGTTCTACCAGTTTTCACTTATCTTTTGAAATTTTGTTGTTAATGCACACATTTTTGGAATTATGTTTCTCTTGATGAACTGATTCATCTATCATTAGGAAATAACCTTTATATCTGGTGATATTCTTTGCTATGATATCTACTTTGATATGATTGTGGCCTCTCCAGGTTTCTTTTGATTATTATTAGCATGGAATACCTATACTCTTTGTGTTTTTGTCCCATATTTGATGCTCAGAAATGTTTCCCTAAATAGCAGTGATGTGAAATAACTTTGGATTGTCAGGCATGTCTGTGTTTTATATTTATTTAGTCCATAGGCAAAGCCAGGTTTGAATGGGTTATTTTAAAATCCAGAGATTTATCTGTGTTAAGAAGTTACTAAGAATGGTGGTTCCTTACACACTATGACAGCAGCCTTCAACCTTTTCGGCACCGGAGACCAGTTTCATGGAAGACAATTTTCATGGACTGTTCTCCAGGGAGGGGTATGGTTTTGGGATGATTCAAGCCACATTACATTTTTCGTGCACTTTATTTCTATTATTATTACATCATAATATATAATGAAGTAAATATACAACTCACCATAATTTAATGAGAGCCCTGAGCTTGTTTTACTGCAACTAGATAATCTCATCTGGGGGTGATGGGAAACACCGACCCCCAAAGTGTGTTGCTTATATCCAGTGTACTCTGTAGTCTCATTTTGGTTGCTGTTACTGCAGAAAATCCTGCTTCACAAATATGGGATGTCTGAAATGGAAGGAGGCTTTTCAGTGCTTTTGTGGCAATCTCAGCATATTCTGCCTTGACTGTAATCCAGAACATATGAAGATTTGAAGCTTTCTCAAACATACTTTTAAGACCACCGTCATTTGTGATCTCAAGTAGTTGATCCTCTTCTAGCAAAGACAAAGTCGATTCAACTGGCTTTTTCACAAATGGGTCACAGATCCACTCCTTCATAATTCAGGGGTCTTTTGTGGTTGGGAAGTAATGTTCAAACTCTTGAAATCTAAGATAGGTGATCATCCACCAAGTGGGAGAAAGAAAGTCCTGGTTCAGTCTCTTTCAAAATCTCTGCGATGTTTGAAACATATCAAAAATCACAATGTTCTCTCCTCACTCCTGTAATTACAGTTTGGCTTTGAATGCAGCCACTTTATCTGCTGATTTGTTCACAGTTGTCATTCTCCCCTGAAGTGATAGATTGAGTTTGCCAAGCAGGTTGAATATGTCACACAACTAGGCAAGTTTTGCATCCCATTCTGTGTCGCTGAAATGTGCTGCCAGTGGTTTTCTAAAAGAAATCTCTGAAGTTGCTCTCATAACTCAAAAACTCTGGCTAGTGATCGACCTTTAGAAACCCATCTTACTTCAGTGAGGAGACGTGTGTGCTCTGTTTCTATCCCCTCACAGAGCTGCGTGAACACATGTGAGTTAAGGGCATGTATTTTACTGCACATGCTGAAGGCATGTAATGTATTGCTGATAATTTTAATCACATTCTGTAAAATGCTGTTAAGTTCAGATGACATTTTTTGGCTAGCCAACATTTCTCTATAGGTGATGTAGTGTGTAGACTCACATTCAGGGGCAACCTCTTTGACCTGAGTAGTGAAACCAGAAAGCCGTGCAGTCATGGCAGCCACTCCATCTGTGCATGTACTGACATAAAATGACCTACTTAATTTTCCTGATATGTAATTATTCAAAGACTTGAATAGTTCTGCAGCTGTGGTGTTGGTTGGCAACAAAAGTGCACATAACATCATCGTGCACATCCTCCTGAAAAATGTATTGCACAAAAACAAGCCTTGTTGCCTTGTTATTAACATCAGTAGACTTATCAACCTGGATTGCATATAATAGTGATTCATTAATCTTCTTTGACAATTGTACCTTAATATCCTCTGCTATTTCAGCAGTTTGTCTTGTTATGGTTTTAGTCAAAAGAGGAAAACATGCCACCTTTTCAACTGCAGCCTTTTCTAAAAGTTCACAGCAAACATCCATAGTAGCAGGCAGGATTAACTCTTCACCAATAGTAAAGGGCTTCTTAGCTTTAGTAATGTGGTTAGCCACTAAGAATGATGCTGTCAGTGCGGACACATTTGATGAAGTGTTAGCCTTCAATAATTGCTTCTGTTCTTCATGTTCATTTTTTATTTTTCTTTTGAAAAACTCCAAAGGCTTGTCTTTTAATGCACGGTGCTTTGTCTCCATGTGGCAAAGCAGTTTTGAAGGTTTCCTGGCTTAGTTGGGAAGCTGGTTGCCACATGTTATACAAAGCGAGTATTTTCTTTTAAATGCAGTTTTCTTTTTGTTGACAGTCCTAGAGTCTTCTGCTGTCTCATCATTGGGTCTTTCCCCTTTTTGAAAGAAGCTCTCAGATGACCTTTGTTTTTAATCAATTTTAGCTTGTGGGTTTTCCAAAACTGTGACTGAAACAAGTGTGCAGTGTGGGCAAGAGGCATGGATGGATGTGGTAAATAAAATAATGGGTGAACCACACATGGACTAAAATAAGTTTTGGATTCTGACTTAAAGTCTGCCACCAGATGCAGCTGTGCAATTGAAGTACATGGATTCACTTGCCACTATAAAGCCTGCCACCAGATGCAGCTTGTTACTTGCCACTCACTGACAGGTTTTTTTTTTTAGACAGAGTTTGGCTGTCTTGCCCAGGCTGGAGTGCAGTGCATGATCACGTCTCAATGCCACCTCCACCTCTCAGGCTCAAGCCATACTCCCACCTCAGCCTCCTAAGTAACTGGGACTGCAGGCATGCATCACCATGCTTGGCTAATTTTTGTATTTTTTTGTAGAGACATGTTTCACCATGTTACCTAGGCTGGTCTCAAATTCCTGAGCTCAAGTGATCTGCCCACCTCAGCCTCCCCAAGTGCTGGGATTACAGGCATGAACCACCACTCCTGGCCTCTGATAGGGTTTTGATATGAGTCTTCAAACAATTGATTTATTATCTGCTAATGTTAATCTGTATTTTCAGCCACTCATCAGCTCTAGTATCATCCTCATCTCCACCTCAAATCATCAGGCATTAGATTATCCTAAGGAATGGTCAACCTAGATCCCTCACATATGCATTTCACGATAGGGTTCACATTGAGAATCTAATGCCACAGCTGATCAGACAGGAGGCAGAGTTCAGGTCGTAACGTGAGCAATGGGTAGCCATTGTGAATACAGATGAAGCTTGGCTAGCTCGCCTGCCACTCGCCTCCTGCTGTGCGGCCTGGTTCCTAACAGGCCACCAATCAGTACTCATCCATGGCCCAGGGGTTGGGGACCCCTGCACTAGGAGACCAATTCAGCCTTGATGCAAATGTATTGCACAGGAATCCATGGCCTCTCGAGGAAAATCAGTGTCTCTGGTGAAAGGCCACTAGCCAAACTTGCATTTGCAACTTCTATAACTGGACCAAGACCAACTATCATCATTTCTTTTCTATGTGCAGCTGCTACTTTAATTCCTTCAAGACTAGAGGGGAGTGTGGCAAAAGACAAGAGAGTTAGGAATGGGTGGGGACTAGAACCAGGGGAAACATGGACACAGGCAGGATGTCTGCTCCTGTTCAGAACTCAGGCCAGGCTTTAAGAAAAAGGCAGAGAAACTATGGTAGGTGAGGAATGGACGCATTCCACTTCCGTTCTTTGGTGAGAATTTACCTCTTCCCCATATATTGGGGGAACCCACCCCCAATATTTCAGTGTAGGTTCTATTTTCCATAAGTGTTGGCTGGCTGAGAAATAAAGAGAGACAGTACAAAGAGAGGCATTTTACAGCTGGGCTGCCAGAGGTGACATCCCATATTGGTAGGACCATGATACCCACCTGAGCCTCAAACCAGCAAGTTTTTATTAAGGGTTTCAAAAGGAGAGGGGGTGTAAGAACAGGGAGTAGGTACAAAGATCACATGCTTCAAAGGGCAAAAAGCAGAACTGCTAATAAGGGTCTAACAAAGATCACGTGCTTCTGAGGAAACAGGACAAAGGGCAAAAGCAGAACTACTGATAAGGGTCCAACAAAGATCACAAGGCAGAGGGCAAAAGCAGAACTACTGATAAGAGTCTATGTTCAGCAGTGCAAGTATTGTCTTGATAAACATCTTAACAGAAAACAGCCTTCACGAGCAGAGAACCGGTCTGACCCCAAATTTACCAGGGCAGAGTTTTTCCCCACCCTAGTAAGCCTGAGGGTACTGCAGGAGACCAAGGTGTATCTCAGTCCTTATCTCAATCGAATAAGACAGACATTCCCAGAGCAGCCGTTTATAGACTTCCCCCAAGGAATGCATTCCTTTCCCAGGGTACTAATATTAATATTCCCTGCTAGGAAAAGAATTTAGCGATATATCTCCTATTTGCACATCCATTTATAGGCTCTCTGCAAGAAGAAAAATATGGCTCTTTTTGCCTGACCCTGCAGGCAGTCAGACCTTATGGTTGTCTTCCCTCGTTCCCTAAAGATCGCTGTTATTCTGTTCTTTTTCAAGGTGCACTGATTTCATATTGTTCAAACACACGTTTTACAATCAATTTGTACAGTTAACACAATTATCACAGTGGTCCTGAGGTGACGTACCTCCTCACCTTACAAAGATAACAGGATTAAGAGATTAAAGACAGGCATAAGAAATTATAAAACTATTATTTGGGAACTGATAAATGTCCATATTAAAATGAAATCTTTGCAATTTATGTTCCTCTGCCGCGGCTCCAGCTGGTCCCTCTATTCGGGGTCCCTGACTTCCCACAAAACACAAAACCCATAGAGGCATTACCTCAACCAGGGCATATTTTTATTAGGTAAATCACTATTACATGCAGTTGACTTACAGTAAATGTGGATTGTTTAGGTGACTTAAGCTAACGAGATCAGAACAATAAGTGTATTTTTTTTTAAATATTTTACTATTATTATGTGAGGCCCTAGATCAGAGATTTAGTTGTAGAAATTACAGGAAGCTGAAACTAAATAACTATGATTTAATTGCCTTTAGGGATAAAAGCAAAGGACTTTGAGTCTTGAGTACAAAAATAATATGTGCTTCTACAGTTAATAGAAAAAAGATGGGCCCTGTGTGGTGGTGCATGCCTGTAATCCCAGTGCTTTGAAAGGTAAAGGTGGGAGGATTGCTTCAGGTTATGAGTTTGAGACCAGTCTGGGCAACATAGTGAGACCCTGTTTCTACAAAAAATAAACCAGTAACTGGACATGGTGCCATGTGCCATGCACCTGCAGTCACAGGTACTCCTGAGGTGGGAGGATTGCTTGAGCCCAGGAGTTTGAGGTTGCAGTGAGCTGATTGCATCAATGCATTCCAACCTGGCTGACAGAATGAGACCCTGTCTTTGAAAAATAAAAATAAATTAGAAAGTATTTCTGGAAAAAAAGATATGAACTATCTTTTAAGAGAGTAAAATAAAAACTGTACTAGACTTGAAATTCCATTAGAAATGGAAATTCCATTTTATCAATAAATAGATGACAGCCTTGCAAACTTTCTGAAAAGGACCAACTTAATTATGTGCCAACATCTCCTGCTGAAGTGGAGATGATATTTTGCTTATCGTGGAATAAATATTTCTGCAAATGATATGATAGCTAGATGGTTCCTGGTATGTGAATGTTTGTGAAGATAACACAAATAGTTTTAAGATTTATATTTTTTCTTCAAAAAATGGTATATGAAATTTTATTTTTAACATGGTAAGTGTCTTCTTGTTTAAATGTTTTTAGTTTAGAATAAAAATTGATACCTTTGGCTCTCCAGCTATGTCTCAGACAAGGCAAGGTAAAATTGTTCAACTAATGCTTTTCTAGGTGTAGCGTTGTCTTTTAGCAGGCAACAACAGAGGTTCACGGTGACAGATTTTCTATTAGAAACCTTAGTTCAGATCTGTCTCTAAGGGGATTTTCTCTAAAGCAAACATTATTAAACATTGGCAGAGAAAGGAAAACCAGTGTTAATACATCTGGAGTATACAAGAAATTGAAGACTGAAGATAAAGGATTAAGATGACTTTATTTTTTCTTAGGCTTCCAAATATAACCTTGAGGATAGCAATCCAATATTTTAGGTCCAATGTGATAGAATTGTGTATGTGTGTTTGTGTGTGTATTACATTTATCTTTCTTTAAAGCTAAAATAGTGGAACCAGTCTACTACTATTATATCTACTACTTTTATACTTTATACCAATAATATATTTAGGGTGTCTTTTAAAACCCATTTTTATTACGATATTTTGTAGATTATAGAGTGTTTTCTTAAAAAACCCTTACACTTCCCAGTATTCTGTTAAATGCTTATACTCTGTTGGAATGTTAGGTACAAAACATATTTTCAAGATGTTAGAGATTCTGCCATTGTTTTATATCATAAACATAGTTCATGAATTTTTTGAAATTTATCTAGTTAAGTTGACACAACCTAAAATGGCAAGAAATCTTCAGTATACTTATGTGAATAAATACGTAGATACCATATTAATGGTATGATAGAATGTAAAAAACGGCAAACATTTTGACATCATGATTTACTGATTATGTAATATTAAGTGTGTATGAACCTCCATAAGCCTCAGTTTTATTAGATGTAAAAAGAAATCATATTTATCATAGAGTTGTTGAGAGAATTATGTACAATTACGTTCTCAAAATGATTTACATTAGATCTGACACATAGTGGGTACTTTATAAGTAAAATTTCCTTTTCCCTTCCTGAATACAATCTATTCTCTGATGGCTGTGAGTCAATAGAGCACTCACGCTTACTTAGAATTAGGGAGATAAATATTCTGTTTTCATTTGACATATTTAGATTAAATTTGATATATTTACCTGCATTTGCATACATATTTTCCACAATATAATATATCTAGTCCATTTAAGAAAGTATTTCTATTTTCCTCTTCTCTGATGAGCAAAAGTTGATTTGGGAGTACCCAAATGGTTCTGTACAAAGCCATCTTAAGGCTAGAAAATTGTCAACTATCTCAGACGTTTATTATTACCAATGAAATTATTCTTGTAAACTGAAGAAACCATTGAGAAATGTCTAGAGTTGAAATTCATTTGTTGAATTTTGTAAGAGTTTCCAGTAACAGTCATTCCTAGTTAAGACAGTATGAACCTTTGTAGAGTAACCTAATTGATATATTTGCTTCTTTTTTGAGTCTATTCTTTGGTTTTGTCATCAGTCTTTGATACTTGGTGAAAGTGACATAGTGAAGGAATGCTTTAGCTAAAGATGTGGACCAAAGGAGGTTAAGAATTTGGTTACTAAGGATAATTAAGGATGACCAAAAGCCAATAACAGAAATTGTAAAAGATTTGTGAAATTCTGATACCTGAGAAGTTTCTTGATAGCTTTTAATTAATTTACAGGATTCTTTCTTTGCTATTATCAGGATTGATTAAATAGCAGAAACTGAGGTAACAGGAAGAGATAATAAGATAGTTAAGGTTAACTGAGCCCCCAAAATGTGCCAGGTACTTTCTCATACATGTTAGAAAAACCTTTAAATTAGGTGGTATTGATATTATTATTTTGGTTGTTATTGTTATTATCCTCATTTAATAGATGAGAAAACAGAGAATCAGAAAGAAGTCTGCCTGGATCCAGTGAATATCATTTCTCCATATAAGTAACAGAAATCCTTTGCCTAATTGCGGTTTTGTCACCAACTAACTAGCAGTGTGACTTGGGCATGTCACATAAGGTCTCTGTGGCTATTTCTAAATCTTAAATTTAGAAACTTGGATTAGATTATTTGTGAGATTTTTTCCCCCAGATAGGAACTTTATTATCTGCAAATAGCAAGAATTTGAATATAGTTTATGTAACAATACCAATGGAGTATATATATTTGAAAATTTGCCATCTAAATTGTTTAAATTATCTTAATGATCATTTAGCACTCAAGATAGTTTCAATATTTAAGAGCAGAGAAATTATATAATATAAAGAATGCATACATAATTAAAATATTCAATATACTGTTAACTAAAGCTATTTCAAATTAGTAATTTATATTAAAATAATGAATTCAATAAAATATGTTCTCATTCAGATGTAGAAGTCTTATATAAAGTTGTTTTCTTAATTATATCAAAATAGTTTTTATCAAGGTACAAGAGAGACAGATTGCCTAAATCTCTGGTGAAACAATACTTGGCTCCCTAATGCTGAATTAACCAGTATATTAATTAGCATTGAAAAAGAAGAAATAAATACCCATACAGGTGGCACTGGAAAATAGCAAATTTCTGAAGGTGGTACATGTATTAGTGACTTGGGATATATGGCTCTAGTGAGGTAACCCCGGCACCCATTCAGTAATTTCCTTTCACCTCCCCCTTTGCTAGCTGTCATAGGGTTCAACCCAGGCCTGTGACAATGCTTGCAACCAGCTTTCACTGTGGACATTAATCTGATGACAATGAAGACATGTCATGGGATATACGTTTTAGAATACCAATTCTTTTCTTTCTAAAACCTAATAGGATATGACATGAGGGATAATTCTGTTTCTTTGCTGTTTGTAGTAATGCATTTATACCTTGAAGGAATATTTGAGTAGGCTAAATTAATGCAGATTTAATGATGATTTATATTATCCATTGAGATACTTTGCTTTCTGCATGTGTTTAATGGTTGTATTAAAATGAGAATTTTATTGGCACCTTTATTTGAATTCTCATATTAAATTCAGCTCAAGCATAGTGTTTTTTTGGACTTCTTTCATAGCGTGCTGTCTCTCTGATAAATATGATTCTACAGCAGATGCAGCATTATTATAGGAGGCAAGCAGGCTTATTAAAAGGTGAATAAAGACATCTAACAGAGAAGTGCACTATTAAGGTTTTTAAAGACATTTGGGAGTAAAGCCAAGAGAACAATCATGTACTGTAAGCAGAATCCTAAAAAAAAAAATCAATACTTTGTTGACTATGCAGCCAATGAGGAAATGATAAGATAAAGGCTAATGTGATCATTTATTGATATGTAACACCTAGTTGAACTGTAAGTCAAGTAAGGGACATGTTCTGTGCTGATTGATTAAAAAAAGAGAGAAGGAGAAGGAGACTAACATTCTATAATTTTTTTTCAAAGGTTAAAATATGTCAGATAATGAAAAAATATATAGCTCAGGAATAACAAATCTTGTCATGAGGGCTTTGCAATGTTGTCCGTATTTATCTCAGAGTGTAAATTACACTCAGTAGAGAGATACCATTTTTTTCTCTGATGCAGATATGTTGCAGTTTTAGGGTTTTATGGCGAAGGCAACCATGTTTTTGAATTACCTCTGGCACAACTCTTGACATGTATACAATTTTAGTCATCTCTTAGAGTCTATAAAACTGAGGTCTTAGTGTAAAATGATAAAAGAAGAAAGCAAGTGCAAAGCTTTGTTTGGGATAATTATTTATGTTACAGTTTCAGAATGGTTTATGATGTAGATATTAGAACCAGATGGCATGAATTCAAGTCTTGGTCCCGAAGTTTAAGAGCTGTGGGCTTTGGGACAAGTAATTTATGGTACCTTGGGCTTCAGTGTTCTCAGTTGTTCAATATACTTTCCATATTGAATTGCTGAGAAGATTACATGAATCTGGCATAGAGAAAACAATCAATATATATTAGCTGTTATTAATGTTTATTTAAACTAAAAAAAATTAGCTAGGATCTGAAAATATTAATACCAATTCTAAAATACTTCTTATAACAATATTTAATTATGAATCTCTTTAGATGACTAAATTTCTCTGTATCAACTACAATGAAGTAAAATATGCCAATACAATAAAACACAATTCTGGTTAAAATGGTGGACGAACTTGTTACTTTTCATCAATAAATCTAGTCAAAAAAATTATTTACTTCCAGTCAATATATCTTGTCGTTAGATGCATTTTATTTTACATACTTTTTCAATATTTTTTCAAAGATAAATTTGCTTTTTCACTGCCTATCACATACTTTATCAGTAGATATCACATCACCGACTTTATAGGTTTATACCTATAAAGTTTTACATCTATAAGTTATGCCTATAAAGTTATCAGTTTACACCAAAACTGAGAACAAGGTAATTACCCAGAATATACAGGCCAATGAATTCATCATGGCAGTTCCAAGATTTGGATTTCTCTATGTTGTAATCCTTTAGCAATCCTTCAAATCTCCATTTTTAATTTGACAAAGACCTAAATAAGCATGTGAAATTCATAGTAAAAAACAAAAGTTCAAATATAAATGCTCCTTTCAGAGGAAGAGAACTAGCAAGAGAAGTTCTGAATAAACAGAGCCTTGCTTAATGTGATTACTCCTCTATCATAGGACTATCTTTCTGACCTTTCCCACCACTCTTGCTAAATATATGTTCATACTCTACTCAGCTACCCTGGTCTCAACACTGTTCCTTAAACATTCCCATGCCTGCTTATTTCTCAAAATAAGCATATTTATCTCAGAGTATAAATTACACTCAGTAGAAAGATATCATTTTTTTCTCTGATGTAGACATGTTGCAGCTTTAGGGTTTAGGGTTTTATGGCAAAGGCAACCATGTTTTTGAATTATTTGAATTATTTGTTGGAGTGTCCTTTCCCTCAGATAGTAGTGTAACTCAATCCCTCAGTCTTCAAGAGGTCACTCTTCTAAAATAGTGTTCTGAGTATCTTAATCCTTATAATAGGATTCCCCATCCTTTTCTCTCTGTAGTACTTCATTTCTCTTTTTAGCACTTCTTACCCTCCAACAAATTACTTAAAAAAATTATTCCTTGTCTCCTGAATCCCCACTTAGCTATTAACATATAAGCTCAATAAAGTCAGAAATTTGTCTGTTTCATTCATTGCTATAAAACCCAGAGCTCACAAGATCGCCTAGTACATGATCAGCATTGGCACTAATGCATGCCATTTTAATTTTTTTAAATTAGTTTTTATTTCAATAGCTTTTTGGATAGTAGTGGTTTTTTGATTAAATGGATGAATTTTATAGTGGTGAATTCTAAGATTTTAGTGCACTCATCACCCAAGCAATATACACTGTACCCTATATGTAGCCTTTTATCCCTCACCCCACTCCCACATCGCCTGTAAATCCTCAAAGTCCATTATATCATTCTGCATGTCTTTGTGTCCTCATAGCTTAGCTTCCACTTATAAGGGAGAACATATTGTATTTGATTTTCCATTACTGAGTTACTTCACTTAGAATAATGGCCTCCAGCTCCATCCAAGTTGCTGCAAAATATATTATTTTATTCCTTTTTATGGCTGAGTAGTATTCCATGGTATATATATGCCATATTTTTTTTATCCACTCATTGATTGATGGACACATAGATTGGTTCCATATTTTTGCAGTGGTGAAGTGTGCTGCCATAAACATGCATGTGCATGTGTCTTTTTCATATAATGACTTCTTTTCTTTTGGATAGGTACCCAGTAGTAGGACTGCTGGCTCAAATGGCAGATCTGTTCTTAGTTCTTTAAGGAATTTCCATACCGTTTTCCAAAGAGGTTGTACTAATTTACATTCCCACCAGCAGTACAAAAGTGTTCTCTTTTCACCACATCCACAGCAACATGTACTATTTTTTGACTTTTTAATTATGATCATTCTTATAGGAGTGAGGTGGTATCTCAATGTGGTTTTAATTTACATTTCCCTGATGATCAGTAATGTTGAGCATTTTTTATATGTTTGTTGGCTGTTTGTGTATCTTATTTTGAGAAATGTCTATCCATGTCATTTGCCCACTTTTTAATGGGATTATTTGTCCTTTTCTTGCTGATTTGCTTGAGTTCCTTGTACATTCTGGATACTATTCCTTTGTCGGATGCAGAGTTTGCAAATATTGTCTCTTATTCTATGGTTTTCTGTTTACCGATTATTTATTTTGCTGTGCAGAAGCTTTTTAGTTTAATTAGATCCCATTTATTATATTTGTCACATTTGCTTTTGGGGTCTTAGTCATAAATTCTTTGCCTAGGCCAATGTCCAGAATAGTTTTTTCAATGTTGTCTTCTATAATTTTTATGGTTTTATGTTTTAGATTTAGGTCTTTGATCCCTCTTGAACTGATTTTTGTATAACGTGAGAGAGGGGTTCCAGTTTCATTCTTCTATGTGTGGCTTGCCAGTTTTCCCAGCACCATTTATTGAATGGGATGTACTTTTCCCAGTTTATGTTTCTGTATACTCTCTCAAAGATCAGTTGGCTATAAATATTCAGCTTTATTTTTGGATTCTTTGTTCTGTTCTACTGGCCTACGTGCCGATTTTATACCAGCACCATGCTGTTTTGGTAATCATAGCCTTGCAATATGATTTGAAGTCTGGTACTGTAATGCCTCCAGATTTGTTCTTTTTACGTAGTATTGCTTTGGCTATTCAGGCTCTGTTTTGGTTCCATATGATTTTTAAGATTGTTTTTTCTAGTTTTGTGAAAAATGATAATGGCATTTTGATAGGAATTGCATTAAATCTATAGATTGCTTTGGAGAGTATGTTCATTTTCACAACATTCATTCTTTCCATCCATGAACATGGGCTGGGTTTACATATTTTTGTGTCATTAGTGATTTCTTCCAACAATGTTTTATAGTTTTCCTTGTAGAGATTTTTCACCTCCTTTATTAAGTATATTCATAGGTATTTTATTTTTTACAGCTGTTGTTAAAAGGGTTGGGTTCTTGATTTGATTCTCAGCTGGGTCACTGTTGTTGTATAGCAGTGCTGGTGACTTCTGTACATTGACTTTGTAACTTGAAGCTTTACTGAATGTGTTTATTAGACCTAGGAGCCTTTTGGTGGGGTCTTTAGGGTTTTCTAGGTATTTGATCATATCATTGGTGAAGAGCACTGGTATGACTTCCTCTTTTCTAATTTAGATGTCCTTTATTTCTTTTTCTTCCCTGGTTGCTCTGGCTTGGGACTTTCAGTAGTATATCAAATAGAAGTGGTGAAAGTGAACATCCTTATCTTGTTCCAGTTCTCAGGGGGTCATGCTTTCAACTTTTCCCCATTCAACATGATGGTGGCTGTGGGTTTGACATATATGGCTGTGGTTATTTTGACATAAGTTCCGTCTATGACTAGTTTATTCAGTGTTTTTATCATAAACCAATGTTAGATTTTATTGAATGCTTATTTCTGTATCAGTTAAGATGATTATATGGTTTTGTTTTTAATTTTGTTTATGTGAAGTATCACATTAACGGATTTGCATATGTTAAATCATTGCTGCATCCCTGAGATGTAACACACTTGCTCATGATGTATTATCTTTTTGATGTGCTATTGGATTCGATTATCTGGTATTTTGTTGGGGATTTTTGCTTCTATGTTCACCAGAAATTTTGGTCTGTAGTTTTATTTTTATGTCCTTTCCTGGTTTTGGTATTAGGGTGATACTGGCTTCATAGAATGATTTAGGAAGGATTCTATCTTTCTCAATATTTTGGTGTAGTTTCATAGGATTGGTACAAATTCTTCTTTGAATATCTGGTAGAATTCAGCTGTGAATCCATCTGGTTCTGGGCTTTTTGCTGTTGGCAATTTTATTACTGACTTAATCTCACAGCTTGTTATTGGTCTGTTCAGGGTTTCTATTTCTTCCTGATTTAATCTAGGAGGATTGTATGTTTACAGGAATTTATGCATTTCCTCTAGATTTTCTAGTTTCTATGCATAAATGTATTCATAATAGTCTCAAATGATTTATTCGTGTTGGTTGTAATGTTTCCACTTTCATTTTTAATTGAGCTTATTTGGATCTTTTCTCTTCTTTTCTTGGTTAATCTCCCTAATGATTTCTCAATTTTGTTTATCTTTTCAAAGAACCAGCTTTTTGTTTCATTTATGTTTTGTATTTTTGTTTCAATTTCCTTAAATTCTGCTCCGATTTTTGTTATTTCTTTTCTTCTGCTGGCTTTGGGTTTAGTTAGTGCCTGTTTCTCTAGTTCCTTGAGGTGTGACATTAGGTTGTCAATTTGTGCTCTTTCAGACTTTCCGATGTACACATTTAATGCTATGAACTTTCCTCCTTGCACTGCTTTTGCCATATCCTAGAGGTTTTGATAAGTTGTGTCACTATTATCATTCATCTCAAAGAATTTTTTCATTTGCATCTTGATTTCATTGTTAACCTAGATCAGGAGCAGATTATTTAATTTATTTGTATAGTTTTGAGGGTTCCTTTTGGAATTGATTTCTAGTTTTACTCTACTGTGGTCTGATAAGACACTTTATATAATTTCCATTTTCTTAAATTCATTGAGACTTGTTTTGCAGCCTATCATATCATCTATCTTGGAGAATGTTTCATGTACTGATGAGAAGAATGTATATTCTCCAGTTGTTGGGTAGCATGTCTTGTAGAAATCTGTTAAGTCAATGTGTTCTAGAGATAGTTTAAGTCCATTGTTTCTTTGCTGACTTTCTCATTTTTAGTATTTGTTTAAGTCTGTTTTATCTGATATAAGAATAACTACTCCTGCTCCCTTTTGGTTTCCATTTGTGTGGAATATTGTTTTTTACCCCTTATCTTGAGTTTATATGAATCCTTGTGTGTTAGGTGAGTCTTTTGAAGACAACAGATACTTGTTTAGTGATTTTTAAAAATCTATTCTTCCATTCTATATCTTTTAAGTAGGGCATTTAGGCCATTTACATTCAACATTAATATTGATATGTGAGGTATTGATCTATTCATCATGTCAGTCATTACCTAGATACTTTTTTATTGTCTTATTGTTTTATAAACCCTGTGAATTATGCTTTTAAGAAGTTCTACTGGCCAGGCACGGTGGCTCATGCCTGCAATCCCAGCACATTGGGAGGCCGAAGTGGGCGGATCATGAGGTCAGGAGATCGAGACCATCCTGGCTAACATGGTGAAACCCCGTCTCTACTAAAAATACAAAGATAGCTGGGCGTGGTGGCGGGCACCTGAAGTCTCAGCTACTCGGGAGGCTGAGGCAGGAGAATGGCGTGAACCCAGGAGGCAAAGATTGCAGCGAGCCGAGATAGCGCCACTGCACTCCAGCCTGGGAGACAGAGCGAGACTCTGTCTCAAAAAAAAAAAAAAAAAAAAAAAAGAAGTTCTATTTTGGTACAGATCCAGCTTTTGTTTCAAGATTTAGAGTTCTTTTTAGCATTTCTTGTAGTGCTGACTTGGTAGTGGCAAATTCCCTAAGCATTTGTTTGTTTAAAAATGATTTTATTTTTCCTTTCTATATGAAACTTTATTTTGCTGGGTACAAAATTCTTGGCTGACAGTTATTCTGTTTAAAGAGGCTAAAGATAGGTCCCAAATCTCTTCTAGTTTGTAAGCATTCTGCTGAGATGTCTGCTGTTAGTCTGGTTTTCCTTTATGCTACCTGATGCTTTTATCTCACAGCTCTTCAAATTGTTTTCTTCATATTAACTTTAGATAGCCTGATGACTATGTGTCTTGGTGACAATCTTTTTGCAATAAATTTCCCAGGAGTTCTTTGAACTCCTTGTACTTGAATATCTAAATCTCTAGCAAGGCCAGGGAAATTCTCCTCAATTATTCCCTCAAATAAATTTTCCAAATTTTAGCCTTCTCTTTTCTCTCAGAAACATCAATTATGTATAGGTTTTTGTCATTTTACACAACCCCATAATTCTTGGAGACTTTGTTCATTTCTTTTGATTCTTTTTTCTTTATCTTTGTCTGACTTGATTAATTTGAAAGCCTTGCCTTCAAGCTCTGAAGTTCCTTCTTCTACTAGTTCTAGTCTATTGGGGATACTTGTCACTTTATTTTGTATTTCCCTAAGTGTGTCTTTCATTTCCAGAAGTTCTGGTTGGTTATTATTCATGACATCTATCTCTCTCGAAAATTTTTTATTCATATCCTATTTAAAAAAACATGTAATTTTTCACCTTTCTCTGGCATTTCCTTGGGTAGCTTAATAAACAACCTTCTGAATTCTTTATCTGGTATTTCAATGATTTCATCTTTTTCTGGATCCATTGCTGGGGAACTAGTGTGATCGTGTGTTAGAGAACCTTGTTTTATCATGTTATCAGAATTACTTTTCTGGTTTCTTCTCATTTGGGTAAACTAATTCTTCTAATGGTTTTTAAATTTATTTTTGATTTGACCATTTTTTTTCTTTCTTTTCTCCCCGTAAGTATATGACTTTAAGGTTTATAGTTTATTATAGCCTAATTTGGTTCCTGATGCTTTTAGGGGTGAAGACTGTATGAGTTCCTTGAATATAGTCTTTGTATGATGGTTTCCTCAGATGCTGGTTGTAGTAGCAATGTACTTGATGTGTGGGCAAGTACACCCTCTCCTAAGGAGTTGTAATGGCAGAGGTCTCTTGAAGCTTATCTCCTTCTCCTGTGGTATGCACTTTCTCATTTACTTAATTTTTCCTCAGTATTTTATTTACTAAGTTGATGATTCCAGCTTCAGAACAGTAGAGGAGGTATCCCTGGGTAGAAACTAGTTGTAGGTAAAGCAGATAGATAAATGCAATACCCAATGTTGTCAGAGGTCCCAGCCTTTATGAGGGTGGCTGGGGTAGCTCTCAATTAGACACACTGAGGTCTTATCAGGTGGAAGGGTGGGGACCACCTAAGCTCCCCTGCCAGGCCAACAGGAAAGCTATCCACCTCCCAGACTCACTCCTGTCCCAGTGTTCCAGCTACTCAGATCAGACAGGCACCTCTTTTTCTCTGTAGGAATGTTGATATTCCAAGTAGAGAGGAATTGTGAGTCTGCCTCTCATGCAAGCCTGAATCTGTGCGGTGCTCCTCCTGTGGGGATGCAGTCACTGTGAAGGCAGTCTACAGGTGCAACCATGCAAAGCTCTCATGGAAGAAGCCCCAGCCATGTCTGCAGTGGTGGACAAGGGAAGAAAAGAGATCCCTTCTCCAAGACTCTTCATGAGCCTCAAGGCTTCCTGACTTTTGGGGTAAAGCTGCAGATTTTCCCTGATGATCCCAGCACTGCAATTTTGTCTCTGCTGCAAGAAACTTCCAACAGCAGAAAGATATGGAACCCAAGGCCTGCCATCTGGGTTCATTTGTCCCACGGGGTGTTCCCTTGATGTGGTTCTCCGCACCTACCCTGGGAGTAGGAGTTTCTGAGAGCCAGGCTACAGCGATTGCTATTGCTTTTCTGGGTTTAGCTATCCAGTGAGACTCCCACACTCCTGGTTGGTGCTGGGGAATGTCTGCAGGGGATCCAGTGATGTGACCTGTCCTCAGGTCGCTCAGCAGTGGGTACCAGCACAAGCTGTGATAGGGGTGGCAGGGGATTGATGTAGACTCTGTGAGCTTCCTTAGTTACAGATAGTGTGCTGTCTTTCTCAAATTCTGATTATAATAGTAGTGAACTTGTTACATGGACAGACTCAGGACCTCCTGGTTAGCCAGGGTGTTGCAGGCAATGGTGATAGCTGAGATTGCACACTGGTTTTATCTTTCCTGGTCACAGTGTTATTCTACCTAGAGACACTATGAGGGACTATGTCAGTTGGCTTCCAGCCAGGAGGTGGTGCTTGCAAAAGAGCACCTGATGCAGTAGTAGCAGTGGGATTTGAGCTTGCTCTATGTTGCCCAGGGGAGGTATTCTCATTTCTCAGGTGATAGGCAGGACCATAGAGCTCCCAAAAGTTTATGTCCTTTGTGTTAAGCTACCAGGGCAGGTGGAGATGCATAGCCAGGCAGGGCCTATCTCAGGTGGATCAGCACTCTGACTCTCCATTTGTGGGGCAAGCTGCAGCCCTTTTGGGGGTTGGGGGCAGTTCTCAAGCCACTGAGGTAATAATGTTCCAGTGGAGAGCACAACTGACTTGGCTACACAGAAGAGTTCACGCAAGGAATGGGGAATAGCAGGCAGCAGGAAGCCTCACCCAGATTCCATGCAGTTGGCAAGGCAGCTCTCACTCCCACAGTGCTCTGCTAATAGTACTGGACTAAGTCTCAGGTATCCTGCACTGAGAACCCAAACTTGCCCCAGGCCATAAGCTTTCCCTGCAGAGACAGCAACAGAGGCTTTCAGACCATGTCACTCCCCATCTGCCTCACAAGGCCAGGCACCCAGCTCCTGCACTCATGCCTGCAGTGTACTTCCCACTAGCCCCACCAAGTTCTGGACAAGAGAGTTCATCCCCACCCAAGGTTACATTACCAAATTCAGTTCGGAGCTTCTTTCAACCCATGGCCACTGCTTGAGATAGTTAACAGATTTTCTTGAAGTTCCCTGTGAGATCTAATAAGGAATGGCTTCCCTTAGTTTACACTGAGACTGGAAATACCGCCAAGGCACTTCCCACTGCTGCTTTTACTTTTATCTTTTTTACCACTCTCTAAATCAGTTCCAGCTCTGGGAGGTTTAAGGCCTTCCCCTGTGACATGGAATTTCAGGTTCCCCATTGGGAATGTGTATCCTGGAGGCAGTCTCTTCCATCTCACACTCTGGGTACTTAAGAGTTTTTTTTACCTGCCTCACAATGTAGGCTTCTGCCTGACACTTCTTTCAAAGGGTCTGTGGTTTCTTTTGGTTTTCCTATTAAGTTCCTGTGTTGCTTTTTGGAAAAAAAGTTCTCACTGTGAATCTCTACACGTTATTCTCTCCTTCCAAGTGGAAGAGACATGCTAGCACTGCTTCCAGTCTGCCACCTTCAATGCATGATTGTTGAATAAATGATTGCATAAATCTTGTCTCAAATTGGGAGTTTCCAAAATTAGAACCTATACCCACAAAGATATGAATACAGAAGTATACTTTGGAGATAATTCCAGAAACCACTAATAGGGGAGTGGGGAAGTAAACCAGGGAAAGGAAGAAACCCAATAGAGGGTACATTATCAGGTATGTTGCTACAGGAACGAGATTCATCCTACCAGGAAACTCTGGGAGATAGTGTAGAATCCTCAGGATTACCCAAAACAAGAGACAGGGCTGGAATACGTATTCATCAGCTACTGTCAGTCGTTGGTTTAGGGCTGCTCTGGAAGAGGGTTTGGAGTGATTAATGGCCTGATGGGGACTTCCAGATTGGGCTCAGGCAGAGTTGCATGTGCTTGTTGTTAAAAGCCATTTGCTTAGTGTGGACAGAAATGGTGAATATCAAGGAGTGTAGATGGGGCACTGACATCATATATTTCAGATCCATACACCAGAAAAAGTCTTCATCACTTGAGTGTTCAAGAACCTAAGGCCATCTCTACATCTAAGGGACTCTCAACATCTCAAGATGTTGTTGTTCTTCTGCTCTAACCACAAATTACCAACCAAAGCTTTGTATTCAACTGAAATCGGATTTTAAAATGCATTAAATTTATTTTCAAGGAAAAACAAAATTGACAAAAGGGAATACCAAAGACTGTCTAAGTGTGTTAGGGCCAAGAAACTAGCTTACAATGTACAATGTATCCAAATAACTAGATCATAGTTTAGGACTTCTAACTATTGATCATTATCATCTATCACAATGGTTTCCTCTTCCTTTTGTTAGCTTTTCCATAAAGTCTTTACAGCCTGCCATTGGGGTACTTAGATCTTATCCTGACCTTATGTAATCTGCTCTGTTGAAATGATTCTACAAATGAAAATAAAAAATGATTTGACAATAGATACTTTAAGTAGGTTACCAAAAAGAGAGATTAGCCAGCAGACAATGGTGTTTCTAAAATGTACTTTTCTTCATAGAGCCTGTACTCCAGACAATAAGCAATATTTTTTTTTCTAAGCATTTTAAGCTGTATAAACTGTGGCCTCTCTAATATATTTGGGGCATAGGGAGGAAAATATAAGAAAATAAAACTGTACTTTATAACATCCTTATCTATATAGGAAAACAAAAGAAATAATTAAATGCTTTACACATTTTGAGTAACATTTGAAATGATTCAGTGTAAAAAAGATATAAGAGAAAAAATGATGCCAGATGATACTAGCAGTACTTGAAAGTTAAAAGTATATTTTAGTGCAATTCTCCAGGAATCTATACACGAAAAGTAAATGTATTTTAATGAGAAAATTTAAAAATATCAAATATCCTGAAAATCTAAGGGCACATTGAATAAGTGGTGTGTGTGTGTGTGTGTGTGTGTGTATCTTGGTCTTCTCTTTTTAAGTAATAAGGCACTAAGTTTTAGATCAATTCTAAAAGATCAAATAGAAATGTTAAAGAAAAAGAAAGATAAGTATTTGAATGGTTTATTCAATCGGACTCATTAGCACATTTTTTATTTTATTATTCTCAACTGAATTTATTATGCACTTTCCAATGAATGTTGGATGGAAAAATGATTTGGAGGAGTTTTTAAGAAAAACATATTTTTAAAAAAATGTAATTCTGACCCTAATGCCTTCCCACACTCCCTGCAATACTGAAACAAAAATATTCCATTCATCACAAGTTATACATTTAGACACATTGTTCCAAGGAGATGAACCTATAGGGAAACAAATAATAATATGGGAAAATTTTTCTTCAGTTTCAGAATTTGTTCTTCCTGGAATTCAATTAGAGATACAGTTTTCGTGTTCAAAGACAAATATAATTACATAAGAATTCTGATTCTTGGCTTGGCATAGTGATGTGTGCCAATGGTCCCTGCTATTCAGGAGACTGAGACAGGAAGATTGCCTGAGTCTAGGAGTTGGAGACTACAATGAGTGATAGTCATGCCATTGCACTCCAGCCTGGGTAACAGGAAGACACCCTTTCTCAAAACAAAAACAACAACAACAACAAAAGAGAAAGAAAGAGAAAAAACAGAAAATCTGATTTTTGTGAGAATCTGACAGTGCCCTCTCCACAGTGTATGTGTTTGTGTGTGTTTGTGTCCAGGTGTTGTATGAGTGGTTCCAGAGATCACTAGCAGTATGCTTTGGATGCATATAAAACAAGTATCTACATTCATACTGGATATGTGTGTGTGTCTGTGTCCTTTTTCCTTGATTTTATGAGTATCTCCCCTTTCCTTGGGTTTTTATTTAGTAATGTTTATCTAATATATGTATGTAGATAAATAATAATTTAGATAAAATTTTCTCTATATTCCCCTCTATCTTCACTTTCCACCTTGGTTTTATAATCTCAAAAAAAAGATTTGCTAACTGTGGTTATAAAGTTGGCAAAATAAGTTATTCCACATTATGAAAAGAATATGGTTCTTCCTATTCATAATTATTGATTGATATGATTACAAACTCCAAATAAACATGAATGATAAGTTTAAAGCTTCATCTTACGTGAGAAAAGTTTCAAGGATGTCAATCAGAAAGAATATTTATCTTTGCTAAGTAAATAACAAATACATTAGATTGCACCTAAGAATTTTAACACCTATGCAAGCATCATTAGAATGTATACAGAACAAGATAAATATATAAATATTATCAAATACAAAAATGTGGTGAATGTCCCTAAAGAACGATCTTTTGAAGCAGGTATCCACATCTTTAACTGTTGATAAAAAGTATTTTATTTCAAATATTAATTATCTTTCTTATTCGAATTGGAAAAAACAAAACACAAGCCTATAAATGACAAGCTGTAGATAATTGTTTAAGGTATATCTACAAGAGAAATATTATACAGCCATAGAAATGACACTTGTCAGGATTTTTAATAACCTAGAAAAATATTTGTGTATAATTTTTAGTGAAATATGCAATATATAAAATTTTATTTATAGTCAGAAACACGCCATGGAGCTTGCCCCTGTGTTGTATGACTATGGGCAATTTGTTTCTACTTTTCTATATTACATCATGTTAAATTTCCCAAAAAGTATATGTTACTTATGTAATGGAAATAAGTGCCACTTTCCAAGGAATACAAGTCTAATTCAAAGTAAAATGAACACATGGACACAGGGAGGGGAACAACACACACTGGAGCCTGTTGGGAGTTGGGGAGAGGGGAGGGGAGAGCATTGGAGCATTAGGAAAAATAGCTAATGCATGCTGGGCTTAATACCTAGGTGATGGGTTGATAGGTGCAGCAAACCACAATGGCACACGTGTACCTGTGCAACAGACCTGCACATCCTGCACGTGTACCCCAGAACTTAAAAATAGAGATTAGAAAAAATGTTAAAAAAGTAATTTTATAGGCTTGATAATTAAAAATAAAAACAGATAATAAAATCAAGCATATTTTTGTTTAAAACACTCTAGAGGTCTTCTAATCTTCCATATATCTCAGATGGGGAATCTGGTACCCCACAGCATTTCAGTGTCTTCTATGATTCTAATACTCTGTGACCTTGAGCAAGTCACCAATACTTGTTATTTGCTTGTAAAATGAATGGGATGCTTTACAAAGTTATAGTAATATCTATTCACTTAAAACAATGAGGTGCTGAATGTAAAGGATCTAAATCAGTGCTGACAACCAAAATCTCAGAAATCACCGCTAAATCACTTAACTCGTAACCAAACACCACCTGTTTCCCCAAAACCTATTGAAGTACAAAATAATAAAATGAAATAAATACCTGTGTTCTTCCTCCAAAATTAACACAACTTGATGATAAAGTTGACAGTACAATTCACATCTTTTAATTTTTCAGATACTATTTATTAACTAGCTATTAAATAGTGTTTACTATTACTTAACTCTTACTAGTTACTATTTGTTTTACCAGATATTAACTTCATGCTGTATGTATTTCCCTTCAGTTTTTAGTAGAGTAAACTGAGGCACAAAGAAGATAAATAATCGCCCTCTGTTATATGTTAATTGGAGCCAGAACTAGGATTCAAATCAAGTTCCGCCTTTAACTTTTGGGCTGTTTCTACCTTGCTTCATCGCCTCACTCCAAATCAAAGTCTGAATCTCTCCATCCAAAAATATAAAGTGAATTGAGCAATTGTATGGTGGTTCTGATCAGGATCAGACAAGCTAGACAAATATAATCAAATATCTATTTTAAGATATTTTAGTAGATTCAACTTTTAATGTATTTACTTTGCTTTTAAAATAAAACATAGAATAAATAGTAGGAAAAATAAAAGAGGCTTATTTTGTTTGTCTCTCAGCTGGTTGAAGGAGCTTAAGTGGAATTGCTAGAATATTCTACCAGAATCTGTAACAGGGGCTCAAGGATGACTCTGAAGACCTCTCTATCCCTCTATGTTATCGAGATTTCTGTTATGCCTCTGTACTTGTGGTTCACAAATGCAAATTTGTTTGTACAACATTACTGTACAATTTGTCAATACTGCAGGCTGATGGAAAGAGAACGATGAATGGAATAGCAGGCATTTTGAACATGACCTAGAGTACATTGGCAAAAGATGAGAGTGTAACTACTTTCCCCTTCCCCCCCACTCACTTCATAACCATAAAGTTACAACACAAATTTCTAAATGAGAAAAAAAAATCACAAATTCTAGTCAAGTGCGATAGATGGCATTACAGAATGTAATATGACACTTGCTGAAACTGCATAATGTGAATTCAAAAAATGTCCACTGAATATTACATTGCATTGACATGCAATTTTTAAAATGTCATTATTGGAGCCTCTACAAAGCTAGCTTATTATAGATTCACCTCTTTATAAAGAAAATATGTCATTGGCAATTTGTTTTGCTTTATAAGACTTTCTCTTCTCTATCTGGAAGAATAACATAAAAGTTTTGAAAAATAACAATTCAGAAACAAAACAGAAGTGGTTGGCTCTCACTGGGATAAGCTGCAGCTGGCACTGTTATTCTTAACTGCTGGTGCGTCCACATAACCTGTCCACTTTCCCTAGAAGAACAGGTTGTCCCTGTAAGTGCTCATTGAGGAATATTACCCTGATGGATGAGAAGTAACATGAAATTAATTTTCAGATTCACCAAACACTTTACAACGTAGGTTAACCTGCAGCTTTCCAGATAATCAATATCACTAAATGCTATAATAGTATATGTCATGTAGAGACTATGCTAAAACAAAGGTGGCTGTACCAGCTCCTGTGGAAGCATGGGTTTGTGAATCCCTTTTTAAAATAAAACTGATTCTGACTCTTCTGGCAGTAAATGACTGCATTACTCAGGTAATTATAAACCAATGAGATAGCCTGGGAATTATGTAAGTAGCACATACAGATAACAACATTACTATTAGGAGTCTGTAATATTTTAAGCAATAAAAATTGCAAAGTGTTCCCATTAGTCAGGATTTGTCTGCAAATTACAGAAATCCAACACAAACTAGTGGTAAAATGGAATTTCAGTCTTGATTACAAGGAGTGGATAGAGTAGATGTGGGGCAGAATTTGTATCCAAGTATTCACGTATAGTCATTAGATACCAATCTCATTTTTTTCTCCATTTATAAGTATGTCTTTACTCTGTTGGTGTCTTCTGAGACACCAGTTCTTAAAATGGCCCCTAGAAATATGAGGTTATGATACTTACAATCTCAATGGGAGAAAAATAATCTCTTTCAAAATCTATAGGCATGACCTCAAACAACTTTCATTGACCTTCCTAGGTTATCGACAGAAACTTCTAATTGCCTGTTTCTATACCAGTTTACTTTTGCTTTCTCCTTAGACACAGAACTTTACCTCTTAGCTTGACATATTGCTGTCTAGAAGTTATCACATTTTCCAGCTTCTCTTGTGTTGTCGTGTGACTAAGTTTTGACCACTGAGATAGAAGCAGAATGTTATGTGGGACTTCCAAGAAAATGGTTCAAGGGTAGTTTTCTCAACATGGAAGGGCTTCTTCCTTTGCCCTTCTGTCCCTTTTCCTCTGGCCTGCAAAGTTATGTCTTGAGCTCTAGCAGTCATGGATGGTGGAGCAGAAAGATAGAAGTGTCAGTTCCTGAGGACATCACCTGGCCACCATACAATCCCTGTACTGCCTCCTCAGTGCCTCTCTAATGTAAAAGCATAATGATTGATCACATTTCAGCAGTAAATTACAATGGACCAACTGTGCTCTAGGGCAGTAGACAGTACGCCACCCTAGGTCAGGCCGTCCTCCCTTGTGGTAGTGGAAGTAGGAATCCAGAATTAACGGCTTCACCAGGTATGAGAACAGTAGTTTCAAAAAACAAAACAAAAATGAAAGCTGATTAAAACAATAAGAATGTTATATATTTACTAAGTGCGTATGCACCAAAAAAAAAAAAAAAAAAAAATATGTGCCAGTAAACCCTACGGGCTACAGAAAAGGAGACAGAGAATATGTTCTCCTCACATCTGTTACCACTTTGGGTGAACTTGTAATCAGTCAAGGAGATTTAGTACATTTGCAAAACAGCATGTATAGTTATTTGTTTCCTTATAATGTAAAAAGAGACGTTGAGGAGTGTTTAAAATGAGAGAACAGAATTGTATAAGGTTGATTTAAAAAGAGAAAATAATGACTTCTCTATAAAAGGTCATGCTTTGATAGTTAAGAGATGGTTAATCTGCCTCCCAAGAGAAGATGAGGTCTTCTACAAAAGAAAGTTTGCCAGTTCTAACTCCATCCTTGTGACTCCATAATGTTATAATCTGGAAATCAAAGGAAAAAGGAGCTGCCATGATTGAAGCTTAACTTCATTGTTCCCATAGTTCTTTTCACCTCATTATTTCCATTACTATATTTATTTATTTATTTATTTATTGGTAACCAACATTACTACCTGTTACCCAACTATTTGTAATTATCATGTTTCCTGAAATAGAAGATGGAAAATGGTAACTACAAAAGAATAGTAGCAAGAAGGACAAAACTTTGTATTTCCAATATCTCTTAATCCCCAAATTACAGTCCTCTTCCTAATTTTACTCTAAAATGGTTTTATGCATTATATTTTCAAACTAATAGCAAACTTAAAAAAAAAAGGAACGAAACAATTTTTCTGGTCAGCTGAATAAAACACATGGCTGACTTACAAGTGGTATTTCATTTTCTAAACAACTAAAACATTAATCAATAGTGAAACAATATATAATTTCAATTTGTTTAGGTAGCTACTGGTTCATTATTTTGTGACATATTTAATAAACAAAAAATTACATATATACACAACAGGCTTTATTTCACATATTCATTGAAGAACTGACAGTGTTTCCCCAATAATGTAATGTATTTATCTTGACCTCTGCCACAAAGCTAAAAAAAAAAAAAATGTAGAATGGGAAACTTAGACTCCATCTCTACAAAAAATAAAAGAAAACAAATTAGCCAGGCTTGGTGGTGTGTGCGTAGTCCAGGCTACTTGGGAAGCTGAGGTGGGAGGATCACTTGAGTCCAGGAGGTCGAGGTTGCAGTGAGCTATGATTGCACCACTGCATTCCAGCCTGGGTGACAGAGCAGAATACTGTCTCTGAAAAAAAAAAAAAGTTATATATGAAAGGCCTACATATAACATTTTAATTGTTAGATATTAGTGGAAAAACTTTGTGGTGTATGTTTATTTAGAATGTTTTCAGGAGGAGATAAAAAGTGGTACAGAAAACATGAAAGCATGAAAACATCCTTAAATTCACAGATTAAAATAAAACCTTTGGCACTCTTGAAGAAGATGCATCTTTAGACAATTTATATCCTATATTCTGAATCACATGTATTATAGTTAGGCTATATAGGAAAGCACTGGTCTCTACTAAAAGTACAAAAATTAGCCGGGTGTGGTAGCACATGCCTGTAGTCCCAGCTACTTGGGAGGCTGAGGCAAGAGAATTGCTTGAATTCAGGAGGTAGAGGTTGCAGTGGGCTGAGATCATGTCACTGCACTCCAGCCTGGGTGACAGAGCAAGATCCCATCTCCAAAAAAAAAAAGGTTGCATTCTTTTGAATCCTTGCACTGATCACACAATTTAGTCTAGGTCATTGAATCTGCATTTTTACATAAACAATAGGGCAGAGAAAGCAATCAGATATGCATTTGTCTCAGGTGAACAGAGGGATGATCTTCTGTCCCCTGCACCTGTGAAGATAAACTCAGCGTTTAGATTGCCAGGTTGAAATTCAGCGGAACTGTTTTAGGATAAATATCCTGAGGTTCACAAGGAATTTCCTTGTGAGCAAATTGTGAGGGAGGTATGCAGTGTAAAAGAAAAACAAAAACTTTGTAGCTGTGTTATTTAAGAATGAAATGAAAGAGAAAGACAGGTTTGCCTGATGTAATTCTCAGCTTGACTTTTCCCTTGTCTTAGTGATTTTAGGGTCCTGAGATTTATTTTCCTTTCACATGTGTAAATATCCCTCTTTTATTACCATTTCAGAGACTGAATCTCAGAGCAGTTCAATCATTTGCCCAATGCTACATGCTGAAACAGGGAAGTAGCAACTTGAATCCAGACAGTCTCACTCCAGCCATGGTGTGTTTCCCATTACTTTGGGATACATGCAAAGTCTTGAGAATACTTTAAAACTTGCATGATTGATGAGCATAAATAATAGAATAATTCTGTTTCATTTTAATTATGAAACAGAATAAAAACATGGTAGCCTCAAATGTCAAATAAATCTCTAGGAAAATAATATATGTACTTTGTATGTACTTTTTTTTGCTATGACTTATAGTTAATTAATATAAAGCATTCAAATTCTGGAGCTTAAATTCTGAGGCTCTAAGGAAGTTTGTTTTTGTTTTGTTTTGTTTTACAGGCAATTCTCTGTAATTCATACTACCTTCCCATGCTGATAATACCTAAGTATTCAGGGACTAAATGAACAATATTTTATCATGGTGTAATTGGGTTTTTAAAAACTCCTTGCAATTCTAATAGCAAGGTAATTTTAATTAAAACAAAATGAAGTACACAGCTCTTATTCCGTTTGATGAGTTTCTTCTACAGTATACAACGTGTGACAGACACCCAAAACAAGATACAGAAACTTTTCTTCTACCCAGATACTTCCCTGATGCTCCTTTCAGTCAATTCTCCCAACACTCCTCTTCACATCCACTAATTCTTATATCACCATGGATTGGTTCTGTTTGTGTTTGGATTTTATATACATAGATATGGTAGCCATTATTTTGCTTGTGACTTTTTCATTTGCATAATGCTGTCAAATATTGTTTAATGCTGTCAAAAATATTTTTGACTTATTGTATGTTAAGAATTTAGTTTTTTTATTCTTGGGTAATATTCAATGTTATGAATATATTCCAATTTGAATGATTTTAGTAGTTAATAGTTATGATAAGTTTGCTTATCATAATCAGAAAGGTTATAGCAATAACATGTCTCATACAAATTAGTTTTATAAATATTTACTTTTATTTTTATTGGGTGAATACCTACAAGAAAAATTGCTGAGTCACATGGTAGATATGTTTACCTTTATGAAAACCAGCAAGAGAGGCTAGGTCTTCCATATTCTCATAAAAATTAGATATGGCCTTTTTGATTTGAGTAATTCCAGTAGATATGTAGTGTTATCTCATTGTAGTTTTCATTTGCATTAGCTTGATGACTAATGATTTTGAGAACCTTAATTTGCTACTCAAATATGTTGTGTGTGTGTGTGTGTGTGTGTGTGTGTGTGTGTGTGAAGTTTCTATTCAAGTGTTTTGCCAACAAATGAGTAGGCTGTGTAAGAATTTTTATATATTCTGGATAATTCCTTTCTAAGATATGTATGTGATAAATCTCTTTATTTAATGATATGTCCCTCATCTATTCAGTTGGTTAATGGTGTCTTTTAAAGACCAAAACATTTTAATTGTGTTGAAGTCTAATTTATCATTTTTTTATTTTACTGTGAATGCTTTTTTTCAATGCCTGTCCAAGTAACCCTTGTCTTTTCCAACATTATAAGAGTATTTTCCTATATTCTAGAAATTTTACATTATGTTTATACTTTCAGATTGCTTTTTTATGTATGGCATGGGATGGAGATTTATGTTTTTTATAGAGGTAACCACTTGTTTTAGCAATATTTGTTTTAAAAGACTTGCCTTTCTTCATCAAATTGACTACAGGCCTTTATTGAAACTCAATTGACCATATGTACATTACTTATTTTTTAATTCATTTTGTCCAATAGTACATTCTCTTGATTACTGTAGCTTTACAGTAAGTCTTACAATCAAGTACTGTAAATTCTCCAGTTTAATTTTTCTTTTTCAAGAAATGTTTGATTATTCTACAACCTTTGCATTTCCATTTTTTTTTCTGTTTGTTTGTTTTTTACATAGAGTCTCACTCTTGTCACCTAGGCTGGAGTGCAACAGCATGGCACAGCTCACTGCAACCTCTGCCTCCTGGGCTCAAGTGATTCTCCTGCCTCAGCTTCCCAAGTAGCTGGGACTGCAGGCACATGCCACCACACCTGGCTAATTTTCATGTTTTTTAGTAGAGATGGGGTTTCAATCAGTTGGCCAGGCTGGTCTTGAACTCCTTACCTCATGATCTGCCAGCCTCAACCTCCTAAAATGCTGGGATTACTGGTGTGAGCCACCACCACGCCCAGCCTTTTCCATGTAATTTTACAACAATCTTATCTGTTTCTTCAAGAAAATCTTGCTGTAATTTGACAGTGATTAAACCAATTATATGAATATATATATATATAAAACTATATATACATATATATAACTATATATATATAAAACTTTGGAAAAAATGAACATTTTAAACAACATTTTCAGTTTTCTAATCCATAAACATGATATGTATCTGCATTTCTTAGGCATTATTCAATTTTTCTCAGCAATGTTTTATAGTCTTCAGTATAAAAATCATATATAAATTTTGCTAGATTTATTCATAGGCATTTTTTTCATTGATACCATTGTTAGTTTGTTTCATTTTTGTTTATTGCTAACATATAAAAATATAATTAAATTTATATATTGATCTATATTTTATTACCTTCTTAAATTTACTTATTACTTGTAGTAGTTAGTAGATTCCTTTGGGTCTAAAGAGAAACTTAAATTCCATTCCCACTGTTGTTTTTTATTTCACTTCTCCACGTCTTGCTCCCAGAGGCATCCCTAGTGCTAGATTTTTGAATCCCTTTTCAGAAATATCCCATCCATATACAAACACCAATAATATTACATTATATACTACATATAATTCTCCTATTTAAAGGTCTCTCATATTACCTTTCTGGGAGGATCAAATTTATTACCAGTACCACATATATTATGTGATAATATGCTTAAAATGAAAGCAAGTTCCATATTTGTTTTCTCCATACTTATAATACTTGAAAAAGGGAATAATGAGATATATGAATGCTATTTAACAGTATAAATTAATGTAAAACATTACATATTGTGAGCGTTTTATATTAATTACTCTGGAGGTAATATAACATGGAAATATATATGTTCTGTTTTATATCAGTTTTTTGAGCCAGTGATTTTTAATTTTGGTTTCTCATTGGAATCATAGACTAGCTTCAATGAATACTGATGGTTGGATCCCACCCCAGAGAGTCTGATTTTATTGATTTGATATGGGATATGGTTTGGGCAAAGAGATATTTTAAAGTTCCCCAAGTGATTTTAATGTGTAACCAATTTGAGAACTGATGTTTTAGGCCTTACTCATACAGTTCCCCCTCTAAAATGTGTCTCTTTGTGTGCGTGTGTGCACCTCAAGGGAGGTTTGAAGTGCAGAACAATGCTATGTCGTTTGTATTTGTAACTTTTACAAGTAATTTCATGGATCAAAAAGTTAAATAACTCGGAAACATAAAATTTGTATAACTTTACATAAGGCAGCTAATGTTTCCTGCATTACTCTTTCTTCATGCCCCAAAAGGAAATTTTAGCAATGAACTCTAACTTGTTTTTGTTAAGAAATAGGTGCAGGTATTTTTAAACACAAACTATGATACAAATGTTTAAATATAGAAAAAATACAAAATGGATTTAGAAAAAAAAATATAAAACATATTAAATTGATTGTCATTACCAAATATTAACCTTTGGCAGTCAAGGAGAATTGTTGTGCTGAGAGTCAGTGCTATAAAACTGGATTACATGGGCTATTTTTCTGGTCCAGTCTGATCTTTCTTATTTTCTTATATCCTAACATTTTAAGACATGATTTAAAAATAGTACAAGCAGGCCAGGCATGGTGGCTCACGCCTGTAATCCCAACACGTTGGGAGGCTGAGACTGGCGGATCACCTGAGGTCAGGAGTTCACGACCAGCCTGGCCTACATGGCGAAACCCTGTCTCTACTAAAAATACAAAAATTAGCCGGGTATGGTGGCGAATGCCTGTAATCCCAGCTACTCGGGAGGCTGAGGCAGGAGAATCACTTGAACTCAGGAAGCAGAGGTTGCAGTGAGCCAAGATCATGCCACTGCACTCCAGCCTGTGGGATAGAGCAAGACTCCATCTCCAGGAAAAAAAAAAAAAAAAGAAAGTACAAGCAACACATGCAAGGAGTAAATAAGACTAATGTTTACACATGGAACAGTATTTTTAGAGTTTATTATAACTGGCAAATAAAATAGACATCCAAATTGTTCAGTACAAAACCTCATATTTTCAGTGGCCATTCAATCTAACATATTTCCTGATTGACTGAGGTGTGCAGAATGTAACATTAGAAATTCTGCAAAATTTAGGCCAAATTTTAAACCTAAAGTTAAATATAACACAGACAAAGTGGACATAATATAAAGCAGAAAACATTGCACCTGACATTCTGAATAATTATTAGCAGGCAGGAAGAAAAGGAGGAAGGGAAATTCAGGCAATACTTAAAAAAAAAAATAGAAAAATGCATTTGAAATCTATCATAAGAATTTCTCTAATAAAATGTTGCTGGAGCTGGATATAAATTCCTACTTTTCCATTTAATATATTTGTAAGATTGGAGAAATTATTTAAATGTTTTGAGAGTTATTTTCCTCATATGTTTAAATAAATATAACAATACTTTAAAATATTGTGAGGATTGGGTATGATTCTGTGTATGAAAATGCTTAGCAAAGAGGCTGGATCCTCAATAGATGCTCAGTATTTAATTTTCATAAGTATACCTAAGTCACTTTTGCTTTCTTAATGTTATTTAAGTCTGAATTCTGTAAGTTGCATTTCGAAGTAAAGCACAAAACCACCACCAATAACCTACCCACTCCTTTAGCTAATTTGTTTTGCTAGTCTGAGACTGGAAGCACTTCACTATCCATCTCTAGTATGGCTGATAAGGAGTTGATCTAAGTACACGAAAGGGAAATGTGTTCTAAATTGTGTATTGTATTAAGGCTTATAATTTTATCATTTTAGTGTTATTTAATTCATAATTTTGATACTTTAGAACCTTGCTATTCAGTGTGCTTCATAGACAAAAGGCAATATTATTGCCAGCCAGCTCATCAGAAACCCAGACCTACTGAATCCCAATTTCCATTATAGCAAAATTCCCAAATGACTTATATGTATGCACATTAAGGTTTAATGGAGCCCTGTTTTAGCTATACATAGTTCAATATTACTCTTTAAATACATATGATTTAAATTTTAAATAAATTCTTATTACATGCATTCTGATTCTGGCTGATATAGATGTAAGTTACATTTGTTGTAAAAAGCGCTAAATCAGGAGTAGAAGCACACTTCCTTTATATTGGCTGTGCCATTTAATAATAGTGAAAATTTATTAAGTTCCTAAATTTCCAAAAGTTTTTATTTCACCATCTGTAAAGTGAAAGGCTAGTTAATACTTTCCTGGTACTCAGTGCAATTGTTTAAAGGTTCATGTGAGATGGAACATAATTAATGTTCAAACTCTGTACACATGTGAAGCATTATTATAACCTATGAGTTTATGAGTGGGCAGTGGACAGGATTTAGAAAGAACAACTAATCACAGATCAGTTACGAATAAGAGCTCCTTAGGGAGAAAGACAAGATGACAACCACAGAATATGATTAATAACCATATATTTTGTTGCTTCATAGAAGAAATACAGGGTGGATAAGAGAGGAAGTGTCCTAAAGGAAAGGACAACCTCCCGAAGTGCTGGGATTACAGGCGTGAGCCACCATGCCTGGCCAATTTTGATTTTTTAAAAACTGATTTGTGTTGACTTTGCTTGGATGGTCCAATCGGTTTCTTACTGATTAGCTCGCGGTGAAAGCATGAACAGTAACAACATAAAACAAGACAAAAAATATATATTTTCCTCAGCACTTGCCTTCAATTTTTCCTAAGGATGCTTCTTAGTAACTGAATTAAGGAAACATTATATGCCATGGATTTGGCATGGCAGTGAGGACGTTGTGAGGGATGTCTTCATGGAAATCTACAATGCAAACTCTGGTTCTTTCCATTACAGATAAAAAGACTTGTGGACCTCATGAATTCCAGTGTAAAAACAACAACTGTATTCCCGATCACTGGCGGTGTGATAGCCAAAATGACTGCAGTGATAATTCAGATGAAGAAAACTGTAGTAAGTAACTCTTGCCTAATAATGTTTTGAGCTTGACAGCCCATTCAATAAGCAGGATGGCAATTTTTAGTTCTGTTAAGGTATAAATTTGAACCTGTCTTATGGCTCACATTTTTATGCATATATTCACATTTGGACAAGAATATTCAGACTACCTGAATTTCAAATGGTAGAATTATTGAAATGCTTATCCTAAGAGTTATTTTGTTACAGTTCTCACAACTGGTATGAAAGTATCATGAGGTTTAATGCAACCCATTAGTATGCAATGAAGGAAACCCTTGATGCAAGTTCACACAATGAGCTGAATGATGTGGAGTCACTACAAAACATCTCATTCTTTAACAAATAGTATTCATTTCATTTCAGTCTCAAATCCTTTTACACTATAAATTCGCCCATGAGCATATTTCAGTGAAATATCACTTATTCTCTCTACAGTAGTCAACACCTTATATATTCAGGATGCATTTCTCTGAAAATAGAATAACACTATTGTTATCATCTGTCTTCTCCATTTTATATAATAAATTTAAAAATAATAATTCTCCCCAAATTTTACTTTCTGAAGAGTATGGCAGTTATATAAAATTGTGACAGTATCTCCTGATTGTAGCATTTATTTCAGAATATATATATGTATTTTTTGAGAGAGGGTCTCACCCTGTTGCTCAGGCTGGAGAGCAGTGGCATGATCATGACTCACTGCCGCCTTGATCTCCCAGGATCAGGTGATCCTCCCACCTCAACCTTCCAGCTGGGACTACGGAAGCATGCCACCACACCTGGCTAGTTTTCTTTATTAGTTGTAGAGATGGGATCTTGCCATGTTGCGCAGGCTGATCTCTAACTTTTGGGCCCACGCAATAAACCCTGGCCTCCCAAAGTGTGGGGATGACAGGCGTGAGCTGCCACACTCGGCCTGAATATATTTCTTATTGGCACTTTTATACACTGTCATTTAAACAAAGAAAGCTATACAAGCATGTTTAAAATAAGATAATAATCAAATTCCATTTATTAAATATTTATATCTGGTACTTCCAAGAAGACTTGAAGCAGATTAGTAACGATAATGACTATTCTTGCAGACATCTCATTGGACTAAGAGCATTCATTTCCCCAGACGCAGAAGACTAAATCTACATAGGAATATGTTATATTAAAGCATATAATTAGTAGAGTGAAAGCCTTAATAAACCACTTGGATATTTGGCTTGCAAAATACCAACTAATGTTTTGGATAACTTTCAAAACTTAATCAGACCTGTCTTTGGGAATGAAGTATATTAAGCATGAAATCTCTGGATTATTGTGATTACAGAATACCCTGAATATAGAAACTTTTATAACTCCCTCTTTACATACATATCTTCTAACAGGTCACAGTCTTTAGAAAGATAAAGAGCATTGCAGAGAGTCAATAGAGTTTTAGATTTCTTTAATCACCAGTTTTTAAAAACTGTATATGGAAGTTCTCTGATCCACTTAATGATTAAAATAAAATTCTGACGGGGTGGAGCTGGTAGGGATAGAAGCATAAATATAAAAAATCCCACAATTATGCATATACTTTCTGCTTATTTATGAAACAGAACTTAAGTGCACAAATATCTACTTAGCTTTTCTTTTGATATATTTGGTGTTAATCATCTATGAGGTAACTGAGAGCAAATGCCTTATAACGGAAGGATGTTGAAAGCAGAAGAAGGTGGATGAGAGGCCAACTCTGTAGACATGTCTTGGAGAACTTTTATTCATGGTGTGGTTGAATCTATGTGAGAAGTTAGCCTACTGCTATAATAGGAAAAGCAGGAGAAGAAGGAAGGGCTCGCCTGCTTCTGAGTCTGCTGCGGTTTTCTAAGCGGCTGAATATCATTGTACTGACATCTAAAAGTCAGCCTTTGGCACAAGAAAGCAAGGAGAAAGAACATTGACTCTCACTTGTCACTGTGGAAACTCAGTGATAAATCACTGTAGCCACAGTGCCCTTAAGAAAAAGCAGGGGAAGTGCTTGCAAAATCAAGCATTCCAGTATAAAATACCCAATTATGTGTGGTTCTCTTTTAGTTTCTGTTCACTCTGAGCTTGTCGACTAAGACAAGTAATATTGATGAAGTTGCAGAGGAGAGATGACAGCGAACAAGAATGAAGTATTTTACAATTGTAATATGGAAGACTAGTAGGCATATATGGGACAAGTATAAGAGTACGTTTACATTTTACACATGTAAGAGGAATGTCAGAGTATGTTAGGGCAAATATCAAAGTATATTAACATGTTTTGAACATGTAAGAGGATGGATCCAGGGATCTAGATAATTGAATAGGGCTTGAAGATACTATTTTGAATAGGCCAGAAGAAATGGGAAGGTTTCAACATTGACAATGCCAGTCGTTCTACACAGGCAGAAATTTAGTCAATAAAGAACGAGAAAAGAATTCAATTATATCTTTGGGGAGCACCAAAATATTAGTCATATAGAAACAAGCTTTAGAAAAAAAATACTATTGCTGTACTAAAATCTATCAAGATATTTGCAATTGTTATCTATGAAAATAATTGTAAACACACACACACACACACACACACACACACGCACATCACTGTCCTAATACATTAGGGCTGTGGTATATGTTGTCCTATTTTCTAAATATTATTGATCAATGTTATGAACTTTGATTTACATTTGGCAGTTATTGTTAGCTATTATTAAGTAGTGAAACATATCACAGACATATAAATCAACCTATATCATCATGTGTTGCTTAACAGTGGGGATACATTTTGAGAAATTTGTCGCTAGGCAATTTTGTCATTGTGTGAACGACATCAAGTGTACTTACACAAACATAGATGGTACAGACTACTACACACCTAAACTATATGGTTCAGCTAATTGCTCGTAGGCTAAAAACCTATACAGCATGTTACTGTACTGAATACTGTAGGGAATTGTAACACCATGGTATGTATTTGCCTATCAACATTTAAAAAGTACAGTAAAAATATTATAATTTATGGCACCACCACTGTATGTTGTTGGAAATGTTATTATGTAACACATAACTGTAGTTGAAAAATAACAGCAACATAATTTAAAGTCACTTTTGGACTTCTTTGTTTATGAATCTGATTTCATGCATTTACTTTTTAAATTGTGTTGGAGATAGTCCAGTGATAGATATGGGAAGAGTTCAAATAGTAGTGGGGCAATTAACTGCCAACTACGTTTTAAATTTAATATGCTTTCTATATTTTTATATATACATAGGATAATTAGTTCATTGTCATTTTATTATCCTCTGCTTATCATTTCCCTCATTAAGTGTTCAGCAGGGACACTTTGCTTCAACAATTATTTCTGCTCTTCAAAACAAGAAAATCTCATTGTCATTGGAGTTATTTTGTAATCCGGATCAGAGGTTTGGAAATAATTGAGAAATCTCAACATATCTATAATATCTTTATCAACAAAAAATAAAATATGTCATATATGCCATCTAAGTTACTGATTTATGAAATAAATTACTTTATAGCCTTACATTATTAAGAAGTAACTAAAAATCCAATGGATTTTAAAATAACAAGTGATTAAAAATTAAGGTTTACATAGAGAGACAAGCTGCTTCTGCCTTATTTGAATTTCTAGTACTTTCACACTGAATTTCTATCAGAAGATTATTTGTATAGAGTATAAGTTATACTAATTGTATTCTAAAAATTCTTGTCAAATGCTAACATCGACATTCATATAACTTTTGAACTTATCACTAAGAGTTTTTAAGATAGTAGAGAAACTGAAGTCCAAAAGTCTTTCTGCTCTGCCATTAACTCTATGGTTTTGAAAGCCACTTTTATTTCCTGAACATAATTTTCTACAGTTTTGTGTAAGTTGACTTCCAAAGCTCTTTTCAGTTCTGTGGTTGTATGTTTTTACCTCCATCAGTATTGAAAGAAATGATCAGTCTACATGATGCCCCTGTATTTTGTTCTTTTCTCCTCTTTTTTTTTTTTTTTTTTTTTTTTTGAAAGGGAGCCTCACTTTGTTGCCCAGGCTGGAGTGTAGTGGCGCAATCTTGACTCACTGCAACCTCCGTCTCTTGGGTGCAAGTGATTCTCCTGCCTCAGCCCCCCAAGTAGCTGGGATTACAGGTGCGCACAACAGTGCCCAGCTAATTTTTGTATTTTTTGTGCAGGGGGTTTTCACCATGTTGGCCAGACTGGTCTCGAACTCCTGACCTCAGGTTATCTGCCCACCTCAACCTCCCAAAATGTTGGGATTACAGGCATGAGCCACCACACTCAGCCCTTTATATTTTATTCTTATTGAAGAATCCCAATTAGCCTTCTGAAACATGGAAAACATACCCTGCAAAAGCTTCTTGGTTGCCAATCTGGCTTGTCTAGATGAGGTTTATGGAAAACCTGGTTAATTGTTCCCGTGTAGAGTTCCCCATCTACTCTTGGTCCAGGGATATAGGCAATATCAGAGAAAATTAGCATGAATATAGCATTTTGGAAATACGGGGGAGAATGTCACATTCAACTTTTTTTTCAGATGGGTTAGCTTTTACTACAGTCATGTTGTTTTTGTTATTGTTCTCTTTCACAAGAAAAATAGTATCATGATAAAGTCTGAAAATTGGTCTTTTATTTTATCCAAATAAGATCAAAGTTAAGATAAGCAATAAGGAAAAATTCCTTAGGGCTTTCCGTGGTAACTAAATTACATTTTCCTGAAGAGAGAGTTTCTTTTTGAGCTATCTAGTGGCAAAAGATTCTGAGGTATATGAATGATGGTTAGAAATAGACTTGGTACCCTATTCCTTGATGGTATTTGTACATGTATAAATAATTCATGATTATTATTCAGAAGTAGATTTGCTGGCATTTTTAAAAACGTGATAGAAACATGCAGAATTTCCACTTTCCCTGGAAAAGCTTTTCCCAGCAAATCTCTCAGCCTCTCTACTGCCATTTTGAAGCAGAATAATTAATAATGTTAGGACAAAGTCTCTAGAAAATGAGCATTCTGTGGAACTCTTGGGCAAATGCTTTCAACTACTGGCTTGATAACTTTTTTTAACCTACATCAACAACTTTCAACCCTTTGTATAGCAAAGTGTGTCAAGGCCTGTGAAGCCTTTGCTGTGTAGCACATCATGAGCACACTTACTTTTAAATAGGATAAAGGCAAATTAGAACATTAGAGGAAGAATTAGTCCCATTCTACAACTCCCAATTCTATGAAATTAGATGTTTCTTCTGCTGTTTTTAAACATGTAAGCACGACATGTTTTAAATTTACTCTTTCTTTATTCTTTTCATGAAAAAATTTTGGGCTGTTATTTTCCATTGTTAAATAAATTGAACATATTTCACTATAATTTCTTTCCTCTAAGAATAAAACTGCATGTGTCTGCAACCAGGAGGGCGAAATGGCTTCAGTATGGAATGGTGATAACAGCAAATGAGTTTCTTCTTGTTATTATTAATAAAATAGATATTGCTAGCCATGTGCTTTAGATAAGTAACTTGGCTTCCCAGGGCTTTAATGTTAATCTCTGTAATATGTGGACACTTATTTTTTCCTCAATTGTATGGGAAGCAATGATACAGCCTACTAGGAAAAAGTACAGGCCCTGGTATCTGGTTGTCTTGATTCAAGTTCAATTAATAGCTCTTCTGTACGCTCTGTGATTTGAAGTACGTTACTTATCTCTGTGCCTCAATTTACGCATCTTAAACAGGGTACAAGTATAGCACGTTCCTTAGAGAGTTGTTACAAAAATTCACTGGTGAGTTAATTCAAGTACTTTTCATTAACTTTACCTAGTACCTGACAACAAATAAGCAATCGGTAGATGGTAATTATTATTAGTTATAATAAATATTAGTATTAATTGTTATTTTTAAGATTAAAGCATAATCTATGTGAATACCTTATATAAACAAAAAGGGAAATTTCTATTGTCACATTTACTAAACAAAGGAGTGTAGGAACATGAGAAGATTATCCACTTAAGGGCATTTTCCCATTCTATCAAATGGCACCTTGTCTTATACCGTGAAGGTCTTGTTTTAAACTAAACTAAGTAGCAGAGTAGAACGAAATGCTTGCTGACACACATTACTTTTTCTATAGTTCTTCCCATCCAATGTTCTGAAGGGTTTCTTTTCTTTTTTTCTTTTCCGAAGCACAGTCTTGCTTTGTCGCCCAGGCTGGAATGCAGTGGCATGATCTCAGCTCACTGCAGCCTCTGTCTCCCAGATTCAAGTAATTATCCCACCTCAGCCTCCCAAGTAGCTGGGATTACAGGCGCCTGCCACCAAGGCAGGCTAATTTTTGTATTTTTAGTAGAGACGGGTTTTTGCCATGTTGACCAAGCTGGACTTGAACTCCTGACCTCAACTGATCTGCCCGCCTCGGCCTCCCAAGTGCTGAGATTACAGGCGTGAGCCACCGTGCCTTGCCCTGAAAGGGTTTCTTTATATAGGAATGTAGGAACCCTCATGATACCAAACCATCAAGATGTTACTCTATATGTAGAAACCAAGGGATTGTGTAGAGCAAAATCCAGATGCAGACTGATTTACTCACAATCTTTGTGCAGAAAATCAGGCATCATATGGATATTCCTTAATGTCTGTTAGTTATTGCTTCTTGACCCAGTAAGAATATTATTATGTGTGATACAGCTGCAAACACAAGGAATGAACAGAGAAAACACGAAGAGGTCTTTCATCATGTAAGATATCAGTCCTGTTTAGAGAATAAAAACAAAACAAGAGATGATATCCAGCAGTCATATTGATTACTTGCATGAACGAATTTCTGAAATCCTACTTCATTTTCCAGATGAAACATATTCCAATAGGAATTAAGCCAAGTAGTAAGTCATTACTATGTGGCTTATGCCCTATGTGGACTATGGGACACCATAATTAAATCAATAACTGCTAAATTATCTAAATTGACAGGCAAGTGATATAGGGCACAATAAACAATGGCATAAACAAATGTGCAGTTTTTAAAGATGAATCTTACAAACTAGCTTTGTGTAATATTATCCCTATATACTGTTCTTGTTCCAGGAACTCCAGATTTTCTGGGGACAAAATTGAATAATTAGAATGTTTTTAGAATACATAATATAAAGTCAAATACAAAGGCTAGACTCACTGCCCAGTTAATAATAAACAGTCCAATGGGTACAGAGAGTCACAAAATGTCATACTTACTTAAAGTAAATACATAAAATGACATAGAACTCCAGCAACTAAAAAAGATCATTGTTACAGTATGACAATAGGTACATTTTCAGGCTTATTTTTATTAAACAGTAGACCATTTATCTTTTGTCCTACGTTCCAACTTGTTTTTGTAATGCCATTTTGTACTTATGACTTTAAAAATAAATTGGAAAAATTATTATATTATGTACCATAGATGCTTCATGAGATTTTTCCTAAACAATATATTGGTTCTGTCTGACTAACCTCTTTTTTTTTCTTTAATGCTACCTCATGTCATATGTCATATAAATTTTACAATGCACTTACATATAATAGAATAACCCTGTGCTGTTTTTTTATCCCCAGAGCCACAGACATGTACATTGAAAGATTTCCTCTGTGCCAATGGGGACTGTGTTTCTTCAAGGTTTTGGTGTGATGGAGATTTTGACTGTGCAGATGGCTCTGATGAGGTAGGCATCTTTGTAAAATCAAAAAGAAAGCAGCGCTTTAGAACCACATTTGTAATTATTATTATTCAGTCCAATAAGTGCGGCAAGGACAGCTCAGAAATACTTTGCTCCTGACACATTGAGATAAGTATTATATCCATGTGCTGTGCTTCACATCCCCAGCACAGGGAATAGCTCTTGTGCTGCTATTGACAGTTAATTTTATAGTCTGTTTTACCTCAACTGGTGAATAGCTGCGTTGTAGGAATAGGATGTTTGGAAACCCTATTCCCTATAGCTGATGCCCCTGCCATCTGTGAATTAGTTCATAAATTTGCTGCAGTATTTATAGTCAGGACTAATATTTTTATGCATTTTAAACAGTTTCTTCTCCCCAGTCTCTTTCTTCAATAGATATAGTCTTACAGACATCGATGTGGGTCATCAATTTTTATGAAACCACAGGTTGAGCTTTGCTTCGGTGATGAATCACAATCCATTTATAATAAGGCCTATGTACACACAGCTTTAAGTGAAAAAGTTTACAAATCCTCTGGATAATTCTATAAACTTAGTTTGTGCTAACATTTATAATACTTCATACAATTTGTTATTTATGCATTTATGTCCTTATGTTTCAGATATTAATTACTCCATGATGCTTTAAAAATAATAAACAACACATGATTATATATATTTTTCTCAATCAAATCTAAAAGGACCCCAAGCTCTCATATCCCAGTATCAGTGATTTCACATGGATAATATCAGAAACACAAGGTTTGCGCAATCAAGTCCAGTCAGAAGTGAAGGAAAAAAGAGCTCTAGCCGGGCATGGTGGCTTACGCCTGTAATCCTAGCACTTTGGGAGGCCGAGGCGGGTGGATCACGAGGTCAGGAGGACAAGACCATCCTGGCCAACATGGTGAAACCCTGTCTCTTCTAAAATACAAAATAATTAGCCAGGCATGATGGTGCACGCCTATAGTCCCAGCTACTTGGGAGGCTGAGGGAGGGGAATCGCTTGAACCTGGGAGCCAGAAATTGCAGTGAGCTGAGATCGTGCCACTGCACTCCAGCATGGCGACAGAGCGAGACTCCACCTCAACAACAACAAAAAAAGATCCTGTTCCTCAGTGTATACCATGGCTCCTGTATTGCAATGATTCCCTAAAGCTCCGCTGCTCTGGTTGAGAAGCATATGTACTCACCTCTCATGAATGCCCGCCCGCTGACCATAGACTTGGCCAGAGGATTTTCGCTGCAGCTCTGGAGGTTTCTGTGTTTGTTCCCAATTCCCTAGGCATCCACTGATTTCATGCCTCTGTGGGAGATACTACAGGTCTCTGGTATTTACAGAATTCATGCAAACTAGGTCTCTTCCAGCCCTGAGGCATTCCCTGTAGGACTGGACAATTCTCCCTTCTCTGACCATTTTGAAAAAGTCACAATAACCACATTCAACAGCCTGGATTTTGAAAACAAACACATGTAATTTCTCGCCTGAGGGCTAGCAAAACCTAAGTCTCAAGGATGCAAAGGTCGCTCAAGAGAAAAAGTTGAAAAATACACTGCTTCTAGTCATGGAGCTCTTCACAAAATAAAAGTCAAAACATTTTTTTTTTTAAACACAAAGGAGAGTTACATTTTTTACACTCATTTACCAGCCACATATTTACCTAGCATTCATAAATTTGAAAATTACATTAAACTTTTCTAAGGCAGAAAAACACATTTTAATTAAACTCATCCATGAAAATATCTTGGCTTTGGTTTTGTTTATTTAATACGTTGAACCAATCTGGGTAATATGTAAAACATCAAGAGGTGGGGATGTATTGGTTAAGGCTTATATATTTATCTTGAATCATATTCACAAGATATGCAAAGTGCATATGCGAAATCAAATACTACTACTTCTTTAAAATCTTATTCATGTGAAAGTAGATATCCTTATTACCATGTATCTCATCCCATAAGTTGGTGGACATAGTGATTTGATGGCTAAATATATCTCCATATATCCAGACATTTTCATGATAAGGCTCAGAAGAAATGAAATTAATTGTAGTAAAGTCATTTTTCTCTACATTTATAGATGTTTAGTGCAGTCTATATGTAAGTAGCTAACACTATTGGTAGTTGATTTCTACTTTTTTTTTTACAGTCTAGAACAAAAAAAAACTGAACAAGTGGCTAGAAAGCAGAATTACACACAGAATACTCTCACATTAAGAATAAAAATTGGGAGAATTGTGAAGATAAGTTTCTGTATGAATGGAACTGATAATATGATTAGCTTGTTAATAACAAAACAACAAAGAAGAAGTTTAAAAATATGGTTCAATCTAATTGTATAGCAAGTATTTATCTCTGTGGCACACACAGAAAATGATTACTTAAAGTGATTTTAAATTATAATATTTTTGCTCTACATTTAGCGTAATATGTTGTAAGAACAAAAAAACAAAGAAATCTTAAACTGCATCCATAGACATTGTTAATAATAATATTGGCTCTGCTAATTTGAAACATGTAGGGTGGTTCAAATGCTTATTTATGTCAATGTCATTAGAATCAAAATTTCAGAGAAAGGAGATATAAATGTAGAAACAAAAAGTTAAGTAAAATCCTCTCTTATTAAATCCAAAAGTATCAGTATAAGATCTTGATTAATCTTTCTCTTTCTAAAAATATATGATTTCTACATCTGCCAGTGAAAAGTCCTAGAACCAATTATAAACCAATGGTAATGACTGTCCTGAAATTCACCAAGTGGTCTCTAAATACCATTTTCCAATTAAAGGAAACACTCCTTTGAGAGATGCCTAATTTTAAGTGTGAGAAAATAAATTGACAAGATGAGCTGCTAACATCTGAGATTATTAAGAGAGTGTACAAAGTGCACAACAACAAACTTACTTAAAGGAACTTCCACTGACAAAAGGGACAATTTGTGCATTAGAAAGAAAAACGACTGTAAGGGATTAAAACACACACACACACACACACACACACACACACACATACACACAGTATAAAAATCAATGAGTTCACAACAATACTTTAAAAAGCAAAAGCTCATTAATCACTTTGGAGGTTGCAAAGGTATCAACATTCTTAGGGTGCAATTAGTCAAATTCAGAATGTGAGCTATTCTATAGTATAACTGACTTGTTTTCTTCAAGTAGTAAATGGCATTTAAAAAAACTGAAGAACGAGAAATAGTTATACATTAAAGAAACTTTAATTCAAGGTATAGATCTCTTTTGAGTCCTTACTTTACCAAACAATATTTTATATGGCTAAATGACACAACAGTACCATTGGTCATTGAGCTGCTTTACTTAAATGAGCCCACTTGCAGAGATAATCATTCATCGCTCCTAAAAATGTTTACTGGATAGTTATTATAATCATGTGACAGTATTAGATACTTGGTTCACAGACAGGCATGATCTTTATCCCAGTAGAGCTGGGATAAAGTTATATGAGATGTTAATTTACATTTGTTTTCTATATTTGCTAGTTTATTAATTTATTAATTCACTCAGCAGTTTGTACTGAATGTTTACTATGTCCCCGGCACTAATAGTATGGAGAATACAGCGGTGAATAAAACATATGACATCTCTTTCTTATGACATTCTCTAATGTCTTTCACATCATTTGCTATTATGTAGCTTCCTCCAGATATCCCACATTTCCGATTATCCTTACACATAAAAAGCCTTTTCTTAAGTAGTTCCATTTCTACTTAAACTGTTATCACAAAGAGAAAATTTCAGGAATTTAGAAAGTGAACTCTTTTTCCTTATATGGGGATGAACCTGGGAAGAAGCAGCAAGTAGTAGTTCAACGTGCTTTACTTGCTAGGAGTTCCACAAACCATGAGATTGTTACACTTTTTGTGGAAGAAGCAGACAAGTACATTTTGGCAAAAATAGAAATTCCCTAACAACAGAAAACATCATCCCAGTGAGACACTTCATTAGAGTATTCCACTTCAACCAGAGTGTTCAGACCCAGGGAAGGTGATTTCTAGTGACTCCATTTCATTTATCTCCTATACAGATCCTCAAAGGTAAATTTGCCATCTTGTTTGACTTCCACATAAAATCTGTATATGGACTAGCAGAAATGAAAATTTTGACAGTTCATTTCACAGCTCTTTAGGGAACAATGTCAGAAAAGAGGAGAAGGAGAACTGCAACAACTAAACTGTAAAAGGATTGGTGCAAAGGAAAAGAGATGGAGAGAGGAGAAAGAAAGAACACCAGGGGAAGCTTTGCCCATGCAAAACAGATTTGTCTTAGGATTTTTGTTTGTTTCACATTCCATATCCTTAGCCTTCTTCTCCCTATAGCCAATAAACTGGATGTAGTTGCTTAGAAATAATTTTTGAAAAAAATTGTTTAGAGACAGGATGTCACTATGTTGCCTAGACTCGAGTGCAGTGGTATTCATGTGTGCCCATCATCGCGCACTACATCCTCAAAGTCCTGGACTCAAGCAGTCCTCCTGCCTCAGCCTCTTGAGTGGCTGGGGCTATTGCGCCAGGTAGAAATAATTCTTTAACTCTTTTATTATCTCATAATCTTCATTATTACCTAAAATTATTAAAATTCCATTACCCTATAACTATCTACTGAATAATGATACTCTCAGAGTAACTTAATTAGTATGATGAAGCCATAAAATTTTTTTTTATCCGTTTTTTGTTTTATTATGACTCACAGGGACAAATGAAAGTAGAAAATTGTTATAATTCTGTTGTATATTCATGGGCTTAAAATATTAGCATCTGAGCCACTTTTATATAGCAGACATGGTTCTTACACTTCTGGGTTTCTATGCATAAGTTGTCTAGTCTTTCGGTTTGTAAACATTTTTCTAAAAACGCAATTTTAATTACATCTATGTTGTTTTTGACAGAGAAGTTGTGAAACAAGTTGTTCCAGGATCAGTTCCAGGTTTTCTGTACATAAGTTTTCTTGTCTTTTGAGTGTGTAGAAGTGTTTCTAAAATTTTAATTTTGATTATATCTCTGTTGTTTTTCATAGAGAAATTGTGAGACAAGTTGTTCCAAAGATCAGTTCCGGTGTTCCAATGGTCAGTGTATACCAGCAAAATGGAAATGTGATGGCCATGAAGACTGCAAATATGGGGAAGATGAGAAAAGCTGTGAGCCAGGTAAAAGGATTGAAGTAATATATCATTTAGTTAACATTTTACCTTGATAGAATTTAAATTTAAGCAGCAATATGCAGAAAACAGTGGCAAATATGTCATATGTTTACCATTTTTAAGAAAGGGTCTGCAAATCTGTGGATAAATTAATTAGTGTGTGCTTCATATGTTTTGAAAGTGTTTTGGAAAATAAGATCATTACTTATGAATGGAATCCAAGCATAATTTCCCCAAATTTGATTTTCTGGTTTCTATATCTTATTATACCATTTGGAACTGTTTCCCCAAGATAGGAAAGTAAAATCTGTTGAAATTAAAAGTACAGTAAAAGATAGGTTTTAGTTATGGAAATGGTGATTATGAAATAGAATGTAATCATTTCAATGTGATGCTAGCTAAGAAGCAGCATAATTGTGTTGTTTGTATTTACATCTTGGGCCAAAATTTGAGTAAAGTTAGAAAGCAAAGCCAGAAAAAAGATACACTACTCAATTTATGTGCTAGGTGTCTCTACAAATATACTCATTAAAACACTTCATTTTTTAATTATATATTTTAATTACATTATCTTACAGAAAAATATTACTGGTGGAAAACTGTACTATAATGTATGTATGACCATAAAACCATTACCTTGAGAGACTAGGTCAGAATCACAAGTACAAGGCTCACACATTACTATGCCCCAGTACCATGTCCATGGGCTATATTGTTAATTGATCACAGATTTCCTTCTTACTGAATACAGACATGTTATTAGACTCCTTATGAATACAGATCCCTAGACAAACACTGCCAATTAAAAGGAGTTGAACTCAAGGAAAAAGCTTTTTAGTATCCCTGAGCTAAGGAATTCAGACTACAAAGTCATTAAGTAAGTATGAGAGACTACACAGTGGTCTAACATAAGGCCAGAAGCCCAGACATTTGAATGCAAGCCTAGCCAACTCAAGCTCATAGAAAAAGGCAGCTATCATAATTTCTGTCAATTAATTAGACTGGGTAGTATTTACATCTTGTGACTGATACACTTATAAATATTATAAACTTGCAAATATTACACTTGTAAATAACATTTAGCTGCTTGTTATTCTTAATTTCGGCATCATAAAGGAATACTGCACATTCTGTTAACTCTGTTAATTACACATGTATTCATATTTAAAATCCCAAAACAATACAATTCTTAGAACTTATTCAAATACTTTATTTATGTCAATGCAACCAAATAGATATTATTGGGTCTGTGAGACCATGCCAAGATTTTGACTTTGTGCTTTATACAGTGAATGTAAGAATTAACATACTCAAAGGTTGCTAAATATTATTACAGTTTTGAAAGTATTTGGAGACTTCAATAATTTAAAATGATTTAATTTAAAATTGTAAAAAAAAAAACTCATGTAACACTTCAAAATCAAAGGGATGAAGGATATCAAGGTTTGTTTGTTTTTTTTTCCTTCTATGGACTATTGAGTTAAATTCTTACTGCACAGGTTATTGCATCATGAAGTATATTTAATATAATGCAATAATATTATAACTAATTCTAAAATTATTTAAATAATTTAAATGAATCTGTAATACCAGTCATTAAATGTCGTTATATAGTATAAACTATTTTTATTACCATCTATAAATTCATATATTTATGTGTTTATGTTTTTATTTCTAAAACCTGTTATTTTTACTCTATCTCAATTTCAAATTTATAATTGTATTCAGCTTCTCCTACTTGCTCATCACGTGAATATATATGTGCCAGTGATGGATGTATTTCAGCATCTTTGAAATGTAATGGAGAATATGATTGTGCTGATGGTTCAGATGAGGTAAAATATATTGTTTAATTAAAATATTTGAATTACATGAATTAGGTTTGGGCAAACAAATGTAATGAAAATAAAGAGAAAGAATCTTGATTCTTAGCATGGTTTAACATGTTAGATATGTACATTGAATGCAATCATTTCAGCAAATACCTGAATTTTCATGCTGTCCATATACTAAAGCTCATTCTCATTTGTAGAAGTTATATTCATTAAGACAAAATGAAAGAAAGCCCATGGTATAATAAAGCTCTAGTATTACAAGCTGCATGTTTATTTTGCCCATGATTGTATCATTATCATTAATGAAAACTGCAGTGTCCATTTGTATTTGAACAGATGGACTGTGTGACTGAATGTAAGGAAGATCAGTTTCGGTGCAAAAATAAAGCCCACTGTATTCCAATTAGATGGCTGTGTGATGGAATTCATGACTGTGTGGATGGCAGTGATGAAGAGAACTGTGAAAGAGGTAAGGTATTTTTGTGTGTGTGTGCCTGTAAATGAGAGAATGAAAGTTAAGGTTCTGTGCAGAATATACAGTGTATGCTAGAGGCAGAGGATAGAATCTTTAAATAATTCTCTTTACTCTTCCAAGTTTCATTACATAGCAGCCTGGTCTAAATATGCAAAATCCAGATCATTGTCAGACAGAGTATAATCCCAATCTGGGCATGACAAACACGAACACAGGGCAAGTGTTTACTGAGTGTCTACCATTTCAGACTAGATGCCGGGTCAAGTATAGGGATATGTGGAGAATACAGAGAAAGTAGCCAATGAAACCATGACTACAAAAGTATATCTTGAATTTTCTGTATATCCTTTCCTTTCACATTGCTTGCCTTACTCTGAAAGCATAGGAACAACATATGGCATACTCAATTGCTTACATTCATATGCTGTATGATATATAGGTTATAGGTTGTGCCCCAAATCCCTAAATTTCCTTATTGCCGTATCACTGAGAAAATAACCTACATTTTTTTGTCAGTCTAAAAGACAACTTTCCTTTTTGTCATATATTATTTCCTAGCTGTGCGAAGATTATTTTCTGACAGATAACAACATTTTAGTTTTAAACCACCATATTAAACGTAGCAATTGTTACTTCTTTAGAGTTATTTCGCAAAGCAATTGTGTGCTGAAGCTTAAAATGATCACAAATTAATCCATGTTTGCTAGTTTCATTTTGTTAGATATATTTTTTAAATACAAGATATCTTGTGACCTACTTACAAAGTCTCTCAATAGATTTTACACTTCTTGGTATTTGGAAGATCATCCATAGAGATGGTGCTAGATATTGCCACATGATTTAAGGCACTTGAATGTGCACTCTAGGTTTATGTATTTTAAACCTGTCTAAAATGTTACTTTTGTAAATATGTAGTCACCTAAGAAAAACAGTATTTTACTTTCTTTAATATTATTTCAGATGTTTATGATTAGATAATATCTCCATCCCAAACCTGATAAAGTGCTGTATTATGCAGAAAAAAATAGTTTTTTTTTTTTACAGCTCCTTGCAGAGCAGGGTTAACTCATAGACAGTGCACCCAAAGTAGGCCTTCAGTTTCCTTTTGAATTTGCCATTTATAATAGAGACCCATGAAATGTTAAATGTCTATAACGGCTCTTTCTACCTTAGGCTAAGTTCTCACACTCACTTTCTGTAATTGGTCACTCTAGAGACAGCAAACATTGTGGAAAGTCTGGCAGCAATAACTCATGCGACTTTTGCGTTCAAAGGTTTGGGGATGACAATTAAGCTACTCCTTGTTTTCCATATTCTAGCGAATCACCTCTATTGCTCAGCTTCAATCACTACCACCCGCCTAGTTCATTCTCCCATTGCTTCTTGCTTGGGCTGGCATGATGCCACCTAACTGGTCTCCAATACATCCTATTTACTGTTACAAGGTTCATCTTATGTAAGTGTCCTTCCGATTATGTCAGTTTTTACTCAAGGTACCTGATTACATACAAACAATTCAATCTAGTAATCAGTTATGAGAAAATGACCCCATTTTATCCTCCCAGACTTACTTTCCACTGCACCTCTTTATGATTTGTATCCTAGCCAAACTAGAAAATCTCAAGTACCTTTCAGATCTAAAATTATTCTACTAAATATTTAATCTTAATGACTGAAAAAGAGTTGAGAGCCTTTAATTCAATCATTTCCAAATGTTTCAAAGCCCCTTTCCCCTCCATTCACACCTCTAACTTGGTTTTCTTTGCTGCTGGGTAATTAAGCTCCAATGACATATTTTAGTGGTTACATTATTTGATCCCATATGAATGTACCTTAAGGCATTACCACTTTAGATTTCTAGTATTTAATTTACTCCCAGGAAGTGGCGTAGGTATTGGGTAAAGGCATTTTAAGGCATTGAGGAAATGGGATGCCAGAATAAATATCTTTTCTATTAAATCTCATTTCTATTCATTTCCAATCAGGATACATGAGCTTATAGGAGCTGAGTGTTGGGAACTGGAATATAAGAGAGCTGAAGGATAAGCGTGACACAGTTTCCCAATTAATCAGTTTTACTGGTTTACTTTAAAAGACAAAAATTCAAAATACTCTGGAATTAAAAGCAGCATTTGCATTTTTGAAGGTAAAATATATGACCTCAAGGAAGTGTGGTGCTTGTTTTGGCCTGAGCTTTCAAACTTTACACTTTATATAATACTGGTGGAAAAGATTGGGGGGTTCTCTTTTGAGTAATTATCAGCTCAACAATGTGTTAGTCAAATAAATTATAAAGTATTATCATGCATTAAAGCTTCTCTCAACCCAATTAAGATGAGAACTCTAGATGCTTATTTTCTGTGATGATGCACTTGACCAGATTTATATGAACTTTCCAAGGTCTCTGTTATAATTTAGATGTATTATTGTTAATTCATATATACTTTTCTATTTTCCTAATATTTTCTGTTGAGCTGATTAAGAACATGACCAGGAAACTGGAATTTTAATTCAGCCAATCTCTTTAAATTATACCTTTTTTGTTGTTTATATGTGCTTTATGCCATTTCAAAATAAGGAATTTTAAGTGAGTCTCAAGATGTCACAGTAGCCCCATGATGCATTTTTTTAGTGCAAATTTTTTGGAGTACAACATCAAGTCTTTAGTAGGTTATCACAAAACCTTTGCCTTTCTCTTACAATATGATTTCATTTATAGTTCTCTTCTTTTAAATAAATCAGTGGCATATCCAACACTCATGTGGAGAAAATTATAATGTTATCTAATGCAATACCTTAGGGAACTCATTTTTTAACAAGACTGATGTATATGATACAAATAGAGTTTTCTAAAATAATCAGAGAATGTCAAACGTTCACAAATTTTGTTTGAATGTAATCCATTGTAAAATGGAGCATGCGATGAGATTTAGTCATTAGAATCTTTATGCTGAAACTCTGCTTCATATTCTAGGCATTTGATTTTGAGTTAAGGCAATATACTCACTTCATACTGATACTCATCTCTTTAATTTCTTTAGTACTAAGGACTGCATACTGCATATGCTATCTTTTTTATTGTTTTCAGAGTGAGACAGTTGTTAAATAGTACTGAATTTTATTGCACAGGATTTCATAATTGAGATTAATTGTAAATACAGCAGTATGGAGCTCAGCATTGCAGAAGTTTGAGAGAAAGGAGTATCCCAATGACAGATGTTCAATTGTCGGAGTCTCACATGGTGATATTCACTTTGGTGGATTCACCCAGCTCTTGCCTTTGTCTGTTTCTTAGTTTGGTGGTTCTCAGAGATGGCAATGTAAGCTGTACCAGTTCTGCTAAGCATTTTTGCAGACAATTGTACTATTATTCAGATCAATATCACTACAAATTCTTGGTCTAAGCTTTAACTTTTACTTAAGATACTAAGCAGTTTGCCCTTGTTTTCCTAATCATGTTTCTGCCATTAATCATACCAGGTTTTTAAAAAGGCAACTCTCTCAAATCTGTTACCAAGCTGCCTCTCTTAATTAATAACTTCACCTTCTTCTTTAAAGAAATAATAACAATCATGAGCATTTTTCAACATCTGGCCACCAAACTAGCAAATCTGCCTGTAGCTGTCCTCAGGCTTTCCTCCTTCCTTCCTCCCAAAACAGAAGATTTGTTTCACTTCCAGTCTAAGCCTATTCCATTCATTTTGCTCCGATCTCAAATCTCTCACACTCCCTGGATCCTCCAGAAACTCATTACATTAATTACTCTTTTGCTCTCCTGTACCCTCAAATGTGTCTTATCTACTGAATTATTATCAGAAGCATTTAAATGTGTTCAGGGATCTGTTCTTCCTCACACAAGCAACAAGGCTCACTTTCTGGTCTCTTTCTTCCCTTTATGGCCAAACTTCTGGAAAGATACGTTGGCATTCACCTCCTTCTTCTTCTCATTCAATAGCCAATGACAATCATTTCATTAAACCAACCACCATTTCACTAAACCTGCTTAGCATTAGTTACATGTGCTATCCCTCTCATTAGAACACTTTTCCCATGTATTGTCTGGCATCACTCTTTCCAGATATTTCTGTAACCATTTTGATTACTTTTTCTCAGTCTCTTTTGTAGACTCGTCTTTACCTACCCAATCTGTTTTTCTCTGTGTTCTCTTTTAAACTTCAAATCATAACTATATTCTGATCACTGCCAGATGCACATTTACAGCTCAAAAACCTATCCTATATTTCAGACATATTTATCCACCAGCTTGCTCGACATCACCACATGGACCGGTACCTCAAATGAATTATGTCTTAAGCCTGCTCCTCCTGCAGTGTTCCTTTATTTAATGAACAATACCATCTACCAAATGGTCCACACACACTAAAAAATGAGTACGATGTTTATGTGCTCACTCTCCTTTGCCACTCTCATCTATTTAGCCATCAGGTCCTGAGGAGTTTTCCTTCTGAAGAGCTCTCAGCTGTGGCTTCTCTAGATCAGGTTACCATCAGTTCTTCTCTGGATTGCCATGACCTCTCTTGAAATATGTCTTTTTCCTCCAGTGTTGTCTTTACTGTCTCTCTCTTCATTTCTGAATTCTCCACACCAGAGCTAGAGTTTTCTTTCTACAATCCAACTGATTCTATCACTTCTTAAATTAAAACTTTTGCTACTGGATGTGAATTATCAGAGATTTGTGTAACAAGTCAGAACTCACAGCAAGAAGAGTTATTTGATCTTCACAAGTTCGGGCACATTATTCCTTCCAAAGTACATCTGCAAAAGGAACAATGGCTCTTTCTAGGCATTTTCTAGGCTTTTAAGGATGACCACTGTCACTGCTCTGCCTCATATTTTGGTAAATGTATGTGTGTTTAAATATGTTAATACCTTCAGTAAGTCAAATCTAGACAACCCATGAATTGTATCTCTTACGTATACATGAGGATTAACTAGGTAGTGTAACCCTTTGGGAGCAATCTAATTTATCTTAATTCTATACTGTGATATCTATGTTGTTTCCCCAGGTACTTCTTGCACCTGTGACGCTATACATCACTTTAACTGTACCTCTTTTATAACATATAAAAACATTGAGTCCCAGAGATATTAATAGAGTTATCCAAAGCAAGACTGGGACCCACAGTTCCTAACTCTCAAGTCATTATAGCCTCCACTGTATATTGCTACATCTCTAGACATATAACCCAAATTTATTCATTACTTAGGTCCTTTGCGTGTGGCAGATGTACTTAAGAATTTTATATGAGAATATTTTTGTATTCCTGATGTTTTTATTTATTTGTTAAAAGAGAAAAATGCAAACATTTTAACAATCCAAAAAATAATGCTTTACTGCACAACTTTTATTTAAAAAGAACCCTGAAATATGGTATGATATGGCCAAATTCTTACTGCTATTAAAAAATCGTTTCTTTGTGTTTGCAAAAAAATTTTTACTGGCTATTCTAAGTTTTTAGTGATCTAGTTTATCAGTATTTCAGATACAGCTAAATTGTCTAATAATTCTAAAAATGTCTTTTCCCCAAGAAAGACACAAATTTTAAATAATTACAATTAAAACTAAAAAATATAAATTTCTGTGTATTCAGTAACATAAAAATTATGTGAAGCAGAGTATAACTTAGATTCTTAAAAACTTTCTTCTAACATCAGTATTTTCTAAAAAATAGACATATATGAGAGTAATATTAGAATGTTTTGAAATGTCAACAATGAATACATGTTATTAAAAAAAATTGAATATTACTTGTTCCTGGTATTATGCTTGAAATAAATATAATACATATATGGAAGCAGTCAACTAGATACTGTTTGCTAAGATTCAGAAGAATATGGATCCTGCTGACTGGCACTGATTACTCTGAATCTCTTTGTTTCTTTTTGTTTTAAAATAAAGGAGGAAATATATGTAGAGCTGATGAGTTCCTTTGCAATAATTCTCTCTGCAAACTACATTTCTGGGTGTGTGATGGAGAGGACGACTGTGGAGACAACTCTGATGAAGCCCCTGATATGTGTGGTATGGCATTTCACGTGGCTCTAGATTATACTTTTATCTTCTGATCTCAGGCACCAGCATGAATCAATGAAGTGGGGAGGTGAACTACCAATTATACCATCCTGGGGTTAGGTAGATAAAGTATAACCACAGATACAGCTTTTGTTCAGGTAATAAAGGGATAATCCGGTTCCGAAGTTATGACTTTATAGAGACTCATCCTAAATCTGAACTTGCACATGTCAACACTATTCAGAAGAGAGATTATGGTCTCTTTGGGTGGGTTTAGAGTAATTGACATTTTAATTGAATAAGATTCATATAATAATTTTGGCTTCACATCAAATTGGAGTTTAGGTTAATTTTGGAGGGATACAGATAAGCAAATTAAAAATATATAAATAATAAAATCTCATAGTTTCACAAGCCACCCACTAATGAAATATCTCTGTATCTATCAATCATCTATCTGTATATCTATCTATCCACATATCTGTCTATATCATTACAAGTCCTAAACACAGAACTGAAATTAGGAGTTATTTAACATTTAAACTTAAAAAGTCTTAACAAAAGTTATTGTTTCTCCAAATTCAAGTTTCTCCAAATTGACTGACATTTGTCCGGTGTATGCTTATGAGACCAACAAATATAAAAGTCTAATTTTAGATCAGCAACATAAAGGATCTATTTTAATGAACATTTTTGGTCCCTGTTATCATACTTTTTATCTAATCTCTGCAAGAAATGCAGTTTCGCCTATACTTTAAAGGAAAATGCTGCCACATCAGATATAACTCAGTGGCACACCAGGTAAATAAAGAAAATACAGCATGAGTGTACGTACTTACACTTTTTGTTCTGTTTGTTGCATCAAGTTAAGGCAATATTTAGATATAGATGGTGACATTTCACTACTGAAATACAAAAGTGCAGGGAAAAATACAAAAATGCAGGCAGCTTTATTTTGTTAAGTACTTAAAAGTTGAAAAAAAACAGGTTTTGGAGAGTTTTTTTCTATAGATACAACTCATTATGATGAGTAATGCAACTAAGTTTCAGCTTCAGTTTTCTTTACATAATCTTAGAAATAAACTCTGGGTAATCACCAGGGATTAGATTGTTTCTGAATCATAAAATATTTAACAATATGAGAGCTTATCTACCAACATCAATCCAGAAGCTATTATTTTTATCAATTATGTGATTTTTTTTCTATTCTCTATTCCACTTGACCACAAAACCAGTGAGTGGAATAGGAAATTTTCAATAATTGATGTACAGCTGCAGAGTCATATTCTCCTAGAGCTGCTTCCAGGGCCATGAACTGATTCTCAGGAGCATTCCACACAGCACAGATGGGAAACCTTGTAAAATCCAGATTGACTGTCTGAACATTTTTGCGTTTCTCTCAGTGAGCAATATCAACATTGAGTCAAGCTATTATGTGCCAGAAATTGTGCTAATTAGGACAACAAAAGGGTTCTTTTTGACAAGGAGATCTTATTCTGGCTGGACAAATAAAAATAATTTTCATACACTCTATTTCCAGCAATGATAGAATTAATTAAAAGTATGGAAAAGGCACAGAGAGATTCAATGAACTCTACCTAAAGAACAATTCAGAAAGCTACAGTGTTGAAGGAGCTAGACTAAAAGACATCTTAAGCAAAGTGAATAGCATGAGAAAAGGTGTCATTCATTCATTCATTCATTCAATAGACATTTGTTCAGCAAGAGACCATGATTATTTTGGTGATATAATGATGAAAGAAGTGAACACGAACCCTCACCTCACAGAGCTTAGAATCTAGTGGAAGATGGATATTAATGTGCACAAAAATATATACTTACAAACTGTGATACATACTATAAAGTATAGTAATTTGTAAAAGTATGGAACAGAAAGACTTTATCAATCATAGAGTATGAGAAATAACATTTTAGTTCAGGCCTGGGAAATATTTAGCTGCTGAATAGATGAAAAGGCTTGAGGTTGGGAGTGAAAGTGTGATACAAAATTGCGGACAAAGGAAATAAGATTTGTGAAAGCTCTGGGCAGAGCAAACCATGGCTTACTCAAGGAACTGAAGGATCCATGTTCCCAGAGGGCACAGAGCCAGGTAGCTACAGGCACTCCTGGATTTACCAGATTGTAGCCAGATAAACCTATTGTAAACAGGAAATAATGTAAATTGACAGTGTGTGTTTGACTTAAAAATATTTTCAACATATAAAGGATATATCAGGACATAATCCCATAGTAAGTAGAGGAGAACATGTATTGCTTTCACACTGTCATAAAGTCAGAAAACCTTAAATTGAACTATTGTTAAATTGGAGATCATCTGTATTTGCTTAGGATGAAACTAGAGACAGCAGAGATACCTGCAACCTTGGGGATTCTAAATTTTAGCTGGAAAGTAATTGGAAATACTAAGGAGTTTTAAGCAGAGGAGGTCCATGGTCATATTTAAAGTTTACAAATATGGGATAGAAAGGATTAATAGTGGTTAACACCATGGCGGCACTTTAGGCAAGCTATGTTAGTAGCTTGGGTTGAGATGACAACAGCCTGTGCTAGCACAATATAGACAGATTTGAAGATGATATAAAAGGCAGAATAAATTGGATTAAATGACGGATTGGATATGGTGAATGAGAGACAGCAAGTTGTGGGGTATAATGTGTATGTTGTTTTTGCTTTCCCATTTGAATGGAAAGGGTCACAGGAAAGGGAACAGTTTTGCAAGTAAAGATTAGAAGACTGGACTGTGATGCATTTGAGGAGACATTCGAGTAGAGATTTCAAGTAGGCATTAGATGCTTGAATCTCACATTGAAAGGAAAGAGGTAGTCTACAGATATAAATTCAACAACCAGCATAAAATGTGGTATTAAATACAATGGAATATTCAAGATTACGCTGTGTGGAAATAAAGATAGGTCAGGAAGGGGATTATCAAAGAATATTGAGTGACAACAAGCCCCTAAGTGAAGATGAGCTGGCAGAAGAGACTCAGGTAAGTGACCACAGAAGGCACTGCAAAAAAGAAGAGTGAGGCACCAGAGACACCAAAGTAATAACATGTTTCAGCAAAGATGTGATGGTTTCTGCAGAGGCATGGGAAAATGAGTTCCAGAAAAATGATTACTTTTACATAGGAAACAACTATTCTTCTGTCTCTGCTCTTAAAATATAGAAATGAGTTGACAGACTACATGTAGATACAGGTAGATCTGTAATTATTTAATAATATCTTAAGAAATTTCCCATCTTTGTATTTCTACTTATTTTTGTTATATATATATATATATATATATATATATATATATATATGCTTTCCAAGTAGCATTGATAAATATTCATACTTGGTGGTATCAGTTGGCCTTGTAGTATGATCATCTGCAACATTTCTGGCTTCCCAGATGCAGATATTGGGAGAGCAGGTGGTTTCGCTCACCTAAATTTAGGGTTATTTTGGATAACTGAGATGAAAAAGAGAAAAGGGCCAGAGAATCCAGGTTATTGGGAAGAAAGTGGGTTTCTAAACTTACCTAGTACTTAGAGCAGTATCCAACATATTATAGGTTACTATAAATATTAATGGGGAGAAAAGTACAGACAAAATCATTGGTGAATAGGGAAAAGGTAGTTACATCGATGAGCTAGAATTAAGATAAAGCTGAAGAGTTGTTGCAATGATAGTGATTGGATTAAAAATCATTAAAGAGATTGTGCTCAAAATAGGACATTCTAGTAGTGGTTTTACAAATGAAGTAAATTATAGGAAACAGCAAATTTATGCTGCAACTGTTTCTATAAGTTAGCATTCTTAACAGCAAGCAACAGAAACTGCCACTGTGAATCAAAAATAGAAATTTGTTGAAATTCACCAATGTAAACAACGTCCTAGGAGAGTGGTGGCTTACGTAAGATTAGAGTAAAAGGACATAGGGTATAAGAAACTTAAGGAGCTAAGAAGCCTCACTGGTTGGTTTCCTCATGTGAATATTGAAGTCATCTGAGTTGCTGGAATGAATTTAAATGGAGATCTTAAAAGACTATGCTGGAATGTGCTAGTCTTCAGTAAACTGGGGCGGAGGTGGTGATTTTGAAGTTAATTAGAAAATAGCAGCAGCGTGAAGATATAATCAAATATCTAGCCTTCAAAATAACATTATTTTGTTTTAGTTTATTTTAGAAAATAGAAAGTAAAGATAGGATAAAGCTATGGAAGCTGTAGTAGGAAATGAGGATGTTTTCAAACGTGAGGTGACATAAGGTTTGAGCAAATTAAGAGACATTCCTAAAAGACCTAAAGAGGAGGGAGTATATTTGGAAAATGGACCAAATTTCACTTAAAGCAAGGAGGTCAGGGATGGAGTGTAACATATTTAAGAAGCTGTAATAAAGCAATATTGCTCAAATATTGAGAGGGACAAGGGATGAGTCTGCAGGATTGGCACGAGCAAGATAGTGACAAGTCTATTAGGCCATTCAAAATATCTTAAATTGTATTCTCAAGGAAATTGATAAATGTAGAATAAATGGTTACATGAATATGTTAAACTGATTTTTCTCATGGCTTTTTGAGGATCTGAGGATGGAATATGAAGCTGGAGACATTTAGGATATCTCTCTGTAAAAGATCATAAACAGCTAAACTATTTTGATTGTAACTGGTGAGATGGCTAGAAGATGCCAAACCTGGGGACAATAGCAACAGGACTTGGTGACTACTGAGAATTGATGGTCAATGAGAGGAATACATTAGAATAATTCCAGACTTTTGGCTATGATATGCCACTAACTGAATGATGGAAATAAAACGTGTTTGAGAACAAGGGGTAAGACGAGATGATAAAGAGCTGAGTGATGAGCTTGTTAAATTTGAAACTATTGAGGGGATGTCCTACAACCAACTGAGATGTTTGAACTAGATAGAGAATTGAAAGTCTTCAGGATGTAGTAAATCAATGAGAGTGAATAAACATAACTAAGCAAATAATTCAAGAGTGAGAACATCAGGGGAACAAGGACAGAATCCTGGGTAACTTCACATCTAAGGATGAAGACTAATGACAGATACTTCCTGCTTTAAGAGTGGAAGTCTTCAGATTAGATAGTGATAAGGAGACAAATGTAAAATTCCCTGGCTTTCATTGTGGTCTTTTTAAATACACACAAAAACATGTACTTTAAAGATGAATAACTAAGATCATATATGTGCCTCAAATACATATCTAAACTTTTGTTTACAGAGACAAAGAGTAAGAAATCAAGTTAGAATATTGTTGGGATTTTTGTTTGTTTTCACTGAATGACCTATTTTCAATTTTGGGCCTGTAACATATGCTTGCTCCGGCTCTATGCTGTGTGAAATTGCTCTTTGAGATAGCTAAGTGTCCTGCCATATTGCATAATTGTAGGCATAAATTAATTTGTTACACTAAGTGAAGTCAGCTAAGATAAGGCATCTGGGAATGAGACCATACAGTTTGGCTCTTTCGTATTTCCTTTAAGATCCTCAGCTGTGCACATTTTTCTGTAGTTAATAACTAGAATCATCACATATTTTTCTGGTAGCCACTAGTAGGCAATTGTCACAACAAAAAAGATATTTAGAAAAGCTAGCTTATGGATTTGAAAAGAATAAAAGAAAAAGGAAGAATGTTCTTCATAAAGCAATGTACTCGAAGGAGCTTCTTTGTTTTTTCTTCTTTTTCTTCAGTCAAATTTCTTTGTCCATCCACGAGACCTCACAGATGCAGAAATAACAGAATATGCCTACAGTCGGAGCAAATGTGCAATGGGATTGATGAATGCGGTGACAATTCAGATGAAGATCACTGTGGTGGTAAATGCATTTAATGTGAAATAATTCAGTGATGGCTATGAGGTTCTCTGATGACTTGGAGTACAAACATTTTAAAAAATACATTTCTTATGTGGACATCTGAGGGCATTATTTTCAGACATTTGATCTTCTGACAAGGTATAAAAATATTCCACCAGCATTTCATTTGCCTTATAGGTGTGCACCTTTATCCATAGTTCCCACTAACCCTTTATTCTAGAAAATATTCATCCCGGAGAAACAATATAGAGATTTTTAAATGCTCCTTGTTTAAAGACTTAATTTTTTGAAGAAAGGGAGCTTATATAGATTGTATGTCTATGCAATTCTTTTTTCTGAATTCCGAAGTTCAAAAAGTTTTTAATGCAAAAGACTTATGTATGCAGCAAAATCATCTGGAGACAAAGCTTGACCTGACCTAATTGGAGCCATTTAATATCACCCTCTAAAAAAATTACACTTAGGGTAAATATTTTAAAATTTTTCTGTAGATATCAGTGTTATTTACTTAAAGTAAACACACAGTTACTTTTCTAAAATCCAAAAATTTCAGAATGTTTAAAAATTTGGCCTTGAGAGCTTCAGATAAAGGATTGTAAACCCATGTTTTTCATAGTAGTTAGTAAAATTTTGGAGCTATTACATGCTCAATAAGAGTGTTTTGATTCTGTGAAGCACTAATCATTTTTTGTATGACTCTATAGGTAAGCTGACATATAAAGCAAGGCCTTGTAAAAAGGATGAGTTTGCTTGTAGTAATAAAAAATGCATCCCTATGGATCTCCAGTGTGATCGACTTGATGACTGCGGAGATGGTTCAGATGAGCAAGGATGCAGAATAGGTGAGCTTGTTTTCTGTTAAGCAAAGCACCGGGATACACAAGTCTAACTTCTGCTTGTACATGACTAAAATGTTCTGGATGGAAATATTGCTCTTCAAAGTATGCTTGACTGATGCCCTTTTTCAAAAACCTTTGCCAAAGCAACATTAGAATATTACTTAATTTCAGAAAGTATGAAGTGGACAAGGTTGGCTTTGTAATGAGTACCCTTGTTAAAGCAGAAGCTGAGAAATCAATATTCAAATATCGAAGTTGATGTCAGCAATGTAATCTATATCATTTAGTAATTTATCTTATACAAATTTAGTGTTAAGTTTTATAAACGGTGATATTTAGTTGAATGATAGTAAAGGTCTTAATTTTTTCAATGTTAAAAAAAATTTAATCCATTGCTGAGTCATTCTTACAGAAGATGTGATTTTTTTTTTTAGTTACAGTGCCATGATACTTGAGTTATTACCTGCTGATTGCGAATAGTTTGTGTCTAATGCTTGGTATTTGATTTTTTATATTAAAGAAAAATAATTAAATGTATGATCCTAAATTCAGTTTGCTTACAAAAGTCACACAATATTTCCTACTTTTACATCTTTTTTTTTTAATTTATGCATCTAAAACTTTCCTCATTTAGGGATGAAGCAATACCCACCAGGATATGGCTGCATGTGTCTAAACCATGGTATCATTCCACTGACCTATTTTAACTAATTGCAAAATATTCAAGTCAGTGGGGTTACAACGATAATAATTAAAGTTCTCACATTTCTCAAAAATTTGATTTAAGTAACTTAGAGATGATATGATGTCTCTATAATAATGTCCCTCTCATTTATTTAAAAGAGAAGGCCTTCTAAAATGTTTTCCTGAATGGGAGATAAAGTAATAAAATTGCAACTGCTATCCTGGAAATTACAAGTAACTTTTTGTCTGTCCTAAAATGTTGCAGCTTATGACCAACCATTATGAGCACATTACACACTCAAATGTTACTCTTCATATGTATGTCCAGCATAAAAAAATGAAATTTAAACTGCTGATTTAGACAACTTGCTTGAGTAACTTAGCAGTACCCTTGATTGAGTTTACAAATATTAAGCTTAGGTTAGCAATAAATGCCTAAATTTCTAGGTAGCTTATAGGAAATGCTTTGGCTCTCAGAGAAGGATGTAGTACTCATATATCGTACTATAATAAAGATAGCCTGTCATTAGAATCATTGACTCCTGACTTATTTTTAAAAAGTGTTACAGCTTAACAGCAGCTCTAAATATCAACTGTTAGCAGCTTGGTCTAATCTGTATTTAATGTTAATGAGTTTAGTTTTTATACTTCTATACATTTATAAGACATGGGGGCTTATATGGAGAGAAGACCGTAACCTTGTACATTCAAAAAGAGTTATCTGTGGAATAATAAATACCATTTCAAACATTTTTTAAAAGTTAACTCCCCACTTCAGGAATTAGAATTATATTAGTTTTGATCATATTTTTAAATCCCAGCTCCTACTGAATATACCTGTGAAGATAATGTGAATCCATGTGGAGATGATGCATATTGTAATCAAATAAAAACATCTGTTTTCTGTCGCTGTAAGCCTGGATTTCAGAGAAACATGAAAAACAGACAATGTGAAGGTAGAGTACTTTTCTTCAACAGTTTGCTCATAAATCTTTGGGTTATGAAGATTCCCAAGACTTCTAAATTGTGAGATCACAGGGGATTGACTTTCATCAAAATGGTGTGTATCTACGGGATACCATTTCACTTATGAGAATGAAAGTCTCTGGGGTCAAGAGCTTGTTTGTGGAGCTAAGCTAACCACGACAGAGGCTACAAAGCTTTTTCTATAGCAAATTCAGAGCTGCAGGAATTTCAATTCTATTGCTACAATACTGTTTTGAAATGCAAATAACGAAATTCCTGGTTCAGGAACTATTGGAGAATTAGTCTTGCTTCATGAAAAAATATGTTTATGATGACCCATTTCTCTTGAGTGTGGAATTTGCAATACTGGAATAGGTAAATCACATTTAGAGAGTCATGGGCTTTTGTCCTAAAACCATGTTTTAAATAGATCATAATGTATCTTTAAAAATTCAAAGTCAGGATCTACATAAATCTGTCAACTTACTTGAGATCATTTAAAAATTGAGCATGTAGGATAGCCAAAATCTTATAGTAAGTAAGTAAATATAATTACATCAGTGTTCTAACTATAGAACCATGAAATACAGACCCATATGCACTTTCTGCAAGTTTCTCCAATAAAACTGCTATTTGTATTCATATTCATATTAATGTAAGTACAGCCAAACCTAAAATAACTAAGTCTGGCTTATCCAGGCTAAATTCAAGTCTTTAAGTGCTTTTACCTACCAGCTTGCTTTTGTTATGTCTCTTTGTGATATTTTGAGGTTAAGAAAAATGATTCTACTTCGTGTTAATCAAAATGGAATTATTTAAATGAATTGATTCTACTCACCCAAAAGGGGAAAAAGTGTAGTCACGTCATGTTTATCTACATTTTGAGTTAAATGTGTATTTGGATTATTCGTGACATTTGATTGTTCCATTACTATGAGACTGAAAGATGACAACCTAGGTTTTCTGTGTTTTAGTTAAAAAATGAATTATCTTTCAAACTATGGTATTTATTTTTCCCAGGCTCTTTCTATCAATTACATATAAACACACACACACACAATTCTTTCAATATTTTAATTTCAATAACATTTATTTTCTAATATTTGTCAGTGGGTTTTTTCTGTATATATGTACTAAATTTAGAAATTATATTATTAAAGTTTTCTTAATTTTTAATTACATTCCACAGCAAATATAACCTGCACACTACATTCTTTATTTTAAATTGCTATGAATCCACTTTTTTGTATTATTTTGTAGGACAGACGAGTAACTTCTGAACTCTAATAAAATGTTCATCTATTTTTAATAAATAAAGTTTTGATTTTAAGGAAAATAGTTCTATTTCAGTGTCAAAGAAGGGTAAGACATAATTGGATTCTATAATCCAAAAATTTAAATTTGTTTGTGCCCTTCACTTATGTATCTGAAAAAATGCATAAGAAATTGCTATTTGATGTTAAAGCCCAAACACTTCAATTAGAATATCTAAAGGGAAAAAAGTAAAGAGGAATGGTGGAAGAAAATTAGAAGGGGATTAACAGTTGCTGAGTGCCAGGTACTGTTTTGGGTACTAGGCATGTGTGGAATTCCTCCATCCCCTTCAAAAGCTCATGATCCAGGCTTTCTAGAGATGAGGCGAAAATGATGGTTCAGGCCAGTATAATGACAAGTGAGGAAGTTGAGGTTGTATGAAATCATGCAGAATACTGCTTATTTGGATTCTGTACCAAAGGGAAACCATAGTGACAAATAACTGCCGGTTCAAAGTTACAGGGGCTGAACAAATCAGAAATATTTGTTGTAATCGTGATGGTTAAGTACTGACAAGATGCATTCTACTTCATTCCTGTAAAATATTTATTAAAAACAACGAAATACACTTTTCTGCATCTCTTTACTCTACATTTCAATCAAATAGCAATGTGTGGTCATGAAAATGCTTATGTGTTCTTAGGCAAAGTATCACAGTAAAGTCAACAAAATCAGAAAACCTGAGTTTAAGCCTTGACGTTGTGATTTACAAGTGTCTCTACCTCTGAGCCCTTAGAACATTGTTTGTGTGCTACGCAAAAGATAGTTATTCTTACTGTGCTGATTCTTAAGTTCTCTAATTCAAGGGAAGGATTTATCTCACAGATTTATTAGGTAATTAGGAGATTATAAGTGATAAAATGAGGCAGGGGAAATATGCTGGCTAAACACAAAAGTAGAGGAGGAAAAGAGAGGAAAATTAGATAATTCCCTAGAATCACCTGGCCTCAATCCTGGCTCTTCATAAGCCCTTAAAATTAGAGTCATGTGCCAAGCTACATGACTCTGATTAAATCACATGAATACTGCCTGTGATTTATTTATTTATGCTAGTGATTTAGAGGTATTTATTCATATATAGGCATGCAGATTTTGCTTGCTTAATTCACATCACATAACCTCAATACAGCCCTTCTTGTTACGTAGTCACTTCATATATATGAGTCCAGAAGTGTGTTAGAGATGTGCCCAAATCTTTGTTCTCTGCCAGTCATTGTGCAAAATCTGGCAATAAAAAAGGAATGTATCATAATTTATGTCCTCAAGGGAATATGAATATGTAACCACATTCCTGAAATATAAGCAACAGTGTAAGAGAGAAACACCAGGAGAGCAAAAACTGGAGAAACTAAGGATGAATCATCACTCCCATATATGGTTGGAGACCAAGGAAGGCTTTATTTCAGGTGGATCTTGAAAGATGAGTAGAAATTCTGTATGGAAAAGTGGGCAAGGGCATTACGGGATGAAAGAATAGCCCATGATACCTTCGAAGGCATGGAGGTAGGTCATCAGAAACAGCTTAAAAGAAAACCTCAAGACAGGTCTATTTGCGTGAATGGAAATCTATACAACAAACCCCCATGGCACAAGTTTATCTAGGTAGCAAACCTGCACTTGTATCCATGAACTTAAAAGGTAAAAAAATAAATAAGTAAAAATTTTAAGAAAGAAAAAAGAAAGCCCCAGGGAAGTTTGAAATTGAAGCTTTAATATTTTAAGTGGATTAATAAAAGCAATGACAATTGATAAATCTTCTACTACAAATATTGTGAAAAATGATTATACCTTCAAAAATATGACACAGCAGGTCACAGATTAAAGATGTGAAAGGACAATAAAGCTAGTAATAAGTTAAAAATAATTTTGGCTTTTTTGAAACGTGGTAAGAATAGGAGTCTGAATTGAGGGTATGATGATGCTATTTTGAGCTCTTCTTTTCTAGACCTTAATGAATGTTTGGTGTTTGGCACATGTTCCCATCAATGTATAAATGTGGAAGGATCATATAAATGTGTGTGTGACCAGAATTTTCAAGAAAGAAATAACACCTGCATAGCAGAAGGTAAGATTATAACCACTATTGCAAATCCTATTACAATTTTGTTGTAAACATTTTATGGAGAAAAATGTTTTATATTTCATTCCAGCAACAGCTTCATTTCTGATAAAATACTTTTAATGATGATTAATTTGGCCAGTTGGTTAGTTAATATTAATGAATTTAATCTTAGATGGTTTATGGAAATGACTATGAAATATATGGTTACTGTTAAAATCACATTGTGTCATTGTGTTCAAAACAATTTTTCAAAAGGGGTAAAATTTTAAAAGCCAGTGTGATAGAATGTGAAGTATCTCTCTTGATGGTCTGCTCTAAGGGAATATGAGAAAAATTATACCCCAGGGATAAAAATAAACATTAGCATTATAAGGAGAAAGGAATTTTGAGTAAGGATTTTAAAGGTTTTAAAACAAGATCTTGCTTTCAAATTTAGAAGTCCTCCACTTACCAATATTATTTTTTAAAAAGATTAAATGATAGGCCTGGTGCAGTGGCTCATGCCTGTAATCCCAGCACCTTGGGAGGCCAAGGCGAGTGGATCACGAGATCAGGAGTTCAAGAACAACCTGACCAACATGGTGAAACCCCGTCTCTACTAAAACTACAAAAATTAGCCAGGCGTGGTGGTACACACCTGTAGTCCCAGCTACTTGGGAGGCTGATGCAGGAGAATCGCTTCAACCCAGGAGGCAGAGGTTGCAGTGAGCCAGGATTGCGCCACTGAACTCCAGCCTGGGTGACAGAGCAAGACTCCATCTCAAAAAAAGAAAAACAAACAAACAAAAAAAGATTAAATGATAAACTAGGGTTCTGGGCAATTGTAGGTATAGATTTTAATATTCATGTGTTTATGCTAAATAATACTGTAACTTCAATATTGTTGGCTACAAAGTATGATTGGACATTATTAAGATTGTTATTACAAGAAGAAAACAGGATGATGTAATGGATCAACTGTGGGCTATAGCATTTGATATGCTTGGATTTGAATCCCAGCACAGCACCTTTTAGACTGTGTGGCCTCAAGGAATTCACTAAAGTGTCAGAGCCTCAGTTCAGTTTCCATAGTTATAAGAAGTGGAGATAAACTGTGAAAGGCTTAACATAGCGTCTGACACATAATAAGCATTTGCTAAGTGACAGCTATTAACATTACAGAGCTGAAAGGCACCTCATGAGGTATTATTATTATTATTTATTTGCAGAAACTATGTATGCAATCGAACATCTCTTTAGGGCTTCGTTAATATTTTAATTGATAATTTTGGCATTTGCTTTAGGGTTTTACTTGTTAGTATGAAAATGACATTAGTACTCTATTGTAGGTGTCAAAACTTTAGAATAGAATGTTACACTTAGCAGGATTCTAGATAATTTAGAGATTATAGAACTTTAATGGAATAAATACTGATATCTTTTTATGTTAAAAGTTAGTAAGCATTTAAGATGTATAAATACAGTAAGAGGAAGATTCTTCATATTTTAATTTTTATTTCTTAGCCTAAAGTAATGATCACTCAGGTGCATAAATTAAGTAATCAGAAACTTTTGAAGCTTAATGAGTATACAACATAGTACTTGGATATTGACAATTGATGCATTATAACCTAGTGTATTGTGACTTATCAAATAATAATCTCTCTTCATAAAAGGACATTTATATGTACATAATTTCTAGCCATAAGGAAAGATTGGCAGTAGAAAAACCTCTATCAATAATTATTGTAAATGTTTAGATAAGTGAGTATCAGAAATAATAAGCCATAAAGACTAAAAGACAATATAAAACTGGTTGATTTTTGAGGAAAAACTGTATTAAGAATAATAATTCAAGATAATTTAAAAGTACAATTATTGCTTTTAACATTAGTTGAAATTTACTTTATTTTTGTATTTTATTATAATAATCTCCAGGCTCTGAAGATCAAGTTCTCTACATTGCTAATGACACTGATATCCTGGGTTTTATATATCCATTCAACTACAGTGGCGATCATCAACAAATTTCTCATATTGAACATAATTCAAGAATAACAGGGATGGATGTATATTATCAAAGAGATATGATTATTTGGAGTACTCAGTTTAATCCAGGCGGAATTTTCTACAAAAGGATCCATGGCAGAGAAAAAAGGCAAGCAAACAGTGGCTTGATTGTAAGTAAATACCATTGTATATTTGAAAGTCCATACCTTTTCCCCACCTGCTTTTTAAACAAAATTTATCTAATATAATATCTAATTATACTAAGTAATATATTCAATTATTCTCCCAATATTCTCCTTAAATAGAAATAATGCATTTCTCTACTCATTCTCATAGCTGTACATGATTTATTTTAGTTGCATGCTTTTATGTTTTTGCTTTAATGTATTTGACTATTATATAAGAATGCTAATGAATGACATATAACATCTCCAGAACATCTATTTCATAGTGCTTTACAATTATTATGAACATAAGCTTTTTTATCATGAGATGAGATTGGGAAACATCACTTTATTTTTACATTAGAAAGTAGCGTAATGCAGGGATAACTATTTCTCTTCTTACATTATCATAAATATACTTCTACTGTAGGGCAGGACATCAACTCAATAGTGTAACCATTTCTTCTGACTCCTGATAACTATATTTCAGGAAATATCCAAAACAGAAATATTGTGCACTTGTGTATGCTGGACATGTTGATTATCATGGTTATTGTTTTTGAGAAAAAATAAACTGGAACATGTTTCAATTTATGGTTGTAGATTAGATTATCCCTTTTTGTTTTAGGGCATGTCAAGTTATTGTGTGTTTTATATTTTTAAGTAACCTGGAAGGAAAATGACAGATAAATATGTGTTTTTATAGGGCCTGGCCCATTCCTGTACAACCAAAAAGTCAAGTGGTGTCCCAGCAGGATGTAATTGAAGCTTTGTGTTTAACAAAAATTAGAGGTTCCTATCTAGAAGTTCTCACTACTTTTTCTACTAGCATCTACCATAAACACTTGAACTACATAAATCCATTTGATGCAAATCTGGAATATACTTTATCAGCAGTAGATGGCAATATGCTGGTTTTAAAAGAAGCTATTTTAGCTTTCAAATTCGGATTTAGATTAACTTAGATGAAACCTTTGAGTAAAAATCCATGTATACCAGAATTGTTCAATTCCTATTCCCTCAAACACAATAGCTAACATTAACTTTCGTTAGCTCTAAAACAGAAATCTGCTTGTTGAAAACATTGCTTCTACGGTAACATGGCATCTGTTGTTAATGAATGGAGTATATACTGTGGACTTACCTTGGCTGAGTTTGAATCTTATTCCTGTTGCTTACTGGCCTCCTAGCTTCTTGGTACTCTCTATTTCAAGAGGTTCTAGTGATGATTCAATTTACATATTAGTATATTAACTATATACTAAAATTAATTGTATATAATTACATACAACTAATAAATAATATACATTAATTCTATGTATTTTATATACTAATGTTTAACTTTCTAGGTACATAGGAAGTATTATTTAGATGGATGCTATTAACAGGATGATTCTGTTGATGATGGTAATGACATTAATAATGATAATTGGCAAAATGTTCTTTGCTTCATATTAGCATATTAAAAATTATTTGCAATTTACATATCTGCATTTTACAATTGATAAACATAGACACATCTTCAATTTTGACATAATTTTTCAGAGAAAAGTCTTTGATTTTTATTTAGTTTTGTGCTTTGGGGAAATTGATTGTCCTTTAGTTCAGGGTTCTAGTTCAGGGGTCTCCAACCCCCAGGCCACAGACCGGTATCAGTCTGTGGCCATTAGGAACCTGGCTGCACAGCAGGAGGTTAACAGCTAGTGAGGGAGCTGAGCTCTGCACCCTGTCAGAGCAGTGGTGGCATTAGATTTTCATAGGAGCGCAAACCCTATTGTGAACTGTGCATGTGAGGAATCTGTGAAATGTGGATGCGAGGAATCTAGATTGCTGAGCTCCTTATGAGAATCTAATCCCCCACACACTCTATTCATAAGTAAATTGTCTTCCATGAAACTGGTCCCTGGTGCCAGAAAGGTTGGGGACCGCTGTTCTAGTGAACAGAATTCACAAAATTTATTGTAGATTAGAAGCCAAATTCACTCAATGTTTGGTAACTAAGTTTTCATTCTTATACATGCAAATATATTTATGTATTTTACTTGAATATTTATATGTGTATATTTTTACATATTTTATCTTTAACTTTATTAATGTGTTATAGAATCTTTCATATCCAATGGCAAAGCTGTTGATTAGACTTATTTGAATAGGATATAAAACTTTACTTTTAATGATAGTAATAACTTGTGTTATATCATCCAGACTTCCTGTGTTTTGCTTTTGTTTTCACCTCTGTATTTAAATCTCCCATGATTATTAGCATTCGCAAAGAAGAAAAATAGCACTCACAAAGAAGAAAAATGCATAACAGTAGGAGTGCATTTTCTACTAAGGAGTCCATCATAACTAACTAAATGACATAATTATAAGTTTGGAACCTCTGAGCCATGAGTTTTAGCACTATAAGCCAAATTTCATAACAATACTAGCCAATACATTATTTTAAAAAATACTTTAGAGCTACACTGATAAACTGATAAAAGCAACTATTTAACTTTGCCTCCTAAATCTTTTTGTATTCCTGATATTTCAATATTATAAAGACAGACTAAATCTATTATTACCACCTTAATGAGTAATGTGAATTGTAGAGCAACTAACTTGAAAGGCATATCACATCTCTGGGTCTCAGCTTATTCATCTGAAAACAACTGTAATATTGAAGTACACAATTTCTACAGCCCCTTTGAGATAATATATTTTAAATATATTTGATTTCCAAAAGATGTATGACATGTCATATATCTATCTAATTATTATCTGGACAATTTGTGTTTATTCCTCTGAAATCTGTCTTATGTATTAATAATTGATTTTCTATCTTATGAATTACTCTGCCATGTAAACACTTGTGCCATGTAAACACGTGTTCTTCTAACAGTAACAAGCTAGTCATCCCTTAGTTTAATGAGCATGCAATCTAATTCATCTTCTAAGTTTTGACACAAATATTAAATAATACTGACGGAGACTTTCCCACCCCTTGAAAAATAAAACTCAAGATTTTTCCCCAGGCTGATTATGGCACATTGATTTCTACCTATCTCTGAATCAATAGACAAGGGAGAGAAAAATACACAAATCAAGCTATGAATACATTAGTTGTAACTCCATTGTCAGTGAACCAAATGGAAGAAGTTAGCCATGTGGTAGCAGGATGTTTTTAAAGCATACTTGCAGATACTAAAAATATTGGAATAGTTCAATTTCCATAAAGAGTAGAAAATCTGTTGCATCAAAAACCAGAAGAATATTATTCAGACAACTAAATGTTAAATGAAGTACATTCTAAAAAAATGGTTATTTTCCATGTGATCCCGTTTCTTTTTTTTTTTTGGAAATTGTGAAGGGAATACTCTTCTGTGATCTATGAAAATGGTTAGAATACTAATAATTATTATAAATTTAAATTTCAAATGCAGATCAAGTTGTTTATAGTTAGTTAGAAATACTTTTATAATTTTCTAACCCTCTGGGCTATACAAGAGGAATGGATTTTTTTTTCGTTTAAGAAATAATTTAAAACTTAAAAGAGTGACATGATTTAATCTGTACATAAGGCAAAATGAGACTTCTGAATGTTAATTTTAGTACCCAGAACAGAATATAACAGCATTATGCAACAATTGTACATGCTCTTGGGCAATTTATCATTTTTAGTATGAAATGCTATACAAAAAAGTATATGAGGGGAAGCACTATAAAGTAGGTTAATGTTTGGAAAAATGCAAATAACTTTAAAAGTACAGATTAAATTTTTACCACTAAAAACCTAAATATTCCTAAGCAAAACAAATGCTCAGATTTATCTGATCTACTTGACTTTGAAAAGTAAATATGAGATATCATTTTTGGTATATTCTCATTTTTGTAAATAGAATGTTCAGGATAAACATGATTTTTACTGATTAATAATCATATCTTTTTCTTAAAAAGTTGATTAGGCCATTTTGTTTTCCCAAAAAGCTTTTAGCAAAATATCTATTTAAGTTACTCTTAATAGGTCTCAATTTTTAATTGAAGTTCTATTTATAAACCTCATACCCAATATATGAGTCTGTATCACAAACATACACACACACATGCATGCACACACAAAGTGCATAGGTGTGCATATGCACTTACAAGTAAGCGTGTGTGTGTGTGCAAAAACACTTCAAAGTCTTGGCAAACACTTAAAAGTCTTATTTCAGAACATTTGGGTACTGGTAAAAATTGACAGTCATCTGAGTTCATTCAAACCAGTCAACAACTACAATCATTTATTATGATTGTGGAAAAAATCTAAAGCTATCAGATCATTACATCATTACCATTTGTGGTTTTATTGTTGTTAATTGCACAAAACAGGTACTCAATAATAATATTGACTCAGGTAAGTGATAATGTTAACAGTTATGATCTAGTCAAAATTTTACTAAACAAGTCAAAGAGGTATAAATTTGACACTTTGCTATAATGGATTTTTAGTTCCTTAATTACACAATATTTACTCATTAAAAATATACCAATGATAATTATTATATGAGTCTACAATAAATTATGCTGAGGAAATTATTAATCAAAAAGTGTAGCATTTTAGGGGGAACCAGCCAAAATGTATTCATTCATACCCAAAGGCTTATTTAAAGCCTACTTGTTACTTTTGGTGCTGAGTTTTTAGAATAGAATAATAATAATAACAGAACTGGAATCTTGCTTTCATAGCACTTATTTTCTAGGGAAGAAAGAGAAAGTTAAATAAACTCATAAAGAAATCAATACAGAAAATTCCAATTGTTTGTTTAAAATGTATTAAAGGAATTAAATAATCTAAGAAAGAAAAATTCAGATAATGCAAATCCCAAGATAAGATGAGTAAAGGCCAATTTGAAGAGAGGAGATTTGAGCTGAGATGAGAAAGAAGTAATGCTATTTTTTTTATATATATATATATATGTGTGTGTGTGTGTGTGTATGTGTATATATATATGTATATATGTATATATATGTGTATATATGTATATATGTGTATATATATGTATATATATGTGTATATATGTATATATGTGTATATATATGTATATATATGTGTATATATATACATATATGAGTTATGAGAGGACATGAATTTTATATATATATCTATATATATATATACACACACACATATATACATACATACACAAACATATTCTGGGCTAGAGATACACATTAAAGAATAGCAGAATAGAGGACATACATAAAACTATGAAGCCAGATTAGATTACCAGTAAGAATAGAAAGGAGGAAAAGAAGGACTGGAATCAAGCTCTCAAGCAAAATTAAAATGCTGACAAGGAGTAGCCAGTGCATTAAGAGAAAATAAATACAGTGCATTAAGAGAAAATAAATAAGAAGATATAGAGGTACAAAAACTGAGAGAGGAGAGTATTTTGAGGAAGAGATCAGGGTCATAATTTTAGTGTACTTCTAAGAAATCAAGTGAATGAGGACAAAGAAGTGTTCAACAAATTTCATGGCAGAGATTCATTAAGGACCTTAAGAAATTTAGGGAATATGGAGGAGGCAGACATCAGAGAGCACAAGTAGGTATGATTTCCTACTCATTTAGAAATGTCTGGAGATATTTTTGATTGTTACAATCGGGAGAGTACTTCTGGTATCAAGTGGGTAGGGCCAGAAATGCTGCTTAACACACTACAATGGATAGGATAACACACTACAAAGTATCCTGAGCAAAATGTTGGCAGCAGTGAAATTGAGAAACCCTTCACCACAATGTCAGCATCTCCAGCCAAGCTTTCAGTAGATAGTTATCATGTCATATTATGTAATAATAAGCCTGTAAAACAAAATGATTCTAAGGTGAATCACCAATGTAGTTATTTTATTGGTGTTTTAACATTTCTTTTTTTCCCCTCACTTACTCAGTCTCTTTTGCTTGCTCCTGTTCTTCACCCCTCTTAATAATGAAATACCCCAGGCTCAGCCCTTAGTCCTCTACTCTCTTCCCTTACTTCCTTGTTGAGCTCACATAGTTTCATGGTTTAACATATATCGACATGCTAACATAATTGATATCATCCCCTGTCCAACTGCTTACTTTGTTTTTCTTTTGTATCTAAAACAAAACCTTGAAACTAGCATGCCCCAAAATAAACTTCACATTGTATCCCCCAAATCCACCTTTGTAATCTCATTTAACGACAACTCTATTTTTCACATGTTTAAAATAAGCATCTTGGAGTCATTAGTTGTTGCTGATTCCTTTCCTTCTGTCATAACTCATAAATCAGGCAGTCTTGTTGAATACACCTTCAAGGTATGTCCAAGAGTTGGCTACTTTATATTAGCTTTGCTGAATCATTAGTTGTTGCTGATTCCTTTCCTTCTGTCATAACTCATAAATCAGGCAGTCTTGTTGAATACACCTTCAAGGTATGTCCAAGAGTTGGCTACTTTATGTTAGCTTTGCTGAAGGCACCTAGGTTTGAGCCAGGCATCTTTCTTTTGAATTGGTTCAGTAGCCTCCTAACTTCTCTCCTTGCTGCACTTTTCACTCACAACCCAGCAGTCAGAATGCCAAAAAGTGAAAACGATTCCTTATACTGTTTCCTCAAAGTCCACAGTTCCCTTAATAGACAATCAATTTGTTCTGTACCATGCAAATATTTTTGTATAAATTTACATGCTGGTACATCTAGAGCATTTTTAGAAGCTTAAGCTATAATTGTCATAAAATAAGCTCTACATATTCAAATATACACAGCATATACAATTTCACAAGTTCTGACCATCATCGCAATCAAACTAATGAACGTGTCTATGACCTCCAACTCTTTCCATATGGTCATCTAATTCCCTCAGTAATCTATTCCCCCAGACCCTGCCCACTTCTCTCCCATCACCAGGCAACTACTGATTTGTTTTCTTCCTTGTAGATTAGTTTGCTCTTTCTAGAATTTTATGTATATAGTAAGTACCCTTTTTTCTCTGTCCCCTTTCACCCAGCACAATGATTGTGAGATTCATCCATATTGTTGCATATATCAATAAGGCATTCTTTCTTTGGCTGTTACGTGGATATACCATCATTTGATTAGCTATTTACCTATTTATGAACCTACATACTTGTATGTCACTAGGGTTTTTTCAATATGTAGTAGAATCTTACCATAAAAAGTCATTTCTGCTGTTTACTTTGTTCACTAAACAAGTTTTGAGACCTTACCGTGTCAGCTAATTTTACCTATGCCATTTTTTAATGATTGCACTCATAGTATGTATATAACATCCTTCATTTCAATATTTATATTTTGAGATACATAATTCGTTTGATTTTTGTCTTGTTATTGCAAATAATGTCTTAGCGGTCATCTTCAAGTATAAGGGTAACAAAGCCTGTATTAGATAGTCCAGGCATTTTATGAAGTGAAAATGCGAGATTAAAGAGTATTCGCACTTAATTTTGAATAAGTACTTTCAGATTGCCTTCATAAAGGCTACTTTTAAAAAATGATCAGCAATATATGAATTTGAATTTTTCCTAATGCTATTGCCAAAACCGGCATCAAAATACTAATAAACTTTTGCCAATTGTTTTTGATGTGTATTTTCTATACTGTGAAGTTTGAACATATTTTCTCATGTTTTATTAAACATTCAAAATTCTGCTTCTTCCAAGGGTCTTATTTTGATCTATGCTTATTTTTTTCCTTAAAATGTTTCATTTTCCATAAGATCTTATTATGCACTATTTATATACTGTAAATACTGAGCTTTTGTAAGATATACACCCCACACACAAAAAAAATTCCTTCAAATGAATTTGCTTTGTTTCTGATGGTTTTTGCTATATAGAAGATTTACTTCTTATGTAGTCAGATCTGACTGTCTTTTCCTTCAGTGTTTCTGGACATCACATCATATTTAGGAAAGTCTTTTATCCAGCACATGCACACATTTTCTATTCTTTCTTTTAATACTTTTACTTTTAAATATTTATGTTTCTGATGTATCTGAATGCATTTATGTGTATATGGTTTGATGTAGAGATTTAACTTCCACCCTAAATATTAGTCTTTCATTTCTCTGGTGATTGAGTAGGGATTTCTATTGTTCTGTGGCACTAAACTCTCAAAACGTATACGTGAGTATGGAGTCCCCATCCTATTCTTTGGATCTCTTTGTGGATCTGTGCACCATTAACATATTTTAAAAATGTTCTGTAGCATTATAGCATATCTCTATATATGAACTCCACAGTCATTCATTTAAAAATTATTTGAAAATCTTGCATTTTTTATTTCTAAAATTGTTTTGGAATATTATAAGAATAAACACATTAGAATTAGATTGATGTTGCATTGCATTTCTAGATTAATTTGTGAGAAGTCACATCTATTATGAAATCCCTATGATAGAGATCCTAATAATGAATCATTCTTGTGTCTGAAGGGTTATAGTATGTCATGCATAATTGGCCTTCACTGAATAGTAAATATTTTTATAACCATAGTAAGAAATACATGGTTTTCCTTGAAAGTTTAATTTCAAAGTTTTTTTTTTTTGCTAGTTATATATTGCCTAACAGGAAATGTGAGTATGTATCTTTCTCCCAAACCTTAAAGAATGAAGTTGTTGTATGTACTATGAAAGTTGAAAGAATAATTATAAATTATATGTGGCAAAATGAATTCACAAATAAATAGTTATATAATACTTACATAGCCTCACCAGCATCTGCTATTTTTTTGATGTTTTAATAATAGCCATTCTAACTTGTGAGAGATGGGATCTCGTCGTGGTTTTTTAGATTCCATATTTTGTCCACCTTTGTCTTAGAAAAACCTCGATTTAACTTTCCCTCTCTTCTCCCTGGAGTTCATTAAGTTAGTCTCCTCTGGTTTTGTCTATCCACCCCAGACCCAAGCCATTCTCCACACCATAGCCAAAATATTCTTAAAACATTAACCTGATCATCGTATGTCCCTAAGTAAATTATTCTGCTGGATATCCTTTAAAAAACCATTGGTTTACAAGCCTCTTAGTCATTTTCAGCCTCATCTCCCATCACACCTCTCCCATTTTCTTACATAGCTATAAACAAGCACATATATATCCCCAGACACAACGTTTTGTTCCAGCCATACATAGGCCATATTTCGCTACCAAGAATGCAACTTTTTATCTTCCCTTCAAAGTCATTTACATGCTATTTTTTTCTGTCTTCCTTAATTTTGCTAATTAACCAAAGCTCTTTTATTAAAAAGACACTACTTATATTATTATTATACTTATTATCACCTGGAGAATGGTCTTGATCTTGTTGAAGCATCAGAGATCTCATCCCACATAATGTGTTTTTAGGTCTTCCAAAGGCTCTGTTGTCATTTGAAGGGACATGCTCAAAGAAAGACTGAAGAATGTTAATTTTATGCCTAGAAAGTAGCCTACAAGGTGACCCCTTTATTTTTCTAGGTTCTGTTTAGACTTGGAAATTTTATTGTCAGTTTAAGGAGTAATAAAATGCTAGAAAATTATAATGAAGCTGGCAAGAAAATGATCTACGAAACTCAGCATTTCCTATATTTACCTAGCACGTGTGTGCACACACACGTATTCATAATCTGAATGAATTTGATGGATGAGAGACACTGAGATATAAGAACACAATTTATTTTGTGTATATCATATAGATCATTCATATATACATGCACATCTGCTTCAAAGACTAAAATTCCTGTTGATCCACAAGGAACTTACCTAATGATTCTGGAAACACACTGTCATTTGCTTCTCTTAACTTTTCTATGTGTTTGTTACTGTCTTCATCCTCTTTCTGATAGATACATAATTTCTTTATTAAATTCAATTCCTTTTGGTTGCAAAATGATTATATAAAGAAGTTATGTAGGTAAGATGATTGAAATAGGTTAGGTATAAACATTGGGAACACTGGTGATAGACACAAACTGAACACATGTAATTAAATGAGGGTGCAGCAGGTAGTTGGCTCTTCTATTCTGGAATGTTAGCCTGGTTTCGATATACCAAACCGTGTAGGCTTAATTTTCAAGAAAAAAAACAAAACTTTGGATATGTAATGTGACATGTTAATTTTAAAAGTTAGAATCTACTTATTTTTTTTTTTAATTTTAACTTAAATTTACTCCTCAACCAATCGTTTTGACAGGTTTACTCTCAGGTAACCCTGAATTATTTCTCGAATGTTATGCATGTTTAAATTGTAATTGTCAGAGGTATCCTACTTCCTTATTTCCTTATTTCACATATGTGAATGACCTGGAAATAAGGAAGGAGAATAATATCGGAATTAGCACCCCAAGCACCAACAAATTATTCACTCACTAACTAATGCCTAAAAATGAGCAATTACCATAGATATGTATTTAAGGCTATATGAAATGCACACTTACCCAGAATGGATAATATTTCAAACTGTTATACAATTTACTGTTTAGGAGCTAGACATGTTCAAAGACCATCTAATCCAAAGTCTTTATTTTATACACCTTATAATATACAGAGAAACTAGGACTAGGATTTAAATCAGTTCTTCTGATTCCAAATTCAGTGTGTTTTATAATCATCTGTGATATCTTTGTTTTTCTGATAGTGTGAATAAAGCTTTAGAGAGCCAGTCTTTCTTTTTATGGAGGACCGAGGTGAATCAGGAATAAAAGGTTAAAGAACACTGAAGAGGCTTAAAAAAAAAAGAGTAACAAAATCACATATATTATTGAGTCTTTAATTCAAAGACAAATTTGGTCTTTTTCAACAACTGAGAATTATGTCTGAAGTTTCTTTTTCGTCTAATAGAAGTTTATTCCAAGTTGACATGGTCCTAATGTAGATCATTGCAGCCTTAAAATTACTCAGATTGAAATAATCTATTGTTCAGTATAAATCATAAATAGAAGCCAAAGTTTTCATCTCTGCAATAGTTTTTTTTAATCGCGTACACATTCTAGCTCTAAATATAACTTTTTCTTAGTTCACTTAGGATTTCTCCACTGCTGTATGAGCTCCTTGATTGATATATGAAATATTTGGATATTTTAATAACATTACTAAGTCAATAGAATTTAGTAATATTTAGAATTTGTGTAGTCATTATTTTACATCCACTCATTGGAAGTGAATCCGATTCATATTTTGAGGAGCAAAATGTAAATAGTCTTTTCATTTAGTAAAATATCCTACAGAGACACACACGCACACAATTTCTTGACAGTGGTTCTACATCTTTGTTTTAATACAATTCCATTGGGAGATAACTAACTTTAATAAAACAACTCAAATTTTCTATTCTTAGATGTACACCAAGATGAAAAAAATCACAAATAAATATGTGATATCACCTCAATGTATCCTGTGTAAACTAAATTTTCTTAAAGTATATTGCTAACTGTAAGAAATTTGTTAAAACAGACAGCAGTATTTTCATGGCTCAAATGCTTGAACTCCCCTGTCACATGTTTTTCCTTTTTCCTGTTTTAAAACAAATGTCTTCAGTGACTTATATCTTCAGTTTATTGAAGCTGGAATTGTGACAGATACCTTACAATCTACACCTATAAAGGATTAGTAATTTAAACTAGTAACCTCTAATTTTGTTACAATCAAGCTGTCACTTTTTTTGTAAGATGTAAGGGTTTCATTCATTTGACTAATGCATTCCTACAAAGAAGGATGCCTCAGGTCTCAAAACTGGCTGTGTATTTAGAGAGCTTGTTAGAAAAGAAATCGTCTGTCTGAAGAAAGCAGTCAAAATGTGTCTTCCACTCTGTGCAACAAGATGAGAAATGCCCTTTTGTTGTCAGGGAAGCTGCATGCTTCTGCAGTCTCTCAAACAGGACACATTTGATTAGTGTCTCTATTTCATGGGTGTGCCTGTCTAGTGAGCTAGCCAATGGGGCAAGTGAAATTTTTATATTTTCTTCTCTCCAATCTGGTATGCTTGTTTGTTTTGCTTCATGATTTTTTAAGGCAAGTAGCTTAGCTCTCCTGTTCTGTTTTCCCATGTCAATCTTCATTTCCACTCTCAGAATGTCAGTGTACTTTTCCTGTGTGTTTCCATTTTTTTGTGTTTACCTGATTGATTTTGGTAACTCTCCTTAAATAAATTGTGTGATCATAATATGAAGATCCAACAGGGGTTTCTGCCTTTCATCTTCCAGTGAACATCCATTCAATATCAGACTCCCTTTTATATGGTTAATACTATTCAGAATCCTGGTCAAGATGTGAATGGTAGAGATTATTTCATTCCTGTGAAGCTCAGTACAAAGGGTGATTTCCTAATTTGGCCATAGGTTGAGAGTAGGTTAATATGTTGTCACCTTCTGATAGGGTTGTCTTCTTCCTCCTCTGCTCCTTTCTTCCCTCTTCCTCCTTATTGTCTTTTGTTTTGTTATTCTCTCTTCAGTGTTGAAAATAAATAAGCATTTAGTTTATTGTGAGTCATTGAGGATGAACACCTGGTAACATCTCCACCCTCTGCCATTATTCTCTGAGAATCATCTTGTCATTTATGATATCATAAATTTAGTTTGAATTAATTGCATGTGTCTATTTTTTACCCCATATTCTAACTGCTTTAGTTGTTACTTGAATGACATTAGGGATTCCTTGTTCCAGAAGAAGGAGAATAAATGTATATATTAAATGGCTCTGCAAGTCATCAATATAACTTGTACTTATCATGAAAAGTAAGTTTTTTTTTTCGTTTTTCTAATCCATGTTCTTTACCCTAGAAATGTGACCTAAATTTATCCTTCTACAATTCACCCTTAGTAAAATCTTCACCAGCCTGTTTACTTGAAAAAGTATCACTAAATCAAACTTCTGAATGCTCTATGAACATTAGGAAACTGGGTTATTAATTGGCATCAGTCTAGGTTTAGAAGTCTAAAGTTGAAGGATAATCAGAATTTTTTGAGAATGAATTAAATGAAATGAAAATCCTAAATTCAACAGAAGTGGAACTTGCATGGAATATGACATATTTTACCAGGGATACCATGAGGATTGAAAATAAGGTGTAAACATTTACATCTCACAAACAGAAAATAGATACTTTTTCTATGCTCAATCAGACAAAGGGCATTATAAGTTTTATGTCATAAAGGTTTGTGTCATAAGTGTTAGAAAATTACACATATGCTTCAGCAGGCTTAAAACAGCTTATAATGGTGATTTTTCCCATTGTCTTTCATGTTTGTAGATTTATGATTCACACTGACATGCACATGACATTTGGTGATATATTTACTTTTAAATGATGACAAGTTGAAAATAAAAATACGGTTAGCTTAAATGATACTGGAGCATTTGAAAATGATTTTTTGGTTTGGCTAGGACAAATATTTATATTCTAAACATCTATGAATATTATTTATATGACATTTCTAGAGTATACTGTATTGCGGAGTGCTTTACATTTAATTCAGGTAACTGAGATATCACTGGTTATATGGATAACATTTATTGTTAAAGTTGAGAAATAGGGTAATAAAATTTCATAATTTCAGTTTTAAAGTCCAATAGGTCAAAGAACTGATCATAAACAGCATTGGAAATTGTCTATGGATTCTGTGTTTAATGTAAGCCGTATTTTCCTTGAGATCCCAGTAATCATGCGGCAGACAGTGATTTGCAATTCCTGTTTCTTGGCATCCCGTGTTCTTTTTGAGATGTTCAGTTTCTTTTCTTTTAATCCAAGTCCACTGATTGATAATATTGGTTCCTCCGAACCCACACAAGAAGACTTCATGTGTTAAAAACTCATATTTCCACTGCTTCTCAGGTCTTAAAGATGCTGTTACGTATTGATTACACATCTAGTTGTAATCACCTTCAAATAATTGTTTCTACTCTTGCCATAATACCCCTGGGAATACCTTCTCACTTTTGGTTATGCACAATAAACCTAGCCATGTCAAATTAATTACTACACTAGTTCCTGCTCAAAGTGATCAAGTTAATTGAAGGGCACAGAAAATAAGTTATTTTTCTTGCTGTCCAGTCTCAATGAATTCTGCTACCTTTGTCTCACAGTAATACAGTAAAACAGAATGTTAAGATAATCCAACCTATCAAATGTAAGATAAATAACAGATATTGTGACTTTCCTCAAAAGATGTTAAGATATAGTATTACCCTAAATGTGTCTAGCCATACTAATCATTTTTTCAATTGTAGAACAAAATTATGTGTGGTGAGGATGCAGAGCATCTGAGTTTTTCTCACATTGCTGAAAAGATCGTAAATTGCTACAAACTCTTTGAAAATTTTTTCTAGCAGCATCCTATCAAGCTAAGTGTGCATAAACTTGAAGACACTAATTCTATTCCTTGGTAAATACCCAAAGAAATTGAGTGTTTGTATCCATCAAAAAAAAAAAAAGTACTAAACTATCCATAACTTTAGTTGTAATGGCCTAAGACTGTAACCAAGCCAAGTGGATATTGTCAGAACAGTAAACAAATACTACTGAGCAATGAAAAGATTAAAAATTGATATATACAAAATAAGGATACATTTCATAGTCATGATGTTGAACAAAAGATTTCTGGAATGAAAGACTATGATTCTTTGTTACATTTTACGCCACTAATCTGTGGTGTTAGATATCAGAATTATGGTTACTCTAAGGAAAATATTGACTGCAGGAAGTCACGGGTGAACCTCCTATGGTTCTGGAAATATTTCAGCAGAGTAATGGTTAAACAGGTGCAATCTGGTTAAACTCCAGTGATCTGTACAATTAAGATTCATGCAGATAATACATCTGCAAAGATTGAAAATAGCATTAAATATCTTTTTGACATCTATATAGCAATTAACTCATGACTATGTTCTTACAATTCCCCCATAACTTCAATGTAAAGATACAGAAAACTCCGCTAATTTCCTGTTGAAAATACCGTGGTGTGTTGTTTTGTTTCCTTGTAGTGTCCTGAATTTAAAAGGCCCAGGGACATTGCAGTTGACTGGGTGGCTGGAAACATTTACTGGACTGATCATTCTAGAATGCATTGGTTCAGTTACTACACTACTCACTGGACCAGTCTGAGGTACTCTATCAACGTAGGGCAGCTGAATGGCCCCAACTGCACCAGACTCTTAACAAATATGGCTGGAGAACCCTATGCTATTGCAGTAAATCCTAAAAGAGGGTAGGTTAATGGCTTAGTATTTCTATTTCTTGATAATGAATATCCTTTTTAGAAATTATGCTCTATAGATTTTGTCTCTGTAATGAGTGTTCAATGTGTAATAGTGTCACATGCTTTTAAATATCCTTGTACTATTTCTTCTGTAAAAAAGCATGTCCTATTCATACCAAATGATGATACAAATTTTTTTTCTGAAATATTCCTGTATTATGCATTCAGTATGCCTGTGTGTCTGTATGTGTGTCTGTGCATGGTTATATGTGTGTATTGCAGAATAATGAGCCTGGTGTGATGTTTATAATCTAAAATTGAATTATTAAAATATTAAACGTAATATCAAACACATTACATGTAGAGTACTAACATTTTTCTCTATGGTAATAAAAGATGAAGGTACACACACACACACATATATATATACACATGCACACACACACACAAATTTAAAGAGTGTGTTACAGACATTTCCTTCTTTTAGTTAGAGATGTAAACCTACAGGCAATGGCCAAAAAGGAAATAGAAAAATGTTAACTAAAAATCTTAATCATCTATAAGTGGATTGATAACTCCTGAGTAAAAAGAGACAACTTATACTTAATTATTAGAATTATGCAGTCTTCCAAATTAAAGAATAATTTCTGTTTGGGAAAATAGTTACTTCTCTATAAAAAAAATAGCGTGTTCATACAGCATCCATAATAAAATGACTATTCTGTTAAAACAAAAGGGGAGTTTCATGTGGTGGAAATATTTTTTCTCTGAGTTTTAATGAAATTTTCAAAATTGAATTTTGGATATTAAATAATGAGCTGTAGTACATCATAGTATACAATGATTCTCAAATATTAACGTGTGTAGGCAAGACTTTCTTTAAAATGTTGATTCCCCAGGCCATTTATTGGAGGTTCTCATTCTGTGTGTTTTGAGTTGACTCTTTTTAAGAGACTCTGGGGTGATTCTGAGGCACGTGGTCTGAAGAGCCACTGCTTTGCGGAGCAGAGTCTGGTTATAGCAGCACCATCACCAGGCTAACCTCTCTGACCCGCTCTCTTCAGGATGATGTACTGGACTGTTGTTGGGGATCATTCCCATATAGAAGAAGCAGCCATGGATGGTACACTGAGAAGGATTTTAGTACAAAAGAACTTACAGAGACCCACAGGTATGATTTCTGACACACGCTAAAATATGAAGCAGAATGACAAGTATATTACTGTTAACAGTTATTTCTAGTGTTGTTGGCAATATAAGTATTTTTACAAGTGGATAAAACTATTTAGAGTATGATTTTATGAAGTTATTTACATTTCATTTCCTATTTTCTCAACTTGAAAATCAGGTCCTTATACTGTCAGTTACATTACAGGAATATTATTTGAAACTTGCCTAAGTTGTAAGGCTATTAGTCGGATTTCACAGGCATGAAATTTTGACAGTTTATAGCAATACATATACATTAGGGTATTTTTACAGATATATGTTAATGGAGTTGGGATATTTGGAAATATTCCTAGAGAATGAGAGATGAAATGAACAAATAGGTGGCTAAATATAAATACCTTATGTAAAAGACAGGTTTGGTGTTTTTTTTTTTGTTTTGTTTTGTTTTGTTTTTTTTGCCTTTTCATTCAGAGCTCTTTTCAATATGGCTTTAATCTCCCTGGCCACCTTGCCATCTAAGCTACTACTCCAAAGCATCTGTGTTCTCAGGACTGCCCAGAAGTTCAGATCTTTTCTGTCTTCATGATCTTTCTCCCATGCCATTTTTCTCCCAGCTCCCCCATCTGGAATGTCCTTCCAACCTTTGTCTACCTAGTTATATCTTTCCCATCTTGTACATCTAACTTTGGCACTTCTTCAGTAAAACATTTTCAGACTACAGGAGCCTCAAGGGCTCTGTGCCACCTACCCTCCACCGACTATACCTCCACAGAAAGGACATAATGCATTGTTCGTAGTACATATTATTTAATAATTATGCATTGTAATATCTTTTGTAGTTTAAACTATTTATATTTAGTGCTTATATTCTTATTAATCTTTAATGTGTTTTATACCTTTCCATTCATTTAGATTGTTTTTACTCTTTATGGGGAGAAGCAATATTTGAAATTTAGTCTATTTACATAAATCTGTTTTCATCCCATGCTTTAACAAATATGCCCATTGAATGTCTACCATGTGCCAGAAATTGTTCCAAATGCTGAAGAAACAATGTGAAGCAAGTTCTAACCCTCATGAAATCTATCTTCCTATAGAGGATAGAATATGTATTTATATATACTGTCACATTGTTATACATGCTATACAGAAAAGCAAAGTAAGAGATGGGCTGTCAATGGAGGTACTATTTTAGTTATGATCAGAGAAGTTATCTGTAGCAGGGGGATATTGAAAGAGAGACCTGACTAAAGAGAGGCAGCAAGTGAAGTGAATATGAGGAAAGAGTTTTTTAAGAAAATAGAATAGTACGTTCTGAGTAAGGAATTAGCTTAGCATGAAAACAGAAAGAAGGTGAGTATGCCCAGAAGCATAGAAACAATTCAAGAGAATGGAAGATATGAGGATGGTAAGGTGACTCAAATGCAAAACTGGATTCTATTCTAGCTTTGAAGAGAGCTATTTGAAGAATACGGCAAGGTAAGTGGCATAATCTCAAACACAGTTTTTATTTTTAAAATACTTCTTTGGTGTTATTTTACATAATCATTATTAATAGTATATGTAACATGTTTTTATTTTAAAGAATGACACTGGCAGCAGTTTGTGGAATTACCTGTAGCACGGTACTTAGGCGAGTGCCTAAAATGAGAATTCTTGTAAAAGTCATTTATGACGGTAGTTGTATGCAGAAGAAAGCTGTAAAGACAGAGGGAGAGAAGGGGAAGGAGCACAGTAAACTGTGTTTCAGGTCGAGGCTAGTCTTGGTTTGAGCCACTATTTGGAGTATAAATTTATGACAGGCAAGGGGATCTGCTTTTGATATGCCCCATCAATCATTAATTGGCCTTGGGGCTGTGATGTTCCAAGCAAAGCTGCTTCAACCAGTTAAGCACAATTATCTGGAGAAGGAGGGTATGTGCGAGTCCTCACTACAAAAGCACCAGTGAGGAATTGGATACTCCTGTTTAGTAAAGGAGATCTGCATAAGGCACCACAGTGTCTCCAACACTGGGACCAGTGACAGATGCATGGATCTGACACTTTCCATGTATTACCCATTCTGCTCAACAACTCTTATGGGCAACTTAGTGATAAACAAAACACAGTCCTTTTTCTCACAAATTTACGTTAGAGAAAGAAAAAAAAATGAGGCATATGCAGAATTGTAGTTTTTGCAAAAGGTAAGAATTGTGTCATTGTCGTGTTTTATAACAGCAGAGTTCAAAGGTGAGAAAGATAATCTCCAATAAAGAAAAACTGTGTGAAAAGTGACATTTGAATAAGTACTTGAGGGATAAACAGGTAATCCATCATGAGGAAATTTTTAAAAAGCTCTTCATTGGAGTCAGATACACCTGGTTTTGAATCTCAAGGGATTATTTATTAGCTGTGAGACCTCAGAAATGAATTTATTACCTTCAAACCTTGGCTTTATCAATAGAAAATCAAAAGATTGGCTGGGTGTGGTGGCTCATGTCTGTAATCCCAGCAATTTGGGAGGCCAAGGAGGGCAGATCACCTGAGGTCAGGAGTTTGAGACCAGCCTGCCCAACATGGCAAAACCCTGCCTCTACTAAAAATACAAAAAATAAGCCAGGCATGGTGGTATGTACCTGTAATCCCAGCTACTCGAGAGGCTAAGGCATAAGAATTGCTTGAACCCAGGAGGCGGAAATTGTAGTGAGGCAAGATCCCACCATTACACTCCTGCCTAAGCAACAAGAGCGAAACACCCTTTTAAAATTATATATATATATATATATATGTATATATATAGTGATAACTAACTTTAAAAATGCCAGATATATGAAATAATATAGTCCTCTGAGCCAGGGGCTCCAATGTACAGCATATGGATGCTCTGCTGATGTCAGGAATCATGGCACATGTAGAAGGGCACAGGTTGGGTGACATAATATGTGAGAAGAGAACACCTTAAATGCCAAAGGGCTTCAACATAACTTTTTAGCCAATATTGAGCCATTGTATAATTTTAAGGAGTGATTCGAATATGTGCCTTCAAATGACACACTGATTATTATTGTTATTGGGCACCGTATAAGACACAATAAAAATATGTTGTTTCAATCAAGTGTGTGGCAGGTAAGCAATGTGTTCCATGACAGCAGGAACATGAAATATTTTGCTGAGGATAATGGCTTCAAGCTGCATCCACGTCCCTGCAAAGGACATGATCGCATTCCTTTTTATGGCTGCATAGTACTCCATGATGTATATGTACCACATTTTCTTTATGCAGTCTATCATTGGTGGGCATTTGGGTTGATTCCGTGTCTTTGCTATTGTGACCAGTGCTACAGTGAACATACACATGTGTGTATCTTTACAATAGAATTATTTATATTCTTTTGGGAATATACCCAGCAATGGGGTTGCTGGGCCAAATAGTATGAAATACTATTGTAGTACTATCTAATAGTATGAAGTACTATTAGATTATTTCTCTAATAATCAGTGATGCTGAGCTTTTTTTCATATGTTTGTTGGCCAAAGGCATGTCTTCTTTTGAAAAGTGTCTGTTCTTGTCCTTTGCACACTTTTTACTGGGGTTGTTTTTTCGTGTAAATTTGTTTAAGTTCCTTGTAGATTCTGAATTTAGACTTTTGTCAGATGGGTGGATTGCAAAAATTGTCTACCATTCTGTAGGTTGTCTGTTCACTCTGATAGTTTATTTTGCTGTGCAGAAGCACTTTAGTTAAACTAGATCCTATTTGTCAATTTTTTCTTGTTAACAATTGCTTTTGGCATCTTCATCATGAAATCGTTGCCTTTGCCTATGACCTGAATGGTATTTCCAAGATTTTCTTCTAGGAATTTTATAGATTTGGGTTTTACATTTAAGTCTTAAATCTATATTAAGTTAATTTTTGTATAAGGTGTAAGGAAGGGGTCCAGTTTCAATTTTCTGCATATGGCTAGCCAGTTCTCCTAGCACCATTTATTAAATACAAACTCCTTTCCCCATTGCTTGTTTTTGTCAGGTTTGTTGAAAATCAGATGGTTGTAAATGTGCAGTCTTATTTCTGAGCTCTCTATTCTGTTCCATTGGTCTATGTGTCTGTACCAGTACCATAGCTTTTGGTTACTATAGCCTTGTAGTATAGTTTGAAGTCAGGTAATGTGATGCCTCCAGCTTTGTTCTTTCTGCTTAGGATTATCTTAGCTATACGGGCTCTTTTTTGGCTCCATATTATTATTATTATTATTATTATTATTATTATTATTATTATTGAGACAGAGTCTTGCTCTGTCGCCCAGGCTGTAGTTCAGTGATGCTAGTCTGGTTCACTGCAGCCTCTGCCTCCCGGGTTCAAGCAATTCTTCTGCCTCAGCCTCCCAAGTAGCTGGGATTACAGGCACCTGCTACCATGCCCAGCTAATTTTTGTATTTTTAGCAGAGACAGGGTTTCACCATGTTGGCCAGGCTGGTCTTGAACTCCAGATCTCAAGCGATCAACCCGCCTCAGCCTCTCAAACTTCTGGGATTATAGGTGGGAGCCCAGCCCATATGAATTTTAAAGTAGTTTTTTTGTTTTTGTTTTTTTTTCTAATTTGGTGAAGGATGTCAATGGTAGTTTAACAGGAATAGCAGTGAATGTATAAATTACTTTGGGTAGTATGGCCATTTTCACAATATTGATTCTTTCTACCCATGAGCATGGTAGGTTTTTTTCATCTTGTGTTTTCTCTGGTTCCCTTGAGCAGTGGTTTGTAGTTCTCCTTGAACAGGTCCTTCACCTCCCTTGTTAGCTGTATTTCTAAGTATTTTATTGTCTTTGTAGCAACTGTGAATGGGAGTTCATTTATGATTTGGCTCTCTGCTTGCCTATTGTTGGTGTATAGGAATGCTTGTGATTTTTGCATATTGATTTGGTATCCTAAGACTTTCCTGAAATTGCTTATCAACTTAAGAAGCTTTTGAGCTGAGAAGACGGGGTTTTCTAGATATAGGAACACGTCATCTGCAAACAGAGACATTATGAATTTCTCTCCTCCTATTTGAATACACTTTATTTCTTTCTCTTGCCTGATTGCCCTGGCAAGAAATTCCAATTCTGTGTGGAATAGGAGTGGTGAGAGAGGGCATCTTTGTCTGTGCCAGTTTTCAAGGGAAATGTTTCCAGCATTTGCCTATTCAGTGTGATATTGGCTATGGGTTTGTCATAAATGGTTATTATTTTGAGGTATGAGGAACATGAACTCTTTTGTTGTCTGCTCTGTGCATAGTACCTGGCAGTGTGTGGTACAGGGGAGGTACCCATGAGTATGTAGGGTTAATGAATGGTGTGTCAGACAAGGATACTTTCCAGCTTTGCATCCAGTAAGGAGAGTATGTAGTATTACATGAGTTTGATTTCAAACTACATTCCTTGATATTTAAAAGCTTATTTACATTGCCTCCTAGCTCCCCCAGATTGCAGCAATTTCTAAGAAAATAAATAACTACATACTGGTCCTGGACCACTCATAATTAATTGTTTGATTCAATAAGCAAATTTGTTGGCCAACATAATGTCTCTAGTTAAATAAAGTGGATATGAATGTTAGGATTATTTTGCTGTTATTTGAATTTAGTTTACCATCACTGTCATAAATAGATGTGTGTGTGTATGTGTATGAAAAATAAGTGTGTTTGTGTGTGTGTATGAAAACATGACTTTAATGTAGTTTCTAATCTGAAACTCTAACAATTTTTTAAAATAAATTTGACATAATGGTATGTATCCAGCTTTTTTGGCTCCTTTATCACCTCTTAAATCAAGAATATGGTAATTCACACTTGGTGGTTATTACTATCTTACAAATTTTGGCTTTCCATTAAAACAGAATGGATATAATTTTCTCTAGTTCTGAAAAACAGTGATTTAAATTTATTGTTCTCTCCAAGTCCTGCCTCTTAATACTGTGGTCATTTCACATAATATTTTGTTTTCTTCATTTTCTTTTTTTTTTTCTTTCATTTTCTTCCAGCCTACAATGGAAATTGGGGAACTAGTAGATCTTAGAAAATTTTAGAGTTTGACAAGAGTGAAATTTTAAAATCCCTAAAATATAAAGTAGTCTTGGTATCAAGGGAGATATACTGAAAATGACTACATAATTAGCTCCATTATCCTGTGTCACTAAAACTTAGTGAGCCTATGTATCTTTTATAAACTGTTCAAATTGTGATTCTATTATACTTAATTAAAACAAGTATGACATTTTATTTCAAATTTTCTGTGCTCCTAGTGACTTGGTTCCAAATATTCATCTTCCTCTGTTCAGATAAAAATGAGTTTCTTGAGAATTGATTTTTTTCCACTTTATTATTGGTTCTTTATTACAGAGCAAAAGAAGACATGATATTTTAAAGATAGACATGAACTTTTTTCATATAAACTTGATTCTCATCTCTGTAACAGGAAAAGTTAGTTGATTCCTTTATTAACTTTTTAATTTAGAAGACTATCTCTTTTATTAAAGGGCTTAATAGAAAATCAAAAGTATTGATTTGTGGATTTTTGGAGTATAAATTCCATTCATCCATAAACTTTGTTATATAATTTTTATCAAGATGTAATTCCATCCAATAGTACAAAATATGGCCAGAGCTGATAAAAGTGGGTCTTAGACAAACCTAGACCAACAATGCAATATGTGACACTTTTGAGACCTTTTTACTGCTTCTGAAAAACAATATTGTTGATTAAATTGGATTACATACTCACTGTTTTCTTCCTTTCTGTGATTATCAATATTAATGTTTTTAAGTCTAAAACTAATGTTACCGGGAACAGGTTTTTGTTTTAGCTACTTCTTTATTGTAGCACATTGGTAGAGGAGAGAGAATCATGTTTTATGTTTTTAACCCTTCTCAGTCAACTGTTTTGAACTATAGGAGCAGCAGCAAAAAACTGGGTAATTTGTGGTTCATATTACTCATAATTCTACATGAAAATGCAAAAACATATCTTCTTACATGACTTCAAATAGCGATTTAATAATTGAGCAGAAACCAGTAAAACAATGACCACTTGCTTAATTATTATTTCTCAGGATCTGGTCAGGCATGATACATCTCTATACATTACTTGAGGAACAAAATATTTAGTTCGATTACATGTGAGCTAAATATTTGTATTTAACTGAAGAATTATTCACTAGTGGTTTCCAATGTGGATTATTTCCATTCTGATTATTAAGTCTTGGTCCAGTTACACAGGAATAAAAGTCTAGCACAGACTCAAAAGTACCTTTCATTCAGTTGCGTTGCCATTAAAATGTACTTCAGTTGCTTATTGAATGTTTTCATTGGGAACACTCTTCAGTTGCCTAAGGTATTTAACTGCATTGTACTTCCGAAGTATGCAATATGTCATATTCAGACAGTAGCTATGTCACAAAAGTTAATCTACAGCAGTGAAGATGTATTATAGAATTCATGAGTCATACATATTACTCTTCCATATTGAAGGAAGTTTACTTTCTTAGATATTCTCTGTGTTGATGATATTTCTACAAAAATATACTGGATGGATTCCAATCACATTCATGAAATCAAAAAATGAAACTAAAAAAGTAGAAAAATATTATTTTTACTGTGTATTATTTCAGTCCATTATCATTCACTGACATCTACCTGTGATGAAACTGAAGACAAGCACTCTCAGAGAAAATTAAATATCACTAGAACCTTAATCGAGAACTTTACTGTTTATTCTTCCCTACCATAAACATTTTTTTTTTTTGAGGCAGGGGGTCTCACTCTGTTGCCTAGGCTGATCTCAGCTCACTGACCTCTGCCTCCCAGGTTCAAGTGATTCTCCTGCCTCAGCCTCCGGAGTAGCTGGAATTGCAGGTGCCAGACACCACTCCCTGCTAATTTTTGTATTTTTAGTAGAGACAGGGTTTCACCATGTTGGCCAGCTGGTCTCAATCTCCTGACCGTCCCGCCTCAGGCTCCCAAAGTGGTGGGATTACAGGCGTGAGCCACCACACCCAGCTAATATCAATCTTTAGTCACATTAACTTCAGCATGCACACAGATATCCGATAACACCGTTGGCCAACTCTGAATGGGTGAAAATATATTTTAATTAAATACATGAACCTTGTATATTCTGAGAACTGTACCTTCGTGAAGGAATTAAAAATACATATACTAATTCATTTTAAATAATGGTCCGATAAATGATTTAAATAATGAATTCATTCTCCATATAATATGAAGATGAAAATGGAAATATTAAAGAAAAGTCTATTAGAGAATAGCTAAAATTAAGAAACCACAAATATGGCTAGAAGGGATATTTAGGACAGACTTTCCTATGTGAAATAAGACTTTTGCTAGAATTTGTTAAGTAAATGCCATGTAGTCTGAACCTATGTATTTGAGATAAAGACTGAGTTACTTTTTCTAATTTCTACAGTTTCATGATGGGCACCAGGTAATTTCTATGATGCTTGAAGACAAATGTCAAGTGTAATTATACAATAAGAAGCAAAAGTATGATTTTGAATGATTTCAAATTTACTTGCACTATTTGTCTTGTGTGTGTTGATTTTGCAGGTTTGGCTGTGGATTATTTTAGTGAACGCATATATTGGGCTGACTTTGAGCTCTCCATCATTGGCAGTGTTCTGTATGATGGCTCTAATTCAGTAGTCTCTGTCAGCAGCAAACAAGGTTTGTGAAGTGCTTTTGTCTTCATTTTTAATTGTTACTGAGAGTGTTAAATACTAATACAAAAATGTAAGTATGGATACTTTACTTTGCATTCTGGATTTTCTTAAATTCTTTCTCCTTTCAACTTATAAGGCTTACTAGTAATTAAAATTTTCATTCCTACTGGAAAAAAATAGAGGCCAGGGCAGAAGTTTGTCCATCTTGACTTGAACAAACATGGCCATTGCTGCCCAGATTCAGAAAATAATTTCATTCTGTGGCTTCCGTGGCTATTCCATTCTGAGCAGAACACTTTCAGTAGTCAAGATCAGCACCTGTGGACACTAACTTTTATTTCAATTGCAATAACAAGCAAACAATGAGTTACTGTATGTAGCAAAATATCACAGTAATGATTGTTACCACCGAAGGATATACCCTTATTCACATAAACAGTGATGTGTCAAAAATGACCATTTAACTCTACCACCAGTGACTGCTTAATCTACTTGTGCTCCTCTGTTGCTATACCGGTTTTATGCCCACCTATCTGCCTGGCTCCTATTTTTTACTGTCTCATATTTCCAGCTCCCTTCTCTTCCTCATACTTTTTCTCTGCCTGGCTGTCTCAGTTCTTTCTGCTGAATTTAATTTCTTCCCTTTCTGTTTCACTTTCTTTTCCCTACTTCAACTCCTTCCCACAATTTTTTTGTAACCACAAATTATCATATCCACTTTAAATTTTTATATTTGCATGTTATATATTTACTGAATATAGCTTTGCTTCCCTTTTTTTAATAACACAGGGAAGTTAAAAGAAAAACAACTAAATCAAATTTTTATTGTGCCTTTGCCTAAAGTGTGTGTGTTTTTTTTTTAATCAATGGCCTCAGATGGAAAAAAAAAAAAAAAGTTCAGATCCCTGTAATTAATTACAATGAAGTTAACTTGTTCTGGCTTTGGTACACATTTTACTATTTCATGAAACAGCAAAGAAAAATATATGAATATAAAGACACTTTATACTTTACAACCTCTAGATAATTAGTAAAATATAAATGTCGTTTTGTTATAAATTTCAGTTTCAAAAGTTAGAATAATTATTCTATAAAATCTCTGAAAATAAATCACAAGATGTGAAAATAATGGTTACTATTATTTTTAGACAAACTAATCAGATGAAGAATGATTTTCATTTAACTGTTTTCTTTATTCCACTTCTGAAATGAATAATAGTAATGTCAAATATTATTTTTGGATTTACTCATTAAAAATCAACTGATTGATTGATTGCTTAATAAACCAGTCATTTGGGCATGTAATTTGATCATTTATTTGATCCAGAACACAAACTGAGTTGTGTAAATTGCCTGTTTGTATACTACAGATAACATTGGCTTTTCTTTTGTCAACTGCATAGCAGAGAGGATTAGTCTGCAAATAATAACCCCCAGAAAATGCTTTGTGATGGTAAAGATGGTTAAATGATGATGGAAGTGTATTTTTATGTTTTAAGTAACATGTTTACTATATTGCATATCCTTACTTCAGATATATTAATTCTAAGAACTTCATAGCTAATATTGTAAATATTCCAATTCTGAAAGTTTATTTTTAAACAGTAATAAGGTTTTCAATATCGTCTTGGATAAACATAGTTTTTAAAGTCTGAGTATATACATTAAAACTTTCATAACTGCCTTTTTAAAATTCCAGGTTTATTACATCCACATAGGATCGATATCTTTGAAGATTATATATATGGAGCAGGACCTAAAAATGGTGTATTTCGAGTTCAAAAATTTGGCCATGGTTCAGTAGAGTACTTAGCTTTAAATATTGATAAAACAAAAGGTGTTTTGATATCTCATCGTTATAAACAACTAGATTGTAAGTATAATATATTATGAAGTTGTCTATATTGGTAAATTATTTTCTTGTATCTCTCAAAATAATATATTTTTAAATATCTTAACTATGTAAATGTCTTAACCTCAGTAACTTAAGTAACTTTAATTTTGATGTCACTAGACTTTTTCAACTTACCAAACTATAGATAATTCTATTTCTGCTGTAATTGGGAAAATGTTCAGCATTTGGCCATGTTTTCTTGAAATTAAAACTGTCTTTCTTACAATAATCTGTTATTCTGTTTCTAAAATTCTTTTATTTTATTATTATTATACTTTAAGTTTTAGGGTACATGTGCACAATGTGCAGGTTTGTTACATATGTATACATGTGCCATGTTGGTGTGCTGCACCCAGTAACTCATCATTTAGCATTAGGTGTTAATAGAACCTTGTGAGTGCATAGACGAACTATCTAAGGAAGGAAATTTATTGTTAGCCATTTTGACTCTTACCACTAATCAACAAGTAACTATCATTCTTAAATATATACAAAAAGAACTCTTCCCAAGAGTTGTATATTTTCTCTGATTTATTGTATATGACTTATTGTTAGTCTCCCTCCTAGAAAGGAGTGGGTAAGTCATTGAGGTAATTAAGGTAATTCTCTTGAAAATATATTTCTAACACAGCTATCAAAAACAGTGAACAACAAAGTGAAAAATAATAATATGGCTGAAATTCTAATGATCAGTTCGCTCTTCAAGATGCTGTTGAAGGGTTATTTGTAATTACTATTTATGGCAAATGAAATGGATTTTATCTTGTTTGGTGCATTTATCTGGAAAGATAACAGTTGGTGTTTATTCAAATCACTTCTCACAACAGATAAAACCAAATAGAGTTTCCTAAAACATCCTGAAATTTTATCCAAAGTCTTGCTGCTCTTTACCAATAATTTGGCATATAAGGTTCCAAGGTTAATATGAGGACAGTTTCTCTCATCCTCCAGTTCTTTTTTATATTCATAGTTGAATATTGCCACATTCATAAAAAGTAGACAAAACCCTGTCTTGAATATAATAGGCATTTGAGTAGTGGTTCTTCCAGAAAAAAAGCCACTCTCATAGTCACCAGCTCAGCTACCTGGGTGCCCTTTCTGTTTAATTCTGATGAAATAATCTCTAGGAAAGGTCAAAAATCAGCTATGACTGCAAAGGATGCTGATTGGATAAAAATTTAAACAAAAATATGTATGGCACACATTTAGACATGCACACAAACTCCTACTTGATGGAAAGGAAGCCACTTTAGACATGTCTTTTCAAAAAAAAAGTCGTATTTTTCATTTATACCTTGTACTGACAAGCTACATATGCATTTTCATCCTTTTTATTAATAAATACAAGGCGGGGGGATTGTTTTTGTCTGTTAGAACAGCTCTGTAAAATAAATAAGCTGTTGAAATGAAGGTCAGATCCCCCCAAAACTTCCATTGGCTTTAGTTTCCAACACAGTCCCAATGGTACTTCAGGTTCTAGGACCAACTCTTATGCCAAAAGCAATTAGAAGCAAAAGTAACAAGGTATAGATTTGAATAATTTCTTCTCTCTTTTGGAAAATATAAATAAGGCAAACTTACTATTAATGATGAGCATTGGGTAATTTTTCTTCACCTATAAAGGAGAATGATGATATTGAGTGAGATACTCCACATCAGTGGAAATTTAATGTGATTACTTTTCAACATTGCTAATTAATCATTTCGCCTTATTTAATTTTATGCTTTTGAAGCCTATTGTATCTATATTTACACACTTCTTTGTTTTCTTTTGTTTCACCAGTACCCAATCCATGCTTGGATTTAGCATGCGAATTTCTTTGCTTGCTAAATCCTTCTGGGGCCACTTGTGTGTGTCCAGAAGGAAAATATTTGATTAATGGCACCTGCAATGATGACAGCCTGTTAGGTGGGTATACTTTATTATTCTGTAAATAATGAATTAATCCTTATCATAAAATTTCACACCTCGTGAAATGGAGTGAAATTATCTGTTCCATCATCAGTTTAGCTACCTTGATAGCAGTGGTTCTTGAATGCCTGTGTAAACTGTACTTTTCTCTGGAGAAGACTTTCAAACAATTCATTCTGCATTTATTCACAAAGCAGCATTGAACATTTACAGGCACTTAACAACAGATCGAGAACTTTGAAGTCACTCACAGACCCAAAAGAGATTTTTTTTATAACTCTTCTATTAGATAAAACAATATTTTTTGAGAACATTCTGCTATGGGTTTCAACTCAGCCCCAAAATCCATTTATTTATTCAATACATTTCTATTGATTACCTCTTGTGTGCCAAACACTAACTTAGAAATTGAGAATTAATTTAGAAACCAAATTTTAGCTTCTTCTCTGTAAAATGGGACTTACAATACTACTACTACTGCTATTACCACAAAGAATAATAATAATTATTCTTTGATAATTATGATAATTATCATAATAATTATGAGGGCTGATGAAGGAAGGCATAACACTAATGTAAAAACTAAAAACTAACAGAAACAAAATGGATAAGATTTTTTTCATTCATGCAGTTTGTATTTCAGAAGCTAGAAGCTGGAATAATCAATAAAAATTGAAACATTACTTCAGATGCTAAATATTAAATAACAAAAAATAAAAAAAACACAAAACAGTATGGTAGCACAAGGAAAGAAAATATGTCTCTTGAATATCCAGCTAGACTGACAATAAATAAGTTACCTCATATTCAAGACATTAGGTATAATGGGGAAAATATTGTTACTAAAAGAAAATCCACACATAATACTTTTAAAAATTATTTTAATTTTATTCATTCATTCTTACTGAGACAGAGTGTTGCTGTCACCCAGGCTGGAGTGCAGTGGCATGATCTCGGCTCACTGCAACCTCTACCTCCTGGGTTCAAGCAATTCTCCTGCCTCAGCCTCCCAAGTAGCTGGGACTACAGGTATGTGTCACTATGCCTGGATAATTTTGTGTGTGTGTGTGTGTATTTTTAGTAGAGATGGGATATTGCCATGTTGGCCAGCCTGATCTCGAACTCCTGACCTCAGGTGATCCGCCTGCCTAAGCCCCCCAGAGTGCTGGGATTACAGGCATGAACCCCCACACATACTAAATTTTATGTCACAGACACAAAGGCAGTGTTCTTGCCAGGCGTGGTGGCTCACACCTGTAATCACAGCACTTAAGGAGGCAGAGACCAGAGGACAGCTTGAACCCAGGGGTTCGAGACCTGCCTGGGCAACATAGCAAGTACCCATTCTCCACAAAAAGGAAAAAAAAAAAATGTAGCGCTCCAAAATCACTGGAGGATCACAGCAAACATTTTCCAATGAGGTACAGACATTATTCATGGCAGGGTTTGTTACCTGTTGTATTTCCCTCTGCTAGAATGCACTCCTCACGTGGACTCTGGGTCCTTACCCTCACAGTCAGCATCTCCACCTCTGCATGATTTTTCTCTTTGTTCTCTGCTGAAGGTTACATCCAATTTGAAGACTTGTGCTCTTTATAAGGCACTCAGTGTCTAAAACTATTGTAGTACTTTCATTTTATATTCTTTAAGCATTTGATATGCAGAGCCGAAGCGTTTGAAAAGATGAATTGATGAATAAGATAAGCACCAATAAATAGATGTTTATGTGGCCAGTGACACAAGCCACAGAAGAGACAGAGTTAAAACTATTAGGAGAATTCAGATTATTATTCAAATAGGGGATCAGTCAGAATTTCCTATAGGATATGACATTTAAACAAGGTCTGCAAAGGCAGATTGGATTTAGATTAAATGGAAGGAGGGAGGAGGACACTAAGACAGAAAAGCTGTCTGAGAAGTATGGAAATATGGTGGGTAAAGGAAATAATAAGTCATTCATTTTAGTTAGTGTGTAGAAGTGTGAAGCCCTGTTTTGGGTAATAAGGTTGGAAAATTTGTAACAGAGAGCTAAGTGTGAATCATGATTGGTATTTTGGACGGGCATTTTGGTGCCAATTATTGAAAAGGGATGCCATCATGGCACTGGGATGCTCCCTTCCCCTTTATCCATTCTCCCAGTCAGAGTAGCTGTTATCTCAACTGTGATAGGGGAATAAGAGAATCAAGTGAACATTTCCAAATATTGTTAGTACCACGTTCTCAAAAGCTGTTCTGCCTGCGTCATAGAGGTAAACTCTGCAAAGTATCACCTAGGTATTAAGCCTAGTATCCATTAGTTATTTTTCCCAATCCTCTCCCTCCTCCCACCCTTCACCCTCCAAAAGGCCGCAGTGTGTGTTGTTTCTCTTGTGTATCCATGCATTCTCATCATTTAGCTCCCACTAATAAGTGAGAACATGTGGTATTTGGTTTTCTGTTCCTGTGTTATATTCCACTTAACCTCTCAGAAACAGATCCTTTAACTGTCGACAACTTTTCTGTAGAAATGTCATACCTTCAGCAGTTCCACATAATCCCTCACCCATTGCCCTCACAGGTGCCTCCTCTGTACTGTATCTACTTAGAAAATTTGGGTGAGAGAGGCATTTAGGAGAGAGATTAGGATAATGCACAGAAATAAACTAATAATGCTACCAAGTGACTTTTACATTGGCTCTGATGTTACAAGTATTGTTTAGAGTCAAGTTTCAGACAGTTTTTGGTGGTTTTCCTTTCCTCTTTTATGTAATCCTCTTCTGTGTAATCCCATGTTTCCACAACCTCTTCTACATAATCCTCCTCCTTTCCTCTTTGTTTGGTCCAAATTATGTGTCCAAAACTAAACTCTATGAATACCCTGCAAGGACATGACCTAGTACAGGGCTGAGATGAAGCTTTAGATTAGGCCGAAGTCTACCACTTAAATAACTTTGTTGTGCTTGGACTCTATACCTGCGTCCCTTGGTCTCAGTTTATTCTATATAACATCAAATTAACAATAAATACTACTAATATTACTACCACTGACATTAGTAATAATACTAAATATTTTGAAAACCTATGAGGAAAGCAAATTCTATGTATGTTTGTAGACATATATGAATTTATTTAATCTTCAGATTTTATTATCTAGTAATTTCTCCTATTTTACAGATAAAATGGAAGCATTAGAAGCTCATTTGATTGTCTAACATTACTTAGTAAATGGTGGCACCCCAGGGTGAATGTAGGTGGTCCACTCTGTTAATCGTCACACAATACATCCCAGTATCTCTGTGTCACCCAGAGTACCCATTTCCAGAGTTATTGGAAATTCTAGCTTCCAGAGTTATTGGAAATTCTAGCAATAACGTGCATAGAAGGGCTAGCACAATACCTTGCAAAAAGTAGACACATAGCCCTTTAAAATCAATATGTCACTTTGAGGTAGGTAAGAAAATGAAACAAGTTTTTGGCTGCATTAAGTCACCAAATTGTATCATTTTATGCTTGAAAGAAGGAATCTTGCTTATTTACATGCACACTTATCCACGATCTAAAACTTTTTTTGGAGATGTGTTTTGCTCTTTCAACCCTGCTTAAAAGGCATGATTTCAGAAACCTCAAAGCCCATTCTTGTAATGTAAGAGAAAATCTTACATTTAATCAAAGTGATAACAACACTCAAATTAGCCTTTACACATATAGGTCTTGAAAAATAAACAGTTTGGACCATTTTAGTTGGAACATAAATGAGTGGATTTCAGAATTATTGATTGCTGAAGATAAATGCTAGTTATTTTTTTTCTGACATTAACATTTGCTATAGCCAAGCTTTTCATTTCTTTATAATTATTTGCCTACCTCTGGCTGCTATTGTTAACTGATGAGCACCCTGAACATTTTTAATCTTTGTGTAAGAAATTTGAAATTCAAATATTACTCATTCTTGGGGAAGTGTTCACCTGCTTTTTCCTATAGTTGATTATAATTGCTGGAGGTTGGCTTCTGGGGGTGATTTAGTTATTGACAAAAGCAGCTTTCTTTTTCATTATAGAACCATTATTATGAGTTTTGCAAGAATGTAACTCCACTTCCATTTCATCAGGCAGTGTTGTACTTTAAAATTTCTGGTGCCTAATGAGGCACGTTATAGTAACGCGCATGCCCTAACATGTAAGGATTTTGAAAATCCTTGTGGTTTTCATAGAACTGACAGGTAAAAATGAGTACCCCATAATAATCCTATCTATGATCATAATGCCTTAAGTGCTTATCTTCACTGTCCACATCCACAACCTTTATTAGGACAAATAACGTTGACTGAGTTAGAAATGCTTTGGTAAATTTTAAATTAAACAAGCATATTTCCACTCTGCGTATTTCTTGAGAGTTTGATCTCTGTATTCAATTATTTGCTGGAGATTCCCACTTACATTTGCAAGGGCATCTTCAATTTAGTATGCCACCTCAAAACTACCCCTCCATTTCCCATCATCCTTGTGTTCCCACCTAATTGTCCTGGTCAGAAACTGAAGAATCATCCTTAATTTTTCCTCATTTTTCTTTACATAACACTGCTGTGATTTTTACCTCTGAATGACCTTTAGAATACATCCACATTTATTCATCCCACATTACTCTATTTTGGGTCATCATCTTACCTATCCTGGATAATGTATACGAAGTTCTGAGAGTCTCCCTGCTTTTTTAAGCTGCCATTTTAACCCCTGCCAGTACATTACCCTTCCAAGACACCACATTACCTTTGGGGTGGAGTCTAAAATCCATGGATCTTCTCTTACTGCTTCTTTCTTCAAAATCACTTACCTATTGTAATTCCTTTCTTTACCCTCTCCAATCCAGGTCCGCTTACAGTGACTTTCATTCATGTCCACTCACAGTAACTTTCATTCATTTCCTCCAGTGCTCACCCATAGGTCTGCCTAGATGGTATTCCGCCGGAGCTCCATCCTCTGTAAACCTTCTGGGCACTCGGTCGATAATGCTGAATAAGAATGCTACTTGCTTACTTTAACAAATGAACATATCAATCGCCTGTTGAAATTTTACAGTACACTTTGGAGACCCAACTGTCAGCGCTTCATCTTTCTCCTAGTCTAGATACAGTCGATAAGGGCTGAAGTCAAATTTTCATTTGTGTATATGTGTGTATGGTACATACTTAACACTTATGTACTTAATATTTACAAAGTGTTACAATTTTATATTTTATATTTTTTTTCCCATTTCTTATTTACTAGTCATACAAACCTGAGTTAACTTGTGTATTTGTCATTAAGGACATTTTAAAGTGAAGTAACTGAGGCTCAAATCAGGTAACTTGTATGCCTAGTAAGCGGCAGAACCAGGACCTACACGGGTCTCATTATACCACTGTAATTTTTTATATTTCTATTACGTCATGAGAGAGTTATTCATATTACAAATACAAACTTCAGTAATGCCAATCTGAATCCTGCCTACATGACAATGTATTAGAAACTTTTCAATGAGGCAAGTCTCAGAATTGTATGGCACTGCTGACAGTTTCTATTTATGACAGTGGACATGATACTTGAATCATTGTGTCATTTGAAGCCACTGAGGTGCTTAAAGATGCTCTTGAAATCATTGCAGTGATATATTCAAGCTTCTGTCATGTATGTGCCAGTGCATCTTGAAAAAGGATCATAAATTGTTTTGATTTTACCTACTTTAACTATAAAATGGACATTACTATAGTAAAGGGCATATTCTAGAATAGAATGCTTATTACAACTTTCTCAATCAGTTTTGTTCCATTGAACACTCTATGTTGCTCACAGCAAAGCAGCATTTCTAACGGAGAAGGCCATGCCAATATGCACAGCAAAATAACCTAGAAAATGATTCCAAACCTATCTTTATCATAAATTATACTTGCCATATTGTTAAAAATAATTTTGCTACCCCAAGGAATGTCCAACCTTTTTTATTCTGAGTCAAAATGTTATTAAGTAGGTAGACTCTACGGAATCATTTAGGATAAATGTTACACACAGAAATGTTTCTGACACTGTTCTGTCACCAACTTGTACCAAATCTCAATGACTTTTAGTTTGGGAGATTTATATATGGTTAATAAGGACCAACATCAAAGAGTCTCTCTTCATGTAAACATTTCTCTATACTATGTATATTCACACACGCATAGGCTATAGAACAAATAGTGTGTGTATGTGTGTGCATATGCTATAAATGTATCTTACAAATTTAAAGTTTTCTTTTTTAATAGCAACTACTCCTAAAAATAAGCTATGTTTGTCCATATTATAAGGAAGATTTCTTGGTTGGAAAATATAATACTTTTAGAAGCCTAGGCAACACAGTGAGAACCTGTCTCTACAAAAAATTTAAAAATTGGCCACGTGTGGTGGTGCACAATATAGTCCCAGCTACTTGGAAAGTGGAGGTGGGAGGATCACTGGAGCCCAGGAAGTTGAGGCTGCAGTGAGCTGTGATCATGCCACTGCCCACCAGTCTGGGTGACAGAGCAAGACCCTGTCTCAGTAAAATAAAAAAGAAATAAGATGAAAATATATTACTTTTAGAAAGTTTCAGTTAGTTTTACTATTCAGTATTTTACAAATACAAGAAAAGGTTAATAATGCTTTAAATTTAAAGAAGAATACACATTAATTTAATATGTATATTTACCATTCAACAACCAGAATCTATCTGTTTTCAGATAGTATTTAATTTTTTCTTCTTTTGTACTTGGGGTTAATTATTTTATGGAAACACAAGATCCTAGTATTTAAATATTGTATCTATTTGAATTATTTTATTAAATTACTCCCTGAAAACATGCTAATTTGTACATTTCTTCTCATAAACAGATGATTCATGTAAGTTAACTTGTGAAAATGGAGGAAGATGCATTTTAAATGAGAAAGGTGATTTGAGGTGTCACTGTTGGCCCAGTTATTCAGGAGAAAGATGTGAAGTCAACCACTGTAGCAACTACTGCCAGAATGGAGGAACTTGCGTACCATCAGTTCTAGGTAAATATTTCATTGTCATTGTATTTCACATCTTTTTCACTTTTCCTTATATATGAATCGAAAATGCTTAATGTTACAAATATACTTCCTAATATCTTAATGAACAATAGACTAACACAATATAATAACACAAAATTAAATCAATGGCATTTGTTCTAAATTCAGTATATAAAAGTTCAAGCCAAAAATTTAACAATTACTCTGGGTTGAGTATGTACCATGTGACAGGCTCAGTGTTTATAGATAATTTGCCCCTGGCTCAGAATGATTAGTAGAGCCAATTTTCCAAGCTTACTATGTTTGACCCCAAAGTTTATGTTTTGTTTTTGTTGTTGCACGTAGTTTTCCTAATGCTAAAAATCAATTGTTATTGAAAATTAGGATTATTTTAAATGTAAATAAACTGTAACAGAGAATCTGATAGCATCCTGATTCCCATCTAAAATTGTATCTATTCTTTTGGCATCACACTGTATCATATAATGTGCTTTGGAAATACAAGGTTTCTACATCTTAGGATATATTTGAGATTATTATTAATTTATGCAATAGCTATGCTTGCAGAAAGTGTTCTGTACAGCACATAAATGAACATAGAAACATATTCTTCTACTGACTTGTATTAAATTTAAAATGTGTCCCATGAGGAAAAAATAACCCCAATGCATAATAAAAATCTAATTTGCAAATTCCAATATTTAGTGCAAGGGATATTATGCAACTATTATAGTGCAATCTATGAGCACTTAATGTTACTACCATAAATGCAAATTTAGTCAAATGGAAAATTCTATATTATTTTCACATTCCCCTACATGGTTAATTTCTATCTTAGTGGGAGTTCTCACTGCTTCTATTGTTTATGCTGTGTTTTGAAGTATTTAATATAGTGCTAACTGAAAGAATTATATGAAGAATTTTCAGTGTGGATCTGAAAAATCAAGCTGTTTCTGAAATGCACTCTAATAGGAAAAGTTAGATAATTTTATGTCTATAAATATTTTCTTATTAATTCATAATGAAATTATTCTAATTACTTAATAGCATTCTGAAAAAATCAGGAGTTTGATTAGATTGAAATATAAACGGCAATAGGAGTCTTACCACATATTTTTATTCTGTTAAGGGAGGCTAGTTCATAAAGTATATTCTGTTACTACAGAAAAAATTGTAGTACTGTGTCCTTTATTGAATATACAAATAAGAATTCAGGTTCAAGGAATACGTGTGTGTATTTTATTAACACACATAATATCTCCTTTAGGGAAAAAGTTTTTCTCATAAAAAATTAATTGTTTGGAAATTTTATTATTTAATTAGTAACTTAATTTTCTCATTGAGATAATGAAAACCATGGTGTTATAGCTGGATGATTTATCTATATTTATATTTAGAAATATTTAGGCCAAGTAAACAATTTGGAATTCCAAACTATTGCTGCCTATTGAACCTGCAATGCATCTCAGGGATAAATCTCTACAAAACATTGAATTTGCTGTCTTGATGCATCCTGAGTTGTATATAGATACAGCACAACTTTTAATGTTTTGTTCAAATCATTTGTCTAAACTTTAATGCATGCTCAAAATCTGTAGTTCGATTTTGTCTGTGCACACAATTGTATCCTGATTTACATAAAATGTTCAAGAAAAATATTTTTAAATAATATAAATTAGTTCTCATTAGTAATGTAAATTAGTTCTCATATGGATTCAATATGAGATACAGACATGCAGTTTATTTTATAGCATCTAATAATAATTATATGATATGTAATTAAGTCACTTAAAAAGCATTTTTCACTTTTAAAATGTGGTTTTATAAAAACATTGTTTGGTATTTTAGACTGTAGAACCTCATTATCTCCACACAAATGTTAATTGGTTAAACAAATCCCAGTGAGCAATTCATGGATTTATTCATTGTTGGTTTACTTACAGTTAAGCCTTTTGGCAAATTCCTGTGTGGACACTATATAACTAGGGTTTGGGGCAGGCTTAATTATAATTTATAAGTTTATGACAGTTGTATAGGACAATAATAATTGAACAAAAGAAATGTCACTAATTAAAAGTACACATCGTTGAGGCATAATTAAAATTTTACATGTAGGAATGAGTTTTTCTCATTCCTTAAGGTTACTGTTTGTAATAATGAACACTAAAAATTAAATGTATGAGCTATATTCATACAAAAAGATACTAAAAATGAAATATTTTGATATTGATTATATCAATAAGGATTCATGTAGGCCATTTTTATGACCTGCTCATAGGAGGATAGATTTAAGATGAAATTTGCTTTTGACAAAATAATTGAAATCAGAGTAAAGCATAGTATTAAGCATTTGTTATTGAAAAATAGAGAAAATTTTTGAAAGATTTTATGCATCATAGATATCATTAAGACATTTTTGCTGTTAACAGCTATATTTACACTTAATCTTTACTTTTATGAACATTTATTCTCTATAGTATATTCATGATGTTTGGTATTTTTGTACTGCTATAGGTCTGTTATTTAGTCTTTTAATGTTTATATCAAAGTGAGTCAAACTTTCCTACCCAGTTGATTTAGAGGAATGGAACTAGAGGGTTTGTACTTTTGAGACAACATTCCCAATTACTTTCTTCTACTCCTAAAGTTTGGAGTTATGCTGAGGGGAAGTAGATGTTACTTTGGGAGTTTGTAAATATGCAAAAGCACAGCTAGCTAGGTTAAGAAGTGAAAGTGCAATTTGGGATATGGTGGGCACACATTTGAATTGAATATTTTAAGTGAATACCACAACAAGAAGGCAGAAGCTGTCATTGTAGCTCTCTCTGCCACCACATCTGAGGACTTTGGCAGTGAAGGATTTTTTTTCCCCCGGAAGTAAAGAGCATTCCTTCTCATTCATTCAAGGGTTTTCTGTCTTGGTAACTGTCCCCACATCAGATGGTAGAATTGCTCAAAGTCAAGTTAAACCAGAATTTTTGGATAACTTCAGAACATTATGAAACTAATGACAAAACATATGTAGTAAAGGATATCAAGTCACATATGTACGTGGGGCATAAAATCCACAGTCACCTAACTGATATCTTAAAGAGTGAACATTCATTTAAACTGCCCATCTTTGCTTTTCTTTGACTTCTCATTTAAATGAAGATATTTAAATCAATCTTTGCATCCTAGCTCCCTTAACATAGGTTAATTAATTATATTTAGGGAATGCTGAAAACTGGATATTTGGTTCTACTTGCCTTTTTTGGGCTTTTTTTATTTGTGTAAATTTAGGGAATACAAGTGCAGTTTTGTTACATGGATATATTGTGTAGTGGTGAAGTCTGGACTGTTAGTGTAACCATTAGCTGAATAGTGTACATTTTACCCATTAAGTAATTTCTTATCCTTTACCCTCCTCCCACCCTTCCACTTCTCCAATGTCTATTATTCCACAACATGTCTACGTGTACACATGATTTGGCTCCTATTTATAAGTAAGAACAGGTGGTAATAGACTTTCTGAGATGTTTTGCTCAAGATAATGGCCTTCAGTTTCATCCATGTTACTACAAAAAACATGATTTTATTTTTTTCTATGGCGAAGTAGTATCCCATAGTGTGTGTGTATGCCACGTTTTCTTTATCCAGTCAGTCATTCGCTGAACACGTAGGTTGACTGCATATTTTTCCTGTTGTGAATATTGCTGTTATAAACATACACGTGCCATATGTTTTTGATATAATGATATTTTTTTCCCATTAGGTGAATATACTCAGTAGTGGGATTGCTGTATCAAATGGTAGTTTTATTTTTAGCTATCTGAGAAATCTCCATACTGTTTTCCATAGAGGCTATACTAATTTACATTCCCACCAACAGCGTATAAGTGTTCCCTTGTCTCTACATCCTTGCCATCTGTTATTTTTGGCTTTTTAATAGTAGCCATTCTAACTGATGTAAGATGGCATTTCATTGTGATTTTTATTTATATTTCTCTTGTGATTATTTATTTTGCTATGCAGAAGTGTTTTAGTCTAATTAAGTCCCATTTATCTACTTTTGTTTATGATGCATTTGCTTTTGAAGTTTTAGTTATAAATTTTTTGCCTAGGCCAGTGTCCTGGAAAGTTTTTCCTAGGTTTTCTTCTAGCATTTTTTATAGTTTCAGTTCTTACATTTAAATTTTAAATTCAACTTGAGTTTGTTTTTGTATATGGTGAGAGTTAGGGCTCTAATTTCATTCTTCTGCATGTGGCAATCCAATTTTCCCAGGACCATTTATTGAATAGGATGTCCTTTCCACATTGTATATTTCTGTTAATTTTGTCAAAGATCAGTTGGCCATAAGCATGTAGCTTTATTCCTGGGTTCTCTAGTCTGTTCCATTGATCCATGTATCTATTTTTATACCAGAACCATGCTCTTTTGGTTATTATAGACTTGTGGTATAATTTGAAGTCAGGTAATGTAATGCCTCCTGTTTCTTTTTGCTTATAATTACTTTGGCTATTCAGGCCTTTTTTTTTTTTTTGGTTCCGTATGAATTTTAGGATTGCTTTTTCTAATTCTGGGAAAAATGGCATTGGTATTTTGATAGAAATTGCATTGAATCTGTAGATTGTGTTAGACAGTATGATCATTTTCAGGTAAATAATTAATGATGTTAAAATTGAAAACACAAAATAGAGAATATAATTTAACAAGTATGTGATATAGGAAATTATAACTCCAACAAAGCAAGTAGAAAAAACACAGAAAGCATAATAAGAAAGTGGCAAAAGATAAGTCTCATACATATATGCAGGAGTTTGGGGAGCAGAAAGCAGAGGAGGAGCCCAGTCAGACATGGATGAAACCAGCATTTACAAATCACTACCAGAAGAAAATGTTGATGATGCAAACTTTGCAGCAAGCAATTTTGAAACACTCAGCAAGAGTTTAAAAAGTTGTCAATGCCCTTTGACTAAATATGAACACTTTTTGAAATATGTCCCAAGGATTATGTAGTAATAAAAAAACAAAATTTAGAAGTGAGAACATTTGATTGTGTTATTTGTAGTATTACGAAATTGGAGATAAAATTGAAATTCAAAAAGAACAGGATATACAACTGCTGTATAATATGAGCCTAGTAGGGAAATTATGTATACATAAAATATCTGTATAAAGAAATAGATCTTTCTTTATACTTTTGTATTTTCCAGATATGCCACTATTAACATGTATTATTGTTTTCATTGAAAATTAAAATAGCAACAATAATTATATTAGAAACTATTATTAGAAATTAAAATATTGTCAGGATCATGATAATTATTTTTACTGGTTGCTTACTAAGTGCCAGACACTGTTCTCTCCCTTTGAATCTTCATAAGATACCTGTGAGAGAATAAAGGTAAGAGTCTGTCGAATTTTGCTGCTGGCTTCATGAGTCACAGTTAGTGATTCGATTGGACCATATGGTGAGAGCAATACCAGACTATTCAATCTTACGGCTCTCTGGGCTAATGTTAGAAGGCTTAAGTTAGCTTACTTATATTCACAGAAAAGACAAAAATGCTTCAATCTTATTTCCACAATGCTGGCTGAAAATAAACCTTCTAGAAGTATATAGAAGTATAAATAAATTGTGACCTATAATTTGAAGCATATCAGAATATATTAAGAAGTACCTGGGAGGGAGCTAGATAAAGCTCACAATTCTTCTTTTTCTTTGTCAGGCTTTGCTGAATAGTTCTGTATAATCTTTTTTATGCTTAAGAAAACCTGACAGCTATAGTCACCTTGCTAAAATTATTTATAAGTGGACACTCACTTTAAATCCAGGAAAACATTACATTAAGTAGAAAAGTAGAATGTCAAATCTCCTTATTGAAAAGACTAGCATTTTTTTAAAGCATTCAGAACTTTTATTACTTGAATCAAAGTCTGAAGTCAAGACAGATTCACAAAGGACAGTAGTCTTAGGGACAAGAGGTCAGGAGATAGGCTTTTCTATTGCAATCCTGTAACTAACTGGATGACACAGTGGTACTTTGTCTCAGTTTATGATGTCTGTGCTATATAAAGGGACAGGAATGTGGCTACTGTCCAAATAGTAGAAATGTTTTGAGTAAGTATTATGTCATATTTTGATAGTATTTTCATAGAAGGGCATTAAATATAAACATTTATAACTATGCTCTGCAGTTTAAGTGTCACTTAAATACTGCTATTCCTTACACTCAATGTTTTTATTAGACCAACTGAACTAAAAAATCATGTATATACATAAAACTAGTTAGATATACATAAAACTAGTTAGATATACATAAAACTAGTTAGGTATAAAACATCATACTCAAAGACAAAAATTTGAAAGCACCAGACTGACTCAACCAGGACCAAGCTAAATGGGGGTAAGCGTCATGGTTCACATAGACAAATGAGTATGAATTAAAAATTGACTTAAAAAGAGAGCAGACTAATAATGCTCAGTAGCATGTATCTACGGCACAGAAATAATAATCGGTCACTATGTCACAGAAAGCTCAGAAGGAATTACTTTTGCTAGCATTCCTTTTTGGCAATCAGCCATACTTGTTCAAGCGTTGTGTAGATAGAGGAAAATAAATCATAACATAACTGTCCAATATTAGAGAGGGTTTTTTACATACTTTGACATTAAATAGTCATTAAATTATATCAATAAATAATGTTTCCATAATCAGTTTAAGAACAGTTTATCAAATAAATCTAGCTTTTAAAGACAGACACTCACCAGGTTTGCAGTAAGTTATTGAAAAATATCAACATCAAATACCTCTACAATATTCAAATGAAAGTATATTGCTTTTGAGAAAATGGGTGTCAATAGTGATTGATATATTACTTGACAATAAGTATCCCAACAAATTTTACTCTAAAATTATTAGCAAATAGGTAGTAATTTCTATATTGAGCATAGTATACTATTTTGGAAATTATTATCTTTAATGTAGCAATTGCTATATTGTGAATGCTCTATAAATAAGAATTCTGCTAAAGTCCTTAGATATGTTACTTAATTTTTATTACTCTATGATGTTTACATTGTGGCATTTTTCAGATGTGATCTAGATTGGTTAAGTATTAAGACCAGAATCTGAGAACTTTGATTATTCCAAATTAAGTGCTCTAATACATTACTTATTATCACTGAAAATCAACACTATCTGCCCATATCAAAGAAATAGCTGACTATGACTATATTACTGAAGGTGACACACAGTTAAATAGGTCCATTTACTGGAGGTACAATGTAACCAAATCATATAAATTTAATGCTCCTTTAATGGGAACTAAGGATAAATCTTTACAATATCCATGCAGTTATTTATCCATATAATAGAAAATATTCTATTGTTATATACTTAAAAATATATTATTTCAACTGATATATATGAATTCTTAGGAGCATCTTATGTCCAAAAGTATAAAATCAAGAAAAAAATGAGCAATAGGATTTTATATGAAGCTTCTTAGCAAGGGCATATACTCAGTCAAGTTTAATAGCCTAAGCATAGATAATTTGTTTAACAATAGTAATATTAATAGTAGTAATAATGCCAATATTTCTACTAATAGTAAAACTTCCAGTTACTGTGGACTGGCTATGTGGCAGGCATTGTGCCATGTGTTTTACCTGTACACAATAGGTTTTGCTATTGCTGTTTACAGAATGTGATGTAGGGAGGAAATCTATGTTTTCTAAAGTTACACAATTTAAATATCAAACGTGACTTTATTCCAAGTTCTCTCTAATACCAAAAACAAATTATTTAACACTGCACCAAATTGATATTGTTCCTTTAAATATTAGTGGTGAAATATTTTATATTCAGCCATTTTTACTGAGACAGATTTTGCTATGTAAGGGACATGTGATATAAGTGAAATTTAAAAAACTCTATGAGATTCCAAGACATTTCCATTTTTCTTATAAGCAATACAATATTTAAATAAAATATAGACCTTAATAATATTTACTATTGCTCCTGAATGACTACTGGGTACATAACGAAATGAAAGCAGAAATAAAAATGTTCTTTGGAACCAATGAGAACAAAGACACAACATACCAGAATCTCTGGGACGCATTTAAAGCAGTGTGTAGAGGGAAATTTATAGCACTAAATGCCCACAAGAGAAAGCAGGAAAGATCTAAAATTGACACCCTAACATCACAATTAAAAGAACTAGAGAAGCAAGAGCAAACACATTCAAAAGCTAGCAGAAGGCAAGAAATAACTGAGATCAGAGCAGAGCTGAAGGAGATAGAGGCACAAAAAACCCTTAAAAAAAAAATCAATGAATCCAGGAGCTGTTTTTTTGAACAGATCAACAAAATTGATAGACTGCTAGCAAGACTAATAAAGATAGAAAGAGAGAAGAATCAAATAGACACAATAAAAAACAATAAAGGGGATATCACCACCGATCCCACAGAAATACAAACTACCATCAGAGAATACTATAAACACCTCTATGCAAATAAACTAGAAAATCTAGAAGAAATGGATAAATTCCTGGACACTTACACCCTCCCAAGACTAAACCAGGAAGAAGTTGAATCCCTGAATAGACCAATAACAGGCTCTGAAATTGAGGCAATAATTAAAAGCCTACCAACCAAAAAAAGTACAGGACCAGACAGATTCACAGCCAAATTCTACCGGAAGTACAAGGAGGAGCTGGTACTATTCCTTCTGAAACTATTCCAATCAATAGAAAAAGAGGGAATCCTCCCTAACTCATTTTATGAGGCCAGCATCATCCTGATACCAAAGCCTGGCAGAGACACAACAAAAAAAGAGAATGTTAGACCAATATACCTGATGAATATCGATGCAAAAATCCTGAATAAAATACTGGCAAACCAAATCCAGCAGCACATCAAAAAGCTTATCCACCATGATCAAGTGGGCTTCATCCCTGGGATGCAAGGCTGGTTTAACATACGCAAATCAATAAATGTAATCCAGCATATAAACAGAACCAAAGACAAAAACCACATGGTTATCTCAATAGATGCAGAAAAGGCCTTTGACAAAATTCAACAGCCCTTCATGCTAAAAACTCTCAATAAATTAGGTATTGATGGGACATATCTCAAAATAATAAGAGCTATTTATGACAAACCCACAGCCAATATCATACTGAATGGACAAAAACTAGAAGCATTCCCTTTGAAAACCGGCACAAGACAGGGATGCCCTCTCTCACCACTCCTATTCAACATAGTGTTGCAAGTTCTGGCCAGGGCAATCAGGCAGGAGAAAGAAATAAAGGGTATTCAATTAGGAAAAGAGGAAGTCAAATTGTCCCTGTTTGCAGATAACATGATTGCATATTTAGAAAACCCCATTTTCTCAGCCCAAAATCCCCTTAAGCTAATAAGCAACTTCAGCAAAGTCTCAGGATACAAAATCAATGTGCAAAAATCACAAGCATTCCTATACAGCAATAACAGACAGAGAGCCAAATCATGAGTGAACTCCCATTCACAATTGCTTCAAAGAGAATAAAATACCTAGGAATCCAACTTACAAGGGATGTGAAGAACCTCTTCAAGGAGAAATACAAACCACTGCTCAACAAAATAAAAGAGGACACAAACAAATGGAAGAAATTTCCATGCTCATGGATAGGAAGAATCAGTATCGTGAAAATGGCCATACTGCCCAAGGTAATTTATAGATTTAATGCCATCCCCATTAAGCTAACAATGACTTTCTTCACAGAATTGGAGAAAACTACTTTAAAGTTCATATGGAACCAAAAAAGAGCCCACATTGCCAAGGCAATCCTAAGCCAAAAGAACAAAGCTGGAGGCATCACACTACCTGACTTCAAACTATACTACAAGGCTACAGTAACCAAAACAGCATGATACAGGCACCAAAACAGAGATATAGACCAATGGAACAGAACAGAGCCCTCAGAAATAATACCACACATCTACAATCATCTGATCTCTGACAAACCTGACAAAAACAAGAAATGGGGAAAGGATTCCCTATTTAATAAATGGTGCTGGGAAAACTGACTAGCCATATGTTGAAAGTGGAAACTGGATCACTTCTTTACACCTTATACAAAAATTAATTCAAGATGGATTAAAGACTTAAACGTTAGACCTAAAACCATAAAAACCCTAGAAGAAAACCTAGGCAATACCATTCAGGACATAGGCATGGGCAAGAACTTCATGTCTAAAACACCAAAAGCAATGGCAACAAAAGCCAGAATTGACAAACGGGATCTAACTAAACTCAAGAGCTTCTGCACAGCAAAAGAAACTACCATCAGAGTGAACGGGCAACCTACAGAATGGGAGAACATTTTTGCAATCTACTCATCCGACAAAGTGCTACAATCCACAATCTACAAAGAACTCAAACAAATTTACAAGAAAAAAACAATCCCATCAAAAACTGGGTGAAGGATATGAACAGACACTTCTCAAAAGAAGACATTTATGCAGCCAACAGACACATGAAAAAATGCTCATCATCACTGGCCATCAGAGAAATACAAATCAAAACCACAGTGAGATACCATCTCACACTAGTTAGAATGGTGATCATTAAAAAGTCAGGAAACAACAGGTGCTGGAGAGGATGTGGAGAATAGGAACACTTTTACACTGAACCAGTTTACAGTCCCATCAACAACCATTGTGGCAGACAGTGTGGCGACTCCTCAAGGATCTATAACTAAAAATACCATTTGACCCAGCCATCCCATTACTGGGTATATACCCAAAGGATTATAAATCATGCTGCTGTAAAGACACATGGACACGTACGTTTATTACGGAACTATTCACAATAGCAAAGACTTGGAACCAACGCAAATGTCCATCAACGATAGACTGGATTAAGAAAATGTGGCACATATACACTATGGAATACTATGCAGCCATAAGAAAGGATGAGTTCATTTCTTTTGTAGGGACATGGATGAAGCTGGAAACCATCATTCTCAGCAAACTATCACAAGAACAAAAAACCAAACACCACACGTTCTCACTCATAGGTGGGAATTGAACAATGAGGACACTTGGGCACAGGAAGGGGAACATCATACACTGGGGCCTGTCATTGGGTGGGAGGAGGGGGGGAGGGATAGGATTAGGAGATATACCTAATGTAAATGACGAGTTAATGGGTGCAGCACACCAACATGGCACATGTATACCTATGTAACAAACCCGCATGTTGTGCACACCTACCCTAGAATTTAAGGTATAATAAAAAGATTTTTTATTAAAAAATAATATTTTTTATAGAAGATTAGTGATTTTAATTACATCTTCACCATATTTGACATTAGCTATTATTTGCTATCAAGTTAAATTGTAAGAGTTTATTATTATGGGCTAGGTGTGGTGTCTCACGCCTGTAATCCCAGCACTTTGGGAGGCTGAGGTAGGAGGATCACAATGTCAGGAATTCGAGACCAGCCTGGCCAACATAATGAAACCCCATCTCTACTAAAAATACAAAAAAATAGCCAGGCATCGTGGCAGGTGCCTGTAGTTCCAGCTACTCAGGAGGCTGAGGCAGCAGAATTGCGTGAACCCGGGAGGCGGAGGTTGCAGTGAGCCAAGACTGTGCCACTGCACTCCAGCCTGGGCAACAGAGTGAGACCCCATCTCAAATAAATAAATAAATAACAAACAAATAAAAAAGAGTTTATTTTTATGACTTTGTGGTATGACCCATTGCTGGAACATTTTAGAAGATATATGTAAAGAATTTCTATCTATGAAGAAAAATTGTATAAATAAACTAATCTCCATTTATTTTATGCATATATATTTGTATCATACAAAGAAAAAGAACCGATATATATGTGTGTGTGTATGTCCATATATATATATATATATATATATATATATATATATATATGAAGGAGATTTATAATTGGAATTGGTACATGTGCTTATGGAGCCTGAGGAGTTCAATGGTATACTGTCTGCACACTCAAGGACCAGCAAAGGCAGTCATGTGATTCAGTCCAAATCTAAAAATCGGAGAACTAAGGGAGCCAATTGTGTAACTCTCAGTCTAAGGGCAATGACCTGAGCAACTGGGTGGGAGGAGGAAGCAATTCAGGTGTAAGTCTTTGAGTCTGAATGCTCAAGAACCAGGAGCTCTGATGTCCTCAGCCAGGAGAAGATGGATGTCCCAGATCAAGAAAGAGAATTCACCTTTCCTTCACCTTTATTCTATTTGGGCCTTCAATTAATTGGATGATACCCACCCACACTGGTGAGGAAATATCTTTCTTACTTGGTCTGCTGATTCCAATGCCAATCTCCTCCACAACCACCTCTACAGACACACTCAGAAGTAATATTTTACCAGCTACTTTGGCATCCCTTTGCCCAGGCTAGTTGACACATGAAATGAACCATCATAGTAATTATCTAGCAAAGCACTTTGCTAACTAACAGAGTGCAACTTGAATATGAAGTAGACCTAACACTAAAAGCAGCTATAGTCTAGTGAAAGTATGTATGCCATGGAGGACAAAGTTTACTCTTTTAGGGAGTGGGAAGAGTCGATGAACTTACCAACTGTCCAGAGACATCAACATGGAAACATACAAGGAGTAAAATTGAAGGTCTGAAGTTTAGGAAGAAGAAGGAGCCCAGAATCAGAAAATTGGGACAGAGGCATTTAGACAGAAAGATAAATATTTAAGCCATAAAATTGGGTAATATCACCAGAAAGAAGTTTGGAAGAACACTTTTTGAGAGAAAGAGAAAACATAAAGACAATTGTACAAAAAGGCAGGCAGAAAACAAAAGAGAAATCAATAAAGCTAGTGTTTCGGAAGCCACTGGAGAAAGATCTTCCAGCTAGAGATATTAGCCAACATTGTGTAATCAAAGAGAAAATTTGAAGAAGATAATGGTTGAGAAGTAATTAATGGATTCAGTGAGGAAGTGATTAGAGGTGAGTTTTGAAATAGGGTATGTGTATATGTATATATGTATATATATGTATATGTGTATATATACACACACATACACATACATGCACACTATTGCATATATATTCATATATTAGTATACATATTCTAATGCACTTTGATTTTTTCTGTACTTTATATATGTAAAGTACAGAATATTTATAAACTACAGAAAATATACATATATGTGTATATATATATAAGCAACACTACACATTATTCTTAAACCTTTCTTACCACCAAATAATTAAAATCAGTTTATATGAGGAATACATTCACATTGAGCATTCTGGCCTGTTTTCTGAGAGCATAAAGAAAGTAATATATTAAGATACATAATTTTTTATATTAAAAAAAGCTGTACCTTCAGTGAAGGATTGGAATGTGATTTTTATGATTGAATATTTTACTCTGTCACACATTCATCAAATTGAGAGCAGAGAGTATAACTGCCTTTTGAAGAAGCTCAAGGATGTACCAAAATTAAAATTTGTACAAATAGACAGACTCGGAAGATATTAGATTTTCTCTTTGATTTGTTTGCTGTTGTAGCATGTTTGTTCTTTCCTTTGGAAAGATAGAATTGAGCATGTTTAGAAGCTAAAGGGGGAAGAAAGAGAGTATGATTGTCTTTTGAAGAAGCTCAAGGATGTACCAAAATTAAAATCTGTACAAATAGATGGACTTGGCAGATATTAGATTTGCTTTTTGGTTTGTTTGCTGTTGTAGTATGTGTGTTCTTTCCTTTAGAAAGGTAGAATCGAGCATATTTAGAAGCTAAAGGGGGAAGAAAGACTCATTCTTCAAAGTCTAAAAATGTTAGACCCTGAGAGTAAAGTTGATGGAGAATTTCAGCTCTAGCCCATCACTACCATAAAAGTAAATTCAAATTTAATTTTATCTTAAATAAATAATAGAGATAAAACATAAAATTTAATAAAAGTTTCAGAATGATTTGCTTAAACTGTTAAGTACCTTGGTAGACATAACCACAGAATAAGTCCTACCTAAAAAAGGTGAATCTCACTCAATAGAAATAATAACAATAACGATAATAATAATCAGAGCTAAAATATAACTCTGTGCTTTCTATGTGACTGGTACAGCTAGAAATGCTTCACATGTGTTATCTAATTTATTCTACATGATTCTCCCAAACAACTCCATGAGGTAGGCAGTATTATTATGTTGATTTTATAGACAGGGATACAAACACATATTTCCCCATGGTCCTACAACCAGTACTTGACACTCATAGGCTATGAATCTAGGCAGTCTGAAAACCTTATTCTTAGTGTCTGAGCTAAGGAAACTGTCAAAACTAGACTGATTTAGAGCCCAGAAACATAAGGTATGGAGCCTCCCCTTCTTTCCTAATGTCAACTGATGTTCTTTCATATTGTGCTACCCTTGTAGGCTGTCAACTCCCCAGCTCCCTGGATGCATCGCTGCTATAAATCTATACCTTAATCATTGTAACAGGACTGTTTCTTTTTCAAGTATTAAAATCAAATTCTGCTACCTAAAAATCTCTGTAAATGAATCCAATCCAACGTCTTAGGGTGCACCTAGAGAGATTCTTGAAAACAGCAAATAGGGCCCATTATACAGTTCTGCAACAGAAAGTTCATTTCCCATCAGAAAACAAAAGATCAGCTGTATCACCAAATAATTTCTGTTAGGTAATATTCCCCTGAATATGAAGATTTCTACTTGTCAGAAAGAAATCTGCTCTTCAAAGAAAGAGAAATAAGAACTTTTAAAATAATTCAGCTGCACTCTGAATGATCTAAGACATATGCTAGCTGTGGACAACCTAGTCACTCTGCTGTAGTTTCAAAACAGCTGTAAATGAGACAAAACCATGAAAGCTCAGTGTCATTTCTTTGAGTGATGGGGATAGAAGAATTTTCAAGTACCTCAGCAGGTACCGTTTGTTTCTTTCACACTTGTATCATTTTACTTCTTTTTCCAACCCTAATGTAAACAAAAAAAAAGAAAAACACATATAGGAAACAATGAATCCACAGTGATCACATTATATGTTTGTGTGGCACCTTTTCAGATTGTTCTAATGTACTTTGTTTTTGTACTTTACGCACTGTTTATTTCATTGTTTTGCTCATGGTAATTTTTATTGCTATTTACTTGTTCTATATCTCTGTAAGGTATCCATTGACTGTAATTGAAGAATTACTTCTGTTGTTTTGGGCTCTTGTTTTTTTCATTAATCACGTTCCAACAATTATTAACCTCTTCATTTACTACCATTATTTGTTTTGTTGTCCTGTAGCTTTGTTTTTCACCTACTAAGGTGCCAGTGAAGATACTGTGTTTCTATATCAACAACAACTAGAAAATTGCATTGCCATTTTAAGGAAAATATCTACTAAAAGTTAGTGAACATTTTTTGGCAACAAAAAAATATGAGATTACTCAGCGTTTAACGTATATAAAATTTACCTTGTTTCTCAGGCCATTAATAGGCATTTATCTGCCACCAAACTAATAACATTCATAAATGCTAAGTTTTAGAGAAATATTACTCACCATAAAAATGTATATTACTTTGTTCATTTAGAGCATCAGTCTCTAGCATTTTTGAGCATGTAGAGTCCTTTCAAAGTAAAGTTAATAAGTTATGGACCCTCAATTCACTCATTTTCTTAAAAATGTATATGAATTTTATTTGTAAGCATTGTATTCACTGAGGAATGTTTCTCAAAAGATTTAGACTTCTTCAATGTAGAATCTATAGTGATAGAGAAAATTATATCATTTTCACACTTAAGTCTTAGTAAGATTTACACTCATGCATTTCTCTAATCAGTTTAATTACACTTCTGTGTCTACAAAGATGACAGAGAAATGGCATGAATATTCTCTAGGTCTACAAAGACAAGAGAAAGATGGCTTGAATATTCTCTACTGCTAGTCAACTGAGTGATATTGTCTGAGTCTTAACTGAAATCTATAACTAAGTCTCTCTCATACTCTTTCATGTTGTTTCTTTACATTTTTGCAAACTTTGAAATTTATTATTTTACCATTTAAATGATATCCATTCATTTTGTTTTCTTTCTCCTTCTCTTCTCCTACAGAGCTAGTTCCATATTTCATTTTGTACTCAGGCCTTGACAGTCTGAGCAGTTAGAGAAACTTATTCCTAATATACAAGAGTTAACTGTGTTATGTTCAAAACACCATACAGGATTGTTGACCTTTCATCCTGATGTTAGTCCCCACAGAGTAAATAAAGAAAAATAGTCAAAGATGATCTGTCATATTTGGTCTTATGTGCTGTTCATGTTAAACTTCTAAGTCATCCTGTTATTTACTAGACTTCAAGTACAGTCCACTCTTGTGAATAACAATATCAAAATTAGACAAAATTAGATTTAGCACTTATGTACTAACCACAGTATGTGTATTTAAGTCAAATAGAGTAATGTTACTAAATTTAATTATTATAAATTACATGTCTACTTTAAACTTATTACAAGATTTATTTATAACATGTGTAATCTAATGTTTTATGTAGATTCAGCAGTGGTTGGTAGATGATGTTTGAACAATGTGAAATTGTATTTTAGGTTCTAATGAAAATATAATCTGTATTATCACATGAGTAGAATAAAAATAATTGAAAGGGCCAAATTGATATGAGAACAGAAGTAAAAATAAGAAGTACTTTAAGCAAACAATATATGCATGCAAGTATAATTAATTATTCATAAAATGATCTTTGATTATTTTACTGAATTGAAACTTGGATATCTTCTAACCTAGATTTCCTTGAACATATGAAAAACTGAGACCCAAAGAAGTCTTGTTACTGCCTAAAGTCACAGAGTAAATCATGGACAGACCTTGACCAGAAACCTGGCTTCTCAACTTTTATCCCATGAAAATTCCTTGAAAATAAACTATTTTGGTTGAATAATTTGCTTTTTATTACTTATTGTTTCCAATAGGGAGACCCACCTGCAGCTGTGCACTGGGTTTCACTGGGCCAAACTGTGGTAAGACAGTCTGTGAGGATTTTTGTCAAAATGGAGGAACCTGCATTGTGACTGCTGGAAACCAGCCTTACTGCCACTGCCAGCCGGAATACACCGGAGACAGATGTCAGTACTGTAAGTAAAAGCAGCACCCAGAAGCCAGCTTTGATGTTTATGTTAATCTTCTGATTTCCTGTATCCACTCCTTCCATTATCTTAATTTTAGCCATCCTCTATTTTTCAGGTTCAGTCTCTGTCACTCCAACAATTATTTACCCATTCTTCACCTTTCTCTTATTGTAAAGATTTTATCTTTCTTCCTCCCTCAGCTTTGATTGCATGGTCCATTATTATAACCATTCCCTGTGTACACCCTCAGCTCCCTTCCTCTCTCTTCCCCTCTTTTGCACTTCTTAGCAAATCATAACCATAGTTAAATCCAATTCTCCATCTCTCCTGAATTGACATCCCATAGGCGAATGCAACTGAAGAAAAACTCATAATTATATTGGCTGGCCTCATTTCAGTTCTATCACTAATTTCAAATGGGCACTTACTAAGGCTTTCTATGTAGTTCCCTAATCCATTGACTCTCCCACTCCCCTAGATGTCTATGTCACACCTTCTCCTTCTCATGAAACCTCCAATGCTTTCTCCCTAACTTTACCCTCAGCTGAGAAACTTGCTTTATATTTCATTTATATGAATAGAAACCATCTAAAGAGAGCTGCCGCAAACTCACACTAACTAGCACATCCCCCCAGCTTCTTTCTCCTATGCCCATGTACTTGTCTTTCTTCTTGTTACTAGGAACCCCAGGCTACATCTAATCCTATGCTCTCCATCTCAAGTCCTGACCCCTCCCTCTTGGCTACTTATGAACACATCTCCCACAACTGTCCCCTTTTTCTCCTGCTTTATGACTATTTTCCTGTCTGCCAAGTTCTTTCTGGAAAAAACCTTCACTTGTGCCCACATCTCTTTTTTGTAATAACCTTATTTTACTACTCTCTCCTCTTTTTTAACAGAAGCATTACTTGAAAATATAGTTGTTGTCCACAATTCTTCTATTTATATTTTTTCTTTGATCCCACCTCTGTCAGGTTTTTGTCTTTGCTGTTCTGCTAAAATATCTTTTATGAAAGTCAAGTTAATTGATTTTATTTAATGTCCTCCATGTTGCCATATATAATGATCAAATCTCAATTCTTATTTTACATCTACTTTCAGCAGTTAATCATTTCATCCTTCTTAAAACATCGTCTACAAAGATTTTCATTCCTCTAGCCTGTGTTGGGGTATCTATATTTAAATTTTTCAGATGTTTCACACATGCAACCAAAATTGAGACCTACTGCCTCGGCAAATTCACCCAATTGCGTGTTTTTTTAAACATCATCCAAATACTAATGACTGTAAATTTACATATCCTGCTTAACCTATTTTCTGAATTCCAGGTTTTTATACCTAATTGTCTATTTGACAGCTTGTTATCACTCTAATTTAAACTGATTTGTTTTTACCCCAAGATTTTTCAACAAGTTGGATATCCCTTATCTGAAATACTTGAGACCAGAAGTATTTTGGATTTCAGATTTTTTCGAATTTTAGAATATGTCCATCTGTATAATGAGGTATCTTGGGGATTGAACAGAAGTCTAAATACAAAATTCTTGTTTCATATACACTTTATACACAAAGCCTGAAGGTAATTTTATGTGTATTTTTTACTAATCTTCTGCCCTCATTACGGGAGGTCAGGTGTGAAATTTTCCACTCGTGGCATCATGTTGGCACTCAAAACTGTTGGATATTGGAATATTTCACATTTCAGACTTCCCAATTAGAGATGCTCAATCTGTACTATAGTCTTTTCTATCTCTTTAAAAGAAAATATACTCACTGTCCAGACCAAAATAATTGAATTTTTTTGACCACCCCTTTTTTTCACTTCCTGTTTTCACTCTCAATTTTACCTTTAAATATACTCAACATCTGAATACTTCTCACCACTCCATTCTACCAGTATCTCTTGCCTGGATTATTACTAATGGATCTCCATGCTCCCTCTCTTTGCCCCAAAGTATCTATTCTCAAAAGGTCAGTCATAGTTCATTTTATTCACAATAAAATTGCTATCACAGTCACATTTATTGAGATTTTTCTACACCCAAGGACACTTGTAATTCCTTTTTTGCATTAGTTTTATTAATTCGTTTAATCCTATCAATAAACTAGATATTGTTTTTAGTCTCATTACAGAAGAGGACACCAGGAAAAAATAAATAGGCTTCTGAATATTACCTATTTAGCATTTGCGAGAGCCAAGATTCAAACCAGCCAATTTAGCTTCAGGGCTCAGGTCGCATCCCCAAGTTACATTAAATATCATTGAATTTTCACACAAAGTAGCCTAGGTCTTTGGTCATTTTAGGAACTACATGAAACAGCACAGAGTCAAGCTATAATCATCGGCTTATCTGAGAATCAAGCATAACACTTAGTATCTTGCCTCTGATGGTACAGAGGGACTTCTTCTGCAGAAGCAAGAAAACATTTAAAGTAGTTTATTTTCCAATTGTTTATTCTTATCATATTAGGCTAGCCTTTCCTTGACATATGTAGATGCCCCTACCCTAGGCCAATGTTCCTTTTCACATTGCCTAACTTATTTCTTAAATGATGTGCATCACAGGCCAGAAGTTTATATGAAAATACAACCTGGTTACATCCATACATCCCTATATTATTGTATAACACTAATTAGCCAGGCGCAGTGGCTCACACCTGTAATCCCAGCACTTTGAGAGGCTGAGGCCCGCGGATCACGAGGTCAGGAGGTCGAGACCATCCTGGTCTAGAGACGGTGAAACGCCGTCTCTACTAAAAATACAAAAAACTAGCCGGGCGCAGTGGCGGGCACCTGTAGTCCCAGCTACTAGGGAGGCTGAGGCAGGATGATGGCGTGAACCCAGGAGGTGGAGCTTGCAGTGAGCCGAGATCACGCCACTGCACTCCAGCCTGGCGACAGACCAAGACTCATCTCAATAAATAAATGCATAAATAAATAACACTAATTATCCTTTCTCATGTATTGCTCACATCTTCACCACTCTCATTCCCCTCCTCACAACACAGCAGACTATCTCAACACAACTTCCACCCACTAACTCACGTGTGTTTATTTTCTGTTCCACCATTGTCATGACCCCAAATGATTCCATGCAAATGAAGGACAACACTACTATCCCACTTAATGGAGACCCCTATTACTATCCATCCTAGGTCTGCAGCCTCTCCTTTATTCTAGTAAAACCACACCAATTGCCCTTCCCTATATAGAGCCAGCTTCCCTGACATTGTGACTCTGCTCAGCTTAAACACCATTTGCTTTTTGAAATTGTTCAAATTCTCAGTTTGAATCAACCTCTCCCTCCTCTTCTGACTCTGATCATTTTTACCTGTTGATTATGTACATTCCCCTTACTTGTCTGGGATCTTTTTGAGACTACAACCAACAATGGCACTTGCCAAATGAACAAAGGAACAAAGAATCACACAAATAAATACATAAATAAAAATAAATGATTTGAATAAATGTTAACAAAAGATCAATTTAAGATCAATTTACTTTAAATGTAAAATTACATTTAATCAGTGTTCAATGATCTTGTAACTGTATGTGGTTCAACTAGAGCTAGTATTTTCTCCTCTGTCTTTTGGTTCCCAATTGGTAGACCAACATAGAACATGTCATTTTCCCCTCTTGTTTTTATCTTTTCATTAGTTGAAACAACAGTATTCTTAATTAATTTTTTAAACTAAGTTTAAAAATATTATGTGGCCATAGTTTGTATAGCAGTTTGGATCCTTCCAAAGAATAAATTCAGTTAGCTTATGTTTTAATTGACAACTTAATAGAATCACAGTCTGAGGTAGCCTGATGCTTTATAAAGAGCTGCATTATAATTTTATTATCACTATTAGTAGTCAGAGCGCTTCCCACCTTTTACTGCAAAGCACTTATTAAAATTAACCAATTAATCCTTAGACAGAGGTTAAATAACTTGCTCAAGGTCCCGAAGTAGTAATATTATAGTCAGAATTGGACCCCAGGAGTTGTTGATCAAGATGTCAACAAACATTCTTGCTGTATGGTGATGCTGTTTTTTTGGCAGCATAATAAGTCTGTGGACAGTGGCATTAAAATGACAAATTCAACAGCTGACAAAAACATAATAAATTTAGAATCTATTAGATGTAAGCCGACAAGGTTCAGTGGACCTGGTGTTCTGTCAAAATTGTATCTTGCATATACAAAATCTTCTCTCTATAAAAGAAGGAATGACAGAATGGTTCATTACAGTGCCTAATTAAAGGTCCATTAGTGGGAGGGAAAACATCAGCTCTTAGTTGTGCTGAGTAAAAACATTTCATAACTCTAATAGCAATATAAAGTCCTGAGGTCTGAAATGCAAATTAATTTTAACAGCAGCAGCCCAGGGAGGAGAGGCAAAGATAAATAATGGTAAAAGTAAAATCAAGTATTCTTTAAGTAAGTTGTTAAAGAACAAATATAGCGGCACTTCTCACTATTCTAGAACAAGAATTACTAGTATAAATAAAAATAAACAAGTGAGCATGACATTTTGGATTTAAATCTAGGTGTTAAGCATGAGGTTAACCAATATCTGAAGTTATTTGTGATTAAATGATAATAACATTAGGCCAACCAGGCCAATTAAGACCAGTTGGATCTGTGTCTAAGGAATAGGTAGTCAAATTAAGTGAAAACCTGCTTGTTCTCTCACTGATACTTTCAAAGTCCTCTGGTAATCTGCTTGCAGAACCATTATAATTTCAATTAGAACTAGACTTATCAGAAGTATACCTGTACAGCTTATTCTCCCTGGTTCCAGTAAGTACAGACATTAAGTAATGTCCCTACTTACAGAGTTAGAAGTACCTGACAGTAATCCAAAGATATCATGTTTTGCAATCGGTATTAGAACCACAGACTATCAAGTAACGTATAAAACAATTATGCACTATAGATATAAGCCTATCGTATTTGATGACACGATGGGATTATTTTTACCATTTGTCTTCTAGGGTAGCTTTATCCCATGAGTCAGTTCATCAGTGAATATGTTTTGATGTTTACAATGAGCCTGTCACTATGTTCGGCATTAAGAAAGGAAATAGTGAGGTCAGAAACATTTTCTATTCTCAATAAACTCACAGTGTAATGTCTGATTCTAAAAAGGAAACGAGTTATTATAGGTCAATTTAATGAAACACAGAGGCTACTAGAACCTTCAGAAAGACCACAGAGTTTAGCCTTTAGAAAATTTCTTGAAGGAAGTGGTGTCTAAGCTGAAATCACAAGAAATCAAGAAGCTAAGGAGATGAGAAAGGGAAGCAGCAAAGGGGAACAGCATACACAAAGGAACAGCATATGCAAAGCGGAAGTAGCAAGGGGGAGCAGCATATGCAAAGAGGGAACAGCATATGCAAAGGGAAAGCCTTCAGAAATTTATTTTTCCTGTTTCTATTAGATTTTTCTACAGGAGAGCTGGCAAGAGAAATCACACTCAGTAAACATGTGTAATGTTTTAATACCAGAGATGTTGCTATGACACGTTATTTTATCTAATATGTGAATATGTATCCTTTCAACAAATGCTCACACAACCCTTTGAGATTAATACTATTAGTCCAAATTTGCAAGTGCCAACAACATGAGATTAAACAGTTTTCCCTAATCTGCAATTTAGAGAGCACAGGAACCACAGTTTTTAGCTTTGTGGATCTGACTCTGAAAACTAGGCTTCTCCGACATTTATGCAGCTAACTGACACATGAAAAAATGCTCATCATCACTGGCCATCAGAGAAATGCAAATCAAAACCACAGTGAGATACCATCTCACACCACTTAGAAGGGTGATCATTAAAAAGTCAGGAAACAACAGGTGCTGGAGAGGATGTGGAGAAATAGGAACACTTTTACACTGTTGGTGGGACTGTAAACTAGTTCAACCATTGTGGAAGACAGTGTGGTGATTCCTCAGTGATCTAGAACTAGAAATACCATTTGACCCAGCCATCCCATTACTGGGTATATACCCAAAGGACTATAAATCATGCTGCTATTAAGAAACATGCACACATATGTTTATTGTGGCACTATTCACAATAGCAAACACTTGGAACCAACCCAAATGACCAACAATGATAGACTGGATTAAGAAAATGTGGCACATATACACCATGGAATACTATGCAGCCATAGAAAGGATGAGTTCATGTCCTTTGTACGGACATGGAAGAAGCTGGAAACCATCATTCTCAGCAAACTATCGCAAGGACAAGAAACCAAACGCTGCATGTTCTCAGTCATGGGTGGGAACTGAACAATGAGAACACATGGACACAGGAAGGGGAACATCACACACCGGGGCCTGTTGTGGGGTGGGGGGAGTGAGGAGGGATAGCATTAGGAGATATACCTAATGTAAATGACGAGTTAATGGGTGCAGCACACCAACACGACACATGTATACATATGTAACAAACCTGCACGTTGTGCACATATACCCTAGAACTTAAAGTATAATAAAAATATATATATATATATATATAAAATAAAATTTCTTGAAGTGGTATCTAAGCTGAGATAAGAAGAAATCAAGAAGCCAAGAGATGAGAAGAGTAAGCAGCAAGGGGGAACAGCATATGCAAAGAGGGAACAGCATATGCAAAGGGAAAGCCTTTGGAAATTTATTTTTCCTGTTTCTATTAGCAGGAGGGCTGGCAAGATAAATCACACTCAGTAAACATGTGTAATATTTTCATCCCGGAGACGTTGCTATGACACATTATTTTATCTAATATGTGAATATGTATCCTTTCAACAAATGTTCACACAACCCTTTGAGATTAATACTATTAGTCCAAATTTGCAAGTGCCAACAACATGAGATTAAGCAGTTTTCCCTAATCTGCAATTTAGAGAGCATAGGAACCACAGCTTTTAGCTTTGTGGATCTGACTCTGAAAACTGGGCTTCTCCTGGTCTAATATATTTTTCTGCCATTCAATATCCTGCCCACCATGCTGCGACTTTTAGAGACTCACTAGAACACTCAAAGCTCAAATGGCATACTGGCTCAACCTGGTCTTTCAAGCTTCTACACCATAGAAAAGAGGCACTAATAGGAACTTTAATCTTGAGCTGTTAAGCTTATGGCAGGCCCAGCTAAAAGCGACCAAAGTACTTTTAAAATGATCAGGAAAAGAGAACAATCTTTTCAGTTGTTCCTGTTAATAGGAAGGTCAATTATTCGAACAGAGCCTAAAGCTTTAAGAATTGTGATTTGGAAAGTGAAAGTACCCATAAGAACCAACCCCTTCCTCAGTATTTGAATATTTAAGATTCTTTACAACATTCACACTTAGACTAGCACAGCATTTTGGAGCCCTGTCTACTTTCTCCCAACTCTTTTCCTCTTAATGAGAAAGTAAGTGTTGTCTTCATTCAGGTTCTTATCATCCCTTGTCTGGATTAATGCAGCACATTACTTTATGTACCTTTTCTTCTAACCTTGAAAACCTGTTTATTGCCTCCAAAGTGCATCTGCTATAATTGTTAATACCTCTTTTACGTGACACATTACGCCCTCAATGTCTGCTAAACCTCTTTAATCCCCCTACTTTGTCTTCTTAACTCTCCTTTTTCCTAGAATCTCAGCACTTCTCTTTGCCATTTTTCACTTTATATTCATATCATTCATGAATATCTACCCCACTAGAATATTAAACAGGCCACAGTGTTTTGCATACCTCATCAATCTTGCAAGTGAATTCAGTGCCTGGAATTTAGGAGTTTGGATGCATGTGAGCAAAGTAGAAAGATCCTGTTTACAGACTGGTAGGCCCAGTTATTTTTCTGTGCTCTAGCAAGATCCCTCTCCAAAGGCAGGATCAGAGTTCTGGGCCATATTTTCTTAAAAACTCATGAAGATCCTTGATGGTCCATGAGAAACTGGGTGCTTACATTCCAGTTTCAAAGATTAAAGGAAAAAAGTGTAAAAATAAAATTAGATTTTAATCAATGTGAAGGGAATAGATACATATATTTTCTAGTGTGATAATGATAGAGAATGTTGAGGTAAGGGTAAAATAATTAATTATTTTAGTTATTCTTTTACCGTAGATTATTTCAAAAAAATTGTCAGGGTTGTAAAAATTTGTTGAAGACCATTTTGACCCAATAGTAAAACTAGACTTTTCAAACAGATTTTTGTTTTAATGTTATGCCTTCATTAAAAAAAAAAGTAAAAATAATAAGAGGAAAATAATTTTAGGCGTACGTGCTTATACATAAAAGGAAATTTATTAGAAACCAATGTATGTTTTTCCAAGCAGATATTAATTCATATGTGATTTGAAACTACAAATGCTGATTATTAGAATTAACTCATTCAACTGATATGTATTAAACAACATTAAATATCATTCATTGCTCTAGGCATTGGGGATTTATCAGTATAAAAGTTTTTTGAAGACACTTGGCTTGTATAACTTTGATGAATAGAAAAACAACTGATGTATCTTTTTAGAGTAAAAGTTAGATAAAGCGGACTTCGAATTGTATAGTCAAAAATGATAAAAGATCAGAAATGGACTTTATTTCATACTACTTAGAAGCATACCATTATTTTTCACATAATTGTTTGAAATTTCAGCAGCATGTTTATAAAATTAAACTATTGATAAACTTTTATCTGTACACCACGGAACTTGCCCTTGAAATATTAGTAATTATATTTAGTAATTTTGGTGAGCACTACTGAATAAAAAAATTTTAAGAATGCTTAATTACTCTTGTTGGCATCATAGCAGGAACTTTTTTCCATGCCAGCTTCACCTGATATTGAGACAACTCTAATCTCACAATGCTTCACCTTTACTCAGGCCAAGGTGGTTTAATCTTCTACTTTTATGCCATGTTAGCATTATAGACATGTTTTGACCCTTCTTTTTACAATGTAAGGAAGAGTACATATACAAAGCAGTGTAAAGACAATGAAAGGCATCTCAAAGTCACTTAGTTGTAGGTTGAAAAATGATATGTCTCACAGCTAACAGTAACCTTTTAATGGATTTGTATTTAAATATCTGTTGGGAAATCTGTCCCTGAAAAAAAAACAATGCATGGCTTTTCATGAATAGAAGCCATGACTGTGATTCTGCTATACTTGGTGTTAAGTAAACTGCATGGATTCACAAATAATTACCTGAAAACAAAATTGAGTACTTAAAACAATGTAGCACATAAATTATGTAGAGACATGCAGACTAAACAAAAATATTTATTTGAGGCTTGCCTCAAATCAAATTGTTGCTAGTTAAATGCGTCTGCTAACATCACTTTTAAAAGTTCAAATGTAAATTTAAGAGTAACTTTTAAACGTGGTTATTTATATCAAATTTGGAATGTCTACTACTAAACATGCTTTGAAAAAATGCTGAGTCAGAAATCTTTAAATGCTTTAAAGAGAAGAAATTAAATTCCTTTCTTATAGATAATATGATAACCTTTATGTTTAACTATTAAAGATTTAATCACTACAAACTGGTATTATGAGTCTGTTTTATATAAAAGATATAACCTCTTTTGTAGCTATACTGCTAGAAACATTTGGTATTTATCCTTATTATAGATAAGAATGGCAAAAGAGACTATGAGTCAGTATGTCATTGTCAGCTGTCAAGGAAAAAAAAAAATCCCCAAATTTTAAATGTATATGTTCTGAGTCCAAGGGTATAAAGATGAGAGAAAGGAGGAAAGATTTATAATTTACTCTATGGTCGTATAGCCTATCATCAAATAAAGAATATATAATAGCAGAAATAGAAAACAATATATGAAATAGTGCATTTAATTTCATTTTTATAGATGCAAAAATACATCATAAATCTGATTAAATAAATGTAGACATTTTTTAATCCACTACATTTTCCAAATAAAGTGAAAGTTCCAACAAATAAAAGCAAAGTTAAATTAAAATGTAACGTCATGCCAGAGACAGACAATAATTTTTCACAATATAGATCCTCCATAATATGAAAATAACCTATTAAGAGAAAAACCAGTGTAGCAGGGGTTGCTTCACAGAATCAGATACACCTTAAGTACAGAGCACCATGGGAATAGGAAGCCACTTAGTCTGTAATAGTGCTAGATTAGTTCAAAGGTCAAGTGACTACATTTGGATTTTTTTTTTTTTTTTTTTTACTTGCAATATCCCTTGAAGATCCATGTCTAAACCCATGGTAATAATATGATCTAAATTTCAGTTTGACAAAACAATTTGTATTTTATTAGTTTTGAGAACTTGGAAGATTTATAATGATGATCTCAGAGCAACCTTTCCTTGAAAATCAACTGACAGAAATGAATCAACTTATTGGCAGAAACAAATAAATTCAGATGGATAGGACGACATAATGAATGGCACCTGATTTAACTGATTTCTCGATTAACATCTCAGGACAAGAATTAAGGTCATTTCTGTGGTACCTCTAGACCATGAAGAACTAGAATTAAGCTAGTATTTTTCAACTCCAGATTTCATTGCTCCTTACATTAGAAAGTAGTGTAGGATTCTGATTTTTTTAGGTTCTGACCTTTTTGATCAGATCCCCTATCTAAACCTAAATAAATAAATAAAATGTTTTAAAACAATTTCAGTGGATTTTTGAATTTTGTTGGATGTATAGTCTGAGTTCACACTCCTAGAATATGTCAAATGAGAATCTAGATTTGTTGAAGAAATGCTAGGTTTTAGAGGTGAAGATGCAGAATTAAAATATTCTTTTTTAATCGTGTAAAACTATCTGAAGTAAATATATATGAACTAACAAACAGTATTCTATAACTTTGGTTTCTCAAACTATTATTTTCATCATCACAGGTGACAGTTACACTATCTGTAAAAAAAAGTTAATATTTCCTAAAATTGTAAGTTTAAAGTGCGATAATCTATAAGAAAAGTCTTCTGTAAATTGTAAAATTAATGCAGATATTTATTTTTATAATTTTCATTTTAATAGATACTTTGAGTGCTTATGATGATAATATATATACATAAGGTTATATATATTTAGGTATATAATTTAGATAATGAAAATAAACATTAATTTTATAGCATCAGATGCTTCACTTCATAATTTCTAAAATGATACATGAATTTAGAATGAACTTTTGCATTGAGTCATTGAAAGTAAGTAGATCAGAACACTGACGAAAATAGTTTTATGACTGGGCTTACTTCCATGCACAGATTAGATTATGACCACTGGAAGCTGAAAAGTTTAGTCTAATTCTGTGGCATGCCATATTTCTGGGAATTTGGCAAGTCACATTTTTATTCATATGGCATGTCTAGAGTGGCCAATAGTTGGTTCACTGATCCAGCATCTGAGTGTCTGTTTTATGTTGGCACTGGATGTCCAAGGGCTCTCTCATTGGCACTTGATGGCATCTGTCTTTGCTTCCCAAGTGATTTTCCTTTCCAGTCTCCCTCTTTTACTCCTCCATCTGAACACAAACCCATGCTGGCAAACTTCGGTTAGTTTCAGAATAGGACGAACCAGCCTTGGATGATCCAATATTTATAAAAATTTATAACTTGCTTAGGGGTTTTAAAGCTAAACAATCAGCAGTATTACTCTTGTTCTCTGCCTTCCATAGTGCCCTGCTTTCCAAGGGGAAGCGCTCATTTATTAATTCAACAAATATTAGTAGAGCATCTACTGTGTGCCAGCCACTGAGGCTTGGGATTTTATTATGAATAAAACAGAAAACTGCTCTTATTGTACTGTTTTATTTATAAAGAATATGCAAACATGTTATATGTCAGGTAGTGAGACTAGAGATTATGAAAAGTAAAGAAGTATAATTAAGAATCTAACCACTTCCTGAATAAAGAGAAAGGTCAGAGGCTTCAAAAGCAAAAACACATTACTTACTATATCATATAGTTTCTCACTGCACTATCTTCATGTACACTATACACAATGAAAGAGTAATGACTGAATCCCTTCTCCTTAAGGGCAGAACAATTTATGAGGATGATTTTTAAAAATAGTCTTTCTAAATAAAAGTATCTGGGATTAGTATTTTATTGATTAATTACAGTGATTGAATGCATATTTCTAATCTTGTTAAAGGTTAAATGCTATTAACAATGTAATTAAAGTGATTTTCTGAAACCTTTGAATTATTATGAAAGTCTTAGTACAGAGGGAACCTGATTATTACATATCAATAAATTGTTTGTTTATACATATCTGACCTAAAGAAATGGCACAGTTAACCAGGGGATCCTTGCTAGTTTGTATATATTATTCTGCCAGGTGACCTTTTCAAGGTGACTCTCAATATTTTAGTGAATTCTGATTAAATAATAATCACTTCTACATAATCTGTTTTTCTTCTTGCTATCACACCAGTGTAGAAATATCTCTCTCTCTGTGTGTATATATATATATGTGTGTATATATATGTATGTGTATATATGTACACATATATACATATGTATGTGTATATGTGTGTGTATGTATATATACACACCTATCTATATATATCTTGCTATCACACAATATAGAAATTTCTCTATGTATATATATGTGTAGATACATATACCTATCTATATCTCTATCCATAGATATCCATATATAGATATAGATGTAGATATGTATATGTATCTACACACACATATATACATGTGTATCTACACACACACATATATATACACACACATATATATATAGAGAGAGAGATATAGGGATTATCCATATATAAATATATAGATAGGTATATAGATATCCATATATATATATATATACACACACACACACAGAGAGATATCTAGGTATATGGATATGAACATCTAGGTACATATAGAGATAGATATCTAGTTATACAGAGTTATATATAGATATCTAGGTATATCTAGGTATATAGGTATATAGATATCCATATATAGATATAGATAGATATATACATAGAGATTTCTACACTGGGGTGGTAGCAAGATATATGTATAGAGAGACAAATATACATCTATCTTTATCATCCCTCTATTTATCTATCATCTAACTTTTCACTCATATTTTTGGTTGCATTGTAACATTGAAAAAAAAAACTAGAAGCAAAGTACATTTATGTATATCAGAAATCGTTGCTTCAACTATAGATTTGAAGTGGGTAGCTTGAAAGAAGGAAGAAAATAAGGATGGAAGGATATAAAAGAGATAGAAAGAAAGGAGGAAAGAATGAAAAAGGAAACAGGAAGGGAAAGATAAAATTAGGAACTGTATGGGTGTGTATAAGATGGTGTTGTATTCTCTCACTATGATGAGGTGAGATGTTGCCTGCCCTCCAGTTAGGCTACATACAACATGATGACAATAACTTTCCTCATGATGCTCTCATCTGAGATAGAAATCTTTTTCATGATTACCTCCTATCCAGCTTTATCCACCATGCATTTCTCCATGAATTCCTTTCCAGTTTTCGAAAATTGAGTCATTACTTTGCACTCTGAAAAACGGTTTTTTTTTGGGGGGGAGGGGGGGAAGCCATGTATTTGTTAATGAAAATCTAGTATTGATAATTGTTTTCAACTATGTTAGCCTTTAGGATTCTATCAGAATTTAAGCACTCTGGAGGCATGTAAAATATTAACACTGTAGATACTAACACAGTATATGTTAATTAATTGTATCAGGCTGAAATTAATTGAACCTTAATACATACTCAGTGTCTTGATAGAGAAATTAGGGCCTAAATATGGCAAATGGCTTGTTTATGGCTGTGGAGGCGTGGCCTATATTTGCACGCTTCATTTCCATTCTTTTTTCAGGCCTTCATATGCTTATTCACTTATTTGGGTTTCAGTTAGCCTCATCTGATAAGCCATATTTAGCTGTCATCTGCAACTCAGCTTGCTCACAAGTCTCAGATGACTTTACCATTTACAGTTACTTGCTAAAATCTTTTATAGCTGGACTACTTTAAAAATAAAGAACTACTCAACCCAAAACACTGTTTATAAACAAAAATTATGAATACCTCCTATAAGTTTGTCTCATTAAAACATTGTTATGATAGCTCTATGAGTTGATTTTTGACTATTTTGAAAACTATTGATGCCATCATTGTTAATATGCATTTTACAATGGCAGTTTGTCAAAAATTTAAATGCTGATACTTTAAAAATCCCACCCCATATGTCACTCACTCAAATCAAATTTTTGATAATTTGGCTGAGTTTTACATTTTCCATCTCCCTGGACACTTAGAGATGTCACTGATCAAGATGATTTTATTCTTTAATTTTCAAAATTCCTTTATATAGAAATATTTGGAATACATTACTATTTTCATTAGTATAATAGAAAGTGGTATTTCCTTAGGCATGCTTTCATGATGAAAATTTATCATTTCTAATCAGAGTTTTGCAGGCATTTTTTCCTCAGTGAATATTTAATTGGCATACCTGGATTTAATGTTTGCCTACTTTATTAAACACAGCTCTGACTTTGGAAGGTATATTTAGCACTATGCACTAAAGTTTAATTATTAAAAATCTTAGGCTGTGTAAAACATTTGAGGAATGTAAAAAAGGATAAATCCCAATATTAAGTCTTTTTAAATTCTATCTCCTGATTTAATTCTTCAAAGACATAAAATTCTATACAAATTGTATACAATGTATACAAGTTACTCTATGTGTTTTGACTCCTAAGCCATGCTAGATGAAAAACTGACACTCATCTGCTATGTATCTCTAGGTAATGAAAGTCCACAATTGCTCTTATTAACATATTTAAGAATTATAAAACTTTTCCAGAAAACCTTTCAAATGTCCTCATCCGAAATTAGATGTAAGTAAATGATAATGCTGTAGGTATGTCTTACTTTGTGATTTCTCGGCTATTATTTTGGTTTCTTATTTGCTTAGAGTGACCCAGAGTTGATCATGTCTGATAATGAATAGATCACCTTGATGGTTGGGTGTTTTCTACAAGTGTGAGAATCCCATGCTTTGAACCAACTATCCATAGATAGAGAGACAAACATCTAACTTGGATTGGAATGAGAGACTGCAGTGGATAACATCTGACATTTGAACCTTCAGCTCAGGTGTGAGAATGCCAGCTTGTGTCCCTGAGCTTTGAGATTATAGGCTGTGTCATTATCGTGCAGACTTCTTGTGGGTCTGCTGCCTTTGCTGCTACAGGATCCTTTAATATTCCAACTGCTGGGTAGGTCCTAAGATGTCCACAGAGATGGGATACTTTCCATTTTAAATACACAGAAAGGAAAGAGAACAGCAAAGATATTCAAATCACTTTGTAGATTTGTTTTCCTGAACGTATTTATGAATCACTAAATATGAAAAATAAGAGTTTATCCTCTAGAGTTAGGCCTATTTGGATTTGAAGTTCTGTTCTACCTCTTGTTTGTGTGCAAGCCTTGGCAATTGCTTAACCTCTATGTGCATCAGTTTATTTATCTATAAAAAGAGGGTAACACCATCTAATGCCTCTGACTATACCAAAAACCCATGTGCCTGGCATGTAGGAGACACTGAAAAATGAGTGTTTATCAACATCGTAATTATCATTTACATCATTTTACTAAAAGAAGGTGCTAAACCTAGATAGAGGGCACCATTGGAAATTGGTGGGTGAGGAAGGAATCATGACATAATCTTGGGCATGATTTAATGTAACTGCCTCAGTTCAAAGATGGCCAAAGGATATCTTGGAGAACTTAATCAGGAAACTCAGGTGAGGTCATATTGTTAGACCGAGGAAGGACTGGACTTAGGCTTCCAGTACCTCAAATTCTGGCCATTTTTTTTTCTTTTCCTTATTATCTCATCCCAGTATAAGTATTCATCAAAAGTTTATAAAATTATATTGTTGGTTGCTCTGGAAATTCTACATTTCATACAGATATGGAAGCAACCATAAACCACTCTGCAGGGATAATATCAGCAGAATTCATAGGATCTACTGCCTCTGGGACACAATTAAATATAACAGTGAAGGTGGAATATAAATTGCACGGAAACTGGCTCCTCAGTTACAGAATGCCTGGGGATATGCACTGTGAAATTTACCTAGTCTTTGTGATGGTAATTCCATCCTACTTTTAATTTGTTGTTGGTTTGTGTGTGTGAATGCAGCCTTAAATTATCAAATGCATACTTAAATGATGAATATAAAACCATTTCACAAAATTTATTTTTAAAGGCCAGATTAAAATTCAGTGAAGTAGAACAATAAGTGTCCATTCATAAAATGCAATAATATTAATGTCTAATTCTCATATAGTTTCTCCTATATGATCATTCTGTATTAGCCATTAAAGGCTCTCCAGTTTCTTATTATCCTTATATGGTATCTTCATACCCTGCTTAGCTGATATTAGTTTATTTTGATTTTCTTCTCTTTAAATTTCACACTTCACTAATTATTACAATGTGAATAGCCCAGTTGCAAATATGAGTAAATAGCTAAATAGTTTTGGCAATTACTTTTCTATAGAAAAATATTAGGGAAATAAGTTAAATGCAGTTATAGATTGTATAGCTATATGGCTTTCCATAAATATTTGTAAACCTGTGCATTTGCACATACACGCACATATTTTTATGTAGAGTCTATTACTGTGAAAAGATTAAAGGAAAATATATTTACTTGTATTTCTGGTTACATGAAAAGAAACATTAAAAGAGAAAGAAAAAGAGAGAGTGTGCAATAATGATCTCCCTTGAAAATTACTTTACTTCTGTGGCAGACATTAGCCATTCATTTATTCTTCAGTTACTATCTACCTAATTACCATATGAATACTCTGTAATTACATATTCATCATTGTCCTTTAGATTACATTATTGTGTTTGGTGCTACTAGGTAGTTCTTAGTGTAATTACCCTAACAGAGGTTATAAAAATTTTTATATTGTGAATATAAAGGGTTGTGTAAGTTCATGGTTCACTCTACTTTCTTAGAACAGATTAGTTACATTTCATTATTATTCCTTCTTACCATATATAGACTATCTCGTCTGTTATGCCATTCAGGTCAGTAAAATGCTCAAAACTTATGAGATGGAATGCTCAATAGGAAGGAAGACATTACTTTGGGTAGTAATAAGTTTAGGCTTTTGCCACAGTAACCATTTAGATCAATGTTGGGTCCTTTTTTCTTCTTGCTTTAACCTTATGATTGACTTGTCAGTTATCTCAGAGCTAGTGTCCCATCATGCATTTCTGAGCTCTTTCCAGGGTTCCTAGTATACAATAAGGCACATACATGTCCACAGCAAATAATCAATTATGAATTCATCCTTTCCATTTTATATTTATAGCCAAATTACACATCGTTCATAAGATGATTAACTGTACAGTTCATAAATCGACTGTTTCTACTGACCAATGTACCTAGACTCATCTTGTCTTCAACCACTCTTTTCTATCTTGAATCCCTTCTTTATACCACCCCCCACAACAACAAAATCTTTTATCTATATTTTTCTTCTAAAACTGTCATTTTCCATCTATCACTATTTCCAACTTTATTTTAGTGCTACTAATTACTAAGCTGAATTTCAAATTTGAACAACAAATTTCACATACAAATTTGTGTGTGAAAGTGGAGTGTGAGTTGAGTGGTTGTGTATCTGTATTAGAAAGTAGAAGGCCATCCTTTGCTGCCTACTGTCTCCTTTATTTTTGGGGAAATTACTAAGTTTTTCATTTAGATTTGCCTACTTCTCCATATTCACTAACATTTCACTTAGCAAAAGTGAAATATAAAAAATAAATCCGAAGGCTATAAAACTTCAACAAAGGTAAGTTCATACAAATAATTGATCCTCTTAGTGATAAATGATTAGTAAAATATCAATACATTTTACTTAAGAAAATATGTATCTATCTTTTATAAAGGCTACTTTCAAAATGGTTTTAAAGTATTTTTGGTGCTTAAAGTAGTCACCTCGATGGGATCATTAATATTTTTAGTGCTGTGGTATAAAAAATAAAATGGTGTTTATTTAGTAACTATTAAGTTTCTCTATTTTTCTTCAGAGCTTATAGATCAGTAAAGTAACCTTTAGAACCAAAGTAAACAATTACATACTGAAGAAGCCTTCTCATATACTATTCTTCATACTTTGCTAAATTAGTAAGCCAGTTTCCACTGGGCTAAGTACCAATGAAGTATTCATTTTATTAGATAAATAGCTGAACTGATACTTGGAATTTAAATATGAGTGTGTAGTAATTATGTGAGAGTATATAGAGAGGTGACACTGATGAAAATATGGCACATATTTATACAAGTTTACATAGATGCTTGTAATTCTAAGTGCATTATAGATGTGAAGGGAGTGAGAGAAAAATTAAACTGGCATTCTTATGATTTATTAACATTGCAGATATTACTCTGAGTCAATTACAGAAAACCTGGGCTTTGTTTGAATCACCCAGTTTAGAAATAGACAACACCATCAGATGTTTCAAACTCTTTCCTGGACTTGCACATAGCATGCACCGTGATAACACTTGAAATAACAGAGGACACTTGAAGAGATTATTTTGCTTTACAATTTACAAGTATCCAATGATTGCATCGTAGCTAAAATATCAGATGCTAAAGTCTATTATTAAGATCTGCTTTCTCCTGTGTTCAGGAGTCTTGGAGTGGGAAATGAGTAAATAGTAAAGCCTTTAAGACAAGAAAGAAAGAGAGAAAGAGAGAGAGTGGAGAGGGAAGGAGGCAAGAGAAAGGGACAAAGACATTACATAAACGTCGAAGAATAGGCCCTAGAATCCTAACCGGGGTGCAGAACACAGTCCAGTCAAACATCTAACTCAGCAGCTTCCACATGCTTCAAATATTAAGCCAAATAACTGGAGATAGAAGATTTTCACAGAAAGGCAATGGGAGGCAACTCTGCCAGGGCTGGAGTGTAGTGAGCAACTCTTTGCCCCTGAATTTCAACTCAGCATGGAGTGTTAAGAATGAGAACTGGGAGAAATGAAATGTCTTCCCATTTGAATATCTGTAGAGAAAGGGTTCAGAGCATAAAATGATTTCTGCCATTTTTAGAGGGGAAAAAATGGCATGGCTTAAAAACATGCAATTTAGAATTATTTATTAAAGTGTAAATTCTAATATTTGCTTATTTCCCAATTTTATCATAAGCAAACCTTTCTTTTACAGTCTTGGATTCCATTTTTATGCCATGAGGCCAATCAACTGCATTGAATAATGCGCATCTGACATGCTATGAAAAAAAATTGGACGCATTAAAGAGTGAAGGATTTTCTGTAAAGCATAAAAAGTGAACCATGAATTCCTTTTAAAAGTTGTCCCTACAAAGAGAAAAACTATTTAGCCTAGTTAGCGAAATAAATGAGAATTTCTAAAACATTCTAAGGTTGCTTATGTGCCTTTTATTAAAAAGAAAAAGCATTCTCTGTTGAAGTGTAATATACACAGAAAAGTTTAAAAATCACAAGTAAACAGTTCAATTAAATATTACAAGGTGTACACATCAGTTTAAACCAGCATTCAAGAAAAACATTATCAGCACTGCAAAAGTTCCCTCATGTTATTCATCACTCTCCTTTCTCCTCTCCTGTAAGATAAATCCTTCTTGACTTCTAAAACCATAGATTCAACTTAACTTTTGAACCTTATATAAATATAAAAATGTAGTATACATATTTTGTGTCTATTTTTCTCAATTTTTGTGAGATTCATCCATATTTTTGCTTACAGCTGCATTTTGTGTGTGTGTGTGTGTGTGTTTGTATATGTGCATTTTATTGTATAAATGAAACATAGTTTATCCATTCTTGGGACAGACATTTGGATTTCTTAAAATTTGGGCTTTTTAAAATATTGCTGTGCATATTATGTGTATGTTTCTTGACATACATGTGCATGCTTTTCTTTTGGGTATATGTTAATAGTGGAAGTGCTAGGTCATAAGGTGTGCGTATGCTGAAACTTAGGAGATATTGCCAACCGTTTTCCAAATTGGTTGCACCAACATTCTCTCCCACGAGTAGTAGTAGATGAGAGTTTCCACTATTATTGTATTATCAGTCTGGTGGGTGTGTATCGGTATTTCATTGAAGTGTTAATTTAATTTTCATCTCCTTGATTGCTAGTGAGTTATGTACAGGCGCTCATCTTTTCATTTTATTTTTTATTATTTATTTATTTATTTAGAGATAGAGTTTCACTCTTGTTGCCCAGGCTGGAGTTTACACTCCAATGTCACGTGACTCCAATGTCACAATCTTGGCTCACTGAAACCTCTGCCTCCTGGGTTCAAGCGATTCTCCTGCCTCAGCTTCCTGAACAGCTGGCATTACAGGTGCCCACCACCACATCCAGCTAATTTTTTGTATTTTTAGTAGAGAGGGGGTTTCACCATATTTGCTAGGCTGGTCTCGAACTCCTGACCTCAGATGATCCACCCACCTCAGCCTCCCAAAGTGCTGGAATTACAGGTGTGAGCTACCGCACCCAGCCCATCTTTTTAATCTTAATCTAAGATTTAATTTATGCACAAAATTACTTATAATTAGCATACTGCAGATAAGTTTTTAACTTTGACCTTTAGTACTTTAAGTTAAATGCAAACTACTCTTTGCTGGAGTGTGGTCCTGGACATTCATCAACCTCCAGAATATTAATCCATTTTTTTCTAGTTATTTGGGTCTTTTCAGGGGTATAGTTATAAAAAAAAAGCGCTTCAAAATTTTACATGAAAAATTACATTTTAATTTTGGTTTTCAATGTTAGTTAATAAATAAGCTATTTTGGTCAAATCAAATCTATTTACAAGTATTAGACAATGTAGTCTCTTTGCCAACTAGTAAAATTCTCTCCAGATCATCATTTCTTACATTTTCTAGTTCCCATGGGAACTACCTGGGCCCCATTTCAGACCTATGAATTATAATCTAGGAGTGGGTGGCAGGGAACGGCACTGGAATTTTCATCTGCAAATAAGTTCCCTATATGATTCTATAATTAATTATATCCACCATGGCAACCTTTGAATAATGACATAGTAAAAAAATGTTGCAAAGAAACATCACTAGACTTCTATGTCTCATCAGACAGCTAATCAGCCCCAGTGGATGAAATTTTAAAGCAGTTGGGGACAATATTAAAAGAGCTTTTTATGAGTTAGAGGTATCTTGCAACCTGCCTAAAGAAGGTTGTTCTTCAGAGGTTTCTGCATTGAATGGGAGGCTGTCCTGGATGATCACATAGACTGCTGTTGATATACTCTTCATAAATAAAAACAGCATTTGTGTTGTGTATATATACCCTCCAAGCCTAGAACAACTACAGAAACCATAATGTATGGCTACTAACACTATGTTAAATTTCAGATCTCCAACTCTCTTACCTTTTGAAAGTGCTATATGTCTTAAATATAGCCAAAACCCGTATTAATAGGCTTCAACCCTAAATCTCAATGAAGGTACCTGGCACAGTGCAACAGCAAGCATGGGAATGCTTGAAATAAATTTCCATAAATATGAAGCAAGTCTGTCAATAAATTTAATTTGTCTGATTTAATAAAGGGCTAGATAAACATAAACATGAGAATTATAAATTATGTTTTAATTTTTCTTACCCATTATAATTGTCAATATAGCAGGATGAAGTTTATAAATTGTGATTTTTATCTCAGCTAATCTCATTTAATATTGCTTCACAATTAAATAGGTAAAAGGAAACTGCATTTTCTAAACACAAAGTCTGGAATCAATTTAATCAATTATTTTGCATAGGATCATTTATATTATTAATTTCAATATTTAAGTGTGATAAATTATAATATATTCATATATAAAAACAGACATGATTGCTTTTCAAAAGACAGAAGCAGAATGTCTAATTCTATTGTTAGAGTGGTTGTTATATTATTAAATAGTCTTTGTTTCATTATGCATGTTCAAGGGGTATAGAAATATTTGGGTGAAGTGTTCCTTCCTAGTTGAGAAAATCGTCTGTGACGCTCAATGAGAAATGGCCTTCAAAACAATAGGTTCAGATTACAGGGAGTTTCGTGACTGATGGGAAGATTAGTCTCTTACCTTAGAAAAGGATAATAGCCTAGATTTCTGTTATTATTCCCCATGAATGATGGATCAGTTAGTCTCCCAGTTTGCTTTCCTCTCCGAGTTCCATGAGAGGCATAACTCGTTGTTTGCTCACCTGCTCAGGCATGCAGAAAATACCTGGGTTTGTTCTGCTACGTGTACAGGGAAGCTTCTTTCCACAACACTAAAGTCTGGTGCAGGGGTATGAGTCCTCTGCTCACCACATGTGGCTGACTGCCACTTTGACTACTTGAGACCGTCATTACAGCAGTTACTACTGTTAGTGATTGAGACCGTCATTACAAGACTGAATGAAGGGACAAACTTAGAAATGAAAACTTAAGACAAAAGAAACTGCTTTAAGGAAAGGGCCAGGGGAAGAAGAAGAGAGCTCTCTGCTTCTAGTGAGCAAAGGCAACTGCCGAGCTTCTACAGCCCTTCCTATTTATTGGGTAACAAGAGCAGGTAGACTGCTTAATTGATCACAGGTTTGTATTGTTACTGACAGGCTTCAATTATACCTAATCATAAGAAACATTTGTGCCTGGATCATTGACTGCTCTCAGCAGTCCTTCTGGGTGGCATACACAGTTTGTTGGTTTGACAATGTTCTGCATTAATGAGAAAGTTTGTGGCTTACTCATATAGCCTCCAGTGCTATACCGATGTAATCACGACCCTCATTCTTTCGGCGTCCAACAACCAAACATTACTCTGTTCTCTAGATGAAAAGAGGTGTGAAGGAGGCAACAATAAATGACATCCAAAGAAATGTTAAGCATTTCTGTTCATTTCAAACTATACTTACGTTGTTCATTAGAAAGAAAGCTAAGGGAACTTGTTAACTTAAGCTTTAATATTCAGAACCAAAAGAGTTTGTCACCTAGCATTATAGCAATATAAGCTCTCTTAGCCAGAGGAAAATGATGCCTAATTCAAAGAGGAGAATCAATAGCATTATTAAAGAATTCTACTTCATGTGTAATTATAAGCTGCTTTTGTAAATTAATCTACCTATTATTTTTAAGTAATAAATGAAAGGGTCACCTTAATTATGACTGAAGAAAAATGTCCTGTAATATAATTTTATTTTTCTGTTGTGCCTTTTTTTCCTAGACGTGTGCCACCACTATTGTGTGAATTCTGAATCATGTACCATTGGGGATGATGGAAGTGTTGAATGTGTCTGTCCAACGCGCTATGAAGGACCAAAATGTGAGGTTGACAAGTGTGTAAGGTGCCATGGGGGGCACTGCATTATAAATAAAGACAGTGAAGATATATTTTGCAAGTAAGTGGACACCCAGCTTAATTTATAAAAGCATTTGGACACCAATGGACATTGCAGTTCAGTAATAAATAGTAAAAACTTTGTAGATTGTTTTTATTCTAAAATTCCGTATTGTGCCCATTGCAGTTTTTATGATTAGAGAGTAAGTCTAGTTCACTTTAATTTGACCTGAACTTATTCAACATCTATTGTGAATATCTAGAAATTATGAAAATCCATTATGTAATAAGACGGTCATATCATTCCCTATACCAAATATTCCTGAGTAAGCAAGAAATGCTGGCATTCAGCATACTTTCAAAAACTACATGTAATATTATTCAATTAGATTAGCTCAGGCTGTTAATTGTTTCATCATTGTTATTGACAATAAGTAGGTTTGCTTTTCTGTTGCAAATTGATTTGTTGAAGGAGGAGCAAAAGACCTGTCTAATGAAAACACACATTAATCCTTTTTTCTTAATCTGACTTTGAACATTATGATCAAAGCAAACAGAAGGAATAATGTGTTCTGGGAAATAAGTAAAACAAAAATCTTCGAGTTTGACTTTCATTGCACTGCCTTTTGCTCTTTGGCTTTAAGATTAAGTGAATGGAAAACAGAACATTGCGGCTAAAGGGTTGTGCCATTCAGTTTCTATCGTGAAACCAGTTTATGCCACTGAGGTTAGAGATCAATCCTCACTCCAGACCTCTTTTAATAGCTTTTTAAAGGAAGGGCTTATAAAGAACTGGACTCTATCACTTGCCTTGCTTGGGAGTATAATAAATAAGAATATGAGACAGGAAAGCATGCCATAAAGTGTCCATGTCACAGCTTCCGCTGAGAGCTCACCAAGGGTGCCGAATGAGTTATGTTGCTCTGCCAAACAAGGCCCAATAAAATTTGATTGCAAAGAGCATCAACATTTTTTTATTTACTCTCATTTTAGAATTTAAATATGATTTGTATTATCATTATGAATGACATTTACGCAAACCTGCAAAATTGGGATATTTGAAAGTACATTTTTTAGTAAAGTAATTGAAAATATGACTGATATATAACTATGTGCCTTTGATAAGTACATAAAAGTGAAACATGCGTCCAAATCATGTTTCCTCATAAAGCTCATTTGTTCTTTGTGATGAAACTGTAGCATGACAGAACTGTATTTCAATTAGTGAGCGTACATTGTTCTCTATGTCTTGTGCACCATATCAGGATAAGCTGTGGAATCTTCTTTACAACTCCATTCCACTTACCCCAGAGATCATGGGCTGAGATCTCTGGGGTAATCCGAGATCACATCTGAGAAATGGTGTGAGCCAAAGTTTCCTACCCATTTTACCTTGGAAAAGCTCATGTGGAGATGCAGACCCTCTTCCCTTTATGTAAGGAAGAAAGGGCAGGGATCAGGGTCCCTCAGTATCGCTTGCTATACAGTCAAAAGTCCCTTCTCCAAAACAGAAACACCAGATTCTCACAATGAGCAGGCTATTGAGGTGCAACATAAGAGTTTGTGTTTTTTAAATGATCTTTTTGGAAATGTATATATAAAAATGGATAAATAACAATTGCTAACAATGAGGAGATAGTGGAACTTTTAAACTAGGAATATAATACTTGATTTATTAAATAGGCTATAACACTTGAACATGACAATACAAACATAATTCTTTGGATTTTCTGAAACATGTTAGATGATTAAAGTTCATTTTTATTTCTATGATACTTTTCACATTAGCATTAAAATGAAGTTAGTGATGTTAGAATTTCTGTTTTATAGGTAAAGAACAGATAGTAAAACAAAATTGCAATAAAGTTAATCATTTTTACTTAATTAGGAAAATTCAAGCCATCAAGTATATTTGTTATTACAAATAGGCAGTTGTGTTTCTAATACACAGCCTATGAACTGTTAAGTAGAACAGGTACTCTATCAAGTACAGTGAGTATAATCTTTAAAACAGAGCCAATTGCATATTTTTCTCTTTTCTGGAAATCAAAGTGAATACTGGTGAAGAAAGACTTGATCATAATCTTGAATAACCTAAATTATGTCTTTTTGATGACCATTGTCATGGGAACTATTTGTATGGACTGAATAACTAGTAATTAACTTTTGGAAAGTGATACATCACATATTCTGTGTGTGTGTGTGTGTGTGTGTGTGTGTGTGTGTTTGTGTGTGCACATACGCTGAATGCCTCTAAAAAAGAAAATTATGAAAATTTACTTTAAAATATGAGCTGCACTCTTTGATGTATTGTAATGATTTTAACTATTTGTATTTCACATTTAAAATGTCTACAAATTTCTGTCTTCAACTTAGGATTCAAACACAAACTTTAGAGGGAAAAAGAGGCAACATCTTTTGTATCCATTGGAAACACAGGTTTAAAAGCAATCAGGTTTTTTTGTCTTTTAGATGATGAGATTTGATAAACAGTTATCTTTTTTTTGTAGAAAATCATTTAATGTATAATGAGCTAATTTTCCCTTTTGAGGCTGTTCCTTTGATAAAACAAGAAACTATAATTTTTTGACTTTATTATTTTCAAAGAGGCTGGGCATGGAGGACAAGTAAAAGTCCCTCAGATGCACTTAGTCTATTAGACACCAATACCACTGATTGCTAATTAATTCACTGCATCCATATTAGGGTGCCTCTATAGGTTATAAAGGATGGGATAGTCTCTGTACAAACTTGAGACCACCCACTCCTTCTCTATGTCTTGTTCTGTTTACCTGTATCTTTATTTCACATCTTGTACATAGTTACACTGCTCACTGCTCCTGTTTACCTTGAAAAGAAATGTGATTTCACAAACTAAGCTTTTCAGAAACATCTTCAAATTAAACACCAATTAATGTTAAAAGCAGTTGAGGGCATTTCCAGTAGCTACACAACCCACATGAGGTCAAATAAACATGCACAGAATAAATGAACTACATGTCAACCGATTATTTTTAGGCATCTCACCTATCATTAGGAATCACCCTATGACAGATGTACTGCAATAGATATCCATCATGGGGAGGATCAAAGTGATCAATCGATATTGTAGCCTGATTTTTTTGTCAAGGTTATGTCCAGATGCACTGTGATACCATTGATTGTTTCATAGCAGCTAATACTGGTGTGACCACATGATCAGAATTGCCAGCATGATCTGTTGTTAATTCTGGTTTTGACCCACAGAGTAGGTCCCGGGATAATTTGAAATGTTGATGCACATTTCTGCATTCACTCAACAGTTTTCACTGTCCAATCTAATTATTTGTTTATTTAAAAAAATGTAACATGGCAAGTAAAAAATGTCTGCGTTTTTCCCAGTATTGTTATGTTTATTTTTACAGTGTAGCAGTAGCTATTTATTCTTGTCCCTAACCTGTGATGCGACTTTAACTTAGAAACATTTGGTAAGTTTTTCAAGAAAGCCTGTCTCATTACTTTGTTGCCATATTGCACATTGTTCCTATAACATAACTGTTTTTTTATGAACTACTCCATGATTTTTTTATGTTAGAATAAAAATAGTTTGACATTAGTTACAGTACATACTCAAAGAGAAACAGTGGGATAAAAGTGGCTACAGGATAACCCTCCACTTTCTTATGAAATGTGGGGTCTAAAAGTCTTAGCATTCTTTGAAACAGATTTTCCACTTTAGAAGAAAAGCTAAAGCACGTTTTTCCAGAGTACTTGATCATGTGGTTTATCATTCACACAGATGTCACCAAACCCTACTTACATGAAAAAGGAACAAGATACTGATGCTAATGTCTCCCAGAAGTGTAAATGATAGATATTAGAGTATATTTTTTCACACATATATCTAGCTGTATAAAATGTTTATATTAAATGAACTGGTTGAAAATTTGAGAATTATCAGAAGAAAAATTTTATGACATCATTCTGACATAAATTAAACTGCCTCTAGTGAGTCAGACTTCCTGAAAACTTCCTTTTAACCAGCCACTCCATCTCTCCTATATGATGAATATTCTCATCCACAGAGAGTTTATGTCAGCTTTCAGCAATAATGTTGCCAATAACAATGAAATTGTTCTTTTTTTCTTTGTTGTTGCAGCTGCACTAATGGAAAGATTGCCTCTAGCTGTCAGTTATGTGATGGCTACTGTTACAATGGTGGCACATGCCAGCTGGACCCCGAGACAAATGTACCTGTGTGTCTGTGAGTATTTAATCAAGTCATGGGCATCTTATAATAAGCCTTTGTATGTACATGAAATCCCTGTTCTATTATTCTCCTTTTCTGGGGTAATTTTAAATGAGTGTTTCATGGACATCTCTGATCAAGTATTGTCCCTCATCAGCTCATGTGCTGCAGAATCTCCTTTCATCAAATTGCTAATGATTTCATGAGGAAGAGCTCATTCTGTTCTCAGCATCGTACCATTTCAGACATGCATAGACCTTTGAACTTGCAAATGCCAGAGAAAATTGTTATAATTTTATTGACCTGATTCTGATATGTGAAGCCCAGAGATAATCATCTTTTATGAATACTTTGGTACTTATGGCCATTTTTTTTCACAAGAACTTGTAATATTCTTTCATATGTATAATGCTAGTTGATGTTTGTATGAGACTTAGACTGTTTTATTATGTAAACCTATTAAGCCCCTGGCTCCTTTAGAATAACTTGAGTGTCTGAGTTTCTCAACACCTAGGAAACGTATTGGGTATATTCACAGTACTCCTGAGAAAATCTGGAATTTAGTATTTTCCCCCCTCCATGATCTGATTGTCCAGAGTGGACAATTTGAAATAAAATTATTCAGATTACATGGTCACTGTTGTGAGTTTCATCACTGTTTGACCAAAAGGATGATGCCCACATATAACCCACATCTGCATCCTGCTCCCGACCTTGTCAGAGTAGCATGTGATGAGTGTGTTTGAGAGAGAAGTGCGCATATCTGGGAACCTTTTCGTTTGAATGTTACTATCTCTGTATGAAATGAATTTAAAACATATTTGGCAAAACAAGTCAGACGCTTTATTTAGCTGTATTTTACTGAAATTCTGCAGATGCTCTGTGGGGTTTAAAAGTCAGCGCTGTGACCAGAAAGAGAACCCTTGTGATCACTACTGTCAGAATGAGGGGATTTGCACTTTAACTGCGTTTAATGAGCCGAGATGCAAGTAGGTTTAAACTTCCACTTATCGCTGCGCTTCGTGTGACATCATTTCAGGCCACAGTTCATTGGTTTAAATCATGAACATCCACATGCATTTCACAGAGTATACTTAATCTCGGGGCTCATCTGTGTCATACACACTTAACCTTTGCTTCACTCACCAACAAGTGTGTGCACCACAGACTGCTAGAGTGTCCAGAAATATAACAGAGAAAATGAAAAAGCTTGTGGAACTGTCTAATAAAAATACATTTGCTAGAAAATAGTAGCTTTTAATTAGAGAAGTACAGAAGCAGGTGTTTTAAGAGTACTTCCATATGCTATATTTGGAATAATTTTTATTTAGTAACTGACTTTTGATTTCAAGCACAGATGAAGCGCTCTATTTTGTTTCCCAAAATTTTACCGAGAACTGCCCTACCTTCATCAGTAAGACCTCTTTATAGATGAAAGATCTTAGAGTAAGACCTTTTTTACAGTCTGAAAAATTTCCAGAAATTTTATTTCTTAATAGTTTAAGTCATTCTTTCTTGATTCAGTTTGTGGTGTTTTGAACATATATGCAATAGTAAACTCATATCTCCTCTGAGAAATTTCCAGGATCACCTTTAGGGTAACTGTCAATGTTCATGACAATGGAAATTATTTTTGCATTGTGCATTTGAGCTTTAGAGATCGATCACATCTGGCATATACTCCTTAATAACCAGTGTCATAATGAGTAGCCCTGATTGGAATCTGATAACTTCTGGTAATCTCAAAGTGCCTAATAGTGGTTTTAAAGCACAGTTGTATTAAAATTCAGATATTTTATTACCAAAATGCTACTATTTTATTCATAATGAGTTGCTGAGACTTGAGGCAGAGGCTTGAGCTGAAGGAGTTTTGTTGTGAAGGTGATACTTGTTGGCATGTAAAGGAAAGTCTTGCAGATCACCTACAGGGACTCTACATCAAAAGGTTTGACCACACTTCAAGTAACAAGTGATGAGGGCTTGAACTTGGGCATTGCAACCAGAGAAAAGAATGAAGAGAACAATAGATTCATTAACATTTCAGAGTTAGTATACCTAAGGTTCTCCTTGACCAAAAATGGATTCAGGTACCTATTTTATTTCTATTTTAGAACACCAGTAAGGCTTCTCCTGAATCCCAGTCTTCATTTGTCCTGCCCCTGTCTCACTAATTCTGGGCAAAATATATCCATTTCAGGCCCACCTTTCCCACCCATAAATAGGTCTCAGGAGGACTCCCTGTGCAGAGAATGTACCTGTATTACCAGAATAAAAATCTCTCATGGGTGTAGCAGCCCACGTTGATTTTTTTTTCCACTTTTTGCTCTTACCAAGTATCATCAAAATCATACAATTTAAAAATGATAATTGGCCTATCTGATAAACACAACCAGGAAAAAATATGTTAATTGTGGTAGTTTAGAGCAACCTCTCCTACTTTTGTGTACTTATGTCTCTATCTCTGTTTGTATGTGGCTCTTTAGAAATGTGTGTACCTTGGTCTTCTATGCCTTAAAATCTATTTTGATAGTGGGCATAATGTGTATACAATCAGCCCTCTATATCCCCACACTCCACATTCGTGGGTTCAACCAAGTGCAAATCAGAAGTATTTGGAAATAAAAATTGTGTCTGTGCTGACCCCGTACAGACTTTTCTCAAGTTTGTACAGGCTCAGCACGGACACAATTTTTCTGTACAGACTTTTCCCAAGTCGTTATTCTCTAAACAATACAGTAAAACAACTATTTACATAGCATTTACATTGTGTTAGGTATTATAAATAATCTGGAGATGATTTAAAAATATAGGGGAGGGTGTGCATAGCTTATATGCAAACACAATGCCATATTTTTTATCTGGGACTTGAGCATCTAAGGATTTTGGTATCCTAGGAAAGTCTTGGAACCAGTTCCCCACAGATACTGAAGATGACTATACTGCATTCCTCACCCAGTTAAACCATATAAGAAGCAAGGAAGAATTACGCTGTTATTGTTTATTCATCAATTCCTTTACTAAATATTTAGTAATAATCTGAGTCTCTATAAATTTTTGAAGACAATTAATTAATAGCAGCTAAAACTGACCTAATAAATACTCTGTACCACTTACTGTGTTAAACCCTTCACATATTTTATGTGTGAAGTTAGACTGTTACACATAAGTAGTATTATTATCTAATTGTTATTCCCTTTTCATAGATTACAACATTAAGGTCACACACTAGGAAGGGGTGGATGTCTGAGACTCAGACCAGTCCTGTTCAATTCTAAAGTGCGTACCCTGGTTATAACTCTTACACTGCATTGCAGTCTTTATGCTGTAACAACCTCAAGAGTTTTTACTTTAGAGGAACTTAAAATTCATTTTAGGAAGATGAATGGCTTTTAGAAAATTAAAATATCATTTGCTAATTATTATAATAGAAATACAACCAAAGTGCTCTGGGAAAACAATTAAATAGAGATCAATGAATGATTCCTGTGGGAGAGTGGGAGGCTTTATACGTGAAGAGACATGTTCACAGTATTTTTAGAAAACATATTGTAGTTTTATAGGAAAGAAAGGGTTGAACATCTTTTTTCAAAAGAGGGTACAGCACAATCAAAGGAGAATAGGTCTAAAAATAAAAGGCCAAGGTAGCTGAGAATAGAAAAAGGTTATATGCACAACAGGAGAAGAGAAGGCTAAAGAGATATATTGGGGACAGTTTATTAGGTACATTTTATACCATGACACAAGAGTGGGTTTATAGAAAGAGGATTAGGAAATGAAGGTTGGAACCCTCAGAAATACCACTATTTGGGTACTATCTCAAGCAGGAATCAACAAAAGTAAATGAGAAGATTTAGAAGTTGAGGGAGATTTACTGAAGAGTAGATTCCTACAAATCAAAGGAGTAGAGTGCCAATGAGTATCAACTCCAGACAGTTCAAAGAGGACAAGTGTTATAAGTGGTTTATTGGATTTCTCAGTTAGGTGGCCATTGTGAAAGATGTTTTGGAAGCACTATAGAGATAGAAACCAGACTACAGTTAATTAATCAAAAGGAGAAGAAGTAGAGAAAAATGTAGATTCTTTTCTGAAAACTTGGTTATGAATTAAACAAAAAAAAACAGTAAGTAGGATCTAGAGGAAAATATTTTTATGACAAGAAAGACTAATGTATTTAAGAAGACTATTTTGCACTATTCAAGGCCTGCTATTAGGGCCTGGGAAGGAGAGAGAGATGGTTCAGGAGGATTTCACAGTCATGTTCCTCAGATTTGAAGTTTCCAGAATATGTAAGATTATGCTTGTTTTACCTAGGATATTTATAAATCACATGGTACTAAAATGTAAATGACTATAAGTAAAATTAAAAATAAAGTGTCAATGATCCCTGGACAATAAAAAAGTCCAGCTAAGGGAACATGAAACCCTCAGAATATCTTTCTAGTGGTCAATTCTCCTCACCAGAGGAGACTTTTGGAAATAGTTTTTAGTCACGGATCTCAATTGGCAGTGGTCATGTATTGTTAATGAAAAGTAAGTATGTACTATTTCATCTAAAAACATTTACAGGAAACAGACATTGCTTTCAGAGATACAGTATAGTGCTTGCTTTATTTTTGTTGGTAATATATTTTTATTTTCTTCATAGAGTGAAAAACTATTTGAACTGTGCAAAACTTATGCACTTTTGGACTATCTATATAGTATCCAGATCTATGAAGGTGACAGTTTTTTCCACATAGAAATGTTATTACTGTAGCCTTCAATTTAAGGAATAAATTTGTTCCTTGAAAGGATTCACTTTTGTCTCTTGATGGCCATTTTTACTTATAACTATGTGTGGAATAAACAGAAAATGCCAACAGAAGCCTAGGAAAAAGAACAAAAACTAGATTTTTTTGCATTTATTTGGGGGACATTTTTACATTTATTAAAGTAGATACATTGAATAATATTAAAACAATGTTTTTTTAAAAAAATCTAATGTGTTATTTTGACAGTGTTTGTACTATTAAATACGTTTTATTGTAAGCTATAGAAATCACTACTACTGTGAAGAATTATTGAGCTCAATAGTAAGTTGACCAAGCCTTCCTACCTGCTAAGATTTTTTCCCTAGTGTTAGACTATTATTTACATTGAATTTAAGGGTTTTTTTTGTAAACTTACATCCCCAGCATTACTTCTCAGCAATATCCACAATAGATTTCATGCTCAAAATAAAGAAATGTAATTACCCTACCTGCCCCACTACTACTATTCTATTAACATGAACACAGGCACACACACACATATACTCACTGCATAACACAGCACCATTCCACACCTAGGTGTCTGTGGGTCAAATAGCTCACTGAACCCAAATGTGTCTTCTTCCTTTTTTTCTAGTTAACTCTTATTATCTCATTAATCTCAACTCAGGTATCCCTGTGTGTGGCACATAGATATAGTAAATATTGATTGAATTGGACTTAACATCTCAAACTAAATAAATTAAATTTCAGTGGGAAAATTATATACACACACACACACACACACACACACACACACACACACATATATAGACAATTTTTTTTTTTGTCATTTTATGGGCTGAATTCTGCCTCCCTCTCCCTGAATTCATATGTTGAAGACCTGATACCCAGTATCTTGGAATGGGACTGTATTTGGAGATAGGGCCTTTAAAGAGGTGATTGAGTTTCAAATGGCTGGGTATGGTGGCTCACGCCTGTAATCCCAGCACTTTGGGATGCCGAGGTGGGCGGATCACTTGAGGTTAGTAGTTGAAGATTAGCCTGGCTAACATAGTTCAAGACTAGCCTGGCCAACGTGGTGAAACCCCATCCCCACTAAAAATACAAAAGTTAGCCAGGTGTGATGGCACATGCCTGTAGTCCCAGCTACTTGGGAGGCTAAGGCAGGAGAATGACTTGAACCCGGGAGGCAGAGGTTGCAGTGAGCTGAGACTGCGCCATTGCACTCCAGCCTGAGTGACACAGCAAGACTGTTTCAAAAAAAATAAACAAACCAAAAAAACAAAACAAAAAAAGGTTTCATTATGGTGATCCCGAATCCAATCTGACTGGTGTCTTTGTAAGAAGGGTGATAAGAACAGAGAGGGAAGTATCAGACACATTGTACACACAGTGATGGCCATGTGAATGAACAGACAATGTGAAGGCAGCTATCTGTAAGCCAAGAAGAGAGGCGTGAGAAGAGACCAAAATGTGCTGATGCCTCAATCCCCAATTTCCAGCCTTTAAGAAGATAAACTTGTTGTGTAAGCCACCCATTTGTTGTGGATTTTATGGCAGCCATAGCAAACTAATGAATATTTCGATACCAGAATTGTGGTGCTGCTGTAACAAATACCTAAAAAGGTGACTGTGGCTTTGGAGTTGGGTAATGGGTAGAAGATGGCAGAATGTTGAGGGACACGTGAAAAAAAAAAAAGGCCTCAATTACTTTGAAGAGATTATTGGTAGAAACATGGATGTTAACGTTATTTCTGGTGAGGTCTCAGATAGAAAGGAGGCACATGTTTTTGGAAACTAGAGGAAAGGTGATCTTTGTTATAAGGTGACAAAGAGCTCCACTGAACTCTGTTCTGTCTAGTGTTTTGTGGAAGGTAGAAACTGCAAGCGATTAATCTTACATTTAGCAGAGACTATGCGAAATGTTGAAGTCATGGCCTGGTTTCTCCTTGCTGCTGATAGTAAACAGTGAGAGGGGAAAGATAAATTGAAGGAATTGTTAAGCGAAATTGAAGATTTGGAAAATTCTCAGCCTCGCCATGTTGAAAAATAAGTAGAAAATAGGTTCTGAAGAAGAAATCAAGGGTATGGCTGAAAAGTCATTTGCTATAAAGGATTATGGGTGTGGCTCATGGATTCAACCACCTGAGTATAACTGCTGCCATTTGTACTAAAGGGGTCAGAGACAGGGCAAAATAAAGGAAGACTGCTGGATTTTTGATGCATCACCAGATGCAGTTTGGCTGGAAGATCCACGGGTGGCCAGTCTATTAAGAACATATTTTCAGACCAGGCGTGGTGGCTCATGCCTGTAACCCCAGCACTTTGGGATACCTAGGTAGGTGGATCACTTGAGCTCAGGAGTTCGGGCCCAGCCTGAGGAAAATGGCAAAAGTTGGTCCATCTCTACCAAAATTAACCAGGCATGGTGGTGTGCGCCTGTGGTTCTAGCTACTTGGGAGACTGACCTGGGAGGATCACCTGAGCCGGAGAAGTTGAGGCTGCAGTGAGCTGTGATTGCTTCACTGCATTTCAGCCTGGGCAATGTTGTCTCAAAAAGAAAACAAACAAATAAACAAACATATTTTTATCGGTTTTCGCACATTTCCATAGCCCCTTTTTGTTTATATATCCTCCACAGCACAGCAACCACTCCTCTTGCAGACTGCTACCACTGAGGACTAGGGAGATATTGAAATGTACTAATAAACTTCTCCTGGATGTAAATCACCAGTGCTTGGGCATTCACAAAGGGACATAGTAGAGGAGAGTGAGGAGGTCAGGGACTCCCCCCCTTTAGAAGTATTCCTCTTGTTTTCTGGATTTCGAATGCATATTTACATTTATTATTCTGCTCACATCAGTCTCCTATCTTGACAACACTAGAGGGACCCATTTATTGTCCAGTATCTTCACTATCAAAGGTGAGCCAGACAGTAAAGAAGTTCTGTTGATTCCACAAGAAGAAACATTAACAGGAAAGAACACAAGTTCTGGATTCAGACTTCCCTGGATTCACATACATATTCGTCCATTACTGTTGGTGTAGCCTATTAGCCTCTCCAAACCTTAGTTTCTTCCTCTTTAAGATGATGATACTAGTATGTACATATAAAAACTTCCATGGGAAAGAAATGCTATGTGGGGACAGATAAAATTAGTCTTAAAATCTGTGCTTTGTGGCACTAGGTCTTTTTTATTTCTGTGTGACTTTGACTATTATTAAAACTAGCTTTTATTTTTAAATTTTGAAGGTGTACCACTGTGATATATGGTGTTATTAAGGTAACTTGTTGGAGTTTCCCTGGGCATTCCATACTCTAGCTTCTATTTTCCCAAGAAGCTCCTGGCTAAAGTTTCGGCATTGTAGTCAAGTAGCAAATATTTGAAAGTCCATATTTTTGTACATATTTCATTTTCTTCTGATCTTTTTTTTTAATAGTAATTCTTCTGAGAAATTAGTAAAGGTTCTCTATATACCTAAGGATACCTAACTCAATTCTTTCTCCATTTGAACAGAGAATAATATAAAGTATTTCCTCTCATAATTAAAAAACAAACTTTTCAAATCCAGTATTAAATTCACCTTCCTTATTTTATTATTTATGAGACCACAGACTTTTTTAGAAATAAAAAATCAGCAATTCTGAGAATTTCTTACAATATCCACATTTCCTAGTATTATCTACTGTTATTTTGGTTTCCGTTCAGTTCCTTCATGTAAATATACTTTTGCAGATTATTATATACTAAAAAATGAGACCCTATGATACACTCTTATGTTTATTTACTATATATTACAAACAGCATTGCATGTTAATTTGTATAATTAAATGCTTTTAGTTTTAATGGGTGCCCAGTGTTCCATTATCTGAATTTTCTCTACTTTAACCAACACCGTTGGTTATTCAACGGTGTTAATAATTAGGTTATTCAACCTAATTATTAATAATTCAATAATTAGGTGTGTTTATTTGTTCATACTTCACTATTTTTTCTAGGATATAAACTTCTGTAAATTTACATAAATGCCTTGGTCCTCATATCATTAATTTTCTGAAACTAACACTAAGAATTAGAAATATTATATCCAATGTTATAGATTCAAGCTCACTGTCTCTTTGGGCAAGTTACATCCCCTCTGTGTGTCCCATTTCCCTTGTCTGTAAAATAATGGATTTGGACTAGTTGTTCACTAGAATAGTATAAAACTATGAGGTTCATATATTTAAATGTGAGTTATATTTGGACTTTGTTGAGAAATGGTTTCAGCTTGGGCCAGAATCACAGTCCCAGATACAAATTTTTCCAAAATTTCTCTAAAATACTTATGTAGACACTGAAAAGACAAAGATTGTTACTAGCAACCAAAATAATGAGTAACAGAAAACCTATTGTTAACACTGTTAACATCTCCTTTCTTTCATCATATATATTATATATATATACACACACATATATATATATCTCACCAACATTCTCTTATATCCACTCATCAACAGATATTTACTGACCAACTACTATATACCAGACACTGTCCTATTCACTAGAGGCCATATCAGTGAACAAAACAGACAAAAAAAAATTGGCTTTGTGGAACTTCATGTCTAAGAGGGTGGAGACAGAAAATAAAGAAAATAAATGTTTACGACATTATTAAGTATGTTAAAAATGTTAAAAGCTGTTAAGAGAAAACCAGAGCAGAAAAGAGGGATATGGAATTTTGAGGGGAGATTTGAAATCTGATATTAGTATTGCCAGTGAAAGCCTTCCTGAGATGATGGTATTTGCGTAAAGACCTTAAGTAAATGTGGGAATGGGCCATCTGGCTATATAGGGAAAGGGATTTTCATCCCAGAAACAAATAAAAAAACAATAAATACAAAATTAGGAATAGTTGCCACAAAGTTGTGGCTAATGTAATATATATAAAGCATATGACCCAATCTTATAAAAGGTATATATGCACGCATATACATATATTAATATATACACATATATAATGACAAATGTGTATATATCTATATATAATACACATGTACATACACAGAGAAAAGTATTAAAGGCAGTACAACAAAATGGTAACAATGACATCTCTTATTGCTGGAATTTGGGTAATGTTTAATTTGTACAGATAATTTTTAAATACTATTCTCTTTTAAAAACAGAAGAAAATACAACATTTTAAAATTATTTGAAATGTCAGAAAAGGGAAAACTCAAAAGACCTAACTTTAATATTACATTGCTTCTGAAATCACATCAGTTCAGACACTCAGTGTTTTTGAAATGGCAGGATGGCAAAACTCCAGGACACTCCTTATAATATATATTATTGCTTCTTGCCCATAGCAAGAACAATTCTCCATGTGGTCACAAACAAGATAGCAATGTTAGTTTTTATGTTTTACTTCTTCATTCGAAACAAACACTAAAAATAACTTGCTGTGAGCATTTTGCCTGCATCTTTTATTTATTTATTTTTGTTTAGATTTATATGGGCATCTGTTTTTTGTTTATCTTTTTGGGGAAAATGGTTCTTCATAAAATCATCTCCTTTCCTTCATCATCTGTGTGTGTGGGGGCAGGGCATATTGGTTTTTACATTTATCACATTACTCTATGATATTCCATATTTCATGGCTACAATTGACCTCTCCCTCTGTGTATGGCCTTTGGACATGAAACATTTTTATGAAATTGGCCTGGGAATGCTGCCTGTTCTATTCCCATGGCTTCTTTAAATTTATATGTCTGTTTCTCTCCAGCAGGTTGTAAATTTCTTCAAATAAGAGGTTATGTCTGATTTATGTATTTTACCCCAATGGGTCGCATGTATTCTCCATGTAATATGTTCTTAATGAATATTGTTAAATCATTACTGTGTTAGTTCCTGTATTGTATTATGGAGTACGGCAGCTTATGATACACTTATCATTCTATCATAATTATAACAGCACATCTTCCTTCATTAATAAATTTTCAAAGAATGGAGAGTCAGAAAATAATAGAAAAATGATTTATTTTACTATGATTCTCAATCGGCTTTCTCATCTCTATGATACTTTCTAAAACTGTTATATGATGTTTCTTGAGTTTTCTGGAACTCACACTAAATATCTGTAAGTCAAGAACTAGACAGGCTTAATACACCGTCTTAACTTACTAGAAAAACTTGATTTATTTCATTTTCTCTTCTCTTTGCCTTTTGTTTGTTGTATGTTTTTACTTTGTGATTGTCTCTCAAAAATAGATGGAGAATAAGAGGAAAGTCAGGTATATCCCCCGTCCTTTGAAGCCTCTGAGTCTATTTAAGGAAAAAGATGAGGCAAGGAGAAATACAGCCTGTGCTTCAGGCATTTGAGTGGTGTAAGATAAATGGTGCTGGTGAAATAGTATTTGACAATAACATTAGACCATGAAATAATTCTCAGGAATATGGTATGCTTAGCTAGAGTTTGAAATTCATTCTATAGCAGTAGGGGAACACTGATAACATTTGAAATATGAAGTGTCACAGCTATATGTATGTCTTAGAAAAGTCTTAATGACATAGTCATCTGATAGAAAAAGTTCCCATAGGTTTGAAAAAATAGATTTCTTAATGACTTCTAATTTGCAATGTAAAGGAAGACAAAGATTTTTCAATTAAAAAATGGTTAGTGGGTTTAATGGTAAACAAGGCACAAAAAACAGTATAGAGGACCGTCTACGCTGTCAGGACTCCACATTGTTTTGTTTGCTCAATTGTTCTTCTCTGAACCTCTTTTCTCATCTTAATACGGAAATTGCTAATGACATCTGTCTCTTTAGATTGTTTTGAGGATTAAAAATGTAATATATATAAAGAACACAGAATATTGTCTTCAACATAGTAAACCCAGAAAATGAAAATTTTAAAGCCATTGCAATAGACGAGAAACACAATAATCAGAACTTGCTATAATTTGAACTTCTAGGGGTCCAACAATAAAAAAGAGTATTTTTAAAAAGTGCTTGTTATTGAAAATTAGGTAAATTTTGGCATAAACGAAAGGTTAGTAGTGCAATGACAGTGACAGTAATAGCGACTGGGAAGGGGGCTACAATATGTAAAGCCAGCTCAAGTTCTATTTAGGGTGTCCTCCCTCAATTACCTTAGAAAACATGGGCAGGAAGTAGATCTTATAAACATTTTTAGGGTGGATTTTTTTTTTTTAAGGCAGAAGGATTCAAGGTGAATATGTAAGTACCACAGGGACATTCATTTAGAGAGTGATCTGAGTTAAGCACTTTGTCATATTCTTCAGTTTTGTGATTGTTCCAATCTAATTATTTTATTAAGTGTTCAGCATTATTTTCCAAGTCCTTAGGGTGAGTAATACATAAGAAAATGCACAGGTATTGGAGAAGCCTTTGTTGCAACACGTTTGGGAGGAAGATAATGAGTTCTGTTTCTGTCACAAGGTTTAGAAAGGTAGGAATTATTCCTCTACATTGTGATGGCTAATTATGGCTTTGGTTCCTCAAAACATTGGCCTTGTAGAAAGGAGGCTGGCTGCACAATTTGCTCTTCACTGGTCCTGCTGTCAGGCTGAGCAGCACTCCTCCACATGGACCAGTGACCTTGTGGTCCCTTAGAGAATGCTTAAGAAGAGCCTAAGGAAGTTGTCATGAGTGATTTCAAACAGACCACAACTTTTCGGCAGGGATATTGAGCAATTCAACTTCAGCATCCAGTGTTGTCCACATTTCAAAAGTCAGGACATTGTATGTCCCTGATTTGCTTTCTCCCCCTTGTTATATTTTCAAAGAACAAAATCTGAAATGTGCATGTCTTTTGGAGCAGTAAAGTCCGAGAAAAACTGTCACATCAATGTCTATCCTTTATGATTCTAGGTAAGAGGTCGTAGGTTACTTTAGCTTTCACCATGCCAGTCATGCCACGGGGAACAAAAGGAACACATATCATATTTTTCTGTCCAAGTTTAAACTCTAGTTTGTGCTTCGAGGTACAAGTGGCACTGCTTAATAAAGAACAATTACGTAGTTGTGTATTGGGCAGCTATTATCAAGCAGCTCTGATGTAATCATGTTATTTTCCCTTGATTTTGGGACATATTCTTGGTCTTAAATATAATCACTAGGTAAGAATAACCAAATAAACCAAACCCAATACATTATATATTATTTGTATAACTCTTAACTGTTTATCCATTTATTTTGTCTTTATTAGACCTCTTTTCTTAGATTGTACTGCTATAAACCACCTCATATTTCAGATGTTTATAACAACAAAGGTTTATTTTATGCTCATGTTCTGTGCTTAAACAAGTCAATAAAACTAGATTAATTAAACTTCAACCTAGCACTTGATCCCAAATTAACTTTATACAATTCCTAGACAAGAATTAGACTCATATGCTTACCAGCAAAATTTGCTTAAGAATAAAAAATAGATTAATAATTGCTGATATTATCATCATATTAGGATGGTAGCAGAAAAAGCCATCATGTTAAAGGAGTAGAAAAACTTAAGCCTATTTTTTTCTGTTGGGAATAAAATCAGACATTATAATTATATTGATATTGGTATGCCATATACACTTTTTAAATTTAATATTCATAATATTATTTATCAGCCGAGTTAAACTAACTCAGATGATACAAATTTTATGTAAATTTTATCTCTTAATCTCTCAAAAAACCTGCAAAAAAATTTTTTTGCTGAGTTTTATTGCCTTACAAAAAGAAAAAGAAGGGTTGGGCGCGGTGGCTCACACCTGTAATCCCAGCACTTTGGGAAGCTGAGGCAGGCGGATCACAAGGTCAAGAGATTGAGACCATCCTAGCCAACATGCTGAAACCCCATCTCTACTAAGAATACAAAAATTAGCCGGGCTTGGTGGTGCACGCCTGTAGTCCCAGCTACTCAGGAGTCTGAGGCAGGAGAATTGCTTGAACCTGGGAGGCAGAGGTTGCAGTGAGCTGAGATCGCGCCACTGCACTCCAGCCTGACGACAAAGCAAGACTCTGTCTTAAAAAAAAAAAAAAAAAAAAAAAAAAAAAAAAAAAAAAGGAAGGAAAAAAGAGAAAAGAAAACCATAAAACCATACAAAATAGAAAAATTAAAACTGTAAAAGAAGAGAGATTTAAGGGGGAGACTAAGGTTAAAACGTAAGAGGCTAGATCTGAGTGCAATGTGTGATGCACACAGGAAGTATTACTCTCCCTTGTTATGAGAAATGAGTAATCTGAAACGAGGTGACTTGCTTGAAGATAATCTTTGTAAGGAGAGGAGCCTAGATTTCAACCCAGGCCTGGCTAATTCCAAAACTTGCATACGGTATTTGTGTCATCCATACTAGCACTTAAATTTAAAATAATCATTTATTTAAGTGAATTGATGGAATTAAATTACATTTAATTGTATATTTGTTTTTTACATAAAATTGTTTTTCACATTAAAGTATCCATCAAGCAAATACCTCTGTAATTAAATTTTTGTTATCCTGGGACAAGAACTGAATGATACACAATTTACATACGCCCAAGTACTAGAATGTAATCATCTCATTTAGAAATGGAAGAATTAATGAATTAAAGAATAAGTGAATGAAAGAAAGAAGGAATAAAATTTAACAACTTATTTTCTCTGGTCTTATATGTAAAAAGTTTCCCATAGTGGATTAATGTTCCTTTCAGTGAGAAATGACTGATTGATAATTAGGTGAAAGCATGTTCTTATGAATGATGCTATACATTCTTTGCAGAATAGGGAATGCACACATATATGAGACCTCTGTATATGTATGTGCATTCCTATGTATTCAACTATGCCTCTTCCATGTTTTCATGCATTCATCTATTCATTTGTCAAACAGCAAGTACACTGATCAGCAAAATATATCTATTGAGTATTTACTGGATACTGTTCAAGAAATGAGGGAAGACAAAGATGAATAATCAATAATCTCTGCCTTTAGTTAAATCATAGTCTAGCATAGTCATAGGCAAAGGTGCCTTTAGATATTTATGAATGCATATATAAGTAGAGAAATAAAAAATATAGTATATTTGTGTTGTACAGTGATCAAATATGTAAAGATATTTATGACTCACCCCAAATAGTAGTATTCTCTGTAATGTAAAATACTACTGTAATATTTTATAGCATTTTAGATTTAGTGAAGACATTTGTCTCTACCTCCTGAATCAATTTTTTGGGCATTGTCTGCTTAAACCTTCTCACTTTGGGTCTAGGAAAAGTAATCTAACACTGGGATTAGGAAAGAAATGTGTGTGAATGGGTAATTTTGTCATAAGCTTTCAGAAATTTCTGTCTGCAACATCTTCCTATAAATGTTAAACAAATCTGGTAAGAGTTTTATGACTAATTAACATTTATGTAAGATAGACAAATTTGTTAATTCATACTGAAGCTTGATTTAAACAAATCTTTCTCATTTTATCTCAGTTTATTTCAATTTTTGATTGCATTATTTTTAAACAATTACAAATTTTAAACATATTTTGAGAGTGTAGTTTCTAGATTTTGAAGAAAGCTAAATGCTAGTAAATGGTTAGTTGAAATTTACACTAACACAACGTCCCAAGAAAGCTTTGGTGTTGCATTTTGGTCGCTATGTAGAAATCATTAAGAAATCTTGGGGCCAGGCACGGTGGGGTGGCTCACTCCTGTAATCCCAGCACTTTCAGAGGCCAAGGCGGGAGGATCACGAGGTCAGGAGTTTGAGACCAGCCTGACCAACATGGTGAAACCCCACCTCTACTAAAATTACAAACATCAGCCGGGTGTGGTGGCAAGTGCCTGTAATCCCTGATACTCAGGGAGCTGAGGCAGGAGAATTGCTTGAACCCAGAAGGTGGAGGTTGCAGTGAGCCGAGATCATACCACTGAACTCCAGCCTGGGCAACAGAGCAAGACTCCATCTCAAAACAAAACAAAACAAACAAACAAAACAAACAAACAAACAAAAAACAAAAAAAGAAATCTTGGAACTAGAACAAGGACTATGCTGAAGTACCAGATATCTGATCACCGTTTGTATGTCTTATTCATTTCCCAATGTTTCAGACTTTAAAATATTCAAGTAGCTAACATCAGTATTTCAGCACATGAGCATTGGAACTGAAAGTGAATTGAATATTTTCAGAGAATCAGAGTTACATTTTGCACTAATTAAGACATTCACATACTCAAAACCTTGTAATAACACCTCCTGATATGCTACTATTGCCCTAAATTTGTATAGAATAAATATATGTCGAATAGTGCTTTTATTAAAGCAGTTATTAAACTGCTTTATTTTAAAGTGCAGTTATTAACCTGCAGTTGAATATGCCAGACATCGCCTTTATAATTTCAAGTCTCATAACCCTGTACCTCTGAGACCCTAAGAAATAGGAAGGGCCTTTGTTGGGTTTTTGTAGAAGAAATCTTTATTGTTTACTCTCACTTTGAGCTAAAACATAAGATATTTAGGTAGCAAGCTAGCTACCTTATCTGTATGGCACTAAGCATTGAGATTTCCCCCCATGGCTTTGTATTTTTAAACCAATTTTGGAACTGGCCTTCATCTTGGGAGCTTTCCACTAGTATTGCAGCACACATTCCACTTTTCTTCCCACCTTTAGCTCTAGAATTGTAACCAGTGTGTCTAATGTAATGGCCTACTTTTATGTCTTCAATTACATCCACCATATTACTTAATATTAATTTTATGATAGTTCGTTTTCCTTTTCAGTTGATGCATGTAATGTATTCAGTTAAATAGAAATTGTCTTCTCACTCAGAAAAATACCTGTATCTTCCTCATCAGCTTTCAGTAAAATTTTCTCTGGACTATCTAGATGATAAACATTTTCCATCTCTGGACATATTTTTTAAATATATATTTAGTCATCGTTTAACACTTCAGTGACCACTTCTACTCAAGTGGACTGCACAACATTTTATGTTTAAACATTTCTAACTTAAATCACTCAAACTTAACAAACTTCCTTTTATGAATCATTTGTTGGTAAACTAAATTTTATCTTCTTTTATGTTTCTCCTCCATTCTTAAAAATTACTTTAAATAATCCATTTTATTAATTTTATTTCTTTCATGGCCACCTCTTCAATAGAAACTTCTCATTAATTTTTACCGTTTCCTAAATTAATTAGTTCAATAAACACTTTATTGAATATGTCATTTCTCTTTTTACTTTACCACATTAACACTTCTCAGAAATCAAAAACTCTTTCTGATCAAATTTTCTCAGTATTACAATTTAGTTTTGACTTACTGATCTTATCAGTATTAGTTAACAAATGTTTACTGTCATAGTTTAAAACTAGGCATTTTAGTGTATTATAGAGTTGAATCAAGTAAATTTATTACAACAGACATAAATTTAAGATGCTACTTTAAGCTATCTGAATAAAGAATGCAAAGTAACACCTAGCTATTCTCATAGAAAACATTAACAGTCAAATTTGGATTGAGAACAGTATTGAATAAATAGAAATTATAGTACCAAAGTATTTATTGAAAAATACCAAATGAATGAAATATATGGTAACTTGCTGTAGACGTTCAAAATTGTATGAATTGAGACATAAGGGTATATTTGTTTATACATTTTAGATGAATTTATAAATGATAGATCTTTAAAGATATATTAGATACATCTACAGTATTTTGGAACACCACAAATGTGATGTTGATTTCAAGAAGATTAATATGTCCCTCACTGTCGCAGACAGGGACAGATTATTGGGCACAGCTGACCACAGGTCCAAGGCAGTGTGATAATTCTTACACTTTTACAACGGAAAAAAATTGCATTTATTTGCATTTGTTTAAATAATATTTTTACATTTAAATTAGAGCCTGGTACTCTCCTGGGCATGAGAAAGAAAGGAAAAGCATTTCTTCCTACTTCTGTATTGAATTAAAAGGATCATGGCATTGTCATCTAAAACAATGATTAAATAATAGTGCCATATTTTATTTCTACCACTTATTAGTTCCGCTTCTGTGGGCAGATTATTTGAACATGTGCGTCCTCGTTTTATACAGTGTATAATGCCTACTCATAGGATTCTTATAGAAGTTAGATATGAGTACATTTTTATATGAAAGTACCTATACTAGGATCTAGCACAAAGTTTAGTGTTAACTGAACCTCATGTAACATTTCATGTAAAAGTTGAGATAGAAAATTTTTGAAGCATGTTATAAAAATTAGGAATCCTTATGTACACATGAAATAATTTCATCTAAGACTTTTAAAATTACCTAATTTTATCTATTGTTACAAAAAAATAACAGATGGAAAGGCTTTAAAGTAAAATTAAGCAGATGAATAAATATCTAAGTATCTGTCCCAAAATGCTAGGTTTTTTTTCTGTTTTTTTTTGTTTTTTGGGTTTTTTTTTTTTTTTTTTTTTTTTTTTGCATCTTGTCATGCTACTATCTGCAAGGGAAGTGAGTATAAAAGACTCAGGGGATACATGGAGTGTAGACCTTTCAAGTGAGAAATATTATATAAATGTAGTTTTATATGCTCACCACCAAAAGAGTGTAATTTGATGAGTTAACCAGAAAAAAAGTATTTTGCAAGTAACTTTGTGTTTTTCTGATTTTCTTCACTATACTGATTTTCTTCACCATTATGCAAAATCCTTTTGCATAAACTGATGCATAACCTGTAATCATATACTTTTATTTTTATTGAATGAGATTTTAAGGGCACTGAGACATGCATGACACCATGCACAATTTTTCCAAGGCTTCTTTAATCCCTTTGTGCCACTTATTTTTTTCCTGTGTAGAGAAAGAAAGGGGTATATTAAAAGATTTTTCTTTCTGAATGCCTCCATCATCATGGTTAATAAGGGCAACCTTGCACATACGTATAAGAGGATAAATTCAATTTTAAATTGCTTTAAGGTTCACCTTTGAATTTCACTGTGGTCAGAAGAATCCCATGACCTTTAAATTTGATGAAAAGAAAGAGCAGATATTAATCTCATTATTTTATTTTGAAGTCCTCCCAAAGTGGGTGACTCTAGACCACATTTCTGCAAAATGACAAGAGCAGTTCATATACATTGATCATTGTTACGGGAAGGACAATATCTGAAGATTTTAATATACCTTCAGTTTTTTATATCTCATTTTAATTCTCTTTGTAATAATTACTATTTCAGAGTTATTATTTTAGACGGTTTATATGTCTTACAGTTATGCTACTAAATGTAATAACTTTCATTTTAAAGATTATAGTTTGTCCCCTTATAAAAGCCAAACTTATTTTGATATTCTAAAAGCGCTTACTGTGCTTCCTAGTAATATTTGTACACTCTAGCTTTTATACGAAGTTATTCCCCTATGCTACAGAAAATTATAATTGAAACAAAACATTATAGCTATACAATAACTGCACAAACTGCTCAGGGAGACGATAAATTAACTCACCATGTGTTTCATGCAGTAACATTCAGATGAGAATTAATTACAAAAAATAAATAAATAAATAAGCATACTCCAGGTATTGTGTAGGGAACTTCTACGTAGCTTATTTTATCTTTTGAGCGATCATGCTGGGCTTGTATATTATTATTCTCATCCTCACAATAAGACATTGAATGATATTTGTTATAAGAACAAAGCCTGTAAGAATATAATAATAACAATGTATCTCGAATATTTCTTGAAGTGTGACTTGTGAATTATTTACATCAGATTCACCTTGTTGAAATGAAGAATGCTGACCACAATCCCAAGTTACTTGAATTCTCTGATATATGGGGCCCCAGAATCTGAATTTTAACATTTCTCATTTTTCATAATCATTATTCTAGTCTGGAACATAAAGGGAATACCATAAAATGTGCTGTAATTAAGAGCACTTATACATACAACTGTTATGGAAATGGAAGAATAAGATTAAGGAAACAATTTAGCATTAAATAATGCTAGGAAAAAAAAAAAGAAGTCAAAGAATGTTAAATCAATACCCTTTACCATGCAGCTATTGACAGCAGGAAACTGCTAAGAGCAGTACCTTCATTTGATGATGTAAATAAAGAAGGATAAATAATTATTTGAATAGTCAATAAGTATCTGTTTATCTACCTACCTACCTGTCTATCTGTCTATCCATCCATCTGTTCCTGATCCAATGATACTTGGTTAAAATTCATGGAATTGTTTAAAACGTTAAATAATTTACAGTTGTATAGTAATCAGCACATAAGATAAAGCTGATTTTTATGGTCCTAAGACTAAGGGCAGTGGGAAACGTCTGCAATTTTAACATGAATGATACAGAGCTGTTTGCTACGGTGAGACAAAACAAAACAAAAACAAGAAAAGATTGCCTAGCAGGGTTGTGCAGGGCTAACTTGAAGATAATTGTCCCCGGATGAATAGCAGAGAATAGTGGATTGCAATAGTACAGATTAAAGATGACCAGCACATGGAATATGGATTTTGCTTGAGGAATAATAAAAAAGAGATAGATGCCAGAGAAATTATAGTCAGCATGGTTATGCAAATAATTCAGCGGGGAATTGGACAGGAGATTTTGATGATCTGCACAAATTTTATTTCTTAAATGCTCTGCCATTAATGGCTTTGATCATTGTAGTCTACTTAAAGTATGAAGATTTATGCATTGCTATAAAGATGACAAAAATACCTGGTCTTAAATCAACCACTGGAAGAACTTGTGGAGCAGCAAATGCCTTAAGTTATAATTTTGTAAGGTAGGCAAACAAGAATAATGATTTCTATTTAATAACTCAAAAGAGATGTTTTAAGACCAAGACAAATGCAGAACAGTGGAACATATTTTATCTTTGGCCATAAAACATTATTTTATAAGGAGTATAAGGAGAATGGTAAAGTGATCATCAGCACATTAAGATGTATAACTGTTAAAATTATTTCTCCAGTACAGTCTTTGAGTTTTTTCCAATATATAATAAGTAAAATAGTCTGTAAAGATTATGAATTTAAATGGGCTCCCACAATTTAAAAGAGGAGAGGATTATGACCACTAGCAGGTGACTTCTTTTATCTATCATAAATACTGGACCCTAAGCCATGGATAAATTAGGAAATTATACCATAATATTAACAAATACCTGTCCTACTTAAATAATTCTAGAGTTTGGAATTAGAATCCCACTATCCTTATCTTCTTCATTTAAAAATCTCTTTCTGCTAATCTGGAGATCTCAAAATATAATTACTTTATAAATTATTAAAAATACATGATGTTCATGTCAGAACCATAATATGATTAAGTAGCATTTAATCTTCTAATTCTCAAGCAATTCCACTTTCTGACTTCAAATCTTTTCCGAAAGTGTAATAATGAGTCCCAGAGGTTCTTTTTTCAGTAACACAATAAAATATGCCTTGGGTCACTTATCTAAGATGAACCTGATTTAGTTTTTTTTTTCTTTTAAATGAGATAATGTATAAAGCAAATTTTGATATTTTAATCAATAATTCAAAATAATTGCACACATGTAGACTTGTACACAACAGCTATTAATACATAATGAAATAACTAAGCAGTCAGGATTAGTTTTTCAGTGGAGCATATGACATATTCTCGGGGGTAAATTAGAAAAATTTGGCAGATGTAAAGCTACATAACACAAAAAGCATTTCACAATCATTAGAATTCACTCCAAGAACATGTTTGCAAAATGTTCCCAAATATATTATTTTGAACTACCCGTGGACTGTGTCAATGATTACAATATGTGAAGAATTGGAACATTTTTCTAGATCATTCATCTGCAAATACCACAAATTAAAAAGAAAAAACAAACACAATGATTTTATTTGTTGTTCACTTTATTCTAATGATTTGAAAATATCCCTATTTCATTACCTAACTCTATTAATACAGACAAGAGTCGTAGACTTGGCCTTATGCATTTATCTGTGTTAATGATTTACTTGTATTATGGTTTATAATAAACATGATGTATAGAAAATTATATAATGTGTTAGCTTTTTATGATGTAACAAAAGTTGAGCTAATGTATGAGTGATGCCCTGAATCATAATATAATGATATTAATTTTCATTTAAATCATGCTCCATATTCATAGTTTTAAATTTATCATTTATTAATTAAATAACTCTTATCTAATAGTGTCCTTATTGCCAATTGTGTTCAAGTCTATATATGCTTCTTTGAAACATATTTTCATGTTTATTATTTGACTTTGTCAGTAATAATGATTTTATGAGAATTTGCCCATGTTTTAGGACAGCCAATACTGATTTTACGACTATCACAAATAATTCGTATAGCATCGTAGAAGCTTAGCTCAGGAAGCAGCCTCAGATATCAAAATTGGCTATGCCCGAATTGGCAGAGACACTGAAATTGCAGTTATTTAGTTTGGCCCACCATGCCCAGAGTTCCACTTGGAATGGCTCTGGAAGCTGTTTTTTTATTGTGTACAACTATTCTTGATATGGTGGTATTTGACAGTCATTTTAACTACGAACTGAAGCCAATTAAATTGTTTCTCTGTGGATTTCCTGTGACAGATGCACAAAGGCATCTTATGTTAGCCAATAGACCTTGTTTAAACACAACTAAAACTGTTCCAGCATTTATTTTTATGCAACCAGCTAATTTCATAGTTGCACTTTATGTTTAAATAATGGCTTTTAATCAGATCTATTATTCTTGTCTTTTACTTCTTATCATAGTGTTATAGTACTTACATGGGAAAAACAACTTCTCCCAATAAAAACTTGGGCACATTCTCTTGACTTCATAGTAATAGAAGTATGATTTAAAATGGGAAAGCTCTGTATTTTGTTATCTCTGCTTAGGAGAGTAAAAACTCCACAGCTTGAACTATAAGACAGATGACTATTTGCTGTTTGGTAGTTAGTTCCACTCTGGACTTAGAACAACCAGAAAAAGACACAGATACTTACAGAAGGATTTGCTTAATATGCAAACTCAATTTTTGTAAGTGGCCACTTGTAATTTTCCATAACTCTCAAATCAATTTCCAATTCTTAATCAAGATTTCAATATCGCTATAAAATGTGCCAATTTTAACACAGAATAAGTAAAATGTCTATAAATCTACATTTTAAAAAGTATTTTAACAAAGGAAGTCCAATGAAAGTTACACTCAGCATACTAACAATATGCAAGAGATCATCAGAAATCTCTATGTAATATTTATGAATTTGTGATGACTGGCTCCTGTAACCTTTCATTTGGTTAAAGTTACTACATTAGCTGACTTCTGGGCTTTGTTATTCGCTGATCTGTTTTGTTTGTTGTTTGGATATTTTTAGATGCTCCACCAACTGGTCAGGCACACAGTGTGAAAGGCCAGCCCCAAAGAGCAGCAAGTCTGATCATATCAGCACAAGTAAGTTTCTCAGATTAATATTTTGGGTAATCTACACTGTATATAAATCATTGTTATGTCATTATTGAGTGAGATGAGTCTTAGAACACTTTCTTCATGGAATTTTATAAGAGATCCACTGCAATTGAGGTGTTTTTGAAAGAGGAAGCACTGAGCTTTCATCTAATTACAGGATCCAGTGTGTACATTTTCTTTTAGGCTGGGAGAGTTTATCCCAAATTTGGGGAGTTTTCAGAATGCACATCTGCTAACCTAGCATAAGCTTTTCTTTGGAAATATTCATCAGCTGAAAAAGTCGCAGATATCACAATGGATGTGAAAATGCTCCAGGAAGAAAAATAATTCCATGTTTTAATTAGAGCAAAGTGTATTGTCTTGGAATGCATTTCAATGTGTCTTGGGGGGAGAAAGACAGACTTTATTGGTTAGTCTGAAAGAGAAGCAAGTTAACAAGCAATTCTTAATAAAGATATAAGTTGATTTATTGCTTCTTTATCTTTAAAGTATTGGTTTTGAAGTATATTAAAATATAGATCAACATTTTTGCAAATTTTTTTTTGTGCAGCCATAGTCTTAGGGTCACTTGTGTCTATATCATCGTTGTGGGTCTATATCATCGTTGTGTGTCTGTGTACAGTTTCTGACAACCTGAAATGATGTTATAAAGTTTTTCAAAATAAAAGTCTGAAATAAAGTTTGCCAGTTCACACATGTTGTCATTAATTTGACCATGAGTGAAAAACCTTTGAAAAATTTGTATTGTCTATTGGGTGTAAATAAACTTGCAAAGAAAAAATAACATCCTTGATGGAAGATTGCTTACCTTAGCAATTTTTCCCTAGTCCTTTACTGCTGGTGACAAGGATTTCATAAAAACAAGCAAAAAGCATAGTGTTTCAGAGTTAGTGAAAAAGGAGAGAGACTATTAAAGTATAAAATATAACATTTTTGTACCCTAGAAGCAGGCTTCCCATCTCTGCTGACATTCCTGTTTGTTGTCTCTGCCCCCAGACAGTTTCGATATCATTGTCCAATTTTTCCTAATTTAGAGATTAATTTGGGTTTATTAATAAGCCTAGGCATCTTTGAAAAATGGAAAATAGGTCTAGAATAGACAGTCTGGGCATGAATATTTAAATTTGGATAGGTGAGGTGAGTGATTTTTGGTTATGGAACATTTTGAGTTGATCTTAGAATTTGTGTGCTCTCCTTAGGTCAGGGAAGGGTGAGGCCATAGGGAAGCTATGAGCATATAATTGTAGGAATAGGACACTGGGATTTGGGGAATTGGTTGATAAAAGGTTAACAGTGGCAAAATGTGTCTTGCCTAATTTGATATGCAAAAGAAAAAGAAAAAATACTTTATCTCTCTTCCCAAGATTTAGGGCTCAAACTAATGCTACCAGTAATAACTCTGGAGGCATATTAATTTATATATGATTTTATAAACTATTTGCAAAACTCAACAATCGTTAAAAGCATTAATAAAAAAATGCATTTGAAGTTATCAAGCTGTAGAACATGCTCCATTTATAAATTAGGAATTAAAAAGATATTTTAGCCTTTTTAATGGTAGTTTCTCAATGATCGAATATAAAGAAAACAGCCTTTTTAGAGCATCAAAAACAATTTAAAAAATTTTTTAAAACTCTGACAAGAAATAGCATAGACTGTGTATGAAATTTGGAAATTTTGTATACGCTCCATCCACAAAGGGAAAGTTTGGTGTTTGGAAAATGGTTTGGAGCTGGAATGCTCCAGGTGTTCCCGTTAGAGAGTGGGGTCTCCAACGATTTGTATGGGCAAATGTAAGAAACTGGTTTTAATTACATGCAACAGTTCTAAAGTAAAGAACATCAAATAGGGGAAAGAGTTGCAAATAGTTGTAACCCTTTCCAATGATTCTGAAGCTCTTTCTCCCATCACTAATTTAAAGTCATGAAATTTAATAGAACTATCAATGCATTTTGAAAGGGCTATTAGCTACATATATGTCAAATTATCACAAACTTGATCAAAGTTGACCAAATAATGACTCTATTAGATGCTTATTATCAGACATTTATGCTTCGAGAAACTTGCCTCAGTAGCTCTGAAAGAAGGGAAAAGGTAGTTAAACTGACCTTTCCCATGAAAGAGGATTACTTTTATTATTTTGGGTAAAATCTAGTGGTTTTGAATGATTGTCAAACCTTCCCCAAACTTGAGCAGAAGTCGTCTGCCCAATAAGAACGATGAAACTTTAGGAATGTGTTTTCAAATCTGCATTTCTATCATCAGTGGACCTCTGTTGGCATAGTCCAGAATACACTGCCTCTGTCTGCCTAATTACTATCAATTTATACAGAGATTTACTTTTCTGATTTGTACATGGCCTTCATAATCATCTCTGAATAGTGGTAGTGATGTTCACCGGCTTTTGATGTTTAAAGTATCTAAAAGCAGCTTGTGGAATTAGGCAGATCTATTATCTAGGGCTTTGTGCTCAGGTTCCATTTTAAAAATCTAGTCTGACTCTTCTGAAGATATTTTGAAGAGTTTTAAACTCAGCATAATAAAATATTCATTGCATACTTCTATTTTAAATTTACATAAAATTTTAAAATTTACATAAAATTGAGCATTGAATGATCAGTGTTTCAATTATGTTATTTGTTGTATCCGCTGAAATTATGAAAGACAAAAATATACTCAGCATTGGTGGTGCAGTAATGTAGAGATGCTGTATTTTACTATAGTGACAATAGGGGCAAGATATCTGTTAGGGGGTCATTGTATCTCTTTTGCTACTTTGTCTTTATCATTTTGTATCATCCATTATGTTTTAATACAGAAAAAAACTGGTTATATTATACCAGGAATTATAAATCTGCAAATATAGAGATGTAACTGAAAAACACAACAAAATAATGTTTTATTTCCATTTCTCCCAAAGCAAAGGTTTATCAAGTCTCTGCTAAGTGTCAAGTACTGCACTAGATCCCAGAGGCAGGTCAGTGAGGAAGGCAGACAGTGCTTCTTCTCATGAAGCTGAGGTTCTAATGGAGTAAACAGCAATAAAACAAGGAAGTAAATAAAAAAGGAAATATTCAAATGTATAAAGTAATTGTGAGTTTTGATTGGTCCGTGAAGGAAGCAAAAACAAAAAAGATAAAAAGGGCAAAGATAGAGAATGTCACAGGAAAAGTGAGGCCAGGAGTGTTTTCTCTGAGGTGGTGATACTTCAGCTGAGACTTGAGGCTCAAGGTACAAGAATAAAGAACAGCAGGTACAACAACCGTGGAGCAAGAAAGAGTTAGACATGTCCAGCAGACTGAAAGAAGACCAGTGTGCTGGTATCAAGAGAACAAGGGGGAGAGTGGTACAAAGTGAAGTTAGAGATACAGGACCAAGGTGATAGGCAGCCTCTTGAAGACCACTGGAAGGATCACCTTTACTAAGTTGGGAACATATTTTCTTTACAATTTTTAACATTACAATGTACCAAAATGCTTAAGAGAAAGGATGCTAATTTCAACAAATATATATACTCTACATTTATACATATCTATAAACAAACTTAAGAACAGGGTATAGAGCAACATGTCAAAGGCAGTCATTTTAATTATATAACTTATGCTAATATTGTTCTATTGAAAATTTGATCAGTAAATAAAATGTTCTCTTCCTCTGAACTTCATGATAGTGAACACTTCTGGTTTCTCTTCTACCTCTTTTGAAGCAACTCTGTCTTCCTTTTGACATTATTTTCTTTCTATTCTGCTTGATTAATTTACCTGTTTATCACTAGATACACTCTCCTTGCCAGGACATAATCCTTGACATGAGTTATCAACTCTGTTGATTCCCCAAAATTCCTATGCTCAATATTGATTTATCTCCTAAGTTTGAGACATGTATTTCACTGCTTGCTTGATATATCTGTATCTGTGTCATCTATATTCCACAGGGATCTCAAGCTCAGTTCCCAAATGATCTCATCACTGCCCCCTATCCACAGTCATTTTCATATACCTTATTTTGCCTTTCTGTCCATCCATATGGATGGCTGAAAAGTGGTGATACTTCCGCTGAGACTTGAGCCAATCCACCTGGCTATGGAAACAACACTTAAGTTCCATCCTTAAACTTCTCTCTCTTTCCTAAGTTGAATCAAACAATAAATTCAGTAGATGTTCCTTCCTAAATTTTCTTCAACATCATCCTTTTAAAAAGAAAAAAATAGTACAATTGCCCATCTGATTTATATGGCTTACACACTCCTTCATAATCTCACCTCTGCTTTCCACTGCAGTCACATCTCCTTCCAGCCCAACTGTTTTTCCTTAATCGTAATCCTCTTGGCCTTTAAAGTCTCTTCACTGACAACAGAGGATTTGCTCCTTAAGCCTCAGAGACAAACTAGTCTCCTTCCACCCCAGATCTAGTTGGAGGCACCTCCTTTATATTCCCAGAACAATGCAAACTTTCCTAATACAGCATTCATGCTACTATAGTGAATGAACCCATTTATTTGTTATTCTGTTATACATCAAGCAATATAAGAGAAGGGTCATTTTATCCTCAGTGCAAAATAGAGTATATTTTCAGGGTCTGGAGCACAGCAAGCACTTAAGATATATTTGCTAAATAAGAATTGAATTTATAGACCCTATGACATCCTAAGGACTGCACTATTTGCAGAACAAGGAGAAACAGATTGTGCCCTCAAATATCTCAAAAACAAACTGATGCATTATATTGTGAAAAGTGCAGAATAGAAGCTTGTACAGAGTGCTATGAGAACATGTGTTTTGTTCATTAAGCATGTATGTAGTATTTTCTGATTGGCATAATCCTATCTATAATACTGTATGATAACTATTAATGATGATACCCATATTATAGATGAGTAAATTGAGACAAATATAATTAATGTGCCTGAGCATATGTTGGTAATGAATAGTAAAACAGATTTGAATAGAGGTAGCCTGGCTCCATTATCTCAACTGCTATGCTGTACTAGCTCTCCTATGGAAAGGGGCTCTTCAACACAGCACTTATAGTTCTTTCTTCTAATGGAAAAATGTTGCATGATGAGGTTTCAGAACCATGTTGCAAAAAAAGACTTGCTCTATTTTTTTTATGAGAAACTTGTTGAGATATCCCCTCCACCCTTAATAAGTACAGAGTCTATGTTTTTCAGTTTCTAATACTCTATTAACAATGTACTGTTAAAACATGACCTGCAATAGGGATTGATCATTGTATTTACAGTATGAAATTTACTGTCATATATAATACTAGGGAAAAAGTACTTATTTTTATAATATCTGTTAATTTTAAAAATACCTGTGTTTCCAGCAATAAAAACTATTTTATAAAATTTTAAAAAAACTTGCTAATCTTCTACCCTGCATTATTTATCAGTGACACTAGGTTTTATAGTAGTTACTTTGATTGGTTACATAAACATATCAGAAGTCTAGGCTCTTAAACACAAAATGCTGTAATATATGGGATTGCAACTGCCATCTATGAAGGGAAAAAAAGAAACCTTTTATTTTCTAGCATACTTAATTAACAGCTTCCTACCTCATAGGAATGTCAAACTGTAGAACAAGTAAAATCTATTTTTAAAAAATGATTTATAATTGCATTGAGAGAAAATAAATTTTATATACCCTAAAACTATATTGATAGGTATTTTACACCCACCAATTTTATACAAATTTTAGAGGAAAATGAAGTAGATATATTTGTAAAATCATGATCAAGCAGTTGAAGTCATAGTTTTTGAAGAAACCAAGCTGTTCTCTGGTATTTAAAACTTGTGAACAAGTGTTAATTACCATCCAAGCTGCCAGATTCTCTTTCATTAATTGCTAATAAATTACAGCTGCTAATAAATTACAGATGCATATAAAGTTCACTTTCCCAAAACAAAGGAGGTAATATAGTAATATCAAACACCATAAGTTCTCATAACTACATGAAAAAACAAAATGACTTTTACATTTTAGAAAGTGTCTGAAGAAGTGGATAGAAGAGATGGTTGGTTATTTTACACGAGTTATTTCTCGAAGTTCTAAATTAGAGATTTATCTTATACATGAAATTTTCTTAATGAAGCCTTTTTGGTATTTGGCAAGTGGTCCAGTATGGATTATCTCACCCAGATATCCTCTGGCTATAAAGCCCTTAAAACATATCTATATATTTATAATACAGTTCTAAGTGGCTGGTTATTGTGCATATCACCATTAATTTCTACCTTGATACTTTCACATGCACATGTATTTGCCTGAAAAATTCATAGACTTTCAGAATTTTTAATGTTCTATTCTTAATCCATTCAAGATCTCCATGTTCAATTTTAACTAGTTGTTGGGCTGCTTGGTTTCTTAGGTTAACCAGTGATTAAGTTGACTTGTCAACCAGAGGTTTATTCAAAGTAGATAAAAGCCTTTGTTTCATGTGTACTAGATATTTTTCAGTAAGAAAAGTTAATATTAGCTATGTCATACTTTCCTGTTATCAGGCAACCCTGTATTCAGTTTTCTTCTTATAATAAGTGATATTTGGGTGTATTCTCCTGTGGGTCACATTATTAGCAATGGGCTATTATTGTCTGCCTACTCACTGACTAAAAATATCGATTACCCTATTGCTAATCTAGTATATACATAGAAAACCAAGTCTCCTCCATTTTGCCTCCTCCCTGTGCTCAGATGCATAAAAACAAAGACCAAATTTCACTGATCATTTTTGAAGATCTATTCTGTTAGTGCTAGTACCCAAGACCTTTCTCATATATGGAAGAAAGGAAAATAATTGACATTTGCCACATAAGCCAAACTCCTAAAATATGTCTTGCTAAAACTGTTCAGAAACTAGAACATGAGAAAGAGAACCTCTTCACCCCCTAATTCTGTGGAATCAAGCTAACTGCCCTTTGTGGTAAGTCTTCTTCTCTGTGTTTTACAGTTGAAGAGCATGAGCCTCAAAGCATTTAAATAACCTACATAAGGTCTCACTTCAAGTAAGTTGTGAAACCAATATTTACACCAAGATTCCATCCAAATCAAACACTGATACCCCTTTTGTTTCACCAGGCTGCCACCTAACTTGTCACATGGACCCCTGACCAGAAAGTATGGATGACTAAAGGAACAAAACTAAGGGTGGGAATGTGGTCAGTGAAACTGTGTAAATGTTTATTCAGTCTTAGTTGATTTAAAAAGAGGTACTAGCAGGTACTTGCATCATTGCTAGTAAATGTGTGTGATGGGAATCACTAAACACAGATCAACAAAAAAGTCAGATCTCTAATCTCAAGGTATTTAAATGCAACACATAAATGAAAGATATCTAAGGAAACATTTCCATCAGATCAAGTGTTTAAGAGAAGAATGATTTTCCAATAACATAATTATGAACCCGAAATATAAACATTTGGGCTAAGCTTTTATTATATCAATGGTCAAGTGATTTGGTATAATAAAGTACTTAGTTTTATCAATTTTTACTTCATTTTATTTATTTCTTCATCTATTCACTCATTTATTTTCCAGGAAGCATTGCCATCATTGTGCCTCTCGTCCTCTTGGTGACTTTGATAACCACCTTAGTAATTGGTTTAGTGCTTTGTAAAAGAAAAAGAAGGTAAGATGCAATGTTCTAGATTAGCAGTCAGTGAATAAATCACACAACTAGGTGCAGAAACATAATGTTTGTTGTTAATTTTTTTAAACATGATTTAGTTATGCCAACTGTAAAATACAATGTTTTTCAAATCATTTTATACCTCTCTTTTAAGTGATTATAATTTAGACAAGTCTTCTCCCATGTTATGTTAAGGGAATGGTCCATGTATATATTCTAGCAAAACTGACAAGAGATCATATTATTCAAAAGTTAAGTAGGATTTTACATTTGCAGTTATCTTTCCTTGAAACAGCAAGGGTCTCTGAGGAGCATCTTTTTATATTAATGTGTATGATTAGTAATGTCAATACAGTGATACTGATATGCATATATACATCTCCAATTTGTACATTTCTTTCACAAATAGTGCATTGATTCACTTATACCTCATTAGAAGTATCATTTCAATTTATATGAAAATGAACTTATAGATCTAGAAGACTAGGTTGTCTACAGAAAGACAAGAGCCATGTGTGCTCACTTACAAATGGACGTGAAATAATGTCCATTATTACTGACATAGAGTGTAGGGTGATAACTATTGGAGATTTAGAAGGGCGGGAAATGAAAGTGGGGTGGTTGATGAGAAATTACCTAATGGGTACAGCGTACATTATTTGGGTGATGGACATACTAAAAGCCCAGGCTTCAACACTATGCAATATAACCACGTAACAAACTTGCACTTGTACAAAATAAGCTTAAAAACCAAGAGCTTTTGAGTCAGTATTTGACTTATGTAAAACAGGATTCTAACCATGTAACTTGGGGATTGAAAACAATCTTAGAGTTTATCACTATTTTGTTGTGATAGTTTTCAGAAAGGAGAAAAAATAGAATTTAAAAAGATTGGTAAATATTCAATTTCAAATGATGTCATTTCGGCTATTTAGGAGGTATTTATTTCCAGTGTGTTTTTATTAAGTCAAAACAACTGGGAAAACAGCCTATCAATGTACTACTTTTTGTTCCTCTGTTACTTGACAAATGTCATTTATTCAATTTATTTCAAAATAAGTCAGTAAATCTATAAATATAATTTCATATGCCTTGATTGTGATATTTATACAAAACTCACACATATTAATGTTTATATATTCTAGGACAAAAACAATTAGAAGACAACCTATTATCAATGGAGGAATAAATGTAGAAATTGGCAATCCATCTTATAACATGTATGAGGTAGATCATGATCACAACGATGGAGGTCTTTTAGATCCTGGCTTTATGATAGACCCAACAAAGGTAGTATGTCTTAAGATAATGGGCAGTGAGCACTAACATTCTTGAGTCGCATCTCTGTTTTATGGTTCTGAATTTCACCAAGTTTTTCTGTTATCTGAAGTTAGAATAAGGGACTTTAGGATGTATTGAATGATATAGCCTCTTCTAAAGAGAAAGTACAATTATGGACTGCATTCACCTGAAGCTGAGTGTAACACATCTTAGAAAACACATATTTATTTGCTCAGTTCTTTTATAAACATGTTTTTATATGTTTTTTATTGAAAAATGATTCATTATCTAATTTTGTTTACATAAAGCAAACGAAAAACTCATTTAAAAATTGTTTTAGTATTGATATCACACAGCAAATTGTTTAGGTCTTCTTCAGGGGATAGATAGATATATAGATAGATAAAGGTCTATTATAAAGTAAAGCTACTGACTTTCAATGTTGAAATATATGCAAGGAGAAGACCAATACATGCACAGCTTCTAGAAATATGGCTGAAAAGTAGTTTGGTGAGACATTTTCTTTTCTACCCACTTCCTCCCAGTATTCCTTACAGTGTGGTTCTATGGGGTTTTGGTTTGGTAGGAACTGGATACTTACAAGATAGTTTTGTTTTCATCACTTCAGACATGGAATCCTTCTTTTAATGTTTTTTGTTTTAATTGATACATAATAAGTAGGAAATCAGTACATTGAAGAGATATCTGTACTTCCATGATTTTTACAGCATTATTCACAATAGCCAAGATATAGAATCAACCTAAGTGTGCATCAACAATGAATAAAGAAAATGCTATTCAGCCATAAAAAAGAAGGAAATCCTGTCATTTGAGGCAACATGGATAAAGCTGGATGATATTGTCATATATGAAATAATCCAGGCACAGAATGACAAATACCACATGATCTCACTCACATGTGAATCTATAGAAGTTAATATTGAAGTAGAGAGTAGAATAGTGGTTACTAGAGGGTGGAGAGGGGAGGAGGAAGGAAAATAGGTGTTGTTCAATGGGTACAAAGTCACAGTCAGATAAGAGGAATGGGTTTTGGTGTTCTGTTGCACAGTTAGGTGATGGTGGTTAACAATATTGTATTGTATATTTAAAAATAGCTAGAAAAGGATTTTTAATGTTCTCGCCACAAAAAAATAACTATGTATGAGGTGATAGATATGCTAAATACTTTGATTTTTTCTGCAATGTATACATGTATAAAAACATAACAAAACACAGTATCTCATAAATATGTATAATTCATGTAAAATAATGCTCTAATCAAATGTGTTGAGGTATTAGCAAATCTAGATACACAGCTTAGTGTAAAAATCTTGGTCAGTGTATTTTTTAAATATAAAAGAGTACAGTACTTTATTATCAAAATAAGTATGTTGTTTCCAATAATGTTTAAATGATGAGCCAGATAAGCTGTGTCCTTGGACTTCTTTGTAATTAAATCACTTTTGAGAAATATTTTTCTATCTGTCATAATATCCTTACTAGTTTAAAACATTTCATTGATACATATAGCCTGACAATCCACAGCCTTTTAAATTTAAAAATATTTGTTAGTTTTTATTACTATAAGCTGAGGTTGGCAACTTTTAAGGGAAATAGCTAAATGATACAATTATCCAGTTAAAGTTGTGAAGATTTACTTCAGTGAATTATCTGAATATTCTTTCTGATAATTTTAGAATATTTTTTCTCTAAATTAAGAGTATCAATTTAGTATTATGAAACAATTTTTCTTGGTTTATTCACTTATTTATTGAATAGTTATTTATTTTTCTGACTTACAAAAGTTACTTCATCAAAATGCACTTTTACATTGTAAATATCCAATGTGGCCAATCTACATTCAAATTATTTTGCAATCACAGTCATTGGTGTTCCTGAAGAATCTGAATAGGATCCCACATATTCAGTCTAGTTCTGAACCCATGATTAGGCTTTCTAAGCCTAAAATTGATGCTCAACTATTCACTTCTATGAAAATCAATCTTTTCACATGGATACATTGTGTACTATCAGAGAATATTATATTTTTCTAATTAGACATAATTTTATAGTTATTAAAATTCACTCCTACATCTGAAATTTTTCAAGGAAAAAGTCTTGGTAACCTTACATTTGATATTTTCTGCTTTAAAATATCACAGAAGTGGAGACATGATACATATTTTACACATTGCTATTGATAATCTATTATATCTATGAAGGAGAAAGACAAATAATAGAGTTCTGAAATTCTTTGCATTTTTCTTAGGAATAAAAATATAGTATTCATACATATAACAGACTAATGACGATATACTTTACACATTTTTCATATGAAGGAGGGTTATTTTTTCCTCATCATTTTTATTTCTAGTGATAGAATTAATCCAATTTTGTACACTTAAAGAGAATAGCTTTTTACACATTCAAAAATTTTCACATTTACTCTAGGAAGATAAAACTATGTTTCAGTGCCCCCAAATATATTTTAATGTACTTAGAACATAATACTCAAATATTTACCAATTGGATGACTGAATAACCAAAATTGCATCAAATATGACTTAGATGACTGATTCTATCTGGATCCTGATATTTGAATATAAATGTGAATTGTTGTCAAATGAGTAACTACAGAAAAAAACAGCTAGTTCTAATAGGTTTAGACAGTAGTGAGAAACAAAGGGCCATATTGAAGCAACCTTAATAATCATATGAATTTTATAGAGCATTCACTTTGTTACAAGCGTTTGATATATGCATGGTGCAATCAGTATAAATTACATTACATGTGAAGAAAAATTTTGTAGAACACTCATTTCTGTTATTCTCAAAGAGGGTAAAATTTCTAGTTCAATGGTATCTTATAATCAAAAGGATTGAAAGTACTTAATGCAGTTAATAAAATTGATTTGACTATGGGGGTAACCACAGAACAGTTTGAAGAGTTTAAAAGAGATAAATATGTACTAGTTTTATCTTCAAATTCATGCCAATTCTTACTTGGACTATTCTTTATATTTTCTGAATAAGACTTTTGTGAGAGAAATGTCTACCTATGAAGCAAAGATCCAATATTAATATTGGATCTTTAATAATATTAATATTGGATATTTTAAGTTGTTTTAAGTTGTTAAAGCTAACATGAACACACTGTAAATGGTGTAAGGCTAAAGGGTATTTTTATGTTATTTTTATGAATTAACATGATATGTATCGATGAAAAGTGATTCTATAATATTAGATCAGAAACTAAAATTTTCTGTTTATATACAGGCCAGGTACATAGGGGGAGGACCCAGTGCTTTCAAGCTTCCACACACAGCGCCGCCCATCTACCTAAACTCTGATTTGAAAGGACCACTAACTGCTGGGGTGAGAGAAGAATATTCGTTATTTCATGTCCGTTTCATCACAGAACCCTCACAATCAAAGACTAATTACTAGACTTAGAGGCTTGTTTTTAATTAAGTTTTTAATTAACAAGAGATTTCAAAATAGCATTTAAATTGGGGGCTTATGTTATGTGTCCTGTCTATGCAAGATTACATCTAAAACATTATTTTAGGCAAGCCATTAAGTAGAAATATCTCTTCTACTGGATTTGGAAATGTTATTGTCCCTTTACAGTGAACATGAGTATTTGTTATTCTTAGCAAAGAAGCTCTAGCCAGAAATTAAAACTGAATAAACTTTTGATTTTATTCATTTCCTCTCATAGTGGTTTATTTAATATATACAAATTTGACGTGCAGTTAAATAGACTATACTTTAAAATGTGTCATCATATTGAGAAATTACAGACGGTCTAACAAAACCACTCTCAAAAACATGTTTCAATTAAGTAACTGGTGTTTAGAGAAAGCTGTTCTGTCTAAAGTTACATAGTTCATTTTAAGCAGAAGAGGAATAAAAATATGCATTATCAAGATTCCTAGGGATGAGAATTCTCTCCCTTATCGTCTTTCCCATCAACTGTTTTCATCCTCATTTTCTATCATGTTTGTCTCAATTGCATGGCTCAAAGATTATAATGTTTCCTTGTTGTAACTAAGATTTAATGTACTGTTTTTGGAAAGACGAAACAAAAAATAAGGAAAACAAACACTAGGCAAAATTTTCTTGGGATAAACTGCAATTTGTTAAATAGTGAACATTGTATGTATATGTTTTCCAACTCAAAGAGGTCAGCTGCTGCATGCCTCTAATTCTACTTCAAAATGCTATGTTTGTGAAACTTAAGATGACTGTGTACATCACAATTCTTTGAAAAAGTCCAAAAATATTTCTAATAAGTACACACAGGTTGTTTGAGGCAAAAATATTGCTTTAAAAATCTGATACACTAATGCATTTCTTTACATTTTTGTTTACTTGTTTTTAAGTTCATGTTGAAAAATTATAAGCACCAAACAAATGTTTTTCTGAAAACACATCTTACTTGCCACGGATAGGCTTGTAATAGCAATAAGGGGGACAACACAAAAACTGAAAACATGACAATTTAGTTTCACATTTTATGCTTTTATAATAAAGTCTCAGTGAACATAGCTTTTACAAAGATTTTTTTCTGGCTTTTTGTATATGGCAAAGCTCCTCTTAGGTTCACAAGTTACTTGCAAAATGTAAAATTATGTTTCATTTAATACCATGCTTGAGTTGAGTAAAGTCTGTAAATGTAACATGTAAATAACCTTTAAATCATTACTATTTAATAAATTAAATGTATTGCATATAAATATTGTTACGATTAGGAGATGGACATTCTAGGAAGTAAATAATTAATGTGGCCAAGACCAGTAATAAAATTATATTTATTTTTTTTCTCCTTCAGCCAACAAATTACTCCAATCCGGTATATGCAAAATTATATATGGATGGGCAAAACTGTCGAAACTCCTTAGGAAGTGTTGATGAAAGGAAAGAACTGCTTCCAAAGAAAATAGAAATTGGTATAAGAGAGACAGTGGCATAATCAGTGATATCTTTTATATGCTGTATAAATGTATAAAATATAAGGATTACTTTTGTATGTTCCAACAGTATTATACTTGTTTTGGCATCAGCATTACCTCTTTCTTTATCTTTTTCCTGGTTAATTGTTTTCTGAGTTTTTTGGGTTTTATTTTTTGCTGATGACTATTGATTGACCATTTGTATGGTATTTTTATGAAAAAGAACTGCACTACAGTACAATTTACAACAATGCTGCTGATATGACACACCTTTGAATTTGTTAAAATTAAAAACAACGTATTCCTTTGTAGTGTGAATATGAGCAATCTATTTTATATGAACTTTTTTGGTTGTACTTAATCAACGAGGAGAATCTCTGCACTTTTCCATTATACGGTTTGAAGGCTGTAATACAGTGTCATATTATTTTTCTGTTTAAATTGATGGAAAAATGATTGAATGGTCAACTCTCTTCTTTGTGCCCATAAAGATCGATTCAGACTCTGCTGAAAATATATAGCTCTCACAAGTTCAGCATCACCTGCTTTGAAATTAGCCTTAGATTGCCAACCAATAGATGAGAATTTTGAGGAAAAAAATTAAAAATATGTAAAATTAATAATTTGCATGAACACAGATGACTACATTTTCCAAAACTTAGTGGACTCTATGTGATGTACTAAATGTATACACCTTGTAAGCAATAGTTATATTTAGGTGGTAGAACATAGCAAAAATATAACCGAAAGTTGGCCGACTGCACTTGCTATGGAATAAGACCTTTTATTCTCCCTCAGTCTCGAGATAAATAGCCAGCCTAGAGCACAACAGGGCATTGGGTACTTGCATCTTAGGTATTTCTTCCCAGTCACATCCATTTTGTGGAAGATTAACCCAACCCCTTACACTACACTGAACACTAAAGAATAATATATAAGCACACAAATTGGTGACAGAATTTCAATTACGTGAACGCATCCTCTTTGCTAGGTCAAAAAACAAAGGGCAAAGCAGACATTTTAGTATACAGAGTGATTGGCAAATATTTTCAAGATTTAATATGAGCAACCCATTATTTGCCCTATCCAAAATATATTCAAGGGCCTTCCAAGTTGTAGAAGAACAATGATCTTCCCATAATCAAAAGTGGAGAGTCGAAATGCTGTGCCAGTTGCTCTGGTATTCAGGTTTCTCTGGGTTTTACAGAACGCATGGACCCCATTCACGTTTGGTTTGTTTATCTTCAAATTTGAGTTGAAACGAGTGCGATTTATTTAAGTTGTATATAAAAATAAAAGGATAGCATTTTTATACAAATATCTTTAAAGGCACAAAAGATTTATTCACAAGTTTTGGAGGGCTTTTTGTTCCTCTGATAGACATGACTGACTTTTAGCTGTCATAATGTATTAACCTAACAGATGAAATATGTTAAATATGTGGTTGCTCTTTATCCCTTTGTACAAGCATTAAAAAAACTGCTGTTTTATAAGAAGACTTTTTGTTGTACTATGTGCATGCATACTACCTATTTCTAAACTTTGCCATATTGAGGCCTTTATAAACTATTGATTTATGTAATACTAGTGCAATTTTGCTTGAACAATGTTATGCATATCATAAACTTTTTCAGGTTCTTGTTTAAGTACATTTTTTAAATTGAACAGTATTTTTCATTTTGGTTATAATATAGTCATTTTGCCTATGTTTCTACAATGAAGTGTTAAATACTTTATAAAAAATTGTTGACTGACTTATTTAAATGAAATTCTACATATTTAAGAGCTTGTGTTGGGTAGTTTTTAAAAATAAGAAAATTCCTTTATGTAGCTTAAATATTCTGAGAGAACTGTTTTAGTAAACACGGCATTTTTATATCCTTAGAACATAATACACTCCAGGGGAAAACTGATTTCATTGTATCATCTTTCAATGCACAGTAGAGAAGGCATTTTCTGTCTTCATGGAGTAGAAACACTCCCCTTACTTTATCCTTTTCCCTGCCTTCCTGTGCCTGTCAGAGTCTCCATATTGCAATAGAAAGAAAGGTTCTATACACAGTAGCATGACAACCATGCTAAACAAGCCAAAGCTCTTCCTGTCCCTTTCTATTCCCCAAAACTGTACTTTATGGAAAATCAGATTTCCATTAGACGCTATTTCCACATTATTTTGTTAGAATGGTTATTTGCTATACCTACTTTTAGCATCAGACTAGAGATGGAAAATATAGGTGCGTCTGATTTACTTAACATTGAGTTATATTATTTGAAGGGGCCTTCTGATGTCAGAGCTGTGTAAATGCAACTGAAAATATTTCAAAGAACCCACAGAGTGGTGTGATATTAATACAGTTAACATTAGTATAAATATCTAGCAAATAATATATGATATGCAACCTACTGCCAGTTGGGACCTGACATTGATGACCTACTCTCACTAGGGCCCTAGTGAAAACAATAGTCAACAAAGCTTAGAATGTGTTTTTTTTAACCCTGGGGCCCTGCAGCTACTTTAGATGATAAATATATATTTTCAACTACTTAAAGTTAATTTAATCTGTTTCCATAGCTCTATTGTGTTCTATTCCAATTTTCTATTGCAAAAATTTTTATAAATGCTAGAAATTCAAGTTTATAATTCTCTTTCAAAGTCACAATTCTTTATAAATGCCATCAAAAAATGCTTTCTAAACTATTGCTTCAAGCTTTGATGGGAGATATTTTATAAATATTAATGTTTCTTGATGAACTTGCTTCTCTACCCAAATGCCTTCTTATCTAGAGCAATGAGTTTCAACTTTTTGGCATTTTATCAAGTAATTATTTGTTTTCCTTTATGGGGAAGGATATTTAGAACCATCATTTCCTTCTATCCATTTCAGTAACGCCAGTACTACTACCTAAAGTTGACACAAACAAATGTCTATAAACATTGCCAAATGTCTTCTGGGGAACAAAATTGTCCCTGATCAGAACTACTGATCTAGAGGCACTTTCTGTCCCCTGTTATTAGATTACTCTCAGCTGGAACAACAACCACCACCACAAAGGCCCCTGCTCAAAAAAATCATGGTATCCCCAAGTTTTGATTTTAATTCTTTAGTGTCGACGATGAATGAGTTATAGAAGTTTGGTATTCATGTAGTGCCTATGTAGTAAACAGTCAAAAGCTATGACTAAGGGGAAAAGTTTCATTTGGAAACTTTTACAATTTTGTATAAAATAAGTCATTTGTTTATGTAAATGTGTTTTATCTGTGTCCATTTCAGTATCAGTGATTGGTTTTATTTTGTTTTGTGTTTTATCATTTGCTTATTTTGTTAGTTTTTGAATTTCAAGCCTGCGCTTTTCTTCTAAGAATGTTACTTTCCATTTTTATGATGGCTGAGGTATGAAGAAAGTTCAATCCTAAATACATGTTATGGCTATTATAAATGTACTGCAATATACAAAATGCCTACAATTTCCAAATCTCAGAAAACTAGTATATGTGATGAAAGAAATTGAAAAAATATTGCTGATTTTTCTTTATTCTCCCTCATTGCTATATCTTCAAACACATCCTTTGGATACAAAATCTTATTCCTCTGAGAATACTAATATTGTATACAGATTAAACTTCATGTAGTTTGATTTAAAAGATTAAAATATAAGAGAATAAGAATTCTGTGAGCTAAGCAAAATATAGCTAACTACTTTTTAAAAGCAGTTTTATCTTACACTCCATTCCAGTTTTCATCAGTTTCTTTAACGATGACTTTTCTCAATACTAGATACACTAAAATTTAATGTATACTAAGAGTTATTAATCATTAGTTAAATATGACGCTTTAATTGCAACTTGCAAGAAAGGGAGAGACTCAAGCACTCCTTATGAAGTTTTTAGGGCGATCTGGCACAAAAATTTCCCCCATGTATTTTGAATCTGAGGAAAAAGAGCCAAAAAATGGTTTATTTTTCAATTCTGCTACCACATCTATTGCTAGCTTAACACATCTAGAAAGATAAGTCCCGAAAAAGACAAAGACAATTAAAAAATATAGGGAAGCAGTTTTATTCAGAAAGACATTTTGTTTCTGATGTTATCATATCCAAAGGCCCAACAATGTTTTCTTCATACAGTGCTATGCAAGTATCTAGTGTATAGAAAGAAAAATAGATGAAATGGATTTTTTGGTTTGGCTTTTCTCTAGCAGACGTTATACTTATGTGGCTGCAATTTATTCTGAAAAATAGTTTCTAGTGAATCCCATCTTTTTTTGTACTCAAAGTGATCAAGAATCAAAAGAAAAATTGGTACTAAAGATGGACTATTTGATAAATTCTATGCTTAGAATGTATTCATTTTCTCTGATGGATAATCTGTCCCTTTAGAATGGGGTTTGTAAGATATTGTTGAACTAAAGCAATGCAATTCTGATACTTCAGTCATTTGTTCACTCCAAGATAATTTTTCAGCTGTGGTTTCTTCTGCAGTTTTAATACATAAATTATGCGCCTCCTGGTTCAATTTGATTTCCAGCTTGCTTATGCAATAGTGGCCTGGAGAGCCAATGATATGACTCTTCTAGCCTTTGATAGTGAAACCATACACATCTTACTTGGATCAGGAATCTAGTCATTTATAAGTGAGAAAATACTTCTTTCACACACAGAATAAACTGTGAAATATACTAAAGAATACCTTTAGGAGTTTGAATAATAAAGTTTTCTATGGAGATACATAATACATATATTATATATGGAATATATATATATTTATATATATGGAATATATATATATTTATATATATGGAATATATATATATTTATATATATGGAATATATATATATTTATATATATGGAATATATATATATTTATATATATGGAATATATATATATTTTTATATATGGAATATATATATATTTTTATATATGGAATATATATATATTTATATATGAATATATATATTTATATATATATTTATATATATGGAATATATATATTTATATATATATTTATATATATGGAATATATATATTTATATATGGAATATATATATTTATATATATGGAATATATATATTTATATATGGAATATATATATTTATATATATGGTATATATTTATATATGGAATATATATTTTTATATATGGAATATATATTTTTATATATGGAATATATACATATTTATATATGTGGAATATATATATTTTTATATATGGAATATATATATTTTTATATATGGAATATATATATTTTTATATATGGAATTATATATATATGGAATATAAGTTTAGATTGACTTAACATGTCTGAACAGATAATGTAAAATTTAGGTAAGAAATAACTGGACAGTGAGATTTATACCTAGAATAACTTTTACCTTTAGTTTTTCTCTTTTTACAACTTATTGCTCTTTTTACTGTACGATTTATCCATTCTTATTTTTTTTTACTTTGAGCAAATTATTTTATGAATAGATTTCACTAAAAGTACTTATCAAAAGCCTATATCTGCAGTGTGTTTGCTGAGCTTTCACATATATGTAAATGTTACAATCTACAATTGTCAGTTATGGCTGTGGAAATTTATTTAAACACACAACTACACACACACACACACACACACACACACACTCACATTCTCACACACTGACTTTGATATGCCATTAATTGTGAAGATAGCATTTCTTTCCTAGGATTTAATGTTTATGTTCTGTGGCTTTGAAGTTCAGAAAACATTACCCTTATACATAATGGTAGCTAATACCTAATTTTGTATTCCTTATTATAAGATCATCATATCTTCCCTAATTTGCATCTCTTTTTTTTAATCCAAAGTGACATTACAGGAAGCCAATGTTACTGTTACATTATTTTATCATAACCTGTATTTTTATTGTAAAAATTGTCATTTTTGAAAACTTAGAAAATATACATAAAGAAGAGAGAAAAATTACCACTATATTAGAAAACTAGAGAGAGAGTTAACACTTCAGAGTATTTTCTTTCTTTGTTTTAGGGTCATGCTTTAATTTTTCTATCCTGCTTTTAAAATATAATATTAAAATATTTGGTTTTATATCTTCCTTGTGCATTTATTATTTTTATTCAGTTTGTTTGTTTATACTATATAGATGCTATATTGTTTGGTTTTATTTTTCTCTTTTGATTTGATAGTTATTTTTTCTGCTGGTAAGTACTTTCAACTTAAAAAGTATTCTAGTAACAGGATCCAGAATTTAAAAATAAGTATTTCCACCCCTTAAAATGAGAACTTTAACATTCTTAAATTCCCTAATTTAACTCACCTCCATGGCCTTTGTTGATATAGTTTGTATTTTTATTTTTAAACTATTTCAATCAAAGTATTATTTTTCTATTCTTTATCTTCTTTTCCTTATTTGGGAAAAATTTTAAATTATTTTTACATTTAGTATTTATTTTTTACAACTTATAGCTCTTTACTGCATGATTTCTCCATTCTTGATTTTTTTTATTTTGACTAAATTCTTATTTTATGAGTAGATTTCATAAAGAGTACTTATCAAAAGACTTTACCTGCAGTATATTTGCTAAGTTTTCACATATATACAAATATTTCTCTAAGGCCTTCAAATAGAAATGTCAGCTCAGTTGGATGCACATTTCTAAAGCTATAACCTTTTCCTCCAAAATTAGGTTGAACTTGGCCCACTGCTTTCAGACATTCAATGTTGTCAGGGATAAGTCTGAGGCCAAGTGTATCTTTATTTTTTTGTATCATTTTTCCTCAGGCTTAAAACAAAACAACTAGTTATAATTAAAATATTTTGACAAAAATGCACAAATCTTTTTTTATTAATTTTGTCTACCCACCAGAATATACTTTCAGCTGAGATCTATTTTCCTTAAGATGCTCTTCATTACTTCTGTCCAAATTTTCCTTAAATATACACAAACACCTACAATTCTTAGGTTAGGTCATTTTTTTTCCTTTATAATCTATATCATCTTAATTTTTTTCCTCACCACTCCCATTTATTCTTGAATAAATTTTCAAGGTTCTGGCATGCATTACTGACTTACTTTTTCCCCTGTATACTCAATTTCTTTCTTGTGTATGCATATGTGAGCATGTGTGTGCACACGTGCAAGCACCTCAGGGATGAATTTTAATTCAGTGCATATAGAGTCCTTCCTTATCTTACTCAGCTTTAAAACTTTTTTAAAACTCAGTTGTTTATTCTCCTGTGGTGTGTATTTTCTTCTCAGAGTTTTCTGCTGAGGTTTCTACTATTTGTTTCCTTTTTCCTATTCATAATACCAACCAGTTTTCAAAAGTTATCTTTTGGCAACATTCCTGTAAGTCTACAGAATGGTGTTCTCATTTCTTTGTTTTATGTAATTTAAAAAAAAAAAAAAAAACAGTCCATGGGGCTCTTCATTTTTTCTTTTCTGTTTACTAATGCTGAATTAGAAAATGCTGTAGTTCTAGAGCTGTTTAGCAGATAGGATGTGCAATGTTTTCTTTGTTCTCATTTTCTGTCAATTTGATGCCTTTTTATTACACTTTCTAGGTTTATAACTCCTGATCCTTTTCGCCTTCACATATGCTACTGGGTCTGTGCTAGAATCCATTATGATTATTCTCTCTTATTTCAATGTATTTCTTTAGATAATGAAACAAAGAACTACATAAAAATCTCAGGGCTCCTGTAATCCATACCTGCCTGCCACCCCTGAATCTGGCCCAATGTTGTGGCATAACCTTCAGCATATACAACAGGACAGCACCAGGCTTCTCAGTGCTTCAGCAGCCCTTCCCTTTCTTGAAAACTGTCCCAGATGTCTGCTATATTTTCCAGACGTACCCTTTTCTGAAGGACTGTGAAGCTTGGCTCGGGGCAGTGCTCTGCTCCCATCTAGAAGCACTGACTATTCGGTAGAAGAATGGCTGCCTACTTCTTTTCTCGTTCTTTTAGTCAATACTAAAGATCCTTGATATTACATAGTACATAACATCATTCACCATACATAGTACATTCAGTCAAAAAAATCCCTGCCAACATGGATATCCCCCACCAATTTTTGTTCTCTTAATCTATCAACCTTCGAGAAATTATCATCCCACTTGGGAGTACTACCTTCCTCGCTCCAGGCTCATAACACTTGGGGGTTACTATACTGAAACTATACCTGGCATCTGGTTCTTACCTCAAGGCCATACAGTTAAGATCACCCACACTTTCCCTTTAAATAAGGCATATCAATGGACTAGAGACTATCACTCTATTAACCAGTCATGGGAGCATGATCATGAATTTGGTATTTTTAACTTTTAGGAATGCTATCACTCACCATTGCAGAAGGCCTGGTCCCCTCTGAATCAGCTGTAGACGAACTCGGATTGGATTTCTGCCAAATCAATTGTAGAAGCTGAGCTTATATTGAATATTCTAACCTCGCATAACAACCATAAGATGTTAATTCATGCTTGAAGGACATAATAATCAATAGACACATATGCACAATCACCTACCCTTATTTTCAAGAACTATTTATGATTTAACTCACAACCCCCCCCAACATCTCTGACTTTATCATGGACATAGGTAAATATGCACTTGTGAAAACCCCAAGAGACTAAAATGCAACCCAGTCAGAGCCCAAAAAAGTTATATTTTAATCATGAATATCCCAACAACTACCCCTTGATTGATATAAAATTTTCCCAAAAATCTCAAGATATCTACCAAATAAGCCTCCATATCTAATAAATACAGTAACTAGATTTTCACCCTAATACTAGTATAATGCCTTGAATATAACCCTTTGAAAGCACTACCCTAGTGCATGACACTCTAAATCAACTATTCCCTAATATAAGAAACCCCCTTCAATTAAGTTTCTACCAATTCAACTTTAAATTCCCTTGAATTACCGTAATTGCAAATGACTACTTACATTTATCTCTTTCCCATTATACTTAAATTTTATACTCAACTATTTATGCAGTTAATGTAGCTTAATTATTCAAAGCAAGACACTGAAAATGTCTAGATGGGTCTGCACAACCCCATAAACAAATCAGTTTCGTCTTGGCTTTTCTATTAACTCTAAGTAAGATTACACATGCAAGCATCCTCATCCCAGTGAAAATGCCCTCTAGATCACCTGAATCAAAAGTATCAAGCACACACAAATGCAAATATCTAGCATGCACAAATGCAACTCAGAACACTTTGTTCAACCACACCCCCACAGGAAACAGCAGTGATAAATCTTTAGCAATAAACAAACATTTAACTAAGCTATACTAATATTTAGGGTTGGTCAATTTCGTGCCAGCCACCGTGATCATACGATTAACCCAAGCTAATAGATTTCGGCGTAAAGAGTGTTTAAGATCTATTTTCAATAAAGCTAAACTCCATCTAAGTTGTAAAAAACTCCAGCTGAAATAAAATATTACGAAAGTGGCTTTAATATTCTGAAGACACAACAGCTAAGACCCAAACTGAGATTAGATATCCCATCATGCTTAGCCCTAAACTATAATAGTTAAATTAACAAAATTATTTGCCGGAATACTACAAGCAAGAACTTAAAATTAAAAGGACTTGGCGGTGCTTTATATCCCTCTAGAGGGGCCTGTTCTATAATCCGTAAACCCCGATACACCTCACCACCTCTTGCCCCACAGCCCATATACCACCATCGTCAGCAAACCCTAGAAAGGTTGCAGAGTAAGCACAAGTATATTCATAAAAATTTTAGGTCAAGGTGTAGCCTACGAGGTGGCAAGAAATGGGCTACATTTTCTATACCCGAAAAATCTCACAACAACCCTTATGCAATCTAAAGGCTTAAGGAGGATTTAGCAGTAAACAAAGAGCAGAGTGCTTGGTTGAATAAGGCCATGAAGCACACAGACACAACCCTGTCACCCTCCTCAAATATTATTCTAGAAACTAATATTACTAACGCTCTCTATCCATATATAGAGGAGATAAGTCGCAACATGCATGGTAAGTGTACTGGAAAGTGCGCTTGGATAAATCAAAGCGTAGCTTAACTCAAAGCATCCAGCTTACACCCCGAAGATTTCATCACAACTCGATCACTTTGAGCCAACTCTAACCCCAAATCTCTCTAAAACTACTAACAAATTATCTTAACTAAATATTTACCCAAACAAAAGTATAGGCGATAGAAATTTTACCCTGGCGCAATAGACTTAGTACCATAAGGGAAAGAGGAAAGAACTAAATCAAGCACAAAAAAGCAAAGATAAACCCTTATACCTTCTGCATAATGTATTAACTAGAAATACCTTTACTTAGAGAACCAAAGCCAAGTCCCCCGAAACCAGACGAGCTACCCAAGAACAGCTGAAAGAGCACACCCACCTATGTGGCAAAACGGGAGGAATATTCGTGAGCAGCGGTGGTAAGCCTACCAAGCCTGGTGATAGCTGATTATCAAAGATAGAATCTTAGTTCAACTTTAAACTTACTCAGAGAATTACTTAATCTCCCTGTAAGTTTAACTGTTAGTCTAAAGAGGGGCTGCTCTTTAGACTCTAGGAAACAACCTTCCTACAGCGAGTAAAAAATATTACCACTATAGTTGGCCCAAAAGCAGCCACCAATTACGAAAGTGTTCAAGCTCAACATCTGACCACCCTAAATCCTACTCACAATACTGAACTCCTTATATCACATTGGACTAATCTATTACTCAACAGAAGCAATAATGTTAATATAAGTAACATGAAGTGATTCTCCTCTGCATAAGCTTATATCAGACTGGAATAATCCACTAACAGTTAGACTAATATTAATAAATGATTTAATAAATACCTTATTATTTATCCTCTTAATCCAATGCAGGTATGGTCCAAGGAAAGATTACAAAGAGTAAAAGGAACTCAGCAAATCTTCCATCGCCTGTTTACCAAAAATATCATCTATAGCATTACCAGTATTAGAGGCACTGCCTGCCCAGTGACATATGTTCAATGGCCACAGTATCCTGACCGTGTAAAGATAGCATAATCACTTGTTCTTTCATTAGGGACTTGTATGAATGGCCACATGAGGGTTCATCTCTCTCTTACTTTTCATCAGTGAAATTCACCTATCCGTGAAGAGGCAGATATACACAAATAAGACGAGAAGACCCTATGGAGCTTAAATTTATTAACGCAAACAAAAACTCAAAATAAGCCTAGAGGAGATAATCTACTATCCCTGAATTAAAAATTTTGGTTGGAGTAGCCTTGGAGCATAATTCAACCTTTGAACAACCTAAACTAACACCACACCAGCCTTTGCGAACTAACATATATTGTTGCAATAACTTAATCAATGGAATAAGTTACCTTAGGGATAACAGCACAATCCTATTCTAGAATCCATATCGACAACAGGATTTACAACTTTGATGTTGGATCAGGACATCCTAATGGTGTAGCCGCTATTAAGCGTTCATTTGATTAAAGTCCTACATGATCTGAGTTCAGACTGGAGTGATCCAGGTCGGTTTCTATCTACTGAACATTTCTCCTAGTGCGAAAGGACAAGAGAAATAGGGCCCATTTCATAAAGTGCCTTCACCACATAGATGATTTTATCTCAATCTAATAAATCATTACAGGCCCTACCCAAGAACAAGGTTTGCTAAGATGGCAGAGCCCGGCAATTGCATAAAACTTAAAACTTTATAATCTGAGGTTCAACTCCTCTTAACATACCTATAATTAACCTTCTCCTACTTATTGTCCCCACTCTAATCGCTATAGCATTCCTTACACTCTTTGAATGAAAAATCTTAGGCTATATACAACTACGCAAAGGACATAACATCATGGGCCCCTATGGACTGCTCCACCATTCGCTGATGCAATAAAACTTTTTACCAAAGAACCATTATGGCCCTCAACATCTAATATTACCCTCTATATTATTGCTCCAACCCTGGCCCTCTCCTTTTGTGAACCCCCCTGCCTATACCAGATCCCCTAATTTAGGCCTATTTATATTAGCCACATCAAGCTTAGCTGTCTATTCTATTTTATGGTCAGAATGAGCATCCAATTCAAATTATGCACTAATAGGCACATTACGAGCTGTAGCCCAGACAATTTCATATGAGGTCACCCTAGCCATTATTCTGTTATCAGTTCTACTAATAAGTGGCTCACTTAACTTGTACAAACTCATCACAACACAAGAATTTCTCTGACTGCTCCTATCATCATGGCCCCTAGCCATAATATGATTTACCTCTACACTAGCAGAAACTAACCGAGCCCCTTTTGATTTAACAGAAGGGGAGTCAGAATTAGTCTCAGATTTCAACTTCAAATATGCTGCAGGTTCATTTGCCTTCTTTATAGCAGAGTACATGAATATTATCATAATAAATACCCTAACTACAATTTTCCCCAAGAGCACTACACACTATATATTCACCAGAACTCTAATCCACAAGTCTCATTAGCAAAACCCTCCTTTTTAACTTCTCTATTTTTATGAATTCAAACAGCATATCCCTGATTCTGCTACGACCAACTCATACATCTCCTATGAAAAAATTTCATATCACTAACACTAGCATTCTGCATATATCTCAATGCCTATTCTAATTTACAGCATCCCACTTTAAACATAAGAAATTATGTCTGATAAAAGAATTACTTTGATAAATAATAAATTCCTTTTATTTCTAGAACTATAGGAATTGAGCCTATCCCTGAGAATCCAAAATTCTCCATGTGACCTACCACACCACGTTCTAAAGTAAGGTCAGCTATAAGCTATCGGGCCCATACCCCAAAAATGTTGGTTATATCCTTCCCGTACTAATTAACCTATTAGCTCAACTTATTATTTATCTTACTATTTTCACAGGAACTCTTATCACAATGCTAGGCTCACACTGATTTCTCATCTGAACAGGCCTAGAAATAAACATATTAGATTTCACCCCAATCTTAATTTTAAAAAAATCCCCACTCTACAGAAGCAGCCACTAAATATTTCCTTATACAAGCAACCACAACTGTAATCCTTATAATAGGCATCATTTCCAATAGCCTGTTCTCTGGGCAATGAACAATAATACTATTAATTAATTTTCATCCTTTTTAATAATAACGGTCCTAGAAATAAAATTAGGAATAGCCCCCTTCCACTTCTGGGTCCCAGAAGTAACCCAAGGAACTTTCCTAATATCTGATATATTTCTTCTCACGTGACAAAAACTAGCCCCTATCTCGATTATGTTTCAAGTTTTCCTGTTAATAAATACAAATATCCCCCTATTTACCACAATCCTGTCCATTATAGTGGGTGGTTAAGCAGGAACTCAATCAAACACAACTGCATAAAATCCTAGCCTACTCCTCAACTACTCACATAGGTTGGATAATAGCAGTATTAACTTGTGACCCAAACATTACCATTTTGAACCTATTTATCTCATTTTAACAACTACTACATTTCTAGCACTCATCCTGAATATAAGCACTATGACCCTATCACTATCTCACACCTGAAACAAATTGACATGTAAACTGGATCCCTTCCTTACATCTTATACAAAAATTAATTCAATATGGATTAAAGACTTAAATGTTACACCTAAAACCATAAAAACCCCAGAAGAAAACCTAGGCAATACCATTCAGGACATAGGCATGGGCAAGTACTTCATGACTAAAACACCAAAAGCAATGGCAACAGAAGCCAAAATTGACAAATGAGATCTAATTAAACTAAAGAGCTTCTGCAAAGCAAAAGAAACTACCATCAGAGTGAACAGGCAACATACAGAATGGGAGAAAATTTTTACAATCTACCCACTTGACAAAGGGCTAATATCCAGAATCTACAAAGAACTTAAACGAATTTATAATAAAAAAAATCAAACAACTCCGTCAAAAAGTGGGCAAAGGATATGGACACTTCTCAAAAGAAGACATTTATGAAGCCAACAGACACATGAAAAAATGCTCATCATCACTGGCCATCAGAGAAATGCAAATCAAAACCACAATGAGATACCATGTCACACCAGTTAGAATGGCGATCATTAAAGTCAGGAAACAACAGGTGCTGGAGAGGATGTGGATAAATAGGAACATTTTTACACTGTTGGTGGGACTGTAAACTAGTTCAACCATTGTGGAAGACAGTGTGGCAATTCCTTAAGGATCTAGAACTAGAAATACCATTTGACCCATCCATCCCATTACTGGGCATATACCCAAAGGATTACAAATCATGCTGCTATAAAGACACATGCACACATATGTTTATTGCAGCACTATTCACAATAGCAAAGACTTGGAACCAACCCAAATGTCCATCAATGATAGACTGGATTAAGAAAATGTGGCACATATACACCATGGAATACTATGCAGCCATAAAAAAGGATGAGTTAATGTCCTTTGTTGGGACATGGATGAAGCTGGAAACCGTCACTCTGAGCAAACTATTGCAAGGACAGAAATGAGCAAACTATGGCAAGGACAGAAAACCAAACACCACAAGTTCTCACTCATAGGTGGGAACTGAACAATGAGAACACTTGGACACAGGGTGGGGAACATCACACACCGGGGCCTATCATGGGGTGGAGGGAGGGAGGAGGGATAGCATTAGGAGATATACCTAAGGTAAATGGCGAGTTAATGGGTGCAGCACACCAACATGGCACATGTATACATATGTAACAAACCTGCACGTTGTGCACATGTACCCTAGAACTTAAAGAATAATAAAAAAAATTAGTACTCAGAATATTTCGAAACAAACCACCCAGTAGAAAATTAGGCAAAATACATGAGCAGCCAACTATGAAAAATGAAATCAAATGATAAGAAAGATGATCAGCCTCACTAGTATAGTCACGTGCTCCATAACAATGTTTTGGTCAATGAGGGACCACATATATGACAGTGGTCTCATAGATTATAATGGAGCTCATAAGATTATAATGGAGCCGAAAAATCCCCATTGCCTAGTGACTTTGTAGTTATCCTGACATAGCCATGGAAATGTAGCACAACGCGTGGGTGTGGTGATACTGGTGGAAACACACCTACTGTGCTGCCAGTCCTATCAAAGTATAGCAAATACAATGATGTACAGTACATAATACTTGATAATGATAATAAATGACCATATTACTGGTATACGTATTTATGATGCTTTGGAATATTATTTTACAGTGTACTTCTTCTACTTATTAAAATAAAAAGCTAACTGGTTAATACCTATAATTCCATTAATTCTATTATCTCTAGGAGGTTTACCCCCATTAACAGGATTTCTACCTAAATGAATTATCATTCAAGAGTTTACAAAAAACAATAGCCTCATTACCCCCACCATCACAGCCATCATAACTGAACTTGTATTTCTATATACGCCTAATTTATTCCATCTCAGTAACAGTAATCTCCATATCTAATAATATGAAAATAAAATGACAATTCGAAAATACAAAACATATACCATTTCTCCCCTCATTAATTATTTCTTCCACCCTCCTCTTACCTATCTCTCCAATAATATTAACTATAATTTAGAAATTTAGGTTAAATAAGACCAAGGGCCTTCAAAGCCCTTAGCAAGTAAATTATACTTAATTTCTGTAACAGACCTAAGGACTGCAAGACTCTATTCTGCATCAATTGAACACAAATCAGCCACTTTAATTAAGCTAAGCCCTCACCAGATTGGTGGAATTCAAACCTACGAAAATTTAGTTAACAGCTAAACATCCTAATCAACTGGCTTCAATCTACTTCTCCCTCCGTTGGAGGGGGAAAAGGCCGGAGAAACCCCGGCAGGATTGAAGCTGCTCCTTTGAATTTGCAATTCGATATGAAAAATCACCTCAGGGCTGGTAAAAAGAGGCCTTGGCCTCTGTATTTAGATTTACAGTCTAATGTTTACTCAGTCATTTTACCCTTTTCGACTATATGTTCATTAATCGATTATTTTCAACCAACCACAAAGATATCAGAACACTGTATCTGCTGTTCGGCGCATCAGCAGAGATAGTGGGTACCGCCTTAAGCCTTCTGATTCTACCAGATTTGGGCCAACCAGGAACTCTGCTAGGAGATGATCAGATTTACAATGTTATTGCTACTTCCCACGCATTCGTCATAATCTTATTTATGGTAATACCAATTGTAATTGGGGGTTTCGGTAACTGGGTAGGACTTTGCATCTGGATGCAGAGTATAGAGGAATCAAAGATTGCTTTTTTACTATGCAGACACTCAGTTTTTTCAGGGGAAATATTGATACATCTTCAATGGCTTCGGTTTGTTTCCTAGTTAACTCCGTTTCACCTAAAAACTCTCAATAGCTTGCTATCATGATGACTCCTCAATATTTTTGGACCTAAGTGTCTTAGAGAGGATTAAAAACGAATGAGCCGTAGGCTTCTTGTTATGTGCTTTTAAACACTGCTGCTTTCCTCCTTAACTATTACTAATGCTCTTAGCACAATATCCTGGAGTATTGCTTTCTTTTCTTCTACTCACAGTTCAGGTTCCTTACCTTGTTATTCATCCGCAGAGATAAGCAGCGCTATCTTTCTCCTTCAGTTGTTGTCCTTCAAGGGCGCATCAGAAACCCGTTGCTTCCCACTGCGCATCCTCACATCCACCTCGCTTCTTAAGCCTTCCTGTAGCAGTTAACTTGGCATGAGTGTCACCTGGGAACACTTAGCCTCAGACATACTTAGTCTCTCTGTATTAGCGTTTTCCTGCTGCCATAATAAATTCTCATAGGTTTAGCAGCTCAAAACAACACATTTATATTATCTCAGAGCGTAAGTCCAGGTTAGCTTCACTAGATTCTCTTCTCCAGGTTTCACAAAGCTGAAATGAAGTTGTTGGTTGCCTGAACTCTTACGAGAAGGCTCTGACAAAGATCTACTTCCAAGCTCATTCCGGGTGATGGCAGAATCCAGTTCTTTGCAGTTGTAGTACTGAGGTTCTAATTTTCTTGCTTGGTGTCAGCTGAGGTCCACACCTAGCCCCTAGAGGCCTCTTGCTGGTCTGAGCACGTGGGCCTTACCTCTCAGAACCATTTTTTATGCCTCCCTTATGCTTGTAATTTCCCTGACTTACCCTTGTGTTTCAGCCCTTTTGCCTCACACAGGAGAAAGCTCTTTCTGTTTAAGGGCTCATGTGATTAGATTGGCCAAACCTGGATAATCTTCCTATTTTGAGGTCCATAACCTTAATTAAATCTACAAAGTCCCTCTTTGCTATGTGAGATAACATATCAACTGATACCAGGGATTAGGGCACATACATCATTGATGGCCGTAATTTGGCCTGTGATGCACTCTTACTTTCCACTTTGAGGCATCTCTAAGCCAATGCAATGGGACTAGCTTCAGGTGACCTTGTCATGATGTTGAATAGATTATCCTCTTTTATTCTTCCCTTCTGGTCCAACATCTTTATGATCCACTTTTAAATGTTTTCCCTCTCATATTAGTCATCTTGCAATTCTTCCTTACACAAACTGCACTTTTAGTCGACACTGATAATCAGTCTGAAGACAATGAATTGGGGACAGACTATGGGGAGGATGAGGATGTCTACAGTAACCCACCTGGAACACTCATGCATGTGAAATCTGGAGATATGAAGGTGTTAGTGCCTTGCAGAGCAAACAACCAATTAAAAAAAATGCCTTATTCTATCTCTTTGCTTATCTTGTGCTTCATTCTTTCTTAACCTGATGAAGATCCCTGACAAGTCTTTTCTAATAGCAGTAACAATTTGATAACACCCATTTGTATGGCTTTTTCATTATTCCCAGTTTCCCACACCTATTCCCCAGATCACTGTTGAGTATAAACCGCATGTAAGCCCTTATCCTGGTGTCTGTTTTGGAAAATAAGAAATAGCCTCTCAAAGGAAAGCATCAAGAAATATTTTTTAAACAGGTTCACTTACCAGTCAGATGTAATAAGGATCCTATTGGTGGTGGTAAATGGGAAGATGAAAATTCTTAACATGCAGTAACATCACAATTAATAAGAATATCACTGATGGTGAATTGAGATGAGTTGAAGTTAGAAGGTGAAGCATTGGTTTACTAAATAAAACAGCTGTGGCTCTGGACTATATGGGGGATTATATAGTACTTATACACGAGGGCATATATAAGGACTATAGCAATTATAAAAATTGTATTGTTGAATAATTTGTTGAAGCCTTAGAAAAGAAAATAATAGATTCAGGTTAGCCAACGATGAACTCGAGGCACAGTTTAGGTCAGAAGGCCAAATTGAAAGCTTTTGAAGAGACCCTTATCTGTGATAGCTTCAGGCAGACTATCCTGAATGTTGGGCTCAGGATTTCATTTTTTACAGAGCAGAGCTACAAAGGAGAAACTCTGGCAGAGCACTGGCTTGTCTTATAGCTAAGGTCAGTGCTCTTAGAGAAAGAGAATTGGGGAGGGTATATTTGGTCAGGCAAGTGTGACCATTTTAAAGCTCCAAATTTCCCTGAATTCTCTGACTGACAGAGTACCTTCCCACCAGCAATGGGCAGAAAAGATATTGCTATTGCCTGGAGACTCTATAAGGACCTTACCTGAGACAGATGCTGTGCAACGGTGAAGCTTGTTTTTTGCCGTCCTCTCCCATCTCATTGTCTTTAGATCAACTAAAAGACCAGCTCAAGTAGGAAAATACAGTCCTTGATCCAAGAAGATTTGGAAGACATGGTTAGTATTTGAGGAAACATTTTCAAGAGTAGGTCATGAAAATGTTAAACCAATAGAAAAGAATAAGAGGGCAGAATTTGTTTAACACCATGGCAAGGCTGTCTGCAGCTAGGTATTTTGTATTTCCGGGGTGGATCTCTAAATCTTGGGAAAAAATGATGGGCCTAAATAAATGAGATGGGAATTGTAGAACTGTCTTAGCAAGATAGTAGGGGTCAGAAGACTCAAAGAGGTAGGTGGGAGTGTAGATGTAATCTGTTTCATGGATCAATCATGCTTTATGTGAAGTATAAGAGGATACTCTCTTCAAAGTGGTAATAAAGGATTCACTGGTGGAAAGAAAACCCAAACTCTATAGGCTGTATTTTAAAGGAGATATTTTCTGAAACTGCGCTTTCTGGCATCAGTGGGAATGATAGGATTTTAAAGTGAGAGACTTTCAGTGGCAGAACTTACTTAGAGTTAAAGTGGACGTACTGTTACAGACAGCAAGGTTGAAGTGGCCACCAGGGTGCCTGGGGTGTGTGGCGATGGCTGATAGACCAGGGGCTTCTGTGTGGCAAAGTAAATGGGTGGCCAACTAAAGTGTTATAGTCACCCCCCAGTATCCATGGGGGGATTGGTTTCAGGACCCCTGCAAATACCAAAATCCTCAGTTGCTCAAGTCCCTGATATGAAATGCGGTAATGTTTGCCTATAACCTATACATCCTCTCATATACTTTAAATCATTTCTAAGTCATTTATAATACCTAATACAATATAAATGCTATGTAAGTAGTTGTTACACTGTACTGTTTAGGGAATAATGACAAAAAAATCAGTATATATTCATTATAGACGTAATTTTCTGTTTTCCAAAAAGTTTTCAATCTGAAGTTGGTTGAATCCACAGATGTGAAACCTACAGACCTGGAAGGCTGACTCTACTTGCATTTCAACCAGAAAAATCTACAGGTGGCAAATAGATTTACATCATCTACAGCCATGAAAACACATATCATTATTCCTTACCCAGTTTCAAAATCTAAGCCAGTTCACAGTCCAAGAACCCAATAATTGAAAATACAACCAAATGCCTCGAGGAAGCAAACATATTCACTCAATCATTTTCCACAAGAATTATGCCAATTACTGGACTAACTTTGTAATGGAAAACAGAAATACTCAGAACTTTTGAAGGTCTTTGGATATAGTATCCACATTGATGGGGATAACAAAGTTTTTCAAAATCATCATGTCCCCTGTTTAGAAGGTAATGTTATAAATGAAGTCCAGACCCAAGTTTATCTCATAGTGAATTTAGCGCCTTAAAATACGCACCCAGAAGTTATTCCCTAACCCTTCAAGCCACAATTGAGATACATATATGTAACACCTGATAGAACTCAGACACAAATTCTTTGATTTGTGGAGGAAAAGTGATTATGGGTTTAAGTGGAAACTCCTAAAACTTACCTATCCTCTAGCCAAAATAGATCAGAAGCAATAACACTTTCGTAGAGGAATTACAGATATTAGTACCAAAATCAAAGATGTAAAGGATATCGTGATAGTCCCTATCTAAAACCATTTGCTAAAGAGAGAGAGAGAGAGGTATTGTGGCAGATGGCAGTGGGCTACTATAAACTTAACTGAGTTGCAGCTGTAACTGCAACATTTTGCCAGCTGTGATATCGTTATAGGAATAAATTAGCATAGGCGATGGCAATTGGTTTGCAAGCTACAGTTTGGCAAATGCATTCTTTTTGATCCTCATCTGAAGACCAGTCAAAAGTTTGCTTTTATGCTCAAAGAACAGCAATATGCATTCATTGTTACCCCAGAATTAATTTTACTCTCTTTCAGGGACTTTGATCATCACACATTTTTTAGAATTACACAATAGCATGGGGAGGGTCACTATATGTTTAGGAAATACAGTTATGGCCAATACAAATTCTATTGACTGAAAACATATTTTCAGTTTTACGAATTTTAAAATTATTTGCAAGACTGACATTACTGTAACCAATTATTTGGGTATTGCTATACTAGCAAAAGGCAAAGCATAAAACTGAAAATAGTTTTTGCCTAAATATTTTTATTTTAGATGCTTAGATGCAAAAGTATTTGAGGCATTCAGAATACTGCCTCAATTTTACATTTTATTTATTTTCTATGGAATTCTCAAATCCTGAATTATCGTTTATTTTTAATATAATTGTCAGAGGTGTTTGAGCCAGAGTTACTCCATCTTTAATAGGGGCTGGGTAAAATACGGCTGAGACCTACTGGGCTGCATTCCCAGGAGGTTAAGGCATTCTTAGCCACAGGATGAGACAGGAGGTTGGCACAAGATACAGGTCATAAAGACCTTGCTAATAAAACAGTTTGCAGTAAAGAAGCCAGCCAAAACCCACCAGAACCAAGATAGTGAGGAGAGTGACCTCTGGTCGACCTCACTTCTCGTTATACACTAGTTATAATGCATTCACATGCTGAAAAACACTCTCACCAGCTGGGTGCAGTGGCTCACACCTGTAATCCCATCCCATCCCAGCACTTTGGGAGGCCGAGGTGGGTGAGTTTGAGACCAGCCTGGCCAAAACAGTGAAACCCCGTCTCTACTACAAATACAAAAATTAGCCGGGCGTGGTGGCCTGTGGCTGTAATCCCAGCTCCTCCAGAGGCTGAGGCAGGAGAATTGCTTTAACTCGGGAGGCAGAGGTTGCAGTGAGCTGAGATTGTACCACTGCACTCCAGCCTCAGTGACACAGCAAGACTTCATCTCGGAAAAAAACAAAAACAAAACAAAACAAAAAATACACTCCCACCAGCACCATGACAGTTTATGAATGCCATGACAATGTCAGGAAATTACCCTTTTATGGTCTAAAAAGGGGAGGAACCCTCAGTTCCAGGAATTGCCCACCCCTTTCTCAGAAAACTCATGAATAATCCACCCCTTGTTTAGCATATAATCAAAAAGTAACAATAAGTATAAGCAACTGAGTGGCCCATGCTGCTGCTCTGCCTATGGAGTAGCCATTCCTTTATTCTTTTACTTTCTTAATAAACTCGCTTTCACTTTATGGACTTGCCCCAAATTCTTTCTTGCGTGAGATCCAAGAACCCTCTCTCGGGGTCTGGATTGGGACCATTTTCCAGTAACATAATTTTTGTCAAAATTCAATTAAAATATAATCATTGCCTAAATATTTATCCTCTGCCTGCCTATTGATTTTGAAAATAATGCACTTTTATTCACTTTAAAGATTTCAATAGAAAACATAAATTGTTTTAAATATTTGTCTTGTCATCATTATTATAGGACTATGCCTACTGCATTCCTATAAATGGCATACATTAGAAAGTAAAATGAACTCTGAATCCTTTACTTGTAGGTGGATATATATAACTATTAGAAATAAATATCTTCAATGGACTCTGCAAGACAGGATCCTGATCCTTGACTCTCAGTTAATTAGTACAAAGGAAGAAAATCTAGACAAACAGCCTCCCTATTCATTTGATAACTAATTAACATGCACACCCTGTAGAAGTTACTTGACTCTCAATTACAATTAAATATGCAAGGTTATAAGAACACTGCAAGCAGAAAGCTGACAGCAATCTTCCCCTATTAGAGTGAACACATCAAGGATGGTTCTATGCAGTCAGGAAAGGTTTCGTGTATTACAGCAGGCTGTGTTATTCATTGACTATCCCCACAAAGCAATAGCAATGATAATGTCACCACTGATCCTAAGATCCCATCATCTATAGTAGGCTCAGGATTAAAACTTAGCGAACTGTTAAAATTGTTTGTGGACCCCATCAAACATCAACTAGAACAGTCTAAGAAAAAAAAATATGTCAAGATTTGCCGTTGCTCTAATGGTGTTGGGTTAATTTTGTCATAAAATTAATGATGCACTTAAAATGAAGAGATTTATGATATCTGAGAGCACTCCTAATTAAGTTAACTCAACTGAGCAGCTTACAACTCATCCAAATCCAAAAAAAGAATGATTAATAAAGTACCCAAATGGTATCCTCCTTTTTGACTTATTTTTCAATAATCAATTAAAATGATTATTCCATTTTTATTTCAGTTATCGTCTTTGTAAACAAGAATGCATTTTTTCATAAAATGACTGTGTATTCATGAATACCAAGCTATACGATTTGCTTAAACTAACCTATGAGTAAAAGCTTTGTTGAATCTTAGAAAATCTTACCATATATATTTAAGACATGTTCCTCTTATTTAATTTCTATTCTTAAAATATGTGATCATTTTATTTAGCATCACTAGTTGAATTTTTAGAAGCTCTTTATGCATTAAATTGTATACTAAAGGGACATTGATAAAAAGGCCCACATCTAAGATGCTAAATATCCTGCAAACTTCAGTGCTGTTATTATGATGTGGATGGAGAGTAACAAGGCTTCTTTTTCTTTTGATGGCTATATCTAAAAAAGAGATGACAGTTTGAAGATTGTAAAAAGACCTAGATAAATATTTGTCATTTCTTCTTTACAAAAATCACTTTAATGCGACCAGATTTATGATGGAAGAGTTTCCCATTACAGACTTTTTGACTGAGATGGGACATAATTGTTACTATGTCCAGCTCATTGTTTGGCAGAATGTGCCAAGTTTGATTCATCTCCTAGTGCAGATTTCACATAAGAACATTGTTCCATGTAAAGTAAATAATAGTAGTATCCGCCAAACCAGATTTAATATTTTTTAAAAAAATGCATAGCCTAGGTATCAAAAATCTGTTTTTACGAAGAGGTGAAGAATTTCATACTTTAGACCCCTTATAATTGAACAGGGTTCATTCATTAAGCCAATGACATCAATTGACCTCTAAGTACAAGGCCATTACTTTATTTGCTTCGAGTAACCCATTCAAGTAAAAATAATTCATAAAGATAATTCATCATTAACAAAATCTTATTTTTTAAGACAGCTATCTATATGGACTGAATCTTACATCTCTAATTATTTTTGGATTTTTTATTAACATTAAGATTTGTTTATAACATATTTAACTTAATAGAGTTTAAAACCTGGGTTTTCTGGCACCCGGATCTCCGTTTAAAATCATAGAAGCAAAAATCATGGATCAGTTAAATGATCTTCTGAAATCCTCATTCTGTCCCTGAAGGTGGTATTGAAACACCTTTCACGGACAAGCATGGCAGTTGCTTGTCTTGAAATCAACCCCAGTGTATCAGTGATGTGCTCAAACAGCACAAGAAAAAAGTATACAGTAGTAATTTTAGGACATTTTGAATACATATTTTGGATCTGTACGGGTTTCCAGAGTAACTCATTTCATGGTTTTCTTTTTACTTATATGAAGCCATATATGTGTTAACTGTGTGTTAGCATGTGTTAACTGTGTGGCTATTTCCAAGTGCTCAGGAAACATTTTCAAGAATGTAGTATTTTCATGTATTCAGGGACCTTCTAGGCATGATGTTCCAAACTTAGAAACACATGTCCAATATATCTAGTTCATCTTAAATTGAAATGAGTCCAAACTTGTGATGGTTTCTTAAAAAAAATGTAATTCTTAAGGTTCTTATCAAAGAAGTTGTGTGTGATATCTTTTTTCTTTCTTTTCAAGTAAGAGCTATGTTGAAAACTTCTATTTTTATTACAGGATAATCTGAGTTTTCTTACAACATATTTTAGCTAAAGTTTATAAAAATTCTCATTGATTGTAAGTCTTTTCAGTTTTTCATATTTTCTTAGTAAACATCCAAATGGATCACAACATTGCTTTGGTTTTCAAGAAGCATAGTAAATCCCAAAATCATTCTATGTTGACATTAAAATCACAGATATGGACATTTCTTTTAGGCAAATTAAAATGTAGATATGTCACTGAAAATATCTTACTCCCTGAACATTAAATTAAGAACATTTGCATACATAGAACTTGAGATATCATGGAACACAATATAATTGTCAAATATGTGCAAAAATGATTAGGTGAAGAGGTGGATGGGTGATATACAGCATGAATGGGTCAAATCTTAGTCCTTTGTGAATGCCATAATTTAAGATTTTTTAGATTATATTTTAATCATGTTGCAATGAATTGAATGTTTACTTTTTATTCTTATTTTTATTTCTTAACTTTTATTGCAGTTTGGGGGCACATGAGCAGGTTTGTTATATAGGTAAACTGCATGTCATGGAGGTTTGATGTATAGATTATTTTGTCACCCAGGTAATAAGCATAGTACCAAATAGTAGTTTTTCTGATCCTCACCCTCCTCCCACCTTCCACCTTCAAGTAGACCTCAGTGTCTAGTATTCCCTTCTTTGTGTCCATGTGTACTCAATGTTTAACTCTCACTTATAAGTAAGAACATGTAGTATTTGGTTAGTTCATTAGTTCTCTTAGAAAAATGACCTCCAGCTCCATCCATGTTACTGAGAAGGACATAAGCTAACTTTTTTTAATTGTTGTGCAGTATTCCATGGTGTATATGTATAACATTTTTCTTTATCCAGTCTACCATTGATGGCCATCTAGGTTGGATCCATGTCTTTGCTATTGTGAATAGAACTGTGATGAAGATACATGTTCATGTGTCTTTATGATAGAAACACTTATATTCCTTTGGGTATATACCCAAAATGGGATTGCTGGGTCAAATGGTCATTCTGTTTTAAGTTATTTGAGAAATCACCAAACTGCCTTCCACAGTGGCTGAACTAATTTCTATTTCCATCAAGAGTGTACCAGCATTCTCTTTTGTCCACAACCTCAACAACATCTGTTTTTGACTTTTTAATAATAGCCATTCTGACTGCTGTGAGATCGTATCTCATTGTAGTTTTGATTTGTGATTCTCTAATGATTAGTGATATTAAGCATTTTTTCATATGCTTGTTGGCTGCATGTATGTCTTCTTTTGAAAAGTGTCTGTTAATGTCATTTGCCCACTTTTTAATGGGATTGTTTTTTGCTTTTTAATTTAAGTTCTTTATAGATTCTGGTTATTAGACCTTTGTCAGAGGCATAGTTTGCAAATATTTTTCTCCCTTTCTGTTTACTCTGTTTTCAATTTGTTTGTTTTTTTGAGACAAGTTCTCACTTTGTTACCCAGTCTAGAGTACAGTGGCACAATTATGGTTCACTGCAACCTCAGCCTCCCTTTCACCTCAGCCTCCCAAGTAGCTGAGACTACAGGTGCAAGCCACCATGCCTGGCCAATTTTTGATTTTTTGTAGAGACAGGGCCTTACTCTGTTGCCCAGGCTGGTCTTGAACTTCTGGATGCATGTGTTCTTCCCACTTCCACCTCCCAAAGTGCTGGGATTACAGGCATGAGCCACCATGCCCAGTTTGTTTACTCTGTTGATAGTTTCTTCTGCTGTGTAGCTTTTTAGTTTAATTAGGTCCCATTTGTCAATTTTTATTTTTGATGCAATTGCTTTTGGTATTTTTGTCATAAAATCTTTGCTGGGGCCTGTGTTCTGAATGTTATTTCGTAGGTTCTCATCAAAGGTTTTTATAGTTTTGGGTTTTACATTTAAGTCTTTAATCCATCTTGAGTAGATTTTTATATTTGGTGTAAGGAAGGGGTCTAATTTCAATCTTCTGCATTTGGCTAGCCATGGAGCGAATGTTTATATCCCCCCATAATTCATATGTTGAAATCCTGACCTTCAATGTGATGGTATTGCAAGGTGAGGCTTTGGAAGGTAATTAGGTCATGAGGATGGAGCCCTCAGGAGTGGGATGAGTGCTTTTAAAAGCGACATTAGAGAGCTCTCTCATCCCCTTTCTGTCATATGAGGAGATAATGGGAAAAAGTAGTCTGCAACTTGGAAGAGGAGCCTCACCAGAACCTGATTATGATCTCTAACTTCCAGCCTCCCAAACTGTGAGGGATGTCTTTTTGTTTTTGTAAGCTACCCAGTCTATGGTACTTTATTTTAGCAGCCCAAACTGACTAAGACATATGCATATTAGGCCACATCATAAAATGAGGATTTTGTTTCTGCCTTGTATGATGATGTTCAATAGATAGATAGATAGATAATAGAGGTTGGGTGAGGACAAGGTGAAAATGTATCAGTGCTTATTAAATTGAAAGATGACACATACTGACAGCTTCATTTCTAGTGAAAATTCACTTTTTATGACCAAAAAAAAATAGATAGGATTCTAATTTCTATCAGCTCTTGTGAATTTTAAACCTTAATCTGAATACTTGCTCTTAATGTTTCATGATTTTCTCTACCTCTTCCCTCTGTCAGCTTTCCACTCTGCCTTACTACCATCATCACTGCAATGGACATTCACACCCATTCTGCTTATCTTATTCAAGTGCTTTGCGGTTACTTATGCCAGTAACAGTTAGTTATTTAGCACTCACTCATATTACCTACTTTTTTGGTTTTCTTCCATTTACTCTATCCAGGTTGTACTGTGATCATATACTGAAAAAAGAATGGGAATAGGAAGATATTTCAATATGTGTTTAGAAAAAGATGATCTGGATGTCAAGATGGGATTTGGGAACAAGAATGAAGAACTGGATGGTTTCTGAGTTTCAGTAGTTATAGCTTTCTTGTTATTACTGTTATTCAAGAATCTAGCAGTTCTTTCATGTGTGTAATTTTTCAAGTACCTTCATAATCTTTACCTTCTTCTTCTATTCTCCCAAAATTTATGATAACAAATGAGCCACTTGGCTGCCACAAATAATTCATATTATAATATACTGGTTAAATATCATAAACAATCAGAACTGAAGCAATTAGTAGCATGGCAATTCATCTGGTAATACAACATCTTCATCAAGGACCCCAAAAATGGCAGTGTAAAGAATCTTGTCTGAAGCATATGGACACAACAAAACTATATAAGTAACTGCACCAGTAGTATTGTCTGTATAGAAGTTTTTGAGACAGGAATGAAAATGGTGATTAAGGAGTAATGTGTGTCAAAAAGTAAGGAAGAAGGGTTGGCAGAGGAAACTATTTTAAAAAATGATATCCACGTGTTAAAGACTCTTCTAGCTCAACAGAGAGTTCCTAAATAAAGGTGATCTTTTAGAGGAGTTCTCACTGGGCAGAAATGGTTAAGCAGTTGCATCATTGCCTTACTCTGGGCTAGCTGTCCCAGAAAAACTTGACCTTGGCTCAAAAGCTTAAGGAGACAAGGGCTAGAGGCTTTTATCTAAGTACGCTTCTTGCAGCTGGACACTGGATCCTTTGTTGAAGTGGTATTTGGGTTATATATCTCTGTTTCTGGCAAAATAACAGTTCTTGCTCTACCTAGATATTTACTGGACATCTATATGAAAGTCAAAACACTGTCTAGACTTTGTGACTAAAACAGTAATTTAAAATATGCTCAATACACTTAAGAGTTTATAATTATTTATTTAAATAAAGCATATATACAGATAACTAAAGTAATTCCTCCAACACTCTTCCCTGGCTTTATCTTTTACATTGAAGGTCTCTATCTACAGGCATTGTTTCCCATTAGAACCATCATTTGGCACTCAATTGGTTAGCTATGGGTTTCCATTTAGTGTTCTGTTTTGTCCCAAATCACAGAAATTGTGCCTCCAAGTTCTTTCTACTTTATCCTGATCAGTTGTTAGTACCATATCCCGGTCACTCTCTATGGTTAGCAAAACCCAAAATATTTGTACAAAGATCTTACTATCCTGATTTCTTGGGTCATCTCCTCTCCCCAGTCCAGATTGGAATCTCTTTCTGTGTGACCTTCCATTATTCTCTGCATTTTATGTACTGTGTGGAATGATTACTCCCTTCTTGACTCCTACTTATTTGAATGGCCCTCTGGATTCTTTCACGCTGTACATACCTAATAGATTCCCTCAAATGTCTCCCCTAAGAGTTCAGGAAACACTCCTACCCTCATGGACCCTGTGCCTGTTCTAGTCCCTTTCCCAATTCAGCCTCTTATGTTGAGACTCCCCATACCCATCAACATGGGAAATTTTTAAAAAATATATAAATTGCTATGATTATATGTCTTGGAAGAAAATTAACTAAATATAAATATGCATTTGTTGCTAATTGTTTGATTAGATGAAATGAAGGTAATTTTAGATTCATCACTAAAGGTTATAGTTTCTCATATTTAAAAACTTTTCCACATAAATAAGAAAAAGCAGTTAGTTTTCTGATGTAACTGGATAATATTAATGTATATTATCCTATGACTTATTTCTTCCAAACTATTTGACTTTAATCGCATATTCAAAAAGTGCAGACAAGGGCTGTACCTTTAAAATGTACTAGTTAATTAACTCCCATACTCCCATTTCTCTGAATAAGCCTGAGGAACAAACAAGTTAATTAAAGTAATTCTCTCAATGTTACTGACAGGAACACTGGAAGAGAGCCATCAGGGAGGCTGGAACCAGCTTCCGATAGTCATGGCTGAACTGGGAAAAGTCTGTGAGAACACTGAGCTCTAAGGAGGGAAATCAAAAGTGTAAATCTTTTTTTTTTTTTTGAGCTGTTGAAAATAATAATAATAATAATTGAATCTGAGAACCCTGCATAGCAAGTAGCCCATTTCCCCTTGTAATGTGATTATAGAGATTCTCCTGTGAACAGACTGAGGTAAGAGCAATGGTGTGTCCATTTTGAGCCTAGGCATCAAGAAGAATGGCTGGTTTCTGCTTACTATTCTGACATCCTGCTCAGTTGCCATGGGGGGACCTGGTGATGCTTGGTGAAAGATGGGAGACCATGTAGATAAGAAGTAAATCACCAACTGAGGCTCTAAAGACCAGGGGTCTCCAACCCCTGGACCACAGACCTGTACTGGTCCATGGCCTGTTAAGAACATGGCCACACAGCAGGAGGTGAGCGGCAAGTGAGCGAAGCTTCATCTGTAATTACAGCCACTCCCCATTGCTCATATTACCTTCTGAGCTCTGCCTCCTGAATCACCGTGGTATGCAATCCAGGTCGAGGAGTCTACCAATGTTGACAACAAGGCAACAACACTTGTTTTGTACAATGTATTTTTCGGGAGGATGTGCATGATGATATGTTATGTACACGTTTGTTGCCAACCAACACCACAACTGCAAAACTATTCAAGTCTTTGAATGATTACATAGCAGGAAAACTGAAATGGTCATTTTGTATTGGTACATGTATGGATGTAGCAGCTGCCATGACTGGATGGCTGTCTGATTTCGCTACTCGGGTCAAAGAGGTCACTTCTGAATATGAGTCTATGCACTGTGTCATCCATAGAGAATTGCTGGCTAGCCAAAATATGTCACCTGAACTTAACAGCATTTTGCAGGATGTGATTAAAATTATCAACCACATTAAAGTACATGCCCTTAACTCATGTCTGCTCGTGCAGCTCTGTGAAGAGATGGAAACAGAGCACACACATCTTCTCACAGAAGTGAGATGGCTTCCTAAAGGTCAATCGCTGGTCAGTGTTTTTGAGTTACGAGAGTTGCTCCAGAGATTTCTTTTAGAAAAGCAGTCACCGCTGGCAGCACACTTCAGTCACACAGAATGGGATGCAAAACTTGCTTACTTTTGTGTGAGATATTCAACCTGCTCAACAAACTCAATCTGTCACTTCAGGGGAGAATGACAACTGTATTTGAGTCAGCAAATAAAGTGGCTGCATTCAAAGCTAAACTGGGGGTGACAAGTGAACACTGAGATTTTTGACATGTTTCAAACATTAGCAGAAATTTTCAGAGACTGAGCCAGGGCCTTCTTTCCATCAGCTGGTGCATGATCACCTATCTCAGCTTTCAAAAGAGTTTGGGCATTACTTCTCAACCACAGAAGACCCCTGAACTGGGAAGGAATGACTCTGCAACCCATTTGTGAATAAGCCAGGTGAATCGACTTTTTCTGTGCTAGAAGAGGGTCAACTGCTTGAGATTGCAAACGATGGTGACCTTAAAAGTAGGTTTCAGACAACTTTCAAAAGAATTTGAGCATTACTTCTGAGTTTTCATCTATCTCAGCTTTCAAAAGAGCTTGAGCATTACTTCTCAACCACAAAAGACCCCTGAAATGGGAAGGAATGGCTCTGCAACCCATTTGTGAATAAGCCAGGTGAATTGACTTTTTCTGTGCTAGAAGAGGGTCAAGTGCTTGAGATTGCAAATGATGGTGGCCTTAAAAGGAGGTTTGAGACTTCAAATATCCATATGATCTGAATTAGTCAAGGCAGAATATCCTGAGATGTCACAAAAGCCTGCTTTTATTTCCAACATCCTAACTTGTGAAGCAAAGTTTTCTGCAGTGATGACAACCAAAACGAGACTATAGAGTACACTGGACATAAGCAACACACATCAGATATCACTGTCTCCCATCACCACAAGATGGGACTGTCTAGTTGCAAGACAAGCAGCTCAGGGCTCCCACTGATTCTACATTATGGTGAGTTGTACAATTATCTCATTGTATATGACAACGTAATAACAATGGAAATAAATATAATGCACTTGAATCATCCCAAAATCATCACCCCCTACCCTTGGTTCGTGGAAAAAATTTAATCCACAAAACTGGTTCCTGGTTCCAGAAACATTGGGGACCACTGCCCTAGACCTGCTAGCTCTCAGCCAAACTAGCAAATGCTAAGACTAGAAGAACTACATAGCCGAGCCAAGTCCAAATTGCCATCCCACAGAGTCATGAGCTAAATTAATGGTTGTACTGTGCCACTAAGTGTTCAGATGATCTGCTATGCAGAAAAAGCTCATTGATATAACCAGTCATGTTTAGAATAGTCTGAAAAAATGGCACTAGCTGAACAATTATTGTCAGTCACATTGATTCCAAGAGGGATACCTGGTACCTGACTATCTTGCTCTGTTACAAGCAGTGGGAAAGTGTGGAGGACAGAAAATTTGATCCTTTTCCCTTTCTGTCCACTGTATGAGTAAGTATACATGTTTCCCGTCTCCTAAATTAATATCGTCCCCTGTCCCCTGGAATATGAAATCTAACTATATTAGCAAGTGACATAAAAGAGGTCAAAATGTTATGGTTTAGAGAATTCATGACTAGAGGTGATGTATAATGACTTCATAGAAATAAAAGGAGTGTCAGGCAATGCTCAAAACATGGACAGAATCTCCCCATCAAAAAAAAATGGGAGAAACATGTTACAGAGAGAATGAATTATTTAAACCTAGAGGGCAAATTTTGTGAGATGTTGGAGGGAGGAAGAAAGAATTCATGATGTGAAATATTTGGAAAACAAAAAATAGATTAGGGTTCTGGGAATGCAACACCTCAAGCATTAGACTGAATTTGTACCCGACTTTATACAAAATAAAGAGCTCTTACAAGTTTTCAACAAGCAAATGATATACGTAGAGCTAGTTTTTAGAAAGCTGAACCATGTGGAAGCTACAGAATAGATTCTACTGTGGGAGACAGAATGAGCTATTGAATGAGCTAACAGTTAATGCACTAGAGAAATAGCAACATATGTGGTGAAGAGAATCTGAAAGACTCAGTGAGTAACTAGATGTAGAGTTTCAGTGACTATAAAAAGTGAAACTGATACATTGACATATCTTAGACATAAATACAAAATTGGGATAAAGCATTGTTTTGGGATATGATGAATTTGCAAGTCTAAAAAGAATGTCAGATAGTGGCACAAATGTGGTATTTAACCTTAGGAAATAAGTTGGAGGTCATAAAAATATTCTTACTGTTTAGTCATTTTAAGAAAGACTAAAATTATTTAAAAATTTATTAATTGGAAAGAATTAGGGAAAGGTAAAAAAGAGAGAAAAAATAAAGAATATCTTTGCAAACTCGACTTCCTACCTATGAATTTTAATTTGCTTGCTTTTTGTTCTATTTTTCAAAATGAAATCAAAGAAGGAAAGCAGTATAGAAAGAACTATGAAAATCTGACTAATTTGAAACTGAACATCTGCATACCACAGAAAGGAAAGTGAGAGAAAAATCTGACAAATGTTTCTGTTAGCTCAGGATTTATTATGAGGTGTTTGCAAATTATCTCTCCAATTTTGAATATAAATTACAGAATAACTAATGCACACTCATTATTGTACACTTTGTGTCACCTTTTAATTTGAATCTTTGAGCTTATTAACTTTTCCTTCTTATAAAAGCTGATTCAGAAAGAAAAAAATAAGTCCAGAAAAAAGAAATGTCAAATATAAACAGCATATTAGTGTTTTGGATAAAGATGGGCTGATGGTAAATACATAGAAATTGACTAATCTATAAGTAGAATTATTTGCCATTGTATCAAATAGTAGATATTATATGTATTTATATATGTATATATATACTTTGTAAGAATTTATGCTTATATCTAGCAAGTAATTTATGAAATAGCTATATATTGACTGAAAGGAACATGGAAAAAAACGTGAAGAAAAAAATAAGTCTTTTTCTGCACTTTTTGAATATACTATTAAAGCCAAATTGTTTGGAAGAAATAAATCATAAGATGCTGTGTGCTATCTAGTTATATCAGAAAACCATAGAGTGAAGTGTCAAGCTTGGAAAAAATAAAAATGGTGTTTAAATGAATAAGTTGTAACCAGAATTTTATGAATATTAATATATTTCTGCTATTAAGCCTTTGTTTTCTTAATCAGTGACCTGGAAAACACTAAAATGATAGGTTCCAGACAGAGTGTGATGGAAAAAGAAAAAAAGCCATCTGACCACCCTTCAGAACCATGACTTGGAATTAACAGTATATCAGGGAGCTTGTTGCATATATTGGGCTTTCAAGAAATAAAATACTAGCGTGTTCAAAGTAGAAAAATAAAAGGCCTCTATCTAAAGAGGATATGTTTTGTTTTTAATGAGTTGGTTAAATGTGTGTACTGTTCATGTGGTTTTTTTATGGATTTGGGTATGGTAAGTGAAATAAAACCACTCCTCAGAGTTGAGTCATTTATATAGTTATTCATTAATAGGCACTCTGGGGGTCACTGCAGTTATATGGGACAAAAATATTGACATACTGCCTGCTATAATGGAAAGAGTTGTAAAGACAATGAACAAGAAAACAAACAGGTAATTGTGAATTGTGATAAACACTATAAATGATGTAGACAATGCATGTGATAAAGACTCACAAAGAAAAGAGGGGTCTGTAATTAGACACTGAGGTTAGCAAATGCCCTACTGAACAGGTAATAGTTAAGCTGAAGCCAGAAAGATTAGAGGGAGCTACAAGACAGCCTATGGGAAAGAAAAGTCCAGGCAGACCAAACAGCTTGCCCGTGGTCCTAAAATAAGTTTAGCTTGTTTAAAGACAAAAAGAGGGTCAGAATTCTGAGAACATTGAGAATTTGAAGGAGACCTAAAATAAGCTCTGAAAAGGACCGGCTCTGCTCCTGCTATTAGTCAGCTAGTCTTCTGTTGCTGTGTAACAAAAGGCCTCAAAATCTCAATGGCATAAAATAATGGGCATTTAGTTATCACTAATAAATATTAGTCAGCTGAAGTGTCCCTCCTTCTTTCTTTTTCTCCTTCTTCTCCCCTTCTCCTCATCCTCCTTTTATTTATTTAGTATCCTATTAGAAATATTAAAGGTTTATGTCCTGAGTTCAGAACAGACTGTATGCTATAATTTAATTACATATTAGGTCTCTGCTATAAGAGATGAGATGAGTAAATATGTATAAAGTGCTTTGATTAGTGTGAGGCACATTTAGCCTTCAAAGATTAAGACTTATTATGTGAGAACTACAAAAATAAACAAATGAGAATCCTGAATAATTTTGAGTAGGATGGAACTACTGACTAAGAATTACTGAATTCTTAAGTATCTAACGTGAGTTGCACAGACAAAGATAAATGGTGTTATTGTAGTCTCTAATATAGCTTTCTAGGCCTACTGGTGCATATGTAGCTTGTAATCAATAAATTACTCAAAGTGTAGGGAAGAAGGTTTTTACACTTTAAATTTCTTATGAAGATCATCTGAGAGAAGCAATTGGGAAAGATACCCAGCCTCCAGGTTCTGCATTGCAAGAAGAAACCTACTATGTAGTATGGGTGAAATTAATTAATGGAAGAATTATCTTCGAAGCCTTTGTTTATTGGAATCTGTGAATTTTTAAAAAATTTTGTCTTAGATGAACATGTGGCCAAACTAAAACAATAAACCTATCTACTGTTCTGATGGGAGACTGTTCGAAGTATCTAGCCTATTACTATGACCCAGATGCATTAAAAAATAAAAGTGACTGTTGGGAAATACTTTAATTCTGTCTGTCTGTGAAACTAACTGCGTCTTAGGTGAAATGTCCTGCACATAAAAGGACATATCTTGACAATAATTGGTAATGATAAGTGTTTCAAGAGGGTATAATTTAGGCCAGTGACCAGGAGATGAGGCATGATTAGAGAAAGAGTAAGAGTTCAAGTCCAGGAATCCTAAAAGCTTTCTGGAAATTTTAAAGTGTATTGAATTTTCAGAATATTTGAATTATGAGTTATGAAGCCTGAAAATAATGGATGTTTTTAAAGTTTTGGATGACTCATGATACTCTTCTTCATCACATATCTTTTGTTATTGTTTTCAATCAGTATCACAATAAATTGATTTTCATCTATTTGCCAATTCATATACACATTTTCCATGAACTCAGAAAGTTCATGGAAATGTGTATATGAAAAAACTATGCATGGTTTTCAATTTTTTTGCAACAAAATGGACCCATACTTACTTTTATGACATGTTTGAACAGGATCTATTTTGAGGCACTAAGAAATATAAAACATCAATTTGAAAGGAGCTCCTATCAGAGCAACACAAATTATGCTAAAATTGAAACAAGAACAAACATCAAATTTTTGATGAGGTTTGGGTGGAAGAATGGTGAAATCACTGATGCTTTGTGAAAAATTTTTGAGGACAATGCCCTAAAGAAATCAGCAATTTACCAATGGAAACTCATTTTAAGAAGGAATGAGACAATGTCAAAGATGAAGCCCACAACGGCATACTATCTACATCTATTTCCAAGGAAAAACATTATCTTGTTCATGCCCCAATTGAAGAGGAATGACAATTAATAGCACAAACAATAACCAACACCATACAAATCTCAATTGGTTCAGCATACACAATTCTGACTGAAAAACTAAGATGGAGCAAACTTTCCACTGGCCAAAACTATCGCATCCAAATCAGTTGCAGACAAGAGCAGAGCTTTCAAAGGAAACTTTAAACAAGTGGGAGCCAGATCCTGAAGCAGGTTTTCAAAGAATTGTAACAAGAGATTAAACATGGCTTTACTAGTATGAACCTAAGATAAAGCCCAATCAAAGCAATAGCTACCAAGAGGTTGGCGGTAGTCAAGCAAAGCAAAGTGCAACAGTCAAGAGCAAAGGTCACGGCGACAGTTTTTTGGGATGCTTAGGCATTTTTCATGTAGACTTTCCAGAGGACCAAAGAAAGGTAACATCTGTTTATTATAAGAGTGTTTTCAGAAAGTGAGCCAAAGGTTTTGCATAAAAATGCCCAGGAAAGCTTCACCAGAGATCCCTCCTTCAGTAGGACAATTCTTCTGCTCATTCATCTCATGAAACAAGGACGAGTTTGTAATCATTAGGCATTTCCCTTACAGTCCTGATTTGGCTCCTTCTAACTTCTCTTTGTTTTCTAATCTTAAAAAATCTTACAGGGAACCCATTTTTCCTCAGTTAATAATATAAAAAATGACTACGTTGACATGATTAAATTCCCAGGATTCTTAATTCTTTAGGGATGGACTAAATGGCTGATAACATCATTTACAAAAGTGTTTTGATCTTGATGGAGCTCAGTTGAGAAATCAAGTCTATTTTTTACCTTAAATCTCTTAGTTGTATTTTTTCATGAACTCTTTGTAGTCCCTTTATATGTTTAATTAATCCTGACAGATCCAACGTTATCCTAGAGAAGTAAACTATCAACAATATGTATTTTTCTTCAGATAAACAAGACATCTCCCCAGTTTCAAAGATTGATTGATTGTATTTATCTACCAAACCCATAGAATGAGTTATTAAACTCAAGGAAATTGTCATTTAGTGATTTATATAAGCTTATTCTTAATTTAGACCTATTGTTTTATTCAGAAGAAAACAGATTTTTTAAAGGAAAATATTTTGTGGACACAACAGTCTATTACCAATTTAAGAGCCAGTGTACAAAATTAGTATAAGAATATGATTGAGCTATCTGCTGATAATCAGAGAATCCAAAAGACATATTCTGCATTTCTATTTCCTAACACGAATAAAAAACACATTATCTAGCAAATGTTAATGACCACTCACAATAAATGGAATAAACAGATAAAATCTGCATTAAAAGTTCGTTAGCATTGGGTATTAAAAACATAAAACTATGGAAATGAGTTTCAAAAGCTTAATTCTCTCATTCTCTCTTCTCAGAGTTAAGAGACATACCTCAAGGTATAAATTAATCCACAGGGCATTTTAGTGGCATATGGGATAATATATTCCTTGTTTCTCATTTGTAATTAGAGAAAAAGAGTTTGGAATCCCAGCCATACCACTGGTTTTAGACTCAGGGACATTTTCTGTGCTTACTGAATAATATAACACAGGCCTTAGATGCATCCTATTCCAGATGTCATATGAACACATCATAAAGTACTACCACTTTGATTTCAGTTCAAATCAGCCTTTTGTTTGGGAAAGTATAGCATAAATTTTCTAATTTTCTCTCTTTCTATCCTTCTCTCTCTCTATCTTTCTCTATCTCCCTTTACTAGTGAAGAATTACCTATAATTTTTCACATATTCTGCCCAATTTTCTAGAATCCCTGCCATGACCTATTGACTCAGCTCTAGGTGACTCCAAATGCTGACAGTCCCCCATAGTATTCTTTGCCCATCAAAGATCTATAGTCATTGACAGGGCTACAGAAGGTGTGTGGGCTCAGAAGGCAGGCACACCTCCATGCTGCCACCCACCTTTCCCGAAGAATTCATCCACTCTCTTAGAGGGATTCTTGATGATGTCTGTAGACAATTTTTGTCATTTGTTGACTACCAAGCAACTAAACTCCTTTCTTATGTGTGTGTGTCTTGGTAAGAAGGGTCTACCCACCTAATATTAAACCAAAGCTTCTGAGATACTTTCTCTTTATCCCAGTAACCAAGCTAGAGAAAGAGGGACAGTTAGATGTTCCCAGCTGGAACTGTTCTTGGGGAAATAATGCACAGAAGTAGGAAATACATTAGAATTTATTCCTGGTGGTGTGAGTACATACAGCGCTGCGTGAAACACCAGGGTCCAGGGTCTGACCTGCAGCCTTCTAACTAGATTCTTCCTATAGCATGGTGTGATGGGAGTTCTAGCCTCTCATCCTCATTACTAACCTATCTGTTTTGTAAAGGCTAGTTTTCCAATTAATTTGTTTTTGTCTATATTAACTCCCGCAAACTTCTATTGATTTTATCACCACTTATAACCACTGTGTTATAAATTTCCACCAAAGTTTCTCTTATCTGGCACAAGTACTAAGAACTTACTCTCTTCAGTATGGAGAAAAATGCTGGTCAGTACAAGGGAGGACATGGGGAGTAGACTCAATACTAAATAACAAAGGACATATAGAGTCATGAGAAGGGGCAGTGAGCACTGTGGACTTGGAAATAGCCCTCTGCTAGCTCAAATGCATTTTGAAAATACTGCATCCTAGAAAATAACTTTATTTGAAAGAGTACTATGAGAAAATGGTTAGACACTTCTCTAATTCTCTTCAATACACATTTTCATACATCACCTTTTGACTGATGAAAACTGATGTGGAAGCTTTAGAAGTGAGTATGGGCCATCAGATCAGAAGGAAAGGCATTTCCCTCCTTAAGGGAGAGGGGTTTTGGCTCGAGTTTCTCCCCTTCTTGCTTTTCAGGATTAAGTACCATCACACCTCTTCAAAACTGTGTGTAGACATTGCCTTCTGTTCTTATGTTGTAGTCCTTTTTGTTTTAGAACATTTCGCCTCCACCTTTCTAACAGAAGATACATTCGGTGTATGTAAATGTGTTATTTGGCTGATATTTAAATGTTGGATATGGAGGAGGACTCAAGAAATATCCCTACAGCCAAATGATTGCACTTGTACCAGCCATATGGAAACGTTTCCGTGATCTTGAGTAGGGACTGTATGTCCCAATAGCAGTGAAGGCAATTTTTGGTCTCTATATACAACCTGGTACATTGAATCATTTTTGAGCTGACTCTTTTCACTCCTTTGATGGTGGTGGTGGACCTCATGTGTTCAGTAATCCTCCATCTGCCCCTGTCTCCTCAGTGTTTCTCTGTGATTTCAGAAAGCTTCTAAAAGATGAGATAACGAGTGGTTACACATTTACCTGGGTCACAAACAGGTCGCCCTACTGTGTCTTGCTCCTCCCTTATGGGTTCCTACCAACCACTAGGGTCCTAGAGCTTTCAATGAGCTAATGTATCAAAGGGCTTAGCACCTGAGTGACCAGCCTATGTCTACTCAGTACAGTATTTACTGAACACATACACATGTGAGCACTATTCCCATTGCTGTGGATACAGCACCAAACAAAACACATTTCTCTGTGTTCTCCTGCCATAGAAAGAATAAAGAAGAAAGTCCATAAACCTAGGAAGAAAGATATAGCAGAGTATAAAAATATTAATGGAGGTGTTATATTAAATCAAGTGGCCAGGGAAGGCCTCTATGGGGAAATGACATTTGAAAAGGGATCTGAATCCAGTAAGGCTATGAGTCATGTGAACATATGTAGAGAATGGGGAAAGTAGGGGGTGGATGCTCCAGGTCTAGTGATAGGAAATGCAAAGGCAAGGCTAGATGTGTGCCTGTCTATTGAGGAAGCACAGAAGGCCAACACGCCTGGGATGGAGTGAGAAAATGGAAGAGATGGAAGAACTGAGAAAGAATTGATCTATGACGAGATTATATAGACTTTGCGGGCCCCATGAATGGTTTAATTGTACTTTACAACTGAGGAATAACATCACAAATATAAAAAGTAAGTTTATTATGATTATAGAATTAATACCTTAGAAATCTTCCTAAGGCAAAATGTAAAAATTAAGCTTAAATATTGAAATTAGTTTCTTATATTTATTTAAAAAATATAAGTAATGATATAATTTTATATATTTTATATACATATATACATATAATACATACATAGCATGTACATTCTTCTGAACTGTACTTGTTGGGTATACTTAAACCAGGAAAACCAGCAGCAATATGAGTAGTAAATGGGAATAAATGAACACAAAGAAAACCACTGGATTGAGGAATTTCTTAAGGTCACATCCAACATTAGTTTTGAATATGAAATGCATTTGAAATGCCCTTTAGAGATTGTCTCCTTAATCCAAAGAAAACAAAAAATAAATATTTGTGCTTGTATTTTTAGTGCGCATTAACCTTCAGGGAACTGAAAGAGGTTGGATAACGAAGAGGATTTTATGTGAAATTAAATGTATTCAGCCCATTAAATGCTAGACATTTTACCTGTTCCTTTCTTAGTACAACTTTTACTCCACCTTAAAATAGTCCAGCATACACACTCAGTAAATACAGGTAGATACCTTTGTCCCACAGAAACATAAAATAAATATGGATTTGCTTCCAAAATACATGATATTTTTTTCCTTAAGTTGTATTAACCAAAATATATCAGGCTTCGGGGTTACTGAAAAACTGCATAAGTCATCTAAAATCAATAGTCTTGGCCTTGCCTAGTCTCATACAAGGAAATGCCAAACTTAAGAGTTGAGAGAGAAATGACTCCTCTAACTAAATGTCTCACAGAAAAATGGCCTTTTTTTTTTTTTTTAATCAAAGAGATGATACCTTACCATGGATGAAGGACATGCTAAATGCAAACCTTACTTAAGGAAGAGTTTCTTTAAACCCTAACCTGCAGATTGCATGGGCATAAATTCTGCCAAAAATGTAGATATTTTCCCAAGAGTTACACACATTTCTATAGTGAAGGTATTAGCAACCGAGTTGCTGTCCCCTCAGAACCTGCAAGGCCAGCTCCTCTCCCCTTTCTCCCTTTTTCTCCACACCCCCAAAGCAACTTTCTATTTAGCTGTCACTAGCACTCTTCTTTCTTTTTTTGAGATGGAGTCTCACTCTGTTACCCAGGCTGGAGTGCAGTGGCACGATCTCGGCTCACTGCAACCTCCACCTCCTGAGTTCAAGTGATTCTCCTGCCTCAACCTCCAGAATAGCTGGAATTACAGCTACTACACCCGGCTAGTTTTTGTATTTTTAGTAGAGACGTGGTTTCACCATGGTGGGCAGGCTGATTTCAAACTCCTTACCTCATGTGATCCACCTGCCTCAGCCTCCCAAAGTGCTGGGATTATAGGCATGAGCCACCGCCCCCGGCCTAGCATTCTTCTTTGGAAATCTTTTCATTTGAAACTTGCTTACATAAAGTTATTAAAATACAATGATAGATATAATACAACTCAGTGCTACCAAGTGAAAATATTTACTTTGGAGAATAAAAAAAGACAAAATAGATGCCAGAATGAACACACGCCACCAAGGGCAGCAGTCTGGGACTAATAGAGTTTCTTCAAGGTGGTAGATCCTGTAGAAGGAGACTTCTGCTGTTGAAGGTTGGAAGCACTTTTATTCTAATCTCTATACATTAAAATATGCAATAATAATTTTAGAGCATTTTGTAATGTAAAAATGATCCTTGGAATAAAAAGTAGGGCATCTCAAGTCAGAAACAAAGAAAATAACTTAGAAGACATTAAGAATGTGATCCTGTAGTGCAGGAGTTAGCCTTACCTGTCTGGAAAGATACCAGTAACTATGAAGAGAGGTCTGTGGTTAAAAATGAACACATTAGCAAATTACCTCAAAATTATGCTTCTGTATGTAGCACACTTATGACCAAACATACTATGAGTTTATCATGTGTGCACCTAGTTTCCCTGTTTTCTCTACAAATTCCTTTATTTGTAAATTATTTATGAAATACCACTTCAACTGGGTGATGTAGAAATGCCTAAATGCTATCTAGAAAACACTCTATCGTGTCTATGTAAATGTTGTTCTTTATGTGTCCCTCAGTGTTTTGGATTTGATTGCTGTCTGTTCAAGCTTGAATATTGCTGTTTACAGGTATAAATACATCCTTCTCCTGAGGCTTAACTGATTTTTTTTTACTTGAAATGATCATTAGAATAGCATATTTGTGATGGGGCAGACACATTTAAAATCAACCCAATAGAAACAAATCTTTTGCACTTTTTAAACATCAGAAGTGCAATCCTCGACGGTATAAAAATGTGAAATGTTACTTTAAATTACAGCCCTATTTTATTGTTACATAGCCCAAGTGCTGTTCTGCACATAAAAGAAAGTCCATAATTGTTATAATTGCTTGCTATCATCAAATGCTTTATAATCATTAGTTGCTATATGAATTATAAACATGTTGATGAACAGAATAGTCACCATTAACATCCTGGTCAATGGTAGGTTTCTCATTGCTAATGAAGTTTTTTAAAAGGAAATTCATGAATTCCCTCAAAGGAACTTGCTTTTTATTGGCCTCTTAAAATGTCTTGTAAATTCTATTATTAGTGGATAATGATAGCATGAGGGAAAAATAGATAGTCTGAGCAATGTGTACTTGAATAACTATTACCTGGGTAGTCGTGCCTAATGACAGGTTGTAAAATGGTCTTTGCATAGAATATTTCCTTTGATTATGTTGTTATTCCTCAGTTCACCAGCATAGAAAGGAGAAAAAAAATCACCCTGGCATGACTAGAGATGAGTTTTTAATATTCCTTATATAGAAACTCTACACTTGGGAAAACAGTATTTCCCAGCACAGATCAAGTACAAATTTTTACTGAAAAAGCAATTAGAAGATTGAATTAGTATTACAGGTAGTTCATGTTAGGGGGCAAGGGTATTTACGGGGCACTACCTATGTGCCAGGTGCAGTGTTAGGTAATGTTTATAAATGATCACATTCAGTCATCTATTAATAGAAGAGGACACTGGAGCTTAGAGAAGTGAGGACAATGGCTGGGAGGCCTGGGAGATTTGAACCCTGGCAGTCTGACTCTGAAACTCTACTCTGATGACTCTCTCAAATTATAAAACTTTGATGACAGCATTTATTTAAATATTTCCCTTGCTAAACATTTACATGTAACTTAATATTTGTGGTAAACAATGCAACTTATAATTATACATTATAGTTTATTAGCGTTTATATTTCTTTAAAACAGTGACTCTGTTAGGCATTTGTGTTTCCCATAATGACTTGTAATAACTCCTAGGTGTTCAATAAATACATATGAAACATATCAATCCTGTATATATTCACTCCATTCCATAAGAGAAAAAAATACGCATTTTGTAGCTTAATAGTTATACAGTAGGCTTTGCATTATTTTCATTATTTACTTCTGGATTTTATTAGAATTGTTATTATTGCTTATTAAAACCTAAGGTTTGCCGTACAAACATCTTTTCACTACTATCATATTTCAGTCATTAAGCACGCATTTTTTGTTTCATGTAACATAGTTTAATACTTTATGTTATTACTAAAAAGGACAAATATACTTCACTCCAAATGGATCCAGGAGAATTTACAAATTATATCAGTTCCTTCCTCAAGATATCATTGCAAATAGATTAAAAACAACAATAATAAAACAATTCTTTCAGAATTGCTTGTTTAATTCATGTTAGGAGAGGCCATGATAATAATCAAAACAGTAAAATACGAGTCCTTGGATTTGCGAAGAAAACATTTTTAGTTTCTATGAACAAACCATCCTTATGAACTGTAGTTTTTCATTATATTTTAATGTTTTGTGAAAATAGTGTCTCAGCATTATAAAGCTTAATGATTACTGAAATTCTTGGTTGGGTATTCATCACTAACATCTTTTACTATCCACATTTATATAATTCCATGCACATTTTCAACTTTAGATTCTATTAAATTCCACTTTAAGTGTATTTTATTTTATTTTTGTTATTCATCCTCCATAAAAAAATTCTATCTTCATTTTACTTCGCATTTGAGAAGTTTTTTTTCCCACTTAACCTTTACTATTTTCTCTGTTATACATTTTATAGTTGCTGTACTACATCTTAAATAGTAAACTTATTTAAATTCCCAGGATATCCCTGTGCAATGTATTGTTCTCCTTGGATGCTAATAAAATAGTTGTATTGAAATGGATTCATTCACTTCTTCAATGGGCGTTTACTGTTGCCTTCTATATTCCAGACACAGATTCTATGTGCCATTGCTAGAACAGTGATGAAGATAAGCTCTTTTTCCTTTTCTAGCAAATAAACTAATAATAAATAATATTTTATTGTCAATAATACATGCTATCTAAAAAACTGAGCATTGTAGAGCAATAGAGAGCAGTGAAGGAAGAAGATGCTATTTGGTGCCAGGAAAAAGCCTGTGTGAGAAGATAAAATATGGGCACAGCCATAAACTAAGTGAAGGATGGAATCATGCAAGCCTAAGAGAACATTCTAGAAGAGACAGCAACAGAGGCAAAGGCCCTAAGAGGGCACAGAGCTCCGAACACTGGGACTCTGGTGGAGTAAGCAGGGGAACGTGGAGATAGGAGTTAGGAGAGGAAGACATGGGTCAGATTACAAAGGCTTTGAATTTTGCTCTAAATGTGATAGGAAGAAGATGGAAGATTTTGATTAAAGTTATGACAAGATCCCATTAACATTTTAAAAGGATTATTTTGACTATTATATGCAGAATTGAGCTACTGAAGGGCAGGAATATATACAGGGAATGATGGAGGAGGTGAAAAGTGCTGAATTTGGAACATATTTTTTAAGGTAGAAATGGTATGACTCTTACCAATTGGATGTGGAATATAGGCAACTGGGAAAGATGTCATAATATAATTACACCGTCATATGAAACCCAAATAGTAGACTTCGATTTGGCATTAGAGAAATTATTCTTCTAAATAGTAGAAACTATTAGACGCCCTTGTTGACTTGCAAATGTGGTGTTTAATGGAGGATAGAGATGTAAGTTGAGACAGAGAGTATAGAATATTCCCAGTGACACTGGCCACTGTTCCTGAAGTATGGGAAATGGCTGCAGGAAGGTGAAGCTGAGGAGTTAGAAAAAGGCAAGCAATTTCAGGATCATGGCATTTCTTCTCACTAGGACTAAACCATGGCAAGGAAGGAAGAGAGCAAGAAGGAAAAGAAAGGAAAATGATGCACCTACTCCACATTCCATTCTCAATAAGCATCGCCAAGCATTCTTTGATATAGTCCTAATTATATTAGTCTTACCATTGTTTCTCAGTTACCAAAGGCTTTCTAAGTTCCATGAATTAGCCTTTGCACATACTCACAGTTACTAAATATTGGCTGTATAGGAAATTGCATGCTTAGTTTTGAAAAGCTTGCTTATGAACAAACTATAAGCATAAGCTGTCTGTCAACCCAGGAACTTCATACACTCATCTCACTCCGTGAAGTTGTTTGCTAAAAAATTGATATTTACAAGCTATGGGTAGGACCCTAAATTAGAATTATACACCATGGGAGAATTGGTTTCCCACACTAAAATGGGAATAAAGCTTTCTTACGCATGATTTACCTATTTCCATAATTGCAATTTTATTCAAACTGTAATGTTGAAAAGAGTGGTTTTATAGACCATTGAGTATTACACTTGCTAATAACAAAGAAGCACCTAGCTTCCCCAAATCTCATATCCCACACAAGTCTTCTATCCCTAAAAATAGGCCTTCCCCCACCATCGTCTTCTGTTTGTCTGGAAAATTGCTTTGAGAGTTTATTTTGGAAGAGAAATTATAATGAAGAACAAGGAACAGAAAGAAAAAAATGAAAATGGAACTAATAGAAATGGTCACCTTTAATCACCCTATAAAAATGGTTGTGCTCTCCAAGAGCAAAGGATGCATAGAACGTCCATCAGAGTGGGTTGTCATTGGAAGTAGGGAGCAGTAGGCTAAAAACGCATGAATAAATGAATAAATACATACATAAAATATGAAAACAAGTACATGCTTTACATGGACAAATTATGATGATGTCATGATGTGACGTATCTGCTTCTGAGGGTCAAACAATGACGATAAACTGTGGATTATGATGGGGACATAAATAATGAAGTAAAAACATAAAAGTGTCTGTGGGAATATTAACAACAATTTCAAGAGAGCAATTATGTCTGGAGAAGGAGAAATAATGTGGTTAGAGATAGGTACACAAAGGTATCAAGGATATTTTACTGTTTTATTTTATAAATCTAAAACACATACAGCAAAATGATAAGACTTGGCACCAGGATGGTGGGTACATGAGTGTTCATCATATAATTTTCTATGCTTTTCTGTACTATGATTTTAAAATTTCATAATGACAATTATAAGAGAATACTCTAAATTTGGTAACAATAAATTTGAAAATCTGAAACAAAACAAGAAAACAATGACATTAACTAGCCATTTAGTACCAATGAATTGACACTAACTGTGAAAGTTTAAATGCTTTCTTCCTAAGAAACAAATTCTTACTATTCCATGAAAGATCTCATTTCAGACAGAATTTCTACCTGCTTCCTGGCAGCCTAGAAATCCTTTCCTCCTTTCCTTCTTAGCCAGAAGAATCTGCTTTGTACCCCATATGGTAAACATCCTACGCCCTCCACTTACATTTCTAAAAGTTGCTAAGTGAGAGCTACTTCATACATGTGTGTCCTCCCTCTATGCTTCCTGGCTACTCATTGTTACGCATTTTATTTTAGTCTTACGCATAAGAGAGTAATCGGGAAGAATGTAGAATGCATTTAATTTGGACTTCAACTTGGTTTTTGCAATGTTCTTAAAATAACATAAACTGTTAATTTTTTTTTTCAACAGAAAGGAGACCTTTCTGTGCAAGTTGGACATGTTGATTGGGAAGCAGAAAAGAGAAAGAGAGCAATGCCAAGAAAAACATGCTATTTTAACACCAAGCAACACACAGGAGGTATGGGGTTATTTCCAGCCTGAAGTTGAGGCTGCATTTAGAGCAAAACTCTAGGAGCCAGATTTTTTTTTTAAATTAAAGTGACATTCATATAACATAAAATTAATCATTTTAAAGTGAACAATTCAATGACATTTAGTATTGAATTAACAATGTTTTGCAACCACCACTTCTATCAAGTTCTAAAACATGTCCTAACTCAAAAAGAAAATCTGTACCCATAAAGCAGTCCTCCATTTCTCTCTGCCCCCAGCCCCTGCCAAACATCAGTCTGCTTTCTAACTGTATGGGACAACCTATTCTAGGTATTTTGTATAAATGGAATAATATAACATGTGACATGTTGTGTCAGGTTTTTTCCACTTAGCATAATATTTTGGACACTTATTCATGTTGTAGCAAGTATCAATACTTCATTCCATTTTGGGACTCCATAAAATTCAATTTTATGTATATGCCACAATTTTTTTTTATTTATTCATACTCTGAAACTTGATTTCATCTTAAACAAACAAACACCTGGTAATGGATGCATATTCATTTACAGCCTTAGTAATAAGAACTTACTAAGATTCTAGTTCCTCAAATATAGCCAACTCATCCAAATGATTTTCCTTCAACCTCTACAAATATTCTCAATCACTCTCTTTTTCTCATAGGTATCAAATATGATCTCTTCTGCCATCCTCAATATAGATAATACCCAGTAATTATTGTTTTTGTCAATCTATGTAAAAAACTCAGGATTGTCCCTGAGAGAAATTTCCTACATATCTAACGGGATTTCGTTTCTTCCTGTTTACTTATGTTTTTTTTTTTTTGTATTGAAGAGAAAATTGGTATTAAGAGGCTAAAGAAAAAAAAAATCAGCAATAACTAAAATGTTTTAGAATTTACACTTTCAACTCCTTAAAAAATTATTTTCTTTTTCCTCTTGTGGCTTTAAATTTGTAGTCTTGTAACATGATGAAAAGATGAATATTGATTTTTCTACATTTATGTGTATTCTTTAACCTTTATATATCTGTGGCTCATTTCACACTTACTTCATACCCTGGTGTTGGAAATGATCCAGGAATTATGATTTGTGAAAAAACAGCTTGTCTCTTTGCTGTGAAATCCAGTTGAATTTGGGATAAATACTACTGTGATATAGTCACCTTCTATCTGTCACTGCTTCTTTTGCAGGGGATTCATTTTCTTCTCTTTAAAGTTAAAAAAAAAATAGATTTAAGAGCTTTCCCAAAGGGATGCTACTGCAATTTCTATGTTTAAAAAAGTTTCTACATTAAAATGATATGAGAAAATATTGGTTTTAACAATGGCAAAACCATTTCTTATTGCATAGTTTGCAATTTTATGAATGAATATTGCAAATCACTAAAGGAGAGATTTAGATTTAGATTTCACCATTGTTATGATTCTCTGAGAATCATTCTGAAACATATTAAGTAACAGTTAAGGAAACATATAATGAGACTAGTATTTAACAGAAATAAAATTGAGGTACTTTCTAAAATCCTCTCAAAGCCTAAAAATCAGTAAATATCAAACTATATCATTTCATAAATGAGAATTAGAAGCTACAAAACATGAATAATTAGTCTTTGAAAAACCAAAAATGTAGGACTATTTTTTACTTTCACATTTGAATTTGAATTTTTTCTCCTTTCTGTTAGTAAAGAAGATATAAGATCTTTACAACAAAGAAAAATATGGCATTATGGTCTGCAGCCTAAGAACTCAAAAGGTTACAGGAATAGTGAAATAAAAAGAGCTAAGCTATGAAGAGTAAATAACTGAATCTTTCTAGCAGCAAACACTATGACTTTCAAAACTAAAATTCTCTTCCTCCCCTTCCTTTTGCCTAGAATTAATCACAAACATACATATATACACATAGACACACATATCCATGCACACAGCACACACACTCCACACCCTACACACAACCCCCCCACACACACACCCACAAACACATGCACATACACAAACTCTGATCTGTTGTTGATTTTAAAATTATCCAAATATACCATTTAGTATTTCACTGTCCCTGAACTGCAACTATAATTTCTTCATAATCTTCCCCAGTGATTAATGGAGATCATTATCTCCCAATTTACAGTTTTTATAAATCAATATTTATTGAGTGCCAACAGGCATGGCATGAGGTCTGGTTCTTTAGAAATACTGACTTAACAAAGACGTCCATTCCTGCCCTCTGTAAATTTGCAATTTAGAAGAACACATAAGAGACGGTGAAGATTTGATTAAGAATTTTCAGTGCAGTTTGGCACTAAGGACTAAGGGTAGATGTTTGTAATTGGCAGCAAAAGCACGCTTGCATCCTATCATTAAATACACCCTGATTAGTCTCAGGGTTTCCAGGTAGCATGCTGCTCAATAAAACAGGACTCACCCTCTCAGTTTCTAATAAGAGTTAATAAATATAACCAATTTAGAATACAGAAAGTACTCATTATAGAACAAGAGGCTGTATTGCCTATTGCATTTATAGGTGGAAATAGCATAGGAATTTTTAACTACATCAGTTAGTAGAATTAAAATTTTAGTGAAACCGAACTTAAGAATTCAGGTAGATAATTGAACAAACAGAAATAATTGAACAAAGAAAGCTGATGTAGTAATCAAGCATAAATGCACACAGAAGAACCCGAAGAAGGCAAGTACCATATTTTCTGTCGTCACTTAGGAAATCTGTTATATTCAAAGCCTTTTATAACCTTCAGGATGGAGAAGCCATATACCACATATGGCCAGTGGGTACCTGGGAGCAGAGCCAGCAGCAGTGACCAGCAGGTTGGGTACACTCCATAGGGTGGGGATTTCTTGGCCACCGATGCTTACTGATAGTCAAAAGACTAGAAAGTGTATTTTGCTTGGGGTTGGGGAAGATAAAATAAAGACAAGGAAAGAACTGCTTTAATTGCATTGTATTTTTCAAATTTTAAAATACAAATTTGAAGAATGTAGAGGTAGCACATCTTCTGCTTATAGCAGATATCAGGAATCCAGTGCTGAGCAGGAATCCAATGTGGAGCCAGGGGAAGGCACTTTTCCTATTGGAGAATTGAGCAGTAAAAACAATCCACAGTAGCCACAGGATGTCTCAGCAGCAATCCTCGTGGCTGGCTCTGCTTCCTGATTAGTGAATCCCTGCAGACACCATGATACTCTGGACCAGAACAAACTCTCTGCTGCTCCCCAAACCCGTGGAATACCTCACCCTACACCTCCGTGTCCACTCTAAATTCCTCTAAGCACAAATTCCTCCTGTGCAGGACAGGACACTTCCCAGTAGCTCTGTAAACTTGGTAGATTCTTTCTCCAAGGTAATCCAGGCTTATTTTACTTTCAAACATTTTGCAGAAATCTGTATTTCTTGGACACCAACTACTATCAGCAAAGGCTATTTCTTCAACTGATATTTTTTGAGCACCTACTTTGTGCCAAATATTGTTGTAGGAACTGAAGGTATAGCAATAGGCAAAATAGACAAGGACTTGTAGTCCTGTGGTTTAATGGAGTGGGTAAATGAGAATCAATTAAATGAATACCTATACATGTCAGATGTTATTCAATTCTGCGAAAGAGAGAGATAAAACAGGAGAGAAGGACAGTCTGTCTGTGGAGAATGTTTAAATTGGGTGGTTGGAGAAAGTTCCCCAAAGTAGAGGTTTTTAGAACAAACCTATGATGGTTGTGAGAGAGTGAACCAGGCTACCTTCTGGGGTGAAGAGCATAATGATATGGAACAAAGGATATAAATGAATCAGTCCTGGTAGTCTTCTACCAGAGAGCAATAAGAGTGAGAGGAATGTGATTCTTGCCAGGAATACACACAACTGCTCCTTCTCAAGAAGTTGTAAACTACAGGAACTTGTCTTCCTTGCCACAGTGGCCCATCTGAACCACTCAATAGGCATGACTGCTCTCCTGTGGCCACACAGAGGCTTCCTAACCCAGGCTGTCTTCACCACCTCCAGTCTTTCTTACCTCTCTCTTCACTTCCCACCTGTCTGCTCATCATCCCTATGATTTTCTAGTACCTCTTTGAAGGTGCTATCTGCAGTAGTTCACTATTGCAAGGGCCTCTTGTTCCTACAGTTCTGGCTCCTTCACATCCTCCACACAGCCTTCAGCGCTCAACAGAAAATGAATCTTACAGTACCTCTCCTCTTGAAATCTGGCAATGCCTGTTACTCAGGAGGGAGCAGAGACTCCTCAGAGGAATAGTCACAGTCCACCAGGCTCTCACTTCGGCAATGTTCTGGACTCAGGACTCAGTCTCCCTGCCCCTTACTTTACACTAGAGTTACAACAATCATCTTGGAGTCCCATTATGTTCATGCCCTCAATGCCTCTAGTCCCACTTTGCTTTGCTTTTCCTCCTCTATCCCCTTCTGGAAGGTTCCCTGACACTATTCTCCCAGACTATGTTGAGAATCTCTCTATTATTCTCTTGCAATTCTTTGTGCTGAGAATTATTATTGAATTTGCCTATTTAGATTATACTTGTTTTACTATCTTTATTATATGCATTATGTCTGCTACCACCCCTCAACTAAATAAACAAATAAAAACACATAAGCAAGCAACAACAACAAAATGATGACATTTTACCCTCAGTCTTTTAGTACCATTTCTGACACATTTTGAATTGAAGGAGTGACTGAAGGAATGATCAAGCTTGCCAATAGGAACTGTACATCAAGGATAGTGGAAGGGATGGAATTAAAAGAAAATACCTCAGTCAGAGGCTGCTATTATGGAAGAAGCTGTTATACTATCTTAAATATATTTATAAAAGTGATCTGAATGATGCAGACAAAATAGTGTAATGGGTCATTACAGAATTTCTTGAAAATAATAAAGAATGGCCTGCAGGTGACAGCATTTATTTGTTCATTCATTTTCTTCCAAATATATTTTATGACCTCCTCCCGTGAGTCAAGCAGCTTTCCAGGCATTGGGAAGAAAATGGTGAGCAAGAAATTGTTTCTTGTTTTCATGGAGTTTAATGTCATATGAGTGAAACAAACATAAAATGAAGAAACACACTGAGATTTTGACGCTAAAGTAAAGCAATATGGTCCTTAGAAAACAAATAACCAAGGAATATGATCAAGTTTAAGGAGACTAGGAAACATTTTGACATAAAGTGATTACTGAGTCAAGAGCCAGAAAATGCTAAGAGTTAACTGGGCTGAGATTGGAATCATAGAAGAAAACCAAAGTGAGAGAAAAGAAGTAAGAACATAGGGGCATTTGAACCCCATGGAAGAGAGTAAAGGCAAGTAGAATATTGGTATGTTAGAGGAGGGTGGAGAGAGGCATTGGCTTGAGAGTAATGCTTACAACAGCTAACCTTTTTTGGTTTATTGAGCACTCATTATGTGTCAGATATTGTGCTAAATGTTTCTACATTTTATTTTTATTTAATAATGACAAAATCTACGAGGAAGTATAATTACTTTTTCCATTTTGTGTATAGTGCAACCATATCTATGAAATGTTAGGAAATGGGCTTATAGTCTCAGCTACTAAATGGCACTGCCCAAATTAGAAACTGTAAACCATGTCTCTAGAATCAATAGTCCAGGGCTGGGAGGTCAGAGAAGGCTGAGCTCATTCAGCTGTGGGCTCCAAGAACTGACTGTTGCTTGAATAAAATTTCATGTATTTACATTTGAGAGGAGCTTTCCCACCTGAAACTGTGTCCTACTTCCTATGAAAGGTGAAACTGGAAGGATAAAATATAAGGAATCGATGACATATTAGTTGAGAGTATAATCTCATTCTCCATCTTCTTACCAAAGAGAGATTCCTGGCCATCAGGAAAAAAAGACATATAGTATTTTAATGCATGCTATAATATTTCTTTGGCAACTCTAGATTCTGTGGATTTCAAGGATACCAGCAGAGACATTGCTGGCATCCTGCTCTCTAGCCTTTTTCCCCATGACAATTCACTTCCTTCCCTGAAACAGTCAATTCCACTCAGCTAACACAGTAACTGAGGCAGGCCTCTAAGAGGCTGTGAGAGGACAAAGGAGTGGGATGTGACTGGTGGCTTCAGATGTCACCCCTTGTTATGATGGTCCGCTGTGAGCCCTGTGGCTGGATAACACAGCCCAGCTTTCGTGCCCTTACATTGTAGGAAATCGATATGGAGACACCCTAAATGTGTCCTGAAGAGAATAAGATATATGTGTGTGTGTGTGTGTGTGTGTGTGTGTGTTCTGTGTCCCAACACAGCAAATAAATTCAATGCACCAGATTCTCCAGATAAGTGACACAATTCACTACAAGGGTGGTTGCTAAAATGTTCTGCCTCTCTCCTTAGAAATCCACAACAGAATGAGGAGAAAGGAAGCCTTAAGTGTGGCTTCTAAAATATCCAAGGGTGATTTGACCGCCTACTTTGATAATTGCTGTTACTGGCCCAGGTCTCAGCTCTTACAAACGATGCCCCAGTAATGAGATACTTACCAGACAGAAGTACCTTGGGGACTCTGAGGTGAGCCGTTGGCATTCATGGTTCTCTTCATTGTGTATGGTCCTTTCTTTTCATGGAGGCTCCATTTCCTCAGACACTACCAGGCATTTCTCTTATTGATCTCCCCTTTTCTCGCCATGCAGTTTCTTCACTGAAGCACTAGTTAACATTAAACACTTGCATTTTTACATCAGCATTTCATTTAAAAATAATTATATGAGGAAATGATCAATGTTATACAACCTCAGTCATTTTGCAATGAATGAGAAAATACTTATGGCTTTTAACGATTAGAGAAATAATTTATGTGATTAAAATCATTTTCCAATATTCTTTTGGTTAAAATATTTAAGTATGTGCTTTTTCAGCTTGGATAAATAAATGAAGTCAGGTAAAATGCAAATCAAAGACTGAATGAAAATAAATAATTACTGTGCAGCATTTTTTTGGGGGGAATGGGGGCACACTTTCTCTTTTCATTTGCTAGAAGAAGAGAAAGATTTGTTGCTATGAAGATTATGTGATTTCAAATTCTACACCAGACAGGGATTACTCCAAGTTTAGCAGAACACGTTTTTGCACTGAGTACTCAAAACCTATGAATAGGAGCACATTTCTACCTGAGATTCATTGCAAGTCAGTTTCACTGCGTGGAGAGCACATGCCTGGAAAAGAAAAAGCCTGTTTACTGACAAATTACATTATTAAATATTCTAAAACAAAAACAGAAAAGTAAAAAGCCAAAAACAAAAACAATTACAATGCACGCTTCTGAGGACCGGTGTTACAAGATTTGACATATAGCAGTAGGTTTTTTGTTGTTGTTGTTATTTTTAAAATGATTTCCAGATTTTTTTTTATTTTACTTATGAGCCCAAAGTCTGGATTAAAAGTTAAACCAGTTTTGCATGTATGTGTTATAGTTAGTAAAGTTAAAATAAATGACACATTTTAACACTTTCTTACATAAACAGACAGAAAGTTAGCAAAACTTTAACTAGTGTGATGATGAACTGTAATTTCTAGTGGAGGTTTAGGGCTACACTTACCATCAACCAAATTGGGAAATGGTCATGATCCCTGGCATTGCACCAAACAAACAAGACAGACATGCTAATTTGAAAAACGATGCCTTGCTGCTGTCTTGTCCTGGTTTGTAGTTATAATTTTAGTCTTGGTCTAGCCACTGTGGACCCCCATGCAGCCTTCAACTTCCAAGAAAAGAGGCAGTTGTTGCTTTTCTTCCCAAACCTCAGTAATTTCCGTGCTGGCTTTATTCCACCTCTTTGATAGTCAGGGTGTTCCAGGGTTTTCACAGTCCTCGAAACTCATTTCAGAAAGCCCCTTCAGGAGATACCCTGGCAGGAAGTCTGGACTATGCATCAAAATATTGCCATAAAACTCAAGTTTTATTGCTATTGTTCCTATAATAGGAAACTCTTATATGTTTATCCTGTATGCTATCATGCTGGAAATGTTTAAAGTATGTTTGGCAGAATCATGCCAACAGCTTTTAATGGCATGCTCAAAATAAGTGTTGGCCCGGCATCAAATCTCTCCAGCCCTACTTCTGTCCACCCAGATACCTCTAACAAATGGTCTGAATTCACTACAGAAGATTGAGAGAGAAAACAAACACAAAATAAATAAATAGTACCCAGGAGGATTTTCACTTTGTTTTCTGTTAGTGAGATTTTGATTTTATTTTGGTTTTGTAGAATCCAACAAATAGGGTTCTGGGTTATTTGTTCATAAGAAGAGGAGTGTATTCAGTCACGTACAACGTGCTCCTCTCCGTCTTTTCCTGAGCTTTCCCTTTCACGATGGATTCTAAGGGGTGATGTTAACTGTGGATATTTCTCTTGGTTCTTTAATCCAGATGTTTGATACTTTTGCCGGTCTTGATTCTTAAGTTTTGTGTTATGCATGTAATATTTAGTTCTTAGCATTTTTCTGTTGTGAAGAGTAAGTGGATCCATGAATTTGCAGTGCCTAAAACAGTTCACACACTGAGTCTTGGATAAGTATTAGATTTTTATCTTTAGTACCAATAATCTTTATTATAGATTCACTACTCCTTCATTTGTGCTCATTTTCTTAAATGGCCCTCACCTTAAACTCTTTAAACTTTAGTGCATACCCAGGCCTGTTGTGAAGATTCTCTAATTATGTATTAGCAGATGAGAATAATTTGTGTGTTCATTACTAGAGGTATTAGTATTGAAAAACATTCCATGTCAGGACTGCTTAAGTCTTAATATTATAGATTCATCCACTCCATCTATTCTAAAGACTGGTCTTGTTTCATGCATAAAAGGATTTGACTGCTTGGACCAGTAAATTCAGTTACAGTATATAGACAAACTTATAAAGTTTTCTGGTTAGAATTTATGGGTTGTTTTACTCTGTTGAGCAGTCATGATTTTAAAAGACACAAGATCACAACTCTCAAGGTTGAATAATCACTGGTGGTGCCCTGATGAGCCAAAATGTCACAATCAGGCTAAATAGCATATGCGCTTGACCCAGCTGTCAGATGTTATTAATAGGCTGACTTAAAAAATGAAAGCAGTAGGGGTGTCATCGACATTTTGAGGCCCATATGCCCATATGCCTAATGCAGTAAAACACCTGCCATGGCTAGTTTCTGGTTCCAAGCGAAGTAAATCAGCCTACACTTCCCTCAACAGTTAAAAATACATCAACACCTACTCAGAATTTTACCTGTGCCATAACCCTCAGGCTATCACCTCTTCCCCTCCAAACTGCTTGTGATCCAAGGTAAAACAACTGTTTCAATTCTTCACACCTCTGGAGCAAACTTTCTAGTGTGTATTCCCTTGCTGTATGTGTGTGCGTGCGTGTGTGTGTGTGTGTGTGTGTGTGTGTGTGTGTGTGGAGAATGAAAGAGAACGAGAACTAGACTCTTCATATTTTGTTATCTACAGAGTTTATGAAGTTGAGGTAGAAAGTCTGTGCACTTACTACATAGACACCAATAAGGATTTGGAAGATCCTATTTAAAAATGTTAAATTGTGTTAACAATGAGATATATCAGAAAGTAACTCAAAACTTATAAACTGTTGTTTGTTGACCCTTAGGACTTCTATATAGAGAATAATGGGAGTTGATATTTTTCTTATGACAGGATAAAATATACCTCTTCCAGAAGAGTCTGAAAGTTCACCTTTATTCAGATTCTTTGGGTGATAGTCTAAAGTCATTTTGGCCAGGCACAGTGGCTCACGCCTGTAATTCCAGCATTTTGGGAAGCCGAGGCGGGCGGATCACGAGGTCAGGAGATTGAGACCACCCTGGCTAACACGGTGAAAACCTGTCTCTACTAAAAAAAAAAAAAAAATACAAAAAAATTAGCTAGGCGTGGTGGCATGTGCCCTGTAGTCCCAGCTACTCGGGAGGCTGAGGCAGGAGAATCGCTTGAACCCTGGAGGTGGATGTTGCAGTGAGCTGAGATTGCACCACTGCACTCCAACCTGGGTGACACAGCAAGACTCGGTCTCAAAATAAATACATACATAAATAAATAAAGTCATTTCACTTTACATGACTTTATTTAAAAGGGAACTATTCAAGTTGTTGGTCATTCTGTGGGGGAAATTCACTAAGAGTCATTGTGGTAGGGCTGAGAAGATGGGAGTTTTATCAAGATTTGCTCAATTTGAACAAGCTGAAAGCACTTACTTGGCTTTTGCCTTGAATTGATTTTCTTACTTTTTAAAATATGATCTCAGTAATTATGTCATTTTAGCAACAATCTATTATTCCTTGTGTCTGCTGTCTGGGGAGTACTGGGTTGAAAGGGAAGGGAGAATAGTGGGAAAAGGATTAATGCTGGCGATTCATGCTTTATCCCAAGGCCATATTGAAGAATATTTGCGTTAGCTGCTTTCACTTTTCTGCTTCATTCTCTTTACTAATCTTTCATTTTGAGTTTTCTATCAATCTTTCACTTTTTTTTTTGTTTAGGTGAAAAATTGATCATCAAGACTTTTTTTTTTCATAGCTCCCAAACTAAAAAAAAAAAAAAAATCAGTGATATACTCATTCTACTAGTGTACATTCTCCCAAAGTTACTATTTGATAAGACAGGTTTCATTTGACTACTAACATATTTTTCTTTTTCAAGTCTTATTATTTTTCCACCTTATGCTTGTTACTTAAAACACTGATTCTTTTACATTATTTAACAAATGACTATCTAGTGCTGGCAACTGTCATTAAAATTTTAAAGGCATTTTACGTACTGCCAGATGCTGATTACCAAGCTGAGTCTTATTTATTATCATTTACCCTTTCTCTCCTGAGAAATTATCAATTCCATTTATAGTCATCATTTCTCCCGTTGACCTACCCAACTTAATAGGAGGGTTGAAACAGCAATGTAAGTTTGTGCCCAATTCCTATTGCATTTTTAACATGAAAGATAAATTGAACTTACTTTTCTGTGCATTGTGAAGAAAATAAAGGAAGTAATAGGATGCCTGAGCAAAGATTGTTGGAAGATAATTTCATAAGTAAACGTCAGATCAATAGTATTATATTCTTCTGACATTTCTTTTCTTGTGACGCTTCTAGTTCAGCTAGAATCTAAACTAGAATCATGTAATAAGCATAACCAAGGAAGCATTGCCATTGACTGTTGGTCTTATTTGAGTTCTTATTCAGGAGTTCACACTACCTGAAAGAAAAGATGTATTTCCTCTAGTTCTGTCATCTGAATGGGGCATTCTTATTACCGCATTCACTGTGCTTGCCATTTTTTTTTCCTCTCTGGTTTCACCCTGGATTGCTTTATTATATCATTTTTACAGTTACACAAAAACACATGTCAAAAATGGTAGTGTCCTTGATTATTTTTATATCACTGCTCAACAGCCTTAGTTAAGCCTCTAATTTTATACATGCACAGTTGATAAAAAGAACTTTAGATTTTCTTATGCAATAAACATGACACGTCCTTCCTTCCATAGGCCGTGAAACCAGCTCCAGTGTCCCAAATGCCATAGCAGAGCCTTTATGATCGCTTCTGGCTGCCAGTCATTTGATGTCTTATTGGCACTGGATTAAAAATGGAAAAAGCCTTCCTTAATCACAAATTTCTTTGAGATAGGTTCTATTTTCACTAAGTGCAATCAGTACCAATATGAGTAATAAAAAAAAGAAGAATGTGATAACTATTTTAAATGCTTCAAAATAGTAATTTTTTTGGAAATTTCTTTGAAATACCATTTTGTACCACTCAAATAATTAAAACCTAATATAGTCTTTATTTCAAATAATAGTAAGATATCAAAATTATTTCATTAAAAAAGTGAGAAAGTTTACAAAATGTTTTCACATGTTGTTGCATGTTATTGGATTTTGTTTTACACATCCATCCTCCATAATGAATAGGGAACAATGATATTTTACACGTGGCTCCTTTTTCTCCCACACCCTACCTCTAATCTATAGCAAATTCTTTCTGTTTTCTTACGTCCTCTCCTCTCTTGCCAACTGGTTTCAGATACTTCAATCTCTCACATGAATTGTTAAAATACCCTCCAACTGGTGTCCTTACTTTTGGCCTTGTCCTTTTGTATTCTATTCTCAACACAATAACCAAAGTGATATTTTCAAAACATGTCAGATCATGTCACTTCATACTCAATAATTTTCCAACTCATAAGAGTACATGCCAAAGTCATCGAAGTGTCATCCACGATCATACCTTGTCTCCACCTCCAACCCTGGTCCCTACTTCTCTTATCATGTTTCCCACTCACACGACCCCGCCTTCTCCATTCCTGCCACGTTACCTTCCTGACTGTACAGATGACAGGCACCACATGATGTCTCTTTCTGGTTCTAATTCAAATGTCATCACAGTGAAGCCTTCCTTACCACCCTATTTACAAATGCAATCCTCTCCCTTGCCCCTTCATCTGTTATCCCCATTTACATGTCACTTTTCTCCAGAGCACTTGTTAAACAACTGCTATATTGTACAGATTTATAAATATATTGTTTTGTTCCTTTTATTCTTGAATAAACTACATAAGGACAGAGGTTTGTTTTTCTGTTTTAGTTACTGCTATATCTCCAGTTGCTAGAATATTGTCTGGTAATAGCAGGGGTTTGATAAACATTTACTTGAAGAATATGAATAAATGAAAAAATGTGCTTGGCAGCATATTTTGGACATGGTAATTACACCATAAACAGTAAGCTATTATTACAAAGATTTTTTTTCCAAGAAATCTACATTATTTATAATATCTATGAATTATATAAAATATCCAAGGATTATATATAATATATAGGATATGTTCTATATTGTATTCAAATCTACATTTGAGTTCCACTAATAGAGTTTGACAAACTTTTAAATTTCAATGAACATGTTTCCTCATCTATAAAATAGAACTATGAACACCATATAGGTTATATCTTTCACAAGTCTTGTATGAAATGACAAGTTAAGAAATAAAAATGTTGATTACTGTGTTTGGTCTAAATCAATAGGATGTGTTTCTCCCTGCTTCCTACTCATCACCACTTCACGCTCTTTGGCAATTATTTTTTGAATGTCTGTCATGTGCCAATCACTCTGATTGCCATTTGATGTCAAAGTGTGTGACACAGTCCTTACTCTGAAAGTATTTACAGATCAGTGAGTAGACAAACACCCAAGCAAAAAGAAAAGAAGAAGTTTTCAAAATAATAGAGAAAGGAAAATAATGGAAGTATAGCAGCACCTAACAGTGGAATTTAGGAAAATTGCCTGGATTAGGCAGTAGCTAAGCTAAATCTTGAAGGATGACTGACATTTATGCAAGCTCAGAAATTAAGGAAACTGTTGTTGGGGAAGAGAATGGCGTAAGCAAATATACAGAGGCCTGAAAGAATGGAGTAGATGTGAGAAATTATGACCAACTTTGTAAGACTAGAGGGTGATGTAGAAACCAGGAGGGGCAAGAGATGAGGAAGGGGAATTTGGATGACACAAGGGTATGAAAAGACTTACAGATCACACCAAAAAGCTGAGATTTTATCCAATTTTCAGTGATGGAGGGGATTGGGGATAGGAGTATGGCATAGTCACATCTGTGCTTTAGAAAGATAATAATGCTAAATAAATAAAGGATGTATTTACGTGAGAAGCAGCAAAAGTAGTGCTGTGGAATTGGGAATGTGCATAGACTTTGGATGGAAGTATGGAATTTGGAACTAGATTTTTAAATTCCAATCTCACTGGTTCTACAGTTCCTATTACTTACAAACTCTCTGTTATGTCTAATTCTACAGGTAACTTCCATTTATAAGCTACATGGTCCTAGAAAACTTGTCTGTCTAAATTTCTTTATCTGTAAAAACAGGATTAAAAGCAGTATAGCTTCAATCAACATATTATTGTATGAAAGTCATTAAACTTATAAGTACATTTGACTAAATATATTAATTATAAACACTTTTTTATTTGTATAAAAAAGAAATATAAAAAACTAACTAGAAGGTTATAGTTTATGTTATCTGTAAAATTAAAAAGTGTTACATCCGTCAAATTAAAAGTTTACTGTTTTCCACTGAGATATCAGTGATAATAGTGATAGAAAGTAGGAGATGGATTTACAGGTATTTGTGAGATAAAACTGGCAGAGCTTGGTGAATCCTGGCCAGGTTTCTGGTGGAGGTTGAGGGGAGGTCGGGGGAGTATTGGTGGTTGGGGAAGAAAGTCTTGGTTGAAGAAACCTGTGACTTCCTGGATAGAGCCCTAGGATTTTAGTCTGGGCAATTCAGACTGTTCTCTAATGAAATCTGGAATAAAGAAGTAGATATTTCATAGAATCCAGTTCTATCTATTTAATCTTTTATCAAATATTTGTTCATCACATATTTTATACTAGCATTATACTAAGTTCTGAGAATACAAGAACGAAGAAGATGGAGCTTAAAGTATAATGGAAGAGAAAAAAAGAATAATTGAAATGATCATCTAATGGATGAAATAAACAACTCATTAAATAAATGATATTCAATTACAAAGGTAATAAGTGTTCTGAAGAAAAGTAATGACAGAAAACAGATCATGTAACATGGAGATTGACCTAATCTAGAAGATCAGTGAAGTTTTCTTAAATTACAACATTTAAAAAATAATCTGAGAGACAAGCAGAAGATAAGAAAGATAAGATAAAGCTAGTAAGATAAGCAAAGGTCAAATGCACAAGGATCCTTCTTGGCCAAATTAATGACTTTTTGGAGTAGTTGTTAAAGGTAATGGAAAGCCATTGAAAAGTTTAAAGTAGAAAAATGTCCAATCCTGTTTGTATCTTTGAAATGTCCCTCTTGTGACATTTTATGTGAAATGGATTACAGCAGGGAGAAAGACTGAGTGTAGTTAAAATATTTGCAGTAGTTCAGGCAGGAGAGCATAGGAACCTAGACTAGTCAGGTAGTGGTAGAAATGAAAAGAAATAGAGAACCTTGAGAAATATCTTAGAGGTAAAATAATATTTTGTAACAGATCAATAGGCCAGATCTTCCTAATGGCAGGTGTCTTGGTTTCTCTCGCATCGTATGAAGGAATACCTGAAGCTGGGTAATTTATAAAGAAATGAGGAGGTCTATTTGGCTCTTTTCTATGTTGGTCTGCAGTCTGTACAAGAAGCATGGGAGTGCCTCCTTCTGGTGAATGTTTCATGAAACTTCCACTTATGGCAGAAAGCAAAGGGGAGCAGACATCATATTGTGAGAAAGAGAGGAGAGGGCAGAGGTGCCAGGCTCCTTTTAATAATCAGTTATCATGGAAGCTGATAGAGCAAGAACTCACTCATTACTGTGAGGATGTCACCAAGTTCATGAGAGATCTGCCCCTATGACCAAAACATCTCCCACCAGTCCCTACCTCCAACATTGGGGATCAAATTTCAACATGAGTTTTGAAGAACACAAATAAACTATATCAGCAGGATCTCACACTTATCCCTTCTTAAGGTGTGTGTGTGTGTGTGTGTGTGTGTGTGTATGTGAGTGTGTGTCAGAAAGGAAGAACTGTAGGGAGAAAAAAGGAGAAATGTATTTCACATAAATGCAGAGCTACTATCTGTATCATGTAGATCTTCAGCTCAGTGACTACAGCTGTTTCTAGATTTCCACCACTAAGTATTTGATTTTATCTGTCAAATACGTTGCTTATACAATGCTTGGGTTGTTCAAGAAGATATAATAACCTGTGTGTAATCCCTGATATACTCGGGGCTCTGTTCACTCCCTGTTTTCACCCTTGAAACCTGCTTCAGGTTCAAATTCCTCATGCCTCTCTTTAGCTACTGGGAAAACATTTTTCTCTTCCTAGAGGAAAAACATTTATGTTTTCCTGGAGCCAATACTTTTTGTATGATGTATTTGTTGTCTATTGCTGAGTAACAGTTTATCTGAAAACGTAGTGGCTTAAAACTAGACACACTTATTATCTCACAGGCTCTTTGGTCAGGAATCTAGGCATGGCTTAACAAGGTTCTCTGATTCAGGATCTCCCTCATAAGGCTGCTATTAAGGTATTGTTTGAGCCTATGGTCTCATCTGAAGGCTCAATTGGAGAAGGATCTGCTTCTAAACTTACTCACATAGCTGTTGGTAGATTTTAGATTTTTTGCTGGATGTTGGCTGGGGGCAGTCCTCAGTTTCTTGTTACGTAGATTTGTTCATACAGTAGCTCACAATATAATGAAGCTCATCAGACCAAAAACATGAGAAGAGCTAGAGGAAAAGCAAGAATGGGAAAGAGGAAGAATACAAGCCAGAGGAAAGTCACAATCTCTACAACTTAATCTCAGAAGTGACATCCTATCACTTTTGCCACATTCTACTCATTGGAAGTAAGTCACCAGGTTCAGCTCATGCTCAACTTGAAGGTATCACTTAATGGCATGAATTCCAGTAGGTGGTAATCATTAGATGTCCTTTCAAAGCTACATACCACAAATAGGGTTCATCTACAGTGCATCTAGGACTTTTGATAAAAGCAGTTACAGGTTGACTATCCCTTATCCAAAATGCTTGGGACAAGAAGTGTTTTAGATTTGTGATTTGTTCAGATTTTGAAATATTTGCATAGACATGATGAGATATCCTTGGGTCCCATGAGAATGGGACCCAAATCTAAACACAACAGTTGTTTATGTTTCAGATGTACCTTATATACACAGCTTGAAGGCAATTCTATACAATACTTTTAAATAATTTTGTGCATGTAACAAAGTTCATATACATGGAACAATTAGGTAGAAAAGACGTCACTATCTCAGCCACTCGTGAACAATCTGGGGTCATTTGGCATCACCTTTCTTTCTTTCTTCTCTTTCCTCTTTTCTTTTCTTTCTTTCTTTCTTCCTTCCTTTCTTTCTTTTCTTTCTTTCTTTTTCTTTCCTCCCTCCCTCCCTCCCTTCTTTCTCTTTCTTTCTTCTTTCTTTCTTTCTTCTTTTTTCTTCCTTCCTTCCCTCCCTCCATCCTTCCCTCCCTTCTTTTTTCTTTCTTTCTTTCTTTCTTTCTTTCTTTCTTTCTTTCTTTCTTCTCTTTCCTCTTTTCTTTTCTTTCTTTCTTCCTTTCTTTCTTTTTCTTTCCTCCCTCCCTCCTTTCTTTCTCTTTCTTCTTTCTTTCTTTTTGCTTCCTTCCCTCCCTCCATCCCTCCCTCCCTCCTTTTTTCTTTCTTTCTTTCTTTTCTTCCTTTCTTTCTTTTCTTCCTTTCTTCCTTTTTCAGAGTCTCACTTTGTCACCCAGGCTGGAGGGCAATGGCATGATCTCAGATCACCGCAACCTCTGCCTCCTGGATTCAAGTAATTCTCCTGCCTCAGCCTCCTAAGTAGCTGGGATTGTAACAGGCACCCGCCACCACGTTTGGCTAATATTTGTATTTTAGTAGAAACAGAGTTTCACCATGTTGGCCAGGCTGGTCTAAAACTCCTGACCTCGACTGATCCGCCTGCCTTGGCCTCCCAAAGTGCTGGGATTACAGGTGTAAGCCACCGTGGCTGGTCTTCTTCATTATTTCTAACTGAATATATGCTACTCACAAGCAATCATTTTCTTATACTCATTCACAATTAAGTGCTTAACAATAAAAATAATATGACAGACCATTAATACAGTGAGAAACTAATGTGTCCAGGGTAATGTGTGGTCATGATTGCATGGGGGACTCTGAGAATATCCAGAAAAGATATATAGTAGCTGAAGGGGACTGAAAATGTCTTTTATCCCTTGGAGGTCACTACCTTTAGGAGTCAATGTATTCAATTATCAGCTGCTGTTTGAAACAGGGCCATATACTTACTGTCTATCAGACATGTTTTCATGGAACAAATGTATTACAGTTTCATAAAATGGTTCATAAGTTCAGCAACCTACAATGCACTGGCTATTTTTTCACATTGGTTTAAAATAACAACCTTATAAAATGTCAATCTGATCATTTTCATTTTCTGATCAAAATTCATAATACTTCAATGTCATTATAGCTTTTAAGATGAAGCTTGAACTATATAAGATATATGGGTTTTTATTATCCAACACCTGTCCACCTCTCTATGCTCAAATCTGGTTGTTTCTCCACAAGTATTCTTTCCCCACCCTTTTGGAACCACACAGAGTGCCACGTCAAGCCTCTGTGACTTTGAACATGCAATTTGTTGGCTCTTTTGCCTCACTCATTCCTAGATTTCCACCCTTTCCAACTCAATTCAAGAGCACCATGCTTTAAGAGATCCTTCCTGGAATCCCCACTGTGAAGAATCAGGCTATTTCTAACCAATTACTGAGCAGGGAAAAATTACAAGGGCTAGAATTTAGGCCAAAGCAAGACTCTTTCAAAGGACAATCTTTGCTCAGGAGCTCTCTATTGGACAAGACACTGATAGCTCCACATTTTGTTCTCAGCCTCCCCCTGTCAGTTTCTGCTTTTTCTGCCTATTACCTTCCACAGGTGTTAGCTTCCAGTAAAGCTCACACCTGCCTAATATTGCCTCACTGTCTGCTTCCCAGAGGACACACCTGACACATCCTCTGAGAAGTCAATGCTTCTCTGTTACACACCACACAAACATCTTTCTTCACACTCATCACATTGTTTCATAGTGGAAAGTGTGTATGCAAGTCTGTGTGTGCCTGTCTGTTTCATTATACCACAATGTTCTTGAGAGCAAAGAGCAATTTTTGATCATTTTTGTATCCACAGAGCTTCTCACTATGAGTGGTATATCGCAAGGGCTCAGCAGCTGTTTGAGTGAGAAAATTACCCATTCACCAACCACTCACATCACGTTTTCTTCTCTATTGCTTTTATAAGCAACTGCCTCATCCCTTTACCAGCTATTATTTTTGTTTATGACAACCATTTATACCCCTTTTCTAGATCCCAGAGTTTTGTTGTGTATTTCCCTATCTCTTTGCAAGATGTTAGATAAAACTCATAGTTTAGTGATTGTGGAAAAACAAAACAATGGTTATTTTTATTAATTTATTCTTTAATGTATAACCTTTAGATCACACGAGTTACCTGGTTTACTGACCTCAGAATTATAGTGGTTTTATAGACAAAGACAAAAAATCATTTCCTGAGAGACCTTGTTTTGAAATATATTGCTGTGTAACAAATTACCTCAAATCTTAGTGACTTAAAACATTAATTTTCTGACAGTTGTTATTGGTCAGGATTCTGGGCATGACTTCCCTGGGTCCATGAATTCAGGTTGCTCAGAGGCTGTATGTACTCAGTGTGTTGGATGGGCTTGTAGTCACCCTAAGGCTCTACTGAGGGAGGCAACACATTCCAGATCCAGCACATAGTTGTTGTCAAGATTCAGTTCCGGGAGAGCTGTTGGGCTGAGGGACCTAGTTCCTCACAGGCTGTTGCCAGAGGCCATCCTCAGTTTATTGCCAAGTGGATCTCCGTAAAAGACCTTTAAGCATGGCAGCTGGCTTCATCTGAGTAAGGATGCAAAAAGAGTCAGGGGAAGCATTAGCAAGATTGAAGTCTTTGTTTGTTTGTTTGTTTGTTTTTTGAGACGGAGTCTCGCTCTGTCGCCCAGGCTGGAGTGCAGTGGCGCGATCTCGGCTCACTGCAAGCTCCGCCTCCCGGGTTCACACCATTCTCCTGCCTCAGCCTCCCGAGTAGCTGGGACTACAGGTGCCAGCCAACACGCCAGGCTAATTTTTTATATTTTTAGTAGAGACAGTGTTTCACCATGTTAGCCAGGATGGTCTCGATCTCCTGACCTCATGATCCACCTGCCTCGGCCTCCCAAAGTGCTGGGATTACAGGCGTGAGCCACCGTGCCCGGCCTGAAGTCTTGGTTTTCAATAACCTAACTGCAGACACGACGTCCCCTCACACCTTATTCTGTTCTTTGGAGGTGATTCATTAGGTCTAGTCTACTCTCAAGGGGAGTGAGTTATGCAATGATGTGAATATCAGGAAGCCGAACTCATTGAGGGGCTATTACAGGCAGTGAATGCTTTGTCAGCACTCTGTGGTTTCTCTCTTCCACTTCCCCACGATCACATCTTAGATCACAAACTTTTATTGAGCACTTAATTTGTGCAGGCACACTTCAAAACTGTAACAAATGTCTTCCTTTTTATTACTCTATCCAGCACACATATTATACTGTAATACTTCTAATAATTTCTTTTCTCAGTGTATATTTATTAAACTCCTACTATGTACCAAAAATTATAGTGGGCATTAGAATGTCCAAAATAAATAAGGTCTCAAAGACAAACTTAATCTCCATCATTTTTAAGTATAATTTTAATTAGCTTCATTTCACAATAGAAGTGACCTTTTAAAATTTAATCTTCTAACAATATTTCTATAGAAAAATAATTAGTCTTTGGTACAATATACACTTCAAGAATTATGCTATCAGGTTATTTATGTGTTTGAGTTTTTAGAACATGGCGGGAAAAATACCCTTGCTTGAAAATGCATTATTGCTCCTAAATTTGTTGTTCCTATTAATGTTTTGTTTATACCATAAAACTAGCTACAATGATTTAGATTCCTGTTTATAATAATGTGTGAATGCAGACATTTATAGTAGGAACATTAAAATGAACTAGACTAGTATATAGTCAGAACAGTTGCAGTACTCTTTCTCTCTCTCTGTTAAATACTACTGATTGATTACATTAGGTTGCATTAAACTTAAAATTGTATTCTCTTTGCAAACTGCTTTTCTTCTTTACACCTAAATACATCATATATTAATTGTAAAACTACTAAACACATAGATAGAGATGGAAAACAACCGCTTTAAAATAGACCAAATGATGTACGTGGTTCCTAGAAGTCTATCTACTGGATTGTGTATCATATTCAAAAAGCACAGCTTGGCCTGACCAGGAAAGTATATGGGACTTGTTCTCAGAATCATTCTGCCTCTGTAACAGTAGAAAAATCAGAGGGTAGAAAGTTGAGAAGATAAGATGTGACAGATTAGTAGCAGGGAGTAATAATGGCAGTTTGGGATTGTAAATATAAATAATCTAATGATTATTTAGTCCAAGGTGAGAAAATTGAAAAGTAAGATTATGTAATATGAGATTTATTGGGGATAGCCATATAGCTGTTGCTTGGCTTTTAAAATTTTTTTGGTGGTTTCTATACCACCAAAATGGAAAACATTTTAACATTAAAAAAAAAAGCAAACAAATAATTACATTGGTCAAAATGTTAGAAATGATTTCATGATTAACTCTGTACAATAAGTCCTTTCTTGTGATGTTTGGTAAAACCATGTGACAGATAACATGTAAAATATTAATGTGTGGCCTGGAAGCACCAACTGGTATGAAATATTTGTTCTGCTTTCCCAGGAGACTTGGGGTTATAATTACCCGGAGGTGGAAAAGAAGACGAGAGTTTACCAGGGTTCAGCAAATTAAAAATGCCAACTTTACAGTCTCCTTGAGATTAGAGGAGAATAAGAAATCCTAGATTTCAGGCGAGAGAGTGGAAACATTTAAAAATTGATTTATTTTGATAGACTTCATTTCTCTCCTTTGCCCTAGAGTAAACAAAACTATTACTTTGTTGGGGGCAGAGGGTGTCTATTTTGTCTGCATAAGGCATTCAGCAATGCCTGAATATATTTTTGATTGTTGCAATTGGAGAGTTGCTACTGGCATCTAGTGGGTAGAGGCCAGAGATGCTGCTCAACATCTGACCCACACAGGACAAACCCCACAACAAAGAATGTCAATGGTGCTAAGATCCAAAATATCAATAGTGCCAAAGTTGAAAAACCCTGAGTGAGGCATTGGTGGACACAGAGAGATGAGGTGGGGAAAGGCAGGTACAGAAGGTGGTGTTTGTGTCTCCTCTCCCAAGGAAATCAGAAGGATGAGAAAGAAGCAAAGGAGTTTCTTGCAAGGTAATGGGAAATATTAGTGAAGAGGAGGCCGGTGTGCTGCTTTTCATTAGAAGAACAAGAAAGGAAGCCCCACAGTTAGGCCCCAGAAAAAAGGATGGTGGTATGAAGACATGAGGAGGTGCTCAGTTACCTGCTCAGCTTTGCACTGATCTGAGGGTGAGGTACACCTGAGGAAAGGTATTTTTCCCACAGGCCTGCAGCAAACTACTGAGTCTGGCTGGATAAGAGAGCCAAGAAACCACGCCAAGAATCAGCAATGTGGGAAAAGGGGGTTCACCTTAGGTAAGTACACATGCACTGCATATAGGGAGCTGGGAGGGGACTAAAGGTGCACCAACATCAGCACCTGGCTGTGGCCAAAATAGAGGTACATCAGCCCATGGGCCAGCCTAGATGAGCTCTGGAGTCTAACAAGATGGAATGCATAATTCCCACCATGTTGTCAGTCCACTATATCCTAATGGAATGAACTGCTATGGTTTGAATGATGGTGCTCCTTCCAAATGTTACATTGAACTTAATCCCCAATGCCATAGTATTAATAAATGTGGCCTTTGGGAGGTGATTAAGCCATGAGGGTTCTGCCTTCATGAATGGGATTAGCATCCTTTTACAAGGAAAACTTATCTTGTCTTTTTGTCCTTTCCACCATGTCAGGATGTAGCATTCATCCCTTCCAGAGGATGCAGCAATAAGGTGTCATCTCGGAAAAAGAGCACAGCCTTCACCAGACATCATTCCTGATGATGCCTTAATCTTGGACTTTCGAGGCTCCAAAATGGTGAGAAATAAATTTATATTGTTTATAAATTACCTAACTTCTGGTATTTTTTTCCAGCACACAAACAAAGAGCCCTCTCCTTCTCACACCACCAGCATACATACTCAATGCTAAACCATACTATTGGGAATTGACATGCAGAGACCAAATTCTATGCATTTCAAAGTAGGATGTGAAGGAGAAAAAAAAGAGGGTCTTTAAAGGAAAAACAATGATGTGGAGATGAACTTTTGGGCATCACTGGAGTATTGCTAACGTAGCTAATGCTCAATGGAATTGAATTTACCTGAAAGCTTTTGTGGTAAGTCATCTGACAGAAGGTTAAAAAATAGTCAAAAACACTCCATTTTTTATATCTCTGTTAAATGGACTGTTGTACCCATGAAACATTATACCTGTTATGACACTTCTGGTGCTTTTTATTTCTTGGCATTGAATAGCAAACTGTGAGAGACAGGACGTGTAATCTGACTAATCATTATTTCCCTTTCACTTTCGTGTATTATTCCTAGAAGTTGTATCCTTTAACAACATGCAGATCAGCTGCCAATGGGCTATGTTTGGCATCACCCTGCCTTTCATCTCATTTATTCTTACTTATGCTTTTTGTGTCAACTTAAACATTTTTTTAATTGGGCACACTGATTTTATTTATTTTGGACGTATATCCAGAAAGGGGATTGCTAGATGATGCGGTAGTTCTATTTTTAACTTCCTGAGGAATCTCCACACTGTTCTACAAAAAGACTGTGCGAATTTCTCACCAATAGTGTACAAAACTGTTAGCTTTTGCCTTTTTGATAAATACCATTATAATGACGTGATAGATCATTGTGGTTTTAATTTGCATTTTCCTGATGATTACTGATGTTGAGCATTTTCTTATGTACTTTGTGGCCTTTTGTATGACTTTTTTTTTCCTCCAACTTTTATTTTTTTTCAGGGATACATGTGCAGGATGTGCAGGTTAGAAGTAGAGCACAACCTGTACATCCTGCATGTGTGCCACAGGGGTTTGCTCTATACATCATCCCATCACCTAGGTGTTAAGCCCAGCATCTATTAGCTACTCTTCCTGGTGCTCTACCTCCTTCCACTCCAACCTTCTGACAGGCTCCAGTGTGTGTTGTTCCCTACATCAATGTGTCCATGTGTTCTTATCATTCAGCTCCTATTTATAAGTGACAACATGTGGGATTTGGTTTTCTGTTCCTGCGTTAGTTTGCTGAGGATAATGGCTTCTAGCTCCATCCATGTCCCTGCAAAGGACATGATCTCACTCTTTTTGTGGCTGAATAGTATTCCATGGTGTATGTGTAGCACATTGTCTTTATCCAGTCTATCATTGATGGGCATTTAGGTTGATTCCATTTCTTTGCTATTGTGAATAGTGCTGCAATGAACATACATGTGCATGTATGTTTATCATAGAGCAACTTATATTCCTTTAGGCATATATGCAGTAATGGGATTACTGGGTTGAATGGTATTTCTGCCTCTAGGTCTTTGAAAAGTCACCACATTATCCTCCATAATGGTCAAACTAATTTACACTCCCACTAACAGTGTAAAAGCATTCCTTTTTCTCCACAACCTCACCAGCATCTATTGTTTTTTGACTTTTTAATAAAAGCCATTCTGACTGATGTGAGATGGTATCTCATTATGGTTTTGATTTGCATTTCTCTAACGATCAATGATGTTAAGCTGTTTTTCATATGATTCTTGGCCACATGTATGTCTTCTTTTGAGAAGTGTCTGTTCATATCCTTTGCTCACTTTTTAAATGGGGTTGTTTCTTTTTTCCTTGTAAATTTAATTTTCTTATTGAAGCTGGATATTAGACCTTTGTCAGATAGATACATTGCAAACATTTTCTCCCAATCTGTAGGTTGTCTGCTTGCTCTATTGATAGTTTATTTTGCTGTGCAGAAGCTCTTTAGTTTAATTAGTTCCCCTTGGTCAGTTTTTGCTTTTGTTGTAATTGCTTTTGGCATCATCGTCATGAAATCTTTGCCTGTGCTTATGTCCTGAATGGTACTGAATTGGAAGTAAAACGCTACTCAGCAAATGCAAAGGAACTGAAATCATAACAGTCTCTCAGACTACAACACTATCAAATTAGAATTCAAGATTAATAAATTCACTCAAAATAATACAACTATATGGAAATTGAACAACCTGCTCCTGAATGACTTTTGGGTAAATTATAAAATTAAGGCAGAAATCAAGTTCTTTGAAAAAAATGCTATCAAAAATACAATGTACCAAAATCTGTGTGATGCAACTAAAGCAGTTGTAGGAGGGAAATTTTTAGCACTAAATGCCCACATCACAATGCTAGAAAGAGCTCAAGTTACCAACCTAACATCACAACTAAAAGAACTAGAGAACCAAGAGTAAACTATCCCCAAGCTATCAGAAGACAAAAAATGACCAAGATCAGAACTGAACTGAAGGAGATTGAGGCACAAAAATATCCTTCAAAAAACCAACAAATCCAGGAGCTGTTTTTTTTTTAAGAAATATAAAATAACTAGCTAGCTAGACTAATAAAAAAGAAAAAATATTCAAAGAAAGACTATCAGAAATGATAAGGGAGATATCACCACTGATCCCACAGAAATGCAAACAACTATCAGACAATCCTATAAACATCTCTGTGCACATAAAATAGAAAATCTAGAAGAAATGGTTAAATTCCTAGACACATACACCCTCCCAAGGCTGAACCCAAAAGAAATTGAATCCCTGAATAGACCAATATCAAGTTCTGAAATTGAGGCAATAATAAATAGTCTACCAAACAAAAAAAGCAAAAGCCCAGAACCAGATGGATTCACAGCTGAAATCTACTAGAGTTACAAAGAAGAGCTGGTACCATTCCTACTGAAACTATTCTTAAAAAATAAAAAGGAGTGATTGCTCCTTAACTCATTCTGTGAGGCCAGCATCATCCTGATACCAAAACCTTGTTGCTGAGATACAACAGAAAAAGAAAACTTTAGGCCAGTATCCTTGATGAATATTGATGCAAAAATACTCAACAAAATACCCTCAAATCAAACCCAGCAGCACATCAAAAAGCTTATCCACCATGATCAAGTAGGCTTTATTCCTGAGATACAAAGTCAGTTCAACATATACAAATCAATTAATGTGATTCACCACATAAACAGAACTAAAGACAAAAACCACATGATTATCTCAATAAATGGAGATAAGGCTTTCAATAAAATTCAGCATCCCTTTGTGTTAAAAAGTCTCAATAAACTAGGTATATTGAAGGAACATACCTCAAAATAATAAGAGCCATCTATGACAAACCCACAGTCAATACCATACTGAATGGGCAAAAGCCTGAAGCATTCCCCTTGAAAACCAGCACAAGACAAGCATGATCTCTCTCACCACTCCTATTCAACATAGTATTGGAAGTCCTGGCCAAGGCAATCAGGCAAAAGAAAGAAATAACGGTATTCAAATAAGAAGACAGGAAGTCAAACTATCTTTGTTTGCAGATGGCGTGGTTCTATGTCTAGAAAACCCCATAAACTCAGCTTGAAAGCTTCTTAAGTTAATAAGCAACTTCAGTAATACAGGATACAGGAGCAACTCAGGATACAAAATAAATGTGCAAAAATTGCTAGCATTTCTATACACCAAAAACAGGCAAGCAAGAGCCAAATCATGAATAAACTCTCATTCACAATTGCTACAAAAAGAATAAAATACCTAGGAATACAGCTAATGAGGGAAGTGAAGGACCTCTTCAAGGAGAACTACAAACCACTGCTCAGAGAGATCAGAGATGACACAAACAAATGGAAAAACATTCCATGCTCATGAATAGGAAGAACCAATATCGTGGAAATGACCATACTGCCCAAAGTAATTTATAGATGCAATGCTATTCCCATGAAACTACCATTGACATTCTTCACAGAATTAGAAAAAAAAATTAAAATTCATGCATAACCAAAAAAGAGCCTGAATAGCCAAGGCAATCCTAAGCAAAATGAACAAAGCTGAAGGCATCATGCTACCCAACTTCAAACTATACTACAGGGCTATAGTAAGCAAAACAGCATGATAACGATACAAGAACAGACACATAGACCAGTGGAACAGAACAGAGAACCCAGCTATAGGATTGCACACCTACAATCATCTGATCTTCAACAAACTCCCCTGGCAAAAATAAGCAATGGGGAAAGGATTCTCTATTTAATAAATGGTGCTGGGAAAACTAGCTAGCCATGTGCAGAAAATCAAATCTGGACGCCTTCCTTACACCATATACAAAAATCAACTTATGATGGATTAAAGACTTAAATGTAAAGCCCAAAACTATAAAAACTCTAGAAGAAAACCTTGCAATATCATTCAGAACTTAAGTACAGGCAAAGATTTCATGACGAAGACGCCAAAAGCAATTGCGTCAGTTTAAACTTCTCTTCCACCTGGAAACTTTTCCTGACCACTCCAGATTAGGTTAAAAGCCCCTGAAATGCATTTCACAGCACTTAACAAAGTTTACTAAACTAAAGTATTATTAAATTATTCATTTCCTTTGAGAACAAAGTCATTGTTTATGGATTGCCACAGACTCTCCAGAGCCTAACTTGGTACTTAACACATTACAGGCATTATAAAATATAGATATCTCTAAGTAATGAAACTAGATTGAAACCTGCAATGACAGTCAAACTTTAATAGCTAACTACCTTACCCCATTTTTCACCTTCCCACATTTTTCTATATTCAAAAGCCATATTTCTGCCACACATTTGAGCATCATTTTTGAAAATTACTTGTTTTTAAGAATGAATTTTGAAACTGTTTCTTGCTTTTTCATGGGTGACATAAAGTAGGATCATGGTACATAAGAGTGATATTGACATTTGGGTTAAAAGTCCCCTAGAACAAGTTCCTGGGATTTTCCATAAAGCCAAATGCACTGGCTTACATATTACAAATATTCAATTGTTTTCTCTTGAATGAGGGAGAATGTGTGGTAGAAAAAAACATGGGTTCTAAAAGCTGGCACAAGCAAGGCAAACTGTTGGCCTCACTGCTTACCAAGGTTATGATCTTAGAAATAGCCTATAGGTGTCTTATTTTCAATATGTAAAACGGGCATTACAACACCAGCTTGTGTTTTTGCTGATTAAAGTGTTTTTAGCTTAGACTTTCAATTCTGCCAATGAAAGAAGTCAATCGGCTTCACAAGACACAGTGTACTGCCCTGAAAGGCCTCTGATGCTGTTTCTTTTCTGTGCTCCATCTTGTCACAAATTACCCTAATTCAAGTTTCTTTCTCTTCTCCTAATCATGGTATAATATGCAACATTTACTAAGTTCCTGGTGATTAAATGTACAAGACTGTTTCATCACCAAAAATTTAAAGTCGAGGGTGTTTCCTAAAAATAGAGAATTCCCTTTGAAAAAAGTTGCTAATAAGGGTAAAAAAAAGAAAACACAATGCCTCTCTCCCCTTAATAAGCTCAACAAAGGGAACCAAGTTTTATAGAATGCCAATATCTTAATTTCTCATTTTGCTTAAAAAGCTGGTGAAGCATGGAGTTAACAGCGTAAAAGTGCTGATACAGAGCTATTTTATGATAGATCTGAAAGATGTAATTTGTCTGTCTTTTAATGCTATCACAGTGAATTTGAAAAAAAAATACAGATGGTCTTGAAATCCGTTGTTAAACCGAGAAAAATCCATAGAGTACAAATTTAATATATATTTCATGATTAAATTCTTGCATTATATTCGCAGAGACTTCTGGATCAAGTCCTACCTCTCTGATTTGGTATAGCTTCCTGTGCTCTCTCCTTCCCTGTCTCTCCACCTTACTGCCTGACAATCATCCTCACTTTATACTATGCTCCAGCCATGCTGAAACACTCGTGATTCTCAAGTAAACGGTGCTGTTTTACCCTTTGCTTAACCCTCCTAAGCAAAGTTTATCACTCATACCCACTATGCCTTATACTTCAGTTTATTTATTCGACAAACATTTATTAAGTGCCTTTTGTGGTCCAGTTACAGCAGGAGGGTCTTGGGAAATACAGCACTAAAGTCATGACCTCTATCCTCAGAGGGTTTGGAATCTTATAAAGAGAGACCTGTAGGTAAATAAATGCTCAGAGATAACATGGTGGGTGCAATAGAAGTGGATACAGCGTGCATTGGAGAGCATGAAAGATTCCAAAGAGGTGGGCAGATTTGGAAAGGGATTCAGGGAGGTGGTCATGATTAAGCTAAGTCTTCAATGAGGCTAGGGGCAGAGAGAGCTGTGGGGAAAAGGTGGAGTTATAAAACATCCCAGTGTTTCAGGGAAAATACTTGGAGGAACAGTTGCTTTTAAGAGCAAGAACCACAGTTACTTTTGTGCCAACCTATTATACACATAATGGGATAACAGTTGGAGGGTTGACAGTGTGGGGCTGGAGTTACTGATCTGAGTCTAGATTCAGACCCTATGGCTGCCTGTTCCTGTGTACATACTCAAACCTCTTTGAAATTCAGTTTTCTTTTCTGTAAAAGATGGATACCATCTTCCAGATTATCATAAAATTAATTGAGAACATATAAATCACTGAACCTGAGTACATTAGATAAATTCAAAAATACTACTTTTCTGTTGATTTTAACATTCTAGAGGCTATGGTCTTTTGTGAATGGGTGGTATGTGGTTGGAGACAAAAAGGGACAGAGGTGTTCGTTAAAAAGCCATTCATGCTATATATGGTAGACAAAATAATAGGCTACTCAAAAGTGGCTGAATTCCAATCTCCAGAACCCCTAAATATATTAGCTTATGAGGCAAATGAGACTTCACAGATATGACTAAGTTGAGAATTTTGAGTTGGGGATATCATACCAGATTAACTGGTTGGGCCCAATGTCATTAGAAGGGTTTATAAAAGGAAGAGGAAGGCAGGAGAGTCAGAATCAGAGAAGGAGGTAATGAGGGAAGAAGTCAGAGTGGAGAGGGATTTGAAGATGCTTCACCACTGGCTTTGAACATGAGGGAAGGCACCATGACTTTGGAAATGCAGGCAGCCTCGTGCAGCTAGAAAAGGCAAGGAAATGGTTTTCCCCTAGAGCTTCTCAAAGGAATGTAGCCCTGCTGACATCCTGACTTTAAGATTTCCGACCTTAAGAAATGTAACATAATAAATATTGTTTTTTTTTAAGCTACTAAGTTTTGGTAATTTGTTAAAGCAGAAATAGAAAATTATAACCCATATAAACATATTATGGATTTATATTTTATCCTATGGTCAACAGAAAACTATTAGTATTTTATTTTAATAAAGGAATCACACTACCAAGTATGCAACTTGGAAACAAAATCATAATTGCAATATAAAACGGTTGGATCAGGGATGAGCAATACTGTAGGAAAAGGAAATCAGATGGTAAAACTTCTCCCAGTCTAGACTCCAGGTAAAGAAGGCTGGGTAAAGGAACTATTAAGCAGTAAAATCAGGTTTTATCAGCTCTGAAGCTTATATAATCTATAAATCTGTAGGAAAAAATATACAAAATTGTTAATGCAAAAGTAAGTATAAAATTGGATGTTTATTTAGAATGAGAAACAAATCAGAACAAACTATTTTATAAAGTGATAGATATTAGTACCACAAACATAACCAAATTTTAGAAAAAGAACATAATATTTTGATTAACTGCCTAATACAATTTCTAATGCTATTGCCCCTACATTTTTGCAGCCTGATCCAAGGCCTTAGAAGAAACTGAGAAAATTAGGGGCCTTAAAGTTTAAGCTTCATTAGTTTAACAGCAAATCTTTCTCTGAATTGAATATATTGGCCTGGAGACTTACTGAGTAGAGGAATAGAAACTACTTCAGAGATATGGTTTGAGTAGCTGAATGGATGTTGCTTCCCTGGATATAGCATTCACAGCACAATAATGCCTTTTCAAGTTTACATCTGTCTGGCTTAATAAACTGAATTCCTGGAGGATAGAGACTTGTATCCTACCTGGCACAGATTATCTGCTGTAGAGCAAGTTTTGAATGAATGATTACATATTACACAATATGCAGCTTGAACTGAAATTTACATAAACATTTTTGCATTTTAAAGAAATACTGTGTGATATGATTTGGCTGTGTCCCCACCCAAATCTCAATTTGAATTGTATCTCCCAGAATTCCCACATGTTATGGGAGGGACACAGTGGGAGGTAATTTAATCATGGGGGACAATCTTTTCTGTGCTATTCTCATGATAGTGAATACATCTCATGAGATCTGATGGGTTTATCAGGGGGGTTTCTGCTTTTGCTTCTTCCTCATTTTCTTTTGCTGCTACCATGTAAAAAGTGCCTTTCATTTTCTGTCATGATTCTGAGGCCTCCCCAGCCATGTGGAACTGTAAGTCCAATTAAACCTCTTTTTCTTTCCAGTCTCGGAAATGTGAAAATGAACTCATACAGTAAATTGATACCAGTACGGTTGGGTGTTGCTGAAAAAACATCTGAAAATGTGGAAGCAACTTTGGAACTGGGTAACAGGCAGAGGATGGAACACTTTGGAGGACTCAGAAGAAAGAAAAATGTGAGAAAGTTTGGAATTTCTTATAGACTTGTTGAATGCCTTTGACCAAAAGCCCGATAGCTATATGGACAATAAGTTCCAGGCTGAGGTGATCTCAGACGGAGATGAGGAATTTGTTGGGAACTGGAGCAAAGATGACTCATGTTATGTTTTAGCAAAGAGACTTGTGGGATTCTGCCCCTGCCCTAGAGATTTGTGGAACTTTGAACTTGAGAGAGATGATTTAGGGCATCTGGTGGAAGACATTTCTAAGTAGCAAAGCATTCAAAATGTGATTTGGGTGCTGTTAAAAGCATTCTGTTTTAAAAGGGAAACAGTATAAAAGTTCAGAAAATGTGCATCCTGATTATACAGTAGAAAAGAAAAGCTCATTTTCTGAGGAGAAATTCAAGCCAGCTGCAGAAATTTGTGTAAGTAACAAGGAGCCTAATGTTAATCCCCAAGACCATGGGGAAAATGCCTCCAGGCCATGTCAGAGACCTTCATGACAGCCCCTCCCATCACAGGCACAGGCCCAGAGGCCCAGGAAGAAGAGTAGTTTTGTGGGCGGGGCCCAGGGTCCCTATCCTGTGTATAGCTTAGAGACTTGGTGCCAAGGGTCTCAGATGCTCCCACTGTGGCTGAAAGGGGTCAGTGTAGAGCTCGGACTGTGGCTTCAGAGGGTGGAAGCCCCAAACCTTTGCGTCTTCTATATGGTGTTGAGCCTGCACGTGCACAGAAGTCAAGAATTGAGGTTTGGGAACCTCCGCTTAGATTTCAGAAGATTTATGGAAACCCCTGCATGCCCAGGTAAAAGTTTTCTGCAGGGGATGGGGCCCTCGCAGAGAACCTCTGCTAGCACAATGCAGAAGGGAAATGTAGGCTCAGAGCCCCCACACAGAGTCCCTACTGTGGCACTGTGTAGTGGAGCTGTGAGAAGAGGGGTCACTGTTCTCCAGACCCCAAAATGGTAGATCTTGCACCGTGCACCACATGGAATGGCAGACAGCTTGCATCTTGTGCCTGGAAAAGCCACAGATACTCAACACCAGCCCATGAAAGCAGCCGGGAGTGAGGCTGTACCCTGCAAAACCACAGGGAACCATGGCTCCAAAACCATGGGAACCTACCTCTTGTATCAGTATGAGCTGGATATGAGACCTGGAGTCAACGGAGATCATTTTGGAGCTTTAAAATTAGACTGCTCCGCTGGATTTCAGACCTTCATGGGCCTTGTAACCCCTCTGTTTTGGCCAATATCTCCCATTTGGAGCAGCTTTATTTACCCAATACCTGTACCCTCATTGTATATAGAAAGTAACTAGCTTGCTTTTGATTTAACAGGCACGTGGGTGGAAGGAACTTACCTTGTATCAGATGAGACTTTGGATGGTGGACTTTTGGGTTAATGCTGAAATGAGTTAAGACTTTGAGGGACTGTTGGGAAGGAATGATTGGTTTTGAAATGTGAGGACATGAGATTTGGAGAGACCAGGGGTTTGGCTGTGTCTCCACCCAAAACTCAACTTGAATTGTATCTCCCAGGATTCCCATGTGTTGTGGGAGGGACTCAGGGGAGGTAATTGAATCATGGGGGCCAGTCTGTCCTATGCTATTCTCATGATAGTGAATGAGTCTCGAGATCTTCTGGGTTTATAAGGGATTTCTGCTTTTGCTTCTTCCTCATTTTCTCTTGCTGTCACCATGTAAGAAGTGCCTTTCACCTCTTACCATGATTCTGAGGCCTCCCTAGCCATGTGAAACTGTTAAGTCCAATTAAGCCTCTTTTTCTTCCCAGTCTTGGGCATGTTTTTATCATCAACGTGAAAACGGACTAATACACTATGCATGTTATGTGGTAGCATTATATAAACGAAAACATCAGGGCAACTTTACTTAATGTAAAAAGTATTTACCGTGGTGTGCACCACAGGATATAATAGCTGTGTAACTGCTTTAAAATTTCGTTACATAAGTTTTATATTTGTTTGTTTTAGAGACAAGCCTCTGAAAATTTTAAAATAATCATTTTGGCCACAGAAAGTTATAGTTAGAAACTGACCACAATGAGTTATAAAAGTCACCTTTCTTTTCTAAATATGTAAACTATGATACTGTTCGGTATAAAAAATAATTGATAACAAAAAATCAAACTCATTTTTAGCAACATAGATTAGGCAGTAAGCTACTTATACTATCTACTTTGTCTTTAGTTGCATTGAGCATATATTAATTCCCAGTTTTACTTTGAACAAATAATATATTTTTGGAATGTAGAAACAAACCATCACTCTATTGCAGTAACTTTATTACATCCAATCAAAATGCATTTAATCAATCAGTGGTGACAACATATACCTACAAAATATTTTCCCAAGAAAATAAATATTTGAAGTAGGGATATTATCTACAACAAGAAGTTCATTTCATAGTAATAATTACAGTTTATAGTATGTAGTATATAGTCAAGTACATTCTTATAAGCCTTGAGAGATAGCATAATGAACAGACATTAGATGTAAATTGGTATTTTCAGTACCACCTTTCTAAAGCAAACTCAGGAAAATAGGTAAGAATTCTGATAATATATTTTGACCAAAGCCAGTAAGGCCATCTTAGGTGTATGTGGTATATCATTGATGACTTTCATAAGAGGTAACAATGATTTATTTAATAACTTTATGTGCACATGTGTATATGTGTCCAGGTATATGTACATAGAAGGAGAGGGGACAAGATACCCACACCTTCAGATGACTGTGAAAAAATCCGTGTCCTCTACACTTACCACTTTACAGTTTCAAAAATCAAACCACACACCAAATATCAGTTTGACTACTGATGTTTTCAAGCATTTTGTATGTATAGAGTATGTTTTATGATGATTGAGAAAATAAAATCTTGTCTTAAATTTCAACAAACTCTGATATATAGATCCTATTTATTATACTCAAAACCAAATTAATACCTGGGAAATTACATAATTAAAAGAATGTCATATTTGTGCTCTTTTTTTTTTGCATCAACAGCTCTTAGATCTGAGGCTCACTCCACTGAATACTCTTGCAGTTGCCGGATCTTCATTCTTTGAGAATGAATTTCTTTTTTAAAATAGCCAAAAACCCACCTTGAATGATATCCAAATTGGTGAATAATGTGCCTGATCAAACTATGTAACACTATTTTTGGTCAGAAACAGTATAATTCTAAAAAATGAATCTGAATTTTTTTGTGACTGGAAAAGTAGGTAAGAAAACTCGAAAATAATGTGATGATAGGCTAGTGAAAAATGTGCAATGCTTTTCAAGCAAATGATTTGAATGAGGTATCAAGCTCTTGGATGTGTAAGCTAATTATTTAGAGATGTTTATTACAATCTGTCATTTTTCTTTAGAATCCTAACTCATTTAATTTTAATATAATATGTCATTTATATATAAATATAAAAAGCATGGAAACAATACCAACTTTACATTCTGCAAAGTATCTACTATATGTTATCTTGAGACCAGAATAACTTGATTTAATTCCAATTAGCAATTAAATAATTGAATTTTAATTATATCAAATGAGCTCCAGATACTGAGGAATTGCACAACTGATGTATAATTTATCCACATCAATTAGAGTTACATGATTTTATTATGAACGTCACATAAATCCTATTCTAGAAAGAAGATTAAACCAGAGAATACTGAACAGTAACCCAGGTGATACTTGAGAGAAAATTTAGAAGCTAATTTAAAAGTCAAAAAATAAAAAGATATAGCTTAGTGTTCAAATAAAATTCTGCCAAGTTTAAAACTTTAAAATTACTCAAAGGCAGAGATTTAATTCAATAAATAGAAAATCAATTTATCTTCATACGCTATGCTGGTATGTTATATTTCTTGGTGTGGTGGATTAAAAATGAAGTGTGACTGGCATTCTACACTGATAATTGGAACCATTTCTGGTCTTTTGTTATATCTTGCCAAGCAATCACTGAAGTGCATTGAAGAAAAATAGACCCAATCCCTCATTAAACACATGAAACAAAAAAATCTGCCTAGGATTTTTGGAGAGTTTAGGGGAAGTCCATATTTATGGCCACTAAATTGTTTTCAACGAATTGCATTTTAACTTATTTTATCTCAAGACTCACAATATTTTAATAATTTTGCAACTTAAAAGAACTCAGAACATAGAGTGCAATTTCTGAGAGATACCTAAAAAGTTGTATTTTCTTCGGTGATATAAAAATCTTTACATTTATTTTCAGCTCTGTTTTAACGATCAATTTACACTGATTGGAGCAATGTAAAAATCTGTGTCATTGAAGAAAAAAATATTTGGATAAGAAATAAAATATTGATTACCTTCATTCCACCTGGTGCTTTGTTGAGACAATAGCAAGTATCCATTTGCTATTAAATGTCATCTGATTGTTAAATTCCCCATCTACCGGAAAATAGGGTCACACAGCAATTTATGCCTCCTAGGTAAGAATGGAAGAAAAGCGTTTTAATCGAAGTTTGGCAACTCTGTAATTTAGATTTCCTGTTGATACAAATCAATTGCTATAAAAATTGCCATCAATACTTAGTTTAAAACTCACTTTTTATTGAAAGAATGACTCATTCATGCTAACTGGAAAACACACACACACACAAACAGTTCTTAAACTTGGTTTTTAAAAGTTTATGATTTTAATTCACTTAAAAGATAATCAAGGCTGGGCACGGTGGCTCACGCCCATAATCCCAGCACTTTGGGAGGCTGAGGAGGGCGGATCACTTGAGGTCGGGAGTTCAAGACCAGCCTGTTCAACATGGTGAAACTCCATCTCTACAAAAAAAAAATAAATAAATAAAATAAAATAAAAATTAGCCGGGCATGGTGGTAGGTGCCTGTAATTCCAGTTGCTCAGGAGGCTCAGGCAGGAGAATCATTTGAACCTGGGAGGCGGAGGTTGCAGTGAGCTGAGATCGTACCAATGCACTCCAGCCTGGGGGACACAACAACACTTCATCTCAAAAATAAAATAAAATAAAAATAAAGATAATCAAGAAAACTTTACCAACATTGAGTCATCTTAATGTATAACACGCCAATGGATTGGAGAAGGGAGTTAGCTCAGCGCCTCAGCATATCAGTCTCTCTCTCTCTTTCCTACAGTGGGAGCTGCATATTTCAGTAACCTTGACCAATGTGGAGCTGCTAAGTTTTAGATGTTTTTCTTCTATCTATAGATTCTCTCTCATTCTGCCCTAGTTTTTATTTGCTTATCACTTATAGCTCTCATTTTCAACATATATTTTCTGCCGCTGACCTTCCCTCTGAACTTTCAAGCTTTCTCTCTTTTTAAAAAATTTTGAACTTTAAAGTAGGTAGTTCCAGATCAAAAGATTTCTAGAAGTTCCCTCTTTTTATTAATTGAAGAAAATCGTATGTGAATTGTTTGAATTGCCTGAACTTAAAATGACATGCTTCAGGGACAGAAATGCTACATTTCTTCAAAATGTTTTGCAGAATCTAGGACACTCCAGGTGCTAAGTTATCCACCTAAAGGACTCCTTTCTTAACTCATAAAAGGAACAGGCAAGTATTTATGAAGCTAATGCTGAAAGGCAGAATAAATCCTTAAATCCTTCTCAACTTAAGACTGTTGAGAAAATAGCTTACTGAGGACTTACAATCTTGTTTCTGAAACACAGCTCAATTTTCCCCAATGTATTGCTTTATTCATAATGTAAAATTTTAGTATCAAAATGTCAAATAAAGGGGAGAAAATTATTTCTAGAAAAGTAAGCACACAAGAAGGAATACAAATTTAAATTAAAGTACCAAGGGCAGAATTCTGCATTTTTGCTAACAGACTAATTAAAAAACATGACAGGTATTTGCAACTTCAAATATGTACATACATATTCCCACAGAAACAGATCAAAGTAACAATATAGTACCTATTCAAAATGAGTAAAGATGTAGATAGATAGATGATGATAGATAGATAGATGATAGATAGATAGATAGATAGATAGATAGATAGATAGATAGTTGTGGGCAGAAAGAAAGAAATCTCAGTCAGTCTTCTCTGTTTGACCCCATACATAATTCTCTTATTTTTTGTTTATATTATAGGAAAGAAGGAGAAATGTAAAAAAAAAATTGCCTAAACTCATTGCATAACTTCAACAATTATCAGTAATATGCCATTCTGGTTTCATCTAGTTCACCAGTTTATTCACCGGTAATACTTTAAATACTTTAAAGCAAACTCCATGTTTCATTTGGATCTACATAGAAACATTTTGGTCTCTGTATATTCTTGATGAGTAGATCTCTGGTAAAGGTGAAAACTTCAAGCCTAGACATATCTGATCATGATGTAAGAATCATGTAATCAATCATTGATAATAATCTTTTTATTAGGTTGATTGGTTTATGAAAGCCCTAATAAGTGAGGAGATAGTCTGTAAAATGACTATCAGCTTTGTTGAAATCAGGATTCAAAAGGTCAGGCTGAATGAAGCCTGCAGGCCCACTCTGACCTTAACTGGTTCTCCTGAGTTTTCCATCCATAAATCACGTTTTCAGTTATTTCTCCATCAGATGGCACTTCACATAAATTGCACTGCCAGAAAGAAGATGTTATTAATATTGGAAAACTTTTTAAGCATACCAGTACTTTGAAGATAAGCAAAATATTTATTTTTCCTATCAAGTTATCTTTCAGTTCATATAGAACTTACTTCAGATGAGCAACAGATCTGCAGCTCTTTAGTCCCTCTTTATTTCCCTAATTTCATTCACTCCGTCCCAGTTCCTTTCAGTTGTTTCTTCCCTTCTGAACTTCCTCATTCACATCTCTATCCCAGGATTATCTCTAGGCCCAAGGCCTAGAAGTCATTACATGATTCCTTACTCTTCTCTGGAAAGACACTTGAATTTTAGGAGAATGCTTGGATTTAAAAGATTATTTTTGTTGTGCTAATACTGACAAACTCATTGAAAAAATAAATATACCAATAGTCAGAGAAATGGAAATTAAGCTTACAACTAGATACTGCATTCAACTATTAACCTTACAAACATTGTATGAAGATCTAATAAAGATCTGTTATAAATGTGAAAAAATAACATCTTTTTGGCATTCTGGGTAAATACAGTAAATTTTCAAAATACTCATAACCTTTTACTGAAAAATTATAAACACAGAAATCTAATTCGTATGCATATTACCAATCCACAAGACCTGTATATAGAATGTTTGCAGTAATATTATCTACAGTGGCCAAAGCATGTGTATTTTACTGTTTTGTTTTGTTCAAATTTTAATTTTAGGCTCAAGGGTACATACGCAGGTTTGTTATTTAGGTAAACTATGTGTCATGAGTGTTTGGTGGACAGATGATTTCATGCCTCCAGTAATAAGCATAGTACCTGATAGGTAGTTTATTGATTATCTCCGTTCTCCTACCTGCCCCCCTTACATAGCCCTCCTCATCTTTTGTGCCCTTCTTTGTGTTGATGTATTCTCATTGTTTAGTGGCATTTGGTTTTGGTTTTCTTTTCCTACTTTAGTTTGCTTATGATAATGGCCTCCAGCTCATCCATGTTGCTGCAAAGGACATGATCTCATTCTTTCTTATGGCTGCATAGTATTCCATGGTATAAATATGTATCATATTTTCTTTATCCAGTCTACTATTGATTGGCATTTAGGTTGATTCCATGGGTCTTTGCTATTCATGCATGAATGTTTATTATTGGAGAATGGCTGAATAAATTTTGCTGCTAGACTATTATATGAATTTGAATATATTAACTATAAGCCAATTGACTTAGAATAATTTCTAGGATGCATGGTAATGTATAAAAAAGCAAGATTTATAGAGTTAAATATAATTTCATTATGTAAAGCAAACAGTGACTGACTATATTCACACACACACACACCTCCTTACATAGAGCTGTTTGTGTATACACACAAGAAGGAGAAACTATAGAGGCGAGTGACAGGGATATCACAGTTTCAGTGCTGATGCAAGAGAAAGAATGGGGCAGGAGAGGGAAAGTCACCTTACATTAATATAACATAAATAGTATAATTCCATTTATGGAGAAGTATATATTTATAATTGCATAAATAGGTGAATGAAAGGGTGACAATCAAAATGATAATAATGACTGTCTCAGCCTGTTGAGATTCCAGAAGTTTTTACTTCCTTATTTATAATTTTCTGCATTGTTATAATGTATTATAGTGAAGATGTAGTAATCATTTAATTGGGACATAAAAGGGGAAAGCAAAGGAAAGAAAAGGAGAGTGTAGAAGGCTGCCTGGAAGCATTGGTTGCCCATTTATGATTCATAGTTCTGTCCCTAAAGTGAGAGTAGTCAGCGTGTCCATGTGATTTGCTTTAACAACATTTGAGCAAAAGGGTGTGGGTGAAAAGAAACTAAATGTTTAGGTTTCACATAGGCTCAGATTTTGCCAGACTTACATATGGAAGGTGAGAAGTGCAAAGGAGTTAAGGACATTTGTAAGAAGGTGATCATAATGACACATGGTGAAATCTATTCTATGCCAAGAATAAAATGTAGATGAATGATGATAGATAGTAAAAGAAAATAATCAGTAATCAATGGTTTAGACATTTTTATGAGCGCAATGATAAGTTGACATGAGAATCTAGATTAAGTTGAAGGAATTATAAGAAATGTAAGAAATTGGAAAATATCTGTTAGTCAATATATACCTAAGATTTAGAAAAGTTTTAAGACTAGAGATTTGTAGAATTGTTGGTGTTTTTGAAAGGTAAAATCTTGCTCTAGTATGGTATGAATTTTAGAAAAAAAAGTCTTCACCTCTAATGGATATAAGAATCATCTAGTGTTCTTGTTAAAGGGCAGATTCTAATTCACTGGGTCTGAGGTAGACCCCCTGGCCATGTTGCTTGACCACACTTTGAATAGTAAGGATAGAAAATTGGTAGTAACTGAGATTGTACTTAATCTTTAGCAGGTGATTATTCAAAACATTTTTAGAAAAAATAGCCACTTAAAAAACTTTTGAAGAGTTTTAAAAGATTATGAGGTCTCAAATTTTTTATAACAAATGCAAAATGTAAATATTAATTTGGAGGAGATATTTTTAAAAAGAAGATAGATAAGAAAAATGCTTTCACTTACTATTGGACAAAATGAGGTCACAATGAAATATGAGTGATGGATTATTGCCTGTGAAAGTATACTGAAGAAAACTCCAAAAATGTGACACTTCAACTTTTGAGACCTCCTTACTCAAATATCACTAAAGTAGATCCTGGTAATTATGTTATACTTATTTTATGACAAACTGTTTGTGCAAAACAATGCTGTATAATCAAATCAAGTAGAAATCATAACAGCTCTGGTGTCCCCTGGCTGGTCACCACTCATCCATTTAATGTTTCTCTTGCCATTTAAAAATTTGCATATATATTCAGAAATGTGAACTTATATTGTCATATTGTATTCACTGCTCTTCTAACTATTACATTTAACTACTTTTGTCTCTTATCTTTAAAATATATGTAATGAGTGATAGTATTTCCTATTTGTAGATTAAAAAATATCTTGTGAATTTAATGTTTACTTGTAGGTAACAGATTGTCATATCACTTTATTAAAAATAAATTAAAACTTTCAATTTATAAATTAAATATGTAGAACAATATTAACTAACACTCGGATATTCCATTGGTCAGGAATTCAAGACCAGCCTGGCCAGCATGGTGAAACCCTGAATCTACTAGAAATTAAAAAAAAAAAAAAAATTAGCTGGGCATGATGGTGGGTGCCTGAAATCCCAGCTACTCGGGTGGCTGAGGCAGGAGAATCACTTGAACCCAGGAGGTGGAGGTTACAGTGAGCTGAGATGGCACCGCTGCACTCCAGCCTGGGCGACAGAGTGAGACTCTGTCAGAAAGAAAGAACAGAAAGAAAGAGAGAGAGAGAGAGGGAGGGAGGGAGGGAGGGAAAGAAGGAAGGAAGGAAGGAAGGAAGGAAGGAAGGAAGGAAGGAAGGAAGGAAGGAAGGATGGATTAATTTCCTCACTCTGTTCTCCAGCTAAAAAGCTTAGAGCTGGTGACTGCCTACTTCCAGAGAAGACATTGACTCCTGCTATTTCTCCAAAACCTACTGTTCTCCCAATTGTGAGCTGCTTTTTCAGAATACTCCTGGCCGAAGAAAGGAAAAGAGAGAATTTAAGTGACTCTGACTCCTCAGCTATAATGTGGTTGAAAATGACTCTTTCTCTTTTGAAGTATGTTACTGAGATTTTTTGATAGCCTTCTTATGTTATCTTACTTATTAGTTCTGGTTAATGGATTGTGGGCAGAGACCTACGTGTTAACTCTCAGTCTGAGAAGCTCATTGCCTGTGTGAGGCATTCTAGGACTCTCTTCTGACTTGAAACATTCTATGGTGGAAATCCAGGTAGCTTGAATCACAAGTGAGAGCATGAGCAATTAAACCCACTTTTGGTCTCTCCAGTTCATTAACCACTCCTGCCATACCAACATAGATAGAATCGGGGTAAAAAATAAACATTGGTTGTTTTTAAGTTATTCAGATTTCTTTGTTTTGTTTTGTATTTAGTAACCACAATATAGACTCAGCGTTCTGCCTGATACAGGATACTTTGGAAGGCTCTTTGTGGGTTTCCATTGCTTCAGATCTCCTGGCTATAACCAACTTGATGTAGATGATGCCTTCTATTTTTCTGCTTGTTTCTCAGCCTCTGGGCTCACCAATGGTCTATCCTACATAGAATATGTTTACTGGGGTCTTCTCACTTTCTAGGAAGGACTGAAAACAGCATTGAAGTGTTTCTCTTTCTCCAATGTGGTCCAACACTAGTCTGTAGAAAACATTCATGTATTTTTTGGTCATCAAACCACTGAGAAAATATGTGGGTCACCCTCAAAGTGACAGCCCTCTCCCAACTTCTTAACTTAATACCTTAGGCAGATCTGCTGCTTTCAATGTTCCTGGAGGAGTCCACAGTGTCCTACACTGCAGATAATATATTTAAAGCTCTTAGAGTGACCAGCTCAAAGCCTTTCATACAGTAGGCTCTGGATTAAAAGATAGGTCCTCCCTAGCCCCTGTCTTTTGAAAGATATCATTTCAGTAGCAGGCTGTCAATAGGAGCTCTCAACAATTCAACCTTTTTTACACACTCTAAACACATTTATCAACACAGATTCTGAGCAATTTCTTAATTATCTTATTAGTAGGTTTTGTATATTGGTGTGGGGAATTTTCACATTCCCATTTTAGTATATGAATACAATTTAGTTGATATGTCAGTAGAAACCAAGACAGGGTAAGTCCCATTTCAACATCTAGGTACATTCAAAATCTTGTGTTTACAATTAAGCAATATGTTGCAGATAGTTTTCCAGGTAAATACATATGTATTTACATTATTTGTATTAAGTATCACATGGAATTCCATAGCACAGTGTTCAAATGTTTTCCCTTTGAGTATAAAAATAATTTGGAAAAACTATGTGCTCCCCGCAAATATCTTAAGATAGAAATCTAAGAATTTATTATAATTTTAAGTACCTGCAAAGGAGATAGTCTCCACCATGATGTAACTATTGACATTTAAAAATGAAACTGGCTCTTTATTCCTTTAAATGTAACTAATGAAATCTAAATACCATAATAATTTCATATCCAATCTAACCTATTTAAATACAAACAAATTAGGTCTTTGAGCATGTGCCATTTTAGAATACTGTGTGTTTCCCTTAAACTCCTACTTCTTTTTTATGCAGTCCATAGAATATCATTGCTATTAACTATAATTATTAATGTTTGAAATTGCTTATTGGCTAATTTCTAACTTTACATATATGTACATGTGTGTAATATGAGTATACATGTATGAAAATTATTTTTTCTTGTGATCCTAATAATTAAAATTGTGTTAAATATTTCACTGCATTCAGTTATAACTATTGTTATACAAATAGTAGTGTGTATATTTTAAATTTTGATTGTCAAGCAAAAGCAGTAGAATTTATGTCTTAATGACATTTCAGTGGCTTTTTTTTCCAACTGATTTATGTACTAATGGATGAATTTAACTTATTGCTAGCATGATAGGGATGAACAGTTAACGTTATTTTTTTCATAGATGTAAGCACTGAGAAATCTTGTTTACCTAAATAATTAGGTGAACACAGAAGAAATTTTGATATAGAAGTGTTTGCTCCATTTTTAAAATTCCTTTGTAGGTTTTTGTCAAAACATAACACAGCAATAGATCACCAAAATTATTTTTAATGATCTATTAAGAGTCAACTCATTTAAATCCTCAAAAGATAGAAACTATCTGAACTGCAAAAGAATTTACCTACTTATTAGCATCATTCACATCAATTTTGGGAAGCAGCATGAAAAGGCTTTACAAAGACTTTATTACTGCTAATTATATTTGTTATTTAGAGATGAATCCATGTTTTCCAGAGACTAAAACTTATACAAAATGGGGATTATATTTTTGAAAGAACACAAAGTCATAAAGACAAAATTATGTGTGAATGTTATAATTTATTTAAGAAAAAATGCATAATAAATTATATGTTAAGGATGTTGACAAATGCTTCAAGTTTTACACAATACAGAAAAATAGCATAATATTCAAATTAATTTACTGACACATCTATAATTATTTTTTTCTCTACATCTTTTGGCTATGAAACTTGATATCTGTTTATATCATAATTTTCTAGGAATACTTTCTATAAAGAGTTAAGAAAAATAATTTAATTATTACTCTAGCATAGTTGATGGAAATTTGTTTGCCATTACTGATGATTTTGTAAAATTCTTCACAGAATCTCAATGGTTATTTGGTGAAGTCATTAATTATTTAAGACTGGGGTCATAATGTGTATAAATCACTAACCCAATTTGTTTCCTATGGGGTCTGTAAGATTTAGGCACAAGTGAATTTCTTTTTGAGGGTTGGGGGTTAGTGATTAATCCGATTATTCTTTGAATTAATGACACCTATTAACCATATATTAGAGTTTTATCACTGTCACACTTGTTTTTTACATTGTTTTTGTGAAGAGAGCAATTTTGTAATTAGTTGCTTTGGACCTACTAGATTTAATCAGGACAAAATACATTTAGATACATTGAAATGTTATTCTGTATTTTGAGATATATTTTAGTCCATTTGGGCTGCTATAACACACCATAAATTCTGTAGCTTATAAACAACAGAAGTATATTTTTCACAGTTCTGGAGGCTGAGAAATTTAAGATCAAGGCGCCAGCAGATTTAGTGTCTGGTGAGGGCCTACTTTCTGATTCATAGGTGGCCTCTTCTCACTGTGTCCTCACATGGGGCAAATGTTGAACAATCTCTCTATGACCTATTTATAAGGGCACTAATCACATTTACAAGGGCTCCACCCTCATGATCTAATCACCTCCTAAATGCCTCACCTCATAATATTATCATGTGGAAGGTTAGGACTTCAACATATGAATTTTAGAGGAACAAAGACATTTAGGGCATAGCATTTCACCTCCTAGTCTCCCCAAACTTATGTCCTTTTCACATGAAAAATCCATTAGTTTCATCCCAATAACCTTAAAACTCTTAACTCATTCCAGCATTGACTCAAAAGTCTAAATCCAAAGTATCATCTAAATCAGATATGGGTGAGACTCAAAGTACAATTATCCTGAGGCAAATTCCCCTCTAGCCATGAACCTGTAAAATCCAACATAATGTGCTTCCAAAATAAAATGGTGGGAAAGGCGTAGGATAGGCAGTCTCATTTTTAAAGTGATAAATAAGAAAGAAAAAAAGGATACCTATGTCCTGAGCTAATTCACAACCTTAAGGCTTGACTTGAGGATCTGCCTTCCAGGACCAGTGGGGCAGAGTTCCCACCTTTTGGACACACTGGAGCAGAGGGTGAGTCCCCAAGGCTTCAGGGATTCCTGCCTCCATGGCTTTGGGCAACTCCATTCCCATGGCTTTGCTGGATACAGGTCACACTGCATGATATCAAACAAAGTGCAGGGAATGGAGCCTGCAATGTGAGGCAGCACGTGGCAGTAGAAGTACGTCCTTGCACTCTGAAACTTTGATGGAAGGGTCAGCCCTGATAATCTCCAAAATGCCATTGGGGTTATTCTCCCATTGTTATTCTTCTATTTTGCATTTCCTAGTTGGGCAATAGGTCCTGGCTTCTGTTGAGATGGCTGATTAATATCAGTCTTCTTAACAAATGGCCACCCTCTTGTTCTCCTCTGAACAGAGTTTCACCGTTTTTTCATTATGGATAGGCTGAGAATTTGACAAATTTTTATTTCTGCTTCCTTTTTTTTTTTTAACAATTCGGCCTTTAAATTATTTATCTCTTCTCACTTTTTCTTTTCCTGTAAGTACTCAAGAGAAGCCAAGTTGTACCTTCAACTCTGCTTAGAAATTTCCTCAGCCAAATATCCAATTTCATTTCTCATAAGTTCTACCTTTCACAAAACACTAGAACATGCACATAAGTCAGCGAGTTTCTTTGTTATTTTATAATAAGCATGGCTTTTACTCCATTGTCCAATAGCATTTTCCTCATTTCCATGGGAGCTCTCAAAAGAATGGCCCTTACTGTCTATATTTCTACCAACATTCTTTTTATGACCACTTACCTATGCTCTAAGAAGACTGAAACTTTCTCTTTAGCTCTACTATTTTCTTTCTGGTCCCCTACCAGAATAGTCCTTAATGGTCTGTTCATGACAGTGCAGACATTTTCTAGCATAGACCTCAAAACTCTAGCTTTTATCTATTACCCAGTTCCAAACCCTTTCTACATTTTTAGTTATTTATTATAACAGCATCCCCACTTCTAGGCCCTATCTTTCTGTCTTAGTATATACAGGTTGCTGTAACAAAGTACCATAAAATGGGTGGCTTATAAGCAATGAAAATTTATTTCTCAGAGTTCTGGAGGCTGTGAAGTCAAGATTAATATGCTAGCAAATTCAGTGTTTAGCAAAGGGCTTACATTCTGGTTCATACACGGCACTTTCTCACTGTGTCCTCCCATTGTGGAAGGGACAAATGAGCTCCCTTTGCCTCTTTTATAAGAAAACTAATCTCAATCATGATACTGTGTTTGCAAACATACTCTGATTTCAGATTTTAACTACTACAAATCTTATTCTAATTAAAATTTTTATACTTATTTATTGGCAGGCTCTGATTATTTATGCCATAGTATTTGAACATTATTGATTATTTTGGAACTTGGGATATTTAAAGTCAGGTATCATTTTCTACAAAGAGTTTTTCTGCATTCTTTCTTGACAAAATTGATTGCTCCTGTTTTTGTGACTCCTTTGTATTCAATGCACCTGTAATGCTTTCTCGAACTTATGTTTTATCACCTCTGTCTTTGGAGATCAAAGCTATTTTTTGTTTGAGTAAGTAAAGGTCAATGTGATATAGCATTTTTTTCTTTACTATAAATAAATGATTGTATAGTTAATTTTTTAAAATTAAACTTTTATATGTTTTTAGCTAACTCAATAAAATAATAGTAACACAACATTACCATGGGCCTTGTATGCTGTTAAGCATTTAACTCTCATATTATTATCCTCATTTTACATATAGGAACTCTGATACACAGAATGAGAACCTTGCCCAAGACTTCAAGATTAAAGATTGAGCCTGAATTTTGATCTCAAGAAGTTGGATTGCAGATGTCTTGGTTCACACTCTAAGAAAACAATAAAGCTATAATGCAAAGTTTTAAACTTAACAGGAAATGCTTGTTCTGTAGAAATGACATTATGCAGTAGCAAAGAGCACAGGAGTGAATTCTAATAGTATTGTATTAACATCCCACTTCTAATATTTAATACTCATGAGAATTTGGAAATTGTGCTTAACCTCTCCAAGATTCTTTTTCCTCATTTGTTAAAGAGTTAAGAAAAAAACTCGGCACATTTATAGTGGATGTTTAATTAAATGAAGAATATGATATGCTTAACGCAGCATATGCCACATAGCAAATGTTCTCTAAATGGCAGCTACATTTTGCTTCTTCTTATTTTGGTGACGTAAAAGCACCCATAGTGTGTCCATCAGCCACGTACCATGACGGAAAATTGATTGCAAAGAAAAGGAAAACGAATGACATTTTGTAGCATTCCTAATTACAGTTTAAAGTGAACTTGATATTCTTTAAGGATAAATGGCATGTACTTTCTACTATATTTTATGTCTCTACAATATGAAGCACAATACTATATGCACGGTAGAAATTTACAAAACAATTACTGGGTTTACATAATATCATTGCCAATATCCATTCCTTAGAGAGGATATTGTGAAAGGAAAATAAATCTTGGGGCCCCCAAATCACTAAGCTAAAGGGAAAAGTGAAGCTGAGAACTGCTTAGGGGCAAATTTGCCTCCCACTCTACTCAAAGTCACCACCCTGCTCACTGAGATAAATGCCTATTTGCTTGCCTCCTTTGAAGAGGAGATCAGAAACTCAAAAGAAGGCAACCATTTGTCTCTTATCTACCTATGACCTGGAAGTGCCCTCCTAGCTTTGAGTTGTCCCACCTTTCCAGACCAAACCAATGTTTATCTTACTTATGTTGATTAATATCTCATATCTCCCTAAAACGTATAAGGTCAAACTGCGCCCTGACCACCTTGGACACATGTCGTCAGGACCTCCGGAGGCTGTGTCATGGGTGTGTGTCCTCAACAATGGCAAAAAATAAAAATAAAAATGAAAATAAATAAATTTCAAAAACCATGGCAAAAAAAAAATTAGAAATCTGTTTCTGAATTAACTGTGACCTGTCTCATATTATCGGGGTTCACAATGTCATGGGTTTTATCAGATCTGAAATATTATTTTCATTGGTAAACAACACGTTCAAGTTTTTAGTTCACTCATAACCCATATTCTCTCCTGCATCAACTCTTTTTCTTTATTTTTCTATCTTTATTTTTCAGTTTTTATACATAGACATAAACATTTTTACATAGTCTCCGCCACTGATAAATAGAACATTCAAAAATGAGATAAATTTTTCAGTATAAAGTTATACTGTGTTACATTAGTACTATGATAATACTATACTATCACTGATTCTTCTTTTGTCTTTCATTATCCTTCTTCCTCATTCAAGTGACTCAGACTTTAGAGACAATGCTAGCATATATCACATCTATGCTTCCTCTCTATTATTCTATTACTCCATTTTAATGTTTTTTTAATATTATTCTCCCAACCCTTAAGAGAAAAAATGTTCAGTAGTTCTGCTAAAAATATATACATTTACTTTGCATTTCCATAAAAAAATTAAAATTTTACAATTTCTACAAAGAGTTGATCAACTCTGAATTATGAAAACATGTCCTATATAGATAGAATTTATAGCATTCAGGGTTTTATGATATAGGATAAATAAAATTTATTGCTTAAACTTCTCTATGTAAAAACTTAATTTATAAGTTTTCAGTTATAAGCTACCCTGAATAAATAGAATAGATCTTAACAAAAAGGAACTAGGTATGACACAAGGAGTATATAATGTGGTATTTTCATGCTCATACACCTCCTTGCTCCAAATTATGTAGCTTTGGAAGTATGTATGTGCTTAAATCCTGCTGCTTTTGAAATTAACCACATTAAGCGCTCATTGGTGTGATTAATGCAACTCATCAGACTCTGAGGCTGCTGAATTAATGTATTTATCTGTTTCTATATTCTTTTGTGACAATGATTTAGATTATTATATTATTTAGGTATTCTTGAAAAGTTTATCAAAATCAAACTGTCAACAGGTAGAGGAGAAAAATAATAACAACAGACACATACTATCGGGAAATACTGCCAATGTCTCACTCTCAGTTGGAGAAATTCACTGATATTTCCAGTGCACTGAATAGAAAAGCTGCAATCACAGTTGTATTCTGCCAAGAGCAATGGAACTGTTAGTTCTTTTAAATGAGTGAACCTAAAAAACAAGTTAAGTAAAATGATTACCTTCTTCTCTAGCTTGTCAAGAGTACCAAAGTGCCCATTTCCAATGACACTTGGTGGAATCTCATCCCCACCCCCTTCAGAGGGGTCCAAATTCTATTGAAATGCTAATGAAACTAATTAGGTTATTTCTTTTTTGAACTTCTTTTGTCTTTGAGCTTAAACTCCTATCTGAGATGCTGATTTCATTTGCTTATTTATTGTTTGTCAAGTTTATATAGTGCTATATCCCCAGGGGAGAAATTAAGGATAGAAAAAAATGTGAAATAATGTGCCTGGTTTCTTCAAAGTGATGAATCCCTTTCAGATTTTGATTCCACCTGGATGGCTGTGAATTTGTGTGCATCAGGATGTAAAGTCTAAACAAGTAACAGAAGGGCTGTCAAAGGATTATCATTTCAAAGTTAGATGTGGCAGAAGGCAACTCCTGCAGATTCTGGGAAATGGTGAGGCTGGGGCTATATTTAGGCAGTAGAACTAGCAAGTAAGCAGAAAGAGGCTTTGGATAAAGGTTAATTTTTCTATTTAGGATAGATAATGTCATTTGAGACAGGTGAGTTTTTTTTGTGTGGTCATATTCACTTCATTTCCCATTTTTTTCCTTAATACAATTTACTTTTTATACAGGCATAAAACCTACAAAGGACAGTAAGAAGTGTTAAAAGGAAAACTTCAGACAAGATAAATTTAACAGTTTATTTGAGCATTAAACGATTCATGATGCAGGCAGCATTTAAAACCAAAAGAGGCTCAGAGTGCCCCAGTTTAGCAGTGTGAGCACAGGGCTTGCATAGGCTGGATGCAGAAGTGAAGCAATTACTTGATTAGCTAGAGCTAGGCCTTTGCCTTATTTGAGAGTGATCCAACTGAAAGTTCCCACTTAAAGGTTAATTAGCAGTTTCTGATTGGTCAAGCTTATGTCTTTACACCCAGGCTTCAGTTTGTTTGTAGGAATCCAAAGTGCCAGAGGCATCCAGCTTGGGCTGAGTTAAAATTTTTAACAGGAAGACTAACTTTCAGGTAAGATTTCAGTCATCAGCAATCCAGGAGGCCTCTGTTATCACAGGTCTGTTCCTAGTTCCACACCAATCCTAAGTTTAGAATACTCAGGAGTGGAAGAAAATGGTGTTGCTTCTTGGGAAGGTGACTTCTAGATCCAGGATCTTAGAATCCTAGGTTCTCTATTGTAGGACATCAGCTTACAGTGTTTAATTCTGTCAGAAGCATGTGAACCAGAGCAACTCCATCTTTAATGGGGGCTAGGTAAAATAAGGCTGAGACCTCTGGGCCACATTCCCAGATGGTTAAGACATTCTAACTTATAGGAGATAGGAGCTCAGCACAAGATACAGGTCATAAAGACCTTGCTAATAAAACAGGTTGCAGTAAAGAAGCCTGCCAAATCCCACCAAAACCAAGATGGTGACGAGAGTGACCTCTGGTCGTCCTCCTGATACACTCCCACCAGTGTAATGACAGTTTACGAATGCCATGGCAACATCGGGAAGTTACCCAGTATGGTCTAGAAAGGGGAGGCATGAATAATCCACCCCTTGTTTAGCATATAATCAAGAAATAACCGTTAAAAAAATGAACAACCAGCAGCCCTTGTGACTACTCTGTCTATAGAGTAGCCATTATTTTATTCCTTTTCTTTCCTAAAAAACTTGCTTTCACTTTAGTCCAGGCTCACTCTGAATTATTTCTTGCGCCAGATCCGAGAACCCTCTCTTGGTGTCTGGATTTGGACCCATTTCCTCTAACAGTTCCAGGACATGTTTATAATATCATTAAATATCATAATGTCATCAAAAAAGAGATCAAATAAGAAACTACTAAAATTGAGATAATCTCATAAGCAGAGTGGATATGAGATTTTTTTTAAAAAAACTGTGTTTTCATATGCCATATGCTGAAATATATATGCGGAGAGAGAGAGAGGAGGAGTTTTTAAAATATAGAATCTATTTAAAGAAAGTAAAATATTTCTAATAAAATATTTTTTAAGTAGATTAAACAAAACATTTTATTTAAGGACCTACAACAATAAATGGAAAGAAGTCCTATGATGCTCCTGGATAGAAATTCACAAAGTCACTCATATTCTAGGGCTTCTAAGAATTCCACTTAGATTGAAAAAAAATAAAATGTTGCTAAACAGCACAGGTCATGGTATGGATAGATTGCTTCATATGTGTCTGGTAGAGTTTAACTCATCTCAAGGTTTTTGAAAACGAGTTCAATAATAGTTGGTAGGAAAAATTTCATGATTATTGATTCAAAAATTTTAGAGAAATCTGACCTAGAGAAATGAAAGCATCAGGTAGAATAATACTGAATATTATAAGAATTATGGTGGTATTTTTTTGTAACAACAGAAGCAATAAATTAATGTACATTAATAGGAGTGTTTGAATAGATTATATCTACTCTAGTGAATGTGCTATAGCAAAAGAAATGCTCTACATGTTACATCCTGGAAAGAATGTGTGTGTGCACATATAGGTGTGTTTGTAAAATGTATATAAAAAATTACAAACCATGAAGGAACATTTCTCATTTTTACCATGCATAACCTCTTATAAGTTGGCTGAATGAGATTTAGCTGATATGTATAATAAAAATATAAAATTTCCATTTGTTTTGTAGGGAGAAATTTCTGCATCAGTGGAAAATTAAGCATTGTCTAGAGCACGCATGGAATTGGTCATCCAGTTCTAGCTTTATATTGCTTTTGAGCTAGTTATAGAACTCCAAATTATAGAGATTGGTAACAATGCAAGATCCTGTGTATAGATATGCTAATTCTGTGCTGTAAAAGTTCAGTTTAATTCCCCCTCCCAATGTAGAAGAAGCCACTTTGCCTCCTTTTGCACATTCACTTCCATATTCCTGATCTATGAATATTTGTATGTTTGGAACTCTCCTTTGAATGGGTTAACAAACCTTCACAGTTTTCTCACTAAGAATGATTTAAATAAGCTCTTTAACATATGTTACCATTATGAGAGTCAACTTTGTTTAAAAATTATTCTTTAATAGACTTTTTTCAGATTTTTTAAATGTGGGTTATAGAAAACATATACTTAATAATATGCACATATTTAATATATATAATTTACAACATCATAGAGAAAGGTCAGTAATTTTGTATGCCAAGTTGTGGTGAGACAGGAGAAAGAAAAGCTTTGAAGTTTTCATTTTCACTTTCCATTATATTTATTTTTATATAGGACTTCTTGCATCTTTTTGCATGTGGTATTTTTATAGTTTAAAAAAAGAAAAAATATAATAAATAATAGTGAATCATACCATGGATAATACCTACTTAAGGAAGAGGTTTTATTTTATTTTTTTTGAGATGGAGTCTCGCTCTGTTGCCCAGGCTGGAGTGCAGTGATGCGATCTCAGCTCACTGAGGTAGCTCACGCCTGTAATCCTAGCACTTTGGAAGGCCCAGGCAGGCAGGTCACCTGAGGTCAGGAGTTCGAGACCAACCTGGGCAACATGGAGAAACCCTGTCTCCACTAAAAATACAAAAAATTAGCCAGGCGTGGTGGTGCGTGCCTGTAATCCCAGCTACTCCGGAGGCTGAGGCAGGAGAATCACTTGAACCTGGGAGGTGGAGGTTGCAGTGAGCTGAGATCATGCCACTGCACTGCAGCCTGGGTGACAGAGCAAGACTCCGTCTCAAATTCTTTTTTTTTTTACTCTTCTCAAAATCTAGTGACTAAAATGCATTGAACACTGTATTAAATTTCTTAATAATAATGAAAATGTAAGAAGAAAATGCACCAATGTTTAACATCACTCGCAGATAAGACGAAAATAGTCTCAGTTTATATGAAACATTGCTTATCCACACTTCCCAGCTTGCTCAAAGTGAAGGCTGTAGCAATTACCCAAGTTTTGGTCTTATCTCTATAGTACAAACTCAAGCATTGGAAGGCAATGCATGCCCGTCAATATTTTCTAAATATCTTTATCTCTGCTATATTCTTGTGGTTCACAGTCACTCCAGAATGTTCAAATACAAAACTATGTTAATATTTTATTTCTTGTACTGCAATTTTAGTTATAATAGCAAGTTGTCCTTTGCTTGATACTTGTAAGAGCAATCTGAGAGTAAATGTTGACAATTTATTTTGTTATTTGTAATACTAAACCAAAGCTATAAAAATAGTTATATCTCTGTTTGCAAGAAGGATGTTCTCATCCACTGAAATCCATACCCACATTTCTCCCCAGCAACTTGCTCATTCATCCCTTTAATAATTCACATTTATTTCTTAAACAAATACATATTGAACACTTTCTATGTATCAGGCATTAGTTGAGGCATTGGGATTCAGAGACAGACAAAACAAGATTCTTGTTCTTCTATTCCCATTGCAAAGTGTAAGATTCAAGCTTCTTTCTACCCTATTATTTCTCCAATCTCAGTACCATTCTAGGGCCTTGAACTTTCTGTTTCTCTTGCTTGGAACACTTCCTCTCCATATTATTAACGAGAATTTTCTTAGTTTCTTTTCTGTTCTGAATTTAAATGTAATCCCTTTAAAAAAGTTAGCCTTTACCCACCATACTTGATACACCAACCCGTGGGCACTTTGTACAATGCCATTGTATTTTGTCTTCTTGAATGCCTTTTTTATATCTGAATTATTTCAAGGACATATTTGATTTTACGTTTTACTTATTGACTTGTGGAGATTACATTTTGGTGGGGAAGATGGTTGAACTATCTCTATCTGTATATCTAGTTTATCTAGTATATCTAGCTAGTATATCTCTATCTTGATCATCTACATCTATATCCTTTCCATGGCTATAACTTTTAAGAAAGTAGTCAACTAAGGGTGGCACTGCAGCAGTGATTTGTAAAATGTTGTCCTGAACTAACTATGCCTAGGAGCTCATACAAAATCTAAATTAGAACTCTGGAGGTGGGTCTCAGCCATTTGTGTGTTACAGTGCCTTCCAGGTGATTCTGGGGCATAATAAAGTTTGAGGACTACTGGAATAAAATTGTTCAAGTTGCAACAAATGAGCTTCACCTCGTTTCTTGTGATGCATGTAGTCTAGTTTTTTAAATTAACATTAGATGATTTAAGATTTTTTTTGTCCTCCCTGTGCTTTTTTTTCTACACCATAGTGCCTTCAGCCTGCATTAGCTGACAAGTCAGCAGTTTCTACTACAGAAAGCAAAAAAAAAGTAAGAGAAGAAGTCTGAGAAGTCAAAAGACTTGCAGATTATCTGACTAGGACACTCTGTGGAGGACTTTGATACAAATGGATTGATTTTTCAGTCTAGTGATCTCTGTTCAGGTAAACTGGTTATTTTTACTTAGACTTTGAGGCCATTGTGTTAGAGATAAAAATAATCCTAGATACTTGACATTTTTATGTTTGAGTGATTTTGAGTATTTTTACACTTTATTTTATAAATGATCTTTTTAAGAGCTTAATGCCTAGTTGAAAATGATTTAATTAAAACTAACATTGAAACATCTTTTTCAGCACAGAAGCAACACATTTATAATAGAAAGCAAAAAAATAAAAAGTGCATAATACAAAAAAGAGAAAAATCTGCCATTAGCTGTGTCACTAACTTTGAACAGATTACTGAAACTTTTGTCAGGGTGTCAGGGAGGTTTATTTATTTTCTTCTCTTTTTTATTTTTTATTTTTAAAGTGTTTTAGTTAGAGTAAAATGATCCCAAAACCTCTTTAGCCCTTCAGAGAGATATTTAGCTAACTATATACATCTATGTAATTTTGCATATGAAGTATATTTTAGATGTCTAGCACTGCATATAAAAGATAAATCTGGGCCGCGTGCAGTGGTTCATGCCTGTAATCTAAGCACTTTGGGAGGCCGAGACGGGTGGATCATTTGAGGTCAGGAGTTCAAGACCAGCCTGACCAACGTGACGAAACCCCATCTCTACTAAATACAAAAAAAATTAGCCGGGTGTGGTGGCACATGCCTGTAATCCCAGCTACTTGGGAGGCTGAGGCAGGACAATCGCTCGAACCTGGGAGGCAGAGGTTGCAGTGAGCCAAGATTGTACCACTGCACTCCAGCCTGGGCAACAGAGTGAAACTCCATCTCAAAAAAAAAAAAAAGAAAAAAAAAAGAAAGAAAAGATAAATCTATATCACCATTTTAAATTAATAAATTAAATGATTTTAAAATAAAATAATTCATTTGAAGTGAATAAATTATATAGCATTTTATGAATTTAGCATAATATTTAATTAAACAAAAATTTGTTTCCAATTTTCTATAGAACACTAATTAGATGATGTCCAATCAGTTCCAAGCTGTTGAATTTATAGATTAAAATAAATTTTGATATTGATTACCTCATTTCTCTTCAGAAATGTTGCATCAATTTTCCTTCCTACTGACTGTGTATAAGAAGCTTTTTTTTAGCAATATTGAGTAGCATCATTGTTTTTACTGTTATCAACAGAAAGATAAAAAAAAATGGCACTTCACTGGCTTAATGTTTACTACTCTGATAGGAAAATATAGTAAAGTATTTTATTAGCATGACCCATTGCATCTCTTCTAAAATATTTCTTTTAATATTTTTTGTCCATTTACAAAAATTAGGATGTCTGTCTTTATCTTAAAAATCTGTATATTCATGGCCGGGCGCAGTGGCTCACGCCAGCACTTTGGGAGGCCGAGGTGGGCGGATCACGAGGTCAGGAGATCGAGACCATCCTGGCCAACATGGTGAAACCTTGCCTCTACTAAAAATACAAAAATTTGCTGAGCGTGGTAGCGTGTGCCTATAGTCCCAGCTACTTGGGAGGCTGAGGCAGGAGAATTCGCTTGAACCTGGGAGGCAGAGGTTGCAGTGAGCCAAGATTGTCACTGCACTCCAGCCTGGCAACAGAGTGAGACTCTGTCAAAAAATAAAATAAAATAAAAATCTGTATATTCTAATTATATATAATTATTTTAAAATCATATCTATTAAAAGTTTGGAGTTTGTCTTTTTTAAAAAAACAACCATTTTAATAATGTTTTCTAGTCTATAGAAATTTTATTATGTAGTCAAATCTTTTATTCTTTATGATTCCTGAATTTGGCATCATTCTTAGATATGCTTCCTCAATCCACAAGGTTTAATATATTTGTGCATACACATGTATGTGCATATGCACTTTACATATCTTTGCTTTATTTATATCTTTACATTTCATCTGCTATCTCAGCTGCATTTCATTCTGGTGTTCCATTATAAGGTAGACATAAAAATATATTTTTCCCCTGAATGTATGACTTCTTTTTAGAGACCATTAAATCATATATTTATATGTGCAGCACTATAGAATATTTCCCCTCTTTCAAGGTTCATTATAAGCATGAAAAAAGAGCAGTGAAAAAGTCAGAGAAGGTGTCTAATCTAATGATGACTAGATTCTAAACAGGAATAAGAGAAAATAAATAGATTATACAATTAAATTTTAAAAGATACTGATGTGAAAACTATTTTAAGTTAAGAATTTAACAGTGATTTTACTTCTGCAAAGCGAAAGAAACTATCAACAGAGTAAATAGAACAGACAACCTGCAGAATAGGAGAATATATTTGCAAACTATGTATCTGACAAATTCTCCTATCCAGAATCTATAAGGAATTCAATCAAACAAATCAACAAGCAAAAAACAAACAATCCCATTAAAAAATGAGCAAACAACATGAACAGACCCTTCTCAAAGGAAGACTTACATGTGACCAACAAACATGTAAAACCGTGCTCAATATCACTAATCATTAGGGAATGCAAATCAAAACCACAATGAGATATCATCTCTCATCAGTCAGAATGGCTATTATTACAAACTCAAAAGCTAACAGATGCTGGCGAGGTTGCAGAGAAAAAGGAATGTCTATACACTGCTGATGGAAATACACATTAGTTCAGCCATAGTGAAGAGCAGTCTGGAGGTTTCTCAAAGAACTTAAAACAGAACTACCAGTCAACCCATCAATACCATCCTTGGGCATACCCAAAAGAATAAAAACCATTCTACCACAAAGACACATGCATGCATATGTAACTCTCAGCACTATACACAATAACAAAGACATGGAACTAAACTAGATGCCCATCAATGCTGGATTGGATAAAGAAAATGTGGTACATACACCGTATGGAACACTACACAACTATACAAAATGAGATAATGGCCTTGCAGCAACACAAATTGAGCTGGAGGCCATTTTCCTAAGCGAATTAATGCAGAAACAGAAAACCAAGTACCACATGTTCTCCCTTGTTAAGTAGGAGCTAAACATTAAGTACACAAGGACAAAGAAAAGAACAATAGATAATGGGGCCTATTTGAGGATGGAAGATGGGAGGAAGGTGAGGATGGAAAAACTACCCATTGAGTACTATGCTTATTACCTGGGTGACAAAATAATCTATACATTAAACCCCTGTGACATGTAATTTAACTATGTAACAACTGCACATTTATTCCTCAACCTAAAATAAAAGTCAGAAAGAAAATATATAAATAAATACCTAAAATAGATAGGGTTTAAAATGAAATTCTAAGATGACCCCGAAAACTCCCACCCTATGGCACACAGGGCTGTATAATTGCAAAGCTTTGAGTGTGGGCAAAGTTTTGAGTGTGAATATGATTGGATACTTGCTTCCTTGGTTACATTTGGTTTTATAAGCCTCCGTCTTAGCCAACTGGAGAGAGAGGCTCCTAATGCCTTTGAAGAAGGATTCTTTCATGTTGTACAAGAGGCACATTGCTAGTATCAGACGGCAATCTTTGGTTGCTGAGAGAACCCTCCAGCCATAGTCTGTCAGCAAAAAGGAACCTCAGTCCTATAACAGCAACTCAGAAGATGATCTTGGCTGGGCGCGGTGGGTCATGCCTTTAATCACAGCACTTTGGGAGGCCGAGGTGGACGAATCACTTGAAGTCAGGAGTTTGAGACCAACCTGGCCAACATGGTGAAACCCCGTCTCTACTAAAAATACAAAAATTAGCCAGGTGTGATGGAGGGTGCCTGTAATCTCAGCTACTCGGGAGGCTGAGGCAGGAGAATTGCTAGAACACAGGTAGCAGAAGCTGCAGTAAGCCAAGATCACGCCATTGCACTCCAGACTGGGCAACAAGAGTGAGACTCCATCTCAAAAGAAAAAAAAAAAAAAAGATGACCTGGAAGTCCTATAACTCCTATAAGTTATTGATTTAAGCTAATACATTTTGTTCCCAAAGTAGGAAATACTTTGGGCTTGGCAACAAGGCACATTAATATTTAGTCTGTTCTTTTTTTCTGAAGTTATTGATTGAAGCTAATACATTTTTTCAAGTATTGCTTTAGTTATATTACCTGAGATTTGATATGCAATTCCTAAATAAAACTGTTTGTCTATTATGAGTTTTCCTTTGTTTGTCCTGAGTTGAGTTGTGTTTTAAAACCTATAAAGCTTTCACATTTTTTTAGTGTTCTTTTTGCTCTTGATTTCTAGCAGTCACAATGTAGTCAGGGAATTTGTCTTGCCTGAGAGAAAATTATTTGAAATTTGTTGGAGCTGGCTTTCTAGCTTTGTATCTGGCAATAGAATAAATGCTTCATACTATTCTTTCATTGAGTGAACTATTAGATAAATGGCATTTAAATTAAACTTGCTAGTGTCTTAATCAAATCTTACAGATGCTTACAGACTTTTTTGCCGGTCAGATGTCTCAATTACTAAATAGATGTGTTAATAATCTCTAACCATGGTAATGAACTTATTAGTTTCTACGTTAACTCTGTCAATATTTGCTTTATGTATTTTAAGTCTATTTCTGGGAACATAAATTGTGAAACATTATTTTATTGCTGAACTAAACTTTTAACCTTATTTCTGGTAAGTCTTTTTTATATTTAGACTATTATATTTGATATCGCAAGATGAGCTTTCTGTTGGTAAATATTTACCTAGTATATGTTGTTCTAGAATTTTATTGCAAAAGCTTTCGTGTCTCCTTATTTTGTATTTTATGGCTTTTGCAAATTGTACATAGATAGAATTGTTTTTAATTGATTCTGGTAATTATTGCTTTTTGAATTGGAGAGATTACTCTTTTTATATTAGTTGTGATTACTGATATATTTGGTGTTTTTTATTATAATAATTCCAAACTGTACAATGATAGGTTAGTAAAATGAACTTACCTACTGGGATCCAATTCTTCATGAGTCTTTTGCATTTCTGCCAATTGTCCAAGCAAAGGCACTAAACAAAGAGGTCTTTTAAAAGTTGTTTCTATAGTAAACAGCTTTGGAAGCTAGAGATAGTGTCTCCCTCTGGAGCAAAGAGAAAATGTATTTAGTGTTTAGTATAATAAAGATATTTCCCTCTCAGGCAAAGGTAAGGTAAGCAAACCGTTGATCATGAAAGGTTCAGTTCCCTAAGCTCAAGATTCTTCTTCTGTAACACAATCTATTTTTTTGGTGTAACCTGGCCCTTTTCATGTTGGCTTGTGGAAATTGTGGCTCAGGGAACTAGCACTGATACCCTGTTGCAATTACTGTGAATTATAAAGTATTGTCTCTAATCATGAAATTTTGTGGTCTTTTGTCAGCATTCATGAAACTATGGCAAGCTAAATTGTTAGCTTGGAAGTAGGATAAAATCTGAGAAACTTTGTGTTCTTGGCCTCCCCTATCCCTGTAACAAGGCTTCAACAGTGATCACCTTATGACACAGCGTTTCCTATATACATCTATATCCATCTACCCCCCATCCCAAGATCATAAGACATATCATTTCACACATAAGCATTTTGGTGTGAGTCTTTAACAACTAAGCACTCCTTAAAGATTAAATATCATGATTTCATCTAAAGCAATTTATTTTTATTACCAAATATCCAGTCAGAGTCTACCTTTTGCAAATTGGTTAATATTTGTTATTTCTTATATTTGACGTTTGAAACAGGATCTGATGAAAGTCCACACACTGAAACACTGTTCGGTAGTTCTCTTAAGTCTCTTTTAATCTATACATGATTGTTACCCTACCCTCCTACTTTGCTGCCTTTTGAAATCACCTAAGAATCTTCAAAAAATACAAATGCCTGGTTTTCATCCCCATAAATTTAAATTCATTTGGTATGGGCTGTGATCTGAGTGTCAATCTTTTTAATAGAAAACTGCTGCTATTGATAATGCTTCTCTCTTCCATGCACCCACCTCTGCATCGCCCCCCACTACTACCCTCTCTTTGTCCTTCTTTATTTCTGTCTTGTCTGGCAATTTAGTTTTTGTCTGTAGAACTTCATTATTTTTTAGATTTTGCTGATTGCATCCCTAATCGTCATATAGTATGTTTCCCCAACATCCGAATTTAATGTAAATTGGTAGTTAAATCTAGGGGTTTTATTAGAGTTAGATTTGACTGTTTCGTAAAGCATTTTAAACATGCCATTCTGTATTATTATTATTATTATTATTAGGATTTCTGTACTATTTGATTATCTCTATTTATGTGATACTACTAGCCATTGGTGAATATTGCCTACATCTTATTTTATCGTTCTTTCTTCATTTATTATCTGAAAGGCATGTATAAAGAAGTTGAATTTTTTCTCTATATACCAGTTTTCAAAATAATAAGTTCCCTAGCATCCTCCAAAAATTTTAGATAGATTCTAAAGACATAGATACACACATAAACACACCTAAATACATTTCATTTTTAAGTAGTGTTAATTCATGGATATAACAAAGTTTTGTCTTCCAGGAAACTATCCAAGTTGGCTTAGGTAACTATTTTATATGATCCTTGTTGTCGGTGGTAGCTTTTCTGCTTTATATATTACAAGTTGATGCAGACTCGCCTTGTGCATTTCCTACCCTAAATCTGGAATCAGCCATTTCACTAGAAGCCTTGGTTCCTTTTTAAAGCCTTTTAAAGAAAATGGTAAGGTATTAGAGAGCACAGCATGGTGTCCCATTTGCTTGATTCTGGACTTTTTCAGTGGCTATGAGAGGCTACTTCTAATTTTGTTTTTAGGGCTAAAGCATATCTTCTCCTTTTTTCTATATTAAAAACATTGGCCTTTAACATTACCAATACAATTTTGTATTTGTTCTATCCTAAAATACACATATAAAGTAGTCATGAACAGCAATACCAAGACTCCTTCAAAAGTGTGGTTATTAAAAACATGGCTGGGCGGGGTGGCTCAAGCCTGTAATCCCAGCACTTTGGGAGGCTGAGGCGGGTGGATCTCCTGAGGCCAGGAGTTTGAGAACAGCCTGGCCGACAAAAAGAAACCACATCTCTACTAAAAATACAGAAATTAGCCAAGTGTGGTGGCACATGCCTGTAATCCCAGCTACTCTGGTGGCTGAGGCAGGAGAGCAGCTTGAACCCAGGGGGGAGAGGTTGCAGTCACCCGAGATCGGGCCACTGCATTCTAGCTTGGGTGACAGAGCAAGACTCTGTCTCAAAAAAACAAACCAACCAGCCAAACAAACAAACAAACAAAAAATGGAAAAAAACAAAAACATGCAGCTTAAGCTTTGTTTTTTTCAGTTCTTTTTACCCTTAGACTATATCCCACTAAACATATACAGACAAATTGCAGCATTTTGATGTAACTTAAAGCAGTTCCTCCTGTGTAGTTATATCTAATAACTGGATAGACATTTATTCATTTGTTTATTTGTCTCATTTTGAATCAAATTTTCTGAGGGTTGCAACTGAGTTAATTTTGTTTTATAATTATGCAAAATAATTTCATGGTTTCAAAATTATGTGTTTAGCAGGTATCTTCGGAAAATCAGCTTCTGTCTTTCTCATTTTCAATTTGTTTTCATCCTCACTTATACATAACTGTCTTAGGCCATGTTCCATAGAAGTAGCTCCTAAGATGGAAATTTATGTGCTTGTAATTTAAGGGATTATTTTACGAGAAAGTGAGTGTGACATACAGAACACGGGAAAGGAAGGCAAAAATATGGTTTCACCTAGAATATAATATAGATGTTATCTTGATGGTGTAGGGAGCTCTCGAGAGAGAAATGTATCGTAATTAGCAACACCTTGAAACAAGGGTGGTAGCTCTTACACTCCAGAATCATTTATGGTGAGGTGCTTACTAAGGGGACAAAATTTCCCAGGCAGGAGGCTCCCATTTCACTCGGGCCTACTCTGTGGAAAAGAGCTGTGAACTCAGCAGCCACAATTACAGCATCTGGATACACCAGCCTTATAAATGGAATCTGGTGCATCATGACAGAATTCACTGCAGTAATTTATTAAAGTGTATCATTCGATTGTAAAGGCAAACCTCCTTTTATTCACTTTACTTTTTTTTTTCTTTTTTACAAATTGAAGACTTGTGGTAACCCTGAGTCTGACAAGTCTATTGGGGCCATTTCTGCAAAAACACATGCTTACTTCATCTCTGTGTGACATTTTGGCAATTCATACAATATTTCAAACTTTTTCATTATTACAATATCTGTTGTGGTGTGGTCTTTGATGTTGTTATTGTAATTGTTTGGGGGCACCATGAACCACACCCATATATGAACTGGCTGCTCCCTGTCTCTCTCTTTTTGCTGGGGCCACTCTATTTGTTGAGGCATAGCGATATTAAAATTAGGCCAATTAAGTGTTCTAGACAAAAATAGGGTCACACTTTGCCATTTTAAGTCAAAAGCTAGAAATGATAAAGCTTAATGAGGAAGGCGTAGTGAAAGCTGAGATAGGTCAAAAGGTAGAGCTCTTGAACTAAACAGTTTGCCAAGCTGTGAAGGCAAAGGAAAAGTTCTTGAAGAAAATTAAAAGTGCTACTCCAGTGAACACATGAATGATAAGAAAGTGAAACAGCCTTCTTGCCAGTATAGAGAAAGTTAGACTGGTATAGATGGAAAATCAAACCAGCCACAATATTCTTTTAAGCCAAAGCCTAATGCAGACTAAGGAACTAATTCTCTTCAATTCTATGAAAGCTGAGAAGGGTAAGAAAGCTGCAGTAGAAATGTTAATAGCTAGCAGAGGTTGTTCATAAGGTTTAAGAAAAGAAGTCATCCCCATAATATAAAAATGCATGATGAAACAGTAAATGCTGATGGAGAAGCTGTAGCGAGTTATCCAGGGGGTCTAGCTGAGACAACTGCAGAAAGTGGCTACACTAAACAAGAACTTTTCAATGTAGACAAAACAGCCTTATCTTGGAAGAGCATAACAGGTAGAACTTTCATAGCTAGATTGTTGAAATGACAATAAAAGATTTAGAATATTCCATAAACTTAATTGATCAAGCAGTGGCAGGGCTTGAGGGTCTTGACTCCAATTTTAAAAAGAGTTCTGTGAGTCAAATGCTATCAAGTAGCATAGCATGGTACAGGAAAATCTTTTGTGGAAGAATCAACTGATGCAGCAAACTTGACCCTTGTTTTATTATAAGAAATTGCGACAGCCACCCAACTTCAGTCGTCACCACTCTGATCAGTCACATCAAGATGAAGGTAAGACCCTCTACCAGCAAAAAGAGTATGATTTGTTAAAGGCTCAGATGATTGTTAGCATTTTTTAGCAATAAAATATTTTAACTAATGTAAGTATATTTTTAGACAAAATGCTATTGCATACTTAATACACTACAGCCTTGTGTAAGTGAAATGCGATAGTTGCCTTGACCCCTTTGCAGGACTCATGAAAGGGTGACTACTCATGCCATAGCTCTTACTCATCCCACAGCTCTCAACCCCTTGCTGGAGGGAGAGCACACAGATGAGCGGGTGCAGAGGCCAGGATGTGTGCTTCTGGGAAACTGGCAGGAACAGAACTCTACGGGCCTGCAGCAGCATCTATGGGTTGCCAGTTACTCCCAGAGTCCCAGAGGGCATGTGTTACAGTGCACTCTTTTAGCTTCGCCATCCGTGGATGGCTTAAGTATTAAACAGCTCAGCAGAGGCTCAGTGTGACAGTCTTTTGCACCTGAAACTGGGTCCTTGTCGGCACCCAGGAGGAGTGAGGATGCATGGACAAATAGGAGGGTGGTGAATGCAGAAGATTTTATTGCCTATAGAAGTTGTTTCCAGCAGGAAGGAGGCACTGGGAAGGGGATGGAGCGGGAAGGTAATCTTCGCCTGAGTTTCGACCATCCCCAACCGAACTCCTCTCCGATCATTGTCTCCGATGTCCAGCTGCTGCTTTTCTGGACTTTCAGGTGCTTCTTCTCTTCTCTCCTTCTCTGCTGCTCCACTGCTCTGCCGCTTTGCTGCCTGTGGAGCCTGGGGTTTTTATGGGTACAGGTTGGGGGACTTGGCAGCCCAGGGTGGTTTTGGAAAAGGCAACATTCTGTGGGAAAACAGGAATTCATGCTTTCACTTTGGGCTGGGGGTCCAGGCTTGAGTGTGAGGCTTCACCAGGGACCCCTCTTTTTTCTGCCTAGTTATTTCCCTGCCTCCTATACAAATTATTTGCATAACTTTTAAATGTACTAGGAAACAAAAATTTGTGTGTGAATTTCTACTGCAATATTCATTTCATTGCAGTAGTCTGTGACTGAACCAGCAGTATCTTCAAGGTATTCCTGTAGCTTTCAAAGTAAATGTTTTATAGTCACTCTATGGAGGATGGGAAGGACACATTCCCAATAGAATAGTTTGGATGTCATGAAGACTGATGACACCACATCCACTAACAGCATAGGGAAATAGTTGTTACTCATGCCATAGGTTTTTCTAGAGTGAGCAGAGTAGGTGCAGGCTGGTCCAGGTGGCAAGAGTAAATAAAGCAAGACTGGAAATAAGAATGTGGTTGGAAGGTGGGCCAGGGTGCACATTTCCACTTGAGGGATGGGGTTTGCATAGTTAAAACTTCCCACTGACCTTAAGGTAAGGTCATGAATGTTTATTTTATTTTAAATCAGATTCCCAAATGTGATGAAAAAGAGGGAGAGGTATTAGTTTGAAAGCTATCTTTACTCAAACATTGAGACTGAAGTCTTCCTCTTGATTACAAGGATTTGTGGCTAATACAGGTGATTTTAAATTAGTCTTGTGAAAGTTGTCAAAATTAAAATGGAGTCACTTGAGTTAAAAACCCTGACAAATCAAGCCTAGGAATGCCATGAAGAGAAGGGTCTCAAGCACAAATTCTCGATAACAAGAACTATCGCAAAAGACTGAAAAACCACAGCCTTGCACAAAGACCATCACAACCTTACACAAAAGAATACTTCTGCAAAGACATCTGCTCAGCAACTGTCTGTCCAGCTTCAGACTGGCATCACCCTTGTTATTGATCCTTGTAGCCAAGGATAGTTATCTCAAAACAATTATGTAATCCTCTCTCTGTTTCCTCTAAAAACCTTTGTCTTCCTTTACCTTCTTGAATATGCACATAGTTTATTACGGCACACATATTTCCCTTGCAATACCTCTTCCCTAATAAATGTTATTTTCTTTTAGAGAGTCTTCCTCTCTGTTGTTTAGGTTGAAAGCCTGTAAACCTACTTGAAGACAGGCTTATAATTATAAATTCCGAGGATAGACATTTTTGCTCTTCATTCAGTACCAAAGTTGAAAGAAGTGAGTTTCTTTGGTGTCCCCTCTACATGATATATTTCTTTCTTTCTGCCTTACACAGAAGGTATGACCCTTTGGGATTCCATTTTATGCATACATCTTTTATAACACTGGTTTCCTAATGTGGGCCCTAAACTTTAACGCTGATGGCCCATTTGTACTCTGGGAAGCCAACAAAATATAAGCTCCAAGCCATCACTCGTATATAAATACCTTCACTTCTACCCCAGGATTCCTACTTTCAGTTTATTTTGGCCTCTAAAGGTTCTGTATTTCCTTGTAGCTCTACTATGGATATGTGATGTGTATGTCTGTGTGCATGTGTGTTTGTGTGAGTTTTAACACTTTTAAGGTTTTCATTTTGTTTGTTTTGTTTTTAGCAAAAGGACCATTCAGGGTGTCTTGATGGTCATTCTCAAAAAACAAAGCTTTGTCATCTTTTTGTACACTCTAAACTAATTTAAATGAAATGAAAATATATAAGTTCCTGATAAAAGTAGAAGTCACCAATTAAACCATATGAACAATGTGGTTTTTGGTAATAGGTCCTAACTTAGTTCAATTTCTCCTTGCTCCAATTTGGTAGTTAGCATTTTCCAAGACATTTTTTATTTAATTGTTGTTTTCCAGTTTTTAAAATAATATATATATATAGTATTAAAATGTTAATATTCTGTATTTCTATTTAATTTATTTTAATTCCTGAAACTATGTGTACCTGTATATTTTTATCCTGATTATATTTGCAAAAGCATTTTTGTTTTATTATTTTTATTTCATTACATTCTCCTTATACATAATTATACATTTCTCATATTTTAATGTAAAATGAAAAATCCCTATGAAGTAACCTTGTTAGTTTTCTTAATATCTAGCACTAGATTTCTGTTGCTTTTATACCAAAAGTATATTTTGACTGGATATAGAAGATTTAAGACACAATCTTCACTATCACTCTCAAAACTGTAAAATTCTCAATCTTTTTTTTTTTTCAGCATTTTGTATATTTGAGGAAGAAGACATTTTGGAGACATTCTATCTTAAAAGGATAAAGAAGTAATTGACCTGTTCTAGTTGGTTAATTTCTTTTTTACTCAACATAAACTAGGTGGAATGTGTTATCATAACAATAGACATATAGATTGAAAAGAAAGAAAAAGGTCAGCAAACTTCCCAGCAGGCATTGAGTAAACTGCCTAAGGTAACACTGCAATTTCTATTGCCTTCTAAACTACTGGATCACCCACTATTTTTCAAACATAATACTATATTCGGTAAAGATCAAAATGAGATATGATATTTGCCCTTAATCAACTTGCATTTTAATTGCAATGCCAATTCATGTGAATATGAAGACATAAATGAGTAAGAATGTAAAATAAACCATCAAATGATTTGCTAATGAATGTGTGAAGATGTCAATTCATGGCTGAAAATATTCATGTTTAGGATAAATCACTTTCTCCTTGACAGAAAGGTTACTAACACCTAGTAAAGTTGATTCTAATCTCATTCAGGGCTATGTTCACTTTTCTGCTCTGTTCCTCTTTTGAGGTCCTCATCTCTTGTCCATATGTGACTCTTAGAAAATGCATTTAAAAAATATTTCCAGGCCCACTTGGAAAGCCAGGAGAGCTTTGCCTTTTTTATAAATATGTGATTAAATTTACTTCATATTAATAAAATGCCATTTTCAGAGCTGAGATGTTCCCTGAGCTTCACAGAGTCAATGGACATACTTATAAGAGAAGATATCATCTTTATGAATTAAATTAAGTGATGAAAGATAGTTGCCTGTCCTGTTTTATTTTTAAATTCTTTTCCTACTATTCAATTTCTTTTTTTGAATTATTTTTATACTATTAGCCTGGAAAACCATCATCCACTCACTGCATACATTTCTGTGTAATTGTTATTATTAAAGATCATGTATTTACTTTTTGATTCACTTTTCTTACACAAAATGTATTAAAAGCCGAATGAAGAGAAACTGTTAATAAGTAAGATAAATGAATTGAAAGGCTTTTGACTAAATTGAATAGAAAATCTTTTTTCTGTCATTCTTGCCAAGAGAATTCTTATATGCTGCTGTTGAAACCAAAGACTGAGGTGTGACTTTTGTTTTCAGAGAATATTTTATCAATGCCAGGTTATGATTACATTTAAAAGATTATTGCACATTGCATAGTACCTTCCTTGTCAGAGGAAATTCAGTCTGTTGAAATCTAATGACATAAAAACTAAGACGATTAATTTCTACCAACTCATCTTACTCAATTGGTAGAAGAATTAAAAAACTCAAGTTTTACCCTCTACCCAATCTGATCAAATGCTTTGCCATTTATAAGTCTTCTGTTAAATCCAGCAAACTATCAAAGATGAACATCATCATTCAGTACTTTTTCAATCGTCTTTTTTTTCACTAGTACATGTAGATTACTATCTTTCTATTTTGAAATAAGAAATTGATCTGATGAAAATTTCATTTGTAAGTACTGGCTGTTCTTTGAAGAGGTTTGGACCATATTTATATAAGTGTGTAAAACATTACTTGATGAGGAGTGAAATAACAGATTTTATTGTGCAAGTAGAACTCAATGACAAAGAAGGATAATAAAAGGTCTCTGGGAATAGAATTCTGCTATATGTTCTATTCTGTGCTTACTGTATTTCTCCAGTCATTACTATAGGTGAAATAGATCAACCTGGGGAAGTTCTCAACTTGTCAAATGATCTCGGAGACTATAGCAAGGTTGAACTGAAGATCTGCTTAACTGATTCCCTGGCTTAGTTCCAGCATGTGCAATGATGCAGTTCTGAAGTGCCAAGTGCTTAATCATTAAGCTTGCTCTGGGACAAAAACATTTTACAAGTTCCACTACACAAGTATGTTGTTGAATTCTCTTTGAATGCAAGGCTTTTCAAGTTAAGGTGAATTTCCACTCTGTATTACTTTCTGGATGCTGCCTTTTGTAATTCTGCTGCCCATGTTATTAAACGTCCTTGAGGGATTTTGATGCACTTCTGAGCACCCACTATATGCACTAAGAAACAAACAGATAAGTAAGAGATTTCCAAAAGTCAAGGAGGAATGAGAGAATGTCAAAATCACATAAAAAGCATATGAAAAATTCCATGTAAATTGTACAAAGAAAAAAACACAAAAAAAGCTTTAACAGAGAAATTTTATTATCAAGAGGCACAAGGAATTCCTTTATAGATGATATGAAATTTAAGATAATGATAGAAAATGGGGATAAGGAAGCAAAAAAGGTAAAAAGTAGGATATGTTCCTTGGAGAGATAAAACTAAGCAAAAATCAGGCAGGCAGAAAGCTTTAGAGCACATGTGACAAACTACAAGTAGTCCAATATGGTTAGATCATAGAGGACTTGTGGAATTAAATTAAAAAAATATTTATAAGTAATTCATAAGTGATGTTGGATGTTAGAGTTTTGGTTGATAGCCACTAAAGCTTTTCGAACAGGGAGTATCACAGCCAGAATGTGGGTAAGCATCTACTTAGCTGAGTAGTTAGGATGAACTGAGTTGGGAAGAGTTAGAAACCAGATTTATTTGTGGTTTCTAGCAATAGTAGTAACCCAAATTTGTCTAATAGTGAAAAATGAATTAAAATTTTTGGCTTTCTAAGACAATGCAGAAATTGAAATGGCACAAATATGGGAGAGGGACCAACAAAGAAGAGAAGATGATTTGTAGGATGCTGTGGTTTGAATGTTTGTTCCCTCAAAAACTCATGTTGAAATTTAATCATCATTGTAGCAATATTAAGAGGTGTGACATTTAACGGGTAATTAGGCCATGAGGACTCCAGCCTCATGGGTGCATTCAATGCCTTAATAAGAGAGTTTTTAGTCATGGGCTCTCTTTCTTTTTTCCCTCTTTTCTTCTGTCATGTTACGACATAACAAGAAGGCCCTTGCAAGACACCAGTACCTTGATATTTGACTTCCAGTCTCCAGAACTGTGAGTTAATAAGTTTCTTTTTAATATAAACTATCCAGTTTGTAGTATTCTATTATAGTAGTAACAAAAGGACTAAAATATATGGGAAGGGGATAAGATTTTTGAACATGTTAAATTTTAGATAAAAGCAGGTGAAGATACCCAGGAAATAAGAGAGAGACAAAGTTTAGTTCATGAGGAAGTTGTCAGAGCAAGTAATAAATATTGAGGAGCCATTGACTGAGGACTAGCCATTGAAGCCTACAAGAGATTTTGCATCAAAATGTGTTCTGCCCCTCCCATGACCTAAAGTAGATCCCCTTCTTAGTTTTTTTTTTAGTTATTTTCTTTTCTGTTTTATTTTTTAAAATGTATGATTACATTTATTTTGGTGTCTATTTGTTTGACATCGGTCTCCACAAGGAGACTATGTACCAGTTAAAAAACATGAACCTGCCAGGTGCAGTGGCTCATGTCTTTAATTCCAGCACTTTAGGAGGCTGAGGCAGGCAGATCACTTGTGGTCAGGGGTTCAAGACCAGACTGGCCAACATAGTGCAACCCTATCTCTACTAAAAATACAAAAGAAAACAAAAAATATCCTGGCATGGTGGCAGGCACCTGTAATCCCAGGTACTCAGGAGGCTGAGGGAGGAGAAGGTTGAACCTGGGAGGCAGTAGTTTCAATGAGCTGAGTTTGTGACACTGCACGCAAGCCTGGGTAACAGAGACTCCGTCTCAAACAAACAAAAAACATGAACCACAGTTGATGCCTCAAATGAAAAAGATTTAATACAATAATTTGTATTTGGGGGTGGGGTAAGCAATAATGAAGTGGCAACTTTATTCTAGCTGTCTTGTTCCCTCTCATAACACCAGGAGACCACTGTCTCAGCTTCATTTTTTTTTTTTTTTTGAGATGCTCAATGAACACTCCATAGACTTTTTCAGTGTCTTCAAAAAACTTGCCGGCTTTGTCTTATTTTCTCACTCTCTCCTCATCTCTCACATCCCAATGCCCTTCAACTAAACTTGACTCTCCAGAGTGCCCAACACATGCCCTTCCTCACTGTCAGTTACCTTTCCCTAATGAAGTAATTTAATTAGTCTCCATCATCTTTTTCCAGTGAATTGCAAATTTAACATAAAGGACTAATGAAAGGGGTGTGTGTTGGCATCTGGAGCATATTGGTGTGTAGAGGTGAATGGCTAGATAGTGGACATGGCTTACATCATCTTTTGAGCTTGGGGAATAAGATCCATTAACCAAGCCTCAGTTTTTATAAAAGCAACAAAGTATTAGAAAAAGTTCCAAGAGAAGAAGTGTTCCCAGGCTGGTGGGACTGAGAAGTAAGGCAGTTTTTCCCTGCCCAGCCATGCCTCTTGCTTTCCATGTGGGAGAGATGGGCTCCAGCTCCTTTTCTGCTGCTCCTGACTCCAGCAATCTCTGTGGCTATCCATGAATGATCCAGGGAAAAAATATGAGCCTTTCTGCTCTGGGTGCTCTCCCTCTTTGAGTATTTAAATCTGTAATATTGTATTATATTTATGCTGAAATTTATTAGAGATATTACCATACATAAAAATGGTGACTATGGGCTGAGCACAGTGACTCATGCCTGTAATTCCAGCACTTTGGGAGGCTAAAGTGGGAGGATAGCGTAAGGCCAGGAGTTCAAGACCAGCCTGGGCAACAAAATGAGATCCATCTCTACAAAGAATAAATTAAAAAATTAGCCAGGTGTGGTGGCATGTGCCTGTAGTCTTAGTTACTTGGGAGCCTGAGGCTGGAGGATCTCTTGAGCTTAGGAGTTTGAGATGGCATCAAGCTATGATTACATCACCCCACTCCAGCCTGGGCAACAGAGAAACTCTGCCTCTAAAACAAAAATGGTAACTATGGAAAGTGATGGATCTGTTAATTTGTTTGACTGTAGTAATTATTTGCACTATGTATATCTCTACTGAAACAGCATTTTGTACACCTTAAATATAGACAATTAAAAAATCTGAATCAGATTTTTTTACTCTTTAAAGACTAATTTTATTTATGGAAAATCTGCCCCCCTCATCTTTTGACCTAAATGAGAAGCTCATATTTCTCTTTAAAAAATTAGTTCTATCTTGGTTTTGTACATACCAATCTCTTACCTTAACATGCTAAGAGAGCAGCATTTCCTCTACCCTACCCACATGGACTTATATTATAAATCATTTTATTTTGATTCTGCAAGCTCAAGTTGCTGTCAAAATATAAGAGTGGTCAAAAGCCTCAGTATTTTTTCTTTCATTTTTTTTTTCCACAAGTGGAACCTGAACAGTCTGCTGAAGCACCTGATGTTTGGCCTTCCTGAATGTCATGTAATACGTGTAAGTATATATATATATATATATATTTTTTTTTTTTTGAGACAGAGTTTTGCTCTTGTTAGCCAGGCTGGAGTGCAATGGTGCAATCTTGGTTCATTGCAACCTCTGCCTCCCAGGTTCAAGCAATTCTCCTGCCTCAACCTCCCAAGTAGCTGGGATTACAAGCATGTGCCACCATGCCCAGCTATGTTTTTGGATTTAACAGAGATGGGGTTTTACCATGTTGGTCAGGCTCGTCTCAAACTCCTGACCTCAGGTGATCCATCTGCCTCGGCCTCCCAAAGTGCTGGGATTACAGGAGTGAGCACCGTGCCTGGCCCTTGTGAGTGTATTTCTAAACAATAGTTACATTAGAGAAAAACACACTTGCAAAGTCTATGTGATATAAAATGATCTTAATTTTTGTAATTTGATGCAATATTTGAATAGGATTACTGCAGGTTAAGGAATACGGGTAAAGAAAAAAAAACAGGGAGAATGAAGTGTGAAGTGAATAAATATGTAAGAAAAAAATTAGAAGAAAGAAGGGAGGTTTCAAAGGGAAGGCAACCAAAACGTCAGGGGAGAAGAGTAAAGCAAAAAAAAAAAAAAAAAAGAGTAAAATAAATTTTATTCAAAACCTATATGAGTTCAGGCTTTTGTCAGGCTTTTGGGGCTCATTTACAAATTCTAACTGTAGGCAAAACTTGCCTGATTCTCATGCCCCTCAAAACTCTGAATGCCATTTCTCAAGATTGTATGAATACTCAAAGCCAAACAGAGTAGACGAGGAGGTAAATACAAGAAACTAGCACATAACATGTCTCCCAGGAGGTACAAGGCAGAATGGTGAGCCTGATTGAAAAGAAAATTGGCATCACATAAAAAAGAAAATAAAAAGTAGCAGCATCTCAGCGTGTACAAATAATCCATGCAAAGCTGTGTGTGTCTGTGTAAATCAAAGCTGTATATTTTTGTCATAAATTAAATCATACTATGCCTACTATTTGTCACTAATTTTTATACTTAAAAATATATTATGAGTAAAAAATGAATAAAAAAGAAATATATATATATATATCTACTAGATAGATAGATAGATAGACAGATACATAAATACAGATATATAATGTGTACCTTTCCATGTCAATAGATGTAGGATAGCATTAATTCATTAGTACCTTGTCTGATTTAGGAAAATTTCAATAGATATTTGTTGAATACATTAATTTTAATAACCCCTAAGAATTCCTTAAACAATATTATTTAATAAATTAATCGTTGTTAGAAATTTCAGTTTAATTTTTATTACTCATATCCCCTCTTCTTCCCCATCCTCCTTCCTTCTCTCCCTGTCTTTCTCTTTCTTTCTCTTTCTTTCACTTTTTCTTTCTTTCTTTCTCTCTCTCTCTTTCCTTCCTTTCTCTTTCTCTTTTTCTTTCTTTCCTTACAGTTTTTAAATAATTCCATTTTAATTCTATACTAGAAATAATATTGTTGAATAAAATAGTATGCACATTTAAATTTACTTAGATTGGACTTAAAAAGTTTTTAGTATTTTATATTCCATGTACAATTTAAGAGAGCACCCATTTGTTGCCCTGGGAAGTATTTTTAATATTTTCTATATGTTACAATTTCAAGTATCAAAAATATTGTGTTGAAATTCTTTATTTCTTTGAGCCAAGTACTGGAACATTTTTTGTTACTTTATTGGCTCCTTGCATTTATTCCTTCATGAAATGTTTGTGTCCTTGGCAGAAAACTTGTAACTTTTGGTTGCCTGGCATTAATTTCTGTTTCCAGTCATCTTCCTGATTAACCTCTGGAGATTAGTCCTTTTCCTTATCAGGTAATAGTTTAATCAGCTGCTGAGCCCATTCCTATTCAAGGCTTAGACAAGTGAGCCAATCATAAACTCCTCGACTAAAATGCGAACCTGGAGCACACTAAAAAAGGGACTAACAAAATCATTGCAATTCATTCATTCTAGTTATGTCCTGCCCTCACTCTTTCTCTACCTCTTTCTCTTATTTCCACATCTCTGGAGCTCCCAGGTATCTCCATTTCAAACCTAGGTGCCTGGCATTCCCTTAGATTACATGACCACTCACAGTTTCTAGTGGTTGCCATCAGAGATTAACGGTTCAAAATTCTATCTTTTTTTTTTTTCTTTTTTGACGGTGTCTTGCTCTGTTGCCCAGGCTGGAGTGCAGTGGGGCGATCTCGGGTCACTGCAAGCTCCGCCTCCCGGTTTCACGCCATTCTCCTGCCTCAGCCTCCCGAGTAGCTGGGACTATAGGCACCCGCCACCATGCCCGGCTAATTTTTTTTTGTATTTTTAGTAGAGATGGGATTTCACCATGATGGCCAGGCTGGTCTCGAACTCCTGACCTAGTGATCCACCCACCTCGGCCTCCCAAAGTGCTGGGATTACAGGCGTGAGCCACCGCACCCAGCCAAAATTCTCTCTTTTATCCTATTGGGCTGTAGACCTTTTAAAATTATTAACTTATAAAGTCAATAATTTTATATTTCGACTTTTAAAAGTCTGGCACACATATTATGAATATTGTTTTGCAATTTTTAATTTGTCCTTTATATTTTTAACTTTTCTGTCAAAAGAAAGTTATAGAGCTTATATGTTTAAATATGCTAATCTTTTAAAATAGGAAGCATTTGCTCCCAAAGATTATAAAATATGTTAAAATAAATCTTTAAAGTCTATTTTCGTGATTGCTCTAGAGTACTTATTGTTAGATATCCGAAGTAAAAAGACTGAAGTAATCTCTTGAAATACGGGTGATCCTGTGGAGCTTAGAATGTAAACTTTTAGGGACATTGATCGATGCTATTATGCTATTTTCTTTAGTGTGTAAACATAGGAATGGAATTACTAATATTTTCTGAAATCCGTTATAATAATCCCTCTGAGGGATTTTTTTATATAATCCAAATTGGGCTTGAAATAAGCCTTCTCTGCTGGATGTTATCTTATTTTTCATACTTGAAAGTCAGTTTTTAAAATCTCATCTAAAATATACATGTAGAGTAGAATATTCCAAATGGAAGAAAAGAATCATCTGAATTTCTTATTAAATATAAAGACTAGCCTGCCTCTTTTCTGAATATTATAATAATGTAATTCTTAGTTGTCCTGGGATCAGCATATTTTTAAAAACTCTTTATGAAAGTATTGGTTTCATTATTCATCTGTCATCACTACCACAGCCCCTGTGGTAGGAGTCAGGTAGTTTGGTGGAGAGGAGGAATGTGGCTTTCAAGATATTTTTTAACTTTCCAGAGTAAGACCCAGTATTGGCCCCTTTTCTAGCATTTTTAGGTTGAAAGCTGCAAATCACAGTCTCCAGTTTTTTGTTTTTGTTTTCATTTTTTAGTAGCTTTGAGGATATACACAAACACAGTCTTAAAGGGCAACAAGGGGAAAAGTTTTCTACTGGCCAAGTGTGAAGCAAGATATTAAAATATTACCTGTTGGAATTTTTCTCTTTACTCTGCAATGGACCCTCCTTCCTGCCAGTGGCAACTCTGAAAGATATTATTCTTTGCCAAAGAGAAAGACTTAGAAGAACATAATAACATCCTTGACTTTTGTTTTTCTTGACCTTAAAACCTGGGGTTACACGTTGATGGAGAACAGGCTGTAATCTCTCAGACATGGAGCTTCCTCTCCCACTACCGTAACTAGTTGAAATTAGCATAGCCTGGGGGAAGATAAAGAGTATTAATAGAACCCAGAGTATTACATATTGGTTGATGACTCTGAAAATAAACCCTGTGCTCTCCTCCCCACTAACATTCTGCTGGAAAGTTGTAGAAAACAGATTTCCTCAATGTGTCTTATTTTTCTAAGCATTAGAAAGATTAGCTCCTCATCATATGTGTGAAGGCCCTGGAAACCACTGAATGGGAAAGGTGGCAATGATGGCCGGTGGGCTTGGCATAGCCTCAGAATTCCAGTGTAGTTATATGCTTCCTGTGGCACACAAACAGCAATGAGGAGCTAAAAGACACTGAAATCTGGTGTTGTATATATATATATTTTGGTCAGGACAAATAATACACTGTAATTACCTACATGGAACCACAATGATCAGATGGATGAAACTGAGTCTGTCCTAATGTGCACATCTTTGAGGATGATCATGAATGAAACCAGGAACTTCCTCCCTCCAAAACCCACCAGATCAATACTTAAACCAATACATCCCAGGAAATGTAGTCACATCCTTGAGCAGAAAGAAGAAGAGCCTTTAAATGAATGAAATTTCCCTGAATAGTCTCAAGTGAATTTTGCCCAATGGGTGGAATAAGAGACTTAAATAGAATTTTTTTTTCAATTATAGAGACATCCGAGAAAGTTATATTTCACCGAACTGCTAAAACTATAGTTAATTATAATATTAAATTTTCTTGGGTGGAAAACAGATGTCCTTATATGCTAAAGAAATTTGAAAGGAGAGTGAAGGAGAGGATTGCATATTAGAATAAATATGTTATGTTTTGAATCTGGCCAAGATTTTCTGTAGAGCTTGCCACTCCACATTTTAAAACTCAAAAAGGAAAAGTTTTGGTGTAATGTGGCATCCAGGTAATTCTGGGCTTCTAGAATATCTTCCTCAAGTAGCCATTCTGCCAACTCCTGGAGCTAAAGCAGTACTTAAATAAGCATCAAAGAATAAATAAATGCAGGGTGTTATATGCACTACATTCTGCTGGATGCATATTAGTTATTTTGTTTTACTTATTTACACAATGTGACTAAGAACTTACCAAACACTATGCAGTCAATCAATATAGAATCCTGCCAGCACAAGAGAGTCTGATGCAAGTTTAGCTTCCCCTAATGCTGCTTGTGCCCTTGTCCCTGGATGATGGGTTAAGGATGAAAAGGGTCTTTACAATGAAAATATGGTCTCAGAAAGGGAATCTTCTTGTGCTATAATTAGTTCAAGTTGAACCGATTCTAGATAATTACAAGGTAATTTTCTAGAAATGCCTTACATTGCTTGTTTACATTAGAAAAAAAGGCAACTTTTTAGAGCACTTGATATTTTCAGGTGGAACAAATCCAGGTTAAATAACGTGGTGAAAGATTCTGCCAAGTTGGCAAATTCTCCTGGGATTCCTTGGCTGGTGGGGAGGGGGAGAGGAAGACTGGAATACACAGTGTGATCCAGACAGAAGGAGGGTATGAGTCGGCAAAGGTCGAGAAGTAAAGACAACAAGAAGAGGTTCAATCTGGCTAAAATAGAAATGAATGCTTTACATGTCTATCAAAATTATATCTGTATGAATTTGCGAATATTCTCCTAGCATAATATGTTTTCAGTTTGATGCTCTCATATCTATCTACATATCTATCTACGTACGTTTTAATTTGTTTGCAGTTGTCATTGTTTATAGTTATTCTATTTCTATTTCTATTTACATCTTTACTGACTTTATCACTATCTTAAGGGGTGTTTATGGTCAATTAATATATGTATGTATGTGCATGTGTGTGTGTTTACATACATAACCTCATACCTCAGAAATATTGCAGGTTTGTTTCTAGAGCATGCAATAAAGTAAATATCTCTATAAAGTAGTCACTCAAATTTTTATTTTGTAGTATATATAAATGTTGTATTTATACTATATCGTAGTATATTTAGTGTACCATAGCATTGTGTCTAAAAACACTGTACATATCTTAATTAAAAAGAATTTATTGCTAAAAGATGCTAACAATCTGAGCCTTCAGAGAGTTGTTATCTTCTTGTTTGTGGAGGGTCTTGCTTCCATGCTGATGGCTGCTGACTGATCAGGGTGGTAACTGCTGAAGTTAATGGTACCTGTAATAATTTCTTAAAATACAACAACAGTGGAGTTTTGTTACGTTGATTGATTCTTCCTTTCACAGAAAATTTTTCTGTAGCATGCGATGCTGTTTGTTTTCATGCCTGCATTTATCCCATTGTAGAACTTCTTTCTAAATTGAAGACAATCCTTTCACACCATGCAGCTGCTTAACTACATTTATAGAATATTCTAAATACTTTGCTGTCATTTCAACCATGTTTACGGCATCTTCACTTGGAGTAGATTCCATCTCAGAAGCCACTTTTTTTGTTGTTGTTGTTTGTTCTTTGAGATAAAGTCTCACTCTATCGCCCAGGCTGGAGTGCAGTGGCACGATCTCGGCTCACTGCAACCTCTGCCTCTCATGTTCAAGCAATTCTCCTGCCTCAGCCTCTCGAGTGGCTGGGATTACAGGTGTGTGCCACCATGCCCACCTAGGTTTTGTATTTTTAGTAGACATGGAGTTTCACCATGTTGGCCAGGCTGCTCTCGAACTCCTGGCCTCAAGTGATCTGCCCACCTCGGCCTCCCAAAGTGCTGGGATTACAGGCTTGAGCCACCGCGCCTGGCCGTGAAGCCACTTTCCATGCTCATACATAAGAAGCAACTCCTTATCTCTTCAAATTTTATCATGAAATTGCAAAAAATCAGTCCCATATTCAGATTCCACTTGTAATTCTAGTTCTCTTGCTATTTCTACCACATCCGCAGTTATTTCCTCCACTGAGGTTTTGTACCCCTTATGAGGGTTGGAATCAACCTCTTCCAAATTCCTGTTAATGTTGGTATTTTGACTTCCTCCCATGAGTCATGAATGTTCCTAATGGTATCTAGAATGGTATCCTTTCCAGAAGGTTTTCAACTTACTTAGCCAAGGTCTATCAGAGGTTTCACTCTTTATGGCAGCTCTAGCCTTACCAAATGTATTTCTTAAATAATGAGACTTCAAAGTTAAAATAACTCCTTGATCTATGGGCTGCAGAATGAATGTTGTGTTAGCAGGCAGAAAACATTAATCTCTTTGTACATCTTCATCAGAGCTCTTGAGTGACTAGACGCATTATCAGTGACCAGTAATACTTTGAAAGACATAATTGTTCTGAGAAGTAGGTCCCAAGAGTGGGCTTAAAATACTCAACAGGTTTACTGCAAACTGTTGTGCCATTATCCAGGATTTATTATTCTATTTATACAGCACAGGCAGCATAAATTTAACATAATTCTTAAGGGCTCTAGAGTCTTTGGAATGGTACAGGAGCATTGGCTTCAACTTCAGGTCACCAGATGCATTAGCCTCTAGCAAGAGAGTCAGCCTGTTTTTTTGTTTGTTTGTTTTGTTTTTCCTTGAAGACAGGTATTGACTTTTCCTCTCTTGCTATGAAAGTTCTACATGGTATAATCTTCCAATATAAGGCTGTTTGTTTGTCTATATTGAAAATCTGTTGTTCAGTGTAGCCACTTTCCTCAATTATCTTAGCTAGATCTTCTGGATGACTTGCTGCAGCTTCTACATCAGCACTTGCTGCTTCACCTTACACCTTTATGTTACGGAAATGACTTCTTTCCTTAAAACTCATGAACCAAACTCTGCAAGCTATCAATTTTTCTTCTGCAGCTTTCTTACCTTTCTCAGAGTTCACAGCATTGAAAAGTTAATGCCTTGGTCTGGATTAGGTTTTGACTCAAGAAAGCGTTATAGCTGGTTTTATCTTCCATTCAGGTGACTCAAACTTTCTCCATATCAATAAGAAGACTGTTTTTTTTTATTATTATTATTCTGTGTGCACTGGAGTAGCACTTTTAATTTCCTTCAAGAACTTTGCCTTTGCATTCACATTTTGGCTACCTATTTAATGCAAGAGGCCTATCATGACTTTTGACATAACTTCCTCTAAGCTCAATCATTTCTAGCTTTTGATTTAAAACAAAAGACATGTGAGTCTTTCTTTCACTTGAACATTCAGAGGCCATTTTAAGGTTATTACTTGGCCTAATTTCGATATTGTTGTATCTCAGAGAACACAGAGGCCATAGGAGAGGGAGGTTAAGTGGGAGAACTTAACCCTCCCACTTAAGTGGGAGAACAGCCAGTTAATGCATTGGCACAGTTCATGGAACCCAAAAACAATTACAATAGTAACACCGAAGATCACTGATGACACATCACCATAACAGATATAATATTGTGAGAATTACCAAAATGTGACAGAGACCTGAAGGGAGCACATACTGTTGGAAAAATTATGTCGATAGATTTGCTTCATGCAGTGTGGCCAGAAACCTTCAATTTGTAAAAAATGTGTTGCTTCTCAGCCTTTTGGCTAAGATAAAGTGTAAAAAAATGCAATATCTGCAAAGCACAATGAGGAAGATGCAAGAAAATGAGATACGCTTTTATCTACATATGTGCATTACATATATATGTATGTGTGTGTAGGGGAGTTTTTATATATAGCTTTCCACTTTCCATATTGAAGGCTATTTGCAGTTTGTACTTTTTAAGCTATAAAAATTGTTTTACATACATTCTTGTGTACAAGTGAGAATATTTATTTAAGCTAAATTCCTAACACAAGAAAGATTTCCAAGGGAAAATACAGTTTGTTTGCTTATAGATATGCCAGATTATGGCCATAAACAATTTATACTCTTACCAAAACTTCATGCCACATGAAGGTACAAATTGGCATGAGATTCCAGAAAACAAGCAGGATGAGAAGGACTTCCACGAAGTTTAGGGGCTTAAAACAAGGTATCAGAGCTTGATCAAAGAGATGATGGTGTCTACCCCAGAAAAAGGATAGCAGGGCAGATGCACATTCATTACATATAAAGAAGTTAAAGTTAATAAAGTAAATATTAAATTTCCATAAAAAAGAGTTACTTAAAATAAATAAGGTAAATATTAAATATATGTTTCTCACTGCCAAAGTTGGTAGTTATAAATATGGAAAGGAAGAAAATTAGAATAAACCTTTAGTGTTGGATTGAGATTTGAAGTATTGGTGTTGATGTATGGTTGTTAATGTAGAGAGAGGGATGGTTGGATAGTGGACAGACAGATGAATGGACACATAGAAATATAGATAGAAGGATGATAGAGAGATAGATAATAAACTAATATATATGTAAATAAATACATGTATTCTTCTATTCACTGGTGGTCTTTGGAAACAATTGCTTACCCAATAGCAATGAACCCACCCAGTATTTAGATATTATTTCTAAATACTCTTTTTTCATTAAGAAATGATCGAAAAGAATTGTAGAAATGGCTGGTTCGAAGGCTTGTGAAGGTAAAGCATAAAATTAATCTAGAATTCTTGTGACATTAGGCAAGAAAGTGCTCAAAGGATGTATAGAAAAGAATACAAAAGCACAAGAAAGTGCTCAAAGGAAATATACAAAAGAATACAAAAGCCAGTTTAAATGAGCCTCCACTGGCCAAATCTGACATACCTTGAGAATTAGATAAATAATGATAGTAACACATTATAATCCAATAAATAAAATAGGAAGCCATAGTATAATAGAGATTAAAAATTAAATTAATTTAAAATTTTGACGAAGAATAAGATATTTACAGCATTTTGAAATACCTTCTCACAAAATATCCATAATTAAATGGGGGAAAGAATTATCTTATATAGAGAAGACTAGAATACATCATTTTAAACAAGTGATAAACATCATCAATAATGAGAGAATTGGAAAGAGTATGTCATTGGATAGGATGTAATGAGAGGAATACAGCATCATTTTTGTGATGTTTCTGACAAAGATGCAGCTCTGAAACTAATCATAAGGCAACATCAGACAAATATTCTAAAAAAAACTATCCTGTAGTCTGAGAAAGTGTCAAACTCATGAAATTTAAGGAACTATTCCCGATTAAAAGAGATTGGAGAGACATTACAACTAAATGTAACAGGAAATTCTGAATTGGATTAGACATTATTGGGGCAACAGGAAACACCCAAACAGACTGGGCTAATTAGATAATGGTAACATATCAAAGATAATATTCTGATATTGACAGTTGTCTTGTTTATGTAGGAGAATAGCCTTACCCGTAGAAAATACTCAGTAAAATATCTGGGAACGATGGACCAGCTAGTGCCAAAAAGTATTATTTGCTCTGTATTTCCAACGAGAGAGAGAGAGAGAGAGAGATAAACTATTTCTTACGTATTTTGTAATTTAACCATACTTGTTAAAAGAATATCAACAAAAATATACTATGCAATAGAAGAAATAAACAAAAAATTCATGTTTGATAGTTTCACATTATTTCTATACATTTCTGCAGCATTCAATATTCACTGCAAATTATTTTTCTGTTCTCACCTTAATCCAGAAAAGGCATGATGATATCATGGTTATTTTCTCACAGCTTTCTGAAATCTTGTTCTCATCTTCTTTCCCAGATTCATTTTTTCCAGCTGAAAATAAATAGAATTGGAAAAAAAAGAAATTATGTAACGTGAGAGGAAAAAGCCTTTGAAGTGAACTCTTCTGGAAGTTTTATGTTCATTGCTATCCTTTAGCTTTCCCAAAATGCCCATAAGCCAAAGATTTCATGTGTTATTTCTGTAATTTGGTAGTTTTCATTTAAATTATGCATTAAAAATGAATATTCATCCTAAAACAATTGGAATGATTAATTATCTAATGAATTTTTCATCTCACAGAAGGCAGTGTTTTATGCCAACACTTACATGGTTAAGAGGCTTTTAAGTTTCTTAGTTTTTAAAGTTCCTTACTTTTAAGTCAGAAAGACACATTTATGTTGTCAGGAATCAAGCTAAATTCCTTTAGTCCACATTTCTAGTTTAGATTTTCTACTTCTTTCTAGATTTTATTTTAAAACCTGCATTTCATTCACACCTATATTTTCAAGAAATTAATTATAGAAAACTAATACTATTTACAATGAGAAATGTATGTGGAAAAATTAATGGCATAAAAAATCAAGACTTGCTTTGGTTAACAGGTACAAAATTATAGTTAGATAGAAGAAATAAGTTCTAGCATTTGATAGCACCCTAGAGAAATTATAGTTAACAATGATTTTTTTTTTGTATATTTTTAAATGCCTACAGGAGAAGAATTCTAGTATTCCCAATACTAAGAAAAAAATGAATGTGTGAGGTGATGACCATCCAACTTATTCTGATTTGATATTATACATTGTATACAGGTATCAAAATATCACATGTAACCTGAAATATGTACAACTATTATATATCAATTTTAAAAGCAATACACAAATAAAGAGAATTAATGGCACCAAAAATTAAGACCTGCTTATTAAATCTAAATGCTTATTTTAAAGTACAAACTGCTTTACTATTTTTAAGAAATTTTAAAACAACTGTTAAAATCTTATGAACTGAAATTTATGATGACTATATTACTGCAGCTTTTTATTATAGAAGCCAATTTCAAAAATATTTTATAGAAAAATAATGAATAAATACTATAATAATGCAGATTTTTCTATCATAAAAAGGCAATATTTTTATTTTAGATTATTCAAATGTGTATATATTTATATATAATTATAGAAATAATACACATATATACACACATACATTAATCTCTCTACATGTATAAGTTATCATTAGATGGTCTATTTGTTTTCTGGAGTCACTGTAACAAAGTACCACCAATTAAATGGCTTAAAACAACAGAAATGTATTCTCTGAAAGTTCTGCAACCTGGAAGTCTGAAATCCAGGTGGTGGCAGGACCATGCTGTCTCTGAAATCTCTAGCGGGCATCCTCCCTGGCCTCTTTCTATCTTCTGGTGGGTGCCAACAATTGTTGGTGTTCTTTGTCTTGCAGATACGTCACTCCAATTTCTGCTTCTGCTGTCACATGGCATCTCCCATGTATATCTGTCTTCCCTCTGTGCCTGTCCCTGTGTTCAAGCTTTCCTCCTTTTATAAAGACATCAGTCATTGGATTAGGTTCCATTCTAATGCAGACCTCATGTTAACCTGATTATGTCTTTCCAAATAAGGTCTGATTTACAAATAACATCATGTTTTGAGGGTCCAGGTTCCTGACGTGAGAAAGGAATTTTGGGAAACACTATTTAACCCAATACTGATGATAACCATTTCTTCCACAGCTTAGTTATGATCATTGTGTAATGACAATTTTATATGGGAGGGATATATATATACATAATGAAAACAATTATAAAATTATGTTTTAAGGTCCTATTTTCTGAATCCCTCTGTAAGAGTGGAAAAGAATTTGTGATGAGGCTATAGGCTTTGTGATTAGACCTAAAGTCTCCAAATTCTTAGCTCTGAGATCTCAGGAAAGTAACTAAACATCTCCCACTGTTTGATTATCTGTTTATATGGTATGCAAAGCAACTGGACAAAATAATAAATAAACTTCTGGGCCTGTAATCCCGGCACTTTGGAAGGCTGATGCAGGAGGATCCCTTAAGCCCAGGAATTCAAGACTACAGTGAGCAGTGATTATGCCACTGCACTCCAGCCTGGGCAACAGAGTGAGACCCTGTCTCAACAAAATTAAACAATAACAAAAGCAAATGAGTAAACCTAAGTTGGCCATCAATTTTTTTAATTGTCAGTTCGGGTTTTCTATTTTTTTTTTCTTTTTTTGAGACTGAATCTCACTTTATCACTCTGTCACCCAGGCTGGAGTGCAGTGGTGCGATATCGGCTTACCGCAAACTCTGCCTCCTGGGTTCAAGCGATTCTCCTGCCTCAGCCTCCTGAGTAGCTGGGACTACATGCATCCATACCAGGCCCAGCTAATTTTTGTATGTTTAGTAGAGACGAGGTTTCACTATGTTGACCAGGCTGGTCTAGAACTCCTGACCTCAGGTCATCCATCCACCTGGGCCTCCCAAAGTGCTGGAATTACAGGCATGAGCCACTGTACCCGGTGGAGTTTCTATTTGTTACCAATTTTGTGAATTAGATACACAATATACACTTCTCATGTGTTTGTTACTGCTTTCTCCCTACCTCCCTCTCCCTATAAAAATATGAGTATATTTATTTCACATACTAATTGATGACTGTGCTCATTATAAAAACTACAATTTTACAAATGACCCTACTAGTCTGCCACAATATAAAAAACAGTTTAATTCAGGACTAATTTAGAAACAACAACCACAAATTTAATATAGAGTTCAGATATAATATGCTCTGAAGAGCATTAGGAATTGAGTAAGTAAGCTTTGCTAGTCTTATGATATTAACAAGTCATTTCCCCTATAGGAGCCCTAGTTTCTTCCTGTATAAATGATAATAACTGTCTTTCAGACTTGTGAGATGCCAGGAATTAAAGACAGGCGCATAAGGTAGATAGAACAACTTCCAGTGTAACAAACATGGGGAATTGTTGCTCAGTGTCATTAGGGACTCTTTCAAGTGTGTCTTCCTGTACAGAAAAGGTAAAAATAATAACATCACTTACATTTGTTATATACAATATTTTATAAGATAATAACATCGCAGACTTCCGTGCAGCTAGAGTTCCATTTGTTTTTTAAATTCAGTCAACCAGGGACATTTATTTGTAATTTGAAAGAAACATTTGAGGTGAATATCATACTTTTACGATTTCTTCTGACAAGTGTGATATTAACATTGTGTGTGTTTGTGTGGTTGAATTATTAGGATCACTACCTTTGTTGTTTGAGTGCTGTGTTAGTGTTTTCTGTTGCTTGTAACAGAATTTCTGAAGCTGGGAAATTTATAAGAAAATGAATTTATTTCTTAAGTTCTAGAAGCTGAGAAAGCTGAGAAGCCATATCTGTTGAGTGTCTTCTTGCTGGTGGAGACTCTCTGAAGAGCTCTGAAATGGCACAGCACATCACATAGTGAGGGGGCCGAGCATCCTAGCTTGGATATCTCTTCCTCTTCTTATAAAGCTACCTGCCCCACTCCCACGATAATCCATTAATCCATTAGCCCATGAATCCCTTAATCCCTGAATGGATTAATCCAGGCTCTGCCCTCGTGACCTGATCACCTCTTAAAGGTGATTAATAGCACCTCTCAATACCAGCACATTGGGGATTACATTGGGAATCAACATGAATTTTGGAGGGAACAAATATTCAAACCATAGCAGTTCTTATTGTGAGCTATTTCCCTGGCTTTAGTGCTAGGTGTTAGACGTTGATTCATATCTCCTGTATACTGGCAAGTAACTTAAAACTTAGGGTGACAACTGATGAGACAGAGAAGTATACAGAGTTTTTTGTGAGCACAGAGGAAAAATAGCACATTTTTAAAATTCCAATAAAAATAGAGAAAAAACCGTATCCTTAAAATCAAATAAACCAATTTTGGGACAATAACAAAAATAAAGTAACATACAGGTGTTATAGTTTTAAACTAAACTAAACAGACTAAACGGATTAAAAATTAATTATAAAATCTTATGAAGCCAATAAAATCATGGTCTGATTCATTTCCATGACTTCCAAATCCTGTAATTAAGGTTTTCTCTGATTTATTCTGGCGATATCAGTCATTTTGGGGTAGTTCTACTTATTGTCACATACTCAGTCAAAAATCTAATTCTCCGTTGTCTCATATATTTGTGGTAAGATACTTAAATCTTACTCAGTTCAGAATTTGAGTCATATTAATTTTGTTCCCAAATTATAATAATAATTTTCTGAAATTATTTAAATATGTGAGTCTCAAAATGAACTATAAAATTTATTTTCAAAGCGTGATCTGCTGAGGCCCATCAGCAGGCACAAGCTGTAAAGGTTATCCTCAGCAAAGAGTTTAAAAAGGCAAATCCTTTCTTCAGCTCTCAAGGGTTGATGCCACACAATCTTTTTTATGCCTGTGTTAATTTCTAGTAATCTACCAAATGAAATTTTTTTGTTTCTATACTGTGGTGTTTGTAAATTGCTTTTTAAAACTCTGTAGCCTATAGAAAAGGCTGATTGCTGTACAATATTTAGCAACTTTGTAAACATTTAACATAACACAAAGAATCAGTTTGTCCAGTCAGTCACGTGAGAGATCTTAGTCATTTTAAACTTTCGCTAACAATTTCAAAGTTTGGGATAATTTTGAGGAATAAATAAGAGCAATGGAGCCATTCTGGAATTCCAACCTACCTCATCAGCTCTTCTGCTTCTTTCATGACTTGTTCTGGCCCCCCAGTTAAGAGATAAAGTTTATAAATGAGAAGTGTAGCCTTATCGCATAGATGAAATGAGCTACTTACATCATGAACACCTTCATTTTATCCTCTAATGGCGGCTTGGAGTATGGGGCATTTTCCAGAGAACCATACCTCATAAATTCAGAGATTTAGATTGTTTTAACACAAGCAATCCTAAACAACCCAGATATGTTACGCTAGAAACATTCCATAGATAAATTTCCACTTGATACTGTTGGGTTTTTTTTTGTTTGTTTTTAGTTTTTTAATTCTAGAAGGTCTATCACTAGCATATTACAAGGAGATTAGACTGAGCCTCTTACCTTCTTTTTTTCCTGGGAGAATATTTTACCTGCATTTGGGTTAACTTTTCAATGTTTAGAGATGTATATGTTTAAAGTTTTGGCCAATAATTGCTCAGTAACTGAATTTTAACATATGTGCATCACGTATGCCACTCTTTAAATATAAGTGATTATATCACTCTTGCTAAAACAGATATAAACTTGATTTCCCAAAATTTACTTACAGATCCTTTCTTATGGGGCCTACATTAAAAAAAAAAAAGTATTTAAATTGCTTTGCATGTTCTATCAAAATTGGTAAAATTAAAATATCTGTTGTGTTTTTTAGTCATAAGTCATGTAATTTCTTATGAAATGATCAATAAATGTTTTATGTCTGGTACTTCCCAATTCTTTGTTATTACATCTTGTTTTTTCCACTTGGTCATAAGAGAAGGTGAATAAACCTTATTTAAAAAGATTTAAAAATCATTGGACTAAAGTCTCATTTGTATTGTAACTTACATTAGCCAAAGCTAATTTTAACAATGTCATCTTTTGATAGGTCACAGAAAAATAAAAAATTAGAAATAAACAAAGCATTCTAGTTCAGCTTTCTTGAGGGTATGGTTTTTCTATAAAAATCTGCTGAAAGATGCTGTTTTAGCAGGAAAGCAGTGCTCAAGTATTACTTTCAAAGAAAGAAATCTAGGATTTATTAATGCTATTTCCTCAAGCAATAATTGATTGCTGGCAAAGATAACCTGAGTCTCTCATTGAGTTTAATTTGTTTTATTTATTTATTTATTATTTAAAATGCATTTTTTAATGAGGTCAGTGTGAATTCGTACCAAATGAACTCCTTTAACTCTCGACTTCAAAAAAGTTGCCTAAATTCCTTTTGGCTAGATCTGATGGTGTATTAGTAAATAAAAAATTCCAACTCATTTGGACAACTATCCACTTCTAATCTGCTTTTTAAAAATAAAAATAAACAAATAAACACATACATAGATACAACTAAATGATAGGTGGACCTTTAATGTGTTTTGCGTTCTTTTTGTTTTCAGTTGCAAATGGTTGACCAGTCGCATTTCATTTGAGAGTTAAGTTTTTTTCTAGTTTTGTTCTGTATGTTGTTTTCAAAAATGGGTAAGCGCTTCATCTATTTGACTATCTTCATTTTTAAACACTGCAGAAGAAAAATCAATCACAGGGAAGTTTATTCAGGCCTTAGAGGTCACTTATGTGTCTTGCAGGCGTCACCTTTTACACTATGGGTTTCCTTTGGTTTTTAAAACATTGTAACTAACAAGCTTCTTACCAAGACTAATTAGATGACTTAGAAACCTCAAATTGTAAGCAATTTCACTCAGTTAATTTAAGTGAGTCTCTAAATATTCACAAGTATTCATGCCTTTCTTAATTGTGCTAACATTTTTAAAAAGCATTGAACAAATCCTTAATAAACTGCTTACAATCCTGGCTCTAGCCATACCAGATTTGTGACCTTGCATTCTTCATATCTCTAAAGATAATCTATTATTTTCCTCCTTTGATCCTTTCATTTGAAATATTATATTAATTTGTACCCTAATTTTAAATATATATTCACTATTATAATATCTTTTCTCATGCTTATTTTCTTATTAACTTGATAGATAGCTAAATTTGATTTGCATTTTTTTTTTTATTTCTTTGGTATGTGAGAATGAACTGTACTTTTCTTCTGAAATATCTAAATCATGCTTCAATTTATGGCTATACTAGTTTTATAAAAGTAACTGGAAAGATTTCATTTGGTTTTATATTTTAGTTTTCCTCATATAATTTATGCTATGAACAATCAGGTCACCCAGGTGGAATGTCTTAAGTAATGGACTAATAATATCTGAATATTTACTATTTTTTTAACAGAATTTTTAAATCAAAACTAAGATATTCGAAAATAATTTTCTGTTTGGTATTGTATTTTCAGTGATACAAAATGAGAGCTAATTTGGGTATATACATTACCAAATATCAGAATACAGTTCACATCTAATATATGATAACCCGAGTGACATTTTTCAAAGAAAACAGTAATCTTGAAGAATTTTGCTGATATAATTACCACTTTAACTTCACTACTTAAAAAAATTATTTCATAAGATGCCTTTATATATGGGTGAAAATGTCAGATAAATGTCATTTTAGGCAGCTGCCTGAGCAGTAATGAAGTCTTTTTATTTTGAACTCTAGCTAAACTAAAAAGAGTCTCTCTTTCTTCCTGATTATAAAAGTTAAATCAGCCTTACCAGGAAGTTTAAGCATTACATTCATTATTTTTAGTGAGAATGTTGAATATGTTCTTTCCAGCAATGACTCCAAGCAATTATATCATGACTCTTTAATTGTGTTCCTGACTTAACACCTAACATATGTAGTTGTAAAAGGAGTATTTTGTGTTCATAGTGACTATTCATATCAGCCAAGCTACCAACATTCTGTCTCTCTGCTTCGCAATGTAAGTCCTTGGATTTAAGTAGAAATTACTACGAATATTATTTGAATATGAATTTTATCATGATATTAATTATAAATGGTTATATTTGAGAGTGAATATTAATGCTCTTACTTAAGCTTTATAGACAAAATCAGATCACAATAGTATGGATGTAGTCAGCTTCTTTAAAAAGTCAGTAGGTTTTATATTAACATTTTTCTGAGGACCCATAGTCTGGAGGATGGAGAGTTTTGTTCAAAATGCACTAAGCATTCTTTTCTTGAGGGATATATTGGGAAATATATTTTAATTGGGAAATAAGAACAATTAGAAGTGTAAATACTATTCAAGGTATATCTCACTTGAAACAAACTATCATCTTAATTAATAAAAATGAATTTAAACTCATTTAAAGAAACCAAAAGCATAGGAACTTGGGGCCATTTAGTGAAGGAATACACACACACAATTGTTTTATAGAAAAAGTACATTGATATTTAAGGTGCAGTTATTGGAAAGCTTAAAAGACAGTCACAAGAAGCTGCATAAGAAGGAAGGAAAACACACAAACTTGTTAAGACATATTTTTTCCCCAAATATGCAAAAAATTGCTTTGGCAAATACAGTGTAATACCTTAAACATGTGGAAAATATGAATAAACAGTGAAGAGCACATTCATTTATTAAATGTTTATCAAATGCTTGGACATCAGTGTAAAGCACTTTCTTGTATATTTTTCCTGTTTTATTCTCAAATGAAATGATCTGTTATCTTAATCTCCTTTAATATATAAAGAACCTGAGACTCACAGAGATAAATAACTTCCTCAAGGACATATGACAGTAAGCAACAAATCAGGGCTTTTTGAGTCTTATGGTTACTTTGCTTTCTGGAGAGTTCTGAGCTGCTGAGCTTTTCCTATAAAAGCAAATCTCAGATTGTGTTCCTTATTATATCAGATTTGCTTTCCTCTCGTGCTTAATCCCTTGATTTTGGTTTCGTATTCTATTTATCGTGTTGTATCTACTTTTCACTATGTAAAAACTTCCTTCCAATGAGAAAGAAAATCAGTTTTGGCCTTACAATTAGCATCCCAAAGCTTTCTAGAGATCAGAGTTGCATGACATTATAAGTTGCTGCCATTTTGAATCATCATGGACCACGGATATTTAGCAAGAATAAAGGTGCTAATCTCATTTTGTCACTTACATGTTAGATTTTTCAGTGGTTAAAGACCAGTGGTTGACACAGTGTCAAAATTAATCTTATGCTAATTGTTTTATTTATCAGCTTAAGTGATTAAACTATTTGTGTGTGAGTGAGCATGCAACCTTCCCTGTGAATTCTTAATAACAAAATGCTCTTTTTGGACACATCATTGTTAATGATTCCTCTACTTTCCCATCTTCTAAAGACTCTTCTACCTCACTCACTCCTACCCCCATTTATGATCTCAGTTAGAACGCTACACTTATGCTCACGTCAACCTCAAACTATTAACTTTAAAACTTCTCCTTGTTTATATTTGGATGCTTGCTATTTCCACTTACTCTTTCTTGATCCAAAGCACTTCTTTCAATTCTCAGATTTTCTTTAATCATAAGCTGTATTTTGGCATAGCTCTGACCTGGGGTACCTTCCTACTGCATTACTGAATTACAAAACCTGTTTTCCTAAAAGCTCACTTATGAAGAGGAGAAGACATTTCTGCATTTTGATCATAATTATTTCCAATTATAAAACCACTTAGTTCATATCATTGCCTCTAGGAAAACTCTCCTCACAAACCTGGGATCATAAGAATTTACCCATTTTCTTGGATCCTAATTGAATTATTAGTCTCTTTTTCATATTGTTTAATAGGTAAAAATTTAGTTTCCCCAGAAAATCAACATCTTCAGGTCCAAATTATTCCTTTATGCTTTACTTTTATTGCATTTCCTGTTATTTTATATTTGTTCAAAATAATTAGTGAATTATAATTGAGCCAGCTGAGTTTACTCGTATTAAGAATTAATATAGATTTTTCATTCTGTTTTTCTTTCCCTCGGGTATTAAGTAGCATTAGCTGCATGCACTCAGAGAAAAGCCACATATGTAGATAAAGCAAGAGGTACTCTGCTATAATGGTGCAGATTATCTCTTCTGCTGTATTAGCCTCTGAGAGTCCAATTGAGGGGTTAGAAAACAGACCTTTCACCTCTTTGTATCTCTTATAAGCACTTTTAATCATGGCACAACGAGAACTCTCAATAATTTTTGTTGGATGAATAAGAATCTGTGCTCCTTAGTTTATCTGAAATAGAGTAGCAATGAAGTAAATATCTCTAGAAAAGTACAAAATGGAATAATTACTGCAAAAGTCAATATGTTGTACTAAAAATGGAAAGTATCAGGCATTCTAATCCCTGCAATTAAAAGAATATTATCTTGTGGTCTACTGAGAAAAATGAAGAAAGTTTTAAATTGCTTTCCTAAAACTAATTTGCAACGAAAGGCATTTAAGGATTGATAATTATTAGTTTGTTGTATTATGGTAAAATATAGCAGCCTGAAAGAACTGAAAAAAGAGCAAATTCCTTTTTCCTTTAAACTTAATACTTAAATTACACAAACTGAATAGTAGTCTACTGAGGAAAAGCCTATTGTTTTATTACCCAGCTAAGCTCATAATTGAAATAATAGTGATTGCAACCAAATGCTCTGTAAAGAGCTATCACGTTTTTGAATTGGGAAAAGTAAATGAATCAATATATTGTTAACCTGCATAGCAATTGTCCATTTTCTTGTCAGAGAATTTAGCATTGTATTTAATCTAAAATTATATCTACTGGACCTAGATTTTTAGAAAGAGAAAAGGCTGCTTCAAAAAATTTCATTGTCAAGGTTGTATTTGTTATCCTTTTTCCTCTGAGGTAATTGCATGATGAAATTATGTGTGAAAAGAGAATTTTCAGCTACTACCTTGAATAAAGGTTAGGGAAAGGTTATGTTTAGCATAACTCCATTACCAACACATTGTTGCCCTATAGGCAGAATAATCTAATTTCATTTCTTTTCTGATTCCAATGGAGTACTGTATCCTCTGTCTTTTTTTTGTGTGTATATATATATATATATATATATATATATATATACACACACTATATATATATTTTTTACTTTTCCCTTATCCATATTTGCATTCCTTCCACTGATTGTGTGGACAAATAGGATGATATGAATGCAATGTTTTGGAAATCACTCAGTATTTTTTAGAATCCCTTTATTTTCCCATATTTCCATTTCTATTACCATGAGATACCTCCGAATGATAGTTTTTCTCTTTAAAATCCTAAATTAGTCTCTTTCTAAGATGTTGCTCAATTTGACTGGGAAAGAAAAAAAACAAATATTTCAGTTTTATTTTTGTAACACTGGAATAACATAGTGTCAATATGGGTATTGACCATCCAGACCAAAGAAATACTTTATGCCTGTTATGAATATATTAGTTCCTTCAAATAAATGAAATATCTAGTTTTTCATTCATTCATGTGCTAGTAATTACTTGCCATGTGCCAAGCATTATTTTACAAAGAAAGCCTATATAGGATTATTTTTAAAACATAGGCGTATGAGTTGAGAATTGTTCCACAAAATGACCGAGCAGTACTCCTCAAAACTAACGAGGTCATCAAAAACAATGAAAGTTTGAGAAACTCACAGTCAAGAGGAGTCTAAGGAGACATGACAACCAAGGCAATGTGGTGGTATCTTGGATGGGATCTGGGAGCACGCAAAGATATTAGGCATACAGTTAGAAAATCTGAATAAAGTACAGACTTCAGCTAAACATAATGTATCAGTATTGGTTCATTAATTGTGACAAATGTGCCATCTCAATGTAAGATGTTAATAATAGGGGAAATGGGTGTGAGATATGTAAGATTTGTCTGTACTATCTTGACAATTTTTCTGTAAGTTGAAACTATATTAAAATAAAAACTTTATTTTAAAAAAGCTGGGGAGAATCTTAGCTATAATAGATTTAGCCCTAAACTCCTCATTTTATAGAGGAAAAAACTAATGGTCATAAAGTTTGTATAGCTTTTCTAGAGTAGTATACAGCTTATGAATTAAGGAACTGAAACCAGACAATAGCACCTAACTGAAATGAATTTATTCTTTAGCATAACTAAAAACAAAAACTGTAATATTTTATTACACCATGAAAATAAATGTATCAATCTTCACAGAAAAAATATCCTTAGTACATATTTTTTGTTCACTAACCTCATTGGTGCATTATATTAATGAGATCCGATAGCCTCTTTAACCAATAGTATCTTGCAGTGGCTTAAAATGTGTGTGTGTGTGTGTGTGTGTGTGTGTGTGTTTTCTGTGCCCTCTAAGTACGTTCTGGATGTTCTTTCTCATCTTGTCGCTGATCAATGATCCATTCATACACTTTCTTTGTCTCTACACAATTGATATCTGTTACATTTAATCTCCTTTATTTCTATTTATTTTGAAAAATCTTAATTTCTTGTTTTACGAATAACTGCAGGACAGAGATTTTATTACAAAGTCAGAAAGAATGATCTTTTACACTATATTGAGCTATGTTTGAGCTCTGCTGAAATAAAGCCAAGAGAGTGATTAACAAAGCTAAATGTAAAACATATATATATATGTATGTGTATATATGTGTGTGTGTATATATATATACATTTATATACACAAATTATTTGATCCATATGCCCAGTTACCAAGAAGGTTTAAAAAACATAAAAGGATAATCCCTTCATACTCACTTTCTGATGTCCAACTACAGTTGACCCTTGAACAATGCAGGGGTTAGAGGCGCCAACCTTGTAGTCAAAAATCTGTGTATAAATTTTGACTCCCTAAAAGCTTTACTACTAATAACCTGCTATTGACCAGAAACCTTACTGACAACATAAACAGTTGTAAAACATGTATTTTTGTGTTATATGCATCATATATTGTATTCTTACAATTAAGTAAGCTAGAAAAAACAAATTGTTATTAAGAAAACCATAAGGAAGAGAAAATATATTTACTATTCTTTAAGTGGAGGTGGGATCTTCATATAGATCTTCACCCTCATCACCTCACATTAAGTAGGGTGAGGAGGAGGAAGAAGAGCGGTTGGTTTTGCTATCTCAGGGCTGGCAGAGGTGAAGAAGGTAGAAGGAGAAGCAGCAGAGACAGGCATACTCAACATAACTTTTATCATGCATAAGTGGACCTGTGCTGTTCAAACCCATGTTGTTGTTCAAGGGTCAGTTGTAGTTTATGTTGATCTATAGAAATACCATCTGGCACCTATCAGAGATGTGGAAGGATCCTACCAGCTATATTGAGACTATTGTTCATAGGTGATTATGATACTTGTGGGGGGCTCCCTGTCTTCCTACTTTATATCATTTATTTTAACACAAAGAAATATTTGACGTGCTTGAGTAAATGCAACAAAACTAGAGCTGAGTGTGAATAAAAAAGATGAGATAACCACAGCCTGATAAAGTAAAATCTCTAAGTTAGTATTAAAAGACACTAGAGTAAATGGGGGGAATGAGGTATAGTTGCAGAATTTACTGTTTTGGCACAGATAATAAAGTTTCTCGAGTCTGTCAGTTCAAGATGTACCATAAAATAGTAGAAATTATACTATATCTGGATATAATCAAATCTTATTTTATTGAACAGAACAAGATCCCAACATAGTTGAAAACCAAGGCATAGGAAAAATAAACAATTTTTTTTTGTTTTTTTTTGTTTTGTTTTTTTTTTTTTTTTTGAGACGGAGTCTCGCTCTGTCACCCAGGCTGGAGTGCAGTGGCGCAATCTCGGCTCACTGTAAGCTCCGCCTCCCGGGTTCACACCATTCTCCTGCCTCAGCCTCCCGAGTAGCTGGGACTGCAGGCACCCGCCACCACGCCCGACTAATTTTTTGTATTTTTAGTAGAGATGGGGTTTCACCGTGTTAGCCAGGATGGTCTCGATCTCCTGACCTTGTGATCTGCCCGCCTCGGCCTCCCAAAGTGTTGGGATTACAAGCGTGAGCCACCGCGCCTGGCCAAAATAAACAATTTCAAACAGGTGAAAAAGAGTAATACAGAGAGAGTAACAGTACAGTATCAGGCAGAGTTACTCATGTGTCTGTGGAGACACACTGCATGTTAAGTCTATACCTATATTAAGTGTTTTTGTATGTTAGAAAAAAGTGTGGATAGGTTGCATTGCACATAGTGACCAGATGAGGATTACAGCTTTTGGTATTTTGCAGGGAGCATAATTAGAAAAATATTACCATATGTTATTAGCACCACGGACAGATAATGGGAACTGTGAAAGAGTCTGTGCCGAAGTCTCAGTAATGTGATCAAATTAACAAACGAAGACAGAATAAAATTTGAAATGAGCAGAAACGAAATGCTACATGTCATCCCAACAGCTGTTTTTACCAGACCTAAGAAAGTGGTTGAGGGTAAGAGGGTTGCTGACAAGCTACTGTCTTGAGGAAAGTGAGGGAGAGAGAATTGGTAACTGCACAAAAGATATGTGCACTTACTTTTTCACCCACCCTGGATTTTCAGTACTTCTCACTTGACAAGCAAAAAAGCAATAAGGATGTGGGTAAAGCTTTTTATCCCACTGAAAATTATTGGACAGAACTTTTCAGGGACATCTGGTCTCACTTTTAGAGCAGAATGACAGAAATGTTCAACATTCATAAGCACCTTGGAAAATGGGATATATGACCATTTCTGCCGTGTTTCTCCTCTTTATGTGTGGGTAGCTTAGAATTTGTTGATTGGGCATAGGTAAGTTCAACAGGTTTAAAGCTAAAACACTTTTAGATTCAAGCCTGTCTATAAATTTCCTTGATAATGAGAGAAAAAAATTTAAAAAGGAAAGGTGTGGCAATTAAATAGATTAGTAGACTACTCCATTCCATGTACGCGATTTGGGGACTATTATGAAGTTACCACTTCATAGTGGTTATTCCTTATCACTTAAATCATTGTGGAAATTTGCTCTTTCAAAAATGGGCATACAATTCTCTAGTAATGACAACTTTAGCACTCAGGAAACAAAAAAACAGAAAAAAAAAAAAAAAGGAAGATAGCAGAGATTTTCCATACTGAGCTTTGCTCCAATTTTGGAGCCAATAAGCTAATTTCTCTCCTTCATGCTAATAGGTTTTCAAGTCACTTAGGTATTTAAAGTACTACTTTTAGATTACAGAACTGGAAGAGATAATAGATTTGACATTTTTCAAACTACCTTTTCTAGATGTGTCCCCAAACTCATCCTGCCAAATGCGGTTGAAATAAAAATCTGAAGCACTTTTTCAGAAGAATCGCTGATGCTAGTACTGCTTGGGTATTGTTGGAAGGATAAATTTGCAATAGATTCTTATCAAACTCCTTATTCTAATCAATGAGAGGGGAAAGTATGTAGGGGCAAGAAAGAGATATTTTATAGTATTCAACACTCCCCTGGCAGCCTAATTCTGCAGTAAGTCAGGTGAACCAAGAGCCTCGCCTCACCTGCCCTCACTTACTCCTTAACTTCTCAATATTGGCAGGCTGGACCTACCCCAGCCCTTGTCCTGGAAGAACCCTATCCTTTCCCTCATATTCACTCTCTTAGGTAAGGTTCCCCAGTGAAATCATATGGTTACATTTTTTAAATCTGCTGCTACATTTTTAGTGCATGCAGTCCCAGGGGGCAAGAGTGAGGAAGGAATGGAGCAGGGAGGAAAGGAGAGCACATGCCAGAACACAATATTCAAAGGCCACCATTTGGTACAGAGTGTGACTGATTGCTCAAGCTCATAGGGTCAGCATCTGAGATGCTTCAGAAAAGGCTGCTTATGAACGCCATCTCAAGGCCATAGTGCCACTTAAGTAGCAAGTACCACCAGCTTTCAAAACAGAAGCCCAGGAATTTAAAACATCTGTTGTTCTACATTGCTGACACAGTACTAGCAATTTTACAACTGTCTGTTCTCCTGGAAATTAATTTCTCCCAGTTCTCATTTCACAATTTTAAAAATTTTGGCTTTATTTTCTCAACCCATTTTCTGTTTTCCTACATGAATTACCACTAGTTCATATGTCCACTTTCCTTTCTATTTTGATTCATACAGATTGACTTTGTAATTCATTTTTCATGCTCCTCAGCCACCCCAGGTTTGTGCACAGGTTCTTATGACCAGAATGCATGAGTTTCGATGTTCTCGAATTTGCTGGCCGTAGGCAAGGGATATTCTCCCAGTTCCTGTTGTGTTCCAAGATAGAATCTTAAAGATCTCTCTAGATAAGTGACATACTCATACAATATTTTTTACCTACTTGAATTGCATATATATATATATATATATATATATATGTCACTTAGCATTTTATAAATTACTTTCATATATTTTCTTTTTAGACTTCACCATCAATTCATACAGCAGATATCATCATACACAGTCCAGGTATGAAGATCTGGGCTCAGAGAGACTAAGTAAGTGAATTGCCTGAAGACACATTGTTGGTGAGTAACAAAATATGGGGACCTGGAGCAATACTAATTTCACAACCCTATTTACTATCTTCTGGAAAGTAAGAAAAAAAATGGTATGGCTTTGGAAAAAATTGATGAAGTTCCCAGGTGTCAGATTAAAGCACAATATTGGAGAAGGGGAAACTGTTCATCACCCAGTGAAGTGGGTTTGGGGATTAGATCTTTCTCTGTTAGTTATAGCACATTATTCAGGGCAGATACATGTGCCAGACCATGTTGATCAGATAAAGCAGATGACCATTAAAGTTGCCTATCACAGTATGAAATATGACTGTATGTTCTGCTATTCCTATTTAATGGAGAAATGTGAGAAAGCTGTTCCTTGTTGGAAATAAACTCACAAAATAAACAAATAACATTGTATCTATTAACACTAGCAAATGAGAACAGAAAATAGATGACTGAAAATCATACTTTTTAACATAACATATGAATAATGCAAATTCCTTGGGGGTAAAAAAAATTAGCAATCTGTTCATATTGGTTGCCAGAAATTTCTTGAATTTTAAATACGAATACTTCTATTGTGACTATGAAGGCTGACAGAGCTGTATGTCTGAAATTTAATCCAACCAGTGAGGTTAGGATATAAGAGCAGATATTCTGGACTCAAAGTGGGTACTCATCAATACAAATACCATACTGAGGTGTATTAAATATCTCCTTGCCAACTTTTTTCTATGATGTCACTGTGAGCTTTATGCAAGAATATTTGTTACTTTATATTTTAAAAACCTTTAAAATAAATGATACATGGAATAAAAGATTAGCAGTAGTAGATAAATCATCACCATTTGATCATTTATATTTGGTGATGATAGAGTGATAGACTTAATGTCATTCCATGCATGTGAAGCACATTTAAATTATTAGCAACATATCAAGAATTCTGAATGAAACAACACACTTAAATCTGAAGTCTCCTCTCTACTCTCCTTATCATTTAATGCTATGTATATCTGGGCTGTCTAATTACAAACACATCTAGTTAGATGAGAAACTGTTATTTCCAGATGATGCTGTGCAAAATTCTTGGTTAGATTTGGGTTTAAGGTCTAAATGAATGCTATTAGTATATTATGGAGAGTGTCTGATTTGGAATAAAGTATTGATGTACTTTCTAGAAACAGAATTAGTAGGAGCAAAACTTTTCTGTAGGAGATCTGGAATCACTGAGCAGTGAGAAATGTCAAGGTCACATGTCCAGTCAGAATGTGAAGGAGAGAAGGACCATAGAAACAGAAAGCCTGATTCTTTCCTCTGCGTGAACTTGTCCAAGCTACTTCCTAACAACAAGAAAATGGTAGAACCTGAAAAAAAGAAAGTTCGTAAGTCTGAATATCAGGAATGGAATCAAATTAAACATCAAAATGCAGGGTTCACAAAATTATTTTAAATATATATATATATATATTTTTAAGCGAGAAACATTTGTCTGCACTGTTGTGTGTGTATGTTTATGTGTGTGTTTTGCAGTAAGCTGGTAATAAGAAAGAATGAAATCACTTGCTTGACTAAAAGAGTCTGTTAATAAGTAGGGGAGAGAGACATGTTCACTACATGGATAAACATAATATGATGAAAAAAGACCATGTGCAAAAGGAAGGATTAGAAGGGTATCTGTGAGAAAGAATGACAGCCTGATACTAATAAAAAGCATTTATTAAGGAGAGCAATGTCTTTTCTTCAACTTGAGCTGCTGAGTTCAATATTTGCTCTTTCTGACTGTGCTGAAATCAGAATACTAAACTTTTCCCTAGCTAGATAGTTATTAGAGAAACACTGAACTCTACTGGTGAATCTACAATCACCACTTGATGATGGCAAATGGGATTTATAATTAGACTGTGAAATAGATAAGAGGATCTTTAACTATCTTTGAGGAGTACATGGTTGTGCAGACAGGTAAGGCTGTGGTCCTTACCTGTCTTAGACAGGGATCCTGCCTGAGGAAGACTGTTACAGCCAGGACACCTGTCTAGAACAGCTGCTTAGAAGGAAGAGGTTGGAGTAGTGGACTGGGGTGCTGTGTGAGGTTACAATAAGAAAAATGTTTGTTTGTTTGTGATACTCACTGGCCAACCAGAGCAGGCCTTTTCAGTGTTGTTCTGAGTTGTTTTTTATTTCATTTTTAAAGCTTAAAATCCTGTAAGGGACTGCCTAACCTTCCTGATTCATATGTACATGAATAAGTAAGCTCTTGTTAACATGTGTGATACATAGTATTTGACAGTGTTTCCAGGAATTTAGGACACTACTCAGAAGCTTATTAGATATGCTATACTTCATGAAAACACCCAAATTATTTATCATCAACTCTCATGTAACTGGAGAGGAATATTACCGAAAGAAATTAGATTTTCCAGGGTAAGCTGAAATTAATTTATTTGATTTTGAAATATCTTTCTTTTTATTTCCTTTTCTTCCTTTCTTTCCTTTCCTTTTATTTTAATTATCCTTTGAGCAAATATTTTTCCTATAAAAAATGACTCTAAACAGTAACCTTTGGCTACCTCTTCTCAGTACCAGATGACTTACGCACAGTAAATATATTCAGCCAATGATGTGACCAATTATTTTTTTGAAATGTGATTTTTAGAAGGGAAGGCGTTCTCCAGACTGACTGATGGAGATGGACTACCCCTGGTCCAAAATAAGCCACTGGCATCTTCTGCCAGCCCATGGTGCAACTACCTGTTTTCTTTCTTTCTTTTGTAGAGCTCTGTGTCTTCTTGACTAACACATGAGGCCACCTCCTGGGGCTGTTTGAACTGTTTCTGCTGATAGGGGAGGGCATTTCTCCAGCCCTGCTTCTAGACTCCCTCTTAATCTTCAGATGGCCTCTCACCCAGTTGCATGTTGAGTTATCCTTTCAAAAGGTAATTTCACAAAAATGTACAAATATGATCTTTTGTAAGTTATTTGCAATGAATAGGTGAGCCAAAAGCTAAGGTGAAAGACACAGGCTTTGAATGCTAAATCGTATTGAGTTTTAAGGATATATTTTTACAGTGTATGGATTTTTGCTAAGCAGAGATGGTCTCATAGCAAAAGATTAATGTTCCAGACATGGAGATTGCTGAACCCAAACTATCTCAGGAAGAAACTATTTTTCACACATAGCTATCCAGGTTGCCAATTTAGAATGCATTTTTATCTAAACAGAGTATATGTGTGGATATATTTCCTGTAACTTCTGCAACCACAGATATAAATATTTTCTGATTAGTATTTCTGTGGCCAACTTGGTTTCTGACCCTACCTTATCAAGGAATAAGGTTTACATCTCAGTCTGTGACCTACTTTTTTGCCAGGATGGTCACCTGTGGTCTCAATTCTGCTCTCAACCTGCTATAAACATAATTCTGGCCAGAGGTCAGAGATCATAGGCCAGTTTACAAATATTGCATTTATTGTTCTAATTTTTAAACAGTGCATATAGTTATCTGTGTCTAGGAAGAGAAAGAAGAGTAGATGTGACAAGCCAGCTGGGGCAGACAAACTCACCTTGTCAATTACTTGGCAATTTCATGCAGAATAGCTCTTACATCTGATTTTACCTGTATCTTATTTGGAAAACTTTTAACCCAAATTACTGAAAACACTTTCCCTTATTGTAATCAAAATGTAATCTATATGTGTCAAACTGCAAACATTAATATATACTGCTTACCAAATAGAAATAGAACAAGAAATATCAGCAACATTTATTTTTTATTCTTATCAGCACAAAAATTTTTAGTAACTTTCATATTTGCATATTTCTTTATAAATTATATATAGAAACTTGGGTGTAATATTCATCACAAAACATTCTTAAAAATAGAAATTAAAAATGTGAGAAGCTAGCAAATGAAAGAGAAGCTACAATATTTTTTTCTTATACTGATATAGTTTGGATATTGGTTCCTACCCAAATCACATGTTGAATTTAATCCCCAATGCTGGAGGTGGGGTCTGGTGGGAAATGTTTGGGTCATGGGGGCAGATCCCTCATGGCTTCATGCTGCCTTCCTGATAGTGAGTTCTCTTGTGAGATCTGGTCATTTAAAAGTGTGTGACAACTCCCCCATTCCCCCAACTCTCTCTCATTCCTGTTCTTACCATATGAGATACCTATTCTTCTGCTTTGCCTCCAGCAGTGATTGTAAGCTTCCTCAGGCCCTTCAGAAACAGATGCTGCTATGCTTCCTGTATAGCCTGCAGAACCATGAGCCAATTAAACCTATTTTCTTTGAAAGTTGCACAGTCTCAAATATTTCTTTGTAACAATGCAAGAACAGCCTAATCCATAAAACACAAAAGATTCTGTCCTGGGAAGCAGGTTCCTTTCCTTTGGAGTTGCTTGTATAGATCATCATGCACAGTTGCTTCTTTCTGACTTACTGATCTCAAGTTGAGGACACTCGTTGTCTTCTTGGTTTCTCTCTATTAACTCGCTTCATTATATCTTATTGATTTCTGAAGTCTGGGATGTAGATATTCAGAACTGATATGCTCTTCATACATTTTTACTTCTCCCATAGCTTAGAAGACAGTTGTGTAGATCTGGAATGTTCTGTTTAAAGTCTCAGACTTAGTTCAGCTCTGGGAGCCAACTTCTCCTAGTCTGCCTTGTCCAGTGGGTGCTAACAAATGGACATGGTATGTATAACTAAATATTTACAAATTGTTATGTAACAAGTGAAAATCTCAGGTCCTCTATCTCAATATAAGCTATTACATTATGTAGTGTGGATCCTTTTGGCACTAACTTATCATTATCCTTTTCATTTAAGTGATGTCAAGTTTTATAAGTATCTGTTGAAGAGAAAGAAATATGGTTTATATCTGCATCCAATCCTGACAGGAAATGTCTTTTGAAATATAAAGTTACAGTTTCTGCTGGTCTTTTAAAATATAAAATTACAGTGTCTGCTGTTTGATACTATTTGTCCTATTCATTTGTCATGATATGCTGAGAATTTTTCTCTCTGTGATGACTGACTCTGAGGTTGGCCAATCTTCTGCTGTGCTGTCTTAGTATCACTCCATTATGCTTTGTGATCTAGAGATCAGAACCACTGCTTTGTCTTCATGTCTTACAGATAATTGCCCCACTGCATGTGTATGTGTGTGGGTATTTGTGTGGGTGTGTTTAACATTAATACTTCTAGATTTTTTATTTTGAAATAATTTTAAGCTTGGAAAGTTGCATAGATAATACTTAGAATTATCATGCAAACTTCACCCAGCTTTCCCAAATGTTGACATTTTACATAACCATAACCAATGATCAAACCCAGAACTTATCATTGACACAATACTACTAACTAAATGAATTACCTTATTTAAGTTATATTAATTATCTCAGTATAGCCTTTGTAAAATGTAACATCACTTTAATCTTTTTTCATCTGGAACACTTCCTCAAATCTTTCTTTATCTTTCATGACTCCTTGCCAATTGCTTTGTAAGATATCCTTCAAATTGGGTTTGACATGTTTTCTCATGACTAAATTCAGTTTAGAAATTTCTGGCAGAAATAACACATAAATGATGGGGATTTTTTCCTTCCTCAGTGTATTACATCAGAAGTTACATGATACAGTTATTTTTTACCTCTGGCGATATGAGCTATGATCACCTATTTAGGGTGGTGTTTAGGTCTTTCCTAGAAAGTTATTTTTCCCTTTACTTTTATTTTCAGAGACAGCTTTCTCTCTTCCCATGTTTATTTCATTGTTTAATTGTTTACTTATTAGTATGGACTCATGGATATATGCTTGATTTTAGGTTATAATTAATTAATCAATCAGTCAGAGTATAGGTTATCATGCATTACTATGACCATCTATTTTCTTGATCTGATTGTCCTAAAATTGGACATGGGAGCCTCCTCATGTTGACTTTTCCTTGACATCTCCACCACTTTTTAAGACTTCCTTACTTTCCGAGACCACAAAATGTTCCAGTCTTACCTTGTCCATTCAATGTACCAGTCCAGTAATAAAGCTTGCTCTAAAAAGTATTATTTATTTTTGTTGGAGAATGTTATTTAGAAACCAAGATCTGGATAACAGGCATTCTCCTTGCACTGGTATGTCATTGTTTCTAGGTCTTCTCAATAAAAAGAGCTAGTAAACATATGTAAGGAAACACATAAACACATACATCTCTATATTTTATATTTATCTATTTAAAAAACTATTACTTTATGCTAATACCTTTAGTTCTAATCCTATACCACATGTTTCATTCTAGATTATTTAAAACCCTTTCATTTAATAGTAAGAAATCTGGCTCTCATTATTCACATTATAGTCACATATTTATGCAATTCTGGAATACACATAGTCTCAACATTAGTTGCTTATATTTATGTAAAAAAGCAATTTACTAACTAGAGTATAACAGTTGTGTAGTTGTGTACAGTTTTTTTGTTTGTTTGTTTGCTTGTTTTTGAGATGGAGTCTCGCTCTGTCTCCCAGGCTGGAGTGCAGTGGTATGATCTTGGCTCACTGCAAACTCCACCTCCCGGGTTAAAGCGATTCTCCCGCCTCAGCCTCCCGAGTAGCTGGGACTACAGGCGCATGCCACCATACGCTGTTAATTTTTTTTTTTTTTTTTTTTTAGTAGAGACGGGGTTTCACCATGTTAGCCAGGATGGTCTCAATCTCCTGACCTTGTGATCCACCCACCTTGGCCTCCCAAAGTGCTGGGATTACAGGCGTAAGCCACCATGCCCGGCCAATTGTGTACAGTTTTAATTCATTTAGAGTACATAGTCAAAATACTGTTGTCTAAAATTAATTAGGTTAGTTCTTTTCTTCTACATCTACTTCAATGTGTTTATGATATTTATTTGAAATAGAGGAACATCTATTTTTTGGCCTCATTTTTGATTCCTTCATATGACCTGTTGATTTAAATTAATTCTTTTAATTTTTTGAGAATATGAAATATTAGCATAGTTCTAAGAATCGTACCACAAAAGGCATATTTATAGAAGTTTCACTCTCTCATTGTCCCTTCTACTGTGTTCCCATTTCTTGTTCTTTCCATACCATTCTCACTCATCATCTACAGGCAAACAAATTCATTCATTCCTGTTAGTTTTTTCTATTGTTCTTTTTTTTTCCACAAAAGGGATATATATATATATGTATATATATATATATATATATATATATGGAAAATATATATATGTGGAAAAAAGATAGATATAATCTTTTTGCCTTACATGACAGATAACTTACTGCAAAGTCTCTCTCTCTTATTTTTATTTTCTTCACTTAATGGTTATGCCCTGGAAATTACTCCATATCAGTTCATAGAGTTCTTCCTCATTCACCTTACAGCTACATTTACATTGTGTATATTGTTTACTAAACCATTCTCCAATGTATGGGAATTAAGATTGTTTCTAAGATTTTGCACTGACAAATGATGTGGGCATAAATAATCTTTAACTGTTGGATACATATCTTCATAGGTTTCCATTTTCAATGGGTCATGTAGTGATTCTTTTGTATCTTTCTAGTGTACATGCTTTCTCTGTGGAAGCTGTGGCAAATTTCCAGACTTGGCATCAGGTGGCTTTTGATGATTCTCAAAGATAATATTCATCTAACATGAATACATTTTACTGCTCCTGGGGACACCTATAAGAATGCCCCACTGTGGCCGGGCACAGTGTCACGCCTATAATTCCAGCACTTTGAGAGGCCAAGGGGGGCAGATCACCTGAAGTCGGAAGTGTGAGACCAGCCTGACCAGCGTGGAGAAACCCCATCTCTACTAAAAATACAAAATCAGCCGGGCATGGTGGCGCATGCCTGTAATCACAGCTACTCAGGAGGCTGAGGCAGGAGAATTGCTTGAACCCGGGAGGCGGAGGTTGTGGTAAGCTGAGATTGCAACATTGCACTTCAGCCTGGACAACAAGAGCAAAACTCCGTCTCGAAACAACAACAACAACAACAGCAACAACAACAAAATGCCCCACTGCCTAAAAATATATCCTAAACACGAAGTTCAAAAATGTTTTAATCAATGAAAGCAAAAATAAAATGTGTGTGGAGCTTCCCAAAGGTAAAAGATTGCTTAGCAAGTATTAATTTTCTCATTAAGACAAATTTTAAGTGATTGCTATTTATTTTCTTTGTTATATACTGTTTCGTAAAAGTATCTTTTTGTAATTTTTTAAAAAAGTATGCAAATCCCCCCCACACATATAAAGCTCAATATATTTTCACAAAGTTATATATATATTCAGAAACTGGGGCAGGGTAATAAATATACTGCTCACATTTGACATCTATCACTTCAGTTCACTTACCAAAAAACTACACAAAAGCATTTTGTGTCTCCTTTTACACTTTGCCCACTGAATTTACAGTCCTGTCCATGTTTTGGTAAATGGAGCCAGACTGTCTCAGCTTTATTCCCAATTCATGTTCACTGAACTACAGCAAAGCTCTACATCAAAATAGACCATAAACATGTTTCTTCAAATGTAAAACAGAAGTAATTATATTCTGTACAGTAAGAAAAGATTAATGAGATAGTGCCCATAAAGTATTCATTTAAAAAGCTCTAGAAAAAAAATAAATTCAAAAATACATTTTCCTGACCCCTTAAAAATAAAATTAGGGAGCTCTCCAATGAAGTTGAATTTTGTATTTGTTTGTTCTTAACTATATATTTGCTGAATGAAATTTCTTTTTCTTTTTTTTTTTTTTCTTTTGAGACAAAGTCTCACTTTGTTACCCAGGCTGGAGTAAGTGGAGTAAGTGGCGTGATCTTGGCTCCTTTGCAGCCTCAACCTCCCAGGTTCAAACCATCCTCCTGCCTCAGCCCCTCATTAGCTGGAACTACAGGAGTGTACCACCACACCCAGCTAATTTTTGTATTTTTTTGTACAGACTGGGTTTCACCATGTTGCCCAGGCAGGCCTCGAACTCCTAAGCCCAAGCCAACCACGGGCCTTGGCCTCCCGAAGTGCTGGGATTACAGGCATGAGCCACTGCACCCAGCTGTGAATGGTATCTTACTATTATCTTTCTTTCACATTTAGTGTCTTATTTTCATTACCTCCCTAGGGTTTTTTTTTTTTCCATATCTTTTCTACTAAATTTTCTGTTCAGTGCCTTTCCTCAAACTTTCTTGTCTTTGTCTTGTTTTATTTCTCATGACCTCTCTCTGCTCCAACAAGCAAGACAAAACATTTCCCGATTCCCATTAGTGAGCAATTTATTTATGTTTAATTTGAATTTGATATTTTATGGAGCAAAGGACCTTGCTTTGTATTTCATGCTTTTAAATATTCTATCTCTGATTGTAATGTATAACAATAAGTAAGAATTTTTGAGGTACATGAATGTTCAGTATTCATTTATTTTAAATTATCTAACCAAATAACAGCACTAAAAACCTGCATATTTTTATAACTATTTACTATCAGATGCATGTAATCTACTTATTATTGTGAAAAAACATCTTTGGTCATTGTCAGAAGGACAGCATTTTTGATATGATAATCAAAGAGCACTCGCTTGCATAAAATTATGTCACAAATCACATTATTTTATTCTGGAAACATCTATATTCTGCTGATGATTCACCAGAAAATCTTAAAACACATTCAAAAATGCTATTTTAGGTGTTTTATAAACAGAAGTTGTGTGTGTGTGTGTATCAATTAAAATGCTGCAAAATGACAGTTTGTATAGTACTTTCAAGATCTTTCTTCCCCAAGGGTTAATCAGTTCTAAGAAACTGAATCCTATTTTTGTTTCCAATTTAATAAAAACAGGCATACCTGTTGCCCAGGGCACTATTATTCCTTCAGACAGCCACAGTGGGGGAAAAGATTTCTTTTCTTTTCTTACCTAATTAAAATGAAACCAATGAGCTACAATAGAAATCATAAAGTCACCATAGGATATTTCCTTGGGCTATCAGCTTTCCCAGATGGTCATTAATACCCAGATTATAACACATAACAATACTCATTATTTTTTTTGCTATGCACTACATCTTGAAAACAGGCTTATTAATATTTGGAAAGTATCTAATATTATTGGAAAAAATAATCATATCCAGTGATGACTCTTAATTGGTTTAAAGATTTATTATTTAGAATTGAGGAATGTTTGGGACTGAAAAATCAACATACAAACAAAAATACAGGGAACTATTATTATATGAGACAACAGGCAAAATGTTGCAGTGTTTTGGAAGGAATATGAGTAGAGTTAGTCAACTGAGTATGAATTGACTGCTTCCAGTATACCCTTTACTTGCTTTGTGCTTTTTGAGATATAAGGAAAAGAGGACCACAAATTTTCTGTGTTTAAAATCTGAGAAGAGATTAATGTTGTGTACCCGTGTACAATCAAGAGTTAAGTAGGGTATTGAGGAAACTCAATTGTGTAGCTAACATTTTCTCTAGAAGCTTTTGTTCACTCTCGACCTCCAAACAAATGAAGAACCAAAAGTCAAAAAACAGTATGTCAACATTTGATTATAAAAATAGTGAAAGTTTTGCAAATTCACCTGCATGGATAGTTCAATTGATTGTTCAGAAATTGGTTACAATGCTAGAAAACACAATTTAATTTAAAAGTTAATCAAAGGTCTGTATATAGAAATTGCTACCATAAAAATAGAGGAAGAAGGTGTCTTCAAATCTAGGAATCTTTATTTACATTTTTAGAGGTATATATGTCTATCTGGAGAATTCAGTAGCATTCATCATACTTATATTGCTTGACATTAGCTATTAGCACTTGGAAACCATTCCCCACTATTGTGGTTCTTAAATGCCTTCAATATTTCACACACTGAATTCAGAAATGCAATTAGCAAGCTGAATAGCATATCAACATTTGATAATTGCACCTAAAATATACAGCAGATATGCAGCTTTACTCTGAAAAGGCTATTCCTTTATTCACTCCTAGAAACTGTCCATTCTTTTTGGCATGTTTTATTTTCCTTCTTTATGCAAAAGAGATGGTGCTGAATGCTAATGAATTGATTCTTGGTCAAATCTCAAGCAGTTATGTTCAAGTAATTAGTTCAGGCTCTTGCGTTTCTGACATTCTGCAAACATTTTGTTTGAATTCCTAATTTATCTTTCCTTAATAAATCAACAGTTGACCTTTAGTAGATGCTTGTATTAGGGAATATAGAGAACAGGACAAATGTGTCTTTTTTGAATGGGCTAGTAGTAAGTTCTGCCAGGTTTTTAGTCTTGAATATTTTCTGTGGATACCCTTGAAAGTTAGCCATTTGGCCAAACAACATGACTGCTGGCTGTAATAGACATGGCTCACATTTCCACATTTACCCACCGAATACTGCTCTTTCTGGTGGGTAAAGTGGTTGGGAAATTTACCAAGAGTCCAGGTGTCTTAGTCCGTGAAACTCTTTTTGTTTCTCCTGGATATATTTGAACTAATTGTGCCCCATTGCTGTGACAACTTCTGTTTTTTGGGTCCCACTGGCTGCTGCCCACACAATTCTTTCCATAGCTATTGCTCAAAGCCAGATCTATAGGACTTCTTACAGGAACCTGTGGTAGTCTTTTGCCTGTTGAGATTCTGAAGATTGACTTCAGAAAAATCACAGATAATCCTTGAAAGCAGCAGAAAGAATATTCCTTTACTGGTATTTTAGTAACTTCAAAACTCATGAACAATAGACACCTTTGGGAAAACATACTATTTCAGATGTTTTCTTCAAAGTCGAGGGAACAAGATGGATATCTAAGGTTAGTGAGAGTCATTAGCCTCAGAAGAACTGCTATTTTTACCCGTCTCCCAGAGACCTAAAAACAAGATTTTCTATTATTATTAAACAGGCATATTTAAACCTGCCATATTTCTCATTTTTAAAGTTTCTCTTATTTGACCATCAACACTGCAGGGTGCCTTCATTCCTCACTAATTCATTCAACAAATTATTTTAAAGACTTATTAATATGCCAGACACTATATTATGCATTGGAGTACAGATATCAAGAAGATATGGTTTTTGCCAAAATTTTACTAAACTCATGATCTGATTGACACACAAACAGTTAAAGCAGCCATTACAGGACACTGATGTCTGGAAGGATGAAGAGCAGCCGGGGGCATGGCAAGATCACAAAGAAGAAATGTGAAATTAGGCAACAGGGGAAAAGGGAGATAGGTGATAAAGAAGATACCTTTCTTTTAGAGGAGGTGGGTTCATGCATTTAATTTTAAATGATAAGGAAAAGAAAATCAGAGAAAGAATATTCTACCCAGAGGTGAAAACATCTGACACCAAGATATGGAGGCACTATGCATCATGATGATGTTTGCAGCATAGTAAAATAATTGAAAACATGAACTCCAAATTAAAGGTCTCTGGGTAAGATTAAAATAATGGGAAAAGGACCTGAGCAGACGTTTCTCCAAAGATGATATAAAAATGCCCAAAAGATAAATAAAACAGTGCTCAACATCAGTCCTCATTAGGGAAATGCAAATTAAAACTACTTTGAGATATGATGTCACATTGTTAAGATGACTATTATCAAAAAGACAAGTGGTAAGACATGCTGGCAAGGATGTGAAGAAAAGGGAACTCTAATACACTATTGATGGGAATGAAGATTGGTACAGCCATTATGGAACACAGTATGCAAATTTGTAAAATAGAATTGCCATATGACCCAGTGATCCCTCTTCTGGGAATATAGCCAAAGAAGATGAAATTGTGTCCGGAATTGGTGGGTTCTTGGTCTCACTGACTTCAGGAATGAAGCCGCAGACCCTCGTGGTGAGTGTTACAACTCTTAAGGTGGCGCTTCTGGAGTTTGTTCCTTCTGATGTTCCGGTGTGTTCGGAGTTTCTTCCTTCTGGTGGGTTCGTGGTCTCACTGGCTCAGGAGTGAAGCTGCAGACCTTTGTGGTGAGTGTTACAGCTCATAAAAGCAGTGTGGACCCAAAGAGTGAGCAGTAGCAAGATTTATTGCAAAGAGCGAAAGAGCAAAGCTTCCACAGTGCGGAAGGGGACCCCAGCGGGTTGCCACTGCTGGCTCGGGCAGCCTGCTTTTGTTCTCTTATCTGGCCCCACCCACATCCTGCTGATTGGTAGAGCCGAGTGGTCTGTTTTGACAGGGTGCTGACTGGTGCGTTTACAATCCCTGAGCTAAGACACAAAGGTTCTCCAGGTCCCCACCAGATTAGCTAGATACAGAGTGTGGACACAAAGGTTCTCCAAGGCCCCACCAGGGTAGCTAGATACAGAGTGTCCATTGGTGCATTCACAAACCCTGAGCTAGACACAGGGTGCTGATTGGTGTGTTTACAAACCTTGAGCTAGATACAGAGTGCTGATTGGTGTATTTACAATCCCTGAGCTAGACATAAAGGTTCTCCAAGGCCCCACCAGACTCAGGAGCCCAGCTGGCTTCCCCCAGTGGATCCCGTACCTGGGCTGCAGGTGGAGCTGCCTGCCAGTCCCGCACCGTGCGCCCGCACTCCTCAGCCCTTGGGTGGTCCATGGGACTGGGCGCCGTGGAGCAGGGGGCGGCGCTCATGGGGGAGGCTTGGGCCGCACAGGAGCCCATGGAGCGGGTGGGAGGCTCAGGCATCGCGGGCTGCAGGTCCTGAGCCGTGCCCCGCGGGAAGGCAGCTGAGGCCCGGAGCGCAGCGCCGGTGGGCTGGCACTGCTGGGGGAACCAGTACATCCTCCGCAGCCGCTGGCCTGGGTGCTAAGTCCCTCATTGCCCGGGGCCGGCAGGGCCTGCCGGCTGCTCCGAGTGCAGGGCCCGCCAAGCCACGCCCACCTGGAACTCCAGCTGGCCCGCAAGCGCCGAGCGCAGCCCTGGCTCGCGCCTCTACCTCCACACCTCCCTGCAAGCTGAGGGAGCCGGCTCCGGCCTTGGCCAACCCAGAAAGGGGCTCCCACAGTGCAGCGGTGGGCTGAAGGGCTCCTCAAGTGCCGCCAAAGTGGGAGCCCAGGCAGAGGAGGCGCCGAGAGCGAGCGAGGGCTGTGAGGACTGCCAGCATGCTGTCACCTCTCAAAATCACCACCTTGTAAAGGTATTTACACTTCCATGTTCACTGCATCACGATTCACAATAACCAAAATATAGAAACAAATGAAGTGTCCATTGATGGATGAGTAGATAAAGATGGGCCTGAAGAACATTATGCTAAGTAAAATAAGCCAGACTCAAAAGAAAAATATTTCATGATCACACTTATATGCACAATATTTTTTTTAAAAGGTCAAATATATGGAGATAGAGAATAAACCAGTGGTTACCAGTTTGGGGGAGTGGGAGAAAGAAACAGGAGTGATGTAGGTCAAAGGATACAAAGTAGCAGATATGTGGTATGAACAAGTTTAGATATCTAATGTATGACATGGGGGTCATAGTTAATAAAATTATACAATACTAGGGATTCTTGTTAAATAAGTAGATTTTAGCTGCTCACGTCACAAAAAACTGTAACTGTGTGAGATGATAGATAGGTTAATCTGCTTCACTGTAGTAACCATTTTACTATGTATGTCTCATAACATCATCTTGCAAACTTCAAATATAAACAATAAAATTTGTTTAAAAAATAAAAATTAGAAGAGAAAGTAAATATAGGCCAAAAACAATACACAGCAAGAACAACAACAGAAATGTCTCTGGATTAGATTTTTTCTTACCATATGTTGTACAATTGTAAACAGATTACTTCTTTTTCATATTTGTGTTTCCCCACTGGCAAAAAATAGTAGTCATACCTTCCTCAGATATTTGTTGTAAGAATCAAATGAAATAATGAAATAAAGTGCTTAGAACAATGCTTGGCAAAATAAATGCTACCACGACCTCCAACTCCAACTGGTCAGGTTTCTGTGAAAGTCTCTAAGTAACCATAAATCCCAGAGTAAATTTTTCAACTTGGGAGAATAAAAGGGATAAAGACAAATTGGTCATGTATAAATGTATCAAAGTCATCATCCAGAGATAAAATACAGGATGTAAGTGAGCATAGCTCAATTTTTTCTTCCATTCTTGATACTAAAATTCCTATAGGCTTTGAAGAAAAATTGCAGTCATATTATATCCTAGAGTGTTTAGCAAGTGCGGAGAAATATGGGGATCTCAGAGAATAGAATCCCCTCCTTGAGGACTTCAACTTTGGGGAATTTGAAAAAAGGAAAAATCAGTGCTTCAGTGAAGCTATGTGGCTCTTATAGTCCAAATGCCTGTTGAAAGCTTTGAGGGACACAGTGGCAGCCCATTGGTAATCCCCAGTTTCTAAAAGGCATGTCATATGGCCGTTCCCATAGGTTCTGAATGAGGCATTGTATTTAAGAAGGGAAACGGGAGGCAGATAGGAGAGAGGGGCAGACAGAAACAGGAAGATGGAGAAGATACAGGACACATTTGCCAGAGTGCTGACTTGGAATATTAATGTAGCAACACAGAGGTCACTCATCAGAAGGCTTTGATGTAGACAATTACCTCTGGAAACTGGAGGCGTGCAGGACTGCCCTCTCCATAGACCACCATCACTGAAAAGGTAATACAGCTACATCAGCATACCTGGACTGTCCAAGTCGCCTAAAATAGATGAGCTCACCTCCAGTGGAGATTCAGAGAGCACATCCAGAATTAGAAGGCCAATATGAACCTGCAGCACATGGAGCACAAGAAGTTGAAGCCCTTTTTCCTAACGTGTTGTCTTGGCAATTGCATAAGGCCCTTCTGTCGTCCTCCCTTATTCTCCCATAGATTAGACTCAACTCCTATAGGAAAAGCAGTGCAAAAAAATGAGAATATGAGGGTTATAGTCCTTGATGTGACTGAAATATAAATCTTAATTGACTGATAAATCACTAAGTCGGACTGAGTTTACATTAAATTGATTAAATTGATTCTGAGTCAGATAGTTGTAGTTTGGAATCTGAAAATCAAATCGAGTTATAAGAAAATAAAGTTAAAAACTTGTACAATGGAATTTGTGACTGTGAATGTCTGTACCCCCTACATAATAAGAGTTTAAACATCTTCCTAAGGGCAATTAGATGCCATTGAAAGATACTAAGCTGAGAGGTGGCATGATCAGATTTTTATTTTAGTAAAAAATCACTTAGGGAGAAAATTAATTGGATTCAGTGGGAGGAAAAGCAGCAGGGCATAGATAAGGAGCCAGTTAGAAGAATATTGCTGAAATTCATACAAGAAGATTTAAGTTGCCTAAATAATGCAGTGGAGTGGATGAACCTGAGGGATATTAAGTACAAAGAATTTATAGGACATAATGGCTGCATATGCTTGAAGTGATGTGGGAGGACATGGAGGACACATTCATTCATTTAATATTTTATCAGCATCTGTTGTGGGCCAGGCACCGTGTTAGATGCAGGGAACACAGGTGTGAGCAAAAAGGACAAATCATCACTTTCAGCAACTTTACTGGCTAAAAAGAGATGCAGCTATTAATCAAACAATCACATGAACAATGTGACTCTGATAACTGTACAATTTAGGGGTTCACATTGTGAGAAATGTTTTAACCAAGAGAGTGAGGTAAAGGAAGGTTTACCCCAAAAGGGAAAGCTGAGCTTTAAAGAAGGGTAGGGAAGGGTCAATTTAATTACTAGTAAAGAAGCATCTGTCTGGAATTTCAAATAATTCTTATCATGACCATTAGTAGGAAATGCATTTTAACTAATGACTTAGTTCTTATACACAGACATAACAGTCTCACACACACATACACAGACACACAGAAACACACAAGCATGCATGCACACAGAACAAAAGTTTTGGATATTAAATTTACTCTAACTACTTGAGTGTACTCTGTTGAGCTGTTAAGTATGCTGTTAGTCATGCTGTTTATAAAATAATTCTATTATTTTAATGTTTCGACAGCTCATTCAATTGACTTCATGATTCACTCAGAAGTTGTCATCTGTAGTTTACAAAATACTGACTTGCTTACAATATTTACTGAATGCACGCCCTACTAAATGTTCCTAGCGATTACAACAACCCTACCAGTACATAGTATCATTAGTTCCATTTTACAAATGAGTCAACTGAGGTTATTGGGCTAAAGCTTCACAGTTACGAATGACAGAACTTGAATTATGTATAAAGCTAAACCCACACACTTAATTTTCTTACGGCTTACCTGATGGATGGGAATGTCACTTAATAAAGATAATAAGCCTGGAAGTAGAAGCAAAGAATGTGGTTCCTCTCACAGATTGATTTTACTTTTCCATATCCATAAGAGCAGACCACAGCAAAGAAAAACTGACGAGTATGACATGCCACTGCCCTTATGAATGATGCTGAATGTTTCCAAAGAAATGAAAAAACATGGAACAGAAATTATTTGATTTGCCAAATTAGGATTTGGCATAGAAATCTTCCAGATTTCTAATATCTTCTTTATGCTTACATAAAATTATGAAAAAAATAGCCTCGTAAACATGTGAATTGTGATGTGATGAACATAATGACTTGGCACATATATATACCCACCCAAATTTCTGAAAACAATGTTTATTCTAATTTTGTTTGATGTATTATAGGATTTTCCATATCCTTTTAATTTTTCAAGATTCTAGATCAGAAATCATTGCACTGAGGGTTGCTTCCTTGCATATACATCTTCCTGAGCATCTGCTACCTTTTGGTGTCATTTATTTGAGCCATGGCTGTGTTTTCAGATACTTTCTACCAAAAATTCAATTGTCCTGTGTGAATAGTAACACTTTCATTCATTATTGGTTGTTGACAATTTAATGGGAATTAGAGTATCAGATTCAATTCAATGTAACAAACACTTATTTAAAATCAACTGTAAGATTCTGTCCAAGTTTTAAATCACTAATTATCTTAGGAAGCTGATTGCAAGGGCAGTGAAGAAACTGGACACAGGTAAATAACTTTTCATTTGGGGAAGGGGAAAAGATGGTTCTGCCCTGCTATCCAATGGCTAGCTTGTTCAGAGCTGCTAGAGTGTGGGGACCTGGGCATTTTGAGGTCCATGAGATCCTAGGGAATTATGAGGAAGTGCAATTGGCAAAAAGGCTGGTATCGGAAGCAATGACACTCCAAGAGCAGTGAGCATACCCAATAGTCAGATCTCACTATCTAAGAGTATTCCCCCATAAGCGGAACAAGTTCCTCTTGGAGAAATGGCCAATTATGGGTCTGGGGCAAGATGATTGTTGAGTATCTTGTATTTGCAGAAAGTAAGGAAGTATTTCAAAAATTTCTGAAAACTAAACAACCCACAATGATGAGGGGATGTAAAAGGGATATAAGAGCCAACTCAATGAACCCCAATGGCCAAAGCTAAAATAATTTAAGCTGTAAAATAAATAGCATAGCATTGGTTTATAACCCAAAGTATAAAATAAATATCTTTAGGTCCATATTGGTGTAAATAATTGAATAAATAAGTAAATGGGGGGGTTTGACAAATATCAAGCATTAAAGAATTCCAAATAATTTGTGTAGACACTCTACCCTCAAGGAGATGGAGCAGAAATTCATACAAGTTAACTGACGTCCCTCCTGAGAATGAAGTATGGAAAAGAAGAAGAAAAGGGAAACTTTACAATGTATAAACCTGACAAACGCTGTTTTAACCAGGGAATCAGGGTTGACATGCTAAGTCTTGTTGATGGCATGCACACTTGATATGATATGATGGTGAGCATAGAATGTTAGCTCTGTAGTCCTCCTCACAAATCCCCAAATTCTCAGTCTCGTCATGAGAAAAATACTTTAAAATTAAGGAAATTCTATTAAATTCCTGACCAGTACTTCAGCTGGCCAAGGTCATTAAAAACAAGGAAAGTGTAAAAAACTGTCTCAGCCAAAAGGAGTATGAAGAAACATGGTCACTAAACATAATGTGTATCCTGGGTCACAGGCTAGAATAAAAAAAGAACATTAGGAAAAATCTAAGGAAATCTGAAAATGTATGGACTGTAGTTAATAGCAATGCGTCAATATTAGTTCATTAGTTGCTGCAAATGTATCATACACAATATAAGATGCTAACAGTAGGGGAAACTGTTAGATGTATAGTAACTCTCTGAACTATCTTCATAGCTTTTCCATGAATCTAAAACTTTATTAAAATAGTTTATTCTTTAAAAAGTTTATATTAACAAATGGTAAAAATCTGGTATAACAAACTCCAACAAAGTACATTCTTTTACCTTACACCTCAGCTTCCAGCTGGCTTTACCTATGTTCAAAAGTAAATTTTCTACGCTTACTTCACAGCTAAGTTGCCAAATTAATTCAAGTTTAAAAAGCTGGCAGCAAAAAAGATTAGCAGTAGAGGTGAGTGACTGAAGTGATACATTTTCAACATCATCAGAGCCCTCTGGCACACAGCACCTTATATAAAACAAAGTGTTATGAGACAGTAAATTGAATATGATATAATGCCAAATGATCAATTCAATATGCCTTGTCAACAGAAAAATAGCAAGTCTCTGTAGAAAATCATTCAAGCAATTGCCATGTATGACATAGATAGTGTTCTCCTTGGAGCAGCTGCTGATACCTCAGGAGACAACAGGGCAGGTGGTGAGAATGTCACTGCCTCTTTTTAAGTCATTGTTTCATATGTCCTGTAGTTCTTTTTTTTTTTTCCTCCTTCTTTGGTTGTTGTCACTAGTTGGTCTCTGTAGAGAGAGTTGAACAGATTTGTGAAGCTACTCAGCACAGCCAAAGTTGAATAGCTTCCAGATTGTTAATATTCCACAACAGCATTCCTATTGTAATAGGCTACTTTTATTCAGTCTCTTTGCCCAAATCTTTTCCTCTTGTAGAATAAAAACTTACTATTTCTAAGGGCTCCCAATGTGCCTGGAACAATGCCAACGCTTTATGTTGAAATTAACTTGTAGGGCCCTCAAAATGGCCTCATGACTGGGGACTTAGTGACCAGTGAGAATACTGAAGTTTAGAAGTTTAAGTAATTTGCTCACGATTAGAGGTTTGCAAATGTCTGAGCCAGGATTTGAACCTAGATAATGTGACTTCAGAGCCTGCACATTTTTCCAATGTGTCATTCAGCCTGCCCTGTATATGCTGTGCATGAAAGGTAGTCATCTGTGTATGTGCTTGCTTCCTCTGCTAGACTGAAAACGTGTTAAGGAAATAGATTATAATATTCCCAGCTTGTCTCTTTTATGGTCCCTAGGAATAATAAAAACACTTTATAATTATTTGTTACATAAAGTACATACACTTTCTTAGAAAATATTATTTATTCCTATTTTGAAAAGTGTATTATACATTTAAAACTGCATTGACCTGAAAAATGAAGTGAGCTTTCTCTAATGTTTTTGTGCTTTCTTCTTGTTCATTATTGTTCCTGACATAAAAGGGCAAAGTAACCAAGAAAACTTTGCAAGCTGAGATGTTAAAAGAAGGAAATAGTCAATGACAAGTGTTCCTTTTTAGTTGCACAAAATCAGGTCTTAAAATAACATTTCCTTGAGCAAAGGTTTTCAAGAAGGATGTTCTATACTAGATTATTTGCATAGCCAGCAGGGCAGTGTGATTATCTGGAGTAGAAAAATCGCTTCCTGAAGTGGCCCAGTGCTTCTATGAGAGGCAAAATATGATTAGTTGTGACACTGAGTACCAAGGAAAAATACCCCATCTACCTGGGACTGGTAAGCATCCACATGTTCACATGTCCTGAGACTTGCTAATTGTTTGCAGTGCACTGTAACAACTCCCTTAAGGAAGAATATTGCATGTCTTTGAAGACATAAAGATGCCAGAGGATCAATGAAACAGATGCTTCAGCATCTCCAAATGGAGCAGCAACATTGCTCCAAGACTTTGCCAGCAATTCATGTATTTTGTAACATCATAGACTGAGGGGAGAGTTTCTGAACCTTTCAAGCATTCATTGGCATTCATGGATAAAAGGGGATCTTTATCAAATAATTCAGACAGTGGCTTTTGCAAGGTAACAGCTAAGATTATGTCAGACCTGGGAAATCAATTAAGTTGGAAGACATGGTGACTTAAGTAATTTTTTAAAAAATTCTTGCCACTGGTTAGTGAGAGATGAGAGAAAAGAACAAGAAGGAGTAGAGGAATAAGAAAAGTAGAAAGGAGGAAAAAGGAGAAAGAGAAAAGAGAGTGTGAAAAAGAAAAAGAAGTATAAAGGTGTATTCAATTTCAAAGACCAAGTAACAAATTACTTAAAACTGGTGGCTGAAAACAACAGAAATTTATTGTCTCACAATACTGGAGGCTAGAAGGCAGAGATCCAAATGTTAGCAGGCTTATGCTCCCCCTAAAACTTTAGGAGACAATCCCTCCTTGTCTCTTCTAGGTTTCTGTATTTGAAGTCCTTGGTAATCCTTAGCTTGTAGATGCATCACTCCAATCTCTGCCTCCATCACCACATGACATTCTTCTGCTTGTGTTTCTTCCGTCGTCTTCCGTGTGTGCATCTCTGTGTCCAAGTTTTTCCTCTTCTTTTAAGGACACCAATCCTACAGGTTTAGGGGCCCACCCTACTATAGTATGAACTCATCTTAACTAATTACATCTGCATCAGCAACTATTTCCAATTAAGCTCACCTTCTGAGGTACTAGGGGGTAGGATTTCAACATATCTTTTGGGTAGGACATAATTCAACTCATAAAAGAGGGTTTTGCTAATTAAAATTAATTTCACAATGTAGTCTGGAAATAATGAAGTTTGTTACTGAAACCCATGGTATCTTCTGGAAAAAAAATGATCTACCATATCTGGGTCGGTTGGATGTGTATTTCCCTTTACTGACTTCAGGGAAAGTCTACTCCTTTACCCTGGGAATGAAACTTTTTGATGGATCAGAAGCATATGGCTGTATAAGGAAAACTGAAGAGACTAGACACTTAATTTTGTATATGCAACATAGTAACCTTGCACATTGGATTTTATATATTGAAGATAAGGGTGAAGAAATGAATAGAGATTACTGATTTGGGGACAATCCCTGAACCATAAAGGTCAAGACTCAGAGTAGGAGTTCCAGAATGGCTGGGAGTCTTGTTTTTGTTGTTGTTCAGCACTGCATCTCTAGTTCCTAGGCCGGTGCCTGGCACGGAGCTATATTTCGCACATTTGCGTTGTATGAATGAATCGATGAATTGATAGGAGCTAGCGTTGAGTGGTGAAAATATCAGCAGCTGCTAAATCAGAGATGCTGGTTTCAAATTCTAGCTCTGCTATTAATACATCCAAATCGTGGTGCAGCATATCACTTGTCATTCTGAGACACCATATTCTTGTGTGTAAAAACACATCATTAATAAGGTTTTTATGAATATTAAATCAAATGCCAAGCAGTATAAAGCACTCAGTACTTTGCCTGTAACATGATGGTACTCAGTAAAAAGTAAACTTCCTGAATTTGGTCAGTGAATTTTCCAAAGATACTGCTATAAGTTAAGGAAAGCACACTACAGAATTTTTACCTCAAGGTACTTCTGTTCTAGCTAGCCAGGAATACAAAGATGAAGTATTTTAAACAATTAAAATAAAGATTAAATCTTGCAATGCTGATCATAAATAACTGTCCTAGGATGTCAAAAAATAAGATATATGTAGGAAAATCCATCTGTTTACTCTCTCATCTCAGAAGCATACGTTTATTTCACAACCATGTATACATCTAAATACTAACTGAATGACTTGATAGAACTGAACATCATTAATTTTAGTATTATTTTAAATTATTTTCCCCAAACATTTCTGTTCTCAGTTGTCAGCACTAACTCTGTCAGCCGCTGATGTCAGTGCTTTCTGATATCACTTGCTTGAAGTCTTTTAATGACAAAACACCAATAATATTCAAGAAACCTCAAATATTGAGTGCTGGTAGGGGCATTGGCAAGATAAGTACACCCAAGTAGCCAGAAACATGTCAACCATGCATATTCAGAAAAAAGCACAAGGCAAGGGAGTACGGGTAGCCTGCTTTTAGAAAGAATGGGAATCATAAGCCTTCCCCAAGGAGAGTTCCCCTGGGAAGACATTCAGAATCAAAGCTATGAGCGGAATCTTAGGAGCAAAAGATCTCTGATCCTCTTAGTGTTCTGTGTTTAACCTGCACTGCTGCATTATTCCATTTGCCTGGTTTTTTTTTTCTCTCTCTCTCTCTCAGTGTTACTTCCTGCTATTCAAATACCATCTGCTTTCTCACTCTGTAATCAGTGATTCTTTATCTGTTGCATATCTTATTCTGAATATCCATAGCTTCTCCTTCCTCTTGACTCCAGGTTGTCATGTCTCCTAAGCTTTCCAGCAGAATCTGCAACTGATTTATTTTCTCATACTTTTAGCCTCCAGTTCCCAAGAAGAGTTTCTAGAGGGGTCTGAGGGTATGACAAGCACTGTGATTGGCTTTACCAGTCAAGTCCGTTGGTACTCTCCAAAGGAAATTTAGAGTTGAACATCGTCGCATGAGTGAGAGAGCACCAGGAAGCTTCTGGGGGAAGATCATTAGATTGAGCAAGAGGAGACCCATGTCGATATAGTATTATTCCAAGATCTGCTAATACCCACTGGGCCAAGTGACCCATCTTTCATGGACCCAGTTCCCTGTTCTGTAAAATGGGAATAAAAGAACATGTGAGATAATATAGGTCAAAAATTATTGAAAAAGCCTAAGTTCCTGTGTATGGATCATCTATTTCTACTTCAATTGCTGCCCTATTTAGGAGTCAAAATTATTTAACCCAAGTACTTTTTTTGTCCATCAAATCAAGGAGGTAGAGAAGACTTTCTGTTTGTTAGAATGTAATTCCAAATTTTAAAAAAAATCTATAAAATTTTGTCTATGTTCTTTACTGTATATAAAAGTTCTACATTACATGTTAAGTTGAATACAGTATTATAACAGTTGAGTATTAACTGGTCTGTGTTCCAACTAGGGGTGGAGAAACCATATATTAATAGTGAAATCAGTATTTCTTAATTCCCTCCGGCAATCAGTTGTCACTTTCCTCAGGCTAACAGGCAAAGGGCCATTTGCAGAGCTGCCAAACCTACATCCCCCATGCTGCAATCTGAGCCTATTTCCTTTTATTTTATCCACCATGGAAAAGAACAACAGCTGGACACATCAATTTGCATAATAACTTCTCCTGCTCAGAGATTGTTGGAAGGTCGGGTCTCTATTGCTAATACATTTCAGGCAGAACCTCTCTCTTTTTCTCTTTTGTTCTTTTCACAGCAAAACTATCTTTTGACTAAAGCTGTACTTCAAAAAATTTTGATTCCCTGACAATATAAGACTCCTTTCACAATTCTTTCACATGTTTCCTTAGTTAGGGAAGATGTTGAAAGAAAAAAACAAAACAAAAAACACTTATGAATAAATCACTCTGCTAGTATTCTGGAGAGGTTTAGATACATTTTTACTTAGGCACTGCTGACACTTCTGTAGCATATAAAATTCAATTGAGATGAAATCCATGGCTAGAAGGGAAATTTGGGGATTAATTTTGTGCTTATTATATCATGAAAAATTTTAGAATCTCAGTGACAAAATGTACATAAATAGCTTTGTACAACATTTTTATACGGATAAGCCTAATGGAACCAGGGAAATAAATTTATTTTCATGTAATACAAATGATATTCAACACAGGATAGAATCCTTTCTCACTTCTCCTTGAGGACCCTCAAGATTATTGATTTGTAGTTTACTTATGGAGAGTTAGAGGAGATAAAATACATTTATTTTATATTAAAGATGTTTAGGATAGAGTACTGAACTTTAGAATTGAAGACATAGGCTTGTAAATCATTTTAAATTAGAAAAATACATAAATTTCCTACTTTGAATTATTTCTATAAGAGTCATTTAAGGAGATAAGAATATATAGCAACAATATGAATTTTCATATATTTTAAAGAAAATTGAAATTGATGGAAGATGGTGAGCCAAGAATTTAAAACAAATTCAATTAAGCAGACTTTCACTTCTGGTCCCAATGAAGTAATAACATAACTGACACTGGACTAGTCTTCTTACAAAAGAAAAAAGCCATAAAACTGAGAGAAAGAATTTAAGGCAGCGATTTTCCGGTGTTAGGCAACAGGTAAAGCAAAACTGTGACCAATTAGAGAAGGAGAATTCATGAGATGGAACCCATGCTCTCCCTTCCTTTTCTTCTGCATGGAGACAATTTCATGGCTGCAGACAGAGAGCTAGAATAGAATAAAATATGGTGGGTCTGCTGAACTGGGGACCTCAGAGTTCAGAATGGCTGAAGTGGCTGGAATCTAATGGGCAGAGCACTGGAGAGCAGGGAACTACATAGGAAGTGTGTGTGAAACCATAGGAGAAGGATGGCCATGAATTCTTCACCAAAGGTAGAGTTGTGCATGCAAAGAGTGAGATTATGTCAGGTCTACCAGAAAGTGGTTGCTACAGAGCCAGGAACACAAGAGATACTAGAATTTGAGCAACTCGTGGAGATGGTAGAATTCTGGTTTAGTCAGAGTGAAGAGAACATTTTAGCACTCTGAGCATGCAACTAAGATGATGGAATATACATGCCTAAGGAGTTAACAACCATGTTCTAGAGGAAGGTCTATTTTAGACCTGCCCTGTGAAAATTTAAAACCATGCCTCAACAAAATCCACAGGAGAAACAGAGTTTAGATTGGAGTCTTGCCAACGTAGAGAGAAACTGGGTAAATCTTGGGTTTGCCGCAGATCTCCTCGATAAAATAGAATATATATTTTATATTATATATATAGAAATCATATATTGTTTGATTCTGGCCATCAAGGATTAAAGGAATTCAATAACAAAAATAATAATGGGAAAATCCTCACATATTTGCATTTAAACTGTGCTTGTCTAAATAGCACATGGATCAAAGAAGAAATTACAAGCAAACACAGTATTTTCAATTAAATGACAGTGCAAACACAACATATGAAACTTTATGGTATAAATCTAGAAGAGTCCTTGGAGGAAAAAAAGTCAATGACATAAGTTTATACTTTAATATGTTAAAGGTAGAAGAACAAATTATGAACAAGAAAACAAACATTAAAAGAGAAAATTATCCAAGCCAACAATTTACTATTTGAAATTATTGATAAAATTAGATCCCTTATCAACAAAACTCCTCACTAAGATTTTAGCACAGCAATCTTAAATAAATAAATAAATAAATAAATAAATAAATAAATAAATAAAATAAAATAAAAAAGCGTAATGTATCACTACCAAGAGGAGGAGGGAGGTCCAGGGAGGCAAAAGTGGTTTCAATATTTAAACATCAATTAATGCAATTCACCCCATAAATATAATAAATGAGACAAATCATTTGATCAATTCAGTGAAAACAGGAAAAGTATTTAACAAAACTCAATTTCATCCGTGACAAAAACTGTCAGCAAACTAGGAATAGTATGGAATTTCCTCAATTTGATGAAGGATGTATATCAAAAACGTACTGCTGATATTATACTTAATGGTTAATATTAAATGTTTTTCCCATAAAATGGGAAGAGTCAAGGATGTTCATTCTCTACCTCTACTCAAAGTTGTGCTGTTGGTAGTAGGTAGTACAATAAGGTAATAATAAGAATGAACTACATAAAAATGGGAGGAAAAGAATTAAAGTTGTTGCTATTTGTAGATGGTAAGATTTTTTAGTAGGAAATCCTACATAATCTACAAAGAGGCAACAAGAACTATTAGGTGAATTTAGCAGTTTCATTTACAAAAGTATATAATGTAATAATTTAGGAATAACTGTAAAGAAAATTATTCAAGACTTTCACACTTAAAATGACAAAACATTGCTGAGAAAAATTAAAGCCTATGTAAATAAATGATGTTATATGATGTTCATAAATTGGAAGATTAATATTATTAAGATATCTAGTCTCTTCAAGTTGATCCATATATATTGAACACAATGCCAATCAAAATCATCTAAAGTAATTTTATGGACACTAGAATTAGTTTTTAAATTTATCTGGAAATGCAAACATAGAAGAATAGCCAAAAAGTTTTGAAAAAAATACACAGAACTATGTGATTTCAAGGGTTTTAGAAAGCTGCACTGATCAACACTGTGTGATAATTGTGTAAGAATAAACAAGAGTTCAATGAAATAGAATAAAGCCCATAAATACACTAACTATATATATGTTCATTGTTTTTTGTAAAAAGACACCAAAGTAATCCAATGACAATAGATATGTATTTTATAAATGCTGTTAAAGCAGAAGAATTTCTAAAAGGAAAAATAATGAATATTGATCTCTACCTCACACTATAGAGAAAATTAATTTGTATTAGACAATAAACCTAAATATAAAAGCAAAAAATATAAAAACCTTTAGAAGAAAAAGGTATGAGAAAAATCTTCTGACCTTGCAGTTAAAAACTTGCACATGAATAGCAGCTTTATTCATAAGAGCCAAAAAGTGATAGAACCCAAATATCCACTGGAGATGAATGAATAAAAAGTTGTTGTACATTATTACAATGGAATGCTACAGAGCAATAAAAAATAATGAAACAAATTGGATGAGTATCAAAAACATGAACAAAATGAGCCATATACAAAAGCTTACATACAGTACAATTTTATGTATGTAAGTGTCAATAAAATATAAAAGTAATTCTAGGGTAAAAAAAAAGTCAGATCTGATTTCCTGGAGGGAATTTAGGATATGGATTGGCTGCAAAGTGGCATGAGAATACTTTCTGGGTGACATAAATATTTTATATCTTGATTGGTCCTGGGCTTCCTATGTGTAAACATTTGTTAAAACTCATCAAATTGTTGACTTAACTTGTGTGAATTTTATTATATGTAAATTATACTTCATTTATTATATGTAAATTTTAAAAGCTGCCATTGAGGTGTAATTAGTTGTCAATCCTGAGAAAAATATTAACTTTTTCTCCATCTTGAGTTAATTATTTTAAACAACTTTTTATGGTCAGGCCTGGTGGCTCAGGAACGTAATCCTAGCACTTTGAGAGACCAAGGAGGGCGGATCACCTGAGGTCAGGAGTTGAAGACCAGCCTGGCTAACATGGTAAAACCCCATTTCTACTAAAAATACAAAAATTAGTTGGATGTGGTGGTGCACACCTGTAATCCCAGCTACTTGGGAGGCTGAGGCATGAGACTTGCTTGAACCTGGGAGGCAGTAGTTGCAGTGAGCCAAGATCACACCACATCACTCCAGCCTGGGCAATAGAGTGAGACTGTTTCAAAAAATAAAAGGATAGGATAGGACAGGACAGGACAGGACAGGACAGAACAGGACAGGATACTTTTTAAATCAGTATGTGGGTGAACTTTTTTTTTCTTTTTTTTTTTTTTTCGAGACCAAGTTTCGCTCTTATTGCTCAGGATGGAGTGCAGTGGCGCGATATCGGCTCACCGCAAACCCCGCCTCCCAGGTTCAAGTGATTCTCCTGCCTCAGACTTCCTGAGTAGCTGGGATTACAGGCATGCGCCACCATGCCTGGCTAATATTGCATTTTTAGTAGAGACGATGTTTCTCCATGTCGGTCAGGCTGGTCTCAAACTCCTGACCTCAGATGATCCGCGCACCTCGGCCTCCCAAAGTGCTGGGATTACAGGCATGAGCCACCGAGCCTGGCCAGTGAACTTTTTTCCCCACAGAGTTTATCTTCTATTTTATATTAGAAATCAATGAAAATATGTTACAATACAATGCTATAATAATTTATAAATCACGTTCCAGAAATGTGTTCTTCCCATTGTGAGATATATCTTCACTTTGATATCTTTTCAGTACGTAAAATAAACCTGGGACATTATACAGTTTCTGTCTGCTTCAGGTCTTTTTATATACCTCCCACTTTTGCCTTGTAAACAGCTGAACTTATTGACAGTACTGAATATTATACAGTTCTCACTACTATTTATTTCATGATAAAGCAACATTGATTTATTTGTTCTTGAATCTGTGTGACACATTTTCTTTCTTCAGTGAACAGAGTCTGTTATTTAATTTTTAAAAATTCATTCTGGTTATTTCTCACCCCTATTTGAAATGCATTCTGTAGATTCACAGTCTTGTGGTGCATTAATACTATGACTTCCATTTATACATATATAATACATGAGATTTTGTGTTCACCCAAACATTGGTTTGTAAGTTAAGATTCATGAATTCACACACCCACCAAGAGGGTATGAAAATGGTTTTCACTCACATAATGAGGCTTTCTAGGGCAGGGTAGGGCAGGCCTCTGAAGCAGGTCTGAAATGGTTTGAGAACTGGGAAAAGAGGATGGCATAGGGTTACTATGGTGGCTAGGAGTTGGAGTTGGGATGGATGTTCTTCCATATCAGCAGAGGCTTGTGTGTTTTGAACTTCCCACTGGCACCAAGGAAAAGAACACCCAGGCTTTCTTATCACCCTGCCCAGATGTGGAGCCCAGGATGAGAGACAGGGTGCTGCTTGAAAGCTGTCAGCAGTCAAACATCACAGTTGGAGTCAGACTGTTTATTACATGAAGGAAAAGGAAAAATAGATATCATTGTAGGCAAAGGCTATTAGACGAGCAAAGAAATGTGTGTCAAAGGCATCATGTATTTAAAGTACCATTTGTCAAATAGGCCTTGGGAGAAATAATCTGGTTTTGTCCCCTCCTTATCTCTCTTCCCTCCCTCCTTCCCTCCTTCCCTCCTTCCCTCCCTCCCTTCCTTCCTTTCTTCCTTCATTCCTTTTTTCTCTCTTCCTTCCTTTCTTTCATCTTCCTTCTTTTCCTTCTTTCTTTTTTTCTTAGTATGCTTACTTCAAAGAAAATATAATTTTATTTCCTAATTAAAATTTTGCTTTATCTCTAGACTGCGAATGCAGTTTTAACCATTAATAGTATAGTCACAGGAAGGCCATGGACAGGGTTGCTTGGATGTTCTGAAGTACTTTCTTATAAGCCCAAACAAGCTCTATTCTATATAGAAGTCCAACCAGATAATTTCTATAGCCTTTTGCAGTTTTCTTTCAGTTTTGAAATTAGGCATGTTTAGCTAGTTCTCCTGACATAATTGGATTTTGTCAAGGAGAGATGCACTTTTGGATGACAGTTATACAGACAATTCTTTCCCTGCAACAAATTCAATTTAATGATGCTCTAATGCCCTCCACTGATGTGTTAGCTATCTTCTGTTTATTGGACCAGTTCTTTCAGGGACTTTCAGGTGGTTGTTTGCTTTTGTTCAGAATAACTGTCAGTGCTAGCTATACACAGGAGGAAACTTTACCATCTAAAAAGAGTCCCCAACCATAAATTATTTGTTGAACAGAGGTCCAAATTGTATTTGACATCTGCAAACATTAAAATAAAGTAACAAATACTTAGGTGGCAAAACATTCATGTGACTTTGAGTAGGAAAACAGAAGCCAGAGAATTTGAAAAATCATTCCTCTTTCTTAAACTTAACTGTGGCTGGTCAAATATTTCTTGTTTCTATCTCTTTAAGGGGGGATTTTGAGAAATAGCCATATAAGTCATTTAATAGCAAGTTCAATATAGGGGAAAATTATAAGTAAAGGCTAGTATGTAAATTTTAAGAGAACTGGAGATGTGGATATTACAAGTTTAACTTGGAAAAGTACGTTTTGTCGGGAGTGAAAATAAGTAAGTTCTGAATCCTTCAGGGTGGAGAATATTTACAATAATATAGAATTACCCTTGCACTGTTTATGACGTGTTTTCAGGATTTAAACAAAAGATGACTTTGTTTCTCATAACTTGTTCATATGTTGTTTCAACAGTTATTTATTGAGAATGTATTGTGAGATAGACATTGTGTTAAATACTTTGTGCATGATTACCAAAAAAAGATAACCCATATTCTTAATAGGAAGGGTTTAGAGAAATGGTGGAGAGAGATAAGCCAATAGGCAGTTGTAACAGAAACATGTAACCTGGATAATTACTAAAATATGTATGCTGTGGAAATCTTAGGAGGCGATATTAAGTTAATATTAAAAAGTCAGGGAAGTCTTATGAGAAAAGTAAGTTCGAATTTGGAAGGCTACACTGTGATAGAATTGAGTGTGGAAATATCAGACAAAGATGACTGCACGTGTTGAAGATAAAAGAGAGGATAACACATACAGAGAGCTGAAGTAGAATGTGAGAAAGGCAGTCCTCAAAAACAATACTGAAGGGGTATGCACAGGACGGAGGATAAATGAACCTTCAGAACCTTCAGAAATGACTGGGGACTTTATCCTAAAGGAAATAGGGAGTCAGTGCAGTGTTTTAATGTCAGATTGTAATTTAAGCAAATTTACATTTTAGAATGCTCACTCTCTGTTTCAATCAGGAGAATGGATTGTATGGAGACAAGACTGGCTTGTGTAAGAAGGCTTGCGTATATCAAAACCAAGCTTCAACTTATCCTTTCCTTAAGTCATTGAATCAGATTTCCTATTTTATGAAAGATGCAAAATCTGGACTCTGAAGTTAGTGCTTCTACTGTAAAACAAATTGGGTGGTAAAATGCTGCTACCAATTACTGTTGGCCAACTGTCCTGCATCAATACAAAATGTTGCTTAAAAGCATACCCAAAAGGAATCTTTATTAAAGTAAACTCATTTGTCCTATATAAGTGTGAATGGAACTCAGGCTTTTTTAAAAAGTGAATTTGAAAATTTCAGATACTTATTTTAAAGCACAACTAATAACTAATGTGTCTTTAATATTTAATAATCTGATTTTTTTCTTATTTTAAAGCCTGTAGAAGTATTTTACAACTTAGGATTTCATTTTAGAAAATGAAATGATACATTGCTTTTATTAGCTTGATTGTAATTGTGCATACTGCATTACTATAATAATTTCGTAGCCACCTCTTGTTGCTATCCTGGTGAGCTCAAATGCTTCAAGTATTCGCTTAAAATGTCTTGTTACATTAATCATCTTTGTGTTACTCAGCTCCTCTCTCCAGTAAGTTGGGTATCACAGTAAAAAGTATCTCTCACTGTTCTTATGTATTTTTCGTCGTGTTTAGTGCAATACCATAAACCTTGAATAACACCAGGGGACCCATATGAAGCACTTCTAGTGATGCTGGAAATACTCCCAAGAAGCGGCGTAAAGTCATGACGTTACAAGATCAATTTGAATTGCTTGATACGGACTGTAGATTGAGGTCTGAAGTGGTCATTGCCCACCATTTCAAACAAAGGGTTTGTAATGTAACATGTATTAATGTAACAATAAATACTGTACAGTATTGTAAATATATTTTCTCTTCCTTATCATTTTCTTAACATTTTCTTTCACCCAGCTTATTGGAAGAATGCGGTAAATAATACATATAACATTCAAACTATGTGTTCATGATTTATTTATGTTATCAGTGAGACTTCCCATTAAGGGTAGGCTATTAGTAGTTAAGCTTTTGAGGAATCAAAAGTTATACATGGATTTTCAACTGCAGGAGTGGGGGTAGGGTGGCGCCTCTAACTCCTGCGTTGTTCAACAATCAACTGTAGTATGGAAAGTCAAATATGCATTCACTCCTTGGAACTGGCTACTCAGAGTATTTGTGTGTGTGTGTGTGAGTGTGTGTGCATGTGTATGTGTGTGTGTGTGTGTAGTCTTCTCTGGACTTGTTTTCTAAATGCTTTTCCTCAAGATTACTTTGAGGATAAAGCCAAGCAATATATTGTTTCTAAATACATTGTTTCTTGGAGAAAGAAAACACACCTAGTAGCCATTCTCCCTGTTCCCCAGTTCACTTTCCTTTTTTTTGAATCTTACAGTTTTTATCGTTCCTTTATTTTTAACCTCCTTGTGTCATTTTCCTTCATCTATCTCTTTGAAGTACCATATAGCCATTTTAGGGTTTTTTGTTTGTTTTGTTTTATTATTATTATATTTTATTATTATACTTTAAGTTCTGAGATACATGTGCAGAACGTACAGATTTGTTACATAGGTATACACGTGCCATGGTGATTTGCTGCACCCATCAACCTGTCATCTAGGTTTAAATAAAACATACTCTTGGCTACCTGGAAGGAAAGGGCTCGTTTATGATAGAAGAAAGTACAAAGAAATGAGTGGAATGGATGAGATTATTAAGCAAAGACATTTGCCTCACAGAAAAGACAAACATTGTTACTTTCATACCAGGGACCTTGGTTTGCTTAAGGAAGTGATTTGGACTTCTAAGAGAGGAAGAGTATAGAGCCAGAATAAACTAAAGCCAGATTTTATCTTTTTTTGCACTTATACAACACAACCACAATCTCCAAATTTAGAGTTGGAGATTTTTATTATGTCTTATTTCTGCAATGTAATTACCTCAACTATATGGTGAAGAAATCCAAGGGCTGCCACTCCAAAATATGGTACCCTGGTATGCACAGTATTTTGAATAAAATGCCCTTGGACACCAACAGATGCTAGAAGAATTTTTCCCTTCTCTGCAGAAGGGTCAGAAGTGCCAAAGAAGAAAACAATTACCTTTTGTCCCTTCCCTCAGATTTCAAAACTGAACTCATGTCACAGGAAGGGAGACTGAGGAATGTAACCTCACCTGGACAGATTTTGTCATGAGCCATTGTCTGTTTCCTCCAGGCCCATTCAGTTCTCAAAGATATTCATTTCCTAACCATTGTATGAGTGCCAGGCCCATTTGTTCCTCCTAAAACTTATTACCACCGCTCAACGTTGCCACATTTCCCCTCTCCCCTTCCCTTATGAAGAAAGGTACGTGTACATTAGCATCCAGATCTGATTGGTTATGGAATAATCACTCTCCTGTGGTTTTCCCCTGTACACGTTACATAAATTTTGGTTGCCTTTTTCTCCTGTTAATCTGCCTTTCATCGGTTCATTTTTAGGGAAACTTCAGAGGGAAAAAAGGAAGCTTTCCCTCTTCAACCCTAGAGTGGCCTTTCAGGTTCAATCATTATTTCACTTAGCAAATGCTTATTGTGTGCCTACTATAGGCTACGCACTGTTCTAGGCACTTTAGTTGAATCAGTGAACATCGTGCTCAAATATGTCAACTTTTCAGAGGTTACTTTATGGTGGTATTAATCTCAGATCTAGCAATATATCTGCAGGTAGGAAGTTGTTCTTTCATTTTAACTTTTTACCTATGTTTTACCTTTTCTGTTATGAAAAGATTTCATTTTACACAAAAGTAGGAAGAATAGTAGAGTGAACTCTTAGTTACCCAATACACATTTCAACAATTATGAATACAAAATGAAATTTACCTCATCATTAACTGTGTCCTCCTCTTTCTACCCTTGCTAAATTGTTATATTTTAAACTTTTTATTAAAGTATCATAAACATAATGAAAATTATATATAAAATGTCAATGAATTTTTATAAGTTGAAAATATTTGTGAAACCAGCACCAAGATGAACAACTAGAAAATCCTCCAAAAAGCCCCTATCTCCACCCAAGAATGTTCTTCATCTAACAGCATAGATGAATTTTGCCTATTAACATAATTTTTTTAGTTTATATGAACAATATATTCACAGAATTACATAAAACACAGATTTTTGTGTTTGTATTCTTTTTTCAGTGTCATATTTGTGAGATTCTTTCATATTTTTGCATGTAATTTTAGGTTATCTGTTTTCATTGCTGCATATTAATGTATCCTGTGAATATACCATACTTAAAAAAAATCCATTTTATACTAGAGTATTTGAATTATCTCCGGGTGGGGCTGTTAAGAGCTTCCGTGAGCATTCAATACATACCTTTTAATTAAAAAATAGTAATTTTAGGTATATACCCGGGAATTGAATTGCTGGGTTTTAGAATGTGCATATGATTAACTTTAGTAGAGACATAGCCAACGCTTTTCCAAAGTGGTTTACAACTTATTCTCCCACCAGCAGAGTATGCATTTCCTTTTTCTCCATGTCCTCATCAAAATGTGTTTGTTTCAATTTGGCCATTCGAATAAGTGAGCAATGCATCTCATTATGGTGTTAATTTGTACCTTCTAGAGATTAATGAGATAATCTGATTTTCTTTATTCTCCTCTTCCTCCTTTCCTTCCTCCTCTTTCTTCTTCTCCTATTTGGATGGCTTATTTCATAAGAATTTGTTCAAATATTTTAGCCCACTTTTCTTTTTGTCATGATTTGTATTTCTTTAATCTATATGCACTCTTAAGTATTTATTTCCATGATGTGGGTTGCCTTTCAACTCTCTTAACAGTGTTATGATTATCAACATTTACAGAGTCTATATAGGTTAAATTATCTTTTTTCTGATTGACACTTTTTATTGTTGGATTAAGAAATATTTAACCATTTCAATGTCACAAGTATGTTTCCTTTGCTTTTTTCTAAAAATTAAATTGTTTGCCTTATGCACCAGATCTATAATACATCAGAATCTACAATCCACAGGGCCTGGCACCTTTTAGAAACTTGATTTTTAATGAAACCTGACTTTTACAAGAAAAAAAATTACAAAATAGAAATAAATTTCTGCCTAGTAAATTTAACAAAATGGCTATTACAACTATTTAAAAAAATAAACAATTTAGCGTAGCAAATAGAGAACACATATTCATTCCTCTCCACTCTTTATACATCACACCTCACTGTAATAAATGTTTAGAGGCTAACAAAAAGTAATAACTCAATAGCACCAAACAAAAATTAGTAATTTTTTTTAATCAAATGGAAATCATATGTGTCATGAATGGCAAATGAGACAAGCTGAAGTTTAGAGTAGGATATGCGTGTGCGGAGGGGAGGTGGACATTTCTGCCATGCCATGGAGTACCAAACTCAGCAGGTATAACAGACAGTAGGAATGAGAGTTTGTTCTGACAATAGAAAAAAAATATTGAGGAAGACAACTGAAACAGTCAATTCCCATAGCTCTTGTCTCACCCTATTTACCAAGATAATTTTATCTCTGACCTTTTCCTTTTTCTTTACTGAAAAAGAGTGAATATACTGAGCTTAGGGGGCTGAGAAAAAAAGGTGCTGAGCTGTTTCACAAACTTTTTGGGTAGCTAAATGTTTACCAAATATCTATTTAGAGTATCAAAGTTTATCTGAATTACAGCAAAAGCACTTGTTTGAAAGCCATTTCATAGAACTAATCTTTTAGGTCTACACACTAGCTGCTTACAGTTTTTTGTGTGTCAAAATCCTTACAAATAAATTGATTCTGATTTAAACTAAATAAAAGTGCTGTTGTACAAATTAGAGAAATGCTCAAAATTCCAAATTACAAGATGCTTGGAAATATACTCTTCAACATCCTTTAATAGAATGCTTCTTATTCAAATAATTGTTTACTTTATACAATTTTTTGTTATTTTTGACCTTTTTGAAAAATGGCATGCAACATAAAGACTGATTCAATGTGGCAGATATACCATTAACAAAATCTATATTATAAATGTTTACATCCAACACTTAACTTTTAAAAACAAATATAAGGTAGATTAAAATATTAAAAATATTTGTTAAAAACCTACTTGGGCTTTTGGTTGAATTTGGAATCAAGTAGTATTTTATGGCCCATATTTATATTAATATATTCGGGACAGCTTTGAGATGATGAAATATTATAATAATACAGTAATTCCCCCCTTATCAGGAGTTTTGATTTCTGTGGTGCCAGTTACCTAAAATCAACTGTGGTCTGAAAATTTTAAATGGAAAATTCTAGAAATATAAAATTCATAAGTTCTTGAGTAGCATGATGAAATCGCACATCATTCTACTCCACCCCAGTGGATCCACGATGTAGATGCTGCCCACCCGTTGGTCACTTAATAGCCTTCTTGGTGACCAGAGAGACTGTTCTGGAATTACCATGATGCTCGTGTTCCAGTAACCCATATTTTACTTAACATGTCTCCAAAGCCCCAAGAGTAGAAACACCGGTAGTTCGGATATGCCAAAGAGAAGCTGTAACATGCTTCCCTTAAGAGAAAAGGTGAAAGTTCTTAATTTAACAAGGAAAGATAAATAATCCTATGCTGAGGTTGCTAAGAACTATGGTAAGAACAAATCTCCTATCTGTGAAATTTTGAAGAGTATATTGTTAAACTTGTTCTATTTTATTATTGATTGTTTTAATCTCCTACTGTGCCTAATTTATAAATTACACTTTATCATAGGTAAGTATGTATAGAAAAAAAATAATGTATATAGGGTTCAGTCCTACCTATGGTTTCAGGCATCCACTGAGGGTCACTGAACATATTCCCCCAAAGATAAAGAGGAACTACTCTAATACAATTGAAGCAACAAAGATAAGGAGGAACTACTGTGATACAATTAAAGCAAAATATTCACTTCAGAAACCTGGAGGATTTTTTTTTTTAACTATAAGACCCATAGAGCTGAAGTGGATGTTATAATGATCTCTGGTTAGAAGGAGATAAAATCCTTACGGTTAAGGAAGTTTGAAGAAGCATGATATTCATCAATCTTGACCTTCTTCCATCTATGACATGATGACCCTAAGAAAGTAATAATTATTCACCATTATTATTATTTGATTCATTTTCTGCATTTGTCTTAAAACTACAGTTTCTAATCACTTAAGTTATTTGGCAAATAAAATACAGCAGGAGAAATAGTTAATATGACCATGAAAGAAATTATAAAACTGTAATTATAAACCTTTCCACAAAGAAAGCTCTAGGACAAATGTTTTATATATGTACACTCTATTGAAAGAAGAAATAGTATCAATCTTATATGTTTTTTCCAAATAATTAAAAAAAGCTGGAATATACTTTGTATCACAGTCGTGTCATTTAACGATGGGGATATGTTCTGAGAAATGCCTTATTAAGTTATTTCATCATTGCATGGACATCATAGGGTGTCCTTAAACAAACCTGATGGTACAGTCTATTATACACCTAGGCTATATGTTACAGCCTAATGCTCATAGGCTACAAACCTGTATAGCATGTTGCAGTACTGAATGCTGCAGGTAATTGTAACACAATGGTAAGTATTTTTGTATTGAAACATATCTAAATACAGAAAAGATACCGTAAAAATGTGGGTTAAAAGATAAAAAAATGGTACACCTGTACACTTACCATGAATGTAGCTCAGGGGACTGAAAGTATTTCCGGGTGAGTCAGTGAGTGAAGGGTAAGTGAATGTGATGGCCTAGGACATTACGGTACATGACTGCGGACTTTACAAACACTGTATACATAGGCTACACAGATTTATAAAAAATTTTCTCTCCTTAATCATAAATTACTCTTAGCCTACTGTAACTCTTTTACTTTATAAACTATTAATTTTTTAAAACTTGTTGACTTTTTTTAATAACACTTACCTTAAAACACAAACACATTTTACAGCTGTACAAAACTATTTTCTTATATCCTTTTTCTATAAGGTTTTTTTCTGTTTTTAAAATTTCCTACTTTTTCATTTTTACCTTTTAATCATCTTTATTAAAAACTAAGATGCAAACACACATTAGCCCAGGCCTACACAGAGTCAGAATCATCAATATCACTATTTTCAATATCACTGTCATTAGTTATGTGCCCACCTCAGCCTCCCAAAGTGCTGGGATTACAGGCATGAGCCACCATGCAAGGCCAACATTTTTTTTAAGTAGAAGGGGTACATTCTAAAGTAAGTAGAAGGGGTACACTTTAAAATAAAAGCAAAAAGTATAGTAGAGTAAATGCCTATACCTGTAACTTTGTCATTTATTATTATCATTAAGTATAATTTCATGTCTTAAAACTTTTCTACAACTGGCAGTACTTTACACCAGCATCACCACAATCATGTAAGTAGTGCATTGCATTAAAATATTATAACTCAGTAGGCAATATGAATTTTTCAACTTCATTATAATCTTGTGGAACCATCATTGTATATGCAGTCCACCACTAAGCAGATATTGCTATGTGGTACATGACTGTAGTTATCTATTGCTGTAGAAAACATACCAGAACTTAGAAGCATGAAACATCAATGTTAATCATCCCACGGTTTCTGTGGGTCAGGAATTTAGGCAAGGTTTAGCTGAGTTCTCTGGCTCAAGGTTTCTAACAAGACTGCAATCAAGGAAGAGTTGCCGTTAATTATGAGAGAAGACTAGAATAAGAGTAATTGAGTGGGTAAAATCAGGGCACAAGTTTGGACATTTTAAATCTGTGATGCCTATTGAATATTTAGGTGGACACATGAAGTAGCCACTTGGATATATGGGTCTGGGATTTAGGGAAGAGGTCAGAGCTGCAGATATGAAAACATGAGGCTGGATGATATCACCAGTTAATGAGTGAAAAAAAAAAAAAAAAAAAGAGTGTAGACTGAAAAGACACCAGGGCTGATTACTGGGGCACTCCAGGTAAAAAAAAGTCAGGTGAATGAGGAGGACCTGAGTGGAAGCTGCACAGAATGAAGAGGTCACAGGGAAAACAGCACAGAAGAGCCTGTAGTCTGGGAAAGGAACTTACGAATTGTATCACATACTGCTGAAAAGACAGGAAAGATAAAGATGAAGACGTTATGCTTCTTAATTATGCATGCTGTGAATACATTGTATATCAATTGAAAATTTAATGGAAACAGTACTTTTAAAAGTAACAAAAACTACAAGAATGTAAAATTATCAAAAAAAAAAAAAGAGTAAGTACTTCACAATTTTCCCACTCCATCATCCTCAAAAATATCCACCAGATGCAGGAAATTCTATGAAACCTTCAAGAAACAGATAATCTTTTTCTATAGTGGAACACTTCCCAGACACCTTCAAAATGCACATACAATTCTAATTCAAAACTAGAAACAAAAATTCAGGTAACCAAAATTATGTGCCAGTTTCAGGTATAAACATGAATACTAAATAAAATAGTAATACTAAATAAAATAGTAGAAAATTCAATTTAGAAATGTATTAAAAATCTAAAAAGTATTTATCTCACACTGCAAGGATGATTTGATTTTGAAAATTTATTAAAGCAATTCATCACATTATCAAATTAAAGGAAAAAACCAAATACATAAGAGTAAAAAGTGTTTTTGATACAATTCAGCACCGATGTATGACATAAATATTAACAAATGCAGTACTAAAACAGAATTCCTTGAATTAATCATAGATATCTAATCAAACCGGCAAAATATAATATTTGATGGCAAAATATTAGTTATTTTTTAAGTCAAGGGCAAGAAAAGCATCTCTTTCTTTTTTCCTAGTCATAATTTTACTGGGCAGTTAAGCAAGTCAAGTAAAATAAGACAAAGAAAGAACATGTATAAGAATTTAAAAGAAAGAAATAAAAATTGCCATTATTCAGAAGTAATTGGTCTATATACAAAAATCAAAGAAGTTCTGGAAATTACTGCAACCAGTAGAAGACATTAGAGAATTAGACGTGGATTTGATTTGATTTGATTTTTTGATTTTTGTATTTATTTATTTATTTATTGAAACAGACTCTCACTCTGTTACCCAGGCTGGAGTGCAGTGGTATGATCTCTGCTCACTGAAACCTCTGCCTCCTAGGTTCAAGCAATTCTCCTGCCTCAGCCTCTTGAGTAGCTGGGATTACAGACGTGAGTCACCACGCCCAGCTAATTTTTGTATTTTTAGTAGAGACGGGGTTTTGCCATGTTGGCCAGGCTGGTCTCCAACTCCTGACCTCAGGTGATCCACCCACTTCGGCCTCCCAAAGTGCTGAGATTATAGGCGTGAGCCGCTGCGCCCAGCCTAGAAGTGGATTTTAAAATTCACAGAAGAATAAAGGATAATAGTATATAAAGCAATGAAGAAAAAACATGAACAAAGATTTTCCTTACACTATATTAAGATTTAATTAAAGAAAAAGTGATTGAAAACATCATGATGCTGTCATAAATCTAAGGAATTCAGATACCAGCCTACATGTGTCTTGGAACAAGGTAATTTTTTAAAAGGCATTTCATATTAGAGGAAAATATAAGCCCCTTAAAAATAGCATTGTACTCATATGGGGAAAAAACAGATCCGTACCTCACTCTATACAATAATTAAACTCTTACACACATATAGCAGAGTATCATTATGACTACCAGAAAGAAATATTTCTTAAACAATGCTCAATAAATATAAACCATAAAGGTACAAATATATCTAGAATAAACTTTTAAAACTTTAGAAAAAATCATAAGCATTGTAGAAATAAAAGCTACTGACTTACAAAGATATTTATACACATATGCAATAAAATATTTTTAATCAGAATATACAAAGAACTCCTAAAACTTAAAAAGGCAAAGTAGCATAATTGTAAAGTGTGAAAAGATTTGAACAATCAATTTACATGGGAAGAAACAAAATGGTAAATATGCATATTAAAAGATTCTCCATCTCACTGTTAATCAATGAAATGTAAATTAAAACTATGATACACAATTTCTCACCTATCAGATTGGAAAAAAAATCAATTCAATAATGTCAGTTACTGGTAAGGGTACAGGGAAATAAGCATATTTGCACATTACTTATGAACAACATGAGATTGTAAGTTGTAATGATTGTGTGATAGTAGTAATATTTGTGACTACTGGTAGTTATAATTTGCAGTAGTTGTACTTGCAACTTTGTAGTAATTACTAAGTTATAACTACTGCAAAACACAATTTGGCAAAACAATAATATTGAAGATGCTTGTATCTCATATTCTGATATCAATAAGTTAGGTATCTCAAACATGGACAAACTTGAAAAGCATAAGGTATATGGTATGAAAAATAAATTGCAAATACAGTTGACCCTTGAACAAACCCACTGAGCTGCCTAGGTCCACTTATACTTGGATTTCCTTCTGTTTCTCCCACTCCTGAGACACCAAGACTAACCCTTCTTTTTTCTCCTCCTCTTCAGCATACTCAATGTGAAGATGATGAGGATGATGAGTTCTATGATGATCCACTTCCGCTTAATGAATAATACATACATTTTCTCTTCCTTATGATTTTCTTAATAATGTTTTCTTTTCTCGAGATTACTTTATTGTAAGAAGATAGTATATAATACATATATTATAAAAAATAAGTGTTAATTGACTTTTTAGGTTAAGGCTTCCTCCAGTCAACAGTATACTATGAGTTATTAAATTATTGGGAAGTCAAAACTTATATATGGATTTTCAACTGTATAAGAGATTGGCACTGCTAACTCCCATGTTGCTCAAGGATCGACTGTATATATTTAATAATATTATATAGATATTGTGAATCTTCAAAGCACAGAAAAGTTGCCTTTCTAGTCACAGTACAAAAGTCCAAATGTGGTAGAATACATACCCTGGTGGATGTGAGGAGACATTTCATTGTGCTGTTAACTTGCATTGTCCCAATAATTAGTGATGTTGTGCATCTTTTCATCTGCTTTGATTAGGAGAAAATAGAGACTGCGAAAAGGAGGAAGATAGTGAAGCTTCTGTTCCCAGTCCACTACCATGAATCGGGAAAGAATCTCATGGAGAAGAGGCCATTCTCCCCATTTCTGCAGAGATCATGTTCCCTTAAGATCAACAGGAAGTAGCAGGATGTTGGTTGGGCTTTGAGAGAGAGCAGGCTCAGTGAAATAATTATTTCTTGAAGAAGAATTAGCTGAACACACATGTGAGGTGGTGTTTGACTCAGTGAACCTGAGACAAGGGGGTACGGCCTGGCAGAAGAGCTCCTATGCAAGGTAAGTATGGGTGTGTTTGTAAGCACATCCTGAAGACTTTCTGGGGACAACTGTAATAGTGGAGATGTTTAAGAGATGAGAATTAACAAGTGTTTTGAATTTCTAAGTTAATTTATGTTTCATCATAGGGATAACTCTGCATGTATACCGTGCAACATACTGATTACATAAAAATACAGGGCTGAAAATCAAGGCATCCAGGTTTATTCTCTAACATACAATTACCTCAAAGTTTGACCTTACAGAAATCATCTGACCATTTTGGGTTTTAGTTTCTTTCTATGTAACATTTGGGGAATAACATGCATCATTTTTTCAACAGGACTATTACACAGTTACATAAAGATAAGAAGTGGGAAATCCTTTGAAGCAGTAGAATGCATGTAAGGTATGATTAATGCTTAAATTGATAACCAAAGGAAGACGTGGCAAACTCTAGCTTGTACTCCAACAATGCCTTATTATTTGTTTGAGGAGGTTTGGAGAGCAACTTTTCATGCTGCAAGTCTACTGCCAGTCAGAATTAGACAAAAAATGACACTCTGCTTTCTAAAGAGTAAAGATGGGGTACTTTTTATCAGGAGGCAAAATCTAGGATTTATAGGTGAAGAATAACTAAGATTTATACTTCTTAATGTGAAATGTTCTTTCAGCTACCTGTGACATGGAGGGGGAATCAGCCATGCAACACATCACCTGGACATTCAAGGATTATTTATTTCAAGATTTTTAGATCTCCAAATGAGTAATGTGTAAGATTTTAATTTTCTGCACATCATACCAATGACAACATCTCCAATGTGCATTTAAATGAAAATCAGGCAATCAGCTATATATGCAAATAAAACTGACATACCAAGAGGAAGCAAAAGTATAGCAGTCTGTCATCCAGTGTTCCAAAACTGTCAGTCTCTGACAATTGATTTCAATGAAGAAAGACTGATTCTTTGTGCGGGACAAAATGACTCAATGTCACAATTCTTTCAGAATCAAATAAATATCAATATTTTAGTATTAATAGAAATGTTAAATATTTGGTAGGGCAAATTGTGCCAATATCATTCTATTTGATTCATGTTTTACAAAGGCCCAGTTTCTTCGCCTCAACTGATGATAGATTTTGCTACTTAAAAATATTGTTGACCTCTGGTCCTTATCAGAAGAAATGGAGCAGGTAGTAATATAAAATGTGAGTATTTTACATTAGTTTACTGTTCTGTTCCTCATTTGGAAAAAAAATTAAATACTCTGCTTACATTATCTACTATTGTGGCCATCAACCAGAAAGTTGTAATTTATTAAAAATATAGCAATAGGGATTAAAAAGATTTCTTTTTCATTACCTGTAAGGCTGTGTACTTCGTAAAACATTGAATGTAGTGTTGGGGAGCAGACTAGTGGGGAAAGTATCAGAAATTCAGCAATTTGATTCAACAAATATTTTCTGTGACTAATATTTGCTGGGTTGTATTCTAGGTGCTGGGAATGTCAGGTAACAAAGATCAAAGCTTCCTAATCTTGTGGTTCTTAAATTATATCTGGGGAAAAAGCAACAATGACAGCAAAAAGGAATACACAAGGACAGTTGAAACAGAGTAGGAGGACCCAAAATTTAAATATACGGGTTGAGTGACTTCTCTGTTAGTCAGTTCTTGCATTGCTATAGAGATATACCAGAGGCTGAGTAATTTACAAAGAGAAGGTGTTTATTTTGGCTCACTGGTCTGCAGGCTGTGCAGGAAGTCTGGTGGTGGCATCTGTTTCTGGTGAGGCCTCAGGGAGCTTCCAATCATGGTAGAAGGTGAAGGGGGTGCAGGTGGTTACATGGTGACAACCGGAGCAAGAGAGAGATGAGGAAGTCCTAGGCTCTTTTAAACAACCAGATGCCACCTGAACTCATAGAGGGAGAAATAACTTATTACTGTGACAATGGCACCAGGCCATTTATGAAGGATCGGCCACCATGATGTAAACACCTCTCACCAGGTCCAATTCCAACATTGGGGATTACGTTTGAATATAAGATTTATAGGGGACAAAACATCCAAGCTCTATCACTACTTTAAATCAAGTATTCAAGGTAGCATCCTGGGGATGGTGACTCCTGTGCAAATATCTAAAAGAGGTGAAGAAGTTAGCCATGCTGAGTTTGGCGTAAGGAGCTTTCTCAGCAGAAGGAATAGGCAGCGCAAATACCTTGAGGCAGGAGTGTGCCTAGTGTCTTCTAGAGAAAGCAGTGGCTACAGTGGCAGGAGCAGTGTGAGAGAGGAAAAAAATAACACAAAAGCCAGAGGGAGAAGAAAGAGGTGTGCAGGATGCGGAAGGCCTTGAAGACCTTTGGAAACTCTTGGGAAGGTTTGAGAAGGTTTAGGGAGATTTTTGAGAATTTGGGGAGGAACGGAGGATGCTGAGCAGAGATCCCATGGTCTCACTTGCATGTTAAAAATAACTACTCCGGCCACAGTGTTTAGGGTAGACTACAGGGAAGGGCAGAAGCAGGAAGATAAAGTAGAAGGCCTGTGCAGGAGACATGATAATACCTCACACCAGAGAGGTGGGAGGAGAGGGGTGATACACTTTATGAAGTTTACTTTGTGGGCCCTGGAAAACGATACTTGGATCCTGACTGAAATAAAATCTCAAATTTAAGGTAAAATAACTGGTGATATATTTTGGAACAGAAGGCTTGGGGAAATATTTTTATTTTTGCCCTTCTTTCAAGTTTTCTCTTCTCACATCAGTATCTATTTTTTTTTTCAGCTTGAAAAATCATTACTAATTTGGAGAAAAGATGCAGAGTCATCCATAAACTTTTAATAGATGTCCTTGCATTCACAGAGCACTGCCCCTGTTCCCCTGAAGGTAACAGCAGGATGCATAATGCATAATACACTCCATGCCTTAGATAAATACACATAAAACTTTAGCAGTTAAGAGGATGGGGCTATTAAAGAAAACAATGTGAGTGTAAAACAGTTTTGCAGAGATTAAAATTTTTTAAGCCAGGAGCTTTTACTAAAAGAACAGATTGGATTTCTGATTAGAGATTGGAGGAAATGATAATTGAAATACTCATTTCAATACCAATAGCATAAAACATGTGAATCAGTCCAACTCATATTTGGTTTGGCTAGAAAAAGAAACAAATTATGATCACACAATTTCTTTAAGTCTATAACTATTTATTTTTCTCCACTTTGTAGCCGCATTCATCTGAAATGGATAGATTTTATTGCTGTTGATTTAAACCAATTTACAGTTTCAATCTTCTATTTTAGTTTTTCATAATTTTGCTTTAAAGCTCATGGAGACATGACTTAAATGATGAAAGAATGTGCATAAAATGACAAAAAAAATTGTGTGCAATAATGTGCTGATTTCTTCATCTGCCAGAACACCCATACTTTTAACCACACTGATTATCTTGTAGCTATTATTGAAAATGGTAGGCAGGCATGGACTTATGATTAATCAGCATGATTCATCTGAGATCAAAAACCTCTAGGTTGCATATTCACATTTCAGAATAGTCTGTTCTAAGTCGAGGACTTTTTTGAACAATATGATGTACAAAACCCAAACATCCTGCTCTGCAGGATATATTTTTTATATTTCTGTGTTTTTCCCACTCTGATTAAACCAAAATAAAGAGTATATTGCATCTTTGAAATTTCATAGTTCAGCTTTCTTCTCATTCTTTTGTAGTTATTGAAAATTGCAGTATAAGTCTTTCCTGTCAATGTGCTGAAACCAAGTCTGGGAAATCTGGTAACTGAGTCTGGATACAGAAAAGTAAGTTAGACAAAGTTGCTGGAGGAAGAAAGAGGAAGATGCTCTCACACTTTACCTGGGACTTTCAGTTTTTTTAGTGGTTGCCTAAAGTTGCAATACAAATGTACCGCTAATCTATGGGACTAGCAGATAATACTGTACTGCATCCCTACTAGTGCAAGCACCTTGTAACAGTATTCCTAATTCCTCATTCTTATCCCTTATTATATTGCTGTCTTGCATTTCATTTATCCATAGCTATAATCACCTAATATATTCATTATTATTTTAAACAAACATCTATTCAATCAATTAAGAGTAAGAAAAATAAAAATTTTTATTTAATCTTCACTTACTCTTTTTCTAATACTCTTCTATTTGGTATACGGATCTTAGTTCCTGACCTATGACATTTTTCTTCTCTCTGAAGAACTTTTAATGTCTCTTGCAAGTCAGATCTACTGGTGACAAACTGGCTCTATTTTTATCTGGCAAATTCTTGATTTCTCCTTCGCTTATTTTTACATCTGACTGTCCAACTACTTAGCTAGCTAGCTGTTTTGTATACATACGTATCTATCTATGTATCTATATATCTATTCATGTATGTATGTATGTATGTATGTATCTATCTATCTATCTATCATCTATCTATCTAATCTACTTGTCATCTATCTGTAATTTATTTGAGATGGGGCCTCATAATACTGCCCAAGCTGGCCCTCCTGAGCCCAAAGAATTGATCCTCTTGCCTTAATCTCCCGAACAACTGGGACTACAGTCACATATCACCATGTCTGACTCTTTCACTTTCGAAAGATAATTTTACTGGATACAGAATTCTAGATTGTTAGTATTTGTCTGTTCATTTTTTTTTTCAAAACTTTAGTATTTCACCCCATTCTCTTCTTACTTGTGTGGTGTCTGAAGAAAAGTCAACTCTTATACTTGTTACTCTGTAGGTAATGTACCCTTCACCATCTACCCTCAATCTGGCTGCTTTTTAAGGTTTTTCTTTTTGTATTTGATTTTTCTGAAGTTTAAATATAATATGCTGGTATGGTTTGACTGTGTCCCCACCCAAATCTCACCTTGAATTGTAATAATCCTCACATGTGAAGGGCGGGGCCAGGTGGAGATAATTGAATCATGGGGGCAGTTTCCCCCATACTGTTCTCCTGGTAGTGAATGAGTCTCATGAGATCTGATGGTTTTATAAAAGGGAGTTCCCCTGCACAAGCTCTCTTGGCTGCCACCATGTAAGACACCCCTTTGTTCTTTCATCTTCTGCCATGACTGTGAGGCCTCCACAGCCATGTGAAACTGTGAGTTCATCAAACGTCTTTCCTTTATAAATTACCCAGTCTCACGTATGTCTTTATTCGCAACATGAGAAGAGACTAATATTGTAAATTTTACTGGTAGAGTAGGGCGCTGCTGTAAGGATACCCAAAAATGTGGAAGCTTTGGAATTCGGTAACAGGCAGAGGTTGGAACAGTTTGGAGGGCACAGAAGAAGACAGGAAAATGTGGGAAAATTTGGAACTTCCTAGAGACTTGGACAGCTCAAAAGATAGGAAGATGTGGAAAAGTTTGGAACTTCCTAGATACTTGTTGAATGGCTTTGACCAAAATGCTGATAATGATATGAACAATAAAGTCCAGGTTGAGGTGATCTCAGATGGAGATGAGAAACTTATTGGTAACTGGAGCAAAGGTGACTATTGTTATGTTTTAACAAAGAGATAGGCAGCATTTTTGCCCCTTCCCTAGAGATCTGTGGAACTTTGAACTTGAGAGAGAGGATATAGGGTATCTGGCCAATGAAATTTCTAAGCAGCAAAGCATTCAAGAGGAAGCAGAGCATAAAAGTTTGGAAAATTTGCAGCCGACAATGTGATAGAAAAGAAAACTCCATTTTCTAGAGAATAATTCAAGCCAGCTGCAGAAATTTGCATAAGTAACAGAGTCAAATGTTAATTACCAAGACAATGAGGAAGATGTCTCCAGGGTACGTCAGAGGTCTTCATGGCAGCCCCTCCCATCACGGGCCTGGAAGACTAGGAGGAGAAAAAATGGGTTCCTGGGCTGGGCCCAGGGCCTTGCTGCTTTGTGCAGTCTTGGGACTTGGTGCCCTACATTCCACCCATCACTAAAAGGAGTCAAGGTACAACTCAAGCCATGGCTTCAGAGGGTGTAATCCCCAAGCTTCGCAGCTTTCACATGGTGTTGAGCCTGTGAGTGCACAGAAGTCAAGAACTGAGGTTTAGGAACTCCTGCCTAGATTGCAGAGGATGTATGGAAATGCCTGGATGTCCAGGCAGAGGTGTGCTGCAGGGACAGAGCCCTCATGGAGAACAATTATCTCCACCTGGCCCAGTCCTTGACACATAGGGATTATTAAAATTCAAGGTGAGATCTGGGTGGGGACACAGCCCAGATCTAGCACTGTGTGGAAAGGAAATGTGGGGCAGTGTGGAAAGGAAATGTGGGGTTGGAGTCCCCACACAGAGTCCCCACTGGGGCAGGGCCTAGTCGAGCTATGAGGAAAAGGCCACCATCCTCAAGACTCCAGAATGACATATCAACCAACAGCTTGCACTGTGCACCTAGAAAAGCCACAAGCACTCAACACCAGCCCATGAAAGCAGCCATGGGGGCTATACCCCGCAAAGCCACAGGGGCAGAGCTGCCCAAGACCATGGGAACCCACCTGTTGCATCAGCATGACATGGATGTCAGATATGGAGTCAAAGGAGATCATTTTGGTGCTGTAAGATTTGACTGCCTGTCTGGATTGCAGACTTGCATGGGGCCTGTAGCCCCTTCATTTTGGCCAATTTCTCTCATTTGGAATGGCTGTATTTACCCAATGCCTATACCCAATTGTATCTAGGAAGTAACTAACTTGATTTTGATTTTACAGACTTGTAGGTGAAACAGACTTGCCTTGTCTCAGATGAAACTTTGGACTATGGCCTTTTGAGTTAATGCTGAAATGACTTAGGACTTTGAGGGACTGTTAGGAAGGCATAATTGGTTTTGAAATATGAGAAGATGAGATTTGGGAGGAGCCAGGAGTGGAATGATATGGTTTGGCTGTGTCCCCACCCAGATCTCACCTTGAATTTTAATAATCGCCATGTGTCAAGGGTGCGGCCAGGTGGAGATAATTGAATCATGGGGGTAGTTTCTGCCATACTGATCTCCTGACAGTGAATAGGTCTTGTGAAATCTGATGGTTTTATAAATGGGAGTTCCCCTCCACAAGCTCTCTTCCCTGCTGCCATGCATGACATCCCTTTGGTCTTCCTTCATCTTCCATCATGATTGTGAGGCCTACCCAGCCATGTGGAACTATGAGTCTATTAAACCTCTTTTCTTTATAAATTATCCAGTTTTGGGTATGTCTTTATAGTAGCACAAGAACAGACTAATATATATGCCTAGAGGTAAAGTTTTTTATACCTGCTTGGTGTTCTCTCAGCTTCCTGGATCTGTGCTTTTGCATCTGTTATTGATTTTCAAAAATTCTCAGCCATTTTTACTTCAAATATTTATTTTGTTTTCTTTTCTCTTTCTTCCCCTTCTGGTATGCATCGTACATAAAATATACTTCTTGTTATTGTCCCATGTTTCTTGGATAATCTGTTCTAGTTTTTAAAAATATTTTGTTATCTTTGTGCTTCAATTTGAGAACTTTCTGTTAACTCTCCTCAAGCTCACTGATTCTTTCCTTGACTTTCCTTTCCATTTCACTGATAAGCCCATCAAAGCATTCTTCAATTTGGTTACATTATTTCTGATGTTCAGCATTTCCTTTTGATTCCTCTTAGAATTTTCATCTCTGTTTTCATTACCCATCTGATGTTGCGTGTTGTCCACATTTTCCATTAGAGAACTTAACGATTATACATATCTATATCTATCTATAGAGATGGATAGATAAATAGATCATTTCAAACTTTCTGTCATATCTGGGGCTTGCTTTGTCTCTCCAGACTATAGTATGTCTTGTGATTTTTTTTTTTTTTTTGAAAGCCATATGTGATGTACTGGGTAAGAAGACCTGTGGTAAATAGGCCTCTAGTGTGAGGTTTTTTGTTTATCTAACTCAGAATTAAATGGTATTTACTGTTTCCTGTAGCTGTGGTGTCCGAGACTAAAATTTCCTCCAGTGTCCTTGCTTTTGTCTCTCCTATTGACTTTTGGGTTTCCCTAGAGACTCCTTATTAAATAGGGTGTGAGGATTCCAGTTCTTTCAGCTATAATATGTAATTATACAGGAGCCCTACTGATGTGGTGGTAAGGTGCAGAAGGAGAAGAACTCTTCTATAATCCTATTAGACCTCAGTCTTTTAGTGAGTACTGTCCTTAGGCTGATCCTCCCAGGTGTGTCTCAATTCCTCTCCTCACATAGGTGAGATAGGATGATCAGAGGGAGCTGAAATTGTAGTTCCCTCCTCCAGGTTGATTAGGTTTTGGTAAAACTCAAGTATGTTAGGTCTTGGTAAAACAGTCTTCCTTGAGGGCAAGCCTTGTTAAGATCAGTGTACTCTGGGAATATTTTTAAATAGTTATTTTTCCCTCTCCCTGGGCAAAGCAAAATAAGATTTCTCTTCAGTCTTCACAGTGAGAACCTCATGGGACTCCTTGAGGTAAAATTTACAAAAATGTGGGGTTTCGTAAAACTGATTGCCCAATTGTTAACTCTCCAGCTGCTCCACACTGAGCCTCTAGACAGTAGAATTATACCTTAAATGTTCCCTCTGGTGCTAGCTCTAGCTGCAGGAATCTGTGTGGGGCATCTGTCCCCAGTAAGCTGTGATCTCTGTATCTGCTTGTCTGTCTCTCCAATTTTTGGGGTAGCAGTGTTCTCTTTGCCCACAATTCTTTCAATAATCTAAGAAGACTTTTTTTTGGTTTTTAGGCTAGTCAACTTTTTTTTTTTTATTGCTGTAAGGACAGGTGTGATAACTTCAAGTTCTTTAAATATCAGCCTGGAAACTGGAAGTCTTCATACTGAGACTTTTGAGTGTCAGCAGGTCATAGCAATACCTTGCTCTATCACTGAGCGGCAACATGACCTAATGGAACGTACCTTGACTTAAAATACATCCTAGTTCTGGTACTCGCTAGCTGTTACTAGTTTACTTTTTCATCTCAATGTTTATATTACTTACTGTAAAGATTTGTGTAAAGGTGAGACACTAAAGAACGTTTATACAGTCATATGAAAGACAATATGGAGACTCCTCAAAGATTAAAACCAACTACCATATGATTTAGCAATCCCACATCTGAGTATGTACCTAGAAGAACTGAAATAAAATCTCAAAGAGATATCTGCACTCCCATGTTTACTGTAGTATTATTCACAGTAGCCAAAGTATGGAAACAACCAAAATGTCCATAAACAGATAAATGGAAAAAGAAAATGTAGTATATATACATAATGTAATATTATTCAGCCTTAGAAAGGAAGGAAATTGTGCCATTGGCTATAACATAGATGAACATGGAAGACATTATGCTAAGTGAAATAAGCCAGATACAGAAGACTAAACACTACATAATCCTACTTATATTAAGAATCTAAAGTATTCCTTTGGGTATATGCCCAGTAATGGGCTTGCTGAGTTAAATGATATTTCTGTCTTTAGGACTTTGAGGAATCTCCATACTGTCTTCCACAATGGTTGAACTAATTTATACTCCCACAACACTGTGTAAGTGTTCCTCTTTCTCCACAACCTTGCTGGCATTTGTTATTTTTTGACTTTTTAGTCATAGCCATTCAGACTGCTGTGAGATGGTATCTCATTGTGGTTTTTATTTTCATTTTTCTAATCATCAGCAATGTTGAGCTTTTTTCATATGATTGTTGGGTGCATGTTTGTATGCTTTTGAAAAGTGTCGGTTCATGTCCTTTGCCCACTTTTTTATGGGGTTGTTTGTTTTTTTCTTGTAACACTATTTAAAATAGCAAAAACATGGAATCAACTTAAATTCCTATCAGTGATGGACTGCATGAAGAAAGTGTGGTACATATACATGATGGAATAATATACAGCCATAAAAAAGAATGATTTCATGTCCTTTGCAGGAGCATGGATGGAGCTGGAGGTCATTTTCTTTAGCAAACTAAGACAAGAACAGAAAATCAAATACTGCATGCTCTCATTTATAAGTGGGAGCTAAATGATTAGAACACATGGACACTTATAGGGGAACAACACACACTGGGACTTTTCAGAGGGTGAGGGGTGGGAGGAAGGAGAGGATCAGCACAAATAGCTAATGGGTACTAGGCTTAATACATGGGTGATGAAATAATCTGTATAACAAACCCCATGATGCAAATTTACCTATGTGACAAACCTACACATGTACCCCTGGACTTAAAATAAAAGTTAAATTAAAAAACAAAGAACCTAAAGCAGTCAACCCAGAGAAGGGAAAAGTAGAATGAGGTTTACTAGGAGCTAGGGGAAGATGAAACCAGAAAGGTGTTTATCAAAGAGTACAAAGTTTCAGTTACGCAAGATGAATAAGTCCTAGAGATCTAATGTGCATCAGAGTGCATATAGTTATAATTAACAATACTGTATTGTATGCTTAAAGATATATTAAGAGAGCAGATTTTATATTAAATGTTCTTATCCAAAAAACAAAAAGAGGTAGAAAACTTTTATAGGTGATGCTTAAGTTTAGGGCATTGTATATAGTAATAATTTCAAGGGTACATACTTCTCTTCAAAGTCATCAAGATGTATCGATTAAATATGTACAACTTTTTCATATGTCAGTCATAATTAAAATAAAATTACAATAAAAGGAACAAGAGAAAAAAACACTAAATAAAGTATACATGCATTACTGGCATTCAGTAGGTGTTCAAACACCATAGCTTATTTCTTTCCTTCTTGATTTTTGCATGAAGAATGAATTCGAAGTTATTCACAGTACGGAGGCAGACACATACACAAATGCGGGTTCTGGTTCTTTCTCTCTCTCTCTCTGTTTTTTTTTTTTTTTTTACTCTCATTTGCTTCTCCTCTCAGGCATTGCTTCTGTAGTTCTAGCACAGAATAGCAGTCTTTACCACAGCATGCCTCAGAGCTGAATCTTTTAAATATTCTTCTTCTTGAGATTTATATATTTATTTTCCAAGTTTGTATTTTCGGAGTTCATTATGTGAGAGTAGAAGTGTCTATACCCTGATAGTTTGTCTCCCTCTCTCCATTCTCTATGGGATTTTTGGGCTTCTCCTTAATTAGCATATGAACTACATGAGCTCTCTATCACCAAATCAGTGTTAGGTTGGAATTGTTCTGGGGAATACTTGCAAAAAATTCACTGAGTGTTAATAACAGTGCTGTGACAGACTTCAGTGGCTGTTAGAAGGGACTCAGAATTTCAAGATGAGAGTAACTGCAGAAGAACTCTATATTATTAGGTGATGAGTGATAATTACGATCATTATCACAACATGGAATGATTTTTAGGTAATATAAAAATTATCTCCAAAGGCATAAGCTCTGTGAATCCCAGTATATATTTAAGTGTAAAATGAACATATGCAGTTGAAATAATCTATTAGCCGAAGAGCTTTAAGCCATAAAGTATAAAATTAAAGCAATATGAAATTAAAGCAGAAACAAAATAGCTCCTCTATGGAAATGGAGACAGGTTTGTCTAGAATCATCTGAGACTATACAGTCATGATGATCATTTTAATAGAAGAATGTAAATGCTCTGGCCTTGTAGCTTTCTCAAATGGGGGATTGAAATTGCTGTGGTTTAGGGGAGGTTCTGCAAATATTATAGAGAGTGAAGCAAAATATTTCTGTTGCACAGCTCAATAGAGTAACTCCTTTTCGGCTCTTACCACTTTTCTAAGCTCTCTGTTATCAGTTTTTCTTTTATTATAATGGTCTTATTTTGTCACTTCTTATTCAACTTCCTTGAAAGTGCTTTTCAAAAGAGTAGAAATTCTTAACAATCTTTAACTGACTCCCTTTCTTCTAGTGGAAGAGGGATTTTCTTTGGTATTGCTATTTAATGGAATAAAATGGGACAATATCCAGAGGATGGAGCTCGAATAGAGCTGCTGTATATATATAAAAAAAAAGACACCAGATTTAAGATAGATGCATTTCCTTGGACTGACGTAAGTGGATTTCAAACTTAGTTGTTAACCTATTGGCTTTAGAACTGGTGTTGCATCTTCCAAATAACTCATTTTTGTTTGTTTGTTTTGCTTATTTCCACCTTGGGGAACATTCAAAGTTTTGATACAATAAAATATAATTATCTCAAAGTAGCAACTCATAAAAGAGGCTAATATCTTGAATATGCATTCATGGAGACTGTCAAACTCACTTGTTAAGCAGTAATATATGACCAAAGAAAAGACTATTTGTCATCTATTTCCCAAGTATTAATTAAAGTATACCAAAAATTAATTTTCTGTGTATATAATATCTTATCTTCCTAATAGTGTATTTTATTTTGCTGAAAGAAACTCTCTACATAATACATGTAAATATAATCAAATCTGCTTTATTATCAGTGCTAATCAGGAAAGGGGTAGTATGAAATATCTCAAATGCTTATAAATAAAAATATTATTTGTATATGGCCTTAGCAAAAGGTTTTGAATTTGCATGCCAAATATCTGTGTGTCTAAAATACCAGAGGATCATCTTACTTTAAATTAAAGTATTGTGATGAATTAAAGTATTGTGATGAATAGACAGAGGTAACTAGACAAGGTATAATGAGGACTATTTGTTTTTAATTTCCGTAAAGGACATAGGTAGGCCTGCTTTCCATAAAAAAGTAAAAATAAAATATGACCTAATAAAAAGAAACAAAGGAATAGAGAAAGGAATGGAGAGAGGAAGGAAGAGAGAAATAAATGCTGAACGCCCTCTTTCTAAAATTACAACATCATCCTCACGCATTTATAAGCTAGATAGGATTAAGAGATTGCTAATTAATTATTTTGGTTTCTAAGGTCCACTGCCAGACAAAAAGCTTAAGATGGGGGGAAAATATAAAATTAAATAAGACTAAAGGACAATGTATTAGTCCATTTTCATGCTTCTGATAAAGACAAACTCAAGACTGGGAAGAAAAAGAGGTTTAACTGATGGAAGGTCTCTGACATGCCCTGGAGACATTTTCTCCATTTTCTTGGGGATTAACATTCTCCTCATTACTTATGCAAATATCTGCAGATCGCTTGAATGCTTGAATTTCTCCTCAGAAAATGGGATTTTCTTTTTTATCACATTTTCAGGCTGCAAATTTTTTGAACATTTATGCTCTGACTCCCTTTTAAAACTGAAAGCCTGGCCGGGTGCAGTAGCTCACGCCTGTAATCCCAGCACTTTGGGAGGCTGAGGCGGGTGGATTGCCTGAGCTCAGGAGTTCAAGACCAGCCTGGCAACACGGTGAAACCCCTTCTCAACTAAAAATAAAAATAAAAAAAATTAGCTGGGCCTGGCAGCGTGTGCCTGTAATCTCAGCTACTTGGGAGGCTGAGACAGGAGAATCACTTGAACCCGGGAGGTGGAGGCTGCAGTAAGCCGAGATTTCACCATTGCACTCCAGCCAGGGAGACAGAGTGGGACTCTATCTCAAAAAAACAAAAACAAAAATAAAAACAAAAAACTGAAAGCCTTTAACAGCACCCAAGTCACCTCTTGAATGCTTTGCTGATTAAAAATTTCTTTCACCAGATACCTTAAATCACCTCTCTTAAGTTCAAAGTTGCACAAATCTTTAGGTCAGGGGCAAAATGTCACCAGTCTCTTTGCTAAAACATAACAAGAATCACCTTTGTTCCAGTTCCCAACAAGTTCCTTATCTCCATCTGAGACCACCTCAGCCTGAATTTCATTGTCCATATCATTATCAGTATTTTTGTCAAAGCCATTTAACAAGTTCCCAGGAATTTCTAAACTCTCCCACATTTTCATGTCTCTGAGCCCTCCAAACTGTTCCAACCTCTGCCTGCTACCCAGTTCCAAAGTCACTTCCACATTTTTGGGTATCTTTTCAGAAGCACCCCACTCTATTGGTAGCAATTTACTGTATTAGTCCATTTTCAGGCTGCTGATAAAGACATACCTGAGACTGTGAAGAAAAAGAGGTTTAATTGGATTTACAGTTCTATATGGCTGGGGAGGCCTCAGAATCATGGTAGGAAGTGAAAGGCACTTCTCACACGGTGGAAGCAAGAGAAAACAAGGAAGATGCAGAAGAGGAAACCCCTGATAAACCCATCAGATCTCATGAGACTTATTTACTACCATGAGAACAGTATAGGGGAAACCACCCCCATGCTTTAAATTGTCTCCCACCAGATCTCTCCCACAACACATGGGAATTATGGGAGTACAATTCAAGATGAGATTTGGGTGGGGATACAGAGCCAAACTATATCAGAAAACATCATAGTAAAACAATTTGAAAGCAATATCGATTATGTATTATCAAGGATTGACTTTGTATTTTTTAAATTGCATATTCAATACAATTAAGTGCCTACTGTGCAAAAGCACTGTGCCAGGTTTTAACCATAATCATTATATTTTTCACATTTCATTTCAAAGGCTTTGCTAAGTCTCAGGCAAAACATAGCAGGGTGAACTTGAAAAGACTTCTTGTGCTCTTTTATGCTATTAAAATAAATTACACTAGCAATTGTTGAACAAACTTCCACTTTCCATTGAAGAGAACCATGCTGTTGCATAATATCTGTCCTTGTAGCCTTGTAGCAGAGTTGTTCTCTCTCTCTCATACAAAAGAGGAAAGAGTTAGAAACCAAGGTTTCTATCTACTTTGTCTTTAAGTATACGAGCAATAAAAAATGTGCTCATGAGGAGGAAATAACAACAGCCTACCAAGCATTCTTCAGTATACTTTGAAATTCTCTCCACTATTTTCTCCCAGTTGTTTAATCTGGAAACAATTTTTTTTTTTTTTTTTTTTGAGATGGAGTCTCTCTGTCACCAGACTTGAGTGCGGTGGCACCATCTCGGTTCACTGCAACCTCCACCTCCTGTGTTCAAGCACTTTTCCTGCCTCAGCCTCCTGAGTAGGTGGGACTACAGGCACTCACCACCACACTCAGCTAATTTTTTTTTGTATTTTTAGTAGAGACAGGGTTTCACCATGCTGGTCAGGCTGGTTGTTCTTAAGATATCAGGAGAGGATGGTCTCGATCTCTTGACCTCGTGATCCACCTGCCTCAGCCTCCCAAAGTGCTGGGATTACAGACGTGAGCCACCATGCCTGGCCCAATTTGTCATTTTTATTATTCCCAGTTTTTAAGAAAAGCTGAAATAATGATTGCATCACTATGAATTTCACTATTATTCCCTGTAAACCAAGCATATGGGAAAGATGGTCATTAAATGATATCTAATGTAAGTCCAAAGATGAAAATTATGTACAGGGCTAAGTAACTATCTAGTCTCATTCACCACCATCTTGACTGGGACAAATATCTGTAACAATTTTTTTTTTTTTTTAATTTTGGGGCTATTGAATGAAAATGACCTAGAAGCATTTTTTGTTAGGAAAATAGCGTGTTATCATATTAAATAAAGCTTACAAAGAGCTATAACGTTAAGTCCTTTTTATGGACATAGCAAACTTGTTTGTTAGGAAACTCATGTAATTTTTATTGTTACCACTAACAGAGTTTTTATTGAAAAAATAAAAATTCCCCCAAAACAGACGTTGTAATGTTTGCTCAGCTGATTTCTCAAAAGTCAAACATAGTTAAAACCGTAAATATCTTAGGAAACAGAAACTCTACACAAATCATGTTAAAACAATCTTGTCATTTGGTGGAATCACAATGCATGTCATTAACAAATCTGCTTTTCTTTAAAATAACTGGAATTATCATGGATATCCTGGTACTTTCTTTAAACCAACATAAGCAGTTTCTAGATTATGAACAGGATACTTAGATCGCAATCCTGTGTAGATTTGTGTCTTTGGTCCTTTTACTTAAGCACCTTGAGACCTAGTCTCCTCACCTGTTGGATTGGACACTCTCAGGTTCTACCCAGATTGCCTTGGATCCTTTACCACTTTTGTCCTCAGTGTTATTTAATTTCTAACAACCTGCATCTCTGCCTATCTTTATGAGATATTATACAATTTGTAAAAATATGAACACCTTAAAGTGCATGGGAATTTATGCGTCCCTGATGTGGCCCTTAGCCAAAGACTACCCCATGCAGAAAAGTAAAGTTTCAGCCTCCTTGTTCTAGGTGAAATAGAGTCCGAGGTGTCATTTACTCCCCAGACCTCCCCTTCATGATCAAGTTGAGGTTTGGAATTTTGCCTGAGAGCACATCCTTTCTTGGCTTCTTCTTGGTTCTGTCTCCCCCATTTCCTTACCAATTTTCCCTGAGAGCACTTCCTTCATACGGCCCCTGCTGCAATTTCTCATCTAAGTTTTTGTTTGTTTGTTTGTTTGTTTTTGTTTCTAGAGAACCCAATCTAAGGCACCTATAAAATAAGATGCTGGGCTGAGGTCCCCTTCTTCTTTAATATTTTATAATTCAAAATATAGGTGTATATAAGACGGAACATATTGGTATGCTCTATTCATTGCTAGTGAACAAAGAGCAGTGACAGCAACAACTTCCAATCAACTTGATTTCTATGTCATAGAGATGAAGCTGCAGTTGCACTTGTACTTACCATAATATTCATAAAATTTAAAAGGGCATGCTGTTTTGGTAGGGTATCTGTTTATATGAAACTTTTATTTGGATTCTTTTGAAATTAGGGGAAAAAGAAATTGTGTATGTAATTACCCAAAATTGATGCTAAATTATCTGAGGTTGAAGGAAAACAGATTTTCTATGTAGCTTTCACATACTGGTTATCAGGAAGAAAGAAAATAATGATGAGCATATGTGGGCAGCTTTTTTGTTTTCTGTTGTTTTGAGTTGTAATGTTTTTGTTTCTTTAAAGAAGAGAACTGTAACAATTTACTATCAGAGAAAAGTGTCCATTGACAAGAACACAAAGGCACAGTAGGTGTGAGCACTCATACACTTACTATCTAAATGAAATGTGGAAACATAAAGTCAGATTTTAGTTGGACTGCGTAAATGAGAGCAGCTTCTTAGAAGTGAGTGGTGATATTTAGCCATCTGAGGCAGTGGTCTCCAATATTTTTGGCACCAGTGACTGGTTTCGTGGAAGAAAATTTTTCCGTGGGGGTTAGTGGGTGGTGGTGGTGATGGTTTCAAGATGATTCAAGGGCTTCGAGGGTATTACATTTATTGTCCACTTTATTTCTATTATTACTACATTCTCACCATAATGTAGAATCAGTGGGAGCCCTGAACTTTTTTTCCTGCAATTAGACGATCCCATCTGGGGGTGACGGTAGACGGTGACATATCATCAGGCATTAGACTCGTGATTTGCATAAGGAGTGTGCAGCATGGAACCTTCATGTGCGTAGTTCATAATAGGGTTTGTGCTCTTGTGAGAATCTAATGCCGCTGCTGACTGGATAGGAGGCAGTGCTCAGGCAGTAATGCTTGTTCATTGCTGCTCGCCTCCTACTGGGCAGTCCAGTTTCTAACAGGCCACGGACTGCTACCAGTCCATGAACCAGGGCTTGGGGACCCTGATCTAAGATATATACACTCACAGTATATATGATCATATTTGTGATCCTGATGTTCAGAAATGAAAGAAGAAAAATATATCAATAATTTAGATACCATACATTTACTTAATATAGGATGAGTGTAGAGCATTCTCATAATAATTTTCAAAGAATTATTTTCTCAGGTTTGTCTAACAATGCTGAATATTCAAAGAAATAATTATGATGAGCTGGATAACTATAATGCAGATAGTTTCTATTTATTTAGTTCTTACTGTCAGGCACCTTATAAAGCCCTTTACCCCTATTATCTAATCCTATTCTTTCAACAGTCTTATGAAGTGGGTATTATTTATCTCATTTTGGTTTAGAGAGTTAAATTCGTTTATTCAATAATTTTTTTGTTGAACTTCAACTATATAAATATTATGCTAGTCCTTGGTAATCAATGGTAAAGAATACAGATGTGGCGCTTGTTCTCATGTGGCTTACAGTGCAGTAGCTACAGCTGTCCTCATCTAAGGAATAGTGGTTTTGGAATTTAAACCAGATCAACCATTTGCTAAAGCTTATGATCTTAAACATTATGTTATATTTTGAGCAAAATGATAATTGAAATTCTACAATGGGCCACAAATGTATTTCCATCTAATGAACCCATGATAGAAATAACCATTTATGAGTTTAAGATTATCTATTATTTTCCTCTTGAGTCAAAGTGCAATTGAAATAGTAGATAAGAATATTAGTTGGCAAATCATTAGGTCAGGAGATCGAGATTATCCTGGTTAACATGGTGAAAACCCGTCTCTACTAAAAATACAAAAAATTAGCCAGGCGTGGTGGCGGGAGCCTGTAGTCCCAGCTGCTCGGGAGGCTTAGGCAGGAGAATGGTGTGAATCCGGGAGGCGGAGCTTGCAGTGAGCTGGGATCCCACCACTGCACTCCAGCCTGGGTGACAGAGCAAGACTCCATCTCAAAAAAAAACAAAAAACAAAAAAACAACATTAGTTGGCCAAGCGTGCTAGCTCACGCCTGTAATCCCAGTAAGTTGGGAGGCTGATGCCAGCAGATTACCTGAGGTCAGGAGTTCAAGACCAGCCTGGCCAACATGGTGATACCCCGTCTCTACTAGAAATACAAAAGTCAGCTGGGAGTGGTTGTACACACCTGTAATCCCAGCTACTTGTGAGGCTGAAGCAGGAGAATTACTTGAGCCCAGGAGATGGAGGTTGCAGTGAGCTGAGATTACATCACTGCACTCCAGTCTGACCGACAGAGCAAGACCCTCTCTAAGAAAAAAAAAAAAAAGAATATTAGTTAAAGATTGATGCTACCTTGTTCTCTTCAGAATTTAAATATTCTATACAAAGTCCAGGGATTTTCCCAGGGCCTCATAATTAGGAAAATGAACAGAAATGGAAAGCACTATTGATTCTCAGTCTACTGCTTTTCACCAAGGAGGGTTGTTGCTCGTATGGTTAAACTATTTTGTTTTCTTTTATTAGATAATGAAACCCATGTATGTCATTTTTTTTTCCCTCAGACAGAAACTCTGGGCAATTTTTGGATCTCAGTTGCAAAACTTTCCATTTCATTGATTTTCTTAGTTTAAATATCTTCTCTTCAAAAACAATTCCCATTTTATTTGTATGATAAATAGTCCCATTACTATGTTTCTTTCTTTGTAAGTTCATTTACACAGAATAATCATAGTATGGTATGTCACAAAGAGCCCTGGACACCATAACATGACACAACAGACTTTGAATTTGGGGGCTATCCTTTATATATTCATATAATTGAACTTGAGACAGAATTACTTAATCTAGAAGCTTCTTTTCACATTAAAAAGAAATAGAGATAATGAAATACATATAATCAGTTTTTGTGAATAATTGGTATTTGGTTATATATGTAAAGTTCATAATAAAATTAAAGAATCCAGTTAATTCTTCTAGTATCAGAGTACCTGGCATATAATAAATATTCTGTGAATAATAGCAATTATTTGTATATGAAATTGTGACAAATAATGATTCACTGTTCCCCATATCTTCGAGGTCAAACATGAGAAAATACTATAGTCAGACTAGGCAAGTTAGAAATCTCAGTGTTTCTCGTTTGTCATAACTTAGCTGAGTTTAACAATATTGATAATACCTCATGCATATTTCCAATAATTTGAGTATTTAAAAAATATTATTTTGAACTCAGTGATAGAATTGGCTTCTAGCTTTCCTCAAGTATTTTGTCTTTATTGATCATTTACATTCCAAAGTAATAAAAATATTTCTTGATTAACACTGCACTTGGAAACATGTTCTACATTTTTGAGCAATATTGAATAATGGGAGAAAAGGCAAAAGCTTGAGACTGATTTTAACTGAACAGGTAAAAAGTAGATTCTAGAATAGATGTATTTTGTCTTCATATATATTTCTAACTGAAATAGAAACAATGTAGTTCTTTCTATTCTATTTATTTTTCTGCGTATACTCTGTGTATATTCTAAACATTGTTCCGGGTCAATAATTATGCACTTACATTATCATTCTTTTTATATTTGTACAAACTTTGTGCACATGAGAAGTTTTGTTACATGTATATAATGTGTAGTTTTCAAGTCAGGATATTTAGAGTGTCCATCACCAAGTACCACACTTTTTTGTTAAGTATAGTCACCCTACTTTGCTATCAAACATTGCATTATCTTATCTTCATCCGAATTACTATTATTAAAATGACAAAAAATAATGGATGCTGGTGAGGATGTGGAGAAAAGAGAGCCCTTCCATATAAGTGTGATTTTTTTTACATAAGCATTAGAATTATTTTATCATTTTTCAAATAAAATTGCACTGGAATTTATATGATATGTATACAACTTAAAGACTAATTTTTCTGAGATTGCATAATGTAACTTTATTTCTAATAGATGTTTGTCAGTATCTCATGGTAATCATGAATACAAGAGAACACGGATGGGAATCATTGCTTGTAGGATAATCATTTCCAAAATGGGATTATTGCTGAGATCCAAACCATGTTCTGAAGTTCTCTAAAGATCCCATGGAGGTGTTTTGGAGGATAACACTGACCCTAAGAAGGCAGGATATTAAAGAGAGAGTGTGTGTGTATGTGTTCACATGAACAGATCTTCATTCAGATAAGCTCTGCTTTTATCTGCTTTAATTGTTTTGCTTCACACTATATTTTAATTGAAGAAAAGTCTATATGATTGATGAATGGATTGTAGACTAAAGAGACATCTTTAGTTGTGTATTGTAACACTTTATACTTAGTTGACCCTGTTCTGTTCTTTTCATTCTTTTTAAATGAATAAGTAAATAAAGAAATAAAGATATGGTCATGATACACTGGTGGAGCACAGTGGAGGGATTAATAAATGTCTTGACCAAATCAAGATCTCCATTCCTCAAAATAAGACAAAACTCAAAGATGAAATTTTAAAAGTAAAATCTAAGGTGAGCTCATAGATGTCTACATTTGGCTCTGAAATTCCAATGGTAGAGTTTCAGGATTTGAATCTCTTAAAGTACTGTGAAGCAGCAGGGAAGCTGCAGCTTAGCAGTAGCACATCTAAAAAAAGATATCAGAAATTTGAGCCAATTTGCAAGTTTCATGTGAATCATTAGTAGGTGGTAATTATCAAAACATCAATTGTGACTTTAGAGTCTATCGTTACACATATATTAAGTGAAATATTTGGTACTAGGCAGATAAATCTGTAGAAAGTTGTTTTGTTCTTTATATAATACCTGAAATGAGTTATGAACAAATTGGTTTGTTGCAGAGAACAGAAATTAGGTACTCACAAGAAATAAGTGAGAATCTAAACCTTATTATGTAAGAGTAATTGAGAAAAATAAGAATATTTTGCTCAGAGAAGAAATGATTCAGAGTGAACAAGACAACTGTTTGTAAATATTTGAAGTGCTGCCATGTGGCTACATGGCCCCAAGAATGCAAAACAGGATGAGGTTTTTGATGCTACAGAGACATGGATTTCAGCACAAAATAAGGAAGCACGAACAGCCAGAGCTATTTGAACATGAAACAAGCTCTCTCAGGAGGTAATATGTAGCCTGTCGCTGGAACTATTCAAATGGAGGCAGGGGACAGCCACTTCAAGAGGCAAACTGTAGGAGAGATTCAAGCATAAGAAGTAGCTAAATTAGACTACAGTTAATGTCCCCATCTGAACCCAAATTGGGTTTTTTATTTTTATTACCAAAAGTTTTTTTTTTATTTTTATTACCAAAGGTTTTTTTTTTCTGAAAACCTAGTGTAAATTAAAATTGGAGTTTTTTCAAATAGAAACTAAAAACCCGATTTTAAAGAGGGAGAGTGAAGGAAAGTAATAGTTTCACTGTGCTTTGTTCAAGTCAGATCGAAATGATTAACTGAACTTGAAATGCATAGAAGAGATTGGGGACAAAAGGGAAGGGACAATTAGAAAAGAACAAATACACATCAAATATGTCTTCATAGATGTAAGAGTTCTCATGTGAAGAAATGTGTTTAGGTTAATTTTGTGATGACTATGAACATTTCAGAAAATCAGATTATACTCAATATAATCACCAAATGAACCTATGCTATATTTTATAATAGATTGTTTCATTCAGAAGCATATTTAATGTTTATATAGCTATTACTAAAATCAGAATAAATAGATTCTACCTCCTGCTTCCCTTCTACCTAGCTGTGTGATATGAAATATATCTGTTGCCCTCTCTTGGCCTCAATTTCTTCACATGTGGTGGGATGCAATTTAAAGTAAGTGACAGCTAATTTTCCTTCCAGTTCTGAAATGCTAAAACTCAATGTACAGGTGCAAGTCTGTTTTTGCTAACTCATTCCCCTAAGACCCACTTCTGTCTTTTCTTTATTATGTCTAACTCCAGTGATGATTATCATCTTGTTTCAGAACCTTACTGTGATTGCCTGCTCAGAAGTCCAGTGAATTTTCTATCATCTTGATTTGGGGACCTTTAAACCCCATTAGTCAGTCTAGCAGAACTGTTTTGAAACTTGAAAGTGACTGTTGCTCATTTGTAGTGTCCTTGGGGATCCTTATGTGAAAGACATTCAAGTAAGGTAAGGTACTTTAAAAACATGACTCAAATGCAATTAATGAATGTTGAAACACCCACACAAAGCCCTTTTGGAAATTGAAATAAAATTCATGGTTTTGACATGCTATGACCTTTGGATATGATGTTTTCTACACTATCTTTTATCACAGTTGGAGAGAGAGAATGAAGACAATGAAGCTGACTCTAAACATCACCGAGTTAGGAACGTTACTGCTAGTAATCTGCTCCATGAGCTACTGTTGTTGGCAACTTCTTGATGTATATAACAGAATTAGATATAGTGCACACTCTATAGATGTTTGTTGATTGATTGTGTATTGATTTTTATTCTGAATAGCAATTTAAAATGTCTTATTCACCACCTTCACTTTTTGGCCAAACTTTAGCATAGAATGTAAATTGAGGACAGAGGCTAGAGGCAGAAGTAATGTTTCATTGCTATATATTGCATGGATTGTGAAAAATAAAGACCTGAGTAAATAACTGCATTTCTCTGGGTCTTAATTTCGTCATATATGAAATGAGAAAATTGTGTTAAATGAATCAAAAAATACTTTATGCATCTGAATTTTTATTTACACTCTGTTGATTGGATTATGCTTTGAGGCTCAGTCCAGGAGGACACACATGGTTTAAAATCAGCTAAGCTTTACCAACTGCCCCAAATATAATGTGGCTGTAAAGTGAACAGTCACATTGTATTTTGGAAAGTAGATGATGCAATTATAGAGACACCATCTAAAGAGTTACTTAAGTTAAATGATTTCAGAATCAGAATCAATGCACTTTTTACTTTTTTGTTTTTATTTTTTCTTTCTTGTCATAGGGATGGGATACAAAATTTTTAAGTGCTGAATTTGATCTGAAAACTTTACATTTTTTCTTAAAAAAAGCAATAAATTAATACTTGAAATGAATACTAGCAATTGTATCTTTTTATTCCCTGTACAAAAATAAACATCAATAACTTTTTTTTCCCATAACTTCTTGGAAGAAACAGCCATTCTGCTGCAGCCCAAATTAGAAAAAATGCAACATCAATGAAATTTAAAAGTGACACAGCTTCTGCTTGGAATATTAAGTATTCATCTTAAATCAGTTGCTGTGGAAAATTTGGCAAAACCAAAGGCATGACCCGATTAGGATTTTTAAGACTCTTGCATTGTTCCTTGAAGATAACAAAGATTATCAAGAATTATATGGAGGAAAAAAGAAATCATAAAATATTTAATTATGCCGTAAAAGGGTATTTTAGAGAGATAAAAGTATTTTATAGCATTTTCAGATTGATTAACATTGTGGAAAGACTTTATCTGTGTGACCACTTTGAGTTTTGGGTATTCTCATTGGTGAAATGGGTATAGCAGCTCATGTATTTTTATCAAATTGTTGCGGACTTCAAGGTAAATAGTAAAAAATTATACATAAATTATATAATATTTCTATCTCTGAAAGGCAAATAATTTTACATAAAGAACTCATTAAAGAAGTTGCTGTATGATATCCTATAAGTGTAACATTAGACATGATCCTTACATTTTACTGATTTAGTATATGAGGCAGAATATTAATCTATGTCAAAATTATTAAATTCTTAACACATAATCTACTGAGGAGATATGGAAAGTTGAAATTCCTAATCAGTGTAACAGACATAGCAGCTCAGAAACTGGCAGTCAAGAGGAGCGATGATTTCATAGGATGACAAAGAGAGGGTGTGCCTCCATTTGAGTAAGACAGAAGCAATTCTAATGATTATCTCTGCAGAACCAGGCAGACTTCTCTTTCAACTTCTCTCAGGTGAAACAGAGCCCACTTGAGTATCCAGACTTCCTTCTGTTTTTTAATTTTATGCAAATGGTTTGGAATGTTGGCAATATTTGGAAACTTAAAATTATAAGACTGCTAAACTTAATTTATAATTTTAGGATTAACCAGGATAACCTTTGAGAGAAGGAGTTGAAAACATGCTATTATCTTTATAAAGAAATAGAAATTCATAGCCTCCTTTTATAACCCTTTCCAGAATGAACTCTCCCTCCCTTCATTTGAAATTACCTTCCATTAATAGATCACAATGTGTAGGCACTAAAAATTTAATTCTCCTGCAAACCTTATCTTTTTGTGTATTCTGTATCTCTCTTGGAGACCCTTCCATTCAGTGAGTCACTTAATATAGTTACATTGGAAATATACCTGACTCTTTACTCTTCTACGCGTCCAATAAAATGCCAAATATATTAGATATTGCCTCTGAAATATTTCTAAAAAATTACCTTTTCATCATCATCGCTGCTGCTGATATAATGTAGGCTTTAATCATCATTCACCTTGACTATGGCAACAACTTCCAGCATAACTTCATGTCCTGTCTGTGTCATATTAATATGCTAATCTATAATTAGAGCAATCATTCTGGAAATTCAAATATTACCTCATCATTTCACACTTGAACTTCTAGTTGTGCAAAAAATATTTTCGGAATAAAGCAGGCATTTATTTTAATGACATGTAAGGCAGTTCGTGATTAGTCTTCTGCCTCTTAACATTCTCTGCTTTAAGTATTGTCTTTCATCAACATTGAATATTTTGCACTTTCTGTCATTTTTCACACTGATTCATAATCCTGTTTGTTCGGCACATGTAATTCTAAGTATCAAAAATGATTGGATAAGGGAATGAAGTTTTCTGATGGGTCAACTAAGTCCCGTGATAAATAATTAGACAAAGCATTTCTGATTTTGTTTTCTTAGTGGACCCAACATCTTTTGCTCCAAAGACAATTGATTTTTCTGCATTAGTTGGTAATTCTGGAGGTCTGTTGATGCAACAGCTAAGAAAATAAGACAGAGAATTTAGGATTCTTAAATCCTAAATTTGTGTTTGTTAAGCTAAGAATAGGAGTTTCTAAAATCCTAAAACTCATATTACTAGGCCAATTGGTTGAGTAAACTTTTATAGGTGTAGGAAGAAATGATAATGTCCCAGAAGAGGTATGTGGTATTACATAGTAGTTAAATACTTGAAGCATGGAGGTGGAAAGCCTTGTGTTGTATTTTCAGCCAGCCATTTACTACATAGGTGACCTGAACAGTTATTTGACTGGAGATTGTGTGTGTGTGTGTGTGTGTGTGTGTGTGTGTGTGTGAGAGAGAGAGAGAGAGAGAATGCAAGAGAGAAAGACACAGAGAGAGGGAGAGAGAAAAATTGCATTTATAAATTTTCCTGACATATGTAAGTACACGATAAGTATTATTATTGTTATTATTACTGAAGAAAGAGAAAAAAAAACAAAACGTGTGTTTTGTGTGTCCATGAAAGAGATTGGGATGATGCCATAGAAAATTTAATTTTGGCTGTCTGTAAAAGAAAATACTAAATTTTCAGTGTTCTGAATAAATTCCTTTTACTGCAAATGAGAAATAATAATTCTTTGCCTCTCATATTTGTGGCTCTTTTTCTTATGTATCTGCATTATGTTTGATTTTAAGAGGAATAGAGAGATGTATATTATGAAATAAGAAAGACTGAAATGAATTGTAAAAAAAACCTTTTCACACAGTGAAAAAGATGCAAATGACAGTCTGTCATAAATTGTCTGTACACCCCCATATGTTATGTAGCAGCAAGACTGAAAATTCAAGGTTGCCTGGGTACAAAACCAAAATATACAAATGAAAGCTAAAGAAAGTCGAGTAGCATGTTTTTCTCAGAATACATTTTATTTCGAATAACCCTGTAATGTGTGTATGTGTGTGTTTGTATCCTTTCTTTTCCTTCTTTTCCTTTCAATGCTCAGAGATTTATACACATACATACAGTCTGTGACCCTTGTAAGCCATGGGAGTGTGTTGCTGTCTCAAATCAGCATTACACATTCTGTTATTTTCTGAGGAGGTACCTCAGTGCCATAGAACTGAAAGTCACCAGAGCATCTGCTAAATCCAGGATTATCAAAGGTGTGTCCCATAGCCAGTATTTTTGGCAAGGGTTTGTTTGTTGTGCTGGAGAAGTTGCAGCAGAGCAGTAGAGCTGAAAGATGGTGCTAGATTTAGTGACAGGGTTTTGTATTTTAGCCTTAGTTTTAAGAGCAGTCATTGCCAATTTTTTAATAGACGAACAACTTGATCTGCAAAAATGGGATCATCGGGACCTACTTATAACTGGCAGAACTATCCACCTTGTTGTACAATCTGGTCCACAATCCACACTGTTGTTCTTGCCAGAAATATACATACCAGACTTTCCTACAATGCTTCAGCCAATCAGTCACAAAATCTAGATTGTCACATTTCCTGATTTTCTTTCAAATACATCTATTATAATTTTTAACAACTCTTTTGATATATAACTTATATCATAAAATTCACTCATTTAACTGTAAAAATTACCTTTAGTAAATTGTTGAGATGTGCAACTGCCACCATAATCCAGTTTTATAAGATTTTCATCAGTCTGATAGCATCCTATATGCCCACTTAGAGTGTTCATTTCCACACCCGTCCCCCAGGAAACTATTAATGTAATTTGTCTCTATATATTTGCCTTTATTCAATATCTCATATAAATTGAATTATACAATATGCGGTCTTTGTGTATTGCTCTTTTCACTTAGCATAATGCTTTTGAGGTTCATAGCTTATATTAGGTTGTAGAATATATCAGTACTTCATTCCTTTTCATTGCTGAATAGTATTCTACTGTGTGAACCTACCACATTTTGTTTCTCTATTTATCAGTTGGTGGACTTTTGAGTCATTTCCACTTTTTTTGTTATTACAAATAATGCTAGCTTCCTGTGCAAGAGTTTTTGTAGACAGATATTTTTATTTTTATTGGGAAGCTACTTAAGAGTGGAATTGCTAGGGTGTATGGTCATCCACATTGATTCTTGACCCATTTTCAATTCATTCTCATAACCATAAAAGTGGTTTTTTATTCAAGTGAGACTTTTCTTCAAGCCTTTCAATGTTTATTCATATTCTGTCTTAACATCTAGAAACCCATACATAACATATAGAGATAAACTGCTTGATCTTAAATCAGTCTCATTCTTGTTCTCTTCTCTCTAGCAATATTAGCTTTTTAGTAGCAAAAGAGGTTAGATCTTATTGTGCTGCAATGATCTTCAGATGTACTCCCCCTTATGCCTGGCAGCCTGCAGTGTTATTTCCACTACATTCAGGTGACTAGTTTATCTTTGAGATCTCAATTTCCTCACAGAAGCTAACCTTGAGCCTCCAGACTTTTAATATTTCATTTATATGTACATCCATTGCTCTAATTTTACTATCATTTCTTACTATTGATATCTATTAATTATATGACTAAATATTGTTTAAAATATATTTCCCAGTAAATCACAAATTCTGTGAAGCCAGTGATCACATCTTATCATGGCCATCACTATGTCTTCTGTTACTATACTCAATAAATGTTTTCTAAACAAATGAGTGGACTCCAGGAGCAATTGATGATTGACTGGATGATATAGCACAAACTCAGGATCATCTTTAGATATTATAAATGTTAGGAGGAAATAGGTTGTCAATCTTCACTAGATCATAGGGAAGAAAAGTAACTGTAAAGGGCCAAGAAAAGAGTTCAAGAAGAGAAAAAAATGTTATTACTTGATAGCATGCATGCAAATCAGTCTTCTTTTCCTTCTCCCTTTCTCTCATTTTTTTTAACTGAGAATAAATGTAACTCCATATTACATGCTCCCCTGCTTCCCTGAATAATTTACTTTATTGAGAAATATGGTAGTATGGGGGCCTGATTTAAATTCTGAATTATCATATACAAGAAATAGCCACAGGGTTTGGTAGAAAACATATTGTGGAGTTTGCTATGCATTAATGCATAGTGAAAAGAATAAATTTTGAAATAAGATGTAGAGAAAGAAAATCAGTATGGAACAATATTCCAGGATGCTTGATAATGAGAAAGTGATGACTAACGCTATCCAAGAGATACCTAGTTTTTGCGGGGATTGCAACAGTCAAATTCAAAGCAGGGAAGGACAGTTTATAAAAATGATCTTTTTTTAACTTCAGAATGCTTTCAAAGTAAAGTGATTACAAGCTCAAAATTTGTTCTTAAAAGTTCTGTCTCTGAAAGTAATGTTGTAATATTATGGCATTGCCCCACAGTAAATTCCAAGGCAGGTTATGACTTTTATAGTATCTTAACATATAGCTGAAATCATTGTGTTTTTAAAACACAGTAGAACTTTTTATATAGACATGTCATTGATTTAGAAGAGGGCTCTAATTTTATGTATAGTTGGCAAACTTTTTTTGACTTTAATGAGCAGACAGAAGTGAACCAAGAGTGTGAAGAATGAAAACAAGAGGTAGAGTCGCAAGTACCAGTTTAAATAATGACTACAATATCAGGAGCTGACTGATGGTAGAAACTGAAATTACGATTCTGCATTGAGAAACTAATTAAAGTCCCATGAAACTGTGACAAAGGAGTGTTTGGCTTTAGAGAAAGAACAGAAACAAATGCCTCAAATATAAAGGGAACTGAACAAAAGATGTTCCCAAGAGGGTAACTCCTCCAGGCAGTTGGACAGGGCACAGTAAAGACCCATGTACAGAAAGTCTATGGCTGAGAAGCTTTCAGATATAGGGTGAGCTCCACATTCAATCAAGGAGTCACAAAGGGAACATTAGTCTTCTCAAATTCTACTGAAAACATGTAGGCCTAGAACTAAATAACTCACTAGAGCTTCTAGCTTCTGCTACCATAGCACCCAGCTTTTGTGCTGCCTTAGCCCTAATCATAGTTCTGCTGCCAGTGTTACTTTTTATACAGCTATCCCACAATATCACCAGTCTCTTAAAAGAGCAGAAACTGCAGTTTTTATATCTAGGCCCTTAGCACCTAGCACGGCTCCCTATCCCATAGCAGACACTCAATGTATCACATGAATGAACAATGGATAATCGGATGCATAAATGTGTGAATGCATTTATAGTTGCAGTTGATCAATAGAGATGACTTTGCTCAGCATGCAAGCTGATATCAGACATTGAGAGGTAATCGGGAAAAGTAAAAGCTTGAGTCTGTAATATTTTACTATCTGCTGCCACAACTTAAAAATAATGATGTGTTATCAGACTCTTATGCACTCTGTGAGGATGTAGTAAGTCTTAAATGATTTGTAGTGTTTACAATAGAGTAATTTTCAAATATTTGGGGTACATATTTTCTTCTATGAAGACTATTTGCTGGCAAATATATTTCTCAAACTAATGTAATGTTCTTGTGTAGTCTACTGTGCCTAATTTAAAAAGTGGAAGATGGTGTGGAACTTTCTGGCAGGAAGTTGAGTTATAATACATATTAATGAAGGCAAAGTGTATGACATATCAATTTAGGTCTCATTGGATCAAAGCATCACTTTCATAAACATTCAGTGTCCTCATTCTGCTATTCCTTGACCTAATAGTCTCAGTACTGAGATTGGAAATGGGGCATTCTTTCTGTGCTAATCTTGGCAAATAATGTTCATTGCTATCAATATGCCATCTATTTAGAAAGCGTAGAGATGGCATTTCACCACTTTTACTTAAAGGGTTGTAAAACTGCAAACTGTCTCTGGATGTCTCTGCTTCAGATATTGACATCATTAAAGAAATCACTCCCTTAAACCCCCAAGAGGCCCCTTTCCTTTGAAAACATGGAAATCATCAGTGATGAGAAAAGGAAAGAATAAATGAAATTCAAAAGTATCTTTGAGTGTTTTAAGTCCTTTCTGACAGATTTAGCACTCCCTTTGATTTTGTGGTGTGGATTAATAGCCTTAGGAGGCATGTTAAAAAAATCCACAGTACATTTTTATTTGATTTTCAAATTAACATATTGCATTGCTTTTTATCTCCCTTTGTTTCAAGGAACTCAAGAACTTAAAGGATTTTGTCTCTATGTCTTTCTTTGCTCTATCAGCATCAGCTTGGAAGTACACAGTACAGAGGCTGGCATATCAAGAAGTGTAAAGGACTACAGTGCTAGATATTGCCTCTGGCACAGAACGTACAGTACTAATAATACCTCATTTATCCTACTATTGCCCATAGAAAACCTGTAAGTGCTAAGCATAATTCATTTTGTCTGCACTAACTCCCTAATCCTTAACATTAGTGTTTCCAAGGCATTTATTGTTGGCAATTGTCACCTAAGCAGGAGGCTCTTCAAAGTTCTAGGTGCCAGGGAGTTAAAGCGGTATGGAATTATTAAATCATTGAATTTCCTAGTGAAGAGATGCTTGGGTAAATAAATCCTTTTGCTTATGCAGATCTGGTTCATCCGGTATTCTTGGGAAGTCTGTCATCATTAAAAGTGTAGAAGCAACTTTGCCACCCATGTAATGCTTTGTTTGTCTTTTTGGCAAATTCAGTATCAGAGTTAGAAAAGTTTTAACTTCATGGAAATTTGTTTAAGTAAAATAGAGACAAGGTAAGCACATTTAAGCCCAATGGGAAGTTTGCCTTTGCCACTCGCTAGTGTAGATTTGGATCAGTGGTTTTGGGTTTTTTACATTTTTTAAGTCTTGGAAACATTTATTCAACTGAAATATTTGGAATAAGTCCAATATGTAAAGTGCACACTAGGGGATTTTCTCTGCTTGAAATTCATATGAGTAGCCTGAAGCCCTGCATACTTGGTCCTCCTTCTTATCTTTCACTCCTGCTTCCAAAACACCCACATCACCCTCTTGAATACTCCATAGGGTACAATTCATAAAGCATTGTCCTAGACCATAACTACCTAAAGAAAAATTGACTTGAGTAACAGTGTCAAAAATCACCTTATGGTGACCAAGGTAGCAATAACAAATTTATTTAGTTGTTCATTTATTTAATTAAGTTTACAAAAATACATATTTTTATGCTAGGCATAAACAGAACTTCTCCCTTCAAGATGAATTAATCAAAGGAAATAATGTCAATACAATAACTGCCTTCAGGTCTCTGCCATTTATATGGAAAGCCCTAGTGCTTTTTCTAGGCTAGGATTTAGGAATCTAGACTATGTGTTAATGGTTGAGTTTCTAACCCAATAGGGACATCAAAAAGACAGAATTTGGGGCAGGGCACGGTGGCTCACGCCTGTAATCCCAGCACTTTGGGAGGCCAAGGGGGGCGGATCAAGAGGTCAAGATATGGAGACCATCCTGGCCAAAATGGTGAAACCCCATTTCTACTAAAAATACAAAAATTAGCTGGGCTTGGTGGCGCACACCTGTAGTCCTGGCTACTCAGGAGGATGAGGCAGGAGAATCGCTTGAACCCAGGAGGCAGAGGTTAAAGTGAGCCCAGATTAAAAAAAAAGAGAGAAAAAAAAAAAGAGAGACAGAATTCAAAAGTTCAAGCTAGGAGTAAAACAAACAGAAAGTCTAAAAAAGTCTCAATAGAGAAGGAAATGTCAATATAAGACTACAGAACAAGGAGTGGAAATAAAGAATGGAGCATCTAGGTTGAGAAGAGATATGAGAGTGCTTTTACAAAATTTCTGGAGTTACTTTAGCAATCGGAGTCTCTAGTGGAGAAATGACCTTGCTAGATGTAGATATTTAGTATGTTATGGAACACTCAATATATGGTTTTTTGTTTTGTTTTGTTTTGTTTGTTTTTGTTTTTGTTTGTTTGTTGGAGACGGAGTCTCGCTCTGTCGCCCAGGCTGGAGTGCAGTGGTGCCATCTCCGCTCACTGCAAGCTCCGCCTCCCGAGTTCACGCCATTCTCCCGCCTCAGCCTTCCGAGTAGCTGGGACTACAGGCGCCCGCCACCACACCCAGCTAATTTTTTGTACTTTTAGTAGAGAGGGGGTTTCACCGTGTTAGCTAGGACGGCCTCGATCTCCTGACCTCGTGATCTGCCCGCCTCAGCCTCCCAAAGTGCTGGGATTACAGGTGTAAGCCACCGTGCCTGGCCAACACTCAATTTATGTTTATTAATTTTGTAAATAAATAAGATATTTGCTATTACAAACATATTGTAGAAAGTATTGAGGGAAAAGAAAAGGAAACATAAAGGGAAGGGCACTGACCAGTTTAGGAAAGTAATTAAGAACATCTAGGCCGGGCGCGGCGGCTCAGGGCTGTAATCCCAGCACCTGAGGAGGCTGAGGCGGGCGGATCACTTGAGGTCAGGAGTTCAAGACCAGCCTGGCCAACATGCTGAAACCCCGTTTCTACAAAAAATACAAAAACTAGCTGAGCGTGGTGGCAGGCACCTGTAATCCAAGGTACTCGGGAGGCTGAGGCAGGAGAATTGCTTGAACCTGGAAGGCAGAGATTGCAGTGAGCGGAGATCATGCCACTGCACTCCAGGCTGCGCAACAGAGTTAGACTCTGTCTCAAAAAACAAACAAACAAACAGACCTCTAAAGAATGACAGATGTGGGTCATGTAGATAGCTTGTACTAAAACATGGACAAAGATGCAAACATTTGAGTGCTATTGAGATTCACAGTAAAACAGGTAAGAGTGCAAAGGTATAAAGTTGATATTTGGGAGTGGCCAGATCATGAAGGGCATTGCCTGTCAGGTAATCAATTTAGTTTGTCTTCTAGCCAATGGAGAGCCATTGAAAAATACTGTGCAAGGGATTAGCAAAATCAGATTCCTATGCTAGGAAAATGTAACAGAGCAAGGAAAGACTAAAGACACATTGATTGATAGAGTGATTCTTATAATTGGCAAAGAGAGATTCACTAAATTATTTCAACCGGGAGCATTCCAACAGAGTAACAGAATTCTTCATAGACTTCTTGGTAAGATAGTAGTCAGATAACTACGTTTAATTCATATTTCCTGTTGAATGCTCATAAGAGCAGAGGAAACAATGCAACTGTTAATTCAACAAAGGGAAATGAGTATATAAATGTCAATCTTCCAGCCCCAGAATGAAATTTCTGGATGTAATTTTAGTAAAATGCAATTCACTCTTAAAGGCAAACCAAAGCAGTTAAGTGGGGAAAGGAAATTTTCACCCAACCCTACTTTGTACTTGTAACTCAGAAGATTTGGGGTCCACAGAGAGGGTAAGCATCAACACCTGCAGGATGGATGTGGCTTTCTAAGACAGCAAAATAATCCAGTTCTCTAATGCCTCCAAGCCATGCTTTTGTTTGAATACTTACTTGTACACATAATAGTGAACAAGTTATTAAGCCTTACTTTTATGCTGTAAAATATAGTTAATACCAGTATCTACTATTTGAGGTTGTTGTAAGGATTAAATGAATTAATATAGGTAACACTTTAGAACTGTCATTGGAACAGAGTAAGCGTTTGTCATGATCATTTATTATTGTCATTACTTTATGCACATTAATGGACTACCATTTGCAGAAATGTATTCATCTTTTAAAAAGGGAATGATACCTACCTCACAGAGTCTAAGCATTTAATTAAGCCCTGTATGTGACCTTTTTTGCTGGTATCCAGAATGTATTAAGTTATGTGTAAATTGTAGAATTAGTGGTAGTAGTAAGTGTAGCAGCAACTGTAGTCATGGAATTATAGTTAAGTATTGTGACATAATCAAAGGAATTGGACAATGAGCATTAAATTCTGATATAAACTTGATAATAAGAAGCTGCAACAAATAAAAGATGCCACTTGGTGGACCAAAATTTTCCATTCAGTCTTTCTGGCAAAGATAAGGCTATTACACTTTCAAATAATTCAAAAAATTTAAAAAAATGTCAGCAGTGTCAGATGGTAACAGAATAAGAAAATGCCTCATTCCTCTTTCTTGCAATTACACTAAATAAATAAATGCAGACTCTGAGTGCAGATTTTGCATATTGACTGTATTTGTAGTCTAAATGTAAGAGTTTAATAACAAATAATATGGAGAAAATGTAGGAAAAGTACTTGTGTCATTCAAACAATAAAGCTAAAATTGACCTTTCTTCACAAAAGAGGAGGAAATGGAAAATATTGTAAGGCTTTTAAAGATTTAACACGATTTAAATAAAATGTACTCCAGATATAGAAAATAATTAAACTTTTCATATTTTTCAAAAGAAATGGGACTAAATTTAAAAAATCATCTGCATCATATAATTAACAAAAGTCAAAGAACTATGGACTTTAAGAAGAAAAAGAAAAAACTATTGAGATGTTGACATAAAATACAAGGTAGCTGAGATGCAGATAGACATGAATAAAAAGCTAGGATAGATAATTAAAGATTGCAAAGAAATTAAACAGAGTTGAAAATCTGACAAACAGTAAGAGAAGAATGAGAGTGCAGAAATTGAAGAACAGTTCACGTGTTCTTTCCAAAATACAGTAAAAATGGATAAAAAGATGAAACAGTGGAATAATCACAGATATAAAAGCTTAAAAATTAGTACTTGAACCAGTCAGTGTTTGGCTAGGCTGAAGAATAAATGAAAGTGAATGGTTTAGAAGTAATCAACAAACATATACTCAAACTCAAGAAACAGCCATGACAAAACCACTACCCAAACCACTTTAAATCCAAGGCCACCCTATTCTATCAGGCCTTATCAAATACAACTGCTCCCACAGGAAGAGATCAAATCTGTAATCTCTGGTGAAGTGTTACCATTCTCTTTACTTCTTTCAGTTCTGCCATAGTATATGAGGCATGACTTGGGTTATCCTCAAAATATCCACTGAAAATACTCAGACCTTTCTGCTTTGGTAAGAAGCTTTTGAATGTATCCTCATTCTAATTCATACTCTTCATACTTGGAAATTTACTTGGGTAAATGTTTAAAATAATCCTCTTTGACCAGCTTCGACACTTACGTGCTTACAAAGTATGTTAAACCTACAGACAAGATCTCAGTGCTAATCATTATGGACTTCAACCTGCAGCACAGATTGGCCATCTGGTACTTTGACTAAGAACACTGCCTGGTGTACTTTCTGTTCCATCTCTCTCTTCTTATGACCATCGTCATCATTTTGTCGTAATACTTCACCATTTTGTCATAATACTTTATACACTGGACATAATACTTATCAAATTTTTATTGTACACATAAATCATCTGGGAGATATTGTCAAAATGTAGTTTCTGATATGAGTTTGAGGTGAGGCCTGAAGATTTGCCATTTTAGCAGCTTCTTATGTGACAGAGATGACATAAGAACTACATTGACATTAGCAAAGTGCTGAGGCAACTAGACTAATGATTCGGAACCAGGGTTGCATGTTAGAATTACCCAAGGAACATGTAAAACCATTTATCTATAAGCCCTATCCCAGATTTTAAATTAAAATGTCTTTGGATAGAGCTCTGGTATTAGCATTGAAAAAAAATTACGCAAGCCACTTTAAAAAAAATTACACAGGGGCCGGGCGCGGTGGCTCACGCCTGTAATCCCAGCACTTTGGGAGGCCGAGGCGGGTGGATCATGAGGTCAGGAGATCGAGACCATCCTGGCTAACAAGATGAAACCCCGTCTCTACTAAAAATACAAAAAATTAGCCGGGCGCGGTGGCGGGCGCCTGTAGTCCCAGCTACTGGGGAGGCTGAGGCAGGAGAATGGCGTGAACCCGGGAAGCGGAGCTTGCAGTGAGCCGAGATTGCGCCACTGCAGTCCGCAGTCCGGCCTGGGCGACAGAGGGAGACTCCGTCTCAAAAAAAAAAAAAAAAAAAAAAAAAAAAATTACACAGGAAAGAGGCTATTCATTAATTCATCCTTTCAAAATTCATCTAGTGTCTATTCTCTGTCAGGGGTTTCAGGGCGACTGAGAGCCTGCCCTCAGGAAAATTGAAGTCTAGTGAGTTAAGCATTTATTTTCATATTGCCTCATATTCATACTAAATTTTAAGTCATTATTTAGGCAGTTTCTAATAGCATAAACATAATTTTAAAATAATAAAATAGATGAATAGCAAATTAACATTGTTAAAGTAAGACTATCAAATAAGCCAACTGTCAAACTATGTAAATTTGAAAATCTAACAACCTTGGTAAAAGTCCTTTAATTGGATAACTTGTGTAGGAAATGAATGAACTGACATTTAAAAGTTTCTTTCCATAGCCAGATTTAAAATAAAATAGTAGCTTAAAAGGCTCCAGACTGAGAAAAAATCAATAAACTACTACATATTTTTACATACCTATAATATATGCATTTTAATATATTACACATTATGGTTTTCTTAACAAAAATAAAATTCTATTTCCTACACTAATATAGGATAGAAAAATTTGATAATACTTTGAATAATTTTTTTGTGGTATTATTGAGAAATACTGGCAATACATAAAACACTAATAATATTTATAATATTTATCCCTAGATGTTGAATTTATACATAACTGTTCCATTTTTACCTTCTCAAATTCTGTATACTTTCTATGGCCTCTGTTTATTAATAATTAAGACATTACTAAACTAATATATTTAATAGCATTCTTATTTTATTACAAACTATACAGTAGCGATAATAAAACTATTTTTTGCAAGTATTTGCACTTTCCCTTTTGTAAGATTTTACTGTCCTGTCTGTTGTTTTGTAACTTGGGTTTGGAAGAATGACATGTTTTGCTTGAATGATGAAGTTTTGGCATTAGGGTGAAGTTTCAAATCTGATGATGTGTTTGAGCTAGCTAGTGCTCTCTCATTCCTGCATGAAATAGGGGCATATTCCAGAGAGGTGCTGCTTTTTCAATCTGGATCCTGGAATGAGAAGATGTAAGGAACAGAATTGCAGTCTGCCCACAGCCCAGCTGAAGCCAGGCAGATGAGCTAAGTCCAAAATGAACAATGGCTTCACTCGAGTAAGAAGTAAATCTTTGTTTTTTATGCCACTGAGATATTACAGTTATTTCTTCCCCAAACAAAAACTAATAGGAAGGAAAATATGAATCGATATAAATCAGATTATTCAAAATATAAATCAGATTATTTGACTTCTTTAATGATCTTGATGGTTATGCAGATAAAGGAATCAGTAGAGTGGAGAATTAGACAGGAAGATATCAGAGATTAGAGAAGATAGAAGTACTACTCAGCGGATAGTTTTATTTAGGATAAAATAAATTAATAGCATAATAAAATAGTCCAAAAGGATCAGAGATACAAAAGTAAAAATAATGGAATCATACAAGCACTAGAAGGCAACATCAGTGACTCCTTTTATATATTTTGTGTGTGTGTGTGTAGGGAAGAACTTTATATGACTTGAAATCAAGAAACCATAAAACAAAAATTTGATAAATTTAACAACATAAAAATGACTTGTGTAACACTATAAGCAAAATCAAAAGGCAAAAACACACTGAAAGAAATATTTGAATTTATATCAGAGATAAAAGGCTAATATCTACAATACATAAGAGTATCTAATACATGAGTAAATATAGCTAACCACTTTTGAAAATGAACAAAAGACCTAATTGTTCACAGAACAAGAGGCAAATTTTTATTAAACGTGCAAAACAATGTCCAAATTCATTCAAAATAAAGAAAATAGTAATAAAAACCTTTTTCACTATAAAATTGACAAAATGTTAAAACTTGACTGTATACTTTCTGGCAAATCTGTGGGGAAAGAGAAATTTCATTCATTGTTCTAGAAATACAAAAATGGTACAATTCTTTTGAGGGAGAATTTGGCAATGTCTAACAGAATTTCATATACATTTACCCTTTGACTCAGTAAACTCACTCCTAGGAGGTTACCCTGAATAATACAACTACAACCATATGAAAACAAATATGCAAAAGAGATTCCCTGCAGCATTATTATACCAGTAAAACATTAGAAATTCAACATAATTACACACAAGAGATAGTTGAATAAGACCTGGTACATTCTTACAGTGGAGAACCATACAGCTATAGAAACAGAATGAGAAAGAGTCCCATGAACAGATATAGAGTAATTGCCAGGATATATTATTAAGAGGAAAAAGCATAATGTTAGTGTTACATTTCTGAAAATAAAAAGGACATTATTTTCTTTTGTTTTTTCAAAAAAATAAAAAAAAAAGAAGAAAGGATGAACCACAAGCTAATGAAAGTGAATAAATACATTTAGTGAATGTGTGGATGGACCTTTCTGAGTACATGTTGTTTTATACTGGTTAGACTTTTAAACTATATTAATTCACTAAATATTAAGTTAATTTGACAAATATTGGAGAAAAGCCTTAAAATAAAACAAACAGGAGGTGATGAACATAAAAACATCTTCCTTGGTTCTAGATTCTCATCTTACCACAATGTCTTGGAATCCTGTGCTAGGTAGAGGACTCCTTCGACCTGGGTCCTTGAATGACTCCAGTGAGCAAGGCCTTCTGACAACTGACATTTGTCATGTACCATGAGTGAGAAATGAAGTCCTATTTAGTTCAGCAACTTAGACTTTTTTGTTTCCACAGCATAACCTAGTTTATGATGACTAATGAAACAAAGTATGAAGAGACGGTAATGCCATGGCCTTTTAAAATTGGTCCATAATTGTACATATTTGTGGGGTACATGTGATATTTTGATACATGCATATAATGTGCAATGATTAAATCAGGCTATTTAGGGAATATATCAACACAAACATTTATAATGTATTTGTGCTGAGATCATTTCCAATTTTCTCTTCTGACTATTTTGAAATATTCAAGAAATTATTGTTAACTCTAGTCATTCTACTGTGCTACAGAACACTGGAACTTTTTCCTCCTATCTAACTATATGTTTGTACCCATTCACCAATGTCTTTTTATAACCCCTCACCCTCCCCAGCCATTAGTAACCATCATTCTTCTCTATCTCCATGATATCACATTTTTTAGCTCCCACATATGAGTGAGAACATGCCATATTTTTCTCTCTGTGCCTGACTTATTTCATTTAACATAATGATCACCAGTTCTATTAATATCACTGCAAGTGGCAGGATTTCATTCTTTTTTTATGGCTAATAGTCAATTGTGTATATATACCACATTTCTTTATCTATGCATCTGTTGATGGACACTTAGGTTGATTCCACATCTTGGCTATTGTGAATAGTGCTGCAGTAAACATAGTGATGCAGTTATCCCTTTGATATAATGATTTTCTTTCTTTTAGGTAAACCAGTAGTGAGATTGCTGGATTATATGGTAGTTATATTTTTGGGTGTTTTTGAGGAGCTTCCATGCTGTTTTTTAAAATGGCTGTATTAATTTACATTTCCACCAATAGTGTATAAGAGTTCCTGTTTCTCTGCATCTTTGCCAGTATTTTTTATTCTTTGTCTTTTTTGATAATAGCCATTCTAACTGGGGTGAGATGGTATCTCATTGTTTTGATTTGTATTTCTCTCTTTCTCTCTCTCTCTCTTTTTTATTTTTTTTTTGAGATGGACTCTCGCTCTGTGTGCCAGGCTGGAGTACAGTGGCACGATCTTGGCTCACTGCAACCTCCGCTTCCCAGGTTCAAGCAATTCTCCTGCCTCAGCCTCCCAAGTAGCTGGGATTACAGGCATGTGCCACCACACCCAGCTAATGTTTGTATTTTTAGTAGAGTTGGGGTTTCACCATGTTAGCCAGGCTGGTCTTGAACTCCTGACCTCAGGTGATCGGCTCGCCTCAGCCCCCCAAAGTGCTGGGATTACAGGCATAAGCCACCACACCTGGCCCTTGATTTGTATTTCTGTAATAATTAGTGATGTGGAGCATTTTTTTCATATACCTGTTAACTATTAGTATGTTTCCTTTTGAGAAATGTATATTCAGGTATGTTTCCCACTTTTTAATTGGATTATTTGTGGTGGTGTTGAACTGAGTTCCTTGCATATTCTGGATATTAGTCCATTGTCATATAAATAGTTTGCAAATATTTTCTCTCATTCTACAGGTTATCTCTTTACTCTGTTAATTGTGCAGAAGTTCTTTAGTTTAATATAGTCTCATTATTCTAAACACAGATTATTAGCAACTCTTAATTCTTTATTACCTCTTCCAGTACTATAGAAAACACTGAAATGTAGGCGTTATTCAAATTACCATAAATGTATGTGCAGTGTTAGACATTACAGTTGGGGTAGGGGATGTGTGTGGATGAGCAAAAGCACAATTCAGCACCAGACTGAGGATCATGAGAATCAGAGTCTTTGAGGTGATGCAAAGGGACTCTGCTATTCACCCAGAAAGCAGGACAACCAAGGACTATTTCCACTTGTTGACTGCCATGCTTAATAGAAATAGAGTGCCCTTTGGAAGCTGAGAGCTCACTGGGGAATTACTAGAGGATTAGAACAAAAGATAGTACAGGAAATGGAAGAGGGTGTGCAAATGAAGAAAGAAAATTAATGGGTGACCTAAATGAAAGGAAAAAAAGAAATAAAGCCAATATGAAGCTGGAAACCTATGGGGACATATGACTAGCAAGTGCTTTAATTTCTTTTTCTGGCCACTGTTTTTATTATTTTTTAAAAATGTCGATGCTTGTTATTTAACTGGATGTACTAAATCCAAGTTATGATATTTTATTTCAGAATTACATCTGTAATATTAAGGCCATTAAATAGTTATGATCATTTACCCACAAATAAATCATTAGGCACTAGGCATGCTTATTAAATTAATCCAAGTGGTCAGCAGCTAGTGAAAACACATTTAGTTGATGTTAAATATTGCATGGCACATTACAAATGGCTGATGCTCCATAACTGGTCCATTTATAGTTTATGGTGCAAATTTTAAAGTCAAGTAAATGGTGTTTTTGGTAGTAGTTCATGTGTTATGACTTGTCAGAGCTGTAAATAATTTGAAGAGCATTTATGTATTTCTAGATTCCATGTACCTCTTGCTTATAAATCTATTTATTAACCCTTATAAATAATTGATGGCCATATCTTAAAATGAATCATTCCTAAAATTGCTTAACTGTCTGGAATTTTTCTTTAGTAATCCAGTCTCTCATTTTCTTTTCATATCTTAATCAGATATAAATAGAAGAACCTTGCATGCACCTTTTTTTTCTCATTCCCCAATCTAAGTGTCTGTGTCATTATTCACCTTTATGGTGAGAAGCTATGGATTCATGCCATCAATTTTCCTTCTGGCACCTTCAATGAATAATTGGTTTTCTTCACCACCCCCGACCCATCCCAACTTTACAGCTAGTTTCTCTCTCCTTCTCTTTCTCTTCTTTCTTCTTTAATTCCTCACTGGTTGGATACTCTATCCATTTCTTTGAATTTCTTAATATCAGGGGTCTGAATGGCTAATTTCATCACATTCCTGTGATGGATTTATATCTGAACATGCTGTCAATTAACACAGAAGCCTTACAAAAGAGAGAAATGAGATATAAGAAAGGGGCCACAAATGGTTAAAAAAAGGGGCCACAAATGGTTAAAAAAAGAAAAAAATATATACATGACAGGTCCTTGGAAAAATTGTGAATGTGTTGATTTGTTTTGGGCATTTGCTTCTGCCTTATTTTGCACCATTTTTCTTATTGAAGCTCATATCCTCTCACCGTTTCCCCATCTACTAGGAAATCCATCGATGAAGTAATACATTTTATTTTTATTTATTCTTGTATTCGTATATTCATTCAGTACTATTTATTATTTAATTGTTAATATTAGTTATTCACTTAGGTAGATTGACATGTTTCTTGACCTGTTTCTGAAGGAATGGAGGTTTACAATAAGATGAAATTAAAATTTAAGTAAAATAAAACAAGTGGCTGAGACAATCTAGACAAAAACAACATGAGGAGGAATAAGGCAAAGATAAGTGAGCTTATATCGATCCTAATTTCTTTCATATAGTGTAAAATGCATATTCCAGAGCAATATTCATCCTTAGGACCACAGAGTTGCCATTATTCTCATCTACACTTGGGAAGTCTTATAATGCTAACCTGTATAGCTAATGTTACTTCATCCCTCTGAAAAAGTCCTCATGGAAATAAGTTTTGCTGGACTCTTCTTTGGATGTCATTATCATCTCTGTGTATTCCAAATGCACTAATACTCTGGATTTAATGGCTCAATAGAGCAGAGAAGATTGTTCATAAATCAAGCTGGATTTCAAAGGAATTATCCACATAAACATCCCATGAATCAAATAGATAAGAAAACGTGCTGTCCACACTAAGGGTGGTCTTTGTCAATGGAACGCAGACAGATGCTTTTTTTGTGTAGGTGCATTGGGAGTTTCTCCATAGATCAACACTTTTCCTGGAGTAGATCTATTTGGGGGAGATGAAAAATGACTGTGTTAGTGCAACTGAGGTGTGATTTACCTCCAAATTACATTTTGCATTATGCAGTATTTGAATTTGCTCCTATTTGAATGTAAAAGTTTCTACTGGGTGAGAGGTCAGACACAGGTAAACTGGTTTTGCTAAATCAGAAGAGATTTCAAACGATGTGGCTGAGAGGTAAGAAAAGCAGTGCAAAGATTTATTGAGAAAAGTGTTTAGTTGATAAACGATAACATTTATTTGTAATTTGAGGATTTGACCCAAATGACCCTCATTAGCTCAGCTTGTGTGGAGCCAATTGGTTTCACAAATTTATTATTTGACCTCATGCTATTTGTAAAAGAATTTTATAGCACTAAAAATGAGATTTGTTTTAAGACAAATGTGAATTATTTCCTTAATTATGCTATTTTGCTTTCTCTATAAAATTATGAATATTATATTTTCATACAGAAGGCTTATAGATGATAAGCCTGGTTAAAAAAAAAATGTTGACTAACAAAAACTCACCCTTTGCACTTGAGGCGTATTTTTGTAAGCATAGGAGATAATGATTTACTCACCCATAATTGTCTTGTCACCCACAACCCATTGATCTTAATAACAGGAGCTTAAATTTACTGAGAATTTCCTATGTTCCAGGTATTGTGCTAACTATTTGCATGAATTCTCTCTTTAATTTTCACAACACAATAAAGTACATTGTATTACATTCACGATTTTGAAGATGAGAGAGTAGAACCTGGCAATTGTAAATTCCTTGTCTGTGGACATATACTAGTAAGAAGAGGCACTGGAATAAATAGATGCAGTTTGATTAGGAGATTTTATTTAGTCTTAACTACTATTTTGTTATTTTTGTCTTCAGTGCCATTTGCGATGTTATTGTATTCTTTACTGTTCATGAATAAAGTTACTATTGCTTTACTTAGTACAAAAGTGTTAGAAAACAGTCTCAAATATGTCTCAATTTGTCAGAAAAGTACCTTAAATATACTTGAGGAAGACATACCTATTTAAAATAGATATAAAACCTAAGTTTTTAAAAGGAGTCTCAAATGTATTTCCTCTTATAAGCTAGTTCTGATCACTGAACACCAAGATTCAATTGTTAGAGTAGGTGCATTATGATGCCATCATTTGATTCTGTGACGACTGAATATAAGAGCTTCAGTTTATTTGGCAACTGGTAAAACAACACTTTAGAAAATAATTTTTTATTGAAGAATGTCTAATGTTGGATGAGTAGACAGCATGAATATATCCAAGTGAAATACTCTGTCAACCACTGCAGCATAGATCTTTATAACCAAAATTACCTTTCATATTTGGAATTATTAGGAAAAGAAGTATCTGTTATGTTGGCTTTCAGTGTGTTTTTATGGGCTCTCAGACAACAGCCACTGAAATAATGAGAAGCACACTGGTTAGGATCTGAGCTCCTCCACTTCTCTTCTAAAAGAAGAGCTTTACATTAATTTGTCTGGCTAAAGAGTATTTGCCAACCCTTTTAGAATATGGTGTGATGTTACTCACTCTCTTTAACATTGTAAAAATAATAATTTGCCCATTTTTGCATGGTTTATGACACACATGGTACATACTCTATTTCAATATCAGTATTACTTACATATTCTATCATTAAGTATCAGTCTATTTGTAGAAACAGCAGCAATACACGACTGGGTGAAAAATAATTTAAAACTCGTTGATGGTTGAAAATTATAACAATAGTGTAGTCAACTGGATGATCAATTGATTAAGCAATTTAATTATGAACATGCTCACATGATGTCCAATAATCCTATGCATGCTTACTGTATGAGCACTGGGGAGTTCTGAGATAATTATGTTTAAACACAAAACCTTTCAAATAATTATGGTACTTGTTAATAAGAAAAGGGAATGAAATTTGAATTTTTTCCAACCTCAATGGTGTAAATTCTCTGAAATAATTCTAAAGTCCGCTGGCTGAGAAATGATAACCCAGACAGTGATGGTTTTATTTGTTGTTATCTGCCTCATTGATTATATTTTTTCAACACTTAAGGGTTGACAAGAAAATTTAATATTTATTTTCATACTCAATTCCCACAGCAATGAGGAAACTGAGGTTCACAAGGACTAAATGCACTTTCAAAAAAAAAAAACACCTCCTAAGTGGCTTTTTTAACCTAAGCAATGGCTACATTATTTACAAGAGTGTAGACAATATATGGAAACAATTTTAACTGAAGAACAACAAAAGTAATTTGGCCATACTCCTTAGTAAATAAAAATACAAAAATACATTGACTAAACATGCTAGTGAAATGATTGACTTCATTAAAACCTGTTTTTTCAACATTTCAACCCAACAAATATATATATATGTGTGTGTATATATATACATATATATATGTGTGTGTATATATATACGTATATATATGTGTGTGTATATATGTATATATGTGTATATATGTATATATGTGTATATATGTATATATGTGTATATATATACATATATATGTCTATACCCCTTTTTCTTCAAGTCAATATCTATATCTATCTATACGTTAAAGTATTTCTTCACAATTACTGCCTTTTTGAAACTTTCCTCAGTGTCTGCTTCCTAAACTAATCTAACAATTAAAATCTGCACAAAAAATATATAAAGACCTCATATATTGCTATCTTAAAGCATTTGTTTTTCACTTGCTTATGAGTGCAATCAAATATGTATGTCTAAGTTTGTCATTGTTGTGAAAAAGGGTAAGATTGGGGCCTCATTTCTTCCCATATGTAGAATGTGTGTTTGTGCAGCAATGTGCCTGTATCAGTGAGTGAAGTTTGAGAAAAGCAACGGAGAGAATTTGGAGTTTAAGATATAATCCCTGCTCTGTGCTGCTCAGAAATTCAGTTGATTTGGAGTATGTGGGCAGGCACTGATTGTCATAAAAAGGGAAAAGTAAGGGACAAGACATCAGGAATATGAATGAAGGAGAGAAAACACCCATCTCCTAAAAACCCTGAAGCTCAGAATTATAGAAATGAGTATGTTAGTATAAGATTCAGCAGCAAAAAGAGAAGGTGAGCTATGAGGAGAAGAAATATTATGAAGGGAGTTCTTCTCCTCCTTGCTCTTAATCCTCACTGGTTGAAAGATATCTGAGAGACTGAAAGAGAGCTGGGAAATTGCTGATCTCTACCCAAGTTGTGTGGCCTTTTCTCTTCTTGAGACAGAGAAAATCTAGAAATCCTACTAGGCAGCTCCTTGAATGTGAAGAAAGAGCTATTCAGCTAAAGAACACCTGAGGGCATTAGTTAGTAAAAGCACTGGGGGACAGTGTTTTAGACCAGAGCACGGTCTTTTGAGGTAGGGGGACATGAACATCCAAAGATGGAAATTAGACAAGACATGACCGGAGTCTTCAAAGACATCAGGTAGTAACATGGCTGGTTCTGACTAACTTTGGGGGGAAAGCAATTCCCTAAAAGCAAAGAACACAGTTTGTTTAGTGACCAAGAAGAGACATGTTTTCACCTCCATCTCCACCAAAACCAAACTTTTGAGCTTTATTTTAAAATCCAATAGACATATTGGTAAGGAAGTGAGTGAAGGAGATTGTAGAATTTGGTTTTCTTTCTGGTGAGGTTGAATTCCTTCTCCTGGATATAGTATCATTGTATAACCAAAGGGAAAGAAGAAAAGAAAAGAAAAGAAAAGAAAAGAAAAGAAAAGAAAAGAAAAGAAAAGAAAAGAAAAGAAAAGAAGAAAAGAAAGAGAAAGAGAGAGAGAGAAAGAGAGAGAGAAAGAGAAAGAAAGAAAGAAAAAGAAAGGAAAGAAGGAAAGAAAGGAAAGAAAGAAAAGAAAGAAGAAGAAAGAAAGAGAAAGAGAGAGAGAGGAAGGAAGGAAGGAAGGAAAGAAGGTCAAGAACAGCAATTCCATATAAAATCATTTTAGTTTCAGGAAGTAATTTACAAATATCTTATTACAATATTCAACAATGCTTCTAAAATAGGACATAATTAATGATATTATACAGAGAGGACCTCTTATTTTTATTTGGATAATCTTACATTTTTCCCAAAAACATTCATTTATATTTTCAAAATTAATCATGAACCTGTCAAAATAGGAAAAAAATTGTATTTGTTAAGTATGTTTGCTTTTTCATTTCCAGTGTAGATATGACATTCTTTGCCAACGAGTACATATTTGGGTATTTTACTTATCACTAATTCTTCTTAAGTTTGAATTCTCAGGCTATGCACATTTCAGTTTACAATGATTTGCCCAAACCATTCTCATAATTCAGAGTATAGGAACGAGAACACAGTATTGTATAGCTTTTGTCAGGATTTAATTTAAATAACAAGTATTAAAGACATATAATACAGCACCTGGAACCTAACAAATACTCAGTCAGTGTTTGCTAAATAAGAAAAATAAAACAGAATTTATGGTTAGAGATTCCTGGCCTTCTGAAATCAAGAGAAAAATATGGAAACTGAATGGCTTCCTTAAACAAAAAGACAATTCCAGCATGAAAATGTTATCTGGATTCTGAATTACTTGACTTTGTAAAGTATTGTTTTACGCATCTTCCACAGCTAACCCCATACTAATTTAATTATTTAAAAGGTAAGACACTTATTTTAAAATATTATAACTGATTAAAATGAATTAATCATGTTTATTCATCACTTTGCCCAACTTGCAACTACCAATACGGGTGCATTATTTCACAAACACATTCTACATGTGAGAATAAAGTGAAGCCCAAAGCTTACTTTATTTCTCAGAACAATCATAAATTTATACATTCACATTCTATTCCATTTGTAAGCAAATAAAAAAGAAATGCTTCAATATAGCAATATGTGAAATTTTCATATTTTTTGTACAGATTGATTGCTAGGTTAGTTTAAGAAGCTAATGCTGAGGAAAATTCCAAAAAGGCAGTAATTGTAAGAAATACTTTCATTTTATATACATTTACTTGAAGAAAAAGGAAGAATAATGTGTGTGGAGGGGAAGGTTTGCAGAGGAGTCAGTTTTAATAAATGCAAACATTTTACCAGAGTCTCTAATAAATGATTGCTTTTTTTAAAAATCTGCATGTATTGATAAGTATGGGGAAATTACCTCTGCAGCTCTTACAATACCCAGAGTTCTGTACTTACTGGTTCATACAGTATTTCATTTCTTTCACATATTTGTTTTATGCCTAGTGAACACTGGGTGGGGGGACCAATCCCATTGCAATTCAGACCTGCTCCAGCAATTACTATTCCATAGAATGCCATGGCGATGAATTTGTGGAGTGTGGCCCCTGGTGCCAAGCATTGTTCTAGGTACTGGTGATAGAGCAGTGAGCAGAACAGACAAAACCCCACTCTCTGGATCATAAGTTCTGAATGGAGAGGCATACAATGCATGAGTTAAGTAAATAAAACATATAGTGTGTTAGGGCTACAAAAGTGCTAGGGACAAATCTAAAGCAGGGGAATATCCCGAAAGTGCAGGAGCTGAGCAGAGGGACTTTGAATATGGTGTGAAAGAGCTCTGAGAGAAGGCATCACTTTAGTAAAGTTGTGAACAAAGACAGCGAGCCATGCTCCCTCATCTAGAGGAAGAGCACTCTCAGGAGAAGGTGAAAGGGCCAATGGAAAGGTCCTAACATGGGAGTGTGTCTGGGGTGGAACATCCTAGAAATAGTGACAAGGCCAATGTAGTCAGAGAAAAATGAGGCTGGATCAGAGACAGTAGAATCAAGTTCAGAGAGGTCAGGGGAAGGAATCAGCTAGGGTCTCGAACTTCATCAGGACTTGGGCTTATAATCAGGGAGAAAGAAGCATTCTGGGATATTAAAAAAGAAACTTGAAAAGGTCTGATGTGTTTTAACAGGGTAACTCTGGCTGTTGCATTGAAAATAGTCTGTAGGGTGACAAGGGCCGAAACAGGAAGAATAGTTGGAAGCTTCTGTAACAGTGCAAGTCAGAGACAATGAAGACTCTCCCCAAGGCAGTAGCTATGGAGTGAAGAGTAGCAGCTGTCCCCAGAATATATCTTGAAATTAGAATCTACTTATGAATTAGATATTTAGTGTCAGAGAAGGAGCACCATCAATAAATAACTGAACAACTGAGAAATCAAGTTGTCATAAACTGAGATGAGGAAGGTGGAAGAAACAGATGAGCTGAGGAACACTGTTTTGCACGTTAAATTTTAGATGCCTATGAGATGTCTATGTTGGGTGCTGACAATAGCCACAGAAATTTGTCTCTCTTTTTGTGGTGATCCTGAGTTAAACTCAACTTATTAAATTGGTAATTGATACTGTTAATATATATTTCGCTTTCTTAGGAACTTTTGCATTCCACAGATACTTCTGTAACCTGGAATAGTACTTGGCCAAAATTATAGTCTTACTACCACTGGGTTTTTCATATAGAATACCCAGAGAGAAATAAAACCCTGGAAAAAGTCAAAGCATTTTATTGGTAAAATTTACTGCTTTTTCTTCCTTGTGGAAAAATAAAAGTTCTTTAGTGTATTTTAAAAACAAAATGTCTATAACGTAAATTGAATATTTTGCTATATTTAACTATACCATAAATTAATATATTTGATACTTTAAAGTATTAAAATATGTTTGCTTCTAATGGGAAAATATTGCTGATTCCTTCCTTCCCAGACCGCTCTACACACACATACACAAGTTCACATGTTAGTCTACGGGAATTTTAAAGAGTGATATTTGATGCTATTTCCTCATTAGAAAAAACTTTACATCAGAATTGCTTCTATAGTTAATCCACTTCTAAAGCAAGTATTTAGGAGTTTTTCAAATGAGATGGTACAAACTAAACTTCAAGTCTGAGCTTACGTCACCAAGATATAATTATAAATGCCAAGTAAAATAAATATGTGCTGTCTTGACTCTTTTAAATTAGTATATTGTTTAATATTTTATAACACAGATGTCATTGATAAAAAATGACTTTATTTTTAAATATTTTCATTCAACTGATAACTATCAAATCTATAAAGGTTAAATAAGATATATACTCTCATCTCAAAGACATAGTAATAGACATTAATATTAGACAAAGTGTGATAAATCCCACAGAAAAGCTTTTAAGAGACAAGAGTTTCAGGGGATAGAAAGATCATACCTGAGAGGGAAGATTAAATAAGGACACAGAAAGTTGGCAAGACATATTTTAAAATACAAGTGGATTTTCAACAGGCAGAGATGAAGGTCGGGGAAAAATTAGCTGGAGAAGCTATATATTCTAATAATTCAATATTATATATTTATAACACCTGAATAACTCAAATACTTTGATAAATAAAATGAATCATTCTCCAGATATATTATACGACAGAAATATTTTTATGCTATTGTCTTGGATTGCCCATTTTTTCTTCACTGTATATGTTCAATAAAATATTCATCTGCCTAATTATTGGTGAAAACATAGCATCTTTAAAGCAAACATACAATTAGAATTATACATTCAATTTATCCTGAGGACTAGCATTAGTAGTTATGGTTTCATCTGAAAGTAATGCCTACTTGGTTTTCATCCACTCGTGACAGGCAGCCCCTACCCATGATCCCCTCTATCTGGTATTCATGTCTTTAAGTAATCCCCTCCCCTTGGAGCTGCTGATTGGCTTGTAATGAATAGAATGTAGCAAAAGTGTTGGGATGTTACTTCTGAGAATAGCTCATATAAAGGTTGTAATCTCTATTATGGACACTTTCTCACTGGCTCACTCTGAAAGAAGCTAACCACTATTTTGTGAGCAGCCCTATGAAAGCAATACATGACAAGGAATGAACAGGTGTTTCTGACCAAGAGCAGCAAGGATCTGAGGCCTGTGGCAGCAACATGAATGAGATTGGAAGAGAATCCTCCCCAAGTTGAGCCTTGAGAGGACAGTCTCCCCAGCTGACACCTTACTGAAGCCTGTGAGAAAGCCTGAACCAGCTGTACCCAGACTCCTCCTCTATGGAACCTGGGGGAAAATAAATATTGGTTTGTGCTAAGCTGCTACATTTTGGGGTAATTTTTTACATAGCAATTGATAAGTAAAACAGTATAATTTTCTCTAATAGCACAGGATTTTTTTTTTTTTTCCAGAGTCTCATTCTGTCACCCAGGCTGGAGTGCAGTGGTGCAATCCCAGCTTACTGCAGCCTCCGCCTCCCGGGTTCAAGCGATTCTGCTGCCTCAGCCTCGCGAGTAGCTGGGATTTCAGGTGTGTGCCACCATACCCAGCTAATTTTGTATTTTTAGTAGAGACGGGGTTCCACCATGTCAGACAGGCTAGTGTCGAATTCCCGACCTCAGGTGACACACCCGCCTCGGCCTCCCAAAGTGCTGGGATTACAGGCGTGAGCCACCGTGCCCGGCCTAGCACAGGATATATAACCAACATTGTAACTTTATCTTGTGCCTTGTCCCAGTAATCAATTTACAGGTTAAAGGTCCCTGAAATATTTTCTTTCTAAATAAAATTTTCCTTCTAATTTAGACATATGCATAATCATATCAGAAACTATAAAGAACAAATGGAATGTCACCCATCACTCACAGATAATATTTCTTGGTTATTACACAAAACTTGGTGGAGTGCCAAGATGGCTGACTGCAAGCAGCCAGTGTAGGCTGCTCTCATGGAGAAGACATAGAGTGGTGAGTAAACATTGGCTCTTTGGCTGGATTGTCCAGGTGGACATGTTGGGATTCATCAAGGAAGCAAGGCAACCCATGGGGAACAGAGACGAGCAAAACAAGATATGCGTCCACATGGGATTGGTGCAGAGCCAGTGGGGAGGATCCCACTGTGGAGAAACAGTGAGTAAGTGAGAGCCCCAGGGCACCCACACTTTCCCCATGGACCTTTGCAACCCTGGACTCAGGAGATCCTCCACGATGCCCCTCCACCAGGGACCCCAGACAGACATGGAGAGCTACATGAAGTCTGGGGTGAGCCACCACTCAAGCACACGTGGGGTCCTGGGGCCTTGGACCCGTGGGCCACCATAGCACCAGTGGCTGCTGTAGCTCTGAAAACAGGGAAGGCCAGGCTCCCTCGCACAACCCCAGGATAGGGGCTATATCCATGGGGCTGAGGAGCAGACAGACTGCAAACCTCACTTCCACTGCACTTTGCCAGACAGGGCCCATTGGCCTGGGACCCTAGCTTGGCCAACCCAGCCCCACCTGACCTCTCTAACAGGTAGCAGCCCTGCCCTTCCCTGGGACAGAGCTCCCAGCAGTAGCATGCAGGCCACCATTGTTCCTGCTCCACAGCTCCCACCCCTGCAGCCCTCATGCTCGGAAGGAAGCAAAAAGATTGAGGACTAACACAGGCCTCCAGCACAGTGCAACTGCCTTACAGAAGAGTGGCCAGGCTGTTTTCCATGCAGGTCTCAGCTCCCGCTACTCCTTACTAGACAAGGCCTCCCCACCTGGAACCCCAGCCACTGAAAACCCTAGCCCCTGAGAACCTCAACAGGGTTCTCAGGCCAGTAGCAGTTCTGCGGCCCTGCACTTCCTTAGAATGGAGCTCCCAGCAGCAGCAGGCAAGCCACCATTTTTGCTGGTCCGCAATTCCTGCCCCTGCTGCCCTCGACCTCGAAAGGGAGCAAAGAGATTGGGGACGGACACAGGTCTCCAACAGTGAAGCAGCCTTACAGAAAAGCGCTCAGACTGTTTTCCACATTGATGTCTGCCAGTGTTACTTCTCACTGGGCAGGACTTCTCAACCTGGGCCCCCATTACAACCACGCTGCACTCACCTGAACATTTCAGTAGGTGGCAGCTCTGAGTTTCTCTGGGGAGGGAATTCTGTAGACAACGCACAGCCCCTCTCTCATTGCGGCTGCAGCGGTACTGCCCTTACTGCCCTCCAGCTGGTGAAGGAACAAAGGGCCTGGTCATGTTGCTAGCATATCCAGCATGCCACAGCCACCATATGAGGAGGAGCCCAGTCTCTGTTCCGGTGAGCCCCCACCCCCTCCTCCTCACTAAGCAGATCCCCAGGTTGGGAGTGCAGAGCAGCCACCCCACCCCCAACTGAGCATTCCCACTGGTAGTGGCTCTGTTTGCCTGGGGTGGAGCTCCCAGAGGTAACAGCTCCTCTGCCACTGCCACTGTGGCTATTCTGCTCTTGCTGCCCTCTAACTGAAGAAGGAACGAAGAGCCCGAGGACTTTAGTCACACCTCCAGCACATGATAGTCACCATATGAAGAGGAGCACAGTCTTTCTATGAGCCCCTGATTCCCTGCTCTTCATCAAGCGGGGCCCACAGCTCGGGCCCACAGCTCAGGCCCACAACACGCTGCCCTATCCCTGCCTGAACATTCCCATTGGAACAACTCTGTATGTCTCTGGAGTGGAGCTCCAAGAGGCAACTGAAAGCCCCTCTGCCACTGCCAGCACAGTGGTACTGTCCTTGCTGCCGGTACCTAGGGAAGGAACAAAGAACCCGAGTGCTTTCCTCACACCTCCAGCACACCAAAGCTGCCCTAAGGAGAAGAGCCCAATCTGTCTTCCCCGTGAGCCTCTGGCAAACCCTGCTCATTACCAGACAGGGGCCCCTGGCTTGGGCCCACAGTGCAGCTGTCCCACCACAGGTCAATCACTCTGATTGGTGGCAGCTCTGCATTTCTGAGGTGGAGCCACAGAGACAAGTGAAAGGCCCTCTGCCATTTCCCCTGCTAAGGTCTCTGCCCCTGCTGCCCCCAAGCTGGGGAGGGAACATAAAGCCTGAGCTCACCTTAGGGCCGTGGTGCACAGCCCAGCAGTGCGAAGCCAAGTTCTGTAGCCAGCACTCAAGTGGGAGAGGAACCCATACTCTCACAGCACTGAGAGAGAGTGAGAGGTGACACTGTGCTGGCAGTCCTCACAGCCCTCGCTCGCTTTCGGCACCTCCTCTGACTGGGCTCCCACTTTGACGGCACTTGAGGAGCCCTTCAGCCCTCCGCTGCACTATGGCAGCCCCTTTCTGGGCTGGCCAAGGCCAGAGCCGGCTCCCTCAGCTTGCAAGGAGGTGTGGAGGGAGAGGCGCGGGCAGGAACCGGGACTGCGCGCGGTGCTTGCGGGCCAGGGCGAGTTCCGGTGGGCGTGGGCTCGGCGGACCCCGCCCTGGGAGCGGCCGGCTGGCCCTGCTGGCCCCGGGCAATGAGGAGCTTAGCACCCGGGCCAGCGGCTGCGGAGGGTGTGCTGGGTCCCCCAGCATGCCGGCCCACCGGCACTGCGCTCGATTTATCGCCGGGCCTTAGCTGCTTTCCCATGGGGCAGGACTGGGGACCTGCAGCCCGCCATGCCTGAGCCTCCCCCCTCCCCCCGCCTCCGTGGGCTCCTGTGCAGCCCGAGCCTTCCCAACGAGCGCTGCCCCCTGCTTCACAGTGCCCAGTCCCATCGACCACCCAAGGCCTGAGGAGTGTGGGCACACAGCACGGGATTGGCAGGCAGCTCCACCTGCAACCCCAGTGAGAGAGTCTGGTGGGGACGTGGAGAACCTTTATGTCTAGCTAAGGGATTGTAAATACACCAATCGGCACTCTGTATCTAGCTCAAGGTTTGTAAATACACCAATCAGCACCTTGTGTCTAGCTCAGGGTTTGTGAAGACACCAATCGACACTCTGTATCTAGCTACTCTGGTGGGGACTTGGAGAACCTTTGTGTGGACACTGTGTATCTAACTAATCTAGCTAATCTAGTGGGGAGGTGGAGAACCTTTGTGTCTAGCTCAGGGATTGTAAACGCACCAATCAGCGCCCTGTCAAAACAGACCACTGGGCTCTACCAATTAGCAGGATGTGGGTGCGGGGGGGGACGGGCGGGGGGAGGGGGGCAAATAAGAGAATAAAAGCAGGCTGCCCCAGCTAGCAGTGGCAACCCGCTGAGGTCCCCTTCCACACTGTGGAAGCTTTGTTCTTTCACTCTTTGCAATAAATCTTGCTGCTGCTCACTCTTTGGGTCCACACTACCTTTATGAGCTGTAACACTCACTGCGAAGGTCTGCAGCTTCACTCCTGAAGCCAACGAGACCACGAACCTACCGGGAGAAACGAACAACTCCAGAGGAGCCTTAAGAGCTGTAACACTCAATGCGAAGGTCCGCAGCTTCACTCTTGAGCCAGCGAGACCACGAACCCACCAGAAGGAAGAAACTCCGAACACATCCGAACATCAGAAGGAACAAATTCAGGACACGCCGCCTTTAAGAACTGTAACACTCACCGTGAGGGTCCGTGGCTTCATTCTTGAAGTCAGTGAGACCAAGAACCCACCAATTTCCGGACACAAGAGCACAGCTGCAAACGGGAAATACAGAGGAGCCACATGGCTGAGCAAAAGCTTACCTACTGGCCATTATGTTTAAGCACCATCTACTGGATCACAGTCCAAACTTTAACACCAAAAATACTTTGCTAACATACCCCCACCCCATGAAACCAAAGACAAAAGTTCACCTACAAATAAAGACCTTGCACAAAGGCTTGGCCCTTTGAAAGCATCCAGAAACAAAGTCAACTGACTATACTCAAATTGTGCTACAGTTTAAGGAACATCGGCCCACCACAGATGAGAAAGAACTAGCACAAGAATTTTGGCAATTTAAAAAGTCAGAGTGTCTTCTTTCCTCCAAAGGATTACACTAGTTCCTCAGCAAAAACTTAAATGGTTGAAATTACAAAAATAGAATTCAGAATATGGATGGGAAAGAAGGCTATTAAGATTCAGGAGATTGTTGAAACCCAATCAAGGATTACAATACAACAATACAGGAGCAGAAAGACAAAATGCCCCATTTTAATATAAAATAAAATTAATAGGATAGAAGTGAAAAACACACAACAAGAACCTTATAATTCAGTTGAAAGTATTAACAGTAGACTAGACCAAGCTGAGTTAATAAACTCAGAGATCAAAGACTGGTTCTCTGCATTAACTCACTCAGACAAAAATAAAGGAAAAATAATTTAAAAAAAAAAATGAACAAAACCTCTGAGAAATATGTGATTATGTAAAGAAACCAAATCTATGACTCATTTGCATCCCTGAAAAGGAAGGAGAGAACAAGCAAGTTGGAACACGTATTTGAGGATAACATCCAAAAAAATTGCCCCAACATCATTATAGAGACCGATATTCAAATTAGAAATTGCAGAGAATCTCCGCCAGATATTATACAAAATGACAATCCTTATAACACATAGTCATCAGATTCTCTAAGGTTGACATGAAAGAAAAAATATTGGCTGAGCATCCTGGTCTCATGCCTGTAATCCCAACACTTTGAGAGGTCAAGGGAGGCAGATCTATTGAGTCCAGGAGTTCAGGACCAGCCTGGGCAACATAGATAAACCCCATCTCTACAAAAATTAGGCAGGTATAGTGGCATACACCTGTAGTCCCAGCTACTCAGGAGGCTGAGGTGGGAGGATCACTTGAGCCTGAGAGGTTGAGGCTTCAGTGAGCACTGAGCATACCACTGTACTCCAACCTGGGTAACAGAGTGAAATCCTGCCTCAAAAAAAAAAAAGAAAAATAAAAGGAAAGAAAGAAAGAAAAGAAAGGAAAAGAAAAGAAAAGAAAAAAAGTAGCAAGAGAGAAAGGGTAGCTCATCTACAAAAGGAAAACTTATCGGTCTATCAGTGGACCTTTCAGCAGAAACCATACAAGTTGGAAGATATTGGGTCTAAATTCAGCATTCTTAAAGAAAATAAACTCTAACAAAGAATTTCATATCCAGCCAAACTAAGCTTAATAAGCTAAGTAGAAATAAGCTCCTTTTTAGACAAGCAAATGCTAAGGGAAATTTTTACCACTAGACCTGCCTTACAAGAGATCTTTCAGGGAGTGCTAAATATGGAAATGAAAGACTATTACCAGCCCCCGCAAAAACACACTTAAGTACATAGACCATTGACACTATAAAGCAACTACATGATCAAGTCTGCATAACAACCAGCTAACGACGAGATGAAAGGATAAAATTTGCGCATATCAATAAAAACCTTGAATGCAAATGAACTAAATCCCCCAATTAAATGCCCCAGAGTGGCAAGTTGGATAAAGAAGCAAAACCAAACTCTACACTGTCTTCAAGAGTTCTATCTCACATGCAGTGACACACATAGGCTCAAAGTAAAGGGAAGGAGAAAAATCAGCTAAGCAAATGGAAAACATAGAAAGGCAGAAACATTCTAATTTCAGACAAAACAGACTTTAAACCAACAATAATGAAAAAGACAAAGGACATTACATAATGGTAAAGGGCTCAACTCAACAAGAGGACTTAACTATCCTAAATATATATGCACCAACACAGGAGCACACAGATTAATAAAACAGATTCTTAGAGTCCTGCAAAGAGAAGAGATAACCATATAATAATAATGGAAAACTTCGACACCCCACTGACAGTATTAGACAGATCATCAAAGCAGAAAACTAACAAAGATATTCAGGAACTGAACTTGACACTTGAACAAATGCACCTAACAGACATATACAAAACTCTCCATCCAAAAACAACAGAATATACATTCTTCTCATCTGCACATGGCACACTGGCTAAAATCAGCCACAGGATTGTTCATAAAACAATTCTCAGGAAATTTAAAAAAAAGACAAAATCATACCAATCACACTGTCAGACCACAGCATGATAAAAATAGAAATCAATACTAAGAAGATTTATCAAAACCATACAATCACACAGAAATTAAACAATCAGAAGACATTTATGCAGCCAAAAAACACATGAAAAAATGCTCACCATCACTGGCCATCAGAGAAATGCAAATCAAAACCACAATGAGATACCATCTCACACCAGTTAGAATGGCAATCATTAAAAAGTCAGGAAACAACAGGTGCTGGAGAGGATGTGGAGAAATAGGAACACTGTTACACTGTTGGTGGGACTGTAAACTAGTTCAACCCTTGTGGAAGTCAGTGTGGCGATTCCTCAGGGATCTAGAACTAGAAATACCATTTGACCCAGCCATCCCATTACTGGGTATATACCCAAAGGACTATAAATCATGCTGCTATAAAGACACATGCACACGTATGTTTATTGCGGCACTATTCACAATAGCAGACTTGGAACCAACCCAGATGTCCAACAATGATAGAATGGATTAAGAAAATGTGGCACATATACACCATGGAATACTATACAGCCATAAAAAATGATGAATTCATGTCCTTTGTAGGGACATGGATGAAATTGGAAATCATCATTCTCAGTAAACTATCGCAAGAACAAAAAACCAAACACCGCATATTCTCACTCATAGGTGGGAATTGAACAATGAGAACACATGGACACAGGAAGGGGAACATCACACTCTGGGGACTGTTGTGAGGTATACGGGGAGGGGGGAGGGATAGCTTTAGGAGATATACCTAATGCTGAATAACGAGTTAATGGGTGCAGCACACCAGCATGGCACATGTATACATATGTAACTAACCTGCACATTGTGCACATGTACCCTAAAACTTAAAGTATAATAATAATAAAATAAAAAAAAGAAATTAAACAATCTGCTCTTGAATGACTTTTGAGTAAAGAATGAAATTAAGGCAAAAATCAAGACTTATTTGAAACTAATGAGGACAGAGATAAAACATACCAGAACCTCTGGGACACAGCTAAAGTAGTTTTAAGAGAAAAGTTAATAGTGTTAAACACCCACATCAAAAAGTTAGAAAGGTCTCAAATTAACAGCCTAACCATCACATTTTGAGGGACTAGAAAAACAAGAGCAAACCAACCCCAAAGCTAACAGAAGACAACAAATAACAAAGATCAGAGCTAAACTGAAGGAAACTGAGATGTGAGGGGCCGTACAAGATATCAATGAAACTAGAAGTTGGTCCTTTGAAAGATAGATAGACTGCCAGACTGCCAGCTAGACTAATAAAGGAAAAAAAAAAGAAAAAAGAGAAGACCCTAGTTGACACAATCAAAAATGACAAAGGGTATGTTACTGCTGACTTCACAGAAACACAAAGAACCATCAGAGACTATTATGAATAACTATATACACACAAACTGGGGAACCCAAAAGAAATGGACCCATTCCTATAAGAAAAAAAAAAAAAAGTCCCAAGACTGAATCAGGAAGAAATTCCAACCCTGAACAGACTAATAATGAGTTCTGAAATGGAATCAGTAACAAAAAGCCTATCAACCAAAGCCCAAAACCAGATGGATTCACAACCGAATTCTACCAGATGTAAAGAAGAGCTGGTACCATTCCTGCTGAAACCATTCCAAAAAATTGAGGAGAAGGGGCTCCACCCTATCTTGTTCTATGAGGCCAACATCATTCTGATACCAAAACACAACAAAATGACACAACAAAAGAGAACACTTCAGGCCAATATCCTTCAGGATCATAGATACAAAAATCCTCAACAAAATACTAGCAAACCAATCTGAGCCACACATGAAGAAGCTGATCCACTATAATCAAGTAGGGTTATCCCAGAGGGATGCAAGGTTGGTTTAGCATACGCAAATTAATGCAAGTGAGTTATCACATAAACAGAACTATCCAAGCTGAGTGCCAAATCAAGAATGCTGTTCTATTCACTACAGTTACAAAAAATAAATAAATAAAATACCTAGCAATACAGCTAACCAGGGAGGTGAAAGGTCTCTACAATGAGAATTACAAAACACTCTTCAAAGAGATTAGAGATGACACAAACAAATGGAAAAACATTCCATGCTCATAGACTGGAAGAATCAATATTGTTAAAATGCCCATATTGCCCAAAGCAATCTCCAGATGCAATGTTATTCCTGGTCCAGAAGTAAAGCCACACACTAACAATCATTTGATATTTCGCAAAAACAAGCAGTAAGGAAAGGACTCCCTATTCAAGAAATGGTGCTGGGATAGCTGAGTAGCCATACTCAGAAGAATGAAACTGGACCCCTTCCTTATACCATATAGAAAAATCTACTCAAGATGGATTAAAGACTTAAATGTAAAACCTAAAAATATAGAAACCTTGCAAGCTAATGTAGGAAATATTGATACCATTCTGGACATAGGCTCCAGCAAAGATTTTATGACAAAGAGGACAAAAGCAATTGCAACAAAAGCAATTGCAACAAAAACAAAAATTGACAAATGGGACCTCATTAAATTAAAGAGCTTCTGTAGAGCAAAGAAAACTATCAACAGAGTGAAATGGTTTGGATCTGTGTCCTTGAACAAATATCACGTTGACTATAATCCTCAATGCTGTAGGTGAGGCCTGCTGGGAGGTGATTGGATCACAGGGTTGGCTTCTCATGAATGATTCAGCACCATCCCTTTTGGTGTTCTTGTCACGATAGTGAGTTATCATGAGATCCAGTTGTTTAAAGGTGTTTAGCACCACCCCTGCCCTACCTAACTTCTGCTCCAGCCATGGAAGATGTGCCTGCTTTTTGTTCATCTCCCCCCATGATTGTAAGTTTCCTGAGGTCTCCCCAGCAGCAGAAGCTTCTATGATTCCTTTATAGCCTGCAGAACCACGAGGAGCAAATTAAACCTCTTTTCTTTATAAATTGCCCTGTCTCCGATTTTTATAGCAGTATGAAAATAGACTAATACAGAGAGTTAATAACCAACCCACAGAATAGGAGAAAACACTTAAAGACTATGCATCTGACAAAGGTCTACTATTCAGCATGTATAAGGAACTTAAACAAATTTATAAGCAAAAAACAATGCCATTAAAAAGCTGGCAAAGGACATGGACAGACACTTTTCAATAGAAAATATATTTGCGGCCAACAAAAATAGAAAAATGTTCAACATTGCTAATCATTAGAGAAGGGCAAATTAAACCACAATAATCTACCAACTCACACCACTCAAAGTGGCTACTCTCAATAAGTCAAAATATAACAGATGCTGGCCAGCTGGAGGAGAAAAGAGAATACTTATACATTAGTGGTGGTAATGTGAATCAGTTCAGCCACTGTGGAAAGCAGTTTGACAATTTCTCAAAGAACTTGAAGAACTATAATTCAACCCAGCAATCTCAGTATTGAGCATATACCCAAAGGAATATAAGTCATTCTACATAAAGACACATGCATGCATATGTTCATTACAGCATTAATCACAATAGCAAAGACATGCAGTCAATCTAGATGCCCAACAATAGTAGACTGGATAAAGAAAACGTGGTACACAAACACCATGGGATACTATGCAGCCATAAAAAAGAATGAGAACATGTCCTCCTAAACAACATGAATGCAGCCAAAGACAATTATCCTAAGCTAACTAATGCAGGAATAGAAAACCAATTACCACATTGTCTCACTTATAAGTGGGAGCTAAACATTAAGTACAGATGGACACAAGAAATGGCACAATAGACACTGGACCTACTTGAGGGCAGAGGGTTGGGGGAGGGTGAGGATCAAAAAACTATCTATCAGGTTCTATGCTTATTACCTGGGTGGTGAAATAATCCATATACCAAACACCTGCATTACACAATGTATCTATATAACCAATCTGCACATGTACTCCTGAAATAAAAATAAAATTTTAAAAATTAAAAAAACCTCTCAGATATCCAATGCTTATGTGTAGACATTTATAGATCTGTGTGAGTACATGTAACTATGTATGTTTGTGTATGAGTGTGTATCAACATAAAATACGCTTAACCTATTAGCCACAAATTCTTGTAATTTTACTTCCTTTTTAAATTTATTGCCGTTTTTCATTTTATTCATATTTTAATTTTTTGAATTTAGACACTGCAGCAATCACTCCTTAGCAGCAATTTCACTTTCTCTGTTTTCATTACTCAAAGTCAACTAGTCTGAAAATACTAGGTGAGTATTGTACAACATAGTATTAAAGAGAGAGAGAGAATATGCATAACTTTATTATAGTTACAATTATTCTATTTTATTGTTAATGTTAATGTCTTACTGTGCTCAATTTATAAATTAAAATTTATCATAGGTATGTATATACAAATAAAAGAAAAATTATAGTACTCTATATATAAGATTCAGGACTATACGTAGTTTCAGGCACCCCCTGGGAGTCTTGGAACATACCCCCTGCAAATAAGGAGGGTTAACGGTACATTTTATTCTGAAAGATTTGACTTACTGCATAGTGACTTAAATTTTTTCACAACATCATAGTGAAAGCTGTTTTATTAACATAACTTATCAGCATGAGAGTTTTGACCTGCTCTGTTTTTGACCTGTGCTGGTTTACCCCTCCTTAGGCAACTTGGTGATCCCCTGCTCTCAGGAGGTTACCATATTGATGCTGAACTTAGTGTAGACACTCAATTTGAATAGTGCACTGTAGCAGAATTCCTGGGCTCAAGCAATTCTCCTACCTCAGCCTCCTGAGTAGTTTGGACTTCAGGCACACAGTACTGCATCCAGCAAATATAATTTGTCAAATGATGAAATAGAAAAATGAAAAGTTTCAAATGAAGGGACAAAATTGCATTGTTTGTTTAAGAAGGTATTATAAGGTGACGTCCCCGTAACTATCACTCACATCAAGAGATAAAACATTGCTAGCTACACCAGAACCTCTTCATTTACCCCATTTCAATGTTCAACCCTTCCTAAACTTCAAAAGTAACTACTACTTGGAATTTCATAGTAATCACTTCCTTGACTTTTCAAATAATTTTATCCTTATGTGCATCCATAAACACTGTATTTTATTCTTATTGTTAAGAAAAACTAAAGTGAATGTAAGAACAAATAAAATATAAAATATACAATTCATTATGGCAATCTTCCCTTTCTAATTATGGGCTTGGATGTCATGCCTGGCAATTATTTTCTTACTTTGATCATATATATACATATATATATATATACTTGTGTGTGTATGTATGTATATATATGTATATATACATACACACGTATATATAAATGTGTATATATGTATATGTATACATATGTATGTATATATGTATATGTATACACATGTATGTGTATATGTATATGTATACACGTGTATGTGTATATGTATATGTATACGCGTGTATGTGTATATGTATATGTATACATATGTATGTGTATATGTATATGTATACATATGTATGTGTATATATACATGTATATATACATGTATATACACACACACATATGTATATATATAAAATAAATATATTGTTACCTTGAGTTGTAGATGATCTTAGAAATGAGACACCAGTTTTTGTTGATTTTTTTCAGTGTTAACTAAGTTTTAAATTGACAATGTCAAGAACCAGACAGAAACTGAAAGTTAGTGTGCGGATCTGCCAAAGCCATAGTGGCATAAAATAATGTTACTCTTTATACATTGTTAAAATATGAAAAATCAAACCCAAATGCATAATAGAATAAATGCCAGGAAAATAGGCATGAACAGGTGTGTCCAAGGCATACCAAGATGTTTGATAATTCTAATTATAAAATATAGGTGAAATATAATGTGTTTAGCTTTAGAAAAGAAATTGAATTGAGCAAGAGAAACAAATAAATATTCTTGCAGAACAGTTAAGGCTGCTTAATAAGGATTTTAAGTTAAAAATTGATACATAACATAGAGGTACATTTTTCCGTGTCAAGTTCTAAAGAGTAAAGGGGAACAAATGCTTCCTGATTAAGGTTTTCTCAAAGGAAACAAAGCAGAACAGGAATGAATTGTTTTCCTGGTATTACTCTAAAAGCTAATAGGACAATAGCTATCCTATGGAGAAAAAGGAACCCTTGTACATTGTTGGTGGGAAGGCAAATTGGTAAAGCCTTTTGGAAAACATTACAGGGGTTCCGCAAAAAAATTAAGATTAGAACTACCCATGATCTATCAATTCCTCTTCTGCATAAATATCCAAAATAATTGAAAGCAGAGCCTTGAAGAAGTGGCTGCACTACCATGTCCATTGCAGCGATCTTCACAATAGCCGTGATGTGGAACCACTTAAGTGTCAATGGATGGATAGATGGATAAAGAAATAGTGACTGACACACACACACAAACACACATACAAATGCATACACACACATATAATGGAATATGGCTTAGCTTTAAAAAAGAAAAAGATCCTCCTATTTGAAACAACATGGATGAAACTGGAGGACATTATAATAAGTTAAATAAGCCAGATGCAGAAGGAAAAATACTAAATGATGCCACTTTTATGAGTTATCTGTAATAGTAAAACTCATAGAAGCAGAAACACAATAGACCAGCAGCTGGGGGCATGGGGAAATGTTGGTCAAAAGGTACAAAGTTCTGATTATGTAGGATAAGCACGTTTTAGAGATCTAATGCATAGCATGGAGATTACACTTAATAATACTGTGTTGAATAGTGGAGTACTTCATTATATTATGCTTCATTTTATTGTACTTTGCAGATATTGCATGTTTTGCAAATTAAAGGTTTGTGACAACCCTGCATTAAGCAAGTCTATGGGCAATATTTTTCCAACAGCATAAGCTTTACTTCATGTCTTTTTGTCACATTTTGGTAATTCTCATAATAATTCAAACTTTTTCATTTTTATCATACCTGCTATGGTGATCTGTGATCAGTAGTCTTTGATGTTATTATTGTAATTGTTTTGGGGTGCCTCAAACCACACCCACATATGATGACAAGCTTAATAAATACATGTTGTGTGTTTTCTACCTGTTCCTCTCACCAAGCATTCCCTCATCTCTCTCCTCCTCAGTCCTCCCTATTTCCTGGGACAAAGCAATATTGAAATTAGGCCAATTTAGAACCCTGCAATGGCCTCTAAGTTTTCAAGAGAAAGAAAGAGTTATATATCTCTCAAGTTAAATCAAAAGCTATTATAAAAATCATTAAGGTTTGTGTGGAAGACATATCAAAAGCCAAGGTAGGCCAAAATGTAAGCCTCTTGTGCTAAAACACACACACACACACACACACACTCACACACACTCACACATGGCAACTATGTGAAAAGATGAATATATTAATTAGCTTGACCTTAGATATCTGTTCACTGTATAGATTTATATCAAAACTTCATGCTGTACACCTTAAACATATAAAATTTTAATTTTTTGAATAAGCTAATAGTGAAATAAATCTTCTCAAAACTGTAATTATGTAAACCAGTGTTTGTGTGACTCTATATTTACTCTCAAAAAGAGAAGTAAAGAGATCATGTAAAAAATAAGGTTTAACATTTAGTTATGATGATTCTACATCATTTCAGCAGTAGCCGGAAATAAGATAAAATACTTGGGTTTTAAAAAAAATAACGGAAAATGCCTGAAACTGCTATCTAGTACTGATAACAATATAACAACTTACACTACAATCAGTTAACATGCACTTACTTGTGCCAGGTACTGTGCTAAGCACCTTATTAGCATTATGTTATTAAATCCTCATAGGAATCAATGAGGCAGTGTATAAAACTGAGAAACTTTAAAAGGATGGCTGCTTTACTTAGGAAATCAATGAAAGGCAGCATGATGATGTATTCTAAAAATGAGAACAATAGCTGTAATCAAGAAATTAATTCAATAATGCTTCTTTAACCCTTTCCAGTAAATAAGAATTGGGTTATTCTACTTGTTTAGGATAGCAAATGGCCCATGAAAACCAGGACTCTATATAAATTTTGGAAACAACTTGTGGAGCTTGAGGGTGGAGGAATATATTGCCAGCGACAAATGAGAGCAATAGAGTTGAGATAAAATTAATGAGGACGGCCTTGCTTCAGGCCCTTTTCTGTCCTGCAATTCCTTTTCGCCAGGTGTCATTATGACCTATCCCAAAGATAGCATAATCTTATGAAAAAGTCTACTCATTTCCGATTTCCATGGATACACAGACTACCAATGTCTTTTTAAGTTACTAGTCTGAAACTCCACAAAAACCTTTCATTAATGCTGATGCTGAAATTTTGAAAAGATAGCAGAGAGATTGACTTTAAGCTATTAAATAATTTGGCTTAGCTTCACTGAAGCAAAAATATAAAAGCTCTAAAGTTCCATGTGGGTTTGTTCACTTCTGTCTTGATATAGCACAGAAATATGATAGAAAGCTATTTAGAAATTATTGTGCCTAGGGAACATTAGTTGACCTACAAAAGTTATTTCCAGTACTTTGTAACTTTTGATTCCTAAGATTTGACAAGTATGTGGCTGAATTTATTAATAAACTCAGAAAATATTTATTAGCACCTACTTAGAGCCACGGAGTGTGTTGGTGCTGTAGGGCAGGGAACTGCAATGCATACTGCAACTTCAGTGACAATATGCCCTTCTGGAAATTGTGTCAGTGTTTGGTGTCACCGATCAGAAATGTTAAGAAAAATACTACTTCTGGGTAACACTTGACATGAATGCAGTATGATAGAAGTTTTAGTTTGAAGAGATTTTTTTCTCTGGGTCATTCAGTTTCTCCAGAGCAAAAATCTTCCATATTTTACTTGGATCTAGCTGGGGTGGGGATTGTGATTTGCCTGTATGGCAATCTTCCTTTAAGGTAGTGAGGATCAGTGAGGAGGTTACTGGGAGTCCACAGTTACTAATGAATGTTTTCATAAAATCTCTCCTTATTTCAGTCCCTACCTCCCCTCTTCTTTCCCCTGTGCTTGGGGATCTCAAATCTCTGCTTCATTTGCTTTACAGAGTAAAACATCTGTCTTCCACAGCACTGAGGAAGAGGAACAGTCATCTCTTGCATGAGGGCTCTGTAGGGCTGAATACTCTCTAGATAGGCACTAATCTAGAGAGTGACAATTAAATTTCCAAATGGAGAATAGTTTCAGCACAGAGAGAACTGCATTGAACTCCTGGCATATAAAGCTCAAGTGGAAGGGCTTCCTGTACCACAGCCTCTAGTCACGTAGCATCCTTTCTTCACCTGGGTTCAATCAGAACCTAAAGTTGGCTGGGCGCGGTGGCTCATGCTGTAATCCCAGCACTTCGGGAGTTCAAGGCAGGCCGATTGTTTGAGCCCAGGGGTTTGAGACAAGCCTGGGCACACATAGTGAGACCCCATGCCCATGAAAAAACACAAAATTAGCCAATCATAGTGGTGCACACCTGTAGTCCCAGCTACTTGGGAGGTTAGTGTGGAGGATCACTTGAGCTCATGAGGTCCAGGCTGCAGTGAGCTGTGAGCACATGACTGCACTCCAGCCTGGGTGACAGAATAAGACCCTGTGTCAAAAAAAAAAAAAAAAAAAAAGAAAGAAAGAAAAGAAAAGAAAGAAAGAAAGAAAATGAGAAGTCTTGCTAGTTGTATAATGAAATATAGATAGTTGCATCCAAAATCCAAAAATCAGTGTAACAGATGCATAGATAGGTACAAAATCTTAAATGCATAACCCATTAATTTATACAGCACTAGTAAATGGCATTATATCATTTTCCAAAAACTCCAGAATATGCCTTTCGTGTGGTCCTGCTTCCCCAGAGATAACCACTACTTTGACTTTTATTGGCCATTGGCACATTGTATTTTTATGAAATGCCTGTGCAAGTCTTTTTGCCTTTTATTATGTTGTTGCTCTTTTCCTTATAGGTTTGCAGAAGTTGTTTATATATATATTCTGCACAATGTATTTTTAGATACATGTAATGTAAATATCATCTTTCAGTATTTTACTTCCTTATTCACTCTTTGATATGATTTGGATTTGTGTCCTTGCCCAAATCTCATGTCCAATCGTAATCCCCAGTGTTGGAGGAGGAGTCTGGTGGGAGGTGATTGAATCAAGGGGGTGGATCTAGTGATAGTCAGTGACTTCTCATGAGATCTGTGTTTAAAAGTGTGTAGCACCTCCCCCTTCTCTTTCTTCCTCCTGCCACAGCCTTGGAAGACATACCTACTTTCACTTCTGCCATGGTTGTAAGTTTCCTAAGGCCTCCTCAGCCATGCCTCCTGTAAAGCCTGCAGAACCATGAGCCAATTAAACTTTTTTCTTTATAAATTACCCAGTCTCAGAAATTTCTTTATAGTGGCGCAAGAATGGACTAATGCACTCTCATAATAGTATTTTTCAATGACTAGAAGTTCTTAATTTATGTTATGCCAAAATATATTTTCCTTAAATTTTTGTATCCTTTAATTTTTTTTTTCTTATGGAAAGGTTATGAAGGTATTTTCACAAGTTTCCTTCTGGAAGTTTCATTGTTTCAGTTTGCATTTGGAGGACATTTACATGTTATCAATACTTTCTCAATTCATGGACAAGATATATTTCTTCATTAATTTGACTACATTTTCTTTATCTATCAATGAATACTTGTTTTTTTTCTATATCTTTGTCCTTATGAATAATGCTACAGAACATGAGAGTGTAGATATCTATTCCAGATCTTGACTTCAATTATTTTAAATATATATAGATAAGTGAAGTTTCTGAGTTATATGGTAATCATAGTTTTAATTTTTTCAGGAAACTGCATACTGTTTTTCATAGATGCTGTACCATTGTACATTTCCACTGACAGTGTATAAGTGTTCCAATTTTTCTGCATTCCTGCTGGCACTTATCCTTTTTTTTAATTAGTGTAGATATCCTGTCAGGTGCAAAGTGATATGTAATTAGTTTTGATTTGCATTTCTCTAATAATTAATGATGTTGGGCATCTTGTCATATGCCAACTGGTCATTGCAAATCATATATTTGATAATAGGTTAATTTCCAAAATATATTAGAAACTGTTACAACCCAATAGCAAATAATAATAATAATAATAACCTGATTAAAAATAGGGCAAAGAACTTGAACAGACATTTTTCCAAAGAAGATATACAAATGGACTTCTTTTTTTCTCAGCAATGTTTGTAGGTTTCTGAATAGAGGGGTTTTAGTTTTTGGTTAGAATTATTTCTCAATATTTAACTTTGGTGCTATTATAAGCTATATATTTAAAAATCAGGTTCTGATTGTTTATTGCTAGTGTATAGAAGCACAATATATTTGTATATTTTCCCTTTTATTTATATATAATAATTTTCATATTATATATGAATATATTTATGTGTGTATATATATATCAACATATACATGTGAATGTTGTATAGAATGTGTAATAATCAAGTCAGGTTATTTGAAGTATCCATCATTTTGAGTGTTTATCATTTTTATGTGATGGTATCATTTAAAATCCTCTCTTCTAGTTACTTGGAAATATACATAATATTTTTGCTAAGTTTAGTCACCCTAGTCTGCTATCAAACATTAAAAAAAACTTCTTCTAGTTAACTGTATGTTTGTACTCATAATAAACCTCTCTTTATCCCCCTCCCCAGCCTTGCCCAGACTCTGGTATCTGGCATTCTATTCCCTATGTTCATGAGATTAAGATTTTTAGTTCCTACCTATGAGTGAGTATGTATGGTATTTGTCTTTCTGTGCCTGACTTATTTCACTTAACATAATAATCTCCAGTTTCATCTACATTGCTGCAAATGACATCATGATTTCATTCTTTTATATAGCTGAATAGTATTCCACTATGTGTGTGCATAACATATTCTCTTTATTCATTCATCCATTGATAGGCTTTCTGTTTTCCCCATTCATTATAATGCCAGCTGTGGGTCATTGCATATGGCTTTTATTATGTTGAGGTATGTTCCTTGTATCCCCAGTATTTTAGGGTTTTTATAATAAAGAGATGTTGAATTTCATCAAATGCTTATTCAGCATCAATTAAAATTATCACATGGTTTTTGTCCTTCATTTTGTTAATATGTCACATTGATTGATATGCATATGTTGAATCATCCTTGCATCCCAGGGATAAAGCTTACTTGATCATGAAGAATGATCTTTTTAATGTATTGTTGCTTTTGATTTGCTAGTATTTTGTTGAGGATTATTACATCAATGTTCATCAGTGATATTGGCTTGTACTTTCCTTCCTTCCTTCCTTCTTTCGTTTCTTTCTTTCTTTCTTTCTTTCTTTCTTTTTCTTTCTTTCTTTCTTTCTTTCCTTCCTTCCTTCCTTCCTTCCTTCCTTCCTTCTTTCTTTCTTTCTTTCTTCCTTTCTTCCTTTCTGTGTCTTTGTCTGCATTTGGTATCAGAGTAATACTGGCCTTGTAGAATGAGTTTGATTTTGAAAGTATTCCTTCCTCCTCTATCTTTTGGAATAATTTGAGTAGGATTTGTATTAAATCTTTTTTAAATGTATGGTAGAATCTGCCATGAAGCCATAAGGTCCCAGGGTTTTCTTTAGTGGGACACTTTATTACAGCTTTAATATTGTTACTTGTCATTGGTCTGCTGAGGTCTTGGATTTCTTCATGATTCAATCTTTGTGTATTGTGTGTGTCTAGGAATTTATCCATTTCCTCTAGGTTTTTTAATTCATTGGATATAGTTGCTCATAGTAACCACTAATGATCCTTTGAGTTTCTGCAGTATTGGTTATAATGTCTCCTTTTATATCTCTGATTTATTTATTTTGGTCTCTCCCTTTTTTTCTTCATTAGTCTGGCTAAGGGTTTGTGAATTTTGTTTATCTTTTAAAAAAACTTTATGTTTTATTGATCTTTTGTATTGTTTACTTCATTTCACATTCATTTATTTCTACTCTGATCTTTATGATTTCTTCTACTAATTTTGTGTTTGGTTTGCTCTTGTCATCTAGTTCTTCAAAATTCATCATTAGGTTATTTATGTAAAGTTTTTCTCCTTTTTTCATACAGGCACTTATAGCTATACATATTCCTTTTAGTACTGCTTCCACTGTATCCCTTAGGTATTGGTATTTTGTGTTTCCATTGTCATTTGTTTCAAGAAACTTTTCAGTTCCCTTCTTAATTACTTTTTGTCCCACTGGTCATCGAGGAGCATATTGTTTAATTCCCATGTGCTTGTATAATTTCCAAAATTACTGTTGTTGTTTCTGGTTTTATTACACTCTGGTCAGAGAAGATGTTTCATATTATTTCAATTTTTTTGAAATAAAGTTTTAAAACACAAAATTTTTTTCAAGACTTGTTTTGTGACCTAATATATGGTCTATCCTTGAGCATGATCTATGTGCTAAGGAAGATAATGTGTATTCTATAGCTGTTGAATAAAATTACCTGTAAATATCTTAGTTCCATTTGTTCAATAGTGCAGATTAAGTTTGATGTTTCTTTGTTGATTTGCTGTCTGGAAGATCTGTCCAATGCCAACATGGGGTGTTGAAGTCTCCAGCTATTATTTTATTGAGTTCTCTCTCTCTCTGTCTCTCTCCTAGCTCTAGCTCTAATATTTTCTTTACATAGCTGGGTGCTCCAGTGTTGGGTGCATATATATTTACAATCTTTATATCCTCTTGCTGAATTGACTCCTTTATTATTGGATAATGATCTTCTTTGTCTCTTCTTACAGTTTTTGTCTTAAAATCCATTTTTTTATGATATAAGTATAGCTACTCTTGCTCTTTTTTGGTTTCCATTAGCATGGAATATCTTCTCCCACTCCTTTATTTTCAATGTATGTGTATCTTCATTGGTGAAGTGTTTCTTGTAAGCAACATATCATTGGATCTTGTTTTTTTAATTAATTCAGCCACTCCATGTCTTTTGATTGGGGAGTTTAGTGCATTTACATTCAATATTATTATTGATAAGTAAGGACTAACTCCTGGCATTTTGTAATTTGTTTCCTGCTTGTTTTTGCAGTTTTCTCATCCTTTTTTCCTTTCTCCCTGCCTTCATTTTAATGAAGATGATGTTCTCTGGTGTTATGATTTAACTTCTTGCTTTTTATTTTATGTGTATTCATTGTATTTTTTTTTGTATTTGAGGTTACCATGAAGCTTGCAAATACTATCCTATAGCTCATTATTTTCAACTAATAACAGCTTAACATTGTTTGCATAAACTAACAAGCAAAAAGAAAAAAACAAAAACTCTAAACTTTAACTTCCTCCCCAATTTTTAAGTTTTTATTGTTTCTCTTTATGTTTTATTGTACTGAGTCTTGAAAATTTGTTTTTGTTATTGTTTTTGATTGGTTCATCATTTAGTCTTTCTACTTAAGAGTAGTTTGCAAATCACAATTACGGTGTTATAATATTCTGCATTTTTCTGTGTGCTTACTATTTCCATTGAATTCTGTACCTTCAGAGGATCTCTTCGTGCTTATTAACATCCTTTCTTTCTGATTAAAGAACTGCCTTTAGCATTTCTTCTAGGAGAGGTCTGATGTTGACAAAATACCCCAGCTTTTGTTTATCAGGGAAGATCTTTATTTCTTCTTCATGCTTAAAGGATATTTTTGGCTGGATGTACTATTCAAGGGTAAAAGTTTTTCCTTCAGTACTTTAAATATGTCATGCCACTCTCTCCCGGCATGTAAGATTTCCACTGAAATATCTGCTTCCAGATGTATTAGAGTTCCACTCTATGTTGTTTATTTCTTTTATCTTGCTACTTTTAAGATCCTTTCTTTATCCTTGACCTTTGGGAGTATGATGATTAAATACCTTGAGGTACTCTTTGGGTTAAATCTATAACATTCTTGTACTTAAATTTTGATATGTTTCCCCAGGTTTGGGAAGTTCTCTGATATTTTTCCTTTAAATAAATTTTCTACCTCCATCTCTTTTTCTCCCTCCTCTTTAAAGCCAGTAACTTTTGCCCTTTTAAGGCTGTTTTCTAGATCTTATAGGTGTGCTTCCTTCTTGTTCATTCTTTTTTCTTTTTTCTACTCTGACTGTGTAATTTCAGAATGTAAGTGTAAGTAGCCTGTCTTCAAGCTCACTAATTATCTCTTCTGCTTCATTGATTATGCTATTAAGCAATTGATGCATTTTTCAGTATGTCAACTGCAATTTTCAACTGTAGAATTTCTACTTGATTATTTTTATTTTAATCTGTTTGTTAAATTTGTTGAATAGAATTCTGAATTCTTGGTCTGTGTTATGAATTTCTTAAGGTTTCCTCAAAGTAGTTATTTTGACTTCTACGTTTGAAAAATCACATGTCTCTCTTTCTCCAGGACTGGTCTCTGGTGCCTGATTTAGTTTATTTCATTAGGTCATGTTTTCCTGGATGATTCTGGTGCTTGTATATGCTTGTTGGTGCCTGGGCATTGAAGAGTCAGGTATTTATTGTACTCTTCACAGTCTGGGCTCATTTGTGCCCATCCTTCTTGAGAAGGCTTTCCAGGTATTTGAAGAAACTTGGGCCCTAAACCCATTGTGGTTTTTTTTTTTTTTTTTTTTTGGCAGACTTATACAAGTAACACTTTTGATGTCTTAGATGAGATTTTGAAGAACTCTGTAGATTACCAGGCGGAGACTCTTGTTCTTTCCCTTGCTTTCTTCCGAACAAATGGAATCTTTCTCTGTGCTGAACCACCTGGAACTGGGGGTGTGGTGATGCAAGCACCCCTGTGGCCACCACCACTGGAACTATAATGGTTCAGGTCTGAAACCAGCATAGCACTGGGTCTTATCCAATGCCCACTGTAACCACTACTTGGCTACCACACGTGTTCACTCAAGGCCCTAGTGCTCTAGGATCAGCAGGTAGTGAATCCAGTCAGGTTTATGCCCTCCTCTCCAGGGTGGCAACTTCCCCTAGACCCTAGGCAGGTCCAGAGATACTGTCTTTGAGCCAGGAATTGAAGCCAAAAACCTTGGAAATTTACCTGGTGCTCCATTCTACTGTGGCTAAGTTGGCACTCAAACCACAATACAAAGCACTTCCTGTCCTTATCTCCCCTTTCCACAGGCAGAGGAGCATCTCTGGGGAGCCACCACCACTACTGGCCAATGGCAGATTCTGCTAGGCCAACACTGATGTTTTCTTAGAGCCCAAGGGCTCTTCAGTCAGCTTGTAGTGAATACTGCCATGCCTGAGACTCACCCTTCAGGGCAATGGGCTCCTCTCTGACCCAGGGCAGGTCCAGAAATGCTGTCCAAGTGCTTAGTCCTAGACCCAGGGTGTGCAGGAGATTGCTTGTTGCTCTAACCCACTGTGGCCAAGGTGTTACCTAAGGTGCAAGACAAAGTCCCCTTTACTTTTCCCTCTGCTTTTCTCAGGAGTCATTTACTGTAGCTGCCACCCTTGAGAATGTGCTGGGTCACACCTGAAGTCAGCACATCTCAGAGCCCAAGGCCCACAGCATACTCCCTGGGTATTGCTGCTGGTTATTTAGGGCCCAAGAACTCTTTAGTAAGTAGGTGATGAATCCTGTCATCACTGGGTTCTTCCCTTCAAGGTAGCAGGTTGCCTTTTGCGACAAGGTGTGTCTAGAAATAACATCCATAAGCTAGGGCCTGTAATGGGGGTCTCACAACTCTGCCCAGTGTGCTAACTACTGTGGCTGAGCTGGTATCCAAAATGCAAGACAAAATCCACTTTACTCTTTGCTCTCCTCTCTTTAGGCAGAAGCAAGGAGTTACTTTCATTGCTGCAAGCTTCACTGCCTAGGGTTGGGGGAGAAGTGGTGCTAGCAGTCCCTTAGCTGCCTCTGGTGATATCTCCCTAGGTAACACGCCATGCTGGTACTCTGGTTCTAAGCCCAGCCTAACACTAGGATTGCCTAGGAGTTTCAGTCCTTGTGTCCTATTCTGCCTTTCAAGTTTACTTAGGACCCCAGAGCATTTCAGCCTGCAATGGCAAGACTTGTCAAGAAACTCGAGTTCTAACTGCTGGAATGGGCAAATTTCCCTCTAGCTAGTTCGACTGCTCCCACATGCGTGGGCACTGGCTGATCCCAGCATGGCTTTACTCTCTGCTATGACAGGGTAGCACTAAGTTTAATGTAAAGTTCCCCAGTCTCTGTGCTCTCCCTCCTCTAAGTGAACAGACTCTCCATGCCCCAGGACCATTGCCGGGGGATGTGACAGGGCGTGAGCATAGGATCAGCTATACAAGACTGTCTCTCTCACCCTCTTCAATGCCTCATTGAGTGATATGAAATTCAAATCACATGCTGTGATTGCTCACTTGATTTTTTGTTCTCATGATGGTGTTTTTCTATGTGCAGATATTTGTTAAAATTTGATGTTCCAGGGGCAGGGAGGGGCCAGGGACACCTTCTATTCTGCCACCTTGCTCCACCTCCTCAATTTTAAATGAAGTGGTAAAAATGGCATTTGAAGAATGTCGTTCCTTCAGGTAAAATAAAAAGGAAGAACAAATCCTAACTAGAGTATCTAAAATTGTTGGAAAATTCATGACATTACCTTATTTTTATTGCACATTGTGCATTGTGTATACACTGTATGGACTCACTTCAACATAAAGCACAATGAACATTTTTACATGGAAGAAATTATGGTAGAAAAATCTCATTTGTACATCAATAATTTGAGAAATATCATCTGATTAGACTTGCAGAGTGAACAACAGTAAGGGCTCAAGTTTCCAGCATCTAAATAATATCCATAATTTTTCACATATTAACATTTTAAATCCATCCAAATCTCAGCATGCCTATCACCTATGTAAGACACATTCCTTTAATTAGAATAAGTATGGAGCACTCTCCATAAACTTACCACAAAATGAATTGTTAGAAGTACAGCAGAGGGCGAGGGATACTTGTAGGATCAACATGTAAATCCCCTGACAAAGAAGATTAAGTGCTTTCTTCACTTTCAGAAGCTCCTTCCATGAGGCTCTCCTGGGCCCTTCTCCCATACACATATGAATGGAATGTCTCTTGGGCCGCTCGAGGCATGGTGGATTCAGGATTATCCTCCAAGTGCATTAATCAGCAGTAGCATAGGCTAATTCTGAGAGGTAACATAAGAAAGTTTGTAATTCATAGTAAATTATTAATTCAACTGTTCATAGAAAAACATTTATTCAAGATTTATCACGGACCAGACTTAAACCTAGGTGCAGAAAAACAGTGGTGAAGAGCAGCATCAGCAGATCCTCTATTTAATGGCATTGATGTCTCCTGATGTATCCAAAAATCATTTTGTCCTAGAGACATAAGTTTCATATTTGATCTTCTTGAGGTATGGGGTATATAGGGATTCAATTATTATGTTGCTGCCACTACTGAAACTAATAAACTTCCACTGAACAGTGTTCATGGCCAGGTACAGTATCAGTTATTATATAAAGTTGTATTTGGGAAGAAATACTTAAGGAAAGTAATTTGAAGTGAATCTGAACACCGCTTTTTGAAATATGATCAAAATGGGCCTTACCCACTCTATAAGAAAATAAACAAATTACCAGTGTTTGATGACATAGGTATACTAGGCAGTCTCCTTAATCTAGTGGTATTCTTTCAGTGTCCGGTCGTATCCTTCAGCCTGATTCTTAATGAAATACGTAACATGGGCATCTCCATAACTAAAAGCATAATGCTGACTCATTGTTTTTATATATACATTGCTTTTGAATATGCACAGTTGCTTTTTTCTCTGTAATTTCTAACAAATTAAAAATAGAAATAATCTTGTTTTAAGAATAAATAATGAAAATACAATTATTTTTCACGTGGTACTACATATCTTGATGAAACTAAACAAACCAGCCAACAACAAAACAACCAACAACACTTTACCCCACCCCAACAATTGCCTTAAACCTTAAACAAACTGTTTGTTTCTGGGCCACCAACAAACCTAACAAATCGAAAAAGTTTTACTCTAACTAGTGTGAAATAGAATGTCTGACCCAGAGACATTCTATTCTATAAAAAAATGCCAACTTTTTTTCCAATGAAGAGATGTAATACCTAAGTTTGGGGATGATCTCTAATAATTCTTTTTCTCAAAAGTCAAATGCTTTCTCTCCTTATAAAAGGTGAAACTGGCCCAATATGTAAGAATTTTTCAGAAATGCAGTTGTTAATTTCTTAAGTATTTCTTGAAACAAAACCCATAAATATTACAACATTTTTTGAAGAATAAGCAGAATTCTATTAAATATTGTTTGTATAAATTCAACAATACTGAAAAATTGAATTTGAACTAGTCCTCAGAGATAATTTTTCCATTTTTGTATTTTCTCTATTCTACTGTCTGCACTGATTAATTTTTTTTTCCTCAAAACTCAGAAATGGAGGCCAGTAAGTCAAAAGATGTCTTTGTATCCCACGTTGAATATACTCTGACCTTGGATGCTTGTTAGTAAGTGGTCTTGATAGTCACTTAGACAGGCATCTCTTGGGTATAGCTGTCATGGGGCACTGGAAGGGAAAAGTGTGAGAAAAGTGGCTTTTCTACCAGTTCCCTATGTCCTGACTCTTACTTAGTAGGCTATGAAGTCAGAATTAACTTAGAAAATGTGGGAAGAGAACAGAAGGCTCTCCTGGCAGATTGACTGACTGATAAAGGAGGAATTCTGACACCACTTAGGGAAGAAATTGAAGAAGTGTCAACATCCAGTAACAAGGTCTGGTAATAGGCAAAAATGGTCAAAGTCTGTATCTGTTCAAATAGAGAGCAAAGATTCTGTCATTCAAGAGATGTCATCAATTTATTAAATATCATCATTGCCTTAAGATAGATGCATTTAAAAATTAAAAATAAAGTATTTTAAAAATGTTATCACAATCTCGACATTCCTAAGACTTCAATATTATGGTTTTGTCCATAGCTACTTTTCTTAAAGAGTTATTTTGCTTCAATACTTAACCATAATTTAGAAACCTAATTGTTGACTTCTATCGGATTAAGATTATCTGTTTTTTGTTGTTGTTTTGTCATTGTTAGAGTGAGAGCATTCTTTTGTAGTTTACTGCATCCTAAGAGCAAGCCCAAGTCCTACTGTGGTTGTTTTTTGATGTGTTGTTCTTAGTGTGGTTCCTGGGATGGCAGAGGGCTTTCCTTGATGCCAGTGGGCACTTTTAGCTTTCGAGAAACCCTGCAGACTTGTGCTTCAGGTGGGGTTTCTTTCCATACACGTGCCCCACCCCCAGCAGCAGATTGCTGTTGCTTTGTTCCAGGTGCTAAGATTGTGGTGGTGGGGTATCGGAAAAATGAGGGGCAATGCGCATTCTTGATTCTCCTTGTCCAGCCTGATTTGTAATATATTTTAAGGTAATAGGACTTATTATTTATATAATTTCCCCTTTATAGAAAAATGATTCTGAGGGTGTATAAACAAGACTGAAAGACCTGAAAAGCTTATGACATTTGAACATTTACAAAATTTAAAAAGTAGAGAAAATGATAAATCAAAATCTTGAAAAAAAAAAATAACCAAGCGTAGAAGAGAAACAGGAATATCTAGTAAGAAATCAAGATATAATTTGCAGATACAGCCATATAAAAAACAATTCAAAATTTCTCTCTGAAATAAAACATTGTCAATGTTTAAAAATTATTTATTTTAGGAGTTTAATTGTTAGGGCTTTTGAAAAAGATTTCCCACCAAGAGGTTTTATAATCAATCTAGTTACAATTTAATTTGGATATACATTCATTTCATAAGCAAATTCAACAAAGACTATTTATTAATCATCCATTCTTTATGTGAAGTGGTTAACTATTGAGATTCATTTATTTTGCAGGTAGCTAAAATTTCATTGATAGTATAGAATTTTTGGCAAAGGAAGGGTAGAAGTGAGGTTAGAATAAGAAGGCAATTTGGGACGATAGGAGTATTGTCGGTTGTGGCCCAGGCCACCGTGTTGCCAGGGTGGGGCTCTGGTGGGCTTTCCACAGCTGAAGAATAGAACGTGGATGTTGGGTGTTTAGGGTGGATGGGAGGGAGCTTCAGGAACAAAGAATAGAACATGAAAAATAACAAAGATATGACTCACTTACTTAATTTTTAATATTTTTACTGTGGCTGATCATGCCATGTAGCTTACCAAAATGTATCTTATAAAATAGTTTACATGTGTCTGTTAGTAAAAAAAACAAAAACAAACAAACAAAACATTTAAGTTGTGGTCTCCTGAAGTCGAAAAATGTTTAAGACAGAAAGAAGTGACTTCAAAATAAATGAACATTTTTTTTCATAATGCTGAAAACCAGAATTTGGGGTAGAAGTCAAATCAAATGAATATTTAGCAAGACGCAGTGCTCATCATAGCTATGGGTATAGATAGTACAAAAGTACAAAAAATAGATAGATAGGTAGATAGATGATAGATAGATAGATAGATAGATAGATAGATAGATAGATAGATAGATAGATGATAGATAGATGATAGATAGATAGATATTTTTTTCAGACAGAATCTCGCTCTGTCGCCCAGGCTGCAATGCAGTGGCGTGATCTCTGCTTACTGCAACCTCTGCCTCCCGGTGGTTCAAGCTATTCTCCTGCCTCAGCCTCCCAAGTTGCTGGGATTACAGGCGCCCGCCACCATGCCAGGCTAATTTTTGTATTTTTAGTAGAGATGGGGTTTCACCATGTTGGCCAGGCTGGTCTTGAACTCCTGACCTCAAGTGATCCACCTGCCTCGGCCTCTCAAAGTGCTGAGATTACAGGTGTGAGCCACTGCACCTGGCCGCAAAAATATTTTAATAAAAATTGATAAACTCTGCCCACAATCAATATTTTTGGGGTTATATATGATTCTCGAAACTCTGGAATAACTGGTTTTCTTTTAGCTTTAGATCAAAAGACTTCAGAAGGCAAATTCAGATCTGTTAAATTGCCTTGAGGTGAGTACTCATGATTCTTCATTTAGATTAAACCTTGAGACAGGCTTGTCTTGTTATTCTGACCATAATGTTTGTATGGGTCTCTTAAAGACTCTAAAAATATTTATTCTCTTAAAATTTTCACGATGATACGAAGTCACAGAAAAGGCCTGTCTGACTTTTGATGATTGATACTCTGGATTTGTTAATACACTTTTAGAACCTAGTTAGTGCCTGATCCCTGGTTACTGTCCAGTTGTTCCTTCCTGAGGATGAGAGATCAGCTGCCTCTCACCCGAGAATAGTGACTGAAACATGTTACTGTTTAGTAATTGAGGAAAATTCCCTTTTATAGTGTTCTTTCCAGCTGACATGCAAATATAAAATTACAATACTTCCCAAAAGAAAATTAGATGCATTATCTATCTTTAAAATCTTTAAGAAACAATTCCATTTTTCTTCTCTGCAAGAGATTAAATAAATCATAAAGCAAGCCTAAAAATCTGTTTTATCCAAATTGCATGCATACAATCAATATTTTTAATACTCACTTAACTTTTTCTGCCAAATACTAGAGTAAACATCTGCTTGCTTTGTAAGGGGATACACATGTCTCCCTCCCACTCTGTCCATCCCTCTCCCAAACTCCAATCCCACATGAAAATTTTTCAAATTTCTTGAGGGCCACAGCTGGATACAAAACTATATTGAGTATTAAAGTGACAAACCACATCTCCTTTTTGTATTAATGGATGCTTCTGCTAAATGATAAATATTTTGGCATGATTAAATATGTCATAAATACAGTCACTATGCAATGTGTTGACCAGCTTAACTTTTTCACCCTGGTTAGATTTATCAAAGTTTTATTTAAAATCTAGATGTTCTTCATTGTCTTTTGTGATTTTAAAGCAGCAACATATGGTGCTTTGCAACAAAAGATAATTAGAATTTTGTCTTGCTTGCCTTTAATGTCTAGCTTTTTTTTTAAGTATGTGTTAATAAAACTTACAAAATGTTTGTTAATAAAATTTACAGAGGACAATGAGAACTTTAAAAATTATTATGTAAATTATCAATTTGGCACCATAATCTGTACATTTCTAAGTTTTCAAGCTAATGAACCTACTCCTAAAAATGAATAAAAGGTTCTGTATTTTTAATAGAGATGGAGTTTCACCATGTTGGCCAGGATGGTCTCGATCTCCTGAACTCGTGATCTGCCGCCTCGGCCTCCCAAAGTGCTGGGATTAAAGGCGTGAGCCACCGCATCCAGCCTCTTGTTTACTTCTGTCTTGATTTTTTGGACTGCTATTTTAAATCTTTTTGATCATTCTTGAGAAATGTCTCAAGAATGATCTCAGTACTTTGTGTTATTTCCGGCTTTACTCTGTTCTTTCTCTCTCTTTCCTATTGCTATGGCAGTGTCTGACCCTGGCCGTGACTTAGCATCCTGACTCCTGCTTTAAGAAATCACAGTTCTAGAATTAATCCCCTGTTGTTCTAGATTTCAATTCCACAGTACTTGGTTTTGATCTGGGGTTTCATTTTCATTTTTATGTCACTTTTACTTTGTCACATAACTAAATCTGGCTGTTACCAGCCAGATTTGACATCTCACCCATGTTTAAAGAGGTGATTATTACGCTGATTTCACATCGTTTTTCAATTGTAGTTAATAGAAAATGAAGGAGGAAGCATTAGTCTCCACCTTCCTAAACTGACTCCTCATTTTCCTTTTATTTTTTTTTTTCCAGACGGAGTCTCACTGTATCACCCAGGCTGGAGTGCAGTGGCTTGATCTGGGCTCACTGCAACGTCTGCCCCCCGGGTTCAAGTGATTCTCCTGCCTCAGCCTGCAGAGAAGCTGGGATTATAGGCGTGCACTACCACGCCCAGCTAACTTTTGTATTTTTAGTAGAGATGGGGTTTCGCCATGTTGGCCAGGATGGTCTTGATCTCTTGACTTCGTGATCTGCTCACCTCGGCCTCCCAAAGTGCTGGGATTACAGGAGTGACCCACCGTTCCCAGGCTTACACCTCATTTTCTAGTTTCCAATACAAACTATCATGAACTGACTGGAACGTAATAATCTTTATTCATTCCTCATAAATGTATCTTTGTATTCAGTGTGGGAGGAGGAAAAGGCTAGTTCTCAAAGGGATTTACCAGGAGCCTAACGAAGCCTAAAATTCATGTCCCCTCCTTTGCACAAGCGCTTCAAAGATGTAGAAAGGAGCCATAGAAGTTTCTTCACATGATCCTATGTTTTTGCCAAACCACAATCAATGAAGTCCAATGTGTCTTGCTATCAATATCTCTACAGTCACTTTTCTCCTTGTAAGTGGGGTAAATAGAGTGGTTGTCTCATTCTGGAGAATTAGCTAAGGGGAAGCTGCAGAGGGTTAAAATTATTTTACATACATCATGTAATTTGTTATCACTTCTGTGTTCACTTAAGATAATTGTTATCCACCTTCTGTGTACCAATAAATTTTAGTAATATCCCTACTAAACACTGCACTTATTCACCTAGAGTTGTGAAGTGAAGGTTTAGACTAAGTGGCCTTATTGCAAATTTAACGTGTCCAGTGGCTTCTGACATTGGAAACATGTAGGTAATGAAGGAGATAAAAACTTTGAAACATATAGGGGCAAAAGCCTGTCTGTGGAAAATTCTTCCAATCGCTAGATACATAAAGATATAAGAAGAAAATTTGATTTTCATTTACACCTAGTCCACAGAAGTTCCTTCACATGAGAAATTTGATAATGCAGTGTATAGGTATTGTACTAGACAATTTTTTCCCTTGATGAGAATAACACAATATATAGTTTATCATTTTTGTGATAACAGCACAGAACTATGTGATAATAGTACAAATATTGAATAATACTTTATCTTAGACTATGTTTTATGTAGAATTAAAAACATTGAACCAAAAAATGAAGCATGTTAGAAGAAATAAACCACCTTAATACTATCTCTACATAGAAAACATTTTTAAAATGGTCATATAAAAAGGCAATCAAGGAGTGAGAGTCAAAACAAGCAGGAATAAAACATTATAGAGATGATAATTAATTTCAAAAATTGTCACTTTTTTCCTGTTTTTGCGGTATTTGTGGTATTTGTCATATTTTAATATCTGCAAATTTGATATTCATTTTGCAATTAAGTATAAATAAATATTTTTTGTACTTAATTTTATATTTATATTTTAAGGTTCATTTTCTTAAGGAAACCTACTCAAATTGGCTGAATAAAACGTAGATTATACTTCACTTAAAGGTTATTTATGGACCTTTTTGTATTCCTCCAGGACTATTATTTTAAACAATCTAATAGAAAAAATATGTCACAATTATAAATAATAAAAGCATAAGGGACAAAATAAATAGCACTACAAAATGAGTATAATCAGTAAGTGTATATAGCTATACAAGAGGAAGGATTCATCACTGACATATTAATGTTTATTAAAGGCCTCAAAGAAGAGGCAATGTTCAATTGCAGGACATTGTTTGAATATGTAGAAAGTTAGTGATAGAACGTTGATAAAATTAGCAGTGTAGATCAGTTTTCAAGTTTTCTTTTCCTTTCTATATTCAGAATTGAAGCCTATATAGACCAGGTCCTAATCAACCACTGTGTGCATAGTATCGAGACTGGAACATTCAAGTTAAAATAATAGGTGTTTTTCAAAACTGGGGTTTTCTGTTCCTTCTCTTGCCTCCATATTCTTATACCTATAGGCATGGGAGAGCAGCCAACTCACAAAACATGATCCCTGACCCAGGCCAGAGCTGAGTGGTTTAAGCATGAGTATAAGGCCGGGCTTACGCTCTCATCAATTTGTAATTGAGGCTGAGAAATTTCGGAGTAGTCCTGGCTAAACACTCAACCTCGGAGCTACTGGCAGCCCTATTTCAATCATGTGAACTAAGTGCAGAAAAACCTTAAGGAAAGAGGATGAAGGTAGCAAATAGAGACAAACAAAGAAGACAGAGAAAAGATTTCATAAATTCTGTAAATCTTTTTTTGTATCCTAGTTTCAATCTTTGCTGAGGCCCAGTTGTAATACTGCCTTACCTTCCACAAAGCACATCTTTATTAATTAGTAGCCTTTGTAGTAATCATCCTTCCATTGTACAAGTCAGTGGTTCTTAAACTTAGTATCACACTAGAATCATGTGGAGGAATGTTTGGCCCTATCTGGGACAAATTAATTGATTTTCTTAATTATTTTTTTCAGCTTTCCATAACCCCTGTTTGCTCCTGTCCCAAGAATGATGCAAAAACAAAAAGAGTACAAACAATTTGAGCTTTCACTTCCAATGTATTCCTTGGTAGTAAATCAAATGGAAATCAAAATAATTTATATAAAGAAACTGAGGCTGATGAATGAATTTGAACTACATTACAGGATATAGTTATATAAGATAAATTAATGTTTAGAGATATTCTGATTTTAAAACTATTAACACACATGATGACATTAGCAAATGATAGTTTTAAGATAATGATTATTGTATTAGTCCGTTTTCATGCTGCTGATAAAGACATACCTGAGACTGGGAAGAAAAAGAGGTTCGATTGGACTTACAGTTCCACATGACTGGGGAAGCCTCGGAATCATGGTGGGAGGTGAAAGACACTTCTTACATGGTGGCGGCAAGAGAAAATGAGGAAGAAGCAAAAGCAGAAACCCCTGATAAACCCATCAGATCTCGTGAGACTTATTCACTATCATGATAATAGCAAGAGAAAGACCTCAACCCCCATGATTCAATTCCCTCCCCCGGGTCCCTCCCACAACACATGGAAATTCTGAGAGATACAATTCAAATTGAGATTTGGGTGGGGACACAGCCAAACTGTATCATTCCACCCCCACCCCTCCAAATCTCATGTCCTCACATTTCAAAAGCAATCATGCCTTCCCAACAGTCCCCCAAAGTCTAAACTCATTTCGGCATTAACCCAAATGTCTGCAGTTAAAAGTCTTATCTGACACAAGGCAAGTCCCTTCCACCTACGGGCCTGTAAAATCAAAAGCAAGCTAGTTACTTCCTAGATACAATAAGGGTGCAGATATTGGGTAAATACAGCCATTCCAAATGGGAGAAATTGGTCAAAACAAAGGGGTTACAGGGCCCATGCAAGTCTGAAATCCAGTGGGGCAGTCAAATTTTAAAGCTCCAAAATGATCTCCTTTTACTCCAGGTCTAACATCCAGGTCACAATGACTTAAGGGGCAAGTTCCCATGATCTTGGGGAACTCTGTGGCTTAGCATGGTGGAGCCTTCCTCCTGGCTCCTTTCATGGGCTGGTGTTTAGTGTCTGCAGCTTTTCCAGGCACACAGTGCAAGCTGTAGGTGGATCTACTATTCTAGGGTCTAGAGGACTGTGGCCCTCTTCTCACAGCTCCACTAGGCAGTGCCCCAGTAGGGATTCTGTGTGGGGGCTCCAGTCCCACATTTCCCTTCTGCATTGCCCTAGCAGAGGCCCTTCATGAGGGCCCTGCCCCTGCAGTAAACTTCTGCCTGGGCATCCAGGTGTTTCCATACATCTTCTGAAATCTAGGTGGAGGTTCCCAAACCTCAATTCTTGACTTCTCTGTACCCGCAGGCTCAATACCACATGGAAGCTGCTAAAGTTTGGGGCTTCCACCCTCTGAAGGAACAACCCAAACTCTATATTGACCCCATTCAGTCATGGCTGGAGCAGCTGGGACACAGGACATCAAGTCCCTAGGCTGCATACAGCATGGGGACCCTGGGCCCAGCCCATGAAACCATGTTTTCCTCAGTCTCTGGGCCTGTGATAGGAGGGGCTGCCATGAAGGCCTCTGACATGGCCTGGAGACATTTTCCCCACAGTCTTGGGGATTAGTATTAGGCTACTTGCTACTTACACAAATTTCTGTAGCTGACTTGAATTTCTCCCCAGAAAATGGTTTTTTTTAATTATCAAATTGTCAGGCTGCAATTTTTTTGAACTTTTATCCTCTGCTTCCGTTGTAAAACTGAATGCCTTTAACAGCACCCATGTTACATCTTGAATGCTTTGCTGCTTAGAAATTTATTCTGCCAGATACTGTAAATAATCTCTCTCAAGTTCAAAGATCCACAAATCTCTGGGGCAGGGGCAAAATGCCACCAGTCTCTTTGCTAAAACATAACAAGAGTCGTTTTTGCTCCAGTTCCCAACAAGTTCCTCATCTGCATCTGAGACCACCTCAGCCTGGACCTTATTGTCCATATCACTATCAGCATTTTTGTCAAAGCCATTCAACAAGTCTGTAGGATGTTCCAAATTTTCCCACATTTTCCTGTCTTCTTCTGAGCCCTCCAAACTGTTCCAACCTCTGCCAGTTACCCAGTTCCAAAGTCGCTTCCACATTTTCAGGTATTTCAGTAGTAGCTCCATCTCGGTACCAATTTAATTATTGAATTTAAAAATGTTGATCAGGGTATGAAATTCTGAATGAATATTACAAACAAGCATCATAAAATAGAGTGATACCATGAAGAGGTAGCTTGCAGTATAGTTTGAGTAATTTGACAAGCATGTAGAATTCATAAAAAGCATGGTATTCTAAATGAGTTTAAGCACATTTATGCCAAGATATTTCGGGGAAGCTTATTCACACAGAGAATACTTTCTGCTTCAGTAAATATGGTCTCTTGTATAAAAGCTCACAATTCTGATTGAATTATCTGTAATATTTTGGCATGCATACTAGTTTGATGTGTATGTGTGTGTTCTATTTTCTTTCCTTCTTTCTTCTTCTTCTTTTGACAAAGCATCACATGAATGGTAGTGCTCAAAACCCAGTTAACTGAACTTGCTAGAAACTGTCCATGGTGTTTAAAAAGCAAAACAAAACTAAACAGAAACCCTATTCCCTAATCATCCAAATGAAGAGATTTCAATATCTCTGTGTTTGACTGACTTTATTGTGTTTCTGGGAGGCAGAAGTATAAGGAAAGAAAGGTAAAAAAAATATTCAAAATATAAGAATTCATGCTCATTTTTTTTTCTTTTTTTCTTCTACTTTTTATAAAAATATGAAGATTGGGCTTGGTTTAACTTTCAGTCCTTTGGAGCAAATATTTGTTTCAAGTTTTTATTTGTGTTGACTTAACACAAAATATATGTAAAACCTTTTTTATCTTCACAAAAGAGCATTAGGTAGAAAAGTCAATAAATGATCTCGGATTAAGTTAAGACCTGGAATTATGTTCTCTTTCAGGTATGCGTGACGAGATTCCTCTACTAGATACAATGCACCTGAGGACAGTGCTTGACTTAGCACAAGTTGCCTTGCAGAATTATGACCATCTGACAAATAATAACAGAATACAGAGAACAACAGGTTATTTTTACTAAAAAGAAGGTGATCTTGGAAAGTAACTATATGTCATAATTCTCACCTCCTTCATTTATAAAACAGAATAAAACAGCACCTAATTCGAAGGACATGTGAAGATTAAATGAGATTATGCATATAAAGTCAGTAGACCTAATGCCCAGTACATAGTAACCTCTCCTTTTCTTTATCTTTCTTTACATATAAAAAAAGATACAGCATATTTTTTAAGTTCTATGACACATGTGTTCACATTATATTGTCTCTGAAATATTGACATGCCTATTGTTGATTGCATCTTAGCATTATGTAGCAATAGCTGCATTGGATTTGTCATTTATTCTTTCTTATTATAATATAAAATAATGGTGTATTTTACATAAATGATGCCTTGCATTCAATTAAATGAATACATGATTATAATCTTATAAATTAAGGCTTGAAGGTGTTATATCTATATGTTTTTCTATGCACGGTATATAGAAATAACACTAACCTGATTTGCATAGCAACAAACAGACCTATTTGTCTCTAGCTGTGTTTTATTTTTTAAGTCTTTTGAACATGGCATAATATTGTGGAAGAGGTATCCAAACCCAGAAGTTACTACTGCAAAGGGTATGCTCTGTATGAACTGTGGAATTGAAGAACAATCAACATTTGCTAAATGGATCAACAGAGTCAATATAGAAATATAAGGATAAATATAAAGTGATGTGCATTTTATATACAATACATTTTATTGTGTTACATGCAAAAGAATTATGCCCACTAGGAAACAGGTGGTGTGGTAGGAAGAGACGGAAGTCAGTAAGTCAGACTCCAGGCCTGGTTCTTCTCTCAACCAAGGCCCTTGTACAAATCTTTAACCTCTCTGAGCAACTGTGTCCTCCATCTGTAAAATTGAAGTTTCAGACTGGTGATTGTTGATATTCATATGACCTCTATGTTGTCCAAAGTGGTAGGATTGTCTCCGATGACCAGTTTGGTTCAGGACATTCCACTGTGAGAATAACACCATGTTTCTTATTCTTCCTTTATGAGAAATTTGTCTCACGAAGAAAACAGATCATAAAATGCATTTAAGTATGATAGTAGGAAGAACATAATGCTGGAAGTTTTGCTCCCATGTGTTTTTAATTCTTTTGAGAAGTTATACTCAGAGAAGTCAGTAGTGATAGTATTAAGCACTAAGATTATTCAAAGCCTTAGTAGAGCTTCCCATTACTTCTCACAGTGTGGAAATACAAGTTGCCCTCTGCAATCAGAAGTAGGGCAAGGCAGTTTGTATTCATTTCTGCTCAATCAAGATGGGTTCAGTGGAGGAGGCTCTATTTCAAAAACCTTGTTATGAAAGAAGAAAGAATGTTAGTCTATTGCTCACTCCCATTAAGTGTTCAGTAAACTTTACTGTCTAGTTCACAGACAAGTGGAGCTATTTACACTCTAGTAACAGCAAGAGCAATGATACAGTATTAAGAGAGGTGACATTAAACATGTCTGACATTTACTTACCGTGTGACTTTGGGCAAGTCAGTTCTCCTCTGGAGATAATGGTTAACTGGATTTTTTTCTAATATACCATCTCACTCTAAAGGAGCATATTGTAGATACCTATTGAAAATTTGATAATTGAGATTTACTCTGTACATGGTCCAGTGAGAATTAAAATTATTATTAAAGTAACAGGACAGAGAAGTGTGCAGACTTGGGTCAACTTGGTCATAACTTGTTATCAAGAAAAGCTTTTGGGGCCAGGAGTGGTGGCTCGTGCCTGTAATCCCAGCACTTTGGGAGGCTGAGGCGGGTGGATCACTTGAGGTCAGAAGTTCCAGACCAGCCTGGCCAACATGGTGAAACCCTGTCCCTACTAAAAATACAAAACAATAACCCGGATTGGTGGCAGGCACCTGTAATCCCAGCTACTCAGGAGGCTGAGGCAGGAGAATCATCTGAACCCGGGAGGCGGAGGTTTCAGTGAACCAAGATCGCATCACTGCACTCCAGCCTGGACAACAAGAGTGAAACTCCATCTCAAAAAAAAAAAAGGTGAAGAAAGAAAAAAAGAAAAGTTTTTAGAAATAGATAATATTTGAAGTGATATAACTGAACTGGTGACATAACACACTTTTCTGTAAGCATTTGTAGGCTACTTCAACAGAGCATGATTATAGTTCAGATTTTTGGTATTTTGGCAAAGAGCAAGTTTTTTTACTTTTTGGAAAACACGAGATTGTCCACTAGAGTGAACCTCAATTTAATTTTTGATTTACTCATTGCACCAAACATAATTTAGTTGATGTATCAACTTCAAGTCATTTTTCTCCACCTTTCTTACCTACTATTTGATAGTCCTGGAGGTTCAAATGTAAGAGAAAACATGTTTGTACAAAGATTACATTGACAGGTATTGGTCATATAGAAATGAAGCAACAGCAAAACAATAAATCTTTTGTTAGGGAGTAGTGATGTTTGTTAATATGTTCTTTACTCTCCAATTTATAAAGGGAACCTATTCTGTAGGATGTTCATAACAATTACGTAGAAAATTGGGTTAATATCACTAATAATTTGGAGACAGTACATAGTTTTAACAAAGAACATAGTTTAGATTTTAGCTACTATTGGCTCTGTTACCCTGGAAAATGGTCTGGTTTCTATATGTATGAAGTGGGGATAAATACCTTCATCATAGAGTTGTTATAACAATTAAATATTATTGTATGCATAAGGTTTGTAAAGTGCTACATAAATACCATGTGCTGATAAGTAATCACTGTCTTTCAAACTTTATGATAATTACCAACTCCTAAGCTACTGCTCGCCTATGGAGTTCACACCTTTACATTTAAATACTAATATAAATTAATATGCGTTTGGTTTTTGTTAATGCTAAAATGTTTACAAACTTCCCAGTATATTTTACAACCTGTCACACATGGTACAATAAATTTGTATGACACACTGGAGTAAGATGGAAAATATTTGAGTACACTTGTTTAGGAAATAATAAAAACCAAAAAAAAAACAAAAAAAACAAAAAAACTTCTGTAATATAACTATGGAAAGGAAAATCAAAACCATTAGTGAAACATGTCTCAAACTTAAAATAATCTAAACTTGCCTCCATGAAATGGCTATTTGGATTTCTTTTTATAAACCACCTTATTGGGGTATGATTGACATGTAAAAATCTGTACACATTTAACGTGCAATCTGACGAGTTTGGAGATAACTATACACATGTGAAACCATCATCACAATCAACGCCGTAAACATGTCCATCACCTCCAACAGTTTTCTCCACCCTTCTTATGATAATGATGATTATCATGATGATTGTGAAGATCATAAGAACACAACATAAGAGCTATCCTCTTAGCAGATTTTTAAGTGTGCAATTCAGTGCTGTGAACCATAGGCACTGTGCTGTAAAGTAGATCTCTAGTACTAATCTTGCGTAACTGATGCTTTGCACCCTTTGACTAATTGCTCTTATTACCTTTCAAGTCATCTCCTGGAAACCACCATTCTACTCACTGTTTCTGTGAGTTTGGCTATTTTAAATACCTCATGTAAGTGGAATCATGTAGTATTTGTCCTTCTGTGACTGGCTTATTTTAGTTAGCACAACACCTCCAAGTTCACCCATGCTGTCACAAATGGTAGGATTTCCTATTTGTTAATGCTTAATAGTATTCCATTGCATGTGCACACCACATTTTCTTTATCCAATTATCCATCAAGGTACATACAGTTAGGTTGCTTCCATGTCTGCTCTGTAGTGAATAATACTGCAATGAGGCTTTGCGTATTTCTTTTAATGAAGACTTTTAAGCCAGTTGAATACATGGAACACAAACTCCCCAGTAGCTCCATAAACCTTTTTATCCAAGGAGTATGGTACATGCTATTGCAGGCAGTGGAAAGATACACTCAAGAGTAAAGCACCTCATTGGCCATGCTCAGGCCACTGCAACAAAATTACAGCAGACAGTTGTTGCTCACTGTACTCACCAACACTGGGGTTTTATGGGAGGGCTCATGAATCTGTTCAACTTGACCAGCTCTCTGAGGAACCCTAGATGAAGCTGCTTAAGCAGAGATAAGTGAGCTGTGGACTATCCTCATACCAGGCTCCCCTTGGCCATTCCATGAGATGAGTGATTGATATTTTAGTTGGTACTCTTGTAACTTCTTCCTGGCATACCAGTGTGCTATAGTCTATCCACTGGGAACTCTTGAAAAAGATACTATATATGAAAACATCTTGCCCAGGGTCTAGCAGGTTTATTGGATTGAATATACATAGTACTTTAGCAGACCAATGTACATTTGAGTCTTTCAAAAGTTGTATAGATGAAGTTGGTCACTTGCTTAATGAATAGCTATAAACTTCATGCCCTTTAAAGTCTTCATCTCTTTACAGTGTCAACACTCAACAAATATTTATGTACTCTCCAAAGTATATTATTGGGAACTTATAAGATATATTAGGAAATTATGCATAAGGGTCTTTAAAAATATGAGCTCATGTTTTCAATATTTATTAGTTTTTGAATAAAACTTTTTTAATTTATATGATTGTGTAAATCTAAATGACTCCTATGTAAATGTAAGATTAAGAGAATTAGTTAAATTGTATTATTAATGATACAACGATTTCTCTTTAAGGTGGTAATATTAATTTATTCTCAGCAATAATCTTGTCAGTGGTCATTTTTTTAATAGTAAACTTGTAGTCTCTATGGTTTGACATCCTTTTGAATTTTAGGATTTTACAGACAATAAGAAGATAATGAGGATTAAAGAAAGAGTGACAGTAGAGATGCTGTAGAATGACATGAATCTTGCTAATGGTATTTTTTCCAGGTAGACAAAAAACATAAATATCTGGAGAAAAGTTTAAAAGTATTTATAAAATCTCACAATGTATAGAATTGTCTAGACTTTACTATTTATGAAAAAACAAGAATTTTTACTTATTCAATTTTATATTAATAAAGTCCATATTTCCATGGCTAAGCATAGTATTTTAAAAGGTTAAAGATATAAAATCTGGGAAATAAGTTCTACCAATACTACTCTCAATGTTATGCGCAAATGGTTTTTTTTAATTAAGTTGTGTCTACATGGAAAACTTGCCAACACTGGCTAATTTTGTCTCAATTTTCTTTATGAAAATAGCATTCTACCATGTTGGTTCTATCTCTTGCTGAAGAGGTGGTAGGAAGACAACATCTTGAGCTGCATTGCCAAGGCTGCTTACCCAACCACAGTGGTGGCCAAACCTAGGCACTGAGAATCAATTCCTGAAGTAATCTATTCTGCAAGAAGAACAAGCAGATGCCTGTTAATTTATGCTTATTATTTGTCCAGAATTTTTCTTGGTGCCTTGGGGAATATAAACTATTAGATTCAGGGTATTCTTAAGTAGCTTAAAATCTAATTGAAGTAAACCATATACGTGAATCACATATGAACTACGTAAGAACATACTTAATTGCATTTAATATAAATCATTAGTTTAGAAAAATGTGAGAAGGATAGACTATTCTCTTTCTCAAACTATTTTAACATTTAGAAAAATTTTATTTGTATATAATCAATGCCTGATGCAACTGAAGAAGCTTCAGTGTAAATTTTTATTTTAAAAAATTACCTTTAATTTTAAGGCTTTACATGGTATAACATTTTGTTAAAAATCAATATGCTTTTACTCATTTGAGAAATCAGGTATATATTAATTTTGCTTTTTTTCTACTATCAAAAATGTCAGGACACTATTAATGTTTGATATATTGAAATAACTGTTTTTGAATTAATTTCAGAGGTAAAATAAATTTCAGTAACTGGGTCACTCATGCTTCTTGGCATGATTGTAATCTGAAAATGTCATGGAATTACTCTCCTTTAAAAAAAAAATCTGAGTTAATTCAATGACTGGTGAAACACTGGTAGTATCCACTTTACAACCAATAAGAGCTTTTTCTTTTTCATGGTATCAAGTCCTTTGTTTTTTGATTTGAATTTTGGAAGTCATAATATAATTATACAAATATAGGCAAAAATACAAAGCAAATAAAGAGCCCCAATTTGTATGGTGAAGAATGGTAAATAGCAGAATAAGAGCCCTTAGTAGGGTTTGAAAGCCAGATCATACATATTTAAAATTATTTTGTTAAACACATTCAACTTAATATAGTATAATGTTACCTGCTGCCGGATCTTTCTCATTTTATGTACTAGATCAGCTCATGCTTGTATTATTTTGAGTTTCCTAACTGTTGTTAAAAAAATACTCCAAATCTCAAGGCTTAGTAATAAAACTTTATTTCTTACAACACTCACAAGAAGGTCAGAAATGGGGATAGTGTGTGAAAGAGAGGTCTCTTTGTTTTATATAGAATCTAGGAACTTAGGTTTATTCCAGCCTACGATTTTGTTTTCTTCTATATTTTTGAAATTTCTCTCTCTTAAATTGACAAATGGAAAAAAGAGAAGAGAATACGGAGAAGGCACACCTGGTTTTAACCCCATCAACCGGAAAATAGCACATGTCACTTCCACTCACAATCTATTGGTGAGAAATGGTTATATGGCACCACATGGATGCAAGGAGCAAGAAAAAGTAGTCTAGCTGCCAGTCTTGTAAATAAGAAAAACACATATTGTGTAGCAGCAGTGTCTGCACAGGTCTAATCAAGATTTACTTCTTCAAATCTAGGGAAAGCTTAGGTACTTGAAATAATGTCAGTGAATTAATAAGACAACCTATTATTTCAGTCAGGCAATATACAACCAATGGGAATGTAGTGGAAGAATGTGAAAATTTTTGCATCAGAAAAGGCTACCAATTGACACTTTAAGAGGATTTGTTGTTTTTAACACATAACCTAAAGCTTGAGTTAATACAATGAAATAGCATTATAACAAATTTATTAGAGAGAAAACCAGTTTCATTTATAGAACATCATATTTATCTCATAAAATCATCCCTTGCCTTCAACGTTTGCAATGTAAAATGGAAAGGGGGAGACATATTACACATCTAAGGATTACCCTTGACAAATTTTATCAATCATTGAGATTTTTACACTGGTTTATAGAAGAAAAATGATGCAAAAAGAACTACAACAATTATTTTTTGAAAATTTCTAATTAGAGTCTTACAATTGCCTTCTTCATTAATTTTGATTCTTAGGAAGATCACATTAAGGAAAATTTAGGGGGCTTGCACGAGGGAAAAAGATGAAGAAAGGGAGTAATTAGAAATGAATGAAAGATTAGGCCTAAGTTTTCTTTTTCCTTTTAAATTTCATTTTACACAGTCACTTTGTTAAGACAATAAGATCAAGGCTATTGCTGCAGCCTGCCTAATGTTTTCACATCCACGTGAACACAAGGAGTGTTGTATGTGCCTACAGGCACATGTAAACAATTTTGTACCTATTCAGGAGAGTAAGAGAAATAAAAAGAAGAGAGCAGAGAAGAACACTAATTGATGCATCATTAACTGATTAGTGATAAAATATTGAAAGTTACCCACTGCCTTTAACAGATTTTAATATGCCATCTATTTTCAGTATAATAACTTCCAGTTAAAAATTGATGTTTAAAAACTTAAATAAATGATTTAAGAAATTAGTCAAAAGTATTTTTCTTGGGGCTGGGCTCAGTGCCTCACGCCTGTAATCCCAGCACTTTGGGAGGCCGAGGCGAGGCGGTTGGATCATCTGAGATCAGGAGTTTGAGACCAGCCTGGCCAACACAGCAAAACCCCATCCCTAACAAAAATACAAAATTAGCTGGGCATGCTTGCTCATGCCTGAATCCCAGCTACCTGGGAACCCGAGGCAGGAGAATCACTTGAACTCAGAAGGCAGCTATTGCAATGAGCCGAGATCATGTCATTGCACTCTAGCCTGGGCAACAGAACGAGAGTCCCTCTCAAAAAAAAAAAATAAATAAATAAAAATAAAAAAATAAAAATTGTCTTCTAAACAACTATGTATAGTACTTTAAAGGAGTATAGTACCGTTACTTTTGAATACATATAGTAATTTTAAATGTCATTGAAGCCTGTTTGAGTGAAATAATTAACCTTATTTTTAAATAGCAGCTCCCTAAAGCCCTTCATACTGCTATAATAAAAGAGACTACACAATTGATCAATACTAAAAGTTTATTTTTCATAGTTCTAGAGGTTGGAAAGTTCAAGATCAAGGGTGTCAGTAGGTTCAGTGTCTACTGGGGGCTCGTTCTTCATGGATAGCACCTTGATGCTGCATCTTCATCTTGCAGAGTGGGTGAACACTGTGTCCTCATGTGGGGAAGGAGCACTAGGACTGAAAGGCCTAGCTAATTCTCTCCTGTTCTTTATAAGGACATGAGTCCCATTCAAGCGGACAGAGTCCTCATAACTTTATTACTTCCTTAAATGGCCTCACCTCTTAACATCAACACCTTGGGGATTGAAGTTCCGATGTATGAATTTTGAAGAGACACACATTAAAATCGTAGCATCGCCATTCAGTTAGTTGTCTGAAATCACTTAGAAAAAAATGTGTAATTATATTGGTTAAACCTTTTCATTTCATTATTTTTTAATGAATCATTTTACTTGCCCATGTTTTAGTTGCAAGAAAATGGAAAGGTAAAGTCATAACCTAACCAAGATTGACATATCATAAACATCTAGTGTTGCAGGTGCTTTGATGCCCTGTGCCTCCTCCCTTCTGCCCACTGATGACGTGAGCCCCTCCACACTGGAAGGCCTGTAAAGCTCAGATTCACTTAGTTATGTCCCATTGCTTAAAGGCTATGAGAAAAGCTTGAATGGCAAGAATCTGGTACACTAGCTTACCCTTAGTGACTTCCTCACTATTGACTCCTGATTTCTGTTTGACATGTAATTCAATCCCAGAACAGCAATGATATCCAATAATAACAATCCCATACTATAATATATATGATTTGACTAGCTGTTTTTTTGTATTATTTCCCCTGTTGGATTTGTTATACCATTTCTTTTCTTATTTGTGAGGATAGTTGAGAGAAGACAGTAAATTTATATTACTTGAGTTTGTAATTATATTACAATGAAGAAAACATTACAGTAATGTTTGATAATCATTAAATTAATATCACGGATCAATTAGTAATCAATTTCAGGGGAAAAAATCCTTCTCCATTTAAATTGTCTGTACTGTCTAAATTCATTTAGTTCTTTCTGTTTTAAATCCATATTTTTCTATGAAATTTGTTGTTGTTGTTGAAATGGAGACTCACTCTGTCGCCCAGGCTAGAGTGCAGTGGCGCGATCTCGGCTCCCTGCAATCTCCGCCTCCCGGGTTCAAGGAATTCTCCTGACTCAGCCTCAGCCTCCCAAGTAGCTGGGACTACAGGCGCATGCCACCACGCCTGGCTAATTTTTTGTATTTTAGTAGAGACAGGGTTTCACCCCTTTGCCCAGGCTGGTCGTGAACTCCTCAGCTCAAGCAATCTGCCCGCCTTGGCCTCCCAAAGTGCTGGGATTACAGGCGTGAACCACGGCGCCCGGCCTGAAATATCTTAAGTACAATGCTGTTTAAACTATTTAAATAGCTTCCATGTTTCAGTCCTGAATTTGTTTAAATCTGTAACTCAATATATTCAAAATCAAATGTACCAATTTTTATTTTTAATAGCTTTTTTCCTACTCTTCTATTTCTGCTTCTCTATACCCAAGAAAAACAATCATTAATGTCCAGAAATCAAAGTCATGTTGAACTTTTTACCTTGCCTCCTCCATTCAGTCAGGAAAACCTCTTGTTTATTCTGCTCAATGCTTTCCACATCTATTTCTTCTTTTTTCCTTAGTTCATTTCCTTAATAAGTCTCTCAATTGCAAAGGTATCCTAGATTTTTGCAGTGCCTCTCATCCATCTTTCTTTCTTTCTTCCTTCCTTCCTTTCTTTCTTTCTTTCTCCCTTTCTCTCTTTCTTTTTCTTTCTTTCTCTCTTTCTTTCTTTCCTTTCTTCCTTTTTTCCCTCTCTCCCTCCCTCCCTTCCTTCCTTCCTTCTTTCCTTCCTTCCTTCCTTCCTTCCTTCCTTCCTTCCTTCCTTCCTTCCTTCTTCCCTTCTTGCTTTCTTTCCTTTCCTTTTTCTTTCTTTCAGTGATCATAGCTCACTGCAGTCTTCAATTCCTGGGATCAAAAGATCCTCCCCCTTCACCCTCCTGAGTAGCTGCGACTACAGGTGCACCACCACACCTTGCTAATATTTAAGTATTTTTGTAGAGGTGGGGGTCTCACTGCTGCCTCAGCTTGTCTTGAAGTTCTGGCTTCAAGTGATCCTCCTGCTTCAGCTTCCCAAAGTGCTTGGATTCCATATCTCTTTCTTAATGATAATACCATATGCTGTACTCAGCATACATGTCTGTAGATACATGATTTGAATGCTAACATGTCTCTGTTGAAAAGTAGATAAATTTTATAAACTTTCATGCAGGATAAAAGCCCGGCATTAGTTCTGTTGAATGCCTACCTTATTTTTACATTATCCAAGAAAACTGGTCAAAATATATTTGACCAATATATTCCTAAATATTAGCTTATACCAATAGGAAATTAATGGACTTCTGTCTATAAAGTGGCCCTTAACAATTGAACTAAGCATTAAGGAGTATTTTAATAAAAAAAGACACCGACATAGTTCCATTAGGTTATGGAGAGGAATGATGGAACAAATTTTTGTGACAAATTATTCCATTGTTTATGCCTTATATCTTATCACAAACATGAGATTGCTTTATTTTACAAATATATATTATGTAACATTAGATTTGCAGTTCCACGTATTTTCTAAAAATCACCATCATCATTGTCATCATTTTTTAATACTTGAAGTAACCTTAATTTGCATAAATTTCTATGCATAGCAGTAGTCATCACTATAACCTTCTTTTGTGCTAATGAAGCTCTAGGCTTTAGGAAGCATGTAGGAAGTTCCTAAGGAAACACACTTGGGATCAACATTTGTGGAAGAGAGAGGATGAAACCAGGATTGAGAAGAGGGAGAAACAGAGCCATGGTGTAGCTCCCAAAAGACCTTAGCTGACATCCTAAGGAACTCTGGAGCTTGAAGTGGACTTCAGAGTTGTCCTGAGTTAGGGAAAGGGGGCTTTACTTCTATACCTCAAATTGACCAATGACTAGATGTTACTTGTCCCAAAGAATTTTTCATCTTGAGTGTGGTAGGTAGGCAATCCCTAGGGAGGGCTGACAGCAGAGGGCAGTCTTCCAGCAGCATTTCTAGCAGTTACGGATATAAATCCTTCATTTCTGATAAGAGGTGTTGATGGCACATGACAGCATCCTCCTCATAATCAACAATAATGATTCCACATATTGGGATGCTTCCGACATCTGTCAGTTATAGGGCCTGGACTTGAGGAAGCCCTCTCCTGATGCTAAACATGAGACTATCCAGTGAATCATTAACATATGGGATGATGAAATTAGGACTATTTAAATAAGAAATACAAATAACCAACTTCTTTGGAAAATGATGTTCTTAGTTTATTTTACAAAGATGCACGTGTGAACGTGTTTTATCAGATTAATTTGTTGGCATATTGAAAAGGCTGAGAGTAGGCATTTAAAGGAAGAGGAACAAAAAACGTAAATGTCAGTGGAAGATAGGTTATCACCAGCTTCATTTTATAAAAGCAGCAAGTTTGAACTGAAATGCAATGTTTTCTTAATCAGTCCCATCATTTAACTGCTAAGAAAAAAGAAGCACCAATATCTCACTGCCTGCCCATAATAGGTAGAATAATGGCTCTCCAAATATGTCCATGCCCTAACCCTCAGAATTTCTGAGTGTGTTACTGTAAATAGCAAAAGGACTTTGCAAGTATGGTTAAGGTTACAGACCCTGAGACAGGAAGATTTTTCTAAATTATCCCGATAGGCCCAATTAAATCATAAGAACCCTCAAAAGCAGAGAACTTACTCCAGCTAATCAGAGACGTGAGATGAAAGAAAAGATTTGAAGAGTGGAGGTACTCTTCCCATGGTTGCTGGCCTTGAAGATGAAGAAAAGAGTGACAAGCCAAAGAATGCAGATGTCTCTAGAAGCTAGGGACAGACTTGGCTTGTAGACAGTAAAGAAGTGAACTGAATTCTTCCAACAACCCAAACTTAACAAAGATAAAAATTTTGCTTAAAATTCTTTTCTCCAAAAAGAAACAGCCCTGCTGATTCCTTGATTTTAGCCCAGTGAGATCCATGTTGGATTTCTCACCCACAGATAACTAAGAAAATAGATTTGTTGCATTTAAGCTACTAAGTTCGTTGTTACTTGTTACGGCAACAATAGAAGGATAATACAGATTTCTTACGTTACATTTCTTTAAAACTGAAAATTTCTTGAGACAGTCCAGTGAGATGGAGAAAATTTAAGGTGGTGGGTTGGATGGATAGGAACAATAGGAGAAAATACAAAGAAGGAATATTAAAATAAGAAGGTACTGTTTAGGCTGGGCATGGGGGCTCACGCCTGTAATGCCAGCACTTTGAGGGGATGAGGTGGTCGGATCACTTGAGGTCAGGAATTTGAGACCAGCTGGCCAACATGCAAAGTACAAAAATGAGGTAGGCGTGGTGGCAGGTGCCTGTAATCCCAGCTACTCGGGAGGCTGAGGCAGGAGAATCACTTGAACCTGGGAGGTGGAGGTTGCAGTGAGCGGAGATTGTGCTACTGCACTCCAGCCTGGGTGACAGAGTGAGACTCTATCTCAAAAATAAATAAATAAATAAATAAATAAATAAACAAACAAATGAATAAATAAGGCACTGTTTAAATGTGTTGAATAGAGAATCAAATGACAAACTTCACACTCACCATTATTTGCCTAGATACATATTTTTGGCTAGAAGCAAACACAGTGGTCACAGGGGTTCAGTATTTTTCTTCCTGGGTATTTTCAAGCTGGTATTTTAGATGAGCATTGCTTTTGAAGCTGCAGAAAAACTGTCAAATTGTAAATAATATTGGTAAGACCAGAGCTAAAGAATGTCTGGAAGGCAATTTTATCTATAAGTTTAAAATCAATGTTGTCATTTTATTATCCTCCTCTAAAGGACAGGTATACAGGAAGAAAAGTGGTAGAAATTTTTACATAGTGGTTTTATTAGCATAGCTAGTATGTGCTCTAAATACATACTAGGGTCTTGCTTTTTTTGAGGAACCCCAAGGAAATGAAAACCGTCAGCCCCACTTAATGTGCAACTCATTAATGATTCTCTAGCGACTCATTTATGGGTCTGCCAATTAATATGCTACATTCAGATGAGCAACTATTTTAATAATTTTATTTAAAAATATTTTTTAAATTATTTGTTAATAATTTTATTACAAAAAAAATTTAATAATTATACAGCTTTTTTTCCTTATAACTTCCCTAAATTACCTCATCTGTCCCCACCCACCTGAAAGCTGAAAAGTATTTACTTTATTCCATTTTGGTAAACTCAGTCCAATTAAAAACAAACCAAAGCTCAGGGTTTTCCTCTTGACCTAAAAATACCCCTTACCCTAAAAATACCCCTTACCCTTATTACCGTGTTGGGGCTGCCCTAACTTGCCATGAGGCCCTTTGGCTGAGGTATCCTGCAAAGTGTGACTCCTGCTAGAATCACAAGTGGAAGTGGGATCATGAATTTTGAGGCCTCATCTTCTGCCTCTCCAATATGCCTTCATTCTAAGACATTATCTCACAGAGGAAAGGTCAGAATACAGGAGTGTCGCTACTTCTCTCTGTCTTCTTCTCTCCTGCAGTCTACCAGGACGTTAGAGGTGATCTCTTCACTTCCTTTCTAGTGAGGCTGAGATGTCACTTACATCATATCCTCCTCCTTCCCAAGGAAATTTCACCCACTTCTCTTGCCTTGGGGCTATCATTGCAAAAAAATCATCTGAGAACATGATTTCTGAGGAATAGCATTAAAAAATACATCAACATAATGTTTTCAAAATGTGCTTTGCCATTACCCTTCCCCTAAAGGAAAACATTATGCCCTGGAAAAGGGCGTTTACATGCACTTTCACTCCTTCCACCTTTCTAAGAGGACTGTATCCAGCAGGCTGAAAGACTCCATTTTTATTTTTCACTCAAGCCCTGCAGAGGTATCTCCAGCAAATGGGGCTCCTCAGTGGAATTGCTCTTTATACTCCTGAGATTCTCACCTTGCTCCCAATTCTAGTCTCTACTCCACCAATTTTTACTACTTTAAAGGAAGAGAAGTCAGGTGCACCTTGCCCACTAGATTTATAGGTCTGCCCTCTGGAAGCCCCTAGATTAAAAAGCTTTCTTTTCCACAAGACTACCTATATCCCCCCAAGTGAGCCATGTAACCCCACTAAGCCCCCTTTAATCCAAGTTAGACAGGCTTAGGTTCATCAGTCAGTCCACACTTGGTCAATCTGTCTTCTCTCTTTATGTATGAGCGCTGATTTTGTTTTATTTTGTTGGTGTTTTTATTATTGCGGCTATTTATTTAGATTGTTTGCTTTAGTGCTTTTCTTTTATTTTTAACTGTTCTAAATCCCTGGATTACAGAACAGAATACAATATTTCAGTTGCTCTCTAATAAGCACAGAACAGGGTATCAATAGGTAGTATTCGTCATCTTATTCTGAACATGCTACTGGACTTTTCTTAATGATTATGTTGAATTATCGTTGTTGATCATATTTCTGACTTGTAGCAAACTGGAAATCACCTGGAGTCTTTTATTTTTAACAACTGATGCTTTTGATTATCATTTCCCCATTGTATAGCTCTATCTTTATTAGTTGGATTTAAAAAGCTGTATCTACAGAAATAATAAATGTAGGACATTCCATGCAATAGTCTACAGCTTTTTATTTTAGGAAAAATAAGCAGCACATGAGGGAAAACATGACTCATCCATTTGCCTGTCATGTAGTAGGTATTACCAGGCAGTTGGGTTCATTTTGCAGGGTGGTCTCTCTTCCTGAGTGTCCTGGCTCCCTTCATCTTATAGGCAACCCACATGGCCAGGATCACCCCATGTCCAATCCAATAAAACCAAACTTTTAGCCAAAGTATTATGTTTCTCATTGTTTCAGTCAAATACTGTATTAGTTCATTCTCACACTACTAATAAAGACATACCCGAGACTGAGTAATTCATAAAGAAGAAGAGGTTTAATGGATTCACAGTTCCTGATGGCTGGCGAGGCCTCACAATTATGGTGGAAGGTGAATGAGGAGCAAGGCCCGTCTTACATGGCAGTAGGCAAGAGAGAGAGCATGTGCAGGGGAACTCCCTTTTATAAAACTATCAGATCTCACAAGATTTATTCATTATCTTGAGAATAGCATAGGAAAGACACACCCTCATGATTCAATTACGTCCCACCGGGTCCTTCCCATGACATGTGAGAATTATGAGAGCTACAGTTTGAGATTTGAGTGGGGATACAGCCAAACCATATCAAATATGATCCTAAAATTTATTTATTTCTTAAATTTACCAGATGAGTGGCAGTGGTCAGCTAGAGTAAGATTGAAGGGAGTTGAGAGATAGTTGCATCTAAATTTTGATTTAAAGTTTGATTTGATGTGGCACCCAGAAAAATATTATGATTTCAGAGATAATTTATGCTGTACATTGAGGAGAAATATGATACAAAGTAGAGAAAATATACTTAAACTTACATCAATTTATAATTATTCTGTTGTAAATCTGTCCATTTATTGGCTTAGAATTTTAATATGAATCTTGTAAATATTTGTTTATATGGTTCAGATTTTTTTATTAGTGACAGAAGAATTTGGGGTGAAAAGTCAATTTTTTTTTTTGATCTAGAATTTAGCTCTTAGTACATTTGCAAAAGTTTAACAATCCCTGCTAGTGGGACCATAAAGCTTTCTCCCAGTAAAAGTTCAAGTAATAGAAGAAAAAAAATCTTTAAAAATTTGCTGAACAAAACTTATGTCTTAACTTCAGAGTTATATCTACATTGCTGTTACTTCAGATATTTCTTATTGTTTCAATATATTTTGTTCACAAGGTATATTATTATCCATATAGGTTATATCAATATAACTTTATTTTTTTCATGTAATTAAAAATTCTGGTATGTTCGCATGTGGTAGAAGTTGGGTCAAATTCTATATATCCTTCAAATTGCTTGTGCAATTACACATAGTCAAATCCTATGCCACTTTGTGGTTACTTTTAAATCTTTTTTTCTGAATTATACATAGGTGGACCATATAACTTATTATCCAAACAAAGAGGCTTTTACAAGTAAATTGAAGCACTATAAATAATTACTCTGGGATAAAGTGGAGCGCTTCTAGGAACTCTTAAATGTAACATTTCTCCATCTATAAAACATGCTCACTTTAGAAAAGTTAGAAAAAAAAACAGATAAGTATAAAGAAAAAAATTATAATCTCTCAATCTTTTTTGTTTTCTCTCTCGATAAGTATTTGCATATATTAATATATTAGTATGCATCTATACATGTATATACATACATACTCATATACATACATATACATACACATATGTTTACTATTGGAAACATACCATTACAAGCTTTTCAAAAATCATTTCAATGGCTGCATACTATTCAATCATATGGATTTAATTTAATAGGAGACTACTTAATTCCCCTATTATAAAATATTTACATTGTTTTCAATTTTTTATAATTAATATCACTGTCAAGATATCCTTATATGTAACTATCTGTCAATAACATTGACTTCTTTTTATAATAGCCTACTAGAAGTTGAATCACTGGATCAAGGAATATGAGTATTGTAATGTTCTTGATGCATCTTTCCAAATTGATTTTCACGAGGATTGTATGAGTAACCAATACTACCAATCTAAAAGAGGACTTTTTTTACTACACTTTTACCAGTCCTGGACAATATAACATTTTTACTTTTATCATTAATGATTCTGTATTTACTTCTTCAAGAAAGAGGCAAAAATGTTTTGAATTCTCTTAAGTTAAAATGTCAAACAGCACTTAAGGTTTTAATTTCCATGAAATTTATTCCAGATGGCTCCTCAACTAGGTAGAGAAATTTAAAATGGACTATTTTAATCAACTTCAATTTACTCTTATTGTCCAATCAAATTCAACCTAACACCAAACACTTACAAACTGAAAAGAAAGCCTGCTTTTTAGATATATCCTACAAAGGAGGGGAAAAGTTCCCTGTGGTTCTGAGGCAGAACAGTCTCACTTCCTGGTGTTTTCCCCAGGGAGATATAATAGATGAGAGATCTGTGGTTAACATTCTTTTATGGAGCATACATTGACTACTTCTGGTTACCATATTGGGTTGTTTTCTTGTAGGCATACATCTTAAGGCATTTAAGTTAAGGGAGAAGTATCATCTCAAATAATCATCGGAATGAGCAAAATATATAGTACAGTATTATGCCTACCTTTCTGCCCTTTCCCTGAGGAAGAAAGTTTTACTGTGATCTCATCCCCCAGAGGCACTGGATCTTTTCCTCTACCTAAACGTGAATGGCTTGCTACCCTTGCCTCAGCATCTTAAAGGATTTTGTTTGTTCCCTTGAAGAGACAGACTAGAAGGATGAGGACAGAGTACCATACTTTTCTCCCAGAGGCTGCTGTTACTATCCACTATGCCTACATCAGGAGAAGGCTTTCTCGGATATCTTTTCGTGACCCCATCTGCCTTGTGAGCACCCAGTCCATGGAGAAAAGCTTGCAAATGGAATCAAAATCATTTTCTTATACTCTCATGGTAGCCCATTTACAGTCATTAGCAATTCATTAAAAATTTGGATGAATTTTTTTTTACCTGCTTATGTGGCATTTGCCCTTCTTACCTGCTTGTATGACATTTGCTTACATTCAATCTCTTCTTGGAAGCATCTTTCTTTCCTTAGATTTCAGGTTAATTGGTTGCCCTATGAGCTCATATATCAGCAGATATTGTGATTTTTGAAGAGTGCCTGGCTTTTTGTTGTTGTCATTGTTGTTGTAGTAGTTGCTATCATAAGGGTGCATGGTAGTGGCACTCTTCGTAGTTTCCAACAGCCTCAGCAGATGCCGATCACCCATAGATGTTCTGAGACTGAATTTTTATAATGCATGAATTTTAAGTGTCAGTAATATCTTTTTGTCTTTTACTTTCCTTTTGAACTTTTTCCTAGTTGAAGTTAAAATGCATACCATAAAACTTTTACTCTGAGGTAAAAAGGAAAAGACTGCAATTTAGCTGAAGAAATTAAACTCTTCTTGGGTTAATTTAGGAATATTTGTAACTAACTTTAAGATAAAATCCCATATGAAACATGCTCAAATCTGGTAAGGGATTAGGTTAGCTTGAATTTATTCATTTCCTTTGGTATTTGCTGAATAAACAAGTGTTTCCTTATTTCAAACTATTTCAAAAGCTTTTGATTTTTGTGTTGTTTCTGTTGGTGCTGTTTCCTGCTTCATTTGGGGAAATGATGGAATTATGCTCTCTGAAGGAAATATTTTCATTAGCAGAGATAAGACCTTACAGAACTAAGGAATAATAAATATCCTTATGAAATACATTTTATTTTACTAAATTTCATTTTTAAGTAAAATACCATAATAGTTTTTATTTCTTTTACTTACTCTCAAGGACAAAGCAGAAAACCCTAAATATTCCTTGAAAAGCTACAAAGGGAATGCATTAAATTATTCCTTCAACAAAGTTTTTCTTGAGCACATTCTCTATACCCAGAACTTTAGCAGATACTGGGATACAAAGGTGAGCAAACAAGAGCAGTATCGCTAGCCTCATGTAAGCCTACATTTTTTCTAATTAACCCTGGAGCCCCATCAAATATTGATGTTAGGATAATAGACTTTCATTAATCATACCACACAAAAACATATATTGTTACAAACTGTGAGGGCTCCTTTGAAGAAAAATCATAAGCTCCAAAAAATAGTATAAAGGAGCACTGGAGTTAGACTGGGGGAGTGTCAAAAAACACATCACTGAGAAAATTACAATTGAGGTGATATTTAAGAGAAAAATGTAATTTGGAGTTTACCAGTGAGTATATAGTATAATTGGTCTGGGAAGAGCTTTCCAGGCAAAATGAACAGGATCTGCCATGTCTAAATGTCACAGGGGACAGGAGAGAGCTTAATATATTGATGAAGCTGAGTAAATCCTAGCCCAGCTGCAGCTCAGAAAGAAAAAGAGAGAATAGCATAGATGAAAGACTAAACATAGTTAAAAACTAACATTTACTGATTATTTACCATGTGCCAAGAGCTGTTGCAAGCACATTGGGTTAACACATTTTATTCTTCCAACATCCCAAATTTTATTTCTAGCCCATGATGGAATAACTGGAAACTGATTCCCCCCACCATCTGTGAACAACTAGAAAGTTGAACAAAATTGATGAAAATACTGTTTTTATATGTGGGACAGCAGCAGCACAGGACTGTATTTCTCTCTAAAAAGAAGGAACAAGATAGCTGATCCCTGCAATTGTCCCAGGTTTCTACCTTTAGCCACTTTGTAGTCAGCACCAACTAGGCAAGGTCACAGAACATTGTGTCTCACTGAGCTATGGTTCAATACATCAGAGTTCAAGGAGACCTAAGTAACTAAATTTTACATGGCAAAGTACTGTGTAGACAGAAGCTATGTGGAGAAGCACTCTAAAAATACGTAGAGAAGTCTCCTTAAGCCTTTGAATACTAAACTATGCACACATAGGATGAGATTCAGCAAGGCCAAGAAAAGAATAATTATCAAGAAACTGCGTGATAGATATTTCCAGATCTCACACAGGGCTAGACAACATGTACAGTCAAAAAAGAGTGGCACAACCTTGTTGGACATGTAATACATTCAGCAGAGACCTAGAAGGGTCATACCTTAATAGTAGTGATAAACACGTTTAGAATAAAGGTGACTCCAGATTTGTCCTAACAAAGCCTGGAAATAGGCTTTGGAAAATAAAATATTTAAAAAGCCTGGAAAAGCCCAAGTTAATCTACTAGCAACTTAACTAGCTAGTTAAACAATATATTTAAATAAAAGTAACAAAAAACAGATGATATAATATTCACAACATCTTAAAGTAAAACAAAATAGAAATATAAAACAACTCAAGGCATTGGACATTAGGCAATGAAGGACAGTGACCCTTGAGGGATAAGAAACAAATAAGATGGGCCCTTTCTTTTTTCAACTTATCACCTATACAAAGTTTTCAAGTCACAGTGCAGGGAAGGTACTCAGGCAGAGCCTCCCTCTGTTGAGGACATGGATCTGGGGGTCCAGGGAAAATAAGGTAGCTAGACTTAAAAGGGGTTGGCACAAAAGGGGGTAAAGTCACACACACACACACACACACAAAGACTCTGGGGGTAAGCAAAGAGTTCTACTTAAGTGTTCAGTTGATTACTTATTAGCTTATGCATGTAAGGAAAATATCTAAGGCCAGGGAAAGATCATCTAAAAGTATTGGAAAGAACAATTCCAGTATTAAAACAGAAGTAGGAATGATGCCAGTTCCCAACAATCAGAGTGGAAAACCTCATAATTCAACAAGAAATATTAGAGAATTGCGATGAGTCTTGCCTCAGTGGAAAAAAAATTACACTTAGACTTAATGCAACTCACAATGGGTGGGGGAGGGAATAAATCAATCAAAACTAAATGAAATGACAGAGATAATAGGATTACTAGAAAAAAGACATCAAAATCTTAAGCAAAAAGAACAAAGCTGGAAGCATCATGCTACCTGACTTCAAACTATGCTACAAGGCTACAGTAACCAAAACAGCATGGTACTGGTACCAAAACAGACATACAGACCAATGGAACAAAACAGGACATCAGAAATAACAACACACATCTACAACCTTCTGATCTTTGAAAAACTTGACAAAAACAAGCAATGAGGAAAGAGTTCCCTATTTAAATGGTGCTGGAAAAACTGGCTAGCCATATGCAGAAAACTGAAACTGGATCCCTTCCTTACACCTTATACAAAAATTAACTCAAGATGGATTAAAGACTTAAACATAAAACCAAAAACCATAAAAATACTGGAAAATAACCAAGGAAATGCCATTCAGGACATAGGCATGGGCAAAGATTTCATGATGAAAATGCCAAAAGCAATTGCAACAAAAGCCAAAATTGACAAATGGGATCTAATTAAACTAAAGAGCTTCTGCACAGCAAAAGAAACTATCATCAGAGTGAACAGGCAACCTACAGAATGAGAGGAACATTTTGCAATCTACCCATTCAACAAAGGTCTAATATCCAGAATCTACATGGAACTTAAACAAATTTATCAGAAAAAAAAAACCCATTTAGGTGAAGGATATGAACAGATGCTTCTCAAAAGAAGACATCTATGTGGCCAAAAAAATATGTAAAAATAACCTCAACATCACTGATCATTAGAGAAATGTAAATCAAAACCATAGTGAGATGCCATCTCACACCAGTCAGAATGGCAATTATTAAAAAGTCAAGAAACTATAGATGCTGGCGAGGCAATGGAGAAATAGGAACACTTTTGCACTGTTGTTGGAAATGTAAATTAGTTCAACCATTGTGGAAGACAATGTGGCGCTTCCTCAAGGATCTGAGAACCAGAAATACCATTTGACCCAACAATCCCATTAGTGGGTATATGCCCAAATAAAAGATAAATCAGTCTACTATAAAGACACATGCACAAGTATGTTTATTTCAGCAGTATTCACAATAGCAAAGACATGGAACCAACCCAAATACCCAGCAATGGTAGACTGAATAAAGAAAATGTGGTACATTTACACTATGGAATAATACACAGCCATAAAAAGGAATGAGATCATGTCCTTTGCAAGGACATTGATAAAGCTGGAAGCCGTCATTCTCAGCAAACTAACACAGGAACAGAGGACCAAACACCACATGTTCTCATAAGTGTGGGTTGAACAATGAGAACACATGGACAAAGAGAGGGGAACAACACACACCAGGGCCTTTCAGGTGGTGGGAGGCAAGGAGATGGAGAATATTAGGACAAATACCTAATGCATGCAGGGCTTAAAACCTAGATGATGGGTTGATAGGTACAGCAAACCATCATGGCATATGTATACCTATGTAACAAACCTGCAGGTTCTGCACATGTATCCCAGAACTTAAAGTAAAATTAAAAAAAAAAAAGACATCAAAGCACGTATCCTAACTATATTCCATATACCCAAGAGGGTAGAGCAAGCTTCTCATCCTCAACACTACTGACATTTTAGTCAATGGTCACATATTTTTGTTTTTGTTGTTGCTGTGTCTGTGGGGAGTCTGTTAGGTAAAATGTATAATGGTTAGCAACATTCTACACAGTAGAGTGTTAGTCAGTAGAAGTTCCCACCCCACATTGTGACAATTAAAAATGTACTCAGTCACTGACAAATATCTTCTGAAAGGGTACAATTGCTTCTAATTTAGAACCACTGGTCTAGAAAAAAAATTAAATGTGTTCAATAAAAATAAAATAACATATTAAAAAGACTGAAATCAAATTTCTGGAGTTAAAAACTACACTGTCTGATATTAAAAAAACACACTGGAAAGGATTAATGGCAGGCTAGATATAAGAAGAAAATATTAGTAGATTAAAGATATGACAATAGAAGTTATCTAAGAATAAAGAGTAGGGGAAATAACAACGTAGGGGAGCTACTGGAAAATTTCAAATGGTCAAATATATATACAATTGGAGTCTGTGAGGAGAGGAAAGAGGGGGAAGAAAAAACACGAGTATTTGCCAGAAATTGTACAAATAAGAAATCATAAATCTAAAACTCAAGAAATGCAATGAAACTCAAGCATAAGAAATACAAAGATAATTACATCAAGGCTCACGATAGTCAAATTGCTTAAACTAGTGATCGAAACAAAAAGTAATAAAATAATAAAATACAAAACTCTTAAAGGTACCTGGAGAAAGAAAGACATTACATACAGGGGACAAATAAAAGGATAACAGATTTCTTGTTGAAAACAATGAAATCTAGGACACAATAAAGCAAAACCTTTAAACTATTAAGAGAAACAAAACAAAACAAAATCCTGTCAATCTAGAATTCTTTAGTCAGTAAAAATTTTTTCAGAAAGTAAAACAAAGAATTCTTCAAGTACAGAAAAATTGAAAAAAATTATCACAGTAGACTTACACTACAAAAATGTTTTTAAATATTTAAGAAAAAGCAAAATAATATCAGTTGGAAATCCATTCTCCACCAAGAAATAAGGAGCACAGGAGATGGTAGCTACATAGGTAAAATAAAGACTATATTTTCATTATTTAAATTTCTTAAAACATTGTAAAGTGGAAATAATATATTGTGGGGTTTATAATATTGTGAAGAATTAAACTATATGACAATAACAGTGCAAAGCCTGAGAGTGAAAACATTAAAAGTGCACTGTTATAAAGTTATTATTTTATTCATGAAACAATATAATAACACTTAAAGATAGATTCTGATAAATTAAGCACGTATACTATAAATCCTAAATTAACCACTACAATAACGCAACAAAGAGCTATTGCTAATAAGTTCACAAAGGAGATAACATGAAATAATAAAAACTGCATTTCGAAGAAGGTATAAATAGAGAAAACAAGGAACAATATATGTAGTACAGATAGAATTAAATGTCAAGATGGCACATTTGAAGCTAGTCATATCATTACATTAAATATAAATAAATGTCTCAAAAGTCAGAGATTTTCAGATTGGATTAAAAAATAAGATCCAACTCTATCCTGCTTTAAAAAAAACCCCATTTTACATATAAGAAACATAACAGATCATGAAAAGATGAAAAAATGTATATGATGCTAACATTAATCAAAAGCAAACTGGAGAGGATATACAAACTTCAGAGCAAAAAATAAGGCAAAATAAAGACATTTTCTCGTAAACAAAAAACGGAGAGAATCCCTTGTAGCACACCTATAAGAAATGTACAAGAAGTCATTGAGATGAAGGAAATATTGTCAGATGGAAACTTGGACCTATATAATAGACTAAATAATTCTGGGAATAGTAAAATATGTGGCTAAATTTAAAGATTTTAGCTCATTTTTAAAGTCTCTTAAAAAGAAAATTGTTTAAAGAGAAAATAAGAATTTTTGTAGGGTTTATGTATCATGTAAACATAAAATGTATGATTGAGATATCATAACTGTTGTTATGTGAAGGAGAATAATCTATAGAAGCTAGACTGTGATAAATAAAAGATGCATGGTGGAAAGCCTAGGATGGCTATGAAAAAATAGGTAGAGTTACATAACATGACAACAGAGTAGAAAAAGTGTACTAATAAAAAAATTATCATTTAATCTTTAATGAAACAGAAAACGAGAAAAAAAACACAAAGAACAAATGGGACATACAGAAACATTACAGCTGGGCGTGGTGGCTCCTGCCTGTAATTCCAGCACTTTGGGAGGCTGAGCTGGGCAGATCACCTGAGGTCAGGAGTTCAAGAACAGCCTGCCCAACATCGTGAAACCCCTTCTCTACTAAAAATACAAAAAATTAGCCTGGCGTGGTGGTGAGCACCTGTAATTTCACTTACTTGGGAGGCTGAAGCAGGATAACAGCTTGAACCCAGGAAGTGGAGGTTGCAGAGAACCGAGATCATGCCACTTCACTCTAGCCTGGGTGACAGAGCAAGACTCATCTCAAAAAAAAAAAAGATTATAGATTAATTAACCAAAATATATCTGTGATTACTTTTAATTAAAGGAGAATAAAACCTAATTAAAAGCCAGAGTGTGTAAGTTTGGATAAAGATGCAAGACTCAACTATGCACTCTACTCACTAGAAACCCACTTTAAAGATAAAGACACCAATTAAAAGTAAGAAAAGGGAAAAGCTAAACAGAATAAACTTTCACCATAAGCTGGAGTGGATATATAAATAACAAAGTATACTGTAGGGCAAGAAATACTTCCAGAGATAAAATACATCCTTATGATTGAAGGTGCAATTCACAAACACACACACACACACACACAAATCCTAAATGTTACACACCTAATACAAGAGCCTCAAGCTACATGAAGCAAAAACTGAAAGCAGAAATGAAAGTGAAAATTGACAAATCCACAATAATAAGTAGAGATTTCAACATTCTTCTCTCAGTAATTGATAGAACAAGTAGACACCAAGTCAGTAAGCATATAGAACATTTGAACAACACTATCATCCAACCTGACCTAATGACCCACCCAACCTACAACATAGAACATGCCACCCAACAATAGCAGAATGCACATTCTCTTCAAGGGCACATGAAACATTTACAAAGACAGATCGTACACTGTGCAACACAAGTCTCAATAATTTACTTAACTTTCCTATGAAATATATACTATTTTCTATTTCGTTTTCTTGATGAAGAAACTAAGTGAAAAAGTGTTAAATAACTCAATCAGTTATTAAGAAGCCAAGATAATATTTGAACATGGTGCTCTTTCAGAGCTCATGAGCTTTACAATAATTTATGTAAAATATTGTCCCAGGCCACCATCTTCCCTTCCCGTGAGGTTCATTAAGTAGGTAGATGTATAGGGAATAATTGGAAAACAGTTACAAAACTCCGATAAGCTAGGCTGGCTTGTAAGACTCTAAAGTGATTTTGCCTGATACATTCCTGATTCATGCCTCTTGTCCTAGAATAATTATTAATTTTGCCCCTTGCCCTCACAAAAGTGTCCTTAATTGGACTATAAAAACTGCATTCTCAAACCTAACAGCGTTTTCTCCTACTAAATTCAAGTCAGACTTTTACAAGTTATCATACTCTGGCCACTCTCGAAAAAAAGCAATGAGTTGGGCGCTGTGGCTCACACTTGTAATTCTACAGTTTTGGGATACCGAGGCGGGCTGATTGCTTGAGTTCAGGAGTTTGAGATCAGCCCGGGTAACATGGCAAAACCCCATTTTTTTTTGTCTCTTCAAAAATCCAAAAAAGATTAACCAGGCGTGGCGGCACGTGCTGGTAGTCCCAGCTATTTGGGAGGCTGAGACAGGAGGATCACTTGGGCCCAGGAGATTGAGGCTGCAGTGAGCCAAGATTTAGCCACTGCACTCCAGCCTGGGTGACAAAGTGAAACCCTGTTTCAGGAAAGGGAAGGGAAAGGACAGGAAGGGAAGGGGAGGGGAGGGGAGGGAAGGGAAGGGGAAGAGAGGGAAGGGAGCAATGAAAGAGCAAGAATGGCCAGAACTTCCAACACTATGTTGAATAGGAGTGGTGAGAGAGGGCATCCATGTCTTGTGCCAGTTTTCAAAGGGAAGGCTTCCAGTTTTTGCCCATTCAGTATGATATTGGCTGTGGGTTTGTCATAGATAGCTCTTATTATTTTGAGATACGTCCCATCAATACTTAATTTATTGAGAGTTTTTAGCATGAAGGGTTGTTGAATTTTGTCAAAGGCCTTTTATGCATCTATTGAGATAATCATGTGGTTTTTGTCTTTGGTTCTGTTTATATGCTGGATTACATTTATTGATTTGCGTATATTGAACCAGCCTTGCATCCCAGGGATGAAGCCAACTTGATCATGGTGGATAAGCTTTTTGATGTGCTGCTGGATTCGGTTTGCCAGTATTTTATTGAGGATTTTTGCATCAATGTTCATCAAGGATATTGGTCTAAAATTCTCTTTTTTGTTGTGTCTCTGCCAGACTTTGGTATCAGGATGATGCTGGTCTCATAAAATGAGTTAGGGAGGATTCCCTCTTTTTCTATTGATTGGAATAGTTTCAGAAGGAATGCTACCAGTTCCTCTTTGTACCTCTGGTAGAATTAGGCTGTGAATCCATCTGGTCCTGGACTCTTTTTGGTTGGTAAGCTATTGATTATTGCCACAATTTCAGATCCTGTTATTGGTCTATTCAGAGATTCAACTTCTTCCTGGTTTAGTCTTGGGAGGGTGTATGTGTTGAGGAATTTATCCATTTCTTCTAGATTTTCTCGTTTATTTGCGTAGAGGTGTTTGTAGTATTCTCTGATGGTAGTTTGTATTTCTGTGGGATCGGTGGTGATATCCCCTTTATCATTTTTTATTGTGTCTATGTGATTCTTCTCTCTTTTTTTCTTTATTATTCTTGCTAGCAGTCTATCTATTTTGTTGATCCTTTCAGAAAACCAGCTCCTGGATTCATTAATTTTTTGAAGGGTTTTTTTGTCTCTATTTCCTTCAGTTCTGCTCTGATTTTAGTTATTTCTTGCCTTCTGCTAGCTTTTGAATGTGTTTGCTCTTGCTTTTCTAGTTCTTTTAATTGTGATGTTAGGGTGTCAATTTTGGATCTTTCCTGCTTTCTCTTGTGGGCATTTAGTGCTATAAATTTCCCTCTACACACTACTTTGAATGTGTCCCAGACATTCTGGTATGTTGTGTCTTTGTTCTCGTTGGTTTCAAAGAACATCTTTATTTCTGCCTTCATTTCGTTATGTACCCAGTAGTCATTCAGGAGCAGGTTGTTCAGTTTCCATGTAGTTTAGCGGTTTTGAGTGAGTTTCTTAATCCTGAGTTCTAGTTTGATTGCACTGTGGTCTGAGAGACAGTTTGTTATAATTTCTGTTCTTTTACATTTGCTGAGGAGAGCTTTACTTCCAACTATGTGGTCAATTTTGGAATAGGTGTGGTGTGGTGCTGAAAAAAATGTATGTTCTGTTGATTTGGGGTGGAGAGTTCTGTAGATGTCTATTAGGTCTGCTTGGTGCAGAGCTGAGTACAATTCCTGGGTATCCTTGTTAACTTTCTGTCTCGTTGATCTGTCTAATGTTGACAGTGGGGTGTTAAAGTCTCCCATTATTATTGTGTGGGAGTCTAAGTCTCTTTGTAGGTCACTCAGGACTTGCTTTATGAATCTGGGTGCTCCTGTATTGGGTGCATATATATTTAGGATAGTTAACTCTTCTTATTGAAGTGATCCCTTTACCATTATGTAATGGCCTTCTTTGTCTCTTTTGATCTTTGTTGGTTTAAAGTCTCTTTTATCCAAGACTAGGATTGCAACCCCTGCCTTTTTTTGTTTTCCATTTGCTTGGTAGATCTTCCTCCGTCCTTTTATTTTGAGCCTATGTGTGTCTCTGCACGTGAGATGGGTTTCCTGAATACAGCACACTGATGGGTCTTGACTCTTTATCCAATTTGCCAGTCTGTGTCTTTTAATTGGAGCATTTGGTCCATGTACATTTAAAGTTAATATTGTTATGTGTGAATTTGATCCTGTCATTATGATGTTAGCTGGAAGTTCTGGCCAGGGCAATTAGGCAGGAGAAGGAAATAAAGGGTATTCAATTAGGAAAAGAGGAAGTCAAATTGTCTCTGCTTGCATACGACATGATTGTATAACTAGAAAACCCCATTGTCTCAGCCCAAAATCTCCTTAAGCTGATAAGCAACTTCAGCAAAGTCTCAGGATACAAAATCAATGTACGAAAATCACAAGCATTCTTATACACCAATAACAGAGAAACAGAGAGCAAAATCATGAGTGAACTCCCATTCACAATTGCTTCAAAGAGAATAAAATACTTAGGAATCCAACTTACAAGGGATGTGAAGGACCTCTTCAAGGAGAACTACAAACCACTGCTCAATGAAATAAAAGAGGATACAAACAAATGGAAGAACATTCCATGCTCATGGGTAGAAAGAATCAATATCGTGAAAATGGCCATACTGCCCAAGGTAATTTACAGATTCAATGCCATCCCCATCAAGCTACCAATAACTTTCTTCACAGAATTGGAAAAAACTACTTTAAAGTTCATATGGAACCAAAAAAGAGCCCGCATCGCCAAGTCAATCCTAAGCCAAAAGAACAAAGCTGGAGGCATCACACTACCTGACTTCAAACTATACTACAAGGCTACAGGAACCAAAACAGCATGGTACTGGTACCAAAATAGAGATATAGATCAATGGAACAGAACAGAGCCCTCAGAAATAACGCCGCATATCTACAACTATCTGATCTTTGACAAACATGACAAAAACAATCAATGGGGAAAGGATTCCCTATTTAATAAATGGTGCTGGGAAAACTGGCTAGCCATATGTAGAAAGCTGAAACTGGATCCCTTCCTTACACCTTATACAAAAATTAATTCAAGATGGATTAAAGACTTAAACATTAGACCTAAAACCACAAAAACACTAGAAGAAAACCTAGGCATTACCATTCAGGACATAGGCATGGGCAAGGACTTCATGTCTAAAGCACCAAAAGCAATGGCAACAAAAGCCAAAATTGACAAATGGGATCTAATTAAACTAAAGAGCTTCTGCACAGCAAAAGAAATTACCATCAGAGTGAACAGGCAACCTACAGAATGGGAGAAAATTTTTGCAACCTACTCATCTGACAAAGGGCTAATATCCAGAATCTACAATGAACTTAAACAAAATTTACAAGAAAAAAACAAACAATCCCATCAAAAAGTGGGTGAAGGATATGAAAAGACACTTCTCAAAAGAAGACATTTATGCAGCCAAAAGACACATGAAAAAATGCTTATCATCACTGGCCATCAGAGAAATGCAAATCAAAACCGCAATGAGATACCATCTCACACCAGTTAGAATGGCAGTCATTAAAAAGTCAGGAAATAACAGGTGCTGGAGAGGATGTGGAGAAATAGGAACACTTTTACACTGTTGGTGGGACTGTAAACTAGTTCAACCATTGTGGAAGTCAGTGTGGCGATTCCTCAGGGATCTAGAACTAGAAATACCATTTGACCCAGCCATCCCATTACTGGGTATATACCCAAAGGACTATAAATCATGCTGCTATAAAGACACATGCACACGTATGTTTATTGCGGCACTATTCACAATAGCAAAGACTTGGGACCAACCCAAATGTCCAACAATGATAGACTGGATTAAGAAAATGTGGCACATATACACCATGGAATACTATGCAGCCACAAAAAATGATGAGTTCATGTCCTTTGTAGGGAAATGGATGAAATTGGAAATCATCATTCTCTGTAAACTAACCCAAGGACAAAAAACCAAACACCACATGTTCTCACTCATAGATGGGAATTGAACAATGAGAACACATCGACACAGGAAGGGGAACATCGCACTCTGGGGACTCTTGTGGGGTGGGGGGAGGGGAGGGATAGCATTTGGAGATATACCTAATGTTAAATGACGAGTTACTGGGTGCAGCACACCAGCATGGCACATATATACATATGTAACTAACCTGCACATTGTGCACATGTACCCTAAAACTTAAAGTATAATAAAAAAAAAAGAAAAAGACCATGAAGGTCTTGAGGCATTAAAAAAAAAAAAAAAGAAAGAAAGAGCAAGAATGTTTAAGCTCTTTTTTTGGTAGAGTGACGTCTGGACAATTGCCCTTTGAACTAATTTGAGAGAGAGAGAGAAAGACAAAAAGGCAGAAAATAAAAAGTAGGTTAGAAAAATAGTCCCACCAGTTTGAATACGGTTTAACCGAGATCCAACCACTGCCATCCAACTCTGACACTTTTGGACTTGATTCTTGCTCTCTTCTGTTTAGGGAAGATAGAGAATTGGAGAACAGACACGTCTCCTAATCTAGCTACCGTCCCAATTTTCATATCACTGGCACAATCACAAAGATTTCACTTTTTTCTTCTTTTAGTCATGAATAACCATCCATTATAACTAAATACTCATTGCATATAAGGCAGCAGCCTCCAAAGTAAACAAAACGAATGTGGCATGATAGTTGAAAGCCTCCAAAATGATCAGATTTGAATTGAATTTTTGCAAGATTAATGCTTTAAAAATTAAATTGCCTATTCTTGGAAGAGAATAAAAAGAAACAATTCCAAAGATGAATTGGAAACAGAAAATGAAAACATTTAATATAAACAGTGAAGCAGGAACATTCCAAATCAGTCTTCCTGGAGTACTTATTTGGGACTACCATAGACTAGACTAGAGCTGTGCTGCTCTTAACACTGAAAGGGGCAGGCTGTTTCTCTTGATGTGAAGAAAACACCCCAAGTTAAGAAATTATACGCTATTGATGACTTGAAATTGTCTGTACAATGTAGCTTTGTACGTGATATCATTTTTTATTCTTTAAAATAAAAAATGCTGAATACATACAATCATTAGTTTATCATTAAACTGTAAAATTTGTAAAGGTAATTATTTAAATATTTTTAACATATAGCATCAAACCCTAACACAATTTTTTTTACTCTTAAATTTTTTAAAAAATTAAAATATTTTTCGAATAGTTTTAATGAAGTTTTGTTTCTCTTGCTGGAGGGACCTATATATAAAAAGAAATGTGAAAATTGCAGCAAGATTTTTATTGACATCAAGAAATAGCTGTACATTTGAAAGAGGCTACATTTTCCCTAATTCTAGGCTTCATGGAAGTATTTATATAGGAGCTTTCTATAACTTTCTGGTCATGTATTTGCAATATTTCTAATGTATCTGAAATTAATATATGAATATATGAAATAAATGACAGATGGATAATTATAGATGCTTTCCATTTCTCTCTATTCTCCTCCCAGTTGAGACAAAAGGATTTGTCCTCGCTACACTTTGTTTCTGTTTTGTTTTGTTTTTTGATCTTCCAAGCTTTCCCAGTTATTTTCAAAGAGAAGAAGAATGCACTCTTGCTGAGAAAGACTGTTCTAAAAGTTTAATACTTTTATTAATTTTTGTCTGTTGGATTAAGTCTCTGAATTCAGCTGCTAGAAAGCCCAGAATATGGACTTGTATTTCTTTACATAGGTTACATGTAAACAAGTCTACTATTTAAAACACACTGGATAATTTTTTTCATTAATGTAATCCCCAAACACATAAGTATTTTGAGAGCCAACATCATTCCTTTCTGTAAGAAATTTCAACTAGTGTTAAAGTTAGAAGTTCAAGTCACAATTCATTATCTGCAGACATGGGGATATCTCACAGATAAATTCCAGCTGCAAACCATGATAGTGAGTCTAGATTTAACGTTTGACTTTCTGGTTGACAGGGTGAGTAATTTGAACCTGAGTTGATAGTAGTGACCCTCAACTAGAACAACTTGAAGTAAATTCTTCTTGCAGTTAGGCTGCACTTCTCAATAACCTCTTACTCAAGGAAAATAAGTTATTTTGGTGGAGAATTAAGTGAAACAAACCAGAAGAGTAAGATCTTCTTCACATATATTTATTTTTGTATAGGGTTTCCTTGACCCGTCAATAATAGAAATAGCAAGCCAGAATTACTTTTTCATCCAACCTGTTATAAAAATAAGAAAGGAGTGGGAGAGATAAAGGAAAGGGTAGAGAGAAGTAGAAATGTAAGTAATTAATAGATTGCTTTAAATTCTATTGTTGTGAATGTTTTGAGTACGAGAACAAATATGTAAGAATAAATTAGATGTGGTAATAATCAAAAGAATAACAATTAAATTGACAGATTGGGGTTCCATGGTAATTCTTAGAATAATATCCATGTCTATATTTCCTAGCATGTATGTCAAAGGTTGTGTTTTCCTAATTTTCAGAGCAGCAAACTTCACCTGGGATATCAAACTCAAGCTGTGTTTCTTCCCACCTCTTATGTTAATAATAGTCTTTACAATCTTTCTCTCAGAATTTGCATAGTCATTTGGGCTAGCATTTTTACAATTTGAATAAAATCTTAAATGTAGAATAGGAATGTATAAAAATAAATGTATGTACTCTATTTGAAAGTTTAAATCTAAGGACACAGTGCATTTCACAAACAGAAGTGGCATCTTTGTGTTTCCCCATTAAAAAATGAAAAGTTGGCTCAGATGCTTCTTTAATCTGTCGTGATATTTATCTTCTATTTCAATACTCTTTCATATGTTGGTAACCGATGATGTAATAATCAAAGAATGAACTGATTAACTAAACAACAGTATGATTGGAAGGCTTTTTTTTTAAAGCTTCAACAAAGGAATAGGAGTAAAGTAATTTTCAAACAATCAGTTTCAAGAAATAATACAAAAAATAGAACTGAAGTCTTTAAATGCAGTGTTTGGTTTATTATTATTATTGCTATACTTGAAGTTAACAAAAAAATCAAATCATTAGAAAATAATCTAAGCCCGGTGTTTTATTCCAAAACCTTTCCTGTTGTTACAACTGAAGTGCCCACTCACCCTTCCTTTCACTTTCTACATCCAAGTTACTGTATAGTGAGAATTCATTTTCAGTATAAGTCTGAGATACTGCATGTAAGCCATCAAAAGAAGACAGCTAAGCTCACAATATTATATTTATAAAGTCAGGAAAGTGAACCTATACATTATAAAGGATTTTCCAGAGCAGGAGTTTAAACTAAAAGCATTTTCTGTTTTTATTTTCAGATATTAAGACTGTTAGATTAATAAATCTTTTAAGAACTCAAACAAAGATCAGTGGCAGCAACTTAGGTCTTAAACCATAAAAAGTTAACTCTTTTTTTTAAAAAATATGTTCTCTGATGACAAGATCTTTTCTGTTTACAGTAACATCATTATTCCACAAGTAACATTCTGGTACATGGCCATTTAACTGACTGGATAGGTTTTAATAAGATTGCAGCAACATTATGTTTCTGCAACATTAGACTGTAGATTATCCACCTTATTCAATTAGATGTTCTAAAATACTTATTGCTATATAACAAATTGCCCCAAAACTCAGTGGCTTTAAACAACGACGATGATTATCTCATGCTTTCTGTGGATCAAGAATCCAGGCATACCTTAACTCAGATCTCAGTGTGAGAGTCCTCCACAAGGCTGCAATACGGGAGTTAGCCAGGGCTGCAGTCTCATTCGAAGACCTGAATAGGAAGAGTTTGAGCTCACTTAAGCTTCTGCTGGAAGGATGCAGTTTCTCAAAGACTTTCGGACTCAGAGATTCTGTTTTTTGCTGATGGTTGGCCAGAGGCCACCTAAGTTCCTTGCCATGGAATTCATAGATTAATACAAATTAATTAATCAGGGAAAGCACACAAGAGCAAGAAAGAACGCCAGCCAGAAAAGAAGTTACAGTTTTTACAACCTAATCTCAGAAGATACATTCCATCATTTTTGCTCTTATCTAATCATTGGAAGCAATAATTAGGCCCTGCCTGCAGTAGAGAAAAGAGGATTCCATAATAGTGTGAATACCAGAAGACAAAGATATTTGGGAGATAGTTAAGAAGGTTACTCATCACAAACTCAGACCATCAGATTAGTGTATGAACTATACTAATGTGCTATATTTTAAATAATTTTTCAGAGAAAATACCACTTTTGTTTATTTTTAAAAGTGACATAAATTAATACGTTAACAGTTGATTTGATGGTCACTAGTATAGTGAGTTAAGAACTAAATGTGGATACTTTCCTATAGGAGGTAAATAGAAAATGATGCATGTTTTTCTCTGACAGATTTATTATATATACTATAAAAGTAGAACATTATCATATTATTAACATATGTATAATCATTTGCTCAGAATGGCAATATAATTTTTCAAGATTTAAAAATTTCCAAGGGCTTTCTCCTTTTTTTAAGTAATATTCTAGATTTTTATTCTTGAATTTTAGGTCACTGAAGAGGCTACGTTTTCTTAATAAAAATGATAATATTAATTGTATACTTTCAACAATTTAATTTGTTTCCCTAACATTAATTTATGTACACATTCCCATGTACACATATATACATTCAACGGAATGTACCTCTTGTTAAGGAAGTCCTTTTCAGACTATTTTACTATACATAACCATCTAAAGGAAGCACATGTCCAATTCTTACTTATGGCTGTAATGGGCTTTGATTCTTCTTTAGGGTTTGCCTAGGGCAGCCACCTAGGCAAAAGAATATAAACTTTTGGATTTGCATCTTATTTCTTGCTTCATTAATTGCATTAACTTCCAAACTGATGAATTCTTTGAATTAAAATGCCATTTACATTTAATACCAAAAATCACTTTCTTTGCATTTAAACCTTTTAATTATAGTTTTGAATTATAGTTCTAAATTGTGTTTGTCAAAGTCTTAATTAGATTTCTGTTGTAGTGATATAGTAGTTGGCTGAACAGTAGCAGGACTGAATAAGATGGTTTTCTATATAATAAATTGGAAGCCTGCTTAAAGTGTTTGGCATGTAATGCAGACTTTCTATACTATGTAAATACAAGATGATGTCTAGGATTGGCAAATGGTATATATAGGTAACTATTGATTTACAGAGAAAGATAAAATCTAGACACCTAAAGAAGAGACCTTTCTTTTTTCCTACAAGTACAGGCTGTGTGGGATTTGTATGGAATTTCATTTAATAAGAGATTTTATTTTGCTATTTACTTACAACAGTGACAAATGGTGGCCAGGAGGAAAAGCAAAGTATGTAATCAATCTTAACACCTTTGTTGTTTTCCTAAGAGAATAAAAAAGACTAAAAAAAGGACAAAGCAAAGAAGATACTTTGAAGGAAAAAGAGACAAAAACGTTTCTTGTTTGTGCTATTGAGGATGATGGTGGTGCTGGTACTGATAATGACAATAATGGTAATAATGAAAAATATTTCCGGTCTTTAAAAGTCACTAGATGTTAGGTATTATTATCACAGTTTCACACATGAGGATATTTGAGATTCATAGAAGACAAAATTTTGCCTAAATTGACACTTCTAAAAAAAATCTTAGAGCAGTATTCAAATCCAGGTCAGTCTTCTTTAATTTCTGGGTCCTTTCCATTATTTCAGGCTGCCTGTCATGAAGACACTGAATGTCAGTGTTAGCCACATACACGTTATCTCAGTTATTTCTATTGTCATCACATATTAAATCTAATTCCTATAATTTCTTCCTGAAAACTGCTGAGAACTTGTGCTTTCCAAATTTTTGATATTTTAAAAATACAAATATAACTCCACTACTACGTGGAAATATTTACAGAAAAAACATATTGTGAACATTCAAAGAATACCAAACATTGTTGCCGTTGTCTCTAAATAAACCCTAAAACTTATAATGGATAGTAAATTATAGCTGCTCTTAATGAATAAAAATTCAACACAATTTATAAAAGTATGACAGACCTAATTTAGATTAATATCACGCCTTGAACTCTGAGAGTTTTTACTGATATTATTGTGATTTTTAATAACTGCTGTTTCAATTATTGCTGCTAAAAGAAGACATTGAGAACGTGAGATTTGGAGTCAAACAAACATGGGACAAATCCCAGCTTTGCCAGTAGCCACAGGACTTTATATTAATTTCTCAGGGGTCTACTTTGTTTTTCAAAAATATAGAGATTAACTAGTATGGACTTCATGGGATTACTGTGCAGAGGAAAGAATATAATATGCTCTATGAATGGACACTACATTATTGTTATTATCATCATCATCATTCAGTACAGATATTTAAAAGAGCAACAACCTCGGTTTTGAATATGACTAGATAAGGTTGCCTCTTGGTGGTTCTTATTTATTTACTCCTCTATATTTATTGAGATCAGATCATTTGCCTGGTTCTTTGCTAGCCATTAAGATAGATAGGGAATAACATGCATTTTCCCCCCTCAGTCTTATTCCTGTTATCCCCACTCCCAAACTTGCTGTGTTAGTCCATTTACTTCACTATAAAGGAATATCTGAGGCTGGGTAATTTATAAAGTACTGATGTTTAATGGGTTCACAATTCTGCAGGCTGTACAGGAAACATGGTACCAGCATCTGCTTCTGCTGAGGGCCTAAGGGATCTTACAACCATGGCAGAAGGCGAAGGGGCAGCAGGTGTATCATGTGACAAGAGTAGGAGCAAGAGAGTGAGAGGAGGGAGGTTCCAGAACTCTTTTACACAACCAGCTGTCATGAACTAACTGAGTGAGAACTCACTTATCACCAAAGGGATGATGCTAAACTATTCCTAAGGGATCCAGGGATCCACCCCCACCATCCAGTCACCTCCCACTAGGCCCCACCTCCAACATTGGGAATCACATTTAACATGAGAGTTGAAGGGGAAAAAAATTCAAACCATATCACCTCCTACTGCTTTAAACACAACTGAGGCTTAACAAGAGGCCAGAATATCCAAGGATCTGTTGGGTATTAAGGCCATTTTTTTGTTTGTTTCTTGTAGTCTAAAAACTTTAAAAAGGGTGTGGACATGGTTCTGTTTAAAAATCACTCTGGCTAATATAAAGGATATGTGGGAAGAGCTCTTCAGGCACATACACAAGTTAAGAGTCCAGTGCAGTCACCCACAGAAGAGATTATAATAGGTTGGGCTAAGTCAGTGGCAGTGAAGATAAAGAGACGTGGATGGACTTGATATTAAACAGAGGCAACACTGAGAGGTCTTCTAATAGATCAGATATGTGAGGGCAGGTAGAGTGAGGAAAGCAAGGATGAGGTGATACCCATTTGAGGAAGAACAACTAAGGACAGATCAGATTTACATGGGAAAACTAGAAGATCAGCTTTAGACATGCTGAGATTAAAATGATTATGATATATCCAAGCACAGATGTCAAGTACGTCATTGGCTAAAGAAAACTGGAATTCTTAGGAAACGTTTCCATGGAGATACAAATGTTGAAGTTTTTATCAGGCAGATGAGTTAAAAATCAGTTGGAAAATAAAGAGGCATTTTAGCAAGCTATGAGAATATGTAACATTTCAAGGCCAGATAAAAAAGAGAGTAGGGTTGGGTGTGGTAGCTCAGCACTGTGATCCCAAAACTTTGGGAGGTCGAGGTGGGAGGATTGCTTGAGCCCAGGAGTTCTGAACCAGCCTGGGCAACAAAGAGAGACCCCATCTCTAAAAAAAGGAAAAAAAAAAAGAAGAGGGTCATGTATAGAAATTACCTATCAGAGTGCTGTTGCATATTTAAATGTAAATAAAAATTCTTAACAGCAATAGTTAAAAATTATATTTTTGCTCACCTCAGATATCCATACAAGATTAATATTAAGCCAAAAATAAAATTAGGCCACTAAATGTGTTTCAAATATTTTAATCATTTGTAGTTATCATCACTAAGTTACAACTATGTGTTTGTAGATGACTATAACTTGCATCTATTAATAATTCCATTAATAGTAATTAAACTTTGACTTAAGTTAATTTTTCCATTTTTTATTTACCAGGAATATTGGTAACATCCACTTTGTGTTACTTCTACATCTTAAACTATGATAGAATTTTCTGAGCCAAATATCTTTCTTTGTGATTTAGCTGAGCAAGAAGGAAGGCAAAGAACACTGCAATGATGATATATAAGGTGACCTTTTGTTTCCTTCTTCCTCTCGCCTTCTGATTTCAGGTACTCTGAATGCTTTCATTTGGAATGTAAATCTGCTTTTGTGCAAAGGCAGCTTTGATTAAGTTCTGTAAGTTCTTGAGTTAAAATTTCAGCCAAATCTCAAGGCCTTCACTAAATTTTTACATTATTTAGTTTCTTAGCGGTCTTAAGCCTTATTAAAAGCAAGATCCTTAAGAATCATTCATTTTTTTGGATGGGCATGCTATGTCACTTACTTGTCATTTTTGTACATACATTTAAAATCTAGGTACTTTTTCTACCATTTCCTTTTTATAAAGACAAAGAATATTTGTTTTGCTTCATCTATGAGGTAAGAAGAGTAATGGATGTTCAGGATTGTATTTTTGCACATGGTTTCCAGATTTATTCATTATTGTCCTATTTGTTTAAGGTTATTTTTGTCATATTTTAAATTGCATGACTGACAAGAAAACTTGATTATAACAAAATTGTCTGATGCTGAATATAGATGACACGGAGCACTTGCTCAGAGGTCCTAGTACACAGATGTCTAAGCTATTATCTTGGGCCAAATCCTCACTTATTTTGCCAAAAGCACATATTAATTAAATAGAGTCAGAACTTTCTGCAATACTGCATTCACATTCTGGCTCAGTGAGTGCGTCAACATTCATATTTTTGGGTTTGTTTGTGTTTTCCCTTTGAATGACTTAGGCATCATGTCAGTCATTGTTTCTTATTAATTGTATTCATTCCTTAAATGAACACAACTTTTCCCAACATCTTGAGTTTGTTTCAGTCTTCCGCTAAGTAAACTCTTAAGATTTGCAAATAAAAAATCTTAAGTTATACAGATGCCATGTTAGTGTTGGAAGATTCCGGAGTGGTAGATAGAAACTCATTCCCTGAGCCACACAGAACTGGTTTTATACTTTGGCTTTGAATAATTAGATTTTTGAACTTGGCAAGTTTTTTAAAAATTTATTGTTGTTTTAATTGTTAGTCTTTTAAATCTTTATTTGAAGGAGAATATTAAATTCTGTCTATGAAAAAAATTAGCTGCAAGTATTAGAAAAAATAAATTAGCTTCATCTGGCACCAAGTAGATACTTAATAAATGGCATTTTTATTATTACAGAAATTTTAATAAGTGGTATTATTACATAAATTTATTTTATTTTATTTTTGAAATGAAGTGTCACTCTGTCATCCAGGCTGGAATACAGTGGCGCGATCTCAACTCACTGCAACCTCCACATCCCAGGTTCAAGTGAGTCTCCTGCCTCAGCCTCCTGAGTAGCTGGGACTACAGGGCACACCACCATGCCTGGCTGATTTTTGTATTTTTAGTAGAGATGGGGTTTCAACATGTTGGCCAGGCTGGTCTCAAACTCCTTACTTTAGGTGATTCACCCTTCTCAGCCTCCCAGAGTACTGGGATTACAAGTGTGAGCCACCACACCCAGGCTATTACATAAATTTGGACATTATGGAAGCTGAGGCAGATGCTCTAGATTTGCTGACTCAATTTTCATATCAACTTTTTTCTAGAATGAATTATGTTTCCTAAGCTCTCTTGCTGGTAGGGTTCCAAGACTAACTGTCTTATACCAGGCAGATGCACGCATGTAGAACAGGGAGAGAAAGTGAGCAGCATGAAGCTGGGAGAACAGAACTCCTACGAAGCATGTCACCAGAGGGGTTTGGTTCTTTTAGGACTGGAAGTGCTGGCAGTGGCTTCCTGATGTGGCAGCTCTTGGTCACAGCAAGACTGTGTTGTCTAAAGCATGAGTTAGCAGCATTTCCCTTAGCAGATCAGTTCCAAGGTAGCAATTTGACAGTTCTTTGAATTTCTGCCTAGAGTAAATTCCTTATACCTCCCCCACAATCCCATGCACTATTAAAATATTCTTTAATGAATTCTTTCCTACTTTATGTCACAAGAATGGATTCTGTTTCTACAACTGACCAATGCAGTAATCACTTACATGTGATGAAAAAGTAAAATGCATAATATATTTAAGCCAGTGTATTGTTTGTTTTAGAGGGAGTTCTCTGTTACTTCAGTTCAACTTTATAATTAGACGAATTATGGTAAGGAAATAGAATTTACAATGTGGAGTTTACTGAAGGAGAAAATGGAGAAGTGAATATTGAGAACCAGATACTACAGGATAGAAAGCTAGTGATCCGCCTCATTACATGGTGGTAAAATATTTGTTTACACCACTCACCTAATGTACATTTGAAAGCAAAACACATACCAAGGGGAGACTTAAAAAAAAAAAATCAGATTGCCTACGTAGCTGGCTTCTCTCTGTCAATTTCTTTTCTTTTCTTTTTCTTTTTTTGAGACGGAGTCTGGCTCTGTCGCCCAGGCTGGAGTGCAGTGGTGTGATCTCGGCTCACTGCAAGCTCCGCCTCCCGGGTTCATGCCATTCTCCTGCCTCAGCCTCCCTAGAAGCTGGGACTACAGGCACCCGCCACCATGCCCGGCTAATGTGTGTGAGTGTGTGTGTGTGTGTTTAGTAGAGACGGGGTTTCGCCATGTTAGCCAGGATGGTCTCGATCTTCTGACCTCGTGATCCGCCTGCCTCGGCCTCCCAAAGGGCTGGGATCACAGGCGTGAGCCACCGTGCCCAACCTTTCAGTTTCTTCAGGGTCCTACAGGACCCAGACATTCAGTCTTATTTTCTTTTTCTGTGCAGATATTCAATTCACTCAGCACCGTTCATTAAAAAGACCATCATTTCCCCACCATACTGCAGTGTCACCTTGTGTTCAATCAAGAAACAGCATTAGGTGGGAGTCTACTCTGTGTTCTCTTTTGTGTTCCACTGTTTTATATATGCATCTTAATGCCAACACCACAGTCTTAATTATTATAGCTTTGTAAGTCTTTATTTGTGGTTGTGTTAGCCCATTAAGACTACTGTAACAAATGCCATAGACCAATTGTCTTATAAACGAAAAATACTTATTTCTCAGAGTTCTGAAGGCTGGGAAGTCCAAAATCAAGGTGCTGGCAGATTGAGCGTCTAGTGAGAGCTTGCTCTCTGCTTCTTGGATGGTGCCCTCTTGCTGTATCTTCACATGGTGGAAGGGGCAAGGTGGATCTTTTGGCTCACTTTTATAAAGGCACTAATTTCTTTCATGATGAATAATCACCTCTTAAAGGCCTCACCCATAGGGGTTAGGATTTCAACATATATATTTGGGAGAACACAAACAGTCAGCCCATAGCAGTGATAATGCTTGTTCTCCTTTAAGATTGTTAAGTCATTGTTGGGCCTATGCATTTCCATGTAAATATTAAATTCAGGTTGTTAACTTCTAGATTTTTTTTTTAGGTGTTAGATTTTGTCTGAGGTTGCCCTAAATCTATAGTTCAATTTTGGCAGAAATGACATCTTTAAAATATTGATTCTTCCAAAGAGAAAAAAATAGAACTTGGTTATATTTATTTAAATCTTTTGAAATATATCTTGATAATATTTTTAGCTTTCTTTGTATAGGTCTTACCCACATTTCATTACATTTATTCTAGGTTTTTCAAAGTTTTCTTGATACAATATTTATTGTATCTTAATTTTTTAAAAAATTTGCTCAGCACACAGAAACACAGTTGTTTTTATACATGGATCTTTTATCCAAAGACTTGATAAATCCACTTCCTCATTCTAAGTTTGTCTTTAGATGGTTTTAAATTTTTATAGCATAAAACCATGTCTTTTGCAAATAACAACCCTTTTTTTATGTATCTATCAACTTTCATATATTTTTGTTGCCTCATTGCTCTAAGACCTCTGGTAAAATGTCAAAAGGAGTACTCATAGTGAACATTTTTGTTCATTTCTAATCTTTGGGGAAAAGGCATTCAATGTTTTAATTAATTATAAACTTTATGAAGTGGTCTTTTCAGATATTCTAACAGCATAAGGGATTTCTCTTCTGTTTTTAGTTGTCTAAGAATTTTAAAGATCATAATGGGTATGGAATTTCTATCAGATAAATTTTCTGCATTAATTGAGTTTATCATATATTTTTCTCCTCTAGTTTGCTAATGTAATGTGATATAATTATAGTCTCATCACAAATTATGAATATATTATATTACATGGCAAAATAAACTTTGCTTATGTAATTAAATTTATAGATCTTAAAATGGGGAGAGTATTCTGGATTAGACTGAGGTGATCTCAGTCTTATCATATGAGCCCTTAAAAGCAGAGAACATTATTTGATTGAAGGCAAGACAGATATGGCAAAAGAAATCTGAAAGACTCCATCTGCCATTGCTGCAGAGAGGGCATATGAAAAGCATCAGGAGGAATACATACTGCCTCTAGGACTAGCCTCTGGCTGATAGTCAACAAGGAAACAGGGACCTAAGTCCTACAAGGAACTGAGTTTAGCCAACAACTTATGAGCTTGGAAGGCCCCATCTGAGCTACAGCATACCTGCTCTTCTGACCTACTGGACCGAGAAATTATAAAAGTATTGTTTTGTAGCACAACGTTTGTCAATAATTTGTTATGGCAGCAATAGAAAAATGAATATGTAGTGAAATTGGTTGACTTTTCAATTTTAAAACGTACATTTATGAAATAAACTCAAATTGCTCATTATATAGTATCCCTTTATCTATTACCCAATCTGATTTGCTAATAATTTGTTTATGGTCTTTGTATTTGTGTGCCTGCAAAAGATTGATCTACGGTTTCCTTTTTTATTAATATTTTTGTCAAATTTTAGTATCAAGGATATGCATTCTTACAAAATGAGTTGGTGAATTTTGAAGTGTTCCCATCTTTCTGTTCCCTGGAAGAGTTTGTTTAGATTTTTTTGTTTTGTTTTTTGAGAAGGAGTCTCACTCTGTCACCCAGACTGGAGTGCAGTTGCATGATCTCAGCTCACTGCAACCTCTGACTCCCGGGTTTAAGCAATTCTCCTCTCTCAGCCTCCCAAGTAGCTGATAATGCATGTGCTTGCCATTACACCTGGCTAATTTTTGAATTTTTAGTAGAGAAGGGGTTTCACTATATTGGCCAGGCTGGTCTCAAACTCCTGACCTCAGGTGATCCATACACCTTGGCTTCCCAAAGTGCTGGGATTACAGGCATGAGCCACCACGCCCAGCCTTCTTTCTTGTTTGCTTGGAGGAATAAATAAATGAAGCTGCTGTGTCGTAGAGCATTTCTTTGTAGAAAAGATTTTAATAACACATTCCATTTATTTAAGGGATGTAGAATATTTAATTGTTTTATTTCTTTGTGTCTGTTTCAATGTTTTGTTTTTCTAAAAATTTTGTTAGTTTAACCTAAATTTTTAAATATAATTGAATTAATATCCTCTTTTGTTTTTTGGAATATTCCATTTCTAGAAATACTCTATTTCTGAAATTTGTTTCTTTGTGCATTCTCTTTTTTCTCTTTAATTTCTTTTGCTAGGGAATCATCCATTGTATTAATAATGACTGTGAAGATGAAACTTTTTTTGTTAATTTTTCCTATTGTATGTTATGTTTTATGTTTTTTGGGGTTTGTTTTTTGTTTTTTGTTTTTGAGACAGAGTCTCCCACTGTTGCCCAGGCTGGAGTGCAGCGGCACGATCTCGGCTCACTGCAACCTTCGCCTCCCTGGTTCAAGTGATTCTCCTGCCTCAGCCTCCTGAGGAGCTGGGACTACATAGGCCTGCCACCACACCTGGCTAATTTTTGTGTTTTTAGTAGAGACGAGGTTTCACCATGTTGGCCAGGCTGGTGTTGAACTCCTGACCTCAGGTGATCCGCACAACTCAGCCTCCCAAAGTACTGGGATTACAGGTGTGAGCTACCATGTTTGGCCCCTGTTATTATTTTTTTTAATTTCTTACTTTATCTGCATCATTTTTAGACCAATTGTTTTTTAATTTGTATAAATTTAGGACATACAAATGCAGTTTTGTTACTATTCCTTTTGTTTTACAGTGGTGCTCTATTTTTTTAATTATACTTTAAGTTTTAGGGTACATGTGCACAACGTGCAGGTTACTTACATATGTATACACGTGCCATGTTGGTGTGCTGCACCCAGTAAATCGTCATTTAACATTAGGTATATCTCCAAATGCTATCCCTCCCCTCCCCCCACCCCACAACATGTATGTTTATTGCGGCACTATTCACAATAGCAAAGACTTGGAACCAACCCAAATGTCCAACAATGATAGACTGGATTAAGAAAATGTGGCACATATACATCATGGAATACTATGCAGCCATAAAAAATGATGAGTTCTGTAGGGAGACCCCCTGAAACTATTGCTACGGAATAAAAGATGAAATGCTCCTGATTATTGTAAATACAAAATTGCATGCAGGATTGTGTAAAGACAATGCCAGGTTGGACTGCCAGAATGAGCCAACAGTGCGTGATGTGCTTCCCCCTGCAGAGAGCCTATGAATGGATGTGCAGTCGGGGAGGTTTCACATCACCAAGATTCCTATCCCAAAAAAGCAGATGTTCATAGCTCTGGGAATGGAATGTGACCCTTGTGGAGAGCCTATAAACGGATGCATGGGGGGGCGCCTGTCCTTATGGATAAGATAGGGCTATAAAAGCCCTCATCTTGCCACAGCTCTTCTAGGCCTCTTTAGGGTGAAGGCATACTCCCTTCTGAGAATTTCCGGTCTAACCCATTGTCTAGCTTCATGTCCTGTTTCCATGGATTGTTTGTAACCAGCTTTTTTTGCAATTGTTACTGCTGATTAATATCTTGCTAATCATAGGTTATGGAAAGATTGTGTTTCTGTTTTAAGGCCCTGTTAGAAATTACTGACACATCACTATATTGTAAATTCTTATCTCTGTATACTGTACTTCTACATACAAATGTTATGTTAAAGAATTACTTCATCCCCATGTGACCATCTCACCTCATAATCAAATGACCCTAAATCCCTCACTAACCTACCCCCGCCCTCACTAAAATTAATAATAAATGCTGGTATATCCAGTGCATTGTTGGCACCACAGGACCAGAAGGCGGTGACCCCCCGTACCCAGCTTTCACTATTTTGTGTGTGTCTATTATTTCTCAACCTGCCGATCCACCTGGGAACAAAGAGAGAGCCCCATTACATTGCGGGCTGCTGGTCAGATCCCACAATAGAGTTCATGTCCTTTGCAGTGACATGGATGAAGCTGGAAACCATCGTTCTCAGCAAACTATCGCAAGGACAAAAAACCAAATACCACATGTTCTCACTCATAGGTGGGAATTGTACAGTGGTGTTCTTTTTTAATTTATTGAGTTGGAATTTTGATAGGTGATTATCAGATTTTTTTTCCTTTTCTAACATATTAAGGCTGAAAGTTTTCCTTTAAATACAACTTGATCTACATCACATACCTATTAACATGTACACTCTGCAATAAGGACATTCTTGGACTCTATGCCATAAATTGTAGAATTTTATGCAGGACTAAATCATTCCCCCAGAATAAGACTGCAGTGGTGTCAGTACTGAATGAGACTCGTGTGCTGAACTCAGTATATCAGCTACCCTGGCGGTTAGAGGAGCTTCAAAAGAGGCTCGCCAGTATGTATTCAACAGAATTCAGATGCAGAGGGGAACTGAGAAAGCCAAAAGGCAGTTCCTGACAGATGGGGTCCGTGTGGATGGAGGCAGTTATGTTCACCACTCCTTGCCATGGGAAGCCAGGGTCAAATGGAGCTTCCGACTGGAGACTGGGCCTCCTCACCTGTATGCAATGCTTCATGCAGCAAAGTGGCAGCCATTCACCAATTCATCTCTGCGTGTGTTGGAGATCAGTTCGAGTGTTGTACATCCAGAAAGGTGGTTGCTATTCACTTTGTCTGGGATGAGAAAGTATCTGGTGGTTGCTTCTCTTCCGGATCACTTTTTCCTCCCTGTATGTGTATATGTCAGTGGTGGGGATGGGGTGGATTGGCTTTTCAATAGAGAAGGAATTAAATGCTATTACTAATGTACGGACATGAATTTACCATGAAGTTTTTAAAGCTTGAGGGACTTCTTAAGGGTGAATCCTAACAATATATTCACTTGGTCATGTCATTGCAAAATATATATATATGTATATTAATAATGTTATATATTAAAAAATATATATTTTAACCACAATTGATTTTAAGAGCTTATAACATAATATTAAAAACATGATATTCTTAATTATTAATTTTCTAACTTACCCATAACATTTTTTTATACTTTTGACTTCATACTCTGGATTCATCTCTGCTAATGCATTTGATGTGATTTCTCCATTCCTGAGAATTATGTGATAAGATACTTTAGTGAATTCAGTCAGGCTCCAGTGAAATCCAGGCAGAATTTCACATACTTCATTAAAAAAAGATGATGCAGTTTTGGGTAGATCATGAGTAATGCATTTAAATATGCAGTATTTTTGCCAGGGCCCTGCCAAAATTAGCAAAAGAGAAAGTGAGATGGGTTGACATTTATTAACTTGCTCATGTTCCTAGATATTTTCCTCTCCTGGTCTACCCGCAATGAAGAAGCATTGCCAGCGCAACAGCCTTCTCTCTCCACACCCCCCACACCCAACAGACAAACAAATAAACCGGAAGTGATCACTAAGCTAAGTAAATTTGGGGTGCTCAGGGTCTGTCCTTTTGATACTGTCTCTGTTGCTGTTCCTTCATGGTTCTCCATTGATATTTGTACACACAATAAAAGAGGATGATTTTTGCCTGGAGAAATCAAACACACACTTGGTTAACTTTCAAAACTAACCTAGTAGGAAATTTACACAGTGAAATCTGAACCTACTTCTTTTGCCTCAAGTGTGAGCGGCTGGCTATTTAGCACAAGCTTATGTTCTATGTAACTTTTGTCTGTATGTGATCAATACCCTATTTCATCTTTCCAAGTATAACTAGATAGTGTTGAGGTATGTCAGACACTTGAGTACTGTGCGCCATTCCCAACTTTACCCTCTTCTTATACTTATCAATGGATGAATGTGAAAGGTTTAGAAATTTCAGATATTGAGGAGATGAGCAATTAAATGTTACAATGTATAATCTTTTATAAGGATAATAGTTAAATGAGTGCCGTTACATGTTATACCCATTGAGAATTATCCAGCTCAAATTTGCCAACCCCAGCCAAAGGTAACTAGTCAATTTCTCAAAACCAAAAAGTGAAAACCAAAACAAAATCAAGAGGAGAGGAAATATGTGAATATAAGACACATAGTGTAGGAGTTCTGGATGGGCATTTTATACAGAGAAGGCTTTGAAATGAGAGATGAGGGAGATACTGGAATTTGGTAGGCCTGTCAAAGACAGAGAAAAATAAAAAGAAATTTAGAAACCATTGCTCTGGACTATTTGTTACCTTCATGGTGTTTCAAGAAGTACAAGTCAAGCAAAAGCCTTGAATTATTTTGAATTTGTTCTGTTTTCATGGGCTGCGTCATTTTAACTGCAACACCACCCTGGCTCTGAACTACGTAGGTCAAAGCCATAAAAGTATTTGTACACACCAGATTTATAACTTCCCCATGAATCAGGGAAATTTTGTCCATTGATGTATATAGTAGGTGTTCATATGGTACTTCTGTTTGCCTCTTATTTTTGCACTTATTAATATCTGTACATGTTTCTAATTTTCCCACATCCTTTCTTATGGACACATTTAATAAAATTAGGCTTTACATATTCAGATTTGATTTATAGAGTCTTTTGCAATGAAATACATGATGGGCAAATATTATACTAAAGCTTATAATTGTAATTTTGTTTGTAATATTTTTAAATAGATATATTCATTCTTTGGCTACTCCAGCAATGAACGAAGAAAGTCAGACTTCTCTAATAGTTACTGGTTACTGGGGGAGTCTGATTCATTTCCATCGCCGTCAAATGGGACCACGTAAGTTTATCTGTGCAAAACTAAAATAAAAAGTAAAAACAAAACAAACTCCCAAACTTATTTTCTGAGAAAACCTAGGGAATTATTGGAGGAAAAGAAATGATGCCATAAATAAGGAAATAATACATAGCCTAAGGTGTGTTTCTAAATAAGTGATCATCAGTCAGGAGCTCGGCATCATGGAAGCTGCTGATTCACCAGTTCTGCCTAGAACCCTTTTATTTCAGAAAGGACACAACAGAGTTCAGATCACCTCGGTGTCTTTCCTCCAAAACATAGACCTTGATTCACGGACATGGATACAAGTATTTCACTTGGATGGAATCTAAGAAAACATAGAGAGTTAGAATAAAGGTGGGCACAGATTCTCTGACTTTGGGAAACGGGATCTCTTCACTCACTGGCTCTATGACTGCTTTAATATGTACTGGGTTATGACTGCTTTGACTGACAGAAGAGAGTAGAAATGTATGGCAGAAATATTGCTGCATAATGACTGAAGCTAAATACAGGTCAAAGTACAGTGAAACTGCCGTGGTTTCAGATAGGCCCTGTGTTAATTCCATAACAATTCTGTCCCACTCTATGTTTATGACCCTTTGGAAGAGAATGCTCTCAGGCAGAGAGGTGGGGGTAACCATTAGCACGTAAGGGAATCATCTGCAGGTGAGGACAGGGATTATGTGTATGGTACCATATTCTCTCCTAACCATGTGGATTTTAGTTGCCAAATGTTTGACTGAAAGATCCCTTTGAGTGACTTAGCTTATATAATTTCATTGATCCAGGCATAGGATTTTAAAGCCTACGATGGTACTGAACTCCCTGCTGGATCAGAACTGGAAGAGACTATTATTGGCCATAGATATGAATTTGGCCTTCATCACAAGTGGGCAAAACAAAAAAGAAGCATAGAAGGCTTGTGTAAAATACAGATGTGATAGTTTGTTCTATCATAGACAGACAAGACAAAGAGGGTGAGCCAAAGCACTAAAATTACAAAGATTTCTTCCAGGTGGCTGGAAGGAAGGTTTTAAGGTAAATCTGTGTCAGATCCTAGGTTCCTTGTGTCTGTCGACCTTTATGCTTGAAGCTGAACTTTTTTTCTTAGCTAATGATGATGATTCTTAATTCTTTTTGGGTGAGAGAGTAAATTCTCTTTTTAGGAGATAAAGTGCAAGAGATGTCTAAGGAAGAGACATTGCCAGTGGGTAGAATGGCCCAGAATTATTACAAAGTTTTGAGGAATGACCAGAAAGGTTACAAGCATGGTACCAGTCTTAGATTTTTAAATTTTTATAATTTTTCTAATGTAACCTAATAAAAACAACACAAATCATTATATTGCTTTCTTCCACCATCAGAAACAGAGTGAAGCCATGTTCCTAAACAGAAGATATAACCCATGGCGTCTCGAAGTGCTCAGCACATACTGATATAGAAAAAAGGGAATATCTTCAGAAACCCGAGTCTCAGAGAGACCACAAAATCCTCTCCCATGAGAAGAGAGGTAATGTTTCCATCAGAGGGCCCCTGTGTGTACAGCACTGACAGCTTTGTCAGAGAGTACTTCAATTGAGGTAAGATTCCACTAAGAATAAGAATAAACCTAATAATTCTCCTTCAGTACAGTTGAATAAAGTTCTTACTTGTTGACTCAGATATGTTCAGCTGTTTGACTCTCTGCTTCATGCCAGCTAATAAACTTACTAATTTAATGTCTGAATTAACACTTACATCATTATTAAAAAATGGTTAACATAAAAGAATGTATTTGACTACCTGACGACTATCTCTGGGGTTTCTCATATAATACATTAAAAAATCTAAGAAAACCAAGCTTAAGAAATTTTCCAGAAAATTCTTTTGACTAAAGTATTATACTACCCAGTGTTACTGGTAAGATCTTTTCATGTCAATACCTGAAATGTTATAGTCCATATACATTGAAACTATTAAGATCAGCCCAGGAAACACAGTGAGATCCTGTGTCCACAAAAATTTTTTAAAATAAATTAGCTGGATATGGTGGCACATGTCTGTAGTCCTTCCTACTTGAGAGGCTGAGGTTGGAAGATAACTTGAGCTCAGGAGATGAAGGCTGAAGTGAGTCGTGATAGTGCCACTACACTCCAGGCTGGGTAACAGAATGAGACCCTGTCTCAAAAAAAAAAAAAAAAAAAAAAAAAAACAACAATGGCTTCCTTGAGGCTATTTCTAGATTTACCTTAATTCTCAGTTTTTACTGTGTGTTTCAAATAATTCAGCTAACCCTGGAATAGTGCCATTTATCAATATTCCTATTGCACTGTGCAGATTCAGTGTTGGTTATTTAAAATAAAGTATTGGTTGAACCTTCTTTTTTAAAGGTAACTTTGGCCAATAATGTTGTGTTCATTATTGCTTTTGTTGTCTTGAGAAATCCTGAAGATTAATTTCAGTTTATTTTCTTTTCTTCTTAATCTACTGTTTGGTCCTTTTCGTTATTCCTTGGTTTTATTTGATTTATTAGCTATTTTGTTGATCACTTGTCTGCGGTTTCTATTACTCCCACTTTTACTTAATTATTAGAGTGATTACACCATTTTCTCTTTAAATGGATAATCATTTTTAAAGTTCTGTCAATTAGTCTCTTACACCTTTAATGATGTTAACTACAGCAGCTAGCAAAATTTATTTCAAATTCCAGTCGCTCTCTTCTGCTCTCTCTCTCTCTCTCAGTAAAATCTATAAAAATGAGCACTGAAATAATAACGTGATGAAAATTATTATTTTGAAAATCTATATTTCCATCTTTTGTTACTAGGAATTTTAGAAGCTTAACAACTGAGAATAAATCACAAAATGACTTGACTTAGCTAATGTTCAAACATAGAGACTATGAAGTAAAGTACAAAATAGAAAATAGAGGATAAATTAAAATATTATAAAACCAAATGATCAATTTGTTTTTATAATCCAGACCAAAAAAAGATTGCATTATTTCTAATTTATCTGACATAAATGTCTCATGAGATTTTTAAATTTTATCATACAAGTGTATAATGCTGAGAATCTTTATATAGGCATAACTACAAAAGAACTTTATGAGACAAAGTCATTAGGTGCTGTGTGTAGAAAACTCTCATGCCATTTCCAATCTTTTAAAAAATCAAAAAGTTATGGGGGAGTGTGTCAGAATCAACCTCTGTTCAGCCCATAGATATTACAAGTTGAGTATCCCTTATCTGAAAATGCTTGGAACAAAAAGCATTTTAAATTTGGGATTTTCTTCAGATTGTGGAATATTTGTGTGTACATAATGAAATATCTTGGGGATAGGACCCCAAGATATAAATTTCATTTATATTTCATACATAACATATCATAAAGAAAATTTTCTACAATAGTTTTAATAATTTTGTGGATGAAACAAAGTTTATTTACAGTGACCCATCAGAGAGCAAAGATGTCACTCTCTCTGTCACCTATGTGGACAGTGTGTGGTTGTTCGGCATCACCATCATTCCTGATTCTGAATTTATACACTACCAATAAGCAATCATTTTTTATACTACTCACACATAAGAACTTAACAGTAAAAAATATGGCATACCATTAATAAAGTAAAAAAAAAGGATGTGTTCAGGGTAGCTAAGCAGCACAGTAGCATCACTGGAATACCTGCATCAACTGGCAGTGACAGGCTTTCAATCTTTACCTGTAGTGCTGTATTTTGATTAAAAATAACTGTACCCTGTGTGTTTTTTTTTTAGGTGAAGGAATCAGAGGCAGTTGAGGAACCAGGAAGTGAGTCCTCTAAGGATGAGGAGACATTCTGCTGGATGGCTTTTTAAAATGTTTCCTCCACTCATTTGCCTCACTAACATTTTGGTGGTTTTTTTTGTTTGTTTTTGTTTTTGACTTAGAAGTCTTTCTTTTGATCTGATAAATTGACATGATTTTTTGTTCTGCTGTAAATGCATGCTCTTCTAGTCCTTCAATAAGCCAATCACACATTTTCATTATGTCATCTACAGGCACTATTTTCTGCAGTGTTAACAACGTCATCTTTATCATCACTATTATGATGATCATGTTAATTCAGAACCATTTCACTTATTTCATCATTAGTCAATGAATAAACAACTGGAGCCGACTTCTCAATGTTAAAAAACTTCTTTGATATCCACTTCTTCCAACCTACTGACAGACTCTTAAGGTATAGTTTTTGTATATGTAAGGGAGCCAAACATAATTTTTCTTTTCACTTGACATACAGAAATCTTCAAAGTTATCACCTTGTTCATCATCATCACATAGTGAATATAGTCACAAGCCAGAGGTTGTGTCAGGCATGCACAACTGTTTCTTTAGTCACTGTGTTCCAAACACTGGCAACAGCATACACAGCATCCTTGATGCTAAACTTTTCTTGAAAACCTTCCACACCCATGTTTCTGTTCACTGCTGTTCGTATGCCATTCAAAAAAGTGTTTTTATATTTACTCTTCATTGATCTAAAGATACTGTGGTCACATGACTGAGATAAAGAAGTCTCATTTGGGGAAACACACATGCATGGCATAAGCATTATTTTTTATTAGAATCTCAGCTGGAGGATGAGCAGAACAGTTGTCAAGGAACAACAAAATCTTGCAGTCATCATCCAGTCCAGTTTCCCTGAATTAAGTATGAGCCACTGGTTCAAAATGTTTGTGAAATCCATGCCTTTTTGCTAGCACAGTAATGAACTGGTGACCCATGCCTTTTTGTTAGTGTAGTAATGGACTAGTAAGAGATTCACTCCTTGAAAAGAGTGAGAACCCAAGCTTTTGCCTGTCACAGCAAGTTCACACTTATCCATGGCTGCTACATTAGCACATCCCAGCACAGTTATTCTGTCCTTGGCATCCTTAACTCTTGAAGGGGCTGTTGCAACAGTTGTGGTCAGTGTCTTTCTGGAGCAACATCGATATCTCTGGAGCAATATTTTCTGTCATCAGATTTTCATCAGCAACGGCCTTGGCTAACTTGCCAATAAATTTGTCTGCTTCTCATGATCAGCAGATGCTTTATCACCACAAATTTTTAAAATTTTAATGTTGCTTCTTTTCTTAAATTTCTGTAACCAGCCTGCTGAATATTCAGTATTCTTTCATTTTTAGTTCACTGAGATAGATATTTTCTTGTTTCATGATCAGCATACCATGAAGTGGCATGTGTTCACTGTGATGTTGGTGGATCCACTCTTTCCATATGCAATTGAAATCTTCATTTTTAACTTCATGCAGTGTTTTTCTATTTTAACTAATGTCTGTTTATCACTTCCAGCATAGAACTTCAATAGTTTGTTTTTCTGTTTCTTCAGATCGTATACAGTGATCATTCCATTACCATGATCTTCTGTAAGACATTTCACACTTATGCTGCTACCCGGTTTCTCCAACAGCTTGGCTTTCTGTGCTATGAACATAAATGCTTTCTCTTTTTCTTAGTGTTACCCTGTGGGTAACACTAGGCCTTTCTGACATTTTCAACAATAAGCAAAAAACCCTGGTGAGTAATGTACCCATATAGGGCATCATGGGGAACTCGTTGGTGCATATTGCCTGCACACCTGCCATTTTTGTGGGCTTGCTTGTGTGAGGAAATCTGGGCATGCAGGGAAAAGATACACTGCAACTTAATGGGGCTTGGAAGGGTCTTTTATTTATTTATTTATTTTTAGGGACACCAAGTAAACTGTGTTGTGCGCCTACGTTTTGACTGTGACCCATAACATGTGGTCAGGTGTGCAATTTTCCATTTATGGCATCATTTCAGAGCTCAAGAAGTTTCAGATTTTTGAGGTCAGATGTGCAATTTTCCACTTGTGACATCATGTCAGAGCTCAAAAAGTTTCAGATTTTGAGCATTTTGGATTTTTGGATTAGGAGTAAAAAATCCATGTATTTCTACCAGTTCAAGGATTGTAGTAACATAGAAACATCACATCTCATAATTGAAAATTTCAAGATATATCTACTTCAAGCCTCAACCTGATCTGCATATTCTCTCTACGTGGTGGAGGCAACAGGCAACTAAATTTCATGAAAGATTCATGCTCTTTATCCATAGCATAAAGTAAATACTGGGAGAAAGCTATCACCAAGCATTATATTTTTCAATCTTCTTGTATCTAAGCAGAGACATATGATCAACTCAAGCTAATGAAATGTGCGCAAAATTACTGAGTAATCACTTCTTTTTTTCTTTCTTTCTTTTTTTTTTTAGATGGAGTCTCACTCTGTCACCCAAGCTGGAGTGCAATGGCACAATCTCGGCTCACAGCAACCTCCACCTCAAGTTCAAGTGACTCTCCCACCTCAGCTGCCTGAGTAGCTGGGACTACAGGCATGTGCCACCATGCCCAGCTAATTTTTTGTATTTTTAGTAGAGATGGGGTTTCACCATGTTGACCAGGCTGGTCTCGAACTCATGATATAAAGTGATCCACCCACCTCAGCTTCCCAAAGTGCTGGGATTATATGCGTGAGCCACCATGGCTGGCCTGAGTATCACTTCTTAATAAGACAGTGATGCATCCTCTGTGTTATCCTCATGCTTTTTCTTCAAACCACGGGAAACTTGTTGGCCCCATGTTAAAGATTTCAGCGTTACAAAATATGAAGCATCTGAATTCTTGCATCTGCTTAGAATAAAGCTTTCCAGCAAGACACATCTGTTTAGGCTGGCGCACTTTCAATGAAAGGTCCACTTTGTAGATACTTTAATTTTTGTAGCCTACGGTCTCTGTTTCTTCTTTTTCTCCTCCTTCTCGTCCTTTTTCCCCCTTCTCCATTTGTTCTCCTCTTCTTCTCCTCTTTAAAAACGTAAAAAAAAAAAAAAAAGATTCTTTGTACCAGAGTCATACAAAAACAGGCCATGGGACAGATGGCCTGGGGGTCCTATAATAGTTTGGCATTTCCCCATATTAAGTCACTGATATCTGTAGGTTTTGCAATAGCAATGACCATACTCTGATTAATACATCTTATAACAGGAGTTGGTAAACTTCATTCCACAGGCCAAATATGGTCTTAGCTTATTTGTTTAAATAAAGTTTTCCTGAACACAGTCCCACCCATTCACATTTTTATTCTCTAGGGCTGCTTTTGCACTACAAGAGCAGACTTTAGTAACTGCGACAGAGGCTGTACACCTATCAAAGCCTGAAATATTTACTATCTGAACCTTCACAGAAAAGGCTTGCTGTCCCATTTTCTGTAACTTTAACAATCAATAGTTTCCCTGTCTCTAGAAGTGCTTCTTCATTAATATGGCAGCCACAACTCTTAAGGAAGCTTATTTTCCAACTTGATAAAAATTTATTTTTTACATTAAGTCAAAATGTCTTTCCCTGTAACAACTATCTATTGATCCTAGACCTGCCCCCTGCAACTTCACAGCTTAAGATATTTCCTCTTCCACAGAGCAGCCTCTGAAACATCCCAGTACTTTTGAAGAGAGGAAGATGAGTTACCATGAGATGTATCACTCGTTCACCACAAAAAGTGGGGTTTGTTCTGTTTTCCTTATAATAGTTTTCTGAAGTGTTCATTAGAGCCTAAAAAGAAATATGTGGTTCAAATTTACCTCAAAAGTGACTTCTTCATGTATAAGTCCCAAATGTTGAAAAAAAAGGGACAGTGTTGTCCAGTTTTACATTTCTACTCTGGGAGACATTGGATATGTTACCTTTTGTTTTATTGATATTTTGGATAACATTGCATGATGAAAAGGGTATCATTCAATAGTTAAGACTGTGGGGCCAGACTGACCTAAATTTCAAACAGAACTTCATCACTTATGAACTGTGTATCTTTAGGCAAATTTCTTAAGTCCATTACACTTCACTTGTCTTATCTGTCAAATAGGAAAATTGTTACTTAGTCAGAAACTCTATATCATAGGTGTGTTTTGAGGATTAAAGGAGATAATATATGTGTCATGTTTTGCTTTATCCTAAACATTTCCAATGCATTGAGAAAATATTGTTTATTATGGTAGTAAAGCATACTGTCATTTCTGTTGTAGATATGCATTAAGAATAGCATCTTTTTGCCATGTTGCCTGTATATGCTCTCACATAGTGAGCATAGTGTGCAGATTTTGAAAATTGTGTATAGAATTTGATAAACTATTAACTTAGTTTAAGACCTTCTTACTATCTTGCAAAATTCCTCAGTGTTTTTAAAACAAATTCCATAACATGATTGTATATTTGTTTGTACACATGTGCTATTAAACATTATTTAAGTCTGCAAAGTGTAAAGTTTTAAGTTGCTTGGGGTACACAATATAGTCCTTATATGCCAGCTCTCCTATTTGCTGCCTTCATTTTATTAGGCTGAAGAAGAGTCATAGATCTTAGAATGAATGAGAACTTAATATAATAATACTCTATCTAAATCACGAATAACTTCAACATTTATTCAGCATTCAACAAATATTCACTGGTCACCTATTCTGCGCCTTACATAGCTCTTCTCTTGGAAAGTTTATTCTAGGAGGGGAAAAAAGACAGGTTAGTAATAGATAAGCAGAGGCAAAAGAGTAATGACATTGAGGTTACTTTTCCAAGAATAATCAAAGAAGTTGCTCCATTTCACTAAGGTTCAGCTCAAATGCTACCTCCTCAGAGAAAAGACACAAGACAAGAGCACATTAGGCTAAGAGAACTAAAAGAAAAATCTCCTAGAGTCAGGAATGGGCCCACATGGGGAAAAGTAGTATCAAGTGACCTTGGTACAACTTGAAATTATGTGTTCCAACTGGCCTGGCCAGTAGAAAATCCTTACTGCAGGAAACTATTTCTTCTTTAACACCCTTCCAGTTGTTTCTAGTCTAGCTCTGCAGAGTTATCTAATATAAGTCTAATCCTTCCAATATTTGTGTTGCTTAATACTAAACTTCCTCAATTCCTTTTAACATTGCAAGGTAGTAGCATAGGAGTTGTCCTGGCTTTGTTGTTAGATAAACCGAGTTTCTTTTCTAGCTTTACTATATAATAGCTTTGTGGTGTCAGGAGAGTTACTTAATCTTTCTGAGCTCTGGTTTTCTTTCTTGCAAAATCAGAAAAATCACACCCAGCTTTCAGGAATATTGTGAGGATTAAGGGAAAAAATTGTATAAAGTATAAAATAGCACCAGGCACATAGCATGTGTTAAATAGAAAGTGACTAGAATAATTAATAGCAGTCATTACATTCTTATTACCCTTGTTTTATGACAACTCTTCTGTTTGTTAATGTTCCTCTGGAAGTGCAACTCCCAGAATTTAATACAGGAGTCTGGGCAGTGAACATCGAGGTAATCAATTTAGGACTATTGCATTCTTTGCTCTGGACACTGCTTTTATAATCAAAGCTTAGGATACTGTAAGTGTTTTTAGCAAATGTATGATACTTATATATTGGCCTTACTTTAAAATAAGATCTCTTTTTTGTTTGCATGTGTACGCCTTTTCTCTCCTTTTCTGATTTGAGAGTTAGATGTCTGAAACTCAGATAAGTGGCAATGTAACACAGAGAATAAGAATACTGGCTTTGTGTCCAAATCTGGCTTTGAACCCTAGCTTGGTACTTGTCTAAACTTGGGCAAGTTTTTGAAAATGCTGAGTATTTTTCTCCTTTGCTAAATGTGGATTTTAATAACTACTCCGTATAGTTTTTATAAAGATTAAATGGGATAATACATTTTAAATGCTTAGCATAACGCCTGGAATATAATAATAGATCAATAAATGGTAGCTATTATTAACATTTCATTAAACTGCATGCTGTTAGTTTAATCATTACTCTGGGTAAGTATCCCTCTTTTTTTAGACCCTCACTCTATAACATATGTCTTCCTCCATTTTGAGTAAAGTATAAATTTTATTAATATTCTATTACATTTACGGTCATGACATTGAAAACAACAAAGCTAACTGTAACATCCTAGACAATCCACAAGATATCTTCCTATATGCAAATTAATTCATTGTTCGGTGCTCTTGAGTAGGGACAGTCAACCAGTGCCAAGAAACTGTTTTTTTGAGGTATATTAACTGTTGATTTATCTTGAATCCAGCTTTCTTTGAATTGACATGTGATTATATAACAGATGGACTGGGTAGACATCATTATGATAATTAATTTCAATATCCTTAATTCATGAAGTATGCTAACAATCAAATTTCTATTTTTAATGACTGCTCAAACAGAGTTTATATGATTTATTTGCACAAATCATACTCTCATTTATTGGAAACAAATGAGAATACCTGTGAATGGTCATTTTTATTGTAATTACTGTAGTCTTACCATTTTCAGTGGTTTCTGTTCATTCATGACTATGGCATCCAGAAGAGCACTTCATTCCAACAAATTACAGTAAGGGCATATTTCACAAAGCATTTTTTTATTCTGCTATGTAAATTTGCAAGAGCATAGTTTCATAAGTTTCATGATTTGCTAAATCCTTTAAAAAACATTAAGCTATTTTTATTATTTTGCTATTAGAAATCAATCATGCCAAGCCATATGCTTAGATTTTGATGTAATTCATATCAGTAATTAGAATCTCAATAATGACTCTGTTGACAAGTGGTACATCTTAGGCCTTCTGGATCCATTTCATGAGATGGCAGCCCATTCCAATAGCACTACAAAAGACAATCATAACTTTTATAAATGTATGAAAGAATTGATTGAAGGGAAGTCAAATACCTCTAATTTAAATGATATAAATATTATTAAGCAGTAGTAGTTCCTAAATTTTACCACATTCCACCATCTTTTGAAGAGATTACAGCCTGCAGAATTACATTCTTGTGAGAAAAAAAATAGACACTTTTTTTGAGAGGGAATATAGTGTAGTCTTGGAGTCTGAATAGAAAAACATATTATTTCATTGATTATTTTGCTCCTCATTTTTCTCCTTTATAAAATTTTTAGAAGACAATTAACATGTAAATTTATGTTGAAATTAATTTTATAGAGGACTCTTTTTTAATAATAATATAGATTCCCTTTCCATTTCAATCCTAAAATAAGGATTTGATAAAATTGATAATTATGTTTTAAAGGGGAAAAATGCTTTGAAGAAGGTGTTAATTTTAAAATCTACATGATTTAATTTGTGATCTTGTTTTTTAACTTATGTACTATAAAATCATCACCATGTGAAATCTAAACTCATTATTTTTCTCTTGAATATAAAAATTGCAAAAAGATGAGCAGAACTGAAGGCAAAATTTGGGGATTAATTATAGAAAAAAATCCCCTAAAATTTAAAATAAAATCCTATTAATCATTTTTTCTTTTAATTTAAAAGTCAGTTGAAAGTGACTTAATAAATCATTTATAATTACTTCTAAAGATGTTAATAGCATTATGACCAAGCAAACTCATTGCTATGGTTTATTGATATTGGTATTGATATTCTGATCTAATCAGACAGTGTACACATAAGTGGCTTGACGAGAAATAAAACTTCCATTTCTTTAAACAGACACTGCAGTATTGTATCAAGTTTAATTTTGGTTGACATACATTGCACTGAATGGTGTTTAACAAAATATATTAAGAAAAATGAAATCACACAGTATGTTAAAAAGAAGATCAAGGAGAATGCATATGAGCTAAATTTATTTGAAATATTAGCCTCATTTTTAAATTAACTACTTATTTGAGTTAAATAGATTTGCTTTCAACATTAATTTATTGAGTTTCTTACAATTTATTAAAGAGAACTATTGAAAGGCTGTGGGCTTTGGGTAAAATAAGTCTGCTATAATATTTGCCAGTTGTAGAAAATGAGCTCCCTTGAATCTGTGAGATTAAGAGCTAAGTCTGGTTCACTGTTGCAATACCACTCCCAAACACAGACAGGCTTTTCTAGGTCAACTATAAAGATTTTCTGAACAGGTGAATGGATGAATGACTGAAAGCTAGTAAATATGTTCAGAAGAATATTTGCAACAAAGGTAGTCTTGACTTTTTCTGAGGACCGTCTAAATACATTTATATATATATACATGCACACATTTTTAAAAGATTAAGATCAGCTTTATTTCTGGTTTTCACTAACACTTAAAATACTCTCAAAAAATTAAAGATTGAGGATTAGGAAAAAATATATGTGTGGGAATATAATAAAGTCAGGGTTGTTATTATTAACTCAGAGGAATTCTCACCATGGCATCCCATACAGCTGCTCATAGCTCTAAGACTGCCTTCAGTCAAGGCAAAGAGGAAAACTGTTACCTGATTTACAGTGTCTTTAGAACAAACCATCTGTTCCGGGGAAGCTGACATTTTCCTGACACTTAGATCTGAGAGGAATTTCTCTTGTGAGTTGTTAGAGTTCTCTGACCTGAAATATGTCCATGCTAGATGTGTAAGACATTTGGTGGTGGTGTTTTTAACGGTGAATATAACAAAGACAATACGACAAGCTTAACTTACTTGAAATTTGGCCCAAATGCATTCTGAATGAAACTAGTATCTTTGATAAATTAAACTATCCAGAGAGGTAGTTTTCATATGGAATGCAGATTCCAGGAGATTCTTGAATGTGTGGCATAGTATCCCTACAGGAAGATAAGGCATGGAACTGATTAAAGAGGAGTAATCCGAGTAGAGATCACTTCGGTTCTCTGTGTAAAATTTAGGAAATGCCTCGGCTCCCATACAAATATTTGAAAAAGACCTGATCTAAAGAAATCTTAGACAACATGACTCTCAGACAATCATTTCTGAATTTTTTCAAAAATAAGTTTTTTTCTGATACAAAATGAGCAGTAGAAAATTAAAAAGTTTTTGTCTAGGATAAAAATATGATGGTCATGTAGGCTTTAATGCCCATTAGGCAAACAGCTATGTGTTTTGACAATCAATTTGATAGTAGATAAAGTTATTGTCCTCTTAGAAAATTAAAGTGCCTAACTGAGACACACTCTGAATTGGTGAAATGACATTTTTCATAACTGAGAATATGCTGAGACCAAAAAGCATAGATTAAACAGAACCTATAAATTTTTAAAAAGAGAGGACATTGACCAATCCTTTATTAATATTTGATGAGCAAAAACTACTTTGTAGACTGAGAAATTGAGAGAACAATGGTATACTTTTGAAATATTTGTGAATGGAGTATTTTTTAACCGGAACTGCTGATAAAAATGTCAGTGTGAAAGACGAAGGAAAAAGTAGTTAACTAGAAAGCAACTTCGCGGCTAAAGAGTAAAGGTTTATAAATACAAATACACATTTGTATTTATATATGGGTATCTATACATGGATACATATGCATAGATATGTGCATAAAACATTGAATTTTAAAAGTAGTTTGCATTTATTCCTGAACAGCTATATAATATACTATTCCATGACTGTAACATAGTCCATTTAATCCCACCTTTGTTTTATGGAATTAATCTTTATCCATTTTTAAATTTTTATGCCATTTAAGGAATTTTATTTAGCATTTGTAGGCAGTTTTGTGTGCCTAGGTGTTTTCTTGGAATGCCTTCCTGTAAAGAAATACTGAAACAAAAATTGTAAGGTTTTTAGAAGTCAATCATACATAGCATTTAATTAATTTCCAGAAGATTATAGGCATTTAGGTACACACCTGCTACACTTTGAGTCCCACCTTACAGCATATTCACCAGCATTGAGTGTTGTCTATGTCAGTTTTCAAATTCAAATTAATAATGTTTTAATTTGCATCTCTATGCTTACAAGTAAGCTGAACATTCTTTTTAATTATGTCATTCAATTCTATCTTCTGTGAATTGCATACTCATTTACCCATTTATCTACTTGAGTCTTAATGTTGATCTCCTTATGAGTTTCTGGTTGTTTCAAATATTAATTTTGAAATTAAAGAAAAGTTTATTTTTAAATGAATAAAAGATTTAAAAGCCACCGCTTTAAGTTAGGTTTCAGAGCGATATAGTTGTAAGGTTTCCAACACATTTTTAGATATTGTGACTTTAACAACTTCTACATTTTTATGAGCCAGCATGTAGAAAAGAGAATATTTGGAGCTATCACCCTATCACCTTCCAATTTCAATAAAAATTCTGAAAGAGACTAAGGAATGTATTTAACATTATCAAAATTTTTGTGGAATGAATTAAACTCTATATAATATATGCACTCAATGTTTTAAAAATCGATTAGCCCTAACATCCTGTGCATGTCTCTTCTCACTTCAAGAAGTACTCTCAGAATAAAATGCATCATAAATTGAGATTTTTGCCTAAATGAGGTCCAATTTATTCAGCTATAGTAATTGACTCAATAGAGTAAAACAGAAGCATAATTAAGGTCGTGGCTATCACCAGAAAGTCTGTATCTACAGAATAAAACATCTGAGCTGTTGCCCATTAATTTGGAAAAAATACCCAAATGCTCTGTTTTCAAGATAGAGTCAGCGACAAACAAATACATTGCATCTTCAAATACATCATGTCCATCATGAGTAGGTGAAGATAAAGTAAGTGAAAAAATAAAGTATCTAGGTTAGATAAACAGGCAACCCCTTGCATCATTGAAGATCATATTTAATATTTTGTTTGCAAAACTATTAGAAAAGTAGGCGCAATGTAGTGGCTAAAAGCATGGCTCAAAGTCAAGCTCCTTCAGGAAGTAACTTTGGAAGCTCAAATAAGTTATGTAACATCTCTTGGCTGCAGTTTTTTTTGGGGGGGGTTGGTGGGGGCAATCAGTAATAATGCACCATACCCTGGTATCTGTGGGGGAAATTTGTTTCAGGATCCCTGCGGATACCAAAATTCACAGATGCTTAAGTCTCTTATATAAAATCATGTGGTATTTGCATATAACCTACACACATCCTCCCATATACTTCAAATCATCTCTAGATTAGGTAAAATACCTAATACAATGTAAATGTTATGTAATAGTTGTTATACTGTTAGGGAACATTACTGTATTCATTAGGAAACAATAAAAAGAACAAAAGGTCTGTACATGTTCAGGACAATGGCAACCATTCTTTTTTTTTTTTTTCTCCCCAAACTGCAGGTGGCTGAATCTACTGATGCAGGACCAACACCTAGGGAGGCGATTATAGTACCTGTTTGTGGAGTTGTTGCTATTAACCCCATGCAGAGATTATATATACGAATTAGTTTATTCTCTAAAAATGAGGTCACAGTAAGACCAAAGACAGAATTTTAGTAGTTTATAACTGAAGGGAATATTGAAATGTGCTGAAAAGTGTGAACATCATTAACATAAGTAAGTTCTTTAGAAGAGAGTGTTCATGTTACATCATGCATAAGTGCAGTTAATTTTGCCAAAATGAAAATAGACTGATTATTCTCACTAAAACTTGTAGCTTATTTTGTTTCACATGTAAAACATATGTGTGGGTGTGGCAATGCACATATATATGCTTTCAGGTACGTAAAAGTGAGAGAAATTGCTTTTGCCTTTTATTTTTAAGCTTCATAGAATCCCATATGTGTTGTACACTCCTTGAGACCAAAACTTTTTTCCAGATCAGAACATAGTTCCCTAGCGTACTCATTAAAACTAGCAGATGAACACAGAGCATCCTTAACAACAGGCTCATATTGATTGATGCAAATCTCCAGCCGTAAATGGGAGACCTCAGCTGTCAGCAACATTTTCATAGCTGGGAGTAGTGAATTTTACCTATCCTCTATCATTTCATTTGAGAACTTCATAAAAGGTGGGTGCCAGGGAGGTGGGGTTAGAAGTTATATGACTTTATGTTCTCTGAGGATTTCCAGAGTGTATTTTTAAGGCATTTTTCCTCTATAAAACTACTGCTGCCTATAGCATTGCTATATGAATTATATCTTTAAAATATGTTCTAAATATAAAAATTTGTAAATTTATGTTTATAAATTAAAACTTCTATTGATTTTGATATTATGAACTCACCTTAATTTCTTTCAAGTGACAATGACTCTTTGAAAGAGTAGCTTACAAAAGAAAAGCTTTAATTATGTAAGCAATTCAAAAGCTGCTACCTACTAAATCAGTGAATCTCTCTGTCTTGATTATTTTAACAAGGTTCTCTCCATTTACATAATTTTCCCTTCCCGCAGTCAGTCCAATTACCTCATTTTCTTGTTTTATGACTCCACTAATAGATACATCATTTATAATTCACAAAACCAGCTTCCCTATTCAATTTTATTTGTTTTTATCTCCATCTTCTTTTCCCTTAAATGTCATTTGGAAATCAGGTATTTTTAATGGAATTGCTTTCCTATCATTTGTGACACATGCAAATTCTTACTCAATAAAAAACACTGAGACCTCTGTATTAGTGCTTTGGTTTTTAAATTTGATTTAATTTCGATTTGTTTTAGAAATTAATAGCAACACTGAAGGTGAGGCTATAGTCTCCTATTTGAAATTTTATGTTTACCTAAAAACTAATCAAGCTGAAAAGTTAATGGTCTGATAAAAATACACCGTGTTGATTAAAAAAAAAAGACATTTCACTTCCTTTTTTTTTTTTTTTTTTTGAGACGGAGTCTTCCTCTGTCGTCCAGGCTGGAGTGCAGTGACACGATCTCGGCTCACTGCAAGCTCCGCCTCCTGGTTTCACGCCATTCTCCTGCCTCAGCCTCCCGAGTAGCTGGGACTACAGGTGCCCACCACCATGCCTGGCTAATTTTTTTTTTTTGTATTTTTAGTGGAGATGGAGTTTCACCATGTTAGCCAGAATGGTCTGTCTCCTGACCTCGTGATCTGCCCGCCTTGGCCTCGCAATGTGCTGGGATTACAGGCTTGAGCCACCGCGCCTGACCAATATTTTACTTTCTAAGACCAAACTAGCTCTGCATGGTGCAGATAAACCAGCTCCTCACTCTATAATCAAACATACCCAGGGCTGCCAGGGATTGATTGGGAAAGTAATTTAATAAACAGGTAGCTAGAGCGAGTTCAATGAACTTTATATGAGAGAATGTGAGAATGGAATTTCCTAGGGTGAGTCCATTCCATGTCACTAGGACAAGAGCTCGCCCGTGGAGTGTATTGTAACTGTAAAGCGTCTTTATGGGAGGAACTGTGCATGTGTGCTGGGGAACGGAACTCCATGATTAACCACACAGAGAGCTTCATGCCCATTGGTATTTTCTTCCCTAAGTTCCTGCATTTGAAGAAATAACTCTCTGTTTCACGGCCACTCACAGCAGATATAAAAATGTATTATTCAATAAATGCGTTTAATTTGAACCCTAATATTCTCCAAAGTCAGAATGATTGGTTTTCTTTTTCATTTTTACGCTTATTTTTTTTCTTTTTTTCTTTTTTTTTTTTTTTTTCCTTTTTCTGGAGAATGGGGTCTCGCTATATTGCCCAGACAGGTCTCGAACTCCTGGGCTCAAGCTATCCTCCCGCCTCTTAGCCTCCCTGAGAGCTGGGATTACAGGCGTGAGCCACCGCGCCCGGCCTCTTTTTCATTTTTAACACCTGCTTTGGCATTATGTACTGAAAGGAAAGTATAATACTGAGTTAAGAAGCTGGAGACAAGTGTGATAAAAATGTTTTCTTTGTTCAAATTCGAGTTTACTGAAGAGAGAGAAAAAGCTCCTGAATATACCATATGTAGATCATATTTTCAAAAAGGAACCTTCCAATAAAAATGTTGACAGGGCATAATAAAAAGGCAAAGTTTTTCAAAAACTCAAGCAGAAAATTTTTGATATTCTCAATAGTTTTTCTAAGTCCTTATGTGATAAGCATACCTATCAATCAAAATGAAAATAGAGAATAAGGACTATATGGTAATCCAATCATACATATATAGCAATTAAGCTAATCATATATTATCAGAATACATTATCTAAAAATTTTTGTTATTGACACAGGATTTTTGTTGGTGCCACTTTGCCAGCCAGAGACTTCTGCCCACTTGGCCCAGCAGGCTGTGCTCTGCTCACACTACCAGCCCAGATCTCATGCCCGCCGAGGGCGAGCCAGGCATGCCAGCTGCTGCAGTGGGATGGGTAGCTTCAGGCACTGGCACAGGTGCTGGCTCCATGAGGTAGGCTCCACAGGCTACCTACAGCCTGCACTGTAGGGGCTGTGACTGGGCCAGTTGTACTGCCAGTGGCTTCTGCCTTGGGCACTGGCATCTAAATGGGGGAACACAGTGGCACCCAAAAAACTCAGAGACGCCAATGACCCTGGATTTCCAAAGTGGGTGTTGCAGCATGTTACAACTCTGTTGGGAGCAGTCCTGAGCTCTGAGCCCCAGAAAGGTCACAGCTCATTCGTGTTACAGTTTGTTTGTTCTCACTGTCCATATGCTTTGGCAAACGTGGATGTGTCCCAGCTCATTCGATCTTGTTGCCATGCTCCGGCCTGTGGCTCCTGAGCTGGCCCAGCCCTGCTGCCACTTCCTGTCCCATGGGGCAGCCTGCTAGCACCAGCAGAGGACAAGAGGGCAACAGTGTTACAGCAGCTCTTTTGGCACATGCTGTTCGGAGGGTCCTGGGTTCTTGTCCCATGTTCGAGAAGATTCAGGTTACGTGGACAACCAAAGAACGAGCAAGGCAGAAAAGAGTTTTATTGAGCAATGGAACAGCTCTCAGTAGAGAGGGAATCCAAAGTGGGTACCCCTACCCAAAGGCAGGTAGTCTCCCTGTGTGGCTGAGTCCTGGGTTTTTATAGGCTCAGAATGGGGGAAGTGCAGGCTGTAGGTAGCCTTGGAAAAGACAGCATTCAATGGGTTAAAATGCATTATTCAGAAAGAATCAATCAGGAAAGAGCAGGCAAACAGGAATAGAAGTTGTCACTGTGGTCGTGGACTCCATCCAGAACCAGCAGCAGCCTGGTTTTCAGGCTTCAGGCTGTTTCTGGCTTGAAGGTCCAGTTTCACCAGGCACCCGCCCCTGTCTGCCTAGGAATTTGTCTGCCTCCTGCTGCTATCATTATAAGTTTTATGGAAGATCCATCTTTCTATGACCTCTGAGAACAAAGAATATTGTTGAAACATTCACTATATTTCTCAATATATTCAATTAAGAAAAAAAATTTGTTTTTCTGACTGCTTGAAATGCTGTGGCAATTTCTAAATTTAAACAACTCTAAAAACTAAAAACTAAAAGAAACCTTTTTTTGATCTTTATTTTCTCAAACTGCTGTGAGCTGGTCATGCCATGGAATAGGTGAAGACTGCAGAGGCTTTATCCCTAAGGTGGAAGTTCTGATGACAAGATCAGGCCATTTGCTCCCAGATCTAGATTGCTCCAACACTGCATCTTCCACCTACCCAGACTTTATGTTTGACCTATTTCCAAAACTTTCTACTTTCATGGAACTATGAAAGAATGTAAATGTGGGCCTGGGTTATAGGGGTATAGTCCATCTCTCTGTGAGTATCCTATTATGTTGCAATAACATATAATATAGCATCTGATTATGATATATTTATAGTTAGAACAAATGTTTTTCATTATTCCAGCTTGAGTTTTGGAAAGGGTTTGAAATGGTGTCTAGAGTATCTTTGATTCTCTTCACACACAAATGTGACTTTAATTTCCACTCTGACATTTAACCTGCTCAGTATCCTTGGGCAATGGCTCAAGGTCTCTAAGCTTTAACGTCTGAATCTGCAAAACTGTGATAATACCAATCTTGAAGGATTGCTTTGAGAAATCTAGAAAATGTCCACTTAGCACAATGCACCATTTAAAAGAGTTGTTTTACAAATGGAAGTTTTCATTATTATTTGTGTTGTTTTTAAGTGAAAACCACTAACATATTGAGGTCATCTTCTATCTGGGGCCACTGTACCTCTACCCGTCTAAGTGACGCCTGGCATTTAATGGGCATTCAGTGTGTGCCAATTTGATGAATGAAGGGACAGTGCCTCCCACACAATACATAGTAATTATCCATATTATCATTCTTCACATGTTTCTCTCCAAATCTGTGTGTTCTCACTGCCATCTGCACACTCAATTCCCAGCTTTTTGCTCTTGCCATAAAGGTCCTCTCAATTGAAATGTTCTTTTTCCCCTCTCTCCATCCAAAATTAACCAATTCTCTGAGTTACATCTGAAGTGAAGCTTTCTTAAAGAAACCAGCCTTCTTAAATTTCTGATCTCATAATCTGTCTCTTGAATTTTGCCCTTTAATTGTGTTCATTTTGGCTTTGTGTACTATATCGACTTGTCTTGATACCAAAAGTATGTGTGCTGGTGGTGGGAGGGAAAGGACCACATTATCTTTGAACCTATCACAAAGTATTACTTAATTTGTTAGTTTTCTATTGCTGCTGTACCAAATTAGTACAAACTTAGTGGCTTAAAACAACAGGAAGTTCTTACCTTACAGTTTTGGGATTCAGAAGTCTGAAATGGATCTCACTGGGCTAAATAAAATTCAGGTGTCATTTGTGCTGCATTTAGTTCAATTTTCTTGCCCTTTTCGGCTTCAAGAGGCTATTCACATTCTAGGAGTTTGTCCTTCTTTCCATCTTCAAAGCCAGCAATGGCCAGCTGAGTTTTTCTCAAATCACCTCCTGCTGATATTGCCTTTTCTGCCTCTCTCTTCCACATTTTAGGACACTTGTGATTACTTTAGACTCATTCTGATTAACCCAGGATAATCTCTGCAATATAAGTTCTGCTGACTAGAAACCTTAATTACATCGGCTATGATAATTGTAGCCCTGTTTTCATGTAACCAAATCTATTTGCATGTTCCAGGAATTAGTACAGGATCATTTTTGGGAAGCCACTGTGCTGCCTACCATAGTTCACTATTCTTAAGACCCTCTTTTCAGTCAGCTAGGATAGCCTGACTAAAATCTCAGCCCTGCCCTATCTCTTACTCTAGTTTGTTTATTATTTGGGGATAATTTAGATTCCCTAGTTCTAACACTTAAGCAACTCCAACAAGACCAAGACCTCACTGGTAGCCATTTCTTGCACTGATTTTCCTAGTTTAGACTTCCTTTTTCAGGTTTGTACCTCATATCTTTAAGTCCAGCACCTGCCTTGTTCTAAAATTTTCATTTCTAGAGCCAGAGCTGAGCTATGTTTTATTCTGAACTGTGCTTGAGACTCTCATGTGGCCTCCATATGTGACTCTTCCTGGACTCCCAGTCACTTTGTTTCCACGTATCTGATGGCCACCTATTGTTATATCATTTGCTCAAATTTTCTGAAGTTAGCCATCTGCTTTGATTAGCATCTTCTCTATTATTGTGCCCTGAATTCTAGCTTCAATCCACCACAGAGACGTGGCAATATGGTACCTGCAACATTTTGATTGATGAGTCCAAACTTAGATAATTCAGTACTATCCAACTGAAGTGTTTTTTTGTTTTTTTTTTTTTGTTTTCTTTTTTGTTTTTTTTTTGTTTTTTTTTTTTTGAGGTCTGTCTTAAAGCCTCTCTCTTCAAATGTAATCTTTGTTTGATTGTTTACATGCATATTTTTCTCCCCTAGCTTAACATTCCTTTCTTTTACTCTGGCTCATAAACAGATTTCCATATGCTGTTTATTCCTCCCTAGGAACTGGAGTGATGGTAAAGCAGGAGAGGCTCAGGACACAAAATTTGAGGAGACAGGATCAGCACTTTCATGTCCCTTAGAGTGAATGGCTCTGTAAATCTTGCATTCTAGGCTTTTCTTTTGCCTCATACTCATCCAGACTTTGTGCTTTACTCTCAAATTTAAAGGAAATTATTATTAAATCTTTACCATCTCTGTTAACTTGATTATTTCTCATTATTGGAAAAGGGAAAGAAGAGTTGCGCTATGTCCCACAAAAGAAAGAGTGATCCCTTAGAATATTCTTCAAATGGGAGCACGGTCTGTCAGCCCCATCAGAGCAACCTCTCCATGACACATCAATCTCTACTTCTCTACCATTACCTGACTTCTCTCCTTAATCTGCCAACTCTGACTTCCCCTACATGACCTTTAACCTCTACCTTCCCACCCTGACCTGTCACCTCTGACATTCTCTCACTAAGACCTATCACACTCAACTTCTCCCACCATGACCTTTGACTTTTTCTACCAAAAGTTTTGATTGTATTATTTTCTTTAGGGAAGTTCCTTGCAAACACTGAAGTTATATTGCACTATTCTATTCCTTTGGCTGGATTTGAGATTTCATGGATAGGAAGAGTAAGAGAAAATTATCATTACTTTGAATTACCCCGGAACTTGAGAAGTGAGGATAGAAAGCAGTTCCTTAGATACCATCCTCAACCTAGGTGACTTCCTCCATTCCATGCTATAATAAATATCCATCTTAAGAGTCCCTGCTGCATTAGGCTTCTACAGTTTACTCTATTTTTCATCAGTTTTTATTTGTCTACTGACATTAATTGACTCTAATGAAATTCTTTGGGCTTTTACATTTGCAGAATTATTTACACAGGACAGAGACCAAAATGCTGCTTGTCTGTGTGATTTTTCTCCAGGGTCATGGTATCCTAAATTTTATGATAATTTATTCTTCACTGGGATGAAATTAGATTACTCCATTTAGGTAATGTAAAGAGAGTAGAATATTTTTGAATTTCAAGTCTATTTTAATGGTTTTTCTCTTTATGGAAATATTTCAATTATTAATTATTTACATCACATTGAAATCCTTCACATTTGTATTTTCTCAATTAGGAATCTGAAGTTGCAGTTTTTACTCTAAAATTAGAAGTCAAAATTAACCACATAATAACAACATAAATTGTGAAATATCTTTATGAGTGAAAGCAAAATTACTTGTTAATAAATTCAAAACTCTGAATCTTTTTTCTCTTTTTTATTTTTATTGCTTGAATGTTAAGCTTTATCCTTTTAACCTGACATGACTTGGTTTCATGAACTGTTATTTTTCTGGTCTTGTTAGTTCTAAAATAACATTAAAGCAACAGAATTTTCCTAGGGAATCTAGAAAAAAAGACATTCAGCATAATCTTACTTCAAAATTATTTCCTTAGGTATTTTTAAAATTGAAAAAAAAATGGAGAGAGAGAAAGAGGAAGAAAAAACAAAAACCATAGCAACTCTTGTTAGGAAAATATGTATTGCATATTCAGAAGATATGCTTCTAAAAATGCTTATAAATAAAGAAAAAAATGAGTTTGTCCTAAACATAAACTATATTTGACAGTTACTTTTTTAAAGGTTTTCTATTTTTGATGTTATTTCAAGTGTTTGGGAGAATGTCCCAACTAGACATGAGTTTATTTTTAACATTTTTGCATCTGTCAGGGTTCAGTCAGGAAGCATGGCTACTGAATATTAAGGGAATAAGGAAAATGTGAAAGGAATAAGATCATGTACATAATGAGAAAAACTGAGGAAATAAAAATCTGGGTGGCAGAATTTGAGAATTAAAGACAAAGTCACTAGCTTATCCCCCTGGAAAAGCAGTACAAGTGACCAAATCTGAACTTGCAGCAAAATCCAAGAAGCCAAGACTAGCTGCTAAAGTGGGATCACAAAAGTTGAGCTCATGCAGAGGTCTTTGAGACTGTTACCTCTGTGTGCCTGCCACCTCTGCAAGGCTACAGACAAGCTGAGGATGAGTCTGGGCCACTGCTGGCCAGCAGGAGGTGGAGGCAAAATGGGAAGGACAAGAAAAGCTAGAGTTCACTGGGAAATTCTGCATTTGTCTGTCATTGTCTCTAACCCCAAAATACTTCCAGGAATTAAGACTGCTGCTTCACTTTGCCTTTAAATTTTATGCAAGTTCCTCTTTTGGTCAATTGGAACCCGGAAGCACAAAAGAAAAGTGACTCAGGGAAACAAGGTTCTCAGCTTAACCAGTTAAAATCTAGCACACTACTCCTCCTTATTTTCTAGTCCTTGATGACTAGAACGTATACCCCCCAAGAAGCCATAACAACAAACACTACCAAGTGGACTGGTAGGAGCCATGGATTGCCCTGAATAGCAACAGAAGTTGAACTCATGAATGCTTTTTGCAATGAAAGTTAATTGAACCCAAGTATCTTGTATTTATAAGTAATTTCATAAAAATATTTAATCAGATTTTGCCACTTACTTTCTGTGTGACATTGAATAAATCTGCAAAATCTCTGATTCTCTTCCCATTTATAAAGAAATGCAAAAAATGAAAAAAATTTTAAAATCTCTGAATTTCAGTTGTTTATTTGTAAAATGAACTTATTAATATTATAACTGCTTTAGCATGGTCCTGTGGTTTGTATATGGTTTGGTTGTACCCACCAGAACTCATGTTAAAATTTAGACCCCTGGGTGTTATTGTTGGGAGGTGGGGTTGAGTGGGAAGTGTTTGAATTGTGGGGGCAGATCCCTGATCAAAGGCTTGATGCTGTTCTTCAGACAGTGAGTTCTCACTCTGGTATACTGGATTTGTTCTTGCAGGAATGGATTAGTTCCCTGGAGTGTGGGTTATTATAAAGCCAGGATGCTCCTTAGGACTTCTTTTTTTGGCACATGTCCAGTTTCCCTTTAACCTTCTCTTTCATGTTATGAAGCAGCACAGGAGCCCTCCCCAGAAGCCAGGGCCATGTCCTTGAACTTCTAAGGCTACAGAACCATGGGCTAAATAAACTTCTTCTCTTATAAATTACCCAGCCTCAGATATTCTATTATAGCAAGACAAAACAGAATAGGACAGGTGGGTTCCTTAGGAACCTGTCTTGAGATGAGTTTTTGTGTGATATCTTAGGAATTGTTCATAGAAAAATCTGGCAAGGGAGGATAGAGGTGGGAAAGTAAGGGAAGGACATCGGACAAGAATGAATTGTCACATAGCGTACAGAGTAGAGTTGGATTTAATCCTATACAAGACTGCGATGACGATGTAAGGCACATATCAGAGTTGACTCAACCAGGGAACAAGAGAAATGGAGAATATATAATCTGCACTATCAGCCATGGGTTAAGACTCTCTTGGGGGAATGTCCCAAGAACTTGCCTCTCCACGTCCATGGGCAAAGGAGTCTGGCAACATGAGGGTGGACCTCTTACAAGGTGACATAGATGTTGGTTGTTGGTCTAAAGCATGACGAAGCAAATATGCAAGAAAACAATAACAGAATCAGAGGGGCTACAATCAGAGTGACTCAAGTCTGCTGCAATACTGTCAAAGGTTTTTTGAAGGTACTTTAAACCCTAATTTAAGATACATATTTAAAGTACATAGAAAGTTAACTAATACAGAGTAAGCATCTAATATCTAGTCAATACTGGTAGCAGCAGAAACAGAGGCACTGTCAATCTAAGAGCATCCCAAATAAGCCCTATCATGTAAGATAAGGAAAATATTATTATTTTTATTATTATTTTATTATTATAGTTTAAGTTCTGGGGTACATGTGCAGAACGTGCAGTTTTGTTACATAGGCATACACATGCCATAGTGGTTTGCTGTACCCATCAACCCATCGCCTACATTAGGTGTTTCTCCTAATGCTATCCCTCTCCTAGCCCCCCACCCCACAACAGGCCCTGGTGTGGGATGTTGCCCTCCCTGTGTCCATGTGCTCTCCTTCTTCAACTCCCACTTATGAGTGAGAACATGCGGTGTTTGGTTTTCTGTTCTTGTGCTAGTTTGCTGAGAATAATGGCTTCCAGCTTCATCCATGTCCCGGCAAAAGACGTGAACTCATACTTTTTTACAGCTGCATAGTATTCCATGATGTATGCGTGCCACATTTTCTTTATCCAGTCTATCATTGTTGGGCATTTGGGTTGGTTCCAAGTCTTTGCTATTGTGAATAGTGCTGCAATAAACATATATGTGCATGTGTCTTTATAGTAGAATGATTTGCAATCCTTTGGATATATACCCAGTAATGAGATGGCTGGGTCAAATGGTATTTCTAGTTCTAGATCCTTGAGGAACGACCACACTGTATTCCACAATTGTTGAACTAATTTATACTCCCACCAACAGTGTAAAAGTGTTCCTATTTCTCCACATCCTCTCCAGCATCTGTTGTTTCCTGACTTTTTAATGATGATCGCCATTCTAACTGGCATGAGATGGTATCTCGTTGCGGTTTTGATTTGCATTTCTCTAATGACCAGTGATGATTAGCATTTTTTCATGTTTGTTGGTTGCATAAATGTCTTCTTTTGAGAAGTGCCTGTTCATGACAAGTTTGGCTTTGGTAAAAATAGAAGTGAGGATGGTAAAGCTGTGTGTGTATATATATATATATATATATATATATATATATATATATATATATATATACTCAATGAAACCATGACACTCTAGGGGGAAAGGGAATTCTGACTCTGCAAGTTTATCAAAATAAACTGAACCTATTGTGATTTAAACAGTTTGTTGTTTCCATGAGGATAGACAAATAGGTAAATGGAACACAAATGATTGGAAGGCAGTTGAGAGAATATATAAGAACATATCATGTGATACAGAAGGCAATTTCAAATGATAAAGGGTTGTATTCAATAAATAATGTTGGAATTATTGGCAATCCATTTACAGGTAAAATAATTTTTATCTCATGCAATATATAAAAGTAAATCTCAATTGGAATCATAATAAAGAAACTTCAAAATTAAAACTAAATACAAGAATCTTGTGTTAAGGTCTTCTGGAGAAGAACAAAAATTCTCATGCTATCATAAAAATTCTTGGCAGATTTGACAACATTTTTTTAAATAAAGGAGAAAATAACATACCGGGACAAAGTATTTGAAGTACATATAGCCAAAAAAGTATTAATAACCAACATTTATGATTATCATATGTCTCAATAAGAAAATAAAAAGAAACTAATAGAAAATGAAAAATATTGGTTTATAATACACATAAAAATAATCAAAGCATTAGTAAATATATGTAATGCTCAAATTCCATAGTAGTAATAAAATAAGCAAATCATGTAACTTTTTTTCTTATTAGATAGGCAAGAAAATAAGAAAATTTAAAATCCAGTAGGGGCTAGAATGTGGGGGAATAGGCAGTCTCATATACGTTTAGTAGTACTGAAAACTGGTATACAGTTTAGGGAGGAAAGGTATCATTGTTTATCAAAACACTGAGCTGTTTAATCAGCAACTTCATGTGTAGGTATATTCTAGAAACACACACATAAGTATACAGAAAAGCACATATAGGAATATGTGCTGCAACATTGCTTTTAGTAATGAGATTTAGAAATAATCTAAATATTCATCAAAAGATAATTGATAAAGCAGTGTATAATATGTCCATGCCAAGAAATATAATGCAGTAGTGTAACAAACCTAGGACTTCATACACTTACATAAATTTTCATAACATTAGTGTAAAAAGTGATTTTTATAATAAAAACATTAAGCACAAAATTATCTATTTATAAAAATACATATAACCATAAATATGTTTGTCTATATAGGTGGAAAGCACGTACTCTGCTTAAAGAACTCAACAAACTTACTGTTTGGAAAATGAAGCAACCTACAGTCTCAACAGTTTTGCTTATTTGGGGCTTATGATAGTATTTAATAAACGGTAGCTACTGGTTCAAATCTGGAAGCCAAACAATATTTGGTCACCACAATGTTTTATGTTCATTTATTTTTTTAATTGAGCAATTATTAAATGAAACATCATGAGAGTCATGTAAGAACTCGGACTTGCCAGTCTTTCTTAAAAATCACATTTGGCAACAGTAGGCAGGAATGATGCAAGGCAGGTGAACCTTCAAGTCTACAATATCCCTACTGACACTTTTACTCCCTTCTGTTACCTTCCTGGCATCTATAGGTTTTAAGGTTTTTGTTTCTTTGACTATTTTTTATTACTATATTTAATATATAAAAACCTTGACTTGAACAAGCTTCCTTGTATTCTAAGCTACTGTTAGAACCAATGATCACATCTGCAAAATAATGAAATAAGCATGTCTTAGTGCTCCCCGATGGATGCTTATATATAATGTCTTATATATAATGTGTTTATAATAATGTTTATGTATAGAATGTCCCTAGTGTCCATCACAGTGTGCCAGGCACATCAGCAAGCATCCATGAAAGAATGAGTGAACTTAGAAGTGAAATCAATGGCTGTGCAGCAGAGTAAAGACAATTAGTTAGATCTTTGATCTCATTAGCTGAAGATTATCTTTAAGCTGAATAACTATATTTATGGCTAAATACTCTAAAACAATTGAAGTTTTAAGAGGAAACATAAGGTGATTAAGGTTCCCTAGCTCTCTGTGGCAACAAAAATGTACTTTCACTGGCACTTAGAAAATCTGTTCTCTGTCTCTTGATGAGATGAGAACAAAATTGGCAGAAAAAAAAAAATACAAAAATGCAAGTGAAAGCTACTCACTCCTTAGGTAATCCTTAGTTATGCAGAATGATTAGGTCAAAATCCAAGCCCATCTTTGTTGTTTTCAAAGATGAATGAAGAGTTTGTCTTATTGTCTCTTATTCTGGAAAAATCTTAGGTTTAAACTGAGAAGTAAATTAATTTGAGATAAAGCAGTGGACTAACATTTCACAGTCTCAGCTGACTCTACAAATCAGTTGAGTAACCTGACAATGGGTATTTTCCCTTTGGTCAGAGCTAATTGAAACCCATATGTCTCCTAGTCTGCTTTAACCATTATCTACATGTAAGGTATAATTGACTTGGGAGATGAATACACAGAACATCAGGATTAATTCAGTAAAATTTCAGCTTTAATCTGATAGCAACTCTAAATTCAGAGACAGCAACTTAAAGTATATAATTTATTTTTTAACATTTTCATTTGATCTGTCACTTGATCTTTCTCTTTTGAGCTAAATGGCCCCAGCATATACACAGGGAGACGCAAGAAAGTGAAGCCTTATTTTTTAATTAGCGCAAATGCGTTAAATGTATATAAAGTAATTTAAATACAGCAGAGACCTCTTAAATCTCTATCAATAAATCTGTAACTGCAGCAGGTCTATCTCTGCACCATAGATTTTGTTAAGGTTGGGCCTGAAATACAACAGTTAAATGAATTTGTTACTAATGCAATCAAGTTTCGGTAATTCATGAGCAAGTAATTCCTCTAGGTACATGACTCACTTAATAATTTAAGATTTTGGTAGACTTGATAATAGAACCAATGAGCTCATCGTAGACTACAAAATAAAGGAATTCAGTACCTGATCCAAGTATTGTATTTCTTAACTTCATTTTAATTAGCATATTATTTATTTTGTAGAATAGAAAGTGTTTGGATGACAGTCTATTCCTATGTGGTATTTCAACAGACTCCACCCAACATTCTTGTTTCCTACATGACTAATGATCAGTTTGATTCTAACTATATATTCAGCATTTGAATAGAATATTTAATCATCTAACTAGTTGCATCGTGATCATATATAAGACAGATTTACCTGCAAACAGGGACAATTTGACTTCCTCTTTTCCTAATTGAATACCCTTTATTTCCTTCTCCTGCCTGATTGCCCTGGCCAGAACTTCCAACACTATGTTGAATAGGAGCGGTGAGAGAGGGCATCCCTGTCTTGTGCCAGTTTTCAAAGGGAATGCTTCCAGTTTTTGCCCATTCAGTATGATATTGGCTGTGGGTTTGTCATAGATAGCTCTTATTATTTTGAAATACGTCCCATCAATACCTAATTTATTGAGAGTTTTTAGCATGAAGGGTTGTTGAATTTTGTCAAAGGCTTTTTCTGCATCTATTGAGATAATCATGTGGTTTTTGTCTTTGGCTCTGTTTATATGCTGGATTACATTTATTGATTTGCGTATATTGAACCAGCCTTGCATCCCAGGGATGAAGCCCACTTGATCATGGTGGATAAGCTTTTTGATGTGCTGCTGGATTCGGTTTGTCAGTATTTTATTGAGGATTTTTGCATCAATGTTCATCAAGGATATTGGTCTAAAATTCTCTTTTTTGGTTGTGTCTCTGCCCGGCTTTGGTATCAGAATGATGCTGGCTTCATAAAATGAGTTAGGGAGGATTCCCTCTTTTTCTATTGATTGGAATAGTTTCAGAAGGAATGGTACCAGTTCCTCCTTGTACCTCTGGTAGAATTCGGCTGTGAATCCATCTGGTCCTGGACTCTTTTTGGTTGGTAAACTATTGATTATTGCCACAATTTCAGAGCCTGTTATTGGTCTATTCAGAGATTCAACTTCTTCCTGGTTTAGTCTTGGGAGAGTGTATGTGTCGAGGAATGTATCCATTTCTTCTAGATTTTCTAGTTTATTTGCGTAGAGGTGTTTGTAGTATTCTCTGATGGTAGTTTGTATTTCTGTGGGATCAGTGGTGATATCCCCTTTATCATTTTTTATTGTGCCTATTTGATTCTTCTCTCTTTTTTTCTTTATTAGTCTTGCTAGTGGTCTATCAATTTTGTTGATCCTTTCAAAAAACCAGCTCCTGGATTCCATGGGAGAAAATTTTCGCAACCTACACATCTGACAAAGGACTAATATCCAGAATCTACAATGAACTCAAACAAATTTACAAGAAAAAAACAAACAACCCCATCAAAAAGTGGGCAAAGGACATGAACAGACACTTCTCAAAAGAAGACATTTATGCAGCCAAAAAACACATGAAGAAATGCTCATCATCACTGGCCATCAGAGAAATGCAAATCAAAACCACTATGAGATATCATCTCACACCAGTTAGAATGGCAATCATTAAAAAGTCAGGAGACAACAGGTGCTGGAGAGGATGTGGAGAAATAGGAACACTTTTACACTGTTGGTGGGACTGTAAACTAGTTCAACCATTATGGAAGTCAGTGTGGCGATTCCTCAGGGATCTAGAACTAGAAATACCATTTGACCCAGCCATCCCATTACTGGGTATATACCCAAATGACTATAAATCATGCTGCTATAAAGACACATGCACACATATGTTTATTGCGGCACTATTCACAATAGCAAAGACTTGGAACCAACCCAAATGTCCAACAATGATAGACTGGATTAAGAAAATGTGGCACATATACACCATGGAATACTATGCAGCCATAAAAAATGATGAGTTCATGTCCTTTGTAGGGACATGGATGAAATTGGAAACCATCATTCTCAGTAAACTATCGCAAGAACAAAAAACCAAACACCGCATATTCTCACTCATAGGTGGGAATTGAACAATGAGATCACATGGACACAGGAAGGGGAATATCACACTCTGGGGACTGTGGTGGGGTCGGGGGAGCGGGGAGGGATAGCATTGGGAGATATACCTAATGCTAGATGACACGTTAGTGGGTGCAGCGCACCAGTATGGCACATGTATACATATGTAACTAACCTGCACAATGTGCACATGTACCCTAAAACTTAAAGTATGATAAAAAAAAGAAAAAATAAAAATAAAAAAAAAATAAAAAAAAAAAAGACAGATTTACCATATGTGGGGATTTATTTTGAAGAACAGTGATCAGCATAAAAAGACTTAGTCAAGATTTTATAAATATACATTTCTACTTACTTTATTTTATAGGCAAAATTTTGTTCTGGAGACATTTGTAAACACTAGCCAATGTATGTAATCTATGTTACAAAGGAGAGAAATAATTTGATGAGATATAAAATTTGTGTTTCTTTCTTAAACTTGACATTTACTGTATATTCTCTTTGCCAGGTAATATAAAGACCAGTATATTTCATATTTGTTTTCCCTTTGTATACTTTTATTTTTTATTTTATTTAATTAATTAATTTATTTATTTATTTATTTTTGAGACAGATTCTCTTTCTGTCACCCAGGCTGGAGTGCAATGGCACAATCGCTGCTCACTGCAACCTCCGCCTCCTGCGTTTGAGCAATTCTCCTGCCTCAGCCTCCCAAGTAGCTGGGGTTATAGGCACCCGCCGCTACACCTGGCTAATTTTTTGTATTTTTAGTAGTGATGGGGCTTTGCCATGTTGGCCAGACCGGTCTTGAACTCCTGACCTCATGTGATGCACCTGCCTCAGCCTCCCACAAAGTGCTGGGATTACAGGCATGAGCCACCACGCCCGGTCCCTTTTTATACTTTTAATTTACCATTGTGTTTTGCTTTCTTTTTTTAATCCAATGTTCTATATAGTATATGAGTTCCCTCCAATACTAGAAAAATGTCTTTATTTTCATAGCTTTGAGTATCGAATGTTTAAAAGTCCTTTAAAAAAATTAAATGTATTGTATCTGCTAGACTCCTTTACATACGTTTCTTGCAGCTCATTAAAAATTCTAATAGTTTTCCCCTCACAGAAATATTGTTGGCTTTTATGCAATAGATTGTTTTGCTGTAACATTCTGCACTGTTTTTAGAGGGAGCAGAAAAGGTTGTTTTAATTGAATACAAGCTAACTTCCATCTGTAGAGAGCTTCGAGACAATAATAGTATTATACCAGGTAAATAACAGGCGTCAAGTGACTCAGGAGAACCCTTATACAATGCAGCTGTAATGCCATTCACTTTACATATTTTCTTAATCTAATTTGGGTTCTAGATCAACAATACTTTTCACATAATAGTACCGAAGCCAAAGTGGTTCTCTGCATCCTCTTTCTGCACCCCTAGAATAGCATTTCTTTAAGTGTTATCTGTGGCTCCTACACCCTAGACTGACTCACCTGGAGTACTTGTTTAAAATGAATGCCACCAGGTATCTCTCAAGATCTAACAAATCACTGATCCACAACTAGGCTGGGACCTGGGAACCAACGTTTTAACAAGCTTCTCAGGTCATTGTTATACACGTATATTTTTAGAAACACGTCATACAATCTTCCCTGATACCTGAAATCCTTTTGGCAAATTTTAAAGCTTTGAGTCAGAATATGAGCCAGAGGGGTTAGAAACAAATTCTCAAATATGTAAAGTCTTTTTATATTGAGGTTTTATGAAAGTAATAATGAATTAGTGATGTCAGTGTTACTGAAAACTTTCAATAATGCTCCACCCTGAAGAATGACAATAATACACAAATTCTATATTTTTAAATAAGAAAGACTGACTATGGGTAAAACATGAAGGTGCTTAGGTTTAAAGCTACGTCTCTAGGTTCACAGTATCCTACTATTTAAGGGATCTGTTGCATCATTTACACTTGGAGATTTCTGACATGTTTATTTTTCCAGGATAAAAATTTAGGGTTGATATGTTTTCTTTATACTTAGATATTTTGATTTCTGTACCTTATCTCTAATTGTGAAATATAACAGTTTAGTATTTCCAATGAAAATGAGTTTAGGCATCATCAGAGAGTTAAATAAAAATCCTTACTGTGCTGCTAATCTTGAAATTACTATACATGTACCAATGCTCTAGTACACAAGCTGTATTGAATGAGTCATAAGAATAGCATTTTCAGGCTGTTTCTTCAATTTTTTTTTTTGGTAATGCCATTCTTCCTTGGGGCCAAGCCTCAGTGGATTGACTGTAGCTGCTTAATGACAGGGTCTGAGAACTGACGGGAACAGATTAGTCAATCCTCACTGTCGCCATCATTCCTAGGACCTGCCTTGTTATAGTAGATATCTATAGGAGAAACTTCTTATTTCTTCTGCAATAAGACTTTATTGCTTTCAGCTTCTGAAACCCAGAACACCTAAAACCCAAAGCCCAAAGTGGCTGTAGGCCACAAGGAGATAGAGAAGAAAAGTGTTGACAAGTTTTATTCACATCTTACTCCATTCATGTGAATGTAAGAGAATTTGTGAATGCACCAGTTATAGAAGATAATGCTTTCAGAAGGTTTAAAAATTCGTGAAATTTGACTTTAAAAACATTATTCCAATTTATATCTATTCAGAGGAAAACTTTTTCCACTTATGCCTCATTGCCACAAAGCATCATAGTCAGAATGTGTGTTATTAAAATGTGTCAGATTATTATGTGTGTTTGAAGTACAACATTCTTAATTAAGAAATGGCTCAGCAGATATCAAGTCCCTATAACATAACTCATTAGGTATATGACTTTGGTAAAGTATCTTAACATTTATAAACCTTGTTTTTTTCATTATAAAAATTCTGTTTATCTCTTAGGGTATGTGAAAAGATTGAAATTGTAATATGTCTAAAACTTTTAACATAGCACCTAACACATAAGTCAAAGTTCAATATAAAATATCAAGTATCATTATCATGATTAGCATAATGTGGTGATTAATGGTAGTTTGTATTTTGCTTAACATCAAAATTAGTTTATGTTGACTCATTCATCAGTCTTATTTTTGTAGCTGTCGAAAGAATTACAATACCAAGTGTTAAATCACCAAAGTGTACGTATTCTTTACACATTATAGTTTAATTAAGCTGAGAAATGATACATCACAGGTAGAATGCTCAAAAGTGATACAGGTTATTTAAAAATAAATCTAATTTATATTTAATTGAGGAAACAAAGCATACTACAGAATTATGTTGCATTTTCTCAGAGTGAATTAATTCTTCCAGTTTATCAATTAGTCATTCCATTTTCCTTGCATTCACCTTGACGTGGAACAAACTTAGATTACTTTCAAAAAGCAGGATAAGCAATTTCCTATAAAGCCAAACCACTGGCCTGAGATTTTATAAGTTTATGCTTTATAAAAGCTGGAAGGGACTCTTAAAAACTCATCAGTATGATTGTACTCATATCGTTCATGGGACTAATATGAGAAACTAAATATTTCTAAAAGAGTTAAAATGTATATTAGTATACTTAAGGTTTTTAGATGTCTAATTGTAATGAAAAAGATTCAGCTTCATTTTCTCAATGTTTCTCTTCTTTAGCTAAAACTCCATACATCTCTTATATTCATGTACTTATTTTTACAAAATATTTATTAGCATATCGAAGAATGCATTAATGTTTTACCAAGCAAGTTTTTGGAAAACATTAATCTCTGACAACTACTTCCTTTCTAGAGAGGGAACGGAGAACTTCCAAAATTAAGGGAATTATATAAGGACAAAGTCATTAGCGAATCTGTTTGCTGATGTATGTGTTTGTTTAGTTTTTAAATTAACCACCTAGCAGGTTCTTCTGTTTTTTAATCCACCTAAACAATTCTGAGAATTTGAATCATATAAAGATTAAACAATTTTTTTCCAGAAGCTTCTTATTTGGACAGAATATAATTTTCCCACCACAATGAGCTCATGGTAGCTTTTCAATAATATTTGTTGATGATGCCTTGATTACTTTTGAAAGTCAGATAGGCATTGCTAAAAGGACCTTTAGTGTTTTAGTTTGAAGAACACTGAAAAACTATTATTTTAACTGCACTCAACTCTCTTTCCTCCCAAGGAAACAAATGCATTAAATTGATGTAGTCAGCTGTAAATCACATTCTGTATCCTCGACCTGCTTTTCAAGTAGTCTATATTGTAGGTGGAGAGCAGGTGCTCCTACCCCTTGTGGAAATGTATGTGCATGCTGTTTGCCTTTGTATGTATTGCTGAATTTAGTGCCAAATAAATGTTGTTTAATTCTGGTCCATGCTTGGGGTTTACTCCTATAAATTAAACTTGACAAAGCAGGGGATGTTTGAAAAACCAACTCTGTGAATTTTCAAAACCCATCTTATATGGCAATACTGTATAGAAAATTGAACCCCGTGTGGGCATCAGTAGAGTATATTAACTACAGAATATATTTGTGTGGGAGCTTTGTTTGTAACTACTTTGAATCTGTAGGTTTAGGATCTTATCTCGTCAAATAGGTAGTTATTTGTCCAAATAGCCCAATTTGCTGTGGGCATTTTTTCTTTCTATTCTTTTTTAAAAATGTTTTTCACTAGGGTCATGCTTACTTTGGATTAACTAGGCATGTAAACTTCAGTGGGAACCAGACAGAATTATAGTATACTCTAGTAGAAAAAAAAATCATAATTCTCAGCCTCATTTAATATTTTGGGCAAAAATTCACCAGACTCAAAAGATGGGATATAGGTTCTCTAATCTGGTTTGTTGAAATTTGTATTTGCTGTATGCAAAATGGCCATTGCTCTCCTCTCTCTCTCTCTCTCTCTCTCTCTCTCTCTCTCTCTCTCTCTCTCTCTCTCTATATATATATATATATATATATATATTTTGTTGTTGTTGTTGTTTTTTAAGGAGAGATAGTTCTGTTTTGTAAGGTCATATATTTTTAATTGACTACTAAATCTGACTAGAGGACAAGAAACACTTAACTGCTTTTAGTAATGATTATGAGAATTTTAATAACATGAAAATACATTTCAAAAAAATAGCATGTGTGAATGAATTTGCTTGGTCTTAAAAAGAGAGCATTTCTACCAGTTCTTTAGACAGATCCCTGGGCTCTTTTCATCTATGTCAAAAAACACCATGGCCAGGTGACGGCAGAAGTGCTTCTGTAATTTTCCACTGCCAGCCAAATATGTCTATAGCTAGTCCTGATTAGCCCCCTTACTTCCTCTTCCCCCAGTTAAAAATAAAGGGAAACAGCACAGAAATACTTACTGTAGTGACTGAGCCCTGTACATACAGCACAAGTAAAAGATACCTGTCTTGGTCCCTAGCTTTTCTCATTCATGGACTCTCACAGCCCTTTTAATGATCTTGTCGGCGTGCCCTCTTGCAGTTGCCTTCTGTTGTCTCCCAGAATCACCCACTTAACTGAAGTGAAGACTACTGTCTAGAGTCAGCTTCTCCAAGTATGCCAGGCACAGGACTCAGAAATAATTGAAGACTTGCCTCGCGGTCAACAGGGAGACAGTTTATGTATATAAGAGCTAAAAGGGTAAGATAAAATGTTTGAAGGCTAACTTAATTATGTATACCTGATATTGACACTAAGGTTGCTTAAAGCACAAGACAAAATATTTTCAAAAACCTGAATCAAGATTCTTTCCGATCTCTTTGAAATCCTTTTATTTTCTTTCTTTTTTTTTTCTTTTTTCTTGGTTGAATTCAAGTTCTGATCAAGAATTTTTAATCTTAGGTCAAGTTTACTAGTGAAAGTTTTTAAGTAGTTAAGTGAATACTTGGTTCATATTTAATTTTAATGAGCATTAAGGGGTTCAAGTGTATCAGAGCAGCATGATAAAAGCAATGTTTTTTGGTGGGTTGTCCTCAGGCTACCTACATTAGAACTACCTGAGACTATTGAGATGAGGCTCAGAAATTTTTATGTGACAGCAATTGCTCTGCCAACCAATGTCTGTGACTCATTTATGTAAAGAGCCTAATATGGGTTTTGGAGAAATACAGTCCCGGTGTAGTCATTTACTACTCATAGAATCTTGGAGAATCATATAACTTAGTTGAGTGTTTGGCTTGTTATATGTAAAGTAGAGATGATACAGCTCTGATGAGTAGAAGAATACCAGGTTCTTCGTCTTGAGTAGAATTAGAAAAAACGACATGGACACACGTGGAGTAGTTTTAAGGAGCAGGGAGTTTAATAGGCAAGAAAGAAGGGAGGAGGGCAGAAGGAAGAGGCTCCCCAGTACAGAGACAGAGGGAGGGTGGTTCCAAAGCCGAAAGAAGGCACCCCACACTTAGGTATTATCAGCCAGCTATATTTGATGGCTGGAGGAGGCGGTGTCTGATTTGCATAGGGCTCAGTGGATTGGTTTGACCAGGCATGTCATTCATGCAGCCTGCGGAAAAAACTGGCCCTCCCACCCTAGCCTTTTAATATGCAAATGCAGGGCGCCATGATTTTCCACCTGTGAGGATATGTGGGGGTGGCCATGCTGCCAGGCACATGTAGGGACAAGGGCAAGAGGAAAACGGCGGGAATCACCACGTTGGGTGGACCCAGTTTCTAGCGGCTTGCATTTGCATATCAAAGGTTGCCTGCCTGGGTCTAAGAGCCAGGGCTTTCATGCTGGACAAGAGCTGGGAAAAATCTTCCAAGGAGCCCCTTTTTTCCTATCTGCCTAAAATAATTTGTTAATAACTCCTATCACAGAAATACCTCCAAAAGGTCAAGATTATTTGAGAAAATGAAATGAGACACTATAGGTGAAGTGGCCAGCCAAGTGCTTAAAACATTGTGTATGCTCAGACTTAAAATAAAACTCACTTTCATACATTTCTTTCCGGATTCTGAGGTAAGCCTGGAAATATGTTCACATGTCATGTGTTTGCCAAATTTACAAAATTAAGATATTTTTCTTTCACTCGGTTAAGTTATTGCTCCTTCTACTATCATTTCTACAATGCTGCACTCCTCTTCTATCTACCCGTGCAATATGACCACAGGGATTTTTAAGATTTAACTAAGGAATATTGCATTGAGAACATTGTGCTTGAGTTGAGTGTAGTAAGCAGCTGTCCAAGAGTAGACTTGGCTTCCAGGACTATGCCCACCTTTTACATTGAGGACCACTCCCCTCCCAGCATCAAGACCCAAAGGTGCAGGGCTGGAAGTCATTTTGCCCACAGTAGTAGATATCCTCAGGAATAAGCAAAAAGTACAGATGAAGTAAGGTCTGAAATGCATGAAACCATAAGCTGCTTTATAAAACATTTTTTGTATCATCAAATGTACAGACATTAAAGCAAAGGATTAGGCTTTTAACAATGTCAACTAAAAGTATAAATTCTGTGTAAAATATAGACAAGTAATATGTAATTTTAAATGCACAAAGCATTATTTTTATTTTTTATAGGAAATCTCAAACAGTAGAACTTATTACAATTTATGGGTTTGTGGGCCAAAACCTATAGTAGTACTACAAGCACGAAGTGTCTCTGTGTGAGAAGCTCATGAATCCCAACTATCAATAATAATAATAAAATTCAATCAATTATAGAAGAAGAAAGACTGAACTATACTTATATTCTCTTTAGGAAAAAAGCATATTAAAATAATAGTTTTTTCTAGAGGCAACCAAAGATGCACAATTTAAAAATGCAAAAGAAATATTTTACAAGTGTATTAGGTACAAATAGAAAAAACTATTATTTTCTGAATTTCACAGAAATCACACTTTTAAAAATTTGCATTTCATTATATTTCCTTTTCTACTTTAAATAGATGCTTATGTTTGTATTTAACTTTTCTACTTTAAAAAAAAAAATAGAATCCCATACTTATTTAAGGGTGAGTTCTAACAATATCCAGATCTACTTCTACAAGTATGCAATGCATATGGTGCTGGAGGCTATTTATTAATTATTTGTTAATAAACTTTAGAACACACACCCACACACTTCCACCAAAAACAAACTAGTTTAGAATAATGATTACATTGTCCGGTATGTATGTTACTGCCCAAGGGGCTCACCTAGCCCACTGCCTAGATAGAGTCTATTTATCAACACAGGGGAATTGAAATAGAGAAAGAGTAATTCAAGCAGAGCCGGCTGTGTAGGAGACTCGAGGTTCATTATTACTCAAATCAGTCTCCCCAAAAACTTGGGGATCAGAGTTTTTAAGGATAATTTGGTGGGTAGGGGGCCAGTGACTCGGGAGTGCTGTGCTGATTGTCGGCTTGGGGATGAAATCACAGGGCGTCACAGCTGTTCTCTTTTGCTGAGTGAGTTCCTGAGTGGGGCCACGGAACTGGTTGGCAGGTCCAGGTGGAGCCACTCGATTGTTAGAAATATAAAAACCTGAAAAGACATTCACAATAATGATGTTACCTTCAAGAGTAATTGGGGAAATTACAAATCTCACAACCTCTGGAATAATGGCTGGTAATATTTAGAATTCCAGCCCCTCTCATCTTGAATTGGTGGTTGGTGGCCTTTCAGTTGTTTTACAAGAATAGTTTGGCCTTTGGGGAAGGGCCATTATTTAAACTATACACTAAATTCCTTCCTGGAGTTAGTTTGGCCTACATCCAGGAATGAACAAGGACAGTTTAGAGGTGAGAAGCAAGATGGTGTCAATTAGGTCTGATATTTTTCACCGTCATAATTTTCTGTTATAATTTTTGCAAAGCAGTTTCATGAACATCTAAGCTAGCAAAAGATTATGAGAATCAAAATACTTCTGTATTTTATTTCACTTAAAAATATGAATAGAGGGTGGTCATTCTAAGATATAATCGAGTGACAATTGACCTGTCTTTAATATTGTAAACTACAGGGTCAGAGCAAAACATACTTAAGATTCACTAAATGTAAGTGATTCTTACACACACCTTCTGTATCTGTCTACCATACACATGTGGCCACTGAGGATAAAATACTATGCTGAGGTAGAGGGGTTAGAAGTAAAATAAAAAGGGAACCCAGAAGTTTAAAAACACAATCTTACCTTCCAGTTTAATATTACCATATCATATCAGCAATGAAATCTAGAATTTTTAATCTAAAAACTAAACCTAATCAAGTATTTTTATTTATCATTGATTTCAATTTCTCAAGTATCTTTCATACTGTTCTAAACAGTTAGCCAAAAGTTAGAAATATTCTATTTTTCTCATAAGTAGACTTAGAGGTCATTAAATCTTGTGGGAAAATGTGAGTTCTTAAAAACTACTGATGTAGGAAGCCAAGGAAATGCGATTGAAAGCCGGCATCAAAGAGCAAAGTTGCCTTAGAGATATAATTCAGATCATTGTGGAACCATTAGATACAATTACCCTAGACTCATTGTGACTTCTGAAGAGTTATTTTTGAGGAAGGTACTGAATCTTGAAGCAATTGGAGTAGCAAAGTGTAATAGGAAGTGAAAGCATGGGCTGCTAAATACCTGTTTTTAAGAACTGAGTTCTAAGACAATAATACAAATTGTGTTACATTATTAAAAGTGAATAACAGTGAGTGGAGTTAAAACTATTTATTGCTTATTTGTAGCTTTCATTCATTTCTAAAGGACAGATATTTGCATAGATAAAGCTCTTAGCACTTAACATTACTTTGACTCTGATCGTTACCTGAGCTGAATTTTAAATCTGTCTTATTAACATTTGGGTTTTTTTTAAGATGTACTTTAATTTTACTTAATTGCCCCATAACATTTTTTCTGAATATTTAGTGGTAGTTATAGTTTCCTGTCATTCACAAGAAGTTGTAATAACTTTCCAGCGGAAATAAAAACATTTGAAACCACTTTACCACTTTTTCTGGAAAATCTCAGAATTGGGTGGCAAAGCTTGAAAGTTTCTTGACATAGAAACCACATGTACAAATGAGACTTTACCACCCAGAGGGGGACGCTTAATTGCACCATATGAAACATTTTTTCCAGGCCAAAATTGTGAGAATAAAAATAACACACTGGAGAAATCTGAATATATTCAGATGAGTAAGTTAACGGACAGCAAGCTTTTCAATTATGAATAATTAGATTTCTAATTGAGTTAAAATTCTAGTGATTATTATGGTGAAAAAAATAGTACAAATCATAATTGTCATACCACTCAGCAGTATGGTTGGGCCCTCTGTCCCTCTTGTCAATCACATTAAAACAGAGTTTTGTTTACTCGTTTAGTTAGGATTTACAGAAAAACTCTAATATGCCAAGTGTTGTTCTTAGTAACTATAATGAAGATGTGAAATATAATTTAAGGTACTACTCGAAGCAGTTTTCAGTTTATTTGGGAAGATGGGGGCAATCAATTTAAGTTTTATATACACAATTAGGAAATAATACAGAACTTAGAGATGTGAGATGAAAAAGTGCTGTAGTAGAAGAGTCAATATTAGTAGGTGTCAGGGAAAACTAAAATTGGAAAACTGACTTTCACTGTGGACTTTATATAAAGAAAATTTTCTTTGAAGAGGCAGGGCTTCAACAAAGAAAACTTAATAAATAGGGAATGCATTAGTCAGGATTCTCTAAAGGGACAGAACTAATAGGATAGATGAATAAATGAAGGGGAGTTTATTAAGAGAAGTGACTCACACAATCACAAAGTGAAGTCCCACAGTAGACCATCTGTAAGCTGAGGAGCCAGGAAGCCAGTCAGAGTCACAAAGCCTGCAAAATAAGGAAGCCAACAGTGCAGCCTTCAGTCTGTGGCCAAAAGCCCGAGAACCCCTGGCAAATCACTGGTGTAACACCAAGATTCCAAAAGCTGAAGAACTTGGAGTCTGATGTTCGAGAGCAGGAAGCATCCAGCATGGAAGAAAGATAGAGGCCAGAAGACTTAACCAGTCTAGTCCTTCCACATTCCTCTGGCTGCTTTTGTCCTAGCTGCACTAGCAGCTGATGAGATGATGCCCATCCAGATTGAGGGTGAGTCTGCCTCTCCCAGTCCACTGACTCAAATATCAATCTCCTTTGGCAATACCTGCACAGACACACCCAGGAACAATACCTTGTATCCTTCAATCCAATCAAGTTGACACTTAATATTAACCATCACAAGTGGGAAATTAGACAGGATTTTTCAGGACTCCTCAATCTCAGATGCTCGCGCAAACACCTCTGTATCAACCCAACGATCAATTTTTTTCATCCAGGAAATTCTCTAACCTTTTTTTTTCTCGTTTCTTTTGCTAATAACATGGGAGTGTCTTCAGAAACCTTGAGTTTTTTTCTGTCATCAGCTTTGGAGATAATGGCAAATGTTTTGATTTTAATAGTTGTTCCCAACAACCTCACAGACTGTTTCTTCTGTGTTGGAATGCTACTCTTTAAAGCTCTAAAGTTTCTGGTTTTTCTAAGGTTCAGTGAGAATCATCTAGTACCACTCTAACTGTGCATTATAAGCAAAGCACGCATAGTCTTTTCCTCTTAGCCCTTTGGAGAAATGAAAGCAATGCTAGGAATTTTCTTCATTGTCCTTATCTTAAAATTGGTTAATAATATCTTTTTTCTTTTTTTTTTTTTTTTTTAAGACGGAGTTTTTGCTCTTGTTGCCCAGACTGGAGTGCAATGGCTTGATCTCGGCTCACTGCAACCTCCGCCTCCCAGGTTCAAGCAATTCTCCTGCCTCAGCCTCCCAAGTCGCTGGGATTACAGGCATGTGCCTCCACACCCAGCTAATTTTGTATTTTTAGTAGAGATGGGGTTTCTCCATGTTAGTCAGGCTGGTCTCAAACTCCCGACCTCAGGTGATCTGCCCACCTTGGCCTCCCAAAGTGCTAGGATTACAGGCGTGAGCCACCGTGCCCGGCAATAATTTCAAGTACAATACCTAATTGTATGGTAATTTATTAAAATAAATAGTAAAAATATATTTCATAGTATATTGTACATCTGTTACATATTTATATGTTGTATTCCTATTTTATTTATGTGTGTGTGTTTTATAAAAACAGAATCACACCATGCATGGTTTTGTAAATTGTTTTTCTACTCAGTATTATATCTTTATGAAATATCTGTCTCATTACTTTTAAGATCATCTTATATTTTATTGTTTAAATAAGTAAATATTTAGTAATCACTCTGCTTTTAAGGGCAATGCGTATTTTATTAACTAAACCTTGACTATATGCCTGACTTTATTCTAAACAATTTATAAATATTAACATATTTAATCATCATAACAACTATATAAAATATCTCTAATTTTTGGTGGTAACAAATAAATTTGCATGTAATATTTCTTGACCTGTATCTTTGCAACATTGAAACCGCCTTTGCAAAATTATGACTGAGACAGTGAAAGAGATCTAACTTAACTGACTCCATCTTGCTTCTACCTCCAAACTGTCCTTGTTCATTCCTGGGCATAGGCCAAACTAACTTTAGGAGAAACTTAGTTTACAGTTGATAGTTTAAATAAAGATGGTAACACCCCTTTCCAAAAGCAGACCTCCTTCTTGCCTGGCAACTAGATTGCCTTTGTAGGACTAACATTAGCCACAAGATTAGAAATTATGGTTTAGGAGTCATGCAGCTGGAAGCTACAAGATTCTGACCCCCTCTAAACTGCTCCTAAGATCAGTGCTTGAGATATTTTGCAGACCCTGCACTTGATGGATCAGCTGGCACCACCCAGATCAATGAACTGGCTCATCTGATCTTGTGACCCCACCCAGGAACTGACTCAGCACAAGAAGACAGCTTTGTCTTCCTATGATTTCATCCCTGACCAATCAGCACTCCTGGCTCACTGGCTTCCCCCAGCCCACCAAGTTATCCTTAAAAATTCTGCTCCCTGAATGCTTAGGGAAACTTATTTGAGTCTCCCTAATGCTGGGACTCTTGCAATATCTACAATATTTACACAGGCGGTTCTGCGTGAAGTACCCTTTCTCTATTGCAATTCTCCTGTCTTGATGAATTGGCTTTGTCTAGGCAGCAGGCAAAGTGAACCCCTCGGGCAGTTACAAAAATCTTCAGGAAAAATTCTTAGGTGTTAAATTTTCAGATTAAACAGGAATTTTAAAATTGGTAGATATTGACAAACTGCCCTCTGAAAATATTGCTTCACTTACTTGTACTATGAGCAGTATATGACAGTATACCTTATCTCACATTACCAACATGTACATTCTTTCTTTTTGAGTTCGCTCAAGAATCAGCAATTAGATCTTGCTGAATAGTCAGTCAGTTCAGTGAGGGAGACCGTGAACACAGAAGAGAAGTTAAAGATAACCAAGTACTAATAACAGGGTTACAGTCTCGCCAATGCACTGCAATGTAGTAGTCTCTCATTGCCAGAGTCCTTTGTCTCACGACCAAGAAAGTTAAGGAGAGTGGACACTAAGGGTGAGGTTGGAGTGAAAGTTTAACAGTGAAAGAAGAAAGCTTTCCACCACGGAGAGGGGACCCAGAAGAGGGTTGCCGTTTTTACAGTCGAATGCAAAAGCTTTTATAAGAAACCAATGAGAGCTGGATGTCTTATTTGCATAAGGCACAAATTTCTGGTAGCTCCACCCTGTCCTCCTAGTGTTCATGCAGGCCCTTAGCTTGAGTTACTCCACATTGCTTTGTTCCGCTTATTGCGCATGTGTGTCAGGGGATGGAATTTTCCATTGTGGGCATGTCTGGCCAAGTCATCCTTTCTTATCGTGCAGCTGTGGACATGTCTTAGGCAAGCTGCCTGTGCAAGTTCCCTTATCTGTGCCTACAGGCTGTTCTTTTGTTGGAAAGAATTCAACTGAGGACCCACCCTAACTGCCTTTCTGTCCAGTTTCTTCCTTTCTCCTCTTTCAACAGGGTAGCAATATTGGAAGCACACTCCATACAAATACAAGGTCTAGATTAGTACCACAATTGGGATGTGTGAACTCCAAGTTAAGGAGCCTCTTCTTAACTTGAAAACAAATCCCTTCCTATTAGGGAGAATTTAGAATACTACAAGTCTGTAGCCTATCTATCTACTAAGCATTAATTGTATATGGATGATCTTTTTGACTCATGCCTCAGTTCTAGAAGTTGGTTTTCTGATTTGTCTTTTTTCTTGAAGAGATTGCAAGCATTTCAGCATTGGTAGTGATTAGTAAATATTGTGGATATTGCAAGCATTGTAGATATTGCAAGCATCTCAGCATTGGTAGTGATTAGTAAATATTGTAGGTATTGCAAGAGTCCCAGCATTAGTCCCTGTCCCTCTGAAGCAAAGACTCTCTATTACACAGATTAGTATTCCCAGATCCTTCTTCAGAATCCCAGACCCATGAACTTATCCTTACTAACTCTTACCTGCTGTGTAGTGTCCAAGATTCATTAAACTAACTGCTGCCAAGTTCTTCTGCCACATCTTGTTATTCTGCCAACCAGTGTTTCTACCTGAAACACTGACTTAAAAGGTCCACCTGTCTGTACAGTTTTTTGTTGCCTGCTATGATGTCTTCCTGTTCTTCCCTTCTTTCAGCCTATCTTCCTACCTGTCTGAAACTCATTTATGACGGGCACCTGATCCAACCACACAGCACCTGCCCTCCTTTTGTGAATTTCCTTTATTTGGTGACTAGTTCTGGCTTATTTAATTCATTTGGTTACTGACAAGCAAAAACTATTTAAAATGTCGTTACAAAAACAAGTGTGAAATTATATTCTATGGGCTATAAGTTTAGCGCTGTAATTGGAGGATCCAACCTATAGCAAAGTCAAACATCTGGAATAGCATCTGCAGATAAAGGGTGAACAGCTGGTGTGAAAACATACCCTAAACCCAGAGACATTTGAAATATGACCCTGAATTTTTCTTCTTCTAAAAACGTTCCCCAGAGTTTAGTGAATTGGGAGCTCTGTATTGTACCCTCTGTAGTAGCATGTTTTTGTTAACCCTCTGACCGATGAATTGTACTGGAGGTATGTGACAATACAAATTATCTAATGGACAATACAAGGTGAGTAAGAAATCAAGAGAATGTTTAGACGGATTGAAGGGATCCTCATCTGTCATAAGCTCTTATCCTACAACTTAGCATGTCCTTTGCATTGAAGGAGCCTAGAAGCTGCCCTAAGACGTTGTGAGACATCTCCTTCAAATGTCATTGGGCTGAATGCTGTTTTCTGCTTTATTTTCTTTAAAGCTAAATGAGCAGATATATTGAAAATTGAGGATCTTTTTGCTAATTTTGAACATATGACTAAATGATATCAACTCAATTGACATGTTGTTTGAAGCATCAGAAGAGAAACTTTTGTTTTGTTTTGTTTTAATTATGGTAAAACGTAAGATTATTTACCATTTTGACCATTTTTCAAGTGTGCAATTCAGTTGAATTAAGTATATTCACATTGTTTTGCACCCATCACTGCCATCCATTTCCAGAACTTTTTCATCATTCTAAACTGAAAATTTATATCCAATAAATAACTCTCCGTATCTCATGTAAGTGGAATTATCCAATAATTGTCATATTTATGTCCAGCATTTGCTTAGCTAAATATTTTTAAAGTTCACCCATGTTGTGGCAGGTATCATAATTTCATTCCTTTTCAAGACTAAGTAATGTAGCATAGTATGCATATACCACATTTGATTTATTTATTTGTCAATGGACACTTGGTGGTTTCCTGTTTTTGGCTATTGTGAAAATGCTACTATGTACATTGCTATACAAATATCTGTTTTAGCCGTTGTTTCAATTATTTTGGTTATATACAAAGAAATGGAATCGCTGGATAATAAGGTAATTCCAGGTTTAATATTTTGTGGAACTGCCATATTGTTTTCCATAGGTGTGAAACTATTTTACATTCCCACCAGCAATGTGTAGGGTTCAAATTTTCCTACATCTTCACCAACACTTTTTTCCCTCTCTCTCTCTTCCCTCCTCCAACTCCCCCACTTCTCTTGCTCTCTCTTTCTCTTTTTATAACTACAGTCCTAATGATTGTGAAGTGATACTTATTGTGGTTTTGATTTGCATTTCCCTAATGATTAATGATATTGAGCATCTTTTCATGTGCTTATTGGTTTTTGTATTTTTTCTTCAGAAGAAAAAAGCTATTCTTGTTCTTTGTCCATTTGTTATCTTTGTTGATGACTTGTAAGAGTTCTTTACATATTCTGAATATTAATATTTTATCAAGTATATTATTTGAAAATAGTTTCTTTCACTCTATGGATCGATTTTCATGTTCTTCATAGTGTCCTTTGTTGCACAATTTCTTTTAAATTTTGAAGTATAATTTATTCATTTTTTCTTTTGTTTCCTGTGCTTTTTACATCATATTAAAGAAGCTATTCCAAATCCAATATCATCTATCATTTCCTCTATTTTTTTTTTTTTTTTTTTTTTTTTTTTTTTTTTTTTTTGAGACGGAGTCTCGCTCTGTCGCCCAGCCCGGACTGCGGACTGCAGTGGCACAATCTCAGCTCACTGCAAGCTCCGCTTCCCGGGTTCACGCCATTCTCCAGCCTCAGCCTCCCGAGTAGCTGGGACTACAGGCGCCCGCCACCGCGCCTTGCTAATTTTTTGTATTTTTAGTAGAGACGGGGTTTCACCTTGTTAGCCAGGATGGTCTCGATCTCCTGACCTCATGATCCACCCGCCTCGGCCTCCCAAAGTGCTGGGATTACAGGCGTGAGCCACCGCACCCGGCCCATTTCCTCTATTTTTAAATGTGTTTTATAGTTTTAGATCCCATGTTTATGTCTTTGATCCATTTTGATTTAATGTTGGTATGTTGCATAAGGCTGTGATCCAATTTTATTCTTTTACATGTGGATAACTAGTTTTCCCACCACAATTTGTTAAAAAGACGGTTCATTCTGCACTGAGTAGTCTTAGCATCCCTTTCAAAAATCATTTGACTATGTATAGATTTTATTTCTGCATTCTCTATTCAACTCCACAGGTCTCTATATCTCTCTTTATGCCAGTACCACACTGTTTTGATTATTGTAGCATTAAGAGTCATTCTTAAAATCAGGAAGTGTGAATTCTTCAACTTTGTTCTTCCTTTACAAGATTGTTGTGACTATTCAAAGTCTTTTGAAATTTCATACAAATTTTAGTATTGATTTTTTTAATTTATGCAAAAACACTTTGGGGATTTCAATAAGGATCAAATTAAGTCTGAAGATTTTGAGTAGTATTGCCCTCCTAACAATAGTAGTTCAACCAATCCATTATCATGGGATGTCTTTTCTGGCTTTGGTATCAAGATAATGCTTGTCTCACAGGATGAATGAATGAAGTGTTTGTGTCTCTTCATGTATTAAGAAGAGTTTGCAAATGATTGGTGTTAATTTTTCTTTAAATGTTTTGTATAATTCACCAGTGAAGTCTTCAGGGCCAGGGCTTTTTTTTTTTTTTTTTTTTTTGGTTGGAAATGTTTGGAGTACCAGTTCAATCTCCTTACTAGTTATGTCTATACAGATTTTCTATTTATTTGTGAGTCAGTCTTGATAGTTTGTATATTTCCAGTTCATATTATCGAAGTTAGTTCATTGGCTTACAATTGTTCATAATACTCTCTTCTAAGCCTTATTTCTGTAAAATCAGTAACAGTGACTCTACTTTTGTTTCTAATATTACCTTTATCATTTCTGAGCTTACATTTCCTCTTTGTTGCTCAATCTAGCTAAAATTTGTTATTTTTGTTAATCTTTTTGAAGAACCAAATTTTAATTTCATTGATTTTTTTGTTTTTCTATTCTCTATTTTATTCATCTTCACTCTATCCATTACTCTTTTCTTTGTTCTGTTTGGATTTATTTTAATCTTCTTTTTCTAGTGGTTAAGGTATAAGGTTTCATTGTTGATTTCACATCTTTTTTTTCTTTTATATGTAAGTATTATTAGACATGAATATCCAGCTTAGCAGTACTTTTGCTGTATCCCATAAGTTTCCTTATGTTGTATTTTCATTTTCCTTAATCTCAAAGTATTTTCTAAGTTCCCATGGGACTTCTTCGCCCATTGCTTGTTTAGTGTATGTTTAATTCTCATATATTTTTGAATTTCTAATTTTTCTTTTGTTATTGATATCTATTTTCATTTCATAGTATACAAAAAGATAATTTTTATGACTTATTTTTCAATTTATGAGTTTATGAAGACTTGTTTGTGTCCTGACATATGATCTATTCTAGAGTATGTTTCATGTGCATTTAAGAGAGGTATATATTTTGCTATTATTAAGTGAGTGTTCTGTATACATGTTAAGTTCTATTAGTCTACATTGTTATTTGTCTTTTACTTATTTATTGATCTCTGTCTGATCATTCTATCCATTATTGCTAGAACAGTATAGAAGTCTCCGACTACTTTTGTAGAACAATATATTTTTCTTGATTTATTTTGTCAATGTTTGCTTATGCATTTTGAATGTCTGACGTTTGATGCACACATGTCTATAATTATTATATCTTTCTGGTGTATTGACAATTTTATCAATATATGTTTCTCTTTGTCTCTTTTAACGTATATTTTGTCTGATACTGTTGTAGTCACCCCAGTTAACCTAACTGCTTTTGAGTTTCTTCGTTTTTTGTTTTTGACAGTATGCTTACAATGTGTCTTGATGTGGGTCTCTTTAGGTGTATCCTACTTGTAGCTCATTGTACTTCTTAGATTGGATTTGTAAATTTATGCATTTTATCAAACTTGGGAAATTTTTGGCCATTATTTGTTTGAATAATCTTTCTTCTTCTCTCTCTTTCTGTAAATTCCTAAATGTGTATATCAGTTCACTTATTGATATCTCACAATTTCCTTGAGCTTTGTTCACTTTTCCTCATTCCTTTTTTTTTTCTATTGCTCTGATTCAATCATTTCAATTGTCCTGTACTCAGGTTTGCTAATTCTTTCTTCATCTTGCTTAAATTTGTCTTTGATTCCCTCTAACAAAATTTTCAACTCAGTTATGGTGTTGTCAGCTCCAGATTTTTTTTTAAATTTCTATCTTTTTGTTGATATTTCTTTTTTTTATATATATTATTTTCCTGTTTTTTTTTAAGTTTTTTGTGTTTTTCTTTAGCTCTTTGAACATATGTAAGATAGTTGTTTGAAATCTAAATATGTTAAGTTTTATGCTTGTGTTTCCTCTTGATAGTTTCTGGAAATTCATTTTGTTTCTTGGAATGTGTTTTTCTATTTCTTTATAGGCTTTGTGATTCTTGGTTACTGTTGTTAAAAATTGAGAGTGTGAGGAAAAAACAAAACAAAAATAAACTACCTTTTCTAATTTTTGTATTTTGTCTCTTTGTCAGAGAAGTCCTCTACTGATATGTTGGACATACTTTGCACCTTGAGATAAGCCCACAGTAAAAAGCTTAAAGTCTTCTGAGAATTTTTCCGTGCATGTGCCTCGTCTGGGCCTGCTTGTCACTTTTCAATTCTCCTACATACATACATGCTTTTGAATGATTTAATTTGCAAGAAAAGTCTTATTCCAACTTCTCCTTGGAGCTTAGATGGTCTGTTTAATGCTTTTCCTGTAATCTCTTACTCCAGGAATCTGTGAGTCTGTAGTGCCCCTGCAGCTTTCTTGATCATTGCCACCTTGTTCTCCTGACTGAGATCTGAGTTAGATGAGACAGAGATAAGTATTTCAGGCAGTCCCCAGACAGTTTATAACATCTCAAATGAAATATAACTTGCTCCTTTTGGCTTGAGAGAGGGAATTTGAAACTGCCTTACTGCTCCTTCAAGACCAGAACTGTGCCATGCCAAGAATTGGGTAAGAAAAGAGCAAGTAAAAATGTTGTAAAATTGTCTACTGTTTAAAATTTGCCTTTTCTTGATTGAATATTTGCTTGCTTTCTATAGGTCTTTGGCTGTTTTCCAGGGTCCTATAAGGATAGTTAGTCAATTTCTGTTTGTTTCTGATGTTTTCATGAAGGAATGAGGACTTAGAGTTTTTGTTTGCTGTTTTACTAATATCACTCCTGGAAATTATTTTTAAATGAAGAATTTATTTGGAAAAAAAATTCAACTTGAAAATGGAACAAATGTGTGAGTAGTTAATTAACATCCATGAGTGATCTGATATAAGATACATAGGCCTAGAGACATACTGCTTGAATTGGAATTATGAATTCCCCAATCATCTTTGTAGCTTTTTAATATCTCAGTCACTTCATTTGGAAACATGAGAAAATAATATGTACTAGAGATCAAATGTGCTAATCTTTCATTATAAAATAAAAGGAGCCCTGGGGCCATGGCTCACAACTGTAACCCCTGCATTTTGGGAGGCCAAGGTTGGAGGATCACTTCAGTCCGGGAGTTGGAGACCACCTCTGGCAACATAGCAAGACCATGTTATCTGCAAAAAATTTAAAAAATTAACCAGGCATGGTGGTGCATGCCTGTAGTTCTAGCTACTCAGGAGGCTGAGGTGACAGGACTGCTTGAGCCTGGGAGGTTAAGGCTGCAGTAAACTGTGGTCGTACCACTTCACTCAAGACTGGGTAACAGAGTGAGACCCTGTCTCAAAAAATAAAAAGTAAAAGTAAATAAATAAAAAGATATAAGCCCTTAGAATAGTATTTATCACATGTTTACCTATCAACAAATTATTGAATATTATTGTTACTATATGTTAACTATGTGTAAATCAGCATTATAAAAAATATGTTTCTGTATAATTGATCTCCTGATCATTTTAAAATATGGGTAAAATAAATTCTTTTTTAGATTTCTATCCATGCATGTATTAACAAGTTATGTATATGTTTAAATATTTAGATGCTACTTTTTAAAATATTTTATAATTGCAGAATCTCATAAGATTTATAATTAATTTGTATTTAAAAACATTATAAAAGTACTCAATTATATTTCATATTTGTTTATTCTCTTCAATAATCATTTGATAAAAAACAAATGAAATAATAATGCTATCTACTACTAAAGGCTATTTATGTACCAGGTATCATCCTACTTGACTTACAAATTTTTACTCACAAAAATCATGTGATATATATACATTTATCATTTTCATTGTATATTTGAAGAAACTATAATCAAGTATTTTTTCAGAGTCATATATTCATCAGTGAAATATTATTTTATATTTATTTTTTATTTTAGAGACCGGGTCTTGCTCTGCTAACCAGGCTAGAGTGCAGTGGCATGACTGCAGCTCATTGTAACCTCAAATTACTGGGTTCAAATGAACCTCCAATATTAGCCTCCTGAGTAGCTGAGACTATAGGAGCACACCACCACACCCAGCTAATTTTTATTTTATTTTATTTTTTTGTAGAGATGGTGGGCTCACTATGTTGTCCAGGTTGGTCTTGAACTCCTGGCTGCAAACAGTCCTGCCACCTTTGCCTCCGAAAACACTGAGATTATAGAAGCAAGCCAACACAGCCAGCCCTAAAAGATCATTTTATAGCCACATGAGTTGGCAATGCTAACAAATTATTGCTAGCTTACTATAGGAACTTATTTGGCGAAAGAAAAATTAATAAGATATTGTTATTTTACCATTTTTGCATTTCCCAATTTTTCCTCACTTGTTTAACTTATAAGTCAGTGTATATTTCTATCTATAAAATATTATTACCTATAATGTTTTATCAAAATTATGCAAATAATGTACAAGAGTTTCACTCATAATTTTACATGAATGTGCCTATAATGTTCTTAAAAGAAGAAAAAAGCCACATTTTTATATTAATAAAATATTACTTGATCAAATTTTAAGGATTTTCTAAGATATAGTCCTTACCAAAATATCACTTTTTTTTTTCATGGCAATAGACACATCTGCCTCCCACCTTGTGAAACTGGCAAACTGGTACAAGCTGACGAGGAAGTGCCTAATTTTCACTGCTTCAGTGATGTAGGAGTCATAAGAAATGTTTTGGATGCCCAATGACAAATCTAAGGATAAGGATAAAAACAGTAAAGATGATAATGATTTCCTGAAGGGAGAGAAAAACCACCTGGGAAAAGTCTACTTCAATCTTTCATCATAAAATTCATGTTTTTTTCAGAAAGACAGCCTTACAGAGAAACAAGGTTCTATGTCCTTCACTTTACCTTTAGTATAAAGAAACAAGTGTGCAAACCATAGCTAACATCAGATTATTTTATTTCTTTATTTTTTAAAGCAAGTGCCTGCCTGTTCCTAGAATAAGTGCTCATTTACTCTGTTTACCTTGAATATTCTCTGAATTACTCTGAATATCTCTAGCACAGCATAAGTACAGTACTTCATAATAAAAAATCAAACAGGATTTAAATAATCATTAAGTAAAATTTAAATCATTTTGGATATACTTTTTAAAAGTGGCAGAGGCTGGGCGCGGCGGCTCATGCCTGTATTCCCAGAACTTTGGGAGGCCGAGGCGGGCGGATCACGAGGTCAAGAGATCGAGACCATCCTGGCCAACATGGTGAAACGCAGTCTCTAGTAAAAATACAAAAATTAGCTGGGCGTGGTGGCACATGCCTGTAATTCCAGCTATTCTGGAGACAGGCAGGTGAATCACTTGAACTGGGAGGTGGAGGTTGCAGTGAGCCAAGATCTCACCACTGTACTCCAACCTGGCGAAAGAGCGAGAGTCCGTCTCAAAAAAAAAAAAAAAAAAGGCAGAAAAAAATGTACGTTTAAAGATAGATCTATATTAACTGTTCTAAGGTGTTAGAGAAGGCTATATTTTATAAAAGGGAAAACTTAATTAAACTGTATGAAATTCCCTTAAAAATTTCACATATCCAGAAAGTACTATTTTCTCTGCCCTAGCACCTTTGCAAGAAATGGCAAACATTTTCTGTAAAGGGCCAGAGAAAAAATAAATTGGTATTTTCTTGCCATTTGGTCTCTTACAACTACTCAATTCTGCTCTTTTAGCATGAGAACAACCATCGAAAAATACATAAATGAATGAGTGTGGTTGTTTTCCAATACAATGTTGTTATAATAGATGGAGGACTGGATGTCTTTTACTGGTTGTAGTTTGCCAACCCTGCTCTCTACTACAGTTATTGAAGCATGGGTAAATCTTGGGTATTGAAACATATTTAAGTTCAATGGCAGTGAGGGGAATCTGGGAAATTTTTATTAAGTTGAGAATCTTGAGAGAGTGGTGTGTTTTTCAGTGGTGCAGTTTATTATTTCTCTCACTGTATTTTATTTATTGTAACACCAGCCTTCTGAAATAATCTCTACAATATTCATTATGTATCTTTCCCTTTTGCTGGGTCGATGTTGCTTAAATTACAATCAGGCATTAATTCAGGAGCTCTGCCTTTGCCATGCTAGGTTACTGGTTCCCTAGATCATCACAGAGCCTTTCGGGGATCTAATAGAAAATGGTGTGACTATCCTATGAGGAATGTCATGGGGAGAATGATAAATCCATTACTGTCAGCAAAAGCTAAAGATTGGTAGATAGCTCTGTTTGCAGCCCTCTAAATTTGATTAAAAACCAATGGGTTCATATCTAATAAACATACCCTTTCAATTCCTGCATGCAATTTAGAGATAGCAGCATGAAAATGCCCATCAATGTGCTACTGCACAGTCTGGGGGGATGTAAAGACCTCATGATGGATTCCTCAGCTTCCTTGACTAATGTCTCCAACATGACTTGTTAATCTCTGCAATGATCAAGTGGCTATTAATGATAAAGCTGTGCTAACCTTTTCAAAAATTAGAAGAGCATAACTACAAGTGAAGCTACAATGGCTTCTTGGAGAGGCAGCCTTACAAGTGAAAGATCACCCTATCCAGGCAGGAGTAATGTATGCATTACTTATACAATGTGTCTGCGGTCTGCATGAAAGATGAAATCCCAGTCTGGGAAGTGCCTTTCTCAGCAGGACTATTTTAGTTAAAGTGCACAGAGTAGTCTGCTGCATTTCCATAAGCTGAGTAGAAATGAAGAAAGTAGGTGTAAGATCATTTCTTCTTCTCTCTATGCTGAAGCCTAAATAAAAATAATACTAATAAATAATATAGGTGAAAATAAATTGGCTAGTCTAATATGACATTTTGCAGATTTTATAGGGAGTAACAAAGAATTACTTATTAGCTTCTTTCTCTGCACCTTCTGTTTGAGTTATTATTATTTAGTACTTATATTCTACCCCAAAGAAAGGAAACGTGTTTATTCTCAAACCCAGCTATCTTTGCTTTCTATGTTGCCATAACACTTCTTGGAGGTAAGAACACACTAATTCTTTCTTGAATGGGTGAAGGATAAAGGGAAAATATTTGGGAAAAAAATCAAATTTATTAATATTAAACCAAAAATATTTTTGCTACATTGCTTCAAGTGGCACCTCAGGTCCTAATTTCCTAAATTAATCTGTGCAATATTGTTTAGCCATACGCAAATATTCACCTGCCTCTGAACTCAACTGCTTCTTTTCATGGTTGCATGCCTTTGACCACCCTGCTTTGACCATGTATGTGCCTGGAATGAATTTGGCCCTATTCTACCCAATAACTCAGGCTCTTCCAGTCCACTTACAATGGTTCATAGTGTACACTTGCACATGGATACATGGTGAACCTGTGGGTGCATAATGTATCACACTTAAATGGCTAGTTCATTGTTACTTCCTTTCTGAAGACTTTCTTGGGTTTCGACTGCTCTTTGTATTTTGTATATCTCATTTTATTTCTCAACTCATCATTTAGAGCTATAATTAATGATTTTTATATCTCCCTTAACAGTAGAAACAGAAAATTATCACCATTACCTCCACCTTAGAAAATCTGGAGTAAAATATGAACTGAAGTAGGAACCTCAGTTAGCAGTTCCTAGTAAAGACTCTTAAGTAAAACAGGTTGTATCAGATTAAAGATGGGCACAAATTCTTTGCTACTTCTCCCATTGAAAAGAGTTGAACTTCACTCCTCTTAAATTTGGCTAATTTTGTGACTTGCTTCATTCACCAAGAGATTGTGGTGAAAAATGACTTTCTGGAGTTCCTGACACCCGGTCACAAGAAGCCTTGCAGCTTCTGCCTGGGACAAAGAGATGCTTGCTTCTCAGAACACTGTTACCTTTGGAATACTCACCCTTAGAATCCATGTTGTGAGGAAGCCAAACAGTTCCTGGAGAGTCCCACATGGTGAAGAACCAAAGCCTCCAGCTGATAGTCTCAACTAGATTTCCAATGAACAGCCAACACCAACTCACCATCTGTATCAGTCTGTTTTTACACTGCTATAAAGAACTGCCTGAGACTGGGTAATTTATGAAGGAAAGAGGTTTAATTGACTCGCAGTTCAGCATGGCTCAGTTCCAGTTCCCATGAAGTTCTTCATCTCCATTTAAAGCCACCTCAGCTTAGACTTCATTGTCCACATCACTATCAGCATTTTGGTCAAAACCATTCAACAAGTCTCTAGGAAGTTCCAAACTTTCCTACATCTTCATGGCTTACTCTGAGCCCTCCAAACTGTTCCAACTTCTGCCCATTACCCAGTTCCAAAGTCTCTTCCACATTTTCAGGTATCTTTATAACAGTGCCCCACTACCTCGGTACCAATTTACTGTATTAGTCTGTTTTTACACACCATAAAGAACTGCCCGAGACTGGGTAATTTATAAAAGAAAGAGGTTTAATTGACTCACAGTTCTGCATAGCTGGGGAGGCCTCAGGGAACTTACAATCATGACAGAAGGCAAAGGGGAAGCAAGGCACCCTCGTCACAGGGCAGCAAGAAGGAGAATGACTGCAGGAGAAACTACCAAATATTTATTTAAAAACCCATCAGATCTTGTGAGAACTCACTTGCTATCATGAGAACAGCATGGGGGAAACTGCCCCCATGAATCAATTACCTCCACCTGATCTCTCCCTTGACACATTGGGATTATGGGGATTATCGAGAGTACAATTCAAGATGAGATTTTGGATTGGGACACAGCCAAACCATGTCACCACCCATATGAGGCTGCAGTCTTGGAAGTGGATCATCAAGCCTCAGTGAATTTGCCCTAGCTACTGCCACATGAGACAGAGGCAAGCACTGCCCAACTTGTGGAATATTGAGCAAAGTAAAAGTAAATTATAGGTGCTGTTCTAAGCCTGTAATTTCGGGTTTTTTTTTTTAATGGAGTCTCACTCTGTCGCCCAGGCTGGAAATGCAGAAATGCAGTGGCACGATCTCAGCTCACTGCAGCCTCTGCCTTCTGGGTTCAAGTGATTCTCCTGCCTCAGCTTCCTGAGTAGCTGGAACTACAGGTGTGTGCCACCACACCCAGCTAATTTTTGTAATTTTAGTAGAGACGGGGTTTCACCGTGATAGCCAGGATGGTCTCGATCTCCTGGCCTCATGATCCCCCCGCCTCAGCCTCCCAAAGTGCTGGGATTACAGGCGTGAGCCACCGCACCCAGCCTGGGGTGATTTTTAATGTATCAATAGATAGAAAAATGATGACACAGTTTTTTTTTTAGGAAAAAAAAGGCTGCACTAGCCACACGCATTCTTACACATATAAGGAGGTTAGTAAACACACACATAGTCTTCGCATAGAGCAACTTTGACTTATTTTCCTCAAAATAGAACTTACTCTTCTAATATATACCATACCTAAATGAAGCAATAGAGAAGAAAATGTATACGTATGTATGTGTATATATACATACATATGTAATTCTCATCTTAAAATGGTGAAACTTAGATCTCTGAGATCAGTTACCACTTAACAGATAAAACTAAAATTTATGTAATTAGATGATTTACTCTAGGTCACATAGATAGTGACAGAAATTATCAAGATTGTCCCATGATTCTGGTTCTGGGTTATTAAAATTTAAATACTCATTTAAAAAAAAAATGAAGAGATATATAACATGTAATCAGACTTCTAGTTTCCCAAAACTCTCAAGTAGAAATAATGCTTCAGTAAAAGGACCTTTAAACATACAAGTTCTCCTGTACCAGCATTAGTTTATTATTATTTCAGGACTGTGTTCAGTGACAGATGGTTGGGTCGCTCAGATACTAGGGGGATATAAATATTTCAAGACTGATTATATCTGGGCCTTCAAATTAGAGTACAAAAATATTTTTATAACCTAGCTTTTCTTGCATTAAGAAACTCCCCTTATATACCCATAACCAAATGTACTCATCTAGGACATGTAGGCCAATTTATCTTCCAGAGAAGTCTCACAAAATGAAAATAAAACCACGATAACTCACTTTAATGGATGATGTTTTCAGGAGTGTTCCTAGAATAAGATACTCATTTGTTGGCACATTTCAGGTCCATACAAGTATTCTGTCTCTATTTTTGAGAACCTTAAACAAAAGTGGTTGACAAAATTGAGTGCAATGAGAAAGTGAAACTTGATGAGGAAAAACTGAAGATTAGGGTCCCTTTCCCCATTATAGGAGCTACAGCATAAATCTCTTGAACTTTGAGGCAATCTGTGTGAGGGTGTATGCTAACACAGAGATGTTACTCCTTGCATGATTAAATTTGTAGACTAAAAATCACACCAAAAATAAATGTGTGTTCAGAAATAGTTCTAATACCTATCCTCAAAGCTCATTCTTCACCCTCGTGGTTGAAGCCTAGGGTGCCGCCTCCTGCTTTTGTAGATTACGTAGGGTCCCACTTCCTTCCTAAAATCTACCCTTCTCTGGGCCAGCATAAGGCCATCTACTTTCAGGCTGGCCATCTCCTGGGGCTTCTTTTTTCCACACTCAAAAGATTTTAACTCTAGTCTGAAACCACATCTAGACTGCTATCAAGGACCGAAAGAGACAGCATTTTAGAGAAAATTCTCAGTCCTAGAGCAAACATCCCTAAGGGATGAAATAAGAGTCTTGCTTGAAATGGCAGAAAAGGAAAGTAGAGGGACAAGTACTTCAAACTACTTTTACCATGAATTACCCTGCAAATCTTAGATAGTGAGTTGAGGAATGTGGTAGGCTCAGGAATGGGTGCCCTATATCTAAGTTGCAAGTCTGCTTCAATGGCTGGGCCTCCCTTGAGATAAGTAGTAGTTTCTAGGAACCAGATTTTACACAAAAGATCAAGGCTTTATTTTGCATATGTTCAATCTGAAATAAAAGATATTTTTAAAGGGAGCTGCCAAGTTGGCAGTTGGATAACTGTGTCTGGAACTCAGAAGCAAAGTGTGGACTAGAGATAAGTGTATGGAAGGCTGTATGATCGTGATGTAGAAGCCAATAAGAGCCATGGGAGTACATGAGATTATTCAGGGAGATGACATAGTGAAGACTGATTTTGAGGCTATGTAAAGGAGGATGACATGGCAAAGTGACTGAGAACAAGAGTGCAGAAAGTTAGATGGAAAATGACAAGAGTGTATCAGGGAACTTAAAGGAAGTAGTGTTTCAGGGAGAAAATGGTCACCAGCATCAATTATTCCTCACATGCCAAGTAAGATGAGAACTTCTATCTTGTTTGAACTTCCCATGCTGCTTTCCAGTCATACAATTTTTATTGTCCTAAATGTGCTATGATCTTATTCAACTCTGGGCTTTCACACCTGGTTCCTCTCCTTACTACTGGGTTAATTAGTATTTAGCTTTTAAGGTTTTGACTTCAAAGTTACTTTGTCCAAAGAGCCTTTCAGATCTCCTCCTGTGTAAGTCAAGGACTCAACCTGTGAGCTTACATTGCACCTTATGCTTTTCTTATCTTAAAATTCACTACTCATTATTATCACTTTTTTTTAACTGTATTTCTTCCCAATGCTCTGTAACCTCCATGATGTCTGGGATCAAACTTACCTTGTATATCACTGTATCCCTGAGTAACTGGCACATAGTAAATACTCATTAATTCTTTTTTTTTTTTTTTTTTTTTTTTGAGACAGAGTCTTGCTCTGTCACCCAGGCTGGAGTGCAGTGGCGTGATCTCTGCTCACTGCAAGCTCTGCCTCCCGGGTTCACGCCATTCTCCTGCCTCAGCCTCCCAGGTAGCTGGGACTACAGGCGCCCGGCACCACGCCCGGCTAATTTTTTATATTTTTAATAGAGATGGCATTTCACCGTGTTAGTCAGGATGGTCTCGATCTCCTGACCTCGTGATTCGCCCGCCTCGGCCTCCCAAAGTGCTGGGATTACAGGCGTGAGCCACCGCGCCCGGCCAATACTTATTAATTCTATGCTGAATTAAATAAATGGTGTGAAAGAGATTCACTGTGCACCGGTTACCATTTTAGCCCATGCAGCTTGGGCTTCAATGTCTTGTACTACTTTGCATTAATCTGGTGATACAAACCATGTACAAATTAAATGAAGAAATCTTATGATTCACAGATATACAGTAAGGGGTAGAAGCTTAGGATTCATGTTAATCCAATCCTCCAAGTCTCAAGAAAGCTGCCCAAGTTACGAAAATCTTGTTTACATGTGCCCCACTTGCGCCACAGTTGAGGAGTTCTGCAAAGCAGCCCACCTTGGGCTTTATACCCCAGGACAACAGGAATCACTGTGCTAAATCACTGAAGAACATTGCATTCCAGTAGGGACTGAAACAAAAACCAGCGCCGTTCTGGCCAGTCACCCCCTATCTCAGGATGTTGCATTCCTAGCACATTATGAAATTATTCTTGAGAAGCTGCACATGACAAAAGGGGGAGAACTAGGTTGGTGCAAGTCCCCCCAGACAACTGTCCAGAAAGTGGCATTAAAAAGCATTTATCTTGACTTTTATTTTATTCAAAAAAATTTCAGTCTTGGCTTTTCTTTTTCTCTGATACCTCTTTGGATGCTCTTTTTTAATTCTCTTTCGAGATGCGTATAATTCTGCCTACGCTTTAAATGCTGGTACCCCCAGGGTTCTGTTCTTGTCTATATTCTCTTGTTAATTTACTTCCCTTCACGTATTCATGTTTTATTTACAAAATTTTGATGAAGATCATATGTTCACCTTTGATCCCAGTTTCCTCCTGTGATTTACCCCTATGTATCCACCTGTCTATTAGATATTTTAAGTTGGCTGTTGCACGGAGCCCTAGATTCCGTATAACCAATCATATGAAAATAAACTGTCTTTAGTTTATCCCTTTACCTCTATTAAGTACCTCAGACATTGGCATCAATATTCACTTGGTTACATAAGGAAAATAGCTGTGTGGTGCATAATACGATTCTTTGCCTACTGTATCTGATTAGCTAACAGATTTCTTAATATTTTAGATATCTTTGTTCTCTTTATTTTTCATTGTATTTGATCAAATGCTAATTGTTGTTCTAATGGTTTTCTGAAAAGTCTCCTTAACAGACTTGCTAACCCCCAGGATCACTGCTGTACAATTTATTCTGTGTATTATTGAGTTATTTTTCAAAATGGCCCACTTCAAATGCACCTGCTTCAAACCTTTCAGTGGATTCTCTTTTCATAATAAACTCCGTAGCAAGACAGGAAAGGCCCTTCCTGACATGGTTCTTATCTTTATCTTGACACTCATCACATCCTCCATCACTACCACAACTGTAGTTCCCTGAACATGTGTGTTGTCTTTATGACAGTGTGATTATGTATGCAAATTTCCTCTCCCTAGAGTACCTTTCTATGACTTTTGTCAAAACTAATAATTATTGACAAACATGTTCAAATATTATTCCCTTTGTGAGGCATGCAGCTCTCACTCCCAGAAAATCTCTTCTCCAAGATATCTCTCTACCATATTGTATAAACAGTTCTGTTGCTTAATGTTATCACCAAATTCCCATGATTTCATCGTCTTTTAACTGCTACATTGTAATTTGGGGGCGGGGGCATCCAGGACACCAAATCTAATTTTGTATTTCAAGGTCTAACAGAATGCATATGCTCAGTAAATTTCTTATGAATTGAAATGAAACAGCATCTTGAAACAGAATTGTTATGAATTTAAAAACTGATTCTCACAGTGTTAAAATTTGGTTCTTTGTGCGATTAGAGTCTTTTCTCTAAATCAACCAAAGTACTGTAATGCCATAGCCAAAATTAATGAGTTAAATTTAGATCAGTTAATGCTATTGTTTCTAATAAGATATTAGCATATCATTGGGAAGTATTTTTGTTACTGTTGATGGTGGTGGTATTGTTGTTAGCTGAATTGATTATCTTTTTAGGGAAATACTATAAGCATCATGTTTGTGTTAAACCAAGTCAAAATTTAGTAGCATAGAGCTTTTATTGTATGTAAAATACTGGAAAATAAGAGGATGACACTAAAACTATCAACTAGAAAATTACTTCAGTACTGTGGCGTATCATTTTCTCATGCATAAACTCTATAAAGTTGAGTATGAAAAAAATCCAATAAATCCCTGTGGCAATGGGGAATGGAATTAAAACCCAAGTGAAATTAAATTCTAGAAGATTAATGTTGCCAGTTATATTTTGATGACAACAATAAACATAATGCAATTTTGTTAACTTATTGCTTTAAAATGCAAGTTGATAGCCAACAATGGTACCATTTTAGCACAGGTAACTAACTACTTGCATTTGAGTGTCCCGACAGGTAACCTGAATTTCAATAATGAAGAGGCACTTAACTAACTAATGTTTTTTATAGTCTTTTACATAACATTAAAATTACCTTAGAGTCTCTAGTATATTTAACAATTATATGAAGAATCTCTTGTCTATTTCCTTACCTAGACATTTGTCTACTTACCTTTATTTGGATCTTCATTTAAATATAATTTCTACCAGTGTATTAAGCATGTATAGATGAATCCTCAGTTACACAATCAGAGCATTATAAGGGAGAAACTCTTTTAAAAGATACACTTAGTTTGTAAATATTGCTCATTTGTGGGGCCCACAAAATTTAGGATAGAAGAAATATCCTTTAGTGTTAAAATCAGATAAATTCACATGCCATTAACCTCAAAATTATAAAAAATCTGTGTTAACACTTTGTTCAGATCCTTCTGGTACTGGTTCCAAATGTGGTCCCAGAATCTACATCAGTACCACTTTGAAGCTGGTTAAAATGCAATTCTCTGGCCTCACTCAGGATATACTCAATCAGAAATTCTGGGGGTAGGGACCAGCTATCTTCAGGATTCTGATGCATACTAAACTTGAAGAACCGCTGCTTTAAAGTAAATAGCTTCCTAGAATTTTGGAAACCAAAGGAAACTTAAGAACTAACTGACATCCTCATTTTCTAGATAATGCTAAGAGCGATTAAATGGTTTCCTCAAAAAAGCTTTATAACTAACCAAATTGCTAAGCTTCTGGTCCTCTGCAAGTGCCTAATCCTGGAGAATGTAAGCATGGAAGTTTCCTTAAAATTGGACACAGATACATATATACACGTGTGCATGTGTACATGCTCATGAATTAAATCTAATATTTACTTTTTAAAAGGAGTTTCTGAAATTTTTATTGACCACTGTAATGAACTAGACTTTATTACGTTATGAATAATAGTCAGTGTCACTTCATATTTTCAGAGGTAGACTTAATAAGGCTTAATATTCCAAGGCACAGATGTGCTATACTTCTAGGAAGAGCTTTGTCAATATCAATCTAATTAATTAAATAATTTACATGTGGGGAAACATTGCAGGCAGAGATAACAAAAGGTCTCCTTTGTCATAAATCATTCTCAAATGATATCTTAAAATTAAAGATTTATATTCCAACCAGGTATATTTGATTGAACTTATCTATTTAAAGCAGAGACAGATAAAAATCTTATTTTTTAAAGGTTTCACTGCACTGGCAATAGAGTTATTTTAATATTTATACATAATGACTTTTTTCCTTAGTGCAGTCAGATACAAAAGTCGGTGCTTTTGTGATGTGTGTATCTGTGTGAACAGACATGCTACTCTTCACAAATTAAAGTGTTTACAGTGCAAAAGCTCTGTTTCCCTAAAGAAAAAGTAGAAGAAATGAATAGAGACAGATCCCTTATAAAGAGTTGAAACTGTGCCAAAAGGAAATTGCATTTTCCAAAGAAAGTCTCATTGTTGGGGAAAACATAAGACACAAGCTAAATAAATCAAAGTCCCGTTTCAATGAGCCCACCTGAACAAAACCACGTGCACTAGATTCATTACCTTGAAGACGAGCAAAATCCATGAGGTTTCCCAAGGAGTTCACATTTTATTCTCTGTCTTAACCCAATTATTAATATGTTTTGTCAAAGAGGAAGTTAAAATATCTGCTTGAAAAAGAATTAGAAATATATATGCTATATTTCATCAAGCCTATCATCACCTCCTCATCCCCTGCATCACAGCAGGAGCTAAGTAAGAGCCTGTGTTTTGCACACATTGTCCCATTTCATGTCAAGTCAGATAATATGTTAGATAGCTCTGAAGAATGTAGTTAAACACTACTGGAACTCTCAATAGTAAACTAATAATATCACTTCCCTAGGCCTTAATGTGCTTCCAAAGAGTACGATACCAGCTATGAATCTGACTAAGAGTGTTTCTCCTTGAGCTCAGTTAGGACTTGTCACGGTAACTCAGAATCCTAAGACTTCCCTTTAGGAAACCAAAGTAGGAAAACCATCTAAGTTTCTAGTAAATTGAAACCATGTTTTCTACCTCTAGCTATGCACAGCACTAGGGGTATAATAATTACTTCATTTCAAGCACCTCTGGTTAAAAGTCAAGTTAATCCCATTTCTAGATCAAATCCTCTGAATAATAATATACTGTTCTGATGCGGGATTAGAACTTGTTATTCTTGAGATTTATGAGACATGTCTCTCATTTAGTGTAGACAAACCCAGCTTTGAGGTAGTTCTATCGTAAAACTAGATTTTGTCTCATACCTTACAGGGTTGCAAATGTTTGAGCAATAAAACAGTATTTTTAAAAACTATTTACAACTGAACTCAAAATTTATATCATGTATTAGATAGGGAACATGTGGGGGAAAAAATCCCAGAGAAAACTCCCTCTTCAGAAAGCACGTAGTAATTTAAACTTTTTGCCTGTGTATGGTCTCATAAAATTTATACAGGAAGAAATTAAATGTATAAAATGATTTATAGGTGGATTAAAAAAGCTTGCAAGTTTGGGATTTCATACATCTTCATGAAAACTGTTATAAATCTCTGTAACCTAAATTGCTTATCCTAGTTCTACAGAAAAAGCATAAACAGAGCAAGCAATTATCTGTAATAAACTTTTTCTTTAATATTGTGGCAATCCCATTTCCTTAACACACTCGTCATGATATGTCTTGTGCTCTCCTACAGCCAAACACCACATGCTGGTTGCTTGTGCCTTTTGGAATTGTGCAGGCACTGTGGTAACTGTGGGCAAGTCAACATGGTTGTAATGTTGAGAGCAAAATATGAAGAGGAATAAAAATCTTAGCTCTGCCTTTTGAAGTCAAAGACATTTTTTATGAGCCAAACCTTAAAATGTTTACTACTTATAGAAAAAGTTTCAAAATAATATGTTCTGCTTATAGTTTTGAGAAAATGTGTTAAATAAGTTTCAGATTCTATAAAATATTATGGGCAATTTGAGATATTCATTGCTGGAATGATGTCATGAACCACTGAGGTAAATATTCAATCTGTAGTGCTAAGAGTTAATAATCATCCATCATTTCAAATTTGCAATTTTACTTTACAAATTAAAGTTATTAAAATAATAACTTTATATAAATAATATTAAAGCATTAAAATAATTAACTTTAATGCTAAAATTATTTTTTAAAGTTTCTTTTTAAATTACTATTCTCAATAGTATTTGTACCCCCAAAATATGTACAGAATATATGTACATGTAGATACATTCATATAACGTAGAAAGATCAAATCAGGGCAATTGGAGTATCTATCATCTTAAATATCTCTTGTTTATGCTAAGAGCATGCAAATTATTCTCTTCTAGCTATTTTGAAATGTACAATAGAATAATGTTAAGTTTAGTCACCCTACTGATCTATCAAATGCTAGTTCTTATTTCTTCAACCTAGCTGTATATTTGTACACATTAATCAAACTCTCTTTATTCTCCCCTCGCCCCTATCCTTCCTGGCCCCTAGTAATCACCAATATACTCTCTATCTTAAGGGAAATTTACTTTTTTGGCTCCAACACATGAGTAAGAACATGTGATACTTGCCTTTCTGCACTTGGCTAATGTCATTTAACATAATGTTCTCCAGTTCCACCCACATTGCTACATATGACAAGATTTTATTCTGTTGTATGGCTGAATAATATTCCATTGTGTATATATACCACATATTCTTTATCCATTTGTCTGTTGATGGATACTTAGGTTGATTGCAAATTGTGGCTATTGTGAATAGTGCTGCAATAAACATGGAAGTGCAAATATCTCAGTAAATTGATTTCCTTTCATTTAAATATGTACTCAGCAGTAGAATTACTGGATCATATGGTAGCTAAAGTTTTAGTTTTTTGAGGAACCCCCGAACTGTTCTCCATAGTGGTAGTACTAATTTGCATTCCCATCAACAGTGTACCATGGTTCCTTTTTCTCCACATCCTTGTCAGCATTTGTTATTGCCTGTCTTTTAGATATAAGCCATTTTAACTGGGGTGAGATGTCATCTCATTATGGTTTTGACTTGCATTTCTCTGACTGCTAGTGATGTTGAACATCTTTTCAAATACCTGTTGGTCATTTGTATGTATTTAAAATGTCTATTCAGATATTTGCCCATTTTTAAATAAGATGATGATGATGATTATTATTATTATTGGTGTTTTGTTTTGTTTGCTATCGAGTTGCTTGAGCTCCTTACATATTCTGGTTATTAATCCCTTGTCAGAGGGGTAGTTTGCAATATTTGTTCCCATTCTGTGGGTTTTATTTTCCTTTTGTTGATTATTTCCTTTGCTGTGCAGAAGATGTTTAGTTTGATGTAAAACCCATTGTCTATTTTTGCTTTTGTTGCCTGTGCTTTTAAGGTCTTACACAAAATATCTTTACCCTGGAGCATACCCAATGTTTTCTTCTAGTTGTTTCATAGTTTCTGGTCTTAGATTTAAGTCTTTAATGCAGTTTGGTTTGATTTTATATATATGATGAAAGAGAGAGTATAGTTTTATTCTTCTACAAATCCACTTTCCCAGCATCATTTGTTTAAGATGCTGTTCTTATCCTATTGTATGTTATTGGCAACTTTGTGAAAAATAAGTTCACTACAAATGTATAGATTTGTATCTGGATTCTCTAGTCTGTTCCATTGATCTATATGTTCATTTTTATGCCAGTATCACACTCAATAGCATTTATGTACACCAACAGTGAACAATCATAAAAACAAAGATAGCAATCTCATTTACAATATAGCTACAAAGAACATAAAATACCTAAGAATCAATTTAACTAAAGAAGTGAAAGATCTATGCAAAAAAATAAATAAAACACTGATGAAAGAAATTAAAGTGGACACAAAATTAGAAAGATATTCCATGCCCATGAATTAAAATAAATATTGTTAAAATGACAAACCTACCCAAAATAATTTACAGATTCAATGCAATCCGTAGCAAAATACCAATTACACTTTTTCACAGAAATGTAAAAAAAAATCCTAAAATGTATATGGGACCACAAAATAATTTGTATAGTCAAAGCAATCTGAGCAAAAAGAACAAAGCTGAAGGCATTACATAACACGAGTTTAAAATATACTACAAAGCTGTAGTAATCAATACTTAAATTCTGTGGACCATTGTGCAATAAAAGTTATAAAATGTAAGTATAAGCTAATCACAGACATTTCTTATGCAGAGTATTTTAGTTATTTTAATAAAAATTTAAGGACAAGTGCCAGTTATCTCTTCAAAAAATGTACTTGTATCTTTTATTTACAATTCCATTTTTTTTAAAAAGAACAACTAGTGCTTAATACAGATTACTTAAAGATAGTGGTACTGATTTTCTGGGAGAGGATGGAAAACAGATGAGATTTAGATCTTGGAGAACAGCTTGGAAAATAGCTAAAATGGATAGAATTAAGTAAAACTGTACTTTCATTGAAAAATTTGTTTTATTTCTTTGAGATTAAAAAATCAACTAGTCTCATGGTTTTTACTTTCATTATCTCTTCCTTGCTTTTAAACCTAAGTGAAATATTATTTATCATGACCAAGTGAGATTTATCCCTAGGATGCAAGGATGTTTCTACATATCCAAATCAAGCAGTGTGATACATCATATTAAAAGAATGAAGAATAAAACTTATATGATGCTGAAAAAGTATCTGATGAATTTCAACATCCTTTCATGATAAAACCATCTCATCTACAATAGCCACACATAAAATTAAATATATAGGAATTAACTTAACCAAATAAGTGAAAGATCTCTACAGAGAAAATCACATAACACTGATGAAAGAAACTGAAGAGGATAGAAAAAAAGAAAGAAAAGTATTCCATGTTAGTGGATTGGAAGAATTAGTATTGTTAAAACGTCCATACTACCCAAAGCAATCTACAGATTCAATACAATCCCTATCAAAATACCAATGATATTCTTCACAGAAATAGAAAAAAAAGTCCTACAATTTATATGGAACCACAAAAGATCCAAATAGCCAAAGCTGTCCTCGGCAAACTAATAAGCCTGAAGGAATCACATTACCTGACTTCAAATTATACTACAAAGCTATAGTAACCAAAACAGCATGGTACTGGTATAAAAGCAGGCACACAGACCAATGAAACAGAATAAAGATCCCAGAAATGAATCCTCATACCTACAGTGAACTAATTTCTGACCAAGATGTCAAGAACATACACTTAGGAAATGACAGTCTTTTCAATAAATGGTGCTAGGAAAATTAGATATCCCTATGCAGAAGAATGAAACTAGACCACTATCTCTTACCATACACAAAAATCAAATCAAAATAGATTAAAGACTTTAAGATCTCAAACCATGAAACCACTACAAGAAAACATTCAGGAAAATTTCCAGGGCATTGGTCTGGGCAAAAATTTCTTGAGCAATACCCCATAAGTACAGGCAACCAAAACAAACATGAATAAATGAAATCACATCAAGTTAAAGAGCTTCTGCACAGCAAAGGATACAATCAACCAAGTGGAGAGACAACCCACTGATGGGAAAAAGTATTTGCAAACTACTCCCCTCTGAAAAGGGATTAATAACCAGGATACATAAGGAGTACAAACAACTCTATAGGAATAAATCTAATAATCTGATCAAAAAATGGGCAAAATATTTGCATAGACGTTTGTCAAAAGAAGACATAAAAATGGCAAACAGGCATATGAAAAGGTGCTCAACATCACTGATCATCAGAGGAAATATAAATCAAATCTCAAAAAATGAGACATAATCTCATTCCAGTTAAAATGGCTTATATCTAAAGGACAGGAAATAACAAATGCTGATGAGGATGTGGAGAAAAGGGAACCAGGATACATTGTTTGTGGGAATGTAAATTAGTATAACCACTATGGAGAACAGTTTAGGTGTTCCTCAAAAAGCTAAAACTTTAGCTACCATATGATCCAGCAATCCCACTACTGGGTGTATACCCAGAAGAAAGGAAATCAGTATACCGAAGAGATATCTGCACTCCTAAATTTGTTGCAGCACCATTTACAATAGCTAAGATTTCAAAGTAACCTAAATGTCCATCAACAGATAAATAGATAAAGAAAATGTGGCACATATACAAAATGAAGTACTATTCAACTATAAAAAAATGAGATCCAGTAATTTCCAATAATATGAATGGAACTGGAGATCATTATGTTAAGTGAAATAAGCAAGGCACAGAAAGAAAAGCATTCATGTTCTCACTTATTTTGGGGCTCTAAAACACAAAACAATTGAACTCATGGACATAGAGAGTAGACGGATGGTTACCAGAGGCTGGGAAAGGCAGTAAGAGGGTGGGGAGGAGATGGGATGGTTAACAGGTAGAAAAAAAATTAGAATGAATAAGACCTACTATTTTATGACACTACAGCGTGATTATAGTGAATAATAAATGTATATTTCAAAATAACTTAAAGAGTGTAATTAGATTGTAACCCCAAAGATAAATGCTTGAGGGAATGGATACCTCATTCTCCATGATATGCTTATTTCACATTGCACGTCTATATCAAAACATTTCATGTAACCCATAATTATATATACCTGCTATGTACCCACAAAAATTTAAACAATTAAAAAAAATTAAGTCAAGAAACACTTCCTCCCTTTGCATTAAATTACAAACTCAAATGCCTACAGCAGCCTGGAAAGTCAGAAAATGTAGCACTTGTCACTTGAATGACAAAGACCAGGCCAGTCAGAGAAAATAGCAAACAATAGAGCAAAAATGTTCCCAGTAGGAGACAACTGCCTCTCATGGCCAACACTTGGTAATAACATTTGGTAAGAGATTGCCATATTTTTCAACATTCTGGAGAATTAAGAAATCCATATTTTTGGTTGTATCTCATGGATTTTAAAGGTTGGCTCAACTTACAAAAATATGCTGGTCTAAAAAAACTTCTGAAATTTACTTTTCAGTTTCTGAGCTAGTCTCAACTTCTTTAGGGCATAGAAGTGAAATTTTTATGGCTTTGTGCATCATCATTATTCTAATAAAATTCCTTTTAGGTCCAGATCCATTTGTAAACTCACATTCATATCAAGTCAGCCCTGAATCTGACTTCTTTAGCAACAATGAGCACTTACTGTGCATCTATCATGGTTCTTGATGTTATAGATGAGAGTAAAGAAAGATAAGACAGCATCTTTAATTTGTGCTGGGAAGTACAAAACATAATTGTGAGCCATGGATCAAATATCAGCTCTGTTTTATGATTCTAAATTATATAGTAATTATATCAGCATGGGCAATGACTTTGAGGAACTTTTTTCCCTGTCTCTTTAAAAAGTTGACTATTCTTTATTGACATATTACCCCTTGGTTAAAATACAAAATAGTCTATAATCACAAGTAACATTTACAAAGAGATTACTTTGTATTCTAGAAGCAATATATATTTAAATTTAATAAAGCATTTTAGCTCATGACTCACAGAATAATATAGATGGAAGCATAGACTTTTAAGTAAATGATTTATGTTTCTGTCTCAAATTGCTGTGTGACCTTAGGCAATTCTAATAATTTCCAAACCTTGTTTATCCAAGCTATTCCAAGATGATTATGATCTTTCTTGTCTTATGTATGAGACAATATAGATTAATATTCTTTGTCAAATGTATGAACCTATGAAAATGTTTATTACTGGTCAGATGCAGTGGCTCACACCTGTAATCCCAGTACTTTGGGAGGCCAAGGCAGGTTGATCACTTGAGCCCAGAAGTTCAAGACCAGCCTGAGCAACATGGCAAAACCCCATCTCTACCAAAAATACAAAAATTAACCAGGTGTGATGGTGCGCCCCTGTGGCCTCAGCTACTTTGGAGGCTGAGGTAGAAGGATCAGTTGAGCCCAGGAGGCTGAGGCTGCAGTCAGCTGTAATTATGCCACTGTGCTGCAGCCTGTATGACAGAGTGAGACCCCATCTCAAAGAATACAAATGAATAAATAAATAAAATAAAAATAAAATGCTCATTATTATCTTTAATCAATCATTTAACAAAAAGCCATAGAGAAAGCAAAAACAAAATTAAGTAGATACAGCAATAAATTGTAAAAATATCTCAGTCTAGCTGGAGATGCACCTTCAAATATTTCCATGCATTGTTTGATTTTTACATTAATTAACTTTTAATGTCATACGTCATTATTTTGGGCAACTTTCTTTTTTGTCTATTCACAATTCTTAAAATTGCTCCCTCAATATTGACTAAACAATTTTGTGAGGCCTTCACATTCTCTAGACTATGTTCTCTAGGCTATCTAATTATATTTTTCGTAAATGAACATTTTTTACTTTGGAGAGAGAAACAAAATCTTTGAGTTGAATACCAAGCATGCTCCTCAGGCTTTTCCCTAGTATCATTTTGTGACAAAGTTAATCAAGTGCCCATTTTACAGCTTTTCTTTTTTTTTTTTTTTCGAGATGGAGTTTCACTCTTGTTGCCCAGGCTGGAGTGCAGTGGCACGATCTCGGCCCACTGCAACCTCCACCTCCTAGGCCCAAGTGATTCTCCTGCCTCAGCCTCCCAAGTAGCTGGGACCACAGACGCCTGCCACTACACCTGGACAATTTTTGAATTTTTTAGTAGGGATGTGGTTTCACCATGTTGACCAGGCTGGTCTCTAACTCCTGACCTCAGGTGATTATCCCACCTTGGCCTCCTAAAGTGCTGGGATTATAGGCGTGAGCCACCGTGCCCAGCCTGTGCAGCTTTTATAGCCCCATTTTTTAAAACTTTGTGCAGTATATACATTCAAATGTATAAAACCTGTTTCTAAAAGTGACAGTGTACACAAGAAGTGCTACAGTTCATTTAAATTCAGCAAGATGTCAACTCAACATGAATAACAGTTCATACATCATTGGAGACAATGCTACTCATTCCTTATGGAGTTTAATAAGGTTTTTCTCTTGGCCCTGAAATCACTAGCATCCATCTCATGTTTACAGCTTAAAAAATATATATTCAATTAAATAAAGCTGCTTAGGAGTATATTTCTTCCACCAAAAAGTAAAACAGAATAGAATTGTTCATGACAAGTGTTAGTTTAACAGGAATTAAAATTGATATGCGATGAATCACTACAGAATAGAACCTTCAATAGAAAGCAGTGAAGGATTTACTATCAGCTCTTGGCTTTGTACATATAATTAGAGGAGGTATCCACCCAAGGAGTGGATCTGGTAGTTGTCAGCGTCAGTAGTTACATGACACAAACATATCTAGAGATGATGGATTGTGATTGGATTTTTCACTTTTAATTCAGTTATTTTGGCATGAGTTAGAAAGAAATGAGAAATATTTCGAAAATATATTGAGTTCTTCGGGCTAGAATTTCCTGGGTGAATCAAATCAATATTAGCAAGTCATTCAACCTAAATGCCTCTCTATTAAGTGAATAGAAATTACTAGGTGAAATCCTAAGGTAGGTTTAGCTACTCCTGTCTGAAAAAAAGCAGCATAGCATGATTGAAAGAGAATAGCCTTTAGAATCACACACTCCTGGTTTGGGTTCCCAAAGCTGATATTTATCTGCTATAAAACGGTGGATAAATAGTGCCTCTGATTCTAAATTTCTTCAGTTCTAAAAGTGGAACAAACACATACCTCAATAGGCTGTTTAGGATTTAAAAATTGCATTTGAAAAAAAGGCATTATTTTAACAGTACTAGCTATATGGTAGTTGCTGTTACTATTATTACTATTACTGTCCCCAAATGGAGTCCATAATTGGAACTAATTATTCACCTCCTTCTAAGATACCATCGGTGCTGTTCTCAATATGTTCTGTATCCCAGTTTATCACAGTTACCTCAAGAAGCTCAGGATTTCTCTGGTCATTCTTTATCTGTCATGATCTTACTTTTTATTAGTAAGTACTTACTTTTATTGGTTGGTACATCTCTCTAATTGACTCAAATTGCCACTCAGTTGGATCCTTGCAGAAAACGCCCCTTGTGCATTTGGGAACCCATGGCCTATCAAGCAAAAAATTCCCCATATCCTCAGTGTAATAAACGTTTGATTTTATTTTTCACAAACCTGCTGAAAACCTTCAGGTTTCATATTTCCCCCTTTGTCTTTTGTACCACATCTAACAAGACAATACAAAAACTCAGACGCTCCTTTCCTTGGCAGAAACATGGACATCTGAACCACACAAAATCCAGCCCAATAGAGCACTTATCCCAGCCCCAACCCCTACCCACAATATAAGCTAAAGCTACTCACCTTTCCTTCACTAAAGCTGTACAGATCTTGGATCTTTGTGACTATTATGCCCTCTACAGAAAGTCTCATTATACAAGCAATGAACTTTTTCAATCAAGGAGAAGAGACTCATCTCTAATTCATTCTATGAAGCCAGCATTACACTGATACCAAAACATGGCAAAGATACAACAAAAAAAAGAAAAGAAAATTACAGGCCAATATCCCTGATGAACATAGACACAAAAATCCTTACCAAAATACTAGCAGACCAAATCCAACAGCATATTAAAAAGTTAATTCACCATCATCAGGTAGGCTGTATTCCTGGAATACAAGTTTGGTTAAACATATGCAAATCAATACATGTGATTCACAACTTAAACAAAATTAAAATCAAAACTCGTTTGATTATCTCAATGGATGTGGGAAAATCTTTCAATAAAATTCAACATCTCTTTATGATAAAAATTCTCAAGAAACAAGACATTGAAGGAACATACCTCAATATAAAAAAAAGCCGTCTGTAACAAACCTACAGCCAACATCACACTGAACAGGCAAAAGCTGAAATATTCCCCTTGAGAATTCAAACGAGACATGGAAGCCCATTAACACCAGTCCTATTGAACATAGCACAGGAAATGCCAGAGCAATCAGGCAAGAGAAAAAAACAAAAGGCATGCAAATAGGAAAAGAGGAAATAAAACTATCTCTCTTTACTGGCAATATAATTGTATACCTAGAAAACCCTAAAGGTTTCACCTAAGGCTCCTAGAACTAACAAATGGCTTCAGCAATGTTTCCAAATACAAAATCAATGTAGAGAAAAAATAACTATTGGGTATTAGGCTTAGTATCTGGCTGATGAAATAATCTGTACAACAAACCCTTGTGACATGAGTTTGCCTACATAACAAACCTGCACATGTACCCATGAACCTAAAATAAAGTTAAAACAAAACAAAAGTAGAAACCAAAAAAATGCATGCAAACACACACACTATTCTGCATTATTTCAGTACCTGGGGATAACTGCATTTAACACTTGGAAGTACCTCCTTCTACATATTTTTCTGTGCTTCATATGTAATTTTTCAAAATAAAACCCCTTTTCCTTTAACATAATCTATTCTGGATTTATTTTTCCCATCACCTCTTTGATATCGCTCTCCTCCAGGTTATCAGTGCTCTCCATATTGTCGAATCTAATGGTGAATTTTCAGTTCTTAGCTTACTCACACTTTTAGAATCATTTGACACCAATGCTCACCCTTTTCTTGAAGTATGTTCTGCATTTAGTTTTCTAGGACACCACATACTACTTGTTTTTCCCCCTCACTCAACATTCTCACTTCTTCAAGTGTTGCCCTTCCAGGGTTCAGTCGTCATTGAACTTCTTCATTTTCTCCATTTATACTCAGGATAATTATGTCCTATCCTATGGCATTAATATCATCAATGTCACAATGATTAGCCTATTACTATCTCCAGCACTGACCTTTCCCCTGACCTCTTGATTTGAGAAACCAATTGCTTACTCTTTTTGGATATGTAGTAGAAATCTCAACCTTAACATACTCCAGGACCATCTCTGGGCCCAGAAGCTCCCATGGGACTTCTCCCAGTCAACCCATCTCATGTAATGGCACCAACAATCACTCAGTTGCTCAGTTTGCTATGTTGACATTATCCTGACTGCCTGTAATATCTATATCCAATCCACCAACAAATCTACTCTACATTTCAAAGACAATATATTTTCAAAATACCTCCCTCCTCTGCTATCACCTATTTCAAGCCATCTGCGTTTGACTTGGACTTCTGCAATAGCTTCCTAAAAAGTTTACTGCAGGAGGCAGAATGTCCTAATTCCTGGAATATGTGAATGTTACCTTATGTGGCAAAATCATATTTTGCAGATGTGATTATATTAAGGATCTTGAGATGGTGAGAGTATTCTGGATTATCCTAAAAGAACCCAAGTGTAACCACAAAAGGAATGGAAGGAGCTCAAAGGAAGAAGTAGGGGCTTTGACAACAGAAGCAAGAGTTTGGATTGATGTGAGCAGAAAGGTTTCAAGCCAAGGAATGCAGGTGGCCTTAAGAAGATAGAAAAAGCAAGGACAAGGATTCTCCCCCGTATCTTCCAGAAGGGACTAGTCCTGTGGCCACCTTGATACTAGCCTGATGAAACAGATTTTGATCGTCTGGCCTCTAAAACTGGGAATAATTTTTTTCTTATTTTAAGTCACAAAGTTTTGGCAATTTTTACAGGAACGATAGGAAACGTTTACTTGCCTTCTTCACTCTTACATCCTTATAATGTATTGGTGATAAGGTATACAATGTTTCTTTAAAAATGCAGATGAAGTCCTTTCATTTCCCAACTCAAAATGCTCCAGTGACTTCCCATTTCAGAAAAAAATCCAAAGCCCATACCATATCCTATAAGGCCTCAAATAGTTCTGTGCTGACCACCTATCTTCTGTTGGTTTATTCTCTTTCTGGCCATGACAGTCATTCCAGCCTCCAGGCTATGCCTCAGGCACAACAAGCATGCTCCTGCCTCAGTAATTTTCTCCTCCTTTCATTCACATCCCAGCTCAAATCTCTCATCCTTAGAGGACACTTTCCTGTCCACTGCATGCAAACAGTATCCTTTGTCATTCTATAGCCTTCACCCTGTTTGCCTGTGTCATTTCCTTTCCCATTTTTAGCTTTATGACATCACCTATTAATTGATTTTATATCTTTTTCCTCTAGAATATAAACTCCAAGTTCAGGTCAGGAGCTTACTTTTTTAATTGCTCTATCTCCAGCACTTTGAATAATTCTACCTTATAATAGGCAATCAACAAATGTTTATTGCATGAATTACTTACAATATCAATAGTAACAATATTATAGTCTGCATTTTTATTTACCTAATAAGCCCTCTTACAGCTTATGATGCTCCAGGAACTGTTTATATGCCTTACAAATTGTTAAAAGTTTAATCCTAATATTAACCCTATAAGGTAGATACTATCATTAACTAAAATTTATAGATGAGAGAACTGAGGGACAGAAAGGTTAAACAATTTGCCCAGTCACAGAGCTTGTATGTGTTCTACCTCTACAGTCCACATTCTTAGCCAAAAATGCTATGTTGCCTCTCTAATAGCTGTGTCAAGGAAATATATATTGTTCTAGTAAAGCTTATTATTTTTTCTAAATGTAATGCATTTTTACATTTAAATATTTATTTCAATTTTTTTTTTTTTGAGGCAGAGTCTCACACTGTTGCCCAAGCTGGAGTGCAATGGTGCGATCTCAGCACACTGCAACCTATGTCTCCCAGGATTGACAGTTCTGCCTCAGCCTCCCAAGTAGCTGGGATTACAGGTACCCGCCACCACACCTGGCTAATTTTTTGTATTTTTAGTAGAGATGAGGTTTCACCATATGGTCCAGGCTGGTCTCGAACTCCTGACCTCAGGTGATCCACCCACCTTGGCCTCCCAAAGTGCTGGGGTTACATGCGTGAGCCACCGGGCCAAGCCTCAATTTTTTAAAATTTTTTGCACTTTTAGGTAATTATAGATTTACAGAAAGTTGTGAAGATAATGCCAAGTGGTCGTATGCAATCTATACCCAGTTTTCTCCAATGGTTACCTCGTCTTACGTAATTATAATGCAATATCAAATCTGGGAAACTGACATGGGTGCAATATGTATATAAAGTTTTAGGTTATTTTATTACCTGTAGATTTCTGTAACCACCAAACCAATTAAGAAATCAAATTAATCTATCACTACAAAGATCTTTTGTGCCCTTTACAATACCTACCCCTTTCTCAGCATCCGTAGATCATGGCAACTGCTAATCTGTTTTCCATCCCTATGATTTTGCCATTTCAATAATGTTCTATAAATGGAATCATGTATTATGTGACCTTTTGTGATTAGCTTTTTTCATTTACCCTAATGCTCTTGAGACCCATCCAAGCTGTTTTGTGTATCAGTGGTTCATTCCCTTTTATTACTGAGTTGTATTCTATATTTCAAATATAATTTATGATAATCTTTTTATCAATATAAAATAATAAAAGTCTAAGAGGACAACACATAATTAAATACATATTTTAAAGGCATAATAGATTTTGTTAGGAAAAATCTATTATTATAAAAGAGTTAAAATTAATACAATTTTGTAGGCATTATGGAGACATGTTAATTTCAAAATATGACAAGTAACACATTTTAGAAAATGTAATATTAATTTCAAATAAACTAAGTAATATAATGTTCAGTAATGCATACGTTTATAAAAATAAAATCATTATTTGGCACCTGTCATGACAGTATAAATTTGTAAAATTATTCTTTTCAAAGACCCCTTGGTGGTGGCTGGAATGAGCATGTAAACACCATTCCAGATGAACCTAGGCATGTTCTATAGCAGAATATAGACAAGCATCTTTTGCATATGACAGGTAATCTCTGTCCAAATTACTTTTTGTTGCTTTTGAAAGCCTAGGCAGTGTAGGTAAGGCTGCGAATGCTAGGGTTCTGGGAGTGTGTGTGGAAGGGAGAGTTAGTGTGCTCAGAATAGTTCAGAATGGTTTGTTTCTTGGCTGGTCTGTGCATCTGGGTCAGTCCTTATATCAGGAAGGCCAGGGTTGGGTGCGGTTTCTCCAGTCTGAGAAAAAAATATATATCTGAAAGTTTTATGTTCAACTTTAATATATCTGCAATGGGATAGTATGTCTAGGCCATGAGTTATCAGTTATATGATGACACCATAGATTTGGATAAATACTCCCTTCTCCTTCCCAGGGGTTGGCTTGATGATGGCCACATCCAGGAAAGGGATAGGTTCATAGCTTGCCATTGCTCAACCTCAGGCTTCTACAGTCCCAGTTCTGTCCATTCAGACTGGCCTTAAAAGCTTTCAAAAGACCCTCAGTCTTTTCTCCCCATAGATGCCAAAGCTGTGGAGTTGGAAAGTACCTACCACTGGAGAACTAACAGATACGATTCCTTAGCAAGTCTGAGTCTTAGTTTCCTGATTTGTAAAAAGAGGGTAAATATTTTACCTACCACATGGAATTGATGTCAACATTATGTAATCTCAGACCCGTAAAATGTTTAATAGATTGCTTTGCTTTGTAAAAGCATGCAAGGCAGTGTTACTGATATATTCTATATATTCTAAATATAGAATCCTTAATTATGTGTTAGATTCAGCTGGGTATATTTTTCATGTGCATTTCATTTGCATAAGGATCACATAAAATCCATGTCAAAAGGAACCTTGGAGAATCAGAAGGAAAACCATACCCAGCTCAACTTCAGAGAATACATACCAATTTTTTTATGTAGAAATTATTATGATTATCATTAGTTTTGGCATAATATTTTAAGATATGGTAATTTTTTATGAAGTCCTAGATCTCACTGAGATTCTTAGTAGCACTCTGGATTAAAATTCATTTTAACCTATAAACTGGATCAAACGTGATTCTTTAGATATAAATTATAAAACTTAATAGTCCATTTTTCTTAACTAATATTACACATCAGTTTTATATACATGTATACTACCTAAAAGATAAAATTGTGATTTTATTAAGTTGAACAAATAACTGATAAAGATAGACAGTTCAAGATGGCTTACAAGCACATATATTTGTCTTCCCTTTCTTCTTAGACCTCACTCATATGAAGCAATGACATGAAAAGAAAATAAAAAAAAAAGCCCATAACAGCAGAAAAAATAATGAGAGATCCATGAGTATACAAGATATGTCAACACTCAAAAAGGCAGAAAGTTTATAAAAGGTTAATGATATATTTAAATAAAAAAACAATAAAATTAATAATATTTGGCAGCCAGAATAATGCAAGGAGGGCTACAAACTTCAGAAAGATTTCAGTGTTGGTGTCCACAGTGCTGGATGATGGGGTGAGAAAGATGCTGAACAAAGGGGAGTGCATTGGAAAGCTGCTCATGGAACCAGATGCTCTCTAGGGTTTTCCTCCTCCACCTCTCACCATCCCTCCCCATACCCTGGGTAATTCACTAAGACCTACCATAGCTTGGTGTTTTCTTCTATTCAAAAGTCAGAACACAATGCATTAAGCATATTTAGCTGACTGTGGAGAACTAGGACTCCAACTGATAGCATGGATATCAAAGAGCAAAACTCCCTTTATTGTAGACTTTTGGGGGTAAGAGGTGTAATAGCTACTCTCTAATTGCTAAACTTGAGGTGGTTATTGAGAGCAGCAGGAAGCAGCGAAATGCCTAGGCAGATGGGGCAAGTCCCCAATGAAATCCCACCTCCAAGCTGAAGACATTTTAAAGCCTGAAAGCCGAGCTACAAGTTAAATCCGCCGATCAGATTGAGAACTTGTCTTCCTATTTGGCACACTTTCCTCTGATTGGTCCCCACTCTTCACCTATTATACATATACCTACCCTTTCCTAACTGTTTTTTTTACACTATTGTGCCCAACTTTGGGTGGTGTCTTCGCTTTAACCGTTTCTGCATGCTCACAAACCAATCAGCATGCACTCCTCATTCTGAGTCCATAAAAGCCTCTGGATCCAGCCACATGGGGGACTTTCCCACCTTTGGGTAGGGGGCCACTACTACATCCCCTCTGTGCTGAAAACTGTTTCATCGCTCAATAAAATTCTTCTCTGCCCTCCTCACCCTTCAGTGTCCAGGGTACCCTCATTCTTCCCCGGGCACGCTGCAAGAGCTTGGGAACCGCTGAACATGGGTGCAAGCTATAACACAGGTGAGCTGAGGCATGCCAACATGGCTAAGCAGGGCCTGGGAAGGGCTTTGACAGCCGGAAGTCCCCAGCTTGAAATGTGAGGGAAAAGAAAAACCCTACATCATTATCAAACTCTGTATATAAATATGGATTTTCTACCATCTTCTTAATAGGAGGGGATATTTAACAAGAGGACAGATCCTGGAATTCCATTATTAGTGTTGGCGGTGGCGGAATTTTCAAATTATTAACACTGTTCTCATTCTTATATATAAATGGTTAGCAAAGAATCACCAGCAACATGGGTGACCAAAACCTATATAAGCCAACCAAAGAAAGAAAACAATTGACTTGGAAGGAAAAAATATATTTTATAGTCAGTAGAAGACAACTAAAAAAGAGGAAGGAAGAATGCTATGAAAAGCAACAATAAACAAATCCAAAAGCTAGTTCTTGCAAATACTTATAAAATAGACAAATCTCCAAGAATTTTGATAAGTAGAAAAAATGTAAATATGACCATGCTCTGGAAATGAAACAGTAATCTCATAAAAACTAGTGAAGAAAAAGAGTAAGGATATTTGAAGTTGTGGGAGAGGAAAAGGTATTTTTTTTTCTCCTCTTCCAAGTTCTCAACTAGAACTCTTATAACAAAAGGTAGACTAACAAGAGAAAAACAAACACAAGATTATTAACGCATGTATTTTATACCTACATGGGAGAAAACTCAGGGATGAATAACTCTCAAGGAGGCAGTTTAGAACTCTGGCTTACATAGCATCTCCAACAAAGAACCATACATTTTTAGAGAAGTCACAGGACAAAGGAAAAACACCTTGAGCATCTAGGGGCTGCAAATTCTGAAAAGGTAAGTTTATCGGAAACTAGTGGTAGACAAAGGCTAGTGAGTTAAGTTTGTTATGTAGATGTCTCAGGTGTGGGCTCCAGGCTGATAAGAGTCTAAAGTTGTCTCCTGGTGATTAACTTTTGTCCTTCCTGCTAGAGGAACAAGGAAGAACACCTTTGTAAATATATGTCCTGCCTTTAGACAAATAGTGGGAAGGAAGAGAACGTTTCTTATATCTGCTTCATCTCAATTGCCTTCAAGTCAAAATCATCCTTATGCTGGTCGGGCATGGTGGCTCACGCCTGTAATCCCAGTACTTTCGGAGGCAGAGGCAGGCAAATCACAAGGTCAGGAGTTCGAGACCAGCCTGGCCAACAGGATGAAACCCCGTCTCTACTAAAAATACAAAAAATTAGCTGGGCATGGTGGCGGTTTCCTGTAATCCCAGCTACTAGGGAGGCTGAGGCAAGAGAATAGCTTGAATCTGGGAGGCAGAGGTTGCAGTGAGCTGAGATTGTGCCATGGCACTCTAGCCCGGGCAACAGTGTGAGACTCCATCTCAAATAATAATAATAATAATGATAATAATCCTTATGCCAAAGTGGCATATTTTGGGCTGGCATATTCTTCCACCCTTTAGAGAGAAATATAAGGAAGTTAATATTTTCATCTCACATAGTATTATTAAAAATTAATAGAACATGAGGTAGATTTTGATTATATAAGACCTTATGTAAAAAATGAGAAAGAGTGGGGAGTAAAGAGGGGGTGAGAGATAAGCGGGAGTTTTTTAATCTAAATTGGGAAATAGCAGTTTAAGCTTTCAGTTTAAAACTATTGCAATAATCATCAAACATGAAAACAGAACAGTGGGGTTGGGGCTGGTGGAAAGAGTACTATGAGAAATCAAGAATTTGCATTATAAGTCCTCTTCTATTTTTTTAACTCTGTGCGTATAAATATTTTAAAAACTAAAGATAAGAATCCTATCTAACCAGGTAGATTTAAAACAGTAGAAATAAGTCATGCGGGTTACATATAACAAGGTTTGCCAGAGTGCTTTCTAATTTGACATTTATCTGACTGAATTTGTCATTAAAGAGAGAGAAAATAATCACATTCATAAACCGTGTAGCCATACGTCAAAGCTATGTCTTTATCGTACATGTGTAGTTTAATGCATATTTCCTGGTGTTTAGATGATACTTTTTGTTGGATTTCATTTAAAAGATGTTATTAAAAAATACTTGTTTACTGTAGAGATTCAAACAAAAAAAGAACAATAAAAGTCACTTTTAATCTAATGTCTTCTTTTAAGCCACTATTTTTCCTTAATGTACATTTATTTTCCTGAGAAAAAATTCTCAGGAGGGAATTTGACATTTTATAATACTCTGTGCATAAGCTTATATACTCTTTTAAATAAAATTTATAACAGACATATAAATTATTTTGTTTCAAATTTTCAGCTGTTGAAGCATTTAGCCATTTTCTTTGCAATTTCAAAAGAGAGATATTATTAGGTTGGCACAAAAGTAATTGTCGTTTTTGCCATTACTTTCAAAGGCAAGAACAACAATTACTTTTGCACCATTCTAATAACTACAGTAGTAGTTACCTAGAAGACCTAATAAGAAAAGGCAGCAAAAAAATGTTTTAAGTATGTGCAAATAATTTCTATTTTGGTCATATATACCTTTACTTGTCTATTTGAAAGTATTATTTTCTTTGTATCTTGAATATACAAAATACAGATTATGTAAATAAATACAAATTTTGTCTAATTTGTGAGAATTATGCTGTTAGTTCATATGCCAATTTGAAAGACCTGTGAACAGTAATGTATATGTAATGCAAATAAAAACAAAGCAATTATCATTATTATGATATAATTTTGCTAAATTTCAATGTTGATTGAGTTGGCTTTACAGTAGACCTCTTCATTTGTCATAATCTATTTGTGACTGATTTGTACATTTGACTACATTACTTGATTTCCAAATCATCTGGATTTTCTAATCCATGAAATTTTATAAATCACCGATTATAAAACAAGCACAGTGCCAACTGCTAAAGATACAAATGTACATAAACATCACATTTTTTCTCAATTAAAAAATTCCATAAATACAAATTAGTGCAGAAGAAGCAGTAAATTAAAGTTCATATAGGTTCATACAGGCATCATGTAAGAGATGCAATCCAGAATTAAAAGTATGATTAGGAGGGCATTCTAAGAAGACAGAAGGATAAGCAAAACAAGGGGGTGAAAAGGCAGATGTGACTTCATTTTATAATTGAATGTTTTCTTAGGCCTGTGCCTCTCAGGCTTTTATGGGAATGTGAATCATGTGGGCATCTGGTTAAGCTGCATGTTTGAGTCAGCCAGTCTGGGGTGTGATCTGAGATTCTGGATATTGAAGAAGCTCCCAGGTGAAGACTCTCCTGCTGGTCCAGGTACCACATTTAGCTTAGGCAAGGCTGATTCCGTAGAGATGCAAAACAAATGTTTTGATTTTTGAGTATATTTATTGACACAATGGAGAACAGTGATGTGTAGGAAAATGATTCATGGAAAAGCTGTTCTTCCTTCTGCACTCTTTACTTCCCAGTTATTTGTACTTATCTTCCCTAACTAACTTCCAAGGAATCAGGTTCCACTGAAGTCATAAATCTTGCTTATTTACTGATGTTTGACTTTGTCTTACCCTTCACTTTTCTGAAAGTGATTCTTACCAGTCTCTAGGAAGTTATGGCTTGTTTACATGATAAACACTTGCTTATCTATACTTTGTAAAATAGGCATTACTTTCTTCCTCAGCTAGTTTCAACGTCAATGTCAGTTTACTTTTGTAAGATACTTCACATTGATAATTAATATAGCTATTACTCTTGCTATGGGTATTTCCAACCACTGTGTAATATTCCCAACCAGCCTGTGTATATAGCTCATAATCCAGAATTGAAAATATGTGATTCAATATAGATGGCCGCTTAGTCACATGTTCACAATCTTTGCTGGTGGGCGTTTCTTAGTAAGGGTATGTACCCATTGACTGTACCCGTATGTCTTTATGCATAAAAAAATGGTAAGTACCTTAAGAATATTTAAAATGGAGCTTTCACTCTCTGTATTTACAGATTTTTATTCAATACTTCTGGTGTTCAACTAAAGAAACTATTTTAATTAGCACGTGGATGAATGAGACTTCTTGTGAATCTACCCAGGAGTTGCTTTTTCCTTGCAATACCAGGTCATCAGCACAATTGATGAACATGAATGGAGGCATCTGACAACTCCTCTGCAGGTGGTGATTCTTGCAAATGAGATGTTACTAATTTGAACCAATTGGAGGGACTGTAATTGAGATTCTATTAGTGATCTGCCCACAAACTGAATGAGCTATTCTGTTATTAACAAAGAAAGGAAGAAATTGACCTTCAAATTGGGTTCATTTTGGACTGTAAGGTAGAATGTCATTCAACTAAATGCTCATTATTCCCGATCTTTAGATGAAAGATGACTTTCCCAAAAAGATATGAAAAAAATGTTATGCTAATTTCACATGTTGAGCAATGGGTAATGCTAAGATGTCAAAATGTCTCTGGAATAGGAAAGTAACTAATGTGTACACTAGAAATATTGCAAATAAAAGATGATTGCTATAGGGAATTTGCGTGAACCTGAATCTTAAATAGCTCTTCCTGTGCTAAAGCTGCTGTTTAAAAGAAGAAATTTGAGAACAGAGGACAGGGCCTCCATGAGGTATTATACTAAATTAAACTAATTAATCATTAATTTTAGGAACATGAATCCAAGATAAATCTCTTATTAGAGCAGTATTGAACACAGCATCTTTACGTGACCAATTCTTCTCTAAATGGCCATAACCCAACTTTAAAATTATAATTTATAATTTGAAAACATGCAAATCTAGAAACGACTTTTTCCATTTATTATTTTTAGTCATAAATTTCAAGTTTTGAAATCATATTAATCTTTTATAAATGAGAAATAAATTAATGTTCTTATTCTAAGTAGAGTGGAAAATTGGATGAATGATATAAGATTTAAGTGACAGGTCGGGCACCGTGGCTGCTGCCTGTAATCCCAGCACTTTGGGAGGCTGAGGCAGGCAGATCACGAGGTCAAGAGATTGAGACCATCCTGGCCAACATGGTGAAACCCCGTGTCTATTAAAAATACAAAAATTAGCTGAGCATGGTTGTGCATGCCTGTAGTCCCAGTTACTCGGGAGGCTGAGGCAGGAGAATTGCTTTAACCCAGGAGGTGGAGGTTGCAGTGAGCCAAGGTTGTGCCATTGCACTCTAGCCTGGTGACAGAACGAGACTCTGCCTAAAAAAAAAAAAAAATTTAAGTGACAAGTAACATTTTTCTCCCTCCAGAAAACATAGAGCAATGTTTTTCTTGTGTAGATTCCTGCAGATCAATACAGTATACAAATCCCAACATGATTGTGAAATGTATTTTATATTCTAGTTGGTTAATGGATAAGAAAGTTAATGATGGGGTTTTTATTCATTCCTTTATTTTCAGGATTTTAGAAATAAATCATTTTAAAAATAAAAATAGTTTCCATGGAGAATATGACATAAAGAATATACAGAGGAACTTCTTTTAAATGTTAGAAATGCTTAATGTCTATAAAAATCAAAGTTTCCCCTTTGAATTTAAATATAATTATCAGCGAGGCACAGTGGCTCACACCTCTAAGCCCAGCAATTTGGGAGACTGAGGTGGGTAGAACACTTGAGGCCAGGAGTTTGAGACCAGCCTGACCAACATGGCAAAAACCCATCTCTACTAAAAAAATAGAAAAATTATCCAGGTGTGGTGGTGTGTACCTCTAGTCCCAGCTACTTGGGAGACTGAGGCAGGAGAATTGCTTGAACCCTGTGAGGCAGAGGTTGCAGTGACCTTAGATCATGCCACTGCACTCCAGCCTGGGCAAAAGAGCAAGATTCTGTCTCAAAATTAATTAATTAATTAAATATAATTATCAAAGTACTTCGTTCAGTAGACCTGAGAAAATTACTGCCACTCTGGGATAATGGGGCTTTGCAGAAAAGTGATGACCAGAGAAAAGAGAATTGCTCAGTGAGTTTCAAGGGTACCAAGTCAGAAATACAGGACAGCAAAATAATTAGAAATAAAAATAGTAATACTAATAACTATATGCATTGTCATTGCAGAGCCCTGTACTTCGTGGAATCTATTGAGTGAACTATTCCCCATAATAATACTTTATTTAATTTCCCAACAACCCCATTATCTCCATTTTGCAGATAAGAGAACTGGAGGCCAGAGATTATATAACTTTCTCTATTTAACTGCTAGTCTGTAATAGAACCAGGTGTTGACTACATATCCATCTGACATGAAAAGTTTACACACATAATCACTACAAGGCAACAGAGAAAATTCGTAGAGTCTAATACTCTTGAACAGCCCTTAAATCTCCCACAAAGACATGCTAAATTGGGATTCAGAATACCATTCTTCAATATTTATGACCACACAGTATTTCCTATGTATTGGAATAGAAAAGTATTTATTTTGTTATGGGTGAAGTGGGTTTCTAATTGGTTTTCCTCCCAGATAGAAAGATAAATGTGTAGTTAAATAGTAGAATCACATACTGTTATAGCAAGATGTTCACATTCTGGGAGACACATGGAAACTGAGGCAAACTATAGGAATCACAAATGGGTGTCTCCCATCTCACCATGTTCACTCTGGGATTAAATACTCATTATGTGTTTTATCTTATCAGGAGAAACCATCAACACTAAGTAATGTTTTTTCTCCTCTCCCATACTCCTCATGTTCATAGCATGAATGTTATGTATATCTGATGCACTTCTGAACCCTTTATTGGAAGGACAATACAAAGCATGAGGAATAAGAACAGAGGGAAGAATCTCATGCCCAGACAATTATTTAATTTTGCTAGTCCTTCTTTGTAAAAACCTCAATAATATTTTAAGCACCTTCCATATTCCAGGTGGTATAATAAGTACTAGTGATGTAATCAGATGGTCCATATTTTATGGGGAAAACTTACTTCAAGTGACAGCTAGATAAAATGATCATTTCAAGTTCAGTGTAGGAAGAGCCATACAGGGTTCTAAGAAAGCATAAAGATGGATATTTTAATCCAGACTAGAGAGATGAAGTAGGGGGAGTGTGCTCTCCTGGGTTGAGTGTCAACATGAAAAGTAATATTTCCTAGGTTTTCTTCCAGGGTTTTTATGGTTTTAGGTCTAACATGTAAGTCTTTAATCCATCTTGAATTAATTTTTGTATAAGATGTAAGTGAGGGATCCAGTTTCAGCTTTCTACATATGGCTAGCCAGTTTTCCCAGCACCATTTATTAAATAGGGAATCCTTTCCCCATTGCTTGTTTTTGTCATGTTTGTCAAAGATCAGATAGTTGTAGATGTGTGGCATTATTTCTGAGGGCTCTGTTCTGTTCCATTGGTCTATATCTCTGTTTTGGTACCAGTACCATGCTGTTTTGGTTACTGTAGCCTTGTAGTATAGTTTGAAGTCAGGTAGCGTGATGCCTCCAGCTTTGTTCTTTTGGCTTAGGATTGACTTGGCAATGCAGTCTCTTTTTTGGTTCCATATAAACTTTAAAGTAGTTTTTTCCAATTCTGTGAAGAAAGTCATTGGTAGCTTGATGGGGATGGCATTGAATCTATAAATTACCTTGGGCAGTATGGCCATTTTCACGATATTGGTTCTTCCTATCCATGAGCATGGAATGTTCTTCCATTTGTTTGTATCAGCTTTTATTTCATTGAGCAGTGGTTTGTAGTTCTCCTTGAAGAGGTCCTCCGCATCCCTTGTAAATTGGATTCCTAGAAACCCTAGAAGAAAACCTAGGCAATACCATTCAGGACATAGGCACAGGCAAGGACTTCATGTCTAAAACACCAAAAGCAATGGCAACAAGAGCCAAAATTGATAAATGGGATCTAATTAAACTAAAGAGCTTCTGCACAGCAAAAGAAACTACCATCAGAGTGAGCAGGCAACCTACAGAATGGGAGAAAATTTTTGCAATCTACTCACCTGGCAAAGGGCTAATATCCAGAATCTACAATGAACTCAAACTAATTTATAAGAAAAAAACAAACAACCCCATCAAAAAGTGGGCGAAGGACATGAACAGACACTTCTCAAAAGAAGACATTTTTGCAGCCAAAAAGCACATGAAAAAGTGCTCATCATCACTGGCCATCAGAGAAATGCAAATCAAAACCACAATGAGATACCATCTCACACCAGTTAGAATGGCAATCGTTAAAAAGTCAGGAAACAACAGGTGCTGGAGAGGATGTGGAGAAATAGGAACACTTTTACACTGTTGGTGGGACTGTAAACTAGTTCAACCACTGTGGAAGTCGATGTGGCGATTCCTCAGGGATCTAGAAGTAGAAATACCATTTGACCCAGCCATCCCATTACTGGCTATATACCCAACGGATTATAAATCATGCTGCTATAAAGACACATGCACACGTATGTTTATTGTGGCACTATTCACAACAGCGAAGACTTGGAACCAACCCAAATGTCCAACAACAATAGACTGGATTAAGAAAATGTGGCACATATACACCATGGAATACTATGCAGCCATAAAAAGTGATGAGTTCATGTCCTTTGTAGGGACATGGATGAAGCTGGAAACCATCAGTCTCAGCAAACTATCGCAAGGACAAAAAACCAAACTCCACATGTTCTCACTCATAGGTGGGAATTGAACAATGAGAACACATGGACACAGGAAGAGGAACATCACACACCGGGGACTGTTGTGGGGTGGGGGGGAGGGGGGAGGGATAGCATTAGGAGATATACCTAATGCTAAATGACGAGTTGGTGGGTGCAGCACACCAACAAGGCACATGTATACATATGTAACAAACCTGCACGTTGTGCACATGTACCCTAAAACTTAAAGTATAGTAATAAAAAAAAAGAGAAGTAATATTTCAGGATAAAAGGCAAGAGGCATATACCTTCTGAAAGGAAAAGGACCAGTCCAGAAATTTAGGCACTCAGAGGTTACACTGACTATCTGTTAATCAAAATGTAGGTTGAAGCTGTACGTAGTGCAGATGTATGGAAGTTAGTGACAGATTCTGATTAAAAAATTAATTAAAATACATTAATCATATGAGCATACATTTAAAATGTCATAATATAAGCAAGTGCTATGCTTAAAGATGTTAAAGATGTTCTAGAGTTTTTGGATTTACGAACACATCAAGATACTGCAAGGATGGTGTGCTCACGGAGGTCGTAGAAGTTCCACACTTCTTCCTTACTCCCATTCTTTGACTATACTTTGCATCTCTTCCATTTGGCTATTCCTCAGTTGTATCATTTACAATAAACTGCTAATGGTAAGTTAAATACATGAAAATAAATGTAAAAAAAAATCTCCCTACGAATCATGTGAAACTATTGCTTATTGAATTTATTTTGATCATAAAATATTAGAATCCATATGTAATCCAGGTCTGGTGATCCATACTAGACCTACAGAAGCATTAATAGTCCTGCTTATTGATTGTTTTCCTGCATAAATTGACCACATGTGCCATTGCCTGACTTGTAGCACAGTGTTGTGATATTTGGAAATGATTTAGAGTTTTATCCATTTCAGAAGAGTTCATCTCTCCAAACACCACAAAGAATGCCATTATTTTAACGAAACATCCATTAGAAGGATCACTGGGATGATAAAGTGGCAAAAAGAATTAGCATTTCAAGGAGAAGCATTACATTTTCATGACAAGCATGCTCCTGCATGTTTCAGAAGAATGGAAGGCGGTCCCCAAACAAGGAATTTTTAGACAGGAGCCAGGCTTTCAATTTGACTGATTGGATATGGTAATTTTCTGCCTAGTTTTGATGAGATATTATAAAATACATTTCTGTGATTATTAGAGCAAACTATCTTTTATATTTGGCATTAGTCTTCCACTTTACAATTACTTTTTACTGTATTATGTGATGCTAAACTCTCTCTCATAAGTCATTAGCTATTGTACTAAGATAATTCATTGCTGAAAAATTTATTCTCAAAGAGTATAGTACTAGCCTGCCCAAAGGTGTGTGATAGGCTGTTCTTGCATTGCTATAAAGAAATACCTGAGACTGGATAATTTACAAAGAAAAGAGGTTTAACTGGGTCACAGTTGTGAAGGCTGTACATGCATGGTGCCAGCATCTTCTGGAGGGCCTCAGGGAGCTCTTACTCATGACAGAAGACAAAGTGGAAGCTTGCATATCACATGGTGGAAGCAGGAGCAAGAGAGAGTGGAGTGGGAGGTGAGACACACTCAAGCAACCAGGTTTCAGGGTACTCACTTGGTATTGCAAGGACAGCACCAAGCCATGAGGGATCCTCTCCCATGACCCAAACACCTCCCATCAGACACCTATCTCCAAGGTTAGAGACTACATTTCAATGCAAGATTTGGGCAAGGAGAAATATCCAAACTATATCAAGGGGGAAAGAAGAAAAACATAGCAACATAGCAGTTGAAATGATTTTTATTAGTAAGGACAAATGGGGGGAAAATCTTACAAAATAGTAAAATTTCCCCAAATTTTACTACAGGAACAAAATACTAGTTTATGCTAAACCACATAAACATCTCATGGGTCACTGACGGGGGAAATAAATGGAAATCTAGATTTCTTCTTGGCTTTAAGTACGTAATTTGTCAAATTATTTAGCTGTCTTTTCTATACTTAAATTGTACCAAACTAGGAAATTGTTTGCTTTCTGTATTTAATGGTTAACTTCTGTTGATGTTTTAGCTTTCTTTACTGTTTCTTCTACCCTTCCTCCTCTGTTCCCTCCAACTAAATGTTCTCTTTGATGGATTCAATATTTTATTCTGTAGCTGAAATGGTGGAATTTTTCTGCCAAAAATTTAGTCAGTGGACACCATTGTGGACTTAAGTAGCATCTAACTCTAAGAATAATTAAGAATGCAGTCAGTATTCAATTTGATTCCCTGCAGAAGTGCCAACTTCCATCTCCTCTAAGGCCAAAATCTTCCAGAATGAATGGTTCCTTCTCACAACGCCTTTATGAATTCATGATGCAGCCCTTCCTCATCTTGACTGATGCTATCAAATGGAAATACAATGCAAGCCACATAGGAAATTGTAAATTTTATAGTTGCCACATTGAATCGGTAGAAAAAAGAAAGTAAAATTAATTTCAATATATATTTTATTCAAATCAATATATCCAAAGTATTTTTTTTATTTTTATTTTTTCAGATGGAGTCTTGCTCTGTCACCCAGGCTAGAATGCAGTGGCACAATCTTGGCTCACTGCAACCTCTGCCTCCTGGGATCAAGCGATTCTCCTGTCTTAGCCTACCAAGTAACTGGTAGTACAGGCATGTGCCACCATGCCTGGCTAATTTTTTATTTTTAGTAGAGACAGGGTTTCACCATGTTGGTCAGGCTGGTCTTGAACACGTGACCTCAGGTGATCCACCCGCCTTGGCCTCCCAAAGTGCTGGGATTATAGGCGTGAGCCACCGCATCCAGCCCCAAAGTGTTATCATTTCAACAGATAATCAATATAAAAATTACTGATGAGGTATTTTGCAGTCTTGTTTTGAATTAGGTCTTTGAAATCCAGTGCATTTCTTATACTTCCAGCACTTGTCAATTTATGCTAGCCACATTTCAAGTACTTAATAGCAACATGTGGCTAGTGGTTCCCTTACTGTCCAGCACAGGCTAAGAGGCTTCTAGGATTCTTAGAGAAGGGCGTTCAAATAAATTAAAGAAGTGTGTAGTATCCTATGCCTTAATTTAACTTCCACAAAAGTATAGTATGAAGTATGGAATTTAATATTTAACAGCAAATAAATCAGATATATTATACATATGTGCCCATATTTATAGGAGATGTACTGAAAGGTAGTATAACCTACTTCAATAAGAAAAAAGAAAATGAAAACAAACACACACTTATATACAGCAACAAAAGGAATAGCTTTATGTTTTGATGTATCAACTTTTTCTCTGAGGATATATTGGTTATTAATGAATTGTTAATACACTTATAAGTTAATGGTTACAAGACATCATCTATGTCTAATAAAAATAAAAAATTCCCCCTAACTTTAAATTTTTACTTTCTGCTTGTCTATACTCAAACCCTTCTGCCACCACTACCTGCAATCTTTCTGTTTTTCTCAGGCAGCTGTGTGAGCCCAGAAGATAAGGAAGACAAATTTGTAATTAAATCTTCTGTGAAATGGATAGCCACACCTATGACAGAGAGGGGGGGAAATGTTTGTACAGAGTTGTTCATGGTAGTCAAAATAGATATTTCATTTGCAGTGGAATTCTCTGGTAATTACTTTTTAAATGCCTGTAATTGTTTTAAAGCTGCTCTGCCACTCATTCTTAGAGAGAGTCTTTAATAACTGCACCAGATGCACAAGCATTAGAGAAGTGGCCTAAGCCATGATTTAAAAACACAAATTCGAAGACAGTTTATATAAAATTCTGAGGCAAATATTCTTGTCACTCCCATTGACCAGTCAAGTCAGTAGGGGAAGAAGTCGGTTAAATTGATTGTTTGCCTGAATGGAGTGAATGTTCTTGGGCATAATTACGATGTTGGCTGGAATGTGACTGACAATATTCACAGGACAGATGCTACAAGTAAAGTAGAAAACAGAAGCAATCTATGAATGGTTCATATGTGTAAATGCATTTGTTTAAGCTATTTGGAAAACTTGGTTAGTATTTTCACTTAGTTCTGTGTATGAGGACTCAGTCTCCTGTAGAGGGGTGGGAGAAACAGTCAGGAAGCTCTGAACTTCAGTGGTATAAGAGACAAAAGCCAACAAAAGAGCAGAAATAAAAACACATCCAAGCAGAGAATGAAAAGCAAACAGAATGGACCAGAATAGATAAAATGAAGAAAGGTCAATAGGGTTGAGATAATTGGTAGAAAAATAACACACCTGTTTCTCCAAATTTTGCTGACCCCCTTTCTTTTTAAAAAATATTATTTCTTTTTCTATCTTGATTATTTACAGGAATATATAAAGCAAACACTTCAGGCATAATCTTCAAACTAGCAATTCCTACTAGAGTGATTAATGTTTATTAATCATGATTAAAAATAATGTTTATTAAGCATGATATAGTAACCACCGTAAACAACCACTCCAGATTTGTTGCATTTAGGAGAAAAGAAGACAAGTTCACTTAAATAAAATGATTCTCAGCCTTGGAAGCTTTTTCAAAGTACTGCTTTTGGGGACTGTGCACCTAACACCACCACTCAAACCTTAATTTTCCTCTTACAAAATCTACTCTTCCATTAGTGTATGTCTGAAATGGCTCTTCAATAAAGTTTCAAGATTCCTGTTTAAATAAGCATACTTTGCTGTAAATTTCACAAAGTTCATAGATAAATTTCTGTTGAATAGCTCTCATTCTGCCACTAACTAACTCTTTAAAAATTGTAAATGGAGGAAATATCTGCAATGTAAAGTTGACAAAAGGAAGAAATGATAATAAAGAATAAATACAATTGCATGGTTATCAGTACTCACATGAAATTCATTACATTCTGTCTATTACTATGGTTGTCATGTGTCTCATCTTCTCATGTAACCTTGCAGAGGCCAGAGACTGCCTCTCAATGGTTTATTTGAGCTCTATGTGTTGTCATTAGTACAATTTTGTTGCACAAAAGTTCTCTCTGCCTAGAAATTGCTTCCTTTTACTTTGAATGTGAAAAATGTTTCCTCCTTCCAAAGTCCCCTTTTCTATGAAGCTCCCTTGACTCCCTCAGCAACTGAGGCACTCCTTACACTGCCTCTATTGAACTTTGTCTACGTTCCCTTTATATTCAATCAGTCCATTGTGTTATACAGGCCAATTATCCCACAGGGCATACACTGAGTCTTTTAAGTCTGTTTTAAAATATTTTAATGTAATGTATTTAATAAAACAAAGTAATATTACTAAAATGTAATAATACTATAGTACTGCCAATAGATAAGTAAAAGCTAATGCTTACATACTACTTGCTAAGTACCACATATTATTGTAACTTCTTAACATATATTAAAGTTTACTTTTACAACCCAGTTGTTATTATCATTCCCATTTTAGAGATAAGAAAACCGAGGCTCAGAAAGACTAAGTAATCTGCCCAAGTCCATAATGTGAGTAAGCAATACAGCTGATCTCCATGGTTTGGATCAGAAGCCCTTGCTCCTAACATCCTCACTCTAATGTATCTCTATTTTTTGATACTGTCATATAGAACACTTTGTAGATTTTGGTTGAAAAATGAATTAAAACAGGGAAGTTTGGGTGCACAGCCATAGCTAGTTGGAGAAAAACTCTCCCTTGGTATACTGAAAATGTCGAAAAAATATGCTCACTGTTTGGTTAAGGTGGGTTTTAAAACATGTTAACTGTGTGACTGAGGCAGGCTTTAGAGACTCAACATTTTTCATTGTTTATTGCCTAACTTGTGGTGGCATATCTAGGATGCCATCATTGGCTCTCTGCTGCTTAGCCAAATTAGATGATACAAATCAGCAGCTCAAAATGTTGAGTTAAGAGAGGCCAGTAGCAAACAGTGGTATGTCTAGAAGAAGTCCAGCTGGTTTCATAATATTAAGTCCAAATCACCAATGATTTCTGATGTGTCTGTTTTACGATACAGAACTTACTCTGTTTTTTTTTTTTTTTTTTGCCTTTAAAGAACCTAAAAGAAGAATGGCTTTGGCAGGGACTATTAATCAATTAATGTGCATTGTTGCCCTTAAGGATTTTATAGTACAACTGGGGAGAGGAGATTAAATCATGTAAGTCAAAAAAAAAAAAAAAAAAACTAAACCTGCAGCTAATGTAAATTCTGGAGCTTGAATTACAAATGCAGAAGGAGATTAGAAAAGAGTGAAGAGTTCTCATGGAGAAGTCTTAAACCATTCCTTAATGATATGTCATGTCGGGTCAGGAAGACCGAAGGGGAAGAAGGAAATGAGTAGAAGGTTGTTTGACAGATTTCAGAGAGAAAGCACAAGTGCTCATGAGGCAGAATATTATATTTAAGGGCTACAGGTATTTGAGTCTGTGTTTGACAGTTAGTCAGTAACCAGACTGTTTTTGGGACATATTTCACAGACGTTTCTCAGAGACAGTTGCAAAAAGGTTGTCTATCACCATTGACACTAATTATAATAACAATTCTTTCTAAGGCCAATATTTTGAACCAAATACATAGGTATTTTTATTTCTATCGCTTTGAAACACAACCCCCATTTTCTTTCTCTTAAACTAAAATTTCTTTAAAGCAGGTATTAGATGAGCACAGATGGTACAGGCAGGTTCCTTAGTGCTTGTTAACTAGAAGGCAGTTCCTAAATCTTCTCACCATTCAGGCAGCAAAGGGAGAGGCGGAAAGAGTTGATCAATAGTGACATAGCTTTACAGAGGGCTAAATAAGAAAAAATGGACTTAAATCTTACTAAGACATTTCTGCTAGACATAAAGAGAAATTTCTTGATGGTCGGGGAAATTAGACACTAAAATAGATTATCAGCACAGCAAGTGAAATCTCCATTCCAGAAAATCATTGAACATTGGACAGACCATATGCTCCAAGGAGTTTGTTCGCTGACTTGCCTGGCTCAGATGGCAGACTTCCTGGAATCAAACCTACTGTAGTATGACTAAATTCCACACTTTGGCTGAGAGAATGTGCACTTTTTTACTTGTTATAAGATCCCACATATTCAGATTTTATGAACTATGCCAGATTCTTCCATTTTTAACAAAGCTAATTATCACATAGAGACATAGATGTAATAATAATGAAAAATGTTTATATACATATATATTTTTGAATGCACAAAGCAATAAAGCATTCATAACTTAATACATATTAAGGCATTTAAACTATTTATCATAAAGCATAATTTCTATCACACTTTGACCCTTGTTTTGTGTTGAAGTCAATTAAGTATTTAGAACTTTTTTTTTTTTACACCAATCTCTTAAGCTGGAAAAGGTTGGTAAACAAAATATAGAGCCTGCTCTAAAGCATATTTTATACAGAACTACACAATATTGCAATTTGTGTACATCAAAATGGTTGAATTATCATTTGGTTCAACTTAACACAACCTAATAAAGAGGAAATAGGACCAACATACTCAGAACAAGCAAATCATAATAGAAGGGGGTATATGACTGAACATTCTGTTGAGTGTTAGAGACAAGAGTGCTCAGAAGTTCAAAGAAAGAAGAGATCAATGTGGCCGGCAGTGGTCTGGGTAATAAATGCTCTTTGATCTGAATTGACTCAAATTGTTTGTCCAGTTCTCTTAAGAAACAAATCTTTTTCCTCTTTAGGGCCCTATCTCTCACTGCTCACTGGGCATCCAGCTATCAAATTGAGTAATAACATGGTGTTTGATTCAGTGAATCCTTCAACGAAGTTTTTATATGGCAGACACTTGGTCTAAACATCTGGAGGAATATGAAAAACCAAATAAAGCCTGATCTCTGCCCTTGAAGCAATTATAATTCTGTTGATTAAATGAGACTTAAATAAATGGAATAAAGAAGCATATACATACTACTTATCCATGTGACTCAGAGAGTCGCACTAGAGTTTATTTTATTAGGGAGAGAAATCATTATGGCTAATGTGATTAGGGAAGGGTTCTGGAAGTTTAACTTATATGCGTCTTGAAGAATAGACATGTTTTTAATTGATAGAGTAAAAGCAACAGTACCCTTGATGACCACAAAACCTACAAATAATCCTTCCCTTAAAATAAGCTTCATATTTTAAAACTCTAATTTCTGAAAATGACATCTCTCTCCCTATGCAAATTTCCATTCAATATTCATTTATCCAGCAATGCTGCAGTAAAACTCAGTCTAACTTCAGTCACACTTTTCAGTGAACTTAATTTTTACGGTGCTGTGTGACCATAAAAGCTCACGTTCCAGATAATTAGTCTTTGATGGTATTTTAAAAAGAAATTGTATGGAATTCTGAATTAAGTTTGGCATTCAGTAATGAAGGAAAAGAAGTAGAGTGGAAACTATGAAAAAAATATTTATAAAGCAAAACAACAACAAAAATTGAATGGCTGACTGGATCAGGGATCATAGATTTACTAATATCTATTCAGAGCTTGAGGTTGATACTAAGAACCTGGATAAATTATTAGCAACTGTTATTTCAAAAGGTATACATAATTACCTATGCCTCACTCACTCACTCACCTCACACAGAAGCTACTTACCAACAACTCCTGATGGGTGTGGAGGACACATACCTTCTCCCAGTTTGGGGACTTATAGATATTCTAAGCTCTCAGACGGATACCACAAAGTTATTTCTTAACTTAAAAAGTCAAGACTGCCCTGAAATTTAAATATTCCATTATGTGATGGAATAAAACAGTAAATTATTTTTAAGCTATCAATTTTAGTAAGAAATTTACAATTGGTAAGTGAGAGAAGACATCACGTTCTCTGAGGCAAGTCAGAAATTCTATTCAATGTTGGTTATGTTGCCCAAGTGAGTTTTAGTAACAGATTCCCCAGATGAGCTCCACTTACCCAGGTTTCAAGCATGTTTCTTGGAATCAATTACATTCTAATAACTAAGTTGTTATATCATTATTTTTTCTAATTCATTTTTCAGTTTGCCTCTATTTCTGTACTTTTCAAATATTCTTTCCAACCATGCAAATTTCTTTACAAACTTATGCTACTCTCTTAGGAAATATTTAAAAACAAGGGCCCAAATAATGAATTTATACTTGCATATATAATTATGGAAATGATTTTTTTTTTGCTACATTCTTTTATAAAACAGTTACCCCAAGGTGCACACATAATGTTTACTTGATATCCATGCTTATTTTAAATTAGTTAACAGCTCCGTTAATGTTTCTAGGACAGGAGAAAGTTAGCTTCCTGATGACTACAAAGAAGTTGTAATTTAGAAATACAGAACTCTATTAAAGAGGAAGAATATTATGATTCATCCAATATTTTAAGGGTGAAAAAAAATGTTTAAAAGGCCTCAGGAGACAGACGCAAAGGCTCAAACTCCCAGCCAGAAGGTGTGAGATTGTATCCAGACACCTCCATTTATTGTCTGTGTCTTTTGCCAATTATTTAAACTTTATGAAATTCTATCATTTCATCCATAAAATGGGCTTAATAGCTATGCCATCTATTTTAATATGGTGATTAAATGAGATATTTAATACAAAACATTTAATTTGAATAGACCTGGACTATAATAAATATAGTAAATATAGTCAGCAGTTGTTATTATCACCAACATTCAAAATATTGCTACTATTCTTAGCAACTCCCTTACTCCCTGAAAGTTTTCAGTGCCTATTCAGAGTGGTGGAGGCTTGAAGAGGGGGTTTTGGAAGCTGAAAAGGTGGTAGAGATTAGAGAATCTTTTGGGAAGTTTGATCATCTATGAATAAAAAGGATTTATGTTCCAATATAGTTTGCCTCCTTCAGTATCACTTGGGACTAGGTTTATAAAAAGGTAGATAATTAATAATAACACCGTGTAGTTGCAAAGTGCTTTGAATTATCTTTTCCTAAGGAACTTATTCATTTTTTTCACCATGGAAATTTATGAGGAAACAATAAAGTATACAGCATTTGCTTAATATTGACAGCTACACTGTAGTTTCAAATGAATTACTTTCTTTGCATCTGATAGATAATGTTGAATGAAGTAATGCATGGGAGAATACTTAGTACAGTGCTAGTTACTAAGTCTGTGATCAGGATCAACAATAGTTTTCTGACTCCTTTTCTAGATGAAAGTCCGAGGCCAGTGCTCACACAGAAGGTACTTCATAATAACCCTTGTTGGATGTGGACGATGCATATCTTTTTCCAGTTTGGGGGCTTGTAGATATTATAAGCTCTCAGACAGATATCACAAACTTATTTTTCAATTCAAAAAAGGTCTACATTTTCTTCTATAAGAAGAAAAGTTCAGTATGTGTTTTCCACAAGATCCCCAAAACTAAATTAGAAACCAGCACTTTGTGCACATGGCTATTTTATTGCTTCTCCATTTTACAAGTGAAGAAACTGTGGCCCAGAATAATTATACGGAGGGCAGAGCAGAGATGAAAACTATTCGCAAAAGTACATTTACCTTCATTAGTTATTTGTGTATTCAAACTATGTCAGGTAATTTTGGGGAAATCAAGAGAGCCTTCTAGTCTTCAATTATATTCTAATAACTAAGTTTGTATATCGTTATTGCTTCTAATGTTTTTCCGTTTACCTCTGTTTCTGTGTTTTTCAAATATTCTTTCTCACCACGCAAATTTCTTTACAAACCAAGGCTACTCTCTTAGGAAATACTTGAAAACAAGGGCCCAAATAATGAATTTATATTTGCATAATTATGGAAATGATTTTGGCTACATTCTTGTATAAAACAGTTATCACAGGTGCACACAAAATGGTTACTGGATATCTATGCTCATGTGCTATGTACACATAAATGCAGAATCTTTGTACCTTTGTGGATGTAAGCAATGAATGGACATCCTAGTAACTTAACATAATTTTCAATACCTTGATCTGAAAATGAAAGCAATACTTTCTAAGAATGTATTCTTAATTTTTATTAGCAATGAACAAAACATTTGTTGCGTGCTGATTATTTGAAAAATTATTTTTGATTAACAATAATTTTTAAATATGATTACTACTTTAAAACATTGTTTGCATCTCCATATCAACCTGTTATCATAGGATGTATTAGCCTTGTGCCTTCTTTCCTCAGAATGTGATCTGAATTCCTGATTCTGGAAATGTGTTCAGAGATTCATTTAGTCAATTCATATCCTTTGTTTACCCTATGCTAGGCACAGTGTCATTTTTAAAACTGTTTGGCCAGTCAGGTAAGAACCTTTAAAACCCTATTTCGGGGAAGTTATTTCACAGAATAAATTTGCTCACTGCTATCTGCTAGAGAGTGTTTTCCAGTAATATCAGTGCTTATCAAGTTTGTGCCTAAACTTTCATATCAGCACACCAATATCTGATAGCAGGTAATGACGTGATGACCTTTCTCTGCTAAGATTTCCTGAGGCTCGTTGCTGAAATAAACTGTAGCCTTGGATACACGTCTCCTTAAGGGAGAGAGAAACCTAGAAACAGATCTAAGTCTGTTGGAGGCATGAAAGATAAAATAACTTGAAAATAGAGGTCAAAGAACAAATGAAATATCACGAGAAAGACCTGATACAGTCACCAAAGATGTAGTCAACTTGTGATTCTTTAAGACCCTACCCCTGGTTGGATAGATCTTTGAGGGATAGGGTGTTTCCGATGCAGATATATAAAGTTGAGGGACCATTTCCCAAACAACGTCACTCACAAGATTTTACTGCGAAGTTCAAATTCAGAATTGCAGGGAAAAACATGTTGTTATTACAGTGAACAATTGCTCAAATACTATAGTTACACAAAAAGGGAAGATTTGGTGTTAATAACATGTCCTATTTGTTCTTTGATGATTTATGAGTAAAGCAGTCGTTCCCAAAATTTAGCATACATCAAAATCAAAGGGCTTATTTAAATGTATATTTCTGAATCTTATGCTGAGATTACCTGATTTTGTTGGTCAGAGCAAACAGAGAATGTACCTTTTTAACAAGTGCACAGCAAAAGCTGGTAGTGCTGGTCTCAGGATGACAGATCGAGAACTACCATAGTAACGTGACAAATGTATTTCATTACAAATTGATTCTGGCCATAAAGCAGGAATCAACTTGGAAAGGTTGGAAAGATCATTAGTTTTGAAGCTGGCAAAATCTGGAATAGATTTCTAGATTTGTGATGTTTCAGCTGCAGACAACCTTAATATCAAAGAGTCACAGCTACTTCACTGAAAAATTAAAATTGTAGTGTTCGATATCAAGGCCTATTGTAAGGATTAATAAAATATTTTATGCAAAAATATTTTAAATGTTTTTATTCTGTGTGGTTGTGATGGCACTGTTTTTAAAAAAATCTATGCATTAATCAGTAGTAGAATTAGATGGATCTAGTAAATTTACTGAGAATTTACAGAGCAACTGTAGGTCTTTGCTACAATAACTGGGAAGAATAGTGGTTGTGACTCTTATTACTTACCACGGATGTTGCTTCTTATGTATTTGCAAATATCCCTACACTTTCAGTCTGAAAGATCAACCCACTACAATAAAATCTTGTTTCTTCTTGCTTTTATTAAAAGCTGAGTTCAGAGGTCAATTGCATTGTTAATAACCTCTTCTTTCACCCTAGTCTTCATACAAAGTCCAAGCATTCTAGATCTTCAGTCATCACACAGACATTTATTCCCATGTGGCTCCAAACATATTCTACGACCTGTCTCCTATTCTTACCTTTTCTCTCCAAACCCTTTTTATGCTGCCCTTTGTGATTCAAAGTCTATAATGAACAGATTTTTCTATACCATGAAACTCTTCTTTAAACGTTTATTTTATAGCTGAAATGGGGCTATCTCCTGAAGCCCCAGATTTCCATGGTTTCTGTTCCCTTTCACACTCATGTCATGCACCTCAAAGCTTAGGCTAAGGAGTTTTATGGTACTCATTTTTATGTCCAATTAATTCTCCTTCTTCTCTTTTCACAAACTCTAGTTTCTTCTCCCACATATTATCAGATTACTGTTCCTTGTTTTTGTCATTCCTCTGCCTTCTCCCTTACCTTAGTGATATGGTTTGGCTGTGTCCCCACCCAAATCTCATCTTGAATTGTAGTTCCCATAATTCCCTGTCATGGAGGGACCCAACGGGAAGTATTCGAATCATGGGGGCAGGTCTTTCCCATGCTGTTCTTGTGATAGTAAATAAGTCTGATGAGATCCGATGGTTTTATAAAGGAGAGTTCCCCTACACACGCCCTCTTGCCTGCCACCTCGTAAGACACGCCTTTGCTTCGCCTCCGCTTTCTGCTGTGATTGTGAGGCCTGCCACCCTCACAATATAGTTCCATTCATTATAAATTACACAGCCTTGGTTATGTCTTTATTAGCAGCATGAGAACAGACTAATACACTTAGTCTGTTTTGTGTTGCTATAACAGAATAGCAAAGACTGGGTGAATTATAATGAACAGAAATATATTCGAGTTACATTTTTGGAGGCTGGAAAGACAAAAAATTGAGTGAATGTCTTTGTGCTGTGTCATCCCATTTCAAAATCAGATTTCAAAAGGTAGAAAAGCAAGAGAGGGTGAAAGCAAGAGGGCAAAAGGGGACTAAACTTACTTTTATAACAAAACCACTTGGTGATAAGCTTGGTGAGCCCTTTCCCTCAATAATGAATATGAATCAATTCATGAGGGCTGAGCCCTCATGACCTAATCACCTCTTATTAAGACTCACCTCCTAACACTATGACATTGAAGATTAAGTTTCCAACACAAGAAATTTGAGGGATACATTTAAACCATAGCATTCTCATTCACCTGGATAAATGTCTTTCTTTTCATACAATTCTGCCATCATTCTTAGAGACTTCAACATCAAACCACATGGCCTAAAAATTCGATCTCTTGACCTTCTTAGAAATAAAAATTATTTTCTCCACTCAAACCCAGCCACTTGATGACATGATTGCATCACCAGCAATATTAACACATGCTATCATTTTCAAATACCTAACATCTTCTGGCCATCTATTTCTCTTCTGTCCTATTCATTTGCTCTTACTCCTACACAGTATTCAAGTTATCTAAAAAACAATAAGAGTAACAAATAATTTAAAAATTTTGAAAAGCATTAAAACTTTCTCAAGGAAGGGTGATTCATCTTTAACATTCTTTGGACACCTGTGGCAGGGATTTGCAGATATAAAAAACCCAAGTAACACAAAATGACCCAACCTTATATCACTCTTCTCAGTATTTAATGGGGAAAAAAAAATAAGAAAGCCAGAAAACTTTTAGCTGTATGTCCCTGTAAAAGAAAGGCTGGCAAGTTTTAAAATTTCTAGGTGAAAAGAGGCAAGATATATATCAACTCATTCTTCCTCTCTCCCCTACCCCTGCAACACACACACACACACACACACACACACACACACACACACACACACACACACACACACACATACACATACCCTAATGGGCCCTGGCAGAATTGGAGCAAAAATATCCATCACATAGATAACCCATAGAGAAAGTAAAAAGTAAAGACTTTAGATCTTTGAGCCCCCAAAACTTGCCTTCTTACACAAATCCTACAAGACTGAATGACGACTGTAATGGGCAGCCTTTCCTGTTTTAATTCAGCAATTCCCTCTTTAAATTATGTATTAATAATTGCTTAAGTTCAGTGACTGAATTGAACCAATTCTACACATGGAAATGAAAGTGTCAGGGCTAATGGAGGAAGATGACTCTCCTGTTAAGCTTATACCAAGTATAGGATCTATAGCCATATGCCAGAATAAGTGGTCACGTTGATATCATGGGAGGAATTACAATGATCATTCCTTTGTTTAAACCACGTGGGTGTCGTTAGATAGACCAGACCATATGGTAAATGGACAAAAAAGATCTCAGCATTCTTTCTCGAGTTGATGCAGATGGAGGTTTTGGAGCAGTTCCAAGAGGGTGATTGATGACTGTACCACAACCTCCCTTATTACTACCTAATTCCTTTCCACTTTTTTTTGCAAGAAAACAAACAAGAACAAAAGATGAACACTATAGCAAATAACCTTAAAATGACTGTTTTTGGCTGCAAATGTATTAGAGCTATCTTGATTCTTCAGGAAATATTTGGGCAGAGGGGTGTTACTTTTCCTTTTGATTTTTAATATAATTTTAATATATATTTATACAGAGAGGTTAGTTCAGGGGAGAGAGCTAAAGGAGGCAACCAAAATACCTAAAGAAAAAAAAATCCTCGATGACGAGATTTTGTCTGTTGGATGATAGATGGTCCAAGAATATTCTAGTGATATAATCTAGCACTCATTGCTGCTCAATAGCTATCAAAGTCTTCATTGTATTAAGATAAAATATTTATGAAAGATTTCTTGAATATATTACAATAAATAATTTCTCTAGATTCTCTAAAATTTCTCTAGACACTCTAAAATAATCTACGCTTGACCTTTGTAGACCAATAAATCACTGTACATCTGGATTGCATGGAATTGCTTTTGCAACCTTCCCATTCTGCCCCCGCCGTCACTACTACCACCACATTTCCAGGGTTCTCTGCTTCTACTGAATTATGTTTTGGTAACTTGCCCTTAGTCTATATGAGGAAGCTTGATAAAATACTTATAACTACTGTGAGGACATTGTTCACAGTGCTAATTGTGACTATTCTTGAGAAACAAAAGTCTTCGATGAAAGTATCAAGAAAAATGTTGCCTGTGTTGAGTCACTTGTTTGTTTTTATATTTTGGACGGTATGTATTATGTAATAGATTATATTTTCCATTTTTGTATGACCTACTAAAAAACCTTAGAACCAACTTTGATGTCAACCTGTAACAAATACAAAGAAATTATTTCACTTACTTTAAATTTTATTTCATTTTCTTGCCAGTGATCTGCTTCTAGTACAAGTGATAATAAAAATATGTTAATATTTAAAATAAGATAAACTGCTTATATTGATAAAGAAAATAATCAGTGTGCTATGCAGATAAAAGGAGAAAATCCACTATTTTCTCACTGTACAACTTTCTACCTGTGCTTCAACCATAGCACCATAAGAGATAATCTTGCATAGTAGTAAAGAAATATGCCTAGAATTGGATAGGATTTTGATTTCCAGTTCTTGATTTTTAGCTATATTATCTTGGATATGTGTTTCAATCTCTTTAAGATTCATTTTCTATAAAATATATATTACAGTCACATCTACTTTATAATAAAATGAGGATTTGATAAAGTGAGATTTCTAAAAGAAATATTTTAGTGTCTCCATCCATTATGCAGATATTTAACACAGTGATATATACATATATGATATATATTAAATATGTATATGTAATATACATGTACATACATAATGAACCAAAATAATAAAATCAGAATATCCCATCCTAAAATATGCTACTTTAGCATAAGAACTATTTTAAGCTGAAAGCAATTGTGGAAAAGCAATCTCTCAGTTCTTTTCCTATCTTCTAAAAGCAAAAATTAAATTTTCCTTGTGAAAGTCTTGTCTTCTCTCTTACCAGGAAGGGAAGACAACCTTTTTTCCTGGAGGTGAAAATGGCACCAAGATGAGTTTGCACAAACTTAATCATACTAAATAATCCTTATCTTCCATTTGTTTGCCCCATATATTTTATCTTTCCACAAACTATTACCCCTAGAAGCCCAAACCTTCTTTTCTTTTATCTTGTCACTTCTCCACAATGTGTGGAGGCCTGCAAATTTAACCATTTCTTTGGATATTCATTTCTTTTCTATGAAGGCATCTGTGCAAATAAAAATAAAAGTATTAACATTCAATGAAAAAGAATGCCTTTTCTCCTGCCAATCCATCTTTTTATAGTCTAATTTGCAAGCCCCAGTGGTGACCCTAAGTGGATAGAATAATAATTCCTCCCTTACAATAGGATGTTATAATTGTGTAATAACTATTCAATACATGATAGTTTTGCTATAGTATTTTCATTTTTCATAACTGTTGCCCTTCATGCGTGAGCTTTAAGTGGCATTACGTATGTAGAATCTCTTCCCAGCTTTTTGAGGAGTTTCCAAAAGAAGGAGAGACTTTATTGGTAGGCAATTGTATACTCAATGTGATAGGAGGAGTTATATGAGAAAAACACAAATTATGAGGTCAAATAATTTTGGAAAATAATGCACAAAAGTAAAAATAATTTATTTATTAAATGATTTTTCAGTGCTTTTAATATGCTAATATACAGATAAATTCTTCAAACCAAGGGCATAGAATATACTCTTTAACAAACTTATTTTACCATTTTACCATTTTTCTAAATCTACTTAAGATCATTTGGGGAACTAGATTTCTGGAACACCAATTTTGGGAAGTACTGTGCTATGCTAGAATTTCTCTTCTAATGTCCCTACTAAAGTGCTTGAAATTCTTATTTTTTTGGGATGTCTTTAATTGAAGAATCAGTAAATCAAATCTAGGTAATATCAAAACTTTTAGGCCACAGAGTAAAATTGCCTGAGCTTTTTACAAGCACACACCTAGAAGAAAACAAGGACTCAGACAGGTGGAAACATATCATTAGTGATACAAGTCATAGTGAAAAGAACAAATCCAAATTGAGGAACCACAGAAGTTACAACACAGCACCACGGAACCATGGGAAGGAGGTGATGGAAACTGGAAAAGGCACGCAAGAAAAGCAGTAGGTAGGAGTGGCTTGGGAAAACTTTATTACGCTGAACACTGTTGGCTCAAGGGCAGACGTGAAAGTGACTATACCATATATTAGATGGTAATAGAAGTGTTAAACGCAGTCTCCCTCAGTAACCATGAGAGATTGGTTCCAGGACCCTGCAGATATCAAAATTGCAGATGCTCAAGTCCCTTATATAAAGCAGCAGAGTATTTGCCCATAACCTATGCACACCTTTTCATGTGCGTTAAATTATCTCTAGATTACTTATAATACCGAATAAAATGTAAATGCTGTGAATAGTTGCTATATTGTATAGTTTTTAAAATTCACATTCTTATTATTGTATCTTTTATTGTTTTGTTTTCTAAATATTTTTTACCGAAGCTTGGTTGAATCCACAAATATGGAATCCACGAATACAAAAGGCCAACTGTCCTTTTTTGTAAGAGTTCCTTTTTCCACAAAATGAGGCATGATTTTAGTTTTAACTACAGATGTTAGGTGAAGAGTGAGGTATAAAAGATACCTGTATGTAATCAATAGTCCTTACCATCTGCTGTACATCATCATAATGTAGTGTACTCAGTAAAAGAATCAATGTGTGGCTCCAGTCTAAACCAATTAAATCAGAATCTTCAAAGTTGAGTCCAGGATACTGGTAATTTTTAAAGCTTCTTAGAGATTTTAATATGTAGCCAGAATCAGAACCATTGCTTTAGAGCAAAGGCCAGTCAGGCAATAGTAGAGAGTAAAGAAGGATAGTTTCTTTGAGGTAGCACTGAGAAGTGAAGTACTTTTCTCTCTGCCAAAAGTAATCCACGACTTACAAATGCCCACTCAGGGGTAGAGAGAATTAGAAAATGTTTCTGATTTATTTTGTGACATTTTATCTAGCTATACCTTTCTTTTATTCTCTCATCAAGTTGCCAAAGGCCATTTCTCTGTGGACATGAACCATTTGTAATCCCACACTCCACACTTAGGAATCCTGTTGACCCTGAGACTAGCTGATGGGAAGAAGATGGAATTTCTCACTAGAGTTTTCTCACTATATTTGTGTGAGTCATCTTTTTTAAAGGAAGAATAAAGCTGATTATAAAATAGCTTCAGGGCCAGGCACAGTGGCTTACGCCTGTAATCCCGGCACTTTGGGAAGCCAAGGCAGGCAGATCACCTGGGTCAGGAGTTCGAGACCAGCCTGACCAACATGGAGAAATTCTATCTCTACTAAAAATACAAAATTAGCCGGGCATGGTGGTGCATGCCTGTAATCCCAGCTACTTGGGAGGCTGAGTCAGGAGAATCGCTTGGACCCGGAAGGCGGAGGTTGCAGTGAGCTGAGATCGCACTACTGCACTCCAGCCTGGGCGACAGAGCAAGACTCCGTCTCAAAAAAAAAAAAAAAAAAAGAAAAAGAAAAAAAAAAGCTTCAGTTCGGTTTCATATATTAGTGAATTTTCTCTTCCCTGCTTCAGCTTATGTTTAAATATCAGCTGAGAGATTCTAGAAGAAACGATGAATTTGAGGATGGTATTTAAGCTATGGTGACTTAGGACAGTAGGCACATCAAAGAGAAAACGAACACACGTCAGAGATAGGACCTACTTTGAAAGTGTACCTAAGGCTCACACAAGGGGTGATTTCACGATGGTAGGGTATTATAGTGAGATTCACATGACGCATTTACTTGCTACATGGAATATTGATCCTTCTGTGTAAATTCACCTTCCTCCAATGAACTTCCTCCAGTGAAATGGTTGCTTCACTTCTCAGACAATCCAAGGGGAAAGGGAAAAAAAATCCAATAGCTAAAGGCAATGCAGTAACCTGTATTGTGATGGCAGTCTTATGCCTGTCATTTAGATAAATGTTGCTGTGCTAGAAAAGAAGAAAAAAAAAGCCTTTCGAAGTTATTCTTTTCAGCCAATCATAGCTGAATCTTTTTTTTTTTAACCAATGAGTGGAACATAACAAGGACATAACTATGCAGAGTCACATTACTCAAAATTTTAAATCAAAGAAGCATTTTTTTTCCATTTCAAATAGCATAAAAACTTTAGACAGGCAGAATATAATTACTCCAACATACATCAATCCAGATCACTAAAATTTTACACCAAGCCTTTCTATTCTTCCCCTGACTAACTATGACAAGGCAAGCATTTCACTTGGAGAAATGGCAGGGTAGTTGGGGGAGGTGAGGAGGAATGGAAAGAATGTCATTCACTATAAATACTGTATTCATTAAGATTAAGAACACTTTTACTTAATATTAACATAAATGACATTCAAGTACAGAATGACTCCTGTGATTTTTTCTGAATAGCCAAGATAACACAGATGCTCTAGTGATTTGTTTTTCTGTGTTAGAACTATTTCTGCATCTTCTATTATACATGCGGCCCCCCTACTGTCTTTGAGGCAAAGTGGCATGTTCTTTTGCATTAACAAGATGTGTCCAACTAAACAATTTCATTAGTATTTTTCCATACAGTTAAAATAATATTTATGTCATGTCTCCTCATTTTTCTGTCTTAGCATAATTATCTATTTTATCTGACTAACAGGACAAACCCAACAACTGACTAGCTGTAATTATTAATAATAAACTTGTGTCTGTTAACAAAATGAAACACATTAAAGGGGAGAGAAACATATTGATCCAATTATATCTCCATATGTCATTTAAAACACTAAAATGGGACAAATTTATTCAGAAATATTTATTAAGAGGCTATGATGTATCTCGTACCATTTTAAGTCCTGATTCCAGAGTAGAGAACAAAACTGAACAAAAATTCTTTCTCTCTTGAAATTTACATTCTGGTAATATCTTTGTAAATGGGAGATAAAAAGGAATGGAGGATAACAGGTCTCAAGACAATTGTCAAAGTTAAAGGTATAATGCTGTAAATATAATTTCTGCATCATACATGATAATAGTATTAATAACAGTCTATGTTTACTCAGTACTTACTATGGGCCATGAATTGCTCATTAAATGGAATCTTTTAAGAAAACTCATTGACTCTTTTGAGTTTGATAGTTTAATTATTTCAATTTTACAGATGAGAAAATTGAGAGTTTCAGTAATTTCCCCACAGGCACGCAACTAAGAAGTGGTAAAGCTGGAACCCACACACGCAGACTGAAGATCTGTGTTCTTCACCATTTGGCTTTTGGTACCTTCGTTCTACACAAAGACCCAAAACTAGATATAAAGCCCAGAATTTCAATGTTGAACCAGTGTTTCTACCTGTAGTGTTAGATCTTAGCTATTTTTATATTAATATAAAAATTATTCCTTCTTAAAAATCTTAGAACAGGTGAGGATTTGGACAACTAGGTGAAGAAACCGTATCTTCTACCCTAAAGTGTCAAAGAATTGTCCAAATCACAGTCATTATTTTATGAAAGTCAACAATATAACAGAGAACACAAACTCCTTATACCACTTAGTGTCATAAGGAATGGGTTAACTGTATTTTTTCATTATTAGTCTACTTACAATACAAATATTAATTGAGATTGTGATCTAAAATTGATTAGTATTTATATTGCCAATTTTCACCTAGAATGGTTTATCTTCCAAGTCACAGTGTTTTGTGATTTTCATTGTATTCTTTCTTCCTTCTATCTGCTTGCAGTAGAAAGAAAGTTATAGAATGATTAAGATTCATGTAATCAATGGCCTTTGCCAGGCAGCCCTGCTGTTATCCAATTCTAGTATTTATCTCAAAGTAAGGTCCATTCCATTCTTCCTAGCTGGAATTCCAAATATTTCCCACACTTTTTTGGTTCCCAATCTAATTTTTATTATTCTTGTTCTCCCAGAATAACATTAATTGACATCATTTTATATAAATTGCTTCAATCACACTCTATGTATTTCAAAAATGTTTTTTTATTTTTATTTTTATTTCTATATTTTTAAACATGCCACTTTGCATACTCTTCCAACTCTTTTCAATTATGTTTTCCAACAACACCTTATATTTTTCTTGATGTTCTTGCCACAAAGTCATCTTTCCTTTTTCATTTTTCTGCAGTTTATCATTCACACATTCTTTACTCCTTGGCCTAAGACACAACATCTTTTGGAATCGAACTTCTCTATGCTTTTAAAATATCCTTTTTCCTGACTCGACTTCACTTCCAAATTACTTACCATTTACTGCTGAGTAATTCAAAACAGGAATCTGTTTCACTGTTGTTTCACAATATACCCACACACCACACAGTCTGGAAAAACTCAGCTGATAATGATCTCTTAGAAGGAACTAGTGACTCCCCAATAGATATATTCATGACTTTACTTTTTAAAATTATAGAATATATTCATGACTTTAGTTTATAAAATTATAAAATGTCACCCTCTACCTTTTCCTTTCTTAATAACTGTATTCATCCAATTTTTCATACTTTTAAGAATATTCTTTTGTAGATGCCTTTGTTGCTTCTTCCTGTAATTGCTTTTTAATGTTAAGTTCCCCGCTATTTGAATATCACCTTTCTCTACTTTTGCTTAGCACTTTGCCTTTGATAGTATCACGTAAGGTCAGAGTTTCAATTTTGACTTTTAAGTTGATGACGACTCCTAAGTTCATATCTTTAAGCCTTGATTCCTAACTAGCTTTTAAATATCTGAATGTAAGCATTCTGCCAGTTCCACTCTCACAGGCCAGAAGTAACCTCAGTAACGCCTTTTCCAAGTCTGCTACTCTGCCTTTACTAAGGTTTGAGTCACCATCAGTTTTTCTCTCTAATACACTTCTCAAACTCTGTCTCTTATGCTCTTATATCTTTTTCTTACCTCTTATTTTTGTGATCTCTCTTCTATTGCCAATGCTTCTGAACCAGCGGTCCCAACCTGTGTGCCAGGACTATTGTAATAGTTTCCTAATTCCTGCACTTACTTCCAATCTCATGTTTTCTAATCTATGATTCATATAGCCATCACATTTCTCTTCTTAAACAGAATGAAGTTGACAGTTTCCTTCTTCAAATGCCTGCACTGTCTTCTATTTCACAGAGAGTGGTACTCAAAATATTTGCCTGGCATTTAAGGTTCTCTCTTATCAGGTCACCAAAAGCCTTCCCACTAAAGGTAATCATCATACCCTGCAGTTACTATTCCTTAAATATTTCATCTGCTTTCCCATCTCACTGATTTCATTTATGTCATTTTCTCATATGATTTTATTCCCTTAGCTATCCCCATCATTTGTTAATTATCACATCTTCCTGAATGTCCAAAACCTAGTTATATCCCTTTTTGGCATTCGCACACTTTGGACCCTGTCATAGTGCATATTGTATTAAATGAAATTAAATAAATTTAAAAATATTTATGTTTTCCAAATAGATTTGGAACAGTGGAAGCATGGCTTCTTGTTAAGATAACAAAGATCCATGGTAGGAATTAGTTGCCAGTGGCACAGTTATGATTTTAAAAGCACTGTAAAAATGGTTATATTTAATCTTTACCTGGAATCTTATATTACTACAATTAACAATTCATCACGAATAGTTTTTTCAATTGTGTTAATTTTGAGAAATTAATGTGGAAGTTTCAGGGAACAAAACTTATGTGTATGTCTGCAATAAAATATGTCTATATTTCTAGATCTGAAATATATTTAACATAATAATAAAATTTCCTGACTATACAACTTAAATTATACATGAAAAAGAAAGTACTTTTACATTTTAAAACAGAATTGAAGTTTGAAATGGTAGTAAATATATGCTGCAACACAGTGTACTCTGACAGAGCAAAGTTGTATTCTGCCATTAAATCCCAATCCATCTTATGTTTCATCAGAAATAACTCTGCTGTATTTATGTTTCATATAAATCACACAGATATAAATAGTACTTTCATATTAAAATAGTAAATTAATATTACAAATAATAAGTAAAAATAGTCAACACAGCTGGAAATGTCCTCACTGGCCATTGTGTTTCCATCATTATGAGGGAGTTACACTTAACAGTAAATAGCAAATAGATGATTCCTTTTACTAAATTTTACTTCCATTGATGGAGGTTGTGTGCCATTTGTAGCTTTCTTCTGTCAAGCATTCCTTTAATGTGTTGCATTTTATCTTTTTTACTTAACAGTAGTAGTTTATAACTCTGGGTTCTAGCTTTAGATGTGTCACCCAGTTATCTTGCACAAGGCATTTCATTAGTATATAGTTCAATTGCCTCATCCATGGTAAGTTAGATGTGAAGATGAAGCTATAATGAATAAGTTGGTCTTAGTAAGAGTCTTGGAGACATTTATGAATAAGTTGGTCTTAGTAAGAGTCTTAGAGACATTAATGAATAAGTTGGTCTTTGGAAGAGTCTTGGAGACATTTAGTCAAGTTGTGTGTGCATATGTGTGTGGGGTGGGTGTGTGAGAGAGAGAGCAAAAGAGAGAGTGGGAGGGAATCAGTGAGAAAGGTGTAATTAAAATAATAAAGTGTTTTTAAAAGGGGGAAGAATAATTAGCTAAGTTAAAAATGCATATACAGCAAGAAACATTTATTACATGGTCTTATATACTCTCCCAGTGTTTTGCACACTTACACAATGGCAGGTAACTACTCTGTCATACTTATTCGTAGTTTGTCTTCTTAAATAAATCACCATTTGGCCCTTTGACTCAGAATATTGGTGACAGTGGAAATGGGCAAGTGCCTGAAGTTGAGTTCCATTTCTCATTTGCTTTCCGCAAGAACAAATGAAAATCCACAGGTTTTGTGAAGCAGATTCTCTTTATTGGTAGTCTGGAGGCCTTACTAATTAGCATTTAGCTATAAGTAATGCAAGGGTAGCTGGTATTAAGTAGAGTTCTGTGTGATCTCTTATTTCATTGCTATGTTAAAAGAGAGCTTGGGGAATAATCAGTGTACGGACTATGTTTTCTGGAAATTACATTAAAACCTTTATTCGTACTTTAAGGGCAGAATCATGTTTCCATTTATTTTTTTATAGTTCTAATCTTGTTTATAAAAAGTTTAATAACAATTTCCAACACAGTCATTTTCAAAGGACATTTTCAAAACCCTCCTATGTCATTTCTTCTCTTGATTATGTTGTTGTTCTACTTCTTATTTCTGGGGTCTTTTATGTTCTAACAGAACCATAACCCTATATCCTCAAGTGGGAGTTAGGGGATTGCCAGTGAAGTAAAGGAAGCTAAAAAATTAGAAGCACATTCTCCGCAGTCTCTAATTCATCCAAAAAATTGCTTCTTTCTCCAGACAATATTTGTCACTATGGCATTTAACCCAGGGTTAGAGCTTTTGTTTTCTACCACAAAGTGGTTGGATTTCCTTCCTAGTTGCCTACATTCTCTTCTCCTCATATTCTCCCATCCCTTGTCACCCTTGTCCTTGGATATTCCCAGATAAAACCCACCTCTACCCTTCCTCAATGACTCAGAAAAAACCCACCCCCGTTCTTCCTGATGGTTCCCACATGATTCAAATGAGTTTCTTCTCAGCCTCTATCAAACCCTGAATCCCCTTTGTTTTGAGATATTTCTTATTAATGAATGTTTTTTCTTTTGCTATAGCCTGAGTAAAATCATCTTGTTTGTCCAGTGCATTCTGTTTTTTTTTATATCTGCAACAAAGTTAAAATTCCAAAAAAGTTTTCTCAACACACCTATAGCCAAGAAGGTATTTGTCTCTTGTCTCTCACAGAACTCATGAGAATGCCTTAATGGCATAAGGCAATATTTCATTGAACTGGTGATGTAAAAATATGAAAAACATATTTTTGTGTGTGGATTTGTGGCATTAAGTGTTAAACGAAAAACTGAAATAGAAAGAGTGAGGAAATTTAACATATTAAAGTAATATGCTACTGTTTGAAAGATACACACTATTTTCTGAAATTAATGAGATTTATCCAGTTTTAATGCTCTTTAAACAGAAACATTGAGTGAAAATCTTGCTAACAATAGAAAATTTAAAATTTCTTACCAAATTTCTTTCTGAAAAACATCATGAATATGAAGGTTTATTGGATATTTCTGTAAATGTATTGTGGAAGAGATAATTCTTCATTTAAAGTATGTATTATCACTGGCATGAAGTAGGATAGTTAGGTTCAAGAAACAAAGCCCTGTAGAAATTCATTCACTTCAGTAGAAGTTAAGAAATATATAATGTTCTTATGTTTCATCCTAAGAAAATGTATAACTAATTCATCATGTAAGAACAGCCCCCCGAGAATAACTTGTGTTTGGAAATGGCCTCAGTGGAATTACAAAATTGCTAACAAAATTAAATCTCATTATACCATTTAAGCACCTGATTTATATGATGAAAGAAGCCAATATTTGAAGACATCTAGAATCTAATAGACTAAATACTAATACTGAGAAATTTATTTTAGGTGGATTTTTCCTTACAAATTGTTATTGGCCACGCACTATGTTAATTTCATTGTATAAATATCCTGGAAACACCAAAGAAAATTTAAAAAGCAAAATCCTTGTCCCTGCAGGGTCATATTGTACATTCCAGAAAACAAAAACAGTAAAAAAGAGAAACAGAGAGGAGTGAGATATGGTTATTGCCAAATGATTGGTTTAGAAAGCATTTGAAAAAGTGCCATGAATACATGACATAATGTAAGTAAAGAAGGAAGCAAAATGCCTGGTGTTTAATGAGTGGTCAGTACATGATATCTGAAAACAGTCTTCTCTAACGCTAGGAAGACCATCTAGAGAGAAAGAATGTAAATGCTACTTGAAAGGAAAAGAACCTGATTGAGGAGGAAACACCAGAAGACAGAATCCTACATAGCGAAAATAGAAAAAGCTAAGATATTGAGAAACGACATGTATAACATGAACATTTACAGTTCTTAATTAAATCTCATGTCCTTCACTATGTTTTAAAGATGGGCCATAAACCCATGGACAAACATAAAGCCATAAAATCATTATCCTCCAGGGCGTGCTTGGGTTTGAAGTGGACTTGCCTGAATGGACATGTACTTTGAAAGAAACCCTAGAGGGTCTTGTTCTTCTTTTCACATGAAATTCATGGGATTTAGTAAGCAATTTGTAGAAGTAGTTGGAAATAAATGTGTATAAGTACATGACAGAAAATGCAGGTCAGTAAATATCCAGCTAAGAAGTGTGGACTGGAGGCAGAGGGAAATCACAATAGTATTTTGTGGTAGGGCAAAGGCAGAGTGATGTGTTGGGGATATATATGTCAGTTATGTCATTTGGTTGGTTGGAGGGAGGGGAGAATCAAAGCAAGGAAACCAGTTAGAAGACACTTGGAATATTGAAAATGCCTAAAACTAAGCAAACTCACCTGAATATCTTCACAATTTACAAGTAACAATGTTGCTGCTATTTATAAACCAACTACAGTGTTCCAGTTTTCTATTGCTAAGTAACAAGCCCATCCACACATATTACGCTCGGTGATGTCATGAGTCATGTATTCAAAAAAGGTACAATGGGGCCTTAGCTTGGATGATTTGAACAGCTCAGGTGACAACATTTGGGTAGTGGAATTATTTGGAAGTTTTTCTCTCATTCTGGTACCTGGGCGGGGATGACCTGAAGGCTGGAGACAGCTGGGACTATGGACCAGGTCACCTAATTGAGGCAGGACCTCCTCATGTAGGTTGGTCTTCTCAGAATGTGGCATATGGATTCTGAGGAAGACACTATCCAGAGGAAACCTGTGGAGAGTGAGTGAGCATTCTGAGAGATCTAGGTCAAAGTTGCAAGGCCTCTTCTGACCTTGCCTCAGATGTCAAAGGCAAGCAGCATTATTTCTTCTCCATTGTCTCCATCAAACACTCACCCAGATTCAAGGGAAGGGGACATAGACATCATCTTTCAATGATAGGAATACCCAAGAATTTGAGCCCATGCTTTAAAGTGCCACATATAGATAATCATGGAGAAAAATGTGTTATAGTATGAAATAAATGCAGCATTAGCAAGTCTTTTCAAAGAACCTACTAAAAATTGCATAGTATTTATTTTTGACATTACTCATGCAATTCTATTAATATAATAGTGATGGGGTTCAGAACAAGCCAAATCCAAAATATTGGCACCTTGATGTTTGATAAAACAGCAGAAGCAGGAGGATCATTTTCACTGCCCTCTACCTTTCTCCCTAGAATCAGGTCATGAAACCTAGGAAGAATTTTCTGACCTTCCCCTGAAGCAAGTCAAGATTCTCATTCAAGAGGTGCCCTCCCTATACCTAAAGAAAATGAACATCTTTATCTCTGAAGACACAGGGACATAGAGAAAAAACTGAACAAACAGGCCATCCTAAGTTTGCCCTAGTTAATTACCATTAGACTATACCCCCTTTTCCAATCATACCTCCCTACAGCTGTCCACTCTTCATTAAACCTAAGCATAAAAATGGTTTCTTCTCTTTCTCTGGGTCTTCATTTCTGAAGGCTCATGTGTTATGTACAACTTACCTTAAATAAACTTGTAAACTTGTCTCCTTTTAAGTTGTCTTCTGTTATAGGGTTCTCAGCCACAACCCCAGCAATAGGTGAGGCAAAAATTTCTTCCCTGCCATCCCCCACCTCCATAATAGTCACAATTAGGAGTCATGGAATGAGCAAAGTGATATTAGCAATGCTGAAGTAATAAAAAACACTAAACAATTAAAAGCCATTTTCTAATTCAAAATTATTTTATCGGGAGCTTAAGGGTTTAAAAAAACATTTAAAACACTGTTTGGTATTTCTTAGAAATGAATGTTTGAAACTACAGCTGGTCTTCTCATGCAAAAAGCATACAAATTAAAAATGACATAATTAATTATCCAGATGCTTCAGATGTCGGCATTTGCCATCACTTTCGCCATATCACCACTCATTTAGTTCAAATGTTTCATTGCACTTAGGTGCTTGGGGTCGCAAATTTAGGTAGAAAATTTGGTTCACTCTCAAGTCTGCCTATCACCATATGTTTTGCTTGGGCATGAAAAATGAGAAGAACCTAAGCCTTTGCCACGGAGTCAGGTAAAGTGTTTCCATCAATGGCTATTAAGTTTGAGTAATGGGGTTTTAAAGAGACAACTTGTAGTGTTGCTCTTTAGGAACCTCGACAGCAATTGTGCTTTAGCTGCAGGTTCTATGATCTAACTGTAGCTTTGGCTCCATGCAGCCCCTTGCCTGTGTCACCACTGCTTGAACCCCCTCTATGGTATACATCTGTTACCAATTCCCTTTCAAAGAGCATCTGCTGCCAGGAGAGGAAAGCTTTTAATATGTTGATTTATCATCATCAGATACAGGGTTTTTATTGCTTGCATTTGAATATTATATTTAAGGTGCTTTGTGATTACAGATGTTTTACATATAAATTGCTTTATATTAGGAAAACCTTTTATTCGGTATTTTTGAGGAAACTTCACATTCATGTGTTTTACATTTTAATATCTTCTGCATTGCTGAACGCTTGTGAATTGCTTTCTGTCCATAATGGTAGTCAGTATGAGCAACAGCATCTGTGACTGTTGCTGCTTCAAGGAGAAAATTAAATGTGGTTGTTTTTTCTGTTCTAGGGAGTCAGAGTTTATTAATTACTAAAGAAAACTTTGACTGTTATTTTATCCCCAAAAGGGACAGAGTAGGTCACTACAAAAAATAACTTCCCACTCCATAACCTTTGTAAACCAGAAAATGATGTCAGTCAAGTTTCTTCTTTTCTTTCCCTTGTCTCTTGCAGTCTTAAGAAAATCTGGAAGTCTTATGTACTGTATGGTCTTTGAAATAATAGCACCATCTACTGTCTGAATCTGAATTCATTCATCATGTTAAGGAAATGATGAAGATGGTAGAGATGGAGGAAGTGCTCTAAGTCATTTAATAATGTGACTCAAAGTAAATGAAAAATGTGAAAATTCTCACCTAAAGTACAAAAACAAAAGTAATCACATCAGGGCATAGTCACATTAAATACACATAGTGAATTAATCTTTTTCATTAAGAAAGACTATAAGATCATTCTGAAATCCATAGGAAAGACAATGTCTTTATTATCATCATTATTATTTTAGTTCTCCAGTGTCAACTTATTTTATATTCATTTAGATGAAGGGTAGGGGTGCAAGACGTAGACTCAAAATACCCTAAGGAAATCCCTATCTCTCAGCCTGGCATCATGATGTAAGCCTAAGTGCTCCGTTTCTGCACCGAGTGCCAGTCCGCTCTCAGGGAACACTTCTTATAGTGGGAGTTGCTTGTAGTCTTGCCTGTTCTCTGTCCTCAAGTCCTTCTCCCAAAGGAGTCATGGTATTTCATTAAAAAACTCAACTGTCTGTATAAATGATCATTGAAAGTACGTCTCAGGGCTCTCATAACAATAAGCCACTAGCTATTTGAAGAACATAGAGGGGAATTCAGGACATTCTCCAACCCTCCTTCATGCTGATTTCTTTCAATGAGCAAGAGGTCACTTGTCATTCTGCCTCAAACACAGTTATTTCCTTAACCTCATAACTCCCAAAGAGCTGTCTTGCCTCCCACACATCTATTGCTGGCTGCACATTGCTCTTTCTTCCTCTGGAGCTGGCAGCCAGCTATTCTATAGACAGCAGGAATTTTATGCTCTCTGTCCGGTTTATTATCTCTTTTCTAAATCAATTCACAAGGTTTATTTTCTCTATCTGGCCTCTGTTCCCTTTCCTCCCACTTCCATTCTACTTCACCTTTGATTCCAAAAGGAAACCCGAATTGAAATGCCTCACTTAAAATTTTTTTTAAATTTCGTATTTATAAATAGCCAATGACCTTTGCATAAAATAAATGCTTGGAGAAAACATGTATTCTCGCAATTGATTTTCTTATTCTGTTCAATTTATTTGAGATGCCAAGAAACATACTGAGCAGGAAATAAACAATGGGATAATTGAAATATCAACTATGATTCCACACTTATTTACTAGATATTAGTTACCTCTCCTCTTTCTGCCAAACTATATGAAACCCAATCCCGGACTTCAGAGGAGCTTATAGTCAAGTTGGTCATTCCTTATCCTCTTGTCTTTTTAAAAAGTTTCTTTGGCTGGGAGCGGTGACTCACACTTGTAATCCCAGCACTTTGGGAAGCCATAGGCGGGCAGATCACGAGGTCGAGACCACGTGAAACCTCGTCTCTACTAAAAATACAAAAATTTACCCGGGCGTGGTGGCGGGCGCCTGTGGTCCCAGCTACTCGGAGAGGCTGAGGCAGGAGAATGGCATGAACCCGGGAGGCGGAGCTTGCAGTGAGCCGAGATCGCACCACTGCACTCCAGCCTGGGCACAGAGGTAGACTCCATCTCAAAAAAAAAAAAAATAAGTTACTTTATTATCTGTTTATCTCCATTGTAGAAGCTAAATACTGGCCAACTAATTTTCTACTTAGTCTAGTCTTATCTTAGTTATTATTACAACTATTGCAGGATAATATTTTAAAATATTAACTCATTTTTATTCACTGGGAAAAAAATCATTGCTTTATATATGTGTTTCCTTTGGGGAGAGAGTGGCTGTGACTGGCAATTGATAAATTAATAGATCAATCAATAAACAAAGTCAATTGAGCCGCCAAATATATTTATTTAGAAAAACTTGTGGCAGAAAACAATAGTTATAAAAGTCAATACATTTAATGTGCCAGGTATTTTTTTGTTTGTTCGTTTTCTGAAAGAGATAAAGGATCTTGAGAGTCAGAAAGCCAAGCTCCAAAGGGAGCAAAGCAGTAAGATCATCCACAAGCAAATGTAGGTAATGATGACAAATGATAATTTAAGTGCTGGTTTCCCACTCAAATGAGGTTATAATTCAAAGGTTATGGAGAAGACTGGAGAACATTGGAAGAAGCGAGCTTGCTGGCAGTAGGCAAGAAAGGCACTTGTCTTGGGTGCTACATTTAAGGGGTACCAAAAAATTCAGTAATCAAGATAAGTAATATTTTAATGCAATGTTTCAAAAAAATCCACGACAAATGAAGTATCCAAATTTTAAATAAAGACAGAGACCTTAAGGGTGCGTGAATTTCTCTGACAGGACTACAAGTCATGACTGTATCCTAAGTGAGTCTCAGGGGAGGGGCAGTAGAAACTGTAGAAGATAAAACCAAAGATAGGCTTAGAAGGACTTGGGGGCAGCAGAGTTTTCCCTTACAGCCCCCATTCATCCTCATCATAGTCTAGGAAACTATGAGGATTTTGAAGAAGTCATGAAGCTCTAGCCAGGCAGGACAAGTTTGTTAGTTCCAAGAGAAGCTTGCTAAAGTTAAGAGACATTAGGATCATGGAGGGTAAACAGCTATGGATTTCATGAGGTTCAGAAGTCCTGAGGAAAGTCAGATGAAACAAAGGTTCTGAGCCTGAGACAAGAAGGATTTAGATGAGATGGTCCTAGCAACTGACCATGCTGTGAAGGTCACAGACTCAGAGACAGAAGCCCACGCTGATGAGAACATGGGGAAAGCAAAGCAGATGCCATCAGGACACAGAGAAAAGGCACACAAATGAGACCTGAGCCACGTGGACGTTTCCCCTATCACCTCACGACTGAAACCACCCCAGGAAAGAGAAAGAGAAGGAGAGCTACGCATTTGACTCAGTCATTACCCAAAGGAGAGTACATTTTAAATTGCAAGTGACCATGAATGGAAATGAGGGTTTCAAAAGGTAAATTTCATTTAATTTTAGCAATCTAAAATATATATTTTTTTCTATTTGCATTTAGTAACTCAAAGGTGTGGTCGTGGAACATCAGTATCAGTTGTCACCTTGGCGCAGAATCTTGGGAGCCACACTGTTGCAAGGAAGAATCTGCATTTTAGTTAGATTCCTTCTGTGAGAAAAATAAAAGTTCTACTATCAAAAGACCGCTCCATACTAATGTAGAAGAGGAGACAGACAGATAATACAACATGAATATTGGGTAAACATTATCAGAGTCCTGTGCATGTAAGGTAATGGGAAAGTAACTACAAAGCCTGGACAGAATTTCACACAAGTCTATTCAGAGTCTAGATGCAAACAATTAAAACTTATCTTACTTCTTTGAGAGATAAGACTGTCTCATCTATGCCTGTTGTAAGCCCCTAAGCTAGTTCTGGAGGTAAGTGTTCACAGTTTCAAGAGTCGGAAGGCTCACAAACTTGCATTGTAAAATCAAAAGATGAAGCCTTTTAATCAGGTCTATTGTGTTCTCAAGGAGACACTCTAAAAAGTGGAAGCAGAGTAGGCAGTGACCTCCTCCTTAAGGAAAATTTCATGTTTACTTTTAGTCTTCATCATTGATCTTCATATTAACATTTGAGAAGTACTATGTTACACAAGCAATTGAAATAAATAATTTGGCATTGCTCCATTTGTCAGCACTCAGGGCTATGACTACATGTGTAGGTTTAATGGTTCAATCAGATTTCCTTCTCAACTTCTGGGAGATCTCTAATTACATCAAGAAGACAATGGTCAAGAACAGGGTCATCAAACTTTTTGTAAAGAAACAGATAGTAAATATTTGGGGCCATATAGTTTCTTCTGTAACTACTCAACTCTGCTGATGTAGGGTGAAAGCAATCATAGAAATACATAATGAAATGAACCTGACTATGTCCCAATAAGACTTTATTTACAGCAACAGGCAGCATGCCCGATTTGGCTCACTGGCCATAGTTTTCCAAATTATCTTATAGAATGTTCTATGAAACGATTCTTCTAAATATAAGGCAGTGATAACTAAGGAATAGCTCACTGGCCATAATTTTCCAGATCATGTTATAAAATGTTCTGTGAAATTGTCCTTCTAAATATAAGGCAGTGGTAGCTAAGGAATAGGGTTTGCCTCTCTGCTATGATCATTTCATCATAATTGCTAAATTCTCTAGCCGTCTTGTCATATAGTCTTTGTGACTGTAGAGCCATTCATCTTTGTATTGTGCAGTCTTAGCACATTGAGGGCATGGCTTTGCTTTTCTCAATCCTAGGTTATAGCACTTAAAACACTCAAAATGCCCTTTTACTTACACTGCTAATGAAATTCCTTTCTGTCAGTTTTTTACATATTACAGATAGATCAGATGTAGCATCTTTAAAATCAATATAGAAATATTTCATATGTTAAGCATGTCTATTGTAAAACACTTGAAAAATAAGAGTTTAATAATGTTAAATCATAATGTAATAGTAGCAGTATCCTTTGAATATATAATGCTTTCTTGTTTCTCTTTTCCTCCTTTGTCCATTGACTGTTAAACAATTGGGTCAGGTAGATAGGAAAAAATATTTCTGGGGCTTTGGGAAACTAAGTGAGATGCCCAAAGTTATGGGGCAAATAAAAGTTAGACCTTGGCTCAAATCTTCATTTCTACTTCCTATTCGAACACACTTTTCACCACAACACAGTATATTTAACCAGTAATAGCACTATATATTAATGTGGTTGATAAAATCTGTAGTTAAAACCCACAATTTTCTTCTAGCAATGTCCTCAATTTCATTAGTGACTGAGACAGAACTGTTACATGTGTTTCTGTTTTCTTTTATTGCACTCTGTATCAATGCTCATTTCCCTTTTACCGAAATTTTTAAAATTTGTTTTCAATGAACTGTTATGTGTATTTTATTTTTATACAAATAAAATGGATTACCAATTAGCCAATAAACTTATTTCTTTCAGTAACTTACGTTCTTTGAGATACTCACAAGTGACTTAATTTACCCAACGACGTCCAAAATAGATACTAGTTTCACACTTCTCGTATTTTCAGTCTCTCATATCCCTATTCATATGTTGGAAATCATCTGCCCTCATTGTCTTTTCTTTAAGTAACTATTAGTTTACACCTGAATGTACATATCATTGAACTTTTAATTTTATTAGAAAGGTCTAAGTTTTTATCTGTGTTCTCTTTCCATGACTGTCCTATATATCTTGGCAAGATATTTAATGAAGTTGAAAGAAAGAAACTTTTAAATTCTGTGCTTGATAGTCCACCTTTAGGAATCGGGAAATCTGTCAGACGCAGTGGTAAATATGGATAAGGTATGAAAACAATGAGAAGGATCTGTATTCCTTTAGGTGGTGTCCTTTCCCCCAAACTACTCTTAGTTATTTCAGAAAAAAGAGTATGTTAGTACTGCAAAAATGACATTATAATGCAATTCCTTCTTGTTAGTACTAGTGTGATTCTTTTGATACTTGCATATAAAAGTCTCCCAACGTGTTTTTACTATAATGAATGGAAATGTATTCCCGCAAAAACCTTTTAACTTTCTGCTTAATGGGGGAATTCAAAAGGAAAGTGAAAAACTGAAAAAAGAGTGGAAACAGTCAGCTAAAATTGCAAGTATAGGTGCACAGCTTGTACGTATATAACAGACAGGTTGTGTCCCTGAAATAATTCAAGTTCCCTGACTGTATTGACTACTCATCTTATTTTTTTCATGTATTTTTGCCTTATTTAAGAACATTTAAGGCATCTAAAAGCCAGAATATGAATAATAAAATGTTGGTAAAAATAAGTAAGACACAAGAATCAAAAGTAGGGGAAAATAAAAATGGAAGTAAATACATACTGCTGGGTAAATAGGAGTAGGTAGTTATTACAGTTATTGCTGAGGTGAGAAAGTGGAAGAGAAAGGGGTGGCAGAGAACCAAATCCATGTATTCAGCCTGCATGTTCCACATAATTGTGATCATTGACCTTTAAAATAGATTGTGTATTTACTCACAGCTAGAGCAAAGAAGAGGAGCATGGCTATGATTATCACAGGGCACAGCTAAGCTACACCATCTTTTCTTTAGGTATTCAAAGCTGCATTACAACACTACAATAGAAAAGCCATAACATAGTATCTTAGTATTATGGACTGAATTGTGTCTCCTCAAAATTCCTGTGTGGAAGTCCTAACCTCCAATGTGATTACATTTAGAGAGAAGGGTTTTAAGGAACTAATAAAAGCTAAAGGAGATCTTAAGAATGAGGCCCTAATTCAACAGGACAAGCATCACAATAAGAAGAGGGAGAGATACAGAGATACTAGGAGTGTGTATGTTGAGAAAAGGCCATGTGAAAACACAGTGAGAAGGCAGACATCTACAAACCAAGGAGGGAGTTCTTACCAGAAATCAACGCTGCCACCACCTTGATCTTGGGCGTCCACCCTCAGAACTGTGAGTAAATAAGTGTTCATCGTTTAAGCCACTCAGTATGCAGTATTTGGGTTATGGCAGCCCAAGCTGATCAATAGACTCAGAAAAAGCACTATCAGCAATGTGGTAAATGAGTTATCAATTCATATTTCTACAGACCATACAACAATATTTTTTAAATGGCAGAGTACTAGTATTAGTTAATAACAGCTAAGAATAATACATAAAAATGATGCATGTAGAAGGCAATTCTTCATGAATCCAAGTAAATATAATCCTGATATAGTTTTGACATTTGCCCCCTCCAAATATCATTTTGAAATTTCATCCCCAAGATTGAAGTTGGGACCTAGTGATAGGTGTTGGGTCATGGGGGAGGATCCCTCATGGATGGATTGGTGCCATTCTCACAGGATTGAGTGAGTTCTAGTTCTATTAATTCATACTCCTCCTCTCTCTCTCTTGTTCCCTCTCTTGCCATGTGACACACCGGCTCCCCTTGCCTTCCACCATGAGTAAAACTTCCTGAGGCCTTACCAGAAGCTGAGCACATGCTTCTTGAGAAGCTTGCAGAACCGTGAGCCAATTAAACCTCTTTGCTTTATAAGTTACCCAGGCTCAGATAACCCTTTATAGGAATGCAAAACAGATGGAAATAAATCCCATATGTGCGTTGGCCCAACTCCATCTAAGGATAAAAATTAGAGAAAAAAGTAAAGGGCACCAGAGCATAGCCTCCAAGTGGGTGGACAAATAGGTAGATGAATGGATAGATAGATGGTTGGATAAATGGTTTTAAAAAATGTGAATTTACTTGAGTCAGCTTTCAAACTATAAAAAATATTTTGTTTTTATATCATTTTAAATGGCATTTGTTATTAAAATAATATTACATGGTAACTGTATACTTAACGTTTTGATGAACTGCCAAACTCTTTTATCCAGTGATTGTACCACTTTATATTCCCACCAACCACATATGAGGGTTGCAGGTTTTATTCCACTCCTAGGTATATACCCAGTAAAAATGAAAACATATGTCCACGAAAAAATTTGTAAATTAATGTTCATAGTATTATTATTCATAATAGCCAAAAAGTGAGAATAACTTAATGCTCATCAGCTCATAAATGGATAAGATGTAGTTTATCCATACAGTGAAATATTATTTATCAATTAAAAAAGGAATGAGATACTTATCCATGCTACCACATGGATGGACCTTGAAAACATGATGCTACATGAAAGAAACCAGACACAAAACTACTTAGGACACTTGAAGTGTCCAAAATGGAATGGAGCAGGAGTAGGGAAATAAATAAGAATTAACTGTTATGGGACAGCATTTATTTTGGGGTGGATGGCAAAAATGTTTCTAAAATTAATGGTAATGATGGTTGCACAACCCTTTGAATATAATAAAGGTGAGTCATGCACTTTTAAACAGTGAATTACATCTCAATAAAGCTTTTTTTTTAACTTTAAAAAATAATATAGTGAATATTTGGAAAATTTTAAAATCGGCTGTCATTTCAACAAGACACAAGTGATCACTTTTTATTTAGTCTTATTTTTGCATATGTATGTTATTTTCTTTAAAAACAGACAAAACATTTTTAGCCTTTCTTTTTTGTTCCCTTTAGAATATACCAGGAGAATTTTCCATTACCATCAACCATTATTCTGTAGGAATTCTTGATGAATTTTCAAAGGCTTGGCAGAATCTTCTATGAAGGGCAGCAACTCGTATTAGCTCTTCACATTAATAACCTCTCTTATTCTCACTATTCTCTGGGAATCTTTATATTGTGGGCTATCATTATTAATGGAAGTGGAACCTTTGACTGTAGAAAAAAATCTTGAGAGTCCACTAAAGACTAATTACAACATGGTTGTGTTAATCAGTCTATCCACCTTCTCTCCCGGGAATTTATTTGGATGTCCAGATAGATGACACAGTGCACTAAAAAATGTATTTGAATTATATGAATGTAATACTCACAATTAGCTGGTCATTCCCAGGAGGGGAGAGGCTCAAGCAGGGGTCTGATGGGAAGGCAAGCCAAGATTCAGGTTGCAGGGTAGGGGGTAGCCTGGGTTTTCATTGAGGGTGGGGAGTAGAGCTGGGATAGGAATTCCCATTTGGGCTGTAGGCTGTACTATTTAAAATTCCCTCTGGCCTGCTGAAGTCTGTGTGAGCCTTTTTATCCTGGTTACCCAGATATAGAGCAAGCAAGAAAGAGTAATGGGAGTCTAAAAACTGTCCACAGTCGAACATCAAAAATGGAATTGACTTCTTTAATACAATGGCCAAGCTAACCTTTTATCAAGCATTTTTACTCCATGAGCTAAAAATCAACCATGCCAGTCACAGAAATATTTCTATAATATTACTGTAAAATGCCTTATTAGAGGCAATATAAACTCCTTTTAAATGTCTGAGCAAATTAAATATAATATATATTCCTTAAGTAATCAGACAAAATAATTTATTATATAGGTCTGTTGACCATGAACTAAATAAAATTTGAAGGTCACCAATCTAAGTAACAATTTTAGTTTCTGTCAAGCAAGCCCACAATGATTTATATATATGATCTGGTTCATAGAAAAATAGTGACAGAATCCTAGAAAATTGTATCAACTGCATCATCCATGCCACTGGAGTCAAACCCATAATTATAATAGCCACTCTAACCTTCTATAATATAACAAATCATCACACATAAGTTCTATAAGTAACTGTATTTTAGATGCCTGAGAGAACAGTTTACAGTACCAACTTTCCCTTATGTCTTATGAAATGTCTGCTTATTACAACTTACGGCAAATAAATGGGTAGTATATATTTTAAATAATACCAATGTTTCTGAAAATTGTATTATTGGTATTAAATTTTCTTTTTCTTTAACACCTTAGCCTGGCAAGTGAAGCCCTCCTTGAAGACACAGCTGATTTTAGCACCCTTAAACCTAATTCCCTTCCTACTGAAACTCGGGCATGTACTATATGTATTTCCCAAGTGCAGCATGCTGCAATGCCCATCAATTAATTTTCTTATGGTGCTTTTCCTGCCTGAAATACAAGTTCCTCCCTTTTCCATATGATAAACAACAATTTATAACTCATTTGGAGGGTTAAAGTTGAATATCATTTTCTCTAAAACCTTCCTTGATCACCCCAACAACTTGGGTAAGCCATAATCTTTCTTTTGTGTCTCTACTCTATGCTGTATATCTATAGATTTTGCTTGCTTGTATCTGTGGATTCTCTTTCAAGTCATAAACTCCTACAGTGTTGAGACTGTGTATTTTCTACTTATAACCAACACTCAATATAGTGACTGCTAGCTATCAAAAGGAAGGGAGGAAGGAAGGATAGAAGGAAGGAAACAACCTCACCAAAGGTTAAATTTCATTTTTATTTTGATAAAATTAGTCCCTTACTCTCCTAATAAATTTACTCACCTCTACAGTTTTAATGCTTATTTTCAAATTTATTCCATATGCAACTGAAATAAACAAAAGATGACCTCAAAACCACTGTGGTTTACCCCTTCTACTTTATTAAATTTCTACCCTTTCTAAGTCTCTATCACCACAATCTTGCTAAGGGTTCCCAGATCCTTCAAACAACCCACAGGTTCCTTGAGGTCTACTTTGGCGTCAATGGGGATTGAGCAATCTGTGGATTAAATCTCTCTCTCTCTCTCTCTCTCTCTCTCTCTGTCTTTTCTTCTTCTTTTTTTCTTTCCTTTTTACTGACCAAAGCTTGCTCATATTCTGGCATGTATTTGAGGGGTCATCTCTCAGCAGTTTGTATCAGTAAAAAGTGATCTGGCATCACACTGATTCATACAATATGCTTTCCTTCAGTCCATTTGCCTAGAACAAAAGAAGGGATTTTTAAACATGTAATCTCAGTGCCTTTAACAATGTGGTAAAAGATGTTTTCCAATTTTATAATTATTATCTATGTGGCATATATTTTATAATGCTGTTCAGCTATGTAATACTCTTATTACAATAATAATAGCAAATATGTATTATGAACATACGACAATAATATGCTTCTGAATTTTAGTTGAGATCGTTCACATAGCAATAATAGCAATTATTAATTCCATGTTACGCAAGCATGGGGCTAAGTTCTTTATGCTTATCAACTCATTTAAACTTCATGTCAACCCAGAAAGATACGTCCTCTTTATTCCCACTTTATACAAATAGAAACCAAATCCTGTTGAGAAGCTGCTTGCTCTAACTCACATAGCTGTTAAATGGTAAAACTGGTATTTAAATTGGGGTCTTTGTGGAATACTCTGCAGTCATTAAAAAGAACGAGGTCATGTCCTTTACAGGGACATGGATGGAGCTGGAGACCACTATTCTTAGCAAACTAAGATAGGAACAGAAAATTAAATACTGCATGTTCTCACTTATAAGTGGGAGCTAAATGATGAGAACATGTGAACACACAGAGGGGAACAAAACACACTTGGGTCTTTTGGAGGATGGAGGGTGGGAGAACGGAGAGGATGAGAAAAAAAACTATTAGGTACTAGGATTAATACCTGGGTAATGAAATAATCTGTACAACGAATCACCATGATACAAGTCTACTTGTATAACAAACCTGCACTTGTATCTGTACACTTAAAATACAAGTTAAAAATAAAATAAACTGAGGTATTTCTTACCCATAAACTCTATACAATATTACCATTCTGGTCTGAAGGAATCCTCAACCCAGACCACCAGGCCAAGAAAGTAAACACATTGCCAATCCTCAGTGCTTGCAATGTGTAGGACTCTCTGTTGTATAATTGTTGGCAGCTCTTTATTCTCCATAAGCAGTAGTCTGAAAGTACTTGTTTCCCCTCACAGCTGCCCTTGTTCTTTGGGAACAGGAAAGTTCTGTTTACAAGTGAGACATTTCCACCCATGCATCCCCATGGCTGTGACATTAGTCTTGGTTAGCTGTAACTCATTTTGGACAGTTTTGTTTCAGAGATGGTTCACCTGTTCAACTTATTTAAGATCACTGATACAGTACATTTTCATCAACCTCAAGTTATATAGCTCTTAATTTAAAAAAGAAAGAAATTTACAAGTATGCTTCTAGAGACCAATAAAAGTTATACTGTCTGGAATTCAAATTACCATTTCTCATGAACACATTATTTATGAAGAAAAGTTTTAACTGTGTTTTTACCTGTAAAATTTTAGTGATTTATTGTCTATCATATTTGGCCCACGTTCATTAGTTTCTTATCAATTTTCTATGGGTTTTTTTGGTCTTTTTGCTTTTTTGGTTTTTGCTTTGTTTGGATGTGTGTGTTTAGATAGGAATGCTTATTGCCAAAGTTAGTGTGTATTTTTCCCCTTGTGTATTATGTTTCATACCTTCAAGGATTCATTTTATCTGTTTATTCTTATCTAGCCTACATTCTGCAAACAAGGTCACTATTTGTTCACTCCTAGGTATATGTGTTTCTTCCCGAAATCCTCTGAATTCTCAGTTCTCTGGGAGGAAGGTACAGAGTTCCTCTTGCTTTGGGGTCAAATTCATTGTACTTGAAGTGTGGAAATCTCAGTTTCTGGTTTACTCAGCACAACAGACATGGCCAGTGCAAAATAAAAAGCAAGTTCTGGTTCAAATGACACATGTGGCCTCTCAAGGCTGTGAGCACCTCCACTTACTCAGACATAGAGGTAACCACATTTAATTTGTAGTTTTCAGTTTTGCTGAGCTACCACACATCATGTGTCCACTGTAATTCTGTGCTCACAGGGCAGCAAGTCTGCCATATGCAAATGTGGCCTCAAGGAAGATGCCTATTGCAAGTATCCCCTCTGTCCATGTGTGTACTTCATTGCCATGCTTCACTTACAAAACACAAAATCAAAAATAAAATTATTAGAATTTCAAGATGGTGATAGCAGAACATTAAACTAAATGCAGGGTCCTTCTGATCACAGGCACTGTATGACTGCACAGAATGCCCTTCCAGGAAGCCGGTCATGACACAAGCCAACTAACTCCAGCGACAAGCTTTTGGTGGATATATCTGCATCCGTGGCTTTTCTGACCTCAACTTCATCCCATTTAGTTTGGTTTTTAAGACACTATTTTGCAAGGTCACCTTTAACCCAAGTGACACCTTTGTGAAACTCAAAAAAGGTACCTCCTTGTCTAGGCAGATCAAGTCCTCATAGGGCACATGGCAAACTCATTCCCCTTTGAATATCAAGGTAATAAACTTCACTGAATGATGGGCATATCATACACACTCATATGCATCACACTTATTATATATTTTCACTGCTAATGAACTGTTAAAGACGAGAATTAGCATAAAGAACTGGTATTACTGCTGAAGCCCTGCCTTCAAAATCCTGAATCTTCTTTACAAAGACTCCTCTTCTGCTCCTCTGTCTCTTATAAAATATCTACTTTCATTGTATCTGGTCTTTGTGACCTGTAAACAAATAAGATACCTCCTAATGGCTGATACAATCACTTGAATAAACTGGCCCCAGAGCCCTCCAGAATACGGCTACCACTATTCCCACCTCCTTCACTGCACACCATTATTAGCATCAAGTCATTATTGAAGGCTTTCTGCTGTTAACACTTATGGTCTGTCTAGTTCCTTTCGGTCTGGAGCTTTTCTGGTTTTGGTCCTCTGCTGCAGACACTCTCCCTCTCTCTCAGTTGGTGTGGTGGCTGCTGTTGTAGCAAATATATTGTTGACATCAATTTTGTTGGGATATAGAGTATAACCTGCCTCTGGGAGATGCAGTCCTTCCCTCCATCAAAGGAAAACTCAGAGACAAAATTGTATAGAAAAGAAAAGGAAAAGTTTACTTGCAAAAATGCAAGAGAGTCAGACATAAAAAGACTGACTCACTAAATAAAGAACATAATGAGCATTTAAAAGGAAAGAAAAAAAACCATATTTCCAAGGTTGCCAAGTGTACATTACTGTGTTCATAGTGGAAAAACTTCCCATGATTATCGTATTCATAAAGGTCATGATATCGCTTCAGACATTAGCATACAAAAATTGGGGATAAAATTGTTTTTACTAAGATGTTCAGGTTATATTAAAATCTCAAGATTTCATTTACTGTAGGGACCAGAACCAAAGAGAATGATCCTATGTTATTTTTGGCTTGTCTCAAGGTACAAAATGCTTTTCTCCTCATTATGTGTGATGTGAAGCACGTAGCAATGTTCAAAGCAGGATAAACTGTCAGCTCTTGCTTCCCTACCTCCCAGGGTTAGTATTCTTCTGAGCAATTCTAAACAGGTAAGATGATTAAACAGGTATGCCATCAGGGGCATCCATAATATAGCTATGTCTTTTATTTACTACTTAATGCCTTCAGGGTCACAGTGCAGACTCATCAGACAATCCTTGGGAGAGACAACTATGGTTTTATTCATGCAGGCCGGCAGTCTACCTTGCATTGTCTTTAGCAGAAATATATTTCTTATTATTATCAAAGTGAACTATTACCTACAAGAGCCATTATTATTTCATCTGGCTACTGTGTTGCTTTCTCAGAAGCTTAAATGTCCCTGGACAAGTGAGAGGCCTGAAGGTCAATCACGACTTCCCATGTTCCTGAGTCTGCAAGTACACCAAACCTCACTAATGTTTCAACAGTCCTAGATTCTTGTAGCCATAGAACCATACATTTTAGATTTTTTAAGTTGCAGAAAAGTGACATTTCATTTCTAAATACTTCAGCATTGACTCCTCAGAATAAGAAGATTCTATACATTACCAAGATACCCTCATAACATCTAATGTATTTAACATTTACATCATAATATTGTATAATATTCAGTCCATATTCAAATCTGCCCAATTGCCTTCAAGATGTCCTTTATGTGTTTTCTGAAAATTCAGAATCCAACCACACATCACCCATTGTGTTTGGTTTTCATGTCTGTTTAATCTCCTTTAATCCAGAACACACCCGGTAACTTTTTCTTTGTTTGTGTTTTGTCCTTCATGACACTGACATTTTGAGGAAACCAAGCTATTTGTTGTTTTGTAGAATCTTCTATTGATCTGTCTGTCTAGTAATGTACCAATGTCAAACTGCTATATTATAGAGGTTCTATATTCTGTTTTAATATTTGCTATTAATTAATTCTCTTTCCTCATTTCTCTAATTTTTCAGAGTTTTTAAAAACTCTTCTTAAATGTTTACTTTCCCATATAAACGTTCTAGTCTAATTTTCTACCTCCAGGAAAAAAAGAAATCTTGCTGGAATTTTTGAGAAATCAAATTGATGCTATATATTAACTTGAAAAAATTGGCACACAAGCTAAGCTATTAATCATAAAAGTTGTGTTAGAAGTTCCCTTAATGTTTCAAAGAGGTAAGACTTTTCCCCAGTTAGCTCAGAATTCGTGCTTTTACTAATAACCTTAAAGAGGCAAATGCTAAGCAACAGATTAATTGTTAATTTTTTATCATCAAACATACAAAAGGAAAAAAAAGGGTATAATGAACCCCCCAGCACTCATCACCCAGCTTCGGTAATGATCAGCAATGATTTCTCCTCTACCCACAGTACCTCTCTTGTGGCCCAAATTATTTTACCTCATGGTGTTTTAAAGAGTTTTTTCTCTCGTGTGCTATACATGAATGATCTAGCTTTGCTAAAATATCATTACCTCTTCATGTATCATCAAATATCTAGTCTTCTCAATTTAAACCACTGCTGTAGTAGTCAAAACTAAAAGTGCAAACAAACACATTGAATTAAATTGAGAAGTAAATGATTCATTGAACAGATTATTCTTTCCACATGTAGAACTGAATGACCATGTGTTGAGATAGAGTACATAGATAACTATAGTTTCAAATCCTTTCCAATAATAAAACGAAAGACAATTGTAACTGGAGGACATATTTAGAACCCCCTATAGATATGACCACATTCTGCTTAGCAAAATGTCTTTTAAGTGTAGAATCCTGATAGAGGAGCATAAGCATTTTTATGAAAGCCATCAGCATCTATCTGAATTTTTGCATTTAAGTCAACACCAAATGTCTTATCACTTTATATTAAATTCATGATGCTCATTGCCTTCAGAATGAAAATTGAGAGGTCCTATGACCTTTCTATACCTTTCCAACCTCTGTCATGTTACTGCTTCTGCACATTCTGTGGTCCAGCTGTCCTGAGCTGCTCCTGGTTCCCCTAATGTGTTGGTCCTTCTTGCCTCTAGGCATTTAAGTGTAATCCTCCTATGTACTCTCACCCCAACCTCTGTCATGTTACTGCCTCTGCACATTCTGTGGTCCAGCTGTCCTGAGCTGCTTCTGGTTCCCCTAATGCGTTGATCCCTCTTGCCTCTAGGCATTTAAGTGTACTCCTCCTACGTACTCTCACCCCTTTCTCTCACTTCTCCCATTTTATGTTTATAGTGATACCTCCTTAAACAAATGTGCAGATTGATATCACTCCTCTTGCAAATCATCCTTGACCACCCCCCAAATTCTCATTTATGACACTCTACAAAGGCAATTATTTGATATATATTTATGTGTTTTCTTCTCCTGCAGTCTATGAGCTCCTTGAAGGAAGGCACCTTATCTAAGTAACCCATTTTATTTGCATCTTCTAAATAAATTGTGATTATAAAACAGATGCTTGTAAGCAAGTGTGAATGAACGCTTTAATGAAAATATATTTTATACATAAAAATATAATTCAGAAACTATAATTCAGAGAATCTAGATTTTAGTTTCTTATTTGCCAAAAGGTGAGTATGCAATATGTAAATGTGTCTTTCTGCGTGTTTTTTATAGCTCTAAAATAAGAGCCCTAATATCAGTCATGCACAAATTACAAAATTACTGTGCATTGAATGTATTAAAAATACAAATGTAAGGAATTTTGAAAAATAGCAAGAAGTATAGTATTAACTTCACACTGGAACCTCTGACCCATTATATTACAAGGAACAGGTGCATTAGCTGACATACATAAGTTTTCACTATGTACTAGTTCATGTCCCTCATATATCACCCCACAGCTAAGGTAATGTACTTAGAAAGGGATGCACTGAAATTGTAATTATTACTATGTGTCTAAAGAGCTCTGCTACAATAGGCACATTTTATATGAAGACTTTTGAAAGATTAAATTGAAGAAGTCCCTCCCTAATATAAATTAGCACAAACAAGCAACATTATGTTTCAAAGATCTTTGAATAATTATCTAATATAACTATAAATACACAAATTACTTTTTGAGAAAAGTAATATATATATTTTGGGCTTAGCAGGTTTCTTTTGGAGAGGTACACTATTTTATGACTGTAGGTTTACTCTAAAGCTGGCAAAACTAGTGGAGCATTACCATGCTTGATGAAACACTACTGCTCAAACAAATGTATATGAAAATGAAAGTAAGCGGAGAGATTACTGCTTTTTAGATTAGTGTCTATTATCAATAAGCAGAGAGCTTCAAGTGCTCTAGCTAATGTGATTTCTTTGCCATTAAGGATAATTTATTGTTTTATTGTATGAATAGTTGTCAAATCTTTTTACAATGAGTTGGATAATTCTTTGCACAATATTTAGTACCTCTTCAAAAAATGAGATTTGAAATGCATTGAACAAGGGACTACCTTTTAACATTTTTTCTCAGATAAAATGCTTGCTGCTTGAGCAGTTGATACAGATATAAGCTGATAATATCTCATGTGGCAGAAAGCCCAGTAGCTATTTACATGTGGTTGCCATCTTGTCAATTAATCATGCATAAGCTGCATGAACTTTTGAATCTGATATGACTAAACTGGTCATGTCACCATTACTACTATGTCAAAGCAGTCCTAACAAAGTATTTAACTTTGGGTTTGGCTTCCCACAGCTTTTCTGGTAGTGAGGGAGGTCAATGGGATGTGTTAATGTGTCTGTGTGAGTGGTGGAATTAAGGGAGGAGAACCCCTGGAGTGCAATAGAGGTAGAGTAAAACAGTACCTCTACCTGGCAGCATTTTCCAGTTAATCCTTGGTAGGGGTGGTCCAAGCCAGGGAAAAGTAGAGGCAGGGAGATCAAGAATGAGTGACAAGTTGTTGTTCCCGAAGACTGGCTAAGAATGCAGAGATCCTAGCTAGTAAGATCTTTCATAGAGTTAAATTTCTGGGTCAAACTTCTGGGTTAACTAGAGAACTGTGAAGAGCAAGGCAAACCACAGTCTTATAGGAAATGGCATGATAACACAGTACAGATTTGTGAATTAGGAAAGACAAGTTTGGGTGCCAATTAGCAGTCCTAGGAGCAGGACTGGCACTTCATACATCTCAATGTAGAAAATCTAATTACAAATTTCAAAACAGAGCAGACCATAAATAAAAACTGATTTATTTTGTTTGTTTGTTTTTGAGATAGAGTTTTGCTCTGTCGCCCATGCTGGAGTGCAGTGGTGCAATCTCGACTCACTGCAACCTCCTCCTCCCTGGTTCAAGTGATTCTCCTGCCGCAGCCTCCAGAGTAGCTGGGATTACAGGCACACACCACCACACCCAGCTAAGTTTTGTATTTTTAGTAGAGACGGGGTTTCATCTTGTTGGCCAGGCTGATTTCAAACTCCTGACCTCAGGTGATCCACTTGCCTTGGCCTCCCAAAGTGCTAGGATCACAGGCGTGAGCCACCGCCCTAGGCCAATTTGATGTTTTAAAATCTGAACTATGCAAAGTCTTCTTAAATATCTTTGACGAGGGAAAGGATTTTTCCCAAGAGCATGGGTTTAGATGAACAGGTCTAAATGGAAGAGTTAGAAAAATATGAAGAACCAGGCAAGATCTTCACTATGCTGCAGATATACTCTCAGAAGTATTGCAGATAAATGTTTTAAGTCCAGCTCTCTAAGGGTGGAGGTGAGAGGTGAAAGTAATAAAAAGGCCTGATTTGAAATACCTGCTGATTTTGTAATGTAAATACTTTCATCATGATCAATTTCAAGCTACCATCATGCTATAAATCTGGTTGTAATTATGAAAACGTTAACACTGTTAACAATTGGCTCTTTTGAGCTAGTAAAAATATTTCCAGCACATTACTCTTACAATGGATAAGTACATGTCACAGTGAATTTATCAAACCACTTGTTTGAACATTGTTGTTAATAAATTATCAATTATTTTTAATCAATATTTGTTTTGAATTTTTATTTTATCATTTGGAAAGTATTTACTGAGTACCTTTTATATGCCAGAGCTTGTACTGAGTATTACTCACAGTTTTTTTTAAGTCCAATGCAACACTTATTCTGGAAGGCCATGGACTATATTGTATATAGGTCATAAGCAATTCCTGAGTTATTTAAAATTATAGACTGTTAATAATTCCATCAGAAGATACATGTACTTGCCATTTTTATAGATTAAATATAGTCCAATTTTCTTTGCTGTTATCTCCTCTAAAACTAGAATCTAATTCCCCATTCTTTGTATCTAGGCTGGCATTAGTGGCTTCCTTGACTAATGGAAATTGATAGACAGAAGTGATGTGTAGGATATAGTGTGGGTCAATGCTGATGCCTTGTAGCTTTTGTAAGGCCTCTTGGAACATTTGTTTTTTGGAGCCCTAGGTCTACATGTAAGAAGTTCAACTATTCTAAGATCGTCATGCTATCTGGAAGCCCAAGAGAAGTGCCCCTTGCTGTTCTAGCCTCAGCCTTTTGAGTCTTCCCAGCTGAGGCCACAGACATCATGGAACAGAGATGAGCCATGTCTACTCAGCACTGTCTGAATTCCTGACTCTCAAAATTGTGAGATCTAGTAACAATAATTATCTTTTAAAAAGTTGTATTTTGTTTAATCCTCTAGGATTATTATGTTATTATCTTAGTTTGGGCCGCTATAACAGAATACCATAAACTGGGTGGTTTAAATAATGGAAATTTATTTATCACAGTTCTGAAGGCTGGGAAGTCTGAAGGAGGTTGACAGGGTGCCAGCATGGTCAGTTCTAGTGATGGCTTTTTTTCTGGCTTGCAGACATTTATTTTCTCCTTGTATCCTCAACATGGTGGAGGGCAAAGACAGAGAAAGCAAGCTCTCTGGTGTCTTTTTTTTTTTTTTTGACAGGGTCCCGCTCTGTCGACCAGGCTGGAGTGCAGCGGTGCGATTATGGCTCCCTGCAGCCTTTGATCTCATGGGATTAAGCAATCCTCCCACCTCAGCCTCCTGAGTAGCTGAGACTACATGTGCATGCCACCAAGCCAGGCTAATTATTTAATTATTTTCTTTTCTTTTTTTTTTCTTTTTTGGTAGAGGCAGTGTCTTGCCCTGTTTTCCAGGCTGGTCTGGAACTCCTGGGCTCAGGTGATCCTCCCACCCCAGCCTCCCAAAGTGCTGGGATTACAGGCCTAAGATACTGTACTCAGGGCCTGTCTGGTGTCTTTTTGTAAGAACACTAATCTCATTGATATAGGATTGGTCATATTAGGCCCACTCTTGTGACATAATTACCTCAATGGCCCTATTGCATCTTAGTATAATATTGAGCATTAGGATTTCAACATATGAACTTATGGGGGAGGCACAAACATTCAGTCCATAGAAATTATGGTATAGTTTGTTACTCAACAAAGACAGCTGGAATGTCAATATTCAAAGTTATCTCCTGTTTTCTGCACATTTCTGTTGTTGGCTCTGTACTTCAGAGGGATAAATACAATGAAAGAAAGTGAACAAGAATAAATTTTATACTCAAATATTTTAAGGTATTAAAATACCATCAGAAGTAGAAAGTTAATTTCAAGTAGTTGTAATAATATTGTTTCAAAATAATAAATATTTTGTAGTTTCTACAAGTAGGAAACCCAATCTAATGATCCTTTTCCATTCTATACCCTCTTAAGAAAAATGAAAAACTATTAAGCTTTCAATGTTTATTCTTCAGAAGCCAGACACAGAGTTCATGCCTCTTTTATATTGTTTATCTATTCTGTTTCAATGTTACACCTTGTTTCCTCTTCTAGATTTTCAGGGGACAGAAATTTCATGTGTTCTTGGTAGTCCTAAGTTAAGGTCTTGTATGTCACAAGTATTCACTAAATCACTGGCAAATAAAGTCAAGTTTTCTTTACTTGGGTCCCTAAGCAGTCTCCAAATGTTATGAAAATGTTCATACATATATTTGTATGTTTTTATATGTGCATTTTTCCAGAGGGAGGAGCAATCATTTTCAGCGGATTTTCATATTGGAATTCATGAAAAATAAAGTTGTTGTGTTATCATCTCTCCTGTCCTCTAAAGCATTCAAGTTATTTGTAGTCTTTTATTTTTCAAATCCTCAAATAAAAGGATTTTCCAAATTATTTTATTATATACTTACCATTTTAACATTGTATAGTCAATTTTTTTCTTCAGAATACCCTAACTTCCTGAAGAGCCATTTCCATATCTTATTGCCTCTTAGATCTCAATATTCAGCATTTATTAGCAAGCCTGATACACAGTGTGTACTCAATATATTTGTCAACTTAATCAAAAACTGTAATTTTTGCTACATTCCAATTTTAGTCAATACTAACAAAAAAATGAGTAAATATGGTTCTGTCTTATAGATGTGCTTTCTTGACTCAGAATTTTTATTGCTTCAAATTATATTAGTGTTGATAGTGGTGTTTACTTACTGCTTGAAACATTTCTAACTGTGATGTATCCAGGATGTAAACTGCTATCAGGGTAATATAACGTTGTTAAGATAAATTACTTAATGAAATTCCACAAGAGAAACTTACTGGAATGAAGTTGAAAATTATGGCAAAGGGATAAAAATGGATGGATTTGTTTAGATTTGGGCTAAGAATTTAGTGAGAATTTGTACTGTGGAGATCCTATCTCCAACACTGATACCATTTAATTGACTTTAACATAAGACAGCCCCTAGGTCACCAGGAAGAGGGAAGCACTAGTCTTCAAGGTGAGGCTTTCTGTGGCTCCACACACCATCTCTACTGTTTCTGAACATTTTGTGATAGATTAATACAACTCCCACCTATAAAACTACCCTCATCTTGTAAATCAGGGTATTATTTTTATTCCTCATACTGGTCATTTTCACATAGCTTTCTTGATGCAAGCCAAGAAGAAGAGTTAATATTGATATATTGTATATGACATTTTCACTGAAGAGGTGATGATGGGAAAAGGGGAAATAAAGGAAAACCTCATCTTAAACAATTCTGTGCTTATTTTGTTAAAGGTTAGAGCCACATTTAGCTCCTTAAGCCCCAGATTTCCATTTTAATTTAAGCATTCCTTCCCAGTGACCTTTCTCTTTCACTGAAAAAAAAAAAAAAAAAAACGCAGCATGTAGTCTGACAGTTTTATTCTTCAAAATCTACCTGCTTTTTTGACTTTTAAGTAAGAACTGAGAGAGTCTATCAGAGTCTGCATAAGGCAGGCATTTTTTTTTTTTAACTCAGGGGCTTTTGAATTGTCTTTATTGGAGCTGGCATCATTCAGCCTAAGGCATAAGAACAGTCTTTAAGAGTTGCATTTTTAATGGAAAGAAAACAGGGGAATACCACCTTGTCAATGTTATGGTATCTACAACCTCTCACTCCCTACTCCCTTCAAAACCTGCCAGAAGCATGTAGTCTGATAAAAATTATGGTTAATTTTCATTAGTACTTTTATTACTTTCTCTAAGGAGTGAAAGTGAGTGACAAAGTATTCAGTAATAGTTACAACATATATATATATATATATATTTTTTTTTTTTTTCTTCAGGTATTGGAAATCTCAGCAACTCAATTATATACACCATTAGTTCTAAAGCAGACTGGTTGGAAAATATGATCCCATCAACGCAGCAGGTATGTAGTTAAAACCTAGTCTAATGATCACAATTAAAAGTGTCACAGTTTGTGTTTTTATAATGTGTTCTGCAAATGTCCTCTGTACAAAACATAAGAAAATTTAAAAATAGATTTCAAAAGTTCTAACAATATCAATACTTATTTATTAAGTACTAAAATACAAAGTACTATTCAAAAGAGACGCACAATAAACAGGATAGACAGAGCAGCTACCACCAAGGGGAAGATGTAACAATGACTACATGCTATTGATATCAAAAGAGTCTAGTTGAAAGATGAGAAAGAAATAATCACCCAGAAGTTTGTCTGTCTAAACCAATTAAGTTCCCAGTAGACTTAATTTTGTTAAGTTTGGAAGAAGAATGTTTGGCTAGAATTATTCGGTTCAATGGAAGATATTTTCTCTTACAGTTACAAATGAACAAATAAGCAAACAAAAAAAGAACAACAACTAACAAACTGGAAAGCATTTTTCCCATAGTAATGATTGTCTTGTCACTCAGTTAACATTCTTGCTTCCCTCTCTTTCTTCTCTCTCTTTCTTTCCTTTTCTCTCTCCCTTTAACAAAGATTCAATCAACACCAAGTTTGTTTCAGGCACTAAGTTAGACACTTGGGATTTAAAGTATAGTACGGGCTTTATGGACCTACTATCTAATTGAGATGGAATGGGAAAACCTCTTTAAAAATAGAACATTTGCTTTATTTAAATAAGTATTTATATTAAACCTCATTACAAAGATTTGAAATGGAACAATAGGGAAGTAATGATGAATCCTGCACATGGATTCAGGAAGTCATATATATAGTTTTCTCACTAATGTATTTTGAAAGATATATAGAAATATACTGTCTCTTCAGGCTTATTTCCCATTAGAAGTTCACTGAGGGTTTCAAACTGCCCACCTCCCCACGCCTCCTACACACACATAAACCCTACAATCACTTAAAACACTCTAAATACTGTTTTTTCCCATCAGTTTAACTTCAGCTTATCTTTAAAGGTTCAGTTCAAGTCTTAAGACTTTCCTGAATTTCACAGAAAATGACACCTCCATGTCCACAATTTGTTCTTAGACATAGCCAATAACATCTCCCACTAGTTTTCTAGTTGTCTTAGGTTTCATCTTTGTCTCCTCAAGTAAATGAGCAACTCTGTAAGTAGACAGTATAGTCCTATGAAGTCTCCTGGTTCTCTTGAAAGAAATTTAGCAGTTAGTAGCTATGTACAATTAGTTTGGTTGTTTTCTCCGGGCTATTCCTTTAACAGTTTGACAAATGCTTAATGATCCAATTTTTTCCTTCACTGTCCCCATCCCTGGCCCTATATGTGCATATTCTATTCTGTGCCATAAGCGATAAAATCTCTAACCAATTAAAGAGCACCATATCTTCTTTTGCATAGGAAGACATACCAAGGGAAAAGATGGAAAAAACACACCAGTCGTTATATCACCAACCAAAAGTATTGTGAAATTCATTCTCAGTGATAATGGAGCTTGTTCTGGATTTAATAGTATCCTTCAAGGGTAAAATGTTAAAGAATGTCTTCAAAGAAAAGTGATTTATACATAAGAAATATCATTTACATATAGTAATTAGACATCTCAGGTGAATGCTGGTTTCCAAAGTGGTATTACATACATACTTTCTTATGTATGTTTCTTTCTTTCTTTCTTTCTTTCTTTCTTTCTTTCTTTCTTTCTTTCTTTCTTTCTTTCTTTCTTTCTTTTTCTTTCTTTCTTTCCTTCTTTCAGACAGGATCTTGCTCTGCTTGCTCTGTGCAACTGCTCTCTTTCTAAACTACCAGGAAGAAAAATTGTGAAGCATGTTTAAGAGTGAAAAAGCTGACTTCAGGTTTCTTTTCTATAGTTACAAGTCTTTTAATGATCTTGTTTAAAGTAGATGCACATCTATTCTGTGAAGAAAAACCACGATGCGATACCATGTTCTTCCTGCAGCTATTCACTTCCTTAAGGAGAAGGGGAAAAAAGTTTCTTGGACTTAAAACATTTGGATTAAGGGGGTCGGCTTATTATAGTGCTGTTATCTCCCCCACTTCCTTCTGCCTGCACTGAGCACAAAGAAATTTCTTTAGAAGTTTAGAAGGAAAAGGACATCTCCCTTGGGTTGTCCTTGAGCTAACAGCTGCAGACTTCAGATTTTCAAGATAACTCATGCATCAGCACAGTAAGAAACCAGGTCCTGCCCTCACTTAAAAGTTCAAAGGCTATGGTTGAAAAATGTGCCCATATCAAGTGACTTCTGAAGATGCTGAACCTTTAACAAGGTTAAAGGTTGGCAAATATTAGGAGGTTAGGGTGAAAAGACTCAATAAAAGCCTTCCATTAAAAGCTGGCCAAAAGAGAGATGATCTAGACAAGGTCAAAGAACAGAAGAGTCGAGCAGCAGGAAACACACACAATGGTCACAAATCAAAGCAGAGAGAGGAATTGCTGAAGGAGATGTCTGCTGATCTTTTTTTCCCTTCAAAGTGCTAAAAATGTAGGGATATAAATCGAAATAAAATATTTTTAAAAGTCAAGTAACAAGTACCTACATGAGTATGATTTGTATGTGATTCAGGACTGTGTCAATCTAGGAGAATCCATCAGAGATCTATGACGTATTTAATCTAGGATTCAGGTTTCAGGACTGCCTTATTAGAAGTGAAGTGTCTTTATCATTAATCTTCTTTTACTACTTCAATAATATAGCCCCTGAAAAGTAGAAAGCAAACTTAATTGATATCAAATTTCTTTTTTTAATCTAAAATTTTTCTTTCTTTTGCTTTTAAAGACAAAATATCTCTTGGTATTGCCCAGGTTGGCCTCAAACTCCTGGCCTCAAGCAGTAATTCTCCTGCCTCAGCCTCTCAAAGTACTGAGATTACAGGCATAAGCTACCATTCCTGGCAGATATCAAACTTCAATATGTCACCTGAGAGTATACTTTTAGTTTAATAACACATTGTCTCTTATTCACAGTCCTCCAGGAAAAATAAGTACTTTACCATGTTGTTCTGAATTATAATAAAACCAATATTATATAATATTGGAAATATTACATATATCCAATATTATATAATATAGGATATATATGAGATATATATGATATATATATATATTTCCAATAGATAAATTACATTTTCAAGAACATTGGGGGTGCCCACAATTGTTCTTAATATCACTCTAGAGTGATATTTCTTATTTATTTATTTATTTTGAGATGGAGTCTCACTCTGTCACCCAAGCTAGAGAGCAGCGGTGCTTTCTCAGCTCACTGCAACCTCCGCCTCCCGGGTTCAAGTGATTCTCCTGCCTTAGCCTCCCAAGTAGCTGGGATTACAGCCGCATGCCACCGTGGCTGGCTAATGTTTTGTATTTTTAGTAGAGATGGGTTTTCACCATGTTAGCCAGGATGGTCTCAATCTCCTGACCTCGTGATCTGCCCGCCTCGGCCTCCCAAAGTGCTGGGATTACAGTCACAAGCCACCATGCCCGGCCTAAAGTGATATTTCTAAAAATACATATCTAACCCCATCACTGCTAATAATATCCTCAATCTTTATATTTTTTTGTAAAGATTAAGAGAAGTAGGGCCAGGCGCAGTGTCTCACGCTTATAATACCAGCACTTTGGGAGACTGAGGCAGGTGGATCACGAGGTCAGGAGTTCAAGACCAGCCTGGCCATGATGGAAAAACCCCGTGTCTACTAAAAATACAAAAGTTAGCCGGGCATGGTGGCATGTGCCTGTAATCCCAGCTACTCCAGAGGCTGATTCATAGAATTGCTTAAACCTGGGAGGCAGAGGTTCCAGTAAGCTAAGATTGCACCACTGCACTCCAGCCTGGGAGACAGAGCGAGACTCCGCCACGAAAAAAAAAAAAAAAAAAGAGAGAGAGAAGTGATATATGTGAAAGTCCCAGTGCAATGCTATGTAGGAGGCTGTATAAAGAGATCAATAAATGCTGATCTTCCTCTTTCGCCCTCCTTTGAATAACAATATGCAGACTATGTCATGTGAAAATCTCATACACCACAACACCCAGAAATTATTTACAAAATATTTTTTAAATTTCCTTTAAGTTCCCTTTAAGTTTTTACAGAAGTAAGGAAAACATGAGAGGTAAATTATAAAGAGGGAATCAGAAACAATGATAAATGTGAAATGGTACTGGGAATATAATGGGGAGAAAGTGAGGATTTTCTATTGGGGAAAAAATAGGAACTGGGGCTTAATGGCCACAGGAGATGAAAACTTTGGTATAGAGGAGACAGAGTAGGGCTCCAAATCAATGCACAAAGCTGAGGCTCTCAAAGACCATGTATGTCCTCAGAGCAAACATGGCCTAAAAATAAAAATGAATCTCTATTCTGGCACAAATAGACAATCAAAAAGCTTGCCTTTCTTAACCTGAGTGAATTTAAAAAAAAAAGAAAAAAAAGTATCTTTTGAGAATACTAAGAATTAACAAAACATTAATTAAAAATTTAATAGAGAATAAAACAACATAATAGATCCAGGGAAAGAAGTCAGTGGAAAAGCTAAAGATAGCTTTGAAAAAATTATTCAGAATCTAGCACAGAGACATAAAAAATATGATGTGTAAATGAAATGGAGTACCCTATTTTTAAGGTTTTTTTTTTCTTTCCTTCTGTGGACCTTTATAAGAAAATAATAACTTTGACACTCCTTCTTTACACCAGGCACTCCTTTGCATTGTTAGCTTATCTAACTAGGTTTGCTTAGAAGTTCCAGAGACTGAATCTTGAGGCAATCCAGGTGTCTATGAAATTCTCCCCCACCAGGAGATCACTTCAAGGCTGTGGCTAATTTACAACTCAGTCTGGCCTGAGATAGCACCAACCCATTCACCAGATGGGGTAATAACTCAAGACAGGTAATCAGAGTAAGTCACTCAGACCACACCACCTCACCCCTTCTGCCTGCTCTTCATTCCAAACTCCTCTTTGTGTATTCTGCCCAGAAAACTTGAAATGGTTTCTTTAAGGCAGAAGACTGAACCATTTCACCACTGCTAGCTTTGGAAAACAAAGTCACTTTCCTTCCACCAAAACTTGTTTGTGTTTTTTGGCTTTGTAAGCAGCAAGCAGCAGAAACTGTGTTCATTTATATGAAGATTGCTTAAGAAACCCAGAAGTAGAATACGTATTTCCATCATATATCCATTAGGAGTTGCCAAAGTAGTGAATAGAATGAATGAAAAGAGTGTGAGTATTTCCAAGAATAGAAAAAATAGAAAAATCCATAGATTTGAAAATCACAATGAGTATAAAATAATTTGGATATAATAAATCTGCCTCTAAGCAAATACAAAAGTAAATCCAGATACCACAAAAGGAAGAGCTTAGAAGCCAAAAGGAAGAAATGACAAATTACCTAAATAAGAAGAACATTAGACTACAATAGACCTATTAAGCAAGTGAAAGATAGTGAGATAATGTATTAACATGCTGAGAAAAAGTAACTAGTAATATAGAATTCCATACCCCAGTAAACAATCATTTAAAATTTATAGTGGAATAAATGATTTTCCAACACCAGTAACTAAGCACCTTCTCCAAAAGTTTCTCAAAGAAATAACTTCTAAAAGAAATAACATCTTCAAGAAAAAGAAAATTGGAAGTCAGAAAAAGTAAGATACTGGGAGGGAAATGGTAAGCAAATAAATTGTTAAACATACAGATGAATTTAAATTGTATTAAATATAGAAGCAGTAATAACAAAAGACAGTATGAGTTTAAAAATAAAGTAAGGAAAATACTGTGCATTAAAAATGTTAAGACCAATATCAGCAATGAAAAAATTTGCATACTTACAGTTAGAGCAGAGATTAAACAATTAACATGAATATTATAGTAATCTTCATGGCAATACTTTTGGGTGAAAATAACTGATTCAACAAGAAATTGAAAGGCTGACTAATTCTACAGCAACTTAATAAATTAAGTCAGTTATTAACAGATATACAATAGGCACAAAGGGCATGCAAAGGCCAAATAAAGATTTAAATTCTACAAAAAAAGTGGAAGAACAAGATTATCCAATTTTATTTAAGCTGTTTCAGAGAATAGAAATTGAGGAAATTATTCCTTATTCATTTCATAGATTAAGTATAATCTAATATTAACATCAAATAGCTTATAAAGAAGGGCAAGTATTGTCACATAAATCTGGATAAAAGAGCATTAAATAAAATAATAGCAAAGCAAATTCAATAATATTCAGAAACTCATAATCAAATTATGTTTCTCTAAGAATGTAAGAATGTTTTGACATAAAACATTTAGTTTTATGTTACATTTTCCTCATTAACATATTAAATTTCAAAATTAGCACCTCAAACGTACAAATATTAATATTACTCAGCAGGTATTAATGAAAACTCTTAGCAACTCAGGAATAGAAAGAAACTTCCTTAATCTAAAACTTGCAACAAACATTATACTTAATGATAAAACATTAGAATTCCATTTAAAATCATTTATAAAATTTCATTTAAAAATAGCTCCTAGAATGATTAAAAAGGAAGAAAAACATTTCTCCTCATTTATAATCATATGATTATCTGCTTAAAAATTCAAGAAAAGTGACAATCATAACTAATAAAAGAATCCAGCAAAGCTGTAAGATAAAACTTTTAAAATGAACAACATGTAAAGCAATTGTTTGCCTATATACTCAAAAGAAATATTTAGAAGATATGATTAATTTAGAAAACAAAAATATGACTGGAAATGGCACCAAATCTTAGGAATAAATTTTTAAAACATATTTTTAGGAAGACATTTAGAAAATGTTGTTTTAAAAATACCTGAAATATTTGGATAAATGTCAATTGAGAAGAAGATTCACTATATAAATATAACATTTTCCAAAACTGTATCAATTTATACATTTAATACATCTTAATCAAAATGCCAACAAGTTGTATTATAGATCTTTAAAAGCAGGACCCAATAATATAGAAGATGTCTAATGAGGTTTCCTGTGGATTATTTTTATTTTGAATCATATCAATTGATTCTCTTTAGGAAAAAACTTAGAGGATGGAAAAAAAAAACTAGCAATATGAGAAACTCCAATATTTTGTCTAGGCCTAAATATTCCACTAGCAAAGTAAATATGTGTCTAATTAAAATGAAGTATCAAATGAGTTATTTAACATTGTATAATCAGTTCAACCAACTAGGATGTTTATGTGTGTGTATGTGTAAATACTTCAATACATTTCTTTTCCTTATATAGAGACAACTATTCAATTCAATATTAATGGGATGGGAAACATCAAGGTTAAGGTAAGGGACCAAATGTATATAACTAGTTTTGCTCCAATCCTAAATCTCACTACAGCAACTATAAAGAAATTATTTAAAAATGTATAAATCCACAAGGGGAGGGAGAACAGGAAAGGAAGCTATAATAAGAAAATTTTGAAACTGAGAAAAGGGTGGAGGAATAATCTCTTAGCAGACTCAGGGAAGTGTAATCCTAAATCAGTAGTTGAGAAAGCTGAGAACTATCATAAAGTCTTCAAAAAGCTCAAGAATTGGTAAAACCAGTTACCTTTGGAATGAAGGAAATGGCTAAAACACGAAGAATATGCTAAAAGGTGTTGCATTTACTCTATAAATGACCTCTGGCAGATGACAGGTTTATGCTATGGAGAGAATAAAAGAGAAGAGATTTGATAAGAGGACAAATAGCTCAATTATATATGTGAGTACCATACCAGCAGTAGGGGATTGATATATTCTGACTATTGGATATTGGTGCTCCAAGTTCTCTTCCTTGACTCAGGCTCACAGAATGATGCAGAATTATATAACTACCTGCAGAGAATTCAAGAAATCTTACCAACACCAAACCTAAAGTTAACACTGAGGTACCATATAATGGTCCAAGTGATTGTCACGTGCTAAAACTTAAATATTATAAGATCTATCTCTGTGCTCAGAGTTTGCAAGAAACTTTTTAGTACCCTACTCCTGCAAAGGGTAGACTGTCAAGAATTACTCCCATTAGAAATAAAAACAATAGACAATAGTACCAAGCAAGATGACAGAATAGAAAGCTCCACTGATTGTCCTCCCCCAAAAGACACCAAGTTAACAACTATTTCCACAGAGAAAACACATTAATAAGACACAAAAATCAGACAAGTGCTCATAGTACCTGGTTTTAACTTCATATTGCTGAAGGAGGCACCAAAAAGATAGAAAAAACTCTCCTGAATCACTGACGCCACCCCTCCGCTACCACCAGCAGATATGGTATGGCTCAGAGAAAGTCTCTGGGCACTGGGGAAAGGAGAACACAGCAATAATAAGGCACTGAACTCAGTCTGTTCTGTTAGAGCAGAAAGGAAAACCAGACCAAACTCAGCTGATGCCTACCCACAGAAGGATCATTAAATCAGCTCTAGTAAGAAGGGAATAGTCTATTCAGCGACCTGAACTTGAGTGCCTACAAACCTCACCATTGAGGGCCAAAGTGCTCTTGATATATAAGTAAACTTGAAAGACAGTTTGGTCCATAAGGACTGCAACTCTTAGGTGAGTCCTAGGGCAGAACTAGGCCCAGAGACAGTAGACTATGAGGAGGCGGGCGCGGGCGCCCTGATATAGTGAGACACCAGCTGGGGCAACCAAGGGAGTGCTGACATCACCCCTTCTCTGACCCCAAGATGCACAGCTTATGGCTGCACAAGAGACCTCTTCCTTCCATTTGAGGAGAAGAGAAGGAGAATCAGAAGGACTTTGCCTTTTATCTTGGATACAAGCTCAGCCACAGCAGGATAGTCATGAGGCTCCTGCTTCCAGGCCCTAGCTCCCAGACATTTCTAGATGCACACTGAGCTACAAGGGGACCCACTGCCTTGAAGGAAAGAATGTATTCCTGGCAGCATTTATCACCTGCTTACTGAAGAGCCCTTGGGCCCTGAATAACCAGCAGCAATATGAGGTACTACATTGAAGGCCCTGGTGAGCCTCTGAGACTTGCTGACTTCAGGTACCAACACCACCACAAGGAGGATGGAGCACCAAGTAGGCTCATGGGGTCTCTAATTTCAGGACTTCACTCTTGGACAGCATTTATAAAACTGCCCTGGACCACAGAGGTGCCCACTGCCCTGAAGGGTGGGTCCTAGACCAGGCAGCATTCACCATAAGCTGACTTAAAAGCCCTTAGACCTTAAGGGAACATTGGTGGTAGTCTGACAGTACTCCTCATGGCTAGGGCTGGCATTGGCTATGTGGTGAGATTTCTCACTCTTTTCCTTTCGAAAAGGAAGGAAGAGTGGGAAGAACTGAGTTTTGTGGTTTGAGTACTGGTTTGGCCGCAATATAATAGAATACCAGGTAGACTTCTGAGGTTTTTGACTGTAGTCCCTGACTCCCAGATGGCACTTCTGGACCCACCCAGGGCTTGGGGGACCTCATTGCCCTGAATGGAAGGAAAAAGGCCTAGCTGGCTTTGCCATCTGCTGATTGTAGAGCCCTAGGGCCTTGAGCAAACATAGGCAGTAGCCAGAGAGTGGTTAAGGCAGGCATTGCGAGAGACTCAGCACAGTCATAGTGGTGGTGGCTGCAGGTGTGTTTGTATCACTCCACCCCCCAGATTTAGATGGCTCAGAACAGAGATGGAGAGAGAAAGAAAGAGAAAGAAAGTAAGAGAAGAAAACAAGAGTCTCTGCCAGGTAAGCCAGATAATTCTCCTGGATCTTGTCCAAGATCATCAAGGCAATACCTCTATCAGTCTGCAAGAACCATAGTATTACTGAGCTTGGGGTGGCCCATAAAGCAGAAGCAGCTTAGATCACAACACCCAAGTCCTTTCAAATATCTGGAAAGCCTTCCCAAGAAGGACAGCTACAAATAAGTCCAGACAATGAAGACTATAATATATACCAAATTCTTTAATGCCCAGACACCAAAGAACATCTACTAGCATCAACACTATCTGGGAAACATTACCTCAACCAAATGAACTAAGTAAGGCACCAGGGACCAATCCTGGAGAAACAGAGATATGTGAACTTTCAGATAGAGAATTCAAAATAGGTTTGTTCAGGAAACTTAAAGAAATTCAAGAGAACACACAGAAGGAATTTAGAATTCTATCAAATAAACTTAACAAAGAGATTCAAATAATTTAAAAGAATTAAGCAGTAATTCTGGAGCAAAATGCAATTGGCATACTGAAGAATTCATTCAAATCCTTTAATAGCAGAATCAGTCAAGCAGAAGAAAGAATTAGTGGGCCTGAAAACAGGCTATTTGAAAATACACGGTCAGAGGAGATACAAGAAAAAAAAAATGAAGTACACCCATAAAATCTAAAAAATAGCTTCAAAAGGGTAAGTTCAAGAGTTATTGGCCTTAAAGAGGAAGTAGAGAAAAAGATAGGGGTAGAAATTTCATTCAAAAGAATAGTAACAGGCTGAGGTGGGTGGATCACAAGGTCAGGAGTTCGAGACCAGCCTGGCCAAGATGGTGAAACCCCATCTCTACTAAAAATACAAAAATTAGCCAGGCACAGTGGCAGGTACCTGTAATTCCAGCTACTTGGGAGGCTGAGGCAGGAAAATCACTTGAATCCAGGAAGCAGAGGTTGCAGTGAGCTGAGATCGCACCACTGCACTCTAGCCTGGGTGACAGAGCAAGACTCCATCTCAAAAAAAAAAAAAAAAAAGAATAGAATGGTAACAGAGAGGTTCCAAAAACTAAAGAAAGATATCAATATCCAAGTACAAGAAGGTCATAGAACACTAAGCACATTTAACCCAAAGAAGACTACCCCAAGGCATCTTATAATCGAATTCTCAAATGTCAAGGATAAAGAAAGGCTCCTAAAAGCAGCAAGACAAAAGAAACAAATGACACACAATGAAGCTCCAATACGTCTGGCAGCTGACTTTTCAGTGAATATCTTATAGCCCAGGAGACAGTGGTATGACATATTTAAAGTGTTGAAGGAAAAAACAAAAACAAAAACAAAAAACACCTTTACTCTAGAATAGTGTATCCAGACAAACCAAAGCTGAGGGATTTCATCAATTTCAGACCTGTCCTATGAGAAATGCCAAAGGAAGTACTACAATCAGAAAGAAAAGGACATTAGTGAGCATTAAATAATCACTGAAAGGTACAAAACTTACTAATAATAGTAAGTACACACACAAAAAAAACAGAATTTTATAATACTGTAACTGTAGTGTGTAAACTATTCTTGTCCTAAGTAGAATGAAGAAACAATGAACCAATCAAAAATGATAACGACAACTTTTCTTTGTCTTTTTCTCTTTTTTTGAGACAGGGTCTCACTGTTGCCCAGGCTGGAGTGCAGTGGCGTGATCTCGGCTCACTGCAACCTTCACCTTCCAGGCTCAAGCAAGGCTTGTGCCTCAGCCTCCCAGTTAACTGGAATTACAGTCACCTGCCACCATCCCTTGCTAATTTTGGTATTTTCAGTATAGATGGGGTTTCACCACGTTGCCTAGACTGGTCTCAAACTCTTGAGCCCAAGTGATCTGCCCACCTCGGCCTGATAAAGTACTGGGATTACAGGCAAGAGTCGACGCACCTGGCCAGCAAGTTTTTAAGACACAGTTAAAACAATAAGATATAAGCAGAAACAACAAAATTTTAAAAAGCAGAAGGATTAAGTTAATGTGAGGTTTTATTAGTTGTCTTTTCACTCATTTGTTTGTTCGTTTATGCAAGTAGTGTTATACTGTTATCAGCTTAAAATAATGGGTTATAAGATAATATTTGCAAGCCTTAAGGTAACCTCAAACCAAAAAAAATACAATGGATACACAAAAAACAAAAAGCAAGAAACTAAGTCATATCACCAGAGAAAATCATCTTCACAAGAGGAAAATAGGAATGAAAGAAAGAAGGAAGAGAAGACCACACAACAACCAGAGAACAAATAACAAAATGGCAAGAGTAAGTCCTTACTTATCAATAATAATACTGACTGTAAATTGGTTGCACAGTGGCTCATTCCTGTAATCCCAGTACTTTTTGAGAGTCAGAGGTTGCAGTAAGCCAAGATCGCACCACTGCACTCCAGCCTGGGTGACAAAGTGAGACTCCAGCTCAAAGAATAATAATAATAAAAATAATAATAATAATAAAAAATAATACTGACTGTAAATGGAATAAATTTTCCAATCAAAACACACAGACTGGATAAATGGATAAAAAAAAAAAAATCAACACACCCATTGATCTGTTGCCTACAAGAAACACACTTCACCTATAAAGAAACACATAGACTAGTAATAGAGATGGAAAAACATAGCCCATGCCAATGGAAACCAAAAACAGCAGGGTCACTACACTTACATCAGACAAATTAGATTTCAAGACAAAAACTATAACAGACAAAGAAGGTGACTATATAATGATAGAGGGGTCAATTCAGCAAGAGGATATAACAAATCAATACAGATGCAACCAACTCTGGAGTGCCCAGATATATAAAGCAAATATTCTTAGCCCTAAAGAAAGAGATAGGATCCAAAACAATAACAGCTGGAGACTTCAACATCTCACTTTTGGCAATGGATAGAACTTCCAGACAAAAAATCAACAAAGAAACATCAGATTTAATTAGCACTATAGATCAAAGAGATCTAATAGATACTTATGGAACATTTCATCTAAGAGCTGCAGCATACACATTGTTTTCCTCAGCACATTGATTATTCTCAAGGATAGACTTGCCACAAAACAAGTCTTAAAACATTTAAATAAATTGAAATAATATCAAGCATCCTCTCTGACCACAATGGAATAAAACTAACAGTCAAAAACAAGAGGAATTTTGGAAACTATACAACTACAGGGAAATTAAACAATATGCTCTTGAATGACCACTGTGTCAATGGAGAAATTAAGAAGAAAATGGAAAATTTTTTGAAACCAATAATAATCAAAACACAACATAACAAAACCTATGGACATAGCAAAAACAGTTCTAAGAGGAAAGTTTATAGCTCTAAGTGCCTACATCAAAAAACAGAAAGAACTTCAATAAACAACCTAATGATACATCTTAAAAACCATAAATAAATAATATATAAATATTTATAATAATATAAATAATAATAATACTGACTGTAAATGGAATAAATTTTCCAATCAAGACACACAGACTGGATAAACAGATTAAAAAAATCAAAACTCAAACTCAAAATTAACAGAAAAAATAATAAAGATCAGCACAGAATAAATGAAATTAAAATAAAACAGTACAAAAAAACAATGAAACAAAAAGTTGTTTTTTTGAAAAATTAAACAAAATTGACAAACTTTTATCCAGACTAACTAAGAAAAAAGAAGGAAGACCCAAATAAATAAAACAAGAAACAAAAATGGATACATTACAACTGATAGTGAAGAAACTTAAAGTATTAATAGTGGCTACTATGAGCAAGTATATACCAATAAATTGGAAAATCTAGAAGTAACAGACAATGTCCTGGACACATAAAACCTACCAAGGTTGAACCAGGAAGAAATTAAAAACCTAACAGAGCAATAACAAGTAACAAGATTGAAGCCATAATAAAAAGTCTCCAAGTAAAGTAAAGCTTGGGACCCAATGAGTTCACTGCTGAATTCTACCAAATATTTAAATAAGAGTCAATACCAATCCTACTTAAAGTATTCCAAAAAAAAGAGGAGAAGGAAATACTTCCAAACTCATTCTATGAAGACCATATTACCCTGACACCAAAACCAGATAAAGACATATCAAAAAAAGAAAACTATAAGCCAATATATCAGATGAATATTGATGCACAAATTCTCAACAAAACACTAGTTAACCAAATTCAGCAACACATTAGAAAGATTATTCATTATGACAGTATTAGTCCTTTCTCATGCTGCTATGAAGAAATACCCAAGAGTGGATAATTTGTGAAGAAAAGAGGTTTAATTGACTCACAATTCCACATGGCTGAGGAGGCTTCAGGAAACTTGCAATCATGGCAGAAAGGGAACCAAACATGTCCTTTTTCACAGCACAGCAGGAGAGAGAAGTGCCAAGCAAAGGGGTAAAAGCTCCTTATAAAACCATCAGATCTTGTGAGAGCTCACTCTCAGAAGAACAGCATGGGTGTAACTGTTGCCATTATTCAATTCCACTGGGTCTCTCCCACAGTAGGTAGGGATTATGAGAACTACAATTCAATATGAGATTTGGGTGGAGACACAGCCAAACCATATTAATGACCAAGCGCAATTTATCCCTGGAATGCAAGGATGGTTCAACATATACAAATCACTCAATGTGATACATGATATCAACAGAATGAGGGAAAAAACACATAATCATTTCAATTGATGCTGAAAAAGCTTTTGATAAAACTCAATATACCTTCATGATAGAAACCCTCAAAAAACTAAGGAAAGAAGGAACATACTTCAACATAATAAAAGCCATATATAACATACCCACAGCTAGTATGATAATGAATGAGAAAAAAACTGAAAGCCTTTCCTCTAAGATCTGGAACTCAACAAGGATGCCCACTGTCAGCACCGTTATTTAACAAAGTACTGGAAATCCTAGTTAAAGCAACTAGACATGAGAAAAATATAAAAGGGCATCCAAATTGAAAAGGAAGAAATCAAATTATTCTTGTTTGCAGATGATATAATCTTATATTTGAAAAAACCTGAAGACTCCACAAGAAAACTATTAGAATGAATAAACAATTCAGTAAAGTTGCAGGATACATAATCAACATAAAAAATTAGCATTGCTATATGTCAAAAGTAACAATGTGAAAAAGAAACTTAGAAAGTTATTCCATTTGCAGTAGCTACACATACAATTAAATACATAGAAGTTAACCAAACACGTGAAAGATCTCTATAATAAAAATAATGAAATACTGATGAAAGAAATTGAAGAGGACACCAAAAAATTAAAAAATATTCCATGTTCATGGGTTGCAATAATATTGTTAAAATGTTCATATTACCCAAAGCAGTCTACAGATTCAATGCAATCCCTATCAAAATACCAATAACATTCTTCATAGATACAGAAAAAACAGTCCTAAAATTTATATGGAACCACAAAAGACCCAGAATAACCAAAAAGTTTCTTGAGCAATACCACACAAGCACAGACAACCAAAGCAAACACGGACAAATGGTATCACATCAAATTAAAAAGCTTCTCCACAGCAAAGAATACAATTAACAAAGTGAAGAGACAACCCAAAGAATGGGAGAAAATATTTGCAAACTACCCCTTTGATAAGGAATTAATAACCAGGATATATAAGGAGCACAAACAATTCTATAGAAAAAAGTCTAATAATCCAATCTAAAGATGGGCAAAGAATTTGAAGAGACATTTCTCAAGAAAAAACATAAAAATGGAAAACAAGCATAAGAAAAGGTGCTAAACATCATTGATCATCAGATAAATGCAAATAAAAACTACAATAAAGATATCATCTCATCCCAGTTAAAATAGCTTATATCAGAAAGACAGAAAATAACAAATGCTAATGAGGATGTGGAGAAAAGGGAACCCTTGTACACTGTTGGTGGGAATGTAAATTAGTACAACCACTATGGAGAACAGTTTGGGAGTCCCTCAAAAAACTTAAAATAGAGCTACCATATTATCCAGCACTCCCACTGCTGGGTATATACCCAGAAGAAAGTCAATCAGTATATTGAAGAGATATCTGCACTCCTGTTTGTTGCAGCCCTGATTATAATGGCCAACATTTGAAACAACCTAAGTTTCCATCAGCAGATAAATGAATAAAAAAATGTGGTACATATACCCAATGGAGTACTAGTAAGCTATGAAAAAAATGAGATCCAGTTATTTGCAACAACATGGATGAAATTGGAGGTCACTATGTTAAGTGAAACAAGTGAGGCACAAAAATACAAATATCACATGTTCTCACATATTTGTGGGATCTAAAAATCAAACAATTGAACTCATGGACATAAAGAGAAGAAGGATGGGAAAGCTAGTTGGGGGGCTGGGGTGGGGCAGTAGGTGCGGATGGTTAATGGGAAAAAAAAAATTAGAAAGAATAAATAGGGCTTACTATTTGATAGCACAACAGGGTGACTATAGTTAATAATGACTTAACAGTACATTTTAATAACTAAAGAGTATAGTTGGATTGTTTGCAACTCAATGGAAAAATGCTTCAGTGGATGGATCCCCTATTCTCTATGATGTGCTTATTTCACGTTTCATGCCTGTATCAAAACATCTCTTGTACTCCATAAATATAAACACCTACTATGTACCTACAAAAATTAATCAGTAGACAAAATCAACAAGAGAAAGAAATTATTCAAGAAAAAGAAAATGGTGACATACCTATATGTTATACACATAAAAAATTTACTTGTATATTTATATTTATGTTTATATATTTTTATATATACCTATACATATATGTACACACATATATAAATATATACACACATACATAAAGTTGTCATTAATCTCCCCAGAAAAATAAGAATAGAAACATTAATTACATTAAAAATGTTACAAATTAAAGCATTTGAAAAATAAAATGAGCTCTTAGAAATTAAAAGATAAGGCTAGCAATAATGCTCACTATAAGACTTGAAAAGAATAATTGAGCTGATGTGCCAGAAAGTGACTAAAATATATAAGTAAATAAATAAATGGACAACAGGAGTGTGATAGATCAAAATGTCTGCCAAGATTTTGGGCACTTATTGAAAATTCAATCTAATTTTCCTCCTTTTAAATCTAGGCTGGATACAGTGACTGCTTTAACAACTAGAATATGGCAGAAGTGACATGGGAAAAAAAAGATCAACAGAATTGGCTTGTGATTTATTAACTCCCTTCACCAGGGGCATGTCCCTGGGGAGAAATAAATGCAGTGTACCTGGTCTAATGTCTGGGACCTTGGGTATATAAACTAATATTTACTAAGAAAAAGAGATTGTGTTTTTTGAAACCCCTCAGCAGAATGTTCTCTAACTAAAAGATCATTTTGAGTAAAAAAAAAAAGAGAGAGAGACAAAAGTAATCTGTGATGTTGGGCTTCTTGGGAAATGTCATAAAAGAAATGTCATAAAAACCATACAATTCTATTGAGTATAAGCTGGGCAGAACTGTCAAAAGCAATCAGTTTTAGCACTCTGGGAATCAAGCAAAGGTATTCAAGAAAGGAAAAGTATATTTACGAAAAACACTGAATTTCAGGTAAGAACAACATGTTCTTGCCCCAGGACTGCTCAGTTGAAAAACTGCATCTTTTGTTGTGCATTAGAGATATATTTCTGATGCAGAAGGAAACGATTTGCAGGAATGCCCTTGACATTACTAGATCACTCCACATTGCATGAATCTCTCAATTACCTGTATCTTTGACACAATTAGCAAAGCTTGCTATTGGGTGCTGTGGACTGAATTTTGTCCACCCTAACCCACAATGTGACTGTATTTGGAGATAGGGCCTTTGGGAAGTAATTAGAGTTAAATGAGGTTGTGAGGGTGGGGCCCTCATGGTGGGATTAGTGCACTTATAAGAAGAGACACCAGAGAGCTTGCTTTCTCTCTCAGCCATGTGAGGACACAATGAGAAGACAGCCATCTGTAAGCCAGGAGGAGGGCTCTCACCAGGACCCAAATTAACTCAAATGTTGGTTTTGGCCTTCCTAGACTCCATATTTTTAAGAATAAATTACTGCTTTTAAGCAAACCAGTCTATGGTATTTTGTTATGACAGCCCAAGCTGACTAAGACACTGTGTAAAATCTTTCACTTATGAGTTTCATTTGACAGCTTGATCTTGTGCATTAATTCAAGATATTCTGCCAGTTTCCAGGCCCAGGCCTTAAGAGACTGACAGCTTCCTTCTTGATTCTTGGAATACTTTTGCTGAGCAGCCATGTAGGAGATCTAACTCCCTTTCCTTTGAATCTGAGGTTTCAGTGACTGTTTTACCAATGGAATAGGTAGAAATGATGCTGTGCTAATTTCTAGGCACAGGCCTTTAGACACTAACACCTTCATTATTTTTGTCCCTTGAAACCTCCTCTCTTGTACCCTTGAGGCACCATATCAGAAGTTAGACTACACTGAGATTACCTGGGGTGGGGAGGCACTTTGGTAAATAGTCCCAGTAAGCCCAGCCCTTCATCCTTCCCCACCAAGGGTGTCACGTCATGAGATAGTGTCCTGGCTCATCCACTCCATCTGTTGCATGAGGTATGAGTCAATGCCTCAAGAGTACAGAGAATTGTCCAATCCAATGAAGCCATGCCTGAATTCCCAATCCCCCAAATCATCAGATGTGATAAAATTGTTCTTATCTTATGCCACTAAGTTGTGGGTTACTTTATTAGGCTGCAATACATAACCAAATCAAGGAAAAAAACATACATAAAGTTAGAGGACAAATTCAGAAAGTGCAGCATTTTAAAAAGTTCTAGAAGGAGAGAATAGGAAAGCATATGGAAGAATCAATGAAAAGTTTTATAAAGATTTCCCTAAACGGAACACAAATTTCTAGGTTCAAAATGCCCACAAGTGCACAAGATCATGGCTAGATCTACACCAAGGCACATCAGTGTAAAATTTCAGTACTCTGAGGAATAAAAAGTAAATATCTGAATTTCTTCAAAAGGACAAAAATAAAAGCCAACCCCTCCCCCCGCAAAAAGCAAAACATTAACATAACAAATCATAAGAATTTAGTATGGCTCCCAGCTTCTCAACAATGAAACAGTGCCTTCAAATTTCTGAAGGAAAATTGTTTTTAACAGATTATATGTCAGCTCAAGTTATTAATCAAAAGTGAAGGCAGAGAAAAGTCATTTGAAACATGCAAGTCCTCGCATAAAAGACCATTCCAAGTCAACCTTTTGTCAGGAAGCCACTGGAGGTTAGCCTTCAATTTTACAAAATGCAAGTAAAATAAGAATAAGGAATATGAAAAATAGAAGATTCAACAAGGAGATATGCAAGGAAACCTGCAGGAGTTTGGCAGAGCTTTACTCAGCATGGTAACTGCACCATCCTGGGATGAGGTAACTGGTATGGAACAGCCAGTCCAGAGTGGGCCACTATGAATCAAGAAGCAAGAATTTCATTGTCATCATCATGTCTTTTGCTGTTCAATATTAAACCCATGGAATTTCTAGATAATGTGATCCCTAAAAGAAGGGTATGAGCAAAAAGAAAAAGAAATATATCATTTTTTTTCAAATAGGAAAAGGAAAGGAGAGCAAAATACCATTCCCAGGTTAGCTGTGCAGTAGGCCTGATGAACAACCAGCCTGGATAGAAGACTGGAAATTTTTAGAAGTTTCTCCAAGGGGGAAAATTAATAGAACCTATAAATAACCAAATGAGATTTACCTTTTAAAAAAATGAACTATGAAGAAAGAATTAGCATAAGGTACAAAAAAATACTAAGCAAATTGAAAATATCAGCAATATTAACGTCAAGAAAAACATGTAGAACATAAAAGGAATGCAATGAGGGTGGAAGGAATGTAGAGGGAAGGGGATTTGGGAAGGGTTTATAAGAGATAACCTTAACCTTAATCTAAAAAATAAGTAGAACTTCAATGGGCAGAGAGATAAGTTCATGTTATATGCCATGAAGTGAAAGCAGCAGAGCAGTTTAGCTAAAGTGTCTAAAACTTAAATGTGACCAAGGGACTGACAGAAAATATAAATACAAAAACAATTTTTCTCATCTTCTGTGGATTGCTGCCACACAAGAATCTAAGCCTAAATTTGCCATATATTCTAATGTTTTACAAGCAGTAAAAAAATCTTGATTTGTATATGAAATAGCTTGATTGTTAAATCTTCACAATAATGATGCATACCATTAACATATATGTGTGTGTGTGTGTGTGTGTGTGTGTGTGTGTGTGTATGTATATATATGATAAAATAAGCTCAGGCCACATAAAAATGTATCTGTCATCAGAATGCAGCAACTACCAGTTTGCAGTCTCTGGATAAATCATGCATTTTTTTTTTTTTTTTTTTGAGACAGAGTTTCGGTCTTGTTGCCCAGGCTGGAGTGCAATGGTGCAATCTCTGCTCACCGCAACCTCCGCCTCTCGGCTTCAAGGGATTCTCCTGCTTCAGCCTCCCAAGTAGCCAGGATTACCGGCATGCGCCACCATGCTGGGCTAACTTTGTATTTTCAGTAGACACAGGGTTTCTCCATGTTGGCCAGGCTGGTCTCGAACTCCCAACCTCAGGTGATCCACCCACCTTGGCCTCCCAAAGTGCTGGGATTACAGGCAAGACTCACAGCGCCTGGCCAATCATGCATCTTGCAAGTGAGTATGAGGTAGTGTAAGAGGTAAGCTAAGTCCAGATTATAAGGGACCTTGAAATTCAAGAAACAGAGCAATACTCAGAACCTCCTGAATGTTTTCGAGAAGAAAAATGAGATAATGACAGCTATGGCTAAAAGTATTGTTTTTTCCTTGAAATGTTTTTAAAAATTATATTTTACTCTCAATAACAAAAGTAGGATATCTAACATATGGATGTTGTCTAAAATATTCGTGATTATGTAGAATGAGTAAGAGTCTCCAGACTCTGAAAAATGTAACCAAATGCAGGGTCAGCCACTCCTGCTTTCAAAATCAAATAAGGACAAGGTGTGGTAGAAGGAAAATTATTTTATTTTCCAAAGTTAGCAGTGGGGAAGATATTCAGGCTCCTGCCTAAACAAAACTGCGTCAAAATTATTAGGCAAAAAGCTAGGGTTAAAGCAGGAGAAGTTTGGTATGGAGGGCATGTGGGGTGCTTGAGGCAATGCAGGTCTATTTGACTTGTTGCAATCGGGTGAATGGGCTGGTGCCATCTTGTGCTCAACCAGCTTATAAACTAGCCACAGCCCTGAAGTAAGCTGGTGGGGAAGAATTGTACAGACACTTGAACTGTCGCAAGATTCAGTTTCTGGAACTTCTAGGCAAACGTAATTAGATAAGCTAGAAATGCAAGGACATGCCTGGTGGAAAGAAGAAGAGTAAAAGTCATTATTTCGTTACTAAAAAGTTAATACAAATCACTGCAGAAGGAAGAGGAAACAAAACTTAAAAATAGGGTATTCAATTCCAAAAACAGGTCATTTAATTGAAGGAGATTTTGAAATTAGTGAAATATAGAAAAAGAAGGTATGTGATATGTTTGCGTTCAAATTCCAGTTCTGCTACTGAAACGAGAGAGTTCCCTGATCCCCGTCTCAGGACGTATGACACGGGTGTGGATCGTCTGTTAGGTCCTCGCGGTTGCTCAAACCCCTTATGGGAGGGGAAGCAGGCAGACAGACAGGTGAAGGAGCCCACGTGGACGTTTTGTGCCCTTTTATGCCTTGCAGTTCATGGACGGCTTGAGTGTTAATCAGCTCAAAGGACCCTCTGCCTTTCTGCAAGGGCAGAGGGCCAGTGTGACAGCTTTCTGTATCCCACGCTCTTGTCCAGTTTCCTGAAAAATTTGGATCACACACGGATTCCAAGGATGAATGCAGGAGTTTTACTGAGTGGTGGAGGTGGCTCTCAGCGAGATGGGGAGCCAGAAGCGAGGGATGGAGTGGGAAGGTGATCTTCCCCGGAGCCTGGTTGTCCAGCTGCCGAACCCCTCTCCAACCGCCCCCAGGAGAACTCCTCTCTGCATTCAGATGTGTCCCCTCTTCTCTCTTTCTCTTCCGCCTCCTCTTTTCTCTTTCTCTGCCGTGTCATTCCACCGTCCATCTGCTTGTCTCCTCATCTCCTCGCCTGCTTGTCTGCCTCTGGAGCCTGGGGTTTGGGGTTTATATGGTTACAGGATAGGTGGTGTCGTGGGCCAAAAGGCAACTTTCTGGGAGCAAAAACAGGAATGCCTACCCTCACTTAGGGCTGCGGATCTTCAGGCTTGAGGGTGGGGCCTTTGCCCGGGAACCGCCCTCTTCCACCTGGTGTTTCCCACCCTGTCTCCTGTCCGTATCACTACTAACCAGCTGTGTGATGTTGTAGAATTTGGTTAGCATTTCTGGGATTCCATATTCTCAACGCAATGGAAATAACACTTATTTCAGTTATTATAAAGATACCTGCCATTAGGTATGTAATTTTTAGTTTAGTGGATGTCATTTAATAAGTAATAATTGGCAGGTATTTTGTCTTTTACTCAGTGACTTATTAGTCCTGTCTTCTTAATAGTTAACATCATACATCACCCTTATCAAAGATAGTTCAAAGTCTTTCGAATTGGGAGAAATCAATAGAGAGTTAAAACTGATCTTTGGAAATAAATGATTGAAGGAACAATTTATTTCATAATAAAATATTATTGAGAGTATTTTCTGCTTCAGCATAAGAAGCAGAGCAATATTTATGAGGAATTTAACAAGGATAGTATTACAGCTTAATTTAAGTTGACACCCTTCACCAGAAGTTGTAAAGGAAGCCAGAGGCATATCATGAGTGAGAAAATTATAATAAGCCAATGTTTAGAGAAAAAAAAAAACTGATAAAAATTTAAGGTGATAATAATGTGTATTGTAGTCTTTGTTTTTTATTTCTTTTTACACTTGCTTCCTTTAGCTAGTGTATTTTATATTTTAAACATGGCCTGAAAATTTAAGTCATATATGTTCTTGTCTATTTAAACCGTTTATTTTACTTCATTTTTAATGGAGAGAAATGTTTGCAATTACTAAAAGGATTATTCCTTTTGTAAAATCCATAACTGAAATAATTCTAGCTGCTGCACCTGTAGTACAATAATAAAAAACACCAATCACTTGGAAGTAACTACCACCAAAAGAAAAGGCAGACAGAGCTTAGTTTCTCTGGGACTTGCCCTGCAACATCAACCCTTTTTAAAGGAACAATAAAAGATTATTAAGGAGGGAGAATTTTCAAAGGAAACTTGTTTTAAAGTGGTACCTTCTAGAAGGTGGCCTTAGGGCCTAGCTCCTGAGAAAGGCATTACTAAGAAATCACTGAAAAAGATTACAAAGTGTTTTTACAAAGTGTTTTTTCAAAGTCTTCCTCAGTTTTAGAATCGCAAAGGCTGAGAGGAATCTTAGTTGAGAGGCAACATGATCATACTTCGTGACACCTAGAAACCCAAAGCTAAACAGCCTCAGTCCTGCAGTTCCAAAACAGACTCCTTAGGCAATTCATTCATTTGCTAAAACTTTCACTGGGGGAAATTTACTTGAAAATGTGGGAATCCTCTAGAGATTGTCTCCCTCTCCTCTCCGCTCCTTAAAAGGGTCTTAATTGCTATGTGACCTGATCTTGCACCGCCACTATCCTTCAAAGATGTGCTTCTATGATCAACTTTGGCACATGAACCAAAGTTGGAGAGCAAGCCTGGGGATTATAAAATTCATTATATTTTTTTCTAGTGGGGTTGGTCACTACCTAATAAAAACACAAAGCTTGCTCCTACCTACAGATCTCCAAGCGTGCCAGTTCTCTCATAGAATCTCCTCCTTTCTTACCGTGGTAAGCTATTTTCAGAATTCCAGGTCATGGCTTCAAGAGCACCATGAAGCCTTATGTGAGTAATTGTCATATTTTTCTGTAATTTTCCTTAAAACTCTTCAATTGAAGCATTGATTGAAATGCACATAAACACACACACCCCCACCATTACCACCATCCTAGGGGTATGTAGTCACCATTTGAAAAAGCAACCAAGTTCTTTCTCACTCAGTGCAATCCTAGTAAATATGCTGTTTAGCATAATAAATGCCAGAACATTATTTTCCACTGGGAATTTTACACTTGGAATATGACTAAATCCCAAGTAAAGCCACTTGTAGAAGTATATTTTAACCAAAAGTAGAAGAGAAGATTGGTTACCTTGAGTGAAGTTTTCATGCAATTTGTGAGTCGAATGCTTGAAAAAGCAGAGCAAGCTGAGTTGAGAGGACAAGTTTTATGAATAAATTTCTATGTGCTTACTTGCCAATGCCTGTATATGTGTGTATGTGGCAGGGTTCATTCTGACACTTGCTTTTTTTCATTTTTCATTTTCCTACCTGTTAGTGAAGTAGAAGGCAAGAAAAATAAGTAGTAATGTGTCCGGAATTTATTCCTTCTGGTAGGTTCTTGGTCTCGCTGGCTTCAAGAGTGAAGCCACAGACCCTCGTGGTGAGTGTTACAGCTCTTAAAAATGGTGTGTCTGGAGTTTGTTCCTTCAGATGTTCAGATGTGCCCAGAGTTTCTTCCCTCCTGTGGGTTTGTGGTCTCACTCACTTCTGGAGTAGTGAAGCCACAGACCTTTGCAGTGGGTGTTACAGCTCTTAAAGGTGGCACGTCTGAAGTTGTTTGTTCTTCCCAGTGGGTTCATAGTCTCACTGACTTCAGGAATGAAGCCACAGACCCTCACAGTAAGCTCATAAAGGTAGTGTGGACCCAAAGAGTGAAAAGCAGCAAGATTTATTCTGAAGAGCAAAAGAACAAAGCTTCCACAGCATGGAAGGGGACCCGGGTTGCCACTGCTGGCTTGGGTGGCCAGCTTTTATTCCCTTATTTGGGCACACCCACATCCTGCTGATTGGTCCATTTTACAGAGTGCTGATTGGTCCATTTTACAGAGTGCTGATTGGTGCGTTTACAATCCTTTAGCTAGACACAGAGTGCTGATTGGTGTGATTTTACAGAGTGTGCTGATTGGTGTGTTTACAACCCTTTAGCTAGACACAGAGCACTGACTGGTGCATTTACAATCCTTTAGCTAGACACAAAAGTTCTCCAAGTCCCCACTGGACCCAGAAGCCCAGCTGGCTTCACCTCTCAGTAATCCCCCAACTTTTTTTTTTTTTGAGACTGAATTTCACTCGTGTTGCCTGGGCTGGAGTGCAATGGCATGATCTTGGCTCACTGCAACCTCCGCCTCCTGGTTTCAAGTGATTCCCCTGCCTCAGCCTCCCAAGTAGGTGGGCTTACACACACGTGCCACCACACCGGGCTGATTTTGTATTTTTAGTAGAGATGGAGTTTCACCATGTTGGTCAGGTTGGTCTTGAACTCCTGACCCCAAGTGATCCACTCACCTAGGCCTCCCAAAGTGCTGGGATTATAGGCATAAGCCACCACGCCTGGCCATAATCCCCTACCTTTAACTATTGTAGGTCAGCAAAATTTTACTGAAATCTATCAAACATAATTCAGTGATTGTGAATGACCAATTCTATAATATGCAACATTATTCCACTCTTACATCCCCAATCATTGGACTTTACAGGTATTTTTAGCCTGAATACACAATGTGCTACTTATTATAGAAATAGATCTCTCATCTTTCTCTTTCCCACAGTAATTTAGCTATCCTTTTCCAAATTTCCTGGCTCTTGCTGATACCTGTGTTAAAAGAAAAAACTTTAGATGAATTAAATTAACAGAGTTTAATTGAGCAAACAAGTCTTAAACTGGGAATCCCTCCCCCATGCCCCTCAGCAAACCAGAATAACGTCAGAAAGACTCCAGCACTGCCACATGGTGAGAAAAAATTTATAGGCAGAAAACGGAAAGTAATTTAAGAAAACAGAACACAGATACAAAAACAGCTGGATTGGTTACAGTTCGACGTTTGCCTTATTTGAACATTGCTTCAATAATGGGCAGCCTTTGGCCAAAACTTAGTGATTAGTATAGGGGTAAGTTACAGTCTGTTTATGCATCCAGTTAGGTTACAGTTCATTATGTACATAGAAACCTTTAAGCCAAACTTAATATATGTATAGAGCCAGCTTTAGGCTAAACTTAACTTAACACCTGCTTTCTCTGTTTCGTTCAGTTATTTTTGTTTTCTCACCACCAGTCTGAAGGCAGAGAACATGGTGTGGGTAAAAAAAGTATATTTCCCTTATTTTAGTTTTCTCACCACCAAACAGAAGGCAGAAAACATGGTATGGTTAAAAAGAGTATAAACTTTAGAGCTACATAGTACTAGAGTCAAATCCTGGCCACTCAATTTCTTAGCTTTATGACTTGGGCAAGTAACTTACAGTTATAGCACCTCACTTATGTTCTGTGTAAAGTGGATATTGTAACCGTCCAATGGGTTCACCTTACCCACTGTCTAGAGGAAGCCAATTTATCAAGACAGGTGATGAGACAGAGAAAGAGTAATTCATGCATAGTCAGCTGTGCAGGAGACGGGAGTTTTATTGTTAGTCAAATCAGTCTCCCTAGGCATTCAAGAATCAGAATTTTTAAGGATAATTTGGTGGGTGGGGGAAGTCCAGCGAGTCGAGAGTGCTAAGAGGTTGGGTTGAAGATGAAATCATAGGAAGCTGAAGTTGTCTTCTTGTGCTGTGTCAGTTCTTGGGTTGGCGGTCACAAGATCAGATGAGCCCATTTATAGATCTGGGTGGTGCCAACTTATCCATCCTTTGCAGGGTCTGCAAAGTATCTCAAGCACTGATCTTAGGAGCAGTTTAGGGGGTGTCAGAATCTTGTAGCCTCCAGCTGCATGACTACTAAACCATAATTTCTAATCTTGTGGCTAATTTGTTAGTCCTACAAAGGCAGCCTTGTCCCAGGCAAGAAGGGGGTTTGTTTTGGGAAAGGGCTGTTACCGTCTTTGTTTTAAACTACAAACTATAAACTAAGTTCCTTGCAAAGTTAGTTCAGCGTACACCCCGAAATGAACAAGGACAACTTGGAGGTTAGAAGCAAGATGGAGTTGATTGGGTTCGATCTCTTTCACTGTCTCCGTTAATTTCGCACTGGCAGTTTCACTATAATACCAAACTTACTTGAACTTTCAGAAAAATAAATGTGATGGGTATTCACAGTGCTTAGCATAATGACAGATACACAGCACACTCTCTGAAATTATTGGTCACCTTTACTTTTACTTGGGATAGTAGTGAATATACATACTAAGTAAAACCTCAGTGAATCCTTGCTGACTGGTTAATAGGTACAACTGAATTTTTGTTCATTGTAGGCTAAATACTATTGTTTTCATTTGCGTTAAACATATTTTATTATAACTTCTAATATCATATCACAATTTTTTCATGTCAAATTATGTTGTCTCAATGAGAGTAAATGTAAATCACCAATAATTTAATATCCAATTGATATTTTGGGAAAAAGACATTGCTGTTAATGCAAAATATCAAATAAAAAACAGGCATGGATAACCAGTATCTTTTCAAACACTTGAAACCTTAAGAGGCTGGGCGCAGTGGTTCATGCCTGTAATCCCAGCACTTTGGGAAGCCAAGGCAGGCACATCACGAGGTCAGGAGATAGAGATCATCCTGGCTAACATGGTGAAACCCCAGCTCTACTAAAAATACAAAAAAGTTAGCCGGGCGTGGTGGCACACACCTGTAGTCCCAGCTACTCGGGAGGTTGAGGCAGGAGAATCGCTTGAACACAGGAGGCGGAGGTTGCAGTGAACAGACATGGTGTCACTGCACTCTAGCTTGGGCAACAGAGTGAGACTCCGTCTCAAAACAACAACAATAACAACACAACTTTAAGGAATAATGCGTTTAGGGTTCTTAATAGCTAACAATTGTCTATACATTCTTCAAGTAAATCTTTTGCTTGTCATCATTCAATTTCTCAGCTAACATCAAAAATGCATAAAATCCCAGATGTGAAAATTAGAAAATGCATTTGTCTTAATTATACTAAGAAGAGCAACTAAAAGAAAAAAAGATTAAATCATTCATTTAGAATCTGATAACTTAAATCACCTACCATTTATAGGAAGGCAAAAGAAACCAAATGAGTATGATCTTTATATTTATTGCAACCTAATTTTTAAGTGTAAATTGACAGCTCAAATGCTGAAAGAGCAAAAAGCATATAAACACAGGTAAACAGAGATTAGCATATTTTCATTTCCCTTCATAAGAATTATGAAGCTAATTAATAAGAATTCACAATCTAATTAGACCTTATTTGCCTAAAATGGCTTCTGTAGCAACTAGGCAAAGGTTGATACCTACAGAGCTAAGAAAAGTTTCTAGCCTTGACTGCTTCATATCCTCTATATCATTTTTCTCTGTTTATCATTCAGGTCCAAGTAATGCAGTCCAGCAGAGAAACTGTAGCTGTGCATCACGTGAGGTATGAACTTGTGTCACTGTGGTATGTTATTCTGTTTGTCACATGTCTTTGGAACTGACATAGATGGGTGAGAATACTTATGTATGCATATAGGATTGAAATACTTACCTGGCCTCTTTTTTCATATATGTTTAAGCTACTTTATAATTTTTAATATTTGGGGTGCATTCTATTTACATCATAATTAATTTTAAAAATCAGTGTTTTTTAAATTGTACTAGTTGTTTGTTATTTTATCAATTATTTAACTGTATCTAAATTATCAAACAGGGTATGTGGACTGTTGTCTGAGAATCTTTTCTCCATTCATAGCTTTTTTCCTTTCAATTTTTGCATTCTGAATTGCTAAATAATGCTAAATAATGCAAAATAATTAAATAAAAAACAGGCATGGATAACCAGCATCTTTTCAAACACTTAAAACTTTTAAGAATAATGCGTTTAGGGTCATTAATAGCTAACAATTGTCTATACATTCTTTCTTTAAGCAAATATTCTCCTTTTGCCTGTCATCATTAAATTTCTCAACTAATGTCAAAATGCATAAAATCTCAGATACAAAAATTAAGCAATGTGTAGATCTTAATTATGCTAAGAAAAGCAACTAAAAGAAGAAAAAGATTAAATCATTCACTTACAATACATTAAAAATACTAGCATCATTAAGACACAAAAGCTCCAAAACAAACTGGTCAAGACCAAATCCACAGTTGCTGTGGAAATGACAATTTTGTTTTATTGTCAATAGGCTGAGAATATATTGTGTGTTTGCATGTGTGTTTAAGCTGTATATTACGAATGCTACTTATGTTGATATCCTAAAATTTAAAAGACTTCTCAGCTGTCAGTATGCTCCCTCTCACTAATATGTATACAATTTAATATATCAATGAACATGCTTAAAGCACATTAGATGGAGATCTGTCTATACCAGTATGGAAAAAAAAATTCTAAATGCATTTGCCTTGCCATCCTTGACATCAGATTAATGGATCAAGACCCCTGGGTTCGAATTCTAGTTCTACTCTTATTATGTGACATTGTACAAGCTACTAACATCTCTTTCTTTGTCACCTATAAATTAGGCATATAAATTGAGTTGAGATGTAATAATGTGAATTTTTAGAAATTCATATGATGTGCTTAATAGAAATAAGAACATCATAAAGTTTTTCTGAAAATTAAATGAGTTAATATATTTGAGGTGGCATAATGCAAGCCGTCACATAGTAAACGCTCAATACTTATTGGCCATTATTATCATGAATTTATTAGTTTCTTCCAATAATAGGCATTTCTCTTAGCTCACAGTAACTGCCTCCACTTTAGTTTCTAGAGGAAGAACAATTACTCTACAGACCTACATAATGTGCGATTTTATATGATATGATTATAAACTAATTTATTATAGAAAAATTATAACTGATTAAGTATTCAGTATCCAATAGCCAACAGGCAAGGACTGTATATATACATATATCAGGTATATTTTCATTTAATCTACTAAGTTAGGTGCCATTCATTATATCCTCCCCTTTATGGGGAAAATGAAAGCACACAGAAAAAAATAACATTTCATCTAAATTCTTATAACAAGTATATATGGAAGTTGGGACATAAACTGGATCTATCTAAGGCCAATCTTTGTACTCTTAACTACTCACACTATACTACCTACCAGCAAAGCAGTATTCCAATAGGAAGATATGGCAAATAATTGATCTGCAGAAATTCATCTTTTTTAAATGCTAAAGCTGCTTATGCTGTGCATAACTTATTCTGTATATTCTCTCTTACATAACCATGAAGAGTGGAGAGTCACACTTGATATGTATTTGTAGAATTAAATTTTTTTACATTAAATGTCATAGTACCCTTAACTTTTTCACAAAGTTTTTGATTTACAACTCTTTAATTACTTTTATGACTTTTCTTGACCCTGTCTTATTTCTCTTAATCTTTTTTTAAGGTGTGAAAACCAAAAGTAGATATAGCAAAGGTATGACTAATGCAAATTCTAATAGATGTTTCTATTTTGAGAAAAAAATTCACATTATTACATCTCAACTCAATTTTCCCTTTTATTGTGGAAAAGCTTAGCTTTCCTTTAAAATAGAAAAAATGATTTTTTACTTTTGCCATCTTACCTACATTTATCCTAATTTGAAGGTAGACAGTTTCTAAAGTTCAGGATAAAGTTTAATATCTAGGTAAGCTTTTCACAAAATAGGTTGGGCACACTAGTCCCTTGAGTTATCTCTTAGAAATGGATTTTCTACACAAAGAAACCAACTATAAACCAACTATAGCTTCATCTTGGAAGTTTTCAATGTAAATTTAAAAATAAGCATTTATTTTTGCTTGATCTAGCATTTCCCAGTTTAATTGTCATAGAGCATTTTTTTCTCATAGAACCTATGAATGTCCACTGCTCTTTATGAAGGGGCCCAACTAATTATTAACCTCATCTCTTCTTTCCTGCTTCCTACCCTGCTGACATTGCTAATTCTGGGAAAAAAAGTCTTAGGACAAGAAAAAGATATTAAGTTACTAGACATTAAATACAATTTAGTTCGTGATCATGTTTATGATAGCCAACATAGAATGGGGATTTAAGATCACAGGAGAAGATGATTTTACAGAAAAGATATGGGAAGCAGTCTCTGAGTTGGGATTATTCAATCTTGATTCAGTCACTTAGCACAGGAATTGGTTCTAGGCTTTGTTAAATTTCATTCTTTTAACATATGAGATATAGTGTTAAACCTGACTAAGCATATTTTATTAGTTATGTGGCACTAAATTTGATTCTTGAGGTAAATAAAAAATTAATCTTTGGGAAGATGTGCTTTTATAACTATATAGTGACCTATCTGCACATAAATAAGTAATGCACAAAAGAAAGTGACGAAGAGTGCAAATAGAGTGCTGAGAGTATTTAAGAAGGCAGGTAATGCTTTTGATATTTAATGGAAGAAGAGCCATTTCAATTAGATTATAAAGGATGAGTAGAATTTAGAAAGACTAAAGTTATTTAAAGTTTAGGTTCAATAGTTGAGAGGCATTTCAGCTACTAAGGGGGAAATATAGGCAAGCAAAGAAACATGGTATTAACAGAAATATCCAAGGAATAATGATCAATCAATTATTCATAGAGCTGATATGAAGGTTAACATAGATAATAAAGAAGACTTCTGCTTCACGTAATAGTATATAATTTAAGGCAACAATCCAATTCAGATAAAACAAATTGGCAAAAAGTATGTTTTTTTTTTTAAGTTGTATGGATTATTCTGTTGACCTTCTCTTTCTGGTCTGGCATGTAAGGAGCTAGATAAAAAGCTAAACAAACTGAAAATTTAGAAGAGCTAAACAACACTTCTTAAATCTATCAGAGCATTTACGTCATAGGGCAAACTGCTGCCCCAAAACTGGAGGGGCAGGAATATACAAAGAATCATAGCCACCAGACCAGAAGCCCAAAAGTAAAAGCCTGCTGCTGGGGCCAGTACCAGAGGAAACATATTAAATATATAGTAATTGACGAATTGCTGCAAGCTCAACATGGATAACTTGGGAATAAAATACAAAGTTTTACATTCAGGAGCTCCTCCAGGTTCTCAGGGTGAAATCAATGAAAAACTCCCTTGTGCTTCTGGCAGGAGGGCAGGAAAAGTAACCATTCTGAAATATGCCAGAGTATTCTGTTCTCCTTAATAAAAGTCTGCCCTTAAGGAAAACAACTGGGCCAAAGTGTTCAGTACGTTGGGTTTTACCAGAGCCTAACCAGCATGGGAGAAGATTAGTACTCAACTCCAGTGCTCTTTAGACTACTGAGACATCTTGGAAAAGGCAGAACTATAGAGACAGTAAAAAGATCATGATTTTGAGATGATTCAGGGAAAAGGATGAATAGGTAGAGCATAGGGAATTCTAGGCAATGAAACTTCTGTATGATACTATAATGATGGATACATGTCATTTTACATTTCTTAAAATCATAGAATGCAGAATGCAAAAAGCAAACCCTAATATAAACTATAAATTTTAGTTAAGAATAATGTATTAATATTGATTCATCAATTTTAATGAACTTACCACACCAATGCAAGAAGTTAATAATATGGGAAACTATGTGCAGTGTGTGTGTGTGTGTGTGTGTGTGTGTGTGCCTGTGTGTATGTGGAGGTGGGGAGGTAGCGTATGCGAACTCTCAGCACATTCCCCTCAATGTTTCTAGAATCTGAAAACTGCCCTTAAAAAAGTCTCTTAAAAATGTATGATTGAAGGCATAGAAATCTAATAAGATGGTGAAAAAATATCTCAAAACTCAGGAAATGTTACAGTCCCAAGAAAATAAGAACCATCATTTCCCCTGGGAGTATTTCAGGGGAAGAGTTGATGAGATGAGAGACTGAATGTAGCCTTGATTAACTTGGAAAATAGAAAGCAATGAACCAGATAAAAATCCTGGAACATATAAATAAATAAGTAATTTCATACCAAGGTATAAGGGTTTCTTAGATACAGCTAAAGTAAGAATTAGTAAATTGAAGTATACATCAAAAGAAAAGTTCCAGAATAAAGCATGAAGAGAAAACATATGTAAATTTTATTATGAGAGAGTATAAAATATAAAGGTACAGTGAGAAGGTCTAACATTTGTATAAATGGATTCAGAAGGCAAAAATGTAAGAATGGGTCTAGAAAAAATATTTTAAGAAATAATGTCTGAGAACTTTCCAAAATGGATAAAAAAATTGACACAGATCAATAATCCTATGGAAGACTCAGTAGAAAAAAAAATTAAAAAAAGCAACACCTAGGCATGACATAGAAAACTGCTGAAAAGAGAAAAAGGACGAGGCAAGAAAAATCTCTCAAAAAAATAATTGCTAAAAAATGTCCACACTTGATGAATTATGCTAAATTTCAGATTCAAGAAATTCAGTGAATAAATATGAAGAACATCACACCAGTTGCAGTATAGCCAACTGGCAGAAAACAAAGATAGAGAAAAGTTTCACAGCAGTAAAAGAAAGATTATCCATCGAATTTAATATACTCAGGAATACATTTAACAAAAATGAAACCTGTACATTGAAAACATCAAGATATTGTTGAAAAAATTTAACAAAGATGTAAATATATGGCAAAATATATAATGTTTATGGATTGGAATACTTAATATTGTTAAAATGTGAATTAATTTAGATTGATCTATAGTTTCAATGCAAGTGCTATAATTCCAGCAGACTTTTTTTTTTAGAAATAATCAAGATGATTCAAAGTTTATGTGAAAATGCAAAAATCTGGAGTATTCAAAGCAATCTTGAATTAAAAAAATAAACTTACAGGATTTTAAACTTTACTATAATGCTACAGTAAATATCACAGAATGATGCTGGCATAAAGATAGACAAATTAGTAGAAGAGAACAGAGAACTCAGAAATAATCCTTCAATTATATAGTCAACCAATTCTCAATAAAGTTGCAAAGCAATCCAATGAGAAAAGGAAAATCTATTTAACAAAATATGCTGAAACAACTAGAGTTTTTAATAAAAAATAAACTAACTGCAGCTGCACTACCCACAAAATTTAAATTTAAATGAGTTGGAAACCTAAGCATTAAAGCTAAATATTTATGCTTGTAAAAAAGAGAAAGCAGTATCATTGCAACTTGGAAGTATGCAAAGGTATTTTAGACAGGATGCAAAAAGGTATAACCATAAAAGAAAAAATAAAAGCTAAATTAGTTCACACATTTAGAAAATGAATAAGCATTCATAGATGGGAGAAAATATTTTACAAACATAATTTTGAAATATATATATATATGAAATCTACATGTAGTTAGATACCTCTCCATATAAATATAAATTTTTTATCTATATGAAATATATATTTTTCATATATATACATGAAAAAGTCTATAATTCAGCAATAAAAGGACAAAGACAAATTTTTTAAATGGGCAAAAGAATAGAATGATCACTTCACAAAAGGAGATATACAAATGGCCAATAAGGTCATGAAATGATTTCAACATCATTACTGATTAGGGAGACAACATTTACCAGAATTTCTAAAGCAAACAAACAAGTTTCTGATAATAATACTAAATACTGATGAAGATGCAGAGTAATCAGAACACTCTTTAACTGTTCATGGAGTGTAAAACACTTTGAAAAAGTTCTGACAGTTTTTTAGAAATCTAAAATGTACCTGTCCTATAATGTAACAATTTTCCTTATAGGTTTTTACCCAAGAGATAGAGAAGCATATGTTCACTAAATGTTTTTCTAAGAATGCTCATGGTAGCTTGATATATCACAGTAGCCAAAAACTAGAAACAGCCTAGGTGCTCATGAATAGGAGAACAGAGAAACAAACTACTGTATATTCATACAATTAAATACTAACCAGCAATAAAAAGAATGAAGCACAGGTAGTCACAACAACATGGATGAATTTTTAAAATATTACACTAATGAAAGAAACTTTATCCCAAAATGTATATACTGTATTATTTTATTCATATGAATTTGGCCACATTAATCTGTATATGCATATGTCAAAACTTACTAAACTGGGTTGGGCATGGTGGTGCACACTTGTAGTCCCAGCTACTCAGGAGGCTGAGGCAGGAGAATTACTTGAGCCTGGGAGTTTCAGACAAGCCCAGTAAACAAAGTAAGACCTCTACCTCAAAAAATTTTATTCAACAGTAATCAAGATTGTACACCTCACTCTGATATGGTTTGTATCTGCGTCCTCTCCTAAATCTCATGTTCAATTTTAATACCCAGTGTTGGAGGTGGAGCCTGGTGGGAGGTGATTGGATCATGGGGGAGATTTCTCATGGTTTAACACCATCCCCCTTGGTGTTTTTCTTAGTGATAGTGAGTTATCACGAGATTTGGTTGTTTTAAAGGTATGTAACACCTCCCCCACCCCCCTTGGTCTTGCTCCTGCCGTGTAAGACCCCTTGCTCCCACTTTGCCTTCTACCATGATTGTAAGTTTCCTGAGGCCTCCCCAGAAGACAAGCAGATGGCAGAATCATGCTTCCTGTACAGCCTGTGGAACTGTGGGCCAATTAAGCCTCTTCTCTTTATAAATTGCCCAGTGTCAGGTATTTCTTTATAGCAATAAAAGAATGGACTAATACACATTCTATGTAAATTTACCTCAAAAATCAAAAAACAAAAAACCCATAAACATTTATTGAATTTATTTTAATAATATGAATATTGGAGTGTTCAGGAATGTGTATTATCTGTAACTTACTTTGTAATGCAAAGAAATAAATTAGTAGATAACTAGACAGGTAGGTAGATACATCAGTCTGTTAACATCACTCTGAAAGGATGCACAGTTATTGTCATGGGCCCCAGAGGAGCTCTGCAGAGTGACTTCAATCATATCAATGTTCATAACACACATCTGTATTTAAAAATGAATTAACTAGTAAACTAAATAAATTTTAAAAAATTATATCAAGGTAGAACTCCATCTGCTTAGAAAGAAAAGGAAGACTCCTGTTTGACAAATAATGGAGAAATAACTGGCTACCATTTCCATTGTCTTTAGTCATATACAGAACATAATCAAGGGTATTACACAGCTTCTGTAATAAGGTGAGTCCTCTGTATGCTGACTTATTTATCAACATCCTTATTAAGGAGAATGGGTCTCATTTAAATACAAAATTTCTTAAGTAAAAAATATATCTGCAGGTTCAGATGAGGCTAGGTGTTACTTGCTTAGTATCTCAAGCCCAGAAAGTGGAGGTAGTCCTAGAAGGAAATGACATGGAACTCGTATCAAATTCAGCTGCTTTGGTTCAGTAAGCCAACAGTTAAAAACAAAAAATATCCAAAAAAAAATTGGATAGAAGCTATGTTTCTGAAAATGGAGTAGGTCTATGGCCATACCATCTTGAATGCACCTGATCTCATCTGAAAAAAAAAAAATAGTTCAACAGGCTGATAAAGAGATCCACGAGTTGTTCAGATGCAGAAACAATGAGAAGCTGGTTGGGTACATACGGACATAAAGATGGGAACAATAGACACTGGGGACTAGTACAAGGGAGAGCATCATGGCAAGGGTTGAAATACTAACTATTGGGTACCATGCTCACTACTTGGGTGATGGGATCATTTATACACCAAACCTCAGCATTAGGCGACATATCCTTGTAACAAACCTATTCATATACCCCCTGAATCTAAAGTTAAAGTTTAAATTATAAAAATAAAACAAAGAAAGAAGTTGGATGATTTCTGAGGACTATTTGTTCCATGTTAAAGATGAAATAAATGCCCCCTATTGAAAACAAGAAAAAGAAGAAAACCTTGCTATTTTGGACGATATTAATAAAAACCAAAAAACATTAAGCAAATGAAAATGCAAGCTAAAACATACAAGAATATATATGCAATAAATATAATCATAAAGCACTCATATGAAAAATACATAAAAATATTTGAGCAAATAGAAAAAGACACAAAATTTGATATAAAAATGGCAAGATACCTGAACAGGCATTTCAAGCAACAGGATATTCAAGTATTCAGACAAGTGAAACTTTGCTCATACTCACTAGTAATCAAGGAAATGCAAATTAAAACTTCAGTGAGATTCCACTGTGGTTCTGTCAGAATGATCTAAATTAGAAAGACTACTAGGTGAAATATTGATGAGGGTGAGAAACAATGAGAACTTTGGGTACATTGCTGGTGGTAATATAAATAGGTACAACCATTTTGGGGAAAATAGTTTGGCATATTTTAGTGAGGTTAAACATACTTATCTTCTTTGGCCCAGAAATTTTATTTCTAGATATATACTCAACAGAAATGGATGCATGTATGCCCTAGCATGTAAATACAGGAGATGTACAGTAGAATCAATTCAAAAATCCATCCAAGGTAAAAATGGATTTAAAAAATGACCTTTTCATGAAATAATATATAGAATGAAAATGAATTAATTTCTGGTACATGCAACCACAAGGAAGAATCTCACATATAAAATATTGAGTAAAAGGAACCTAGCACAAAAGAATGCATACAGTATGTTTGAATATACAGATATTATATGTAAATCATATATAATTTTATATAATTTTAAATTATTATATATAAATGTCTGTATACTATATATATAAAATGCCTGTATATTCAAACATACTGTATGCTATATATATTTATAAATTGCTAGGGTACATATTTAGCTGATAAGACTATAAATCTATAAATAAAACCTAGGAAATGTTTACCATGAAACAAAATCAAGGGAGTAGTTACATTTGTGAATGGAAGAGGTAATTGAGAGGGCACAAAGAAGCTCCAGGGAAGTTGACAATTTTCTATAGTTTACTTGGGTTTTGTCTTGTAATAACTACATAAACTATACATATTTGTTCACTTTTCTGTCAGTTCTTAATGTTTCACAATAAAAGAGTAATAGTTTTAAAAATGTAACTGATTTGTGTAAAGGACTTAAAACTTTACCTATGTGAGAGGTGCTGTAAGTTCAAATTCGAGCTCCTCCACTTTCTAGCTGTGCAGTTTGGGACAAATTATCTTAATTTCATTTAGCTTTAATTTCCCATTTGCAAAAAGTGCATTATAATTATTCTTGTTATAATTTAAGGTTTAAATGAGTTAGTTCATGTAAAAGTGAGAAAAATAGCTCTGGCACATAGTAAATGTTAAATAAATATTAGGCATTAATGTCATTATTATCTTCACCAACATTAAATCATTGAAAGTAAAATGAGGGAAAAGGAAAATAAGTTTGACTAAATAGATGGAAATTTAAAAGCTTTCAAAGACTGGTTAAGAGCTGTAAACCAAAAAAGGATCTGAGATAGGTCTCAATCAATTTAGAAGTTTATTTTGCGAAGGTTAAGGACATGTCCAGGAGAAAAACACACAGAATCACAGATCAATCTGTGGTCTGTGCCTTTCTCCAAATATGAATTTAAGGGATTCAATATTTAAAGAGGAAAAGTGGTCTGGATGGGAAAAGAGGGAGGGGTATGGCGATTGATATGTTGCAAGAGAAAAGGAGCAGATAGGGGAATGGTCAATTATGTATCTGTTTTATGCTCAGCAAATTGGTACTTTACGTAAGATAAGCTGAACATAGTAGCTACCTGTGGAGATATTTAATCCTTTGTAGCTATATGCTTAGCAACAAAAGAAAACGCAGCTTTTTGCATGACTCAGCTTTAAGCTTAATTTTTCCTTTTGGCGTAGTGAATTGGGGTCCCAAGTTTTTATTTTTGTTTTACATTTCTCCTCTTTTTTCCTTTTAAAATCTTTAGGAGAAAGTATTTTAGAAGAAAACAAGTCTCTGGTCTTGGGTTTTTTCTGATCTTTTGCTGATAGAACAGTTTATTCCTAGAGGTATAGGTCCCACGTTATTAGGCAAACTCATTTTTAGCAGGTTGTGAAGACTCATGTCTCATGAAGAAAACAAATAGGAGGAGATAGGGAGAAAGAAAACGGAGCAAAAGATGGAAAATAAAAAACAAAAAGGTAGCACAATCCTGGAAAACTGATAGAAGCCATATTATTCTGAAGTCCATAAATCAGTAGGCAGGTATGAAAATGTTTCATGTATATGAATACGTTGCTGTTATTTTCCTCAAAAGTTTAAGTCATCTTGTATCCATTTGCAAAAATTTAAGGAAAGCATAACTTAATTTTTAGTGTTTTGAAATCAGGCAAAATGTCAATAGAAGAAAAAAGTCATGATTTTGGAGACTTGCAGCCAGAAAAATTTTAGGATTCAGTCCAATTTGTAGAAAATAATAAAAACTGAAAAACACTGGACAAGGCAAGAATCTAATAACAGGTATAGTATAGTTTATTTGGAAACATAATTTTATCTCTTCAATTCCCCGATTTTATTAAAGAAAAAATGATAGTAAGACCAATTAATTTGTAAAATAAATTGTAGTCTTATATACTTAGCTTGATTATTTGCATAAAGTGCAGGAGAAATAATTATTTGCCATATAAGATCTCTTTTTTAATTGGCTTTGCTGGAAACTTTTCCATAAGGAATCTAACATTAAGAGATTTTTAAAAACCTCAAGCCCAGCCAAAAATTTATTTGTGTCTGCATATACCTGTATGAAATGAGTGAATTCCTCTCTTTTTAAGGTCCTGATAAAACTTGGAGTTCCTAGGCCTGCCAGAAATGGACATTCTTTACATACCACAGGTAAGGCCCCTATAAAAGATGAGGTATGAGGCCAGTTTTCCCAGGGGGCTTTTATCAGCTGTATAAGTCAGCCTCATGTTCTCAAGGTTATATGAAAATACATCATTCCAGTTAAAGCATTGGTAAAATAACCAGTGTCTTCAATTATGTACTGTTGTAAAATAAAACAGTTTCTCATTTTGAATTTATGAAAATAACTACATTGCCATAGATTAAGAATATTCACAAATAGTTTCTAAATATTAGAGAAATTATGTAGAAATAAATTGTGTTTTAAATTCTGCTCACTAGGGAATACTCAATTGTTAAAAGCTATAAATGCTTAAAATAAGAGAAAGTTTTCTTTCTTTTTTTTTTTTTTTGAGATGGAGTTTCACTCTTGTTGTCCAGGCTGGAGTGCAATGGCACGATCTCGGCTCACTGCAACCTCCACCTCCCGGGTTCAAGCAATTCTCCTGCCTCAGCCTCCTGAGTAGCTGGGATTACAGGCATGTGCCAGCACACCTGGCTAATTTTTTTGTATTTTTAGTAGAGACAGGGTTTCACCATGTTAGCCAGGATGGTCTCCATCTCCTGACCTCGTGATCCGCCCACCTCGGCCACCCAAAGTGCTGGGATTACAGGCGTGAGCCACTGCGCCCAGCAAGATTTTGGAAAGCAAATAACAAATTTATGCCAATGTGTTATTATTTAATCCAAATAATATAAATCTAATACAAAGAAGGTTAAATACCATTTTGTATTTGACAATGCTTCCGGTATGATATTATTATACTAAATAAGCCAAATATATCTCTTTGGGACTTCAGGGGATCTAATATGAAATAATTAATGAGGTCAAAAGACTAAATTTAATATTTCATTTTGGAAATTTTGTCAAATATCAAAAGTTTAAAACACTAGATATCACAAAATAGTATCTCAGGTCATTGTAAAATAAGCCAGTGGTCCCCAAGTTTTTTGTCACCAGGAACTGGTTTTGTGGAAGACAATTCTTCCACGAATGCAGGGGGTGGGGATGGTTTCAGGATGAAGTTGTTCCACCTCAGATCATCAGGCATTAGATTCTTATAAGGTGAGTGCAACCTAGATCCCTTACATGCACAGTTCACATTAGGGTTCGTGCTCCTATGAAAATGTAATGCCACCGCTGATCTGATAGGAGGTAGAGCTCAGGGGGTGATGCTTGCTTGCCTGCTGCTCACCAACTCTGTGTAGTCTGGCTCCTAAAGGGCCACGAACCTGTATTAGTGCATGGCCCAGGGCTTGGAGATCCCTAAAATAAGCCTTTCATTTAGTTAAAGTGACAACCAAAAGACTTCAAAAAAAGAAGCAAAAGCCTTTATTATTTGAGATAGGAGACTTACATTCCCAAATAATAAGCCCTAATAAACACATTATGAGACCAATTAAATCTGTCTCTCAAATCTTCTAAACAAATCTATTAAATTCTAATCATCTTGACCGTAAGATATAATTTCTATAAACCTTTTTATGGCCTTTCGTTTTTTTTCAAATTAAATAATGGGTGAATGCTCCAAGAAAACCTTGTTAATATGATACAGGGGCCCAGCTGCTGCTCTTGCATTAGTGTGCCTTTAATAATAATTTTTAATTTATAGAGAAACTCTGAATGAGTTATGTCTCTCAAAATCAGCCCTTAAAATCTCACATGCCCATCTCTTTTGTAATAGACCCTGGGCCTAGAGGGGTTGAATAGTTTTAATTTCTGATTCTGTGTCTCACAAATATATTTATTTTGATTGTCATCCTCTCCCAAGTCTGAAGATGACAATCTAATTGGTGTCAGTGTTTAAGATTTAGCAGTATTTGGTATACTTTTTAGACCCAGGAATTAAAGTCCTATAACTTAAGAGCACAAGGCCTTTAAAAGCAATACGAAAAGTTACATGGATGTAATAACCTTAATCTTTTTTAATTTCAGTTTTCCTAGGCAAATCCAAAAAATTAGTAACAATGATATAGAAATTATTTCAATAAAACATAATGTCTGTTTGTTAGGTTAGTTATCAAAAAGAAAAAAGAAGGCCTGAAGTGTGATTGCTCTTCCCTATGGGGAGTCCATTTAGAGTTCAAAACTAATGAAAATGGTACTTGAATTAGTTAGACATAGAAAAAGTGTGTCCCGGGTCATAAGTGAATGTTTCTCATTTCATAGAAGAATTTAAAGCCAAGAGCACAGAAGAAATAAAACGTTTTATTTAGACCTTTAAGATTAAACCACATCAGACCACAACAGCAGTTAGAACCTGAGGAAAAAAGGTTATAGGAGCTGATGGAAAAGTTGAAGGAGAAAGCTGGAAACATTGAGATGCAGTAAAAGGGAAACCGTTGGGTTAAAAAAAATTGAAATCTCTTGTGTTTTTGTTGTTTTAATCAATTCTTTAGTTTATTAGTATATTTTTAATATCAAAGCCCAATCTCTAGAAACAGTATTATAAATACTTACCTTTTAATTATAGCCAATCTGATCAAATAAAGTTTGTTTTTCCACAAATTCACTTTTTACAAACTTATTATGACTTACGCAAACCATTGACAAGCTTGAATTTCCTGTTTTATCCTAAAATCCCATTTTCTTAAATATTAGTCAATTTATTTTAGAACAAAAAAATTTACCATATAAGATTTTTTCTCATATAAAATTATTTTCCTTTTAAACTTTCCTACTAAAAACACCTCTATATGTTTATAACTTTCTTTCCATCTCTCTTATTTACTGGTTCCTTTTACCTTGTTTTACAAATAGCCTTTGAATTAGAGAAAAATTGTTTCCTTTTAATAGGAAAGCATTGTGTGTGTTTTTTTTTTTAAAGTTCTATAATTAAACAAAAATTGAAAATGTCTCAGATATTTAATAAATATTTATTATTTAATTTAATCTTAAATTCTAAAGTATATGACAAGTTTATAAGTACTTATGCCATTATATTGACCTAATTAATTAGTATTTTAAATAGTTTACCTAGATTACTTATGAAAACTGTGATAGTCATCATTTAAAGTTATTTCCCTGTTAACCATTTTTATGGTCTGTGAATTTCAGGTATTTACCTAAGTAGAAAATTTAAGTTTAAATAAATGTGTTCGGTGCTTTTTTTTTTGCCTATAACTCAGGATTTAGCTATTTTCATTAAACCAACAATATTAAATGTTTTATTTATTTAAAAAATACAAAGATAATTCTTTTTTGAGCTGCATTTATAGTTTTTTAACCCCCATACCAAATCTTTACACCTTATAATATTTAGCAGGGATAAATATATAACCATTTGGCTAATAAACCTAATGATAATATATGTTGACAATTCAGAAAACATTTCTAATTTTATTTTACCAATAATTATAAAGCCAGCTTATTTATTAAATATTTACTTACGTCACATGACCTTGAAAAGCATTTGGGCTTGTTTACTAAATTTATGAGTACTTTAATTTTTAAACTAATTTGGTATCTCATGGGCACAATACATAGCAAAACACATGTACATACACATAACACACCTAAGCACACATACACACTCATACAAATAAAGATCTTATAGTTTTTACTTTGTAACTCTAGCCATGAAAAATCAATACAAACTTAACACTTTATAAAATAATGGTTGGATGTGAATGGTGGTTTTTAATCTCAACACCAGTAGAAAGGTCCTTTAAACTAGAAAAAAAACTACATTTTTCTAAGCAAAAACCACATCCTCATGTCTTTTATAAAGTACCAAAAACACATCTTACCTTCCTACTATTCCACTAATTTCCAGTGAAAACCCTAGAATTACTTAATTTATCATAACATGATGTTAAATTACTGGAGAATTTTGAAACTAAATTTACCAAATTAATCTTACCAAAGATTACTAAAGTCGTGTGAACAGAAATGACTCTGAGCTAGCTTCTATTAATTTGATAAACACTTACTTTTAGTCAAGTAATTAGAGCTCTTTCATATAATTGGTAGTTTCATATTATTTCTACATAACACATATAAATATATGGCACATATAAACAGACCCAGACGAGGCAGATCTTATACATTTAAGATTTTTCATTTGCTTGTTTTCAAAAATGTTGCCTTCCCTACTTTAGACTATTAATTTCTTGATTATCTGTTTCATGTCCTAAATAATTGCTAACTAGATGCAACTCTAAATTTGCATCTCCAAAGACATGACTTAGGTGAAGCAAGGTGGAAAATGCACATCTCAAAGGCAATATCTAATTTCCAATTAGATTGAAACAAAGGAAAGTTCTGTTGTGTAAACTTTAAGCTATTGTCTTCACTCTAGTTATACTTCCTAGTGGTTTAGGTGCAGAGACAGAGATGCTGGGGTTTGGCTGTATTGCCAAATCTCATCTTGAATTGTAGCTCCCATGATTACCACGTGCCATGGGAGGGGCCTGGTGGCAGGTAATTGAATCGTGGGAGTGGCTCTTTCCTGTGCTGTTCTCATGATAGTCTCAGGAGATCTGATAGTTTTATAAAGGGGTGTTTGCCTACACAAGCTCTCTTGCTTGATGTCATGTAAGATGTGCCTTGCTTCCCCTTTGCCTTCTGCCATGATTGTCCAGGCCTCCCCAGCCATATGGAACTGTGAGTCAATTAACCCTCTTTCCTTTATAAATTACTAAGTCTCAAGTATGTCTTAATTAGCAGCATGAGAACAGACCAATACAGATGCTCTTACAAAATGGAGATTTCCTTTAAAGATGTAAATTTTCTTTATAAAGAGTTTTGTTAAAGTCACTTAGTTTGATAGGTGGTATTTTCAGTTTAGCTTGATTCGATTACTGGCTTTTGGGTGGAGCCGTTTAAGGAACAGGGCAAAGAAATCATGCACAATTTTCTTATCTAAATGTGCAAAGAAATGAGTGGCCCCCTGTAGTAATGACTATTTCCTGTAACCTATTCTTAACCATCACTAACATTGTAGCTCTTGTCCAAAATTACACATACCAAGGTCAAATCCTCTCATAGTATAAGGTAATCTCTGGTACCCACAAAAGCCAAAGAGGTTAGGTAATGCAATACAAAAAAGCAGGGCTTTAGACCTGAGAAGAATCTGCCCATGACTGTTGAAATTCCATAAAGAAAGCAGAACACCCCAAAAGGGGATGAGCAGCACCTTTATCCTGAGTTCTTAAAGAGGTCAGTGTATTAGAAGCCTTCTCTAATTCTTTTTTTTTTCTTTTTTTGCTTGGTACTAAAGATGACAAAAGGGAAAGGAGGAATAGGGTGGAATAAAAGTAAACAAAAAACCATTATTTTAAGAAAGGAGTGAACAGAGAAACCAAGCACGTGTATTTTTGTTTTGTTTTGTTTTGTTTTGTTTTTTGTTTTTGCAGCTGTGTGGAATTTTAGCCAAGTCAGAGGCCTTTTTCTCCATAATTTGAAATTCTCATTTGGATTTCACCAAGTTGGGTACAGTTGGTCAAATCTGATGGGAAAAAGACTGAAGCAACAATGACAACAACAACAACAAAAACACACAATACAATTATGGAATGCTCTAATGGTAAAGAGAAATTAAGATCAGCTGGCTGTCAATCTTAACTTTTAGTCATTAATGAGAATTTCCAAGTCAAAACCCCAATTCAGCTACTTATCTATGAATGGGGCCCAGGCTCAAGACTGCTCTCTATCTTAGAAGCAGGAAGAAACTCAAACTTCTCTTCCTTGTTGGAAGTGAGCTGAAACTCCAGAAAAGTTGGACAGCAAAGTAAACCTTAGCTCTCAACAAAAATTTGGGAGATCAGGGATTCTCTGGAGCAGGGAGCTCCCACACCTCAGCAAATTGTCCTATTGGATAGAGCAGTAAAGATAGCCTAAGCTGGTACCAAGCACCCACAGGAGATTTATGAAATGTCAGGGCCATCTCCACTCAGAGTCCGTTTCATTGCTCATGAATTTGTAAACCAAAAAGTATCTCAGATAGCTGTTACTCAATTTAGAAGTTTATTTTTCCAAGGTTAAGGACATGCCCACAAGGAAAAAACACAGAATCACAGAACAATCTGTGGTCTGTGCCTTTCTCCAAAGATGAATCTGAGAGCTTCAATATTTAAAGGGGAAAAGTGGGCTAGAAGGGAAAGAGGGAGGGTTTGGTAATCCACATGTTGTCAAGAGAAAAAAAGCAGGTAAGGGAAGAGTCAATTATGTATTTGTCTCATGCTCAGTAAATTGGCACTTTGCATAAGATAAGCTGAACATAGAGTAGCTACCTGTGGATATATTTAACATTTTATCTGTAGCTATCTGCTTAGGAACAAAAGGAAAGACAGCTTCTCATACAACTCAACTTTCAGCCTACTTTTTTTCCTTTTGGCATAGTAAATTAGAGTATCAAGTTTTTATTTTTCTTTCAAAGTCTTGTGCTTTGTTCTATGACAATTAATGAAGAAAAAAATTCATTGATGTTTGATAAAGCATGGCAGAGAAGACTTTTTTCCAGATCATCCCAATAGGTATACAGACTATGGCCATGGGATTTTTGCAGTAGGGGAGAGAGAGATACGGTTCAACTTTGTATATAGCATGGACAAGCAAGAATTAATAGCCAAGGAGCAGAGCGGGAGGTCAATGTATGAAAAATTACTTAAGAGGAGATATGAGGGGCAACGAAGATTCTAGCTGAACAAATCTGAATGGATTCTTGCTGAAGATAGGCCAGAGTGAGCAGCCATCACCTGTGAAATGGTGGATGAGGAATCACTGATCAGATGTAGAGGGTGAGCCAATATCAAGGATGCAGGGTTTTTGTTAAAATTAGATTTTACCAGTAAATGCACAGATGGGCTTAGGAGAAGGTTCAGAATCCTGACTAAAGTTTGGTCAAGCAAAGAATCCTTGTCACAATGGAGCACTAAAAAATAATTAACAATATAATTATTTTGAGATATCATAATTTTATAGATGAGAAACTGAAATGGAAAGGAATTAACTACCTTTTCTGGAATGACTTTAGTAAGTAAATGAGGAGCAGAAATTCAGCAGCTTCTGAAAGCTTAAAGTGGCAGTAGGATATAAAGTGGATTTGAAGGGAGAAGTCTATAAGCAGGAGGGCAAATTAGGAGACACTTTCAATATCCCACGGTAGTGGGAATAGAAAATTGGGGATGGATGAGAATCAGGATTTGAAAGAAGGTTTAGTGTGACAGCAAGAGGGAAATCAGAGGAGTTCTTGCTATTTGGGGCTGGAAGCCTGGAAAAATGGTGGAACTATAAACAAAAATAGAGATCACAGGAGTAGTAGCAGGTTTGCACTGGAGAGATAAAACATTTAGACAAAATGTAATTGTGGGGTCAGCACATTCATCATCATGATAAAAACGTGTATTAAATATTGCATTATGAGAAGCTATGCTTGACAAAGCAAGCTAGGTGAGTCTGCCATCAAAATCTCACAGTAGGAAGAAAGGAAGGTAAATGCTGCAGCTTGAAGCCCAGCAGGGTGGATAGCTGAGGAAAAGGATTGACTTGAGCATTTGGTGAGCTCCCTCATGGTGAAGCCCTGGGCAGTTTAGAGGCGCTTTGAAATCAATGAGAAACAACAGGAAAGAGAAGGGTTCAGGCAGGATGGAAAGAAACCCATTACAAATTTTGCGTGTGATGTATCCTGTCAGAACTGCCTGAGCCTGGGCCAGGTTTTCAAGAGGCAGGGCTTGGTATAGGTTGGTAGAGACCTGGCTGCCAAGCTGCAAGGAGGGAGCTAAAAGCTTTGTGCAGGAACAAAGCTAGAATCAAGCTAAGCTGCAAGGCAGAGACCAGGTGCAAGGCAGTAAGAAAGCTAAATCACCTAGGCAAGAACAGGCAGATAGAAAACAGATGAAGTGAAAGCAGCAGCATGTGGAGACATTCCACAATGGTCTGGAGTCTCAGACTGTGTCTTTTTATAGGAAGCTTCAGGACTTGGCTATGGCTGAGAGAGTTTGTTACAGGAACTGCGCTTGTTCAGACACAACAAAAATGGGCAGAGAATTCCGGTGGCCAACAGACACACAGATGAAGATGAGCAAAATAAAAGGAGTGTGGCTCACACCATTCTCGAGCTAAACAGGAACCCAAAAGGCACCTTTGTAAATTATTTTCCCAACTTTTTTTTTTTCCTCTGACTGCTTTGTAAATCCCTACTCTTTGTTTTTTTTTTGTTTTTTTGTTTTTTTTTTAAGAAATCCTGTCTTTTACAAATGACACACTCTCCCACAGAGCTCTTTCTCCAAGATTTGAAAGCTGGCATACGGCTGTTTTGAAGAGGGAAGCTTGGGCCACTTCTACCCATATCATGTACATCTCATAGATAACAGTGAACCCTTGACTCCCTGGCTGCCAATCTTTCATCTTTCATCTGTACCAAATTCACAATGATGAGGGAGAAAGAAAAGCAATTTAATTCTCAATGGTACTTCATATAGCTGCTGTAAAACATCCTTTCTGCTTTATACCAAGTAAGCAGTAATAACATAGGAACACTGAAAATTGTCAGTTAGAGGGTTAAAGTGGTGGAAGGAAAGTTCTACAGAAGAAATCTGTGTAATAAGGAAAAATATATACATGCTACAGTGGGTTTTCATCATGGATTCTAAAAACACCCACTTATCCTCTGCAAAGAACTTGTTACAGCTCATTTTCTATTTGTGTATATAACTCCATCCCAAGATGAGCATCTGTCAACCCAGGAAAGCACAACATTTATAATATTGTTTTCATTCTTGACTGAACACATAAAAAGCACAAAATCTAGTTAGAAGAATGGCGTATGTGTGTGGAGTTTGTCTCAAAGCCTTTGCCACCAGCTCTCCCTTTCTTATTATTTACAGACTATTGGTAGGTTTTTCTCAGAAGGGTAGGAGAGTGAGAAAATGAATCATTGGTATTTCCTTTCAGGTGGCTCCAGGAATGGCATGGAAGTGAAAGAAATTACCTAGCTTAATATAATCTTTACATTTTCATTTTTAAATGTCTCATTATCATCACATTAGAAGCTGCAGTTTCAGTTTTCCTCAACCTGGAGTTTGGAATCCAAAAGCCTGGTTGAATTTCTCAGCATCCCAGGCAAAGATCTCCTCTGTAGTCGTTTGGACTCCATTTGATGTGGTTGCTGCCAGCTGGACAGTTCACCGTCTCTGGCTCTAGCTGTGAACTTTAACTCCACATTGCTAATCTCTGTTTCTTAACACCAGGCTTTGACCCGTGTTCCTTATGATCTCTGCATTTGGCTTTGAGATACATGTGAATATTCCTTTTCTAAGTCAGGTTGTTCATCCTTATAATTCTCAAGAAAGATGTATGCTGAGACAATCTGATCATTTGGTTGAAAAAAGATGGGGAGAGGAGAGAAAAGAGAACTGGTAGCCTTCAGGAGCATTTCTGACTCCAGAACAGTAACTTGGGAGTCTTTGGTCAGTTATAATTTTCCCTCTGTGAGCATTCTTCCCCTGTACCTGACATTGTGTTGGACTTATCATAATAGCACTGTGGAGTACTGTCGTCAACGAACATTAATTTATAGTCTAAAAAAGCTTGACTTTGGATCCCCACTCCATGACTTTTCATCTAAGTGATCTTGAACACATTCTGTTATTTTTCTCTGCCTATTTCTTCATTTAAAACGTAGAGATAAAATATCACCTTGGATAGATTTTTTTGAAGACAAAATGTGTTAATGTATGTGAAGCACCTACTTGTGCTGCATTAAATAATCTGCCCTCAACACATTATATTCCTGATAGTAGTTATTGAATGATATTTTGTTATTGCACTAAATAATTATTGCCTAAGATCTGAAATGTTGGAAGTACAGCAAAACTCAGGTGCAGAAATGATTCTGCTCCTCCTACCTGCTCCGCATGCACTTATAAAGTGCGGTGTTTTTCTCACATGGATTTCCTATGGGGCTCCTCCAGGGTTCCATTTTATTTTCTTTTGCTATAACTCAGGGCCCTGAGGAAAGGATACCAGGAGAAAAAAGCATTACTCTCCTGCAGAGAAGCAGCTCAGAATCTCTCTCATCCTATTAGGATACGTAAACCTGTTTCCTGATAGTAATACTCATACGCTTTCCTGTGATGTGTCCCATACATTCTATATGCCATTCTGATTTTATCAAGGTAATTTAAAGAGTTGTATGTAATCCTCAAAGCACTTTTCAGAGCAATGCTTTCTGTAAACAGTCAGTTAAATGACCATTTCTCTTACTTTGTCACTTCATTTTGGGTGGGCTACTTTTTCCTAGAGCAGTGTTTCTCAGTGTTGGCTGCACATTAAAATCACTGGAGGATATTTTTAAATGCCATGTCCTGACTGCAGCTCCCTACTCCCCACCTCTGAGGCCACCCTGCATATACCACAATCTCTGCAGATGAGGTTCAAGCATTGGTACCTTATAAAGTCACCCCAGGAGATTCTAATATGGGGACAGGGTAAAGAAACACTGAACACTGAAACTGTTTTTTTGTTTCATTTTGTTTTGTTTTCCCCCTGGGTTGAAAGCTAACCTAACTGACCAGATCAGCCTGACTGGTCGGTTTGATGAATAACCTAAAGCTGGTGATTGATGCTTTATTCAATCCCTAAGGGCATATGACAGGTGAAAAATACGCATTTGAAATGTTTGTTTGTTTGCTTGTTTTTTGAGACAGAGTTTCGCTCTGTCGCCCAGGCTGGAGTGCAGTGGCACCATCTTGGCTGACTGCAAGCTCCGCCTGCCAGGTTCACGCCATTCTCCTGCCTCAGCCTCCCGAGTAGCAGGGACTACGGGCGCCCGCAACCACGCCCGCTAATTTTTTTGTATTTTTAGTAGAGACTGGGTTTCACCATGTTAGCCAGGATGGTCTCGATCTCCTGACCTCGTGATCTGCCTGCCTGGGCCTCCCAAAGTGCTGGGATTACAGGAGTGAGCCACCGTGCCCGGCCTGTTTGTTTTGTTTTGAGACAGAGTCTCCCTCTATTGCCCAGGCTGGAGTGCAGTGGCGCAATCTCGGCTCACTGCAACCTCTCCCTCCCGGGTTCAAGGGATTCTCACGCCTCAGCCTCCAGAGTAGCTGGAACTACAGGCACGTGTCACCACATCTGGCTCATTTTTGTATTTTTAGTAGAGATGGGGTTTCACCATGTTGACCAGGCTGGTCTCAAACTCCTGGCCTCAAGTGATCTACCTGCCTCGGCCTCCCAAAGTGCTGGGATTATAAACGTGAGCCACTACGCAGTTCCTAAGTATTTGTTGAGTGCCTATATACCATGCTGGACTCATTTCCATCTCCAGATCTCTCAAAGCTGAAGTTTTCCCATTCAGATCTTTCATCCCCTAAGGCTTAAGATTTGTTTTATCTCCATCTGATGAACCAATTCATGCTAAAATAAGAAGACAGAACTCCAAATATTTTAATTGATATTTTCTGAGGATCTTACCCATTTTTTCCTTGCCATTATAGAGTCTAATCATGAGAATTTCATAGAAGTGTATAAGTAAAACTCGCCAAAGCAAATAGAGGTTATGGGATACAAGAAAGCTTGTAGTAATTAGCAACAAACTTCTTCAGTATAGTGGGAAAGGCATGGAATCTGAAGGTCAAAGTTCAAGTCTAGACTCATTGTTGCAGGCACTGTTCTATGCTCTGGATAGGCAACAGTGAATAAGACTCAAGGTTTCTGGTGTCATGAAAGTTGCCAGACAAAAAGGAAGTAAGTAACAATCCCCTCCCTATCCCCACCCCCAACACACACAAACAAAACATTTCATGGAGCGATGTATGAAGCCATAAAGTAACTAATGAGACCCTGGTAGGGAGACTGGAGAGTGAAGTAGCAGGGGATGGAGAGCTACTGAGAGTTGTCGGGGAAGGACTATCTAAGGAAGCTAGTTTTGACTGAAATACAAATGATGATGTGAACCCAAACATGCAACTATCTGATGGCAGAGATTTCCAAGCAAAGGGAGGACTAGTACAAACACCTCAGGGCAAGAATAAGCTTGAGGTGCTAAAGGTACAGAAAAAAAGGCAACCACATTGGAAGGATATTGATGAAGTATAAGTGACAAAGAATTTCAGCAATATCTTCCTCCAGATGCTAGATTCTCAACCTGATCTCATTTAAATGAGATATGCTAAATGTCACTCCATGAGGCCCAGACACAGAGAGGTTTACTCTGATCATCAACCTAAAGAACATTCAATTATGCACACGCACACCCTCTTCCCCTCTAGTTGCTCTCTTCAACCAAGATGTAAGTTTCACATGAGCAGGTACATTGTGGATTCTTAGAGGCACAGGATAACTGAATAATAAATATTTTTTGAGTGAATGAATAGATGAACAAGAAAGGCAGAAATCAGATTACACACAGATTTTAGCTCATGGTAAGGAATTTTGGAAGTCCTTAAGTTGTACTGAGCAAGGGAGTGCTGTGGTCTAAAACATAATTTTAAAAGGTCACTTTGGTTTCTGTGTAGAAATACGAACTCCAGGGAGGGATAGAAGCCAAGAGAGAGGTAAGAGTTTCCCACTGTAGTCTAGATGAAACTAATGACAGTCTGGGCAGTAGCATAGCAGATCTGAGGATAAAACTTAATGGATTATTTAGGCATTGAAGTTTGAAATGTCTGGTAGACTTGAAAAGGAAAGGATGTGTAAATAGATGAAGGTCAGTGGAGACATCAGGGTTTGAAGTATCAATTCAGACTGAATTGTCTTATGGATGATATTTAAAAGTTATCTCACTAATGAGATCACCTGGACAGAAAGTTTGAAATACTAAAGAGGGTCTAAGACCAAGGCCTGGAGAGCTTCATGATCTGGAGTTAGGGCAAAGAAAGAAAAGCCAGCTAGCCAAACTGAGAAAAAAAAAAAAAGAGAAAAAAAAAAAAGCCTTTGGGATTGGAGGACAATCAGAAGATCTGATATCATAAGAACCAAAAAAAAAAAAAAAAAAAAAAATCTAGAAAGGCATCATCAGTTGTGTTCAATGTTTCTGGAAAAAGAAATGTGACAAGAATAAAGAACTGACCAATGGTTTTGGCAAGATATTGATCTCGGGGCCATAATAAGAGCCATGCAAGTAAAACAGCCTGAATAAAGTATACAGAAGAGAATGAAGAGGTCAGTTTGCAGTTCAGATGTGCACTCTTTGCCACTTACTAGCTGAATAAGCTTGGGAAAGTTTTTGAGACTAGCTTTCCTCTTTTCTGAACCGGGAGAAACATATAGCAGGTGCTCTACTGACTCCACAAAGTGAGGAAATTTTTGTGAGCCAGAAGTGTTCAAACCAGAACGATTCCATCTTGAATAGGGGCTTGGTGAAATGAAGCTGAGACCTACTAGGGTGTATTCCCAGGAGGCTAGGCATTCTTAGTTAACAAGATATTTACAGTTAAGGGAACAAGTTAATAATGTTTACTGAACAGACCTAGGACTTAGCGGACTCAGGAAATATCAGACCCAGGAAATATCCTGATGTCCTGATATCTTAAGAACAACTAGCCTGACCAGCATGGTGAAACTCCGCCTCTACTAAAAATATAAAAATTAGCTGGGCGTAGTGGTCGGTGCCTTTAATCCAAGCTACTCGGGAAGCTGAGGCAGGAGAATCTCTTGAACCCGGGAGGCGGAGGTTGCAGTGAGCTGAGGTTGCACCACTGCACTCCAGCCTGGGCAACAGAGTTAGACTTTGTCTGTAAATAAATAAACAAATATAAAAAAGACCAAAAGCATCATTAGTTTAAGAAAGTTTCACTTTAAATATAATAATATAGATTCTTGCAGAAGACAGTAGTTGCACAAAGATTAACAATCCTTTGTCTCAAGCCCTTATAGTAGAGCACATCTCCCCATGACTTTTTGCTTTGTTATCTTATATATGAACAATCATCGTACCTAAGGTGGAAGCCTTTCTCCTCTTGCTTTTGAGAACACCCTGCTCTGTCTATGGACTAGCTATTCTTTCATTGCTCTACTTTCTTTTTTTTTCTTTTTCTTTCTTTTTTTTTTTTTTTTTTTTGAGACGGAATCTTGGTTTGTTGCCAGGATGGAGTGCAGTGGCGCGATCTCGGCTCACCACAACCTCTGTCTCCCAGATTCAAGCGGATTCTCCTGCCTCAGGCCCTCAAGTAGCTGAAATTACAGGCATGTGCCACCATGCCCAGCTTATTTTTGTATTTTTGGTAGAGACATGGGTTTCATCATGTTGGCCAGGATGGTCTCTATCTCCTGACCTTGTGATCCGCCCACCTCGGCCTCCCAAAGTGCTGGGATTAGAGGCGTGAGCCACCGCGCCTGGCCATTCCTCTGCTTTCTTAATAAACTTGCTTTCACTTTATTCTGTGGGCTCACCCTGAATTCTTTCTTGTGAGAGATCCAAGAACCCTCTCTTGGTGTCTTGATGGGGACCCCTTTCCGATAATAAGATCACATGTGAAAGTTTATCTCCATAAGCTTGAATTGTATGAAAAATATCTGCTGTCATTATTATTATTTTGTGGAGGATAACAATGACCTGTTAGTCAGAACACATAATAAATTGAGACAAACCAGAGTAAAACAGTTAGTACAGTTAACATTTTATTTTGTTTTACAAAATCTCTTTTGTCACATTTTAATCTAATTAACCGAATGGTGTAGATATTGCTTTATATGTTTCTTCCTTTCTTTTTCTCCCTCTTTCTTTCTTCACTTCTCTTTTTTCTCTCTTTATTTCCTTTCTTTCTCTCTTTCCTTCTTTCTCTCCTTCTTTCTTTCTTCTCTTTCTTTTCCTTCCTTCCTTCCTTCTCTCTCTTTTCTTTTGTTCTTTTGTAATCATTATTTTCCTAAGTCACAAGATGAACCTGAGATCATACTAATAGGATCCAATGAGTCCAGCTTCTGTGATCTCTAAGACATCAGGTGAGATGGAATGCTTCTGGGTCGCAAGAAAGAAAGAAAATATGGTTGCCATCATCTCCACAACTTCTGGCGTTGTGAGCAGTAACGTGATTACTAATAACAAAGTCTTGATTTATGGAAAATAGCCCCTAATTTATTTTCACAAGAAGGTGAAAGTAACTTTCCAGAGCTGTGGTTCTCTATTTTGGTTGCGCATTGAAATCATCTGAGGAGTTTTAAAAAACATGGATGTCTAGATTTCAGTCCAAGAGATTCTGACTTAAATGGTCTGGAGTGCAACCTGGTCATTAGGATTCTTAAAAGCTTCCAATTGGTTCTACAGTCGTTATATAAGCAGTAGTGCGTGTAATCCTCACATGAATCCTGTGAGGTAAGTACTCATGCACCCATTTAACAAATGAGGAAACTGAGGAATAGGACAGCTACTATGTCCACGTTCCCACAGATACAGAACTAGAATTCCTACATAGGTAGTCTGGCAGCAAAGCTCATAGCTTAACCATTTTCCCATTTTGTGGTAAAGAGCACACTGCAAGATTACCATCACCCAGAGACTTACCCACTGAGGTTGACTCTATTCAAAATACATTCTTTTTTTTTTTTTTTTTTTTTTTTTTTTTTTGAGACGGAGTCTCGCTGTGTCGCCCAGGCTGGAGCACAGTGGTGCCATCTCAGCTCACTGCAAGCTCCGCCTCCCGGGTTTATGCCATTCTCCTGCCTCAGCCTCCTGAGTAGCTGGGACTACAGGCGCCCGCCACCACGTCTGGCTAATTTTTTGTATTTTTAGTAGAGACGGGGTTTCACCATGTTAGCTAGGATGGTCTCGATCTCCTGATCTCGTTATCTGCCCGCCTCAGCCTCCCAAAGTGCTGAGATTACAGGCGTGAACCAGTGCGTCCGGCCAATACTTTCTTATGTAATATGAATACTTTCTTATGTAATCAGATTCAGATTATCTGAGCCACAAATATTTTAATATCGTATATTTGGCTAAAGTTTTGAATAGTAAAAATGATGTGTCATGGTGGAATATTGGCTGCCAGCTCTAAGCTGAGTTCTTAATGATAGCAATATCTTGAAGTTGTCACCACATAAAACCTGGTCCTTTATTTTACCTATATGAATACACAGTTGTGTTAGTGCACTCAGAGTTGATGAAGCTATCAGAGACAGATTTATTAAATTAAGTTTCAGAATGGCAATGTATTCATTGTATATTAAGGGCTATATTTACCTTTGCAAAGATTACAATATTCATGTTTTGGTTTAGGGAATTTTCACTTCTCTTTGGAAACTAAATCCAGTTTATGAGATTTCTCGTTGAACATGGATTCTGTACCAAGGAAATTGAATGCTACTTTCAAATATAAAGATTTTTTAAAAAAATATAAATCACTTTTATTGTAGAGAACTGAAATATCCAAAAATATACCTTACAAAAATGCTACCATTCAAAAGGTAATTATAAGGTATTTTTTCCTATGCCTGATAAAATAGGTAAAATTGTACATTTAAAAAATTTTCTAAGTTAATTTGTTCTTGATGATATAATTAAACATGCTCAGAAGAAATGATTTAAAATAGATTATATAATTTATATACTGTATCTAATTATATAACTATAGTTATGTATTATAATTATATAATTTGTTCTAATTAAAGTAGTATGAAAATTAATACCTGCTTATTATAAAAATAGAAATTATAAAGAAATGTAAAGCATGTAAAAATTACTTAGAGCTCAAACACTATGATTCACTCATATTGATCATGTACCTGCTATGTATTAGGATTTGGGCAATCAAAAGTTCATAAGACACTCCAAGAGATGTCAGAAAAACAAATGGCCAATTAGCATATTGCAATGGCATAATGTACTATTAAAATGTAATCATAGGCTGCATGGGGTTACAAAAGAGGGGAACTTAACTCGGAGAATGCTTTCTGATCCAGTAACATCCAAGCCGAGACCCAAAAGTAAAATAGAAACCAAAAGAGAAAAACTTTAACTTATTTAATATGCTTACTTGACAGGCACTTTGGGAAATAGTCTGGTAGTTCCTCAAAAGTTAAAATTTAGAGTTACTATATGACTGAGTAATTCCATTCCTCAGTATACATCCAAAAGAAATAAACATATATATCAATGCCAAAACTTACACGTGCATGTTTATAGCAGTATTATTCATAATAGCCAGAGAGTAGAACACACCCAAATGTTCGTTAGCGGAGGAATGAATAAATTTTAAAATGTGGTATATCCATACAATAGAATATAATTTGCCCATACAAAGGAATTCCTTTTACATAAAATGCCCATAATTGGCAAGTCTACAGAGACATAAAGTAGACTAGTGGTTGCCTAGGTCTAGAAGGGGGATGATTGGGGAATGAAGACTAAAATGTATCAGTTTTCTTTGTGGGGTAATGAAAATATTCTCAAATTGATTCTGGTGATTATTACAAAACTCTGTTAATAGTCTAAAAAACAATGAAGTGTACACTTTAAAAGAGTGAATTGTATGGCATTCAAATTATATCTTAATAAAAGTGTCACAGCAAGAAAACCCACTTAGGGCGAGGTACCTTTTTAAATGTACTTCGCCTTACACGGGATTTCCATTTTCACAATCTTGCCAATCCTTGGAGAAATGCTATGAGATCTATTTTAAACGCTTGGATGGGTGAGATACTTTTCCAAGGTCCCTCATTTATAACTAATAGTTGGCAAAGCCAGGACTTAAATTTAGGGTTTTAATTTTACACAGAGCTTTTCTTTTCTGAATTATTTATGGGATCCAAAGTATACCATCATTTGATACAAATAATATCGTGAAATGCGGTTTCACACATAATCATTTATATTGCCTCAGATATTTTATAAAAACAGCTGAGAACATGAGATTGTTGTTGTATTAACACTAGGTACATGAAGAATGTTAGAATAGTTTTCTAAGATATGTGACTTGTGTTGGCATGACCAGAAGCGAACTGGGAGGGGAGGCCTCCTGGTCGGGGATAGAGAGTTAGTTTCATGCCTAAGAACAAACTTAGGCTATGTTTGTCACAGAGGAGAAGGGGTCAGGTGGCAAAGAAATATTGCTGTAGAGACAGAGGTGGTATATTCAGATGAGGGTGAGATAAAAAGAAATCACCTATTGAAGAGAAAACTTTTGCAATGAAAAGAATCTCTGCTCTGCCACTTAGTAGCTGGATGGCTTTAGGTGAGCATCTACACACTCTTGTAAAACACTCTTGTAAAACTAGAATTAATTTCTTACCTCATTAGGCTGATATTAGGATTAGTTACTTAATGTGATTAAAATCTTCAGATAGGTGTCTGGTACCTAAGAAGGGCTCAACAAGTGTTTGTTCACTATAGGTGAACTAAGGTCTTCTTACACTTGAGGCGAATCATCACTTGGGATTTTCACCCAATTCATTCTTGATTTATCCTAGATATTTGCAGCTTATTTTTGTTTCTATTATGTATTCTTTGGCCCTTTCCTTGGAGTCTACAAACACATTCAAATCTTTCCCCTTAAGAAATAAACAACAATAAAAAAATGTTTTACCCTGCTTTTCTTTCTTGCTGTGACCTTATCATTTCTTTTCAAAGCCTATTCCTCAAAATAATTATCTAGTCTCTCGCTTCTCATATCTCAATACCAAGAACCTCCAACAGATAGCACCACTCCACTGAATCTACAAGAGCATTGCTAACAACTGCTCACTTGCCAAATTTAATCTTTTTGCCTGGGTTTACTTCTTAATTGATTTCTGGCAATAAAACTGCTTAGAATTCCATCAATCCTTCACTTCTTCTTGCTTGACTCTCAAAAACCACTTTGTCCTCATCTCATTCCCCAAAACCGGCAGGCCCTCTCAGTTCTTTTTCCTGTCTTTACTTCTCTTACATGTCCACATTTACTAGGCCACTACCTTTGGCTTTATCATATACAGTAGTATGTTCAATCAACAGTCTCTGGACTTTCTCTGGGGGAGGACAGACAGCACATCATGTAGCTTCTGGAGCCTTATTCCAAATATACTTAAAGAAAGTCACCTGGAAAACATCAACTCCTTTTTAAAAACCTAGCTCATGGTTCACCGCTTCTTAAAACTCTTTTTAGACCCCTCTTTTCACTTTAGTACTGTGCTGTCTATTCTGTGAAAATACTGAAATACAGTGGCCACTAGCCACATGCGGCTATTTAAACTTAAATTTAAAATAATTAAATTGAAATACAATTAAAAATTTTTTTTCTCAGTTCAGTTTCACTAATCCCATTTCATATACTCGATAGTCACATGAGGGCTAGCAGGTACCATATTGGATAGGTAGGTAGAAACAGAACATTTCCATCATTGCAGACGTTTCTACTAGACAGTGCTGATTGTTTGGATTGACCAGCTCTTCTTTTGCTTTTTTTTTTGTTTTTTTTTGTTTTTCTGTTGTCAGTGTATGCTTCTATTATATTACACAGAACATTTTATGCTCTTTTATTTCATTAATTTATGAACATATATATATATCCAGACTCTACTCTATCCTGAGTACCATGCTTAGTGTTGAAAAAACAAAGAAAGGAAAGGGCTGCTCAAGCACCTCAGGGTATTTTTGTCAAGTTGAACAAGGCTTAGAATAAGATAAATTCTTAACAAATTTTACCTTATTGAACAAATGAATAGATAAACATGCATTACCATGAATGTATCTTTCTGTTATTAATCCAAAAGTCAGTCCTTAAATTTATAGCTCTAAATTCAAAATGGAATTAGCCATTAGTGATTTAAAAGTTGTGTGATTAATTTGCTTTATAAGAAATACATTTTTAAACATATTACTGATGAAAATACTTGCCCTTGGCATTAGAAAGTAGGTCCACTGAAGATATTATATCTTTTTGTACAATAGGTGTGAGGTCTATTTAAATAATATAATAGTTTGGTCAAAGCACTAATGCTTTTATGTTAGAATTCCTAAATTTTAAATATTAATTCGAAATCAAAATTTGATCAAATCTAGTTGGTTTCACTCTTCTAAAACCAGGATTAATCAAGTTTCTTAATCATTCTTAATATAAAGTCATCTACTCCCACATTACCTGCTATGGTTTGAATGTTTGTCCCTGAAAAGCTCATGCTGAAATTTAGGTGCCAGTGTAATGTTATTAAGAGACAGGACCTTACAGAGATAATTAGCAATGAGGGCTCTGCCTTCATGAATGGATTATTGTCATTATCAAGAGATTGGGTTCCTTATAAAAATAGGATTTTGGCCCCCTTTACTCTCTCTTGCACACCTCTCTGCCCTTCTAAACCCTCTTCCCTGGGATGATACAGCAAGAAGGCCCTTGCTAGATGCTGTCACCTTGATCCTGGACTTCCTGGACTCCAGAATTGGGAGAAATACATATCTGTTCATTATAAATTATCCAGTCTGTAGTATTCTGTAGTAGCAGCACAAAATAGACTAAGTCAGTACCTTAATTATTTTAAATTTCTGAGTATAGTATGGTGTCACATTTTCAAAGCTGTTATTTTAATTAGATCCCACAAATAAACCCACAAATAAAATATTTAAAAATGTATATTTTTAAAAAATTATAATTTCCAGGGTTATATAACATGAAAAATGTATTATGCTAAGAGATAGTGGTTTATATAATCCTGTAAATCAGTAATCCTTAAAGTGTGATCTCCACACTAGCAGCATCAGCATCATCTAGGAATTTGTTTGAAATGCAAGTTATTAGGTCGCACCTTAGACTAACTGAATCAGAAACTCTGTGGTGGGGCCCAGCCATGTATGTTTAGCAAGCCCTTCAGGCTTGCATGCTAAAGTTTGAAAACCACTTCCACAGAAGAATGTGCAGCAACTAATCAGATTGAGATGTTACAGATAACAAGGTAAAAACACAATGACAAGTAAATAGGAGTACAGAATAATACAGCCCATATTTCATATGTGCCAGACTGGAGTTTGAGATGTAAAAGCAATTTCTTCAAATTATAGATTAAATTCAGACCACAGTTATATCAAAAAGATTGGGCACACACTCAGATTCATGGACCACATCAGAACAGCTTCATACAATAGACATTTCACAGTATAGAGAAAATTCCAGAATTTATTTCATCAAGGGATATAGGCCTAAACAAATAATGTGCTTTCTAAATTTAGTCTTAATCTAAAACAGGTCTGATTTCAATCTATGATTTTACTGCTCTTTTTTGAAAACTTCCTTTTTAATATATTATTGATATCTTATAAAATTTTTATCATTAAATGTTAACAAAAAATACTTGAAATTATTCGCATTAAGCAGTCACATTATTTTCTTATTTATACTAATGGTAACTGATTACTTTGCTGGGTACTTTTTATTTATCCTTGATCAACTCTTCAAACTTCTTCATCTTGCTCTCTGACCATAAAGGTTGACGTGTGTGGACTATATCAACAAGACTTTCCTACTGTAGCTATGATTGGGCATGGCCGATGGGAATTGTCCATTGAAGAGATCAGTAAGAAGGCAGAAAGAATGCCAAGATATCATTTCCTGCCGACATCTCATGTGGACACCCATGCCGAGTTGCTTCCCTAGACCAAAAGATATAATTCTTTCAAGGTGGTCCTTTCCACATGACTCATTTCTTTTAGGTTCCAATAATTCACTCTCTTCTCTTGCTGCTTTAGGCCCAAGTGTGTTATCGGGGCTACCTATCCCACAGTATTGCACTACGTCATATGTTGCCTCTAAATTCTACGTAGGCTTTTGTAAATGTTATCTTTATTACAGTCTATTCAAATTATGGAATGTTACAGTGGTACCTGATTCCTCCAGAAGCCTGGTTGATATAGTTACCCCTGATCACCGTAATTATGATTTTTAAATAACTACTACAAGGAAATGAAGATACTTCCTGTCTTTACTGGAAGTGATAAAGGGAAAAACACTGGAAATAATTTGTTGAGATATTTTCTGTTGTGTGTTGCAGATTAGGAAGGCAGATGTGAGACTTGCTCATGAAACCTAATTGAAGAAGAGGTTGAAAAGAGAGTGGCTGATTACAGGAACAATGCAGGCTAGTATGAGGATTTTGTGATGCTTATAAAATTAAATAAAATTTTTATTTCATGCTTGTAACGTGCCAAACATGGTGCCGTTGTGGCATTGAGGGTATGCTATGATGAATAAGCCAGACATAATCTGTGCACTCAAGGGTGGAGGCAGTGTCTCTGGCAGAAGAAGAAACACATACAAAATCTGAAGGTGGGGGAGGAAAGCAGAAGTAATGAGAGAAATGAGACCCTATTTCAGCAATTAAAATAAATTTTATGTGTTGGATAAGTTTGGAAAAGCACAAAGATACGAGAGGCAAGATATAAGGTTGGTTTTTATCAGAATTAACGTTATTACTAACAGTAGAATGAGTACAGTATGAACCAAGGAGAAAGACTGATAAACAAGGGAAGAAAGGGATATTAGAATTTGCAATCAACAGTGCTATCTTCCTTTCAGCTTTAAAATTTGAAAGTTAAATTTTAAGAAGTCCACAGTTCCAGCAGATGAAAAGAGATAATGATTTAACTTGGAATATTCTTTCTTTCCCCTACATTTTAAATATTATTTTGCACTGTAGAGTTTTCTGGATATATTCTGATAGCAGATTTGATTTCCTGAGTAATAAACCAATTTTTAAGTAATATACAACTTGTTTGTATGTTTCATTTAGAAGAAACCATCAAAATAAGATTTCACAAGAGATACTAAAGTATAAAAAGGAAATGATTTTTTTAAATTGAAGTAATATTTTAGATAGAAAATATGAACGTATGATTTCTAATTCTTCAGACACACATAACTGCAAGTTCAAAATTCACCTTTTGGAAAATATTTGCAAACAGAATTAAAATCATGCTTTAAGGAGAAAATGTATTAATATATTCGTATAAAATATCTCTATGATAATGTAAAAAACCCTGCTGGAGTTAATACATGTTTGATGAAATATTCAAGTGTACAGGGCCCAAGAACATCTATTTGATTTGGAATTAAGGAAACTTCCAAAAAATAATACAAATCATGATAGTAGTTGAGGTTGACACATGCGGTCTAGGCAGTCTCTAGGAAGACTGTCTCTACATTGGATACTGGAGCTCGGAGTTCGCTTTGCAGTCAGTCAGGAAAAGAAGGTCACTATGAGGCAAGAAACTCATGAGCATGGGCTGAAATCCCGTAAGGGTAGACTAAAACTCTGGTCTGCTCTTGTTCCCTCTGATTTCAGTGCCTATGTGTCTGCTGGGCATCCAGCAGAAGCTGGGGCCCTTAGTCATGGAGGTAAATACACACACCTAGCCCAGTAGGCAGAGAAACTGAAGAAAAACTCTGGGGAAGTCAGAGCAACCACAGTCCCAGTTCCTGCCTCCCTCTGTGCACCAACCAGTGAGACTCTCCTTTGCATCCTCCAACTGAAACTGACATTCAAATGGAATATACTTATCTAGGAAGGGGATTTTGGGAAATGCAGTTCAGTGTGACAAGTTGACACATTTCAAAGCCATGGCATAATCCCACAGTTATGCAAAGAGCACCATGTAGTTACTCAAATGATTTAAAGTTTTTGTTTTCACCTGAAATTGATTTGTGTGTATATGTTATGAAATATAAATCCTACTTTTTTCCTTTGTGAACAACCAGTTCTTCCATCCCCATTATCACTATTTTTTTCAAATGAGCTACTATTGCTGTCATATACCAAGTTACCAATTTTGATTATTTTCTTTCTTCCAATTCTCACACTGTCTAAATTAGTTTAGATTTATAATAAATCTGGTAGGATATACAAAGGAAAATTTATATGGTTGATAGGATTTTGCTTTGTGTCCTCACCCAAATCTCATCTTGAATTGTAATCCCATAATCCTCATGTGTTGTGGGAAGGACCTGATGTGAGGTAATTGAATCATGTGGGCGGTTTTCCCCATGCTGTTCTCATGAATTCCGATGGTTTTATAACTGTCTGGCATTTCCCCTGCTGGCATTCATTCTCTCTCCTGCCACCCTGTGAAGACGTGCCTTCTGCCACGATTGTAAGTTTCCTGAAGGGCTCCCTAGCCATGTGGAACTGTGAGTCAGTTCAACCTCTTTTCTCTATAAATTATCCACTCTTGGGTATTCTTCATAGCAGTATGAGAACAGAGTAATGCAATGATGGTGAAAATAAATGAACTCAGGTGAAAGGTAAGCAAAATTAATATTGAAAACTAAACATTGAACAAATTAGCATAAGATTTAGGAGAAAAAGGCAAGATAGAAATATACATATATACTATATCATTTATATGATATTTAAAATCATGTAAAATTAGATATAGTTTAATGATATGTACCTATAGTAAAAATAAAAATTAAAACATTTAAATGATATGGGAAAAGAGTATAGCATTATGAGGAGTCTTCCAATATATTGGCATTTTTTTCCCTAGTTGGGTGGTAGATGTACAGAGATTATATTATCTTTTGTACCTCTTGTATATTTGGCCATATTAAAAAATATGTCCCTTGTTTCAGAACAAATTCTGTGTTTCAGCATAGTCCCTATCAATGTTCTGTACTAATGGCTTTGGCAGGGAAGAGCACAGGGAGAGACCAAGCAGCCCAGCAGGGACATAAGGAGACACTGTAGCCCTTTGAGAAGTCACAGCAAGTGCAATAGCTCTCTGACCATGAGGATCAGGGTAATTTTTGGAGTACATGTGAGACTTTCCCAGGAAACCCCAGAAATGCCTGCAGTGTACATGTGGGTATTTGCAGAATATTGCTCATCTCTGTCCCATTTACACAGTAGAGAAATTCAGGTTATACCTAATTTCTTTCATTTATTTACCCTCTGCTGCTTAATAGCAGCCATAGAGGACTGTAAAACTAGAATTTAAAGTTCTGTTCATTTTTAGATGACAAAAAAGTGCTGATTGATAATGAATTAATGGATGGATGAGTAAATATTTCTTTGGTATTTAAATTTTCTAGGTTATTTCAATTCTCTAATGTAATGAATGATACCCAAGATTTCCACTTCCTGTGAAAGAGTCTGCCTCAGTGAAGATAGAAAAATAAATGTAATCAGACATTGACATTCAAATGGAATGTACTTATCTAGTATGCATGCATAATAGCAGAGATTCAGTATGGAAAATATAATACATGTTTATAAAATGAATTTATGGACAGTTTTTTTTAAAGTAGAAAGATAAAGGAATTTAAGATTCTCTCATTTGAACATCAAAGGATTTACCTCTCAGGTTGGCAGGACAGAATGCAGGTAATGTCCTTATCCTTTTTATCTTCAAATATCACAGTTGCTTTCAGAACTGTTTTTAAAGGGTTGCCAGTTTTGCTAATGTACAACAGCCTCTCATCCAGAAGGAAAGATTTGCATCAAGGACAAAATGACTTTTTAACTTTTCATAACAAAGCTTAAACTTTTCTACTACTACAACTTGCTTATTAAAGATAAAATGCATAAGCACGTTGTACTTAATAGGGCATACCAGGGAAGAATGGATTATTTGGGAGGCAAATCAAGGTATATGCATAGTTTCACTTTTTTTTTTCTTTTTTTTTTGCTAAAGACAAATAAATAGGAGAATTTATTAAAGATTGTCTTCTATCACATTTAACCAGGCTGACTTACAGAGTATAATAACATTTCCCATAATTTTATCAAAACCCCCTAATTCCATGGGAACTACACTCACCCACAAACACACACACACAGATACACACACACACACACACAGATACACACACACACATTCTACAAGAGAAAAGCTTTGCCTAGATCTAACTCAGTGTCTCCTGGCACTAAAATAGATTGCTGTCATTTTATGAAGAACTATTATGGAGAAGATGGAACTATTTCTAGTTCTTATTATTTTAATGGTATCTACATTTTCTATAAATTTGGGAACTTTGAGCAGGCTCTTTACAAGGGCTTGTGTTATCCTGAATTGGCAGCCTAAGTAAAACTCATTTCTTAAATAATATCTAGGAAGTTGGGATATTAAATGAGCTTGTCATACCCTATCTACAAATCTAATAAGTCAACTGAAAATGTAATTATTTTTCAAATAGTAACTTGACTGGATGAAAATGTCTCTCTTTTGAAGTATTGTCAAATTGCAAACTGTGTAAAATTGGCACTTCATCTAATAGTTTTTGTTTAAAATAAAACAATATATAAATTAAAAGAAAGCTTTTTTTCTGCCTCAATTTATTTTCAAAAAAAGGAAAATACTTGGTTAGCTATAAAACAAAGAGAAATCACTATAGGCCCTTTTTATGAGGTTGTGAATTATGTGCCATGTTTTTACTTCTCATCTTTACCTACCCACAGCATTCATATAATATTCTAGAAAACTGTAACACTATACTGATTTCACTTATCAGAAACAGCAATAGAAATTCTCAAAATGTTACTATCAGAATTTAACAATAGCCTCAGAGATGAATGGACATCTAGTGTTCAGACACCATCAAAGACTGAAAAACTGTATCCCTTTTCTGTAGAAGAAAATATAATGAGAAACTAGGAAACCCACTTTGAAAATTTGATGCTATGTTCCCACATGAGGTAAGCTTAAGAGTGGAATTTTATTATAAATTTATCTTTTATATCTAGTTTCTTGTTTCTTTATTGATTTAACAAGCATTTTAAGCAAGGGTGATGAGATTAACATTGCAGTTGTAGAAGTGAATGACTAATGGTACATAACATGACATTAAGGAAAGAACATGTATTTAGAGCCAGATCTGTGTGTTTATGTGACAGCCTCTGATCTACTGATGGCCAGCCATACTGAACCTCAGTATTCTGATTTGTAAAATGGAAATTAAAAATAAACATCTCATAGGGTGGTATGGTTGTGGTATTGGGCATCAGGTTGTAATCAAAAGAAATAGAATAAAGAAAGGCAAGTTGGAGACTGAACGGGGAATGTGCTTTGCTAAAAAGATCGTATGATATTCCTTAGGCAATCGCAGGTGGCTAAAGCCTTTGAAAAGACACTGGCATCTACATTTACTTTGAAATCCATGGCAGGTTGGCAGGTTATAAAAGTAAATCAACATACTTCCAAAGCACCACATGATGCGCTATAAAAACAAGCATATGCATATACGTTAGATTACCCAATATTGTTTTAAATATCTTTGTCACTGTTCCACTTTATTATGGCAATAGTGATTTTCAAAATTATTTTTCCCACAGAACCCTCTCTTTAGATGAAATCCTAGCCAGAAGCATAAACAAATAAAACAGATAAAAGCAGAATGATTCTGTTAAAGATGAGAATAAATCAGAGGGCTTTTCAGCTGCAAAGTACTAAGTATTCTCTTCATCCTATGAATTTCCATAGTACTCATTGTCTATATCTCTCATCTCATGCCAAATTACACACTCCCTTGAATTTTACTTTAATGTAACTCTGTTGCTTCAACTAAATTGTGAGCTCTCTGTGACAGGGACCACAGCTTTAAAGCTTTACATCTCCCTCAACGCAGCCAACAATCCAACAATGTCTTTCATACAATAGCTGTTTCCTACTATGTACATGTTTCCAAATTAATTGAATATGATGATGAACATATAGGGTTCCAAATAATTCAATTCACTTTTCTAGAATTTTAGGATGTATTCCCTCAGGGTCCTTAGATACAGACAGTTACACACACACACACACACACACACACACACACACAAAGTGATAAGTGTCAGAAATATCAAAGTAATACATGTCAGAAAAACGAAATGAGTATAAATTTATAAAATGAATCTCTCTGGAAAATAAAAATGCATGAAATCATTTTTAATAATGTGTTACATATAATGTGGACACATACATTTTAAAAGATATAACAGGTATTCCTTTTTGATTATGGCTCAGAATTCTGTATTTTTTACTTACTGAACTGGCTTACCTTTCGCTCTGGGCAAAGCTGGCTTATTGTCAAATCCAACCAATTTGTAGTTCTCTTAAGTGAGAGGAATCTGGTACAATTGGCTTAGCACAAGTAATCAGAGGTTGAACTAGGAGGATGTTTTTGAGGATGAAGAGAAGCAGAAGTTGCAAGAGATAGTTATTCCTTGTTCTTAGCTCAATATTGAGCTAAACTTGTACTACACAAAAAATAGAGATGCACATATTCAGATGGAAAACTTCCAGGAGTTGTCACAGGGCTTTCTGTGCATTCAACTTTGTGAAATACTGTCTTTCTGCCAAAAAACAAAAACAAAAACAAAAAAAACAGAAATGTGTTTTTATTTCAATTGAAATAGATCTGATTAATAATAACTATCAGGAGTATTATAAGGGTCAATTCTGAATTTTAAATAACTTCCCAAAGATAAATACCTATAGTCTGAATTTGAGGTTCACACCAAAATTTGTATGTTGAAACCTGATACCCAATGTGATAGTATTAAGAAGTGGAGCCTTTTGGGAAGTGATTGAGGCATGAATGTTCCACGTTCATAAATGGTATTAGTGTCCATATTAGAGAGGTTGGAGGGAGCTGCTTCCTTCCCTTCCACCATGTAAGCATGTAGCAACAAGTAGCCATCTATAAGGAACAGGTCCTCAACAACACCAAATCTGCAAGTGCCTTGATCTTGGACTTCCCAGCCTCCAGAACTGTGAGAAATAAATTTCTATTGTCTATAAATTATCCAGTTAAGGTATTTTATTATAGCAGCCTAAACAGACTGAGAAATATACTATACATTAATAAATGTTTTATATATATGTGTGTGTGTGTGTGTAACTCTAGCTTGCTTGTGCAAAAGTTGGAGAAGCAATAAAATATATGGAATATGCATTTAATTTATTTTACATGTTCTTTGTAAGTGGTATTGTGGAAGGCTTTCCAAACAACTGGACAGTTTAAGTTGGCAAATCTTTTGATGTATCTTTTGAAAAGGTTCACTGGAAGACTGATGGCAATTAAGATTATTGTAGCACACTTCATGCGTTGTTTATACAAGTTAGCATCTTACAGGTACTCTATTCCGTTTAGAAATGTTAATTGTAATCTTGAACCATAATTACTTCTCAAATGTTTTTAATATTTATATAAACATTCAATAGTCTTTTTAGTGACAGGTAAAATATGTTTTCTTCAAGAAGGGATTATAGTGACTTGTGCTGCTCCCTTCAGTGGGCTCTAAAATAGATGCATTTTGGCCAAGTGCGGTGGCTCATGCCTGTAATCCCCGCACTTTGGGAGGCTAAGGTGGGTGGATCACGAGGTCAGGAGTTTGAGACCAGCCTGACCAACATGGTGGAACCCCCCATCTACTAAAAATACAAAAATTAGCCGGGCGTGGTGGCAAGTGCCTGCAGTCCCAGCTACTCAGGAGGCTGAGGCAGAAGAATCCCTTGAACCAGGGAGGCAGACATTACAACGAGCCGAGATCACCCCACTGCACTCCAGCCTGCGTGACACAGCAAGACTATGTCTCTAAATAAATAAATAAATAAATAAATAAATAAATAAATAAAATAGGTGCATTTCTTAAGTGAGCTTTGATCTTTAAAGGTAATGTATGTTATTTCCATTCTTTCGATTTTGCCTAAGTATTTTGATACATAATATAAAGTCAGAAAGCACATTTATTGCATTTTAATGAATACTCCAGAAGTCCCTTTGTGCAGAACCTTTAGGGTAGACCACCTAAAATATTTGGTAATTATTAAATGACCAAGACATTAGCACCCTCTTTATTAAAATAGAAATAAATATAGAGGCTTCCTTTTGGAATTAAATCATTCAAGAATATTATACAAGTTTCTTAAAAACATATAGCAATATCAAGTAAAATAAACCACATATATCTGTGACTACTGTGTGGTCATGTAAAGAACAATGTAATAACAACAATAAATAATGTTACTAACAATATTAATCATCATGAATTGAGCCTATGGTATATGCATCAAGAAACTAGCATAGTACAGTTTTGAGGAATCTGACAGCTTGGAATAACATCATCTCTCCATCACTTCTGAACTCTGTGAGACACAGCACCCTCATCCACAGTGGGTTTAATTATAATCTGTATTTTATAGGTTGGAGAGATGCTGAAATGAGAAGTCTGCTCAGTATGTACTCAATAAGTATTAGCTATTATTATAATTACTAAAATAATCTCTTTTTATATTTACATCTGCTATGCAAAATATGTAGTGTTATTAGCATAATACATAAAATATTTTTTATGTATGAAGGAAAAAGCTGGCTATCAGAAAGTCACACCATTGATAATCAGCAAGTTAAATAATTGATATGTTCATCCTTTCAACAATATTTATCAAGAGCTTATTTTATATCAGGACTTGGGGAATATGGCAGTGAATAAAACCTAAAAAGTTCTTTTCCTTCTAGAGTTCACATTTTAGTAAGAAAGGTAGATGATAAACAGATAAATATATAATGCCAAGGCTATTAGTGATAAGTGCTATCATAAAAAAATAGTCTGTGGATAAAGAATGATGGGTGAGAATGGAGTAGAGAAGAACAGGGAACTGAGTTAAAAAGGGTGCTTGGTGACAATTGAGAAGTGATCTGTGTCAAGGGATGATGTAAATCATATAGATGGAGAAAGCATGTCCTAAGCAAGTGAACACAAGAGCAAAGCCCAGGCTGAGGGTGGGCTCAGCGTGTGGAGAACCCAGGCTTCAAATCGAAGTATCTAAGTCTATAGCCTGAAGATGCTTGGATACAGGTTTGGGAAGGTATTCAAGATATATCTACAAAGTGAAAGAGCTCATTGTAGACAGTATAGATTATGCCATTTGTGCTGTAATAAGTTTTTTTATGTCAAAATCTATATCTGTGCTTCGATGCCATATCCATGTTTCTATGCCAGTGCCTGCAAATAAATATTTTTGGATAGACAATTCAAACTATGTTATTGCCCTTGAAATTCCTGCCATCTCTGGCTTGAACTGCTGATTTCCTGCTGTTGCATATGGCCCAGATACTCTCACCACTGCTCCTGGGCTGCTCCAGGTGATATCTCAGAACTCACTTGTACTTCTTTTCAAATTGTGACTAATCTCTCTCAGTCAGCTTTTCTCACAAATGTCACTCACCTCAGGCACTTGACAAATGCCTTTTAATGCTCTGGTCAATCTGTGCTTAATTTTCTAGTGTTGGTAGGAAGATGTCTCCTATCACTTTACGTTATGCTCCTTTCATCAGGGAGCCATATCAGAGTTACTAGAGTCCCAAAGCTTAAGTAAAACTGTTCTTTTTTGTTTTATAGGCAGTTCTTTCATGCCAATGGTATGAACATGCTCAACTATATTGGTGGAGTCAGGGATGTATTCAAATGACAGCCATCATAATATCCTCTTCCCTAAATTCACTCCAGTTGGTGAGTCCTGATAGTTATACTTGTCTCTTTCTTCAAGTCCCAAGAGCCCTGAAGTCTTACCTACCATTTAGCTTCGGCTGCTGTCTCCCAAGTTTGCTGTACTTGCTTATATGTCTCTGAATCCCCAAATCTCCCAGCTTTTTTTTTTCTTATCAAGGTCATAAGCATCATTGAAATAATAGAATAGGTACGTATATATTATTACAGTGATTAGTGTATGAATTTGATCTCTTTGTGATCACCACGTTTCATAAATTTATTTCCCTTTAGCATCACCCACTGTATTTTCCTAAAGCTAGGTAAAAAATTCACAAAACCTTACAGCATGGGTTGAAGAATAGGAATAGACTTTATTGAGGAACTCTGCAGCCAAGGTTTCATAAGAATAGAAACCACAGGCCTTCTAATTTTGAATAGCATCACACAGTCCTCACGCGAGGGCTCTCTCTAAGATGTGTAACATATGTCTGCATTCCAAGGAAGAGACTCCATCAAGACATTTCTCTCCCTTTTTTATAGAGCAATTGGCAAATAATCAGCTGACTGAAGTGCCAGACAGACTGGATAGCAGTACCAGTGCTTTATAGGAGTTGTCTCGTATGAGATAATTGTGGCTCCTCATTCCGGGGGGGGAAAAGGCAACGGTCCAATGAGAACCTCAATTATGAGGCACCCATAATGTTTTTGCTGGAATAAAATAAAAATGAGTGGGAAGATGGAGGTTCCCAAATAGCTCAATGTTCAGGCAACTTAGTGTGAGTCCCCAGTGTGATTTTCAGACAAATCTGCCTGTCGCACCAGCATACTTCAGTTTCTGTGTTAGCCTGGCTGTCTTTTCTGCTATAAATAGTCCAAAAGATTGAATGAAATAATATGAGGCACACAAGTAGGTCAGAATCATTTTGTTCTGAAATAGAAGTTTTTACTTTTAGAAATTGTGGATTCCATTCAGAATCTGGTTTAAGCCTTAGATATTATCTCTGAAATACAAGTTTTGGCAAATATACCAAGTCTACCACATTGCACAATTTCAGGGGAGATATTCACATGATAGTCTACATGTAAACTGCATCATATGTAAATCACACTATAAACTCATAAAACAAATTTGTTTATACATTTATAGAGTGCCATGCTCTGTCATGTTAAGAACCCTTTTTTTAAATTTTTTAAATTTTTTTATGGTTTTTTTTTTTACATTTTTTTTTTTTACATTTTTATTTTTATTTTTTTGTGTGAGACGAAGTTTCACTCTTGTTGCCCAGGCTGGAGTGCAATGGCGCGATCTCGGCTCACTGCAACCTCCACCTCCCAGGTTCAAGCAATTCTTCTGCCTCAGCCTCCCGAGTAGCTGGGATTACAGGCATGCGCCACCATGCCCAGCTAATTTTGTAATTTTAATAGAGCCAGGGTTTCTCCATGTTGGTCAGGCCGGTCTCGAACTCCTGACCTCAGGCGATCCGCCTGCCTCGGCCTCCCAAAGTGCTGGGATTACAGGCGTGAGCCACTGCGCCTAGCCTTATGGTTTTTTTAAGTAGAGACAAGATCTTGCTTTGTTACCCAGGCTGTTTTCAAACTCCTGGTTTCAAACAATCCACCTGCTTCCGCCTCATGTTAAGAATCTTAGCTTAGTTTGTTCTTCTATTAATACAACTCATATCTTTCTCTCATACTTCTTTAACAATTATTAGAAAGACCAAAAATCTATATAAATGGTCATGTGAGGTAGGTATAAGGAAATTATCCTTTGTAAAGGTTAATTACAATTTTTTATTTTAAAAGTACACAACAGGCCGGGCGCGGTGGCTCACGCCTGTAATCCCAGCACTTTGGGAGGCCGAGGCGGGTGGATCATGAGGTCAGGAGATCGAGACCATCCTGGCTAACAAGGTGAAACCCCGTCTCTACTAAAAATACAAAAAATTAGCCGGGCGCAGTGGCGGGCACCTGTAGTCCCAGCTACTGGGGAGGCTGAGGCAGGAGAATGGCGTGAACCCGGGAAGCGGAGCTTGCAGTGAGCCGAGATCGCGCCACTGCAGTCCGCAGTCCGGCCTGGGCGACAGAGCGAGACTCCGTCTCAAAAAAAAAAAATAATAAAATAAAATAAAATAAAATAAAATAAAATAAAATAAAATAAAATAAAATAAAATAAAAGTACACAACAAGTATTCACATTTTATCAGCCATTCTTGAAAAGTGACTGGTTTTGGTTATGTCCTTTATTTCATTAATTTTACTTCCTCACAGTGAAAGGCAACATTAACTCTGCCTTTCAAATTATGACCTCACAATGACATATGTCAGGAAAAACCATAAGACTTTGAAATGGGAAAAATCAATTAGTAGTTTTCTGTCCAGAATACCTTTATTTAAGCCTTTCATGGTCTTCAATCTATTTCACAATTCTAAGTTGTGAAAAACTGATAGTAATGCAAATGATTCTTTTTGTTAGAAATGAAAATTAATTTTGTCCAGTGCAAATGCAATTGACCATTGCCCTGTGGATATTGACCTAATTTACATTTGTTTGCAAATTCACTTCAGTATTTCTAATTGTTTATACATGTGTATCCTTTGAATTCTCCTTTGAGCCAGTTTTTACATCTTACTGATTCCTTTACTAATTATTATGTAGAATAAAATCTTTGAAATATGTTCATTTTTTCTGTGTTTCATGATTTTAACTTTAAAAATTCTTCAACACATAGTCTAAGTGCTCATGAGCAATAAAAGTGAAAAAAAAATCATATTATTTCATGGATATGTGAGTTTAAATTTTTGTGCAAAAGAGATCCTCCAGTTCCGGAGCTCCTATTTCATATAATGGACTAGTTATATAGAAAAGATAAGATTGAAATTTTTAATTACTTATTATTTCTTACAAAAAGGCTCGTTCTCTAAAATGACAGTATTTACCAGGGTTACTATTTTAAAGTCTTCCAATTTTAGCCAATCACAATGTTATTTGCTATTATGTGGTTTGTTTGTTTATAAGAAAATGCAATAACACAATTCACAATCTTCAAAATTCTACCAGATAGGATAATTCTCGGCACACTTGACTTTGAATCTTGCCAGATCCAGGTGTTGTTATAGGCTGAAAATAATATAAGCTAAAACTATATTTAAAATATATATTTTTGTTGAATGGAATATATATTTAACACAAGATGATATTTATTCTTATTTTCAGTGTTATTACAATTGGATTAGTATTCTTTAGATAATGAGTATTTTGATCATTTGGCTAAAAATCAAATGAGGTATCAGTTCTATTGCCTGATTTCTGTGGAGTAACTGCTTCTTTGGGGAAATAGATTATGACAAAGTACAAATTCATTTCTGTTCTTTCAAAAAAAAAAAGCTTCAATTAAATGTTAACACCCCAGGTGTTTTATATCTCTTCAATAAAAACATTATCACTTCAACTATTGAGACAGAGGTATGTCAAAAATCCAGATGCTTCATACATTTCCTTTGGAATTCAATGAAGAAAGTTAAGGAAACTATCTGCATGTGAATTACTTTCTACAACGGAAGGCATTCTGACTCTGATTAATTGCTAAGCAAAACCCATATTCACTGAAATGGCAGTTATATGCAAATATCAGAGGCCAACTGAAGAAGGCCTGAAATGACATTCTACTTACAAGAAATTTAATTTTCAAGAAATAAGTGCAGGATACTAAGATAGTGAGAGCTGGAGAAAAATAAGCCAATATAACTTAGAGGTATAATTTTATTTTCCTTTTTTGAAATCATTTCTTACTTCATATGTTCATGAAGGTGATTTAAAGTTTATTTGTTTGATTTTTTTTAATATAAGGTATTTTTATTGATCTAAAGAAGTTTTCCAGAATTGATCTTAGAAACAGCTGAGACCAAGTCTTTTCTCTTAGACTATGAAGACCAAAACTGAACAGGTGTGCTAAAAAGACAAATGAGAGATTTTGGAATTTAAAATATAATGGGTCCCTGTATTAATAACTTCTTATGAAGTTTATGGGACTGAACACTAACCTACTGTAAATATAACACCAGCACATGATCAAAGGTTAAAATGCTCAAAAAGATTTGGAAAGGTAACAAAATATGCCACCTCAAAACATGCCACTTTGGCTATAGATTATTTTGAACTGAAAGCAACTGAAAAACAGTAGATACAAGAAGAGCTCTCACTCTTTCTGTTTAACAGCAGGGCATAAATTTCCTTTTTGGACGTGACATAAATTTCCATTTGTGAATGTGTTTCTCTCTTCTGTACCAGAAAGATCAGAGATGACAAAGAGAGTCTGCATAGACAATCTTACTAATGCCTATTAACACACATTTCTAGTTAACCTTCCTATAATTTATCAACCATTGTTAAAAAGTTATCTAAAAAGCCCCCACATCTAACTAATTTGTTGGGTTTTTCACTTCTTTTCTGTGAAGCCCCTGTGTCATGTACATAAAAATATCTGCATAAAATAAAATTGTCATGCTTTTTCTCTTGTTAATCTATCTTTTGTCAATTTAATTCACGAGCCCTAGAGACAGAACCAAAGAGGGTAGAGGAAAAGCTTTTCCTTCTCTAAATTTCCATGCAACTCAACATTTATTAAACAATTACTTCCTAATATATTCTTTTATAAGCTCTAAAAATACCTAAAAGGGAAGATCTGAAAGAGTATGGTTTACTTTGAGAATGATGTGACTGCTAGGCTGGGCGCAGTGGCTCACGCCTGTAATCCCAGCACTTTGGGAGGCTGAGGCAGGCAGATCATGAGGTCAGGAGATCAAGACCATGGTGAAACCCCATCTCTACTAAAAATACAAAAAAAAAAAAAATTAGCCGGGCACGGTGGTGGGCGCCTGTAGTCCCAGCTACTCAGGAGGCTGAGGCAGGAGAAGGGTGTGAACCCAGGAGGTGGAGCTTGCAGTGAGCCGAGATTGTGTCACTGCACTCCAGTCTGGGTGACAGAGCAAGACTCTGTCTCCAAAAAAAAAAAAAAGGAGAATGATGTGACTGCCAAGGGTAGTTTGGCATGACTGAAACGTAGTACATGGAGTAGCAAGGCTAAATATGTCAAGTTCGTTCGTTAAATCATACTAAAATGTGTAGGCTACAGAGTTTGGCCTTAAGCAGATTTCCATAAATTCCCAGCCTGGAGCTCAATCACTCATTTACTCAGCATGTACGTATTTAATTATTTACTTATTTGATTATGTAATAAGTATTTGCTGAGCACATAACATATGCCACTCACTGTTTTAGGTGCCAGCAATAAAACAATATGACAAACATGTTCTCTGCCCTTAAGACACTTCCAGTAGATCAGGAGCTAATAAGCATTTGTAACAAATTGATGGTATAGTTTATAACAGAGGCTGCTAACAGAATATACAAGAGCTTAACATTTATGTTAATATCTTGAAAAGAGACCAAAGAAAACATCCAATAATTTACTACGTATATATTATTTGTCCTATCTCCATCTAAGACTTGTGTGTGCTATTAATACATAATGGTACATATTTATTTTACCAGACCTGGAAGAAAATTTTGCCTTGACTAGTACTACTAGTTGAATTGTAGGAATGTCAGCTCCATTGCTTACTTAGTTTGCTCCTCTACTTAAAGGAATGAAAAAGAAAAGCTGTAGCACACAGCATCTGTAGGAATGTTGTCTCCTTCATTATCATTAGCCTCTGGGTCCAAGCATCCTTGGGATGATTTCCCAATAGCTAAAAAAGTAGCCAAGATTATGGATGTTGCCCAGAGAGCACATTAACTGGAAGTTTCTCCACTTGGAATAGCTGTTCCAATAAGCCAAAGAATTGAAAGCCTTTCCTGTAAAGTATTTGTGATTCTTATATTTCAAAATTTATGTTGGGTACTTTGGTTTTCTTTTTTTAATATATAAGCACAGGTATTTCTTGACAAAATATGCTTGAAATTAAAAAATTCAAACTATCCTAAAATATGCCCTATTAGCCTTAAATCACCTCTCACATGCTGAATTAAATCTTTACTAGAGATAAATCAGATAATGAACAAACATAGTTGGCTCTCTGATTTTGCTCCTGCAAGTTTGTACAATCAATTAGATTATACTGTATTTTGTACGTATTCTTTTTTATTGTGTGAAGAATGTAAGTACGGAAAACCATAGATACTAATAAGAAAAGGTATTCTCAAGATAAAACTGAAATAAAGTAGAACATAAAGCATAATATCTAAAAGTATATCACTGAAATTGTAACTTTGGCAAGGTGTTATCACAACATAATATTTCTGGTTCTTATGGAATAGAAACCTCTTTATTCTATGTAAGTTTATTATCTTACTGACATTCAGAATAGACACATATTTTCAAGACGCCTTTACACACAAAGGTAGGAACTATCTTTACTATGAATAACACTGCAATGAACATCTTTATATTTAAATTTTGGACTGCATCTCTGATTATTTTGCCGTGTCTAGTGTCATACTCTATGCTATGGATAACATTGCTGTGAATATTTTTATACATAATGACTTGACAGTACTCATCAATACTTCACTAGGCTAGATTACTTCAAGTGAGATCACTGGATGAAATGGAATAAATGACATGAAGTTTTGAGATGTATGTGTTTTACTCAGGTTCTACTGGCAACAGAAATGAATGAGAATGAATGTTGGCAATGTTGGGAGAATTTTTATATTTTATAATTACCTTACAATTGATTGATGTATAGAATATTTCCTTGTGTTAGTTTGTATTTCTTTTATTTTCATCAAGCTTAACTAGTATTCTACATGTTGGTGGCCTATATGTATATATTTTTGTAATTTTGTTCTGTTGTGGCATTTATCTTATTTTTATTAATCTGTAAGTGTTATCTGTAGACACATAATGATCAAATCTATGTTTAAATGCTTTCAGTAAAGAAGATGCATAGTCTGCCTCAACAGACCTTTCTAGAATTTCACAAACTTCAGGTCTAAACCGAAGAGCCTGTGCTGCTGTTCAAAGGTTGTCCCCTCCCCTCCCACTCCATGAAAGACAAGAGAAAACAACAGGACTATCTCCAAAGGCAAGAAAACGCTAAAGCAAAACCAATTGCACCCATTGTTAAACACACTTTCTAAATTCTCACATTTGCAACTAATAGCAGACATTTTAAGACCTATGGTTTGAAAAGTTAGCTTTAATAGTAGTAAATGCTAGTTCTCACTAATTTCTTAGCTGTGAAATTTAGTGAAACAATTTACTCTGGAGCAGCCTTGCTCTGCTATGTCGTTACTATCCATGGTGCAGTAAGAATGGTGCCAGAGTTCCAGGCAACAGTGGAAGGTAGAGCATAGTCAAGAGTGAGAGGACACTATTTTGTATTCCAGCAACAATCTTTTCGCATCCATCAGCCAAAATTTTGTCTAATGTTTGATGTCAATGTAATTGTTGGCATGGAATCACCATGTTTAATTGCACTGTGTTATCCAGTATGATAGCTAGTAGTCACATGCATTTGCTTAAACTTAAATTTATATGAATGAAAATTAAATGGAATTTAAAATTTAGTTTCTCAGTCTCATTAGCCATGTTTCAAATACTCAAGCGGTCCATAAAGCTAATGGCTACTATATTGGACAGCGTAGAAATTGAACATTTCTCTCATCTCAGAAATTCCTATTGGAGTACTGGAATTTCAGGAAGATCAGTATTTATCCCTGAGCTGGAGAAAATGTCATCTTGTTTGAAAGCTGAATATCAGAACAAATTGGTTTATATTAGCAAAGAATACATGAAGATGGGATTTGAGTGTGCAACATGCTCTATCTGCCACATTATGTTTTGAGGAGCAAAGACTGACTCATCACATAAACTTTACTCCTAGAATTTCATATTCCATATACCTCCTGCACTAAACTTTAGCTGGCAAATAGAGAAGTGGCAGGGGGATTTGTACATAGTATCTGTGAATTAGAGTTGTCACTATAAATTGGATATAAGACAACTGCTTAAAACCAAAAGTAAAAGAATGCCTGCAAAGGAAGCACAGAAAACGTTAAGAATGAATTATACCATTTTCCATAGCAAATAAATGTGTCTATATTTTAATTTCTACAACAAATGCATGGTTTTGTTTTCATATTGCCAGATATCAAGTGGAAACATATTTTGTATTTAGGAGGTAGAGCCCATTGTTTTAAACTAATGGTTTGCATTATCTGTAAGGAGGAATTTATAAGATCCTAATGGGAAATTGGGCTCCTACATAGTTTACTTCTTTGTCTTCAAGGCAAATTAACTATCTAAGCAGAAGAAATGTGATTCCAAATGCATTTCAGTTCATGTGTAATAGTCCTAGCTTCTCTTGCTGCTTCATTATACCCCTGTCCACCAAACGTAAGACGCCACGTAGGAATATTGGAATAGTCCCCAAATACTAGTTAAACCGTTCAAATTATTTTAAAAGTCAAAAGTGAAGAAAAACTGCTGATAATTATTAAGACTTTCCCATATAAAGGAAAGAATAAATTTCGATTATGTTAAAACTATACAACAATGAAAGGAGACTCTGGGAAAAAATGTTACAATGCTTTTTAGTAGCTGAGCTAAAGGCTATTCTTTCTTATACAGGAAAGAATAGCAGAGCAAATATACCTCTCAGGTCACAAAGCACTAAGGCAATTTACTCCTGTCTGTGTTTTTATCAACGATCCTTCATTTATAATCCCTGACCTCTGAGAAAATTTGGGCCCTGCGCATTCTCTCCCCAGCTGAAGGTCATGCTCTGTTCTGTTTGCTGTATCTGAAATAGCCGAATGCTTTCATCCTAAATCCATGCTTTGGTTCCTGGACCATCTAAGCATCTGATTAGCTCCATCTTTTATCTCCCATCTCAGTGGCTTTAGACCTTTGGCCTCGTTCTTTCTGAGGTTCCCTCCATGCTCTGATTGATACAGAACAGCAAAGGTTGGTTTTAGAGTCCTAAGCGGGGCAAGCCTGACAGCCTCCTTGCACTCCAGTTAATACCTTGCCAAAAGCAGTCTGGTCTCTGGAGAACTATCAACCATTTTTCAAATTTTTTTAGCTTTTCATTTCTTCTTATGCCCTTTCATGCTTTACAACTACTTGAAACTTAATAATAATAATAATAAGTAAACAAAAAGGCTTGAAAACATATTACAGGTGACAAGAGCAAACTAATCGTTTAGTAATATTTTATATTAATTATTTTATAGTATACATAAATCTCCCTCTTTAATTTTGTTTGATAGATATTTTAAATGCCAGATTTGCCGGGCGCGGTGGCTCATGCCTGTAATCCCAGCACTTTGGGAGGCAGAGGCGGGCAGAGGTCAGGAGATCGAGACTATCCTGGCTAACATGGTGAAACCCTGTCTCTACTAAAAATACAAAAAAATTAGCCGGGCATGGTGGCAGGTGCCTGTAGTCCCAGCTACTCGGGGGGCTGAGGCAGGAGAATGGCGTGAACCTGGGAGGCAGAGCTTGCAGTGAGCTGAGATGGCGCCACTGCACTCCAGCCTGGGCAACAGAGTGAGACTCCATCTCAAAATAAATAAATAAATAAATAAATAAATAAATAAAATAACATAAAATACATGCCAGATTTAGGCTGGAATTATTAAAATTTATTTATAATTGGCATTTTCTTTGTTAATTGCCTTAATTACAAAATAACACTCAAACTACGTATTTCCACATTTCATAGGTCTTGATGTTGTATACACATCTTCCTTTAACTCCTTTATTAAGTCCTAAATCTTGTTGCTAAGTCAAAATATATGTTTAAAATTGCCCAGGTGGTCATCATTCTTTCAATATTACAGATCATCTTTCTGTTCTAGTCAACTATTTTCAAAACCTATGTTGGTTTTATGATATAGCATATAAAAGATTGTGGTATGGACAGCTTGAACACCTAGAGGACAGGACACCTACGTCCGAATTCCAGGCTCAGTAATAACAGGGTGGATTTGGTCATGCCACTTAATTCCCATCATCTTAGTTGCCTCTTTTGCAAGACAAAAGTGCTTTTCAAGATAATTTCTAATTAACTCTCATGTTCAAAATTTTATGGCTCAACAACAAAAATATAAGCAACTCGATTTTTAAAATAGGCAAAAGACTTGAATAGGTACTTCTCCAAAAATAATATATACATGGCTATCAAGCACATGAAAAGATTTTCAACATCATTAGTTGTTAGGAAGATGCAAATCAAAACCATAAGGTGATACCCCTTTATACTCAGCAAGATGATCATACTCAACAAAAACAAAAACAACGCCTTAAAACAGAAAACAAGTGTTGAAGAAGACATGGAGAAATTGGAAACCTCATGAACTGGTGGTAGGAATGTAAAATGTTCAGCATGTATGGAAAACTGCTTGGTAGTATCTCATTAAGTTAAACATAAAATTATTATATGACCCAGCAATAATACTTCTAGGTATGTACCCAAGAGAATTTAAAACTGGTACTCAAACAAACACTTGTACACACATATTAATAACATCTCTATTAACAATAGCCAAAAGGTGGAAACAATTCAACTGTCTATCAATGAATAACAAAATACGCATATCCATACCATGGAATACTACTCAGCCATAAAAAGGAATGGAGAACTGACACATACTTCAATATTCATGCACTTTGAAAACATTATACTAAGTAAAAGAAGCCAGACATAAAAGGTCATATATTATGATTCCATTTATATGAAATATCTGGAATAGGCAAATCCATAGAGACAGAAAGTAGATTAGCAGTTGACAGGGGCTGGAAGGAATGGGGGAGGGGGAGTAATTGCTTAATGCATGTAGGTTTTCTATTTGCACTGATGAACAGGTTCTGGAACTAGATACTAATGATGGCTGCATAACATTGTAAATGTACTTGATGCCACTGAATTACACACTTTAAAATAATTAAAATGGCCAGTCATGGTGGCTCACGTCTGTAATCCCAGCACTTTGGAAGACCTAGGCAAGAGAATTGCTTGAGCCCAGGAGTTTAAGACCAACCTGGACAACATAATGAGACTTGGTCTCTATACAAGATAAACAAAATTAGCCAGACATGGTGGTGCACACCTGTAGTCCCAGCTATTCAGGAGGCTGAGGTGGGAGAATCACTTGAGCCCAGGAGGTGAAGGTTGCAGTGAGCTGTGATAGCACCACTGCACTCCAGCCTGGGCAACAGAGACAGACCCTGTCTAAAAAAATAAATAAATGAAAGATTAAACTGGTAAATTTGATGTTATCTGTATTTTACCAAAGTAAGACAAATTATGACTCAATTTACACAAAGTAGTGTCTTAATATAAGAAGGCCTACCTTGTGGAAAGAAAAATCCCATTCTTATCAGCCATTGGCAGCAGTTGAAAGCGGAATTTTTTGTATATATAGTTTTGCAATGTAAAGAAACAGCATTTGGAGGCATCATAGAAAGTAAAGTGCTGAGGAATTAATTTTCAAAATAACCATGAGCTCCTGATCTTCAGCAAATCAAATCTTAACCTTTAGCTATATAATGCTTTGTTCTAATTGCTAAATCGTCCCTTCTCTCTTTTTCTTTCTCTTTCTCTTTCTCTTTTGTTAGTGTTGTCTTTGTCCTAAGGTATATGCTGGGCTTTCTTATTGTTTAGTACAACTATGGTTCTCTCTCAGTTATATTGTTTCTCCTTTTTTGTTTAGTTTGTGCCCCGTGGTTCTCACACACCATTGTGCGTTACAATAAAAAAAATCTCCAAATACTTCAAATTAAAATATTCAGCAGATAGTGAAACAATAGGTTTGGGCTCCCTCACTACATTTTCAAGTTTGTGAAAGTTATCACATGTACAGTGTTGGATATAATGACATAAGCAGCTGAACTGGAATTTAGGTTTTATTTCATCTACTTTAATAAGTAATATTAATGTATATACATTTAATAATTACAACCACAGTGACAAGTTTAGATATTAAAAAAAAGCATTATTCTTTATTTTTTAAACTTTTTGACTTAGAGCCTATTATTCATTTAATTTAGTCATTTCCGTGGTTAATTTCTGTATAATACAGTGATTGATTTCTCATTCTATTCAGGTCTACAGTTCAGTTCTCCTCTGGTGAGCATTCTCTCCCAGGTTTTAAATTTCCCTTGTTCTCCTTCCTTCCCACTCTTTCTAGGTTGTTTGATGTTTCTGGTAGTCTATGCCCCCCACACTCCAGTGCTGTCATCCTTGGCATGCTTATCCTGTTTCTGCCCAGCAGAGGTGGTACCTATGAATAGCAAGAGGAGGCTCCCTAGGGCCATGCTCCACCCACAGGGAAATAGCTTTCTCGCTCTCGGCCCTACTCTTCATCCACACTAGAGTTTTGTTTTGTTTGTTTGTTTGTTGCTGTGTGTGTGTGTGTGTGTTTTCTTAATATAATACATTTGCCTAATGAAACCACAACCAGCTAAGTAATTCTTTCTCTCAATAACCTCAGCATTACACTTGAGGCCTCAAAAGCTGTGGGCTTTTCGAAGGCAGACTCCAGCTCTGCCAGTGTGTCTGGGTTCTGCCTACTGCTCCCTCATAGTCATTCAGTGCTTCTGCACGTATGCCTCCTTTAGGAATCCCAGACAAGAAGCATAAAGTACAGTGTCATCCCCTCCTACTTCTCTAACTTCACAGGGAACTCTAATGTGATTCCAAACTTACGCTACAGTCTATTGTGAAGAGGATGTGTATATTACTTAGTTTGAATGAGCAGGATATATATATGCAAACATTTGCAAACAAATAGAATGCCCCACCACACATACACAGCTCCAGCTAAATAAACATGCCCCAGACTTTTTCTTCTTTCCCTCTCTGCCTTTCTCTTTCTTTCCTTTTTTCTCTTCTTCCTCTCCTCCCTTCTTTCTTATTTTTCTTTCCTTCATTTCTTCTTTTCCCTTCCTTCCTTCCTTCTTTCCTCCCTCCCTCCCTCTCTCCCTCCCTTCTTTTCTGCTTTCCTTCCTTCATTCCTTTTGCTGTTTTTAAAGAGAAAAAAGAGTTCAAATAACTGAGTAAAACAGAATAGATTGGTAAACAGGATTGCATATTTACTCAAGTACAACTACTCACATAAAGAAATGCTGACTAATTCCCATAGGTATCTGGTTTCATTATCTGCTTCAACCCTTCTGAGTTAGAAGAGGGGAGGGGGAAAAAGACCCTCTAATCCAGTAAAATTTGTCTATTCATATTTAAAGTCATTTAAGGTAGATGTTCAGAAAATTTTGGATAAAATTTGGAGTTTTTCTTTGGTCTCCTGCTTATCTCCTGGGTGAAATCTAGATGTATGAAGGAGGGGTTTAGTGGCCTCAAAGGCTTGAGGCTTTGGGAAAGAGTGATATCTCTGATCCCAGTAGTGTCCTCCCTCCCTTCATCCCTCCCCTCCTCAGGCTCCAGCTCTATCCTCGTGTTTCTCTGAAGCCCAGCTGACCTGGCCTTCCCTCTGAAGTACTGGCTGCTGCTCTGTGAGTGGTTATGGCCTCCCACCCTAGATGCCATCTGCTGACCGCTTTTGCTGTAATCTGTGGCTGGGCAACAGTCTGTCCTTTCTCCGTTTGGCCAGGGTACTGGCAGCCCTCCTTGATAAACTGGCCATACCTTGGCTCTACCTGTTTGTGGAGCCTGCTGAGATGTGGGCATGAGTCCCATCAGCTTCGAGCCTAGGTACAACTATAGAAATCCTTTCCTGTACCATAGTGATGCCTTGCAAGGGCGTGTGAGAACTTCTATATTCTATCACTGCCCGCAAAAATTGCAAGGCAGCACTCAATTAAAAGGTCTAGCTCCTCCCTTTGCCCAAATATGCTGTGTTCTCACTTGTTTTCTAGATGGTTGTCTTTAGGGAAGTTTGAGCATTCTGTCATACTGGATTGGCCATGACACATGAAGAAAACTTGGGCAGAAGCTCTTGAGTTCTTGGAACTCCCCAAAATGAAAGAAATTCATACCCCACTTGAGGAGTTCAGTCCAAAGAAATGAGATCTGGTCATATTCATGGTTTCCTGACTCCTCAGCACTGGCTCCAGTCATCACATTAACCTACCAGGCCTGTAGGGGATGTGGATTTTTCTCCATTTTTTTTTTTTAATTTTCTTTGGATGAAACTCAACAATCAAGTTTTCCAGAACTTCTCTTGATATATTAAATGGATAGATAAAATAATTTTAACAAAGTTATTTTGCTCTCTTAAAAGAACCTTGCTTGCTTTCAACATTTTTTTTTCTTTCTACAATCTCAAACACACTAGTTTGGGTGTCAAAACTTGAATCTTAACTCTTTCTCCCTTCCTTTGTTTCCTGAGTGTAATAATTCTAACACTGTCTTGCTTCTTTGCAGACACATGTATAGACACTTTTTTTTTTTTGAGACGGAGTTTTGCTCTGTCACCTAGGCTGGAGTGCAATAGTGTGGTCTTGGCTCGCTGCAACCTCTGCCTCCTGAGTTCAAGTGATTTTCCTGCCTCAGCCTCCCAAGTAGCTGGGATTACAGGTGCGTGCGAACACGCCCAGCTAATTTTTGTATTTTTAGTAGAGACAGGGTTTCGCCACATCAGCCAGGCTAGTCTTGAACTCCTGCCCTCAGGTGATCCACCAGCCTTAGCCTCCCAAACTGGAGAATTACAGGCACGAGCCACCGTGCCTGGCTGACACTTTTAAGAAGAAATATCCAAGACATGGAAATAGGTAAAGAAATTACTAGGTGTTCTTTCAGTGTAGTGCTGAGCATGACTATGGCAAAACCTGACTGAGGATTCTCTAATTTTCTAGGGATGGCTCCCTTTATTAGACTGTCTTTTACTATTGATTAGTATAGAGATTAACTTGTAGAAAACTGATATTTGAAAATGTGTCTTGACTGAGAACAACACATTTGATTCTTGTTCAATAGTAACGCAAAATTATTTTTATCCAGGAAAGGAAGTAATTGCAAATGTTAGAGCTTACTGCTGTTCAGGTATTAATGAGTTTTGTATCTAGTTGCAAATTCTTTTCAGCCTTACTGTGACTGACAGACTACATAAATCTTTTAAAAGTCTTCCTTGAAAAAATCAACTCACAAAAGGCAGATTAATAAGAGAAAAGGCATGCAAATGTATTAACATATACTCAGAGGAGTACCACAGAATGATTACCCACTCCCAAATAGGGTTCAGAATCTTATATATCATCTGGAGATTACAGAAAAGAATGAGGGCTTGCATCCTGGAAAACGGGTAATGGGAGGTGAGAGAAGAATTCTGTTGAGGGGCAATAAATGATTACTAACAAAAGCAAATGGATTAGGGAACTGATATTTACTTGTAAATAGTTTTTGGAATTAGAATGATCTTGTGAAAGAGTCTGTTCAGGTATGGCTACCTTCTTGGTCTTCTTTTCTGCAATAGATAATGGGATAACAGGAAGGGGAAGAAAAACAATTGTTCTCCTTGATGAGTCCCTCCTGTCTTCATGTATCTTGGGGGGCGGGGAGTATTTTCCAGTGTCTGTTGATCTAAGGCCCTTTAATATAAAATATTCGTTATACCAGGGAACCATGTTTTGGGGGTAAAGTTGTCTGTCCTCCTTTAATCTCCATTTCTTGAATTCTGTTTTTAATTATTTTTAACATCTTACTGTTTCTTGTATTAGTTTATGAGCTAAGTAAAATCTTTGACCATGTTTATGACATTTAGAGATTTGTATTTTAACAATACATACATAATATGGAATGACAATGGAAATAAATTATGTACACTTATCTCTCACTTTAAATTTTTTTTTTAAATTGTAGAGACAAGATCTTGTTATTGCTCAGGCTGGTCTGGAACTCCTGGTCTCAAGCAATCCTCCCACCTCAGACTCCCAAAGTGCTGAGATTATAGGAATGAGCCACCATGCCTGGCCACATAGGGAATTTAACTGGCTTTTAAAAACATGATTTAGGATTAAAAATATTATTAGGTGAAAAAGTATATTTCTATTAATTATATTGTGAAAATTATGGTACATTCTATACGAATCCAAGTTATGCAATATTAACAAAAAGAAAAATATATCAATTGAGTTATGCAAATAAACATGTAAGTGATAAACAATAATACAAGTATAGTTTATAAATAAATTGCAATTGGCCAGGCACAGTGGTTCATGCCTGTAGTCCAAGCACTTTGAGAGGCTGAGGTGGGAGGATCACTTGAGCCCAGGAGTTAGAGACCAGCCTGGAAAACACAGTGAAACCCTGTCTCTACATGATGAAAATACAAAAAATTATCTGGGCATGGTGGTACGTGCCTGTAGTCCCAGCTACCTGGGAGGCTGAGGTGGGACAATCACTTGAGCCCAGGAGGTAGAGGCTGCAGTGAGCCAAGATTGTGCCACTGCACTCCAGCCTCGGCGACAGAGTGAGACTATCTCAAAAAAGAAAAATAAAATCAATTATTGAAAGTGTGCTCACTCGGAAGAAAACAGGTTGATTGAGGTTATTAATGAAGGTTGATGGAGAAGTAGTAAAAGAGAATCATTCTTTTGAAGATGCATCTTTACACTTTTGAAGAAGCATGTGTATCTTTCCCTCAAATTGTGCTTAGAAAACACAAATGCAAAAATCTAGAGTCACAGTAAAAGAAAGGAAACACACATATACGCACACACACGGAAGAAAGTCAATGACTCACAAGTTTTGAGAAATTTTTGAAAGTTCAAAATAGTTGAAACATTTAAAAAAGGAAATAACTACTAAAATTACCTGAAGCATATTATTGATGCAAAAAAGGCAGAATCAGCATCAAAAATTGGCTATGCTGCTTCGGGTAGTCAGACAGATATGAATGGGGCAGGAGAGGGCTCTTCCCACACCCACCAGTAATGTCAGGTGATCATCAGTGATGGTTCAACAATTATCGCATTGCCTCTCTAAAAATGATAATTCGGCAGACAAAGCCAGGGAAAGACAATCTCCTGATGTTCCACAGCTGTTGCATTAGAGGGTTAACTGAATGCAGATGCCAAGGAGAAGCAAAATGGGCTTCCAATAAAAATTCAGGGTCCAGCATGGTGGCTCACACCTGTAATCCCAGCGCTTTGGGAAGGCAAGGCAGGTGGATAACTTGAGGTCAGGAGTTTGAGGCCAGCCTGGCCAACATGGTGAAACCCTGTCTCTCCTCAAAATATAAAACTTTACTAGGCATTGTGGTGGGCACCTGCAGTCCCAGCTGCTTGGGAGGCTGAGGCAGGAGAATCACTTGAACCTGGGAGGCAGAGGTTGCAGTGAACCAAGATCGCATCACTGCACTCCAGCCTGGGTGACAGAGTGAGACACCACAGAGTATGACCTCCCTGGGGCACACCACCAGTAGAGGGAAGAGAGCCTCGGGTGGGCATTCATACAACTTCATAAGCACACTGTGCATGCTCACCTCCCAAGCGTAAGGAGGGCACTGCACATGCGGCAGCCCACCCTAAGGGAAGAATCATGGGAAAGGGGCCAGCCGATAAAGTCCTAGGATCAAGGTTCGAGACCATCCTGGCTAACACGGTGAAACCCCATCTCTACTAAAAATACAAAAAAAAAAAATTTGCCGGGCGTGGTGGCGGGCGCCTATAGTCCCAGCTACTCAGGAGGCTGAGGCAGGAGAATGGCATGAACCCAGGAGGTGGAGCTTGCAATGAGCCGAGATCGCGCCACTGCACTCCATCCTGGGCGACAGTGCGAGACTCTGTCTCAAAAAAAAAAAAAAAAAAAAGTTGCACTTGACCTTGGTGCCCGTTTGGGTCTCTACCAAGCATACCTTCCTTTCTTTCCTGCTCTGAAGCCTTTCTAAATAAACTTATATTCCTGCTCTGAAACTTGCCTTGCTCTCGTTTTCTGCCTTGTGCCCTTTAGTTGAATTCCTTTTTCTGAGGAGGCAAGAATTGAGGTTGCTGCAGATGCATATGGATTTGCAGCTAGTAACTCGGACACTTTCCACCAGTAATATATTTGGTGCTCTGTGACTCAGACATTTGCCACTGGTAACAATGCCAGGATGTATTTGTGGTTACCAGGAGCAGAGAGGAATCAAGGACCAGCACTGGGCTAATTTGGTGTACCACTGCGGGAGCAACCAACCATGGCTTCCCTTGCACAGGAACTCTCACTTTCCCCTTGTCCAGGCAGCAGCTTTGAGAAGGTCAAGAAGCAGAGAGTGCTAGAGCTAGCATTAGATAACCAAGGCATGGAAGTCATTTTATAAAAAATTAGTCTGGCACACAGTATTTGTGTAGGCTTTATGTCTGTATGGCACAGTGAGTTCATATCTCTTAGATGGTATGGGAAGTTCAATTCTACTTGAACTTTTTGCTCTGAAGATAGCACAGAGGCAGGTGAAATATAATGAAGAAAAAACCAAACATGGCCTGGAAGCGCAATGCAGTAGACAGAGATAAAGCTCTAATTTTTGTTCTGTTCCTGGTCTGAAATCTGCCTAATAGACTGCTGTGGTAGAATAAAGAAGATCTAAAGCTTAATTTTGCTTAGTATTTTGAACATTTTAAAAATTATATTTACTATTACCATTTTTAATGATATAAAAGGGAGGTTATCTTTTTCTATGTAAATATTGATTACCTCAAAATTTTGCAAAAGCCTTTTAAACCAAATGCAATGACATTCTAACTGAGCCAGACTTGAGAGTCAGAGTAAGAAATATTTGGAGGTAATCAACTTTTTTCCCTTGACCCCCAACTATCACCACTTTAGACGATGGCATCTTTCTGTGATAAGTTATCTTCATGAGATGGATCTGAGATTCAACTAATCTACAGAGTTAATTAACAGTTCCTCCCTGGTTACCAAATAATCTTCATTATCTCAATAAGTTCCTCAAATGTGCTTTTGGCAAACAAGGCTTCTCATTTTTGCAGAATGTTCAACACACTGTTGAAGTGCTATAAAATGCTTATTGTAGGCACTTTAAACAGATGTACAGAAGTAACTATAATAAACCAGTAATATGTGATAAATGGCCTTTCAGACTTAGCACCCACCAGTGACTGGCAAATGTGTGTTAAAAAAAAAAAAAAGTAGAACTTTTACATCTAACCAGCTCACGTAGGAAATGCTGTACAACTTAGAATCATGCGTCAGAGAAGATGAAATAGGCATTAGTCTTAGAGGTCAGTTCTTCAATTGATGAATAAATAAACTCAAATTTATGGTAATTAAGTGATATATGAAGTTCCACAGTTCTTTAGTGGCAGAATCAAGAGTAAAACCAAGGTTTCCTCACTCTCAATGCAGTGCTTTCTCCTTATGTTATACTAAATAACTACAGAAAGTTGATTGATGAGCTAGAGTTATCTAATCCAAGCTACTTTCGTCTGAAAACACCAATTCAATATTTTATTTAAAGCTACTGCAACTAAAGTGAGCAAGTCAAAACTTAAAAATTATTGGGCCGAGTGCAGTGGCTCATGTCTGTAATCCCAGCACTTTGGGAGGCCGAGGCAGGAGGATCACCTGAGGTCAGGAGTTAGAGATCAGCCTGGCTACATGGTGAAACCCTATCTCTACGAAAAATACAAAAAAATTAGCTGGGCATGGTGGCAGGTGCCTGTAATCCCAGCTACTCCGGAGGCTGAGGCAGGAGAATTGTTTGAACCCAGGAGGTGGAGGTTGCAGTGAGCCAAGATTGCACCATTGCACTTCAGCCTGGGTGACAGAATGAGACTCTCTAAAAAGACAAAGAAAAAAATATATATATACACATATATATGTATATATACACACATATATAATTATATATACATATATAATTATATATACATATATAATATATACATATATAATAATATATACACATATATAATAATATATACATATATAATAATATATACACATATATACAATAAGAAAAATAAATATATATACATATATGTGTATATATATTTATGTATATATATTTATATATATGGGAGTTAGTATTTAATTACACAGTTAATAAGCAGTTTTAGAAAGCACACTGTGTGTTTCTAAGTAATTCATCCTCCCCAAAGACATGAATGTTGCATGTTATATTTTCCGTTTAACAGGATAAATGGTTCTTAAAACAGTACAGCAACTACCAAATAAGTGCACTGATAGCAAAGATGTCTCATTTAAGCGAAAGCAAATAAGGTTTTTTGGATTTTATTCAGTTTCTGTAGTAATACCTTGGGTGAGGGTATCCAAGAATTTAGGAGTAAGGAAAATGGTAACAACTGAAGCACCGGTGGAAGTCCAAGAGGTTGGGCAAAAGTAAAATTATAAAGATAATGAAAGAAGTGGTAGAACTCTACTTCCTCATGTTATCTGTAAGTTTTAAAAGTTTTGTAGACACATGATGTTCTGCACAAAGATAAAGCAATAGACTAAAAAATGGTTCAAAGTTATTCCAACCTTTATGATTTTATAATTTAACTTTATCATTATTATAAGCTTGAGATAACCAACATATTTAGATGATATTGGAATTTAAATATTTTAACCCAACTGGTTTACCCCGAGAAACTTCTCTAACTTTGCTCACCAAAATATATTCCACAGTACAAATGTGAGATTGAATTAAGTAAGAGTAAATGGAATGGGAACTGTTACCATATAAGGAAACTATTTCTGGATAACCACTATGATACAGATACCCTGAACAGATACTTATAAAAATAATGATAAGTAATTATAATTACTATTATAATACATATATATCAAACAAAAATTATGGGAGGTCACTGTACTGGACTGAGCACCTGCACTAGGCCCCAACAGACCAGACTAAACCAAAATGGAATCATTCTTGACACATGCTGCATAATCAAACTGAGACTTTAAGAAAGCAGATAGATCCTAAAACAAACCAGTTTTTTTTCCTGAAAATAGGATATTCCAGTCTACCTATATCAGCACAATAAGGAAGTCCACTCTGCCTTACTGTTCTGCCATTGCCAAATAGAAGCTAATTCTATTTCGTAGAATGGAGGCTGCCCTGATGCATGAATTGTGAATAAAAGCCATTTGATCTAAAGCTAAATTTGTTATATTTCATCTTTTGACATATATTATAAATATATATCACATATTATGTGTATAATATATAATTTAAAAGAGTAATAATGATAATAACAGATACATCTATTAAACTTTTATTTTGTGCTAGGCACCAAACTTAATTTTCTCATTAATTTCTTATAGCAATCTGATAAGGTAGGCACTAATATTATCCCTATTTCACAAGTAAAGAAACTGAAGGTTAAAAAGCTAACCAGTTCATTTTAAATCAGGAATAATAGTTTAACATTTGGGGTGATTGTTTGGCTGAGCTTGTTTGTTTCCCTTCTCTTGGAGATAACAGTCCTGTTCTGCTGTCCAATACTTGAAAACAGTGGTTTCCTTTTTTCCTGTTTTTTTTGTTTGTTTGTTTGTTTGTTTTAAATCACGTACAGTAGAAGAGTAGGTCAAGGCCCTGTGGGCTGTAGGGGGAAAACACATCCCAAATTAGAACAGAAGTTTTCAATATCAGTAGGAAATTTTGCCTCATTTACCAATTACAGCCAAGTGGAGGCTACACTACTCTCAAGAGAAACTGGCCATGCAGTGAAACGCGGCCTACAGGACTAAAGATAACTTCACAAAGATCTCTGTGCCCTAGAATGACATGAAAGCTGTAGAGTAACTCCTGTGCCCTAAAACATGTCACACAACTCATTAAAAAGTGGTTGAACATGGATGAATAAAGGGGTACCTTAACCAATCAATAAACTGACCCCCAATTGACTTCTCATCAAATGAATGTTTTGGCACCATAACGTCTTCATCACTCAGAATTTAGACAAGTCCCTAGGGGAAAAAAACAAGAGATACAAAATTGATAAATTGATAATTGAAATTGATAAATCTAATAAATCCATCTCAATGTGGTTAACAACTAGGTTTACGTGTTACAATTCTCCAGTATTTTGTGAGGATTCCTTCTAACTGAAAGGAATGTTTATAGTACGTGGAAGATATGACTTGTGATGAAAATAGTTTGAGATAAGAAGGCTTTCAAGGAATCTTACAATCATCAACCATTTTTGTTTTATTGACACCAGTATCACTCACTAAATACTCTTCTTTTTTTGAGACAGAGTTTCACTCTTGTCACTCAGGCTGGAGTGCAATGGCGTGATCTCTGCTCACTGCAACCTCCACCTCCTGGGTTCAAGAGATTCTCCAGCCTCAGCCTCCCGAGTAGCTGGGATTACAGGTGCCCACCACCATGCCCGGCTAATTTTTGTATTTTTAGTAGAGACAGGGTTTTGCTATATTGGCCAGGCTGATCTTGAACTCTTGACCTCAGGTGATCCCCCCACCTTGGCCTCCCAAAGTGCTGGGATTATAGGCATGAGCCACCGCCCCCAGCCACCAAATACTCTTAATGGACAATTTTTCTTATAATCAAACACTTGGCTCAAACTATATATGTATATATAATTTTTACTGGGATTTCAACCACTGGACATTTTCTGTTAATCGAAGCTCACAATGAACTATCTCTCCATAATCTCTCAGGTGTGCAGACAGACAGATATGACTGTCAAAAAATGCCTACCTCCTGTGTATCACAAAGCTTTTCAGCCTGCCTTTCACTGAGGAATATGTAAGGTTGTGTGCAGATCAGGACACTTCTTAAGTGGCTTTCATTTTTATCACTGTAGATCCACATTTAGGTGATTAAAATATTTGGCATGGAATTTGTATTTTTCCAACTTGAAAGGTATGGAAAATATATATTAACTTTTATGTTAACTAGAGGCTTTATAATTATGTGCCAGGCTTTGTTTAAAAAATAGTCATTCAATCAAATGAGTATGCACCTGCTGTGTGAATTAAGCTTACATTGGAAGGCATATAGAAGTGGCAGAGCAGAAATAAATGAAAAAATAAAACTCTCCACTTTTCTCACTTTTTAACAAAAGATTTCCACTGTACTCTAAAGCCAAAGACAGCTGTTTCAAGGGCTCAATAGAGGGAAACATCCGAAGGGTAGGTGTAGTTTTTTAATTGAGCTTCACTAAGAACATGGATAAACATCTATTCCCTTAATAAAGTTATTGTGACATCTTGTAACCATAAATGATGGGGCCCCTGCTTCAAGCACCTACACTTACTCCTGCAAAATGACTCTTTAAGCTGTGTTCACATTTGGCCTCTAACTCCAGTGAGAATGAAACAGAAGGAAATAGGGCTATAATACCATCTGAGTGATTTATAATGGACATAAGGAAAGGTACTACTCCCTGGAAGTTTATACACTCATAGATAAGGGATTATGTAACCAGAGTGATATACATCTGGTCCTGCCCAGAAGCCAAGTAATGTAGTACTTCATGTTTCTGGTCACTAGATGAATGAATTGGAAACAAAAATTATTGTTGTGTACTGGTGGGTTTAGGGGAAGGGGACAAACATACTTATTTCAAATTGATACATAAGTACTAGATTTAAGATTCTTAATTCAATTCCCTAAAGCAACTATGAATGGGCTTCAGGAAAACTATGAACACCTTGAAATTAAGTATACACAGTTTCATATAGATACATACATACACTTTTATAGAAGAAGAAGACTTGTATCTTTCAGTGGATTCTCTGTATAATCTATAGTCACACACATAAAATGATTTAATATTACTTGCAGTGTTGATGAAAAGAGTCAAACTCTGTAAAATAATTTAGGAGATTTATTCTGGGCCAAAAAAGAGTGACTATGGCCCATGACACAACCTTCAGGAGGTGCTGAAAGTATGTTCCCAAGGTGGTCGGGGTACAGCTTGGTTTTATACATTTTAGGAAGGCATGAGACATCAATCAATCAATCAAACTCATTTTAAAAATACATTGGTTTCGTTCAGAAAGGCGGGACAACTCAAAGCCGGGGCTTCCAGGCTATAGGTAAATTTAAACATTTTCTATTTGACAATTGCTTGAGTTGTTCTGAAGACCTGGGATCAAGAGAAAGGAAATCGGCCTGATGTGGTGGCTCACGCCTGTAATCCCAGCATTTTGGGAGGCCGAGGCAGGCGGATTCACAAGGTCAGGAGATGGAGACCAGCCTGGCCAACATGGTGAAACCCCACTCTACTAAAAATACAAAAAATTAGCTGGGCTTGGTGGTGGGCGCCTGTAATCCCAGCTACTCAAGAGGCTGAGGTGGGAAAATCACTTGAACACGGGAGGCGGAGGTTGCAGTAAGCTGATATCATGTCACTGCGCTCCAGCCTGGGTAACAGAGTGAGACTCCATCTGAAAAAAAAAAAAAATAATAGAAAGGAAATGTTTAGGTTACGATAAAGGATTGTGGAGACCAAGTTTTATTGTGCAGAGGAAGCTCTCAGATAGCAGACTTCAGAGAGAGAGCAGGTTGTAAAATGTTTCTTATCAGACCTAAAAGGGTGCCTGGCCCTTAGTTGATTGTCTTCTGGATCTGGAAAGGAAGGAAGGAAAACAAAGGGGAAAGGGAATTCTCTGTAGAATGTGGGTATTTCCCACAAGACTTTGCAGAGCAATTTGAAGGCATGGCAAAGGAATATATTTTGGGTTAAATATTTTGACTTTTTTCCTTGTCTCATAATGTTATGCCAGAGTCAGATTGAAAAGTAAGTCACAATATATAGGGTTAAATAAAACCCATCTGATGGGAATTTATGGTTTGTAGGGCATGACTCCCTGGACCTCTTAGATAGGAATTTGGGCAAGATAAAAAAGTCAGAGCTTAGTCCTCAGTAGATACCTTTGAAATTAGGGAAAGGATAATTCACATAGATTCAAATGGTGATGTTTTCAATGTGTTGTTAACTATGAATAAAAAAACAGAATTCTCCTACAGTTTCTGACTCTTGTGTTCCAACTTACAATTCCTTCCAAGCAAACTCTCTATCCTACTGAAGGAATTCTGATTTGGAAAAATGATTTTATAAATATAATATGATCATACTTCTCACTGCCTATGGCCCCAACCTCCCTCTGGCCTCTTCCTGTCTCCCTCAGACTCCCTGTCCCAGGCCTATTGTCCCCTGCAATTTCCAGTGTGTTTTGCGCTCTTTCTAACCTCTTACCCATTGTAGACATAGCTCTTTCTGTCTGAAACAGTATATCCACCTTTTGCCTTCAACAGATTAACCCTAATTGTATTTCAGGATTCCTCTCTGGTGACCTTCAACCAGGACCCTGGGCAAATCTCTGTCAATGCACATGTCAAGTTGCATTAAAATAATCTGTTTATTTTCTGACGTTTCTGAATTGCAGACTTTCTTGAGATCATACATGTTCAGTACTTTATTCACCTTGATAAGCCTGCAGCCTCATACCACATCTGGCATTTAATGAGCCAACAAAACTAGTGACCCAGCGTGGGGCCCTGGGCTAGATGGTCAATCTCTCCGCTCGGGAAGGTTTATTGAAGGTTGATTATTTTGGAAAACAAACAAGCTGTAATGACCAAAAAAGTTGACAGTTTTTCTTTTTCAGGGTGCATGTATTTTAGGCAAAAAATATTATATAGGCTAAAGAAATTAACAACTACTTTTAGAACTAATTTCATGCAGAAAGAAGCAATGTAGAAAATACCTGGTACTAAGGAAACTTTTCTGAAGCCACTGAAGTGACTAACTTCATATCATATAGTTGATGCCTTAGGAGACCTACTGTTACCCAGTGTAATCACTACATGATAGAGCTGAATTTCTGCCCCACCCTAACTCTGCTTATCCTTAAAAATCAGGATGCCTGCTGTAAAAAAATTCCTTTTGTAATCAGACCAGTTGAGACTGGTTAGAACCAAGATAGCTGATCAAATGACTTTTAAAAGATCTCAAGCTTCATTATAATCTAATTTCCTTGCTAAATGGGACTCCCACCAGCACCATGACAGTTAGCAATTGCCATGACAATGACTGGAAGAAGTCATAAAAGGACCAAAAGGAAGGTGATACTACTGGTTCTGGGAAGTTCACTGCCCTTGCCCGAAAAGACAGGGATTACTCCCCTCGCTTTTAATGTTCAACCCATTTATTAGAAAAAAAAATTATATATTTTAAACCATTCATCCCTCACTCGTCAAGAAGTTGATTTGTAAGCCGTGTTCCTGCTTCTCAATTCTATGGACACTGAATAAAGCCTTTACTGCTTGATGCTCATGTTCAGTTTTATGTCAAGGCTTCATGACACCAAACAGGGAAAGACTCCGTTTTTATGGGTACTGGCTTTGTCAGTAACAAAACTAGTGACCCAGCATGGGGTCCTGGGCTAGATGATCAATCTATCTGCTTGGGAATCTCCCTTACCACCCTAGAGACTCTACAATTGGCACCTGACAGCATCAGTTGGTAATGAACACACATTTGTCTTGACTTTCCGTGCAGGGATCAGCTCTGGGGAAGGTAACACATCATTGTTGTAAGATCATAAGCAGGCAGGCAAAGGTTATCTAGCTGTACTGGGAAGGGCCCCCTAAGCTAAGCACAGTGGGTATGCTCACCCAAAATCAGGGCTGTGCACAAGGATGCCCTGCACCAGACCATGGTCCCATCCTCAGTAGAGGGCCCTGTGGGAGTTCTCTAAAGTGTGAGAGGAACCAGAGCATTTGAGGAGGATGATACAGAGACTGAGAGGTGAAGGGAACACTTTTGAGGGATTAGAAGAAATCTCCATTCTGAGGCTAAAGTGCCTAGGGGAGACCCTCTGAGACGGGGTGTCAGAGACACCTGGCTGGCCTTCAGGAAGGCACCAGAGACAGCTGGGTACAATGGTCAATATTGGTTTTGTGCACAATAAGGAAAATCTAGAGTTCAAATGGTTAACCTGCAACTTTAGGGTTAAGTAGAGTCTTCTAAAGCTCTATGTTTTCCTCTCTTTTCTCCTCTGTCTGCTTTGAATCTGGTGTTACTAAGCTGCTGGTGCTGAGATAAGACTCATTATTTATGGTCTAACTGAAATGAAAACATTAGAAACTCATTTGAGACTGAAAAAAACAAAAAAGTAAAACAGGGTTTTTAAAATAAACTGCCATAGAAAATACTTTCCCCAAATTTTCATTCATAGCCTTCCTCGGATTACGTACTGGGGAAACAAAGTTTAGCCAGGTCAATAGGTTCCAATTTTGTTTAAAAAATTAGATTCAGCTATATTTTCTAAAATGGGTAATTTATATTACTATCTCATGGCTAAAATTTCAAGGTAAAAGCCATTGGATCTTGTGTGAGGGTATGTTTGTGTGTGTGTGTGTGTGTGTGTATACATGCTTAAATGTATTTAAGTGTATACATTTGTACTATGCTATGTGGTATGTCTAGCATGCTACCAAATGGCTTCTAAGTAAATGAATACTCATAAATTTTAAAAGCCCAAATATTCTTTGAGTTTACATGAATTTAGTAATTTTTGATAAATAAAAACTTTTATTTTTTTAATAAAATTGAAATTAAAAAGCCTTGAAAATTATTAGCATACATTCTTATCTGAGTTTACTGATTAAGATGTCAGGGTTTGGCACAAATGCTGTTAGACTATAAACCCAGCCAAAAATAATCTTGTGTAATTTGTTTGACAGATAAGACTAACTTAATATTGCTGGTTCAATAAAAACAGCAAATTCTTGTTTGTTAGTGGCAAAAATAGCTATGTATTTAACTTTAAGTTTCATTCTTAGGTAAACACCTGATATTCACAGGCTATAAAAATGGTTAATAACAAATTAAGTTGAAATGATAACTAGCTTTCTCTAATATGTGTGTTTTCAAAAGTAATCTAGATAAACTCTTAAAAATGAAAGAATTAAATACATATAAAAGGGATAAATACTTGTAGGTAAGCTTTTTGTGTAATTTAAAATCTTAAAGTTATTCTAAATTCAATAGTCAATGCCTGCTAGATGTCTGGGTCATTTCCAATGAAAAGGGATTATAATACGAAAAAACATGTTTCTAAAAACCGTGGAATGGTTTCACCTATAAAATGCTGACATCTAAAAACCATTCAGGATTTCTTGCTTCTCAGGTTTTTACTAAAATTTGAGGCAACTAAGAATAAGAATTTTAATTAATATATACTTCTGTAAGTTGTGAGGTATTTTTGTTGACTAGAGATAGAGTTTAATTGTAGAAAAGCTGAGGTAGCAGAATTCTGAAACAGCAGCAAAAGGTTTAGCCCAGCCCATGTATTTACAATATACAGGAGCTGGGGTTTTCCATACACTTCTGTACTGCCCTCTCTCAGCTTCAGATTTATCCCTATCAGCACACTCATTTCTTTCCTGGATCTGCCTTGGCCATAAAAGACATAACTCTTCTGGGTGCTATCCCATCATATAAATCTAGGCATTACCTCCTAGTCCCTCTGGGTCTCTTCCCAGTATTTTTTTTTTCTTAAACATTTTTTTTTTTGAGGGGGTCTTGCTCTGTCACCAGGCTGGAGTGCAGTGGCATGATCTTGGCTCACTATAACTTTCATCTCTAGGGGTCAAGCCATCCTCCCACCTCAGTCTCCCAAGTACCTGGGACTACAGGCACAAGCCACCATGCTAATTTTTGTAATTTTTGGTAGAGACAGGGTTTTGCCTTGTTGTCCAGGCTGGTCTTGAACTCCTGGGCTCAAGCAATCTGCCCACCTCAGACTGGTGCTCTTATTACAGGTATAAGCCTCTGGGCCCAGCCTCTCTTCCCAGTCTATGACTCCAGAGCACTCTAGGGGCCTGTCTCTTCAGTGAAGGAGGCTTCCACTGGTGTTGTGGGAAGCATCTTGGGCATTGACTCAGGTGCGGGGGCCACTCTCTTCTTAGAGATAATCCTGATAGAGCTGGCAAAGGTGAGACAGTTCTTTCTCTGATGGCTGTTTCCAGCTGTACCATAGGTACCAGGGTTCACCTGAGACGAGGGTGGGGACTGGCAGAGAAGTACTCATAGCTCCATGAGAGGCACTAAAATCAAGGTCCCGGGGTTCAACTTGGGAGATGTGGTAACTGAGGAGACCATGATCCCTGGCTTTCTGGATGGCATGGGTCAACATCTTGTGCTGCTTCATACAGACTCCTGTGTATGGAGCGTGGAAGATAATACCCGTGTGGGCACTGACAAACTGTTCCAAGAGCTTAACATTCCTAAAGTCAACATGCAACTTGTGACCTTGGCAGATGGGGCAGGGATTCCCAGCGACTGTTTTCCTATGCATACATGTCTTTTGAGTCTGCTGTGGGGGTATATCACCCTTGTAGTAGTGGCAATAGTCCACCCAGTTGGGATGAGAACCCTATGGTTCTTGGTATTCTTCTGATTCCAGATATTTCCAGGGTTCATTCTCATATAGTGAAATGGGAACTGGGGGCAAAGAATCTTTCTCAGAAGGAGCTTTGGTGAAAGAGTCTGGAGGGGAACCTGAACTCCATTTGTACTTCAGAAGAGAGAAAGGATAGGAAGCTGCCTTAGTAGGTGTTTAATATGGGCATCACCATCTTAAACCCAGATCAGGTAAGTTGTGTTCTTATTGAGAAAAAAAAAATATATATATATATATTATTTTGTAATTTGGAGATTATTTAGAAGTTATTTATAACACAAGATTAAAAACAGTAAGTCAGAGAGAGAGAGACAGAGAAGTAAAAGGATTATATATATAGAGAGATATTTTTGATAAGGAAGGTTATAAAAAGAAGAAAATAATTTTGTATGAGAGAAGATCTTACACGGTAAATTTTTGTCCTAAAGTAAAATGACTTATTATTTTAAAAGAAGTAGTACAAACAAATCAATATGTTGTTCATGGTCTAAGTCCCAATAAAGATTGTGGGAAAACAAATTTATAAAAGAAATTTTGTATGTGATTTAATTGCCTACAATTAAAAAGAAATTACCTATAACAGTCTTTCTAAGATTGGTCATCTATGTTAAAATAAGATTTTTCTAAGGTATTAATTTACTCTTAATAAAATTATAAGAGGTTTGTTTTTTAATTCTATAATCTTAGACCTACAGCTCCCTTATCCCCAGTGGCTTCTGCAGGCAACCCACCTCATTGCCACCAATCACCCATTGATTCCTTTCAGATAGTCAACCCGGACAGTACCCAGTGCAAGGCATCTTAGCAGCCTTCCTCTATGATGACCTCTGGCAGGTCACCAATGGGAAGAGGGATGGTTATTGTACATGTTCTCTTCACAACTTCAGATATTTACAACTAGAAGTCACATTCTAGATGATTAGGAAAAAATCCTGGGGATTCAAAACCTCATTCAGAGTATTTTTCAGACCTATAACCCTAATTGAGCAGATGTCCAGTCCCTTTTGAACATTCTCCTCACTGGATGAAAAATTAAAAAATAAAATCCTCGGTTATCAGAAGTGCTAGGGAGGAAATGGACAGAGCCCACAGAGACAAGATAAAAAATCCTGTTAAGAGACCAGAGAATGAGGTTGTGACAGACCTTGACCCCTTTAGGATCCTGAGACAGGAATGAAAAAGGCAAGATTCAGGCATGATGAAACATTAATGTTAAAGGGAATAAGGCCACAGAAGAAAGACCCACTAATTGGAGTAAGCTAAGAAAAATTAATCAACAACCCCAGAAAACTCTATATATCTTCCCAGAGAGGTTGAGGGGAAAATATGAAGTTGTATACTGCTCTTACTCCTGATTCAGCAGAGGGAGAGAGGCAGTTCTGAAATCTATTTGTCTCCCAGAGGACATCAGACATTAGCTATAAACTCTAAAAGGTAAAATTAGAGCTCAATGCTCCCATCTTAAGACTAATATACCTAGGCAATAAGGCGTTCAACAACCAAGAAAGAAGGGGAGGAGGAGCATAAAGAAGAAAGAGAGGCCAAAAAGCAATCCCAACTACTGGCTGTTACCTATCCATGGAAAATCACAGCTCCAGTGAGTTACTGCTGGTCCTCTAACCAGTAGAAAAGATTCCAAAGACCGAAGAGACTAGGACCAAACCAATGTGCCTTCTGTAAGGAAGAGGGTCACTGGAAAAGGGACCCATCTGAAAGGAGGGGGAAGGGTGAATGTCCCACCCAGGTGTTTCACAGTAGCAGATGGTTTAAGTAGAAAAAAAAAGTCTACAGGTCCTAGGGGCTCCTCAATCGGCACTCTAGGTATCCTTCAAGGTGTCCTGACTGACACTGGACATAGGGGACAAGCCTGTTGGCTCCTTGGTTGGGACAGGGACCACCTACTCTGTTTTGAACACACCCAGGGGTATACTTACTCAACAAAATGGCAGGATTCCCCAGACAGGTGAAAAACCCAGCAGCTAACGTGGACTATGTCATCTCAAGAGTTCAAACCCTATACCCAGCCCCCACAATATTTGGAGAGGCCTAGAGGAACTGACTCTTGAACAAGGAACCCTCTTCCAGTATGTGGATAACATCCTTGTTGCCAGCCCTTCTAAAAAATTTAAGATCAAAATACCCATTAGCCTTTAACTTCCTGAGAGAAAGGAGTTCTAAGATTTCCCGCCAAAAGCACAAATATCTCAGCAACAAGTAACCTATCTGTAGTTACTCCTAGAAGAAGAATAACAAAGTTAGTTCCAAGGGAGATGGGAAGTAACATGCTAACTACAGCAACCAAAGACCTGGAAACAACTACAAGGGTTTCTGGGCATGGCAGGATTTGGCATCCTCTGAATTGCTAGCTTTGGCCTCATTGCCCATCCTCTATAAAAACAATTAAAAGAGCACAGACCCTTTTAAATGAATGAAAAAATGTAACCAAGCATTGCCCAAACTTAAAACCTAGCTCACAAGGGCCTCAGCTTTAAGCCTACCCAACTTAAATAAATCTTTCTATCTTTATGTTCATGAAAAGGGAAAAGCCTTAGGAGTACTAACTTAAAGGTTGGGCCCACTGACCCACGTAGTATCCTACTTTTTCATGCAGTTGGACCCAGTTGCTAAATGCTGGCCACCCTGCCTTTGGTTGAGGGCAGCCATGGCCCTCCTTTGAAAAGAGAGAAGTTAACCTTTGGACAACCCCCAACCATCTGAACTCTCCACCATACCCAGACCCTCATAAGAGAAACAGGAGTAGAATGACTATCTCCAGGCAAGGCTCTCCAGTTACAAAGTTATTGCAAACTGTAAGAAATTTAGCCCAGCTGGCAACAGTTCATGGCCATGGCCACCAGAAGGGGGAAACTAAGGTAATTAAAGAAAATAATAAAGCCAATCTAATGCCAAAACAAGCAGCTTTAAGAAAGTTACCCTTCAAATGCCACTTTTTGCTTTCCCTCTTGAATCCTCCTCCTTGTTTTAAAGCAAAACAAAACAAAAAACCCTGGTTTACTCTTTAAAAAAATGGAAAAAGTCCTCCAAATTGGAATATACCTGACATTCTGAATCATCCAGGAGAGCTAATAAGTCCTCATGAACAACTTATTTTCCCAAAAGAAGTTACATTACAGGCCATTAGAGAAGCTCATTCTAGCACTCACTTTGGTCATGAGGCCCTTCATAACTGGCTTTTCAAGAGCATGATGGCCCCAAAGTTCAGGAAGCTAGACAAGGAGCTAGTTGAGATTTTCCCCACATGCTATGTTAAAAATTCTAATAAGCACCCAGCAGAGTTGGGTGGGGGAGGCAAAAGGGAGCTCTCAGCTGGTGAAGTACCAACATAAACGCCTAGGGGAAGATTGGTAAATTTATTTCACAGATACACCCAGAGCCTTAAAAACCTTTAAATACCTCCTGGTTCTCACTGACACTTTTTTCAGGATGGGTAAAAGACTTTGCCACCCACACTGAGATTGCACATGAGATGGTAAAGTTGCTACTGAAGAAAAATTGTCCTCAGATTCAGGCTGCCTGAGTCAATTCAAAGAAATATTGGAATAGCATTCACATGTTCCATTACCAAGGCTACTTCTGAGGGTCTAGGAATAAAATGGCATCTACATGCCACCTGGAGACTGCAGTCTTCATTTATAGGACATACCCAGCTAATGGCAGCTGCTTGAACCTAAGGAAGAAAATCCCTTCTACTGAGTTGAACCACTCTCAGATCTAAAATTATTGATGTGTTTGAGGACTAAAACCCTCAACCCTGGGCCTGCATATACTTTCTGTCAGGACTTAGTTTACTTGCCCTCTTATATGTATTCTCATTTTTGCTTTGGGAGTAACCTTGTTGCATCCAGAGCCTACCCCTGTTTGGAAAACACATGACCTCAAAGAGATTGCACCCTATGGCACCTAATCCCCAGAGAAGTCAAAATCTTTGTTTCCTGTCCTCCTTTTGCCCAAGGAATAAAAGGGTGATTAGGCTTATTCTAGCTTCCACCAGGATAATACGCAGTCTCCTAAACCCCTGGGGAAGGTTTGCCTACCATGAGGTTACCCTCTGCAACCTCACAACGTTACGGAAATGCGAGCTGATGCGAACGATGATCCCCTTACCTGAATTCTCCCTAGTCTAATTAGCCAATATTGTGCTTGGTAACTGTCTGGCTCTTGATTACTTGTCAAAACAAGGTGAGGTGTGTATAGTCACCAAGTCTTCCTCTTGTACTTGGGTAAATAATTCAGGATTAATTCAAAAAGACGTTAAAATAATCTACAACCAGGCCAAGTGGTTCCACCAATTAACCAAAAGGACACAGACCCTCAAGGAATATAAAAACATAAAATAAGCCATCCCTAATCTCACTTAGTTCTTATTCTTCCTGGGCCCTTTAGCTGCTATTATACTTCTCTTGATTTTGGGGCCCTGTCTCCTAAACTGTCGCTCTTATTTGTGTCTAAACAAATAGAGGCCATAAAACTACAGAAAACAGTTACTCAGTGATATAAACAGCTAGGCTCACACCCAGAAGATAACCAGACCTACCTAAGACTAGCTACAGAAGAATTTCACTTCTCAGGGGACATATCAACATCTAAATTCAGCTTGAAGAAGTTATAGAAGATGAACCTTGGCTCGTTTGAACCTCTAAACGAGTGAATATAAGAAAAGGGGGTATTTGTTACCCAGTGTAATGACTACATGACATACCTGAATTTCTACTCAACACTAACTCTGCTTATCTTTAAAAAACTGGATATTTGCTGTAAGAAGTTTTCTCTGTATTCAGACTAGCTGAGACTGGTTAGGTCCAAGATAGCTGGTATGGTTTGGATCTGTTTCCCTACCAAATCTCATGTCAAATTGCCATCCCCAATGCTGGAGGTGGGGACAGGTGGGAAGTGATTAAATTATGGGGGTGGTTTCTCAGCAATGGTTTAGCACAAACCCCCTGGTGCCGTTCTTGTGATAGTGAATTCTCATGAGATTTGTCTGTCTAAGAGTGAATGGTACCTTCCCCCTCACTCTCTATTGCTCCTTCTTCAACCATGTAAACTGCCTGCTCCCGTTTTGCCTTCAACCATGAGTAAAAGTTCCTTGAGGCCTCCTCACAAGCATACGCCACCATGTTTCCTGTACATCCTGCAGAACTGTGAGCTGAATAAAGTTCTTTTCTTATACAGTATCCAGTCTCAGGCCTTACTTTATAGCAATGTGAGGCCAGACAAATTCAGGAAATTGGTGTCAAGGAGTAGGGCATTGGTATAAAGATGCCTGAAAATGTGGAAGCAACTTTGGAATTGGGTAACAAGAAAAGGTTGTAAGGGTTTCGAGGGCTCAGAAGAAGACAGGAAGAGGAGGGAAATTTTAGAACTTCCTTGAGACTGGTAGTATGGCTGTGACCAAAATGTTGATAGTGACATGGATGGTTAAGGCAAAGCTGAGAAGGTCTCAGATGCAAATGAGGAATTTATTGGTAACTGGAGCAAAGGTCACTTTTGTTATGCCTTAGCAAAGGGTTTGGGTTCATTGTTCCCTTGCCTTAGGGATCTGTGGAACTTTGAACTTGAGAATTATGATTTAGGGTATCTGGTAGAAGAGATTTCTAAGCAGCAAAGCTTTCAAGATGTAGCCTGCCTGCTCCAACAGCTTATGCTCATATGTGTGAGCAAATAAATGACTTAAAACTGAAACTTATATTTAAAAGGGAAGTAGAATGTGTAAGTTTGGAAAATTTGTAGCTTGGCCATGTGGTAGAAAAAAAACCCCACCATTTTCCAGGGGGGAATTTAAGCAGGCTGCAGAAATTTGCATAAATGAAAAGGAGCCAAGTGTTAATAGCCAAGACAGTGGAGAAAAGGCCTTGAAGGCATTTTGGAGACATTTGCAGCAGCCCCTCCCATCATAGATCTGGAGGTCTAGGAGAATAGAATAGTTGTGTTGGCCAGACCAGGGCCCCATTAGCCTGTGCAGCCTCAAGACACTGCTCCCCACATCCCAGCTGCTCTGGCTTTAGCATGAGCCCAAAGGGCACCAGATACAACTCAAGCTGCTTCTGCAGAGAATGCAAGCCATAAGCCTTGGGAGCTTCTATGTAGTGTTAAGACTGTGGGTGCACAGAGTATAAGAGTTAAGGCTTGGTAGCTTCTGCCTAGATTTCAGAGGATATATAGAAAAGCCTGGGTTTCCAGGCAGAGGCCTGCTGCAGGGGCAAAGTCCTCATTGAAAACCTCTACTAGGGCAGTGTGCAGGGGAAATGTGGGGGAGCAGACCCTACACAGAGCCCCCACTGGAGCATTGCATAGTGGAGTTATGAGAAGAGGGCAACAGTACTCCAGATCCCAGAACTGTAGATCTACCAACATCTTCTACCCTACACTTGGAAAAGCCTTAGGAACCCAACAGCAGCCAGTGGGAGCAGCTGCAGAAGCTGAACCTTGCAAAACCAGAGAGGCAGAGCTTCCCAAGGCTTTAGGAGCCAATTCTCATACCAGTTTGACCCAGATGTGGGACATGGATTCAAAGGTGATTACTGTGAAGCTTTAAGATTTAATGACTATACAGCCTGGGGCCCATAGAACCTTTCATTTTGGCCAATTTCTCCTCTTTGGAATGAGCATATTACCTAATGCTTGTACCTTCGTTATATTTGTCTCTCTGGTTTTGTATAAAGCTCACTGGAAGAGATGGAATTTATATTTTGTCAGAGAGACAACTACCCTAGTAATATTCTACTCTCAATTTAAAAGAACTAAGACAAAAATGCCACCTAATTAACCCCCTAATGATTTCTTTAAGGACCAGTGATTTTCAACTGGTTGTGTAGTGGATACTGTGATGTTCCAACTACACTGTCTATCAGAATTAAAGGACTTATTCTACAGCTTCTGGCAGTGCTGCTACCTGGTAGCTTTTAGCTATCAAGCATTCTGGTTGTTTGCTTTCAGCTGAAGAGAGTCTATTCACCCAAACTCTTACTCTGTCTCTGGGGGCGGACTATATGCATTAAATGGTTCTGGCAGTGCTGCTACCTGGTAGCTTTCAGCTATCAAGCATTCCTATTATTTGCTGTCAGCTAAAGAGAGTCTATTCACCCAAACTCTCTGTCTCTGGGGGCAGACTATATGCGTTAAATGGTTGATAGGGAAATAAAAGCCATAAAAGCCTTGCCACTCCTTACAACCTTGGGACAATTTTTTTTTTTTTTGAGACAGAGTTTTGCTCTTGTTGCCCAGGCTGGAATGCAATGGAGTGATCTTGGCTCACCACAACCTCCGCCTCCTGGGTTCAAGTGATTCTCCTGCCTCAGCCTCCCAAGTAGCTGGGATTACAGGAATGAGCCACCATGCCTGGCTAGTTTTGTATTTTTAGTAGAGGTGGAGTTTCTCCATGTTGGTCAGGCTCATCTCGAACTCCCGACCTCGACCTCAGGTGATCCACAGCCATGGAACAATTTAAAAGAGCCATTATAACTTCAAAGATTCCTTCAGGGTTCATTGACCTTTTCTGAAACTCAATTACAGCCCAGCTTCACCTTTTCCCCAAAAATGCTTCCTTCCCTCCTCCCAGCCACCATAGGTATGGATTCTGAGAGTGTTTCCTAACAAAATCTGGCTCTTGTATTGAGAATAGACACTAATAAACAAAAATATAAGTACACGGGTCAGTTGAGATGACATTGAAGTAATCTTGGAAATAAATTTTGAAAGTAGCAGTGGAAGTGCTAGAAATATTTGGATTTTAAACAACAGAATTTTCTGAAGAGTGGGTGTGGGATTGTTAGAGAAAATGATGACTCAGGGATGACTCCAACGATCTCTGCTTGAGTGCTGGAAAAATGGTTTGGGTGGGGGGACTATGGTTGGAACAGATTTTGGAAGGGGTTATTATGAATTCATTTTGAGCTGGGCACAGTGGCTCACGCCTGTAATCCCAGCACTTTGGGAGGCCGAGGTGGGCGGATCACAAGGTCAGGAGTTCGAGACCAGCCTGACCAAAATAGTGAAACCATCTTTACTAAAAATACAAAAAATAGCTGGGTGTGGTGGTGTGTGCCTGTAACCCCAGCTACTTAGGAGGCTGAGGCAGGAGAATTGCTTGAACCGAGGAAGTGGAGGTTGCAGTGAGCCGAGATTGAGCCACTGCACTCCAGCCTAGGCAACAGAGTGAGACTCCATCTCAAAAAAAAAAAAAAAAAAAGAATTCATTTTGAAGTATGTTGAAGTATGTCTATTAGACATCCAGCAGAGATGAGAAGTAGACAATGGGATTTACAGAAATTCAATCTGGTAGAGAATTATGGGTGAGAAATATCATTTTAGAAGTCTTTGGCATATACTAATGTTTAAATATATGAGAATAGATGATACCTCCAAGAGAATGAGTATAAACAAAGAAGAGAAGAGCACTAAAGATTGATACTTGAATTTAGGGACTGGGGAGGAGAATCAGCAAAGAAGCCAATGATGGAATGACCATTGAGGTAGAAGGAATACCAAAGGGGAATAGTTGGAAGACACATGGAAAAGTATATAAAGGAGAAAGGGTATGATCAACTACTTAAAATGCTGCTACAGGTCAAATAAATTGGCTTTGATCACTTCGATGGTGAAAATGATGGCAGTGTTCCTAATGGGGTGATGAGATATAAAACATAATCAGAGTAGTTATACAAGCATGTTTGAGCAAAGGAAATAAAATATCTCTTTCTAGGTATTTTGCTATAAAGAGAAACAGAATAAGAAGTAGTTGGTAGGGACAGTGAAGTCTGAACAACTTTGGTTTGCTTTTTTGTTTGTTTGTTTGTTTGTTTGTTTGTTTTAGAGACAAGGATCTCATTATGTTGCCCAGGCTGGTCTCAAATTCCTGGTCTCAAGGAATCCCCCAGCCCCAGCCTACCAAAGTGCTGAGATTACAGGTGTAAACCACCATGCCTGGCCTAATTTTTTTTTTTTTTTAAGGAGAAAGGATAGTATATTTGTATGCTAATAGGAATGATCAAATGGATGGTAAAATATTGATGATAAAAGGAGAAATTTCTGGTGAAATGAACATGGGTTAAACAAGAGTAGATAGGCTACACTGCGCAAGTAAAGAGAATGCTATGGCCAGGTGATGTGGCTCATGCCTGTAATCCCAGCACTTTGGGAGGCCGAGGCGGGCAGATCATGAGGTCAGGAGATCGAGACCATCCTAGCTAACATGGTGAAACCTCATCTCTACTTAAAATATAAAAAATTAGCTGGGCATGGTGACAGGCGCCTGTGGTCCCAGCTACTCAGGAGGCTGAGGCAGGAGAATGGCATGAACCCGGGAGGCGGAGCTCACAGTGAGCTGAGATTGCGCCACTGCACTCCAGCCTGGGTGACAGAGCGAGACTCTGTCTCAAAAAAAAAAAAAAAAAAGACAGAATGCTATTAGATATGAACATGACAACATAGCAATACAAATAAATACATGCAAAGTATTTTTATGGAACAGTACTTGCAATTAATATGTTGAAGTTTCTTCCATAATTTTATCTAGAAAAGGGTACAATATAATCAGATTAGTCAGTTGATTACTTTAAAATATAAAGTGAAATACATTTAAAGATTGGATATTGGAAACTTTTTTGGCTATGTATAATTTTAGCATAATTAAATAATAGCCTATCTTCTTAATATGCAATAGATCCAAAGCCAAACATTATATGTGTTATTAAAAATGTGTTTATGAATAAATACATCCTTTTTGCTACATATTAATTTAGGGTAAATACTATACATCACATGCTAATGAAGAAAAAGGCAAAAATGTGCCTAGGAAAAATGGATGTTATTAAAGATTCTATTTAATTAATCATCAAAAATATAACTATAAAATGTATTGCTTAAAGTTAGAACTTTATTATATATCACACAAAATGAGTTACATGACTGTTAACATTACTCTGAAGCATTTGTTAGGCAACGTATTACCAAGAATGTATCAAAACAGAGCCAGGAAAGTAGTTAGCATCTTCCATATATCCTGATTTAACTAATCAATTTTATGTAAGACATTTGTACATACGTCAGATTCCAATAGCAAATTCTGTAGCATTGGGCCATACCACTTGCAAATAAGAGCATCTGGAGACAACCTTTGAGAAAATCCCCTTTTCCATGGTTATTATCCGCATAGGTTCAAACTCAATTTCAGCTATTGTTTGTATTTATTCAGGGTCATATTGGAAGGGACTATATGCAAAAACACTGTCCTTCTAACTCCTGCCCACCTCTTTAAAATTTCATTTCAGTTATGATCTTTGCTCCATTTACTCTTTGGGTTTAATTTTTCTTCTTTATGGGTTTGCTAAAAACAAACATAATAATCTCAACTATTGTCATTTAAAGCAGAGATGAAATATTGCCATTAAGCGAAGAGATGCTTGTTGCAGTATGAGTGACTCATTTGTGAAGCAATGCAATCTGCTTCTCCCAAGATCTACATCTTCTGTCACCATAGAAAAGTCAAGGCTCTACAAAAGAAATCAGAAACTAATGCTTTGCCTGGTTAAATTTGAAGTTGGTCTTGACCCTTGCAATACCAATCCATTTTTTAATGTAAATCAACTTGGATTCATTTGTTTGTGTAAATTTCTGTATAAAGAGTGGCTAGCCCTTAAACTGCCATTTTGTCATTTACTCATCGTGAAATATCTGGTACAAATATTTCTTCAATAGCCATCAAGCAAAGAAGAGTGTTTCACATTATATAACTTGAGATGTCTGAAGTTTGAGAATTTTTGTTTTTCCAAGAAATATGTTGAGTTGGAATTACATTTTTCAGTAAAGAAACAGAGACCTGTAGCTAGCTATCATTGAGCCATCTACCTATCTATCTATCCCTTTTGATATATATGATACATATCATCTCCTGCTGAGGCACTTCCCCTGATGTCTTACATTTAAGAATTGGGAGGCTAATTTCCTTGTTATGAAGGTCCCAATTACTAAGCACATGGGGGTTGAATTCTGCATAGGCATTTTTCCAAAAGAAATTCATTCTTCAACATTTGTGTCATAAGTAATCCAAACCTATCTGCCAGTTTGGATGGGCTATTTCATTGAGACCTTAAAGACATTACTTTTTCCTTTTTTTTTTTTTTTTTTTAGTTCTTTGGTCATGTTTCTGCTAACTGTATGGCTCTTTTCAAACACTTTTCTTGCCATTGCTGCATAGTCAAAGACTGTCAGTCTTTTTGTCTCTGGGCATGGAACCAAGAAGACAAACAAAAAAACAGAAAATATTATTCTGTTGGGAAGGTGCTGCATTTATCTCTAGGCCTTAACCAGACAATCTCAGCTTCTCTGTTTATTTTACCATTTCTATAGACTTTTCACACAAACTTGAGCCTCTTACTCTTTGTATAATCTAAACAAGAGTCATATTAATCATATTTGCTTCTCCAAGAGATAGAAAGCAAGAAGAGGGTGATAGTTAGGTATTAGTAGCTGATTTGTAGGAATCGGAACAAATCTGAATTAGTTTTTGTCATCTCTGTCAAAAATATGAGGAATAGAGTTAAAAATTATGTCCTTTACATAGAATAGCCTACATAAGAAATTCTGTATTTTGCTACCATATCTCCTCAATATGTATTTAGGCTGATAGGGCTATTATTTTTTGGTCTTGAAGGCTTATTCTAACCTTTAAAGCTTGTGTGAGTTTGTGTTTCTTGTGAGTGTGTGTGTGTGTATGCATGTGTGTATATATGTATGTATACGTAAAAGAATGTATTCTTAGCACTTGAAATGAAAACTTCTACCACTGGTACTATATAACTTAAATACTATGTATAATAAAAAAAAAAAAACAGCCGTATGGAAGAGTCACACACTGTCAGGTGTAAATATCAAATCAAATATCTTGAAATATCTAAAACCATATGTAGTAACAAATGTTTGAATCAGTAAATTGGATGCAAACTGAATTTTTGCTGCAAGATTTTTATCACCTGGATTAATTAACCTGTATTATTTTTCTATTTGACAATATGAAAATTTATGTGTGCATTTTAATGATCTGTCCATGTATTTTCCTTTAAGTTCCCTATGTTTCAGTAACAACATAAAATCAAGTTCTTTGGCAGATTATATTTGTTCCAACTGAATATAAAAATGTATTCTGGGTTGGAGAAAGCAAGTTGCACCTGAGACAGTGATGTAGTCAGACGCTTTTTGACAATGGTTCATGGAAGCTTACATTCCCTCTGGTGAAAGCTAGCATGACAAATTGAATCCTAGGATATAAAAAAAGCACATTATATCATGCATTTTGATAATAGAAGTGGTGATTAGGAAAGGTAGCAGATTATTTAAGAAGTAGAATAGAAGCTTTTATATTATACATTTGTTAATATTTTAAGTTAAACAATCTCTTTATGAAAAAAAATTTCAATTGGAAAAACAGGAGGGAAGAGCATTAAACTGTGGTACAGCAATGAATAAAAGCCTTAGGTGGCCCAATAGGATGTTTCTGGGTAAATAATTCAAAGAAGAGTATTGCATAGGGTAGTCACCAGGCCCTAAGTCCCTATCATGTTCAGTGAGCAACTGAGAGCTGGCCAGAGAAAATGTATATATGCCTCAAACACCATAATGGATCCCCAAAGTTTAGCAGCTTAAGACAGTTAAATGACTTAACCATATGCAATAGGTTCATTCCTGAAGGGATATTTGAGTGGTGTACCTCAATAGCCTCCACATTAGTAAACATCAGATTTTCTAAACACATCTTAAATATATCATTTATAACAAAAAATAAAAAAAATTATATTATGCTAGATATAAATGTAATAACAAGGAAACCCTGTAAGATCTTTAGGAAAAAAAGAAAAATTCATGGAAATCATAATAGAATAACTAAATAATTTATAGTTATACAATAACCATGGAAGAGAAGGGTCTATATCAATGATTACTCTACAAATTCAGTGAGACTCCAGTTAATATCCTAGCAAGATTTAAAAAAATGTTTATAAAATATCAAAGCTTAAGAATATCCAAGACGTTTATGAGGAAGAGTAACAAAGTGGGGAGGTTTGTCTTATCATACATGAAGGCTAATTATAAAGGTAGAGTAAATATGGGCAATTTATTAGAAGAAAGCCATTTATTTCTCACACTTCTAGAGGCTGCAAAATCCAAGATAAAGGTGCTAGCAAGTTTTTTGTCTGGCAAATGTCCAGACTGTGCTTCCAAGACGGCCCTTGATGCTGTGTCCTCACATGTAAGACAGCACATGGACAAAAAAGGAAACAAGCTCCCTCTGCCAAGTTATTTTGTAAGGGCACCTAATTCCACTCATGAGGGAGGAGCCCTCATGGCCTAATCACCTCTTAAAGGACCACCCTTTAATACTATTACATTGGCAACACCTGAGTTTTTGAGAGGACATAGCATATATTTTAATTCACAATGAATGAGAATATAAAATAGTATTCAAAGGATGTCTTTATCAAGTAATTATACTGAAGAAGTGATCTCATCCCACAATTTTTTTTTTTTTTTTTTTTTTAGATGGAGTCTTGATCTGTCTTCCAAGCTGGAGTACTGGAGTGCAATGGCATGATCTCTGCTCACTACAACCTCCTCCTCCTGGGTTTAAGAGATTCTCCTGCCTCAGCCTCCCAAGTGGCTGGGATTACAGGTGCCCACCACCACACCCGGCTGATTTTGTATTTTTAGTACAGACAGGGCTTCACCATTTTGGCCAAGCTGGTCTCAAATTCCTGACGTCAGGTGATCCACCCACCTCGGCCCCCCATATTGCTGGGATTACAGGCGTGAGCCAACAGTGCCCAGCCTCATCCAACATTTTAAAATAAGGAATTAGAGCTATACTTCATGACATAGTAAAAAATCAAATACAGGTGGATGAAAATTTAAATGTGAAAAATATAACTTTATTATTATTATTATTTTAAGAGACAAGGTCTCGCTGTGTCACCCAAGCTGAAATGTAGTGGTGTGATTGTGGCTCACTGCAGCCTTGACCTCTTGGGCTTAAGGGAGCTTCCTGTCTCAGCCTCCCAAGTATCTGGAACTTAGGTACATGCCACCAGAATTGGCTATTTTTCATATTTTAATTTTAATTTTTTTTTTTTTTTAGACACAGCATCTCACTATGTCGCCCAGGCTGGTCTCGAACTTCTGGCAACAAGTGATGCTGCCAACTCAGCCTCCCAAAATGCTGAGATTACAGGCATAAGCCACCATGCCCAGCCTCAAAAACATGACTTCAAACATTTAAAAGAAAATAATTAAAATTTATGGAAGGGGAACGTTTTTAAAAAATAAGACATGGAATCATAGTAAAAAAATTGATAAATGAGAATATATTCAAATTCAAAATTTCTCTTGAACTAAATGCATGATCAAACTAAAGCAAAGTACAGAATTAGGAAATGGACTTATTACCTAATAAGTTAAAAATAGTGTTTATAATGTGTTTTTTAGAGACCAACCAACATGTAGAAGTAGAAATACTGAATGATGAATAAACATCTGAAAAGTTGCCCAAACTCACTGCTAATTAAAGAAATAACAACTTAAAAATCCAGGAGCTATCACTTTCAATTCATGATACTGAAGGAAAAAAAAATTTAAATCTGCAAATACCAACTACATTTGCTTATATATTGATGTAATTTTAAGTGTACTACCTGAGAAAGCACATGTGTCAATACCTAATAAAGTTGAAGATGCACATACCTTACAACTCAGCAATTTCACTACTGTAAAACTAAAGGAAATTTCACATTGGCAAAAGAAGACATGCTCAAACATGTTTATTAAAATATTGTCTATAATGGCAAATATCATAACCTAAATACCCATCAACAGCAGAACTAATTAAATTGTGCTTAAAGCAGCCAATTTTGGCAGAGTAATTAAAAGTGATTTTTTTTTTTTGAGGCAGACTTTGTTTGAAGTTGACTCTGTCACTTTGAACACAGTGTAGCTCTCTGATTTTATTCCCTCATCTGTAAAATGGGAATAAAATTGTACTGACCTCATGTTTTTGTTGTCAAGATTCAAAGGTTAATATAGGATTCAGTTTATAATCCGATACATAGTGAACATATAATAATTGTAAGCTATTATTAATATTGGTCAAAAGACCCTAGACCATACATCAGATAAAATAAATAAATTAGATCTATATTTGTCAATGTGAATAAATTTAAGGGAATAACATTTAAGACATTTGTAAGGAAAGACATAAAGCATGACACCATTTATATAATTTTAAGACTTGAAGATAATGTTATGTATTGTTAATGGATATATATGTATAGTAAAAATAAAAAAACATGCATGAAAATATATAAGACCTTATCTGTACCTGAAATATTTATTAAAAATATTTATAAATATTTATATATAAATATATATAAGAACTTATCTGTACCTGAAATATTTATTAAAAAATAAACCTGAAGAAAATGATGTATACAAGTATATGAGCATTTGCTTGACTGTGTCTTTTTATCTGCATGACATATTTGGTAATTAAATATATTATAATGTTACTATACCTTTTGACCAAGAAGTCTGCACATACCAAGCTTTCGAGTTTTATTTTCCTGTATTATTCAATGTTTAGCAACAACTTCTATTTTTAAAAGTGCAGTTTCATTTAACTCTTTGAGTGTTCTTTTGTAATAATTCAATATAATCCATATGTGTCATAAATTGATTTTAGAGTATAAGCACGCCATCATACTATTACTAAAATGTTTATACATGTTAATTAATGTAAATATTTTGGGAAGTACTGACTACAGGAAGATCATAGTTCCATCCTGAGAAGTAGCATAGGACATTCAAAATAAGAGTTGAAAACTAAGTTATACTGCAGCTACTGTGAAAACATCCATTCCTTCAAATATTTTCATGGCACCTGATGTGCATACAGTAGTCCCCCTTATCCACAGGGGATACATTCCAAGACCCACAGTGTTTGCTTGAACCTGTGGATAATATTGAACTCTATATATTCTATGTTTTTTACCATCTGATAACAGAGATTGCTATTAAGTGACTAACTAGCAGGTAGTGTGTCTGGCATGAATACAATGGACAAAGAGATGATTCATGTTCTGGGCAGAATGGATTGGGACAATGCAAGATTTCATCATGCCACTCAGAATGGCTTGCATTTTAAAATTTATGAATTCCTTATTTATGGAATGACACTTTTAATATTTTTGGACCATAGTTGACCAGGTAACTAAAACTGAGGAAAGCAAAACAGTGGATAAGAAGAAATTACTGTATGCTCCATTTGTTCTGTAAATTCTAATTTTGGTAGACCTCCTGCTAAAGAAAATGATCCCTTTTCATATTCTGTGATGAGGATCTTGGATTATCAAGAGCAAGGGTTGGCAAACATTTGCTATAAAGGAAAAGATAGCAAATATTGAGGTCTACATGTTCTCTGTCACAAGTACATTCAATTGTGCTGTTGCAGTGCAAATGTAAGCACAGACAACATGAACATAAAAGGATATTGCTATGTTCCAATAAACTTTACTTGAAAAAAAAAGTTTTTAGCATGAAGTGTGCTGAATTTTATCGAAGGCCTTTTCTGCATCTATTGAGATAATCATGTGGTTTTTGTCATTGGTTCTGTTTATGTGATGGATTATGTTTATTGATTTGCATATGTTGAACCAGCCTTGCATCCCAGGGATGAAGCCAACTTGATCGTCGTGGATAAGCTGTTTGATGTGCTGCTGGATTCGGTTTGCCAGTATTTTACTAAGGATTTTCGCATCAATGTTCATCAGGGATACTGGCGTGAAATTTTCTTTTTTTGTTGTGTCTCAGCCAGGTTTTGGTATCAGGATGATGCTGGCCTCATAAAATGAGTTAAGGAGGAGTCCCTCTTTTTCTATTGTTTAGAATAGTTTCAGAAGGAATGGTACCAGCTCCTCTTTGTACCTCTGCTAGAATTTGGCTGTGAATCCATCTGGTCCTGGGCTTTTTTTGGTTGGTAGGCTGTTAAATACTGCCTCAATTTCAGAACTTGTTATTGGTCTATTCAGGGATTTGACTTCTTCCTGGTTTAGTCTTGGGAGGCTGTATGTGCCCAGGAATTTATCCATTTCTTCTAGATTTTCTAGTTTATTTGCATAGAGGTGTTTATAGTATTCTCTGATGGTAGTTTGTATTTCTGTGGGATCGGTGGTGATATCCCCTTTATCATTTTTTATTGTGTTTATTTGATTCTTCTCTCTTTTCTTCTTTATTAGTCTTGCTAGCGGTCTACCTATTTTGTTAATCTTTTCAAAAAACCAGCTCCTGGATTCATTGATATTTTCAAGGGGTTTTCATGTCTCTATCTCCTTCAATTTTAGTTATTCTTGTCTTAGTTATTTATTGTCTTCTGCTAGCTTTTTAATTTGTTTGTTCTTGCTTCTTTAGTTCTTTTAATTGTGATGTGAGGGTGTCAATTTTAGGCCTTTCCCACTTTCTGATGTGGGCATTTAGGGCTATAAATTTCCTTCTAAACACTGCTTTAGCTGTGCCCCAGAGATTCTGTTATGTTGTGTCTTTGTTCTCATTGGCTTCAAAGAACTTATTTATTTCTGGCCTGAATTTCATTATTTACCCAGTAGTCATTCAGGAGCAGGTTTTTCAGTTTCCACGTAGTTGTGCGGTTTTGAGTGAGTTTCTTAAACCTGAGTGCTAATTTGATTGCACTGTGGTCTGACAGACTGTTTTTTATGATTTCCATTCTTTTGCATGTGCTGAGGAGTGTTTTGCTTCCAATTATGTGGTGGATTTTGGAATAAGTGCTATGTGGCGCTGAGAAGAATGTATTCTGTTGTTTTGGGGTGCAGAATTCTGTAGATGTCTATTAGGTCTGCTTGGTCCAGAGCTGAGTTCAAGTCCTGAATATCTTTGTTAATTTTCTGTCTCGTTGATCTGTCTAATATTGACAGTAGGGTGTTAAAGTCTCCCATTATTATTGTGTCTGAGTCTAAGTCTCTTTGTAGGTCTCTAAGAACTTGCTTTATGAATCTGGGTGCTCGTATATTGGGTGCACATATATTTAGGACAGTTAGCTCTTCTTGTTGCATTGATCCCCTGGTTATGTTTCATTGATTATGTAATGCCCTTCTTTGTCTTTTTTTGATCTTTATTGGTTTAAAGTCTGTTTTATCAGAGACTAGGATTGCAACCCCTGCTTTTTTTTTTTTTTTTTTTTGCTTTCCATTTGCTTGGTAAATCTGCCTCCATCCTTTTATTTTGAGCCTATGTGTGTCTTTGTACGTGAGATGGGTCTTCTGAATATAGCACACGGATGGGTCTTGACTCTTTATCCAATTTGCCAGTCTGTGTTTTTTAATTGGGGCATTTAGCCCATTTACGTTTAAGGTTAACATTGTTATGTGTGAATTTGACCCTGTCATCATGATGCTGGTTGGTTATTTTGCACATTAGTTGATGCAGTTTCTTCATAGTATCATTGGTCTTCTATATTTTGGTATGTTTTTGCAGTGGCTGGTACTGGTTTTTTCTTTCCACATTTAGTGCTTCCTTCAGGAGCTCTTGTAAGGCAGTCCTGGTGATGACAAAATCTCTCAGCATTTGTTTGTCTGTAAAGGATTTTATTTCTCCTTCACTTATGAAGCTTAGTTTAGCTGGATATGAAATTCTGGGTTGAAAATTATTTTCTTTTAGAATGTTGAATATTGGCCCCCACTCTCTTCTGGCTTGTAGGGTTTCTGCAGAGATATCCGCTGTTAGTCTGCTGAGCTTCCCTTTGTAGGTAACCTGACTTTTCTATCTAGGTACCCTTAAATTTTTCTCTTCCATTTCAACCTTGGAGAATCTGTCGATTATGTGTCTTGGGGTTGCTCTTCTCGGGAGTATCTTTGTGTGTTCTCTGTATTTCCTAAATTTGAATGTTGGCCTGTCTTGCTAGGTTGGGGAAGTTCTCCTGGGAAATATCCTGAAGTGTGTTTTCCAACTTGGTAACCTTCTCCCTGTCACTTTCAGGTACACCAATCTATTGTAGGTTTGGTCTTTTCACATAGTCCCATATTTCTTGGAGGCTTTGTCCATTCATCTTAATCTTTTTCTCTAATCTTGTCTTCATGCTTTATTTCATTAAGTTGGTCTTCAATTTCTGATATCCTTTCTTCCGCTTGATTGATTTGGCTATTGATGCTTGTGTATGCTTCACAAAGTTCTCTTTCTGTGTTTTTCATCTCCATTAGGTCATTTATATTCTTCTCTAAACAGGTTATTCTAGTTAGCAGTTCCTGTAACCTTTTATCAAGATTCTTAACTTCCTTGTCTTTGGTTAGAACATGCTCCTTTAACTCAGAAGAGTTTGTTATTACCCCCTTTCTGAAGACTACTTCTGTCAATTCCTTAATCTCACTCTCTGTTCAGTTTTGTGCCCTTCCTGGAGAGGAGTTGTGATCATTTGGAGGAGAAGAGGCATCCTGGTTTTTGGAATTTTTAGCATTTTTTGTGCTGGTTTTTCCTCATCTTCATGGATTTATCTGCCTTTGATCTTTGATGTTGATGACATTTGCAAGAGGTTTTTGTGTGGGTGCCCTTTTTGTTGATGTTGACGTTATTGCTTTCTGTTTGTTGGCTTTTCTTCTAACAGTCAGGCCCCCGTATTGACGGAACACATCTCAAAATAAAAAGAGGCATTTATGACAAACCCACAGCCAGTATCATACTGAATAAAAAAAAGCTGGAAGCATTTTCTTTGAAAACAGGCACAAGACAAGGGTGCCCTCTCCCACCACTCCTATTCAACATAGTATTGGAAGTTCTGGCCAAGGCAATCAGGCAAGAGAAAAAAATAAAGTGTATTCAAATAGGAAGAGAGGAAGTCAAATTGTCTCTGTTTGTAGACAACATGATTGTATATTTAGAAAACCTCATCTTCTCAGCTCCAAAACTCCTTAAGCTGATACGTAACTTCAGCAAAGCCCCAGGATAAAAAAATCAATGTACAAAAAATCACAAGCATTCCTGTACATCAATAGACTAACGGAGAGCCAAATCATGAGTGAACTCCCATTCACAATTGCTACAAAGAGAATAACATACCTTGGAATACAACTTACAAGGAATGTGAAGGACCTTTGCAAGGAGAACTACAAAGCACTGATCAAGGAAATAAGAGAGGACACAAACAAATGAAAAAATATTCCATGCTCATGGATAGGAAGATCAATATAGTGAAAATGGCCTACCGCCCAAAGTAATTTATAGATTCAATGTTATTCCCATCAAGCTACCATTGACTTTCTTCACAGAATTAGAAAAAACTACTTTAAATTTCATATGGAACCAAAAAAGAGTCCATATTTCCAAGACAATACTAAGCAAAAAAACAAAGCTGGAGGCATCACGCCACCTGAGTTCAAACTATGCTACAAGCCTACAGTAACCAAAACAGCATGGTACTGATACCAAAACAGGTATATAGATCAATGGAACAGAACAGAGGCCTCAGGAATAATGCCACACATCTACAACCATCTGATCTTTGACAAACTTGACAAAAACAAGAAATGGGGAAAGGATTCCCTATTCAATAAATGGTGCTGGGAAATCTGGCTAGCCATATGCAGAAAATTGAAACTGGATCCCTTCCTCACACCTTATAGAAAAATTAACTCAAGATGGATTAAAGACTTAAACAAAACCTAAAATCATAAAAACCCTAGAAAAAACCTAAGCAATACCATTCAGGACATAGGCATGGGTGAAGACTTCATGACTAAAATGCCAAAAGCAATGGCAACAAAAGCCAAAACTGACAAATGAGATCTAATTAAACTAAAGTGCTTCTGCACAGTAAAAGAAAGAAACTGTCATCGGAGTGAACAGGCAACCTACAGAATGGGAGAAAATTTTTGCGATCTATCTATTGACAAAGGGCTAATATTCAGAATCTACATGGAACTCAAATTTACAAGAAATAAACAAAAAACACTATCAAAAAGTGGGCAAAGGATACGAACAGACACTTCTTAAAAGAAGACATTTATGCAGCCAATAAACATATGAAAAAAAAGCTTATCATCACTGGTCATTAGATAAATGGAAATCATAACCACAATGAGATACCATCTCACTCCAGTTAGAATGGCAATCATTAAAAAGTCAGGAAACAACAGATGCTGGAGAGGATGTGGAGAAATAGGAATGCTTTTACACTGTTGGTAGGAGTGTAAATTAGTTCAACCATTGTGGAAGACAGCGTGGCGATTCCTCAAGGATCTAGAACCAGAGATACCATTTGACCCAGCAATCCCATTACTGGGTATACACCAAAAGGATTATAAGTCATTCTACTACAAAGACACAGGCACATATATGTTGATTGCAGCACTATTTACAATAGCAAAGACTTCAAACCAACCGAAATGCCAGTGAATGATAGACTGGATAAAGAAAATGTGGCACATATATACCATGGAATACCATGCAGCCATAAAGAAGGATGAGTTCATGTCCTTTACAGGGGCATGGATGGAGTTGGAAACCATCATTCTCAGAAAACTTACACAGGAACAGAAAACCAAACACTGCATGTTCTCATAAGTGGGAGGTGAAATGAGAACACATGGATACAGGGAGGGGAACATCACACACCAGGGCTTGTCATGGGGTCGGAGCAAAGGGAGGGAGAGCATTAGGACAAATACCTAATGCATGTGGGGCTTAATACCTAGATGATGGGTTGATGGTTGCAGCAAGCCACCATGGCACATACATACCTATGTAACAAACCTGCACGTTCTGCACATGTATCCCAGAACTTAAAGTATAATAAAACTAAATAAATAAAAAGTAATAATTATAATTAAGAAACAACAAACAATAAAAAAAACAGTTGATAGGCTGTAATTTCCAGCTCTAATTCTAGATTTCTGCATACATATAGTCAGTTTCCGTCTTTATCAGACTCCACCTGACAGTTTAAAGAGATGATTCTTTGTGGAGGTAAGACATGACTGAAAGACTAACCCTGTAATTGAAGACTAACTCTGTAATTGAAGAGTTGGGGAGTATGTTGACAGATGACAGATTAGACGCTTTTAACATGCCTCAGCTACTTGGAAACAGCAAGATAGTATGTAAAAGGTCAACACTGTGAGCTTTAATTGGAGAAGGAAAATGAAAATTCACCAGAATTATGAAGGATAACCTAGATACTGAGGAAGAGAATGAGGTCAAATAGCCCCCATGATGGTGGCTGGCTGATGAAAGCGAGTGAAGCACCAGTGTATGAGAGAGGCAGAGAGCCTCCCTCTGTGACTCACCTCTCCACTGGAGATCTGAGCAACCCAGGACAGAGGAGAACACTTTGTTTCTCCCAAGCACTGGAGTTAACTTGGGAAGAGGCATGGAGATACTGTAAGGAAAAGAAACTGGGAAAAGCTGCAGACATTCTAGACCTGAGATGTAGAGCAGCATGCAATTTTTAATCTGGGCACATGCAAGATCTGTCATTCTTGGTGACTTGACAGCATGGCCATATAGATATTTTAGTCTTGGGCCAGAGACTGGAGCACTTACTCTGGAATGGGGTAGATATTTCCATAGCTAGTATTGTGGAAGGCACAACAGTAAGTGCTGGAATTGTGCTCTCCCCCATCACAGTCATGGGGCTACAGGAGAGCTGCTACAGCTGCAGTTTCTCCTGAGTAATGAGACTTGCAGCCAGAGCCAAATGGATGAGCTGAAACTGGTCTATGTGTTTCATTGCTGGGTGCCCTAGCCCAATCCCCTGAGAAGTGGTGCAGCAGAGTGCACTCTGACAGTGCAGAAAGCCAGACATTCACAGCACATACTTTCCTGGAACAGAAGCCTGAGTCACCTCATCCTTCCATAGATTGTGCTGCTGTGGGCCATTCTACTCCACACACAGGGATCTCCAGACATCTGCAGCACCTGCCCACTTGGTTCAGCAGTCTGAGCTGCTCCACCATTCCTGGGAAGATTGTAGTGCAGTGGTGATCTGTGCTCCATATCTAGGCAGATTTCCAAGCATCCAAAGCACCTGTTCACCCAGATTGGCAGCCTGAGCTGTCCTACACCTCCTATGCAGAGACCTGAGTGAAGGGAGCCCTCTCTGCTCCACACCCCAGCAGACCTCCAGGCATTTGGAGCACCCACTCTCCTGGATAAGCAGCCTAAACTGCCCTGCCCTTTCTGTGAAGAGACTATGGTGTACCCAGGTCCTTTCTGCTCCATTCCTAGACAGATCTCCAGAAACCTGGAGTACCTGTTTGCCTAGATTGGCAGCCTGAGCTGCCCTACCCTTCCTGAACAGAGATTGGGCACAATGGGGCCCTCACTACTGCATGCTCAGGTATGTCTCCAACTATTTGGAGAACCCACTAAACTGGACCAGGAGCCTGAGCCTCCCCACCCTTCCTGTGCAGAGTTTGTGTTGAAGCAAGGCCTTCTCTGCTTCACACATGGAAGATGTCCAGGAACTCAGAGCACTCACTCACCCAGATCAGCAGCCTGAGCTGCCCCACTCTTCTGTGCAGAGCCTGTGGTAAAATGGGGCCTTCTCCACTCTATGCCTAGGACTATCTCCAGGCATTATGGGCACCCTCTCACCTTAATCAGCAGCCTAAGTAGCCCATCTTTCCTGTGCAGAGACAGTGGTGAAGCAGGGTCCTCTCTATCCCACACCCAGACATATCTGCAGGCATTCAGAGCACCCAATTCACACAGATTAGCAGCCTGAGCTGCCCAACACTTCCTGTGTAGAGATTGTGGTGCAGTGGGGCCCTCTATATGCCACATCCAGGCAGATATCCAAGCATCTGGAACACTCAGTTTTCTGAATTAGGAGTTTAGGCTGCCCCCTTCATTGTTCAGAGAACTTGGGGGCACCTAGGCACACCTCCAGGCATATGTTGACTGCCCACTGGATTCTTTTAGTCCTGGTGCTTTTGAGTGCTATCAGGGGACGTGTAGGCAGCCTGCCCAGTCTGGTCTCACCTATTTTGCCCCATTCTCCCAAGCCTGAGCAAGGAGATCAAACCACTGTGGACTCCATGGACCAGCCCTTTGTCTGAGGCAACAGAGGGCTCCTCCTAGTAAACAATGTACTCAGCCATATTGGCTGCACATTGACAGTGCAGAACTCCAGACATTCACAGTACACACTTGCCTGGAACAGCAGCCTGTTAGCCATAAGCACATCTTCTGGCTTGTAGGTCAAACCACAGGGCCCAGTATAAAACCTCCTGACCAAAGTGCATAGGGCTACAGAAGCAAAGCAATAAAACCTTACCCAACATTCTCTACATCACACCAACTAGAGAGAGGAGAAAGGGAAAATAAAATTTTAAATAATAATAATATTATAGGGCAGGAATAAAAAAAAATCTACCTGCACAAAAATAATTACAAAAATTAGAAGTGTCAACAACTGCAGATGAGAAGGAACCTGCAAAAGAATTCTGGCACCGTAAAAAATCTGAATGTAGTGACACCATTAAAGGATCACACTAGCTGTCCAGTCATGGTTCTTAACCAAAAGGGAAGCTGAGAAATGACAGATAAAGAATTCAAAGTATGGATTGCAAAGAAGCTCAACAAGATCCAAGACAAGGTTGAAAATAAACATAAAGAAATTTCTGAAGCAATGCAGGAAATAAAGGAAGAGATAAACATCATAAAAAGAAATCAATTGGAGCTTCTGGAATTAAATATTTTACTTCAGGAATTTTAAAATATAATTGAAAGCTTTATCTACAGACTGAACCAAGTAGAAGAAAAAAAATGTCAGAGCTTGAAGACCAGTCTTTCTAACCCAGTCAGAAAAAAATATTAAAAAAGTAAGAAAAATAAACAAAGTCTTTGAGAATATGGGATTATGTAAAGCAAGCAGATCTATGAATTACTGGCACTATTGAGAGAGAAGAAGAAAAAGTAAACAACTTGGAAAAAATATTTCAGGGAATAATTCAAGAAAATTCCCATAATCTTGCCAGTGATAAATATCCAAATACACAAATTCCAGAGGTATTTTATGAAAGACACTAAGAAAAACAAACATGATCAGCACATATAGTCACTAGATTGTTAGAGGTCAATGCAAAAGTAAAAAAATCTTAAATGCTGCTAGAGAAAAAGATAAGATCACATACAAAGAGGACTTTATCAGGCTAACAGCAAATTTCTCAATAGAAATATTACAAGCCAGAAAAGATTAGGAGCCTATATTCAGCATTTTTTAAAAGAAATTCCAAATGAGAATTTCATATCCCAGCAAAGTAAGCTTTGTAAACAAAGGAAAAATAAAATCTTTCCCAGACAAGCAAGTAATAAAGACATTAGTTACTACTAGACCAGCTTTCCAAGAGATTTTCAAGGGAGTTTTAAATATGAAAACAAAGGAACAATACCTGCTATCATAAATCACACTTAAGTATATAGACCACAGACCTTGTAAAGCACCATGCAATAGAAATTACAAACCAACCAGGCAACAACTTCATGATAGGATCAAAACCTCACATATAAATATTAAACTTTAATGTAAAAGGTCTAAATGTTTCACTTAAAAGACATATCGTAGAAAATTGGAGGAAAATAAATAAGACCCATCCATCTGCTGTCTTCAAGAGACTAATCTTAAATGTAATGACTCCCATAGGCTCTAAGTAAAGGGTTGGAGAAAGACCACATATACAAATAGAAAACCAAAAAGAGCAGGGGTGGCTATCCTTATATCAGATAAAACAGATTTTAAGTCAACAACATTAAAAAAAGAAAGATATAGAAGGGCATTACATAAGGATAAAGGGTTCAATTAAATAAGAAGATTTAACTATCTTAAATAAATATATACCCAACCTTGAAGCACTCAGATTAATTTTTATTAAAAAAGACTTCTAGACCTATGAAAGAAATTAGATAGCCATGAAATAATAATGGGTTACTTCAACACCTCACTGACAGCAATAGACAGATCATTGAATCAAAAAAGCTAACACTTGACACATGAATAATTGGACCAAATAGATATCTACCGAATATCCCACCCATCAACCACAGAATATACATTCTTCTCATCAGCACACCGAACATACTCTAAGGTTGGTTATGTGTTTGTCCATAAAGGAAGTCTAAATATTTTTTTAAAAATCAAAATCATACCAATTATATTATCTGACAACAGTGGAATAAAAATAGAAACAAATACATGGGATATCTCTAAAAAACACACAATTACATAGAAATTAAACAACTTCTTTCAAAATGACTTTTCAGTAAACAATGAAATTAAGGCAGAAATCAATTTATTTTAAATAAATGACAACAGAGACACAACATACTACAGTATCTGGGATGTAGCAAAGGTAGTGTTAAGAGGAAAGTTTATAGTGCTAAGCACCTCCCTAAAAATGTTAGAAAGATCTCAAATTAACAACAAAACATCACACCTAGAGGAACTAAAGAAATAAGAACAAACTAACCCTAAGTCTAGCAGAAGAAAAGAAATAACCAAAATCCCAGCAGAACTGAATGCAATTGAGACCCAACAATCTATGCGAAGAACCAACAGAGTAAAAAATTGTTTCTTTGAAAGGATAAGCAAGACTGATAGGCCACAACCAAGACTAGCCAAGATAAAAGATCCAAATAAGCACAACCAGAAATGACAAAGGTGATATTACAACTGATCCCACAGAAATAAATTTTAAAAATCTTTAGAGACTATTATGAACACCTCTAGGCACACAAACTAGATAATCTAGAGGGAATGGATAAATTCCTGGAAACACACAACCTCCCAAGATTGAATCAGGAAGAAATTAAAACTCTGAACACACCAATACTGAGTTCCAAATTTGAATCAATAATAAAAAAATATACAAATCAAAGAAGCCCCAGAACATATGTGTTCACAGCCAAATTCTACCAGACATACAAAGAAGAGCTGGGACGTATTCTATCGAAACTACTTTACAAAATTAAGAGGGATAGACTCCTTCCTGACTTATTGTAGGAAGCCAGCATTACCCTGATACCAAAACCTGAAAAAGACACAACAAAAAAACGATGTCCCTGATAAATATAGACACAAAAATTCTCAACTAAATACTAGCAAACCGAATCCAGCAGCACATCAAAAAGTTAATTTACCACAATCATGAGAATACACTAGTGCCTTTGCCAGAATGAATGGTGTCATAGGCCTCATTAGTGACAGGATGATAAAGTGAACTTTTGACATAAGGGAATAAGATTCCCATGATTAAGTAAATCTTATAATAATTCATACTCTGACACTAGTGGAGGGCCCATACTCATTGTAAAATTAGCTTTTTACTAGTAAAGTCCAACATTTACTTAAATAAGATCAAGTAGCATTTGGCTATTGGTTAAGTGACATTATCTGCCATAGGAGGTAACCTACAAGCTAAGACATGGTGGATGAGCAGGATTCTCTGGAAAAAAAATAATGGGAATTAGCAGGAGAACACGAGGAAAAACCTTCTGTAGAGAATAACACCTGTATAATTTCAGAGAGAGAAATCTTGGTAATTTCACTGAAATACCAGCACTTTGAGATCACAGCATAAAAAGGTGATCATTGATAAATGAGGCTGCAAAAACTAAGAAACAATTTAATCATGAAACACTGCAATAAATTTACTTAAAACGGTATGTTTTTCGGTCATCAAAAAGATAATGAATAAGGTTATATGAAACATGCACATATTTATGGCTACTATTAAGGAAAATTAATATGTGCATTTTTGTGGGACTATATATAGTAAGTGTGATAAATGTTTAATATAATATACAAAACAGATATAGTTGGGAGAGGATGGTAGGATTATGAATGTTAAACCATTGAATTATTTTAAATATTTTTAATTTTGTTGCACTGATATTTAAATAATTAAATTATTTAAAGTAAAATATGAATTAGTTTCCTAGGAACACCTTTATTTTTGCCTCTACTATTAAGTTACCAAGTATAACTGCCAAGCAAAATTTTATTTTCCTCAAAGTCAAGCTATCACACATAGTTGAATAAATTGAGCACTGGACAAGGTCACTTAAGAGGCAAGTGGAAGCTCTGCTTACTCTGCTATTTCTTCTGGTTCTGGACAGCACCTGCTTGGAAAATTTCTATTTTTAATTCCCATAAATTTATTGCATGGGTTAGCCATAGCACTGCCTACTTTTGGGAGAATAACTTATTATTTGAAATGTGATTTGAAGATACTCATTTCCTATATTCTCTTCTGTCTCAACTAGCATGACCAGTCAAAGTTTACTGTAAAACTCATGAACTCATTAAAAAAGTGATTTTGAAGTTATACAAAGACAGAACAGTAGCAAAGTTCATGGAATAATGAATATGAATATTTTTATTGGGAAATGAAAAATCTTTTAAAGAAAATATATATGTCAGGCCACTGTGTTTCCTTAAATGACCTCTGGCGATTCCTATAGATGCTCTTTGCAGAGAGTTCTTTCTCTGTTTATTATTAAATTATTTTTTAAACTTCTCAGATTCTTTATAGTGCCATTTGACCTACAAAAAAGGCACTGAAATAAAAATTTATTTTCCCTTTGCCCAAATAAAAAGAGCAAGATTTGTGAAGGTTTCTTTTTTTTTTTTTTTTTTTTTTAGAAGAAATGAACTACTTATTACGAAGAATTATGTGAAGAAAAGGGTCAAAATATTATTTGGTTTCTGGTCTTCCTATTCAATATATTTTCTGAGCAGTCAGAATCCGTCTTTGGTTTGAGCTGGTGAGTGACCAGCTGAGTACAGTCGCAACAAAGAAAAAATTCTGTATTCGGGGTTCATGTAGCAAAATAAGAACAAAAAGCTTTTGTAAAGTGGGATGAAAAACGTCTTAGAAGATATGAACATCTTCGCTCCTAAAGTAAATGACCTTTTTCCCCAAGGTGGTCCTTGCATTATAAGCTCAGTTTTATTTCCTAGAGGGAAATTTTAACCAAAATGTCCTAATAAGATGAACTTCTTAGCTGACCTGAACTAGACATTTCCAGGAATTGTGGTATTTTTCTGAAAGTAACATGTTAATCTCAAAAGTTAGCAATCTGTCTAATCACCACCATCAATTCTGTCACCAGGTAGAACTAATATCAGCAATTACTACATCTATTAAATGCTTACTATTGGGCTATGACATATTCTAAGCACTTCATATGTATTTTACTTGCTTAATATTCATATTACACCACATGAGGTAATATTTTCATTCACAATTTGCATGTGAGAAAAATTGAGACATTGAGAAATTAAATAACTTGTCCACAGTCAACTAAACTTCAACTGAGGAAGTTACTTTAAAACCTGGGAGTCTGGCCCCAGAGTCCTGACCTGTAACTTCCCTTTTATGATGGCTCTGGTTGGTCACACTGAATATCATATTCAGATCAAAGAATCACAGAAATCAGTGTGAATCTGACAACTAGACCTTCTATTACTTATACATCAACCCCACTAACCATTCAGCATCTCTGGGGATAAAAAACCCACTCTTGCAAACCTGACCAATTTATACAGTTGGAAGAAAATAAACCATTACTTGTATTCGGACTGTCCAGTTGGCTTAGGCAACTATAAGAAGAGTACTGGACTGGTTGCCGGTGTCTATTCTAATTAGTGAAGTGAAAAATATCAGCAATGTCTATTTGTTCAACCAGCTTCATTTATGCAATATATCTCATCCAGATGAAAGATTTTGTTTCATTATTTGCTGAAAACCATTTATTCCCAAAGACCACAAAGCTTCCATATGTTTCAAGTAGCATTTGTGCAGTTTGCAATGACATCTTCATTAAAAGATTAGTAAAAACTCTTATTTTCCAATGGAAAGTATAAATGATAAGGCTTCAAAGTGAAAAACCTACCTGAAATATGGGATCACCGATGAATTAGCAGAAATAGATTACTAGCTGTAGACAAGCATGTGACATTAATGCTTACAATTTTTTATCATAGTAAAGGGTCATGGTGCTAAGCAGATGACAGCTATGTTATTCAAACAAGATGAGAAATGTGCTTAAAATTCCTGCAAAAAGTAAGTACAGTTACCCTAATATAAGAGATATTAGAATGAGTCGGCAAAGTAAAACCCCCGGTAAACACTCCTTCCTCCACACTGACATGGCCTTATGCATTAATTTAACAATTTCCTGATTCTTCACTCCTATTTTTGAATCCTTCATTCCCTATGGACTATTATAATAGCCTTCTAGTTAAACTTTTTGCTTATAATCTCTTAGGCCTTGAATCCAGCCTTCACACATCTAAGTTTCTGAATCATATGATTTATCTGATCATTTCAGTGCTAAAAACATGATCGAAGATGGATTGCCTGTTAGGATCCTACATTCCTATTGTATAAAGCAAGAACATTTGCTTTTAGCTCCAACCTTCCCCAGTCTTCACTATCTGAAATTTCTGTGGAAATTTTTCTTCACTTCAATATTAATACAACAATATGAAGGTGGTGAGATCAAGATAATTGTACAAACTCTCTCGAAGAATGCCAACCAAGGCTTTGTGATCACAATGAGTTAAAAGTGACTAGTCAGGGATTTTTATGAATATGAATCATGGGCAGGATTATCAGAAATTATAAAATTGTTGAAAAAAGTGGAAATGCACAAGAAATTCAAATACAGAAACACACCTGGAGCATTCATAGTCAAAAATACTTTGAAAATTAGAAAGTCTTTACGAATTAACCAACACTACAAGAAATACAGATAATATGCCACTGTCTTTAGGTGATGCCAAAGAGTTCTGCAAAGCTGTAATTTAAAAGTCAGGTCACAAAACATCTAAATAATAGGTGTGACAATACTTTCAAAATTTGTATCTACGTGAAATTGCAATGACTTACGGTGAAGTGAGGATAAATTTCCTGTGGGTGCTTTACGCATTAATCCACAGAAAAATTTTTATTGCTGCATTAGATTTTCATCAATTGAATTTTAAAGTTAAACCCAAACACGTTTCAAAGTGTCAATGGAAATCTATATATCTCAACTGCCCATTATTTTAAATATTTTCATGTAAGGTTAAATAAAAAATTGATTGACCTTCATAGAATATACATTGATTTATGCGAAAATTGAAGAGTTCCAGTTCCTATTCACCTCCATGAATATAATGTACTATCAAACTTTTTAATCTTTGCTAATCTTAAGGATGAAAAATGGTAAGTCATGGTCATTTTAATTTTAAATTTTCCTACTAGGAATGAGGCTGAGAGTATGGGTCATATGTTTAAGATCCATTTATATTTGTGTTCTCTGAGCGATCTTTTCATACCTTTTGCCCATTGTTTTAGAGGAGGGTTTTTCATGAAGTAAAAGTATCTGTCTATTGTCCATGGAAGCAGTCCCCAAACTTTATGGCACCAGAGATTGATTTCATGAAAGATAATTTTTCCATGGATCAGGGTTGTAGGGGATGGCTTTGGGATGAAACTGTACCACCTCAGATAATCAGGCATCAGATTCTCATAAGAAACACACAATCTAGATCCCTCACATATGCAGTTTGCCACAAGGTTCACACTCCTATGAGTATCTAATGCAGCTGCTGATCTGACAGGGGGTGGAGCTTAGGTGATAATGCTCCCTCACCCACCACTCACCTCCTGTTGTGCGGCCCAATTCCTAGCAGGTCACAAACCAGTACTAGTCTGTGGCCTGGGGGTTGGGAACCCCTGATCTATGGTACGGATTGCAAATATATTTTTCTATCAATTTTTTTTCGGGGGGGAATCTCGGTCTGCCACCCAGGCTAGAGTGCAATGCTGTGAATTTAGCTCACTGCAGCCTCAAACTCCTGGGCTCAAGTGATCCTCCTGCCTCAGCCACCTGAGTAGCCAGGATTACAGGTATGTGCCATCATGCCCAGCCTTTTAGTGTTTATTCATACTTTTGTTATTTTTAAAATTATATGTAGTCAAGTTTATCAGTTGTTTTGAGATTATAATTAATAATATATTTTGTCATCAACATTAGACTACTTTTCCCTTATGTTTTCTTCTAGTACTTTTATTGTTTTATTATTTTACATTTAAATCTTTATATTTCTTGAAATTTTGTGGTCTAAGGCAGAGGTTGGAATACTAGAGCCCATGGGCCAAATATGTTTTCCAGCAAGCCAAATTTGGCCATGACAAATAGTTTACTTATGTATTGTTTATGGCTACTTTCACAATACAATGACAGAGTTGAAAAGAGTGACAGAGATCTACGAACCCCAAACTGTTTGCTATCTGGTCTTTTACAAAAAGAAATTTGCTGACCCCTAAGATATATAATACAAATACTGTATTATTTTGTAAAGAAGTTAAACATTTATTTATGTCACCCTTTATCCACTGATTTGAAATCTACCTCTATAATGTACTAAATCTTTAAAACCTCTTAGAAATGGAAGGCAAACAGGCTACAGATAAGCCCCCAAATTTCAGAAAGGTAGGTTAAATAGATTCCTTGAATTCTCATACATGAATGAGTTACAGGTATTTCCTTCCAGGGAGGCTCTCTGGCCTGAGTTCTAAGAAGATACCATGAAATTCATGTTTTATTGATTCATTTTTTATGTTAGGTAGATTCTAAATGTTTGTTTTAGAGTCATATTTTTCTTCTTTTAATGTATTAGTAGGGGATCATTGGATATATATGCAGCAAAGACACATAGCTAGAAGTTCGCCTCTCATGTAAGATCTGTCTGATTTCATACACTATCATCATTGGCATTACTCTTAAATTGGGAGGACCATGTTTTATTCCTGAGTTTTAAAAAGGAAGAGGAGCCCCTATCCTCTGAGCAAGCACTTAGAATTATTTTATTAGTAATCTCATGGGATTGATGAAGAACTCATAACGAGTCTTTCTGTGGCTCCTCTTGAGGTCCATGGCATCTATTGGTGACTGTGACCTGAATTCCTGGATTTGGAGGTAGAGTCGGTCTGTGATGGAATATCAGAAGTGCAAAGATGTTTCTTATAAGATGCTTCAGAAAAGCAGGAAAAAGGCACATACATATAAATGTAAAATCTTTCAAAATGTAATTAATATAGAAATCTGTGGCCAAAAACCAAGTCACCAGTGCTGGATCCTAGGAGAATAGAATATATCCAGGACATCTACAATTAATAAATGGTCTTGAAACCACAGTAATTTAGACATATCCTAAATTCAAGGTCTACTCATGACCTTCCTATAATCATGAGCATTAACTGAATTTAAAGTTCGCAGTGCAAATTTGCATGTGAAAAGAGAAAGATATCACTTGCCAATATTTGACCCAGTTTCTCTTCCATATGAATCAGAGATGTCCTTTATTTTTAATTCCCTAAAATATTTAAATAAAATACATTTTTGTCCTCCTGTAAATTTTATGACAAATTCACAAACAACTCACTTATCTGCACTACAGTCCTCACTACCCTGGGAAATAAATGACTAAATGACACCCAGGTATCCACTAAATGCCCAACATGAAGAGAAAATGGAAGATTGGTAAGTTAACTGACTGTTCTAAGGAACAGAAAGAAGACTCAATATATCAAGTGAAGTTTAGTTCTTTAAAGAAACAGTTAAATCTCTGTCATTTTCAGATAGCCTAGGAAGTTTTAAGTGGCCGCTCATTGTGAGAAACTCATTTCGAGTACGTTTGAAAGACAGAACATCTAAACGTGCGGTGGCCTTTCCACCTCTCAGGAACTTTGATTGGATCCTGACTGCGAAGGAGAATGCAGAGAACTGAGTCAGCAACACAGCTTCTATAGCACCCTGGGGTCCTTTGGAAATGACTCGTCCAACCTCAGTCTAGGATGGGTTAGAACAGTGACTCCTCAAGGCAGGGGTCTGAGATAAACGACCTCCAGAGTCCGCACTCAGCCTCTCGGGTCTTTGATTTTGAACTGACGAAGTACAAGCCGATTTTAACTAGGTCATCCAAAGAGCTCATATCCTAGCATGTAGTTGGCATTCACTCAATAACATGGCGCAGAGAAAGAGAGAAAGTGGGAGACGGAGAGAGTAAGCGAGTAAGAGAGAAAAAGCTAACAATAGACTTTTAAAAACAAGTCTTTCTAAACATTTTCATTTTTCCAAGATTCTATATAATTTTTTATCCGCTAGGAAGCTGTTTCTGTGAATAATAACACTGATGATTGTGAGCTTGAAAATTAAGTTATACATAATTGCTTGGCACCCATGTTACAAAGCTACTATGGAAAAAAAATGCTTCTGTCTGTCTCTAGTTAGTTAGTGAGGGTAGGCAGCATTTGGATTCTTTTTACTTTTTGGCCCAAATACTTAACACTACAACCTGTAATTATATCATGGAATTTTTAATCACTTGGGCTTAGTTAACTCTGGGACCTTAGTGACTGACAAGTTCTCAATCATTTAACCCCTTGATCATCTTTGCTAACTGTTTTTGTTTGTTTGTTTCACCTTCTCCTAACCGTCTTGATGTACCACCATTGTTAATGTAGAAGAAAAGTCAGGTGCTACCATAGGTTACTGATACCTTTGTAACCTCTGTGATTTATAAAATTATGCTTCTTTGATAACTTATATACTCTCATGAAATCTTAAAGTAACAGGGGACCTCCTTAGTGATCACTTAATTCAAGTTTTCATTGGTTAAAATGGAGAAATTGAGATTTTTTTGTGCCAATTTTCTCATCTCATGTACCAATGTTACTGTTTTTCACTTACTTATAAAATACACCTTTCATCTTTATTTTTGGTAAATTATTTTATCAATATAATTTCTTATCAAAGCAGAAGGTTAGGACTTTATCACTTTCGTAAGTGTTTTTCTTCATAAAAGATAAAGATGCTCATCTTAAACCACCATTGACAATTATTTGAAGTGATTCTCTAGATCATTTTTTTTCTCAATCCTCAGCTTCACTTAGCTGACTCTTCCAGGCAATCCAGTAATTTGAATACTATGAATGACACATGGCTTATTCTTCACATGGACTCCTGCACCATTTTCCTCAACTATGAGCGTATGGTGCGTTGGATGGGTTGGGTGAGTATCCCCTCTATGTGGCTGATACAAAAAATATGCTATGTGGAACCAAATTTAAACAAACCAATAAACATGGAAAAAAATGATTTAACTACAAAGTAGAGAATTAAAAAAATTATTGTAAAATGGTTTAGAGAGAAGAAAACATAGTAATTTTCTTTTTTTTTTTTTGAGACGGAGTCTCACTCAATCGCCCAGGCTGGAGTGCAGTGGTGCGATCTTGGCTCACTGCAACCTCCACCTCCCAGGTTCAAGCAATTCTTCTGTCTCAGCCTTCCGAGTAGCTGGGACTACAGGTGTCTGCCACCACGCCTGACTAATTTTTGTATTTTTAGTAGAGATGGGGTTTCACCTTGTTGGTCAGGCTAGTCTCAAACTCCTGAACTTAAGTGATCCACCTGCCTCAGCCTTCCAAAGTGCTGGGATTACAGGCGTGAGCCACTGCGCCCGGCCAGTAGTTTTGTTCTTTAGTTTTTGTATTCTAGATATACACAAACTATTCTAAAAAGTTGGAAATTATGCAATTGGATAGTTTGAATAAGACAATATAAGTAAAACAGCTATATTTATGGCAGTATAATCATAATTAAATTATGGCTTAATATTACATTTCTTTTAAAAATGTCCAACAAATAGGTCCTATCCATTGTGAAAACTATGGTTAAGGCTTGTGGGTTTCACTGTTTTTCTTCTTATACCACACACTTAGAAGTTGCAAAATTGTTTCTGAATCTATGTTTGAAATATGTTATCAACTCAGTCTGGTCATCAAGTCAAATATTCTGAGTTAGAAGGCGTTTTGATAGATCACCCGTCTGCTACTCATATCCCAACATCATTTCTTAGAATTCTAAGTCCTTTGGTTATTCATGTTGAAAAATAACAAAATTGAATAAGGATTGATCCTTAAAGACGGGCTTATAAATCCTCTCCAAACATTAGAATAAAGAACTTAAAGTCTATAGCATTTGAGATTAGCAAATTTCATTTAAATGACTTTGAATATTTTTAACCAAGATATTTTGTTCTAACCAAATTTATTGCTGTTGGCAAATTTTAAGTGGAGATTATATAACTTATGTGGAGAAGTGGAGATTACATAACTCATGTGGAGACTATCTTGAACAATAAAAGAGCCAATTTTTCTTCCAAATGAAATAACAGAAAATGTGTATGCATCCAACAGATATTTTGTTTTTTAGATTTTGTTCTTCATAGGTGCCAAAACATGCTGTTTCATGTTTTGTATCTCTGTAATAACCAGCAGATACATGTTCATAGAGAAGGCCATTTCTCTCAAAATAAGAAGTATAAAGATCCCTAAAGAAACATTTCATGAGGATAGTAAAACTGCCAAAGGAAACCAAAATTATTTTGTTACTATATGAATTTTAAAATGCAATAGAAAGATCAAGCATTTGAATATTCAAAGTGAATCATTACCATATGTCTAGGCAGTACATTTGGCAAATGCTGAAAAATTGAACACTGAGGATTTGTGATAAACCACTGTTACAACAAAGCTGTTGGAATTAATGTTTTAATTCGTGCTAGGGAGTATAAAGTCATTGCTTATCTTGCTGGCCAGGCAGACTTGTTGAGTGTTTCTGTTTCTGAACTCTTTCCTTGGTATTTTGAAAGCTATTCCAACATGACAACATAGAGTTTCTCCTTCTACTATTGATTACATGTGTAAGCAGTGAGAAGAACTTCTAGGGTGGATGATTAATACTCACCAATTCACATCATCAAACAATTTGAGCAGGAAGAAACCAAAGAAGAATAGTTTAGGCAATGAAATAGAAGAAACTTTCAAAAATAAATAGAAACAAGTTTTTAGAATGCTTATATTGTTAATGAAAACCACATTAAAATCCTGAAAGGGAAGACATAGCCACCTGTATTTTGTGAATGCTTTGATTTCTCCTCCCTGTGAATGATAACACCTGCAGAAAGAATCATGTCTTATTCCACAAAAGACATTTGTTCAACTCATGTGTATTCATACTTACTATATGACAGGCCCTCTGCTAGGCACTCAGATTAAAAGGTGAGTAAACACAATTCCCAAGGATCTTACACTTTAACTCAATTGACATATGATGAAGCTGAACTCGTTGGGAAATAGTGCAATCCACACATCAATAAAACTACCAATCAATGGTCTTGCCTGATGAGTAAAATATAAGGAGCTACCAACATGGATAGTGTTAAAACTAAATAAGCTCTTGGAAGTCATTGGTCTGGCCTCTTTTGTCTTTGAATACTGCCTGCCTAGCAGAAGTACTAGAGGATATTTGTTGAATTGCAGTAAACTGAAACCACACTGGTGAAAAATAAGTGCCGTTTTTTTCCATAATAAATATGAAACTTTTAAAGAAAATATGTGTACATATTTCACTAGTCAGCCTTCACAGGATATCCTAGAACCCAATTTTTTTTATAAAGTCAAAGTCAGAGGTAAGAATATTGAACCAGATTTAAGTGCAGTTGGAGGGGCACCTGAAACAAGTTCAGAGAGAATCACAGCTCAATCTAAGGTCGTTAAAAAAAATGGATGTCTTTAGCACTGTTGGTCTCATTCATTCCATAAATCAAGGAAAACTAGTTTTCATGTTATTTCATTGCTCAGGTCCCTGACATGGTGGCAGATCTTGTTTTTCAGAACCAGCAGCAATGTAAAAAAGGATTTCAAATAGATTGTAAATGTTGCTAGAATATACTATCCTTGAATAAACTCTGGATACATTTAATTAATACTTGTTAATTAAATCATGGAAGAGTACTGTATGGAGACACAGATTCTCAATAGGAGAAACAATGGAAATCAATTTACATGAGAATTAAGCCCTCTGGGCTCCAAAATCAAAACACCTTTGTTCATTTTGCTGTTAGTCTAGGAAAACAATACTTGAAGATGTATGTTTAGTTGAGATTACTGGAAAGAAAGAACCTTTTGTCATTTACTCTCACTTTTTCATTTTTAGAGGAACAGAAAAGTCAGTCAATAATTATAATTACAATTCTCTTTTTATCAACTGCTCAAATGCCTTCTTATATGTCATAATTACCTCAAAAGATAACAACCTTTGCAAATCCATGGGGCATTTTCCCTTATCTGACAAAATATTTATCATTGGTTCTGATACTCAAATGCTACACAAATTAGTATAACGGTGACAGTAGTTATAAATAAGGTTTTAATAGTCATTAAAAAACATTTATGCCAGGCAAGGATACCTTTCTAAATGCAGTAATTAAAAGTGAAAAAATTAGAAATGAAAATAAAATTTTCTCTGTTGTTGCTTTATGAAAAATGAGATATTGAATTTTGATTGCTAACAATTAATTAAGCAATTCATTTTATTCTTCCCCAACTCTCTTGAATAGTTTTTGAGAACAGGTAAGATGGACAACATAAAACATAACACCTGACATCACATAAGTGGGCACTAAACAATTACTCATTTCTGTTTATTTCTCTTCAATTTCTTCTACCTAATGAGAACGCTTATTTATTCATCCATTTAGTTAATACTTATTGACATCACTTATGTATCAAGTACTCTGCTAGACACTTGGAATTCAACAGTGAAGAAAGGGGAATTTTTCCTAGTATTTTCTGGACAAATTGATATCCACACTGTGAAAAAAGGAACACAGGACATTGAAACTTAACAGACTCTGATACATTTTGTATTTGTAATATTTATCAACACTGACACAAAATACCAAAACTATTGTTGGAGTGTGTATTAATAGAAGCCATTTGTTTCACATTTTTTAAAGAAAATGTTTAATTACTTGTTTCAGCTTTTTACTTCATTCTTGACCATTTGGGAAGTGTGATCATTTGGAAACAATAAATTGCAAAGTATATTGTTGATACTGAATAGCTCTGTGGATTAATTATTTCAGGTACAGATATCTTTATGAGAAAAAAAAAAGACTTAGTAAAAGTAGAATGTTATAAAAGGGAGGAACCCAAGATAATAGTTGTCAAGATGTAGATAGAGGCTTCAAACATTTGAAGTGAGAATCCCTTGTGATCAAGCCAGTTGCTATCACGGACAAACAAAACAACCGGCTGCACTGCTTATTCTTTTTTATTTTAATTAGGTATTAGTTCTAAAAAAGTTTATTGTTGTTTGTAATTGACTCCATCTTAATAGGTTTTCCATAGATAAATTCATTTTGCACTCTTGTCAAATTAAATGTGTACCAAAATATCTATATGAATATGACACACGTCAATTAGAATTTTGTAGCCTTCTGAATGAGAGCTGTTTTCTTTTTTAAAAAATGATGAAAAATATGTCTTTAAAGCACAGCTTTTAGATGACTTTTTAAATGTTTTGCTTCTGAAAATGTCAGATTTTAAGCCAACATGTTCTCAGGGATGAAGTGCTAGGAATCCCTGTTAAAGTGTAATATTTTTACTGGGCTCTTCACAAATCTGCCACTGTTCCCATAGTAACTCATTCTTCAATGAGCAACGAGGCAGGAAGACTGGCTAGTGTATTGATGAATTTCACTTAATGGTATTTGTTAACTATTCACTTATATCTAGGAGGACATAGGTGGAGAGTAGGCTTTTATCGGGGACTATAAATATATTAATCAGTCTTCCAGAACAGGGAAAATAAATGATTGAGTGAAGCATGCTTTTGCCCTGTATCTGAATTTCCACTATATTATTTTTCTGTTGTCAGAAAAAGTTTTAGTTTTGATATAAACAAGGGAAAAAATTTATAGAGTATCTGTTGCAGAAATCTTCAGGATGTTGGTAAATCCTAGGTAAACTTCAATGTACAGGTACAATGTCACAAGTACTGATCTTAGGCCTGAAATTATAGTTAATGATTTTATAGCTCTATATCAACATCTGACTATTTTAATAAGACGAATCCTCAGAAGAGTACATCTGTTAAATAGTCAGATACTCATTAATTTGTTACTAAACCAGACGAGTAATTGTCATCCATAGTTTAAAAAGTTGTGTAACAAAAAATAAATGATTAAAATAAAATCTGTCACTTCTGAAATTTGCCTTGCAGACACTTTAAAGATACTTTGATTTCTGTAAATGTCTAGAGGTCCTTGCATTCATCTCCTGTGATTTTGTTGTTGTTGTTATTCATAGCACAACTTTGTATCATTCTATATAAAGATAGAGAGATACACTACATCAGTAAGTTCAAGTCTTTGGATTTCATGAAGTAAATTATAAATTAATCTAGAGAACTGGATGCTGTCATAAAGCTGTTGTGTAGGGGGATTATTTATTTATATATGTTTATATTTGCACACTACTTAATTTTGACACAATGAAGAACTCGCCACATTTTATATTTTTGGAGATTGATGAAAATTTTACAAAGAAATGCAATGTGAGCACCACACCTTCTGGCTTTCTATTAAGAAAAGTATATTTCTAAATGTTTTATAAAGTGGAGTCTAAATAATTTTATATCATGCATGATAGTCTTGGAAAAAGTTAATAGTCATATTTTAGGATAAATTTTATACTTTTTAAGATAGAAATCAGTTAACTACACATGAATCGTCCCTTTACTTACCTATTGTTATTTTTACACCACTATAAAAGTTGGTAATATGTAAAGATAATAATTTAGCTACAATGTTTTGCTTCCATTATTCTTCACTATATGACAACCTCTGTAGTTGTCACTGCCATGGGAGGAGTCTTAAATTCATGATCTGGTTAATGGGCACACAAAGGTCTGAGGATGTCTTCTTCAGTCAGGCTCACGGGCAAAAAATATGAGCAGCCTATTTCAAAAGTTAAACATACAGACTCTAGGGTGTGCTAATTGGATTTTTAAACTCACCTATTTTGTATTATGATCTTTTAAATGGGAGCAATATTACTCAAAGGTAGCATCTAATAAGAATTAAATGACCTAAAGTATGAGAAATTCTTACAATAGTTATTGTCATATCATAAATCTTTAATAACTGTTTGATAATTGGGCAAAGTGCTTTTACTTCTTCATACTTTATTTCCACAAAATAAAGATACTATTATAATTTATATACAAGTTTGTTATGCTCATGAAGTGAAACAATGCATATATAGCATGTTTAGCACATTGCTTGGCATATATTATTTAAGAAATATTAGCTTTATTATTATTACAATCAATCCATACATTCTCCACCACTCTGACACATTTTCTGAAATTATGAGCTGCTTTTTTGAGGCTCTTGCTTTTCTGTTTTTCTTTTAAAGAAAAAGTTATGTAATTCAATCCAAGTTCAACTGTATAAAAATGATAGGGGAGGGATTGTGTGTGTGATAGATTTGCCCTGATATCCAGATCCCTCTGGAGAGGGCCCTGTACATGGGCAATAGCATTTTCTCACAACAAACATATGTCCCTGATTCCCCAGCCTCCTTTTTCATGCACAATCTTCTGCCAATTGTTGCTACTATTTGGCTCATGTTCAAGATAAACAAACATTCTTATCGACTCAGAAGCCTCTTTCTGATATTTGCAAAGACAGTGAGAAGTGTCTGGATCTCGATGTGTCAGTTTATTACTTCTAAAACAAAATTGCTTTGTGCCATGCACCTCCTTCTCTATTTACTTTTGAATTTTCAACTTCTTACTTTCTAAGTCATTAATTACTTGCCTCCCATATATGTAGTCACTGACTGATCAGGATACTGATTTATTCCCCATAATACTTAGAGTTCTGCTGCTCTATTTTTCATTCTTTATGTTATCTTCCAGAGAATGTCAATTATTTCACTTTTTAAAAAAACTTTATTTATTTATTTACTTATTTTTGAGATGGAGTTTCACTCTTGTTGCCCAGGCTGGAGTGCAATGGCAAGATCTTGGCTCACTGCAACCTCCACCTCCTGGGTTCAAGCAATTCTCCTGCTTCAGCCTCACAAGTAGCTGGGATTACAGGCGCCTGCCACCATGCCCAACTAATTTTTTATGTTTTTAGTAGAGACGGGGTTCCATCATGTTGGCCAGACTGGTCTCGAACTCCTGACCTCAGGCGATCCACCCACCTTGGCCTCCCAAAATGCTGGGATTACAGGCAAGAGCCACCACACCCAGCCATTTTACTTTTTTTGAACTAACGATGTTCTACATATAGTTCCCCCTATGGCAAGAAATTTTGTTCTCTATGTCCTTTTACTCTCAAGCGTTTTTCTACTCTAAGGGCTATTTTAACCTTTTAGCAATTTAGATAATCTTGCTTTGATCCCTTGATTTTGCAACCTAGGCAAATTTCATGTCCAACATATACTCTCGATGAATTATTTAACTTAATTTCTTATTAGTCTCTTTGTTTTTGTTCCTAAACCCAAGAGGAATGTTTTAGTTCATCTCAGACCCACCTTCACACCTTCATGCCAATCTGAAAAAGAACCTAGCTTATTTTTGGCTTCCAGAAGTGTTGCAGGAAGTCAGGGACCCCAAACAGAGGGACCGGCTGAAGCCATGGCAGAAGAACGTGGATTGTGAAGATTTCATGGACATGTATTAGTTCCCCAAATTAATACTTTTATAATTTCTTATGCCTGTCTTTACTGCAATCTGTAAACATAAATTGTAAAGATTTCATGGACACTTATCACTTCCCCAATCAATACCCTTGTGATTTCCTATGCCTGTCTTTACTTTAATCTCTTAATCCTGTCAGCTGATGAGGATGTATGTCACCTCAGGACCATGTGATAATTGCATTAACTGCACAAATTATAGAGCATGTGTGTTTAAACAATATGAAATCTGGGCACCTTGAAAAAAGAACAGGATAAGAGCAATTGTTCAGGGAATAAGAGAGATAACCTTAAACTCTGACCACCAGTGAGCCAGGTGGAACAGAGCCGTATTTCTCTTCTTTCAAAAGCAAATGGGAGAAATATCACTGAATTCTTTTTCTCAGCAAGGAACATCCCTGGGAAAGAGAATACACGTCTGGAGGTATAGTCCTATAAACGGCTCCCCCCCCAAGGTGTGCCTGTCTCTTATGGTCAAGACTGCAGGGGTGAAATAGACCCCAGTCTCCCATAGCGCTCCCAGGCTTATTAGGAAGTCGAAATTCCCACCTAATAATTTTGGTCAGACTGGTTGCTCTCAAAACCCTGTCTCCTGATAAGATGTTATCAATGACAATGGTGGCCGAAACTTCATTAGCAATTTTAATTTCACCCCGGTCCTGTGGTCCTGTGATCTTGCCCTGCCTCCATTTGCCTTGTGATATTCTATTACTTTGTAAAGTACTTGATGTCTGTGACCCACACCTATTCACACACTCACTCCCCTTTTGAAAATCCCTAACAAAAATTGCTGGTTTTTGCAGCTTGTCGGGCATCACAGAACCTACCGACATGTGATTTCTCCCCTGGACACCCAGCTTTAAAATTTCTCTCTTTTGTACTCTGTCCCTTTATTTCTCAAGCTGGCCGATGCTTAGGGAAAATAGAAAAGAACCTACGTGAATATCGGGGCAGGTTCCCCGATACAGAAGAAGCCCAATGAAGCTTTAATATGGTTTACTAAAGGTAAGGCATACGTTGAGCAAAAGCATCCTGTTGCAATGAAAATGCCCGGTCAGTAATCCCACACACTCACACTACATGTTATAGTCCTGAGCTACTACTCTCTGCCACTTGTCAAAAGCTCCACTCACCAAATGAATCTCATCAACTGTATACAGTCTCTTTGAAAATTTAATCTATTCTATTCCTTCCCTCATCAGACTCTAATCTAGGAAAGTCAAATAATCTTCTATCTAGACAAAGGGAAAACTGTACCTCTTCCCAGTTAAAGCTATTGTTAACAAGCAAGCAAGCTAACCAACAAACTGTAAATTGCATATGTATTCAAATAATTATGGGTTCTTTGCCATTCAAATATAAGCATAGAGCCCATGTCTCTCTATAGTTACACATTCACAGAAGCACAAACAACAAATGAAACTTATTAATCATAATTCATATATTTGCAGGCCTTTCTTTAAAAATGTCAGAGAGAGCCAATATAAACCAGCCAGTATTTCTTAAATCCTGTTTACCATCTGTTTCTTACCAGCTTTCACTCCTCACAGTTCTTACTAGAAGCCTATCCTTCCTTGCCTCACCCTACCTGCTCACAAAATACTTTATCCAAATACCCAGCTGGCCGTTCTTTGATCTCTAAAATTTTTCTAATAACAGAAGCAATTTAAAAAGATTTCTTTTCTGATTTGGTGAACATATATTTATCATCACAATCTGTCTCAATGTGGCTGGGCCAGCTTACTCCAAGCACTATGAACTTCCCAAACCCCCATTCCTAAGAATGAGGGTAAACTTTCCCTAGACTCCTGTATGGAAGAAAATATTTTTGTATCCCAATCTTAATCATGCCTACTTTCCTGCCCAAGAATGACAAAAAGAGCCCTCACTCAAATAAAATAATCTTATTTTCAACAAAAGAGTATGGCATTGGTCCAGGATGGGGAAGAACAGTGCATTTTTGAAGTCTGGGTTATTCACTTTTAAATGGCAGTAGGGCAGAGACACCTGTACTACAGCCCAGACAGCAACACAACCAGGCTAATTTAGATACTTTTCACATCATTTTTTCAGCACAAAATAGAAAGACCAGGTCTGCATCTCTCTAGAACCATGATTTCAGATACTGAATGCCTTGCAACAAATGTTTAAATAAGAAAATAAAGATAAGTATCTGGTGAAAAAAATGTTCTGGCAGAAACAAGAATAAATTTAGCTTTAGAAAAAATTTAATTCACATGCACATGATTCAACTAAAATTAATCCACCTTACATTACTTTATAGAACACCGTATCTTAATCAAAGCACTTTTTTTAGATTTTTTAAAATTGCCCTTAGGCCTCAGCCAAGTAAACAGTCTCTACTTATCTTTATCTTCACTTCTAATGGTCTCATTAAAGTGATACACCAAAAACAACAACCAAAAAAGTCAAGACTTGTCACAGCAATTGGTCAGGATCACCTGTGCCTGGGATGTCCAGACGACTCAGTGAATTTTGTCACACATCGGTGCCTTACTGACTCCTCTTCCAAAACAATCCCATAACAGGAAAGTTGTAATTTCCTTCCATTCTGTAGATTTTAGAGTTATATTTATTAACAATATTTATCTACATATTTACCTATATAGTTCTGTTACATATACATTTCAACAGTTGTATTTACGTGGTTATTATGTATGTGTGTATATATGTAAAGAAATAGAGACATGTTTATGTCTATATGTGTTCATGTACATACCCATTTATGTATTTATTACTACATAGTTATACTAAATTGTCATCTTTTTTAGGATAGATTATAAAGCCCTTGAGATGTCATTCAAATCTTATTGGGCTGAATTCCTTTCTCCTCTATTAAGATTTCCACAGAGAAAAATTAGATCTATTTCGTCTCCACTATTAATAGTTTTCATTTCAATGGTCACTCCCTGATGCTATCCCAAATTCTGTGGCTGTACCCTAGAATTCTTTATTATCTGCATTGATGCCATTAAAAGATGGCATTTCTGCCTCCTATTCTCTTCACCCAGTAATCAGCCAGAAAGCCAAATATCTTCCCCACCCCCTTAACCTCAGATCCCTGGTGAAGGCACACATCCAAACCACCTGCTTCTTTAACTAGAATTCTGGGTGTCAGTCCAGAGCTTTCTTTGGCCTACAGCTGTCTTTTGTTTTTGTCCTCCTGCAGGATTCTTGGCTTATGACTAGACAGCCACCTACAGTGACACCACAGATCCAGGCTGAGCTCTAGTAATTTTCAAGTGCTGCAATAGAACACTCAGCGTGTGTCCCCCTTAAAGGGAGTCTTTAAAGAAATATCCACAGGCTCAGAACATAAGAGGGAGGCATGCCACCAGATTCTGATATCTCTCAAACCTCCACTTTCCCTTAACTTTCTCTTTTTCTTGAGCAAGAATTCAATTTGTGCAGTCATATAAAACGAAATAAAGAGAGAATGTGATTGCCAAGAGGTTATCTTAATTGAGCCAGATATACTGCAGATACTCCTCATATTATGATGATGTTACAGGCCCAATAAACCCATCCTATGGTGAAAATATTTTAAGTTGAAAATGTGTTTAATACACATAGCCTGCCACATATCATAGCTTACTCCAACTTACCTTTAACATGCTCAGAATACATACATTAGTCTACTGTTGAGAAAAATCATCCAACACAAACATATTGTATAATAAAGTGTTGAATATCTTATTTAAACTATTGAATACTATACTGAGAATATGAGTGTTCATCATTCATGTACACAGCCAAAAGCACACTAGGCCTGGAGAGTGTTTGAAGAATTGAACTAAAATTAATAGCTGGATGATGGGGATGCTATAGCAACAGGGTCATCAATTTCTCTCTCTTTTGATGAGGCTTAAGAGTAGTAGGCACAGTGTTCTTCAGGAAGATATTAAGTTTTGACTGTACAGTTTTTCCTTTTCATAATTATCTATAAAGTGCTGGCCACACCATACACTGCAGAATATTGGTTGTTTAACCATCATCATCACGTGGCAGACTGGGAGCTGTCACTCATTGTTGCTGCCCAGCATCACCCCGACCAGAGAGTATTGTGCTGCATATTGCTAGCCCAGAAAAAAAGATCAAAATTCAAAGTACAGTTGTTACAGAATACATATCATGTTTGCACCATTGTAAAGCTGGAAAATTATAAGCTGAACCATTGTAAGTTGGGGACCCTCTGTACTTAGATATAACTTTTGCTTAACATGATATTGATTGTTTGCATTTACTGGTGTTTTCAAAGCCTCAGGTTACTTTTGCAAATAAGCCTGTAGCTTAGTTGTTCATCCACTGACATTTGGTGTACTTTAGGAGTTATTGTTGGAAAATAAAAATTTATGGGTAGATGGAGGAAAAGATGGTTGATAGGAGATAGGACTAATGTGCAGCTCCTGCTTGCATGGACAGAACAGCGTCTGGAGACACACATTGAGAACTTTTGCTCCAAGAACCACTGCAGGAACACAACAGGAAGACTGTAAGAATTTGTGGACCCTTTAAAAGCAGTGGCTTGCTGCTGCAAATACTGCAAGACAGTTGAAAAACTCCACTGCAGCAAGCCCCGCCCAAGGAGATTCTGAACTCAGACCCATCAACCCTACTCCCACCTGATGGTTTTTCTCTACCCACCTTGGTAGCCAAAGACAAAAGACATAAACTCTTGGGAGCTCTATGCCTCACCCATCACCTGAGAAAACTGAACACTTGTCCTAGACAATGTAGGGCAAGCCTATATCATCCTTCTACTACTGCAGCTGGTGCTCTCTTGAAATCAACACCTCCTGACTGGAGGCCAAGCAACTCAAGCCACTAAGCAACTCATAACAGAGCAACCTTGCTCCAAAGAAGGTAACAACAGCTAATTTCACCACCTGCAACACCTTGGCTAAACAGAGGTCCTGAGTCTATCCATGTGACAACTTCACTGCTAGCATAACCCACATTTGAGAAAACCATTTCACTAAACAAAACTATAACCAAGGACTCTAACAGAGTCCACTTCACTCTCCTGCCACTTAACGACAAGAGCAGTACTGGTATCCACAACTGGGAGATCTCAGGATGGATCATATCACAGGATTCTTTTTAAACATTCCTCAGCACCAGCCTGGAGTCCGGTAGCCCCACTGGGTGGCTAGACTCAGAAGGGCAATAGCAATCACTGCAGTCTGGCTCTGAGGAAGCCACTTCCCTAGAGGAAAGGGGAGAGCACCACATCAAGGGATAACCCCATGGGACAAAAGAATCTGAACAGCAGATCTTGACTTCTATGTCTTTCCAGTGAAACAGTCTACAAAATAAGAAGGAATCAGAAAAACAACTCTGGTAATATGACAAAACAAGTTTCTATAACACCTTCAATGCACCTTATTAGCTCTCCAGCATTGGATCCAAATCAAGAAGAAATCTATGAATTGCCAGATCAAGAATTCAGAAGGTTGACTGTTAAGCTACTCAAAAAGGCATAAAAGCAGGGTGAAAAACAACTTAAAGAAATTAAAAAAAAAATACGGGATATTGAAAGATAATTCTCCAGAGAAACAGATATTGTAAAGAAAAGACAATCGTAACTTCTGGAAATGAAAGACTCACATAGAGAAATGTAAAATACACTGGAAAGTTTCAACAATAGAATCAAACAAGTAGAAGAAAGAACTTCAGAGTTTGAAGAAAAGGCTTTTGAACTGACCCAATCTAACAAAGACAAATAATTTTTAAAAATGAAGAAAGCCTCCAAGAAGCTTGGGATTATGGTAAAGGACCAAACATAAGAATAGTTGGTGTTCCTGAGGAAAAAGAGAAATCCAAAGGTCTGGAAAATTTATTTGAGGGAACAATTGAGAAAAATTTCCCTAGTCTTGCTAGAGATGTAGACTTCCAAGTACAAGAAGCACAGAGAACACCCAGGAAATTCATCACAAAAAGATCAACACCTAGGCACATAGTCATCAGGTTATCTAAAGTCAAGACAAATGAAATCTGAAGAGCTGTAAGAGAGAAGCATCAGGTAAACCATCAAGGAAATCCTATCAGATTAACGGCAGTTTTCTTAGTGGAAACCTTGCAAACCAGAAGGGATTGGGATCTTCAGCCTCCTTAACCAAAACAATTTTCAGCCAAGAATTTTGTATCCAGTGAAACTAAGCTTTATAAATGAAGAAGAGATAATTTAAGCTTTATAAAGGAAGAAGAGGTAAAAAAAAGATTTGTTTGTCTATTTCAGACAAACAAATGCTGACAGAATTCACCACTACCAAGCCAGCACTACAAGAAATGACAAAAGGAATTCTAAATCTTGGAAAAACAACCTTGAAATACACCACAATAGAACCTTCTTAAAGTGTATATCTCAAAGGGTCTATAAAACCATAACACAATGAAAAAAAATCCCAGTGTATTCAGGCAACAACTAGCATAATGAGTAGAACAGTACTTCATATCTCAATACTAGCATTGAATGTAAATGGCCTAAATGCTCCACTTAAAAGATATGGAATTGCAGAATGGATAAAAACCCACCAATCAAGTACCTGCTGTCTTCAAGAGACTCACCTAAAATATAAGGACTCACATAAACATCAGGTAAAGGGGTGGAAAAAGATATTCCATGCAAATGAAAACCAAAAGTGAGCAGGAGTAACTATTCTTATCTCAGACAAAAGAGACTTTAAGCAACAACAGTTAAAAAAGACAAAGAGAGACATTATATAATGGTAAAAGGAAAGTCCAACAGGAAAATATTGCCATCCTAAATAGATATGTACCTAATACTGGAGTTTCCAAATCTATACAACAATTACTACTACACCTAAGAAATAACATAGATGGCAGCACATTAATAGTGGGGGATTTCAATACTCCACTGACAGCACTAGACAGGTCATCAAGATAGAAAGTCAAAAAAGAAACAATGGACTTAAACAATACCCTAGAACAAATGGACTTAAAGGATATTGACAGAACATTCTACCCAATGACTGCAGAATATAAATTCTTTTCATCAGCACATGGAGCATTCTCCAAGATAGACCATATGACAGGCCACAGAACAAGTCTCAATAAATGTTAAAAAATTGAAATTATGTCAGACCACAGTGGAATAAAATTGGAAATCAACTCCAGAAGAAACCCTCAAAACAATGCAAACACATGGAAATTAAATAACCTGCTCCTGAATGATCTTTGGGCAAACAATGACGTTAAGATGGAAATTTAAGATTTATTTGAACTGAACAATAATAGTTACATGACCTATAAAGAACTCTGGGATATAGCAAAAGCAGTGCTAAGAGGAAAGTTCATAGCATTAAACAGCTACATCAAAAAGTCTGAAAACCTAACCTCACACCTCAAGGAACTAGAGAAACAAGAACAAACCAAACCCACGCTGTTCTTATGATAGTGAATGAATTCTCAGGACATATAATTGTTTTAAAGTGTTTGACAGTTCTACCCTCTCTCTCTCTCTTCTGCCTCCATGTAAGACATGCCTTGCTTTTCCTTCACCTTCTGACATAATTCTAAGTTTTCTGAGGTCTTCCCAGCCATACAGAACTGTGAGATAATTAAACTTCCCTTTTATAAATCACCCAATCTCAAGTAGTTCTTTATAGAAGTGCAAAAATGGACTAATACAAAAGATTAGTACCGAGATAATTGGGGCATTGCTATAAGATACCTGAAAATGTAGAAACAGCTTTGGAACCAAGCAATGGGCAGAGGTTGGAACAGTTTGGAAGGCTCAGAAGAGGACGGGAATATGCAGGAAAGTTTGAAATTTTCCAGAGACTTGTCGAATGGTTTTGACGAAAATGCTGATGGTGATATGGACAGTGAAATCCAGGCTGAGGTGGTCTCAGATGAAAATAAGGATCTTATTGGGAACTGGAGCAAAGGTCACACTTACTATGCTTTAGTAAAGAGACTGGAAGCATTTTGCCCCTGCTCTAGAGACCTGTAGATCTTTGAACTTGAGAGAGATAATTTAGGGTATCTGGTGGAAGAAGTTTCTAAACAGTAAAGCATTCAAGAGGTGACCTTGCACTTTCTGAAAGTGTACAGTCATATGCATTCAAAAAGACATGATCTAAAATTGAAACTTATGTTTAAAAGAGAAGCAAAACATAAAAGTTTGGAAAATTTGCAGCTTGACCATGTGGTAAAAGGAAAACCCCATCTTCTAGGGAGAAATGCAAGCTGGTTACAGAAATTTGCATAAGTAATGAGGAACCAAATGCTAATAGCCAAGACAATGGGGAAAATGTCTCCAGAGCATTTCAGAGATGTTCATGGCAGCTCCTCCCATCACAGGATGGAGGCCTAGGGGAAAAAAAATGTAGTTTTTTTTTTTTATTTTTATAAATTACCCAGTCTTATGTAGTTTTTTATAGCAGTATGCTAACGGACTAAAACAACATTGGCTTTGGCAAGGAGTTCATGACCAAGAACCCAAAGGCAAATACAAAAGATACAAAGATAAATAAATGGGACTTAAACTAAAAAGCTTCTGTACAGCAAAAGAAATACTCAGCAGAGTAAACAGACAACCCACATAATAGGAGAAGATGTTCACATACTGTGCATCCCACAGAAGACTAATATCCAGAATCTACAAGGAATTCAAAGAATAAGCAAAAAAAATAATAATAATTCCATCGAAAAGTAGGCTAAGGACATGAATAGACGTTATCAAAGAATATATACAAATGACTAATAGGTATTTTACAAAATGCTCAACATCGCTAATGATCAGGGAAATGCAAATCAAAACCACAATGCAATACCATCTTTCTCTTGCAAGAATGGCCATAATCAACAAATCAAAAAATAATAAATGTTTATGTGGATGCGGTGAACAAGGAACACTTCTACACTGCTGATAGAGATGTAAACTAGTATAGGCACTATGGAAAACAGTATGGAGATTCCTTAAATAATTTAAAGTAGGAATTACTATTTTATCCAACAATCCCAGTACTGGGTATCTACCCAAAGGAAAAGAAGTCATTATACAAAAAAGACATTTGTACGTAGTAGCACAATTTGCAATTGCAAAAATATGGAATCAGCCTAAATGCTCATCAACCAATGAGTGGATGAAGAAAATGTGGCATATATATATATATATATATGTGTGTGTGTGTGTGTGTGTGTGTGTGTGTGTGTGTGTGTGTGTGTATATATATATACGTATATATGTGTGTGTGTGTGTGTGTGTGTATATATATATATGTATACATATATACACCATGGAATACTACTCAGCCATAAAAAGGAATGAAATAGTGGTATTTTCAGCAAACTGGATGGAATTGGAGACCATTATTCTAAGTGAAGTCACTCAGGAATGAAAAAACAAACATTTTATGTTATCAATTATAAGTGGGAGCTAAGCTATGCGGCAGCAAAGGTGTAAGAATGATATAATAGATTCTGGGGACTTGGGTGAAAGGGTGGGAGTGGTGTGAGGGATAAAACACTGATAGCCAGATGTGGTAGTTCATGCCTATAATCCCAGCACTTTGGAAGGCTGAGGTGGGAGGATAGCTTGAGCCCTGGATCTCGAGGCTGCAGTGATCCATGATTGTGCCACTGAACTCCAGCTTGGGTGACAGAGTGAAACCCTGTGTCTAAAAAAATTTAAAAATAAAAATAAATAAAACAAAGAGTTCTGACAGTACCAGATACTAGATGGATCTCCACCAATATGTGATGGTCCTTGGCCCAGCTCCTAGTCTCCCTCAGCTTACTTTCCCTTGTTAATGTCTTAGAAAAATTGCCCTAAACCTTGTCTACATATTAAAATAAAATATGATTTTGTGTGTGTGTGTGTGTGTGTGTGTGTGTGTGTGTGTGTGTGTGAATGCCCAGGTCTCTGAGAGATTCTGATTTTACTAATCTAAGGTGACTTCCAGGCACTACTTTTTTAAGTGTTTTCTAGGTAAGACTGGCTTAGACTTATCTGACACTGAGAAGCATTTGTTTCCAGAGATCCTAAACCTGTGAGTCATGCCCTTAACCACCAGCCCCATATGTGCAGCTGCAAAGAAATTTGCTTTCATCCCTCTCAGAATTCTAATATGGCTTGCTAATTTACCAACACAATATTCCAACACAGTGTCTTTCCAGTGTTCCAGAGGAGAAATGTTACAGCTGTCAGCAGCTTGACAGACTGTTGAAAACATGTAAAATCAACTATGCAAATTGGGAGTTACAAAATGCTATGGGGACTTTTCCTCTGACAGTGTAGAAATTACAAACATTTTATCAGGGCTGAAAATTCAAATAAAGAAATACTCTATATCCTAAGTAAATGGTGTAGCAATCTATAACATCTCATTCAAGAAATGTTTCTCTCCCCTAACAATTTACTCATGCTTTGCTCCTGTATCCTCCCACACCTCTCCCACTCATCTTCCCATTTCAAAAAGGAAACCTAATAAAAATCAGATGGGAGATTCGACTCTACTCTGCAAAGAAAGAGCCACTGCTTCTAAAGCTGTTTTTTCGTTTTTTTGTTTTATCATTTCTTTCTTCCCATTTCTTCTCTTTCTTTTCTTTCTGGATCTCTTTACCTTTCTCCTGCCATGTATTGCAAATTCTGTTCACCTCTTGGGCATGCTCTTGACAAGTATGGTGATGAAGAATGACTGAGTAAAGTATCTCTTCTGTGTCTGATATTATCTTAGACTAGGGTCTGGGGCTATCAAGCCTACCATTTCTCATATACCTATACAAAGGAAATTAATAAGATTAAATATAATGTAAAGAACTTAGGTAAGCCACTTCTAATTTATTCAGAGATTCATGGAAGATGTGTATATGTATGTAATTAATCATAATCATTTTGTTATTTTCAGAAAGATTATTTTTTGAATTCATATTCTTTGTGTTAAACATATATTATGTGCCCTTGATCAGTCTATTCAAATTTATTTAAGAAGCTTTTGTTCAAAGGGCATTTCAAAATCACCTGGAAAAAATTTGCTTCTAGAAGTCATTTAAGGGGATATATCTAATAGTTTCTAATATTGAAACTGTCAATAACAAATAGTGATAATAAAAATGCATCAGTAAAGACAATGACCTTAAGGCACCTGTCTCCCCTCCCTGCAACTGATTTATAACCACTGGCTTCACTAATGGCATAAAATCACACATAAGTAGTGCAGAATTCTGGACATATAATCAATAAAGTTTATCAATCATATTTGTTCATTGATTTATTCATAACATATGCCACTTTTATTACAATAATTTATACTTTCAAATAAGCTTTGAAAATAATTTCACAACTTACTATTTTTTTTTTCTTTCACCATAACTCTAACGTTAGGAATAGGCAACAGCATTAAAATAACTTAATGTGCTAAAAAGTAGCTAAGTTCCAGTATCTACGAAAGTGTTATTTATTTTATCTTGTGCTAAAAAACAAGAACTATACTAGTTAGATATTTTTTCTTGGAACTCAGAACTCAGGTCAATGGAGGTTGAATTATCACAAGCAACAAAGAAGAATTTTCAGAGGATAGGTTTTGAAGTCTGAAAGACATGGATTCAAAATACAACCTCACATTTTTTCATATATTTTGTAGCTTATGTTGACTAATTTAATTTATTTCTCTGAAAAATACAGTGAAGTTCCATCTTGGGGAGTTTTAGAAATTTATGAAAAAGCAAATTACTTTCCATTTATTGCTTTGGGTATACAGGAGGCCATCAAAAGCCTGGCAGTTATTATTCTCCTGATTTCCACATGGTGCACGCCTGGGTTTGATAATAGTCAAGTAAGTGAGCTTCCTTTTTATATATTATTCACATTGTTTGCCAACAAAAGCAGAAGGACTAACAGTCTGTCACAATGTGCATTTCTATACCTCTCTCTCTCGAGAATAGAAAGTATGTGTGTGTGCACATGTGTGTCTATGTACGTAAGAAAACAAAAATGTCAGAAGGGAAAATGAGCATTTAACCAAGAAAAAAGTGACACAAATTACCATTCTCAGAAATGAAAATGGAGCCATCACTACTGATCCTGTGGGCAAAAGGAAAATAAATTAATATTATGAAAGACTCTAGGCCCACAAATCTGACAACTTAGATGAAATGCACCAATTTCATGAAGAACACAATCTATCAAAACTCACATGAGAAGAAATAGATAATCCAAATAGGACTATATCTATTAGAGTAACTGAATAGACAATAGTCCTCCAAAACAGAAACACCAGGTCCAGATGGGTTCACTATGAATTCTACAAAGCATTTAAGTAAAATAGTATATTAACTCTCCACAACCTCTTGTAAAAATATAGACAGAAGGAACACTTTCTAATTCATTCTATAAGGCCAGCGCTGCCTTAATAACAAACGAAAATAAAGACATACCGTAAAGGTCAATATCTCTCATAAATGTGAATGCACTAATTGAGACAGGAGAGTTTCCTGACCCCTTTGTGGGACTTGTGACAGGAGTATGGTTTGTTTGCCCAGCTGGCTGCCCTGAGCTCAAATCCCTTATGTGAGGGGCAGCACACAGACAGGCAGGTGCAGGAGTTGGGATGAGTGCTTTTGGGCTGTGGCCCACTGTAACACACCCTAGGGGTGTGTTACAATTAATGCTCTTTTAGCAGTTGCTGTCCACAGATGGCTAAGTGTTAAACCAGCTCAGTGGAGAGTCAGGGTAACAGCCTTTTACATCCTGCCCTCTTTGTACTTGGGCCTTCACTGGTGTCCAGGAATAATTGGATCATGCAGACTTGAAGAATGGTGAATGCAGGGATTTTATTAATTGATAGAGGTGGCTTTCAGTGGGATGGATGGGGTGCTGGAAAGGGGATGGAGTGGGAAGATGATGTTTCCCTGGAGTTGGGCCATCCAGTGGCTGATCTCTCTGATGTCCCAAGACAAACTCCTCTCAACTTTCAGATGCTCCTTCTCTTCTCTCCTTCTCTGTTGTACTGTTCTGCTCCTCTGCCACTCTGCCACTCTTCTGCTTTTGGGGTTTTTATGGGTACAGGATGAAGGAATGGTGGGTCAGAGTGGTCTTGGACAAGGCAACATTTGGGCAAAAAAACAGGAATGTCTGTTCCCATTTAGGGCCATGGGTTTCTAGGCTTGAGGGTGGGGCTTTTGCTGGGGAACCACCCTCTTCTACCCAGTATTTCCCTGCTTCCTGTTCATATTATAATCCTCAACAAAATACTAGAATATTGAATCCAAATCAAATAATATATGAAAATAATTTTATACCATAATTTAATGGGATTTACTTCTGGTATAAAATATTGGTTCAATGTGTAAAAATCAATTAATGTTAAGCTATCATATCAACAAGTTAAAAAAGATAATTATACAATCACATCATTAGATGTAAAAAAATCACAAAATTCATCATCAATTTATAGTAAAAACTCTCATTATACTAGGCATAGAGGGGAATGTCTTCAATTTGATAAAGGACACATACCAAAAAAATACAGCTAGTGTCATCCTTAGGGATGAGAAACTAGTTTTTTTCTATATTCTCACCACTCCTGTTTAACATCATACTGGAAATTGTAGCTAATGCAATGAGCTAACTAAATGAAGAAAAAATATATACAGATTTTGAAGAAAGAAATAAAACTGTCTTTGTTCATAAATGGCAAGTTCGTAGAAAATCTGAGAGAACTGACATACCAAAAAACTCTTGGAACTGGCAAGCAATTACAAAAAGGTTGCATGATACCAGGTCAATATACAAAATTCTATTTATTTTCTATATACCAGTAATAGATGAAATCTGAAGTTACAACCAAATTTTTATTTACATTAGCATCCTCAACAAAATGAAAAACTTTGATATAAACTAACAAATTTGTACAAGATCTATATGAGGAAAATTATAAGATGCTGAGGAAAGCTATAAAAGAAAATCTAAATAAATGGAGACATATTCTGTGTTCATAGAAGGAAGACTCAATTTTGTCTCTGTTCTTCTAAACTTGATTTGTATATGCATGCAATATCACTCAAAATTCCAAGTTATTGTACAGATACTGAAAAACTGATTCTGAAACTCATGCAAAAAAGCAAAACACCAGAAGAGCCAAAACGACATTGAAGAAAAAAGTCAGAGTACTAACACTATAGGTCTTTGACATTTACTAAAAAACTACAGTAATTAAGATGATAGTCTGGCACTGGCAAAAACAAAAAAAGACAAATAATGAAACAAAATAGAGAATCCAGAAATGAACCCATACAAATAGAGTAGATTGATCTTTGTCAAAAAAGTTAAGGCAATTCGATGGCAAAAATATGGTCATTTCAACAAATAGTGCTGCAACACCTGGATATTTATGTGCAACAAAAATGAATCTAGTAACAGACCTTACATTCTTCAATAAAATTTAACTCAGATCATAAACCTAAATGTAAAATAAAAATCTTTAAAATTTTATACAATAACATAGAAGAAAATCTATGTAGCTTTGAGTTTGGTGAGATATATATATATATACACACACACACACACACACACACACACATAATCAAAATAGCTAAAATTCAAAATACTGATGAAATCAAATTTGAGCAATGATGGAGAGGAACAAGAACTCTCATTCATTGATTTAGGGAATAAAAACTGGAATAGCTACTTTGTGTGGCTGTTTCAGAGTTTCTTATAACACTATACATAAGCTTACCACATCATTCAGCAATTGTACTGCTAAATATTTACAAAAATTTATTGAAATCATTTGTCTACACAAAACCCTGCATATGAATGTCTTAGGAGCTTTGTTTATAGTTGCCAAAAACTGGAAGCAACCAAAATGTTCTTCAAAAGGTGAATTAATAAACAAATTGTGATATAACCATAGAATGGAATACTATTCAGTGATAAAAGAAAATGAATGATTTAGCCACAAAAGACATGAAGAAAACTTAAATGCATATTCCTTAGTGAAAGAAGCTTTTGAAAATGCAACACACTATGTGATTTCAACTATCTAACATACTGGAAAAGGCAAAACTATAGAGACTAAAAAGATCAGTGGAAAAGATATTAGAATAGAAGGCCCCACTGTCTCTGCAACAAGAACACCAATTTAACAACTATCTTCACATACACAAAAAGGACTTTCGTAGGAACCAATAATGAAGTGAGCACTCACAATATCCGGTTTTAACTTGTTATATCCCTGAAAGAGGCACTGAGGAGGTGACAAAAAAATCTCTTGAATGGTTGACACCACCCCTCTCCCCTCCCCCAGCAGCAGCAGCAGTGTGGTGCTGAGAGAGTTTCTGTACACTGTTGGAAGGAGAGCACAGTAATTGTGAGGCATTGAACTCAGAGTTGCCGGGTTATAGCAGAAAGAAAGGCTGGACCAAACTCAGCTGACACCCATCCATGGAGGGAGCATTTAAACCAGCCCTAGTCAGAGGGGAATTGCCAATCCCAGCAGTCATAATTTGAGTTCCCACAAGTCTTGCCACCATGGACTGAAGTTCTCTACGACTCTAAATAAACTGAAAAGGCAGTCTAGGCCATAAGGACTGCAACTCCTAGGAGAGTCCTAGTGCTGAACTGGGCCCCAAGACACTGGACTAGAGGGCAGATGACTTACTGAGACATCAGCTGGGGTGGGTAAGGAAGTGCTAGAATCACCCCTACCCAAAACCCAGATTGCACAGCTCGTGGATCCAAAAGAGACTCCTTTTTTTTCTGCTTGAGAGTGGAGAGAGAGAAAGGGGGGAGGTATTTGTCTTGCATCATTGATACTAACTCAGACAAAGCAGGATAGGGCAGGGGTCAGAGTCATGAGGCCCTCTTTCTAGGCCCTAGCTACCAGATATTTTTGGACTCTGGGCCAGAAGGGACATTTCTAGACACATTCGGGTCAGAAGGAAAACTACTACCTTGAAGGGAAGCACCCAGTCCTGGCAGCAGCATTCATCACTTGCTAACTGAAGAGCACTTGGGCCCTTAATAACCAGCAGCAATACCCAGGTACTACATTGAGGGCCTTGGGTGACACATTGAGACTTGCTGGCTTCAGGTGAGACTCAGCACATTATCAGCTTTGGTGGCTTTGGGGAGAGAACCCTCTGCTTGAGAAAGTGAATGGAAAAGTAAAGGGAACTTTGTCTTGCATCTTAGGTACCAGCTCAGCCACAGGCAGGTAGAGCACCAAGTGTACTACTGGGGTCCCCAGTCCCAGGAATTGACTCTTGGATGGCATTTGTGGAGCTTCCCTAGGCCAAAGGGAGCCCACGTTCCCTGAAGGGTGAGTCCCAGGTCAGGCAGCATTCACAAAGCTGATGGTAGTGTCTTTGGGTCTTAGAACATTGGTGGTAGTCTGGAAGTACTCCTCGTGGAACCATGGTGGCAGTGGCCTTGGGTGAGTCTCCTCTGCCTTTGGAAAGGGAGGGGAAGAGTGGGAAGTATTGTGTCTTGGGATTTTAGTGCCAGCTTAGCCGCAGTAAATAGAACACCAGGTAGACTTCTAAGATTTTTGACTCTAGTACCTGGGTCCCAGACAACACCATTACACTTGCCTAGAGCATGGGGGTACTTGCCACCCTGAAGGGAAGGACACAAGCCTGGCTGGCTTCTCCGCTGTCTGACTGCAGAGCACCACAGGCCTTGAGCGAACACAGGCAATAGCCAGGGAGTGGTTATAGCAGGCCTTGGGTGAGATCTAGTGCTGTACTGGCTTCAGGTTTGACTCAGCACATTCATAGTGGTGGTCACCACAGGGGTGCTCATGTCACTAAACTCCCAGCTTCAGGTGGCTCAGAACAGAGAAAGAGAGAGACCGTTTTTGAGAAAGTGAGGGAAAAGAACCAGAGTCTCTGTCTGGTAATCCAGAGAATTCTGAATCTTGTCAAAGACCATCAAGGTGGTACCTCTGTAAGTCTTCAAAAACCACAGCAGTACTGGGCTTGGGATGCCTGCTAAAGCAGATACAGCATAGATCACAACACCCAAATCCTTTCAAATATCGGGAAAGTCTTTTCAAGGAGGACAGGTACAAACAAGCCCAGACTTAGAAGACTTCAATAAGCACTTAACTCTTCAACACCCAGACATCTAAGAACATCTACAAGTATCAAGGCAATCAGGAAAACATAACATCCCCAAATGAACAAAATATGGCCCAGGGACTATTCCTCGATAAACAGTTACGTGACCTTTCAGATAGAAAATTCAAAATAGCTGTATTAAAGAAACTCAAAGAAATTCAAAAGAACACAGAGAAGGAATTCAGAATTCTACCCGATAAACTTAACAAAGAGATTGAAATAATTAAAAAGAATCAAGGAGAAATTCTGGAGCTGAAAAATGCAATTGATATACTGAAGAATGCATCAGAGCCTTTTAATAACAGAATTAATCAAGCAGAAGCAAGAACTAGTGAGCTTGAAGACAGGCTATTTGAAAATACACAGGGGAGAAAAAAAGAATTTAAAAAATGAAGCATGTGTACAAGATCTAAAATTAGCATCAAAGGGCAAATATAGGGGTTATTGGCCTTGAAGAGGAAATAGAAGAAGAGCTAGAGGTTGAAAGCTTATTCAAAGGGATAAAAACAGAGAAATTACTAAACCTAGAGAAAGATATCGATATCCAGATACAAGAGTTATAGAACAGCAAGGAGATTTAACCCAAGGAAGATTACCTCAAGATATTTAAAAATCAAACTTGCAAAGGTCAAGGATGAAGAAGGGATTCGAAAAGCAGCAAGGGAAAAGAAACAAATAACATGCAATGCAGCTCCAATACGTCTGGCAGCAGACTTTTCAATGGAAACCTTACAGGCCAGGAGAGAATGGCATAACATATTTAAAGTGCTGAAGGGGAAAAAAAATAACATTTACCCTAGGATAGTTTATCCTGTGAAACTATTCTTTAAGCATGAAGGAGAAATACAAACTTTCCCAGACAAACAAAAGTTAAGGGATTACGTCAACACTAGACCTATCTTGCAAGAAATTCTGAAGGGAGTACTTCAGTCAGGTCAGAAACAAAGAACATTAATGAGCAATAAGTAATCACCTGAATGTACAAAATTCACTGGTAATAGAGAGTACACAGAAAAACACAGAATCTTATAACAGTGTAACTGGGGTATGCAAACTACTGTTATCTTAAGTAGAATGATTAAATAAAATTAATAAATAAAACTTATCAAGACAGTATAATAACATATAAATAAAAACAATGAAATGTTTAAAAGTGGAGGGACAAAGTTAGGGCATAGTTTTCATTAGTTTTCTTTTGTTTATGCAAACAGTGTTAATTTGTCATCAGCTTAAAATAATGAGTTATAAGATAGTATTTGCAAGCCTCATGATGATCTCAAGCCAAGAACATACAATGGATACAGAAAAAATGAAAAGCAAGAAACTAAATTATATCACCAGAGAAAATCACCTTTTCTAAAGTAAGACAGGAAGAAAAGAAGGAAGACCACAAAACAACCAAAATCAAATAACAAAATGGCAAGAGTAGGTCCTTACTTGTCAATAATAACATTGAATGTAAATGTACTAAACTCTCCTATCAAAACATATAGAGTAGCTGAAAGGATTTTTTTTTTAAAGACCCATTGATCTATGACCTACAAGAAACGCACTTCACCTATAAAGATACACATAGACAGAAAATAAAGGGATGAAAAAAGATATAGCACGCCTGTGGAAAGCAAAAAACGAGGAGTAGTAGCTATTCTTATAACAGAGAAAATAGATTTCAAGACAAAAACTCTAAGAGGCAAAGAAGGTCAGTATATAATGATAAATTGGTCAATCCAGCAAGATGATATACAAATTGTAAATATATATGCACCCAACACTGGAAGACGCACATATATACAGCAAATATTCTTAGAGCTAAAGGGAGAGACAGGCCCCTATACAATGGTAGCTAGAGACTTTAACACCCCACTTTAAGCCTTGGACATATCTTCCAGAAAGAAAATCAACAAAGAAAAGTTGGACTTAATCTGTACTATAGACCAAATGGATCTAAAAGATATTTACAGAACATTATATCCAATGGCTGCAGAATACACATTCTTTTCCTCAGGACTTGCATCATTCTCAATGATAGACTATATGTTAAGTCACAAAACAAGTCTGAAACCTTCAAAAAAAAAAGAAAGAATATCCAGCCTCTTCTCTGACTGTGATGGAATAAAACTAGAAATCAATTACAAGAGGAATTTTGAAAACTATACAAATAAATAGAAATTAAATAATATGCTCCTGAATGATCACTGAATCAATGAAGAAATTAAGAAGGATATGAAAAAATGTCTTGAAACAAGTGATAATGGAAATATGGCATACCAAATTCTATGGAATCAGCAAAAACAGTAGTAAGAGGGAAGTGTTTTTTTTATTATTATACTTTAAGTTCTAGGGTACACATGCACAATGTCCAGGTTTGTTACATATGTATACATGTGCCATGTTGGTGTGCTGCACCCATTAACTCATCACTTACATTAGGTATATCTCCTAATGCTATCCCTCCCCCCTCCCTCCACCCCCCATGACAGGTCCCGGTGTGTGATGTTCCCCACCCTGTGTCGAAGTGTTCGTAACAGGGAAGATTTTAGCTATATGTGCCTATGTCAAAAAAGAGAAAAAAGTTCAAGTAAACAATCTAACAATGCATCTTAAAAAACTAGAAATGCAAGAGCAAACCAAACCCAAAATAAGAAAAGAAATAATAAACATCAGAGCACAAATAAATGAAACTGAAATGAAAAAAATACAAAAGATCAATAAAACAAAAAGTTATTTTTTTGAAAAGTTAAGCAAAATGGACAAACCTTTAGGAAGACTATGAAAAAAAGAGAGAAAATCCAAATAAATAAAATCAGAGATAAAAAATAACACATTAAAATTGATACCACAGAAATTCAAAGGATCATTAGTGGCTCCTATGAGCAACTGTGTGCCAATAAATGGAAAAATCTAGAAGAAGTTGATAAATTCCTAGTCACATACAACCTCTCAAGATTGAATCATAAAGAAATCTAAAACCTGAATAGACCAATAACAAGTAATGAAATTAAAGCGATAATGAAAAGTCTCCAAATAAATAAAAGCCCAGGACACAATGACGTCACTGCTGAATTCTACCAAATCTTTAAAGAAGAACTAATATCAATTCTACTGAAACTATTCCAAAAACAAAAGAGTAGGAGGGGATACTTCCAATCTCATTCTACAAAGCCAGTATCACTCTGATGACAAAACCAGACAAAGATACATCAAAAAAAGAAAACTATAGGCCAATATCTCTGATGAATATTGATGCCAAAATCCCCCCAATAAACTGCAAATCAAATTCACAAAATATTAAAAAGATCATCACATTCATCACGATCAAGTAGGATTTATCTCTAGGATGCAAACTATATGATCACTTCAATTGATGCTGAAAAAGCATTTGATAAAATTCAATATCCCTTCATGATAAAAACCTTCAAAACACTGGGGATAGAAGGAACGTACCTCAACATAGTAAAAGCCATATATGATAGACCCACAGCTAGTATCATACAGAATGGGGAAACCTGAAAGCCTTTCCTGTAAGATCTGGAACATGACAAGGATACTAACTTTCACCACTATTATTCAACATATTACTGGAAGTTCTAGTTAGAGCAATCAGACAAAAGAAATATATAAACGGCATACAAATTCAAAAAGAAAAAGTCAAATTATCCTTGTTTGCAGATGATATGACTTTGTATCTGAAAAAATCTAAAAACTACATCAAAGAATGATTAGAACTGATAAATTCAGTAAAGTTGCAGCATACAAAATCAACATACAAAAATTAGTAGCATTTCCACATGCCAACAGTGAAGAATCTGAAAAAAAAATGTAATCCCACTTACAATACCCACACATAGAATTAAATACATAGAAATTAACAAAAGAAGTGAAAGAGCTCTATAATAAAACCTATGAAACATTGATGAGAAAAATGGAAGGGAACATAAAAAAATTGAAAGATATTCCATATTAATGGAATGGAAGAATCGATATTGTTAAAATGTTCATACTCCCCAAAGCAATCAACAGATTCAATGTAATTCCCTATTAAAACACTAATAAAATTCTTCACAGAAATAGTAAAACAGTCCTAAAATTTAAATGAAACCACAAAAGACCCAGAATAGTGAAAGCTATCCTAAGCAAAAAAAAATAAAAAAGTCTGAAGGAATCACGTTACCTGACTTCAAATTGTACTATAGAGCTGTAGTGACAAAAACAGCATGGCACTGGCATCAAAACAGACACACAGACCAATAGACTACAATAAAGAACCTAGGAACAACTCCACACACCTACAGTGAACTCCTTTCTGACAAAGGTGTCAAGAACATACACTTGGGAAAAGACAATCTCTTTAATAATTGGCACTGGGTAAACTCAGTATCCTATGCAAAGAATGAAGCTAGACCCTTTATTTCTCACCATATGAAAAATCAAATCAAAATGAATAAACACTTAAATCTAAGACCTCACTAAGAAATTACTACAGAAAACCATGGGGGCATAAATCTGCAGGACATTGGTGTGGGCAAAAATTTCTTAAGCAATACCTCACAAGCGCAGGCATCTGAAGGAAACATGGACAAATGGAATCACATCAAGTCCTTCCACACAGCCAAGGAAACAATCACCAAAGTGTAGAGACAATCCACAGGCTGGAAGGAAATATTTGCAAACTACCCATCTGATTGGGATTAATAACCAAAATACATAAGTATTTCAAACAACTGTATAGGAAAAAATCTAATAATCTGATTTTTTAAATGGGCAAAAGATTTGAATAGACATTTGTCAAAAGAAGACATAAAAATGGCAAACACGTATATGTAAAGGTACTCAACTTCACTGATAATCAGAGAAATGCAAATCAAAACTACAATGAGATATCATCTCATCCCAGTTAAAATAGTTTATATCTAAGAGACAGGCAATAACAAATGCTGGTGAAGATGTGGAGAAAAGGGAACCCTTGCACACTGTTGGTGGGAATGTAAATTAGTACAAACATTATGGAGAACAGTGTGCATGTTCCTCCAAAAACTAAAGACAGAGCTACCATATGATGTGGCAATTCTACTGCTGGGTATATACCCAAAAGAAAGGAAATCAGTTTATCGATGTGCTATCTGCACGCTTATATTTGTTGTAGCATTGTTCCCAATTGCCAAATTTGGAAACAGCATAAGTGTCCATCAATAGATGAATGGATAAAAAAATGTGGCATCTATACACAATGGAGTATTATTCAGCCATAAAAATATGAGATCCTGTCATTTGAAATAACATGGATGGAACCAGAGATCATTATGTTAAGTGAAATAAACCAGACATAGAAGGACAAGCATGGCATATTCTCATGTATTTGTGGGATCTAAAAATGAAAACAATTGAATTCATGTAGCTATAGAGTAGAAAGATACCAAAGGCTAGGAAAGGTAGTGGAGGAGTGGGGGTGAGTTGGGTATAATTAATGGGTACACAAAACAGAAAGATTAGATAAGACCTAGTATTTGATACCACAACAAGGTGACAATAGTCAATAATAACTTAACTGTATACTTTAAAATAATGGAGTAGAATTGGATTGGTTGTAACACAAAGGATAAATGCTTGGGGGGATGAATACCTCATTCTTCATGATGTGATTATTATGTGTTGCATGCCTATATCAAAACATCTCATGTACCCAAGAAATAACATACCTACTATGTACTCACCAAAATTAAAAATCAAAAAAACTTTAAAAATTAGAGAAGCTACTTAGAAGTAAACAAAGATCAGTGGTTGCCAGGGGTTCAGGAGAGATAAGAAGGCAGATAAACAAGTGAGTTGCAGGATAGTTATAGGGTGGTGCAACTATTCTGTATGATTCTGTACACGTGGTTTCTTGACATTACACATTTTTCAAAACTCATATAACTGTACAACGCAAAGTGTGAGCCCTAAGGTACCTCCTAGTCTTTAGTTAATAACAGTGTATCAATTCTTACTCATTAGTTGTAACAAATGTGCCTTACTAATACAAAATAATACTAGGAGAGACTTTAAGTCAGAAAGAGAGGGAATATATGGGAACTCTGTATGCTACTTGCTCAATTTTCTGTAAAACTACTCTAAAAATAAAGCCTATTAACTTAAATATAAACAAAAAATCACTGGGCTTCACCCATGGGTCCAAATTGTTAGCATATTCTAGTCTCATTTGAACATGACTTCCTCATCATGACATTCGGTTGCCACATTTAACAAGTAAGTTGATGCTACACTCATCAGAAGAGCATCACTTGGTGGAAGACCAATAATTTGAAGTCAGCAGAGCTTGCAAGGACTCTGAAAAAGAAATATAAGATTTTCACTTTTGTGGGGTTCTATGAAATAATTTTCATTTTTAAAAGATTAAAAATCTAGTAAGGAAATAAAATAATTTCAAGCTCACTGTAGCTTGAAGTTAATGCAAAATACTGTTGGCAGGACTGGTTCAAAAATAAACTTGTTTTATACAAACAAAATGAATCACAACATTGTACACATCTGTGCTAAAACTCATAGAGATGCTAGATGAGGATAATGCAGTGTGAGCTATTTTCCTATCTTCATAAGAACATCCCTATCACCTTGATATAAAATTTAAATGAGGAATGTCGTAAAATATCAGCTACACACACACGTGCACGTGCACACACACACACACACACACACACACCCCTAGAGAGACTACTTGCTTTTCAAAGTGACCTCTCCTAGGAAGCATCTCTCCAGAAAATAGCAACAATTTGGTATCAGCCTAGGGTATTGCCTTTTATTGTTCCCTATGTCATGAGATCAATTGTCTGGTTGGAGATCTTGCCACAGTGCTTTATGTGACATTAGTGTCTGACTTTTAGTTATCAGTGATAGCAAATGAGATTCTGTTCATTTCATTCAGAGTGAGTGAGGCTATATTATTAAGCAGAAAGTTGCATATCTTGAGAGAAGAGCCTTCTTAGGTACAGCTTTAGCATTTGGTATCATGTCACACAAATATTGCTATTATGTGTGCAAAAGGGGCAAGAGCTAGAATGAAGCTGATTAATTATTTGAACTTTCCCCTAACTCCTAACTTATAAATTGTGATTTTTCTTATGTCCTAGTTTTTAGAGAGATAGCATTAGTTAAAAGCACCATATAAACTTAGTTTTAAAGTAATATTCGGCTATGGAGTTGACATCTGACCTCTTTAGTCCTTAATCTTCTGTAGTCAGAAAGAGCAATTAAAATTTCCCCAAGGGAATACAATACCAATTTTGAGAATTTTAGAACAGGTAAAGCATACAAGAATAGATACCAGATACCTGGGATGTTTGCGTTATGTCCACTAAAAGGGAAAAGTACTTTTAAAAGTACTTTCTTCTATTTTTTAAAAGTAATAGAAAAAAGTAAATATTAACATATAACATTTTTATGTGCTTCTAGCAGGTACCAGGCACTCTCACATAATTTGCCTCATTTAGATCCTCACAGCATTCCTGTGGATAATATTATCACCATTTCACCATTTTGTTGAGGAACTGAAGCCTAAAGAGGCTAAACAACCAAGAAAAGTTGAAAAAAAAGAGAGAGAGAGAGAGCAAGAGAGCACTAGGTCCTACGTATGAAATCAAATCTTATATGTTTTGAAGAGATCACTCTACCTCTGATTGCTAATGAATTCATGGTCTTCTCTGTTTTATATCTCTTCACGATCTATTCTTCACTCTCTGTTAGCAATTTCCTTTGGATTTTTTTTCTATTTTTTCATTCTTACATTTTGTATTCACCAGGGAATGAATTAAACCAGTTAGCCTTTGATTCCTTCATGCCTGAGAGGGAGGTGGTTTGCAAGGACATGACCCCAGGGGACAAAAAAAAAGGCAGGTGACCAAGTCTAATCACCTTGTCAACTGGACCTTCAGGTAAATTGATTAATGACATTTGCTAGGATGAAGGGACTGATGTTGGAAATGCCTTTAGCAGAATCTCTCTTTTTACCTTTAATAAATAGGACACAGGAACCATGAGGCATGGCTCGCCAGAGAATGTAGTATAAACTGCACAGCTCTGTTTAAATGCTGTACTCTGTCTGAGAAACTCCATGAACCTCACTTAGAGACCTCATCTTTTCTCGTCCAGCACATTTCTGACATACAAGGAAGGACCTGGGGATCTGCCTTTAAAACTCAACATTTCTTTTGGCTTTGCATGAGCCTCTTGGTAGACAATATCCTGTAATATTTTTTGGTAAAACAATACAGATTTCTGATTTGTGTCTGATTTGCCAGTTTGAACCAGTGTGCTAGCTAACTCATTAAATTTACTGCTGATGTATACCTATAGCTGACATCATTATTAGGAACTCTAGAGTAGCAGCACAGATTCTATAATTAAGGATGACTGGTGTGTCTGTGCCCCTGTTTCTGTGTATCTCCTGAGACTAGGCTAGATCTCTGAAAATGTTTTCATGCAGTTCTGGAAGGCAGCAACCACTGGACTGCAGGCCAGTAGCCCCAGAGAGTGGTGGCGTATTGTTATCAACAGATGGTGAAAGAAAATGAACAGTGTGGAGTTAAGCTCCAAGGGAATTCCAGTCAGGAAAGCTAGAGCTATTCAATTATATGGTACCGGGAATTGGATTCTGCCAAGTATGATGTGAGTACACTGCTCACTGCATTGCTCACCTTCAACACCTCATTTCCAAAAGACTGGTCCACATCTACTGCAGAAAGTTTGCAGATTTTTAAGATGCAGAGCACAGGAATGGCTTGAAGAATCACAAATAGCTAGTATGTTATGTAATAGGACTTAGACCAGCTTAAATGTCTTTTTTTTTTTTTAAATAGAAGATTTGCTCATTGTTTGACATTTTCTTAGGCTAGCATTAAAATTAGGTTGACATTTTTGGCCTTTTTATACTGGGCTCCCAATAAGCATAGCAATAGATTATTTAATCCACTATTTATGTCTTTTGAATCCTCTGAGAAACAAATGCCTAGATGGAATTAGGTGTGCAAGATATTTATTGAGGGAGACACTTCTGAAGAATGGAATAAACAGGGAGAGACTTAAGACTGCAGTGACTTCAGACTCCTGTTAAGGGAGAGAGGAAAGAAAGTATCAGGTAGGAAGTGCCTCAGACTGCAGCACAATTCTGAGAAAGCCTCAGTCATGGTGGTGGAAATCAGTAAGCAATATTTTCCTATTAGAAGAATCCCTCTCTAGGCATCAATGGGCCAGCATCATAATCCTGGTGGATTTTCCCAGTCTTTCACTGGGAAAAACCTAGGAGAACTGTGGTCCTTGATTATTTCTATTGTTTGCTTTTCCTCTTAACAATGGATCATAATTCCCTGCCCCCACATGTTTTCTAATTTTTCTTTCTATGTCAGATATGTGAGCAAGAGAACTGGGGATCCTACAGTAATGTTACGTTTCAACAGAAGTGATATTCTTTGTCAGGCAAGCATCATGGACTGAGAGTTTGTTCCTGTGTAAAATTCCTACGTTGAAGTCTAGTATGCAATGTGATGGTATTTGGAGGTGGGGCCTTGGAAGGTAATTAGGTCATGATTGTGCAGCCTTCATAAATGAGATTAGTGCCCTCATAAGAGAGGCCAGAGAGCTAATTTGCTGTCTTTCCACCACATGGGGATACAAGAAGTCTGCCATCTGCAGCCTGGAAGAGCGCCCTCACCAGAACCATGGTGGCACCCTACTCTGGGACTTTCAGCCTCCAGAACTATAAGAAATAAATGTCAATTGTTTATAAGCTACCCAGTCAATGGTACTCTGTTACAGCAGTCTGAGATGACTAAGACAACAAATAAGATGATACACTGGTAACCTCAACCAATCAGGAATTAGGCTTGTTTCGGTTGAGTTGCAGTTTTAGAAAGATTCTTTTCACTTCAGTTTGTCCTTTCCTTTGGGCATTACCCTACTCTTTTTTGTTGTTGTTGAATTTTATTATTTTTGTCTCCTCACTAATAAACATTTCTAGAAGAATCATTTTTGTCCTGTGAAGGTCTTGAGTTTAGCTCCTTAGCCTCCACCCACAAAGCTTCAGAATCTAGCACATGTCTTAAGAGAGAAGGGGGCTTTGTGTATTTGACGTGGGATCCTCTTCTAGTGGGACTTTGATTCCTAAGAACCACAAGACCACAGATTTTACTCTGCCCTGTTTAGGTGTTGCAGACTTAGCCCTCCAGCTTTCTATTCTATGACAGATGTCAACAAATTTCTCCTGGGGAAAGGCAGATGTGTGTTTGAGGCTCCCCTAAATAATGATCTGTCATGTTAGGGTTCACAACCATAACCAACTCCGCTTTCTCTCTTTTCCCCAGCTGAGCCCTTCTGCTTAGGTTATGCCTAATGTTCAGGCCATGCTCAGAATTGACAAATTCTCCCAGTGCAGAAAGTGATTGACCTTTGTCATCTCTCCTAACAAGTTGAACTTTATCTAGTTCTTGTTATTTGCACAATTTTCTGATGTGGAATTACAATTTTGGACATAAACATTATTAGTTATTGTTGAGAATCATGGTCTCGATATTTAGAACAATTTATCAATTTATTCGGTTATGATTTCTAGATTCTGAGACATAATTAGAAAGGCCTATCTTACCTTCTCTAGGAACATAAATAATTTTTCCATAACTTATAGTATTTAAAAATATTTACTATTTTGTCAATTAAATCTTTGGCCTGTTTAGAAGATATCCTTACAATGTGAGGCATAACTCTAAATTAGTTTTCAAAGGGCTAATTCAGTTGTCTTAAGACTACTGGGTAATTATAACTTTTTCCTACCTGATTTGAGATGCCAATTTTATATTATAATAAGACCCATACATATTTTGATTGATCTTTGGAATTTCTATTATTTTACATCAGTTTGTTTGTTTACTAATGAAACTGTATACTGTGTTTTAATTTTCAGATTTTAAAACATATACCAACATCTGAGAGGCGCAGTCCTTTCCTTATTTTTCTTCTATTTCTGGGTTTTCCAGGTTTTTATTATTAGCCTATTTTTTTTCATATGAACCATGGATGAAAAGAATAAAGATAGTATTTTTTGAAGATCTCATTAACATAATATCACTTATAGAAAAATGAGTCCTTTATGATGCAGAATCTTCCTGCCCAAGTATATTCAATTTATTTTCATTTGTTCAAATCTTTTGTGTCTTTCAGTAGAGCTTGAAAATATTCTGTGTATATAACTTTTACTTTTCTTTTTACTGTATTCTTAGGAGTTTGATTTTTATTGTTGTTATTATGGTAAACGGTGATGTTTATTTTATCTTCTAAATGGTTGCTGCTGATATATAGAAAGCTGTTGGTGTCTCTGCCAGTTTAATACTTCAGTAACTAGCTTGTTAAATTTTTAGGGTTTTCTCTTGGATGTCACATGTATAAAATTACAGAATCTATGAAAACTGAAAAGTTTTAGCTTTTTCTTTTAATGTGTTTAAAAATCTCAAATAACATTCTCTTGCCCAAATGCAATTGCAAAGCACCTCCAGTGAAAAGTTATTTTTAACACAAAATAGTGTAATGACCCTATTTTTCCTGTTTCTGACTTAACAAGAAATGCTCTATTGTTTCCTCATTAATCATGCTGGTTTGGCAAGAGAGGTAAATATATTTTATAGTTTTAAAAGAATTCATGTATTCCTATTTCTTGAAAACTTCATTTTTACTTTTTTTTTTTTTTTTTTTTTTTTTGAGACAGAGCCTTACTCTGTTGCCCAGGCTGGAGTGCAGTGGCACAGTCTTGGCTCACTGAAACCTCCGCCTCCTGGATTCAAGAGATTCTCCTGCCTCAGCCTCTGTACACTGGGACTACAGGCGCTCACCACCACAACCAGCTGATTTTTTTATTTTTAGTAGAGATGGGGTTTTGCCATGTTGGCCAGGCTGGTCTCAAACTCCTGATCTCAGGTAATCTGCCTGCCTTGGCCTCCCAAAGTGCTGTGATTACAGGTATGAGCCACTGCACCAGGCCTATTTTTGCTTTTTTATAATTGAGTATTCTAAATGTACAATAAGGTACACAAAACATAAATTTACATAATAACAAATAGATTACCATAAAACAAAAAAACTATATAACTGTTAGCAAAGTCAAAGAAAGGATAATTGGCAGTTTACCAAAGCACTGCTCACACACACTATCAAGTAATATCTCCTCTTTATCCCCAAAGTTGAATATTATTCTCACTTCCATGTGGTTTAGTATTGCTTGCAAGTATTTTTCAGGGTTTAATTTTCTACTCAACATTTAAGTTTGTAGGTTTCATCCATGAATTTGAATTCATTTTTATTGCTATATTACATAGATTGTATAAGTTTACTACAATGTGTGTACATCATGCACTGTTGATGGATATTTGGAATGTTTCCAGTTTGTGGATATTATAAAATATGGCACCACGAATATTCTTACATATATTGGCTTAGTAGACATGTGCATGTTAAGTATACATCTGGGAGTAGAATTGTCGGATGATAAGGAATGCATATATTCGATTTTAGTTGTTACAGTCAAATATATAGCTTCCTAAAGTGGTTATAAAATTTATATTCCCACTAGCAATATATGATAATTCAAACCATTTCACCTCTATGACAAAACTCAGCCTTGTTTATTTAACTACAAATTTTAATGATAGAAACTGCAGGAAAAATAACAAGAATTATTCAATGATGATAGAAAGAACAAATTGTCAAAAATACGTATTTATCCATGTATTCAATACTCAATAGTATAGCCTCAATCATATCAAGTAAAAAAGTCAGAATTAATATAATTATTAAATCAGTTACTATATGGTAATATATTCACATACTTTTCATAAACTAATAGATCATGAAGCCTAAAAGATTAATAGAAATATAGAAAATTTAGATAACATAATTATCAAGCTTGGCCCAATAAACATATTTAAAACTCTGCTACTGAAATATCAACATACACATTTTTCTCAAGCTCATATGGAATACTAATGAGTGAACTTGAAGTATCATATACACGTTTCCAATCTAAACACTCATACAAATAATGAAGTAAAACAATTTTTAAGTGTAAACTTTATTTTATGATCAAGCTATAAAATGTACAGCAGAAGAGTAAAATGTTAGCAGCAAATATTTTCCAGTCCCTAACTCCGATTCTTCATTGCCATTCTTTGGTAGTATCAAATTATATTAGCTCATGCTTGCACTGCTATAAAGAAATAACTGAGACTGGGTAATTTATAAAGAAAATAGGCTTAATTTGCTCCTGGTTCCTCAAGGTGTACAAGAAACATAATGCTGGCATCTGCTTGGTTCCTGGGTAGCCCTCAGGAGACTTTCAATCATGACAGAAGGCAAAGGGGAAGCAGGCTCATTGTAAGTGACAAGAGGAAGAGGAAGAGGGTGAGGGGAGGTGCTACACACTTTTAAGCAACCAAATCTCATGATAACTGACTATTGCAACCAAGAGTACAGAGCTAAACCATTTATGAGAAACCTCTTCCATGATCCAATCACCTCCCACCAGGCCCCACCTCCAATTTTGGGGATTGCAATTGAACATGACATTTTGGTGAGGACACAGATCCAAACCATATCATTCTATCCTTGAACCCTCTTAAATTTCATGTCCTTCTCACTTTGCAAAATAAAATCATGCCTTCCCAATAACCCCTAAAGTTTTAACTCATTCAGCATTAACTCAAAAGTTAAAAGTCAAAAGTCTCATCGAGACAAGGCGAGTTTCTTCCACTCATGAGCCTGTAAAATTGAACACAAGTTAGTTACTTTCAAGATACAGTGGGAGTATAGGCACTGAGTAAGTACCCCAATTCTAAAAGGGAGAAATCAGCCAAAAGAAAGGGGTTACAGGTCCCATGCAGGTCTGAAGCCTAGCAGACAGTTTTTAAATCTTAAAGCTCTAAAATAATCTTTGTCTCCATGTCTCACATCTAGGGAATACTCATGAAAAGTGTAAGCTTCCAAGGCCTTGGGCAGCTCTGTCCCTGTGACTTTGAAGGGTTCAGCCCCCACAGCTGCTCTCACAGGCTGGTGTTGAGTGCCTGTTGCTTTTTTAGGCACAGGGAGCAAGCTGCTGGTGGATTTACCATTCTGGGTCTGGGGGGTGGAAGCTCTCTTCTTACAGCTCTAATAGGCAGTACCCCAGTGATGACTTTGTGTGAGGGCTCCAGACCCACATTCCTCTCTGCACTGCCCTAGTAGAGGTTCTTCATGAGTGTTCCACCACTGCAGCAGGCTTCTGCCTGGACATACAGGCTTTTTCGTGCATCCTCTGAAATCTAGGCAGAGGCTCCCAAGCCTCAATTCTTGCACTGTGCACACTCACAGGCTTAACACTGTATGGAAACCACTAAGGTTTATTTTTTGCACCTTCTGAAGCAGCAATTCAAGCTCTACCTGTGCTTCCTTGGGCCACAGTTGAAGCTGGAGTGCCTGAGGGAGAAGTTTCCTGAGGCTGCACAGCACGGTGGGGCCCTGGGCCTTTCCCATGAAACCATTTTTCCCTCCTAGGCCTCTGGGTCTGTGATGGGAGGGGCTGCCATGAAGATTTCTGAAATGCCTTCAGGGCTTTTTTCCTTATTGTCTTGAATATTAGTATTAGCATTCTTTTTAGTTATGCAAATTTCTGCAGCCTACTTGAATTCCTCCCCTGAAAATAGGCTTTTCTTTTCTACCATATGGACAGGCTGCAAATTTTCCAAACTTTTATGCTCTCTTTTAAATATAAATTCCTGCTTTCCTTTTAAATATAAATTCCAATTTCATGTCATTTTTTTGCTCATGCATATGAGCATAGGTTGCTAGAAGAAGCCAGGATACATCTTGAAACCCTTTGCTGCTTAGAAATTTCTTCTGCCAGTTACCCTACATCATCAGTCTCAGTTTAAAAAGTTCCACAGATCCTTAGAGCAGGGGTACAATGCACCCAATGTCTTTGCTAAGGCATAATAAAAATGACCTTTGCTTCAGTTCCCAATAAGTTCCTCATCTCCATCTGAGACCTTCTCAACCTGGACTTCATTGTCCATATCATGATCACTACTTTGGTCACTACAGTTTAAAAAGTCTCCAGGAAGTTTCAAACTTTGCCTCATCTTCCTGTCTTCTTCTGACACCTCCACACTCTTCCAACCTCTGCCTGTTACCCAGTTCCAAAATCACTTCCACATTTTCAGGTATCTTTATAGTAATGCCTCACCATCAGTACCAGTTTTCTGTATGAATTCATTCTGTCACTGCTATAAAAAACACCTGAGACTGGATAATAAAGAAAAGAGGTTTAGTTGGCTCATAGTTCTTCAGGCTGTAGAGGAAGCATGATGCTGGCATGCATCTCCTTGGCTTCTGGGGAGTCCTCAGGAAAGTTTTGATCATGGCAGAAGGTGTAGGGGAAGCAGGTATGTCTTACATGGCCAGAGCAGGAGGAAGAGATAGTGGACAGGGAAGTGCTGCACACTTTTAAACAACCAGATCATGATAGCTCACTCACTATCACAATCAAGGGGATGGTGCTTAATCACTCATGAGAAACCACCCCCATGATCCAACCACCTTCCACCAGGCCCCACCTCCAATATTGGGGATTACAATTGAGCATGAGATTTTGGTGAGGACACAGATCCAAACATATCCCTAATATTAATATCTTCTATCATATTATTTCAGCAATTTCTGCATAGAAATACATAATTGTGTATGTATCAAAATACTATACATTCTGTTTTTATTGTCTTTCCCATGATTTTTTATGTAAATTTATTATATTTTACAAATGGTTAATCAACTGTAGTTTTTCACCTAATTCTGGTATGTATATCTTTACATATATATGTGTGTGTGTGTATATATATATACACACACACACATATGTATATAAAATTGCTGTGTGTTCATGTTTTTGTGTATCTTGACATGTCAAGATACACTAGATCATAGGTGAAAAAAGTTGCAGAATATATTTATAATATATTTATATATTATATACATATATGTATATATACACATTATATATATTTATATATGATGTATATAAACACATATACATACATATATGCATTATTCTTTTTATATCTGCATAGATTTTTATTACATAGTTGTGCCATGGCTTAGCTAGATGCTATTGTGGACTATTTTTATATTGTTTTTCTAGTAGAAATCGGCTCTAACAAACAACCATTAACACTTTCTGCATCTTTAGAATACATTTCGTGGACTTTCTACAGTCTCATAATTCAAATATTTACTATGGAGTCTTTGGGGAGCATTTAAATCAAGCTATTTAGAGAGCAGTAACCCCAGTTTGTCACTTAAAATATCTCTCAAAGTTAAAAACAAAAAGATTCAGGCAGAAAATCAAGGTGATTCTCTTCACAGGCTAATTTTGGAGTAGCTTACATAATCTACTTATCTGTGAATATATGTAAAGTAGTACCTGTGTGAGTCAAGTAAGAGGACAAAACCACAATGTGCCTCATTTTACTTGACAACTTTCTTATTAATTGTACTATTTGTTTAAAGAACCAACATAGAAACTTAATTCAAGTTCTGGGTGTTAGATTGCACAAAGATGTAATTTACCGTAGTACCTCCTTATCTGTGGGGGACATATTCCAAGACCCCCCAGTGGATGCCTAAAACCACAGATAGTACCAAACCTTATATATACTGTTTCTTTGTTCTTACAACTTAGACGAGGTACTAAGTGACTAACAGGCTGGTAGTGTATACAGCGTGGACACACTAGACAAAGGGATAACTCAAATCCCAGATGGATCAGAGCAGGGATGGTGTGACATTTCATCCTGCTATTCAGCATGTTGCCCAATTTAAAATTTAGGAATGGTTTATTTCTGGAAATATTTATTTAATATTTTCACACCCTAGTTGATCATGGGCAACTGAAACTACAGAAAGTGAAACCTCTGATAACGGGGGACCACTGTATTATAGGTGCAAATTGACTGCTAGAGTCTCAGGTTGCTGGGATACTCATAATCTTTTAAAAGCCTAATGTGGATAAGAATAACCACTATAAGAAAACACAAGGTGCTGGGGGCATGTTTTACTAATAATCTTACCTCCTAAATATTTCTTCAATCTATTGCTTTATCTCTTGCCCCAAATTTCCTATTTAAACTTGTTAAGATTATCTTTTACAAAATTGGAGTAATAGTCTAGCATTACTTTTCTTAACTTTTTTTCATTATCCTTTCCAAGAGGAAGACTAATATATTTTAATTTAAAATCATTATTTGTTCATTAAAACATTTAATTAAATATATTCTCCCTAACAAAATTAAATTTATTTTCCCTAACGAGAGAAATTAAATACCAGGCAATACAATTGTTTTGGGTAGGATTGAGCTTTGGAGATTCACAAACCATTTTAATAGCTAAGATTCCTCTTCCCCTAGCCAATTTTTACCCCTTTGAGGGTTCTATTGCCCTCATTGAAAACGCTTACTCTGTCCCTCTTGTGGTCTACCTGTTTCCAATTCTTGCCTCTTCCAACCATTCCCTATATTGCTGCTAGGATTGTCTTTCTAATATGCACATCTGATGACATTAATTACCAGCTTAAAATTTTCATTGAGTTTTTGACACAACTTGATAAAACACAAACTCCTTACAAGATCTTTAAAATTGAATCCGGCGTCACTTTCCACTTGAGTGGAATGTCAGTCTGGGACTATAGCCCTACTGAACTAACACTGCTTCCCTGAATCCACCATGCCTGTATTGGCCTCCAGAATTTTGCGTGTACTTTTCTCTGCTTGGAATGAGTTCTCGAAAACTCCTACACATCATTTAAGTGTCACCTCAGCATCAAATCTTCTCTGAATTTTCCTCAAAAACGTGTTCACTTCCTTTGTTTTGCTCTAAGACCTCCATTATCATATTGTGTTATTTCTCTACTATTTTACTGTATTATACCTCAGTATTATAATATAAACTCTGCTAATAATTACTTATCCCCTCCCCTTTATTTTATGAGTCCTCACAACATACAGATTTTCTGTTGTTAACCTTTGTACCTGTATCGTCTAGGACAATGCCTCGCTAAATATTCACAAGACATATAAGAAATTGGAAAGAATAACTGAAAACATTTATAGTTCTGTCGGTAATATTTTGTTTCCCAATATTGTGCTCTTTCCTCAACCAGTATTGCTTAACTAATCCTAACAAAATAAATCAGATTTCTAAAAAATGCTTCTAGAACTCCATTCTTCAATCATATTAGAAACCCTAAAGACTTCAGCAATATCCTCTTCTATTTTTGAAGCAATCCTGTTATTTCCTTCTTTCAAATACTAATTGCTTCCCACATCCTATAAATCAGAATTGTTTTTTCTCACTTTATTATGAGTTACTCACTATTCTGTTCCAGAAGGGAATACATTATCTTGTAAAACCGTCCTATGAGCTTTTGCTCACTTTGTTCTGTTGGCACACTTTCTGCTTCACTTAACCTATTCTATATCGTCAATACCACCTGATGTACAAATCTTACATTTTCCATTCAGTAATAATCTTAGATTTCTCCTCTTAGATCCTTCTTTTTCACAAAGTTTCTTTACAAATTAACCACTCATTTTCTCAATGCATATAAACAATTCTATGAGTAATGTGTATATTTTATTAATTTAAATAACTAAAATATTATTTTGATTGTTTCACGGAATGCCATTGTAACTTGGCAAAATTTATCAAGAGCCCAACATGCAACCTTAGAACAACATTTCAGATCAAGAAACAAATGGGTTAGATTGACAGAGATTTATAACTTGGATGTTCAGTACAGTGTTCACTATAATAGTAAAGGTTTTACAGGTAGCTCAAATATCCAAAATAGGGGCTGTTAAGCATCATGGCATGTATGTACACATGCTTGTGTGTATCATCTAGCCATTAACAACCAGGCTTGGAAAACAGTCCCTGACGATTCAACTTACAATTTTTTGACTTTACAATGGGTTTGTTGTTGGGGTATTAATGAATTTTTGACTTACAATTTGTTTATCAGGTCATAATTACACTGTAAGTAGAGGAGAATATGCATTATATATCAGACAAATACAGTATGACCCAAATTTTCACATAATTGATATGCTCCTAGGAATAATAACAGAAATAAACAAACCAAAACATTTGTTTTTTTCTTGAAATATTTACTTATAGGTTTTATTTTTTCCTGTTTTTCTTTATTTTCCAAGTATTTTGCAATAAGCATGTACTACTATTATCACCAGAATTAAATGTAGTCACAACATAAAGTGATATGAAAAAAATATATAGTTAGTAAAAAACACACAAACCGCACATAATCTTTTGGGCCTTCACAGATTCACCACACTTGGTTATTATTCATATTCCCTACAGTATATTTATATAGACCTGTATTCAACACGGCTATTTTCTGTAAGCACAGTTGGTTAGTAACCGTGTTATAAAATTTAATGAACATTTACTAAAAACCTGAAAAGTTTAGTTATTTGTCTTAACTCCCTGTGTCCATGTGTGAGCAAAGACTTGGATGAAATATAAAAATTTCAGTGAAGCATAAGCCCACATATGGATACAGACTTTTTTGTGTTTGTTTGCTTTCTGGAATTATCCAGAAATTGCTTCATCTGTCACTTTCACTGTAACTTCTAGGGGAGTATAATGCCAACAATAAAAGCATTTCTATAGTGAATTAATTTTATATTAAAAATCCAAATTAGTTGGCTTTCATCAAAAAGACCAAACACTTCTTAATTTTCTTATTCTTTTCTTTCTTACTCTTCCAATGTTGCTCAGTTATTTTATGACAGCTTTTGTCAAATTGGTTTTATTTTAGAGGATTCCAACCTTTTAGAGACAATCAATCAATCAATTTGAGAATTGTCTACATTTCAAAAAAAAAAAAAAACATAAGCAGCAAAAGAAAGCCCAGATTGGTGTCTAAAACATCTTTTTCAAAGTTGAAGCCCCAGACTTTGATTGAAATTTAATAAATCTGTTCTTGTGATTTAAGAATTCTTTTACTTTAAAAAAGGATAAGTGCCTATACAGGGCTTGCAGGCAAGGTATATCCTGAGTAACTAAAACTCTCATCCCTAGGTGTACCATTACTCAGTTCTAGCTGAGAGTTAATAGAGATTAATGAATTATTGAATGCTAGTATTTACTAAAAGAAAACAAATTCCATGATGTACAATTATAAAAACCATTAATGCATTTTTGCATACTTACTATGAAGCAGGATAAAATACTTCTTGTCATTAAACATGCATTCATTTATATTTGTGTGCTCTTGTTAATTTAAAGTAGGTTAACTTCTGCCAGCATTCTGTGTTCCAGCTATAAATTTCATTGTTAGGATTTTATTGTTGTTTGCTGTAAAATTCCGTAAGATACAGAACTACTAAGCTGGGATTTGTTCTCCTTGAAGCAGTAGAATCCAGATGGCATATAGAGGAATTTGATGTTCAATTCTTAAGGAGAAATAGATACTTCCTCTTTACCAGTGATTTGGTACTCACTGAATTTTCTTGCAATTAGATTGGAGCCAAATTATTACTCCTGGCCAATGAACTGTGTGAGCACAATTAATGATTTTCTTGACAGGTGTACATTTCCATTTCTTCCCTGCTGCCATAACCTTGGAGGCTATATGCTTCAGATGGCAAAGCTAAAAGATAGAGGAAGACTGGCTAACCTATATCAGATGTTAGGAATTTGTTTGACACCACAGCACACCAAAACTCACCCAATACACCCATGTTTTAGAATTAATCATGATCCCAGCTCTTTCTTACGTTAAATGATATATATGAAGGTGAAGACACAGCCGTTAAATTTAATATAGCAATTTAATGGCAAGAACCTGTCAAAATATACTTCACTAGAAAAATCACGTTTTAAGGCAAGATAGATTCATTTCAAAATCTCACGCAAGCACAAAGCCCAGCAAACATTATATACCATTTTCTCCATTTTTAATACTCTAAGTCATTAAGAGTCCTGAATATTGGAAATATAAGAAAGAAATCAAGTACATGGCTTTGGGTACAAATGTAAATACTAGACAAAACCATTAGTGTCTCACTAATCTGAAGTGTAACTAAAATAGAATATAAGTAAAGAGGACAGCTATAACCCATCTTTGCAAGGATGACTGTTTCCTTTTCACACATGAAGCCCTTAAGGATCACAGTTAAGGAATCGGGCAAAGATCACACAGTCCCAAATACACAGTATGTACTAAATGTTAAGTTAATTATACTCACTGCCAATAAGAATCCAGTTGAATCAGAGCACACCAAGCTCCCTTGAACTATCAAGTAAAACCTCTGGCAAAGTGATGATATAAAACTCAGAGAGAGAACAGATGTGCTGCAGGAGAACATGCTGTTTGTATAGGCACTAAAGTTTCTCTTAAAATAAATACAGTCATTTAAAGTCGTTGAGTCGTGGCTGGAGAAGCACCACAGGGAGGTGATAGAGCAATTAAGAGTCCTGTGGGAAAGGAAAGAACTGAAACAGATTCTCTATGGAGCAAATCTTAAATATACAAATTAAATTGCGTGTAAATAGTAGGTTGAAACATGTCTGAAATTGGTTCCATATTAACATAGGATTCTATATAATACACTAGGCCTGCTTTTTGATCAAGCCTGATCTAAAGAGAATAAGGAAAATAATAGTCACATTTCAACCCTGGTTCAATCCCATCACTCTCTCAATTTAGTACAAGTGGTTGGTTGATTTCTCACTCTGCATGTCTGATTTCATCACTCTGTGGGCAAGCAAATTTTTTAGTGAAAAAATACAGCATAGTTTGGATTTCAATTCTAGCTCTTTTTGTTAGTTGGGCATCTTTGGTTAAGCCCCTTAATTAGTTGAAGGCTATTTTCTTATTTTTTCAAGCAGAAATAATGCCTACTCACAGGGTTTATGTGAGAATTAAGGATAGTCAGGTTTTTAGACTCACAGCCACACATTAGGAGCTCAATATTGTTTTTCTTTCTTGTCTTATAAAAGAAGGGAAATTACATGGTCAAGTTAAAAGGGGCCTGGAGTTAAGCCCTGAAGTAACTTTAAACATTTAATATATTGGTTCTAAAAATTTATGTATTAGGTTGGTAGAGTTCCTAGTGAGGAATGCTTTGGGGATTACAGTCCTTTTAAGATATATCATATTTTACTGAAAATTCAAAACTAACATTAACCATGCTGTTTTTAAAAACTATTGCAATATTTACTTTTTAAAAGGACATACAATCATTTCAGGATAAATTCAATGCACTGTTCTGCTCACTCTTCACTTGGATGTATAACACATATCTTAAATTTGAAATGTCCAAATCGAACATTTTTTTCTGCTCCAATATGTACCTGTTTTCCCCTCAATCTTTGGAAGTGTCAATTCCATCCTACTAGTTTCTAAGAGCAAAACTTACTTTTCTCATTATCTTAAAATCCAAAATCAAATCAAAGTTTATTCTTTCAATTATCTTCAAAATGCACCAACTCTTTCGCTCCTATAAAAGTACAAGTCTTTGCTAAATCTCATGTGGTTTATAGCAATTTTCCCTTAAGTGGTTTTGTTTCTGCTTAGCCTCCCTGTATAGTTTATTCTCAAAGGAGAAATTTGAGTGGTGTTTTAAAAACATGAATTAGAGTACATCAGACCACTGCTCAAAAGCTTTGTAGCATCCCATCTCATTTAGAATGAAAGCTGTTGTCATTATAATGGCTTAGGAGACTCTTAATGATCCGGTCCTCATTAACTCTAGATTTTTACCAACCATTTCTTTCCTGACTCATTCCAGATAGTCTCACTTACTTGACGGACCTCCAAAAGAATATGCTCTTTATCTGTTCATCAGTTGAGTATAGACTGCTCTTCCTCACATTTTCACTCTCACTTTCTCTACTCAAATACTGTCCTCTCTTTATCTGTTTATCAGTCGAGTATAGACTGCTCTTCCTCACATTTTTACTCTCACTTTCTCTACTCAAATACTGTCCTCACAGTGAAATCTTCCTGACTGCCTTTTGTAAAATGCCAATAAAACAACCTCATCCCAGGTTTTCCTATCTTCCAGACCCTGTTTTGTGTTTCTCCATGGCACTTAGCACCATGCGGACCACTTAATACTTACTTATTTTTACTGTCTGATTCCCTTACTGACATATTCATTCCCATCTATTTTGTTTATTACTATTTCCTTAGTGTCTAGAATCGTGCTGGGTCTATATATTCTCAAAAAATATTAATCAAAAGAAGGAAGGAAGAAAGAGAAAGAGAAAGGATTTTATTTCCTTTTCTGTGCCTTTAGATTTCTAAAGACAAATATGCTTTGGAGATTATGATCCACATCTAGCATAGTTCCTCCAAGATATCTGTTGGATATCTTGCAGAGAAAGAAAGTATAATTGGTTCACTTTTCTAATAAAGCCTCAAGACTTTTATTTCCCTGTAACATTTAGATCAACTTGAGCCTTGATGGAATAACGTAGCCTTAGTAGTTTGCCAAGTTGTTTTGCTGACTCTGCAAGGCACAGCCCATCACATGAAGAGGGCATTGAAGGTTATAAGTCTGGATTACCTCATTGGGCAATAAATTACTGCCAAGTACATTGTGAATTTTGTGTCCTTAGAAACATGAAGACCAGTAGTTAACTCTCCATCCTTTGGTAATTTTTTAGAGCCTTAGGGGACTCATTTATCTTGTTAATAGTAATCAATATTAATAATAAATTAGTGGATACACAAATATAAATGTGATGTGAGAACAATAATATTGGAAAAACAGGCGTTGGATGGTAAATAGCCTATTATTCCTCCATGTGCTAAAAGAACTATTATTTGTTGAGTGTCTACTATATAAAAGGCAATTTAAAAATCTTACCTTAGTTCTACAACAGCCCTGTGAGATAACTATTGATATTCCTAGTGAATAGATAAACAGACTGAATAAAGTTAAGGGTTTTATTCATGATTGTACATAGCATACACTTCAAGGCTGAGAATTAATCCAGCATCTACCTAAGTTCACAGTCTGTGAATTCTTTTGAACATGCTATGTTATATTACAAGTCTTGACTGTAGCATCCCTTTAAATCCAGTGGAATAATTGGTCTGCCTCTGCAGAGGACACTCTGAAAGTACATTTGGAAAATATATTGTTATATTTCTACAAATGAAAAATTGTTACACTAGTATAAAACAACCCAACTTTAGGTTGTCCTTAGTAAATTAAGTTCAAAAGAAATTAATCTGCTATCAAAGTGGTATCCCAGCCATCACTTTCATCACTTACAAAATGTCAGATTATGTAAATAAGCCAGGGATTACCTCTATTATTTTATAAAATGAGGTTCTGTAGAGTTCATGCTGAATCAGAAAATGAACTCTATGTAACACTCATTAATTTTAAGGATTATTGCAGTCATTAGCTTCTGTCAATTCACAATTGCTTTAAGTGAGTCTAAGATATTTGAGTTTTTCAGGTTGTGCTACATCTACATTTATTTTAAAAATGTAATACTTTGTCATTTTACTTGGCAGTTGTTTGGCTCTCTCCATACACAGCATTTGGGAGCACTGGGGGTGGTGGTGAGTGGGGGTGTGCGGGCAGTGAGGCGGGTAGTAAGCTTTTTTTTTTTTAATTAGAAAAGCCAGTTATTTCCTGATCATTTCAGTGTGAAATATTGTTCCTTGTGGGTACTTAATACACCTTTTTAATTAACATGGTTAGCAGCTCTTAATTTTAAATTAGTTCTTCATGATATAATTTATCTAAGATATATCTTTTGTGTAGTGGTTGTATCTTGGATAATATAGCTTATGTCTTGGATAATGTAAAAACTATATCAAGCATTTTATGCATATGTTTATCCTTACTACATGCTATCTGTCAGGTAAATATGTATATCCTTATTTTACTAAGGAAAATGCACGAAGCTCTTATAGATTGTGACCTGCTCAAAGAAAACTGGCAGAGCTGGTATCCAAATCCAGGTCTGACTGCTCCGTAGTTTGCATTCATTGTCCTTCACTCAATCTCTCTGTGACTTTGGTTTATATTTTATCCACAAAAATAATACTTGTTTCATTTAATACACAAGACTGTAGTGAGGCTAAAGTTTAATAAAAAGTACCTCTTTTTTTCTGAACAAATGAAGGATGCTCTCAGTAATGAGGAAACTACCATCAGATTACAAGAGAAATCGCCAAATTTACTAGGCTGCTCAAATAAACCTCCATGATCTAGAGAGAAAAGGGTCTGCTTCTGTGCAACAACTTTCATCTCCCTGAAAGCTGTACAATTGTACTGAACCAGAGCATTAACTGAGTATTCCAGTGGGAGGCCACATTTGGCAAATGAAACTGCTAGTTAAAAGCCTTGCTTTGGGAGAACAAACTCTCATTACACATAATAATGCCTTGAGAGCAGGTCTCTGTTCCCATAACTTAGTAAATCCTACCTTTTCTCAAATTACCATTTTTATGGATTTTACATACATGGCAGAAGGCTTCAGGTGATGGTATTCAGTCTGATCCACATGGTTCAGAATGGTAATTGCATGTAGGTAATGCATATCCATTACGAGCATATTGCTACTTCATTTGCCCAGTAAAGCAGGAGAGCCAAACTCAGGCAGTGTCACATATTGGAAGCTACAGAAAAAATTTCTTAGAATAGTAGAGTTTTTGAGAGAAAATGACTTGACTAAGGCAGATTCAGACTTCTAACCTGTGCTAGTATATAATTTGGTGCCAAATATGAGAAAGTTCTATACATTATTTATTGTGCTTTTCTAGAGCCAAGACTAGGTAAAGGCATGGGAAGAAAAGTAAAAGTGCAGAAGATAAGAAGTGTCTGCAAGAGAGAACCAAGCAAAACTACATTTTGAATCAATGTCCATGAAGTACGATTTATGTCGATATACCTCATTCATTTAAAGGACACAAGTTAATGACTTCTGAAAGATGTCTACTCATGGAGTGATCAGGATACATAATCTTTTATATTATTCTCAAAGTTTCCTCATACCCCTCTATCGTTCATCCCTCCTTCTGCTCCCAGACAGGAAACCACCAATTTTCCTTTTGTCACTATAGATTATTTCTAGTTGTTACAATTTTATATAGATGGAATCATACAGTACCTACTCGCCTGTGTCTGGCCTCTTTCACTTAGCATATTAATTTTGAAATTTATTCACATTTTGTGGTATCAGCAGTAGTTCATACCTTTTTATTGTTGAGTAGAATTTAATAATATACAATTACATTTATTATTTTTTGATTCAACTCTTAATAGATATTCGTCATTTGATGAGTTGTTTCCAGTTCTTAGCTATCATGAACAAAGCTGCAAAGAACATTTGTATACATGTCTTTGTGTGAATATATGTTTTAATTTATTGGGCGAGATGCCTAGGTATAGAATGGCTAGGAGAGGTTAAACTTTTAGATAAAACTGCCAAATCATGTTATAAAATTTCTGTATAATTTTTCATTCCTATCAGCAGTGAATGAGAGTTTCAGTTGCTCAACATCTTCCTCAATCCTTAGTCATGACAGTACTTGTAATTTTAGCCATTCTAATGACTGTGTTGTGGTGTCACACTAGGATTTTATTTTTTAAATGCTTTTATTAAAATGGCTATGTTTATTAACATAGCCATTCAACATCTCAGCAACCACTTACAGAATAGAATGGAACAGAGAGGAAAACAGCTCCCCTACCAAAATTTTTGTGCTTCCTTAGGAATTCTTCATTGTTGCCAGCTCACTGAGATCTTCAAGCGAGTGTTTTTAATTAACTTATTCTTATTTTATCTTATTTTTTTTGTAGAGATGGGGTCTCCAAATGTGGCCCAGGCTATTCTCAAACTCTGGGGCTCAAGCGATCCTCTCACCTTGGCCTCCCAAACTGCTGGGATTACAGGTGTAAGCCACTGCACTCAGCCCAGTTGTTTTTTAAATTTTGTTTGGTTGTCAGCTTTTCTAGATGTTCTCAGCAGAAGATCTAGTCCAAATTTCTTGGTCTACCATTATTGTATATGAAAGCCTTTATTTTTATTTATTGTAGAGATGGGGGTTCCCCTATATTGCTCAAGCTGCTCTTGAACTCCTGGCCTCAGGCGATCCTCCTGCCTTGGCTTCCCAAACTGCTGGGATTAGAGGTATGAGCCACTGAAAAACTATAAATAAATACACACATAAAAATGCAAAAATGATAATTGTACAGTTCCATAAATTTTCACAAAGTGAACACATAGTGTAACCACTAGCTGGGTCAAAAAAAACAGGGAGGGTGCTAGGTTACCTACAATATAATTTGTTGATGTGGTAAGTGATATAAAGAAAAACAGAACAAGGGTTTGTAGAGGGTGTTATCTTAATTCAGGTATTTGGGGAAGTCTTTCGAAGGAAAAGATGTTGGAACAGAGGATACATCCATGGAGGAATGGAGTAAGCCATTCATAATTCTGCAATAGGAGAGCCCCAGGCAGGGGAAAAGGCAAGTGCAAAGGCCTAGAGGCTGGAATGTGTTACGCATGTTCCGTGAAATGCAAAGATACTCTGTCCTTCTGCCTGAAGGACTTCCATTAACATTGTCATTGTGTGGTTCTGCCGATGAGAAATTATTTTAGTTTCTGTATATCTGAAAATGTCTTTATTTTTTCTTAATATATGAAAGATATTTTTAGACTTATGTGTTAGCAATGTTCTTATGTTGTATTTTAAAGATGTTGTTCCATTGCTTTCTCATTTGCATTGTTTCCTATGAGCAATCTGATGTCTTATTTTATCTTCTGTACCTAATGTGCATTTTTATCTGGCTGCTTTTATGATTTTCTCTGTATCAGTGATTTTGAGAAATTTAATTATGATACACCTTGGTGACATTTTTTTGTTTGTTTGTTTCTTGTGCTTGGGGTTTGTTGAGCTTTTGAGTCTGTGGACCTTACACTTTTCATCAAACTTGAACATTATCTATTTAAATATCTTTTCTCTCTCTGCATACTTTGGGGGCTATAATTGCATATCAATTAGGTCACTTGCATCACTGTTCATCAATACTCTTATTTTCTAATTTTATTTTTTTTGTTGTATTTCATCTTAAGTAGTTTGTATTGCTACATCTTCACGTTGAATAATCATTTCTTCTCCAATATGCAATTTGTTGTTAATCCAACCCCTAGACTTTTCTATCTCACATTTTTCAGTTTATATCTGTAGAAGTTAGATTTTGATCATTTTTATGTTTTCCATTTAATAACTACTCTTTTGAGTAGATGAAATCAATTACAATAACTGTCATAATGTTTTTGTCTACTACTTTTAATATCTATCAGTTATGGGGTAGTTTCAATTGTTTGACTTTTCTCCTTCTGATGAGTCCCATTTTCTGGCCTCTTTCTCTTTGCATGTCTGGTAACTCTTGAATGGATGCCAGGCATTGTGCATTTTACCTTGTTGAGTACTGAGAATGTGGGCATTCCTAGAAATGTTTTTGAGCTTTGTTTTAGTGTGCCATTAGCTTACTTGGAAACAGTTCAATCCTTTCAAATTTTACTTTTAAGATGTGTTAGGTAGGGAAGGAGCAGTGCTCCCTCTAAGACTCACTATTCTCACCATTGAGGCAAATCTTTTTTGTGTAGTCTACACAATACCTCATAAGTCATGAGGATTTCCAGTTTTAATGAAGGAGACAAGCACTATTCCCAGTCCTTTGTGAACACCCGATGCTGTTATTTCTATTCATGATTCTTTCCCCAATCTGGCCTAGTTTCCTCACATACATGTACTGACCAGTACTTATCTGAATGCTCAAGAAAAACAATCTTTGCAAATTTCTCAAGTAATCTTTCTGTGGTGTTCTCTCTTCTACAGTACTCTGCCCTGCAAACTCTATACATCTTGGTCTCTCTGGATTCTCTCTGTGCAACTCTAGAACTCCTTGCCAAGCTTTGCCTAGCTTCCTCCTCCCTATATTATCATCTGGAAATTTTCTCAGGGCAGTAAGCTGTAACAATCATAGGATTCAACTTGTTTGTCTCCCTTTTCTCAAGGATCACAGTCCTTCATTACCTGGTATTCATTTTTCTGATAAAGCATTGTTTCATGTATTTTACCTGTATTTTTTATTGTTGTTTCAAGTAGTAGAATAAATTTTTTTATTCAACTTTTATTTTAAGTTCCAGGGTACATGTGTAGGATGGGCAAATGTGTTAAATAGATAAACATGTGCCATAATGGTTTGCTGCACAGATCAACCCATCACGTAGGTATTAATCCCAGCATCCATTAGCTAGTCTTCCTTATGCTCTCCCTCCCCAGAACCCCCCAGCAGGCCCCACTGTGTGTTGTTCCCCTCCGGTGTGTCCATGTATTCTCGTAGTTCAGCTCCCACTTATAAGTGAGAACATTTGGTGTTTGATTTTCTGTTCCTGCCTTAGTTTGCTGAGGCTTCCAACTCCATCAATGTCTCTGCAAAGGACATGATCTCATTCCTTTTTATGGCTGCATAATACTCCGTGGTGTATATATACCACATTTTTAAAAAATCCAATCTATCATCGATGGGCATTTGAGCTGATTCCATGTCTTTGCTATTGTGAATAGTGCTGCAATGAACGTACACGGGCATGTATCTTTACAACAGAATGACTGATATTCCTTTGGGTATATACTCAGCAATGGGATTGCTGGGATGAATGGTAGTTCTGCTTCTAGATCTTTGAGGAATCACCACACTCTCTTCCACAGTGGTTGAACTAATTTACACTCCCATCAACAGTGCAAAAGTGTTCCTTTTTCTCTGCAACCTTGCCAGAATCTGTTGTTTCTTGACTTTTTAATAATCTCCATTCTGAATGGCATGAGATGGTATCTCATTGTGGTTTTGATTTGCATTTCTCTAATGATCAGTGACGTTGAGGTTTTTTCATATATTTGTTGGCCACATAAATGTTTTATTTTGAGAAGTATCTGTTCATGTCTTTTGCCTACCTTTTAATGGGGTTGTTATTTTCTTTTAAATTTGTTTAAGCTCCTTGTAGTCTCTGGCTGTTAGACCTTTGTCCGATGGATGGATTGCAAAAATTTTCTTCCATTCTGTAGGTTATCTTTTCACTCTAATGATAGTTTCTTTTGCTGTGCAGGAGCTCTTCTATTTAATCAGATCTCATTTGTCAATTTTTGCTTTTGTTGCAATTGCTTTTGGTGTTTTCATCATGAAATCTTTGCCTGTGCCTATGACCCGAATGATATTTCCTAGATTTTTTTTCTGGGGTTTTCATAGTTTTGGGCTATACATTTCAGTCTTTGATTCACCTTGAGTTAATTTTTGTATAAGGTGTAAAGAGGAGATCCAGTTTGAATTTTCTGCATATGGCTAGCCAGCTCTCCCAGCACCATTTATTAAATAGGTAATTCTTTCCCCATTGCTTGTTTTTGTCAGGTTTGTCAAAAATCAGATGGTTGTAGGTGGATGGTCTTATTTGTGAGTTATCTATTCTGTTCCATTGGTCTATGTGTCTCTTTTTGTACCAGCACCATGCTGTTTTGGCCACTATAGCCTTGTAGCGTGGTTTTAAGTTGGGTAGTGTGATGCCTCCAGCTTTCTTCTTTTTGGTTAGGATTGTCTTGGCTATTTGGACTCTTTTTTGGTTCCATATGAATTTGATACCTGTTACTCAATCTTGATCAGAAGTGAAAGCCCCTCTCATAGAGGTATTCATTTGCAATTCCCTGATTACCAGTGATGTTGACCATCTCTTTACGTAGTTTGGGGCCAGTTGTATACTTTCCATGGCAAAGTGTCTCTTAAAATATTTTATCTATTTTTGATAGGTGTCTTTCTCTTATTGTTATTGAGTTATAAGCATTATTCTTCCAAAGAGAAATAGGTTTTAATTTTATGAAGTCAAATATATCAGGGTTTTTTTCCCTAATGATGCTTTTTTGTGTGTGTTCTAAGAAATATTTGTCTACTCCCAAGGTTGCAAGAATGTTATCCTATATTTATTCTAGCTTTGTTTTTTTTTTTAGCATTTATATTTATGTATATGGTTAACTTCAATTTATTTTGGTGTATGTGTAATGTCAGAAAACGATTAATGCTCATTTCTGTTATCTCACAAATATCAGATGTACCAGCACAATTCATTGAAAAGACTTATTTTTCCCCTTTGAATTGCCTTTGCATCTTTGTCAAAAATCAATTGACCATGAATGTGTGAATCTATTCCTGAATCTGTGTTCAGTTTCATTTATTTATGTTTATCCTCCCATTATTATTGTAGTATCTTTATTAATGTAGCCTTAAATTAAGTCTATTGTTAAAATCAAATTTAATTGAGCAAGAATTATTTCAGCAATTGCTACGTGCCTAACCAGAGTGATGTGTTGTGTGAAATAAGATCAGAAGATCATTTCACCCCTTTTTTCCATGCCCCTCTCAACCCACAGCATATAAAACACAAATATACATATATTATATTAAATAAAATTTATAGAGTAAAATTCATTTGCTAATATATTCTAAGTTTATTAACTAAACATTTAATATGCAGTTTTTTAAAAACATTTAATATGCAAAGTTTAAGTCTGAGGTCAAAATAGAATTTTTAAAATTCTTAATATTTTTAAGAACTTGGATGCATTTAGGTCATACCTTTATGGATAAAAAGGACTTATTTTGTGATACAAGAAATGAAGCTATTAACCCCGTCCTCAGTAGCAAAAAGACACACTCATAAAAAAGAATGTGATTCAGTCATTTGCAACAACGCGGATGGAACCGGAGGACATCTTATTAAATGAAATAAGCCAAGAACAGAAAGACAAACTTTACATGATCTCTGTGGGATCTAAAAATCAAAGCAATTGAACTCACGGAGATAGACAGTACAAGGATGGCTACCAGAGGCTGTGAAGGGTAGTATGAGGGTCAGTGGGGAGGTGAAGATGATAAATGGGTACAAAAATTAGTTAGAATGAATGGACAAGGCCTTGTTTTAGAAGCACAACAGAGTGACTATAGTCAATAATAATTTAATAGTACAATTTTCACCCATTTTTTCCATTTAGAAAAAATAAAAAGTGAAGCTCACTGCCAGCACTCATTTCTCAGGGCAAACAGGAAATGGCTTAAAATAACTAAAAGAGTACAATCAGATTGTTCGTAAAACAAATGATAAATGCTTGAGGGAATGGATGCCCCATTTTTCATAATGTGATTATTACACATTGCATACCTGTATCAAACCATGTCACATACCCCATAAATACATATACCTACTATGTACCCACAAAAATTAAAAATTATAATAAATTAAGACAAAGCATCTGATAGAGAGTACAATACAGCTAGAAGCTTAGAATTTCAGAGTGGTAAGGTCATTGTAGGCTAGAGTGGTTTCAAATAAAGAGAAAATTGAGTGAAGTCTTGACAGTAAAGTATAATTGGAAGGGTGAAAAAGACAGTTGAAAAGAGAAGGGTTTTGTATAAATTGTTTTAGGGTAAAACTGGGGATATGGTGATTAGGTAGTTTGGGCATAATAATGTCAAAACGCTAGTGGTCTTATCTAAATGAATAAAATGAATGGCCTGCTTATCGTATTTTAATATATTTATAGTATATTACATAATATAGAAATAATACTACAGGGCCGGGCACGGTGGCTTACACTTGTAATCCCAGCACCTTGGGAGGCTGAGGTGGGCAGATTATTTGAGGTCAGGACTTCAAGGCCAGCCTGGCTAACATGGTGAAACCCCTTATCTACTAAAAATCCAAAAAAATTTGCCAGGCATGGTGGCACAAGCCTGCAATCCCAGCTACTTGGAAGGCTGAAGCCGGAGAAATGCTTGAACTGGTGGAGGATGCAGTGAGCTGAGATCACTCCCCTGCACTCCAGCCTGGGTGACAGAGGAAAGAAAGAAAATAAGGAAAGAAAGGAAGAAAGAAAGGAAGGAAGAAAGGAAGGAAGGAAGGAAGAAAGGAAGGAAGGACTGACTTGGTAGTTGTGGTCCACAGTAAATTTACAAGCCTGAAAGGGTGAGATATTACAGGGGGACTAGGGATGAAGATGCAAAAAAAAAAAAAAAGGAAAGTCTCAGGAGTCATCTGGTCCAACTTTACATTCAATGCAAAAAAAAAAAACAAATCTCCCTTACAACAGCTTGGAAAATTGATGATACTTATTGTTTGCTCAACTATAAAGAGCTGGATACCCTACAAGGTAGAATATTCACTTCTTTGTAATGTCCTTTTATCTACACAGTACTTTTACATAGTGCCCTGTTCTTGTAACTGCTACTTACTTGTTCTATAATTTACTACTTAGACTCTATGGGATATTTCCTTTCCCTCATAGCCCCTCTGGTTTTTGAAAACAACTATCCTAACTGTATATGTCTTATATTGGCCAGACAACTAGTCACATAACTTGGTTTCCCAAACCTAGTTATTATCTCAACACTCTGCATTTTATGTGTCTCTCTGAACATGTAATAAAGACCTGCGCTCATAAGTCCAGGTATAGCCAGACCACTGCAGAGCATGGTTAAATAACTGCCTCCATTAATCAGGTGACTAAATGACTATTAATGTAACAGGAGACAGCAATAATTTTTATGATAATCACATTCTGCAGTTGATCTTTATTTTGAGGTAGCATAATACAGTGAAAAGGCCATAAAGTCTTGAATTATACAAACCCATTTCCTTGTTCAACTACATGCTGGTTATGAGACAAGTATCTCAACTCTCTGAGTTCCAATTTGCTTCCTAGTAAAATAGGGCTAATACCCTCTACCTTATAGGGCTGTTATAAAGATAAATTTAGATAATATACGTACTATGACAAACATACAGTGGCTGCTGAATAAATGCTAGTGAATTTCTCTTCTGCTTTGGATATGCTTACACACAGCTACAACAAGAGCTCAAACAGATATTGATGAATAGGTTGAATAAAACAAGGCCAAGAAAAGAGCATTGGGACATGGTGCTAGACAGTTTCCACCTGCCTGACACTGATTCATAAATTACCACCCTGGGTATGGGCACAGAAGTAGGCTCACATCCATCCCATGCACTATCAGCTAGCCCACATTGCTCTGGCTTGTCCACAAGGACAGCTGAGAACTTGTCAAACGTTTTTCTAAAATCCAGATGTATTATTTCTGGGGCATTTCTTTCATCTAGCTGTCTGGGAGCTATATCAAAAAAGGAAATAAATTTAGTTTGTCATGTTTCATTTACAGAGATCATGCTGAGACCAAATGTTATGTTCTTCATTTTCTGAGTGTTCACAGACCATCTGTTTTGTAATCTGGACTACACACTTTTGGGAATCTACATTAGGTGCTATAATTTTGGGCATCTTTAATGTTTACCTTTATGGAAGCTGAAGAATTTATTCTTCTGCAGCTTTCTGGTTTCTTCTGTTTTCTTTCTATAATTCAAATATTCTTTACCACTTCTTCAGTTAATGGGATACTGAAGACTAAAGATTATTATTCTTTTAAAAATCTTTTTCTTGTTTCCAGTGGATAGAATTATTATTCTTACAAAAGAAAATAGGAGAAAATTGAAGCTCTGTTTCTCTACTTGATGTCTATTCGCTATTAACATTACAACTCAAGCTCTGGTTCTATTCCTTCTTTTTCATTTTATTCTGGGCTTTAAAAGCCTTAGATTGCTCTTAATATGCTTTATTGCAGTCTATTCTGGGATTTAATGCTCTTTGTCTGGTTTTACAGTTCTAGGACACTATTTTGTATTTTTTTCTTGCTGTTTGATGTCTTTTCCTTTTGAAGTCATTGCTCACTGGAAAGTTTTTCTGTGGCCAAAATAATTTATTAGCTATAGCTCTACCTTTTAAAACTATGATCACTTGTGATTTCATCACTTACTTTTTATTTTTCCCCTAGAATGACATATATTTTCCTTGATCCTTATTGTTTTATAAAGTCTCTGCTCAAAGGAAAATACTTTCATTTCTCGTAAAATCTTGATACGTATTTTTCTAAACTTCGTGAATATAAGTAGTATTCCCTACCTTGATGTGTTAGTCCATTGTCATTGCTGTAAAGGAATACTTGAGAATGGGTAATTTAGTTTTAAAAAGAGGTTTATTTTGGCTCATGGTTCTGCAGGCTGTACAGGAAGCATGGTGCTACTATCTGCTTCTGGTAAGGGCTTCAGGAAGCTTACAATCACGACAGAAGGCAAAGGAGGAGCAGGAAGTCACATAGCACTGGAGGGAGTCAGAGAAACAAGAAGTATCAGGCTCTTTTAAATAACCAGATCTCTCATTAACTCACAGAGTGAGAACTCTCTCATTACTGTGAGGATGGCATCAAACCATTCATAAGGGATCCTGTCCCATGATTCTAGCATATCCCACCAGGCTCCACCTCCAACATCAGGAATCTTATATTGACATGAGATTTGAGAAGGACAAACATCCAAACTATATCATTTTGTCCCTGCTCCCCAAATCTCTTGTCCTTCTCAAATTGCAAAACACAGTCATGCTTTCCCAATAGTCCCCCAAAGTCTTAAACAACTCCAGCATCACTCAAAAGTAACATCCAAAGTCTCACCTGAGACTCAAAGTAAATTTCTTTAAGGTATGAACCTATAAAATCAAAACAAGTTATTTACTCTCAAGATACATTGGTGGTGTAGTCATTGGATAGATATTCCCATTCCAAAAGGGAGAAATTGGTCAAAATAAAGGAGCAACAGAAGCCACACAAGATCAAAACCCAGCCAGGCAGGCATTAAATCTTAAAGTTCCAAAATAATCCTTAATTCCATGTCCTGCATCCTGGGCACACTGGAGTGAAGGGTGGGCTTCCAATGCCTTGAGCAGCTACATCCCTGTGGCTTTGCAGGGTGCATTCTACATGGCTACTCTCACAAGTTGGAGTTGTATGCCTGAGGCTTTTCCAGGTTCAGGGTACAAGCTGCTGTTGGCTCTATCATTTTTTAGTCTGGAAGGTGGTAGCCTCATTCCCACAGCTCCACTAGGAAGTGCCCAAATGGGGACTCTGTATGAGGGCATCAACCCCATATTTTCCATTGTCACTGTTCTAGTAGAGTTTCTCTGCGTGCACTCTGCCTCTGTGGCAGGCTTCTACGTAGGCATCCAGGCTTTCTAATACATTCTCGGAAATCTAAGTGGAAGCTGCCAAGCCTCCTTCACTTTAGCATTCTGTGCACCTGCAGGATTGACACCACGTTGAAGCCGCGAAGACTTATGGTACCAAGGCTTACGGCACTAAGGCTTATGGCTTGCATACTCTAGAGTGGTGGCCAGAGCTGTGCTTGGGGCCCTTTGAGCCATGGCTAGAATTAGAGCAGTGGGAATGCAAGGAGCAGCCTCCCAGGGTGAGACAGGGCAGTGGTACCCTGGGCCTGGGCCATGTAACCATTATCTTCTTCTAGGAATCTGGGCCTGTGATGGGAGGAGCTGTCCCAAAAACTTTTGAAATGCCTTCAATGCATTTTTTTTCATTTTCTTGGATATTAGTATCTGGCTGTCTTTTAGTCATGTGAATCTCTCTAGCACATAGTTGCTCTGCAGCTCACTACTATTCCTCTCCTAAAAATGCCTTTTCCTTCTTTGCTGCATGGCTAGGCTGCAAATTATCCAAATTTTTATTATCTGCTTTCCTTTTAAATATTAATATAATTTCCAACTTTAAGTGATTTCTTTGCTTTGTATCTGAACATAGGTTGTTAGAATGAGCCATGCCACATCTTGAACATTTTGCTGCTTAGAAACTACAGCCTTCCACAAAGCCCTAGGACATAAAAACAATGCAGCCATGTTCTTTGCTAGGGTGTAACAAGAATGACCTTTGCTCCAGTTCACAATAACTTTCTCATTTCCATCTGAGACCTCCTCAGCCTGGCCTTCACCGTCGATATTTCTATCAGCACTTTGGTCTCAGACACTTAACAAGTTTCTAAGAAGCTCCAAACTTCCCTTCATCTTCCTGTTTTCAGAGACCATCAAACTCTTCCAACTTCTGCCTGTTGCGCAGTTCCACAGCTGCTTCCACATTTTCAGGTATCTTTATAACAACACCCCACTCCTCAGTACCAATTTTCTATATTAGTTCATTTGCATTGCTATAACGGTATATCTGAGACTGAGTAATTTATAAATAAAAGAGATTTACTTTGGTTCGTGATTCTACAGGCTGTACAGAAAGTGTAGTGCTAGCATCTGCTTCTGGTGAGGGCCTCAGAAAGCATACGATCATAGTGGAAGGCAATGGGGGAGTAAGCATGTCACATGGTGAGAATAGGAGCAAATAAATAAATAAATAAATATATAAATAAATAAAAGAAGAGGAAGTTCTAGGCTCTTTTAAACAACCAGCTCTCATGGGAACTCATAGAGCAAGAACTTACTCATTACCACAATGATGGCACCAAACCACTCATGAGGGATCTTCCTCCATAACCCTAACATTTTCCGCCAGACCTCACCTCCAACATTAGAAATCACATTTCAACATGAGATTTGGAGAGGACAAACATCCAAAGTATACTACATCGATATTAGGAATTCTCAAATGACTTCGTCGTCTTAAATTTTCTAGGCCAAGGTTCTCCTGACTTCAACTTTATCAGTTTTTCCTTTTGGTCAAAGCATTTACATATAAATTGATTTACTCATCAACATATTGTAAGATGAGCCTAATAATAATACTTAAAATTCACAAATTATTCCCTTTGTGTCATAGGTGTTTTAAACATTTAATATATATTTCCACATTCTTTTCCCACCCCACACAAAACTCTATGAAACAGGTATACTAGTTATTTATGTTACAGTCGACTGTGGCTTTGCAACTTTAAATAATATACCTTAAGATATAATCAAGTTAATGGTGTTGCTAGTACTCAAGATGAGGTAGGCTGACTTTAGATTCTACACATTATGTCTCTGTTAAAGAAAGTCTGTCATTTTTTAGATGCTTTACTTAGAATAGAGTAAGATTATGATTATTTGAAGCCCCTCATAACTACTTTTTTGTCTCTTTTCCAGCTTGTAAGTTTGAAAAACATTATCCATATTCTTTTCCCATCTTACTATTTTGTGTGTATGTTTTATAACACATGATTTTCTAATTTTTAATGTGCTCAAATGCTGTACATATTGATATTCACTAATTTAATTCTAGTGGTCTGATGTAAACTGTCTTATGCATGAATAATTGTATAGCTGATTTCCAAACCTAGTTCTAGATATCTCTTATCTGATTTATTTCCCATTGAGTTTTTTGATGTATAATATAGCAGTAAAAACTATTTTTAACCTTTGACCTCTGTTTGTAAAAATTGTTCTCATATTTAAAAAAAAAATTCCCCTAGATATATACATTGCATTATGAGTAAATTCCAAACTGTTCTGGTGAATTAAATGTATATTATCATGTTTATTCTGAATATTAGTTCCTTGTTGGATGAATAGTTTGCAAATATTTTCCCCCATTCTATGGGTTGACTCTTCACTCCATTGATTGTTTCCTTTGCTATGCAGAAGCTTTTTAGTTTAATATAGTCCCATTTCTTTATTTTCATTTGTGATTTTTACATCTTAATCATAAAATTTCCCATGAACAACATGCTGAAATGTTTTCCATATGCTTTCTTATAGTAGTTTTATAGTTTTTGGTCTTTTGTTTAAATTTTTAATCTATCATGACATGATTTTTTCATATGGTTCAAGAGAGAGGTCCAGTTTCATCCTCATGCATATGGATATCCAATTTTCTCAGCACCTTTTATTGAAGAGGGTGTCCTTGCCCCGGTGTATGTTCTTGTTCTTGGGACCTTTGTTGAAAACCAATTGGCTGTAAATATGCGAATTTATTCCTGGATTCTCTATTCTGTTCCATTGGTATATGTGGTTTTTCTGTTGTTGTTGTTGTTGTTGTTGTTTGTTTGTAGTTTTTGTTTTCTTTCTTACAAACACCATGCTGTTTTGATTAGTACAGTTACTACTTTGTAACATATTTTGAATTCAGGTAGTGTAATGCCTCCAGGTTTTTCTTTATACCCAGGATTGCTTTGACTATTGGGGCTCTTTTTTCATTTAATACAAATTTTAGAATTTGTTTCTAATTATGTGAAAGAATGAGGTTGGCATTTTGACAGAAATTATACTGAATCTATAGATTGCTTTGGGAAGTATGAGCATTTTAATAATATTAATTTTTCCAATCCATGAGCATAAGATATCTTTTCATTCAGTTATAATCCCTCAAATTTCCTTCATCAGTCTTTTGTAGCTTTTCTTGTAAATGTCTTCTAACTCCTTAGTTAAATTAATTATTAAGGGTTTTTTTTCTGTCACTAATGAAAATGGCATTTCTTGATTTCATTCTCAGCTAAATCATTATCAGTGTGTAAAAATGCTATGGATTTTTTGTGCATTGATTCAGTATCCTACAACTTTCCTAAATTCATTTATAAGATCTATAAGTTTTTTGGGGGTAGCCTTTATGTTTTTCTAAATATAATGTCATCTACTCTGGAAAGAGAGATAATTCAACTTCTTCTTTTCCAATTTAGATGCTTTTTATTTATTTCTCTTATCTGATGTCTCCGGCTAGGACTTTCAGCAGTTGGTTGAATAGGAGTGGGGAAAGTGGACATCCTTGTTTTATTTCAGTTCTTAGAAAAAAGAATTTCAGCTTTTCCCCATTCAGCATAATGTTAGTTGTGGGTTTGTTATTTTGCATAGCAATGTCTAGTTGGTTGAGGCACTTTATATGCTTTTTTTTTTTCTCCTGAAAGCCAAACACGTGCAGAACAGTACAGAACAAAGTAAATTATTTTTATGCATGAGAATGAGCATGTTCTTCTTTCTTCCAGGTCTTAAATGCTGGCCATTGAGTTAGAAGTTGTCCTGTGTTTGAGATTTATTTGTTTACTTTTTTACTTTTTATTTTTTGTGGGTATATAGTAATCATCACATCAGGATAAATGGTGTATTCATCACCTCAAGCATTTATCCTTTGCATTGCAAACAATCCAATTATACTCTTCTAGTTATTTTTAAGTGTACAATTAAATTATTGACTGTAGTCACCCTGTTGTGCTTTCAAATACTAGATATTATTTATTCTTTCTAACTAGTATTTTGTACCCATTAACCATCCCCACTTTCCCCCCAAACTCCCACTACCATTCTCAGCCTCTGATATTATCATTCTACTTTCTGTTTCCATGAGTTTCATTGTTTTAATTTTTAGCTCCCACAAATAGGTAAAAGCATGTGAAGTTTGTCTTTCTGTTGCAGGCTTATTTTACTTAACATAATGACCTCCAGTCCCATCCGTGTTGTTGAAAGTGACAATATCTAATTCTTTTTATGACTGAATAGTACGCCATTGTGTATATGTAACACATTTTCTTTAGCCATTCATCTACTGAGGAATACTTAGGTGTCTTCCAAATCTTGGCTATTGTGAATACTACTGCAAAAAACATGTGAGTGCAGATATCTCTTTGATATACTGATGTCCTTTATTTTGGGTATATACCTAGCAGTGGGATTGCTGAATAATACGGTAGCTTTATTTTTTGTTTTCTGAGGAACCTCCAAATTGTTCATCATAGCAGTTGTACTAACATACATTCCCAGCAACAGTATATGAGGGTTCTCTTTTCTTCAAATCCTCACCAGCATTTGTTATTGCCTGTCTTTTGGATATAAGCCATTTTAACTGGGATAAGATGATATCTCATTGATGATCAGTGATGCTGAATATGTTTACATTTACCTATTTGCCATTTGTATGTCTTCTTTTAAGAAATGCCAATTCAGATTTCTTGCCCATTTTTTGTACCAGATTATTAGATATTTTTCTATAGTGTCGTTTAATCTCCTTACATATTCTAGTTATTAATCTTTTGTGAGATGAATAGTTTGCAAATATTTTCTCCCATTATGTGAATTCTCTCTTCATTTTATTGATTGTTTTATTTGCTCTGTAGAAGGTTTTTAACTTCATTTGATCCCATTTGTCCTTTTTTGCTTTGCTTGCCTTGCTTGTGGGGTATTACTCAAGAAATTTTTGCCAAATCCAATGTCCTACAAACTTTCCTCAATCTTTTCTTTTAGTGGTTTCATAGTTTGATGTCTTATATAAGTCTTTAATCCATTTTGATTTGATTTTTTAATGTATTGAGAGACAAGGGCCTAGTTTCATTCTTCTTCATATGGTTACCCAAATTTCCCAGCACCATTTATTGAAGAGACTGTTCTTTCCCCAGTGTATGTTCTTGGAACCTTTGTCAACAACGAGTTCACTGTAGATGTATGGATTTGTCTTTTGATTCTCTATTCTGTTCCATTGATAAATGTTTCTGTTTTCATGCCAATATCATGCTGTTTTGGTAATTGTAGCTCTGTGGTATTATTAAAATCTGATAATGTGATTTCCCCACTTTTTTTTTTTTTGCATAGAATAACTTTGGCTATTCTGGGTATTTTTGGTTCCATATAAATTTTAGGATTTTTTTGTCTTTCTTTTAAGAATGTCATTGGTGTTTTGATAAGATTGCATTGCATTTGTAGATTGCTTGGGTAGTATGGACATTTTAGCAATATTAATCCTTCCAATTGAGGAACATGATATATCTTTCCATTTTCTGATGTCTTCTTCAATTTATTTCATTAGTGTTTAAAGTTTTCTTTGTAGAGATCTCTCACTTCTTCAGTTAAGATAATTTCTTGGTATTTTATTTGTGGCCATTGTAAATGGGATTACTTTTCTATTTCTCTTTCAGACTGTTCACTGCTGGCAAATAGAAATGCTACCGATTGTTGTATGTTGATTTTGTATTCTGCAACGGTTTCAGATTTTTAATGATACAAGTAATGGCTAGTTTACCAGATAGTTTTTTTTTTTTTTCCTAACATCTTCTTTACCCTCAGCTCTAGGGGCTGCCCATCAGGGAGGATTTCTTGCCATGTTCTTTCTCCTCTTTATTTTTTTCTTCAGTAGTATTTGATAGCTATTTGTTAGTTAACACGTGTTAGTCTGAAGGTGGGTGGCTGATTAGGTAGACACTCTGTTCATAGGGACATGAGGACTGCTAAGTCTGCCTGCATTTCTCCAAGTCATTATTCTGAGCCATCACATATTCCTTCATTGCTCACACAAAATCTTCCCCCAATTTTCCCTCTTAGCTGTGATGGGTTTTCATGAGTGTACATGGAATGATTTTATTTGTTGTCTGTCCCTATAGATGAAAGCTTTTGCTCCGTAAGAGAGGTGGGGAGGAAGAATCTGAAGGCAGTTTGTGTCCCTCCTGCAATGGCTGCTCTTCTCCTCTCCCAGGTATATTCCACAAGGGATACTTTATTACAATCTTATCCAACCTTTTCAGTGAGCACACAGTGGCATTTTTAGAGAAAGACCACGAAAAGTGCTCAGCCTCCCCAGGTTCTGTGATTCCCAAAGACTCACACTCTTTCCAGTGCAAGATTGGAAACCTTTACCAATTCTTTAACCTCTCTAGATGAACTCTTGTTACCAGCATCTTGTTGTGTCTACCCCCAATTAACTCAGTGTGCATGTCTTGTTTTCCTAGATTTTGGCATCTGCCTCTCTTTAGATTTCAGACCAGTTTGTTCCCTGATAATCTCACTTCAGATTAAAGGAAATTCATGACTTTGCATTTGTCCAGTTTTGTTTTGTTTTGTTTCTTTTATGACTGGAAGTAATGCTTTTTCTAGTTTTCTAAATCCCTGAGAGGAAATCAGATGTCTTCCCAAATCCCATGTTCTTTTTTATTCCAACAAGTTGTTTTAAGGAATCCTTAAATGATCTTCTTCATATAATCATTATTTTTGCCTAAGACTATTTTATGTTTCTAAATTGTATATAGGTAAGGTTGGGGACAGATGAATAATATATATTTAAAGAGTGCATATTTAGTTGCGTTCTTATGTAAAAATGGAAAGGAGGACAGAGATAGTGATTACCTTTATCAACTAACAATTAATTTAATTTTCTTTCACATACTTGTGTTAAATAATGAAATGAAAAAGCATTACAGTAAAAGACAAGGTATCTGGTCCCTTTTCCTGATTTTGCTGATGCTTACATTTGTTAATGTATACATGTTTCTTTAGTTTTTGAGTTTCTGTTTTATCTCCTGTCAAAAGCTTTCTGATTGATATTAGATTTTTTTTTTTTTTGTAATTGGAAGCCTGGCTTTAGTAATTTTTTTTTTTTTTGTAATTGGAAGCCTGGCTTTAGTAATTATGTGATTATAAGTCACGTATTTTAGAACATTTTGGTGATAACTTTGTAATAAACATTTGTTTATCTTTCCAATCATTTAATACATTCATTTAATAAATATATACTAGTTATTTATTAAGCTCCTTTTTTTGGTAGGTATCATTACAGGCACAGGGTAACTGATGCATGGGTGACTAAGACAGACAAGGTACTGGTCTTGTAGAGTTTCGGTTTTAATTATCCAGAATAAAGAAATAATTAAACATAAGATTTTTCTCAAAAGGATTTAATGCAATTAATAAAATAAAATTAGCTAATAACATCTAGAATTATTATGTCAGTTACTATTATTTAGTCAAAGAGAAACTCTCCGATAGGTTGATATTTGAGTTAAGATCTAAAACATTTCAGAGGATCTAACTGTATGAATATCTAAGAAACAAAGAACAGTAAATACAGATAGATGATAGATAGATAGATAGATAGATAGATAGATAGATAGATAGATATGTGTGGGGGGTGTTTATATATAAGTTATATAAATGTGTGTATGTAGATAGATAGATAATATTATATACCATGACTAATCAGCAAACAGTTTGAGATAGGTGAATGCTTTCTCTATTTTCACTCTAAGTCATTTAAATCTATTCCAGATGATCATTCATTCTGATTCTGGAATATATTAAAAGGTAGTGTGATATACAGGATGCACGTAAAAATCATTTTAATGTAATTCTCATAAAATAAGGCAAATTTGATTCAGCTTCTTTGTGCAATTAGGAAACACCTAAGATGTTCCAATCAATCAAGGCACTTGATCACTATTGCAAGTGGAGAAAGAGATGTAACATCATGGTCTGTTGCTAATGGGTTCTCCCACTGTTCTGGTTAATAGCATAAGTTTCTATTATCTAATTTAAGGTTTCTGAGTTAAATAGATTAAAAGGTTACTGAGAACTCAATGGTGTATTAGAGTGTGTGTGTGTGTGTGTGTGTGTGTGTGTGTGTAACCAATTATGTCCCTTTTAAACTTAGTTTTATCATAGTATGATTTTTTATTTAAAAACTTTTTGGCTTGGCTGGGGGAGGGCAATTCTTCACATTGCACTTGGAGCAACATGATCATTTTATTAAATATTAAATATCCACAGGTGCTTTTGATTTTCTTAGTTGGCTGTTCACAGCAGCATAGTGTATGTAAGACAAACCTACAAACAGACAAATAAGCATTATTTGTGAAAATTGAAGGTTTGCATTCTAGTCTCATATATATTTTTAATGAACTACATGTCTCTGGTCAAGTTATTTAATATTTTCCATTTAATTTTTAATTTATTTTAATATTAAAAGTACCAAAATTCATTACCTCCATTAGTCATTACCACTAGGAACCTGATATAATTTAAAAGACTATAAAGCTGTATGGCTTTTTGACAGTCAAAAGCTAAGGAAATTTTTTTGCCACATGAAATGCTATCTAGCTTGGGAGATAGGTGTTGCTCTTATCTATACCTGACTCAAAGTGAGAGGCCTTCACAAATATTTTTATGAAATTTCAACTTTCAATAAAATCCCATTACTTTTCCATCCTACACAATAATTAGAATGTCCCACATAAGTGGATGGTAAAAGATTAGTAGGCAATTTGCTTCTACAAACTTTATACTTTTCCTGGGAGGTTTGATATTCCACAGAGGCATGGTCCTTGGCACCCCAGGCCATAAACATCCATTTTTAATCTTTCTCAATCTATAGTCAATTAGCTCTAAGTAAAAGTAACAGAGGAAAGCCATTATGCAGATGTATCCATTAAGAGTCATCTTTTCTTAAAGGTCATGGAGAAGGAGGTGCAAATTGCCTTATCTGACAGTTTTGCTTATAATTAATGTCAGGACTCTGATTTTTACTACTATAGCTCAGCATCTCAAGGTCAGAGATTCTGTGTTAGTACAATCCTATCCTTAACACAATATTTACAGACAACTATTCTATGCAAGTCCCTAAGCTTATAGAACTCATACTTGCCATATTGAAATCAATGAGTTATTTTTGGATACAGAGATGTCATTCATCCAAATAATTCTGAAAGGCCTCCAGGTATGTAGTAGTCTGAGAAAGTGAGACTTTTTTTGTAAACTTCAGTCAGTTGTTTGGGTACCTGAAATTTTAGGCATTTTTGGCTTAAAGTATCTCAAGGGGTCTTTTAACTTGGGAATTTAGGAAAATGACAAAAGGGATTATTTGAGAAGACAAAACAATTGTAAGAAAAGTGACATATAGGCTTACCTAATGGATAACTTGTTACAAAAAATATTAATTATAGCATAAATCTGACAAGCTTGATTTGTTTAGTTAATGAGTATACTTCTAAAAACATTTTCTATTCCTCAGCCATGGGTACTTAGAGTTAGGTACTTAGTTATCTAGATCATGGATAGCTACTTAAACTGTTACTCACTTCACCCTTTGAATTTATTGTATGCTCAGAGATTCTCAGCTTCTTTTGAAGGCTATTCCTTGTCTACTGCCTTGCAGTGCTAGTATTTTACCATTTTTTTCTACATTTTTAGTATTCTCTTTGAGAGACGTCATTCATTTCCATGCTTTGACTGCCACATATGTGTTAATAAGAGCCCCATACATACTAATAAATCTCAGGTATATATCTCCAGATCAGACTTCTCTTTTGAGCTCCAAATCTTTAGTGCTTTCTTGATATCCTTACATGGATATTCCATGGACATCTATAGCAAGACTAGATACAAAACTATACTCATGATATTTTCTCAAACTTTCTCTTTTCCTATATTTCTATCTTGGTCAGTTTCTCATTCTTCCTCTAGTTATCCCCAGCTATTACGAGTAACATCCACTCATTGACATAGACCTAAAATAGATTTATTTAGGCACATCTCTAATTTAACCTTTATCCTTTTTGGTGGGATTCTTATCTACGCTAGTTCGGAATATTGCAATAATCACCTAATTGGTCTTCATCTTATTAATGCACAAGATACTGCAATGCTGCTAAGTTGATCATTCTAAACTGGAAAACTTATTATGTTATTTGCCTACTGTACATTTTTCAGTATTTTCTCATTTCCTCTGGGAAAATTCCAAATTTATTTCAGTAATACTTCCATTCATTAATTTATTTTTAATAAAGTGACCATTTACAAAGTATAGGTAACTTCCTAGACCCTGAGGCCATAGCTGTGAAGGAAGCATGAGTTTGACCCCTACTCATGTCTCTAAACTTTCTGTTCCTGCAGTCCTCTTCCCTGACCATCACACAGTAAACTTCAGCCATACCAAAATCTCTGCTATCTCAGAAAAGCTACATGATCTGCAAAACTCCTGTGGACAACTGCTTCCTTCTGTATCATTTTTCTCATTCTCAAGCCCATATACCTGTTCAACTTCAAATTATCTTTTAAAACTCTATTTAGCTAATGTCTTCTCCAGAAAGTGAAAAAAGGCTAATAAGTTGCAAAAGAAATAGGAGAAGAACCATGGATCATCCAGGGTAGTAGAATGCAGAACACTGTTCTCCAGACGTGTCTGGTATTATGTCCCATCCTCTTGTGGCACCTTGTCTTGGGACAAAACACTATTTCAAAATCATTAGCAGAAGCCCAGGCAACATAGTGAGACTCATTAAAACATGCAATTATGGTGTGAAAAATCAGAATCATGGCATATCTTATTTCCCAGAAAGCTGGTCCTCTTAATGCCAATAAAAGCTTCCTTAAGTGTGTATCAAAGCTGAGTACACAGTGTGCACAGAGTACACTGCAGAACATCTTCAAGCCCGTCACAAGTTTTGATCAACAATTGAGTACATGCACATTAACAAACATGTAATAAAGGCTTATATAAAAATGGTTTAGCTCTGAGTATGCACTCTTGGTATTAATTATATAACACTGTTATTATTGTGTGTCTGCACATTTCTACCGTAACATCATTTTGTGCCTTCAGATGATTAATCCTAACTTCTGGATGACCTTGAAAGCCCTCTTTGCTCCATCTCCAATCCACAAACCTGTAATATCATTGATCTTATTTGTTTACAAATAAATGTATCTTTTACTCTTAAACAGTTGGCTCCCTTTAAGCAGGGACAATATCTTATTAGTTTATATAATCATGACACTTGGCACAGAGTCTAGGAAATATATGTAGCTTGATAGTATGTGTTGAATAAATTATTGATCTTATTGGTGAATATTTGTTGAGCACTTTCTATATGCTGGCCTCTGTATTACATGATGGGGATATACTGGTGAACAAAAAGATTCTGGCCTCATAGAATCTCACACTATAATGTTCAAAGTATATAAAGACAAGGTTGGAAAGTTGCACAGCAGAAGCTTTGTTATGGCTATTATTTCATTGCCTTCTGACCTGTCCTATGGATATCCATAGAAACATTTGCTTTTATTACTGCAATCTGGGCTTGTTTCTTTCTTTATTCTTTACATTCTGCTCCATTTGTGATCTGCCTCTGGGTGTTTTCTTAATAATGAAATATCTTAGACCTTAAGTAAGCAAGGCCACTGATTACTGCTTTGTACATTGTGCACTTTTTCACATTCACAAATACTACATGACATGATTGGCATCCCCTGAAGTTGTGCAAGTCAACATGCCAGCTCACAAACTTAGAATCACTGCATGAGCTTAAAATACAGATTTTGAGGCTCCATCGCTCAAGAATCTGATTCTGTAAATCTGGAATAAAGCCAGATATGTGATTTGTTTTAAAGCCATCCCCTTTCTCCCGCATTCCTGCTGTTCCCTGTTCCCTTAGCCTTCCTTTTTTACCTTGTGATTCTGATGATCTACCATGTCTGAAAACCACTTATCTGAGCCATGGATAATTGGCTCTATGGAGACTCCCTTGAAAATCAGTGCAGCAATTCCGGTTATATTGTGCAATTCACATTCTGAGATTTCCTGACTAAACTAACGCTAATATGAATTTAAATTAGCTTACACTCCATACATTCACCCAAAATAAGAATATGGAATTGTATTTAAATAATTTTGCATCCCACTTTCCATATTTAGTCACCAGACAATTGGATCTGGCCACCATCGTGAACTTCATGGTTTTCCGCCCGTCTCATTTTGCATTATTCCTGTCCTAGTTAATTCTGAATCATGTATCTCTAGAACTATTTCAATTATTTCTTAACAATTATCTCTGCTTTAATCACTTGGCCCTCTATTCCATTTTTTTCCCTTATTTTTTTTCCCCGAGATGGAGTCTTGCTCTGTCACCCAGGCTGGAGTGCAGTGGCGTGATCTGGGCTCACTGCAACCTCCGTCCCTTGGGTTTAAGCAATTCTCCTGCCTCAGCCTCCAGAGTAGCTGGGATTACAAGCATGCATGGCCATACCCAGCTAATTTTTGTATTTTTTGTAGAGATGAGGTTTCGCCATGTTAGCCAGGCTGGTCTCGAACTCCTGACCTTGTGATCTACCCACCTCGGCCTCCCCAAATGCTGGGATTACAGGTGTGAGGCACCGTGCTTGGCCTCATTTTTTCCCTTCTTCATGAGTGATTTATCTGGAAAACAAACCTGATTACAACTCTCAAACTTAAAAATGTTAATTGGCTCCCCATTAAGTCTAAACTCCCTGACATGAAGTTTAAAGTTATCCTCAATTTAGTTAAATCTATTTTTCTATCATGTTTCCTAATATTATGTTTATCATTTACTTTGTCCACAGAAAGCTACTAGCCATTCCCTAAACACATTACACATTCTCCTCATTCTTTGTTTATGTTATTTCCTCTGCCTGAATGCCGCCTTCTGTCTTTTTTTTTTTCCTATCCATCAATGGATAATTAAAATGTTACTTTTACTTCTCTGCTCAAATGTGCTTTTTTTCTCAAGATTTTTGTTAGCTTTGTCTTGTGTGTATACTTTGGGGGTATAATTTTATGACAGGGGTGAATATATCAATAAGATGACAGAATAGGAGCTCACTCACTTTTATTCCCTAACGACAACAAGAATTTTGTATTTATCCATAGACAAAAGTCTCACTGTGGAAGCCCTGGGATTGAGGCAGGAGGTTGCAAAACCCTAATGGAGCCCAAGACCTAGGAGGAATATTTTGAGAATTCAAACCCATACCCAGGTGGCAGGAGTACCAGTGGTGATCCCAAGTTCAAACCCAGAAATTGCTCTGTTCCTCAATGGCTTGGCTACAACCCCTTTTGGCCATAAGCCTGCAACCAAAACCATCTGCCAAGGAGAATCACCCACACTAGTGCCTTGACAGAAAGGCTCATTTGCCCACTGATATTGGTCTCAGCAGTGAAAGTAAAAGTTAGCCTGTAATTTGGCTCTACCCCACTTTAGTTGTTGTTCCAACGTAGTACTATTCACACAGTGACCCAGAGAGAGACTCACTCATCTGAGCTACAGGGACCAGCTTGCCAGCCTCTGTCCCATAGCATATTCTGAAGAGGCCCTGTGTTTGTTACAGACTCTCTCTGCTACAGCCTGGGAGCCTCCACACCTAACATGAAGACTTGATTATCGGTGCCACCATGAAAACTTGCCAGCCTTCATCTCATGGAAGATTATGAGGGAATTTATGATTATGAGAGTATGAGACAACAAGCAGGCACTAGTTCTGCCATATCAAGGAATTTAGTCAGCACTCCTTACAGACTCAAAGCTCATCACCAGACCACATTCATGGAGGGTGGCGGATCTCAACACTACATTTCTACTGAGCATAACAGTCAGTCCACCTATCCTGATCTACTTAACCTTGGGGCCTCTCCTACAACCCTTTCCAACTGCTGAACCCAAATAAGGGTGCTTTCTGGCCAGAGAATACATCTTGTGTCCCAGCTGCATCAAAAGTGATTGCAATGCCCATCCAGAAGTACAGCCTGATTGGACAGTTTAGCCAGTGGTCTCCCTGTATTGCAGAACCTAACTTGCTGCCTCACATAAATTCAGACCAAAGACAGCAGCCCAGACATCTAAAGAACCTAAAAGGAAGCTTTGCCTCCCTAGGGTCAATACCAGCCAGCCCAATCAGAATCATAAGATATAATAAATAGTAAAGGTCTATCCCTCTCAAAGAACATCTGTAAAAATTGAAAATGGTGTCTGTCTCCACAAAGGTGCAAACATCAACACAAAAACATAACAAATACAAAGACTCAAAAAATTATGTCACCTCCAAAAGAAACTAACAAATCTCCAATAATAGACATTAAAGAAAGGAAAATCTATAAAATTCAGAAAAAGGAATTCAGAATAATCCTCTGTAAACAGTTCAATGAACTCCAAGAATATATGCATGACATATTAAATGAAACCTGAAAAAAAATAAATAAACAAATCAAGTAGTTTTACAAAAAAATAGAAATCTTAATAATGAAAAATATCATGACTTAACTGAAACATGCAAATAAAAAGTTTGAACACCTAGCATGATCAAGCTGAGGAAAGAATCAGTGAACTTGCCAAAAAAAAATGAATGAAAAATATAGAAAGCCTATGTGCCTATGCTACATGAAATATGGCACATCATCAAGAGATCTAAGCTACATATATAATAGGAATTCAAAAAGTACAAGAAAGAGAAAATGGGCCAGAAAACATATTTAAAGTAATAATGGATTAAAGAAATAAATAATAATGAAAAACTTTCCTAATCTGAAGAAAGAAGCCATCATCCAGACACAGGGAGCTCATTAATCTTCAGTAAAATTTAATCCAAAAAGGAGCTTATCACAACACATAATAATCAAATTCTTAAAAAATCAAAGACAAACAAAAATCCCAAGATCAGCAAGATATAAAAGTACATCAAAAATAGAGGAGTTCTAGTATGGCTATCAGTGGACTTAGCAGAAACCCTGCTATGCAGGAGAGAGTGAGTGGTATATATTCAAAGTAGTGAAGGTAAAAACCTGACAACCAAAAATATTTTACTCAAAAAAGCTTTGTTTCAGGAATAAAAGAGAAAAGAAAAAACTTCCACAGATAAACAAAAGTCAAGGAAGTTCATCACCACTAGGCCTGCCTCAAGAAAAATTGCTTAATACAGTTCTTTAAGATAAAATGAAAGGCTGCCAATTAATAAAATTAAATGTATGTAAGCACAAAACTTAATGATGTAAGTAATAATGAGAAATATTCAGAACACTAGGACTGTAATGGTGATACATAAAGCAACTTTATCCCTACTATAAAGGATAAAAGACAAAAGTATTAAAAATAATAGCTAAAATAAACTGTGTAGGGATACATACAATATTACAAAATTATGTACATTTAAACATCAAAAACATAAAATGTAGGTGAGGACAAAAAGTGCAGAATTTCTAACACAGTGAAACCCCATCTCTACTAAAAATACAAAAAAATTACCCGGGCATGGCAGCGGGCGCCTGTAGTCCCAGCTGCTCAGGAGGCTGAGGCATAAGAATGGCATGAACCCGGGAGGCAGAACTAGCAATGAGCCAAGTTCATGCCACTGCACTCCAGCCTGGGCAACACAGCGAGACTCCATCTCAAAAATAAATAAATAAATAAATAAATAAATAAATAAATAAATAAATAATAAAGGAGTTAATTCATCCAGAGGATATAACAATATGCAGCCAAGGGCAAAACACCTAAATAAATAAATATTGAAGGATCTGAAAAGAGAGATAGATTGTGATTAAATAATAGTAGGGGACTTCAATATTCTACTTTGAATAATGGACAGATCATCCACACATTAAATTAATAAGGGAACATTGGATTTGAACAACATTTTAGACCAAATGGACCTAACAGATATATACAATGTATTTTATTGAAAAGCAATAGAATGTGCATTTTTTTGTCAAGAACACACAGAACATTTTCCAGGATACATTATATGGTAAACTACAAGACAACCAAGGATTAGCAAATTTAAAAAAGATTGGAATCATATCAATTACCTTTTCTGGACACGATGGTATGAAACAATAAAGCAGTAACAGGAAAAAATTTGGGGATATGTATGAATACATGGAAATTAAACAGCATGCTCCTGAACAACCAATGGGTCAATGAAGAAACTAAAAGAAAAATTAAAACATATTGAGACAAACAAAAAGATATACATTATAACAAAACTTGTGGAATGCCTGTATCAGAAAAAGAAAGAAACATTACAAATACACAGCGTAATGTTTTCCCTCAAAGAATTAGAAAAAGAAGAACAAGCTAATCTCAATTTTAGAAGAAGGAAGAAATAATAAAGGGCAGAGCAGAGATAAATAAAATAGAGTCTAGAAAAATAATATAAAAGATCAATGAAACTAAGAGTTGATTCATTAACAAGATAAACAAAATTGACAAAGCTATAGCTAAACAAAAGTCTCAAATAAATAAATCAGAAATGAAAGAGAAAAGATTACAACTGACACCACAGAAATGAAAAGGATTATAAGAAACTGATATGAACAATTCTAGGCAAAAAACAAAAGCAAAACTCAGGTGTAATGAATAAATTCCTTGACACATGCAACCTACAAAAACTGAATCATGAAGAAACAGAAAATCTTACCATACAAATAACGAGAGAGGAGATTGAATCAGTAATAAAATATTTTCAAACAAAGAAAAGAACAGGACCTGATGGCTTTACTGCTGCTAAATTCTACCAAACTTTTAAAATGATTTAATATCAATTCTTCACAAACTAGTCCAGAAAATGGAAGAAGAGGGAATACTTCCCTCTTCCCCCCTTACTCTGGTATCAATGCGAGACCAGCACATCACAAGAAAAGAAAATCGCAGGCCAATATTCTTGATAAGCATAGATGCAAAAACCTCAAAAAAAAAAAAAACAGCAAGTCAAATTTAACAACAAATTAAAAGGATTTCACCAAAATCAAGTGATATTTATCCCTGGGATGCAAAAAGGATTCAACATACTCAAATCAACAAGTGTGAAAAAACCACATTTACAGAATGATGAACAAAAATCATATGATCATCTCCATAGTTGCAGAAAAATATTTAACAAAATTCAACATTATTTCATAATAATAATGAAAAACCCTCTCAATAAATCAGGTATAGAAGAAATGTACCTCAACACAATAAAGGCATATATGACAAACCCACAGCTTACATCATGCTTAACACAAAAATTTTAATATGTCTTCTCTAAGATCTGAAAGAAGACAAGGATGTCCCATCTTGCCATATCTATTTAAGATAGCATTACACATTCTAGCCAGAACTTAAAATCCTAAATTCTAACTGGAATCAGAAATAACATTCTAAATTTTTTTTCTTTTTTTGAGATGGAGACTTGCTTGTTGCCCAGGCTGGAGTGTAGTGGCATTATCTTGGCTCACCACAACTCCTGCCTCTTGGTTTCAAGCAATTCTCATGCTCAGCATCCTGAGTAGCTGGGACTACAGCGACTCGCCACCACACTCAGCTAATTTTTGTATTTTTAGTAAAGACAGGGTTTCTCCATGTTGGCCAGGCTGATCTCGAACCCCTGACCTCAAAAGATCCACCCACCTCAGCCTCTCAAAGTGCTGGGATTACAGGCATGAGCCACTGCGCCTGGCCAACATAATCTTATATATAGAAAGCCCTAAACATTTCACCAAAAACTATTAGGACTTATTAAAAAATTCAGTAAAGTTTCAGGATACAAAATCAGCATGCCAAAATTAGTAGTGCTTCTCTACACTAACAACAAACTTATCAAAAAATAAATAAATATAACAATCCCATTTAAAATGGCTACAAAAAAAGAAATAAAATACTTAATAATAAATTTAACCAAGAATGTGAAAGACCCGTATGCTGAAAACTATAAAATATTAGCAAAAAAAAAAATTGAGGAAGAAACAAATAAATGGAAAAATATTTTTTATTTATGTATTGGAAGAATTAATATTGTAAAAATGTCCATGTTACACAAAGCTATCTACACATTTATTGAGATCTCTATCAAGATTCCAATGTCATTTTTCGATATACAGAAAATAACTATCCTAAAACGTATGTGAACCATAACAAAAAGCAAATTGCCAAGGCAATATAAGAAAAGAGAACAAAGCTAGATGTATCTCACTCCATGATTTCAAGCTATACTTTAAAGCAATAATATTTAAAATAGCATGGCACTAACATAAAAATAGACACATCAACCAATGGAACAGAATAGCAAGCCCAGAAAAGAATCCATACCTCTGCAGTCAATTGATTTTCAACAAAATTACCAATAATATACAATGGAAAATGTATAATCTCCTCAATAAATGGTGCTAGGAAAACTGGATATCCATATGTAAAAGAATAAAATTGGACCTTCATCTTACACCATATACAAAAGTCTACTCAAAATAGATGAAAAAATTAAACAATCTGAAACTATAAAACTACTAGAGGAAAATACAAAATGACATTGGAAAAACTACATGACACTGGTCTGGGCAATAATTTTTAAAATTTGACCCCAAAAGTACAAGGCAACAAAAGGAAAGGTAACAAATGAAATCATATTTAAAACCTTCTGCCTATCAAAGAAAACAACTAACAAAGCGAAGAGACAACCTACAGATTGAGATAAAATATTTGCAAGCCATACATCTGATAAAAATACGTTAGAAACTCCAACAACTCTATAGAAAGAAAATACATAATCCAATTAAGAAATGGTCAAGGGAATTGAATGGATATTTCTAATAAAAAACAACCAAATGGCTAACAGATACATGAAAAAAATATCTACCTCACCAATCACCAGGGAGATGCAAACTAAAACTGCAGTGAGATATTATTTTGTGCCTGTTAGAATGGTAATTATAAAAAAAAGATAGCAAATAACAAGTCCTGTCGAGGCTGTGGAGAAAGGAAATTCTTATATACTATTGTTGGGAATGTAACTTCATACAACTATTATAGAAAATATTACGGTGGTACCTCAAAAAACTAGCAATAGAATACCATACAATCTAGAAACCCCATTTCTAAGTATTTACTTGAGATTGAGAATCAATATGTCAAATAGATGTCTGCAGTTCCATTTCATTGCAGCACTATTCACAGGCTGATTCAAGCTATGAAATCAACCTAAGTGTCCAACAAAGGATGAACGGATAAAGAAAATGTGGCATATATACATTATGTAATACTGTTGAGCTTTAAAAAAGAACAGATTTGGTCATGTGAAACAACATAAATGGAATTGGAGAACTTAATGCTAAGTGGAATAAGACAAACACAGAAAGACAAATACCACGGTTTCAATTATACAAGAAATCTAAAGAAATTGAACTCATAAAAGCAGAGAGTTAGGCTGGTAGTGACTAGAAGTTAGGAGATAGGGAAAATGGAACAGTAACAGTCAAAGAGTATAAGGAAAAATTAGCTGGATTTTCTTTAGATTAATTGCACAGCATAGTGAATATGGCTAGTAATGAAGTTCTGTACATTTTAATATTATTTAAAGAGTAAATTTTTAATGTTATCAGAAAATATACTAGATAATTGAGGTCATTGAAATGTTAATTATCTTAATTTAATGTTTCCACATTGCATTCAAAAATTATAATACCACTTTGTATTCCATAAATACATGTGACAATAGTTATCAATATAAAATAAAAATTTGAATAAAGGATTTGTACAAAGATACAATTTTTGTACTTATCTATTTTTAACAGTTTTTATAAACACATACACATATAAATACAGATACACAGTGTGGTGGATAGGGTTATGCCAACTTGATTAACCTGGAAACTATGTGGTGCCAGTTTAGCATCTGACAAAATAATCATTGATGGTCCTCTGGTGGAAATATCATGCAAAATTGGAGAGTAGAAGTGAAGTAGCCATCATCTCTGTCTGAATATTTTTTAAGGTTTATGATCGATGGATGAGCACAGGTTACTTGGTCATTTCCAGCTTGGCCCCAGTTCCTTCTGCTTTCCGTTTAGCTCCTATTCCTACTTGCTACTTACAATTCACTCCTGCTAAGAGTGATTTTAACTCTAACACCAGACACTTGTTTGTGGGCCCACTGAGGCTGGCAGTCCCACATCAATAGCTCATCGCACTTGACTTCTTAGTTTACTACTCTGCTTGCTGACCTCTTCTCTAAACATATAGGCTTTCATTATGTACTTTTAATTTCAAAACTCCTCCTTTCCTGTCCCATCACATGCATAGTGAATCTCTTTTTTCATAAATGACCTTGAATAATACATATAAGACAAGACAGAGGGAGAGAGAAAAAGAGAGAGGGGAGGAAGAAAAGAATAAGAAGGAGGAGGAGGAGGAAGAGAAAGAGGAAGAAGAGATGGAGGAGGTCAAGGAAGGAGGAAGAAGAAGAAAGAGGAAGAGGAGACCAAAATATTAAATGTATATTTCTCAAGAAAAGTCGAGATAAACATCAGTTCAAGGTGGTTATGTGACCTAAGTTTAGGTAATAGTGTGATACATGAGACTTCTCTTTCCTGTTATGCTGCCTCAGAGTCTTAGTGCTTATTTTTGATTACCTAAAGCATAATTCATTCATCAGAGGACCACAAACGGACTCCACCAAATTGAAAGCTTAGTGTGCATTATAGCTATTGTCAGTTCCTCCAGTAACAGCATGAATAGGCAGAAAAGATTACTTTGAGTTGAAGTGATTGATTGTGATCATCAAAGAAACAAGGTTGTTTCAGTACATTGAGAGCTGAGAGAAGTATGATACGAGTGAAGGTGATCATCAGAGTGCCCTCTTGTGCCCCTCTAATCTTATGTGGTCAAGGCTTTTACGTGTGTGCAACTAGGTTTAATTCACTCACTACAAAAGGGACCTCAACCAAATGAAGTGTTAGCTGAAGGGAGGGAAAGAGGTATGTTAGCCTGAATAACAGGCAGAGAGAGGCCCTTTAAAACCAATTTTATATATTCAGGAATATACCATTGCAATGAAAATCAATGTGCCATGGTAAACAATACATGTATTCAGGGAGATAAAGAAAAACAGTTTCAAAAAAATGAGGAAGATTACATAATTGTTTAGAGATAATTATCCTTGGCTATAAGAATCAATAACAAGGGTGGTGCCAAGTCTGAGGTAAGACAAGGAGTTGTTGGGCCAATGTCCTTGGAGAGTATTTTTTTGTATTAGTTTGCAAAGGGCTTTATGCAAGGCTGTGGTTTTTATATTCTTTTGTGATAGTTTTTGTTATCAGGTGCTTTTGCATGAGAAGCCACCCTTCATGGCTTTCCTTGGTTCTATTATTCAGGGTTTTTTCTTTTTAAAAAATGACTCCATTTTGATTCTGACAACTTGTACAATTTTCCTTTTTATTACAATCTTTCTCTGAAAGCATTGCTGACCAATCCTCCTGTAGTTTGGTTTTGATTATCTCTTGGTGCTATTATAGACCTTTCCTGGCTTGTTGGTCTTGTCTCAAGTTTGTGAGTGATTGGAGACTAGCCATAAATGTCAACAGAATTTTAACAATGTTTGAGCAACAAGGGAGAGTTGGAGGGAGTGGCTTTCAAGCCAAGTCTAACTGGAGACCATTATTAAGTTTAATTTTGTCTCTTCCATAGGCATTGGCTATCATCTCAAAATGCTGGCCAGCACTATTCTGTTAAGAGTTGTATTTTTGCAGAAATTTTGCAAGTAACAGGTAAAATGTTTAACATGTAAAGTAATATAAAAGCAACATAAGAACTTTTAACATAATGGTTTAGTATTGTATAATAGTTTTGAGTCATGAATCTAGTCTTAAAGGCAACCAATTGAATAAATTAAATGCAAATTAGGTGACACCTGTTTTGTAACCATGTGACTTGTTTTCTTATTTTATATATATATGAGTCTCAATTTTCCCAAATGAATTTGTCCAGGTACAGCATGTAGTATTAGCAATAACAAAGTAGTTTTCTTATCTAGCCAATAGATAATATAAAGCAATTTTATCATCTACTATCTCACGGCTGGGTTGAATTAAAGCAGAGAATGAACACCAGTCATATTTTGGTTGTTGCCAAAGTCACCCACTAAATAGATTAAAGGATCTCTTAGGTCAGGTTCTGTCAAGTTACCAACAGAAGCTACTGATTGTAAAATTTCAATTACACTCTTATCCTGTCAAGTAAAATGGTAGGCATTGAGAGGGGTAAGAATATCATTATGATATGGAGTCTTGTTCTGACATCTTGAGAAAAGCTACCTATAGCATGAAGTCATCAGCTTCTTGTCTTAGTTTGCAGTTTAAATGTCTCTAGTGATGTTATTGGCAGCTTTATAAACTTTCTGTGTGGCCCATTTGTCAGGCCTAAGACTTGTCTCTTGAAATTTATTTAGTTTCAGCTTATAGTTCTTCAAGAAGAGTAGTTCCTGGTTTTAATAGTTTTATGGAAAATAATTAGATTAGAGGAACCATGAAGAATTTAAGAACCAGTCCAGTCTATAGGAGGATAAGAAGAACTCAAAAACCATGCATAGAGCTTCAGTTTAATAAAGATTGTATTATAGTTTTTCTTTAGAAAAATAACTTTTTTATTCATAATAATCTCCAATTCTACTAAAGATAATAAAGATAATTTTTGTGAAAGTAAGTTTATTTTATCAATTTTGGTCTGATCATTTATATGTGATTGATTATATAGGAATCTCAAACTTTAAAACCTTTTGAGATTAGGAAGCCAAACAAAGGCAGACTGTAGTTTTCACATGTAGTCTTAAGGTTCTTGGGCCTCTCGGGATGTGATAATATTTACTCACTGACTGTAAGGCCGGGAATCTTGGAAGCCAGGTATTATACCCTGTTCTCAATATGGCATTCCAGTAGAAGCCTTGGTAATATGAACAATGTTTCTAATTGTATCCAGCTATAAAGAGAGTACATTCTTACTGAACTTGTACAAATAAGCATATTGCTACAAGAAACAAGAACAGTCATAATTAGTTTTTATATTTTGGAGTGGCTAGGTAGAAATAAAAAGCACATATTTCCACTTTTATTCACAGAAGTATATTTTATTAAATTGCTCTAAAATATAGATAGCTTATGATAGAAAATGTTCTTAAATATAGGAAAAAAGTAAGTAAAGAGCAAAAACACTATTTTAAATAAAAGGCATAAGCGCACCACTTTCAGCAGTCATTCAATCTCATATAATTAATTTTTGTTCTGCTTGATCTTGATTAGCAGTTTCATGAAACCATTATTTTCTTCATTAGAGTTCTGGAAATTTTTAGTAGTTCATTGATCTTCAAGTTTTAGAAACCTGTGTTTAAGAATACTAGTTATTTTCCATGAATCTAATTGCAAATGCTTTTAGAGAAGTATCAAAATTGTGGATAAAAGAGACTTAGAATAGCCATGGCTAAAAATATGATGGAAGTTTAGTTATATTGATCAATTGACATGGAAATTTGGTTATTTTTGTGGCACATAACATTTTAACATAACAAATGAGATTATGACTAAAACCATATTAGATTTCTATAAATTTATATAGTTTTTGAAACTCATATTTAAAACACACCTATCTGAAAGAAGATTCAGCATCATTTATCATTTGACAATATTATCCATACAATTTACCAAATATGCCTAATCATTTGATATTACTGCAACATGAGTGATAACGCCCCTTAATGCTCTGCAAAGGATCAACTGTTAAGTCAGTTAGTTAATTCTAGGTGAAAAAGACTTAATTTAGAATTTTGATACTGGGGACGCCCATCAAAAATGCCAAAAATTTTAAAACCTTGATCAAAACATCATGACATGTCATTGTAAGATAATGTCCTTCATTTATCCAGAATGATAATCCAAGTTCTACTTCAAAAGTGATACAGAAAATTACATGAAGGTAAAAACAAAACAAAAACCAATACTTTGAAAGTTCAGTTTTCTATGTAATCGAAAAACCTAATAAAGACACCAAGACAACATAGAACACAGAATATTATCTGATGAGTTGTTTGTTTTGAATGAGGAGGATCATTGTGGACAGGAGGCAGGACTAGATTATAGCTTCCACTTGGACAGACACAGCAGCATGTGAAGTCTTGCATCATAAACTTTTGCTCCAGACCTACGGCTGGAATAAATCAGGAAAGGCAAGAGAACCCACAGACCCACTGAAGGAAGCAGATTGCTCCTGCAGGACCTGACACCCCAAATACCGGCTGGTGTCCATGACTGAGAGACCTACAGATAGTTCACATCACAGGACTCTGTGCAGAAACCCCCTAGTACCAGCCCAGAGCCTGGTAGACCTGCTAGGTGGCTAGTTCCAGAAGAGAGATAACAATAACTAACAGCTTAGCTCTCAGGAAGCCACATCCCTAAACAAACGGGGAGTGTACTACCTCAAGGAAATACTCCATGGGACAACAGCCTTGAGCCCTAGACCTTCTCTCTGACAGAGCCTACCCAAATGAGAAGAAACCAGAAAACCAACTCTGGTAATATGACAAAATAAGGTTCAATAACACCCTCAAAAATTCACACTTGCTCACCAGCAATGAATCCATCCAAAAAGAAATCCTTGATTTACCTGTAAAAAAAAATTCAGAAGGGCAATCTTTAAGCTAATCAAGGAGGCACCAGAGAAAGACAAAGTCCAATTTAAGGAAGTAAAAAAAAAAAAAAAAATGATACAAGAAATGAGGGAAGAAACCTTCAATGAAATAGATAACATAAATTAAAAACAAAACTTCAGGAATCAATGGACACACTTATAGAAATACAAAATGCTCTGGAAAGTCTCAGCAATGTAATCAAACAAGCAGGAGAAAGAACTTCAGACCATGAAGACAAAGTGTTTACATTAACCCAATCCAACAAAGACAAAGGAAAAAAAAATAAGCAAATATGTACAAAGCCTCCAAGAAGTCTGGGATTACATTAAATGACCAAACCTAAGAATAATCAGCATTTCTGAGGAAGAAGAGAAATCTAAAAGTTTGAAAAACATATTTGGGACAATAATTGAGGAAAACTTCCTGAGTCTTGTTAGAGACCTAGACATCCAGATACAAGAAGCTCAAAGAACACCCAGGAAATTAATCACAAAAAGATCATCACCTAGGCATATTGTCATGAGGTTATCTAAAGTTAAGACGAAGGAAAGAATCTTAAGAGCTGTGAGGCAAAAGCACCAGGTAAACTATAAAGGAAAACCTATCAGATTAACGGCAGATATGTCAGCAGAAAGCCCACAAGCTAGAAGAGATTGGAGCCCTATTTAAGACTCCTTAAACAAAACAATTATTAGCCAAAAATTTTGTAGCCAGTGAAACTAAACTTTATAAATCGAGGAAAGTTATAGTCTTTTTCAGACAAACAAATGCAGAGAGAATTCACCACTACCAAGCAAGCACTAAAAGAACTGCTGAAAGAAGCTCTAAATCTTGAAACAAATACTGAAAACATACCAAAACAGAATCACTTTAAGGTATAAATCTCACAAGACCTATGAAACAAAAGTACAATTAAAAAACAGACGGGGCCGGGCGCAGTGGCTCACGCCTGTAATCCCAGCACTTTGGGAGGCTGAGGAGGGTGGATCACAAGGTCAGGAGATTGAGACCATCCTGGCTAACATGGTGAAACCCCGTCTCTACTAAAAATACAAAAAAAATTAGCCGGGCGTGGTGGTGGGCACCTGTAGTCCCAGCTACTCGGGAGGCTGAGGCAGGAGAATGGCCTGAACCCAGGAGGTGGAGCTTGCAGTGAGTGGAGATGGCACCACTGCACTCCAGCCTGGGTGACAGAGCTAGACTCCATCTGAAAAACAAACAAACAAACAAACAAACAAACAAACAAAAGGTAAAAACAAAGGTAAAACAAAAGGCAACAAATAGTACGATTAACAGAATAGTACCTCACATCTCATTAGTAACATTGAATGTAAATGGCTTAAATACTCCACTGGAAAGATACAGAATTGCAGAATGGATAAGAATTCACCAACCAACCATCTGCTGCCTTCAAGAGACTCACCTAATGCATAAGGACTCACCTAAACTTAAGGTAAAGGAGTGGAAAAGTACATTCTATGCAGATGGACACCAAAAGCGATCAGGAGCAGCTATTCTTATATCAGACAAAACAAATTTTCTTCTCAAAAAGAGCACATATGTCATATAATTGTTCTCATAAAAAACACATTTTTTGCATACTTTGTGCACAAAGTTATATATATTAATTAGAATTTTAACTCTTAGTAAACTTATTTCTAGTTAAATCTAGGAAGCAAGACATTTTGAACTATCTTGTCACATGTCAGTATTTTCCAGATGTAAAACATTTTGTCATTTGTAGAAATATTTCTCCATAACATAATTTTATGCATATTAATAGACATAAATACATGCAGTCTTTCTGTAAAATTTAAGAAGCCAATAACAAATATTTATACTCAACAATTAATGTTTTAGTATTTTATGTTACTTGAAAATTGTTATCTATTACTTAATTTAACCTAACTTTAAGATTTTAAAATACATAAAAATTTCTTTATTAACATTTATTCCATTTATATTTATTTATTTTGATCAATTATTCCTGGATTACTTATATATACTGATAATGTAAACAGAACTAGTCATTATTTTAACATATACCCTTGTTAACCATTTTTATAGACTGTAAATATCACATGTTCACCTAAGTAAAAAACTTAGATTTATAGATATTTTACTGATAAGTCAAAAGATACAGTTGTTTAATTAAACCAACAATATTAAATTAACCTTACTTATCAAAGAGTTACAAAAACAAAGAACATTCACTCTGTGTTTTCTAGGTTTATAATTTTATAAATTTTGTGTCAAATCCTGACACCTTAAGACATCTTGCAGAGACAAATACAAAACTGTCTGACCGATAATCCCAGATAAAAATGTATGCTGACAATTCTCAAAATGATTCTTTTTTTATTTTATCTACAAATTTAATACTAGCTTATTTGTTAAAGATTTACTTAAGTCTCATGAATTAAAAAGCATTTGGATTAATTACTATACATTTTAACAATATTTATGTGATTGCTCACTTACCTAAGACAACCTGAATAGAATTTCTTAAGAAATATCTAGCTGACTAGTGCAGATTTTACCATGTAGCCATGAAATACAACATGATGCATTTATATATGTATAAAAACACCAAATATCTATTCACATACAATCAAAGATTTAGAGCTTTCATTTTAGAATTTTAATTATGAGACAGTAAAAGATAGTAATACAAACTACAAATCCACAAATTTATAAAACATATTTAAGTACAAATTATATTTCTAATAAAATGGGAACTGTTGACATATCTAAACTTATTTGCTGTGGTAGGTAATCTTACAAAGGCTATGGGCCAAAATTTTGGGTAAACCAGTTTGGCTTTAAAAAAAATCCTTATTTACATTTTTCGTCCCCCTTACAGCTTCAAATTGTGTTTAGAGTTAAATTTTCAGACTTCTACATTTAAGCTATGACTGGCTGAAGTGTAAAAGAAAAACAAAATCTTCAGGTTACCTTGAATTTTAGTAACATATTTTTCTTTTGTTTGCTGGTCTGACTAGTTAATGCACGGAAGAAAGCATTTTTTAAGAAAACATAATTTGCACTTTTTATGGCTCTTAGCAGGGCCATGTGTGGCAGACAAAGCAATTTTATGCCAGACGGAGAACATTTATTACTGATCTGAGCTCAAGATTTTGACCTATTTGATATGAGAGCCTAACTTTTATAAACATTTATCTAGTTCTTTCTTCTCAGACTATCAATTTTTCAATTAACTATTCCCTCACCCTAAGTTATCATTAGCCAGGCAAACCTAAATTTACATTAAAAAGGATGACTCCTTGGTCTAGGTTAGTGGTTGCCATGGAGCTGCTGTAATTTGTAAAGCCATTAATTTGAAATCCCTTGAAGTTTTGTTTTCTATCTTGGCTGGAATGGCATAAGGAGTTAGTTTATCTTAATACCATCAGAAAATCAATGGATTCAAAGTAGGCAGAAAAAAAAATAGAGAGATAAAGAACTTAGAAGATTCTACATGTTGACTTTACAGTTGGTTGCAGTTTCTAATTCATATCTATGGAAAATGGGCTTGGGGAGTTTAAATGAGCCCCATGATAGTCATTGACTTAAAAATATGCACAAGAAAAAGCCATGTAGCTGGCTGGAGTCCCGGGATGCCTGGCATGCCTTAATATTTGAGGATCTTACTCCATTTCATGTTAATTTCTCAAAAGCAAAGAAAAATCTACAAATCCTGTCAGAGACTGTCAGGAGTTTGGACTGGTGTTTTAGATGGTGGTGACTGCACTAGGCACTTTACGTTGGCCATCTAACGACCACTATTTAGAATGGTTATTTTTGCTCTTGGAAGAGCAAGCAAGGGGAGAATCAAACATGAAAGAGCCAAATCACTTACAGATGCATGTAACCAAACCAAAATAATAGTGTTCACAGAAATTTTAAGCCAGGCATTCAGACAAAACAACATTTTAAACTAGGGAAACAGAACCAAAGTGAATTCACCAGATAAGATGTGTCTCACAGACAAAACATCTATTCTTGGAAACCAGAGTATTCAAATAAGGACACTTGTCTTTATACCAGAAAAGGCCTGCCAAAAGCAAACAATACTTTTGTAGTCTCAAGGGGGATGCCAGGTCCTGTATTTAAGGTGGGCTTATCACTGACTCAGATCCCAAATAATGTAAAAATGAATTTGCAAATAATGAGTAGTCAGATAATCCCAGAGGAGATTCATTAGGGCAAAAAAGGCAATTCATGGAAATGTAGAGTGTGAAGGACTCAGTTGGTACCACACTGGATTCCAGAGGCAGCCAGTTCATCCAAGGTGACCTCATTTTGGTCCCACTTCTGAAGCACTGTCTACATAACATTGAGAGACCCTCTAAAAGAAAATATTCATTCAGGAATAGGCATTGCAATGGGAATATGCCATAGTAAACTATGTGCATATTCCACAAGGTATTATAAATGAAGGCAAGGTTTTGAAAGGGAAAACAAGGAGAATTTCAAAGTTATTTTGAAATAATTATCCTTGACTAAAGGATTAATAACAAGGGTTGTTTCAGTTTGAGGTTGGACAGGCAGGTAGGGATAGATGTCCTTGCAGAGGTACTATTTTGTGTAAGATTGTGGTGGTCTCTGTGCAAGGTTGTGCTTTTTGGGGAGTCTAATATGATAGTCATTGATGTCAGATATTTGTCAATGAGAACCCTCTCTTCATGGGTTTCCCTAGCCCTATTTATCAAAGTTTTTAACACAAGTGACTTCATTTAGTCATCGATATCCCACAATTTAGCCAATCAGTAATTTTCAAAAGTTTGAAATTGCATTGTAAAAAAAAAAAAAAAAAAAAAAAAAAGACAACATTGTAACAAGGTTCCCAGGTGTTTTTCAGGCACGTAAAAGTTTGAGGACTACTGGTCTACCAACTTCAACGAGACCAAGCTCCTATCCTCTCTCCACCCTCATGTTCTACCATCTTCATTTAGCTCTGGCCTCTGGGCTCCTCACTGTTCCTCAAACGTGGCAAGCATTGTGTCATTCAGGATGTCTGCTTCAATTCATCTGTTGCCTGGAATGTTCATCTCCTCACCACTTCCAGATCCCTGCCCACCATCGTCTTAGGAAGCCCTGACCACCCCCACTCTCCCCTGCCAACTCATGTTCTCTAGATTCCTGGACCCTGCTTTGATTTGATTATGATATTTATCACTACTTTATAAAGTTCTTTATATGTTTATATGAAATATTGCTCTCTCCTACAAACAAAATCTCCATAACTGCAAACACTTCCTCATTTGCTTATTTCACTGCTCTATCCCCAAAGCCCAGCAAATAGAAGATATTCAACAAATATTTGATGCTCAAGTGAATATATGACACTAGTGCTTCTAATGAACAGTGGCTTAGCCAAGTATCCAAACTTGTTTTAAAGACCTTAAAAATATAACTTAGGCACTTTTGATGCCTAAAAGAAAATTAGCTGTAGTTTACAAATGCAAAAGGACATATAGTCTAGAACGTCTGGGCCCTGAGTTGTATGAATAATCTGATCATATTTTTGAAGTTTTATGTCTTTGAAAATGGGATAAATGTGCTTTCAATTTTATATAAAGAAAGGTCAGTTTCATTAACATATAGTGGAGATTTTTTCCCTTAAATTCTGAGCATGGGAATAAGGCTACACATGTGTGCTAAGAAAGTAGAAGGCACTCCAGCCTGGGTGACAGAGCGAGACTCCATCTCAAAAAAAAATAAAAAATAAAAAAATAAAAAAAAAGAAAGTAGAAGGAATGGATTGCAGAAGATTCTGTCAGTGCCCTTTAACCTCAACTTACATTTTAATTTGAGGGAGTTCTTCATCATATGCATCTATGGAAGCCAATGAAGATAGATCTTCCCTTACCATAAACCATGGGAGCTTGAAGATGGGCATCTGAATAATTTTAGCAAGCAGACCCTTCTACCAGTGATTTTTAAAACTTACCTGAGTGATAAACATGCTTAAGGAAGTTTAAACTTGATTTACACTAGCCTGGGAATAAAGGGCACACCCTGAGTCCAGTTGTGGTGAGGTGCCCACAATTGTGGTGATGGCACTGGCAGCAGGGTCCTAGCCAAATCCTTCCAACTGCTGGACACTAGCTGTGGTTTCTGTTTCCCTCTTGTTTGTTTCATGCCTATATTTCAAGGCCCCAATATTCAGTCTTCCCAAACATTTTGTGAGATATATGCTAGATTTCCAATAAGTTCCTTTTCTGTTTATGTTAGCTAAAGTTAGTTGCTATTCCTTGCAACAAAGAAATATTCACTACTTCTTATGTATTTTCAATTCTTCTCCTGTGTGTGTACATTTATTTACTTCTTTCTGAGACACTTTCTTTGAAAGTTCTGCTAGTGGTTGCCTATGAGTAGTAAAATCTTTCAAAGTTTGTATGTTTGAAAGTATCATTATGGCCAGGCATGGCGGCTCACGTCTGTAATCCCAGCACTTTGGAAGGCCGAGGCGGGCAGATCACCTGAGGTCTGGAGTTCGACAGCCTGAGCAACATGGAGAAACCCTGTCTCTACTAAAAATACAAAAAGTTAGCCAGGAGTGGTGGCGCATGCCTGTAATCCCAGCTGCTGGAGAAGCTGAGGTAAGAGAATCGCTCGAACCCAGAAGGCGGAGGTTGTAGTGAGCCAAGATTGCACCATTGATTGCACTCCAGCCTGGGCAACAAGAGCGAAACTCCATCTCCAAAAAAAAAAAAAAAGAAAAAGAAAAAGAAAAAAAGAAAGAAAGAAAGTGTCATTATTAGCAAAAATATGCATTAATTTATTCAACATAATTCATTGTGTACCTACTACATGACTGGATCTAAGAAACCCCCTACACACACATGAATAAGATTTACTCTTGCAAGCACAAAGAGTAAATGTTTTTATTATGCTAAAGGAAAGTATTGCTAAGATTTATAACTAATGTAAAAATAAAAGATTGATATTTTTGAGAAAGTCATACACAATTTGGTTTAACATTTCAGCTCTCTGTGTGCTTTTAGAGTAATAGCCATATAGTTTTGAGATTTTTTTTTAAATAAAAGTAAGAATTTAACTTTTAAATCTTATGTGTTAAAAGACATATGTATTTAAGTCCTTTATACTTAGGCATATATGTATATAAGTACATATGTTCTGATACACACACACTGCACACAATATGTATACTCACACATATATGTATATGTGTGTATTTATATAAAAGTCTGTGAAGTGTGTGAATGTGTAGAATTGGACTAACTTTATAGGCTCTAGATTCAAGAAACTTTTTTTTTCAGAAAAATGAAGAGCTAAGAGATTACATAGGAGAGGATACAGCACATAAGTACCATGCAAGAGATTATAGACAACAAAATAGGTGATACACAGATGTCCATGTGTAGATAAAGGCTCATCTGAGTTTATCAAGAACAAGGTAAGGGTTGGAGAGGGCATTACTTGAAGTTTGGATGAGATTTTGATAAACAAAATATTGGAGAGGTAATGGCAAAAATAGGAAGGTACACACAAAAGTACCTCAGATAAATACTCATTATGAAGACACCATGAAATTCAGTAGGATTCTTCTTTCTTTCTTCCTTTCCCATATTTCATGATTCTAAAATGATTAGAAGGTAGTGGGAGTTTCAATAATTATTTTGAAGGAATAATCATAGTGAGTGACTTTTACTGCAGTACAACTTATACAAAATTCTTTTTACTTTCAAAAGAATTATTATATCTCAACAAAAAGGAATTAGTATTATTTCTTGCATTTTACAGATAAGAAAACTAAGGATTGAAATATAAATAACTTGCCAGGAGTGGCACAGCAGTAGGCGCAAAAGCTGAACTGGGTCCTTCTGTGTCCCTGACTCCTGGATCATTATCACCATCCAGGCTGCCTCCTGTTAGCCTCCCTTTGGATCTATACAATTTTAAATCAATACTCTCTCTTTTTTTTTTTTTTTTTAAAAAAAGGTAGAATCCTTATTTTAGTCACTAAACAAGTTTTATAATCATGCCGGGTCCCATATGCTTCCATCATTGTTTAATGTAGAAATATTGCTAAATATCAAGATGCTCCCATCTAAGTACGACTGTTTCCCTAAACTAAAATTTTATACTTTTTTTATTTTTATTTTTTTTTTGAGAGAGAGTCTTGCTGTCTTGCCCAGGCTAGAGTACAGTGATACCATCTTGGCTCACTGCAGCCTCCGCCTCCCGGGTTCAAGGGATTTCCCTGCCTCAGCCTCCCAGTAGCTGGGATTGCAGGCGTATGCCACCGTGCACGGCTAATTTTTGTATTTTTAGTAGAGATGGGGTTTCACCATGTTGGCCAGGCTGGTCTGGAGCCCCTGACCTCAGTTGATCTGCCTGTCTCGACCTCCCAAAGTGCTGGGATTATAGGCATGAGCCACCATGCCCAACCCTAAAGGTTTATACTTTTAACAGAAAAAAAAAAAAGAAACAACAGCACTCCATAGGATAGGTTTTTTCTTTATAAAATCTCAGTATGCAAATATAATTTTATTTATATTTCTCTTAATGTAATCATTAAAGAATATTCTCATATCCATCAGGCACGTGTGACTGTGGATGAAAATGCCATTCATTATTCTCTCTCTCACCACATAAGAATTGTTTTAAGATCTTTAATTATTTTTTAGTCTATTGAAAGTTAAGACCTTCTATCTCTCCTCATTGGCAGCAAATACTGGGCTAAAACTTTTTAGGTAGAAATCTGCTTTTATTTATCACACCCACCAGTGCTAAAGACTCTGACTTCTCCTAGTCCTGTGGCAGAAACAGGTGGGAGGTGTGTTAGTGATTTCAGTCCTGGGTGGATGATCATTCCTCCAGCAGAGAGGCCACGCTCTGTGTCTAGTGAAGGGAGGGACTAGAGGACATATAAACTAAGTTTAAGCCTTTTAAAGACTGTTGGAGCTGAGTAAAAACCTGTTTCAAAAGAGACGGTAGGCGAAAACTCTTTAAGACAGGAGCCCGTTTTCCCGGGGGGAGGAGCCAAGATGGCCGAATAGGAACAGCTCTGGTCTACAGCTCCCAGTGTGAGGGAGGCAGAAGGCAGGTGATTTCTGCATTTCCATCTGAGGTACCCGGTTCATCTCACTAGGGAGTGCCAGAGAGTGGGCGCAGATCAGTGGGTGCAGTGCACCGTGCGCGAGCCGAAGCAGGGCAAGGCACTGCCTCACTCAGGAAGTGCAAGGGGTCAGGGAGTTCCCTTTCCTAGTCAAAGAAAGGGGTGACAGACGGCACCTGGAAAATCAGGTCACTCCCACCCAAATATTGCGCTTTTCCAACGGGCTTAAAAAATGGAGCACCAGGAGATTATATCCTGCACCTGGCTTGGAGGGTCCTATGCCCACGGAGTCTCGCTGATTGCTAGCACAGCAGTCTGAGATCAAACTGCAAGGCGGCAGTGAGGCTGGGGGAGGGGCGCCCGCCATTGCCCAGGCTTGCTTGGGTAAACAAAGCAGCCGGAAAGCTCGAACTGGGTGGAGCCCACCACAGCTCAAGGAGGCCTGCCTGCCTCTGTAGGCTCCACCTCTGGGGGCAGGGCACAGACAAACAAAAAGACAGCAGTAACCTCTGCAGACTTAAATATCCCTGTCTGACAGCTTTGAAGAGAGCAGTGGTTCTCCCAGCACGCAGCTGGAGATCTGAGAACGGGCAGACTGCCTCCTCAAGTGGGTCCCTGACCCCTGACCCCTGAGCAGCCTAACTGGGAGGCACCCCCCAGTAGGGGCAGACTGACACCTCACACGGCCGGGTACTCCTCTGAGACAAAACCTCCAGAGGAACGATCAGACAGCAGCATTCGCGGTTCACGAAAAACCACTGTTCTGCAGACACCACTGCTGATACCCAGGCAAACAGGGTCTGGAGTGGACCTCTAGCAAACTCCAACAGACCTGCAACTGAGGGTCCTGTCTGTTAGAAGGAAAACTAATAAACAGAAAGGACATCCACACCAAAAACCCATCTGTACATCACCATCATCAAAGACCAAAAGTAGATAAAACGACAAAGATGGGGAAAAAACAGAGCAGAAAAACTGGAAACTCTAAAAAGCAGAGCACCTCTCCTCCAAAGGATCGCAGTTCCTCACCAGCAATGGAACAAAGCTGGATGGAGAATGACTTTGACGAGTTGAGAGAAGAAGGCTTCAGACGATCAAACTACTCCGAGCTACAGGAGGAAATTCAAACCAAAGGCAAAGAAGTTAAAAACTTTGAAAAAAATTTAGATGAATGTATAACTAGAATAACCAATGCAGAGAAGTCCTCAAAGGAGCTGATGGAGCTGAAAGCCAAGGCTCGAGAACTACATGAAGAATGCAGAAGCCTCAGGAGCTGACGCAATCCACTGGAAGGAAGGGTATCAGCGATGGAAGATGAAATGAATGAAATGAAGCGAAAAGTGAAGTTTAGAGAAAAAAGAATAAAAAGAAACGAACAAAGCCTCCAAGAAATATGGGACTATGTGAAACGACCAAATCTACGTCTGATTGGTGTACTTGAAAGTGACGGGGAGAATGGAACCAAGTTGGAAAACACTCTGAACGATATTATCCAGGAGAACTTCCCCAATCTAGCAAGGCAGGCCAACATTCAGATTCAGGAAATACAGAGAACGCCACAAAGATACTCCTCGAGAAGAGCAACACCAAGACACATAATTGTCAGATTCACCAAAGTTGAAATGAAGGAAAAAATGTTAAGGGCAGCTAGAGAGAAAGATCGGGTTACCCACAAAGGGAAGCCCATCAGACTAACAGCGGATATGTGGGCAGAAACTCCACAAGCCAGAAGAGAGTGGGGGCCAATATTCAACATTCTTAAAGAAAAGAATTTTCAACCCAGAATTTCATATCCAGCCAAACTAAGCTTCGTAAGTGAAGGAGAAATAAAATACTTTACAGACAAGCAAATGCTGAGAGATTTTGTCACCACCAGGCCTGCCCTAAAAGAGATCCTGAAGGAAGCACTAAACATGGAAAGGAACAACCGGTACCAGCCGCAGCAAAATCATGCCAAAATGTAAAGACCATCGAGACTAGGAAGAAACTGCATCAACTAACAAGGAAAATAACCAGCTAACATCATAATGACAGGATCAAATTCACACATAACAATATTAACTTTAAATGTACATGGACTAAATGCTCCAATTAAAAGACACAGACTGGCAAGTTGGATAAGGAGTCAAGACCCATCAGTGTGTTGTATTCAGGAAACCCATCTCACATGCAGAGACACACATAGGCTCAAAATAAAAGGATGGAGGAAGATCTACCAAGCAAATGGAAAACAAAAAAAGGCAGGGTTTGCAATCCTAGTCTCGGATAAAACAGACTTTAAACCAACAAAGATCAAAAGAGACAAAGAAGGCCATTACATAATGGTAAAGGGATCACTTCAACAAGAAGAGCTAACTATCCTAAATATATATGCACCCAATACAGGAGCACCCAGAATCATAAAGCAAGTCCTGAGTGACCTACAAAGAGACTTAGACTCCCATACATTAATAATGGGAGACTTTAACACCCCACTGTCAACATTAGACAGATCAACGAGACAGAAAGTTAACAAGGATACCCAGGAATTGAACTCAGCTCTGCACCAAGTGGACCTAATAGACATCTACAGAACTCTCCACCCAAAATCAACAAAATATACATTTTTTTTCAGCACCACACCACACCTATTCCAAAATTGACCACATACTTGGAAGTAAAGCTCTCCTCAGCAAATGTAAAAGAACAAAAATTATAACAAACTATCTCTCAGACCACAGTGCAATCAAACTAGAACTTAGGATTAAGAAACTCATTCAAAACCGCTCAACTACATGGAAACTGAACAACCTGCTCCTGAATGACTACTGGGTACATAACGAAATGAAGGCAGAAATAAAGATGTTCTTTGAAACCAACGAGAACAAAGACACAACATTCCAGAATCTCTGGGACACATTCAAAGCAGTGTGTAGAGGGAAATTTATAGCACTAAATGCCCACAAGAGAAAGCAGGAAAGATCCAAAATTGACACCCTAACATCACAATTAAAAGAACTAGAAAAGCAAGAGCAAACACATTCAAAAGCTAGCAGAAGGCAAGAAATAACTAAAATCAGAGCAGAACTGAAGGAAATAGAGACATAAAAAACCCTTCAAAAAATTAATGAATCCAGGAGCTGGTTTTTTGAAAGGATCAACAAAATTGATAGACTGCTAGCAAGACTAATAAAGAAAAAAAGAGAGAAGAATCAAATAGACGCAATAAAAAATGATAAAGGGGATATCACCACCGATCCCACAGAAATACAAACTACCATCAGAGAATACTACAAACACCTCTACGCAAATAAACTAGAAAATCTAGAAGAAATGGATAAATTCCTCAACACATACACCCTCCCAAGACTAAACCAGGAAGAAGTTGAATCTCTGAATAGGCCAATAACAGGATCTGAAATTGTGGCAAAAATCAATAGCTTACCAACCAAAAAGAGTCCAGGACCAGATGGATTCACAGCCGAATTCTATCAGAGGTACAAGGAGGAACTGGTACCATTCCTTCTGAAACTATTCCAATCAATAGAAAAAGAGGGAATCCTCCCTAACTCATTCTATGAGGCCAGCATCATCCTGATACCAAAGCCGGGCAGAGACACAACCAAAAAAGAGAATTTTAGACCAATAGCCTTGATGAACATTGATGCAAAAATCCTCAATAAAATACTGGCAAACCAAATCCAGCAGCACATCAAAAAGCTTATCCACCATGATCAAGTGGGCTTCATCCCTGGGATACAAGGCTGGTTCAATATACGCAAATCAATAAATGTAATCCAGCATATAAACAGAACCAAAGACAAAAACCACATGATTATCTCAATAGATGCAGAAAAGGCCTTTGACAAAATTCAACAACCCTTCATGCTAAAAACTCTCAATAAATTGGGTATTGATGGGACATATCTCAAACTAATAAGAGCTATCTATGACAAACCCACAGCCAATATCATACTGAATGGGCAAAAACTGGAAGCATTCCCTTTGAAAACTGGCACAAGACAGGGATGCCCTCTCTCACCACTCCTATTCAACATAGTGTTGGAAGTTCTGGCCAGGGCAATTAGGCAAGAGAAGGAAATAAAGGGTATTCAATTAGGAAAAGAGGAAGTCAAATTGTCCCTGTTACAGATGACATGATTGTATATCTAGAAAACTCCATTGTCTCAGCCCAAAATCTCCTTAAGCTGATAAGCAACTTCAGCAAAGTCTCAGGATACAAAATCAATGTACAAAAATCACAAGCATTCTTATACTCCAATAACAGACAAACAGAGAGCCAAATCATGAGTGAACTCCCATTCACAATTGCTTCAAAGAGAATAAAATACCTAGGAATCCAACTTACAAGGGATGTGAAGGACCTCTTCAAGGAGAACTACAAACCACTGCTCAATGAAATAAAAGAGGATACAAACAAATGGAAGAACATTCCATGCTCATGGGTAGGAAGAATCAATATCGTGAAAATGGCCATACTGCCCAAGGTAATTTATAGATTCAATGCCATCCCCATCAAGCTACCAATGACTTTCTTCGCAGAATTGGAAAAAACTACTTTAAAGTTCATATGGAACCAAAAAAAGAGCCCTCATCGCTAAGTCAATCCTAAGCCAAAAGAACCAAGCTGGAGGCATCGCACTACCTGACTTCAAACTATACTACAAGGCTACAGTGACCAAAACAGCATGGTACTGGTACCAAAACAGAGATATAGATCAATGGAACAGAACAGAGCCCTCAGAAATAATGCCACATATCTACAACTATCTGATCTTTGACAAATCTGAGAAAAACAAGCAATGGGGAAAGGATTCCCTATTTAATAAATGGTGCTGGGAAAACTGGCTAGCCATATGTAGAAAGCTGAAACTGGATCCCTTCCTTATGCCTTACACAAACATCAATTCAAGATGGATTAAAGACTTAAACGTTAGACCTAAAACCATAAAAACCCTAGAAGAAAACCTAGGCATTACCATTCAGGACATAGGCATGGGCAAGGGCTTCATGTATAAAACACCAAAAGCAATGGCAACAAAAGCCAAAATTGACAAATGAGATCTAATTAAACTAAAGAGCTTCTGCACAGCAAAAGAAACTACCATCAGAGTGAGCAGGCAACCCACAAAATGGGAGAAAATTTTCGCAACCTACTCATCTGACAAAGGGCTAATATCCAGAATCTACAATGAACTCAAACAAATTTACAAGAAAAAAACAAACAACCCCATCAAAAAGTGGGTGAAGGACATGAACAGACACTTCTCAAAAGAAGACATTTATGCAGCCAAAAAACACATGAAAAAATGCTCACCATCACTGGCCATCAGAGAAATGCAAATCAAAACCACAATGAGATACCATCTCACACCAGTTAGAATGGCAATCATTAAAAAGTCAGGAAACAACAGGTGCTGGAGAGGATGTGGAGAAATAGGAATACTTTTACACTGTTGGTGGGACTGGAAACTAGTTCAACCATTGTGGAAGTCAGTGTGGCGATTCCTCAGGGATCTAGAACTAGAAATACCATTTGACGCAGCCATCCCATTACTGGGTATATACCCAAAGGACTATAAATCATGCTGCTATAAAGACACATGCACACGTATGTTTATTGCGGCACTATTCACAATAGCAAAGACTTGGAACCAACCCAAATGTCCAACAATGATAGACTGGATTAAGAAAATGTGGTACATATACACCATGGAATACTATGCAGCCATAAAAAATGATGAGTTCATGTCCTTTGTAGGGACATGGATGAAATTGGAAATCATCATTCTCATTAAACTATTGCAAGAACAAAAAACCAAACACCGCATATTCTCACTCATAGGTGGGAATTGAACAATGAGAACACATGGACACAGGAAGGGGAACATCATACTCTGGGGACTGTTGTGGGGTGGGGGGTGGGGTGAGGGATAGCATTGGGAGATATACCTAATGCTAGATGACGAGTTAGTGGGTGCAGCGCACCAGCATGGCACATGTATACATATGTAACTAACCTGCACATTGTGCACATGTACCCTAAAACTTAAAGTATAATAATAAAAATAAATAAATAAAATAAAATAAAATAAAATAAAAGACAGGAGCCCACCTGACCTAAAAAAAAAAAAAAAAAAAAGACAAAAAGGCATGTCCCATATAAAATGGAAGATCACAATCTCAAAAACAGATCTGATAATGTCATTAAGTCTCTCAATTTAAACATCATCAATGTCCAACAAATCAGCAAAGTGTGTTGTGTTCCACAACAAGGCTGCCCTATACTTAACATCAATACTTTAAAGCTTCAACAGAAAGTATTGGACTGACTTTAAAGTTTAGAACTTGGGAAATGTTTAGTCATTTGACATCATCACCTCCTTTTTTGAATGCTCAAAGCAGTTTCTTTCTAAAAGTAAGTGTGTCATATAGTTGGAGACAGAATTCCTGAAAAGTAGAGCTAGAAAAAGAGACCAACAGAGGTGTCTGCTTTGGTTCTTATTTCAAATGATCATTTCTGTTTTTGACTCCTGTCCTTTGCTTTTTACTAACTGTAGTAAGAACAGGAGCATAAAAGCTAAAATTGAAATTGCCCTAGTAAAGTCACTGGGACCTTAAAGCTTGACAGGGATATTGGTGTTTGGTGATATTAGCTTTAGGTTTATCTGTCTGCATTCCCTTTCACACATTTGTGGAAATGCCAATCTTTTTTCAGATTTTTTTCCTTGAAAATTTATCTCCTGATCTTCCTAACCTCTTACTCTATTCCCAGGCATAAGCATAGCATACATCGCCACCATACTAGGTCTCCTTGGCCATGAAATATGACACTTTTGAAATTTTTTTGTAAATCCTAAGTATTGGTAGAAGGTTTACATTAGTATTGGAAGCGGCATTCATTTTGGCTCCTCTCAAGCCAAGGTTTGATTATTTTCTACCTTACAATTTTTTTTTCTTCTAGCAAGGGCAGAATCTCTTTCAAATCCTACCTGCTGTGGAAGCACAACAAAAGATTGAAGGGATGGGAATGCAGGGAGGCAGCCCAAATTCATTCTTTGACCTCTGAGCTCAAGTAGCTGTCATGCACAAATCCGATTTTTGCTAGAAAGATATATTCTTCCATCCTTCAAAGGACAAAATTAATGAAACTGAATGAGTTGAGGAATTATTTCTTAAGCAATTTTTCACAAGTGATGTGTAGCAAATCTGAGAGTTTTCAATATATATTTTTGTTGGACAATTTGAGGAGGACAAACCAGAGAAACTTTTTGCTTTAAAACATAGAAAACATGCTATAGAACTCAGTGATAGGGACCACATGGTACAGTGGAAAGCATCTTGAACTCAGAGTTTGAAGATGTGAACTGAATTTTAGAATGCTGCTTGCACTTCTTATCATCGTGTGTCATCTTTTTCCCCATGTCTGTTACCTCTCTTTACCCCAACTCATTATAATCATTCATAAACGGTGCTGAGTCATTCTGTCCAATCTCTCTCCTTCCACACAGAAATTTTCCTGAAAAAGGAAGTGATTTGCTCATCCAGAAAAGATTGATCACAAGTGAATGAGACACTGTCTGTATTCTAATGAATTTTAAGTTCAATTAAGCAGGGATAACATGCACATAAGAAATGTGTAAAAGTAGTCATGTAATGTTTGCTTAAATTCTATTATGAGGACATTTGCAAGGTGGCATTTTAGGAAAGAAAGAGAAAAGTTGAGATAAACGGAAGGAGGGGAGGAAGACTTCATGAGGGAACAGGACTTAGTCTGTGCCTGGAGTTCTTGGTAGAAGTTTCTGAGGGTGAACAAAGAAACCATTATTATATAATTGAAATTACACTGGTGTTGAGGCAAAAACTGCTAGCTTTTTTCAAAAAGTCATTTAAAACTCATAAACATTCAGATTCCTGCACAATTAAATGAAGCCACAATAATGATGTAATTATCCTATTTTCACAAGTTAATTGAGAGTATTTTAATAGATAGTATATATGAAAGAGACCAGTGCAGTGCCTGGCATATATCAAGTGCTAATTTGATACTGCATTTGGTTCAAGAGGAGGCAAGGTGTAGAAGCAAAGACAAGGCCATGATAGCAAATATGCCATGTCCAGAGAAGAGTACAGAAACCAGACTGGCTAAAGACGAATCAGTCACTCTAGATTTTGAACTGTAGCAAGAAAAGAGCCATTTCCCTTTGTGGCTAAGAAGTCTACTCTGACCTGTCTAAGCTAATTCTCACATCTTAATGGAATTGCCAGTGGAATTCGGGTTTCTAGATTTTCTACCTAAGTTTAAATCTTTAGTTCCCTATTCGTTGAGTTCACTTAAATTGTTCTTAGTGATGCCTGCACAGTGCCAGACCAACAGGTCAATACAGCCTAAAAGTTGATAAAGGCAGAGGGGAAAAATACAAATGATAGTTGACTATGGGTTATTGAATGAATAGATGAGTGAGTTCAATTTTTAAAACCCTGATGTACTAATGGTATATATTTTTGTAGTATAACTTTATTTATATTCTGAGATCATATATTAATTAGCTTTTTAAGTCATGCTGTGGTAACAAATGGCCCCAAAATCTCTGGGTTACAGCAGTATTTATTTCTCATTCACATGTATCTGCTGCAGCTTGATTTCAGTTTACTTCAGTTAGATTCTAATTTCAGGACCCAGACTGACAGATTGAAGAAGCAGTCTTGTGGCAGAGGGTAGAGTGGTATCACCACATTCTGGCCACATTTAAAATTCTGCAAATTGGGGGCATTTAGCACTTCTGCTTACTTTATGTTAGCTAAAGAAAGTCGTGTGGAGCAGGGATATATACTTCTACCACAGGGAGCACTTTAAGTTGCATATCATTGGAAAGTGAAGTACAATTCTTCTACAAATGAGGAACGACATGAACAAATGGGAAGAAAAACATAACCATAAATATGTGAATTAACATTTTCTAAAAGTTAACATACAACTCTTTTGCCCCCATTCTTTAATGGAAAATGTAGCCTAAAGCTAACATGTCATTCTCACTTCACTAAAACAACCTCTACTTCACAGATATGTAAAATTGCATTACCTGTTTTACCTGCTTGAGCTTCTGTGGGACACTTCAGAGGCTACTGTCCATTCCTAACACATCTCAATCAGACAGAGAGGCAGATTGTGGTCTGTCTCTGAGACCTCACTCTTGGATATGCCTATTATTGTTCAGAGAGTTTAATGGGTTTCCCCAAATCAAGATTTATTGATAAGATTCTAGGTGCTTCTAATATATGTTAAAAGGCATTGTGGCATGCATTGTAGTGACCTTGCGTTTAAAGAATTGCCTCAAGTAAAATGCAGACTGTGTAATGGATAAATCAGTCACTGTCTAGAGTCTTTGGAAAGTATGACTATCAATACAGCTGGAGCAATGAGTGAACTGGATTTGCTTTACATTCACACAGCCTCTCCAACAGTCTCCGTCTGTAGCTGATATTACAAAGCCAGTGTCTGAGACATCTTTGTTTTTATTGTGGCAATATATCTAAGCCTTCTCTTTATCTTAAGTAATCCACTACCCCTGAAATATGACACTGGGTCTCTGAAAGAAAAAAAACAACCTGATAAGATAACCACCTAGAGTGACATTTATATAATTGCCCAGTCAGAAATCATTTCCAGCTGCCTACGTGGAGCTTGCTTCACTGTTGTAGCTAGGAAACAGGGAAGGCAAATAGCTGCTTGTCTTTGGTGCCAACCTTCTGAACTAGTCATGCTTAAAGGAAAGCATTCCTGTACTCGCAGTTACACAGATTTGCCTCCTAAGGTCTCACTTTTTTTGAATGATAATTAGAGGGACCTGCCATTTGAAATCAAACTGTCCCGATGTAGATTCAACAAGAAAGTATCTTTATAATTAATAAAATTCCACATTTTTTCCTCCAATTTGTATATTATAGATGCCCTCAAACCCTCTATTTTAACTGAACTTTTAATCTCAAAATTCAGCTGGATTTACACTAGGGTGGCAGCTGATGTGTCCCTCTCTGCAGTCAGCAGGGATTTTCTGCATTTAGTAGGACTGGCCTAGAAGCTGTTGCCATAAATTCCCATCTGAAGATTTCAGGCAGTCTTTCTAGCCTCTCTCTCCAATTAATGGTCTCTTTGTTTATTGACTCCAGGCACCTCAAGACTTTACAGGTATCAAGAGTCTGCCTTAATGCTCTACTTTTAAACTAAGGTAACCAGTAAGGAAGAAAATTTACATGACATCGTAGGCATCTTCCAACAACTGTGTTTCTAATATTCTACCCAGTTCTCTCTGATTTTATACAATATAAAGCTTGGCCTTATTTATAAATTGTGTTGTTCTTGTCTCCTTAATATCCTTTGTTTCCATGGCTCTTACAGGAATCTAGGTCTACTTACCTCTCAGCATTTCCATTCCTGGAAGCCTTGGAGAAGAGCTTGCACATCTGTTATAGACTTTGATATACAAACCCCAGCCCCAAGCTATTTAGAAATTGGCCTGGGGCCTGGTGGTGTCAACTCAGAGCAAGGTTGACAGTACCTCCACTTTAAAAGTTGAAGTCTTGAAGAAAAGCCAGTCTCATTTGCTGCCATATAAATAATCTTTACTCTGTCAAACTAAAGGTCATTTAAATGGTGAATTACTCAGAGCACAGTTTCAAACTCTTGTGAGTTACATAGACTAACTTAGCCTTAAAGATTTGCACTTTGGGATAATACAAAAGTTTTGAGGGTCAGTTCAGATTTAATGTTTCCTTGATACTCGTTCCTCAAATCCTGTTTTTTGTCTGACAAAGCTCAAATTCATGAGACATACTATGCAGGAAATTCATAGTTATCACTTAGGAATAAGCACTGTTTGGGTATAAACTTCCATTAAATTTTATATATATCTGTGAACATACATCATAAAATTGAGGTTACAATGTGGAAATAATTATTTAATTTTTGAGACCATGATTTTAATGACTATACAGTATTTGATAACATAAACACATCTTAATTTAACTAGTCCTCAACTGATATTCATTTAGATTATTTTCACAAGTTTACTGTCAGAAATAAGACTGAAATGAACATCTTTATAAATAAATATGGGCTCGTGTGCCTGATTAGTTCCTTCTATTTAACATACATTCCTAGAAGTAACTCTTTGAACTCTTTATGTAACACCTCTGGAATTTAAAATTATATCTAAACAAAAACTTAAAAAATAATTTTTCACATTATATGTATATATGCACACAATTGCTTAGCTGGTTTTTTTTTTTTACATTTTTCTAATCTTTCTTTCAATGAATACACTTCATGTTCTACAAGAGTGCTTCTAGAAGAATTAAATGAGTAATACTACAGTTTGGCTGACAGGAAACATTCAGAAATATTTGAAGAATTATGAATGAATAAATGCATTAATAAATGACTTCTCTTCATGTTAACATGGCTGGAAATTCATACTATCTTGTATTTCTTTTTTTTCTGTCTACCACTGCTGATAACCACTGCATACCTCTTCTTTTACACATGAATAAGACATAAGGCCAATAACGGGAGGGCTGTTTTCTCTCTGCTCTCAATCAAATCCCCTACATGGTACTACTAACGGAATGTTAGTAATACAAAATTACTGCTCCTGAGGTACTACACTGCAGCTATTTTTGACCCCTCTGTTGGGACAAAATCTGGTGTCATTATGTTAGACATTCTCTGTCTACTCTATGTAGAGTTTCTATCTGAGAATGCCTCACGTTCATTTTATATTGAAAGGAATTTTAAATAGAACCTCTGACCTATTCTATATAAAAATGTTTTATTACAACCTTTATGATACTTTCAAAAGCTCTTTGGAAATCTAACATGTGAGTAGCCTATAAAATACTTACAGTTCCTTCTGCCAGTGTCAGATGAGAAACATAAGCTGTAGCTTTGGAAGCCAATGGAAAGCCTCATGACTTCAGAATCTGTCTTACTGGCCCTTGTATTGAAGCCCTTGAACTCTGACAGATATTTTATTTTTCCTCCTTATTCCTCTCTGAATCTAAGCTCTCAAGCCTATAGTCATTGTTTAGCTGCCTTTGCTTCTTTCTTTTGCTTTTCATTTACATGTTCATTGGAAGGTGGTTACATGAAAATTGATTCCTTATCTGGGAAAATGATAGTCTGTAGACATGTTTCCCTTCCTCTTCTTGCCTTTTTAGATGAGATCAGGATCTCAGATGCTCTGCTAAGACAGTTGTAAGTCATTGACTTATATTTAATTCTTCCTGTGGAAGAAAATATTCTTGCAAATTAACTTCCTTTATTTCTGAGTACCAGGCAGCAAGAGAAATCCATATAAGAATCTAATAATTAAATGAATTAGAATGCAGACCTGCCAAGAAATAGAAAAAGGGCATTCACAGAGATATGCTCTGACATATTTGAGGTGATTTTCTCCTTAAATTATAATTTTGTGTTAAATATGAGCATCTATTTTATTTCTCCTAAAATGAAGAAAGACAAAATTTTACCCTTCTTCCAGTAGGTTAATGGCCCCAAAATGATACCATGTAAAAAACCTGACTGAGGCACTTAACTTTTTTTCTTTTTAATACCTCCTGATATGGTTAGGCTTTGTGTCCCCACACAAATTTCATCTTGAATTGTAATCTCCCAGATGTTGAGAGGAGAACCTGGTGGGAGGTGATTGGATCATGTGGGTGGTTTCCTCCATGCTGTTCTCATAATAATGAGTTCTCACTAGATCTGGTGGTTTTATAAGTGTTTGGCAAGTTCCTCCTTCACTCACTCTTCTCTCTCTCCTGCTGCCACGTAAGATGTCCCTGCTTCACCTTCTGCCATAATTGTAAGTTTCTTGAGCCCTCCCCAGCCATAAAGAACTGTGAGTCAATTAAACCTCTTTCCTTTATAAATTACCCAGTCTTGGGTATTTCTTTATAGCAGTGTGAAAACGGAATAGTATGTCTTCTTTCCATTTTTATGAACAGATTGAGACTAAGAAGGAGATGTTCTGGATTCTACTCTCAATTAATTTGTAATTCACTGGATATGACCTTGGAAAAATTACTTAAATTCTTTCAGTCTTCATTTTTAATGCTGAAGCTTTTGATAACCTTTATTAAATATTTAACTTTTGATTTTAATGAAGCTTGATTTAATGTGATAGTATCTTTAGTAGATATCTATTTTTGTACCTGCCCAGATTTTATCCGTTCATCTGATAACTACATCAAATTTTCCTCTGGAGTACCACCCCTCACTTTACTTTTACCATGTTCAGTTGGGGATAGTTTACTCCACCCCTTTCTTCAGAGGTAGACATTTGACTGAGTAGCATATTTTTAGGTTCACACTGATTATTCAATGAGAGGTTTGAGATGCAATCAGAGTAAATGAGGAACAATAAGGTGTTGGCTGGGATTTCTGGGAAAAAATTCCTTGTCTTTACCTTGGGATTTGAGGCTGAGAATTCATGAAATAAATAGCGATTTTTGGACTGTGGTGGGGTGAGGACAGAGTTTCTAGGAACTGCTGCATGAAACCACAAAATGAACCCAATTAAATGGAAGAAAGACTCAAGAGAGACAAAACAAATCCTGATGTAATCAGTTGAGTTCCTATAATGCAGCCATGCCTAAAGATAGAATACTTGGTAACATCAGAATTATATAACCCAACAACTGGTGTGTGTGTGTGTGTGTGTGTGTGTGTGTGTGTGTGTGTGCATGTGTGCATACTAATGCCAGGGTATCAAGTTGAAATTGTTTTTTGTACAAATGAAAAAACAAATTACTACAAATGACTTAAATAACAGAGATAATTTATGGATTTATATAGATAAAAAGTACAAATATTAAAAGAGCATTAGATTTGTTTCACTTATGCAGCCTATAATGTCATTAATATTCACATTCTTTTGATTTCTGTAATCTGATTTCCATAACAAAAAGTTTCATATAAAAACTTGCTCCCTTATAGTACCAAGATGGCCAGTTGCAATCTGATTTACATATTTCCTTGTCCAAGGCAAGGACAGATCTTCCTTTTTCGTAAACCTGTTAGAAAAGTATTTTCCCTACAAAATGCTACATATTTACTAAATTCAGTGAAATGTTCATTTTTACATAATTTCTGTGGCCAGAGGATTTCCATAGCTGATGAGCTTAGAACCAGATTTCCTAAAGCAATAACTATGGCCTTGTGGCTTTAACAAGTCTGACCTCACCTACTCAGATACTGCAGTGAGTCAATCTCATCTACCTTCCATGAGGATAGCATAACAGGAAAGTGGTGAAGGTGATGTTGGGAGACAGCCACAATGTCTGCCACAGCCAGGTCAGTATAAAATTTTTGTCACTTACCTGTGACACTATTTTTCTAGTAGAGTATCTCATTTAATTTGCACTTCAGTTTACACAACACCTATTTGAAACCTGTAAATCAAACCTGGGGGAGAAACTGGAAACCACAGTTGCTTTATGTTCTTATTCCATCCTTCCTCTGACTTGAAGCTTCAGTAACCCCAGAAAATCTAAATGAGACAAGATGGGAGGACTGTTTACAGAAGAATGGTTTCTGGAAAGTGGATTGGAAACCAAATAAGACAAGAAAAGTTTGCCAAATCCAAAAGCTGAGGTCAATCGTTAGACCTGCTCTCTACCCTGTTTCTAAACCAGCCAAATCCTCTGATAGATCTTGAGAACTTCATCTCGGTTTCAGGTAGCCTCAAACCCTAGTAAGATTTAACAGTAAACCCTTTAATAGAGTTGCTACCCTTTGGCTTCAGACCCAAATCGTCTTCCACGACACTGCTATCGGGGTGTGGAGTGTCCATCCACCAGGGGACATATTCCACCAGCTGTAATGCTAACTTCCCTGGCCAGAGCAGGCTGGAACAAAGATGACAACCTAGCTAATGATAATGTGAACTAGGGGATAAAGACACTGAGGGTCTTCTGCTGTTAAACACTAGAGCTATAAAGTTACAACAAACAGAGATGCAGAGGAGCTGAAATCACAGTAGAACAGACATCACAAATGGTATGAAAGAAACTTATCTACAGAGAGCAGAATGGAGAATGAGCACACAGAAAAATAAGAAAGGATGTTGTGATTCTGGAGGGAGGATGATGGAGAAGGGCCTGTTTGCTGACTTTCTTCCTGTGAAATACAGTTGTACTAAGGTCTCTAAATTCTGACAGTACCTCCACCCTTACCCTATACATGTTTGCTAAAGCTCTTAAATGTAATTGAATGTTTTATTCTTTTAAGAGTGAATAATATTAATTTAGATAAGCCTCGAGAAGACATATACAAAAAATAAATATATAGGAGATTAATGTCTCTTGATACCTATTCTTAGACAGCCCTAAAGAAAAAAATTAATACTCACAGAATCATAAGGGCCCTAGCTGAGAGAAAGTCTTGAAGTCATAGAAATGATGGTCTGAAATAAACAAAAAACTACTATTTACTTTGCCCATAACATTTCATATGACCTTATTTAATCCTCATAACAACCACATGACATGTATATTATGATCCTCATTTTTTCATATGAGAAACTAAGACTCAAAGAGGCTTCATAACTTGCACAGAGGAAAGTGGCAAAGTAAAAATTTCTTCTATAACCTCAGAGGAAAAAGACTCTATACCTTTACACCATTTTTTTCTTTCTCCTTCCTCCTTTCATAATAAAGATTAGGAATCTTCATATATCAAAGTATTACTTTCAAGCCAGATACAATTTATGATTTTATTATTTGTACAGGAAATATGTAGCCAGAGGAAATAGCAAATGCAAAGACACATAGATGTGTGAAGGCCCAGTGTTTGAGAGAACTACATATAATTCCAGTTCTAGAATAGAAGGTTCAACATGAGGAGTGGTTGGTGGCTGATGAAGCTGCAGAAGTATAAAGGGGATCAGTTAATAGAGTCCCCTCTGAGGGATTCTAATTTTTTAGGTTTGCCTATCATAATACGAACTCTCTTAAAGAAGGGGAGTAGACAAAATGCCATCGAAGGCATCAGTATGTTGTTGCTGAGCTACAAAAACCACATAAAACATAAAGATGCACATACACAGAAAATGACAGATGAAGAAGCCTTGCATTGGAACTTTGAGACAAGAAGAAAAGGAATGCGGAATGATGCGACATTATCTCTACATGCTGAATTTTATTTTTAAACATATGGTATAGTTCTGCACAGGCATAATAATGCTGAAATCTCCACAACTAAATTCAGAGCTCTTTTGTTAAATATTTTGTACAATACCAATACGTTTCTTAACAAGTTCACAAAATGAAATTGCTGATGGAATAGGCAGGCATTGGCTTGATGAGCGCATAAAAACAAATTTTGCTCCTAAGACCCAGGTAACCTGGGCCTTCAATTCCCACTCAGTCTGCAAGCTGATTCTCTGGGTGCCACCTCTCTAGACACTTGCTGGTGTGTAGATGGATGGCGTTAATTTCAGATTGGGAGATCTCGTAATGCTGTCCTGAACCCTGCAAACAAGGTCGGACATTTGTAGAAGCTGTTGCCCTTCAGAGAAACATAGGCTTGTTTATTTTGTCTGTGAATTTTGTCTACAAATTACCTCAGAATAATTTTATGTGTGTCAGGGAACATAATAAATGTTTCCATGTTTACCTTTCCTATGGTTTTCAACAGGAAAAACAGAGGACTTCCTTGGTTTAATTAGAGAACACCTTGTCATCAGGCTAGAAAGCATCAGTTGTCTGGGGTATAGCTGAAAGGATGTATGTTTATGATAATTGGTAAAGGTGGGATTTAAACTCTTTAAGACCTTATCTAATGAAAATTGGGAGATGGACGACAGTCTTTCAACATCTCCTAGCTCCTTTTCACTCGTGATTACCCTGTGATGCTTCTCTCCTCCTCGTGTTTTTGTTCTTTTATGTAACTGAAGGATGACTGACCTTGGCATTATCATCATCTAATCAAATTCAACCAATATTTCCTCAGCAGTAGTTATGCACAAAACTGTGCAGGTACTGCAGAATAGGGTCACTGCCCTTAGAGAGCTTTTAATTTAGATGAGGAGACAAGGCATTTACAAAAGAAATAGTTTAATAACAATAATGTGAAAAGCTACTACTACAGAGCTGTTTGGTAGTTTGGTTCCTGCCCAGAGTTTACATGACATCCAAGAAGAAAGGTAATGTGGAGCAATCAAAATTTGTAACCAATATTATATCCCCTCATCCTCCCATTGTCACTAACATAATAAAGTCTGACAGATTGAAAATTCAGAAATGACTCCAAGGTATTAGGCTTGGGTGACAGTCAATGATTATATTCTTCACAAAGACAGAAGGAAAACAAAGGGAGCTATTTTTAAAGAGAAAATGCATCTAAAAAACTGCTTTGATGATGTTATTATCCTACTCAAAAAATGCCCATGACTTCCTGCTGGTGGCTTGTAGAGTTTGGTAGAGCAAAATGATTACCTTTAGCAGCCTTCATGCTAGGGATTGGTAACACAAGATGTAATAAACTGGACTCTCTGCCACTGAACTCAGTGTAAATAGAGAGTCATGGAAGTGGGTAAACACCTTGAGAAAAAGAAGGCTGTGAATCAAGTTAAGCAGAATTATCAGAAAGCACACACACCAGCCTTCTGGAATACCATTATTGGGGAAAAGTCACAGAAATGAAAGCAGTAATAGTAGGTATGCGTGACCCTGGCTCTTTGCAGTCTGTGGCAGCATATAAAGATATATTAGACTTCTAGAGAGGAACCTGACCCTTGGCCTGGGGGCTTCTAAGCTCCTTGACTGGGGAGGTACCCATCTTTCATGGCATTATTAGGAACTGAGATTCAATACTGGTATGATATCGCAGAACCTAGGCTCAAATGTAGTCCAACATCTAAGCACTCATTGGTTGAGAGAGCACCAGTCTCCCTCCCCTGGAGCAATCAGGAAACTAGGTCCAAGCCTTGAGACTACAGCTGTAAGGCTAGTGGAGTGCTGATCTATCACTCCAGTATTTGTGGTTGTAGGAGTCTTATCCCCACCACCAGCACGATCAAGGTGTGGGGCACAAGTCCACTAGTTACAGTTATGCATCCTGGCAGAACCTTGCCCTGAACTGACATTGTAGCACTGCCAAGATTGATTGCCTTAAGCATTCAGTGTACCAGTTTCTATGAAGCTTTGCTGCAGCCAGTCTGGAAAGAATGTCTTGCAATAGTTAGCCCTAATCTTCAAATGTTAAGAAGCAAAATTGGATTTGGGAAATTCTAAATTTAGGGGTCAGGAGAAGGGAGAACCACCTAAAGAGACAGAAAGAGTATCCAAAGAAGTATAAGGTGAACAAGAGTATTCCGGGCAACAGAGGCAAAAAGAGAAATGAATTTCAAGTAAAGAAGGACATTTACTTTGCTCAGTGCTAGTGAGGCTATAGGGAGAATGAAGCATAAACAAAAGATGTAAGATTTAAAAAGAAAGGGGTATATTAATGAGCATGTTTCAGTAGTGTTACACAGTTAGAAACTAGATTAAAAGTTGTTAAGAAATGAAGAGTGATAAGAAAAGATGGAAACAGGGGCAGGGAGAAGAAGGCAATAGTTTGAGATAGGAAGAGGCAGCGGCAAAAATCTTTCTTATATCTACACAGAGATAACCTGAGCTCTTGTGAGAGGGTCTATTGAGGATGGAGAAAGTTAAGCTGGTTAGAAAGAAATTGTGATCTCTGACAAATGCTTTTTAGTTCTCATGGGTTAACATATACCAAAATTAAAGGAGATCAATGAGGTCTTAAATAAGGTGATTGCTTTCATTTGATTAAGACCAATTTTGTGATTCTTTACTCCAGCTTATGAGAATAGTGCTAGCAGTGGTTTTTCAATCACCAAGGCTAGCTAAGAGAATTGTATTCTGGCTAGGATACTTTTTCATGATCCTTCACATGTCATCTTCAATCTACTCCTTTATTACTTATCAAACAGCTCTACCTATACAAAATAGCATAAGCACATGTTTTTCCCCTCCCCTAGAAATTTCCATCAAAATAAATATGGCCAAAATCAGGGGTGGAGAAACCACATGGGAATTTTCCTCTTGTCCTGAAAAATTATATTTTTAACTTCTATTTGTTACAAAGGCAAGAACTAGGAACAAGTGGATTGAAACATTTACTTTTCCTTGCTGGAGACTCAGCACCCTATAAATGTAATTTTACATTTTTAGTATTTTTTGAAATGTAATATTCAGTCAATAAATAAAGAAACTGAGGCACAGGAAACTTAAAAACATTTTTAGGATCACAAGAAAGGTGAATAAACATACCAGCTGTAAACAGCCAGGTGTCTCTGATTATTTTCATTTAGTTTTCTACTACACTTTTCTGTTGATATTGTACAGATGAAAGTAGAGTAGCTTGTTCTGAAGACACAAAACCATCTTCTATTAGTCCGTTCTTATGCTGCTATAAAGAACTGCCTGAGACTGAGTAATTTATAAAGAAAAGAGGCTTAATTTACTCACAGTTCCGCATGGCTGGGGAGGCCTCAGGAAACAATCATGGCAGAAGGGGAAGCAAATATGGCCTTCTTCACATGGTGGCAGGAAGGAGAAGTGCGAAGCAAAAGGGTGAAAAGCCCCTTATAAAACAATCAGATCTCATGAGAACTATCAGGAGAATAGCATGGAGGTAACTGCTCCCATGATTCAATTACCTCCCACTGGGTCCCTCCCATGACTCGTGGGGAATACGGGAACTACAATTCAAGATGAGATTTGGGTGGGGACACAGCCAAACCATGTCACATCTTATCCCAAAGTTGAGCTTGAGCTTTCCATGTTGTTGGATTTTTTTCTGTTCTGGATATTTTTACTATTTTGAGGCTTGATGGCCTTCTTTAAGATATGTCTAAGCAATACCATAACATAGGCTATTGTCAGCCAAGGTCATTTGAGTTACAATGTCAGTCAAAATTATAGCCTGGTATCTTGTAGAGTCATTTAACCAGTTGAATAACTGTTTTTTGTTCCCTTTACTTTTCAATTCATCAACCAGAAACATATCCCTACAACATACACCTTTACATATCATACCATACAGAAGATATTTACTAAATTACATCATATTAAGCAAAAGAGTTAAAGCTTTTTCCTGCTTCCCAATTCAGATGCTTTGTTACATCATTGAAAGTTTCTCAGCATGTATCAAAGCCACAGATCTTCTTTAGTTTGTATTTGAGATTCAGGCGATGTTAGCTAGAGCCAGTAATAATTACATTCCGAGAACAGGCATATGGTCTAATTCACACTATCATTTTTTCTCACAATTGAAAGATGCCAGTTTTTAAAAATACATGATTATTCCGCCTATAGTGGTCTGCCTTGCCAATTTGTGGGTCACAGACTCCCGTACGCTAAAGCTGGAACTCATAAATGCTTTATGGAATATCCTTTCAGTAGTAGAGATGGAGATTGCAGGGGCCAGATGGGACAATATTCATGGCAAAGCATGAGACTAGAAAGATCATTTACTCTTTTTTTTGTCCTGTTGCTCTAAAGATCTTTTTCCTACAACCATTAAAAGCACCAAAAATAAAGAGGTATTGTTCCAAAGAGTCCACTTGCAGTAATTTTTTAAAAGAAAAATGTTTATATTACAAGGAGAATCGTGATATGAAAAATTCAGACATCTGTTCTCTTCAGCTGACTACCGTATCCTGCTGATTCTACCTCAAAAATACTTCACCAGTTGTCCTGCGAATATAGGCCCTCAACACTTTCTACTTGGATTATTGCAATGGTTTATTACTTGTGCACCCCAGGCTTGCCTCTGCACATGTATGACAGGATATTTATCTGTCATACATGACAGATACACTGAATTTATCCACCTGTATATAACATATAATATATTTTACTTCCATGTCACTTTTAATTTTGTCTTTCTTCTGCCTGCACATAAATTCCATGAAGGCAGATGTCATTTTGTTCACTGGTGTTTCCCCATCTTCCAGAATGATGCCTTCTAATCACTATATCCTAGAGGACAAATAAAAAAATGTGTCATGTATTCATACCCAATTCCTCTCAGTAAATATTTTCTGAATAATTTAAAATTGTAGAGAATATATATCTTAGAATTATATAGAATATATATCTTAGATTGCAGGGAAGTTTCCTAAGAATTGAGTAATTAATATTCTTTTATCACTTTTCTGCCATTACCTTCCTTCACTCTGCTCATTGGAGTAGAGACAGATGGCTTGAGATGAAGCAGTTACTGAGGACCATGAGACAAAACTCATTTGTAAGAATGGTGAAGTAACGAAATCTACAAAGTCAAGATACCATGTCTCATTACGAGATAAAATAAAACTTCTATCTTATTTAAACCACTATTATTTTTGGGTTTCTCTTACAACTGAATTTATCTTTATGGATGGAAATATAATGTAATATATAAATTATTTGGAATGACATGTCCTATCCAAATTCCTGGCATTTTTTAATCCTCTGTCCACTGTCATATTTAATTTTATAGCTGTGGTTGCAAACAAGAGGCTCAAAGAGATTTAAATGGCACAAGGACATAGATTTTTGGCCAGTAAGAATTCAAACACTTATTTTTCCAACATTAAAAGTCATGAATTACACATAAAATCTAGCATTTGGGAGTCCAAATGCATCATAATAACAGAGCTGAGTTCAGATGAGGCAGATGTTCTACATTTCATCACAGTCTTTACACCTTCCACTAATCCTCATTAATCACCATACCTAGCCTGTTTCACACACTTACATTACTTACTGGATGTATTATGGAAAACACCACATATAAGAAGTTCTCCTTTGTTCTTTCTTCTATTCAATCAATGCTTTTGAACTACAGTACTCCCATTCTAAATAATGGGAATATGGTGGTTACAGGGACTACCAAAGTCGTTACATTTTAGAAACAGAAGACAGACAATAACCAAGTAAACAGAAATGCAAATGGATATTTTCTGACAGTTCTAAGTATAATGGAGATAATGAAAAAAACATGTGGAGAGAGAGACAGTGACTAATGTTAGGGAATGGGATCCCGTGGACTAGATTATCAGGAGAACCTCTTTGAGGAGAGGCCATTTGAATTGAGACCTGAGTGACAACCAGGAGTCAGTTATTCAAGGTCTAGACGAAGACAATTTTAGCTGGATGGAATGGCACCTAAAAATAACCTAAAATAAAAATGAGAAAAAATAAACTTTCTCAGACAGAAAAATAATTTCTGGTACATCATACTTTACAAGGTGTTGTGATCCATAGCTATCTAGGAATTCTCCCAATTTTCCTGGGACTATAAAAATGACAAAAAGACATCCTCTTCTCGGTCATAGATAGTGGCTGAAGCCTATAATTCCAGACTGTTAGAGATTGAGGCTGCCGGATCACTTGAGGCTGGACAACATGGCAAAACCCCGTCTCTACTCAAAATACAAAAATTAGCTGGAAATGTTGGAGCGCACCTGTAATCCCAGCTACTCGGGAGGCTGAGGCATGAAAATCACTTGAACTCGGGAGGCAGAGGTTGCAGTGAGCAGAGATTGCACCACTGCACTCCAGCCTGGGTGACAGAGTGAGACTCCGTCTCACTAAAAAAAAAAAAAAAAAAAAAAAAAAAAAAAAAAGAAATCCTCTTTTCTCTATTTAAAACTTTCAATTTCTAAAAAAAATTAAAAGGCTGATTGTTGCTCAGTAATCCCAAAGCCTGATTAAATATGTTAAGCTTAACAAATAGAGGGTAATGGTGTCCATAAAATGTTAATTGTATAAACACAACAGACTGCTAGGTATACATATGCTTCTGTCCAGTCTTCTACTTTTCCATTTTGTTTTATTCAAAATATGCTGAAAGTTATTAGTTCATGAATCTCAAGAAGCAGACTGATGCTCATCTCTTAATCAAGCAAATGTTTAAAATATAAATTCCATTTAAATATCAGTGTAAAAACTGAAAGCCTTAGTTGACTAATGATATACCAACAGCTTTGTGAGGAAAACTAAGCAGTCTATGATTATCATATAATCACAAACACACACACACTCAGAAACACACATAAGTACATTTTCTTTTAAAACTCAAGTTCACTTAGATTGGTGGAAAAGCTCCTTTCTTAAACAGCAATTTAAAAGTATTAAGTATTAGCATTTTTTCAACAACTCAATAAATTTATCTTGACTTTTTACAACTGAAAGAAATGTTGAGTTAAAAAAATTAAACCTTGGCACGCACCTTGGGTGGGGAGTGCATATGTATACAAACAGCCATTCTTAATTAAGGAAACACCATATCACAAACAATCAGAGCTGAGCTCTTTGAAACGTTCCCTCCTATGCCAGCATAATATTCAACCACCATCAAATTTTCTGCATTCTGCATAATGTGCTGGTAATTAACCTCATAAACTTATTTTGTGAACAACTCTCATAGTTGATAAATGTAGGTAAGGGCAAAACTCAGCAAGGTTATTGAATAACAATCAGTGCGTCCAGAATGAAAAATAACCCGCCTTCTTCTGAAATAAGATATGAATAGACTTTACCCTAGTAATTGATATTGCTGCATTTTGCATGAAGATGGGGTATTTTTCATTTAAAGCACATGTGTTAATTTTCCTTCATAGATAAGCCAAAAACCTTGACTCTGTCATCAGACCTTTGGCATCTCCTTCTGTTTCAGTCTTGGGACTCTGCCAATACACAGCTATTCTGTATTTGAACTTCCATGCTGGGGCTGGGGCATAGATAGTCGCCAGAATTCACTTTGTTTTCAACCAGATTCAGATTAAAAGAAGTCACATAAAAACCAAATGCTACTCCTATTAACCAAGCATATGCCAAACATTCGTCTGAAAGACAAGGAACCCTAAAAATCAGCATTAACGAAAGCTAAAGATAAAAGCTATTATAGGAGAATGATGATTGGGACCAAGCAGTGCCAGGTGATGACATTTTGCAACAATCTTCCAAAGTCACAGTGATGTGAAATCTTCAAATAACTCCGAAAAATTAATTAAGAGACTTGCATTCCAGTCCAGCTCTGCACCTGCCTGGTGGTAAGACCTTAAAATTCTCATTATGTATCTAAGAATCTTAATTTCTTTATCTGTACAAAGTGGAGATTGGCCTTGAATACTCCTTAGGCCCCATCCAAAACTAAAATTTGTATGACTTTGGAATGATTCAATTGTTTTCTTTTTTATTTGGAAAATATAAATCACATATTTCCTAAAGCAAGAAGCAATTGTTTATGTGAGTAACAGCTTTTATCATAGTTTCTGGTTTTAAAAATCTTTCAGTAGCTTGCCACTGTCCATATAACAAAGGTATTATCATGGGTCATGTGACCCTACAGAATCACATCTCTGTATTTTATACTCATCTCCCACTTATTGCTATAAATCTTCATTTTAAATTACAGGATAACTAACTATGTGTAGTTTTCTGAATATGCAATTCTATTTCACTCTATTGCCAATACTCTTTTTTTACCACCCCCATTTATCCAGTTAATTTCTGTTTGTAATCAAAAGCCCCATTCAAGCAAGACTGCTTCCCTAAAGACTATGTTGTGCCAAACAGTTAATCCCTTCCTTTTCTGTACTATCCTTTTGCCACATACCTCTTTTCTGTCATTTACATTTATGAGCTATCATATTCAATTCAACATAAAACAAAGCTTATATTATGTTCTTCCTTGCATTACCTAGCACTATGCCTTATAGGTGGGAAATACTCAGTATGTATGGATAAAATTAAAATCCTTGATCTTTTGATTTTGAATGATCCTTTGTTACATGTGCTGATTTAGTTCCATTTACCTTAATAAGCTTGTATGAGAATATACTTAGGACTTGTATTGGTCAGTTTAGTAAAACATTTTAAAACAGTCAATTACTGTTTGATTGTACAGTATCAGTCATTAGAGTAAAAATTGCAACACTTGTAGGAATATGTCTGTACTATAATAGGAAGATATCAAATATTTCTTCTGTAGTTTTAAAGTGTAAATAAATATCAAAAATTCTTAACACATGGCCAGTATTTATAAAGACAATCAAATATTTTAACGAGACAGTTGAAAAAATTGTAAGCTATGCTTCTAAATAGCAGGTCAGTAGTTTTACATCCCATAATTTGTGGAAATCCAAAATGTTGGCTAATGATTAACATGACCAGTTACATTTCAAGATTTCTCTTGGTTTATTCCATTTTCTCTGAGAACAAATCCAATTTCTCAGGAAAACAAAGATTGTTTACGTTTTAAAAAATATGTCCTCCTTATAGATACATACATAGATAATAGAAATGTGTATGTCTACATAGTATATATGTTTTAAATATTAATGCTCAGTTGCTAAACATAGAGGTGCCATTTGTTGGTAAATGTGCTATAATATGAAATGAGCCAGGCCCCAAAAGAAATGAAATGAAATGAGCCAGGCCCCGAAAGAAAAATACTGCATGATTTAACTTATATATGGAATCTCTATAATTTGCATACATAGAAACAGAGTTGGATAGTGTCTATCAGGGGAGGGGAGAAAGTGGAAATAGGAAGTAAGTCAAAAAGTACAAACTTGCAGCCATGTAGGATGAATACATCTAGAAATGTGATGTGCAGCATGAGGAATATAGCTAATAATATTGCATTATATATTGAAATTTGTGACAACTGTAGATTTCAGGTGCTCTCATCACAGAAAAAGGTAATGAAAGGTGATGGATATGTTAATTTGCTTGACTATAGTAATCATTTTATAATATATGTATATCAATACGACTTGTAAACCTTAAATTTATATAATAAAAATAAATTTAAAATGAAAAATCTTTAGATTTGTAATAATGGTTATTGTAAGTCATTTAAAATTTAATATAAAAAATTCAATGTGTAATAAATAATGACCTAGAACATGCTGTAGAAAAAAGAAAGTGCCAAGTTCAAAAACACTGATACATAATCTTTGAAAGTACAGCAATTAAAAGTATGCCTTGGACATGGTTGATATTCAACATATATTTTTGAAATAAAAAAAGACTATCACAAATGATTGCTATTGTGATGTGACTTTTTGATTTTGTTTACTTTTATCCATTTAATTTTTACTTTTACTCTATTTTCCCACTTAAAAAAAATGCCCAGGATCAAATCTTACTCTCTCACAGACACAGATACAATAATTTCAGATAAAGTGAAAGAAGTGATGATATTGAAAGAGTAACAAATATTTATTTTTTAATTTTATATTAAAGATAAACTAAAAATACCTGATTACACTCTCTTTTGTGACCATTTTTTTCATTGTTGTGCTTTGTGTGTGTGTGCATATATATATAGTATATATATATGTATAAAAATATATATAGTATATATTTTCTAAGATAACCAATATTATTCTGAGCAATTAACTCCCTAATGTCTTAATTAATATCAAATGTCTCTTAAACATTCATTTTAACATGTTGCTGAGACAGACATCCATTATTTGTTATTTTATTTTTTATCTAAGAAATTGCAGGTCATCACAAGAAACATATATATATACATATATATATGATACTTAAAAAACGTTGGTTCAGTGTCAGAATGGATGGATGAATGGATAGAGGAGGGGATGGATGGTTGCCTGATTCAATGAATAATAGGGAAATGAATAACTGCTTATATAACTAAGGCAAAGGGGTCCTCTAGGGAGTAGCTGATAAGTTGATGACATATATATAGCATCTAGAGTATGTTTGTTCACAGTATTTCAGGATTAATTTTTATTTTTTCAATCTTTTTCACATTGTCTCATATTAGCCAAGCTCATAGAACTGATGTAAAATTGAATGCTAATTTAATAAATTACAAAAAGAAATATAACTGCTAGGTAGACAATACTTATAGTTTTACTGGCCAACTTATTTACTTTGCAAGAAATTACTTGGAAAGTCAAAATATAAAGACAATGTTGCTAATGAAATATAAATTAGTACAAGGGGTGTTAAGGTAAATGATTATAATGTTAAACCATGTCATGTCCAGTGAATACTTCAAAATTGGTATTGCCAAATTTGGCTTCTGTTGAGAATGTATTTTCTAGGATAACCAATATTATTCTGAGCAATTAACTTCCTAATTTCTTAATTAGTATCAACTGTCTCTTAAACATTCATTTTAACATGTTGCTAAGACAGACATTCATTATTTGTTATTTTATTTTTTATCTAAGATATTGCATGTCATCACAAGAAACATTTTAAAAATATGATAACTTATTTTTTCTTTTGTCTGGTTTATCACCAGCATTTATAAGACCAGAGCTAGGGAATGGGCTACATCTGGGTACACATGCATGGTCTTAATGTAGCAAATGTTTAGCCTGTCCTGGCTCTCACATAATCAGAACACAGAGAATATTCACAGAAAATATGATAACTCTTTGAATGTTAGAAAAACAACTAAACATTTATTGATACAAGATAGTATACTAATGTCAGAAGAAATGCTTAATTCAATTGGTGGGAAAGAATATCAATAAAAATAATTATTTGGTATCACCTAAATTAAGATACATCAATTTCACTAATGCTTTGTGAAGAAGAGTTTATAACCAGGATAAATTCTAGACAATTTTTGTTCTTTAGATTCATGATAAAAATAATAACAATTATACTGAAGTGAATAATGTAAATGATATCTTTAAAACTGTCACTTAGAATTGTTCTGGCAATATGACAACCTTGATGTTCTGAAAAACTATGCAGTATTAAACACCTAGGAATGCTGGATAAACTATATCTTTAAATGCATAGGAGAGCTCTCAAGAGGCTAAAGGAAAATCCAAAGAGGGCCAAAACAAAAAGAAAGCTGACACCAAAGTGATAAGCAAGAACTGAAGCCACATCTGTTCTAAGATATATGATGATAACAGAAATTCAAAACTGTGAGTATTAATCATCACCTGGAGAAAGGAGGAAAAGGTCGTGGTGGACCGACAGAATCCTCACATACATCCAACATCTTTAAGCTACTACATCTCCAGTACACACACAGGCTAGAAATACACACACACACACACACACACACACACACACATGCACATACACACACGCCAGTAAAACAAACAAACAAATAAGACAGCAAATTTAAATAGGGTTTGTTTTTTTTTTTTTCCTGCTTTGGTTAAGACTTTGGGGAAAAATACATGCAATCATTGGCTTAAATTAAAAGGAGTTAAGATTTTAATTAAGAATACTTATACAGTTTAGAAAGCCATAGCCAAAAAAAATCACTCTAATTAGTAATGATAGGTGAAAAAAGATATATAGATACATAGATAGATGAAAAAAGAGATAGGAAAGAAAAGAAAAGAAAGGAGAAAGAGAGAGAAAGAAAAAGAAAGCAAGCCAGCCTTAAAAGCGACTAGACAAAAAAGACACAGAAAATACAGAAGACAATGAAAATAATGACAGCAGATTTCTTTTGGGAGAAAAGACTATCCAGAAAACAGTAGAACAATATCTTTAAAGTATAAAAAGGGGAGACAAAATAAAACAAACCATGAAAAAATAAAAGAAACCTGTGGATCCAAAATTCTATACCTAATGAAATCATCCTTGAAAACCAAGATGAAATAGACTTTCAAAATATATATAAAATCTTAAATAATTCATCACCATCAGATGTCTAAAACAAGCAAATATTAAGAAAGTCCTTTAGAGAGAAGGAAAATGACACCAGATGGAAATCTGGATCCACAAAAGGATTAAAGAACACTGGAAATGGTGGGTATGTGGGTAAATACAAAAAAGTTTCTTTTTATTATTATTTTAGTGCCTTTGAAAGATAACTGACAGTGTAAATAATTTTTTATAATATATTGTGGTGTTTATAACATGTGAAATAAATTGTATGACAATAACACAAAGGCTGAGAGAGGAAAAATAGAAATATTTAGTTGTTAGGTTCTTATATGTGAAATAGTATAATATCAACTGAAAATAGATTGTGTTGAATTAAATACGTATACTATAAACACTAAAGCAGCCACTAATGTACAAAAATATTACTAAGAGAAATTAAGGAATACTAAAATTATTGGTGAGTTATGCCAGGTTCCTGAATCAAAAACTGTAATATTGTTAAGATGTCAATAGTCAAAATATACTGGAAAAAGAAGAAACAAATTAGAGAACTTATACTATCTGATTTCAAGACCTGCTATTATGAAACCGTGGTAATAAATATAGTGCTGCATTAAGAGATACAAAAATAGGTCAATAGAATAAAATTATATGACAAGAAGTAGACTCATGCATAGATAGTCAATTAATTGTTTAGCATTCAAGAAAAATGCTAAATCAATTCAGTAAAGAAAGGATAAACTTTTCAACAAATAAAACAATTAGATATTCACATACAGCAATAATAAAACAAATGTTTCATAACTTGCACAATGCAAAAATTAACTCAAAATAAACCAAAGATCTAAATTATCTAAATTTTAAAACTAAAGTAAAACTTCTGAAAGGTATCATATGAGAAAATTTTTGTAACTATGGATTAGGCAAGCATCTTCTTTTTGCAGTATATGATTTCATTTATATAAAGTTCAACAACAACATAAACTAATTAAAGTTTATAGAAATCAGAATAGAGATTACCTCTAGGCAAGCAAGGATGAGGGTAGTAGTGGTGGCATGTATTGAAAAGGAGTGCAAAAATATGTATATGGTGATGAGATGTTCTATGTCTTTTTTAAAAAGGTTTTATTGTTGTTGTGTAGAGTAGTTTTAGGTTCACAGCAAAATTGAGAGGAAGGTACAGGGATTCCTCATATACTTCCTGCCCCTACACATTCCTAGCCTCTCCCATTATGACCATCCCGCACAAAAGTGATACATTAGTTACAACTGATAAACCTACATTGACACATCATTATCACGCAAAGTCCATAGTTTATATGAAGGTTCACTCTTGCTGTTGTTTGTTCTATGAGTTTGGACAAATGTATAACGATACAAATCCATAATTATAGTATTATTGTGGTAGTTTCACAGCCCTAATAATCTTCCATACTCTGCCTATTCATCCCTCCCTCCTCTGTATGCCTTGGCAACCACTGATCATTTTACTGTCTCTATACATTTGCCTTTTCAACAATGTCATATAGTTGGAATTCTACAGTACGTAGCCTTTTTAGGTCGCCTTATTTCATATAGTAGCACGCATTTAAGTAATTGCCATGTCTTTTCATGGTATGATAACCCATCTCTTTTATTGTAGAATAATGTTCCATTTTCTGGATGTATCACAGATTATTTATCCATTGAACTAAATAGGGATTGCGGTTCTTTCCAAGTTTTGGCAATTATGATTGATGATGTAAACACCTGTGCACATAAGATTTTTACTCTTTTGGGTAAATTCCAACTCCTTTGGAAGCATGATTGCTGAATCATATTATAAAAGTATGCTTAGTTATATTTAAAAAGAAAACAAAACATCAAACTGCCTTTCAAAGTGACTGTACCATTTTCCATTTCTAACAGTAATAAATTAGAGTCCTGTCACTTCACATCCTCACCAGCATTTGGTGTTGTCAGTGCTTTGAATTTGGCCATTCTAATAAGTATGTAGTGGTATCTCATTCTTTTAATTTGCATTTCCCTTATGATATTTGATGTGGAGCATGTTTTCATATGCTTATTTTCCATCTGCATATCTTGTTTGGTAAGGTCTGTTAAGTCTTTGGCCTATTTTTAAGTTTTGTTTTGTTTTGTTTTCTTATGTTGAAGTTTAAGTGCTCTTTGTATATTTTGAATAATAGTCCTTTATCAACTATGTCTTTTTCAAATATTTTCCCCCAGTATGGGGCTTGTCCGTTCACTCTCTTGAGAGCATTTCATGCATGGGAAATAAAATTAACTATAGTTAAGTCCAACTTATCTTTTATTTGTATTTTTTTTCTTAATTTTTTTCTTCTACTTTTAGGATCCAGAGGAACACACGCAGGTTTGTTACAAGGGTAAATTGTATGTTGCTAGGGCTTGGTGTACAAGTGATCTCATTACACAGCTAGTGAGCATAGTACCCCATAGGTAGCCTTCCGACCCATATCCCCTTCCCATTCTCTCTTCTCAAGCAGTCCCCAGTGTATATTGTTTCCATCTTTGTGTCCATGTGTACTCAATGTTTAGCTCCCACTTGTGAGTGAGAACGTGGTATTTGGTTTTCCATACCTGCATTAGTTTGCTTAGGATAATGGCCTCCAGCTGCATTCATATTTCTGCAAAGAAAATAATTTTGGTCTTTTTTTATGGCTGTGTGTGTGTGTATGTATGTATATTTCAAATTTTCTTTATTCAGTCCATCATTGATGGGTACTTCAGTTGAATCTCTTTTTGCTATTGTGAATAATGTTGCAATGAACATATTAGTGCATGTGTCTTTTTGGTAGAACAATTTATTTTTCTTTGGGTATATATGCAGTAGTAAAATTGCTGGATAAAATGATAATTTTTAAGTTCTTTGAGAAATCTTTAAAGGGCTTTCCACAGTGGCTAAGCTAATTTAAATTTCCACCAGCAGTGTACGTGTTCCTTTTCCTCTGTAACCTTGCCACCATCTGTTCTTGGTCTTTCATTTAAGTCTTTAATCCATCTTGTGTTAATTTTTGTATTTGGTGAAAGGAAGGGGTCCAGTTTCATTCTTCTGTATATGGCTAGCCAGTTATCCCAGCACCATGTTTTGAATAGGGTGTCCTTTCCCTATTGTTTGTTATTGTTGACTTTGTCAAAGATCAGGTGGTTGTAGATGTACAGCTTTATGTCTGGGTTCTCTATCCTGTTTCATTGATCTCTGTGTCTGTTTTTGTACCAGATTTATGCTGTTTTGGTTGCTGTAGCCCTGTAGTATAGTTTGAAGTCAGATAGTGTGATATCTCTGGCTTTGTTCTTTTTGCTCAGGATTGCTTTGGTTATTCTGGTTCTTTTTTGGTTCTATATAAATTTTAGAATAGCTTTTCTCAATTCTGTGAAAAATAATGTTGATAATTTGATTGGAATAGCATTGAATCTGTAAATTTCTTTGAGCAGTATGACCATTTTAACAATATTGATTCTTTCCATCCATGAGCACGAAATGTTCTTCCATTTGTTTTTGTCATCTGTTACTTCTTTCAGCAGTGTTTTGTAATTCTTACTGTAGAGGTCTTTCACCTCCTTGGTGAGTTGTATTTAAAGTTATTTTATTCTTTTTTGGCTATTGTAAATGGGATTGCATTCCTGATTTGGCTATCAGTTTGGAGATTTCTGATGTATAGAAATGCTACTGATTTTTGTACATTGACTTTGTTTCCTGAAACTTTACTGAAGTTGTTTTGCAGTTCTAGCAGCCTTTTGGTAGAGTCTATGGGGTTTTCTAGGTATAGAGTGTGCAAAGAGAGAGAGTTTGACTTTCTTCAGGGATTGTGCCTTTAATTTCATAACTGAAATCTCATTGCCAAACCCAAGGTCATCAATATCTTCTCTTCTGTTATTTTGTAAGAGTTTTACAGTGTTGCATTTTACATTTAGGTTTATGATCCATTTACAGTTAACTTTTGTGAAGACCCTAAGTTTTGTGTCTAAATTCATTTTTTTCCATGTGAATGTCCAGTTGTTCTCATACCATTTATTACAGAGACAATTTTTTCTCCATTGTATTTTTTTTGCTTCTTTTTAAAAGATCAGTTGATTATATTTATGTGGATCTATTTCTGAGCTCTCTATTCTATTTGTAGATTTTTTTTTGCCAATACCACACTGTTTCTCTTATTATAGTTTCATAGTAAATCTTAAACTTGAGTAGTGTCAGTTCTTCAAATTTGTTGTTCTTCTTCAATATTGTTTCAGCTATTCTGGATCTTGTGCCTCTTTATATGAACTCTAGAATCAATTTGCTAATAGCTAAAAAAAATAATAACTGTTTGGCATTGTGATTGAGACTGCATTGGATCTGAAGATCAAACTGGAAAGAAATGGCATCTTGACCACACTGGAGTCTTTGCCTTGTTCTCAATCTCAATAAAAAAGAAGCTATTTTCTCACACTTTAGAATTATGTTAGCTATCATTATTTAAATAAATATTTTAGATCAAGTTGGTGAAGTTTCCCGGCATTGTATTTTGCAGGGAGATTTTTATCATAAATGGATTTTGTGAAATGCCTTTTCTGCATCTATTGATATAATCATGTGACTTTTCTTTTTCAGCCTGATTATGTGATGAATTATGTTAATTTATTTTTAAAAGTTGAATTAGCTGTGCATTCTTGAGAAAATTCCCTCTTGGTTTTGGTGTACAATTGTTTTCATACAATGTTGGACTTTGTTTGCCAGTATTTTGTTGAGGATTTTTGCAACTATGCTTGTGAAAGTAATTAAACCCTTTAATTATTGTAATGCATTTGTCTGGTTTTAATATCAGCATGATGCTGGACTAATAGAATGAGTTAAGAAGTATTCTCTTTGCTTCTATATTCTTAAAGAGATCCTTTTTTTTTAATTGATAAATTTCTTCCTTGAATGTATGGTAGAATTCACCGGTGAACTTATCTGGACCTGGTGCTTTCTGTTTTGGAAGAGTTTTAGTAAGTTCAGGCTGCTATAACAAAATTATATAACCTGTGTAGCTTATAAACAAAAGGAACTTATTTTCCATAGGTGCAGAGAATGGAAAGTCTAAGACCAAGTTGCCAAAATTTTGGTGTCTGAAGAGGGACAAAGATAGCTTTTCATAGATAGCTTCTCCCTGTGTTCAATACACTGTGTGTATTGAAAGGGGAAAGATAGCTTTCTGGTGTTTCTTTTATAAGGGTACTGGTTCCATTAATGAAAGCACTACTCTCATAATCCAATCTCTGAATTAGCCCCATCTTTGAATACCATCACATTGATGATTAGATTTTCAACATATAAAATTTGGGGGGGACACAGACATTCAGATCATACCATTCTACCGCAGATCCACAAAATTTATGTCCTTCTTGCTTGTAAAACACATCATTCCATCCCAATAGCCTCAGAAGTCTTAACATGTTCCAACATCAACTCAAGTCTGAAGTCCAAAGTTACGTGAAAATACTATCTAAACTAGATATGGGTGACACTCTCTAGTTGTGAGCTTATAAAATAAACAGGTTATGTTCTTCCAAAGTACAGTGTTGGTACAGGCTTAGGATATACATTCTGATTCCAAAAGGGAGCAATAGGAAAGATGACAGAGGTAACAAGTCCCAAGCAAGTCTGAAACCAAACAGGGCAAACAAAATTAAATATTAAGGATCAAAAATAATCTTTTTTTACTCAATGTCATGCTTTCTGGAAATACAGGATAGGGGTTGGGCACCAGGATCCAGGCAGCCTTGTCCTTCAAAATCTAGATGGAGATAGCCACATCTCAACAGTTCATGCACTGTATGCTCTGGGGAAGATGAGATGGCACACAGTGGACACTGCCAATGTTGAGTATTTGTGCCCTCTGGAGAGGTAGCCAACTCAGTCCACACTGCACCTGAAACCACTGGAGTCACACCTAGGGCAGCCAAGGAGCACTGTGCTAAAATTCATGGAGCAGAGCCTTGAAATGGCTTCGACCTCCAGTTCCTTGCACTCTGGACCTATGATGGGAGGTGGTAACTCCAGTAATTTACAAAATGCCCTCAGGATTATTCCTCTCTTGTCTAGATGAGTAGTCCCTGGCTTCTGCTGAAATAGCAAGTCCAGACTAATCTTATGAAAATCACTTGTCTCTACCTCTATTCTCTCCTGAACATATTTTATCATTCTTTGCAACGAGTAGGCTGAGAATTTTCCAAATTTTTAAGTCCTGCTTCCTTTTTGATTAAAAGTTTGGCCTTTAATCATTTCTCTTTTCTTACATTTTATTGTAAGAATTGAAAAGGGGCCAGGACACACTTTAAGCACTTTGCTTAGAAATTTGTTCAGCCAAATACCCAATTCATTGCTCATACCTTTTGCCTTCCGCAAAACACAATTTAGCCAAGGATTTTGTCAGTTTATGACAAGGATTGCCTTTTCTCCAGTTTCCAATAACATATTCTTTATTTCTGTCTGTAGGGATTTTTTCCCAATATTTACTGTGAGAACCTGAGTAAACTCCTGGAGGGTAAACTTATGAAAGTGTGGGGTCCCCCTATGACTACGTCCCTCTGGAGTTTTTAATTCTCATACTTGTCCACACCTAGCCTCCAGCAATGTCAAATACAGTTTAGGTTTTATTACCTTGACACTGGTTCCCATGGAAGTTTTTGCTCTGATATGTTGTGATTCCCTATATCCCCCTGTCAGTTTCTCCAGTTTTAAGGACAGTGGTTTGCCCTGTCATCTGACTTCTCTTATGGATCTAAGATTTTTTTTATTTTTCAGTTTGTTCAGCTTTTTGCTTACTATTAGGATGGAATGGTGACTTTTAATCTCTTTATTTACAGAACTCAAGATTTTTTAGATATGACACCAAAACCATGACCCACAAAAGAAAAAAAAATGTAAATTAGACTTTATCAAAATTAATACTTTTTAATCTTCAAAAATTTCTAAGATAATTAAATGGAGACATAGGATGGAAAAAATAAGCATTTGTAAATAATATTTTGATGAAGTACTTATATCAAGATTATATCAAAATGTCTTCAAACCCAATAGGGAAGCAAACAACCCACAAAAGGTCTGCAATGTATTGGTGCACTTTACTAAAGAAGATACACAGATATAAGCATGTGAAAAGATGTTTAGCTAAATCAGTCATTATGGACATATCAATACATATCTTTTAGAATGTCTCATAGAGTGTTTGCTAGTCAGAGTGTAAAATGACACAAGGTTTTAGAAAACTATTATATTTTCTTTTTTTTAACTTTTAATTTCAGGTTTGGGGGTACATGTGGAGGTTTGTTACCTAGATAAACACATGCCATGGGGGTTTGTTGTACATATTATTATATCATCCAGGTATTGAGCTCAGTACCTATTAGTTATCTCTTTTGCTCCTCTCCCTCCTTCTACCCTCCCCATTCCAAGTAGACCCCAGTGTCTGTTGCTTTCCTCTTTGTGTGCATAAGTTCTTATCACTTAGCTTCCACTTTATGTGAGAACATGTGATATTTGGTTTTCTGTTCCTCCATTAATTTGCTAAGGGTGATAGCCTCTGGCTCCATCCATGTTCCCATAAAAGACACAGTCTCGTTCTTTTATGGCTGTATAATACTACATGGTTTGTATGTACCATATTTTCTTTATCCAGTCTGGCACTGACGGGCATTTAGGTTGATTCCATGTCCTTCCATTGATGGGCATTTTGGTTGATTCCATATTGTGAACAGTGCTACAGTGAACATTCACATTCTTGTTTCTTTATGGTAGAATACTTTATGTTCCTCTGGGTATACACCCAGTAATGGGATTGCTGGGTCAAATGTTAGTTTGCTTTTAGCACTTTGAGGAATCGCCATACTGTCTTCCATAATAGTTGAAATAATTTACACTCCCAGTAACAGTGTATAAGGGTTCCCTTTTCTCTGCAACCTTGCCAGCATCTGCAATTTTTTGACTTTTTAAATTATAGCCATTCTGACTGGTGTGAGATAGGTATCTCATTGTGGGTTTGATTAGCATTTCTCTAATGATCAGTGATACTGAACTTTTCTTCCTATGATTGTTGGCCCCATGTATTTCTTCTTTTGAGAAGCGTCTGTTCATGTCCTTTGACCACTTTTTTATGAGTTGTTTTTCTCTTGTAAATTTGTTTAAGTTCCTGATAGATGCTGGATATTAGATCTTTGTCAGATGCATGGTTTGCAAATATTTTCTCTAATTCTGTAGGTTGTTTGTGTACTCTGTTGATAGTTTCTTTTGATATGCAAAGGCTATTTAGTTTAATTAGATCCCATTTGTCAATGTTTGTTTTTGTTGTAATTGTTTTTGGTGTCTTTGTCATGAAATCTTTGCCTATTCCTATGTCCAGGATGGTATTGCCTGGGTTGTCTTCCAGGGTTTTTATAGTTTTGGGTTTTAAGTTTAAGTCTTTAAGCCATCTTGTGTTGATTTTTGTATATGGCATAAGGAAGGGATCCAGCTTCAATCTTCTGCATATGGCTATCCAATTTTTCTAACACCATTTATTGAATAGGGAGCATTTTTCCCATTGTTTGTCTTTGTTAGCTTTGTCAAATATCAGATAGTTGTGTATGTGCAGTCTTATTCCTGGGCTCTCTATTCTGTTCCATTGGTCTATATTTCTGTTTTTGTACCAGTACCACGCTGTTTTAGTCACTGTAGCCTTGTAATATAAAGTCAGTTAGTGTGATGCCTCCAGCTTTGTTCTTTTTGCTTAGGATTGCCTTGGCTATTCAGGCTTGCTTTTGAATCCATATAAATTTTAAAGTAATTTTTTCTAGTTCTGTAAATAATGTTGTTGGTAGTTTCATAGGAATAGCATTGAATTTGTAATTGCTTTGGGAAGTATAGCCACTTTAATGATATTGATTCTTCCTATCCATAAACATGGAATGTTTTTTCACTTGTTTGTGTCTTCTCTTATTTCTTTGAGCTGTGTTTTGTAGTTCTTATTGTAGAGATCTTTCACCTCCCTGGTTAGCTGTATTACTAGGCGTGTGTGTGTGTGTGTGTGCATGTGTGTCAATTATGAATGGGATTGCCTTTCAGATTTCGCTCTCGGTTTGGTTGTTTTTGGTGTATAGGAATGCTAGTAATTTTTACACATTGATTTTGTACTCTACAACTTTACTGAAGTTATTAGCTAAAAGAGGTTTTTGGCTGACACTATGGGGTTTTCTAGATATAGAATCATGTCGTCTGCAAACAGAGATAGTTTGACTTCCTCCCAACCTATTTGGATGCCCTTTATTTTTTTTCTCTTGCCTGATTGCTATGGCTAGGACTTCCAATACTTTGTTGAATAGAAGTTGCTAGAGAGGGAATCCTTGTCTTGTGCTGGTTTTCAAGGGGAATGCTTCCAGCTTTTACCAGTTTAGTATAATGTTGGCTGTGGGTTTGTCATAAGTGGTTCTTATTATTTTGAGGTATATTCCTTTAATACATAGCTTATTGAGAGTTTTTAACATAAAGGGATATTGAATTTTATCAAAAGCCTTTTCTGCATCTATTGAGATGATCATGTGGTTTTTGTCTTTAGTTCCATTCATGTGATAGGTCACATTTATTTATTTTCATATGTTCAACCAAACCTGCATCACAGGTTATAAAGCCTGCTTGATCATGGTGGATTCACTTTTTATGTACTGACAAATATGGTTTACAAGTATTTTGTTGAGGATTTTTGCATTGATGTTCCTCAAGAATATTGGCCTGAAGTTTTTGTTGTTGTTGTTGTTGTTGTATCTCTGCCGGGTTTTGGTATTAAGATGCTGCTGGCCTCAGAGAATGAGTTGAAGGACTCAGAGAAGTCCCTCCTTCTCAATTTTTTGAAATAGCTTTCATGGAATGGTACCAACTCTTCTTTGTACATCTGTTAGGATTTGACTGTGAATCCTTCAGGTCCTGGGCTTTTTTGTTGGTAGGCTATTTATTACTGATTCAATTTCAAAGCTCAGTATTGGTCTGTTCAGGGAATCAATTTCTTCTTGGCTTAGTCTTGGGAGGGTGTATGTGTCCAGGAATTTACCCATCTCTTCCAGGTTTTCTAGTTTGTGTTTCTAGAAATGTTCATAGTAGTTTCTGATGGTTGTTTTTATTTCTCTGCAGTGAGTACTAACATTCCCTTTGTCATTTCTAATTGTGTTCATTTGGATCTTATCTGTTTCCTTCTTAATTAGTCTAGCCAGTGGCCTATTTTATTAATTTTTTCAAAAAACCAACACCTGGATTTTTTGATCTTTTGAATGTTTTTTTGTGTCTCATTTTTCTTCAGCTCAGCTCTGACTTTTGTTATTTCTCATCTTCTGGAGCTTTGGGGTTGATTTGTTCTTGCTTCTCTAATTCTATCAGTTGTGAAGTTAGGTTGTTAATTTGCCATCTTTCTAACTTTTTATGTGGGCATTTAGTGCTATGAATTTTCCTCTTAATGCTGCCTTAGCTATGTTCCAGAGATTCTGGTATGTTGTATCTTTGTTCTCATTAGTTTCAGTTAATTTCTTGATTTCTGCCTTAATTTCATTATTTACCAAAAAGTAATTCAGAGCATGTTGTTTAATTTCCATGTAAATGTATAGTTTTGAGCAATTTTCATTGTGTTGACTTCTATTTTTATTGTGCCTTGGTCTAAGAGTTTATTTGGCATGATTTCAGTTCTTTTACATTTGTTGAAGATGGTTTTATGCCCAATTACGTGGTTGATTTTAGGGGATGTGCCATGTGGCAATAAGAAGAATGTACATTCTGTTGTTTTTAGGTGGAGACTTCTGTAAAGGTCTATCAAATCCATTTGATCCAATGCTGAGTTTAGGTCCTGAATATTTGTTAATTTTCTGCCTCAGTGATCTGTCTTATACTGTCAATGGAGTGTTGAAGTTTCCCACTAATATTCTGTGGGAGTCGATGTCTCTTTGTAGGTCTCTAAGAACTTGCTTTATGAATCTGGGTGCTCCTGTGTTGGGTACATATATATTTAGGATACTTAGGTCTTGTTGAATTAAACCCTTTACCATTATGCAATGCTCTTCATTGTCTTTTTTGATCATTGTTCTTTTGAAATCCATTTTTTGTGAAATTAGGATTGAAACCCCTGCATTTTTCTGTCTTCCATTTGTTTGGTAGATTTTTCTTCATCCTTTTATTTTGAGCCTATGAGTGTCACTGTATGAATGATGGGTCTCTTGAAGACAGCATACCATTGGTTCTTGCTTTTTATCCAGCTTGCCACTCTGTGACTTTTAAGTGGGGGCATTGAGCCCATTTACATTCAAGGTTAGTATCGCTATGTGTGGATTTGATCCTGTCATTGTGCTGTTAGCTGGTTATTATGTTGGCTTGTTTGTGTGTTGCTTTACAGTGACACTGGTCTGTGTGTCTAAGTGTGTTTTTGTATTATCTGGTAGCAGTCTTTCCTTTCTATATTTAGTATTCCTTTCAAGTCCTCTTGTAAGGCAGGTCTGGTAGTAATGAAGTCTATCAACTTTTGCTTACAATAGTAAGCAACTTTTGCTTTACAATAGTAAAGTTTTGGCTTTGTGACTTGATTTAGCCAACAGAATATGGTTGAATCAACATTGTGCTAGGTCCAATCTAGGCTTTAAAAAAGCATTACAACATTTCTGCTCACACTCTTGGACCTCTACTTCCATGAGGCAAATAAGCCCAAGCTAACATGCTACAGGATGAGAGACCAAAGCTTGTTTCATCCATAGCTATAATAAAGCACCCAGCCTAAAGACCCTCCAATTGGTTGCAGACACTTGAACACACCTAGCTAACATCATCCAAGCCCAGCTCATACAAGAAGGACCAACCACCTGAACACAGACCTAAGTGCTGATGTACAGAACCATAAGCTGAATAAATTATTATTCCAAGTTCAGAGTAGTTTGACAAATAGTAAAAGTTAACTGATACATATGTGAAGAAGTTATACAGAATATAACACAGACTTGCAGAGAGAGAGAATATAAGATCGGCTGTGAGACTTCAAAGATAGCATTCAAAGATCTAATGCTCACTTTGAAATTCTTAAAGAAAACAATAGAATAAGGAAGAGATATTTGAAAAGATAATAATGCTTGTGGTGGGTTAAGTAGTGGCCCACACCATACCCCAAAGATAATTTCATCAAGAATCTCAAAATGTTACATCATCTGGAATAAAGATTTAATTCACAGATACAATTAAAATAAGGATCTGAAAATGAAATCATACTGGATTAGGATGGGCCATAAAACTAATCATCACTGTTTTTATAAGAGACTAAAATGAGAAGACACAGAGAGGAAGGTTACATGAAGACAGAGGCAGAGATTATAGTGATATATTGATAAGCCAAGGAGTGTTAAGAATTTCTGGGTTCTACCACATCCTAGGAGAGAGGCATTGAATGACTCTTCCCTCCGAGCCTCCAGGGGGAACCAACCCTGCTGACACCTTGATTTTGGACTTATGACCTCCAGAACTATGAGATAATACATTTCTGTTGTTTTAAATTACCCACTTTGTAGTAGTTTGTCATGGCATTCCTAGAAAACTAATACTCTGGTTAAGGAGTTTTAAAAACTAATGAGGAATATGAATTCTCAGTTTCAAAATTCTAACACATATTAAAAGAGTGAAAAGGAAAAGACAACTATACCTACACAAACTGGTTAACTCGCCATCAAAGATAAGGTTATATGACAAAAAGTCTCCTAGCCACCCAATTCTCTTCCTCCCTGACACAACTACTCTTATCATTTTGTTTGCATGTATGTATCCCCTGCCCTAGATTTTGTATTTGGTACAAAATTTAATATTTTTAAAGATACATTTCAGTATCAATTGTTCAAATTAAAAGTATGTAAATTTTCTCCAGATTGAGAATATTCTTAGTTCTTAGGGGATATTCATCTGTTTTTGTCTCTTAGGGTAAAGTGGGGGTACCTAGGCATTCTATATTGTGGTTAATTTTGGTAAACTTTCTTTTACCAACCTAAATATCCATAATCGGCTATTTTGGTTTAGGGGTGACAAAGTAACAATCCTCAGACAGCATTTATTAGAGGTGAGTTTGGTTTGGCTAGCATTGTGATATTTATTTATGTTTTTATTTTATATTAAAGTAAAACATTAATTTAAAATTCATTAGGCTGGGCTTGGGTTTTCTGGTTGTTTCACAGACCTCCATTGTCTAATTTAGACACTTAAGTTACCTGCTTGGTCTTTTCTAAGCATTTACATTTTCTGTAACTTATTATAACAATAACTTATTAATTCATTAACAGAATAATACCACACTGTTATAAGTGATATTGGGATAAACTTTTATAAGAAAGAAGCATGGTCTTGATAAATGGTTTAGTGGGAATAAAAAGGATATGCTACTTGATGCTATAAGAAATTTAACTAATAATACATAAGGAAAAAAACATCTGGGAGAAACTTTACCATAATGTTGGCAACAGTTATTTCTAGGACAAGATTGTAAATATTGCACTTTTTTTTCTTATGTAAATGTTCCAATTTTTATATAATAAAAATATATTACTAACATCATAAACTATTCTAAAAGAGGGAAAAAAGAAAACCATCTTTTTTTTTTCTCTATTGGACTTTGAACTGTATTTATTGATATTTAATTACATTCCATTTTCTGTTAGGAACAACACATTGATAACTAAAATGACCAATTTTTAAAAAACCTATAAACTAAAATACAATACTACTTGTATTGTAGAACAATCCCCAGCCTTTTTGGCACCAGAAGCCGGTTTTGTGGAAGACAATTTTTCCACAGACCAGCATGATAAGGGGATGGTTTCAGAATGACTAAAGTGCATTACATTTATTGTGCGCTTTACTTCTATTATTATTACATTGTAATATACAGTGAAATAATAATACAACTCACTATAATGTAGAATCAGTGGGAGCCCTGAGTTTGTTTTCCTACAACTAGATGGTCCCGTCTGGGAATGATGGGAGGCAGTGACAAGTTCTCATGAGGAGCGCACAACCTAGATCCCTTACATATGCAGTTCACAATAGGGTTTGCATTCCTATGAGAATCTAATGCTGCCACTGATCTGACAGGTGGTGAAACTCAGGCTGCAATGCAAGTGGTGGGGAACAGCTGTAAATAAAGATGAAGCTTCACTCGCTCACCTGCTGCTCACCTCCTGCTGTGTGGCCTGGTTAGGGATCCCTGTTGTAGAGGACCAATACATTGACCAATACAAAACTTTCAACACCTCTTTTTCTTTCAGCTTAAGGGATTTATTACAAATACAAATGGTCAAGAAAGATTAGAACTCTACAATGTTTTGAATCCCTACTTAATCATACACTTCCATTATGATTTTGGTAAAATTTCTAATCCCTTCATCTTAGTTTTCTCATCTGCAAAATCTACAGTTGTTTCAAAAAGGTTAAAAAGATAGTGTTGAGAAAGTGTCAGGTATGTTGTAGATGCTCAATAAAGTATGTATAACTTTCCTCGAGACTGAATTTTTCCTTTTCAATTGATATCAAATGAAGAAAATCTGAGCATTATAAGACACCAAAACTATGTTTCTTTAGTTTCTCTGGCTTTTTAAAAAGGGGTTATACTTCTTTGTGATAGATTAAGTCAGTTTTTAAATAATCACAATGACATGGATATATATTGCAATTGTTACATTTTTTTCTATATATTTTTATATTTCCAATGGTTGGAGACTGCATTTCTATTTTTCTGCACTCCTATTTACTTTACACACATTAACATATGCGTAATTTTTACACATACAATATACATCATATTGATGTAGCATGCAGGTAGCTCTCTAGGGTAACACTCTCTAGCTTTCCCTTCTCTGTTCTTTGAATACATAGTCACACAAAGATATTCATGTACAATAAAGCAAAAAGTTTGTAACAATGTAAAACATTGATTTACCATTTCCCTAGTTCTATTTGACTGTCCTTTTCTTCCCTTCTTCAGTTTTAGAATCTCATACTCATTGCAAGGCATTAATATTTTGAGTCACACTCTTAGAAATAATCCAAATGTCACATTCATTTACATGCACAATCTGCTTATTAGAATTCATATATATCCAGTTTTTAATGCTTAAATTGAATCACTTCTCACAAAAAAACTGCCCCAATACATACTTTTTAAAAATTTCACCCATCCTTTTATACTAATTTGATTCATGCCAGTTTTGATCTTCTGTGATTTGTGCATTTGTGCATTTGGGCATTTCATTGTTCAAAGGGCTAAACTATTAGTTCCAGTTACATGCTCAACAAACTTATCACTTGATAAAGGAAAAGGCACCGTAAACAAAACCCTGGAAGTAATTATATCCTACAAAGCCTTCTATTTTATATCTACCCTACTAGGTAAGTACCAGAACCAAGAAGAAAGAAACCATCAATATGCTCTCCTAAATAAATAAAACTACATAATTGTTTTAATGGTTCCTCACAAAGAGTAATTGAGATTTAGTATCACATTATGGTTTGAACTTTTATTGACTTTCTCCCGGCATAAACCAGCAGAGATATTTCTTTATAATGTTCAAATGTGCTTCTTTTTTTTTCTTTTCTTTTCAATTTTACTCTGGGCACTGATTTTGTTATTACACTCAATATGTTGTAGCATTTATGTTATTCAAACAATTTTGGCTTTAATAAATAAATCTATAATCTGTCACTCTTTCTATACAAAACCTAAAATAATTTTATTCCTCTGATTTGAAAATCCTAGCAGCCTTATGTCTTATTTATATGGTATTGACAGAGGCCATTCCCTTCCTGGAGCCCTGGGCATCTATAAATTATAGTAAGCACAGAGTTGGGTAATGAGATATGCTGATAAAAGTGATGTTAATAGAAAACTGAGAACATTTCACTCCGAAAATCAGGTTGAACATTTATATTAAAAGAAGCAATAAACACTTTCTTAAATCTATAAATGTATTTAACTATATTTTCTCTTGAATTTTTACTCTCGCTTCTTTATTTTATTGCAATGCATTTTTCTTACTCAAATGCTGAAATGCAAGATCCTGGTCAGGAGAAAACTTTCAGCAGTTTCTCTTTTCTTTTAGGCTTAAGAGGCTTATTATAAACGCAAGTGGTCAATAAATATCAGAACTTAGTAATATCACTGTGAATCCCTACTTAACCATAAACTTGCATGACTATTTAGGTAAAATTTTTAATATCTCTTCATCTTAGCTTCCTCATCTTCAAAATAAAGTTTAGAGTCACTTCAAAGAGGGCTAAAAAGATAGTGTTGGGAAAATGTCAATTGTATTGTAGATGCTTAATAAGGTATTATGACTTTCCCCTAGATTGATTAATTTCAAGTTGATTAGGCTTTTTGAGGACATTGTAAAGGTTGATTTCTACATAAACAATACTTCCAGTTCAGTTGTCCATTTATTTCAGATATTTGGGTGTCTAATCCCCTCTGAAATTCACCACTTATTGCTTGACTTACGTATCAATCCTTTTCTTCTACTAGAGTCTATGTTTTGCTCTTTAAACTGTGAAGATTGCCAGGTTAGCAACTGTGTCTTCCTTGTTCACTATTGCTACTCTGAGGTCTATCAATAATGCCTGAAACAGAGTTGATGCTCTAAATAATCTTTACTGAGTGAATTCAATGCTGAATTTCTTCTCTCTCCACCTCTCTCTCTCTCTCTCTCTCTCTACCTCTATCTCTTGTCCCTCTCCTCTACTACTTTTCCCATTCAAGTTAGGCATCCATCGTAAGTACTTTAGTAACACCCTCTAACACTTCTGTGGCACATGCCATATGTCTACTAGATTATAATCTTAAAGCAGCAACTGGCCTTCTGCAGTGTTTGCAGGTTGAGCCCATTTGCAGTATTAAACATATGACAGACTTTCATAACTCAGCTATTGAGTGAATAGGAAAGTAAGCAAAAGAATAATCCATTCGTTACTAAAATTTTAGTATTCAAAGAAGTTTAGGCACTAAAGAAAAAATGGAACAAGTTTGACAATGACTAGTGATGGGGTGGGTGATTGTGCCGTCCTTTCATCCATCCATCTACTCATCCATTCATCAATTTATCAGCTAGCAAGCAGGTATTTAGAATTTGTTTATGACATCAGCACTAGGCTTTGGGAGATGGAAATAAAGTATATAAAATATATGAGAAGTGGTTCCTAACCTTAAATTGTTCACAATATAAAAAAATGCAAATAATGCTAAATCATTTATCTGGAATTTTGACGATTCTGGACCAGCATTAAGTGGGTAATAAAATGTCATATCAGATTTGTACTTCAGTCCACGGGCTTGCAGTAATGAAATGCTCCTGATTGTAGTTATTTGAAATTATAACTCAACTGTCTAATGTACAAGCTAAGCTCATTGGTTTTAGCACCAGTGAGAATTCATGTACTTATTGCACATATAAGATAACATATTTAGAAATAAAAAATATAAGCAAGTAAATGGGATTTCCGGTAAATAACGTACTAAATTTACTATATTAATAAATAATTCCTACTCATTTGTTTCAGCAATGCTATCCATCCAAAATGTGCCAGGTCAGTTATGACTCCAATCCCAAATGTCATTCTTCTGTCAAAATATGGCAGTCACTGGTGTTAGATGTTTCTTCCAAGAACAAATTATTTCCGGCAATAAAAGCCCATCTGTTTATCCAATTTGTGAATGTGCTCTGCCTACATTATCATTTGCCCAACTAGCCTTGAAATAAAATATCATGACAAAATATTATAGGCCCTGCCATGACATCATTTCTCTACATAGCTATTGGAGGACAGCAATTTCTCTAGCTTGGGGAATGAAATACACTGAAGCTAACAAACAATTCACTCTCCAATAATAGGTGCCAACTCTGCTGAAATACTGTGTCAAGTACTGCTGGGGATGGCAAAGGTTAATTACACCACCTGAGCCCTCATGAAGATTACAATTTTCTGGGAGCCAGAGCAGTCTATTGTAGTACATTTATTATTTTAATTGATTTTTTAAAGACATTCTCTTTGAAATAAAACAATAAAATTCAAGGTCATTGGAATTAAAAAAAATAATGCTAAATATAGCAAAGATTCACTTACATTACACATAAAAATAAAAAGCTGTAAATACAGTCATGCTTCATATAACAACCTTTTAGTTAACAACAAATATTATATTTGTTAATGATAATAAATGACTATTTCTAGTTTATGTATTTACTATACTTTTATATGTATACTATATATGATTATGTATATACTATACTTTTTAGTGTTATTTTAGAGCCTACTCATTTTACTTATTTGAAAACAAAGTTAACTGTAAAACAACCTCAGGTCTGTCCTTCAAGAGGTGTTCCAGAAGAAGGCATTGTTAGCATAGGAGATAACAGCTCCATGGTGCTACTGTCCCTGAAGACCTAGCAGGACGAGATGTGGAGGTGGAAGACAGTCATACTGATGATCCTGACCCTGGGTAGGCCTAGGCTAATGTGTGTATTTGTGTCGTAGTTTTTTACAAAAACATTTAAAAAGTTAAAAAATCGTGTTTAAAATAGACAAAAGCTTACAGAATAAAGATACTTTAAAAGAAAATATTTTTATACATCTAAACAATGTGTTAGTGTTTTAAGCTAAGCGTTATTGCAAAGAGTCAAAAAGTTTTTTTAAATTAAAGTTTATAAAGCAAAAATGTGACCATATGCCAAGATTAATTTATTATTGAAAGAATTTTTTAAATAAATTCAATGTAGCCTAAGTGTACAGTGTTTATAAAGTGTGCAGTACCAAACAATATTGTCCTAGGCCTTCACATTCACTCATCACTCACTCACAGGCTCACCCAGAGCAAATTTCAGTTGTGCAAGTTTCCTTCCTGGTGACAGTCCTATACAGGTATGTCATTGTTTATCTTTTAGACTTTATTTTTACTGTACCTTTTCTATGTTTAGATACACACATCCTTACCATTGTGTTACAATTGCCTACAGTGTTCAGTACAGTAACATGCTGTACAGATTTGTAGCCTAGAAGCAATAGACTATACCATATAGACTGGGTGTATAGTAGGCTGTACTATCTAGGTTTGTGAATGTTCTCACAATGCTTAACAATGCATTTATCAGAATGTATCTCCCTTGCTTAGCAATGCGTGACTATATACTAATTAATCAATCATAGTGATAAGTCTCACACAATAGAGCCTTTGAAGTCATGTCTGTGAAGACAGTGACATAGAACATTTTACTTTTTACTTACATATATCCCTCCAAAAAAAAATTCTCAAATGTAACAAATTGGAAAGAAGATTGAGAAAAAAATCACATTGTCTGAAGTGACAGAACTGTAAATACAGGAATTATTTTTTATTTCTTTTCTTCTGTGTTCTTTAAATTTTTAAAAACACTTCATATCATGAAAAATCAAAATACATCCCACATAAATTTAGGCTTGCCCTTCTTGCCCTTCTGACTTACCTACTTAACTTGTACATAACCTGGGGCCCAAAGCCTCCAGATTGGCAGAAATGTTTTTTTTTTAAAAAAATAGGTTTATAGATGGAAATTTTTGTGCAGGACCCCTTAAATAAAGACAGTATTTTCGAGTACTTTATATTTCACCAAATGCTTTCAGAAATACTATGTCATTATCTTTTCACCAAATAACCCTGGACAATAGACATTATTCTTGTTTTAGATCAGGCTATTCTAACTCAGGTTAAATGGCTTGCCCCAAAGCGAGGATTTAGTAAACATCAGAACTGAGCTTCAAATCCCCCCCATTTCATAACTCTGGGTCTAAGGTGTTTATTCTGCACATATTGTCTCTCACTACAATAATAGCCTCTGACTTCACTTGTATGTTGGGACAAGTTATTTCAACAAAAGGAACATTTTAAACATTGGTTTCCAAGCACTTTTTTTTTTTTTTTTGCCCACGGTTATACATAAACTATTTGTTTTGCCTTTAAAAATAAAAGCCCATTTGACATTTTATTTAAAATAATGCATCCAATGTTCAATATAAACCATAATGTATCTGGGGTGGTTACTTCTAGGTCTCAAATGCCTCTTAACATCCCTTCTAGGTCATAATTCATAATGCTTTTCTCTGTCACCCCACAAAAAAAAAAGCAGGATAAAATGCAGTGTAGCCTAAGTGTACAGAGTTTATAAAGTGTACAGTAAAGTGAGAAAATGTTTTCATGAGTGATCTTAATGTCCAGGCTAATACAAGACATGTACAGGCCAGGCACAGTGGCTCACGCCTGTAATCCTAGCACTTTGGGAGGCCGAGGTGGGTGGATCACAAGGTCAAGAGATGGAGACCATCCTGGCTAACACGGTGAAACCCTGGAACCCAGGAGGCGGAGCTTGCAATGAGCTGAAATCGCACCACTGCATTCTAGCCTGGGCAACACAGCAAGACTCGGTCTCAAAAAAAAAAAAAAAAAAAAAAAAAAAAAAAAAAAAAAAAAACATGTATGATAACCACAATCCCCCACATCCAGTCCAAAAGAGAAATAACCTTCCAATAAATTTATATAAGGCATTTATTTTGAGACCTGCCAATAACTTATGCCTCTGTGTCACCTCATGCCTGTGCCACAGAGGACAAAACAGTAAATTAATTTTATATCATCTAAATAAGATAACTTTAATCAAGAGTATTTGTTCAATGACCAATATGTGGATAATTTTCTAACTTTAATTTTTCAGAGCTGTCTCTAGACTAATGGGTAGCAAACTCGTCTTAAAACAAAAGACCTGAATGTCACATAGAGCTATGGAAACAAGACATCACAAGCACTAATAGGATCCCTTGTTCAAGTCTTAGTATAATAAAATATTAATAATACTGCATAGCAATGGAAGAAATTATATATTTTTAAAAAGCTATTTGGTGCCACTACATGTTTCTGGTCTCCATCTAGTGTGTATCTTCTAAGCCATGGCCAAACCCTCCAGTTGTTTTGGCCAACATGTTCTCCAAGGTCTTTTCATCACTGCCCTTAACCTCTATGCCCCCAGGCTCATCATATTCAGCAGACAGAAATGCAATCAGGTATCATCTTTCTCAAATACAAAGCTTCTCTTACACAACTATGCAACCACATATTTGTTTTGATTTCTGTCTTTGTAATATTTTTCTTCATTCTCAGATGTAGTGTCCCTTCTATTCAAAGGCATTCTACTCTCTCTTCCTTGTACTTATCCACTTCCTAGGTCCTAGTTTAGATTTACATTTCTTTGTCTCTGTATAACCCTGAGCCTAAATCCTCCGCCAATAATCAAATATTTTTCTTGTATTTCTCATCTGACTTCAAAACATGATCTATTCTCATTGTTACCACTTTCTGACCTCATGTTCATTCTTAATCTATTGAATTCCAGCCTTGTCCCCTGACTCTACTAATATTATCTCTCACTAAAATCAAAAAGAGCATCCAAATTTTTAAATCTGGTGGATATTCCTAAGTCTTTATTATACTAAATCTTTGCATTGAATTTGCCTTAATTACTTCTTTCTGTTTAAAATGTCATGCTCCTCTCTTCTTACCAATGTTCAACCAAAACAGCATGGTACTGGTAGAAAAACAGGCAAGTAGACCAATGAACAGAATAGAGAACCCAGAAATAAGACCATACACCTACAAGTATCTGATCTTTGCCAAACCTGAAAAAAAAAAAAGGAACAAGCAATGTGGAAAGGATTCCCCATTCAATAAATAGTGCTGGGATAATTGTCTAGCCATGCAGAAGATTGAAATGGTACCCCTTCTTTACACCATATGCAAAAATTAACTCGAGATAACTTGAAGACTTAAATGTATAACCCCAAACTATAAAAATCCTGGAAGACAACTTAGGCAATACCCTTCAGGCACAGGCAAAGATTTCATAACAAAGATGCCAAAAGCAATTGCAACAAAAACAAACATTGACAAATGGAGATCTAATTAAACTACAGAGCTCTGCAGAGCAAAAGAAACTATCAACAGAGTGATCAGACAACCTAGAGAATGGGAGAAAATTTTTCCAAACTATGCATCTGACAAAAGTCTAATATTTAGCCTATATATCAGGAACTTAAACAAATTAACAAGAAAAAAACAACCCCATAAAAAAGTGGGAAAAGGACATGAACACTTTTCAAAAGAAATACATGTGGCCAACAATCATATGAAAACAAGCTCAACATCACTGATATTACAGACATGGAAATCAAAACCACAATGAGATGTCATTTCATACCAGTCAGAATGTCTATTATTAAAAAGTCAAAAAATAACAGATGCTATCATTTTATACTCGAACACTTATACACTGTTGGGGGGTGGGTGGAAGAGTGTATGATGATTCCATACACTGTGGAAGAGTGTATGATGATTCCTCAAAGACCTAAAAACAGAACTACCATTTGATCCAGCAATCCCATTATTGGGTACACCAGGATATATAAGCATTCTACATAAAGACACATGCACATGAATGTTTATTGCAGCACTATTCACAATAGCAAAGGCATGGAATCCACCTAAATAACCATCAGTGATAGAGTAAAGAAAATGTGGCACATATACAAAATGGAATATTATGCAGTCATAAAAAGGAAGGAGATCATGTCCTTTGGAGGGACATGGATGGAAATGAAGGCCATTATTCTTAGCAAACTAACACAGGAACAGAAAACCAAATACCACATGTTCTCACTTATAAGTGGGAGCTAAATCACGAGAACACATGGACACGCAGAGGGGAACAATGCACACTGGGTCCTTTCAGAGGGTGGATGGTGGGAGGAGGGAGAGAATCAGAAAAAAATAACTAATGGATATTAGACTTAATACTGGATGATGAAATAATTTGTACAACAAACCCCCATGACATAAGTTTACCTATGTAACAAACCTGCACATGTACCCCTGAACTTAAAATAAAAATTTACTTCTATGGCACCAGAACTTCCTTTCTTTCTGCACACTTCTCTGAGTATTAACTCTCTCCCAGAGCACAAACAAAATAATTTACTAGGCAATTTCATCAGTACCACCAAAAACGATTCCTATTTCACCATTCTATAAATTTTTTAAAGTTTAAAATGGAATCATGTTTAAAAATTTTATGGAAAACTAAAATTTTAAAACAAATTATAATTTTGAAATTGTTTTTTTAATATCAAACAAGTAATATGATAGATATATTTTGATAGTTTTGTTTCTCTTTTGGCTAATTTTAAAAATTAATTGATATTTGTAAAATCTATTTTAAGAGTCTTGAGACATTAGTTTTTATTCGAACACTGCCACTATTCTCAGGGGAACTATTTAACCTTTTCTTTGTTTTTACCATTCTATAGATTCATGAGTAAAATAAAATGCTATCCCTGCTTATAGATAATCAGGAATGAAATAAACATAAGGAAAGGAGTTCTCATATTTATAAAAGTATAAACTACAAAATTATGTTAATTTCTAATTCTAATCATTTTAAAGAACCAGAGCATGCTCTGCTTACCCTGGGAAACTACTTTCTTCTTTTTATTTCCAGATTGCTTACTGTCTGTGTGACTTATTTGTCATTTACTACCTAGAGTACTAGTAGGCTTTTCATCTGTATAGCTCTTATTTTACTAATTAGAATGTAACCCCCTTGGGAGGAGAACTACATTGTATTCTTACTGTATTTCTCAGGTTGCTTTTCAAAAATTAGTTGCTCAAAATTGTTTTCTGACTACTTTATTATATAATGTATTTATTAAAATACAGTGTTTTTTATTCCTACTAGAGCATCATATATAGATTTTTTCCCATTTGACATCTACTTAGAAGAAAATTACTGCCTGTTCAGTTTCTAGCATATGGAGGTAGAGGGAAATAACTGTAAGAATACATTTGTGTATAAAATGTGTCTTTAACCACTCACGTATTTTTAAATACCCTAGAAAGGGATTATTACAAATAGAGCAGTTTGGGAAATAAAAGTTTGGTGTGAATAGGTTTGTAATAGTTATCTATTGCTGTATAACAAATTACCCCCGTATTTAGTGGCTTGCCTAAAAACATAGTGACATTTGTTATAGCACAGAGGAATATGTTTCAAGTCCTCTGGCTCTAGGTCTCTATGAAGGTTGGATCAAGGTGATGGACAGTAGGGGCTACAGTCATCTTAGGCTCAGTTGGGGTTAGAGTCATTTCCAAGCTCAGTTAAGTGATTGTTGGTGGGGTTTAGATCTTCACAGTTCATTGGACTGAGGGCCTTAGTTCCTTATGAGCTGTTGATCAGAAGCTTCCCTCAATTCCCTGCTATGTGGCATACTCCAGAGAGCAGCTCCCAATATTGCAGCTGGTTTCCTCCAAGTGAGAAAACAACAAGGGAAGAGAGTGTGGGCTACAATGAAGTCAACAGTCTTTTGTAACCTATCCTAGAAAGTGACATCCCATAACGTTTACCTATTCAGTGCATTAGAAGTCAGTCAGTTGGTCTTACCCACATTCAAGAAAAGAGGATTACACTGGGGAGTGAGTACCAGGAGGAAGGGGTCACTGAGAGCCATGTTAGAGAGGTGCCCACCACAGGGTGATTTTATTCTTTCTTTCTAATGAGAGAGATAAAATTTGGGGATAGTAAAGCATGGAGGGATGAATTGGGAGAAACTCTCCTGAGCTGAAAATTGAAATCAGTATATGAAGAAGAAAAACTGTTATATAGAATATTAATAGGAATAATAACTTTTAAGTAACAATCATATCTAGGCTTTGTGCTAGACTTTATTGTCTCTAACCCATTACAATCCTTTGAAAGTGTGAACCCCTAAAGGTATTAAAGACAGGTCTCAGTTAATATAGAAAGTTTGTTTTGCCGAGATTGAGGATGCACACCTATGACATGGCCTCAGGAGGTCATGACAACGTATGTGCAAGGTGGTCAGAGCAGTTTTGTTCTACACATTTTAGGGAGACCTGAGACATCAATCAACATGTGTAAGATTAACATTGGTCCAGTCTGCTGGAAAGGCAGGACAACTCGAAGCAAAGGTGGGACAACTGGAAGAGGGGAGGGGACTTCCAGGTCAGAGTTAGATAAGAGGCAAATTGTTGTATTCTTTTGAGTTTCTGATTAGCCTCTCCAAAGGAGGCAATCAGATATGCATTGATCTCAGTGAGCAAGGGGGTGACTTTGAATAGAATGGGAGGCAGGTTTTCCCTGAGCAGTTCCCAGCTTGACTTTCCTCTTTAGCTTAGTGATTTTGAGGCCCAAAGATTTATTTTCCTTTCACAAAAGATAGCATTATTCATGGTTAACAAATTAAGAAATGGTAGTTCACAAAAGGAGAATGACTAATTAAGCCTCATTAATTATCAAGTGACAGGGCACAACCTATATTAGAACACAATTCTTCTGGTCTTCAAAACTCACAAATTTAAAAATAAGAAAACTAATATAGAGTTGGAGTATTTCATTTTTAACATAAAATCTCCTTTTATCATAGATCTGTATCTTCTTTTCTTTTTTTAAAAAAATTATAATTCAGATGCTTTAAAAAATGGCATTCTTCTGGAAATGGCATTTTTCTGGAAAACACAGCACATCAAGTTGCAATTTGGTGCTTGCTACTTTGATCAGTTTTCAATACTTCCTGAAAAGCCAAGTTTGTTTTGGAGAGAGATAAATGAAATGCTACTTAGGATATATCTGTGTGGGATGTGTGCTTTTAAGAGGCGGGTGGTGGTGGTTGCCATATCCTGGCTTATACGATGGAAGAAAGTAATACAGATATGGGATTCATGGCTCTGAGTCACACACATCACTGTAATTCTGGTAATATTTATCTCCCTGTTCGGGTAAGGTATACATCTTTATTTATATCTATAGGTAGAGCTATATTATCTGTCTAACCAGCCTCATCTCACATTCAAATATTGCCTAATAACCTATTACTTCATTAATCTTCACTACAATTTAATTTGAGGAATGTTAACTTAGCCTAATAATAAAAATATAAGTAGTACAATTTATCAAATTAACTGAATAAAGAAGAAAATCATATGATTATCTTAATAGGTAAATAAAAATTATTTGTTAAATTTAAAAACTCAGTCATGATAACTACTCATTGAATTAAATTAAAAAGAAAACTCTTTGCCCTGATTAACAGTTACCTGTGAAAATTATACCACTTTACACTGAAGGTGAAATATTTAGAGCTTTTCCTAAACTGGAGGAAAAAACAACGACACGTGTTACCAACATTTGTATCCACCTTGAATTTGAGAAGCTAGAATTGTGCAATAGAGAAAGATAAAAATAGGATGTAAAACAATAAATGAAACAGATAATATAAAACTGTAATTATTTATAGATGACATAATGATGCAGGTAGAAAAATCCAAGTGAATTCATATGGGAATATTACAAGGTCACTAAATATTGTAAATATGTAGAATCAACTGTATTGCTATATATTAGTAACAAACAGGAAAGTTAATTTTAAATGATAATATTTGCTATATTATAATAAATATAACCCATTAATTGTTTTCGTAAAAGATATGAGGCATATACACTAAAACAAACTAGCAACAAAAACAGCAACAAAAGGCCTAAAATACCACTGAGATAAAGAAAACTACATAATTGGAAGCAAATGCGATGTTCACAGGTTAGAAGATTCAAAACTATAAAGATAGCAACTCTCCATCAGATTTATCTATAAAGTCAAGGCAGTCTTAATCAAAATCTCTCCATTATTTTCTTACAAATTTACAAGCTTATTTTGAAACTTACATTGCAATACAAAGAGCTAAGAATAGCCAAGACAATCTTGAAGAACAAAGCCAGGGCACTTATGCTTCCAGAAATCAAAACTTGTCATGAAACTACAGTAATTTAGATAATATTATGTTGGTACATAGAAAGTCCAATAGACAGAAGAAATGGGGAGAAAAGAGACCTGATTCAATGCAGATTCACACAAATATAATAATTTGCTTTATAACAAAGTTGCTTGCTTTATAACACTGCAGTGCATAAGACAAAGAAGGCCTTTCAATAAATGATGCTAATGTATTAGAGTTTCCATATGGGAAAAAAAAATTGAAACTTTACCTCTACCTCACACCACAGATAAAAACCAGTTCCAGATGGATTACAGATCTAAATATAAATGTTAAAATAATTAGCTATTTGGACAAAAACAGTAATAATATCACGGTAGTTCTGAAGAAAGCAAAGTTTTAAAAAATGAAACACAAGAAGAACTACCTATACTGGAAAATATTGGTGAAATGAAATTTATTAAAAATGAAAACTTAGATTAAAATAAAATGAAATCAAAAGTTTCAGAGAATGAAAATACAGGCCACAGAGTTATGATGGATATTTTCAAAACATATATGCCACAGTGAACTCACATCCAGGATATTCAAAGAACTTTTACAGATCTATAGAAAAAGTAAAGACTCAAAAGAAAAATTGGCCAAAACTTTTGCAGACACTTTTCAAAAGAAGATATTCAAATAATTATTAAATATATGGAAAAGATCCTCATGCATAGACACCAGAGAAATGTGAATTAAAATCTGAAAACCTATCAGAATTGCTAACAATTACAAAGAAAGATGATGTGAAGTGTTGCCGAGGTTATGAAATAACTGTAATTCCCACACACTGATGGAAGTTATATAAATTGGTACAACACCTCTTGAAACTGTTTAGTAATAGCTACTAAAGCTGATGATAGACACAAGTTATACTCTGGCCTTCTCAATCTAATTATACTCCACAGAAATACAGACATATGTTTACAAAGACACATAAAGCAATGTTCATAAATAGCACTATTGTAGTAACTACCCAATGTTAGAAGAATCGACCGATAAATTGTGGTATATTTTTACAGTACAATGCCATATATCAATGAGAGAAAAACTATAATTAGAAGTAACCATAAATACATATCACAAACATGGTTTTGAGAAAAACAAGGAACATACACTATGATTGCAGTTATGTAAGTTTCAAAAGTAAGCAAAATTAACTTATGGTTTTGAAATTCAGAATAATGATTACCTTTGAGGGGAATAATTACGAGAAGGGTCATAAGAGTGTCTTCTAGAGTGTTGATAGTGTTCCATATCTCGATCTAGGTGACGGTTAAAAGTTTGTCTTTACTTTGTGAGAATTTATCAAGCTGTACATTGAGTGTGTTTCTTTATTATGTGATATTTTAATGAACTGTAAATTTAGAAAAGGGAGAAGGTACACTTCTCTTTTTTCCCTTTCTCCTTTCTTCTACTTGGAATATGAATGTGATAGTAGGAGCACAAGGAGCTGTTTTAAGTCAGCAATCTTGAGACAACATTCTCGGGATGGCAGAGCAATAAGAATGGAGGATCCTGGGTCCCAGTTAACATGAAGCTGCTATGCCAGCCCTAAACTGGCAACTTCTGGGCTTTTCTTACATGATACATATATTTTTATCTTGTTACATATAAAGTAAGGGAGCAGTATTTTTTCCTACGCACTAAACAGTATGACAAAATTAGAGTTCATACTGCCAGAGTTTAGACAGCCCATTTCTTTTCTTCTTGACTAAAAGGAATAATAACAAGGGACTTAAAAGTTAATCATTCTTCAGGCCCACTTTTGAATTTCTCCATCATTTTCATTAGACATAAAATCTCCCAAACAGATTAATGGAAAAGATGTAGATGTAATTATTTTCCCATGGGCATTAACAAAAGCAGTAACATGCACTTTATTTATTGGGGCTGTTCTACACCATCACAACTCTTTGGGAGACTTTTCTCATCAGCATTCTTTGCTTGAAAAGAGTGATAGCTTTTCTGCTAAAGTTAAGGTAATTCCACCACTCAGCTTTAGCGAACACCCCTTAGCACATTAATGAATAATATTTGTGCATTAGCAAACATGCTCCAGAGACAAAATCAAATCAAATGGGCTTGGATGTTCATAAATTCTGACACTTCTAAGCTCTCCTAGAGAAACTGCTTTATAATGAATTGCTCAGGTTACATGCATTCCACCAGGAGACTGAAGGCTCTGCTGTACTTCAATAGAGTGAAATTTAGTTAAGGATAAAACAGCAACAATAATTAAGAATTTTCACAAATCCATAAGGATTTAATTAAAATTTGACTTTCTAATCATCAACTGTGTACATTCGGTGTTGATTTAAATCACCTAACCTTTGGCAATGTTCTTCCACGTATTGTAGTACACACGTTGATCACACAGTTTTTCAAAACTCTCCTACCCCCTCCCAATTATGTTAGTTAGTTCCTTATAGGTGCTGGGATGATGACAGAAGAATTCCTACAAAGGAGGCTTAGAGATTAAGTGGATTTCAAAATGAGTAGTTTGCAATGGTTACTGCTTAAGAGAAGCAGAAAAAATGTTTTTAAATAATTAAACCACTAATTGAATACAGGTCTTGATATATCTATAGTTCTAATTTCTTTATGTAAACCTTCCCTCCCATTAAAAATGATCTCATTATTTCAAAGTTGTCTGTTAATATCCTTTTCTGCTCTTGTTCTAAATTCTCTTCCCATCCAAACTTTTGTTTGTGATGCTTCTACTTTCCATCGACATTTTCACACTTGCCATTCAAATTTAAATCATAATCTGTTTTACTACCCTACCGCTTGCTGAAAACTCAACTTGCTGCAACCTTCTCCAGGCTCCTTGTTCTTGAACACAATGGACACTTTTCAGTCTCTGTTTAACTTGTGTAGCACTCTGAAACATTTCACAATCTGAGTGAGTTCTCTTTTGGGAAGAAGCCATTGTTCCCTGGCCTCCGTAGGTCTTTGTTTCCCATCATTTCAATGGACTTCTTTCAGTTTTGTGTCAGTTCTTCACCATCTGATCTTCCTTTAAGTTTGTTGTTATTCAAGGTTCCATACTAAGCTCTTTTGTGGTCTCACTCTGTTACTGCCCTTGGAAATAGCCCATGCACTTCCATAGCTTTACCTACCTTCATACCACTAACCCCAAATTAAATATCCTCATTTTGTACTCCATATCTCTAAATACAGCTCTCTACAGACACTACAGGCCCAGAGGTGTCTCCACTTGCATGCCTTCCAATGCCTCAAATATTAAAAGTCAAAAAAGGAACTAATTAAAATCTGACTTTCTCATTTTCATCTGAGTACTTTAGGTTTTGATTTAAGCTGTTAACCTCTGGCAGCGTTTTTCCTTTTAAAATATGCTAATCTGACATGCCCTTTTGAACAAACAATATATTTGATTGTAATTATAGCTGTAAAATAGGGAGCTTTCTTTCATCCCTTTCTCCACCACATCTTATCATATTATCACATTTTTTAAAAATTGTGTATTTTAAGTGGTTCTTAGAAATATATACTTATTGCTATCACCATTGATCTCAGTCCAATCTACCACCTTATCTTTTATAATAGCCTACTAGATGGGCACTAATTTTTTTAACAATTATTCTGGTAGACCTATCAGGCATGTAGGATATCATTTCTCCTCCTCCATAGATGTATCATCTCAGTTTGTTCCTCACTCTATAGCCATGGTGACTGTTTTAAAACTAAATCTGATCATGTCACTCTCCTTGAATTTGTTTGTTAATTATCTCAGCACCTTAAGATAACGTAGGAGTTTAAAACTCTTAATCCATTCATTCTTCAGATACATTTTGTTTGGCACTTTTTGGTGTTTTAAAAACATTAGATTTGAATGTATTCAATTAGTGGCTTCACTCATCCCCTTCAATACAGAACTAAACAGTTTCCTATATCTTACCTCCTGGCATTCTTCATGTTAGACACCTTTCTGCCTAACCCATGAATTCATTTGAATTTGTGGTTCTTTAATGGTTTACTTTGTCTTTTCTGATTGTGTCCATGCTTATTCCAGCCTTAACTATCGCTAAACTCTTTGCTTCCCTTGGCCTCCTTGGGTCTTTGTTTCCCATAATTTCTTTAATGGTTAACTTCCTCTTTTCTGGTTACTTCAACCTAGCCAAAATCGTATTTCTTTCCGAAAGCATATAAAGTTCAATCTGCTGTGCTTTGCATATACTGATCCCTCTGTCTCAAATGCATGCCTTCTCCCTTTCATACTAAATACACTCATTTTAACACTCAGCTCAAATGACAGGCTTCCATAAACATTTTAATTCTAACCTCAGATAAATGACCACTTCTTTCTTTGCGTCAACACTGTAACATCAGCATGCTTCTAATTTAGACTCATTGCCATGATTATAATTTTAAAAAATATATCCGTATACCTTAATAAACCATATTTTTTTTAATTTCTTGTACTCCTAGTGCCTAGCATAATCCAAGATGCACAGTGGTGGCTCAATAAGAATTTGTGACTAAACAATACATAAATTGATCATTTTACTTTTTATTTATTTATTTATTTTTGGCTACAATTTTATTATTCCGAGCCCCATCTACTGGTCATTTCTTCAAGCTACAGACACATAATCCCTGGAGCTTTTAAGGAAGTGTTAGCTTTTAAGGATTGTCTTCATAGAATCAATTTATAATGGATTTATCACAACCACATCACCCCTAGTAGAAACTATAAGTGCAAGGATGAATGCCACCCAATTAAATAACCCAAATGTCTTTAAAAACTGAGCTTCTCCAGCAGGAGTAAGTAATTATTTAAAGCTCTTCAAAATATGGGCCACAGACCAATTTAGTATGTCAGGATTTTACAGCTTAATTGGACTCAGTACACAGAAAGAAAGGCTTAGGCCTTTTTCCAACAGCTGTTAGCTGATGGAGGAGTCATATGGTTATAATTTTCATTGTTGAAAGGGTGTCTCAGATAGCACTATCCAACTTTATGACTTCCAGACACTTTTTTATTGTTTTTCCCCACAGGAAACGTTATACATATCAAAACAAATACTCTGCCTTCCACTGTTAACCAGGAAAAGTGGAGATTTACAACAGTTGTCTAAACAATTGTTTCTTAATTAGTTACCTGCTTTGTGTAATTTAGCTTTGAGCTTACTTTTTACTTGAGAAAGAATGTTCTGTGCAGTCTTTTCTTGGTTTTCTACAAAAAAGCAAGAAGCTAGATAAATCAAAAAATGTTCGGTAGGTGATGTGCTCAGCACGATTGGTGAACATTTACTGTGGATCCTTAAGTGTATAAGACACAGAATTCACTCTGGAGAATTAATCTGAATATAATCCTTTTGTCTAAATATATCTGGAATCTACTTGCTTTCCACTGTTTCTAATGTCACCTACTCTGCTGGGCCGGTTTAATTACCTGCTTGTGTAACTGGAGTTGAGCTTAGGTTCTTGGCCTTGCTGACTCCGAAGAATGGAATAGTGGGCCACGGTCCCGCAGTGAGTGTTACAGCTCAAAGAAATTCACAGGCCAGAAGAGTGTGCAGCAGCGCAGTTTATTGAGCAAACCAAAAGTAAAGCTTCCACGTGGTGGAAGGGGACCCGGAAGAGGGTGCCGTTGCTAGTCTGACTTATATTCCCATGTTGTTCCCTCCCATATTCTCCCTTTGTCCATTCAGAAGAGTCTGTTTTTCAATCCTCCTCTTGATTGGGTATTTTTGAATCCTCTATTTGATTGGTTAGGAGCTGAATCCTGGCCGTCGTGTTCTGGTTTGTCCTATAGGGCAGTGAGGACCTGTTTTTCTTCTTTCTGTGGAGGGAAAGTCTCTATATTGGAAAGTTCCTGCCCAACCCAGGAAGTTTCTTCCATTTATGTCCCTCATTTGGACAACTGCTATAGCCTGCTAACTGGTTTCCTCATCAATTTCTGTTCTCTTGCAATCGATTATGCAATTATCCCAGTGTCCTTATTACTATACTATAGTAATTCTTAAGATAAAGGGTACAATCCTCAACCTGCACTCTAAGTCCTTATAGGATCCAGTTCTGGCTTCCTTCTCTGGCTTCATATTGATGCCTTTTTCCCTTCCTTTAGGAAGTTCTGCCATAGTGGCCTTTTTTCAGAGACACGTCATTTCCAAGTCCTTTCTCAGTGCAGTGATCACTCCTTTGCTCTTCTTTATACTTAGAACCTTCTCCTCACTCTACCCCTACCACCTTGGTCAGCTCCTACTTATTTTTCAACGTTCAGCCTCTCACATGCTTAGAGGATCCTTCTCTATCTTGTCGTAAAACGTTGGGCCACCCTATTATTTGCTTTAGTAATGGGCCCTGCTGCAATCCAGACAACTAAAAACAAGTTAGTTAACAAAACAGCAACAATTTACACATTCATATGAGGGTTACCCAATACAAAAGTGTTTTTTTTTTTTAAATCAACTTCCAGAAATTAGTTGAGATGATACATAAGCAATAGCTTTAAACATCTAAAACTGACTCTCATGATTTTGGATGAAAATGTTTCCAAACTAAATTACATCTTCATGTATTTTTAAATAAATCATATTGAACAAAATAATTGCTTCGGTGACATGGGGCTGTTGTGATGAATATGAACGATGTGTGTGAGAGCCAACTGGACCTGCTGCTGGAACCTCATGCTTATTAACCCTCCTGAATCAAGTTTTTCTCTATACCGTCAATGATTCCAGTGGAAAGGCCACTGTTTGAGGTAAAAAGGTAGAACTGAGCTCAATCTAGTAAATTATTCTTTCTTGATTTCCTACTAGGTTACTATTGAAAGATGACTTTCCATGCACCTACATGGTGAGGGCCTTTCTTTGAAGAGCAGTCTTACAGATAACGTATGCCTCCAGAGAGATATGAAGACAAACCTTCCCAGAACTATCTAAGGATAAATAATCGTAATATCCTCTTTTTCTCCTTCCTGAAGATATTTGCTTCTATACAAGGGTAATATGTTTTTTCTGTCTCTCTCACTCTTTCTCTGTCTCTCGTAACAAGAAAGGTAGATGTGCCACCAGCCCCACAGAAAGTCAGTCTCCTATTGTCACGGTTCCTGTCCTGTGATGTAACCCTCTACACACACAGGTAACACTTGGCCTTCATCATATTGCCCTGTGGGAACTGGGGTGCTAGGAACTGATGCAAGATGCTGCTCTGCCTGATCTTTTTGCTTTAAAAATTATCTATTTCTCTCATCCAGTGATTTTGTGTTCTTCTGTCACAGTTACTGACTTAAAAATAAATTATTTCAATTCCCTAAAGGTGAAAAGAGTAAAAAGACAAGAGAGACATATAATGTACTCTGGGACAACTTCTCTTTCTGGAAGTTAAGAAATGGGAAAAAAAGTGTTTGCCCTTTTCTAACAATGATGACCAGGATACAGATAAGAGGAACAGCAACATAGTACTTCTCGTTATAAATGCTTACAATAATCTCTTTACAAAGAAACTTACTGTTATCTCACTTAACCCCCAGCAATTTCATGGAAGAAGTACTTTTATCACCCCTACATTTTAAAAAAGAAGAAATTAAAGATTAGAAAGGTTAAAAGACTTCCTCCAAGTCATGATAATATGCGTAGAAATTGGAATAAATGCCCAGGTCTGCTTGACAAAGAATCGATGCTCTCTTTTGCTAAGTAATAATGAAAGCACCATAAGGAGTGAGGTTGTATCATTTGCTGACTGCTAAATTTTTAGTGCCTACCATAGTACCAGAACCTCAAAATACCTTGCCTCTTCATAGGGCAGCTCTCAGCATGGCAGCTTGCTTTCCTCAGATCCAGCACACGAGAGGGCGAGAAAGGGTTCTCAACCTGAAACCTTGTTGGGATCTAGTCTTGGAAGTGACATATCATTTTTGATGAATTACAATTGTTAGAAGCAAGTCTCTAGGTCCAGCCCACCCTTAGAGGGATGATTACACAAGGCGTGAATACAAGGAAGCAGGGATCCTTGGCAGCCATTTCAGAAGCTACCTACAGCACAGGGTAAGATCTCTCCTTTCAATTGCTGGCAGGACGCTGGCTCTAACTGCAAAACCATGAGAGCCATGGTTCCTGGTTTATCCTGCGGTGCTCTGCTAGAGAGAGGCACTGGCTTCACCTATTACCTCTGGATAGTTCTCTACTCTTTTAATACACTTAGAAGGCCTTGATTTTACTGTTTTAAGTGTTCTGTTTTCTGTAGCTATTCCTGTTGGTACCCTGAAAAACAACTGCTAAGAAGAAAAAAAGAAATGAGAATGAATGTACAAGAATCCTTGTATTCATTTTAGCTAAATTATCCTCCCATATGACTAATATTTCTGAGTCACTTAAAAACTTAAGGATATTCAATGATTAACCAATAGCACTTGCTGCAAGCCATAATTTTTTAATATATATTTTATGGCAATTGATCCACGAAAGAGCTACATATATTGCTATTGAGTGTGTGCACATTTACATGGGTGCTTGTGTATAAAATAAGCTTATGACAGTGATCTACATGAAATTACACCACAAATGTTGCCCAGTTGATGATCTCCATCTTGGTTCTTCACTGGAAAATAGAAGTTTCAGCTTGATTTTGTTTTTTAAGCACTTCATTGTTAAGAATAAACATTTCATAATGAATGGTGATATATATTTAGGACTCGTGGCACATGGTTTGTTTTGATCTTTATCTTGCTTTTTTTTGTACCCAGTAATGAAGCTGTTCTTTACCTAAGAAAAATAACCAAAGATAAAATAAAATAAAATAAAATAAAAAGTTAGAATGCACTCAATGGGAGAACTGTATTTTAGCTTTGTTGTTCAAGTTTTCTTGTTTCTTTACTTGCTTGTTTTTAAACGAGAGCACAGAGCACACACCTTATACAACCTGAAAATGGACAATTCTGGGCACCCATTTGTTTGGTTTTGAATAAATTACCAGAATCTAAGGGTATACCCTAAAAAAATTGAAGTAGTTGGGAGAATTTCTTAATTAACACAGGCCTCTAATATATGTTCAGCAATGGGAAAACCTGTCAATCAGCTTGAGTCCCTAGTCAATCATGAGCAAAGCTCTTCAGAAGGAAGGTGGTCATAGAAGTCAGACTGGCCCAACAGTAGCCAGCCCCTCTTTTCAAAAGAAAACGAAATAGAATTTGGAGTTGTTATTCAGGAAGTTTGGATGTCTAAACGGCTGCATAACCAATTATTTTTTCTCTCTTTTCCCCCAGTGATTCCTGGGCTATTTTCCAAATATGGGATACTTCTAAAGTATTTAAGATTTAATTATCCTAAGCAACTATCTTTCCTATGAATGCCAGTGACTTTAAGAGGAAATAGGGTTTATAAAAATTTCATTTTCATTTATTTCCAGAGACTAATCTGATAATTAGGATAAAGTGCTAACAATCTCAAAATACAGAAGGATGCAAATTTTTCAATGCAATTATTCTATATTAACTAACCACTTATTCTATATAAATTATTATGCTTGGCATAGATATGAGAAAAATAAAATACCCACTTTTAAGAAGTTCACAGCCCTAATGGGGCAAGAAATACATACGTATAACTCTACTGCAAGAAACTTCTATTCTTCTGGAAAAATTCACGTGGAAAGTTTCTACTTCTACCATAGATCTAAATTCCAAATTCAGACATATGAAAAACATGACTTAAAAACACATTTAGTCTTTAACAAATTTTTTCATTAAACTTATGTGATTCTGAAATTTAAGACTCTTCATGTATTTTCCATAAACGTGCCTTTCCAAACTGTATCCCTTAGAATCAATAGAGCTCAGAGGAAACTTCCACGGGATCATAAATAGAACAAGAAAGGGGAATATGGAAAGGAGTGGCAGATGATTGACCAGGGCTCTAGAGTCAGTCTCTCTAGATGGCAGGTTGGCCAATTATGTCTTGTTCCCAAATCCCACCATGTGTTTTTGTGAATAAAGTTTTACAGGAACACAGTTATAACTACTTACTTATGTATTGTCTGTGGCCACTTTATGATTCAACAGGAGATTTTTGTTGCAGCAGTTGTGACAGAGATGAGTTGTGACAGAGATGAGTTGTGACAGAGATCATAAAATGGGAAAAGTCTAAAATGTTTACTACCCCTTTCTAGGAAAAGTTTGCCCACACTTGATCTATATTTAATTTGAATCAGATTTGGTGATCTTATCTGTTTCACATATGAGATTAAAATATACAAGAAGAAGAAAAAAAATGAGAAAAAAACTAAACTGTCTTTTCTCCCATAATCCAGGGGAGTAGTAGCAATTGCCTTAGAGGTCAAAGACTCTTATTCCAGAAAATATCGCTTCTATTCAGTTTCATTGAATTAAAAGTGATAAGTAAAAGTTGTACATATTTAAGGGGTACAACGTGATGTTTTGGTATACACATATATTGTGAAAAGATTGCCACAATCAAGCAAGTTACTATATCCATCACATCACAGTTACCTTGTATGTGGGTGTGATAAGACCATTTAAGATCTACTCTCTTAGTGAGTTCCAAATACACAATACAGTATTATTAACTATAGTCCTCATGCTGTGTATTAGAACTCCAAAATTTATTCCCCATACATAGCTGAAACTTCTTACCCTTTAATGAACATTTTCCTGTTTCCTGACTCCTCAGCTCCTGACAACCACCATTGTACTCTCTACTTCAATGAGTTCTGCTTTTTAGATTCCACATATAAGAGAAATCATGCAGTATTTGTCTTTCTGTGCATAGCTTATTTCACCTCCAGGTTCATCCACGTTGTTGCAAATGGCAGAATTTCTGTCTTTTTTAAGGTTGAATAATAATCCACTGTATATATACACCATATTTTCTCCATCCATTCATCCATTAATGGAGATTTAGCTTGATTTTATATCTTGGCCATAGTAAATAATGCTGCAAGGAACATGGAGTGCAGATGTCTCTTCAACATACTGATTTTATTTCCTTTGGATATATACCCAGAAATGAGATTTCAAGATCATGTGGTAGTTCTTTTTTTAATCTTTTGAGGAATTTCTATGTTTTTTCCTAATGACTGTACAAATTTACATTTTTACCAACAATGTAAAAAGTTTCCTTTCTTTCTATTCTCACTAACACTTACCTTTCACCTTTTGATAATAAACATTCTAATAGATGTGAAGAAATCTCTCTGATGTTTTTATTTGCATTTCCCTGATAGTGATATGGAGGAACATTCTATACTTTATTTGTTGAGAATTTTTATCATTAAAAAATTGGATTTTTTGGACTGCTTTTTCTGCCTCAGTTGAGATGTTCATTTAATTTTTATTCTTGATTCTGTTAATGTGGTGTATCACATTTATTCATTTGCATATGTTGAATCATTGTTGCATCCCAGGGATAAATCTCACTTGATCATGGTACATGATTCTTCTAATACACTGTTGAATTTGGTTTGGAGAAAATATCTTAATAAGCCTTTTGGTCAAAAAGCAAAGTTCTTTGGGCCTGATATAGATAAGAGCTTTATACCAAATATGCAAATTATACCGTATTATAATATAAGAAACATGCTCAATTTCCTCCTGCTATACCTTTGAAACAAAATGCTGTCAGAATGGTGTTAAGAGTGACCTTGGTGTGCACAAGAAGCAGAAGAGAGAATTAATGGAAGGGCGGACATGGGGAGTTTGCTCTGCAACATGGTATGAAGTGAAATCTCAGAAGACGACCAGTAAGAATGTTCTTGTGGTGGAGATGGTCGATGAATTTTAGAATTCAGGGTATTATATTATGATTTGCTTTATTCTTTTTGCTAAAAGTATCCCAACACCACTTCCATAATCTGTAAAACTTTAGTAATAACGTGATACTAATAGCCATGTTTATGTTACAGGGAAAGCAGAGAAAGAGCTGCTCTAACTTGGGTCCTTCTACGGGAATGGAGATCATGTTTCAGAGATGCTGAAACAATGCTTATGAGCTAGATAACTGCAGAAAAGCAGGCTGCCAATACTCAGGAGGTACATTCAGGCAATTCTGCTTTCCCTCCAGGATAGAGAGGAAGGAGATGATTGATGAGAACTAAAGTAGGGAATAGATTCCACTATTATATGAGATAAGGTTTAAGCCTTTCCTTTCCTTTTATTTTTTTTGTGGGAGACAGGGAGAAGGGAGTGACAGGAATTTGGATTATAAATGTGAGAGACTGAATATACCAATGGACCATGGCCAGACCATATATAAAAATAAAACTCTGACCTATAACTGGCAGCAACCTGCCTAGGATCCCAATCAGGAAGCCAGCCTGCCGTAAGTCAGACTTGTGGAAAGCCAGATTGCCATCTCGAGTAACAATCTAGAAGCAAAAAATTCTGTAACAATCAGCTCTGAATAGTCGGAACTTAATAAATTACAACTTTTCTAATTTTGGTTCCCATGTCCAACTTAGGACCAATCAGAGAATGTATGTATCCCTTAGCCATTCCATAGGATGTCCCACTTCTAGTTAGCCTGTAGCATTCCCCATGCCAAAAGCCTTTGATCAGGGCATAATTGAAACCTTCTCTTTCTCCACTAATTAAAACTTTTCCACTCCTCTGCCTGCCTTTGAGTCTCTGCCAAAATGCAAGGGACAAAGGCTAACTCCCTTGCTATAGCAAGCTTTGAATAAAAGCTTTTGTTTTCTAATTTGGTTGGTCTTTGTTTATTTCCACAAATGTTAAGATTTTTCTTAAGATATAGATTGAGATTTGTGTCCCCTTTCAAAAAAAAGTGGAAGCCATTTTATAATCCAACATTTTTATTATATAGATGAGAAACTTGATTTTGGAGAATATCATTGACTTGACATTAGACCAATGATTCACAACCTCCTGCACATTAGAATCAGTTGGGGATTTTGAAAATATCTGATGCTCAAGTCCCTACCCCTAGAAAGACTGGGGTAAAGCCAAGTATAAAGATATATATTAAAAGCTTCCTAGAAAATTCTAATAAGCCATAAGAATCTAGATTCTCTGTCTTACAAGACGGTAAAAGTCAGATGCATGTGCAGAAAGCTGAACTCTTCACCTCACTGTTTTCCATTATCCTCTGACATCTGAAACCTTTCATCATCTCAGTGGAGAAAATGATAGGTAATCCAAAGAAATACAGTAACATTCCTCCTGGGTAGAATTTAAATACCAAGCAGCTCCACCTGTCTAACAAATAAAACAAAGGAACACAAAAATGACCTCTAGGTAGTCAAAATAGTGTCATTTATTCATAGAGGACTCCCTCAAGCCTTCACTCAGAAAATAGGTATTCTTATTTTACACATACCTCTGATATGTTTGGAAATCCAGGTTTCAGATTTGCAAGTTTTAGAAGTGCAATGCTTCATGCCCTGCCCATTTTTATGATTGCCCTGAAAAATGATACTCAAGAACAATGGAGAAGCTGGGAAACTTACAAAATCCAGGATGTGTATAACTTCTTATGCTATACATCTCAGTAGATCCTGGGATCACAAAACAACCAGAGATCATATATCTGGGGAAAGAACACAAATAATTAAAACACAAATCTGTTGTTTAGCTAAAAACATTTATTCCCAATTATTCAGAGAAGTTGATATTTCAAATGGCACATTTCTCTAAACTTTTGCACAGCAGAAATGTTTTGAAATTTACCAATATTGTGTTTTAAATAAATGAGGAAAACTGTATCAGCTTTTACTTCCAAAAATGCTTACCCAGTGAGGTATATTTTGCAAACACCAAAATATCAGTCAAAGCTATGAACGATGCTCCATTTTTAATGTATCTGCTTCAGCACTTGCTGCTTTTTCAAAATATTTTTCTCTTAGAATTTTATTCAAAATGAATTCTTGGCTGGGTGCGGTGGCTCATGCCTGTTATCCCAGCACTTTGGGAGGCCAAGGTGGGTGGATCACTTGAGGTCAGGAGCTCAAGACCAGCCTGGCCCACATGGTGAAAAACCCATCTCTACTAAAAATACAAAAACTAGCTGGGAGTGGTGGCAGGCGCCTGTAATCCCAGCTACTCGGGAGGCTGAAGCAGGAGAATCACTTGAACCTGGGAAGCGGAGGTTGCAGTGAGCCAAGATTGCACCATTGCACTCCAGCCTGGGTGACAGAGCAAGACTCTGTCTCAAAAAATAAAAATAAAATTAAAAATGAATTATTGTAATTTACAGCAAGTGAAAGAGTCATTGGTTATTATATTCCTACTCCCATTGTTTGTTTAAATAAAATCCTCCTAGCTAAGCCACAAGTGAAGTTAACACTCAGTATGGAGAAAAACGTCCTCTATTGACCCTTGGGTCTCTGTCAGTTCTAATCTTTACTGCTTGTAGCCTAAACTAATAAACCCTTGCCCTTGAAAACCTGCTTGAAGGGTGATCATGTGAATGACACGAAGGCAAACACAGACAATATGTATATTCATTCAATATTTAATGTTCCTTTCCTGCATACACTTTAAAGTGAACATTTTGCATATTGCCTATACTGGTACTTGAAATAAAGTGGCAGCTTCAGTAATAATAAATGCAACAAAAATATTCATTTTAGTGGAGATCCTAATAAATTTGGAACATTGCAAGTGGTGTTTACAAAATGACCCAAATCCAAATATTGAAAACATTTTTGTGTTAGATGTTACATTTCATTCAAATATCTGTCATTGAGAGGCACTTCTAGATAGACTCTGCCATTTTTATCTCCTCAAAGTTAAATATCAAATGTCACCTGTCGTGACATCCACAAACTACTACTAGGCTAAGCCAGAAGGAATAAATTTAAATAAAATTAAAAGGCATTAGTTATTTACATTACGTATTTTAAGTGACTGTCTAAAGTAGTAGAGTTTGGTGGTCTCTATTGCCTGAGGAGTCCGCCTTCTATTTAAAAACCTTTGTGTGACCTATCAAGCCTGACCATAAGCAATTACAAAGGCTTTGCCTAGCAGGTCTCATGGAGAAGAAAGCTGCTCTCCCCACTGCAGATAGGGTGCACAGCCAGTGCACGGGGAGGTCTCTGCAGGGGGTTGCAGTCAAGGATTCAGGTTCCCCAGGCAGGTCATGCTCTTCATGCATTTACCTTCCTAGCCCAGGTGTCTTCTTTCCTAGGTTTCTATCTGAGGCCTTGGGCAGAGTTTCTCTTCAGGTGTCTCTACCAAGGCTTCCTTATGGTTTGTAGGTGGGGCCTAAAGACACTTTTCCCCACTCTGACACAGCACCCAGCACTTTTCCACGACTACTGCTCTCCCTTCACCTCTCCACCAACCCCAGAGTCTATAACATTGCCAAGCCTTTTGTTGGAGGCTCCCTCAGCTGTGAGAGGACATCACATCTATATTGATTCACCTGACCTCCCACAGGTGCTCTGTTCTGTGGTGGAAAATGGAGCAGAGGGAGTCTGTGTTTTCTCTGGTTTTAGCCTCTTGCATATATCACAGCCATAAGAGATTAAAATCTTAAGGCTTTCTTTTTTGGCTTATTGTTTTATTCGGCTATCCTGACACCTGACAACTCAGCAATCTCATTCTCTCCCAACTTAGCTGAATTCCTGACACTAGTTTCAACCCATATTATGATCCAGTTCCCAAAGAAGGATCTGAATGAAATGTTTCTGCACTGTTGATAAGCTTTGAGAATTTAGTATTAGTGTACCTCATTTCCACAATTTTAAGGGAGCATGTTGTTATCAAAACCCACAATGCTTGAAGAGTGTGACTACCTGAATGTGTGAAATATGGGTCTTCTCCAACCTCCACTAGATGACCTCATTTTTCTCTTTTATTAATTGCACTACCACATTCTGAGAACCCCAGTGCTATCCCTTAGCAAACCAAAACCATGGACTCTCACAGTACATGGTAATTTGCATCTCACAAGCCTACCCTCTTCTTTATATGTTTCAAATCTAACCAGAACTTTCTTCTTTAATCTAAGTTCTTCTCCCACTACATATCTGTTGCTTTTGCAGATTGATTTTAATGAGCCACATAGGAGAGTCTGCTGGATAGTTTTATTTCAGGAGGCTTTCTGCAATGCTTACACCTATTTCTGTAGGCAGATACTTATTCTTCAGCGTCGTAATATTGAATCTGTACCTTCCTGGGTAAGACACCAGCTTGATTTATAAATAATAACTATTCCAGATTGGCAAAAAGCTGTTGGATGTATTGCAGCGCAGAAAATAATTCTCCAAAGTATGGCACTTTGGCATGCTGAGCACTTTGAACTAAAGAAAATTAAAAGGCCTTGGAAGCAGTCTCAGAACCACGGACTTTCTGACCTTCTGTTTCCACTCACAAGCATAGGGTGAACTCTCTCTCTGAAGTTCCCTTATCTGAAGTTCCTCCAGGAGGAATGCCTTTGCCTTCCACCCCCTCCCTAAAATGTATTAACCAAGGAAAATTCAACTCATATTGTAGAAAGGAAGACTGAGGAATGTCATCAAACACTGACTTTGTCACAAGCCATTGTCTGTTCTTCAGTCCCATTCAATTTCCAAAGAGAATCATTTACAAACTATTGTCTGTTTTTTGGGCCCATTTGATGGTCCTAAAAATCATGTACCACCCCTCAAATTTACCTACTTTTCCCCATCTCCCTGTTCACTATGAAGAAGAGTATATAAGCTTCTACACCTCACTGGGTCATTGGGTAATCACTGTCCTGTGATTTCCTTGTACTCATACTAAACTTTCCTTTTTCTTTTGTTAATCTACTGTCAGATTTTTTTGGTTGGTTTGTTTTTTTTGTTTGTTAGTTTTTTTTTTTAGCTAATTCAAACATTTGAAGGGTAGGGAAAATTCCCTTTACCCCTACATATGTTAGGAAACTCATTCCTGCGAGTCTCAGTCCACAAATGTGAAGACTAATCCACACAAATGGTCACCAGAAATTACATTAAAAAGCAAAAAAAAAAAAAATACTGAAATGCTGATGGTGATGGTTGGTGGTATTGGAAGCTGAGATTTGACTAAGATTACTGCACAGCAACAGGAAATTTCTTCTGATATTTACTTTTAAAGCACAAAAACAGATACACAATGGATCTTACAAATGAAAGCACTCTTTAGGCGGCAAAAAAACAGATACTTTGATTAAGCAGAGATTTCCCAAAAGCAGAGATTGCAGAGAAAGAGCTCTAAAATGTCCTGGCCTCTGGGGCATGCCCGTGATTGCTTTCCTCGTCTCTGTGAATACATATGTAAGGGGCATCACTATCCAGGGTTGATCCTTTTTCCTTGAGGTGAATGAGCCAAGCAATACATCTAGTACAGTGTGAGCTTTTTGAGGAAGTAAGCAAGGTTTCATTTCTTGTTGTTACTATTATTACACTCCACCCAGTAGCGTTTATTGCCTCAAGGAGAAGTACACATTAGCCTAGAACAAACAGGACATAATAATTTATAAATAAATATTTTTGTTTGTGTAGCAGAAATAATAATAAAATTCAGAGCACTGGCTTTCATCGAGTAAAGAATTTTTTGAATTCTTGAAACTTGGCTCTGGGCATTATGAGAAAATTTTGTAGGAATTATAGTTTTGAGTGAGTAAAAAAATGTGATGATTAAAGAGCAGTTTCCCTAATCTCAAGAAAGGCCGTGATAATTGAAGATCTTTAGGATTCCGAATGCAGGGAGAGTTAGGATTGCGAGAGAAGAGCTGGAGAATTTAGAAACAACTTGGGGAGTTATATCACTAACCCATGTGTGCTCTTTGTAGATGAAAGTTTAATAAAGGAAATTATTAAGTGGTGATTTGACAGCAAAATTATCTGTTATGAGTATAAATTGTGCCACAAAGGTTAGTCTGACTTCACTTATAGCACCACAAAGCAAGTTCCCAAAAATACACTGATGCTGTGACTATATATTTACTTATATTTGAATAAATTTAAGTCTATATAAAAATATATTTATATTTAGATATAAATATATTTATTTTTATTTAATACATAATTATATATTACATTATAATTACATACTATATTATATAAATATGTAATCAGTTGTGTTTATATAATTATAGACATTATATATGTTAAAATCCTGTTTGATACTGTGCTGTCATTTTGGATGGCAGAAATAAGGGGACAGTTCAGCAAAACTTGAGTCCAATGACCAGAGGACATATTCTGTGTAAGGTTTCCAAGGACAGATACACACATTAGTCTCCTATTGCTTCTGTAACAAATTACCTCAAACTTAGTGCCTTAAAACAACATACATTTATTATTTTATAGTTCTGGAGTTCAGAAGCTCTGAAGTCCAGGTGTCATCAGGGTGGCTACATTCCTTCTGAAGGCTCTAAGGGAGAAAGTTTCCCTTACTTTTTTCAGCTACTAGAGGCTATTTACATTTCTTGGTTCATGACCCTTTCCCTCATGTTTAAGGCCAGCAGCCTAGTATCTTTAAATCCTTCTTTTACTGCCTGACCTCTGCTTCCATTGTCTCATCTCCTTTTCTGAATCTGAACTTTCTGCCTCCCCCTTATAAGAACTTCTGCAACTCTATTGGGCTCACTCACATAATCGAGGATAATCTTCCAATATTGAGATTTTTAAAGTCTACAAAATCTCTTTTCCAACATAAAGCAACACATTCACAGGTTCTGTGATTAGATCATGTACATCTTTTGGGGACTGTTATTCTGTTTACCATATTATGGTTTCAAGTGTAATATGTAAACCTCATTAAATCAGAATCGAGGCTAGAAATTCATCATTTGACCACAAAGCTTTATTGTCAGAATGTGAGATTTTTGGAACTCCAATTAATTTCTTATCCAATTTCTATAGCAGTTTCTGGTCTCATACATCTCAACAAGACAGGAAAAGGAAAATTAGTTAATTTGCTAAGGTTAGAACTAATTGGCAACTACTTTCTACCATTATAGACAAAAGGATTATTTTCAATAAATTTAATAAATGTGGGGAAACTGTCGTGTACAGAGCAACATCATGCCACTGATACACTACAGTCGTTTTGTTATTCATCTCATTTGAAAGCAAAAAAGGAAAAGGAAAAGAAAAGCAATTTCCAAACTTTAAGTGTACAGTTTCTCTAAAATAATATCATACTTAATAAGTTACATGCTTTTTCATGTAAAATGTTACTTTAGGCCGGGCGTGGTAGCTCAAGCCTGTAATCGCAGCACTTTGGGAGGCGGAGGCGGGCGGATCACAAGGTCAGGAGATCCAGACCATCCTGGCTAACACAGTGAAACCCCGTCTCTACTAAAAATACAAAAAATTAGCCAGGCGTGGTGGCGGGTGCCTGTAGTCCCAGCTACTCGGGAGGCTGAGGCAGGAGAATGGCGTGAACCCAGGAGGCGGAGCTTGCAGTGAGCCGACATCGCGCCACTGCACTCCAGCCTGGATGACAGAGTGAGACTCCGTCACAAAAAAAAACCAGTTACTTTAAAATATGTATCACAGATCTTTTCATGAAAATTCATTAGATAGATAGAATTATTTATTTATTTATTTATTTTGAGACAGAGTCTCGCTCTGTCCCAGGCTGGAGTGCAGTGGCGCTATCTTGGCTCATTGCAAACTCCACCTCCTGGGTTCAAGCAATTCACCTGCCTCAGTCGCCCAAATAGCTGGGATTACAGGTGCATGCCACCACACCTGGCTAATTTTTGTAATTTTTTTTAGTAGAGACGGGGTTTCACCACGTTGGCCAGGCTGGTTTCGAACTCCTGACCTCAGGTGATCCACCCGCCTCGGCATCCCAAAGTGCTGGGATTACAGGCCTGAGCCACTGTGCCTGCCAGAAGAATTTATTTTTATAAACCTATGAAATCTTTTGATAGTCCATCTTTTTTCAAGAAGAATTAAAGTAGACTGTATGTTTCAGTTAGTGTCACTTTTAACATTCATAAGTGTACGGGTTTGATAAATTATATGACCACCTCAGGATAATTCTTTCTACATTAAAACACAAATAGAAGATAGTTCAATTTGTTGTCTGCCTTCTCCATAATCAATATATGTTGAGGATAAAAAAGAAAAAAAAAATGCAAATGCCTAGAGGTAAAAGGGAATATCTTGGAGCAACAGATGTTGTTAAGGACCTTAGAGACTGAGGGCAAATGGGGTCAGATACAGGATTAGAACAGCAGCCTGGGGCCCTTGCTGAAAGCTGGGAGAGGGCTGCGATAGAGGAGCAGCAGCCAACAGTGTTGTGCAGTTTCTCAACTGGAAATATTAATGAAGCAAGGAACTACCAGACATCCAAGAAACACTAGAGCCTAAAGAAACTGAAAACAAACAAAAGACATTATATCCAAGGGAATAGATGACAGAGCAGCCAGAAAAAGTCAAACCAAATAAAACCAACAATTTCAGGAAGATGACAGAAGGTATTTAATCAAAGGAACATCAGCAGAAAGAGTTAGAAAAAAATGTATAAACAAACACCTGGAGATGGTGGAGGTGAAGATAAAAAATACAGTTTTAAACAAAAACAGTCCATTGTTGCACTAAATAGTAAACAAATCCAAATTTTGATTTAGGAATTTTCTTCAATTACATCAGAATAGAATAATGAGATGATAAGTGTAATATAAAAATTTGAAAAAGGAAAATAAAGAAATGGAATTCAAAGAGAGAAAAGAAAGGCTGTAATTGTAATTACTGAAACTAATGGAAAAACACTACTGCTTTTAAAATATTGATCTTGTATTCAGATGCCCTATTAAACTTAAAAAAATTAATTCTTACTTAAATTTACCCATTTATTCTTTTGGTTGTCCTATATAGATAAAATGGCATCCGAAAATAAAAAAAAAAATCTTCATCTTTAATTGTTTTACCTATACTTTCACATGAATATAGAAAGATATTCACAATAATTCATAACAGCAAAAATATTGGAAACAGCCTTTCTTCCATCAGTGAAGGAAGAAATCAATTACATTATGATGAAATGCTATATAGCAATTAAAAATGGTGATCCGATTTATAAGTATCAAAATGAATGAATTTTTAAAATAACGATGAGAAAAAATTTTGCAAAGAAAAGTGCAGTGAGATACATTTCAATGTAACATCATAGAGCGAACATCAAATATTATTGTTCGTGGTTCATTGACTTTACACATACAAGACACAGTAAAAAAAATAGATTAGCAACATTCACCTTAAATATGTTAAAATGGATGTCAGAATAGGAAAATAGAACTGGGAACGGGGTATAAAAGGATTAAAAATAAAAAATAAAAAATGGGATATTACTTGGAACAGTGAAGAAATGATGTCACCAACCTAAAGAATATTAATCAAAACAATGTTATTCTTTCCACCTAGTCTGGTGGATCAGGATAAAAACAAACCAAATCCAAAGCTAAAAGAATTTTTTAAATAAAATTAATACATAAAAATAAATGAGCAGAATTTAAGAAGAAACAAAAGGAAAACCATTTGTATCATAATGGCCATCTTTTCTGGCAGACACCGAGAAAGGAGGAAAGATGGATTTTTCTAACTTATTTTTCAAAAAGTAGTTACAATGGACCCTTCTTCACCTAAATCCTACAAAATGCATTTGCATGTATAGAGGGTGATATTGTGGGGATAAGAGGACAATTTCTTATTAATACCTTCAAAGCTTAAAGAAACAGAATTCAAAATGCTGGTTCTTATATTGCCCTCTGATAACAATCAAAGTCTTGATTATGAAGGATAATTCAGGATAGCCAGTATGTGAGCAACAGCATGAAAAGTGCCAACCTTGTTCATTGCACCTTGCTGAGGACTATCTGTATGCACCAACTCAAAAAGAATAATAAAAAAATAATATTTACTAATTCATATGAAAAAGGCACCCAAATCTAATGGGATTATTGAAACTAACAGAAGTAAATGACTTGGTAGGGTGACTAAACTTATCTCTAAATAACTAGAGTAAGATTTATTACCTGCAATTAGAAGAAAGGGCTTCTAAATGTGAAAGCAAGATTTCAGGCCTAAAATACATGACTTTTACAGTAGAAGTTTCTTCACATTTGTACTTTTAAACCTGTTTATTTCTAGTTATAAGGGGGGAAATAACTATTAACAGGTCTAAAAAGGGCTGACCATACTGCTCATGTTCAGTGTTTGAACTACCAGTGTTCTACAGCCTGTAGAGTTGTTTGCTCCCAATTTAACTTCTGTCAGTTCAAACAGTGTTTCCATTCATTGGCTGGTATGATAATTTCTGGGGATTTGGATGCCACGATTGATTAACTCACTGCCAAACCTTTACTAATACACAATCTGGACTGGGACAATTGTTTCCCTAAGGGTTGCTTCTCAGCATTAGTTACTGAATGCAGGGAAAAAAAAAACAAAGTGGTCTTGTTGATCAATAGACAGAATCAAATACAGCTGAATGGAAGCCTATGGGACAAATCTAGGTTTGTTATTTTCTTAAATAACTCTAATAAGGTTTCATTTTTTTCTAAAATGCCAATTTGTCAAAATTTCTGATCTGGATAAAAATCTTGATGCTCAGAATAGGGCAGGGAAATTGAAAGATCAGTGTTACAGGTCGTGTTTCTAAACTTCAGTCTGTGGACCACCTGGTTCAGATTCATGGGGGTGTGCTTATTAAATATTCAGATTCCTGGTCCTTACTTACTACCAAATGAACTCTATAAAGCAGGCACCAAAAACACATGTTTTATAAGTTTCTTATAATCTAGAAACTCAACCTAGAGGGTTTTAATTTTAACTCAGTAGTCTTAATAATTCTTCATTATTTCTCATTAGAGGAGTTCTGTTGAATAATTCAAAGTCATTGATTATTAATTTTAAATGCAACGTGGATCCTTGTAGGGATCTTTCCTGAATAGAAATCTGCGCAGGCATCCTAGGTCCAGTTTGCAGTGGTCTGTTTTCATGTATTAAGGAATAATGATGAATTCCATTAGATAGAGACTTTGGATTTCAAATCTGAAGTCTCTGCAAAATGACTAAATGATACATGAAAATTCAGAAACATTTTGACAAATCTCATAGGAGAATCTTTTCATTAGTCTACTGTTAGATCAGAAAGAATTCCGTTTAGAATATACTATGGTGCTGCCAATTTTAGTTATTTAGAAGTGAACGCTTTACCTTTGGAGGACCACTACATGGGACTAGGATGATATTCAAGGATAATTAGAGGGGAATGTGGCCCAACCATGGCAGGCACACAGCAGAGAGCAGGTTTAGGCAGTGAAGGACAGAAACCTAGATTAGCTTGAATCAGAGTCTGAACAGATAATGTAAAACCAGAACATTATGTTCAGAAACGTCTAAACTGCATATATGTTGACTTCCATCAATTATTTTGATGTTTCAAAATGTAACAGACATAGCTTATAACCCAATAAATACCCACATCATAGAAAAATATCAGTAATAATTGGAGAAAGAAAAAACAGACCAACCTTCTTATTCGAAATATGTTTTAGCTTTTAGATCCAAGCTTAACATGTCCAGGAATTTTATTTGCCTCATTATTTAACAAAAATGAAAAAGAGCGGTCAATGCTAAGCAATACTAATAAGAAAAATAAAATAGTGAGGGTAAAAATAAACTGAATTAAGACAAATTTTTAAAAATACATGGTTAATGAGCTAGGATGATTACATAATGTTAAGAGATGGTTGATATGAAAAAATCTTGAAGAAAAATAAAGTAGAAAAATAAGATTTGAAAAGATAAAACATGAACACAAATAAATTTAAAGAGTTTTTAAAAAGGACTAGAAATTTAAGAGATAAAATAACAAGACACATATATAGGAATGCAAGAACCACTTATAAGGATAGGGGCTAAAAGAAAAATTCAAGCTGTATATAGAAAAGTCCAAAGTTTAACACCCTTGAGAACTAAAAACAGTCTTCTAGGATGAAGCACCAGCAAATCTCTGGAAAACCTCTTGTCTTTACCTCTGTCTTAGTCCATTGAGACTGCTATAAGAAAATATAAACTGGGTAGCTTATAGACAACAGAAATTTATTTCTCATGGTGCTGGAGTCTGAGCAAAGTCCAAGAGCAAAGTACCAGCAGATTAGTTTCTGGTGAGGGCCCACTTTTGGCCTCGTAGTCAGAGGCTTTTTTCCGTATCCTCTATTATAAAGGCACTAATCGCATTCATGAGAGCACCACCTTCATGACCTAATCATCTCCTCGAGCTATTTTATGCCCTGAAATGTTATATGATTAGTTTATTATAACATAGTGCTCAAATGCCACAAGTTTTTTCATAATTCTAGCTATTTTTTTTTTTTTTTTTTTTTTGAGAAGGAGTCTCACTCTGTCGCCCAGCTATTATTTTTTTTTGAGACGGAGTCTCGCTCTGTCGCCCAGGCTGGAGTGCAGTGGTGCCATTTCGGCTCACTGCAAGCTCCGCCTCCCAGGTTCACGCCATTCTCCTGCCTCAGCCTCCGAAGTAGCTGGGACTACAGAAGCCCACCACCACGCCTGGCTAATTTTTTTTTTTTTTTTTTTTTTTTTTAGTAGAGACGGAGTTTCACCATGTTAGCCAATTCTAGCTGATTTTAATTTGTCTACTCTTGATATACTTCATTTACATTGGGCAAATATGAAATCATTGCCACCTTTTAACCTTTTAATATCTACTCCTTAGGAAGTATTTTAGCTTGTTCTATGGTACACAGCAGAAGTGGGACAAATACTATTTTGCATCAAAGAAAAGGATGTATATTGCTTTGCCTCTTTCTGCACTTGCACTTCTTACTGTATATTTTAAGAACACTAGTAGTAATCTGTGTGGTAAGTTATTCAATCAAGCTTTGTACAGTAAAATATAAGGTCATATTGCTGGATGTTTACTAGTTGCAAAAATATGCTAATGGTACATAATTGCATATTGCTGCACCACACACTTCACCCTCTTAAATGAGGAAATAGCTCTAACAGCATTTCATACTCTGGAGGGGACATTTCTTCTTGAAAGGAAGTTTGATACACAAGTTTTTCTTCCAAAAGGATTTCACCAGAAAATATAGCATACTGAGATGGGCAAAATACAGCTTTTTGTTCGCTCTACATATATCATTAATGTCAGCTGTTTAAAAATGGATGTCTCTGAGCCAGTTTGCAGCATGTTTTATGGCTGCAAAAGTGTTTAGTGTAGATATAAGTCAGAATATGATTTGTTCCTGACACCAGATGCTGCCTGTGACGTTTTGTCTAGAGAGAATAATGAAGGGAATCTGCCGCAAAGATTCTATCCGTTAGGCTTTTCTTTTTAATCAGGTCACAGTTCGAAACCTTCTGACAGTGCCAGCTCTGTACTGATCCAAGGATTATCATGGTTGATGGACAGTGAGTATTCCACCTCAATCTCATTTGGACTGATGAGTGGTTACAGTTTGCTAATGCAGCATTTGTTTTTATATTAGAATATGAGAGGATGAAAGAGTTCACTGAGTAATTTTCTTTTAAGATTAATTCAATAGAAGGAGAATGCTAAAGTTTTTCTGTCACTTGTCAACTTATCTATTAACAAAACTGCAGAATTGATACATTTGAAAGTGAGTACATTCAACTTCCTGAGTTTGAAGGCCTCTATAAAAATAGCTTCTAAAAGTCGAAACCAGGAAATTTGTGATTTGAAAGTCAGTATAATATGATGAAAGAGATCAACCACAAAAGCTGGTGAGGATTAAGAATAGCAATAGTTCATAGCTAAAAATTTGCATATAGCTAAGTAGTTATTTCTTTTTAACATATTGCAGTCAAATCTGAACATTCTCCTGAACAACTTAAGATTTGCTGGTCTCATGAAGGAGGTCAATCCTCATTACCTGGCAGGACTGATCATTCCCCTCAGCTTCACTTTTCCTAAATAGGAAAGTCCAACTATTCTAATCAGCTTGAGACTCATTTTCTGAACTCAGTTATAAAGTTTTTGTGCTGTGATCTTTCATTGGTTTGACCCAAATGGCTTACCAAAATGGATTTATTATATCAGTGTGTCTGTGCTGTCTCTACTTTTTTCTATTTATTTCTGCTATGTTATCATAAACATATTCTCTACTCTTTTAGACCTAACAATGAAATTGATTTTGAAAGGTACTCACTAAGAAATTAAATCAAAATTGATAATATTCTAAACGTAAGACCTAAAAATACAAAACTCTTAGAAGAAAGTTTAAAAGTAAATTTTCATTACAGAGTTTTAGGTAATTTCTTAGATATGACACCAAAAAGACAAGCAACAACAACAACAAAAATAGATAAGTTGGGCTTCATCAAAATTAAAGCCTTTTATTAGTACAGCCATTATAGAAAACAATACGAACTTTCCTCAAAATTAAAAATAGAACTACCATTTTATAGTAATCCCACTACTGAATATATTCAAAGCACATGAAATCAGTATGCTGAGGAGACATCTGCAGTCCTGTGTTCATTGCAGCATTATTGATAATTGCCAAGACATGGAAGCAACCTAAATGTTCATCCACAAATGAATGGATAAAGAAATTGTGTTATATATACACAATGGAATACTATTCAGCCATAAAATAGAAGAAAATCTTGTCGTTTGTGACAACATGGATGGATCTGGAGGATATGTTAAATGAAATAAGCCAGACACGGAAAGACAAATACTGCAAAATTTCACATATGTGGAATGTAAAAAAGTTGGACTTAGAAACAGAGAGTAAAATGATAATTACCAGAGGCTGGTGGGTGGCATAATTGGTAAATGTTAGTCAAAAGAAACAAAATTTCAGGTAGACAGGAGAAATACCTTCAAGAAACCTATTATACATTATGGTGACTATAATTGACAACAATATACTGTATATGTGAAAATTGTTAAGAGGTTAGATTTTAAGTGGTCTCACTCCAAAAAAACTGATACATATATGATGTAACACATATGCTAATTAGATTTAGCCATTCCACAATGTATACATATACTGAAACATCATATTATACATCATAAATATATGTAATTTTTACTTGTAAATTAATGAAAAATAAACCTTTTGTGTTGAAATTGATTCCATTAAGAAAGTAAAAAGGCAAACCACAGAATGAGATAAAATATTTGCAAATTAAATATCTGATAAGAAACTTATGCCCAGAATGTATAACTAACACTCATAACTCAATAATATAAGAAAAATGACCCATTTTAAAAATGGGCTATGAATCTGCATAGCCATTTCTCCAAAGATACACAAATAGAAAATAAGCACATGAAAATATGTAAAAATACTTTTAAAATAATGTGTCAATAGGAAAATCTAAATCAATACTATAAGGAGATACAACTCTGCAGTCACTAAAATGGTACAATGAAAGAGATAGATAATAACAAGTGTTGACAAGAATGTGGAGAAACTGGAACCATTATACATTGCTGATGAGAATGTAAAAGGTAGAGTTGCTTTGGAAAACGGTCTGGCAATTCCTCAAAATGTTTAATATACAGTTATCATATGACCCAGTGATTCCACTCCTAGATGTATGCTCAAGAAAACAGGTGTTCACGCAAACGCACATACACACACAAAATAAAATATGCAAATAAATGCTCATAGCAGCATTATTCATAATAGCCCCAAATTTAAAACAACTCTGTTTTCCTTCAACTAATGAATGCATAAACAAAATGTGGTATATTTATACAATAGAATATTACTCGGCAATACAAAAGAATGAAGTAGGTACAAGGAGGAGCTTCAAGACGGCTAACTATAGGCTTTTCATACTCACCTCCTCCTCTAAGAAGAACCAAATGGTGAGCAGATAACCATGCTTCGAGTAGATCATCCCAGAAAGAACACTGGAATTCAACAGAAAAGTAACAGGAAATATCTAAAATAAGGAAGATGAAGGAAGCAAGGCAGCCTGCTCAGCTAGGATTGGCTGGATGGCAGAAGAGACTCCCCAATGTGGGTAAAGTGTAAGTGAGAGACTCCCAGAGGACACGTTTCCACCATGGACTCCCCAGATCCTATCGAGAGAGCCCCTCAAATGTCATGGGCCATGAAACTAACATAGGAAGCTGTCAGGAGACTGTGTGATGGCACTGCTACAGGGAGGAAGCTCATACTGAATACCACACACTCCTTGACACCTAAGCAGCTAGAGCAAGGAGTCATTGTAGAGCTCTGTCCCCAACAGACTATACACTGCCCTGGAGCCCAGTGGTGCTGTAGGTGAGGCACAGGAAAAGAGCAGACTGCTGCCCCCAGAGCTGAGACATGAGTGACTATGGACTACTGCAGACAGGGCTGAGGCATGATTGAGATGTAAGCTACCACCATTGGGGCTGAGGTGTGAACAACTGCAGGCTACCCTACCTAAAGCTGTGAGTATCAGCTACCACAGCAGGGACTGAGTCGCTAAAGCTGCCTGAGCTGAGGCACAAGTAGCACTCATGCTATGCCACACCTGCCAGCCTAAGCTGCTGTCTCTGAGAGTGGCACCTCCCTCTCCAATGGCAAAGCAACAATGTGACTTCTGATGCCCACCACCCAAGCATTCTGATGGTGGCCTGGGAATCAACCCACCCTTACCTACCATGACTGGCTCCTGCGTATACCATCAAGAGACCTAAAAACAAGACTCCCTAGCCCAGCTTTATCTCACATCCCATGCCAGAGTATACGGTGTGGAGGCCAGAGGACTGCCCAACCCAGTCCATCACCATTGACACTAGAACATTCCTCCCAGGGCCTGAGGTTAGACCTACACACCCAGTTATTAATGCCACAACTGGCACCTATCTGCATGTGCCATCTGTGGGCCTAGACACTGGCCTACTGAACTCATTGAAGCCACTGTCACCACCAGCACACACCACTCAAGACCTTGAGGGTCATCCCACCATTGCCAATGCAATCACTCATACCATATGGCTGGCCAGGGAACTGAGAAGCCACTCATCCACCTGGCCCACTACTGCCACTACTGGAATCCAGATAAGGCACATGGAGGTCAAAGAATTGACCTGCCTGATTCGTTAACACCAGTGTCAGTGTACACTACTCTGGAATCCAAGGGCAGATACACTAAGCCCACTGCTACCACTACTGGGGCCCAAAGACTGGCCTAAAAGGAATCCCTGTCCCCAGAAAAACTTCACCACAGCCCCCATGAAAAAACCACATTCTAAGCAACTGAGAAAATCACACGTACCACTGATACTGTTTACAGTGAAGAAATCATACAGAGACTGCATTACCACACACACCAAGAAGTAAAGCCAAAGTGCCCTACCCAACCGACACTACAGATACATACTCAGAAAAGTCATCTCCTATGAAAGCAAATTCAAAAAACTGGAAAAAGAGCTTGTTATATCAGATGTGCAGATATCAAAATAAGAGCACAGGAAACACGAAAAAAACAAGGAAATATGACGCCTCTAAAAGAACAAAATAACTTTTCAGAAACGGATCCCAATCAGGAAGAATATCATGAAATCTTGTAAAAACAATTCCAAGTATTGATTCTGAAGAAGCTCAGACTGAATTCTAGATATATATGGATCCAACACTGGAGCACTCAGATTCATAAAGCAAATATTATTAGATCTAAAGAGAGAGACTGTAATAGTAGGAATCTTCAATACCCAACTCTCAGTCTCAGCATTAGACTGATAATTGAGACAGAATATCAATAAAGAAACATTAGATTTAAAGTGAACTTTAGACCTAACAATCAAAAAACATTTTAACCAATAACTGCAGAATATACGTTCTTCTCATCAGTATGTGGAACATTCTCCAAAATAGACCATATATTAGGCCACAAAACTAGTTTCAAAAAATTAAAATAATATCAAGTATCTTCTCAGATCACACTGGAATAAAACTAGAAATCAATACCAAGAGAAACTTTGGAAACTATATAAATACTAGAAATTAAACAACATGCTCCTGAATGACCATTGGGTCTATTAAAAAAATAAAATGCAAATTAAAAAAATTCTTGAAACAAATGAAAATGAAAAAAACAATAACCAAATCTTTAGGATACAGCAAATACAGAGCTAAGAGGGAAGTTTATAGCAATCAATTCTGACATAAAAAAGTAGAGATTTCAAATAAACAATCTAATGATGCAGCTCAAGGAATCAGAAAAGCAAGAACAAACCAAACCCAAAATTAGCAGAAGGAAAGAAATAATATACATGAGAACAGAACTAAATGAAATAGACATAAAAATACAAAAGATCACCAAAATGAAGAACTTATTTTCTGAAAACAAACAAAAGTGATAAACCACTCACTATCAAGAAAAAAAAAGAGATGAGACAAATAAACAAAATCAGAAATGAAAAAGGAGACATTACAATTGACATCACTGAAATAGAAATGATCACTAAGAAACTGGACAACCTAGAAAAAGTAGATAAATTTCTGCACAGGTACAAGCTACCAAGATTGAATCAGGAAGAAATAGAAAATCTGAACAGTTAAATAATGAATAGTGGAATTGAATCAATAATAAAAAGTTTCACAACAAAGAAAATTTCAGGACTGGAAGGATTCACTACTGAATTCTACAGAGCATATAGAGAAGAGCTAATATCAATCCTCCTGAAACTAATTCAAAAAATATGAGGAGTAGAGGATTATCTCTAATTCACACTGCCCAAAACAATCTGTAGTTTCGATGTAATCCATATCAAAATAACAATGTTATTTTTCACAGAAATAGAAAAACTTAGCCTACAATTTGTATAAAAGCAAAAAAAAAAAAAAAAGCCAGAATATACAGAGCAATCTTGAGCAAAAAGAACAAAGCTGAAAACATTACACTACTTGATTTTAAAATATATAACAAACCTATCGTAACCAAAACTGCATGATATGATATAAAAATAGAGATATAGACCAATGGAGCAGAATTGAGAACATACAAACAAATACATATATATTATAGCAAACTTCTCTTTGACAAAGACATCAAGAACATACAGTAGCAAAGGATACCATCTTCAATAAACGGTGCTGGGAAAATTAGATATCTATATGCAGAAGAATGAAACTGGACCCATATCCCTCACTATATACAAAAATTAATTCACAATGGATTAGTTACATAAATGGTAAGACCTCAAAATATAAAACTACTAGAAAAAAATAGGGAAAACACTTCAGGAGATTGGTCTAGGTAAATATTTTACGGCTAACACCTCAAAAGCACAGACAACTCAAACAAAAATAGACAAATGGGACTATATTAAACTAAAAAGCTTCTGCACAGCAAAGAAAAAAATCAACAGTAAAGAAACAACCTGTAGAATGGGAGAAAATATTTTCAAACTATTCATCCAACAATGGACTAATATCTAGAATACATAAGAAACTCAAACAACTCAGCAATAGAAAATAAAACAATCTCATTAAAAATGGGCAAAGGACATGAATAGATAATTTTCAAAACTAAACATGCAAATGTCCAACAGGTTTATGAAAAAATGCTCAATATCACTAATCATCAGAAAAGCAAAAATAAAAACTACAACGAGATATCGTATTGCTGCAGTTAAAATAGCTCTTATTAAAAAGACAAAACATAATAACAACAGATGCTGGCAAGGATGTGGATAAAAAGGAAATTCTCATATACTGTTGGTGAGAATGTAAATTAGTACAACCACTATAGAAAACAGTATGGAGGTTTTTTTTTTTTTTTTTTGAGACGGAGTCTCGCACTGTCGTCCAGGCTGGAGTGCAGTGGAGTGATCTCGGCTCACTGCAAGCTCCGCCCCATGGGTTCACACCATTCTCCTGCCTCAGCCTCCCGAGTAGCTGGGACTGCAGGTGCCCACCACCACGCCCGGCTAGGTTTTGTATTTTTAGTAGAGACGGGGTTTCACTGTGTTAGCCAGGATGGTCTTGCTCTCCTGACCTCATGATCCACCCGCCTCAGCCTCCCAAAGTGCTGCTATAACAGGGGTGAGCCACTATGCCAGGCTGGAGGTTTTTCAAAACATTGAAAATAGAAGTACAATACCATCCAGCAATCCCACTACTGGCTATCTACCCAAAGGAAATCAGTATATCAAAGGGATACTTGCCCCCTCATGTTTATTACAGCACTATCTAAACTAGCAAACATATGGAATCCACCAAATAGTATCCATCAACAGATGAATGAATAAAGAAAATGAGGTATGTATATACAAGGGAATACTATTTGGCCATAAAAAGAATGAAATCATGTTATTTGCAGCAACATAGTGAAACCGGAGGTCACTATGTTAATTGAAATATCCCATACACAGAAAGACAAATATCATGTTCTCACTCATATGTGGGAGCTAAAAAAGTAGGTCTCATACAGGTAGAATAGAATAATAGATACTAGAGCCTACGAAGGTGAGCTGAATGGGAAGAGGGATAAAAACAGGTACTTTGACAGGTACTAACATACAGCTAGATAAAAAGTTTAAATATAGTTACTTACAATGTATTGTACATTTCAAAATAGGTAGAGGAGAGAACTTAAATTGTTCCAAAACGTAGAAGTGATAAACACTCAAAATGATGGATAGCTCAAATATCCTGACTTGATCATTACATACTCTATCCATGTAACAAAATATCACATGTAACCCATAAATATGTAAAATAGTATGTATCTATAAAATTTTGTTAAAAAAGAGCATCAGAAAAAAGATGAAAATTCTTATACAAGCTATGACATTCTTAAGCCTTAAAAATGTTATACTATGTTAAACCAGTCACAGAAGACTATACATTGTGTAATTTCATTTATATGTAATGCCTAGAAAAAAAAAAGATACAGAAAAAAACTCAATTAGTGGTTATTCAAGCCAGGCCGGAAGGAGGGGACTGGGTGAAGAGTGACTGTTAATGGGTACAAGATTTCTTTAGGGGGTAATAAAAATGTTATAAAATTAGATTTTTGTGATGATTGCTCAACTCAGAGGATATACTGAAAACCATTGAATTATGTACTTTAAATAGGCAAATTTGTGATATGTGAATTATATCTCACTAATGCTGTTTAAAAATGGGTACTAGCAACAAAAAAGAATATTGACTTTTAACTGTTGCTTAAAAATAACTGGAAGTGTACAAATCAATCTTTATCATTTGGCTGTAATACATTTTTGAATCAAAACACCAATTTAGTTGTTTAATCATTTTATCATCTTTTTAGAACAGGAAATAGAGTAGAATAAAGCAAAATGGTCTGGAATATAAAGAATAGAATAGAATAGAATAGAATAGAATAGAATAGAATAGAATAGAAATCAGAGAAGAAAAGGAAAGAAATAGAAAGAAAAGAAATAATAGAACACATTAGTGATCTTATGTATGAATTACATTTTAAGGCTGGTGATCAAAATGCATTAAAAATGCTTATATATGTATAATCTACTTCCTTTCTACCACTTCCCCTCTCTGCCAGGAAAACAGACGAAACTAGTGTATCTTCACATAAAATTTCAGACTGTGTTTAAATGCCTACTTACTGTGTACATTTGCTGTTTGTCACATGAATGGGATTTCACCTTTCTATAAACATGACAGAATTTTGTGAGAGAGCACTATCCATCACTGTTTCCAGAGGAAAAAAACCTGGATTTTAGCCAATGTTTATGTGAATTACAACAGTTGTATAAACTATATCATTTTGGCAGGACACTTAGTTGTTCTTGTTTTCGTCTGCTTTTTTTGTTCAGCTTTGGTATTCCTTAAAGTGTTATACCTTTTAACCAAAGTGACACAGGTTCATATTTGGCTCAGCCATCATTGCTTACTGTACAGCCCATGTGAAATTGCCAAACAAGTTTACTGTATCTGAGAGTGTATTAACTCTAATATGGAAATATCTTCCATCCAAAAAAAAAGCAGAATAAAACAATTTTCTTTGTTCCAGTACCCCAGGGAGCACACAGCCAGCAGAAGACAAAGTCATAAAGAGGGTACTGAAATTCGAGACAGAAATACCCATAATGGCAGCCCTACAAAGCTCTTCACATTAATTCATAAAGTAAGCAGGGCTTGTAGAGTATATTTGAGGAAGAAGAAAAGAAATCCCCACTAGTCTGTTAATTACAAGTTCTCATATAAGATTAGACTGCATAAAGGCATGAGTAAAGCCTAACACCTGTTGGAGATTGGTTGTAAAGCTTTTGAGAACAACCCAGGTGCTTTGTGTGGTACAGATGATGTCAAGAAGGAGTCAGTCTGAAGATATATGTAGGGGACCTGAGAACCACGAAGATGCAATGAGAAGCCAAGATACTTATAGACTATATACAAACTCTGTTGCTCCAAACCAATGCTATATCATAAGAAAAAAAATGTAGACTAATATTACACTCCACTGCAGATGTATGATTTCTATTGTGTTAATTTCAGCTTGGTAACCTTATTTTTAAAATAATCATGAAATTTAGAGTACCAAGAACTCAGCTGCTCCCAAGAGTATCACCTGTTCTGCATTAGAAAGCTTTAAACTGAAGAACAAAAATTTCTCTCTGGTAATGTTATATATAGGGATGTTATACATAGGGATGTTATGTTATATATATAGGGTTATATATAGGAATGTTACATATAAGGATGTTATATATAGGGAACCCTGGGCCACACAATTCTTCTGACTCTCAAAAAGTCAAGTAATTTCTCCTCCTTTTAAAAGGCTGTCTTCAGGGGGCTTATTTCCTCTTAGATGTTCTACTAAAAATACATAATACCTTGAGATAAACATTCTGTTGATTTTCCAGGTGGACAGTTTATATTGTCCTATTTCTCCCAAGATCAGAACAGAGTTCCCCTACCACCAACAAAAATCTTAGTTGTGACACAGTAAAATGAAATATTTTCACTCAACAGCTTGAAGTTTCACATTGGCCTATCTCTATTGTTTCATGCAGCATAAGAAGTGATGGATGAAGGCTTAGGAGTCAGAAAGAAACAAGTTAAAACAATAACTCTTCTACTTATCACCCATACCACCTCAGGCATCACTTAACTTCTCTGTTCCTTACATAATTAGAATAATAACACGTGGTAGGTTTTATAAAGTAATTATAGAGTGTTAAAATGTAATAATTAAGGTATATCTCAATCCTTAACAAATTTCAATGGAGTTTATTATTTGGGGATAACAGAAAGTTTAGTAGTCTTTCTATATCTTTGTATCTTACTGATTTTTTTTTCACTTGTTACATTTACAGATCTTATTGTGGTCTTTACTCATTAGTGGCAAAAACAGTGCTCTTGCCTTGAATATGCCAGTTAATATGCAGAAATTGAATTGAAACCAAACACACGGGACTAAATTATACAGAAAGGACTGAATCAGACTAAAATATAGAGAAAGAGAAAAATAGGACTCTAGGACTAAAACATACAGAAAGAGGAAAAGTGAGCATAATTCTGCTCCAAAACACTGGTTGTTGTTTATGCCTAGGCTAGAATTTCTCAGTTTCAGCACTATTGGCATTTGAGGCTGGATGTTTTGTTGTTGTGGGGGACTGTCCTGTATATTATGAAATTTTTAGCAACATTTCTGGCTTCTAGCTACTAAACGAAAGTACCACCCCCTTCCATATAGCAATCAGCTTATTATTGCTCCAGCTTTCTGCCTGGAGAGAGTCTCTAGGCTGCCGAGGAGGAAGGAGATCCCAGGCAGAGCCCACTGGAATTCATGAGTTGAGGGGATGCAGCTGAGATTCAATGGAAACCACAGTATTTAGAGTTTACCATACAGATACATGGGAAAGAATACATGACACAGCAGGAGAAGACACAGAAACCTGGGAGTTAGTTGTATCAGTGAACACAATAGATTAGAGTTCTGAGGAAAAGCCATACAGCAAACCAAGCAGAGAGAAGACAGTGAGCAGGGCGAAACCTTGGTCACTTGAGAGCAAATCAAAGATGTAGGTCAAAAACCCGTCAAAGAAAGGTCCAGAAACTTATGAAGATGGAAACGTAGGGCAAAGCGAGAAAGCCAGCATGTAGACAAGCAGCTGGAGCAGGAGACTTAAGACACAAACTGCAGAATACTATGATAATAAGATCACTATCTGAAACTCAGAAAGAGTCAGATGATCTTTCCACTATTCTAAAAGTGAATTTGAGAGCTTGCAGTGGAAGCAAATAAAAAAGCTGATAGAACAGTAGACATTTGAAGATTATGGTAGATCCTCACACTTAGCCAACCACAGATGAGTCAGAAGTACTTACAGAACTAACAAATAACTGAGAGATACAAGGCATCTCTATATTGCACATTACAGAGTGTTAAATATTAAAAGGTTAAGCCATATCTTAGATCCTTCTCTCATTCGCATGCATGGAACTCAATTATTTTGTGACTCTCTAAAATGTTTGCTTTCTTTTCTTAGACCTGTCACCTTACTTTGATGCCCTGTTTGGTTATGAGAGTGTTCTTGTCAATATGTCTTGCTTCCTCAACTAAATTCCGTGTCTCTTAAGGTCAAGAACTTCATCTTCTTTGCATTTCCCATGCTGCTTAGAAAAATGCTAAGTATTTGGAAGATACTCTGTTAACCTGTCTAGAATGAATGATGAATATTACTATTCCCTGTGTGTGAGCATCTGTTTTAGAAATGACATGGGAGAACTGAGGGGTTTTGGAAGACATTTGACGGCATTGTGGGTTTAGGGGGCTCACTATTATAGTACTAGAAATGATATCAAGTTGGTCACCTGGGTCTAATTTATTATGTAAATCTTAATGAATATAAAATGATATTAAATTAAACGATGAATTTAAATGAGAAGATTTAATGAGAAATTTCCATCTGCATATTTCACCTGGGCCACTGTTACTGTTTCCCAAACTCTATATTAGAATACTCAAGTGTGCTGAAAAGATCAATGAAATATAACATCCTGGACTTTTCCAATCAATTTAACCATTTTAAGATGACAGAATAGAACAAGTGAGAGTCCGACACAAAAACAAAAAGGAAGATGAAAGATGTGTGATGGTGAAAGGGGGGAGGAAAGGATGTGTGCCTGCATATGTGTCTACAGACATATTAAATTTTTATGATTTCACATATATTTATGGATTAAATCTATTTCTCTAGTAATTCATCATGAAGTTTCTGAGAATAATTCATATACGTTCTCTTAGACAAGCACAAAAACGTGCTGAAGACTACCTTATATTACTTGTGTTTGGAAAGGACACATGTTGAAAATGATTGGGGGGAAAACTGACTTTAGGCTAAGAGTTCTAAGGTTTCATGGGAATAAGAAGTGAAAGTGATATGAAGGTCAAAGTCATTCTCACCAGGGTGAAGTTCCAATGTCAGTCATTGCTCTCTGGCAAACCAGTAAAATTAGTTATAACCATAAAGCTATTACAACAATTCGGTTTAAGATGTTTCATTGAGTAAAACTAATTCTAACCAACAGAAAATTCCATAACTTTGCTGATAACTTAGCTCTTTTTTCTCTTTTTGAAAAATGTTGCTACTCTTATTGTGTATTAAAATACAATTTAAAATATATGAAGAATGTGTACAATTGTGTAAATTTACATAATGTAATAGAAAATGTTAAACTGCCAAATGGTACATATGCTATGATTATAATGATATAAAATTTTACAGGCAAATGAGCAAAATAGAGAAGATATAAGAACTTTAATTGTGCTAGGTTAGTAGAGTTGCAGATGATTTAAAATGTGCTGAAATATTGTGAAAATACAGTTTTCCTTTTTTAAAAAATTATAACATAAACACATTAAAAAATAAGATCACCTTTTTCTAACCAGACACCATTACAGTTTTTATGGAATTCTCCAGGCTGACACATTAATCAAAGAAAATGTCCATCCCACATCTTTGGTGTCATTTTTTTACCTTCTTACTTCCTTGCATTAAGAGGCAAAAGATCCATATCAAATTATGCCATGTCTTTTGATAAATACATTTATGTGAAAACATATAACTCATAACTCTTGATTTTTTTCACCAAAGAAAGTAGCTGATAATAAAAAATGTTCCATTTTTCGTAGCACAAGCTCTATCAATTTGAGCTTGTTGATGCATTTAAGTGTGATGACATTAATTACACTGGCAAACACTCCAAAAGCGCACTTTCTTTTATAGCAAAATGCCTTTTAAATAAAATGTTTTCAAATCTGGCGAAGAAAGTTTAGAAGGGAGATAAGCCTCATTATTACTTGTGATTATTATAAATATTAAACCCTTTTATGTCATAAATTATAGAACCTTAAAAAAGAATTATCAGCTTCAAGCTAAATGCTAAAATAATTTTTCTTCATAGCAATATATCTCAAAGCAATGTGTGCATAATTATAACTTCTGATATGTTATTAGAGCTAAATTTTGATATGAGAAATTTTTAAAACTTTATATTTTAATACAATTTAAGATTTTTCCAATTTTTTTAAATATTGCATATTTGATCAAAGTGGTTGTGATTTAAGATGTAAAAATTCCCCATTTTTGGTAAACAAAGTCTTGTCAAAGGATGAGTAGAAACTACGTAGCTATGAAAAGGTTAATTCATATATTAGGAACAGTTTTACTGCAGAAAATTTAAATCGGCTTAAAATGTTTATACCCTCCCACTTTCTACTGCACCAACTCTATAATGAGGTAGGTCAATTGAGCTTTTTACCTGCTTTCAAAAATAGCACAAAAATAGTTCTTAAGAATTACGTTGAGTGAGAATCAGAGATTGAAAATTATCTGCAAGAATATGTATAACTTCCTTCTCCCGGCACCATCAAACGTGTTTCTCTCCTTTATTCCCCAGATTGGTTGAGGAATTACAGTATACTCAGTACTCCAAGCTGCCTCTGTGGAGGTAAGGTTTTGATGTCAGTTCAGCAATCAGATAAACTGGGGTTTTCTTGGAACTTCAGTATCTGTAAGCAGCAAGTACCAGAGCAAATGATCTAAACTCTTTTAGATTTAGGATCTTAGCCCATTTACATTTAAGGTTAATATTGTTATGTGTGAATTTGATCCTGTCATTATGATGTTAGCTGGTTATTTTGCTCGTTAGTTGATGCAGTTTCTTCCTAGCCTCGATGGTCTTTACAATTTGGCATGTTTTTGCAGTGGCTGGTACTGTTTGTTCCTTTCCATGTTTAGTACTTCCTTCAGGAGCTCTTTTAGAGCAGGCCTGATGGTGACAAAATCTCTCAGCAGTTGCTTGTCTGTAAAGGATTTTATTTCTCCTTCACTTATAAAGCTTAGTTTGGCTGGATATGAAATTCTGGGTTGAAAATTCTTTTCTTTAAGAATGTTGAATATTGGCCCCCACTCTCTTCTGGCTTGTAGAGTTTCTGCCCAGAGATCAGCTGTTAGTCTGATGGGCTTCCCTTTGTGGGTAACCCGACCTTTCTCTCTGTCTGCCCTTAACATTTTTTCCTTCATTTCAACTTTGGTGAATCTGTCAATTATGTGTCTTGGTGTTGCTCTTCTCGAGGAGTATCTTTGTGGCATTCTCTGTATTTCCTGAATTTGAATGTTGGCCTGCCTTGCTAGATTGGGGAAGTTCTCCTGGATAACATCCTGCAGAGTGTTTTCCAACTTGGTTCCATTCTCCCCATCACTTTCAGGTACACCAATCAGACGTAGATTTGGTCTTTTCACATAGCCCCATATTTCTTGGAGGCTTTGTTCGTTTCTTTTTATTCTTTTTTCTCTAAACTTCAGGATCTTCTCTCTTGTTTCAGGGGATGATTACCCAATTTTCCATGATATAATTCTTAATCATTGCATGTCTGTAACAAAACATCTCATGTAACTCATAAATATACATACCTACTATGTACCCACAAAAATTAAGAACTAAGCATTTTTAAAATGAGGATAATGATATCTATTTCTTAAAGTTGTTATAAGTCTTAAAGTTGTTATAAGTATTAAGTAATAATCTTTAAGTAGGTAATATTTATTTGAATTCCTGCCTCCCCTTCATCTCTAATATCCAAACAGCAAGCAAATCACATAAATTCTAACTTTAAAAAATGCCTCTCATATCTGAAACCTTTTCTTACTGTCTCTCATTTTCCATCTCCTCCTCATTCTATTTATCTTCTGCAACATTGTTAGTATTCCCTTTCTCAAAATCCATCTAGTTATATCATGTTTCACCATTTGCAATGACTTACTGTTAATTCCTTCTTGTTTATATTCTAAAAGTCAACAACTTGGCATGCCATTCAGAACTGGCCCAGTCTGGATTCATCTCACATCTTATGTTTTGGATTTTACTGTAACCACATTGCAGTTAGTGTTCAACAAACACTCACACATCTATGACTTTGTCTACACTAATCCCTCTAACTAAAATATTATTCCTCAATGTCTCATTTTCATATCCCATGTCAATGTCATATCTGTGAAACCTTCCTCATCAGTGTTTCTATAGTATACGTTTCTAGTATAAACTTGATTATGATATATTGTGAAATTATATGGCATTTACACAGAATTGTGAGCTACTTGAATTCCAACAGCCAGTCATTCTGTAAATAGAAAACATTAGCATATAGTAGTTTTTGATTAAATAAAAACACCTGCAGATAGACTTAATAAAAGGAAAAGAAATCTTTGTGGTGATTTGACTGTACTTAAATATTAACAGGTTATAATATTTTCAAAGCATTTATTTAAGCAAAATACAACCAGTGTATAAAATTGTACAAGGCTGTGTATTAGCATTATTTCAGAAAATATATCTTATGAAGAGCTATATAGCCATCTGCTGTCTTACAGTTATTTACACTAGGAGCAAGGTTCAATGTCTTGATATTTTCAAATCATGATTCAGGCTCAATTTTGGAAGATCTACTAGTAAGGGTGCTTTCACCTTGAAGAACTTGAATATAAAAACAGAAATGTTTTAAATTTCAATATTTAGTGAATCCTTAAGTTAAATTGACAAGCTGTACAAATACAAATTTTCTTGGTTTAACTCAAAGAAAAATTGATCAAGCCCAATAAGTTTTGAAATCACGAACTACAAATACCAAGAAAAATAAATGTATAAGAGATGTTAAGAATAAGACCAAATATATCATTTATCAAAATAATTGTGAATGGGTTAGTACCCCATTTTAAAAGCCAAAGGGGCCAAAAAAATTTCAGTTACATTTAAGTAACAGGATGAGAAAGGATGTGCCAATATTTCAAGCAAACCCACATAAATTAAAATAGAAATTTAGGCCAAATATATTAGATTGGCAAAAGAAAAATTAGTAATTATGAAAGCAACAAACAATCAAGGATGAAATATATTTATATAGTACACAAGCAGTGCAATGCATAAGACAAAATTCTTAGAAATACAAGGAAACTTTGAGAAAGCGCAATTATAGTGAGGGATTTTAATTTACTTCTCTGGAATTTGAGCAATGAAGAATATAAAATATGGGTTAGTATGAAAACAATATTAATGCTATAATTAATAGAGGCTACAATTTTTGTTTATAAGACATTTTATAAAATAATTTTATGTTTGAACATAAGGAGAATGTAAATAAATTCTAAATAGTAAAGGTGCTTTTTCTCTGACCAAAAGTGATAAACAAACAGACAAAATCAACAATGAAAAGATAAATTACAACAAAACACATAAAAATAAAAGTTTAACCATATTTGAAATGCCTAAAATATTTGTTAAAATTAATATTAGATTTAAAATAACTAAACTGCAATGTAATCAAGAAAGTAGTGGAAATTATTAAACTAAAAATATGGAAACTGTTATAGTTAACAATTATTTATTTTAGTGCAACTGTGTGTTGTTTGCTTTCTAATATTTTCATGTAGACATTTTTGACTGAGTCCCAGGCATCTCACTTCTGAAAAACATCCAGGTTGTTCAAGAACCATATATTGAAAAAGATCAATCACTGAGAATCAATATAAATCACTGTACTCAATAGAAAAGTAGAGTCTTAGAGTTTTTATTTTTATAAGTTAAAAAAGGATATATTTAGATTACTTCATTTAATAAAAGACACACACATAAAGTCAAAGAAAATATATAAAATTAAAAAATAAAAATAGCTGCGCACAGTGACTCACACCTGTAATCCCAGTACGTTAGGAGGCCAAGACGGGCAGGTCACTTGAGCTCAGGAGTTCAAGATCAGGCTCGGCAACATGGCAAAACCCTGTCTCTACAAAAAATACAAAAACATTATCTGGGCACGGTGGTGCACGCCTGTAGTCCCAGCTACTCGGGAGGCCCAGGTGGGAGGATAACCTGAGCCCAGGGAGGTTGAGGCTGCAGTGAGCCGTGATTGCACCACTGCACTCCAGCCTGGGCGACAGAGTTAGAGCCCATCTCAAAAAAAGTAATTAATTAAAATAAAAGCAAAGTTAAGAAAACAGAAAATTATAAACATTAAAATTAATAAAAAATTATAATGCTTATAAAGGATTAGTAAAAGAGACATAGCCAACAAATTTGTCTAAAGAAACACTATGAAAACTCAACACAATAACATTGAGTAAAAGAACATAAATGAGGTTAAGTAATCAGAAAAAGTATACTCAATAAAATTTCATGATAAATTTGAAAACTTAAATTTTAAAATACATTTGATCTTAATTCACTCAAGAAGCTAAACTGACAGCCGCAAAACACACAGAAAATATCATCAAAGATTAAGCACTGTATTAGGAGTCAGTGTTTCACAGACAAGTTCTTCTTTTTTTCTCTATGTTACCTAACTATTCAGGAACACAAAAGACAAAAAAATTTCCTGATTTATTTAATAAATACTGTTAGTTAAAATAATTTACTATAACTTTATTAACTATGCTAATTATAAAATCAGTGCTTGATATACATTCTTCTATTTAAATGGTTTTAATTATCATAAAGTAACTTTTAATATGAACAGCATTTTCATGCCCATATTAAAGATAGGAAGTCTGAAATTTAAGAAGGATACGTGTCTTGCTCAGAATATTTATATGGGGAGAGTTAGAAGTAAATACATGCACCCTCACCGCAGAACTTATATTTCTGATATCTACGCTATGTGCTCTTAAAACTAAAATGTCTGGCAGCACACAAAAAATTTTTAAAATATTGACAATAAGAGAAGAGAGAAAGGGAGAAGAGAAAGAGGGAGGACAAAGAAAAGGAAGAGAACAGAGAAAAGAAAACACACTTAGTCTCACTTATGAATATGCTCAATGCCTCAGAGGAATATAGAAATGTTATTACTTCAATTTGCCTTCCATATCTTTCTGATACCTAATAAGTTTCTTGCTATAGTTTCTTTGTGTCCATAAAGGATTGGTTCTAAGTGCCCCTTCAGAAACCAAAATTTAAGATGCTCAAGTTTCTTATATAATATAATGTAGTATTTGCATATAATCAATGCACATCCTCCTGTGTACTTTAAATCATCTGTAGATACTTATAATAATACAATGTAAATAGTTTTTATACTGTATTTTTATTTGTATGTTCAGTTGTATTGTTGCTGTTGTTTTTTTTAAATTTTTGATTTATGCTTGGTTGAGTCCACAGATGTAAAACCCATGGATACAGAGGGCCAACTATATACTTTTTAAACAAGAAAAAAAGAGATACGTTTTAAGTAAAATTATGTTATTATATTTATTTTGACTATATATAAGATTTTTGGAATCTGGAGCAGTTCCAAGACTGCACAGTGAAACACGAGGGACAGGTATCTTGGTAATGGTTTCTTCCTAGAAGACAATGAGAAGATTTCAACACTTTAATTCCAGTGTGGCAATTGTTTGAAGAATGGCAAAATAGTTCCCTTTGCAAAACAGCTGAACTCTGAGAATGTTTCTTTCTTCTTGGGGTAAAATTGTGTATGCTAAGACTGTGGATTCCAAGAGAGAGAATTAAAACTGAATATACAAGCCTGATCATGTCTGGTATGCCTCAGTGTTCAGGTTTTCAAAGCATATACCAAGAAGCAAATTGATCTGAGAGGACAAACAACTGAGTCAACTCATCCTGCATGCTTCACCAGCAACACTAGGTGACTCTCAAGAGATGCTTCAGTCATCATGCCCTTGAGCCAGCATTGCCCATGGATGGGTCCTATGTCATGACTCAACTTCTGATTATGTAGAGTCACCCATCTGCCCTGAGAGTACCTGGCATCATGACCCCAAGACAGGACTTGAAACCCATCTTACTGTCTTTGAAATTGCCTCTATTCACAGCTTACTGTTGGATCCCATCTCATTATTGCCTTGGCCCACACTTAACAGAATCAGATTACAAAAGCCAAGAGGATTTTTTAAAGAAGCAAGAGAATGAGGAGAAGTGGTGGAAGAAAAGTCAGGAAGTTATATCACTTTCAAAAGAGCACTGAAGTGAATAGAGCTTTTAACTATAACATAATAGAAAAGAAATGTGGCTTGGAATTTTTTGTCTTTTTTTCAATAGTAGAAGCACTGTGAAAATTGTCAGCATCAAAATGGAGTCATTTGTGTTAAAGCCCCTCGCAAAAAAAACCCTGACAAATAGAGCTGGACAAGGCCATGAAGGGCGAGTTCTCATGCATAAATGCCTGATAACAAATACTGTCGTAAAACACTGGAAAAATTACAACACTGCACACAGGTCATCACAGCCTTACACAAAAAGCACTTCTGAAAGGACATCTGCCCAGCAACTGCCTGTCCAAACTTAGAATGATGTAACCCTTGTCATTGATGCTTGTAGTCAAGGATAATTATCTCTAGACAGTAATGTAATCCTCCTCATTCTTCCTTTAAAAAACTTTGTCTTCCTTTACCTCCCTGAATACACACATATGCTACTATGACACACATATTTTCATTGCAATGTCCTATTCTTAAATAAATATCATTTTCTTTTAGATCATCTCTATTTGTTATTTAGGTTGACATAAATTGTGTCAAAAACGGGATCTTAAGAAAAATCACTAAAAAAAAATTGTTGATTCTTGAAACTTGTGTGAGGTACTCATTTGAAACCTTTGAGCTCTTTGTTTCCACAACTCACCTTTTCTCCCCAGGTGAGTATTCTCTCAGACTGAGCCTCCCTCTTTCGATAGGAGGTTTTCAGTTTATTTGAGATTTGATTTGGTTATAAGCCTGCCTTAACAAAAATCTTTACATCCTTCTTGGGATAATAAAATACTTTTTGTATTTTCTGGCAAGTTCTTTCAGGTATGAAAACAAGTGTCTTTCTGGTTGGAGCAGTCTGGTTTTTACAGAATTTGTTCTGCCTGTGAGGCATGAATTTTCTGGTGTAGTTACTTTTGGTTCTCTCTGCATGCCTAATTTAATATTTTGTTTGATCTGTACGCCTGGGTTAAATTTTCTGCGAACACTCTTTATTATTTTATTTTAATTTAGTTACATGCATTCATAAATTATTTGGCTCTTTTCCTTTGCTTGTTTCTAAAAATCCTCTGAGAGCAGAAATAAACTCTCTAAATGATGTACACGTGGTGGCTAATGCAAAGTGACTCGTCAGTCACCACCATCTAAAAGACAGGTCCAAATTTCTGCCACTCTGACAGGATTTATAAAATTTTTCACTTCTTTCAGAAAATCAATAGGAAATACAATGGGATTCTCAAACATTATGGAATGCCAAAGTTTTATGTGACTCTAGCCAGCTACACAGCGTAGTTCATTCTTGTGTTCATTTTTAATTTATGGACAAATTACATCAAGGAAGGTTCAGAGTTAAAATGGTCACTATTCAAATTCTCTTACAAAAACCTGCAAAACAAGTATCAAATGCACATAACTCCAGAGTTAACATGTAGAGCCTTCTATGTTCTTTATAACTGTTTTGTTTGTTTGTTTTTCTGCCATTTTGAATCTCCAGACAGGTCTACTGGTGTTGAAATAAAACTCACTGCTTATGGTATTCCAGCCAATATTAAACATAAAATCCTAAAGGGCTTTTAAATTAGTGGTTTTACAAATTACAAGAGCTCCATGTTAATCAACAACCCAAACACATTTTGGAAATGTAAATTTAGGTTTACCTAATACTTGCTAGGGTGATAGAACAGTTAATTGAAGGCTTGATAGTCAACGAAAAAAGAACTAGATAAATGTTTATAAAAGTTAGGCTTTCAGATCAAATAGGTCAAAATCTTGATATCAGAGTAATAATATACATTGTTTCAGTCAGGCATAGAAATTAATTGTTCTGCCATGCAAGGGCAAAAAAGAAAGAAAAAAGAAAAGAAACTGCTAAAATGCTTCCCTGCCCATTTTGACTAGTTAAGCAAACCAATAGCAAACAAAAGATAGATTTGTTCCTGAAAAATTCAGATTATTTGAGGATTTTGTTTCTCTTCCACAGTTCAACTGGTTCTAGCTAAAATGTAAATTTTAAAGATTTAACCTCAACTTATTTGAAACTGACTAAAAAACATTTTAAATTTAAAATGCTATGAAAACTGCTTTATCCAAAATTGCAATCCACTGTCTTCATTAGGTTACCTATTGGAGCAAAGAAATTTTGTTCACGTGAACTGATCCTATTTTGTCAGAAGTATTTGGATACAACTATCTTTTGTAAACAAGTTAATTTGTATTGCTATGTTTATTGCCTTGTGACTAAAATTCTAAATGAAAGCTATAAGATCTCTGTGTATGTGTGTGTGTGTAAAGGTGTTTATAGTTATGCACATACATTATGTTATATTGTGTTTAAATGGTAAAATCTGGCATTGTTAGCCAGAAATCCCTAAGAAATCCTATCCAGCTTGGCTTAAATAAATGAGCACTCATGTAAAATATGTAGTAATTAACTCAAATGCCTTTTACTTCACCCAATTTGAGTTAATCTTTAATAAATAATTTGGTCTTAAACTTGTTGGAAAAATACAAATAGAAATATATTCAAAATAGCATAATTTTTCCTGGGTTTATGGGTCATACATATAATTTTCTATTTGTCTCTGCTAGATATTTTAAGCAGTTAGGGTTTGACACAAAGGTTTTAAGACTATAAACCCAGCCTAAAACAGAATCTTTGTTGATTGGTAAGTAAGACTAATTTCACATTGTCATTCCTTTGTTTTTCAAAGTAATTTTGCATGTGATCAAGTTGGCTATAATTAGAAGAAAATTATTTATATGCCATTCAAAAGTTTGAGCTTTGATAGTAAAAATACACTAAGACAAAACTGAAAATTTGGTCCCCTATATTACAACAGGGTTTTCTTGAAGTATTAATCTGCTCTTAGCAAAACTGGAACAGGTATTGATTTCTATTTTACAAATCTGTTTAATAGCCATCTTTTCAACTGAAGGCAGATTCTATTTCTGCCATGTATCTCCTAGTTAATTTTAATTATTTTTTTCTAGTTTCAAATACAAAATGCTATCCTTTTTTATTCAGCAGAGTAATCTCATTTCTTGCAGCAGAGATTTCTTCTTGAAGCTTCTCAGATATATACCTCAAAACTTTAATTTTTTTCTGTAATTAACAGTATATTATTTATAGTTCATGGATCATTACTTTTAGTTCTTTTTCCCGAAGAGGACTGGGATAATCTCTCTTTCCTTTTACCTTTTTGTCAGGTCACATAACCTTCTTCTGCTGTTCTAATTTTACTGTTTTGACCTAATGCTGAAATGTGTATCACGAAGGCCTAGGAAAGCAAAGTTTTCCTCCAGTGTAACTTGGTACCATACACTTGATTTTTCTTGATGTGTCTGAATTGTTTCATTTAAGCAGAATACTTTCCATGCTGTTACTAAAAGTTACGTGTTCCCCTGATCAAGGTATTAGTGTTCTTGTTTACATTCCTCTAGAATCTGGTATACATGCATAACCTTGAACACACTCTTCCTGTGTCTGATAAATTCAACTGCTCTTTTTTATCAGGTTGACTTCCAGGTTATCTAAATGGAATAGACTCCCAATAAGGAGAAGTAATCACAGTACAAGAGGTTTTCCTTTACCTTTTTGGTAACAAACCTAAAAATAATAATTTTTTGTGTTTTATTAAGATAATGCCCTGTGTTCTCTTTTCTACATTATTGATTACTTAAGAAAACTGAGCTTTGAAAAGGTTAAGATTTTATAAATCTATGTAACTTTCTGTATTGCTTATGAAGCTTTCAATTATCCCTCTGCTTAAATTATTGCTATTTCACACTAACCTCTGATCCTGTCATGATCAAGTGTTTTAAACAGTTTTGACATCTTTGGCAGACCTTCCCAAGATCAAATTCTATAGACTTGCTGTATTAAATATTCTTTATAGATAATAATAAAGTATTGTACACTTAAAAATTTGTTGAGAGAGGATCTCATGTGAAGTGTTCTTACCACAAAAAAACAAAAATGAAAACAAAGGAACACAAGGAAACGTTAGGAAGTGTTGGATATGATACGTCTATCATTGCAAATTTGGTGATGGTATCAGGTGTTTATATCCAAATTCATCAAATTGCACATGTTAAATGTTGTTCTTTGTATATTGACTGTACCTCAATAAAGGTATCTTTTAAATCACAAAAAATTAAAAATTAAGTCTTATGTGACCTAGGATTGACTTTGGGATTTTCAAGTTGGAGTCCTGGAGAGCCTCAAGAATGTATTCCTCATCTTGTGGATACAGTAAATTATCAGGCCTAGTTTGGTAGATTGTATGGGAAACATTGTCAAATGATAAATAAGTCTAGGTATTTTTTCAGTTACATTTATGGGTTAATATTGATATAATTGTTTCAAAAATTATGTAAATTCATAAAATCTAATGTTATTAGTTATAACTTTATTATGTTAAATCTTCTTTAAAGTTACGTTGTATGGAAATATTATGTGTCTAATCTAAAGATGATATAAAATTTATAAACATTTGATGATCTGGTTCTCCAACTGTCATGATTCTGGTTATTACATAAAAGGTTGTATATAACAGAAATAACTAAATTCTATGGTCAATGGTGAACTTTCATTTGAGTTTAACCATGGCTATTAAAAGTTTTTTTAATCTATGGTTATTTTTTAATTTTTCTCTAAAAGCATCTGTAATCAGCTACAGCCAAAATTGCTTTTCTATGAAATAATTGAATAATTGATGATGGTAATGTTTTTATGACTTTTACTTGACACATTGGTTTTTCACTTAAATGTTATGTTTTCCACATTTAAGAAAATTTTCTTTCTTAAGCTAAATATAGTTTACAGCAGTTAAAATATATTTCTGTAAACAAAGATGAGAGCATTTGTCTTTTTTTACCTACTTGATTTCTCCATAATTCAGAAACTACTCATGAGTATTTTTATGGCAATATGATTATTTGCATATATCTAATAAAAATCATCCCTCTCATTGTAACAGGATGCAAGTGAAAACACTGGTTATATTACCAAGGCTTAGACTAAAATATTGTATTTGAGTGCATGGAATACCTGGCTTCAAGGATTTCCAGCCTTATAGTGATAACATAAAAACTGTAACTTCCTCGAAGGCCTGGAACCTGGTAAAATCTGAAGTCTGCTTTCGTTTGGCTTTCTAGTATCAACAAGTTTTTAAATCTGAGATTCCTATGTGATTAATGTAGACAGAAGAAATGTTTTTAAAGAAAAGCTATTATATACCTGATATTAGACTGTAGCCCTGTGCATTGTTTTCAAGTTCTTCTTCACCAATAGAATAGACTAAATCCTAAACTCTTCATTTCCTCCAATTTAATTTTCTTCCACAGAATTAACAAAAATGAAAACTGCTCTGTTTCTGAAGCCCTATAAGCTGAAACTAGATGCATTTTTCGAAACAATTCTCAAGCCTGATGTCCAGGGTCACACAAATATTCACAAACCCACCCAATGCCATAACCAGAGACATCAAACTACAAACCTGGAAAATAAGTTGAAGTTTTCACCCATTAGACAGCTTTTCCCAAGATGTTTCCCAGCACATGTTATAATGAGACTCTTAACCATCTTAGTGCCCACTTTTCCACTTGGCAAGCTGAAGGCCCTTTAATTTATTCATTTGGCTGCCTTTCAGCCTCAGTTCATATCTCAAAACTATTATAAAACTAGGACTGTCATATTACTATTAATTTTTCTTTTCATTTTTCCTTTTAAAACTCTGTATCTGTAACTTTTAAAGTTTTTGCAGACACCAACTCCTAAGAGAATAATGCTGGCCCAGCACTTTATGAAACTATGGAACAGATATAATTGAACTTAATAACAGACTCCCGGTAGAATTAGTCTCCGAGTCACTCCTTTCAATCCTCCCATGTTGCTCAAATGTGGCTAAAAGCATTTTAACACTGACTCCTACCCACCATTCAGTCCTTCCAATGTGGGATAAGACCAGCAACTCAGGACAGGTCCATCCTGACACCAAGGAACATCCAAACATAACTATGGGATGATTGATTAGTGATGCTTTTGAAGAAAGATCTTGATCAAAAGGAGGAAATGTGAAAGTTATCAGAATCAAAGTGAAGTTACTTGTATGTGTGTGTGTGTTAGGGGGTGGGGGTTGGGGAGTTCCTGTCGAATAGAGCCAAAAAAGATCGTGAAGAGAATTCTCATACATAAACGACGGATTTAAAAAAAAGATCACAAAAGAATTATCATAAAAGACTGCAAAACCCACAACCTTGCACACAGACCATACCAATCTTACACAAAAATACTTTCTCTTTTGCAAGGACATCTCAGCCACTGCCTGTCCAACCTTTGACTACTGTGACCCTCCTTATTGATCTTTGTACCCAAGGATAATTAGGTAATCCTCCTCCTCTTTTTCCTTAAAGACCTTTGTTTCTATTTTCCTCCCTGAATATTCAGTTTACTATGACATATGTATTCCATTGCAGTGATCTATTCCCTGATACCCATTATTTTCTTTTAGACAGCCTCCTTCTATTATTTACGTTGACAGCACAAAGCTAAATTCCTAGGATTTTTTAAGCTAAATTTTTCTCTAAAATTTCACACTGCATTATTTATAAAGAGTCATGCTCTGCTAAAATTTATTCCATAACCTATTTCTTTTCATAACTGCTCTTTAGACTTTCATGGTTAAAGAGAATCTGTGTGAGTCTCTGTGTGTGCACACGTGTGTGTGCACACATGCGTATAAAATTCTGAGAATTGGCAGGGCATGGTGGCTCATGCCTGTAATCCCAGCACCTTGGGAGGCCGAGGTGGGTGGATTACCTGAGGTCAGGAGTTCGAGATCAGCCTGGCCAACATGTCGAAACCCCCTCTCTACTAAAAATACAAAAATCAGCCAGGTGTGGTGGCACGTGCTTCCTGTAATCCCAGCTACTCAGGAGGCTGATGGGAGAGAATTGCTTGAACTTGGGAGGCGAAGGTTGCAGTGAGCCAAGATCGCACCACTGCACTCCAGCCTGGGCAACAAAGTGAGACTCTGTCTCAAAAAAAAAAAAAAAAAGTTCTGAGAATTTGAGAATTGGCCGGGTGCAGTGGCTCACACCTGTAATCCCAGAACTTTGGGAGGTCGAGGCAGGCAGATCGTCTCAGGTCAGGAGTTCCAGACTAGCCTGGACAACATGATGAAACCCCGTTTCTACTAAAAATACAAAAAATTAGCCAGGCATGGTGGTGTGTGCCTGTAATCCCCGCTACTTGGGAGGCTTGAACCTGGGAGACAGAGGTTGCAGTGAGCCGAAATAGAGCCATTGCACTGCAGCCTGGGCAACAAGAGCAAAACTCTGTCTCAAAACAAACAAACAAAATATTCTGATAATTTTGCAACTATTTTATTTATATTGTAAATGCATACATATTTCACTAATCATTTGAGAAGCATGTTTGTTTTATGGGTCCTTTATTAAAAAACATTTTTTCATAGTTAAATATAGCATCTAAATTTGTAACAGATGTATCCATGCCCCATTAGAAATGCAAAAATGTGACCAAACATATTCAATTTTAGCAATTCAAGGATGGATAAGTATGAGAAAACAAACATTTATCATCAAGTTAGCAAATAATGGGGAGAAATTATGAATATATAGTAGACACAAAAATATTGATAATATACAGCACACATTTTTTATAAAATTACCAAGATACAATTGGACTAAATGAATTTCTGAATATTATGAAACATAATTATCTAAGATCAATATCAAACATCATATTGCTTCTCGAGTATAAAGACATTTTTAATAAGGCCAGAACAAGACAGTGGTATCTGTTCCAACATTATTAAATATTCTACCTAGTGTAGAGAAATAAATATAAGCAGAACCATACATGTATGATCATTTAATATATGATAATGGTGACTCAACCAACTTGGAAAATACGAGTTTTTCAATAAAGGAATTTATACAATTGTTTATTTGTAAATATATGTCAATGTGTGTTTTGTGTGTGTATATAGTTAAACCTCTTCCTAATTTCAAACATGAATATGAATTCCAAATGGAATTTAATACGCGAATTAAAAAGATATGGCTGAGTACAGTGGCTCACGCCTATAATCTCAGCACTTTGGGAGGCCAAGGTGGGTGGATCACGAAGTCAGGAGATTGAGACCACCCTGGCCAACATGGTGAAACCTTGTTTCTATTAAAAATACAAAAATTAGCTGGGCATGGTGGTGCATGCCTGTAGTCCTAGCTACTTGGGAGGCTGAGGCAGGAGAATTGCTTGAAACCTGGGAGGCAGAGGTTACAGTGAACCGAGATCACACCACTGCACTCCAGCCTGGTGACAGACTCTGTCTAAAAAAAAAAAAAAAAAAAAAGATATTAATCAGAAGAAAATGAATGACTTCAAAGACTTCAAAATATTCTCACAGTGAGGAAGACATGCCTGAGCAAAACCCCAAATCAAGGAGACATTTACTATGACTAGATATATTTCTAATAACCTATATGACAAAATTTTCTGTATACAAAATTTACAAACTGTAGTCAGGGACACAATATTTGAAATACATATACTAGAAAACTTCTCTATCTATAGTTACATAGTACCCTTATATATCAATGAGGAAATGGCAATCATCACTTAGAAAATATAGTAAAGGCTATGAAGGGATATTTTACAAAAAAAGAATTTCAAACGGCCAATAAAAACATGAAACTCTCCAACAGTTCAGTAAATGTAAATTAAACATTTTGAGAAACAATTTTATACCACTAAGGGTTAAAATAATTTTTAAAAATGTTATCTAGTGTAATGACAGATAGGAAATAGTCATTCTCCTACATGATTACAGGAACTACAAACTGATGTAAAGTATTTGGAAGTTAACCTAGCAGTGTCCTCTAAAATGTGCACACACTTTCAGCCGATAATCCACAATAAAGGAGGAATGAATGTTGAGTTCAAATAGCATTGCAGAAATAAGTAGACTTACTTGACAGAGAAATAGCAGCTTATATCAAAAATGGCACTATGAGTACAAGAATTCTGAAAATACACATAGGCCAATTTAACACCAGCTGAAAACAATAACTGCTGATCCTTTATATATTTTGGCTCAAGAACATATGGAATGGTTTGCACAACCTTAGTGGAAAAAAAAATGATAGATTAGCATTATAGGGGGAGGAGTGAACAGGTGCCAAGCAAGGGGAGCTTAGACACCAAGTTACAGTGGTTATAATATAAACAGGATATAAAATCTTAGTTTGGAAATGGAAGTGGGCAACAATGTGAAACCACCCAAAATGTAGATACTGGTTAGAAATCAGAATAAAATTAGAAGACGCAACAATGACAAGAAGGCTGATAACAATAACAACAACAAAAAAAGGAGGTTTTAGTTTTATATAAACCCTAATATTTGTGCTCAAGAACATTTGGATTATTACATACTCATCTCCTTCATCACTGTTCTATGTAAATTAATATCTGAGAACAGATTCCTATTACTTCGTTTATTCTAACCACAGGTATCATCGTTTTGACCTGAGTCCTGAAGAGGTAGAATGTTCTCTCTTGGCAATGCCTGGGAGATGAATTGAGATAACTTGGTGGCCTGATGGAGGTGGGTGGGGGAGGGGGCACAAACATAGAGCTAAAAACAGCAATATGTCTCAAAAGTTGACAGTAGTCTTCAGACTGTGAGGTATCTGGAAATGTGGAGTTGTAAAGAAAGATATTTACATTTTATTGTATAAAGTTTATTTAAAAGGGATGTTTTCATTAATTTTTGCTTGCTTTAGACTTTCAGATTTTGAAAGGTTAGCCAGGATATCTAGTAGATTGCAGAAAAAAATCTGATGTATTTTTACAGTAAAATATAAGTCATTGAATGCATTTCATGTTTTTGACCTGCTGCTTCAAACTATACCACCACACTAATTTGAAATAAACCGTACTCCAACGTCTTTCTGTTCCTAGGAGTATTTTTGTGAAGAGGCATTAAAACAACTACTTAGATGAGTGCTAATAACATGAGAAACATTGACATACATTACATATATTGATTATTACCTTCCCAATTACAGAATTCCAAAATGTGCAACAGAGTCTGTTTTACCCTTACAAACTTATTCATCTTTCTTTAAACATTACATTTGACAACACTTACCATCTCCTTTGATGCTTTCTTGATCAAACATTAGTCAGACTCCTGAACCTTGTTTTGGGCCCACCCAAGGGCCTCCTTGAAAAACTCACAATGACTTTTATCTTTTACTTGTATTAATTCTGAAGTCTCTGACTCCCTCTACCCTACAAAAGTTGCCTTTCCACTGCTCTCTTCCACAACCCATTTGTTTTATTCAGACCCATTTCCTCATGCACATTAATTAATTCTTGCTGCTGTAGCTTTGTTACTATGCTGATTTGCTGCTGGTCTCTTCTCTCTTCTCTCTTCTCCCATTGACTCAGAAAGTTTGACCTATTTAAAGGCCAAATTAAAGTCATCCACCTTCTTACAGCAATTTCATCAAACTACTCATCTTATAAAATTATATGGTACTTCAAAACAATAATATCCCCTATGTTACCCATTCCTGCATTGCTATAAAGAAAAACCTGAAACTAGGTAATTCATAAAGAAAAGAGGTGTTTGGCTCACAGTTCTATAGGCTGTACAAGCATGGTGCCAGCATCTGTTCAGCTTCTGGGGAGGCCGCAGGGAGCTTTTACTCATGGTAGAAGGTGAAGCAGGAGCAGATATGTCACATGGCAAAAGCAGGAGCAAGACAGAGAGAGGAAGGAGGTACCATAAAGTTTTAAACAACCAGATTTCAGATTTCACGAGAACTCATTCACTCACTATGGCAAAGATAGTACAAAGAGGATGGCTCTAAACTGTGCATGAGAAATCCACCCCCATACTCCAATCACCTTCCGTCAGGCCCCATCTCCAACACCGGGGATTATAATTCAATGTGAAATTTAAAGGGGACCACATCCAAACTATGTCATCCCCTAATTAGCATACATTTACCTTTAAAAATATTTTCATTTATAATTATTGCTTTCATTACATTTCCTAAGGTAGATACAATGGTTAGAATTTCTTCATAAGAGTTATCATTTCCTTCATGTCCTCAAGTACCCTTCAACATTCCTCATGTCACTCTTACCAAAACCTTTATTACTGAAGAGTTAAGATTTTAGCCAAATGTGCACTTTAAAGGCAACAATATCTACAATGGGAATTTCACTGTTAGAGATATTTTTATAATATTTCTCTGGATTGATCATCACCTTTCATAATTCATATTGGTTGATTAAAAAATGCATTGCTTGAAAACAAAAAAAAATCACAAACGTCAAATAACAGATGTTAACCATGTACAGGTGGCTGAATAGCTCATGGGATGGCTGATTGGATTTGAGACTTTTCACCTTGTGGTAATCAGTCAGAATTTGGCCCATGGTTGACAGGTCATCCTACAGCTGTTAACGGGATACCAGGTGTGATAGGCTCTCATTACCAGCATGGTGGGCAGGTGTTTACATCACAGTGAGCACCCCTGTGGCTACTTCCAGGAGCAGCAGAGGCCCTGGTTCCCGGAAGGCATAGCTACCTGTCAAGAGTAATGTGGGCTGCTATGCATAATGGCTGCAGTGTTCCTGAATTATACCGGAAATACCATTAAGCAAGCAGTGACACCTCACTGTGACTTACTAAGATGTGATAAATGGCACATTTAGAAATAATTTGGTAAATTTTAAAATACCAAAATCAGCTCCAATTTAAGCTCATCATTATCTCTAAATGAAAGGGCTTTTTCTAGAAGACTAATTCAGTATTTACTTGAATCATTTTTAATACTTAAAATGTGCTGTTTAATTAATTTTGTCCCCTCCAAAAATCGTGTTAAAGTTGAATTTCTAATGTGTAAGTATTGAGAGGTGGAGCCCTTAAGAGGTGACTGGGGCATGATGACTTTGCTCTCCTGAATGGATTAATTCATTCATAGATTAATAGATTAATGAATCAGTGGGTTATCCCGGGATTGGAACTGGTGGCTTTATAAGAGGAAGAGAGATTTGAGAAAGCTCGCACAGCCCCCTCATCCTGTGGTGCCCTGTGCCACCTTAAGATGCTAAGAGTCCTCACCAGCAAGAAGGCTCTCACCAGATGTTCCCTCTTGACCTTGATTTCCCAAGCCTCCAGAATTACATGAAATACGTTTTTCTTCTTTATCCATTGCTTAGTTTCAGGTATTCTGTCATAAGTAACAGAAAATTGACAAAGACAGAGTGTCACTTGGAAACATTTTTTAAACTTGACCCCATGAAGCAGGCAGAGCCCAGGTGGTAAACTCCTTCATTAACCACTAAGGTTTCTCAAGAAAGCCTATTAAAATTCAGTCTTTCGCCAATAGAAGCCACCTAATAAATGTCAATTAAATTAATGCATGACTATATTCGATTCTTTTTTCAAATAAAGGGATTGGGCATAACAATGTCTAATATACTTTTGTGATCTCAAATGCTATCTATAAATGATAAAAGAAATAATCTTCCTCTAGGATATAACCAAGATTGTGTACAATAATCTGTGCTTATTCTAAAATTAGTTTCTCAAAGAGGAAGATAGTGATGATTTTTGTTTTCTGCCCTCAGAACTCTTTTCTGCCACAGACCACTTTATAGTCATCTGAGTTACAAATACTTCAGGCTAAGGTTTTTAAATGTGGCTGCTTCCATTGCAATTCTCTCCTTAACCAGTAAAATTTAAATAGCAGCAGGGGCTACCCATAGAGTAAGTGATGGGCTGAGGGTATGTTGGTAGCAAAGAAGAGGACAACATGTGTGTAATTGGATATTTCTGGTTGCCTGACAATTAACATATATTATATACAAGGTCAAAGAGGCATTGAGTAACCAGATTCTCTACAGAAAGCTTGATAGTACCTGCTGATAATTTCCTCAATGCTTGTTAATAAGCTGTCTACGTACTGGTGGGTAGGGAGAAGAATCAAGAAGAACTTGTTGACTTTGTACATCCTCAACCTCAGACGATGTCATCAGATAATCAGTAAGACGAACAAGACCAGATCTGTTACTTTATGGCTTAATATTGGCTCACCTGCAGAAAGCTCCAGATTCTCCAAGGTTCTAATGTCAAAATGGTACATAGTGAGAGAATTGTTGTGTGAACCTGAAGTGGGTATCCTAGGGTAAGTTTCACTCGTACATAGACTCTTACGTCTGCTTCCTTCATAGAGTGTACTGAAGAAGCCTATTGGAAAAGGCTACATCAATTGAACAATAAGGGACCAAGGTATTATATGTCTGGGAGAAAAAAATAATCAGCAATTCTCCACAGCACCCAAGACTTGTGGTGCCCTTGAAGAAAAAAGAACTTCGGCAGTTCAATGACTCTACTATCAGAAAATATACTTAACAGAGACATAAGAAACTAGGGATTTCTCCACATTACCAAAATGTAGCCCAGTATAGGAGACCTTTTTTTCCATCTTTCTCTCCCATCCCAGAGGAGCTAGAACTAGAGGTTGGGAAGTATAACCAAATTGCTTCTCCTACTGATGGGACTTAGGCTATAGACAAGTAAAGGTGCAGAATCTATCTTGAATATCATTATGGATCCAGGAAAAAGAGATTTTTTTTCCTGCTGCTGGTTTGAAGGCAGTAGTCATTGGAAAAATTTTACAAAAATTATATTTGTAGCTTGTTGGATACCAGTCATTCAGTAAACCAGTGCACATGTACGGGAAAGAGAGAGTGGTATTAGGTAAACACTGAGAGTGTCAACCTAAAGTAATCAAAAGGGTTAGAATCCAATTTAAAGGGAGTTTATTCAAGTGAAAACTGTGAGGATGAACCACCCTGAAGAGCAACTCAAAGGAATGGAGCCAGTGATCTAAAGTAGGAAAGTTAAGGCTTCATTTATAGAGGCAGAGACAAGAGTTTTTAGCAGGATGACAACATTTTTAAAAAATATTTTAAGTTCTGGGACACATGTGCAGAACGGGCAGGTTTGTTACATAGCTATACACGTGCCATGGTGGCTTGCTGTACCCATCAACCCGTCATCTACGTTGGGTATTTCTTCTAATGCTATCCCTCCCCTAGTCCCCCACCCACCGACAGGCTCCAGTGTGTGATATTCCCCTCCCTGTGTCCATGTGTTCTCATTGTTCAACTCCCACTTATGAGTAAGAACTTGTGGTGTTTGGTTTTCTGTTCCTGTGTTAGTTTGCTGAGAATGATGGTTTCCAGCTTCATTTATGTCCCTGCAAAGGACATAAACTCATCACTTTTTATGGCTGCATAGTATTCCATGGTGTATACGTGCCACATTTTCTTTATCCAGACATTTTTTATACAAGACTGACAAGTAGTTACAGCAATTTGATTCGTTATAGGCAGCGTTTCCTTTTGGAAAGGGTACATTTAACACCTTTTACAGGGGGTCTAATAGCCATGGGTTTTCTGTCATCTGGTCTAAGCAAAGCAGGACAACAAAGGGGAAGTTAATCTATAACAAGAATCATTAATTAAAAAGGCAGGAGGTTTTTGTCCCTGATGTCATTTAATTCTCTCTAGTCATTGTACAGAGCAAGAAAAATAAGAAAGCTAGTTAATCTATAATATGAGAAACAGAAATTGTAACCATATATGACTCAGATCATAGACACATCTCCCTTAAGACATAAAGTATTTGGGGAGTTCCAACAGCTTTTAACTTGCATTTATTTTCATATGGGAAAAAGGGAAAAAGAAAAGAAAAAAAATCTCAGAATTATGGACCAGCAGCATTTTAGAATAAGCACAGATTATTATACATAATCTTGGTTATATACTAGAGGAAGATTATTTCTTTTATCATTTATAGATCACCTGGAAACTTCTCAGAAATGCAAAATCTTGGGCACTTCTACACAACTACAACAGAGTTTCTCAAAATTTATCATACATAGAACTATGTAGAGAATTTGATAAAACAGATTCCTGGACCCATCTCAGAACCTCTGAATCAGTTGTTCTAGGGTGGATCCAGAGATTCTGTATTTCCAATATGCTCCCAAGTAATGTTTTTGTTACTCATCTATAGATCACATTTTAGGTCTGTAAGACAGGAAGAAGCTAAATACTAGTAATTATCTACTTAATAGACTTTCAAAAGAATTAAATATTATCTAAACAAGAGGAAAGTAGAGAGGTATTTTCCTTTACCTACTTCCAACCATTATATCCACTTTACTATACAACAAAAGGCTAATTTTCTTGCTTATTTTCCAGAAATAAATAATAGTTACTCATTAATACATCATGTAATAATTAAGGAGCTGGAGAAAGAATATCTAGCCAAATGTGAAAACAAAATCCAAACAAACCCAAGAAGATAACAATACATATATCTATACTTAATTTCGTTCATTTTTCTATTCTCCTATTGGTCTTTGTGTGTGTGTGTGTGTTATACATTTACCCCAGCATTTCTTGTGGCAAGCTTTCATTATTTTACTGCCTTAATAAGTCTCTGAGTGTATTCTCTTAACATCTCACCTTTCTCTTTCACGAGATCTAAAGTAAAAAAAATGTAACTGAGTAACATCTAATAGAACTGAAAAACTACATAAAATAAGCTGCATATTTTGCAAAAATCCCAGGCCTATTTATGAAAATGTAAAACTTGCAAACTTTTTTCATAAGGCTAGAAAATAAAAACACATGAGAAGTAATCATACCCTGCCTATGTTATGAAAATCTAGCACCCACAAAGAAAGCAACTGCTGTTTTCTTTTTGTGTGAAGAAATGTTCAAAGAGACCCTTTGATGAGAAATTGGGTGAGGTATCTGAGATGAAAGATAAGACAGAAAATTGTGCTCAGTCTACCCTCACCCCAACAGTCTTATCTGAGATTCTCTCTAGAGATCAGCTAATGTTTTCTCTTTTCTCAGCATGGAAGTGACAGGAGAAGCTGAAGGCTGGCGAGGAATCATAAAAGTGAGTTTCAACAGCTTCTTCTCCCCATAGCAAACATTACCATTAACAATAGCTGAGGGTTTCACCACTCTGCGATGTGATCTCTTTGAAATAAAGTTTACAGATAAACATACTGATAGACTACGTAAACCAATAATTAGATTATATTCCAAACAGCACATGCCTTCGGTCTACGGGATGGAAATTAGGAGAACAAATCTAAGTAGAAAATACTAACATTTATTTTTCACATGGAGCTAAATGACCACCTAGATTTTTGACAAAGGAGCACCTCTGTTTTCTTTAAAGGATAAAAATTAAGACCTATTTCTATTAGAGCTAATATTTGTATTTTCCTGTGACACTGTTCTTGTGCTTAAACCTGGAGGGTATTCCATAAATGTTTGCTGATTCTACTTGATATCACTGCTCCTTTGCCTCCTTCACTTACAAAATCATTTATCCCCGGATAGGAAGATGTCAGACAGGTCTCCAATTATAGCATTCTCTGCCTATTTAGATACCAAACTAAATACTAAGCTAAAACCCAAGATTCAAGCCCCTCAGAGTAAAGCATCAACAAAAAGTATTAGGTTGGTGAAAAAGTAATTGCAGTTTTTGCCATTAAAAATTAATGGACGACAAAAACTGCAATTACTTTTGCACAAACGTATAGTTTTTTTTATACTATTGTTACAGGTTTCAAATATTTTCTAGTATTTTCTATTGAGGTTTCTGCCATTAAAAGTAATGGCAAAAAAAAATTGGAATTTAAGAAAAGAAATTAAAAGTAATGGCAACTGGAATTTAAGGAAAGAAATGGCAAAAACACAATTACTTTTGCACCATCCTATAGTTGAAAATTTGTTCACATGGAAATCTTATAGCTATTTTTACAGCACAAGGAGATGATGTTTTTTGTCTCACTAAGGCTACTGGGAACAGCCTTCATATGTGTTTCATTATATGTGATTAGCTTTAAAATGAATGCCTTGTATCTTTACTAATAGGTTTGCATTTCCTTATCCCAATTTTATTTAAACTAGAGTCCTATTCGAAAGGTCTATTAACGGTAAAGCAATTTTATTTTCTATGAGATGCATATTGCTATTTTTCACTCCTGGTGCTTTTAAGAGGGGGCACACATTGACTTGACTCTATTATATCATTAAAAAAATAAAGCAAGCATCCCTTTGAAGCAGGCTAAGGGTTTGGGAAAGAAAACAACTTACTTTCAGGACTTTCATTTTGGGTAAAGCTACCATCATCTCTTGGATAGTCTACTGTAATAGTGTCCTACAGAAATAATCTCCTTATTCCATGTTGCTCATATTCAATCTATTCTCCAACAGCAGTCAGAATAATTTGCTAAAAATACAAGTAAGATCCCACCACTCTCATGCTTTTAAAGCTCTTTGGCTTCTTTTACTCTTATTATGATCTAAATCTCTTATCATGGTCAACATCATCTAGCCTTTCCTATTTCTAAGGTCTCTACCACTATCCTCTCCATTTATTCTGCTTCAATCCCACTGGCCTTTATGGTTTTTGTTTTGTTTTGTTTTTGAGCATGTTGATTACAGTGTATCCTCAAGGCCTTTGTTCTCATTATTTCTAGAACCTAGAATGCTCTTCTACAGTTATTTACATGGCTCTTCCCCCTACACACACTATAGTCAGATCTCTGTTTAAATATTCTCTTGCCAGAGAGGCCCTATTTACTACTACAATTAAAATAGCCCCTGCAACTCTAGACCTTCACACTGATCTACTATTTCATGGTGAATATCTGAATATATATATATATATATATATATATTCAGAAATTAAACCTATGTGTGTGTGTGTTTGTGTGTGTATGTGTGTGTATGCATATACATTTTTGTCTTTCTCTGCCATTGTACTATATACTCCAGGGTATATTCTGGGTTTGCTCAGTTGATCCACAGCATCTGGAACAATACATGGGTACATAGTAGGCACACAATCAGTGTTGAGTGAATAAAGGGGAGGAAGCAAGAAAACATATATATGTTCAACAAAGCCTGAGGAGTATTCTCAGAGCTCAAGAACTGAATAAAGATAGTGCATTCATTAATGGTATGGTCCACTCGTAGACATCCTTATTTTTACTTGTGACTAACTCATCACACTCCAATAAACTGACTTCCCCAAACACATCTTGAGAAATGGTACTGAATCACTACTAACTGTTATTTCCTAAAGAACACTTACAGCCAAAATGCCTAAATGGTCATTTGAGAGAGGTCCCACATTGTAATCAATGTCAGAAATGTTAATATTTAAAAAAGCAAATAGGGAATAATGTATGTGCACACATCTGATAAAGTTTAACTAATCAAAAAATAAATAAATAAATAACTCTTTTTCTTCTAGCCCTTCCAGTAATGGTAGAGTAGACTATATAAATTATATCATACTACTATTTCCTACTATAAATTTCCTAGTATTAATAAAAGCAATCATAAACTCAGGATAATATATGTAAAACAACAGTTGAAAGGAACTGAGGAACAAAAAGAAAAAGGTAAAATTAGAGCCACTATGACTATTGAATAAGAAGATCATACTCAGATTGTCTAAAGAAAATTAGAGTCATAGCCATGTAGAAGATAGAGATCAAGAAGAAAGCTGCAGTCCTATTGAACTAGGCAGTCAGATGTTGAAGTTTAGTCCTGAGTAAGAATCTGGAATTTAAGGAAAGAAATTCTGGACAAAGAAGAGAACATAAAGCGTGAGTATAAACTGTCACATAAGCTTGTACGTAAATTTGTGGCTGACATCTGAATTGTTCATACATAGGATGAGACTCCATACAGTTCATGAGAAACAACAGCTCTTAAGGAAGAAAGATCTTAGCACAGATTTCAATTGCTGCTGGCAAGAAAGAGTTTGATGTTCATTTTAGGCCAAATTATAGGGCCCTAGTAGCCATCTCAGGCTTTCCACTGAATTCCCAGAAGGGTTATGCCTTATAATTAAAACCCGTATCTCAGAACTAAGGGTATCTCTCTAGGATTAACAGACAAAAGAGAAATAGATTGACCTATGTAAAGTAAAAGTTAAAGCTAACCCTCAGTAAAATCAAGATACTGTACTAATAACAGGCTGTTCCAAAAAAAAAAAAAATCTTTACAACTTAGAGGCAGATAACAAAATTCAGTCTCTTCAACTTTAAAAAGTGAACATAAACGAATAAGCGCTAGAAATAAAAATACAAGGGAAAATGTAATAACTAATCGTATACAGAACAGTATTCAATAGAAGCAGGTAAATGACACAGATTTTGGAATTAGTAGAAAATAACTTTAACATAACTCTATTACTTCTGCTTCTGACTATGGTGAAATAACTGGGAGTGTTCTTCCCTTACTGCTGTAACCATCGAAAAAACTAGGCAAAATATTTAGACAACTTTTTTTTTCAGATTGAACAACAATCATTGTAGAATTGTGATCCCTAAGAAGAAGAGGAAAAGGAGAAGAGATCTATCTACAATTATCCTGGTTTCCTGCCTAAAGATAACATTTTAGAGCTCAGTGCACAGTAAGACAAGTAAAGCATTATTTTACTTTATTAAGTTATTATTAATTTAGGAGTGAGATATCACAGTTGAGGGAGGATAAGAAAGTTGGAAATTCAGAGTAATGAAGATGAGGGTGCTAAACCGAGAAAGAGGTCCAGAAAGTTGGTCAAGATTCCATTTTTTATGCTAAATTCTATGCCATGCATATGTAAGATGAAACTTCATGTGGCCAAGAAAAAAAATGACTAGGAAGCAGTAAGCTAAATGATTTTCAAAGCTCGTATTAGGCTACCAGAAACTGAGTTCCAGTCCATCAAAATGGACATTCTTTGTTTAACATGAAGGACACTAAATAAAATCCTCAGGAAAAGCATGACTTGGTAGTAGTGCTGATCTAGCTCTGCATCAAAAGCTTTTATAGCCCCACCATAACTAAATGAAAAAGAAAACTTGGAAAGATCAAACCGATTGCCAAATAATTTAATCACCTGTCAGAAGAAGGTCTAATATTTTTCTAAAAGATAACAAAACCAATCATTCCACCATGTAATATTCACAGTATTCAATGTTAAGTCAAACATTCCTAGTAATGTAAAAAGGAAAATGTGACCCTAACCAAAAGCAAGTCAGTTCATAGAAATAGATGCAGACACGACAGACATAGAATTAACAGATAAAACCTTTTTTAAAAAGCTACTAAAAATATGTTTAAGGACTAAAGAATAGGAGAGAAATGAAACTTTTTTAAAAAGCATAAAATACAAAAAATACAATATACAGAATGTAACATTAATTTGATGGGATAATAGAAACTTTCAGAGAAAATATCAATAAACATAGACATATTAATAGAAATTTTAAAAACTGAAACATATAGAGAAAAAAGACTAACAGTTACCAGAGCCTTTATACTTATGTAGTGATATCAAAAAGTCTAACACATGTATAATCAGAATCCCAGAAAGAGAGGAAAAAGGATGAAAACGTATTAGAAGAAATAATACAAACAAAATTCTAGATTTAATGAAAAGTATAAACCTACTGATATGGTCTGGACATTTGTCCCCTCTAAATTGCATGTTCAAATGTGATCCCCAGTGTTGGAGGTGGTAAAACTGGAAAAGGGCCCTCACCAGAAGCAGATGCCAGCACCATGTTTCTTGTACAGTCTGCAGAACCATCAACCAAATAAATCCTGTTCTTTATAAATTACCATAGCCTCAAGTATTCCTTTATAGTCATGCAAAATGGACTAATACATTCACTAAGTCAAAACTCTCAGTGGACCGCAAGTAGAACAAATTCAAAGAAACCACATAAAAGCAGGTTGTAATCAAAGTTCTAAAAATATATAAATAATAATAAAGGAAAAATTTTAAAACACCTTGACAAAAAAGACATATAGAAAACTTTCTAGTGAGAAACGAAAAAAACAATCTTCAAAAATGAAGAGAAATAAGACTTAGACAAACAGCAGCTAAGATAATTTATGCTAAGCCAACCTATACTACATCAAATGATTAACAACAACAACAACAAACATTTCTAACACATAAGGAAAACTATGCCAGGTGAAAATTTGGATTTATACAAAAGAAAGAAGAGCACCAGACAAGAAAAATATATGTGAAATATAAAATATTTTTCATTTCAAAATATGTCTTAAAAGGTAATTGAGATCTCCTGGTTGTCCTCATGACAAGTAAATGCCATGCAAGTTGTCACTCCTGACCTTACAACACAAAGAAGCTGAACAAATTGAAAACCAAAATATTTTCATGGACTCATCAGAGGCCTGAAGTCACATGGAAAATATCACCATTAAATCTAAAGATATTCAGAGAAATATGGCAATCAAGATCTGCTTATCTGGAGCAGAAGCTACTGATGCCTCAAGTGGAAAGAAACTTAAATAGTGATTTTGACAAATTGCTAGAAGCTGAGTGCAGATTAGTCTAAGTGAGAAACCCCTGTTTGTTGCAGTCTTACGAAGGGCCCACATTTTTGCAGGCTTTCCCTCCAAAAACCCTACCAAGTTCTCAGAGTGAGGATCTGGAAGGACCCCCACATGGCTCTGGTAAGGGGAAGGAAACAGTAATCATGATGGAGCCTGGCAGCAATAACACAAGAAACTGGAAAGTGAAATTGTGACTATCTCAAGCCTTCAACACCTCTCTGTCAATAGCTGATAAACACAACCAGCTGAACATCATCAAGGATGTAGATAACCTAAACAGCACTGTCAATTAACTTGATCTAATTGACATTTATGGAATATTCCAGCTAGCAAAATTGGTAAAGAAAAATACACTCACACATAAATTGCCAGAAATGAAAGAGGTATATTTCAGAACATTAAAGATCATACAAACATTAAAGAGAAAAATAAGAAATCATTTTAAAACTATATGCCAATAAATCCAACAATTTAGATAGAATAGAAAATATCTTTGAACAATACAATTTACCAAAAAATAAAAGAAAAACAGAAAATCTGATTAATTCTATATCTACTTTGAAATACTGAATTCACACTTAAAACTTTTAAAAAATAAAATCCTAATGCCAACTCAGATGTTTTATTAGTACATTATGTTTAAGAGGAGAAAAAACCAACTTATGTAAACTATAAAAACACAGGAGGAGAGGACTAGTCCCAAAAAGTTTTATAAAGTCACATAACATTAATATCAAAACCTTGCAAGAATTTTATTTGATTTTTGAAATCACAGAAAGAAAATCATAGATCAATATTCCCTATAAATATAACAAATATGTCCTCAACAAAATAGTAGAAAACTAAATGTAGCAATATGTAAGAATAATAATATACCAAGGACGAGTTACCACAAGAATATAAAGTTGATCCAACATTCAAAAATCGCATTATGTAATATTATGTAATTAATAGAATATTGAAGAAAAGAATCAGTAGAATAAAGACGATTAAACTTGTGGTAATCTCCATAAACACAGAAAAGGGATTTCACAATGAATCAACACATTCTCTTTTAAAATGTTAGGTAGGAGTAGACGAGAACTTACTCAACCTGTTAAAGGGCAACTTAAAAAGAAATTCCAATTAAAATATTGAACTTAACGGCAAACTACTGAAGGCTTTCCAATATTGGGAACAAGGCAAGGATATTTCCTCTCACCATTTATTTTCAATAATGTGCTAGAAGCATTAGCCAATGAAATACAGTAAGAAAAACAAATAAGACAAAGTTTAGAAAGGCATAGATAAAACTACTCTGATTTACAAATGATGAGATGTTATACAGAAAAGCCTAAGGACTCTGTAAAAAATAAGAGAGTATTTTCACTGCCTTAGAGTAGAAACACTTTTCTTAGGTATGGTTAAAAATATGAAAAAAAAAATATGAAAACAATATCAGGAAAAAAACTGTATAAATTGAATTTCTACATAATTAAAATTTTATACTCATCAAAAAGTGCTGCTAAAAATAAGTTTGTAATATACAAGATCAATATTTTATAAATTAAGAATGAACAAAAATAGATCAATTGAACCAAACTGAGAGTCCAGAAATAGAACCATATACAGCCAGTCAATTTATTTTTAATGAAAGCAGCAAGGTAATTTAATGAGGAAAGAAAAGTCTTTTCAACAGAGTCCTGGAACAACTAGAAAGCTCTGTGAAAAATAATAAACCTCTTTGGCTATGTGGGCTCTTTATTGGTTTGATATGAACTATAAGATTATTTTTCCTAGTTCTGTGAAAATGATGGTGGTATTTTGGTGGGAATTGCATTGAATTTGTAGACTGCTTTTGGCAGTATGGTCATTTTTACAATATCGATTCTACCCATCCATGACCATGGGATGTGTTTCCATTTGTGTGTCATCTATGATTTCTTTCAGCGTGTTTTATAGTTTTTCTTGTAGAGGTCTGTCACTTCCTTGACTAGTTACATTCCTAAGGATTTTATTTTTATTTTTTGCAGCTTGTAAAAGGAGTTGAGTTCTTTATTTGATTCTCAACTTGCAAAAAGAACAAATCTGGAGGCATCACATTAACTGATTTCAAACTATACTATAAGGCCATAGTCAACAAAACAGCATGGTACTGGCATAAAAATAGGCTCATAGATCAATGGAACAGAATAGAGAACAGAGAAATAAAAGCCAAATACTTACAGCCAACTAATCTTTGACAAAGCAAACAAAAACATAAAGTGGGGAAAGGACACCCTATTCAACAAATGGGGCTGGGATAATTGGCTAGCCACATGTAGGAGAATGAAGCTGGATTCTCATTTCTCGCCTTATACAAAAATCAACTCAAGATGGATCAAGGATTTAAATCTAAGACATGAAACTATAACAATTTTTGAAGATAACATCAGAAAAATCCTTCTAGACATTGGTTTAGGCAAATATTTTATAACAAAGAACTCAAAAGTGGATGTAACAAAAACAAAGATACATAGGTGGGACTTAATTAAACTAAAGAGCTTGTGCACAGCAAAAGGAACAGTCAGCAGAGTAAACAGACAAACCTCAGAGTGGGAGAAAATCTTCACAATCTACACATCTGATAAAGGACGAATATCAAAAATCTACCCAAAACTCAAACAAATTAGCAAGAAAAAAAACAAACAATCCCATCTAAAAGTGGGCTAAGGACATGAATAGACAATTCTCAAAAGATGATATGCAAATGGACAACAGGTATCTGAAAAAATGCTCAACATCACTAATGATCAGGGAAATGCAAATCAAAACCACCATGCGCTACCACCACCTCACTCCTGCAAGAATGGCCATAATCAACAAATCAAAAGATAATAGATGTTGATGTGGATGCAGTGAACAGGGAACACTTCTACACTGCTGGAGGGAATGTAAACTACTACAACTACTACGGAAAACAGCTTGGAGATTCCTTAAAGAACTAAAAGTAGAACCACTATTTGATCCAGCAATCCCACTACTGGGTATCTACCCAGGGGAAAAGAAGTCATTATGTCAGAAAGATATTTGCACACTCATGTTTATAGCAGCACAATAAGCAATTGCAAAACTGTGGAAACAGCCCAAATACCCAACAATCAACTAGTGGATAAAGAAACTGTAGTATATATCTATGATGGAATACTACTCAGCCATAAAAAGGAACCAATTAATGGCATTCACAGTGACCTAGATGGGATTGGAGACTATTATTCTAAGTGAAAAAACTCAGGAATGGAAAACCAAACATCGTATATTCTCACTCATAAGTGGGAGCTAAGCTATGAGGATGCAAAGGGATAAGAATGATGCAATAAACTTTGGGGACTCTGGGGGAAAGTGTGGGAAGGGGGGTGAGGGATAAAATACTACAAATTGGGTGCAGCACATACTGCTCAGGTGATGGGTGCACCAAAATCTCACAAATCACCACTAAAGAACATAATTTTGTAACCAAATAAAAAATGAAAAAATAATAATAATAAACCTCAATCTTTACATCAAATGATGAACAACATTTCATTAATTATATCATACACCTAAACATTTAAGCTAAAACTATAAAAAAGTCAACATAAAAAATAGAGAACGTATTTTTATACTGAAGTGATAAATATTTCTTAGGACTCAAACAGCATTAGGCCGGGTGGGGTGGTTCACACTGTAATCCCAGCATTTTGGGAAGCCAAGGCAGGTGGACCACGAGGTCAGCAGTTTGAGACAAGCCTGGCCAATATGGTGAAACCCTGTCTCTACTAAAAATACAAAAATTAGCCCGGCGTGGTGGCGCACACCTGTAGTCCCAGCTACTTCGGAGGCTAAGGAAGAAGAATCACTTGAACCCGGGAGGCGGAGGTTGCAGTTAGCCGATATTGAGCCACTGCACTCCAGCCTGGGTGACAGAGTGAGACTCCATCTCAAAAAAAAAAAAAAAAAAAGAAAAAAAAAAGAAAAGAAAAGAAAACTCAAACAGAATTAACCATAAAAAGTAAGGACTAATTAAACTACAACAATATTAAAATGTTCTGCTCATTAAAATATGTTATTTAGAAAATAAGGCCAGATGCAGTGTCTCACACCTGTAATCCTAGCACTTTGGGAGGGTGAGGAAGGCAGATCACCTGAGGTTGGGAGTTGGAGACCTGCCTGACCAACATGGAGAAACCCCGTCTCTACTAAAACTACAAAATTAGCCAAGCTTGGTGGCACATGCCTGTAATCCCAACTACTCAGGAGGCTGAGGCAGGAGAATCGCTTGAACCCGGGAGGCAGAGGTTGCAGTGAGCCCAGATCGTGCCATTGCACTCCAGCCTGGGGAACAAGAGTGAAACTCCGTCTCAAAAAAGAAAAAGAAAAGAAAAATAAGAGTTACAAGTTAGAGAAAATATTTGCATACATATATCATAAAAAAACTAGTGTATGGAATAAATGGGAACTTCAATTCAATAATAAAAGGCAAACAGCATAATAAAAATGATAATTAAATTGGACACTTTACCAAAGAAAATTTATGGATTTTTGGAAAGTACTAAGAATGCAGTCAAAATTAATACTCGTTAGGTAAATACAAACTGCAAATTAAAACCACGGTGAGATATGAGTATATATCCATTAGAATGACCAAAATTAAATGGACTGAGCATTTCAAATTTTTATGAGATGCAATTTAATTGTAACTATCACACATTGATAGTACCAATGTGTATTAATTATTTTTTTCTTGCTGCTGTAAAATAAAAATACTTCTTAGGGGCTTATAACAATACAAATTTACTGTCATGCAATTTTCGAGGTTACAGGTCTGAAGTCTAAAACCAAGGTATCAGCAGTGCTATCTTTCTTCTGGAGGCTTAGGACATAATCAATTTCTCTGACTTCCCTAGGTTCTAAAAGCCGCCTGCATTCTTCGGCTTATGGCTCCTTCTTCCATCTTTAAAGTGTATTATTCCAGCCTTTTCTCCCATCATCATATCTCCTCTCTCTGATTTTGACTTTCCTGCCTCCTTCTTATAAGGAATTACTTGTAATTAAATTAGGCCCACAAGGATAACCCAGGATAATCCCCCATCTCAAGATTCTTAATTTAATCACATCTGCAAAATCCCTTTTGTCATGTAAGGTAACATTTTCAAATTCTGGGGATTAGGATATCTTTAGAGGACCATGATTCCCTCTACCATAGATTGTAAAATGTTATCTTAGGCTGTCTCATTAACTTAAGCAACTACCTCCCTTATAATTCAGGAATTCCACTCCTATTTGGTCAAGAAAAATAAAAGCATATGTGTATCAAAGCTTTGTCCAAGAATGTTCATAAAATCTTTATAATAGGCCCAAACTGCAAACAACATAAATGTCTAACAACAAATGAGCGTAAAAATTGATTGTGATAAATTCATAATAAAACCCACTACAGGTTGAACATCTCTAATCTGAAAATCTATTCTAAAATTCAAAACTGTTTGAGCGCTGACATGATGCCACAAGTGGAAAACTCCACATCTGACCTCGTGATGAGTCACAGTCAAAACTTTAATGCAAAACATTATTTTAAAATATTGCATAAAATTACATTCAAACTATGCGTATAAGATGTGTATGAAACAAAAACAAATTTTGTGTTTAGACTTGGGTCCCATCCCCAAGATTTCTCATTATGTATATGCAAATATTAAAAAAAAAACATTTTGAGTCCCAAGCATTTAGGATAAGGAATACTCAATCTGTATTCAGAAATAAAATAAAATGAACTAATGATACACAAACAACATGAATGAATCTTAAAAACAGAAACAAAAATATTATGCAGAATAAAAGAAGCCTTACCTGAAAACATCACATTCTGGTTGATTTCATTTACATGAATTTCTAGAAGTAGTAATTTAACACAATATGATAGAAATTCCAGTTGTGGTTGCCTCAGATGGCGGGGGTGGGAGGAAGACACGGAGAGGAAGTGACTGCAAAGAGGCACAGGAGAACTTCCTGAGGTTATGAAGATTTCCTGTATCTGGTCTAGCATAGTGGTTATGTGTCCGGAATTGGTGGGTTCTTGGTCTCACTGACTTCAAGAATGAAGCCGCGGACCCTCCCAGTGAGTGTTACAGCTCTTAAGGTGGCGCGTCTGGAGTTTGTTCCTTCTGATGTTCGGATGTGTTTGGAGTTTCTTCCTTCTGGTGGGTTCGTGGTCTCCCTGGCTCAGGAGTGAAGCTGCAGACCTTTGCCGGGTTACAGCTCTTAAGGCGGCGCCTCTGGAGTTGTTCGTTCCTCCTGGTGGGCTCGTGGTCTCGCTGGCTCAGGAGTGAAGCTGCAGGCCTTCCCGGTGAGTGTTACAGCTCATAAAGGCAGTGTGGACCCAAAGTGTGAGCAGTAGCAAGATTTATTGCAAAGAGCGAAGGAACAAAGCTTCCACAGTGCGTAAGGAGACCCGAGCCGGTTGCCACTGCTAGCTCGGGCAGCCTGCTTTTATATCTGGCCCCATCCACATCCTGCTGATTGGTAGAGCCGAGTGGTCTGTTTTGACAGGGCGCTGATTGGTGCGTTTACAATCCCTGAGCTAGACACAAAGGTTCTCCACATCCCCACCAGACTCAGGAGCCCAGCTGGCTTCACCCAGTGGATCCCGCACCGGGGCTGCAGGTGGAGCCGCCTGCAAGTCCCGGTGCCTTGCGCCCGCACTCCTCAGCCCTTGGGTGGTCGATGGGACTGGGCGCCCCGGTGCAGGGGGTGGCGCTCGTCAGGGAGGCTCAGGCCGCACAGGAGCCCATGGAGTGGGTGGGAGGCTCAGGCATGGTGGGCTGCAGGTCCGGAGCCCTGCCCCGAGGGAAGGCAGCTAAGGCCCGGTGAGAAATCGAGCAAAGCGCCGGTGGGCTGGAACTGCTGGGGGACCCAGTACATCCTCCGCAGCCGCTGGCCCGGGTGCTAAGCCCCTCATTGCCCGGGGCCGGCAGGGCCGGCCGGCTGCTCCGAGTGTGGGGCCCGCCAAGCCACGCCCACCCGGAACTCCAGCTGGTCCGCAAGCGCCGCGCGCAGCCCCGGTTCCCGCTCGCGCCTCTCCCTCCACACCTCCCTGCAAGCTGAGGGAGCCGGCTCCGGCCTAGGCCAGCCCAGAAAGGGGCTCCCACAGTGCAGCAGTGGGCTAAAGGGCTCCTCAAGTGCCGCCAAAGTGGGAGCCCAGGCAGAGGAGGCACGGAGAGCGAGCGAGGGCTGTGAGGACTGCCAGCACGTTGTCACCTCTCAGTTATGTGGGTATTTACATTTGTCAAAACTCATCAAGCTGTGCACTTATAACTGCTACCTTTTATTACATGTAAATTCAACTGAAGTAAACTGTCCATTTCCTACCCAGATGCTTAGGGTTTTTAAGAGAAATAGATTTCAAAAGTGTGTGAAGAAAGAGGATAAAAAAATCTATTTTTAAAATTTCCAAAGCATTCTACACTTACTTTTTCATTGCCAAAGCAGATCACAAAGGAATGTGATTATGACACAAAAGGACCAAATAAAGGGACCAGGGATATTGCAGAGGTACTCAAAAATTTTATTTTATATCTACTTTTATGTACCTGACTATTAATTTTATTATTTCTTGAGGTTTTTGGGCATTGTGAAGGAAGGATACTATACCTCTCAGCCAGCTGCCTGAGGAGAATGGCTGGGACTGCATGTGCCTGGCCCATTTGAGAGAGAGCAGAGCTTTTCTGGCTCTGAGACTGCACACAGCCTGCTCAGCACGGGGCCTCTTCACTCCCAGCCTGTTCTCAGTACTGTTGAAATGTCCTAGAAAGTCTAGATAACTGCTTACGAATGGTCAAGAAACAATTTCCTCTCTGACCACGTATTCTTTCTACCCCTTCCACATAATTTTTTTTCACTAAACCAAATTTTGCCTCACTATGGCTTATCTTTATAATCTTGCTCTATTTTCTTGGGTTATCAGTTTCTCTACCTTGCCTGAACTCCATATTAAGATAATTTAATGATGCAATCAATGACATCTTAGAAATTAGTTTGTCAATATTCTACCCAAAGACAATAATACTGTGTACATTCAGAGTAGCCCTCATATTATGTATTTTTCTGTTCCTAAACTTAACTGATCTTTTTCTGACTTAGATCTCTGCATATCACTCTTTCTACCTTTTAGTTACACCCTCCCTGCTAAAAAGGCGAAATATTTTTATTCCTTTTTTAACTTTCCATTTGTAGATATTCCTTCAAGCATTCACTTACTGTTTTGACCTCAATACCAACACCTTCAAGCACTCACTTTTTGCTTTAACCTCTTAATACCAATAGATAAGCCAATAACCCAATAACTTTATTAATCTTACTTTCCAATTCATTTATATCAACATAATTTGACATGAGTTTCTTCTTCTCCTTTCTTTTTCTGTTCTGAAAAGAAAAAACAAAGGAAACCCATGAGGAAACTCTCATGTTAAATTATGCCCTTTTTTGTTCCTCATTTACAAAGAAAAACAATGACTCCCCATTGCCAAAATAATATATTAATATAATATGTCTCAGTCAAACCTTTCTTAACTGGTCCAAATACAACTTTCTAATTATTTTTCCTGCTGTTTTCCATTATGTGGATAATCCACAATGGGCTATTTGCAGGTCCCCAAAATCATAGAATGTTCCTACTTTGAGGGTACCTATCAGTTGTTACTTGATAAGTGTGACTATTGTTATAAATATCTCAAAAAGTAATTTGACAAGTTTCAAGAGGCTGGAAAATTTTCTTTCTTTTTAGACCAGAATTGTTTTTTGGAATCTAGCAAGGAAAAATAATTATAAATATATTAGAAAGAAAGAAGAATGTTTAGGCCAAACAAACACACAATTAAAATATTTGTATATTAATTATTTTTTATTGGAACTTTTTACAATACAATAATTCCCAAAACTTGGCAAATCTGTATAAAACTGAAATGTCTACTGCCATCTGATTTAAAAATACTTTAAATTTGGGGCCAGGTATGGTGGCTCATGCCTGTAATCCTAGCATTTTGGGAAGTTGAGGTGGGGAGACTGCTTGAGCTCAGGAGTTCGAGATCAGCTTGGGTTACATGGTGAAACCCCCCATCTCTACCAAAAATATAAAAACTTGGCCGGGCGTGATGGTGCATATCTGTTGTCCCAGCTACTCAGGAGGCTGAGGTGGGATGATCACTTGAGCCCGGGAGGTGGAGGTTGCAGCGAGCTGAGATCCTGCCACTGCACTCCAGCCTGGGTAACAGAGTGAGACCCCATATCAAAAAAAAAAAAAAAGAAAGAAAGAAAAAAGCTTTAAATTTGGTAATACTTCATTTCTAACATCCATTTTTCTTCTCTCTCATATAAAGGTATCAAGGTATTAGGTAAGCTATTTTTAAAAATCAGAAAGTTTAAAAGATATTTTTCTCTTTTCTGTTTTTGAGGCAGTCTCACTCTGTCTCCCAGGCTGGAGTACAGTGGTGTGATCTTGGCTGACTGCAACATCCGCCCCCCAGGTTCAAGTGATTCTCCTGCCTCAGCCTCCCAAGTAGCTGGGATTACAGGCCCCTGCCACCATTCACGGCTAAATTTTTTTGTATTTCTAGTAGAGACCATGTTTCACCATGTTGGCCAGGCTGATTTCGAACTCCTGACCTCAAGTGATCTGCCCACCTCAACCTCCCAAAGTGCTAGGATTACAGGTGTGAGCTGCCAAGTGGCCAGAATTTTTCCAGGCAACAATTGTCCTTCCTTTTACTCCTACTTCATCCCACTCTCCAGATGCAATCGCATTCAATTCTTTTAGTACTTTTTTCAGATGTTTACATTCATATCTCTAAATAATAAGAGCATATTGCTATGAGACTTTCAAAACAGAATCATGATATATTTGTTTGAGAAATGGTAACACAGAAGACAATGAGTTTTCTAGTGAGAATTTATAAATTAGGAGTGGGATTTATAAATTAAGAATTTCTAGTGGGAATTTATAAATATCACAAATTAGGAGATTAGAGCAGGATATTCCCAGATGGAGGTATGACTTTGCAGTCTCTAGGACATAGCCCATGATACTACTCTTGCTAAGAGAAGACATCACCAAGAGGCACAAGGACACTTTTATCTCTTCCTAGAAGTGAACTGTCCATTAATATGCAATAAAGAGACACTAAAAAAGAGAAACATAAGCTGGAATTGAAATCTCTGTGATTAGGTAGTTCTTATAAACAGGGAGGTTTCAATGCAGAGCAAATAGATGGCCACTTTTTGCTTTTTAATCAGAGAAGGTCCTTCCTTCCTTTTTCTTTATATTTATTAACATGGCAGTTGATTTTCTGGAGTTGCATAGGGAAAAAGTGCTAAGAGGCCTCCGTATTAGAGGCAGAGTTTTATTTAGGGATTCAGTTCCCAGTAGGAGCTCTCAATTTGTCCTCCTCTAATGCCTGATATCCCATGTCAGAAGTCCTTCTGATTCCGTTTTTAAGAGAAAAATAGGCCAGGCATGGTGACACATGCCTTTAATCCCAGTACTTTGGAAGGCCCAGGCAGGCAGGAATTCGAGACTAGCCTGACCAACATGGAGAAACTCTGTCTCTACTAAAAATACAAAAATTAGCCAGGTGTGGTGGTGCGTGCTTGTAATCCCAGCTACTCAGAAGGCTGAGGCAGGAGAATCGCTTGAACTTGGGAGGCGGAGGTTACAGTGAGCTGAGATCACGCCACTGCACTCCAGCCTGGGCAACACAGTGAGACTCTGTCTCAAAAAAAAAGAAGAAAAGAGAAGAAAAGAACATCAATCTAAAGGGACGGGAAACAAAGACGGAGCCCGAGCACTCCTTTCTACAACAATCAAACCGTTGATTAGTTTTCACTTCCTGTGCCATTCCTACTTTCTGCAGTACCAGCAATTCCTGACTCTTTATCACCTAACTTCAAAATGGATTCCAGTGGAGAAATCAGGGTCTTATTGGTACTTCCCCTGCAAACACTTGGGTTGGATTCTCTGCCAAGTCATTTACCTATCTATCATTTGCTCTCTACATTTGGTGCAAGTTACAAATGACTCCTTGTTTTCATCAGTGGTGAAGCTTCTATTTCTTATTTGTGTGTAATATATAGAGGTGTGGTTTTGGGGAAGAGAGATGTCGCATATCCTTTACACTGCCATGTTGAATCCAAAAGTTGGCATAATCATATTTAGTTATGTAGATGCTGACTCCAAGATGCTCACGTGGACACAGTAAACATAATGCATCAATAATATGATTTGGATGTTTGTCTTCTCCAAATCTTACGCTGAAATGTGATTTTAGGCAGGTACGGTGACTCATGCCTGTAATCCCAGCACTTTGGGAGGCCGAGTTGGGTGGATCACCTGAGGTCAGGAGTTCAATACCAGCCTGGCCAACATGGTGAAACCCTATGTCTACAAAATACAAAAATTAGCCAGGTGTGGTGGTGGGTACCTGCAATCCCAGCTACTCAGGAGGCTGAGGCGGAAGAATCTCTTGAACCTGGGAGGCAGAGGTTGCAGTGAGCTGAGATCATGCCACTGCACTCCAGCCTGGGTGACAGAGCGAGACTCTGTCTCAAAAAAAAAAAAAAAAAAGAAACGTGATTTCAGTTTTGGAGATGAGGCCTGGTGGGAGGTGATTAGATCATGAGGTTGGATCCCTCATATATGGTTTGGCACCATTATCTTGGTGATGAGTGAGTTCTCAGTTAGTTTACATATCTGGTTGTTTAATGCCAGGAAGCTCCTCCCTTCTCTGTCTCTTTTGCTCCCTCTCTCTATCATATGAGAAATCTGCTACTGCTGCCATGATTTGAAGCTTTCTGAGGTCCTCACCAGAAGCAGATGCTGGCACCATGCTTCTTGTACAGCCTGAAGAACTATCAGGCAATTAAATCTCTTTGCTTTTTAAGTTACCCAGCCTCAGATATTTCTTTATAACAAGGCAAAATGGCCTATCACAGTATACTGGTTACCTAGTTATCAGAAGCCCTGAAATATATCCAATATTTTCATGGCCCACAAACTACTAAGAAAAAGCCAGATGAGAAACCCAAAGAAAACGTAAAGCTTTTCTTCTGCCTCTCCGTTAATGACCCTTGCTAAATAATGTGGGATGTGGATTTTTATAATGGGATGAAGTTGCACTGATAAAGAAATAAAGTTGATTGAAACTCAAATGATGTATTATTAGGAAAACTGTTTTACTCCATTTGATATATTAGTAGGAAAAATGTTTTACTCCATTTAGCCGGGTTTTGGAAATCACATTGCCTGACTGTCTGTTTCTATCATGACACTAGGCATTATGAATTCAATAAAGTTTCCTTAGGTTCTATAAGACTGACTGGTCTCGGTCTCTATCTTCTCTTGATTGCCCTGGATCCCCCAGGGAGACCTCAACCATTAAAGAAGGAGGGATTCCAAGGAGTAATCACAATGTGTTTGTAAGAAATCACATTCATTAAGGCTAGGGGAAAATGTGGGAAAATACTTATAGAATAGGGACAAGGAGAAAAATCAGAAAAAATGCATTAAATAAAATATTACTTTTTCTCTCATTTATATGTAAAAAGACTTGAAGAAAATATACCACCATGCTAAACAGTAATTATATTTTGGTGATTCCAAATAATTTTTTTATTATTATTTTTCTGTGTATTTGAAATAATATTCAATGAATATCTGACTTTTAACGTATGCGTTATTTTATTGACTCAAACACCACTTCCTCTCTGCTTTTTCTCCTAATATACTCAGTTGAAATTATGTTTTGCTCCTTTAAAATCTCTAAAATTTGTTTTATTACAGCTTTTAGGATGTTTATTACATACATCTCTGTAATTTAATTAACTGTCTGGATTTTTATTTTATTTGTTTTTCCACTTAAGATGCAACATTTAGTAGCATGTGTCTTAGCATTCTTTATAGTGCCAAGCACAGTATACGATATATAGGGTTTGCTCCCACGCGTGTATAGATGAGCAAATGAGCTGATCGTTTTGTAAGCCCCACAGTCATTCTGGTAAGTTGCTGGACCGTCCATGAGCAGGTTGCCTAATATGGATTTTCCTTCCAAAACATCATGCTGTGAAAGCTTCCCATTACAAAACTCACCATATTTATTACACCCCAGAGGAAGAGATTTTTTTCCTGTTTGCTTTTATCAAATGTTTATCCTTTTTTATCCATGTCAGTTGCCATAGAAGCAGCTCTAAGACAGAGCTGAACACATCACAAGAATTCATACACACACAGACTGGTAACTACAGTGGTGGAAGCTTGCTTATGGCACTGAATGAGTGTTTTCACATGTCCTGAACTGCCTCCTTTTTTCAAGACCAGGTGCCTCACTGCGTTAATGAAGGTGCTTGTCTGTCAACGTAGTATTGTAAAGTTAGAAAGATGTGTGTAGCACAGACTAAATTCCTGACTGCACTTGTTGTGATATTTCTAAGCACTGCAATAACTAGAGTCTTTTAATTTTTAATTCACTGTACCAGTTCTTTCCTTTTTGTTGAGACTCTGCCGCTTCTAAATTTCCTAAAAGACAATGGCCAGGTCATAGCATAACACTCAGAGTCCTCTGATCTGACCTCTCTTGCCTCCAAAATAATGATTATACTCTTCATAATTAGATATATAGCCATCATTTCCCTTCACTTTTTCTGAGAAAGCAGTGCTGCGGTCTTCCTAATATGTTATCTCTGTAATATTTTCATAATGTCTTTCCCTTTGTATTTTACTTCTCTTGCTCAGCCTATTGAAAATGGGAAATTTTAGAGGTTCAGAGTCAAGGATCATAGAATATTCTGTGGCGGGAAGGACTAGAGAGACTATCTATTGCAACATTTTCATTATATTTGTGTGTAAATTGTGGCTTAGAGAGTGAAAGTTAACTTTCAAAGGCCCTACAGTGAGTTAAAGTTATATTTTTTATAACTAGCATGTTCTGATTTTTAATCCAAGATTTATTCTCTACTTATTGTTTGACATCAGCATGAGTTTTAAGCAAAGAAATTGGATCTGCTTTAAATTAAAAACCAACCAACCAACCAACCAACAATCCTTTCTGTATTTAAAAGATCTGGGAGTTTGTCAAGAGAAATATAGAAGGGTTTGAAGCTTGGAATGAATTATATCAAATTCCTTACAGTTCTCTAAAGTGCCATATACCGCATTTTTTCATGTCTTTTTGCCATTTCTTGTGACATCTTTCTTCTTTTTTTACACCTAGTAGCCATCCCTTGCTATCTAAGTATCAACTCAATAGTCCAACATCTCTTCTTCAGGTGCTTTTGAAGCAGCTAGGTTCCTTTTCCTGTAAACTTCTGTACTATAGCACTTGCACCGTCACACAATTTTATGCATTAATGCTTTCATACATTCATTTTGTCAAATATTAATTAAGAACGTACTGTGTGCTTTTCAGAGTTATAAGTACTATGATACCATGATGAGTAAAGAAGGAAAATAAGATAATTGAACTCGAAGAAACTTCTGTTTACTTGGAAAGTTCATAGTATGTTTTTATCAGCTGAGACATTAGGCTATTAGATTGCTGAGGACAGGGATTGAGCTTTATTCATTGTTATGTTCCCAGACTATAGTGTAACTCGTAAAATTTAAGACATACTTATTTAAAGAACCAATGGATGAATAAATCAGGTATAAAGTATAAGTACTATAAAATGCAAAGAAAAAGAAATGTTGATGCAGGCTAAAGTATTTTTAGTTTACTTCATCGGTCATTTGAGACTATCGTTTGGAATTAAAAGCACAGTCTTAGAAAGAAAATAAAGGGGAAGAGGAAAAATTCAGGGCAGGAAAAAAAAAGCATGACCAAAGTCATAAAATGGAGGTTTAGAACTCAAGTAATATTCATGAATACAGATGACAACAATTATAGCCATTAGAGAGATAATAATACAAAGATAAATTAGGAACAATTTGTGAAGAAATTTATTTATTTTAGTATTAACTTTACATAACATCTTATTTTCAGTAGCAAAATGTCTGGCTTATTCTGGGACTACTGAGAAAAATAAGCATATATATATATAATATGTATATTTTATATCATATATTTAAAAACAGTATTTTAAGATATGCCTATGAAGAGATAATATGTTTGGCCTTTTAATATAAAAAGACCACATTCTAACTAGGGGAATAGTGAGTTCCTATTAGTCTATAAAGATTGACCTACTAACAGATTATCCATTCAATGGGAAGGTATTATATATAAATTGAATCTTTTCTAGGATTTTGGGTATTTGGTGGCCAATTATCCATATGTCTGACAAATTCATTTATATCAGTAGTTCAAATTTGAAAATGAGTGAGCAGACATAATGTATTACCAATAAAAAAATACATAAAATCAACTGGCCACATATGTATTGAAACTAGACTAGGTATTTGATGGATGAATATATATGAAAAAAATTAAAACTAATAATAAAAAAACTACAGTCTTACATTAGGCAGAGGAATACCTATTTTTATTTTTCTCAGCTCTTATCTTTTTTCCTCCTAATTTAAAGAATGTATAGAGAAGAGAAATCTTACTAGGACACAGAATTCCCCAGAGCATCATACAGCCAAGGACCATAAATATAGCCAAGGTCTTGTTGTAACATTTTCCTCATTATATGTTCATTTGTTCTTTTTCCTTGGTCAATGCCTAGAACTGTGCTTAAGTGATTGGATATATGAAACAAAACATGATTATGTTATCCTATAGCATGGTCAAATAATTTTTTTGTTGTTGTTATTGACAGGGAGTCTTGCTCTGTCACTCAGGATGGAGTGCAATGGCATGATCTCGGCTCACTGCAACCTCCACCTCCCAGATTCAAGTGATTCTCGTGCCCCAGCCTCCTGAGTAGCTGGGATTACAGGCACGCACCACCACGCCCAGCTAATTTTTGTATTTTTAGTAGAGACGGGGTTTCACCATGTTGGTCAGGCTGGTCTCGAACTCCTGACCTTGTGATCCTCCAGCCTCAGTCTCCGAAAGTGCTGGGATTATAGGCGTGAGCCACCGTGCCTGGCCAAAGAATTCTTATAAGTAAATCATTACCAGCACTTGTTTGAAAAGTATATACACACATATTTACACCAAAAACAGCCATCATTAGCAATCCAAATGCAAAAAGCAAGACTATAATTTCATACTTCATCATGTAACATTTAAAAGCAATTAAATTATAATCATTTTATATACATTTCCAGGGAGAAATATCTTTGAGACAGCACACTGGAGCAATATATAATGTATAAATAATTGAACTGAACACAAAGCACTCATTTTTGAGAAAAAAAAATACTTCAAATGCCACCGATAAAAGAAAAATTTATCTCTATTGTGTATCTTTATTTAAAACCTTTAAACTTCAATGTAAATATCTGAGAGCAAAAAAGTGGGATAATTTTTCCTCTGAAAAAGACAAGTTGAAACAAAAATTATTCACAGAAGAATAATAAATTTAGGGAGAAATACCAAGCTTAATGTGGCCTCAATTACGGGAAAAACTGAAAAAAAAATTTCTCTAGGATTTTCTTCTTTAAATTTTCTGAAGCTTTATCAATATCTTTCAAGAACAATATGGATCAAATGAGATCCTTAGCCTTAATCAGGATTATATTCTAATAAAATGGACTTAATTCATTTAAAATGTTTTCTCTCTTCAGTAATCCTTATTTTAAATGAATGCTACAGATTCATGGAGACAAATAACTGAAACACAATTGGAGTCAAGTCTTGTTTTTTTCACACTGTTTCACCTCCATGTTTTATTTGTGGAGAATTCTTAATACAATAATGATTTTCCCTAGTGCCCACACTTTTGGAGCTGTCGTCTCTTTATCCTTTTGTTGGTGATGGCATGAAAATTGAAAACTAATTTTAGGCTATCAGCAATGACTCACACCTGTAATCCCAGGACTTTGGGAGGCTGAGGCAGGAGGAGCACTTAAAGCCAGGAGTTTGAGACCAGCCTAGGTGACATAGTGAGACCCTGTCTCCAAATAAAAAATTTAAAAAGAGATTAGCTGGGTGTGGTAGCAAACATTCATATTCCTAGCTACTCCAGAGGCTGAGGTGGGAGGATGACTTGAGACCAGGAGTTTGAGGCTGCACTGAGCCATGATTAGACCACTATACTCCAGCCATTTTGAGAAGTGTCTGTTCATGTCCTTTGCCCACTTTTTAATGGGGTTGTTTTTTTTTCTCGTAAATTTGTTTAAGCTCCTTATAGATTCTGGATCTGCAGGATTTCTGTTCACTCTGATAATAGTTTGTGTTTGTGTGTGTGTGTGTGTGTGTGTGTGTGTGTGTGTGTGCAGAAGCTCTTTAGTTCAATTAGATCCCATTTGTCAATTTTTGCTTTTGTTGCAATTGCTTTTGATATTTTTATCATGAAATATTTCCCTGCGCTTATGTCCTGAATAGTGTTGCCTAGATTTTCTTCTAGGGTTTTATAGTTTTGGATTTTAAGTCTTTAATCCACCTTGAGTTAACTTTTGTATAAGGTGTAAAGAAAGGATCCAGTTTCAATTTTCTGCATATGACTAGTCAGTTTTCCTAGCACCATTTATTAAATAGGAAATCCTTTCCCTATTACTTGTTTGGTCAAGTTTGTCAAAGATCAGATGGTTGTAGATGTGTGGTCTTATTTCCGAGATCTCTATTCTGTTCCATTGGTCTATGTGTGTTTTTGTACCAGTACTACACTGTTTTGGTTACTGTTACCTTGTAGTGTAGTTTGAAGTTAGGTACCATGATGCCTCCAGCTTTGTTCTTTTTGCTTAGGATTGTCTTGGCTATATGGGGTCTTTTTTGCTTCCATATGAATTTTAAAGTAGTTTTTTCTAATTCTGTAAAGAATGTCAATAGTAGTTTCATGGGAATAGCATTAAATCTATAAATCACTTTGGGCAGTATGGCCATTTTCACGATATTGATTCTTTCTATCCATGAGCATGGAATGTTTTTTCATTTGTTTGTGTCCTCTCTGATTTCCTTGAGCAGTGGTTTCTAGTTTTCCTTGTTGAGGTCCTTCACTTCCCTTGTTAGCTGTATTCCTAGGTATTTTATTCTCTTTGTAGCAATTATGAATGGGAATTCATTCATGATTTGGCTCTCTGCTTGTTTATTGTTGGTGTATAGGAATGCTTGGAATTTTTGCACATTGAGTTTGTATCCTAAGACTTTGCTGAAGTTGCTTATCAGCTTAAGAAGCTTTGGGGCTGAGATGATGGGGTTTTCTAGATATAGGATCATGTCATCTGCAAACAGAGACAGTTTGACTTTCTCTCTTCCTATTTGAATATGATTTATTTCTTTCTCTTGCCTGATTGCGCTGGCCAGAACTTCCAACACTATGTTGAATAGGAGTGGTAAGAGAGGACATCTTTGTCTTCTGGTGGTTTTCAATGGGAATGCTTCTGGCTTTTGCCTTTTCCTATTCAGTATTCAATATGATATTGGCTGTAGGTTTGTCACAAATGGCTCTTATTATTTTGAGATATGTTCCATCAATACCTAGTTTATTGAGAGTTTTTTTTTAACATGAAGGGATTTAAATTGTATCAAAGGCCTTTTCTGCATCTATCGAGATAATCATGTGGTTTTTGTTTTTAGTTATTTTTATGCAATGGGTTACATTTATTGATTTGCATATGTTGAGCCAGCCTTGCATCCCAGGGTTAAAGCCAACTTGATCATGATGGATAAGCTTTTTGATGTGCTGCTGGATTTGATTTGCCAGAATTTTATTGAGGATTTTTGCATTGACATTCATCAGGAATATTTTCCTGAAGTTTTCTCTTGTTGTTGTATCTCTACCAGGTTTTGATATCAGGATGATTCTGGCCTCATAATGAGTTAGGGAGAAGTCCCTTATTTTCAGTTGTTTGGAATAGTTTCAGAAGAAATGGTACCGGCTCCTCTTTGTGCCTCTGGTAGAATTCAGCTATAAATTTGTCTGATCCTGGGCTTTTTTTTGTTTTTTATTACTGCCTCAATTTCAGAACTTGTTATTGGTCTATTCAGGGATTCAGCTTCTTCCTGGTTCAGTCTTAGGGGGTGCCTGTGTCCAGGAAGTTTTTCATTTCTTCTAGATTTTCTGTTTTATTTGCATAGAGGTGTTTATAATATTTTCTGATAGTAGTTTGTATTTCTGTGGAATCAGTGGTGATCTCCCCTTTGTCATTTTTTATTGTATCTTTTTTATTGTGATTCTTCTCTCTTTTATTCTTAATTAGTATAGTTACTGGCCTATCTATTTTATTAATTTTTTTAAAAAACCAGCTCCTGAATTCATTGATTTTTTTGAAGGGTTTTTTTGTGTCTCTATCTCCTTTAGTTCCACTCTGATCTTGTTTTTTTGTTTTTTTTTTTGTTTTGTTTTTTTGTTTTGTTTTTTGTCTTCTGTTAGCTTTGGGGTTTGTTTGCTCTTGGTTCTCTAGTTCTTTTACTTGTGATGTTAGGGTGTCGATTTGAGATCTTTCTAGCTTTTTGATATAGGTATTTAGTGTTATAAATGTCCCTCTTAACATTGTTTTAGCTATGTCCCAGAGATTCTGGTACATTTCCTCTTTGTTCTCATTTGTTTCAAAGGCCTTCTTGATTTCTGTCTTAATTTCATTTTTTACCCAGGAATCATTTAGAAGTAGGTTGTTCAATTTCTATGTAGTTGTGTGGTTTGGGGCAAGTAACCTATACTTAATTCTTCAATGTAATGTTTTGAAAATTATCACTGGCAGTGTAAAAAAATTTTTGCTTTTCAGTAAAATTAAAATGACCACTTCTGTAAAGTAATTGGCCGATATGAAGTCTCACCAAGCAAAAGAGGTGAAACTGCTCTAATTCATTAATTTTAAAACATCAGCACCTATCTCAGGTTCAGGTACACAACAGACAGTCAATAAGTGTTTATTGAAGTGATTTTCATTTTTATTATAATCCTCCCTCAGCTGCTTTGACAAAGGATCAATTATTTTTGCTTTTTACTTTCAAGTTATTATATTATATATAATATTAACATAATGCATTATAAATATAATCAAAGTTTGATTATTGCTTCTAGCTTTTCTCAAAGGTCATACGAAGAACTGACATATAAATTGATCATTACATTTGTAGTAAAGATTTTGTTAAAGATACTGCTGATTCTGTTTCTTCCATGTCCTTTTTGTAATAACTCCATGATGAATTACTTTAAGAATTCAATGTTAGAAAAAGTCTTTCTTCAGCAGAATTATTATGCTTTCTACTTTTCAATAGTGCACACAGTAGGTTTTATATAAGAATATGTTAAGCAAATGAATAAAAACCTGTATAACTGATTGCAGCACTTTGAAGAGATCTCATTTGGGGCGCAGACAAAAATGAGAACAATCATAAGAACTATATGCTTCTTTACTGCTATCATATTTTTGATTTTGTTTCCCTCAATCTTGAAATTTTTCTTATATATGTATTTCAGTAAATATTAATATGTTTTGTTTTCAGTAAATATTAATATGTGTTTTTTTAATTTACCTGATATATTTAATGTAAAACGAGGGCAGAAACTTGAAATAAATAAGCATGAAGCAATTTTTCATTCCATAAGTTGTGATAATGGAAGTGTAGGTAATCTTAAACACGAACTTATGCACAAATAATTTATGTTAAATTTAATTCAGTGTGTGGCTTTTCTTTTATTAAATATTTATTATTGCATTGTACCTTGTGGCTAATGAAATTAGCTTACAATTCTCAGAGTTCAGAAAAAAATGTGAGGAAAATGTCCCCAAGACAAGCAAAGGAAACATTTTCTGTGATTAATCTTTTTTTTTTTTTTTTTTTTTGAGATGGAGTTTCACACTTGTTGCCGAGGCTGGAGTGCAATGGTGTGATCTTGGCTCACTGCAACCTCCACCTCCCAGGTTCAAGTGACTCTCTTGTCTCAGCCTCCCGAGTAGCTGGGATTACAAGCACATGCCACCACGCCTGGCTAATTTTTGTATTTTTAATAGAGATGGGGTTTCATCATATTGGTCAGGCTGGTCTCAAACTCCTGACCTCAGGTGATCCACCCACCTCGGCCTCCCAAAGTGCTGAGATTACAGATGTGAGCCACCACACCTGGTCAATTAATTCTTAAATAACAATAACTGACAATTTTTGAGTGCTTATTATGCCTCATTCATCACTCTTGATTGTTTTTGTATATTATTTCATTTATGAGAAAAAAACTATCGTTATTTTCTTCTTCAGACCAAAAAAAAAAAAAAAAATAGGCCCAAAGTGGTTAAGTAGATCTATTGAGATCACAAAACTAGAAAGTATTGAAGCTGGAATTCAAAATCAGGCAGTGTAACACCAGAGTTTACAATCATATTCATGCAGCCTGAAACTGCCTCACATGAGATATTTTAATTTATCCAAAAATTGTATATAGATGGTCTACTATTTTCCAGGTATAAAACAAGCACTGGCCTCCTAAAGTGCTGTAATTCCAGCTCTTTGGGAGGCTGAGGCAGGTGAATCACCTGAGGTCAGGAGTTTGAGACCAGCATGGCCAATATGGTGAAACCCTGTCTCTACCAAAAATATAAAAACTAGCCGGGCGTGGCGGTGAGTGCCTGTAATCCCAGCTACTTGGGAGCCTGAGGCAGGAGAATTGCTTGAACTCAGGAGACGGAGGTTGCAGTGAGCCGACATGGTGCCACTGCACCCCAGCCTCGGCAACAGAGTGAGACTCCGTCTCAAAAGCAAAGCAAAACAAAAAACAAACAAACAAAAACAAACAAACAAAAACAAAAAAACAAACAGAAAAAACAAGCACTGGCAATATAACAATCATCCACAGAAGAAAAATTGAGAAATTATTATACTTTATCAATTCATCATTACTCTATTTCTGTCTACCCAAATGCAAACTAAAAATGACAAACAAGAAAATAACGTCCATTTGAGGTTTAATTAAGGTTTTTACATTTTAGCTATGTGTTCGATCACAGAACAAACCAAACATGAGCACCTGTGAGTACCAGTTTGTTTCACAAATAAAAATTTCTTTTTTGATATAATGACTGAATAGATTTAATTTTCTTTCTGTCAGTCTGCATTGTTGATCTCATAAATGCATTTGCTTTGCTGTTTGCTTTTCCCTACATTTAATATATTTTTATGCAATACTATTTCCAATTTTACAGGATAAACTACCAGATGGCAGGGACCCTTTGTTTCAAGCAAGCTCAATTCATGGCCCAAGTGGGTGCTTGGTTAATAACTTTGAGCGTGACTCTAGTAAATTGGCAAAGTTTGAAAATGAAAGCTATTTTCAAACAGATAGAAACTGAGTGGTAAGACAGATTTAACAGTTAATATGAAAGAACCAATTTCCTTGACAAAGAAGCAGTGGGTAAATCGGAGCCACAGGGACAGCTTTAAACACCACCTACCCAAGAGAAACCCTCAAAGGAAACAGTTTATTTTAAAAGGAATTCAAAACAGACTGTTCTTTTTTTTCTTCCTGTCAGATACTCACATCATTTGAAAACTATTAATAAGTGACAGGAGTGCTGACAGTAATGTTCCAGATACTTAGCAAAAGTAGCCAAGCATCTGTTTTTGCCATTGAAACATTAGATAAGGATTTTTGTTTCCCATCAAGGTATTTCTACAGAAATTTAGCTCGTAAAATTTTGTATTTTCAGGTGCTGATAATGTATTGGAATCTGATGCCGGCAAGACAGGTATGAGGCTGAGAGTATGTCCTTCTACATCAATTTGAATAAGCTCAGTGGCTATCTTGCTACATCAATCATCAATAGTCCTAAAGACCTCCACAGGCTAGAGGATTGCATTCCCACCTCATTGGCTATTACATTTAGTGACGACGTCCTTGACTAAGATGATTAAGATAGAAAAATACATCATAAATCATGTATGGGTTTCATGATTTTCCTGCATAAAATAAGCTGTTAATTATCTATTCTAGGATTCTAAAGACAAAATAGGAGGGCCCAGCATCATGAGACCATGCGCGCATGATTTCTACTGTCTGCTATGACAGTTTCTTCCAGAACATTAAAGATTCTATCACAAGTTTTGTCCTCAGAAGCTGCCAACTTCCTCTTAAAAAATAAACAAAAACAAAAATCCTCTGGAATTCTCATCCATTTTGGAAAAATTTATAATTGAAAGTCTGTTGAAGAAATGTTCAATTTCTTCTTTCTGATGTTCTTTCGTACTAATTTCACTCCCTGAATAGTAAATAGAGACTTCCTCCTCATGAGAGCAATTACGAAACTTGTTATAAACACACAAGTGACTTGTAAAAATAATGTACACATTAAAGATAACTTAACTTCCTAAAAGACATTTGAAAAGGTCTTCTGAAAACATTAAGGGATGAGGAGGTAATGAAAATGCAGGAGATCTTTGATGATAATGTTGTTTGCTAGAGAACGGTATGAAATAGAAGTCAGGACAATGTCAGAGAGAACATTATTTACTGAAATCTGAAAACAACTTCATTGCAACACTGAGAAAGTTTCATTTTTAGGTTCCATAACCCAGTGTGATCAGAGGATATTTGGATATTGAAGGAACAGGAAATAAAGCAGAGTCATTACTGAGTCTGCTTACCTGATGAAAAATTTTACACCACTGCCACAAAAATGAAGTTCATATCTACATATCCAAAGTAAGTTTTAGCAAGGAGCAGAATTGAATATTTCATTCAATCCATTATTCAACAAATATTCCCTACCCTGTGATCATTTTATTTTATTGATTGGGAATAATATTAATCACTTAAAATATATGTACTTTGAATTCAGACAGACCTGGACTTCTGCTCTAGTTCTACCTTATACTAATAATAGCTGGATCTTGGGTACATGTGGAGGGTTGAATTATTTGCACCAATAATTTATCTATCTGTATCTATACCCTGTGCCAAGCTGCCTTTTGTCCCGGTAGAGATGAAATATATCACTGTTTTCCACTGATGTTGGACTATAGCATGTGTCTGTCATTGGCCGATGGATATTAACATTTGTGATACAAGCAGAAGTTTGACATGTGCTTAACATGGTTGAAATGGTTTGGCTTGCCTTTTCATACTTCTGTTACCACCAAGAGAAGAATATTCCTCTCCTAGCCCACTGTCCAAAGAAAGATGCTACAGAATAGAGCTGGATTCAGTCTGCAGCTTAACCAAGCCCAGCCTAGAGCAGTTGCCTCTCAGGTAATCCCCAGCTAACTGACAAATGCATGAGAGAAAATAAATGTTTTAAGCCATTGAACTTTTGAAGTTGTTTGCTATGCAGCAGTTGTAACTGATACAGCATGTAACTCAATCATTCTTAGGCCCAGTTTCTACATCTGAGTAAAATAGTTTCCAAAATGAGAACAATAGAAATACATAATACATAGGATTACTATCATAATTATTGATGCTTTAAACACATATGTGTAAACACTGAAAACATTAGTTGCATTTCTATATACTAACAATGAATACATAGACATTAAAATTAAAAATACAATAATATTTACATCACTCAAAAAAATTTAACTGTAAATTTACCAAAAATGTAGAGGACTTGTATGCTGAAAACTACACAATGTTTATGACAGAAATCACCTAATATCTAAATAAATGGAGAGACATGGTATTCATGAATTGGAAGACCAAAAATTAATAAAGACATGCATTCTACCCAAAATGATATACAGTTTTAATGTAACTCCTATCAAATTCCTTTGGATATGAACAAGACTGTTTTAAAATTTATATGGAAATATACAAAATAGAAAAGCCAACAAAAGTGAAAAAGAGGAATAAAATAGGAAGACTCTGTCTACCTAATTTCAAGAGGTATAATATAGCAACAGCAGTCAAGACTGCAGGATATTTGTGCAGAGACAAACACACAGATAAATTGAACAGCACACAGGAACCAGAAATAGACCAATACAAACATGCCCAAAACAAATTTGACAAAAGTACAATTCAATTGAGGAAAGATAGATTTCAACAAATAGTGCTAGAGCAAGTGGATATCCATAGACAAAGAAGAAGAAAAAAAGAAGCTTGGTCTAAGTCTCACATTTCAAGCAAAAATTAACTGAAAATGGAGAACAGACTTATATTCAAGATGTAAAACTGTAAGCCAAAGCAAAATAGGAAAAAATTTTCAGAATCTAAGGCTAGAAAAAAGGCACACCAAAAGCACAATCTATATAAGTGAAACTAAATCAATTGTACTTTATCAAAATTAAAAATATTTTGCTCTGTCTGTAAAAAAATAAATACACAAATCCCTTAAGAGGATGAAAAGATAAGCTATAGAGTAGGAAAAAATATTTGTTAACCACATGTATGACAAAGGTCTAGTATCTAGAATATATACACACTCTCAAAACTAAAGTTAAAAAAATTGGATAATAAAATGGGAAAAGACATAAAGAGATATTTTACTGAAAGCATACACGAATGGCAAAAATGTACATAAAAAGATATTCAACATCATTATCACTGGGAAAATGCAAGTTGAAAACCACATATATATTTGTACACACATATCAAATAGCTAATATATATATACCACTAGTATATACATTGTCACTAGTGTATATATACACACACACACACACATATTATATATATATATACACACACCACTGGTATATATATTGCCACTAGTGTGTGTGTATATATATATGTGTATATATAGATCATATATATGAATATATATAATATATATTTTATATATTAGTGGCAATTTCAAATGCTGGCAAGGATGCAGAGAAATTGGATCACTTACATTTTGCTGTTGGGAATATAAAATGGTACAGTCACTTTGGGAAACAGTTTGGAGGCTTCTTGAAAAAACTAAACACTACTCAGCAACTGTATTCTTGCACAGTTATCCCAGAGGAGTAAATGCTCACAGAAAAATCTGTACAAAATTATTTATAGCAGCTTTATTTATAATAGACAAAAACTGGAAATAACTCCAGATGGCCTTCAACAGGTGAACAAGGAACAAACTGTGGTACATTCACACTGCCAACTACTTCTCAGCAATAAAAGGAAAATAACTATTGATACATGTAAGAAGCTGGACGAATCTCTAGAGAATTAGGCTGAGTGATAAAAAAAGCCAATCACCAAAGGTCACATACTGTATGATTTCATTTTCTTAACATTTTTGAAATGACAAAATTATAGGAATGGAGAACAGATAAGGGATTGCCAGGGCCTGGGATTGGCAGAGAGTGAAGTGTGGGTGACTATAGAGAGCAGCATGAGGGAATTTTGTGGCAATGGCAATGTTCTGTATCTTGACTGTCTCAGGGCCAATATCCTGTTTGTTACAATGCAGTGTAATTTTCCAAGATGTTGCCTTTGGAGAAAACTTAGAAAATGTATCTATAATCACTCTGTATCATTTTATCACTGCATATGAGGCAGCAATGATCTAAAAATGAAACATTTAATTAAATATATTTATTTTAAATGTTTAAGATAAAATGGTATCTTTTCAGGTTTTCCAAAAACCATAGTAAATGTAAATGGTAAATATAACTATTTTTCAACTAAAATGATTTTTTTGATCTTTCAATTTTAGATGGTTTGTCCAGGTGCTGAAAAAGTCTGATTTTTTTTTTTATTTTTGGTGAAAGAGAGATGCCTCAGCTCATTAGGCAGCTATTAGACTAGTGGACTCACTGTGCAGACATCAATACAGGCAGTCAATTGCAATCCCATGTCCCAAGGCTCTAAAATCAGACCAGCATTTCCTGGGCTAGTTCACTGTACACACAGTGCTTCTTTAGACTCCCTTCCAGTCCAGAGGGTCACAGGTCTACAGCAGTTTCAGTCTTACATCAAGGATTCTAACCCACTTAGAATTTGCTGAAGAAAAAAACTCTAATTCAAGACAAATTAGTGATTTTTTTCCACCTTAGAAGTAATTGAAATTTAAGTGTAACAACTCCTTTTGGTGAGGTATTTTAAAGGGTGAAAATCTCTGCTTAGCCTATATTAAACACTCAATAATTACTAGTTTCTTTCCCATTAATGAATAAAATATCTTCAGAAAGTTCTCAAAAAAGAACACATACTCTCGCCTGCCTGTGATGATGAATTATATCTGATTTATTGCCTAAATAAACTGATAATGTTCCACTTAGAAATCTCAGATTAAGGTGAAACCAACTACCTCATTTTGGACTCACCTTCTCATTGCCCTTCAAAGAATCTTGAGCCAGGAATCAACATAACTGATCACATTGTTACAAATAAGTCCATAGCGTTTTTCCCCTTTCCATTTTTAAAGTAGAATTTTACTATCATTCTTCTATAGGATATGGAGTCTAGCAGTTTTCTTTTACCATTATCAGATCTGGCTAATCTTTGACAGACTATTAAAAACCACAAATACAAATATAGACACAAGTCCATTAAGAAAAAAACAAGATATATCTGTACACACAAATGCAGGCTATTAAAAAACACAAGTACTCTAAAGCCCTAACATCAGAGGGAATAGCCCAAAACTTAGTTTCTGTTGAGCCAGTACAATGGATCAGTTTTCTCTATTTTTTCTATATGTGAGGACTTGAGCAATTAATTTTTCTTCTACGGGCCTCAGTTTCTCAAAATGTACAAATAGATGTTGGTGAATATGCCGGACATATTTCATTCATTTTACAGTTTATTTTCCCACCTGTCCCTTTTTCCAGCTACCTGTCTGTGTGGGCTCCACCTAATTTCAGGCAGGAGTGCTGGACAGTGCCTCATACCCATGCTGTGTACTTCTCACTTGTGTCATGGTGCTTCCAATAGATGCTGGTCCTGATCAGAGATTGCACATGTGCAGATGGAAAAAGCAGGCAGTTATTAACTCCTGGAAAATTTTTGACCAATGTGAAATGGAATATGATGCATAAATTCTTTCTTCTTACTCTGCATGTGCAGACCTGAGATACAGTTTATATCATTTATTGAAAAACTCTCACAATGGATTGAGAAATCAACTGTATTTGGCAGTGTCCAGCTTGATAATGCATCTCATATTGTCTCTTCATATGTTCCTAATTCATTTTCTGTGATGGTTAACTTTGTCTGTCAACTTGACTGGATTGAGGGATCCCAGTAAAATATTATTTCTGGGTGTATGTGCCAGGGTGTTTCAGGAAGAGATTAGCAGCCGAGTCAGTAGACTGAGTGAGGATGATCCACTCTCGCCAAGATGGGCGGATATTACTGAGTCCATTGAGGGGCTGTAAAGAACAAAAAGGCAGATCAAAGGTGAATTATTTCTCTCTTCTGGAGCTGGAACATTCATCTTTTCTTGCCTTGACACTTCAGAACATCATATTTCCAGGCCTTTGGATTCCAGGACACAGCAGCACCTCAGATTTTCAGGCCTTCAGCTCAGGACTGAGAAGGATGCCATTGACTCCCCAGTTCTCAGGCCTCTTGACTCTGACATCTACCACTAGCTTTCCTGGTTTTCCAGTTTGCAGATGGCATATGTGGACTTCTTGGGCTCCCTAATTGCAGGAGCCAGTTCCCAAAGTAAATCTCATATATCTACGTGTATATATCCTGTTGGTTTTGTTTCTCTGGAGAACCCTGAATAATAGCTTTCCTTTCCTCTCACTTCCCAGGATTGTAATTCCTGAGCCCTTAGCACAGTCTCTTCCTTCTGGGGCACCCAGGCAAAAACAGTTGATAAGAGGAACAGCAATAAAAAAACCTCAGGATGGGATTTTGCAGAAAGACTAGTCACCAATAGCATGGCAAAAACTCCCCATTGCTGGTGATATTATAATGACTAAAGCTTGCCCCTGAGACTAATTGCTATAAGGAGCATATCAACGTCTAGTATGAGGATGTGGCATATGAACTACATGACAGCAATAGGAAATTGAAGGATTGTAAAGTATATTTTTTGACTTTTGTTTTTAACTACTTTGAAAGCACCAATTTTACAAAAATAGGCTCTGAAAGTCAGCTTCCAACTAAAGGCAAACTCTGAAAGACAGAAAGCCTGTGACAGCAACTCACAAAATGCACTTGTTCTTCTTAGAATCCTCACATGCCACTCCTATTGCCTTCAGGCTGGCATTCGACATCACATCCCAGACAAGCCCAGTGGGTAAGTACAACTCTAGTTAATGAAAGAAGTCACTCACATGCTGAAGGAATTAGACTCTGCCTGTGTGCACTGCTGGTGACTGGAAGCAAATGTAAGAGTAAATCTTGTGGGTTAGAAAATAGGGCTAGACTACATGTGGGCTATAGAGTAAGTTATTTACATGGGCCACTCACCCATGACTGGAGCTTCGATGTTCTAACAAGGGCATATATTTTTTTGGCAATAACTTCTTGAAACATGCTCTGAAGATGGCCAATAGATAAAATACTTCCTGAAATATACTGAGAAAGTAGTCAGTGAGGTCAAGAGAAGTGGGAGTGTTATAATGAAATCATTATGTTAGACTTGAGAATCCACCACCTAGCTATGTTCCTTAGTAGGTCCAGCGATACTATTATTACTAAGAAAATAGGTGATCATTGAAAAGCTTGAAAGTGTCTGTCTTTTGTAGCACAGTAATGGGAGATGCTTCCTTGGTACTGTCTCCCTAGTAATAAAGGGAGTAGCAGATTCTGGAATGGTGGTGATCTGGAGGCTGTGTATAACCGTCAGAGGTAAAGTAAATGCAATTTCCATAATAGGCAGCAAAGCAGAGTAGCAAAAAGGGATATTTGATCCATAGAGGTCTGTGGCAATGAATAGCAGACCATGATAGTCCCAATAGTGAGACAAACGGGCAGTCAATCTGGGTGTTGCTGGAGTTGTGTACTAATATTAATTTTGAAAAATCAAATGCTGATAAGCAGAATTTTGAAAAATCAAATGCTGAGAACTGGAGCATTTCATCCATGTTCTAGATCTATTCAGATTCTAGATCTAAGTTTGTCAGATGCAGATTGAAACTGAAGTCAAAAGTCTTTGAGAAAGCACTTTGTAACACCACTGCAAGGAAATATGGTAAATATTCCTTCAATCCTTCCCGAAAGAAATCTGAAGCCATTTGTTAAAATAATTTTGCATTGGGAAAGGGGGAATATTTAGATTTTTTGAGGCTTGATAGATGCAAGGTTTGCGCTCATACTGGTTCCAGAAAGCTGAAAATGCCATCGTGCTTCACTAGGCAGAGAGAAACTTACGGAAACCAGGTGATGAATGAATTTTTGGTCTATGTGCATCTCAACAGAGCCCAAGTGGTTCCCATTGCCCATATGTGTGACCAGGATAGATATACTTATCGGCTATCATAAATATTTTGCTGGTTTTTTGACCTCTGAGCTAAGACTCATGCCAGAAAATCCTAAATGGAAGCTCATGAGGCTTTCCCCAGTTAAGAGAGAAAACAAAAAAATGTCATATCCTAGAAAGGACTGCAAAGGTTATCACTTCCAACAAAATCATAAAGAGATTTCATCATGTCTCAAAAACAAAATCAAAACAAAGCAAAAACAAGGAAAAGATGAATTATGGCAGGAAATAAAGCCTGTTGTACTGGATACAGTAATTTCACAGAAGCAGATCAACACAGCTTCTGGCTCTTGGTTTATAGCTAGGGATCTGGCAAATATGTTCTTGACTGCATTAGTAAGGAAGGTAGGAGCCATACACCTTCACATGACAGTGATGCAGCACATGAGCGCTCATTTGCTTCAGGGCATTATTAACACTCTTGCTTTCTGTCATTGTAGTGTCTGCAGAGAACTTGGTCATCTTGGAATTTCACAATATGGTGCTGGCCCACTAAATGATGAATCATACTATTAGGTCTCAGTGAGCAGTAAGTGGTGGTACTCTAGATGTCCCAGCAAGACACACATGTCAGAAAAGGGATCTAACTCTATGAAGATTCAGAAGCTTGCACTATTGTGAGTATTTTTTTAGGATAGAGCTATCAAAGGTAATCCTCTTACTTATCCCCTATAGAAGAAATGATAAATTGTTGCCCCTCACACCACCTACCGCTAAGAAAGTGGCCTCTTTAGATTTTGATGGTAGCATAGACTGCTTTTGGTAATACAGCTCTGATCCATTTTGGGGTGATATGGGAGGCTTCCATATTTGAGGCACTCAGACAGTTAAAATTCTGCAGTAAATCCAGTCTGCATTACAAATGGTTCTGCCACTCAGGACATTTCAGCTAAGCTAATATTGCTAGAGGTAGTTTCTGTCAAGCCATAGTATGAGAGTTAGAGTGAAGGCTCCTAAGCTTCTTCAGCAAGGCTATACATTCTGGGGCAGGGAACATCTCTGTGTTTGAAAACTGGTCCTGGTATGCTACTGGGTTCTCGGTTGTGGGAGGAGAGCTGATCACCTGACCTTGGAACATCCAGTGATAGTGGAAGTGGGTCTGCCCATCTTTGGCTGAGTATTGTAGATTCCGTTGTGTCATAGGTAAGGCAGACACAGTCATGGTCTATAAACATAGAGAAAATTTGGGAATGAGTCTATGCGGTTCCAAAACCAGCATTAAATTATACAAAAAACCAGTTCAGAAGCCAATATTGCATCATTGTCTCTCTTCAATTTATTGTTATAATTTTATTGGTTATTAACATTAACCAGATATTGGAGGAGGAAAAACTCAGCCTAGTTCATTGATGTTGAAGCTTGACCCAAATGGACTACTAGGAAATCTTAACCACACTCATGGAAAAGTGATAAAGGAGTGTGTTGAAGGGAGATCCTCCCAGTAGACAGAGCTGTAAAGAATCCTTTAGCCATCTTCTTTATACACAGAAAAAAGTGGTGTGAATTGCATATATACATGAGCTCTTGGGAAGTAGCATAGTTTGGTGGGTTACCCAGGGACCTGGATGCAATGAGATTCAGAGAACAGAGACAAAGAAAAGGAAAAGAAGTATATGAATTGACCTATTTAGTGAACAGAAAGTATGTCTATTTTTGTATCTTAAGTTAATATCCTTAAAAAAATGTCTACTGTGAGCAGGGCGCAGTGGCTCATGCCTGTAATCCCAGCACTTTGGGAGGCCAAGGTGGGCGGATCATGAGGTCAGGAGATCAAGACCATCCTGGCTAACACAGTGAAACCCCGTCTCTACTAAAAATACAAAAAATTAGCCGGGCATGTTGGCAGGCACCTGTAGTCCCAGCTACTCAGGAGGCTGAGGCAGGAGAATGGCATGAACCTGGGGGGTGAAGCTTGCAGTGAGCCGAGATCGTGCCACTGCACTCCAGCCTGGGCAACACAGCAAGACTCCGTCTAAAAAAAAAAATATCTACTGTGTAGGAGTCTTCTTACAATGAGATGATAAGATGATTCATTTCATGAAAGCCAGAAAGGCTTTCTTCTTGGTTATCTTAGTGGTAATGCAATAAGCCCATGAGAAGAGTGAGCGTGGTGATGTGGTTTAAGGTTGTACACATGCCTAATAATATGATCTTCCTCTCACCAAGACTAATGGAGCCACTACCATTGCTGAGTGTCCAACTTTCCAGCAGCTGAGACCAATAATAAACTTTGTAAGCATCACCATTCTTCAAGGAGACCAGCCACTTGGTAGTAAGTTCAATGTATTGGACCCCTCTAATGTAGCACCACCCAACCCCCCAGAAATATGACAGTGACTTTTCATACCAAAACTGATATCTACTATAATTATGGTGTGTTTTTTTCCATCCTATAATTGCCAGAACAGGAAAAATCTTCAGAGGACTTATAGGATTTCCTAACTTATTGACATGGTATCGTATATAATATTGCCTTAGGCCAACAGAACCATTTTATAGCCACAGAGGTGTGAGGGAAGGTCTCATAGGATCCGTTGGTCTTGCTAAGTGGCTCTTACCTCATCATGCCCCCCACACATCATCATTCATAAAAGCTTCCTAATTCAAAATGTGGAATGGCATGTTAAAGGATCAGCTATGGCACTATTTCAAAGACAAAAGCCCTCAGTGTTGGGATACTGCTGAAACAATATACTAAACATATTCCAGCATGACTGAAAAATTTTATCTTGAAAATGTTGGCAGTCCTAGGAAACATTCAAGTATCACATAAAAGATTCAGAATCACTGACTCATTCAGCTTTTCATGGGTGGTTTTCTTTCCAATTACTGACTCTAATGGAAGAGTAAATTACTCTCCTAATGATAGTTGAAAATAACTGCTTAGGTTTTTATGTGGAAAAAAAGAAAGCATTTTAGTGGTCATTATTTCCTATCAATATATTTTTTTTTGTTTTCTTCTTCTTTCACAGGACTGTCCCTCAAGGGAATTTTATTCCTTAACAAAGGTCAGGAAATAAAATAGGCCAAGTATTTAAAGAAATTTTTATTTCCATCCTGTATTAGTTTTCTATTGCTGCTGTAAAAAAATAACACAAACTTAGTGGCTTAAAACAACTGCCATCTATTATTGCCTAGTTTCTGTAGGTTAGAATTCCAGTAGGCACTGTAGTCTGTGCTTAAGTATTACAAGGCTGAAATAAAGGAATCAACAAGACTATGTTCCTTTCTGGAGGCAGAGGAGAATCCATCTCATTGTTCATTCAGGTGGTTGACAGAATTTATTTCTATGCAATTGAAGGGCCAAAGTCCATTTCTTTATTGGCTGTGAGCTGGGAGTCATTCTCAGCTTCTAGAAGCCACCTATGTTCACTGGCTTGTGGCCCCTGCATCTTAGAGCCAGTAATGGTAGATGGAGTCCCTCTCACTCTTAAAATCTCTCCTACCTGTTCTTCAGCCATTGCATCTCCCTGACAGACTCTTCTGCCTTCCTCTTCTATTTTTAAGGGCTCTTGTGATTACACTGCGTTCATCCAGATAATCCAGGATAATCTTTCTATCTTAAGACTCTTAATCATAATTCCTTTTACAAAGTTCCTTTTGTTATGTAATAGAACATACATGGGAGTAAAAGTAAGAGCAAAGATCAGGAGGGCTAAAGCTCTTTTGACTACATACACCCAGGTCATTCTGCCAGCCAAATTCTAGGACCTTGTTTTATTCTTAAAATAAATTTATACTCTAGAACAGGAATATGGAAGTCCTGTGAGTTTAAGAGACTCGGGTTAACCATGAAAGGAGAAATTCCCTCTCTTTGGTGCCCTGGTAATTTAATGCATGAAAGCAACGTACTATAGTAACATTAAGAATCTTTCTTCTGAAAAAAAAAAAAAAGGTTATGAAACAATCAGTTTACCAGAAGAATTAATTTTGAGCTGGATACACCTATTTTTCAGGATTGTGACATTAAATTTCTTAAAACAATGCCCTGGAAATCTTTGCCTATCATCGAGTATTTGAGCATTCCCTACTCACATATCCCTGCCCCATTTGAAAACAACTGGATGATGACATCTTTAGGAATCATTCTACCTTAAGTACCCCAGAATTTTTCAGTTCTGTCCCTGAATGAATGAAGTACTATTATTTTTCAAAGAAATCTTTGAAACTAGAGGAGAGCTAATCTGCCAAGCCAAATATTTTGAAGTGGGTAGATCTAAAGCTCTCATACAGGAATATTGTAGATATAAACAATAACTGGAATGGCTATCAGATAAAAATATTGTTGAATTCCATGAGTAGATGATGAAATAACCAATGGACTGAAAATTTTAATTTCAGGAACTTGAAAGATGGTTTAAAGCTAAACCATCTTTACAGCTGAATTGGATTAATTTAATTCACTAGTGAGTTCTACATTTGATGTTTGTATTAGTCTGTTTTCACACTGCTATAAAGAACTACCCGAGACTGGGTAATTTATGAAGAAAAGAGGTTTAATTGAGTCACAGTTCCATAGGCTTAACAGGAAGCATGGCTGGGAAGCCTGAGGAAACTTACAATCATGGCAGAAGGCAAAGGGAAAGCAAGGCACATTCTTCACATGGTTGCAGGAGAGTGAGGGAGCAAACAGGGAAGTGCTACACATTTTTAAACCATCAGATCTCATGAGAACTCACTGACCATCACAAGAACAGCAAGGGGGAAATCCGCTCCCATGATCCAATCACCTCCCACCAGGCCCTTCCTCCAATACATGGGGATTACAATTCAACATGAGATTGGGTGGGGACATAGAGCCAAACCTCACAATGTATTAGACATGGGCAAGAACCATTTGAGCTTTCATCATAGAGAATGTTTTTCCAGAGGATCAAGTTAACTAAAAGACTTATCTCTGGAGGCACGGCTTGGCTCTACTTTTCCTAACTTAACTACATCATCAACCACATAGAAAATTTGTAACATCAAGATGTCTGTTTATAGAGTTCTATTGCAAAATAGAGATATGACGTTAACTATTGTCTTCCCAATTCCTAGTGCTTATCATGTACTATGTATGATGACCTATGCATTCACTATTAGAATATAGACACAGCCAGCACTGGATATTTTTCCTGGACCATAGTTGGACTTTTTTCTTCATTGCTTGGTCAATGGAGGATGCTATGGGACCAAAATTACACTGTTCAATAGGGGAGCCCCTGGCTACAGGTGCTATTGAGTACTTGAGTTATAGTTAGTCTGAACTGAGATGTGCTGCAAGTTTAAAATGCATACTGGATTTCAAAAACTTAGTTCAAATTTTTTTAAATGAAAGTATTTCATTAAAAACATTTTACATTGATTATATGTTGGATAATAATTTCATCCATATTTGGGTAAATAAAATATATTGTTGAAATTAATTTTATCAGATTATTCACATATATTAATGTGGCTATTAGAACATTAAACATTACAAATTGGCCCACATTGTATTTTCATTTGTTGTTAGCGCTAGTACAGACCATAGTGAGACTCCAAAAGTCATTTTTTCAACCATGCTATGTATGTCCCTAGCAGTCTTGTTTTATGACAAGTGCTCAATCTTCTTAAAAGTCTTTCTCCTCCTCCTGTACTCCTCATCAAAGGCAGAGTCACACTGGTCCAGAAGGCTAGTAGTTCAAAAGAGATTGCTGGCCTCTCTTTACCTTACTATTTTCCAACATCCATTCAGCAAATCCAAGGCTTAATTATTATTTGTATAAAGTTTTCTTAGAGAGATTAATAAAATTCAGTGATACTTGAAACCAAAATATTCTTGTGATCCAGTTGTCCTGAACAGTGTGAGGTTTTTAATCTTGATTTTTAATCATAGTATTTGCTCTTCATAAACAAGATGATACTTACTCTCATTTCTTCATTTCCCAAAGCAAGACAGGCACACGAAAAACTTATTTTATTTTATTCTGTATGAGGATGAGTTTGATGTGACTGAAAAAAGTAATCAGTACAGAACTGCCTAAACTTTTAGCCCTAGGTAGAGATAAATTCCATCTTTGATAATCATGTACAACTTCTGAATAACTGCTTCTTAGGTATGAGGTCAGCCTGGTGCCTTGGCTCTATCCATGGACAGCAGCTGGTCAGACAATTCTGTATGCAGCTTTGACTACAGTGCTACAAAGATTTCTCACGGAGAGAAAGAAAGAATTGCAGCCCAAATCACAGCCAGGCTTGTTTCACCAGCCTTCTTGAGAACTGTCAAAATGGGTCTATAAAAGAGCAAGTGAATTGCAAAGCAATGCCAAATATGAAAGACTTGAATCCAAATCAATAGAATTTCTGCATGTAGTAAAGTACATTAAAGGACTATGATCTGTATACAGAGACAGAAATGTTAACAGGCCAAAAATTTTGGTAATTTAGGGGAAAAGGCAGAAAAATACATGGTGGAACAAGATCCCTTTAATGACATTGGAGTCTGTTGAATGGTATAACTTTGGGCTACGCACACATATCCAAGATCACACAAGGCTAGAAGTCATATCCAGGCAAGCTGAAGGACAGGGATGCCCAAAGAAGGGGAGGCAAAAAGATCAAAAGATAAGTGGACAGGTAAGTAGACAAGAAAATGCAAGTAGAGGGCAGAGCAAGAAGGTGATTCAACATTCAGAGTAGAAAGTGGCAGTCTGATTCAACATTCAGAGTAGAAAGTGACAATCAGCCAACCAAACACACACAAGGAAGATATGTAGGAACTGATGTTACTATTAAGGCAAGAATGTTTCATTTAACATTCCAAGAAAGTAACTAGAAGTGAAGGTGATGACAAAGCCAATTACCTAATGGATATGGGGCCCTATTGTAACATAACAATTTTAGTGACAAGGCAAATCCTCGTAGACACAGAAGTGAAGTGTGGTCAATCTGAAGAAAGGCTTGAGGAAACATGAGGCTGAAGAGGTGGGTGGGGACTGAGATGGGAAGATTCTGACAGGCAGAACTGCTCAGAGTTGGGAACACACAGTTGGCTATCACCTGCAATGGTTTCTCAGTGCCTCACAACTTGGTAGTGTTATATTTTACTGGATTATGACAACATTTGGGATCTGCTAGTAGGCTGGGGTAGGGAGTCATATCCTGAATTGCACTTTTTTCCTTTCATTCAAAATACTCTGGTGCTCATGCATTTACTGACACCATTCCTGGTGGTGGCTCAGCTCAGGAGGTAGACATTTCCAGGACTCTGTGGTCCATGGTCTTGTTCTGCTGCTTGGTGTCTGGTGATGGTCATGCAGGACATCAAGTAGCAGATGAATCAGGTATGCCCCATATACAGCCAGAATCGACAACATAATTATAGTTTACAGATTAATTATCATTCCATCATAGATCCTTAGCTTGTGCTGTACAAAAGGGAACAAAACAGTTTCCTTTTCAAAACTGGCACCTTCTTAAGGAAACAATTATATCAAAGGAAATCATAAAAACTGAGCCATCAAAATAGAGTTTTATGCTATCACCAAATGTTTCATTATATGATAAAACTGAGTGAGATTTTAATGGTCATCTCATATAATAAAGGAATGGCTCAGATGATTTTTAAAAACAGGCTAATGGTATACAATTTATTCAGTGTTTCTCAACAATTACTGTGCATCAGGTTTACTTGGGGGTCTTCTCAAAACAGAGATTATTGAGCCCACTCTCAAAATATCTGATTCAGTGGTCCAAGGATGTGCATTTCTAACAAGCCCACAGATGCCTGTGGTGCTGGTCTAGGGACCCTAGTTTAAGAATTACTAATCTGGTCAGTGGGCCAGTCAAGACAATGACCCTGGCTCTGTCTAAATGTCTACAGTTCTGTATTCTAACAAGACTTAAAGAGAAACAGTGCAAAAGAGAAAGAGAGAGACAGAAAACTTTTTATTTTGTCAGGCTTGGGAAACAAAGATTACTTAATCTTTCAGAAAACTTTTTGTCACCAAGGGACATTTGGGTGAGTTGGTTTGATGAGACTAAAAACTCCAAGCCGGACATAGTGGCTCATGCCTGTAATCCTAGCACTTTGGGAGGCCGAGGCCCGTGGATAGCTTGAGTCCAGGAGTTGAAGACCAGCCTGCGTGACATGGCGAAATGCTGTTTCTGCAAAAAGATACAAAAATTAGCTGGACATGGTGGTGCATGTGTCTGTAGTTTCAGCTACTTGGGAGGCTGCAGAGGCAGGATCTATTGAGCTCAGGAGATTGAGGCTGCAGTGAGCTCTGGTCGTGCCACTGCACTCCAGCCTGGGCTACAGAGCAAGGCCCTATCTCAAAACAAAAAACCAAAAAGACTCAAGACCGCCCCTATTGGGAAGGAACACTAAGAAGAAGAATGCCTTAATGCCTGTCGGTGTCACTCACAGTACTTGTTGTCTCTCCTCTCTGTAATGTAACACTTATCACACTCCTCTTCTGCAATTTCAGGACTGCCATTAGGATAATGTGGATTACACTTCCGCAGCCCCTATCTAGATGTTACATTCAAATGTCACTGACAGTAAATAGAATCTGCTATAAGAAATAATGGGGAATGCTGGCCAGAGTCTGTTGAAAATAGATATCTGCCTTAGCCAGACACAAAGAAAGATAACCCTGAATGTAGATTAAGTCTGCAATACACACAAATTCTTGATTCTGTCAGGTTCATCAGAGACAGTAAACCCAGAGAGATTTGAAGCCGAATGGATTATGATCATTTACCTTGTATTGAATTCCATGGCACCTGTGAATATTTACCCTTTGCACAGTAAAACTTCAGGCATAGCAATCTGGAAACTGCTCCCCTGAATTCTGCTTAAAGCATGTAGTCAAAATTTCTGCACACCAGGTGTAGGTGGCTTTGCTATTATCATCATTGAAAATGCATGTCCTGTTTTCTTGTGGCAAGGTGACAGGTGATATACAAAACAAGATGCATCCATAATCCATGCCCTTGAGGATCTTTCATACAAAGACAAAGGCGAGCACTGATTTCCAGACAATAGCCTCATAAAGCAGCTTAAAGTAAGATTTTGTTTTCGTTTTTATTTTTTGTGGGGTTTTTTTGCACAGAATTTAAGTGAAAAATATCTGTTTCTGTGAAGCAATGGTTTGGTGGGATCAATTTCTCCAGTGGGCAGATGTGATGGTTAATATTAGGTGTCAACTTGATTGGATTGAAGGATGCATAGGTGGGTGGTAAAGTATTGTCTCTGGGTGTGTCTGTGAGGGTGTTGCCAGAGGAAATTAACATTTGAGTCAGTGGACCGGGAGAGGAAAACCCACCCTCAATATGGGTGGGCACCATTCAATTGGCTGCCAGTGCAGCTAGAACAAAGTAGGAGGAAGAAGGTGGGATAAGCTGGCTTGCTGAGTCTTCTGGCTTTTGTCTTTCTCCTGTGTTGGATGCTTCCATCTGTCCCTTCTGCCCTTGGACATCAGGTTCCACGTTCTTCAGCCTTTGGACTCTTGGACTTACACCAGTGGTTTGCCGGGGGCTCTCAGGACTTCAGCCACAGACTAAAGTCTGCACTGTTGGTTTCCCTACTTTTGAGGGTTTTGGACTTAGACTGAGCCACTACTGGCTTCTTTCTTCCTCAGCTTGCAGACAGCCTATCATGGGAGTTTACCTTGTAATCACGTGAGCCAATTCTGCTTAATAAACTCCCTATTATATACACATGTATCCTATTAGTTCTGTCCCTCTGGAGAACCCTAACTAATATAGCAGTTAGTAGATATTTGTTTAGTGTCTAATCCCTGGGCACTGCCTACCCTCCCACTGGCTCTTCCAATCAGCATGTCCACGTTTCTTGTTCTGGGCAGGAAGTGGTGAATAACGCAAGGAAATTATCAGCAATATTTTTAGTATATGCACACTTTTTTCCAGTTCTACCATTGATGATATTATTTTACATGTGATCTGATATGGTTTAGCTGTGTCCCCACCCAAATCTCATCTTGAATGGTAGCTCCCATAATCCCCACATGTCATGGGAGGGAACCAGTGGGAGGTAAATGAATCATGGGGGTGGGTTTCTCCTGTTCTCATGATAATGAATAAGTCTTATGAGATCTGATGATTTTATAAAGGGCAGTTCCCCCGCACATGCACTCTAGCCTGTGTAAGACATACCTTTGCTACCCCTTCACCTTCTGCCATGATTTTGAGTCCTCCCCAGCCATGTGGAACTGTGAGTCCATTAAACTTCTTTTTCTTTATAAATTACCCAGTCTTGGGTGTATCTTTATTAGCAGCAAGAGTCCGGACTAATACATGATCAAAAACTAATTGGGCGAGAAAATTGTTTTTGGCACCTCCTTTGATTTTACCTGAAGGAAAGCCTGACAAGAAGGGAATCAGTTACACTGGAGCTCCATGGTGTTTGAGAAGATTGAATATCAATATCCGCTTGACTTCAAATCCAGTCCTGTTGTCTCAGTGCCCATCTAGCCACCTGCTGGCATCCTTGCCTGACACCTGCTCCAGGGGGACTACACTACCAGATAGACTCACCTCACTGAAACTGATTTAGAAGTGGATTTTAACTCATTAGGCTAGAGCCAAGGTATTGAGAGGACCTGCTAAGCATCTGCCATTTAGTCACGGGCATCACTGTAAAAGGTCCACTCTCTAGTGTAGTCTAACATGAGGAATAGTTTATCCATTTGCCTTATACTGTGGTTCAAAAAATTCAATGAAGTCAGCCCTATTAAGTGATTAGTTTCTCTCAATTTTCTTATAGGGTTGGACTTTGCACTAAAACTACATTTCATGTCATGACTTATGGGTGACCTTGTGACTTTCCCTTGCCAAGTGTTCTTACAGGCATAGCCCAGTGCCACCTTCATATGATTGCGACAACACTTAGAATAAGAAAGGCAATAATGCTCCTCTTATTCCTGCTAGGGATACAAAAGCTCTACTATAGCTTGTACCTTTCATACTTTCTAGACATCAGGAGGGATCATTCACACGACCACCACCACCACCACCACCACTACCACCACTGCTACTACTTTTACTGCTATTTCTACTAGTTCTTCTTCCTTCTCCTCCTTTTTCTCCTTCTTCTTTCCTTAAGCTTCTGTACTTACCCTTCATTCTCATGCATATTTTCAACCTGTTGATTAGACAATCAGAATTCGTTTATGTAGGTTGGTGGTAGAGCAACCCCACATCAATATGTGAGTAGATTAAGCTGCAGAAGATAAATACTTGTGGCCCACTGTTGTCTCAGATCATGATGTTTGTTTCTCAAGTTAAGGCCTCCTTCGATTTTGGCATGCAAAATGGTGGCATCTACTCAATAATTTATGCTAACTTCCCTTTGGAAGTCATTTCTTGAGCAGAATACCTACAAAAGTTTTTCTATTACATGTAGAGTGTAAAACCGTTATACAATATTTCTGAATAAATTTAAAGAGAAAAAGATAAACTTTAGAACCAAATGAGATGTTTGCATCCTCAATTCCTAAGGCCACGTTTTGTAAGGCCAAAGAGGAGAAGTCCCATGGCCAGGATCCGAGAAACTTGTTACTGAAAAAGTAGTAATAGGTGTCCAGACTTCATTGCTGAGTTATTTTTCCACTTTAGAGGCCAGATCAGTCAGGACTCATCTATACAAAGGCATACATTGGGCAACTTCTATTTCCAAGACAAAGGCAATCAGGATATCTTAGACAGAAAGAGGGTTCAATTGAGTCTATAATTATAATTAATTTGTAATTGTTTGTCCTCTAAGTTAGCATATATAACTGACATTAGAGACAATCAGCTAAAACTACGACAATCAAAATTTCTCAGGTCCTATTATTAAAAGTATTCAACATATTTATTAATGATGCAAGTGTTTTGCAAACCAAGGAAGATATTTCTTACAACAGTAGAAAATTCTGTTTGTTCTCTCACTGCCTTTTTTCTTAAAGTATTAGGGTTATTAAGTGCAACATCTGCACAGAACAGGTTGTTTGCTTTTCAAATAACTTTAGCAGAAAGAAATATTTGATGAATTAGTAATGTGTTTGACCTTGAGAAACTGATCAAAATATCTGGCTCTTTGGTACTTTACTTTGATGCCTCAGTAACTTTTTAAAGCTGAATTTTACAAGCCCCTTAGCAAATTGGTTTTGCAATGGTGTTTTTTTTTCTTGTATCTGATATATTACTTGGATGCTGACAAACCTGCTGGAAAGGAAAACAAAAATGAAAGTCTAAGTAATCAGTAGCCTCTGCAATCATTATAGATGCTTGATGGGTATTTCAGAGTCCTTTACTTGAAAACAAATTACGTAAATCCACTTATGTGTGTTGAAAATTTACAGTAACTCTAAAGAATGAGGAACCAGACACATCAGCATGGTTGAAAGTTAACTTCTGAGACATTAAAAGATGTTCCTAGGTCTGTAACTTCTTGTTCTTTTTCCAGGAAATTTATTTTCTAGACAATTACCTCTATGGGGAACACCCAGGGCTGGAGGGAACAATTTTACAGAATCTTACTGTTATTGAGTCAGCAGTGCTAGCTATTAAATAACAGGTGGCAGGCTGTGATTTATATGCGCAAGTTGCACTGTGCAGTCGTCCTATGCAGGCCCTGGCCCTTAGGAAAGAAAGCCAAAGATGGTACATCAACTACTATAAAACTAAAGCGTCTTCTTTTGTTAGTCCAAATGTGCTTACCTATTAAGCTATAAAAGATGTAATCCATGAGCCAAGACCAAAATCACCAGTGTACACTCACTCCACACATACGTAACATTCTTTAGTCTTATCATCATCCTTTACATGTTCATTACACATATTTAAAAAAAAAAGATAATCCGTCTGCCTCTTCCTATAAGATATGCTTGGAACTAAGCAATGTAGCAGTGAGCCATAAGAAACCTGGATCAGATATTTTAATTGAATAGACAAGTCCTAAACTTATTCAAAGAACGAGTAAGATTGTCTTGGGATGGTTTTGCTTTTATTTGGTATTAGTTTTTGATTTGGTGTTGGTATTTTTTTTTCCAGGAACACTGGATATATTCTATGTTTTATGGAACTTTTTTTAGTTCACCAGTGCTTTAGGTGTTATAAACATAAGTCAAATATCATGTCTTGCTGTACCCAACTCACTAGGCACAGAGACTGACATCTATTTGTTCAGTATTTCTAAGGAATCTCAAATCTAAAACAATAGCTATGTGGCTTCATGTTTAGAGATTGTCCTCTCAGTCTTTCAAACATTATTCGTGGAGATTTGTTTCCACTTTAAATAGCAGAGCTATTGCAATACTGAATCTGTGAGAACTTCCTTGCCTTTTGAATGCTTATTGGCTGCTTAACATTTTAAATGAGAATTGTTCATCCAAAGGAAGTTCACTTCGTTCTGAAATTCAATTCAACCTAAATTGTAGGCATCTCAATTTCCCATTCTGAAGTTCCAAGATCAAGAAAGTGTCACCTTACTCTTGATATATTTTGGGTCTTACAAAAGAGTCAGACACTCACAATTCTGGGAGAAATATATTTCTAATTTTCTTATTACAATTCTCACAGCATATAGTAAAGTTCATTAAAAAATTGAAAAAAGTTACATTAGAATTCAGTTTTCTGTTTGATTCTATGAGGGATAATAAACTCAGTAACATCTAGATAGTTTCTCATTATGTCTCACCAACTTTTTATTTATTTATTTATTTATTTATTATTATACTTTAAGTTTTAGGGTACATGTGCACAATGTGCAGGTTAGTTACATATGTATACATGTGCCATGCTGGCGCGCTGTACCCACTAACTCGTCATCTAGCATTAGGTATATCTCCCAATGCTATCCCTCCCCTCTCCCCCCACCCCACAACAGTCCCCAGAGTGTGATGTTCCCCTTGCTGTGTCCATGTGTTCTTATTGTTCAATTCCCACCTATGAGTGAGAATACGCGGTGTTTGGTTTTTTGTTCTTGTGATAGTTTACTGAGAATGATGATTTCCAATTTCATCCATGTCCCTACAAAGGACATGAACTCATCATTTTTTATGGCTGCATAGTATTCCATGGTGTATATGTGCCACATTTTCTTAATCCAGTCTATCATTGTTGGACATTTGGGTTGGTTCCAAGTCTTTGCTATTGTGAATAGTGCCGCAATAAACATACGTGTGCATGTGTCTTTATAGCAGCATGATTTATAGTCCTTTGGGTATATACCCAGTAATGGGATGGCTGGGTCAAATGGTATTTCTAGTTCTAGATCCCTGAGGAATCGCCACACTGACTTCCACAAGGGTTGAACTAGTTTCCAGTCCCACCAACAGTGTAAAAGTATTCCTATTTCTCCACATCCTCTCCAGCACCTGTTGTTTCCTGACTTTTTAATGATTGCCATTCTAACTGGTGTGAGATGGTATCTCATTGTGGTTTCGATTTGCATTTCTCTGATGGCCAGTGATGGTGAGCATTTTTTCATGTGTTTTTTGGCTGCATAAATGTCTTCTTTTGAGAAGTGTCTGTTCATGTCCCTCGCCCACTTTTTGATGGGGTTGTTTGGTTTTTTCTTGTAAATTTGTTTGAGTTCATTGTAGATTCTGGATATTAGCCCTTTGTCAGATGAGTAGGTTGTGAAAATTTTCTCCCATTTTGTAGGTTCCCTGTTCACTCTGATGGTAGTTTCTTTTGCTGTGCAGAAGCTCTTTAGTTTAATTAAATCCCATTTGTCAATTTTGGCTTTTGTTGCCATTGCTTTTGGTGTTTTAGACATGAAGTCCTTGCCCATGCTTATGTCCTGAATGGTAATGCCTAGGTTTTCTTCTAGGGTTTTTATGGCTTTAGGTCTAAGGTTTAAGTCTTTAATCCATCTTGAATTGATTTTTGTATAAGGTGTAAGGAAGGGATCCAGTTTCAGGTCTCTACATATGGCTAGCCAATTTTCATGTCTCACCATCTTGATGTCATACCCAAATCAATGTAATCTTCTCAGAAAAGCTGTGTGGCCAATAGAATGTTAAGGTAAGTTCTTATTTTTTTCTCTGAAATGCTTCTAACTTGCAGATAATACATGAAGCATAAATGATGTATATATTTGAAGCCTAACACAAATTCTGATGCTTTTATCATTAAAAGTGAGCCAAAATATTTGGTAAAACTCTTCTGTTTCTCTGAGAGTTCATATTGGGATGCTTGGGTCTTTCAAGGATGCTGTCTTGGAACTGCTCCACACACTCTGGACCTGCCTTGCTTTGATATCATTTTGGTTTTGCTCCAATTTCAAATTTCTACCCCTTCAAAAATTAGATTTTGAGTCTTCCAAATGTGAAGGCAAATTTTGCAGACCACCTATAAAAATCAAGATGGAGTATTTCATGCTGCAGTATAACCCCCAAATCTTACCATGTCTAAAAACAAAATATTTACTTCTCACTCTAATTGTATATCCAATATGGGCCAATGGGCCTCTGCTCATTGTAGACCCAGGTTGACATAGGCTTCATCTTTTTTTTAATTTTTTATTATTTATTTATTTATTTATTTATTTAATTTTATTATTATTATACTTTTAGGGTACATGTGCGCAATGCTTCATCTTAACACAGACTTCCATCACCTGGGTAGGGAGAACAGAGCACTACATTGCCTCACAGGGCCAATTAAATACTGCTTCTTGGAGGGAGACGCAGGCAATTTCTAGCACTTCTGCTCATATTTTGTTGGTCAAAGTAAGGCCACAGCTAACTTCAAAGTGGGTGGGGAGGTACAACACTGCATGAGCTCAGAAAAAGGAGAATTAGAATGTTTGTGAAGAGTGCTAATGGCTATCACCCCTTGGAATACTCCACTTCCCCAATCTGGCTCTCAGTAGAGCGATGCTTCAGAATTCCCATGGTAGCACTTTCCACGTTTCTCTTTCTACTGAGTGCTATCCACAGAGAGGAAAATAATAACTATCACAGGTATATATTAAGACTCATTTACAAACACAGTGTGAATTTAAAGTATATTAGCTTAATCAAAGAGTAAATATTATGTTTCTATATCATGGTTTAATTTTTCGTTAGTTATCATTTATAGGTCTGGGGTAAAAATAAAGTATATTTAGGCTAGTCATGATGGCTCACACCTGTAATCCCAGCACTTTGAGAGGCCAAGGTAGGAGGATGGCTTAAGCACAGAAGTTCGAGACCAGCCTGGGAAACATAGCTAGACCCTGTATCTACAAAAATTTTAAAAATACAAAATTATCCAGGTGTGGTGGCATGAGACTGTAGTCCCAGCTACTGGAGAGGCTGAGGTGGGAGGATCACTTGATCCCAGGAGTTCGATGCTGCAGTAAGCTGTGATCACACCACTGCACTCCAGCCCGGGCAACAGGGCAAGACCCCATCTCAAAAACAAAAAGTATATTTTATAATTCTATTGAAGACATTTTGGTAAGTAGAAAAACCATATTTTCTTGTTTGCTTTACACCCTTCCAGGTATCTATTCCGAACTTCTTATGCTTATTTTCTGCAATCATGTGGTTAGTAACTTCCTGATTCCTCCCACCCCCACATCTAAACTCAACTGATGCTGGTTATACTTACAATTTTTTACATTATCTACATTCCTTGCATCTCCCGAACCTAATGCCATTCTCCCTGTTACCCAAGTTGTCTCCTCTCAGCTATTTCAACATAGTGCCACTTTTTTTTCTATGCTAAATACAGCTTGTCGGAGGAAAAAAAACTAATCATTGCAACTCCCATATGGAAGCTGCAAAGATTGTTAGAAACTGCTCTCTACTGCTCCAGGCTACAAGTGCGTCACTAAGTCTTACATGTTTGCTTGACAATCTCACAGCAGGAATCACTGTGGGGAGAGTAGGAAAGTGAAATAACAAGGAGATTGGATGTCAAATTCTTTTTTTTATGAGATCTCCTAATAAGGATATTTATTATCTAATGTAGAAGATTAAAAGTTTGACCCACACCTTTTACAGCCTTGCAATATGGCCCTCTCTTTCTATTACTGTAGCTCATCAATTTATGTTTTAGAGAGTCACTTTCTCATCATCCTAGGTGGGTGTCTCAGCAGACACCTGTGGATATGGATATGACACAGCCTTTAAACTCCCTTTCTCCTTTCCTGCTAGCCCCTCATCCAGGGCATCCTGCTGACAAGAATTAACTCGCTTAAACACCTGTGACTGGGTAATTATTGAGATGTTAATTTTACACTATTCTGCTTGATACTGAAGATGGGAATTAATTGAAGGTAGTTTTTATGTTCAGCCCTAAAAGTCTTTTGTTCCAATCCTGGGCTGTTAGGTTAGCAATGATTGCTATGAAGCAAGGCCATAGGCAGAAATGTGGAGAAATCCAGGAAATACTGTTCCCTATCCAAGCTTTTGTTAAGAAATAAGCCAATGGGGTAATGATAATACTTAGGGTGAAGAAAGCAGAGCTGGCTCTATAGTGGAGACATCATTTAGCAAGGTGATGGAGTGATCAGAGTTGACAGTTTTCTAGAGTGAATTGAACTGTTCTCCCCTCCCACACAGTGCCCCAAATGGCAAAAGGATCCGTAATAGAGTACAGATCTTCACCAAGGTGAGAGAACACAAAAAGGCCATGGTTTTGGAGCCAAGGAGAAAGAGCATGTCATCATATTGGAAGAACAGGAATGTAGCAGGCTACTTTAAAAGGACCACACAAACTTGAATAAGAGTGAGTAGGGAATCACCATCATGGACTAAAGACTAGAACCGTTCTCTCCACTCAGGAATTTGTATGTGAATCAAGGGGAGTCCGAAGCACCCTTTCCCCCAGTATCACTGTGACTGAGATAGTACTTATTGTTACCTTTTGTAGGTAGGTCAAGCCTGATTTATCTGATTTCAAACATAAATTGGAGTGAAGTTTTTCTCATTTCAACAATATACTCTATATTCAAAGTCACTGCACACCAATCTGAACATTATACTTTCTGGCTCAGAAGTCTTCACAAGCTCAGATTATGTGCTGTATTGGAATTCAGAGACCACTATAATTGGTCCCTATCTTTGCTATCAAGATGTACTTATTTATTCTTCCAAATCTTCATTTTCTGCGCTCATCTGTTCACATCATTACTTTATCCCAATGGACTATTAATTGTTCATTCCTTGAACTCTGAAAGTACTTTAACCCTGTGTAACTCTAGTGTATGAACCACCTTTTTAAAATGCAGTCTGGATTATCTGTAGTTACTTCATTAGGGTCAGAGTTCTTAATGAAATTAAAAACTTTTGGGGGGCAAGATTCATGTCTTATATTTCTCATACCCTCCTAGTGTCTGGCAAGAAGCTAAGCACAATATAGATACTTCTTAATCAATTGTATTATATATCACTGCTTCACATATTGAGTAGTGTCTGGGTCCAGTATGTCATCAGGGCCACAGCATGCTGTACAAGATAATTAACTGACATGACAAAAGTTTTCATGGTAGACAAGTACAAAAGACAATGGATTGGTAGTTTCATCTGCAGAACACACTTTAACTGATTTGGCAGATATGAGAACTATATTGACTAAACGTATCCTTACCTTAGCTCTGTGAAGTATAAGTTGGTGCTTCCTGGGTCATAAACGTTGGTATTCTTGCGCTGAGAGAAGAATGGAAGCCCAACAAAAAAGCCAGTGTTCAAATTCGCTAAGAGTGAGACCAAAAGCCTGATGCCTAGAGTTTGTACTTGCCTCAGTGCTAGCAAGTACAAGTAGTCATATACTCAGGAGCACTGTAGAAAGAAAAAGACCAGAGACACTGCAATGAATTATTTGGCCACTTGTTTCATTTGGGCAAAAATAGTAAGTATAGAAGTCGCCTTTATGTTGCAAATTCTAAGCCAGAGAATTATTATTGCTCACTGATCTCATTTTTGTGTAGGATAATACTAAGGACATCTGCAGACTAGTAGATGAGTAGACTACTAATATCTAGCAATGCCTGCAGCTTTAATAATCACCTTTTAAGTATGCTCTGAAAAACAGAAACAGAAATCTCAGTCTTTCAAAAGACAGAAACATTTAAAGATGAAACCAAGTAATTTATCATTGTCTTGATGCTGTAATTCAATCTTTGTTGAAATGCAGAAAACAACAATTAGTATTGCTTCTGTATCTGCTTTTATTATACCCACTGTATCATAGGAACTCTGTGAAAATGACTAACTCTCACAGGTCTCTCGTTTTCTGCTAACCTTTCTTGTTATGAAAAGCATAAGACAAGAACAGTCATTGATTGGGGAATTGAAGTTCTCCCATAAAAGATGAGTATGTCGACAGAAATACCATCAGTTCCCCGGCATGCAGGTCAAATATTCCTTAATCTCACTTCTGTCAAGGGATTGCATGACCACCCTCAGACAAGGACAGCCAATATTACCTGCATTGGGAATTGGACCCGTTGAAAATGCGTGAAAAGGGGACAGAGTGAACTGAAGAACAGCAGTGCCTCCCTCAGACACACAGAATCATGCCTGGCTGTATCTTACACACCAAACGAACTGTATTTTTGATTTTACTGTCTGACATTTACCAGAGGGATAAAGATACATGAGTAATGAGGCGAAAGGGCATTACAAGCTGGGTGTGTATTTTCCCATTACTTTAAGAAATGAGCCTAGCCAAAATTGCACTCTGAATTCCAAGTTAAAAATGAATTAAATGAGTATCCTTCACATTTGTCACAGCACCCTCAACAAAAATCAAAAATTCTCAAGGTATACATGTGGCTGGTCTTTTTCTATGCCATTTCCTAACTATATTACATACCCGTTTTCACAGTATCAAGCTGCACATTATTTTTGGTTGGTATGCAAACACCAACATCTGTGTCTATCTCCTCTATGATGTCATTTTCCTTAATAACACCAGCTCCTGTCATTATCAACTGCCTGGTATTTGGTAGACATGATGTTAGTGCTGTACGTGTATTCTGCCATTTAATTTTTAACAAAAACCCTATACAATTGTCACCATTCTTTATCAAGGTAAATCACACCTTTCTTCTTTTTCATCTTTCTCTTCAGAGCCTAGCGCAGTGTTCAGTCTCTTCTGCAATCTCAGTAAGTATATTGACTCATTGCATTTCCTGGCACACATGAACAAAACAAGGGGTTGAAGTATAATTAATGTGGCCATAAGTGGATAAGTAGATCAACCATCCAGTCCGCCACTTTGCTCAGAAGTGGCTCACACACTCACTCACCCACAAACACACACACACACATGCACATATTTGGAAGGCATATTTTGGCTTTAAGCATGCAGAGTCTGATTCCTGATTACCTGATCATGTAGAATGGATTAAACTCCTTTTTTTTTCTTTTTCCTTTTTTTTTTTTTTTTTTGCAGTTGGGCAGTCACTGTTCATGATACCCCAGAGTGTATACACCACTCAAACTGTATCACATTCTAATCCAACACCAATGAACATCACTTAGTAATAAAGAGATGTTTAATTTCTTGGCTTATAAAGTTAAAAACATTGAATCTCCTCTGGGGATTTCCTTGTCCTGAGGTGGTTGGTGTGACAATGAAAATTGCTATTTACTGTTGAAAGGCACCCCTATAATCTGGTGTGGCTCCAAGAACTTAGACTTTCTTAATGCTATTTCATATTTAGAAAACAAAACTAAAACAAAACAAAACTGTCCAGCACCCGTATAAGGTGCTCAAAACGTCATTGCTACCTGTAATTAATTGCATGGAGAATCCAATTATCACAGTTAAGGAATCAGACTGATACATGCAATTTGCACATGTTGATCACGTTGGCCATAAAAATTATAACAGGAGAAGTATACATAGTGGGTAATTATGCACACCTTGTATAAAGCTCTGGAGAGCAATTACGATATAAAAAATAATGTCGGCTGGGCTTGTGGCTCATGCCTATAATCTCAGCACTTTTGGAGGATAAGGCAGGTGGGTCACGACGTCAAGAGATTGAGACCATCCTGGCCAACATGGTGAAACCCCATCTCTACTAATAATACAAAAATTAGCTGGGTGTGGTGGTGCACACCTGTAATCCCAGCTACTTGTGAGGCTGAGGCAGGAGAATCACTTGAACCCAGGAGGTGGAGGTTGCAGTGAGCCAAGATCATGCCACTGCACTCCAGCCTGGCGCCAGAGCTAGACTCCGTCCCAAAAAAAAAAAAAAATATGGAATAATAAGAATAAATGAGTTTCACTGAAGTAATAACATTTCACAAGTTGTAGTTTGAAGTTTCTTCAGCTTAAAAAAATAGAATATTATCTTCAAATGAAAAAAATTTATATAGCTCACTGAGTTAAACACAAAAAAAAACAACAATAGAGATATATTATAATTTTTCATGCACATCGTGGAGACTTGGCTTGTGTTGCATAAGAAAATATGAAGATCCTCCACATACACTGAAAAGTTCCTAGGAATAAAGGGGTGGTTCAGACCAATATGAATGTTAGAATCAGTAAAACGGAGTCAAGCAAACCCCTGTGAAATTCATCGTACCAGTTACATGAGTTACTCTAAATTATGATCCTTTTTCTTATAGATGGAGGAGTGATAAATGCAGAGCTGTCTGCCAGCCTATTATACGGTCAGTAGCAGTGAAAGAAATGGAGAATGACAGGAATAAATAACATAATCTGATCAGTTAGTAGCACACAAAGACTTCTGGGGCTCTGCTTTGTGTGACGATTGGTAGTCTCCTGGGAGCCACCTTAGGAAGATTGACGGTTGCCACAGATAAGTTCAATTGTGTGAAGGACAGAAAGCATCCATTTTTAGATGCTAGTTAGATGCTTGATGAAGTAAATGGACCCTATATCAGAGCTTCTTGATACAAACTAAATTACCATGCCACATGGAAAAAATAGGAGAGTTTTTTAATGAATAATAACTTCTTTTGAATTGAGTTTGTGACTATTATATTTTTTCTAAAATACCTCCAAATGTCCAGAAGTCTATAGGAAATAGATACATGATAAATGTTCTCTGCTGAATTTTTATATATACATTTATATATACAAGATGTAATAGTACATCTTGTCTTATGAAAAGTTCTTGGTCTAGATACAGACAATAATATGACTTTAAATTTAAAATAAGTGATAAAGATTAAGTGACACACAGAATTCCACTATCTAATTTAAGTGCCAGTTGACTTGTTGTATGCTTCTATTTTTTATTTTTATTTTTTAAGCAGCTTTATCGATGTATGATTGATATTCAGAACTTCACATATCAAACATATAAAACTAAATGTATGTATACAATTAGATTAGTTTGAGCATATGCATATACCTGTAAAATCATAATCACAGTTGAGAGTCTATATGTATATATCACCTGTAAAAGTGTCCTTGAAGCCCTTGTCTTCCCTTTGTATCTTCCTAATTCTTCCTTTGTATGTTTCATGGTATCAAGAACTATGGAGACTTTTTGTCTCACTTGATTTTTTGTTGCTTACCTTTTTTTTGTTGGTATAATACTTGAAGCTGGATAATTTATAAAAAAATTATTTGGCTCACAATTCAGATTGCTGGAAAGTTTAAGATTGGGCAGGTGCATCTGTTGAGGTCCTCAGGCTGATTCCACTCATGGAAGATAATGGAAGAGGGGCAGGCATGTGCAGAGATTGCAAGACAAGAGAGAAAGCAAGAGAGAGAAACAGATGAAGCAAACTCTTTTTAACAACCTGCTCTTGTGGAAACTAATCCATTCCCTTGAAAGAAAGAACTCACTCCTGGGAGAAAGCATTAATCTATTCATGAGGGATCCACCTACATGAACCAAATACCTCCCATTAGGTCCTGCCTCCTAACACTGACATTTTGGGGATCAAATTTCAACATGAATTTTGATGAGGGCAATCCACATCCAAACCATAGCACATTCTCTTTAAAACTGTCTTCACTCTTTCTCATGACAATATTTTTTCCTTAGTTTTCAGCTGAGTTCAAAACCTTCCTTTTAGTCTTCTTTGTGGACTCTATACTTAGCCCTTTTCTCTCTCAAAAATGTCCATAGCCAATTTCATATACCTCTATGCATGGAGGTTTTTACCTCCACGCTTAAACTATTGGTTTTGGAATATATATCTTTAGCTGAGTCTCAACTCATGCCAGAAAAATATTTATAACTGCTTACTGGACAGTTGTTGATTTTACAGAATCAGATAAAAACCTGCAATGCTAACTGATTTTCTTTCTTCCTCACACTAGATCTCCCTCTTAATCCAGATCTTGATTTTTGGCATTATTATTTATCAAAAACTGTAAGCCACAGTCAATCTTTTGCCTCTCTCTCTTTCTTTCACCCATTTTAAGTTTCTGCAATCTGCATTACTTTTTCCTGCACATCCTATTACTACTGCCTTTCCCTGAAGCTTTGCTGCAGTCCCGTAACCTCCCTGCATCTGATTTTGGCTCATCACATTAATTTATTCTTCAGCATACTGTAGCTCTGATCACATCACTTTCCTGCCTAAAACCTTTTAATGGCTGTCAGTCTTGCATGCAATTAAAGTTAAACTTGTTAGCATGGCTCTCTGATTCCTCCCCAACATGGCTACTCCCTTCCTTTCTCACCCCATAATATCCTCTCTCTCCAAATATCACATCCTGAATTTACCAACTATGGGCAGGCCCTTTCTCAAGTGATAAAATAATGTTTTATTCTTTTCTGCTTGGCAAACTCATCTCCATCCTTCAAGATTTTGAACAAATGTCATGTGTTCTTTGAAACTTTTTCTAATATCCCCTGTCAAACCCAGACGGTCCTTCCTTGTGCTTCCAGAGACCTCTCTGTAGATATTTATTATGGGACTTACCACTCCATACTGGGATTATTTATTTATCAGTAGGCTGTAACATAATTAAAATAGGTTCCACTTTTTACTCAATTCTTCATCTTCTAATCTAGCATGGGTGACTACTTGTGAATTAGTGAATATATGTTCATTTTCCCCAAATTTTTGTGAATTGCTAGTATATCATTAGATAGTTAGCCAAAGGCCTGTCATATCACTTCAGATGGTTATGTTAGCAAAAACCAAATTTTTATGTATTTTATTTTAGAAATAAGAGGAAGGACACAGCACCAAATGTCATTCTTTTATTACTTCCCATTTTCTGATTGCCTTTTCCCCAGAAATATTTATCAAAAATTTCCTTTGTGTAACAGACACAGTGCTTAATGATCTATAGATCTATATGATAGGATCTATATGATAATAAGCAGGATTATTTCTGCACTGAAATGTAATGAGATGCTTTAGTATGTGATCAATATTATTAGCATATAACAACTAAGAGCTAGAGGAATTTAGAAGAGGAGCTCAAATCCATTCAGAGGAAGTCGGGGAAGTTTTCATTGAAGTTGGCCCTTGATACCTCAATAGGTTTCCTCACTTGGAAGATGATGGAAGGGTCTGTGAGGCAAGACAATCATGTGAGAAAAAAGAGAGGAAAAAGCAGATGGATTTCTCTAGGGAATCTACAATAATACACTGAGCCAGGTTGTTTTTTTGAAACCAAGTGAAACAGTGGGCCCCAAGGCATGAAAGATAAGTGGACTAAGGTTAAGAGACATTCGGTGCTGCCTGGACTTGAATTCCTAGGACGATGAAATCTTAAAAACTGGAAAATGACACCACATTTTATATTTTAGGATGATTAATATACGAGTTATTCTTACAGTATCTTTTGGAGGAGGTTAAAATCAATTACAAACTATTACATTAGTCCCAAATTAAGGTGTTTGTTTTGATATGAAAGTAAATAAATTTAAATTTATCCAACATAGACATAGAAAATTGTTTTTTCTTGTTTGCTTTGGTTTTTGTTTCTGTTTTTGAGTGAGAGTCTTACTCAGTTGCCCAGGCTGGGGTGCAGTGGCACAATCTTGGCTCACTGCAACCTATGCCTCCCAGGTTCAAGCAATTCTTCTGCCTCAGCCTCCCAAGTAGCTGGGCTTACAGGTGCATGCCAACACACCCAGCTAATTTTTGTATTTTTAGTAGAGATAAGGTTTCACCATGTTGGCCAGGCTGGTCTTGAACACCTGACCTCAGATGATCCTCCCACTTAGGTCTCCCAAAGTGCTGGGATTACAGGTGTGAGCCACTGTGTCCAGCCTGAAAATTGGTTTTAAAAGTACTTATTTGCATGAGATTTAAGAAATCTAAGTCCTTGTACCTATCATGGAATAAGAATTAAATATATGGTAGCTCTTAGAAATTTATTTAAACTACAAAGAGCAATTTCTATTGTACACCTGCTGTTCTACATTCTTCTTTATAACCAATTACTATAGTGCCGCATACTCACAATGAACAAGTCCTTATAACAGGATAGTGGCTAACATAAAATGCTCTGCAAATAAAATAAAACAGCCTTTCAACAGTACTGTTTGATTATGCTCAACAGTTTTTCTTTTAATCAATTTCTCTAAGTGTCTCCACTTGGATTTATATGTAATAAAACAACTTGCAGGATATTATCAATAGCTTAAAATTGTAGCATGGAATTAGGGAGCTCCACCATGTTTTAGTTCTGTGACCTTGGACAAGTCTGTTACCTTAATGTCTAATATGTGTCAGATTTTCAACCAGTTTTAGCACTATCACCCTCCTCTCTCTAAGCATTTTACTGCAGATGATTTAAAAAGTTTAGCACTTGATAAGCATATATTAGTATAATGACTAGAAAAATGTAAATTTAATTTGTAGGCCTTTTATTTGGTATAACCACTTCATTGTCTCCAATTAAAAGTGACTAAAAACTCATGAATAAATTATAAAACCTCACATTTTTCCGCAAGATATTCTTAAGTTGATAGGAGGTTGGTCATACAGTCAACAAAAGCCACAGCATTTTAAAATTTCTCTTCCTGGAATCTCTTGACAGTACAAAAATTAATGTTGCATTTCTCAACAATAGGAACTTTAAAGCCCACAAAAGGAATAAAGAGCAGATACCTGTGAAGTGCTTAGAATAGTGACTGGCATGTAGAAAGCACTATAGAAGGATTTGCTATTATCATCATCATTATTAATATGGAACAATTTATATATTCCTTCATAGGCCTTAGAGAAAGTGTCTGTTATGTGCTGTTTACACATAGGTTAAAATCTTCCAGAAATAGGTTCTGGGTCAGGTGCCAGATTGTAAAAGCTGCTGTTAAGAGACATGGTAAATTAGTCATATTCAAGTTAAACTAGCCTTGATATAAGCTCTGGGGTTCAAAGGGAAGGTTTTCTGTGGTATAATACAAGTAAATGTAGGGCAACGGCTTCATTGACTTCACTGAAAAGAAGAGACAAGGGAAGCCAATGCAGAAAAAAAAATTACATTTACATTAGTAGTTATTCTCTCTGCCTCTCTTTGTCATTGATGTTTAGTTTTATTTTGTTTCTATTCAATGAAAAAAAAAATCTTAAATTCCTGAATTTAGACATTTCAGAGATACTGATTGTTTTGGGCTAAATTGTGTCTCCCTAAAATTGATATGTTGAAGTCCTAACCCCCAATACCTCAGAATATGACTGTATTTGGAGACAGGGCCCTAAAAGAGGTAATTACACTTAAATGCGGTAATTAGGACCGGCCTTTTTCTAATATGGCTTGTCTTCATATAACAAGAGCAGATTAAGACACAGACACTCACAGGAAAGACCACATGAAGACACCACAAAAAGACAGTCTTTACATGCTAAGGAGGGAGGGCATGAGAATAAATCAATCCTGCTGACATCCTAATCTTGGACTTCCAGCCTCCAGAACTGTAAGGAAATAAAGTTCTGTTGTTTAATCCACCTAGTCTATGGTATGTTTTTAATGGCAGCCCAAGCAGACTGATAAAGTGATCTAATAATGTTTCTAATGAAGGTATAAACTTTATATTCAAATAAAGTCTAAGAAACAGTATTATAAAAAGTGAAATGTTTAACAGTCTTCAGAGCTATGCTGAGCTACAGTAAAAATAATGGCCATAATGTAATAGCTTTTTGGTGCATGCTATAAAATAGGCTCAGATAAGCTTAGAGAGGTTAAGTAACTTGCCCAACGTCACAGATAGGAAGTGAGGAAACCACCCATCAAAATGAGGTGTTTTAATTATAGAATCCTTGATATTAATCATGATAGATTAAAGTATTCTAGTCAACTTTGGGTAGGGAGTGAATTAGAGATTGCTGCACAGGACAAAATGAACACTTGAAAAGAATACTTTCAAGCTGTAAAAGAAAAAGTAATAAACATGTCCCCCTCCCAAGTCACAAGGATGTAGAATAATTCAGATAAGTCTATGTTAAACCTTGTGACTCAAAGATTCAGTGCTGATTATATATCTTTTTATTATTTGAATTAAAGGAACATGATATTGTTTATACACACACGGAAGAAAATCAGCTGGTACTCATGAGGGACTGCATGGGCACCAAACACAGTACATAAGAGAATCAAACCATACCTTATATTGTAATGGCAGAGACAAGCAGGTGTTGCAGGTAGGGCTGTGGGAAGATTCTGATTGTGGTTGTGAAGATTCTGATTGTGACTAACCAGAGCAAGATATGGGTGGGAACCTGGACAGTCAAAAAGAGAAGCAACGAGAATGGGGTCCAGGGTTTCATAGGAATGTGTAAAATTGATCATCTATGTTTGAGAGCTTTGGAATAAGGCAGACCTGTTGCTTCTCTCTTAGATTGCGATTAAGTCTATTCTGTTCTCTGAAGGCTGGACAAGTACAGTCCTCCAAAGCCCTGAAGATACCAAAGTGAGCATTTTAAATAGCAGCATCCTAGATGTCTGAAATCGTGAGCCTTCTTACATGGCAGCCAGAGTGTGAGCCCTGATTTTTGCCAGACTTGGTTCTCTCAGTGCAGCAATATGAACTAGGGTTGAAACAGGTGAAGCTACATGGAATTACATAGTTATAATTCCACTTAGATTCAATAAGAATGATTTGGGGACACTGATCAGCCAGGAATCTGTACAAAAATGATTTAGGAAAACAGGGGATGGGGAAAAAAGGTAATGTTACCTAATTGGCATACTTCTTTCTTATGGAAATAAGTAAATTTATGTGTGTGTATAACATATATACATAATTTATTTATAACTCAAATGTGTTATGCATCTTTTAACTAAAATACTTTTTTAATGATCACACAGACAACTTTTTATTGCTCAATGAATATGTTTCTTTCTTTTTTTTTTTTTGAGACAGGGTCTCACTGTGTCGTCCAGGCTGGAGTACAGTGCCTCAGAGCTCACTGCAGCCCAGATTCAATCAATTCTCTTATTTCAGCCTCCCCAGTAGTTGGTACTACAGGCATGCATCAACATCCCTGGCTGATTTTTATATATTTTTGTAGAGATGGGGTTCTGCCATATTTCCCGGGCTGGTCTTGAACCCCTGGGCTCAAGAGATCCTCCTGCCTCAGCCTCCCAAATTGCTTGGATTATAGGTGTTAGCCTCGCATCTGACCTTTATTCGGATGTTTCTTTTTCTTGACGATTTTAACCTAATTTCTAAAAAATTGTAATCCTATTACATGTCAAAATATTGTTTTTCTTTATGAATCCTGTCTTCAATGAACAGGGAAATGTATATCTAAAAATAAGTGTGCTCCTGCCTGGCATTAAATGCTACTGAGCCCTAAAGAGAATTGCCTGTCCCTCTCCTCTTAGCTTTGAGCGTCATTAATAACCTTTCAACACACCATTTCTGATTGCATACCACCTTTTACCTTCTAATCTTAAACACACAGTAAACATTCATCTTCTACAATGGCTTGGTGAAAGCAAGCATTATTATCCACAGCATTATAAATCAGCAAATTGATCTGGAATGACTACCCAAGGGAACACACAGAGAGGGGCAGAGCACAGAACCAATCTCTATTACCAACAACTAGCCAGGGTAAGAACTACCAACCACATTGTTATATTGAATCATGCTTCATTTCCATTTGTTACCGTAAAATTCAGGGAAGCACCTTCAATTCTTTTTGTAGACGCTTCCTTCTTTCCAACTCTTTTTGCCAGGCAAAGTTATAAGAACTGGGTTCATGTCACTAAAATACATATATGTAAACTGATGTGACCTATAACTACCACCTGGGCTTTGTAACCATTCATGCTCTTTTTGTTCCAGCATACCTAATTCCACATCCAATATTCTTCTGGTAATAGTTCCATCTTCTAATCAATGACCACAACAGTTTACCCAGGTATCACTGTGAACAGTGCAAGGAGTACATAAAGTTGAATTTGGGGCTGATATTCTTTTGGGCTTATAAGTTATGTAAGAAATTTTGGACTTGACCCTAAGAGCAGGAGAAAACACATTGAAGTATCCCACACAGAACATCTGCAATGTGAAATTTAACTTTCAAAAATATCACTATCTCTATGTGGAAAGTTGGTGACATGGATGTGTAGAGATCACTATATATATATATTTTTTCTTTTTTCTTTTTTTCCCCCCGAGATGGAGAGTATTGTTCTGTCACCCAGGCTGGAGTGCAGTGGTGCAATCTCGGCTCACTGCAACCACCACCTCCTGGGTTCAAGCAATTCTCTTGCCTCAGCCTCCTGAGTAGCTGGAGTTACAGGTCCACACCACCGTGCCTAGCTAATTTTTGTATTTTTAGTAGAGATGGGGTTTCACTGTGTTGGCCAGGCTGGTCTTGAATTCCTGACCTCCTGTTCCTCCCACCTCAGCCTCCCAAAGTGCTGCAATTACATGCGTGAGCCACCGTGCCTGGTGAGACCAGTTATATTTTAGACAACCCTTTTGATAACTTAAATATTTACTTAACATGGGTCATAAGAGAGGGTAATATAAAAGAGAACCCCAGGCTTCTGAAAAACAAAACAGAACAGCTGTGCATGCTTTGACACTATGATTTTAAACCAACAAACCAACTCTCCACAAACTAAGTATATGGTATGCTAACTACATAGAAAAGATATGGGCCTTTGTATGCCTCCCTCAACCAGTTCCCTTTCAATTTCTTAATTTGAGCCTTTACTCAGGAGGTTTTTATACAGTGGACAGAATATCATCTTGTCATATTTTTTTCTCCACCAAGAAATCAAAGTGCAAAGGGAAATTTGACAAATTAGAACTAATGATATACAAAGAGAGGGTAATGTTCATGTTGATGCCTCTAATACAAATGTGGGACACTAAGTTAAATGATGGCAACTTAAGGTTATTTGTGATACTACATGGACTCAGAATATATTCACTTGTGATTTTTGGTAAAAAATAAGAATGCCATAGAATTACATTTAATGTATTCTACGTACTAGCCTATAAATTCCCTCTCTTATTGTGACTTCTTAATATAGCTGTGATATTTTTAGAGACTCAGTCATGATTTTCAGCCAGAAACTGAAAAGGTTCTTCCCATGATTTTCCAAACACAAAGTAGATAAACCTTTGTAAAAAAAAAACTAATCCATTGGATGTATATAAAAACTATGTCATCCTAGTAAATTACATAAGTTTAATTTAATTTTTTGCTTCTTATTCATCTTTTCAGCACCCTAGTGAACAACTCAACATTATTTTCAGCTTTCAATATGTTCAGGTTGCTGTAAAATTACCCAGTGCTTGCTATAAAATTCTACAAGATGACATCCCCTGGAGGCCTCATATTACAGATTTAAGGAATCATGTAATTTTCCTTAATCAAAATTAGCCCTTCCCTTATTTCATTTGCTCAAAGCTTCTTTCTCTCATTTCACAATATGTGACAATTAGAAAAGAACTAAATCTCAGGATTTGAAAAAATTGTAATGCATTTTAAAACTCTATTCTCAGTGATTCCTTTATGAGTACATCTACTGCTAGGAATTGAAACTATAAGAGAAAGAAGATAGTGAAGATATCGTGGGGAGGATAGTTTTTGCTTTAAAGTTGATAACTGGATACAGTGTGTGTGTGTGTGTGTGTGTGTGTGTGTGTGTGTTGTTTTTGCTTTGTGATTGTTATACGAATTGGCATGGTTCAGCTATTGCTATATTATTAAGAAATTAAATAAGCCACATTCTGGACAGAGAGAATAAGTGGAATGAGTGTCTCTAAAAGATCATCAATAAAGCCGTACCAATTATTCAGTAAGCAAATATAATCTTGGAACAGAAATCAACCTTATTTTTGATCAAGAAATGAAGTCTTGTACAGTACATGTGGGTTTGCATCCCAGATATTAAAAAAGAAGGAATTGCTGTGAGATGCCTGAAAAATATAACTAGCCCATTGCAGCTATCTCCCTTTCCTGAATATCCATAGAATATTAATAGCTTGCAAACTCTAGTTATAACCCATTTGTTGTGCCTTATCAGCAAGGTTGTTATTAACTTCTTAAATTCACTTCACTTCCTTCTTAATATTTTGCAAAGCATTTATATTTATGCCTTCCCTCTTTTCAATATGCCGAATGAACAAGTATTTTTTTCATAGTAGAGAGTATTATAAGCACAGTGGTATCCATAAGGGGCAGGTATAATATGACAGCAGTGTTCCAACCAGGAAAGCCCTCAAGTGAAAATAAAATGTAGGCCTTCAGCCGTAAGTGCTGTGGGTGTGCATTCCCTGCTTCTGAGGATATTCTGCTCCCCAAGCAAAGATTGGAATTTCTGAGTTTGTTTTCTAAGAGTATCTTGCAGGGGCTTTTGTGTTCCACCTGGATTTGGAGGCTGTCATAAGTCTCCCTGAAGCTCTCTCCTTTGATTGGCTGAGAAGGACCCCTTGGCTGAGCTCGAGTTACCCAGTCAATTATTTTCTGGGAGTTGTGATCTAGGAACTGGGTTGAGTTTGCTTTCAATTTGCTCAATTCAGAAAAAACACAATACTTACTGATTTCACTGTTACCTCCTACGTTGTTCTTTTCTGAAAGAGCTGGAGACTAAGCTCTAAAACAATCAAAAAGCAGTGAATTTTTATACTTCTCCTTGGTGTAGGAAACTGTCTGTGAAGCTTTCTGTTGCATAGTTTGTTGATATTGTTTATTACGTAAAGAGTAAAGTATAATTTCTGGAACACTGGCCAGGAAGGAAAAAAGAATCATTTCAGAACTGTCAGGATCTGCTGTACTGAACTTCTCTCACTGCTCTACCTTAAACGTGCCATTATCCCTTCTCACTTCCAGGGCTTGGCAATGCTGTTCCCTCCACTCTCTGCCTGCCCTCTTTCCTAGACACCTTCTGATCATTATTAATGCTCATAAGCACTTCTTTACTGCTTTGAATACCATTTGTATTAGTTTCCTAGGGCTCTCATAACAAAGAACCACAAACCTTGTAGCATAAAGCAACAGAAACTTACCCTCTTACAGTTCTGGAGGCCAGCCAAAATCAAGGTGTCAGCAGTGCCACACTCCCTACAGAGACTCAGGAGGAAAATCTGTTCCTTACCTCTTCCATATCATTCTGCCCCTGGCCCCTCTCAAATCTCATGTCCACACATTTCAAAACCAATCATGCCTTCCCAATGGTCCCCCAAAGTCTTAACTCATTACAGTATTAATTCAAAAGTCCACAGTCCAAAGTCTCATCCAAGACAAGGCAAGTCTCTTCTGCCTATAAGCCTGTAAAATCAAAAGCAAGTTAGTTACTTCCTAGATACAAAGGGGGTACAGGCATTGGGTAAATACAGCTGGTTTAAATTGGAGAAAATGGCCAAAACAATGGGACTACAGACTCCATGCAAGTCAGAAATCCAGTGGGACTGTCAAATCTTAAGGCTCCAAAATGATATCCCTTGACTCCAGGTCTCACATCCAGGTCACGCTCATGCAAGATATGGGTTCCCATGGTCTTGGGCAGGTCTGCCCCTGTGGCTGTGCAGGGTACAGCCTCCCTCCTGGCTGCATTCCAGGCAGACATTGAGCATCTGCTGCTTTTCCAGACACATAGTGCAATCTGTCAGTGGATCTACCCTCTGGGGTCTAGAGGACAGTGTCCCTCTTCTCACAACTCCACTAGGTGGTGCCCCAGTACAGACTTTGTGTGGGGGCTCCAACCCCACATTTTCCTTTCATATGGCCCTAGCAGAGGTTTTTCATGAGGGACCCACCCCTGCAGCAAACTTTGCCTGGGCATCCAGACATTTCCATACATCCTCTGAAATCTGGTTGGAGGTTCCCAAACCTCAATTCTTGACTTCTGTATACCTGCAGGCTCAACACCACATGGGAGCTGCCAAGGCTTGGGGCTTGCACCTTCTGAAGCCATGGCTCAAGCTGTACCTTGGCCAATTTTAGCCATAGCTGGAGTTGCTGGGATGCAGGGCACCGAGCCCTTAGGCTGCACACACACAGCACGGGGACCCTGGACCTGGCCCACAAAACCATTTTTTCCCTCTAGGCCTCCAGGCCTGTGATGGGAGGGGCTGCTGTGAAGGCTTCTGACATGCCCTAGAGATATTTCCTCTATTGTCTTGGGGATTTACTTTTGGCTTCTCATTACTTATGCAAATTTCTGCAGTCGACTTGAATTTCTCCTCAGAAAATGGAATTTTCTTTTCTATCGCATTGTCAGGCTGCAAATTTTCTAAACTCTTATGCTTTCCTTCCTCAATAACTGAATGCTTCTAACAGCAAACAGGTCACATCTTGAATGTTTTGCTGCTTAGAAATTTCTTCTGTTGGATACTCTAAATCATCTCTCTCAGTTTCAAAGTTCCACAGATCTCTAAGGCAGGGGCAAAATGCCACCAGTCTCTTTGCTAAAACATAACAACAGTCATCTTTATTCCATTTCCCAAAAAGTTCCTCATTTCTGTCTGATACCACCTCACTCTGGATTTCATTGTCTGTATCATTATTAGCATTTTGGTCAAAGCCATTCAACAAGTCTCTAGGGAGCTCCAAACTTTTGCACATTTTCCTGTCTTCTTCTGAGCCCTCCAAACTCTTCCAAATTCTGCCTTTACCCAGTTCCTAAGTCACTTTCACATTTTGGGGTATCTTTTCAGCAACACCCCACTCTACTGGTACCAATTTATTAGTCCACTTTCATGCTACTGATTAATACATACCCATGACTGGGTAGTATACAAAAGGAAGAGAGGTTTAATGGACTTACTGTTCCACATGGCTGGGGAGGCCTTGCAACCATGGCGGAAGGCAAGGAGGAGCAAGTCACATCTTACATGGATGACAGCAGGCAAAGAGAGAGATTGTGCAGGGAAACTCCCATTTTTAAAACCATCAGATCTCATGAAACTTATTCATTGTCATGAGAGCAACATAAGAAAGACCTGCCCCCATGATTCAATTACCTCCCACCAGGTCTCTCCCACAACACATGGGAATTCAAGATGAGATTTGGTTGAGGACACGGCTAAACCATATCAATTACTGAGTATGTAACCTCTCAATCTTATGATATATATTTGATATTCTCTTATATTCAATTTCCATTGACTGTACACTTTCAGACTAATAGATTCACTATAGCATAATCAGCTTGGTGCTTTTAAATAGAAAAGTAATTCATATTAAAAATGATAGATTTTTAAAGCGTCTAATTATTTTAGTATCATCAAGTACCTTTTTGTTAACCAGATTTTATTATTATGTATATTTAATCTATAAGATGTAAAAGAAGAGAATAGACAATATTCAATAGAACAAAATACAGATGAGTATCAGTAGTGACATCTGTTTGAAAAAAATGGACATTTAATTTAAGTCATTTAGTTCCATGATCCGGAAATAGCATCCATATTTCCTGGACATACCAATGTAAGATGAATGAAAGGATTAGGCAGCAGGCAGTCTTAGAACATATCCACATTCTATGCCCCACTTCTTGAAGACATACTCAAGTAATTAAAAAATCCAGGAGAATATAAACCCAATTTCCCCAATGAAAACAATAACTGTTTGAAAAGTGGGGATTGTAATAGCATGCATGTATAATATGATTTGTAACAAATAGTGGTAAGAAGTCTCATACTATAGAGAAAATGGGCATTAAGAAAAATCCAAATGGAAATACAAGAACCTGCTACTAGATAAGAGATTTACACCAACAAAGCACATTTTTCTTTAAAAATTCTCATGTGTTAAGGGACATTTTCCACAATGTGACTATCCAAAACCTGCCTAGATAAAATGCATTTTTAATAGTTCTGCCTAGATGATGACACATTCACAAAGTGAAATGTTAATTATTTATCAAAGTGTTTGGTCCACTTGACACAAGCTAAGAAAATTGTAAAAAGTACTTCCAATGTTTTCAAAAATCAAATGTAAGATCCAATTTTATATATATGTTTATGGTCTCTTGGTAAGGAAAGGACCATTTGAATGACTGAAGGTTTAGAGGCTACATAATGCACTTAACTTAAACTGAAAGCTGCTATGTTCCCATCTTTAAGGCAAGACAGTTACGTGAATGTGAGCAAGTTCTTTAATACTGTCATGCCACATGATAGAATGTTAAAACTGAAAAAGGAATCTAAACTTATCTTGCCAACTACCAACTTAATGTCCAGCCATCAACAGGGATTTGAAACTCCAGTGTCTCAATAGTTAACAAGTGACAGAAACGTATAAATGTGTATAATGGCTGTATGTAACAAATGATATGGCTATTGGCTAATTCAAGTCTATATGTTTTGCCTAATATTATTCAATATGACATTGTCATATGCATTGTTGGCCAAATCCTTGCACTGCTCTGTAACATTTTGTTTGGTGGTTGTACAGCCTCTGTGCTACATACAAAAATACAAAATACTAGGATTCTGTTTGCCATTGAATATTTTACAATTGTTTTAATGAATACGTGAAACAGAAAAAGAAAGCTATCTACCAAAGTAGCTGAAATCCTTTAATAAAACACATGTGTCAGGCTAAGCGTCTTCTTAGTGTACTTCTAGATCTACATTTCCCATTTCTAGAGCATTGCTACCACACCCCCAAATGTGGTCCCTGGACCAGGCAGCAGCATCATCACTGGGAACTTGTTAGAAATGAGAAACCTGAAAAACCTGCCACCATAGACCACCTGATTCAGAAAGTGCATTTTAACAAGATATTCAGGTAATTTTTATGAATCTTTAAAATTTGAGAAGCCTTATACTAAAAGATGTGATATAAAAATTGGATTTGACCAGGCATGGTGGCTCATGACTGTAATACCAGCATTTTGTGAGGCCCAAGTTGTGCAGATCACCTGAGGTCAGCAGTTCGAGACCAGCCTGGCCAATATGGCAAAACCCTATCTCCACTAAAAATACACAAATTAGCCGGGCGTGGTGGCAGGAGCCTGTAATACAAGCTACTTGGGAGGCTGAGGCATGAGAATTGCTTGAACCTGGGAGGAAAAAGTTGCAGTGAGACAAGATTGTGCAACTGCTCTCCAGCCTGGGCAACAGACTGAGACTCTGCATCAAAAAAAAAAAAAAAGAAAAAGAAAAAAAGAAATTAGAGTTAACCTACTGAGAAATAAATTATCTTTTCATATTTGTATAAAGAATTGAGAAGAATGTACATTCTGTTGATTTGGGGTGGAGAGTTCTGTAGATGTCTATTAGCTCTGCTTGGTCGAGAGCTGAGTTCAAGTCTTGAATATCCTTGTTAATTTTCTATCTTGTTGATCTGTCTGATATTGACAGAGGGGTGTTAAAGTTTCCCACTATTATTGTGTGGGAGTGTAAATCTCTTTGTAGGTCTCTAAGAACTTGCTTTGTGTATCTGGGTGCTCCTGTATTGGGTGCATATATGTTTAGGATAGTTAGCTCTTCTTGTTGCATTGATCCCTTTGCCATTATGTAATGCCCTCTTTGTCATTTGATCTTTGGTGGTTTAAAGTCTGTTTTATCAGAGACTAGGATTGCAACCCTTGCTTTTTTTTTGCTTTTCATTTGCTTGGTAAATATTCCTACATCCCTTTATTTTGAGCCTATGTGTGTCTTTGCACGTGAGATGGGTCTCCTGAATACAGCACACTGATGGGTCTTGACTCTTTATCAAATTTGCCAGTCTGTGCCTTTTAATTGGGGCATTTAGCCCGTATACATTTGGGGTTAATATTGTTATGTGTGAATTTGATCCTGTCTTTATGATGCTAGCTGGTTATTTGGCCCATTAGTTGATGCAGTTTCTTCATAGTGATGATGGCACCATATAGCACTTATTCTAAAATCAACCACATAATTGGAAGAAGAACACTCCTCAGCAAATGCAAAAGAACAGAAATCATAACAAACAGTCTCTCAGACCATAGTGCAATCAAATTAGAACTCAGGATTAAGAAACTCACTCAGAACTGCACAACTAAATGGAAACTGAAGAACCTGCTCCTGAATGACTACTGGGTAAATAACAAAATTAAGGCAGAAAAAAATAAGTTCTCTGAAACCAATAAGAACAAAGACACAACATACGAGAATCTCTGGGACACAGCTAAAGAAGTATTAAGAGGGAAATTTGTAGCACTAAGTGTCCACAGGAGAAAGCGGGAAAGCTCTAAAGTCGACACCCTAACATCACAATTAAAAGAACTAGAGAAGCAAGAGCAAACAAACTCAAAAGCTAGCAGAAGACAATAAATAAGTAAGATCAGAGCAGAACTGAAGGAGATAGAGACACACACACAAAAAAACCCTTCAAACAGTCAATGAATTCAGGAGCTGGTTTTTTGAAAAGATTAACAAAATAGACCACTAGCCAGACTAATAAAGAAGAAAAGAGAGAAGAATCAAATAAACACAATGAAAAATGATAAAGGGGAGATTACCACTGATCCCACAGAAATACAAACTATCATCAGAGAATACTATAGACATCTCTATGCAAATAAACGAGAAAATCTAGAAGAAATGGATAAATTCCTGGATACATACACCCTCCCAAGACTAAACCATGAAGAAGTCAAATCCCTGAATAGACCAATAACAAGTTCTGAAACTGAGGTCGTAATTAATTGCCTAGCAATCAAAAAAAGTCCAGGGCCAGACACAGTCACAGCTGAATTCTCCCAGAATTACAAATTGGAGCTGAAACCATTCCTTCTGAAAGTATTACAAACAATAGAAAAAGAGGGACTCCTTCCTAACTCATTTTTTGACTCCAGCATCACCCTAATCCCAAAACCTGGCAGAGACACAGCAAAAAAAGGAAATTTTAGGCCAATATCCCTGATGAACATCAGTGTAAAAATCCTCAATAAAATACTGGCAAACCAAATCCAGCAGCACAATAAAAAGCTTATCCACCATGATCAAGTCGGTTTTATCCCTGGGATGCAAGGCTGGTTCAACATGTGCAAATCAATAAATATAATCCATCACATAAACAGAAACAATGACAAAAACCACATGATTATCTCAACAGATGCAGAAAAGGCCTTTGATAAAATTCAACACCCCTTCATGCTAAAAACACTCAATAAACTAGGTATTGCTGGAATGTATCTCAAAATAACAAGAGCCATTTATGACAAACCCACAGCCAATATCATATTGAATGGGAAAAAGCTGGAAGTATTCCCTTTGAAAACTGGCACAAAACAAGGATGTCCTCTCTCACCACTCCTATTCAACATATTATTGGAAGTTCTGGCCAGGGCATTCAGGCAAGAGAAAGAAATAAAGCATATTCAAATCGGATGAGAGACAGTCAAATTATCTCTGTTTGCAGATGACATGATCCTATGTCTAGAAAACCCCATCATCTCAGCCCCAAAACTCCTTAAGCTGATAAGCAACTTCAACAAAGTCTTAGGATACAAAATCTATGTGCAAAAATCACAAACATTCCTATACACCAATAATAGACAAACAGAAAACCAAATCATGAGTGGAATCCCATTCACAATTGCTACAAAAAGAATAAAATACCTAGGAATACAACTTACAAGGGAGGTGAAAGACCTCTTCAAGGGGAACTACAAACCCCTGTTCGAGGAAATAAGATAGGATACAAACAAATGGAAAAACATTCCATTCTCATAGATGGGAAGAATCAATATCATGAAAATGGATATACTGCCCAAAGTAATTTATAGATTCAGTGCTATTTCCATCAAGCTACCATTGACTTTCTTTACATAATTAGAAAAAACTACTTTAAACTTCATATGGAACCAAAAAAGAGCCCATATAGCCAAGACAATCCTAAGCAAAAATAACAAAGCTGGAGGCATGACACTACCTGACTTCAAACTATACTACAATGCTACAGTAACCAAAACAGCATGGTACTGGTACCGAAACAGATATATAGACCATTGGAACAGAACAGAGGCCTCAGAAATAATCACACACATCTACAACCATCTGATCTTTGACAAACCTGACAAAAACAAGCAATGGGGAAAGGATTCCCTATTTAGTAAACGGTGTCGGGAAAACTGGCTAGCCATATGCAGAAAACTGAAACTGGACCCCTTCCTTACACCTTATAAAAAATTAGCTCAAGATGGATTAAAGATTTAAACATAAGCCCTAAAATCATAGAAACCCTAGAAGAAAACCTAGGCAATACCATTCAGGACATAGGCATGGGCAAAGACTTAATGACTAAAACACCAAAAGCAGTGGTAACGAAAACCAAAATTGACAAATGGGATCTAATTAAACTAAAGAGCTTTTGCACAGCAAAAGAAACTATCATCAGAATGAACAGGCAACCTACAGAATGGGAGAAAATGCTTGAAATCTATCCATCTGACAAAGGGCTATTATCCAGAATCTACAAAGAACTTAAACAAATTTACAAGAACAAAACAAACAACCCTATCAAAAAGTGGGCAAAGGATATGAACAGACACTTTTCAAAAGAAGACATTTATACAACCATCAAACATATGAAAAAAAACTCATCATCACTGATCATTAAAGAAGTGCAATCAAAACCACAATGAGATAGCATCTCATGCCAGTTAGAATGATGATCATTAAAAAGTCAGGAAACAACAGTTGCTGGAGAGGATGTGGATAAATAGGAATGCTTTTACACTGTTGGTGGGAGTGTAAATTAATTCAACCATTTTGGAAGACAGTGTGGTGATTCTCAAGGATCTAGAACTAGAAATACCATTTGATCCAGTAATCGCATTACTGGGTATATACCCAAAGGATTATAAATCATTCTACTGTAAAGACACATGCACACGTATGTTTATTGCAGCACTATTCACAATAGCAAGGACTTGGAACCAACCCAAATGTGCATCATTGTTAGACTGGATAAAGAAAATGTGGCACATATACACCATGGAATACTATGCAGCCATAAAAAAGAATGAGTTCATGTCCTTTTCAGGGACATGGATGAAGCTGGAAACCATCATTCTCAGCAAACTAACACAGGATCAGAAAACCAAACACTGCATGTTCTCACTCATAAGTGGGAGTTGAACAATGAGAACATATGGGCACAGGGAGGGGAACATCACACACAGGGGCCTGTCAGGGGGTGGGGGGCAAGGGGAGGGATAGCATTTGGAGAAAAACCTAATATAGATGGTGGGTTGATGGGTGCAGCAAACCACCCTGGCACATGCATACCTATGTAACAAACCTGCATGCACTGCACATGTATCCCAGAACTTGAAGTATATATAAAAAAAGAAGAACTGAGAAATGAGACATTGTAGAACTTATGGAATCTTCGTTGCTTCAAAGTTTCAGAATTGTTTCTTTACCTTTCTCGTGTGGATTAAGCACACTCTTTCCAAAAGTAAAAGGAATAGACTGCATGACCTCTTAGTTGTGGTCCAGCCCTGCATTCTTAGGATCACCTGTGTTAGCTTGAAACTCCGTGTTGTTTTAAATAGCTGTATTCACATAATGGATTTCAATTTCTTCCTTTCCTTGAGGGGGTGGGAAAAGGTTGTAAGTTCAGCTTCCATTTACACAAAACAATTTAAGCTGAACACTCCACAAGACTATTGGCTTTAAGAAAAAGTATTTCCCAAGCATTGTAGATAAAAATAAATATTCTTGGTAAATATGAGTTCAGACCACGGATGAAATAAATGCTTTTTATTCATTAGTCAGTTTATAAGCCTAAAATGGAACTCTTAGCATACTTTCTCAGTTCTGATTCTTTTAGGATAAATTTGTGCATATAATTTGTAAATCCTCTGCAGAAAAATATTTTCAGGTACTTCTGAAACACATTCTTTTAATATTAAACACAAGAAAATCTTGAATATTTCCTTTAAAAGGTGAGTATGCTGTCTTATTTTAAACATTCACTGGAGAAGTACTCAATTCTAGGTAAATAATCACCTCATCAATCAAGTGTTACTATTTAGGATTAAATTTGCAAATGTACCATTTTGTGTCATTAAACATGTTTAGCATGCTGTTTTCCTCTATAAGCCCCCATTTCCCAGCATAGTGCTTAAGGTTACATGCATAAGAAATGTCTCAAAGTGAATAAAGATGGCCCAAACTCACCTCTTTACTCTTGCATAGAAATACTTCTTCTTATTGGTGTGTTATGTATACTGTATTAGAAAATGAACCTCAACCTTCTTGTCATACTGAGAGGAGACTATCTAATAAAAAGTAAATTCATTCAAGACGATCAATCCATATTCATGTAATTATAACTTTTAGAAAATCCTCTAAGTAGGCTGGGCGTGGTGGCTCATGCCTGTAATCCCAGCACTATGGGAGGCTGAGACGGGTGGATCACTTGAGATCAGGAGTTTGAGACCAGCCTAGCCAACACTGTGAAACCCCAAGCCAGGCGTGGTGGCAGGCAACTGTAATTCCAGCCAGGCTGAGGCACAGAATTGCTTGCACCCAGGGGCAGAGGTTGCAGTGAGCTGAGATTGCACCACTGCACTCCAGCCTGGGCGACAGAGCAAGACTGTCTCAATAAACAAAAACAAAAACAAAAAATAAAGAAAAGAAAATCCTCTAAGTAGCCAAACATGACTGTTGCATATGGATGCTACCTCATCAGGAATTTTCTAGGAGCCAGCTGGAAAGCTGACATTTTGACCTTGCAGGCACGGTAAATCTCTTCTCTGTTATCATCTACTTGTACCAGCAGGCAGAATACTTCTTATTACTCTCCCATTTTCTCTACTTGAAACTTTTTTTTTTTGAGACAGAGTCTCACTGTCTTGCCCAGACTGGAGAACAGTGGCCTGATCTCAGCTCACCACAACATCCGCCTCCCAGGCTCAAGGGATTCTCCCACCTCAGCCTCCAGAGTAGCTGGGATTACAGGTAATGACACTACTACCTGGCTAATTTTTGTACTTTTAGTAGAGACAGGGTTTCACCATGTTGGCCAGGCTGGTCTCAAGCTCCTGAACTCAAATGATCCACCCACCTTGGCCTCCCAAAGTGCTGGGATTACAGGCATGAGCCACCTCACCCGGCCTACTTGAAACTTTCTTAACCCACAGTTTATTGGGCATTGAGGAAGAGCTATGAAAAAAGGTATTACTTTTGTGGTTGATAATAAAATTGCAGGTCAATGTTATCTTTTATGGAAAGATTGCTGTGGCTCAGCAAATTAATTTTGAAAATGGACCTTAACTTTTATCATTAAGAAAACTATTTTTGTCAAGAAAACGAAAGGTAATTTGATACTGTGACTCTCTCAAAGAATGCAAGTATTTATTCATCCTAATTCAAATATGAAGACAAGATAAAGTCATGTAAACATGAGGTGGTGAGGAAATACAATCCTGTGGGTGTGTGCATGCACACACACACACATACCCACACACACATACACACACACTCAATATTGAGAATTATGAAAATCCCAGCCACCTACTTCACTTTCTCTGTTTCTATCTCTCAGATGATTCAGTAAAGTGAGGAAGAGAAAGTGGATTTGCACCATAGATTATAATCCACATGGTGCATATGGTGGAGTTATCTTTAGTAATAATTCAGTTACATTTGTGTTACGCACTCACTGTTTGTTGGCATGCACATACAGAGCTATCCAGTAAACACTTCGACTAGTATTGCCAATTAATATAGTGGTGTTATGGGCTGAATTTTGTCCCACCAAAAAAGATACTTTGAAGTTTTAACTCCTAGTACCACTGAATGTGATCTTATTTAAAAATAGTCTTTACATAAGTAATTCAATAAAAATGACCTCATTAGGATTGGCCCGAATCCAATATAGCTGATACCTTAAAAAGGATACAATTTGGACTAAAGATAGACATGCACGGAGGCAAGAAACTGTGAAGACACACAGAGAGGACATCATATGAAGGAGAAGGCAGATTGGAATGACACATCTACAAAGAAAGGAGCACCAAAGATTGCCACCAAACCACCAGAAGCTAGAAGAGAGGCACATGCCAGATCATCTTTCAAAGCTGTCAGAAGGAACCAGCCCTGCTGACACCTTCATTTCAAATTTATAATCTCCAGAAGTTGGAGACAATAAATTTCTGCCATTGAAGCCATTCAGTTTGTGATGCTTTGTTATGGTATCTCTGGGAAACACAGATGGGTTGTGATGTGTAGGATTATTTTACAGCATTAAACTAGATCTTTGGCAGACAGGAAGTTATTGAAATACAGACTTGCAAATGAATAAATGGTACCTTTTGAGAAACCAAAAATACATACAAAACTTTTAAAAACTGGCTAGTTGTCAATCTAAATTTGACTCAGAAAGATTTCCTAAAGAACTCCATAAAATCTCCTGAGATTGCATAAAAATGAACACTCAACTCTAGTTAGACCTATTAAAATGTATCAGGACCTTTTTTGACGTTGCATGGTGTTGACAATATTAAAGATTCAATATGTTCAACAGACCTAAACCAAGGCAGAGAGGTTTCTGCAAGTCTTTTCTCTTTGTTGTATTAAAAAATAATCCATGGTCGGGCACAGTGGCTCACACCTGTAATCCCAGAACTTTGGGATGCCAAGGCTGGCGGATAACAAGGTAAGGAGATCGAGACCATCCTGACCAACGTGGTAAAACCCTGTCACTACTAAAAATACAAAAAAATTAGCTGGGTGTGGTGGCACATGCCTATAATCCCAGCTACTCGAGAGGCTGAGGATGGAGAATGGCTTGAACCCGGGAGGCGGAGATTGCAATGAGCTGAAATTGCACCACTGCACTCCAGCCTGGCTACAGAGAGAGACTCCATCTCAAAAAACAAAAACAAAAACAAAAACAAAAACCATGAAAAGTATGCTTTTTAGACACACTGCTTCAATATTATATTTACTAGGCTCTTGCTATGGATGAGATACAATGCTAATGACTATTTCATAATTAGTAGGCTAGATTATACTTCAGTAAGAAACAGCCCCCAAAGCTAAATAGCATATCGTACCAGGAGGTTGATTTCTTCTCCAGCAGCATATCTATCATAGGTCAAGTAGAAGCTCTGCACCAGGCTTCTTCACTTCTGGTGGAAGGGCCACAAAGAAGCTACCATTTACATTTATCTTGAGAGAAAAAAAATGGGTGTTCTGTGAAGTCTTTGCAGACAAATATTCTGATCTGAAATTGACGCAAGTCACTTCTGTTCATAAGCAATTGACCAGAACTAATCATTTGCCCCCATCCAAACATGAGGTGGCAAGGCAATGCAATCGTACCCTCTGCCCAGAAAGCAGATACTGTAAATATTTGGTAAAGAGCACTAATAGCTGTCAAAATGATTTCACTTGCATGCATTTGGAGTTACAGAATTGTGACTCTAAGCCAAGATTATATAGTTGGAAAGTGGTGCTTCTGAGATTTGGACCCTGATCTGCTTAGCTCAAGAGCTTCTAATATCAATACTATAATATTTCTATTTTTTTCACATCTGAGCTTTTCCATGAAAATTGAAGTTACAGTAGAAGTGGAAAGATAATGAATAAAAGATAAACAGTGGAAAATGAAATGAGTAAACGTAAAAAAATGAAATTCTACATTTCATCTATTAGTAATTTACCCTTTTCTTTGAGATTTTATTTGCTTTAATTTTCAAGATGTAAATTTTTAAATACATTTGATATTTTATATGGATAATGCGTTTCATTTTTTTATTTGTACTCAGAAAAATGCTTTTTCCCCTAAAATCACATCCTGTGCCCCACAGTATTCTATGATGATATTGCTTATTTCTATGAAACAAATGACTCCCTGCAGTATTACTTTCAGATGAGATCGTATCAGCTTTCATAAGCTGAGACAAGTAAGGGTTGTGCACAAATGAGATCTCTGAGGAAAATCTAGATACTGTAAGAAAATACTTTCAGGGACTCAATAAATAACATTTGGAGGTGATTAAATTACAACAAAAAGAATTCTTCACTCTTAGCAAGCTGTTAAAATTCAACATCACAGTACTTATTTTAGATGAAATTAAACCAAAACTCTGGATTGTAACAATCTTTGTGTTCATTCTCATTTGTATAAGTTATAAAAACTCCAGGAACTAGCTAGATTTAAAAATTACAACAGAACACTAATATTTTGGTTTGCACTAATTTACTTACAACATGATAGGGGCTATTTATCCCCTCAATATTTTCTTATATTTGTATTACTAATAAAGTATTTCTGTTTCTCTCTCTCAATATAAAAGTGAGTTAAAATGAGACTATATACAGATACCTAATCCGTACTGTGAATTGCTCATACTATTAAACTATACAAATGCATCAATTAATAAAATGTTATGTGAGGACAGTTTTTAAGTCATGCCTTAGAAAGGCATTTAGATTTATTAGAATTGCCTGAATATGGGAATAGGAAAATGTAGCTCATGATATTTCTGCTTAATATGAGAAAGATCTTTATAACATTATAATTGTCCAACAATGTAAAAGGCTTCAGTAGATAGTACTGAGCTCTAAAATCTTAGAAAGGCTTAAAGCAAAGATTTAAACATTTCCATAGAATTATTGGAGAAGGAATCATGATAGGAAACTGACCAAAGACAGATAAGTTCTGTTTCCATTCTAAGATTCTATGATTCTGCTAATCATACAATGCAAATACTCGGCAAACACCATTCAGCACTTAGCCCTTCTCATGTCTGGGCAGCCTGGCCAACCCAGAAAAAAACTTAATCAATTTCAGTAAATTCTATGAGCAAAAGATGTAGACATGGTCACCTCAAGATGTAATGTCAGTTTACCTTAGCTCTAACAAATGGAAAAACAATGATGTTGGAAGTAGGGTTTTGAACACTCTGAATCCCCACAGTAGAAGACAAAAAAAAAAAAAAAAAAATGACCAAATTAAAGTGTGCAGGGTTTGAGAAAGAGGAGGTCACATTAAATGAGAAAAAGACAGAAGGTAGAGAAAAAAACAGATTATTGAAGTTGGGAAAAAGGACATCCTACTGTCAGGTTGTACCCTGTTATCAGGCAAGTGCTTTGTGAAGAATAATGAATAAAAGATTAAAAATCCCTTTGCAAAGATCGAGCTCCTACCAGCTCCCTAGGGAGGGGAGAAAGGGACTTAGCTGTTATGATGGTAACTTTGAACATCTCAGGCACTTAGCTAGCCCCCTCCTGGGCCTAAAAGACCAAATCAAGTGCATTAAATACTTAAGTTTTAAAAGCTCTCTAAGTTTTATCCTCTGAATGTGTGGATTTTAATGGTAGCTTGACAAAGTTTAATGAACAGTTCTGGGAGGATACTCAGATATACAAAGTACATAAATGTATTTTTATTATTCACAATTTAAAGTACTAAAGTACCTCTCAAATACTCTGGCATTTTAAAAACAGCTTGTTTAGAAAAAAAATGTTATGTTATTGTAAGCCAAGAAGAAGAAGTTTCATGAGGGCTATAAACCCCATAAAAACAAATCTGCAAAGGCCCAAAGAAAACCCCAACATATCATTAATACATTACATAGTGCCTTTCAATTCAAATATAATGACCTCAGCACAAAGGACAAAATATATATAAGAAGAGATCGATTTATACATCGTTTGAATCAAGCCACTTCTATTTGACAAATTTATCAGTGCAAGCAACAGTGTACCAGGTTAACAGAGGAAGTAGAAGACAACTTACCTCATAAATATACCAGACCCTATATAGGTAAATTGATCAATTTAATTTAAAATTGATAAAAGTGCCTCTGGAAATCATCTCTCTCTCTCTCTCTCTCTCCTCTCTCCTCTCCCCCCTCCTCTCTCTCTCTCCCCTCCTCTCTCTCTGTCCCCTCCTCTCTCTCTCTCACCTCCTCTCTCTCTCCCCCCTTCCCTCTCTCTCTCTCCTCCCTCCTCTGTCTCTCCTCTTTCTCTCCTCTCTCTCTCCCCTCCTTCTCTCTGCTATCTTTCTCCTCTTCTCTCTCCCCCTCTCTCCTCTCTCTCCTCTCTCTCCTCTCCCTTCTCTCCTCTCTTCTCTCTCTCTCTCCCCACTCTCCTCTCTCTCTCTCTCTCCCACTCTATCTCTCTCTCCTGCCACCCCCAAAATGACTGGGCTTTGATAACAATATGCTGGAGGAAATGTGGAATTGGGTGGACTCTGATTTAAAGGAACATTTTTTCACAGATACCGGAAATTTGAGTATTGTTATGCATTTCCCTCCATGGTATGCCAGGACTTCAGAGGGCTAAGAGCTACAGCAAAAGACTATCTTTCTCTCTCTCAATATACAAGTGAGTTAAAATGAGACTATATACAGATACCTATATACAGATACAGAGCCTCCATATTTCAGTCAGCATAATCCTGAAACCTCCATCACCCCTGATATGTACCAGGCACATCTGCTTCTAGGTTGTCCATTGTCAAACTTCCTGCTGGAGACAATCTATCAATCAGTACAGCACAGCACTTGACCTAAGTGAGAAATCAAGCCAAACAAGTCATCACCAAGAAGCTGGCTCCAAATGTACAGCTTATTATCTATAACATTATCTAATAGGTTAAGCAAAACCATAATTGAGTTATTTTCAGTTTGCGTCTCTACAGATCATTGTAAATATGCTTCCCATTACAACTATTCCTTAATCTTTTATTCATTATTCCCCATAAATTTGTCAACATTCAACCTCCATTACAGTGTTTGAAAATCACAATGACCTTAATAAGATCAAAAAGATTATTGAATTGCATATTATATATATTGACATGTAGGCATGAATTCTTTAGTATTTTTGCACTCTGAAGTGTCATTTACCCAATCCTTAAGTTAAGTGGAAGGTGTTCAGTAGTTCAGTCATAGTGAAGTTTGAGCCACAAAATAGCATTTAGAACAACAGAAAGGTGATTGAAATGGTCATTGTTGGATTTCTTTTATGCAACAGTGAGAGATGCCTTCTTTCTTTTGTGTCATCATCCTGAGCTCACACACATAAGAACTAGGTAGGATCTGGGTGATTTAAAAGACTCTTGCTATCCAATTGGAACATATTCAGACAAGGCATTTATTGATTCTTCTTTTTCTAAGTCAGTAGGGTGGCTAAAGCAAGTATCATGTGAGTTTAAATATGGTGACTACATCATAAAGAAATGTATATTTTCATTTGTTGCTTCTAAGAAGAGACAGTGAATAAAAACAATTCATCCACAGTAATTTATCTGGCAGGCATTTAACAATTGTTTAGTTCAGAATTTCTATACCCTAGTTCAGTGAAGCTTGAAATCACAGTATTATTTCTCATTTTGCTCATATGTTATCTGTATGCTTGAATGTACTGATAAATGGATTTGAATGTGAACTATCAGTACTAAGTAGAAAGTTTTTTTCTTTTGCATGATTAGAGCATCTTTCATGTAAATATTCTGGGTTGTGCTAGAAAATTTTATAGAGCATGTTAGATTATTGTGTTATGCTTCTTTCTTCAGGGTTTCTGAGAACAGGGCCCTACACTAACAGTCAAGATAACACACAGAAAAAATGTGTTTTTGTTTATGTTATGTTAGTTAATAAAATATTATATATTTTCAACAATTTTGAGGTATTTCTCCGAAGGCCGACCTCATTTCAAAGAGGTGACATTGTGTCTAAACTTCAACTTCAAATTATCAGCATGGGCTCACTTGCTCCTGCCTGCTCATTGACAACACCACCAGTCATGTAGTTACTCAAAAACTGCAGCAGCTCAAAGGTAGAAGATTCTGATGTGGGTGATTAGCCCACCTTCCTTCTCCTGAGATAGGTATCATGTTATTGAGTACAAACCTATGAAACAGACTCAAAGACAAAGCAGCAAATCAGGTAAATTAGAAGAGCAGAATGGGAATAACAGTAAAATACTGAGTGTTTGAAATACTTATAAAATTGCATAGCTAGAAGGCATCTTGAATGTGATTTAGTTTAATTATCTAATTCTGTAAATAAGAAATGTAGGTCTCATATATTGAGTAAGCCAATGAAATACAAAAATAAGCTTTAGTTGGACCAGGCGCCGTGGCTCACACCTGTAATCCCAGCACTTTGAGAGGCCGAGGTGGACAGATCACGAGGTCAGGAGTTCAAAACCAGCCTGACCAACATGGTGAAACCCCATCTCTACTAAAAATACAAAAATTAGCCAGGCTTGGTGGTGTGTTCCTGTAATCCCAGCTACTCAGGAGGGTGAGGCAAGAGAATTGCTTGAACTCAGGAAACAGAGGCTGCAGTGAGCCAAGATCGGCCACTGCACTCCAGCCTGGGTGACAGAGGGAGACTCCGTCTCAAAAATAAAATAAAATAAAATAAAATGAAATAAAATAAAATAAAAATAAGTTTTAATTGAACAATATAAGTTGTTAAAAAAATGACAGCACCATACAACTGCCCTCAGAGAGGAGTAGCCAGGAGTTTCATACAAATTGTCCAAAGATATGTAGCAAATTAGGGCTTAATATAGTATGAGATTCATTCAGAAAGGATCAGTGTGGCACCTGATGGCTGATATATGGCAACAAAAGCACAAAACTTTTGAAGACAAGTAGTTGTGGTTCCTAATGGCCCAGTGGCAATTACCCAAGCCAGTGGATAAAAATGTGGGAAGCCTGGATAATTTTTCTAGAAAAACAGGTGATATGTTAGAACTCTTACAAACTAGGCTACATTTTAGGGAAGATCTTCTGTTTTAAGACAAATTTAGAATGCTGAGTGGTTTTAAGTTGGTAGGCCAGCAATACCAGCACAGAGAAAGCTGCACGAGAATAGACATTGAAATTTTCAGGAATTATTTCAGTCTTACTGATCGATTCTATTTTAATGTGGTTGTAATTTGCCTGCTCTGCATTTGTGCTTTTGTTTTTGTGCCCCGTGTACTTTCATTTAAATTCCAACACTTTAAAAATCAGGAAAATTCACATTAAAACCTGGATATTTCTCTTTTCTTTCCTTTTTTTTTTTTTTTTTGGTAGAGTCTCACTCTGTCATCACTCAGACTGGAGTACACCAGAGCAATATCAGCTTACTGTAACTTCCACTTCCCAGGTTCAAGCGATTCTCCTGCCTCATCCTCCCAATTAGCTGCGATTACAGGTGCCTGCCACCACGGCCGGCTAATTTTTGTATTTTTAGTAGAGACGGGGTTTCACCATATTGGTCAGGCTGGTATCAAACTCCTGACCTCAAGTGATCCGCCCACCTTGGCCTCCCAAAGTGCTGGGATTACAGGTGTGAGCCACCATGACTGGTTGATATTTAGCTTTTCTTTACTCCCTATTTTTTTCATCTTAAAACCAAGGATCAGATATAACTTAATCATCTCACTTGAGCTATTGATTTTGTTGTATCTAGCACGTTTATTATATATACCTGTAGGCTTTTGAGTCTCTGTATCTCAATTTATACTACAAAGGGATAATCAGTAACATCATAATATATATTTTAATTATCATTTCATTGCATTCATGTTTTGAAAGATCATTGTTTCTACAAATGTATATTATTAACTGTTTAGGTCATTTCTAGAATAGCAGCTATGATATATTGCAAAAAAAGGTTCAAATTACCCTCCCTGTATCCAAGCCTTTTATACTGTAACACAGTAGTACTATTTGTCTGTGACTCTAGTCTCAGCCATATAACTTGCTCTGGCAAATCATACTTGCCACAAATGTAAGGATACTTGCCACATGCTGAGGTAGGAAAAAGCACTTGGACATTTATGTTTTGCCATTCTTGAATCTCTGCCAATGCTAGACATGCTCAGAGTGGTCTGCTGGAGCAAAAAACATGTGAATTACAGCTGAGTTGTACTAGTTGTTCCAACTGGGGACCTCCGCGTTTAGCCAACAGCCAAATGAAGAGTGTGCATGTGTGTAAATCCAGCTCACTTCAGAGCAGCAGAATTGCCCAGCTGAGCCCAACTAAAATAGTTAACCAATGAGTTTGTGAGCTAAATAAAAGTTTATTGTTTTATTCCACTGAATTCGATGTGATTTGTTGAGCAGCTCTATTGGAGCAATGAATTACCATTATAGAAAGAAATTTTTACTTGGAAGTGAAATGCTGTTGTAACAAAACCTAGAACCCTTTGGACTTGCTTTGAGATTAGACAGCATGGGACAAAGAAACTATTAAGGGAAGTAAGAAACATGGCAAGAAAGCTATTATTGCAAGGATAGAATAAATGGCAACTTATATTTTGTAGTGGCAAAAATTTTGGTAAAATTGTTACCTGTGGTACCTTGAAAGAAAAAACATCTCCTTTAAGAAATTTTAGACCTGGGAGAAGACATTTTCTGATAAAATTTTGATAGCATTTTACTAAGTTGTTTTCCTTTTCTATGAATAAATATATACTACAAGGAAACATCTTAAAACAGAAAGAAAGAAAGAAGGAAAGAAAGAAAGAAAAAGAAAGAAAAGAAAGAAAGAAAGAAAGAAAGAAAGAAAGAAAGAAAGAAAGAAAGAAAAGGAGAGAGAAAGGAAGGAAGGAAGGAAGGAAGGAAGGAAGGAAGGAAGGAAGGAAGGAAGGAAGGAAGGAAGGGAAAGAAAAAAAGAGATGGCCATATGGTTTTTGTTTTTGGTTTTGTTTATGTGATGAATCACATTTATTGGTTTACATTTGTTGAACCAACCTTGCATCCCAGAAATGAAACCTACTTGGTCATGGTTGATTAGGTTTTGATGTGCTGCTGGATTTGGTTTGCCAGTAGATTGTTGAGGGGTTTTTGTTTGCTTGTTTGTTTGTTGTGTTTCTGTTTGTTTGTTTGTTTTGGTGTCTCTGTTCAGGAAGGGATATTGACCTGAAGTTTTCATTCTTTGTTGTGTCTCTGCCAGGTTTTGGTAACAGATGATGCTGGCCTTATATAATGAGATAAGCAAGAATCCCTCCTCTTCAATTTTTTTTTGAATAGTTTCAAAATTAAGCTAGAATCATACCAGCTCTTGTTTATACTTCTGTTAGAGTTTGGCTGTGAATCCATCAGGTGCTGGGCTTTTCCTAGTTGGTAGGCTTTTTATTATTGATTCAGATCAGGAGCTTGTTATTGGTCTGTTCAGGGATTCAATTTCTTCTTGGCTCAATCTTGGGAGGTTATTATATGTTTCCAGGAATTTATCCATTTATTCTATTTTTTTTTATTATTATACTTTTAAGTTTTAGGGTACATGTGCACATTGTGCAGGTTAGTTACATATGTATACATGTGCCATGCTGGTGCACTGCACCCAGTAACTCGTTTTTTTTTTATTTTGTGTGATCAAAGGTATTCATAGTACTCTCTGAGGGTTTCTTGTATTTCTGTGAGGTTGGTAGTAATGTCTCCTTTGTCATTTGTGATTCTGTTTATTTGGATCCTCTTTCTTTTTTCTTTGTTGATCTAGCTAATGGTATATCTTATTTTTTTCAAAATATCAAATCTTGGATTTGTTAATATTTTGTACATTTTTTCCATTTTTTTTCAATTGTCCTCTGATTTTGGTTATTTCTTTTTTCCTGCTAACTTTGGAGTTAGTTTGCTCTGTTTTATTGGTTGCTGTATATGTGATGTTAGGCTGTTAATTTGGGATATTTCTATCTTTTTGATATGGACATTTACTGCTATCAACATTCCTCAGCACTGATTTAGCTATGTCCTAGATATTCTGGTATGTTGTATCTTTGTTCTCATTAGTTTCAAAGAACTTCTTGATTTCTGCCTTGATTTATTTATTTGCCCAAACGTCATTCAGGAGCAGGTTGTTTTTCCATGTAATTGTATGGTCTTGAGCAATCTTCTTAGTATATAGCTCTATTTTAATTGTGCTGTGTTTTGAGAGTGTGGTTGGTATGACTTCTGGTCTTTTGAATTTGCTGAGTATTATTTTATGTCTCATTCTGTGGTCAGTTTCAAGGTGGAGAGTTCTATAGATGTTTATTATGTCCATTTGGTCAACTACTGAGTTCAGATCCTGAATATATTTGTTAATTTTTTTACTCCATGATCTGTCTGATAATTCCATTTGGGTGTTGAAGACTCTTGATATTATTGTGTGGTTATCTAAGTCTCTTCATAGATCCCTAAGAACTTGCATTATGAATCTGGGTGTTCCTGTGTTGGGTGCATACACATTTAAAATGGTTAGATCTTGTTGAATTGACCTGTTTACCATTATGTAGTGCTCTTGTTTCTCTTTTTTAGTCTTTGTTGGCTTAAAGCCTATTTTGTCTTAAATTAGAATAGCAACGCATGCCTTTTTTCTGTTTTCTGTTTGTTTGGTAGATTTTTCTTTATTACTTTACTTTGAGCCTATGGGTGTCACTACATATGAGCTCAGTCTCTTGAAGACTGTAAGGCTTAGGTCTTGCTTCTTTATCCAACTTGTTACTCTATGTCTTTTATTTGGGGCATTTAGTCTGCTTACATCCAAAATTAGTAATAAGAAGTATAGATTTAATTCTGCCATCATGTTATTATCTGGCTATGATGAAACCTTGTTTGTTTCATTGTTTTATAATGTCACTGGTCTATGTATTTAAGTGCATTTTTTTTTTAGTGGCTGGTAATGTCTTTCTTTTCCATAGTTAGTACTCCCTTCAAGAACTCTTGTAAGACTGGTCTGTTGGTAATTAATTTCCTTAGCATTTGCTTGTCTGAAAAAGATCTTATTTCTTCTTTGCTTATGAAGCTTAGTTTGGCTGGATATGAAATTCTTGATTGGAAATGAATAACAGCAATGATACGAGGAAGGAGAGAAAGAAATTAGCAATATTCTGTTATTATAAGTTACTTGAACTAGCTGTGAGGAGGTTTAGCATTATTTTAAAGTTAACTTGAATTAATTGTAAATGTATACTACTTACTCTGAGAAAACCATAAAAATAAAAAATTTAAAAAGTAGTATAACTAATATGCTAAGATAGAAGAAACAATGACATAATATAAAATGCTCAATTAATATCACAAATCAGAAAAAGTGTGGAAGATAGAAACAGGAATAAAGATCAAAAACAACAAATAGAAAACAGTAGCAAATATAGTAATATTAATTCAACTATATCAATAAGCACCTTAAATATCAATGCTCTAAATATACCAATTAAAAGACAGAGATTGTCAGAGTGGATTAAAAAATATGATTGAACTACAGTTGACCTTTGAACAACATGGGTTTGAACTGCACAGGTCTACTTACATGTGAATTTTCTTTTGCCTCTGCTGCCCCTGCAACAGAAAGACCAACTTATCCTCTTGCTTTTCCTTCTAAGCCTACTCAACATGAAAACAATGTGGATACAAATTGTTATGATTATCGATTATCCATTTCAATGTAATGAATAGTAATATGCTTTCCCTTCTTTACAATTTTCTTCATAATATTTCCTTTTCCGTAGCTTACTGTATTGTAAATATATAATATATACCACATATAGCGTAGAAAATATGTGTTGATTGACTGCCAGTCAATAGTATCCTGTAAGTACTTAAGTTTTGGGAGAACCAAAGTTATGCATGGATTTTCAATTGTGCATGGTCTCAGTGACCCTAACCTCATGTTATTCAAAGGTCAACTGTGTTTTTCTTCAACAAGAAAAAACACCTTAAATATAAAGACACTTGTAAATTAGAAGTAAAGGGGTGTAGAAAGATATAACATGCTAACATTAAGCAAAAAAAGTTGAAATGATTATATTAATTTCAGACATAGAAGACTTTAGAGAAAGAAAATTTTTCAGGGATAAAGAGAGGTATTACATAAAAACAAAAGGGACAATATCGCAAGAAGACATAACAATCTTTAATGTATAGCACTTAACAGCAAAGCATGAAAGTACCTGGGGTAAAAACTGATAGAATTGCAAGGAGAAACAAGTAAATTTACTATTATGGTTTGAGTTGTAACAACACCATATCAGAAATGGGTAGATCCAGCTCACAGCAAATCAGTAAGAACACAGCTGAGTTCAACACCATCAGTCAATGAGACATAATTGATATTTACTGACTACTTCAGTCCACAGCAGAACACGAGCTCATAATGAATATTCACCAAGATAGACCACATTCTGAGCTATACAACACACCTTACTCAGAAAGAATATAAATCATACGGTGTATATTCTCAGATCACAATAAAATTAAACTAGAAATCAGTAACAGAAAGATAATTGAATAAACTCAAAATACTTGGATATTAAAGAACACACTTTGAAGTAACACATGGATCAATGAAGAACTTTCCAGAGAAATTAAAAAATATTTTGAACCACATGAAAATGGAGCTATAATCTTTCAAAATTTGTAGGGGGCAGTGAAAGCAAATATTAGAGAAAAAAATTATAGCATTGAATGCAAATATTCATTTCTCTCATACATAAGCATATACATACACACACACACACATACACTATATATATAGTCAAGCACGTTATCATTATTTTAAATACATGTTTACCTGTTAGATCAATTAAAATTAAAAAAAAAAATTTATTTTACCTTCACTTATTCATTTTTCTGATGCTCTTCCTTTTTTAAGGTGTATCTTCATGCAGATCCAAGTTTCTGACCTATATCATTTTCATTCTCATTGAAGAACTTATTTTAATATTTCCTGCAAGGCCTCTAGAAGTGGTCAATTTTAATGAAGAATTTAACTCCCTCTGTTGTTTTTCTTAGTATTCCAGCTAGCTTCTTGGTCTTATTTTTCTTATTATCGGAAAATTGTTGTGCCTATTTGGCTGGATGGACTAATTGGCATACATACTAAAAGTTTTCAAACTCATACGTGGAGTCTCCAGATGGGTGAATTACACTGTTTTTGTGTGTCCTTTGATTTCATTCATAAATCTACTCAAAATCTACTCAATTCAAAGTCTCAAGTATTTGCTACATCCCAATAACTTTGACAAATGAAGAAAATAACATGATTTAATAGTCAATATCTTATAGTTCAAAGTTCTTCTGATGATTTTCTTCAAAACAAGTGACCTAAAAAACATTATCATCAATGTTTACATTTCACATTCTTTCAAAACTTATTTTGCTCCCTATAGTAATAGCCTATGACAGAAAGAATTGATAGAATTAACATTTTCCAAATACTCAACTCTCATTTTCAAGATATACTTTGTTTATCATTATGCAAAATATCTCAAATCCACTTATTCACCTTTCAATAAAACTTTTACTACTATGACTACCAGGGATAAAAATATTATCAAAACTTCTTATAGATGGGATTCAGTGCTCTGTTTTCCCATTACTTATCATGTCTTAGGAATATCATGTGCCCACAAATACTTAATATACACATCAAAAGGCTATCATTTATATTTAGCAGCAATAATTAATATAGACTCTCTAGATTGTCCCCAAACTGTCTTTAAGAGGGTTTCTTCTTAAAAGTCAGATGCTAATTTGGCTTCCGGCAGTCATCTCTTTTATTTGCATAAATTCTGTAAAATACTCAGGTTTCTGTCTTTCTCAGTTCCTTTCAAATATAAATGATGTGTGCCCATATTTGCACTAAAAAGTATATTAAATACATGTACACTGAATACATATATTGGGTAATTTCAATATACAGTTAAATATTCTGATTTCTGACAATTAATGACCTGGCAAAGTGTTTTTGAAGCAATCCACAAGAGTAGTAATTCTTCACACATTTCCATATAGAAGGATGTAATATAAAAACACATTTGAAAACCATCCTATTGTCAAGACAGTGATTATTTTGTAATTATTAATACTTATATGACCTACAGCATTGAAAGTTTTCTATAATGCTAAAGGAGTGATGTATTTTGTTTTAAATGTATTTGATTTCCTTCAAGGAAATAAAAACCACTCATATCTACCCAACAAAAGAAGATACTTTGTTTCTGAAAAACCTAAGGAGCCCTGGAGGACAAGTTTGTGTGATGAATTTTGAAAACGAGGAATGACTATGAAGAATATCTCTAGAGATATCGAGATAAATAAAGATGAACCATGGAGAATTATCCAGCTCCCAAGAGTAATATCATATTCCTAAGTATTCATATGTCTAGAGGTGAGGACTCCGTAGTCTCATTATCCTTAGAAAACAAAGAACAAGGAGTATAAAACAAACTGTACAAGCTCCCTAAAAAATCTTTTCATAGAGATAATATATTTTTATTGTTTTTTATTTTTATTTTTATTTTTTTTTATCATTTTAGCCTGAAGCCTTCTAAAAATATGGCCTGGGAACGAAATATACTTTCCTGATCTCGCCAAGTTAGATTGGTATCAGCAGAAAATAGAGAATCCCAAGAGGAAGTATTTTCTCTCTTGTGCTTTGGAGAGAGACATGCGTGGATTCCTACATGGATATAGATGCAATGGATTTATAGATTAAGGAGAAGAAAAAACAGCATTCCCAGGAAAATCAGTTTGCAAAATTTTCCAAATTGCTTGCCCTTACAAAAATGATCATAGATCTTATCTGATTGTGATTAATCTGGATTTTTATTTATTTGGTAGCTTTAGGATCTGTGCATGATCAACAGAAAATATTTAGGAGAGGGGCAAAAATAATTTTCATACTTTTTCAATACAAGAAATGTATCTCATTTCTTTTTCAATTTACTTAAAAATATTAATTAGACACTCTCTTGGAGCCAGATACAATATTAGGGTCCAGAGATACAGTGGTATAACAAACTAGACAAGTTTTTGCTCTCATGAATGTTAATTTCTATGCTTATTGTAATAAAAATATTTTCAGATAGGAATAGATACTATGAAGAATACTAAATAGGATTATATGACAAAAAGGGTCTTCACGGTTGGGGAAGGTGGCTGTATATTTAGGATGGTTAGAGAAGGATGTTTCAAGACAGTACGCACAAGAGTACCCTAGGCAGCAAGATGGGCAATGCAATGGCCTAAGGTGAAAAGATGCTCTAAATGTTCAAAGAACTGAAGGAAGCCAAGTGAGGCTGAGGCATGGTCAGTAAGTGGGGGAGTGTCAACAGCCAAAGTCAAAGAGGCAGACAGAGGCCAGATTACATAAGACTTTAAAGTTCATAGGATGGGGCCAGAGTTGTATTATATATGCAATGTATCATGAGTCGTAGAATGAGTGCAGGCACCTGGTAGGCAGCTAAACAATTTTTAATATTAAAATAATATTGTGAATCTGCTTCCATTTGCACTTGCATTCTTAAGCCTAATTATTTTTTCATTAAAGTAGGTCCTTATGCCTGAGATCTCCTATTTTTTAAAATAGTATACTAACATTCAATCAAACTACCTCTATGATCGAGACAACTTAATTAACCAAAATGTATAAACATCTTTATCTTTAAGTAAAGATTATTTGTCATTAAAGAAGAGAAAAATTCATGAATTTTTTCATCCATCTTACTTGCCATGCATTTCTGCTGCAATTTAGTCATTAATCATTGCCTATATACTGCTGATAAAAAGACCATATCCAAACATATATATAATGTCCACTGGTGTATGCATTAATTGTGAAACATGAACTTTGTAACATTTTTTTTTATTTTCCCAGAGGGTAGCTTTTTGTCCTTTTGCCTTTCTTATAGACTAGACACTCTATACCTATGCCTGGACTTTTTTAAAGGCTGTGTCATCTTTCTAAACAGAGCACCTGTAAGGAAATAAAAAGATAGTCTTAACATAATGTTCTTTTATATCAATATTTGTAGACGTCTTTCTCCTCCCTTTCAGCCTTTCATGTTTGAGGCTTTATTTTTTACTAACTTAATAAACATTCATCTAGCTCTTTTTATGTGTCAGCTATTTTTCCATATAGTTTTACAAATATGGATTCATTAAATAAAACATGGCAATAATATTGAAGTGAAACTCAATAGCAAACTCATGACTACCTGAGTATGGTTTTTGTCAAATCATTCTAGGTGTTCTTATTCATTGCAACATAGCTGACATCATTAGCTTCCTTGGAGAAATTTTATTTTTGAAAACAAGTGTAGCTTGTTAACAAGATTGAAAATTTTGTATCATATAATAATGGCTTAATGTTTATTTGTTTGAGAGGTACAAATTTACTAAAGAAACATTAGTTGAAGGAATAATTGATTATACAGGAAATAATGATGCTTTTTTTTTTTTTTTTTGACTGTATCTCACTGTTAAAATGAGATACAGTCTGTTGCTCAGACTGGAGCCCAGTGGCGTGATCTTGGCCCTCACTGCAAGCTCTGCTTCCCAGGTTCACGCCATTCTCCTGCCTCAGCCTCCCGAGTAGCTGGGACTACAGGCACCCACCACCATGCCTGGCTAATTTTTTGTATTTTTAGTAGAGACGGGGTTTTACCGTGTTAGCCAGGAAGGTCTCGATCACCGGACCTCATGATCCGCCTGCCTCGGCCTCCCAAAGTGCTGGGATTCCAGTCATGAGCCACCATGCCCAGTCAATAATGGTGCTTAAAAAAAAAAAGTTCTTAAATATGAGATGACAGCAGGACATTCAAGTAAACATGAGGTCCTGTCCCTTAATGAGCAATAAAAATCACCAAGATCTCAAACAACATCATCATCAGAATATATTACTATTGTTAACTTTTTGGGTCAGCCAACATCCGGACACGAAAATGCTACGAATGGATTGACTGACAGATCAGCACATGGCTACAAGTGCCAACACAGTGGTTAATGTCAATAGAAGGAGAGAAAAATTTCAAGCAAAAAATTATTTCTCCTTAATGAAGGTTAAAATGTCAACATATTAAACTCAGGGTTTCTGCTTTGACTGTATCTATCAAGATAATTAATGTATATGCAGATTTCACAGTGTTGCTGAAGTTGCATTTTACATGAGCAAAACTCAGGAAATATATTTTTATATACAGTCAGGAAAGAATCTTTGACTGAAAGCAAATAGTTAGAATAATAGAAGGTTAACTAGGACACAAATTTTTAGTTTGCTAATTATTGAATGATGAGCTGTTGTTTGCCATGTTTTTACTTCATCAGATAGAGCTTTGTCTCACTGTAGGCATTCTTACTAATATTTTTCCCTTTCTTTAGGATATTTCAGGGCTCCATGAAAATGGCCTTAAAGCCGTGTCATTCATGGTATAATATCAAAGAATGAGACCTGTCATAATTTAATTGAACATACTAGTGATAACTGGACCTATAACCACTCTAAGTTATACCTGCTGTCTGCATCCTATCAGTATTATATAAAAGGAGTTATAATACATTATTGAATTTTTAGCTCACATATGCTAGAGATGCTGCTAGGAAATCCTCTTCCAACAGAATTGCTAGAAGCCATGAACAAGCACGTTTGAGACACATGCACATGTTGCGGAATGAGCAAGAAGCTATCTAAAACAATGAGACATAACTTCAGATAAAGATAACCCAAGAGACTGAGAAGATTGAAGCAGATGAAATGAGTGACTTTTACCTTTGACTTTTCTCTTACTTGTGCTATTGTTTTTTGATACATAGTTTTTATACCTTCAGGCCTTAAATGCCTCAAGGTACTTCTGAATCTATTTATTAGCTTCTCCCCAACTCCTGCCTGCCATTTCTGTTTGAAATCAAGTGAACCTTATTGAGATTCATGTTCCTGTGTTGCATTATTATCCATGGATAATAAGTTTAGAGTGAGTATAGGTGTGTAGGGAAGGAAGAAGAGAGAAATATGGAACGTGAGATTCAACTAAATAAATATGAAAATTATTTTAAAATTAAGATTGTTATCCCTTTCAAAGAGACAATTCTAATTCCAAATAGTTATCACTTATTGTGTCACATTGCAAAATGTCCTACCTATGTATTACATAATGTAAAGTCGAAACTAAGCCAATTATCTGCTTTGGCAGAGTTTTACTATTGGTGCTGGACCATCCATATTGTCTTAGTTCATCCAGGTTGCTATATAACAAAAAAACCATAAACTGGGTGTCCAAAAATATCAGAAATGTATTTTTCACAACTCTGGAGGCCTGGCAGTCCAATATCTAGTCACTGGTAGATTCGGTGTCTGTGAGGGCCTCATTTCAGGCTGATATATGGTGACTTCTTGTTCTGTCCTCAAATGATGGAAGTTGGCTATTTTACATGGGCACTAATCTCATTCCTGAGGGCTCCACCTCTTGCCCTAATCACCACATCAAATCTCCATTTGCTAATACCATAATCTTGGGGGGCTGGACTTCAGCATATGAATTTAAGAGAACATAATTATTCAGGTTATAGCCATAGAGAACACATGAAAATACTGTAAAGCTGAGTCAGACACCTTTAACATATCACCCACCACCAGATCATTAAAGAGAAGGCTAAGGATTCACAAGACAGATAGTAAGAATTTCTCTGGAGAGAAGTCAATGAGTATTGGGCAACTCATCTATTTCAGATCAAATTTGGGGAGGACGACTACATCAGTAGTTCTGGGGTTCAGACAATGCAGAAGCTAGTGCTTGACTCTGACCTGGCAAGCTTTAGTGGCAAACGTTTGGATAGAATTGCCTGATATGGCAAAGCAAGGAGTGAAGAACACAATTCACTTCTACTCAAGGCAGAAATATCTCAATTTCTGGTAGGCAGTGAGAACCTCTCAAAAAGCCAAACTTAAAACATCTGGCAACAATCCTGGCTACAGGTTTTCCTCCCCAGGGCTGGATGACCACAACAGAAAGAGCCTGTACAGGATGTCCCGCAAGCAGCTGGAGCTAAGGCAAAGGTAGTTAGTAGCCAATTGAGAAGCGGATCAACCACAGAACACAGTAAAGTCAAAAGCCCTCCAGGAGGACAGCAGGTGGTGGTCACTGATGACCCCCTAAAACACCCCAAGAGATAAGAAAGAGTATTTTGGCATCTGACACACCAAAAGAACATTTTAGCACATGACACATCAGTCAAGTAAGAAATTGATATTTCTTTACTTTTACTTTTATACTGGTTGAGTTGGAGACAATAGGTAAGTAGAGGAGAGGGAACAGAAGAGGCCAATTAATAGTAAAGAATCTGACCATGCTGCCGTTCTCCCCTTTAGGTTTCTTAGCCCAAGTTAAGCCTAAAATGACCTGACTTTAAATTGAATATGAAAACAATGTTTTAATTTATATCAGACTTTTCTGAGTCATACCTCACGATGAGACTGTTATTGAATAAAAGTAAGTAAGAAGATATTCTGGTTTTGCCAGGTTCAAGAAAGAGAAACTCAAAAGAGACTGTTTGAAAACTAATGATGTGAGAAAAGTAAAGCTATTTCAGAAGTTCACCTTACAAAGTTCTGGTGGGTTTAAGACATTATTACAGAATTCTCAGGACCTGTTTTCTAATACAGATGTTCAGGAAGATGGCCCTCTAGAAAATATAAATATTGACTCATCCAGGGCTCCATGAAACATCCATGTGTACATTTTTAAGGTTTTGCTATAATAAATGTCAGATGGACGTTTTGTCCTTTTATCCTTGTCCATAAACTATGCTTATCTTCTGCTGTGTATTTCTCATTTAGCCTTTGATTATTGCTGTCCTTCACTAGAATCTTTCAATCATCTAGACTGAATGAAGATCAAACTATCTTATGATTTCTTATCTCCTAAAATGTTTATTTTAGAAATAGAAGATTGACATTGGCAAAGAGGACAACTGATTGCAAACTTCACACTCACCTCTGATGGCTTTCAAAGGTGGCTATTTTTAGTTACCTCATAACCAAGGGAACTGTCCTCTCACTTATGCCCTGCATCCTGGCACCATTCCTAAGGAAAACATGTTGATGAAGGAGGATCTGTCATTCCTCTTTGATGAGCAGACACTGCAATAGAATGGGATGTGAAGTTGAGAAAACAATCAGCTCAAATAAAGTTGACTCTAATATCTTGATGCAAAGGGGAAAAGCAGACATAGTTTTTCTTCTCAGGGCTTTGTTTCTCCATCATCTGTGAGTAGAGAAATGAGTGACGCATCAGATAGCCTCTTCAAACTCCCCTGTCTCATCATTCCATAGGTTTATCTATTTGAACAGCAGACTAGCAGATACCGAGGTTCACCGTTTTTATCTCTCAGACTCCACGTTCGTTTTCAAAATTGCCTTTCAGAATTTGGTTAGCCAGGATTGAACATGATCACACCGGTCAGATTAAACCCATTTACATTCATTTTTATTCATTGTCATTACTAATGTTTATTACTATTTACAGGCAAAATCTGAAACCTTAAGGCTTCTGAAAAAAAAACCATTAAAGAAAAAAAAACTGTGGTGAATAATGCATTTTTTCTTCTTCAGAGGATATTTGATTTGCAGATATGCAACCTTTTTAAAAATAAAATAAATGAGGTTATCCAGTCTCATATATGAAGTTCTTTTTTCTAATTTTTAATGTAGGGCTATTTATCTCTCAGGATATCAACATTTACACTCTGTCTCATAAAACTTGGTGTTTGAAGAATGCTTGAACTTACAATAAAAAATTATAGTAGTAAGCATCCTTTTCAATTACAATTCTCTGGAATACCTTTTTCTTTACTTCCAAATTTAAATTTCAAATCCTGCATAAGTATAATTATTAGAAAACAAACTTGCTATATTTTGATTTGCTTTCAAATTAATAGAATCAGAATAGAACATATTGTTGATTTTAAGACAATTGCAAGTCACATTTTGAAAATGCTTACTGCACTATAAATCATGTGACTTCATTTCCCAGGATGATAAATGGTCTTTGGCCAACTTGTCACATTTATTTATGTATGTTTCATGCTTCCCTCCTTCGATGTTTTATGTCGCTGAAGGTAAATTGAGTTTGTGCCTGAAAATGCACATGTAAGTAACTTTACCCTTTTCACCAGATTGACTGGCCCATTTAGTTGATACAAACATGCACACAAACACAATAAATAAAAACAATAGCAAAAATAATGAAAAGGAAATTACCTGGTACTTAGAGAAAATATTAAGCATTTGAAACCTTCATCAAAGTTTTTGTTTTTTATCATTTTTGTTAGACAAAATGTCAATTGAAATTAATGCTAATATCTAGTCAAAATTTAGCAGTAATTATCTATCTCAATTTTACCTCAATTAAACCAGCAATCTCAAGTAGAAATTTCTATAGAAGTCTAGTGGTGACATGTAATAGGCTATTATGAGAATTAAACTAAATGTATGGAATGAAGAAAGAAGACAGTTCTAGTGTCCTGTGAAAATGGAAGCCAGATGGCTTGGCCATCATACTGAAATCATGCACCTGATGGTAGAACAAAATTAAGTTGAATTTATTCTCTTAAGAACGTCACTTCCAGATAAAAGATTAAGAAAAATAAGTGTTTTAAGTACCAAAAGTCACAAATATTTTTAACTTTTAAATGTTAATAACACTTTTTTGCCAGACGCAAGACTTGAGGATTGCTATTTACAAAAGGTTTCCATTGCGATCAATATTTTACGTTTGTTTATTGGCAGAAAGGTAACTGAGAAGTGGATAGTTTTTGATGCTGCTTTTGTAGTTGTTGTTATTACTGCTGCTGCTGCTGCTGTTGTTTTGTTGACCCCTGAATCAAGAGTGTATGAAGACAGCACTCAGGAAGAGTGGACAATACTCATTTGGAGAATTTGACATATACTATGGTTCCCATATTATTTAGATAGTAATGATGGTTTCTTGAAAAGCCATCCCAACATTCCGAGGCATTGGACATCCACAAATCCCATCCTACTCCACTCTGTGAATCAAATTAACAGAAAAATTTGAAGTTTTAAGTCGTAGTAGCTAATTAGCAAATTCTATTCTGTATTGCAGTTGTTCTCAGCCTGTTCTTCTCCTGTCTGTACTATATACGAGGTACCCTCCACTGTACCAATGCAAGAAGACCTAATTTAAAGTCTGTAGTCTCTTGTTAATCAAGGAAAAACTATTGAATGCCCTATACATTTCCAAGATTGTGCCAATGTAGCAGGTAATATGCCAGGAATGGAATAAGTCTATACGTTTATTTTTCTGACTTATGCTTCCATTTTGGTCTGATAAAATAAGTACTTATTGGAAATAACTTAGGAGGCCTTTTAAGGAATTAGGTAATCACTTCTGTGATTTCCTGGACACAACATTAATTAGCTAATGATTAATATATTAAATCAGCACTTTTTTATACTGTTAGATTCTTATTTCATACATGTTTACTACAAAAATATATACAGAAAGTAAAATATAACCATGAAAAGTGATCAAATGTGCAGCTGGAGCCCTGACCAATCTTCAGGTTGTGTGCAAAATAAATTAGCATTTGTTGAAGCCATGAATCTTGAGGTGAGGTATTTAAAAATTTGGAGCACCAACTTTCTTGTAGGATAATTATTTCTCAGTATATTTGCAAGTTAAAAAGGAATAATTGGTAAAACATTAAAAATAAATATGGGAAATATAATCCTTGGCCACAAATTTCTCTTTATCTGATCTTTCTTCAGACATTATCATGATAATTTTTTCAATTTCCCTTTCATTATTTGTTTTATTTTAAAATTATTATTAATATTCTATTATACTATAACAGTATAAATAATATATTATTTAATAATATAATTCTAGAAGTAATATTATGGTATTTTATTATTCATGTTATTATCTATATTCATTTTGCTGTAATACTGATACGATAATATGAAAAGATAAATCAAAACCAATAAGGTCTGTACCATGGACAGTAGAAGGAGTAAATTAAGAGTCTTAATTAGGCCTGGAGTGATGGCTTACGCCTGTAATCCTAGCACTTTGGGAGGCCGAGGCGGGCAGATCACCTGAGGTAGGGAGGGCGAGGCCAGCCTGACCAACACGGAGAAACCCCGTCTCTACTAAAATGACAAAAAAAATTACCCAGGCATGGTGACGCATGTCTGTAATCCCAGCTACTCGGGAGGCTGAGGCAGGAGAATCGCTTGAACCTGGGAGGCGGAGGTTGCGGTGAGCCGAGATGGCGTCCCTGCACTCCAGCCTGGGCAACAAAAAGGGAAACTGCGTGTCAAAAAAAAAAAAAAAAAAGAAAAGAAAAGAGTCTTAATTTTGGCTCCAAAGCTAAGAGAGTAGTCTGGTATCTTTTGTGGTCCCAATTTGTAAAGAGAGGTACTGGACTAGGTGGTAACTAAAGTTTTTTCTCATCTCAAATAGTCTGCCCTGAAAATAATAATAATAATATAATCCATTGTTCATGTATAATGAATTATAATAATTATCCAGAATTTTTTTATTGGAAGAAAACTTGTTGTACTTTTATGTTGGCCTATAATGGTGGGATATAAAGGTCCCAAGGGCAGCTTCCACTTGAGCCAGGGAGAATATCAACGACAAAACAGTGTAACTTCCCAGATGGCTACTTTTTGGAATGTGCAGTTCTGACATAAATTAATTTTTTTCATCAAAAGCCTTTTATTCTCAGCCAAATCCTCTTTAAAATGTCATTGCCTGAGGAGTCTGGGTAATTCTGAAAGGATCATGAAGATAAACTGTTCTTGATACTTACAAAGTGTGACAATGATATTCTAATATAGAATGAATACCTCCAAGCATTTCCCTTAATTTGTGTAATGTGTGTATTTTTCCTTTTAAACTGGCTTTAATAAGGTCTTAAAGATGTCTGCAACGCATTTGACTGAATGAAAAGATAATTATTTCCTAAAGAGTTAGGAAGATATTCATCCAATGGTCAAATGTTTAGGCATGTACTTTCCTGCTTTTGCAGTATGAACACATTTCCCAAGAGATTTCAGGGTCAATATCTTTTCACATTTTTGTCTTTAGAAGTAGCGAACAAAGCTACTCACAAAAGCACGCGCACACACACACACATATATATATATAAAGATTTTGGTGATTCTTTTCAGTGGGCTAGATTGTTCTGCTTGACCAAAATCTCCTCTGTGGATCTCTTTGATCAACATAAAAACTGTTTCCCTTTCTAGTATTAGCTCACTGCATTGCCAGAGCTTGAGTTCAGTGATTCTATATTGTTGTTATACTGGCAGTGCTAAACCTTAGATGCTCAATTACGATGTATTTGAAAAATAAATTATTGGATAAATAAATATTGCTAAAAAGTATGTATCGTCCCAGTATGTATCCCAGATCTTCATTCTTCTCCCATATATTTGAAATTCTCACTGAGAGACACTGCTAGGATTACAAAGTTGTCTTGAAAGGGGACATATTAGTTATTGATCCATTACCACCTTGGTACAAACTAAAATGTATCCCTGAGGGAGTGTACCTTTCTTGGATTTCATAAGATACAGGAGAAGAGAAAAGACAAATTAGGGCTTTAAGTACTCTGAGAGGTGAATAGCACATTTAAGTGGGAGGCTTGGGCACCTTGAGAACAGGGAAAGGATCAGAATTGTTGGTGGGAAGTAAATAGAGAGGGTTGCTCATAGGAGAAAAGAAGGGAACCATTAAAAGTGATCTTCATCACAGTTATGTCTGGACCACTCCCCGACTAATATTAGCTTTAATCTAGAAAGCAAATAGCCATGGTATTAAAATTAGGGAATCCCAACACAATCACTTTCACTGTTAACTGTATGAGCAGAGTGCCAGGGTACTTCAGAGTGGAGAATTTGTGAGAAAAAAATTTATCTTTGTTTATACTTTCCTTTTCACTCCATTCTTTCAGGAAAACAGGAAAGGGTCTTTGATTGCCAAGACACTTTGAATGTAAGGTCCCAAAACTTACCGTGTAGGCCATCTATCTAATCATATAATTAAAGATTGCTTTTGAAATTAAGAAAAATCGGAAGCCATAGAATAAAGAGATGGGTGGGGGAGTAGGAAGTGGGTCTTATCTTCACTTTTAAACAAAATAAACGTGTGCAAATAATTTTAGATAATATTTGATGTGTGTATTGTAGTGGTAGGAGTGATTGAAAAATAGAAGATACAATACAATAAAATATAAAGTGATGAACATTTTATGTTAATGTTATGATTTTGCCAAGTTCCTGCTCTATTTATTTTTAGCAATGCTGGGACAAAAAAAGACACAAGGCAACAAAACTATTTTATATGATGCACACAATAATACTAAAAAAAAAACACATTATCAGAATAATCATAATAGGAGGAATTAAAATAATTTCCTTTTAATGGATACAAATAAAGTGTTATGCACTTAATTTTCTTTTATTTAATCCTTATAGCATCTATGTGGCCACAGAAATTGAAGTTAAAAAAGATGAAACCACTTGTCCAAGTTTCCATTTTTAATAGGTGGTGGTGCTGGATTTCAGCGTGAGGGTTATTAGATTCCAATGACTTTGTATTTAACTCCTTCAATACACTGTTTCCTTCACAAAAGTTTATGGCTACATGAAGGTTTTAGAGGAAGTCTTTGTTTTTTTCAACATGGACAGAGTTAATTTAAACTGGTTGGAGAGCATCTACCCTTACTTTTAGTATGTTATCTTCTTGGGATCACACAGGATTACTGAATACAATTAACATCTAAACAAATTTGATAAATTCCCACAAGTCATGTATGGTAGAATTAAGTGTATGAGTCTTAATTAAACCATCAGGTCATAACTACCTGTTTAAAAGCACTGCCGATACCTGTTCTATCACTGTGTACCCCACTGCTTTAGTAAACCTCTCAGCAATGAAGATTTAAGTAGCATTTCCAAGACACTGTATCCCTTCCAGATGTTCTCTGCCCCTGGAAAATCTTAGTGAAGGGAAGGAGAATAGGTTTCTCAAGCTTGATCATTGGACTTTCTTCCTTGGACCTGCAACTTGGAAAGTTTCATCCTTTTTCACTGTAAGAAAGTGCAAAAACTTATTTTAAAATGAATTGTGCAATGGAAATGCATTTTAAAGAACTGGCATGCAAATAATAAGGCCATCGGTGACTTTCTCAGCATAAACTTTTTTGATAATTACAATGTATGTATGCATGAAGCAATAATGAAATAAATTATGACAGCACTAAAGACATATTATTATATAGAGCACATGCAAAGAAGCCCTTTTCTGGGGGTAGAAACCGGCTCATTCTGGTTACACGTATATTTAAACGTTGTTACTGGCAGAGAGCAAACATCATTTCCCTGATGCCTTATAAACAGTGCTACAAAAAAAAAAAAATAAAAAATGTTCTTTGAACTAATTGGAACCCAGTAGGGAGGAGGGCAAAGCAGATACTGTGAGGTTTCAACTTGAATATTTTCCTTGCCATTAGAACAACTTGCTTTCTAAGCCAAGTTTTCTTTCTTTTTACTTCCATAACAGTGAAAGTGGCCCCAGACCTCTCCTATTCTCCATTATCCCCACCGAACTAAAGGGAAGTTAACAGCAAGGGAGAAGTAAGTAAAAAGCTCTGGAAAGGAGGGAAATTGTTTAAAAATTTATCTGAAAAAAAAAAATCAAATAAAAAAAAATTCCCACCCAGGGGAGAAACCTAAGGTCACTGAAAAATAAGAAATAAAAAAAAAAAAATCTTCAAAGAACTAAATGCTGGTGCTTAAAAAAGAGAGAAAAACCAAGATAAATGCAGATGCATTTCAGGAGACAAATGCCCAGAAATCATCCAGGGACCAGCCAGTTCACCATCAGAAATTATACAAAGCTTGAGAATCTGATGGTGAAATTGACCCAGTGGTGTTAGCAGGTCATAATCAATTAATAGTGAACAAATGCCTTCTTTTCCATTGAATACCAAGTTTTTGTCCAGAAGCTAAAATCTAATAAAAACTGAATTTAGTTATTACATTTCAAAGTAAATGTATTCTTTTTTATCTCTCTTCTGTTTCTACTGTGTTTGAGATGCAACTTAAATAATGCCAACAACTGAATGAACTGCAACAGAGCATAAGCACTCAGAAAATATGAAGTGCAGGTCAATCAGACTTCAGGCTTCTTGTCTCTCACCTGAGCCCTATTCTTCATCCCCCTGCTAACCTGTCTGCTCAAAAAGCTGTGGTTAGAGAAGAACTTTCCAGGGCAGAAGAGATTAGAATAGATAAAAACAAGGCAACAGCTTGAGATGAAAGGACAGGAAAAAAGAAAAAAAAAAGAGTGCTTTATGGTCACTGTTTTATTAATAAGTAATTGTGACTAGAGAATATTTAAAAGGCTACTTGAACATATTCTCATATATTAAGGTAATTTATGGAATTCAATTCAAGAAAAGTGTTACAATTTTAATTGCAAAGTATCAAAGCTGCCTACAGTGAGTGTCAGCACTCCTGCGTTAATTTACCTTTCAAATCCTTATGTTTTGTCCGCTAGATTTTGGCATATCCCACAATTTTTCAAGCAACATCTTGACATGAAAGGACAGGCAAAGAAAAAAAAGAGTTTTTTATGGTCACTTTTTTATTAGTAAGTAATTGTGACTAAGGAGAAATATTTAAAAGACTACTTGAACATATTCTCATATATTAAGGTAATTTATGGAATTCAAGAAAAGTATTACAATTATAATTATAAAGTATCAAAGCTGCCTGCACTGAGTATCAGTCACTCCTGCATTAATTTACCTTTCTAATCCTTATGTGTTGTCCACTAGACTTTGGCATGTCCTGTAAGTTTTCAGTGTGGGTTCTGTATACATATTTTTTTGAGACATGGTCTCACTTTGTTGCCCAGGCTGGAGTTCAGTAGTGCAATCATAGTTCACTGCAACTTCAAACTCCTGACCTCAAGTGATTCCCCTAACTCACCCTCCCAAGAGTAGCTGGGAACACAGGTGCATGCCATTACACCCTACTAATTAAAAAAAAATTTTTTTTTCACAAAGTCAGAGTATCATGATATGGTCCAGGCTGGTCTTGAGCTCCTGGCCTCAAGCAATCTTCCTTCTTGGCCTCGCAAAATGATCAGATTACAGGCATGAGCCACTGGACCCGGCCTATAAAGTTTTATAGTGATGTAAAACATGATTCTAGAAAAACTCAGATGTTTCCTTTTCTTTTTCTTTTTTTCTTTTTTCTTTTTTTTTTTTCACTCTGTCACCCAGGCTGGAGTGCAGTGGCATCATCTCGGCTCACCGCAACCTGTGCCTCCTGGGTTCAAGTGATTCTCCTGTCTCAGCCTCCCGAGTAGCTAGGATTACAGGCATGTGCCACCATGCCTGGCTAATTTTTGTATTTTTAGTAGAGACGGAGTTTCGCCATGTTGGCCTGATTGGTCTCAAACTACTGGCCTCAAGTGATCCACCTGCCTCAGTCTCCCAAAGTGCTAGGATTACAGGTGTGAGCCACCATGACTGGCCAAACTCAGATATTTCATATTTCTTAAATATTACTGTTTAGAAGTTGTTGTGTAATTCTAATTATCTCCAGGAGGATGGTTACTCCAATCTCCAGTTAAGAGTAACCAAATTTATGACCAAATAGTTTAAGGAGACAATAGGTAAATATGTGATTGAGTGCAGGTTAGTCTGGACATTTAGAGGAACGTGGCATCAGAACCCTGCTTCTCCAGTTATTTGACCTGGCCCTTGTTTTGTCCACGTTGATGCAGACAGTTTCCATGTATCATTCTGCTGCCTCCTATCTGCCCCAGGCTTCTATGCTGTTGCTCCTCTATTTATTTCCCTTCAGGCACTGCCTCATGTTCTGAACCTATGTGGACTTCCAGGATCTACTGACATCTCAACTCCTATTATACTCTTTACTCGAACATCCTTAAGGAATTTTTGCTGTTGTTATTGTGTTATTCAAGTTGAAGAAGTGGTAAAGGCCTTGCTCTTAGACATGAGGTTTTTTTCCAAATCTTTTATTTATAACTTGTGCGAGCCCTTAGCTTTTGAGACTAAAAAGCAAGGAAGAGTCTTCCTTTTTTTCTGCATTATTTTGTTACATACATATGCAGAGTGAGTAAAAACACAAATTTCCTATGTATCCAAATGTGGACTAAGGATATAGGAAAAATATTTGTTAATCTTTCACAAATATTATTCTGTCATTTGGTATATTTAGCTAATGCTAGGGAATGTTTTAATTCCTCTACATTTAATTTCATATCCCCAAGTGCTCTACAGCTCTCCTGGTAACCCTCACTCAGCTCAATACCATTCTTAAGAACTGCACACAGTATTTGCCCTTGTAGTAATAGAAGATAAACACAGAAAAGAAACAGAAATTATGTTTTACACACTTACATCTTACCTCTTCTGGATCCTGACATTCCCCTCCCTTCAAGTCTGGAACTCTCTTGTCAGGTAAAACAAAACAAAACAAAACAAAACAAACCACACACAATAAGTCAGGCATTTTGATTAACATAACCAGGTTTACAGGTGCAGACTTAGTTATAATGGAGTGGTCTTTGTCATCTGGGAAAATATAAGCACATTTTCTGGCATTGTGTTCAGCCCTAACATGTTAACAATTTAAAGCCATTTCTGTAGGGTTTGAGGCATTCCAGGAGCCCATTTGTACAGAAATCCTGTCAGCCACCAGTACTCTCTGTGTAATGTTGGATTGGGGCCTGAGCCAAATTGCTGTTCTCCTGAGAGTCCGCTTTAAAGTTCACACTTTTTCTACTCCAGAAGGCTAATGAGTACTATGTCTAGAAAAGATACAATGTGGAATTGGCCATGAATATTAAATTAAAAATAAATAAATAAACACTCCACACAGAACAACCTGTTTATTGTGCTATTGCTTGAATGCAATTTCCATTATCTGTAATAATTCATTACTGTCTTAAAAGCTAGGGCTTCAGCTATTTCCTAGTAAATGCATATTATCCAGCATAGCAGTAACGATGAGTTAATCAAACAAATATCTCTAAGAACATAGAAACTATATATATATATGTGTGTGTGTGTATATATAGTGGGGGAAAGAAAGGAGGAACTATTGATTGCTTTTGGAAAGAACACTCTTGTGGAACCTGTTAATGGCTCATTAATCTGCTTTTAAATTCAGAGTTTGCATTTGGAATTTGGAGGGAGGTGAGCAGTGCAGTGATACTTTCACAGTGTCCTCTCTCTACCTCCATTGTCTCTTCGTGAGTCTTAAATGAGCTGCTATGTTTGTCCAATGATAGCATAGGTTTAATATGGTACGATGCAGATTCCTAGTACTGAAGGAATTTTTCTTTTAATGAGTTAGTTTTCACTTCCACTTCCATGGTAGAATTGGTGGAACTAAAGTTAGGGAAAGAACAATAAGACTTAAAGTATTTGTTCAAATTTAGTTTTTTTAAAAAAGTATGTACTTAAAAGAAACCAAAACATCTCACAAACAAACTGAGCAAGAGAAAAGGACTTTCACTGATATGCAGGCTGATATCCTGAATCCCATGGAAGAATGTATTGGAACAAATATTTTAGCTAATTATTAATGATTTCATTTAACTATTTAAATGAAACATGTACCAAATGTGCTTCCAAATATACTGCATTTCAAAAGTAAGCACTTTCAATAAATAATATATATGTGCCACATTTTTTTCCTGTTAAATTTTTAGAGAAAACTGGAAAGACTAAATTATGCTTCCAAAGAACTTTAAGTTTACTTCTTTGGGAAAGGGTTTTAAAAAAGGATGAAAAGTTAGAAAATTCACCTTTTAAACTTGAAGAGGAATTTGGCAAGAACAACATTAATGCCATCTATCAATTCTGTGTGGAAGATCCACAAGACTACTTGCTATGAATGACTAATTTCATAGCATTACACATTCCACCCAATTGCTTCTATATTAGAAAGGGCCTTATATAATAAGAAAGAAGCACATACCTTATGGTGTTTTTGTGTGTTACTGTTAATATTATTTATTATTCAAAGAAAGATAGGAATTTGGCATTGAATTCACACAGGCTGAGTTGAATTCTGTATTAGAACTGACCTTTGTATTTGTGGAATATAGACTCTGCTTGTCATTGTACAGTTACTGTGAAAGGTGATTTCTGCCACGGAGATAAAATGTAAAGCACTGATCTTATTTGAGGAGATAACTTTCAAATATATCAATAACAACAACAACAACAAAATCTTACAGAAGTTACTTTATCTATCTGGTACTCAATTTTCACTTCTGCAAAATGTGAAGGTGTCTAAAGATCCCTTTTGTTCTTTGATTCAGTATGCATATGAAACATAAATATGTCTCTACTCAATTTTGCAAAATAACAATCTATTATACTTTTGGTAGAAGGAACACCATTGTCATGTTCTTATTTGCTGTAGTAAGACTAGATTGCAGTGTTTGACATAATTTTAAACACTGCAGTGGAAGGGAATGGAAATATTTCAAATGCTCCTATCCTGACTCTTACATCAGGCAAACTAAGTGGGGTATATCTAGAGAACATATATAAAAATGATTGGTAAGTCATAACTTGGTAACTGCTCAAATTTAAATTGTCTCATTTTGTAAAGATAATTTGGTGGCCTGTTCTTCCATTACCCTCTGTCCAAACATAAGAACTTGAAATAAAGCCTAAGTAACAGGGCAACTTCAGGAAAGAGAAACAAATTGAAATTGTCTCTGGTGAGTATTTAGAGAACCAAAGAACATGTAACAAATCACTCAGAAGATTAATATATAATCCAGGATGAAATTACTCTGCCTTTTAAATTATCAAGACACAAAGGAAAAGGAGATAAATCCAAACCAGCTAGTTTCACTTTCTTAGCCCTCTGGCTGTCTATTTAAAGACTCTAGATGCCCATGTGAAATGGAAGGTGTTTACATATTTTGGTGAGGAAAAAATATGGTAAAAGAGCATACATACTAACTCTTTATCTCTCTTTTTTTTAAATAATACAAGGCATTATGCAAAGACCTTTACTAGTATTGGACTAGATTTTTAAAATACGCATTATTTAGAGTTTTGTATTTTGCATATTATCTCTTGACATTTCTTGTGTGTGTGTGTGTGTGTGCATGTGTGTGTAAGAGAGAAACAAAGGAGACAGTGGTGACACAGAGACAGAGACGGAGAGAGAAAAAAAGAAGAAGAAAAGAGGGAGAGAGGAAACCAGTCCTTTTTTAAAGACATTGAAACAATTTGATATTTTTAATCCCTGGGTTTTCCATTAACTTAATGATCATGTTTGAATAAATTTCAGCAGCTATATTTGTACATAGAATTTAGATAGCAGGGGTAGGCAAGTAGGTACCTTTTTCACTCTGAGATTAAAACTTCACCTGGTTGGCTTCCTCAGAGTTAATGAGAGGGTAATTCTATTTGTCCTCCAAGAACTCACTGAAGAGATTGTAATGTCTGGTGCCAATTACAGTGTGGATATCTGACTACAGGAACTGGTATGACTCCACCAACTCATCTCACCCACACTAACAAGAAACTGTCAGACGAAAAGAGTTCTCTGCTTCTCCCACCTCAGGCTGTATCTAAACCAGTTGCCTAGGGGTGAACGACTCAGTATATCCCATTACTGAACTCATGCTACACTGCAGAGTTGGAAATAACCTCAATGCCGTCGCAAAAGAAAATAACAATGGTCAAATTTGTAAAGAATAATCCAAACCTCCTAGGAAACTTTTTATTTTTTATTTTTTTAATTATTATTATACTTTAAGTTTTAGGGTACATGTGCACAATGTGCAGGTTAGTTACATATGTATACATGTGCCCTGCTGGCGCACTGTACCCATTAACTCGTCATTTAGCATTAGTTATATCTCCTAATGCTATCCCTCCCGCTCCCCACACAACACAACAGTCCCTAGAGTGTGATGTTCCCCTTCCTGTGTCCATGTGTTCTCATTGTTCAATTCCCACCTATGAGTGAGAACATGCGGTGTTTGGTTTTTTGTCCTTGCGATAGTTTACTGAGAATGATGATTTCCAATTTCATCCATGTCCCTACAAAGGACATGAACTCATCATTTTTTATGGCTGCATAGTATTCCATGGTGTATATGTGCCACATTTTCTTAGTCCAATCTATCATTGTTGGACATTTGGGTTGGTTCCAAGTCTTTGCTATTGTGAATAGTGCCGCAATAAACATACGTGTGCATGTGTCTTTATAGCAGCATGATTTATAGTCCTTTGGGTATATACCCAGTAATGGGATGGCTGGGTCAAATGGTATTTCTAGTTCTAGATCCCTGAGGAATCGCCACACTGACTTCCACAATGGTTGAACTAGTTTACAGTCCCAACAGTGTAAAAGTGTTCCTATTTCTCCACATCCTCTCCAGCACCTGTTGTTTCCTGACTTTTTAATGATTGCCATTCTAACTGGTGTGAGATGGTATCTCTTGTGGTTTCGATTTGCATTTCTCTGATGGCCAGTGATGGTGAGCATTTTTTCATGTGTTTTTTGGCTGCATAAATGTCTTCTTTTGAGAAGTGTCTGCTCATGTCCTTTGCCCACTTTTTGATGGTGTTGTTTGTTTTTTTCTTGTAAATTTGTTCGAGTTCTTTGTAGATTCTGGATATTAGCCCTTTGTCAGATGAGTAGGTTGTGAAAATTTTCTCCCATTTTGTAGGTTGCCTGTTCACTCTGATGATAGTTTCTTTTGCTGTGAGGAAGCTCTTTAGTTTAATTAGATCCCATTTGTCAATTTTGGCTTTTGTTGCCATTGCTTTTGGTGTTTTAGACATGAAGTCCTTGCCCATGCCTATGTCCTGAATGGTAATGCCTAGGTTTTCTTCTAGGGTTTTTATGGTTTTAGGTCTAACATTTAAGTCTTTAATCCATCTTGAATTAATTTTTGTATAAGGTGTAAGGAAGGGATCCAGTTTCAGCTTTCTACATGTGGCTAGCCAGTTTTCCCAGCACCATTTATTAAATAGGGAATCCTTTCCCCATTGCTTGTTTTTCTCAGGTTTGTCAAAGATCAGATAGTTGTAGATATGTGGCATTATTTCTGAGGGCTCTGTTCTGTTCCATTGATCTATATCTCTGTTTTGGTACCAGTACCATGCTGTTTTGGTCACTGTAGCCTTGTAGTATAGTTTGAAGTCAGGTAGCGTGATGCCTCCAGCTTTGTTCTTTTGGCTTAGGATTGACTTAGTGATGAGGGCTCTTTTTTGGTTCCATATGAACTTTAAAGTAGCTTTTTCCAATTCTGTGAAGAAAGTCATTGGTAGCTTGATGGGGATGGCATTGAATCTATAAATTACCTTGGGCAGTATGGCCATTTTCACGATATTGATTCTTCCTACCCATGAGCATGGAATGTTCTTCCATTTGTTTGTATCCTCTTTTATTTCCTTGAGCAGTGGTTTGTAGTTCTCCTTGAAGAGGTCCTTCACATCCCTTGTAAGTTGGATTCCTAGGTATTTTATTCTCTTTGAAGCAATTGCGAATGGGAGTTCACTCATGATTTGGCTCTCTGTTTCTCTGTTATTGGTGTATAAGAATGCTTGTGATCTTTGTACATTGATTTTGTATCCTGAGACTTTGCTGAAGTTGCTTATCAGCTTAAGGAGATTTTGGGCTGAGACAATGGGGTTTTCTAGATATACAATCATGTCGTCTGTAAACAGGGACAATTTGACTTCCTCTTTTCCTAATTGAATACCCTTTATTTCCTTCTCCTGCCTAATTGCCCTGGCCAGAACTTCCAACACTATGTTGAATAGGAGTGGTGAGAGAGGGCATCCCTGTCTTGTGCCAGTTTTCAAAGGGAAGGCTTCCAGTTTTTGCCCATTCAGTATGATATTGGCTGTGGGTTTGTCATAGATAGCTCTTATTAGTTTAAGATACGTCCCATCAATACCTAATTTATTGAGAGTTTTTAGCATGAAGCGTTGTTGAATTTTGTCAAAGGCCTTTTCTGCATCTATTGAGATAATCATGTGGTTTTTGTCTTTGGTTCTGTTTATATGCTGGATTACATTTATTGATTTGCGTATATTGAACCAGCCTTGCATCCCAGGGATGAAGCCCACTTGATCATGGTGGATAAGCTTTTTGATGTGCTGCTGGATTTGGTTTGCCAGTATTTTATTGAGGATTTTTGCATCAATGTTCATGAAGGCTATTGGTCTAAAATTCTCTTTTTTGGTTGTGTCTCTGCCCAGCTTTGGTATCAGGATGATGCTGGCCTCTTAAAATGAGTTAGGAAGGATTCCCTCTGTTTCTATTGATTGGAATAGTTTCAGAAGGAATGGTAGCAGTACCTCCTTGTACCTCTGGCAGAATTAGGCTGTGAATCCATCTGGTCCTGGACTCTTTTTAGTTGGTAAGCTATTGATTATTGCCACAATTTCAGAGCCTGTTATTGGTCTATTCAGAGATTCAACTTCTTCCTGGTTTAGTCTTGGGAGGGTGTATGTGTCGAGGAATTTATCCATTTCTTCTAGATTTTCTAGTTTATTTGCGTAGAGGTGTTTGTAGTATTCTCTGATGGTAATTTGTATTTCTGTGGGATCGGTGGTGATATCCCCTTTATCATTTTTTATTGCCTCTATTTGATTCTTCTCTCTTTTCTTCTTTATTAGTCTTGCTAGCGGTCTATCAATTTTGTTGATCCTTTCAAAAAACCAGCTCCTGGATTCATTAATTTTTTGAAAGGTGTTTTGTGTCTCTATTTCCTTCAGTTCTGCTCTGATTTTAGTTATTTCTTGCCTTCTGCTAGCTTTTGAATGTGTTTGCTCTTGCTTTTCTAGTTCTTTTAATTGTGATGTTAGGGTGTCAATTTTGGATCTTTCCTGCTTTCTCTTGTGGGCATTTAGTGCTATAAATTTCCCTCTACACACTGCTTTGAATGTGTCCCAGAGATTCTGGTATGTTGTGTCTTTGTTCTCGTTGGTTTCAAAGAACATCTTTATTTCTGCCTTCATTTCGTTATGTACCCAGTAGTCATTCAGGAGCAGGTTGTTCACCTCCTAGGAAACTTTTTAATGTCTTCTGACCTTTATAGGATTTTTAAAACATTAATGATGTCAATGGCAAAGGAAATCTACATGCTACTGTGTATAGCAAGACAATGATTTCACTACAAAATACAAAAATTTAAAATAGAAATTAAAATTAGATATAGCCTAGTAATATCTTTTATGTTAATAAAATGAGATAATAGGCAAAGGTATGTATTCAGAGTAGATTTACTTGGAAATGGAGAAACAAGTGGGAACTACCTGTGCTGTATACCTATCCTGTTAAGCGTCAAAATTCTAGAATCAGACTAGTGGACTTGAATCCCAGCTTCACTACTTAACTACTTAGCAAATCATGGATAAAAGACTTAAATTATCTGTGCCATAGTTTCCTTATCTGTATAAATGAGTGTAGTGCTATCAAACTAATAAGGTTGCATAAAAATTGCAAATAAAATACTTAAAACAGTGTTTGGCACATTGTGAATGCACACACATACAAATGGATAGTATAATTAATAAAACACAAAGCATCACTTTTAAAGAGGAAAAAATGTATTTCTACATTTACACATTTTTTAACTTTGTCAAAATAGGGTTTTATAAGAGTCTAGTCATGCTGCTCTCTTCTTTTTCTGCTACCACCACCAAATGATTACCTCTGGGATAAACTAAGATTCTCCTGACGAAGTGAGAAAATTCCAGGAGGCTTTACCTGTTGGTAAGTATAAGTTCCATGCACTCTGGGGCTTTGAAGTAATGGTGAAGGATGATTGTCCTCTACTTCGTGTTGAATCCTTGCCTTTGAATTCCAGTGTATGTCAGTTAAAAGGAACTATCATTTCTTTCACCTACAATTAATTCTCATCAGACAATTGCATGTGATAGGTGTACACAAGCCAGAATAGAGTTGCAACAAAGGAGGGAGGCTCCTTCTCGGTGGCTAGCTATAGTCTGATAGCTAAACCAGGAAAATTTCAATTCTAGTTTATTACACATTATTTGTTTTCTGTGTTCTAATAGGATATACATTATTTTTCAGGATTAGTATTAGAAGTATTTATGCTTTCCTTGAACGTGTTTATATTGTGCAACAAAAATGTTTCTGGGAATCAACATTTATTAATTACTTGTTTAAATTATAACTCCCAGCTACCAAAGAACTATTTTCAGTTGAAAGGCATTATTATAATCTTTGTAATAATGTGTTAAAACAGCTGCTAAAATGCCAATCAATTAAATAAAAATCAATTAAACAAAAAAGACAGAATAAGATATTGCCATTTTGTTTTAATTTTAATAAATGCTTACCTGTCTCAGCATCTTTATAAATGTACTCTAAATTTTGGATATTTCTTCTATTTTATTCTATAACTTAAGGAGGTGACAAATAAGAATACTATTGAAGGACATAGGAATGCATCTCAATGTTTTAATAATCGTAGAGAAGTTTTGTGCACACTGAGCAAGGAGATGACTAAAATATTCATGATGTTACTTTAGGGCAGGTTCAGTAATATATCAGTGAAATCTCACCCTCGGCTCTGTGCTTATGTCTCAATCCTCTAGAAAGCCACCCGTAACCTACTGCAATTCGCTGTAAATAGATTCCAAATATTTGGAACTTAAGAAGAATAAGCATGAACTTCTTGAGAGTCCATTGTAAGAAGCACTCCCCTTTTGGGTTATTTGCCTCTTTCATGAAAACATTCTTTGTCTATTCTCTAAGAACTTTCTCTGCCCCATTCACCTAGTCACAGGATGAATTACTATTCGGTGATTCAACCTGCCATATAACTCCCTTTCTTCTCCCTGTTGTTGTTTCTATTACTTTTATCTTTTTCCCATGTTTTTCTTCATTTTTCTCTGAGTACCTCTCTTCTTTACTCTCTATCATATTACATTATTTCTTTCATAGCATATAGTGCAATCTAACATCTCTTTTCTATTTACTTCATATATACCTATTGTCTCCTTATGACCCTCTATTGCCGAAAGTTTAGGAACAGAATCTATTACAAATAGGCTGTCCATAATATCAATTTTTAATGAATGAATGAAAAAAATGAAAGTACTGATTCTCAAGATAGACTTATAAAGCAAGGGCCTTTTTTTCTTCCAGTGTGACCTAAATATTTATGAATGAAGACGAAGACTTCAGTAAAATACAGTGAAAAGGTGGAAGTGCTTTTTTTATGAGCAATGCAACCTTTATAAATTCCTAAACAATTACATATTGAGTTTAAAAACCATCAGCTACTTAAGGAGCTAAGGAATATGCACCATGAAATTACACAAGAGCAACATGGTACCAAATGACTGTTTAAGTCTAAGAAACTAGGATAAAAGTTACAATCAAAGTTCTAGTCTCAGGAATACGTCGTGTTCTTACTTTTCAAGTATAAGTGAATGTAGATTAGGTACAAGTTATATGAAGGACAAGAAGGGACCATTTATTCTTAACTTTGATGTTTCTGGTTATATAATATTATAGTCATTTATTCTAATCATTGCTTTATTGTTCTACATTTTTAACATACTAAATTTGAAGCCTTTTTTAAGACCATCAATCTCCTCTTCTCATGCAAAATTTTAAATGTTTGACCTGCATCTCACGGATAATGATAGACACTAGCCTAGGCTTTGAAGGCAGGTTACGCTTATTCCTAGACTCAGCAAATGTGCATTGAGTGAATGTTTAACTCACTTTGGAGTCCCTTGCCCCTCTGCTTGACTTTCTAGTTCTCAGACTTCTTTCCTACTGCTAACAGAGGTATGAAACTCCCAAGACATTTAGTCTTTATCTATTGGTTTTCAGAGCATTCATTGAGCCTTGCTTTCTTCCTTCAGGCCATATCTGTGTCTTTTGTTCTGAAACAGAGCCTGAAATCTGCCCATGAACTTTTTGCCCACCTACACCTTAACTGTACTGAGCTCCTGTGATTTCCATCTACGTCTTTCAGCATAAAGGAGGTACATGGGGCATAGATCCAGTCTAAAGAAAGAGCCTAATTGAAACTAGATGAAACATTTGGCAAAGATCTCTTGAGTCAACCTTCTATTTTTTTAATTTCAAATATGGAAGTGTCATTAGCAAGTTGGCAATAAAGAGAGATGCTCTTAGTATTTAAAGTATTTCAATATTTAATACTGTACTCCAACATTTAAAGGGTTCTAGAACCCAAATAACCAGTCCTTTTCAAATTGAGTTTAATAATGAGGCATCAATAGTGTATTGAGTCCTTCTTTGATTGTTACAAAATGCTATCTTGTCAGTAATCAATTGAGGTTTGCTCATGTGACAATCTGAAGGGTGTCACCTAGACAATTTCAGTGCTAAATCTAGGGATCCTATGAATGAAAGTTGGAGTAAGTTGCCAATATAAACTGTGTCTTTTAGATATGATAAGCTTATTTGTTTCAATCTCCTTATAATTTGATTGAGTATGCATTTGGGTGGCTTCGTTTGCTTATTCACTTACTTTATTTACTTTTATTTTCATTTCATTACAGCATAATTGGCAAAAATTTTACAAAAAATTATAAAGTTTAAAAAGGCCCCTTACAAACACTGAACAAGATTATCTATATCTTGTCACCTTTTTACCAATATTTGTTTGTTGTTTTGAAAAAATACTGGACAGAAAACTGCTCAGAAAATGTACTTAAATCAGTGGCAAGATCAAGGTTATTAAATAAGTATGATGAATTGATTGGAAATGTTTAAGGAAAAGTGACATGGCGCTAAATTAGAAAGGAAATGCCTCTCTCTTTCTTTTCCATCTTGCAGGGGTGTCCCTGAGCTGCATCTTTATGTAAGTCAATTATGTTTTTCCTCCACATATTCTAGCATGATTGGTATAACTGATTCTAATACAATCATTCCTAAGACTTCACGAGGGATTTGTTTTTAGAAAGTAAAAGTATCAATACTACTCTCTACTCCCTGTACTTTTAGGACAGCTCCTTATTGGCTGATGTTTTGCACCAAAATATTCTAGAGCTGCCCTCTTCTAGGTCCCTACTTCGCATATACTCCAAAGCAGTTGCTCTGGCAGCTCCAGTCATTACTTCCTGCACCAGAATTTTCTTCTCCCATAGTTAACCGTTACTTTTTGTAAGCATTATTTATTCAGTCAATTGAAATGAAAATTTAATTAGAACTAAAGTGGTAATGGCTAAAAACATATTAAAACCAATTCTTAACAACAAAAATAATTATTAATGTGAATCTTAATAATTTAATACTGATTCAGTCTTGAATTATACAAGCCATATGTTGGGCTCGTATGTCGTTCTTCGGGATCTCTAGACATACTATTTGAATGACTGCCTTCGCTACCCGTTATGGACCCAAGGCTTACAAGGCCAACATGCAGTTATACAAGTTTTTCACTGCATGAAGGCATAAACTGAAAGAGCAGGTAGGGATTGGAATCCAGACTACATTCTGTTTGCCAAGCACACTCCCTAGGATAGGGCTTCATCAATCTACAATATGGGGGGTCCTTTTCTTAACTGATACAAATAAGAAATAGTTATTTCCTAAGCAGTGTATTCCTGGAGGCAAGTCCACCTAGAGAAGATACTGATTTTTCCGTTTGTTGTAATTTGCATAAAGGCACCAGTGTTAGCCCTGATAGGACCAGCTTTGCTTCCTTTGTATAACTATTATTTCTTCTACTGGACACTTACACATTTGTCAGAATCAAGTCCAGTTTTCTTAATTTTCTCTTGCTGTATACTAAACTTTGGAGCAGAGGGTCTTTGCAAAGGTGTTCTTTTAGTAATTTATTTGAAGCATTTGTGGTTTTTAATATTAAGTTCATAATTATGTATATTTTATGTTATTTTATCACAAAAGCTTTCAACTGTTCATGGATCTGGAGTCATTTTAAAGCTATACTTAGACTACATGTGCAAATTGAGAATATTGATTAGACTCCATGTGAGCAAGAGTCCCACATAAAAAGCCATTGCCAATTAATTAAATTACAAGGTATGAGATATGAAAATTCTATGACTAACCAAAGAAATGAGCTTATACCAAAGGTCCCATAATGGCATAAATGTTATCCAGAAAATGATGCAGAAATTCCAGTGTTTTTCCAATCCTTTAACAAATCTTACCTGACATGATTGATATTAGATATGTAGTCTATTAAATTATTAAATTACTCATTTCATTTAGCTAAGAAAATTCAGTGCAATAAAGTCATTGATGTCTTGTTTCTTTCACCACCCATGTAGGAAGTACTTGTAGCAAAAGCAATGGATTGACACCTCCAGTGGCCAGGAGGGTTAGTTGCCAATTACACAGAGCTAAGCCCCTTGCCAGGAACTGCTCTGTCCTTCTCCCAGAGGGCAGCCCGCACACAATGACTGATGGAGAACAAATGCCTTGACAATTCAGGACAACTCTGAAAAACTATCCCAATTCCAGAGCTTCCCTTTGGATCAACGGAGGCCTCTGTTATAGCTGCATTACAGATGAACTCTGCCCTCTGCTCAATCCTGCTTTCCTCACCCTTCACAAATGTTATTCCTGGAATTTCTCAGCAATAAACTTCCTGCACACTTATCCCAGAAACTGTTCCCTGAAGAACCTCACTTACTAGAGTTGGTACTAGAAGTGATTTTAGAAGAGGAGTGGCTTACTAACCAACTGGCCACGGAGCCCCTATCTCTGGTGGTAGATGGTGGATAGATAGCACTTGGGGTAGTCTGAGGGCAATTACAAACCTTTCACAAGTGGTGAAACTAATACTGGAATCCTGGAGAAGGGACTGCACCAGGAGGTGCAACATTGTAGGCATTTGGGAGATCCAAGGACAACTCAAGGATTATAGAATCAGATGAATGGAAGCCCTCAATGTACTAGTTAATCAACAATATAAGGTAAATTTTCTAAGCCAGAAGTTCTTCTTAGCAGCATATAAAGAGTCTCTTCCAGAATAGCCAGAGGTCAAAATAACCCGATGTTCTTGTGCCAGGACTAAGATTAGCAGAACTCTAGAGATAGATGCATTACCAACCTTAGCAGATATGCTGGGCTGGGTCAAGTCCTTGATTATGAAGGAATAAGACTCAGACACCTGAAATGGTTACATCTGGGTCAAGGAAGCTGGAATTCTTGAATACCCAGATCATTCTGAACACTTTAGGCATGTAATATCCTAAACTACCTCTCCAACAGATCAAAACATAAGCTTTCTCCCCTTGCTTAAATATAATGAAAAGAGTCTTCTTTGTTAGATAACATGTGCTCCCCTCATAATCTACCCTCATCTATCTTCCTATTGGACCAATGAAAGGGTCAATTCACAGCATAACCCTGCCCTGCCAAGAAGTGCTGGGCTGGCTAAGGAAGAAAATGAGGCAGTGCACAGAAGGAGCTGCTGGACCCAGCCAACATGCTGGGTCAAGAACATGGAGAGTATGTGTGGGGCCAGATGCTGATAATGCTGGATCAAGGAGGGAGAGGAACAGATGTCAAGTAAAACAAGAGAAAGTACCAATATGGGAGCATTCACATATAATACAAGATTTCAAATCCTAGAACTAGAACCTATTAGAAAGGACCCTGGGATACAGTGCTTATACACACTGGTTGAGCCGTAGAAGCTTAGTAAAAGAGATGGTCCACTCTAAGAGAAGTAGAGACACCAAATCTACCTTGAAAAAGGGGAAGAAGTAATCAAATACCTCAAATGAATAAGCATTCTAAAGTGGATATACTATCTAAAGCCAAACAACTAACTGGTTAACTATCATGGGGGAGCCAGAGTAAGTATGTTAAGTTCTCTTCTGTTGACTAGACCACTTTGAGTGTACCATCTGTTATTTGTACTTGTTTTAAAAATCAAAATGTGTGTCTACAATGAAAAGCAATGACAGTTTGAGTTACCAAAGTGCTAAGGGATGTGCTACTAGGATGGGCACCAACGTTGTTAGTAAAGTCAGTGGAGCTGTCCTCTCTATGCCAGTCTTGCCCTCCATAGACAACATATATTGCTGAAGGACTGGCTTCCCCAAGAGCAATGTGGTGGTATGCTCCCCAGATCAGAGAGACTGTCTGGTAGCACCTGATCATCAGAAACAAGCAAAATGCAGTGATTATTATGAATGTCACAGTCAGAGATAAAAGACAATCCTATACTTTCCACACTTAAAAACTATAAACTACAAGCTTTGTTTTTTATCATCCCAGTCAACAGCTGTGAATATCTGGAAATGCACTAGATACTACATATGAACATTTTTTCTTAGTCACTTCTGAGAAGGAAAAAAAAGATAATTCAGGGTAGCTGGATTTTAGATCCATGTCTTTTTCCTTGATCTATAAAATCTAATTCATTAAAACCTAATCAACATGTAGAAAGTAATACTCCAGGCAGGACTTTTCTGAAAGGCAACTTTCTACTTATAAGAAGAGGACAAGAAGGTTCTTCTGATTCTTCTAACAGATGTCATTATCCTTTGAAATATTGCCGTGGACACACATACTTACAATTTGATACAAGTCTCAGAAAGGGGAAAAAAGTAGTCCCAATCATCATAGGAGGTAAGTTTGGAAAAGCTTGGAAAGATTTATACCAGCATTTTAACAGTGCATACTTCCAAATGATTGACCCATTGCTGTGTGTGTGATTCTCTGCTCCTCTAGATCCATTCTCCTGACCTCTCTGCCATGAATGGCCCTGGGGTGGTGGACCGCTATGGACTCCATCATCAGGCTCTCTGGCCTCTTGCTCACTGGGTTCAGACAATGAATTCCGAGCCCTCCCAGAGCCAGAGATGAGTAGTAGAGGAGAGGAAGGGTGGGATATTTTTACTCGTGTCCTCTCCCAATCTGGCTGTAGTTCTTGGTTCACATATGAATTTATGTCCTGTTGGGTGGCCATTCTCCCATGGTTAAAATCCTAGTTAAGTTTCAGTAACACTCTTTTTTTCTTGTGCCCATCTAATCAGAGGGATGGTAATGATTTCTCACCGATACCTGGCTCTGAGTTCTTTTTAGTTCTCTTTGCCCTCCTCACACTCCTGTAAGCATTCTCATTGTTAAGTTCTCTTCTATTGAATAAGCACTGTGAGTGAACCATCTGCTTCTTGTTAGGACACTGACTGATAAAAACTGGTAAATTTTTCTTCTTTATTTGTGCTTGTTTTAAAAATCAAAATGTGTGTCTACAATGAAAAAGCAATGACAGTTTGAGTTTCATATTATTATGTTAGTTTTGCACCTCAGTTGGGGAAATAATGAGAAATTTGTAACTTCATACCATTTTCCTTGACAATGTTAATAAAAATTACATGAGCTGGCCCTTTGGCTGTTTTTGGTTTGGCTATGTGGTTTATTCCAAGTGAAAACATTTTGGGGGAGTGGGTGGAGACAGATGATGGAGTCACATACCTTGGGTTTTGCTTTGTTTTGCCTCTGATCTCAGCAAAGTTCAAAATTATTTCTCTCTTTCCATATTTCTGTTCATAGATAAGGCCTATACTGATGAGTTAAGAGCTTGTGTTACCGAAAGTCGTAGTTGAACTAAACTAAGATTAGCAAAGTAGATATCCAAGACTAACCTGTTAAGTTGTCTAATCCTAAAAATTGCAACAAATTAAAGGCAGCATCTGCAGATATTCCTATAGCATACCACCATATATATACATCTGTATCATGCTATTGCTCATTTGGGGTGGTGCCTAAAAATACCCCCATTGTCACATAATAATATATACACACACAATCTCTTCATTTTGATTTCAAGCATTTTATAGAAAAATAAAGTTATAGCTCTAATTAAAGTTGGCTAAGTTAGGAAATGCTTGTCTCATTTGAAACAGTGGCTTGAATTTCAATACCTAGGGACACTATTCCTCCCCCATGCATTATGAAAAGAGAAGTAATTAAGTTCCTATATATAGAAAGAATTGGTTTGCTGTTTAGACACATCATTTACTTTTTGCTCAACTGCTCCATGGGAAGGCAGACAGATATAGCTTCAGATGTGTGCCTGTGCATCTGTGCAGCTTGTTCAAAACAAACACCTAAACTCTTGGGACCACTCCGTTAGAGAGTGAAATAATGAAAACATTTTATCGAGAGAGAAATATCAGCTTCTGACAGACTCATCTCAGTTGTCCCCCTTCAACTGAAGCATTTTGGAAGAAAATATTTGGGAATATATCTTGCACAAGATTCTTAATCCCTTGTTGCTACCATCCCAAGGATTGTCTGTAATGAGGTCCATCCACCCTATAGGTCAAGACAGCACTATTTAGTGTTAGAAGAGAAAACAGGGATCATGTTGTCCAATACTCTTATATTGTGGATGAAGAAAGTGAAATTCAGATTAAGAACCTTCTCTGAGACTATGCAGTTGATTAGTGCCAGCCCTCATGTCTCTCTGACCATTTCACCCAGTACATTAAGCTGCCATTATTACTATCCTTTCATGTGGCTTAGCATCTTCTTATATCCTGCTATGTATTCTTTTCAGTTTCGTTAAACACACATGTATTGAGAACACACTATGTGACCAGTGCTGTGTGTGGTGACAGAGACTATCTGCCAGGCATTGGAAACCTTGGGTTAAATGGCAGGCAATATTATTGGCAAGGCAAATGTCAAAAGGGAACCAATCCTCTTAATTCAGATTAGTAAGAAGGGTACATTCAGGACTGAGAAGGCATAATAAGACCTTTGGAATGAGTGAATTGAATGTTGAGTGTCACCCACCAGTTAGTTATCTCTGACACATTTACATTGTATGAATTGGCCATACGTAACTATTGAAGACTTGGCAAAATGTTCACATTTGTGGAAATTGAGGTCATGGTAATTAGTAAATTAACCATGTAGTTTACTGAATGATAAAAAGGAAGGAATAAACATGAAACTCTGGAAAACATCAGCACTCAAGATGCTGTGTTAGGAAGAAATGTCTCAAACAACAGCAAGAAGCCATAAGGAGAAGGTAGTTAGAAACTCAGGTAGGAGTAATACATCCTAGCTAGGGTTGGAAAAGGGATTCTATATTTTGTTTTGTTTTTATTTTAACAGAGTGGGTAAACTGCATTGCAAAGTAATGCAAGAGATCAAATAGTAAAGGACTTACTAGTGTGCAATACATTAAGCCCATAGAAGGTCATTGTTTTATTTTATTTTATTTCACTTCATTTCATTTTTTTTGAGATGGAGCCTAGCTCTGTCGCCCAGACTGGAGTGCAGTGGTGTGATCTCGACACACTGCAAGCTCCGCCTCCCGGGTTCACGCCATTCTCCTACCTCAGTCTCCCGAGTAGCTGGGACTACAGGCGCCCGCCACCACGCCCTGCCAATTTTTTGTATTTTTAGTAGAGACAGGGTTTCACTGTTTTAGCCAGAATGGTCTCCATCTCCTGACCTCATGATCCGCCTGCCTTGGCCTCCTAAAGTGCTGGGATTACAGGCGTGAGCCACCCACCCAGCCAGAAGGACATTGTCTATAATTGACAAGAGTAAATTCAGTGAAGTTGTGAAAGTGGAAGTAGATCACAGTGGAATCAAGTGTTGAGAGGAGGTGAGACAGTAGGGGCAGCTATAAGCCCCCTTTTTAAAGAAATTTGGCTATAAAGGAAAGAAGTAGTCAGAGAAAAATGTGGTTGAGGGGAAAAATCTTCTGTGAGAAGTAAGAGGCCTGGATGCAAGTCCTGGATGTAGAAGCAAAAGTGTGTGTGTGTGTGTGTGTGTGTGTGTGTGTGTGTGTGTATTTTTTTTTCTGTCTACCTCTCCTTAACATCCCTAGTGAAATAGAGACTGAGGAAATACAGATTTCTTCTAAATAACATACAGACAACTGGGTGTGTGTGTGGGAGTGTGTGAGGGTAGAGTGGAGAAGAGAAAAGTTGTTCTTAAATCAATCAGTCATGTCATGGCATTGTAAGTGAAGGATGCATTAGGCTTGACGATTTTGTGAGTCAACTGAATTCCAGCTACCACAGATGTATTACCAAATATAACCGTGGTGATTAGCACTGACAATTCAGTTCTGACAGACTTGTTTAGATTTGCTTTTGCAAGAGGACTCAGAGCTGAAGAAACATATTTACCAACAGAGAACTGCCAAAATGACACTGAATGATTGAGGTTAAAAAATAAATTATAGCTCCTTCACCTGAATCGCTCATCTTAGACTGATTCCTGCCAAATTAAATGTTCATTCTGAATTGCCTCAAGACAGTATGTGAGTCAGATAGAATCCCTGATATTCCTCCAGCTAATCTATGGCATCCTCCTTCCAGGAAGAAAGTTTCAGTATTTCCATAATAGAAAAAAATGCCAGGTCCCTTCTAGTCAAATATAAAGGTTAAATTAAATCATAATCACTTTTTTCCAAAATTAGTTGCATGCTCAGGAGTAGTAAATTTTTCAATCCACAGTGAAACTATTCTCAGCATAGACATATTCCATGAAAAGGCAGACTGCTAGACTGTTTTAAATTAGCTCTCATTATTATTCAATGATGTGTCAAATGAAATGAGCTAAAATAGATTGATGCTGCTACCTGGTCACTGGTATGCAGTGTGCTTCACCACATCGTAATCAAGTGGTGACGTTAAAAACAGCAACAGCCTGGCATACCCAGTCATCATGTGATGTCAGTGGCAATGCAGTATCTCTAGAGATTATGGACACTACTAGGCTTCTCTACCCAATAACAACATATCCACAAACCCCCAAAGTTGCGAATCTTTGGAGTTGCCTAAGGTTTCAGCTGAGATCTTGAAGGTGTTATTCTGAATCTAGTTGCAGAAAAGAGAAAGAATGTTTCAGAATTTCCCTCTGTTCCCTATTCTTCAGGTGGGATGAGTGCTAGTTTAGACCACACTTCATAAAAAAGATAACAAGTCATATCTTTCTTGAGATCTTTGGGACTTTCTTCCTGCCTCCCACCATCCCAGAGACTCTCTAGACTTCTGACCATCCCAAGCCTAATAAGCCACAATCACCAGTGAGATATGGGCTGAAATGGCCAGGAGCCAAGGTTACTCACAAGTGCCAAGGGCCATTCTGGTTGTCCATAAAATCACTCAGCATAAGAGCCTGTCCTATTCAGTGAAGAGATATTGATAGAGGGATACAAGACAGCTGCTCATTCCTTAGCCTTACCTTATACCTGGGCATCTAGAAGGCAGAATCTCTGATTGAATTCTAGCATTGGGAGAGCCAGGCAGTTTCAAGGGTTGTCAAGTTAGCTAGCAACAGACCAGCCCCAAGTCTAGAGAACAATAAATTTACGGTTAAGGAGAGCACTAATGTGGTTGTTAATTTCTTACTAAATATGTCATTCTGGGCTGATACTAGCACTGTAGTGTGTATGCTTCGGTGCTCTGCACTGCACTGGACCACACACCCAGACCCTACCTTCTATGAGTGCAGGTTATTAAGAGTTCACTACTTCTCTTGTTCATGACTAGCTTCCCTTACCACAGTTAACATGTCATGATAGTCCCTGAGCAACACTAATTACAGAATAATATTTACCATCTATAAATTAAATGCTGATATTGCATTAGGAAGATTAAACAATTAGATTTTACAAATCAGGAAAAAAATATATCAGTCTTACTTTATTCTGCGTTAAAATTTGTCCATTATAACTATACACCAACAATCAGTAACTATAAGTCCTACCATAAAAGTAATTGTACATTGGATACAGATTTGTTGTAGTTAAATGAATTAGCTATAATTTTCTACTAATCCTATTTCAAAAGAGATTAAGCTTCAGGCTATAGAAAAGAGAGTGCTAAATTTTAAAAGTTTTGTTTGAAAATAATCCTAAATTAAAATCTGACTTCAGATTTAGTACTCACAATGTAATAATTTAATTCTAGGTCCTGAAAACCCTGATCAGAGGTCAAGTCTTACAAAGATTAACTTTCTTCCACTGCTTTAGTACAACAGACACTAGCTGCTTTTTTTTTTTAAATAAGTCAGTGAATAAATAAGAATTAATTGGCACAGAATTTCAATTTGGACACCTTTTCATCTTAGCAAAAGTCCCAGGTATTTAAGAGTTTCACAGTATTTAATTATGTAGACATCCCATATTATATTTAACCTAACTTCCAACGATAAGCATTTGGTTTTTTCCCCCTAAGTTTTACAAAAAAAATATTGTACTGAACAATTTTTTTTAAGTATTTGTGAAGCTTGGGTTTTCTACAGGATAGATTCCTAGTAAATACATCTCTAAGTAAAATAATATGATTTTGTTGATTTATATAGATTTGAACATAATTGTATGTGCCTTTTTAGTATTCTATTTCATTGTTCATTTCCACAAAAACCTGATGAGACCTTTCTCCTTCTTTCCTTCCACTCTTTGTAACTCTGAATTTCAATTGCAGCAGTCCTCAAAGTTTCCTCTTATGATTCCTTCTCTATGTATGCCACCTCTCCCGTTGAAAGAGGAGTCTTTTTCCCCTCCTTTTGAATCTCTACTGATTTTGACTTGCTCTGACCAATATAATACAGCAGATATAACCCCACCTACACCAGCTGGAGGCCCAGCCCCTATGAGGACTGGCAGCTTTCACTTTTGTTTGGGAATGCCAGCCACCAGGAAGTAAATAAGGTCAAGATTACCAAATAAATACCGAGATGACATGAAGAGAAAGAGAAAGGCCACATGAAAAAGTACGGTGAATCAGATGTGTGAGTGGAGCCTTCTGGAACTTCAATTCAGTCCAGCTACCCAGTTGAACTGAGCTGTGTGAGCGGCCCCAGCCAGGATTACCAGTGGCACACGGAGTGAAAAAGTGATTGCACAAATCTCTGAAGTAGAGACATGAGAAAAAAATAAGTAGTTGTTGTTTTAAGTCACCATGTTTTGGGATGGTTTGCTAGGCAGAAATATATCTGACAATTTAACATTTTCATATTGACCGGTATGGTAGTCAAAACAAACTCTTCATATTATTTCATTTCAATAGAAATTAGTGAGGTTGACTGTCTTCTCATACATTTTCAACTGTTTCTATTTCTATTTGTATACTCCGCTAGCTTTAGTGTTTTGACTATTGTTTTGTCAAATTTATTTTATTATTCTTCTTGTCTTTATGAAACACAGTACCTCTCTATAACATTGTATATTAAGAACTCAATTTTATCACTGATTTTGAAAGCAAACACTTTTAGTTCATTTTTTCCTGCAATGCCATGTGAGGTGTGTGTGGTGTGTATATGTGTGTGTGTGTGTCCCTAGATTCCAGGTATGTGTTTCAAAATCCTACATGGGTCAATAACCTCATGATAGGAAGTCTAAAGAAATGAGGTAAGAGAGAAAGAAAGTAGGATAGAAACCTGTATATAGCTCGTGGAAGCCCAGGTAGTAGTTAAATGAAAGGTCTGATGGCTGAGTGAGAGATTATGGATGTGATGTGCTTTGGCAGGCTAACCCACCTGGGGGCTTTCATAGAAGTAAGGTAAGAGGGTTGGATTATTAGAGGTCCTGAATATGCGCAAACAGCATGGAATTTTTTGTCTACTAAATTTATTAAATTTTTTTTTACAAAAAGAAATAAATTAAAATATTAATGTTCCTCAAAAAGTTTGCAGCTGATGAAGTACTTGAGAAAACCATTACAAGGAATCAAATAAGCCAAAACTAAGGGGACCTGCACCAAGGTCATGAACAGGAGAAGGCCTCAAATTCCATCCGTTTGGGATAATGCTTCAGCATGACTCCCAAACACATCCAAGAAGAGAGATTTGCAAATTCCTCTAGGTGTCATCAACCCCTCTAAACAGAAAATTGATTTCAGCTATTTACCTGCATTTAGAGATCACAGGACCAAAGCTAGCAATAAGTCGGGAAAAATGACAATATGTTGCTAAGTAGAGCCCCTAAATCAGATGGTGAATGTGAAGTCTCAGAATGAGATGAACACAGAAAGTAATCAGCAAGTGCCAAAACAAATTAACCTTTTGGGGCTCTTGTTACTAATGGAAAGTTGAAGCCTACAGCACTGTGTACACTTGTCAGGTTGGACAGGTGCCCTTTCATAAGTCATAATCAATAACAGCCTGGGAGGAATTCTTTGACTCTGAGGCTCTGAGCTGAGCAATATTTTTGAGAAATAGGCAGCTGTGTGCCCTCATTCTCATTTTATCTCCCTCTCTATAAAAAATAATTTAAAATACTCACTTTCTCCTTTTCGTGACAACCCTGGCTCAGAGCAAATAAGACAAGTAGGGCCAATTCCCCTAAAGCTAATCTACCAAGTCAAACTTCCAAGTGTAGGTGAGCACTGATACTCCCTCTCTCTCTAATGAGCTTGTTTTCCCAAACAGTGGCCCCCAGGATTGTCCAGCCACAGCCCAAACAACTCCAATCTCAGTTCATCAGAAGCATATTAAAAATTCGCAGCAACTAGAAACTGTACTTAACAAAAAAGAAATCCTTGATCTATATTTCATTGGTATATCAGAATGAAAATGTCCAGTAATATTCATTAAATTATCTATAAATCAAGCACAATAGTATTTTCTACAATTTGTGTATTTCAACATCTCTACCTTCATAGAAAGATCCTCTAAGTGAAAGTTTTTTTAAGTTAAAAAAATTAGGATCTAAACATTAGGATTTATTAGAATAAATTAAATCACATATTAATTAATTCATTCAATGTCATGAATGATGCATTGTGTCAAGAAATATGGCCTCCTTGATACAACTAGAGTAATTTTTTTAAGTACAAATCATATCCATCCATGGATTGTCCATAAGATGAAGAAACAACTCTTAATGTGGTTTATAGCTTGCTGCTAAAAATGGGTATATGAGAACCTGGTAGAATTGTAGAACCTGAGGCTCAATGCTGTGTCCCCTAAATCAGGTTCTGCATTTCTACTTAGCTCCCACAACAAGCTGAAAGTGACGGTCTTCTGCCTATGCTTTGAAAAGCTCTGGTTTACAGAGCCCTGTGCGACAGAACCTGCTTCCTTCGCCACCCTCATCTGTGCCACTCTGCGCCCTTCCCAGCTATGCTTCAAGTCGCAGCCACCTAGTTTACACAGAATGCATTCAAAGCAGGGACTCTGGTCTTTGTATTTCTTTCTTTCTATGAAGGGATAATCCTACTTCTTCCTAGCTCACCTGCCCTGTATGAACTACTCTTCAAATTCATCCCCTCTCCTTTTCAACTAACCCTCCTTTTTTCAGGTCTTAGGTTAGAAGCCACTTCCTTCAACCTTTCCTTGATATTCTGATATGGGATTATGTTTCTCTTCTTCATATTCCCATGACACCCCTTTCTTACCACTATTGGAAAAGTAGCACTGTCTCACTCTCTGTATCTGCTCATTTGCTTTTTTATATTCACCACTAAGTAGTCTTTAGGTGCTTTCTGACCTCTTAGTATTGATATCTCTATCACCAGGACTTGGTAGAGTACCTGGCAGACAGCAAATAGAGTAGGTGCTTGATAAATGATTGTTGAACTAATGCTTAAAAGATAGATCATACATCTTACTGGGGGCTATTTGCATATTAAACACTTTTAAGTCTTAAAATTAAAAGATTGTACTTCTATAAAAGAATTTAAAACATTAAGAAGCAGGGGAGGAAAGTGCATGGTGAAGTATGGGTTCGGGGGACCTATTCTCAGGAAAATTTGAGGCAAGCCTGGGTTACAGTGTTACTTGTTTTGAAGAATTGCTACCCCAAGTCTCTGGAGCTGAGAGGTGCTTCATGGGGGAAAGCCACAGCTCCTTTAGAATATGCTGTCTTTTATTTTCTGTACCAAACAGCAGGTTTTAAAATCACAGACTTATTTTCTTTTGCTGCTTTATGGCTGCTTGACTGAGGACTACTTTAAACTGGCAGTTTGCTTTGGATAGAAAAGTCCCAGCAAGGGGGATATTTCCACAGAAACGTATTTTTCAGTCAATGATATAAAGGCATTGAGCTCACAATTCCAGAGGTATTTAGATAGATGTGTACGTTTTTCTTATTTCTCATGGAGAGGGTTAATGTGGTGTGTCTTATCTTTTGCAGACCACATGAACCTCTATTATATGCTTGTGTATCTTTATTGAATCATTTATCTAGATTTCAGTGGCAAGCCGGGTGCCCTCGTACAGCTCCACAGAAATATCTATCAAGGTAATAAGAAAGTAGTTTCCTTTATTGTTTAGAAACTTGAAAAAAAGAAAAAAAAAACCACTGTGCCTAGGGTAGAGGGGGAGTCATCTCTTTTGAGATCAGAGTTGGATTGTGGGCCTGTTTTGCTAATTTTATTTCAGAGCGGCAGTGGTACTTTAGCAATGTGGAACAAAGTGTCTTGGGTAAATAAGAGAGAACAGAAAAAAAAACCCATAAACTTCCAAATAAAATAATGTCTCCATGTGAATTATGACCAATAAGCATCATCTAATTTAATCTCTTTCTTTTCCTTTTCTCTAAACTATTGCCCAATCAAATTTAGAAAGGTCTTATTCCTATTCATTAAGTCCATGTGAAAGTATTGACCTGTCATGGTAATGCTTTCTGATTTGCTATTTTCATCTAATCCATTTTCCTTTTAATTCTAATTTTCTTTTCTTCTTAAACCTTCCTGTCTTGTAATAGTCACTAATGAAAGATTAAAGGTAATTTAGTGTATTTTCTTACAATACTGTAGGGTTGCTCATCTCCATCCACACCAACTATTTAAAATGTCCTGTAGGCCAGATGTGGTGGCTCACACTTATAATCCTAGCACTTTGGGAGGCCGAGGCGGGTGGATCACTTGAGGTCAGGAGTTTGAGACCAGCCTGACCGACATGATGAAACCCTGTCTCTACTAAAAATACAAAATTAGCTGGACATGGTAGTGCACGCCTGTAATCCCAGCTACTTGGGAGGCTGAGGCAGGAGAATAGCTTGAACCTCGGAGGCAGAAGTTGCAGTGAGCCAAGATAGTGCCACTGCAGTCCAGCCTGGGCAACAAGAGCAAAACTCCTTCTCAAAATAATAATAATAATAAATAAATAAAATAAAATGTCCTAAAAAGAATATATAGTGATGGTTTTCAATGTCAATGACAACTTCAACACCACTACCATTTACTGAGGTTTTATAATGTTTTAGGCAATTGGTTTCGTTCTTTACAGGTGTACTTTGACTTATAGTTCACATAAATACTGACATTTTTTACCTGAGAAAATCAAGGCTGAGAGAGTAAGTGATTTTTTCTATTTAAAAACTAAATGTAAAAGAGCTGTGATTTGAACTCAGGTTTCCTGATATCAAACTTAGTTCCTACCATTGCATTATTTTGATTAAGTATTTAGTGTACAAAGAGACCCTTGATGTGAACTCTGTGTTTCATTTTTCACATAAAATTTAATTCCCACAAGGAAAGAATGTGAGCTTTTATTTTACATTTTACATTCAGAGAAAATATTGTTTAAAAACAAAACTTTGTTTAATTGTAGAAAGAGAAGAATTATCAATAATTTTTTTCTAAGACCCATAAAACAGCAGGTGATGCAGAGATTTTCCACTTAGTGTAAATCTCATTAGCTCTGTAATTTGTTCAATAGCATAATAAAAGGAAAATTCCAAGTCATTAAAGCCTTCTCAATCTTCACTGCTACAACTGCCTGATGAAATAAGTGAACAATCCATCCTGCTTGGAAAGCAATTTTTAAATTCAAAACTGCAACTAATTTAATACAATCCAACATCAGTGCTAATAATTATGTGCCCTTACTTTGGAGAAAAAATATAAATTGATGAAATATAATCAGTAATAGCTGAAGCACCAAGCGTAAAGTTGCACCCCACGTGAAAGGACAAAGCTTATTGCCAAGGTATGTAGCCAATTATCACTATATAAGGTATAATATACCCTGATGGGGATGTACACTATATATTCCAATGACTAACTTTTCATTTTATTATGGCAGGTCCATAGGGAGGAATTCTAATGCAATAGACGGAACACAGTCTATATCTATATTGTAATATGACTTAGGGCAAGTGACCATCTTTCCACGGACAGTTTTCACACCTACCGAGTCATCTTTGAGAACACCATTAGCAGCACGGCATTGTGAGTCAATGATAGCATATTCTCAACCTTGTAGTTACTACTGAGATGGGTTGGGGATAGTAAAATATACTTAGAATGAAAGAAGACGAAAGAAGAGTCATTTAGTCATTTAGATATAGCTTAATGGTATTATCTATTACATATCCCATAACTCTGTGAAAAGATTGTTTTCCAAATAACTGTTTTTTAGTAGGGATGAATGTTGACATGAACACAATGCACAAAATTGGCATACTGGGATAAGTTATGATTTTTTTTTGTGTATGCAGTGCATTCTGAAGTTATTGGTGCCATAACTTTTGTTGATTCTCATACCGACATCTCAATACTCCTCATGCCCAGGACTCATTCAGGGGTCACAAATGGTGAAATTCTAATAGGTGATTGAGTTCTAAGGATGGAATTGGAGTGAGTAAGATATTAACTTGCAGAAGTGAGTATAGAGCCAGCAAAGATGGGAGCCATGAACGGTGTCAAAGAAGGGAGCCAGAAGTTATTACCAAAGCAGAAGAATCGAATGCCAGGTCCATGTGGTAAGGGTAAGTCCTTCTTTCTTTAAACTATGTTCCCGGTGCTTTGTTCAATATTAAATACACACTGGTGAAAACAGATGTAGCTCCTGCCCTCATGGAGCTTAAAAGTCTAATAGATATGGTCAAGAAAGTAAAATATATTTCAATCCCAAAGTATAATCTACTGAATAAAATCCATAAAAAGAAAAACAGTTCAGTCTTCAAAAGCCAGAGAGGTGAGCCAGGCTTAGGAATTGTATAATAGCACAGAATGGGAGATGTTGAAACAAACTGTTCACCCAGGAATGGGAATTAATGAGAAGAGAAATGTCTGTTCTGACCAAATACTAATCACGTTAGAGCAGAGGCATCTGGCCCATTTAAAAGCATCAGTCCAGGCTCCACCTTCTGCTGCAGCTTTGCTCCGTTTCTGCCTCTGGGAAGAATAATAAGAATGGCTTACAACAATGCTTACATCTTATATACAAAGTGTAATATACAAAGTTATATGCACACTTCTAAGAATCTTATATCTGTTATTATTACATTTGATTCAAAAACCACCTCTTTGAATTAGGTGCTGTTATTACACTTGTTTTACAGATGGGGAAACTGGGAGAAAAATAGACTTAAAATTAATAGCATGTCTAAGATCACACAGATGATAAGTCACATAACCTATAATTTGCATCGGACTCTGGCACCAGAATTTGGCTCTTAATTCCTATTTTGTTTTGCTTCTTATTTTTTTTCAGTAGATTTTTGGGGAACAGGTGGTGTTTGCTTACATGAATAAGGTCTCTAGTGTTGATTTCTGAGGCTTTGGTGCACCCAACACCTGAGCAGTGTACACTGTACCCAATGTGTAGTTTTTTTATCCCTCATCACCCACCCCCGCTCTTTCTCCTGAGTTCCCAAAGTCCATAGTATCATTCTTATGCTTTTGCAACCTCATAGCTTAGCTCCCACTTATGAGTGAGAACATACATTGTTTGGTTTTCCATTCCTGAATTACTTCACTTAGAATAACGGTGTCTAATTCATTCCAGGTTGCTGTGGATGCCATTATTTCATTTCTTTTTAGGGCTGAGTGGTATTCCATGGGGTGTGTGTGTGTGTGTGTGTGTGTGTGTGTGTGTGTGTCACAATTTATTTATCCACTCATTGATTGACCGGCATTTGGGCTGCTTCCATATTATTACAATTGCAAATTGTGCTGCTATAAACATGCATGCACAAATATCCTTTTTGTATTATGACTTCCTTACCTCTGAGTAAAGAATAATAGCGTTCACTTTTCACAACATCTATTATTCTTTGCTTTTTTATTATGGCCACTGTTGCAGGAATAAGGTGGTATTGCATTGTGGTTTTGATTTGCATTTCCCTGATCATTAGTGATGTTGAGCATTTTTTCATATGTTCTTTGGCCATTTTTTTGTTTTGTTTTGTTTTTGAGACGGAGTCTCGCTCTGTTGCCCAGACTGGAGTGCAGTGATGCCATCTCTGCTTACTACAAGCTCCGCCTCCCGGGTTCACACCATTGTCCTGCCTCAGCCTCCTGAGTAGCTGGGACTACAGGTGCCCGCCACCATGCCCGGCTAATTTTTTGTGTTTTCAGTAAAGACGTGGTTTCACCATGTTAGCCAGGATAGCCGCGATCTCCTGACCTCATGGACTGCCCACCTCAGCCTCCAAAAGTGCTGGGATCACAGGCGTGAGCCACCTCGCCCAGCCCCACTGGCTGTTTTTATATTTTCTTTTTAGTATTGTCTATTCATGTCCGTCATGTCTTGCTGATTTGTTTAAATTCCTTGTAGATTTTGGATATTAGTTTGTCGTTGGATGTATAGATTGTGAAGATTTTCTCCAACTCAGTGGATTGTTTACTGTACTGATTGTTTCTTTTGCTGTGCAGAAGCTTTTTAGTTTAATTAAGTTCCATCTATTTATCTTTGTTTTTGTTGCATTTGCTTTTGGGTTCTTGGTCATGAAGTCTTCACCCAAGCCAATGTTTAGAAAGGTTTTCCTGATGTTATTTTCTAGAATTTTAATGGTTTCATGTCTTAGGTGTAAGTCCTTGATCCATCTTGAGTTGATTTTTTATAAGGTGAGAGATGAGGATTCAGTTCCATTTTTCTACATGTGGCTTGCCAATTATCCCAGCACCATTTGTTGAATATGGTGTCCTTTCCTGACTTTGTTTTTGTTTGCTATGTCAAAGATCAGTTGGCTGTAAGTATTTTGCTTTATTTCTGGGTTCTCTATTCTGTTCCATTGGTCTATGTGGCTATTTTCATACCAGTACCATGCTATTTTGGTGACTATGGTCTTATAGTAGAGTTTAAATTAGGCAACGTGATGCCTCCAGATTTGTTCTTTTTGCTTAGTCTTGCTTTGGCTGTATGGGCTCTTTTTTGGTTCCATATGAATTTTAGGATTGTTTTCTTTTAGTTCTGTTAAGAATGATGGTGGTATTTTGATGGGAATTACATTGAATTTGCAGATTGCTTTTGGCAGTAAGATCATTTTCACAATATTGATGCTACACATCCATGAACATGGGATGTGTTTCCAATTATTTGTGTTGTCTATGACTTCTTTCAGCAATGTTTTGTAGTTTTCCTTGTAGGGGTCTTTCATCTACTTGGTTGGGTATGTTCTTAACGGTTCTGTTGTTGTTGTTGTTTTGCAGCTATTGTAAAAGTGGTTGAGTTCTTAACTTGATTCTCAGTTTGGTTGCTGTGGGCATATAGCAGAGCTACTGATTTGTGTACATTAATTTTGAATCCTGAAACTTTGCTGAATTCATTTATCAGTTCAAAGGGCTTTTTGGAGAGTCTTTAGGGTTTTCTAGATGTATATGATCATATAATCAGCAAACAGCAACAGTTTGGCTTCTTCTTTACTGATTTGGATGCCCTTTACTTCTTTCTCTTGTCTGATTGCTCTGGCTAGAAATTCCAGTACCATGTTAAATAGAAGTGGTGAGAGTGGTCATCTCTTTCTTGTTCCATTTCTCAGGTGGTATGCTTTCAACTTTTCCTTGTTGAGTGTTATGTTGGCTGTGGGTTTGTCATAAATGGCTTTTATTACATTAAGATATGTTCCTCCTATGCTGATTTTTCTGAGGGTTTTAATCATAAAGGGATGCTAGATTTTGTCAAATGATTTTTCTGCATCTATTGAGATGATCATGTGATTTTTGTTTTAAATTATGTTTATGGGGTGTATCACATTTATTGACTTGAGTATGTTAAACCATCCCTGCATACCTGGTATGAAACCCACTTGATGTTTGGGTATCTTTTCGATATGCTGTTGGATTTGATTAGCTAGTGTTTTGTTAAGGATTTTTGCATCAATTTCATTAGGGATATTGGTCTATAGTTTTCTTTTTTTGTTATTTTTTTTTCTGGCTTTAGTATTAGGGCAATACTGGCTTCATAGAACGATTTAGGGAGGATTCCCTTTTTCTCTATCTTGTAGGATAGTGTCAATAGGATTGGTACCAATTCTTCCTTGACTGCTTGATAGAATTCAGCTGTGAATCTGTCTGGTCCTGGACGTTTTTTGTTGGCATTATTTTATTAACATTTCAATCTTACTGCTTGTTATTTGTCTGTTCAGAGGTTCTATTTCTTCCTGGTTTAATCTAGGATGGCAGTGTATTTCCAGTAATTTATCCATCTCTGAGGTTTTCTAGTTTATGTGCATAAAGGTGTTCACAGTAGTCTTGAATGATCTTTTCTATTTCTCTTGTATTGATTGAAATATCTCCCATTTCTTTTCTAATTGGATCGTCTCTCTTCTTTTCTTGGTTAATCTCATTAATGGTTTATCAATTTTATCTTTTCAAAGAATCAGCTTTTTGTTTCATTTACCTTTTGTATTTTTTGGTTCCAATTTTATTTCGTTCTGCTCTGATCTTTGTTATTTCTTTTCTTCTGGTGGGTTTAGGTTTGGTTTCTTCTTGTTTCTCTAGTTACTTGAGATATAACCTCAAATTGTCTATTTGTGCTCTTTTAGACTTTTTCATGTAGGCATTTAATGCTATGAACTTTCCTCTTAGCACTGCCTTTGCCATATTCCAGAGGTTTTGATAGGTCGTGTCATTATTATTGTGCAGTTTAAAGAATTTTTAAATTTCCATCTGATTTCATTGTTGACCCAATGATAATTCAGGAGTAGGTTATTTAATTTCCATGTATTTGCATGGTTTTGAATGTTCCTTCTGGAGTTGAATTCCAATTTTATTCCACTGTGGTCTAAGACAGTACTTGATATAATTTTAATTTTCTTAAATGTATTGAGACTTGTTTTGTGGCCTGTCATATGGTTTATCTTAGAGAATATTCCATGTGCTGATTAATAGAATGTATATTCTGCAGTTGTTGGGTAAGTGCTCTATAGGTGTCTATTAAGACCATTTTTTCTGGGGTATATTTTAAATCTATTTTTTTGTTGTTGTTGACTTTCTGTCTTGATGACCTCTATAGTGCTGTCAGTGTAGTATTGAAGTCCCTCACTATTATTGTGTTGCTGTCTCAATTTTTAGGTCTAGTAGTAACTGCTTTATAAATTTGGGAGCACCAGTGTTAGGTGCATATATATTTAATACCGTGATATTTTCCTGTGGGACAAGTCCTTTTATCATTATGTAATGTCCCTCTTTGTCTTTTTTAATTGGTGTTGCTTAAAGTTTGTTTTGTCCTATATAACAATAGCTACTCTTGCTTGCTTTTGGTGTTCATTTGCATGGAATATGTTTTTCTACCCCTTTACCTTAAGTTTATGTTAGTGCTTATGTGTTAGGTGAGTCTCTTGAAGATAACAGATGCTTAGTTTGTGAATTCTTCCCCATTCTGCTATTCTGTATCTTTTAATTGAAACATTTAGACCATTAACATTCAATGTTAGTATTGGGATGTGAGGTACTATTCTATTCATCATTCTATTTGTGTCCTGAATACCTTGTTTTATTTATTTATGTATTGTGTTTTTGTTTTATAGATCTTGTGAGATGTATACTTTAAGGAGGTTCTATTTTGATGTGTTTCAAGGATTTGTTTCAAGATTTAGAGCACCTTTTAGTAGTTCTTGTAGTGCTAGTTTGGCAGTGGAGAATTGTCTCAGCATTTGTTTTTCTGAAGAAGACTATATTTCCTTCATTTGTGAAGCTTAGTTTCTCTGGATACAAAATTCTTGGTTGACAATAGTTTTGTTTAAGGAGGCTGAATATAGGTCCCCAATACCTTCTAGCTTGTAAGGTTTCTGCTGATAAATCTGCTGTTAATCTGATAGGTTTTCCTTCATAGTTTAACTGGTGCTTTTGTCTCAGAGCTCTTAAGATTCTTTCCTTTATTTTGACTTTAGATAACCAGACTACTGTGTACCTAGGCAATTGTCTTTCTGTGATAAATTTCTCAGGTGTTCTTTGAGCTTCTTGTATTTGGATGTCTAGATCTCCAACAAGGCCATGGAAGCTTACCTTGATTATTCCCTCAAATATACTTTTCAAAACCTAGATTTATTTTCTTCCTCAAGAACACCAATTATTCTTAGGTTTGGTCATTTAACATAATCCCAAACTTCTTGAAAGCTTTGTTTTTTTTAATTCATTTCTATTTGTCTTTGATTGGGTTAATTCAAAAACCTTGTCTTCGAGCTCTGAAGTTCTTTCTTCTGCTTATTCACTTCTATTGCTGAGACTTTCCAGTGCATTTCACATTTCTCTAAATGTGTCCTTCATTTCCAGAAGTTGTGATTATTTTTTATGTATGCTGTATGTTTCACTGAGGATCCTTCCCTTCATATCTTGTGTACTTTTTGATTTTATTAAATTCAACTTCACCTTTCTCTGGTGCCTCATTGATCAGCTTAATAATCAACCTTCTGAATTATTTTCTGGCAGTTAAGGGCTTTTTTCTTGGTTTGGATCCATTGCTGGTAAGCTAGTGTGATCTTTTAGGTGTATTAAAGAATCTTGTTTTTTCATATTACCAGAATTGTTTTTCTGGTTCCTTCTCATTTGGGTAGACTATGTCAGAGGGAAGGTCTGTGGTTTGAGGGCTGCTGTTCAGATCCTTTTGTCCCATGGGGTGCTCCCTTGATGTAGCATTCTGCCCCTTCCCAAAAGGATGTGGCTTCTTGAGGCCCGAACTGCAGTAATTGTTATTTTTAATTCTGGATCTAGCCACCCAGTGGAACTACCAGGCTCCAGGCTCATACTGGGTGTGTTTCCGCAAAGGGTTCTGTGACGTGAACCATCTTCATGTCTCCTAGCCATGCATACCGGCACCTGCTTTGGTGGAGGTGGCAGGGGAGTGAAATGGACTCTGTGAGGGTCCCCTTAGTTTTGTTTATTACTCTAGTTTTATGTTGGTTGGCCTCCTGCCAGGAGGTGGCACTTTCAAGACAGCATCGCTGTGGTAGTGTAGGGAGGCTCTGGAGGTGGACAAGACCCTAGAGCTCCCAAGAAATTATGCTCTTTGTCTTTGCTACCAGGGTGGGTAGAGAAAGACCATCAAGTGGGTCAGGGTTAGGTGTGTCTGAGCTCAGACTGTCCTTGGGTGGGGCTTATTGTGGCTGCTATAGGGTATGGGGTATGGTTCCTCGGCCGATGGAGTTATATTCCCAGAGGGATTATGGCTGCTTCTGCTGCGTTATGCAGGTTGCCAGGGAAGCCGGGGAAAGCTGGCAGCCAAAGGCCTCATCTAGCTCCCATGCAGCCCAAAAGGCTGGTTTCACTCCCACCATGCCCACCAGTAGCACTGAGTTTATTTCCAGGCAGCGGATGATCAGTACTGATAATTTGTTCCAGGCTACCAGCCTCCTGGCTTAGAAAGCAAGCAGGGTTTTCAGGTTTTACACCTCGCTGCCTACTGTGGCTTCTGTGCTGTGTCTCCACTCCAGATTCACCCCTCCCCCAAGATCCATCAAGGAAACTTTACATTCAGTTGAAATTATTACAAAGTTCAGCTGGAAGTTTTCTTCTCTTTGTGGTCTTTTCTCATTTCCTCTGGCAGCCCTCCCCAAGGACAATTTCAAGACGAAGTCAGAAATGGCTTCCCTGGGGACCAAGAGAGCCCACAGGGCTCTTCCTGCTGCTGCTTCTGTATTTTGCTGGGCTCTATAAATTCATCTCAGCTCCAGGTGAGGTCAAATCCTTCTCCCATGATCTGGACCTTCAGGTTCCTCAGTGAGGGTGTGTGTTCAGGGGCAGATGATCCCCCTTTTACCCTTTGACACTTTGGGCACTCACAGTATTTGGACTGTTTCCTGGGTCCTGCAGGAGCAGTCTGCTTCCTTCAAATGGTCTGTGGATTCTCTCAGCTTTCCTGGTATGTACCTGCAGTAGTTTCTGGAGCAACAGTTCACGATCTGAGTCCCCACACACTGCTCTGTCCATCCAAGTGAGAGCGGCAATTTAGTCCTGACTCCTATCTGTCATTTTCCTTCCAGCACATGTCCTCATTTCTGTTTTGCTTCTTAATATCATTTTAATTAGGCTGGATTTTAAAAAGCAAATCCTAAATGAGTAAAATTACCATTTTACTCTCTAAGTTTATGTTTACTTTTCCTATGCTTACCTTGTGTCCCATCTTGTAATTTCTTCGCATGTGATTCTTGACTGGGATCAAATGCTCACTTGAAACTCCAGTTCTGGTATTGTGAGTTCTGCCTCTTCTACATTGGAAATGCTGCCTTGAACCTCCTTGCCTCATATCAAATGTTACAAAACCAAGGTCAAGTCCCATCTCACAAACCTTCTTGAATCTTGTGTCCTGACTCTATACATGGCATGGTTGCTGGAAATTGTTATAATCATTTGTTTATACTTATTAAGTATTTTGTAATTTTTTACCATCTTGACATCATCGGCTTACCTTGTTCTTCAAACACTAATAATCTTACATTCACCCTTATTGAGCTCCACTTTACTAACAGATGTGCTGTATTAGCTTTCTCAGGCCACTATAACAAATACCACAGACTAGGTGGCTTAAGCAATGGAAAGCCATTTCCTCAGAGTTCTAGAGGCTAGAAGTCCAAGATCAAATCTGAGCAAGGTTGGTTTCTTCCAAGGCCTTTTTCCTTAGCTTGTAGCCATCCTCTCCCTGTCTTCACAGGGTCTTCCCTCTGTGTATTTCTGTGTCTTCTTATAAAGGCACCAGTTATGTTGAATTAGGGCCCACCCTAGAGACCTCATTGTAACTTAATTACCTCTCTAAAGGCCCTATCTCTAAATATAGACATATTTTGAGGTACTGAGAGGAAGATTTCAACATGTATATTTTGAAGGAGACACCGTACAGCCCCATAGCACTGGGGTAGTTTGGACCCCTTTGATATCAACTGCATTCAGGAGTAGATGTCACCATAATCTCAATTTAAGAAGCGTGTCTGCTAGACTGAGACTGTGGTCATTGTCCACAACTGGATCCGTCCCTTACTGGAGACTGTATGTCTATGGGGCTATGATCCCAGAGGAGGAAAGCTTTACCTGTTCCTTCAGATTATTGGCTCATCAAGCACTAGATATACCAGGATAGTGCCTTTTTCGAATTCCCATGAAAAGGCTGAGCAAGGATAGTTTAACTTGCACCTGGCTTAAGTTGTCCCATTCTTATCTCCAACAATGCCTGGAATCATGGTACTGACTGTCCTTGGCCAAGATAGAAATGAAAGTTATTCCTATCCTATAGTTATTAATGATACTATACTGTGATTATTTAAAGACCAAAACTCATTGGAAGGCAACCTGTACCAGCTTGTTTATATTGTTTTTTGAAAATGTGTCAGATTTATATGGTTGCCTAGCCAAGTCTGAGCTACATTTACCAGTGCTTTGGCTCTCCTGAAACTAAGGTAACTTGTATGTTTCTTGTGGGTTCATGATGTCAAAATAAAGTATTTCCTGTGTTACTGAGCAAGGCGCCTGGATCTGGGCCTGTACTTCTAGAACTTCTCTGCTATTTGCCTGTGCTTTTTTTCTCCAGTTGGACTGTATCCTTCACCTTTATTAAAGCTTTCTATATAGTTTCATGGGTCCTTTTAATTATCTGACCTCATGTAATTGCCTTAAGGTGCCATACATGCAAGCTATAGAGCTGAATAACTCTTCTGGTAATTACATGGTGTTTTCTAGTTCTGTTTCTTGATATACATTAATAGTAATAATTTCTTTCTTTTTTTAACCAAATATTACTTGGTAGGTATTAAACTATTTGCTCTAGAAATATAATTTAATTATTCAAATATATATTGAACATATTTTATATGCCACATAGCGTGGTAGCTATCTGGGACATAATAGTTAACAATAAAGTTTCCCTGGCACCTGCAGAGCTTCCAGTCTAACCAATCAACACGGAAGATATTACTTTTAGATTCATTTTTAATATACAAAATCACCCACATGTATCTTACATTTTAGAAAACTAGATTATGGTTAATTTCACAGATTGCCTTGAAGCAAATGCTTTTTCTTCCACTACATACATTGAGTGTCAGTAAATTTACTTCAATAATATTTTTAGTGATGTTACTGTACTCCTTATATGGGTATAATTCTAGTTACCTATTTGAAATACATATTATTGGACATTTATTGGCCTCATATTTTTGTACTAGCTTTTGATATGAATGAGTATATCACCACAATTTTTGTGCAGGGAGCACTATTTCTAATAGTGGTGTGGAAACCTCTGCTATATTTAGCTACTCAATCACTGCTAATGCCACAACACCCCTAGGCATAGAACATTATATGTCTTAACAAAACCAGCAGAAATATTACACAGCCCTATTATAGAGGTCACACGATGATGGGAATTATTGCTTGTATATTGTCATCATTAACTCTGGAAATTTTTCCATAGTTTTTCTCCAAAAATTACCATATTTTAGTCCTTCAATTGCTTGGTGGGGTGGGAGAGAGAAGGAGATGCCTAGACACTACTTACAACACTTATTAGAAGACAAAAATTCCTAGAGGATTTTTACTGACCTGTTCCAATTTTCCTAATTTGTCTTGAACAATCCATGGAAACTGAGGCAACAGAGGCAAATTGCAAAAATATCAAGAATTAAAGAGAAGAGTGCAGAGAATCATCCCCCATCTTGAAGACAAGATAACAATTCTGAAAATATTCTTCTGTTTGTGATATCCTTTTCTCTTTCCATGTTCTTTATCCATTTGCATACAAATATACAAGTGTGCACCCACATACACACACACACACAATAAACTCTCCAGTAACAAAATCTCATAATTACACATTTTTGTTGAGTTTTGTAATCCAGATATAACACCTAAAGTTGCCAAGATGGGCAGGATTTGTTTAGATGACTAAAAAAATGAATAGTTCCTTTTTGTGACAAATCTAGGTTTGCACCTAAGCAATCAGTCTAGGATTTGCTAAATTGCTAATACTCCCAATTCTAATGATATAGTTAGCTAATGATGTAGTTCAACAATAAAGCCCAAGCTGTAAAACCACCAGGGAAAAGACTCTAGGCTATGTGCCATGAATACTATTCAGATTTAGCCAGAACCTCAGATTTATATTACATATCCCTAACTAAGGTAGTGATTTTTTTCTCTTCATCAATCATAAATACCTCCTGACTTTTATAAGGAAATAATAAACCTATTTCCAAACAATTCTGCAGGCAAAACAGCATTTAGTTTTTACAGTTACATGACTGGATTGTTTTCCATTTTTATCATGTGCCTTATAAACTTGATTGATTTCAACTAATATACAATAAAATTTCCATTACCTAAAGTTATTGGCAGAATAAACTGTTCATATTATGTAACATTTGTAAAGCTTAAAAAAGTGCACATGATTGACATATTTTAACATGTAGTATTTTAAAGGAAAGAAGCTAAAAACAATTCAATGTTTTCATTTAAACTTATGCTTACCAGAAAAAAAATTGTATTTCCCCCAAATGCAAATGACATGAGCCATAAGGAAGAATGACAACTTGCTATCAAATTTGATTCAACATAGAGAAAACCCTGGAAATGCACTGACATGTACCAGTTCATCAAACTTCAATCAGGCACATTGATACTTTGGAATCTGCTAAAGCACAGGCATCTAGTTAATGACAAATAAGTGTGGGAAAGAATATAAATGACTAAAACCTAATATCTTTAAGGCTTTTAACTATTTCTAATAAAAGACAGTTCAACTGGTCTTGAAAAGAACCTTCCTAAATTCATATCATGGCCATTGAAATTACTGGTTTAATAGTTACCCTAATAATTCAATTCACTTAATTGTAATATGGGGTAAACATCTATTCAGCCTGCTGTGGTTATTTTTAATTTCACATATAGGACACATTAATATTTCCTTTCTGAAAAATATTCAAATATATATTTAGAGAAAAACAGGAACATTACTCCTTATCCTTTTCCTTATTGCTTTCCACCACCTGCCCCAGCAATTCCTAAAATTAAGAGTTTGACATCAAGAGATATCTAGTAATTTTTCTAGTATTTACATGCTAATATATGTAATTATTTGTTAATATACTCTAATTTTATTCAACTGGTTTCCTAATTGATAGATGTTTAGAATAGTTATAATTTTTCATTCATATAGGCAATGTTACAGTAGCATTCTTAAACAAACACACAAATATTTCATTAGGGTACAGTCATAGCATTGAAATTGCTGGATCAAAGATTGGGTTTTTTTCAGGTTTTTAATTTTGGCTCACGCTGGCAAGTTGCTCCTAGGCTAAACCAATCATGATCTCACTCTATGAGATCACTCCTTTTTGTATCCACACCAACACTGGATATTACCACACTCTTTAAAGTTTTGTTTTGTTTTGTTTTGTTTTCTTTTTTTGAGATGAAGTCTCGCTCTGTTGCCCAGGCTGGAGTGCAGTGGCACGATCTCGGCTCACTGCAAGTTCCGCCTTCCAGGTTCACTCCCCTTCTCCTGCCTCAGCCTCCCAAGCAGCTGGGACTACAGGTGCCCGCCACCACGCCCGGCTGTTTTTTTTTGTATTTTTAGTAGAGACGGGGTTTCACCGTGTTAGCCAGGATGGTCTCGATCTCCTGACCTCGTGATCTGCCCGCCTCGGCCTTCCAAAGTGTTGGGATTACAGGCGTGAGCCACCGTGTCCAGCCACACTCTTTAAAGTTTGATAGAGTTAAAAAAGTGTTTACATATGCATTTCTCTAGTTATTAATGCTCTTGTACATCTATTTAAATGCTTACTAACTGTTTAACTTGTATTCTTTTATGAACTGCTTCTATCCTTCCTACATTGAGCTGTGTTTTAGAAATTTTCACTCTATGAAGGAAATTTTTTATCATATCAGACTTTATTCCCATTAGTCAACCTTTGGTATAATTTCTTGATCTTAAAATTGTTGAGAAAAATTTGCTGAAGTCTGCCACGGTGATTGTGATTTGTCAAATATTTTCATGTTTCACTAGGTGTTTTAAATTCAAAGCTATTGGCCAGGCATGGGGGCTCACGCCTGTAATCCTAGCACTTTGGGAGGCTTAGGCGGGTGGATCAAGAGGTCAGGAGTTCAAGACCAGCCTGACCGACATGGTGAAACCCCATCTCCACTAAAAATACAAAAATCAGCCAGGCGTAGTGTCGTGCTCCTGTAATACCAGATACTCAGGAGGCTGAGGCAAGAGAATCACTTGAACTCAGGAGGCTAAGGCAGGAGAATCACTTGAACCCGGGAGGCAGAGGTTGCAGTGAGCCAAGATCGCATCACTGCACTCCAGCCTGGGTGACAAAGCAAGACACAGTGTCAAAAAAAAAAAAAATTCAAAGCTATTAATATATTTTAATACTATTTTTATTAGGTACATAAATATTTGTGACTAATGTGTTTTGAGTGGATAATAACATTTATTATTATTAAACACCTCTTTTTATCCTTCTTTAAAATCCCGCTGAATATATATATAATGAAAAATGTTCAGTCTAATGTTAGTATTGCTACATCTCTGTAATTTTATTCAGCATCTGCCTTCTAATGTTTTAACATTGCATTATATTCAAATTTTGTGTTATTGTCAAACTTTGTCTTTTATGAGGTGTTTATTTTTTAACCAAAATTCAAATGAGAATTTACTTCTAATAAAAGATGTAATTCATTCTATTTTAGTGTGATTATTGATGCATTTTGCATTATTCCTGATATTTTATCTTAAATTTTTTGTTCAATTTTCTTACTCCTTTTCTTACCTTTCTGCCTTTTTGACTCTGTTTTCTTAATTCTAACTTTTCCTTCTAATGATCTGATATGTAGATATAGTATTGTAATCTAGTGGCTACTTTCACATTTCTAACACATTTATTAAATAAGTCTTAATAAATATTTATACAGTCTATTTCCCAACCAGAAAATAAAAATATAAGCATTCATTCAGTGCAGCTTCTTCTTATTTTGATTATGTCTTAGGTTTTTAGTAGAAAATAGACAACAATATTTTTAAATGTAAAGCAAAATAAATGTTCAGAGTTAAATATAAGATTTACTAAATCATTCACTCACACTTTTTTTTCCCCATGGATTTATTTTTTCTCTTTCTGTGGTATACACCTGTTTGGAAAAATCTCATTTATCCCTTTTGTTAGAATGCTAGCATAGCCAATTACAGAATTCCAGGTTCAAATCATTTTCTTTCACTCTCGTGCCAGTGTCAAGTGACTTCTGATTATAGGGCACAATTGTGATATAAGGATTAGTTTAACTGTACACAAGCAGGCATTGGATCCCCTGCCATTGTTTACCCACTCTAGTGACAGGCCTGATCCAAGGCAATGGGACAGAATGATTGCAAAAAAAGTTGTTTCCTGTCCGTCTATTTATTTCTGAGCTGAACTCTTGATTGCTGTGAATACTTACGTTACTTTTCAAAACCACTCACGGAGAGGAGTCCAATCTTAACTGGCATCAAGAATTGTCTCCATCAAGAACACTCCAAGGTATGTCCTCCAATTTCCAAACTTCCAAATTTCAACCTCCAGAATTGTGAGAAAATAAAAATGTTGTTTGTTTAAGCCACCAGTCTATAACTTTTTTATGGTAGCATTGGCTGACTAAGACACTTTGGCTCCACCCATGAGTTGTACTGATCCAGACAAAAGCTAGGACCCATCACCATTCATTTGGGTGATATGTGGGAAGCCATGGCAGCCTTCCTAGCTGCAGAGTTCCATGCTTGTGTGCCCATGGTAAAAGCTGTGGAAGATGTGTCTGCTTAGAGGTTAGCCCCCTGGTATCATTACTGGACCAGATCTATGGTAGGGTCTGGGGCTTTATCACTGGGCCAGATCTATGATAGGGTTTGGGGCTTTATCACAAACACCTGAGCCTGGATTTCTGGCATTTTTTCAGACATTCCTTTGCATAACCCCAACATTTTCTAAAATCAGCCACAGTCAATGTCTACTGCTTTCAGCTAAAAGTCCTGACATATGTCAGCTGCTAATTTTAAAATATTATTACTTGTGGTGATTATACAACTATTATAGATAGAGCTTTTAATATAGGTTATTTTTGTGCTACCCACAGGAAACAAAATAGTTGAATGCTTTGGTTGACTCTTATCCTAGTTTAATATAACACAGCGGCAAATCACCTCAACTGTTCTGGGGAAAACGCTGATATCGACATCTAAATTATAATTAAACCTGGTTGTGTATGCCTAGCTCTGAGGTGACTGGTCAATTTTTCCAAATTGGTCAATTCAGTCCAACCACTCAGATGCACTGTAACATACAAATTCTCTACCTGCAGAGAACAAGGTTAATAAATAGCATCTTCTGTGCTTTCTCTGCTAAAACAAGTTAACATGTAAGTTACTCGTTTCTCAAATAGGTTCACCTAAGGCCATACTGTGGTTTGGCTCATAATTTACCTGTGGTGGCTAGAAAATCACTCAGTTTAAATTACAATATACTGCAGCACAGTGAAATCTATTTTCTAAGCTTTATTATGTTAGGGAACCAAGGTGGCCTAATCAATTTCAAGCAGTTTTTAAAATCTTCTAGAATTGAATAAAAGAAGACACTATGTAAAAGGCATTTAGATGGGCTTATGTGATACTTAAGACATCTCTTATTATTCTTCAACAAAGCATAGTGCATATCATTTTCATTTCATATGCAAAAGAGCTTTCAGTCCTATATATTTACAGATCAAAATATCATAATTATACTTTCATTCTGGTTAGTGCTCGAATTAAACTAAACTAAGCCCTGTTAAATCTTCTCTTTTTGTCCTCAGGGCAAAACAGAAATTTCCCTCAAAATTCATTTTTCACTTCTCCCCTCCATACATTTGAATCAACCAAGGTTTGTATGTTTCCTTCTACTGCTACCTCACTGATTCTATTCACCAACTACCCCAATCCTTATCCATAAATTATTTACATATGTCTTCAATCATTCTAGGATTTCTTTCACCTTTTTTCCCTCGTGGTCTAGTGATTAGCATTCAGTGCACTCTTTCTCTTTCACCTTCCAAATACATACATTTTATTCACTCAGAGCTTCGTTAGGAGACAGCTGGCCAATCTGGTAAATTTATCTTGTGATGATGTTGAGACATTCTAGGTTTTCTAGGTACAGGTTAATGAAAACTTTCTGAAGAAAATGCATAATCCAAATGGAGGAGAGGGAACTCTTTTAGAAATCTAGGTTCCATCTGAATTTTGCCATCAAATAACTATTATTTTTTCTTTCTTCTCATCATTAAAACAAGGAAATTATCCTAAGACAAATTTCAGCTCTCAAATTAAATAACTAGACTGTAGAGACCCTGGGAAGCTATTGGGAAAATTAATTTGAATGCAGAAAAATAACAGTGTAGTTCGTCACCTACTGTGTCTTCATCTACAGGCAGAAGCATTTAACATTCTGAGATATCAAGGTGGGCAATATATATGTGATAGATTAAGGGAGGTCAAAAATATTTTATAACTTTCCCAAACAGTGGTAGCATCAATGTTCCTACCTCTTGAATCTTGGTGGGTGCAGAACTGCTTGGTCAATAGGAATATGCCAAAAGCTGGTGTGTACCAATTTCTAGGCCCATAAGAGACTATCAGCTTCTACTTTGCCTCTTGAACACTTACTTTTGCATCCATGTGTTGAGAAAGTAAAGGCAGTACCATGGAAAAGCCTGTATGGACAAGATGGGAGGCCCCAGCAATAGCCCCGACTGATTGCCCAGCTGACAGCCCCTGACAACTTACTAGGCTTGTGTGTAAGCCATTGTAAGAATGGGTCCTCCAGCTGTGGCTGAGAAATCCCAGCTGAGGCCTCACAAAGCTGAGATAAACATCTCTTCAGAAACATCTCCAAACTGCAGATTTGCAACAAAATAAATGATTGTTATTACTGTTCTAGCAACTGAGTGTTGGGTTGTTTGTAACCCAGCAGTAGACAATTGGGATAATATACAAGCACCCTCCATAGCTCTCACTTCCTTCAATTCTCTATTTTGTCTCATGTATGTCTTTATATGTATTTAAGCAGAGGGAATTAGATTTGAATATGGGCAGTCTAGGGAAGTACCTGAAAGCATGGGGCAAACAAACTTGAATGACAAAGAGATCCACTTGTGTTTGCCAAAACAGTAAAAGTATAAACTCAGGAAAAGTGACAGGAGGCACATTACTAATTTTAACATTGTTGTTCATTCTCTATATCAGCAGTCCCCAACCGTTTTGGCAACAGGGACAGTTTTGTGGAAGACAATTTTTTCCATGAAACTTGTGGTGGGATAGGGGATGGTTTCAGGATGAAACTGTTCCATCTCAGATCATCAGACATGAGATTCTCATAAGGAGCTTGAAACCTAGATCCCTTGCATGCACAGTTTACAATAGGGTTTGCACACCTATGAGAGTCTAATGCTGCTGATGATGATCTGACAGGAGGCAGAGCTAAGGCAGTTATGTGTGCTTGCCAGCTACTCATCTCCTGCTGTGCGGCCAGGTTCCTAACAGGCCATGGACCAGGTGCACAGCGGGAGGACTGGTACTGGTCTGTGGCTGGGGGTTGGGGATCCCTGCTCTATATCATATCTCTTACTTTTCTAAAGTTGATAATGATAGTTGTATTGACAAGCTGTGTGTAATATACAAAGTTCACAAACAAAACACTAAGAAAGTTAATGGTTCAATTTTAAAAACATAAAATTAATTTTGAGGACAAACGGCTATTTTTATCTATCATTTAACAACAACAACACAACAAAAATCTGTTGTCTTAAACTTCCTATGCACTTCACTGTGTACATAGTGAAGCATGTACACATGTATTTCAGCAAAGCACAATGTATTAGATTCTGTTCAGCAAAGCACAATGTATTAGATTCTGTTATTTCCCCCAAGCTGGTTAATGGCTGGAACTTTCAATATACTTTTGGAGGTCAAATGCTTAGACCAAAATAAGCAACTGCTTGATGTCAAATGCTTTACTAGTTATTCGTGTTTACACATTTACTGAACTCAGACCAACAGTTTTGAGTCTGTGGGGTAAAATTAAGCAAGAACCCTCCAAACATGTTGTTTACCAGAAATCCCAGTTCAGAGACAAAACCACAGGCCAATGGCACCTGCCAAGTGAGGAACCAGACAGTGAGCTCTTGCTGTTCAGCAGTCCGATAGATTGTGATTTTTGCAAATAAAGGCACCATAACTGTTTCACTGGCCATTTTGAGTACAGAATTCAAAAACATTTTGGAAGTTCCTCAAAAAATTAAAAATTGAGCTACTATATGATCCAGCAATCTCAATGCTGGGAGTATACCCCCAACAAAGGACATCAGTGTATCAAAGAGATATCTGCACTCTGTTCATTGCAGCACTGTTTACAATAGCTAAGATTTGGAAGCAACCTAAGTGTCCATCGACAGATGAATGGGCAAAGAAAATGTGGTAGTTATGTACAATGGAGTACTATTTAGCCTTAAGAGAGAATGTGATCCAGTCATTTTAAACAACATGGATGAAACTAGAGATCATTATTTTAAGTGAAATAAGCCAGGCACAGAACAATCTAGTTTCTTTATTGGCTATTGAGACAGATTTACATCCATATACAACTATGAATATTTGATCTCAAATGCAAATTAATAGAATAATAGTGTTTAGTTCAATCTATCTAGTTCAATTTCTTTTTCAGTGACAAGGTCAGAATTCAGGATTTCGGGGTTTTGTTTTAAAATATATTTTTAATCTTACTCTTTTACTTTTCAGCATATTTTGCTATATTGTTCAGGACGTTACAGTAACCTAAAAAGAGCTGTTGATAGACACTTTTAGGATAATATAATCATTGTTGATTTAGCGTCTGCTCACAGAACTATTTCCTCCTAAAAGAACTCATTTAGTGTGCTGTTACGATTTTATTCACATGTATTGTTATTATTTCACAGTAGCCTTCATTTGTTAATAGGTAGGATTTAAACTGTTCAATCTGGTCACTGCAAGGTGGGGTTATACTTATTGTCTCCTCTAGTCAGCACAAACCCAAAGATATTTCTAGAAAAAGACCTCCAAGATGATAGAAGCTCAAATCTTCTCTTTCAGATATTCAGATTTTTGGTCTCTAAAAAAGTTTCAAATTTTATAAAAATCATCACTTTTTCTGTTTCATAGTTAGGAACTGTGTCTTTATCTTTCAAACAATTATCTACAACTGATGATAGATTTAAAATATAGTATTTAGAAACTGTAAGAACACTACAGCCATTATCTATAGTCATTTTTAACTCACACAATTTTTTTCAAAAAAGTCCTTTCTTAAATAACTGCAAATGTTATTTGCAAAACAACTGAATCCGTCTCATTCTCTGTAATTATTTTTATTTTCTCCTTGAGAAAATTAATTTAAGTTACAATTATGCTATTCTGAACACAAAGATTACCTCTTTGATGTACTTCTGGAAAAAAAAAACGGAATGCTTGTAGTGATATATAAGTCTGTTACCTGCAATTGGTATAATTCTTTGATTGTAAAATAATATGATTAAAGCATTATTGTCTTTAACATGCATAAAAATTCACTGATATGTTTACATGTCAATTCTAATGGCTTTGATGAACTCCAATACAACTTTTCTGGAAAAGTAGATAGATTTTCATATAGGGCAAACTCGAGAGGAAGTAAAGCTGTCTTTTGTCATCCCCTTGTACAATAATGTCAAAAGATGCTATTCTTATGTATACAGGTGCTCATATACTAAGATCACCAGCTAATAGATTTTGCTTTTTATTTTTAAAAAAGAGAACCCATCAAGAATGAAGAAATTAGGAGACTATTATCTATTATAACTTTGGCAGTTATTATAGAATTTGATTTTTGCAGAGTACTAAGATCCGCTGTTTGAATACAAAGCCATGTGTGTGAACTACATGATTCGTCTTTTGTGGAATTATCAACCTAAGGGCATACTACCTTTACTATAATTATTGAGGGGCTTAAATTGTGATGGTATTCAGTATCTCTCATATAAATTAATTTAGAATTCAAGGAGAAAATAATATTTTATCTGAAAAATTGGTGTGCTTTCTCACTTCTGATACTAATCATACAATCAATAATGTTTTCTTTTCCTCTGATTACCAAGAAGCTTAAAGTACATTACCTTTTCATATTATTATTTTATGATTATCAGGCAAACAAAATTTCTTTGTACTATGCTGTTTCTGACTATTGTTAAATTATTGTAAATGAAAGATTTCATTCTAACCCAACCCTTGTCATGATCATTACACAAATTAAATTAGTAGGATCCAAATTAAAGGACAGAGGAAAGCTGTGGAAAATAAAGTATGTTCTTGGAATGTATGGTGTAAAACACCCTGCCTTAATATCTCAAGGTATTGTTTTAGATTGGCTTTTGATCTGAGATTCTCAAGGCTGGCAGTTGTAAATAGCATATTCCTCTTAATTCTGTGATATCAAATCTCCTATTCTTTTTCATGAAGCAATTTGGTTTGGGGAAGCAGCTCACATACAAAACCAATAAGAGACATTACTGTTTGTCTCTAAATCCTTATGCTGGATCATATTGAAAGATGAGTGTCAGGGTGAGAAACCATTTGGACAAAATCAAATAAAAAAATGAGTATACATTCGTAATAAGGCTATTCATTCAACATTTGTTTCTGTGGATAAAAATCAGCTCTATTTCCTTTTCCTTATAATTCATTATATGGACTTATTCTCATTATAACAAAGAGGCAAATTGCTTCTTGAAATAGTATCTTTATCCTAACATATTATATCAGTTTTTTATACAGTTATAACAGGCATTTCTTTGAGAAAAAGGAAAACTGTTTGTCCTCCCATCATGTTCATGAACCCCTATGATACTTTTAAGATGTCATGAATCATTGATCCTTCATTTTTCTGCCTGGGATAAGAGGGCTCACTTCTTCATCCTGAGGGGACTGGGAAGTAGAGAAAGTAATAATCCTTCATGTTCTATAAGTGACTCTCAGATGAAAGAACAAAAGCTCATACACATTCCAAGGATCTGCCCCTGTGAGTATAAGGCTAATAAATTAATTGAAGATCCCTAACAGAGAATGTTATGTTAGTGTTATTTCAGGAAGCTGTGCAGCTATTTTTTGATATAGTATTTGAAAAAGGAACCTCAAATATTAAACCACAAGGAAAATCTTTCATCAAAAAGTGGCTTCCAAGTCACAGACATAAGAATTGAAGAGGTATCCTTAGTGTATGTCAGAAAGTTCACACCATGACACTGATATTGCAGTTTAGGAAGTCATCACTCTAGTTAAGATAATTTGAGTTTCCCCTTTATATGGATTTTATCTCTGTATTTCAGTGGTTTTAGTTATCCACACAGCTCTTCTCTGTTAACAGATCCTTTGTTCTTAACACTGCAAAAATGTAGCGCACAATTAGTCTCTGGGTTCCTGATATTTGCCCTGAATTGGCATTCAGTCTCATCTGTAACTTGTCTTATCTTTGCATGCCTTTGTCTGCCCAAGAGACTTTAGCTCTCTACATCCTCTGGCTTTGGCATCTTGACTGATCTACTTCTTTATTTTTATTTTTTTATTTTTTGCCCGTTAGGTTTCTGGTTAATGGCTCATCTACTCTTCGCTAAAATGCCTCTTTTCTGGCTGCCTACACAAAACCATTAACCTGACTCCTGACCTCAGCCATCCTCCTGGAGTTTCCCCATCCATACAGCCTTCTCAAAAGGCCCAGAGAACCATGCCCCAAATAAAACCCTGTTTAAAACACAGTTCCCTTCTTGTGTGTATGTGTTTTTTTTAACCATAGTCCTTCCCTAGGTGTCTTCAACACAGCATCACATTCTGGCCTCACTTTATTGACCTTAGACCATATTGTCAGAGCCTATCTTCCCTTCTTCTGAAAAATAATTACTCATAGTCTCAGTGGAATGCAGAAGCCAAATCTCATTGGCTCACAAGGGATGATTGTTAGATATTCCAATATTTCATGAGCGGTTGTCAATCCGTTAGCAGCTTAACGTCAGCCATGATAAGAATATTTACAGCAGAGGAATTGGCAAATGCTTTAAATCAAAGTTTTCTCCATCCTCCCACTCAATTCCCCAATGCCCGCCTCTCCTTCCAGCAAGTTTATCACACACCACTGTTCTTTTTCCTGAGCACCATCTTATGAGGCAGAAATAAATCAGAAAAAGTATTAAATCTAGCATGTGATAATGTGCTACAAGATAATATATCCAAAAACATTTGTGTTTAACAGAAATTCCCTGAAGAATTCCATGAACTCAATATTTCCCAAATTTAGTGTCCATCAGAATCATATAAGAAGTGTATAAGATTGCAGAAGTCAAGACTGTATCCCAGGCTCTTCTGCATTTGAGCTCTGGGCATCCTTGTTAACAAGCCTCCTAAGCAAATTAGAGTCCAGCAAAGTTTGAGAACCACTAAGACAATAAATCTCAAGTGGTAACTTGTACAGTATCAAAATAAGAAAATGGAGTCATTCAGCAGAGCCTTTCCCATGACACTTTGGAGATGATTATCCATTATATTCCAAAATATACCCAGATGTATATAAAGCAAGCAATTATACAGTGCCTCTACTAAGCCACATGACATTGATGTTCTTTTATAATTTATTCCATAACAAATCCCTAAACAGTAGTAAAAGATATAAACATTCAATTTTCAAATTCCAAAAATACCTCTCCAGACCTTAACGGTTTTATTGGGTCTTCCTATATAAATAAAAATACTTCGATTGTTTTTTTCAGCTTTATCTATCTGAAGATAATTTTATTATTTTGCAATGCTATGAATCTGCAAAAGAATGCTTCTAAGTATCTAGATAATTTCTAGGTTGCCCTCTTTATGCGTGAACAAATCATTTTGATATTTTTCCTTCAAATATTGGGTTTAAATACTATGTTTTAAAAGACACTTACCCATTCTCTCTGTCTCCTTATTGGTTCCCATTTGAAAAAGAATGAACAGAGAGAAAAGTAGGGGAAAAAACGGTTAACAGAGAAAAAGGAAAATGGATGCAGTGATCCCTGAAGTTTAAGTAACAAGGCTCTTTATGTCAGTGCAATTTTTTGCCCTCTTTTGACACTTTAAATAAGATGTATATGCAGGTGGATGTCTCAAGTTTTAAATGATGAACCAAGGAGTGTAATTTATCAGAAAAGCGTTCCTCTGTAGACATTTTTCTGAATGAGAAATGTGCCACCCAGAATGTGCTACAAAATGTTAATGGCTTTGAGTCTATACAAATTTGAACTTTATCGAAATGTGCTAATAATGAGATAGATTTAAAAATTATATACTGGGTTGCAGAACAGTAGGATTGTGGCAACGAAAGCATAGGGAACAATGTATTATCCTGCCATGTAAAAGGACCCCAGGCATTCAGCAGTCAAGAGATGGGTTCCACTAACCTTTCCCTTGCTGTGCTTTCTCACAAACCTTAGCAGCTAGGGTAATTTAGCTTGATTTTGATAATGAGATCAATAGTTAAACCAAGAGGCAGGAGTGGCCAAAGGGAGTAGGCAGTTTAAAAACTCATATTTTGTTGTGCTTTAAAGTCAATGGGTTGGTCATGTTTAACCACCCTGCTCCCCGTTCAACACAAGTCAGGAGAATCACTACTGAATAGCAGCGGGCAGAGATCACATTCTTTCCATCAAAGTTTTGAAAGTCATTTCTTGCTATTTACAAAATGGCCATTTTTCTACAAGGAAACTAGAAAGAGCTGTATTCTCTCTTGATGGCATATGCACCTGAGTTGGTTATTGTGATGCTCATCAGTAACTTCTTACAAAGAAACTATGCTTGTTCTTTCTGTGTTGAAGCCCAGACATATTATCATCACATCATATTTTTGTGGACTTCGGTTTGATCTAGAAAGCACTCCTTTTAAGCCTCCATTCATAACTATATTCTTAAAAGATTTATTTTTAAATTTCACTCTCAAAGTAGATGTTACCTTCTGACAAAATATATTAAGGATGTATATGACATGGTTCACACTCCACAGAAGAAATACTTAATGATCTCTTCTTTAATTCTGACATTTTTTGTTTTTGCCAAAAAATAAGCTTACAGAATAGGGTACTACTGAGAGGTCAGTAACAGGTAAAAACAGGGAATATTATTTTAGACAGATAGAGCAGGCTAAATCCAAGTTCCCATTCTTTTTTGTTAAGATATCACCAGTGCTTTTAGCTATCCATTATTCACCTTCACAAAAGCGTTAAGTTGGAAAGTAAACCCTGCCATTTATTTCCAATGCTCACTTAACAGAAATAAATGCAGCTACCACCTTCCAACTCTAAATGATACGAGATGGAGTGTTTGAGTTACTGACTGTAACCTTGACAAGGCGTCTAATCACTGTCTGAGAAACTCAATCAGCCAGCATCTAATCATACACTGGGATGAAAAACAAGATTAGAATCTCTGAATCCAACATGGAGAATGGGGTTTATATTTGAGGAGCAATTTTATTGGTTTGCAACAGATTGCAGATTTGCAAGAATCTTGACGATTGCAGGAAATTGCAGATTTGGACCCTTGATTACTTATTTCTATAATACTCCATTATTACAGAAATAAGATGTGTGTGTGTGTGTGTGTGTTTGTGTGTAATAATCACAATACTCACCACCAAGGTAACTGCACTTTTATTCAGGCTTTCTCCTTCGTGTATGAACTCAAATTATTATGTGGATGATATATAATGTCAGACATCTTTGAGAATATATAACAAATTCAAAATTGAGAATATATAACAAATTCAAAATTTGAGAATATATAACAAATTCACAATTTTACTTGTATTATTTCAGTTTAAATACACAATGGACACCACATTCCAAAAATAATAAATCAACCAAGACTTGTCAGCATCATGAAGGTGAACTATTCAGCTATGTAAAATAATATTTGCAGAATATCCGAAAGCTTGTACTTCTGCTTACCTCTACAAGGTATGATATAATTTTCTATTTGAGCCATAAACCAAAAAATGCCAGAAATGTATGTGACTAAATAAACCATACAGTCTAATACCATTATTAGAGTTTAAATGAGCAAGACATTGTGAAGGTATTTACTTAACAAACACCTATGTAGTAGTAATTGTGTGTAAATCACTGCTGTGCGAAATCTATAAATATTAACTTATTTTATCTTCATAACAACCAATGAGAGTACTATTATTACACAAATTATATAAGTGAGCAAACAGAAATACAGAGACATTAAGCAACTTGCCCAGAATCACAAGCTAGTAAGTGGCAGATACAGGATTTAAATCCAGGCACTCTGACCAAAGAGGGTATACTTTTCTGCAATTCATGAGAGTCATGACAAGAACTTTTCAGGCCCAAAAGATACCTTATTGGCTGACCTCAGTGATTTGACGACAAAACATTTTTCTAGGTGCCATTACAATGTTCTTGCTCAAATAGGGATAGTAGCTAATATTACTTGAGCAGGTACCACCATTTTTCAGGATGCCTTTGTATTTTATCTCATTTATCTCCACAGAGACCTATATAGACATTTAAAAAACAAAAACAAAAAAAAAAACAAAACAAAAAAAACAAGGTCTCAGTCTGTTGCCCAGGCTGGTGTGCAGTGGTGCCATCATGGCCCACTGCAACTTCGAGCTCCCAGGCTCAAGCAATTCTCCCAACTCAGCCTCCTGAATAGCTTGGAACACAGGTGCATGCCACCATGCCTGGATAACTTTTTGTAGAGACAAAGTCTCCCTATGTTGCCCAGGCTGGTCTCGAACTCCTGGACTCAAGCAATCCACCTTCCTCAGCCTCCCAAAGTGCTGGGATTATGGGTGTGAGCCAACTCATCTGACTCACATTTTTTTTTTTTTTTTTTTTTTTTGAGACGGAGTCTCGCTCTGTCATCCAGGCTGGAGTGCAGTGGCGGGATCTCGGCTCACCGCAAGCTCCGCCTCCTGGGTTCCCGCCATTCTCCTGCCTCAGCCTCCCGAGTAGCTGAGACTACAGGCGCCCGCCACACGCCCGGCTAATTTTTTTGTATTTTTTTAGCAGAGACGGGGTTTCACCGTATTAGCCAGGATGGTCTCGATCTCCTGACCTCGTGATCCGCCCGCCTCGGCCTTCCAAAGTGCTGGGATTACAGACGTGAGCCACCGCACCTGGCCCTGACTCACGTTTTTATTTGTATTTTACAATTAGGAAATTAAGGGTTAGAGAAGTTAAGTAGCTTTCCCAAGTTCACACTGCAAGCAAACACATATTCTAGTCTACTGACTCAAAATTTCACTCCATACCACATACCACGTTTTCTAAAATTATATATGATTGGAAGATTTGATCTGTGGATTTCTTTAGGAAAGTAAATTAAACTTACATTTTTGGTTTTGCCTAAAGACCCCAATTAATGTCTTGAACTTCATATTTCCATATGATGCTTTGGAAATTATCATAAACTCAGGTACAAATTGACCACAACTAGTCACTAAGAAGGGAGAAATTCTTTAGACAAGGCCATAAAAAAATGTTCAGCAACTATACATACCTAAATAATATATCCTGATATGTGAAGTCTTCAATCAATTGAACAAATTAATATTTTCATTATTACAAATAAGTAAACAAATTTATTTAAAATCTCTAATAATTTGACTCAACACTGCAACTATTACCTTTGACTATTCTTAAATTTAAATGCCACTTTGAAGCCCTAGTGCCTTTGAAGTCATGTTAACTACAAGATCCAAGGAAACTGGAGTATCTGGGGTGTGGAGGGAAGAAGGTAAGTTCATAGACTACAGCAGTCTGCCAGGTTGTAAATCTTGGCTCATCCACTGACTTGGACAAGCTATTCAGCCTCTCAGTGCCTCAGTTTCCTTATCTGTAAATGAAGATAATAAGTCTATTACTCATTAAAGATTAAATGAGTTACATGTTGAATAAAACTTGACACATAATAATTGTTTGATACTATTATAGAGGATATTAAAGTATTTTTGCCCTGTTTCCTACCAGTTTTGCTCTTTCTTAGATGCAGTAGGAAACCTTGAGTTTCCTATAGGGATTGAGTTGTTTCCCTAACACTAACTTGTATACCTAAAAGAGTTATAAACAAGTAAACCTAACTACTTTATACAACTACTATTGCATATTTAGCTTTAATTGTTGCCATATGCACAAGTTTTGAGCAAACTAAATGGAAATACCTTATTGATATAATATACAGCTATTTGTTTTTAGTTTTAATAAATACTATCTTAAATATTAGTTGTCTTATGGTTACTAGAAAGAGCACCTAAAAAGAAAAATTAGATATACATGAAGCCTCTAGGTGCTTTTGATCTACATTTGTTTAATGCTCCATAGCCTTCGGTCAAGTATCGACCGAGTTTATTTAACATTATTATTAATAACAAAGTTATGTGTCTCTCACATTTTAGGATTTCTGACCACCTGGATCTGTGCTAAGTAGCATTTCAATGGCCATACTGTAGAAAGTTCTACAAGATGAGCATTTACTGGGTTGTGAGGACACCATGGCAGTCACTCCAAGATCTTAAATAATGGGTTAAAATGGATGTGATCTCTTCTCAGCTTCATCCAGTAGTATACTACTACAGCATGCAAGGTAATTCAGAACTCGGTACTCTTGAGCGTCATTATCACTATGAGCTGGAAGTCTCACTCATATGACAGAGTCATTATCTATCTGTCTAACTACCTGCCAATCTATCTATTATCTATCTATCTATCTATCTATCTATCTATCTATCTATCTCCCAATCTACCTGCTGATCTATTTATCTATCTACCTATCTATCATCTATCTATTATCTATCTGCCAATCTATCTGCTTATCTATCTATCTATCTATCTGTCTATCTACATCAATCTATCTCTATGTTTCAGGCATCCTCAGTGAGGTTTCTGCTCTCCCAGGAAAGCAGAGCATGGCAAACTAATCCCTGTGACCCCAAGTATGTCACTAATGTGTCACTGAGAGCTCTGGGGCACAAAAGGGCTAGTTAAAGAACAATAAATTATGACCTGGCATTCCACAGGAGTGAAGAAATAACTAGAAATGACCCTTTGGCAGTTCATTAGGCTCCTGCAACTTGAACACAGATGCATGGATCAAGAAAGACCCTGATAAATTATTATTTCAATTTCTTCCATTCCGGCTGAACGAGGATGTAAAATATAAAATTGAGTAATAGAACAAGTTATCATTCTCAATATACCTGAATTATGTGGCTTGAGATTTATACCACCTATGCATAAAATCAGATATGTTTAGGGTCATCTTTGCTATTACCACTACCTCTGTCATGGTAGATTTTTTAAGGGCTGATATTCTACTGTTGTTATTTTTTTCTTCTTCACTTTTAAAACCAGCTCTTTCTAAAGGACGTTGCACTACACAACATTGTTGCACTGCCCATCACTGGCTCACAGTGATGTAGCTCTTTGCCATGTGTCATGGTCTTCCCTTTCCCAAAGCTACATACTCAGGATTGGGACTGGGAGGGGTGTGTGTGTGTGTGTGTGTGTCCTCTAATGGCCAGACACAGCCTTACACTTTGCCATAACCCCTGCTCTCTCTGCCTCTAGGGTCTAATATGCAGATTGGTCCTGTCTCCCAGACTTCCGCCTAACTCATGGCTATTTTCTTTCAGGGGAGTCACAGTTTTCCCTTCCAGTTCCACCTCTTGAGTGAAACCTTGTCCATTTTCCCAATTTATGTATTTCTTATTCACAATTCCTAATTTCTAACTCGTCCTACGTGCATCTTTAGACACGCACCTGGGTCAGGGCACCCAGTTCAGAGTGGCTGGTCAGTTTGGTACGGGTCAGTTAAATCACCTTCAGAGCATTCTAAAGCAGTAAGGCAGTTGGTGTGCCTATGGAACAAAGAGGATCTCTTGGGGTTTACGGGACCTAACTCCAAAACTCAGCTTAAGTGACTCATGGCCAAATCCTGTGTTTCCTGACTCATTTAATCCCACCATCAAAGTGGCTTGTGTTTTTGAGACCCACAAACAATAAGTAGATGAGGGAGTAACTTGACATTTTTCCCTTACAGGTATTTTTCATCTTTAGGTGTGAAAAGCTACTTCTTTTCTCAAATGAGTCATTCAAAAACAAACTCACTGTAAATAGCTATTTTGTAAGAGAGGGAAAAAAATGTCCTGTGTCAAGGTCATGGTCCAGGTCTGGAGATAAAGTGCCCTTAAAGCACCTCATGTCCATAACTTCCCTGTTAGTATTTTGATCAGTGAGCTGACCTTGCTTGTGTGGTTATCCAGGGTTATTTTTTACATGCAGGACAAAAGATTCTCATTTATTAACCTAGAGAAAGCTCCCCAATGAAACAAAGTCTTTCTGAATGCACAGTTTAAATGGATTGTAATCCATTAACTTTCATTATTAAGTTTTTTATTCTCTTGAGTTTAAGCCCTTCAAGATATGAATTTATTATCATAACCATGATTTAGTTAAGAAGGCTTTACAATGTTGTAAAAAATTGGAGTCTTTATCACTAGAGAAGGGATGGATATTAATTCTCTAGCTGGTTGCTAAACATAGGCACACATGGATTAAGTTTATGCACAGTCATACAGATTTCAATATTACATTTTCCTCAAAATGGTAGTATAAATGCTTACTTTGGAAGAACTCCACTTTACAAAGATCAGCTTAAAATGAAGCTAAGATACTTACATTTTCCCATTTTTGTCAAGTCTCTACAGAGTCTGTAAAAAAAATGCTTTAAAAATCCAAATTATTTTACTCTGAATGTATAACAGTCTCGTACTCAAAAAGTTGTTACAATTCTCTACCTCATGACAGACCAAATCAACTGAATAAATGACAAGATTATATAAGAACTAGATTTCATCCTAGTGTAAGTTTATAATATATTATTGATTATTCCTATAACCTATCTAAAAAAATTGTACAGTTAAGATATTTAAAAAGTTGACTCATGTTTTTCTTCCCATAAAAGCACATAAGAACTTAGTAATAGTTTTGAAATTACAAAAACCATATTAATGATATTATTAAACCTTTCCTAGTGGTTGAGTAAGCACAGAATTCTTTAGGCTTTAAGGGATTGTCTTTTTTAAGATGAAATGTAATATTTATCACAGAGTTTATGTATTTCGTGACCACTTAAAATGTGTAAAACTGCTACTATTTTAATTAGGTTCCTATCTTTATTATATGTTACTAAGTTTTGGAGTGTTGTGTCTCAACCTGTTTATCTCATAAGTCCTGTGTTGTGTTCTTTCTAATTAAGCTTTCAATTAATTTACTTAATTTAATTAAGATAATTGTAAATTTACTTGTAATCATCAAGAAATAATGCAGACAGATTTCTTGTACCCTAATCCAGTTTCCCTAATGGTAACATATTGAAAGATACAATATCACAAACAGGATAATGACATGAATACAGTTAAATACACAATATTTTCATCAACACACGAAATTTCATGTAGCTCTTTTGTAGCCAAACCTACTCTCCTTTCACCTGGACCACTTCTTTAGCACCTGTTAACCACTAATCTCTTCTCCATTTTTATAATTTTGCCAATTCAAAAATGCTGTGTAAAAGAAATTACACTATGCAACCTTTTGAGAAGGACTCTTCTTCACTTAGGATAATTATCTTTACATTCATCCATGTTGTTCTGTGTATCATGAGTTTATTCCTTTTTATTACTGAGTATTCCAGAGTATGGAAATACCATATTTATTTAACCCTTTACCTGTTAAAGAATATCTGGATATTTTCTGGTTTGGAGCTATTATAAATAAAGCTGCTATAAACATCCAAGTCCAGGTTTTTGTGTGAACATAGGTCTTCATTTCTTGGAGATAAAGCAGAGTAGTGCAGCTTCTGGTTGCACGTTCAGTTTTCTTTAAAAAATTGCTAAACTATTTTCCAGAGTGACAGCAATATGTGAGTGATGAGTTTTTTTGGTATCCTTGCCATGATTTATCACTATTTTCTTATTTTAGCCACCTTGATATGTGTATAGAGATATCTCATTGTGGTTTTAGTTTGCATTTCTCTAATGGCTTATAAGGTTGAACATTTTTTCATGTGCTTAATTATATCTGTGTATTTTCACCAATGAAATTTCTCTTCATATCTTTGGCCCATTTTCTAATCAGATTGTTATTTTCCCATTGACTTTTAAGAGCAGTTAATATATTCTGCACACTAGCTTTTTGTCAGATATGTACTTTGCAAGAATTTTTACCCACTCTGTGTTTTCACCCATTAATGGGGGCTTTAACAGAGTAAAAGTTTTTAATTTTCATCAAGTTCAATTGTTCAACTTTTTCTCATGAATTGTGCTTTTAGTACCAAGGCTAAGAACTCTGCCAACCTCTAGATCCTGAATATTTTCTTCTAGGGTTTTTTTTTAAATCAAAACTATTTTAGTTTTATATTTTACATTGAAGTCCATGAATTTATTTGGAGGTTTTTGTTTTTTGTTTGTTTTGTTTTGTTTTGTTTTTACATATAAAGCATGAGACTTCTCCCAAGGTCTTTTTGTTTGTTTTGCCTATGGATGTCCAATTATTCCAGCATCATTTGCTGAAAAGGTTGTCTTTTCTCCATTGAAGTACTTCTGCATCTCTGTCAAAAATTAATTGGGTGTATATATATATATATAAATTAATTGGGTGTATATATATATAAATTAATTGGGTATATATATATGGAAATATACTGTATTTCTGCATTCTCTGTTTCACTCCATTTGTCTCTGTGTATTTCATTCCACTAATACTACATAGTCTTGATTAGTGTAGCTATAAAATGCATCTTAGGTCGAAGGATTCCTCCCACTTGATTTTTTTTCTTTTTTTTCAAAATTGTTTTAGCTATTAAAGCTTCTTTGTCTTTTAATATAAATTTTAGAATTATATTTTCTATATCATCAAAAATCTTGGTGAGATTTCGATAAGAATTATTTAAAACCTATATATATATATATTTGGGGAAATTGTCATCTTTACTATGTTGAATCTTTTTTTTTTTTTTTTTTTTTTTGAAACAGGGTTTTACTCTGTCTTTCAGCCTGGAGTGCAGTGGTGTGGTCAGGCTCACTGCAGCCTCAACCTCCCAAGGTCAAGTGATCCTCCCACGTTAGCATCCTGAAGAGCCGGGACTACAGACAGGTGCATGCCACCATGCCCAGCTAATTTTTGTATTTTTTGTAGATACAGGGTTTCACAATGTTGCACAGGCTGGATGTTGAGTCTTATAATCTATGAAATCCCTCTATATTTACTTACATTTCCTTTGATTTCTTTCATCAACATTCCAGTTTGCCGCATACACTCCTGCTCATGTTTTGTTAGATTTGCTCGTAAGTATTTTCTTTTCTTGAGTGATTGAAAATGACATTTTAATTTCATTGTCAACATGTCTATTACTGGTATATAAAAGTTCAGTTCAGCTTTGTATGTTTATCTTGCATTCTGTAACACTACTGAAATCACCTATTCGTTCTAGGAGTGTTTTTCATAATTTCTTTTTTTTTTTTTTTTTTTTTTGAGACGGAGTCTCGCTCTGTCGCCCAGGCTGGAGTGCAGTGGCGCAATCTCGGCTCACTGCAAGCTCCACCTCCCGGGTTCACGCCATTCTCCTGCCTCAGCCTCCCGAGTAGCTGGGACTACAGGCGCCCGCCACCATGCCCAGCTAATTTTTGGTATTTTTAGTAGAGACGGGGTTTCACCGTCTTAGCCAGGATGGTCTCGATCTCCTGACCTCGTGGTCTGCCCGCCTCAGCCTCCCAAAGTGCTGGGATTACAGGCGTGAGCCACTGCACCCGGCCGTTTTTCACAATTTCTTGAGATCTTCTATGTAGGCAAATATGTCATCTGCAAATGGACACTGTTTATTTTGTCTTTTCCAATGAACATGCTTTTTATTCCTTTCTTTTCTCTATTGTACTGGCTAGAACTTCCTGTCCTATGTTAAATAAGAATGGCTGAATAAAAGCAGACACGCTAGCCTTGCTGTTTATCTGAGGAGAGAACATTCAGTCTTTTACCATTGGTAGATGTTAACTGCAGGTTTTTTATAGATGTTCTCTATAAAGTTCAGGAAGTTCTCTATTCCCATTTTTCTGAGAGTTTATATCATGATTAATGTTGAATTTGGCAAAAACATTGAAACACTTACACACATACATGTATGTATATATTTGGAATCAACTGATATGAACATGAGAGTTTTCTGCTTTAGCTTGTTAATATGGTGGTTTACATTACTTTATTTTCAAAATCAAGCCAGCCTTGTATCTCTAGATTAAAATCCACTTAATCATGGTTTTTTTTAATATATTACTGATTTATATTTGCTAATATTTTACTCAGGATTTTTGTGTCTATATTCAAGACAGATAGTGGTCTGTAGTTTCTATTTTCTTTTGTCTTTGTATTTTCTATGTCTTTGTATGGTTTTGGCTTCAGGATAATTCTAGCTTAATAAAATGAATTTGGAGTATTCTTTACTCTTATTTTCAGAAAGAGATTGTATAGAATTGATATTAATTTTTTAAACATTTGAAATAATTCTTCAATGAAACCTTCTGAACCTAGATTTTTTGGTGTATTTTTTAAATTAAAATTTTAATTTCCTTAACAGTTATAGGACTATTTAACTTATTGATTTTATATTGCATGAATTGCAGTAGTTTGTGTTTTTCTAGGAACTAGCTCATTTCACCAAAATTGCTAAATTCACATTTATAGAGTTATAAAGTATTTCTTTGTTATCCTTTTGGTGTCTGTAAAGTCTATAGTGATGTCCCTGTTTCATTTGTGATACTGGTAATTTTTTCTACTCTCTTTTTTCTCTGTCTTAGTAGTGGTTTGTGAATTTTATCAATCTTTTTAAGAACCAGCTAGCTGTTTCGTTGTTTCTCTCTGTTATTTATTTTTTGTTTCAATTTCATTAATTTCTGCTATCTCCCTTCCTTATCATTTCTTTTTTCCTTCTGATTGGTCGGGGTTTATTTTACTTACTTATTTATTTATTTATTAGGTTCTTGAGGTGGGAGTTTAGACTATTGATTTAAGGCATTTTCTCTTTACTAATGTATGCATTCAGTGGTGTAAATTTTCGTCCCAATACCGGTTAACTTTGCCCTACAAATTTAAATATTTTTTATTTTTATTTTCATTCAGGCAATGTAATTTTTTATTTCCATTGAGACTTCCTTGTTTATTCATGGATTATTTAGATGTATATTGTTTAATTTCTAGCATTTGAAGATTTATCCTTTATCTTTGTTATTGATTTCAAGGTGTTTAAAGAACGTACTCTGTATGCTTTCAATTCTTTTAAATTTGTTGAGGTTTGTTTCATGCCCCAGGATGTGATTTATCTTGGCATATCTTTCCTGGACACTTGAAAGAAATGTGTATTCTGATGCTGTTCGGTGGAGTGCTCTAAAAATGTTCATTAAATACTTTTTATTTGATGGTGTTACTGAGTTATTCTGCATCCTTTCCTATTTTGGGTCTACCAGTTGTTAACTTCTCCAATTATAGTCGTGCATTTGTTTATTCTTTCAGTCCTCTCAGGTTTTCTTCATCTATTTTGTAGTTCTACTGTTTTGAGCATACACATTTAGCATTGCTTCCTAAATGGTCTCCACTACCACTAGTAGGATAGACAATTCGTACTAGGTAATGGTGAAAGTCCTGGCATTCAATGAGGCTTCCTCTGACCCAAATAAGTGAAGAAAGGAAAAAGAGTAGAAAGAACAATAAATTTCCTTACTCTCAAACTAAAATTAGTGGGGAATCAAAGTCTTCTCAAACAAAATAAAGATAAATTTTAGAAAACTGCCACACTTTACACAGCAAATACAATTGCAGGAGAATTTAATAAGCATGAGCAAGTTGATGAGAAACGGCATGACATTCTGCAAGTATATCAAAGATCAAAACTTAACATGAGAAGCAAAAACATCACTCAGAAGTTCACTAAGTCATAGGAAATTTTAATAAAAACAATCTAACTAAAATAAGGACTAAAAACTATGCAAAAAACAACATAAAGATAATAGAAGAGATTGCTAATTGAAAATATAAGAGTATTGTTTTTAAAGCCTAATAAATAGTTTTAAAATAACAAAGAGACAAGGCTGAAAGTCATAATTCTAACATGAAGAAATGCTTCATGCAGTTTCTATTAATAGGCTGTTAATAAGGGTTTTGTTTTGTTTTGTTTTGTTTTGAGATGAAGTCTCACTCTGTTGTCCATGCTGGAGTGCAGTGGCATGATCTCAGCTCACTACAACATCCGCCTCCTGGGTTCAAGCGATTCTCTTGCCTCAGCCTCCCGAGAAGCTGGGATTACAGGCTCCCATCACCATGCCCTGCTAATTTTTTCATATTTTAGATAGAGACGGGGTTTCACCATGTTATCCAGGCTGATCTCGAACTCCTGACCTCAGGTAATCTGCCTGCCTCAGCCTCCCAAAGTGCTGGGATTATAGGCATGAGTCACTGTGCCTGGCCTAAGATTTTAACAGAGAAAATGTAGTTATGAAGAAGAGGCAGAAAGGACCCAACACAAAGACAACTGGTGTTTCTGAGGCCTAACGCCCAACAAATGGGCAGATATTAACTGAAAAATTTGTTACCAGAAACATTTTATGACAGAAAAAGGCCAGTCTTCAGAAGAAAAGATAATCTATGTTTCAGAAAAAATAATTGATATAGGCTGGGCATGGTGGTTTATGCCTCTAATCCCGGCACATTGGGAGGCCCAGGTGGGCAGATCGCTTGAGGTAGGGAGTTCAAGACCAGGCTGGCCAACACGGTGAAATCCCGTCTCTACTAAAAATACAAAAATTAGCTGGGTGTTGTGGAGCATGACTGTAATCCCAGCTATTCGAGAGTCTGAGGCAGGAGAATCGCTTAAACCTGGGAGGCGGAGTTTGCAGCAAGCCGAGATCGCGCCACGGCACTCCAGCCTGGGTGAGGGAGCAAGCAAGACTGTCAAAAAAAAAAAAAAAAAAAAAAGAAGAAGAAATAAGTGATACAGATTGCTCAACAATGAGATGCATAATAGTTAAATTGGGAAACTTCCAACATTAAAAAATAATTCTTCAAACATTTAGGCTAAAAAACCCAAACTATCTGCAAGAAAAAAAGAAAAAATCTGGCTTGACTCAAACTACCACATACTAAAATTCAATAGCAAAAATGTCTACAAATTTCTCAAGGAAATAAAGTTTGAACTGCAAATATCATATCCAATTAAGATGTAAGTCAAATAAAAAAGGAAAACATAAAATATCTATGCCATGAAGCAATACAGGTAATATCCAGCTTTAATTTATTCAACAAATATTTACCAAGCTCCCATCATATACAAGGTAATATGATAGCTGCCATTATGAGTATTCTTTGGGTAAATTTCTTAAAGTTGAAATTCAACCAATTAAGACATGAATCAAATTAAACATATTTAAAGGTAAAAAGTATTGGGGTACAAGAGCCACTGGTAAGAATCAGTTGTCTGCACACTATAATGGAAATATAGAATAGTATTTGATCACTTATTATGATGGAAAAACTTTATGTGTACATGTACACACAAATATATACATATCTATGTATATCAACACAATTATATCTAGCTATATATATGCATGCATCATTCTGTGTGTGTGTGTGTGTGTGTGTGTGTGTGTATATCCAAATATAAACAGTTAAGAAGAAGTGGAAGAGGGATTTTACTCCCAAGTATTCCGACTTCAGGGCTTGGGCTCTTCTATACTAAACTTTCTGAAAGAAATGCTAAGTAAAATTACAAACTTCGAGAACATAATTTAGAGAATATTAATGATATATATAATTGAGTAATAATGGTAATATAACTAATAAGAATCAGGAAGTAAAGAAAGAAGTGGCGGAAGAATTGGAAGAGGATCACTTCCCTAACCTTCATAACAGTGATCAATGGATATTATCTTAAATTAAAACATAGTTTATAGGAGATGGAGATGGGTGGCTCACTCAAGGCTAGAAATTTGAGACCAGCCTGGGCAACATGGTGAAAGCTGGGCATGGTGGAAAATACCTATAGTCTCAGCTACTTGGGAGGCTGAAGTGGAAGGATGGCTTGAGCCTGGGAGGCAGAGATTGCAGTGAGCCGAGATCGTGCCACTGCACTCCAGCCTAAGTGACAGAGCAAGACCCCGTCTCAATAAAAAAAGAAGGAGAAGGAGAAGAAGAAGAAGAAGATTGTCATATTTTAATATTTTCAATAAAAAAAACATAGCTTGGAAAACTTCACTCTGTCCTACATCAAGATATGCTGAGACCCTCCACTGAAGGTGTGCAGACAGATGGCCTTTTCTAAAGAGATGAGACAACGATGAGATACCCTCTTTGGTAACCCAGATGACTGACAGCAGTTTGCTTTAACTCCTTTTTAAAGGAAACTAAAAAAAAAAAAAAAAGAGCTTACCTATCTAAGATATTTTTTAAAGTGGCAAAGATGCACAGTCTATCTTACTTTAAAATTTGAATTAGAATGTGCGTGTACTATTTATTAAAAAGGAGGTAGATTATATCATCAGTTGTCCCACCAATCAATCCCACTTTCAATATTCTTGCCCTTATGTAGTCCCTTTCGTAGTATCCTGGGTTTGGCCATGGGACTTGCTTGACCAATGAGACATGGGCAAACATGACGCAAGCAGAGGCTTGGTAAGTGTTTGCACATTATGGACTGCACTCTGGTACTACAGATGCCACCAGCTGAGAAATTCCAGTCTTGTCCAGTGGCCTTAAGGAACAATGACCACATGAGGAGAGAGGTTCAGTGGATTCTCCAGCTGAAGGGTGCCACATGTGTGAGTCCACGGGAAACTAGCAGAAGAATGCCCTTCTCACTGACAGAACTGTGAGAAATAATAAACTGGTTTTTTAAAAATTTTATTTTTATTTTAAGTTTCTGGGGTACAGGATGTGCAGGTTTGTTACACAGGTGAATGTGTGCCATGGAGGTTTGCTGCACCTATCAACTCATCACCTAGGTACTAAGTCCAGCTTGGATTAGCTACTTTTCCTAATGCTTTCCCTCCCCCCACCACACCCCCTGACAGGCCCCAGTGTGTGTTGTTCCCCTCTTTGTGTCCATGTGATCTCATTGTTCAGCTCCCACTTATAAGTGAGAACATGTGGTGTTTGGTTTTCTGTTCCTGCGTTAGTTTGCTGAAGATAATGGCTTTTGGTTCCATCCATGTCCCTGCAAAGGACATGATCTCATTTCTTTTTATGGCTGCATAGTATTCTATGGTGTATGTGTACCATATTTTCTTTATCCAGTCTATCACTGATGGGCATTTGGTTTGCTTCCATGCCTTTGCTATTGTTAGTAGCTCTGATATGAAGATACACATGCATGCATCTTTGTTATAGAATGGTTTATACTTTTGGGGGGTATATAATCAGTAATGGGATTGCTGCATCAAATGGTATTTCTGGGACTACAGGTATGTGTCACCACACTCAGCTAATTTTTGTATTTTTAGTAGAGAATGGGTTTCACCATGTTACCAGTCTGGTCTCTAACTCCTGGCATCAAGCGATCCACCTGCCTCAGCCTCCTATAAGCTATGTTTCACATGGGCATTTAGCAATCCATATCAAATTCTTCAGCGTGTTGTTCACTACCTAACTGCTCTTGAAAAAAGACATAAAATTAAACATCTGTGGAATATAATGTTATACTGAGGGCATGCCCATTGAAAGATAGTAGGAAATAAACATATAAACTCTACTCTGATATGTAACATTAATAGAATGTGCATAATGCACACCCTATTTTAAGCATTTCACATAAATTATCTCCTCAATCATCCCAAAAACCCAATAAAGTAGTACTGCTATTCTTTACATATGAAGAAATGTAAGTTTAGAGATATGAAGTGACTTTCCCAAAGCAACATAATAAGTAATTTGTGGATCTGGAATGTGTAGTCAACTGGATCTGGCTCAAAAGACTCTGATTTTTTAATTTTTAATTTAATTTTTATTTTAAAAATGTTATTTTTAAAGGGTATTCAGATAGGAAGAGAGGAAGTCAAATTGTCTTTGTTTGCAGATCACATGATCCTATATCTAGAAAACTCCATCATCTCAGCCCTAAAGCTTCTTAAGCTGATAAGCAAATTCAGCAGTCTCAGGATACAAAATCAATATGCAAAAGTCACAAGCATTCCTATACACCAACAACAGGTAAGCAGGGAGCCAAATCATAAATGAACTCCCATTCACAATTGCTACAAAGAGAATGAAACACCTAGGAAAAGAGCTAATAAAGGAAGTGAAGAATCTCTTCCAGGAGAACTACAAACCCCTCCTCAAGGAAATAAGAGAGGACACAAGCAAATGGAAAAACATTCCATGCTCACGGATAGGAAGAATGAATATCATGAAAATGGCCATATGGCCCAACGTAATCTATAGATTCAATGCTTTTCCCATTAAACTACCATTGACATTCTTCACAGAATTAGAAGAAACTATTCAAAAACTCATATGGAACAAAAAAAGTGTTCATAGTCAAGCCAAACATAATCAAAAAGAACAAAGCTGGGGGCATCACACTACTGGACTTCAAACTGTACTACAAGGCTGGAGAAACCAAAATAGCATAGTACTGGTACAAAAACAGACTAATGGAACAGAATAAAGAATTCAGAAGACCACACATCTACAACCATCTGATCTTTGACAAACTTGACAAAAACAAGCAATAGGGAAAGGATTCCCTATTTAATAAAAGGTGCTGGGAAAACTGGCTAGCCATATGCAGAAAACTGAAACTGGACCCCTTTCTTACACCTTATACAATAATTAACTGAAAATGGATTAAAGACTTAACTGTAAAACCCAAAACTATAAAAACCCTAGAAGAAAACCTAGGCAATACCATTCAGAACATAGGCATGGGCAAAGATTTCATGACGAAATCACCAAAAGCAATTGAAACAAAACCCAAAATTGATAAATGGGATCTAACTAAATAAAAGAGCTTCTGCACAGCAAAAGAAACTATCATCAGAGAGAACGGGCAACTTACAGAGTGGGAGAAAACTTTTGCAATCTATGCATCTAACAAAAGTCTAATATCCAGAATCTGCAAGAAACTTAAAAAAATTTACAAGAAAAAAATGAACAACCCCATTAAAAAGTGGGCAAAGGACATGAACAGACATTTCTCTAAAGAAGATATTCATGTGGCCAACAAACATGAAAAAAATCTCAACATCACTGATAATTACAGAAATGCAAATCAAAACCACAATGAGATACCATCTCATAGTCAGAATGGCGATTATTAAAAAGTCAAGAAACAACAGATGCTGGTGAGATTGTGGAGAAAAAGGAACACTTTTACACTGTCAGTGGGAATTTAAATTAGTTCAACCATTGTGCAAAACTGTTGGGTTTTGCTTTAAGGTGTTTTTATTGGGGGCTGGGAGGGTTCAAGCGATTCTCCTTTCTCAGCCTCCAGAGTAGCTGGGACTACACGTGCGTGCCACTATGCCGGGTTAATTTTTGTATTTTTAGTAGAGGCGGGATTTCACCATTTTGGCCAGGTTGGTCTCGACCTCTTGGGCTTAAGTGATCCACCCACTTCAGCCTCCCAAAGTGCTGGGATGACAGGCGTGAGCCATCATGCCCAACAAGGTGTTTTATTAACGCATAAATAGATAAGTGATGTGACAAAGCAGTTAACAAATTGAAATGTCATGCACAAAGAATGCAAAGAATAATCAAGCATATCTGTTTCTGGATGAAGAAATAATTGCCAAATGATAAAGTTCCCAGAAACTTGTAGGATGAACTTTCCAAAGATCTGACGGAGTTTGTTTTGTTTTGTTTCATTTCTTAGATGAATAATTAATTATTAAAAGCTCAGCAATGTTTTTAATTTCACTATAATTTCTCTTTTTCTTGGTAAACTTGGGAAGACTTAAAATGAATACATTTTATTTAGTATGATATGATTCGATATTGAGTGTCTGTATAACTTTCTTTTTCTCTTACTCTCTTTTATTCTCTCTCCATCAATATAAATATACCTGAAGTAAATTTTATTAAGAGATAAATTATTTTTAATACTATCCTTCAACTTTGGTCTATTGTTTAAATTATTTATAATTAGTATATGTACTTTTATTTGATAGTCATAAAGAAATTTTTAAAATATACTAAAGTTTATTTTTCTACAAATAAATTTATTTAGGATTTTAGCTGTCCAAGATAAAAAATATATTTTTCCCACAAAGAAGCTTGTTTATTTAGGGTTTTGTTTGTTTGTTTTGTTTTGTGTTTTGACAGAGCCCCGTTCTTGTTGCCCAGGCTGAAGTGCAGTGATGCTATCTCGGCTCCCTGCAAACTCTGCCTCCTGGCTTCAAGCGATTCTCCTGCCTCAGCCTCCCAAATAGCTGGGATTACAGGCGCCCGTCACCATGCCCAGCTAATTTTTGTATTTTCAGTAGAGACAGGGTTTCGCCACGTTGAGCAGGCTGGTCTCGAACTCCTGACCTCAGGTGATCTGCCCATCTTGGCCTCCCAAAGTGCTGGGATTACAGGCGTGAGCCATCATGTCCAGCCTATTTAGGGTTTTAACTGTCCAAGATAAAAATGTATTTAACAAAATTTTCCAACATAGGTTGCCCAAAAGAAAGAAAGCTCTGTAGTCATTCACAGCCATCTTGCCTCAGAGTCCATCTAGAGGTTGGAGAAATTATAGGAGATTTATAGCTTTTGAACCTACTTATGATGATCATTTATTATATTCTGAGTAAGTATTCATATTATATTTCCTATTTCATAATAAACATTTCTGTGCATAATATAGCATAGTTTCTTAATAAATACTAGAAACTCAGAGCTTGAATTCTGCTTATTTATGATTATATTATTTAATTAAGAATATGTACCCCTTGAGGCTGGGCGCGGTGGCTCACGCCTGTAATCCCAGCACTTTGGGAGGCCGAGGCGGGCAGATCACGAGGTCAGGAGATCGAGACCATCCTGGGTAACACGGTGAAACCCCGTCTTTACTAAAAATACAAAAAATTAGCCGGGCATGGTGGCGGGCGCCTGTAGTCCCAGCTACTCGGGAGGCTGAGGCAGGAGAATGGCGTGAACCCGGGAGGTGGAGCTTGCAATGAGTGGAGATTACGCCACTGCACTCCAGCCTGGGCGACAGAGCGAGACTCCGTCTATGTACCCCTTGAATCCAATTAACTGAGACTTAATGAATGCATTACCAAAGCTATCTCAGTATAAATCTCCCCAGCTTAAGTATCACCATGGTATGAAACATACTACCATTTGTCTCTTGTGCTATTGTAGTAACCTCCCAACTGGTCTGCAGCTCTTATTTGCATTTGCACTTCAAGATGAAGACGTCATTTACATCACTTTACCTTACAGATTTTTTCAGCCTAGTTTACTACACCTGAGACTGAATTTGATGGCTTTTCCTCCGGATTTGTACACATTCTTCTAGGAAGATCCCACACAGATTTTCTTTTTAAGCACTGTGGTAGTACGGTTTCATAATTTTCATAAATGTTTTTCTCTCAAAGACTGCAAGCTGATGGAGGGCTGAATGCATGTGTTATTCACCCTTTCCTCTGCAGCACCTAAAACAATAACTAGAACAAATGTTCCAATCATGAGTTAGCAAATACATGTATATCTGATAAAGCAATGAGCTAATTATGAGGTAAAAGATTATTAATTAAGTTCCAAGTTTGAGATAATTAAAAGACTTTCCTAAAATTTTAAAATGGAAGGTTGAAGCATTTATACATTCCCTTGGGGTGGAGGGAATATGACTAAGAAAATCAATTATTCTCTTCATTCTTGATGATTTTAGAAATGATGAGATAATATAAGGACAAGACAATGTGTTAAAATATGTGATGACATTTGAGAGTTTTAACCAGACACACAAAAAGTTAAAATAAAAAAAATTATGTAATATCAAAAATTACCAGCCAAACTATTTAATCCCATAAGGATGCTCAGTGTAGCATAAAATCAAATTTGGTATTTTGTACATATTAAAAATATGTATATGGATTTTATTTTTACTTTTAAGTGACTGACAAAAACTCAGGCTTTAAACCATTTCTTTTTGAGAATTTCCTTTACTTTTCTCACATTTACCGTGTCACAGTGATCTTCAGAAAGCAGTCAAGTTGATCCTGACAAGTAAACAATTGAGACATGATTCTACTCATTATTGAAAAAATATTCCTGTACTGATGCCTACAATAACCCCAAACAGAAAGAGAATCTTCCGGCTAATCAACTCCTAGAATTTATATAGTGGGTCAGGCTGTCCCAGATGGCACACTGCCCTATGTTTAATAGTCTGAATATTTTTAAAATTCTAGTTAGAAAATAAATTAACTTTTAAAAGCAGGTAATGGCTTATCTGTGGCATCACTCCCGAGGGTTCAAGTAGAGTGAAAATATACCAGGTCAGCTTTGAGAGAGGGTCTTCATTAGGGTGGCCTTCGTATTAATGTGGAATAGGAAAAGAAGCAACTCAGTGCCTTCAAGATCGTTTCTCTGTGTTCTTTCTCCTTCTGCGATACACTCCACCCTTTTGCCCGTATTTTTTCTCTTTATTCTTTGTTTGAAAATAAACATTCAAAAAAGTATCTAAGACTACCTATTTATTTTCACACAAATTAAAATCAATATATACCCTCTTCCAAGGTATTTACATTTCAAACCTTATCTATGATAGAGAAATAAGTGATTACATGTCATTAATGCAATTTCAGGCATTGGTATATGGGATCTGCAGCAGTGAGGTTATCTAAATAATCACATTTCTGCTATACTACAATATTACCTAGATTTATCTCAGATGTTCACAGTGTAAAGAAGTAACATAAAGGTAAGAAAAATGATGAGTTACCTTGAAAAACTAGCACAGGTTTGGTTTTCACTTTTATATTTTTCTTATTGTAGAGCATTCAAATAAGTTAACAAAGATCACTTAAAAATTTTATTGATACCAAATTGGGGGAAAAACATATTCTAAATTTATGCATAGTTATATAGAACATCATGTAAATTAGTAAGTTTTCACTTATCTGCTATTTTTGGGAAGGGTGGAATGGGGAGGGAATTATTTTCCTACAAATCAATTTAATTCTGGAATTAATCTTTCATTTTTCTGTATTCATTGTACTGATTCAAACAATTCAAAATTATACTAACCCATTTCTTGAAAGCACCCTAGTATTATAATCAAAATCAAAGATTTTGCTTGCCATTCTTACATATTCTTAGAAAAGAGAAATGAAAAAAATAAATTCCTATTCTAAGAGTTCTTAAAATCTCTGGTGGAGAAAGTCCACAATGGAAATGCCAACACTAAGTAAATTAACATTAACAACACTGATTTTGTCAAAAACACAGTATTTTTTATTTTTCTCTTATTGTTGTTAAACTGGTATTGGACAATATCACCAACATAATATCAGGACACAGATGAAGTATATAGCATTCCCAGTAAAATACATTAAAAAAAAAAAAGGGTTAGCAAGGTCTGGTGCAGTGGCTTATGTCTGTAATCCCATCACTTTGGGAGGCTGAGATGAGTGAATCATCTGAGGTCAGAACCAGCCTGGCCAACATGGTGAAATCCCATCTCTACTAAAAACACAACAATTAGCTGGGCGTGGTGGCAAGCGCCTGTTGTCTCAGCTGCTTGGGAGGCTGAGACACGAGAATTGCTTGAACCCAGGAGGTGGAGGTTTCGATGAGAGGAGATCAAGCCATTGCACTCCGGTCTGGGTGACAGAGCAGGAATCCATCGCAAACAAACAAACAAATAAGATGGCAGAAACAACCAACACCTCAACCTCAGAGAGCAACACCTTATAAATCCATTATTGAACATGACACAGAAGGACTAAATAATGAGTAGAGATTATATGTTTGTGTATATGAGTGTGTATGTAACACTTTTCCATTGTGGGTAGTTCAATCTTAAGTAAGCTTCATGGCAAGACTCAACTTGATGCAAAATACTTGAGTGGCTTCAAAATCTATTTAGTCTCCCAGAAAAATCTTGGTAAAGCTTGGTTTTATGGTTATCTTGTATTTATCTAAACTACAGTTTTAAAAAAAGACATGTCATCCATACTCCTGTTCATATCGACATCAAGAAGATTAGATCTAGTGCAATGAGCTCTGTACCAATGAAGTAAGAAACTTTTTATTTTTTAACTCGGGCATTGAATTTACTGTACTGTGCACCAAAGCTTAGTAGTAATGTTTCAGAAGGAAGCACCTGGCTTAGCCATGCTGTCGCATAGCACAAGATCAACTGCTGGTTTGAATATCAGGTTTATTTCTTTTTTGTACACCTTTCTTGCTAATGGGCAAATGAGAAAAATGAAGTAGATGGAAGAAACTATAAATATATATTTGCCCTTTTATTTCTACTTGCCCTTTTGATTTTCTTTATGGATTTTCTTCAGAGGAAACAGATGGGATGCTTTGAAGCTAGCTACGAGATGGTAGAAAATTTACAAAATAAGATCTGTGTGGGAAGGTTAAGAGAACTGTATGTGCGCAGTCTGGGGGATACAGGAAGACAAAGTGGAAACATCAAAGCTGTCAACACATATATAAAAGGATATCAAAGAGATGTGTCGTTGCCATTGACCACAATCAGGAGAAATTGAGTTAAACGACAGCAGAAAAAATTCTGAGGAAAGGCAAGCTTCACCCCCCACCCCACCCTCAACCCATCTTAAATCGAAGTTGCCACATTCTCATACAAAGAAATGAGGGAAATCAAGCCATTATTCACATTCAGTAAATTCTGAAATAGTTCAAGTCCTCCCATGACAACCAAATGAAGATAGATTAGCCAATCCAAGCACTTACTCTAAATGCCTGGCATCTATCTCTATGTATGGGTAACTACTCAGTGGAAAGTCACGTTTGAAGGACAATCTGGACGTATGGGGTTTAGGAACCAGGACTATCTCTAGTCTATCATCACACCACCATCACATCCCAGTCTGCGGGCACTGGGAACACAGCTTCCTGCAGAGAGAGCTCAGGGAAAGACAGAGTTCAAGTTCTAGTGTGCAATTAAACAGAGTCACATGAAGACGGTGCTGGGGAGTCTCTAGGGTTTTTTCCAGCTGCATTGTCCACAGGGAGAGGGGGTTGTTTAGAGACTATTCTCTGCCTTAGTTTATTCTTTTATTAGAAAAATTGTGAGCTGTTGTTTAAATATAAAAACTGTATTTTACAGCTTGCTTTCTTCCTGTATCTTATTTTAGGGAATCCTCACAAATTTCTGAGGAAGATATTAACCAATTATACAGACTCTGAGAGTTTCATAATGGCACATTATCACTAAGAGCAGATTCAAGAAGAATCTTAGAGTAGAAGTCATGAATAGCCATACTTAGCATATGGGCATAGAAATCCAGGGGAAGTGAAAAAAAGAAGCAATAAATTTATGAGAAAGGAGATGGTGGCCATGTTGTTGAAGAAATATATGCATTATGTAATGAAATCTAATTTGGTATTTGATTACAATATCATATCAACTAATTAATCAAGATGTCAGCAGTGTCATCCTTTCCTTTGTGACCTCAGGAGGAGAATCATCTCAAGCTCCATCCTATTCACATGGAAAGCCCGTGCCTTTTCCAACATTTCTTCTAATTCTAGCACTTTCAGATGTTATTTCATGTTCTTCATGAATTCTCAATTTTATGTTATGCATTTTATTCTGTTAATTTAGTGAGTTCCTCCTGGGATACAGTTTTTACTTCTTGATTCCATTCCTAAAACCTCCAAAAAACTGCCATTCATAGGATATCTAGAGTTTGCAATAGGCTTTTACAGAAAGGAGATTCATGGGGGTAACGGAGACAAGCACTTCATTGCAAGATTATACAGAATATTATTTAAAACAAAACATTATATTTTCCTGTTACACAAATAAAATCCTTTGGCAATTCTCATCAACTTACCAGAGAAGATGAGCTGTTAGTTTCGTCCCTCGTCTCCTGCAATATCATGCTTTTAAAGCTTCACTGTCTCTACCCCAATCAGAGTCTGTTTCTAAGTAAAGACATTTCTTCTTTAAGAGAAATACTGATGTCATGTGCAGCAGGGAAACAATTGGAACTAATCTTATTTCACAGATGAAGAATTTCTTAATGGTGTGTTTAATTAATGCATCTGAGGTGTTCACTTACAAAGTACCAGAATCAACACATGAACCCTAGTCATTCCAAGCTTGAATGCTTCCAAAGACGACATGTTTTACCTTATGTGTAGCTTACCCTAAACAGGCCTGACTCATTGGAGAAACATATTGTAGCAGATTCTCTGTTATAGTTCACTTTTATGGAATATACTAGGCATATGGAAATCTTCCAATCTGTCTTAAACTATCAAGATTGAACCCCAATGATTCACTAATTATACAAGGCTGACATAATGATCTCCCTTCAGTGCACATGTATTTTCAATTCCTTCCTGCATGTTATGAATACTCCGGAGATAGTTTATCTTGGACTAACTCTGGCCTCACTGCAACTATGCAGATTTACAGGTAGGATAGTAGTCTGACTTCCTGAAAACACCCTGGCACTCATGACTGGACGACAGCACCTGAGCTCAAGCCTATTGTTCTACCAAGAGCTTATCCAGATCTTCAAGAGACCCTTCCCATTACTTTTTTTTAGCATTGGTGAGCAGTCTGTGTGTTCATATTGACAGAAAGGATGTTAGACCATCCCAGCTAATGTCCCCGAGTTCCGACAAGAGTGCCCTGTAGAAACTCGTCCTTGCCTATGCCCAAAAGCCCTTTCTCTTTGGGATCATTTTTTTTTTCTGACTCATGAGTGATACTCATGCAATGTGAGGGGAAAAGAAGACACTAAATCAAATCACCAGCACGCTCTCATATATTTTAGTGCCCCTTTAACTCTGATCTTCTGGATCAGCAAGTAAATGGTCTTTAAGAATCTTGACCTCATTTTCTTTTCTCATGACTTAACTAACAACTCCAGTTAGGTTACCCAATCAGAAGGACTGTGTACTAAACATCCCTTTAAAAAGCAAGGGCAGAGACAGGGCTCAGTGGAGAATGACTTATTATCAGAAATGAGAGTGAATTAAGTAGGCTTTAAATTATTTCTCTTTTCTAATTTCTCTTTAAATTATAATGAAAATTATTCATTAGCTTTCTGATTTAAAAAAAATGCCTATTTTAAGACATTTACTAGATACCTTCTGCATCATTATACAGTGGAGAGAATCCTGAAATCTGCTGTGCACAGTTGTTAAAATCTTTCCTGGAATATGTTAATAGCATTTCTCTAGAGTCTTTCAGAATGATGACATTCTGTAGAATGATTATGAACTTGGATAACAATCCTAAAAAACAGCTCTGATAATAAAATATCTTTGAGTCTAATTTTCTGTCCAATACTCATGTCTACTTTGTTAAGGTCAAATAGAACTTTGTAAATGGTATGAGTAGAATAAAGTTGTTGTTTCTCTTGTGCCGTACTTTTCCTTTTACAGAAATGTCAGCCTCTATCCCCCTCCTTTTCTGTGGCATCCTATATCCCAACAGATAATGAGGACCCAAAGAAGCTACAGATATCCAAAAAAAACATTGCACTAACGTTAAGAATTATCCAGAATTCCCAGATGCCTGGGAAGGACACCAAGGTGGGAGACACCCTGCAGTAGGCATACACCTCTTCCCTATTCATGGATATACAAGATTATTCAATGGATCTCATGAGAGATAAAAAGGTGGCCCTTTCATTGATGCATAATTTATGTTCTACTTCCATGAATTGTGGGTTTAAAATAGAATCTTAAAGTATGCCATGCACATCACTATAGACTCTCTTTGAATATTTTAATAATTTCTCTAAAATATTTCTATTATGACAGTCTTCTATAGAATGATTAGACACTGAAATACCAGTTTGTAAAGCCAGTCTGATTGTAAGGTATTTTTGAGTCTCCTTTCTACTGTTAACAGTGAGTTCTGCTGAGTTAAGGTGAGTTAGAACACTTAGAGTACATTTGCATCATCTGATGGGCTAACTTAACTGGGGTTGAAAGAACAAAGTCATGTTGGAAGGGGAGATAATGTATACTAAGGTGGAAAAATATCAGATAAGATCTGATAAAGTCTTTTACCTCAGGAATTTATGGTCCCTCTGGCATAGTTGAAAGTATAAACCAAATGGGTTCATGTCTGTATTAGTCAAGGTTCTCTAGAGGGACAGAACTAACAGGATATATATACAGGATATACATATATACATATATATGTAATATATGAACATATTTATATGTAATACATATTTATATATGTTATATATATAATATATACATATATATGTTTGTGTGTGTGTGTGTGTGTGTGTGTGTGTGTATATATATATATATATACATATATAAAGGGGAGTTTATTAAAGAGTATTAACTTACACGATCACAAGGTCCCACAATAGGCTGTCTGCAAGCTGAGGAGCAAGGAAGCCATTCCTGGTCCCAAAGCTGAAGAAGTTGGAGTCCAGTGTTTGAGGGCAGGAAGCATCCAACACTGGAGAAAGATGTAGGCTGGGAGGCTAAGCCAGTCTAGTCTTTTCATGTTTTTCTGTCTGCTTTATATTCTGGCCATGCTGGCAGCTGATTAGGTGGTGCACACCCAGATTAAGGGTGGGTCTGCCTTTCCCAGCCCACTGACTCACATGTTAATCTCCTTTGGCAACACCCTCACAGATACACCCAGGATCAATACTTTGTATCCTTCAATCCAATCAAGTTGACACTCAGTATTAACCCTCACAGTGCCTGAAAGTTTCACCTGTGCAACTGAAACATCAAGGATTTTCCAAATTATTTGTTATACACTCCCTCCTTGGTTTTCCTACCCCTTACATTTTTGTATCCCTTTTTGAATATTCTGAAATTGTAAAGGAGTCTGGCTAGTTTTATGCTTATATCTGTCTCATTAAGCTCTTATTAGGAAATTAAAACTTTTCTAAGAGTTTAATTAGCTGATATACACCCCTCCCCAAACTATCCATAATGTAAAAGTGTCCAATATCAAAACAACAGCATTAGAAATTCTAGTACCGTTTACCACTGATAATCAAAGACTACATACAGTTGTCCAGGGGTTAAATAACATTTAACTTAAGATGAGAATTCCTTCACTTTTCCTAACACTAATGCTAGAAATAGAAATCCCACCAAGTAACCTGTTGGAAATTGTCAATTATAAAAATATACTGCTGAGCTGACAGCCCTGAAGAAGAGATGCATAGGGCAAGGTATGGAGAATAAGGCTGCAGAAGCTCCTAACATTGAGGTACTCCTCAGTAAGAAACAGGAGAGGCACTGGGGAGCCCCAGCTCCTGTCTGCATCATGAGTGTGTGATCTCCTGCTTACCTGCTTACCCTTCGCATTGTGTGCTAAATCCACAATCACTGAAAGTAATCTTGGTCAAGAAGGTCAGCTCATTATTCTCAATTCTCATGTCTTGACCAGGCTTTATAGTTTGGCCTAACTCAAAGCTCTTTTTATCTTTTCTTTTCTTTTTTTTTTTTTTACTATGATTTGAATCTTTTAGACAAAGTTTATTATTTGCTACATTTAGAGGCCTTCTTTCAACTTACAAGTTTTTGGAAGACTTGGTGTTTTTTGTGTATTTTGTTTTGTTTGTTTTGTTTTTGTACAAGGAGCATGGGTACAAAAACAACACTTGCTGCATGTACTTAGAATCTCTATCTATACAACTAGCTAGCACACTAGCTAATGGTACAATAACAGTTAATATCCTTAATTCTTGATCCTTAGGAAAAATGCTAGCAATTAAATGAACTTGGATACTTTTCACAGTTCAATAATCAAATCAAATATTTAGTTAAAGAGGTACCTTCTGCCTAGACTGAAATCATTTCTGGACTGTTTGAATTTCAGAGAAAATATCCTGTCTACACAAGGTGCAAAGTCTTACTGAAGCTGAAAAGGAGTTATCCTTCATATTAGACACGTAAGCTAATATACAATTCAGGGGATTGATCATTGTTCTGCCTGCAGACATTCGTGACAGGCCTTTAGCTGTGATGTAATTGCTATTATGTCTCTGATTTTGGTTCTTTCCTTCCTTCGCCAACAGTCATTGCTCTGTGCAGATCCTCATAATTTCTCACCAGGATCTTTGTAATCCCACTTAATACTGTCCCCTCTCTACTGACTCACTAGTTGTCTACATTTATTATTTTTCTCTTGCCAGAGTCATCTTTCCTTTTCTCAAATCTGATCCTGCAATACTTCCGCCTAAAATTTTTTTAATGATTCTCTAACACCTATGCAGTGAAATTTCTTATTCCTCTACTGGGCGTTTCCTATTTCACTTTGATTCACGGTCTACCCTTCATCACCCTGCTCTGTGTGCCCTGGGAGCCTGATCTATACTGACATCATCAGTTGGCTTCCTTCCCCTCTGGCTTCTGGTTGGGTTTAGCAATGAGAGGTAATGGCAGGAGATTGGAAGTGAGAGAAGAATGAGTTTAGGGTATTAATTCTCCCAGGTAGTAAATTGGTTGTATTTCTCTACTGACTGGGAGTCCTTTCCTAGAGCTGCAATTAGCTCTCTGTAATTACTCTTTTGTTATCACTTTCTCTCTTTCCATTTTAGGCCTATGTGTGATGCCAGCTGAGGAGTACTTCACCATACCTTATTAGTTTCCCTTAACCTGTTCATACCTTTATAAGAGGCCCCTTCATTAATATGTCCTCTAGGACCTGGTGAGTGTATCATCTACAAGTGTGTCATCTCCGCAGGGTCTCTTGCTAAGACATTGGTTGATATGCATGGCATCCAAGGTACTTCATCATCTTGCTTCCTTATAGTATTTGAGTTTTTTCCTTTAAGCCTCATGTTTATTATTCAATACTAAATTGTCATGCTTGTAGTTCCCCAAAAAAGTATGCTCTTCTAAGACTCTCTATACATTCGCTTATGTTTTTCATTCTGCCTTCAGGTCACTTTTCTTCCTTATTCACCAAGTGTGTTAGGCTGGTCTTGTATTGCTATAAAGAAATACATAAGACTGTGTAATTTATAAATAAAACACTTTCCATTGGCTCATGGTTCTGCAGACTTTATAGGAAGCATGGTACTAGCATCTGTTCAGCTTTTGGGGAGGCCTTAGGAAGCCTACAATCATGGTGGAAGGCAAAGCAGAAGCAGTCACTCACATAGCCAGAGCAGGAGCAAGAGAAAGAAGGAAGTGCCACGCACTTTTAAATGACCAGATCTCCTGTGAACTCAGAGCAAAAGCTCACTTGTCACCAAAGGGATGGCCCGAGTCCTTCATGAGGGATCGGCTTTCATGATCAAACAGCTCCTGTCAGGCCCCACCTTCAACATTGGGAATTGCAATTCAACATGAGATTTGTATGAGGACAAACATCTAAAATATGTCACTGGAATAACCACAACTCATTTTTCAGGTCCCTGTTTGAAGTGTCTTTTCTGTCAAGCCTTGCCTAGCCTTCATGATCAGACTCGGAGAGCCCTTAACTTTTTGTGCATACCCTAATTACATCAATGTTTGTATTTGTTTATTCATGTATTCATTGATTATTACTTGTTCATCCATTTATCTTCATCCAACACATACTAAATACATGCTTTCTGTATGCCAAGCATTCCTTTAGGATTGGAGTTATCATAGTGAAAAAAGAAGATAAAAACCCATGGTACATTTCATGGAGGTGAGGATATAGAGAAGAAGAAAGATTGGGCAGGAAGAACCTTCTGGCAAAAGACCAGGCAGTGCAAGTCCAGAGGCAAGAGGCTGGCTGTGTGTTTAAAGCACACCAAGGTGGACAGTGTAACTGCAGCAGTAATAACAGAAAGGAGAGTAAGACAGGAGATCAGAAAAATGAGAAGATCTGTGGGATCAGGTAGCCCATTGGAAGGACATTGGGTTTGACTTGAGTGGGAATGGACTTGCACCGGACAGTCTGAGAAGAAGTTTCCTAAGATCTAGGTTATATTTTTAACAGTATCACCTAGCTGCTGTTACAAATGGAGTGATACAAGAGAAGAAACAAAAATTCAGCTAAGGTATACCATAATACTGTTTTGTTCTACATATTTCCCCTCATTTGTGTCTGAGATGCCTGAACAAAGGGTGGAAATATATTTACAGCTAAGAAAAAAAATTATATGCCGAAAAAACACAAACTTTGGAATCAGATAGTCTTGGTTTTGAATATCAGATCTGCTTCTTACCGTGGGATTACCTTGAATATTTTTTCAACTTTCTCATTTGCTGAAAAGAAAGATTAATAATTCCATCCTTACAGTGTTATTATAGAATTATTTTAGGATTATTGAAAAAGTATACAAATATTTTGACAGAGAATAAAAGCTCAGTTGGTTGTAGTTATTGATATAAAATCTTCTGCACAAAGTGAAGCATGCAATAAAGAGAAATTGGTCAATAAATGTTTGTTAAATATTTTGATGTTTATATCATGCAGAAAATTTTTTTTAAAGTCAGATTTCCAAGTCCACAGAATAAATAAAATGGCTGAAGAGAAACTAGGTAAGTTCACAGCTTTTATGTGGTGATTTTTTTCTGATCTCTGCATATATTTAACTTTGCTCCCCAAATGCTGCCAATTGATTAATGAAATTAGTACACATTAACTTTGACAGTACCCAACAATGCCCATATCTATATATCTCCGTTGTCCTTTCAGGCTTTTTCTCTCTCTCGCTCTCCAAACACACATGCACACACACATACTTTCAAATATAAAGCCCAAAATTCCAATAAAAGCTATAATAAAGGGTAAATAGTTTTAAAATAAATATGCTTACATTTTGATGTCAACTGTTTGCCGATGCTGTCCCTTTTTGATTACTGAAACATTTTGTAATTCTATTTGTATTCTAAGAAGCACACTAACTAGATAGGGGTTTGGATATTCAATTCTGAGGTTTTTTGGACAAAGATATTTTGCCTGTCTGACCAGGGTCTCTGCATACAAATTAGACCTGGGCTGCTGCATCTTCTGGCTCTCGTTTGGTGGATCTGTTCCAGAAGATGAAGCTCTGTGCAGAGCGAGGAGGGTCAGAGGAACATAATTTATAATAATCACATGAAATACTTTCCGATTAGGTATGTTCTGATTCATTCTTTTGTTTATAAAATTGTGGTAAAAATTGAACTGATGCTTCTGCATGACTGAAACTGCTATAGAAATGCCTGTCAACATGAGGGAAAGCACACGGCTCCATTTTGTCATGGGCATCATAGGCAGTGTCTTTTCTTTGTACAGTTGCAACATCAAAAAGATTTTTTTCAGTGGCAGTTGTTTACCATTTGTCTTGCTTAAACCACTTCCTCAGTCCCCTCAGGTTACTTTTGATTGATCAACATGCTATTTTTAATTCAATACAAAGCAGATATCCCCCAATCCAGCTGACACACAGTGGGACCACCTTTGTTATTGGAGAGCAATTTGGCAAGATACATTAAACCTAAATGTGAGCTTACTCTTCCGCCAACAGCTCTATTTTCAGTTGCGAAATTCTCATGCAAGAGATAGAAGCCATTTGTGAATAACTCTTTGCAACCTTTGTTGTAAAAATATAAAATAAAAACAACCAAATGTCCTTGTTACAAAACACTGTGTGATAACCACAACCACAATTATTTACAATTGATACAAAAGTTAGAGAGCAGAAACTAGGTCTGCAAATATCAACAGGAATAAATTTTGAAAAATTGTCATATCAAGTGAGAAAAGTGAACTGCAAAATGATACCTACAACATGCTGTTATTAAAGGAGAAGTTAAAACCACTTTTGTAAACTACTAACACTGCGGTATAGAAATGCAAATAGCAAGAATACAAACCACCTTGAACGTGGTGCTTTCCTCTAAAAAAGGAAAATGGGAAGCAGAGTACAAAGAAAACTTCAAATCATTCTGTTATAGTTTATTCCTTCCAACAGGTGTTCATGATATTATTACCTGTACTTTTCTTCATATTTGAAATAGTTGTAATAAGTCAATCCATGAAGAAAACCTAAAACTGATTTTAAAAATTCATAAGTGCATACCCACATGAATGAACAGAAATGCTGTGAGATTGGTCTTAAAAGACAATTCCATTAACTCAGGGGAACCCGTGGAATTGACTTTTGAGGACTTCTGATTGAACTCTGTCTGTGTTTGCTGATTAGTATTTTGGAATTGGCTAATCATAACTTCAATGCTGCCAAGACAGAAAAATATTCCCTGATTTCAGTTGATATGTAGAGATACATTTTTTATTTTTGAGTTTCCAAATCAGCTGGTGGATTCATAGCCAGAATGGTCACATGTTTCATGCTCCTCAGAGCATTTAGGAATGGCCACAGGGATACATATAACTACCCCTACACACACACACGCCACCCCCAGAAGGTGTGATTCTTTAATGTATTAGCACTCCAGCACTCCATTTAGGCTGTAGGTCATTTTCATGGGATTTGAAGACTGGTAATTTGGCTGATCCAAACGGTAAGGTGACCAAGTGTCATGCTCTCAGGAGCCATCTGTGTGTATTTATGTGTTTTACATCTTTTATTCATATTTGCATTATTTTGTCTGTCACTGTCCCTCTTGTAATAGCTGCACAAATGTAAAAGCTCATCAATACAATATTCACAAATTAAATCTAACATTATAAGACATTAAGTCCATTTTTAAATAAAATATCATGACCACATAGGTTTAACATCATGAAGTCTTTTGATTTTCCTCACTACATGAAAGTTTAAGTATGAAGAAAAACATATTCATCTCAATGGATGTACCATAATAGCATTTAATACATTTTATTACCTATTCCTGTTAAAAATCTTGATAAGGTAGAAATGGAAAAAAATTTATAAAATACACTATACATATTTCCTGTTGTCCATTATTGGCTGAGCAAGAAATTAGGGGCCAGATAAATGGTTAATTTTGGTCCATTAATTGGACTAATAGTAATTTGTTCAAAATACAGCAAACATTGGTGTTTCTACTCGTATCAAAAAAGGAAATGCAAATACCTCAGATGTGTGAGAATAGCTACATCTATGTAAAAATAAGCACATGAATGTATAGAAGGGATGTGTATTGGAAAGAATATCACTTGAAAAGTCCGGAGACTAAATCAGAACTCTTTAGGATGCCTGAGTCGCTACTTCATATTGTGCATCTTTGTGTGAGATACACTTGAGCCTTACTTTTCTAACATAAAAAGTGAGGGATATGAGTAGCACTCTCATGGATTAAATGTGAAGGTTAAGTGAGAAACCAAATGTAAGTCACTTAGCCTCATGTGACATGTAGCAGGTGTCCAATAAATGGAGTTTGAATTCTGTAAATTCCACATCTATACAGATAAATGTACATAATGGAGCAAATGGACTCAGTTCATTCAAAGTCCATTTTGTCTCTTCTCTAGAATTTATAATTAATGAAGTTTTACAATATCCTTTTACTGCTCACCAAATCCATGTACAATTTGCATACATTTACCCAAATAGCTCCTGTAAAAGGAAATGTCCTAGAAAAGTGGCTCTAAATGTGATGGTTTAATTAACCCTTTTCTTTCTATGCATGTAAAATACCTCATGCTTAATTTTGCCTGAGGGATTCTTTTTATTTTAGCTACAATTTCTATTCAGCAAATATTCAAATGAACTTTTAAAGTAAGGAGTGACAGTCCCTGGGCAATACAGAACTAGTGTATAATAATATATTTCATTTCACTCTTTAACATTAATATCCTTCTGATTACTTGGACAATGAGCACAAGAGAACAGATAAAATTTCTTGAGAGTACTGTAAGCATGAAAATATTAACCTTAAAACTTTGTTTTGCCTATGGTGGCCATGCATTTCTCACCTAGATTTGTAGGACTGGAAACACAAATGAGTTTCCTTTATTTGAAAAGATGTTGTAATCTATAATGCATCTTTGGGAAAGCAATATAGCTCAATAAACTAAAAGAATAGGAGAATGAAAAATTTTAATTTATAGTTCTATCATTAATCCTCGTGCAATTTCGGGCCAGTTGCTTAATCAGGGTGAGTGTCAAGAAACATTACAAAACACATCAGAAGTGTATTAGAGAAATATGTACAGGAAATCAAGCTAAGTGGACCAAAGGGAGTCAGAGCAGCATGATTAGAAACTTGAGTGTTTTAAAAGATCTGTCCTGGCACTTGCCCTTGCCCTTAAAAAAGAATAAAGACAGAAAGAAGTTGAAGCTAATGATGTAGTTTGGAGAAATGTCAAGATGATTCTTCAAAGATAATCACACATAACCTTGGACTGGTTATGTAACTTCTCTGAAACTCAGTTGCTTCGTTTATGAAATGTTGACAATAATGCTTCCTTCAGTACAATTCCTGCAACGATTAAGAAAATAAATTCATATAGATAGAATAGCACAGGGACTGCCTCTGGGCAAACTTTTTCATTTTAATCATTAATAACAATGAACCATGTTAATTGTTAACATGACAGTCATGTTAACTTATGACTGTCTTTCCGGACAGGACTTATGACTGTCATTCCGCCTTCTAGGAGAAAATAGCCAGAATCCCAGTATCATGTATCCTTGGTTAATTCCCTATCTATGTTTGGTTACACACACACACACACACACACACGTATATGTATAATATATACAAATATGTGTGTATATACATAAACATATATGTGTATGCATAGTATATATTATACATATATAAATTTATAGATATAGACATAGATTCGTAAATATATCCTATATTTTGCTATAAGGGGTTTTAGCTCCAAATCCTTTTCTGGTCTCCTGCCCTGGAAAGCATGGCAATGTCACAAGCGACCTATGTAGACTCCTTTTGTTACTTTTATTTAGAGTCTAGGCTGGAGGCAAGCTGGGAATTTTGCTTCCTCACTTCTTCCTTATGTCTCAACCTTGTTACAGGTCCCTCACAGCTTACATTTTATCTGCCTGAGTGAAATAAGCCAGTTACAGAAGGACAAATACTGTATGGTTCCACTTACATGAAGTATCCACAATAATAAAATTCACAGGCTTCTACAGTGGAATGGTGGTTGCTAGGGGCTGGCGGAGGCGGAAATGAGGAGTTGCTAATCAGTAGCTATAAAGTTTCAGTTAAAGAAGATGAATAGGATCTGGAGAGCTGCTGTGCAACAGGGTACCTATAGTTGACAATAATGCATTATACACTTAAAAATTGTTAAGAGGGTAGATCTCAGATTAAGTGTTTTTACCAAAATAAAATAAAGTTTAAAAAGGAAAATAAAAAAAGAATTATTTTTCTCGAAGCCTAAAGCCGAACTGTCCTAGTGCTCTTCTTATCTGGTATGGATTCCTACTAGGGTGTCCAGAGGCAGAACCAATAGAGTGTGTGTGTGTGTGTGTGTGTGTGTGTGTGTGTGTGTGTGTGTGTATACATAGATACATCTGTACTATATCATATCTATACTCTAGCTATATCGTATCTATCTATAGATATGATAGATATGATAGATATATCTATCTATACTCTAGCTATATCATATCTATCTATAGATATGATAGAAATGATAGATATATCTATCTATACTCTAGCTATATCGTATCTATCTATAGATATGATAGATATGATAGATATATCTATCTATACTCTAGCTATATCATATCTATCTATAGATATGATAGATATGATATAGCTAGAGTATAGACAGGATATAAATATCTATATAGTATAGATATTCTATATCTTAGATATGATATATATAGTGTAAATATAGATATCTATAGATATAGATTTATGTCTATAGATAAGATATAGATACAGTATAGATGTATCTATCTATACACATACACACACCCTACTGGATCTGTCTCTAAACAATCCTGACTCATATACAAATTATTCATATGTAGTCAAAGATTATAGAATTTTTACATTGGTGTGCACATACTACTTTTCTAGTAAACTTTCCTTTGTGTAGTACATCTATAGTATAGACAGACTAATTTATATAGATATAACATAGATACCTACATCTATCACAATATAGACAGTATATATACATAGATACTAGATCTAGTTATACTATACATATATAGTATAGATATACATATAGTATAGATATCTATATACTATATATTATATAGATATACTACATTATATATGGATAATATAGATATAGTGATATATACACACATATATAGATATAGATATATCTACATATTTATAGATATACAGAGAGACAAAGAGGAGAGAGAGAGATTTTAAGAAATTGATCCACATAATTTTTGAGGCTGGCAGGTCCAAAATCTGCATGACAGGCCTGCAGGCTGAAGATCCACAGAAGACTTACAGTTCAAGTTCAAAGGCACTCTTCTGGAAGAAATCCCTCTCACTTGGAGGAGGTCAGCCTTTTTCCTTTGGCCTTCAACTGACAGGATGACGTGTTATAGATGGCAATCTTCTTTACTCAAGGTGTCAAGATCTACTGATTAATATGTTAAGATCGTCCAAAAAAATACCTACACAGAAACATCTAGAACAGTGTTTGACTAAATATTTGGGTACCATGGCCAAGCCAAGCTGACACATAAAATTAACCATCACAATTTGTTTAATTAAGATATGCAGATAAAACACTAAAACCCAAATTCATCCCAAGTGCTACAATATAATATAGGAAAAATACTAGTGTCCTTTGACTATTGCCTTCTTCAAACATAATATGTTATATCATAGCGGAAAACATACAACCTGTTTCAATCTGTGATTCCATATTTCATTAAAATGCAAAAGGAAAGGCAAATCCTTACTTTAATTCCATAGTCCATATTGAAGAACATAGTACATGATTAACCGGTTAATAATGACTGACCAGTTAATAATGAGGAAAGGAACCAATTATCAAGGCTATCTATATATATGTGACTTCTGTGCAGTTTAAAAATTAAGGAAGGTGGGGCAGAAGCAATGGCACATTTGTGACTCTCTCCTAATCCCACATAAGAATAGAGCAATGATATTGCAAGAAACAAGAACAAAAAAAGAATAAAACCTGTAGACAGTATTTACCAGAAAACAAGGCCACAAGGTTTCTCCACAAACCACAGTATTTAAGCAGGTGAGGTGAATCACCAACAGCCAGGAGACTTGCATGGTATTAATATCTGTGTGGAAGCAACAGAGCAAGGGATGCCGGTGAGAACAGAATAATCTTAAAATATCCTGCAGGTGCTTATTGGAAATCGCATTGGTCCAATTTGATAACAGCTGTTAAAACAGGAGAGGTGTTGCCCAATCCAGGAACCAATCAGTGCTAAGGGCCTGAGGTAAGTCTGCAAAAAGAAGAAGTCTAGATCTTACAAATCCTTGAAACTGGCCAGCTTGGCTCTCTTCCAGAACCAGGATTTACACCGGGAAGAAACTGATGGTGTAAAATTAAAGTGGAGCAGGAAAGGGGCCAATTAGAGGAGAGGAAGAGAATGTGTTGATAGGACAGGAGCAGTGGCTCAAGCTTATAATCCCAGCACTTTGGGAGGCCAAGGCACGCGGATCACCTGAGGTCAGGAGTTGGAGACCAGCCTTGCCAACAGGGTGAAACCCCATCTCTACTAAAAGTACAAAAATTAGCCAGACACAGTGGCGCATGCCTGTAGTTCCAGCTACAGAGGCTGAGGCACGAGAATCTTGAACCTGGAAGGTGGAGGTTGCAGTGATCCAAGATTGTGCCACTGCACTCCAGTCTGGGTGACAGAGTGAAACTCTGAAAAAAAAAATAATAATAATATGCTGATGAAAGTGACTGGGCAGGGGATAGGGACAGGATGAGGAAAAGAACCAGAAATGTAAGCAAGCCATCATAATTTTGAACATTTCACAAAAACAACAGAAGATGTCTATGAAGTGAGAGAAGCTACCTTAAACCATGCTTTCTTCTAAAATTTTAGGAAACTGACTTCACATAAAAATGAGCAACAGAAAAATATCAAAATCAAATCTGAACAGTGTTACCACAGAAAAGAGGGAGAGAATGAAGAGCAAAATAAAATCCCTACTAACGATTACAAAACACCAGAAAGACATGTCCACCGATTGGAGGTCTACAACATTCCATTTCAGAATGAGTTGAAAGACATTTATGAAATGATTCAACACATTAAAGAATAACAAAACTCAAAATTAGAAAAACTCAGAAAGATGATAGAACTATAAGAAAAAAATTGGAACAGAAAGAAAAAAAACAATTTTTGAATAAAGACTAAATTAGAGGGAACACAAGAAGGAATACAAAGAATATGGTGCCTTAAGAGAAGTACAAGATGAAAGATTTTTTTTAATCAAAAAGAAATAAAGCAAAAGGTATGAAAGACTGGAAAGAAAGGGCAAATGTTAACAATAGATAAAAATCTAACGTATGGAAACAGGAGTCTGCAAGAGAACAGAATAAAAACTAAAATCATGAAAGCATTTTTGAAATTAAAATAAAGAAACTCCATATTGAAAAAGCAAATCACATACCTGAAACTAATAAAAAGATATTTTACTAAAATTACTAAATGTGCTTTAGAAAGAAAGAAAGATTCTTTCCTCTGGCAAAAACATTTAGTGATTTACAAAGTAAGGAAGAATTAGGTCATCATTAAGCACTTCAACAGTGACATTTTATGTTAGAATAAAACAGTTACAAACTAAAGTAATCCCCCCAAATTAAAATATGCATAAATGGTTTTGTATCCAGCAAAATTGACTTTCAAAATATGGACCCAAATGTATATCAACATGTAAGAACCCACCGAATATTTTTTCTGTGAATCTTTCTTACAAATCTTACAGAGACTGAATTCCATACAAGCTTGACTGACATAAGGCTGGGTGGTGATAAGGCTACTTGCAGAAGGAAGACTAGCTGAGGGCTAAGAGGCAAAGAATATAATATGAAATGGCTATATGTTCAGGTAATGTGGGTATGGTAAAACTATTACAATGGGGAAAGAATGGAGAATGCATATTTAAAGAAATGTTATGTTGACAGGGATAATATTAGTACAGTTATTCTCAGATGAGTGTGTGTGTAATGAGAGATAAAGTAAATGAATAATTACGGGATAGTCTGATTCAGCCATCCCCTGTGTCCTTAAAAAGTAGGTTTCTTAGTGTGGAAGAAAGGAGATATAGAAGTAATATAGAAGAGATTAAGAAAAAAAACTCCATAGTTCTAAATTTGACTTATCAGTATGAACTTGAATTTATCATATATACGTATATATGTATGATAACTGTATATGTGTATGTTTTAATATGTATGAATTAACCGTTATGTTTTCTAGCCTGGCCACTCAAAAGGCCTAGAAGCAACAACCAACACAATATCATGAGAATCTCTAGCATCCAAATATCTTGTGGTCTTAAAATGCTTCTTTTCCAAGTTATTTCACAATGTTACCTCCTTCTTAAGGAAATGGCTAAATCCATTTACAAAGCAGAAAATGTGCAAGATGAGCCTGAACCTTCTTACAACTGCTAAAGATCTAACTGTTAAAGACAGTGGAGTACATGAGACTCTAAATGAGGCAATATGAGCTTCAGAACAAGGAATTGCAATGTATTGAATCCCACCAAATATGGTTAAATCTATTGTAAATAATAATTTAAAAGACAGAAAATGAATTGGTCCCCTTTAGAAAAGTCAGCAAACTAAAAACTGAAGAATCACGCATTTATCTTATTTTTCCTATGTGAATTTTACCACTGGGTTACTGAATAATAGATGAGGGAAGCATCTTTTTATAAAAATCCATACAATACATGCAATTAGTCCAATTAATACATGAGAAAGGAATTATAGAGCTGGAATATCACCATTTTGCAACTGTCAGTGAATAAATGAATCATAGAGCATCAGCAGCTGCTAATTATACAGTAAGTGGGACAACTAGGCATTATGAGCCCCCAGTGGGAAAACACGTCACCCCACAGTCTTGAGAGTAGTATTAAACCTGAGCCTAATGAGGACTTTCAATCCAGCAGCCAAATCTCAGGATATACGGGGCACTGAGAAACATGTCAAATATTCTCACGGCATCAACAACGTTTAAACTAAACATCTAAATGGGCAAGACTAAACAAGATTGTCTAGAAATGCATATTTGGATGATAAAACACGAGGAAGAAATACAAGAAAGTGCTGTAAATCAAGATAATGGTTACTTATTAGGAGAAGACAAGGATTGTGATTGGAACAGGGTACAAGAGGCTTCTGAAGTGACTAACAAAGTTGGTGGTTGCAAGGGTGTTTGCCTCATAAGAACTATTTAAGGTGCATATGTCTTCTGTGTGACTTTTCTTTATCCATGTTTTATTTTACAATAAGAGGGTTAAAGTTTTCACAATAAAATATGTGCTCTATTTTACCATAAGGTTTTTAAAAATCAGCAAAACCTAATTGTTCTACTAAATGAATCCATAGTTTCAGATCGTGGCTACAGATTCTTACACAATTCACTTGTAATAAGATTTTAAAACTGTGCTTGTTAAGTATGTATAGAAAAATTAGAAAACGTGTACAAGCAAAATAAAGAAAATTGAAATCACTCTTAGCATATCTTCTGACAGACTTTTTCCTGTGTATATATAGTTTATACTTTTTTCATAAATATTAATAGAATCTGTGTTTGCTATTTTGCAATCTGCTCCCATTACTGAAAATATCATAATTATACTTCAATTTTTTTACATATAATTTTGCAATATTATTAAAAGACTGTATTTCTATTGATTATATTGAAATAAAAACACATATTCCGTAAATCCTCTGTATTTGAACGTTGATGTTGGTCTTTCCAATATTTACTATTGAATATAAGCCTGAAATAATCATGCTTATAGCTAAATACTGGTACATATCCTTAATTTTTTACTGAGTCTAAATTTATGAAAGTGGAATTGCATGTCAAGGTATTTTTCTGGTATGAATTGCAAAAATGTAAAATTATCCCTCAGTAAGATTGGGCTAATTTATAGGAGTATTACACTATACAGTGAGGTTGATTTTAATGTCAGGGCATTAGGCAAAGATCACGTGTAGCCAAAACCACTCTGGGAAATTATTTTATATCTCATAAAGTACAGTGTGCCTGGTTTTATGTAAATAAATTGGAAATAGCATATACGCCAATGTAATTTTACTGGAGAACACGTTCAAGATGTTCTCTTCATGGCACTTCAGAAGCAATTAAGAACAACATTCAGATTTTAATTTCCAATAACTTGCTCTTTGCAAAGCTCCTAGAAAATAAGATATTTCTAGACTCTGCTTACTTACTTTATTTTTTTTACCATATTTGCAACATATTGATTGTGATGGTTTTTAAAATTATAAGCTTTCCCACTAAATTAACAGATCTTTGAACTCAGAAAAAAATATTCTAATTATTTTTATTAATTACCTCAGCATCTAGCCTGAAGCCACCTGGAAAAATTTACATATTAAATAAATATTCACTGGAGTTATTTTTAGATAAATATTATTGCAAACATTTTGAACACTTACTTTGTACCAGGAACTGTGCTAAGTTTTCTCCTTCCGTTATTTCATTTAATACATTATGATATTTGTATCACTATTATGCCAATTTTACAGAAGTAAAATCTGTCTTAGTAAGTAACAGAACTAGAATTTATACCTGGGTTGTTTGACCCAAGTTATAACCAATACTTCTGTTACGGAGAACATAAGTGTTCATTTAGTCTTTTGAAAAAGAAGAATAATGTTTCTGCTTATAGCTTATTTTCACATAAGTCTGTGAGATTTTGCCCTATCTTTTTAAGATTTACTAAATTTAAAGCTGCCTAAAAACAAAGTGTGGTAACTGATTGAATTCAGGAAAGCTATTTCTTTTCAGGATATTTAATATTAGTTTGGATCAGTTTTTCATTTTGCATAGTTATATACTTGGATTAAAGTTAATTGTGGTTGAACTAGCCTTAAATATTTGCCTCTTGTACTGTCAGCTCAGATGAAGGCAGAACAAATATCACCAGATGAGGTGAAAAACTAAGGACATATCACAAGTGAAGTAATTACTATCTAGTACCTTCTTCAGAATTCTGACTACAAGTTGATATTTAGGAAAATTTATTATCTACTCATAGACCACAATAATTAATGTTTCTTACTGGAAGAGAAATTTAACAGAAGATAAAACAACTTTTTTTGTGAAATATTTCTGGTACCTTTACTTTTACGTCCTGTAGAGTCACATTCTAAACAGGAATTGAAGTCCAAAATCAATATAGACGGTTAAAAATAAAAATCTACCATAGTAAAAATTAACTCTAAGACCCTGGTGTGGGTGGAATTTTGTCCCTCTACCCCAAAATATGTTGAATTCCTAATTCCAAGAACCTGTGAATGGAAGCGTATTTGGTAATTAAGGTCTTTGTAGATGTAATTAAGTTAAGATGAAATCATTAGGGTGGGTTCTAATCCAATATGGCTAGTGTCCTTATAAGTGGAGAGAGACAGCTTGGCACGGGGAGCAAACCACATGACAGTGGAGGCAGAGATTGGAGTGGTGAATGTCATGAAATGCCCAAGATTGCCAGCAACACCAGAAGCTAAGAGAAAGGCATGGGGACAGATTCCCTATAGAGAGCATGGCCCTGCTGACACCTTGATTTCAGACTTCTACTCTCCAGAACTGTGAGAGAATATATTTCTGTTGTTTAAAGACACCCAGTTTGTGGTACTTTATTTTGGCAGCCAAGAAAACTCATATAGATCCCATACAGAAGCACTGCTCTAGAGAATAAAGTACTAGCCCCAAATTACAAACATCCAACACATGCATTTGTTTTCCGATTAGATTTGGAGTGGGTCACTGTTTCTCCATTGCGCATCGTATCTAGTGGTTAGCGTGTGTTTAGGGGCCAAGTTGGATGAAAAGTAGGTAAGTATTTTCTAGCACTAAATTACCTTTAATACAGTGAGCTATATACACTCCGAGAGGAATCAAGTAACATGTCTCTTCCCAAGTTCATCCCTGGTGACTAGTGAAAAGATAAGCTGAGTCTCCCATACTAAAAACATTCTATCTCCTTTTCTCTCTTCATCATCTGGGCAGTACAGTGGAGTCTGCATAGGTGAGATGCACTATTGTGAAATTTCCACAGTACTTTGTGCTTTATACTTCATTTATTTTACTTGTCGCATAAGAATATGATTTATTATAATTGTTTCAGTTTTCTGAGAGTTTCAAATATATGCTTTTCACTACCCTTTAAATTGCCTAAAATTTAAATTTAAATTTAGGAGGATATTACATATAAAACATAACTTTTTTTATCATAAAACTATCTTTCTTGGTTTATTGAGTATAGACATATGGTTCATTCGGGCAAATAATACATACTAATTTAATTTACTTTTAAATCTGTGTAAATTTAGTTATAAATGGAGCTGTGAACTGCTTAACTTTCAGGAATTTGCATCACATTTTTATCTCATTTCAGAAAAGGCAAAACTTGGAACAAAAATTACCCTCAATATAAAAAGAAATTTAAAAAGTGCCTGTTGGAGTAAATGCCTTCATTATGTCAAGCATTTATAGAAATTTTTCAATTTATAAGGAAGTGGATGGGCGCGGTGACTCACATCTGTAATCCCAGCACTTTGGGAGGCCGAGGTGAGTGGATCACGAGGTCAGGAGTTCGAGACCAGCCTGGCCAACATGGAGAAACCGAGTCTCTACTAGGATACAAAAATTTAGCTGGGTGTGGTGGCACGTGCCTGTAGTCCCAACTACTCGGGAGGCTGAGGCAGGAGAACCACTTGAATCTGCTTGATCATGCCATTGCACTCCGGCCTGGGTGAAAGGGTGAGACCCCATTTAAAAACAAAAAAAAAAGGAAGTGAGGGTCAAGAACGTGTTTTTAAGAGAAACCATCCTTTGACTGCTACAGAAATAAATATATGCTACTTGTAGACTGCATTTCAACACCATTCCTTTGAGATCTAGTTTGGAGAACAGAAATGTTTTCACCAAAGTGTACAGCAAAAGTCAACATATAGAAGACTACAAGAAGTCACTTGATTCTTCACTTCCTGCTGTAGAAGCCAGGGCCCCACAGAAGCAAAAATGTGTACTGTTTAATTTATAAGCTACAGTGCGTAGCTTGTCTTCATTGCACATGACCTTAAGGTTCCAACAAAGCTTTTACATCAAAACTTCATATCCATGCCCTTATAAATATTTCTATTTAAAATGGAAGCAATAAAGGAATGCATTGTTGGATATTTTATTCATCTTTCCAACTACAAGTTTAAAATATAAATACTCCTAGTTTTGAAGCAAAAAAAAAAAAAGTAAAATAGTTTATTTGTTTCATTTCCTTAGTTTTAAGCACTACTACAGATTGAGATTTTGCTGTGAATGCTCAAACCAGGGGCATCACAAGGATTATTTTCCAGTCCTTTCTGCATGGCTTTCTTTTTCCTTTTTCTGATAAGGTATATAGAAAAGCTAAATGAAAATATGTGATTTTCTGATTTACTTTCTACATCCACATTTTTTGCTTGCAAATTAAGTCAGCAGAATTCAACTTTCCAACAGGTGGAATTTAACTTATCATTTTATATTGTTCTAAAGACTTTTCTTTAAGAATCTGATGCAGATTAATTTCAGTTGTCCCCACTTTCCTAGTCTCTGAGTTATACCTGATTTGTTTAATAATCTGCCCACCCATGCATGGGAAGTTAATACTCAACTGCATTAGGAGAATTTGTATGTATTCTCTATAATATAGCTTATTTACAGAGGATACCTGTTCAGAATTTATAAACATCAAATGCCTGTAGTTTACCATATGATCAGATTTTTAAACATATAGATATTACCTATATTTTCCTCATTTTACTAAGTGACTCTTAGATGCATATAACCAAAGAGATTTATCACAGAATGATTACCTAAGGTACATATATGACCATTTAATCCCTTCAAGCTTTTAAGAAATTTTGCAGAAATTAATTTTTAATGAACTATTGTGGGGTGGAGTATTCTCCCCTTTTCTTAGCACTCCAGGATATCCATAAAACGAACTCTTCTGCACTGTTATACTAAGAAGCTTAATTAACAGAAAATGGTACATAACATATACATCTAATATTAAGAGCCGAAGCCCTTATTACTTCTCTTCTGGAAGAATATAAAAAGCTCCTCATGTTCCCTCTGTTTCCGGTGACTCTTTTCTCCATACCCTGACACAGCAATCACATTGATCTCTTTAAAGTAAAACCCCTTCAATGCCTCCCCATTGTTTAAGTGATGAAATAAAATTCTGAATAAGTGTTTAGATGCTGACCTAACCTGTGAAAATTTACTCTACAAAACCCATTCCTCTCAGCACCTGAAGGTTTTTTGTTGTTGTTGTTGTTTATTTTCTTTTTTTCTCTTTCTTTAAAAAAAATTCATCCTGCTATTATAGAATTCAACTAAAAGAGCCAAGTTCATTTCTTGCCAATGCCCAAGCTGCATACATTTTCATCTAAACCAGTTCTTTTACTCTTGACTTCATACACCAAGGTCACTGAGCCCTGGAGGGAGGCAGAAAACCCAGCCTACATCCTGCCACCTGCCTTAAGAATGCAAGTTGTAGTCAGTTACAATGACTGCGGTCTCCAAGCATATTGAATCAGACCACCATGCAGACTCTCAGTTGCACATTTTCTATGTTTCACTGGAAATCGTGAACACATATCACTTCTACAAGGATTCCAAGGTAGAAATTTTCCTGCAGGTTACTCCATTACTCTACTTTTTCAGTTATGTTCTTATGTTATTCAAGAATGTGTTTCCAGCCCCCATTACTTACTTTCTTACTTGAAAAGACATTTTTGTCCATCTAGTTCTCCAGCCTCTCTCCTCTCTCTCTCTCGCTACATATATATCTCTTTTTGCATAATTGTGTGTGTGTAGAAAAAGATATGGACATAGAAAGCACAAAGATGTATAGAAGCATACAGTGGCAGGAAGCAAATCTTGTTTTAACATCAGAATTTAATTCATTAGCAGATTGACCCAAAAAGTGTAAAGTAGGCAGAGATTTCTAGTTACATGGGGGCAGGCAAGAGAGCAGGTGCAGAGGAACTGCCCTTTCTAAAACCGTTATATCTCGTGAGACTTATTCACTATCACGAGAACAGCACAGGAAAAACCCGAACCCCATGATTCAATTACCTGCCCTCAGGTCCCTCCCAGGACACGTAGGGATTATGGGAGCTAAATTCAAGATGAGATTTGGGTGGAGACACAGCCAAACCATATCATTCTGCTCCTGGCCCTCCTAAATCTCATGTCCTCACATTTCAAAACCAATAATGCCTTCCCACCAGTCCCCCAAAGTCTTAACTCATTTCAGCATTACCTCAAAAATTCACAGTCCAAAGTTGCACCTGAGACAATGAAAGTCCCTTTCACCTATGAGCCTGTAAAATCGAAAGCAAGTTAGTTACTTCCTAGATACAATGGAGGTACAGGCATTGGATAAATACAGCCATTCCAAATGGGACAAATTGGCCAAAACAAAGGGCCTACAGGCCCCATGCTACATATTTTTACGAGCTCCTCCCCCCATTCACTCTGATAAAATGCATTGAATTCTCTGGTCACAGTCACAAGCCTTCATCAATAAATTTTCTAGCACTACAGTCTTGTAGCTTCTTCGTCTTCTCAATTCTTTATCTTTTTTTATTGTTTCAAGTCAGCTGCCTATAATCTTGGCTTTATACCTTGAATCTCACCACCTCTGAGCAATGATCCACTGCCAAAATCTTCAATTTTAAAATGATATTCCTTGACGACAACTTCTACATTTATACTAAAACCAAAGGAAGTCAGTCTTCTTTGCAAGTTCTGCCACCTTTATGATTCATTTGAAAGCCTTATTTTTAGTACAGTCTGCAATCTAGTCGTAGGAGATAAAGATAGCTCTAAATACTACCATGCAACTTTCACAGCATTCTCTGAGTAGATATTTTGCTGAACTGAAATTGTCATCACCTTTCATCAAGATACCAAGGTAGTTAATAAAAGCCAGGCAACCACACAATTTTTATAATTACCTGTGTGGCCATGAATACCAATGGGTAAAGATTTGGCTTGGCTAATGCTTTTCTTTTAATCTGTAACTCCTTCCAATCCACCACAGTTTCATGTTAGTCAATGCATGCCAAGAGTTACAACCACTTCCTTTGCTGTGAGCAATGAAACCCTACTTGTCATCTGACTGTGGGATAAATTCATTCCATAATTTCATCATGAAGATCTGATTTTGAAAGCCACTTCTGGTATCAACTGTCTTAACTTAGGTTTTTGTCCTGGAAACAAACGCTTAGACAAGGAAGTGGATGCAGATAATACATTTGGGTCTCTTGCAACAGAATTGAGAAAGTGGGACCATTGATTCCTGGGAGAGAGAAAAGGGAAAAGTGTGCTAATATGCTGATTTTTTATGTGAAAAACTGGGGTTCATTCCTGCTAGATATCCTCTGAGAAGACATGTACAACAGGCCTCAGCATTTTCCCACAGAGGACTGTAGAGCTGGGGCATTTATCCTTTGTATTAGTCCATTCTTGCATTACTGTAAAGAACTACCTGAGACTGGGTAATTTATAAAGAAAAGAGGTTTCATTGGCCCCCAGTTCCACAGGCTGTACAGGAAGCATGGCTGTGGAGGCTTCAGGCAACTTGCAGTCCTGGCAGAAGGCCAAGAGGAAGGAAGCACTCCTTATGTGATCAGAGCGGAAAGAAGAGAGTGAAGCAGGAGATGCTACACACTTTTAAACAACCAGATGTCATGAGAACTCACTCACTGTCATGAGAACAGCAAGGGAAAAATCCACTGCGTGATCCAATCACTTCCCACCCGGTCCCTCCCCAACATGGGGGATTACAATTCAACATGAGATTTGGACAGGGACACATATCCAAACCATATCATCCTGAAACTACATTCCCCCTTGATTGAGGGTTTTCTTTCAGACCTTCACTCCTCCACACTCCTGGGTTGGCCTTCAGGTTGTTGAACCATCTGTAATCTAGGAGGAAGTGAAGAAGAGAGAACTACCTTGGCCTGGCTTTTATGTGTGTCACTGTTAATGATGCTTGGAACTGTCCATCCAGGGATGCTAAAACCAGAAGGGCTGAGATGTTATGTGATCCATGTCAGGGTCTCCTCATTATAATTTAATGACATTTTCTTAGCTCTCATTATATGTGAACCTCCTCGTAGCAGTTGATATTTTGCCTAATTCTATCTTAAAACACTCCTCTTTAGTTTCTATAAAACTATGGCCTTTTAGATTCCCTCCTATCCCTTTCTTCTGTAACTTTACTTTTTCTTTCATCCTGCTAGATATATTTTTTATGTGTAACTTCTCTCAGTCTTATTGTTTTATGTCTCTCACCTCTCTTCCTTGTTATTTTCCAATTTCAACTAGCACCTATTAATCTATATTTCAGTGCTCTAGCCCTAGATCTTCATTTTCACCTCGTAGGCATCTTCAGTGAAAAGTGCCAAAAGCAGCACAAGCTCAACATGTCCAAAATACATCCATCTCAGATCTGTGTATTTCCTCAATCTCTTATTTCTGTCTGAGGCATCATCTGTCAATGCTCAGACTGAATATCTCAATATTGACATCTACCACTCATGTATTTATTTTCCCATATCCAATTAGTTTCCAAGTACTCTCTATTCTAAGGTTTATTTATTTTGTAAATCCTTCCCTCAATTCTAATTTCTCACTATTTCTATCTTAATTCATGCCCTCACTCCCTCCAATTAAGAGGATTGCAGATGCTTTCTAATGTGTTTCTCTTTTCAATTTATTCTACACAGGGATAGGTCATTGTTTTAATATCAAGTACATCTCTGATTCAGACACATTCTTCTAAAATGCTTTTGATGACTAAGCAATAGTAATAGATAACATATCTATCTCTCTATCTGTCTATGTATCTATCTATCATCTATCTATCCATCTACACTACTTCTTGCATGCCAGCTTCTAACCTATAGATTTTGCATTATAAAAAATTGTTTGATCTTCATAATAATCATCTCATTTCATAAATGAGAACAAACACCTAAAATTATATACCTACAAACAAGCAAATCAGAAATCAAACAGGTGGCCTGTTTTCAAGATCTGTGCTACTAATCACTATACTAAAATGACTTCTAAGGCCTCATAGAAAAAATGCCTACAGAATAAAATGACAAACACTTAAGAACTTTTATAAAACTGTGTCCCAAACTGCTTTTTAAAATTAACTCCCATTTTTAATGATTTATTTGGGATATTCTGTCCTAAATTATTAATACACATTATTTTATTTTGTCCTCCCAATGATCTCATGAAATTGATATTATTCTTACTCTCATTTTTCTCATGTGGAGAAACTGAGGCTTAGAGAGGAGGCATTATTTGCATAAGGTCCCATGTACAATAGGTCGCAGAGCTAGGAATTGAAATCATGATCTTGCCTTCTAAGTCTACATTCTAGACAACTGTACCATTCTGCATTCATTTGCCCTTCCTGTTAGAAAGATGGTGAAATAATCATCATCCATATGTGTCCCTCAATGCCTGGCCTCCATGCCACCACTTATAAGTCTTTCTTCAAAGAAAATACATTTCTACCTTACACACTCTGCAGGCCCAAATCCTGCCTATTTTGAAATTTTCCTTGAATATTACCTTAATTGAAGATAGTCTCCCCAGACTCTGTGCTGAAAAGCCCTGGACCTCTCTAGGAACAATATCACTTTCTAACCAGAATTTTTATTACATACCTGCATTCTCTATTTTTATATGCTCAGGGAGAAAAAGAGATCTATCTGTAGCCTCTATAACCACTAGCATGTAATATTTTTGGAGACTTGATTAATTTATTTTTGTAAGAGTTACTCATCAAGAGGAGAAAATTATTTTTATTACCCTTCAAAATATATAACCCTAAGTGCAGAAATAAAATGATATTTGAAAAAAAGGAATATAACAATACAAAGATCTGATAATTTATATCAACTGAATTCCTAATTGCCTAAACAAAATGTATTACCTAAAAGTAGCCATTAGGTAAGAAACCCAAGAAAGAGTTCAGGTACTTTATTTTAAAGCTTCTGAACATAGATGCTCTACTTTTTGGCAAATATTTACTGAGTCCCCATTATGTGCCAGACACCAATGTGGTATGCTGTGGGTACAACACTGAGCATCACAAAGACCTCATTTCTGACCTTAGGATGAGTCTATTGGAAGAGACAAACATTAATAAAAATACCACACAGATGCAAGAAACATTGTAATTATAATAAATTCCACAAATAAAGTTGTGAATATGGGAATTTGACAAGAAAGTAGAATAGGGCTACTTCTGTTGAGTTCTGAAGCATTAGTTGTAGTTAAGGAAGACTGGGGAAAGCGAGAGTATTCTATGAAGAGAATATGCAGAGGGTCAGTGGAGTGACTAATGTAAAAGGTACAAAGAGCTTGCTATTTCAACTTACTCAATTAGACTGCTAGATGATTGTATTAGTCAGGGTTCTCTAGAGAATGGGTAAGTATTAACTCACACGATCACAAGTTCCCACAATAGTCTGTCTGCAAGCTTGAGGAGCAAGGAGAGCTAGTCCAAGTCTCAAAACTGAAGAACTTTGGAGCCTGATGCTCAAGGGCAGGAAGCATCCAGCATGGGAGAAAGATGTTAGCTGGGAGTCTAGGCCAGTCATGCCTTTTCACATTTTTATGCCTGCTTTACATTCGCTAGCAGCTGATTAGATGGTGCCCAACAGATTAAGGGTGAGTCTGCTTTCCCCAGCCGACTGACTCAAATGTTAATCTCTTTTGGCAACACCCTCACAGACACATCAAGGATCAATATTTTGTATCCTTCAATCCAATCAAGTTGACACTCAATAGTAACCATCACAATTCCACCTCTTGTCAACTTGAACCCACATACATCTCCTGAGATCATACATAATCTTCAAATAAAGGCAATAATAAGGTCCTAATTACACCTAACATAATACAACTATCCTTTGTACAACTGGAAACACATCAATCCCCAACCCAAGTACTATTACATAAAGTTAACAATACTTAAATGCTGATATGAGGTCAATAAATCTTATGTCACATGATAAAGGAAAAAGAAATAAAATGAAGATATTTTCTTAGTACAAGTGTATACATGCACAAACATGTTTTTAACAAAAGAAAGAGTAAATACTCATGACAGTTACAATCCTCCTTTCTGCAACTGGTCACATGATAATAGCTGGTATTGATGACTACCTTCTTCTACTACCCATTCTGTATTCCCTTTGCCTTCAGCAAGCCCCTCAGCAGGTTGTGGTTTTTTCCTGGTGGAGTGACCCAAACCTTCATTCCTGAGGGGTCTGGACCACTTGTAGTCCTGTCTGGATTGGGCTGTTGTAGTTTCCCATTGACCTTAATCACAGGGCATGGTAATACTAAGAGACACCCTAATAGGTCTCCTGTATTTCATGCATACTCTTCCTTACCTCTGATATGGAATAGTAGACTGATTTCATCTTGATAGTCCAGGTCAATCACCCCACCCAAATCTGTAACTCCCTTCTTAGTCTGTTGACTTAAAGGTAGGAGGAGCCCAAAGTATCCAGGTGGCAAGCTTAACTTCCAGTTTAATGGAATCATTGCTGTGTCTCCTGATGGCAACATTCCTCCCTCTGGAACTAAGACCTCTAGGCCAGCAGAATGTAATGCTGAGAGAACAGGAAGCAAAAATTTTGCTAGTGGATCACTAAGGGTGATGGTGAGTGGTGCCACTTTCACTTCCACCCCTTGATTCCTGGACCCATCAATCCTGGGTATGGGAAAAACAGTACCATATATCGGATGCTGATTCAGAGCATACATGGCCTTCTGGAGAACTTTGCCCCAGCCCTGCAAAGTATTGTCACCTAATTGACATTATAATTGTGACTTCAAAAGGCTGTTTCACCATTCTATCAATCCACCTGCTTCAGGATGATGGGGGACATGGTAAGACCAGTGAATTTCACTAGCATGAGCCCACTGCCATGCGTGTTTAGCTGCAAAGTGAGTGCCTTGGTCAGAGGCAATGTTATGTGGAATACCATGATAGTGGATAAGGCAGTCTGGTGCATCCACAGATGGTAGTCTTGGCATAAGCATTGCATGCACAATAGGCAAACCCATATCCAAAATAAGTGTTAATTCCAGTGAGGACAAACCTCTGCTGTTTCTATGATGGAAGAGGTCCAATGTAATCAGCCTGCCACCAGATAGCTGGCTGATCGCCCCGAGGTACGTTGCCATATTGAGGTCTCAGTGTTGGTCTCTGCTGCTGGCAAACTAGGCACTCAGCTGTGGCCATAGCCATGTCAGCCTTGGTGAGTGGAAGTCCATGTTGCTGAGCCCATGCATAATCTCCATCCCTGCCACCATGGCCACTTTGTTCATGGGCCCATTGGGAGATGACAGGGTTGGCTGGGGAAAGAGGATGAGCAGTGTCCACAGAACAGGTCATCCTATCCACTTGATTATTAAAATCCTCCTCTGCTGAGGTCACCCATTGGTGAGCACTTAGATGGGAACAAATATCTTATGGTTTTTGACCACTCTGAGAGGTCCATCCACGTAACTCTTCCCCAAATTTCTTGGTCACCAATTTTCCAATCATGCTTTTTCCAAGTCCATGACCATCCAGCCAGATCATTGGCTGCAGTCCATGAATCAGTATATACTAGCACATCTGACTATTTCTCCTTCCATGCAAAATGCACAGCCAGGTGCACTGCTCGAAGTTCTGCCCACTGGGAAGATTTTCCTTCACCACTGCCTTTCAGGCATGTCCTAGAAAGGGGCTATAGTGCTGCAGTTGTCCACTTTCTGGTAGTGCCTGCATATTGTCAACCATCTGTGAACCAGGCCCTGGTCTTCTCTTTCTCTCTCAACTGATCATAAGGAACTCCCCATGAGGCGGTTAGTGCAGGCTTGGGGAGAGAAGGCAGGGTGGCAGGAGTGGAGACCATGGGCATTTGAACTGCTTCCTCATGTAACTTACTTGTGCCTTCAGGACCTGCTTGAGACTGATCATGTATATACCACTTCCATTTGATGATGGAGTGCTGATGTGCACAACCCACTTTATGGCTAGATGGTTCAGAAAGCACCCAATTCATGATAGGCAGTTCAGGTCTCATGGTGACTTGATGAGCCACAGTCAGACGTTCAGTTTCCACCAAAGCCCAATAACAGGCCAAGAGCTGTCTCTCAAAAGGAGAGTAGTTATCTGCAGAAGATGGCAGGGCCTTGCTCCAAAATCCTAGAGGCCTCCACTGTGATTCACCTGCGGGGACCTGCCAAAGGCTCCAAACAGCATCCCTATCTGCCACTAACACCTCAAGCACCATTGGATCTGCTGGATCATATGACCCAAGTGGCAGAGCAGCTTACACAGCAGCCTGAACCTATTGCAGAGCCTTCTTTTCTGGACCCCAATCAAAACTGGAAACCTTTTAGGTCACTCGATGGGATGGAGTACCACACCCAAGTGAGGAATGTGTTACCTCCAAAATCCAAATAGGCCCACTAGGCATTGTGCCTCTTTCTGGGTTTTAGGAGGGGCCAAATGTAGCATCTTAGAAGGAATTCCTCACCTTGGAAGGAATATATCGACAGGCCCCACACCACTGGACCCCTAGAAAATTTACTGAGGTAGAAGTTCCCTGAATTTTAGTCAGATTTATTTCCCACCCTCTGGCAAGCAAATGTCTCACCAATAAGTCCAGTGTGTTTGCTACTTCTTGCTCACTGGATCCAATCAGTGTAATGCCATTGATATAACAGACCAGTGTGATATCTTGCAGAAGCAAAAAGTGGTCAAGTTCTCTCTGAATAAGATTATGACACAAAGATGGAAAGTTGATATACTCCTGAGGTAGGACAGTGAAGGTATATTGCTGGCCTTGCCAGCTGAAGGCAAATTGCTTCTGGTAGGCCTTATGGACAGGAATGGAGAAAAAGGCATTCGCCAAGTCAGTGGCTGCATACCAGGTACCAGGAGATGTGTTCATTTGCTCAAGCAATGAAACCACATCTGGTACAGCAGCTGCAACTGGAGTCATCACTTGGTTAAGCTTATGATAATCCACTGTCATTCTCCAAGATCCATCTGTCTTCTGCACAGGCCAATTGGGAGAGGTGAATGAGGATGTGGTGGGAATCACCATCCCTGTGTCTTTTCAGTCCTTGATGGTGGTACTAATCTCTGCAATCACTCCAGGGATGCAATATTGTTATTTACTATTTTTCTTTCTTTCTTTCTTTCTTTTTTTTTTGACATAATTTCGCTCCGTTGCCCAGGCTGGAGTGCAGTGGCACAATCTCGGCTCACTGCAACCTCCGCCTCCTGGGTTCACACCATTCTCCTGCCTCAGCCTCCCGAGTAGCTGGGACTACAGGCACCCGCCACCATGCCCAGCTAATTTTTTTGTATTTTTTTTAATAGAGATGGGGTTTCACCATGTTAGCCAGGATGGTCTCCATCACCTGACCTCGTGATCCACCTGCCTCGGCCTCCCAAAGTGCTGTGATTACAGGCATGAGTCACTGCACCCAGCCTGTTATTTACTATTTTTCTAGGTAGAGACAGCTCTAATGGCTTCCGTCTGGTCTTTCCCACCATAATGGCCCTCACCCTAGCAGTCAGAGAGACAATGTGGGGATTCTGCCAGATGCTAAGTATGTCTATGCCAATTATGCATTCTGGCACTGGGGAAATGAACACAGGATGAGTCCGGGGACCCACTATAAGTGGGACCTGAGCTAAAATTCCATTAATTACCTGAACTGCATAAGCCCCTACTTTAACTGGAGAACCACAATGGCATTTTGGGTTTCCTGAAATCAATGTCAGCTCAGAGCCAATGTCCAGTAGTCCTTCAAATGTGTGATCATTTCCCTTTCCCCAGTGTACAGTTACCCTAGTAAAAGGCTGGAAGTCTCTTTGGGGAAGGATAGGGAAAAGATTCACTGCATAAATTGTCAGTAATGTAGTGAGGTCCTTCCTCTAGGGGACCCGGCCTCCCCTTCATTCAAGGGGTTCTGGGTCTGTAAACTGGCTCAAGTCTGGAAATTGATAGAGGGGTTGTGATTCTCTGTTTTTATAATTCAAATTAGTCTTTTGTCCATTTGACCTAGAAGTTTTCTCCTTATATAAATTAAGTAGGAATGCAGTAGGCTTTCTATCAACTTCACTTCTAGGAATATCGTGATTTATTAGCCAGTGCCAGAGTTCTACATGGGTCAGACTATTCTGATTGCTGCTTTGTCTCTGCTGCCCATTATGTAGCCATGCCCACCTTGCTGTTTACAGTTGAGTGGCACCACTTGGCCCCTGCCACCTTGGGATCCTATTTTTTCTATAGTATTTAAATTTTGTAGCTGAGTGACTGTGATTCCCACTGCTAGCTCTGACACACAGAGAAGAGCAATTACAGGGCTTTTCAAAGATGCAGGTGCTGCCCTCACAAATCTATTTTGCAAGGCAATGGTCAAGGGTATATCTTCTGGACCCTCCAAGCTGGGATGAGTAGGTTTAAAGTGACTAATCCACTCCACCATCCCAGTCTCCCTAAGCCTTTTGATCCCTTCCTCTACATTAAACCAAGGAAGATCAGGCATTTACAGCTTGCTCACAGTGGGCCATCTTTTAATCCATATTTCCGCTGACCAAGCAAATAAACTATTAGAACCATTTTTAGCTCCCAGAGCTGCAACATTAAAAACAGTCCCTACTTAGTGGGCCCAAATCAATAAATTCAGCTTGATCCAACTCTATGTTCCTTCCATCATCATCCCACACTCTTAATATCCATTCCCATGCCTGTTCTCCAGATTTTTATTTATATAGAGAACTCAAGCAATTCTTTTCAAGTGCAGCGTACCTCCTCATGGGTCACACTCTCAGCCTCACCTCTAGGGGCCTGCTTGGACTTTAGTCTAGCTATAGGTCTAGAAGAAAACAGGGGTGTTGGGGGTGGCTCCTGAAAAGAATCAACATTATTTTGCATGGCGACTATGTGTCAGGGGAGGCCATCAATGTTGCCTCAGGCAGCACAGGGTTTATCTCCTCAGGCAAAGGTAGAAAGACTGATGGCAGCATGGGTTGGGGAGGGGATGTTTCCACTACTGGGGGTGGGAAAACTGTTCCTTTTAGCAAAAAAAAAAAAAGTTTAATCAGAGTTTACAAATTCAATATCCTCAGTTTCAGCAGGGTCCTCCTACACGTCCCCATTCCAAGTTGCAGGGTTCCATTCTTTTCCAGTCAATGCCCTCACTTTAACAGTAGACACCTGGCGAGGCTGTGCATGCACCTTTCATTGCAGGTCAGCCACTCTCATGATAAGAGCTTGTGTCTGTCTTTCCACAATTTCAGCTTTTTCTCTACAGGAGATAAGACTCTCACTCATGGCAACTTAGAGGTTTGAGGTTCAGTATTTGCTTGTGAAGACAGGAGACAGAATCCCTGAGTTCATCATTTTCTTTCATCAGTTTGTCCACTGAATTTAGGAGAAACCAACCACCTTCATTATGTTCCTTGGTTCTCCACATATGATCAAAGATATTATGTATAGAGCCACTAAACACCTTGCCTCTCACAAGCAGAGTGGTGAATCAGGAATGTCAAATGCATTTATTTTGCATGACTCTCTGAACAGTTCATGCCAAGGACTATCAGTGTTTTCCATACTAATAGAAGTAGAGTCCTTAGCATTTTGGGGTCTAATCATATTAAGCAACCAACTCCAGAAACCCCAAAACCAATGAAAGAGCTCCATCCTTAATATTCTGTTCCTCTAGAACCACTCCCGGCACCAAAATCTGCATTAGTCAAGGTTCTCTAGAGAGACAGAACTAATAGGATACACACACACATACACACACACATGTATATGGAAGTTTATTAAGTATTAACTTGCAGGATCACAAGGTCCTACAACAGGCTGTCTGCAAGCTTGAAGAGCAAGGAGAACCAGTCCAAGTCTCAAAACTGAAGAACTTTAGAGTTTGACGTTCAAGGGCAGGAAGCATCCAGGAGGGGAGGCTAGGCCAGTCTCGCCTTTTAACATTTTTCTGCCTGCTTTACATTTGCTGGCAGCTGATTATTTGGTACCCACCAGATTAAAGGTTGGTGGGCCTTCCCCAGCCCACTGATTCAAATGTCAATCTCTTTTGGCAACATCCTCACAGACATACTCATAATCAATACTTTGTATCCTTCAATCCAATCAATTTGACACCCAGTATTAACCATCACAATGATTCAATGGATAGGAGGCAGCATTCAGGGTTGGTTAATTGAGTGTAGAAACTTAAATAGAGTGGAATGAAATGGTGAGTCATAGCAAATTAAACTATGAATAGTTATTAGATTACCTAACCCCCAGCTTAGTATTAATGTTCACTGTAATGAAACAATATTTTATTTTTATTATTTTATCAATTGAAAGTACTCAGGTGATCTTCTGGGGAAAATAATTTAAGTTCATTCATTGGACCCTCTGAGGTGATACCTGTCAACAAATCTTAAATATTTTCAGTGTTCGATTGATTTTTATTAGCAGTGAGTTGCTCTAAATTAATTTGCTTCCTTTTAAACATATTTTTTTCTTGACTGAACAACCCCAATTTATTGTTATTTTAAGATTACTTTTAACATTTTCCTTAGGTTAAATAATTTTAATGAAAAGCTATCATAAATATTTGTTATCACTGTACTTTAGATTTTCATAGCATAGGGGAAATAAAGTTATTAACACTAATAAATTTGGTTTTATTTCTACAAATGAGAAATAAAACACATTCTCGCAGGAAAAAAATATACTCAGTAGGATTATAAATCTGTTAATCTAAAAACATTTTCTAACTCCTGTCAATATTTTGGAAGTTTTCAATATCAAAAGAGAAGCTTCAAGACACTTCTCAGCCTGTGCTTTCTATGTCAGCCAGAAGCATAAACTACCTTTGAATACTGAAATTTTCTAGTAGCCCCATTAAAAAGTCAAAAAGAAATAGGTGAAATTAGTTTTAAATGTTATATTTAATACAATGTATATATAAGTCATAAATGAGGGATTGCACATTTTGTTACTAACTTCATATTTTTGTATATATTTTAAAGTTACAGCACATCTCAGTCTGACTGACCTGATTCTATGTGCTCAAAAGCCACATGTGGACACTGACTGCTGTATTAAACATTGTCAGTCTTAGGTTAAACTAGTCCTTAGAAGAGTTTTCTCAAATCTTCGCCTTTTGATTAATGACCTGAATTGTTGGTCAGGTTAACAATCCACTTCTTCCTATTTCACTGTTATACTTTCATTACTTAGTCACCTCTAAGAATTTACTCTCATCTTCATACTTCCCTTAATTTCATCCATGATCTCAAAGCCACATTCAGTGCCCTTAATTTTAAATAGTGTAGTATAATGTATATATGGATATAGATATATGATATGTTGTAGTATAATATATGTGTTTGATACATATGATTATACACAAATTGTGTAATGTGTGTGTATGTATGCCGGACTGTGTGTGTCTCCTTCAATCATTACACAAATATTTACTGTATACTCTGTACGCATTAGGCTCAGAGTGAAAAAATGGTGAAATGTACATGGTCACTACCCTCCAGGAACTGAAAATCCATATATGCCTCTCAGTCCTTTTGACTGAAGGTGCATCCATTTTGTGTATCTCAGTAGCTAGGAGACTAAACACAAATATCCTTCACTGACTCCCTCCATTCGCGATTAATCACGTATCCCTAATTACTCCAATAGCATAGACACTTTGTCGATTCCCCAGGTTCAAAGTCTTCAATTCATCTTTAATTCCTTTCTCATTTTCTCTTCACATTCACAATGCTTTCTATTTCACAATGCTTTCTATTTCACAATATCCAATTTAAAAACAGATTCAGACCCGTTTCTTTTCACTCATTGTAGTACTGTGACTTTATCCCTGGTTTTCTTGCCCTCTTGTAAGTACCCATATATAATATTTCTATCTTCCTATTTTTTCCTCAAAAATGAAAATATTTTTAATGTAAATTGTAAAATCACCAAGTTTACTGTAAAAATGATCTGTTAAATGTAAATGTAGAGCAGCAACATACCTTTTGATTTCCTTGAAAACCAATTTGTTGGGAAAAGCTGCCAAAGTTCTACACATCCATTACCAATAATTTTTATGAGTGTTTCTTTTGTGAACCACCAAAATTATGACATTAAATTGTAACAAGGTAACATGGTTTGGGAACTTATTGTATAATCTCAAGAACACTACAGTTTAATAATTGTTTTGTTGATGTTGCTAAGAAGTATGATATTTAAAAAATGGATAAATCATTTATAGAGAAACTTCATATAGAAGTTGCCTATAACAGCTAAGCTTGTAGATTGTTATAAGCATTGCTTATAAAAGAATATATTCTAAACTTAATTACATTAAGTACTGATATATCCACTTTATACATATTCATTTTGTTAATAAAGAGAAAAGCACTTAATATTGAGATCTTAGTTTAATATCCCTGGTAATATGTCATTAATAGCAAATCAGTGGTAGGAAACTGCAGCTCTTAAGACAAATATTCAATTTCTCTGAATATAAAAATAAGTATTAATTATTTTATTCCACTTTCCTATTAGATAATAACATGGAAAGGATAAGAAACTGGTAGAATTCAATTTCTGAAAATTTATAAAATGGAAGGAAGTTATTCAATGAGCTATTTGTCACAATGAGTATCATTTATAACTGAGCAAGGCAACCACTTTTTTATGACTGGCAAAGAAACACAGTAACAAATATAATAAACATATAATAAAAATCCACAAATCCATTTCTTGAACTAAAAGTAAGAGAGCATTTTCTTATTAAAAATGTGATTATCTATGCATGCCACCAAAACACACTGGTGGAAAATAGAATGAAAGAAGTTAATGTTGTTTGCTGAATGATTATTTCTGATTCCTCAGACTAGCTTCTCCATCATCAGATGAAATTAGTTTAGTCTGGTATGACTTACACTTAATGATGATTACCGATTTCATTCCTAAGCGTACATAAATCACTCCTTTAATAATATTTGTTAGAGTCATTCCCAAAACTAATATTGATAGTGGCAAACTCATATGTCTAGAGACCAAGAGATGACAGAAACAACAGGGCTGGAGAACATGTACCTTTTTGAAGGTAATGGCTGTCACTAGGTTCTAGCCAACTGTGGGGGTGAAATCTGATTTCAAATGTTCACAATTAATTCTCTACTTTTGTTTGTTTAGTTTTAGTTTTGTTTTAGACATTGGGAAACCCTAATTGCTTCTGTAAGTCACCTTCACTTGTCATTTTACAGTCTCTGATACACAGTTTAAATCAAGATTCCTCTTCCTTTTAAATTCAGAAGACCTCCTGACAAACACCTCATGCCCCCCAGTTTCTGCACACACACAGTACCAATAGCAAGACTACTGACAGAGTCCATGAAAATCGCATAAACATGTTGTGAGCCACTGAAACAATCTGCATTTGGAATTGCTTTTGAAGACACAAGCTCTTGAGGAGTAGTCATTGAATTAGTAAAGGAAAAATTATCGGCATTTAAAATAGAATTTATACATAATTTTTAAAGAAATCCTTATATGTAGGAACTATTTTTACAAGCTCATCAGTTAATGGATTTTTTTTTGAAGAATTGATTCTTTTTCAGCAAGAGCACAATTATTTCATACTTAATTTATATAGTTTGTTATGTTAGTGTTTCTCAGTGAAAAGATGAATCAAATCACTTATATGATTGAAATCACTGCCAGCTCATTCAATTGTTTAGTTTAGTATATTAAATAATGCTAATATTGTACCACAAATAAGCAACTTTTATTAATTCCATTGCTATGAACATTCTTCCTCTGAACATTATGCTCTTGCCAACTCTAATTATTCAGAAGTCTTTAATTCTTGCACACCATGAGATGGAAAAACTTTCACTCTCTCATTAACTCACATTTTCTACCTCATGTGCTTACCCTCCTGAATGTGAGTGAGCTTATTTTGTCAGAAGTTTTTGCTCGTAACCTTATAGATTCTAACTGTGAAACAGAAAGATAGAATGGTGCTTATGTAAGACAGTTTTGTTGCTTGACTGTAAGATATAATTTGGACGGAGAAAACAAGGCATCTTTGTCTTTGCACTCTGCCTGTGATCATCTTGGTTTCAGCCATTCAGTGGTTCCATCCTTTTCCTCACACAGGGCCAGATATCTGAGTGTCAGCTATGGTGCCTGCAGACCATGACCTGAAATAAAAATGTTCTGACTGCTAAAGCAGCCCTTCAAACATAATCTCAGCTCCATTGATTCCCTGACTCCTTTCTCACCCAACCACCCATAGAAGCACAGGTTTATTAGATTTTGGGCTTAGGTGTTTTATGCTTAACTTCAATTCTTTGACTCAAGGCTCTCTCGCATAAATTTCTACTCATGCTACACCATTTATTTTAATCACCTCAATTTTCCCCCGATTATCAGCTTCAACCTTTTACAATTATTTTAATAACTGCAAATCTCGTAATGCTCTCTGTCTAGAGATAGAGGCTACACACTCTAAAATAGTATTTTTTGTAAACATCACAGAATTTTGTTGAACCATTCATAATATTTTCCCTATTTCTTTATCCTTGATTTCTTTAATATTTTTCAAGCCAATATCTGTGAGAATGATAACTAAGACTAAAGGACTAGAAAGATCAAGGTTAATTGATCTATAAAAACAATGGAACAATAATCTTGACATTACTGTAGTCAATTTTCTAAACAATTTTACTAGCCAGCCACCTGTGGTAGCCAAAACTGTCAAAGAATACTCACCCAGGAAATCATGAATGGGCTCTTAATTTAGTTGTAAAGGTACTCAGTAAGTGTTTCTTAAACAAATGAGTAAATACTAAGGTTTATACATTTTCTGTTAACAAATGTTTTCATTTGCAATGAATGGTAATAATGAAATTAAAATCAAATACATGTTTTCTTCTTCACTTCATGATTTACTAAACATTGTGATTAAAGAGAATTGGAAAATCAAAGTTCAACACACTTAAGATTAAAAACTGACTAAGCTATTTTTCAAGGTATTTTCCTTTTGATTGCATATTTGTATTATGCAAAAATATGCACATTCTATAACAACATTTTTAATGTAAGAGTTCCCATGGTAAAAAAGATATTATTTATAATAATGTTGGTGAGATTCAAAATATATGGGTGAGTGTGATAATGTTAACCTGGGGACTGCAAACATAACCCACTGCCAAATCATTAATATTCATATTTGAATACAATGTAAAGCCTTCTAAATATATTTATAATACTATATATATTATTTGGTTTATAAAACGTGACTTACAGTTTCATTACTGCGATGCTTTCTGCTAATTTAAATATCAAATTGGGCATGACGGGAAAAATGTTAATTCAGATCTGAAAATGAACGTTTGAATATTCTAAAGATTTTTTGGAAAATAATGTCAAAAACTTGATAGACTAAGAACTCTTTATAAAACTTCAGTAACCTTTTCATATTTCAGGTAGGAATTTCAAGGTAGTGAATTTCTACTTTAGTATTTATAGTGGTCAGAAGTATGACAATCACATTAGGAACAAGATAAAAAGAGCAAGTAGGATGTGATCCTTTCTAAGAAACAAATATTAAAGTTGATTTTTATGTTTCATGTTGATCTCTCCATTTTGTGATGACATACAGTAATTACTTCACATACCCTATATTTTGATGTCAATAATGCTTAGCACTTCATTGTTTACTCCAAGGATTATTCTGTTTTTAATGTAAAATTGCCTTTCTGTACACCTGACAGTACCACTAAACAATGACAACTTCTCTGAGTTCAAAGAATATTTCACATAAATCATTTATATTCTCTTGCAAAAATCTAACACAATTCCAGTCAAACAGTAGGTATTTAATAAGTATTTGTTGAACTAATTTGTTGAAAAATTGAATAATTCATTCATTTCTTTACTAAATAGTGTGATTACTATGTATTAGGCTGGTGTGAAAGTAATTGTGGTTTTTGTCATTAGTTTTAATGGCAAAAATTGCAGTTACTTTCACATCAACCTAATGTAAAGTATTATCATAACAATTTTTTTCTTCTTAAGAACATAAAAATATATTTTTACAATGAATCTCGCAGTCTTCCCCTGAAATAAAAAAAAATCTTCTGTAATAGATGCAGGAGATTTTCAACTGATGATTATACATAATATACATTTTGAACACTGTTCTTTTTTACCTCAGATATATGTTTTAGAGGTATAATATTTTTAACATATACATGATCTATTTTCAAGACATGCATGACCTACATGGTATTTATTTAAAGCTGTAGTCAACCAATTATTTGTAATAACTAATGTTAACCTTAAAAATAAAAATACATCTGCCAAAAATTGTTCAAAAAGCATGAATTTAATTGACTGTCTTTCACAATATGCTATCTTTTTGCATCTCAAAGTCCAGCAGTCTTCTTAAGTTCAAAGATATGCACATTGTACATCAATTATTCTGTTTTCCAGATATTTTTCAGTCTCTAAATCATATGAGCCACATAATGCCTTACATGTTTATGATGTCAGTGAGTCATGTGCTGATACATTAACAAGTTATTTCTCACCAGCTCCAGCTTCATTCAGTAAACATAAGCTACACCGAACCCTTCCTAGATCCCCATTAGATCCCCAACTTTGATTATACATTAGTTATTAACTTCTTTCCCATTAGGTAGTTGTTTCACAGAATACAGTTATTTAAATGTGTGTGTGCAAGTGTTGGTAGATGGCTCTTCTTTAGCTTCTCAAGTTTTTCCCCACTTCCTGTTAACCCACATGTGAGGCGAAGCTGGTCTCTCTGGCAGGCCTGTCACAGATGCACTTGGGATTTATGTCAACAGTGCATGGTCACACCTCAGGAAAAACAATGTTACAGTCAAGATGAAACTGATTTAAAAAACTTATTGCTCAGAATTGGTTGTCAGGGATTAGATATGAAAGGTATGAGTATGTTTTCCAAAGCGAGCATCTAAAAGCACCATAGTCTTTGAAGGGATTGTGGTAGAAGAAAGAGAGGCTATAAGAACAATGAAAAGGGAAAGGATTCCCTATTTAATAAATGGTGCTGGGAAAACTGGCTAGCCATATGTAGAAAGCTGAAACTGGATCCCTTCCTTACACCTTACACAAAAATCAATTCAAGATGGATTAAAGACTTAAACGTTAGACCTAAAACCATAAAAACCCTAGAAGAAAACCTAGGCATTACCATTCAGGACATAGGCATGGGCAAGGACTTCATGTCTAAAACACCAAAATTTGTCAATTTTGGCAACAAAAGCCAAAATTGACAAATGAGATCTAATTAAACTAAAGAGCTTCTGCACAGCAAAAGAAACTACCATCAGAGTGAACAGGCAACCTAAAAAATGGGAGAAAATTTTCGCAACCTACTCATCTGACAAAGGGCTAATATCCAGAATCTACAATGAACTCAAACAGATTTACAAGAAAAAAACAAACAACCCCATCAAAAAGTGGGCAAAGGACATGAACAGACACTTCTCAAAAGAAGACATTTATGCAGCCAAAAAACACAGGAAAAAATGCTCACCATCACTGGCCATCAGAGAAATGCAAATCAAAACCACAATGAGATACCATCTCACATCAGTTAGAATGGCAATCATTAAAAAGTCAGGAAACAACAGGTGCTGGAGAGGATGTGGAGAAATAGGAACACTTTTACATTGTTGGTGGGACTGTAAACTAGTTCAACCATTGTGGAAGTCAGTGTGGCGATTCCTCAAGGATCTAGAACTAGAAATATCATTTGACCCAGCCATCCCATTACTGGGTATATACCCAAAGGACTATAAATCATGCTGCTATAAAGACACATGCACACGTATGTTTATTGCGGCATTATTCACAATAGTAAAGACTTGGAACCAACCCAAATGTCCAACAATGATAGACTGGATTAAGAAAATGTGGCACATATACACCATGGAATACTATGCAGCCATAAAAAATGATGAGTTCATGTCCTTTGTAGGGACATGGATGAAATTGGAAATCATCATTCTCAGTAAACTATCGCAAGAACAAAAAACCAAACACCGCATATTTTCACTCATAGGTGGGAATTGAACAATGAGAACACATAGACACAGGAAGGGGAACATCACACTCTGGGGACTGTTGTGGGGTGGGGGGAGAGGGGAGGGATAGCATTGGGAGATATACCTAATGCTAGATGACGAGTTAGTGGGTGCAGCGCACCAGCATGGCACATGTATACATATGTAACTAACCTGCACATTGTGCACATGTACCCTAAAACTTAAAGTATAATAATAATAAAAAAAAAAGAATGATGAAAAGGTAGACTCGGGAAACAACAAATAGATGCCAATTCATCAGTTCATTTCACAAAGAGTTCTGTGAAGCACTGAGGCACAAGTAGTATACTCTAGTCCTCACTTGGAAAATCTGTTTCCTAAAAGATAGAAGAGCACGTCATACTATTTCTTGTTTCCCTCTTTTTTGGATAGCTCATTTATAACAAATTAGGGGGCCTGGTGTGGCCCAGTGCAAAAACTTAGCATGAGACAGCACATATTTTTCCTGGGAATTTGGACAGGAACATGTAAAGAAAAGGAAATAAACAGCAAACATTCAAATTTAACACAGATTATATGTGCACATGAAATGCAGAGAAGAACATACATTTAGGTTCACAATTACATGTAACTTCTATCTTTTTTTAACATTTTGGTCAAAGTCTGTGCACTTACATTCTGAGTTCAAAGCTTCTTCTGAATTATTCTTGGTCATGTGTATTCATAAATAATGACATGGTGACATTGATGGTCACAGTGCAAGTTCATGGTTTTTATCTACTTACCATTCTTAGGATGACAGTATAGATTAAGGAATTTATTATTTTATTAGATTTATAGATTTATTTTTCCCCTTAAATTGAAAAAGCTTCTTCTGAAAACCACTTGGAGCTTTTAAGAGATAGACCAAGTTACCAAGTGTCAGGACTTCCTGACACATAGATTGTTTGTTTTAATCTCTCCTAGATTTGAACATTTTCAGTTTACTCTTGAGACTTGGAATTTCTACCTGTGATGTTACTGCTAGACTTATAATAGAAGTTACCTTCTGGAAATACAGTAACTTTTATTTATTTTATATTTGGAAATAATCTTTTTCAAAGCATATTAAGATAGAATTATGGATCCAAATGCAAACCTAATATAAACATTAGGTCCTTACCAAAGCAAATAATATAACTTAGGTAAAAATAAAGAAACAGCTTTCCTCTCTGTGCAGCTGAGATTACAACTGCTCAGGTGGCCAGAAAGGTGTTCTCTTTTTTTGCTTTGTTTAGAAAATGCAATCTGATTTCAGAAATAAGAAAATATGGGTGAGTGAAAGCACTTTTTTAGAATTAAAACAGTGTATATGATATTGATTCACCTTTATTTTTATTTTTTCCACATGAGAAAACTGAGACCCAAAAATTAAAACAATGTACCCAATGTTATATAATCACTAAGTAGTAAAACCAGAACTTAAACATAGATATGTCATTATTAAAAATCTAAATGATCTAGTTCTATGCTCTCTAACGTGGTAGCCACTAGCAGTGTGTGACTATTTTAACCTAATTAAAGCTAAATAAAATTAAAAGTTATTTTCCTTAGACGCATTAGCCACACTTCAAACGTTCAATAACCACAGGGCTTTGTTGTTGTCACTGTGAACAGGACAGATTATAAAACATTTACTTCATCACAGAAAATTTTCTTGCTCAGTGCTAATGTACGGAAACCCAACTATTTCATGATTAGGGAAACTGTCTCAGGAAGGTTAAATGATTTTCCCAAGTTATTCAGCTAGATTGACAGACAACCCCATGTAAATTCCAAGTCTCCTGAAGCCTAAAACAGGGTTATTTCTACTGTACACTGGTCCAAACCATTCTCAAAAGCAACTCTCTCTCTCTCTCAGTCTCTCAATCTCTCTCTCTCTCTCTCTCTCTCTCTCTCACACACACACACACACACACACACACACACACACACACCTCTAAAAGAACCAGCTTCTTCTCTGGTTTACATCCAGTAAGAAATTCACATTCTCTATAAAAACTATACATAGAAGAATAGAGAGGAATTTTCTGTCCGTATTTATGACAGTGATTCAGGAATATCAAGGGAGCCAGTGAAAGTGCAACTTTTCTTCTGGAACACACTAGTGAAATGAGCCACTGTTGATCAGTAGTAGCCACATAGAACAGAGGAAACCAAAGAATGTGCATGATTGATATTCTTAATAGGTGTAAGCTTTTGCTACTCTGTTTTTTCCCAGAAAATTATTTTGTAATATATTCACATAGAAGAATTCATGTTTTATAAAGACTTTAAATTTTGAATCAATTTTAAACATAGACACAGGTTGCAAGAATAGCACAAAGAATTCTTGTAAACCCTTCACCCATATGTGCTTTATGAGTGTCTACCTCTTCCTCTTTTTGTCTCCCTCTACACCTAATACCCTCTTCCCTACACTCCTTCTTTGTATATATTTTATTTAAAAATAAGTTGCATGAGCCATGCCTTTAAAATCCTAAATGTTTCAGTGTGTGACATTATATAATCACAGAACAGCTATCAAAATCAGCAAAAATTAACCTTGCATCTAATAATTTTGACTATATTCTAGCACTTATTTTTACACAATAGACTCCATAAACTCCTCATATGAGCAAAAGAAAAACATCATGTTAGTCTTAACCTAAATCAGCTTTTCCTGTATAGACTCAGTTTATGTGAAGTATAATATTTGCTAATGTTTCCCAGGAAGGCCTTGTCATCATATTTGTTTTATTTCAGGAGCATACCTTGGGCTAAGCAAATGTTTAACCATTAACATATTCAATAATCTTCTCCAAGGTCAATCACCATGTATTTCAGTCTTCTAATTCTGTCAAAACAAGACCATGGTCTTTTAGAAATGAAATTAACAGTTTTCATCCTCTAATTAAAATAGCTGTAAAACTCCAAATCTCCTTTTTTCTTAGTCCCTTCTTTTTCATTTGTGTAGCTTTATATCTTGTTACATTGGTATTAAGGAAGTGGAAAACTAAAGATTAATATAGGATATCTAAGAACAAAAGTGTCCTCTCACAGGGGCATTATCATGCAAAGGGTCTCCATTTCCCTACTATATTTCTTATTTTTTTAAACTAGACACCAGTTGTATTTCTCTCACATACATATTAAGTAGAGCATTTAGATTAATTTTGGCTCTAATATTCTGGTTTCATAACGTGGCATATTAGCCAGCCACCTCTATACAAAGAACACGGACTCCTATTTCTGAACCTGCACTTACACTTGCTACCAGTAGGTTAGTAGAAATACTCCTTTGCTAAATATATGCTCAGAGAAAATGATTAGTAGACTCGGGCCTATGTGCTTAACTGGATTTAGACTGAATAGTGTGTCCATAGTTAGAAATTATTGTTAACTATACTCATACAAATTCATCGTGGAGAAAACAGAATTAAATATGTGTCCTGGGATGGTGATCCTAATATTTAAAAACATTAAGTGGCAGTCCTTTCCCTTCAAAAGAAAATGCATAGGTACTCACCAGCTATGCCTCTTGCCTTTTGGAATTACTAGACTCATCTTCATATGAAAGTCTTGTGGTCTTGGCATTGGCAAATCCTGAGCATGCATTTCAATGTTAGATGTTCTGAGATCCATGAAGTCCGCTTTGTACCCAGGGGAAAATTAGTTAGCTAGCTCAAATCTGTCAAGGGAAGTCTGCCTTTAGCAGGGAACAGCTACATATTCTCACAGTGCTTTTTTCTGAACACCCTCTGGCAAATATTTTTGTTTTCATGGCAGAAACACACAACTACACACATGTATGATATGTAGATAAATAGGTATTACTTTTCTTCCCTTAACTTTATGAAAAATAGCCCTCCCAGACTTGAAATCCTGCTTTCTTGCTTGCAGTAAAAGTGTTACATTCTGTGTGGCCTATGGGACTATGAAGACTTTCTGGTAGAATCTTTCTGGCTAGAGGGAATAAAACAACTGCTAGGTGTTTGGAGATTGGGGGAAAGTCTTGTTCTTAACCCAGAACTCTCCTACATTGAAAGAGAAAAAACATGGCAGAGCAATTAACAATGAAAACAAGCCTGGAGGGTCTTGAGTGTCTTGCTTCTGTCAAAGAGACTCCTTTCTTTCCATTTATTCCAATTCCATTGCACAGCTTGTTTTTAACACTTTTAGAGCCTTCTTTCTTTTATCAACTCTTTTGGTCAAGTAGCTGTGATTTGCTCAGGAGAAATTATTCCGATACCAGGTGGCCATTTGTGTCTATGGAATCTTTCTGTTGGTGGCAATGCCTCTGGTCAGACTTTCTCTAAATTCTCAAAAGCCTGTCAGGATTGCCAGTGATGAACAGCTTGTATTGTGGTCTTTTGCACTCTGTTAGACCCTAGAATGTAAAGCCTGAAGGGACTTCAGGATTCATCTAAGCTAATTTCTCCAACAATATTTTAAACACTTTGGGGCATGGTACCTTGTTTCTCTTTTGAATCTTAGCACACAGTGTAGTGCCCAATTCACGATAGGTACTCAGAAAGTGTTAGCATGTAATGGAATAAACCAACACCTTTACTGATTTAATAAATTGTGACCTGATATACAGAGTAGCTGAGTAATTTTTCTATTATCACACAGCCTGTTAATGAAAGAGCAAGAAGTTAGAAATAGGTCAGTATTAAATTCACTGCGCATCCATTCCTCTGTGCAACATTGCCTTGAACCCAGTTGATGCCAAGCAACTGCTGTAATTACCTTCCCGATACTTAGCAAAGTATGGCTAAGTATCATTGGTCAGGTAAGAAGTTGTTTTTCACTTAGACTGTATATGTGCCTGGAGTAAATAGCACAGGGTTTGGAGTAAAAAATGTGGATTATGAATTTGCCCCTTAGTAGCCGCGTGAACTTAAATTTCTCTACAAAATAAAGATAACAATTCTGGCAATAACTAAAAACATTCTAAATTTTTTGTACATATGGCCTTAGATGTCCTTTTACTTGAGTCAGAGTGCTCAGAAATACTCCACTAATAAGGGAATTATTTTTTATTATATAAGTGGTCCCTCTACTAATAAAGGAATGACTATCTTAATTATCTATAATATTGCATATTATACATAACACACAATACATATTTACATATACCATAAACTAGTAAGTTACTAATTTATTTTGTAGGGTCTGAGTCAAAAAGGGCCTGTTAGCCCTATAAACATGACAAAATCTTAGCTACAAGTTCAAAATGTTGGTTAATATATAGGTATATATTGGCTCAAAGGCAATGTCTAATAAAAATAATTAATACTAAATAAGAACCTCCCCAAGGCTTTCTTTTTGCTCCTCCTCTTGCATATTATGCCCTAAGCGGCTTAATTCACCATGCTTCATTACTTCCTAGGCCCAGGCCTCATGAGCCAGGAGAATAGTATATGCTACATTCTGAGAGCAAAAGCTCCTGGTGTGAGACAAATTAACACAGCACCGGGAGCCATTTAACAAATTACCTTTTCCAGTGCCTATACTGGCACCACAGTACCCACTATGGACCCACGTTCACATCAATTAGATTAGCTACTCAGTCCCAGAGGTCGTTTTCTTCATGCCGACTCAGGCTGTGAACTCCACGTTAAAACTAGAAAATGAACAGTCCTAAGATAGGCAGATGAATTTTTGAGACGATTTCTTTAGGAGAGTAAAATCATCTACCTTAGAAACTGTCTAGCTTTTTTAGTTTGGCTGTTTCCAGCTGTGTGTGCCATATTTTGCTTTCTAAGTATATATACCTAGACCTTGAGTATTTATTTCTGACTCTTTTAATGTTTTGTCCCAGTATGAATAATAAATAATTTGACAATAAAATGTTATTTCAAGGATTCATCTATTTTTGCTTCATTTTCTCTACTTTAGGTGACCTCTAATTTCTTTCCTAACCTTAGAGAGTGTCTGATTGACTTAGATATTAAACTGCAATCTAGGAAGAAATTTCTTATAATGAGAGTTCCGAAGGATGGAACTAAAACAGACTAAGAAGAAAGAAAATGGTGTGGGAGAAAAGAGAAAAATAAAAGGGGTGAAACACCTACAAATATTCCCAGAGAGGTGTACAGAAATAACTAACACTTTTACTAAAGTCTTCGGGTATTTTATGGCAGTGCAGAGCGTTTTGTAGGGAAAAAAATATCATAACATGGCACTTTCTATAAATGCAGCACTTTTCCTCAGCATCTCACAGTCTTTTCTTATTTATTATTTAGTTGATCTTTTCACAATTTTTATAGTGAGAACCTGGAACAATAAAAGAGTTCACATAATTGTTCCATCATTTTTTGTGGGAGGGTGAAAGGAGGATGAGTATAGATAGATAAGAGATAGGGAAGGCAAGTGATCAACAGGTCTCTGCCCTGTAACTTCTGCCATAAGACATGCAGGTGGGTGCCCAGTACCCTTAAAAAGGCTACTTCCTGAGGTTTTCTTCTATTTCATTGTACTTCCAAGCAATTCTTCTTCCTGGTACCAAGAGAAAAAAAAAAGAATGTGAACCTTAGAAGAACTAAATAGGTACCAAAAACAAAAAGAAATGAAAAACCTTCCCCCATCCCTCATAGTAAAAGAGAAGAATTTTCAGAGCAAGTATATACTCCCAAAAGAGCAATAGGTCTGAATATAGAAGCTGCAATGTACAATTCCTGGAATTTTACAGTGTTTGTGTGGGGAAAACATGGAAGAGAAAAAGAGACGTAAGGCTAAAAGCGAGTAGCAACTTGAAGGGTTTTGTTCTTCTTCTAGAATCCCAGCACATTATCTGCCTCACAGACTTTGTCAGAGCCAGTATCATGACACACATCAACCCTAGTAATACATTTCTTTTCAGTGCCTTATTTGTGACTAAGGTGACAACGGGCTCAATTATAAGTCTGATATCAGATCAAGTTTTATTTTCCAGTTTTAAGTGGGTAGATTTACAACTTAAGAAGGTAGACTATTTCTTGTCAATTCTATAACCAACATTTTTGCATGTCATTCTCTGGCAAGGTTATATTCTTGAACATGGGAGCTGAGAAACAGACAGGGAAAAAAATAAAGATAACCTATCTTACAATACTTCACGTAAGTTGCTTTGCACTGTTTTCTGATCTTAAACTTAAGTCAATAATTTCTCCTAGACAATTGGATGTGGGGTCGAATGTAAGAAGTCTACTGAACTCTAAGGGGGATTTTAATTGCTTTTGTGATTTATTACTTACTGGGATAATTCTTGAGAGTCAGCAGACTTGCTTACTAGAACTATGAGAAATTGCTGGTTGTGAGTTACAGGTGAGCCACATTAATCATTTCTGGAGTTTTGTCAGCATGGACTTTCACCCCATGAAGCTTCTACCCAAACAGTAAGCCATAATATGCTAATCCTGCATCACTACTCCTTTAAATCTGAAATTAACGTATCTTTATCTCTTCCACCCTGATTAAACTTGAAAATAAAAAATATTGTCCTATGCAACTAATCTGACTCAAAAGCAATGAGACAAATAAAGTCTGCTCTAAGTTTGAGTATACTTTTATTAATTCATAGATTCAGAAAATAAGTTATGTGTTGTTTTTAGTGCCCACTTTTTTTTAGTGCACTAGTTAAGGTGCTTGAGCCACAACAGTAAATAAAATCAAAGTCCTCACTCTCATGGAGGTTACCTTCTAGCGGTGGGAGACAGAAATAAATACATTTATAAAATGAACCACGTGGTAATAACTGGATAGAAAGTAAGAGTGAGGAATGCTATTTTGTATGGGGTGGTCAGCAAAGATTTCTTTGTTAAGGGAATATTTATACAGATATCTACAGAAAGTGAGGAAGAGACAATGAGTAAACATAGGGAAGAGCTTATTAGCCAGAGCATTTAGCACTCAAGGGGCCTAAGGTGAGTGTGTTTAAGGGAAGAGGAGGAGGATGGTGTGGTTGAATTAGAGTGATGAAGTTATCAAGTGATCAGAGAGGTAGTCAGAAAACCAGCTGGAACTGAAACATACAGGACCAAGACCACAGCGAGTTGAAGGTTTGAGAAGAAAGTGATATGACCGCATATCTGTTGCATTATCATCACTCTGGCTGATGTAGGCAGGAAAGAAAATAGCAGGCAAGAGAGGATTTGGGGAAACTATTTGAGGCACTACTGCAAATAGCCAGGTGAAAACTGAAACTGGTTGAAAGTGATGAGAAGTGGTCACATTTATGTATCATTTAAAGGCATAATTGATGACATGTTCATAAGTGAGAGAGACAGACAGTAGCCTTGGTTTCTACTGCCATCAAATGATAGAATGTAGATCCGCATAGTGACCTATTCAACCAGGGAAAGAGTAGGTTAAGTACATTTTGAATTAAAAGTTTATTTTTGAACTTGTTAAATCTGACTCTTTTAGGCATCACAATAGAGATGACTGGATTTTATTAAAGAGGTCCAGATGGAAGAAAAAAATGGAAATGATCAGGTAGAGGTCATATTTAAAGCTATGGGACTATATGAATTCAGTTAAAAGAGTAAGTCTAGAGAGAAAAGACAGAAAAAGATCAAACTTCTTGGTGCTTCTGCATCTAGAGTCCAGGATGAAGAAAATAAAAACAAAAAAAAAAGCAAGCAAACAAACAAAAAATAGAGATAGAGGAGGAAGTAAACTCGGAGTGTTGTGTAAAAAAAATTGTGGCAGTCACAAATGTGACACTGACAATTAGAATAAGATGAGGGCTCAGAAATTGCCTTTGGATTTAACATTGATTGTCACTGGCATTGTTAGTAAAACTCAGGTATCCTCTCCACCATTTATCTCAAGGAGCAATTAGCCACAGATACCTCTTTTCCAATCAGGAGCCAAATCATTTTTTTTTTTTAAGAAAAAGTACTATCTGAAGTAGCTAACACCAGTGGGGTGGGTTGTGGAAATGGTTAATGGATGCAAAAATATAGTTAGATAGAATGAATATGATCTAGTATTTGATGGCACAATAGGGTGGAATATAGTTAGCAATAATTTATTGTACATTTTAAAATAATAAAAGAATAGAATTGGAATGTTTCTATCACAAAGAAATATAAATGCTTGAGGTGATGGATACCCCATTTACCCTGATATCACTATTATACTTTGTATGCCTGCATCAAAACATCACATGTATTCCATAAGTATATATACCTACTATTTAGAGATAAAAATTAAAAATAAAATAACAAATGAGCAAACCAAAAATATAAAATTGACACTAGGAGAGGAAATAATAAATCAACATCTTTTTCTCTTTTGCAGACAAGATCATGTTAATTTCACAATCATATAAATAAAATAGGGTTTTTTTCCCTGAGTTTTTCCTTTTGGGAAAAACATGCATTAATGAATACACTTATTTTTAATTTGGTTGAATTTGTGCCAAATCTAAGCAAGTGAGTCAGGCATGTAAGAAAATAATTTGAATGGCTGACCATTCAAAAGACTTATTTTTCAATCACTTGAGTCTGGAGTCAACCATTAAAGGAATGTGTTTTTCTCCCTTGTAATCACTCTGATTGCATAAGTTTGAATATGCTCTATTTTTTCATTTTTCCCTTACTAAATGACAATTTATCAATTTGATCAATACAAAGTACAGCCAAAATTTTACTGATTATAATCCAGATTTTGTATTTAATTATTGCAAGAATAACATCTTTTATCTTATTTATATTTTTAACTTATGCATTTGATTTTATGTCTGCCAACAGAAATTAGACACAGCACCTACTGGTGCTCAACAAATATCTAAATAATGAATAAATAAATTATTGAATAAGTAGATTTTTACATAGCCTATTTTCTAACTTGTTGATAGACATGACAGAATTATCTGCCTACTCACTATTGATGCAAAAAAAAAAAACTGTGTGGGTAAAACAAATATTTTTACTTTAAGTTTAAAATATTAAACTCTTTGATGCCAAAATTGTATTAAAAATAGTTATGTAGAATAACATTCACAGAGTATTGCCTTAATTATATGAAATTCCATATGTTCCACCAAATTTTATTATTGCTATTACTGAATGTTTCCTATACATTTCTTAAGGCTAAACCACAGTCTTCAGAAATCTTTCCGTAGCATACCATTAAATCACAGTCTACCATTCTTTCTGTTTCCTTATTTCCCAGGACCCATTAAACCCTATAGTTATTTGTATCCTTACACCTAAGTCACTTTAGTGACATGATCTGTTGTAGTTTATCACCTTGATTATACTCTGTATTCTCTGAAATTAGGACCTTGACTTAACCAACATCATATTCCCAGTCCTAAACACTGTGTCTGGCATGTATTAGTTACGCATTAAATACTTATGGATAATAAATGAATTAAAAGAAACAGCCCTACAAATTTATTATTTTTTATGTTGTACATGTTCTTAGGAGCATTGTTCCATGCGTTATACCATGTTTATTTTATGCGTATTAATGGTAGAAATTAAGTTCAATTCATACAATTAGAAAAAGTAAGCAAAAAGAACAATAAACTCTCCTTCCAACAACCTGCTTTGTCTGGTTCTTCTTTATGAACACTTTGTATCCTGTTGTTGATTATGTTGCAATCTTTGCATTCAACCTGCTGGACTACAAAACTGGATACTTAGCTTACCTCTAGCATGTCTTAAGATAATTGTGACACACATTAGTGTCATATTCTCATCCAGGTCAGTATAATGCCAAAACCCATTGCCTGTCCACTAAATCACAGAATTTGAACATTGGGACAGAGAGTATTAATCAATGAACAGAATGATAGAATAAAAGAAGCAATGTGTTTAGTTGGCCATCCAACTTGGGAAGAAAACAAAGTAGGAGGATTAGGTATTTGTTAGTTTCTTTCAGCAACTTTTCTAAGGGGATCCAGGGAAACTTCAGATCTGCCTCCAAGATCAAGAACAAGACAAGGATGCCCACTCTCATCACTTCTAGTTAATATATTTCTCGAAGTCCCAACCAGAGCAATTAGGAAAAAGAAATAAGTAGAAGTCATCTGAATAAGAAAGAAAGAAGTTAAACTGTCTGTTTGCAGATGACATAATTTTAAAGACCCCACCAAAAAACTTTTAGAACTAATAAATTCAGTTAAATTGCAGTACACAAAATCAACACACAAAAAAAGTAGCACTTCTACATACTAAGAGAAAACTTTCCAAAAATGAAATCAATAAAATAATCTCATCTACAATAGATACCATCAAATGGAATAAATTTAACCAACAGTGTAAGAGATCTGTACACTTAACACTATAAAACATAGATGAAAGAAACTGAGGAAGACACAAATGGATGAAAAGATATCTAGATTGTCCATAGATTGGAAGAATTAATATTGTAAAAATGTCAATACTACCCAAAATGCTATACAGATTCAATGCAATCCCTACCAAATTTCTGACACTTTTCACAGAAATAGGGGAAAAAAACAATTTTTTTGTATGAAACCACAAAATTCCCCAAATAGCCAAAGTAATCTTGAGCAAAAAGATGAAAGCTGGAGGCATCACACTTCCTAATTTCAAAACATATTATAAAACAATTGTAATCAAAATAGCATGGTACTAGCATAAAAATACATGCATAGACCAATGAATGGAATAGAGATCCCAAGAATGAACCTATGCATTTACCATCAATTGATTTTTGACAAAAGTACCAAGACTACACAATGGGAAAATGACAGTCTCTTCAGTAAATGATGTTGGGATAGCTGGATATCCTCATGTAGAAGGAAGAAATTAGACACGCATCTCATGCCATATGCAAAAATCAACAAAAAATGGATTGAAGACTTAATTGTAAAACTGTAAACTATAAAATATTAAAAGAAAACATAGGAGAAACACTCTATGACATTGGTGTGGACAATGATTTTTTGGGGGGTATGACCACAAAAGTGCAGACAACGAAAGCAAAAATAGACAAATGGGATTGCATTAAAGCAAAAGGCTTCTGCACAGCAAAGGAAACAACAAACAGAGATAAAAGACAACCTACAGAATGGATAAATGTACTTGAAAAACATACATCTGACAAAGGATTAATATCCAAAATATATAAGGAACCACACCTCAATAGTAAGAAAGTAATAATAATCCAATTTAAAAATGGACAAAGGACCTGAGTAGTCATTTCTCAAAAGAAGACATACACATGGCAAACAGGTATGTTAAAAATGTTTAACATCACTAATCATCAGGGAAATACAAATTAAAATCACAAGATATCACCTCACACTTGCTACAATGCCTGCTATCAAAAAAACGAAGATAAGTGTTGGCAAAGATGTGGAGAAAAGGGAACTCTTGTACACTGCTGGTAGTCATGTAAATTAGTACAACAGTTTTGGAAAACAGTATGGAGGTTCCTCAAAAAATTAAAAATAGAACTTCCACAGGATCCAGAAATCCTCCTTCTGGGTATAAGTCCAAAAGACATGAAATCAGTATGTCAAAGAGACATCTGCACTCTTATGTCTATTGTGGCACTATCACAATAGCTGAGAATCAATCTCAGTCCATTATCTTAGTCCATTCATGCTGCTATAAAGCAGTACCTGAACCTGAGTAATTTATTTAAAAAAATTATTTGGCTCACAGTTCTGCAGCCTGTATAAGAAGCGTGGGACCATCATCTGCTTCTGGTACATAACCCAGAAGCTTCCAATTATGTTAGAAGAGGCATGTCACATGGAGAGAGAGGAAGCAAGAAAGAGGAGGACGTAGCAGGTTCTTTTTAACAACCAGCTTTCAAGGGAAATTATAGAGCAAGAAGTCACTCATTACCTCTAGAACGGCACCAAGCCATTCATGAGGGGTTCACCCCCATGACCAAAACACTTTTCACCTGGCCCCCCTCCAACATTGGAAAGCAAATTTCGACCTATGATTTGGAGGATGCAATATTCCAATTATATTAGCCATCAACTATGAACGGGTAAAGAAAATGTGGTATAAATACACAATGAAATACAATTCCGCCTTTAGAAAGGGGAGAATCCTGTCATTTGCAACATGTATGAATCGGGAGGACATTATGATAAGTAAAATAAGACAGAAGCAAAAAGACAAACACTTCATGATCTCACTTATAGGTGGAATCTAAAAATGTTGAACTCAGAGAAGCAGAGGGTAGAATGGTGTTTACCAGAGGCTGGGGGTGGGAGGATGGGAGAGGTTGTCAAAGGATACAAAATTTCAGCTAGACAAGAGGTATAAGGTCAAGAGATCTAATATATGTTATGGTAACTGCATTTAATAACAATATATTGTACACTTAAACATTGCTAAGAGAGTCGATTTTAAGAGCTTTCACCACAAAAAAAAAAAAAAAAAAAACTATGTGAGGAAATGCACATGCTAATTAGTTTAATTTGGCCATTCCACAATTGATACATATATCAAAATATGTTGTCCACCATAAGTATATACAATTGATACTTGTTAATAAAAAAAGAAAAAAGTGATTTCTTTCATTTTCCAATACTGCACATACACATGCATGCCTGTATGTGTATACACACACACACACAGAAACACAGCAAATATAATAATTTGTAAAAGTGAGTTAATATGCTCTATGACTGGAATACAATTATAATTTCCCCCAAATTGCAGCTGAGTGAATTGAGCATGCATAATGCTTGCACTATCTCAGGTTTTTACTGTGTTTCTCCTTGGAGACAGAACAGGGCAATGCTTATCCTCAAAGCTTGAGGCAACCCAATTTGTGAATGTGAGCATGTGTATTTCATAGAAAGCAGAGTAATATGATGAGAATAATTTCTGTCACAGTGCTTGCCTTTCCTAGATTATTATTATGCAATGAAATTTGCTGGTTTCTTATTTTCTATGTGTACACCCATTGCCAAGTAGCCTCCAGGTGCATGAACAATAACAACAAAGATGAGGTGAACAGCAATATTAAGAAAACTACTTGTTGTAGCACTACAATAAACATAGTATGTGAACAGTGGCTTGCAACCTTCACAATACAGCCCCTTTGAGACAGACAAATTTAAAATCATGGTCTGAAACCACATCAAGGACATTCATTGAGAAGAGCTCTGTTGGATTCACAAACTAGTTTTCAAAGAAAATAGTCATTCCTTCATTTCACTCCGGATAAATCTCGGAGCCATTATCAGAACTGTAAGAACTAATGTTAATTGCAAAGTGATGTCACCGAGACAGACATTGTCACAAAGCTGGCCATCAGGCAAACTTTGAAAAACTTGTGAGAAGAATGTTAAACTGCACCCTGCAATCAGGCCAAAAAAAAAAAAAAAACAAAACAAAAAGGCTCCAGACTGGGCGTGGTGGCTCACACCTGTAATCCCAGCACTTTGGGAGGTCGAAGCAGGCAGATCACGAGGTCAGGAGTTCAAGACCATCCTGGCCAACATGGTGAAACCCCATCTCTACTAAAAATACAAAAATTAGCTGGGCGTGGTGGAGCGTGCTTGTAATCCCAGCTACTCGGGAGGCTGAGGCAGGAGAATTGCTTGAACCAGTGAGTTGGAGGTTGCAGTGAGTTGAGATCACACCACTGCACTCTAGCCTGGTGATAGAGCAAGACTCCATCTCAAAAAAAAAAAAAAAAAAAAAAAAGCTCCAGCACAGGGACTACATGTAGCTGGCATTTTGAAAATTTTGGCTTTTGCAGGCAACCCATTTTGTCAGCAATATTTACTGAGACCCCACTGTATGTTGAATGTTATAAAGCATAGCATATAACAGAATGAAATAAAAGCTATTGTGATGTCTATTGACAGTTAAAGAAACACTGACACCTAAAGATAAACATTAGTTGGGATCCCCCACATCTAGAATTTGTAGCCAGAGGCAAGGGAAGGTCATTTACAGACCTACAACAAATATGTCCACTAGAAAGAAGTGATAAAAAGGCATCCTGATAATGCCCATATCAAAAAAGACAAAATTCTTAAAATTTAATGCAAAGAAATGGCTCAGTATATATTCCCAATTGTATGTTCATTTTGTCTGTATAAACTGCAATTTTCAAACTGCCAATTACATGTAGGCCTGTACTGGGTACTTGATGTTTAACTTCGGAGTCCTGTTCTAATTTTTTTCTCATAAAACCTCCACCTTTTTATTATTATTATTATTAAAGCATGAAAAAGAGGCTAGACAGTCCTCTATGAGTATTGGGATCTTCTCTAGTTCCTTACAAAAAAAAAAAGTGTTGTACTACAGTGTTCTTATTTCTTATGCTGATGGAAAGAAATCTTGAAGACATAGTCCACTTAAGAGAAATTAAGGTTCTGGGAAAGTCCCTTAGCTACAGTGAGCGATATGACAGATATTTTTCCTCTTTTATTTCTTCAATTAAATTTGCAAAAGGGTTAGGAGAATATATATATATATATATATATATATATATATATATATATATATATATATATATATATATAATGGGGCTAGATGAGAAAGCTGTGTGCTGTTCATGACAATTCTAAATCCAGTCACTAAAACAGATGGAAATAAAGGCAACAATTGAAACAAGAAACCCACTTCCTGATCTTTAACTCTACTTTCCATTCACATGGGGACTTACGCATACAAATTAATGAAGTAAATTCTTATAAAATTAAAAAGACAGATATCAAAAAGTGAACATTCCAAAGGCATACAGAGGACTGAGAGACGTTTTGCATGTGAAGTCCAAAGTTGGAAGTACCCTCAGTTAATTAACAGATCTGTAAATACACTTCAACTGCTGAAGCAGCCTTGAATATCTTAATTTATCTTCAAGTTTATTTTAAACTACTTTGGTAAGCTCTAGATTATGAACAAAACACATCACAATTTCTGTATCACAGAGATCAGAGGAAGATGCAAAATTCATTAGAAGGAAGCATGTGTATTCAAAACTCCTAAGTACTCAACTTGTGATTATCTTACCTCCAGAGATAAAGAAGAGCGAGTATCCAGTTGCTTCTAGAATTGCAAGTTTTGTGATAAGAAAGCAGATGTAACAGGCTTGTAATCATTACTGCCTACCAGAAAATGTGTTAGTTTCTCTAGCTGCTAAATTTCACTAAGAAAAGAATTACATCAATGTGAAATAAAACCTTGCTTCAATGCAACTGTTTCAGAGGATATAAAGTAACAAGAAGCTGGCCCTGGTCTCTGGGGAAATGATCTGAAGGGAACTCTCCACAGGACTAAAACTTGGTCACAGACTGAGGCTAATGCTGTATACATCTTTGTTGTTTCAAATGATGCCTTGAGACTCAGTTTGACTTCTCAGCTTTCCCTCAAAAAACACTCTACTGGCCTGACGCAGTGGCTCACACCTGTAATCCCAGCACTTTGGGAGGCCGAGGTGGGCGGTTCAGGAGGTCAAGAGGTTGAGACCATCCTGACCAACATGGTGAAGCCCTGTCTCTATTAAAAATACAAAAATTAGCTGGGAGTGGTGGCACGCATCTGTAGTCCCAGCTGTTTGGGAGGCTGAGGCAGGAGAATTGCTTGAACCAGGGAGGTGGAGGTAGCAGTGAGCTGAGATCGCGCCACTGCACCCAGCCTGGTGACAGAGTGGGACTCTGTCTAAAAAGACAGAGAGAGGGAGAGGCATGTGGGGTGAGAGAGAGAGCAGGAGAGAGAGAGACACCTTACTTGCCATAGGTCTTAGTATTAGTCAACCAGCTGAATTCATGATTGTGACAGTATATTGCCTTATACCCAATGGTCACAAAAATGGAAGCACTGCAAATTGGTGCCAGAATTAGACATCTGTTGTGTTTTTCTGCCCAATTTACTTTTAACTGCTGAGGAACTACCTTCCCTCCTCCTATCAGTTCTTGCAAAACAAAATTTTTGTTCATTGAATACACTGCAAAATTCTAAGGCTTATCTTGACTAATTATTCTCAGATTTTGCCAAAACAGACCCTTAGTACATGAACGTTTAAGGTATAATGAACGTTCTGTTGCATATCATCTGACTTATGCAATTCTTTCTTCCATTGCATCTAAGTTTTATTTTTGGAGTCACGCCTTTCATAATATCTGATTTAGTTCTTTTATTTAGGATGTTGGTTTTTAATTCTTAATCTGTTATTTGACCTCAATCACAAATTCTTGAGAGTTATCTATTTAAAACATATTTTTAATTTTAATAAGAGAGACTAATTTCCGATATGGTTTTATAATCATTACATTATGTAGTATAATTTAAGCATGTATACCTTTATGTACTCCTTTAGATCAACATAGGTAAACACATTAAATGCATTATTAAGTAGAATGCAAGGATTCCTGTTTGTTGGTGGAATAAAATTGTTCATAATTATTATTTCCTATGTAAAGATAATAATGTCTGGCCTGTGAATTAGCTTCTTTATTAATCCTATAAGAAAATCATTGGCATAGTCAACATACATATTATGAATGGATCCAACATATTAATGGTAGCAATCATCTTCCTAACATTAATCTCTGATTGAACACCATATAGTCATCATGCTCCATTACTGGTTGTAACCCATTTGATTGAACAAAATTTAAAATTTTTATCCTTATTAGAAGATACTGAAGTCATTGGCAATTAACATATACCTATGCTGTGGATACTGGAATGACAGTCTTTCTGCAAATTATTTGCCACCCACTATCAACAGTTGATAACAGTTCTTCAAAATCACTGAACTGCCCCTTTATTATTTCTCCCATAGCTGTTAGCCTCTCTCTATCCAATTACAGTCGTCATTATGGATTTTAGTGCACTGTGTTCCGTACCCTGAACCCCTCACTTGATCATATGCTCTTTAAGGGCAGAGACTAAATTTATAAACAAAGCCTAGCACAGTGTCTTTGATTTTACAGGTGCTTGAAACATCATTGTTAAAATGGGGAATCGTTCTCCAAAGTATAGCAAAATGAGTGTGCTGAAGCTTGGTGTAATAGAGAAAGGAAGAATCTTATCATCAATTATCCTGAGAAAATTTTAGATTTCTTAAAAGTATATAATAAACTTTGTAACTTTAGAATTTACCATGCTTCAATTGATAAATGTATGGCACGTTTGTCAATCACCTAATGTGGTGGATCACCAAGGGATAGGAGAACTTGTTGTATCTCACAGTATTTCTCTAATTTATTTTGCCATCATATTGCCATCATATTTCTTCAGACTGCTTCCAAGGACCGAGTTTCAAAGACTTCATCTGGGGAAATATAGTGCAGTGGTCAAGAATATGGAATTTGGACCATGGGCTGTGTTCAATCTATCTCTGCCACTTACTAGCTGTGAAACCTTATGTAAATTATTGAACTGAACCTTAAAATAGCCCTAATGAGATTCATAATATTTAAAATAAGAATCAAAATAGCTACAAATGATTATACTGTAAGGACCACATATCATAATATATGTGAGGTATTTATCATAATGTCAAATATTTAAAGCATACTAATTTTTTAAAAATTTTTAGTTGAATCGATTTGATCTTATGAGTTATCTTAGTATTATTTATTCCTGGCTCTTAGCTTTTCTTTCTACTCTGCCAGTCTTCAATTGGAAATTTTTTTTTCCCCACAAATTGAGACCTGTGTTAAGGAACCTTACAGTTAATAGCTAAGCTCCAAGGGCAAACATAAATCAAACCCAAGCAAAAAGGCTTTACCATGGGAAATTTAAAATACCCTTTAAAAAATGTGACTCTGTGGAACTTCTCATGATATTTCAGTTCTTTAGGTTGCTAACCAAATCAAGCTCCTTCCTCATATAGAACAGTGTTTTGTTTTCCTTATGGACCATTATTTCCATTGTTTGACCAAAGTTCACCCCATTAGTTTACCCTTGGTCAAAGAACAAGCCTACTGTCAAATATACATTCCAATGACTATGCAAGCTCTTCTTAGACTGGCTCTCTCCTTTGCAAAAGGTGTTGAAGAAAATGTGCTTTTCTCTGGTTATTTTCAGAAATCCTCCTTTTGTTTCACAGTCAATTCTTTTTAATTTTGGTCTTTTGTGCATGTGCAATAGCAGGCTTCATCCAATCAAGGGACAGCTTTCCTTCACTAGGTTATCAACTACAGCCAGAGTGAAGGGCTATTGTCTGGCCATGGGCCTGACTTATACAATTTGCATGCTGCCTAATTCCAATTCTGTTCTATTGTACTGCTGTGCCTTACCTGCTTCTCAGCTGGAAGAAAAGTCAACCAAATGCAGCAGTGGCTCGATCAATGCAGAACCACAAAACCATGTCTAAACAAAAGGTCATAATGTGAGCTCAAAGGCTTTGAAAGTAATCTGCAGAGGAAAATGAAAACATACGTAAACATACATAGAAAAGGTTTTTCCTTCTTAGTGCTGCATTCTCTTTGCTCTATCCTCCCCACACAGTAACCCTCTTCTTGAGCAAAGTAATACCCACCTATCAGCATGATGACTTCCCATTTGTGGTGAATTGAAAACAAGCAACTGCAATAAAGAGAATAGTCACAGAAGAATATAATTCAGCAGGTGAAAAAAAGTCTTTCCCAAAATGAACAGGAGGTGCCAGCAAAAGGATAGATACTGTAGAAAGAAAAGAAGCATGTCACAAGCTCTGTTTCTTATTCCCAGGATCTTTTGACATTGAGGTTTTTTTGCTATAATCAACATGTAAAGCAGACCAAATTAGATAAACAACAATACCATGGGAAAGCAGCATTTGTTTGCAAAGGAATAGATTTTAACACCAGCTGCAGCAGCAGAGGGATCACTTAATAGAGGGAAACAGAGAAATTGTCCAGTGAACACTTAGTCTAGGAAATGACAACAACCAATATTTTTCCTCTGCAACTGCATCAGCCTTTTACAGGTGTTCATAAACTGCAGGCTTTTTGTACATCATTATCACATTCGAGGAAAGCAAAATAGCATACATGTTCTATGTTGCCCAGAATCTGACACAGCAAGAAAGGACTGGAAATACCTAGACAGGGCACTAAAAACATTCAGAAATACAATTTGGGGTGGTAAAACTTCTGTAATTTGAGGCCTGAATGTTGGACACATCTAGGCAATGGTGACAGAAATGCTTTGTCATTGATAGATCCATTCTAATGCAAAGGAATAAAATGATGAATCTGAGATGTATAAATGTAGACAAAGGTAAGATGCTGATTAACTCATTCTGGAAATATATATTGAGTGCCTACTGCCATAGTAAGTGCTGGAAAGTCAATGTATGGTCAGCTGGGTTTAAATCAGTACTTGGAGAGTTAAGTGGTTTTCTTTGCCAACCTCACTTGGCTATAAATTCTAGTCAATATTGGTGGATGATATAGTTTTCAGAGTACACAAGAGAACCTGAATAAGAACAAAGATAAGGTTTTACTAATACCCTAGTGTGGCAAGCCTGGTTTCTAATATCACACATAATAAAGTTATATCCATATTTTACAGGGAGAGAGAGAGAGAGAGAAACAAAGAGACAGAGAAAAGATATAACAATTGAGAATTATATTTAAGTATTTAATCCATAAAATATTGAATTTTCTGGCATAAATTATTCTATGATTGTCATTAATTCAGCAAGTTAAAAATATCTTTCTTGTCAATATTCCTTGTGGTACATCTCCAAGGATGATAATTTCTACTTATTCCATCCCTGTATGAGCATTGCACTCCCAACATACCCTTAAAGAAGCTGAGCTATGTCCCAGCTACTCGGGAGGCTGAGGCAGGAGAATGGCATGAACCCGGGAGGCGGAGCTGGCAGTGAGCCGAGATCGTGCCACTGCACTCCAGCCTGGGAGACAGAGAGAGACTCCATCTCAAAAAAAAAAAAAAAAAAAAAGAAGCTGAGCTATGTAACCATCGATATACAGAATATGAGGGATCAGAGTTTGGCTGTGATTTCTGAAGAATGCTACCCATGTCCTACTGATGTATACATAGTGTCTCAAGATGACTGTTACTTGGATTGAACCTGGTCCTAATTCTAGCATGTAAGCACTTGATTTGATTCATGAAAGAATCCAGTGCGCACTGAAGAAATGTTCTTTCTTCCCTTCTATCTTTTCCAATATATTTCTACGATAGTCATCATCTCATTTTCAGGCAGCTTAATTGACTGCATTCTCGTTTCAAGTTTTATTGTATCTCAAGTGAACAGTAAAACTATTGCATACAACTCTTCGAAAAGCCAAAATGAAGTCTGATCGAGTTGTATATTCATGTCAAGTTTCAAGCATGTCAACACTTCAGACAGTAATTAATTTGGCTCAGAAGTTCATTTTACTTTGACAACATTGCATATCTTCTGTTCTTCTGAAAATATGCTGATCTTGTGAAGCAAGTAATTTGTAGTTTCACCAGTCTCTTCTTGTGGAAGAAATGTATCATGAGGCCATTCACCTATAGAAATCCTTTCTATATCAGGACACCAAAGGCTCCCTAGGGGTCCAAAGCTTCACAATGCAGCCCCTTAGCATTCCATGAACTCATTATGATATGTACCATATCAGTTCAATTGCAAAACAAAGTCATATCCAAATTAGGCAAAGCCTCAAATGCAGAAACAGACAGACACATGATGAGGTAACAATCCCATATATGCCTCTCTCTTTTTTGTCCCCATATCTCAACCAAAGTGTTAGTATAATTTTATTTACTTATTCTCCCTACAGATACAGATCCAACGCTATTCTCAATAAATATCATTTCCTTGCAACACATTGCAAATCCCTTTGACAGAAGGATTACCTTTCAGTACGAAAAGCAGATGTCCTATCTATTCTCTTGTACAAAGCAGCTGTTGTCTTAATTGAGAGGCTAGATTTCCATGCAATCTCAAACAAAGTTCTGGAATGGTATAAGAGGGACCTGAAGAAGGGATTTAAAATCTCTGGAGGGCCAAAACTCCATTCCAGAACAAATGAATAAGTAAATGAATAAATACACATATATATCTTAAGTGAATAAATGAATGATCAAACACACATATTTATTCTAGCCAGTTTTATTAAAATGATTTCACAACCACGTACGGCAACAATGTACCTTAACCTTTTATTTTGGACAGAAGGCAAACACATCCAAACGACAAACCAGAACAGGACAACGTGTGTGACTCCCCTGTCATCCAGGCGCTTTTTGTTTACCATGAATAAGGTTTTGCATATCTACTATTATCATCATGCACGCCTTGCACAGCATTTTACAGATCAAAATATGAGTTCACTTATAGTATCTCATTTATACTTGACAGCCCACTCAGAAGCAGAGGGGCAAAAGATATACTTCATGTTTTACAAATGAAGAAACAAAAAAAATTGTCTTTCTTTGTTTTGTTTTGTTTTTTTGTTTTGTTTTCTGAATTCACCCTATAAAGCATATACTAAAATAAAGTCTTCTGATTCTTGAGTTAATACCTTTCACTTAACTCATATTTTGGAAGAGAACTGAAAGATAAGTCCAGTGGAGCTTGGACAGCCTTGGGTATTCCTAGAATATCTTTTGTTTGCTACAGCAATATCTTTATTAAAGTTAATGTACCCATATTATAATACACCAAAAATTGGAGGTAGGGTTAGGTCATGAAAATGGCCAAATATATCCAAGGAGTGAGATAAGACACTCCAAGAAATCATTCATATTCCCCAACAACCGGGCTGGCAATTGAGAGGAGACATAGGATGGCAGGAAGGTCTCAAAGTTTAAAGTCAAACTAAATATTACATCAAAAAGGCAGATATTAGCAGGAATTAACAAATCAAATAACTCAATTTATAAGATTTATACTTTTTCAAAAAAATTGAGTGCATCTAAAAATAGAAGTATCTCTGATTTCTAGTCTTGGTAGTGCAGTCAAACTTGTCTGACGCTTTTTTTTTTCACCCTGGAGCAGAGGTGCAGTTGCTTGGGGCCACATAACTGCTTTACCTACAGTGGAGGACTGAGTCAGTGGGCTTATCTTCCCACACAACACAATCAGGATGAGCAAGCCCCAGGCATGTCCCCATTTTTTTATCTCCCAGGCAGCACTGCACTGCCAGGCGTGTAGCTCCCTTGTCTCCAGCCACTTCCTGGAAGCACGATGACAGGTAATTATAAGAGCTAAATAGGCTTGGCATTGTCATTTTCAGAAATTGCTTGCAAAGCACACAAACTCTGCTTGCTGCACTCCCCCTACTTCAACATCCAAAACAAATTAAAAGGATTTTTATTTGGAATTTTATATTCCACAAACATTTTGTGACTATTTTTCTCCCTACAGAGAACTTACATCTGCTCTGAGTAGGAGTTTATTTATTTTTTCCTTTTAAACCAAGCTGTTTAGTGTGGCTGACCAACAGTTCAGGTTATTACAGCCAATTAAAAATTAAAAATGGAGAGGCTTCAGCTCCAGCGATGCAAGAGATAATGGAGAAGTTTCCATTCATCATGCTTACAAAGTTTTCCCAGGAAGGAATTTGTTTCTTAAGCTGCCATGTTAGATTTGAACAGCTTTTCCATTTCCTGAGGTCTGTTCATTTAGATAACAATTCACTCAGATTTCTCTACTCCTGTGTTGAAGTGTGGGAAATATTATTATTATATAGTACTTGGAAACATATAGTTCAACCTAAAAGAGCAGAAATGCCGCATACTGCCTTTAGTCAGTTTATTTTTATTAAGGGGAAGGATGTTGTTGACTTCTATACAATTGTCCTTTTAGGATTCATCTTTTATATTTGCTGGCTTCTACAGTTTTAACTTAAACAATCATGAAAGAGCTATTTTCTTATGCCCTCCATATCTTAACCTTTGAAATGTACATATCTCACAGTTATCAAACACAGATTTCTGTTTGTGTTCAAAAAGAGAGTAATATTCTTCTTTATTGCCTTTTATTCCAACTCAACTGCTTTCATCGCTCTACCTGCTCAATAATTTCATCATATAGCTCAGTGCTCCAAAGTGGTAAACCCAAATACAGCAACGAAGACATTGTCAATTCTAATTTGGGGAAAGTTTCTGATCTTAAATCCCGAGGGTGTCTGCATAGCACTTAAACTTGTAATGGAGTGATAAACACTGCTTTTATTTTCAGTTTTTTTTTTTTTTTTTTTTGGTAATCCAAGTCTAGGACTTCCAGTTATAATAATGTATATACTGGTTCAGTGTGAAAAGACTTATACATTGGAATTGGTGTCCAGAGGTCAGTTCAATAGGAGAGTCAGAGAAGCAGGAAGATTGTCAAATTCAGACATATGCCTGAGAGGATTCTGGTAATTTAGTTTGCCGCCTGAGCATCTAATCATTTATTTAGCTCTCCTGAGAGATTTCATAACGTTTTCATTTGCTATTTTGCAATTGGAGTTTTTCCACAGAGCTTCTGGATGGGGGCGGGAAAGATCAGAACTAGTTAGTATCAACAAATGTTGAAGTATCTCTTCTGGGTACTTAAAAAATAAATTGCATTCAAAAACAGGAAACAGATGAGGAGAAAAGACATGGAATGCTGAGTGGGAAAATGGAAAGATAATGCTGCATGCATTTGCATAAAGGCACCCACTTCTCATTGTGAATAGTATATCAAATAGGGCGGGGTGAAACAATTAATGTAATAGCATTTCAGAGACTAACAAAGGCAAGAGTCCAAGTCTCCTGCAGTTTAAATAGACTAGAGTGTGTATTCCCCAGCAGACTAAATAATAATTTGTCGATGCCAGATCTACTAGGATAATGCTAATGGGGTCAGATAGAAGAACTTTCATTGAAAACATGACTTGCCCTGCTGGAAACCAGAGAGGAGAGTTCAGAGGGTGACCACTACCACCTGCCTTCAGGGTTACTGGATAAGAATCTCTGGGTTGTGTCTACTCTACATGAAAATGCTTGATTAAAGGAAATCTCCAAATCAACACTAGCTGGGCCATTCCTCTCTGACAAATGTTAGAAAGTTTCTTGGGAATTTGGGAAATTCAAACTGCAGGGCTTCCACTGTGAGACAGATGGGATCTGGCTAGTTCAATACTCATCAGGTGGACAGCACTCTTGTGAGCAGAGATGGTATCACAGTTTAGAGGATGTAAAGCGTCCCCTTCTTTTGAAAACCCCTTCTTGTGATGGTGTCAGAACCTATCATGCCATCACTCCCTGTCTCAGGCCAGTTTTCCTTTCCTCTGGACACATGGGAAGCACTGGGATCCTAACTCATTCTGAAGTTGCTTACATCACCTCTAGGCTGCTGGACCAACCCTCCTCACCTGCCTACAATTCCAAATATGTGTACCAAGTGCTTTCTGGCCACCTTTTCTGACAGTCAGCAAAACCTCCATGTCTATGTACCTGAAATCCAAGGCATCACATCCTACACAAAACCATGTATTTTCTGACTCTCATACTGTTATTACTGGATCCCATGCTTCCAATGATAGACGCAGGGAAATTTGGGTTATGTTTTGACCCTTCTCTGTCCTCTAAAAATCACATCTGATAAGTTTGAATGTCTTTCCATTTTACCTTTCAAAGAGATTTGTCTGTTCATTCTTATCTGTACTATTCTTTCTGTTGCCTGATTTACCTTTTTAAAGTAGAATGTGATGATGTTAATGCCTTGCTCTACATCCTGAATGGGACCTACAGAGAAAGTCCCATCTACTTCAATTTTATTAAATCCCTATTTGGTACATTTCCAGCCTCATCTCTCACGATAGCCCTCACACACTGTTATGGGCTGAATTGTGTCCCCCCAAAATTTACATGTTGAAGCCCTAGCCCCTAGTACTTCAGAATAACTGTATTTGCAGCATAAACCTTTAAAGAGGTGATTCAGTTAAAGTGAGGCTGTTAGGATGAGCCCTAATCCAATCTAATTCAATCTGACTTGTATTTCCTTTTCTTTTCTTTTCTTTTCTTTTCTTTTTTTTTTTCTGGTGACAGAGTCTTGCTCTGTTGCCCAGGCTGGAGTGCAGTGGTGCAATCTTGGCTCACTGCAACCTTTGGCCTCCTGGGTATCTTAGTAGAGGTGGAGTTTCACCATGTTGGCCAGGCCGGTCTCGAATTCTTGACCTCAGGTGATCCACCCATCTCAACCTCCCAAAGTGCTGGGATTACAGGCGTGAGCCACTGTGCCCAGCCAATTTTTATTTTTTATTTTTTGTTTTTATTTTGTATTTTTTGAGACAGAGTCTCTGTCATCCAGGCTGGAGTGCAGTGGGGTGATCTTGGCTCACTGCAACCTCTGCCTCCCAGATTCAGGTGATTCTCTTGCCTCAGCCTCCAGAGTAGCTGGAAATACAGGCACCCACCACTATTCCTGGCAACTTTTTGTATTTTTATTAGAGATGGGGTTACGCTATGTTGGCCAGGCTGATCTTGAACTTCTGACCTCAGGTTATCTAACTGCTCTGCCTCCCAAAGTGCTGGGATTACAAGCATGAGCCACCATGCCCGGCCTTGACTTATCTCTTCATAGGAAAAGAAGACCAGGGCCCAGATATGCTTGTGCAACAGAGGAAAAGTCATATGCAGGCATAGGGAGAAGACAGACATTTGCAAGTCAAGAAAAGAGAACTCGGAAGAAACTAACCCTGCCAACACCTTGATCTTGAACTGCCAGCCTCCAAGCTGAGAAAATAAATTGTTGTTTAAGCCACCTAGTCTGTCATATTTTGTTATAACAACTCTAACAAACAAAGACATACACTTTGAAGCTTAATAACATTGTAGTATTTTCCAGTTACAGAAACATTATTCCAATATTTTCTGCTCACCATTTTGTACATTCTTGCTGATATTTAATGTTTCTCTCTGTCTCTGAATTTGTTGTACTCTTAAATAATTAGCTCAAATGTTCCCTTCTTTCTGAAAGTTATCTCAGATTCATGAACTTGGAGATAATCCTTCTTCTGGTCACCAATAGCACTTTATTTTTGACTCTAATAAAGTAACTACCACAGCCCAACACATACTACAGTCATAGGTATACCTGTCATTTTTCTTAGTGCACTTCCAGTCCTTAAAAGCAAGTGCCTTCTGTGACATCATTGGAGCCTCCATAGTGCCTTGAACCAAGCTCTGCACACAGGAATTGGGACTGTGATTTCCATTAGGGAAAAGGTCATGTTTACCTTATTCATCATCAAGTTTCCAACACCAGCACAGTGCCTATACAAAAACAGCGTTTAGGTCAGGTGCGGTGGCTCATGCCTGTAATCCCAGCACTTTGGGAGGCTGAGGCGGGCATATCACCTGAGGTTGGGAGTTCGAGACCAGCCTGACCAACATGGAGAAACCCCGTCTCTACTACAAATACAAAATTAGCCAAGCATGATGGGGCATGCCTGTAATCACAGCTATACTGCAGGCTGAGGCGGGAGAACTGCTTGAACCCAGGAGGCGGAAGTTGCAGTGAACGGACATCGCACCATTGCACTCCAGCCTGGGGAACAAGAGCAAAACTCCATCTCAAAAAAAAAAAAAAAAAAAAAAAAAGCAGTGTTTAGTATTTGTGGCGTGAATGTGCTCAAGTAAATTTATTAAAATGAAGCTTAGAAACCATGCAGTTAAATTTCTTCCCATTCAAGCAACAAAACTGATTTATAGAGAACATATTGCCTACCTTTTACTCTGCTAGTTAATCAATAGTCATCTAGCTAGTGCTACAGATTGCATATCCTCAGTCCATGGCTCTTTTCATAACACGGTATTGTCCTCCTGGAATAATAGGACCCTATGAAAAACTTAGTGTATTCTTATGGAAGAAAAACAACATGAAATCATTAATATGTGGTTTTTAAAATTGTATTAGATACTTATAAGAGTGCAAAGTCTTGAGAGAATGGGACCTGGATAATCAAATATATGAAAAGTGACATATTGAATGATAGAAAATGTAGATTGATGCCTGACCATTTACTCAATTATGGTTCTTCAGTGAGATATCACAGCTTGTCAGGAGTAAGCAAAAAGACATTAGGATAGCAAGGGATGTTTTACTGCGGTGTGTGCATTTCTGTGTATGTGTGTATATATGCATGCATGCATGCTATGACAAAGAAGCACTGAAAATTGAGTTCAGGAAGACAATGGGGAGGATAAGAAGTGCTCTGATGACAAATTCAAATTACTTCAAGTTTTATCCAGCAATTGTTGTGGTATAGTGTAGACTCAGACCATAAAGAATATCCTGAAATTTCAAATTCCATTAGGTCAAGGTCTTTAATTGCTAATATATTTGCAATAGAACTCACTTTAAGATAAAGATGTGTTTTTCAACAGTTAATAAGAGTGACACTTTATCTAGTGCTCGCCCTCATTATGCAAGGTTTATCATCCTCTGCACCACTGATTTTTGGGTTCATATCATTCTTTGCTGTGGGGTGTGTCCCATGCATTGTAAAATGTTTAGCAGCCTCCTTGGCCTCTACCCACTACATGCCAACAGGACTTTCTCCCAGTTGTTTCCAGGCATTAACAAGTCTTCCCTGGGGGATAAAATTTCCCTGAATGGACAGCCACTGTTCATAACAGATAAGCTTTTTTGAGGTTCTGTTGTTTAAGGCAGGCTGACTACTGTTACCAACACACACACACACACACACACACACACACACACACACATCCAGTGGCTGAACATAATAGTTTATTTCTTGCTCTAAAAAGAGTCTAATATGGGTCTGGATTGTAAGGCTTGTCTCATGCCATGATGGAGGTTACTTGGGCCCTGCCACTTTCGTGTTTGCCCTGACCATTGGCACACAGTCAGCAGGTGGAAAAGAGCTGAGAAGAACATGGCTGGTAGATTTCCACTAGACAGGCCTGGACCTGGAGCACAAGCTATCCATCCACATGCCTAGTGAAATGGGGACTGGTGACTTTGTTGAAACTCAGTCACAAAGCCTCATTTAATTGCAAGGAAATCAAAAATAGAGTGCAGCTCTGTGGAACAAAAATGGAAATATTTTGGTGCAAAAGTAATTGCGGTTTTGCCATTACTTTCAATGGCAAAAACCGCAATTAACTTTTGCACCAACCTACTAATTTTAGTATTATAGTTTCTTTTGTATATTTAATAATAATTTTTTAAAATTTGTGTTACATTGCATTTCTGCTGAATATATTACAGATGAGGGTGCTGTGGGCTTGCATTGGGCTCAGGAAGTCGTTTATTAGGAGTAAAGGTCTCTCCACAGTATGCTTCAGTTAGTTTTCTTAGTCTCTGAGAGAAAGAGACTATCTTTAATCACATTTTGATCCATTTATATAGTAGGCCAAATGTGAATTAAGAGGTACTTAAATAAATAAATGTATATTTCATAAAAGTTTTTATGTGGCTTCTCTGAGATGATATGTACTTTTAAAAATCATCCAACTTTGGAAGATTTAAACTTAAAAACAAAACATGGATTATAACAATGAACAGCCCTTCTTATGTGCAATAGACTTTTATGTTCTAAAGAAGGCAGGAGATTGAATCTTTTTTGTAATTTTTGTTTTTTCATTACTGGGAATACTGGGAAATGATTTGCACTGTTCATGGAACACAAATACATAAAAGGGTTGGCTGGAATGGAAAGAGTTCTGTTTATCACCATGGGGCAGCATAAAGCTAGCACATCACACAAGGATCGGATATGTCATTCCAGGCCCATGATGTCTGTACTTTGCATGCTCTAAGAATGAGCTGGCCATAGATAAGCTATCTTTCTTCCACTTTATTTTTGGACACCATCTACCCTTAGGATTACATCTTACCCCAGAGCTGTTTTTCAAACTGTTTCCTCTCAATTCAACACATAGTATCGAGAAAAATCTATTCAAAAACATATACCTATGCCATGGAGTGATGCCAAAACACCAACTCTGCTCTCTGGGAAAGAGAGTCATTGCAAACAGCAAACCACATTTAATGTGTTAGAACAGAACAGCCCAATTACAGCAGCTTTCAGATACTATAGAGTGCAGGTGATGGAATAATTAAGTTTAATTGGGGGGCTATTATCAAATGACTCAGAGAAGAGTTTCAGTGGAACCTTGAAGGGTATATGACTTTTAATAAGCTGGAGATAGAGAAAAGATAATTGTAGGCTACAGGAATAGTTTGATCAAAGGTGCAGAGGTGTTTTTGTGTATCTGATGTGTTCAGGTAAGGCTGACAAGGTGGGAACAGAATATTTAAGACACAGCACAGCCAAATGTCTTGAACCAAAGACAATCTTGCTCACCCTAGCTCCACTGTACTTGTTCAGTCTCATATCGTCTACTTTAAATATGCTCTAAATGAACTGTGCTTACCCTCATATTCATAGTTTTCCTCATATATTTTCACACAAACAAGAAGTGTCCTGTCTTCTAAATCTGGATTTAGACAACTTCAGTGTCACTTCTCCTTACAGTTTTTCCCTTTGATGCCGACTTCTTTTTATCCATCCCTTGCCCAAGATTCACATACATTCAGTACTTTCTTCCTAGATTTTCTAACATTTAGAGGCAAATACAGTCATGCCATATATTCTCTCATTTCTGCATGTGTGGTGTGGTTCATGCATTTACTGAACTATACATGGACAAAAACCATGATTTACACTTACTGACAGTATCTTTCATACCTAATAATGTAATCAACATACAATTGCTTCACTACAAACTTTTAACTAAATAGGTCAGTATCTCGAGAGGACAATATCAACCTTGGGATTTAATTGCAACTTTAAGACGACAGCCAAAAAATAATACATAACTTTGGCAAATAGTCACCTTTCCATTTAGCATTTAGTATGGTTTAAATGCATCACTGAATGTCCCTCTACCCATTGTATATCTTTTTTGACATACAAGAAGGGTCTGCATATATAATTTATTTTCTTTTTCTAGAAAACTCCATTGCCACCCAGAGGAAATACTGAGAGAGATATTCCACAAGGGGAAGGGGATCCCATTCTCTTCAATTCATGGAATGCATCTAAAACCTCTGAAATTATAACAAGCAAAGAATTGTTCTAAAATAGAACCCAGACTAAGAAAGAATTAAAGGGCAAATAGAGTTTTGCTAGTTCTGTCTATGCAGTAAGTCAAGTTTCACTTGCAGAGAAATATTTATGGCAGAAAGTTTAGGTAATGATTAAATATGTAAAATTTGGAGCTGTTCTGCTAGAATTTAAATTCTGATTCTGCCTCAGTTTCCTCACCTGCAAGATGAGTTATAACACATAGTAGAAGTAACACCAATAAATTCTAACTTGTAGAGCTGTGAACTGAGTCAATATAGTCAAAATGCTTAGACCAGTGTCCAGCACAAAGCAAACCTTTCTTAAGTATTACAGGAATCTCTAGGCCAATGGAATTCATTTGTGAGGAGTTTAAACAATTCTAAAACTTAGGATTTCTCCTTAACTTTTTTTTTGCCTATTTGGTCCAAATGAGTTCCTTGTTCATAGTAAATGAACCATGCCTATGCTTCATGTGAATAAAGGGTTGAATAAATGGTTGATATGAAAAATAATTTTGGGCAAAGATCACAAAATTTCACAATTCTGGAATGGTGAAAGAACTAATGAAGCATCTAAGGAGTTCACTAAGGACAAAAATTAACTCCAAATTAAAATTGCAGAGAACCAGCCAGAATGTAGGTTTGACCTACTTTGTGTAATACTTCTACTTTATTTTCAAAACCACAAATTAGAGACTTCCCCGTCTTGGAGAGTATTTGATTGATAAAATTAAATAAACTTTTCTAAAATTTCTGGTCAATATTAATTCTCAGGGAGTACTTTGCACATCAGTCACATGTGCAGAGATGTCTTTTCCAACCAGGAAAATAAAGGCCTTAACAAGAATTTGGCAGTTATGGTAATAAATAGGATTGGTCCACTCTGAGCTGCTCTAAAGACGTCTTGCATTTGTGAGAGTAATTGCGAAAAATGTCTCCTTTAGTCCAAAAAAAAAAAAAAAAGAAGCTCTTCCTGAAGAGTCCTTAAAAGACTTAAAAGGTACCTGACGGACTGAGCTCAGCATATTCTCAAGGAATTTATAGACATCTTCGAAATTCAGGGATGTAATAATGAGATGACCCAGTTACTTTTCTTCTCTTAGTATCATGTAATAAAATACTAGATTGGAGTCGAATTTCTCTAGTGCTTACAATTGTTTAATTTATAACTAAAGGAGACAAAAAATAACTTCCCATTTTCAAGCTGTGGCAGAAAACAACACTGAATTGGGTTCACTGAAAACTTGCTTTTTAAAGAAAATAGCAGACATCAATATACTAATTAATACAATTTAAAAACTACCAGTTGTGGGAATTTAATTGTATACGAACATTTCTCCGAACATATACATGAAAGTCCACATGCTGGGGGCAGGCCCTAGAACCAGTAGCTTTCTTAACATGGGAAAGGAAAAAATTTCAATTAATTTATCTACTTATAACTATTAAAAGATGACTGTTTTAATAGGACTGTCCACAGTGTTGTCATTCCTTTCAAAATTAGAAAACAGTAATAAAAATATGCATTGCTGCCTCAGCAGCTTAAGGGGGAAAAAAACTTCACGTATAAAAAAATCCTCAGAGTGATATAAGCATTTTGTATTTCAACAAAAAAACTGCTTTTCTATCTTTAGCATCCATGTCTCTGTTATGCATATTTATGAAAATTCATTTTTATAGCATTAAACTTGAAACATTGATTTTAAGTTTTTAATAGGCACACATATTTTGTTATATTTTGCATGGAAACATAATGTATTTAAAAATATAGACCTATTTAAGAGCAGCACTAAACCCTTCCAAATAGATATACTTTCAAGGTCATCAGCTGCATCTCAATGCATAATTTGGAGATGAATATGCTCTCTGACTGCAATTCAACTATATTTGGGCTGTGGTTTACATAAAAATACAATTTTTAGAGAAAAATCATCATCCTATCTCAAAATGTTTCTGGAGATAGCTTTTTGTCCAGTGATCCATTCCCACAGATGATGGCAGATAAACTGAATATATTTAAACGCAAAGAATGCCACCTTCTGCTACAAGATGAATTAATTTATCAGGCTTTCACCTTAGGTGGTCTGCTGGTGACGAGGGCTTCAGCTCTGGATATCTTCATTGCAGTTATGTTCCAGGAGAGCAATCTTCATCATTTATCTGCTACTGCCTTCAAATTACATAGAGCTCTGTGCAGGGATAAACTGTAATATATGGCCATGGCCCTAAACATGTGTATATAGCTTTACTTAGTTCCATAAAATGAGAATCCTGCACAGGCAATCATTATTTAAACTGCTTTACTATTGAAATAGGCCACATGCTAGATCTCCATCTTTTGCTCTTTTTCACAGAGATACGCAGAAACATTATTGAGAGTTAATGTGCTTCTATACGGGGGATGGAGACAGCTATTGATTGGCGTTTGCTTATTGAGGAGAATACACTATACTGGCTATAAGTTAGCATGCTTTTACATTTAAGTACTAGACAAACTGGCCTACAATACAAATATATTTATTATCTCATGTAACAAGAAGCCCAGGGCAAAGGTGTGTCCCAGGGCTGATTGAGTCAGTGGCTCAATGGTGTTACCAAGGTCCATGTTTCTTTCTAGCTCTCTTTCCTTACCCATCATTCCTGGTTGGCATCATCCTTACCCTAGTTTTGCTTGTTGTCACAAGATACCTGCTCCAGAGCAATAGAGGCAGAATCTTCCCGTTCATAATCATTGGGGAAAAAAATCCTCAGCATTGAATATTAATAATTTTCTTGGATTTGGTTGAGTCTACCTTAATCAGGTGTAAATTCCCTATCTAACACAAGCTGCCAGAGGAAAGTTTTGTCCTGATGCTTTAAAGTTACTGGGCTCTATTTCTGCAGTGCTATCAGTTGGGGGAAAGAAAAAGAATACCTGAATAATATCAAGGTACCTGCTAATGAGGAAGAAGAGAAAAATGATTGTTCTTGTATAAGGTCCAAAGTGCCCACCAGAAATAACCTCAAGACATACCTGACTATATAATTCAAATCAACCAATTTAACATATTATAAATTATCTATGCCTGATGCTCTCTTTTTCATTTTTAAAATAAGAATTACAAATCACAGGATAGATATGATGATTGGAAATAATATATAGGTACAATTTAGCACAGAGTATGACATGTATAAAGGGACAAAGTCACCTGTTCCAAAAAAGTTAGTGAGAAGAAAAAGGAGAAATTTCTGTTATCATTCTGTTATGAGTACAATGGACTGTGATGTGGAGGACTTACGTGCAGACATGCAGCTAAGAGAGTAGATTTATTTCAAGGAAAAGCAAATGGTAATCTCTAAAATATGTCTAATTATCCTGGAAAGATGTTCATCAGAATCTACTGAGACTTAACCATTTAGAAAATAACTGTATAGATCCAGTGCCAGCAGGCATCACTTCAGGAACTCCAGGGCCCAGGCTGTCACAATGCCAGCCATCATGCTGGCTCTCCGTCCTCCCTGGGATTGTAAGAAACACAGAGGCTCCACCATCTGCTGTGGCCCAAAAGCTGAATGAATGGGATAACATGATAATTTCCAAAGGGAATTCTTCTGAGCTAATACACAGATGATAGATAGATAGATAGATAGATAGATAGATAGATAGATAGATAGATAGATAGATAGATAGATGATAGATAGATAGGCACATAGATAGATAGTGAGATAGACATTCCAATTAATTGATTCAGCTTTCTTATTATTTTAGGGCAGTTATTCTTGACTGTCTCTAAATTGATACATTCATTACTGGATTTTAATGCAGTTTTAAACTTGTGAAATTTATTCTAATGGTATCCATTTTGTTATTCTTTTCTTCTGCAAAGCACTATCTACCTTTCCTTTAGGATATAAGTGCACTCCAAATAAATGTTTTGTCCTGATTGCTATAGAATGCATTATATCAGTAATTTCTATGCCAACAAAGTCAAGTTGATACTTTACTATAAATTATTCTCCCAGACAATGACTCATTTATGATTTAATTCAATAGATCTAAAATATAGTTAGGGCCTGTCTGGCTAGCTTCCTGCAAAATGTTGTAATCATCTAACTCCTTTTTTTCTCTTTCCTATTTTTATCTCTTTATTCATATTTTAAGGTGTAACAGTGATGTGCCTTCCCCTCACTCTACGTGCGATATATGATATACACATTAAAAGGTAGCAATCAACTGCAGGTGCATTGATTAAATTAGGCCCTCGTGAAAAAGTGTTGAATAAATTTTACATTTATGTAAGTTTCTTCCACTAATCCTGCCTGCCATTTTCTTTCATAGGATGTTTACTTTGGTTTCAGCATGTGAAGCATAAGTTTTAACATATAAATTAAATATTTGGGAGAAAATAAAGTAATATGTAATTATTTCTTGAATAATGGAATTTTTCACATGTATTTGGCATATGGTATAGACCATATGTTTGAATTTAAGAGTTATTTGGGAACATTAATATAGCAAGCAAAAATTAGAATATATTAATATTTAGTTTACTTTTGAAAAGATTTTAAATTTTAGGTACAAATAAAATGTAATTGATGAAAATAAGTGAATTGGTCCTCCGCAGAAAAATTAAAAGATAAGTATGTCAAAAATCTACATAAAATATATACTTACCATATATCTTAGTAAGCTCAGGCTGCTATAATAAAATACCAGACTGAGTGGCTTAAACAACAGACATTTATTTCTCACAGTGCTGGAAGATGGAAAGTCTAAGACCAAGGTGCTGGCAGATTCAGTTCTTGATGAGGGCCCTCTTTCTGGCTTGCAGATGATCATCTTCTTGCTGTGTTCTCCTAAGGAAGAGAGAGGAAGTTCTGATGTCTCCTAAGTACGTTAATGCCATTATGGGAGTTCCACACTTATGATCTTATCTAAGCCTAATTACACCCCCCGCCCAAAGCCCCACCTTCTAATACCTTCACAGTGAAGGTTATGGCTTCAACCCATGATTGTTTCTGAGGGGACACAAACATTCAGTCCATAATACCATAACCCAGAAATCTAATGCTTACATGTTTACTCTCCCCAAAATGAAAGATCTGTATATAGACGTTTATAGATAGAAGCCTTGTTCATAATCACAAAAAAAATGGAAACAATAAAAATGTCTTAACTGGGGGATGAATGAATACATTGTGGTACATCCATAAAATGAAACACTGCTCCGTAATGAAAACAGCAAACTGTTGATCCATGTCACAATGTGGGTGATGTGGTTGTCACATAAATGCATTGTGCTAAGTGAAAGAAGGCAGGCATAGATAGCTACTACCATACGGTTCTGTTTATGTGACATTCCAGAATAGTCAAAACTATAGGGACAGAAATCAATCAGTGTTTTCCAGGGGCTGTACTTGTGGTTAGATGACTATATACATTTATTAAAATGCATGAAATTTTGCATCTATATAAAAATCTTACCTCAAAAAAAGCTAGCATTAAAAAATACCTAGATGACTAACATGATCGCAGGATGCCCTTAGAAAACTCCTTTTAATAGACATCAACTGTAACTCCAGTAAAATTGTTATGTGTTAAAAAGGAAACAGAACATTAATTTGTGAGTGTTGGAATGGCCTATATGGCATACTAGTTTCCACTTATGAAAAATGTCATTATTGTTACCTGGTTGTCTCAAAGCTCCAGAGCTATCTTAATGAATATTAGGGACTGCCTTGGGTAAAGGCAAAAAAGTTCTACTCGTACAACCATGTATTCAAGAACCTCAGTCTCAGCCTGTTCCAAAGTCTTCCTCCATGGTTCACCACTGGGCATGAAACTTTCATCAATATCTCTCTTCTGGATTAAGTAACTAAAACAAGAAACTGAGATGGGAACTATGTTTCTTCAAAAATGGAATTTGTCACAGGTATTTGGCATACTAAGGCTTATATGATTCATTAAGAAGCCACAGAAGTTAGTGAGAACATGCAGGAGAAGCACATTAAAGGAGCATCTTAACACATGTTGACATTAGTTCTGATCTGCTCTTTTTACTAAAAGGCAATACAAGATACAAGACAGATGTTACAAAGATAGGAAATAAGAAGTTTGCTTCAAATGCTGACTTTGCTCTTTAGAGCTTTTCGTGTTAGCTCAGATTACTTAACTACCTTTGGTCTGAGTTTCCTCATCTATAAAGAGGAGAAGAATAATGCATTACCATTCAGGATGGTTTTCAGTAGACACTCCCACCCACAGTATCCTTCAGTACATATACAAACAATAATTCACATATAGTAAATGCTCAGTAAATGTATGCTATTACTAATAATTATTATTATATCATTTCTTCCCATTTTAAGCCCTTTAAACTACTAATCAAATATATGTTAATGTTTGTTGTTTGCTGAGTAACAAACCACTCCATATTTAGTGGCGTAAATCAAAAATTATTAATTATTGTTAGCAAGTTTATGGAGCAACTGAGCAATTCTGTGGATGTGTGGCAGGCTTTGCTGATGCAAGACATGCTTGCTCTTGTGTCTTTGGTCAGCTGGTAGGGGGTCTGGCCAGTGGCTGTCATCAGGACGACAGTGGTTCTGGGTCTTCTGTCTCATTATCCAGCAGGCTAGCTTGGGCCTGTTCACATGATAGAGGCAGATTCCATGAGGGTTTGTGGAAATGGGCTAAGCCTCTTGAATTCTAAGCTTATAAATAGCACACCACTCATACATATATTAGTTTATTCTCCCCTGATGCTTTAAAAAATATATTTCCTCTTCAGTTGTCCCTGTTTCTTTCTAGCTTTCACTAGATTTATAACACATTCCTAGGCATATCTAATAAAGGGTAATCCATAATTTCCACACATAGTACACCTTAGAAAAGCATGTGTAATAGATACCTAGCATAACAAAGTCATACACCTTAGATGTTAATTGATTATAGATTGCACTTCTCCACTAAATGTAACTCCTTATATGTCATCTCTTTTTATTATATTTCTTTATTTATACTCAGGGCATGACGCATTTCTTGACGAGAGAGATTAAGTGAGTTTTATTTTTCTTATACCCCCACAGCCTGGTGTGTCTTATATGGACAGCACATAGTTGTTGGAAAAATCCTATTAGAGGTATCATGTAGCAAGAGAGAGGCCTTTGTTAGGGTTTATCAAGGAAGGCTGAGAATAAGGGTAGACCTTGAAGTCTGGGAAGGAATTACATTTGGGGAAGAGTCTTAGTGAGCAGCCCATCCAACATGAAGAAAGTTTAGAGTGGGAAACAGACACCGTGAATAAACAAAGACTTTGGCTTGAGCAAAGTGTGGTTTTGAGCATTAATGGGAATTGGGGATAGAAAGAAAGTCAGGAAAAAACTCCAAACGGCTTCAAGTTAAAGAACTTTGTTTAAATCCATTTATTATTTAATTAATGAGAAATACTTAACACATTAATTAAATAATGAGAGAAAATTAAGCCATTAACTCTCACTGCCCATTAAGTTTATCAGACTAGTTAGTCTTTACCTTAACAAACAATGACATAAGTAAATTTAACCAGGGTAATGACACTGATGGAAGGGGTCATAGAATAGTATATTGTATGAAAAAGTCAAGTTTCTGTGTATGATGAGAATAATTAGGAATACCTAAGAACCTCAAGGACCTGAAGAGAAGTGAGTTTTGACAGACAGATAAGTCACAAGTTATGACTCCATAGTACAATCCCTCATTGACTGGCTCTGACACACATAGACAGAGTTAAAAAAAATAGTTTATAAATCAATCCTGGACATTCTACATATAAATTCTCCCTCTATTTCTTTGGTCAGAACCTAGCTGCAAGTTCTCAACCTCCTGCAAGGAAGCCTGGGAAATGTCCTCTTCATTTGGCTTACCTACTTTTTGTCACTTAAAATAAGACATAAAAAGTTGTACAAAACAGATGAAACTTTTATGCAGAGCCAAAGTAACAGTTGGTGAGGGATTTTCTATAGACTTAATATGCACATATGTGCACAAAAGCACACACATACATATAATTTGACATTTACAAATTTGAATGTCTCAGATGGAGCTACCACTCTAGTAAGTATTTATTTTTAGTGACGAAAAAATACAGTGAGTCCTAAGAGGAAAAGAAGGATGTATGTCAGGAAAAGATACACTAGTAAGTTTCAGATTTCAGCATGATTCAATTCCCTTGAGGATCTGATTAACTATACAGATGCTAGGCCCCAACCTCAGAGAGCCTAATCCATTTTAAGAAGATCTCTGATGTCATCATGGGATTCACTTTGACAAATATTGCTCCAGCCCTGTCTACTCTTGAATGACTCATGGGATGTGACCCTGTTTTTTTTTTTTTTTTTTTTTTGGTCCTTCTGTGACCTGTTTATTTCAGTTAGCATAACATCCTTAAGCTTCATCCATTTTGTTGCATTTCACAGATTTTCCTTTTGTTAATGGCTCAATAATATCTTACTCCATGTACATACCAAAATTAAAAATAGAATTACAATATGATTCAGCAATCCCACTTTTGGGTATTTACACAAAATAATTAAAATCAGGATCTTGAAGGGATATTTATACCCCATATTCATTGCAACATTATCCACAGTAGTCAAGATATATAGGAAACAATGCAAATGTCCATTGATGGATGAATTGACATACATTTTCTTTTTTAAAAAAAATTTTGCTTTAAGTTCTGGGATACATGTTCAGAATACGCAGGTTTGTTACATAGGTATACATGTGCCATGGTGGTTTGCTGTAACTATCAACCCGGCATGTGACCCTGTTCCTTCCATGTCTGCTGCAAAGTCCAAAATAATGATAATGGCTATAGCCAATCTAAAACATGCCCAGGTGCCTGATTGGAATCTCATCACTGAGTTTGTAAGTCCATAACTTGTTTCCATTTTTTTTTCCTGTTTTGGAGGCCGAGAACATATTTCCCTCAAAAGAACAGTTGAGAGAGAACCCTGCACTCTAAGAGATATAAAATGTAGACCCACTCTTTAGCTAATGCATAGAGTCTTCTTATTATATATTTCGTCTTTTCTGCCAAAAGTAAAAATTGATCAACATTTTGAGATTGTCAAGATTACTTTGAAAAATATTTTAAAAAGAGAAATATATATCTTCGAATGTTTGGAAGAAAGGGGATGGGCCAGCTACAGAAATCAAAATTACTTTAATTGCCAGGCCATAGTTGAGGATAGATAGTCATACCATTGAGTAACCCATCATCTGTAGCTCACCAATAAATTCAGTAGCTGGATTGCTTAGTCCACCAGAGAGAGTAACGATTACTTCACAGCATATCATAGTAATGTAATATACCTTATCTTTCTTTTCTATTTACTGTTGTTGCCTGTTTTATCATTTTACACAGTTTTGAATGTGTGTGCTTTCTTATTTATTTTACCTTTAAGGGTTATTCGTAAGCTTAACTAATACCAAAAGAACAGGATTTATTTACTTCTCAGGGACTTCATGATTTTTATTTTGTTTCTAATTGACATAACAATTGTACATATTCATGGGATACAGTGTGATGTTTTAATACAAACATATATTGCATAATCATGAAATCAAGGTATTTAGCTGTATTTATGATCTTATATATTTATTATTTTTTATAGTGAGAGCATTCAAAATCCTGTCTTCTAGCTATTTTGAAATATATAATACAATTCTTTTAACCATAGTCACATTGCAGCATAATAGAATACCAAATTTTTTTTCTCTCAAAGGTTAAATAAGTTTTTTAAATGGTATACATACATAATGAAATACTATCTGGCCATTAAAAAATGTAATTTGCCATTTTCAGCAACGTGGATGAAACTAGAGAACATTTTGTTAGGTGAAATAAGCCAAGCACAGAAAGACTAATATTGCATCATCTCACTCATATGTGGGAGCCAAAGGAGCTGATCTTATGGAAGTAGAGGGTAGATTAGTGGTTACCGGAGGCTAGGCAGTGTGGTGAGAATGGGGAGATCGTGAGATTTGGTCAACAGGTAAAAAGTTACAATTAGATAGAAACTTCCTTATTAGAAAAACTAATAGAGGTGCATTTTGGTTATGTTTTCATATTAGCACATCCTGAATATCAGCTAAAATCCAAATGTATCTTCAAGACTTTTGATTGAAACTTTGACAATGCAAGAGAGGCTTTTTCCTGAAACCTGGACTATTGACAGAATTATTTCTTAACTGATACTACCGTCCTTACACCTTTAATATATACTGTGTACACAAGCAGAGAAGCTTTCTAGAGCACTGCATGCATTATTCCACCTCTCTGTTTAAAATTTTAATGGCTCCCTACTTCCTAAAAGAGAAATATTGAGCTCTTAGCCTTCCACTTAATGCCTTCCAAATTTAGACACTAAATATAGCATTGCCTAAGCCAGATAGGTTTATCCATCTCCAGTCATGCCTTACTTAGCTTTTTTCTTTTGGTTTTACAGTTGACATAGTTCTTTTCTCTTCTGTATTATTCCTACCACATCTGGATGCCTACATACATAGTGGATTTCTCACTAAATCAAGGCAACCTAGTGAATCACCTTCCAACAAATGGGAATTCATCCTCCTTGTTTTTGTCTGTTGCTAGTTCTGAAAAGTGAGCTGCTCTCTTTCTACAACTGATTTTCACATTGTATCCTAGTTCCCATTAATCTTTCCAAAAGAAGAAAGAGGTTTATTCCTGTGGATTCCCAATAGGCAGAAACTGGAGTCCTCATGCTCAGCCTTGGTGCGTTACCTGAGGCCATTTTGCCTACTGTTTTCAGGCTCTCCTGCCATTGACTTCCAGACGGCTAGCCTAGGATGATGGATGCCCCTAGACTGTCACAGCTGCATCCCACCTAACTGTTGGGTCATCCATTACCGCAGGTAGAAATCTCCGACGCCAGAACCTTCTCTGATTAATAACTCATTATTATAGCTTGCCATTTGGGTGGAAACAGAACTATGCTGTGTTCTTCTTTAAGACTAATGTCTTGGATGAAAGAAAGGTTTCTTGAAAATATTGTAAGCGAGACATAATGTCTAGGAGCTCAGACTTGAATAGTTCTCCTTGGGAAGATGCAGGGAACTTGGATAGAGCAAGCATGATATTAAAATGTGTGTGTGTGTGTGTGTGTGTGTGTGTGTGTGTGTGTGTGTGTGTGTGTATCAGTACTGGATTCTAGAAGCAAAACTGTAGAAGGAAGCAGTACCAAGATAACAAGAGCTAATATTTATTGAGGGCTTACTCAGTAAATGTTTCAGAACACACACTTACAAGCTCTTTATCACGTTAGTTTGCTTAATAACAACAAACATTTAAAGAGGTAGGTTCCATTATTATGCACATTCTATAGATGAGAAAGAGGATAAATAAGTTGTCTAAAGGACTTACGGCTAGTAAGTGGGGGAGTTAATAGTTATCCCTCAGTATTCATGGGGGAATGCTGCTAGGATTCCCCATGGACACCAAAATCTACAGATGCTTAAGTCTCTGATATAAAATGGATTTGTATATAACCTACCCACATCCTCCTGTATACTTTAAATCATCTCTAAATTACTTATAATACCTAATATAGCATAAATGCTATGCATATATTTCTTGTACCGTATTGTTTACATAATAATGACAAGAAAAACTCTGTACATGTTCAGTACCAAAACAATCATCCTTTTATTTTTCTGACTATCTTTGTTCTATGGTTGTGCATCCATGAATGTGATTCCACAAATGTGGAACCTATGGATGCAGAAAGCTGATTGTATCTCAAACAGAGGTAGTTTAATTCCAGAAATTAAGTCGGGCCAATTTAGATTGCTATGTTACTGATACAAGAGGTTTACATAAGATATCTCACTTAATTCAACAACTCTGCAATGCAGAATTTACGATTTTCCCATTTTTAGTGGAAAAAAAAACAGTACTCAAAACAGCAAAGTTAAGGTTTCACATCTGGTGTATAAGTAGCAAAACAAAATTTTGAACTCCAGACTGTCCAAATCGTGTGCTCTTTCTACCAAACCATGCTACTTTTTACTTTGAGACAGAAAGTATCATTGTTTTCTGTATGCAAATCAAGCTTCTCCTTACTGCAAAGCAGTTGAATTGCTTGAGGGGAAAAAGGTAAACAGAAAGTATGCTCCTCTGATTGGGGTGAAAAAGTTGGAGGAGAAAGTTATGTTCTCCACAAAAAGATCTAGTAATCAGTTTCTATTGCCTTGGGGTGAGAAACAAAGGTAATGATAACCTATCTGTGAAGGCTTTCCTTCTCACAAATGCAAATGGTTTTAGTGGTATTCATGAATAATGAGGGTAGGAGGTATGTGTTGCTAAGAGAGAAGAATGGAGAAAAAGACACACATACAGAGACAAAAGAAGAAAAGAAAAAAGAGAAAGAGAAGGTTCTGAGGCATTTTGGATACTATACTAACTCTCCTTAATTATCCTTAGATGCAGGGTTAATTTCAGAGCTCTCAGTGTTAATTTGGTAAAGATCAAATTACCTGGGCTACAGAAAGAGCTGGGATTTATGGGTCACATGAAAGGAATATAATTGAAACTTATTGAGCATCTATTCTGTTTTGTATTATTAGACATCCTAAAAGATAGGAGTTTTATGCTCATTTACAGATGAAAAAACTAAGGTTCAAAAATATTAAATTATTTTCCCAAGCCTGACTGCCAGAAAGCAGCAGAGCCAGGATTTAACACCATGTCTATCTTTCTCCAAAGTTCATACTCTTTCCTCTAAAGACATTTTAAGTTAGGTCCTTATATAGGTACCCTTTTAGTAGACCAAGCTATTGAATCAGCTCACGCTAAATACTGAAGCAAGCTATTTGCTGACTCTGCCTCTAATATTCTTTTATGCTTCAATCCAACCATTATATTTTTCAAAATTTAAATGCTAGCAGTTTTTCTAAAAGATAAAATCCAAAATTTCCAATCTGGTCCCACTGCATTTGTCTAATTATGTCTGCTGTTTCTTACCACCACCAACCAACTATCCCAGCTGATCCCCTGAACTATCTGTTAAGTACATGCCACACATTCTTTCTTCTTAACATTTGTTCTTGCAATACCCACGGTCTGAGTTGTTTTCTTTTCTCACTTTCACATCCAGATGATTATTACCTTGGCACTTACTGCCTTCACCGTTTCTCAGCACTTACCTTGTTTGCTACTTCTTACATATAGTTATGCTTTGTTCTGCCATCTGACGACCTGTTCATACAGACAGTAACTCTACTTTCCATTTTAACTGAATTTAACAAACAGCTTTTGAGAATGAATTATGAGGCCTGCAATATGCTGGATGTTTTAGACAAAGAGATACAAAGATATGGTTTCCACCTACAAGATTTACCCATATGTGTGTTTCCACATAGTACTCAAGGGCAAACTTGCCACACAGCAAGTGCTCAGTAAGCACGCATGTTAATAGCTGAAATGATATGGAGAATGGCCTTCCATTCTGAATTGTCTCCACGTTGCTTCAAGTTTTCATGTTTAAAGTGCCTGGATTATATATGCCTTCAATGCTGCCCAGCTAATTGCAGCTTCGGATCATTAGTTTCTCTGCATAGTGCTCCATTTTGTAGCACAGGTTTTCATAAAGTTTAATGGGTTAACATTATTAAATTTCTCCATGGTATGTTTCTGCTCAGATGGTTTGAATAGAAGATTACTTTCTAAATATAAGTTTGACTCCAGTGAGCTCCTCTCCTCCCTTTTCCATCCTTCTTTGCTTTTCTTTTATTTGTATTACTAATAAGAGGTATTTTCCTAAAGAGAGCCATCAACACACAAAAAAATATGACTAATAACAAAAGGCAGGTTGGTTCTGAGAACTCTCAGTTTGTGACATTCATGAGAGTTATTTATGATTATAGTGGCCTCTGGGGCCCAGATATTCAAGTCTCACTTGCTTTCTTTGCTTGAAATTGTGAAGAGTCAAGATAATAGCTTTGTTATTTTCTGACCATGTTCTTTCACTTCAACTACTGAACACATGTTTAATTCCAGAACTCCTCTGCCATCTGACTACCTCCTCATACAGACAGTAACTCTACAGTTAGATGCCACCACCACCACCACCAAAAGTTTCCGAAAAAGACATTTTTCCTTGTTTTACATTTCAGGAAAATAATATTTCTTTGGGAAGACATTTTTGCATTTTTGAGAGTCATTTCAAAGAATTTCAGCTTGATAAATGCACATGTTAATGCATAATACCATACCTAACTTCTATAGTTTCAGTAAATTGGGCCTTTTTGGGGGGGAAAATATGTGTAGGTTTGTGTATACATATATGTATGTATATGCACATATATGTATGAGTATATATGTGCATGTATATACTTATACTGCACGTGCATGTGTGTACCTGTATATATACATGCACATATGTGTGGACAAGCACACCACAAATATATTTAAATGGAGGGTGTGGTATTCATGGTATATAGGTTGTGGAATATTCTCAAATTGTGTAGGAAGTAAAGCTTACTCGGTTATATTTGTTTATCCGTTTTTTAAGCATCCACTAAAATGCACATTGTGTTTTGAATATCAAGGTTGCAAAAGAAATGGAAAATAGCAGTGAGAAAACTTATGTGATAACTTTGGAAAGAGCTGTAACATGAGCAAATAAAGTTACAAAATTGCCTAAGTCTCAGTACCTCCCGAGATGAATAAAGAAGATAACCTTTAGTCACAAGCAAACAACTAATTAGAAAGTATTCTCTCTGATGTTAAGTCTGAACCTGTAGATGACAAAAGCTAGTGCTAAAATATCAACTGGCATACAATTAATATTCATATTGTGAAAAATTAGCACATTTATCATTCATCTTCTTGCTTATTATAAAATCCTCTAAGATAATGCTAATATGTACAGATTAACTAACTCCAATTTCCATAATTTTTTCATTTCTGAATACATCAAAATTCCATTTTTTTATTTTCTCAGCTTAAATTCTTTGGATAACCCAGAGAAATTCATGCTTGTTCTATTGTATAAAATTGTGGGTTTCTTTCAGACTACTTATTTCATTATTAGACACATGGTCCAAGTTTTCTCATAATGATAACAATATATGTTTATATAGCTACATATGTTTATATATTGTGCATGTTCATAGTTATTTTTTACTCACTTTGAACTTTACTTGAGGGCAAATTTTAAATTTTACTTGAGGGCAAATTAGCCTGTGTCCAAGCCTTTAACAAATGACACTTTGAAAATACTTCTTAAATGTTGCTTCTGCTCTATCAACTCTGGTATAACAGTCATCCACCTGTCTCAATCACTGCTAAGAAGAGGAGAAATATTTTGGCAATATGTTATTCAGGGAACTCAGCTCATGAGAACTAATTAAAATAATAACCTGACACACATGTTCCTCTTAGATTACTGTCTTATGAACTGGTTGTTCACAACTTTCCAATGCCAAATCAACGTTGTCAGAGCACAACTGCTATTAAAATGAGAAACTGGCTAATTCACAGTCAGAAAACTGTTGACTTACAAACATAAATGTCAAATATCAAGGGTAGTGATTCATGAAAACATAGAGTAACATTATCTCCTCAAATATTAAAAAGAATATTTTAAGGCCATATAATAAGAATGAAAATAAAAATAATATGGTAAAGAACAAGAACAAGAAAAGGAGGAAGACCATATTACAAATGCACAAAAATGGTACTCAAAATCAATATATCTTCATGTGCCTTTGAAAGTGCTCACAATGCTACATGAGAGATGAGCTTTAGAAAGGCAAAAGGACTTGCTGGATGACACACAGTAAGCATTTTCTCTCTCACAGAATAATACATTTTCTGGGTTGAATTCTTGCAGCTGGCTTTCAACAGTCAGTTTTTCAACAACACACATTAATATACAATCTGTGTAAAAGACAATATATCAGAATTTACAGAGGAAAAAAGAGCTCTGATTTGTCTTTGATGAAACTTCAAAAGCAACACACACAATGCACAATCACACGCAGAGATATGCACATCAATTACTAAATGAATCAAAGCAAACTAAATAATAGTATAATTCAGTGCCTAAGGAGGCCAGTTAAAATGTATTTTTTTCATGTATGAAGGCTTTTTGCTTTAATTTTTTTTTTAACTTCAGGGGTACATGTGCAGTTTTGCTATTTAGGTAAACTTGTGTCATGAGGGTTTGTTGTACAGACGATTTCATCACCCAGGTATTAAGCCTGGTACCTACTAGTTACTTTTCCTGAGCTTTTCCTCCTCCCGCCATCCACCATCTGATAGGCCCCAGATGTTGTTTTCCTCTATGAGTCCATGTGTTCTCATCATTTAGTTCCCACTTATAAGTGTAATCATGCAGGTTTTGGTTTTCTGTTCATGCATTAGTTTGCTAAGGATAATGGCCTCCAGCTCCAATCATGTCCTTGCAAAGAAAATGAAATCATTCTTTTTTTATGGCTGCATAGTGTTCCATGGTGTATAGATATCACATTTTCTTTATCCAGTCTACCATTGATGGGAATTTAGGTTGATTCCATTTCTTTGCTATTGTGAATAGTGCTGAAATGAACATATGTTTGCATATGGTCTTTATAACAGAACAATTTATATTCCTTTGGGCATATACCCTGTAATGGGATTTCTGGCTTGAATTGTATTTCTATCTTCAGTTCTTTGAGAAATCACCACACTGTCTTTCATAATGGCTGAACTAATTTACACTCCAACCAACAGTGTGTAAGCACTCCTTTTTCTCCACAACCTTGCCAGCATCCATTATTTTTTGACTTTTGACTAACAGCCATTCTGACTGGTGTGAGATGATATCTCGTAGTTTTTATTTGCATTTCTGTAAAGATCAGTGATGTTGAACTTTTTTTCATTTGATTGTTCTTTAAATAACATTTACAGTTTCCTAATATAATACCAAAAACAACTAGGATTTTCAAAAATTGCTCATCTTAACAAAAACTCAGAAAAATCTCAACTTGAATGAGAAAATACAATCAACAAATGTCAATAATGAGAATACACTAATATTGGAATTATCTGGCAAGAATTTTAAAGCCACATTATAAAAGTCACAAATAAGCAATTATAAATATGCTTGAAATACATTTTAAAATAGAAGGTTTTAGCAAAGAAACAAAAAATACTAAAAAAAAAAAAAAAATGGAAATGTAAGAATTGAAAAAGGTGATAAATGTAATAGAAAACCCCAGTGGCTGAGAACCGACAATAGAATGGAGAGGACAGAAGAAAGAATCATTGGATTAGAAACAGAACAAGAGAGATTACCTAATATCACTCACAAAGATAGACATTTCAAAAGAAAAGATAGACATTTAAAAAGAGCAGAAATTCAAGGGCCTGTGAAACTACAACAAAAGGTCTAACATTTTTGTCATTCGACTCACTGGAAGAGAAAAGACAGAACATGGGACTGATAAATTACTTTTTTCAAAAAGCCTGAAAAAGTTCCAGTTTGTTAAAAAAAAAAAAAGACATAAACCAAGAAGATTCAAGAAGCTGAGAGGATTCCATACATGATAACCCAAAGAAATTTATTCCAAGACAGGTCATGATTAAACTTCTGAACTAAAAGCAAAGAGAAAATCTTGAAAGTGATGAGAAAGAAAAAAATGACAATTTAACTATAAGGGAAAAACAATTTAAATGACAATGGATTCTCATCATTACAATGGAGGCCAGAAGAAAATTGCACATTTTTCAAGTGCTAAAACAAAATAAATGTCAAACAATAGTTCTAATCTGGCAAAATTCATTATCAGAAATGAAGGAGAAATAAAGACGTTCTCAGATGAAGAAAAACTAAGATAATTTGTAACTTCTAAAAGAATAACAAAAATTAAGTTTGAAACCAAAAGGAAATGATTTAAAAAAATCTTGGCATATCAGAAAAGTAGAAAGAACAATGAAAAGCACAAAGACATAGTTAAATAAATAGGCTTTTCTTTTCTCGAGTTTTCTAAAATATGTTTGAGAACTGAAGCAGAAAATACATTGCCAGATGTGGCTCTCAATGTTCATAGAGGAAATATGTAAGTATATAATACTTGAGGGAAGGTAAAGGAATTTAAATAAAGGGAGGTGAGATTATTATACTTAAACTGATAAAGTATCAACACCAGCAGATTGTAATAAAGTGTGTATATATGTGATGATTAATTTTATATGTGAACTTGACTGGGCTAAGGAATGCTCAGATATCTAGTAAATTTAAATAAGCATTTCAATCAGTGGACTGAGTAAAGAAGATCCACCCTGACCAATGTTGTTGGGTATCATCCAGTCTACTGGCCCAAATAGAACAAAAAGATCGATGAAGGGTGAATTCTCTCTCAATCTCTCTCTCCCTCTCTCTCTCTCTCTCTCTCTCTCCCCACCCACCACACCCCCGCCGCCCCCCCAACCTCGAGCAGAGACCTCCATCTTCACCTTTTCTTAAACCTTGGATCTCCTGGTTCTCCAGCCTATTTATTCTGGGACATACACCAGCGAAATCCCATTCTCAGGCCTTTGACCTTGGAAGTTGTATCATTGACTCCTGTAGTTTTCAGGCCTTTGAATTCAAACTGAATTACCTGACTGGCTTTCCTGTTTCTACATCTCGTAGAGGAGATAATGTGAGATTTCTCTGCCTCCATAATCGTTATGTGTATTTATGTGTATCTGCCTCCATATGTATGTTAATGAATCAAGTAACAAAAGTCTTGTTTACTCATTTACTGCTAAAGTAACTAAATTCAATTTCCTTTAAGTACTTTTTCACTTAAATAAATAATAACTCACTATTATAAAAACATGTTGTACAATTTTTTGGTTAATTTTTCTGGATTAAGATTACATTCTTGGGATAGTAAATAAAAACATATTTGAAAACTCGATACAATGAGTGGCACCAAAATAATGGTAACCAGAAACCAAGTACTGTACATATGTTTTATTCTCAAATTAGCACCTTTGCTGCACCTTGACAGTCTCCAAAAGAAGTGTTTGATCATTGTTACCCTGTGATTACCAGAAAGTATCTTTTTTCTTTAGACTTCTCTTCCTCATCTTACAGGGAGGAACAATTAAAGTATAAATTGCCTATGTTATCAGGTTTCCTCTTTAATGCTATCTCTCAACAAATAGATTTATAATTTTTTATTCCTTTATCATTTTAACCAAGCTGATCCAAAATTTGAAGCTAGCAAATTTGACTTTATAATATTATGCACCTTTAGAATTTTTTTGCAAAGAGATGAAAATATGAATGTAAAGTTCTTCAAAAGGCAATAATTCAGTATAGCATTAGAAAGAAGATTAGTGATAACACAAAGATGTATTCTTAAGTTCAGTATTTCACAAACTCAGGAAATCATTTCTCTGGTTCATTCTATGAGTAGTTTATCTTAACAAAATTAACAAATTATTGTGAATGCAGGCTGGTGGTTTTTGGGGTCCCATTGACTTCTTTATATTGTAAACTATTTGAAAGTAGGAAATATATGTATCTTACATCTTTGCATAGCTAATCTAGAACTTTGCACCTAGAGCAGTCAGCAATTCTGTTCAATCTGCTTTCAAAGATCGCTAAACCCATTCATGTAGGTATGACTTTAGTTATATTTTCTGTTGTTTATTTCTTTGTAAAAGAACTAGGCTGTTTAAGTTTACTTTTACTATGCAAAATTCATAAACAGTGAAAACTGATGACCATTTTTAAAAATTCAGAATGTCGCCAAGCTTAATATAAGTCAACAGCAAATTACTTATATGTGTCTATATGACTTATATTAATAAGTAAATATAATCATTAAAATATGGCTTATATTAAGTATATATTATATATATGCATATATAATCTATATATAATTTGCTCTTGACTTATATTAATAAGTACATACAATCTATATATACATGTATATCTATATATACCCATTTTATTTAGTTATTAAACTTTTGGATTAAAAAATAAAGCTACAAGGCAACATTTTTTTAAGCCTGACTTAAATGACCATAAATACATGATTTGTCCTTAATTCAGACTCATTGCAACTTTAACCACAGATTGTCTGCTTATCTTCTAGAAATTTTATGTTTTATTTTTTGGCATTTGGATTTTTGATACATTTGGAGTTTATTATTCTGGATGGTATAAGGTATAGATCTATTTTTTTTTCTAAATTCTAATTGTCCCAGCACCATTAACTAAAAAGTCCATCTTTCACAGTGGTTTGAGAAGCCACCTTTATCCTACACTTAATTTCCATATACTCTTAAGTTCATATCTAGATTTGTTCTATGCTACTGTTCTACCTCTCTATCCATACGCCTGTACCTCATCTTTTTAATTATAGAGACTTTATGGTATGTTTTAGTGCCTGGTTGGGCTAATTCCCTTCAAAGTTTTTGTTTTTGGATGTTTTTTCCGGCTTTGCTTGCAGGCTTGTTTTTCCTGTGGAAAACAAATTGTCTAAATACATAATAAAATTTGTTAGCATTATCTTTGGAATTAAATGTATAAATTAAATTTGGCAGAAGTGGCATTTTTATAGTGTTGAATCATATAGTTCTAGTAGACATCTTTCCATTTGTTCAAATCTAGCTTTGGATCTTTCTAGAATGTTTTAAAGATCCCTATCTTTAAATTTTAGTCTATTCTTCTTAAGTTAATTTCTAAGTTTTTAATATTTGTATTGCTATTGTAAGTGAGGTTTTCCTTTACCATCATTTTCACTAAGTAATTATTGACTGTGTATATGAAGTCATGGGACTTTTGTATGTTAATTTTATACCTTGCTACGTCATTGCATTTTCTTTTATTGTCTGAGTCTGTTTTATCATTAATCATCTGGAGTTTTCCAGGATTCTGGTTTTCACATTATTGGAAAATAGAAAGTTTAACTTCTTCTTTACCTATTCTTATACTCTTATTGATTTCTCTCACCTAATTGTTTTGACTAATACCCACAGGACAATATTGAACATTAGAAAAGATAGTGGATATTCTTGCCTTGTTCCCAGACTGAAATGTTTCCCAATTGGCGAAGGATTCCTCATCTCTCTTTTTGCCCACTTTTCTCCTAGAGAAGCTATGCATTTCAAAATTTCCCTTTAAATCAATGTGTCAAAGTCCTTTCTGTAGACTATGCTCTAATTTAACAATTCTTTTTATATTTTCAACCTCAAGACAGTCTTGCTTCTTTTGAGAGTGGTTTTAGATTAAACATTACATTAGTTCCCTTCTTCTCTCTTCCCGGTTCTTCTTTTTTTTTTAATTTTATTTTTATTTGTCTGTCTGCCTTCTCTTGTTAGTAAGGGCTTGTGGTAAGACAGGTACTTAAGAGACCACTTGAAGTTATTTGGTGCTTTCTACTGTTTTACTTACAGTTATATTGAACTTTGTGTATTCTGCTTTTGTGTTTTGCTGTGGGTATAGTTTTGTGTGTTTTTTCTTCTTGGTTTTTTTTTTTCATCATTTTTAAGGAAATATTGTAATACCCTTATCTTATTTGTGCTGCTATAAAAAATACCTAAGACTGGGGAATTTATAAAGAGCATACATTTATTTCTCACAATTCTGGAGGCTGGAAAGCCTAAGATCAAGGCACCAACATTTGCTGAGAGCTTTCTTGCCGTATCACCACGTGGCGGAAGGTGGAAGGCCAAGCAAGCCAAGTGACTCATGAAGCCTCTTTTATAACAGTCTTCGTTCTGTTAAGGAGTGAGTAACCCTCATTGGCTAATCACCTCGTAATGGCCCCACTTCTTAACACTATCACATCGGCAGTGCTTCAGTTTTGGAGAGGACACATTCAACCCACAGCAACCCTGATTTCAGCAGCTGTCATTGCTTTTAGCTGCAGGAATATACAGAAAGGAGCTTTCTTTTAATACTTTGCTAGATATGGTTAAATTGACCTTCAAAACACTAGTATCTATTTACAGTTCCACCAGCCACATAAACTATTACTCTCACTAGAAATTTTTATTCTAGAACATGAAAATTTTTAGCCTATTTTTCTTATAATTTTTTCATGATCATCGTTAATATAATCAGATTTTATATGCACCTCTAGAAATTTTGTATTTCTTCTATGAAGAATCTGTTCATAGACTTCACCCATTATCCTATTATATTCTTTTTATTTTTATTTATTTATTTCTTTAGACAGGGTCTTGTATTGACACCCAAGTTGTAGTACAGTGGCACAAACACAGCTCACTGTAGCCTTGACCTCCTGGGCTTAGGCAATCCTCCCACCTCAGTCTCCCATACAGCTGACAGCACAGGCATGTGCCACCATGTCAGCTAATTTTTTTTTTTTTTTTTTTTTGAAGAGACGAGGTCTCATTTTGTTTCCCAGGCTTGTCCTGAACTCGTAGGCTCAAGTGATCCTTCTGCCTTGGCCTCCAAAAGTGCTGAGATTATAAGCATGAGCCACCGTGCACAGCCTCTTGGATCTTTATTTTTTGTAGAAGCACATTGAATAACAAGGTTATTGATTCTTTTCATATACGTTGCAAATACATTACATTTTTATTTATAATGTATTTTACCCTTAAAATGAAAAATAATTTTAGTGTTTGATATCTCAGTCTTCTCTCTTCTAATATTTTATTGTATATTTTGCTTGGAAGGTCCCCTTTCAACCTAAGCTAATCAAAGTAGTATCCCTATTATTTTCTTCTATTACTTTAAGTAATGTTTTATTTATTTATTACTATGCTTTAAATCTTCTGGAGTTTATTTTTTATTGTGTTGTTTGTTAGGGTACATAAAATTTAATATTTTTATTGTATCCAGAGATTAGAGAAATATCTGACAATTATTTTATGAATATATATCCCACAATAATAAATGGGTAATGATTATTTGAGGAAAATACCACAGAATAAACACTCTATGGACAAGATGTGTGTTCATCAAAACTATTCAGTCAAGTTTGTATAATTTAATCTATGACCAAATAATAATTAATAACTGCATAAAAGTCTTCATAGATCATATATATGGCACCATAATAATCTAATAATATATAAAATATTGCAATAACTAAAATGCCTTATATAATCTCAAAAAAATTTGAATAAGTTTTGTAATTGAATTCATTTTATTATATTCCAAATCTTTGAAAATAATAATGTATTTTAAATACCAATAAATACTTATTAAATTTATTCAATAACACATTCTGTTTATTCACTGACCATGATGAAGAAAGAGCTTTAGAAGGTCATAATTCAATCGAATGAAATAAATCAGTCTCCCACCCTGGAAGCCAGTGTTTATGTGACCCATTGTAAATAATCTCCCATGTGATCTACTACCTTTGGCATTGCCACTATGTCTTTTTTTTTTTTTTTTTTTTGACGGAGTCTCGCTCTGTTGCCAGGCTGGAGTGCAGTGGGGGATCTTGGCTCACTACAACTTCCGCCTCCTGGGTTCAAGTGATTCTCCTGCCTCAGCCTCTTGAGTAGCTGGGACTACAGGCGCATGCCACCACACACAGCTAATTTTTTTATTTTTAGGAGATACAGGGTTTCACCATGTTGGCCAGGTTGGTCTCGATCTCTTGACTTTGTGATCCACCAGCTTCGGTGGATCACAAAGTGCTGGGATTACAGGCATGAGCCACCCTGCCCGGCCGCCACTCTGTCTTTTATAGAACCATATTTCATAAGTTTTCCCTCACCACAGACAAATTAAGAACCAGGTTGAAGCCTTGATTTACATAAGCCACCAGAATTCAACTTGAAAAGAGAAACATGAATTAGCATTTTTGAAAACAACCAGGATATGGCATATTTGTTTTGACAAATTTGACAAAAGTATCTTAATGATACTTAAAATTATCATTGTTATAGTGCCATAGATGTGACTTATGATGACTTAAAGATTTTTTCGATATATTTACACCTTCTGATAAAGCAGATAATAAAATTACATTTCAACAATGGCAAAATCTAGAACCATAACTTTTATCTTTCCCGAACTTCTTCCAATATTAGAACCTCTAGTAATTTGACAATGTAAAACCTGAACTTCCTAAAGAAAGTTCTGGAAAATAAATGTTACAGGTAATCTGCCCTTTCCCACTATATAGAATCTCAGAGTTTTGCTTGCTTTTTCCCATTCTAAATTTAGCAGTTTTTGTCACTTCTTTTCCAGAAAAGAAGTCTCCTTGCCTTTCTCTCTCATTGAAAATTTTCCCTGAAAACCACATCCAATTATGCATTCTGAGTATCCCTTGTCTTCTGCCACAACTTAATAAATAAACCAATTTGAACAAAGAAGAAAGTAAAGCATGCTACAAATTAATGTATTTATGGTTACAGACAAATGTACAGAATGTATGCAATTTTAGGCAAAGCAAATATCTCACAGTTAAATTTGATGAGAATATCTTTGTAAGAATGTCATATAGTATTTTTTGCAGCTAAATGTTGTCCTGATTTTGTTATGAATAAATTTCCATGATAAACTTATTATACATTTTGTGTGTCCATAAATGTCGCCACAAAATAACAAGCCAATTGCTGTGATTTGAGAAGTATATGTCTATATAGTTGAGTATTGTTCACCAATTTTCCAGAGGAACAGATTTCCTGGGCTATTTCTGCAGTCATGTTGGATTTTATTTTATTAAAACTTACTGCAACTTTTCATGTCTTCTGCCTCCTACCACATTAGAAAAATTATGAATTATATATAACAGGGTCAGACAGTAACTTTGTAAGTTCAGAAGCAGGGTCCTGAGAGATAAATGAGACCTATCATTAAAAGTCACCTGTAGTAGGTGTTTGTCACTATTTCCCACTGGTGCTAGCAGGCTATTTTCTATAACTTCGACCTAAGCTAACACAATAGGTAGAAGCTATTGTCCCAAATAAAGACACAGTCTTAAAACAACGCCGGGCGCGGTGGCTCACGCCTGTAATCCCAGCACTTTAGGAGGCCGAGGCTGGCGGATCACGAGGTCAGGAGATGGAGACCATCCTGGCTAAGACGGTGAAACCCCGTCTCTACTAAAAATACAAAAAATTAGCCAGGCGCGGTGGCAGGCGCCTGTAGTCCCAGCTACTCGGGAGGCTGAGGCAGGAGAATGGCATGAACCCGGGAGGCGGAGCTTGCAGTGAGCCGAGATTGGCGTCACTGCACTCCAGCCTGGGCGACAGAATGAGACTCCGTCTCAAAAAACAAACAAACAGACAAACAAACAAACAAACAAAAAAACGATAGTTGAATCAACTTATTTCCATTCTGAGTGAGTTCTCAATGACGGTCTTCCTTTGATGGTCTGCTCTTTAAAAACAAGAAGTTTCATTGTAAATAACAACATCACACGAGTAAACCTATTCCATGGAGCTAATCAGCTAATGCAAACAACTTTTCTATTCCAAGAGGGAGAGAGGGCCATTTGGTTGGCAAAGTTTCAACTTAGTTTTTGAACTTTTCTATATTCTCCCAAGTTTAGACTCTTAAAAAGTTTTAATTAATACAATGCTAAATCACACAGGAATGCAGGAAATTAAAATATTCAACACATTAGTGTGGTTAGCATATCATACCATTAAATATTTATTGAGTAATAAGAAGTGCTAATTCTACAAAACATAGAGTTAGATTCTGTAGCTTCCCAGGATGGTGTTAAAGGCAACGCAAAACAATAACACCTGTGATAGCACATTTAGCTCTAGCTCACAAGACCCACAAATTTAAAATAAAATCCATCATTTGGACCAGAGCTTCCTTATGCAATTGATTTAGTTTCTCAGGAGGTTTATGTTTCTACAGTGTCTTTCTCTCAATAATCAGCACCTGTGATTGCACACTCTACATTTCTTAAAACAATGAAATTGTTAAAAACTGCATTTTCTAATTCTGAAATGATTTTCAATCACTCTTAAGAGCTAAAATATTTGTATTGTTATCTGACTCTAAGAAATCTGCTCAGAAACACTCTCTTCTGGACTACCAAAAGTATTTAATGATTATTATGCTAGGAATCTTTGCATTAATTCTGAAATAAGGTGTAATAATACTGATGGGATAAAGATAACTTTGTAAATCTCTACTTTAAAACAAACAATTATCTTCTGAAAGGCTGATTAAGAACAAATAATACAAAATAAGCAGGTATTTGTAACAAGTCTCATACTTCTAAGGATATTTTCAGGGTTTGAAAATATCAACTTCAATAATTCTGTTGGAATAAAGATAACTTTGTAAGTCTCTAATTTAAAACAAACAAATATCTTCTGGAAGCCTGATTAAGAACAAATAATACAAAGTAAACAGGTATTTGTAACAGGTCTCACACTTCTAAAGATATTTACGTGGTTTGAAAATATCAACTTCAACAATAACAACAATGAAAGTTGTACTGAAATAAAACATTTGTGTTTTCTTCAAACAAACATTGAAAGATTTCCCTTCTGGGCTGACTGGTCCATCTGTACCTTCTTTGTAGAATCCCATCTGTCTGCCAGACTTGGTGTTTGCCAATACTCATTCAAAATATGATGCATCAATTGATTTTATTTGCTTTGACTCAATGTGGTGGTGTTTCATTTTGGAACATGGCTATGGCTTGAAAACTGAGTGTGTTCCAAGAGAGGGTGGACACGTGTGGGAAAATCAGAATGAAGCTTGCAAGGTTTGAAAAGTGATGAGAGTGGGGAATACACCCCTAAGTTCTACCATCTGCTGAAATGCATACATGATTAAATAAACCAGATTGCCATTCATTCATCATTCATTTAGTAATCCATTCAGCAAAATTATGGTCACTGTCCTTGGTGCTGAAAATCCCAACTCAAGACGCAGCTATTTATTTCAGGAATTTAAGCTCTAGAGAGGACCATAGAAAATACTGAACTTAAATTCTATCTTAAATAACTACAACTTCCAATATTTTCTAATCTTCTGGGATACATTCATTCACTAAAATTGATCTATTGTACTTATGAATGTATATTTAGGAAATGGCTTTCTAATAGAACTTAGTGTTTGTGAATTAAATACGATGCTCACTGTTTGCTTTCTAGGATAGAAGACTAGTGAGAGAATGATAAGAGGAAGATTAGAGAATCCAACATTTTAATTTCACATCATTTCTACCACAAAAGGAAATTAAGAGCAATAACAACTGGAGGAAAGTTCTCTGGGTGAACTTGGACATAGCCAGTTCTCCTCCCTTTCTCACTTATAGTTCTCAAGAATAATTCTAGAATGTGTTAGGAATGCCACATCCTCAGATGAGGAAGGACTGGATAGAATGCCCTAGGCTATCTCGCATTCCCCATCTAGAAACAAGATGTTCTCCAGTGCTTTAACCTACCTTGTCCTGTGGCCCACAGATTTTACAATGTGGACTTGGGTGCTTTGTGGGGTTTGTCAGCTGCAGTGCAAATATGGCACATGCACATAAGACTTCATCTACCCCCATGTAGATTTATTGAATCTTGGGTGACTGGTGCACAATGAATCCTAGGCTTCTATTGTATCTTGCTGTCTATCTGTAAGTAGGAAACCTGCTTCATGTAACTTGTTGCTTACATGAGTGTTCTATTTCACCAGATTCAGACAAGTTGTTAAGCAGTGCTTCGTGAAATTGCTTTACCCAACATCTTTCTGTGCCCATACATTCATCTCTAAATCTAAAGCTGTTATCAGAATACTGGGTTTCCTCATTTACAGTGCAGCCATTTTCCATAATGTTCTTAAATCCTCTTTATTTAGTTTGATTATGCCATTCCCTTCACAACGCAACTCAAACTATACATTTTCCATGAAGGTTTGCTTGGATTTTGCAATTTGCATTGTTTTTCACTTGTGTTGTTCCATAGCTTGTGTTGTTTTACAACTTGCAGCCATACCACATAAGAGGATATATATTTTTTGCATGTGGTCTCATAAATAATTCCTCTACATGTTTTCTTTATCCAGTTGAGTTAAAGCTCTTAAGAAGAGCTGATGCCATTAAATCTATGGTGTTCCTTGTCTGTGCAAGTGAGTGCTTACTGCACACACAGCAAAGGCTCCCTAATTACTTATTGATTAATGAATAGATTGATTGACTAGCTGCTAAGTAGCTCCTCTCCAGGTCACACTTCCTTCAAATATTCATTATATAAAGAAATGAACAGTGTCTTCTGCTATTGCAACCCTCCACCTTCATCCCTTGATGGCATTTATTTCTGCATTCCTCTAGATCCTTGAATTTTATCTTTTCTGGGTACCCTTTTTCTAAGATTTCTGCAATTTGAAATATTGTCTCTGAAAATGATGATTACTTCTTTTCTGAGAAGTGAATTTTTTATTAGTTCAAATACTATCTCATATTTTTATCATGAAAGAGTTTATTCTTTTTTTAAACTCATACCAATAAAACCAAGCATTTTGAAACTTACTTCAACACCTGATTCCAATAATCAAAACCTGTAACGGCTACACGTTCACTCTTCCTCACCTCTTGGCCCACATCTCACCTTTGCAAAGAAGCCTTCATGGACCAAATTCGTTTATTAGTGCTCTATTGCCACGTACACTCAAGGCATAAAATAATGCATGGTTATAATCTCACCATTCCCATGGGTTGGAGTTTAAGGCTTTCTTAGCTCGGCACACTGTTCAGATCTTACAAGGCTGCAATCAAGATGCCAGATAGCGAAAGGTTCTCATCTGGGGCTCAGAGTTATCTTCCAAACACACTGTTATAGGCAAATATCTGTTTGTGGTTGGAGGGTTAAGATTTCTTTCTTATTGTCTGCCAGTCAGAGGCTACTATCAACTCCTGGGAACACCTTCAATTCCTCGCTACATGGTCTCTTTGTCTCACTACCTGGTAGTTTGCTTTATCTCCTGTGCCAGGAGGAGAATGACTGATGCTTCATTATATTTTAAACGCCTCACATGATTAGATCTGGCACACCCAGGATCATCTTCCCTTTCACTACCTTCAATTAGTACTTTCACTACCACTAATTGGGAATCTTAATTACATCTGTTGAATCCCTCTTGTCATACAATGAAAGTGATATCTTATCACACTCAAGGTTCTTTCTCACACTCAAGAAGAAGGTATTAGACAAACATAGGGGTCTCTGAGGGGTCATTTTACAATTTTGCCTACCACACTCCCTTACCTTGTTCCATTTTCTTTTTTTCCTCTGTAATATTTCTTTACATTCTACATGGTACATAATATATATTCATTTGTTATACTTATTGTCTATCTCCCTCCACTAGAATGTAAGTCTTTCAACAACAGGGATTTTTTTTTTTTTTTTGAGACACAGTTTCACTCTGCTGCCCAGGCTGGAGTGTAATGGCATGATCTTGGCTCACTGCAACCTTGGCCTCCAGATTCAAGCAATTGTCCTGCCTCAGCCTCCCAAGTAGCTGGGATCACAGGTGCCCACCACCACACCCAGCTAATTTTTGTATTATTAGTAGAGACAGGGTTTTTCCTGTTTTGGCCAGGCTGGGCTTGAACTTCTGATCTCAAGTGATCCACTTGCTTTGGCCTCCCAAAGTGCTGGGATTACAGGCATAAGCCACCATGCCCAGCCAACAGCAGGGATCTTAGTGTCTTTTGTATTCTAATGTATCCCAAACACCTGGAATAGAGATTGTTTCATTCTATATGCTCAACAAATAAATGATAGATGAATAAGTGAAGGCTCATTGAAGTGCTTCACCATCAATACGAAAGATATTTAGAGAAAATATTTTACTGAGATAATGATGGAAGTTTCTTTTTTGTTTCCCTGGAAATAATTATTTAATCATTGTATGCAGAATACTAAAGATAAAATTTAATAAACAAAGAAAAAACACACAATATCTCAGACACACACTAACAAAAATTTCTGCTTTCTCTGGAATTTTTAAAGCTTTAGTACTTTTAGTTGTCATTTTAAATCTAATTTTCTACCATGGGTTTGCACTACTTTTATAGTTGGGAAAATAACAAATATCCTGTAATAAATCTCTTAGGTACTTCCTTTGAAACAGAAATTTCTCCACAAATGCCCCTTTGGTTATTTTATAGGTGGCTATGTAAACAGAGTAAAACTCTTCTCCAATGCCATTTTCTCATTTAAGGATGAAATTCATTAGTAGTGGCTCCTCGAAGGGAACTTATCTTTAGTTACAGGTTCTATATAAGAAAAATGGGAAAAGTTCTCCTAAATGGTGAAAATTAAAGAACCAAAACATTTTATGCCCTGTAGAAGTTGCCAAGTACTTTTGTTTAATTGCTATCCAATGTTATACTGCAACTTAGAATTATGTAACATTAACAGTGAGCTCATTAATTAAAGTTGGAAAGCGTCTTTACCATCATTACCTAAAGGGACCTTAGGACATATGATCAAACCAAAGAAATCATCCAGCCCTTGAAAACAGTGGAAGTTGCCACACTTCACACTTCGGTATTGACTCATATTGACTTAGCTATGTGAATTAAAGCAATTTTCTTAGCTTTAAATAACTGCTTTAATACTTACTAGCAGTGAACTCTTATAAGTCAATAAACTGTGCCTTATTTTTATGATCTGTAAAGCAAATGTAGGAATAGTACATATTCTATGAACTGAGGATAGAATTAAATGTCACAATTTTGAAGTGCTTTATAGTACCAGATACAATGTAAGCATTCATATCTATTTTACTGTTTTATATGTAATACTAAATATTACCAGTACTATACCTCGACTAACTTGTAAAGTGTGAAGAGGAACTAAGATTTTATATAGGAAATACTCTAAAAGTTGAAACAATACTGTTCTTTAAATTGTAACAAACTACAATGTGCTTGCATAAAGAATATTTGAAAGCAGTATTTCTTATTTCCAAAAAGAGTTAAACATTAGTTTTCTTCTGCTGTCACTATCTAAAGGATAACAGGGGATTCATGTAGTTTTCTTGCAGAGGAGTATGTTTCTTTCTGCTCAGGTTTGGGCAGGATGTGATTAGAAGAGTCAACTGATTGTGCTCTCCTCCATCACAGGAGAGAAGGATGATTCTTGAGCTTGCAGCAAATTTTACAAATAATTTAGGTATAACTCTTCACAGGAACTCACTTGATTCTTCTTATGATATAAGCAAATTGTCATTTAATGTGTAACTTTCTGTGATTAAAATATAGTTGAAGAGAAAATAACTCTTAGGAAAATATCTATTTCCTTCTGCTTTTAGTGGGAATTTGGAAAACCCCAAGCAATGCTATCCTCTCTCTCTCCCTTTTTAAATACAAGAACCAGGGTATAGGATTATCTTTCAACTTAACCCAGTGGCTGTAGCAGAAGGTTGTTACAACAGTTTCTGCTGACATAAGTCAGTCAATTTTCAGTATAAGATATTATATACATATTAATTATATATTATATGTTATTTGTATACATTAACAATATATTACACGTTATATAATAACCTAACATTAATATTGTATGTTAATTAGATATAGCTATCAAAATGTTATTGCATCTATATTATACATTATATATAATGTATGTATATTATATAACTATACATATTATTTTTTATGCTATGTGACTGAGATAGTTGAACACATAGTTCCTAAAATTTACAATATATTTCCAAGTGAAAAAGCTCCAAATTACCTTTTTTGGTCCTAACATGAATCTATGTATATCCAGGAATATTAAAACTGTAAGATTCATAATAATATTATTGTTGTTATTTTGATAATATTATCATATAGTTCGGTGACATTTTTGGAAAGTCAAAGAATTGTTACAAATGTCAACTAAAGTTTTACTGCAGTTATTAGCTAACTTTTAGTGCTTCTATAGTTTTTACTTTTACCGTCCTTTAAAAACAGAAAATATCAAAGAATTTCCCAAACTCACAAAGCAAAACAGGGATAATCTTGAGTCGCCTCATTTGTAAAGTTTTCCATGAGACTACGTTAACGTATAATAACATTTACTTGCAAAAGCTAAAAATCATACAAGTCACAGAGATTATGTAATGTCTATGTAGAAAGAAGTGGGCTGATGTGTCCATGTTTCACTTAGCCATTATTTATGGCATTCTCCTGTTTGACACATTTTCCTAAAGACGTTATGCAATTCTGGACAAACAGACAATGATCTGAAAATAAAAGAAAGGACAAGATGCATGAAGAATAGAGTCAGGTTTAATGTATGTTTATCTAGATTTTCAAAAAGAGGGCAAAAAATATGGCAAAGAGAAAATACGCAAAGTGATAATGGTGGGAAACCAGAAATGCAAAAAACCCAAGTGGTTTTGAAACAAAATTCACATCCAAGCCCACTGTAATAAAGCTGAAGAACTACCAACATAAAGAACAATTTACAGCAAGGGAATACCAACAAGGGACTAGAAGCTGACTTGGCCACAGCAACAACATAAGTCTCAGACAGGGACAGATAGTGTGCACTGCCGAGGGTCACTAACTGTCAGCCCAGAATTGCACACACAATAAAATTATTCGACTGAGTGTGCAACAAAGACAGCTTAAACAAAATATCCTATGAATGTGCATCAGGGAAAAAAAAAACGATCCCAGAAGAAAATTCTGAGATGCAAGAAAAAAATGGTGACAAAAAATAATAAACATGTTCTTGAATCTACAAATAAACAAATGAATGAATAAGTAAATGAAACTATATATGAAAATAGTACTGATAAATTTGAATCATTAAAATGATAATATTGCAACTTATAGGTTACATAAAAACATAAAAAATTGATAATGTATAACTTTCAAACTATTAAAGAGATAAAATAAGGTGAAAAAATGTGAAAAAATCATCTGAAAGAAATATAAAGCAAGACAAATAGCATAAACTCAGCAGCAGAATTGAATCTAAATATGTGACTAACCAAAAAATGATATTTATTTAACTTATTAAAGAAATAAAAGATAGCTATATACTATTTATAAGAGACATGCCTAAAATGTAAAGCCACAGTGATTTATTGAACTGGAAAAGATAAAATTACAATAGGCAAATCCTACCTAAAGTTTGCTATTGTGGGACACATATAGACTTGACGGCCAAAAACATGATTGAATTAGAAAGGATCACTAAATATTGACAAAGAATTTACTGTTCCAGGAAGATATAAAAATTATAAAATTTTATTATCTAATAGTTTGTCCAAAAACTATGTAAAGAAAAATTAACAGAAGCATAAGAAGTTGGACACAAATCTCCAATCAAAATCAAAGACATGAAGACACTGCTCTCAGTAAGAGATCAAATATATTAAGAATTGAGCAAAATTAATCAACTTGTTCTTATATAGAACACTGCATCCAACAAAGTAAAATTTTATATTTTTTAAAGTCAGATAAAACTTTCTAAAAAGTATCTTTGTATAAGGTACTAATGCAAGTCTAACAAATTTCAAATTATAGATTTGTATATGTGTATATGGGTATATGTACATTTACAATATATGTATACAATATATACCATGTATGTATATATATTACACATGTATACACAGATACAAATGTATATAATAAATATACACATATACAAATACATGTAATATACAATACATATAATACATATGATACACATATACAAATATATACACACACACACTTACACGTGTACACAAATCATGTATTTTTAACCACAACTGGCAAATCTGTAAATCATTATCCATAGATAACTAATTAATACAGCCTTATTTATTGGAATTAGTATTTATTAAGCTTGTCAGATGTAAAATCAGTATATCTAGACAAGTTGCATTTTTATATCAGTTTCAAAAGTCAGAAAATTAAGTTGTAAGAAGAATATAATTTTAATACCCAAAAGTAAGATTGATAGAAATATATCTAATATGGAATTATGAGACCTTTCTGAAGAAAATAATGAGTCAATTGAAAGACACTAAAGAAGACTTAAATAACTGGAAAGAAGTAACATTTCTATGGATAGGAATACTCAATATAATAAAAAAATGCTGATTTCCTTTAATGTCTAGAAACATTACAATTTTATTTCTTATACCAACAAGGTATTTTATGGAGCTTGATAAGCTGGTCCTAAAATTTGTATGAGACAACAAAGAGCTAAGAATATTCCTGAAGCAGAACTTGGAGACTTGCTCAATCAGAAAACAGCACTTATTATAAAGCTGTAGTAATTAAGACACTGTGATGCCAGTTTAATACTGGACAAATAAAACATCGGAAGAAAGTAAATAGTCCAACAACAGGCCTGTGCTTATTTGGAAACAAAAAAATACTGCCATTGCAAATCATTTGTGAAAGGGAGGATTATTTTTCTTAATGATACTGCAACAATGTATTATCCATATGCTGTATTACTCAGGGTTCTCCTGGGAAACATAACCTGTGAGGTGGGTGGGTTGGGGGAGAGAGAGAGAGAGAGAGAGAGAGAGAATGTATTATTGGAATTGACTCACAAGGTTATGGAGGATGAGAAGTCCTAACATCTGTCCTATGCAAGCTGGAGACCCAGGAAAACTGGTGGTGTAATTCTGTGTGAGTTAAAAGGCTTGAGAACTGCAAGGAGGGTGGGAGGCCATGGTGTAAGTTGCAGTCCAAGTCCAAGGACCTTAGACCTAAGAGTGTGGTTGTCTAAGGGCAGGATAAGTTGTATGTACAAGCTCAGACAGGGAACAAGTTTACTCTTCCACTTTTTTATTCTACTTAGGCCTTTAACTGATTGGATGATGCCTACTCACAATGGAAAGGGCTATTTTCTTTATTCTGTCTACTGATTCAAACGCTAATGTCTTCCAGAAATACCCTCACAGAAACACCGAGAAGTGATGTTTTACCAGTTATTTGGGTATTCCTTAGCCCAGTGAGGTTGACACATAAAATTAATAATCACCCAATATGAGAAAAAAATTAATTAGATCACAAATTTATATCATATAAAGGCATATTACTTTGAATCTATAAATTTCTTTGGGAAGCATGTCCACTTAAAAAATGTTGATTCTTCCAATCCATAAGCATGGAACGTTTTTCCATTTATTTGTGTTGTCTCTAATTTCTTTCAGCAATGTTTTATAGCTCTCCTCATAGAGATTTGTCAGCTTCTTGGTTAGCTGTATTCCTAGGTATTTCATTTTCTTTGTGGCTATTGTACATGGGATTCTGTTCTTAACTTGACTCTCAGCCAGGACATTATTGATGTATAGAAATGCTACTGATTTTTGCAGATTGATTTTGTATCCTAAAACTTTACTAAAATTTTTTATCAGTTCTAGTAGCATTTTGGCAGATTCTTTAGGGCTTTCTAGGTATGGAACTATATTGCCAGTGGAGAGAGGTAGTTTGCCTTCTTTTCCTATTTGGATGCCTTTTACTTCCTTCCCTTGCCTGATCTCTCTGGCTAGGACTTCTGGTACTATGAAGAATAACAGTGGTGATAGTGGGAATTTTGTCTTGCTCCAGTTCTCAAGGGGGAATACTTCCAGCTTTTGCCTATTCAGTGTGATTTTGGCTGTGGGTTTGTCACAGGCTTTTATCAAACTACCAATATTATTCTTTACAGAATTAGAAAAAACTGTTATAAAATTTATATGCAACCAAACAAGAGCTCAAATAGCAAAGGCTATCCTAAGCAAAAAGAACAAAGCCAGAGACATCACACTATCCCACTTCAAACTATGCTATAAGACTACAGTCACCAAAATATCATGGTGGTGGTACAAAAACAGAAACATAGACCAATGGAACAGAATAGAAAACTCAGGAAAAAAAGCTACATACTTAGACTCGTATTATTTTTGACAAGGCCAACAAAAATAAGCAATGGGGAAAGTACTTCCTATTCAATAAATGGTCGTGGGATCGCTGGCTGGCCATATGCAGAAGAATGAAACTGGACCCTACCATTTACCATATATGAAAATTAACCCAATATTTATTAAATATTTAAGTGTAAGACCTCAAACTATTAAAATCCTGTAAGAAAATCTCAGAAATACCCTTCTCAACATTGGCCTTAGCAAAAATTTTTGGCTATATCCCACAAGCAATTGCAACAAAACCAAAAATTGACAAGTGGGGCTTAATTAAACTAAAGAGCTCTTGCACCGCAAAAGAACTATCAATAGAGCAAACAGACAGCCTACAAGATGGGATAAAACATTCTAAAACTGTACATCCAATAAAAGTCTAGTATTCAGAATCTATAAAGAACTTAAACAAATCAACAAGGAAGAAACAAATTAACCCCATTAAAAAACTGGCAAAGGACTGGGCACAGTGGCTCACACCTGTAATTCCAGCACTTTGGGAGGCCAAGGCAGGCAGATCACCTGAGGTCAGCAGTTTGAGACCAGCCTGGTCAACATGGAAAAACCCAATCTCTTCTAAAAATACAAAAATTAGCTAGGTTTGGTGGTGCAGGCCTATAATTCCAGCTACTCGGGAGGCTAGGGCAGGAGAATCCTGGGAGGCAGAGCTTGCATTGAGCCGAGATCATGCCATTGCACTCCAGCCCAGGAAACATGAGTGAAACTTTTTTTTTTTTTTAAACTGGCAAAGGGCATGAAGATACACTTCTCAAAAGAAGATATACAAGCAGTCAACAAACATGAAAAAGTGCTTATAATCATTAATCATCAGAGAAATGCAAATCAAAACCCCACTGAGATACCACCACACACCAATCAGAATGGCTATTAAAAAGTCAAAAAAACAACAGATGCTGCCAAGGCTGCAAAGAAAAGGGAACACTTACACACTGTTTGTGGGAATGTAAATTAGGTTAGCCACTGTGGAAGCCAGTTTGGAGATTTCTCAAAGAACTTAAAATGGAGGTACCATTTGACCCAGCAATCCCATGACTGGTATATACCCAAAGAAAAATAGATCATTATACCAAAAACATACATGCACTCCTATGTTCATCATTGTGCTATTCATAATAGCAAAGATATGGAATCAACCAATGAATGGTGGATTGGATAAACAAAATATACTGCATGCACACCATGGAATACCATGCAGCCATAAAAAAGAATGAAATAATTTCCTTTGCAGCAACATGGATAGTGCTGGAGGCCAGACAATCCTAAGTGAACTAATGCAGAAACAGAAAACCAAATACTTCTTGTTCTCACTTATAAGTAGGAAATAAACACTGAGCACATATGGACATAAAAATAGGAACAACAGAAATGTGGACTACTAGGTGGGGAGGGAAGGAGGATATTGGTTGAAAAACTACCTATTTGATACTATGCTCACTACCTGGGTGCGAGATACCCATGTAACACACCTGCATATGTACCCCCTGTATCTAAAATAAAACCTAAAATGTTTTAAAGCATATCAGAGAGCTTCAGAACCAAGCAAGATTCTTCAAAAGAAATTAAACTTTTTAAAGGCAAAATCTTAAAACTTTTCAAGGAAATATAGAAGAAATAGTCATACCTTTTGGGCAACAGAGAACTTTTTAAACAAGACACCAAAAAGATCTAGGGAAAGGTTAGTAAGTTCAATTAACTAAAATGAAAAGAAAGCATCATCAGTGAGTAAAAAGGCAAACCACAGGCTGAGAAAAATACTTTTATTAATATAAGCAATAACAATTAGTATTTAAATATATAAAAATTCTTTTGAATTGCAAACAGTTCAACAATTCAATTGAAATATGTCCAAAATACATGAAGAAATAATTCAGAGAAAGAGAAATATAAATTGCCAATATATATGATGGTCATCTACTTTTTAGTAATCTTGAGAAAGCCAAAATTTAATATTGTTTCGAAACCACAAGATCGATAGAAATTTAAAAGTCTGTTGATACCACATATTGTCCAAAGGTGTGGAGAATTGGGAACACATTAATGATAGAAGTATAAATTGCTTGATGAGTTTTGAGAACAATTTGGCAGTATCTAGTAATTGTGGACATGCCCTATAATCCAGTAACATCATCCTGAAGCAGTGCTTCTTCCCATTATACAAGTTCATAGAAGGACATAATATTTGTACAACATACTGTGTAATAAATGAGACTGCTTGCAGACCGGGGCTAAGGGGATCAATAAAACCACAAATGTTTAATCCAATTACAGAAGAAGCTAGCAGGGAGAACTGCCCTAGAGAACACCTTGCAATGTGCATCTGGAGACTTGAATAAAAATGGTCGTGGCAGCATTGTTTTTAACAGAAATTTAAAATTTAAGCTAACGCATATATCCACCAATAGTAGAGTGCATAAATATATTAGCATGTATTTATGTAACAATACATATGCTATGTGTTAACAAAGATGAATCTTAAGAACATAATATTGAGTAAAGAATCAAGTCACCAAAAATGAATGCATTGTGGTTATAAAACTCAAAAACAAGCAAAATTAAACCATAGTTTTAGGATTGCATACATTTGTATTATTGTGGGTTGAATTGTGTCCCTCGCATAGTTCCTGTGTTGAAGTCCTAATCCTTAGTACCTCAGATGTTCAAACCCCCAGTTTGTTACAACATCCCCAGCAAACTAATACTTGTATTAAGGCTATTTTTAAGCAAAGAGATTATTATATACACTGAAGAGGTACTGCAATTGGAAAGGGACACATGAGAAACTCCAAATGTCCTGGTCAATGTCTATTTCCCAGGCTGGGTGAAAATTATACATAATATGTGAATTTATATACAGAATATATAAATTTATATACATAAAATTGTAAATTTCAGATACAGTTGGTACTGTTTTTTAGTTCAATGTACTTCAGAACTTCATTATGAGTAAAAAATTACTGATAATTGATTTGGATTTTGAAGTACTAGGGGTGTTATAGAAAACTTTTGTTTTATGCCAGAAAAGATTGAAAATTACTGGAGATGTCTGTGTAATTGTGATAATAATTTTATCTATGCCAAACGATTGTTTTAATGATTAAATTAATTAATGTAAGAAAATGTTCACTGCCTGAAGTATAGTAAGCACCTAATAAATATTAGGTAAAGAACAGCTATAATGATTATGATAAAAGAATAAACAAAGACATAAAATGCATTTTTATTAGACCCAAGAAATTCAATATTGATTCCATAACATTATATAATGTAAATATTCAAACTTAACCAATTGTGAAAGGATCTCCTTTGAGACTCTTTTTTTTCAGAAGAGAATTATTTTGAGAGGATCCTATGCCATTTTGGGTGCCTCAATGGTCTTTAAGTATTTCTTTGCTTTTGGCAAAAAACAGTATTCTAGGTTCATCTTCTACTTCCCATGAACTGTACTTAAAATCAGTTTTCCTTCCATGGATATCCCTAGTTTTTGTTTTTTCTGGGAAATGTATTTAGACACCAAGATATAGGCAACAAATTTGGCCACTGCTATAAAATATCATTACTTTAGGACCCTTTCTGTGGACAGAACTAGACTTTTTTTTAATGTATTTTTAAGTCCCGAATTGAGTTCCATTTCCTGCCACAATGAAGTAGTCAGTATTGAACTTACCTGCCTCCTTAAACAGCTATAAAACTGGACAAAGTGAATGAGGTAACTGCTTTTATGCTTTGAACATCAAGCAGCATCCAGTTGTAATTCCGTAAGACCAGGGAAAATCCTGAAGTAAGTTTTCTGCCTGAGGACACTTTCTAATTCCCAGCACATGGATGTGAAGCCCAAAGAGAAAGCAGAATTATTCTGGCCAGAGGACTCAAGGCCTGAAACAAAAGTTCTACTGGGTAAAGCTTATCTAATTAAATTGATTTCATGCCAGAACAGAACTCAATAATCTTTTTAAAAATATAATAATAATGAGAATTGTAACATTGTACCCAAATACATGATATAAACAGAAAAATCACTACAGATGTGAAGAAGCTGGAAAAATGTTTCTCATAATCAAAAATGAAAACATACATCCACAAAAAGATTTTTATAAGAATGTTCATTGCAGCTTTATTCATAGAAGTCCAAAGTGGAAACATCTCCAGTGCCTCCCAAAAGATGGTAGATAAATTTGCATATTAATACAGTGAAACTCTCCTAAAAATGAATGAATAACTAATACACAAAATACAAAAACTCTCAGAGGCATCATACTAAATGTAAGAAACAAAATGCAAAGGGCACATATACATAATTCTGTTAGAGTAGGTAGTTAGGCATACATGAGCAGGGCAGGAGAATCCCCCTCTGTCCTCCAGGAATGTCAGGCAACCATCAGGTGATGGTCAGATAGCTGTCAAACTGTCATTCTAAAATAATAATTGTTTGCAGCTGGCTCCAGGGAATGGCAGTCTCCCACCTTGAAGCTAGTATTAGTAGCTTCCCAATAAAGTTGCAGGAGTTGGGCAAGTGGGCTCAAGCATGCACACTAAGAGGCAAAATGGTATAGTTTTACTGGTATATGACCTTCCTCTAGAAACACTTGGCTGGTAAGGAAAAAATACCTCAAGTCAGCATGCATACAACTTCAGTAAACACACTGCACATGTGGATAGCCCACCCCAAGGAAAGAATCAGGGAATAAGAGATGCAAGACCTCAGAAGCATGCCAACATATAAAACTCCAAGGCAAAGGTCAAACCATGCACTTGAATCTCTCAAATCACCTGCTTGGCCCTCTTCCAAGTACTTTAACTTCCTTTCTTTCCTGCTCTAGAACTTTTTAATAAACTTTCACTCTTGCTCTAAAACTTAAGTTGGTTTCTTCCTCTGCCTTATGCCCTTCAGTTAAATTCTTTCTTCTGAGTGTAACTGCCCAATAGGCTCACTTTGCTCACTGCCTAGACAGAGCCAATTTATCAAGACAGGGGAATTGCAATAGAGAAATAGTAATTCATGTCAAGCCATCTGTGCAGGAGACCGGAGTTTTATTACTATTCAAATCAGTCTCCCCAAGCATTTGGGGATCAGAGTTGTTAAGGGCAACTTGGTGGGTTAGGGGAAGCCAGTGAGCCAGGAGTACTGATAGGTCAGGTCAGACTCTTGGGTGACCTGGGGCATTGTTAATGAATAGTATAATTTGAGAGGACATTTTTTTTTTTCTGAGCAATGAAACTCCACAATAGACTTAAAATACTCTAAAGCATGGTGTAAACAGATATGCCATTATCCAGCCTTTGTCATTTAATTTATGGAGCACAGGTAGAGTAAATTTATCATAATTCTTAAAGGTCCTAGAATTTTCAAAACGGTAAATTAGCACCGGCTTCAACTTAAAGTCACCAGCCTGTCCGTTGAAGCTTTGAGCTCAGGCGTTTACTTTTTCTCTACAGCTACGAAGTCCTAGATGGCAACTTTTTCCAATAGAAAAGTGTTTTTTCTACACTGAAAATCTTTAGTTTAGGGTATCCACCTTCATCAATTATCTTATCTATATCTTCTGGATAACTTGCTGCAGCTTCTACACCAGCAACTGCTACTTCACCTTGTCTTTTTACGTTATAGAGACAGCCTCTCTCCTTCAAACCTAGTGAATCAACCTCTGCTATCTTCAAACTTTTTTTCTGCAGCTTCCTCACCCCAATCAGCCTTCATAGAATTGGAGAGAGTTAGGATCTTACTCTGGATTAGGTTTTGGTTTAAGAGAATGTTGTGGTCAGTTTGATCTATCCAAACCACTAAAACTTTCTCCATTCCAGCAATAAGGCTGTTGTGCTTTCTTATTATTCATGTGTTCACTGGAGTAGGATTTTAATTTCCTTCAAGAACTTTTCCTTTGCAAGTATGACTTGGCTAACTTATTGGTGCAAAAAGCCAAGCTTTCAACTTCTCTCGGCTCCTGACATGTCTTCCTCACTAAGTTTAATTACTTCTAGCTTTTGATTTAAAGTGACAGATATGCAACTCTTCCTTTGCTTCAACATTTAGAGGCCATTGTAGGGTTATTAATTGGCTTAATTTTAATATTGTTGTGTCTGTAATAGGGAGACCACAGGATAAGGAGAGAGATGGTGACCGGTTGGTGAAGCAGTCAGAACACACACAACATTTCTCGAAGTTCACCATCTTACATATGTATTGTTTATGGCACCCCAAAACAATTACAATAGTAACATCAAAGATTACTGATCACAGAACACCACAGCAGATACAAAAATCACGAAATGATTGAAATACTGTAAGGGTTACCAAAATGTGATACAGAGACATGAAGTGAGCATGTGCTGTTAGAAAAATGACAATAGGCTTGCTCCATGCAAGGTTGCCACAAACCTTCAACTTTTGTCAAAAAGTGCAATATATGTGAAGCAAAATAAAGCAAAGCACAATAAAATGAGGTACATCTATATTCCATTGGATTTTGTGCCAATAACACAGTATTTCACTTGAAATTACTGTACAAAATATTTTAATCTCTCGTAGAGTTATTTGTTCCCCACTCCACCATTTCTCCTGTGTTTAAGGATTTTTCTAGCTCTTCTAGATATTTGTATTCCAATCTAAACTTTAGAATCAACTCATCCAATTGCATTAAAAAGTTATTGGCAGTTTCTTAATATCATCTTATATTTATATACTAACCTGGAGGAATTGACATCTTTGTGATATGAAGTGGAACTTGTTCAAGAAAAAGACATATCTTTACATTAGTTCAAATTCACTTGCATGCTTTTGGAAAGTGTTTAAAATTGTTTTCATATAGATTTCACATATTTATGTTAAGCATTTTATTTTCTTTGTTGCTATTGTAATTTTTTCTGCTATATCTTCTAAATAGATGTCATTTGTGTATGACTATAGAGTTTGTATTTTAATTTTAACATCCTGTAACTTCACTTGTTTTAAAATTTTGTATCATAAATTATCTTAGAATTTCCAATATATCATGTGCAAATAAAGATAATTTATCTTATTATTTTTTGGTTTTTATGTTATTAACATTTTTATCCTTTAGATTTCATTGATTAATGCCATCACTACAGTGGTTCTCAACTGGGAATGATTTTGTCTCCAGACAATATTTGGGAATATCTGGAGACATTTGGGTTTTCACCACTGTGGGAGCCATGGGTGCTACTGGCATCTTCTAGGGTGTAGCCATGAATATGCTACTAGCATCCTACAGGACAGCCAAGCCCCATAACAAAGAATTATCCAGCCCAAAATACCAACAGTGCCAAAGCTGGAAGTTCTGCTCTGATATAAAAATTTAATAGTGAAAATGCTGAATGTTCTTGTCCTGTTCCAACTCCATGGGAATTCCTCTATTACTTCTCCATTAAGTAGAAATTCTGACTTCACTATTGTTGCTGTTATTAAAAGTTTTTAAAATTCTTTTTCTATTCCCTAGAGCAAGATAAGTAGCATTGGGGTTATTTGGGAATTAAATAGTTAATAGAATTGTCCAGTGAAACCCTCTGCACCCATATTAACCAAATGTTATTTAGAAGTATTACACAATTCTAGAAAAACAATTGGGAATGATTTACAGTTTTCAACATTTAAAAACTAGTTTTAATTAAAAAAAAAGTCTCCTAGAGTTTTTCTTGGCTCATTAATCAAAGGGTGTGTATGTATTTGTGTATGCATGTATACATTTACAGACGTATTTATGTAGTTCAACTCTACTTACAGATCCAGTATGGCCAATGTATGCATAGGTGGATAGATACGTGCCTTCTATGATTCATGGGTGCCAGGAGAGTTCCCTTGGATCAGATAATGCCTAACTCTCCTATTCATTTATGCCTATAATGTAACCTAGGAAACCCAAGTGTCTCTAGTATTGGTTTTTTTCTTTTTTTTTTTCTTTTTTTTTTTTTTAGCAGGGTCTTTCTCTGTCGCCCATGCTAGAGTGCAGTGTCGTAAACACAGCTCACTGCAGCCTTGGCCTCCTGGGCTCAAGTGATCCTCCAACATCAGCCTCTCAAGTAGCTGAGACCACAGTCATGTGCCACCATGCCCTGTTCATTTTTTTTGCTTTTTTTGTACAGACAAGGTCTCACTATGTTACCCAGGCTGGTCTCCTGGGCTCAAGCAGTCCCCCTGCCTTGGCCTCCCAAAGTACTGGGATTACAAGTGTGAGCCACCGAGCCTGGCAAAGATTGCTTTTTTACAACCATAAATACAGCTGGGGTCATTATCCAGCTTGTCTAGAGGAAGCCTAATCTTTTTGCCAAGCATTTCTGAGAATCCTCAGGCTGTCTACTTATATCAACTTGTTGTTCTGAAGATTACACACTTTTTTGAAGATACAATTTTAAAAATGACATGAGTTTATGCTATATATTATTAATGTACACTAAACTACAGTAGTTTATTGTACAAAAACATTTAAAAACCTGGAATTAATTTTACCTAAATTTCATGTATTACAATAAATATTGGTAGAATGAAGATAAATGAAGTATCCAAAATGTTTTCTAACGTATCAGAGAAAGATTTAATTGAGCTCAAAATACTTTGTCTTAAAACATTTTTTGATATTATTTTAATTGTTAAACATGGCAAATAATATGTGAGAACTTTCTACATAATGGATGAACATCCTACTGCCAAATCAGGCTGAATAGTTATGGATTTTCTCCATTTTTCAAAGCACGGCGTACATTTTACAATCAATATTTTCAATGATTTTCAGTAGTCCTCTACTGCCAAAGTTAGTCAAAAAAATTGATGTGCAGCAATAATATGAATGCATAATACATGCTATCCAGTTTTATTTTTGAACTTCTTTTTTTGGCATTTATTTGCCATGTCTTATAATGATGCAATAGAATGAGACTGAAAAAATCTCCATCTACATTTCATGTATTATTCATATTAATTTAAAAAGCAACTAGCTTTCAAAGGGTTAGCTCCAGGGAACAAAATTTTATGGTCATCTTTAAATTATATTAACATAACCAGGAGCTAAGAAATTCAGTTGTATTAAACATAACCTAAAGCAAATTCATCCTTGTTTGATAAATGCTCCCATTTTCTCAGTAAAAGCCTCTCTAAATCTCTTATGATATTTTAGAATGCAGACAGGGTAACTATGATTGCCTGACTTCAAAATGGATAAAAGGATGCCAATATCCTCCTATAATTTTGCTCTAAACACCCAAAGAAAGGATCAAATCCTAACTCAAGAGTAGTTTTAAGTGATCATAAAATATGTAACAAATTCCTAAATTGCAACTATTTAACTTACTTTGGGAAAGACTACATTGAAAAATATGCTGTATAAAACCATGTTTTGAGGAACTATCCTCACCTTGAATGGTAAGTAAACACTGAGTGTGTAATATTTCATTTGACTGAGTCCCGGCTTCCTAGAGCAAGTAAGAGTTTATCCAACTGGAAGTTTAAACATATGTTTTGCATGGTATCATCATTGAGTATTTACTTATTGATTGACTAATGATGACATGTTTGGGTGTGCTGTTTGATTTATGGGCTGTTTTGGTTTATAGACTGGTGGTTTCTATAAAGCAGAAAGGAGAGAAAAATATGCTGGGTAACAAAAACTAAAAGAAATCTGCAATGCAGAACAACTAAATAAAAAAGAGAGCAGAGAGATGAAGTAAAACTGCCTTGTTCTAAAACAAATGGTAACTAAACTAAAGATCAATAGAATGTCAAAAGAAAATCCAAGGATGGTGCCAGCCAATATGATCATAAATTCACTTTGGGTGCAAACCATCAAATTATGGATATATGATTACTTCACTTCACCTTCTAAAGATTCTTATTCTCTCCCAAGCAAACCCCTACTCCAGTTAGCAATACAGGAAAATTGAGTATAAAAAGAAAAAAAACTTTAATGCAATTTTTAATTGTCAATTAAAAAGATAGATAAAAATTAAACTCTGTGATGCCAGCCAGCATTATGGACTATAATTGGTATCAGGGTTGAAGAGACATAGAATTGGGAATGATTTACTGAATGTAAGAATAGCCTATTGCTGCATAAGAAATTACCACAAACTATAGCAACTTAAAAGAACAACCATTTATCTCACAGTGTTAGTGCATCAGGAACGCATGTGCAGCATAGCTGCATCTTCTGGCTCAAGATCTCTCACAAAAATTGCAATCATTTTTGACCAGAAACTACGTCATGTCAAGGGTTGTCTGGAGGAAGTTTCACTTTCAAGCTCACTTATATGAATGTCAGTAAAACTTGAACCCCGGCAGACTTTTAGCCAGGCCCAGAGAGCTTGGTTGCTGGCCATATGGGCCTCCCCATGGACAGCTCACAACGTGATGAATAGCAGAGAAAAGAGAGGAGCCAGGCTGAAGTCAGTTATTTTGTCACCTCCTCAGAAGTGGCATTCCTTCACTTTTGCTGGTTGTATTCATCAGAAGTGAGTCACTAGTTCCAGCCCACACAGTGAAAGAGGGAAAAACACAAAGGCATTAATAACGGGGGACATTGGGAGTGACTTTGAGGTTAAGCAGCCTCTAAACCACAAAAATCCAGAATGAGCAGAGGAAGGTAGCACGTTCTACGCGTTGATATGTGAATTGTAAGAAAATGAGTGGTATGTGTTGCGCAATAGCCTTCCCCTTCACATGTAAGGTTGGGGGATGGGTGTGGGGGGTGCATGGGGAGATTCTAAATTTTAAAATGAAGAAAAATATCTTTAAATTCCTGGGCATATTATTCTGGTAACTCCAGTGTTTGCTCCTGGGAGCTTGGAGAAGAAGGTGAAATATTGGTGATTGTTTTTTTTCATGTATTGTACTTTCCAAATGTTGTATAGTATGTATTATACATCTTACGTTTGTCTGTCTTCAGAAAACTATATAAAACCCTGAAAACAATATTGAAAGGCTATGACACTTTCACTTTGTGTTTCACACTCACACTACTGTATCTTTAGTAAATGTTATTTTCTATTATACAGACACATATTATTGTTGTTGTCAGACAGTTTAATAGCATCATACCAGCTGTGGGGGAGAGGGCTTATTTCTCCCAATCTCTTCAACATTGGAAGGGATTTAGAAACCATGCTATGTTGGTTTTAGAAGAGCAAGGAGTAATGGCTGTAATACCTTTGCTAGGAGTGGAAATGGAGGAATAGGTTGAGTAGGAAGTGCCCTCATATAGAACAATTAGAACTGACTTCACCTCTGTACTTAATAAGAACTTTAGAGATTCTTTATTTGTTTTAATGTTTTTCCCCAGTAGTGCTTAAAAACATTTCCCGTGTCCATGACCTCAGCAATCAACAGCACTCCGCAGGAATAACACAGACATGGAAGCCTCAGATTAGAAATAGAGCATCACTGAGCAACAGTGGCTACATTTGGGAAACATATCTTATCTAGACAAAAATTTGGTTGTAACAAGAAGCTGCGGAATCAGTGTAGATGACTGAGACCAGAACACTGTGAGGACTGAGAGAACCAATTCTGCTTGAATGACATCTATTTTCCTAGTTGTTCTGGTTAAGGGTAATCACCTTCAGCAAAAACTAATTAATAATTAAGACATTCATAATTGTGATATAATTAAGTTACTTATATGCATATGCAAGCCATATGCTATACTTCTCCAAGTGTTAATACATTTAATGCCCACAACAAACTTGTGCACCCCTGTGTAAGGAAACTGAAACTCAGAGTACTTAAAATTGCTTCAGGTCACACAGGCAGTAAATTGGAATTTGAGGTAATAACTTTCTGTCCTTATTTTCTGTCTTTGCCACATTGTAGGCAATAAAGTATAAGATTAAGAGCATGAGTTATGAACATACAATGTAGGGGTTTACATCTTTGTTTCACGATTAGCTTTACAATTCTGGGCAACTTACTTTGTTTTGGTTTCCTCATCTATAATATTCAGGTAATAACAATAACGATCTTAATAGACTATACTAAAGACAAAACAAGACAATAGATATAAAGCATCCAGAACACTATCTAGTACATACTAACTACGTAATAAAATACAGGCTTATTTTAGGACACTATGCTGAAGACATGTATCTTCTCATTTAAAAATCATGAAAACACTTCAAAGCAGGTGCAATAATTATTATTACAATTTCAGAAATAAAAAAAAAACAGAGAGTTAGAGAGATCATGTATCTAGCCCAAGATTATACCACTGGCAAGTGGTTTAGCCAGGATATGAACCCAAGCAGTCTGATTCACGAGCCTCTATGCTAAACCAGTGAGCTGTCATCTGCTTGATTGTACAATCCTCATTATTTTTGTCATATTATATTGTTATATTGGTGTTCTGCTTTTATTTGTCCGAATATTCCATTGTTTACCTCATTTAGTCTTCATGAAGTTGTATTATTATTTTTTTCTCCTCATCTTGTAAATAAAGAAACTGAGATTTGATTAAATTAAATGATTCCCTGGCAGCCTAATTCAATACTTGCAAAACCCAGGTTTCTGACGCCTTACAGAATGACACTCTTGGTCTCACAAGCTTCAGGTTCAAATTTCTGCTGAGGTTTCACTTGGCTCCTAACATGAAAAAATTCTACCTTCTTCAAGAGGAATTAGCCTGAATGGGAAACAGCTTGAAAGAGATGAAGACAGGCTGACATGCAAAACTATGCAGATGTGTGACTAAACTCAGGATCTAAAATTTGTTCTGTCTTCCCAATGTCCCCTGGAATTTATACATTATACTTTAATTGATTTCTCACCAAATGGCTGAGTTTTATGACTGACCAGTTATACAACATAGAGAAAGAAGGTTAGAGAGGTTACGAAATAACACATAACAAAAGATCACATTTAAAAGGAAGAAAAACCCTCCATCACTCAGGAAGTGACAGTAAAATTATTTGATCTTACCATTTTATAGTAGATTAAAAATGGAGATGGCTTCCATTTAGGGAAACATTAGTATAGGTGAATATTTTCCAGACCTTCCTCTGGATCCCACAGAACGTAAGGATAAGGACCTTGTTTGTCTCATTTACCCGTATAATGCTGCCAACGCATAATAGGCACTTAAGCAATTCTTAAAAATTAATCACTCAATTTAATTATTTAATTTAATTAATTAAGTTCTTAATTTCCTTAATCAGGAAATTATGCAGACCTTCACTGATTGTTCTAAGGCTAGTGAAGATTTCCAAGTACAATTGTGTCTCTGTTGTTGTTGAATTGGGAAACTACAGTTTGCTTCAATTTCTAGAGTACTGATAAAGCATATCCATGCAGAACAATTCCTTAAATGTCTATATTCATCAATTTTATTACTAATTATGAGATGTTGGTTAAATTACTCAAACTATCCGTGCCTCGGTTTCCCATTTTATAAAATATAAAATATTTTATATTTATATTAATTATAAAACTAAAGATAGGGCCAGGCGCGGTGGCTCACGCCTGTAATCTCAGCACTTTGGGAGGCTGAGGCGGGTGGATCACCTGAGGTCGGGAGCTCAAGACCAGCCTGACCAACATGGAGAAACCCCATCTCTACTAAAAATACAAAATTAGCCATGCGTGGTGGCGCATGCCTGTAATCTCAGTTACTTGGCAGGCTGAGGCAGGAGAATCCCTTGAACCCGGGATGCGGAGGTTGCAGGGAGTTGAGGTTGCGTCACTGCACTCCAGACTGGGTGACAGGAGAGAGACTCTGTCTCAGAAAAAAAGAAAAACAATTAAACAAACAAACAAAAAACCGAAAGATAGTATAAAATGAAGATAATGAGAGTCTCTACTTCTTAGAGTAGTTCTGAGGATTAAATAGATGAATGCAAGTAAAGGCATTTAGAATTGCCTGGCAGATAGTATGCACTCAATCCAGGTTGATTTTAACCCAAAAATCAGTATGAATTAAAAATAAATTACTATATCAGTTAAAAGTAACTTTTAACGTGCCAAAATTAAAAGCAAAGAGTCATTTATCTAAAAACATTAGGGTACAGATATGGATCTGGCCATTATGGATATTATTTTATCTTATTCTCTGTCCCACTTGGGTCAAGACTGTATTTTTCTGAGTATTTGCACATAACCTATGCACCTCTTCCCACATACTCTAAATTATCTGTAGGCTACTTATAAGACCTAATACAACATAAGTGCTGTGTAAATGACTTTATTTATTTTGTTGTATTGTTATTTTTCATTTTCCCAATATTTCTAAATCCAAGGTTATTTGAATTTGCAGATACAGAACAAGCAGATATGGAGTGCCAACCATCCAGCTTTTGCTCTATTTTCTACACCACTTACCATGGTGCCTTGTAACTCGATATTCAGTACATATTTACTATCAAGCCCTTAAACCAGAACATAAATCTAAAAGTAAGTGATCAAAGAGGCAACATTTTAAATATCCTAACTCATGGCTAGCACCATGTTAGGCACATGGTAGTTCTCAGTATATTCAGGCTTACTACCTTTCATAAACAGCTACCTCATTTGGATCAAATAAGAATTAATTTAGTTACATCAGGAGATGAAAGGGATCTAAAAACATGTTTACATTAAATAATTTGAGGAATCCATTTCATAATAAAGCTCAGTGTTAGTGAAATTAAATGCCAGTTGCCATATTAATGGAAGTGTAAGGGGAATGAATGAGTAGTCAACGACTTGGAGCCATAATTGGTTACTGCCTATTCTAAATTTAGTGTTTAGAAGGGAAAGAAAAAAACATTAAATCTAAGAATGAGGATGGACACCATACACACTCCAAATGATTAAACGTACAGTGGCAATTGTGTTTTCCTTCTATCTGACTTAGAGTTGGTAACAGAAAAATTTCCATTACTCTATGCCATGATGTTAAGGAAAGTCAAAGCTAATGAACCAAAAGCCCATGAAAATCCAGACTTTGAAACATAAAAATAATTGGTAACTTCCAGTTCGATGCAGTTCATTTGGAAGAAGAGGTAGTGAAGAATACTTAGGCTATGCTGTAAGAGTCTTTTCCCAAACAAAAAATGTATTTTTCTAAAGCAGTAGACACCTACATGTTTAATTCCAGCAAGTTCTGAACCTTACAGCTTCTGAGAACCTGCACATTTGGGGGCCCATTAATGTGATGCATCTCAAACTATCTGTGATGAAGAAACTTTTTCTCTCTCTCGGTGTGTGTGTGTGTGTGTGTGTGCACATGCGCATACTTTTCCCCAATGTATCCTGGACCTATATGTTGGTGAAGTGCCCATGACTTGCTCATAGCTTTTGCCAATGTACTACCTATCTAATACCCAAAGTAATCTATCCTAGTTAAATGAGACAAGTCTGAAAATCACACATTTGAATTTCAAGGCAATGTCAAATTGTTATAAAGTTTTTAAATGCTTAATCTCCATTTCTGTATTCATCTCATCTTGGAGCAGCAAGAAGCAGACTTTGAGGGTGAACACTGGTTCATGGAGCAACTTTCTGTAGCATTGTAGAGGAAGACCTCTAAGATATAACCTGAATAAGCAGAATTATGAGGTAGAAAATGAAACACAGGAAGTCAGAAATGTTTGTAGACAGATTACTATGAACGAATCTGTGGAAAACATACTATCAAAGAAAACCTGGAGGATAAACATAAAAAATTTAACTTCAGTCATTGGGTAAAGAGAAACTTCAAAACAATGAAAGAGCTAACGTTCAGGACCTGAGGGAAGAAATTGTGCCATAAGGAAGCATACTAGTAGATTTAAGTAGTCCAGATATTTTTGTCTGAGCATATTTTAGGGGTTTATTCTGTGGATAGCATTCTTTGTTCAATTATTAAGAGAACTATAAAGAAGTATAATATTCAAAGGTGGTGTACAAGGAGTTTAAAATACAGATGGGACACAATAGATATATAAATGAAAGTTTAAATGAAAATAAAATACCTAAACACTAATATTAAATTAATAAAAATATAAGAAATTATTACATTCCATGAGATATTCAAGATTACACCCTGGTTGGAGCAACTAAATAGTTCAGGTAGAAATTGAAAGAGGGAGCATGATCAGTGAAGAAGAATTGTGTGTAAAATGATTGGCAGAATTGGCAGGTTATGGCAATAATCACAATAACCATTATTTGCTGAGAGCACATAATGTGTGTCAGGTGTTGTTTTAAATGCTTTAGAAGTGTGGCCCTATTTAACTGTTACAATAATCTTGAGAAATAAGTGTAATTAACCTCATTTTAAAATTAACGCTTAAAGAAATTAAGTAACTTGTTCAAGGTCATGCAGCTTATAAATAGCACAGAAATTAAACTGAGGTCTACTTAAGTCTACCTAAAACAATCTTGCTAAATAATGGCTGATATAATGTACCATTTAGAAAGGTTAGGGCTAAGATGTTATCATTAGCTATTAGCTATCATCTCCTAGTCTGCCTTATACAATATGGGTGCTACATAAATTTTAGCTATTATTATTCTTATTAGACTTATCACTATTATGTCTATAAAAAACTGTACAGGAACCAAAATAAATATTCTTACTGAGAATAGAAAGAATCAAATTGATAATTTCAAAAGCATTTGTATTTTTTACTTATGTGAGAATTAGTAGTTGAAAGTATAGATTTAAAGCACAGTAACATCAATTATAAATTCATGGTATAAAAATTAACTCAAAAGAAAATGGAAAGTCAAGGAACTTAAGCATACTTTCCTTTTCACCATCTATCAGTTAGGATCAGTTTTAAATAATATTTAAATATTTGTCTCTCAAGTAAAAGAAGTCTGGAAGTAGATAGTGCAGGGTGATATTGTGACTCCATGGCTATTGTGAATATATCACACCTCAAGGCCACTTCATGATCTACGACAGCTGCTATCATGGGTCTCAGTATAGGTCTCTACAGGTTCATCTTATTTGACGTCCTTTGGACTTCCTAGATCTAGATGTCTATTTCTTTTCCTAGGTTTGGGAAGTTTTTAGTCTTTATTTCTTTGAATAAACGTTCTTCCGCTTTTTCTCTTTGTTCTATAAATTTCACAATGCATACATTGGTCTGATTGACAATGTCCCATAACTCCTTTAAACTTCATTCTTTTTCATTCTTTCTGCTTTTTTGCATCTCCGACTGGATGATTTTCAATAACCTGTCTTTGAGTTAACTGATTTTTTATTCTGCTTGATCATCTCTGCTGTTGAAACCTTCTATTGAATTTTTCAACTTATTTGCTGTATTCTTCACATTTATAATTTCTCTTTGGTACTTTTCCATACTTTCTATCTTTTTGATGACATTCTCACTTTGTTCATGCTTTCCTCTGTTGGCCTCAGTTAACATCATTATGGTCATTATTTTGGATTCTATGTTCAATAAATAACATAACTATGCCATTAGATCCAGTTTCTAGAGTTTTACTTTATTCTTTTAGTTGGAAAATATTTCTCTATTTACTCATTTTCTTTGACTCTCTGTGTTGGATCCTGCAGATTAGATATATCAGACACTATCCAGTCTTCACAGACTGGCTTCAGATAGAAGGTGACCCCCACCAAATAGCACAGCGAGAGATTCTAAGTGCCTCTCAAACCACTGTGCTCATCGAAACTGATGTCTTGTTCTTAGCAGTCCTCTGGAGACCTGAGTATACCAAGTTCCCTCAATGCTCCAGGATAGGCAAGATAGAAAACATTTTCACAAGTTACAGCCAGAAACATAGGGGTGCTATATGTGTAATCCAATTCCTTCTCTCCTCCAGGAAAAGCTGGGAGCTGTAGTTTATTACCCACTCGCTCTGCTCTGAGCTGAGAAGGGGAGCTGTGGGAAATGCCTGCCTGATCATTCAAACAACATATTCTTTCAAACCATAGCTTTGCTCTCTGTCACCCCTAAGGGCCTAGTAAATCATGGGCCCTGTTGGCTCACAGAGACAAGTGGAATACAAGTTAGTCTCACAGGTAGCAGCTGGAAAAGTTAGGATGCTAAATGTAGAATTCAACTCCTACTGTGGAGCAGCTGAAGGCTTGGTGTTATTGCTGGAGCAAACCATGGAGAAAAGTCATGAGAAGTGCCCATATGCTTACTAAAACACCCAAAGGTCTAGTTACTAGAACTGCAGACTCATGATTGAATTTCAGGAAGCACAAAGGAGCATAATCAGTTCCTTTGAGATACTTTCCCCAGGGTCCTACATATTATATCTACTTTTATTTCATTTGATTGAGCTAGGAATACAGACCCACATAGCTACAAAGAGATGTATTTTAGGTGAGCATATTAAAGTTTTGAATAAAATCAAGATAGGTAAGAAAAGGAAATTTAATAGGGTTAAAAAACCTACTAATAGCATTTTCTGCTACAGACTTTGTGCTTGTTCTCTATTTTACAGAGAAAAACATCACAGCATTATAAAGCATCCAGGCTCACATGAACACCAATGTATTTATAATCTACAAATTCAACAGGATCTAGGCAGTAATTTTGTTTTCTTGTTTAAATTTTGAGTGCGATATTAACCAAAGAAGTTAAATTTCCAAAAGATGGTTTCAGAAGGATGTGATTTGCTCTTCTAATTATATGCATACAAAAGTAAAAAGTAAGAAAATCACAAATTTATTATTTCTAAATAGTTGAAGGTTATTCATGGTAACTTTAATATCATAAATAAATAAAAAAGATAATCTTATGTACTGAATTGCATGGCACCTTAAAAAGAATAAATATTAAAACTCCACAACAATTGAGGTATATTATATAGAAAGATTTCAAGAAAAGAAGAATAATTTATTTTTAATTTTAAGAAGATCAAATAAGAGGTGACAAAGTTACCAGTCAAAGGCATAGGGGAACTAAATGTTGTTGTACTGTCATGGATGTTGACATGATAGAAAATGGCTTTGAAACTGTTCCTATGAGTTAGTAAAAGGTATTTATGATTAAAAATGGTTAGAGAGATAGAAAGCCCAAGATCTACAGCAAAGGCTGTATCTGAGCTGCTGTGACTAACACCATAAAGAAACAGGCCATATTGTGCAAATAGAAACACACTGAAAGACAAACACAGTCCTGTATGAAAAGTTCCTACAAACAACAGCAGGTGAATTACACTGCTGCATATCAAAGGAAAAATAATTTTTTAATCATGATAAAGTGTAATAGTAACTGAGAGAACAAAATGACATGAAAAGAACTTGTCATTTGAATATTTATTATTTATAATTATTCTCTTGAAATGTCTTAGGAAATATAACTATATTTGCTATTGCCATAAAAAACTAAACATTTACCTGTAATTTTGAAAAAATAAATGGAAGAGGAATAAAACAATACATAAAAAGGAGGAAAACCTATTTAAGTATAAAATTAGCAGATTTATCACAGAAAGTAGTAGATAAGAAAGGAAGTGAAGTGTAGTTTAAAAGAACAGTAAGATAAAATACTTATCTACTTCCTAGGGGAACTTATGTTAATCAAAAAGAATTTTTAATTTTAAGATATATATGTATAATGGTTAAAATAATATTTACAAAGAGCTGTCAGCTAAATATTAATTGAACATGAAAGATAAGATTAAACCATTATTGAGTACTTAATGTGTAATACAATACAAAATTATTTTGAATTTTCTTCTTCCAGGTAAAACACAAAAGAGAAAGAAACTTAGACTTAATGCAGTGCATTGTTAATGAGAAAGTTGTCTAATTGGGTTTATAAATTTAATTGCTACAATTCTGTACAGAAAATAGCATATTAAAAATATTTACATGCTATCAATGTGGTAGAAGAGGAAGGCCTAGGCCCTATTTTTCTCTACAGGCACACTGATTCAACAGCAGTACACAGAAAATACGCTCTGAAGTTGAGAGGTTCATTCATTTCATGTGAGCATGAAACCAGCCATGTCAAAGCTGGTATAATTATTTGAGATACTCTTTCACCATAAGCTCTATCCTCAGTAGAATGTCATATGATTAGTAGAAAACCTTTTGCTTCCAGATTTTTCCTTGTGAGATAAGAAAAGGACTGGACCATATGTCTAACAACCTAATTATTCTGAGGGATGTCCAAGGCAGTGGTTTTGTTGTGTCTGTCTCAGAGTGTTGACAGTACCCAGCATACTCTAGATGTCAGGGGCCACTTAGAAGAGACTGTGTTTTGATCCATTATCATACTAGCACATGCCACAGCCCTACCTCTCAGCTCAATGCAAAATAAGCGGTGAAAAAATACCCACATTCCATTTTTTTTCCTGGGAAGGGGAGTAAAGGACTGGATCATATATCCAATACTCTGATTATTACGAAGCCTGTCCAAGTCACTGGCTTTTGTCTTGTAGTGCTAACAGAACCCAGTATACTCTAAAGAGCTGGGGGCCGCTGATATCAAAGACAGTAATTTGAACAAGCACAAGTTAAAGAGGTCACCAAAATCTCTGACTGGGCTAATTAGTGAGGTTGTTCTTTCATAAAAGTTCAGTCTGTGGAGATGGGGAGAAGTGGCTGCTGTATCTAATGAATAAGCATCAATACAAAAATCAAGAAAAATGAAGAAACAGGGAAATATATTCTAAACAAAGGAACAAGATAAATCTCCAGAAACAGATGCTAATGAAATACAGATATATGACTTACCAAACAGAGAATTCAAAATGACCATCATTAAGATGCTCACAGAGGTCAAGAGAACAAAGCATGAACAAAGTGAAAAATTCAACAAAGAAATAGTAAATACAGAAAAGTACCAAACAGAAATCATAGAGCTGTAGAATATAATAACTGAACTAAAAATTTAATATAGAGGAAGTCACCAATGGATAAAATCAAGCAAAATAAAGGATCAGCCAAATCTGGGTCAGGTTATTAGAATTCATTTAGTCAGAAGAACAAAAAAATTAACAAAAAAGAGTGAAGAAAGCCTAAGGGACTTATAGGACACCATTAAGTGAACTAATATACACATTATGGAATTTACAAAAGGAGAATCAAGAAAGGGGCAGAAACCATATTCAAATAAATAATGGTAAAAGCTTGTCAAATCTTGCCTGTCTGGGAAAGAAAATAGACATCCAAATTCAGAAAGTTCAAAGGACAGTAAACAAGATGACCCAAAGAAATTCAAACTGAGATACATTATAATCAAACTATTGAAAGTCAAAGACAAAGAATTTTAAAAGTTGGAAGAGGAAAGTGGTATGCTTTATACAAGAGACTTAAGTCTCTTGTATAAAGTCCTTAAGACTATCTGATTTTTTTAAACAGAATTATTGCAGTCCACAGTGGAGTGTGATGACATATTCAAAGTGCTGAAAGAAAATACATTATCAATCAAGAATATGATACCAACAAAATGGTCTTTCAAATATAAAGGCAAGAGAAAGACTTCTCCAGAAGAACAAAAGTGAGAGACTTCACCACTGGACCTGTCTTACAAATGATAAACAAGTTCTTCAGGTTGAAAAGAAAGGAGGCTAAATGGCAATACACAAACATATAAAAAAAATTGTTGATAAAGGTAACTATATAAAAAATAGAGAATACTGTAATACTGTAATGGATGTGGGTAAATGAATTTTAATTTTTGTATAAAAGTTAAAATACAGAAGTATTTAAAAATACATATAAATATTAAAATTTGTTAATGAACACACATTAAAAAAATGTTAAATGTGATATTAATTACATGAAGTAGTGGGGAGAAAAGAGTAGATTTTTTTTTGCAATTGATTTAAGGTTTTGTGCAAATACATTACTTTACGTAATACCCATAGTAATAACAAAGAAAATACATATGGAAGTAACAGAAAAGAAAAAGAGAAAGGATTCATGGCATATTAATATAATAAATAAACAAAACTCAAGGGAAAAAACAAGAGAGGAAAATAGAGACAAAACAATCATGAGACAAAACAGCTAATAAGATGGGAAAATTGAGTTCTTTCCTATTGATAATTAAATGTAAATAGACTAACCTCCCTATTCAAAAGACATAATGTAGCTAAATGGATTTTAAAAATCCAAATATATGCTGTCTTCACTCACTTTAGATTTAACGACACAGGCTAAAAGTTTAGGAATAGAAAAATATATTCTATGTAAATGGCAATCAAAAGAAAGCAGGAGTGGCTCTGCTTGTAGCAGGCAAAATAGACTTTAAGTGAAAAACTTTCAAACAAGACAAAGAAAGACATTACATTATTATATTATATTGTAATTATAATGGTCAGTTCATCATGGAGATATAAGAATTACAAATATATATACACCCAGTGTCAGAGCATCTAAATATATAAATGAATATTGACAGAACTGAAGGGAAAATAAATAGTCCCACCATAATAGTAAGAGACTTCAATACCCCACTTTTAATAATAGATAGAGAATAAATAAGAAAACATTAGATTTGAACACCACTACAGACGTAATAAACCTAATGGACTTGTATAGAACATTCAACCCAACAACAGCAGAACATACATTCTTATCAAGCACACAGAAAATGTTCTCCAGGATAGATCACAAGTTAGATTACAAAACAAATCTTTACAAATATGAGAAGATTGAATCATGCCAAGTATATTTTCATATTACAATAGAAGAAAACTTGAAATCATTAAGAAGGAAAATGGGAAAATTTACAAATATGTAAATATTAAACAACACACTTTTGAATAACCAATGAATCAAAAAAGAGGTGAAAAGGAAAATCAGAAAACATCTTGAGACAAATAAAAATAAAAGCACAACATATCAAAACTTATGATATGCAGCAAAATCAGTAGTAAGAGGGAGGTTCATCGCAATTAAGGACCATATTTTAAAAAGAAGAAATATTCAAGTAAACAGCTTAACTACACCTCAATGGAATCAGAGGAAAAAAAAGCACATTAGCAAAAGGATAGAAATAACAATTATCAGAGGAGAAATACATAGAAAACAGAAAAACAGACATGTATGATGAAGCAGAGTTGATTATTTGTAAAGATAAGCAAAATTGACAAATTATTAGGTAAACAGAAACAAAAAAGAAAACATTCATATAAATAAAAAATGAAAGTGACTTTAAAACTAATGACACATAAATAGAAAGGATCATGAGAGACTACTAGAAACAATTATATTCCAAAAAATAGAATAACCTGGAAGAAAAGAATACATTTCTGGAAACATACAACTAATCAAGTCTGAAATCTAAAGAAATAGAAAATTAGGACATAATAGCAATATATATGGAGATTGAATCAGTAATGAAAAACTTCTCAACAGCGAAAAAAAAAACAAGACTGGATAGTTTCACTGAAGAATTCTAACAAATATTTAAATATTAAAGAAGAATTAATGCAAACCCTTCTCAATTTCTTCCAAAAAAAATTGAAGAGGGAAGAACATTATAAATACATTTTATTTGGCCAGCATTATCCTGATACCAAAGATAGACAAAGATGCTACAAGGAAAGGGAACTACAGACCAATATTTCTAATGTACATAAATGGAAAAAACCTCAACAAAATACTAGCAAACAGAATCAACTTCATAGTAAAAGGATCATACACTGTGAGTCAGTGGAATTTATTCTTGGGATACAAGAAGGATTCAAAAAATGAAAATTAATAAATGTGATATAGTGCATTAACATAATGAAGGATAAAAACAACATTATCATCTTAATGGGTGCAAAAAGAAAGCATTTGAAAAAAAATCCAAAATTTTTCACAGCAAAACCTCTCAATAAACTAGGAATAGAACAAAATTATGTTAATGAAATTAATGCCATCTATGAAAAGCCCACAGTTGACAGCATACTCAGTGATAAAAAGTTGAAAAAAGCAGGAACAAAAAAAGGATGACCACTCTCACCACTTGTATTCAGGATAGTACTGAAACTTCTAATCACAGCAATTAGGCAAGAAAAAAATAAACAAAAAGCTTTGAAATTTGAAAGGAAAAAGTACAACAATCCCTGCTTGTAGGTGATATGATCTTATTAGTAAACGCCGTAAGGATCAAATAAAATCTGTCAGAAATAAAAAATGAATTCAGTGAAATTGCAAGGTATGAAATTAACATAAAAAATCAGTTGTCTTTCTATACACCAATAGCAAATTATCCACAAAAGAAAATAAGAAAGCAATCCCATTTACAATAACATCACAAAGAATACTTAGAATATTGGCCTGAAGTTTTCTTTTCTTGTTGCATCTCTTCCCAGTTTTGGTATCAGGATGATGATGACTTCATAAAATGAGTTAGGGAGGAGTCCCTCCTTTTGGAATCATCTCAGAGGGAATGGTACCAGCTCATCTTTGTATTTCTGGTAGAATTCAGCTGTGAATCCTTCTGGTCCTGGGCTTTTTTTGGCTGGTAGGCTATTAATTCCTGCCTCAATTCCAGAACTTGTTATTGGGCTATTCAGGGATTCAACTTCTTCCTACTTTAGTATTGGTACAGTGTATGCATCCAGAAGCTTATCCATTTCTTCTAGATTTTCTAGTTTATTTGCAGAGTGTTTATAGTATTCTATGATTGTAGTTCGTATTTCTGTGGGGTCAGTGGTGATATCCCCTTTATCATTTTTTATTGAGAGAGTCTTCTCTCTCTTCTTCCTTATTGGTCTATCTAGTGGTCTATCTATTGATTTATTTTTTTCAAAAAAACCATCTCCTGGGTTTGTTGATTTTTTGGAGGGTTTTTCATGTCTCTATCTCTTTCAGTTCTGCTCTGATCTTAGTTATTTCTTGTCTTCTGCTAGCTTTTGGATTAGCTTGCTCTTGCCTCTCTAGCTCTTTTAATTGTGATTTTAAGGTGTTGATTTGAGATCTTTCTAGCTTTCTAATGTGGGCATTTAGTGCTTTAAATTTCCCTCTTAACACTGCTTTAGCTGTGTCCCAGGGATTCTGGTACGTTGTCTCTTTGTTCTCATTGGTTTCAAAGAACTTCTTGATTTTTGCCTTAATTTCATTATTTATCCGGGAGTCATTCAGGAGCAGGTTGTTCAATTTCCATGTAATTGTGTGATTTTGAGTGAGTTTCTTAATCCTGAGTTCTGATTTGATTGCATTGTGGTCTGTGAAACTGTTTGTTATGATTTCAGTTCTTTTGCATTTGCTAAGGAGTGTTTTACTTCCAATTATGTGTTCAGTTTTAGAATAAGTGCCATATGGCACTGAGAAAAATGTATATTCTCTTGATTTGGGGAAGACAGTTCTGTAGACATTTACGAGGACCACTTGATCCAGAGCTGAGTTCAAGTCCTGAATATCCTTGTTAATTTTCAGTCTCATCGATCCGTCCAATACTGACAGTGGGGTGTTAAAGTCTCCCACTATCATTGTGTGAGAATCTAAATCTCTTTGTGGGTCTTAAGAACTTGTTTTATGAATCTGGGTGCTCCTGTGTTGGGTGCATATACACTTAGAGCAGTTAGCTCTTCTTGTTGAATTGTTCCCTTTACCATTATGTAATACCTTTCTTTGTCTTTTTTGATCTTTGTTGGTTTAAAGTCTGTTTTGTCAGAGATGAGGATTGCAACACCTACTGTTTTTTGCTTTCCAGGTGCTTGGTATATTTTCCCCCATCGCTTCATGTTGAGCCTGTGTGTGTCTTTGCACGTAAGATGGGTCTCCTGAATACAGCACACTGATGGGTCTTGAGTCCTTATCAAATTTGCCCATCTTTGTCTTTTAATTGGGGCATTTAGCTCATTTACATTTAAGGTGAGTATTGTTATGTTGAAATTTAATCCTGTCATCATAATGCTGTTTGGTTACTTTGCATACTAGCTGATGCGGTTTCTTCATTGTCATTGATCTTTATATATTTGTGTGTTTTTGCAATGGCTGTTACTGGTTTTACCTGTCCACGTTTAGTGCTTCTCAAGCCAATATCCCTGATGAACATCGATGTGAAAATCCTCAATAAACTACTGGCAAACCGAATCCAGCAGCATATCAAAAAGCTTTTCCACCACAATCAACTCGGCTTTATCCCTGGGATGTGAGGCTGGTTCAACATACGCAAATGAATAAATGTAATCCATCACATAAACAGAACCAAAGACAAAAACCACAGGATTATCTCAGTAGATGCAGAAAAAGCCTTTGATAAAATTCAACATCCCTTCATGTTAAAAACTCTCAATAAACTAGGTATTGATGGAACATATCTCAAAATAATAAAAGCTGTTTATGACAAACCCATAGCAAATATCATATTGAATGGGCAGAAGCTGGAAGCATTCCCTTTGAAAACTGGCACGAGACAAGGATGCCCTCTCTCACTACTCCTATTCAACATAGGACTGGAAGTTCTGGCCAAGGTAATCAGACAAGAGAAAGAAATAAAGGGTATTCAAATAGAAAGAGAGGGAGTCAGGTTGTCTCTGTTTGCAGATTATATATTTAGAAAACCCCATCATCTCAGCCCCAAAACTTCTTGAACTGATAAGCAACTTCAACAAAGTCTCAGAATACAAAATCAACGTGCAAAAATTACAAGCATTTCTTTACACCAACAATAGGCAAGCAGAGAGCCACACCATGAATGAACTCCCATTCACAATGGCTACCGAGGGAATAAAATACCTGGGAATACAGCTAACAAGGAATGTGAGGGACCTCTTCAAGGGGAACTATAAACCACCACTCAAGGAAATTAGAGAGGACACAAACAAATGGGAAAACATTCCATCTTCGTGGATAGGAAGAACCAATGTCATGAAAATGGCCATACTGCCCATAGTAATTTATACATTCAATGCTATTCCCACAAAACTGCCATTGACATCCTTCACAGGATTAGAAAAAAACATTTTAAATTTCGTACGGAATCAAAAAAGACCCTGTATAGTCAAGACAATCCTAAGCGAAAAGAACAAAGCCGTAGACATCACCCTACCTGACTTCAAACTATACCAGAAGGCTACAATAACCAAAACAGCATGGCACTGGTACCAAAACAGACATATAGACCAATGGAGCAGAACAGAGACCTCAGAAATAACACCACACATCTACGACCATCTGATCTTTGACAAAGCTGACAAAAACAAGCAATGGGGAAATGATCTCCTATTCAGCAAATGGTGCTGGGAAAACTGGCTAGCCATAAGCAGAAAACTGAAACTGGATCCCTTCCTTACACCGTATACAAAAATTAACTCAAGATGTATTAAAGACTTAACTGTAAAACCCAAAACCATAAAAATCCTAGAAGAAAACTAGGCAATACCATTCAGGACATAGGCATGGGCAAAGACTTTATGACTAAAATACAAAAAGCAATTGCAACAAAAGCCAAAACTGACAAATGAGATCTAATTAAACTAAAGAGCTTCTGCACAGCAAAAGAAACTATCATCAGAGTGAACAGGCAACCTACAGAATGGGAGAAAATTTTTGCAACCTATCTGTCTGACAAACATCTAATATCCAGAATTTACAAGGAACTTAAATATATTTACAAGAAAAAAACAACCCCATCAAAAAGTGGGCAAAGGATATGAAAGATAATTCTTAAAAAAAAAAGACATTTATACAACCAGCAAACGCATGAAAAATAGCTCAACATCACTGATGATCAAAGAAATGCAAAACAAAACCACAATGAGATACCATTTCATGCCAGTCCAAATAGTTATTATTAAAAAGTCATGAAATAATAGATGCTGGCAAGACTGTGAAGAAATAGGAATGCCTTTACAATGTTGGTTAGAATGTAAATTAGTTCAATCATTGTGGAAGACAGTATGGTGATCCCTCAAGGATCTAGAACCAGAAATGCCATTTGGCCCAGCAATCCCATTACTGGGTATATGCCAAAGGAATATAAATTATTCTACTATAAAGACACATGCACACATATGTTTATTGCAGCACTATTTACAATAACAAAGACATGGAACCAACCCAAATGCCCATCAATGATAGACTGGATAAATAAAATGTGGTACATATATACCATGGAATACCCTGCAGCCATAAAAAGGATTGAGATCATGTCCTTTGCAGTGACATGGATGAAGCTGGAAGCCATCAACCTAAGCAAACTAACACAGGAACAGAAAACCAAACACTGCATGTTCTCACTCATAAATGAGAGTTGAACATTGAGAACACATGAACACAGAGAGGGGAACAACACACACCAGGGCCTGTTGTGAGGTTGGGGGGTGAGTGGAGGAACTTAGAGAATGGGTCAATAGATGCAGCAAACCACCATGGCACACAGTATACCTATGTAAGAAACATGCACGTTTTCACATGTATCCTGCTGTTTTTGTTTTTGTTTTTGTTTTGTTTTGTTTTCTTTGAAGAGAAAAGAAAAGAATATTCAAGCGTAAACTTACCAAAGAAGTAATAAAATACTTATATATTAAAGACTATCGAACATTGATGAATGAAATTAAAGAAGGCACAAAGAACTGGAAAGACATTCTGTGTCCATGGATTAGAAGACTCAATATCATTAAAATATCCATGACATTCAAAGGAATTTATACATTCAATGCAATTCTTATCAAAATTCTGATAGTATTTTTTTCCAAAAATATAAAAAAAAAAATTCTAAAATTCATGTGGAACCACAAAGAACCACAAATAGCCAAAACAATCTTAAGAACCATACAGCTGGAGACATCATACTTCCAGATCTCAAAATATAAATAAAGATAAATATAAATAAATACAAAGTATAAGTAAAGCCACAGTAATTAAAACAGTGTGTTACTGGCACAATGACAGACATATAAGCCTATGGAACAGAATAGAGAGCTGCAAAATAAACCCATGCATATACAATTAACTGAACTTCTACAAAGTTGCTTCGAATGCACAATGGGAAGAGGATAGTCTCCTCAACAAATTGTTTTGGAAAAAATGTATATCCAACATGCAAAATAATGAAATTGGACTCTTACCTTATATCATACACAAAAATAAACTTCAAATTGATTGGAGGCTTAAACATAAATACTTGAAACAGTAAAACTCCTCAAAGAAAATATTAGGAAAAAGCTTTACAACATTGGTCTTGGCAGTGATTTTTTGCATATGACACCAAAAGCATAGGAAACAAGCAATAATAGACAAGCAAGAACACATCAAACTAAAAATCTTCTGCATAACAAAGGAAACAATTAACAGAGCAAAAAGGCAACTTACTGAATGGGAGAAAATATTTGCAAATGGCATATCTGATGAAATGTTTTTTTTTTTCTTTTTTTTTTTATTATACTTTAAGTTTTAGGGTACATGTGCACATTGTGCAGGTTAGTTACGTATGTATACATGTGCCATGCTGGTGTGCTGCACCCACTAACTCGTCATCCAGCACTAGGTATATCTCCCAATGCAATCCCTCCCCCCTCCCCCCACCCCACCACAGTCCCCAGAGTGTGATGTTCCCCTTCCTGTGTCCATGTGATCTCATTGTTCAATTCCCACCTATGAGTGAGAATATGCGGTGTTTGGTTTTTTGTTCTTGCGATAGTTTACTGAGAATGATGATTTCCAATTTCATCCATGTCCCTACAAAGGACATGAACTCATCATTTTTTATGGCTGCATAGTATTCCATGGTGTATATGTGCCACATTTTCTTAATCCAGTCTATCATTGTTGGACATTTGGGTTGGTTCCAAGTCTTTGCTATTGCAAATAATGCCGCAATAAACATACGTGTGCATGTGTCTTTATAGCAGCATGATTTATAGTCCTTTGGGTATATACCCAGTAATGGGATGGCTTGGTCAAATGGTATTTCTAGTTCTAGATCTCTGAGGAATCGCCACACTGACTTCCACAATGGTTGAACTAGTTTACAGTCCCACCAACAATGTAAAAGTGTTCCTATTTCTCCACATCCTCTCCAGCACCTGTTGTTTCCTGACTTTTTAATGATTGCCATTCTAACTGGTGTGAGACTGATGAAATGTTAATATCCAAAATATATAAAGAACTTCTTCAATTCAATAGCAAAGAAAAAACAACCTGATTAAAAATTGCTTAAAGACTTGAATAGACCTTATGATCCAGCAATCCTACCTCTGAGCATTTATCCAAAAGAATTGAAATGTATCCTGACTTTTTAATGATCACCATTCTAACTGGTGTGAGATGGTATCTCATTGTGGTTTTGATTTGCATTTCTCTGATGGCCAGTGATGATGAGCATTTTTTCATGTGTTTTTTGGCTGCATAAATGTCTTCTTTTGAGAAGTGTCTGTTCATATCCTTCGCCCACTTTATGATGGGGTTGTTTGTTTTTTTCTTGTAAATTTGTTTGAGTTCATTGTAGATTTTGGATATTAGCCCTTTGTCAGATGAGTAGGTTGCGAAAATCTTCTCCCATTTCGCACGTTCTCACTTATAGGTGGGAATTGAACAATGAGAACACATGGACACAGGAAGGGGAACATCACACTCTGGGGACTGTTGAGGGGTGGGGGGAGGGGGGAGGGATAGCATTAGGAGATATACCTAATGCTGAATGACGAGTTAATGGGTGCAGCACACCAACATGGCACATGTATACATATGTAACAAACCTGCACATTGTGCACATGTACCCTAAAACTTAAAGTATAATAATAATAAAATTTAAAAAAAAGAGAAACAAACAAACAAAAAAGAATTGAAATGTAGATCTCAAAGAAATATTTACACTGCTATGTCCATTGTAACATTATTCATGGTAGCCAACCTGTGGAAACAATCTAAGTGTCCATTTATAGACAGATGGTTAAAGAAAATATTGTATATACAAACAATGAAATATTATTCAGTCTTTTAAAAAAGGAAATTCTGTCATTTGTGACAACATGGATGAACCTTGAGAACACTGTTAAAAGAAAAGGACAAATACTTCATGATGCCACTTAGATGAAGGATATAAAATAGTCAAATACATGTAAGCAGAGGGTAGAACAGTGGATGCCAGGGACTAGAGGGAGGGGGATGGGTCATTGATATTCAAGAGGTACAAAGTTTCAGCTATGCAAAGTGATTATGTTCCAGAGGTCTGTTTTACAACATTGTGCCTGCAGTTAATAATACTGTATTGAACACATAAACACTGAATAGGGAAAAATCTCATGTTAAGAGTTCTTATAATAATAATTTTTAAAAGAATAAAGGAAATAGCCAAAGCATATATATATATATATACATATATACATGTGTACACACACACGCACATATATATATATGAAATTGTCATAAAAATTCAGTTGTCTTTCTATATGCCAACAACAAATTATCCACAAAGGAAAGTAAGAAGACAAGTGTATATATATATGCCAGAATTCAACATGAAATATAATTATATAATTTATTTTTAAAATATAAGGTGCTAACTTTGAGAAGAAAACAAAATTTTATGGAATAGGGATAACAACCGTAAGTCCAAAAAATCATAAATCCATGTCATTTTAAAAGAGGTACCCCATAATGTCTATGATGACTTAAAAATAGCTCAGAGGCTTAAAAAAGGAAACTAAGAAATGAAAATAAATGAGAGAAGAAAAGGAGAAATACCAAAATAAGTATTAAAGTTAAAACAATTATGAAAGAGCAGAATATTTTATTAGATAGTGAAAGCAGGACACTGTGCAATAAAATCTGAAAGGTACTTGGAAATTAATCAATGGTATTATAAGCTGCGGTATCCCACCATAGATTCTGCTACAAAGCATAGCAACTGTTGAGTTTAAATTCAACAATAAGTTAAACCGTATGGTAAAAGTTCAATTACCTAGAAACATGGTTGTATCAAGTTCGTGAGTAATATATAAAAATCACCTGGACTAAAATAACCAGGCTCAGAGGAGAAAAGAGTGAAAGGTTTACTCCTCTTGTTGATGAGAGGGAGACCCTTTTGTTTGTTAGTGTGTCTTATCTAGTAAATTTGAGATTTAAATCTTTAAGTGAGTTGTCTCAATACAATAGTTCAAACACACTCATCAGCAACCAAAAATATTTTCTTTTTATTTTCAGTAAAAGACAGCAGTTATGATGAATAGCAAATCCATTTTCCTTTTTAGAAAACAACATCATCCAGTTGCAACTAACAAATATAAAAAGTACTTTTAATATAGCATCAGAAAGCATGGCATTATCTCAGGAGAACTGTAAAAGTTACTGATGAAATCTAGTTAGGTTACAGATAAGTGCTATGGGATATTCATTATTTAGAATATCCATTTCCAACCTAAATGAAGACAGATGAGGAAAATAGGGAAGAATACACCAATATCTATGCTGCCAAAGTGAAAAATTAAATGATACAGATGTTTAAACTACTTGCAAATATCTTAATACTTGCTGACAATTTACCCGATGTTTTACTTTTCATCTATATTTATGAAATCAAGTATTAATAGCTTATTCATTTTAGATACAGCATTGTCAAGGGAAATATTTTACATTTGTTATACTTTCTTTTTTAATTCCTCCATTCTGTTCTCTTAATTTCTCTTTTCTTTTTGACTCCGCTTTATTTTCTCTTCTTCGATCCATATTCTCCTTACAATTTTTCTGCTTCAGAGGAGAGATTTCCCAGTTCCCACTACTTATAGCCATTCATTGACTCACTAATCTATCACAATGCTCCTTTAATCATCTCATCTTTTGTTCTGCAGTTCACTTGAATTTTATAAGAATGGGTTTCAGAATGTATTCAATACAGAGGAAATTCTCTGGAACTCCAGCCCATTTTCAATTATCTGCATTTATTTACATTTCTCATTTTATTCTTTCCCTCAAAATACTACACTAACTCAATTAGTGATGATTGCTTAATAGAGCAATTTATTAAAGTATCTTAGTACAAAATAATTTGAATGCGGATGATTGTTTTTTCATTGGAAACATTTGGCAGTAAGAACACTTTTCTGTAAAATGATGAACATTTTTGGAAGATACTAAGAGAGGCTACGGCAAGAAAAGAAGATCAAGAACATCCCCTCTCACTAAAAATAATGAATATTTTATTCTTTTTCATGATTCCATTGAATTTTTATCACTCTAACAGGCAACCAGTATTAAATTAACTATGAGAAACATAGATAGTGTCTGGACTCAAATCTACCAACTCTTTCTGAGATAAAGCAGGCCTAACACACTAGGTACATTGTTCTAACAACTGAGATTCTTTGCTGTGAATATATAATCTTGGCTTTGGAACTTTTCAGATACTGTTCACATCAAGCATGTATTACTTCATATATAACATATATACTATTACATCATATATAACAATATTATATATGTATTACTTCATATATGACCTATGTAATATTGCTTCATAAATGACAATATACTAAAACAAAATAAAATAAAAATATTATGATACTTTCAAGGATAACTTGGAAGAAAACTTCCCGAGAAGCTCAAGCCATGCATAAGTGAATAGCTGCTCATAAAGCATGTCTTCTATTTAAAAATCTTACAACTTTAGCAAATGGCTCTCATGTTATTCTAATCATGCTAAAGAGATGACTCAGGAATTGTTAAAAAAAAAATCATCCAGTGTGACAGTGGTTTCAGTACTTGATTTCTAGGATGCAAGGAATCTAAAAACTGTGGTAAGGAAGCTTTAAAAACCAGGCCCAGCAATTTTTGAAAGCCTAATGGAAATTGAACAATTGCTATTTGACACTTTGTTGCATACTTAGTTATGTGTGGCTCTAAAAATTATACATAGGGAAATAGACAGCTTATTATATGAGGTCAGAGGGGAAAATAACAAAACGGGGAACAATTAGGAACAACTGGACTAGACACTTTTTCTAATAGCTAAAAATTCAAGCTGATGATTAAAATATTATAAAGGAGTAAAGCTCGTATTACATTATTTAGCAGGAGCTGATAAAGGATTCTGGATCCCTTGAGACAGTGAGGAAGAAATCTCAGTAGAAAATTTTGTTATACAATCCAGAAAATGTTCTTTGTATTTAGGTTACATATCTCAAGGCAGCTCAAAATTCTACTTTGCTCATCCAGCCACAGCTCTGCTACTGGGTAGTTCTACACAGGTTATTTGGAATACAGATTGTCATTCTAATTTATGAGGAAGGATTTGCATTGTCCTCAACTGAGCTTCAGGAATTCGCAGGCAGGAAATTTCTGGGCATCAACCATTTGTCTCCTTATCTTCAAGGACTTGGTCTCTCCAAAGGATGGAGTAGATTTCCAAGGATGCTCTGAAGTAGATGCTGAGCAGAAACTAACCTATTAAGACTTTCCAGGTTTCGCATCACTCCTGTAGCTCCATATTCAAATACACTGAGTATATAATGCAATTATTTCAGTAAGATTTAAATTTGTAAACTATGAGTCACATATGCAAAAAAAATTAACATTACTTTAAAAAAATTGCACTCAAGTTTTCTCTCAAGCTCCTTATTCACATAAACTGATTGACTTAGACTATTTTACTCCTGTCTATCTAGTCCAACCCAGTTATGTTTAACCATATTCAGGTAGCATTATTTCAGACAGTGTCCATGTTAATGTTTAGTTACTTCCTGGAAAATAGTCTTTCAGAGTTTCCCTCACTTTCCCTCTAGTCTGTCCCTTGGTTCTGGCAATGATTGAAGTTCAAGAAAGGGTAGGGAGAGAGGCTTTGCACAAGTTCCAGGGAAGGAGTATACATTAGTTCTTCCTGGTCTCATTGAGGTGTCTCTTCCTGCTTGATCTGAGCTGCTCACCCTTCTGCACTGGCATCTGCTGAGGCAGAGTCTGATCCTTCATAGACTTTGATTATTGTGCCCGTACTGACTGCTGATGCCAAAGTCTACAGCCTTCAGAGGTTCCTACATTCTGCAGGCTTCTTTTTTCTTATTTGTGGCAACAGTTTATTAGCAATCATTGTTAATCTTTCATACTATGATTATTTGAAATTGTACAGAAATAACTGAAGATTCACATACAATTAGAAAATAATTCTTAAAGATCATTTTACATTATTCAATTTCCCATAGTTATACCATTTTGCAAAACTACTGTATAACATCACAACCGAATATCCTTATGGACACAAACCAGCAATCTTATCCAGATTTGTCCAGTTTTACTTATACTCATGTGTGTGTATTTAGTTCTAAAAAAATTTTGTATAAGTTCATTATACACCACAGTCGAGATACTGAATAGCTCCAAAATCCCAAGGATCCTTTATGTGGTCCGAGTATCCACATCCCTGGTGGGGATATGAATATATATGGCTATCCCTACTATGGTGGATATGGTCCAAAAATATCCACTTCCCTGCCTTCCCCATCTCCCTGTCCCTAACACTGGACAACCACTAATCTACTTTCAGTTTCTAAAACTTTGTTATTTCATAAATCTTATAAAAATGATGTCATAAACCATGTAACATACCATTTGGGGATTTGAGAGTTTTTTAATCCAGTTTTATTCCCTGTAGATTTGTTCAAATTTTTGCATGTATCAATAGTTCATTCCTTTTTATTGCTGAGTAATATTCCATTGTATGCGTGCACCATCTTTTGTTTAAACATTGATCTACTGAATGACAGCTGAGCTGACTGCAGTTTTTTACTACTACAAATAATGCTGCTATCAACATATGTAAAAATATAAGGTTTTTGTGTAAACATAAGTTTTCATTTCTCTGAGTAAATGCCAAGGAGTATAATTGTGGGTCTTTTAGTACTTGATGTTTAGTTTTTTTAAAAAAAGGCCAAAGTGGTTTTGAAAGTGGCTCTACTATATTATACTCCTACCAGAAATCTAAGAGTGACTCCATTTCACTGTATCATCACCAATTTGGGGAATTGTAATTATTTTATATTTGGGGTATTTTAATTGCTGTATAGAGATAGCTGATATTGGTTTTAATTTCTATTTGCCTAATGTTGAACATCTTTTCATGTGTTTATTTTCTATGTGTGTGTCTTTGGGTAAAGTATCTGTTAGTGTTTTTTGCTCATTTGATAACTGGATTATTTGTTCTTTTATGGTTGAGCTCAAATAGTTTTTTATGTTCTAGATACTAGCCCTTTATCAGATGTGGTTTTCTCACTCTCTAGCTTGTCATTCATTCTCTCCACAAGAACTTCCACATAGCAAAGTTTTAAACATTTGCATAGGTCCAATTTATTAATTTCTTTTTCATGGATCATGGTTATAGTGCTATGTCTAAGAACCTAGCCATAGATCTCCCAAATTTCCTCCTATTTCATTTCTAAATTTTTGTGTTTTACATCTTAAATTTGTCTATACTTCATTTTGGGTTTTTATGAGGATTATGAGGTTTAAGTTTTTGGCTTTTGGTTGCCCAGTTGCTCTGGGACATTTGCCGTAATTAAGTGCATCTTCCTTGTACTTGCTTTTGCCTCGTTACCAAAAATTGGTTAGAGTCAACTGATGTTTGCCAAAGTAGCAAAGGCAATATAATGGTGAAAAGGCAATCTTTCCAGCAAATGGTGCTGGAAAAACTGGACATTCGCATGCAAAGAAAATAGATCTAGACACAGATCTTACATGCTTCACAAAAATAAACTCAAAATGTATCACAGACCTACAGGTACAAAGCAAAACTACAAATGTCCTAGAAGATAATGGAGGAGAGAATCTAGATGACTATGAATTTGGCATTGGCATTTTCCAACACCAAAGGCACAATCTATGAAAGAAAGAATTGAAAAGCAGACCTCATTAAAATTAAAAATTTCTGGTCTAACCCAGATGTGGTGGCTCATGCCTCTAATCCCAGCATTTTGGGAGGCCGAATGCAGGCGGATCACCTGAGGTCGGGAGTTTGAGACCAGTCTAACCAACATGCAGAAACCCTATCTCTACTAAAAATACAAAATTAGTCGATAATCCCAGCTACTCAGGAGGCTAAGTCAGGACAATCTCTTGAACCCGGGAGGCAGAGGTTGCAGTGAGCTGCGATCATGCCATTGCACTCCAGCCTGGGTAACAAGAGCAAAACTCCAACTCAGAAAAAAATAATTTCTGGTCTATGAGAGACACTGTCAAGAGAAAGAAATATATGCCTCAGACTTGGAGAAAATACTTGCAAAATATGTATCTGGTAAAGGACTGTTTTCTAATATACAAAAAGAACTCTTAAAACTCAAAAATAAGAAAATAAACAATCTGTTTTAAAATGGGCCAAAGACCTTAAGAGACACTTTACCAAGATATACAAATGACAAATAAGCACATGAAAAAAAATGTTCCATATAATTTGTCATCAGGGAAATGCAAATTAAAACAATGAAATAGCACTCCATACCTATTAGAATGATAAAAGTCAAAACACTGAAAACACCAAATGCTGATGAAGTTGTGGAGCCACAGGAACTTCCATTCATTGCTGGTGGGAATGCAAAATTATACAGCTACTTTGGAAGACTTCGGCCATTTATTACAAACCTAAACATACTCTTACCATGCAATCCAGCAATTGTGACCCTTGGTATTTACTAATAGGAATTAAGGAGTTAAAAATATCTCTACACAAAAACCTGTACATGATGTTTATAGCAGTTTACTTCATAATTGCCAAAACTTGAAAACATCCAAGATGTCCTTCCCTCGGTGAGTGGATAAATTGTGGTACATATCTAGACAATGGAATATTATTCAGCGCTTAAAATATCAGCTATCAAGCCATGAAAAAAATGAAAGAAAAGTTAAATGCATATTGCAAAGTGAAAGAAGCCAATCTGAAAAGGCTACATACTGTGATTCCAAACTAGATGACATTCTGAAAAAGGAAGAACTATGGATACAATAAAAAGATCAGTTGTTTCCAGGGACTGGGAAAGAGGGAGAGATGAATAGTCAGAACTGAGGGGATTTCTATGGCAGTGAATATACTCTGTATGATATTATAGTGGTGTATATGTCATCACACACACCCACACACACAAATCCAAATCTGCAGAATATTCAATATCAAGAGTGAGTTCTAATGTAAACAATGAAGTTGGGTGATAACTGGTAGAGAATGTTGATAATAGAAAGGCTATGCCTGTGTGGGAGTAGGAGATATATAAAAAATCTCTGTGTCTTCCACTCAATTGTGCTCTGAACTTAAAACTGCTCTAAAAAATAAAGTTGTTTTTTTTAAATATCAAACATTATGCTTTGGTCTATTTCTAGGTACTATATTCTGTTCCATTGATCTATTTGCACATCCTTCTGACAATACTATATTGTTTTGATTGCTGCAGCTATATACAAAGCCTTAAAATCAGTGGAGTGATTACTCCTGTCTTATTCTTCCTTGCCAATATTGTTGTAACAATTTTAAGTCCTGTGCCTTCCCATATGCACTGTAGAATAATCTTTTTTATGTCTGTGAAAAAAAACTTGCTAGAATTTTGATAGAAATTGCATTAAACCTATAGGCTAATTTGGTAAGAATTGGCATCTTTACTGTGATGAGCGGTCCAACCCATAAACATTTATTTTATGAGCATTTTGTAATTTTCAGAAAACAGATCCTATATTTGTTTTGTTAAGTGTATACCTAAGTATTTAATTTTCCTAATAGCAATTGTAAATGACATTATGTCTTAAATATTGGTTTCTACTTGTTCATTGTTAATGTACAGGAATATGTTTGATATTTTTGGTATTAATCTTGTACTTTGTGACTCTATTGAGTTCATTTATTAATTAGAAGAGTTTTTTGTAGGCTCCTTGGCATTTTACACATAGACAATAATGTCATAAACAAATAGAAATCCTTTACTTTCTTCTTTTCCAACTTGTGTGTATTTTATTTATTTATTTATTTAGCCTTACTGCAATGACTAGAAATTCCAGTAATATTAGAAAGGTGGTTGTAGATATCTGTGCCTTGTTTTTATATTATAAGAGTCATTTAGTCTTTTACTATTAAGTATAATGTTAATTTTGGCTTGCTTTTGTTTTTGTGGAGGTAATTTGCCTCTTTTTCAACTGGCTGGATATTTTTGCCATGAATGAGTATTGGATTTTTGTCAAATGCATTTTCTACAGCAATTAATTTGATCGCATTATTTTTTCCTCTTTGACTTATTTATATGGGAGGATATATTGACTTTCAAATGTGGAACAAGCTTTCCATATCTACAACACTCAGCCATGATGTACAATTTTTATATATTATAATAATTTTATATGCTATTTGATTCAGTTTGTTAATGTTTCATTGAGGATTTTTGCATCTAAGTTCATGGAAGTTATTGGTCTGTAGTTTTTGGGTTTGGAGGGCTTTTGTTGTCTGTTTTTTGGCACTCTATTTGTCTTATTTTGGTATCAGGCTAAAACCAGCCTCATTCACAGTTGAGAAGTGTTTCCTCCTCTTACACTCTCTGGAAAACATTGTGTAAATTATTCATCTTAAAAAATGTTTGGCAGAATTCTCCAGTGAAATATTCTGGCCTGAAGATTTCTTTTGGGGGGGGGGGATTTTCAATTATGAATTCAATTTATTTGATAATGATGGAACTATTCAGATAGTCTATTTTATCTTGGTTGAGTTTCCAAGGAATCTAATCATTTCTTCTAAATTGAAAATTTATGAGTATAAAGTTTTTTATATTACACTTTTTTTTTTTGCTTTTTTTTTTTTTTTGAGATGGAGTCTTGCCTTGCAGCCCAGGTTGGAGTGCAATGGTGTGATCTCAGCTCACTGCAACATCCGCCTCCCAGGTTCAAACGATTCTCCTGCCTCAGCCTCCTGAGTAGCTGTGATTACAGGCGCTCGCCACTACGCCCAGCTATTTTTTGTATTTTTAGTAGTGATGGGGTTTCACCATGTTGGCCAGGCTGGTCTTGAACTCCTGACCTCATGATCCACCCACCTCAGCCTCCCAAAGTGCTGGGATTACAGGCATGAGCCACTGCACCCAGCCTATTATCTTTTTAAAGGCTTCAGGATCTGTAACGACATTCTTATTTAATTCCTCTCATTGGTGATTTGTGTCTTCTGTTTTATTTATAATCAATCTTGCTATATGTTTAGCAATTTTATTGATTTTTTTTTTAAGATTCAGCCTTTATTTTTTCTTTCCAACTGTTAATTGTAGGTTCAAGGGGTCCATGGGCAGATTCATTATATGGGTAATTTGCATTTTAAGGGCATTTGATGTACAGACAATTTTGTCACTCAGGTAATCGTCATAATACCTGATAGGTAGCTTTTCAATCCTGACCTTCCTCTCACCGTATAACCTTAATTAGGACCCAAAGTCTACTGTTCTTTTCTTTGTGTCTATGTGTACTCAATCTTTAGCTCCCACTTCTAAGTGAGAATATGAAGTATTTGGTTTTCTGTTCCTGCGTTTCTTCCCTTAGGATAATGACCTCCAACTCCATCCATGTTGCTGCAAAGGACATGATTTCATTCTTTTTATGGCTGCATGGTATTCTACGGTGCATATGTACATTTTCTTCATCCAGTCCACCATTCATGGGCATCTATGTTGATTCCATGCCTTTGATATTGTGAATAGTACTGCGATGAACATAAACATGCATGTGCCTTTATGGGAGAACAATTTATATTCCTTCAGGTATAAACCCAGTAATGGGATTGCTGGGTCAAATGGTAGTTCTATTTTAAGTGCTTTGAGAAATCTCCAGACTGCTTTCCACAGTGGCTGAACTAATTTACATTTCCACCAGCAGTGTACAAGCATTCCCTTTTCTCTTCAAACTTGCCAGCATCTGTTAATTTTTGATTTTTTAGTAATAGCCATTCTGACTGGTGTGAGGTTATATTACATTGTGGTTTTGATTTGCATTTCTCTAATGATCAGTGATATTCAGCCTTTTTTTAATATGCTGGTTGGCCGCATGTATGTCTTCTTTTGAAAAGTGTTTGTTCATGACCTCTGCCCACTTTTCAATGGTGTTGTTCATTTTTCTCTCATAAATTTGTTGAAGTACCTTATAGTTTCTTGTTATTATACCTTTGTTGGATGCATACTATGCTGAGTATTTTCTCCCATTGTATAGGTGGTCTGTTTACTCTGCTGAGTTTCTTTTGCTGTATGGAAGTTCTTTAATTAGGTTTCACTTGTCAGTTTTTGGTTTTATTGCCATTGCTTTTGGAGTCCTTGTCATTAAGTCTCTCCCAGGATCAATGTCCAGAATGGTATTTACTAGGTTTTATTCCAGGGTGTTTATAGTTTTAGGTTTTACATTTAAATCTTTAAGCCATCTTGAGCTGATGTTTGTATATGGTGAAAGTTAGGGATTCAGTTTCAATCTTCTGCATATGGTTAGCCAATTATCCCAGCAGAATTTATTGAATAAGAAGTCCTTTCTCCATTGCTTGTTATTGTTGGCTTTGTCAGAGATTAGATGGTTGTAGGTGTGAGCTTTATTTCTGGGTTCTCTAACATGTTCCATTGGTCTAAGTGTCTGTTTTTACTATACACTAGTGCCATGCTGTTTCAGTTACCGTAGCCCTGTAGTATACTTTGAAGTAAGATAATGATTTTTGTTTTATTCTCTCTTTCTCTTCAGTTCAGTTTCTTTGATTTCTGCTTTTATGTTTATTATTTCCTTCCTTTTCTTTGCTTTCAGTTTATTTTTCTCTTCTTTTTCTATTTTCGTGAGATCAAAACTTATGGTTTTTATTTCAGAACTTTTAATTATTTATAATGTAAGCATTTAGTGCTACAAATTCTTCAGTATTACTTTAGTTGTGCTCAGTAAAATTTGATAGGGTTTTCATTTTTATTCAATTTTATGTATTTTTGTTTCTTTTGAGACTTATTTGACATCTACATTATTTAGAAGTGTGCTATTTAATTTCCACACATTTAGAAATTTTCCAATAGTCTTTTTGTTATTGATTGTGAGTTTGATTCCATTATGTCCAGAGAACACAGAAAAGGATAATTTAAACATCTTGAGGTCTGTTTTATAGCCCAGGATATTGTCCATCTTGGTAAATGTTCCATGAGCACTTGGAAAAAAAGTGTATTCACTTTTTCAATATATGTCAATTAGTTCCCATTGTTTATTTCATATCATCTATATCCTTGCTAAATTTCTGTCTGGTAGTTCTATCAGCTGCTGAGAGGGAAATGTTAAAATCTCCAACTATAATTGTGTATTTTCTTTCTCCTTTCAGTTATATCATTTTTTTTTGTTTTATATATGTTGAGGCTCTGTTGTTTGATGTGTTGACGGTTGAAAATATTTTTCATGGCTGCTTTGAAATCCTTGTCAGATAATTCCAACATTGAATTCATCTCAGTGTTGATATCAGTTGATTGTCTTTTCTCATTCAAGTTTATATTTTCTTGGTTCTTGTTATGACAGGTAATTTTTTAATCTTATCCTGGATATTTTGTCTATTATGTTAGGGAGATCTAAGTCTTATTTAAATCTTTTATTTTAACACCAATTCACTCTGTTTAGGTTTAGCATGTAGATCTTGGCTTACTTTGTAGATTGTCATTCCAATGGCAGTTTAATTTCCAGAGCCTTTGAGGTATTGTTTTGGTCTGCTTGTTTTATCTGGCCAGTGATAGCACTTTCATTGGTTCTTGTTGGTGCTGTATATGAGGGAAGAAATCGTTTCTAGAACTAGGCAATCAGTTGTCTGCTCACAGGTGTGAATGGGCTGGGATGTCTAGGTTTTTGTCATATTTACATGGTACCATGACACCACAGGCATTCCAAGCTTTGCTGGAGGATTGAGGGAGAACATTTCTGGTCTCTGTTTCTCATATATTTAATACATCTACCACCTAACCATAGGTTACAGCCTTACTCTTCATATTATGCTCTGCCATCCAGCAAAAACAAAGGCTTTCTAGTTCTTCCCTTCTATTAAGAACTGTGGTTATATTGTACCCTTCTCCTTGGAATAGCCTATAACAAAAGAGGCAGAAAGACCAAAAAGTAAGGCTTGACACCTTGTTTTTACCTTGTTATGGTTTAGATTTGAAATTATTTTGTAAAGCTTTTTTTTTTCCAGCAAAACTTCAATTTTGAAAACCAAAAACTTCAGACTTAAGTATAGAGACTTAGATCTTAGAAGACTGTTTTGAAAGACAAAGCCAAATATTAAGTTTCTAATTCTAATCTCTATTTATCTTTTTCCTGGAGCAATACAAATTTTATTTTAATGGGTGCAGAGCAGGTTGACAACTAGGAATAATTAGTACGTTACTGGATATAATAATTTAGTTTAATACATTCCTATTGTATTTGTGACATCTAGTAGGTCTTTTTTTTTTTTTTTTCACTGCTCCTTGTGGAGCAGGATTACCCCATAGGCAGTGTGCCCAGAGTAGCCAAGGTCTAAAAGTAACATTTTCCATATGTCTTTAATTATTGAAACATGCAAAACAATAAAAAATAGAGATTATACTTAAATATTGTTTATTTTTCTGACACAAGCTAGACATCAGAAACTTTCAAATTGAATCAGGTTAGTTTGTGATATGACCATGTAAGAGTCTGAGTACAGACAGGTCAGTGTAGCATGAAGGTATTGATTTATTTTGCATTCCTCCAAGAATAAATTGACAACAAAATAAGCACTAGAAGCATGTCCTCTAGAAGAGGGATTGGGCCAGATAGTAAATATTTTAGGGTTGTGGGCCACACTGTCTCTGTGGCAACTACTCAGCTCTGCCATCATAGCACAACAGCAGCCATAGACAATATGTAAATGAAGGACCATGGCCATATTCCAATAAAATGATGGTTAGGAACACTGAAGTTTAAAATTTCTATAATCCTACATGTCATGAAGCATTTTAACTTCTTCTAATCATTTAAAATTGCAAAAAAAAAATTATTTATTCATAGGATGTACAAAAACAGGTGATAAGCTGGATTTGGCCTATGAGTCCTAGTTTGCTAAGCCTTGGTTTACAGCTTTGCCACATTGGGTCTTTACTATATCTCATAGAACCATTAAATCAGTATTTGAAAGGAAGCAGTATATCTTTCATGATTGCTCTAACCAACATTTTTCATCTCATTAGTATAGAAAAATACATATGCAGAAAAAAACATACACTTTTATTTTTGCTGGTCAAACTATCTTTCTAATTGAGTGGATAAGAATATTGCACATGAATCCTAAAAGATGAATTTATAGTGACAAACATCTATATTTAAAAAGAAGCAAGATTTGAAATAAACCATCTAGTGTTACACCTTAAGGAACTAGAAAAAAAAGAACAAACTAAGTTCAAAGTTAGCAGAAGGAAAAGAATAATGAAGATTAGAAAAGAAATAAATAAAATAAAGACAAGAAAAAATAGAGAAAATTAACAAAAGGGTTAGATTTTTAAAACGATAAACAAAATCAACAAATTTTTAGCAAGACTAGATAGGAAAAATATGTGAAAACTCAAAGAAGACCAGAAATATAAAAAGAAGACATTAAAACTAATAACACAGAAATACAAAAGATCATAACAAACTACTATGAACAGTTATATGTCAAAAAATTGATAATATAGAATTAGTTAAATTCCTAGACACATACAACTTGCCAAGACTGAATCATGAAAAAACAGAAAATTTTAAATGAGCAAGCAGATTGTATCAGTAATAAAAAGTCTCCCGTCAGAGAAAAGTCCAGGACCAGACGGCTTCCCTGCTAAATTCTACCAAACATTTACATCAAAATTAATGCCAATTCTTCTTAAACTTCAAGAAAAAGAAAGTAGAGAGAATATCTCCAAACTCATTTTATGAGGCCAGCATTATCCTGATTCCGAAGCCTGACAAGGACAAAAAGAATTGCAGGCCAATGTCCCTGATGAGGACACATGCAAAAATCCTCAAAAGCATATTAGCAAAACCAAATTCAACAACATATTAAAAGAATTATTTGCCATGACTAAGTGGGATTTATCCCTGGGGTGCAAGAATGATTCAACACAAGCAAATCAATAAATGAGAAATACCACATTAACAGAATGAAGGATAAAAACCATATCATCGTTGCAATAGATGAAGAAAAAGCATTTGAAAAAATTCAACACTTTGTCATAGTAAAAACTTTCAAAAGATTAAGTACAGCGGAGGGTACCTCAACACAATAAAGGGCATATGCGACAAACCTGTAGCACATTATTCTCAATGGTAAAAAGTTGAAAGCTTTTCCACTAATATCAGAGGCAAGGCAAGGATGGTTACTCTCATCACTTATTTTCTACATAGTACTGGAAGTTCTAGCCAAAGACATTAGGCAGGAGAAAAATATAAAATTAATCCAAATTGAAAAGAAAAAATTTAAATCACCCTGGTATGCAGATTGCATGATCATATATAAAGAGAAGTTCGAAAGGACTTCATGAAAAACTTTTAAAACTGAAAAAACAATTTTAGTAAATTTGCAGGACACAAAATCAACATACAAAAATTAGTAGTGTTTTTATATACTAATAAATTATTAGAAAAATAATAAAATAATATCATTTACAATAGCAACAAAATGATTAAATAGTTAGGTATAAATTTAAGTGAGGACAAAAAGACTTTATACTGAAAACTATAAAACACTGATGAAAGAAATGGAAGAAAAAACAAATAAATGGAAAGATATTTTATGTTCATAGACTGGAAAAAATAATGTTGTGAAAAATGTCCACACTACCCAAAGTGATCTACAGATCCCTATCAAAACTCCAATGGCATTTTTTCACAGAAATAGAAAAGTCAAATCTTTTAAATTTGTCTGAAACCATGAAAAACCCCAAAGAGCGAAAACAATTTTGAGCAAAAAGAGGAAAGTTGGAGGCATCACACTCCCTGATTTCAAAATATATTTTCCAGTGATTACAGATGGACATGGTGGCTCATGCTTGTAATCCCAGTATTTTGGGAGGCCGAGGTGGGAGGATCAAAAATTACCTGGGCATTGTGGTGTACATTGTGGTGTATATTTGTAGTCCCAGGTACCCCGGAGGCTGAGACAGGAAGATCGCTTGATCCCGGAAGACAGGCTACAGTGAGCCATCATCATGCCATTGCACTATAGCCTGAGCAACAGAGTAAGACCCTGTCTCAAAAAACAAATGTGATTATAATAACACAGCATTGTACTGGTATAAAAACAGACACATTGGCCAATGGAATAGGATAGAAAACCCAGAAATAAACCCATGTACTTATGATTAATAGACTTTTGACATGAGTGTCAAGAACACATAATGGGAAAAGGGACAATCTCTTCAAAAGGTGTTGGGAAAACTGAATATTCACATGCAGAAGGACGATATTGGACTCTTTTCTCACACCTTATACAAAAATTAATTCAAAATGGATTAGACACTTAAATATAAGACCTGAACCTGTAAAACTGCTAGGGAATTAAAAAAAAAAAACAGCGGAAAGTTCTACAATATTTGTCTGGGCAATGATTTTTTGGCTATGACCACAATAGCTCAGACAACAAAAGCAAAAATAAACAAATGGAATGCTATCTAACCAAAAATATTCGGCACAGCAAAAGAAACAATTAAGAAGTGAAGAGACAATTTACAGAATAAGAGAAAACATTTGCAAACCACACAACTTATAAGGGGTTAATATCCAATCTATACAATAAATTCAGACAATTCAATAACAAGAAAACAAATAACCCTATTAAACGAGTTCAGCAAAGGACCTGAACAGACATATCTCAACAGAAGATGTACAAATAGCCAATGGGTACATGGAAAAATGCTCAGAGTCACTAACCATTAGGGAAATACACATTAAAAACAAAAAGAGATCATCTCAACATGTTAGAATGACTTTCATCAAAAAGATGAAAGATAACAAGTGCTGGAGAGGACATAGAGAAGAGGGAATCTTTGTACACTGTTGTGGGAATTTAAATTACTATAGCCATTATAGAAAACAGTATGAAGATTCTTCAAAAAATTAAAAATAGAGCCACCACATGATCCAATAATTCCAGTTCTGAATACATATCCAAAAGAACTGAAATCAGTATGTCAAAGGGGTATCTGCCCTCCCATGTTCATTGCTGCACTATTCACAATAGCCAAGATATGTAATTAACCTGAGTGTCTATCAATGGATGAATAAATAAGGAAATGCCTCAGTCAAGTAAGCCAGGCACAGAAAGACAAATATTGCATGATCTCCAATTTTTAAACAGTTGAACTCATAGAAGTAGAGAATAGAATGATGGATACCCAAGGCTTGGGGGATGAGAAGGGAAGGAATGGGAAGCTGTTGAGCAAATAAAAGTTTAGATAGATAGGAGGAATAAATTTTTGGTTTTATTTATTTATTATTTTTTTCTTTACAAAAAGGTTTACCCACTCCAAGGACGAATAGGTTTTGATAGCTATTGCACAGTAGATATAGTCAAAAATATTTATTTTATTATTTTATTTTGATTTTTGTTGGTTCTGAAAGGACATACAGTTAACAATATTGTATTGTATATTTTAAAATAACTAGATTAAATTTCAAATTGTGTAACCACTAAAAAAGGTAAGTGAAGTGATGGATATGTTAATTAGCTTGATTTAATCATCGCACATTGTACACATATATCAAAACATTGCATTGTACCCCATGAATGTATACAACTATGATTTGTCAATCAAAAATAAGATTAGTAATAAAAAAGTATTTTGCATATGTCAAGGGACAATGCAATTTGGTTGTAATGGTTTTATAAGTTCTTGAAATAATAGGCTACAGAATTTTGTTATTGAGAAGTAGGCAGTAAAGAGTTTCTCTTACAGCCTAGGATTCTACAGTGTTAGGCTCTACAGAGAGCCTTTCAGATTTTTTTAAATCCACAGTTATGTCTTTGCAACATTCCATCCCTTGTTGCAGCAAAGATGGAGATGTTAAAGGCCTGGCAACAAAATTCATACCAGCCCAGGGGCAGAAATCTGACTTTTCAGAGACAATGATTTCACCCTTAGTTTGGAGATCAAACCCAAGACTCGATGTCTGGGTTTTAAAAAGATCAATATTACCTGGGAGGGAGAAAGGGAAATATATTGCTTCTCAAGATTCTCCTTTCCCCTGTAGACATATTGAATTTTCATCTTATATATATTTTCCAGTTGCTGAACTATTCATACAAAATGTAAAGCAGATAAGTAAAAGCAATTACCTCCAGGAGTCTTTTCCAGAGAGGCAGTCTCTGAAACAAGTTGTCTATGGTTGAATGAAATATTATTAAAATAAGTTCATCACCACTACAGGGGCCATAGTCCTCATTAGCATGAAAGAACTATCTAGGGATTCACAGATGACTTAATTTCATGATCACGATGCTTGTAGAGATCAGAAGAGTCATGTTTTTCACTTTCAGCCAAGGTCAGATGGCCACTATTTTCATTACCTCAAAGAAATTCCAAAAACGTGAAAAATCCAACAGTCAAAAACTAAATAAATCCAGAATCTATGGACTATGGTTATGCTTCTAGGTAAATTTACTATTATCATCAGAGTCTAGTGAAAAAGGCCTTGGTCCACTTCCCAGCTTTGCTAGCTAAATTAACAAATAATAATTTATAAGCAGGAAACTCTTGCCTATTTCTTTGTTTTATTTTGATATACATTCAAGTTATGCTAAGTTCAAAGCAGTGCATGCATTCTACATTAAATAAAATTGGGCACTTTTTGTTTTCTTAAACTTTTTAGAGGCAAATAAGTATTTCTACCCAGATGGCTTGTGGCAAGCATTTCTCACCTAGGCTTTGAGAAGGACATCCAAAAATTCTAGTGAACTGAAGCGTTTCCTTGAACAGATAGACCCCCCGAGAGAAACTGTGTCATCATAACAATAAAATTTACTCAAATAAGAAATAAAAATTGTTCATTATTTAGGCTTTTCTTAAATGACTTGATCTCTGCATAATACTATAGAAAATATTTAGATTTTTGCAGCTCTTTTGAGGGTGGAAATGTACTGACTATATGAAGAACATGTCAGAATCAAGTGAATTACCAGAAAGGCTCAGAGACATTCCAAAACATGTCACTTACTGAATAAGTGATAACAACATAACACTCCTGATCATTCAAGAGAATCAACAGTGCCATGAGTCTACAAAAATACCAAGTGGTCAATTAACATTTTCCAAATTCTACTACATGCCTAGTATATGATGTTAGATACAGAATAAGTGAAATATTTGTTCTTGCTAATATAATATATAGGCTTCAGAAGAAACAAAAAAAAGTTTAGCACCTTTGTATGACACTAAAGAAATATCTAAAAAAGTGATGATTTTGATGACTACCACAACATCAAGGAAGAATGAATATTGTAAAATATTTATCCAAATCTACAATGACAAATGCAGGCAAACAGAATTAACTTCATTATTCATGCCAAGGCAGGGAATTGTTTGGTGGTCAAAAAAACCTGACCCTCAAATTTGTACTTATTCTTATTTTCCCACAAAACTGCCAGAGGGGGCTCCTGTGACCCTGCCAACCATTTTTGGTTGAACTAATGGAATCATACTCTCCAGTGAAAACCCCACATTACTTGCTTGAGAGGAAAGAGAATTCTGAGTTTTCAGCTGCCTATCCAGTCTCATCTCGATACTGATTGAACAAGTTAAAGGAAATGACCCTCACTGTCTCTGACACAAGTAACAAAGCTCACACTCCTTCTGCTCTGCCTGATCGATTAGATTTAGCCACCAAGAGCAGCGAGACTGAGTCACAGGTATAGGAGCCTCCTCTTCATGATTTAATTACATCTTAGTTCATCCAACACCACAGTGTGCTGTAAAGATCACGGAAAAACGAGAGAGCAGGAAATTATTGTTTTTGTTGAAGAGGACTAAGAGTGATTATTATGACCTAAGTGCCCTATAATATATTTAAAAACATTTTCAAAATAAAAAAAGTGCAAATATAAACCCCAGATGAAAGAACGTAAAGGAGACAGTAAAAGTACTAGAGGAAGGAGGTTTTACTTACTGAGACTATTAGCTGAAAGGCATATATGCCTTTAGGTTTCTCTACAAAACAGAAAGAGACACAGCATATATAATGTACTGCCATTGTCAGAGTAATGGAACTTTGTCCATTTTCCCTTTGCACTTTAAGTGCTGCTGTCAAACATGTGCTTGTTCACTTTTAATTTGCTTTAGAGACCATCTGCTATCTTGCCCACTTTCAAGACATGCTATATCACAAGCATGGTTTTCCAATTAGCTGGGATGCTGGATCAGATTCAAGCCACACCAAAAATCAATTTTACAACTGCCAAAGCCAATTGCCAGGGGCAAGGAGAAGCTGTATGATTTAAGAATTTTATAGTGTTTGTAAGCCCTAGAAAGTTTACAGCTTCCTTTAATTGGCCAACCTAAACAGAAAAGACTCTCTTCGCCAACATGAAAAGATACATTCAAAACATAAAATGGTGCATTTTTGTTAAAATATTGTTTTAAAATTAGTTGAAAAGTTTTAGCAACTATACATATTTATTTAAGTGCTGATTGGGAACATCTTCATAATTAGTAAACAATAGCTGAGACCTGGTTGCATAGCTTGTTAGTATTATCATGACCCAAATATTCTTCCACATGATAAATTTCTGTGATTAAAATTCACTCATGTTTATTGTAGTACTTAAAGAGACTATACCATCTATAGAATATTAGTATATTTTTTGTAATTTATATTGTAATTATATTGAATTTGATTCATTTACTAAAGTTCAAGATCATCCAAGAATTTCAGTGCTAGGAAAATATAATACAATTTTTACATCAAAACTTTTTCATGTAGTGATATAACAGCTGGCCTAACTCTCATCTAACAGGACATTTACTTTTTTTTCTCTATTCCCTGATTTGCAGCATTTCTACCCAAACTTCAGAATCTGCATTGGCCAGGAAACCCTGTTCAATTACAGTATTTCATTTACATTTTAAAAGTATTTTTTTCATAAGAAAGAATATCAAAGTAATTATTATAGTTTTGCCCATGTGGTATTATCAACAACTATTTGAAAAGAAATTATGAATCTGTAATATCAGATGTAATGCTTTTGAGGTTCAACCTCAAATGATGTAAAACTGAGTTAATATCCCAAGGTCTGGGTACTAAATTGATGGCTATTAAGACAATAGACCTAAATGGATAAAACCAAGTTAAAAGGCCCTTAAGGGCTACATATTGCTCTTCCAGCTCCCCATGGAATTATTCTGTGTGTGCAAATGAAATCTAGACTATTGGAAACAAGAATGAAGACCACACTCTATTACTACCATCACCAATAAGTCTACTGATTCCAACTTAATTCACCTTGTTTATAAATAAATACTAAACAGAAACTTTCTGATTAAATGCAAATTACTGTGTATTTTCAGAGACATGACTATATAGATTGAGAAAAATTATTAGTCATTGAATGAATAAATCAATCATATGAATTATGAAAAGATTGTGAAATAGTACATATCTTTCTCAAATATTGTATATCTTAGATATGCACAAGACTGCAGGCTTTCAAGGAGTTATCTTGTAGAGGGATATTCTTATTTCAGTATAATTTTCATTGTTCAAAATACTTTTCTAATTCTCCTTTTGGATTTCCTTCCAGACCACTTTAAATCCTACTCAGGAAAAGCAGTCCCATTGTTTTTTGTTTGTGTTTGTTTTTGTTTTGTTTTTTGTTTTGTTTTGTTTTGTTTTTGAAATGGAGTCTCACTCTGTTGCCCAGGCTGGAGTTCAGTGGTGAGATCTTGGCTCACTGCAAGCTCTGCCTCCCAGTTTCACACCATTCTCCTGCCTCAGCCTCCCGAGTAGCTGGGAAGCAGTCCCATTTTATATTAATCACATCTAGACATTCCATCACCTGGCTATTATCCAACTTGATCACCTATCCTATTAGAAAAGTGAATCTTGAAGTTTTTGGCAGTTTCTACAATCAAATTCACTCTAATTTATTAAAAAGATTTGGCATTTTTGATGGCATATACAATGTTTTGTGTTACATATCTGCTCCCCTCCTAAATAGGAGATATGTGAAATTGAGGACTCACAGGATAAAGCAAGAAAGCTAGGAGACCATGTACCAACTGGGCCACAATGTATAGGTTCCCCTGCATGATGGTTTATTTTACATGCCAGTTTGACTAGGCTAAGAGATGCTTAGATAGCTAATAAAGAATTATTTCTAGGTGAGTTTCTGTGGGTGTTTCTGGAATATATTAACATTTGAATCAATAGATTGAAATTTAATAAGTCTGCCCTCACCAATGTGGGCAAGCATCACCCAATCCATTGAGGTCTGAATAGAACAAAAAGGTAGAGGAAGGGTGAATTTCCCTCTCCTCTTGACCTGGGACAGTCATCTTCTCCTGCTCTCAGATATCAGAGTTTTGCTTGGTGGTCCTTCAGATTTGGATCAGGACTTACTGACATAGTTGTCTCCTTTGGCTGTCAGGCCTTTTGCTTGGATTGGAATTACACCACTGGTTTTCTTGGCTTCCAGCTTAAATATGGCAGACTGGGACTTTTCATCCTCTATAATCACTTGAGCACTGAGAAGAGCATCTCTTCTTCTCTATCTATTTTTATATCTGTCTCCATATCTGTATATATATCCATCCTATTGGTCCTGTTTCTTTGGAGATCCCTGACTAATGCACCCTGTAAGGATCTGGTATGCAGAAAGGACTCAAATGGCACTTATTTTGTACCAAAGACAGTTTCAAAGGTAGCACCTGCTTTGACTTGTCATTTAGAAAATGAAAACTATATCTTTTATATCTCTCAGCTCTATTGTGACCCTGTGCAAGGATCAATCCAGCTAATAATCTCTTGGAAGAATATTCCACAGAATTCCCCTAAGTGCAGCAAATGCTTGTTCCATACTGACTTGAAGGCTGAGGGTTTAAATGAGAAAGGGAATCAATGCCCCAGCTGTTTCCTCTGACAGATGATGGGATTTAAGCCCAGGGACTGATTCATTAATTCCAACACACATAAATGCTTCTTCAATGTCTTTTACTGAGGAAGGCTTTTATCCCAAGCTAATCAAGGATAGAAACTAGTCCTTGATTATTTGGTAAAAGAATGACTAAGAATGACTTCAGAGAGACAGCTCCTCCACACAGGATGTTTGAAGACTGTTCAAATTTAGCATAACATCTTGGTTTTCCTGAACATTTTTAGGCCTAAGAAAAAAAATTCCAACATCTTTACATGAACAGTTATTCCAGAAGTGGAAAGAAATCTCAGTGTAGTACTTGTGAAAAATATGTCCAGCAGAGGCGACTGCAAAATGTTTAGAACAATAGAAGCTCGTGGGGCTTTACTGGTTTCTGAGGTGACTTTGAATGGCAATAGGCAAGTTTGGGAATATTTGTTAGACTATAAACCCTGTGACCTCATATTGTATTATTGATTGCATTCATTGGTTAAACACATTATTCCTCCTGGAATCTCAGTGGCAGGGAATTGTTCTGTGGCTTTCTCTATGACAGAAAACATGGTGATGATCTGGATGAAAGCAGTCACTGACTACTATCAGCAATTGGGAAATGCAAAACCAAAATAGTGCTATATTTATATAAAATTATATTTTTAGTGCTGTATTTATATAAAATTATAATTTTGAGATGTCTAACTTTCCTAGGAAAATGCAAAACAAATTTTGAGTGAGATGAGTCTTGCTTTTATGTCCTTTTCTGCAAGTAAAATAGACGATAGATATGTAAATAGATAGCTTATAGATGACAGATAATTCATACTATTTATCAATATCACATAATATTTCCAGTCTTGTCCCCTTTTCAAGTTTTTTTTTTTTCCTCCTTAACCACTTACTGGTTGCTTATAAGTCACTTATCTGCTGGACAATAGCTTATTTGCATGTGCATATGTAAAACATACGCAAAGAGTTAGAAACTTAAAGCAAAGAGGGAGACTGCAAGATGCAAGTTTAGTCATAAGAAGCAGATGTTTTGCTTGCAATATTGCCATTGTCTGACCACAGAGGAATCTTCAGAGAAATAGATTATCTCCCTTTCACTTTGTTTGCCCTTTGTTCATTTCAAATTCCTTGTAGCCACATGGAGTCTCAGTCAAATGTCTTGATTTTCCCCTTTCTCATGATTTAGTGGATTTGAGCTGAGCTCCCAATGATTAACGATCAAAGTGAGAATTTGGAAAGCTTTGGCTAATGTATAAAAATATTTAATAGTTAAATCTATTACCAAACTCACCATCTTCTTTGGAGATATTTGTATATAAATAGACAATCATACTCAATCCTACTTAATAGCTGCCTATTGGGTGGGTTTTATGCAACAACAAGAAGTTAGGGAATGCTTGGGAAGAGGAGGGTCTCCTGGACTTTCAAACATATTTCCATTTCACAAATATAAATTCAAACACAAAAAATAAAATTTCAGAAAAGAAGACCTACTGTGACTCAGGGACTTTTGCAACTGATACAAGGGTCATAAGAAGAATAAAATGTGTTTCTGCGCTCACCTGTTGAATACAGGAACTATCGTGACTATGCAACATTGGGCCCATTACTAAATCTGTCTGGTGACCCATTTTCCTATGTGCTAAACAGAAGAATTGTAATTGCCTAAAGCATATGTTTGAGGATCCCATGTATAGTCTGAGTTAGACACGTAGTAAGGAGGACTCGATATATGAAAAAGCAAAAGAAGGAGGGGAAGACACAAGCAGGAGGGGAAGAAAAAAGGGGATCAGGTTACTCCCAATTCTACCAGAAGAGAATTAGACCATTAAGGCCTCCACAAGATTCCTCTCTGTTCCACTACTCATTGATGTGCTCTTTGTTCTTGATTCTGATTCCAAGAATTCTCAGTCTTAGCTGTCCACTAGAATCAACTGGGAGGCCTTCAAATTCTGGTGCCTAGGCTGTACTCCAGACCAGTTAAATCAGAAATGCTGGGAATGTAACCCAGGCAGATGAAGTTTGTAAATCTCTGCAGGGGATTCCAGTATGAGCTAAGGTTGAGAACAACTGTCCTGTTCCATGCCTCAGCTTCGTACTTTTAACCAGCTGAGTGCTTGTTGGCTCTGGCATAGTAAGCTCTTTCAGTCCAGCAAATCTGAAGCATGCTGACACAATTTTTTAAATGAACATATTCTTTTAGAAAGAGGATGAGAATGTATTAAAACACATAACTTTGGACTCGATAGCAGTGTTCTCTGTGTTAAGCTTATTTTTTTAAAAAGAGGAGCAAGTTATCCCATTAAAATATTGACTCAAAAATAAAAATTTCCTACCCTATTGGAGAAGAATATATAATGTGATGTGAAGCCGAATGTCAGTCTAGTCTTTGAGGTTTATATGCACTTACAGAAACAAAATTTTCAAAGTCTGGACCCATATGGATTTTTCCTAATGCTGCATCAATAAAGCCTTGCTCTGGATCACTTTGATGCTTGAATGGAAAGTGGCTGTTTATGGAAAAATTGTGTGCCATAAAATGTACTTGTAAAATTACACGATCAGCAAAGGTTCTCAGAATCTCCTCTCAGACATATTATATGCAAATTTTTGTTTCACTTGATGCTGATTTCAGTAAAATTTATTTCTCTCATCAATTAAGAAACACAAATAGATCTGTGTTTTGAAAGGATGTTTTAAAAGAAAACAGAGAAAAACACCCATCTGAGCATGAAAGAAAAAAGATTTAGGTTTTCTTACCACAATGGAAAAATGGTTACATTATGAACAAACCCTTTAAGGTAATAAATGAATTTTTCATAAGACATCATTTTTTACTAGCTGTTATAATCATTTTCTCCTTATTGTGTTCTCCAACTTGCCAATAACATCATTTTAACATTATTATGCAACAAGCCATGCTCCACTATGTGGCCTAATATTTCACTTTAATATCCATTCATTTTCAATAGCTCAGGCTCTCCAAGGCCTTGCAGAAGCACTCTGTCTCTGGTGAGGTGTCAGTTTAAGTGTGATCTATTATTTGGCTTGGTACAGGAGGTGTAACCACTCAGTGGCAATCATGGAAATCATGAAAAAAAGTGTACAAACATCTGGGACCCAAAAGTCATTTCACTGGCTAATAGTGTCTGAGCTTTGCTAATAGATCTTATTTAAAGTGCAGAACACTATTTATAGATTTTTTAAAACCCTATCTAACAACTTAAAAGACATTCTATTTCAGTTACAGCATTGTACATAGTGCAGAAAGCAATGTTCCCAGTGTGACCTACTGATACTTCTGAAGCTGACATCACAAGGGGGGCAGCCAGGGGTACCTGGAATGACACAATCCCAAAGTTCTCTCTTTGTGTAGCCAGTGAGCATGCTCAATATTTATCCTAACAGATATAGGGTGAATGTACATGTTTTCATTTCACATATAAATAAGGGAGTATAGGAGAGAAGCTAAAAACAGGCTGTGGATGCAAAATGCCTGGGTTGAAATCCTACCTGTGACTGTGGGCAAATCTCTTAATGTCTATGTGCCTCAGCTTCCTCACAGGGTAGAGTGAAATACTGCTCAAAATATTTGCCACTGCATCCTGGGAGAGAATTATCGTCTCCTGCCCCATTGTATTCAGACTTAGATGTGTGCCTTGCTTTGGCTAATGATGAGGGTCAGAGTGACGTGCTGCTTCAAAGCTGTAGCATTAAGAGCTGTTCTGTAGTGCCATGATCTCTCTTGCCTCTGCTTGAAAACTCAGAATGTCCTGGATGGAGGCCATCCCCTCTACCTGGTCCCATGGAACAAGACTGCTGCTCACCCCTGGTGGACACAGTGTGAGCAAGAAATAAACTTCTGTGTGTATTAGCTCCAACTGACTTATTTATCTCATAAATGATGGGAATAATAATAATACTTTAAAAACTAGAGTAGGATGCATGAGTACTAAAAGGACAACATCAATACAGCTATTATAAAGTGCCTGGCATATGGAGAGCACTCAATGTGAGTCATTATTATTATTAATATTATTAATATATCTAAGTCAAAGATGAGGCAGATGATGGTGTCTGTTCTCTAAATATGATACTTTTTGCCTCACTCACAAAAAAAGACATGAATTTGGATTTTGTTTTGTCCTACCTATACACATGGGAATTGCTAACCTAGTTATGTTTCTCCACTGATTAAGTCATCTTTTAGAGGCTGGGTAGGGTTGCCAAGTTTAGCAAATTAAATTATAGAATACCAGATACATTTTCATTTTATATAAACAATGAACAATTTTTTATATTAGTATGTCCCATGGAATATTAAAGATGTATGTATACAGAAGACATTAGTTGTTCATCTGAAACTCCAATATAAATGGGTGTCCTGAAATATATTTGGCAATCATAGCCTGGAGCCATATGCGGTCCTGGTCTGATAGCTGCAATGTTGCCTTTCCCCTCCTTTTATTTAACCTGTGGATCCTGAAATGTGTATTACTATCATTTGAAACTACAGACCTATTTGGTTGTAAAAATTTTAACTTTGTTGGTACAGGTGCACAGGAGTAAAAGCTGTGTCAAGGATCAGAAGATTTAGGACTTCTGTGATTAGTCCAGAAGTCCAGTTCTGTGATTAATTAACAGTGTTAACTTAGACAAATCACTAATATTTCTCCAGGCTTCAGTTTTCCCATTAGTAAAGTAGGAAAATTATAGTTCTTATAAAACTCTCCAAATAAAAGCATGTACAATTGTGCTGATGAGGTCTTAGATCATTATGGTCTATTTAATTAATGACTGCTTATGTGGGCTTCTCTGTGACGTACTTCTAAGCACTTTATAAATATTAACTAATTTTAACCTCATAATAACTCTATAAGGTTGGTACCATTATTATCTCCACTTTACAGATGAAGAAATTGAGAGAAGTTTAAATAACTTGTTTAGGATCACACATAATGAGTGGAAACTCTAGAATTTGAATCCAAGTGATCTGCCTTTATCTTCTCTGTACGATAACACAGCACAAAACCAGATTCATACATCATAGAGGCAAACCTTCAGTCATAATTAACTTTGATAAAAAAAAAGTACATAAGATGAAGCTTGAATAACTGACCTTCAGTAGAATTGAATAGCTTTTAGTGACAAAGAAGTACTTGAAGTAGTGCTCGTTTCAGGCATTAGAACAATGCTCATAGATGAACATTTGAACCGGTTAATATGAAAACTTATAACTTTGGCTTTGGTTAATGTATGAAAAGATTTAATAGCTAAATCTATTACCAAACTCACCACCTTCTTTGGAGATATTTGTATATAAATAGACAATCATACTCAATCCTACTTAATAGAGGCCTATTGGATGGGTTTTATGCAACAATAAAAAGCTAGAGAGAAAATGCTTGGGAAGAGGAGAGTCTCCTGGACTTTCAAACGTATTTCCATTTCACAAATATAAATTCAAACATAAAAAATAAAATTTCAGAAAAGAAGACCTACTGTGACTCAGGGACTTTTGCAACTGATATAAGGGTCATAAGAAGAATAAAATACGTTTCTGCACTCACCTGTTGAATACAGGAACTATCATAAGTATGCAACATTGGGCCCATTACTAAATCTGTCTGGTGACCCACTTTTCCTGTGTGCTAAACAGAAGAACTATAATTGCCTAAAGCATATGTTTGAGGATCCCATGTACAGTCTGATTTAGACATGTAGTAAGAAGGACTCAATATATGAAAAAGAAAAAGAAGCAGGGGGAAAACTGAAGCCTGGAGGAATATTAGTGATTTGTCTAAGATAACACTATTAATTAATCAAAGAACTGGACTTCTGGATTAATCACAGAAGCCCCCATCCAACACTCAGTTTTTATTCCTGTTCACCTCTACTAACAAATATGTCTGTGGTTTACAACCAAGTATGTCTGCGGTTTCAAATGATGGTAATACACATTTCAGGTTCTAGAGGTTAAATAAAATGAGGGGAAAGGAAACACTGCAACTATCAGACCAGGACTGCGTATGGCTCCAGGTTATGATTGCCAAATATATTTCTGGACACCCAGTTGCATTTGAGTTTCAGATGAACAACCAATGTTTTCTGTATATGCACATCTTTAATATTTCACTGTGCATACTAATATAAGAAACAATTTTTTATTTTTATTTATTTATTTTTTGAGGCAGGGTCTTGCTTTGTTGCCCAGGCTAGAGTGCAGTAGCACAATCATGGCTCACTACAAATTCTGCCTTCCCAGCTCAAGTGATCCTCCCAGTTCAGCCTCCCAAGTAGCTGAAACCACAGGCATGCACTATTACAGCTGGCTATTTTTTATTTTTTTGTATTGTTAGTAGAGATGGGCTTTCACCATCTTGGCCAGGCTTCTCTCAAACCCCGGGGTTCAAGCAATCCGCCTGCCTTGGCCTCCCAAAGTTCTGTGATTACAGGAGTGAGCCACCTTGCCTAGTCTCCCTCAGAGATTTTTTTAAATTGATTAAATTGCCTAGAAGCCTTGGAATTTTGTAGAAGAACTTTGCATGGCAATTATAGTAAGTCATATGCAATGTGGTAAAAAAATGAGTTTTTGAAAATTCTCAGGGGCACCTATTTAGACTCAGTGACCATCTTTGATGGTATTTGGGCAAGGAAACAGCAGCCACTAATGAATCGTTCTGTTTCCTGCCTTGGCCTATGACCAGTGAAAGAGGCACTTAGTATCAATGCTTAATTATACAGACCAGCAAAAGGCCAAAGTATACAGTGAGATCATGATATAATACACACATAAAAATGAGGACTTTCTTAAAAATTGAAGCGGGGTTATAGAATTTTGCCTCCTACATTGACAGGAAAATACCATTGTAATGGCTCAATGTATGTGGTGTCAGCCAATGATCAGGGTGGTGGGTGTGGAGGTTTAGTTTACTGTGGAAATGAAATTAAGTCTAAATTTCTCATGAATTTATCTCATAGCATAGGTATTATTCCCCAAAGAGAATCATGTGGGTTTGTCAAGCCCTAAGGGTTTTACAGAGATACTACAGAATCTACAATTCATGTATTTCTTAAAGATTGTCTCTGTCCTAAATACAGTATATGTCTTATACGTATTGTTACAAATACTTGCCAGACTTACTTGCATATTATTGCAATTAATCAAACAAAAGATAAAATATTTACAGAGTTTTGAAAGTTTCTTTTACTTCTTTTCTTTTTTCTCACATCATGTATACCAGTATCATGTAGAGATCTGACATTTCTCCCACTCTTGAAAAAAATCTGAGAACCAGGGCTCCAAAGTACTAGATATTAAAGCTATTTTCTATATAGTCTGTTTTGAGAGATTTCAGGTAGGCCTTTTGTTCAAAGACATTCCCTAACCCAGGTGTTTGAAATTTTACCATCAGAAAGCTGTTTGTTGCGTGAACCAAATCCTGACATTCTGGGGTACAATCAGATTCAAGGGGCTACACATTTTCTTTAGATGGTCAGGACACACATATGAAAAAGTGTAAATTTTGTTGATTCCTAGCAATTTATACGACCCCTTTTCACATTTTTTTAAAGAATCTCCCCCACTCCCCAATCTCCCCCGGGGTGTGTATGTGTGTGTGTGTGTGTGTGTATGTGTGTTATTTTCCTCCGGTATACGCTTTGCCAATATACCAGTATTTATTGAAAATCTCACTCTGTGAGAAATAAGAAACTGCCACTTTTTTCAGGTGGTTTACAAACCTATTCCACTAAATCTTACTAAATTCTTATAACATTCTTGAAGAGATAGATATTAATACCTTCATTTTACAAATAAGGAAAAAGAGACTGAGAAGCTAAATGTCTGGCCTAGTGTCCTTTTGGCTAAGTGGCAGAGTTAATATTTGACCCTAGAGCTGTGAAGCCCTTCATCTTTTCACCTCACTGTATGGCAGGAGGCAGCCATGAGGCAATCTGGGCCACTGTCTATCTGTAAAAGACCTGCAATCTAAAGATCTATTGTACATTTTAAATGGTTATACTTTAAATGGTCATGTGACTACATCTATAATAGCTGTGATTTTTTTTTTTCTTTTGGTCCACAAAGTCTGAAATATTTACTATTTGGCTCTTTACAGAAAAAGTATGCAGACCTCTGATTTAAGGCCTCCATAGCTTCACACAGCACTGTCCATTTGAAATATAATGTAAACCATATATGGAGTGTAAACTTTTATAGTATCCTTATTTTAAAAGGTAAAAAGAAACATATGAAATTAATTTTAATAATGTATTTGATGTAATCCAATATATCCCAAAGGCCATAATTTCAATATGTTACCAATATAAAAAAACTATTAATGAGATATTTTATAATTGTTTTCATCATAAATCTTCAAACCCAGTGTGTATCTTAATCTCACAGCACATGTCAGTTTGGGTCAGGTACATTTCTAGGGCATAGCGTTCATGTGTTCCAGTGATGATGTATTTTTTAAAATATTAATGATGTTTTATTAATTTCTCCATTAAAATTTTAGTACCAACTAGAAGCCAGATTCAAAATCATGATTTCCCTCTTACCATATTGTTGTCACTTTGAGTTTTGTTACTATTCCTTTCTTGGCCACTTTAATTAAATAAAAAACATTTTATTCAGATTTTAAAGTTGATATTAAGGGATTTATGAAAGACAAACCTAAGTTATCTTCTGATTTTGATGTGTGGGGCAGGACACATGAAGCTCATCAGCCACTCTATCCCTTTTCTCTTTTAATCTCTTCAGAACACTAATCACTTGATCCTGTGCATGTATATTGTGAAATCTCTTTGTGCGTTTTTTGTCTCCTTACCACTGAAATGTAAGCTTCATAACATCAGAGATCTTACATGTCTTGTCTAGTTCTATATTTCTAGGACCTAAAACAGTGACTGGCACCTAACAGGTGCTCAAAAAACATATTTTTGGATGAATAAATCATAAAAAGTTTCACATATATAAAGCAAGACAAGCAGAAAATATTTCTGAGAAGTGCCATGCAGTAAGGCACTAGCACCACAGAGTGAATTGGTTTATCCAACTGATTTAGACAAAAATGGTGGACTCATTGGGCAAGAAAGGAAAAAGTTTGAAACAGGAGGAAAAAAAAATAGACACTGGTGAATACCTGCTTCGTAATTTTTCCTAGAGCTAACTAGCAAAATAAGTTACCCAAGTAAATTCCAAATAGAATACCCGTCTCTCATTTTTACAGATGTTGGCATGTATTTTTAACTGGATTAACAATATTTTCTACCACAGTTTCTTCAGCAGAACAGCAGGTGAGTGAGGAGAGAGCCCTGTTTTTTAGTTTATTACATCCACCAGCTATTTCTCTTTTTAAAATTTCTGCCAGCACTACCTGGTGAAGTTAGACTAAGAAAATGGAAGTTACATTTCAATGCCTGGGAGAAAGCCTTCAGAAAACTTCACAAAACAAAAACTTTAGTTCTTATTATCTCCACCAGGCCTTCAGATTCACCTAAGATTCTTTAGCATCCTTGGTGACCTTTTAAATGCAGTAAAATGCCTGCCTCAGGTAAAATCGGCAATGCTTTAGAACAAAGGTTTCGTAAGCGGTGGTTTATAACGCATGTAGGATTTGAAAAGTACGTTTTTCCTTGTCTTGAAGATATGTCTTATTAAGATGGCGTACCCCCTTGGAGGCAATATTACTTTTTCAATAGTTCAAGCTTGCAATAACACTATTTCTTGTGAGGAAGCCTAGAGTATTTTTATCTGGAATAGACTGATGCTATTTGAACAAATATTATTTCAGGAGATTGGAGATTTGCAGGTAGAAAGAGTTGGTCAGGTTTTCAGCACAGAGGCGGGCTGAGAAAAGAGTGTGGGAAAGGAAATTGTCAACCCATCCACAAAGCACTACTGTTCTCCTAAAAATGGCGCCCATTTCGAAAGAAAACCGCCGTATTGTAACATTTCCTTCAGGATTCTCCTCACTGCTGCTACTAAGGGCATGTTTGATTTTTTCTAAAACAACAGATATGAATCACATAATATGCAAAAATTACCAAGTGAACATGAAGTTTATTCAGATTGCCATCTATTAACTCTATTCTAGATAAACATAGCATTTTTTAATCTGTGAATTCAAATTTTACACACACACACACAGATGTATTTATATATATAAAAGTGCTTGTTCATCTAGAGGTTCTATCTTAAGTAAACTTTGAACACTAAATCACAGTTACTTACTCTGTGTGTGTGTGTATAGAGTGCATATATGTGACCAGAACAATACTAATATATATATATATATATATATATAAAGGAGCAAAAATTAATAAGACCCAGCACAGATAAAAAATGAAACACAATAAATTATATTTATAATTTTCTAATCTTTTAGGACAGATGAATTACTGAAATCATCAGGTGAAGTAACCATTAAACAGTCGTTTAGAAGTGTTTTTCACATTGTAAATCTGACTACTACTGCTGCTGAACTGTTTTCCTAGATACAGAATTTATTGATTTTCTGAATAATCTATGATCTTTTACAATTCCAAGTCGCTTCTTCAAATCACTTCCCCTGTATTCTACATCCAATAGCCAGTCTCTCAGTGCCTTGATGGGATTAATCCCACTAACTGTCCCTATACCACTTGTGTGAATGATTCCTTGGAACTTGAGAAGCACTGGAAATACTCAATCTTAGAAACTTTCACTTCCAATTTTTAATATCAAGATATAATTAGAATACACATTCTTTAAGAAACTGTGCAATTAATTTCTCTACTTCATCACCAATAAACCTTTCAACAAACTTCTAGTTTTATTTTCTTTTCTCTCAAGTGAGGGCCCAGTAGTAAACCCCTGCCTTGCCAGTACCATTCATTTCCCTTTACCTTTGTCCTTCCATTGATCTAGACCTAAAAACCCCAGGAAATTATCAACCCATCAGTCCTCCTTCTGTGACTCTACTTGTACTGCTGAAGAAAAGCAAAGAAACTGAGCAGTTTACCCTACTGAGACTTTTGATCTCTAAAACCATCTAGGTGGTCTGTGTTGTTGGTCACTCAAGTTGTCCATAACCAGCTCCGTTTACCATTAACTCAAAATCATTCTAATCACTCATCTCATTCTTTTAAGTTCCTTGCCTGCCTTGCCATTCTTACTCTTAGCATGATCCCCCACAGTTACAGAGAGAATAGGTACTATCATATAAATGTTCTCAACTTCCTGGCCTTGTTTACAAATACATCAACATTTAATTTTGCTTTACATCTATCTTTATCCCTGACATTGTCTATGCAAGGAAAATGGTTTTGTCTATGTGCAATATAGTCCTTTTTTTATAATCACTTTATAGGGCATTATGTATATGTATTAAAAAGATATATATCTACTTTTTTCTTCTCCACTGGCCCCATGTCCTTTGATATATAAATATGTTTATGCTTATGTCTCTTTCATCACTTAGTAAAAATGCTGCCACGATCTTGCCTGGAGCCTAGGTATTTATCTGTCTCTTCAAAAAATATCTAATGAGTAAATACTCAAGTATGTGCTAGGCACTGGACTCTAAATCAACCTTCTCCTCACAACCAAGCTTTCAAAGAATGGCCTATCTTGCAAAGAATGGCCTATCTTGCATATCTTTTCTTTTGCATGCAGACATTCATACATCGATCCCCTAAAACTGTACTTCAGCCCTGCCCACACTACTGAAACTATGGTGACAAAGATGATCCATACATTGAACACCTCTTGATTTGTGTTTTATATGCTTTGTTGACTTGGACACTATCCATCACTCAATTGGCAACATCATGAACAAACTCCTCTCTTGCATCTTAATTCTTTATTCACACTTTCTCAAGATCATTTAAGGTCTCTTCTTTTACACTTGTTAAATGTTGATGTTGGTCTTTCATGCTTTTTCTCCTTATTTTGCCAGGCATCATAGGCAAAACTTTCAAATACTGTACTATGGTTCCCCCCAGGACCAATCTCTTGAGCTCTAAGTGTGGGTTTCCATTTCACAACATTCAAACTTAAAATCAGCATCTTTTACCTTTTTGCCTTATTTTATTTGATGGAAGCCTCACTCATTGAATGCCTGAGACAGAATTATGAAACTTTCTTTTTATTCCCTTCTTTGTTTTTACAAAGAATTCTGTTCCGTGGATTCTCCTGAGTAAACTGTCTGGTGAATCCTTCCTCTCATCTCTGTACTTACTTCCTTGCTTCTGTCCTGGGCTTTGACTCCTGAGTCACTAAAACAGCCTCTAAAATGGTCTTTCTACCTCCACTTTAGTGCCTCCTAATCAACTTTTCTAGTACTTCAAGATATATTTCTAAAGTGTAAACCAAAGCACAGGACTTCTCTGTTAAGAAATTTTCAAAACAAAATAAAAATTCCTTGTAATTCATTCACTCACAAAATATTTATAAATAGATATGAGTCAGAAACCAAACCAGGCACCACATACCCTGTGGACATAAAAGTTACCAAGTCCCTGTCCCTTTAGAGTATACATACTGGACCATGTAAAACGCTGCACTTTTAATTCCTGAAATTATCTTCTGCACAATCAACACTCCAGATTTTCCTCAATCTTAGTCCTTACCACATTTTAATATGTGTGTGTGTGTGTGTGTGTGTGTGTATGTGTGTGTGTCTATTAGTCTTTCTGTTCATCTCTTCACAAACTCCAGTCCCTTGACGTCAGTGATGGAACAACAACCAAATGTAGACAATACCTGAGTCTGGCACATTATACTTGCTCAGGGATACTGATAGCAAACCCTGGTATAGTACTTTTTATGTTCCACACATTGTTGTAAGTGACTTATGTATATTAACCCATTTAATTATCACACCAACTCTATGAAGTAAACACTATTATCATTCCCATTTTCCTGATGAGAAAATAGAGCGTCCAAGAAATGAAGAAATTTGCCTATATTTACCCATTTAAGAATCAGCAGTTCTGGCATTCACATTCAGGAAATGTAGAGTTGAGTACCAGAAAAAAACGCTAAATACTTTTTAGATGAATGAATTCATACCTTCAGAGATGATGTTGCTATATTTAAAAGTTATCTAATCAATATCGGTTAAATGACTGCTCTGTAGAGTTTAAATATTAATGTAAGTGAAATAAGTGGTAAGAAAGCTATAAACAAGAATGGTCGAAACTGTGTGTTTAAAGTAGTAGAATATTTATCATGTTTCACTTGCCCCCACTAATGATTAGCTGTGTGCCTTAGACCAGGTAGTCTCACCTCCTTGAGTTTCTATGACCTCTTCAGCAGGAAGGGGTGACTGAAATTGATAATCTCCAAGAACTCATCTAACTCTCTATTACATGGCTTTTGTAACTCTTCTTATTCTCCAGTGAACTCCAATTCCTTCCTGCACCTAGAAAGGAGCAGTATCGTTGTGTCAAAACACAGTACTATGCAAATGTCTATGTGATTTCAGACTTTAAAATAATCTCAGCAATCTTAATATTTAACTGAAAATTATTTTTAACTTCTGCTAAAGGTATACAGTGAATTAAGGCTGCTGCTCTAAAAACAAAAGCTCAATTTTGTTTTGTTATTATAGGTTTGGAAAGTATGAAAATGAAAGCTAAATTTGTTTTTGTGAGGAGCCTCAGAGAGTTTATTTTAGAAAAAATAATGAGAAAGAAAGAAAAAATTAAAAACAAGTTTTGTAAACCACCATTAATTCCTATGAAGTTCATATTTTAATTTATTTATAATTAACTATACCTATTTCATGACTTTTGACTAATTTTTTATTTTTAATAGATAATAGCACCACATATTATTAAGAAAGCTCTTTTATTTCTATATTAAATCACAGGAAATTCAACACTTACCAGAAAGTTAAGTCAATTTAATCTTACTTGAAGTTTGTTTCAATTTTAATTATTTATAAGGTAAGTGTTTCTCCAGTTATCTGATTCCTAAGAGTTCTGTACCCTTAATTTCTCCTAAAGTCAACAGAAGTCACACTTACCATAATGCTGAATAAATATAGATTTTTTTTAGTCCAACTGGGTCTTTTTCTGAGTTTTTTAAAATATATTTTTCTCTGTATAAAGGAAGACCCACAGTTCTGGTTTTAGATATTTAGATTTCAAAGAGGAAATCTCTATTTTTCAGTTTTCTTAACGAGGTGCTATGAGGAAACCAAATAAAGCATAAGACGTATAAACAGCAGGGAACTTTCCACAAGGAAGAACAGAGAAACCGATTTATCACAGAGAACCATGAAAGCAGATCCATAGTTCTTTGATGGTCATTATTTTTATGAAATTCAAGATTTGATTCTTGCACCAGGCTTTCCCCTGCCTAGATCTGAGCTGTTTTCTTACTGACAGAATCAATCTTGTATCTCCCTCTCTCTTGAGATCCAACCAGAAAATCTCATTGGAAAAAATATATTACAAAACAAATAAGAAAACAGATTAAAATCTACAATACACAAAGGTCTTTTATAAACATAAGAACTTAAATTTGCTTTTAAAAATGTAATTGAAATAAGAAAGAGCAAAGGACTTAAATAATCAATTCACAGAAGAAGTATCCAATATTGTTAGGAAAATTAGTATTAAGATGTAAAGGGCACCTACTCTTTACCACACCAGTTTCATTCTTGAATTCCCTACTTCATTAAATAAAACAGTAAATTAATAGGGAGACATGTATAGAATATTTATGACAATGTTGCTTTCAAGGGCAAAAATATATATAGAAACAAACTGAGCACTCATTAATAGGAAAATGAATAAATAAACTATAGATCCATTAAAAATAATATATAAATTTAGAAATAAGTTAGCACTCTCTCATAAGACATGGAATAATTTCTTGTTTTATTGTTAACTAAGAAAAGCAAGATATAGACAAGTGTCTAGAATATGATCTAATTTGTATAAACTAAATATACAAAATGAGAAAAATTAGAACAAAAATCTAGGCAAGTGTGTGCATGATTCATTGAGCATGGAAAAAAAGAAGAAAGGATATACATCAGGTAATCTTGATGTCCCTGGTGGTGAAAACAAGAAGGAGGAAAAATATGGGAAATACACCCAAAGCAGAAGGATCCACAAGGAAAATCATCTTCTACGTGTAATCCCATTGATATAAAATCGTGTATGTCTTCATAAAGAGATGGATGAAAGAGTTCTAAGCATGTATTAATATTGGTGATATATAGTTAATGGGATTTCAGGGAACTTTTACTTTCTTCCCAAATTTTTTGGTATTTTTTTTAAATGTTATGCATATATGCAGTCAATCAAACCAAACAGGATATGAGTGTACTTATATATTAATACATAAAAGTCCTTACTGTCAGTCTATGTTGAGTGAACAAATAAGTTAATATATTGAAAATATTATCTTCACTGCCTACAACTAGGCTGCATTCTTGATAGTGTTAAAGGGTACAAAATGCTTTATAAATGCCAAGCTGGAGAATAAAGCAGTCTGGACTATTAGACAGTCTGAACATAAGTTAAGTTATTGAACTGCATGGGAATAGAAGCAAATAGCCAGAGGAATAAATTACATTTGGTGAGGTTGTAAGATGGAATGTTCATAGAGAGATAGAATTATGTAGAGGTGAAGATGCTAAGACAACATCTATGGCATGTTGTTTTCCCCTAAAATATGCCTAGATTTGGAATTTCTGTTGAAATCTTCAAAACTAAGGACATAGTTTTGAATAAGAATGTCTACTTATATGTATGTTTTCAAGCCAAGAACACAGACCACAAAATCCAACCCCCCATATATATCACCTTATGTTTAAGCATCCTTTATTTCTTTATGAAGTTGCAAAACTGTCCTGAATAAAACATTAAACTGCTAAGTCTTTCAAGGAGCTTTTCATTTAAATCCTTCTTTCAAAATCTGCAGGACCTGCCTCACCATCACAAAATCCAAGATAGAAGGAATAAATACCTAGGGAGCAATCTTTGTAGCCTTAAAAAACTATGCTTGTATCAATTACTGACATAAGTCACCTTCAACACTTCATTACAGGAAGCATTTATTTCTGTGCATACTGATCTTTGTCAAAGGGTTCAGTTGTTTCTTGAAGATAAAATACAAATGACACTGAATCTCTTGCAAGTCCCTCAGCTCATTCATTATGTCTGAAGGACCAGAGGATTAGTCTAGGGGGAAAAAGCAGCCTTGGAAAGAAACACAGGCTGTTATGGCTGGAATACACTATATTCATCTTCCCTTGTTGTGTATCAAATGACATGGTGTAGCTTCTTCTCTAGGAATGTCAACATTAACAGATGAATGCTATCTTTTATTAGGGAGAAAGAGGATTTGATAGAGAGAGAGAGAGAAAGGTGAAATGAAAAATACCAATTTTTTCTCCTGTAGGGGCTTATAAAGGCATTATCATTTTTTATGACTTTTATTTAAATATCCAAAGCAAGTTTATAATTTTCAATAAGACTATAAGTGTTTCCAGTTTTTCAAGTGTCTTTGGCTTTAAATGGATCATTAAAAAGTTACTTTTGCTTTAATTAAATAAACAAAGTAGTCACTTTATTCTTACATGAACCTCCAGGATTTTCAATTAGTTATTTCCACATTAAGCTTGGCTGAGGTGCTATGCTAATGTGCTTTTATCATTTTTGCCAAGAATAAACATGTGACTGGTTTACAGTAGGACAGGATGCCTCTGACTTTCATATGTCTCCTGCCATTGGCATTCTGAATATAAGTACAAGTTCCACTGCTCAGTAAACACCATTAATCTGCAGCTTATGCAAATCAGAAACCTATTATTTTAACTGTTTTAATAAGCAACGAAATCAGGACTACTGTTAGCCCACTTATTTTGAAGAGAAGTGTTCTGTAACTGGAAAATATTATTCCACTATTATCATTGGTATTGTCATTATTATATTAACAACATTTTACAGGACATAGAGAGATTTCAGCATAAAGCAAGATTGCATCTAAAACAATGTTCTCTTTCAATAGCACTGGTAAATAAGTTATAGTGATAATGCCAAAAACACTTCATTTATTGATTTAATGCCATACTGTTTGTGATTTATAAAAACATTTTGTTTTTTATTTCTTCTTCAGTATCTCTGATTTATTTCATTTTGTAGTGAACAGGTGCAACATATAATAATAAATGTATATTTGATCTCTGCCCCCACTTTTCTAACATAGAGCTTCTAAAACCCTGGTTACTTCCTGAGTGATGGGGGCAATAGGAGCATCTTTTATTATAGTATTTGGTCTTAATCTCTGGTTCCTGACACAAGCACTCCTAAGACTCTTGGAATCTCCAGAGCATTAAGAGTGTCTTTTTGTATGCTACTGAGATGCCTAGTGGCTGAGGGTCCCTAGAGAGCATCAGGTTGGGGGCTGGAAAGAAAGGCCAGGCCATGATTAGAGAGTTGGAATTTCTTCACCCCCCCCCCCACCTCCAGGAAGGGAAGAGAGGCTGGAAATTACCTTACTTATCAGTGGCCAATGAGGTAATCAATCTTCCAATGTTATGAAGCCTCCCTAAAAACCCTAAACAATAAGGTTTGGAGAGCTTCCAGGTTGAGGAACACAGACATATGCCAAGGGGGTGGTATATACCAAACCCACAAGGACAGAAGCTCCTGTGCTCAGGACCCTTCCAGACCTTGCCCAATCTGACCTTTGTAATATCTTTTAAAATAAACTGGTGAACATAAGTATTTCTCTGAGGTTTGTGAATTGTTATAGCAAACTATGAAACATGAGGAGGAGGTTGTAGAAAACCTTGATTTAGAGCTGGTTGATCGGAACTGAGAGGGGACAATCTGGGACTTGCAATTAGCATCTGAAGAAGGGGAAGTCTTCTGGGACTGAGCCCTTAACATGTGGAGTTTGTGCTAACTCCAGATAGCTAGTGTCAGAATTGAGTTACATTTTAAGACATGCAGTTAGTCTTGTGAACTGGAGAATTGCTTGGTGTGGAAAACTTGCACATTTGATATCAGAAGTGTTGGAGGGTCAAGAAACAGAGTTTTTCTTTTAATGGAAAAAGAAAAGATAGGAGACAAACTTCTGTTAATTGTTCTGGAGGGGAGAGTAGAGGGTAAGTATTGCATAAATAAAGACACTGGACCATCAGGAGATTTCAACCAGTGTATTGCAATGACAATTGAAGATTGTTTGAGCCCTACTATTCTTTCCTCACTATTCTTTCATTTATGAATAAAATGAGGCCAGGCACAGTGGCTCATGCCTGTAATCCCAGCACTTTGGAAGGCTGAGGTGGGCAGATCACTTGAGGTCAGGAGTTTGATACTAGCTTGGCCCACATAGGGAAACCCCGTCTCTAATAAAAATACAAAAATTAGCTGAGCGTGGTCATGCACCTGTAATCTCAGCTATTTGGGAGGCTGAGGCAGGAGAATTGCTTGAACCCAGGAGGCAGATTGCAACACTGTACTCCAGCCTGGGTGACAGAGTGAAACTCCATCTCAAAAAAAAAAAAAAAAAAAAGAAAAGAAAAGAAAATGAAATAATGAAATGTAATAGCAAGCATTATGTTGAAGAAGCCCACATGCAGCCCAAAGATCCCTAGGACTTCACTGAGAACAATAAATACATTATTTTCATTGGAAATAAAATCATTTCTCATGCTCAAATAACATGGTAGATATTTGACTTATGATAGTCTATGTGTGTGGGTGCATATGGGTTTATGTGTATTTCAGTACAGATTTTGTGTAAGATATTAAATCTCACTGTGCTATTTCTCCATGGTATCTACTGTGCCTGCCACAGTATCTGAAATATGGGCACTTAACAAAAGATATATTTACTAAAAAGCCAATTCAGATTATGTTTTAAGTCCTCTGAATTGCATGAGCCCCTTCTACAGCTTTTATCTAATTGTATACTTATAACACATTTGTAATTTTATATAATTTTCCTAAGGGCCACAGAATTGCTTGAGCCCCATGAAACCTGGATCCACTTCAAGAGTCAGTAAATCTCTGCTGTCTAATTAAATAAATGGATGAATGAGTGAACGAATAAGCCAGGTAATCTCTGCCTGAAGGTAATATTTCATCTCCATCCTTACCCTACCTCACTTATGATCATCAAGGTCTATTTTGAATTTTTTTTTCTCAAAAAATGTTCTCATGTCTAAAATTTTCTAGCTGTAAATTTCTACTTATCTATAATCTGTCAGACATTACTTCCTCCACTTTTCACTAAATCTGATCAATCTGCTTTTCCCTTACCTCCTGGAGAGCTATAGACTAGAAACTTTTTCTATGTCTCTAGCTATATGTTCTCCTTTTAATTTATTTCATCCCTGCTTAGAAACATTATGGAGACACTCTTGACCCCTCTACTCAGTCAATCTTAGATGGCTGAGTCCTGTGGAAGAAAACTATTAAACGATATTGAGAGTCTGTTTTAAACTTTTATGTATCCTTTTATCCATATCTTGCTGATCCCCTATCTCCCACAGTACTATTCTAAGTCTCCAAACACTTGCGACCCCAACATCCTCCACTTACCTCTCACTCTCAGCTATTGATTCTCCCTCTCACTTTACAATAGCTTCCTAGCACTTTGAATACAGGAGAACCCAATATGTGTGGGTGAAGTTAAAATTACTGGATCTGTGCCCACCTGATGGGAAACTCTTCAAAAACAGAAATCTTTAAATGGTGTTGTCTGTGAAAAATAAAAACAACACAAACACTGTTTTCATCATACAGGGATTAATTAGTGCCAGTCCCATGAAGAGGCGTTATTAGTTAAATTAAAAAGAAATGTTAAAGACACAGGTCACTGAAATGTTAGCAGAGATCACTTACTGAGAACTTAATCATAAGTGTGTGTTTAAGCGTTCTTCATGGAAATACATAAAATTATTATTAACTCTATGATATTGCATTTCAAAGTATATTCCTTATAGCATGTTATTGTTTATTTATGTGTTCACGGCATTCCAATATGTAAATTACAGTAAGAGAATCAGTGCTGATGTCAGTAATTTGTTGGAAAAGAGTAAAACCCAGGCATTGAAAATGTGCATAGGAACTTTTATTTCAGAAAATAGTGGAAGTATTTTTATTTCATTTAAGTAAACAGGAACCTCAATAAAATTGTGATACACTTCTTAGGTTTCCACAAATTGAAAGTATAAAAAATATTTTGCTATAAGAAAGTACAGCTGCTAATGATAAAGGACTTTAATGAACAGGTCCATTTAGAAAAGGTAAACACATTGCATTTCACAAATTTGAGAATTTTGTGGCCATATTTGATACCTACTAAATATTTTATCAATCATAGATGAACTGATGCAAGGTACTGCCATATGAATAATTTAATTAATAATAGCTAACATATATACAGCTTCGTGATAAGTATCAGGTACTATTCTAAGGGCTTTATATGTATTTGCTAATTTAGGCCACCAAAACAAATCAAGAAAATACTACTTGATGTTCATCTTGTAGATAAGACAAATGAGGCTTACAGAGTTTAACTACCATGTCCATGGTCACACAGAGCTAGGTTTTGAACACCAGATATATGATCCAAAGTTAGTCATGTTAACCACCTCTCCATAAGCAAATATGCATAATTTATTCTGCAACTTTTATTGTCATAAGTGAATGATGTTATTGGAGTTCCTTAGCTTTTATCTGATACAGTAAAGATTCATTATGAGTAGTAGCCATATCATAGACAGCTGAGTGGTTAGATTGATTTTACTGGCAGTTGCAAGTCTTGGTGGAAAGCTCCGTGTTTGAGCTCAGACAGTATCAGATTCCAGCATTCACCGTCAATCACTAGCTGAATGACTGTGGGCAAGTTACTTAGCTTTTCTGTATTTCAGTGTTCTCATTTGTGAAATTATAATGATAATGCCAACTTTCAGAGCTTGCATAATTATAGAGAAAATCTATATGAATAAAATAGGGGCTCAGTACATTTATTTTTTATTATATTTTATTTTTTTAAATTATCCCTCATTTAAAAAAACATGAAAAACAGATAGTTATTCACTATTGTTAGAGAAAAGGTTTAGAATGGTGTGATTTAAAGTAGAGTGAACATTGGGAACTTGAAATTCACTTTTAAGCTTTTAATTCTGAAGCATTAAGAATCTTCATCTTTTTAAAAGAGCATAAATATTAGAAATAAAATAAGACATCAGTAAATATATTAATACAAGTTCTATAAGAGAAATAAAGGAAACAAAGTCCCCTTATGCTGCAAGTGAAGGTTCCTAGAAAGTCAGACCTCAAGAATGGACTGCAAGGCGTTGCCTATCTTGCTCAGGGGAGTGCCGGAAGGTGAAACTTAAATGTAGATAGTTGATGGTTGTGGAATCAAAAACCATCTGCTGACATGAGGAAGGAATCTCAAGCTAAGACACGAAAGTAAACTGGATCCTGAGCCAGTGAGCTCTTGGGACCCAGAGAAGAGGCAAGAGCTATACTTAGCAGGGAAGGTACTAGAATGTGGACACATTTCCACAGGAGAAAACAGCCCTTGCTGAGTAGAGGCTTGCAACCAAAATCTGGAAAGCAAATGGGAAATTGTCCCCTGGGAAGAAAAGACAGCAGACACAGTAGACTGAGCAGTTAGCTTACTAAGTTTCTAGAAGGCCATGAAATAAAAAACTGTACATTTAAATTAAATAAAATAAACACAGAACAGAAAACATATGAAAATAGAAAATATTATCTGAAAGTATAGGAGGATTTGAAAATTCACCAAAAGGTAATTCCATAAGTGAAAAAAAAATGTGGCATTGAAAATAATGACTTAAAGATCGGCTAAATAGAAGATTGAATACAATTAGGAAGATAATCTGTACAATGGGAAATATTTCTGAGGAAATTATCTAGACAGACAGAGAGAAAGGAACAGAGAGAGAAACAGAGAAAGAGAAGGAGATAGAGAATAAAAAGCAGAAAAATATGAAAGGAAAATTTGAAACATGAAAATAGAAGGAGAAGGCTCAACATATGACTATTTGAACTTCCAGATGGAGAAAACAGAGTGAAAGGGAAAAAGGCTGAGAATCTTTAAGAATTGATGATGGATTAAAGAAAAGAAAAGAGACTAGCCTCAAGCAAGAACCAGAGGCCTGAAAAGGTGTCTATCTAATGATTGAGGAAGCATGACACAAGATGACACTTTTAACCATAAGGTCTGGGGATGGAGCTAAAAGCCATCTCGAGAAACGAATAGGAAAAGATGTTAACAAATGCCAGGTGGGACTAAAGTTGACAGGTGGTTACCTCTGCATTATCCCTTTTACCTACCTACTCCTTCATTATGTCCTAGACATACAGTTTGAATGGAATTGACTCTATATCTGAGAAAGAGAATCTGATTGATCTAATAACTTATTTTTTTTCCATAGCATTTGGTTCAGGACTGGGCATGTGAATGAAGTTGGGCCAATCAAATGGATGCATTGATTGATGGTTGTGGAAAATCCTCTCCTTCTCCAAGCCTACATATGAATATTTGTCTCAGTTGCTGTTCTCAGCCATGTAGTAACAATGAGGAAATTCATCTTTATGATAAAGTTGACAATGCAGAAGGATAGCACGGAGAGATTTTTTTTTTAACTGGAGCCAGATCCTTAACTAGAACATTAATGAATCTGACTAAACTCTAGAATTTTGTGAGCAGACATCTTTCCTCAACGGTTTAAGCTACTCTGAGTTATTTATGTTCTTATTATAACAACTAAAAGCATTGTGATCCACAAACCAGCAGAACCATGATAGAACACCAAGAACCAAAAATGTTTTCCACTGTTTAAACTCAAAATGACTAAGAAGCCACTAGCAACTATAATATTTTTTGAAGTTCATTAGATTCATTCCTACCATGTAGAAATAGAGGTAAAGTGTATATTAACTTTAGTGTAAATTTTTATTTTTTTCTATCCCAAATCTAAAAACAGAAAATGTAATACCTGCTATAAGTAAAATGTTTTAAGGGCATTACATTATCTTCATTATTTTAATCAATTTTTGTTAAACATTTTTTAAGATAGAATTAAAAAGTGCATTATGATTTTGGTAATTATGTAGTATTCAATTCTATGAATGTTCATAAGTGTTTAACTGATCTGCACACTCTATGATTCTCAAGACTAATGGTTTCTATGAAAAGAAATTGTGAGTTCCCAGACATAACTAAAAATAATTCACCGTACAAAAGAAATACAGTCTCAGTTCATTTTTGCAGCTATAACAAAATATCTGAGAGCACGTAACTTATAAAGAACAGAAATTTATTTCTCACAGTTCTGGAGACTTCGAGGTCCAAGATAAAGGCACTAGGAAGTTTATTGTCTGATGAGGGGCATGGTATGTTTCCAAGGTGGCACCTTCAATGTTGCATCCTCCAGAGAAGGGGAGTGCTATGTCCTCACATTGCAGATGACAAAAGGGCAAAAATAAAAAAATAATAATAATAATAAAAGAAAAAGGCTTAACTCCCTCCAATAAGCCCTTTTATAAAGGTAACTAAACCCATATATAAGGGAAGAAATCCTCATGATCCAATCACCTTTTAAAAACCTCACCTAGGCCAGGCGCGGTGGCCCACTCCTGTAGTCTGAGCACTTTGGGAGGCCGAGGCAGTTGGATGCCTTGAGGTCAGGAGTTTGAGACCATCCTGGCCAACATGGTGAAACCCCATCTCTACCAAAAATACAAAAATTAGCTGGACATGGTGGCGTGCACCTGTAATCTCAGCTACTCGGGAGGCAGAGGTGAGAGAATTGCTTGAACCCAGGAGGTGGAGGTTGCACTGAGCAGAGATTGCTCCATTGCACTCCAGCCTGGGCAACAGAGTAAGACTCCATCTCAAAAAGTAAAAAAATAAAAAATAATAAAAACCTCACCTCTTAATACTATCACATTTGCCACACCTAAATTTTGGTGGGGACACATTCAAACCATAGCAAATATTAATGGTCTTTTATGGCCAATATAGTTAATTAATAGCACCTATAAAATTTCCCAAATCATAATGCTCAATCAGTTAAATAATTTGAGGCCCCTTAAGTCACACTGACAAAAGAAGTGGAATTTAATTCCATGTGAAAGAATATATTTGTGAATAACATATTTTTAATGCAAAATATCCATTCTACTATTGATATTATAGCAATGCAGAATATTGACACTTCGAGTTACCAGAATACATAATTATAAATTGGCAATTCAACATTTGCCAAAATCTTACTTAAGACATTTGAATGACATAGATTTAAGGGGACATTATACCTAGTATCTTAGGGTACATTATACATATAGAAATTATTTTTTCTTTTTATTTATAGAAGCTGTTTTGTTACCTCTTAAGAAAGCAGAGTCTCTAAGTTACATAGTAATGACTTCACTAAAGTAAAATTTAATGTCAAACTGCCATTTTTTTTTTACAATGTAGCAATAATATAAATGGTCACTATAAGAATAGCTGCATCTCTTGAAAACAGCTAAACATTTTGTTCACTATGTTGGTCAGTCTCTTATTTAAAGATTCACATGAAGGACCTAGAGTGATATAACAGGAATAAGACCATTCTTTGTGACAACTTTGGGTGCTTATTTTTTTAAGTATTGGTATATTAATTATATTTTAATTTTACGGTTTTACTTTTTAAATGGTCACATTAATTTTTGATGTTAAATAATAAGACAACATCATAGCCTCTCTATTGAAAAGCTGATGCAGATTGTGTGTGCATACACTTGTCACAACAAGCCATGGAAGCACACAAAGCGTCATTAGACAAAAGTCAAACCTTTTTTTAAAAAATATAACACCTCATTGCTAGCATCCTCAGTATTAAAATATCTGCATATTCTTCTTGCTGGCACAAATTTGCGTATATGGGGTGTAGCTAGAATGTAGAAATTCAAAATGTGGAATTCAAATCTTTCAAAACAGAGATAAAATACAATTCATGAATGACATCTATGGGTTTTCTCTCTCTTGTGTGTTGTCAGCATGCCAGTATCTCTAGTCAGTCTATGATTCAACCAGGAGACAGAAAGTGGTGGATGCAGACAGATCACATCTTTGACAGTTTCTGTCCAGTGTTATATTCTTCTAATGGAGCTTCAAGAGGCAGCAGGCACACACGATGCATGCATGCCATGCATGATTGATACAAAGTGTAGGTTTGCTTACTCTAATGCTCGACAATGAGAAGCAACAGCCACTCTCTCATTACAAATTAGAGCACTGACAGCCAAGGCGGACACAGTCTGCCTGCAGACCTTCAAGCCCAGAACAGATTTAATTCTCATCCATCATCAGAAACACAGATTCACTGGAAAACCTTAATGCATCTCATTTTGTTAACAAATAATGAATTTAGTAGAATTTGTTTTTATTTTTTTTCTTATATATGACAGCCAGTTGTCAGTTTAGCCCAACAAATACTTGTGAAGGCCTCTTACTTGTTAGACATTGTTTCAAGCACCAATGGAATACATAAATAAATCCCTGCATTCCTAGAACTTACAGTCAAGAGGTGGGTAAGGGGGTGGAGATAAAACAAATGCAAAAGTTATTAAAATACAGAACAGAATATAATTGAGAATTAAAAGGATGTGGGTTCCTGTGTCGTTGAGCCAAACAGGGAAATTTTTATGAAGGTTAGCTTCATGTATAGAGCAATAGCTTTACATTTAAAAAGAAGTAATTGTTTTTACTTTCATATGCATGTGTTCTTTGCAGAAAACATCATTCATGGGAGATAACTGACATCATTTTGCAAATAGAAAATTTCACGGAATAAAGCAAGAGATAAAGCTGGAAAATTGTGCAACCTGGATGAAAGCTTGTGACTCCAAATACTTTTTTGTTTTAAAAATATCATTGCATAATCCCGGGTGGATTTGGGAGCCTGAATTTGGGTGTTGATGATAGAAGCTAGAATATGGATGTGAGACTGATGGGGGCTGATTATTGAAAAACGGAAGTGGGTATAACAGCAAAGGAGAACATTTAAAAAGAAAAGGAAACTAAGAAAGGAAGTTTGAAAGAAAAAGTTATATTTAAAGAAAAGGAGCATAAGGAAAAAACAAACAAACAAACAAACAAAAAACTCCCCAAACTAGTGAAAGAATTTGGGGAAAGAAATAGACAAGTACCATGTTTATTCAAGAAGAAAGACAATCACAAGAAAAATTGGTGGGTCAAAAGTGAAAACTGCTGTATCCTCAAAACCACCACAGTGCCTAATACCAAGCATATTCTCAATAAGTACTATTTCAGTGAAAATCTGACTCTGGTTTACATGCACTGTCTTCCTTACAATCAGTTTTCTTGTTTGGACTTTAAACCTTGAATGTGTCTTCTGGTTTGAAATATCTTCAATATAAAGAGTAATGAAAGAGTTATGAAACACATAATTCTGTCCTTAATTTCACCCTCGTAACTCAGCTTAACACTATGTTCTCTTTACACACAAAACTCCAATACAGGATCTTAAACTTGTCAGCAGCTTTAGCTAGACTCTTACTGCAGTCCTGACCCTACTCCCACTCTTGGCATACTTTCACCTTACTTTCCCTTACTCTACCTTATCCCAACTAAGCAATGATATTATTTTCTGATAAAATGTTTCAATCAATTACATTTTAAAGTTGTTTACGGATACCAGTTTGTCTCTATCCCAACACAGAGAGGCCACTAGGGAAAATGAGCTCACTGTTGTTTAGAACAGAAAATCTTTCATGCCTCCAGTATATGACAGGTAAAAGAATTGAGACAGAATAATGTGTAATGACCTGATTAATTAGCACTGAGTCCAAATCAGCATGAAAATTTGTGTGAGTCCCCATTATCAGCACACAAGACCAACTTAACCTTTTACACTTAGTAAAGTTCTTCAATCTCAATGGTTCTTTATGCCACAAACCTCTTCACAATTCCTATTCAGGCCCTACCCAAAGTGGGGCTCCAGCTCCAGTGCCTGCTTACCCTTTCTCATATTCTTTTCTCATATAATTTAAATTGTCACATGGAGGGGAATTGCCAGTACAATTTCACATCATGCAAATACAATTCCATCGTAGTTGGATCCTCTATTCCCTATGATCACAACTGAATTATGGTTCTTTTCCATCCAGCCATGTGTTTTAAAGATTGTGAAATCTTTCCAATGGTGTGGTCTTTTCTTTATATTTTTTTTCTCTTCTCCATAAAGTCTCAATGACTTAGATATGCTTTTTCCAATTAATTAACAACTTGTTTCTTCTAAGTAAATTGATTCCTCTTTTCTTTTTCTACATCAGAGATGTTTTTCTCTAAGCTCTGCCCCTGATTTATATGACTCACGCAAAATTGTTTTTATTATTTTATGAATATAAGTTCATTTTACCCTACAAATCTGCTGGATGTTCACAAACATTTTTAATCTCTAAATATCCATATAAATATAGTTTTGTACATACTCATTTAGGTCTTATGAAGCAGACACAGTAACCAGTGGGAAAAATTTTGAATCCTCAGATTATTTCAACCTATAAAAAATATATGCAAAAATCAAATTGAAATTTAAATTAGAGCCTCAACCACAAGAGAGACAAAGGTATTTTCAACCAAGGGAATGTACCATGTGTTTAAAAACAGAAAGGAATATTTTACAGAATTAGGAATCCATACATTCAACTCATATATGGGGAAGAAAACTATGTGAACTACCCAAATTAAAATTCCTTAATAACAAAACTAAAGTGGAAAAGTATTTTAAACCAAATGTTTGGAATTCCTTTTCTTTAATACATAAATATTTAAAGCTATGTTCAATTCTTGACCTTCAACTTTTATTGAAAAGCAGTTTTTTACAGGCAGTACCATGTCAGTACTTGAAAAGAAAGAGAGACTTAGGCTAAAATTCACCAGATTTGTTTTCCCTACCATACCTTTTACTTTTGTTCCCTTTTCAGCTGAAATCACCAAAAGCAGATTATCTTATTCTATAGCTGAAAATTATAGTGAGACAATTTAGAATGAATACACCATAGTTTATTATAAGTACTGTGAAAAGTAAAGATATTAAAAATATTTGAAAATTCGAGACTATATATATTCTCATTTTGGGGCTGTCTTTACCCATAAATCTGGAGGGACTATTTTGTGTATCAGCTCAGTCATATTATAGTTTAATTCTGTCAAATTATTTGTCGTTAAATTTTCGACACATGGATTGAATAAATACCAAATATTTTCCAATTTAGCTTATGCTTCAAAACAAGGACTTTCTATAATACTTATAAAGAATGGGCAGTGATGCCTTAAAAGTAAAGTGGACTTAGTAGACAACTAGGTAAAGGTACAACCAAAAGGGAATAGAAGGAAATACCATCAGAGAGTGGCAGAAATCCATAAAATTAACAAACCAGATGCATTCTCAGAGGCAAACCCAAGATGAGCAATTATTGAATGTTGAGCTATTGAATATTGTAGAAGTGTCACGCAGTTGTCACAGTGTGGTAAAAAGATGGAAATCAGAGGCTGAGGGTCAACAAACAGTTTAATAAATGGACGCTGAGAGTTGGTTAATGACCTCAAGAGGAGAAGTTTGATTTTAGAAAATAAGTTTTTGTGGTTCGTAGCATCCATGTAGTAAAAAAGTAACCAATCAAGTCCAAACATGTAAAAAACTTATTTGTAACCTTTCCCCAAAGATACACGATTCCATTTCCAATGAATGTGTGTTAGCCAACAACTTTCTGATCTGTTATTTGGCTCACTGAGACCTACTTCCTAAGAAAGATGAAACTTCATAAATTATAGCTTCAAAAATTGTGTAATTTTATAGCCTACTCTCAATGAATAATTAGCTTTCCAGTTAGAATTATTTTCTCATCAAGTTTTCACAAGGCACTCTTCCCCCTTTTTTGATATGATCATCCCAGGATTAAATCATAGCCACCATTCAAAAATTACTCTTTTTCCCTGGGAACCCACTAAGAGTCAGTTTATCACCATAATCACTTTACAACATTATATATTTTGAGGATGTTTGAAAGAAATTGAGACCATAAATAATATCAAATTTTAACATTTACTGTGCTAATATTTTTATGAAACAAATTCCAAATAAAGAACCCAGGATTTAACAACTCCCTTTCTCCAACTCTAAACTACATTTCTTGCATGGTCCTTACTCCCCATGCATTTTAAAACCTAAGCTGTCTTTCCTTCGCTGTGCATTGGTTCTCAAAAATACATTTCTGAAATTTGCCGTGGGGTGACCAACCAGTCAAGTGTGCCTGGGAATGAGTGGGTTCTCAGGATGCAGGACTTTCAGTACTAAAATGGATACAGTTTCAGACACACCAGAAGTTGGTGACCAATTTTTCAAAGACCATTTTAAAAGTCATTTTAATGATGAGTCTTTCTTTTTCTTATCAAACAATGTCAACACCATCTTCTAATATCTTCTTAAAGCACAATGTAAACTTTTCTTCTGCCACATGGGTCTCCTTGTTATTGCCTAAAAATTCCAGGGAATTTCCTTTGGAGACCTCACTATTCACTCATTCTGGCCATTTTTGTACATAAATAATTTTTTCTTTTCTTGTGGGCTATTTTTTTTTTATTTTTCGATAACAGAAAGAGGGAGCTGAGAAGTACTACAAACATACTTTTACTTCTGGTTCAGGATGATTGACCAGGCATACATATTTAAATTTTTACATTTCTAAAGATTCACTTAGAATAGCAGAAGAGATATAAATGAAGAAATGCACATATCCAACAACACTGGATAACTGGAGCAGCTTTCAGTAGCATTAGTGAAGCAGAAACATTGAGAAATATCTTCAAGATAAAGAGTAAGTTTGTATAACAACATGGCAGCCTCATAATTGTGAAAGAGGAGACCACTAGAAAGTAAGAGAAGAGCCTATGATTACAGAAAACAGGTTCTGGAAACAGAATGGACCCCACAAAGCCATGTGTAGAGTAGTTGAGAGTACTGAAGAATGGTGGGACTTATCCTCAAATCAGGTAAAAGAAGTATTTGCTCTCAGGCTAAAGACAGAAGGAATGCTGTCTTCTAACTCAAACAGATTTTCTGCATGAGGGATTAAAAGAAAGGAAATATAAAACTAAAGTTAAGAGCTATGAATGCTAGAAATATGTATCAACAACCACACACTAACAGTTCAAAACAGAAAGAGAAAAAAATACTAAAAGAAGAAATTATTTGAAAAAAAAAGACCCAGTTTTTCCCAGAATTAAAAAGGATAAAATGTTATGATCTAAAGAGTTCATTGAGTTAATGAAAAGGAGATAGAACACAAAATATAAATGCATAGGATAACATAGGCTAGATAAATGATGATGGATAAATATAGACATATGCTTAGACAGATTGATAATTATGAGATTTGAGAACATTAAAGATGAAATAAGTTGAAAAAAAATCTTAAAGTCCCATGAAAGAAAGAGCACAACACCAAATGAAATAAGAATCAGAAGAGTATCAAAGTTCTTTTTAAAGCAACTCAGGATACAAGAAAACAATGAAATTATTTTTGAAATCTTGAAAGAAAACAATTTTTTAGACATTCAGGGTCCAAAAGTTTTACCACACAAGGAAACTTTAAAAAGTAGTCCTGGAAGAAATATCCAGAAAAAAGTAAAATAAATCCTAGAGGATTCTATAGGTATATGGGAAGTAGTGCTGTACGACTGACTTATAAAGAAAGCTGTTATCTAAATGAACAAGGAGCAAAAGAAAACAAACAAAAGAACATAACTATAAGCAACTCAGAATAAAAATTCTAGTTTCTGTTGTAGCCTAATTAATACATAAGATATTTCAAACACCTATCTCAGTTACTGATGTATCAAATAGAAAAATGTATAAAGATATTTCACACGTTCTAATGGACATAGAACCCTGCAGTTAAAAATTATGGAATATACAAGTTTTTAAATCACATGGAATTGTAATGTTCATTAACTACAGTCTAAGCAAAAAGTAGTCAGAGCAAACTTCAAAAAATGATTATAATGCATTCTGTGTTTCAGACTTCAGGGCAATTAAGTTAGAAGTCAGCAGCATAGATAACATAGGAATATACACTAGAAAAGTTACACATGCTAAATATATAATGAATCAAGAATGGAATCAAAACACATTTTAGGAATTATTTACCCCCAAATGATCTTGAAAATATACCGTATCAACACTTGTATATTGAAGCAAAAGCCATGCTCACATGGAAATTTAGAACCTTAAATTCATTCATTCAAAAAGAAGAAAAACTGAAAACCAGCTAAGTGTCCAACAAAAGTGTCTAATAGAAATTAGAAGTTTCCATAAACTAAACACAAACCAAGAAGCAGAAAAGAAATAAAATGTGAATATATAAAATTAATAAATTATAAGCTATGAGGCAATGGAGAGGATAAAAAATATATCAAATCTGCATCTTTAGTATCCAATAGAATGAACAGAACAAAACTAACATTTTTTAAAAGTAGGAGCCAAAATACTTATTATTTTCAAGTGGCATATTTCTTTTCATTAAAAACTCAAGTGATTCAACTAAAAAATTATTTTTAATGTGAGTTTAATAAAGTGGTCCTTTGCAAAACAATATAGCTAAATTATAAGTTTTATCAGTATACTAAAAAAACCTTCTTTTTTAATCTTACAAAATATCTAGAAATAAGTTCACAATATTTAATCTGATGCAATTCTAATCAGTAAAATTCTGTAAAATTAAATTCTATAAAAGATGAGTAATAAGTGGCTTTTTGTGTCTAGCTTCTTTCACTTAGCATAATATTCACTTTGGATGATTTCTGGTCTTAAATGTGTTAAGGTGTATTTTATGGACTAGAATATGCCCTATTTTCATGAATATTAAGCTTGTGAGCTTAAGAAAAAATATTTATTTGATTACTGTTTGATGACATATTCTATAAATGTCAATCAGATCAAGTTGATTGATAGTGCCATTCAAGTCATCTACGTGCAGATTTTTTTGCTACTTGACCTATCAATTATTGATAGAGGGACACTGAGGTCTCTAACTGAAATAAGGAATTTGAATGTTTCTGCTGTCAGTTCTATCAGTTTCACCAATGTGTATTATAATACTATGTCCTTAGGTGCATAAACATTTAGGAGATAATTAGGTTCAAAGGAAGAAATTAGAGCCTTGTGCTCTGGATCTCAATCTCTCTCTCCAACCCCCCCTCCTTCTCTTTCCCTCCCTCCCTCTATCATGTGTGGACACAGTGAGAAGGTGGCTATCTGCAAACACAGAAGAGAGCTTTAACCAGCAATGGAATGTGCTGGCTCCTAGACCTGTGAAAACTAAAGGTCTGTTATTTAAGCCACTTAGTCTGGGGTAGTTTGTTATAGTAACCTGGGCAGACTAATACAGTTGGCTCTTATTTTTATTAATTGTTGTATGTGGACCATTCATATTTAAAGTGATTATTGATATAGTTGAATTAATATCTACCATGTCTGAAAGTGGTTTCTATTCATTGCATTTGTTCTTCATTTCTTTCCTCAGACGTTGTTTTCTACCTTCTCTAATTTTAATAGATCATTTTATGTGATTTTATCTCCTTTCTTAGCATATCAATTAGGTCTTTATGTTAATTTTTTAGTGTTTATCCTAGAGTTTACAACATACATTTTTAACTAATCGAATTCCACCTTCGAATAACACTAATCAGTAAATGTAGAGCAGGTACCTTGTAATGGAGCATTCCCAGTTCCTCTTCTCTAAACTATGTGGTATCCCTGTCATTCATTTCACTGATGCACATGTTATAATTACACAAATCACTATAACTATTATTTCTTTAAGCAGGCAGTTATCTTAAATCAATTTAAGAACAAGAGAATGAAAAGATTTTACTTTACCTTTATTTATTTCTTTTTCTGATGCTCTTCCTTTCTTTATATAGATCCAAGTTTCTAATCTATGTTATTTTTCTTATATCTGAAGACTTTTTTTTTTTAACAGTTCTTGCAGGGCAAGTCAGCTGGCAATAAATTTCCTCAGGCTTTTTTTTTTTTCTTTGGTTTGCCTCCTTTACATTGGCAGCATAATTGTATCGGATATAGAATTCTACAGTTGAAAGTGTTATTCTTTCAACATTTTAAATATCCCACTCCACTCTGATTATATGGTTCTTGCTTATATGGTTTCTGATGACAAGCTCAAAATAATTCTTATTCTTGTTCTTCTATTGGGAAGAGTTTTTCTCCTCTGGCTTCTTTCAAGATTTTATCTTTGTCTTGGTCTTCTGAAGTTTGATAATAATAAGCTTAGATTGTGTGTGTGTGTGTGTGTGTGTGTGTGTGTGTGTTGTTTGTTTTTCTCTTTGGCATTTGTCGGCTTCATGTTCTCTGAAACTCGCAAATGTGTGATTTGGTGTCCGTTACTCATTTTGAGAACTTTGCAAACATTATTACTTCAATTGTTTCTGCTACCCCATTCTCTCTTTCTTCTCCTTCTGATATTCTTCTTACACATACATTTCACCTTTGATATTGTCCCAAGATTCTTAGATTTTTTAAAAATCTTTTTATATCCTCGAATTTTGGTTTGGGAAGCTTCTATTGTTTTATCCTCAAGTTCACTGAATTTTTTATTCTTTGCTATGTTAAATCTATTGATGAATTAATTAAAGTCATTCATCAGAGTTTTTACAGTTTTAATTTCTAGCCTTTTGTTTTGATTTTTCTTAGACTTTCTTCTCTCTGCTTACACTACTTATTGTTCTTTCATATCATCTACTTCTCCCAGAACATTAACTATATATTCTTGCACATGGTCTACTTTTTCCTTACAGTATCAATGATAGTTATTTTAAATTTCCTGATGATAATTCCATCTGTGTAATAGCTAAGTCATTTTCTGATGACGGTTTTGTCTCTTCAGAGTGAGCTTTTCCTTGGCTTTTAACCTGTTTTGTAATTTTTGTTGAAAACTGGACAGATTGTATCAGGTAATTAGGTAACAGGAACTGAGATAAATAGGCCTTTAGTGTGAGGGTTTGTGTTAGCTTTGCTAGAAGTTAGACTTTGTTTAACTTTTTGATGTTGCTGTTGTTGTTATAGGTACCAGATGCTTCAAATTCCTCTAATGCTGTCATCTTTTTCTCTCATATTGTCTTTAGGATTCCCTAAAAATAGCTCCTCACAGACAGTCTGTAGCTTGCAGATCTTTCAGCTGTAATCCAGTTATGATACTGGAGCCCTGTTGGTGTGGTGGTGTGAAATTTTCTATATTCTTCCAACTAAATTGCAGTCTTTCAGTAGGCCTATGTCTCAGCAATGGGACGATCACAAATGTTTCTCTAGTGGTATAATATTGTACTCCCTCCTCCACACTCCCTTCCTTGGCTGAAGAATTTCAATCTATTTCCATAAAGCACTGTCTCTTATTGACTATTTTTCCCCCTTAAGTGAGGTAGGAAAACCAGAAATCTCTCCCTGGAATGGGGAGGAATTTCTTTCCTGAGCTATGATAAGATGTCTGGACTGAGTTTTGTCAAAGTCCTTCAATCTGGAGAGTAGGCCTTTGTTATAAAGGACATTCTAGCTATTCTTCTCTTTTCCCTGCTAGAGTCATATAGTGCTCTTTCTCAGATCCTCACATTAAGAACTTGGTAGGGCTCATGGAGAAAAAGCCCATGAAAGTTTGCAGACCATCCTAAGACTTCAGCTCCTAAGAGAGCCTCAGTCTCATACTAATCCACATTCAGCCTCCTTAAGTACTCCAAGCAGTTAATGGCCCCAGTAGCTTCTAATCTACATATGCAGATCGTGGCTGTTCTGTCTTTGTTTCTCTGAATGTGCCTATCTCTCTACATTTCAGAGGACCAGATTGCCCTGTGACCTGAGTTCCCAGAGTGTGAAGAAAAGTCCTTATTTTCAGTTTGTTCACCTTTTACTTGTTGTAAGATGGAGCGACAATTTCCAAGCTCTTTCCCTGTCAGAGCTAAAGCCCAGTCGTGAGCTTTTAAGAATTTTGTTTATTTTTTTAGGAAATTCTCTTACTTTGTAAACAAGTTTTTAAAATCACACTTGAAGAATGAAATTGGTGCTTAAGGAGGTAAGTATCAGATATCTGGAAAATGTATGGACACACACTCATGTTTGTTCTCTAACAATGCAAAAATGAAAAAGAATGTGTTTAAAAATACAGATTTCAATACCATAGCAGATTATGTTTTCCAAAATTATTAATTGCCTTCAGTCTTGGAAGAGTCAATTCAATTACAGAATGCTCCTTTTATTCCTATTATTAATCAACCCAGACTGATATGTACGATAGTTCATATGTAAGTCTATCTACTCCATGAGATAGTGTGAAAGTATATCTTGGTATTTCCTAGAGTTGCAAACAGAGAGCTTTGCATGTAATAGGCACTTAATGAATGTTTTAAAAATTGAGCCAAAGACAAAACTTCATCATTTTGCTTTCCTAATATGTAGTATAATTTTACAAAGCATAAAATAATTTGTACTTTTTAATCACAAATTTCCTGTTCTTAGTATGCAGGATAAGCTCTATAAATGATTTATGGGCTCATTAGGCTGATTCTCAGAAATGCCTAAAAATTTGACCCCAATTTTGGTTCCACAATACTGAGGTTTATACTTGAGAAAAATGGGTTTAATGGACTTACAGTTCCATGTGGCTGGGGAGGCCTCACAATCATGGTGGAAGGCAAAAGGTACTTCTTAAATGGCTGTGGCAAGAAAGAATGAGAGAGAAGCAAAAGTGAAAACCCCTTATAAAATCATCAGATCTCATTAGACTTATTCACTACCACGAGAACAGTATGGGGGAACCACCCCTGTGATTCAATTATCTCCCACCGGGTCCCTCCCACAGCAAGTGGGCATTATGGGAGAACAATTCAAGATGAGATTTGGGTGGGGACACAGAGCCAAACCCTATTAGTGGTCATACTGTCCTTTCAGGTTCAGAGAAAGGGATTATGGAATCTACCTCTTGATGGAGGAGTGACAAGGTCACAAAGTAAAAACAGCATGTCTGATGGGAGATGATTTATGCCGTTTTTGGAAAACGCAATTTGAGCAAACTGTCCTCTGGCCACAAAAATTTACATTATTCTGAAGTATAAAATGTATTTATCCTCCTTCCTCTACAAACTCCCTGAGCCTCATCCTTTATAGTGTCACTTAGAAGTCCAAGATATGTCACCTAAATCATATTTAGGTGTAAAAGAAGCTCTATAGATGAGGCTACTCAAGCATAACACTTTGAGTAACATTCCTCTCAACTGGAAGTCGTGTGAACTAAAATGACAACTCCTCCCCTAGTGCCTCCAACATGCAATGGTGAAAGAAGCGTAGATTAAATGCTATAGCCACTCCCATTCAAAAAGGAAAAAACCTGAGTTACACAAAAGTCATTATTTCATAGCAATTCAGACATGTTGGGTATATGTTGCCAATTCCTTAATTAGTTGTTTACTGGCTGGGAGGTGTTCTCCGTGGCCTTCACTCTCTCTTCTGGGCTCCTGGTTGTGCCTTTTGAGTTAGCCTTTCTTTTCCACAAAAGCACCTGTTTGTAGCTAAGTAATTATCTCAACCTGCTTTTTGCCCATGTAAGTTTTGGGCACCCAAACACCTGTTTTCTTTTTTTATTTTTTTTCTATTTCTTTCAGTTTATGATAATACAATCCACTTACAAACTTTGTGAGTTTTCTGTGAATCAATTTATAATTTAGTCCTTCAAATAAAACTTATGTCTACAAATCACTTAAATATAAGACCTTCTCTACCATAGTCTCCCTGTAAACCTTCTGGAAGGATAGATCTTTAAGATACTTAGAAGCCTTATTATCTAACAAAGAGCTTACCATGAGCAGGTTATTTATTGAAGGAATGTATGGATGAGTTAGTGAATATATTTGCCAAGTTTGTATATTAAAAATTGGGGTGGGAACTTAGAAAATAATTTTCGAGAAAGAGAGAACATCTTTTTCTATATAAAAACATGAGTTGTCAACCAGAACTTCAGAATTTGTTAGATTATGAAATTTATAGTAAGAGAAATAGTCACCTCATTTTCCTATGAACCATATTTATTTGTAGACATTTATGAGTTAAAAAAATACATCCTCTGTAAAAACAAACAAAAAAATTTAAACTATCTTACGTCTACAACTAAGTCTAACTCTAGAATGTCCCAGGCTAACAGAAGGTAGTCTCAACATGATTTAAGGGTATTTCCTCTTAACCTTTGTTATGTCTTACTAGCATGTCAAACTAAGAGCTAAATAAATTCTTTTTTTCCCCATCATCCATTCTTTTTAGCTTCTGTGCAAAGCTATGTGTGTCCAATATCTTATAGATTGCCTTAGTTTGCTCAGGCTGCCTAACAAAATACTGGGTGGCTCAGAAATTTATTTCCCACAGTTCTGGAGGCTCAAAAGTCCAAGATCAAGATACCAGCAAGGACATTTTCATTCTAAGATATCGTCTTTTGGCTTGTAGATAGCTGTCATCTTACTGTGTTCTGATATCACATCTATGTGCGCACAGAGGGCGATAGATCAAGCTTTCTGATGTCTCTTCTTATAAGTGCACAAGTTTCATCAGGAAAGACCCACCTTCTTGACTTCATCTAGCCCTAATTACTTCCCAATGGCCCTTTCTCCAAATACCGTAACATTGGGGATTAGAGTTTCCACACATGAGTTTTGGACAACACAAACATTCAGTCTATAATGCTCTGTCACTGGGTGCCCCAAATTCATATTTTTCTAACACAAAAAATACATATATTCTATTCCAAGAGACCCTAAATTCTTACTTTATTCCAGCGTCAACTCTAATGTCCAAAGTCTCATCCACTTATCATCTAAATCAGATATTGGTGAGACTCAAGGTGTGATTCATTCTGAGACAAAATTCCTCTCCAGCTTTGAACCTGTAAAACCAGACAAGGTATGTGTTTCTAAAATACCATAGTGGGGTACAAATAGATAGACACTCCCATTCCAAATGGAAGAAATAGAAAAGAAAGAAGGGATGATGGGTTTCAAGCAATTTCGAAACATAGCCAGGCAAATTCTATTAGGTCTTAAGGCACAAGAATAATTCCCTTTGACTTGTTGCACTACCTTCCAGGTCCACTGAGGAGGTGGTACCATTTTCTTAACACTCTGGGGCAGCAGTTCCACTCCAATGGCTTTATAAGATGTGGGCCCCACCCCTATGGCTCTAGGCAGCCCTGCCACCAAGGCACTGCTTGGTCAGAGGCTCTTTGGTTTGTTGAAACTGAGGTAAAGTCCTACCTTTTGAAACCAAGGAGGCAGCCCTGATGACCTCTGAATCACCTTTAGGATCATTCTTCCCTTTTCTTGAAAACTGGTGCATATTTGCAGTCAAATATTGTCTGATCCTATAAGATCTAAGAAGTGTGACAGTGTTCCATCATTTCATCTCATTTTTTTAAACATACCACTTGTTTCATAATCAACAAGAGTGTTTGTTAAAAGGTTTAGATTTTCTGCTAATCTCAGACCCACTGGATCAGAATAGATGACAATGTTTCATTATCCAAGAAATAAGCATTTTCACCTAATTCTCAGTTAAGTCTTTCTTATACTAAATTTTGTGAACCACAACTTAGATTTTAGAAACAAATGTAACCAAATGATTTTATTATAATTTTTTAAAATATATATATATCTTAAAACATGCATTCATTTTAAATTCTGCATGAACTAAAGACATCTTCATTGCTAAAGGCAGCATCTTCACGATGTGTCTGATTTTCTTTTGGTTCCTGATGGTCTTTCCTTTTTTTTTTTTTTTTTTGGAGACAGAGTCTCGCTCTGTCACCCAGGCTGGAGTGCAGTGACACGATCTTGGCCCACTGCAACCTCTGCCTCCTGGGCTCAGGTAATTCTCTTATCTTAGCTTTCTGAATAGTTGGGACTATAGGCATGAACCACAATGTCTGGCTAATTTTTTGCATTTTTTGTGGAGACAGTGTTTTGCCATGTTGTCCAGGCTGGTCCCAAACTCCTGGGCTCAAGCGATCCACCCATCTCAGCCTCCCAAAGTGCTGGGATTACAGGCATGAGCCACCACACCCAGCCTTATTCTAATTTTTAAAAATATGTAACGAGTATTTTGTAGGCACCATGCTAAGCACAGTTCCTTTACCATCATGGGAATTCCTTGGGAATAAATCTGAGAATTGTTATCATGCTTCACATTTGGGTGGAATTCAAAACAACTAAGGTCATGCCAAAGAACTTCAAATAAATACCACTTTGAGACACCATTTTCAATGAACTCATATAAGACAGTATATTTTGTGAGTGTTTTGGCAAATTATATAGTTTCATTTACCAAAAGCAGTCACTTTAAGGTGCAATGTCTCCAATGTGAAAAGGGCTTTATCTTGAAGCAAATCTTCACTGTAAGCATTCCCCTCATCCTGTAAGTTACCAACACTAGAACCATGGCTTTATGCTAATGAAAATGGTAAAAATACTAATAAGTCCTGTCAAGATTATTTAACATGGAGACTACAATACAATTTGGATGTTCATCACTAAAGACAAATATGTGGTTATTTTGACACTTTTGCCCAAGTCGGTCTCTGGGCTGCACTGGCAGCACTGATAGCTAATCCCCATTCTCTCTTCATGATCACAGTGAAATCTAGTGAAGCTTCCTCCCTGCTTCACTAGATTTTATTAAAATTGATATTAATCAAAACATACAGTGTTAAGAATGTGCAAAAAAAGATTAACCTCCATAAAGCTTATTCTGAATGAAACTAAACATACACTACCATTTTTCCAGAGACGTGCGGAGAAATGCACCTCTCTAAATCACAGAGCAGAGAAATTGAGTACCTGGCAGTATTTGGGAGATACTCAATTATAGAGTATCATATGTACGTTTTCATATTTGGGCTAAAAAGATAGCTACCAAATTTAGCTGAGGACAAGTTCTTGTTTCTAAACTTCATGCATTCCAAAATAATTAACATCCTTTGCTTAGAAAAAAAAGCAACAATAATAGAACTATAGTGATATAGTAACATTATTGAGATTATTTATTACAGCTCTTTCCAAATATTTTCTGTAAATCTAATTCCAAGAAATTTGATGAAATTCCTAAGAATTTAAGTATTATACCTTAGGTGCCCTAAGAAGTTGTTGATTTTCTGAAAATTAGGAGAAATAATATTATTTCTCTCTCCAGTAATGTTTTGTTTTTTATATCAAAAGTATACTTGCTTTTTAACATATTTTGTGAGCTATTTTCCCTATAATGGCACATATTTTTCCATATGCAATTATGTTACTTGAGTATATACAGGAACTTCAGAAAGTAAATAATAATTGGAAGAAAACAGTTAAAGTGCTTCAACCTATCATTGAAAATTATATTAATGTGTTTTTTGTAACATATCTAGATGACATAAGTTATATAATACTCTACCTTACTCACCAATATTTTATCAACATCATTTAATTTTATAAGCCATGCTCTTTAAAATGTATCATTGGCTTTAAAAATGTATAAAATTCTCTTCTTTATTAATTGCCTTTAGATATTGTTAGATTTAACAAATTATGTTTTCTAATATCACCAAACTTTTTAAATTAAAAAAATTACCACTAAAACTTTCAAATTCAGTTTGTTTTCTTCTACTAAGATAGAGCAGACACTTTTAGGTTTCTGACTCAATATCCATCCTATCTCCTTCTTCTTACCTAACAAAATTCACAGAGCCACCAATTCCCCATAATGGCAATGGGTCAGGGGAAATGGATCCCATCTTAGGGATTCTATGTTGTCTAAGCTAATCATAAAAATTCCACTGTCTTTGCTAGTGATTGGTCTAGAAATGTGCAAAGCCAGCTAACTAGGCATTCAGGCTAGTCTTCACTATGTCTTTTAGGAAAGTGACACAGGAAGATCTGGCCTCTTCTTTAGGACATTGGTGTGGTTGGATGAAATGTCTTGAAGTGTTATGACAATTTATACTTGAGTCTTAAAGTCATAGCATGGAGTAAGGCATATCCAAGAGAATCTGGAACTGCCTCCTCTACCTCTGTACTTTCAGTATAAGACAACGATAAGCCAGGTTTCTTTAGTTGTGACTTTAACAAACTCATACCCTGGATGAAGAGATGGTTTGAGACTACTTTAAGCATATAAATTATGGATCTAGGGTAGATAAAAGCATGCAATACAAAAAATATTGGTTAAAAAATGAATCCTTGAATATATTTGTGTTTAAATAATTATTGATGAATAATATTTTTAAAAAGTCATTGTAAAACAAAATTCTATGTGACCAAAATCCATAGTATTGAAAATGGGATAGAAAGAGAAGTTAATGTGTATGTAAATCTTTTATATCTTTTGTCTTTATTAAAGTCTTATCTGAACATAATCTGAATATACCCTGTGGAGTCTTGGGAATGCCTTTAATTGTCTGATCCTATGGAATTGCTGCAGGTGGCCACACATTTTCAAATCTAGATCAAATAGGTGATTTCATAAAAAAGTAAAATTAACCAAAATGACTAAAGAGGAGAGAATATATCTAAACCTTCAACCTCCCTTAAAAACAATCAGATGACAATTGTGCAAGATTTAAATACATTCAGATGAGATTCCATCACTTTCAGAGATCAGGAACTTCACCTAAAACAAATTCTTCCTTGCATCTAGCTTAATTCTTGTCTAAATACTGCAGGTCACAATCATGTTTCACAGCAAAATAGAAAGAGGCTAAAATTATATTAGAGATAACGTTTAACTTTTAAAAACTGTTAATTGTGCAGCAAGCAAACAAAAATAGAAACCCAGGAGGTTAATGATTTTTTTAAAGCAAGCTATGCATGAAAAAAAAATACTAGGTTTTAAATACAAAAGAAATGTCTAGTTCCTTGGGTAGAAATCACTCCTGGACAGATTCTTTTTGTACTGCTTACAGCTTACTGATATGGAGAATGCCTTGGTAGACTTGGAGGACTGTAAATTTTGGTAATTTTTTAAAGATATAATCATACTCATGTCTCAGAGTAAATAAAAGCACCTTGAAAAACATTGTTTTTCATCAGTAATCTTATAATCAGGATATTTGACTCCACAGACTGTGCTGATATTAAATGTTGCAATGTGGATGAGATCAAATAAGGATCTTTGCTAAAACAGCTAAAAATAAGGTAAGATAATGGAAAGGCAAAATTAATAGTGGATAGGCTTATCCGCCTTTCAAAATCTTGACACAGAAGAAATATATTTGCATTGTTTCCATACCTCACTTCTCTGCTGCTCCTCCCTGCCATTTTCTGGTACTTAACATAAACTTTGCCTTTTAAATACTGGTTTCAAAGCCATCCCTGCACTTACAAATAGCATGAAATAATATATTGGATTATTAAAAAAAAGAAAAAAATCAATAAGAGGAGGGCAAAACAAAGAGAGCCATCGACAGAACAGGAATCCTTTGAAGCACTGTTGAAAGATGTAACCCATGGAGAAACAAACATTTCAGAAAACCATGATTTAAATGCCTGGAAGTCTTTTACAGCGGTGGGAGAGACTCCAGGGCTGCCAATCTCAGAGTGTATAAAATGGATCTAAGAAAAAAGAGTTACTGAGATATTTATCATGGCAATTAATATAGGAATGATATTTGAAGTAGCTAGGCCAGGTGGCATTTGCCCCTTTCTACATGTGCTACAGCAGGTTGCTGTACCATGTGCATATAGGTTAGACGAGGGACAGTGAGGATAAAGAGGCAGGGTCACATCTGTGGTAACTATTGACCACAGGAAGATGGGAAGTCTACACACACACTTTTGTAAGCTGGTGGCCTGCCACTGACAACTGACAGAAACACATTGCTGAAAATAGTACAGCTAGATCTACTAGGAATCAGAAATCAAACTCGATAGATAGGCAAGTATTCTGCAACCATTAATATGAAGTGGAAGGACCAAGCTCAACAAAGCATTTTTAACCCCCAGAGAAAAATAAATACTATGGTGAAATTTCAAATTAAGAAAGATAAAAGGAACACCCAGAACAATTTCAGAAAATAAATTTTAAAAATCAGATGAGCATCACATTTTTTTATTATCAACACTGAATGATAGAATGCAGTAGAGCAACATTTTCAAAATGCTAACCAAAAAAAGTGATCCTAGAGTAACTATACCCACATCAACATACAAATGAGAGGGAAAAATAAGAACACTTTAGAATACGCAAGGATTTAGAAAGTTTAACAAACTCACACCCTGGATGAAGTAATTACTTGAAGCTATTTATAAGCATATGAATTAAAGATCCAAGGTAGATAAAAAGCATGGAATACAAGAAATATTAGTTAAAAATGAATCTTCCAATATATTTATATTTAAATAATTATTAATGAGTAATATGAAAAAGTAGTCACTGGGAAATAAAATTTCATGTGACCAAAATTAGTAGTATGGCAAATGGGATGAAAAGAAAAGTTAATGTACATGAAAATTTTTCATATCCTTTGTCTTTACTAAAGTCTTATCTGAATATACCTTGTAGAGTCTTGAGAGTACTTTTAATTGTTTGATTAAATTGTCTGGAATTGCTGCAGGTGCCCACACATTTTCAAATCTAGATCACATGGGTGATTTCATAGAAAAGCAAAATTTACAAATATAACAAGAAAAGGAACTAAACACAGCATACCTGGAGGAAAATGAAGATATAGATTAAACATTAATCTCTAATATAGGAATTAGGCTAAGTGCATTTTATCAGTGATATGTAACAGACATATTCTTTTGTTATATTAACCACTTCAGAAAATAAGCAGTGAAGAGATGAAAAGCATTCCAACACAATCTCTAAACCTTACTTTATCACAGTTCCTAAAGAAGGCAAGCATAGCACAAAAAATAAATATTCAAATTGCTCCTAGTTCTAAATACAAATATAAAAGTTTTAAAATATTAGAAATCATGATCAATCAATGAAAAAGAGTGTCAAGACTAGTTTAGCATATAAAAAAGTAACTCATTACATTGAGATTAAAAGAAAAAAATCCTTGTTTTATATTTTTTTCTTTTTTTTTTTCTTAGTCTCTGGGGTAGCTGGGACTACAGATGGGCACCATGATGCCCTGATAGTTTTTTCTTGCTTTGTGGTGTTTGTATGTTTGTTTGTAGAGATGGATTTTGCCGTGATGGCCAGGCTGGTCTCAAACTCCTGGGCTCAAACAATCTGCTCACCTCTGCCTCCCAAAGTGCTGGAATTATAGGTGCGAGCCACCATGACTGTTCCCATTGTTATCTTAACAGATGTAGAATATTGGCTTATTAGAAACATTACAATTAAAAAGGAAAAAAGACAATACCATTATTAAGAAGAGAAAAAATGCTATTATATATAGTAAGCACTGTTATAGTCAACATTTTCTATTTACATTTAATTTGGTAAATAAAATTAAAAAGTATAAAACATAAGAAGTATACTTATCGGGAAAGATAAGAATATCACTATCTTAGATGCTACTAAATGTTTCCTTAAAATCCCAGGAAATAAACTGAATACAGTTTAAGACAAAAGAGAGATTGGATATAGCTGTGAAAGGGTAAACCACTTAGAATGTAGCATTGTGAAAGTGGCTATCCACTTATAGAAAAATATATCGTTAACAAAGTTAAATACGTGACAAACAAATACATATTTGCAAAATATTTAGCATTAAATAAAAAGCACCTAAAGCCAACTTTTAAAATAGGGAAAAAAAGGTAGCAGAAGAAAATAATTAAGGGCTATGACTAGGTAGTTCACAGAGAATTTAAAACAGGCAACAAATATGTAACAAGAGTGATAATTATAACTTCTTTTGTTATCTCAAAGTTTCCAGAGAAACTCATTAAACTGAGACAAAACAAGGGGTATTAGATATCACTCATTCTGAATAGAATTGCTCTGAAGAGATTTGCAAAGGTGCCAGCCAAAAATGTGTTCTGCTAACGGTAACCCAAGCAGCCATCACCAGTCTGGATGAGAGGTTAAGTTTGAAGCTGCCTCAGGGAAAATTTCTCAGGAGAGAGTTGTTAGGGTCTGGGTCGCCTTCTGAGTGAGACTCAGAGCCTTCCTCATACCAGCCCAGGGCTTCTAGTTGGATATATGTGGACCATGGGGAAGATAACCAGACTGGTATTGTCTTAAAAGGGAATCTGTATGCTTGCAGTTAGGATACATTATCCTGTACATTGCCCTCAGGAAGAAGAGCAGACCATTAGCAGACCATTGCTCTCAGGAAAAATAACTATTAAAAAAAAAAATAAATAAATACAAAACCTCCGGATTGAAGGCATCAGAGAAATATAAAGGCAGCATAAATGTGAGGGGCTAAGATACTAGACAGTAGAAAATTTTTGCAGAGCTTTTATGGATATTGCAAACCAAAAAAACAAAAAACAACAACAACAAAAAAACAATAAAAAATAAAGCTCAGGGATACCAACAAGTTGTGATTCGTGAGTCCATAATCCAGGAGTGAAGAGAAGTGCAGTGAAGGAAACTCAACAGTCTGATCCCCTATTCTCCTCAAAGCATCACTGATTCTTACGCAGCTCAGCCTAAGAGACAGAGATGTTGGGCAAAACGAAGCTACTAAGAGGCTGTAAAGGCAAGCAAATTTATCTACAGGAGAAACAAAAATGGAATACAGATCCACTAAAATGGACATTCTTGTGAAATCTCAAGTTTTCAGTTGAGATAAGTTAAAGACTGCTCTCTAAGAGTAAAAGCAATTTGGAAATAGAAAAATTTACAGAGACTAAAAACTAATTACAAATAAACTTTATCTTGCTTATATTGAGATCTGATCTGATTCTACTTTAACTACCTAGAAGAAAATAAATAAAATCTTTTTTGATGGAATACAGCATAATTTAGATCCCTTACAGTTACTAATTTTTAATGCCCGAGAGTCATTCAAAAAATAGTATATAAGCATATTTGAAGGCAGTCTGAGACAATATCAGTTAAAGGAAAAGGTCTTCAGGTGATTCAGATAGTTCAGTTATTAAATACAGACTTTCAGAATCATTAGTACAAGATAGAAAGATCAAACATGTAATAAGACCAAATGAGAGAAAACAGCTCAGGAGTAATGCTGAAAAATAGCACAGTTAAAAATTTGCATTATTGTTGAAAGATATGAAGCTACAGATTCAGGAAGCATCATGTACTCCAAGAAAAATACAAAGAAATTTATACTAAGTACATTACAGTAAAACTATACAAATACAAAGAAAACATAGAATAAATAAAATTTTACCTTAAGAGAAGCAACATTCAACTGTATATTGACTTCTTCAAAGAAATGATAGAAGCTAGAAAACAAAAATCACTTGCTAAAGGCTGAATGGGAGGCAAATAAAAACAATTTCAGACAATGAAAAAGAAATACATTTTCTTGCCAGCCAATCAAACTAAAAAGAAGAAAGGATGAAACCAATTTATTGAGGCAAAAGAAATGTGATGCTTGACAGAGCATGGAAATTCAGGAAGAATGCCATAACTGTATAATAAACATGATAACTAAGTGGGTAACTAAAAGGAAATATTGATTCTATAAAAAAATATATACTGAGAGATTTAAAATACAAATAAAAATAGGAAAACCATATTGAGAGCGGGGAAGACAGTAGAAGGAAAAAGTGAGTATATAAGCTGTGCCCTCTTCATGTAGGAAATGTGCAGCTGGGAAAGGGGAAGAATTTTAAATTGAACAATGAGCACTAGTGTTGATCTTACATTACAAAGAGTTTCTGAAACTACTGAGATGAGAATGTCCTGAAGACTGAAATAACCAAGAAAATCCATGGAGTCAGCCCCTCCTTTCATCCAGGGGCAGAAAAGAACAAATCCAAGGAGATGATGTCGAGTGGTTTGGCCGAGAACCAAACAACTTGAGTGCTTGGTTCCTGCATTACATCATCTTAACTGAAGTTCATTCCATTAACTTTTTATATGAGAAAAAAAGGAGGTAGCATAGGAAGTAATCAGGAAAATGTAAATTAATGTATTGACATCATTTTTCACAGGTTAGATTGGCAAAATTTAAGAGGCTGATAAAAATCCATTTTTGTAAAAATGAAGGGAAATTAGAACTTGTCCACAATATTGATAAGAACTTCAAGAAATAGTTTCGGAAGGTAATCATACATACATATATATATATACACACAGACATAAATACATATAGGTATAAGAATATAAACAGAGATATGCAATATTTCAAAACAAGTTTTTCTAACTTAAAAACCCTACAAGTTTAGAACAATATAAGAATACAAGCTCCATGAAATCAGAGGCAATCTAAAGAAGGGCTTGGAATATGATAGTCATTCTATAAATATTTGTTGAATGAATAAGCCTCTATTTATGCACAAAATGGAGGAAAATAAAGATATATTTAAATATTTAATTTTGTATAGTTCTGTATTGTGTGAATTTTTGAAATAAAAAATTTAATCACACAGCACTTAGAGTAAAATAAAATAAATTGTAAGTTAAAAGTACATGCTTTATGTATACTAGTTCTAACATTCTGCAGCTTGAACAAATCTACCAAGCTACTAATCTGCTAACATCTCTGGACATCTTTTAAATGAAGATAATAAAATACAATTAATGAGATTTTTGTGAAAATAACAAGTGAATACCAATTATCCAACTGCTTGACACATTGTACAGAGTCATTAAACGGTGGCAGGATATTATTTATCACTCTCCTAACCTCCAATGTAACCCAATGTCCTTTGCTGACCTTTTTTTAATCCAAGTTTCTCCAAGATGGAACCTCATCCAGGACTGACATAATGAGCTATGCCATCACTTTAAAATATCTCCCTATTCAGTTAAACTGTTTATTAATGACTGTTTTTAAGGAGAAGGAAAAAAGAGACTTAGCTGTTTATCTCAAGCCATACGACAAAATATATTTTAAGATCAAAGGTTAAATATTCAAATAATAAAACAGAGAAAAATATGGGCAATATTAATATGAACTTCAGAGGTGTAAAGATTTTTTTAAGCTTAACCAAAATTGAATAAATAACAAGAAAAACAAGTAATAGAATTGACTATACAAAAATAGAAACCTATTAAAGACATTAGGCCTAAAAAGCTTTCAACCAAGATGCCAAACACAAGTTTAATGCACTAATTTTTAAGTGGCTCTATGTATCTATCATAAAACATAAAGAAGCCCTTGAAGACATTTGGACAAAAGACAAAGCATGTAATTTACCCTCTCCCCAAATTCAGTCTCACACTTAGTTTATAAAAAGTATTATTGATACTTTTTAATATTAAAATAATTTTATGTATTATATTTTCCCATTCATCCCTGAAGCTAAGCTGTCACCAAGCAACCCCCACCAGGTGGCACAACATCCCCTGAGTTGTGTGCAGCTGTTACACCCTTCCTCATGGGAAGTCACTCCACCTACCCACCATGCAACCTGCTCCCTTGGCCAGAGCTGAAACTACCACTTCCTCCTGGGGAAAGAGTGCCTTTTCAGAGGCTCATTCCACTCCTCACAGTCACCACTACTGCACTCTGCACCTGGAGACCATCACTAAAGCAGCACACACCCTTCTAGGGAAACAGTGCTGAGGGGGAACTGTGCCATCCACCTCCCCCAGTCAGCTGCTGCACCCTGCCCCTTGGGCCCTGAGCTGAAGCTGCACACTCTCTACTACAGAAACGGTGCTTTGGTGGAGCTGCTACACACTGCCTCTCAAGAAAACAGTGCCTTGGCACAGTTACTCCAAAAATCCCTTTTAGTCACTGCTGTGCCCTGCCCCATGGTACTCAAATCGAAGCTGCACAGTCCCTCCCAAAGAAATAGTGCTTTGGTGCATCTACTCTATAAACCCCTCTCTGTCACCGCTGCATCCTGTCCCCCTGTGCCAGAGCTGAAGCAATGCAGGACACCCCAGGGAAATAGTGCCTTGGCTGTCCAGAGCAGTCATACCCCTCTGTGCCCCAGCTAAAGCAGAACCTTGCTTCCTGAGAATACAGTACATTTGCTGCTGCCTAGAGCAGCCACATATCCTTGGGGCTGAGTTGAAGCAGTTTGCTAACTCCCAGTGAATGGCATCTTGGCTGCACAGAGGTGTCACACACCCTAATACCTAAGCTGAAGCAACACCCTGCAACCCAGGGAAACCATGCCTGGGCCATCCAGAAAAGTCATGCCCCCAACACCTGAGATCAAGTGGGACAGCAACCCTTAGGAATCAGGGCCTTGGCTGAGCCGAGCAGCTATGCATCCCAGGGCTGAGCTGACCTAGTACCACATATCACAGGGAAACAAGGGAGTGGCTGATCTGAGACATTCTATCCTATGAGCCAAACAACTCTTATACCTTATGTCTCTGGACATGGACTAGTAACCTAGATTGGGAGCTTCTGATATACCCCTTTCCCTGGGTAGTGGAGTCAGTGTTGTGCTGCTTCCTGACCCCAAGGGCTCAAACAACAGCTGTGCTCTGCAATTCTGATGTCTTTGCTGCTACTGAGCTTGGCCTCACAGAGTCTAAGATACTGCCAAGCCCTGCCATTTCAAAGTCTGGAATCACTCCTACATGGAGTCTCATTTCCTGGGACTCCAGTGCCACTGAGCCCTGTTACTCAGGTTCCTGAATTACAGCCATACCCTGCCTCCCAGACCCAAACCTTCAGAGCACCTTTTCTTACCCAGAGTTGGGCCAGTGCTATACCCTGACCCCAGGGGTAGAATCACCACTACAATGCAACCTCTCAGGCCCAAACTGCTAGGGCATACCCCAGAGTCACAGATCTTGACTCTGTGGGCATCATAAATCTAACTTAGCCACAGAAAGCAAATCTGAACCCTAATTCCCAGTGTTACAATAGGATCACAAGATCTTGAGGCTAAGACCTCAATCCCACAGCTGCTCTGAGTACCTACATCTAGAACTCAGCACTGCTGCAGCTGCTTGCAGGCCATATCAGACCTGATAGCAAGAGCCAGCCCTTTGGTTAAGTCTCCCCATTGTGTGGAAAACAAGAATAGGAGGACCCCAAGATATCCCTTTTCCACCAAGAAAATCAACAACCTACATCACTGCCATTGCTGCCACAAATGTCTACAGTCCAGGCCACTAGAGGTGCCCACAATTATTGCTGACATTAATGGCTTAATGGATTTAAAGCATAGCCCAACTGTATGCTGCCTACAAAAAACACTTCACCTATAAAGACACATATAGACTTAAAGTGAAGGGATGTGAAAAGACTCCACACAAATGGAAACCAGAGTGAGCAGAAGTTGTTATACTTATATTAGGTAAAATAGACTTTAACTGAAAAACAGTAAAAGGAGACGAAGAAGATAACTATATAATAATAAATAGATCAATTCTGCAAGAGGATATAACAACCTATATGCATCCAACACCAGAGCACCCAGATGCATAAATGCTATTAGATCTAAAATGAGCAAGAAACTCCAATACAATAATAGTTGGGGACTTCTACACCCCACTGTCAGCATTGCAGAGATCATCTAGACAGAAAATCAACAGAGAAACTTTGGATTTAAACTGCACATTAGACCAAATGGAGCTAGCAGACATTTATAGACTATTTCATCCAACAGCTGCAGAATACACATCCTTTCATCAGCATATGGAAAATTTTTCAGGATAGACCACAATAGGCCACAAAGCTTGTCTCAAGAAATTTAAAAGGATTAAAATTATATCAACTATCTTTTCTTACCACAAATAGAATAAAGCTAAAAATCAATAGCAAAAGGAATTTTTAACACTGCACAAATACATGGAAATTATACAACATGCTTCTGAACAACTAATGAATTCATGAACAAATTAAGGAGAAAATTAAAATATTTCTTGAAACAAATAAAAATAGAAACACAACATATTAAAACCTATGGGATACAACAAAAGCAGTATTAACAGGTAAGGTTATAGCAATAAACACCCACATCAAAAAAGTAGAAAGATTTCAAATAAACAACCTAGCAATGCATCTCAAAGAACTAGAAAAAAAATAATAAGCCAAACCCCAAAATAGTAGAAAGAAAAAAAAAATAATAAAGAACAGAGAATATACAAATAAATTTTAGAATAAAAAATACAAAAGATCAACAAAACAAAAAGTTGTTTTTTTGAAAAGATAGACAAAATTGAGAAACAACTAGCTAGAGTAACAAAGAAATGAGAGGTATAAGATTCAAAGAACTAAAATGAGAAATGAAAATGAAGACATTACAATAGATATCACAGAAATACAAGAATCACTGGACACTATTATGAACAACTAGAGTTGACCTTTGTACAATGTGAGCATTAGAGAGAACTGACACTCTGCATAGTTGAAAATCTACATATAAATTTTAACTCCCCCCAAAATTAACTAGTAATAGCCTATGGTTTACTAGAAGCCTTATTGATAAGATAAACAGGCTATTAACACAAATTTTGTGTATTACATTTATTGTATACAGTATTCTTACAATAATGTAATCTAGGAGAAAATGTTGTTAAGAAAATCATAAGGAAGAGAAAATATATCTACTATTTTTTTAATGGAATGGGTCATCATAAAGGTCTCCATCTTTGCCATCTTCACATTGAATAGGCTGAGGGGGAGGGTTTTTCTTGCTGTTTCTGGGGTGGCAGAGGTGGAAGAAAATCTGCATATAAGTGGATCTGCACAGATCAAATCCATGTTGTTCAAGAGTAAACTGTATATGCCAACAAGTCATAAAACCTAGCAAAAATGGAAAAATTCTTGAACATATACAACCTATCAAGATTTAACTCAAGAAGACAAAACCCGAACAGAACAATTTTATGTAATGAGATAGAGTGAGTAATGAAAAGTTTCCCAACAAGAAAAGCCCAAGACCAGATGCCTTCACTGCTGTATTCTATCAAACATTTAAAATACTAAAAAAATACTAATACAAATTCCTTCCAACTTCCCAAAATATTGAAGAGAAATAAATTCCTACAAACTCATTCTACAAAATCATCATTGTCTTGATACAAAATCATCATTGTCTTGTGGGACTGTAAACTAGTTCAACCATTGTGGAAGTCAGTGTGGCGATTCCTCAGGGATCTAGAACTAGAAATACCATTTGACCCAGCCATCCCATTACTGGGTATATACCCAAAGGACTATAAATCATGCTGCTATAAAGACACATGCACACGTATGTTTATTGCGGCACTATTCACAATAGCAAAGACTTGGAACCAACCCAAATGTCCAACAATGATAGACTGGATTAAGAAAATGTGGCATATACACCATGGAATACTATGCAGCCATAAAAAATGATGAGTTCATATCCTTTGTAGGGACATGGATGAAATTGGAAACCATCATTCTCAGTAAACTATCGCAAGAACAAAAAACCAAACACCGCATATTCTCACTCATAGGTGGGAATTGAACAATGAGATCACATGGACACAGGAAGGGGAATATCACACTCTGGGACTGTTGTGGGGTCGGGGGAGGGGGGAGGGATAGCATTGGGAGATATACCTAATGCTAGATGACACATTAGTGGGTGCAGCGCACCAGCATGGCACATGTATACATATGTAACTAACCTGCACAATGTGCACATGTACCCTAAAACTTAGAGTATAATAAAAAAATAAATAAATAAATAAATAAAAAATAAAAATAAAATACTAATACAAATTCCTTCCAACTTCCCAAAATATTGAAGAGAAATAAATTCCTACAAACTCATTCTACAAAATCATCATTGTCTTGATACCAAAATCAGACAAAGACACAATAAAAAAAAAAACTATATGCCAATATCTCTAATAAACATAGATGTAAAAATCCTCAACAAAATACTAGCCTCCCAATTCCAGGAGCACATTAAAAAGATCATTGATTATGATCAAGTGGGATTTATTGAAGAAATTTGAGAATGATTCAACATATGTAAATCAATAAATATGATATACCACATCAAGAGAATGAAGTACAAAAACCATATGATCATCTCAATAGACACAGAAAAAGCATTTTATAAAATTCAACATGACTTTATTATAAAAATTCTTGGTAAACAAGGTATAGAATGTATCTCAATACAATGCACACAATGGAATATTATTTAGCAATATAAAAGAATGAAATTCTGTCATTCACAACAATATGGATGGGATTGGAAAGCATTATGTTAAGTGAAATAAACCAGGAAAAGAAAGATAAATACCAGATATTCTCACTCATATGTGGAAATTACAAAAATCTATCTCATAGAGGTGAAGAGTAGAATAATGGCTACTAGAGACTGGGAAGGGTAGAATAAAGGAGAGGATAACTAGAGATTGGTCAATGGATACAAAAGTGCAGCTAGCTATGAGGAATAAGTTGTGGTGTTTTATAGCTCTCTAGGGTGACTATAATAAACAACAATCTATTTTATATTTTCAAGTAGCTAGAAGAGTGAATTTTGAATGTTTTCGACACACAGAAATGGCAACTGTTTGAGGTGATAGATACGTTTGAGGTGATAAATATGTTAATCACCCTGATTTGCTCATTATACATTGTATACATGTATCAAAATATCATACTGTACTCCATAAATATGTACAATTATTATGTGTCAATTTAAAATAATAATGTTTTTAAATGTGACAAAATATTACTATAAATAGTGATAATGTATGAATATATTTTAGGGTTTTATTTTAAAAAATAATCTTAGATCATTTAAAGTTTCACAAAAAAAGTCTTATGAGGCATCATCTGCAGTAGTGAAAACAGCCAATAGAGTATAAATTTTAATTACTAGTCCAGTGGTACAATAATATTAATAACCCACTGTGTGGTAAAATATTTAAGACATAATGGTAAGAAAATAAGAAGGCTGCAATATTAAATGCATACTCTAACTCAAATGTCTATAATAAATGCAAATACATTTTGTATATGTATAATAAAAAATTAGAAGTTAGTTACAATATTTACAATGTTTATCACCAAGTTAGGATTAAGATTGATTAACCAAAATGGGGAGGCTCTATTCCATACTGAGAGTGCAAAGACTATGGAAGCAGATGCACAAGCTTTGCATACCAGTCCTGCTACTTTAGAGAAGTTACTTAATATTTCCGAATATTAATTTTTTCAAATTTTTTTAAAGCACACGCACATTTGGTGGAGTTTTAGAGCATCTATCAATTAAAATATGTAAAAGAATGCAGTCTAATTTTTATGACATGAAAGGAGCTAAATAAACATTAGATCTTTTACATTCTTTATAAATTTTTATATTTTCCAAGTTTTCTACCATTGAGTTTGTAATTTCATTTTGGAATTAGGAATTTTTCTGAATGCTGATTATTCTATTTCTAACTGCTGTCCTGTTGTGCCTGACCTAAGACAAGCAAATCTTCTGTATCCTGACTCCACTATATTAGTGAACAGCTCAGGGAGGAGAGAAAAAATAATATAAGTCAATTATATGATTGCTTTTATGTTTGCTAAATCTATTAACTCTCTGGAAATACATATTTTTAAAACTTTACTTGTAAACATCTGCACTGTATGCCTGGAAGAAGGAATTTTTTAAACTCTATTTTATTTCCCAGCATATAACATAAATCCAGAACCAAGATATTCATAAAAATCCATGAAATTAAATGGGTCTGCAGATATAAAATGCCAAGCATTCATAGCAGATAATGGGAAATATTTCAAAGGTGAGGATATTTCTGGTACAGTACATTTTAAACCAAGCAGGAAGCCAATTAGTCAACTGTATCAGTCAGGATCCAGTCAGAAGACAGAAACCATACAGTAACTTAATCATGGGAAGTTTGATATAAAAATTACTAACTTTGAAAGGAGATTGGCATAATGAAGGACTTCCTAAAAATGAGAAATAGTATTGAAAATACAAGAATAGTAGAATAGTAGATATAAAGAGAACATCAATGAAGGAGTATCCCACCACCTCACCCCTCAATACCACAGGGCTTGAGATAAAGATGGTAAAGTTTGCTAAGGTGCAGCACCTTCAGAACTTGCTAGAAATTCACCTTCTGAAATGCCAGGGGAAGTGCTCTACAGGGAAATGTTGCAACCCAGAACTTGCTGCAAAGGTGTTCAAGGGTGTGATAAGGAAACTGCTTACTCCTTGATACTGATGGTCAGAGTGAGCAGCAGCACTCAGGTCCTGGAGAAGCCACCTGTATAACAGGTGCCTGATGCTGTGGAATCTACCCACAATTCAAGAGCCCAGTGATGGATGTGTGATGCATACAGTAAGAGCCTGCCACAAGAAGCACATTGGAACTTCTTTCTGCTCCTATCTCCCTCCAGTGCCGTCTACTGATTTGCTCTTTCATAGCAGCTGGCAAAATAAAAGCATTTGCAAGGCTCACCTCTATTATCACAGAGTAAGTAATGAAGGTGGGTTTGGAACTGAGAGATAAATTGGTATCTGGCAATTTTCACATTTTCTGTTACTCAGCTTCCACATTCACCTTTATACACACATTTATACTTTATAATAACAAAATATCTTTATACCTTCCCCTAAAAAGATAAGGCTATTCTTTTTACAAGTGAAGTTCTCATCTGTTCCCCAAAATAACAAGAGGCAGAGTCCCAACAGTCATTATATCCATCACTGGCTTTAATGAGTACTACTCAAATCCCACCACATTTCCATGGTATATTCTATTACCTAAAGGCCAAAGGTTAAAGTTAACTTCTAACAAGTTGCGTAAAAAATAAAAATAAGAAAGAGGTTAGAGAAAAAGAAAATTGTTAGCACATGCCAATAAACACATGCATATAACCAGCAAAAAGAAAAAATACAAAGTTACCACATTTGTCATCTCTGTAACTGGTCACAAGAACATAACTAATACATACTACTTTATTCTTCTACTATTCATTTCATACTTCCCCTGCCCTCAGCCAGAATGTCAGTTGGTCAGGATTCTTTGCCTGTTGGAGTAATGCAAATCTTTTTTCTTGAAAGGTCTGAGTTAGCAATCATGCTATTATTTGTTGTTGTTTCAATAGTTTTCCAATAACCTTCACTATTGAGCATGGAATTAATAAGAAATACACTAGAGGATTTGCTGGGTTTCAAATTTAGTCCTGCTTATCCTCATTACGCAGCAACAAATCAATTTCCCTTTGGTAATTGGGAGAAATCACTCCATTGAGTAGAATAACCTTTTTTTCTGCCTGTTAGTTCAATGGCATAAAGAGACCACGCTAACCAGGTAGCAGTTTCATCTTCCAATTCAATGGAACCAATATTGTGTCCCATAGTTGAAGCATGTTCACCCTGGAGACTAAGAGTTCCAAATCGGCAGAGTCCAAAGCTGCTAGAACAGAAAGCAAGAATTGCAAGTGTATTATTGAGTATAATAATGAGAAAACTCTCTCTCATTTTCATCCTTTGATTCCCAGATTCATGTCTTGTATATGGCAGAAATAGCATCATATAATGACCTTTGCTTCAATATATATACTTTATCTTGTATGTCAGAACCTCATCCTTTCAAGGTATTGTCTCTCAGTTGGCTCTGGAACTGAGTCTTCAGCAAGCCATTTCATATTTCTATTTACTCTGTAACTTCTAGTTGATGGGGTATTTAGAATGACTGGTTGATTCCATAGGTATGAGCCATTGCTGTACTTCCTTTACATTGAAATTAGTTCTTTGATCAAAAGAAATGCTATATAAAGTGGCATGAGATTGGGTAAGTGGTTCTCTGGGTTTATGGATTATAGTGCTCTCAAAAGCTCTGATCTCCTCCATGATGGTTTCCTAATGTGATCAACCTACCACAAGATGGTTAGATGGTCCCCCTGAATAATGGTGTCATATTGAGAACTGAGTATTTCTACTTGTTGTCTACAGGCTAGGAACTCAGCAGTTACATTAACCAGGTCATACCTGTAAGAGAAATTCCATGTTGTTAAGCCATGTATAGTCTATTCCTACCACCCTGATGACTTTGCTCATGAGCCCGTTGACCAAGAAATGGGGAATGTGGTAAAAAGAGATTGATTGACATCCACAGAATGTGTCATTCTGTCCACCTAATTATTAACGTCTTCCACAGCAATGGGTAAACTTTGATCAGCATTCACATGGGTCACAAATATCTTCACAATCTGTGCCCATACTGAGAAACACCCATCTTTTCCCCAGACTTCCTTGTTGCCACTCACACAATTCTGTTTCTGTCGTGTCCTTAACCATCCATACAAACTATTAGCAATTACCTGGAAAGTAATGAAAATTATTCCTCTCACTGAGAAGAATTTCCTTTGCTCTTATCCTTAAGGGAGCACCCCTAAATGGATCTGTAGTATTGCAGCTATCCACCTTTGAGTGGTACAAGCATATGCAAATTACTCATAACTTTCAGACCCACTTAAGTTCAGTTTCTTATGAACCATTTAACTGTTATAATATATATTGCTGAGCATGCCCAAACTTATAGCCAAGTGTGTCAGACTGTAACCGGCCCATGAAGGAAAGCTCAGGCCACATGATCACCTGATGTCCCTTTGTTAGAACTTCAGTCTCCACCAACCCCCAAAGCAAGCCAGTACTCTTACTCAAAATAGCTTCAGGAGAAAGCATCAATTTCTTCCAAAATCCTAGAGCTCTGGGTTGTGATTCTTTTCTTTGTGCTTCCCAGGGACTCCATGCAGGATCTCCACTTGCCACAAATATTTTAAACAATTGGTTTATACTGGACCTGCTAGATCAGGAAGGACAAGGGGTAGTGTAGCCCTTATTACAGCTTGAAATTGCTGCAGAGATTTAGGGCCACCTCTAGCTGAATGAGAAAACACAAAATCTGAAATCTCTAGAAAGTTTAGCCATATCACTTAATTTGGCCTAATCTAGTGATATAATCCACGACATTTTTTAATTTAACACAATTAGATATATTTCTACACATTTTCCACAGATTTCTCCCAAAATATTTTAGTAACATTTTGTGATTTTATGGCAATAAACTATTTGTCCAAGGTCATAATGACCTGTCTCCTTAGAATACACTGATATTTTATTCTAGTTATGAAATAGCAACTACAAGGGATGGTTGTAGGTCTTAAGAAGAATGAGTTTCCTCCTTCAAGGCATCTTACCCAAGTTATCTCTCACAGGGTTTCCAAATTAAGTAAAACTGTTTTTTCAAGTACCAGAGTGAAAATTAAGTCCATTGGAAAGAGTATTGAAAAGTGATTTAGGGGTCAAGATTCCCTATTTCATCTGGATCCAACCAGATTTCCCCACTCCAACCAGATCTCCCAACCAAGATCCAAATCCTTCCCCATCAGTGTCCTAGCTTTCACATGAAAAAACTTGACAAGACAGTGAATTCAATTGTTATTGTAATTCATCAACATGCTAACATATAGTTAAATTTTGTGTTTGATTTTCAGAAATAACTATGACTACAAAAAAATTTCAAATTCATTTTAGCACTTTCATGGAAATGCTCTAGTGTTTGAAACTGTTACTTCAGCTTAAAGTTAAGGGACTTAACTTTGTTATTTCATTTCTGTAAGCACTGAAGGACACTAAAAAGGATCCATGTTACACCATAATCCTTATAGATATCATTACTGCCATATGGTCATAACTGGCACTTTAGAAAATAACAAAAGTATTTTAGCATCTTTATCTTCTCCTGATAAGTAAAAGCTTCCCTGGCAAACCTCAAAGAATTCCTTCAAAGTCAACTCTTGATTTAGTATAAATTTTATATTTTGATAAGGTCTAAATCAACTTAGGATGATCAGGATGCCCTTGGTGTTTTCATATAGATTTAATACTACTTGGGCTCGTTGGTTATAATTTTATAACAATCTTTATTCCATTTTCAAATCGTGAGTTTTATAGAACTTGCATAACAATTGTTGTTGTTTTATTTGTACTGGAAAAGCACAGAGTCCTGCAAGATACTGTGTGTATACCGAACTTTGGGAAAATATTTTTCCCAAAGAATAAATAGAAAAGAAAATTATTTAAGAGTCTTCCTGATCTTGGGAATATTTCATCACTTGGTGAATGTGTATATGCTGCTCTCTATCAAAATGTCCTTCATTCTACTCCCATTTTTCTTCTTGATCCCTCCATTTTTCCGCCTCTTTCTTGTTAATTATATAAAAGTCATCTTTCTTGGTGTGACATCACTGAAAATGACGGAGTGGGGAAATCCAAAACTGTTTCTCTCCACTCATGCAATAATTAAGCTAGCAAAAAAACTATCAGAATCAAAATTTTTAAGACTCTGAAACCCTATAAAAAATGTAATATGACCAAGGGAATGACCAATGAAGATAGAAGCTGGTGAAATTTTGTGAGAAAGTATTTGGCATTTGAACTTATCTACCTACCATCACTTGTTTCCCAGCTTAGTGGTGACAACAAGTGGCAGCCTGCCTTCCTGGTGCAGATTGTTGGTGCCACAGTAGCAATATCTATCTTATTTTCAAAGAACTGTGATTGTCTAGTTTTACCTGTCTGGTGGATCTCTAAGAGATCATCTCAGAAACCCGCCTTTGTTTCACCCACCTCAGAGTTTTCCCAGAGCTGAATGTTACTCCTGGGCAGTGTTTGTTGAAAGACTCAAAAAGCAAATAAACTAGCCACAGACACCTGAAGCAAGGGATAGCAGTTAGAGCAAGCAATAGACATATGAAAATGTATGGTAAGAAAAAGCCTGGGGAAAGAGATACAATGGGAATAATATCTTCCAAAAAATCTTGCATATATTATTGAGGAAACTAGAAGACCATACACATTCCCAGAACAAGACATATACCCAGAAAAGATGCAAGAAGACACTAATCTTTCACCTGTGACTGACAATAAGGCCCCATGTAAGCAGGAAGTGAAACCTAAGGCAGAGTGCTAAACAGCTTGAATAAGCACTAAAGGAGTGTCCAACGCAGAGACAAACTTCAAGGACCAGGAGAGATGGTGGTAGTGGTTGTTATTGTTGTTGTTTTGACTACAAGCATTTAAGGATGTTAAATTTAAGCCTGATGGTAATTAAAAAGAAAATATCTATAGAAAGCACACAAAAGGAGATGAAGGAAAATCAGAATAGTTTACTACAAAAAAAAATTAGTTAAACACAAAAGAAGGCAGTAATGGAGGGGGACAAAAAAAGCTGTAAGACAAAAAACAAATGGCAAAGTCCTTTTTTATAAGTAATTTGCAAAATGGCAAAAGACCTTCCTTATAAATAATTACTTTAAATGTAAATGGATTATACTCTCCACTGGAAAGGCATAGATTGGCAGAATAGATTAAAAATAAATGATTCAATGTGTTGATCATGAGATTCACTTTAGATATAAAGATAAAGAGAGGTTGATTGAAAGTGAAATAATATAAAAGATAGTCCATGTAAATAGCAAACAAGAGTACTGGAACACCTATGTTAATATCTGACAAAATAGATGTTAAGTTAAAAACTCCTACAGGGGACAAAAATATTGACATTGATAAAAGGGTCAAATGGTAAAGATAATATAACAATTATAAGCATGTTAAGATTTTTGGCAAAAGGACCAATCCAAGCAGAAGACATAGCAAGTGTAAACATACATGTACCTAACAACAGAACTCAAAAATACACTAAGAAAATCATGACAATTGAAGGAGGAAATAAACAACTCTATGGTAAGCATTGGATACTCTCATACAGCATTTTCAGTAATGCACAGAATAACTACTCAGAAGGTCAACAAGAAAATAGAGAACATGAACAACATGATTAACCAATTACGAACAGACATGCTAACAGACACACTCACAGACTAACATACACAACACTCCACCCAACAGTAAGAGAATATATATTCTTTTCAAATTCACATGAAACATTTTTGAGGATATGTAGACTCATATATTTGTCTACAAAACAAGTGTCAATAAACCTTAGAAAATTAAAATCATACCAATTATCCTCTCCAACCATAATGTTAAGAAGCTAGAAATCAATAACAAAAAAACAAGAAAGTTCACAAATCTATGGAAATTAAAAAAGGTACTTTGAAACAACCAAAAAGTCAAAGAAAAATTCACAAAGGAAAATAAAAGTACTAGAGATTAATGAAAATGAAAATACAATATACCAAAGCTTTTTGAATGTAGTGAAGGCAGTGCTCAGAGAAAAATTTTTAGTTGCAATGCTTTCATTAAAAAGAAAAATCTTGGGGGAGGCTGGATAAGATGGCTGACTAGACACAGCCAGGTGAAAAGCTGCCACTGAGGGACCAAGATGACTGGTGTACTCCTAACAGATCTTCAGAGGGAAGGCACTGAGAGTGGACAGAGGAAAGACACAGCAGATAGGTTGAAGGAGAAGGAAGCTGGGAACTCTGCATGGGGTTATCACATACTGGAATTTGTTCCTGGACTCCAATGGCTCTGGAGGAACAGGTGAGTTGAACTGGCAAGAAGCAACTTGCTGCCACCATGGGCCTCTGGAATCCCAATAGGAAGAGACCTCTCGACCACCACAGACACTCAAGTTGGCAGGGAGAGCTTCTTAGAGAAAGGGTAGAAGCAGCATATCAGCTGATGTGAAGCCCAGAGGGTTTGATGTGGGAGCCTCTATACTGGATCATGGCCAGGGATGCCCATCCCCCTAGGCTTGACTTGCTCCCATAGGAGACTCTGGCCCTAGGGGAACTGTCAGACCTGAAATCTGCAGGGTGGTCTTGCCCATCAGATGGGGTTGATCTGACCTGAGCACCTCTTGCTCTGCTGGACTCTCCCAGCACCCCAGTCTGGCCACATCTGTGTGCAGGGCAGCCTCAGGTGCCCACATCACATCTCCTGCATTTGTGGACTGGGCCTGACTGGCAGAGAGCTCCAATGGGGCAGCCCCCATGGCCATGCAACAGCCCTCTCACTCCCTGCCCACCACTGCAGCTTCTCCCTAGCCCACGGCCACCCCTAACATCGCTTTGTTGGTGCATATGTGTATGAGTGGGTTTTTCCTTCCCTGCCCTGCCAGTGAGCATGTGTGCATCCCCCCTGACCCCTGCCACTGCTGCAGCATGAGTGCACTCTGCCCCCTGCCCCCATACCACCATTGCAGTTGGAGCCTTGGCATGTACAGAGCCAGCCAGCTCCCACCCCCACCAGCACCCCTTCCCTGAAACAACACTGCTGCAGGAGTGAAACTAGGCACAGAGAACAGCAGACCTTCCCCCACCCTGAGTGACCACCCCTGCTTGCAGCACACCGAGAGCTCACACAGACCTAGACACCCACCAGCCTCTCATCTTTGCCCCCATGCTAACACCACCACCAACACAACTCCATGCACAGTCACCAGTAGGACCCCAAACTCCCCCAACCCCACCATATGGTGTGCTGCCTCTGCCACTGTTGTGAATGTCCACATGGTGACAGGAACACCAGCATGTGCTAGCACCCTACCACAACTAATAAGTGTGCACCCTGCCATGCTGCCACTGCCACTGCTGCTGGCACATGATAAGGAGCCCAGATCCCACTGCCACCATGCTATGAAACACTGGCTGGCACATCCCACTGGAGTGTAGTGACCAGCAGTCTGGGATCACCTTGACACCCTCGGTGCAGTGGATTCCTAATCTTGAGGAGCCAGAAAACAAAGTCGGGGCTGATGCAAGTTCCCCAGAGTTAAAGCATGCAGTGCAGGAGTTTGGAGCTGAGCATAGGCCCACTAAAACCTTCCAGAAAAAAGCCAGTAGACTGAAACCCACCTTATACCACAATCAAACCTTCAAGGTCATCAAATATAATGAAAAAAAAAATCCAAAAGTCAGCAACTTCAAAGATTGAAAGAACATAAGCCCACAAAGATGAGAAAGAACCAGCACAAGAATGTTCTCTACTCAAAAAGCCAGAGGTTCTTGGTTTTTTTTCTCCAAACAACTGCCCTACCTCTCCAGTAAGGGTTGGGAACCAGGCTGAGATGACTAAAATGACAGAAACAGAATTAGGAATATCAATAGAAACAAAGATTATTGAGATTTGGAGTATGTTGAAACCCAGTCCAAGGAAGCTAAGAATCAGAATAAAATGATAGAGAAGCTGACAGACAAAATAGCCAGTATAGAAAAGAACAGAACTCACCAGATAGAGCCAAAAAAGACATTATAAAAATTTTATAATGCAATCGGAAGTTTTGTTTGTTTGTTTGTTTGTTCGTTTGTTTTTGAGACAGGACCTCACTCTGTTGCTTAGGCAGGAGTGCTGTGGTGCAATCCTGGTTCACTGCAACCTCCACTTCCCTGGTTCCAGTGATTCTCATGCCTCAGTGTCCCAAGTAGCTGGGACCAGAGGCACGTGCCACCATGCCTGGCTAATGTTTCGTATTTTTAGTAGAGACTGGGTTTTGCCATGTCAGCCAGGCTGGTTTCAAGCTCCTGGAATCAAGTGATCTCCTTGCCTCAGCTTCCCAAATTGCTGGGATTACAGGTGTGAGCCACAGCACCCAGCCTTAATCACGAGCACTAATAGTAAAATAGACTGAGTAGAAGAAAGAATCTCAGAGCTTAGAGGCTAGTTTTCTGAAATAAGACAGGCAGACAAGAATAAAGAAAAAAGAATGAAAATGAACAAAAAAACCTCCAAGAAATATGGAATTATGTAAAGAGACCAAATCAATGACTCATGGTCCCTGAAAGAGATGGGGACAATGTTAGCAAATTGGAAAATATACTTCAAAATGTCATCCATGAGAACTTCCCCAACCTAACTAAAGAAGCCAACATTCAAATTCAGAAAATGTAGAGAACCCAGCAAAATATTTTGCAAGAAGATGATCCCCAAGACACATAATCATCAGATTCTTCAAGTTCAAAATGAAAGAAAAAAATGTTAAAAGCAGCTAGAAAGAAAGGTTAGATCACCTACAAAGGGAAGCTCATCAGACTAACAGCTGACTTTGCAGCATAAACCCTACAAGTCAGAAGAGATTGGGGGCCTATATCCAACATTTGTAAAGAAAAGAAATTCTAACCCAAAATTTTATATCCAGCCAAACTACACTTCATACTCAAAGGAGAAATAAGACCCTTTTCAGACAAGCAAATGCTGAGGATGTTTGTTACCACCAAACTTACCTTATAAGAGCTGCTGAAGGAAGCACTAAATATGGAAAGGAAAGACTGTTACCACACACTACCAAAACACTAAGGTACACAGACCAGTGACACTATAAAGCAATCATACAAACAAGTCTGCATAATAACCACTAGCATCATGGTAACAGGATCAAATCCACACATTTCAGTACTAACCTTGAATGTAAATTGGCTAAATGCTTCAGTGAAAGGCACAGAGTGGCAAGCTGGATAAAGACCCAAGATTCATTGTTATGCTGTCTTTGAGAGACCTATCTTACAAGCAATCATACCCATAGGCTCAAAATAAAAAAAATGGAAAAAAAATCTACCAAGCAAGTGGAAATCAGAAAAAACAGTGGTTGCAATTCTAATTTCAGAAAAAAAAAAAACAGACTTTAAACCAACAAAGATCAAAAAAGACAAATAAGGGCATTACATAATGGTAAAGGTTTCAATTCAATAAGAAGACCTAACTATTCTAAATATATGTGCACCCAATACAGGAGCACCCAGTTTCATAAAGCGAGTTTTTAGAGACCTTCAAAGAGACTTAGACTTCTACACAAGAATAGTGGGGGACTTCAACATCTCACAGACAGTATTAGGTCAATGAAGCAGAAAATCAACAAGATATTCTGGATGTGAACTCAGCATTGGATCAAATAAACCTGATAAACATCTACAGAACTCTCCACCTCGAAACAACAGAATATACATTATTTTCACTGCCACGTGGCATATGGGATACTCTGAAAATGAACCACATAATAAGACACAAAACACTCCTCAGCAAAGCAAAAGAACTACAATTATAACAACCACTCTCTTTGACCATAGCTCAAAAGAATTAGAGACCAAGACTAAGAAAATTGCTCAAAATTATACAATTACATGGAAGTTGAATATCCTGCTCCTAAATAGTTTTTGGGTAAATAATGAAATTAAGGTAGAAATCAAGAAGGTCTTTGAAACTAATGAGAACAAAGATATAACATACCAGACCCTCTGAGACACAGCTAAGGCAGTGATAAGAGGGAAACTTACAGCACTAAATGCCTATGTCAAAAAGAAAAATCTTAGTTTACTAGCCTAACATCACAACTAAAAGAACTAAAGAACCAAGAGCAAAACAACCCCAAACTTAACAGAACACAAGAAATAATCAAAATCTGAGTTGAACTGAAGGAGACTGAAACATGAAAAAACATTCAAACGTTCAACAAGTCCAGGAGTTGTTTTTTTAAAAAAAAATTAATCAAATAGACCACTAGCTAGACTAATAAAGAAGAAAATGGAGATAATCCAAATAAACACAATTAGAAATGACAAAGGGGATATTACCACTGATCCCACAGAAATACAAATAATTATTAGAGAATATTATGAGCACTTCTATGCACACAAAATAGAAAATCTAGAAGAACTGGATAATTCCTGGACACTTATACCCTCCCAAGAATGAACCAGGAAGAAATCGAATCCCTGAACAGACCAGTAATCAGAAGGAGGAACTCCTCACTAATTTATTCTATGGAGCCAGCAACATACTCATACCAAAACCTAGCAGAGACACAACAAAAAAAGAAAACTTCAGGCCAATCCCCTTGGTGAATACTGATGCAAAAATCCTCAACAAATGACAGGCAAATTGAATCTAGCAGCACATCAAAAAGCTTATCAGCCAGGCACAGTGCCCCATGCCTGTAATCTGAGTGTGTTAGGAGGCTAAGGTAGGTGGATAGAATTTGAGACCAGCCTGGAAAACATGGCAAAACCCCAACTATACAAAAAATAAACAAATTAGCCAGCCATGATTGTGCATTACTGTAGTCCCAGCTTCCTGGGAGGCTGAGGTGGGAGGATTGCTTGAGCCTTGGAGGTTGGGGCTACAGTGAGCCAAGATTATGCCACTGCACTCCACCCTGTGCAAAAGAGTGAGACCTTGTCTCAAAATAAAAAATAAAAAATAAAAAAACCTAACCCACCATAATTAAGTAGGCTTTATTCCTGGAATTTTAAGTTTGGTTCAACATAGGAAAATAAATGTGATGATTCATCACATAAACAGAACTAAAGACAAAAACCACATGATTATCTCAATAGAGGCAGAAAAGGCTCTTGAATATAATTCAACACCCCATTTATGCTAAAACCTGTCAATAAACTAGGTATTGAAGGAACATACCTCAAAATAATACAAACCATCTATGACAAACCCAGAGCCAACAACATACTGGCAAAAGCTGGAAGCATTCCTCTTGAAAACCAGCACAAGTAAAGGATGTCCTCTCTTGCCACTTCTATTCAACACAGTACTGGAAGTGCTGGCCAGAACCATCAGTCAAGAGAAAGAAATAAAGAATATCCAAATAGGCAGAAAGGAAGTCAAACTATCCCTGTTGGCAGATTACATGATCCTATATCTACAAAAATCCATAGTCTTGGACCAAAAGCTCCTTAAGGTGATAAACAACATCAGCAGAATCTCAGAATACAAAATCAATGTACAAAAATCAGTAGCATTTCTATTCACCAACAGCAGGCAAGCCGAGAGCCAAATCAGGGACATAATCACATTCCCAATTGCCACATAAGAAATAAAATACCTATGAATACAGCCAACCAGGAAAGTAAAAGAGCTCTACAAAAAGAACTACAAAACACTATTAAAGAAATCAGAGATGGTACAAACAAATGGAAAATCATGCCATACTCATGGATAGGAAGAATCAATATCATTAAAATGGCCATAATGTCCAAAGCAATTTACAGATTCAATGGTAATCCTATCAAACAACCAATTACATTCTTCATAGAACTAGAAAAAAACCTAGTTAAAAATTCACAGGGAACCAAAAAAGAGCAGAATAGCCAAAGCCATCCTAAGCAATAAGAACATACATGAAGGTATCACACTACCCAACTTCAAACTATACTACAGAGCTACAGTAAGCAAAATAGCATAGCACTTGTTAAGAAAAAAAAAATGACACATAGACCAATGGAACAGAATAGAGAGCTTGAGCTCAGAAATAAGGCCCCACACCTACAACCATCTGATCTTTGACAAAGCTGACAAAAACAAGCAATGTGGAAAGGATTCCTTATTCAATAAATGATGCTAGCATAACTGGCTAGTCATATGCAGAAGATTGAAACTAGACCCCTTAACACCATATGCAAAAGCCAAATCAAAATGAATTAAAGACTTCACTATAAAAACACTGGAGGACAACCTAGGCAATACTGTTCTGCACATAGGAACGAGCAAAGATTTCATGATGAAGCTGCTAAAAGCAACTGCAACAAAAGCAAAAATTGACAAATGGAATCTAATTACACTTAAGAGCTTCTGCACAGTGAAAGAAACTATCAAAAGAGTAAACAGGCAACCTACAGAGTGGGGGAAAAAAATTGCAAACTGTGCATCTGAAAAAAGTCTAATATCCAGCATCTATAAAGGACTTAAACAAATTTACTAGTAAAAACCCAACTTTATTAAAAAGTGGGCAAAAGATATGAACATATACTTTTCAAAAGAAGACATGCATACACTCTGTGCAAAAATCAACTCAAAATGAATAAAAGAGCTAAATATAAAACTTGAAACCACCATACTCCTACAAGAAAACACAGGGGAAAAGTTCCTTGGCATTGGCCTTGGCAATGATTTTTAGATGTGACACCAAAGCTCAGGCTACAGAAACAAAAATATATAAATGGCACTACATCAAACTAAAAAGTTTCTGCACAGCAAAGGAAACAATTAATAAAATTAAAAGGCAGCCTATGAACTGGGAATAAATCACTGCAACTGCACATTTGATAAAGGATTAATACCTAAAATTTATAAAGAACTCAACAACTCAATAGAATAAAAACGAATAGCACAATTGAAATATGTGCAAAGGACCTGAGAAGATGTTTCTCTAAAGAAGACATAAAAATGGGCAACAGGTATTTGAAGAGATACTCAACATCGCTAATCATAAAAGAAGTATAAATTAAAACCAAGACGAGATTTGACCTTACATACGTAAGGATGAATATTATCAAAAAACAAGAAATAACAAAGAGGGTGTTGAGAAAAACAGAACCTTTGCACACTACTGGTGGATGTGTATATCGGTATAGCAATTATGTAAAACAGTATAGAATTTCCTAAAGAAATTAAAAATAGAGCTACCATATGACCTAGCAATTCCTATTCTGGTTATATACCTAAAGGAGATGAAATCACTACCCAGTAAAGATATCTGCACTCCCACAATCATTGCAGCATTATTCGCCATAGTCAAGATATGGAAACAACTAAAGTGATTATCAGTGGATGAATGGATAATGAAAATGTGGTATATATATAATGAAATATTATTCAGCCTTTAAAGAGGATATTCTGCCATTTGCCACAACCTAGACAGATCTGGAGGACATTATGCTAAGTGAAATAAGCTAGACACAGAAAGAAGAATATTGCATGATCTCATTTATTACATATAATAAAAACAAAGAGCTCAAACACAGAGAAATGAGAATAAAATAGTGGTTATCATGGGGAATGGGAGGAGAGGAAGTGGGGAGATGTTTGTCATTCATACAAGCAGCAAATAGGTAGGATGAACAAGTCTAGAAATCTAACGTGAAATGTGAAGATTAAAGTTAATAAAATTGTATTCTCCACCCATCAACCCGTCATCTACATTAGGTATTTCTCCTAATGCTATCCCTCTCCTAACCCCCCACCCCCCGGTAGGCGCTGGTATTTGATGTTCCCCTCCCTGTGTCCATGTGTTCTCATTGTTCAACTCCCATTTACAAGTGAGAACATGCAGTATTTGGTGTTCTGTTACTGTGTTAGTTTGCTGAGAATGATGGTTTCCAGCTTCATCCATGTCCCTGCAAAGGACATGAACTCATACTTTTTTATGTCTGGATAGTATTCCATGGTGTATATGTACCACATTTTCTTTATCCAGTCTATCATTGATGGGCAATTGGGTTGGTTCCAAGTCTTTGCTATTGTGAACAGTGCCTCAATAAACATACATGTGCATGTGTCTTTATAGCAGAATGATTTATGATCCTCTGGGTATATACCCAGTAATGGGATTGCTGGGTCAAATGGTATTTCTGCTTCTAGATCCTTGAGGAATCGCCACCCTGTCTTCCACAATGGTTGAACTAATTTATGCTCCCACCAACGGTGTAAAAGCATTTCTATTTCTCCACATCCTTTCCAGTATCTGTTGCTTCCTGACTTTTTAATGATTGCCATTCTAACTGGCGTGAGATGGTATCTCATTGTGGTTTTGATTTGTATTTCTCTAATGATCAGTGATGATGAGCTTTTTTTCATATGTTTGTTGGCCGTTCTTTTCAGAAGTGTCTGTTCATAACCCTCACTCACTTTTTGATGGTACAGCAAACCACCATGGCACGTGTATACCTATGTAACAAACCTGCACGTTCTGCACATGTATCCCAGAACTTAAAGTACAATTAAAAAAAGAAAGAAAAAAATGTATTCCATTTGGGATTTTTATTAAATAACTAGATTTTTAGCTACCCTTGTCACAAAAAGTAACTATGTGAGATGATAGCTATGTCAATCTGATTCATTATAGAAACCATTGTACTAGCCACAAGTATCTATGTGGATCTATGTGACTATATGTATCCCATGACATCATGTTGTAAACCTCAAATATACACAATAGAATTGTTTAAGTTGTGAGGAAGAGTTGATTGAACTCATGGATCTAGCTGGCCTATCTTTTGTTTTTGATTTAAACTAATTTGAGCTGTGTTTCCATCACTAGCGAAAGAAAGAGTCTTGGTACTCAGAACATCACTAAGGTAACCCAAGTTTGTGAGTCTTCCTAAGGCCAAGAATAATTCCCCTGAGGGAGATATACGGGCAGAGAGAAGTACAGTTGTGTAGGAATAAATTACACCAAATAATTGTGCTAACCCTTTTACCTCCTTTGAGAGTCAAGCCTCTAAAAAACCTTTCCCTTAATTGGTGAGCTAGAATTTAATCCATCTCTTTATGGATAGAATGTCTCATCTGGATTATAAAATTTTGGAGGTAGAATAAAGAGATGTAGCCAAAGCAAAAAGAAGGAGGCAACTTGGGATTTTCAAAGGCTACATGAAACTACTGTGTATGTTGGAAGAAGCAACTATTTTGCCTCAATGCAATGTTCAGTGAATTTAACTTCATCTACTATGGCTTCAGCATTCAAAAACATGTAAACACAATTTTGTAAATATATTGGCATTTTTTACACCTCAAGTAAGATACACAATTGGAAATTTTATAGGATTTTTTAGGAATCTCATTTGTAATATATAAGGTATTTTTTAGATTGATTTCATTATATTTGATAGATGAAAAATGGAAAATTTCTGTTTCTCTGTTGAATTGCATATTATTTGCAAATTGTTTTTTGTTTATATGTCTAATAGTTTCAAGGAGGTTATCGTATATACACACAATCCCATAATATGTATACATAAATAATATATATACAGATATGTGTATGTGTGCATGTTTGTGAACGCATACACATTCATTTGTCTTTCACGTCAACTAATAGGTGCTTACTAAATATCTTTTTCAAGGATAGAGGTAGAGCTTCATAAATTGTGAATACGTTAATGCTAAATGTACAGTCTAATTCAATGGATTTCGATAGGAAAATTGCTATGTTCAAAACCATGTGATCCAACCTCTTTTAAAAAACATGAAAATAAAAAAGATACACATTCTTTTCCCCAGGGAGCATAGAATCTAGGTATTGAAAAGTAAAAGACAGAAAGATGGACAAGTAATATGACACCGGGTTAATAAGAGCAGCAGGAACATAACAAATTGCTATAATCATTCAGGCCAATTCAGATTAGGGGATACCATGGAAGCTTCAGTAAAGACGATAGCTCAATATCTGAGCTAAATATTGAAGGTGGTTAGTGCTTTACCAGTAGAAATCTTAATCCAGGTAAAGGAAAAAGTATAGCCAAAGGACTCAAGGCAGAAATGTATGGTTGCTAGAGAGGAAAAGTGGTTACTGTAAAGGAGAATTAAAGTCAGCAATGGGAGATAGAGCTAGAATTTTGAGGTCTTTGGAAATTTTGCCAAGACAAACTCCAAGTTGTTGTAAAATAACAGCTCTAGAAAAGTGGAAATCAACGTTTGAAAATGCTTCTAATATCTCATGTGTTTTGCATTTGAGCTGCGATGACTTTGGGGCATGTGTTCATAGTCACTAGGGATATGAAAGTTTGGAGAGTCAAAGCAAAAGTCATTTTCTGCCTTAGGGGTGTTTAGGTCTATGTTCAGCTCGGTTAATTTAAGTGCTTAACTTTTACTGGTTCACTTAGTAGAAGTTGCTGCTAGGAAAAAAAAAAAACACTAAATCTCAATTATTATATGACCTTTTGGGAATTTAAAAGACAGTCTTGTCACTGGGTTCAAAAGCATCCCTTGCCCTTTTAGGAAACTTTTTCTTCATAGAAGGAAAGGCTCCCCTCTCTTTATTCACAGTTGTGTGTTCTCTAATAAGTGTGCCTTTTCCTTTTGGGCTGACCTGCTTTTACTTCAGTGCATGTTGTTTTCAAAGAGCCATTTGATGTACAAGAAATCTTTTGCTTAAAAATAAAAAGGGAATCTGGAAGAGTGAGATAGGAAGAAAAGAATGGAGGAAAAGAAAAAAATTGCTTTCTGGTGTTTGTTTTTGTATTGGTGGGTGGGTAGATAGATAAATATGGAGCAGAATTTGCACTAAAATAATCTACCTTCCAGCAAATTGCAAACTTTATATATTCATTATTTCATTCTTCCTTAATTCTGTGCCTCGCTTTGACCAAATGAGAAGGACATAAACAGACAAATTCCAAAGAAACTGTTTTTTGAAATGAAACAAGAGAGGAAGAGAAATTACTTCTTTAATGTTCATTTATAGAATTCAAACTCTTTCATCTGAACTTTGAAAATCCCCAGGTATAGGTCTTTGCCTCACCCAAGCATATTTCTTTTATTTTGCTCTCTGAATCTCAGCCACCTTGATTTCTGGGATCTCTGCTCCAGCAGAGTTGATGTATTTATTGTTGTATATGTGCAACTTGCTTTTGTTTTTATCATGGCTATTGTAGGAATCATTCTCATCATCAGAACTATGCTCTCTATTCTTTTCTATGTGCCCATCTGATTTATATACTCAAGATCAGTCTTAACTAGGAGATTTTCCTTATTTTACTTTGTCTAAATAAACCTTTATTTTTTTCTCATACAGAATTGATAAATTTTGGATTTCACTTTCTATATATTATAAAGTATATTAAGTATATGCTATTTACATTTTGTATTCATTTTATTTCTTCCATTAGATAATACATTCTTCAAGGGCACAAACAATGTTATATTCCTCTCCAATCTCTTTTTCTTGGCCCTTATTAGTTCTTAACATGTCCATTTGAATTTGTGTCCTTCCATGCTATAAAAAAGGAAAAAAAAAAGACTGGTATGTGTGTGCATGCACACATACACACAGACGCACACATGTACACATACCATATGAAAGAATGTCCAAAAGCTCATAGAAAAAATAGAATTAAAAGATAAAAGTTAAAAAAAAATATGGTTCATTTATCAACATAAGCTTCAACGAGTTTGAAACACTTTTGTAACTGATAATACCAGCCTTTAGTCCATCCCTAAAGAACTGAGGGTACTGGAAATTAATCCATGTTAATACAATTATTTTACATTATTAAGTGATGCAAAATAGGTTCCCTTTAAATATTTTTTAAATTAGGAAACAGAAAGAACCAAATCAGTGCTGTAAGGTGGATGACTAATAATTTCCCCTTGAAACTCTCACAAAATTGCACTTGTTTGAGGAGAGGAGTTAGAAGGAGCATTGCTGTAATGGAGAAGGATTCTCTAGGGAAGTTCTCCCAGATGTTTTTCTGCTGAAGCTTTAGCTGATTTTCTCAAAACACTCTCATAAAAAGCAGATGATTTTGTTCTTTGATGTTCTCTTTCTCCAGAAAGTCAACAAGCAAAATTCTTTGAGCATCCCAAAAAACTATTGCCATGCCCTTTGCTCTTGACCAGTCTGCTTTTGCTTTTACTGGACCACTTTCTCCTCTTGGTAGCTATTGCTTTGATTGTGCTTTGTCTTTAGGATCATACCAGTAAAACCATGTTTTGTCTCCTGTTACAATTCTTCAAGGAAGTGCTTCAGGATCTCCATTTTACTTGTTTAAAAACTCCATTGAAAGCTCTACTCTTGTCTGCAGCTGGTCTGGATGCAAAAGTTTTGGCACCCAGCAAGTGAAAAGTTTGCTCAGTTTTAATTTTTTAGTCAGAATTGTGTAAGCTGAACCAGCTGAGATGTCTATTAAGTTTTCATCATTTCTGCTGTTAGCCATCAGTCTTCTTCAACTAGGGCACAAACAATATGAATTTTTTCCTCACAAATTGATGTCAATGATCTGCCACTATGAGCTTCATCTTTGACACCATCTTGTCCCTGCTTAAAACAAGTTATCTGGCCGGGTGTGGTGGCTCATGCCTGTAATCCCAGCACTTTGGAAGGCCGAGGTGGGTGGATCACTTGAGGTCAGGAGTTCGAGACCAGCCTAGCCAACATGGTGAAACTCTACTAAAAATACAAAAAAAAAAAAAAAAATTAGGTGGGCGTGGTGGCAGGCGCCTGTAATCCCAGCTACTTGGGAGGCTGAGGCAAGAGAATTGAACCCAGGATGCAGTGAGCCGAGATCACACCATTGCACTCCAGCCTGGGCAACAAGAGTGAAACTCCATCTCAAAACAAACACACAAACAAGAAAACCCACAAAAACAAACAAACAAAAAACAAGTTATCCATTTATAAACTGCTGATTTCTTTGTGGGCATTGTCCCCATAAACTTTTCATAAAGCATCAATGATTTCATCAGTCTGCCACTCAAGTGTCGATGTAAACTCAATGTTTCTGTCCTTGCTTAAATTTGAACAGAATTCATGTTGCTCTGATAAGGGCTCTTTTCAAACTGAGTTCTTATTTTTTTTCTTGCCTCAAAGTAAATCCTGTTCAGACATGTTACATGTTATACCAAGGTACGATGAGTTTATTTTGGTGCAAAAAATGTTGAAGTCCATGAGTAGTTTTCTCATAATATGCATTTTCCATGAGCATTTCGAACTTCCATATATATTAAGGCTTAGACTTAACCAGACATAATTTACATACACAAGTAAACACAGATCACTGAGCTTACACCAAACCTTTATTTTCTACATGCTTTTAAATTATTTGCTTAGCATATTAACTTTATACATTGTTCTATTACAAAATTTTAGCCAGGAGACACTTATATAGACAGGTATATTTCCCACCAAGGATAGCAAATAAATCACTCCTTCCACCGCTCTGCTTATTGCTGATCAAACACTGCACTTTTTGCCAATAGACTTAGGAGAAGCTTCAGAATCATTGTCAATATGGCAAAGTATATTACAGGCAGTCACTAGCAGTAAATTGACATTCACTTGAGAATAAAATTTATTTCTAATTTTTGTAAAACTGTAGGTTTGCTGAGGACAACATCATGTGTTTTATTTACTATATCATCATGAATTGTACTTGGCTACATATGAGAGAAACCTATAAGAGAGACTTAAGCAATGAGAAGCTTACTTTTCAGACAACAAAATCTGGAATCCAGACATAATCTAGCTACCTGAGGAAGTAACAAACCAGGCTATTTTGATCTATCTGCTTAGCTATCCCTGCTTTCTATTCTTATCATCATAATACGGGTGTTATAGCTCCCTTCATTGCATCCCATTGCTAGGAAGGAAGAATGGGGAGAGGAAAAAAGACAAAGAAAGGCATGTGTCTGCCAAATATGAACTTTCTAAACAGAAAACTGATAATTTCACAGGCAGACTCATTCTGAAGATATTTGCTTATATAATACCAGCCAAAATTATATCATACAGCCAAATCTAGTTTGCTAGATATAGCCCTAAACAAGTTCTGTTTTCTACTAGTGGGAGAAAAAATAAGGAAAAGTCTATATTTGGTGGTAACCAATAGATGGTTCCACAATGCTGAGCTTTTAACACACAGCATAGCACCTGATGCAGAGTACACACTCAATAAGAATATAATGAATGAATTAATAAATGAGTTATTGAAAAGTTATAACAATTACATTACATTTAACACTGAGCCTTTAACTGCCTCCACTGATGGTATCTCATACACCAACAAAAGATATCAAATAATAAGTATGTAGAATGTTATTTAAGACTTTATTTTTAGTACACAGAGAGCAGTAATACACATGATTAGGCATTTTAAAAGCTTTATAAATGATAATAATGGTAACTATTCCAAAATAAATATTTGGGTTTTTTTCTTCAATCTTATATCACTTGCTCTAAGCCATATCTATCTAGGTAAAAGACCATGCTTTATTCTTCACAGAAGTATTTCAAACTTCTATACTGATCACTTATACCTGAGGAAAGGACACTCTCTATCTAAATGTGAAAGGATTATTTGCTGTTGCTTAGAGAAGACAGGTGTAAACCTATTTGCTAATATGACACATCAAGATTCTTTAGTCTTGATCAATTAGATTTTCTCTTTGTAACTAGGGATTTCACCCACTGAAGAAAACTATATTCCTATTATTGAGAACAGATTTGTGTAATTTAGTTTATTCTTTTATAAATTTATTAAGAAAAGGACATTTTAAAAAGTAAAATTTAAATCAGCATTTTGTTTAAAAAAATAGAGAAAATTTGACAAACACACATGCACATATTCACAACAAAAAACCTTAGAGTCAGAGGTAAATAAAAAATCTGTTGAAACGGGTCTTAAAGGATAACCTCAAATCACTTTTTTTTGTACAACAATAAGAATAGTCAATGAATATGGAATTTACTGGGTTCCAGGCACTGTTTCAAGTTCCTTAAATATATCACCTCATTTAACCCATATATCCTGTGGGGTAAGTACTATTGTCATCACCACCTTCCAGCTGAAGAAGTAAGACTTACATCACGTGCCCATCTGCCAGATGATAAGCTTGGGGGTAAACCCAGTTCTGGAATCATGGCTCTTAATCACAAAATTGTACCCTGGATACAAAGTCTTGGGGCATCATACTTGAGAAGAGCCATGTCCACTGAATAATTACTAATATTGTATGACAGAAAGAATAAGACTAAGTGAGAAGAAAACAAGTCAGAATCAACAATAACAGGTGTTAGAGGTAGACTTTTTCCAAAGGAGTATCATAAAGGATGTTATGATTCCTAGAAGGTAGGAACACAGAAATTATTTTAATAACCTTTGCAAGTATGTAGTATCTACACTTGCCATCAAGCAGTCACCAATCTCACTTAATGCAAAATTAAAACTGGTCTCCCTTCCAGCAGATAAGTTTATAAAACTTGAAAACACTATCTTTTGAATTCTAAGAGCAAGTAAAGGGTTAGAATGTTAAAAATAAATAATTTAGGGCAGCACTGAAAGAGTATGTATACTGATATTATGAAAGAATAATATAAAAGGGTCTTAAGCAGTCATATCCCAGCTCAGAAGTTCTAACCTCAGTTATTTCACCCCCAGGTAGAAGAGCAAGGGAAATGTCTTTACCATCCTGCTAAGCGGTCAGCCCCTACAGCTTTCAATCTAGAGGCATGTTAGCACCTTGAGTGAGTGAGAAGTCTACTTCATTAGACAAATCCAGAGAAAAATCTAGGAGTGCCAGAAAAGTTCAGGCACTCCTTCCTGGCCATTAATGGTAAGGTGCTGGCATGTCATCTTCATTACCTGAAGTAGAATTGATTGACACAGGCCCTGGGTATAAGTGACAAAGGCCATTGCTCTTGTGAACTCTGATGCGTCAACTGGCAGACACTCCGCTACATAACAGCATCTTGGGCACTTAAAATAGTTTCATCATGAGGTACACCCTTCTAGACTTTCCTAGACAACATCCCTTCCTCTTTCATTGACAACTATACTGGAATTAATGGTGATTGTGGCACCTAATATGGCAATCTCTTATACTGGTTAAGGCATTTTTTATTATAATCAAAAGAAATGGTTCTAAGATTAGAAGAATTCAAGGGACCTCAGGATTTACCTAGGAATCAGGAATTATAAGTCTCCTAAGAGAAACAAGATGGTCACAGATTAGCTGGGGAGAATAAATGAAGATCCAGTTATCAAGAATCTTTTTCTCTTCAGTGACAGAAAAGGGACATCTGATTTTCCAAGGGAGAGTATATTGGAGTTTCTGTTCATGTCCAGACTGTGTTCATGGTGAGAAGAAACTTCCTTGAGGGTAAATCTGGCTGCAATTAAGAAATATTGTTGCAGGCTAGCGAGGAAGACCAACTTATGCCAGTTAATGATTTTTCTGGTTCTAGCATTGAATGTCCCACATGCCAGGAAACCCAGTCTCAGGCAAAGCAGGATGGTTGGTCCTCATAACACTAGCCTATCTGCAGGTGCACACACACTCACATGCACGCACACACCTGAATACAAACATGCCAGGACCTCCTTGCTTTCCCATCTTCTGTTGGTGCTCATTCTCTCTTCACATTAAATTTCTTCATGAGGCTATATTCTCTTCTTTTCTATTCACAATGAATCCTAACAATTATAAAATCAAAAGCCTGAATCACTAGCAGTCCTCCACCTCAGGAAGAAAAAGAGAGGGAGGGCTTTCTTTCCTCAAGAGTAAAAGTAAGAAAGGCTTATCTTCAAATGAAGAGACAAAAATTGTTTTCATATTGAAGCAGGTTGAAAGTTTCCAGCCTATCATATTCAATGAAGGAAGGATCCCCAGAAAGGTAAGGAATCAGCACATATGTGCACACACATGCAACCAATCCTTATCATTAAGTGACTTCCTATTAAAAAGCTTGAAGATGGCCATATTTAAAATTATGCTGCCAATTAGAAAATGCATCATCTTTTCTGAATTGTGCATGGAATGTAATAGAGACTCCTTGAGGAGCAAGTGAAACCCAATGAGTTCTATACTCATTAGTTGACTGAGATGAGAAAATGATAGACTAAAGACGCACTGGCAGCAGTTTGGTAACTTGGAGGCCTCCCATGTGTAGGAACACAGGAAGTGCCTTTACCTTATTTTCCAAGTGATGATCCTAATATTAAAAAATGAAAGAAGAGTTAAGACACAAACAGACTCTTCAATGATTCTCATGACAGGATCAGATGGAGCATTGCTTCTGATGTAAAATTATGGACAATACTGAGGAGTCATGTAAAATTAAACCTGAAAAATGAGAGTCCTGAATTCGACACCAGACAGAGGTTGATGTCCTTTCATAAGTTGTCTAAGTCAGGGGTTTTAAATCAAAAAGCCAACAGGAACCAAGTGGACAATTTAAACCACTTAAATATACCAGGATGAGGGCCAACTGGTGACTCCAAGCCTAATTTAAAAGAAAGAATTCCTACACAGCCCCTGTTGATTGTTGCCTAGGTTTAGTGTGTCAGATTTTCTGATATTTCCAGTATAACCATTAAAAAACCACATACAACCCAATTTGTAAGTCAAACCCTTTAATTTGTTAATTTACCATCTAACTCAACACTTTCAAAAATATTGTGTGCAAAAGTACACCTACAGGCTGGATCTGGCCCACAAATCCCACCTTGTTATTTCTGCTCCTAAAGCTTTGTTTTTTGTAACTTGATTAAACAGAATTGGAGGAGAAAGGAACCTGAGGTAAAATCTAGAAGCATGATCTCCAGGAGCCTCAGAGGCTCATGGAAAGTGACAGGAAAGCTGGAAAGATGCACTTCACCACCAACTTCCTCTAGATACTCTCAGATGATTCCAACTACCTACGTCTGGTGGTTACAAATAATATTTATTTTTAAACAACGGTTATAGAACTGAAAAGATTTTAAGTAACGACTAATTTCAACACAATACTAAATTTTACTGTTAAAAGAGTAAGACATAAAGTTAGTGTCACACCCTGGATTATATTCCACATCTCCTGTCTATCATTCCAGTACTGTTTCTAGCTAATTTCACAAAATTGAGACCATCCATGGCCTTTCGACACCAAAGTCTTCTTTGAGAGATAAAGCAAGACATTATATATTGAGAGGCTATAAACTGTCAAGTGCTATGCAAATGTAATTTACTGTGATACAATGAAGAGAAAGAACATGGCTTGATAGCTGGAACATCCTGATGGAAAAGCTTATACTAAACTTTCAGGAGAAAAACTCATTAACGAAACCTGTAAAATCATATGCTAAGTTGACCTAAAAGGATCCACTCTGTAAGTCTCTGGAAATATTAACAATGACGACAATCAGAGAAAAAGAAAAAAAAAAAAAACAGAGAAATTTGAAAGTAGAAATAACAAAAGGACATCTCCGTAGGACAAAACAATTAAAAATAATTGTCATTTGAAGGCAGACATACAGAAATTAAATTACTCAGACTAAATATGAGACAAGACTCTCACAGGTTCATTTAATTCTCTATTACAGCTCTTTCAATTTCAACGACAAAATAAGACATTCCAACTCATTGCTAAGAGTCAGTCGGCAGGAGGGGAAACAATGGAGAAATGGTAAGCTCTCTTAAACAAGCCCAGGGGAGTCGAAACACATTGCAAATGAATGATTTCCTTAAAACACACATTCCTAATTTGATGAAATCACAAAGTTTTATTTTTTCTATTTTTTTTTTCTGTTATACAGCTGCACATTCTCTAAAACACAGGTGCAACAAACAAAATAAATACTTCATATTTTTCTTTTGGTGAATTTCAAACATACAAGTAAATAATTTTCCTCACAATTTATACATAAATAATTAGCACACCTATTTTTTTTCAAGCTGGAACACGCATCTGGATTTAATTAGAAAAGCAAGAAAACAGCATCTGGAGAGGATCAGGCCAGCCTGTTCTTTATACAATTATAAACATTAAGAGAGAAAATTCTCTTTATGCTCACACTCCACCGCAGAAACAAGACCTTCTAAAGGAAGTTATAAAATGTTCCACTCTGGCTAATACGACATTAATATCATTCAAAGATGAGTATTATAACCCATCAAACCTCTATTATGGGTTTTTCACAATTTTCCTTTAATGCTCAGAAATTTCTTTCTCAGAAATTCAAGACTGAAATCCAATAGAGCCAAATGTCGTTGGCCTATGGACTGAAAACATATCTCTCCCTCTTTTCAAGCCTGATCTTGTCCCCTGAGTCTCAGCCCTTCTCTCTCTCTCTCGAATTTCTCTTCACTAATTATATTCTTTTCCTCCTGTCACTGTTCTCATCTTAATTTTTTATTATTTCTTCATATTTTTCTCAATTAAAACACAATATATAATTGTTATCAAATACTTGCCATTTGAAAGAATCTCATTTCCTCCTCCTTTGTCCTACCACCCTCTTTCTCTTCTCTTTCATGGACACACTTCCAGAAAGATTGGTTGACACTCAATGTCTTTGCTTTCTTACCTTCTGTCCTTAACCAATCATATCTGACCTCTACTGTCATCAAGTCACAGAGCATCTCCCCTAATATCACTAATGATCTATGTATTTGTCAAATTCAACAGGTTGTTTTCTCCATTTCTTAACCTCTTGGTGCCATTTGGCCTGGTTTTTTATTTTATAATCTTGAGATAACACAATTTTATTCTGATTTTCCTTCCATGTGTCTTTCTGTATTCTTTTTCTCACATAGCCCTTAAATGTTGATATTTCTTACTATTTCATCATTAGCTCTCTGCTCTTTTAACTTTACGTACATTTCTGGGTCACAGCTATATTTTCATAGGTTGTTAACTCTACAAATTTTTTTCTAACTTATATCTCAACTTCTAACTAGGTATCTTCAATTGGAGACATCTGAATATTTCTAAAACTTTCTTACCCATTGAAAGCTCATCTTCCTTTCTCTCTATTCCCTCTTTTTTAATAAGTAAGAGAATGGAAAAAGTATCGCCACACATTTTTCTCTAGACAGCAATATGGCCATTACTATAGATTCTTCATCTTCCTCACATTCACATTTATCCATTGATATCAATATTTTCTACCTATCCTTGTTTCTGTCCCTTCTCCAGTTAATTATCTTCACGATGCCAATCATGTACATTGAAACAAGTCACTTCTTATCTTTAGATCCTTCAGTGGATCACCTTATATTTGCAGAAACAAGTCCAAACTCCTTGCCATTTCATAAAAGGCCCTTCAGAATGAGGCACCCACCCACTTTGCAAGGTAAATACTACCAAGTTCTCCCACAGGTACCCTAAAATTCGAATCAAACGAGTTATTTGAAGGCTCCTGACAATAGCATGATCTCCTATGCCTCTGAGTTTAAATATTCTTTCTTGCTGGTGGACCATTTTAAACCCCTTTCTTATCTGTGTCTTCTCCAGTACTCAGCTCAAGGTCAATCACCTCATGGGAGTATATTTTGATGTCCATTCCCCCCGCCCCTCCTCCCGCAATTTGGTCCTCTCTTGTCACCTTCTAGCATTAGAGTTTCTCACAATCATCCTCATAGCAGTTATTAAAAGTCCTTTTATGAATCCCCACTTCTGAGATCCTCAAAGCTGGTTTAGTTGCTATTCTTGTTCAAGACCTGGTTATCTATCTCTTTCTTTGAATGTATGAGCTACTTGGTTTCCTTGCAATAAATTTAACTTTGTATAAGATAGGTGAATAGCTGAAGCTGTGTAGTATGACTGCACGAATGCACTAATGTTGTTAGTTATTCAACCTCTTTAAGGTTTAATTATGAGGTAATTAGCCCAGCTCCTGGGACACAGTCACTGCCCAGTAGGTGAGATCCCTGACCTTCTCTAGGCAGAGCACTTAGTGTACTAATCACATTGCATCTCATTATAGATTCCATTGCCTGCTTCCTTCCCTGTACTCTGAGCTCCTAGTTTCTAATGATACTTGTTAAATAGCACATACTTAGTAAATGTTTGATGAGGAAAAAAAAATACTTGGTGTTCATGTGTTTTTGCCTCTCCTGAATCTATATCCCTCTCTTGAAAACTTTCTAAATTATCTTTGGAAAATCATCTCTCTCTGATTCTTAGTAAATGTGGCTTGATGACACACTTCATGCCCCAGAGATGAGTAATGAATGGGTTAAGCTTACCAAGTATCTTATTTCCCTGGTTGCAATGATTGACTCATAGAGCAACACGTAACTGAAATAAAGCTAATAAGACGCAAGGAGACATTTATCACAAAATCCTGGGATAATTTGCTTCCATAATGCTATAATTCCTCCCTGGCTATAGTACTGTAAAATGTGAAATTTGGAATTCAAAATTTATTTTGTTAACATCAACCAAGGTATCCAAAACTGTTAGGAGTACTTGAGACCAGGCAAAGAGCTGAAGAGAAATGGGGCTATTTCTGAAATCTTTAGTCCTCTGAGATCAAGTCTCCTTTAAATCATGACAATGTATTAACTTTTCAGTTATATGAGCTGATGGATTTTTTTGTCATTTAAACCACATTGAATTTTTTTCCTCTTATTTGCAACATAAAGAGTTGTAACAGATATGTTATTTCAATCAATTTACTAGCTCTGTGTTTTCTGGCAAAAAACATTTTCACTAGTCATGTCTCTAGCTTCAGCAAATCATTAAACTCTGAGTCTGCGTTTCTGCACTAATTTCTTCACTGGCCTATATCTGACTTATACACATAACACTTGAGTAAAAACTCACTCCATTATATTGATATTTAGAGGCACGTTGCTTCTTTCATATGGTGTTACTTTAATGTACTTTTTTCTTCTCTTTACAGGATCATTATTTCTAGAGATGAAAGGTTTCTTGGAGATTATCTTATTCAATTAAGTCATTTAGTATACAAGAAAACTGAAGCCCAAAAGGTTAAGCAATTTTTCCAAAGCCATGCAAAATACATCGGTTAAAATAAACTCTATGACCATATTTACACTAACTAATCAGTTGTTTGGCTTCATTAAACTGGTCATTTCTCACAAACAACTAATTTATTTTCTCTATATGCATACAAAGATCATGACATATATTCTATCCAGGTGTGATGGTTAATACCGACTGTCAACTTGATTGGATTGATGGATACAAAGTATTGATCCTGGGTGTGTCTGTGAGGGTGTTGCCAAATGAAATAAACATTTGAGTCAGTGGGCTCCAGAAAGCAGACCCACCGTTAATCTGGTGGGCACAATCTGATCAGCCACCAGTGAATATAAAGCAGGCAGAAAAATGTGAAAAGGGACAGACTGGCCTAGCCTCCCAGCCTACACCTTTCTCCTGTGCTGGATGCTTCCTTCCCTGGAACATCAGACTCAAAAGTCCTTCAGTTTTGGGACTTGGACTGGCTCTCCTTGCTCCTCAGCTTGCAGACAGCCTATTATGGGACGTTGTGATCATGTAAGTTAATAGTTAATAAACTCATATATATATATATATATATATATATATATATATATATATATATATATAAAAACACACACACATATATACACACATATATATACACACACTATATATATATATACAGACACACATATATATGTATATATATATTCCTATTAGTTCTGTCCCCCTAGAGAAACTTGACTAATACACTAGGAATCTCCTGTGCACAATTTTAAGAAAACTAAAGCAACACTTAAGTAACAAATAAGTTATAAAGTAACATTATCTGTTACAAGATAGGTATGAGCAAACACCGTAACATTTGGAAGAGTTGAGAATTCCTCCTCTTTATTCAGTCATTCATTTATTTATCTAACAAACGTGTTTATTGAGGATTGATTGAATAAGCCTGTGTTTCAGACTCCCAGTTATTAAATAATTTCTATGGATCTGGTTAAAATCTAACCGTATCTTTAAAAACAGGTTGAATTTTTATTTAAGTAAGCAAGACTCAAAGGCATTCTTAGGAAACAGAATCTATGTCAGAAAAGACTCAAGAGAGGAAAAAATAATCAGTTAGAGAAAATGTATAGTACAAAAGGAAGCTGAGCCAAGTGATGAAGACCTAGAAATAGTGAGAGAGGCATTCAAGCTTTCCAGCATGTTGCCAGCATGGTTGGACAGGGGTGCCATAGCTGGGTATCTTAGGCATTATTGTGACCCTAGGTAAAGAGGATTTACTACTGAGTGTGTGCCATGTACCACTCAGCCAGGTCCTTCTCATGTAACATCTCATAAATACAGCTGTACTGTGAAATAAGCATATATTCAATGTATGAATTAAGAAATCAAACCTCAGTGGGATAAAAGAAGCATCCAAGAAAGTTTGAACTATTCTAAATGCTCAAATTGTTACTCAACTCAGATATGGCAAAGGAAGCCTAGGTACTGACCAATCCTTTTTAGCAAAAGAGTTAGGCATGGAGGACAGGGCCTCTCATCATTGAAGAGGAAGATGAGACTTTCCTGTGACCCAAAGTGTGATTGAATTGACGATATTGATGAGTTGATGCTTTCATGCAAATTAGACTGTATGTACTAGATATTGTGCCACTGAGACCAATTTTGGCCCATTCATTAGCAGTGTCTATATTTCTTCTGTCATTCACTGAGAGTGCTGGCTAATATTTTTTCAGGAAATATTGAACACTGTGTCAAGGGTACCATCAATTCGAGCCTTAATAATCATTATGTAAGACTGCTTGTCATTTTAGAAACCATTTCATATTTATTGCCTTTTCATGAAGGTGATGCTAGAATGACCCCTTGATAACTGATCTGCAAAGAACATTGGCCAAGAAGAACCTGGTCACCACAGACTTGAGAAAGGCAAGCATTCTGTGCCTCAATTCAACGAAAATTACAAGATGAGATTTTCCATTATTTAAAGAGGTAAACATGTCAGGAAATCTATGTATACAAAAATATATATTTACAATGGTAGTCGCCAGTGCTATAATATACTGAATTTACATCCCTGTTTTTAAAACCTGTTGAGAGAAATGTACTGTGAGAAACAAAAACTGCATACATAAACCTTTGGAGGATATGATTGCACTCACACAACAGAAATTAACACTGATCTCCTTTATATCAACCCATAAATGTGGCTTTCATTATTCTGCTAAATTAACTGTGGCCTTCCCACATTCTCAACTATTCCTTCCTCACTTTACAATTCAGTCTTACTTATAATGTTAAAAAATAGTATCAACTTTAACATTCTAAAAGACAAAACTCTTTTAAATCCTAAAGTCTGCATGAAAATTTTTGAAAATGTTTTGCTTCAAAGTTTGAATTCAACTCTTGTCTCCCAACAATACAAATACATCGTAATACTTAAAGATAAATAATAAAAATATTTTATACTTCCCTCCACATAACAGAGGCTGCTTGAGCAGAAGGCTCTGTAATTGCTTTGACAATTAAAAACATACAAATACCAAGCTGCTGAAAGAAGATTATCTAAGTCCAGTAATTTGCTGTTCTACTTAGCAGACAGACTGCTTAAGGGCATGTCACAAGAACATACAATTTGTTGCATAATGGTAGTGACATTTTCAGTCATTATTACTGCTATAGATTAAAGTCAACCAAATGTGTTATGTTAAATGCTAATATGGTGATGGTCTGAATTTTGAAGATACATTTATACAAGAACTGTTAAAATTATCATGAGGAAATTCCATTTTGCCCCTTATTTTAATAACAACCAATTTTAGTTCACAAGCCAAGCTTAACATTTCGTAGGCACTAACCTGGGGTTTACTTCCCATTGACAGTTAATATAAAATGTTTTCATTTCCTATTTCTTGAACATCCATATTATTGTACCATTAATATATGCTAAGCTTTAGAGGATATGACAATATAACATTTTTGGTAATTCTCCAAATAAAAATTGTAGAAATCTTGATGATTTTTTTCTATCATCTTTGCCAATGATTGCCATCTTTACCAATAATCTCTAGGATTATTGTTTAATAGAGAAGACCATTAACATAATAAAATATTTTGGATTCGATTGCACTTATTGTGATATAATCCATAAAATATGAGGAAGATAATTAACATCTGTCTATCGAAGGGTAGAATAATGATAACTAACATCTATTAATTCTTTACCATAAGTTAGACACTGTACTGAGGACTTTATGTTAATCACCTCTCTTAAACCTCAACACAACCATATGAGGTACTATTATTGTCCTCATTTTATAGGAGAGGTAATATGTCAATATCACACAGATATTATGTACAGAAATGTGATTCAGCCAACATTAATCCACTTATACTATGTCAAAGGTAACATGCACATATTCATTCAGCCAACAAATATTAATTGAACACGTTTTGTGTTCTGCACAGAAACTTTGCTGTCACTGTACCAGGTACTAGAGGCGACTGTCATAAATAAGACAAATAGTTTCTATTCTCACAGAATTTAAGATCTATGGGGAGATGGATTGATAATTAGGCAATTTCAATACAGGCCATGCTTTCATTTGCAATGTCTGGCTCTTATGTTTAAAGGTCCTGTGGCAAAAATCAGAGCTCCCTTTTTAGTATGCTTTGATATATTTAGAGAGGCTCTATAATTGCATATCTTCTTTATTCTGCCAAGTTTGGACATCTGAACTCAGAAATCTCAAAGCAATAAGGGGAGCCAAGAAAGAAAAATCCAGAATCTTAGAGTCTGGGAATTCTTATGGTTCTTTCCTGTTGTGCTTCTCCAAAAGATTTATTTCCCATTTGAATAATTTCTTTATTTCTTTATCAATTTTGGGGTCATAATCTGATTCTGTCATATGATTCATGAACAAAAGGGACTACACAGAATTAATGTTGATTTGCTTTATGACAGTATATGAAGAAGAGTTTTTTGCTTGCTTGCTTGCATTTATTCTAAGTTCAAGTCAATGATGAGTTGAAGTCAAAGTCCAGGAATAAAAATACTCTTCAATGTCTACAGTAAAACATTTAGGAAGTCAGAATTTTGAGTATTTGTGAACTCTCTTTATGTAGAATGCCAGAGTCCCTTCATTCTGGCTCTCTATCAGTGTGTGTCCTTTATAATCATCAGGGCATGTGCAACAAACATTCTCTCATACTTTTCTATCTCATCAGCCATCTGTGCTTTCCATTCACTCAGACACATATTCAGTAACCACCAGCTACATCACCAGGACAATACGTTACAGTTGACCATTGAACAACAAGATTTGTTCAGCTCACGTGGTCCACTTATAGGTGAATTTTCTTCTGTTTCTGCCACTTCTGAGACAGCAAGACCAACCCCTCGTCTTCCTTCTCTTCTTACGTCCACTTAACATGAAGACAATGAAGATCTTTATAAGGATTCACTGCCACTTAATGAATGGTAAATATATTTTCTCTTCCATATAATTTTCTTGTTTTCTTTTTTTAATTTTTATTTTAGTTTTGGGGATACATGTGAAGGTTTGCTACATATATAAGCTTGGGTTAACATGTCATTAGGGTATATATTATTACATCACCCAGGTATTAAGCCCAGTACTCAATCTTTTCTGCTCTTCTTGCTCCTTCCAGCCTCCATCCACCCTCAAGTAGACCCCAGTGTCTGTTATTTCCTTTTTTATGTTCATGAGTTCTTATCATTTAGCTCCCAATATTAAGTAAGAACATGGGATATTTGATTTTCCGTATCTGTATTAGTTCACTAAGGATGATAGCTTCCAGTTTCATCCACGTTCCTGCAAAAGACACAATCTCATTATTTTTTATGGCTGCATAATATTCCATGGTGTATATGTACCACATTTTCTTTATCCAATCTGTCATTGATAGGGATTACATTGATTCCATGTCTTTGCTTTTGTGAACAGTGCTGCAGTGAACATTCGCGTGCATGTGTCTTTATGATAGAAGGCTTTATATTCCTTTGGGTATACACCTTGTAATGGGATTTCTGGGTTGAAAGGTAGTTCTCCTTTTAGCTCTTTGAGGAATCACCATACTGTCTTCCACAATGGTTGAACTTACTTACTCTACCACCAACAGTGTATAAAGGTTCCCTTTTCTCCGCATCCTCGCCAGAAACTGTTATTTTTTCTCAAAAGTGTCTCATTTTTATACCAGATCCTGGATCCCCCCCACCAAAAGAGGGAATCAACCCATTTCCCATGGGAGTCTTATCTCTCAATGGCTGTGGGCGGGGGAGGGGGGTTGAGAACATTTCCATACCTTCTAGATGGCCAAGAGCATGCTTCTCATCTCACACTGTAATCCCCAGGTGTCAAGGGATGGACCTGGAGGGAGGTGATTGGATCATGGTGGCTGTTACCCCCATGCTGTTCTCGTGATAGTGAATGAGTTCTCATGAGGTCTGATGGTTTAATAAACGGCTCTTCCCCCTTTGCTCTCTGCTGTCTCTCTTCTGCAGCCTCATGAAGAAGGTCCTTGTTTTCCCTTCACCTTCCACCTTGATTGTAGTTTCCTGAGGCCTCCTCTGCCATGCAGAACTATGAGTGAATTAAACTTCTTTACTTTATAAATTACCCAGTCTTGGGCAGTTCCTAAGAGCAGTGTGAAATCGGACTAATACATCTTTTCTCCATATGGAGTCTCAGGCTGTTAGAGCTTGAATATCTGCTTTTTATTAAGCTGACTTTTAACCATAGCACTCTTTAAAAAACATTTTTTAAAATTTCTTATTTCCCTACTTTAGCCATGCGAAATGGCCAATACTGGCTTTTGAACTTTACCAAAGGTAACCTTCCAGGCACTCAGAGAAAGGAAATTTCAAGATGGTTTGTGGAAGAAAGAGATTCAACAAATGGTAAAAATCATACAGATTTCAACCAAAAAGTACTTATTCCCTAGGCCAAAAATTGAACCTGAACCTGGGCCACCACTGTGAAAAAACAAAGCTTTAGCTACTGAGCTGCAGCACTGGGTGGTCTCCATTGCCCTTCCCAGAAAGAGCCTAGAGCAGCCAATTTTGAGCTTGCAAAGGCTTTTAACTGCTTGAGATAATTTTTAGGGCTAACTATGGTATGAATTCTAAAATTTCTGTTCCCTTAGTGGAGACCAAGAGAAAGTACCACCATCTGGTTACAAGGTCAAGCTCCCGAGGAACATTTCATAGGCAAAAGCCTCTCAACTTTTCAAGACACAGCCCAAGAGGTTGCATGGGGTAACCAAAGTAACATTTTCCATTCTGGCCAGAGCAAAATACATGTGATGTGACAAAACATAGACATTAGCCACTTAGTACCCAATATCTTACTGGCAAGGCTCAAACTTGCCCCTGGACAGGCCCTGTCATCTTTAATCCAACCTCCAATGAGGAGTTCCAACATGTGGTCTCTGGGCAAGATGGTTGCCCTGAAAAACAGAAAAGAGAAAAGAGAGAAAAGGAGAAAAGCATTGCCTGCGACAGGGTAGAGAAGGCAAGGAGCTCAGGGAGGCCAGAGAAAGACCTACCCATTGGAGCGACACTGAATCAAAAGTTTAGGCAACCACTTGTTGGTCGTGAAGGGATTTTTTCCAGCAGTCCCATCAGCTCTCAAGTTTCCCCTCTGGGGAGAAAAAAGCTCTCCATGTCCCATGGTCCTGTACATGCCTAATCCTCTCACCCACAGCTGTCAGCAAAGAGTGCAAGGTAGATTAATGCAAACAAAATGGCAGTTAACATCCCATAGTGCCAAATCCACCCTTAGACAAGACAGACTTTACTGAGAGGGACCTCTAACCCACTAAATCTTAGGAAGATTCTAACCTTTGTAAGTTGGGCCTCGAAACCATATTTGGTCAAGCATCCTTGTCTTTTATTAAGAGGGACTTTTAACCCACTCTGTCTTAGGAGAGACTCTAACTCCCCTAAGTTGGGCCTCTAACTCAATCCCATCCTTTACCTGGGTATCCTACCACTTACCCAAAGTTGGCCAATTGGTGCTGCAGTCTATTTCCTTTGGGTCAGGGTCTCTTCAGTATCACCCCTTTGTGGTTCCCCAGGATGGTGTTACCAGAAAGGGGTCCTGATTCAGACCTCAAGAGAGGGTTCTTGAATCTCACACAAGAAAGAATTCAGGGCAAGTCCATATAGTAAAGTGAAAGCAAGTTTATTAGGAAAGTAAAGAAATAAAGAATGGCTACTCCATAGGCAGAGCAGCCCTTTTTAGATTTTTTTATTTTAAATTTTTGTAGGTAAATAATTGGTATATATATTTATGAGGTACATGAGATATTTTGATATAGGCATGCAATGCATAATAATCATACCTTATGATTTTCTTAATAACATTTTCTTTCCACTAGCTTACTTTATTGTAAGAATGCAGTGTATAACTCTTAAACAAAATATGTGGTAACTCTTTGTGTTTATTGGCCAGTCATTTGGCCAACAGTAAGCTATTAGCAGTCAAGTTTTTGGAAGGTCAAAAGCTATACATGGATTTTTAACTATGTGGGGGGCCAGCATCCCCAACCCCTGTGTTGTTCCAAGGTCAACTGTATATTTTATCATGAACATCCAAAGAAAAAGAAACATTATGAATTCTGGCTAGAAAGATAACTTGGAAGATAACTTAAAGTAGAAAGATCTGTTTGTAATTCTCAGATTATCCTTTATGGATATAGGCTGTGGTGTGCTACAGGCAGCTTATACCTTAAATTTTCAAAAATGTCGTAATCTTCTTTTTAAACACAATTATTATTCAAAAGCAAATTACATAAGCTTACATTTGTGCAATTTTTTAAAAAGTTAATATACACCCAGAACTCAGACTTTCTAAATATCATATTTTTACCTATACTTTTAAGGTTATTTATATCTATTGTATCTGTACGCTGTAAATACTATATATTGGTGTGCTACCTATGCATCTCTTCCCAGTTCCACATTCAGTGACTTTGACGGCTTGAAATTTAACATGGTAAAAAATAGTATTTATACCACAGAAATGACAAATACTAATAATCATGACTTATTTTTGTTAGTTTCCTTAGAGAGTTTGTTGTTAAACTTTTACCATCACATTATTGTATATAGGTTTCCTTTAACTAAACAGATACTGATTTGGGGTTCTAAAATCTAGTGCCAAATAAGAGAAGTCATTGAAATATAGGTTTTGGTATTACTGGGTTTTAATCACAAGAACCAGAGCAATCACTTCATTAGTTAGGCAATTATAAATGAGGAATTGTTTCATATAATATTTCCTTCTTTGCTCAGAACCTTGCTTTGATCAGCCCTCACTTTAAGAAATCAATTAATCTAGAATGTGACATCAGCAAAGTGGTAGTGGTAGAATAGGCGATTTCAGCTCTTATCCCTCCAGAGAAACCTTATTTTGACAATCATTCATGAATGAAAATATCTTTATGAGAGTTCCAGAGTCCATTGAAAGTTTCCATCACTCTGGTGGACCACAAAGTACAAGATCAACTACACTGAAAGGGGTAGAGAAAGCAGTTTTACTCTGCCTATAACACCCTCCCAGGGGCAGGTACAAATCAGTGCCAAAAGGAATTTCTTTTTTCCTGCAGGAGAAAGAGAGAGCATAGAAAAGGTCTGGGTTTCCCAGAATTTGAAGGGGAACATCCTGAGAGGCCTGCTTGTATCCTACTGTATCCTGAACACTGAGAAAATTGGATGACTGGAGAATCAGAGAGCAACTAGAAACAAAAAAGAAAGAAGAAAGAAGGGAGCTCACAGCAACCAGCATGTGTGCTTCCACAGATGGCATCCTGTAAATACCCAAAACCAGCATCCCAAGTACTTCCAAGTTAGCATGTAGACTTCAGGAACTGGCTTAACTCTGTGGGACTGGGAGAAAGCACACAAGCCTGAAACTGCTCCTTCAGAAGAGATAGAAAGCAATGAATGTTACACCCATTGTCCCAGAATCTTAGTGCACAGCTCCAAGGAAAAGGGGTGGGTGACACTTGACTTTCCGCGTGGCTCTGCAGGGTAGAAGAAAGGTGCATCAACCTGAAACATCCCATTCATGGAGGAAAGAGAAAAAGGAGTTTGCATCCAATGCCCTAGCACATCACAGCACTTACCTAGGAGAAAGGAATGGGCAGCTCTCAGCACCCAACATGGTTTTATGGGATAAAGAGAAGGCATGTAGATTTAAGACTTTACCCCAGGAGGGAAAAAGAGGAGTTGAGTGGATGTATCCACAGAAAAGATTTAAGAGATCCCTATAATCTCTAGCTGGGCTGACTGATGAAGGTCTTTTCATCCCAAAGCAAGTTTATAAAGACTGGAAGAGGGGGACTATATTTTTTCAACTGTGTAGACATCAATGCAAGGTTATCAATATTATGAATAATTAGGTAAACATGACACCACCAAAGAAACAAAATAAAGTACTAATAACTGACCTAAAATCAATGGAGATGTATGAATTGCCTGATAAATAATTCAAAATAATCATTGTTAGGTGGCTCAGCGAGCCACAAGAAACACAGACATGCAACTAAAAGAAATAAACTAATTATTAGGGAAATGCAGATCAAAACCACAGTGAAATATCTTTCTCACACCAGTCAGAATGGTATTATGGAAAAATAAAAAATAACAGATGTTGGCTGGGTGCAGTGGCTCACAACTGTAATTTCAGCAGTTTGGGAAGCTGAGGTGGGTGGATCACCTGAGGTCAGGAGTTCCAGACCAGCCTGGCCAACATGGAAAAACCCCATCTCTACTAAAAATACAAAAGTTAGCCAGACATGGTATCAGGTGCCTGTAATCCCAGCTACTCGGGAGGCTGAGATGGGAGAATCACTTGAACCAGGGAGGTGGAGGTTGCAGTGAGCCAAGATCGCACCACTGCACTCCAGCCTGGGCAATAGAGTGAGACTCCCTCACAAAAAATGAATAAATAAATAAATAAATAAATAAATAAATAAATAAATAACAGATGTTGGTGAGGTTGTGAGGAAAAGAGAACACTTACGCACTACTGATGAGAATGTAAATTAGTTCAGCCATTGTAGAAAGCAGTTTGGCAATTTCTCAAAACAGAGTTATCATTTGACCCAGAAATCCCATTATTGGGTATATACCCAAAAGAATATAAATCATTCTGCTGTGAAGACACATGCACACATATGTTCACTGCAGTACTATTCACAATAGCAAAGACATATAATCCACCCAAATGCCTATTAATTGTAGACTGTATAAAGAAAATATGGTACATATGCAAGATGGAATACTATGCAGCCATAAAAATGAATTAGATTATGTCCTTTGCAACAACATGAATAGAGCTGGAGGTCAGTAGCCTAATAAAATTAACACAGGACTAGAAAACCAAATACCATATGTTCTTATTTATATATTTCATATATTGAGTACATAAGAAAACAAAGAAGGGAACAACAGACACCAGGACATACTTGAGGGTGAAGGGAGGGAGGAGGATGAGGATCAAAAAAGTACCTATCACGTACTATGCTTATTACCTGGGTGATGAAAAAACCTGGGCACCAAACCCCCACAGCACGTAATTTATCTATATAACAAACCTGCACATGTACCCCTGAACCTGAAATAAAAGTTTTAAAAAATAAAGAAAACAATATATCAGCAAAATCAAAAGTTGAACTAAAAGATTGAAAACATTAAAAAACAGAAATTTTAGAGATGAAGAATACAACGACTGAACTGTAAAATAGAAACATTTCCATAGAAAGCTTGAAGAGTAAACTCAATCAAGTAGAAAAAAGAATCAATGAATGTGACGAGAGTTTCATTTGAAATTATCTAGTCAGAGGAGTGAAAAAGTGAAAAGAATGAAGAAAGCCTATGGGACTTATAGGCTGCCATCAAATGAACCAGTGTACATATTCTGGAATACAAAAAGGTGAAGATAAAGAGGAAAGAAACAGAAAGCTTATTTAAAGAAATAATAGCTGAAAGTTTACCAAATCTGGGGAGAGATATGGACATCTAGATTTATGATTTACCCAAAACACACCAAATACGTTGAATCTAAAGAGGTCTACACTGAGACACATTACATTTAAATTTTCAAAAGTCAAAAACAAACAGAATTTTGAAGGCAGTAGGATAAATTAACTTATTATACACAAGGGAACTTTCAAAAGACTATCAGCTGATTTCTCAGCAAAAATCTTTCAGGCAAAGAGAGAGCAGGATGATTTATTCAAGACACTGAAAAAAAAAACTGCCAACCAAGAATATTTTGATTGGTAAAACTCTCCTTTTAAAATGAAGAAGAGCTAAAGACTTTCACTAACAAACAAAAACAGAGGGAATTTATCACTGTTAGACCTGCATTACAAAAGTGCTAAAGAAAGTTATTCAAATTGAAATGAAAGGATGCTTAAAAGCAACAAGACGGCATAAGAAAGTAGAAAACTTACAGGTAAAAGTAAATATATACATAGACATAGAATAACATAGTGCTGTAATGGTGGTGGATAAATCATTTTTAGCCCAAGTATAAAAGTTAAAAAAAAAAAAAAAACACAGTATTAGGAATAGCTATAGGCTGGGTGCAATGGCTCATGCCTGTAATCCCAGCGCTTTGGGAGGCCAAGGCAGGAAGATGGCTTGAGCCTGGTTGGTTGACACCAGCCTGGGCAGCAACACACCGAAACCTCATCTGTAACATATATATGCTACCATCAAATGAACCAGTATACATATTATGGAACACAAACAGGTGAAGATAAGGAGGAAAGAAACAGAAAGCTTATTTAAAGAAATAATAGCTGAAAGCTTACCAAATCTGGGGAGAGACATGGACATCCAGATTTATGTTGTACAGATTATAAATTAACCAGTTGTGCATGGTGGCATACATCTGTGATCCCTGCAACATACTATGACTTCATCTGTACACTATATATACATATATGTGTGTGTGTGTGTGTGTGTGTGTGTGTGTGTGTGTACACTATATTTATATATATATATATATTTTTTTAATCAGTTATGCATGGTTGCATGCACCTGTGGTCCCAGCTGCTTAGGAGGCTGAGGTGGGAGGACTGCTTGAGCCCAGGAGTTTGAGGCTGCAGTAAGCAATAATTGTGTCACTGCACTTCAGCCTGGTTGGTAACACAAGACTCTGTCTCAAAAAAAGAAAGGAAGGAAGGAAGGAAGGAAGGAAGGAAGGAAGGAAGGAAGGAAGGAAGGAAGGAAGGAACGAAGGGAGGGAGGGAGGGAGGGAGGAAGGGAGGAAGGAAGGAAGGAAGGAAGGAAGGAAGGAAGGAAGGAAGGAAGGAAGAAAGAAAAAAGAAAGAAAGGAAAGTGTAATTACAACGATCTGTAAAAGGTTATACAATATAAAAGATAAAAATTGTAACATCAGTAACATAAAGTTTTGAGGGAGGAGTAAAGTTATACCAAAGTAATTAAAAGGTGTACCAAAGTAATTAAAATCAGTATCTCTTAGAGATATCTGCCTTTCCATGTTTATTGTAGCATTATTCACAATACCTAAGATGTGGGAGCAACCTAAATATTTATCACTGAATAAATGGATAAAGAACACGTGATACATGCATACAATGGATCATCATTCTATTTTTTAAAAAAAGGAAATTTCCCCATATGCAACAATATGGGTGAACCCAGGGAACATTATGCTAAGTGAAATAAACCAGACACAAAAAGTATAAATACTCCATGCTACCACTTATATGAGGAATCTAAATTAGTCAAACTCATAGAAGCAGCAAGTAGAAAGGTTTTTTCCAGGAGATAGAGGAGGGTGAAATGGAAACGTATTAGTGAAAGAGCACAAACTTTCAGTTACACGCAATGAATAAATCCTAGAGATTTACTGTATAACACACTGCCTATAGTAAACAATACCATATTACATACTTGAAAGTTGCTAAAAGAGTAGATCTTATGTTGGATCCTTATTGCAAAAATAATAAGTAAATAAATATATCAGGAGGAAATTTTGGATGGTATAGTGTGAACCTTTATGGCACAGATTGTGGCAATAGTTTCAAAGGTATACACTTATCTCTAAATTCATTAACTTGTGCAAATTTAATATGTACAACTTTTGTATATCAATTATACCTCAATAAAGAGGTTTTCAAAAAATTCAATCAATCCACAGATTTCTCTTCCCTTACTATCTAACCTCAAAAACTCTAAGCCCAACACACAAGCTATATAAATTATACATTCTCTTCTCAAGACAAAATGTCATTTCAGAATTATTGTATGGTATTTACTTTTGCTGCAGTGACTTAATATAAGAACAGGTGGGATTTTTTGCATTTGGTTTGGTTTGTTTTGTTTTTAGGATATGGTTTTCTAATATCTAGTCATCAGATAAATTTTGCTATGAATATTTTATTAGTCGTTTGTCCATGGGACCAAAGTTATAATCAAGATGCAATCTGAAAATGCAATTTTGTGTAGAAAATTTAGTGCCATTTTGAATGTTGCCTCCAAGATCCCATCTTGACAACCTTGCACACTCCCATATATGAATGCTTCTTTGTCCTTTCTCTTTATACTTCCTTTTTTTTTTTTTTTTTTTTTTTTTTTTGAGACGGAGTCTCGCTCTGTCGCCAGGCTGGAGTGCAGTGGCGCGATCTGGGCTCACTGCAAGCTCCGCCTCCCGGGTTCATGCCATTCTCCTACCTCAGTCTCCTGGTAGCTGGGACTACAGGCGCCCACCACCATGTCCGGCTAATTTTTTGTGTATTTTTAGTAGAGACGGAGTTTCACAGTGTTAGCCAGGATGGTCTCGATCTTCTGACCTTGTGATCCGCCCGCCTTGGCCTCCCAAAGTGCTGGGATTACAGGCGTGAGCCACCGCGCCCTGCCTATGCTTCCATTTTATACACTATTAAGAATTCTGTTGATAAGATCCTCCTGTACTATACAAATTTTAATGTCTTTTCTTCCATGAGCAATCTCTAGTTTCACCACATAGTCTAGCCATGGAGCAAGACTCAATATGTTGTTCCATTTCCCCAAATCAAATACATTTCACAAATCATTAGTGAACATTATAGATTCAAATGCAAAATTTGGGGAAAAGAAGGAAAATGAGAATGTTACGATGCTTACCACACAAGAAAATAATCATTAGATGTGTCTGTTTTCCTCAAAGTCCTAATTCATTGCCAAACAACAGTTGTGTTTTTTTTAATTGATTCTTCTTTCTTCCCATCATCAGTTCTTTTCACTTCACTGCCTTTAATATCCATCTTTAATTATGTAGAAATTTCAACCAAAAGTCATTTCCTTAGGGAAAATATTTGATTATAACAGCTGCTAAGAAAATATTTTCTCCGTAATTTATACAATATGACATAGGTCAGGGTGCCTAAAATACGTCCTAAGAGATATAACTAGGGAACAAACTTGATCTGTGGTCAACTTAGTTTGGAAAATAATGCCCCAATTTTTTTAAAAAAATAATTTTTTTTACTGTACACTTCTCGGAGTCTTTATTATGCTAATATGGTGAATCTCTAAAATATGGTGAATCTCTAAGATAAGAAATTCTCACATAAAATTGACTTTCAAAGCCTGCGGTGTTTTTATAAAAATAAAAAAATTTGTGATACTACTTTTGCACTGAATGAACTTTGAGATATTCCGAACTAAAATTTCTAGGCTGAATAGACAGCAAGGGAGCTCTGTGGACACAGGTGCTATCTTTGATAACTGCAGACAATGGCTTCACTAACATTCCCCTTAACTGTATTATGCCTTTGACCCCTTTCATAAGAGTGAAATTCATTTGGAACACTGTAACTTCTAGACAGGAGAAAGAGTAATGTGGCCAACAAAAGGAAAGAGGAGATATGAGGGAGGAAGTAACCAGGGAACCTACATGTTGATGAGAGAACCAAGAAACATGTGAATACGAGTGATAAAGATTTTCACAACAGTCTTCAGTGAAACTATCTGTGACACTTTCAGCATGGTATGTTGTAAAAATGAATGCAGAAAAATATAACTTTAGGCTTGTCCATTTTAAACACCCCTAAAACAAGCAGCTACATTATTCTTTATGGTTTCTGAAATACAATTGTTATTTTATTTTGACTATGATCCTTACAAAGAACAAAGTAGGATTCTTGCTTTCATTTAGACAAAAATAAAAGCAAGTTAAGAGTGTACAATAGCAAGCGCCAATGTATTTTTTATTTCATTTATCACATTTAATTCTTGAAATAAACATTTTTATGAGATTGGTATTATTATTCCAACTTTAATTGAAGTAACTGACCATCAGTTGCCCTTGGTCTCTTAGCTACGAAGGAGTAAGACCAAGGATCTTCTTGGAAGTATCAGGTAGCCCTCAAAATTTCTAGTTCTAAAGAACCATATATCAAGGCTATATAAAACCAGCCATATTGTTTTAAAATTGTAGAAGACTTTCTAATTCTTATTTTTGATTATGTGGTTGCAGTTAATATTTTTTTGGTTTATACCTTCCATGTTCACAAAATATCATTAAAAAAACTAATCTGTAATTATTAAAAGTTTTAAAGTTTAAGGTCACAGAGAGCACAAGGTATGGTCTAGAGCTGGACAAAAGAATAGATAGATTAAAAAAATTTAAGTGCCAGAAACATATACTAATTTATCAAACGAATGGTAAAGAAGATAGGTACCTCAGGAAACAGAGGCCAAAATGAAGCTCAGTAGTGAAAGAGACTGGGCATGCATTGGATAAAGAATAAATAAAAGAGAAAAATGAGGATGAGAAGAAAAATATGTACAAAATTTTTCTCCTTTTACCCTCTGTACTGCATATTGTCTATTTTCTCCTCAATATTTATTCTCCACCCTTTTTCATCCTGCTATGTAGCACAGAATGCTAACCTTAATGGGCAATATAAAGTAAGCTCTCTTGCCTTCTGGCTTCTGGCTGTATTCAACCAATAGAAGGCCCTGGAAAAGACTGAAGGATGTCATGAAAGAGAGGTGATAGTATTGGCCCCTGGCTCCCTCCTTGATGGCTGCAATTTGGCAGTTACTGAATTTCTCTACCTAAGGCTGCAATGACCATAGTTGGCCCAATTCTGGCAAGTGTGCCTCTCACTGGGTTCTGCCAGAGCTGTGAAATCTATCAAGAATAGCCCTGAACTTTTTTTAGATCACTATTTTCCCCCTTTTTGCAGTTGTCTCTACCTTGAATATTCTTGTATAGAACTAGATCTAGATCAAATAAAAAGTGAAGGTTAAGAAACAACCAGACACTTTGGGAGGCCGAGCTGGGTGGATCACGAGGTCAGGAGATCATGACCATCCTGGCTAACATGATGAAACCCCGTCTCTACTAAAAATACAAAAAATTAGCTGGGCGTGGTGGCGGGCGCCTGTAGTCCCAGCTACTTGGGAGGCTGAGGCAGGAGAATGGTGTGAACCCGGGAGGTGGAGCTTGCAGTGAGCTGAGATCGCACCACTGCACTCCAGCCTGGGCGACAGAGCGAGACTCCGTCTCAAAAAAAAAAAAAAAAAAAAAGAAAGAAAGAAAAAGAAACAACCAGAGGAAGAAAAATGGTGTAGAAAAGATGGATGATGGAAATAAACAAATAGAAGGCAGAACTGAAAGCCAAAAGCACAGTGCAGTGACTGACAAATGAGGTGGAGAACAGAAAAAAAAAAATGTCCCATTTCTGTTGCCTCCTCCAACCCTGCTTTCTTGACTTAGTGAAAGGCATAATCAAAGAAAAGATGAATTTCAAAAGCCTGAGCAAGGTGCCCTCATTGAATGTCAATGTGAATGTCCATTTGTCTCTAATAGAAGACCTATCATTCATCTTGAAATTGGGGTTATCAGACTGATAAGAGCCAAGAGAGTTATTAGGCTAACTGAAGCTAGGATGCCCAGGAGGAGAAGGAAAAGAAAAGACTGATACATGTGACAGACATGTTAAAGAGAGGCAGTATAATTTTATGTCAAAGCTAGCTAGTGTGTCAAGCCTCCATCACCTTCAAACGTCATGACAATTATTCCTGTCCCTCTAAGCAAGAACACATGCTTGACCTACAAAGAGAATTCAGCTCCTCTTTTCAATTTAAATTATTTTCCTTTTGTCTCCACAACCCCCAACTTACAATATTTTATAGACATTTTATAACCTTACTACTATTTACAATTATCAAGAAGATTTGTTAAAATAACCAAACTTGAAATACTTAACTTTAAAAAAAAACAGAAAAATCTGATGTCAAGTGCAGACTAGCAGTATCCTAATTGAAGAATAATTTTATTTACTTATTTTTTTTTTCAGACAGGGTCTCACTGTCAGTCACCCACACTGGAGTACAATGGTACAATCACAGTTCAATTTAGTCTTGACCTCCCCGGGTTCAGGTGATCTTCCTGACTCGGCCTCCTGAGTATATTTACTTTTTCTTTCTTTTCTAATCATTAACAAACTCCACTCTCTTTTTGCAAGTGGTTGTCTTCTATTTTCAAACCTCAAACAATTCTAAGTTATGGCAATAAAAGAGAATTAGGCTAAAGATGGGAGTTTACTGCTGAAATGAAATCTGGCATAAATATGACAAAATTCATCCAATTCCCACAAATGCAAGGGAATGAAAGATGGTTCGTCAAATAATCTAGAAAAGATAAAGCCATGGGGAAAACCATGAAAATATCCTAGAAAAGATCGGACATATGAGGGAAAAAAGTCACTAATAAAAAGATTGTTATAAAATATTACAGACCTATTTTTAAAAATCATCAGGGCGATTTGTTCCAAGTATTCATTTGTGTCCAATTTTCCATAAATCCGCATAATATGTTGATAAGCCCCTAAATCCAAGTATAAAATGTCAAATCAAGTGCCCTAATTAGTGTGGCTGACTAGAATTAAATCCAAGACCAATCTGGCTAGCTCTCAATTACCTGCTTTAGTGGAGAGAAACAGCCCTGTGGGGGATAATCCCCTAAGCATTTATTCTTGGCTCTTGCACATATTATTATGCTGGATTTTTGTTGGGTTGATTGCTTGTTTGTTTTTAGCAGTGTTTTCTTCCCAGTTATTTTTACTTAAGCATAACAAAGTAATTCATCTTCCCAAAGTTAGCTGATGTTTAACAAAGGCATCGAAGCAGGGCCATGCTTAGAATCGGGTAGCTCAGAGACCTGTGCCTCTTCCTGGTGCCATGTTCTCCATCTCGTGAGGCTGAATGGCCAAATTGTCACTGCTGGGGCTCTCAGAGTCTCTCTAGGGAACATGGGACCTCACTGCAATTGAGGCTAGTGATTTCTAACCATTATGAACTGTTAAGTCAAATATTTTATGATGGCAAATCATGTCCCCAACTTACGTTTTAGGCAATTTATTTTTTCTTTCTACTTCTCTCTTCTTGATCTTTCTTATCCTTGAAGAATTCTGAGAGAGTATGGTATACATTAAAATTTCTACTAGGAATGCTTGATCTGGTCCAGCTGCCTTTATAATAAGTGAATTGACACCCATGAAAAGTCATTTACCCTGTATCTTGTTCTATAATGAATCAATAACCTGATTTATGATGACAAATTGCTGTTTCCATATAGAATGTCAATAGTTTCATATTGTAATAGAAACATCCACAAACCAAGCCTTAACCAAAGGAATATTAGATTATATAACCTTATAGAGGAGATAATTATAGGCCCTGTAGGAGGCCAAAATACGTTTCTTAAATTTTATTTTAATGTTTTCACTTTGTATATGGTGCTCTGTGGTAGTCTTCAAACACTGTACATGTGGCTTTCCATTTCATCCAGGTGGTGATCCAGGCAAGGGAAGAAAGGGAAAATTGTCTTAGACTGGAAGGGGAGATCTGCATTTCTCAAGAATGGAACCCTGGCTGGGTGTGGTGGCTCACACCTATAATCTCAGCAATTTGGGAGGCTGGGGCAGGATGATCCTTTGAAGTTAGAAGTTCAAGACCAGACTGGGCAACATAGAAAGATTCCATCTCTAAAAACAGTTCTTACAAGTAGTAGGCATGGGGGTGAATGCCTATAGTCCCAGGTACTCAGGAGGCTAAGATGGAAGGGTCACTTGATCCCAGGAGTTTGAGGCTGCAGGGAGTTATAATCAAGCCACTACACTCCAGCCTGACCAACAGAGCAAGAACCTATCTTTAAAAAAAGAAAAGAATGAACCCCAAGTGATATCAGGTGTTAGATAAAGGATGAAAGGGTGGGAGAATCCAGGTGATAAATATCATTAATATTCCTAGAGAACTATCTTCATTTAAAGATCTTAGAGGTGAATTAATGGGCAATTGACAAGTAATTTATTATTCACATTTTACAATACAAATTTTACAGATAAAACTCTAGAGTTCAAACACAAATGTAATACTTTGATCTGCTTTAAAAACTTTAACAGACATTTTAACAATATTAATTCCTACAATTCATAAACATAAAATATCTTTCCTTAATGTGTGTCTTCTTCATTTCTCTCAAGGTTTTATGGTTTTCATGGTATAGATATTTCACTTCTTTGGTAAATTTACACCAAAGTATTTTATTTTTATGCTATTGTAAGTGGGATTGTTTCCATAATTTCTTTTTTGGATACTTTATTAATATGGTGTAAAAATGTCATTAATTTTTATTTGTTGATTTTGTAACCTGAAACTTTAGTGAATCTGTTGATTAGTTCTAACCATGTGTTGGTGGAGTCTTTAAGGTTTTCTACATGTAAGATTATGTCATCAGCATGAAGAAATGAAGAGATAATTTTACTTTTTCCTTTCCTATATGGATGCTGCTTATTTTTTTTTCTTACCTAATTGCTCTGGCTAGGATTTCCAGTACTATATTGAACAAAAGTGATGAGTGTGGGCACCTTGTCTTATCCCTGACCTTACAGGAGACTCTTACAACTTTTCACTATTGAGTATGATGTCAGCTGTGTGCTTGTCATATATGCCTCTCTCTGTGTTGGAAGTACATTCCTCCTATGCTTATTTCTTGAGAATTTTGAGGATAAATTATCACAAACTAAATGGATTAGACAACAGAAATTTATTGTCTCACAATTCTGGAGGCTACAAGTCTGAGCCCAAGGTGAAGGCAATACAGAGGATCTATTCCAGACCACTCTCCTAGTTTCAGGTAGTCCCTTGGCTTCTGGCAGCATAACTCCAGTCTTCACTTGGTATTCTCCCTGTGTACATGTCTATCACTTCATAAGGGCATTCCTTTTATATGGACACCAGCCACATTGACTTAGGGGCCCATCCTTCTCTAGTATGAGCTCATCTTTAAATAACTAATGACATCTACAACTGTCTAATTTCCAAGTAAGGTCACATTCTGAAGTAGTGAAGGTTAGGACTTCAATAAATGAATTTTAATGGGACATGATTCAACTCATAATATCTAATGACAGTTACTACAGCCAGAACTTACCATAATCCTGGGTATAAAAAAATCAGTCTAGGCCAGGCTCAGTGGCTCATGCCTGTAATCCCAGCACTCTGGGAGGCCAAGGTGGGCGGATCACAAAGTCAGGAGATTGAGGCCATCCTGGCCAATATGGTGAAACCCCATCTCTACTAAAAATACAAAACTTGGCTGGATGTGGTGGCAGGTGCCTCTAATCCCAGCTACTCAGGAGGCCGAGGCAGAAGAATCGCTTGAACCAGGGAGTCAGAGGTTGCAGTGAGCTGAGATGGCGCCTCTGCACTCCAGCCTGGAGACAAAATGAATGAGACTCCATCTCAAAAATAAATAAATAAATAAATAAATAAATAAATAAATAAATAAATAAATGAGTCAGCCTACTAATTTGTGTATTTTATTTCTTCACTATCTTTGGGGAAAACAAATGTTGGTTTAGAATAAGTAGTCAGAAAAAAAAAAAATGTTATCCCTGAATGCCCAGGGCTCTAAACCCAGTTATAGCTTTCTTTCTTTAGCTCTTGAGAAAAAAATTTCAGAAATGCACATGTGGTACTACCTCTTTATCCATGGCTTTACTTTTCATGGTTTCAGTTACCTGGAGTCAACCAGTCTAAAAATATATGGACATTTCCAGAAATAAACAATTCCTTTGGTGGTTGCCATAGATAGTAAAACAAGAATGTTTTACTTATTAAATGTAATAACAGTTATTATTTTTGCTTTCTTATAGTCAATACAGAGAAAATTTTAACATCTGTGCTAATTTTTATGTATTTAGTCCTATAAGTTTTAAACTTCATAAAACTGTTGTTCTTTTGTATAGTCAAATGTTTTTATATTTTCCATATGTTTACCCTTTTATCTACTATTTATTAATACCTCCATCTTTAAGCTTCTATCAGGAATCATCTTCTTTATACTATAAGAATTTCCTTTAGTATCAGATCAACTAGTAATGAATTTACTCAGTTTTTTGTTTCTTTTTTTGAAGGTATTTTTATTTTGTTCTCTCCTTTTGCTATTTTTTTTCTGGGCAAAATATGTTTACAATTATATTCTCTTAATATTTGAAAACTATCATCTATAGTCTTTCATCTTCATTTGCTTTTATGAAAACTCAGTTATAAGTATTATCATTAATTTTAAAATAAGACTTTTCTTTTTATCAACATATTCTCTTTTCTTTTGGTTTTCAACAATTTTACATTGAATAGCAAGATGTGCTTTCATTTCTACATATTTTCTTTGGATTAATTGTGGCTTTTTACATCTGTGATTTCATGTCTTATATCACTTTCAGAATATGTGCATCCATTGTTTCTTTAAATATTGTCTTTTTTCCCTTTGCTCTCTCTCTCATCTTTCTGAGAATACAATATATGCATCGTACTTTTTTTACTTTCATATATTCCACATGACTCATTCTGTTTTCTATCTTTTTCTATCCCATTTTTTTGTATTTCACTATAGATATTTTCTTCTGATTTATTTTATGATACACTATTTATCTTTTTTTCTTTGTTCAGTAAGATGTTGAGGAAACCTATTATCTAATTGCATTTATCATTTTTTCTTTTCCATTCTTTTGTTGTTTGTTTTGAATAATTTTCAGTTATCTACTTAAGTCTTTCAGATTGGCACTTCTTAAACATACTATTTATACTTATTTAAAGGATGTGATTGATAGTTCTAATATCTGGATCCTCTTCGTTGTATTCTTTTGTTTGTTAACTTTCACCTTTTTATGTACCTGAGTATTTTAGATTGAATACACAAAGTCTGGGAACATATACAAGTAATTTAAGGAACTCGGTGATGTTATTTTCCTCCAGAAAGGATTTACTTTTTATTCCAATGAGGCAGTTTAAAGAAGGAATATGACCTAATTCAATCAACCACTGAGCTAATTCAAATTCAGGCTTCATTCTTTGTGAGGTCTGGCATATTTTTGGTTTTCTCCTATGTTTATATTCACATTCCTTACTATCATGTTTCAGGAGTCCTAACTAAAAGCCTGGAGGTTTCCTAGCATTCTTATTTCACAGTGGGCCATGAACACAGGGTTTTTCTCTATAGCCCCATGAGACATTTGGAAGCTATGCTCAGTATCTCAGCTTTTCAGTCATTACTTTTTAGTCAGCTCTTCAGGTTCTCATCTGCATCCTTTAAATCAATAATTTTCTGGAAGAAAAAAAGAACACCAAATTTTAGATTACTTCTTCAGGCATTCTATTTCTCAAAGACCTTGACAACTCAATAACTCACTTTCTTGACTTCTGTCTGATGTGTCCTTAAGATAAATGCTTTTTCATATTTTTATTTTTTTTTCTAGTTCTTCTCAGTAAGTTGATCTATTACAATATTGGCAGAATCCGAAATCTGACTATTTTGCTCTATAATATACTGATATAGTTTGGATATTTGTCCCCTTCAAACCTCGTGTTGAAACGTGATCCCCAATGTTGAAGGTAGAGCCCTGTGGGAGGTGCTTGGGTCACGGGGGCAGGTCTCTCATGAATGGCTGGGTGCCCTCCCTATGGTAATGAGTTACTATGAGAGCTGGGTGTTTAAAAGAGCCTAGCACCTACCCTGCTTTCTCGTGCCCCCTTTCCCATGTTATGCACCTGCTCTATTTTCATCTTCTGCCATGATTATAGTCTTTCTGAAGCCCTCACCAGAAGCAGACACTGATGCCATGCTTGTACAGCCTGCAGAATACTGACCAAAATAAACCTCTTTTTTAAAATAAAGTACCTAGTCTCAGGTACTCCTTTTTAGCAACACAAAACAGACTAACACATACCCTTTCAGGAGAAGTGGTTTTATTATGTTTCATTTTCACTTAAGATCTAAAGTTTGTTTGTAAGTTGCTCAATGTACTTTTTGGTTCGTGCCAGCTGATAAACATAATCATCAATCAATATTTAGAAAAGCTGAATCAGATATTTTAGACGCTACTTTTTAAAAATGTATTTTATAGGTTTGACGTACAAATTGGATATATCCATAACACCATATTAAGGTTATAATGCGCAGCATAGGATAGATGGTATTCCAGTTATTTATTGATGCATAACAACCCTTCTCCCTAAAATTTAGCAACATAATCCAACAATAACTATTTTGATTTGCAATCCACAATAATATGAGCAGAGCTGAGGGAAGAAAGTTTGCTTCTACTTTCATGGTGTCATTTGGGGCAAAGACTGAGAGCTCCCTCACAGTATATCTGATGGTTGATATGGGCTGTTGACTAGTACAACTGGGGCTGTTGGCTGGAACACTTCCATGCCTCCCCTCCACATAGCAGAATGCCTTCTTTATAGCATGGTTGCTGAGTTTCTAGAGTAACCAACTCAAGAGGATTGTCTTTTATAAACAAGTCTTAGATGTCACATGGCATCACTACTGCCATTGTCAGGAGTCCAGCCTAATAAAAGGGTAAAAAAATCATAGATCCCTACCTTTCTATGGTAAGAGTGTAAAAATTATATTCTAAGAGATGTAAAAGGGATAAGAAATAGTGTTGTGGCCATTTTGGAAAAATGTAATCTGCTATATTTTTCAGAAAATCTGTGATTAGGTCAGCTTTCTGAAAATATATTGTATTTGAAATCTTATAATGGTGTTAACCTTTTAAAGATCCTGATAAAAATCTTTAATTAATTTTTAATTATTCCTATAGAGAAAATCAATCTCTAATTTTAAATTTATAAAAATGAGATTTCTCTTAAACTTGGTTAAACTTGGTTAAAGCTCATACATATGTATCTTATCTCCAAGAAACCATTATTTATTTTAATACTCTAATTTTGCCATGAATTAATTATATCCTTCTATCTATTTTTTCTAAGAGTTATAGATTATTTTGATGAGGGCTGTCATTGGCACTGAGTGTCAAGAGCATTGTTAAACCTGCTTCAATTATTTTGTGCTACTTAGATTTTTGTAAGTGCATCTACCACATAGACAGCATGTTTGTTGTCAGAACTTGAGATGTGCATTTAAGAAGCTCTCTGAAGTATCTTCCAGTTCAAAAATATCATCTAGCCAATGTTTTCTTTATATAGTCTCTTGAAAATGCTCACTAAATACCTTCAAATTTCCAAGAAGTGGGAAATTTTCTCTAATATTTAAGTATATAAGACAGTCAGAAAACTCCACAGAAGTCTAATGGAAAATATAACAATAGTGCTTATATGACAAGATTGCAATAGACTAGCACATGCTTCAGTCTGTTGCATGCCTCAGTTTCCCTTCAAAAGATGGGGATGACTGACAAAAAAAAAGGAAGTTCTGTTTTACCTTACCATCATATGTTTCCTAATTCTGAGACCCACGATTGTGCTGACAAGAGGAATAACTATAACTCGTGGGTGATGCAATGTGGGACTGGAAGTGTGTAGCCTCCTGCCTTCTCTCCACCCTGTAACAGTTGCACTGGCTGCATTGTTAAAACAAACAAACAAACAAAGGCTACAAAGTTCATAAAAACTGCCAGGCAGGAAATGGAAGCTGATTGGTGGTAGCAGCGTGCCCTGGGGACTTCAAGTGGAGGCTGAGATAGAAAAAAACCTTAGAGCATAATGAAAATAGGAAATGTTAGACGTGAATTAAGGGTAGGAAGGAAATGCCACCTCAATAGGTCAGGGAGGCTTTTGATTGGTTGACTGTATAAAAAAGAAAAAACTGAACATGGCTATAATTAACTAAATTATAGCAAAAGAGAGTAGAAACAAATCTACCAATTACCACAAACAACAGTCCAGATCCTCCATCTCCATTTACAAATACAAAGATCATCAGAAGTAATTAAACACCCTAAATTATTCATGAGTCAAAATAGAATGTAAAACTGCAATTACAGGTTAAGAACATGTACCTACAATGAGAAAAGTACACATGAAACATAATTAAAATTGTAATCAGACAAGCAAAGCCCTTAAACTATATTTAAATAAAGTATAAATGTTAAAATTTGTAACGAAATTCTGGAAAAAAAATGGTAGATAAACAAGTAGGTAGGAAGAAGAAAATAACAAAAGATAGAATTTTTAGTATTTTTATTAAAAAATATATTAGTAATATTTTACTAATAAAAAATAAGGCATTAAAACACTAAATTGAACAGGTAATTCCTTGAATGTATCCATAAAATAAAATTATATTGTGTCAAAATAATTGCAATAATAAATGAAATAGATAATTTTCTAAAAATATATAAATTTCTAAAATTGACTTATCAGGAAAATTTTAGAGCATTTTATGTATCTGTGTGTGTGTGTGTTCATATATGTGTGTGTGTATGTATAAAATGATGAGTGAGGGAATGAATAGTAGATGAATGAATCTAGAAAGTTATCCGTCAATTGTCGAAAATTAATCTCTTCCTGAGTAATAAAATTAGGGTTGAATTTTATTTTCTTGAAAAGTAGTAGTAATAAATTCTTTGAAAACACAAAAGCACTTAAATTTGAAAAGAAGCAAAAGTATCTTTATTTACAGATGATAGAATCCCACATATAGAAAATCTCAAAGAATAAAAGTTACTAGAGTTACTAAATTCAGCAAGTTGCAAGGTACAAGATAAAGACACAAAAATCAGTTAATGTTTCTGTACACCAGCAAAGAACAATCAAAAAGGAAATTTAAAAAAGCATTTCCATGCACTATAACATCTAAAATAATAAAATACCTAAAAAGAATTTTTACCAAAAATGTGAAAGACTTATACACTGAAAACAACAAAATATTGCTTAAAGAATTTAAAGAAGATCTAAATAAATTGAAAGACATCTCATGTTTATGAATTGGGTGACTTAGTATTGTTAAGATGACAATACTATGCAGAGTGAGCTACAAATTAATTCAACCCCTATAAAAATTTTAAGCCATTTTGCAGAACTGGAAAAGCCAAACCTCAAATTCATATGGAATTTCAAGGGGTCTCGAATAGTCAACACAATCTTGAAAAATAAGAACAAAATTGGAGGAATCCCACTTGATTTCAAAACTTTCTACAAAGCTACAGTAGACATCTCTAACCAATTGATTTTTCAACAAGGGTGCCAAGTCCATTCAGTGGGGAAATAGTCTATTCAACAAATGCTGCTTGGACAACTAAATTTTCACAGGCAGAAGAATGAGGTTGGACCCCTATCTCACACCATATTAAGAAAAAGAACTCAAAATAGATTAATGACTAAATGTAAGAGTTAAAACCATAAAATTCTTAGAAGAAAATATACTGGTAAATCTTCATAATTTGGGATTTAGCAATGAGTTCTTAGACATGACACCAAAAGCACAGGCAACAAAATAAAAAAATAAATTAAACTTCATCAATATTAACATTTGACACATCAAAGGACACTATCAAGATATTAAAAAGACAACCTACAAAATTGGAGAAAGTATTTGACAAACATATATCTGATAAGAGTTTACTAGCCAGAGTGTATAAAGAACTCAAAAATTTAACAACAAAGATACAATTTGATAAAAATGAGCAAAATACTTGAATAGATAGCTTTCCAGAAAAGATATACTAATGGCCAATAAACACATGAAAAGATTCCCAACATCATTAATCATTAGGAAGATCCATATCAAAATCACTATGAGAAACCACTTTACACTCACTAGCCTGGCTATAATTTTTTTAATTGAAAAATAACAAATGTTGGTAAGGATATAAAAAAATTGGAAACCTCTACATTGCTGGTGGATATATAAAAAATTATGTAGCCACTGAAGAAAACATTTGAGTGGTTTCTCCAAAAGCTAAACATATAATTATTATATCATCCAGATATTTCACACCTAAGAATACACCCAAAATAATTAAAAGCAAGTACTCAAAAAGATGTGTTCATAGCAGCATTACTCACAATATACAAAAGGTGGAAATAACTCAAGCATCTGTCAACAGACTAACGGAAAATTAATGCCTGGACCATGGAATATTATTCAGCTGTAAAACGGAATTAAGTCTTGTTATATGCTACAATATGGACAAAACTTGAAAACAGTATGCAAAGCAAAATAAGCCAGACACAAAAGAACAAATACTGAAAAATTTCACTTATATAAAGGATCTAGAATGAGCAAAGAGACAGAGAAAGAAAGTATATTAGCAATTACCAAGGGCAAAGAGAGGAGAGAATGGGATGTTACTGCTTAATGGTTGAAGAGTTTCTGTGTAAGGTCATTAAAAATTTCAAGAAATAGTGGTGATGTTTGCACAATGGTGTGAATGTACACTTTTATTAAAATGGCAAAATTTGTTGTATATTTATATATTACTTATTTGTTATATACATTACATAGTATATATTATGTAAGATGTATTTACTTTACCATACATTTTATCATATATCACATATTATTATACATAATAATATATTTGTTATGTATCATAAAATAATGCATAATACAAATTATTTTATAATAATATACATAATTATATGATATATGACAAATTTTTTCATGTATTATGTATAACATATTTTATACAATATTATACTAACATGTTAATATAACATACTAACATATGTTATATATAATATACCTTTACAAATTGAAAATATATGTTATATATATCTCATCACAATTTTTAAAAATATATTTTCTCACCTCAGATTGGTATAGGTTTGGATTTTGCTTTTACTACCTATTGAAGAAACTTGAACAAGTTATTTAATACCTCTTAGTATGGGTCTCTTTAGCTGTAAAATATGAATAATAACTACAGCCCCACACCTCCCTCACAAGCCTGCAGTGGGGAGTGAGACAATTTGGCACTTTTAGCATCCTTCAAACACAATCACAATAGTTATCTCTAATACTGTACATCCTTTATTCTGAAAAGTGTTTTTTCATTCATTTTAAAATCAGGTTGTGTCCTACAATTGACAGGCACATTTAATAAAATATTTTTCTCTAAGAAATATTATTAAGGACTTTGCACAGTGGCTTAAACCTGTAATCCCAACACCTTTGGAGGTTGAGGAGGGAGAATCACTTGAGGCAGGAGTTCGAGACCAGCCTGGGCAACATATTGAGACTCCATCTCTAATAAAAAATAAAAAGTCATAAAATGTTGGTGTAAGTTTCATTTGATATTATCTTATAATTGAGAAAATACTACATTTTTATTACGTATATCTGTAATTTTAATAGGCAAATATTCTTTGCATAATCAGAATAAACTAATTGAACTTTGAAAATGTAAATTAAAATACAGTGACTAAAATAAATAGGTGAGTCACCTAGAGACTTTTATAGGCAATCTACAAATAATTTTCTAGAAACTATGCAATTACTATTCAGTGGATAAATAACAGTTTTGGCAAGCACGTTTGGTGGCATGGAAACAGATTTATGGGAAAAAAAAGATTAGCAAACATTATGTATAGTATGACCCTTTTTAAAACCAAAATATTAACAGTGATGGGTTAATTTTTTTGTCTCTGTATTTTCTACAATCAATGTTTTACACTTTCATTCAAAAATATTTATTGTGTTTCTATTATATGTTGATTACACAGATATTAAGCTAATAATTATTTTGGCAATGTTAAAATGAATAAACAAAAGTGAATTTAAAAAATAAAGATGCCAGGTACATTGGCTCATGCCTGTAATCCCAGAACTTTGGGAGGCCGAGGTGGGTGGATCATGAGTTCAGGAGTTCAAGACCAGCCTGGCCAAGACGGTGAAACCTTGTCTCTACTAAAAATACAAAAATTAGCTGGGTGTGGTGGTGGGCGCCTGTAATTCCAGCTACTCGGGAGGTTGAGGCAGAGAATTTCTTGAACCCGGGAGGCAGAGGTTGCAGTGAGCCCAGATCATACCACTGCAATCCAGCCTGTGCAACAGAGCGAGACTCCGTCTCAATAACAATAAAATAAAGAGTAATTTTGCTGGATTGGAGCTACTTCACCCATACAGCATAACTCCAACAACTAGCAAGTTGATTGGCCCCAAGTGCCCCTGCCTAATGTCTTGGTCCTACCTTTGATAGGATCTGCTTACTTGCTCTAGTTCCCAAAGGGGAATTATCAGCTAAAGCCATTTTTTTCAATTTATTTCTCAATGACTGCAGTTAACTTTTATGGGTGAAGAAATAATCTACTTTCTCATTGCTCCTTCCTGATTCTCAAAATGTGATTTCCACAATGTTCCCCTTCATCCCATGTCTTTCCATTTTGCCAATAGAAAGTCAAGTGGACCTAAAATCTTCCAGAAATAGCAAAATATAAACGTGTAATCTAACCTGCACTTTAAATGATATAGAGTCAGCCTTCCATATCCATGGGTTCTGCCTCCATGGATTTAACTAACTGCAGAGCAAAAATATTTTTTAAACGTTATGTCTGTGCTTAACATGTACAGAATTTTTTTTCTTTCATTATCCCCTAAACAATACAGTATAACCACTATTTACTTAGCATTTGCATTGTACCAGGTTTTTTCATTGGTTTTAGAGACAGGGTTGCTGTCATCCAGGCTGGAGTGCAGTGGTGATATCATGGCTCACTCTAACCTCGAACTCCTGGGCTCAAGTGATCCTCCTGCCTCAGCCTCCCAAAGTGCTGGGATTACAGACATGAACCTCTGTGCCTGGTCTGTATTAGATATTATAAGTAATTTCAAGATGGTTTAAAGCATACAGGGGGATGTGGGCATAGGTCATATCCAAATACTGTGCCATTCTATATATAAAGATTTTTTGTATCTGTGGGAGGTCCTGGAACAAAAACCCCACAGATACCAAGGGATGACTACAATTCTGACTGAGCTGTAAACTGAAATCCTCTGGGATGAAACACTTTCCTGATTTTTTTTCATTCATTTTATACAACAAATGTAGATACTCCATTGTAGGAGAATCAATTTGTAAAGCCAAAATTGGCGAGAAATTTCCTTGTCCATTTGAGAAAACACAGACATGCAAATTTGCATCTTTTATAAATTTCAACCCATGTGCCTCTAGCATACACCCCAAGATAATTCTCTGAAGTCTGCTATACCTAAAACATACGTTCTCAGTTTTGAAGAGTATAATTTGAGAGGGCAAGGATACTTACTTCATCTTTGCACACAAATTGTTCCTCTTTCAAAGGCAAGATGGCATATATTTCAAAGTGACTATGATATGGTTCCACTCTGTGTCCCCACCCAAATCTCATCTCAAATTGTAATCTCCACGTGTTGAGGGAGGGACTTGTAATCCCCACATGTCGAGGGAGAGAGGTGATTGGATCATGAGGTCAGTTTTCCCCATGCTGTTCTTCTGACAATGACTGAGTTCTCACAGGAGCTGATGGTTTTATAAGTGTTTGGCAGTCTCTCCTTCACACACTTCTCTCTCCTGCCACCTTGTGAAGAAGGTGCCTGCTTCCCCTTCCACCATGATTGTAAGTCTCCTGAGGCCTCCCCAGACATGCAGAACTGTGAGTAAATTAAACCTCATTTGTTTATAAATTATCCAGTATTGAGTAGTATCTTGATAGCAGTGTAAAAACAGACTAATAGAGACTACAAAAAAGAACTTTTAAGAAAATCAAGGAGTTAGATTTAAATTAAAAGAGAAGTATTACATTTAAAAGAAAAGGTAAAGAACATTTCCTAACCCTGGGTCTATAGTGCTTTCAGTTGGAGTTAGTTTTAATTTCCACAGGCCTCATTCACTTACATTCTTCTCAATTATCAGAATTTTGTTCTCCTGGGACAGGTAAATAGACAAGAATCCATTGTCATCTTGGCCGCAATAATGTTGCCTCCCTTAATTAAGCAACTTAGTTGTTCTGTTGCCAGCCTGAAATTGTTCTTGATCCACTGATATTTTCATAGGGATTATGTAAAATATTTTTTCACTTATGCTGTTTTACCTCTCCAATAAATGCCTCCCAAATTTATATGCATGCTTCTCTGATGATGAGAAACACAGAACTGAAAGAAAATTTTAAAATATCCTAACTGTGGACCTGCCAATTCAAATACCTTAAGAGCTACATAGAAAATATAAAGGTCATTAAACTAAGCAAACTAACCCAGGAACAGAAGACCAAATACCTCACATTCTCACTTATAAACATTGAGTACCCATGAACATGGAGAAGGGAACAGCAGACACCATGGCCTACTTCAGGGTGGAGGAGGGGAGGAGGGTGAGGATCAAAAAATTACCTATGGGATACAATGCTGATTACCTGGGTAACAAAATAATCTGTATACCAAACTCCTGTGACACACAGTTTACCTATATAACAAACCTGCATATGTACCCCTGAACATAAAAGTTAAAAAATAAATGTGAAGAAGGTTAAAAAAAAAGAGAAGAAGAAAATATAAATGTGTGAGGCAGCAAGTTTAAAGATTAAGATTACAAACTTGTGGAAACTTGAAGAACAGATATTACCATAAAGCATTTTAGAGTACTAATTAACGCTATTTTGGCCAAAAAAATCTATATTTGTTAGCTGGATCAATCTCAAAGTTATTAAGTTTTTATTTAATTCAATTCCCTCATGTTACAATTGGAGAAAGTAATATTCAGAAATAAGTGACAAAACTACTATGATATACTAAAATGACTATAAAATAAGAAGGATTTGCTAAGTAGTTCTTTTTTCAAAAAGGCTGGCAAGTCCTGGACTGTCCTTTCCAAATTCTCCAGTCTCATTTCCCTCTAGATACTCACTCCCCAAACCCAATCTCAACTTTTACCACCGTGATCTTCTTCCAAGACTCTCTTAGCAAAATGGCAGAGTCTATTTTCCCACTTCTTGAATTTGGACTGACACCGTGATTTCCATCAGCCAATGGAACATTAACAAGTCTGACTCAGGAAAGCTTGAAAAGTGCCCATACATTTCTGCTCAATCTCGCCCTGTGCTGGTACCATAACAGCGTGCCCTGGCCTACCTATTGAAAGATGAAAAATAGGAGACAGGTCACTTTTCCCAGGTGAAACCAAACTGTGCTAGTTCAGCCCACAGCCCACTGACATAACAGCTCTGCCTTGCAGAAGCACAGCAGACCACAGACACATGAGCAAGCACAGCCCAGATCCTCAGTAGACTAGATTAGCTGAACCCCCCAGACTCATGAGCTAAATGATATGTTAATGTTGCATGCCACTGAGATTTTGTGGTTGGTTGTTATTCAGCATCATTGTGTCAATAGATAACTGATGCACTCGCATCATAATTTCCAAACCACTCCATTTGTGATTACATTTGGTTGAGTCATGTTGACAGAGGAGTACTCAGACAGTTCTGAGGCCAGTGAGATAAAGGTGTAGCATAGACAGCCAGGTGAACACTTGCTCAGCTTGTGAATAAGTGTGGGGCTCAGATGGTAGGTGTAATTAGTTCAGAAATGGTTTCTAATTTATAATTATATTAAATCAGAAAGCAAGCAGATGCAGGACCCAGGGCAGGCTTGGAATATGGTTAGACTGATGTCAACCAAATAATAAGAAATCTGAGTCAATAGCAGCATAATAAATGAAACAAACTTTTTTTTTTTTTTTGAACAGGTGATGGCAGCTGGGACTGGTCTGGGCTGGACTGGGTTAGCATAGGACTGGGCTTCAGAAGCAAGTGGCAACAGACAATTCTCCTGGCAGTAGTACCTAGTCCTCTCCAGTAGTAAACACACAGGCAACTTCCAGAGAGGCCTTGCACACCCTGACTTGTGAGTCCTGCCTGTCTTGGAGCAGTCAAGGAGAAACATTTTATACCTACAATTGCGCTGACCTATTGTTGGTAATAACTGGCTATGCCTTTAATAAATGAGCAATAAACTCATTTTTAACCAGATTAGCTCAAGTTGGCATTGCCAGATAAAATACAGGATGCCAAATTTAATTTGACTTTTAGATAGCTAACATAAAACAACGTAAGTATGTCTCAAATTTTGTTTAATATATGCTAAAAAACCTATTGTTTTATCTGAAATTCAAATTTAACTGGGATTCCTATATTTTTATTTGCTAAACCTGGAAATCCTAACATAGGGTGCTCCTCGATGATTAGCTAGTTGAAACCTACTATATTAGTCCATTCTCGCACTGCTATAAAGAACTACCTGAGGCTGCATAATTTATAAAGAATAGAGGTTTATCTGGCTCACAGTACTGCAGGCTGTACAGGAAGCATGGATGGGGAGACGCCAGGAAACACAATCATGGCAGAAGGCGAAGGGAAAGCAGACACATCTTACATGGCCAGAGTAGGAGGAAGAGAGAGAAGGGGAAAGTCCCACACACTTTTAAGTAACCAGATCTCATGAGAACTCTATCATGAGACAGCACTAGGTGCCAGGCGCTGTGGCTCACGCCTGTAATCCCAGCACTTTGGGAGGCCGAGGCAGGTGGATCACCTGAGGTCAGGAGTTCGAGACCAGCATGACCAACAAGGTGAAAGCTTGTCTCTACTAAAAATAGTTTTAAAATTAGCTGGGCCTGGTGGTGTAATCCCAACTGGCCTGTAATGCCAGCTACTCAGGAGACTGAGGCAGAAGAATTGCTTAAACCCGAGAGGCGGAGGTTGCAGTGAGCTGTGATTGTGCCACTGGACTCCAGCCTGGGTGACAGAGCAGAGATTCCCTCTCAAAAAGAGAAAAAAAGGGGGGGGGGGAACAGCACTAGGGGGATGGTGCTAAACCATTAGAGAGCACCCCCATGATCCAATCACCTTCCCCCAGGCCCACCTCCAACACCGGAGATTACGATTCAACATGAGATTTGTGTCGGGATACAAAGCCAAACCACATCACCTAGTAAATTCCAAAGGGGCACACATCATAACTCTGTTTCTTCCACAACACAGAGAAAGACGGGGTTCCTCTCTGCTATCTGTCAGCAGATAATTCAATACATTCCAGATGAGGGAGTCAACTCCCACATTTGGCTCTGTGTGTAGATAGATATATTATTGTTACAGTATTTTTCATTAAATGTTTGTTTCCAAGTTATTTCCTTCTATCTGTATACCCCTTTCTTCCCTTAGTAACTTGAGCATTCCTTGCATAAAGGAAGTGATGACAGCCAAAATGATGACGGAAAAGAGGGAGTTAAAGGGATAAAAAAAATTTACAGCACGTAAAAGAATGAAGTGATCAGAAAGAGTAAAGCTAAACAGAATTAGCTGCAGGTCACCTTCTGAAGCAAGTGAGCCAAGATCGCACCACTGGACATTGTTTTTCTTTTCAACATTAATATTCAGTAACCATTCAATAAATGTTCATTACATTTCCTTTTTTGTGTATAAACATTCAAAAAGGACAAGATGCATAATATGTAGTCATTGCCTCTGAAGGGCTCACAGTCTGATAGGGAAAATAAATGAGTCCAGAGATGATAGGTCCATGACCTTATTGGACCACCTTAGTCCACGATGAACCACGGAGAGTAGGTTCACCACCATCCATGTCCCTTGCAAGAGTTAGAAGTAGGGTAGGAGTGCTAATGCTAAACACTGCAATGCATGGAACACTTCCAAATAAGCAAGAATCACACAGCCCAAATGCCAATGTTTCTCCTAGTGAGAAATACCAAGAAAAACAGGCATTTCAGGGAGCCAGTAGAATGCAGTGGAACAAATGCTGTCTTAGGATTCAGAGAGAGGTAATTGTACATCTGGCTGTGTGATCTAGAACAAGTCGCTGTGACTTCTCTGAGCTTTGTATCTTCATTTGAAGTGTGGAAATAATTATGCCTGTCTCCTAGAGTTTACATCAAAAAATGACAATCTATGCCAAACATTCTGCAAAATGTCAGTGACTAGATAAGACTGAATAATTGGTAGCTATTATTAATATTTTCATAATTACAAAGTTATATATGATAAACTAAGGAGAAAACAGAGTCTGTGTAAGTGAAAATTCTCAGAGAAAAGAAAATTGGAAGAAGATAGGAAAAATGGCTTGTTAGTTAGACAGCACAAAGTAAATATAAGATAACATATTATAATTATAGGATGGCCTATAATCCCAGCTACTCTTGAGACTGAGGCAGGAGGATCCCTTGAGGCTGTTACAGTAGGTAGCTACTCAGACAAAGGAGACGGCCACTCCCAACCAGGAATATCTGGCAACCATCAGGTGATGGTCAGGCAGCTGTTACTCTGTTTCTCTAAAATAGTAATAGGTTGCAGCCAGAGCCAGAGGAAGGCAGTCTTCCTATAAGTAGCAAAAACCTGAAACTGGTGATCAGTAGCTTCTCAGTAAGATCTCAGGAGTTGGGTAAGTGAGCTCAAGCATGTGCACTAAGAGGCAAAATGGTGGAGTTTAACTGGTATATGACCTTCCTCTAGGAATGATAGATTGGTAAGGGAAGAACACCTCAAGTGAGCATGCTTAGAACTCCAGTAAACACACCGTGCATGCTCCGCTCCCAAACACTAGCAGGCCATTGAACATGGGGACAGCCCATGCCAAGAGAAGAATCAGGGGGGAAGGAACACAAAACCCCAAAAGTATGCCAACATATAAAACCCCAAATCAAAAGGTCAAACCATGCACTTGCCTTTCAAGTTGCCCACTTGGCCTTCTTCCAAGTATACTTTCCTTCCTTTTGTTCCTGCTCTAAAGCTTTTTGATAAACTTTCACTCCTGCTCTAAAACTCTCCTCGGTCTCTCCTGCCTGATGCCCCTCAGTCGAATTCTTTCTTCTGAGGAGGCAAGAATTGAGGCTGCAACAGACACATACAGATTTACCGCCACTATCAAGGCCAGGAGTTCAAGACCAACCTGGTCAAAACAGGGAGACCTTGTCTCTAAAAACATTAAAAAAAATTAACTGAGAGGTGCAAGGATTGCTTGAGCCAAGGAGTTCAAGGCTGCAGTGAGCTCTGATAGTGCCACTGCACTCCAGCCTGGGTGACACAGTGAGACCCCAACTCTTAAAAAATAATAGTAATAACAAATTAATGAATAAGTAATTATAAAGACATATAAACAAAATATTGGAATACATATGTTTAAATACATTTCAACATTCTGCTTTCAGGTCACCACCTGATCATCATTTTTAAAGGAAAAATATCTATACAGGTCTTTGTATTTGTTTGGGAAACATTTAAACTCTAAGAATGCAGATATAATCGGAAAATATAATTTTTTTTAACCTTCTCCAGCAATCCTTTTGGAAACACATTTATGGATTTCAGTTTCATTTATCATTCAATGAAATCCTCTACTCTATATTTTTGGTCTTCTGTAACAAGAAATTTTTCCTGGACTCTTGAGGAAAATAATGTAAAATAGATTCCAAAAACATTTCGACTGTCAATTATATACTGAGAAAGGCAGATTAATCCCTATAGACCTCATGGTTGACAAAGTCCTCAGTTAATGTGTTTAGCTATAGTGCTAAGAGGAAATTGATAACAACACTCTGGGTGCCTCAGTGCTGTTACGTGGAATAATTACTGCCCTGGGGTATTGAAGGTAATCAGATACGCTGGGTTTCTTCAGCACTAAGGGAAGAAGAAAGGGGCAAGGGTGATTATCTTTCTATAATACCAGCAGCTATTATGTCACATTTCTTAAATTCATTTCAATGAAATAACGTGTTTTTGTTTTCCTTAAGTGACTTATTTTCCTACTTTTTTTTTAGTATTGTTTTGTTTTCAATATAAAGAAAGCCAATTTGCTGTTCACAAACTTTGTTGTGAAAAAGGAAATCATGTGAGGACATGAAACCACAGGAACTCTCCTAAACTGCTGGTGGAAATACAAATTGTTAAAGCCACTTTGGAAACATTGTAGGATTATCTAGTAAAGTTCGTGTGCATGATATGCATATTTACTCCTAGGATATACCCTGAAGAAATAAGTGCACATGTGCTCCAACGAACGTGCATAAGAATAAGAATAAGAAGGACAGTAGTGTTATTTATGATAACCCCACATTGGGAAAAAAATGCTATCAAGAATAAACTAGATAACTTATAAATATGCTCATAATCTGGATTACTACATGCAATTAAAAGGAGTACTGCAGACATTTGTGAAAACATGGATAAACTTCCAAATATAAAATTTTGAGTAAGAGAAACCAGACAGCAAAGAATACATACCATCTGATTTCATCAAAAACATGCAAAAGTTAATTATAATGTGAAGACTTGCATTCTTAAATTTTAAACTCTCAGAAGAGGATGGGTAACATTACCAGAGAAATCAAAACAGTGGTAACACTCTGGGGAGGGAGGGAACTGTGGATGGGAAACAGCCTTCAGAACACAGGATTTGGGAGCACCAATAATGTATAATTTCTGGACGTGATATTCTATATATTAGCCTATTGGGCAATATTTAATCTATTAAGCTATATAGTTATGTCTTATCCACACTTCTATTTGTGTTTTATATTTCACAATAAAAAGTTAAGAAAAATTACTCATTTTTTTTGTTGTTGTTTTTTGTTAAGCAATTTTCTCTAAACAGAGGAAAGGGGATTAACAATGACTGGGTTCACACTGAGCCATTTACATGCATAATCTCTTCTAATTCTAATAATAAACCTCTTAAGGACTTACCATCTTCCCCGCTTGAGGGCTAGGGAGAGAGAGGCTCATAGAGGTCCAGCAGTTTGCACAGGGCCACATAACCAGTGAAAGCAGAGCCAAAGCTGAACTCAGTCTTGACCCAAGTGCATGCTTCTTATACTTCATCATGCTGACTATATCTACATTCATTATAGCTGTATGCATAGAGATTTCATATTTTCTACTAGGAAGCCTAACTAAACACACACGCAAGGTCTGAATATTGATGCATAAACAACTTTAAATATTTTAAATACAACCTAAAAGATAATTGACTAAAAATATATGTAGCTAATTCTGCACTAAAGCCAGACCATTCTGCTGAATAAATGTGTTATTTATTGGGGTAAATCATGTATTATTGCTTTTTCAATAGTAAAAATAATTTTGTGAGTCACTGGCTCACGCAAAGAGGGTTATGGAAGGAAGTGCGCAAAGTCAAAATCTCAATTATTATTCTAAGATCTTGTCTTATGTAGCCATGGGTCACAGAAATAAAAAACAAAAACAAAAGAAAAAGCTAATAAAAATCTTGTACCCGGCCAGGCGCAGTGGCTCACGCCTGTAATCCCAGCACTTTGGGAGGCCGAGACGGGCGGATCACGAGGTCAGGAGATCGAGACCATCCTGGCTAACATGGTGAAACCTCATCTCTACTAAAAATAAAAATAAAAAAAAATTAGCCGGACTTGGTGGTGGACACCTGTAGTCCCACCTACTCGGGAGGCTGAGGCAGGAGAATGGTGTGAACCCAGGAGGCGGAGCTTGCAGTGAGCGGAGATCATGCCACTGCACTCCAGCCTGGGCGACAGAGCAAGGCTCCATCTCAAAATAAATAAATAAATAAATAAATAAAAATATTGTACCCTTCTCAAGCTGAGAGAGGACTCAGAAGGAGACTTCATTCATTTGTTCCCATAGGTATTTGAGTGCTTACTGTTGCACTTTGTTCTAGGCCCCCGTATACAACGATAAAAAGATACACAAGGTGATGGGGCTGGTGGGGATTATATTCTAAGCAAGAGACTGACAAGCAAGTGAACAAATGAGCTACCTTCAGAGAGTGATAGAGGAGATGCTATGAAGCAAAGAAGGGCTAATGAGATGGAGAGAGTTCAAAGTCACAATGAAGGTGGGATAGGTGGCATAAGCCAAAGCCTCTTTCAAGAGGTGATATATGAGGCAAGGCCAGAAAAAAAGACCAGAAGAAAGCCACACAACCATGAAAACTGGGAGAAGATACTTCAGGCAGAAGTGGCAGCAAGAATAAATTTCCAAGTTAGAATTGTGCTTGGTGTTTTCAAAAACAGTGTGACTGAAGAATAGTCTATAAGAATATAAGTTAGGATTTGGTTCAACTTCAAATACGAAAAATTACAAAGTAACAGAACCTTAAATAAAAATCATTAGTCTAAAATTGAAGGGCAGCTTCACAAAGCCATCAGAAATCCAGGTTACTTCCATATTATGGAGTCATCATCTTCCTCGTGACCTAAAATGGCCACGTGAGCTCCAGCTCTCACAAGTGAATTCCAGTTATAGGCAGATGGAAGAAATAACAAAGAATCTACCTCATTTTTTAAGGATACTTCCTGGAAGTGAACACAACACTTTAATATATATTCCATTGACCAGAAAAAAAAGTCAAATGACTAATCTAAGTACAAGAAAGGCTGGGAAATTCCAGAAGGAAGTTAAAAAACAGGTATTCTTTTTTACCAAGAGAGAAAAAGAAATGTATATTTTATGCAACAAGCAATTTGTCACGGGGAAAAGAGGTAAAATAATTGAATATGGAGAGGTAGATAAGGGTAACTCATTTAGAGGCTTAGTAAACCATAGTAATTTTAATTTTATACTTGAAGGCAAGAGCCACTGAGCCCTAATGTAATGCTTTGTTTGATTGTAGGAGTTGCTAGAGTTAAGAGCCTTACCTATGTACCCTGCATATAATTCATACTTCAAGTCTGTCTTGGGGATGGGCTGATAATCCCTTCTTCAAGCCTGTTTCAGGGATTGTCTGGGCTTTCAGGATGGTCACCATAGCTTGAAACCATCTGATTCTTCATTTATTACCTCCACCTTTTTCAAGTCAGCCACCGTGTCTTGTCAATTCTATCATCATAGTATCAATTGCAGAAAGAATGAAAAAGCTTGATAGAATAGTAAAATTGTGAATTCAACAACCATCCCTAGCAACATCAACCCTAAAGAAAAAGGGACAGAAAGGCATTGTGTGGTGGGTATAATTGTATCCCCTTAAAATATATGTTGAAGCCATAATTTCTGGAAGCTCTGAAGGTGACCTTATTTGGAAATAGGGTCTTTGAAGTTGTACTCAAGTTAAAATGAGGCTATACTGGATTAAATAGGCACTAAACTCAATGACTATTACCCCTACAAGAAGGTCAGGTCATGTAAAGACACAGGAGTACAGAGGAACACAGGGAGAATGCCATGTGATGACAGAAACAGAGATTGAAGTGATATAACTGCAAGCCAAGGAACACTAAAGATTGACAGTCACCACCAGAAACTAGAAGAGGCAAAGAAGAATTCTTCCTCAGAGCCTCCAGAAGGAACCAATCTGGCTGAAACCTTGATTTTAGACTTCTAGCCTCCACAACTGTGAGAGAATAAATTTCTGTTGTTTTAAGACCATCCGGTTTATGGTAATTTGTTAAGGTCACCCTAGGAAACTAACACACCCTATAACACTGGTTCTGAGATAGCTGAAGCAGAAAAAGAGAAATGGGAATCCAATCAGTAGCTGATTTGGCTGTGGAGTAAACAAAGTCCCAGCAGTACTGGGAACAGGTTCAGCAATAATTACAACCTTTATCAGACAGCCAAGATCCCATTTGAATCAGAATATGGTAACTGTCACACACCCCAAGACACCCCCTACTTTTGAATCATAAAGGCGTATGTAATTGGAGAGGCTGAAATTGCCAACCAGCTGGTGGGAGTGAGTCACTGGTATTTTGTTCTCCTTTTCCCTATGGTCGCTTCAAGACTAGAGATCAGGTAGGATCATCACAAATTTAAAAGGCACCCAGTAAGAATGTATTCAATGATATCTGAAATACTTCAGAAAAAATATAAACCATGAGGTATTTTACTCACATATTTACCCAGAAAAAGATATAAGAATTTGTTATGGTCTGAATGTGTCCTTCCAAAATTTATATGTTGAAGCCCTATCCCTGGTACCATAGAATGTGACTCTATTTGGAGACAGGGCTTTTAAAGTAGTAATTAACTTAGAATGAGACCAGTAGGAAGGGCCCTAATTGAATATGACTGGTGTCTTTATAGGAAGAGGAAATTAAGACACACAGAGGGATACACATACAGAAATAAGACACAGAAGGTAGCTATCTGAAAGCCAGGGTGTGAAGACTGAGAAGAAACGAAACCTGACATTACCTTGATCTTAGACTTATGCCCCCCAGAATTATGAGGAAATTAGTTACTGTTGTTTAAGCCACCCACCCAGTTTGTGGCATTTTGTTATGGCAGCTCTAGCAAGCTAATACAGATTTTGGTACAGTGAAGCAAGGTACTGCTGTAGTATACACCTAATAATGTGGAAGTGGCATTGAAATAGGATAATGGTTAGAAGCTGGAAAAGTTTTAGGGCAAATGTTACAAAAAGCCTAGATTGCCTTAAAGAGACTGTTGGTAGAAATATGGATACTGAAGGTTCTGTTGGTGCAGATGTAAATGAGGAACATGTTATTATTTGATGCTTGATGAAAGACACTCATTATAAAATGACAAAGAACTGGGCTGAGTTGTGTTCTAGTGTGTGTGGAAGGTAGAACTTGTGAGTGATGAGCTTGGATATTTAGTAGCAGAGATGTCTAAACAAAGTGCTAAAGGTGTGGCTTAGTTTCTTTTTGCTACTTTACAGTAAAAGGCAAGAGGAGAAAGATAAATCAAAGAAGAAATTGTTATGCAAAAAGGGACCAGAACTTGAAGATTTGGAAAATTATCAGCCTATCCATATTGCAAAAATAAATAAATAAATAAAAGATAAAACATGTTCTGAAGAGAACATCCAGGATTTGACTGGACAACCATTTGATAAAGAGATTAGTAAGAATGTGACTCATATATCTAATCAAACATCTCAGCAGAAACTCTGACAGCTTGGACTGAAATGGACAGAGATGGTACAAAACGAAGGAAGGCATTTGGACTTCTTAGATTCTACAGGATGGGGCAACAGAGCAATCAGCCTGTGAACATGCATTATCCTTCTGGAAAATGATCCCAAAGGTGATTCAGAAATAAGCAAGACTGCACTGCCACAGTGGCTGCAGAAGTCGTAGGGGGTGCTAGGAGAACTGAGGCTGTATCCTACTTGGTTTCAGAGGGTGGGGCCACCTCCTCCATTTTAGCAGGTTAGGCTGCTCACTAGGGACCTCAGAGGAGTGGCCAATCGGGACCATGGAGGCAGGGCTGCCCACTTGGGATCTCAGAGGCTGGGCTGCTCACTCAGAACCTCAGACGAGAGGCTACCCACTCGGGACCTCAGAGGCAGGGATGCCCACTTACAACATCAAGGAGAGGCTACTTGGGACCTCGGAGGCAGGGCTGCTCACTCAGGGGGAGGGCTGCAGCCACAGTTTACAGGGACAATGCTTCCATCCCAGTGGGCCAGCCTGGAAAACAACATCAAACCAAAAAGGTTATTCTCCAGCTTTAAAATCTAATGGAATTTGCCCTAGTTTTTGGGCTTGCCTGGAACCTATGACCTCTTTCTTCTGTCTGATTCCCTGCTTTTGGAATTGTAATGTCTAGACAATGCCTCTCCTATCGTATTTTGGAAACAGATAACTTGTCTGGTTTGACAGGTTCACAGCTGAAAGGAATTTTGCATCAAGATAAATCATACTTTAATATTACCCATACCTGACTTAGATGATATATGGATAAGACTTTAGACGTAGAGTTGATGCTGGGATGGATTAAGACTTAGGGGCTGTTGGGATGGAGGTGAATGTATTTTGCTTGTGAAAAGGATGTGAGTTTTGAGGGTCCCAAGGGTGGAGTGTTAACGGGCTGCTTTGTGTCCCCTGAAAATACATTGAAACCCTAGCCCCACTACCTTACAATATGGCTGTATGTGGAGATGGGGTCTCTGAAGAGGTAATTAAGTTAAGATGAGGCCTTTAGGATACAACCTAATCCAATGTGACTGGTGGGAAGTCACAGTCATAAGAATAGAAGATTAGAACACACAGATAAATATCAGGGATGGGAGGAGAGGAGAACACAGAGAGGAAAGACCATGTGAGAACTCAGTGAAAAGGTGGCCATCTGTAAGCCAAGGAGAGAGGCTTCTGAAGAAACCAAATCTGCTGATATCTTGATCTTGGACTTGTAGCCTCCACAACTGTGAGAATATAAATTTCTGTTGTTTAAGACACTCAATCTGTGGTATTTTTCATGGCAACCCTAGCAAACTAATACCACGATTTGATTGAAATCTAGGCTGAGTTTCAGATTCTATGTTCTACATTATTATTTGCTAAGACCTACCAGCATACCCTTTGGGTCTAATGAAAGACCCAGTGATTCACAGGAACAGCCTGTGTGCATAAGCTTGAGGTCTCGGTGGATTTTGAATGAATCCTTCTCCACATTACACACATGCACACAAACATTCTTGTCAAAATAATAACTGACCAGAACCTCTCAAGAGTGGCTTTGAAGGAAAATTATATAGTAAACCCAAAGTGAGTGCTCCACTTAAAGCCCTCCAGGTTTGAAAAACGCAACATTGTAAACTGACAGTAAAAGAGGAATCATCAAGAGCAACTGAAACACAAACAGTGCAAACATGAGGGTCTTCTTCAAGCCCTTCAGCAGACTAGTTCTTTGGTTTTCCAGTTAAAATCTTGATAGAAATGTCAATATTCCACTCGAGTCTCTTAATTTCCATCACGAAGAATCACGGGGAAAAATTAAATGACTACAAAGTTTTTCAGAAATGGTCCTCAAAAATTAAGTAATCTAATTTATTTTGGTTTTAAATGCTGGGAAATATCCATGCCTGCTTCTCATTATGAAAAGACAGTAAAATCTACCTTAAATTAGGTTACAATCATCATTGGAATCATGCCCTCTGGGTACAAACAAGATACATTGTATCTCTCACCAGAGCATGAAAAGTTCATGAACATTGGTAGAAACAAGAAGAATTAATGATTAGCTGTAACTTGACATCTTCTTTCTTCTAGCACTCCACCACCCTTCACAATATATAAAGTGTACTGTCAGGTCCAGTCATTTGTTTTCATCATAATATAACCCTCATATCTGTTCTTCCCATTTCATCTACTAGCATCTTTCATCTAGGCCCTCATCACATTGCATCTAAAATTATGATTCTGATCTAATAGTCTTGAAAAAATACTATTTTCTCAAATGCCTTACTTCAATTTTCTTATTACTTTCCATCCATCATCTGAGTTTTTGCAGATTCTATCTTCCCCACATTTCCAGTATCAAAATCAATACATCATATATTTAGAAAAGGATGCCAGGTTCTCCTCTTAGTTGCTGACATATTTTATCTACAATACCTCTGATGACTAGACGAAGTTTGAATAAGTGCTGTGAGGAGTGGCTGGGACCAACATCCTGAGGTCCCAATAAAAATGTTAGTGATAGCCAACATTCTTAGTAGTTAGTCTGTACCAGGCACTGTACTCAGCACTTCACATATATTCACTTGCATTTTTTAATCAAGAACCCTAGGAGCCAAGTCCTATTTAATAATTTCTATTTTACAGATCAAGAAGTCAAGATACAGAAAAAGTAAGTAACTTGCCCAATTTACAAAAACCCCTCAACTCAAGCTCCAGATTTGAACCTTGTTCTGCTGGCTCAAATTTAAAACTCTTGTAAGTAGACAGTGAAGCAGGTATTTTGCAAGCTAAAATTGTACAGCTTTATGGATTCTTAAGGCCAAGCTACACAGAAAGAAGTGGAGAAGAGCCCTGGTCTAGGAGTAAGGAGACGTGTGTTCTGCTCAGAAATCTGTTGCTGTGTTCCTATGAGCAAGCCAACGTTCCTTGCTGGGCTTCAGTGTCCTAATCGGTGAAATTAGGGCATTAAACTACATTATCTCTAAGGCAGGGATTTTTACTCTCCTTTACTCCAGTGTACGTAGACTCTCTGCTACTACTAAATCTATATTAATCTGTGTGTGTGCGTGTCTGTGTCTGTGAGAAATGAGAGAGAGACAGAAGAGAGAGAGGAGAGAGAAAAAAACAGAGAGACAGAGATAGGAAAGTTTTTGTAAAAAAGCTGGACTAACAGTAGATAAAGATATATGTGTTCTCTTTTTTTCCCATAATGGTAGGCAATTATTAGTGTGACTTAGATTTAGGGACTTACAGATGAGGAGGGCCTGAGTCAGCATCTCAACAATGCTCTTGGCCATACAGTACAGTACTAAGATGGATGCAACAGGAAGTAGGGGTGAAACGGAAGCACTTCCTCAGGGTTCCCCTGCCAAGCTTTCAGCTACATCTTTTTGGCTATAGCTAAGTTATATGCTGTCTTAGTTGGTTTTGTGCTGCTGTCACAGAATACCTCAGACTGGGTAATTTATAATGAACAAAAACTTATTGGCCCATGGTTTTGAAGTCTGGAAGTTCCAAGATCAAGGGCCAGCATCTGTCCCGGGTCTTCTTTCTGCATCACTCCCTGGCAGGAGGGCAAAAAGAGGGAGAGAGAGAGTAAAAGGCTCTTAACTCTCTTTTTTATAGCAAACCTACTCCCAAGATAATCATGTCTCATTAGAGCCCACCTCCACACACTGTTGCATTGAAGATTAAGTTTCCAACCCATGTTTATGGGGGGCACATTCAAACCACAGCATATTTTACTCCTAAACCTGAGTCTGGGCCTGGCTCTCTTGAGATTAGAGAATTTCTGAACAGTTCCAAACAAAAGTAGAAGGCAGGGCTTTGGGGGTAACCAACCAAGTGTAAGTCACAATTCCACGTTCTTACATACAGAGCTGCCAGGGAAATATTCTTCAAACACATACATGGGAAGTCATTTCACATTTCAAAACTTTTCTGTGGTTACTACTAAAAAGCAAATTCAGTGTAACATTGAACATCTTTTGTAATTTAGCTCCCTTTATTCTAATTTTATCAAATTATCCTCCCTATTAGGTATTTTGGAAACCAATGGAAACATTCTCCTCACTGTTTTTTAAATATCTAATGTGAATCCCAATCTCTGTTATTTTGCTTACCCTATTTGTTTTGCCTGAAATGTTCAACACTCTCAATTACCACACTTTTATTAAGCATGTTCTATATGCCAGGCACGTGGTAATAACTGCAGGAGATGCACATATTACTGGAAAACAACAACAAAAAAGTGCCTTTTCTTCAAATTTCTAATAGTCTAGTTTCATGAACAAGTACATACACAATTAATTATAATAAGTAGTACAGAAAATTATAGTAAAATAAACATAGTTTCTTCTATGTCTAGCTTAGTTATATGCATGCATCTGACTCGGCTCAAGTCCCAGCTTCTCTAAGAAGTCATTGATCTCAGTCCAGAGTAATCTCCTTTTCCAGCTGCACTTTGCAGTACATTTGTTCTAGAGAACTCATAAACTCATGTAACCCTTAATATAAACAAGCGTAACTTTTTATATTTCAAATATATGGGCTATATATCTTTTCCAAATTTTATCTTTTTAAAGTACAGAGATTTTATTCTGTGTCTCTTAATTTCTCTAGAGCTCATATATCACTTGCTCTTTCATTTGGCCATTAATTTATTTGTTATTCATTCATTTAGTTGTTTCTATGAGCACAGCATTGTGCCAGGTCCTGGCTGGAGGAGAAAGGACGGAAAATCCAATGATAACTAAGACACAGTTTTTAACCTTAGCAAACTTGTAATACAGCAGGGGGGATGGATCAGAAAAACACCATAATACAAGATGATCTTTAATAAGTACAGAAATAGACAGTCGAGAGGTACCTTTGAAGGCAAGCCTTGAAGGACAAGTAGGAGGTCAACAGATGCAGAGATGGATCAGGGAAGAAATGGATAGCATTCTCCACAGAAGAAAGATAATGGATAACAAAGTGGATGCAGAAAACTTTGAGATATGCTCAGAGAGCAACTAACGTTTTACTTTAATGTGAATAGCAATAGGAAACTGAAAGAGGCTATGCAAGGCTTAACATAGAAAGATAATGCTGGTCCAGATGATGAAGAGATGTGGGAATTCGAGCTTTAATCAGCTGACTTTTAATTGGGGGATAAGGTAAAGAGAGGATGAGCAAAGGTTTCAGCCAGGAAGTAACCTGATGGAAATTTTGGTTAAAATGACTAAGCCAGAGGAGTGGCACACAGCTAGAACTGGAATGGAGAGTAACCACCAATGGAAAGGCATTTAAGAGGCTGCTGCAGGAAGTTAAGTGGAGGAAAAAAGAAACTTATTTAGCTCTCTGACCAAGTCCCCTTTGATACCTGAAACATAGATGACATGTATTACTTTTCACATAGCCCAGAGGCAAAGCTACAGAAAGAGAGGAAGAGGTGTGGACATTGGATTTGATGACTCAACACGGATAACAAAGGGAGAGAGAATCCACAATGAATTCCATCTCTTATCAGTTGTGAAATCTTCCTGCACCAAAATATTTCCCCCCGTCCACTCTCTCTATTCGTAAGATTATACAATTTGCTCTTTCTTCTTTGCCTTCTTTATTCTGTTAACTCTCTTTTTCTTGTTCTCTGGATATTACATAAAAGTCTCATGTAATTGCCCTTTTCACATATTATTCAGCTGAGGATCATATTGCTTAATCATTCTAAGCTATATTCTCAAGTAAAACCTTCTTAGGAATAGACAGGAACATAATGTAGAGCACAGCAAGGGAATATTCTGCTCCCAACAGTGATGACAAAGAAGCTACACAGCAAAGGGAAACTTTTATGTAAAGACCCAGAAAACAAAAGGTTGATAAGAAGAACAGTGATTTCAATGAAAAGATCACCAGAGGTCTGAATCCCCAGCACATACAGTTGTCTTTATTCTTTGATCTTCCCTGGCTCTGAAATTCTGGCTTAAGCTACAGTCCATGACAGCCCCAGGACATAGGGATTTGATAGCTTCCAATTCCATTACAGTTTTTTCTCAGATCAATAAAGTGACCTTAAAGGAAACACACTTTCCAGTGTTTCCATTTCCTTGTAAACAAAATGGGAATAATACCAAGTTTCCATACTTGAAGCATGAGAACAAAGTCCTCTGAGGATATGAGGTGCTGAATAACAAATAGGATGGAATATGTAATTCAATCAGTCATGCCTCAGCACTGGCTGTGCCCATTTATTATTACTGTTCAATTTCTAAAGTGATGGTGAAATGGAATTTTCACTAATTTTTCAAGAACTTGAATCTTATTCTTATAATCTTGAGCTTTATGTTGCTGATATATTGCAGATATAATTTTTGTGTGCTCCAAGAGGCTTTCTGCTCACAGGGCATTGCTGTAAGTTGTGGATAATTTATTTTCCCCTGCTATTATATTGTGTAAATTACCGTGTTGGCAATATTTTAGCCTCTCATACTTTGAATCAATGCCCAGAATAATTCTAACAAGATTTTGATTCTCTGGAAGCAACCTCAAGGAAGAAAGCCCTTCAAAATGCCTACATATTCATTTAAACTTCAGCTGGGAAAAACATCTCCTCCAGGTCAAGTATAAGGTGAATCCAAAGGGTAAGTGATACTTATCTCAGCTCCCTGCTAATATCTATATCCTCCTTTGCTGCCAGAAATAATCACAGGGACTTGCCAGTTGAAGACACATTCCTAGACCTTTCTACCTCAGGATGTAAGTTCTAGAAGTGGAATCCAATTTGAGGTCTGCTAGAAACCACAAGGAAATATTTGAGTCCAGAGATCCAGCTGCATCACCAAGTCTGTGGTTTAATTTTATCACCCAAAGGAGATACTTTGATTTGCAGCCAGGAAATGTCTCATTTGTTAGTGTTAGAGATAATCAGGATGAGTCAAATGGAAACTGGCCTGCCAAATGAGTCAGGCAAGTTGCTAGGGACGTGGCCACAGTGCCTTGTGGTCATAGAAGGCCCAGCAAAGATGTGGCCTTTATGCAATATCTTATTTGATTTTGAATAAAAATATAGCCTTATATAACAACAGGAAAAGAGAAAACAAAAAGCTTCTGTCTTGTTTTACCTCCCCTAAACCTATCTCTACTGCATATTAATGAAGAAAACCTTCTTGAACTCATAACTGGAACCTCAGGGACCCAACCCTGTCTCTGTCAAAATTTCCCAGCCTAGATGCAAGGCAGGGGTTCTCCATTCTTAGGCTCACTGCTTTGACCCTGACTAGCTGAGTCAAGGAGATATTTGGGAGATAGTCTTTTTTAATATTCTTGATTACGATAATGGGCATATATTGTTAGTGCTGACTTCATGGGATGTTGTGAGAATTCAGTAAACAAATGCCTGTGTGCTTTGCCAAGCATATGAAACAATGAAAGTTATTAAATCTTACTATTCATAATAAGATACAATTATTATTGACATAAAATTAACAATAAGGATTTTCCAGCAATACAGGGAAAGAGGCTAAACCTCAATATAGATGACTGTTTTTTCCTTAAGAAGCTCCTACTGCAAGTCAGGATTGAGTATGGGCCCTATGGTAGGATGAGTGCAGCTATAGGGAAATTAATAAATAGGCTCATTTCCTCCTCACATGCTCCTTAAAAAATACATATCAATTTTTATTTGTTTTAGCTAAGCTCTCCTTTTATCTATTCATGCTCCTATCTAAAAATGCAAAAGTAGTTTGAGATAGGAAGAAAAGAGCCCTTAGAAGTACTTTTACATTTCTTCCAGTTTTCTAATGAACTTAATAAGCTCCCCAGGCACATCTTACAAAGTAAAGAAACCTTCAAAAATATTAAAATAATTTTGTTTTCTCCAGTGTACAGAGCATTCTAGGTGGCTGGTAAGACACATCATCATCAATTTTACAAGTGTTCAGTTAGCAGTGAAAGAAAAATCACAAGAGAAAACACTTTCTTTTTGATGTCTTTTAATATATTTGGATGGAGTTCTGTTGCAAGATTTTTCACTGGAGCTGTTTCTCTGAATTTTCACCTCAAATTCCACTTGAATAATGACAATTCCAAGTCTTCCTTCTTTCACTGCCTGGCAGGCCTAGCAGATTTTGACAGTGCCAGAAACTTGCCAATATTTTTGATCAAAGGAATAATTGATTCAATTGAAATCAGTGTCACTCTTTTTGCTATCTTTACTCATTTAGTGAGTGCTACTCTAAGAAGGGCTCTGCTCTGGGCCCAGGGATTATGAGAAATAACGAAAATTGCTTGAGTTTTGCCATCAAAATCATAAATCTCCTCTGAACAGCAGAAGAAACATCAGACTCCAGGACAGAAGAAGCATAAAACTTGAACTGGAGATTCATAGCCAATGATAATATCAAAGGTGGCATGCACCTTGATGGTGATCAAGTTCATGTGACCATTCTTAACTGTCCAGTTGGCTTTCTGCAGGTCAGATTTCGAAAATCCCTCGCCAGGAACTCATCTTATAACTCATTGCCTCTACCGCTAATCTTTCTAAATCAGAATAGCTGCAGGAGGATCTTTTTTTTTTTTTTTTTGAGACAAGGTTTCACTGGGCTGTCCAGTCTGTAATGCAGTGGCATAATCATGGCTCACTGGAGCCTCCAACTCCTGGGCTCCAGGGATCTTCCTGCCTCAGCCTCCCAAGTAGCTGGGACTACAGGTGCACACCCCTGTGCCTGGCTAATTTTTAAATTTTTTTTGTAGTTGCAGGTGCCTAGGCTGGTCTCAAACTCCTGGCCTCAACTAATCCTCCTGCCTTGGCCTCCCAAAGTGCTGAGATTACAGGTGTAAGCCACTGCACTTGGCTAAAATCTTGATTTTTAATAAAATTCTTAGATTCAATTAGAGAAAAGAATGCACTTGAAATGGGAACTGACATTGTAACCCAGGAATACCAAATATACATGTATTTTTATGTATAGAATTATTTCCAAGTGACACTGGAAGATTCTAAGAGAAATCCCTTAAGTAAGTTAAATACAACTTGATGTGTTCACGAATACCTACAAAACAGCAAGACTGTTTAACCCTGAAAGGGGTGAGACCAAAGTTAGGATCTTCTTTTAGGGAGTGGCCAGTCACCTGGTCACTGACTTGTGTGACCTTGCTGTAATTGCTTTCTGCTTTGCTTTTAGAGTGGATTGAAAAGTTGTAACTCTAGCCTCCACAGACAATGAATATCTGTAAAGCTGAGGGGCTTTCCCTCTTAAATCTTCAAGAATTCAAGTGGTATCCATTAGAGGATTCTGAGAATTCGGCTCCTTCAGAATGTTAGAGCTTTTCAGTAAGAGGATGGAACTATGTGGAGTGTGTAGAAATCAGGCACCATCTTCTGCTCCATCCACTCTGCAAGACTGCCCTACATCTCAAGTGTCTGGAGAAGAAATTCCACCTACAGCTTTGAGGTCAATTTGCTCTGGTGTGAGAAAGGCATGGATGACACAAATCTATCAAAATGAGTTCTGTTTCCTCCTTTGCAGCCACTATAATCCATTTCTGTGCTGTTCTATATTCATGAGCTAAATAGACATCATCTCTTGGAGTTTATCTTCTCAGGAAAAAAGCTCCAGTTTTTAAATTATGACTGATTCATAAAATTATGATTTCCTGGAGCAGGAAAAAATATAGGAAATTGTGCATAGTTTCAAATACAGTCTTTAAACCAGAGTCTAGCTCATCTCAGCTTATTATCTTGTACACATTAGATGCTCCAGAAGATTTGTGTGTTGGCTGTTTGGTTGGGTTGATGGGTATATTATGGGGACAAGGACCACAAAACCATCTGGACTCCAGGAGTGATGGAGAATACCTGGCTCCATATAAGTCAATAATAAAACAGTGCTCAAGGCTGGTGTTTTTCCTAAGAGACTAGAGAGAGGTGGGAAAATGAGTTCTTTTTTTTCTGGAACATAGCAAAGTAGCTGCGCATAATATTTTTGGCATGTTAACTCTTTAAACGTGTAATAAGTGTCTAGGTAGGTACTGATTCAGCTTTTTTTAAGCAACGCAGAAGTTACTGCAGGTCTGTATTCCCTATGTGGCTTTTTGTATCTACAGATCAGAAAGCCAAAGCCTAAGGTTGGATCCCAGAGATCCATGAGAACTGCAGTGGCAGTGCAGCATGCTGAGATGAGCTCTGTCTGTCCCTATCAGAACAGTTTCTCACTGAACCAAGCTCCTATCATTATGCATCATTATCAGTAGGAGATGAGGCAACAATTCTGTTAAAAGGGTATATTTTCAACTATATCTGCAAAAAAATGTAAAATGCAAAGATGAATAGTTTCCAAGTAAATAATCGCTGGCATGAGCAAAAAGTAAATAATGAGATTGATTCTGGAGGAGATACTGAGAGAAAGATAGAATGAGAAAGGGCTGGATCCTGCTGGGGAACCCCTTCTGCAGGATTAAGCAGTGTGTGGGGGGCACAGTATTTCCTCTACACCTTTAAACAGTGGTTTCCATGACATCCACTGCACCAAGGAGTATAAATCCTACCCAGAAGAAGATCATAAAGATGTTACCTAAAGCTACTGCTAGTACTGTGTTTTCCAATTAGCTTGAATAATAAACAGAGAATGGCATGGTGTGGGAAGACTTAAGCTAATAAGAAAGCTATGTACCCATAGCTTTTGACACAATCCAAATCTTGAAGTTATTGAAGATCCAGTCCATCCAAGCACTTTTCTTAGCTATTGAGACTACAGTTGTATTTTATTTCTCCAAGAGCACTCAGTATTGAATAGTCTAATAATCTCATATGGTCTTTATATTAGAACACAGACACCCAGCTACAAGATGCTACCACTTTTAGTTAAAGAATCTTTTTTATTCCAGAGGACGAAAGCATGGGGTCCAAGTTTGGTCCATGTACTCCTCAGGGTTCCAGAGACCCCTTCAGAGGGGCTATAAGATCAAAATGATTTTCATAATAATACTAAGAAGTTACTTGTCTGTGACATTGTGTTGATTATGTATTGATGATACAGAAGCCATACTAGGTAAAACAGCTGCAGCCTGAGCAAGAATCAAGTCCGTGGTACTAGCTGTCCTAGTAGGCATGATATTCTTCTCTGTCAGACAGTTGCAGAAAGAAATAAATAAGAATAAATGCCAGTTTCACTTAAGAATTCCCTTGATTGAGCACTAACAATTAATTTCAAAGCCTGACCCTTGAATACATATTTTTTCATGTTTTTCATATGTTTTTGTATGAAAAAAATTCATATTTTTTCATACTTATTTGTGTGATGAAATGAGAAGTACACATAAAGTGTTTATACTGCCTTTTTAAGTACAATGGCGGTCTCAAGTAAAAGCACTGGTGTGAGAGAGCTGTGAGCTGTTCTTGTTGATTATTTCATGTAAAATTATTTCTACTTGAAAGAACAACTGACAGACAACTACAGTTATTCAGATTTGTGCATTTGGCAATCAAATAAATGAAGTAAGCTTTTCGTGTCAAGGAAAACAACTGACACTATGTATTTCCAATGAGAAAACTTTTACTTTCAAGTGACTATTATAATTTTGAAGAACTTTTTATGCACTCTGAGCTTGACAGCTTCCCAACACTTAAGACTTTTCTGAGGATATCAGTGGTAATGTTAAGAAATGTGGGGTTTTTTGTATAATGAAGTATGTCAACATTAAGAAAAAATGATCAATGGATGATCCATTCAAAGTACAGGATAGACTAGTGGATGGATTGTGATTTAATAGAGGATGAAGAGTACATTTTTAGCATTTCGGATGCCACACTTCAACTAACCTACAGGAAACTGCAACTTGCAAAATTTCAGTGTTATATCAAAGAAGATTATCTACAATTATTTGAAAATGCATGAAAATATTCCTCCTTTCTTCAAATATACATCTACATGAGACCAAATTTTCTTCATATACTTCACCTAAGTAACATAATCCACCACATTAAAAGCAGAGGCAAGGGGTCCCTTCCAAGATGGCTGAATAGGAGCAGCTCTGGTCTGCAGCTCCCAGTGAGATCAATGCAGAAGATGGGTGATTTCTGCATTTCCAACTGAGGTACCTAGTTCATCTCATTAGGACTGGTTGGACAGTGGGTGCAGCCCACAGAGGGTGAGCCGAAGCAGGGCAGGGGTGTTGCCTCACCCAGGAAGTGCAAGGGGTTGGGGAACTTCCCTTTCCTAGCCAAGGGAAGCTGTGACGGACTATACCTGGAGAAATGATACACTCCTGACCAAATACTGTGCTTTTTCTACAGTCTTAGCAACCAGCAGACCAAGAGACACCGTCCCATGCCTGGCTCGGTGGGTCCCATACCCACAGAGCCTTGCTCACTGCTAGCGCAGCAGTCTGAGATTGACCTGCGGCACTGCAGCTTAACTGGGGGAGGGGCATCCCATTGCTGAGGCTTCAGTAGCACACAGTGTAAACAAAGAGGCCCAGAAGCAGGAACTGGGTGGAGCCCACTGCAGCCCGTCAAGGCCTACTGCCTCTATAGATTCCACCTCTGAAGGCAGGGCACAGTAGAACAAAAGGCAACAGACAGCTTCTTCAGACTTAAACGTCCCTGTCTAACAGCTCTGAAGAGAGCAGTGGTTCTCTCAGCATGGTGTTCAAGCCCTGAAACAGACAAACTGCCTCCTCAAGCAAGTCCCTGAGCCCCATGTAGCCTGACTGGGAAACATCTCCCAGTAGGGGCCGACAGACACCTCACACAGGTGGACGCCCCTCTGGGACAAAGCTTCCAGAGGAAGGATCAGTCAGCAATATTTGCTGTTCTGCAATATTTGCTGTTCTGCAGTCTCTGCTGGTGATACCCAGGCAAACAGCATTGGGAGTGGACCTCTAGCAAAACCAACAGACCTGAAGCTGAGGGGTCTGACTGTTAGAAGGAAAACTAACAAACAGAAAGCAATAACATCAACATCAACAAAAAGTTCATCTACACCAAAACCCCAACTGTAGGTCACCAACATTAAAGATGAAAGGTAGATAAAACCACAAAAATGGGGAAAAGCCAGAGAAGAAAAGCTGAAAATTCCAAAAACCAGAGCTCCTCTTCTCCAAAGGATCTCAGCTCCTCACAGCAAGGGAACAAAACTGGACAGAGAATGAGTTTGACGAGTTGACAGAGGTAGGCTTCAGAAAGTCAGTAATAACAAACTTCTCCGAGCTAAAGGAGCATGTTCTAACCCATCGCAAGGAAGCTAAAAACCTTGAAAAAAGGTTAGACAAATGGCTAACTAGAATAAACAGTGTAGAGGAGACCTTAAATGACCTGATGGAGATGACAACCATGGCACAAGAACTTCAAGATGCATGCACAAGCTTCAACAGTCGATTTGATCAAGTGGAACAAAAGATATCAGTGATTGAAGATCAAATTTATGAAATAAAGTGAGAAAATAAGATTAGAAAACAAAGAGTGAAAAGAAATGAACAAAACCTCCAAGAAATATGGGACTATGTGAAAAGACCAAATATATGTTTGATTGGTGTACCAGAAAGTGACTGGGAGAATGGAATCAAGTTAGAAAACACTCTTCAGGATATTATCCAGGAGAATTTCCCTAACCTAGCAAGGCAAGCCAACATTCAAATTCAGGAAATACAGAGAACACCACAAAGATACTCCTCGAGAAGAGCAACCCCAAAACACATAATTGTCAGATTCACCAAGGTCAAAATGAAGGAAAAAATGTTAAGGCAGCCAGAGAGAAAGGTCGGGTTACCCACAAAGGGAAGCCCATCAGACTAACAGTTTCTGGCAGAAACTCTACAAGCCAGAAGAGAGTGGGGGCCAATATTCAACATTCTTAAAGGAAAGAATTTTCAACCCAGAATCTCATATCCAACCAAACTAAGCTTCATAAGTGAAGGAGAAATAAAATCCGTTACAGACAAACAAATGCTGAGAGACCTTGTCACCACCAGGCCTGCCTTACAAGAGCTCCTGAAGGACGCACTAAACATGGAATGGAACAACTGGTACCAGCCAATGCAAAAACAGGCCAAATGGTAAAAACCATTGATGCTATGAAGAAACTGCATCAATTAACAGGCATAGTAACCAACTAACATCATAATGACAGGATGAAATTCACACGTAATAATATTAACCTTAAATGTAAATGGGCTAAATGCCCCAATTAAAAGACACAGACTGGCAAATTGGATAAAGGGTCAAGATCCATCGGTGTGCTGTATTCAAGAGACTCATCTCACCTGCAAAGATGCACATAGGCTCAAAATAAAGAGATGGAGGAAGATCTACCAAGCAGATGGAAAGCAAAAAAAAAAAAAAAAAAAAAAAGCAGGAGTTGCAATCCTAGTCTCTGATAAAACAGACTTTAAACCAACAAAGATCAAAAGAGACAAAGAAGGCCACTACATAAAGGTAAAGGGATCAATTCAAGAAGAATAGCTAACTATCCTAAATATATATGCACCCAATACAGGAGCAACCAGATTCATAAAGCAAGTCCTTAGAGACCTACAAAGAAACTTAGACTCCCACAAAACAATAATGGGAGACTTTAACACCCCACTGTCAATATTACACAGATCAACGAGACAGAAGGTTAACAAGGATATCCAGGACTTGAACTCAGCTTTGGACCAAGTGGATCTAATAGTCATCTACAGAACTCTCCACCCCAAATCAACTGAATATACATTCATATACATTCTTCTCAGCACCACATCACACTTATTCTAAAATTGACCACATAATTGGTAGTAAAATACTCTTCAACAAATGTAAAAGAACAGAAATCACAACAAACTGTCTCTCAGACCACAGTGCAATCAAATTAGAACTCAGGATTAAGAAACTCACTCAAAACCACACAACTACATGGAAACTGAACAACCTGCTCCTGAATGACTACTGGCTAAATAACGAAATGAAGGCAGAAATAAAAATGTTCTTTAAAACCAATGAGAACAAAGGCACAACATACCGGAATCTCTCGGACACATTTAAAGCAGTGTGTTGCAGGAAACTTATAGCACTAAATGCCCACAAGAGAAAGCAGGAAAGATCTAAAATTGACACCCTAACATCACAATTAAAAGAACTAGAGAAGCAAGAGCAAACAAATTCAAAAGCTAGCAGAAGGCAAGAAATAACTAAGATCAGAGCAGAAATGAAGGAGATAGAGACACAAAAAACCCTTCAAAAAAAAATCAGTGAATCCAGGAGCTGGTTTTTTGAAAAGATCAACAAAATAGATAGACCACTGGCCAGACTAACAAAGAAGAAAAGAGAGAAGAATCAAATAGATACAATAAAAAATGATAAAGGGGATATCACCATCTATCCCACAGAAATACAAACTACCATCAGAGAATACTATAACCATCTCTATGCAAATAAACTAGAAAATCTAGAAGAAATGGATAAATTCCTGGACACATACACCCTCCCAAGACTAAACCAGGAAAAAGTTGGATCTCTGAATAGACCAATAACAGGCTCTGAAATTGAGGCAATAATTAATAGCCTACCAACCAAAAAAAGTCCAGGACCAGACATATTCACAGCCAAATTCTGCCACAGGTACAAAGAAGAGCTGGTACCATTACTTCTGAAACTATTTTAATCAATAGAAAAAGAGGGAATCCTCCCTAACTCATTTTATGAGACGAGCATCATCCTGATACCAAAGCGTGGTAGAGACACACACACACACACACACACACACACACACACACAAAGGTAATTTTAGGTCAATATCCCTGAAGAACATCAATGCAAAAATCATCAATAAAATACTGGCAAACCAAATACAGCAGCACATCAAAAAGCTTATCCACGATGATCAAGTTGGCTTCATCCCTGGGATGCAAGGCTGGTTCCTCATACACAAATCAATAAATGTAATCCATCACATAAACAGAACCAATGACAAAAACAACATTATTATCTCAATAGATGGAGAAAAGGCCTTCGACAAAATTCGACAGCCTTCTTGCTTAAAACTCTGAATAAACTAGGTATTGATGGAACGTATCTCAAAATAGTAAAAGTTATTTTTGAGAAACCCACGGCCAATATCATACTGAATGGGCAAAAACTGGAAGCATTCCCTTTGAAAAGCAGCACAAGACAAGCATGCCCTCTCTCACCCTCCTATTCAACATAGGATTGGAAGTTCTGTCCAGGGCAATCAGGCAAGAGAAAGAAATAAAAGGTGATCAATTAGGAAAAGAGGAATTCAGATTGTCTCTGTTTCCAGATGACATAATTGTATATTTAGAAAACCCCATCATCTCAGCCCAAAATTTCCTTAAGCTGATAAGCAACTTCAGCAGTCTCAGGATACAAAATCAGTGTGCAAAAATCACAAGCATTCCTATACACCAATTAAAGACAAACAGAGAGCCAAATCATGAGTGAACTCCCATTCACAATTACTACAAAGAGAATAAAATACCTTGGAATCCAACTTACAAGGGATGTGAAGGACCTCTTCAAGGAGAACTATACATCACTGCTCAACAAAATAAAAGAGGACACAAACAAATGGAAGAACTTTCCATGATCATGGATAGGAAGAATCAGTATCATGAAAATGACCATACTGCCCAAGGTAATTTATAGATTCAATGCTATCCCCATCAAGCTCCAAATGACTTTCTTTCCAGAATTGGAATAAACTACTTTAAAGTTCATATGGAACCAAAAAAAGAACTGCATACCCAAGACAATCCTAAGCAAAAAGGACAAAGCTATAGGCATCATGCTACCTGACTTCAAACTATGCTACAAGGCTACAGTAACCAAAACAGCATGGTACTGGTACCAAAACAGATATATGGACCAATGGAACAGAACAGAGGCCTCAGAAATAACACCACACTTCTACAACCATCTGATCTTTGACAAAACTGACAAAAACAAGAAATTGGGAAAGGATTCCCTATTTAATAAATAGTGCTGGGAAAACTGGCCAGCCATATGTAGAAAGCTGAAACTGGATCCCTTCCTTACACCATATACAAAAATTAACTCAAGATGGATTAAAGACTTAAATGTAAGACCTAATACCATAAACACCCCAGAAGAAAACCTAGGCAATATCATTCAGGACATAGGCATGGGCAAAGACTTCATGACTAAAACACCAAAAGAAATGACAACAAAAGCCAAAATAGACAAATGGGATCTAATTAAAATAAAGAGCTTCTGCACAGCAAAAGAAACTATCATCAGAGTGAACAGGCAGCCTGGAGAATGGGAGAAAATCTTTGCAATCTACCCATCTGACAAAGGGCTAATATTCAGAATCTACAAAGAACTTAAACAAATTTACAAGAAAAAAAATAAACAACCCCATCAAAAAGTGGGTGAAGGATATGAACAGACACTTCTCAAAAGAAGACATTTATGCAGCCAACAGACATATGAAAAAATGCTCATCATCACTGGCCATCAGAGAAACGCAAATCAAAACCACAATGAGATACCATCTCACACCAGTTAGAATGGCAATCATTAAAAAGTCAGGAAACAACAGATGCTGGAGAGGATGTGGAGAAATAGGAACACTTTTACACTGTTGGTGGGAGTATAAACTAGTTCAACCATTGTGGAAGACAGTGTGGCAATTCCTCAAGGATCTAGAACTAGAAATACCATTAGACCCAGGCATCCCATTACTGGATATACCCAAAGGATTATAAATCATACAACTATAAAGATACATGCACACGTATATTTATTGCAGCACTATTTACAATAACAAAGACTTGGAACCAACCCAAATATCTATCAATGATAAACTGGATTAAGAAAATGTCGTACATATACACCATATGCAGCCATAAAAAAGGATGAGTTCATGTCCTTTGCAGGGAAATGGATGAAGCTGGAAACCATCAGTCTCAGCAAACTATCACAAGGACAGAAAACCAAACACCACATGTTCTCACTCATAGGTGGGAGTTGAACAATGAGAACACATGGACACAGGGTGGGGAACATCACACGCTAAGGCTTGTCTGGGGGTGGGGGGCTGGAAGAGAGATAGCATTAGGAGAAATACTTAATGTAAATGATGAGTTGATGGGTGCAGCAAACCAACATGGCAAATGTATACCTATGTAACAAATGTGCACATTGTGCACATGTACCCTACAACTTAAAGTATAATTAAAAAAAAAAGAGGCAGATATAAGAATGAGATGTTGACTTCTATCTATTAAATCAGCCATTAAATGGATTTGAAATATGTAAAAAATGGCATTTTTTCACAATTTTTTGTTTTTGAAAATAGTTAATTTTTCATAAAAATATGATATATATGCTATGTAATGAGATTATTATTTTTTAATAAAATATATTTTTAAATGTTTTTATTTTAATTTCTAATATGGTAACAGTCAATAGATATAACCTGCATTTAAAAAAAGAGCTCTTTGTAGTCTTTAATAATTTTAAAGAGCAGAAAGAGGTTCTCAAACCAGTTTAAGGACCACTGACCTAAGGGAAGGGAAAATCAGTGGGCTTATTCCCTATTCCAAAAAATAAAAATAAAAAGAGGAAAAGAGAATTACTGCACAGCATAGGACAATGCAGAGTATGAGAACTATTCTTGGTTTAGATTATCTTATTGGTTAAATTGTAAAAGAGGAAGACCATATTTTAGAGGCCCAATACAAATACTTGGATCAAGCCATTCCTGGCAAACCTTCTTCTTGGACTATGACATGCATCACCTTTGACAGGAACCAAAGAAAAAGACAATAATTTGCTGGGAAAGAGGTAGGAAAAGTCTTCCTGGCAGGGATGGTGAAGGCAGGAAATTCATTCTTAAAAACTAGTAATAAAAGAGGAGCATCCCAAAGAATAAGATAACAAAGAAAAAGAAGACAAAGCACTAACATTTCCAGGGTTAATGGTTATGTATAGACTACAAGCTCCACCCATCGCATGCATCATCTTATTTAATCTAAAAGGTGATACAAATAGGTGGGTATTGTCACAGATATGATAACTAAACTTCATTCTCACAGATATTTTCTTCACAAACTCTTGCTGGAAATCATGAGGACATATGAAGATACTGTGCTACCTAAACTTCTCTGAACTCCTAGCACAAGGTTGAGAATTAAATGGAATAATGTCTGTAAAGCATTCATACATTTACTCATCTTTATTTTCTTAAATCTATAGCTGTTCATGAAAATACTTTTGATATTTTTCCTTTGATGTGTATTTTTGATATGAGTTAGGTAGCATTATAACACTTTTAAATTTGGGGTCTATTATTGAAGATATACGCAAAGAGTGCTAAACTTTCAGAAGCTATGGTGAGCAAAAAAATAAAATGTACAAAATGCAAAATAAAATGAGATATGTCATGAGGGAATAGCACAGATATGAATATCTCTTATAAAGGATAATCTCTGCAGCATTAAGCATCTTAGTTTTTACTTTTAGAAATTCGTGATTTGGTACAAATCGTATGAATGACTGTGTGTCTTGGATTAAGGACTGAACTGTTGCATGCATGCACTAGTGACTTACAATTATTTAATATAAATACAGATTATCCTTCCTATATAAAGGTCCTAACAACCCACCACCCCTACACTTGCATCTAGGATTGTTTCAGCAGAGGGAAGGTAGATTTGCCTGCTTTTTCTGTGTTCTTTTGTGTGCTGCTGATTGCCTATAGCAGGACTAAGTGAGCTGGTTGCTAGTGTTTAATTGTGTGCCCTCTGGCTATAGAACACAGTTTACCTAAGTCGTCAATACAGGAATCAAACGTACAAATTAGTCCTTGCTTAGAAGTGAGGTTGACATAATTAAAATAAGCAACCAGCATTATCAAAGAACCCTATGAAAAGCATGTTAGCATTTTAAAATCCAACAACTTTATTAAATATCTAGAGGCTACCTTGCTGTTCATTGTTGGTAATTAAACAGACACCAACATTAGGGGAGATTTTAGCTAATGTCAGAGGCATTCCTCTCATTAAAGTCTGCATAATCACTACATCATGATTGCCCCAAAAAGTAACATTCAAGATTGCTGAAGAGACAAAATATCTATTTCCACCTTGCCTAATTATCTGTGGTGTGAATACATCTGATTTCACAGTTTGGGGAGTGGAATCTCCATAATGATTATCTGCAGCAAATTTGTTTTTATATATTAAGGAAGAGTTTCTCAAACCTATGAAAAATTGTTTGTTAGTAATTCAAAGTGTTGAGAATTCATGTATACAAAGTTTGCATGTAAGTCCTAAGTATATTTTATTGCTTTATCACAGCTAGAGGCTACTCAAATTTTTACCTTTCATTTCCATTAATATTCCTCCGTTTTTGATTTGCATTGCTCTAATGATCAGTAATGTTCAGGTTTTTTTTCATGTGTTTGCTGGCCATGTAAATGTCTTCTTTTGAGAAGTGTCTATTCATATATTTTGCCTACTTTTTGAAGGGGCTGTTTTTTTTTTCTTATAAATTTGTTTAAGTTCCTTGTAAATTCTGGATATTAGACCTTCGTCAGATGGGTAGATTGCAAAAATTATCTCCCATTCTGTAGGTTGCCTGTTCACTCCGATGATAGTTTCTTTTGCTGCGTAGAAGCTCTTTAGTTTAATTAGATCCCATTTGTCAATTTTGGCTTTTTTGCAATTGCTTTTGGTATTTTCATCATGAAGTCTTTGCCCATCCCTATATCCTGAATGGTATTGCCTAGGATTTTTTCTAGGGTTTTATGGTTTTGAGTTTTACATGTAAGTCTTTAATTCATCTTGAGTTGGTTTTTGTATAAGGTGTAAGAAAGGGGTCCAGTTTCAGTTTTCTGCATATGGCTAGCCAGTTTTCCCAGCACCGTTTATTTCACCATTTCACCTTTCACCATTGCTTGTTTTGTTCAGGTTTGTTGAAGATCAGATGACTGTAGATTTTTGGTGTTATTTCTAAGGCCTCTGTTCTGTTCCATTGGTCTTTATGTCTGTTTTGGTACCAGTATCATGCTGTTTTTTTTATTGGAGCCTTGTAGTGTAGTTTGAAGTCAGGTAGCATAACGCCTGCAGCTTTGTTCTTTTTGCTTAGGATTGTCTTGGCTATGCGGGGTCTTCTTTGATTCTACATAAAATTTGAATTAGTTTTTTCTAATTCTGTGGAAAATGTCAATGCTAATTTGATGGGAATTGCATTGAATCCATAAACTACTTTGGGCAGTATGGCCATTTTCATGATATTGATTCTTACTATACATGAAGATGGAATGTTTTTCCATTTGTTTGTGTCCTATTTCCTTGAGCAGTGGTTTGTAGTTCTCCTTGAAAAGGTCCTTCACATCACTTGTTAGCTGTATTCCTAGGTATTTTATTCTGTTTGTCGTAATTGTGAATGGGAGTTCATTCATGGTTTGGCTCTCTGATTGTTTATTGGTAAGCTAAAGGAATGCTTGTGATTTTGCAGATTGATTTTATATCCTGAGACTTCGCTGAAGTTGCTTACCAGTTCAGGTGGTTTTGGGGCTGAGATGATGGGGTTTTCTAAATATAAAATTATGTCATCTACAAACAGACAATTTGACTTCCTTTCTTCCTATTTGAATACCCTATATTTCTTTCTCTTGCCTGATTGCCCTAGCCAGAACATCCAATACTATGTTAAATAGGAGTGATGAGAGAAGGCATCCTTGTCTTCTACCAGTTTTTGAAGGGAATGCTTCCAGTTTTTGCCCATTCAATATGATATTGGCTGTGGGTTTGTCATATATAGCTCTTATTATTTTGAGATATGTTCCATCAATACCTAGTTTATTGAGAGTTTTTAACATGAAGGATGTTGAATTTTATCAAAGGCCTTTTCTCCATCTATTGAGATAATCATGTGGTTTTTGTCTTTGGTTCTGTTTATGTTATGGATTATGTTTATTGATTTGTGTATTTTGAACGAGCTATGCATCCCAGGGATGAAGGCAATTTGATCATGATGGATACGTTTTTTGATGTGCTGCTGGATTCAGTTTGCCAGTATTTTTTTATTTTTGATGTTCATCAGGGATATTGGCCTCAAGTTTTCTTTTTTTATTGTGTCTCTTCCTGGTTTGGGTATCAGGATGATGCTGGTTTCATAAAATGAGCTAGGGAGGAGTCTGTCCTTTTCAATCATTTGAAATGGTTTCAGAAGGAATGGTACCAGCTCCTCTTTGTACCTCTGGTATAATTCAACTGTGAGTCCCTCTGGTCTTGGGCTTTTTTTGTTGGTAGGTTATTAATTACTGACTCAATTTCAGAACGTGTTATTGGTCTATTCAAGGATTTGACTTCTTCCTGGTTTAGTCTTGGGAGGGTGTATGTGTTCAGGTATTTATCCACTTCTTCTAGATTTTCTAGCTTATTTGCATAGAGGTGTTTATAGTATTTTCTAATGGTAGTTTGTATTTCTGTGGGGTCAGTGGTGATATTCCCTTTATCAGTTTATATTTTGTCTATTTGATTCTTCTCACTTTTCTTCTTTATTAGTCCAGCCAGCAGGCTATCTATTTTGTTAATTTTTTCAAAAAAATCACCTTCTGGATCCATTAATTTTTTTTTTTGGAGGCTTTTTCGTGTCTCTGTCTCCTTCAGTTCTTCTTTGATCCTAGTTATTTCTTGTCTTCTGCTAGCTTTGGATTAGTTTGTTCTTGCCTCTCTAGCTCTTTAATTGTGATGTTAAGGTGTTTATTTGAGATCTTTCTAGCTTTCTAATTTGGAGATATGGCTCAAGGAGCTTGGAGGAAAGCGAAGATGGGTGCCTGCTGCTTCTTCTAGGATCTCTGATCTCGAGGGGCACCAATCTGATAACAGCAGGAATACTCCTGTATAGGTTGTCTGACAACCCCTGTTGGAGGGTCTCACTCAGTTGGGTGGCACGGGGAACAGGACCCGTTGTCCCATGGTGGAGGGGTTGTGCTTCGCTGGGGGGAAACCCACTCATCTGGGCTGCCAGGATTCCTCAGAACTACCAGGAGGAAAGGCTAAGTCTGCTGGTCTGCAGAGACTGCATCCACCCCTCCCCCGAGGTAGCTCAGGCCCAGGGAGGTCCCTGTTCTGTCCCTGAGCCTCTGGCTGGATTTATCGGAGTTCCTGCAGGGGAAGCCCTGCCCATTGAGGAAGGATGGGTCAGGGTCAGGCCTGAAGAGGCACTCTGGCCACAGTCTGCCACAGCTGGTGTGTTGGGCTGTGGAGGACATGTCTTAGGACCAAGCCATCCAGCCTTTCTGGCTCCAGAAGGGGAAAAGCACGGCCTAGAGCTATAGAGATGGATGCCGCCCTTCCCCCGCCCAGGGAGCTTAGCGTGTTGGGTAGTTGTGAGCCCCAGTGCTGGCTGCTGTCCCTTTCTCAAAGAGCTCAAATGGCTTAGACAGCAGCCAGCCACAGCTGCAACTGGTGTTGGTCGCCCCTCCCGGCTGGGAGCTCCATATGCTTAAGCAGATTCCAGCTGAGAGGCTGTTGAGACTCTGCACGGTTCCAGGGTTGGGACTCTAGGCCCTGGTGGCGTGGGCTCACAAGCAGGATCTTCTGATCCGTTGGTTGCACAGTTCCATGGAAGAAGCATGGTTTCCCCGGCTGGGTAGCATGCTCACTCACCACCTCCATTGGCTGGGGGTGGGGGTTCCCCTGCACCATGTGGCTTTCAGGTGGGAGGCTGCACCACACTGCTCTTCTTTCCTCTCCGTGGGTCACGCCAGCTGCCTAGTCAGTTCTGATGAGAGAACCTGGATACCTTGGTTGCTAGTGAAGAATTCACAGGCTAATTATGGTTCTTTTTGACGGGAGCCTCCAATTGCCGCTGTTTCTAATTGGCCATCTTTGCCCTGCCCTCCTTCAGTTTTCTTCATTGTAGAGGTCTTGCATGTAAAGTTTCTTAAGCTCAATTTCACTGCACAGGGCAAGCAGAATACATATTTCAGAAGCTTATAAATTTCCCAGAACAGCAAACAAGTTCAGCACACTCGGTGTGATATTTAGTTCTACATAACTTTGTGTTCTGTTAAGAAACATCGTGAAAGATAAGCAAGTCCGATTACAAAATGCAAATTCTTCTGGTAATCTAACAACTACATTTATTAAACCACAAATGTCTCACCATCAATCCATCATTTAGCAAAAATTTAACAAATCCCTACTGATATGGTTTGGTTCTGTGTCCTCACCCAAATTTCATGTAGTATTGTAATCCTCAATGTCAGAGGAGGGACTTCGCAGCAGGTGATTGGATCACGGGCGGCAGATTTCCCCTTTGCTGTTCTCGTGATAGTGAGTGAGATCCCATGAGATCTGGTCGTTTGAAAGTGTGTAGCACTTCCCTGTTCACTCTCTCTCACCTCCCACCATGTAAAGACGTACTTGCTTCCCCTTTGCACTTCTGCTATGATTGTAAGTTTCCTGAGGCTGCCCCAGCCAAGCTTCCTGTACAGCCTGTGGCACTGGGAGTCAATTAAACCTCTTTTCTTTATACATTACTCAGCTTCAGGTAGTTCTGGATAGCAGTGTGAGAACGAACTAATGCACCTCCCATATGTGCATCATGTTCCTGGGCATTACAGGAGATTCTACAATACTAAAACTGCTCCCCTTCTTCAAGGAACTTACAGTAGTATAAGATGTGAAAAATAATGTATTATAATATTTTCAGCATACTAAATAATAGGGTTTTTAATGTATTTGTGAGTATTTTATGCATTATCACACCATTTCTCCCTCCTCTCAAACTTGCCCTCCATACTTAGTATTTAGGTAACTTTAAAGACCTATGATTTTCACCTTATTTACAAAATGTAACAGCATGAAGTAGGGGAAAAATAAATTTATTTCTAGTCTTTGTATTTTTAAAAAAATTAGTACTTGGGAGAGTATAAAAGATGTATGCATAGGCAAGAGAATCCAAGAAAACATCAAAAGTAAGACCAGCCTTCACTGCTCTTAATCCTCATCCATACAGATTGGAATAGAATCCCCAGGACGGGAAAAGAATCCTGTCCCATACATTAAAAAAAAAAAAAAAACAGCAAAATAGTAAGAAATCCTGCGGGATCAGAGAGCAGGAAACCTGTGACTCACTTCCCAGAAGAAGACACAGGGAGGCGGTAGGACTCCTTCTAAGATAAAGACACTGAGAGAGGAAGAGCCACATGCTGCACATAGGCAAGCATCGTCTTAAACAACTTCACTTGGATTTCCTATACTTAATGGTTCAGGAACACAGAATGGTGGCCATATATCCAAGGATGACCTAAAGACCACAGAGAGAGCAATGAACCTGTGAAGGCCGTATTGAAAAGCACCTAAAGTGGATGAATGAGCAAGTGTCTTGGGGGAACAGTGAATATCTCAGTAGACTCAAGCTTTGACAAGAGCACTGAGTAATGACCCAACATCCACCAAAATTCTTCCTATGGCTTTGGCATCAAGTCCCTTGGAATTTGGACAATACTGTGGGAAAGGAGACAGCATAAATCCTCACTGGAATGCCTGTTGATCATTCCAGTAAGATGGAGGTGGTAAAAAGAGAAATTCACTAATTACAAGAGATAAAGATATTTGTACTTTTTCCATATCGGAAATTGCGAGTTGATAGTCATAGCCAGCACTTTTTGCATAAGCTCATTAGTGCATAACCAGATCCTACCTTCCAGATAGTAAGAGCCTTATCATCTCTTATTTATCAAAGGCCAACTGTGAGCTAACATTGTGTTAGGGCTCATTATTCTTCATGAGTAATCCAAGACAGTTTCACAAGGAAAAAAAAGCCAGAGCTGGTCGTTGAATAGCAAGTAATGTTTAGGAAATCTGCTTGTCAAGGAAGGGAAATTTATGAGCAAGAAACAAAAGAAGAAGGGAGGAATGAAGGAATGAAGGAAGAGAGGGAGGAAGGAAGGAAGGAAAGAAAGAGAAAGTGAAGTCAACATTACATGTCTCAGAGTAAGGAGAGGGGTCTGCTAAGAATGGAACATGTATGATGTTGAATAAAATGAAGTAATTTGAAAAGAAATAGTAAGGTCACATGAGCTTGAATGACATTCAATTTTGTGTGACCATACAAGATCAGAAATGAAAAGCTCAGCCCACGTCAGGAATCTCTTAAATATGGTAATTTCCAAAACTTATAAGCAGTCTTATATAAAGGGTTTTCTGAGACTAATTGGCATACCAGATCATTCTTCTTCTCCCTCTCCCAAGTGTCTGTGTGGCTGAAGGCACAGATAATAAACTGCAAAGCAAAACAGCCTAATAGGGAAGGAGGGAGACTTTGGAGAGGGGTCTTTCATCACCAGCCCTACAAGAGAATGGCATTTACATGAAATTGATTTTCAGTGGTGAAATTGTGCTTGTGATGTTCCATTGTAAATATTGACAGCATTAAAAGGAATGTCTAAAAGATGGGCACTAAACTGTCACCAGCAAAAGACTGACCAGTATTTATGCTAAATTCCTCAAATTGCATCCCTTTTTTACATAAGTAGTGATGCCTCATGAAACAAAGCAGATAATTCACTAGAGCTATGAAGTCAAATAAAATGAATGCACCTACATTCTCTGTCATGTAGAAAGATATCCACTGCCTCTCACCATGACACAGATTTTTTTTCACCCTTCTTTGAGGATTTTCAGATAGAAAAGCTTATATAGGTCCCACATTGAGCTCAGAGGATGAATAGACAAAATAAATCACCATAAAAATAAAAGAACCTTAGAAACATTAATAGATTCCTGGTATTGAGTTGAGAGTATTGGATGCTGATGATCCTTTGCCATGTAAGCTTAGAAACATGTTTATCTATTTAATGAGGAATTAAACTGGCAGCTTGGTAGTGACGGGAAACAAACAAAAAAAATCAGACTTTGCTGCTTCTCTATTAGTAGTGGTAAAACAGTGGCTAAAAGGCACAATCTGTGGATTTTCTCTCAGCTGAATTTCTGAAAGCTTTAAATTTCATCCTTTATCACTTTTTACCTTGACACCTAGCAGTTTCATTATGGACTACCGTTAGCCTGCGTGCTGTCTAATTCAATAAAATAAAGACTGCAGTCTTTGGAACTCCAATACATTTTTTAGAATTATATGCAATTATTTTGAAAGAAGAACCTGAAGAATTTTCCTGGAATTCATTTTAAGAATATTATTACTCACATAGTACATTTATTAAGTAATTTAGAGCAAAATATTTTATTGGATTACTAATTATATTATAGAACATTATATTATATTTCTGAACTTGTGCTAAAATATCCTTGGAGTGAATCATAATTTTAGGATTAATAGACTTACAAGTTTTGAAAAAATGAAAGGTTTTCTCTGAAATATTACAATTAGTGCTTTGCATTGCTACTGAACAATACTTTCTCAAGTTATTCTGAGAAATGTAATTCAGAGTGCTTTGTGCAGAATCTTATTATAACTTTGAATTTTGACAATGACATTTTACATCAAAAGACAAATTTGTTGAGCAACACCAACTACAGTAATTCTGAGACTATTCCAGACAGTTAAATACTTTCTGCAATGATCAATAACAAGCATATGCATAAAGGTATAGTTGCTGTCTCATGAGGTCTATAGATTTAAGAATCACAATTAGCCATTTCCTTGGGGTCAGCCAAGTAGTAAAGGTTCTTGTTTGCATTATTAATGCCAAAGTGATGGTGGAGCTTAGTAAAACATAATAATTGGCACACACACACACACAAAGAACCCTCTTCAAATTCCCTTAGAAAGCTTTTGAGCTATAAAAAAGTCATGTTTATTTCCTGGGTATCCATGAGTCTGTGGCTTCCTAACATGAAGATGGTAGATGAAATAAATGAAAAGTCAATCAATCAGGTAAGCTGCTGGCTTCAGTGACAGAGTTGGTAGGACCTAGCCAAGGTCACCTGGTGCAGAACTGAATTTTGAGCACAAACCTTTTAACTCCAAAATTGGGTCTATATTTTAAAATTCTCCTGAGTATCTCAGGAAAGGAAAAGGCCGTGCTTTGTTTGTTTGTCTGTTTGCTTGTTTCATTATTCATGTGTTTGTGTGTTTGCCATAGTTGCAGGCTGGGGAATGCAGAAACTTCCTGCTTCTTGGGAAAGGAGTTAAGAGCCCAGGTTGGGAGCTCAGGGTGGCCTCATAAAAAGAGCCAGAGTTGGAGCCTAAAGCCAAGGTTTAAGGCCTGGATGAAGGGTTGTTTTAAGAATCAATGAATGTAATGCCAGTGTGCAATAGGAAAAGTGCACTAGAAAGGTAATAGAGATATGCAGGTTTTAGTTACAAAATTTAGGTGTCTTTGGGCAAATAATTTAACCTCTAGATCCTGAAGCTATAAAATAGACTAAAATCACTATGTATCAAGTAAGACCTTTTGCATTTGTTATACCAAAGAAATTAATTTTTCTGTATTTTTTTCATCTGTTAAATACTTCATGTGCTTTGAATCAAGCTTAGTTTAATCCAGGTATTGTGCCTCATAAATATTAAGCTCTCAATAAACACTTGTTCAAAGAATGAAGTTATCCTTGAACAAATGAATAAATGAAAGATTTCATAACAGAGGATATCATTTTGTAATTAATAATGAAATCAACAGGAGTCGAATTGATTCCTTATGTTTACCACTGTTTCTTTGTGACTACATCTTATGAGTTTGTCTAAATATAAATACAATATAACCATTCTTCCTTAAATCCAATCAATACTGTTTTTCTCTTGCAATCTTACTTTGAACATCACTGTCTTCTGGGGATACAACCTGTTTGTCCCACTGGTAAAGGTCAGTGCCTTCCAGACACTGTTTGCTACTGAAAGACAGGAAATGCATCTTTGTAGCTATCCCTTAAACAATTAGCCATAAAGGAGCTTGTTTGGGTAGTAGGCAATCGATAGAATTGCTGAAGGGTTCATCTGATAGGATCTCTAAAATTACCAACCTGATAAGGCCAAAGTTTTGATATCCAAGTACCTTGGTCATTTTGGCTATTAAATCATACTGTCAAAAAATGATTCTAGTCCATTGCTGTGAAATTATCCTAAAAGTAACTGAACTGAGAAGACTCAACCCCGAAGTGTGGTGATAACAGAACTGTCTACTTGACCAAAGTGAGCATGCCTCCACCTATCTCATGCTTTAAGGCTCAGCTCCTGGAACCCACTGCTTAAACTCGACAAGTGTTCAGAAGAGAGAAACATCACTAACAGGCTATGAAAAATAATTCTCTGAGTTCAATGTCCTGTTTGAGTTCTTGGTAGGCTCCTAGGGAAACCAGGACAGAGCGGCAGCCGGGACACCAGGAAGCTAAGCAGCAATACTTGATGGGAACTCTGAGAGAAAGGTAGAGAAATTCTAAAGACAATCTTTTCCCATTTTGCATTTTTCTGGGGACTAGTTCAACTCTTTAAATTGGAATAGGAATTTTACTGCTGGACAGAAGTTGAGGATAATATCATGGGGGAGAGGGACAAGGTTTGCATACAATTGGTTGAGGCTTAAATTGTGGAGTAGGAGAAAGCAAAACATCTATTACCTATTTTATTTTGGTTTTGATACCTTTTTTAGATATAATCTTTAAGCCAATTCTAAATGAGTGCTAGGTGTGGAACATATCATAGATCATGGAGCACACGTGTGGAAGTGCCTGACAGTCTAAAAATCCAGAACCTGAAATAAAGCTGACTTTGTTTTTCCTGTAGAATGTCCTTAAGTGTTTCTGAGATCAAGAGTCATAAATGTAGTGTATGTGTGAAAGGTATGTGAAGAAAATTTTAGCGTTGGAGCTGGGTCAGCAGGCACTCAATTGAAACTCAACCATTCAGCATTTATGTTACTTACCAGTGACACATGCTTATGAGCTTAATGATATTATCTGGCTCCATCTAACACAATGGTGCTTTTAGCTAATATCTTTAAAAATTCATTTGGAAGCAAAAGAGGACTCTCTACTCCACTAGAGACAAAGCAATGCAGTAGTCTCCCCTCATCCTCAGTCTTGCTTTCCACTGTTTCAGTTATCCAAGATAAACTGCAGTGCAAAAATAGGTAAGTAAAACAAGATAAGACATTTCGGGAAAGAGAGAGGAAAAAGAGACCATATTCACACAACTTTTATTATACTATATTGTTCTAATTGATTATTGATTATTGTTATTAACTTCTTACTGTGTCTACCATAAATTAAACTTTATCATAAGTATGTACATATAGAAAAAAAACCACTATATACAGGATTGGGTGCTATCTGTGGTTCCAGGCATCCACCGGCGGTCTTGGAACATGTCCCCTATGGATTGGGAGGGGTTACTGTACTACATCCCCATCCTCAGCTGAGCTAGGAATGGAATGACATGCCTGAAGCAAAGCACCACCCTGGCCCAATGGTCTCAATGGCAAGCAGGGGTCATGCACCACCAGACGTTCTGTGTGACCACATCTGCAGGAGTACAAGTGCCCGAGGAGTTGTGGATGGAATGGGATGGGCCTGGGAAACACGGGCCTGGAGACCAGAAGGGTGAGGAAGAAAGGAGAAAAGAGAGTAGAGAAGAGAGAAAAGGTGGAAGGAAAAGAGTGGGAGAGTCAGGGAGGCAGGAGGAAGCGAGCTACTACTGTCCAGGAAGGGGGCAAAGCTACCAGAGGGCATCCCACCCCTACAATTGACACAGCTCTCTTATGTTCCTGGTGCCCTCTAATATATAAAAGCACTCTCTGCTAAACACAAATCATTTACTACTTGTCAACTCTTCCCTTGACTATTTTAAGGGCCTAATGAAATGAAACTTATGCGTGAAGAAAAGAGATTCATAATACGGTTATTTCAAGAATACAGAAAACAGCCACACACCCCTCAGTGCTGATGCAGCACTCTACCTTGCCAGTCTCTTTCTGGGTTATATTAAAACAAATACGGTTCCAGGATTCTCTCTACGAGCAACCTAGAATACATAAAGAAAAAAGATACGGTGTTGCCACACCCTAAAGGCCCCAGTAACCTCTACACACCATGGTCCTTCTCAAAGTTTACACTTATCTTACTTAACTATGTTTTCTCCTGAGAAACCTGGAATGTTACAGAGCTGGAAACGACATCAACTAATCTATATACTTTATTTTATACTAGAAGGAACTGAATCCCAAAGTCATTAAATGAGTGGTTTTAGGTCACACACAGGTTTGATGATGAAAGAGGGTACTACCCAATTTTGCCATTATCACTGCAGTATAAAGGAGGGTATCTGTACATATGTATATCACCATCTTTAGGTCAGTAGATTACCCATTTCTTCTTATTCACATGAGAACAGCTTGTTAGAAAACCCTTAATTGTTGTATTTTCTTTTTCTTAATTCATGCTTCTGTAATCTCCTGAGACTGGTTTAGAGAGAATACAGAGCTTACAGACAAGTCTTAAGAGTGTGATTTCTTTAATGTTTACAGTCTTATAATGCAATGGGTATTAAACCGTAATTACCAGTATTTTTAGGTTGATAAAAAACACATTTTTGTTGAAATATTGTGAAATTTATGGAAAAATAGATTATTATTATATTCAAGGTTTTTAACACATTTTCCAGCTCTTACTTTTGGTCATTTTTTTATTTATTTTTATTTTTAAAATCTCTTAATCATCTACCTATTTTTTCATAACATTTACAATATTTCACCAAAGTATATTCCACTCAGTCTTAAATGAGAACCTGAAACTAAGTACAAGTTAAAAGAATGGCATGACTGTGTCATACTCATATGAAGAAGAAAGTGTAGATATATAGTCATTAGTTTGGGGACTGTGAAAAATATAAGTTTTATTAAGTATTGTTTTGTCTTTTCAAAAAACAATGTGTAATTCTCAGTCCGAAAAATTTCCACTGATGAAATATATATTCTGTAAAAGGTTAAAGTTAAGGATAATGTAAAGCATAAGAGTTTACTGCCATCTTGTGGAATGTTTGCTGTTACATTCTGAAATACCTTTTTCTCCTTTATTGTCAAGAATGTCATTTTTTTGTTACTATTAGTTACAAAATGATTTGAGAGGTCCCCAAGAACTAACCAGAACTAATACTTATCTATAAAACAAGACATGAGAGGACTCATATGCTTTGCATCACGGAGATTTTTGATTCATATAGCTTACTACCCCTTGTTTCCAGTCATTTGCTCATCTACTTTTCCTGTTGAGTGAATTTAGCATTTAATTTAATATATTTTACTTATCAAGGATTCAGAATGAGAGAAATACAATATTAGAGTGTTGACTGACACAGAAAAGAGCAAAGAACATATTCTGCTCTTGGACATTTAGTCCAGCCCAGGCATCCAGGACAATTGTCAATAAGGTAGGTCCTTACTAACAAAATTTGGTACTGGGATCAGCATTACCTGGGACATTTTAAGAACTGAAAAGACCTGGACCCCATTCCAGCCCTACTGAATCAAAACTTTCATTTTTTACAAGATCCCCAATTGATTCGCACGCACAGTAAAATTTGAATTGTACTAGCATTGACCACCATGTGTCATTCCATTTACACTTTTATTATAGCACAATATGCACACACACACACGCACACACACACACATACACACACCCCACAGTTGCTTGGAGATGTGGGAAAAGCCAAGCATCAAAACACTTGGATTCAAGTCCATGTTATTTAATTTGTGCATCTGAGTTTAAGCCCGAGAATTTAATTTTTGTGGACCTGAGATTTTTCATCTGTATCATAGAGAAAGGTGTTCCAAGGTGATTCTAATGTCCCTTCTCATTCTAAAATTCTTTGATTTACTATTTATGCATCAGTTGTTAATTTAGTTAAATATCCATGCATCATTTATTCATGCATCAGCAACTTTATTGTTTGTCTCAGTAATTCTGATTGCAGCCCAATGATTAAGTTTTAAATTCACAGCTGGCAAGCTGGTGGCCCAGCAGACATGTTTTGTCTACTAAGAAAAGTATTTAAAATTTTTGAAATTATTGCCGGGTGCGGTGGCTCACGCCTGTAATCCCAGCACTTTGGGAGGCCGAGGAGGGCAGATCACTGGATCAGGAGATCAAGACCATCCTGGCCAACGTGGTGAAACCCTGTCTCTACTAAAATTAAAAAAAAAAAAAAATTAGCCGGGCGGGGTGGCGCAGGCCTGTAGTCCCAGCTACTCGGAGGCTGAGACAGGGGAATCGCTTGAACCTGGGAGGCGGAGGTCGCAGTGAGCCGAGATTGCACCACTGCACTCCAGCCTGGTGACAGAGCAAGACTCCATCTCAAAAAAATTAAAAAATTGAAATTATTTACCAACATTTAAAAAAAATCATTATTTCACATCAATGCTATGGATTTTCTGCTTCTCTTCAAAAATCAAAACACCTGTCCAAGCTCACACTTCCACATGGAAACAATTACCTATGGCTGAACCCCATTTTGCCCCAGTCCCCACCCAGCCCTTTTCTTTACATTAATGCCTGATCCCTGTTGGCCTTGGGGTCAGTAATCTATCACTTAAGCAGTGTTCTCAATCAAGACATTTAGCATGTCCAAAACCTGTAATAGACAGACCAAATGAAAAATTGTATTCCTTTACAAGCTCTAATCTTCAACACTGAATTGTGCATTTCACTGTAGTGTGAATATCCTTTTTATGTACCACAGTACCCTTTTATGACTATTAAGTATTCACAGCATTAGAATGAGAATTGGCTTGTCCACACAGGCCCAATTTACTAATTACTTCTCTTAGCCAGCTTTTACATGTCCACATGTATAAAAGTGCAAGCAACACAGTTCCCTTCCTATTCAAAGATTACCACTAAGCTCATGCTGTAGGAGAGGAAACAATTTCTATTTTGGGGGGCCTCTGACTGCACCTATGAATTAAACTGACATAAGGCAGATTAGCAAGAGAAAGATGTACCAGTCTTAGAATTTTACATGTACCTGGAGTCCCCACAAGAAAGTGAAGCCTCAAAGAAGTGACCAGAGCAGAAAGCTTATATGCCATTTAAACAAAGAAATGAAAGATTTGTGAACAAATGACAAGACACAGGCGTTTGGGCTAGGAACAGTAAGCTATGGGGTAGTGATTAAGAGACATATTGGGGGAAACTAATGGAAGATAAGGATTATTTTAGTAAGGTTGTTTGTACAGATCCACTTCAGCATTGATTTCCAGTCTCTGCTGATAAGGATGTTCTCTTCCTTGTACAGGAAGGGCACCTTTCTCATGGCAAATTTTATAGCCTGTTTTTTAGATGGAAAAGAGGAGTTCAGAAAGCCCTTCCTGTATCTGCTGTTTCTCAAGTGCCTTCAGCTCAAAACGGTCAATATGCCACGGTAGTATATTTTTGGGTGGCATGTCCTGAATTCCTTCAATGCAAACAAGTAGAAGCTACAGCACTCTCTTCTCTAGAGAAAATATAAAAACCTCTGGTCATTGGTAAAGGTTTTTCATGCAACAGATATTTATTGAACAATGTGCAGGATGATAGTATAGCTTTGAACAAGACAGACATAATCTCTAACCTCATAAAATATGCAGTCTTACAGGGGAAACATACAATTACATAAGCAATTCCAGTCATCTCTGATGGTGCTTATGATAGAGGTTGTCACAGCTTAAAACAGAAAGTGTGAGCTGGTGTAGGAGTTGGAAATGTTTAGGGGATTCTAACATCCTTTAAGCTGAGACCTAAGGAAATATACCAGCCATTTAGGGAATGAGGTAGGAAGATGGTTCCAGGAAAGAATATCATGTGCAGAGATCAAGGGAGAGAGAGAGAGCATGGCAAGGAATGAACCGAAAGATAAACAACATGGTTGGAATAAAAGAAAAAGGAAGGAGGCTGGTATGAAATGAGCCTGAAGAGACAGGGCAGTTTCTAGACATTGGATATTGCCCTAAGAGCAATGGGAAATCACCAAAAGGGCTTAAGTGAATAGTCATCTTTGAGTCTTTAAAATAGCACTTTAAATTAGCATAAATCTAAGAGCTTAGATATTCGCAGAAATTACGGGTATCAAATAAATTAATAAATGCATTACCATCAGATCCCTGCCATCTGGTCTCACGTTCACTATGACTGCAACGGTAGTGGAGCCATGGGGCAAGAACTCTGTTCCACCTGCACTTTCAAAGATCTCTAGGGCATTAAAAAATAAAGATATGCCTAAACTTGGTTATCAAAAAAACATGTTTTATTTGAGTTGTTTACATTTAACAAATTAATACTTGTAAAACACAAAAGACAAAAGGCATATTATTTGCTCTACACTATATATTTTGTTAAGTTAACGTAAAATATTAATTTGTTGTGTCCTAGAAGCACTGTGGCATGGTAATGAGACATATTTTCCATATTTTACAACATATTTTTTTCCATCCTGTCATGTATCTCTGTGCTAGTATGTATGACCTTATTTGGGGATAATGCTGAAAGTCTAAATTTGAGCCATGTTGACTGTGAGGAAGGCCTAGTCGAATGGCCTCCTGGCTCCATGGAGACAAACCCTGGCTATGTGGATGAGGCAGTGTTACAGCCAGCAACATTTACTCACGGGTGCACAGGAGGTCAAACACATTATCCCTTGACCTGCAGGCTGAAAGCCAGTCTTGTCTGGCTGATCCTGCTGTTCCTAAGCAATCCACAGCTGGCTGACTAATTTAGGATGGCACTTTAGTGTTTTTAAAGCATTTTTTCTGTTTAGCCCACTTATTTCTATCCCACTTAATACAACCTCTAGACACTGCTTCAGCATCCTGCTGTTGAACATTCACTGCACATATTGACCTGAGCAGAGTTAAATTATGGGGCAGTGCCTAAACATCGATGGCTCATAAGCACTGGCTGATGATCTTGTCTTGACAAGTGGTGTGTGTGAGAATGGTTAAGCAGTCAGATATGACATCTAAGGCACAGTACAGGTCATAAAACTGTAAAAAATATGTTTTGAGAGACCCAGCTCCAACGTATGATTTTTAAAATGAAAATCTTTCATTTTGAAATACTTCAGAGAAGTCCCATGTAATTCTCATGTGACTCAGTATGCTAGTGTCAGCACTGGGACTAGGACACTGTACTCCAGAGGTCCAGGTATCACTTTCCGTGCCATCACTTTCTCTTGTATCTTTTTCTTGTTAAAGAAACAAACAAAAAGCAAAGCAAAATGTCCCAAGATTGAACATAATCACCATATTCTAGTAAAGGGCTAGCAAATCAGAGCCCGCAGGACAAATCTAGCCCACCATCTGCTTTTATAAATAAAGATTTATTGGAACACAGTCAATCTCATTTTTAAAGAATTGCCTCTGGCTGCTTTCACATAACAATGGCAGGGTTTAGTAGTTAGACAGAGACCTTATGGCCTACAAAGCCTAAAATATTTACTATCTGGCTCTTTCCAGAAAAAGTTTGCTGACCCTGATCTAGAGCAAATAAAACTGGTTTGGAAGTATAATTGTGATTTATTTAATTTTCTTGATTTGTCTTAGGTTACTTTAGAGCACTTTGCAAAGTAACAACTGGTGAGAGCAAGCATGTTGAATAGGAGAGGATAACGAGTCTGGGATTTTAAACCTGCAGTCAAGAGCCACACAGAGTCGATGTTTCACCTGTTATTCACTGAGCATTGGTTATACTGAGGTGGGAATAGCTACAACAGCAAAAGTTTCTATCTTAGCACATGTACATAACTACCCCCAAAAGCTACCCTTAATTGAGCCTTTACAATGAGCCATGCTATATTGGATACTTAACAAATATTATTTCATTGAACATATAGAACTCCTACAAAGTGGGGTTTAGTATCCTCATTTCTTATAAGAAAACTACATCTCGGAGAATTCAAGTCACTTGCTCAAGTTCACCCAGCAATTAAGTGTCAGAGCCAGGATCCACAGTAGGCTGATCCAGCTCTAAGGTCTTGGTTCCTAACCTCCATCACCCATGAAAGCACACTGTGGCAGTCTGCAGCAGCCTCTGCAAACTGCTCAGCCACCACCAGATATGGCGATGCAGTGATGGAAGATATTTTCTGGTCATTTCTATTGATGCTTTGCTTATTCTTCCCACTTTGACCCCAATTTGGGAACCCAGGAAACCAGAACTATGCCAGTGCCTACAGGTTCAGGGAGAAAGCAGGAGGAAGTCCCAGAAATCAGGACTACATAAGCCAGCAAAGGCAGGCTCAAGGATTCCTTTCCTGTCCACCTCCAAGGCACTGCAGGCAGCCACACCCCTAATTCAATCAACCCTGCTGCTTTGGCGTTCACTTTAACCAGGTTTTTGTTTTGTTTTGTTTTGTTTTGTTTTGTTTTGTTTTGTTTTGAGACGGAGTCTCGCTCTGCGCTGGACTAGGAGCTGGAGTGCAGGCTGGAGTGCAGTGGCGCGACCTCGGCTCACTGCAAGCTCCGCCTCCCAGGTTCACGCCATTCTCTTGCCTCAGCCACCCGAGTAGCTAGGACTACAGGCACCCGCCATCATGCCGGGCTAATTTTTTATATTTTTAGTAGAGACGGGGTTTCACCGTGTTAGCCAGGATGGTCTCGATATCCTGACCTGGTGATTCGCCCGCCTCGGCCTCCCAAAGTGCAGGGATTACAGGCGTGAGCCACCGCGCCCGGCCTAACCAGATTTTTTTAGTATTAATTTAATATTATTTTATTTTAAGTTCTGGGATACATGTGCAGGACGTGCAGGTTTGTTACATAGGTTAACGTGTGCCATGCAGGCTTGCGGCATCTATCAACCCTTCACCTAGGTATTAAGCCCCGCCACTTCAATCAGATTTTACCTGGCAAGAAGATGGGAATCAGGCAGGCCTGGCATGACTGCTTCCGGGTGCTGCATCCCCCGCTCCAGAGGAAGCGCTTCCCCTACAGGTAGAAGGCAGCAGTTACCCTACAGGTAGAAGGCAGCAAAACAGCCGTCAAGCAACTTCAGTGACTCGCCCCAAAGGATTTAGATCTCTTTCCTCCAGAATACTAAAATGTAGGCAAAAGTCATATAATTAAATGATTATTAATAACTTAGAAAATATGAAATCTCTCAAAATTAATTTAGAATTACTCATTTTTTAAAAGCCACTCACATTTTACCCACCTTTTCCCCAAAAATATTTCATTACTCAAGTTCACAGCCATTTTAAAGGATAGCAGTCGCTCTCCTTTTTTCATGCCCTTTAATACCACGTATTACCAGTTTTCATGCCAATTACTTGTCATAAGAGCCTTACCCTTACCCTTGTCAAATTTGTAAAGGGATGTTTCTTCAACTGGGAAAATATTTTTCTCTGTTTTAGCTCTAGACATCTGAACCAAAAGAAAAAAATATCGCCTTCAGTGATGAAAAGCATGGTGTGCAAATCGACTCTCTGGGTTCCTGTGGAGAGATTCTCATCCCACATAAATAAGTCTTCAGGCGCCCTGGTCAGGACTTCTCAGGCAAAGTCTCTTCCAGGCAGGTAGGAGCTGAGATGAGGCAAAAGCAGCTGTGTGCAGTGTCACTTCAAAAGGCAAGGAGATAACTAGACAGATTTGCCTCCAGGCAGGTCCTCCGCAAGCGAAACTTTACCAGACAGGCAACCGTTCTTGCCTGCCTAGGAAATAAGGCAGAAGCCACGGGGGCTGAAGCTCCTAGTCAGGAAACTTCCTCAGCACATCCTGGAAGGCAGGTCAGCGTGAGGCAGGCAGGGCCACTGGGCATGGAGCTAAACTGTAGAAGCCCACCCTTAGGCTCCTCTCAACATGCTGTCAATGTAACGATGTTTCTAGAAGAAGAGCAATTTCTTCTAATGAAGTACTGATTTAGACTCTGAGGCAATTGCTGACCTATCTTGCTCTGAAAAGATAAAGGAAGAATGTAATGTGTTTGTTGCTTGGGCAAGGTGTAAATGCAGCTGATAGATCTCTGTGCATGTGCATGTATTGATGAGAGTTTTGTTTGCATGCACAGTTGTATCGTCTGTATGCAACCCAGTTAATGATTCTTACCATCTTATCTTGAGTTCACAACCTATGATTTCAGGTGAATTTCTTTTTAGGGAGGACACCGCAATCAAATATGAGAAAGAAAGCACATAGCTGGTAGAATATTTAAAATAGCCACAATAACAACAAATTTTATATTCCTGAATTTCAACAGGTGAAATGAATCAGAGATAGCAGTGATTATAAGAGATCCTAAGTCTGTCTTGTAAACCTCATTTGGAATTGCTCATTGGCTAGCTTATTCTGTGAAGTGAATTTAGAAATTAGAAAATCTCAGATAAACAGACCATCAAAGAGCTGATTAGATAATTATGACTGACTTAATGCCAGTGAGATAGACACAATAAAGACCAAATCAATGGCCCGGTGCCATGTTGCTCTAAATCTCATGTCTTTAAAACAAACTGGGAAATATAAATTTGGCCACACTGAATGGTGTATTTTACAGGAGCTTTTGCCTACCTGGACATCAGACTTTCCTGAGGCTAATGGAGTCCAGACCCTCTAAATACTAGTAATGTCCCAAATCTGGACCTAAGTATACCTTCGCTAGAAGCAACAACTTTTTCTAAGAGCTTGTCTCTGACTCTCAGTCCAGTAGGAGACTGCTTCTATTAGAGAAAGATGAGGAGGAAGGTCAGAGAAACCAAGGACTACTTGATCCTAGGTAAAGCCCTCGGACAGAGTCTTGGCATTCACTAGATGGTCTCCCTCCTCAGACATGTGAGTAGGATGCTCAAACACCTAGGGTAAAATCAAGTATGAGAAGAGAGAAGTATCAAGAGGCCAATAAAGATGGGAATGTTCTTCGTAGCCTAACTGTGCCTAATAGAAATCTCTCCCAATGTATGTAATAAAATATTGTATAAATAATGATCTCACACACGCACAAAAAAAACAGGTCATCTGGTGTGTAAGCATAAAAATATGAGAAAAGATTACAAAGAGTATGTAGTTCAGACAATTAAAGGCTGGATTATAGAGATGGTAGCGTAGAAAAAGGCACTGATTCAAAAGGCATATACACCAAATAACTCCTCTTGCATTATGAGTACATCATTCATTCACCCACCCATCCAAGACATGCTTATTGAGCATAAACTAACTGTTAGAAACCATTCTCAGCACTGGGGAATATGGTGAACTAGACAGCCAGATAGAATGCACAATCCCAGGGCATATACATTTTAGTAGAGGAGACAGAGGAAAACATATTTATGCATATGTAATAAAAGATCAGATAGTGATAGGACTTTTGAGGTGAAATGAATCAGGAAAAGGGTTAAACAGGAGTATGAAGAGGTGATTTTGGTACATAGAAGCTCGTCTACATTTGGGTTAGGAGGGCCTTTCTGGATGACACTGTAGAACAAGTCCAGTGAATATCTGGAGAAAGATGGTCCCTTGAAGGAAGAATAATGAGGGCCAAACTCAAAGAGATTGACAAGCTTTTGATGCCAAGGGCAACAGGAAACAAGCCAGCATGAGCAAAGTAAAGTGGTAGAAGCTGAAACAAGACAGATGGGCAGGGAACAGCCCCTGTAGGGCTTTGGAGGCCATGATAAGAAGTTTGAATTTTTAAAATGCGTAAACAGAAATCACTGGAGGTTGTAGAGCAAGGCATGGCATGATCTGAGATTTGTTTTTAAAAGACTATTTCATCTCTTGTATTGGAAACAGACTATATCCCAGAAAGCACAGAAACAAAGAGACCAGTTAGGATACATTAGAGCGACCCTGGAAGGAGATAGTGGTGGATCAAAATAGGGTGATAGTGGAGGAGGGAAGGGGAAACAGTCAGATTTGGGTTATGACTTTAACTTCTCAGGACCTGGGAAAACTAATGACCATTATACTTTAAAAACTGCTGTGCAAATGATGTCAACACAGGCCTTTATAGCCCATCAATTACCTTGGTGCTTTGAAGTCACATTTTCCCTGGATCTAGGTTCACCAACTTGTCTGATGGTAGGACAGGGCTTCAGCACACATGCTCCCCTGGAGCATCTGATTCTGTTACCTTGGTGGGGTCTATAAATCTGTTTAACAAGTTATCTAAGAGTCTTTAACAATAGGAAAGTTGGGGAGCACTGGCTTAATAACTGAATTTCTTCATGCTCCACATACTATAGTTAGCTCCACCTTCCAGTGTAAAATTTAGTCCTCATGACTATGGGTACTGGGGGTATCACCAAAGTCATTGCTTCCAATTCCAGATGAAGTTCAGAATCACACAATGGCCTTGATAAAAATGCTTTTGGCCAATAGATCAGAAATAGGCAAGTAATCTCATTGCTCCTAGATTTCTTCTGTTTCTACTTGCTACCATACTAGTTCAGATTATTAATTGCATTTTTTTAATTCCATAAGGAACTCTGATACTAAGTCAAACTTCACAGCACCTAGTATTAAAGATGCTTCTCCTTTGCTTAGAAATTTTCCCTGGATCACATTTTTCTATAAATTTCCAAATTGTGGATTTGGCATTCAAGAAACATGCTATGATTGGGCTCCTGCTTAACTTCATAGTGTTTTCCATTCCTAGCCCCTTAAGAATCCCCATGCTCTGACCATTTTGTCAATCAACAACAAGGACCTCACATTTGCAGTTGTCTGTTCATGTCATTCTTTCCTTCTTTCTAGAATTCTGCTTATCAAAATTTTACCCCTTATTCAGAGCCAAGCATGGGCCACTGTATTCTGCTACCCATCTGATATGGTTTGGCTCTGTGTCCTCACTCAAATATCATCTTGTAGCTCCCATAATTGCTACGTGTTGTAAGAGAGACCCAGAGGCAGATAATTGAATTATTGAGGTGGGTCTTTCTCATGCTCCTCTTGGATAGTGAATAGGTCTCATGAGATCCGATGGTTTATTATTATTATTATTATTATTATTATTATCATAATACTTTGAGTCCTGGTGTACATGTGCAGAATGTGGAGGTTTGTTACATAGGTATACAAGTGCCATGGTGGTTTGCTGCACCCATCAACTTGTCATCTACATTAGGTATTCCTAATGCTATACCTCCCCTAGCCCCCCACCCCCTGACATGCCCCAGTGTGTGATGCTCCCCTCCCTGTGTCCATGTGTTCTCATTGTTTAACTCCCACTTATGAGTGAGAACATGCGATGTTTGGTTTCTGTTCTTGTGTTAGTATGCTGAGAATGATGGTTTCAGCTTCATCCATGTCCCTTCAAAGGACATGAACTCATCCTTTTTTATGGCTGCATAGTATTCTATGGTGTATATGTGCCACATTTGATGGTTCTAAAAATGGGAATTGCCCTGCACAACTCTCTCTTTGCCTGTTGCCATCCATGTACAATGTGGTGTTGAGCCTATGAGTGCACAGAAGTCAAGAATTGAGGTTTGGAAACAACCTAGATTTCAGAAGATGTATGGAAAAGCATGGATGTGCAGGCAGAAGATTGATGAAGGGGTGAGGTCGTCATGGAGAGCCTCTGCTAAGACAGTACAGAAGGGAAATGTGGGATGGGAGCCCCCACACAGAGTCCCTACTGGGGCACTGCCTAGTGGAGCTGTGAGAAGAGGGCCACCATCCTCCAGATCCCAGAATGGTAGATCCACTGACGGCTTGCACTATGTGCCTGGAAAAGCCACAGACACTCAATGCCAGCCCATGAAAGCAGCTGGGAGGGAGGCTGTACCCTTCAAAGCCACAGGGGTGGAGCTTCCAAAGACTATGGGAACCTACCTCTTGTATCAGTGTGACTTGGATGTGAGACATGGAGTCAAAGGAGATCATTTTGGAGCTTTAAGATTTGACTGCCCCACTGGATTTTGGACTTGTATGGGGCCTGTAGCCCCTTTGTTTTGACCAATTTCTCCCATTTGGAATGGCTGTACTTACCCAAAGCCTGTACTCTCATTGTATCTAGGAAGTAACTAACTTGCTTTTGATTTTAAAGGCTCATGGGCAGAAGGGTCTTGGATGAGACTTCGGCCTGTGGACTTTTGAGTTAATGCTGAAATGAGTTGAGACTTTGGGAGACTGTTGGGGAGGCATGATTGGTTTTGAAACGTGAAGATATGAGATTTGGGAGGCACCAGGGGTGAAATGATATGGTTTGGCTCTGTGTCCCCACCCAAATCTCATCTTGTAGCTTCCATAATTTCCACATGTTGTGAGAGGGACCCAGTAGGAAGTGACTGAATTATGGGGGCAGGTCTTTCCCTGCTGTTCTCATGATAGTGAATGGGTCTCACAAAATCTGATGGTTTTAAAAACAGGAGTTGCCCTACACAAGCTCTCTCTTTGCTTACTGCCATCCATGTAAGATGTGACTTGCTCCTTTTTGCCTTCCACCTTGACTGTGAGGCTTCCCCAGTCACATGGAACTGTAAGTCCAATTAAACCTCTTCCTTGTGTAAATTTGCCCAGTCTCAGGTATGTCTTTACCAGCAGCATGAAAACAGTCTAATACACCATCTCTAAACTCTTTAGCCAGAAGGGACTCCTCCTTTGTGTCAACCTTAATGAAATGACCATTTTGGCCACTTCTATGACTTATAAGGCCCTATATTGTGGCTGTGTGCTTAATTTAGATTGCTGATTGATGGCAAGTACTTTTTTTCCACCAGGGTCTACCATGTCTGAGATATGTTAATCTGTATTATCCAGTTTGCTTTATATATTTGCATTTGTTTGGTTTTCCATGATGTTATCGGAAGCATGAAGGAGCCATCTAAAATGAAAACCCAAAACCTTTAACACGCTTTCTGTCACTTATAGGATATATCTCTCCTCCTAAGCCTGGCATGGAAGGTGCATGGAAACTTGAATCCTGCCTACCTCTCCAGTCTTATCGCTTTTTACTCATCTCCTTGTATTTGGTATTCTAGCAAAATCAAACTGTTTTGTTTCAGTACATGAAAAAGACTGTTATTCATGCTCCAGCTATGTGACTTTTTTCATGAAATTTCCTTTACCCTACTTCATCCTGCTAACGCCTTTTCTTTCTGCAGTATTCAGTTAAGTGGACACTTCGTCCAGTAAGCCTCCCTCCTCACCAAATGTATGTCTTGAGCCACCAGGTTAGAAGATCTCCTTTTTCTCACATAATTTAAGAAGAACCATGCATTGAAATTGCCTTTTTATTAGTTTCCCTGTCAGTCAACTGTAAGCTTCTTAAAACCAAGAAATCTGTCCTATTTTATTTTAATTTCCAGTGTCTGCAGAAATCTGGCTCTGATAAATGAATATGTCATTGCATAAGCAAGCATTCAGAGAAAAGTATGAATATAAAAAAATAAACACATTGACAATGTTTCCTGAGTTTTTTATACCGTTCCTATTCCCCAGGTGATTCTGATGTACCTCCAGGGTGAGATTCATGGCCTTAGACCAAATGTAATTGACACTAAGTAAAAATCAACTGAGCTGTCTGCCCTGTGCAACACAGACCATCAATTCTAATAAGAAGAAAAAATGTCTAACCCTTTGGGTTTAGTCAAAATGAAAGTTAAATATGGAAGCAACTTTGTTAATAGTGTAGAGGTGTGAAACCTTCTAAAACAAAGTTGTCTGGCCTAAATTGTCTCTATGTTCTCTATAGATGAATCTAACTCACTGAAAAATTAATCTCATTTTTACTTTTTCAGCCTCAATAGGACACAGCTGCACTGATGTTAGTCTCAATTGATGGAGTGAAGAAGCCTCATCTTTATTCAGTGTAAAGCAGCTGCCAAGAGAAATGGCCTTTGAGAGGGGTAATAAGTTCATGAATATCACCTGTGTCGTGCAAAACAATATTTGATTTTTTTGAAAGTTTAAATTGATTGGAAAGAACATATGAATTAAGTGCTATCTCGTGAGTGAAAAGTTTTGCTGCAGGGTGACAGAGTGCGCCATCAAGGTGATGCATTTCAAACATTACCTTCCTGTGACACAAGGGAGTCATGGACCAAATGGAACAGAGGAAATTATGACCCGCTGGCCAGGATGGATCTGTAACATAGGAATGCCACACCAATATCCTGCATTCCTATTTCAGAGAATAAGACCTTGAGCAAATAAAACAAACACTGAAGTAGAGTTTTTCTCTGTGTATGAATATGCTCCACAAAATTAGGCCATGCTGGAAATTCATCATATATTTAGGAAACTATTCTCAAGGGAAAAAACAGTGTTATAGACTAGTAACCTAATAACTGAACATATGTACACACACACACACACACACACACACACACACACGGTCTTTTTCTCTGCCTTTCCAAAAATGTCTCACTTTTCTATTTTCAAATTCTCATAAATTTCTCTCTTTCTTTCTGTTCTATTTGATTCAAGAGCTTCTTATTTGACTGTTAACAAAACCCTTGTGTTGTATTCCGCAGGAAGTTCGTTCTTTCAGCTCTTGTCTGTCAAAGAGGTGGCATATGTTCCATTTAATGGAATTGCTACCAAGGGAAGGTAAACAGTCTCCAAGAATTACGAAGCCATTCTCCTCAGACTCGTTAAGATTTGACCTTTTAATAAAAGATAGTGTTTGCTTAAAGGTGATATTATATGAGAACTTGGGAATGAAATGTTGATTTCTTTCACCTGGAAAAAAATGTGCAATAAAAATGTGAACACTGACAAAGCCCTCAATACATGTATACATGCCAAGGGGTGCTACAAGTAATTTACATGTATCTATTAATTTGCTTTTTGTACCCACCCTTTAAAGTTGTTTTAAAATACCACTAAAATAAAATAAAACATTTAATGTTGTCTTAAATTCTGTTAAAAATAAAACAGAGAACTTGCAGAACTGGAGCATCCAGTTAATAAGTGAAACAGCCAGGATTTAGACCCAGAAAATCTGGCTTTGCAGTCCTGATTTCACCTATTAGGTATATTATGTTAAACTTCAGCAAGAGAGATTTTGATTAGGCAATGAAAAGACTCATAGACCTTGGGGAAATGTCCAGCTGAGGTGGTAATTTTTCTGATTTAAGGAGTCTAAAAAAACTGCATGTGATTCTCTTTCTGGTATAATTATAATATAGTCCATTCTCTCAGCAGGTAATTATACTAGTTATTTCACTGGGTCCTCTCCATTACATTATGACAAGTAGTAGCACAAGTCACAATATTCTTTTCAGCTCTATCTCCCACTTCAACGCTAGTTCTATTTCCAGCATCAATTCTGGCTGTAGGGTTGACTTTCATCACAAACATATTTAGCTTCATTAATAAACTTGAGACCTTTCTGTTACCCTCCCTTGGTTCTCTGCACAATGCAGTCAAGATATATATACAAAATTTTGTAATTTTTAGTTATGAAGAAGTTCAGAATTTTCTTTCTCAGGTATCCAGCACAAAGTTTTTTAATATTCAATATTACTCTCAGCAAGGCCACCGTATGCATCAAAAAGGGGAATCCTGAGTTAGATCAATTTAACAGAACTGAGGACAGTGCAAAAGATATTAAACTCAGGGTCGAGTAAATTCTCATTAAATAGTGTTAGTTCATTGATTCATTTTGTATAAGTACCAAAAACTCTTTTACAGAAACCAAAAGTTACTCCTTTAACCTTGGTACATTCCCTTTAAATATATGCCTTGGGCACTAGGCAAGAAGGTATGGAAGGATAAGCTCAGGCTTTCCCTACTGGTAATAGAAAAACAGCTCAAAGAGCAGATATTTTGTTTCAGGTCATACTAAAAATAACTATATAAATAACATAGAAATGACTAGATAAATATGCATAGCTACACTATGAGGGGCCTAAATAAATAAGCAAATACAACTCAATCAAGAGTTTGGTCAGGAAAAGGATCTAAGAGGAAATATGTTCAAGGATAAGGCAGTACTAAAGGAGACTCTAGGCCATGGGGAAAAACTGGCCCATGTGGAAGGATGAAATGTCCTTCCCACCTTCACCACTCATATCAGAGAAAAAAAATCCAGGTGTTGGGAAGGAACAATTGATTATGGTGTCATTTGTTGTCAAGCTAATAGAGGGACACTTTATTATGTAACCCATGGTCTGGAGGTCACAGGCTAGAGGAAGATGGTTGTAACAAAGAAGAAAGAAGAGGATTCTAAGGGCTTACCTGTGGAATGACAATGAGGGTCTTCCAACAGGTCAGAGCAATGAGGCCATGTCTTCTCATACAGTGCAAATGGGGAATGAGAGCCACAGTGACACAGCACACCACAAAACATGGTTTTGCATGGCCTCTACCTCTTTGCAATTTGAATGTATCACCAGAGAACTTAAGCAAAAATACGCTTGAATTTATTTGTAATATTTGTGCATTCACCTCAGTGGGAATAATGGAGAAGTTAATATACAGCATCAAAGAAGAATAATGTCCTGACATCCTCTCCAACTCTGTCCTTGTCACCCCAACATCAGGTAAATATCCTGTAACTGTGAAATACAGGGCAGAGAAGTTTTTGTCGCCTCCCCAGAAAATAATGTGAGGCACATTTTGTGGTCCAAGCAGACAGTCTCTCACAGGATTTATAATTAAATCAACCTGCCAAAGAAATGTCTGTACTCCCATGTTCATTAAAGTATTATTTACAACAGCCAAGATATGGAATCAAACTAAGTGTCTCTCTACATAAGAATGGATAAAGACAATGTGGTGTATATTTACACAATAGAACACTATTCAGCCTTCAAAAAAGAAGGAAATTCTGTCATTTGCAACAACATGGATAAACCTGGAGGACATTATATTAACCCCAATAAGCCAGGGACAAAAAGTCAAATACCACATAATCTCACTTGTATGTGGAATTTTTAAAAGTTGAACTCATAGCAGCAGAGAGTACAATGGTGGTTACCTGGGGCTGGGTAGGGGATGGGGAGTGAGTCAGAGAGATTTTGGTCAAAGGATATAAAATTTCAGTTTGATAGGAGGAATAAGTGGTGATTATAGTTAACAACAATGTATTATACTCTTAAAAATAGCTAACAGAGTAGATTTTGTTTTCTACCGCAAAAAAAGATACATAATGTGAGATAACACATACGTTAATTAGTTCTGTTTAGCCAATCCACAATGTTTACATAATTCAAAATATGTTGTACATGGTAAAGACACACATTTTTACATTAATTAATTTTATACCATAATAGTTTAAAAAAGAATTTACAATTGAATCCTTTAATGTTTAAGACTGAGGCAAGAATAAACAACTGATGGAACTGCTTTGCTCAATGTTTCCTAAGTGCACATGGCCTGCTTCTCATGCTTCGCAGCCATTTAGTCTCCATTTACTTCTTCACCTCAAGATCTTTACTTAATTGGTACATTGGCTTTCATGACCACTTTGAACACTTTCCTCTGGCTCTCCATAAGTAATGACATTTACAATTGCAGCAGCTCATTCTTTTCCTGATCTTCCTTCCAGAGAAATAATTCAATCTTTTCCTGCCATCAAACAAAGCATGCATCTTGGCAGTTTATGATTATGCGCTCTAATCATCATATTGTCAAGAATAAGAAGCAAATCACTACAAAATGTCTCAATGTCTCTGTGGTAGAGTCAGATCTAGCCCCTTTTTTTCAGGGTCTATATTCATTCTTTTTTCAGGTTACACTAGCCACGGAGCACAATAAATTCATGGTAGTGTTTTCTAATCCAAAAATCTCTGGTTCGTGTCTCATGAGGAGTACAATCACAATGGCATACAGTTCTTCTATTTTTTGTGTGTGGGAAAAATAGCAACTAGTTTGAGATATCAAACTCAAAATGGTTCATTTGTTCTGAATGAATTTCTCTGAACATATCCCAATCATTGGGCAATGCATGACTGTAGATAACTACTCGTTAAGCCTTTTATGTCAACTCTTTCTTCACTCAAGATAAGTTCCTTCTTCATTAGAGACTGCTATAGGTGAAAATGTAGGGATAACTTCATTATTCAACTGAAATTTTAGGAATCATTAAAATAGGATCAGACAAGCCTCAATACTGTGACTTTTAAAATTTTATGGACATTCTATGTGCAGGTACAATGTGAATGGCCTCATGTTTTGTAAGCTCACTGTCTCTCATTTTCAAAGTTTTATGGGTTTCTACTCCTGCAACCTCATAGTCCACTTCAGTCTCTAGTTTTCTTTATACATAATGTCTAGGTTTCAATAAAAAAATTACAAGATATGTGAAGAAACAGTAAAATGTGTTCTAGACCAATAATCAAGAGGAAAATCAGTTAATAAAAATAGATACACAGTTTAGATGCCAGAATTATAAAATAAGAACATATAAATGTCTGATAAATTTGTATGAGAATCTATACAAAATAGTAAGCATAATGAGCAAAGCAATTTTGGAGAGATTTGCAAACTGTAAAAGAAAACCAAAATAGAATCCTGATGCTAAAAAATAGATACCTGAAATAAAGTATTCACTGAATGTGTTTATGAGCATATTGGACACAAATAAACTTAAAACAGGACAGCAAAAATCACTCAAACTAAAGCACAGAAAGAAAAATATTTAAAATAATGATTGAAGTGTAACAATATTAAGTAGTCAAATACATAGTATTGCATTTTATAAATAATGAAAAAATAGCTAAAATAATGAAAGAATATAGACATAGAATATAGAATAAGAAAGAATAAGAAATGAAAAAATATAGAAATAGAATATAGAGATAGAAAGAATAAAAACTTTCTAAAATTGATTACAAATGTCAATTTAGAGGTTCAAAAAAGCCAGTAAGCACCAAGTACAATAAATTGAAAACACACACACACACATCTAAGAGTATCATATAAAATGGCTTTAAACGAAGACAAAGAAAAAACTCATAAAAATAGCTAAAGAAAAAACAGACTAATACAGGGGATAAATTATAAAAGAGAGTGATGATTTCCCATCAGAGACAAGAGAGACAAGAAGAAAATATAACAACATCTTAAAGGACCAAAAGAAGAAAATTATCAAATCAGAATTCTAAATACATGAAAACTGGGAGACTATTGCCAACATAAATGCAACATTTAAAACATGCTAGGCAGGTTCTTCATGATGAAGGAAAATTATACCAGATGGAAAATTGAATCTACAGGAAGGAATGCAAAATACCACAAAAGCTAAATATATGAAAACATATAAAACATTTTGTTTTTCAAAGCTATAAATATTTTTGTTTCTCAAAGCTATAAATACTAAGTACCTATAATATCCTTGGCATTAATTTAGCATTGTATGAATGTGGGGGGAAAAGTCAATAAAGGGGGGAAATAAATGAAGAAATGGGAGTGGAATAATAAGACATTTGCTACTGTTAAACCTTTTTTTATTGGTTTGTTTTTGAGACAGAGTCTTTCTCTGTCACCCAGGCTGGAGTGCAGTGGAACAATTTCGGCTCACTGTAGCCCCCGCCTCCCGGGTTCAAACAATTCTCATGCCTCAACCTCCTGGGTAGCTGGGACCACAGCTGTGCACCATCATGCCTGGCTAATTTTTGTATTTTTGGTAGAGGCAGGGTTTCACAATGTTAGCCAGGCTGGTCTCAACCTCCTGGTCTCTAGCTCCTTGGTCTCAAGTAATCCACCTGCCTCAGCTTCCAGCAGTGCTGAGATTACAGGTATGAGCCACTGTTCCTGGCCTAAACATTTTTACCAATGACTTAAATAAAGACATTGACAGCATACTGGGAAAGAAAATTAAGTAAAAGAAAATGAACAAAATATGCCACACAAAATCTAACCATAAGAAATCCTGTGAATTTGTAATAATGTCAGACAAATTAGACTTCAAGGCAAGTAGTGGGTCATTTCAAAAGGATAAAAGAGTCAAAATAATCTTAAATGTATATCTAAAATATCTATAATAAAAAAGCTTCAAAATACATGAAGCAAAAATTGATAGCAATGAAAGAATATTTTTACATCTCTTAGTACTTGATAGAACAAGTACACATACACACACAGTATGAGTTAGTAAGAATATTTGAATAAACAAATCAAAACAATTTGATATTCATAGAATATTATACCCAAACAAGGACAAAATACACATTCTTTTCAAATCACATGGAACAACCACGAAAATATACCCTATACTGGGTATATCATAAGCCTCAGGAAATTTTGAAAACTTGAAATTATTTAAAATATATTTGTTCTCTTACACAACAAAATTAAAATAAAAATCAATAACATTGAGATATACAGAAAAATCTCAAAAGTATGGAAAATAACCCTCTTTTAAGTAACCAGTGAATCAAAGAAAAAATCAAAAGTGAGTTTAGAATTATTCCAAAATGATAATACAAAAGACGAAATGGATAGGATGTAGCTAAAACAGTTATAAAAGTAAAAATCTATCACTTTAAATAAAGAAAAGCAGAAAGATGTGAAATCAACAATCTAGATTTTCCACTTAAAAAGCCTGAATAAGTGTAATTAAATAAGGAATAAGCAGAGAGAAAGAAGTAACAAATAGAAGAGCATAAATTCATATAGCAGGAAAAAACAAATAGCATCATAAATAAAAAGACAAAAAATTAATTTCAAAAGGATTTAAAAAAAGGGGAGGGGGGCATATATCTAGCTAGACGAACCAGGGGATAAAAAGGAAGGAAACACAAATTATCAACCCAAAGAATAAAATATGGTATATCATTTTGTGTCCTAGAAACATTAAAAACACAATGAAATGTTACTGAAAAATACTTTTATTCAGTGAATTTGAATTACTATATATTGGATAAAGTTATTGTAAAATGCACTTTGCAAAACTGACACAAAAACGAAAAAAATAAAATAGCCACTTATCTGATAAAGAAATCACGATAAAACTTTCCCACAAAAAAATTTTAAAAACTAAAAGTCCAGATGTATTCAATGATAAATTTTATTTAATGTGTAAAAATAATTAATCTTTTCTAATTCATTTCATACGAATAATGTAACTCTGATACCAAAACCTGACAAAGATATTACAAGAAAAAATCACAGACCACAATCATGATGGAGGAATTTTTAAACAAAATATTAAGAAATAAAATCCAATGATATATAAAAAGGATAATTCATAACGACCAAGTGGAGTTTATCCCAAGATGCAAGTTTGTTTTAACATCCAAAAATTAATAGTTGGAATTCTCTTCATTAACAGAAGATTAGAAAAAGTATAAGTTATTCAATTCATGCAGCAAAAATATGTGACAACATTCAACAAACCTGATAAAGGGCATGTATGAAAAACCTACAGCTAATATCATATTTAATGTTGAAACGTTGAACTCTTTCTCCCAAGACCAAGTGAGCAAGGCAAGAATGTCTGCTCTTGCCCTGCCCGGCGCCGACCGCCCAGTGCCTGTCCCCAGACTGAGGCCCAGCCCCCTTCGCCCGTGCCCATCACGAGCGCCACCAGCATGTCTGACAAACTGCCCTACAAAGTCGCAGCCTGGGGACGCAAGGCCCTGGACATTGCAGAGAACAAGATGCCAGGCCTGATGCGCATATGGGAGCGGTACTCCGCCTCCAAGCCACTGAACGGCGCCCGCATCCCTGGCTGTCTGCACAGGACCGTGGAGACTGCCGTCCTAATGAGCCTCATCACCCTGGGTACTGAGGTGCAGTGGTCCAGCTGCAACATCTTCTCTACCCAGGACCATGCGGCTGCTGCCATTGCCAAAGCTGGCATTTCAGCCAGCACTGGCATTCCAGTGTTGCCGTTGCCAAGGCTGGCATGCCTGGAAGGGCGAAACAGACGAGGAGTACCTGTGGTGCATTGAGCAGATGATGTACCTCAAGGACGGGCCCCTTAACATGATTCTGGAAGACGGGCGACCTTACCAACCTCATCCACAGCGAGTACTCGCAGCTCCTGCTGAGCTTCCGAGGTATATCCAAAGAGACCACAATCGGGGTCCACAACCTGTACAAGATGATGGTCAATGGGATTCTGAAGGTGCCTGCCATCGATGTCAATGACTCCGCCACCAAGAGCAAGTTTGACAACCTCTATGGCTGTGGGAGCCCCTCATAGGTGGTATCAAGCAGGCCACAGACGTGATGATTGCCGGCAAGGTAGCGGTGGTAGCAGGCTATGGCGATAAGGGCAAGAGCTGTGCCCAGGCCCTGCGGGGTTTCAGGGCCAGCGTCATCATCACCAAGACTGACCCCATCAAGGCACTGCAGGCTGCCATGGAGGGCTATGAGGTGACTACCATGGATGAGGCCTGTCAGGAGGGCGACGTCTTTGTCACCACCACAGGTTGTGTTGACATCATCCTTGGCCAGCACTTTGAGCAGACGAAGGATGATACCATTGTGTGTAACACTGGATACTTTGATGTGGAAATGGATGTCAAGTGGCTCAACAAGAACACTGTGGAGAAGGTGAACGTCAAGCTGCAGGTGGACCCGTACCGGCTGAAGAATGGGCGGGGCATCATCCTGCTGGCTGAGGGTCGGCTGGTTAACCTGGCTTGTGCCATGGGTCACCCTAGCTTCGTGAGGAGTAACTCCTTCACCAGCCAGGTGATGGCGCAGATCAAGCTGTGGACCCACCCAGACAAGTACCCCGTTGGGGTTCACTTCCTGCCCAAGAAGCTGGATGAGTCAGTGGCTGAAGCCCACCTGGGCAAGTTGAACATGAAGTTGACCAAGCTGACTGAGAAGCAGGCCCAGTACCTGGGCATGTCTTGTTACTGCCCCTTCAAGCCAGATCACTACCGCTACTGAGAACCCGGTCTGCGCTTCACCTTTCAGCCGCTGTCCCTGCCCAGGCCCCTCCTCTCCTCCCTAAGAGCAAACGGCACCAACTTTGTGATTCGTTTGTCAGTGTCCCCCATCGACTCTCTGGGGCCGGTCACTCAGTTTTTGGCCTCTGCTGCAGTCCTCATACTGTTCCAAGAGTGGCAGCGGGAACTGAGAGGCCCCTCCAGAAGCCACGGTCATGATGGAGGTCCCAGCCACAGGGAACCATGAGCTCAGTGGTCTTAGAACTGCCCACTAAGTCAGTCCTTCCTTAGTCTCAGTCAGTAGTGGAGTCACAAAGCCCGTGTATTTTGTCATCTAGGCCTTCACCTGGTCTATGGACTTATACCTGTGTGCTTGGTTGACAGGTCCAGTGGTTCCTCAGCCCATGACAGATGAGAAAGAGCTATATTGAAGGGCAAAGAAGATCTGTCGATCGAATTTTCCTGAGAGACTGGCTTAGTGCTGGGCCTTCTCTTAAACCTCATAACAATGAGGTTAGTACTTTTAGTCCCTGTTTTACAGGGATTAGAATAGACTGTTAAGGGGCAACTGAGAAAGAACAGAGAAGTGACAGCCAGAGGTTGAGAGGGGCCATAAAAACATAAAAGCTGGCAGAGATCTGCCACCACTTTGTAACCTGATGGTTCCTATCAGAGAATAATTTGGCCTACAATGTTTATAATGTTAAAAGAAAGCAGAAAGGTGGGTAAATAAAAATCTTGGTGGAAAAAAAAAAAATGAAGTCTGCTCTTACCACTTCTGTATATCTTTATACCAGAGCAATAGATAAGAAAAAAGCTATGAAGATTGGAAAGGAAGAAGCAAAAACTTTCATTATCTGCATGTAGTTTGACTACATAGATATTCATAAAATATATATCAAATAAATTATTAGAATTAATAAAATTAGATCAGAAGCTGAAAAGTCCAAAAATTATCTATGGTCCTATATACTAATCACTTAAAAACTGGAAAATAAACTTCTTTAAAATACCATTTACAGTAGCACAAAATTTAAATACTATTTGTGATAGCATCCTATTATTATTACAATATTGATAGAAATTACTTTAATAAAAATCTATAGAAACTGTATGCTAAAATTATAAGAATATTGAGAGAAATTTAAGAAGACCTAAACAATTGAATTGAAACTCTCAGTATTAATATTTTATTTGTCTCCAGATAGCTATATAAACTCAGAAACAATGCCAGACAAAATCCTACAGAAATGTTTCTACAAAATGACCAGCTGATTCAAATTCATTTTTAGAAATTCAAAAAAACTCAGAGTTAAAACAATCTGGAAAATGTTGATAGAGATACAGTAGCTTATTCTAAGACTTGTTCTATAGCTACAATAGTTTAAAAAAAAGTGGTATAGGCATACGAATAAAAAAATAAATCAACTGAATAGAATATGCTCTAGAACTAGAACCACATACATAGGATCAATTGATTTTCAACAAAACGCCAAGATAATATTTGGGAAAAAAAATATTTTTAACAAATAGTGCTAGAACAACTGTATATTCATATGGGGAAAAAAATGAGCTTCACCCCCCCATTTCATATTATACATGAAAATTATATCCCTGCCAAATGGATCAAAGACCTAAATATAGAAACTATAAATTTAAATTATCTAGAATAAAATACAGGAAATTATCTTCTCTAAAAATTTACAAATATTTATTCAACAGAAAACACTAACCATATTGATAAATTTCATCAAATTTTAAAATCTTGTGCCTCAAAAGGCAAACCATTGTTTGGAATAAAACATTCTTAGTACATACGTACAACAAAGAACTTGTATCGAAAATATATTTTTTTTAATCTGCTACACTTCAATAGTAAAAATAACCAACCAGTTTAAAAATGAGCAAAAGACTTGGACAAATACTTCACCATAAAAATATTAAGATAGCCAGTGAATATGTTAAAGAATGCTCAAACTCATTAGTCACTAGAAATACGAAAATTCAAACAACAAAATAAAACTCCATGCATACTAAAAGAGCTAAAATTTGAGAGTGACAATATGAAGTGCCAGAGCAGATGTATAGTAAACTAGAGCTCTTCTATGCTTCTGTAGACAATGTAAAACATATAACCACTTTGGGAAACAGTTTACCATTTTCTTAGAAAGTTAAATATATACTGCCTACATGAGTCAGCAACCCTACCCCTAAGAATTTGCTCAGGAGAAATGAAAACTTATGCTCAGGCAAAGATGTATACATAAGTATTTATAGCAACTTTATTCATAACAGCCCCAAATTGGGTACAACCCAAATACCCATCAAGTCATGAATGGCAAAACAAAACTAGTAAAATAAATAAATAAATAAATAAATAAATAAAAACCTATGCATAAATACAATAGTCTAGCTGTATCTCAAAAGCATTCTGTACAGTAAACAAAACTTGATACAAGGGTACATACTATATAATTATTTTTAGTATTGAAATATCTATGCATCACTTTAATAACAAATCATTGTAACTGAGTTCAAAATAAAGGAAAGAAGATGCTTTATTTAGCTTCCAATTTCTGGGAGACTCAAGAATTATAAGTATTCTGGACAACAAAAGAAAATAAGACTGTGCTTACAGAGCTTGTTCTGCCATATTCTTTCTTTAGGATGGCTATTTTATTGTTGCCCTTTTTGTTACATGGAATGTGCACAACAGGTTTTAAAAGGTACAACATTTCTATAACTGAGTGCCACTTTCAGAAACTGAACAGGCAAAGAAATTACACTGAACATCAGCATCTGGCAGTATTTTTTGGGAAAAACGTGACTAAAATGGATTTAAATGAACACTATTAAATCACATCTAATATTTGATACTACATGACTCTATACAGCTATATGATACAATTATACAAAATGTGTTAACATCAAAGAATATAACCAAAATTCATATAGCAAACAAATCCTATATAACTTTTTTTACAGGAAAATATTTTTGAAGCATGCATGTAACTGCCCATTCTTTCAAAGAAAATCTATTGCAAGCAAAATTATCAACCTCCAGAAAAATCACACATAGCATTACTAAGCATATCTTCAAAAAGTGTACAATATGCACACTTAGAAAATAAAAAATTTAAAAAATTATAAGCAACAAATGAGCTTCATACTTGCAAGAATGTAAACAGAAGTCCCATTTTTAGCACTGTTGTATAAAGAATTGTCTTTTGCATCTACGAGTTGTCCTGTTGGGAACACACTTTACAAAAAAACCATGTTTTTGAAACAAGATTAGAGAGCAAGATAAAGCATCTTTTAAAGCCTTTTTAAAATTCATGTGTGTGGAAATTGAAGTCCAGTGAAAAGCATTTCCCACGGTCTTCAAACGTGAACTGAAACAGCTTCTCTCCAGTGTGAACCAGTTTGTGTGGTTTTTGTTTTGAGCTCTCAACAAAAGCTCTTCTACATTCTGTGCAGAAGTGGACTCCGTGACAGTGAGTGTGCAGATGTTTTCTCATGTCAGTTATCCTTGAACATCTTTGTGCAGCCTTGGCGAGGGCCAGCTATTGTTCATGGAACATCATCTTTTAAATTTTTCTTGGCTTCATTCTGGCGAATTCTGCAGTTTTTTGGGATCTGAGCTGTCAATGCCAGGTATTCCTCCAAGGAGGAAGTTTCTTTCCTGTCATATACTCTGAATAATCAGGAGGTGAGTTCTCTCCAGTGATCTGTTTCTCAACCACTATTTTATGGTTAATGTCTTTTTGTTTTCATCCGAGTACCACATGGAGACAGATAACTTGCCCTCCAGGTTCCTGATCTGCACTCGCTTCTGCCCCCACTTCTTGTTGCCCAAGATGGTGCCACATCCACCCTTGCCAGCCCCCACGATGGTGACCAGGGCCTGCTCGAGGTGGTGGTGGTGGTCGCCGCTGGCCAGCTCTGGCACCAGGATGAGTATCTGGTTCCCCATCCAAGTCGTCGCTACCCACCACCTCCTGGCATGCCTGCACCAGGATCACCTCCTGGTGGTGGTGAACCTGGGTGAGGTCGTCGTGAGGAATGGCTGCAGCAGATCCTGGCCAGGTGGTGTGGGTGGTCACACCCTATGCCTATGGCCACCCCTGCCACCGTCTTCATTGTCATTGTCCTCCTCCTCGCCTACCATCATGGTCTCAATGGTCTTCACCAGGATGATGTCCACCTAGATCTACTGCAGCTGCAAGATCTCAGCCAGCATCTCCGAGGCGTCTGTACCCATGCAGAGGGTGTCATCCAGTGGCCTGGGCTCCTCAGCTGTGGTGGCAGGCAAGGAGGTGGCCAACTGTGAGGAAGGAAGCTTAATTTTTATAAAGATCTAGAATAGGAAAAACGAAGCTATGGTAATAGTAATCAGACTGTCTCAGAACAGGGGATATGGGAATTTCCTGCAAAGAGGGATGCAAGAGACATTTTGAGATGATGGAAGTACTGTATGTCTTGAATAGGGTGCTGATAATGTGGGTGTACACATTTGTCAAAAGTCATCTAAGCGTTCTCATAATCTGTGCATTTTACTGTGTATAAATTATACTTCAATAAAGTGATAAAAAATTTAAGATAGATAAATAGATCAAGCTATGAGTAGATATTCTTCATACAAATAGGCCCCAGGTCGATTCCCCAGATGTGTATACCTAAATTCTTTGGACCTTTGGTCTGGGGTCCTTGTTTTTCTCCAATGTTTGAAAAGGCAATTTCCCCTTCTGTGAGTGAACTAGGGAAAAATACTCTAATTGATTTGATCAGCAAACCCAAACCTTCCTCTATTTAAAGAGAAACCAATTTGAACATTCTGTAACTGCATACAGATCTTGCCTTGCTTGAAGGGGTCTGCCTAGTAATCCCATAATACATAACTCTATTTCAAATGGGATTGAGGTTACTGAGGCAGAGCAGAAACATTTGCTATGCTTATTTGCATTAACCAATAGTTGGACTGGCCTTGGGGCTCAAAGATATTTGTGGAAGGCTCTATGGTCTACTGAGCTGATGAAATGGCATGGCTTTCTGTATACATAGAGATAACTTTTTGATAACTATGATCACTAACAAATGTTGCTACAGAGAGATTTAGACAAGCATAGTCTCTGATTAGAAGGGATTTATAATCTAGCATGGATAATATTGGCATGGTTCAACATGTGGAGGATTTAAAACAGACAGAAAAAGATACTAACCAATACACAAAATGACATATTTCAATTCTCTATGTATCCAAATTTTGAGCCTTGTATTTGGGAGTCATTGGAAAACCCAAACAAAAACTTAACTAAAAAGATTTAATTTCATTACCCTTTTATTCTTGATCTTTATGTACCTAATAAAAACAAAGTATTGAATCAAAAATGGAATTAACCTCAGAAATTTAGAAGATATCTGACAAGGTAGAATAGAGCTGCAAAAAATGTTTTGGAAAAATTTCAACCCCTGAATATTGAACTATGACTTTACAAGTAACTGGCCCCATTCCTCATCCTTCTGCCTATGTGTAGAGAGGCCCCACATTCTCACTGGGAATGTAGTAGAGGTCAACGGGTATGACTTTTTGTTTTATGATGCACACCAGCATCATGGGAGTAGGTAAGGCATGTGTCAAGCTCAGCTCAAAAGAGCTAATAGTCACAAAAGGTTACACACCTAATACATATCATTCACAAGTGCCCTCTGATTAGTTCTCCTCATGGTTCTCTCTAACACGACACATAAAGAGCAATGAGGAGCTGTTATCTTAAAATCTGGAGCAAGGATGCCCAGAAATAAAACCTTTATTCTCAGTTTGGAGTTGTTGGTCTTTGAATCTCATCTGCTCTCATCCTCTTCCTTCACTCTCTGCTAGCCATTGTGGCCCCTTGGCATTACTCAAACATTCCAAACAGGATCTCCATCTTCTCACCAGCTGGAATGGTCTTTCTCCAGATAGTCACAAGATTTGGTCCCTCACTTCTTCCGTCTTTGTTCAAGCATCATCTTAGGGAGATAGGCTCCAAATATCCTATTACAAATTGCACAACCAACCAGTATCTCCCTAGCTCCTTCCTGCTTGAATTTCTTTGTCTTTATCACCATCTCTCACCACTAACCATAAACTCCATGAGCGTAGAGATGTTTGTTCTCCTTATTGCTGTTCCTCTAGCACCTAGAATTCAGTCACCTTTATCATAGACACTCTACAATTGCATATGAAGTGAGTTTTTCTATCAGTGTCACCTGCCAATCTGAAGGTTTTTTATAACATTCATTCTCTTTCATAGTGTTTTTTTTTTTTTTTTTCACTTTTCTGGATGCCAATCTTTTTCTAATGTTTCCTGTATAGTCTGTCTTTTGTAAAGAAAAAAAAAACACTCTGGAAGTCAACAAAGAAAAAAATCTTAAATAAACCATTTTCTTTCATCTGAACTTTGGAATCTTTTTATTAAAAGGTACTTTTTCTTTAAAAACAATGCCAATTTTTACACAGAAAGATTTGATCAGTAATTTTCAACTTGAGATGACCTCTTTACACTTCTACCATGTTTTCATAGATTAAGATAGTTTTGATGACAATGTGTTCAATGCTGTTATTTTAATAAAAATAAATCTTTATAGTCCTTACGTTTCAAAATACTGAAGTGTAACATTTGATCCTCACAGGTTTTATAATGAAAATGGTATCTGTATTTATAATCCTTCTGTTCTCAAGCCATATATACACACATTTTGTTTCCATTATATTCTTTTTCAATTATTTTATTATTTAACTTTTTAGTTATCTTTTTATGTACTCTTTTAAGTATTTACATAATTCAGTACATTAGCTATTCTTATTTGAAAATTATTTGTCCCTTTCCTCCTTTACTCATAACTTCTGTTCTTTGTAACTGCGGCTTTCCCATTCTTACTATTGTCTTTCCCAAATCTTGTATAACACTCTACTTACCATATTTTTTAATTAAACAAATGCGGCGGTATGATCTTTCCAACCCATAGAAACCATATATATAGCTCATGGTATCATTCTTTGTCTCAGTTCTATTTCCTGAAGCTTAGTAAAAATGTTTTAATCCCTAAGTCTATCAACTTCTAACCTGTGAGTAAAAACCTTCGAGAACATTTCTTACATAATACTTCCCTGCTTTCCTGTTTTAGATTCTATCCTTTCCGTCTCATCCTATTTTAATGTATAGGCTTATGCAAATGGATTTACTAAAAGGGTAGGATAATTTTTGGAAAGAAATATACAGTAAGAAAGAAATAATATATTTTCTCTGATAATTTAAACCCCCAAACGTAACTATTAATGTAAAGAAACTTCTTACTGGCCATGCCTAGGTCTATTTCCTCTAGAGGTCAGTTTAGGAAGAATCTGTTGATGAATTTTTGTCCCAATATTTTATAGGGTAGTAAGTGTCTTACCGAAACCTGGCCCAGTTCTCTGTTGTGTAAGTCAACTCAAAGGAACTGTGTGTACAGCTGATCACAAACCAGATAAGACTATTGCATAAGTAAGTACTCCTGAGAGACTGAAGATCAGGTTTACCTTATTTAAACTTCCAGATCTTTGACATTGATTTTGGTCCTTTCAATACGAACTTATCAAGTGCCTACTCTTGGCCAGATACAGAGGTAGGCACTAAAAATCCAACATGAATGAGACAAGGCCCCTGTTCTCAAGAATTGATGATGTAGGACAGCACATGCTAACAAAGGATTCCAATGTGGCCTGATGTGTCCATTGGATACCAGCACAGGAGGGATCAGGTCAGAGTCAGAGGCATAAGGGAGAAGTCATAGAACAATAAACTAAATTGAAGGAACTTTTAAAAGGAAAGGGGAGCTGTAAAAAAGAGAGTCAGCACCGGTAAATGCAGAGTTTCCCTTCTTAGTTTATTTTCTTTTTCATTTTAGTTATGTTTTACAGTATTACTGAAAAACTTACATGCACGTGATAAAAAAGTAATAAATCAAAAATACAGAATACTATATGGAGAAATGTAAATGTCTCTCCTACCTTAGACTACTAGTCCTTAGTCCTTCTCTATCTAGAAGCAAATTCTGTTACTGTTTTCATATATAAAGTTTCAGAAATAGTCTGTGTACCTGTAAGTATATTTTCTTAAAAATGAAGCAAACAGCATTAAAAGCATCACTTCTGGAAAAAGATGGCCTGAATGAGCATCCTAGTGCTATTGCTTACTACTTAGGTGACCTATTCAAGGAATGCAGCCTCTGTTTCCTCACTTGTAAAATGTGAATAATAATATCTACTTTATAGAGTGTTTTGAGTATTAAATGAGTCAACCCCCAGTAACTAGTCTCTTGAAAGAATGCACTATCTGTACCTTGCTTTTGTCATTTAATGGCATGTATTATAGGTCAACCCATATAAAAGTATCTTGGTTTTTTGACCTACTTATTTTGTTTCCATCTTACAGGGTTTTTTACATCTCTATTTCTCTCTTTCAAAATGACTACCAATACTTTGAGTTGATCCATCTGCCTGTTTTCTTCATGTTTTTGATAACTGAATGTCTTCTGTTTTTACAGCTTTATATTTTGTTTTGTTGATACTTGCCTTAGCTTCTCTAGCTGATATTTTAATATTTGATATATTTAATAATCGTCTCTTGCTCTTTGAAGAGTATTATTACTAATATAACTTGCAAGCAGGCTCAGACTGTATATTAATATACACTTTTCTCTTAATCTACATTTCACTTCTCTCAAATGTGATATGTACGTGCTCTTGATACATACGTGCTAAGAGTCTAAAGAAGGAGCCTTCTCTTCTACTATTTTTTAAACTACACTTCTATTATATGTAGGATTCCAATGATAGAATATTACTACTAATAATTATAGCTGATAATATATGAAAGTTTATGATATGGCTAGTTTGGATCCAGTCATTTTGAAATCAGAGGTAGCCAAAAACAGTATTATTAGTGTTACATATACAAAACAGGGTTCTCTGCAGACCCCAAGCTGAGATTGAAGATTCTTAGAAATATAAGTTGCTCATTTAAGAAAAAGAAGCACAGTATTTTTTTTAATTATACATTAAGTTCTGGGATACATAGGCAGAATGTTCAGGTTTGTTACATAGGTATACATGTGCCATGGTGGTTTGCTGCACCCATCAACCTGTCATCTCCATTAGGTATTTCTCCCAATGCTATCCCTCCCCTAACTCCCCACCTCACAACTGGCCCCAATGTGTGATGTTCCCCTCCCTATGCCCATATGTTCTCATTGTTCAACTCCCACTTATGAGTGAGAACATGCTGTGTTTGGTTTTCTGTTCCTGTGTTAGTTTGCTGAGAATAATGGTTTCCAGTTTCATCCGTGTCCCTGCAAAGGACATGAATACATTCTTTTTTATGGCTGTATAGATTCCATGCTGTATATATACCACATTTACTTTATCCAGTCTAACACTGATAGGCATTTGGATTGGTTCCAAGTATTGCTATTGTGAATCATGCTGCAATAAACATACGTGTGCATGTGTCTTTATAGTAGAATGACTTATAATCTTTTGAGTATATACCCCGTAATGGGATTGCTGGGTCAAATGGTATTTCTAGTGCTAGATCCTTGAGGAACTGCCACACTGTCTTCCACAATGGTTGAACTAATTTACACTCCCATCAACAGTGTAAAAGCATTCCTATTTCTCCACATCCTCTCCAGTATCTGTTTTTTTCTGACTTTTTAATGATCACCATTCTAACTGGCGTGAGATGGTATCTCATTGTGGTTTTGATTTCCATTTCTCCGATGACCGATGATGATGAGCTTTTTTTCATGTTTGTTGGCCACATAAATGTCTTCTTTTGAAAAGTGTCTGTTCATATTTTTCACCCACTTTTTGATGAGGTTTGTTTGTTTTTTTCTTGTAAATTTGCTTACGTTCCTTGCATATTCTGGATATTAGCCCTTTGTCAGATGGATAGATTGCGAAAATTTTCTCCCATTCTGTAGGTTGCCTGTTCACTCTGATGATGGTTTCTTTTGCTGTGCAGAAGCTCTTTATTTTAATTAGATCCCATTTGTCAATTTTGGCTTGTGTTGCAATTGCTTTTAGTGTTTTAGTCATGAAGTCTTTGCCCATGACTGTGTCCTGAATGATACTGCCTAGGTTTTCTTCTAGAGTTTTTATGGTTTTAGGTCTTATGTTTAAATCTTTAAACCATCTTGAGTTAATGTTGGTATAAGGCATAAGAAAGGGATCCAGTTTCAGTTTTCTGCATATGGCTAGCCAGTTTTCCCAATACCATTTATTAAAAAGGGAGTCCTTTACCCATTGTTTTTGTCAGGTTTGTCAAAGATCAGATGGTTGTAGATGTGTGGTGTTATTTCTGAGGCCTCTGTTCTGTTCCATTGGTCTATATATCTGTTTTGGTACCAGTACCATGCTGTTTTGGTTACTGTAGCCTTATATTATAGTTTGAAGTCAGGTAGCGTGATGCCTCCAAGTTTTTTTCTTTTCTTTTTTTTTTTTGAGACAAAATTTTGCTCTTGTTGCCCAGGCTGGAGTGCAATGGTGCGATCTCAGTTCACTGCAACCTCCATTTCCCAGGTACAAGCAATTCTCCTGTCTCAGCCTCCTAAGTAGCTTGGATTACAGGCATGCACCACCACGCCTGGCTAATTTTTTTTGTATTTAGTAGAGACGGGGTTTCACCATGTTAGTCAGGCTGGTCACGAACTCCTGACCTCAGGTGATCCACCCGCCTCAGCCTCCCAAAGTGCTGGGATTACAGGCGTGCACTGTCGCATCCAGCCCAGCTTTGTTCTTTTTGCTTAGGATTGTCTTGGCTATGTGGGCTCTTTTTTGGATCCCTGTGAAATTTAAAGTAGATTTGCTAATTCTGTGAAGAAAGTCAATGGTAGCTTGATGGGAATTGCATTGACTGTATAAATCACTTTCTATTCATGAGCATGAAGTATTTTTCCATTTGTGTTTGTCCTCTCATTTGTTTGAGCAGTGGGTTTGTAGTTCTGCTTGAAGAGGTTCTTCACATCCCTTGTAAGTTGGATTCCTAGGTATTTTAGTCTCTTTGTAGCAATTGTGAATGGGAGTTCACTCATGATTTGGCTCTCTGTTTTCTATTGTTGGTGTATAAGAATGCTTGTGATTTTTGCACACTGATTTTGTATCCTGAGGCTGCTGAAGTGCTTATCAGCTTAAGGAATTTTTGGGCTGAGATGATGGGATTTCTAAATATAAAATCATGTCATCTGCAAACAGAGACAATTTGTCTTCCTTTCTTCCTATTTGAGTATCCTTTATTTCTTCCTCTTGCCTGATTGCCCTGGCCAGAACTTCCAACCCTATATTGAATAGGAGTGGTGAGAGAGGGCATCCTTGTCTTGTACCAGTTTTCAAAGCAAATGCTTCCAGCTTTTGCCCATTCCGTATGATATTGGCTATGGGTTTGTCATAAATATCTCCTATTATTTTGAGATATGTTCCATCAATACCTAGTTTATTGTGTTTTTAGCATGAAGGGGTGTTGAATTTTATTGAAGGCCTTTTCTGCATCTATTGAGATAATCATGTGGGTTTTGTCATTGGTTCTGTTTATGTGATGGATTACGTTTATTGATTTGTGTATGTTGAACCAGCCTTGCATCCCAGGGATGAAGCTGACTTGATCGTGATGGATAAGCTTTTTGATGTGCTACTGGATTCAGTTTGCCAGTATTGTATTGAGGATTTTCTCATTGATGTTCATCAGGGATATTGGCCTGAAGTTTTCTTTTTTGTTGTGTTTCTGCCAGGTTTTGGTATCCAGAATGATGCTGGCCTCATAAAATGAGTTAGGGAGAAGTCCCTCTTTTTCTACTGTTTGGAATAGTTTCAGAAGGAATGACACCAGCTCCTCTTTGTACCTCTGATAGAATTTAGCTGTGAATCCATCTGGTCCTGGGCTTTTTTGGTTGGCAGGATATTAATTTCAATTTCAGAACTCAATTTCAGACTTAATTTCAAAACATGTTATTGGTCTATTCAGGGATTTGACTTCTTCCTGGTTTAGTCTTGGGAAGGTGTATGTGTTCAGGAATTTATCACTTTCTTCTAGATTTTCTAGTTTATTTGCATAGAGGTGTTTATAGTGTTCTCTGATGGTAGTTTGTATTTCTGTGAAATCAGTGGTGATCTCCCTTTATCATTTTTTATTGAGTCTTTATGATTCTACTCTCTTTTCTTCTTTATTAGTCTAGATAGCGGTTTATCTATGTTGTCAATCTTTTCAAAAAACCAGCTCCTGGATTCATTGATTGTTTGAAGGGTTTTTTTGTGTCTGTCTCCTTCAGTTCTGCTCTGATCTTACTTATTCTTGTCTTCTGCTAGCTTTTGAATTTGTTTGCTCTTGCTTCTCTAGTTCTTTTAATTGTGGTGTTAGGATGTCGATTTCAGATCTTTCCCTTTTTCTCCTGTGGGCATTTAGGAAGCACACTATTTTTATGCATTTATTTTATTCGTTGGGCTGTAAGGCAATGTCACCATAGAAAAAAAGACATAGTCTTTATTAACACAAAGTTTAAAAAAAGTGTACCAAATGTTGATAATTCTCATCCTTTGAAATAAAAACTGAAGGTATAATCCTGGTGATGCTTCCATTTTAACCTCTTATCAAATAAATTGGGAAATAAAGACAAAGGACCAAAGCTCTAAGCTTTGCAAAATCACCACAAGGCTCAGTTTCCTTATAGTAAAATAGAGACAATAATAGCACCTATATCCTAAGGTTGCTATGAAGATGGAAAGTGTTAGGTGAGCTGGGAATATGGAAAGAGTTAAGTGAGTATTAGCTACAATCATAAGTGCTTGGTATTAAAACCTTCCAGTGATGAGGCTTTATTTGTTAATTACCTGGTAAAGAAATAAAATGGAGATCTCAGTATAAGGCATCTAAAAACACTTGGGATGAGAGGCACCCTGAAAAGCAGGACAAATGGTGAGGTACGAAGGCTGATCAATTGCAAGAAAAAGAAAGCCAGGGAGCAGGTTTGGGCTTGGGAAGAGTCTCAGTATTTAGGGCCAGAGAGACCTGGGCAAGGTTTCTGGATAATAATCCCATAAGGTAGGTTGAATATATATTGTACACCCTGAGATTAAGTGAATTGCTCAAATTTACACAACAAAACAGGGCTTGAACCAAGATTAGGATTCAGCCTTCTTTTATGGAGCCAATGGATATATTTGTCAGCCCCGTGGTAATTCAGGGAACACAATTCCTCTTTACTCAGAAGAATGCCAAGTTTTCAGTCAATCTCTTCCTTAGTAATGGAGTGAGAGGGAAATGAATTGGGGTGATCCTCCTTCAGGGCTGGCACCACATCACCTTTCTTAGGGGCCAACCAGTCTCACAGGCCTGTGGGAGGAAACAGACAAGAAGGCCAGGTCTTGGGGTCACTCAATTCAGTCCCAAAAGGATGATGTGTGGGATCAACTGTGGAAATGGGGACCATGGCAGATTAGTCAAAACTTTCTCGTGTACCTGCACAAACCTCTCCTTCCAATTTTGGCAACTGACCCAACTCTTTTAAAAAAAGTTTTCGGCTGGGCGTGGTAGCTCACGCCTGTAATCCCAGCACTTTGGGAGGCCGAGTGGGCGAATCACGAGGTCAGGAGATTGAGATCATCCTGGCTAATACGGTGAAACCCCGTCTCTACTAAAAATACAAAAAAATTTAGCAGAGCATGTTGGCGGGCGCCTGAGGCAGGAGAATGGCGTGAACCCAGGAGGTGGAGCTTGTGGTGAGCGGAGATCGCGCCACTGCACTCCAGCCTGGGTGACAGAGTGAAACTACGTCAAAAAAAAAAGTTCTCAGTAAACGTCTTTGCTGTATGTGCCATTAAGTAACAAGCATCTGCTTTGAATATATTAACCGTATACTACTCTTATCGCACTTTGATACTCACATGTTTACATATTGTACAATATGTTTATTTAAACTAATTAAAATTTCTTTAAACTAAAACTACATATGCTCATGATGATTTTAAGTAGACCAGGGATATAGACACTTCCATTAGAGAATAATCCTTGTTTTGTGTTCTCTGGCTTCAGTTTCCTCACCTCTGACTGTGGAGTATTAGGTTCTTTCCATGTCTAGAATCCTATAAGTCTGTATAACTCCTCTTGGTGTATTTGTTTTGTGTGAATTTGGCGAAGCTGGCACTGTATTTCCCAGAATACACCTGACAGCATGGCTTCCGATGAGCATGGGCCACAAGAAATCTTCTGCAAGTGACTGAAGGCAGAAGGCACGTAGAGGCTCTACTGCTTTTCACACAGGGAAAAGTCAGAGCAGGCCAAAAGATAATTTCTCAACTCAGGCACATAGTTGCTTATCAGCCGGCTCATTTTGTTGGCATGGGGCAGCACCTGAGCCCATCGCAATTCCAGCTCCTTTCAGATGCTTTTCAGCTTCTCTAACTCCTTGGTCAGGGTGTGTTTAGCTTCATGACAAAGGGCACCAGACTCTCTTCCAGGACACTCTCCCACTGTAAAGGATGGAGCTTAGAAGGAGGTGGTGAGAGAACGATGCAGGTTCCAGCCCATTGCTGTAGGTTTGCTCTCATCTTCACCAGTTCTAGTTTGTCCTTGCTTCCCTCACTTCACATCCATCTTCCATTTCTGACTGCCCATGTTCAGACTTCAGTATCCCAACAAGAAGAACCAGCTTTCCAATGATCATTTAGCCAATCCTTACAGTTCTGTAAGATAAAAGCCCTATAATAAATCTGCAGATACATGATAGACAGCCAGATAGTATCTTAGACTGTTCAGACTGCTATAAAAACATATCTTAGACTGCATAACTTAGAAACAACAGAAATTATTGTTCAGAATTCTAAAGCTGGGAAGTCTGAGATCAAGGTGCTGGCAGATTCAGTGTCTGGTGAGGGCCTGTTGCTCATAGATGGTGCCTTCTGTATCCTTGCATGGCAGAGGAGCAAACAAGCACCCTCAAACCTCTTCTTCAATGGCAATAAACTCATGAGAGTAGAGCCCTCATGACCTATCACTCTCCAAAGGTACCACCTCTTCATACTATTGCATTAGAGATTAGGTTTCAACATAAATTTTGGAAGGACACAAACATTCAGACCATATTAGGTAGGTAAGCAGATAGATGGAGAGAGAGAGAGAGGGAGAGAGAGAGAGTTTCCTATCATCAGATCCTAACTCCTTTCATGTCTTTTCATTTTGTATGATGTTTTTTCCATTTTATTAAACTCGACTAAGCTTCTTAAGGGCAGAAGTCTGCATATAGTGTTGCTGGATACCTAATAACACAATGCCTGGCACAGCAAACTCTCAATCAATGTTTCCCATTGTTAACTGTATGATGCTTTTTCTTGATAATATGTATTTACGAAGAGAAACCTGCAATAAAGTCTTCCTAACCCTCTGTAAAATTTCTTTTTTAAAAACATAGTAGTTGTAGTAATACTAATAACTTGTACTTACATGTTGTTCATTAAATGCCAGACATTTACATAGATAAACTAATTGAAGTTTTACCACAAGCTTATAGGAGTCACAACCAGGTTGGTTGGTTCTTGGGTTTGTTCTTAGTCACTGCAATATTCCATCACCCAATGTCATGGTTGATTAGATACATATTTTTTAGTTTGGGTGTGGTGGCTCATACCTGTAATTGCAGTGCTTTGGAAGGTCAAGGTAGCTTGAGGCCAGGGGCTTGAAACCAGCTTGGACAACATAGCAAGACTTTGTCTCTGTAAAAAATAAAAATTAAAAAATTAACTGAGCATGGTGCCAACATGCCCATAGTTTTAGCTACTCAGAAGGCTGAGGCAGGAGGCTCACTTAAGCCCACAAGTTCGAGGGTGCAGTTGTGCCACTTCACTCCAGCCTGGGTGACAGAGTGAGACCCTGTCTTAAATAAATAAATAAATAGAATATAGTTACACTAACCAAAATTTCTAACACATAACACTTTTATATTAATAGAATTCATTTTTTTGCAATATATGTATTGGTTGGGATCCCAATGGTACACAGATGACACACTCATAATGGAATAATAGTGGTGGACATTTTAAAATGAAACTTTACAAAATTGAAGGTGTAGGGAAATCACAAGAAATAGCACTGTAACTGATGGCTTAGTAGCAGCTGATTTGTTATCACCCCCTAAATCTTTAGAGTTTAAGGAAGGCCAGTTTCTGGGATTAGGAGGAACAAAGAATTGCAGAATGAATCACTGTGAGAGATCAAAAGTTACAGCCAACCTAAGGTGACCTTGAAGGAAGGAACCAGGGAAGGAAATAATATGACCTCTCTCTCCCCTCTCCAATCTCCTCTTGGAACTCCCTATTGGCCTAACTCAGCTGAAAGTCAGACCAGTGGAAGTCACCCACTGATGTGGCCCACACGAATCAGCCTGGCAGAATCATAGAGGTGCCAAGCAATTAAGCTGACTATGTCTAATGTATGTAAACTTTTGTTTTATAATTTCTCCTTGGTCACCGATGATTTTCCACATGATTTCCAAGACACCTACTACATGGTCATGAGTCAATTCTCCTCCAAGTTCATCCTGATGACAGCTGGTTTTTCGTAAGGTTTAGCTGTGTCTTTAAAAGCAAATTTCTAGATAATTATGTTGCACAGAATAAAGAAAGCACTTCCTTTTTCCTCTTATGCTGCAACCCCTCACTTTCTGATATTGGACACATGCCATGCATTTTGCATTAGCTCTGTGGCAAATGTCTAGTGTTAAAATCCAAGCATCAGTGCTCATTAGCTTTTTCAGGAGCTTGGAGACAAGAGTTGGAAAGGTACAACTCAGAGAAATAATTCTCAGTGAGCAAGTAGCAATTTGCCAAGCAGATAAAAAAACTGAGGAAGCTGGAGTAGGAAACCCAAAGAAAGTTGCCTGAGTTAATGAACCAAAATTTGAGCCTATGACACCAACTAAAAGGATTTTTTTAAAAGCCACAGAACTTGCAAAAAAAAAATGTTAAGGGATACAATGGGTATGGTTCTGTGAACTTTTTCCTCTAAATTCACCCCTGCCTAGAACCTACGTCAAAAGAGAAAGGGCCAAGTGGCTGGGGAGTGAATTAGGACCATCCTGACAGATGGAAGGGAGGAAAGATCGTCAAGAGACTATGTCAGTGTGTTTGCCATACTGGAAGAGGGCCAGGTGCCCAGTCTGATGTCAAAGCCTCTAATTGTCCTGGGCAGAAATGCTTCTGATTGAAAGGACATGATGTAGCAAATGCAGGTCTCTGTTGAAGGACCAGCCCACACTCTATCCCACTCCCACCCAACACACATATATATTAATCATAAATGCCTCCAGAGACACTTAACTAAACCCCTGCAACTTTCCTTACCTCCTCCAGGCTTGCACAGACATTTTAAAAAGTTACATTTTAGCCAGAGCTGAATACTACAACATATTATGTAGATGAGGAAACAACCAAGTCCACCCAGGTCCTTTGTGGGTATCTGGCATGAGAAGGCCAGTGGTCCACACAAGCAAGAAAGGGCATTTTAATCAAGGAGGGCTGGAAATGAACTGGAAAGCTCATTTTTATTCTTGGAGTGCTTCTATTCTTAAAAGGATGTACAATTCTGAAGTTTGTTCAAAACTATTTAAGGAAATAAAAGATTAATGTATCAGTAAACTGGATGAGCCTGTCAGTATGGAGAGTCCAGATGAGAGTTATTTTAAAATACGTGTCGTTCCATGATCAAAACGATGCCTCATAGTTCTACAAATGAGAACCTTCGTCACAAAGATCCCTATATACTTCCCTTCATCCTCCTAGGAGCAGGGAAAAGGCAGAAGCCTCAAGCTCTGAGATAGAAGATGGCTTAAAAGAGGCTGTAGTCATTGTCTCACCTACTTCCGTTCCTGTTGTATATAGCTAAGAAAATGGGGTCAAAGTTTCACATACAAATATTTTGCCGGTCCTAGAGGACGCTGGAAGGCAGTTGTTTGTATCGTGTTGGCCTCCGTGTGCATCATTTTCTCTGCTGGTACCTTCCATTAGGAGCCACCTTGACATCATCTTATTCATGTCTTATCCAGGACCACACCACATTCCAAAGACTTCTCCAAATTATCAAACATTTCCTGACCTGTCCCTGTTCCCTAAGAGCCTTACTTTCCGATAAACAATCCAATAAACAAATTTTGTGGAGTGGGTTGAAATATACACATTTCAACTCGGATTTGCTAAATGTCTAACTTTTTTCTGAAATAAACTTTATGTTATTCTGGAATAATTATTACTAATTGTTGTGGCTCTGACCCGTGTCACTTGAGTTATGTGGGAATTATGTTCGCTAGTAGACACTTGCCTGTGTAGTTCTGGATTGTGGTTGCTCACAAGAAATATTCATGAGAATTGGAAGGTGGAGAAAGAAGAGCAGACATGTTTATACTTGGGAGTTTGGCTTCTATGGCAGTAGCTCACCTTGTTGGCGGGAATACCAGCCAGGTCTCAGCATCTCCATCTCCTGCCAGATATCCTCCTCCTACTCCCCCAAGTGCTAGGCTGGATGTGTGTGCACTTTTATGGCGAAGGTACCAGCTCCTTCTGCAGGCCATCAACGTCATGCACACTGGAAATGGCAACAGAGAGATGCAGGTTCTACTTTGTCCTCATGAGCTCCAGTTGGTTCTTGAAGATTCCAGTTTGTCTTTGCTCTTTGCAACTTTATGTTCTGATCTCCCTCTTTATTGCCAGAGTAGCTGACCCATAGTCACTTTGGGCCACCACCTGGCATAAATGAAAAAGCCTTGTCAGATTACTCCCACGATTTCCTAAGTCCTGATCAAACCCTGACTGATATGCTGAGGCACACTTAGATTTGACAATTAAAGGTATCGTGATTCCTTCCAGTTTAAAAATAGATTCTTTGGGTAAATATTCAGTTGAGAGGTCAAGATTGTTTTGTGATTCTCAAGATATTTCGTTTCCCCTCAAAATGAAGTCCAAATGCAAGGAGCAGGTAATGTGCTCACCTTGGTGCCTTGCTGGTACAAATTACAGGCCTCCCAGCGTTACTGTACCTGCCCACCCTGAAGCACATGGGGCATTTGTGTAAGCTCACAGGGTTCTTAAGGAACTGGCAGATGGTTTAAGACTCTCTCGAGGCCCTTCCCTCTGCCAGTTTTGCTCTCTATTTCTGTACCTTTTTTGCCTCAGCAGCTGGCCTGAAAAGTGACCTTCTCTCAGGGACACCAGCACTGTAGTTCTCAGACTGTTCCTAACTTACCTAGATTTCTTCCTTAATCCCACTTCAGGAGAATTGGCTCCATGGGGAGCTGTAGAACTCAAGTCAACATTTATTTTCATCTCTCCCATCTCTACAGATTATTCTACCAGCATAGAGAGCCTATGACCTACCTTTTATTACTGGGGAAAAGGGCACTTTCATTTTATTATACCCTCTCTTTCTCCTTCTGTATTCTGTGACTTACATAAAAGCTCTATTATCTGAGTCAGGCACGCTTGGTTCTTATTAGGAGAAGGATGCTTTTGGAATTTAGAAAACTCTCTTCTCTCTCAATAAAGTCTTGCTTTGAAGACACTGTCTAGTTAGGATACATAAGATGCCAATTTGTAACTAGAGTGAGCAATGACCTCTTTGCTCTCGATGTCCCTGAAGCAAATAAATGAATAATTGTGCTTGAGTAAATGTTACAGGACATTTAGGCCCCAGAGACAATTTAGAATAAAAATACATTAGTGTATTATCTCAATATTATTTTCACATTATATCTTCTGATATTTTAATCTTTCTAGGGAGTAGGTTATTAAGATAATAGGTAGAAGTGCAGTGATGTATTCTTAAATTCATAGATGCTTAAAATTCAAAGAGACCACAGGACTAGGTGGTTGACACATGTATCTGATAGGAATTGCATTAGGCTGCTAGAGATAGGAATTGCATTAGGCTGCTGGTTATGTACAAAAGGACATAGGCAGTCCAGTCTGACTTGGCCATTAGGGACTGAGTCGCTTCTGTATTTCTGCTCCACCACACCAGATGTGTCTCTTTCATTCTCAAGGTCATGTCATCATCCTCATCCTAAATACAGCTGGAGCTACAGCCCTCACATCTGCTTTCCCAGGAGGAAGCCAGAAGAGAGAGAGGAAGGGCAAAAAGCCTTTACCAGAAACTCCATCCAATAAGTGCTCCTTATACCCTATTGATAACATGTGTCTTCAAGGGGAGTTGGGAAATGTACCTTTTCATCTGAAACAACCTCCCAGATCCTATTGGTAAGAAAGAAGAGGAGAATGGATACTGAGGAGGCCTTGAGCTGTCACTGCCACACCACTCCCCTACCAAATTATCTCCAACTTCTGGCTAGCCGATCTCCAGTGATAGCGAAATCTCCTACAACCAAAAGCAAACCAATTCAATAGCAGACTGGCTTTTTCCTGTGTCTAGCTGAAACCTGCCTTCATGATGCTTCTACCTGATCACTACTCTGCCCTATGGTGATGATAAGAACAAGTGATATTTCGAACAAGTGGTATTTCTTTTCTACAGTTGTCCTTCAGTTACCTGAAGACAAACACCACATTTCCCCCAAACTTTCCTTTGTTGTCCTTGTTATTTTGTATTGTTTTATTTGTCCCATCAGGCTGCATCTGAAATACTCTGGATTAATTCTGTTCTGAATTCACCTCCTTTTATAAATGTTCCTCTTAAGGCAGTGATCCCAGGATAAAACATATTTCCAGTGTTGTACCAAATCTAAAGAAACGATTCAAATGACCATGTTTCTTAGTTAGCATATCGAGCTTCAATTAACTAGTCTTTGTGGAGACAACAATATTAATAAAGAAGAGTTTCTATAGAATTGGGAGTCTTGTGGGCCATAATACGTTGGCTGTAATTTTGCATTTTAATATAAGCTATGTAACATAGGCATTTAATCTGCATACACATAGAGCTAGCTATGAATACACAGATATGTGCAACTGAAGACTCCACAGCTACAGCACAGTTACATTACAGGGAATATAATTTCATAGTTTAGAATAAAAATAATGTGAATAACAACACCAGAAAAATACTCTCAGTCAGATAACCATAACACCTCCCATTCTGGCTTAGTCCTCCCTTCCCTAAGCCTGGACCAGACTCTCATTTTGCCATATGCTGGGCAGAATTTGAGCAGTATGCTTATTTCTAACTGACATGGGTAAGCCGCTCAAGAGAAACTAAGTGCCTTTGACTTAAATGACTAAGTGAGAATTTGGAGGGAAATGGTCCCCAGGTGCATATGAAGAGGCTCACACATGCAGCTCAGCTGTAATTGCTGGAAGGCTGGTTTTGCTGAAGACTAGAGATGCTGACAATAGATTCACACGTAAAAACCAGAAGTGTTGAAACTACCAATCTTTAGGTCCCACTGAGGAGGCAAAATGGGATAATGTTCTTCACCATGTGGCTGCTATTGATCTCTATCTTTCCAGAGAAACCTAGACAATTGCTTCAATCCAAGTAACCAGAGATAACAGCAACCCCTGTGCCCCCGGCCATGTAGGGGAGAGGTTGGCATTGCTTACTAACATTACAAGGAAAGTGGGGTGTTCATCAGAGCACCCAGGGATACCTAAGGAGTCCTTGCCTGCCTTGTGATTTCTTCTCAAGGTGTCAATAATGGTCCCTCCACAGCTGCAGGTTTGTGTGTGTACCCTCAGGCTTTCATGGAGAAAATGCTTCTTTACAAATGGTTCCAACAAATATTTCAGAAAAGGGTTGTCATTAACCAGCTTAGATCACATGCCCTGACTTTCCATAAAGGGAAGAGAGCTAGGGAAGAGCTGCTTTACCTGCACGACATGGTCTAGGAATGGAGAGGAGTCCCTAAAGTGGAAGAGTTGTTCCATTACTGGAAGAGGAAATAGACAACTCGACAGAGCAAGGCAAGAGATGATCTTCACACCTGGAATCACACGAAATAAGAGTTATGGAAGATATAAACATTATATTAAAAGGAAAATCAAGACTACAGAGTTTGCAAGCTCTGGAATCAGCAAGGCTGGATTCACACTACCAGTTCTGTGACCTGGGAATATTAATTAAACTCACTAAGCTTGTGTTATCTGCTATAAAATGAAAATAATAATCCTATCAAAATTACAATGTGGTTTATTTAAATTAGGCAATCCATATAAAATACTTAGCTTGCGGCTACATAGAATAAGTGCTTAATAAGTTTCTATCATCATCATCATCATTGTATTATTATTATGGTCATTATATGAGAAAGGAAGAGACTAAGAGCAGGGTAGTGGGAATCAGAAGAAGAGCAATGGTTAGAAATAGCTTAACATTTTGTGTTGATTGTGATTACTCTGTGACTGAGTGGATTGAGGCTGGGACCAGAATTTTAGTTAGGATACAACACATGAATTTTTGTACATGTTGTACTTTGATAACTTAGAGAACCATGAGATGCTACCACTTCAAGGCTATGCATTGGAAAAAGCTCTGGGACTTTTCCATGGGGGTAAAAAGCAGGGATCTATGACCCAGTGGCTGTAGGCATTTGGTGGAACCCTGGCTCAACTACCCAGTCCTCACTGCATAATATGCATGTTTTGGCTCAGTGATGAGAAACTGAGTTCTGCATGCCTTAAAAAACTAATTACCTGCCACTCATCTCCACCACCAGTGGCACCAAATGCACTGGTTTGGTGGTCACTGTCAGATACCCCTTACCTAGTCTATGTGGCCCTTTGCCTGTTTGGGTGACCTTTTCCTTCCTACTGCCAGCATCTCAGGCTCTTCAGAGTACAGCCCTTGGGCTACCAAAGCAGCTAGGCCTCTTGTACAAAAAGCCAAAATTGCTCAGAAATTCACATCTTCTGGGTAGCCCTTAGACATGACAAATGACAACTGTAGCTTACACTCCAGAGTTCCCCCTAAGAGTCAGGCCAGGCAGAAGCCACCCTTCTCAGGACGCTGCCTGAAGTCACACCCTTGTTTGCCTCCTTTGCCTTCCCTGTCCTGCTTCCCAAGTTCCCAATGAGTTTCTTCCGGGCTCAGTTTCTTAATAAATCAAGGTCTGCTTTGGGGCCTTCAACCCACGAAAATTGCTGACCCTACTACCCCTGGGTAATGTTCAGCAATTTGGACAGCTTTATGTTCTGCTCTCTATCACTGGGGTTTCTTAAGCTCCCACAACCAAGAATTTATGGGAAGCCACGGATTTTGCTCAGGGGAAAAAAACACCATATATACACAATATTCTACATCATTTCAAAGAGTTTCTGGGTCCCCTGAAACCCACCTGTGGGCCTTAGTTTCAAAATTATTGACCTTGACACACTATTTAAGACAGGGAACAAAACATAAGATGCCAAAGTGCCGGAAGATTAAGAAAACGCATACTTTTAGTGTTTTCTTTTTTACTCTTTTCGAGGCCTCATTAATTTTGTATTCTATCAATGATTTTGCTTTGCTGCTTCTTAATTTCCTCAAGCTGGCAATTGTTCCGGATGTGTTTAACTTTCCCCTCCAGATCATACTTCCCCACCTGCGGTGCTCCAGCAATTGACTATGCAGGCTGCATCCTCAGGCTGCCTTGCCTCCAGCATTCAGGTGGGCTTGCTCAATACGAATAACCACCAGAGATTGGAGAGGGAGCAGAAAGTGGAGCCTGAGGTTTAGTTTTCCTGCTGTCTCCTCAGTGTTACCATGGACGGGCAATGTCCTCTAACTGAAGAATGTAGCTCCTATCATGTGGCCCTCCACACATGACTCACCCTCTCCAGATTCTGGAGATTACTTCCTCCCATTTCCCTTCAGGCGTGAGGTGGTAAAGTCTCACTTATTTTAAATTCCTTGGGTATCACACTATACCCTGTGGTTTCTATTCACCCTGGCAACATAGTTTTGTAAACAACTATTTTATTAAATTTTCCTTAATTTATGCAATTTGGGTGCCATCTGTTTCTTATAACATTTTGATGCATAATAATTCATCAAAATGCACTGACTATCTTTCATTCCTGAGGCAGGAAGCAAGGTAAAGGCTGGGCTAGAGTTAAGGTTAAGATTAGAGTTGGGGAGAGGGTAGCTATAAAGATGTGCCCCCTAGCTCTCCTTTTTAAGGTAGAAATTTAAAGTTCAGAAACTAGCTAGGATGAATTTTATCTTTCCTCATTCTCTAATGCAGCTCTGTCCGTTATGGTAACTATTAGAACATGTGACTATTACCATGTGGCTAGAGATTTGCTGTAACTACAAAATGCATGCTGAATATTGACAACCAAACATGAAAAGAAATGTAAAGTATCTCAATTTTTATATTAATTTCATGTTGAAAGGATGATATATTGGTAATATGGTTTGGCTGTGTCCCCACCCAAATCTCATCTTAAATTGTAGCTCTCATGATTCCCATGTGTTGTGGGAGGGACCCAGTGGGAGGTAACTGAATCACAGGGGCAGGTCTTTCCCATGCTATTCTCGTGATAGTGAGTAAGTCTCACAAGGTCTGATGGTTTTATGAAGGGGAGTTTCCCTGTACAAGTTCCCTTCACTTATCTGCCACTGTGTGAGAGGTGCCTTTCATTTTCCACCATGATTGTGATGCCTCCCCAGCCACGTGGAACTGTGAGTCCATTAAACCTCTTTTTCCTTATAAATGACCCAGTCTTGGGTATGTCTTTATCAGTAGCATGAAAACAGATTAATAGAGTTGGATACAGTAGGTAAAATACAATATATTATAAAATTAATTTCCCTCTTTTGCTATTTTTAGCATGGCTACTAGAAAATTTTAAATGTCATGTGTGATTCAGATTGTATTTCAAATGTAACTGTCATCACCTAGTTATATTTGTCTCTCTTTAGAACTGCATAGATGTACTTTTGGTAATTCTTTATAATACCCTTCCCTTAGTTTTTCTATATTATTTACTACCACAGAATCTCTTTCTAGAAATTTCTCCTAGAAAGTAAGTTTCTTGGTGTAATACATTTTCATTTAACTTCACTTCTTTGATGAAAAGTACCTGGCCTTCTGCAAACACAGAAAGCTGAAAGTGTAATGAGACCAAGTGTTTAGTCATTGCTGCCACTAGCACATCCTCTTCTATCCTCTTGCAGGACTGAGCCAGTAAAAAATACTGACCTATTTAAAGTATAGGTAGTTACTCCAGGTGATGAAAATTTGCACAGCCATTGCACTGAAGGGTAAACATGTTTAGGCAACACTGCTATACTCACAAATTATGTCCACATTTAAAAAGTCTTTTAACTGGATAAAGAAAATGTGACACATATACACCATGGCATACTATGCAGCCATAAAAAAGAATGAGATCATGTCCTTTGCAGGGAGTTGAACAATGAGAACACATGGATACAGGGAGGGGAACATCACATACCGGGGCCTGTTGGGGGCTGGGGAATAAGGGGAGGAAGAGCATTAGGACAAATACCAGATGCATGTGGGGCTTAAAACCTAGATAACGGGTTGATAGGTGCAGCAAACCACCATGGCACATTTATACCTATGTAACAAATCTGCACATTCTCCACATATAACCTGAAACTTAAAGTAAAATTAAAAATAAAAATAAATAAATTAAAAACTTTTAGTATGGAAACAACCTATCGGTTTCATATTCTTTTTAATGTAATAAATTTATTCATAGTATCTTGGAAATAAAACTGAGCATCAAGCAATTGTTACACCTGGTATAGCAGACCTTGTTAGTGTTAGCAATATTAAACCTAATACTTAGGCTTGTTAAAACTAGGCCATGCAACAAAACGTGAACTTCTAACCAATTCTATCCCACCCACTATAGTGCTGGACAGGATAAACCTGTTACTTTTAACATAATAGGAAAAAAACATTAAGCCAAGACATAGTAGCTTATTTTTATGAGAAAGAGTTTCTTTTTATGCACTTGAATTAGGCGGAACTATTTCAGTTTTGAATAACGAAACTTCAACTCAAACAGGCCTCAGCTAAAAAGGGAGTTTATTACTAATATTGCAAAGTGTTCAAACTAAGTCACATAAAATCTGTTTCTTGCTATTTCTCGATTCTTCTTTCTTTGGTGTTAACTAATTTTTGGAAAACATCATGTGTTGACAAAGGTGACGAGCTAACCCCAGGCATATAATCCTCCACCTCAACAGCCCTGCCAGAAAGAAATCTCTTCTCTCCCAGTGGTTCAAGCAGAAGATCCAAACCAGTTTCTCATTGGACAAAAAAAATCTATGCTTTATCCCTACCCAATAACTGGCATTCTGGTTGGTCAGGCCTGGGTCATGAGCCTACTTATGGAGTAAAGAAGAAGAAAAATTTAGTCTTGAGAATATGGAAGAAACATTTCACAAAACGACAATGGGAACTCCGTTAGCTGGATTAAGAGGTACCAGACAAGCTAAATTATCAGATGTGCACTACAACAGGGAAATAATTAAATGATAAAATAAAGTAAAAAATAAAGCCTTCTTTCTTATAACCCAAAGTAATTATCAGATATCACAGGCCAGATCCTTCCATTTTTTTCAGCCATTGTTATCAAGAGAGAGAGGTTTTATCAGTGAAGGTTTGAGAAAGAATGATCTTTTCTCAATCATTAAGCCAAGATTTAGAACTGAATAAAGAATGGGAATAAAAAGAGAAAGAGAGACAGAGAGGAGGTGCTCTTTTCAATCTAAATGTATCATGAGGAATTATGATGAGTAGGAGTAGAGCTATTTAAACCTGTCAAATTCAAAATTTTAAATTTGACCCAGTTGTGTCAACCAACCTGATTTCTATTTGGTTCTTTGCTAAATTGATGATCTATCTTTGTCCAGTGGCACATAAGTAGACATAGATTAGAAATGTTAACTATGTTTAGATTACTGTCAATCAACAAATAGGTCTTTAATGTTTGCTATGAGGCTGGCATTATGCTAAATATGCTGAGAGATGCTAAAAACATCTCAGATTTGATTCTTAGCTTTAAAAACACTCGCTAATAAATTGAAGTAATAAAACTAACATGCATAAAACAAAACTGGACAAAATTGGGTAGTGGCAAAATGTGAGGCTAAATGTGTGTGCTGCAGACTCAATGCTAAAACACTCAAGGCAGAGAAAATTTGCTTGTAGTCATAATGTGAGAGCAAAGATCCACCACTTTTTGTATACACAGACTTGATTAGGAAAGAGTAAATCAAGAATAAAGACTAAATTACTAAATTCTGACATCATATACTATAAGCACTTTGTTTCATAATTGCTTATGAGAAATGCATAAACAAAAGCTTTTTAAGTATTCTTCCTGTTTTTAGACAATTTCTACCAAGGCATTTGAACCTTTCAAAACATGTATTAGTACAGGATAAAGAGGTGTTCAAAGAAACAAAGAACCAAGGATAATAACCTCAAGCAGACTGCAGTGAGTATATAAACATATATAACAAATTTTGTTTAGGAGCATAGTTAAATCACTAATTTTTACTTTAAAACAAAAACAATCTGCAATGCCTGACATAAGCAAAAATTGGATAACTGACATATATTTGTTACATAGAAAATAAGGTAAAGCCTTTTTGTAACGATTCATTACACTGGGAAGAATTTGGTGGGTGTTTTTGATGTTGTCTCATTCATTGGCTGAAGTACAGGTGTGTTATAGTTTCTCCCAGACTAAGTTGTTTATCACTGGGGCCTCTGGAGCTGCAGGCCTAAACTAGAAGAGAGGGCCTAAATTGTTACTGATACATGCACTAGGCTTGTACTCTCTCCACTGATTGGTAGGAAAATTCCCGTGGGATATATGTAATGTGCAGTGCATGCAAGGTAATTTGCTAGCCTAGCAAAACTGCAGTATTACTTTAAAAACAGCTATTGTGAAAAATCACCATAAGGGCTGCATTTTGCTCATAGCTAAATTTTTACCTGATTGCTGAAGATAATAAAGACTTTTGGAAGGTGCTTGCAAATATATTGTAATTAGAAAAACTTATTCTATAAAATAATTTTTTTACTTTTAAGAGACACTTCTAAGTATATTTACTCAAATTTTCTGTTTCACATTTTAACCAGAAGTGTGACTCTTATTATTCTGTTAATTTTAACCTTCGTTGAAACTTCTAAAAGTCATTTTCTAATTTATTATATCAATTATATATAAATGTTGTTCAAGGTTAAAACCATTTTATGCTGACCAAAATTAGATACTGTGTTTTTCTTAATATAAGACCTAACATTAGGTAGCATAACAGCTTGCATTTATATCTATTTAAAGCAACACTAAGTGACTAGTAATATCATATGATTTATATTTTCAGGTGTATAGTGTAAAACCTACAATTTTATATACTTAAGGTTTAAGTATAGGTTACAAACTAGAAATGTTCTCTTTTAAAAATCATATTATATTAATAAAATAAATATTTCTGCCCTATTCTCATTTTATTTTATTTTTTTTCTTTTTTTCTTTCCAGAGATTTTATTTGTTTTGGTGGCAGAGACAGAGTAGACTGTGCTTACTTCGTTTTAACAAGAACCATAACCCCAAATCTCTAACATACCAAAGTAGAGGGAATCATACAGCAAACACCTATGTATCCATTGCCCATATTAGATTGCATCTTTTCTTTTAAACAGAATATCTGAGGATTGCCATGTTTCTAATATGTTAAATACAGGACCGGTTTGTGTCAGAGTGCAAATCAATTATTCCTGAAATGATGGAGAGATATTTCACCAACTTGTTCTCCTTGAGGTTTTGTTGTTTTTTTTTTTTAATTGATCATTCTTGGGTGTTTCTCGCAGAGGGGGATTTGGCAGGATCACAGGACAATAGTGGAGGGAGGGTCAGCAGATAAACAAGTGAACAAAGGTCTCTGGTTTTCCTAGGCAGAGGACCCTCTCCCTCTCCCTCTCCCTCTCCCTCTCCCTCTCCCTCTCCCTCTCCCTCTCCCTCTCCCTCTCCCTCTCCCTCTCCCTCTCCCTCTCCCTCTCCCTCTCCCTCTCCCCTCTCCCTCTCCCCTCTCCCTCTCCCTCTCCCGTCTGGGAGGTGGGGGGGTCAGCCCCCCGCCCGGCCAGCCGCCCAGTCTGGGAGGTGTGGGGCGCCTCTGCCCAGCCGCCCCTACTGGGAAGTGAGGAGCCTCTCTGCCCGGCCACCACCCCGTCTGGGAGGTGTACCCAACAGCTCATTGAGAACGGGCCATGATGACAATGGCAGTTTTGTGGAATAGAAAGGGGAGAAAGGTGGGGAAAAGATTGAGAAATCGGATGGTTGCTGTGTCTGTGTAGAAATAGGTAGACATGGGAGACTTTTCATTTTGTTCTGTACTAAGTAAAATTCTTCTGCCTTGGGATCCTATTGATCTGTGACCTTACCCCCAACGCTGTGCTCTCTGAAACATGTGCTGTATCCACTCAGGGTTGAATGGATTAAGGGCGGTGCAAGATGTGCTTTGTTAAACAGATGCTTGAAGGCAGCATGCTCGTTAAGAGTCACCACTCCCTAATCTCAAGTGCCCTATTCTCATTTTAAAGATGCACATTAGTTTTTAATCCAATCTCTTGCCCACAGAATTCATGTAGTTTCATCTTTATTTAAAATACAATTTCTTTAAGAAATTCCGTCATTATTTTTGAGTGCCTTGTTCCATTTTGATAAACAGACATTTGAGTATAATTTAGCCTAGTAGGCTGCATTCCCATCCCTTTATTTGTGGCTCCCCCACAAAAATACATAAAGAAATGTTTTCGATGGTTTTACAAGTCACAGCCTCTAACACTCAGGTTAAAAAATGAAGTTGACTATTTGTAGAACACTAATACCTCTAACCTGCCTTTTGTATACTAGTGGTTCTCAAATTTTTTTTAATATAGCTGACTCATATAGGGCAAGGACCAACTGATCCAATTCTGAACTAATTTTCACATTCCAGTGACCAAGAAAATTGCATGAAAAAGAATTTCAGAGGACATTGCACAAATTACTCATCACTTACTTTTTTAAACAGGGTCACCAAACTACAGTCTGTAGGCCTGGTTGGCTCACCATCTGATTTTGTAAATAAAGTTTCAATTTTAAAATAGCCAACTCCATGTGTTTATGTATTGTCCACAGTGGGTTTTGCACTAAAACATCAAGGTTGAATAGTGGTGGTAGACACCATATGACCTGCAAAACCTAAAATATTTTCTATCCAACCCTTTACCAAAAAAAGGAAGAAATTGCCCTTCTTTTATTTAAAGCAAGTGTAGTAATATATACACTGATCTTATATGAATAACAATGATCTCTGAACTTAAAATTAGCTGAATAATTTTATAAGACTTACCTTGATAGTGTTAAGTTTAGCCTAAAGCTTCCCCTTACATATTTAAAGTTCAGCCTAAAGGTTTCTCTATAGCCTATTTAGATGTGTAAACAAATTATGACCTACTCTAGTAATCACTGAGCTTCAGCCAATCACAGACAGCCAACTATTCAGCCCTGTTCAAATAAGGCAAGTGCCAAGCTGTAACTAATCCAGATGTTTCTGTACCTCACTTCTCCTTTCAGCACCTCACTTTCCTTTTTCTGTCCTTGAATCCTCTCCAACAACGAAGTGGCACAGAAATCACTGAATTTATTCTCTGGAGAAAGGAAGGAAGAGGGGGAACATGGGTTGGTGGGAGAGGTTGCTTGATTTGCAAAAGATCGTTCTTTGCGAAATTAAACTCTGTTAAATTTGAAAATGTCTAAAGTCTTTCTTTTAGCAACACTATGTTGCAGAGGTATTCACAGGCTGCTCATTGCCAATGAGCTATAGAAGCAAATTATAAAAAGCATTGTGAATACATTTGCTTTAGAAATTTGGGTATGGTTGACAAATGGGATCTAATTAAACTGAAGAGCTTCTGCACAGCAAAAGAAACTATCATCGGAGTGAACAGGCAACCTACAGAACGGGAGAAAATCTTTGCAATCTACCCATCCAACCAAGGTCTAATATCCAGAATCTACAAAGAACTCAAACAAATTTACAAGAAAAACATAACCCCATTAAAAAGTGGGTAAATGACATGAACAGATACTTCTCAAAAGAAGACATTCGTGCAGCCAACAAACATATGAAAAAAATCTCAACATCGCTGATCATTAGAGAAATGCAAATCAAAACCACAATGAGATACAATCTCACACCAGTCACGAATGGCCATTATTAAAAAGTCAAGAAACAACAGATGCTGATGAGGTTGTGGAGAACTAGGAACACTTTTACACTGTTGGTGGGAATGTAAATTAGTTCAACCATTGTGGAAGAAGCTGTGGCGATTTCTCAAGAACTAGAACCAGAAATACCATTTGACCCAGAAATCTCATTATGGGGTGTATACCCAAAAGCATATAAATCATTCTATTACAAAGATACACGCACACATATGTTCATTAAAATACTATTCACAACAGCAAGGATATGGAATCAACCCAAATGCCCATCAATGATAGATTGGATAAAGAAAATGTAATACATATACACCATGGAATATTATGCAGCCATAAAAAGGAATGAGATCATGTCCTTTGCAGGAACATGGATGACACTGGAAGCCATTATCCTCAGCAAACTAACACAGGAACAGAAAAACAAACTCTGTATGCTCTCACTTATAAGTGGGAGCTGAATGATGGGATCACATGGACATGGGGAGGGGAAAGACACAGTCTGGGGCCTGTCAGAGGGTAGGGTCAGGGGAGGGAGAGTATTAGAAAGGATGGCTAATGCATCCTGGGCTTAATACTTAGGTGATGGGTTGATAGGTGCAGTAAACCACTGTGGCACATGTTTACCTTTGTAACAAACCTGCAAATCCTGCACATGCACCCGAGAACTAAAAATAATTTTTAAAAAAAGAAATTTGGGTATGGGAGAACAACAATGCAAATATATATATAATTTAGTTTAGGCACATACATGGAAGGATTAACTACATAGGAACTAAATGTTCATGATATAATGGTAATTTATAACACAAAATAAGACTAGCCATTGAAAATGACCACTGGGGCTAGCCAATACTGTTGCTGCCTTACTAATATCTGAGACCATTTCACTTTCTGCATATGTGTCTGTGTCCAGAATTGTTGCAACAGGGATCTTAGCAGTCTTGAATACTGGGCCTCGGTAAATACTAGCAATGGAGCCATTTTCAACTAAGATGAAAGGTTGGTAGCTCTTAATAACATACTGGGTGGTTACCAGTAAGTGACCTTTAATCATCTATGAAAGCAGAAGTCTTCAGAATTGTAAATTGCTTCCCTTAAATGGCCCATAAAGACTTGTCCAAGGCCCATAGCTTGTAAGTGGTGTACTCCATATTTCAATAAGGGCAGTTTGACTTGCTAGTCCTGAGAAGACATCAACTAAGCTCCACATCACAGCTGAAGAAGGGCTTCATTAGATCATCCATGGGATGGAGAAAGAGTGAGACTAATCTAGACCCTTCTTTGGGATTCCCAGTCATCACCTGTCCATCAGGCCAAGATATACAGAGGGCAGAGAACAGTCCACAACTAGGAATGAGTAAAAGCAACACTTCCCACATATTTTCTTTTATTAGGTTTTTTGGTAGTATGAACTCAGAGAAAGCAAGATCTCCACAAGCCCAGAATGCACATGCTATAAGGTTGTTTGATTTCGCCCCAGTATTTTGCAGATGAAATATGCAGAGCCGAATAAAACGTAAGTACCTCTCCTGGACCACAGATCTCCTGAATTCAGGCTCACAGCCAGTGGCATAGCCTTACTGAGGGCTTAGGTTATTCAGCACATGAGGTGCAATCTTAGCTCTGGAGCTCTCGCCTGGGACTCCTTACCATCCCACTCTTCCCATGCATTATTGTTTTCCCTTCCCTACCAATTAAACTCAAACTATTCCTAATTCCAATGAGCTGGGTCTTTAAGAGTCTCTGCTCAGCTACAATCTTCTCCTTTGCATTGGAATATTGTAGGCTTTACATTTTATCTATCAACTAAAATTGTACATATTAGTGTATTCATTTTCTTTTAGCTCTCTTTCTAGAAGATAATTTTTTAAACTTTCATGAAATTTTTCCTATTTGATTTCAACTATCCTATGACATGGATTCTTATTCTTAAATCATTTTGTCGATGCTTCCAGGGCAAAGGGATCTTTGTCTTGCACATTCTTTAATGAAGGTTATTTGGAAGGGGCTACGTGCATGCCACTGCCTTCAAATGAAGTTCTGCAGATGGAAGGAGGGTTCACAGGGGGAAGAGAGAAATGAGAAGCTGGATCACACTGTGTATTTCATTAGTATTTTGTAGAAAGATTATGGTTCAGTGGGTTGAGAATATCACATACATCTATTTTTCTAACTGGTGAATAAATTCAAAGCCTGTGCTTAAACTAACTTCAATTTTGAAGATATAATTTGAAAGCCTTCAGTGTACACATGGCTGCATGTACTTGCACTGCCCTGGATTGAATATGTAAAGTCATAACTCATTGTGAGAGGCAGTGCAGGGTAAAGAATATAACACTGGCCTTACAGAAAGGAAACCAGAACCCTAAACGATGTCTGCCACCAGCTGGTTTTGTGACTTTTAGCAAGTTCCTTAACTCACCTTGCTCTCAGAGCCCTATCCTTAAAATGAGAGCACTGAGCAAAGATGGTTACAATGGACTCTTCCCAACTTTAACATTATACAAATCTGCAAACTATTCAAAAGTCTTTGCCCTTAAAGAAATTCAACCAGACCAAGAGAAAAACAAGCAGTGCCTGTTGCTAAAATTCTCAGAATTGCTGAAATGCTCAGAGTCTGAGAAGGTAATGAAATTTGTTTCAGGCTAGTGCAAATCAATGTAATCCTATTAAGCAGGTTAGTATAATTGAGCAATACCCTTGGGAGTACAAGTAGCCAATTCAAATTTACACAAATAAGAAAGAAAATCACTTTTTTCCAAAGCTCCTATTTCTGAAATCAGAAAACTGTTTTTGTAACATGATTATCTGACTTTCTACTATAAACTTAAGAATAGTAATACACGCTTAAGACTGGGCCTGTATTCCCTCAGCTATTTATTTAATCTAGATGTAGAAAGCCCAGCTGTCACAGAAGTGGTGACTGGTTAAACCAGTAAATGGCAGACACTCTATAAAAATCTGTTGAAGAGGTGATGAATGCCATCGTGTTTGCTATAATTATTAAGACTTGGATCAGCATCTTTTAGTTTTCATTCTTCCTATTTGACAATGAGATGCCCATAATAACTGTGCTGGTTCTACTCTTATTAAAGAATCAGCCTATGGGAAATGTACTCATTGTTCATTTATTCATTCAAAAAATGCTACTGAAGTGTGCCAGTCAATGTATCTGATGAGATAAGTAGAAAATTCTCTATTTTCCATCAGGGGAAACTGACACATCATCAAATGACAGCAATGTTGTAAGTACTATAAGATGATGTGATACCACTGAGGAGGATGTGTCTGATTCTTCTTGGAGTGCTCAGGTTGGCCTCCCAGAGGAGATCACACTTGAGTTGCATAATAGAGGAGGCCATGTACCCAACACAGAGGAAATGGCATTTACAAAGGCCAAGTGGGAGCTTCAGGAAGTAAGACACCTTTGGAAACTGTGCCACATTGAGCAACCCTGGAGTGCAGGAGACCTTATGGTGGCAGTCACGAGAGCTTAAGCTGGGCAGGAGGAGTCCAGGGCAGGAAGGAACTTACAGTCTGTGGTGATAAATTTGGACTCCATCTACCAGAAATGAATAGATTATATAAGCCAATATGCATTTTAGAAAGAATGTGGAGGAAAGATGTGGAAAGCAGATTGCAAGGAAGAAGGCTGGAGGTATTACTTTATTTTACGCTGCATTTATAAAACCAAAAGCAACTGATTCTTTTCCCTGTCACAAAATGACTTTGGAAAGATCAATCTTTTATGTTCAGTTCCAACTGAATAAAAAATCAAAGATGCAGGATGGGTTGAAACTCTCTTGTGATTGTTGACAATGCCACTGTAAGAACCCACTCCATGTTCTTCCTTGAAAGGAATGGCTAGAGGGTTAATGACTGCTGCGCTGGTCAAAGGTCCAATCTGAGAAAGGGAAGGCAAGGTGCATACTGCATTTTACTCTTGAAACTGGTATTCAGGAATAAGAGAAATAAAGTAAAAATCAACCAGTTAAGAAAAAAGCAAACCTAAGTATCTTTCCCCATGCAAATTCAATTGCAGCTGCAGCTCTTCCTTCCTCCAGAGAACATGCTATTTTAATTCCACTCACTGGCCATTGAATGGTTGGAACAGAACTTGGAACTAATAGCTAAAATGATATTGGACACAACCCTAGTCTCTGTCTCTATTATGACAAATATACCCTTATGTTTGATTGAAAAGTAAATTTTTCAGTATTTAAAGATTTATCTGCTGGTCTTTGTAACATAGAGTTTTGAACATAAAAATAGGTTCCTTTTATAATGGCATATATTTTTATTGTAGTAAACATAATGTAAAATTTACCATTTTAACCGTTTTACTCAACTTTAATAAGGTATAATTGACAAATAGAGATCATATGAATTCAAGGTATATAATGTGATGGTGTGATATATAAATCGTAAAATGATGGCCATAATCAAGCTAATTAACATATCCATCACCTCACATAGTTACCTTTTTTGTGATGAGAATACTTAAGATCTGCTTTCTTAGCAAATTCAAGTATGCAATATATTATTATTAACTACAATCAACATACTATACATTAGATCTCCATAGCTTATTCATCTACCATTTTAACCATTTTTAAGTGTACAGTTTGGTAGCATTTAGTATATTTGCATTGTTGGGCAAGCATCACCACCATCCACCTCCGAATCATTGTTTTAATCATTCCAAACTAAAATTCTGAACCCAGTAAGCAAAACTCCCCATTTACTCAGTTTATGCCTAGGAATAAGAAAGTAATTATGTCTCCAGTTAGCTGCAGCCCACATCCTCAGAGAATATAGAATACTAATTATTAGGAAGGATAAAAGAAAGGGAAGATGGAATAAAGGGAGACATATCCTTTGACGAAAGATGCAATCTGCTTCAAAAGAAAGGGGAGTAACATCCACATCAGAAGAACAATGCTGTTGCCCCACTGCCCTGCCTCATTCTATTAATTATCCATTTATCCTCAGACCATAGTAACTGCCCTGGGTCTCATTCTGCATATCTGTGAAATGGAATTAAGTTTATTATCCACAGGATGAAGTGGGGGTAAGTGTTAACAGATAACCATGACAAACAAAAAATCTCTAAATGTGATCTTGTTGTTGTTGACTTGCTGGTGGTCTGCACGAATGCTGATCTCTTTCTTTATGTTTTTGTTCTCTCATTTATGAATCAGAGGCAATCATAGTAGCCTCTCAATAATACATGCAGTGTAACTGCCTACTAGACAATTACAAAAATGCCTTTCATGTCAGGCGTGGTGGCTCGTGACTGTAATTCCAGCACTTTGGGAGGCAGAGGCAGGTGGATCACCTGAAGTCAGGAGTTTGAGACCAGCCTGGCCAACGTGGTGAAACCTCATCTCTACTAAAAATACAAAAATTAGCCGGGCGTGGTGGCACGAGCCTGTAATCCCGGCTACTCAGGAGGCTGAAGCAGGAGACTCGTTTGAACCCAGGAGGCAGAGGTTGCAGTAACCCAAGTTTGCGCCACTGCACTTTAGTGTGGCAACAGAGCGAGACTCCGTCTAAAAAAACAACAACAACAACAACAAAAAATGCATTTCATACGTGATTTGAAGAAGCACATCTATTGTCACTCAAAATCAATTGTACTACTACTTATTAAGAATCTACCTTATGCCAAATACTGTTAATTGGTGGAAATTTAGAATTGAAAAAGACAATACCATGTACCATGTAACTTAATCTCTAAGAGTAGAAAATGTTACTGGCTCATATACTATATAAACACTTTAATATTTTCAGATTTTGTGAAGAATATCACTATGTATATTTATAAATATATGCAGATTTGCATTCATAATTAATTGTAGCTGATTCCATTTTTAAATTCTATACAACTGTACCAATTCATATATTTTAAAATTTGTAGCTTAAAAAATCCACATATCAAAACTAGCTGTGTATACTTTTTCTCTTCTAACAAAGAATGGAGCCCAATGGTTTATCTATGTTTACATAAGATGTATGTGGTTGTATTTCATAAAGCTAAATAATTTTTAAAATTTGAATCAACTACAATGAAAGTTTATTTCTATCACTGCCTTTATATGGGATTTTTTCTTAAAATAAACTGAGAGGGGGAAGATTCTTTTCCTGGGATTTAATTAGAACTCAGCCAACAGGAGTATAAAATCTAATGTTCTACACAAAGAACAATATACTGTCAGCTGAATTGTATTTTTCCAAAACTTTTTATAAATAATACAGACTTGGTGGTGTTTACCTTTTGCAGCTTGGGAAATCTATTTTAGGGTGTGAGGACAATCTGGCTGGAACATCTGTCACCCCATTGATTGCCAAGGTTGATTCGGCTGATCTGGCTGGCTAAGCAGGTGTCCCCTTCCTCCCTCACCACTCCATGTGCATCTCTCCCAAAGCTGTATGCTTCACTGAAGATGACCATCCTCGATAGAGGAGGACTGCTCTTCAGTCAAGGGTATATTAGTAGCTGTGTTCCCCTGCTACAACCTGCAAACAAGTTCTCAAGGAAATCGATCTGGAAGCTGGGAATTCTCCCTACATACCTATGACTAGGAACCATTTTTCTAGTAGCCTAAGAATGGCCATAAGAGTATAGAATTTTTATTTTATTTATTTATTTATTTTTTGAGATGGAGTCTTGCTCTGTCATCCAGGCTGGAGTGCAGTGGCATGATCTCAGCTCACTGCAATCTCTGATTCCCGGGTTCAAGCAATTCTCCTGCCTCAGCCTCCTGAGTAGCTGGGATTACATGAGCATGCCACCATGCCTGGCTAATTTTTATATTTTTAGTAGAGACGGGGTTTCACCATGTTGGTCAGGCTAGTCTCGAACTCCTGACCTCGTGATCTGCCCACCTCGGCCTCCCAAAGTGCTGGGATTACAGGCGTGAGCCACCGCACCCAGCAGAGTGTGGCATTTTTATTACCTATAATATCCTTTACCTAGATAGGTGACCTCCTTCTTCAGTCCAGATTCCATTTTGAGGAAGTTTTCCTTGACCCATAATAGCCTTCTCCAGGAAGCCAAGTAGTTAGTCTTTCTTTCACTTCCTTGACATTTATGAATTCTTGAACTTTTATCCTCATTTCCTTATGTCTTTTTCCCTCAATTAGACCAGTATATTATATATTGTTTTTCATAGCCTGGCACACAGTAGACATTTGATTTGTTCCCTAACGGTCCTTTAATGTTAGAAAGCACTAACTGAAATAGAAGTGGAGAGGTGATGCAGAAAGCAGATAAGATAATGTGCAGATATAAGCATAGTTTCATTCATTCATCCAAACGTATTCATTGAGCACTAATTTTTAGTGTGCTAGGCAGATATGCCAAGGAACGAAACAGATAAAATTTCTGCTTTTGTGAGTTTACATTTTAGTGAGAGAGACAGGCTACAAAATATGCGTAAGACACACACATACACCCACACACACACACACACACACACAGAGAGAAAGAGATACATTTCACATGCTGATCAGTGCTAGGAAGAGAACTATAGTGGGATAAAATACTGTTGGATAAAATACTGTTGATGGTACAGATTAGACTGAAAGGGACAAGAGTGAAACGAGGAAGATGACTTAGAATGCTCCTGCCTCAAGAGGTTATCATCCAAGGAGAAGGATCAGACTAGGGCATTGGAGTCAGGGCTCATATTATACATGTATTTTGAGGATAAAGTCAACAGGATTTGATATGGATTGAGTGTAGAATGTGAGAATAAAAGAGAAGTGAGGGTTGACTCTAGAATTTTTGGTCTGAGAAAGTACAAGAATGAAATTCCATTTACTGACATGGTAGAACCTAAAGAAGGAGCTGTTTGAAGGAATGCAAATTAAAAATTGTGGATATATTCACTCCAATAACTAGTTGCACTCATTTTGAGACTGAACTTTTAGGTTTGTTCACCTGTGCTTGCCTGCCTGCCAGGTATACCACCCCCACCCATGACATGCTAAAAAGATAGCACACAGATGCAAAAGCATCATCTTGTCAAGATGTCTTCCTCATCAGATAGAGGCATACCTTCCTTTATTGAGCTTCATTTATTGCCCTTCATAGATATTGTGTTTTTTACAAATTGAGGGTTTATGGCAACCCTGCATTGAGCAAACCTATCAGCTCCATTTTTCCAACAGCATGTGCTCACTTTGTCTCCTCTTTGTCACCTGTAGTAATTCTCACACTATTTCAAGCTTTTTCATTCTTGTTATATCTGCTGTGGTGATCTGTGATCTTTGATGTGACTACAGTAATTGTTTCGGGACACCATAAACCACATCCATATAAAACCTCAAACTTAATTGATAAATGTTGATAAACATACAACATTGATAAATGTTGATAAACATACAACATTGATAAATGTTGTATGTGTTCTGACTGCTTCACTGATGAGCAGTTCCCCCATCTCTCTCCCACCCCTTGGGCCTACCTATTCCCTGGGACACAATATTGAAATTAGGCCAATTAATAACCCTACAATGGCCTAAGTGTTCAAATTGAAGAAAGAGTCCCAGGTGTCTCACTTTAAATCAACAGCTAGAAGTGATGAAGCTTAGTGAGGAAGGCATGTCAAAAGCTGAGATGTGACAAGAGCTAGGCCTCTCTTGGGCCAGTTAACCAAGCTGAGAATGCAAAGTGTGACAAAGAGAGTTTCTGGGGTGCCAGATGAGTTGGTCTCCCCTGTGTGAGACACCCATGGGGAGCCATGGGTGGCCTCTGAGGAGAAAAGCTTCCTTATTGCCTTCATGTCTTTATGCCCCGAGAGCATAACCGCTCCGTGGCATTCCACAGGTTTCTCAGGGAGAAAACACTCCCTTGAAGCAGGGGAGTATAATCAAACTTCTTGGCTCCTCCTGAAACCTGCTCCCACCCATTTCAGTCCCGATAAGTTAAAGATCTGAAGTAGTTTGGACACGCCTTTGCTCGAGGAAATTCACAGAAACCGCCACTGCTATACATCTTATTGAATGACCCGCGAGTTCTCCTTCTCTGATTAATCCTTTCCTCATCCCTTCCTCCCCCTCCCATCTGCCCTAAGAACAAAGAGCTTGTAAGCCAATAAATTGGGCCGAGCCTGAGAGCTCTGGGTCCCGAGAGCTCTGGGCCGTGAGCAAGCCTCCAACGCTCCGGTCCCTTGGACCCACCTTTTAAACACTTATTCTGTCTCTTTCTAACTCCTTTGTCTCCGCTGGCCTCAGGGTTACCCACTGGGTGGCGTGGGGCTGGTTTCCCCAACACAAAGGAAAAGTTCTTGAAGAAAATTAAAAGTGCTATGCCAGTAAACACACAAATAATAAGAAAGCAAAACAGCCCTTTTGCTGACATGGAGAAAGTTTGAGTGATCTATATAAAAGATCACATAAAAAAACAGCCACAACTTTCTCTTAAGCCAAAGCCCAATCCAGAAGAAGACCCTAACTCTCTCAAATTCCATGAAGGCTGAGAGAGGTGAGGAAGCTGCAGAAGAAAAGTTGAAAGCTAGCAGAGGTTAGTTCATGAGATTCAAGGTGAAGCAGCAAGTTCTGATGAAGAAGCCACAGCAAGTTATTCAGAAGAACTCACTGAGATAATAGATGAAGGTGGCTATGTTAAACAGATTTATAACATAGATGAAACAGCCTTCTATAGGAAGAGATGCCATCTATGACTTTCATAGCTACAGATGAAAAGTCAATGCCTGGCTTTAAGGTTTCAAAGGAGAAAACTGACTTTTGGGTCTAATTCAGCTAGTGACCTTAAGTTGAAGCCAATGCTGTTATCATTCAGAAAACCTTAGGGCCTTTAAGAATGAGGTCAGATCTACTCTCTGTGCTCTACAAAGAAACAACAAAGCCTGGATGACAGCACATCTGTTTATAGTACAGTTTACCGAATATTTTAAGCCCACTTTTGAGACTTACTCCTCAGGAAAGAAGATTCCTTTCAAAATGTTCCTGCTCACTGACAATACATCTGTTTACCTAAGAGCTCTGATGGAGATGTACAAGGGTATTAATGTTGTTTTCATGCCTGCTACCACAATATGCATTCTGTAGCCCATGGATTAAGGAGCATTTTGACTTTTAAGTCTGATTATTTAAGAAATACATTTCATAAGCCTATAGCTGCCATAGGTAATGATTCCTCTGCTGGATCTGAGCAAAGTATATTGAAAAAAGATTCGCTATTTTAGATGCTATGAAGAACATTCATGATTCATGGGAGGAGATCAAAATATCAACATTAACAGAAGTTTGGAAGAAGTTGATTCAAACCCTCATGGATGACTTTGAGGGATTCAAGACTTCTTTCAGTAGCAGAAGTAACTGCAGTTTTCATGAAAGTCACAAGACAACTAGAATTAGATGTGGAGCCTGAAGATATTATTGAATTGCAGCAATCTCACAGTAAAACTTGAACAGATGAAGATTTGCTTCTTATGGATGAAAAGAGAAAATGGTTTCTGGAGATGAAATCTACTCCTGATGAAGATGCTTGAACATTGTTAAAATGACAACAAAAGATTAGCATATTCCATAAATTTAATTGAAAAAGCAGTGGCAAAGTTTGAGAGGGTCCACTCCAATTTTGAAAGTTCTACTGTGGGTAAAATGTTATTAAACAACATTGCATGCTACAGAGAAATCTTTCACAAAAGAGTCAGTCAATGTGGCAAACTTCATTGTTGTCTTATTTTAAGAAGCTGCCATGGCCACCTCATTCTTCAACAACCATCATCCTGATCTGTCAGAAGCCATCAACGTTGAGGAAAGACCCTCTATCAGCGAAAAGATTATGACTTGCAGACGGCTCAACTGATTATCAGCATTTTTTAGCAATAAATTATTTTTAAATTAAGGCATGTAAATTGTTTTGTTTTAGACATAATGCTATTGCATACTTAACAGACTACAGTATGGTGTAAACATAACTTTTGTATGCACTAGAAAATCAAACAAATTCATGTCGTTTGCTTTATAGTGATATTCACTTAACTGCAGTGGTCTTCAAGGTATGCCTGTAACTTGTACCTTCTTCTTTCTTTTTGTATTAGCTGGCTTTGATTTCTTGATCCTCAGGTTGGTAATCATTTGCTTTTATCTTCACAAGGTATAGTTTTGCAGAAGCACCACACATTTTTCCCATCACATTCTTACAGACAAGTTTCAGACAAGTCTTAACACTGAATTCTGGACATCAGTACAAACAGTCGGTAAGCTTCTAGATCCCTGATTGAATGTCATGGTTATTGCTTGCCTATTGCATTCTTCAGGTATCTCCTGGTAAATACACACACACACACACACACACACACACACACACCCCAACACACAAAGACACACGCTTGCTTTTTTTTCTCTGTCTCCCTCCTATCATGATTTAAACTCACATCAGCTGCAATGTTTCTGGTCCAGGAGAGGAGCGTACATTCAGAATTTTATGGAGATCGAAATAGGCATAGGAGGTGGGATAGGGAGAAGAGTATTAATTTTCTACCAAGTTGATTCAATTGTCCACCTCTCTTAACTGATGCAGAGGTGGTTTAGAGAGAAGAAGAGGGTTTTAGTAGCCCCATCAAAACCATGCCTAGAAATTGGAGCATTTGCTGATCAAGAGTTAGTGGCTTCCTCCCATGTGTTTCTTTCAGTATTGCATTTCAGGGGGTACTTAATTGCCTTGTTGAAATATTGCAAAATGATTTCATGCTGCAATTAAAATATGTTCACAACTGTTGGCAGAGAAATGGAAATAGATTTTTCAGTGTGTTCAACTAGGTAACCCTGATGCTAAATGATGTGTTCCTGACATAGAGCAGGTTAGCGTGAAATTTAATGTGGGGTCACCTGCCTCAGACCAATGAAGGACAAACTAATCTCTAGCTAGAATTTGACCAGTTTCTAGGACACAATAACTCAAACATGGCATGTCTCCAGAATGATGCCTCCCTCCACAAGAAAGCAGAAAGTGTTATGTATCCCTATAAAAACATTCACCAGGCTAGGTGCGGTGGCTCACGCCTGTAATCCCAGCACTTTGAAAGGCCAAGGTGGGCAGATCATGAGGTCAGGAGTTCAAGACCAGCCTGATCAATATGGTGAAACCCCGTCTCTATTAAAAATGTAACAATTAGCTGGGCATGGTGGTATGCACCTGTAATCCCAGCTACTCTGGAGGCTGAGGCAGGAGAATCACTTGAACCCGGGAGGCGGAGCTTGCAGTAAGCTGAGATCGCACCACTGCACTCTACTCCATCTCAAAAAAAAAAAAAAAATATTTGCCAAGTTCTACAAGTTCTGTCAATTCTTCCTTTGTTATTACTCTCCCATTCCCAACTTTCCTATCCCACTGCCATCACCCTTGTCATTGTCCTTGTCACTTTAATTCTGGATAGAGAAATAGCCGGCCTATAGTTCTATCTACCTCTCTCCACATCTATGGTGCTTATTTCTGCCATCTCAATCTTTATGAAGTGTGAATTTTTATCATAAAATTTCCTATGGAAAAACATTAGTGGCATATTTAACCTGCCATTGGAAAACAACTAGACTTTGCCTCAGTGAATCACGTTTTCAAATTTCTATTCTGTCCTAAATGTTCACCCAACACACAAGGAATCTGTTTCTGTGGTCTTTCTTGCTGTCTTATACCTACCTGAATTTCTATTTCATTTATTCTAGTATTTTTTTTGGATTTCAGAGATATGTGTGAAATTACAGTAGTAATGGCAGAAAAATGGCTGAAACTGCAACTTATCTAATCAATGTTGCTACCTACAATATAAATAGTGAGAAAAATTATTCATCATGTGTGTCTCACAAAACTTTTTTTAAAAAGGCAAATCCCGTTGATGTAATTAGATGCATTAGTCTATAAGCCTACACTTCATTGATTGCCAGTAACAAAAACCATACTGAAACTAGCTTAAAGGGGAAAAAGGGTGTATTAACTAATAAAGTTTGGAAGTCAAGGGGTAATCACTTCAGGCACAACTGGATTCAGGAGTACAAATTATTCATCATGACTTTTTATTTATATCTATCAGTGCTAATTCCAAGTATTTTTTTTTTTTTTTTGGTCTTTTCTTTCTTACAAGAGGCAAGCTTCTTCCTTGCAGGTAGGGTTGATGTCAGTCAGATAATTCAGTTTTTCCTGATCTGGATTTAGCAACTCCAGTAGGGAAAATAAAAAGAGCTTTTTTTCTTTCATGTATTCATGTAAGAATTTAAGAAAAGGATTCTGACATGCATGGGTTATGTGCATGTCACTTAGACCAATCACTCTTGGGTGATCACTTTTAATGATTGACCAAGCTTAGAACATATGTCCATTCCTATGGTCTGCTAAGATGACAGTCCCATAAAAATTACATGGAATAGGACTAGAACATTTCTCTATAAACATGGACCTTAATATTCCTTCCATCCTATCTCCCACAGCCTCCACTGGTAGATATGTCTCATCACATGATTAGAATTAAGCCCTTTTGAGTGAAAGGTTTGGATTTCTTTTAAAATATGTCATTGGAACAGAAACCAGTTTGAGATATTACTTATATAATTCTCTAATCCCCTGATAGTTCTGAAAGCAAGTTTAATCAATTAAAAAAAGGCGATGGATTTTTTTTTTTAAAGATGGAGTCTCACTCTGTCACCCAAGCTGGAGTGCAGTGGCACAGTCTCGGCTCACTGCAACCTCTGCCTCCTGGGCTCAAGAGATTCTCCTGCCAGATGCTCAGTAGATGTTTGTTGAATGAATGATTATCAAATTAAAGGATTTCCCATTTATGCAAAAAAAAAAAAAAAAAAGAGAGATTCTCCTGCCTCTGCCTCCCATGTAGGTGGGACTACTGGCACGTGCTGCCATGCCCAGCTAATTTTTATATTTTTAGTAGAGATAGGTTTTCACCTTGTTGGCCAGACTGGTCTCAAACTCCTTACTTCAAGTGATCCGCCCTCCTCAGCCTCCCAAAGTGCTGGGATTACAGGCATGAGCCACCGCACCCAGCCAGTAATGGATATGTTTTATGGTCAAATTCCAGAGCAGGAGAAGCTACATGAAATTACTAAGGGTGATGACACCTGGTTTACTCCCTTTATTATTTTGCCTCGATTTCTGTTCTGTTTACCTATGAATGTACAACAAATCTCACCAGAATCTAGGAAGTTAAAATAATAATCATTTTGCTATTATCTCACATAGTTATGAGGATTGATGGGGATCTATGGGACGACCCTCATTTGGCATCTCACGCAGAGGCATTAAGATGGCAGCTGAGGCAGGAGTCGCTTGAGGTTTCTACATTCACATGTCTAGTGCCTGGCCTGGAATAGCTGAGAGAGGTGTGCCAGATCGGCATCTCTCCATTTACTCTCTCCTACCTGTCAAGCATGGACTTCTCTACATGGGGCAGGACAGTCAGGGTACTCAGGACACTTGGACTTTTTATAGTCAGCTGGCTTCCACCGGAGCATGCACTCCAAGAGAACGAGGCAGAAACTGCCAGTCCTCTTAGAGTCTAGGCCTGGAGCTGGTCTAGCATCACTTCTTCTGTATTATATTGGTGAAAGCAATCAGAGGCCAGCCATCTTTAAGATGATGGAGAAATAGTTTCCACCTCTTAATGGGAGAATAGTAAGCACGTACAGGAATGGAAGGAATTGATGGCAGCCATTTTGCCGGCAAGCTACCACAACTACCATGGCCTGGGAGATTTGGAGGAAGCAGCAATAAACAATATTTTCTAACCACCTAAAAGGTGCAAAGGACCACTGAGGGTTCACTTTGTACTCATTCTTCAATGCTTCTTTTCAGATCCTCTCTACTCCATAGAGACAAATGTCAGTTTTCAAACCAAAAGAACTGAGTTGCATAATGTTGTAAGAAGTTGCATTTATTGAAAATGTAAACATAATTCAGCTTTTGGTGGGATTTTTGGTTTTTTGTTGTTTGATTATTCACTTTTTACCTACCAAATTGCAAAACTTAAAAATTATATTCAAAATTGAAAAGTGTTCTATAAAGGAGATATTTTCATATTTTATAGTTGGAAATGTAAATCAACAATACTGCAATATGACAATGAGTGTAAATGACATTAACTAGGTCAAGCACGGTGGCTCATATCTGCAGTCCCAGCACTTTGGGAGGCTGAGGTGGGAGGATTGCTTGAAATCAGGATTTCGAGGCCAACCTGAGCGAAAAAAGCAAGACCATATCTCTACAAAAATAAAAATTTTTAAATAAAAAATTAGCTGGGCTGGGTGGTGGATGCCAGTAGTGCCAGCTATTCAAGCAGCTGAGGCAGAAGGATCCCTTGTGCCCAGGGGTTAGAGACTGCAGTGACCCATAATGGTGCCTGGGCTCCAGAACAAGACCTTATCTCTAAAAAAAAAAATGAAAAGAAAGATATCAACCAATTAAAATGCCAGCATTCTTTGTCACAATAATTATCATTTGGGGGGATCAATTCTTAGCTAATCACTTGAAATGTGTGGAGAAGGCAAAAAATACTTTATAAAAAAGTGTATTAGTGAGGGATTATTTATAGTGGCAAAATTTTGGAAAAATTTAAGTGTCCAACAATAGAGACATGGATAATAACCTTGGAAAATCAACCTAATGAATCTGATTAATCATATAAAAACACATTTATAAATAATTTATAATATGAAAACACTTATGCTTCAGTGACAAATAGAAAGAATAGAACACAGAATTCATATATAGAGACCATAATCAAAAGTAGCTAATAAAAATGATAAGCTATGCAAGAGGTAAAAAAGAACGGAAAATAAAACTACCAAAAGATCAACAATGTTTAGGTAACCAGAAGATCAAACTATCAATAAATAATTTTTGCTACTTTTCTTTATTTCTAGGGACCTATAAATGACAAGCATCAATCATGTTCTTTAAAGAAAGAATGAGAGCAGCCTCTCTTGCCTTATCTTTATCATATAACCAACATCTTCTAAGAAGAAGCCACCTTAGCAAATGTTAAGAGACTTATTTTCTCCATTTTTTCATCAGGAAAAAAATATATATCCAAATGAAGATGCTGGGACAACTACAAGAAGTAGAATCTCTCCCTTCCCAGTGAGCCTAAAGTAAATGTAGCCTTTTAATACTGAAGTATGAAGTCATCGAACAGAAACTCCAGGCATTTTTAAAAAGTTCGAAGGCCCCAAGGAATAGAAGACAGATGGGCTTTAAATTATCAGAACACTATTTCATAGTCTGATGGCAAATCATAAATGATTTTGGAGTCTGAAAATGTTGCTGCTTTATAGACCTTGGCTGTAATTTGAGCATAACTTAGATGAGTTTCTCCTGAAAGTTGAGACTCTTAAAATGTTTATGAACGTGTTCCAGTTCAATTCAAGAAGCATTTATTAGATAGTTTGAAAACATAGCACTTGAAATGCTGAAGAGAGGTGAGATATTATAAACTCACACTGTGGACACAGTTCTCCATGAGCATCCAGGCCAGGACCAGGCATCCAGAGAGCCAGGAGTGGCCCCAACAGCACAGTGTCCCCATTACCCCAGTGCATCAGAGAGGAGGCAGAGAGGTGTTTTTAGAATATGAGAAAGAAAGAGGAGTAGAAATAGCGTAAGCTGAACATATTTTGCTTTTGATTATTTAAAAAAAAATGGCATTTGGCCATCTCCTGAAAAAAAGTTGATGTTCTTTGCTTAAAGAGAAGCAGAGATATACTCCTGTGTTTTGACAACACAGATTAAAGCTTTACTTGTTTTCCTTGGCACCCTTAAGTGAAAAAAAGCTAGGCTTTCTGCAGTTTCCCATCTCATTTTTCTGATGAAAAATTATGGATTAAATTATAACAGCCTGTTGGCAGGAGACAGTCCAGGTCTTTGATTAGGCATTTAATTGCCATACCAGTAGACATTTGAATGTGTGCCAGGGATGACTGTGGCTCTGATGGCCTTTGTCCATCAGAGACAGAGTCTCACTCATTCCCACAGAGCAGAGCTGATGCTATAATATTACATCTAACACCTCCTACACAATGTTGGGGGGTGGGCAGTACAGAAGGAAAATATGGAGCTGCTTATAAAAATGGGATTAATAATTTCAAGATGGTGACAGAAGAACATTAAACCCAGCATGAAGCCCTTCTGAACATGGAACCCTTCTGAGTGTGGAATTCTTTTGAGTCCACGTGTTCATGAAGCTGGCCCTGATGATTCCTATTCTTCCAGGCTTGGATCACATATTCCTATTTCTTTTAATTATTTACTAAGACTCTCAATCTATACCCACACCCTAGGCTGGTCCTCAGCAAATTTATAACCAAGTAACTGCTGTTTTCAACTCATTTCTTCCCCTCTTGCCCTCCTTCCCATGACTCCCCAAAGCTGGCTGTTCTCTGCTATAACCTGAGTGCTCAGAATCTTTTTAAGTCATATTCCACAAAGACCAGATCCTCCAGAGAAGAACCCTGCTTAAATAATATCTCCCCACTTCTTTAAAACTCAGCCAGATTGTACTCCATTTTTTCATATTAGAAAAAAAAAAAAACTTGATAATGCCAATGAACATGTCTTCCAGAATATACGCATTTACCCCATGACAGAATGTTCACAACTTAATGTGAGTAAGCTAAAATGCCAGAATTGTTAGTTCTCCCAAAATTCTCAACTGGGAGAATTCTCAAGAATAAAGTGTTTGATTACACGACAGCAGCTGCTGTCTGTAGCCATGAATAACCACACCTAATCACGTTACTAGGGTCTTCAATCTTAGATTGTCTCCTGCTAGAAGCACAAAGTTAGAAAGACTAGTAGGGAGACAATTTAGTTATCACCAGACAACAAAATAGGAAGATGCTTTCTTACAAAGATGCTTTATTTTAAGAGAATGAAACTTTCCCTCAACAAATACTCATTGAGCACCTATTTGTTATACTACTCTTTACTTTTAAAAGCATGCACAGGATCCTATTCAGCCCAGATAATATGTAGACATGGTTTTGCCACACACCAGTTGTATCAGGCTGTGTTTCCTGAGGTGCAGAGTGTGAGATGGCAGTTAGCAGGCAGGTCATTCACTGTGGGGAGCCTTGATATCACACTTATGCAATAAAAGGGAAGGAAGCGGGATTGGGCAGAAAAAGCCAACTGTGATTCAGCGACAAATGACAGCTTTAGCCAATCCCATGGGGCGTCTAGAACTAAACCCCCACATCCATCTGTCATTGAATATAGGTCATCCCAGGAAGACATAGCTCTTTTAAACTGAGGCAGTTCTTGAACTGGCTAATGGTATCCACTGCACCAGTTGTTAAAATACTGAAAGACTTCCAGTCTGTTTGGTATATCCAGCCATTGCCCTGATGCTTGGGCCACCCCAGCTTCTTAGAAACTAGGAATGATCTAACCTTATGACTAGTGTCTGTTCTAGTATCTAACAATTGCCATGCTACCACGATTGTTAAACATTTTGACTTTCACCTCTGGAACACTAAGAATGTCAGCCTAGATGGAAGAGTAGGTCCATGATCCATGATAAGGGAAGCTAAGATCTGTATGTAGGGCCAATTGACATAGACTTGAATGTTAGACTAAGAGTTTAAATTTAATATGGTTGTCTATAGGGAGCTAAAAAGAGTCCTATGTAAGAATCCTGTGAACTAAAGGTACAGTTTATTAGAAATAGGTATCTGGGATAAATTAGAGAAGAAGAACTCATAGACAAGTGAGAAATTATAAAATGAAAGAAAGGTGAGTAGCTGTGAAAATAAAGAAGGCCTGAATCCAAAATATATTAAATTCAAGTTGTGAGGAATCCAAGTTTACCAATTCACTTTTAGATGATGAACTCCAAACTTAATTATCCTTTTTCATTTATAATTCACCAACTACATGAAGTACTCTGCATTTCTGTCTTAATTAGAAAGGTTGCTTAATTTAATTTGGGCCTGCTGACCAAAAGACTCCATATTTAAACCCGCAATGCACAGTGATAAATAGGTTATAGAGTTTTTCTCTAGATCATTACAGGATGAATTCATTAAAGAGCATTCAAAACATTTCATTAAACAAGAATTTCTGAATCACAACTAATTTTGAAATTTACATAAAATATCTCAGAAGATTTACAAGCTCAAATTTACATTTCATAATTAACTCTAGAGCTGAAGTTAAAAACCAGGTATCACTGTTAGGTTTCCTTATTCCTGTAAAGAAAACATTCAGAAGGAAAAGCAGGACTGAGAGAAAACCAGAAAGCCTTAAGCACTTTACTGTCTCTTTGGCCGACCCGATCACCAACATCTCCAACTATACTATTTATTCCTTCTTATATTCAGCACAGCGGCCCTCCATAAATAATGGAGAAATATGGAGCTCAGGGACATCTTAAGGCATTATTTTCAAATGGTCTCCAATAAGATTTAGAATTTATGTGAGGTGATCAGAGTAGTAACAGAGGGACAAGAGGAGTCTATGGGGGCAGAGCTCCAGGCTTCTACCCACTAATTCAAGGGCAGCTGCTCTGCCTTAATTAATTTTTTTATATAGAGGCCTTTTACCAAATATCTACCTTAAATAAAATAAAACTTTAAAATATTCTATCTTTTTAAAAAAAGTTTGCAGACTACCACCATAAAGTGGCCCAAATTGTAACTGGAAAAAAATTACAAGTATGTGTCATTTTAAGATATCTAAGTATAAGTAATTTGGATGAGTTGAGAACTCATAAATTGATAATTTATGATAATTTAGACCTAAATCTTGACCACACTGACCTTTTCACTACGTATGGGGAAAAAATAGTTCAGCAATGGAAAGAACTGAGTACCCAAAAGGAAAGCTTTAAGAGAATAACCGAATTTAAAGCCAACTTTGCATATGGTTGGATTCTTACAAGTAATTCTGATTTAAGCAAGTGAGAAGAACCCTTATTTATGCTTAATATGGAGAAATATTTGTAAAGTTTATTTACATAAAATTAAATGATGTGTCAATAATATCTGATGCAGGATTTTTTTTTTTTTTTTTTTTTTGAGATGGAGTCTCGCTCTGTCACCAGGCTGGAGTGCAGTGGCGCGATCTCGGCTCACTGCAACCTCTGCCTCCCAGGTTCAAGTGATTCTCCTGCCTCAGCCTCCCAAGTAGCTGGGACTACAGGCGCCTGCTGCCACGCCGGCTAATCTTTTGTATTTTTAGTAGAAACGGGGTTTCACCATGTTGGCCAGGATGGTCTCCATCTCTTGACCTCGTGATCCACCCGCCTTGGCCTCCCAGAGTGCTGGGATTTTTTTAATGTATTGAGAGTAACCTTCTTTGAATTCAATCTGAATTAATTATATCTAAGTATAGGCTAAATTAGTTAATAGAAAAAATATAGCTAACTATAATAAAATGATACAAACAAAATTAGAACTTCCTGGCATTAGCGGTCATAATGGGTCAAGAATTCCTAAATCAAATCGAGAGATGGGAAAATAAAATTTTATTACAATAATGTTTGTTCTGAAAATATCTGTTGAGTATGACAGAATAAAATTAAACCCAGCAGGAAAGTTGAACTGTACAAACTTTAAGTTTCACACTGCTTGAGAATTAAGATGTCTGCCCTTTCCTTCAAAGTATTTTCTGAAGTTTTTTAAAGTTTTGTTGTTGTGGGTACATAATAGTCGTATATATTTATGGGATACATATAATGTTTTGAAACAAGCATAAAATGCATAAGGATCAAATCAGGGTAATTAGGGATATTCATCACCTTAAATATTTATGATTTATTTGTATTAGGAACATTGTAACTCCATTCTTTTAGCTATTTTTAAATATACAATAAATTATTGTTAACTGTAGTCACCCTATTATGCTAGCAAATACTAGATCTTGTTCATCCTCTCTAACTGTATTTTTGTACCCATCAATCTCCCCCACTTTATCCCCTGCTCCCACTACCCTTCCTAGCCTCTACTAATCAACATTCAATTCTCTATTTCCATGAGTTCAATTTTTTTGGTTCCATACGAATGAGAACATGTGATATTTGCCTTTTTGCACTTTGCTTATTTCATTTAATGTCCTCCAGTTCCATCCATGTTGTTGCAAATGGCAGGATTTTAGTTCTTTTTTATGGCTGAATAATATTCTATTGTGTATGTATACCACATTTTCTTTAACCATTCATTCATTAATGGACACTTAGGTCAACAGTGGAATTCAAAGTATTTTTCTCTGACATTGAGTTATAAAGATGTCATCTGCAAAGAATGTTTTATGTTGGAAAAAATGATCATTGATCATTGTAAATCCATTTTCTTAAAAACAAAAATCAATAAATGTGAACATAAATCTGATTAAGCTTTTAGTTCTAACAATCAAGTTGCAGGATACAGAAAACAGAGAAACTTGCTCAATGACAACACAGAGATGCAGACAGCAAAACACAGAATACAAGAAATGCTGCTAAACTTGGATTTTTCAACAAATAAACTGCAAGAGAGAAACAAAGGGGGAGGGGACCTTGTAGATTAAAAATAGATAAGAGATGTAGCAATGAATTAGGATGTACGTTTCTCATTTGGATCTTTATTCAAAGAACCTGGACAAAATTTGACAATAGACAACTCTAAACACAGGCTGCGTAAAAAGCCTTATATTTGGCCAGGCACGGTGGCTGTAATCCCAGCACGTTGGGAGGCCGAGGCAGACAGATCACATGGTCAGGAGTTCGAGACCAGCCTGGACAATATGGTGAAACCCTGTCTCTACTAAAAATACAAAAATTAGCTGGGCATGGTGGTGGGAGCCTGTAGTCCCAGCTACTCAGGAGGCTGAGGCAGGAGAATCGCTTGAACTCGGGAAGCAGAGCTTTTAGTGAGCCAAGATCACGCCACTGCACTCCAGCATGGGCGACAGAGCGATACTCCATCACACACACACACACACACACACACACACACACACACACAAAAGCCTTATATTTTAGAGATAAAATAACATTTATTAAAAAATAATACAACTTGCTTCAAAATAATCTTGGGAAAGGAATGGGCATTGCTATATATGAAACAAAATCAGACGTGAGTTAGTAATTGTTGATGCTGAGCGATGTGCACATAGAGGTTTATTGTATTCTCTCCTTTTGTATTTATTTAAAATTTTCCATAACAGAAAGTTAAAAATAAAATGAAAAAATAATGCAAATGTTATTTGCCTAGGTAAAATAAAGTGATTATAATGTATGTGTACTAAAAGAAACTTTTACATGTTTCGTAAGCAGGGGAGCCAGGCTCAAACTGTCTTGATTTCCACTAGCTACCTTGCATCAGCTACAAATCCCATCACCTCCTTGGCTGAAGCTGAAAAGCAACTGGAATGTGGGAAACTGCCATAAGATCTGGATCTTCCCATCACCGAAGTGAGCAGTTGAGGGTATGTGATAGGTAGATGTGATGCTTTCTGACAGTTCCCTGGACTGGCCTGCAAAGGGGCCTCTGCACCTACGTTTTGACTCCCAAAACCATCCCATGGTTAGGCTCACTTTTTTGTCCCAGCTCAGTCACCTCCCAGTCATGCAAATTCCCACTGAACAGATCTCTAGTCCAACCATTTAAATGTGGTCTGGAAGATAAGCCCAAATGACATCATAAAAATACATTAAAAATGACAATATTAGGTATGGCAGACAATGTGTCTTCAGTCTCTTCAGTATTTCCCCTTTCTTTCTTCCCAAAAGAATTCCAATATGTCTAATTTAAAAAAAAATTCACTTTCCAAAAATCTCTCAGAAGAGAGTTGACCATATAACATAGTCCTGGCCAATGGAACTTCAGCAAAAGATTTTGAGAGGGAATTTCAGGAACACTTTTTCAGAAACAGTCAACTCATTTTATTCTTTTTTTTTTCTTATTTCACTGTATGAATTGCAGTTTGACACTCAGTGCTGCAGCTGCCATATTGCAACCATGGGAGCAAAATCGACGTGCTCAAGATGACAGAGCAGAAATAGAAAAGGAGTCTCATTCCCTAAACAGCTGAACAGCCATGAACTGCCTACCTCCCAGACCAGAGGACATGAGAAAAATGAATTCCTATTTTATTAAACTACTGTAATGGGATTTCTGCTATATAGAGCTAAAAGTAATCTCTAACTGACATATCAGCTTATAAACTGTCCCAAATGTAAGAAATATGTTCTTATTATTAAATTCCCGGTTGGCGGGGGGGGAGGGTGGATCAAAGTCAAAAAAATTAAATATACATTGTTTTGTAAGTATAAGGCAAAATAATACAGTAAAAATATTATCCTAACAACTCCTCATGTTGGTTGGTGTCAGTCAAAACTTCCTGAAGCAGATGCTTGAGCATTGCAAATGCTTCTGCTGTCGTTAATATTCTGTGCACCCATGACTCAGTTTAAGTCTTTCGTTGAGACCATACTACACCTCCACCTTTTATTCGTGCCACAAGGAAACACAGATGTGTAATGTAAGCTTCTAATATGAGAAACCCACACACTCATACAATGTGAAGGAAACATACAAATGTAGTGATTTTAAATAAACAATGTATTATGGCATCCTGCTATCCACAGTGTAAGTACTATAACAGTCAGGATAAGGCCGCCCCACCGCTAGTCCATATTTTGCCTTTGTGCACATTAGAAAATTTTACCGCTTCCACAGAACATCTTACTGATATCTGTAGTGGGCATGTATGTATAATAATTATGCAAGTATCATATACAAAATATATTATGTAAACAGCACCCCCTAGAGGTATGCAGTATACAAGCAGCTCACTGTCAGCCCATCCTGGAGTAGGAAGAAATCAGTGTGGGCTGAAGTCAGAGATGTCATATATGGAAATGGTTTTGAGTAGAGCCGTCGATATATTAGAAAATAGAAGAAAGATCAAATTTTGTGTTTTTATGGAATTTAGATTAAGTTTTCATTATTTTAAGAAACTCTACTTATCTACAGAAAACAATACCAGATCTCGGATACTGATCATTATATCGTACCATGCCTGCAAAAGTAAATAACTTTTTAATCTTGCCATTAGAAATCCATGAGCATGTACCTTCCCATGCCATAAAGGAACTCACACACAGAGTGGCAGTAAATCAAATTTCAGAGGAACTTTTGCTGTGCTGGAGACTCACATTTGCAGGGGCATGCACACATGCAGGGGAAGATCATAAAATTACTCTTCCTGTCATAGCCTGCATGCAGCTTTGGCTGTTTGCACTGCCACCAGCAAGCAGCTTTACTGGTTGAGACACCCAAACCAGGGGTCTTGTTTGCAAAACAAATGAATATAACATTTAACCCCTTCCTGAACAAGACTATGACAAAGCAGAGGGACTTGATTTAATGTCTCATTCAAGTAAAATGCTCACTTGAGTGCTCTGGGAAAATACCTTTCAAAATATCTCTATGGTTCTTTTCAGATTAAAAATGGACATGATCTCATTCTTGGGTAAGATCCCATGGAAATTTACTTTCAGGTAGTTGAATTCAAGAGTATTCAGCCTGTAATCCCAGTGCTTTGGGATACCAAAGGGGAAGAATGGCTTGAGGCCAGGAGTTGGAGGCTGCAGTGAGATATGTTTGCACCACTGCACTCCAGCTTAAGTGACAGAGTAAGACTCTGTCTCAAAAAAAAAAAAAAAAGAAGAAGAAGAAGAAGAAGGAGTATTCAACTTGCTTGATGGGGCATCCAATACCCTAAGAAGTTTCTGAAGCAAAAGAATTCTTAGCCCTCTTCAGTCCTCTGATCACTGGATGGAACCAAATCTGTCTTTTTTTTTTTTTTAGAGAAAGCCTCACTCTGTTGCTCAGGCTGGAGTGCAATGACATGATCTCAGCTCACTGCAACCTCTGCCTCCCTGGTTCAAGCAATTCTCCTGCCTCAGCCTCCCAAGTAACTGGGATTATAGGCACATGATGCCACACCCAGCTAATATAGATATATATATATTTTATTTTAGTAGAGACGGGGTTTCACCATTTTGCCCAGGCTGGTCTCGAACTCCTGAGCTCAGGCAATCCACCCCCCTCAGCCTCCCAAAGTGCTAGGATTACAGGCATGAGCCACCGTGCTTGGCAAGTCTGTCATTTTTTAAATAATTTCCCCATGATTCAGATATTAGCTAGTGTGGCACTGGACTGATTAACCTTTTAAAAATTAAGCTACATAATTATCCTAGTTCACTTTTATTTTTCATAAGACATGATTCCCAATCTTTTGGAGGCCATGAGACTCATTGAAAATCACCATATTTATAAAGCACACTGCATAAAGAGTTGAGGCTGTTTACAGCCAGAAGCCAAAGACCTGGGGGTCTCTGGACAGCGTAGTCTCTGACCAGTCACCAAGGGCTGAGGGAATCAGGGCCTTGGCTCACTCGTAATTCACTCTAGGAAGAGGAGGGCACTCATGATAGGTGTTATAATGTCGAGAAGAAACGAAACCAGGATATTAGATTTTAGTTAGCTTCCTTGACTCCTCAATCCTAGAAATGGCTTTAGTCCTACTTAAGCAAGAAAACTTTTATATCTAATATTTTAAACCTAATGTTTTATACCTAGTATTAAGAATTTTTTTTTTTTTTGAGACTGAGTCTTGCTCTGTTGCCCAGGCTAAAGTGCAGTGGTGCAATCTTAGCTCACTGCCACCTCCACCTCCCAGGCTCAAGTGATTCTCCTGCCTCAGCTTCCCGAGTAGCTGGGATTACAGGCATGCACAACCAAGCCCAGCTAATTTTTGTATTTTTAGTAGACATAGAGTTTTGCCATGTTGGCCAGACTGGTTTCAAACTCCTGACCTCAAGTGATTCACCTGCCTCGGCCTCCCAAAGTGCTGGGATTTCATCCAAAATTATGAAATGTATGAAGCTAAGTCATTCTCATATGTTGTTCTAACAAATATATTAATTATGTAAGTATACATATTATATAATGTTTTCTAATTGTTTATTTTGAATCTATTAAAAAATCTTGGGGATCAGCGCAGTGGTTCACACCTGTAATCCCAGCAATTTGGGAAGCCAAAGTGGGAGGATCTCTTGAGCCCAGGAGTTCGAGAAATGCCTAGGCAACATAGTGAGACCTCATCTCTACAAAAAATTTAAAAATTAAAAACTCCTGTGTTTTTGTTTGTTTATTTTTACACAGGCATGGTGGCATGTGCCTGTGGTCCCAGCTACTCAGGAAGCTGAGGTGGGAGGATCAAGTAGGTGTAGGAGGTGGAGGCTGCAGTGAGCCACGATGGTGCCACTGCACTCCAGCCTGGGTGACTGAGTGAGGACCCTGTATCAGAAAGAAAGCACAACAAAACAATCTTGGTTTTTAAGATACATCAGTAGAAACTAACCTCTTTCATGCAATCTTATATTATTTATAATAGGTTTCAGTAGATTCTCCTGGTTTTTCTAGGTCCAGAATTACACAACTCAAAAATAATAGTTTTGCCCTTAACTTTCTAAAAATGTTGCCTCATACATTTTTTAGTCTCTATTGCTAAAGTAACTTTACTAGGAATCAGTTTTATTAAAATTATGTTATTTTGGGGGGAAGGGATAACTCTGTTTCCAATGTGTCTCCAGATTTTGAGAGTTACATTGATGTTAATATACATAAATAACACACATGGGGTTTGTGCTGTATTTGTATAACTTCTAACCTGATTTCCTTTTTATAAATTATCTTTTCTGCTAAGTCCAATCTGCTATCTATTTCACAGCTTTTGTTTCGAGTTATTGTATTTTTTTGTTTATGAAAGTTGGATTTGGTTCTTTTTTTTCCAAATCTGCTAAGTTACCTTGAAAATATGTTAAAGAACATCAATTTTTTAAAATATAGTGAGCTGAGTTGTTTAAAATCTGTGAATGGTAATTTTAACATTTGAATTCTGCATCCGACTATTTTATACCTGTTGTTTCTATTGGTTCTTGTTCATGCTGCCTTGTTTCTTTGTGAGCCTGCTTATCTTTGAAAGCTTGCTGACTATTACTCTTGAATGATTATTTGTGAGGGTTCCCTAGGATCCAAATTGACTATGTTCTTCCCTAGTGAGATATTGTGCTTGCATCTGCCAGGTAGCTGGGTACCCCGGAATATTATCCAAGTTCATGGATAGAAGTTATTTGACCAACCCCAGCAATGTAGGATATGGCTACAAAATCCTAGTGGTGATTTTATTTCCTCTGTTTTTCTTCTGCTCTACTCAAAGCAGGGTAGTCTGCTTTGCAGTTCAAGGTGTGGGATCTGGTAGTGGGTACAATCAGTTTACACAAATAAAGGTTACATAGTTAAATCTGAATTTCAGATTAATAATAGATCATTTTTAAAGTACAAAAATATCACAAATATTGCATGGAGCAATACACTAAAAAAACTTTTCATTGTGTAGCTGAAAGTTGAACTTAACTGGGTGACCTGCATTTTATCAGGCAATCATGGTAGTGGGTTTAGTTCTTGTCCATACTTCATCCTGAGGGTATACGCCTTAGTCATCCCAGCTCAATGTTGGGGGTGGGTGTCTTTTAGGAGTCCCATCCCTCATGGGAAGATTGTGGGCCTTGTCTTCTGTATGTCTTGTCCCACAAGGTTGCAAATAAATCCCAAGTATGCAGCATAGACAAATGCCCCCAAGAAAAATGACATTGGTGTTCAAATATTCTGCTTATGTACTTGATTCTGATTATCTTCTCAAACTGGTCTGGCAGCTGTCCACTCTCTTTTCAGCTTGTCAATGTTTTTAAAGAAATTGGTTTGCTTTTATTGGTGGGTGCTACCCCAGCATTTTGTTGTTGTTGTTGTTTAAGCAGGAGAGATAACCTGAAAAACCTAGTATGAATTACTGACAAAGTTGTGGGGACCATTTTTAGCCACAGAGGACTGAAGGCTGTGTCTTTCTAAACTACCGAGCAGTGCAATTGCATATGAAGTGTATGAAAAGGTAGTATTTCTGCAATAGGCATAGCTTTATTTGGCAGATATATTTTCATACCTTAAGCACTAGTAAATTGAACATGTAAAACTGGAGCTTTCATCCCAACTGGAATTGATTACTCCTTCTTCAGAGCTCTCAAAGCAATTTGTAAATTAATATGGCACTAAACCTTTCTCCAAAGTATAGATTTGTACACATACATCTGTCCTTCCCTTTCGATTGAAAGCTTCCTGATGGCATAGTTTTGTTTCCTCACCTTCAAATTTCAAATAGCCCCAGTAAAGTAGTGGCTAAAATGCTTTCAGCACTCAAAAGATGTGTGTTAAATTACATTGAATGAAAAGGACACTGGTAGAGATTTTATCCAAAACCAAAGGTAATACGCTTCCTAACATTTAAAAAAAAAAAAAAAAGACATATAGATGCAAACAGGAGAAGCCAAGTTGGTGGCAGATGTAATATGTGAACATTATTTAAGAAGGGAAGCAGGGCTGCTACATGCTATTAACACTTAATTTTAAATCAATTTGCCAGTGGCCCATATAGGGGGCAGTACTTTGAAGGAAGGGCACAGGAGAGATGTAAGTTAATGAGGACAGAGGAAGGGCTATTACTGGAGCCTGGAGGATCACATGATCTAATGGGATGCCATCCCTTTTGTGCAGTTCCTGGTTTTCTAACCCCTGCAGATCAGGGTTTTAGAAAGGCAGGAACTGCACAAAAGGGATGGACTAGGAAGCAGGCTGGAACAACGTACGTAGGTGTATAAAATTGGAAACAGGAATATGGGAGAAAAATGGTTTCTACTTTCAATCGTGCCTACATTGAATAACAATCCTCCAGCAGACTTTAGAATTCTTACTAAGTAGGAGCAAAAAAAGGAAGTTGGGATACGGGCAAGGATCCCAGGAAGCTATATCCAAACTTCCTACAGCTTATCTCCTTGTGATAAAGAACGTTCGCCCTAAGAAGTTATTTGCTAAGGCATCTGTAAATCCCTCTGTGCTAACAGCAGCCCATCTCCTCATTCTGTATCCCTGCCTTCATCAGGGGAATTTGGATGTAAGTGCCTGCCTTAAAGAACAACAAAGCAAATGAGGGGATTAGTGTCATTAAAGGGCACCACAAGTAGTGTCCAGAGCAGAGCAATCAGTCATAATCGGATTTATCATCCTGCACAGGGCAGGGAAGACAGGAAAAACATCATATGAGCCCAGATAGAGGAGAGCAGGCCATGTTGACTGAAGGGTTTTTTCTTGAGAAAATGCATGAACATGTGGTTTTGTGGCTGTTGTGTGTTTGGTTTGATGTTCTAGGTACAGCCAATTGAGGGTATCCCTCTGCCTTAAAAGATAGGATAGTTGATTATATTTTTCAGCTTGGCAGGGCCACAGGGTGTCCAGATATTTAGTCAAACAATATTCAGGGTATTTCTGTGAGGGTGTTTTTGAATGAGATTAACATTTAAATGAGTGGATTTTGAGGAAAGCAAATTGTGCCAGAAAATGTGGGTGGACCTCATGCAAGTAATTGAAGGCCTAAATAGGATAAAAAGAGTGTCCTGTCCTGAGTGAGAATCCTCCAGCAGGCTGCCTTTGGATTTCATCTGCAACATCAGCTCTTTCCAGTTCTACAGCAGAGTGCCTTTGGACTTGAACCAAAACATCAGCCCTCCTGGTTCTCCAGCCTGCCATCCTATCCAGCAGTTTTTAAACTGGTCAGCTGCCACAGTTGCATGAGCCAATTCTTTATAATAAATCTGTATATATATTTATGCCTAAGTGGCTCTGTTTCTCTGGAGACCCCTGACTAATACAGAAGGGACACTCCAGAGGAGGGAGAGAAGGCATATGGGCAAACAAAGGACAATTGGCTTCACCCTGGACCCCGGAGAAATAAGATTTTTAAATACTTTTCAGGACCAATTTCTCTATTTCCTTCTAGTTTGACCTCCTGAGTTCTGTCATAACATCAATTGTTAAAAGAGCCTATTGATAGGCAGAATGTTAGGTGGGTTTGTTGGACACATAATGTCCATTTTAGAGGAATCCAATTTCTTGTCAAGCCTGACTCCAAAAGAGAGATATTCACAAAATGTTTTGTTAGCATTGCTAACCAGAAACAATGCCAAATTTTACCACTAAAGGAAGCAAGCATTTTTTAAAAATTTGCTACCTTTTGACTATCTTTGCTATGCACCTTATGGTCTGAAAAAAAAAATTTAAAATAGTTTTTAGAAATTTTGCTCAGGTGGAATGGCTGATCCCCCAACTCTTCTTACTGATAACATCCATAAGAAACAGGGAGTAGTGGAGGGTATGAGAATGAACCCAAGGTACCACGTCATGCTCTAAAAAGTCTTGCACAGAGACTTGGCTCCCCATGTCCAAAGCTCAAAAATCACTAGTTTTAAATGTTTTATATCAAAGACAGGTGTCTTTTTTTTTCTTTTCCCATGTTTATAGAGGGTTATGCTTGAGTCCAATATCTGTATAGAAATAAACCACCTGAACATGGAAAGAACAAAAGAATATCACGACACAGACAGTTGTCCATGTAAAGGCATTGCCTGGAAAGCCACAGGTTGTGACGCAGAAGAGGCTACCCAGGAAGTATTATTTCATGTCTAGTTCTACGATAGTATATATTTTAACACTACAATTCCAATAATTTACTCTGCTAATTTGGAAATAATGATCATCCTGATTTTGGATGAATTGGGGACTCTCAGAGCCATTCGTTTAGCACACACGGTGTGGTGTCACAGTTACAAGCACAGGCTCTAGTGTTGAACCGCTAGGCCCAATCCCAGGTTCACCACTTGCTGGGCATTGGAGACAAGTTACTTATCCTCTCTACATCTGTTTCCTGTTTGAGAAGTATATGTTCCTGTTGTTAACAATAATAAAGAATATGCTTCATAGATTGCTGTGAGAATTGAACAGAATAACTTATTCAAGGTGCCTAGGACATAGGAAATTCTCAATAAATGTTATTTATTATTAGAATCATTATTATTTAGAGAGTTCACATAAATAAATCAAGAGTCCTTGAGCAAAAGCTTTATATAGACAATAAGCAAAAGAGGTAAGAGCCCTACATGAAGTGGCTGTGAAATGAGAAGACTTGCCTAGCATACCTTTACAAATAATTACCCTGTTAAACTATTCTGTACTTGCTGCAAAGAGGAAGCTGGTCCGTCTGTGGACAGCCACAGGCATTGCCTCCATGTAGAGAAACATTAGGGGTCATTCAATTCTGTAGTCCTGTTGGCTGTAACTTAAGATAAGTAAGATAAATAAACTCCGGACCAAATAAGAGCCAGCTCTGCCTGGGAATAATTTATAAATTGATTTATCAAAGTCTATTTAAGTCATTCTCTGATAGTTTCTTTCTTGAGTTTTTACAACTACCAAAAACTTTTCTTATTGAGATAAATTATATAAATTACATAAATATTTTAGTATGTACTAAATGTTCATTTCTCCCAAATTTAAACTGATAGTGCTTATTTGTAAATTCATTATTGCACATCCATGTACTAATGCAAATAATAAAAAATAATAATGGCATAAAATGGGTTTAATTTTTACCATATTTGAAAGAATTGAGTCCTCAAGGTTCTCAACAAGCCTGAACCCCATGAAAATAAAGCTCCAGTGGAGGAAACAGCCTGCATTTGCTCTGTCTGCTTTGTTAGATTCCCAGGACACTCATCCATCCATTCCCTCACTTCATTCTTGACTGAGGGGAAAAAAAATAACCTGATAATTTGTTATTCTTATCTAGATTGTGTCTTCTACCTGACCACAAGTTAATAAAACAATTTGAATTGTTCCATGTATAAGAGAAGAAATTTTGAAAACAGATTCCATTCTAAAGTTGCTCATAATATTAAAAGTGAACTAACTCTCCTATTTGTGGTGCATATGAATTATTATTTTAAAACTATGGCTATTGAGAGTAGCAAAGATTCTGAGCCTGCCACTGTCAAACTCCCACTATGAGAATCTGTTGTGGACATCTCACCACGGAGGAAGGTCAATCACAATCTCACCTTCCTAAGAAAGAGACTCATCCTTCAGCCTGAACTTGGCCTTGAGAAGGAGAAAACACAGAGAGGAAACCTCTCCCTTTCTGTCTGGGAAAGGCTAACATGTCTTGGAGACAGATTTGGGTTGGAAAGTGTTAAGATGGCAATCTTCATCAAGAAGCAGCACTGAGGTTAAGAAAGGAGGGATCAAGTAAAGGTGTCCTGCAAGAAGTCTAGTCTTTACTAATGACCCTGTGTTGATTTCATACAGCTCTACCTTGGTATTTCATGAGGCTTTATAAAGACTTCCAGCCAACCTCAGATTTTCGCAAAGGCAAAATAAAGGGAAGAATGATTTTTATCTTGTGAGTGTCAAAAGAGTGAATGTCTTGAGACCCAGCAGGGTAGTGTGGTGAAGAAGGTGGTCATGTTGATAGCAGTGGTGGTAATGGTGGTGATGGCCTTATTCAAAGAAAAAGAGCCAGTCTTAGAAAAACAGGATCTGATGGGGTCATTCAGGACTCCCTCCTCACTGAGAAGATCTCTTTCAGAGTTCACTTTGAGAGAGATTTGTTTCACATTTTTGAATGTGCAGAACTGTTAATCACTTAAATTGATAATATATCTCGTTTACTTTACATTTTTATTTTTTAACATGTTTAAAATACTACAAATCTATGTAGGAGTAGATTACATATGTATGTATTTTATTGAAAAATATTCCTGCAATTTATAGGCATGCAAAATGTAACATAATAAGTATCCTTTCAAGCAAAGAATAGAAGGAAATTTTCTCAAAGTGTATTTGAAAGAAACCTACAGCTAATATCATATTTAATGTTAAAAGACTACATGTTTTACTCTTAAGATCAGGAATTTAAAAAGAATACTTCCTCTCACTCCTTCTATTCAACTCCTTCTATTCCCTAGAGTATCCAGTCAATGTAATAAAAGAGTAAAATGAAATAAAGGTATAAAAATTGGAAAGGAAAAATAAAACTATCTTTATTCTCAGACAACATAATAGTGTGTGAAGAATATCCTAAGAAATTTACAAAAAGATACTAGAATTAATAAGTGACTTTGACAAGGTTGCAGGAAACAAGATCAATAAACAAAGATCAACTTCATTTATATAAACTAGCAGTGAAATCATTGAGTTTAAAATTAAATTAATAATTCAATTTATATTAGCATTTAAAAACACAAAAACACTTAAGGATAAATTTAACAAATATGTGAAAGCTACTAAAATCACACCCCTAGTTAAAAAAAAAATTAAAGAAGACCTAAATAAATGAAGAAGTACACATGATTTTCGTGGATTGGATGAGTTCATATTGCTGTCACTGCAGTCCCAATCAAAATCCCATCACACATTTTTGCACAAACCAACAAGCCAAGTCCAAAATATAATTGAAACACAAAGGAGCTAGAATAGCCAAACTCTTTTTTTTAAAGTTCAAAGTCGAAGGACTCCTAATTTCAAGTAAAGTTACGGTAATCAAGACAGTGTCATACTGATGTAAAAACAGACATACACATCCATGGAACAGAATCAGTAATTCAGAAATAGATCTACAAATTAATTTTTTATAAATTGCTAATGGAAAAAGTAGCATCTTTTTCCATAAATTATGTGGGAACCACTGGATATTGATACAGATATTGATATTGATATTGACCTTATACTATACATAAAATTAATTCAAATAGATCATCGACCTGTTTGTAACAGTGAAGATTATGAGACTTCTAAAAGAAAACATAAGAGAAAATATGATTATGAGATAGGCAAGGATTTCCTAGGCACAAAAAACACAAAGCATATAAGACAAAATGATTTATTGAATTTGATCAAAATTTGAATGTTTACTCTTCAAAAAGACACCATTTTTTTAAAAAAGGCAAGTCAGAGACTGAGCAAGTGTTCACAGCATGTATATATCTGACAAAATACTTTTATCTAAAATATGTGAAAAATCATACATCTTTATAAGAAAATAAACAACATATTTAAAAATACAAAAATATTTCAATAGACACTTCACAAAATAAGAAATTACAGTAGTCTTTAAGGACATGAAAAGATGCTCATCCCCATTATTCAACAGGAAAATGCACACTTTAACCATAATTATGTTTCACTATATACCTATAAGAATAGCTAAAATTAAAATGTCTGACTATACCAAATATTGATAAGGATGTGAAGCAACTCAAACTCTAATCTCTGCTGGTAGGAATGTAAGATGACCCAACCACTTTAAAAAATAGTTTGGCAATTTCTTTAAAGGATACACAAATACCTACAAAATGATCCAGTCATTCCACTTCTAGGTTCTAGGTATTTACACAAGAGAAATGACACTGTATGCCCATGCAGAGATTTGTACACAAATGTTCATAGAACCTTTGTTCATACTATCTCTAACTGGATACAACGCAAATGTCTATAAACAGGTAAATAAACAAATTATGCTATATCTATACAATGGCGTATAAGAAGGACCAAACTACAAATACATGGAATGTGAATAAAACTTAAAATTATTATGTAGAGTGAAAGCGACCAGACTCAAAACAGCATATGCTCTAGGTTTATGTTTGTTTGAACTTCTGGAAAAGACAAATCTAACCTATAAGGACAGAAGATGGATCAATGGTTGCTTAAGACCCAAGGTGTGAAAGGAGTTGATTTGGAATGGGCAAAGGAATCTATCATGATGATTAAAACATTCTGCCCCTTGATTGCAGTGATGGTTATATAGATGTATACATTTATCAAAATTCATCAAATTATACACTTAAAGTGAGTACATTGTGTTGTGTGTAAGTTATTCCTCAATCAAGTCAATAGTAATAAATTTCAACAAAATATAAATGTCAAAACTTAGCCAAAATATAGTCCTGCCTTCTTTTTCCATTGCTATTTTCCCTTCTCCGGCCCACCTGTCTATAATATCTACAAATAAAAGTATGTTGCTACCTTCCTGTTAGGGTCAATGAGGCTTGAACACAGAAAACTAAACATCTTCATAAAAAGTGCAAAAAAAAAGTCAATCTATCATGAAAATAGTTTACATTGTTGAATGCTTAGAGCTGATTAAATAAGCATTATTTAAACATCATTTAATTCCATTTCCTTTCTTTTCATTCAGTTGTAGAAATACAAGGATATCGTCAGAGCTTTTCCATAGGCAAAAATAGCCACATCAACCAAAAAATTAAAGGGCAGAAATAAGCCTTTTAATTTTTTAAAAAATCAGCTGCCTGATTGCTGTCAAAGATTGTCTTATTTCATAAACTCTGGGAATAAATACATAAAATGACTGGCCAAACTGTTGGACTAACATCAACTCTATTAAAAGATTCTTTCTTGTGCCTCTCAAGAGTGCAAAAATACAGAGGAAAACTCTCCCTGTCATCTTGCCCTGCCTACATATGACTTACATGCCAAGTGTTGCCCTTAGCACTTTCTCGTGCTTTTGACCCAACAGGAGCAGGAGCTCAGAGTGACTGTCTGCTGTGCAATTGAACCTTAGTTGAAATTATTTGAGAAAAAAATCGCTGAGCAAAGTCTGCTGCTATTTGTTTCTGATTCCCAGCCCCCGGGGCTTAGATTTTACATCAAGATGCAGATGTCGTGAAGAAGGTCTGTGGATATGATTGACAGACAGGATCTAGGAAACACTGCTGGGGTTCCCAATGTCGGGAAGATAAAACTTTCCATTTGTTTAAATGGAAGAAATAGCCAGTATGAAAAAAATAACTTGCAAATACTAGTTCCTTCTTCCTTCTCTTTTCAAAAGTGTGTTTAATCCAGAAAATTACTGTGAAAATTCTGTCTTCCATCCAGCTTTCACTCCCTAGTCCTAACTTGCTAGCATGCTAAAAATGTCGTTACTAGAGTGGATAAAGTCACCAAAAAAAAAAAAATAGAAAATTGAAAACTAAAAAAGATCTATGTCAGTGGCTGCCAAAAACGAGAAAATTATACTGTAGGAAATATGAGGGGACTTTCAAAAATAAGTCCACCAACTCCTACTTGTCTACCAATTTAAGATTGCTCTGTCCTCTCCTCTTTGACCAATGTGACCGATGTCCCTGGTCTGTTCACATTAGTGATGCCCCATGTATGTACACACACATACACACACACACACACACACACACACACACACACACACACACACCGGGCAATGCTCATGCCTTTATTCTCTCACTAACCTAAAGAACAAAGCATCAATCTGCAGAAGTACATTCAGACTTGTATGCTGCTATCATATTGATTCCTACAGAAAATTAACTCAAACAATGAATCACCAATATATTCATTTGTTTAGCATATTTTGACAGTCTGGTAGATTCTTCATTAACTTTGTTTTCCAAATATTTTTCAGCACATCAAAAATGCTTTTAGTACTGGATGTATAAGGTCCAAAGATGCTTGAAATTAATGGATTTATAAATTTCAACATAAATGTAAAATCACTCTAAGGATAAAGAAATGGAAGAAGGCTGAAGTGGTGGCATGTGCCTTTAGTTCCAGCTACTCCAAAGGCTGAAGCAGGGGAATCGCCTGAGCCCAGGAGTTTGAGGCTGTAGTGTGATACGATCATGCCGTAAATAACCACTGCAGTTCATTCTCCCTTCTTCCTTTTCTCACTCTCTCTTCCTCTCTTTCCTTCTTCCTGTATCTTTTGAAAATCCAAATCACAAATGAATGTTGACTCATTTATATCTGTAAAAAACTTATGTTTATTTTGCACATGCTTATGTGTTTTTTGTAATATTTTCTGCCATTTTGCATGCCATATGACTTTTCTCTCCGTCTCCTGTGAGAACTTGGAAGACGGAGTTGATAAATTCTTTTTCTTTTGGCAATCTTCTCCCTTCACCTGCACCCACTACAGTTACCAAAATATATATAGCATCTTGTAAAAGATTCTGCTCAGAATTGGTACTTGGCAAATTCGTATACTCTAAGTGAAGAGAATTAAATACACCAAATAGAATTATACCTGTCTATGAAATTAGGTAAATATATTAAAATCACTGCAATACAAAGAAAAAATCACTTTTGAAATGACACTGACTAGTCTAAACATAGATTTACATTTGTCATATTTTCCAAAGCTGATACTACAAGGAGAGTCTTTTCCTAATCCTGTACAAAAACTAAATATTTATAGGATTAACACAGATTTTGTGCTTTGCATTAATGGTGTCCACTTGATATACACATCACTCATTGATCATACTAAAATTCTGAGACTAAATTTGAATTACCTGTGAATCATATTCAGAATTTAAGAAATATTAATGCATTCTACACTTGTAGCTTTGAAGTCTTGAGAAGATCAAAGAGACTGTTCAGCTGTGAAAACCTTCTTAAGAGCTTTCTAAAACTTTACACATCATACGCATTTCACATATAAGACAAGATTTAGGAGAATTTAGGTCACAGTGGTATAAATGTCAACTCATTTGCTTATAATATAAATAATGTAAATGTTCTTCTATAACAGCTATGATCAAATTCTGCTTTTTGATAAAATACAGAAGCAGATGGTCTGCTCAGGATGATTAAAGCTAAGTAAAGTATTTTAATATGACTAATTTAGGGAAAGAAGGAAGGAAGGAGGGAGGGTAGGTGGAAAGTTGAGAGGAAGGAAAGAAAAAGAAAAAGTTCTATTTAAATAATGATATTTATAGTTAGAAGAGCTAGTAATGATCTGGCCCAACAGATTTATTTTTTCAAGTGGGGAAACTGAGGCCTAGAGTTTAGAAGTAACTTGCCACTTTTTTTGTTTCTCTTTGCTATTAGTATACCACTTGTCTCATTATATATCCTAAATATATGGTATGATGTCCAAAACAATCAACCTGTCATCTACAATATTTAAAGAAAAAGCAGACTTTCTTAATCTAACTAGAATCCCAGGTTAAAGTATTTTCATTCTAGAAAAAAAAAAATTGGTACACAGTCACACATTGCTTAATGATGGAGATACATTCTGAGAACTGCATCATTAGGTGACTTTGTCATTGTGTGAACATCATGGAGTGTACATACACAAACCTAGATGGTATAGCCTAACACACATGTAGGCTAAATTGCTCCTAGGCTACAAACCTGTACAGCATGTTACTGTACAATTACTGTAGTCAATTGTAACACAATGGTAAGGATTTGTGTGTCTAAACTTATCTAAACATAGAAAAGATCAGTAAAAATGCAGTACAAAAGATTTTTTTAAATGGTATACCTGCATGACCTTTATTATGGATGGAGCTTGCAGAGCTGGAAGTTCCTCTGGGTGAGTCAGTAAGTAAGTACTGAGTGAATGTAAATGCCTAGAATATTACTGTATACTACTGAGGACTTTATAAATAGTGCACACAAGTTGCACCAGGCTTACCGTTTTTAAATTTCTTTCTTCAATAACAAATTAATCTTAGTTCCCTGTAAGTTTTTTACTTTATGCACTTTTTAATTGTTTTATCTTTTTGATTCTTTTGAAGTAATGCTCACATCAAGTAGAAGAGAAAATTATGCAATCAACAAATGTAGTAAACACAAGATGTATGGGCTTCTGCTGGTGTAACCGGGCATACTGCTCTACAGTAAACATTTTTTATAGGTAGAAGGAGTACATTGTAAAATAACAATTAAAAGTATAGTATAATAAATATGTAAAACAGTAGCACAGTCATTCATTGTCATTATCAAGTAGTATGTACTGTACATAATTGCATGTACTATAATTTTATATGAGTGGCAATGCAGTAGGTTTGTTTACACCAGCATCACCACAAACACGTGAGCAATCACCACCAACATGTGAGTAATGCATTGCTTCATATATGCAATAGAAATTTTTCAGCTTCATTATAACCCTATGGGACCACTGTTGTATGTGGTCCATCAATGACTAAAACACTGTGGAACAGCATGTAACTGTACTTAATAAACAAGGGAAAATAACAAACCTAAACTCAATCTCTAGATCTCTAACGAACATAAAAGTGGGAAATGTGTATTTACCCAAATATGTTGAACAAAAACCACGGATATAGACTGCATGCTTCCTTCAACCAGAGTTCAAGAAGAGAGGGTAAATTAATAGAAAGTAAGTAGGCTTTGGAGTTAAAACAAAATAATAATGATAATTAAATTTGAATTCCACATCTAATCCTTAATGATTATGTGTTATGGGGCAAGAAACATAACTAAACTGTCTTCATTTTCTGTCATTCTTAAAAGGAGTATAATAATGCCCATGTTATGCAGTTGTAGTAAAGATTATAGGAACTTACACATTTAAAAGTCTTAGTACAAAGCCTGGCACATAAAACAGCCTAGGGCTGTTTCTATCTAACTAAATCTAGAAATCAAGGTTCAGAGTACCTTCTCCCTTGCGCATTGCACACCCCTGACACATCCCATACACTGCACTTATATGATCCACTGCAGTGAGTTTCATTGGCATTAAAATTTTTCCTGCTAGTGATTCATTATGACATCCATATTATAGCTCATTTTGCATTAATCATAATTTAAAGAAGGTTTTTTTCTTTTACCTAATGTCAGATATGCTTTTTATCTCACATCAACGGACTGTTCTAGGCCTAAGTTCCTCCCATCTAATGTTCCTTGAACTAGGCCAACCTGTCTGTGTTCTTGGCCAGGCATTTGCTATCTTGATCATATCAGACTTGGATAATAACAGGATTTTCAGTAGCAGAGTTTCCAGGAACAAGCACCTCAAACAATGCTTATAAAAGCCCAACTGTCTATTACAGGAGTAAGTAAAGCAGTTCAATTTGATAGTTGTCTTTGGTTGTCCACTGAGCAGGAAAAACATAAACGTACAGGTCCTAATGAGGGAATTGCTAGCCCTTGCTACAATATTGGAAAAGAAGACAGCAATGGGAGACCACACTCCAATAATCTAAACTGCATTGGAGAAACAACTATCTGGTAAACTAAGATTTAGTAAACAATGACCTTGTAACATTTTTTACAAATGGGATTATTTCATTCCTCAGAAAAGCAAAACAAAACAAAACCAAAATGAGTGAACACGCACAAACGCTATGAAACACTATTCTGCTCTGCCTGCACTCTTAGTTCTTTTTCTTCTCTTAGGCAATGTTTTCAGTGCAAATTCACAAAATCATAGCCTAACCACTTCTTAACTTCAGACTTTAACGTGGTCCTAGCTATCTGGTGTTCTTTAAGCTTTGGAAACTTAGAGAATAGCACCACATCAATAGGCTCAAGTGTGTTACCTGTAGGGGACTTGACAGGTCAAAAAGCGATGGCTGTATAAGTAGAAAAGTTTATTTAGAGAGCAACTTCATTTTGTTTTTCCTGCCAGAGAGTCAGAAAGCAACCCAACCAGCTCACTTCAGTAAAACCTGAAAATCAAATGGGAAACCAGACAAATACAAGAATGCACTTTTAAACAGTCTGAGAGTTTCTGGACCTATTTTACATGAGGTTTCAAATGCCCACACCATGCTATTCAGAAGCAAAGGTAAACATTGCTCTACAACCACAATTGATGTCCTCTCAGTTCTCCAGTGGCAGTGCTTGCAGAAGCTGAGTGAGAGTGACACACAGACTCAGCCTGATCATCAGCCTTGAAGCAGTGACCTGGGCATGTCCCCAGCAGAGGGCCCCCTGCCCTAACTAATAAGACCGGGCTCCAGTAGCGGGATGAAGCATTAGCAGGTTATCACACTGAAAATGATGGGTAATTGCACTGGTTTTAACATATGGAATTGTGTCTTTTCAGTGAAAAGTGGATTTTCAGAGGGACTCTGAATGCTGCTTCAAATGACATCACTTCTTTTTTTCTTTTTCTTTTTCTTTTTTTTTTTTTTTTTTTGAGACAGAGTTTTGCTGTTGTGCCCAGGCTGGAGTGCAATGGTGAGATCTCGGCTCACTGCAACCTCTGCCTCCTGGGTTCAAGCTATTCTCCTACCTCAGCCTCCAGAGTAGCTGAGATTACAGGCGCACCACCACGCCCGGCTAATGTTTTCTATTTTTAGTAGAGACGGGGTTTCACCATGTTGGCTAGACCGGCCTCGAACTCCTGACCTCAGGTGATCCACCCGCCTCGGCCTCGACATCACTCCTTAAATGGCAAAGATTCCTTATGATGGATGGATGGACCCAGTGGCACCTTAGACAAGTGAAGGTGCACATAGTTCTTAGTGGAATCTGACAGCAACCTAACGCTGATTTGTCAACTGAGGCTGAGATATTATGGTATTGATCAGAGGGAATAGTGTCTGCTTAATGACATTGAAAACCAAATTACTTGGAGAATGGGATGCTTTAGTTCTTTGGACTTTTGTTTATCTGAGAAACCCTGATACTTCAACCCTTATGATCAGAATTCTTTGAACTTGAAAGAGCCCACTTTCCATCTGGGCTCCATTAGGAGTATGCTGAATATAACTAAATTAGACAATTTGGATTTGGCACAGATACTCGAATTGTCAGTAGTTGTGGATGAGGAAGTTACGAGGGATTGAAGCTGAGAAATACTGACCCCAGGACATACACCAAAAGGCCATTAATTCATTAAGCAAATAATTATTGAATATCTCTTCTCTGCCAGACATGGAGAACAGATATGTTTGAGGAGAGAAGGGGAGGAATTGACTAAATATTACACAAATAAATATTTAATCACGGACAGCTGTGTTCAATGTTATAAAGGCAGAGAGCAACAAGTGAAGTAAAGCAGGGAGCTTGGCGTCTGCCAGCAGTTGGAGAAGGCTTCCTTGGGGAGCTGACATTTAACCTAAAGCCAAGGAAGAGAAATAGCAGTTACAATTACTTTTATAGCAAGATTTCTGAATGTTTAACTTTTTATAATTTGATACCATTTCAAATATATTTAAAAATTGAAATTCTGGCTACATTGCTTTTCAGTTATTTGAGGTTTGAGCCTAAAAACACAAGGATCCCCAAAATGCTTAACACTTTTGGCGTTTTGGATTTGGAAAATATTTTTAAGTCCTTTGTTCTGAAATCTCTGTAGATTCAAGAGATAAAATAAATCTTGATTTATAGCAAGCACAGTCTTTTTGGAGCCATTCTTGGGGATTACAAATGCCATTTTATCTCAGAAGTTCCCTTTTCCTGTGATCTTTGTCTATGGAATCCTGGGAGAATTGTTCCCTATTGCCTTTCTTAGTTATAAATTGGCTTTAGCCAAGAAGAAAATTGCACATCTTCAGGAGATAATGCTCAACCCCTGTCTGATTCGATACTACAGCAGGTATTTGATTTCAATCCAAAATTTTTAACAGCAAGTATAGTAAATGTTGAAAAGAAAATGAAAACATAGCATAACTTCATTACTTTTATTTACAGTCATTTTGGTTTTGAAATAATCTTCTCTGGCTTCCTTCTTCAGTGTACAAGCATCTATCATGTTTTGAGTTTTTTTCTGTTTGTCTAGGTCTCTTAAATTCTACTTAAAAGTATTTTCTAGTAACTACACAGGAAAAGCATCTTCTCTAGAATTCCAGAAGATGGCAGCATAGAGCTACTGTTCCAGTCAACATGCCGCTTCATTTCTGATGAGCATAGTGAACAGTGATAAAGAGTGGTGAGTCCCTGATACAGGAGTTGAGCTGGGTGTGTAAGCCAAGTCCAACCCAAGTGATAAATACATCTCTAAACATTCCTGTGCATCTGCCAATGGGCGCTGAGAGTGAAAACTATAATATTACAAATAGCAAATAAAAGGAAAACATACTTCTTTCATGCTGGCTGGTTCATTTGGAAAGCTGTAAACGCTGGAAACTTACAAATTCGAATACTCTTTACTGGTTAGTAGGGGAAAGAAACTAGATTTAAATAAACTAAATCTGGGGGAAGTGCTTGGGGGAAGAGCTTAGGCTTAAACACTTCCCACAGATCAATTTGTTACCAGTAGCGATATTAAACATACCTAACAGATGGTAGGATGCAGGGCTTCCAGCCATCACAAAGTTGGCTGACCAGTCAGCACAGGAGACAGAGCTTCACCCCCTTACCACACTTTGGGGGTGGAATCTCATCAATTTTCCTTGAAGTAGCAAGAGCCCTGGAGTCTCATTGCTAGGAGGTCTGGAGGCCACTTCCTTCCCCTTCTCTGATGCCGTCTTTTTTGGCCCTCAATTTTCTCGCTTGTAAAATAGCAATAATAGGCCCTTCTCAGCTTCCTTTATAGGGCTGTGGTGGGGATCAAAGGAAGATAAGAACATCTCACCAGGTATCAAGTGATTAGCTGAGGCAGCAGAACTTGGTGACCTGACGGTGGGTTTTGCAGCCACCAAAGAGGGCTTGAATCCACTCCACACCATTAACTGTTTAACTTTGTACAAATTGCTCAAGCTCGCTAAGCCTTGATTACTGCACTGTCACATAGTTCTGATGATAAGAATTAACTTATAAGACTAGAAGATATTTAGTCTGCTTTCTCTCCTCAACAAATTTTAGCTGTTATTTATTAAGAAACATTTTGTTCATGAATTGTTTTTCAAATTTAATTTTCTATCTTATCCAGCAGACATGGAAAATCTATATTTAGCTGAATGGTTCTCTACTGTCACTTACCAGGAGAGGAAAGGTTCTGGAAACATGCATACATATAGGGAGTCAGGAAGAGAGACCAGACGGGGGAGTTTAGGGCTCAGATCAGACAGGTAGAGACTAGCTAGAGGCCCAGGAGAGCAGGAAGGGAGCAGGCATATGGCCAGTATGGAGAGGGCTCAGCTGGGCTGCAAGAGAAAATGAGAAGCTCACCACTTGTCAGAGATCCAAAGTTAGACTCTTAGCACCCATGTCTGGGAATGCAATGGCAATCTGAACAGAAGATGAAAAGTCCTGAAAAAAAAAAAAAACGGATCTATAGTGTTTAAGGCTCAGCAAGGAACAAATAATATTTTTAAATGTCCTAGATGGGCCAGGTGCAGTGGCTCATGCCTGCAATCCTAGCACTTTGGGAAGTGGAGGCAGGGGAGTGGCTTCAGCCCAGGAGTTCAAGATCAGCCTGGGCAACAATAGCAAGATCCCATTTCTACAATCAATCAATCAATAAAATTCTTAGGGAAAGGAAAGTAAAACCAGAAGTTTTCTTGGTGAATGCAGTAAAATGGAGCTAGAAAGGGGTCTGAAGATGGTCCAGGGTCTGCAGGCACTCCCAGGCCCCAGCACTGCCCTTTCCTGAGGGACAGTTGACCTCAGCAGCGTTCTTGTATGGGCCAGCAAGTGCACGGGAAGGCTGGAGGGAGGAAGGCTTTCCCCTTGCTTGCACCGCCACGGCAGTTGGTTAATAAAGCTCACCATACTAGAGGAGCTTTATAACAAACAGCTTGTTGTTCCTGTCCATCTTTTTCTCTGATGCTGTCAAACACTGTTTCCTACCTTTGGTCTCTGGTAAATGGTTGCTAACAATTTGGGAGTACTTATGAAACACTTTCCATAAGTGTTTAACCCTCACAACAACTCTATAGAGATTTATCAACCCCATTTCGTTCACAAAGAAAATGAGATACAGATCATCTAAATAACTTGCCCAATGCATGATATTTAGTAAATAGTGAACGAAGATGTGAACCCACAGAAAGACTGGTTCGGGAGCCCATGTTTCTAACTACACCAAGATGCAGGCAACAGCAAAGCTGCCCTATGGATAAGTGAAGTGGAAAGTGGGAATGGAAATGAAATAAGCGCTTTAAAATCCCTACTTCCACTCCCATCAACAGTCTACTGTACATTATTCCCTGAAAATAGCAATGCTATTAATCCTATCCTTGGATTAAATAAATTAACAAACAAGATTATTCATCACATTAAAAACCTAAATGTTGGTATACATGCTGTTCATTCAAAGTAAACATGTCTAGTATATGGAATCGTTCTTTTCCTCGTGACCTTTTGTTTAATTATATTGCAGAATGACCAAAAGATAGGAGTACAATAGTGATTCTCTATGTTAATCATTTTGTACAACACACTCTTAAACAACCATGAATATGGTTTTACATCTTTGTTTTTTCCAATTTTTTTCTAATTAAATTTATTAAACTTTAATTTTTCCTGTTAACTCTATTTGATTGGCAACCTCTGAGTTTCCTGTACCTGGATGTTATTGTCTTTTCCCAGATTTGGGAAATTTTTAGCCATTATTTCTTTAAGCTTACTAGTTTTTTTCTCTCTCTTTTTCAGAAAATTTTATTATATGAAGGTTTCTTATTAACTAGTTCAGTTATTATAGTCTATAACTAGTTCAGTTATTATAGTCTGTTTCTGGGCTTTCTTTATTTAATGTTTCTTTTTTTGTCAAACTTCTCATTTTGTTCATGAATTGTTTTTCAAATTTAATCTTCTATCTATATTTGTAATTTCCCAGGAGTTTTAAAGGGGATTATTCTGAATTCTTTGCCAGTCATTTTATAATTCTCCTTTTTGTCTAGGTTTATTACTTGAGTTTTATTCATTGTGCTATTGTTTTGGAGTTTTGGGGGGTAGGGTTATATTTCCCTGATTCTTCATATTCTTTGTATCCTTGCATTGATGCTTGCAGATTTGAAGGCCAACTCTTCCAGCCTTTGTATGTGCTCTTTGGTGGTGTTAGATTTTTTTTTTTTTTTTTTTTGAGACAGAGTTTTCGCTCTTGTTGCCCGGGCTGGAATGCAGTGGTGTGATCTCGGCTCACTGCAACCTCCACCCACTGGGCGCCTGGCTAATTTTTTTTGTATTTTAGGTAGAGACAGGGTTTCACTATATTGGCCAGGCTGGTCTTGAACTCCTGACATCAGGTGATTCGCCTACCTTGGCCTCCCAAAGTGTTGGGATTACAGGCGTGAGCCACCGCACCCAGCCTGATGGTGTTAGATCTTTACTATTTGATACTGGAATTTAATCGCTGACCTGCAGTTATTTCTCAATCTCAGGAAGGCTTAATGTGAGCCTCAGAATGTAATTACCGTACCAGAACTTAATCTCTGATCCCCATTTGCTTTCTGTTCTGGGGATAACTGTAAATACTGGAACTTCATTGCTGCACCTGAACTTAGCTGTTGACTTGCAGTTGTTTCAAGATCTGGGGAAGATTTAATGTAAGCACTAGAACTTAATTCAGGCCTGTAGTGTATGCTAGGTCTGGGAAAGTCTCTACAAAAGCACCCCAGCTATGTGGGAAAGGTGGCTAGGAACTCAGTCCTGGAAGATCTGTGGACCTGTGGACCACTGGCTGCTTTCTATGGTGTGGTGCCTCAGCAGACTGCACTGAAGAGGAGCTACCAAGATCTGTGTGCTGATGGCTGTGAGCCCCACCCCTATTCTTTGTCTCCAATTGACTCCAGGTAATTCAATCCGGCCACCACTCCGTGCTTCCCTTGAAATGAGATAGGAGTGGGCCTGCTGCAAAGGTTCCTAGATTGGCAGGGAAGCCAAATGTTCACCTTTAGTTCCCCTTTCCCACTGTAGAAACTGTGGCTCCAGGTGCATTCTTTGCGTGTGGTGCTCTGCCAGCTTGGGGAATGGGTTATCGTAGTGGAAGAGGTCTGTGCCTCCTACCATTAATCAGATGGTGGCTTTTCTCAGTTTTGTGGCCCAAGGGGGGTGTCTCTGCCTCTCTTCCAGCTTCTGGATTATTCAGGATGGCATGCTTGTCTGTGGATATTTACTAGTGGCACTTCTGTTGGGGAGAACGAAACTTATTCTACCATCTTGCTGAAATCACTCCTAATGATTTTATACATATTGAGATACACATTTAAACCTAATAATAAAACCTAGTAATAAACCTAATAATAAAAACCTAATAATAAAGCCTAATAATAAAAAATGGGCACTTATATTTTGTATGTCTTACATATTTGTTTATTTTACAAAAGTGTGCATCTCTAATGAATTAGTCACAGATCGTTAGAGAAACAATGCTGTTAGATGTACAAAGGTGAGTTGGACCAAGAATTTTTCTGCAAGAGTCTAACAATCTATCAAGATAAAATTCATTTGCATATAAGCAAAACCAAAATGCTTGTGTTGTAACCAAAATGAATTTCAATATCATTTTCTGGTACAAAATGGCTGGTGTATTTTAGCTACTATCTGCATTACAGGGAGCACAAATAAAGAAGCAACAAATAACGGTTTGTCTCTGAGCTTTTAAATGGAGACTCCCAGGTGTCTCACACAATGTTTTTGCTTATGAATCTTTGGAGAGAACCTAGTCAAATGACCAGTTACAGCAAAAGGAGGGTTTGATTATACCCCTTCGCTGGAAAAACTACTTCCTGAATAATGTGGGGTTTCATTGCTAAGAAGTGAGGGAAGAAAAAAGACGTTGGGATAAGAAACTAGCAATCTCTACCACACTAAGTGAGATACAAATTGTACATTAACAAATGAAATTAGGTTAAAATCTAAGAGTCATTAAAGAAGTACAGGTAAAATGCTAAAAGAATTAAGGAGAAAATTGATTTCAATTGGAAATCCCCATCAAAAAAGAAAAAAAAAAGTAAAACTGATTAACACCACTACATACCAGGTACTGTACTAGCTGTCTCACGTGTATTATCTCATTCTTTCCCAAAACATCCCCACCAGATAGGATGGATATGGTTTTCAAAATTACACAGCTGATAAGTGGAAGAACCCTGGTTTAAAAATATATATATATGTAATAAGAATATTCTAGCCAGAGAAAGCATGACGAGCCAAGATAGGAAATTGCAGGTTGTACGCACCACTGGTGATTAGTTCAGTTTGGCTGGAGCACACAGATCCTGAACAGGGTAGTAGGGATGAAGCTGTTGAGTTACCCTGAGGCTGGATTGTGGATAGAATGCATTCTTGTCTCAAGAATTACAGGTTTAGTCTATAACATGACAGAATCATGGAAAATACCACAGGCTTATGCCTGGGAGAATAAGAAGGTCAGGGTGGAGGGGTTATCATTTATAAAAATAGAGAGTCAAAGGGAGTGAGTGCAACTCAATACTGCTTTAGAAGACATCTTATCCAACATAGTCAGACACAGTATGTAGTCACATTCTAAAAGTGGTCATAGCAGGGAATTACATAATGTGATATATACTCATTAAGTGTGTATCTCAATATGTATAAAAGTAAATATATGCATTATCTTTTGATGTAGGGTCAAAGAGCAGTCAGTATTCATTGCCATTCTTACGTAAACCACCTCATACTATATTGTCTACAATTTCCACTTTCTTCATAGAGCTTAATAACATTGTGAAACAAACTGAGTATGGGATCTTTGTAGACTTTTGCAGTTCTCCCCAAAACTAGACAGAATTTTACAGCATGATTTAACAACTTGGCTTTACTGATTTAAAAACATTAAACTGATTTTTCATACAAACAACAATGATCTTTTCACGTTTCTATTTTATCAACTACTTAGTATTTTATTAAGTTAAATAATTATAATGGCTGGGCATGGTGGCTTACACCTGAATCCCAGCACTCTGGGAAGCTCAGGTAGGTGGATCACTTGAGCCCAGGAGTTTGAGACCAACCTGAACAACATGGGGAAACCCACCTCTCCAAATAAAAAACATAAAAATGGACTGGGCTTGGTTGCATGAGGCTGTACTCCCAGCTACTTGGGAGGCTGAGGTGGGAGGATCCCTTGAGCCCAGGAGACAGAGGTTACAGTGAGCTGAGATCATGCAACTGCACTCCAGCCTGGGTGACAGAGTGAGACCTTGTGTCAAAATAATAATAATCATTACAACCAATACAGCTGGCATAAACAAGTTTGGGAATTGACACAAATGTCCCTGTAAGTACATGAATCAATTGGTAGGTGCATAATTGCCTGGGCACCTGATAAGCCATGAAAGAAATAAGTAGTGCATTTGTGAGCTTCAGCCAGTGTTATATGCCTTACAGAAAAAAAATTAATTAATCAAATAGAATTCAGGTAAGAGAGTATCTACTGTATTAGATACGAGATGTCACTACTCATGTCACTACTCATTTAAAAAATATTTTATTTCACCTCATTTTTTTTCTTTGTTAAGGTATAGTTGACAGATACAAATTATATTTCTGATATAAAATGTGATGTTTTGAAATATATATGCATTGGGAAATATTTAAGTAAATCATTAGCTTTATGTTATTATAGCATATCTGTCACCTCACATACCCTCATTTTTTTGTGTGACCAGAACATTTAAGATCTACCCTCTTAGCAATTTTCAAAGATACATTATTATGACCTACAGTCATTATGCTGTACAATAGATTTCCAGAACTCATTCCTCCTTTCTAACTGACGCTTTGTACCCTTTGACCAATACCTCCCCATTTCTGGTCCCAGGCCCAGGCAAACACCATTCCACTTTCTGCTTCTATGAGTTAAACTGTTTAAGATTCCACATAACATCACGCTATATTTGTCCTCCTGTGCCTAACTCATTTCACTCAGCATAATGTCCTCTAAGACAATAATCTTTTTTTCTACATTTCCCCATCATTTTCCTTAAATTTTTTCAAACAGTATTCTCAGATAGTTTCAAGCACCTGTGCGAAATTATATTATTCCTATTCACTGAAACTAACTTCATGAATTACCTTCACACCAACCCCAAGACATATATGTTCTATCCTCATCCCATCATACCTTGATACATTGTGTATATACTCTAGATTCCTAGAGGAGTTAAGTGAGAAGGATTTTAGAGGTCATTAAGTTAACACCTGCATCCTCTAGATTAATGCTGTCCAACAGAAATAAAACACAATTCACATTTGTAAATTTAAATTTTTTAGTAGCCATGTTAAAAAGTTAAAAAGAAACAGGTAAAGTTATTTTTCTAAGTATAATTATGTAATTCATTATATCCAACATATTATTTCAACATACAAGCAATGTAAAAGCAATTATCAATACATTATTTTACATTTTTTATAAGTCTTCAAAATTCAATGTGCATCTTACGCAACACACCTCAGTTCAGATATGACACATTTCAAGTGCTCAAGGACCACATGTGACCAGTGTCTACCATGTTGGACAGCACAGCTCCAGGTGATTCTAGATGATGAATCTTTGGTTCAGAAAGATTAAATGACTTGGCCTGGGCTATCTATCCGTGATTAGTCATAGCTTGGTGCAGAGCCACCAACATCATCGGTACAGAAAAGCACTTAATGTAACATTGCCAAACCTAACAGGATTTTACAGATCTAATGACTTACCTAATATTATATTTTTCTAATTTTAAAATATAAATATATCATAAAGAAGATAAAAAAATAAAAGTTATTCCTGAGAACAATCACAAATATGAGCAATTGTATAAGTAATCGCACACTAAAAAAACCTAGATATTCTAAACATTGTTTTGAAGTTTATTCCTTCTCTTTTATAGTCTTTAATATTTGTTTCTGTGTTCTTAAAGCTTTCTTTTTTATTATGTATCATTCTCTTTCTCTCTGCTTTTAAAATGTTGCATAATTTTAAATCCTAGTATCAAAAGAGTAGCAGCTGTCCAATATATCAATTTATTCTTGGGAGGAAGAGAGAAGCTTAGCCAAGATCTAGAATCATTGTATATTTAAATACTTCTAATGATCCAAAAGTACATTTGCCAGAGTCTTCCAGCTGTTAGGAAGGTAGACGTCAGGTCTATGAATTCAGCTATCGCAGAACAACTTTTCTTACAAAAACAATATTTTTTCGATAACATAAAATACAATTCTTCAGGACACACTCTGAAATGCCACTGAAACTGAAATGTCCTCCAAGCATTTTGTATTTTGAGCATATTACATATCTTGTATTTAGTTTTGCATGAAAACCCAATCAAAGTCTAGATATAATAGAAAGTCAGAATATTCTACCTCAAAATCAAGTTCTACAATCCGCACATAAATAGCTACTCTAGGCACTTGTGCATGTAAATTAAGTTTTGATTTTAAAATGACAAAAAAAAAGATTTAAAGTGGAGAGAATGTGGAACCACTTGGTACCTAGGAGAAAACTCAGGATCACAACGCACAGCATAGAAATAAAAAGGAACTGAAAAAGTGAATTAGAGGAGGTGAGGGGGCAATTGAGTTATTTCCAGTTAATATCACAGAAATTGGATTGCACCTAATTGTGACCAGTCCAGGCAATACCAATACTTACGTTAATTGGCACCTCCTTGCAGTCAGGGGAATCATGCGCCATACGTGGAAGAGTTATTGGCCATATTTGTAGCATGAGCCAAAGTTCTGCTTTCAAAATGCACACAACAATCAACAAGCAAACCACTCCCAGAACGATGTGTGGGGAAGCATGCAGAGCCAAATTCTCTCACAGCCAACTACTCACCACAATTTATCATATCTGGCTTCACATTTCTCAGTCTGTTCTGAAACACATTTGACCTGGCTTTGATTTTGCATTTAAAGGCAACCTGTTCTGACTAGGGCTCCCCAGCTGGGCAGAGAGATTTCCTGGCCTCAGGCCAGGCAAAACAGGCAGCATCACTGCATCTCTGCTTACAGACCCTCAGCAATTGTCTCACAATGTAAATGAGGACAGAGGAATCCTTGGGGGGATATTTTTCCTACATGTCTAGTGGCTTCTAGGGTTTGAGAAGTTGTTGATTAGAGCAGTTTCAAAGGGGTATTTTTTAAATTTCCACTGCACTTAGCTAGAAAAACAAGCTTGGCACTCAAGGCTCTCTGAAATTTACCCCAAATATCCACAGTCTTATTTCTTCATAAATATTAAAATAAATCACCTCTGGTGAAATTGGTTTATTCAGTATCACCTCTACACACAGTACAATTCTAACCCTTGCAAGTTTGTTCATGCATGAAATGCCCTTCTGCCACCAGCTCTGGCTCTATAAATTCTTCAAAGATTGTTTCCTCCATGAAGCCTCCCTGGGTTTCCTTGGCCACTCTACCCAGTTTGCATTATTAAAGCACCGAGAGGAGGGGGAATGCATAACTGGTACTTTATGAATGACCACTTTGTATCATTGTACAAATGTAATTATTGAACATCTACCATGAGCCAGGCCCTGTGTCAGTTGCTGGGGATTCAATGGTGAGCAAAAACAGAACAGGGCTCCACCCTCATGCAGCTTACAGACTAATGAGGGAGATACACATCAACCAAATCAAATCATAGCTTTCTCTCTCTTCTCAAGTCTTAACCATACCTCTCATTTTGCACTTAATATAGAATTTTTTTTTTGTACATTTCCCTAGTATTGCCTAACTACATTCAAAACTTTTCTGTTAAAAAAAGAAACAGAAAACAAAATCCCATTGGCCACTGCTGCATTCCAGGAACTGTGATGTACCATTCAGCACATGTGATATATAGCACATGTTCCTAACACATTGTTTCTAATCCTCATTGCCGTCCTGTAATTCTGGCATTATTGGCATCCTTTGCACATTAGGGATTCAAGTCCTAAAAGAATCATTGGCTTGCACCATGGACAGATAATACAAGGCAATTTTAAATTTGCTTTATAGACTTTAAAAGTAACTATAGCATAATCAGAAGAAATTCTTGTTTCCTCCTCCCAGCCCCCAGTATTTTCAGAAGCTTAAGTTTCTCTTTATTTCTCTATGTTCTCCATTTTTAAAAATACATTTTTAAAAAAAATTTAAGAGCTAAGTGTCTCACTCTGTCACCCAGGCTGGAGGGCAGTGGTGTGATCATAGTTTACTGCAGCCTCGGACACCTGGGCTCAAGCAATCCTCTTGCCTCAGCCTTCCAAACAGCTAGGACTACAGGTATGTGCCATCATACCAGGCTAATATTTTTATTTTTGTTTTTATTTTGTAGAAGCAGGGTCTTGGTCTTGCTATTGCCAAGGTTGGTCTCAAACCCCTGGCTTCAAGTTATTATCCCACCTCAGCCTCCCAAAGCACTGGGATTACAGGCATGAGACAGACATCACACCTGGCCTCTAAATTCTCCATTGTTTAACATACAAATACAAACTTTTATTCCTTCTTGGTGTGCTTCTCCAGAATGACCCAACAAAGTCCATTGATTACATGCAAACTCAGGAACATATAGTATACTTTGAGAGAGCCCCTTGATCTAGGAGAATGTGTTTAGTGGAGATGGCTGTGACATGCCCTTCAAAACATACACAGCGTGTCATCTGATAATGCAAGGTTGTATAAAGGAATCCTATTCTTTTATCTCTAAATTAGAGTTTAAGGGACTACTTAGGAATTAGCAGAACAGAGTGTACTAGCACTAAAATAACTTTCTATTAATGCATTCCCAAATCCTATCTTAAAGTATCTCTCTTTGCCTTTATGCTGTAGTTTGATCTGGTATTAACCACCTACAACGCTTAAAAAGAGAATCCTGAAGACTCTGTTGTGCTTCAGAAGAAAAAAAAAGTCAACTGTCTTTACAATATAAAGCAGAGATATTTGGTTTTATTTGCTTGGGCTTTTCTTATTGCTGTTATTTACTTGTTGGGGTTTTGGGGTCTAAAAAGTTATCGGTAACTACTGGTCTTAGTAATAAGTCCTGTGCTCAGGCAGCACAGCAAGATGGAGCTGTATTAGCCTGTTTTTGAGCAGCTGATAAAGACATACCCAAGACTGGGCAATTTACACAAGAAAGAGGTTTACCAGACTTACAGTTTCACATGGCTGGGGAGGCCTCACAATCATGGTGGAAAACAAGGAGAAGCAAGTCACATGTTACGTGGATGGCAGCAGGCAAAGAGAGAGCTTGAGCAGAGAAACTCCCGTTTTTAAAACCATCAGATCTTGTGAAACCCATTCACTATCACGAGTACAACATGGGAAAGACCCCCTCCCATAATTGAATCACCTCCCACTGGGTCCCTCCCACAACACGTGGGAATTATGGGAGCTACAAGATGAGATTTAGGTGGGGACATAGAGCCAAACCATATCAGGAGCATCATCGGATTTAAGTCAAAGTACAAAGTGTGAACAGTTTGAAAGCCAGGAAGCAGTGATTAAAAATGGGGAATCTAGTATTCTACTTTCTCTCTTTTCCTCTAAATGGGAAAACAACAATTTAAATGGAGAGAAATGACAGCAAAAGCAGAACACTGCAGAACAGATAACAGAAGATGAGGAGAGAAGGTATACCAAAGTGAAGCAAACGAAAAGAAGGCCTCGTTTCTTCATCTGTAAAATGGGGTTGATAATGGTACTAACCTCGAGATCACCACATTGCAAAATTTCACAGGACACCCACCACTCACATCATAATCAGTCATACACTGTGGCCCCAATCTAACTTATAAGAGTTCTGCAAATACTCAACAAGGAAGTATATTAAGCACATTGAAAAGTGCCTGGTGTGTAGTGAATGCTCAACTCTCACTGGTTATTCTCTTTCTTAAATTTCTAATTTTCTTCTCCAGTTGTTTCTTCTCTACTGCCCACTTCCACAGTGATTGGACTCCTTTTCATCCACCAATTTTCTCGGTGATTTCACTTGTTATTAAAGTCATAAGTCTCCAGAACATCTTCCCTAAGGCCTAGATCACTGAAAACTTCCCATAAAAAACCCTCTAACTCTAGCTCTGACTTTTTTTGTTGTTGTTGTTTGGCTTTTTGTTTGTTTGTTGTTGTTGTTTTGCTTTGGGAGCTCTACCACTTGCTTCCCAATGGATTTAGAACAATTGTTCACCTAGACCTGAACAGTCCAATATGGAAGCCAATCACGACTTTCAACTTCTAAGCACCTGAAATGAGGGAAGTTCAAACTGAGATGCATTGCCAACATAAAATGCACACCAGATTTCAAAGACTTAGCAGGAAAGAAGAATGTAAAATTTCTCATCAATAATTTTTCATACTGATTAGGTTCTAAAGTGATAACGTATATGATATATTGAGTTTAAATATATTATTAACATGAATTCTGCCTGTGTCGTCTTCTTTTTTAATGCACCTATTGGAAAATTTAGAATTGCATAAATGCCTCCTGTGTTTATTGGACAGCATGGGCTTAGACATTTTTAAAAAGATATTCAAAATCAACACTTTAGTCATTTGCTAAAGGCATTTGTATCCTTTTCCTGCATTCCCATCGTAAACTGGGATCCCTATTTTTGTCCTCTTAACCTGGACCTTGTGCCTAGTTCAGCCTTCGTCCAACTCCCAGGGAGCCCTGGAAGCCCTGTTGTAGCTCCCTGTGGTCATGCTCATGCTACCTCAGTTCCGACTGCCTGACAGAATCACTTGCGTGTGGAGCTTTCCAGAGTATCCAAGAGCCCTGGCACCTGAAGTTTTCAGACCCTCCACAAATGATTCAGAGGTCCAGCCAGAGTCACAAATTACTGCTTCAAGGCAACTTCCCCAAATGCTGATATCTGAGGGAAATATAACTGTAACACATAAGAAAAAAAGTATTACAGACATCCGTTTCTGTTATTGCTTCACAAATAATGTAAGAAAGACCATGTTTACCCTGGAGAAGCCCATGCCCCCTGGTGCCCAAACTATAACAGCACAACACAAACTAAGCTTCCTCATGTCCTCAGGCCAGCATGCGCTGAACTCAGAAGCAGCTTGTTATTTTAGTTTTTTTAAGGAAACACAATACATTGACAATCGAGATGGTGCATTGATTCATAAATATAAATAGTATTACAAATGGTTGGTTTATTTTTGTACTAAATATTGGGTTTTTTGTTTATTTTCAACTTATGCCTTTTCTCTCATCACATATTCCGTGAGTTGCCCATTGATTTTTCACTGGTACCTACAGAGAATGATTTGGAACAAATCCTGTGCAGCTGGAAATCAGCCAAAAACTTGTTGATTTAAGGTATCTGTTTGATTTTCTAAGCCAGATCTAGCTGGTAATTTATAACACCACCTGCTGGTAGGATGCCTACTGTGAGCTTGTAAGACTTGGAAGGCTAGAAAACTAATTGCCTCCCAATGTCACTGCTATAGGACATAACATGGTAAGAACTCATCAAAGCTCTTGGCATTAAGAATCTCTCTCATAAGCAGAGAAGGTGAAGACAAGCCAATATGTAAAACCCAAAATGGGAAAAAAAAATTCTCACTCTACAATTGTTTTTTCCACCAAGGACTGCCCAACACTTAGCACAGAATCTGGTACATTGTAGGTGCCTGCAGAATATCTGTTGAATGTTGAATTAATTCATAAACAAGTTAACTATTTCTGATAAAATGCTGGCTAATACTATAATAAACTTGGAACTTGAATGTCAGTAAGACTAAAAGAAAATAACTTTGATGGATTTTTATCATCATTTATATATAACTACCAATTATATGGCTCTTTTATTGCAAAAGACAGTTTGGGTTAATAAAATGTAGTATAGCAGAGTAGTTAATAGCAAGGATGTGGTTGAGAATACCGTGTTTGACATTAGTTAAATGGATGACTACTGGCAAATTACTTAACTTCCTTGAACTTCATGTTTCACAATGAATATACATCAGTTTCATAATTATAATAATATTAATAAACTTTAAAGGCAAAACCAATGCGTTATGTAAGGAAACCATACTCCCAAAAGTAAAAGGATGGATACCTATTTCTAAAATAGTATATAAATATGATAAGGTGCTAAAATTATATTTTAAAAGTGTAATTATTTAGAAAACGAGGTATTGACCAGAAATAAAAGGGCAGCATTAGAAAATCTCTTTATTCTAAAAACTATAGAAAAAAATTAAAGAAGGAAATGTGGCTAAGTGAGAAATAAATTTCTAAAATTGTAAATAATAATCCCAATAATTATAAAGACATCACATATGAAAATTATCCAATAGTATTTTGGCTCAGTGCAGATGAGATTCTTTGGGGCTGCTTTGTCTTCTGTGTACCCTGAGCAAACTTTATTTGCTGTTCTGGGAACCTCTAAGGATGGAATTACAAGGAGATTTTAAAGATCAAAAAATGCTTAGAGAACTGAAAACAGAGACCAGCCACCTCTTGGGAGGTGCATAGACCCAGGAACCTTGAAGGAATGGAAAAGAAGCCAGTGCTTCATTAGGGTTCAGACGTGGACAAACGAGAGAAACAATGGAGTCCTAAGACAGTGGGATGAATGAAAGTGTCTGGCAGCGTGGGTCACATAAAGCAGCTGATTTGGGACTCAAAGGAAGCTGGGTGACCAGGTTCAGCTGAGAAGTGGGTGCGAAGCAGGAAAAAAAAGTGATTTCCAGTTTTAAATGGTACACAGAACACATACATTTAATTCTGCTACTTCCTAAAATCCCAGTAAGACAACCATAAATGAAATCTTTAATTTTTTTAATTTAAAGATTAAAGTCACAAAGTCAAAAATAATGAGAAGGAAGAGGATTAAAAACACAAAGTGGAAAAAACAGAAGGACTTGTAATAACTGCCTTAGCAGACTTAAGAAAGCTGAATCCTAAGCCAATTGTGTTATGGCTGAGAGGAAACTAGATCTGTAGGACCCAGAAAAGGCTCAGGAAAAGATGGTTTCAGCTGTAATCAGAAACAGGAAGATCAGTTGAAAGTCTGCTTAAGAAATAAATGTTCCCAAAATCCTCTCCCCAACTTCAAATAGATGGGCAAATTTCCCTTCCTCACTCCCGAAACTACAAAACAGAATCTCTGGACTGGAGAATATTAGACATCCTAGAAGACTGGAAATGCAGAATTAACACAAAGAGATCAAGTGAAAGTTCACATACTGAATTTTGACAGCATTCCTTCCAGTCAACTGTAGTACAAACTATGGATGCAACGCTTGTAGATTCCAAGGTAGATATTGGAAGATTCTTCTCTGAGTATTCTGATCAGAACAAGAGAAAAGTGCTAAAGGTTTTGACCTTTGGGTTCTCCAAGAAAATGATGAAGGCAAATCAACTTTCAGTGAAGCTCAGAGTTGACACCCACACACACAATGGTTACAATGAACTTTTCAGTGACCCATTCTTTAACATAAGCAGACAGCCACAGACCACTCTACCATTAGGAATAACCCTTAACATGAAAGACTGAGACCAAAGGTTACAAAAACAAAGCAATTTGGAAAAAAAAAATGCCACAGGAAGAAGATAATTCCAAAAATTGCAATCATATTATCAGAAAAACGATAAAAGGTTATTTCATCAATAAATTGAAACAGATAATAGCTCTTTCAATGTAGCAGCATAACATGACCAAAAATTTAATAGAAGGTTTGGAAGACAAAATTTTAAAAATCTTTCAAAGAGTGAAGGAAAAATGTAGGAAGGTAAAATATAGAACTAAAAGGTAAGAAGATAAAATTAGTCTAGGAGAAACAAGATCTGAATAATGAGCCTTTCAGAGAGTGAGAGGAAGGAAGGAAGGGAGGGAGGGAGGAAGGAAGGAAGGAAGGAAGGAGAAAAAGAAGAGAAAAAGAAGGAAGAAAATAATAAAATAAGTAACTCAAGAAAACTTTCCAGCACTAAATGGTGTGTTTCCCACGTAAAAGAGCCTATTGGGTGCTCAGCATAGTCGGTAAGCATAAACCCACACAAAAGGCATAACATCATGAAATGCTAGAGACAAGTAGAACAATTTAAAGGATCCAGGGAATGCAAGCCAAAATAAGAAGTCACGAATTAAAAAAATTTTCAGTGACAACACAGATAGCTCAAAGTCAATAGACCAATACCTTCAAAATGTTGAGAGGAAATGATTAATGATTTACAACTTAAACAGCTACACTCAAACTATCAATGCATTGTGATGGTTTAAAAAAATTTTTTTAAAAAGCCTTTCAGACATTCAGTGTCACCAATATTTTACCTAACATGCACATCTTCTCAAGAAGCTACTGAAGGGAAAAAAGTTTCATTAACATTGGAGAGTAAATCAAGAAAAAAGAATCCATGGCATGCAAGAAACAGAAAGACCAATTTAAGAAAGAGGCTAAGAGAGATCCCGGAATACACTCTGCCAGTGGTGAAGGTAACAGAACTGGAGCAGATTGGAGAAGATCAGAAGCCTTCAGGAGAGAAATCTCCAAGAAGATGAAGATGAAGGGCTCCAATTGTCTTTGTACAGAGAGAAGATTTAAATAATTCAGAGAAAGTTTGTGGTTGGACTACCCATAGTATATTATGAAGCATTTATTAATTCTAGGAAAAACAAAATGTGTAGGAAAGGAAAAGTAATCACAGTCGTTCATATAGCTTAACCATGAAAATTATTTGTAGTTGTCATAATATTGTAAAAATTAAATGTTTAGCCAAGGCTTTCATGCAACTATATTAACAGGGTAGGAGGATGAGAAATAATGAAAGAAAATTATCCTCCTTTTCCATATTAGAAAGCCAACAGAAAATGGCTGCTGCAGAAAAATTGAACGATGGCAAGATCGTTATATTTAGAAAAATGGGAATGGGAAAAATTAGAAATAGAAAACAGAAATAGGGCTGGGCATGGTGGCTTACACCTGTAATCCCAACACTTTGGAAGGCTGAGGTAGGCAGATCACTTGAGGTCAGGAGTTTGAGACCAGCCTGGACAACATAGTGAAACCTGGTCTACATAAAAATAAAAAAATTAGCAGGGAATGGTGGTGTACATCTGTAATTCCAGCTATTCAGGAGGCTAAGGCAGGAGAATCACTTGAACACAGGAGGCAAAGGTTGCAATGAGCTGAGATCACGCCACTCAGCCTGGGTAACAGAGAGAGACTCTGTTTCAAAAAAAGAAAAAGAAAAAAAGAAAGCAGAAATAGAGAAAAATATTGAAAGTAGAAACAGAAGATTTAAAAATAAGAATAAATACCAAAGGAATCAGATGAAGTAGATTGAAGTGCTTGATTATGAGGTCCTAGTCTCTAACTGGGTAGGAGGTAAGCAGAGGACTACTGCTTTTCATAATAAATCTTACATAACAATTAAGTTTTTTAAACCATGTATAACTTTGAGGAAAACAAAGTTGAATTTAAAAAGATGTATGAGGAGAAAAACAAGAAGGAGGAGAAGAAGGACAAAGCCATGTCATTAGAGCTCACACTGGGTTTCTCTAAAAATCTCCAGTGAAAGTTGGTCACAAGAAGCAAACTTCATTTCCCTCCTGGCCACAGAAGGAGCCAGGCCCTAGAGGCTGACCCTTCAGAGAAGACTGATCACTCAGGTGCTTCAAGGAAAGCATCCCCTGGAAAGTACAGCAGCAATCATCACTGAAGGCAACAGAACCCAGATGTGCACACAGCAGCTCTGACTGTCAATAGCCAAGTCCTTTCCACCATTTCCAACTCCATCACAACTAGAGAACCCCACAGAGAATGACTCAGGACCTCGGAAGAAGGATGGACTTCTTGCTAACCAAGTTGGTCATATTTAAAGAGTCAATGGAATTAACACCATCGACAGTGTTATGAACGACTTCACAGTGCTTCTTGGTTAATTGGCTACATGGAGCCCAGTGGAAGAAGTCCCACAGAGTGCTGAGAATACATGAATATATTTTGCCCAAATAAGATATATTTAATAAATTACAAATGGGGTTATAAGCAACTGTCTCTTGCAGCAGGGTCTGAAGGACCATATGAAAAATCCTTGCAACTTAAAGTATATCTCCCCAAGTTTTCTAGATGTTGACTGTCCCTCATTTCTGACCTCACACCATGAAATTTCTAAGAAGACACAGTGCATATAATTAGCAAGGCATGGTATAGTTACTAAGAGCCTAGGTTTTAGAAGTAATCAGACTGCAGGTCAAATATCAGCTTCACTGCTTTCTCATTTTATGACCTTACAAAGAGCTCTTTAAGTCCTTGCTTGTTCTTGTGAAAAATGGCACAGTAATACTAAAAAGTTAGATTGTTGTAAGGATTATGAGGAAATGTGTGTAAATCACTTAGTACTGTGTCTGGCATACAGAAAATGTTAAATAAATGATAGCACTTACTGTATTTTTAGGGAAAGATCATAGGAAGATCGGGGCAAAGGAACTAAAGTGTGTTGTGCTACCCGCTGCTTCCCTCCACATTCTAAAAATGCTATATGTGCTCTTATTTAAACTTTGCAATTCATCCAAGGTCACAAAGATGGTATCTGGTAGACGATTTGAATATAGACCTATCTGACTTCAAAGACCATGCACTTTTCACTAAAAATTCCTAACCTGAATTCTGTTAGTGTATCATCGAAGATGAATCCATCAGATCAAAATCCCTTTTCTCTTTCTGATCTCCACACATCATTTAGAAAGAAAGAGTCCTTTGAGGACATGGTACAGCTGAGAGAAAATGTTTGATCAGAGGAATGAAGTAAGCAAAGCCCCAATAAATTTGGCACTACATAGAGGATCTCACACAGGGGACCCCCAAATACCAGATGACTACATGTGAGCCCACCCAGATGCCAGGAGTGGGGACAATGAAGAGGAGTGAGGGAAAAATGAAAGAGAATTTAGAACTATAGAGATCAACTACATAAAGGGCCTTATCCACATCGAAATACTTCCCAGGTTAAATATTTAAATTTGTAATTGTATTAGAAATCTTAATATTTTATTATTAATCTTTCAAACATTGAAAGTTAATTCATTCTAATTGATTAATTCTTAGGAATGTCAGTTATGTGTATTGCATACTCTATATCCTATACAGATGAAAAAGAACATAAATACAGCCTCTATCTTGAAGGAATTTATCAGGTGATACTTCTGTTAAGACATTTTTCAGATAAAGATGATACTAAAAATACACCCAAATGTTTGAGAAGAATCTAATGAGTGGTCCTCACAATATCTATGGAAGGAATTCAGAAAGCAGGAGACAACTGGCGGTTGGATAAACCAGGGAAAGTTTCAGTTGAGGTAAGCCTTGAAAATGGATTTAATTTGAACTCACAGAAGCAGAAAGGAAAATAATGGGTGCTAGTGGCTGGAGGGTGAGGAAAATGGGAAGATGTTTGTCAAAGGGTACAAACTTTCAATTATAATATAAACTAGTTCCAGGGATCTACTGTACAGTATGGATGGTTATGAATGCATTAATTAATTTTATTGTGGTAATCATTACACAATGTATAAATATATACATATATACACATATATATCACATTATCACATTGCACATGTTGAATATATACAATATTTGCCAATTACTATTTTAAAATTAAAAAAGAAAATGAATTTGACTAGAAATAAAGGGAGAAACAGGATTGTGGAGGAGGCAATGGAGTGAATTCATGGGCATGAGAAGGCCACGGTATGTTGGAGGAACAGTGATTTGCTTTCACTGGAGGTGCCAATCTAGGTTTAGAAATTATAAAAGATAAGGCTGGAAAAAAACAGGATGTTGCTAAATAACAAAGAAATTTGAATATCAGGCTGGAGAGTTTAAACTTTATCTTCTAATAGGAAGGAGCCATTAAGGTTTGGGTTTTTGTTTGTTTCTTTGTTGTTGTAGTCTAAGAATTATTATCAACACTCCTTAAAATTCCATCCTCCATCATTTCTACATAGTTTGATCTATAGATTCAAAATGAAATCCAAATATAAATAACAGAAAGATTTTGTTTGTACATATTGATATGCTTATTCCAAACTTTACATGGAAAGGCAAAGGAACTAAAATAGGTAATTCCAAAATTCTGAAAAAGAAAAGAACAAAGTCAGAATCCTCACATTACCCAGTTGTAAGTCTTATTCTTATAAAGCTACAGTAATCAAGTCGATCCTGTATTGTCAAAAGGATAGACACACAGATCAATTAAACAGAATAGAAAGCCCAGAAATAGATCTACACAAATAGTTAACTGATTTTTGATAAAGATTCAAAGGCAATTCAATGGAGAAAAGCTTCTCAACAAATGATGCTTGAATAATTTGGACATCCATATGGGAAAAAGAAGAAGAAAAAACAAAAAACCTCCAAATGGCTACAGACCTAAAGGTATCATGTAAAAGTAAAGACAGTATCTTCTAGGCGATACCTGTGTTGCACTGGTTTTGTCAATGTGTTTTTAGATACAATACCAAAAGCATACACCATTAAAGAAAATATTGATTAACTGGACTCTATCAAAGTTTTAAGCTGTAGCTCCACAAAAGACACTGTTGAGAGAATTAACAGACAACCCATAGAATAGGAGAAAATATGCAAATCACATATCTGATAAAAGACATGTACCAAGAGTATATAAATACTCCCAAATTCAATAATAAAAAAACCAAGCACCACAATTAAAAAATAGGTGAAACATTTGAACAGACACTTTAGGAAAGAAGATATATGGATGGCAGGTGGGTGTGGTGACTCACACCTGTAATCCCAACACTTTGAGAGACCAAAATGGGTGGTCTCAGTTGCTTGAGCCCAGGAGCTCCAGACCAGCCTGAACAACATAATAAGACACCATCTCCACAAGAAATATGAAACGTAGCCAGGTATGGTGGCATGCACCTGTGGTCCCAGCTACTCAGGAAGCAGAAGTGGAGGATTGATTTAGCCTAGGAGGTTGGATCTGCAGTGAGCCGTGATCAAAACACTACACTTCATCCTGGGCAGCAGAGCAAGGCCTTGTCTCTCTCTCTCTCTCTCTCTCTCTCTCTCTCTCTCTCTATATATATATATATATATATATATATATATATGGCAAATTTGTGCACACATATATGCTCAGCATCATTAGTCTCTAGGGAAATGCAAATTAAATACACAATGACATGCCATGTATACATGTATTAAAATAGTTTAAATCTGTGTTTTATTCTTTAATTGACAAATAAAAATTGTATACATTTATTGTGTACAAAGTGATGTTTTGAAACATGTATATGTTGTGGAATGGCTCAAACAAGCTAATTCACATATGTGTATGATAAGTATGAGAACATATTTATCATTTTTGTGATGAGAAGGCTTAACATCTACTCTCTGAGAAATAAGTGGTTTAGAATTTTAAAAATCTGACAATATCAAATATGAGTGAGGACACGGAGCAACTGCAACTCTCAAACACTTCTGGTAGGAATTCACAATAGTACAGACACTTTGGAAAACAGTTAAACATACACTTATCACATAACCCAGCGGTCCCACTAATAGCTATTTATTCAAGTGAGTTGGAAAATCTAGGTTCACACTACTTTATTTGTAATTACCAAAAACTGGAAAGAACCTACATGTTCTTCAACAGGAAAAGGGATAAACAAACTCTAAAACTTCTATAAAATACAATATAGGAAGTACCTATTGATTCATGCAACTATTTAATACACGGATGAAGCTTAAAGGCATTTTGCTAAGTGAAAGAAATCAGATTCCAAAGGCTACATGATTTTTGATATTCATGAAAAGGAAAAACTATTAGGATGGAAAATAAATCAGTGGTTATCAGGGTTTGGGGTTGTGGGGATGGGCTTACAAAGGGACAGCATAAGAAAACTGTGAGGGAATTAGAACTGCTCTATGTGATACATAACTATGCATTTGCATGAAACCATGACACTGTACATAGCAAAGAGAGAATTTTACTGTATGCAAAATATTTATTTCAAAAAGCTAAAAGAAGACCACTTCTATTTCATGCTGATTTTAATTTTCTTTAATCAGAAATATGCTAACCAGAATTAAGGGGTAAAAGCTGATCTGTCTCTTACCAGGTCAAATGCATAAGTCTGACTCAGTTCACAACACTGACAAACAAAAATTGTATATATTTGTTGCATATGTCATGATTTGCTCCCCATTATTTCTTCTGGATGATCAATGAAGAGACAAAAATCCAGATACATTTGACTTTACCTATGACCCCACTCAATTTCTTCTCTGTGCAGGAAGACGTGGCTACTTTGTGTTTCTCTTTTGTGATCCTATGAATATATTTTGGATCATGCTACTCCCAAAAGAGGCTCTCAAAAGTTCCCAGAAAAAAAAAAAATTAAGAAATTTAAATAGTTCTTGAATAAACCAATATGTTTAACTTTCTTTTGTCTTATGTTTTCCAAACCTAATTGAACTCAATTTTTCCTTAATGTAAATAATATAACTTTCCTTGGAGCTTGTTTCATAAAATAATATACTTTGAGAAAAACTTATTCATGTTGGATATCAGCATTTGCACTTTGTATAATACTTAAAAGATTAATTTGGAATCATAAAAAGTGTTGAAATCATGAGGAATTTGAGAGGTTTAGATGAATTGTTTTTACTGTCTATTCAGAGACTGTCTTATAGGCATGACTCCTATATATATATATGTATATATATGTAACCTTTTCTTTTCTTTCTTTTTTCTTTTTCTTTTTTTTTTTTTTTTTTTTTTTTTTTGAGACGGTATTTCACTCTTGTTGCCCAGGCTGGAGTGCAATGGCATGATCTCAGCTCACTGCAACCTCTGCCTCCCAGCAACTGCCTTCAAGTGATCCTCCTGCCTCAGCCTCCTGAGTAGCTGGGATTACAGGCATGCGCCACCATGCCTGGCTAATTTTGGATTTTTAGTAGGGACGGGGTTTCTCCATGTTGATCAGGCTAGTCTTGAATTCCCAACCTCAAGTGATCCTCCAGCCTTGGCCTCCCAAACTGCTGGGATTACAGGCATGAGCCACCACGCCTGGCCTATAACCTTTTCAAAACCACAGTCTACGTGGATCAGTCCCAGAGAGGGGCCACAATTTGAAGAACCCAATCCATGCAACTAAAACTAATTTCAAAATGACTTAGATTTCTAATTTTTTGAATACCATGAAAAGCATGTATAGATCGTACAATATTTTTTAGAATCTTCTTTTTCCTTTCCACTGCATTTATACTAAAACTTCTTCCACCTCTCTCTTCTTTTTTTGTTTTTTGATATATTTTTAAATTTAAATTTATTATAATAATTTTTTCGTAGAAATGGGGGCCTGCTTGTTTCCCAGGCTGGTTCCAAACTCCTTCTGCCTTGCAATGGTTAATACTAGTGTCAACTAAATTGGGTTGAATGATGCAAAGTATTGTTCCTGGGTGTGTCTATGAGGGTGTTGCCAAAGGAGATTAACATTTGAGTCAGTGGACTAGGAGAGACAGACTCACCCTCAATCTGGGTGGGCACCATCTAATCAGCTACTAGCCTAAAAGCAGGCATGGAAACAGTAGACTGGCTGAGTCTTCTGGTCTCCATCTTTCTCCCTACCAGATGCTTCCTGCCCTCAAACATCAGACTCCAAGTTCTTCAGCTTTTGTACTCATGAACTTACACCAGTGATTTTCCAGGGACTCTTGGGCGTTTGGCCACAGACTGAAGGCTGCATTATCGGCTTCCCTACTTTTGAGGTTTTGGGAATTGGTCTGGCTGCCTCCTCAGCTTACAGACTGCCTGTTGGGGGGCTTCACCTTGTGATTGTGTAAGTCAATTCTCCTAATAAACTCACCTTCATATATTCATCTATCCTATTAGTTTCATCCCTTTAGAGAAACTGACTAATACAAGCCTCAACCTCTCAAAGTGCTGTGATTACAGGAGCGAGCCATCACCACCACGTCCAGCCTCTCTCCTTTACATCTTCTGGAACCCTCACTACCTCCTTTCTTTTTGTTTCATTTCACTCTCCATTTACACTTGAATTACCACCATTAAAGCCCACCAAGAAATCTGATAAGGTAGGACTTGTCTTAAGGAGGAAAAGAGGGGGAAACAATTAGTACATCCCGGCAGAATCCTCTTTTGCAGGCAAATAAAGGGAAAGTCAAGAAATGCTCCTGTGGTAATATTTATTCCATTACATACCAGAAAGAGGCATAGTCATCCTAGAGGAAGGCATTTAAGCCCAAAAGATCGGGCAATTGACATGAAGGGGACTGAGGGACTCAGTGCTTACTGACCAATTATGATCAGTATGACCAATTTTAAGTTGTAAATGAAAGAGTATAACCTGGCAGGATGGCATGAGCCTGTAGTCTCAGCTACTCAGGAGGCTTGAGCAAGAGGATTGCTTGAGCTCAGCCCAGGAGTTTCAGGCTGTCATGCACTTGTGAATAGCCACTGGATTTTACCCTGGGCAACATAGTGAGACCTCATCTGTAACTTAATTTAAAAGAGAGAGGATAAAATTTGGAGATTATGCCAGTCAAGGTTCAGTTAGGGAAGCAGGGCTACTATGAGTGACTGGGGATTTTTCTGTTAGAAATTAGACTTTATGCAATTATGGCAGTGGCTGAGGAAGTGAAAATTCAGAAGGGGGAGTTGAAGCATCTGTGAGGGGTCACCAATTGTTCTTGGTGCAGTACTGGTACAGGTGAAAAACTGGAGCTCTCAGGATGTTCTGAAAGGCCCAGCAGGGTCATGAAGGAGCAATCCATGGGTGGGTGTTGCATCTGTGTGTTTACTACCCTTGTGGATCCACCACCCAGCATCTAGAGGTGGGCCTAGGGTAGCCTTGGCCAGCAGGGACAGCAGTAGGGAAAATAAACAGATAGGACAGAGAGGGAGGACAGGGTGGAGTTGCTAGGTTCACTCTGGGGCCATCTATTACCACAGATTGAGAAGACTTTTTAAAGTGGAATGGCTGCCATAGAGCTTCTGCCTTCTAGATCAGATCTCATGTGAGTTCCACATTGGTCAATTCTAACCCAGCTATACATGGAAAAATATACTGGGAAATGTGGGTCCCAGTTTGATGAGGTTACACAGAGAAACCCATCACTGGAGTCATGAGTGAAATAAAGAAATACAACATATCTTATATTAAGACTTAACAAGCATTGGGAGGATTCCCACTCAGTGTAAAACATTGTGCCAGATTTCTCTCTCTCTCTCTTTCTCTCGCTTTCCCTCTAGCTTTCTCTCAATCTCTCTCTCCTCTCTCTCTCTCTCTCTCACACACACACACACACACACACACACACACACTCCCCTTCTTTAGAAGCATCACCTTACATGCTACTTTCCCCACCCCATTTCTGCAGTCCCAGTAAAAGAAATATGAAGAGATGTTTGGAAAGATCTGGAGTGTTATTCATAAGATGCAAACAGCGGTAGAGTCTGAGACAATGCTGTGCAATGCTTAGGAGAGAAAGTTCTAGAGTTTGAGTCCAAATCCTGGTCCTATCATACGATAGCTAAGTGATCTTGGGGAAAATGCTTCATTTCTCTATTCTTTCATTATTATTATTATTATCGTACTTTAAGTTCTGGGATACATGTGCAGAACATGCAGGTTTGTTACATTGGTATACATGTGCCATGGTGGTATGCTGCGCCCATCAACCCATCATCTACATTAGGTATTTCTCCTAATGCTATCCCTCCCCTTGCACCCGACACCCCAACAGGCCCCGGTGTGTGATGTTTCCCTCCCTGTGCCCATATGTTCTCACTGTTCACCTCCCACTTATGAGAGAGAACATGTGGTGTTAGGTTTTCTGTTCCTATGCTAGTTTGCTGAGAATGATGGTTTCCAGCTTCATCCATGTCCCTGTAAAGGACAGGAACTCATTCTTTTTTATGGCTGCATAGTATTCTATGGTGTATATGTGCCACATTTTCTTTATCCAGTCTATCATTGATGGACATTTGGGTTGGTTCCAGGTCTTTGCTATTGTGAATAGTGCTGCAATAAACATATATGTGCACGTGTCATTATAGTAGAATGATTTATAATCCTTTGGGTATATATCCAGTAATGTGATTGCTCGGTCAAATCGTATTTCTAGTTCTAGATCCTTGAGGAATCACCACACTGTCTTCCACAATGGTTGAACTATTTTACACTCCTACCAACAGTGTAAAAGCATTCCTATTTCTCCACATCCTCTCCAGCATCTGTTGTTTCCTGACTTTTTAATGATTGCCATTCTAACTGGCATGAGATGGTATCTCATTGTGGTTTTGATTTGCATTTCTCTTACGACCAGTGATGATGAGCTTTTTTTCATATGTTTGTTGGCCACATAAATGTCTTCTTTTGAGAAATGTCTGTTCATATCCTTTGCCCACTTTTTGATGGGATTGTTTGTTTTTTTCTTGTAAATTTGTTTAAGTTCCTTGTATATTCTGGATATTAGCCCTTTGTCAGATGGATAGATTGCAAAAATTTTCTCCCATTCTGTAGGTTGCCTATTCACTCTGATGATAGTTTTTTATTTTTCTTTTTTCTGTGCAGAAGCTTTTTAGTGTAATTAGATCCCATTTGTCAATTTTGGCTTTCATTGCAATTGCTTTTGGTGTTTTAGTCATAAAGTCTTTGCCCATGCCTATGTCCTGAATGGTGTTGCCTAGGTTTTCTTCCAGGGTTTTTATGGTTTTCGGTGTTATGTTTAAATCTTTAATACAATGAGCTAATTTTTGTAAAAGGTGTAAGGAAGTGGTCCAGTTTCAGTTTTCTGCATATGGAAAGCCAGTTTTCCCAACACCATTCATTAAATAGGGAATCCTTTCCCCATTGCTTGTTTTTGTCAGGTTTGTCAAAGATCAGATGGTTGTTGATGTGTGGTGTTATTTCTGATATCTCTGTTCTGTTCCATTGATCTATATTAACTGTTTTGATACCAGTATCATGCTGTTTTGGTTACTGTAGTCTTGTAGTATAGTTTGAAGTCAGGTAGTGTGATGCCTCCAGCTTTGTTCTTTTTGCTTAGGATTGTCTTGGCTATACAGGCTCTTTTTTGGTTCCATATGAAATTTAAAGTAGTTTTTTCTAATTCTGTGAAGAAAGTCACTGGTATCTTGATAGGAATAGCATTGAATCTATAAATTACTTTGGGCAGTATTGCCATTTTCATGATAGTGATTCTACCTATCCATAAGTATGGAAAGTTTTTCCATTTGTTTGTGTCCTCTTTTATTTCCTTGAGCAGTGGTTTGTAGTTCTCCTTGAAGAGGTCCTTCACATCTTTTATAAGTTGTATTCCTAGGTATTTCATTCTCTTTGTAACAATTGTGAATGGGAGTTCACTTAGGATTTGGCTTTCTATTATTGGTGTATAGGAACACTTGTGATTTTTGCACACTGATTTTTTATCCTGAGACTTTGCTGAAGTTGCTTATCAGCTTAAGGAGTTTTGGGGCTGAGACGATGGGGTTTTCTAAATATACAATCATGTCATCTGCAAAAAGATACGATTTGACTTCCTCTCTTCCTGTTTGAATACCCTTTATTTCTTTCTCTTCTCTGATTGCCCTGGCCAGAACTTTCAATACTATGTTGAATAGAAGTGGTAGAGAGGACATCCTTGTCTTGTGCCAGTTTTCAAAGGGAATGCTTCCAGCTTTTGCTCATTCAGTATGATGTTGGCTGTGGGTTTGTTATAAATAGCTCTTATTATTTTGAGATATGTTCCATCAATACCTAGTTTATTGAGTGTTTTTAGCATGAAGGGGTGTTGAATTTTATCAAAGGCCTTTTCTGCATCTATTGAGATAATCATGTGGTTTTTGTCATTGGTTCTGTTTATGTGATGGATTACATTTATTGATTTGCATATGTTGAACCACCTTTGCATCTCAGGGATGAAGGCAACCTGATTGTGGTGGATAAGCTTTATAATGTGCTGCTGGATTTGGTTTGCCAGTATTTTATTTAGGATTTTCACATTGATGTTCGTCAGGGATATTGTCCTGAAATATTCTTTTTTTGTTGTATCTCTGCCAGGTTTTGGTATCAGGATGAGGCTGGCCTCATAAAATGAGTTAGGGAGAAGCCCCTTTGTTTCTATTGTTTGGAATAGTTTCAGAAGGAATGCTACCAGCTCCTCTTTATACCTCTGGTAGAATTTGGCTGTGACTCTGTCTGGTCCTGGGCTTTTTTTTTGGTTGGTAGGCTGTTAATTACTGCCTCAATTTTAGAACTTGCTATTGGTCTATTCAGTGATTCGACTTCTTCCTGGTTTAGTCTTGGGGGGTGCATGTGTCCAGAAACTTATCCATTTCGTCTCGATTTTCTAGTTTATTTGCACAGAGGTATTTTTAGTATTCTCTGATGGTAGTTTGTATTTCTGTGGGATCAGTGGTGATATCCCCTTTATCATTTTTTATTGTGTCTATTTGATTCTGCTCTTCTTTCTTTTTATTAGTCTGGCTAGCAGTCTATCTATTTTGTTAATCTTTTCAAAAAACCAGCTCTGAGATTCATTGATTTTTTGAAGGGTTTTTTTTGTGTCTCTATCTTCTTCAGTTCTGCTCTGATCTTAGTAATTTCTTGTCTTCTGCTATCTTTTGAATTTGTTTGCTCTTGCTTCTCTAATTCTTTTAATTGTGATGTTAAGATATCGATTTTTATCTTTCCCACTTTCTCATGTGGGCATTTAGTGCTATAAATTTTCCTCTAAACACTGCTTTGGCTGTGTTCCAGAGATTCTGGTACATTGTGTCTTTGTTCTCTTTGCTTTCAAAGAGCTTATTTATTTCTGCCTTAATTTTGCTATTTACTCAGTAGTCATTCAGAAGCAGGTTGTTCATTTTCTATGCAGTTGTGCAGTTTTGAGTGAATTTGTTAATCCTGAGTCCTAATTTGATTGCACTGTGGTCTGAGAGACTGTTATGATTTCCATTCTTTTGCATTTGCAGAGGAGTGTTTTACTTCCAAGTATGTGGCTGATTTTAGAATAAGTGCTATGTAGTGATGAGAAGAATATATATTCTGTTGATTTGGGGTGGAGAGTTCTGTAGATGTCTATTAGGTCCACTTGGTCCAGAGCTTAATTCAAGTCCTGAATATCCTTGTTAATTTTCTGTCTCATTGATCTGTCCAATATTGACAGTGGGGTATTAAAGTCTCCCACTATTATTATGTGGAAGTCTAAGTCTCCTTGTGGGTCTCTAAGAACTTGCTTTATGAATCTTGGTGCTCCTGCATTGGGTGCCTAAATATTTAGGATAGTTAGCTCTTCTTGTTGCATTGATCCCTATACCATTATGTAATACACTTGTCTTTTTTGATCGTTGTTCATTTAAATTTTGTTTTATCAGAGACTAGAATTGCAACCCCTGCTTTTTTTTTGCTTTCCATTTGCTTGGTAAATCTTCCTCCACCCCTTTATTTTGAGCCTCAGTGTGTCTTTGCATGTGAGATGGGTCTCCTGAATACAGCACAACAATGGGTCTTGACTCTTTACCCAATTTGCCAGTCTGTGTCTATTAATTGGGGCATTTAGCCCATTTACATTTAAGGTTAATATTGTTATGTGTGAATTTGATCCTGTCATTATGATGCCAGTTATTTTGCCCATTAGTTGATGCAGTTTCTTCATAGCATTGAGGGTCTTTACAATTTGGTATGTTTTTCCAGTGGCTGGTACTGGTTGTTCCTTTCCATGTTTAGTGCTTCCTTCAGGAGCTCTTGTAAGGCAGACCTGGGGTGACGAAATCCCTCAGCATTTGCTTTTCTATAAAGCATTTTATTTCTCCTCTTATGAAGCTTAGTTTGGCTGGATATGAAATTCTGGGTTGAAAACTATTTTCTTTAAGAATGTTGAATATTTGCCCCCACTCTCTTCTGACTTACAGGGTTTCTGCAGAGAGATCTACTGTTAGTCTGATGGGCTTCCCTTTGTGGGAAACCTGACCTTTCTTTCTGGCTGCCCTTAACATTTTTTCCTTCATTTCAACCTTGGTGAATCTGACGATTATGTGTCTTGGGATTACTCTTCTCAAGGCATATCTTTGTGGTTTTCTCTGTATTTCCTGAATTTAATATTGGTCTGTCTTGCTAGGTTGGGAAAGTTCTCCTGGATAATATCCTGAAGAGTGTTTTCCAACTTGTTTCCATTCTCCCTGTCACTTTCAGGTACATTAATCAAACGTAGGTTTCGTCTTTTCACACAGTTGATATTTCTTGGAGGCTTTGTTCATTCCTTTTCATTCTTTTTTTCTCTAATCTTGTCTTCACATTTTATTTTATTAAGTTGGTCTTCAATCTCTGATATCCTTTCTCCCACTTGATTGATTTGGCTATTGATACTTGTGTATGCTTCATGAAGTTCTCATGCTGTGTTTTTCAGCTCCATCAGGTAATTTATGTTCTTCCCTAAACTGGTTATTCTAGTTAGTATTTCCTGTAATCTTTTATCAAGGTTCGTGGCTTCCTTGGATTGGGTTAGAACATGCTCCTTTAGGTTGAAGGAGCTTGTTATTACCCACCTTCTGAAGCCCACTTCTGTCAATTCGTCACACTCATTCTCCATCCAGTTTTGTTCCTGTGGTGGCGAGGAGTTATGATCCTTTGGAGGAGAAGAGGCATTCTGGTTTTTGGAATTTTCAGCCTTTTTGCGCTGGTTTTTCCTCCTCTTCATGGATTTATATAACTTTGGTCTTTGATGTTGGTGACTTTTGGATGGGGTTTTTGCATGGTTGTCCTTTTTGTTGACATTGATGCTATTGCTTTCCATTTGTTAGTTTTCCTTCTAACAGTCAGGCCCCTCTTCTGCAGGTCTGTTGGAGTTCTGGAGGTCCACTCCAGACCCTGTTTGCCTGGATATCACCCATAAAGGCTGCAAAACAGCAAAGATTGCTGCCTGCTCCTTCCTCTGGAAGCTTCATCCCAGAGGGTCACCCACCAAATGCCAGCCAGAGCTCTCCTGTGTGAGGTGTCTGTAGACCCCTGCTGGGAGGTGTCTCCCTGTCAGGAGGCACAGGGGTCAAGGACCCACTTAAGGAGGCAGTCTGTCCCTTAGCAGAGCTTGAGCTCTGTTTTGGGAAATCTGCTGCTCTCTTCAGAGCCAGCAGGCAGGAATGTTTAAGTCTGCTAAAGGTATGCCTACAGTCACCACTTCCCCCATGTGCTCTGTCCCAGGGAGATGGAAATTTTAGCTATAAGCTCCTGACTGGGGTTGCTGCCTTTCTTTCAGAGATGTCCTGCCCAGAGAGAAGGAATCTAGAGAGGCAGTCTGGCTACAGCCGCTTTGCTGAGCTGCGGTGGGCTTCACCCAGTTCCAACTTTCTTGCCACTTTGTTTACACTATGAGGGGCAAACCACCTACTCAAGCCTCAATAATGGCAGGTTCCCTTCCTCCTACCAAGCCCAAGCATCCCAGGTAGACTTCAGACTGCTGTGCTGGCAGCGAGAATTTCAAGCCAGTGGATCTTAGCTTGCTGGGTTATCTGGGATTGGGATCCACTGAGCAAGACAACTTGGCTCCCTGGCTTCAGCCCCTTTCCAGGGACTGAATGGTTCTGTCTTGCTGGCACCACTGGGGTATGAAAAAAAACTCCTGCAGCTAGCTCAGTGTCTGCCTAAGTGGCCACCCAGTTTTGTGCTTGAAACCCAGGGCCCGTGTGGTATAGGCACCCGAGGAAATCTTCTGTTCTGCGGGATGTGAAGACAGTGGGAAAAGTGTAGTATCTGGGCTAGACAGCACTGTTCCTTAGGGCACAGTCCCTCATGGCTTCCCTTGGCTAGGGGAGGGAGTTCCCCAACCCCTTGCACTTACTGGGTGAGGAAACACCCCACCCTGCTTCTGCTCACCCTCCGTGGGCTGCACCTACTGTCTAACCAGTCCCAGTGAGATGAACCAGGTACCTCAGTTGGAAATACAGAAACTGCCCGCTTTCTGTGTTGATCTCGCCTGGAGCTGCAGACAGGAGCTGTTCCTATTTGGCCATCTTGCCCTTACCTCCATTTCTCTATTCTTTAGCTTTGTCATTGTAAATTTCAGCTAATACCTACCTTATAAAATTGTTGTATTGGTTATATGTGATAGTATACATACAGCGCCTGAAGTGTAAAAAAATAAAGAGCTCAATTTAGGAACAATAAAAAATAAAAAAATAAGTGTAAGATGGCCAATTAGAAGCAGCTGAAGTCCACAGCAATCACAGAGAGTGAACGAAAGTGGTGAGTGAATTCAGCACCCTCAGCTGAAATATACATGTTCTCACATTGGGACTGACTAGGCAAATAACTCAATCCATGGAAAACAAAGAAAAGTGGGGTGGAGGTGGCGTACACCCAGGAGCAGCACTGAGCCAAAGGAACCCCCACCCCCAGCCAAGGGAAGTGGTGAGTGATTATGCCACTGCACCCCAGAAACTATGCTTCTCCCACAGATCTTTACAACCTGTGAATCAGGAGATCCCACTGGGAGCCCATGCCACCAGGGCTTTGGGTCCAATACACAGAGCTGTGTGGAGGCTCAGCAGAGCAGCCACCTAGGCACACACAGAGACCTGGGAGTTTTACATATTCTGGCCCCAGGATCCCTTGCAAGGTGGGAGATCCATGTGTACATACCCCTGGGAAGCGGGCTGAATCAAGGGAGCCAAGCACTGTCATTCTGTGGGCCCCACTTCTACGGCACCTCACAAGTTAAGACTCACTGGCTTGGAATTTTAGCCAGCCAATGGCAACAGGATGGAGTCTGCCTGAGACAGGACCAAGTTCTTTGGGGGAGGGGCAGTCACCATGTCTGCAGTTTGGTAGACTCAGCCATTGCAGCCTGCCAGCTTTGAAGAATAAAAATTGTTTGGATGAGGAAGAGTACCCACAACACAGTGCAGCTGCTTTGCCAGATTGTGGCCAGACTGCTTCTTTAAGCTGGACCCTGATCCATTCCCATAGATCTTTGCAGCCTGTGAATCAAGAGATCCCCTTGGGAGCCCATGCCACCAGGGCCTTGGGTCCAATACATAGATCTGTGTGGAGCCTCAGCAAGTGAGGCTCTGGGTGGGACCTCCCCTCAGGACCTTCAGCCACTCCAGTCAGGGTTCTGTGGACAGAGTGCTGATCTCTCTGGACAGATCTCCCAAGGAGAGGGGTGGCCACTATCTCTGCGGTTTGGTAGACTCAACTATTCCAGCTTGCCAGCTTTGAAGAATACAAATGGTCTGGACAAGGAAGGGTCCCCCCTAATGCAGCACACCTGCTCTATCAAAAAGGAGCCAGATTGCTTTTTTAAGCAAGTCCCCAATCCTGTTCCTCCTGCCTGGGTGAGACCTCCCAACAGGGATCTCCAGCCACCTCCTACAGGCACATTTGGGCCAGCAACAAGTCAGTCCCTCACTGGAATGGAGCTTCCAAAGGATGGAGCAGACTGCCATCTTTGCTATTTTGCAGCCTTCACTGGTGATACCTTCAGGTAAGGGAAAAACTGAGGCAACTAGGGTCTGAAAGAGACCCCAGCAAACTGCAGCAGCCCTACAAAGAGTAGCCCGAAGGTTAAAAGAAAAACAAACAAAGAGAAAACAACAGCAACAACAAAAAGACCCCATAAAAACACCATTCAAAGGGAAGCAACCTCAAAGATTAAATGTAGATAAACCCACAAACACGAGAAAGAATTAATTCAAAAATGCTGAAAACTCAAAAAGCCAGAGTCCCTCTTCTCTTCTAAATGACTGCAACACCTCTCCAGAAAAAGCACAGAACTGGGTTGAGGCTGAGATGGCTGAATTGATGGAAATAGGTTTCAGAAGGTGGGTAATAACGAACTTCACTGAGCTAAAGGAACATGTTGTAACCCAATGCAAAGAAGCTAAGAATCATGATAAAACAATGCAGGAGCTGATAGTCAGAATAGCCAGTTTAAAAAGGAACATAACCAACCTGATGGAGATAAAAAACATAATACAAGAACTTCACAATGCAATTACAAGTATCAATAGCAGAATAAGACCAAGCAGAGGAAAGAATCCCAAAGCTTGAAGACTGTCTTTCTAAAATAAGACAAGCAGACAAGAATAGAGAAAAAAGAATAAAAAGGAATGACCAAAACCTCTGAGAACTATGGTATTATATAAAGAGACCAAACCTAAGACTGATTGGAGTACCTGAAAGAGACAATGGAATCAAGTTGGAAAACATACTTCATGATATCATCCAGGAGAACTTCCCCACCTAGCAAGACAGGCCAACACTCAAATTCAGGAAATCCAGAGAACCCTAGTAGGATACTCCATGAGAATATCAACTCCAAGACAAATAATCATCAGATTCTCCAAGGTCAAAAGGAAAGAAAAAATGTTAAGGGCAGCCAGAGAGAAAGGCCAGGTCACCAACAAAGGGAAACCCATCAGACTAACAGTGGACCTCTCAGTGGAAACTCTGCAAACCAGAAGAGATTGGAGACCAATATTCAACATTCTTAAAGAAAAGAATCTCCAACCCAGAATTTCATATCTGGGCAAACTAAGCTTCATAAGTGAAGGAGAAATAAGATCCTTTTCAGACAAGCACATGGTAAGGGAACTCGTCACCACTGGGCCTGCCTTGCAAGAGCTCCTGAAGGAAACAATAAATATGCAAAGAAAAAACCATTACCATCGCTACAGAAACACACTGAAGTACACAGACCAGTGACACTATGAAGCAACCACATAAACAAGTCTGCAAAATAACCAGTTAGCATCATGATGATGGGATCAAATTCACACATAACAATACTAACCTTAAATGTGAATGAGCTAAATGCCCCAATTAAAAGACACAGAATGGTAATCTGGATAAAGAGCCAAGACCTATTGGTATGCTGTCTCCAGAGACCCATCTCACATGCAAAGACACACATAGGTTCAAAATTAAGGAATGCAGAAAAATTTACCAGGCAAATGGAAAACAGAGAAAAGCAGGGTTTGTAATCCTAGTTTCTGTCAAAATAGACTTCAAGCCAACAAACATCACAAAAGACAAAGAGGGGCATTACATAATGGTAAAGGGTTCAATTCAACAAGAAGAGTTAACTATTCTAAATAAATATGCACCCAATACAGGAGCACTCAGATTCATACAGCAAGTTCTTAAAAACTTACAAAGAGGTTAGACTTAGACTCTCATACAATAATGGCTGGAGAATTTAACGTCCCACTGACAATCTTAGACAGATCATCAAGACAGAAAATTAACAAAGATATTCATGACCTGAACTCAGCTTTCGATCAAGTGGATCTGATAGATATCTATAGAACTCCCCACCCCAAAACAATAGAATACACATTCTTTTCATCACCACATGGTATTTACTCTAAAATTGATCACACGATCGAAAGTAAAACACTCCTCAGTAAATGCAAAAGGACTGAAATAAAAACAAACAGTCTCTCAGACCACAGTGCAATCAAATTAAAACTCCAGATTAAGAAATTTACTCAAAACCACACAACTACCTGGAAATTAAACAACCTGCTCCTGAATGACTCTTGGGTAAATCATGAAATTAAGGCAGAAATGAAGAAGTGACTTGAAACCAATGAGAACAAAGAGACAACATACCAGAATCTCTAGGACACAGCTAAAACAGTGTTAAGAGAGAAATTTAAAGCACTAAATGCCCACATCAAAAAGCTAGAAAGATCTCAAGGTGACAACCTAACATCTCAAATAAAAGAACTAGAAGGCCAAGAGCAAACAAACTCCAAAGCTAACAGAAGACAAGAAATCATCAAGATCAGAGCTGAACTGAAGGAGATTGAGACACACACACACACAAAACCCTTCAAAAAAATCAATGAATCCAGAAGCTGGTTTTTCAAAAAAAAATAAAATAAAATAGATAGACTGCTAGCTAGACTAATAAAGAAGAGAAAAGAATCAAATAAACACATTCAGGAATGATATGGGGGAATATCACCACTGACCCCACAGAAATGCAATCATCAGAGAATACTATAGACACCTCTATCACAAATTCTAGAAAATCTAGAAGAAATGGACAAATTCCTGGACACATACACCCTCCCAAGACTGACTCAGGAAGAAACTGAATCCCTGAATAAACCAATAATGAGTTCTGAAATTGAGGCAGTAATAAATAGCCTACCAACCAAAAAAAAAAAAACAAAAAACCCAGCACCAGAGGGATTCACAGCTGAATTCTACCAGAAGTAAAAAGAAGAGCTGGTACATTTCTACTGAAAAATTGAAAAGGAGGGACTCCTCCCTAACTAATTCTGTGAGGTCAGTATCATCCTGATACCAAAAACCTGGCAGAGATACAACAAAAAAGGAAAACTTCAGGCCAATATCCTTGATGAACATCAATGCAAAAATCCTCAATAAAATATTGGCAACTGAATCCAGCCACACATCAAAAAGCTTATCCACCATAATCAAGTTCGCTTCATCCCCAGGATGCAAGGTTAGTTCAACATATGCAGATCAATAAATGTGATTCATCACATAAACAGAACTAAATGCAAAAACCTCGTGATTACCTCAATAGATGCAGAAAAGGCCTTTGATAAAATTCAATATCCCTTCATGTTAAAAACTCCTCAATAAACTGAAGGAACACACCTCAAAATAATAAGAGGTGTATATGACAAACTCACAACCAATATCATACTGAATGGGCAAAAGCTGGAAGCATTCCCTTTGAAAACTGGCAGAAGACTAGGGTGACATCTCTCAGCACTCCTATTCAACACAGTATTGGAAGTTCTGGCAAGAGAAAGAAGTAGAGGTACTCAAATAGGAAGAGAGGAAGTCAAATTATCTCTGTTTACAGGTGACATAATCTTATATCTAGAAAACCCCATCATATCAGCTTCTTAAACTGATAAGCAACTTCAGCAAAGTCTCAGGATAGAAAATCAATGTGCTAAAATCTCTAGCATTCCTGTACACCAATAACAGGCAAGCAGAGAGCCAAATCATGAATGAACTCCCATTTGCAATTGCTACAAAAAGAATAAAATACCTAAGAATACAGCTAACAAGGGAAGTGAAGCATCTCTTCAAGGAGAACTACAAACTGCTGCTCAAAGAAACCAGAGATGACACAAATGGGAAAACATTCCATACTCACGGATAGACAGAATCAATATCATAAAAAAGAGCACACTGCCCAAAGTAATTTATAGATTTAATGCTATTCCCATTAAACTTCCATTGACGTTTGTCACAGAATTAGAAAAAAAACTATTTTAAAATTCATATGGAACCAAAAAAGAACTTGAATAGCCAAGACAACCCTAAGCAAAAAGAACAAAGCTGGAAGCATCATGCTACCTGACTTCAAACTATACTACAACGCTATGGTAACCAAAACAGCATGGTACTGTTACAAGAAAAGACACATAGACCAATGGAACAGAATAGAGAACTCAGAAATAAGACCACACACCTACAACCTCTGATCTTCAGCAAATCTGACAAAAACAAACCATGGGGAGAGGATTCCTTATTTAACAAATGGTGCTGGGAGAACTGGCTAGCCATGTGTAGAAAATTGAAACTGGGCTCTCCTTACACCACATACAAAAATTAACCAAGACGGATTAAAGACTTAAATGTAGGCCAGGTATAGTGCCTTACATCTGTAATCCCAGCACTTTGGGAGGCCGAGGCAGGTGAATCACCTGAGGTCAGGAGTTCAAGATCAGCCTGGCCAACATGGTGAAACCTTGTCTCTACTAAAAATACAAAAATTAGCTGGGCATGGTGGCACACACCTGTAATCCCAGCTACTTGGGAGCTATGGCAGGAGAATCGCTTGAACCTGGGAGGCAGAGGTTGCAGTGAGCCAATATTGCCCTACTGCCCTCCAGCTTGGGCAACAGAGTGAGACTCTACCTCAAAAAAAGAAAAAAAGGAATACTTAAATTTAAAACCCAAATCTATAAAAACCCTGTAAGAAAATCTAGGTAATACCATTCAGGAACTAGGTATGGGCAAAAATTTCATGATGAAAATGCCAAAAGCAATTGCAACAAAAGCAAAAATTGATCTAATTAAACTAAAGAGCATCTGCACAGCAAAAGAAACTATTATCAGAGTGAACAGACAACCTAGAGAATGAGAGAAAATTTTTACAATCTATTCATCTGTCAAAGGTCTAATATTCAGAGTCTGCAAGGAACTTAAACAAATTTACAAGAAGAAAACAAACATTAAACATTGCCTAGTAAAAAGTGGGCAAAGGACATGAACAGACACTTCTCAAAAGAAGACATACATGCAGCCAACAAACATATACAAAAAACCTCAACATCACTGCTCATTAAAGAAATGTAAATCAAAACCAAAATAAGACACCATCTCACACCAGTCAGGATGGCTTTTATCAAAGTCAAAAAAACAGCAGATGCTGGCAAGGTTGTGGAAAAAAAGGAATGCATTTACACTTTTGGTGGGAGTTTAAATTAGTTCAACCATTGTGGAAGACAGCATGGTGATTTCTCAAAGACGTAGGGGCAGAAATATCATTTGACCCAGCAATTCCATTACTCTTTATGTGCCCAAAGGATTATAAATTGTTCTGTTATAAAGATGCATGCACACATATGTTCACTGCAGCACTACTCACAATAGCAAAGACATGGAATCAACACAAATGCCCGTCAATGGTAGACTGGATAAAGAAAATGCGGTGCATATACGCCATGGTATACTATTCAGCCATAATAAGGGACAAGATCATATCCTTTGCAAGGGCATGGATGGACCTGGAAGCCATTATCTTCAGAAAACTAATGCAGGAACAGAAAACTAAACACTGTGTGTTCCTACTTAAAAGTAAGAGCTGAATGATGAGAACACATGGATACATGAAAGGGAACAACACACACTGGGGCCTGCCCGGGCTGGGAGTGGAGGGAGAGCGAGTATCAGGAAGAGTAGCCAATGGATGCTAGGCTTAATATCTAGGTGATGGGTTGATAGGTGCAGCAAACCACCATGGCACAGGTTTACCTATGTAACAAACCTGCACATCCTGCACATGTACCTCTGTACTTAAAATAAAAGTTGAAGAAAAAAATTTAAAACAAAAACGAAAATAAGTGTAAGTAAAATTCCTACTTCCACCTACAAACATAACTTTAAAAAATATTCCACTGCCAAAACAGAATGGTTTAAAATGATAGTTGAATATTTTAATTTATGGTCTTTCTCATTTCAATCAAAATGTTTACATCTATCATTATTCAATAATATACAGAAAACTGAATAAGTTAAATATATTATACAGTCCCAGAATCAGGATATTCAATTTCAAAAATTACAATCTGAAATAGAATACAACCTGAAGTAAGTATGACCTGGCAAAAATAACACCGAATGACTGAATAAGCAATTTAGAATAATTGAGTTAAAGGCATAAGTTGCATTTTAATAACTTTAGAAATTAAGATAGGGCATTTTATTTTCTGGTATATTGTTAAATCTATACACCTGCATTAAGTTCCTGTTAAGTACAGCCTTATAATCTAGATTTTCACCTAAGTTAATGTTGACATATTGGGCTTTTCTCTTCATTACCTCTCAATGATCAATATTGATCTTATGTCCTTGGCTTTTCCCTTACAGCTATTTGTCCTAAATGGGACAACTGCTCATTTTGCTACAGTAAGTAAGATCCCTCTGCTCTTTGACTGTGTCTCCCATCTCACTTGGCATAGTCTCTCAGTGTCTCACTGTTCCGTGTTTTCTCCTGATATGTTCCTTTCTGCAAATCTGATTAAAGCATAATGTACTCTTCTGGGTAAATTACAAGATGCTTAACAAAGAAAAACTCCTGGGGAAAGAATATGATTTGGTTAGCATAAATTGGATGAGTTTACCTTATGCTGAATATTGTTTATCTGTTTATTTTCAAGTATTTTGACCAATACTATCAATTGGCATGTACATTCTACCTAGTATTAAGTGCAAAATAACTATAAAGAATCTTTTTAACTTCTTATTTTCCTTTATGTACACATGAAGACACAGGATTATTGATTGAATCTATATAGCGAAGCTCATTTGAAATTAGTAACATTTTTATCCATTCACATTGCTCAGCAAAGTGCAAATTAGATTTAAGCTATTTATAGTCAACCATTTCAAGGAAGGACAAGCAGGAACCTGCCTACCCATTATATTTCACTTATATTACAACTTGTGTGACTTCTGATCAAGTGATCCCCCAATCTCAAAGGCAATGAGTGATGTCTGGAAGTGATATTGTCCAAGAAGGCAGGTCCCAAGTGTGCTAAAACCTATGGCATATATTCAGCCCCCACACAAAATTATCTTTAAAAGAGCTATGGCAATTTGCCTGTTCACCTTTTATGAGGCAATGCCACATTTGGCCAGTAGATAGCACCCAAGATATTCCAATAAATATAGTGAAAAAAATCTCAGCGTGATTATTACTTTGCCAGGGAAATACCAGACAAGTTCATTTTTGATCAGCTGAGGAAGAAAATAGAAGTCCCCACTGATTAGAAATTGGGATTTTTTTTTTAACCAAATCCTAGTAGCCTCTTAATGTAAACCTGTACTTTATCAGAGTAGGAAAATTAGCTGACTTGTTTCCTAACAGAACTTCTGTTTGCATGTGGGAAGGTACCACACATTTGACACAGATTTAAATAACACATGAAAGCAGCACTTGAACAGTAATGCTGAGGTCCGGAGAGACCACGAAGAACACCGTGCCATTGCATTTCACAAAAACAATGAAGAAGACTCAAAAGGCAACACTGTGCAGAACTCATTGATCCTGCCAAAGGGCACAGTGAAAAAGTCACATGCATTTCAGAATGCAATGTTAAAATTACTAAGAACCTGGCTATAAACAAACAAACTAAAATAAATCATAATTACCTAAAGCTGGTGGATAGTGCCTTGGTGTTTTTAAACTTGCTGGTTTAACATAGCTGCTGCTTATGTTTTGACAAGTGGTGACATCCTTGTTGCATAGGGAGCAATTTCATGTTCCTTTGGCGGTAAGAATAGTAAAGAGAGCTGCATATGTGATACTTGAACCATCATCCACATGTTACAACTTCAGTTCATCTTCTACAGCAAGTATGGCTCTACATTTAATAAGGTGATGAGTGTTAAGGAACCAGGCAAGTACAGAAATGTGGGATAAGAAGTTAGAAGATGAGAGTCATTCAGTTAGAGACCTAGCAAAGAAAAGCTATAGGCACCTGAACCAGGAAAGACCATGTCAAGTGGTGATGAAGGTTCAGGTTCTTATACAAATTAGTTTCTAGGAGTTAGGTTTTTGTTCTCTGCTCTCCAGGGTCTAACATCAAGCCTTCTCCAGCTGCCACACCCAGCCCACTTTAAGGGAATTACACACAAACTCAGAATGGCTGGCCCAGTATCCTGCTCAAGAATTTTAAAATTTGGTTTAAATTGCCTAAAACTACCTTCAGCCACTGAACTTCCTATTCACATAGGCTATTAAATTTCCTCTGTTGTAGTTGTTTGACTTGTTTGAGCTGTGTTTGGGCACTTGCAACCAATAGTGCTTTATTCATTCATGATAAGAAGTTGTGGGGGTTCGAGGGGCAATGGCATTTACTCCAATATCTTTTCATCCCAGGTCTCTGTCTTCCCCCTCTTAGGAACTCTTAAGTATTCTCAAATTGGGAAATTTGCATTTGGTTAACTAAGATGATATTTTGTAAATATGTGTCCCCCTCATTGTTCTTTCATAATCATCTTGGTACAGGAAATAGGCACCTCAGAGCTCCGGGCTACCCCACAGAGTGAGCTTACCATAGTCCAAAGAGGCACTAATCCTGGGGCCTAATCTTGATCTGCCACAATCTGGCTGTGTGACTTTGGGGATATCACTTTCTCTCTCTGGGCCTCAGTTTCTTCATCTACAAACTGAGGAGGTTAAACAAGATGTTCCAATTCTAACCTTCCATGGTTCTGTTCCCCTGCTTTCGCTCCATATATGAAGCAACATTTGAGGCAGGTTAAATAATTCCTTTGTAATGAAAGCTGTCATGTTTGATGTACAAGTAGACAAGGTGATTATTCAGTTAAATAATCATGCATCTGTGGACAATGCATGGGAACACACATGGAACAATAATGACAGGTTTATTTCTATCTACCCATGGAAAGATAATGACAGGTTTATCAGTCATTTACCAAATCATTCTGATTTGGTAGAGATGCAATATTGGCACCCAGGAAGAAGCTCTTTGCTGCCTTGTCAGTCTTGAGTGATGTTCTCTTGACCCAGGTGCCCTTTCATCACAGGGCCTGCTGGGATCCTGCCTGCCTCCCTTCCCCTCTAGCCTCTCCTCTTGACTACTGATAGTTGCATCAACTACCAACACACTCCTGTTACCTCCTTCCAGCATCCAAGTGAAGAGATAATGAAGAGGTAGTATTGCAGCCACCAAAGGTTGGGAGAAAAGCACTTTAACTACAGATCAGTTAATTGTGTTTAAACCTGGAACAAATGATAAATTTATGCAATAAAACTTCATAAATCCTCCAATCGTGCTAAATATTTACAAAGAAAATGTCCAGTTGTTGCCTGAGAAGGTCCTACAGAATCAAGAAAGTAAATAGGTCCTAATGATAGTTGGTTACAGCCTCAGCGTATTCCAACAATTAGGGCTATAATTCTGTAGAGGATGGAAGAAAGGCAGGAAGGAAGGGAAGGATAGAGGGAGGGTGGAGAAAAGAAACACAAGTTCCTGGTAGAGTAGTAGGGCCCAACCATGGCTGTATGTTGAAATATCCTGGGTGAAAAATATCAATGTTCAAGCCCACCCTCAGTGATGTTTGAAGTTCCATGTGATTCTATTATGCAATCGGTGTTGAGATTCAATACAATACAGCATCACATTTCCTTAAATAAGTGACTCAATCACTAAAGAAAGAGTGGCCACTCAAAGGGATTTTATAACAGTTGTTAAGAATTGTTACCAAAAACCCCACCAGCTTCCTATTGCAGAGGTCTGAGAAGCTGGAAGCCTTCCTGAGAATTTCCCCTATCCTTGGGGTAAATGCTACCATGTTCTGGAATCCTGAGTCTGAGGGCTGCACAGTAGCCTCACGCCATATCATTCCCTTTCCCTCATACCCTTTTAAAATTACTGCCAGATCAATGCTTCAGGCTCCTTATAGTCAAACCTGTTTTCCTGATTATAAGGTAGACCCTGAGGCTTTTAGCATTCATAGATCATTGTCACATTTATTATTAGCTAGAGGTTCATTTGTTGACTACATCAAAACTTTTATAACTGCTGGCCAATTGGAAAATACCTGAGGCAGAGTAATGAACTGGAACAGGCAGTGCACTGAGAATCTCAGGCCTTTGAATCAATTTACGGATCCGCCCAAGCATCTCTAGGTGACTTGATGCAAGTCACAGAACTTTTCAGGCCTGTTTTCTTAACTGTAAAGTGAGTAAGTTGAACACTATCTAATATTCACTTGAAACTCTGAAATGCATACTATTTCCTTCTCCACTTTCTGGTAATGATACTAATGAACAGTACGGGATGAGAAAGTTAAGTACAGGGAAAGCACTGGAAAAAACTAATGGTCTGGATGAGCCATAAGTTGACAAATTTGATCTCAAAGCATTGAACATAACCCTAGATATGTTCTTTGCTTTTAAAAGACTACAACTGGATCACGTAGCAGTAAAATTTGGTAGGTCCCACTTTCTACTACGGGTTTGTATGAGAAAAAAAAAACCACTCTTTTTCCCCTCACACTGTGAAGACTACCTTTCAAAATGAGAAAGCACTGATCTGATTCTCTAGTTGTTAAATAGACTGGAAAAGAGAAAAAGCGGTGATTAAAAAAAAAAAAACGCTCCTCTACTATGCTAGAAAAGTTTAAAAATATTCAAACCCCAAGTTCAGTTCCTGTTCACAGTTCACTCTTCACTGTTGCCCTTGTACCCACATCTCCCTATTCCTCTATTCCTTTCTTTCCAACTACCATGACCATCTCCTCATTCCACCTCTATATCTTCATGCCTCTTCATGCATGACTTGTCTACTCCAAAAAAGGTTTATGACTCCATGATTTCCTCCAGATTACGTCTAAACTGTTTAGCTTGGCATTCCCAGATCTCTACAGCGCAGCCCATAACCTAACTTTCTTCTCACTTTTCCTCAACATATTTTCTCCAGTCACAGTCTGGGCTGCTTTTTGTTCATCCCTCAATTATGCCCTATAAAAACCCTCCACTCTGCCTTTGCTCATTCTGTTTCTCCCATACAGAATGATCTCCTCCATTTTTTCCCATGTAGACTAATCTTGGCCATTCTTGGAAACTGAGCAAACTCACGTTTCGTCTCTTCCAAGAAGCATTCGTGCTGGCCTACAATGATCTTTCCTTTCTCCAGCTGTACTAAACAACACTTATATTTTGCTGTATTGTCTACTGTGTTTTGTTTACTGCATATTTCTCAGACTGCATGCTGCTGGAGGACAATGTCTTAAATACTTCTATTTTTCTGCCTCTCTTCATCCTTTTCTTCTCCCTCTCTCCCTTTCTTCTTTCCATTCTTTCTTTCTCTTTACTGTAGTCTGTACAGCAAAATTTGGGAGGAATCCAGAAAGATCAGTAGTTATTTTATAAATAAACACAGTAATGCCAGACTTAGGTTAGTGGGGCTGTTAGGCTTCTCTTTTACCTGGCCTGATCACTGGGGCACGAAAGTTCGCTACTGTTTTTTAGCTTTTAACTTGGAATTCAACATCCCTCAGCATGTTTCTTTGTAAGAATACTTAGTGTTACTAGGGCACATGTCTGAGTTTAACTTCCACTTTTAAACTTTATGTAGTTTCTCAAAAGAACAAAAATGATCTAAGAAATATGAACAAATTGAAGGAAAAAAGTGAACTATTCCAGTAATTAAACAACTTTGTTATTTATTTCAATAATGTGTTAAATCATGCCCTCCTCATTTACAAAGCCTGTGATAGCTGAATGGCAAACTACCAAAGTACCAAATGGAGACAGGACCTCACCTTCTGGCTCTATAAATGAGTCAGCTCAGCTCAGGCAGAGACACCAAGTCTAAATGAGGTAGTGCCTCTTGCAAAGCGGTTAGCCTCTCTCCTCTTCGAGCTGTACCTCTTCAGAAAGGGGTTCCTCTGTTTCTGCAAAACCCTTCCTATTATGTCCGTTTTGTTTCGAAAAGGTTGTCTGTAAATAAGATGCAGCCCTATCCAGGGACGCAAAGTTGGGCAAAATCAACCAATAGAGATCCTTCCAGTTTTTGAAATCCTCTTATTTGTGCTTTTGGGACAGAATAATTTACTAGAACTGGTAGAACAGGGCTCTAAGCCTTGGTAAAGAGGGAATTTTTGTAGGGATGAGGAGTGGAATGGGTGAGATATAGATTTGGATATGCAAATAGTGGTTTTGTTTTTGAGTCTGTTGCAAGGCAAAAGGAGAGTCTGAGATCAAGCAGAAATGGGATGCAGCTGGTGCATCCTTTACCATGGAACCCCCAGTCAGGCTTAGCAAGGGTTTAGGGAGGATGCATGCCCCTTGCTTGCCACTCTCCCCCCCTACAGGAAATGGAGTTGTACTGGAAAGATACCCTACCTGCAGGCTCAAGGACAACACACTCTCAAATTCACACTGGGATCCCAGAACACTCTGGAATAACCTCCCTCCCCATCTGCACAATCTTGGCACACTCAGTGAAAGGAATAGTAGGATTTTGCCCTAGTCAAAGCAATCCTCCTGCCTTTGAAACCTAGGACCAAGGCTGCTCTGCTTCAACCGCTAAGATTTAACAACCCTCCTTCATTTCTATTTTGGGGTGGGGGTGGTAAGCAGAGGAGAAGGAAACTTTTTTTTTTTTGTCCAAAAATTACAACTTAATCTGTGCTTTTTGTTGGGTTTATTTTTTAAAGCCTAGAAATCAATTGCAATTCTACTCCCTTGCTTCAACATGGTTTTCTTCTCTAAGAGCTTTGCGTTTCTAGATGTAAGAAGCATTCTCGCCTTGGGTATTCTGTCGGAGCAACTGCCTAAAGTCTCATCCTTGGAGAAGTGAATGTATCTCTCTGGACCTTAGGTTTCCCACCTGTTCAATAAAGGAGTGACGAATGACGCCCAAACTCTGATCTACCGTAAAAACAGTGCAGGTCTGTGAGCCCCATTGCCTTTGATTTTTCCACTCGAGTGTCCAGCACAAAGATAGTAAAAGGTTAAGGATCTCTCCAATGGCGAGTTGTTAACACGGAGGTCGAGGCTCACAGGCATCAGGTTTGCACCTTCGCCCGTCCGCAAAGATACCCCTCTCCAATATTTCTGAAGTCGGAGGCTGTGGTGGGGTATCCTGCCTTTATTCTGCTTCTCCAAAGCCCGGGCAGAAGGTCTGGGAGCAACTTTGTCTGTCTTCAGGACACCTAGCTGTCTATACCATCCCCAAACCGGAGTAAACCAGACATCACCTAGCTCCGTTTCTCACAGTTCTGCTCCTGGTCCCTCGAGGTCCCCATTACTCCCCAACCCCAGAAATCCTTCCAGCCGCACCAGGCGCACTTTGTACCCCTTACCCGCGGCTCTGCGAGCTTGGCGCTGCGGCAGAGTAGGGCACTCTCCCAGGGCGTCCTGGGCTCCAGCCTCACCTCCCCGCCCCAGCCTTTTCCGTTCGCAGCTCCCCACGCCCCGCCCCAGGACTCTGCAATCGCCTTCCCCTCCTAAACTCTCTGGGCGCTCTCCAGGCGGGCGCACTCTTTCTTGCAGCCACCCAGGGAGAACCTTTTCTTCCCCTCATCCCCAATCTCCCCAGCCAAAGCGAGAGCCAGTCAGTTGGCAGGGCGCTTGGCACAGTGGAGCCTCTCGGACCGGCCTTCTGCTGGGCGGGGGTGGGAGGAGGCACCCGGCCTCTCGGGGCTCTGGGGCACCGGCTGGCCAGGCGTGCTCAGCTCGGCCAGGCATCCGCCCGGCGGGATCGGATCTGGAGGGCAGCCTCGCACTGAACCCATCACCCAAGCGCCCGAGCCGCCGCCTCCCTCCCGCAGGCGCCCCACGCGCTCACCCCAAGCCCGGCCAAGCGGGAGAGTCCAAGGCGCGACTGAAGCCCCCCGCCGCGTGCCGGAGCTCGAGCTGCCCCGCAGGCTCTTTGCCGGCCCCCTCCGAGGAGGGGCGCGCGGGGGGCCGGGAGAGGCACCTCCGGTCCGCCCACCCTCCCCCTTCCCTGCCCGCCCACCCGGCCAGAGCTGCGCGGCACGGCGCAGCGCTCGGATTCCGGGAGGGAAGCGCCGCGCTGTGTCCCTGGCGTCCTCAGTCCTGCCCCGCGAAGTGGAGATGCGCGAGAGGCAGGCGAGGGCGCGCAGCTCGTGAAAAGCCGCGCCAGCCGGCACCATGCGCCTGCGGCCGCTGCCCCTCGTGGTGGTCCCTGGCTTGCTGCAGCTGGTGAGTGCCCGGCCCGCGCGCCGTCCCACACGCCGGGGACGCGTTTCGGCGGGAAAACCGCGCAGGCGGCTGACTTGGAGCCCAGCCTGGGCCTGCTTGGGAAGTGGGGTTGGGGGCGCGCGGAGGGCAAGGAGTTTTGGGTTGCCTTAGAGGTCGAAAGGGAAGAATTGAAGAACGGAATAGACGGGATCTACAGGCGACTCAGGGGCTTAGCACGGGTTGGGACTTGAGCGCTGGGGTAAAGTAGGCAGAAGGTGGCCGGGAAGTAGGTCCGGGAGAAGGAAGCGGTTTATTGATAAGCGGTCAAGGAGAGGAAGGAAAGTAAATTGATAGGATGAGAAGGGGCAGAAAGACCTTCCTCCTGTTCACAGTTTGAGAGGCTTGGTGGTGTTTATTTTTCACGTGGTGTTTTGCCCAGATGCACACAGACACTTCTCCCAAAGCACAGCATAGTGCATGCATCCTCGTTCTCAGAGCCAGGTAGTGGCGCCTTGCTGGGAGAAAACTTAGGCAAAATACGGATTTGGGGGACAGCTTGGATTTCTCTTCGTTTTCCGTCTGGCGCTAGGGACTGGGATGGGGCTTTCTGCCAGCTGGGGACACAAGATATAACTTTCATGCCCAGCTCCGCGCAGGAGCCCCCTCTCGGGCATCTCGAAGCTGTCTTTTCAGGGAGACCGCCCGCCTGGTCTGGGTGGCTCGGAGGCGCTGAGGAATAAGAAACGTATTAAAATGTGGTTTGGGGTTCGCGTTGTCACTCTCTTCTCTCTTCCCGCGAGGCGCCACGCTCTCCTCCTCCTGATATACGCCTATGTTCTATATGCATGGCTAATTATAGTTGAGGGAAAACCAAAGTAAGATCTTCAAGAAGAAACTTTTAAAGTAAAATTACAGAAGGGGAGTGCTTTGGCTGGGTCAGCATCTGTGATGGATTTCTTCTGGTCACTTAGCTCTTGCCTTGTTAGGGTGCTATTAAGAGGGCTTTCTCCTGATGCCATAGTTTCTTTGGTCCTCATACTTAAGACTTTGCCCAAGCACTTAGAAGATGACAGTCTCTTCTCTCTCGCTCGCTCTCTCTCTCGTTCTCTTTGTCTCTTTCTTTTCCTATTAGGGGGAAAATCAAGTAACTTTGAAAGTTTATGATATGTATGATATTGTTAAGGCAGAGGCACTTTGCAAGTTCTGAGGGTGGAAGGAACTCTAAAAGGTGGAGAGACCTCTGAGATGCCCGTGGTCCATGCTTGTTACGGTGGAGATTAGCTTCACCTGCACAGCGTTAACTCAGAAACTCTTCAATGGCATCAAGAAGAAAATGCAATGATATGCCCAAATATCCTTGAATGAGCCATCACATACTGGCTATCTACAATACTCCATGTTAAAATACATTTTACATCTTAGGCATTATGAATCCAAAATATATGCCACATTAATCTTTAGTATCCCTTGCTTTAAAATTTTTTAGTCTGGATTCTAATAAAAGGTGATCTAACAAAGCAGCATTTGTATGGTGTGTGTAAGGAAAAGCCTGGGGAAATCAGGTGTTTATGTGGGGTCTTCAGAATATCTTCACGAATCTTAGTTCATTAATTTTGCATTTAATAAATATGAACTGTGTATCTGCTCCGTAAGCAGTGTGATAGGCTCTTAAAGATGAGAAAATATATTTGGGCACGTGTCGGGGAAAAGTTCTTCTCCCAGCTACTATATTGGAAATGTTAGATATTTTTTTTTTCCACACCGCCATAGTCAGTAAGGAATAGGAAATACATCTTGAAGGGATTATATGCTCTCCTTAAGAGCTAGATTCTAATATTACAGCATGGACTGATGGATTTGCTTTTAAAAAAGCTTATGTCAAATTCTAATCCATTTTGGGATTGTGCTTGGGTTGTAATGTTTTTCTCCTGGAGCACTTTATCATGGTAAGTGAGGTAGGGAGCTGCAGCCCTGTTGATAAGCACACATTCCTTACGCTGCCATCCCTTCGGACAATAAAAGGCTGTTTACATTCTCCACATTCTTAGAGCTGTTGCCAGCCTTATAACACAAGGGGGTTAGAATGTGAAAGGAAAACAGAGTGGCTGAGCATATCTAAATTGAAATATTCCCCAATCCCAGCATATGCCCTACTCCAGTAGGTGTCAAAAAGGACAGATCATGATTTGCTCATTTGGATGGCTCATAGTTTTGTTCTACCTTTTTCAGCTGATATTGAACTTCTTTGTTAAATCCTAACAGCAAGGGGATAAAATATTTTCTAGATATGAAACTAGTCATTTACTTTTCTAGGAACCATATGTACTAAAAAAATCTGCCCTTTGCTGACATAAGGCTTTTTTTTTTTTTTTTTTTTTTTAATTTTTTGGTGAGGGAGGAGTGAAGTTACCTTATTGTCGAAATTGGATTTTACTTTTCTATCTGCACTGCCAGCCTGAAGAACATACTTATAAAAAATATTAAATATTTTAAAAGAATAATAGATTCATTTGGGCATATTGAACATTTAGTGATATGAAAATTACCTGTTTGTTTCTGAAAGCAGTCACAGGGAATTGAGCCCAAATAAGTCACTAACTATGGTTATATATAACATATATAATATACACGTATATATAATACAGTCACAATAACTAGAATTTTTTTACCTGTTTATGTGATATTTAAAACTTCTAAGAAAACAGTAAGCGGAATTGATAAATACTGCAAGTAGGCTAGGAAGAATGTATGTCTCTTACCTGTCCTTGCCCATTTTCCTGGCCTGTGTATAGTGCTTTTAACAGACAGGTTGCTATAGCTAATTAATGGGATTACTATTTGCAAGATTTAAATATCCATCTTGAACATATTCCTTTTTTAAAAATTCTTATTCAGCAACATACTCTTATAAAGAATATTAAGAGCATGTTATATCTTTTCTGCCACTAATGAAGAAAAAAATTAGCATTTGAAATGAATATTATATCAAAATGAGTGTTGCTTCATCATGATACAAGGTAAAGACTTCACCAGATGTCAACTGTTTACAGATTTGCATGATGATTTGTAACTGGTAATAAGTGTGATTTTTTGCCTTTAAGTAAAAAGAAGATTAAAAAAAGAATAAATTTTAATTTAAATGAATGATTAGCTAACGTTTAAGATAAAATTTAGGGCTGATTTAAAAAATCAGTTTCTTACACATTTTAACTTGTTTTACTGTGATACAATGCTGAGTTTACAAAATAAAATATTAGTTAAAAGCAATGTAAGTTGGCAAATTTTTAGAATCCTATAAAATCAGATCCTTGTGATGAAAGATGGTAAAATTTTAAGTTCATCTTTTTAGTACCACATAATTTATTAAGGGTACTTACATTAAAACTAATAATTTTAATATTTGTTTAGTCTGATGATTCTATTTATTTCTTCTTCTGTACTTACAAGAATTGATAACTCTTTACTATCTTCCATTCAAAAATGACAACTTTCCTCATACAGCCTTGATCAATAAACATCAAAATAGTATTTTCCAGTGCCGGATGAATAGTCCTCTGTTGGCTATATGACAATGTGAAGGAAAAAAAAAAAAAAACACCACTATATCATTGTTATGACTTAGAGTTGGCCGTGCATTAAAATGAACTCCTCATTATAAGCATCATTATTTTACACACTTTAAAAAATGAAAATTAAGATTAGACAATTAAATCCTTGGTTCCAGTCACCCACCTCCCAGTACAAGTTGTATTCCCTTGGTTTATTCTGGTATTATGTTATCTGGTCCAGTTGTGAATGCCTTCCATACAGAAAAATGACTGCTTGGGAAATTATTTTATTGTTTAGTTTCCGAATGGAAAAGAAAAGCTTTCTTAATCTTTGTTCTGTATTTTTTTGTAATTTTTTCTTTTTTATGGTTTTTGATTAGTAATTGTAATGCTAAATAAGGCAGAAAGCTTTTTGGAAAAATATTTTAGGGGTTTACATTGTCAGCTTAAAATGTGTAGTTCTTGCCAATCAAATGTATTAAGAAATGTTGGTTTATATAAGACACCGCCCACCTTTTATCTATTAAAGAGCTAATCAATACACCTTGAATGATTTAGTCGTTTAGTGGTAGCAATCAAAGATGAATATAAATGTGTCACAGGTTTGTGATTTTGTAAAAGCTCTAGACTGTCTCTTACCGTTTACATATTCTGTGGACTCTTTTACCTGAAGCTTTACTGGGAAAGATTTGAAAAAAGAATTATAGCTGCACACTCAAGTGCTTACAGTTAAGGCTGTGTCAGCGTTTCTGTAAAGAATCTCATTTCTATCTTAGCCATAAGCATTATTGCTGGTTAGAAGCTGGCATTTAATATCTTGATTTGGAAGTAAATTATTTCAAAACGGCTTTAAAAAATTGGTCCAAATGATTTTGAGTGCTCCCCATATGAGGTTACTGTCTAGGTATCCTTATAGTATGCAGGATGGTGATTTAACAAACTAATTTCTATATTATTGACTTTGTAACTAAATTAGCAGGCACAATCCTATGGTTTTGACTTCCACAATGGTTATAATTTAAGTTGGGATATGTTTAAATGATTTTAGATAACCTTTTCCCAGTTAACATATATATTGTACTGCCGTAAGATTTTCTAACACTATTTCGTCATAAGTATTTTTAATTATGCCAAAATCAGGTGCCCTTTTATAAGTCTTTATTTACTAATGCATTTTTTATTAGCTGTGATTTGATTAATGGTATTGATGACAACTCTATTCTTTATTTCAAAATCCTGCTAAATAAAAAAGGAATCTAAAGCAATTTACAGTATAAGTTGTGGTATAGATTTTCATATTAAAGAAAGAATTTTAAGATGTGATTGACTGAAAACTTCTATTTTATGTTATTTTTTAACTTATGAAAATCTAGATTAAAACTCTCAAACAAGTGTTTGGTTCATTATGCTGTAAGATTGGTATATAATAAGGAATTATCTTTCCTTATAGAATTACCATTAAAAATGAAATTTCCATTATTTAAGCCCAAATGCTGTAGGAAATATTTTTCTTTTTCCTAGTCAGATCATTCACAAAGATCAAATAGTTGTATCTAAAATTGCCATTCTTGTGCTCACTTCAGTAGCACGTATACTAAATTGCCATTCTAGTTAATTTTTCCTTTCTTAAATGGTAAGAGAAATGAGACATTTTATAAACTTAAACTATAATGATAATAACGCTGACTTAGATTTCCATGCACTTACATAATTTTAAGTTTCTTTCACACAATTATCACATTCTATTCTCCCAGTAAGACTAGAAGATAGAGAAGGATATTTTAAATGTTTCCATTCATGTTTTGGGAAGAACAATGAATTTCATGTCAAAAGACTTGGAGTCTATTTCTGAATCAGTCAAACATTCAACAAATATTTGTTCATTATCTGTTTTGATCCAGACTTTACACTGAGACTACAGCAAGCAGTGAGAACATAGCAGTCAACAAAATAGAGTTGGTCCAAGGGTGTGAGTGTGTGTGTATGTGTGCACATGTGCACCTGTGAGTGTGTATGTGTCTTGGGCAGTTCGTTTAACAGCCTGAGAACTTTCATCTATAAAATGAAGTCAATAATGACAAAGTAGATAAAAATTTGTTTTTAACATCTCTCCTTTTTTAATATGTTGTAACAGGGGTTCTGAATTTTTCTTCATATGATTTACATCTTTAGTTACTGTATATATATGTTACATAAAAATGTAATTGTTTTAAATATAAATTTCACATGTATTTTATGCTGTTAACCACATCACAAGTGATGTATATACTTAGAAGTAGATTTAAAACACTACAAGATGGATTACTAGATCTGTGCTTACGGAAAAGGAAAATTTAGTAAAACCAGACAGAGAATTGATGAGCACTTATTTAACATATAATCAGCAAAATCAATAAAAAGTTAAATTAAAATGGTGCATTCAGGGATTTTCTTCCCCCATACCATTTTAAATTGTAAACTAACATCTAGTCATTGCATCAATTTAAATAAACGGAAAATTGACTCTCAGTTAAATTCTAATTATTAAGATAAACAACATTACAGATTAATACTGTTCTTCATCCAGAAAACTAGCAAGTGACTTTTGTGTGCCTGAATAGAATACAGTCTATTTAAATCAGAAATAGTTTTAACTAACTGCAATGGTTTCAGGAGTTCACATGTAAATGTTACAAAATTTTAAAAATAAAACAAACAAAAAAACTGGCATGTGAGACCTACCAAAGATGGAGAAAATTGCCAATGATCCTAACCTTAGGAGAAAATCCAAGTGAAACAGAAAGACTAACTATTCCTGGGATTCAATCCAACTGTAAGCACGTAAATGTCTCTACAAATGAAACTTGACTTTGAGATATTGCTGCTTTTTTGCCACATAAAGTGATTCTAAGGTCATTAAAAACAAAATTTACATAAATTGTGTAAGTCTTTTCATGCAAGAATATGCAAGATTATGATTTTCAAGCTTTATCATATATAATGATAATTTTTAAATCTTATCAATTTAAGTTATATAGCAGGTATATTTATTCGCCCAAAACAGTAATTTAAGAAATAATGTATATTATTCAAAGGGAAAGAACACTTATGTAGTATGGCTGTTAAAAACACATGTGATTTCTATTCCCAAATTCCATTCCTCATTTGTGTGTGTAGACAGCTACTGAAAGTGGTTGATTAGTATAAAAATCTGTATGATCTTTTCAATGGATAATGCATACAATAAACGACTAGGGACCATAAAGCATCATTTAACATTTTGTAGTAATGATAACAGGAATATGTATTAATGAAGTTTTGCACTTGGATAGTTCAAACAGGAGACGATTGGGATTGGCTTGAGGAATATGGCTATGGAAATGGAAAAAAAGATGAAGTTTTCAAAAGCGTGTTTTCCGTAGTCTCGAATTTACCTGTTGCTCCTGTGTTGCTGACTCTCCAGCTTGTATCTCAGTTCCTACCCTGTTGCTCAGGCTCCAAGCCGGTGTCTCCATAACTTACTGTTCTGTTTTACTTGGATGTTTTACTGTTAACTCACACTCAACATGTGCAAGGCCACACACATCTGTGCTGAACAAGTGCCTTCCAACATTCATGGATTTGGATCTTGAAGTCACCACCATCCCATTTTTAATGTTTGGAGCCTTTGTGCTAAGACAAGTGACAGGATGTAAAGCACTACATGGTTTGCAAAATTCTTTCGTGGTTAATCTGTGCATCAGCTCTGAAAAGTAAGTAGAATGATAGTTATTGCATCCATTTTACAGGTGAAGCAACAAAAGCACACCACAGGTTTCAGAGACAGACTGTAGACTGCACAGATTGTAAATTCGAATCATCCACTTTGATGATGAGTGCTGTCTTTCTAGGTACTCATCACTGACACCCAGAGTGATGGACTTGAGGGACATTTCTAGGAAACATCCCACTCTGCTCAGTGACCACTGAGCTAGAAACCTTAATTCATTCATCTTAGCTTTGCCATAAAGTCAAATAAGTTGAATAGAACAAATGAATTCTTGGGGCATTTCTTTAATCTGGAGTTCTATTTAGAATTTAACCTCATGGGCCGGGCGCGGTGGCTCACCCCTGTAGTCCCAGCACTTTGAGAGGTCGAGGTGGGGAGATCACCTGAGGTCGGGAGTTCGAGACCAGCTTGACCAACATGGAGAAACCCCGTCTCTACTAAAAAATACAAAATTAGCCAGGCGTGGTGGCGCATGCCTGTAATCCCAGCTACCTGGGAGGCTGAGGCAGGAGAATTGCTTGAATCCAAGAGGCAGAGGTTGTGTTGAGCCAAGATCGTGCCATTGCACTCCAGCTTGGGCAATAAGAGTGCAACTCTGTCTCTAAATAAATAAATAATAAAATTTAACCTCATGGAGGCCAGTTGCCAAGGGTCTCAGCTTTAATGCCATTTTCATGTTAAGTTAGTAGCCAAGTAATGTGGCTCCAGTTAGGATCAGCAGAGGTTTTGAGAGTTCCTCTAACTTTTCAGGATCTCACCTATACCACTCCAGATGGAAAAGATAAAAAGGAGAGAGAAAGTGTGGGTTCACGGGCTGCTAAACCCTGGTTTTCTAGTGGACAGGTAGGAATATGAGGACAAGCAGGTGGGTGAGGGAACCTGTCTAGTAGGTGCCCAGACTTGTGTAGAATTTGAGAGCATTAATATATAATTTTACTTTACTAGTAGCACATGGCTTTTGCTCTCTTTTTCTTTCTTTTAATGAAAATATGTATTTTATTATAAAAGTAATATTGTAGTGGATGTTATTGGTTCTCCACCCAGATTTCTTTTGGGGAGGCACTTTGCCAGAATGCACTCAGAGCCACAGGTGCCATTCACTTCCTCTGGAAAGCTCTTGACTAGTGACTGACAGATGTCAGAGTATGAAAGCCCAGCTGCCTTGCCCCGACTCTGGACAGCTCCCAGATATAACTGAGGTGAAACAGATAATCTCGGTCTTCCCTGCAGGAGCAGGCTGAAGCTACCCTCTGCAAGACTTTGCCTGAGATCACGCACTTCCATGACTTTTTTCCCATTCTTTCACCAGCTGCCCTGCTCCCTTAGCAAGGCTTCCCCGGAAGTGCTTCTGTTTTAAATCAATAGCCCTCAAATACTTGCTTCAGCCTGTCCTTCTGGGGAACTCCATCTAAGATTTCTGTTTAATTTTTTTTTTTTTTAGTACTACTCAGAATTTCTTTAAGTAGCCATCCTCACCCCTGCCTGCTTTCTGCCACCTCATACCTTATACTCAGGGCATTATTAATAGTTTAACGTATGTCTTTCCAGATATTATGGATATGTATGCTTTTATAATAATTATATCATGCACAGTACCATGTTCTGTAACAAGCTTTTTTAATGCAATAGCATATTTTGGCTACTTTGATAGAGCAACTTATATTTTTAAAGATTCACTGTATTTCATGGCATTGATATGCCATAATATATTTAATCTTTCTAATTAATATTTAAATTGTTTTGAATTCTTTAATATAGTTGTAAGTATACCTGTAACACAAATTCCTAGAATTGAAAATGTTGGTTCAATTGAGAATGTATATATTGAATTTTGATAATTATAAATGTTTTCTGAAATGATTGTACCAATATAAGGTATTACATTGTATGTGCATGCCTGTATCACACTACCTGAATACTGGTATTTAAAAAAAAATTTTTGACAATCTATTAAAGGAAAGTACTTCATTGTTTTTAACATGTATTGTATACTGTATTACTTATCAGGTATATAAAGCATGTTTTCACATTTAATAACCATTTGTATTTCTTATTTTGTGAATTGCCTTTTTAAGTAATTTCCTGTGTTTCAGTTTTTTACAGCCTTTAAATTTTATAGTTTCTTTTTAATATTGCTCACGCACAATTGTTCTTTATTATTCCTGAATATCTGGTACATTATTAGGTTGTTATGGATATCTTTTTTATGGCTGACATTTTAAAATTCATTTTTGCTGGAATGTAAGGAAAACTATTTATTTTTGTATGTTTATGTTTGTATCTGTTCTATTTCTGAACTCAGTTATTAGTTGTAATATTTTTTATTTGATTCCCCTGGATTTTATGTCTAGACAATCATATCATCTGCAAATAATCTTATATTTGACTCTTTTTATTGAACATTATGTCTCATATTAAAATTTACTCTCCTAGAGAACTGTATAGAATCTTCAAAATATTATTGAATAATTCTGAAATTAAGCATGTTCTCATGTTTCCAACTTTAACATAAACTTTACTAAGTATGAAGTTTATTATTTGTTAATTTTTATTTTTATTTTATGTATGTGTTTTTAGCATTTTATTTAGATACACTGGCTATATTCATAAATGAAATATAACTAAAGTGAAACATGCCAGATTTTTGTATAAAGATTATGGTGGGATTAGAATTAAAAAGACTTCTATGTTTTCCCCCTCACTTCTGGAAAGAGTTAAAATATTTGAGAATTGCTTTTTCTTTGGCAGTTTGTTGGGAATCATTCTAATCCATTTGGGCCTTTTTGTTTTGGGAAAAGAAGTCTTTTATAAACTTTTTATTTCCTTTATGACTACTTACCACTCAGGTTTTTTCCTCAACCAACCCTTATTGAATCCCTTTTATTAACTTTAAAATTATGCATGTTTCTGTATCCTTAAATTTGTTTCACATAAAATTATATATACTATAACCTTAATTTTTAAAAACTTACTGCACACTGTGAATTTGCGCCCTGTTTTGCCCTCGAGTTTGTATTATATTAATTGTTTTGTAAGAATGGTAGCTAGGGGAGTGCCTTCATTTTCTTTCTATGTTTAACAGCATAAATAGAAGACTTGAGGGGCAAATTTCATAGATAAGTTACTAAGAGGTCCAAACTGAATGGAGCCTCAGGGTAAGGGGTGAGCATCCAAAACCCCACGAGCTTTGTGCTCAGGGGAGCCTCCTGGTAGCTGCCTTGGTGCCAGTTTCACGCCTAAATCCTGCTGCACTAAGCTGGGTGGTGGGAATTGGGTGCACATGGGGAAAAAACTTCAGTGTCCTGCCTGCGTGTGGTTCTCCTTTGCCTTTGTTTGGTTACAGCCTGCTCAGCATGCTTGACTTTTCCATTATTTTGATTTACTCTTCTTTGTGTCTTCTGGGGATTCTGATTTTATGGACTCTTTTGGCATCCTTTTCTCTTTCTAGCACTCTTATGCATTTATTCTTGTTTTTGCATTTCTAGTTCTTTTCACTGGGATTTTTGGAGGGAGGCAAGTGCATGCATTCTTTCAGCTTCCTTCATTGCAACTGGAAATCTTGTAGTCATTTTTGGCTCATCTTTCCTCATCCCCTATAATAACCATTCAGTCACACAATCCTATGAAATTTCCTTCCAAGTCCCATTGTAAACTCTCTTCCTCTCCATCCCCAGCCATGTCATCACTATCACAGCCTCCTCACTGGTGTATCTTATTCCAACATGAGCCTTTTTAATTCATCCCACATATCACAGAATCATCTTTCTTAAATTCTCCTTTGATTTACTATACCACTACACTATTAAGAGTGAGATTGCGATTCTCTTTTTCTGAACACAGTGAGTCTAAATTCTTATTCCTGGCTTTCCCAGACTTAAATCTCTCCTCCAATATTTATCACATACTCTTAACTGCGACGGGGCCTGTATGTTCAATGCTCCATGAATATTTCAGAGTGGAGGGAAAAGCGTAGGTTTTGATGTCAGGCTGACTTGGATTCTGGTACTTCCTCTGGCATCTTGGACAAGCTAATAAATCTACTAAATCTGTTTCTTTCCTTATAAAATAATGGTAGTTATTAGCTATCTCAGAGGGCTTTGCTAATTACTTACAAAAAATGTAAAATACCTGGCCCATAACATTAGCTTAACAAATGACAGTTTCCTTTCCATCTGTATTAACTTAGGGTCTTTGTGCACAAGCAACAGAAACTGATTCTGACTAACTTAAGCAGAGAAGAAATTATTAAAATGGGGCAGCTCACAGAAAGGGTATGAACCAGGCATGTCTAGAACAGAATCCAGGGTTTGTGTGTCAGGAAATTGTCAATTAGCCAAGATAATGAATAAATGCCAACCATTTTTTCCCTGTCTCTACAATCCTTGCTTCACTTCATTTAAGATGCTGTGTTCTGGTTGAGAAAGCCTGGTTGGTTTGGGTCATACGCCTTAGCTTGAGAAGGGCAGGGCACTTTGATGAAGAGTTCTGCATATCCTAGGGAATCCACAATAGATATTCCCCTTAGAAAACTTGTGGTTAGCACTCTCACTAAAGAAGGAGCTCTATTAGAGAAAGAGACCCAAACAACTACAGAGAAGACCCATTCCAGCTGTTCATATTAATCCACATGATCTCCACTCATAAATAGTCATAGATAACCAGAGATCACCAGACACTTAAGAGAAATCATCAGGAAAAAAAGGACAAAGAGAAAACAGAACAACTTACCTTGGAGGCAAGCAATAATACAAAGAACTAATTATAATTTTTAAAATGCCCAATTAGTATTCTCAGAGAGTCAAAAAGATATTGTATCCTGAAAATAAGAACAGGTTGCTATGAAGAAAGATCAACTGGGGAACAATAAATAATTATTAGAAACGAAATTTATAACTGACAAAATAAAAAGTTAAGGAGAAGGCTGAAAATAATAGAGATAATAAAGAACATACTGGTGAACTACAAGGTATAGCCATGGAAATCTCCCATGGAAGAGAGCAAAAAAACCAAAATGGAAAATATGAGAGAAGTGTGAAGAGACACAGAGGATAAATCCAGAAAATCCAGTGAAGAGCTCCAGAAAAAGAGGACAGAGGCAATGAGAGGAAGGACATGGTCAAAGACACAGTGTTGAATAGCCTGACTTAAAAATAACAAATTGGTGAAATTTCCATGCTCAAATGAAAAATCAGAAAATTCTAAAAGCTTTCAGAAAAACAAGATAGATTACTTAGGAAAAAAACGTTTTATCTTATTAACAACAAAATAATATCTTTACAGTTTGTAGGGTAGGAGATATTGAATCAATAGTCAAATTATCAATCAAATATGAAGGACAGAAGAGGAAAAAAATAGAGAAGGTAAAAATGATTAGGTGCAGCAAACCACCATGGCACATGTATACCTATGTAACAAACCTGCATGTTCTGCACATGTATCTCAGAACTTAAAATAAAAAAAATGGTATTTGGGGGCATGCAAGGGTCTCAGGGGAGCTACTGCTCTCTCCATTTGGGGAAATCCTCAAAGAGGTGCTGCAAAGCAAGAGAGAGATAGAGCAAAGGGATGATGAGGCACACAGTTGCACTCCAGTCTGAGTGTGACTCAGTCTCTGCTCCTGGGAAAGCATGGGGTTCCATTTCCTTCTGTGGTCAGGCCACACTGTGACTCTATAGGGGGTTCCACTGAAGGGTTCCACTGACGTTATATCAGCTTCATAAGTGCTATTTATTATTTTGCTGTTTTTGAAATGGATTTATATTCAAAGCATGAAAGATTTAGATATTGCTTAAGAACAGAGTATAATATAATAAATATTGATGAACTAAAATCATAAAAATTTGGAGGTGAAGGTAATACAAGAGGTAAAAGTGGGCAAGCATGCCAGGTTCCTTATCTTACATAGTAAGAAGTTAATAGAAGCCATCTAATATTAATAAATTAAGAAATAGATGCAAAGTCTTAAAAGTTACCAAATACTGGAAGAATTAAAAATGACACAATCAACAAAAATCAGTATGCATCTTTGTTTACTTTGTGCTTTCATTTCTTCTACAATTTAAATAAATTAGAAAATAAATTTAAAATTAGCATGTGGAAAAAGCATTTTGACCTTAATGTATATTTTGTGTTTTGTATTTGACCTCAAAATATGCTTCTTTTTTCATAGTGCTTTTGATAAATGTTTATTACTCCGTAAATTTCAAAATGAAGGTGGTCTTTTCAGCAGGGAGAGCTGTCCAGCAGTGGTAAAGTCATGCTCCTGTGGCCATGAGTTGACTTCTGGAAGTGGGAAAGCAGAGGCCATCTGCTGGATCATGCTGTAGGGCAGGGTGTACCAACCTCAGAACTGTTGTCATTTTGAGCCAAATAGTTTCTCGTTGTTGGGAGCCATCCTGTGCATTGTAGGATGCTTAATAACACATCTGGCTCCTACCCAGATGCGAGTAGCACCTTCTCCCACTTGTACAACCAAAAAAAGTCTCCAGACATTGACAAATGTCCCCTGGGGAGCAAAAACAGCCCAGTTGAGACCTGGAGTGGGTGAGAAACCTGCCATAGGTGATTTCTGGCTATGCGAGAAGCTGAACCAAGTGACTGCTTCAGCCTCTCTCAACTAAATGCTTTGTCTTTGAACTGTTAGGAAGCGGGGTCAGCATTTTGCTTAGATCTAGTTTCTTTCTCAACATTTTAGTTCTTCTAATTCAGGCAAATTTCCTTTGGTTTTATTCAGTTCAACCAATATCTTTGAGTGCCAACTCTGTCAGGCACTGTGCCCAGTGCACACATCTCTGTTGGACAAATTTTCCTTTTTGAGGGTAATAAATGATGAATGTTCCCCCTGATATTCCTTGCCTGGACAAGATTTCCTTTCCTACTAGACACTGTCACACATTTCGTTTTGTGTCAGGTTCAGATATTATCAGTTGTTAGGGCTGGCTCTGAAAGTTTTAGTAAAGCCTTCTAATTTCCATATTTTAAAATGAAGTAATGAGAGAAAAATTACCTTGTAGAAGACAGCAAATAAAATTGAAATTGGCAATCACAAATATTGGTTGGTTAATAAAAACGTGAACTACATCACACTTGACATGCAAATTTGTTACAATTAAAATATAGTAGGATTACACTCTTCAAAGAGTTTATCACAAACCCAGGTTATATTTTTGGTATGAAAACAAATGCAGTGATTGTGAGTGTAAAATTTGATTCAGTGTTTTTGAGATAAAAAACAGCTTACAGCTATTACATTCCACTCTTAGGAGCTAGGTTGCATTCCCTTTTTATTGAAAAATTGGAGATTTTCAAGTTTACTGAAATGTAAACTGTGAGTTACTCTATTTTTATAAATGGCATGAATCATTTTATTCTATATTGGAATGCATTTTTAGTTAAGTTTTTTCTTTAAGGTAATTCTTAGTTTTTAAAAAATGTATCTGTGAAGGTACCCTATGAGAGTTGCATGTTAACCTCCAGAGATAAACATGGTAATAGAAACGTAAACAGAATCCCTGGTGGTGTTAAAATTTGAAATATATTTTCACAAAATTTTAACTATGCATAAATATTGACCTTACTTATTGTGATCAGGTCTGAGAACCACAGTGGAACACAGCTGGGCTGCTGCTCAATCCCTTTATATATATGGAGAATGAACCTGCACATAGGCTTCTGTACCCTTCACAGTGAGTGTGTTGGAGCACCCTGCACAGGCCAGCACATTCCTGTGCCTGTCTTTATACATAAACACATGCAGGCACACAAATAACACTCTCTTACTGAACTTTCTCACTGCATGAAAGGCTGCATTTTTCATTTGCTTGTCTTTGCCTTGGAAGTTATAGACCTAATTATGCTACTACCATTCTCTGTACACATCCCTAAATAAGTCAAGCCCTTCTTTATCAATGTATTCTTAGCTTCTATCAAAGGTTAATATAGGAAATGGCCATAGAAAAACATGTTTTGTTAATACTTGCATTCATATTCTTATACATCCACTCAATAGTTTAAGTGTCTACAGTAGGCATGGCACTATGCTAAGCTTTTCCTTAGAAAATATTTCTAGGGGCAAATTATTTCTTCCTGATAAATCAGGTATTTTTAAGAATGAGAGTTTCAATTCAGTGTTTTCATTTATAACTTTCCTACTGGGAAGAGCAAAGCTAATTTGTAGTTCATTGCAACAAGTAACATTACTAAACTTCATTTTCTTGAGGTTTTCTTACCAGTTATATAATTTGTGACCATCATAGATAGATAGATAGATAGTCCTATTATATATGATTTATATCAGAAACCTTGGGAACATTTTTTGAAAATATTTGCGCTAAAAATTCCTTTGCCAGATGTTTCACCATTGCTGTCCTAATGTGCCTATAACACTAATTTGCTGAAGTCATTTTAATTCTGTGGATGTTAATTTCCTCTAAATTCTTCTTTCTGCAAATTGAGATGATTGGATTCAGTGATTCCCAAATGCTGGTCCATGGGCCAGCTACAATGGCCATAGCAAGAAAGCATTTTCAGAACATTTAGGCATGCTACATCAGTGTCTCTGGGCTGGAACCAAAGCACCAGGTGATACTGGGGCCCAGCCAGGTTTGGAGACCCCTGGATCAGATTTTCTCTTAAGTATCCTTTGGCTTTGTGAGTTCATGATTCTTTTGGAGGGTGGAATATAAGCCAGCACAAAGGGAAAGACTGCCAGTTACTCAGGAAGGGGAATGCCTTAGGTCATGAGAGGGTTTTACAGCATTTGCAGACCTCTCCTCAAAGGTATGTTAAGTGTTTCTCTGTGGTCTGGTGCACACTAAGTGCATAACTCCTCTGTAGCATTTATCTCATGGTATTGTAGTTGTGGGTGCACATCTTTGTGTATTTCACTTAGCTCAAGTGAAATCTATGAACACAAAGAATGTGGATGTCAGTCTCTGCAATATCACAGCCATCCTCATAGTAAGCATCAGATAAATGCTTGAATGGATGAATGAATGAACTATTGAGAGAAATCACTCAGTAACTCCCTTGACAGGTTATGCTTCAGAGCCCCTGGAAAACTACCTGTAACAGATTGCAGGGAAAAACTTTGGGGTGGCATATTCCATCTAATCCCTCAGTCTGCTGGTTCAGTGTCACTGATTTCCTTCAAAGTGTGCTCGAAACCCCTTTGTTTTGAAGCTCTGAGTTTATTTCCTTTCCTTACAGTATGGTCATAAAGATCCTTTGGGACAAGACTTCTACACTTCAGTTAAAGCACTCTACTAAAATAGACTGTTACTTTCTCTACCTGATTCTCTCAAGCTTAACTGTTTTCTCTACTAGGACAAAGAAAGGATATGCTCAGTAGCCAGAGAACTGGTTGATTCCATTGTTTGCCCTTTGGAAGTAAATACATATAGCCAGAAAAGTTTGATATTCAGTCAACAACATCCACATTTTAAGACTTTGTAATATTTATTACAGACTCACTTGTTCTCACTACAATATGCTATGCAGTATTTTTTAATGTATTTTTATAATTAGAGGAATAATTAATTAATATAGGAAAAATATTATTTCTAAAGTTTAGATTCAGTTCTTTGATAGAAAAATATGAAAATAAGAATTTAGGCAGTCAATAATTTAAAATTTATGATCAAAATTTCTGATTTTGTGTTTATTCTGTTATTTTAGTGCTTTCCTCCATTGATCTCCTTACTTCATTGATTTATGATTTTTCTGATGAGGTAATAGGTTTAATTTGCTGATATTTATATGCTAAGGACACTTTCTTAGTATAACTTAATTTACTATCTTACTGTCTTTTCCAATTCCAATCATCCTGTATCAGATTTTTATTTTAGTCTTAATTAAAGTGATTATTTCATGATTTAAAGTTTTTGAAAGACCAGATATGATTTTAGCAGTCATCACTTCACCTGCTTATAAGCACTGTAACTTATTCGTAATACGCTCTCCTGTATATGAAAGTAGATACAATGAAACATAATTGTGCATATATTAATACATAGGTGTGGTCTGGCTTAAGGAGCCAAGCTTGGTCTGTATGGAATAGCTCCTCTTCTCATTATACTAAGCAAGCTTGTTTCCAGTAGATAAAGGGGACAGATCTACTTTCAGTTGAAGAGTGTCATCTGCATACTGTTCTGGTTTAAGCCAGACACAGCCCACTGTCTCCATTTGATGAAGGCATCCTATCTTAGGCTGTCATCCACAACATCCCATCTTAGGCTGTCAGAGAAGAGATTTGCATTTTCATCCAGGAACAACTTGACTTCTGGGTTTTGAACAAGAAAAATATTAGGGTGTAATAAACCCTTCTCATCTTTTGTACCACATTTAGTTAGTAGACCAGAATTGATATGGTGAAGGCATGTGACCAAGTCATTAAGCAAATTCCTTCCATAATATTTTATTTTGTTTTTATTTGGATTTATATTGAAATGAGGTGGAACCAAAACAACTGTGCCCAAGATATTATTAAATGAAATGCCTGCAGTATTATATTAGTGCTAGCAGTGGGCAAGGGCTGTGATCTTTGAATGCTATTAATGAGAGCTTTGAATATTTTTATTAAGAATTTTTATTAAGAATTTTGGGATGCTAGAGCTTCTGGGTAATGTCTGAACCATGGCAAGTGATGTGCTAGTATTGGTGCAAAATCTGGAGAAAGAACAAATGTGGATGCCTATGACCTCAAGTTGACCACTGTTGATAATGTAATAAAGTGTATTTTGACCTCTCATCTCCAGATATATCAGGGACAAGCTAGAAGTGTCATAACAGAAACAAAACCTGTGATTTTTGTCCTCACACCTGCTCCTTTCTCCCTCACTCACATTCAGTTCTGAATCTGCTTAGTATATTTTCCAACAGAAATTCCTGCTAAGCTCTTTCTCTGAGAACCCACAAACTTATCTAAGTTTCAGTCATGCTTATGCTACTCGGTTTTAACCAGCGTAATCTAAGACTTCTGCCTTTGTGACTCTATACTCTTTGAAATATGATGTTTTTGTGTGTTTAGCATTACTCCCTGGACATCCTCCCTGAACACTGATCAGTACTTTAAATGGTTAGCTTTAGATGCCTGCCTTTTGGACGCATAAGATAAAACATATTTTGCTTTAGATATGTACTTCAACCAGAATCTTTGAAAGTTAAATATTCTTACATCTGCGAGGGGCCAGAAAAACCACTTTCCCAACTTTATTTTAGTGAACTTTGGGGGTGGGAGAAGGTGTACTTGGGTACTAAAGCCCAAACCAGCTTTATTAGCTTCAAGTGGCTCCTTTCTTAGCTTCAAGTGGCACAGGAAACCCCTTTTGGATTTTCTACATCATCTCTCAGAATAGCACTTTTTTCTGTGCAACAGAACATACTTCAGCTTCTTTCTTGAAACCAACAGGAGGCACAGCAGATGCATTAGTAAGTCAAAGAAATTTCAAACCCATAAAGAAATGTAGCCAAATGACATTGAAAAGCTCTGATGCATAAATGTGACTAGGAGTATGTCCTGGCCCCTGACTATTGGGGACCTGACCGGGGAAATGGTCATCAGATTTGCCCCATTGCTAGAGTAGTTGGCAGCCATTGGTGATTCATGAGATCAGATGACATCAATCAGACGAAACATTTGATGTAGGGGTTAGCAATGGGACCCTTCAGAGAATGCGCTGGTGAAAGAATTTGTTATTAGGCAGAGCTCAGGTAGGGGAGACTTGAGGTGGACTGGATATGCTCAAGTGAAGATGAGGGTGGGGGCAGATGGTGGCAATAGGTTTCAACAAAATCTTTGGATCTTTATGGCTTGCTGAGCTTCAGGCACAGCAAACTCTGGCACCCTGAAAATCCCTATAAGATAGATGCTTACCTGGCAGGGTTATTCATCAGTTGGAGGAGTATACGTGCAGACCCTGGGTTTAATCAGGTGCCTGCTCTTGCCAGGGATGTTTGCTTGGCCAAGGGAGCTCAAGCCTTTCCTCTGAGCTCACTTTCTATCTGGAGTTGAAATGATTGTTCTCCCACCAGCATTTGACTTCAGACAGAGAGTCCACACCTGGTTTGACTGGGAACTCTGCCAGCCTGTCCACTCCGTCCATGAGTCTGGTATTTTAATCTAAGAAAGCAGTTCACAACTTTTAGTATGCAGTGATCTGGGATAGTTTCTAAAAATGCAAGTTCTTGGGTTTCTGCCTGGGAGATAGATACCATGGGTTTAAGGTGGTGCCAGGAACCGCCAGGAACCTGATTTTAATTTTTAAGCCTCATCTAAGGACTTTTAATGCAGTTTTTGAGATGAGATGACACTTGGAGAAACACTAGCCTAAAGGGAGCTAGTTCTACTTAGTTTTAGAAAATCCTCTACACACGTTATGATTTTTGATGATAGATGATTTATTCAGGACCCTGACAGCATTTTTGCTCCAAAGCAGGGACCTCCGTGCAATGGATGAGGTATGGTTTTCTCTGTTCTATATATATCTTCCCAGAATTTTGCTGTTAGGAAGCATGTTTCTAACCTGTGGGGTTTTTGTTGTTGTTGTTTCAAAGCGTCAGGCTGAGAGATCTCAAAAGTTAAGCAGATGTTGAGCATGGGGACAGACTCGGTATACAACAGGGAGCAATGGAGACGGTTTGCAGATGAGTGTCTTATTGCTCATTAGTAGTTGGCGGGAGGTAGCCTATTTATCTTATTGTTCTGTCACCCTGTATATATGGACATTTGTCTGATGTAGAGTTGGGTTTGTTAATTTTCCCACTTCTTTGGGATGAATGAATTTAATAAGTTTTAATTTTTTTATTTAAAATAAAATTTCTAGAAGTAGGTTTTGAATTTGAAGCCTTATTCAGAATGATTCTTAAACACTTTATAGAAAAAGGGTGGCGGCCGGGCTCTGTGGCACATGCCTGTAATCTCAGCACTTTGGGAGGCCGAGGCGGGCGGATCACAAGGTCAGGAGATCAAGTCCATCCTGGCTAACATGGTGAAATCCCATCTCTATTAAAAATACAAAAAATTAGCCGGGCGTGGTGGCAGGTGCCTATAGTCCCAGCTAAGCGGGAGGCTGAGGCAGGAGAATGGCGTGAACCTGGGAGGCGGAGGTTGCAGTGAGCCGAGATTGCGCTACTGCACTCCAGCCTGGACCACAGAGCAAGACTCCGTCTCAAAAAAAAAAAAAAAAAAGGTGGCATAGGAGCCTGTGGCAGTGGTTGTCACAATCTCTATCCATACCCGCTTTGTCTTTTGTAAAATTCCAGGATGACTAATAAGATAGGTGTGGCTCGTGATATACAAGTGGAAATTTGCTGAGCATTATTTCTGGGAAATCCTCTTTAAAAAAAAAAAATTAGAATAAGGGTAAAGTGGGCTGGCAATCTTTCTGTCCTTGGTACTCTGCCCATTTCCCACCTTCCCACCTGGAATGTAGACTTGTAGCTAGGGGGTGCAGCAGCCATCCTGTGAACATGAGGGAGCAAGCATGGACCAAGAGCTACCTCTCTCTTGGACCAAGCATAGACCAAGAGCAGAGAATAGTGATGGGCAAAGCCTGGTGGCACAGAGGGCATTGTGGACCCTCTGTGCCACCACTAGCCTGCTTGCTTCATGACTTCTTGTTTCTTGAATCCATGCCTCTTTAAGCCACTGTTGTAAGCTTTTGCTATTTGAAATATCACATTGCCTTCATAAAGGATACTAAAACATTTTTTGAAATGTGCCACCTTAATAAAAACACCCACTATCAAGGGCAGTTGTGAATCATTGTGCAAAAGATGTATTGGTTAAAAAAATTGAAAAAAGGAAAGAAATTTCTTTTAATGTCTGGAAAAATGATGCACCAGAGTCTTTTGAAGTTCAAAAGAAGTTAAAAAGAGTGTTCAAATGTCAATCTATTACTCCCCCAGCATACCTGGTCACAAATTGCTTTATAACTGGGGTGGGTGGCTGCAAAATTGCCTCAGGACCTGAGATGATAAGTTTTATATCTGTCAAGGTATCCAGAGGAAACACTTTCATGACATAAGCATATTGTGATATAGAGATTCAACCAGCTGTCTCTCATTTTTCAGAAGATTGGAGTGGCTTGGGACCACTTGTGAGCAAACTTTTTGCTGGTGTTTTTGGTGAGGTACAACTGGTGTTAAGTACATTCTGATGACATCAGATTTCTCCAGACATGGTCAACCAGTCAGGGACAAGATCCACCAGGCCACAGTCTCTAATTGTGAGTCTTTCAATTTTGAGAGCTGGAAATTTGCAAATGCAAGCATATAACTTGACAAACTAAAGACATATGATGGTTAAGCAGGGTATGTTTCATCAGGAAGTCCCATGGTGGGAGCAGGTGGAGACATGAGGCATGAAGAGAAACACTATTGTGAGTGGAACACTGGCTTGGGAGCAGGAAATTGAACTTTAGTCTTGGTTCTTCCTGTCCATTAGTTAGATGACCTTGAGCAAGTCAAAATGTCATGAAAGCTCAATTACTTCCCTGTAAATAAGGAGATAGAATATGAACTTTCAGTTATGCTTAGACTTAAAATTCTGTGATTCTGCAGAATTTTCTCAAGAATGGAGGAATGTGATCCTTGGTGCCAGAGCAGAATTCAGGCAGAGGTGTCCTAGGATCCTGGGTAGATCCTCAGTAATACTATTTAATAGTATTATAGATAGACCCTAGGAAATAATATTTAAAATCAGCAATCAGCTTTGTCAAAAGAGGTGCAGTATCATCCAGTGATGATTTTTCATTTTTCTTGAGTTTCTATCATAAAAGGGTTTTGGCCTTTTATGAGATTTAGTCTGTGGATTTAGAAGATGATAGAAATTTCTCTAAAAACATGAGTCTATTTGAGAGTCTTAACATGTTCGTCTTTGGTTCATTCATCCTTGTGCTTCCCCATCTCTCATTCTCAGAGCTTGTTGAAAGCCACATCTTAACAATGCTTTTCATGCCAGCATTCCCATCCCTCAGGAACGTGACTTTGGTAGAAAATTCATTAAGGTATGTATCAGTCAGGGTTCAACCAAGCAAGTGGAACCAGTGGGAGATAGATAGATAGATAGATAGATAGATAGATAGATAGATAGATAGATAGATAAAGAAACACACACATATACATACATACACATACATACACACATGCACACACACACATATATAAGAGAGTGAGGTATTTTTATCTGTGTGTGCATACACATAAATAGATTTATTATGGGGATGGTTGGCCTTACACAATTTAGAGGCTGGGTAATCAGTCTCTGTAAGCCTGTTTTCTCTGTGTCTCATGCTGCAGCATGAATTCCACAGGGCAGGCAGTCAGGAAGGGGAGATCACAAGCAGGCAAGAACTGACAAGCATAAACGGGAATGCCACAAGGACGGACAGAAACCTAGGTCAGCTCTGGTTAACTCTGACCTTGGTTACAAGGGTATCCTGCTGAAGCTAGGGCCCTTCTTCAGAGAGTTACACACACACCTGACCCAGATGTCAGAGAAAGTGGAGGAGGACCCAAGGGAAGGTGGAATCATTATAGGCCTGCTGCTGCTTCATGTTCATGCAGCAGATCGGCAGCAGCACATGTGTGTCTTCTTCCTTACGCCTTCTACATCTCAGAAGAATCTCTCTCATGGCCCATCTAACCCAGCATAGAAGGAAATTCTGAGAAATGTAGTTCAGCCTAGCCAACATTTCCTACCATTACAAGGCCATTGTTGTAGGAAATATGAGGAAATGGGAAGCATATTTCTTGCCCTGAAGAACTTTATAGTATGCTTAAATTAATGGAAATCTCTATGTAAAGTGTTCAATACAATTCTTATAAACTGCTGGCTTCCTTTCTCAGGTAGCCTTGCATTGTGATAGATTTAAACCTATTTTAAATCTTTTTTATTAAAGACATACTACTTCAGATTGTATAGATGGTCACATTTCCACAAAATAAAAAAGACAGTGTTATGTTACTTTGCTTAGAGTAAGAGTTTAGTTAGTTATTAGAATGAGTAAGTCACATACCCACTGAATATTGCTTCATTCCTTCATTGGTCCAAAATTAAGGCTATAATTTAATACAATAAATTACCTCTTAGTCCACTTAACTGATTTGCCAGCCTAACTAGTGGCTTTGATTCCCCTGTCAGATATACTAACTAGTCTTGTGGAACACTGAGAGTTTGAGGCCATGAGCGAAAACTTCTGCTTCTGCCAATAGAGTTGCTATTATTATATCAGTGTTCTTTTGTATCCAACGTATTTATGCCACCTCCACTTGTTATTGTGATACTGTAATTTAATTAATTATTATTGTGGATTGATAAAAATTGTTTCCCAAGAGCAAGAGATTTTCTTTCATAAAAATTCAGTTAAACACTTTTGAAAGATTAAGTAAAAGCTACTTTTTTAAATAGCTGGGGAAATTAGCATGACCAACGCATTTGAAACATAAAAAGGCAAAAAAAAAAAAAAGTCCTAAAATTTTAAGCACATTCTGCACCTAGATTTCTTTTCAAGTGTGTCCATTTTGGGGGTGCTTAAAATAATTGGTGCTGAAAAATCTTAGAGTAAGTGTGGTTTCTGCAAGAAATATAACACATAACACCCATTCTGAGGGAAACATATCTTGGCCTAACAGTGAAAGATTGGCATTATATGTTTTGATCAAAATGAAAAAGATTTATATTGGAAGTTCTAGCTAGTTCAATAAGACAAGAAAACAAAATCAATGGTGTTCATATTAGAAAGGAAGAAATAAAACTGATTACATAAAGAGTAATTAATAAATATTCATTTAATTAATAAATATTACATTATTGAATAAGTAGAAAAATCCCAAAGAATCAATACAAAGAACAATAAAAACTCCTGGAATGAATAAGTGAGTATGGCAAGGTCTCAGGATACAAGGTTAGTAAGTTCATTTGTTTCCTGTATACCAGTAAAGAACAACTGGAATTTGAAATCTGAAACATCCAGTTTTACAATGGCACCAAAAAATATTGAAATATTTAAGTATAAATCTTATAAAATATGTACATGATCTATATGTGAAAAACTACAAGACACTGATGAAAGAAAACAAAAAAAAATCTAAATAAATGGAGAGCCAGTGCATGTTTGTGAATTGGAAAACTCAATATTGTTAAAATGTCATTTATTCCTAACTTGATCAACAGAGTCAATGCAATACCAATTTAAATTCAAGCAGGCTACTTCGCAGATATTGCAAACTGGCTCTAAAATTTTTATAGAAAGTCCAATACCTAGAATATCCAACATAATACTGAGAAACAAAACTGAAGGGCTCACATTACCTGATTTTAAGACTTACTATTAGGCTGTAGTATTCAATACACCATGGTATTGGTTAAAAAAAGCAAATATAGACACATAGATCAATGGTGCAAAAAAGAGAACTAAGAAACAGCCCTGCACAAATATAGTCAGCTGATTTTTGACAAAGGAACAAAGGCAATTCAATGGAGAAAGTATAGCCTTTTCAACAAATGATGCTGGAACAGTTGGTCATTCATATGCAACATATGTATGTAGACATAAAACTTACACCTTTCACAGCAGTAATTCAAAACAGACCATAGACATAAATTTAAAATGCAAAACTACAAAACTTCTAGAAAAAAACCACAGGAGAAAATCTATGTGACCTTGGGTCATATAGAGGCACACTTTGCGAAAGAAAAAATTGACAGCTTGAACCTTATTGTAATTAAAAACTTCTCAGTGAAAGCACTATTAAAAGAATGAAAAGATAAGCCGTATACTGAGATATATATGCTGAATATATATCTGATAAAGAACTTGTATGCAACATATACAAAGAATTCTTAGAACTCAACAGTAAAAAGCAATTTAAAGATGGCCAAAAGATCTGATACCTAATCATAGAAGATGTACTGATAACACATAAACATATGTAAAGATGCTTAACATCATTTGTCATTCATGATTGAACATTTAAACAACTAGAAGATACCACAATACACATAAGAATGCCTAAAATCCACCAAAATCTAACAATACCAATTACTGATTAGGATGCAAAGCAACAGGAACTCTCATTCATTGCTGATCAAAACACAAAATTGTATTGCAATTTTGGGATGTAGCTTGACTGTAATATTTGGAAGACAGTTTGACAGCTTCTTATAAAGCTAAATGTATTTTTATTATATGACCCAGGAATTGAACTCCCAGATATTTACCCAATAGGTTTGAAAACTTATTTCCACAAAAAATGTCTGCATGCAAATGTTTATAGCAGCTTTATTTATAATTACAAAGAACTGGAAGCACACAAGCTGTGCTTCTATAGTTAAACAGATAAACAAGCCATGGTACCTTCATACAATGAAATACTATTCAGTGATAAAAACAATTTGAGCTACCAAACCATGAAAATGTATAAATGAACCTTTAATGCACACTGCTGAGTAAAAGAAGCCAGTCTAAAAGACCACACACTTTCTAATTCCAATTATGTGACATTCTGGAAAAGGTAAAGCTATAGAGATGGTAAAAAGATCAGTGGTTGCCAAAGGTTCAGAGGGAAGGGGAAGGTTTGGATAGTGAAGGACAGGCTGTATTTTAGTCTGGTGAAACTATTCTATATGATACTCTAATGGTGGATATGTGATGCTATGCATTTGTTAAAGTCCATACAATTTTCCAGTGTGGTGACTGAATCCTTACATATGTAAACTTAAAAAATCAATAAAGAGGCTGGGGGATTTCAGGATGAAATACAAAATATGACAAAATAGCCTAATTGTATTAAAATTATTTGAAACTGTAGTCCCAGGTATTTGGGAGGCTGGGATGGGAGGGAATCACTGGAGCCCAGGAGTGTGAGTCCAGACTGGCAACACAGCAAGATCCCACCTCAAAAAACAAACAACAAAAAAAATTGAAATAACCTCACTGAAGAGGATAGGGAGGGGGTGATGTTTCCTGATCTAAGTAATTGTATATATGAATGATGAGTGGAGTCTGTAAAACTAACAGCAAGAAACTGTATATAAGCACTGTACTCTAGTTAATAAAGTTATTTTCCATGGAGTTGTAGGTTAACAATTCTTGTGTCACAATACATGAATACTGGAATAGATCAATTAAGTCAATGTATGGTGTACAGTGGGAGCTGGATTTCTCACTCTGAAGCTGGAATTTACAGATATCAAGGGGAGGAGGCTACAGTGATCTATTTGGTGATGAATTAGAGTTGGTGACATCTGTAGACACTCAGTTTTAGTTTAATGCAGATACACATGGTTGCACATAAAAATATTTATAGATATATGTATATATTTACAAGTTAGCATACACATATATATTTTCTTGCTCTTACCAGCTGAGAGGGCCTGAAAACAAAACACTCCAGTAGCAATGAGCATGCCTAGAAACCAGATTTTGGTTTCTAATACCATTTTTCATACAAGAAAAGAATTAAGGCTTCTTGGAGAAATGACTGATTCTAGAACCTGGGCAGGAAATATACAACATGGTCCTAGAGTGTCTTGTAGTGCCAGAAAGTAAGGAGATGCTCAAAAACAAAATTATCAACACAAACCACAAGCAAACCCTCACTGTCACAAGGACCCAGGAGCCAACTGAAAGAACCCTCAGTGGTCAAATCTTGGTCAATGTGAACAACAGAGTAAATTAACATTAGATTATAACCCAAAGTATAAAATCAATAACCATTTATCCTTACTGATATAAATTATTGAATAAACAAATGAGGAATAATAAATTTCCCATGCAGAAGGATTCCAAATGGTTTATATAGATACTTCACCCTCAAGGAGGGGAAACATAACTTAAGCGTGGGCTGTGCATAATAACTTCCTTCGAGACAATACCGTATGAAAAGGGGAAACATAAATTTATAATGGAGAAAGCTGACAGCCATACCTCATCCAGATGATCAAGGTTAAAATTAACGTAATGTCATGTTGATTTTATATATCCTTAACACAGTGGATGAAAAACAGCATGTTGTCTATGTAGTATTCCTCTCCCAAACATGTAATCCCAGTCTGATTATGGGAAAAACATCAGACAAGTTCCACTTGTAGCACATTCTTTAAAAACCTGACCAGCATTCCTCAAAACTGCTAAGGTCGTCGGAAACAAAGAAAGTCTGAGAAACTGCCACAGCCAAGAGGAGTCCAGGAGACACGATAGCTAAATGGAATGCGTACCTGGATGGGATCCCGGAACAGGAAAAGGACCTTAGGAGAGAACTGAGGAAATCTGAACAAAGTATGGGCTTCAGTTCATAATAATATATCAATATTGGTTTATTAATAATATCAAATATACAATACTAATATAAGATGTTGAAACTAGGGAAATTAGGTGTGATGTATATGGGAACTCTGCTTTCTTGACAATTTTATGCAAACTTAAAACTGTTCTGGCATTAAAAGTATGTTTAAAATGTGTAAGACAGTGTATGATGTATGAGGTTGTACATGTCTCAGATGTAGATATCTCTTTTGAACTGGCCCAGTGCCAGACCTAAAGGCATCAGATAAGAGGCCCTCTCCTGAATTCTCCGTTGTTAATTTTGTGCCAAGAACTCTACTGGATGCCTGAGTTTTATTATCTCATTCAATCCCCATCACAACCCCACCGGGACAGTGTTTTTCTTTCAATCTAGGGATAAGGAGTCTGATGCTGAGAGAAAATGAGGGATTTGTCAGAATCCTGGGCCTAGTAAATAAGATTTGAGTGTAAAAGAAATCATATGTGGACTTTCTCTCTTTACATTGCCTTATCGCATTGTTAGATACAGGAGGCCTTTAATAATGTTGTTAGCTAAAATTAAATCATTCTTTATTGCTTTATTCTCAAAATTTATTTCTTATCCTTTTGGGCCTCTATTTCATAGTTCAATGTATTTTTGAAACCAAACTCAAAGTAATTTAAGCATCTCAAATATTCCTAGAGTTATCTCTCCACAGTCTCAGCAATGTCTGTTATTCAGTTCAGTATTGAGCACTTCTGAGTATTACATTTAGGACTTACCATTACAATTTAAATTCAGTATTACTTACAACCTTTCAAATAAGAATTGAAGACACCCTGGAAAAAATATGATAACATTAATTTTAAAAAATCTAAACAGAATTATGAGGGAATAAATAAATACTTTAACCATAAAGGTTAATACACTTATTATAATTCATCATGAAAGCTGACACTATTTTATCTGGTGGCCAAGAAAAATAAGGAAATATGGTTATATTATATGTCTCCTTTGAAGAGAGAACATACCAGTTTCTCAGAGAGGCAAAACTTTCCCCTGTTAGAAAGTCTGAATGGATTTATTAGGATATTTTAAGGAGGTAAAAGGAAAAAATTGTTCACAATAGTTTCACAGCCAATATGGAAATAAAATTTATATGGTTGTTTCTCATAAAATCTGACAAACAGATTGAAGCCATAATAATAAAAGGCAATTCAAAGCACATAGTTATTTGAGATGATGTTATAATGTAGTTCATGTATTTTGGAATACATTCCAAATTTTAAGTTGAGGATATATTAGACAACTGAGAGAAGTATATAGTTAACCTTGTTCTTAAAATTATCTTCCCTAAATATTATCTTTCTTATCTGGGTTTCTGTGGGTAGCTGGATCTCAGAGTGTGATCTGTACTGCTACTGATTCCATGCACAAATGTTTTTGCCAAGTACCTTCTGTGTCAAGATATTCTGGTTCATTTGACAACTAGTTACTTGCTCTCATGAGCATATATTCTAGCAGAAAGATAGAAAATAGCAGTAAGTCTCTAGGAGACTGTTGGGCAGTAAAGGATGCTATGCAGGAAACACAGGGTAATGAGAAAGAGATGGGGGTGGGGGTGGGGAGGGGACGTGGGGTTAAGCAGGAGAGCACAGCTTTATAGAGGGTTGCAAGAGAAGGCCTAGATGACTTGGCATTTGATCTGAGCCCAGAGTGAAGTGAAGAAGCCAGACATGGAAACATCCGAACAAGATCCAATCACCTCCTACCAGGTCCCACCTCCAACACTGAGGATTACAATTCAATATGAGATTTGGTGGGGACACAGATCCTACTCATATCAAGCCTGTACTATTTAGATTTTTATGGTTGTTGTTGTTGTCTTGAAGTTACTGAGACTGTGTATACATCTCTTTTTACTTGTAATTTAATTTTTAAAGTGATATTTTTGTCCAGCAGATTTGCCATCATTCACTTATCTGCAAGACCTTCATAGGTAGGGACTGGGTCTTATTCACCTTTGTGTCTCTAATACCTAGGCATAGTTCCTGGGCTGTAGCAGCACTCAATAAATATTTGCTGAATAAATAACTGGACAAATGAATGAGATTTCAATCTGCTGGTTCACATTTACAGCTCTACTTCTGATGATGTTTATAACTCTACAATTTGGCTATTTACTAGATAAATACTTGTCTTAAAATGTCATGAGTTTTTTTTATTTTAGTACCCCAAAATGATGAATTACTTAATCCTTCATTTGCTTATGCCCCAGTGTATATTTGGACTATGTATTAATGTTTAGAATGAAATTATTTGCATATATTCCAGGTTACTTACTCTATTTACTTCATGAGAGATGTTAAAACCAGAACACAACTTTTACATTCACAAAATGCTTCTTTGAGCATAGTATATGGTGAGCTATAAAAGAAGCATCATTTCAATCTTCATCATGGAAAAGAATAAAGAAGACTTGTATTTTGGAAGTAAAAAAAATCTGCATTATTATTTTTATCCTATAGAAGCCTCCTGTCACCCTGAACATCATCGTGTATGTATCCCTTGTGTATTTTCTGTTAAGACGGAGAAGAAAACGATGTTTAAATTGAAATGTCTTCTAATCAGTGAAATGCCTACTATGCTATTTTCTTTGTCTTATTTGAGACTGGACACCTGTGGCCCTGGGTTCCTGGGTTCAACCTGACTTCTAAGCATCATTTGAAATGATGAAACAAAACAGTCCCTTTAAATAAGCGACACACTCTGTTTTATACAGATACTAGGAAACGCTTGCATTGGTCTTAAGTTTGTAGAAGAATATTTGCTCAATTAAATTTTATCTCTTACAAAGAACAAAATCTAGGTTGTGGTGTTTTTATAAGAGAAATGTTTCATGTCAGTGAAATTTATTATTTTATTCTGACATTATAAATTGTATTCTTAACTATTTGTGATTTAAAATTACTTTTTTTCTGCAACTGTCTTCAAAACCTTGAATATCTTTATTTTATTTTTACACTAATAATTCTGCTCAGGATAAAGAGGCAGATGAAAGATAAAGCATAAAGAAACCTCTTAATTCTTGAACGTGTATTAAATTATTATTTTAAATAAAAATTTACACTGAACATTTTGTACATTTGGGATCCATTATTGGAAAATGTTTAAAACATGTCAATAATCAAAGCTAAAGTATATAAAAGGAATTTTATAAACATAAAGGTATATCATTAATGTAAGGTATTATCATTAATAATAACTTTACTAGTTGTGTTGGTCCATTCTCACACTGCCATAAAGATACTGCCCAAGACAAGGAAAGAGGTTTAATTGACTCAAAGTTCCATATGGCTAGAGAGGCCTCAGGAAACTTACAATTATGTTGGAAGGGGAAGCAAGCATGTCTTTCTTCACATGGCAGCAGGAGAGAGAAGAGTGAGCAAAGGAGGAACTTGCCAAACACTTACAAAACCATTAGACCTCCTGAGAACTCACTCACTATTGTGATAATAGCATGGGGGAAACTGCCCCGTGATCTAGTCACCTCCCACCAGGATCCTCCCTCAACATCTGAGGATTAAAATTCAAGGTGAAATTTGCCTAACAATATCACTAATGAAATAAAAGCCATAATGAAACCTAAAACTTTAGGACTAGATGAAGTAAAGTCATAAGAAATTATGTCCTTTTGGTAAGAGCAGTAGTGAAAAAGCAAAAATGCAAAACTGCTTTTCTTTGATTCTTTTTATTATATAATCAGAGCATCCCTTACGCTTGCTGATCACAATGCATAATTTTATTTTTTTAATGTCTTTTTTAGTCTAACTTCAGGTGCTCTGCTTTGTACACTGATTCATCTTATTATTAGCTTTGCAATAATGTGCCATCTTTGATTTCTAAAAGTTAATCCAATAGTCAGTAAGTAGAAGCTTCTTCTTTTACTATTTAAATATGACAATTTCTTCTTTCTGTAATAAATACAGTTTCCATGGTATTACTGTATGTGTGTGCATGTGTGTATGTGTGTGCGTGCATGTAAGAGAGAGAGAGGGAAAGAGAGAGAGAATTTCAGATGCAGGCATTCTTTATTTCTAATTTATTTCTATCCATTTCAGCAATAAATTGTTCCAGGCACTACCACATTTTTTGCACACCGTTTGTTATTTGTACTCTATTCTTGTCCTATAATTGTCCCAGATTGGACCATATTGGAGAAACAGCCTAGAAAGTGGCCTTGTTGGGCAACAGGATGCCTCATTGCAATGCTGACCTGCAGAAGATACAAATGATGATATCGAGTTAACACCTAATGAGCTTTCATTCTCAAACACTACTGAAAGCCTTACAGCAGTCCTCACTGAGTCAACCGAGATAGATGTAACTGTCTCATTCCTGTGTTCCAGATTAGAAACTGAGGCTAGAGTGCTTAAGCAAACTTTAATTGCTCATTGTCCTTTTTCCTTCGTGACACATGGCAGTGTTACTTGCACCTAGCACAGTGCCTCCCACATGACAACATCGTGAAACACTGGATAAATGAATACATGAAGTAATTTACCCTGGTAAATGGCAAAGCTGATAAAGGGACCCATAGCTCAACTCTAGACCCACTCACTTAGCATCAAAACTATGTCAGAGGGAAGATGTTAAAATCATCCTGGAGAAATAAGTCCAGAAGTAGTGATCAGAGCAAAGACAGCCTGAAGGTGAGAGCCTCTAGGGAAGGTGTGGAGGAGAAAATAGAGCTGAGGCAAGGTAGATGGAAGCAGTAAACTGAAACTGGAGAGAAGGGAGGCAGCGTAGACAAATTCTGGAGAGATGGTTGATATCCCTCAATGGGTTTTATGAGTCCTTGGAAAACATCTTCTGTGGTCAGGCTAGTGGACTTCAAGAAGAGAGGGGACTCCCCCAGTCCTTCTCAGGCCTATGTAACAGGAAGGGTAGGCCCAGCCAGAGTGACTGAATTCAGATAAAAGATCCTAAAGTACACTACCACGTATGCATGGTGAGACTTATGGCCCCCTTTTTGACACCCACTCTTCCTAGATCCAACCAGGGAATAGCAGAACCTCCAATGTTACAAGGGTGCCATTTTCTAGAGATATCCATTAATACCATGAGGGTCTGACAGCCATGGGAGGGGACAGGTCACAATCAGGGGCCAAGTGTACCACACGGGGCCCCTTCACAGCCTTTGGGATTACATTCAGCTTTCCAGTTGGACCTTCAGTGCTCCATCCAGTTAGTGTCAAAGCACAGTCCCAGAATGAGGGCAGGTACCTCTCTGACTTCTTATCCTAATATCCAGCCCCTCCTCAAGCAATGCGCCCAACAACTACCAGCCCCAGAACACCTGACATCCAGCAAGGTTCACTGGGCAAGGGCATCAATTTTCTTTCCCTGCTTGATCTCCTTTAAGCTTAATAAGAACTGAATTGTCAACTTTGTCCACCCTCAGGATGCATGATAAACGTGCATGAATATTCATCACAGCACTACGTATGGTAGCAAATAATTAGGAATGACCTAAACGTCCATCAATAGGAGAATGTTCAAATATCTTGAGATTTATCTTCACAGCAGAGTATTTAACCTTAGGTGGGAGGGGAATATAATGTATTTGATGAAACCTTGATTTGGGTTGTTATCTACATATTTAAAAGAAGCTTCTTGCAAGATTTAGAAAAAACAAGGGTACCCTCTTTTCAGGATCAGGGCCAGGCACTGCGTTTATCATACAGTCACTTCTCTTTTGCTGTCTTCTGCTTCAAAACCCTTTTTTATAGGAAATTTCTTTGAGAAAAAGAAAATGAAAGGCAGTATGTGGTGGCAGTGGGAACTTCTGTGGGTTAGACAACACCAACAGCAGAATTCTCATGTGAAATTGATGGTAGGAATTTGGTCAGTGATAGTGGGGTCTTGGAGCTTTAAGTAAGAGAGGCCAAGGTGAGTAGGTTATGAGCAAGAGAGAGCAGTAGTCTTTTGGATGTCTTCCCATGTGCTCAATTTGACATTTCATTTACAAGAAATATTAGCTTCCTGGAGGACTGACAATGTCCTCATCCATTGTGGCAGTTTTGGGAAGCTGGGCCTACCAAGAAGGGCTTGCCCACCAAAGCTTCTTGTTGCCCTGAGGTCTGTCACAGACTAACCCTAAAGTCAGATACAGGTCACCATTCATCCTCTGTCTGGCTGGAGCCAGGCACGAGGGAGCATGGAAAGCTTTGGCCAGTTCCTCCCCAAGGGAGGTTCTTAGTTTCAGTCATGTCCCCAGGTGCCTGGAGGCAAAGTGAACTGCCGCTTCACAGGACACAAGTTGCACCTCTACTGAATAGCTTGTCCTTTCTTGAGGTCCCAGTAGGGAACAAGCACAGGCAGATAACAGAGGGATTGATGGGAGCTGTGAAGAAGTCTCCATAGGTACCCAGGGACATCTCTATTTTGTAAAATTGAAAATTGAGAATTTGGTGTGCTTGGCTGCTATTGCAGGCTCAATGTGCAGCATCCTCTAACACCTTCTTAGAATGGGCTCAAGGTGCCAACCTAGTCCATTCAGACAGCTTCCATACAGGACGACGAATTCCCCTGTGTGCTGCCACCTTCCTTGTCTCCTCTCCCCACGACTATCAGCACTGCCACCAGAATTCCAGAATCTGTGGATGGCTATTTTGACCATCTCTTGGTGGACTAGGCCACCAGCCGTGTTATCACCCAATGGAGTTATGACTCTTTAATTATTTTGTATTTATGGGCCGTATCAAATTTCTTAAATAAAACATTAGAGATAGATACAACTAAACCACCTTCCTGCTTCTTCCCCCCACCCTATAATTGAATTCCTCTCTTTCTCACTCCATAGGTAACAGCTGTCCTGAAATTGTTGGATAGATGTGCCTGGCATTTGCAAATGTTTGTTTAACCCAACATTATGTTTCCAAGATTTTTCCATTTTAAAACATAATGTCTTTCATTTTTATTGCTATAATATGTACCAGTATATAACTATGCCACAATTTGTTTATTGATTCTCTTATTGATGCTCTTTCATGTTTCTCTATTTTTCTGTTATTAGAAAGTATTACACAATTAACTTTTTGCGTAAGACTTTAGAACTATAAAGAAAAACATGCAAACAACACCCCCCCCCCCCCGCCAAAAAAAGAAGAAAAGGATGTGCATAGGCATTGCACCGAAGTGGAAACTTAAGTGGCCAGTACACAATTAGCTTGCTTAACTCACTAATAGTCACTAGCAAAAAGATTCTATTCCATATCCATGTATGTCTTTGAGAGAAGGTAGGCAAGTTGACACTCGTATGCACTGCTGGTGAGAGTGTAAATTGGTAAAACTACTTAAGAAAGCAATTTGTTAATATATGGTTCAAATCCTACAACCTATTGATCCTGTTTCAGGGAATGGCCCTCACTCTACTTCTCCTTTGTAGCATTAAGATGAAAAGCATTATGCATTCAGTTTTCCCAGTATGCTGGGCACCTGGCATGCCCAGCTACAGCTGCAACCAAGAAAACAAGAAGGGCAGCTTGAGAAGGTTAGTCTTAGGGGCAGCAGTCACAGAGGAGTGATGGAAATCAGGTCGTGTTTTCATCATTGCAGCAGCTGCAGCTGTTTCCTTTGCTCTGCCAGCCATACATGGAGAGCTGACAGCTGGGCTCACATTTCTGTACTTGCACCTAAAGCCTGCGTGGCTAAGAGTCCTGCACTCTCCAGGAACATTCCTCACATCATTTTCCACAGCATGTGGGCATGGAGATGGGAAAAAGTCCTCTGGAAGCAGCTGTCTACACTCAGAGATCCTTTGTCTAGGCAGGGAAGAAGTGAGCTTGATTCGTGGTCCTTACATGGTGGGGCTAGAGCCAGGAAGAGTTCTATTCATCACACAGTGGGAAAAAGCAGACCTTAAGGACCAGTGCCCGAGAGAGAGTGACTGGGAAGCATGTTCAAGCAGGTCCGTAAAGTAAGAGAGGCTCAAGAAAAGGAAGAAGGCTTGGAGCACCTGGAGGAGGGAGACATAGGGAAGATAGTAGATTAAATAGCAGATTAAACGCATCAGTAACTGTAGGGAGGCTGGGATCAGATAGACACCTACCCAGTGTCAAAACATTGATCTGATCAAAGAAAATATTGGTCCAAAAGATGCCTTTGGGTACTAATGGAACAGCCAGTTTATTTTTTTTTTTAAGGAATGATGTGAAGTAGTCAGGCTAGAACCAAAGATAACAATGCATTACTATTCTCTCTCATTCCCTCCCTCTGGAAAAGCCTTGTCTTTTTTGTTTTCACTTTTATTTATTTTGACGGAAAACATATCCATTATGAAGCCAATCATCAGTTTCACAGACTATTTATCTGTACTTGTAAGAGGAAGCATACTGTCACCTACTTTATTTATGGAGACAACATTCTTAAAAAGGAAAGTACAGTGTAATAGACAAATCCATATAACATTATACCTACTGAAAACACATATAATTTTTTTCTGGCCAAATCACCCCTCTACTAATAATGAGGATGGAGTAATGTTCTTAAAGCGAGTAAGAGAGTAGGATATTTAAAGACAAAGTAAAATAATAAATTAATGAAAATAACAGGATACCTTCTGTCTTTTTTTTTTTTTTTTTTTTGAGATGGAGTCTCACTCTATCACTCAGGCTGGAGTGCAATGGCGCAATCTCGGCTCACTGCAACCTCCACCTCCTGGTTTCAAGGAATCCTCCTGCCTCAGCCTCTCCAGTAGCTATGACTACAGGTGCATGCCACCATGCCTGACTAATTTTTGTACTTTTAATAGAGATGGGGTTTCATCATCTTGGCCAGGCTAGTCTTGAACTCCTAACCTCAGGTGATCTGCCCACCTCAACCTCCCAGAGTGCTGGGATTACAGGCATGAGCCACCACGCCTGGCTACTTCCATCATTTTTATAACAGCTTCATTGAGATACAATTCACAAGCCATAAAATTCACTCTTTCAAAGTGTCTTATTCTGTGGGTTTCAGTATATTCACAGGTGTGTCATCATCACTGCTATCTAGTCTTACAACATTTCGTCTCCCAAAAAGAAACCCCATACCCATTAGCAGTCACTCTTCATCTCCTCCCTGCTCTCTCTCCAGTCTTAGGCAACCCCTAATTTACTTCTCTATGGATTTGTCTATGCTGGACACTTCATGTAAATGGAATCATACAACATTTAGTTAAATTAACTGGCTTCTTTCACTTACCATAATGTTTCCAAGTTTCATTCATATTGTAGCAGGTATCAGTCCTTCATTTTAAAAATAACTGAATAGCATTTCATTGTATGGATGTACCACATTTTATTTATCCATTCGCCAGTTAATGGACATTAATTTCAGTCTTTTTTTTTACTAAGGTGGATCCCACCCGGGTGACTGTGACTTCCAGAGATAACTTGTGGTATATGTAAATCCATTTCTCCTTGTATGTAATTAATGCAGGCTAACTGCCTTTGTTACAAGCAATCAAAAGAACCATTTTGACAGTAGCATACCTCTCTTGAAATACATTTGTGATTGCTTTCTTTTGGCTATTTTTTTCTTTGAAATGTGAGCTACAACTGTTTATCAGAGGGAATAGTCCTGTATATAAGAAATGATCTCACTAAATTATACTAATACACATGGATTTAGAAGTGAAAATGCAGGATAAAAATGTTGTTGCTGTTTGTGGTTGCCATATCCGAGACCAATCAATATTTGTTGTTATTTTTAATCACGACTATATCTCTATTGTGATGTAATCCATTGTTTTCAAGGTCAGTCTCTAGACCTCCTGGATACCTAGGGAAGCTGAGCTTCAAAAGCACTTTGTTGACTTTGCAAAACTACAGTTAGGATATAAGTTAGGTCAATATTTCTTTTTATTTGGGTTCATCAAATAAAGCTGACTTGTTCTGGGCCCAACAGCAAGTGCAGATGCCTGCTTGCTAGGAATGGATACAGTTTCAGCCAAGCAGGAGACTTACTTGCTCATTCATTTGCCCTGCTGGTGTCCTGTACACCTGTCACTTTCATACATCATGGGATCTACTGCTGTTACCGGACACTCTTCTCTGACTCCACAGTCATACCAGGGTTTTTGAAATGAACATTCCACAGAAATATTAGTGAGAAAATTCCTGTCAGAAATACATTCTGATACGTTCCCATAAGACCCAAATTCATCTCTCCATTAGTCAAAAGCAATCTATTTTTTCTAAATACGCTCCATTATTTCCAAATAGTTCCAGGGCGTATTTCCAAATATGCTGTGTTAAAAAGGCCTCACTTTATTCCAGGATTCCTCAGTATTTGAACCCATGTAGATTCCAGAAGAAACCCATACTCCTTTGCAGCTCCAGCCCCTCATGACAGTAAAGAGCCCTGAAGATGGAGTCAAGAGTTAGCTCTGAGGCATCTCACACGATGAGGCTGCCGGACACCCCAGATCTGGAGCTTTGGAAGATCAATAAAACAATCTGTATCTGAGCCCAAGACTCATTATTCCTGGGATTAATACCCTGGTAATGAATTCATTCAATCTGGTCCAAATTTTGTGTTGATCTCTTTCATTTGGATTGCTGACAGTTGGCTAGAATCATGAGGTAATGATGGCATGGAATTGACTTTGCAAGCCCACTAAATAGAGAGCAATATGCTCAATTTTGTGGAAGTTGTAACTGTGAATTAGCAATAGTGCATTTTGCCATGCTATTAATAACATTTTCCCCATTAATGCCCCCAAATGAATGCAATACAAGTCTTTCTCTGCTTTGGGGATCCTCTACTTCTGTCAATTTGGCATCTAATTAATTATGTAAGGGCAGGAAGGAAATAGAAGCAAATGTAGGTAATATCTAGTTATTTCAAGCAGCAGCCCAGAATAGGATTAGTTGTAACCACTGCAGAAAGTATGTAATCCACTAAGTACCTTGCTTTCACATCAATTTCTGCCACTTGTGCTGCTTTAATATACATTATTTTGTTCTAGTAATATTTGCCTTTAGGTTATTTCAAAATAGGATTTATGAGTAGAACTACTTCTGCAGACAGGGAAATTACATCCCTAAATGAGGTATCAGCTTGTGCATCTTTCACCAAAATCACTGGGATTTTTGGACTAAACAATTCTAGAACTCATTAGTAAGAAATATGAGGGGGAAAACATGGAGGATGATTTCCTGTTTTTCTAGCATTCTCTAAAATCTCTTCAAAGAAAGGTCAGCCACAGGAGCTCTCAAGAACATTCTTCCACCAGCATTTCTGAGCTCCTCGTGTCTAAGTGGCTGAATGAATAAGTGTGTGTGAGTCTCTTGGGCCAGTGATGCCCACAGCTCTGCCAGCAGTCGCTTGGCCAGAGACAGTAACTGAACATTATACTGCCATGGACTAACGCCCCTGCATGCTTCCCTGGTCCCATCCTCAACAAAGCTGAAAAGTCAACAGCATTCGTAGAGAATCAGGCCAAGTTGACAGACAAAGGTGTTTTCATTCCCTTTCTCAGATCTGTTAAGTGGAATTTCTGTTATATTTTAAAATAAGTCATTTTTACCAGGAGTTTATATAGCACCTATTACTTGCCAGGAAAATGTGGAGGGAGGTGGGAAGCAAGGGGATTGTCCCAGTATGGTTCTCCACTTCAAGCATCTATTTCAAGATGTATTTTTCCCACCCCACCCCCAGCCCCCACACACATCTCTACTGTATTGGCTGTTCAAAAGGGCAGGAAGAATCAGCACTTTTCCCCCATATTTCTGTGGCAGAGTTTACAGCGTGGCTTCATGCATACCATTTCATACCTAATACATACCCTCCTTTTCCCCCACAAGCCCCATTGCAAACTAATTCTTACTGTGATCTATAAAGCAAGCAGGAGACTTTAAACTTTACAACGCAATAAGAATTAAAATCTTGGATGATAAAAGTTATTACACATGAGTGAGTTTGTCTCTCCAAATCAATGAAATAAATTAGGTTCCCTGCGTTGTAGCATATGGCATCCTCAGAATTGCCTTCATATAATTATAACTCTGTTTATTAAAAAGAGTTACGTAACGATATGGTTGATTTATTCTGATGTGATTGGCTTAGTAACTTAATTGGACTAAGCAATATACCCTAGATAAAATTAATTTAATTAGCGGATTCATTTCAGGGTGACTAGAACCCCTCACCACATTTTGGTAAACTTCTGAAAAGGTGTGCAAGCAAACAAGCAAAGTTCAAGAACAAGTGGACACCTGTGTGGCAAATTAAGAGAGGAAACAGAAAAAACAGAGCACCATTTCAGAGCAGCTCCAGCCAGAAAGTTGAAAAATGATACTTTACTTCATGTTGTTAACTCTTTTTTTCAAAGGACAGACATAAACAGTTCTACAGCCCTCTCTTCCTAAGTTACCCAAGGCCCAGTTACTAAACTCTACACTAGCCTCACCCTTTTCTACTCCATCATCATAGTCAGGATCTCCTGTGGCCAGGTCATTGGTGGCCTTGTGGCCCTAATGTTCCAGTGTGATCTTGACCCCAGCATGGGCCAGTCTGCGTGTGTCTTTTCTGGGGATATGGAACGCCATTGTGAAAACTGGCACCATTGTGCTTAAGAGGATTATAGAGAGCAGAGATAGAGGGATGAGGGCAAAATTACCACAGCTATTATGGGAACAATTCAAAGTCTATATATCCAAATTTCCAGGGTCAAGAACTGTATCCTCCCATCTGCTTTCTATCTGGCCTCCCTACTTCTATTTTTTTCCCTCTTCTCTTTTAATTCATTCTGTACAATGCCACTATCTTGTTGCTTGCTTATGTTTATTTTTTGTTTCATGAAATAAACCATACAGACCTTACTTCATTCCAAAAAATGAACCTGAGATAGCTTCACTATTGCTGGGTTAAGCTTGCACAGCCCCTTTGATCAGATGTTATTTCCTTGCTTGAGAGCAGATGGCTTCCATCAACTAAACTGCAGAGGAAAGTCAAACGTCCTCAACCTGGCATCTAAGTCCCTCAGTAACCTGCCCCCACCATGTCCCACCAGCCTTGCCTCCCGTGATCCCCCTGTGGTGCCCATGTGGCAGGTATGCAGGACCACTTGCCATTTCCTCTCTCCCTCATTCCCTTCCTCCTGTTCTACACCCTCCACAGCTTAGGTCATTCCATATTCTATTTCCAAAATAGCTCCTCACTGCATTTCATTGCTGCTTCTCATATGAAGACTTTCCTGATCATCCCAACTAGTAACTATCTCTCCCTCTTCTGAATGTGTGTGTGTACTTATAATTTTGGTTTTAAATCCTGTGGTTGTTTATATATGTCTGATGGTTTCATTCACACTGGGGCTGTGGCCCTCGTTCTCTTTCTCTTCCTGGAGCCTCCTAGTGTATTAGTCTAATGTGGAATTCAGTGATTACTTGGTTGAATGAAAAGCACATTACCATTATTATTATTGTGTTGTTGAAAGTTGTTATTTTTTTATTATTGATGCAATACTTTATAATTTCTGCTTTCAGGCAGTAAAACATTTCCCGTGGAAGCAATAATATGTACATTCATTCACCATCCTACATCCATGGTGGATTTTAACTCGTTGTATTTAGAAGTTTCCCCTCTCAAAAAAAAATAACTCTGTTTCCCAGGACTTCGTTAATTATTGGAGCCAACATTTCTTTCAGGGCTTGTTAATTTCCATTGTGCCGTCTATTGAGTCTGTGTGAGGTGCATGCAGACAAGGTCTTATAGGCCTGTCCACCTCCAAAGAAGCTGATGAGAGACAAAGTTCCCAATCATCCGATTTTGTGCCCTTTGATGCTGCGGTACATGTGGCATGAGCGATAACATATTTTCTGCATGTGGCATTAACCAGGCGGAGCAAGGGGAGCAAATTCAGGCAGTCCCCTTGGTTCTGACTCTTTGTTTCAGTGTAGTTAGATCAGAGTTGCACTGCATCACATTGAACTTGAGTGCTTTGATTTCCTTTGTTGTAGGAACAAGACTGTAAAAGAGAGAATAGAACAGAGGTGCTTCTATAATGAGCATTGAAGTGATTGAGGAAATCTATACCGAACAAAAGACCCATTTATCAGTGCCATGAAAATCCTTTGAATTATCACAAATTTTTTTGCTTTAAATCTTTTATCCTAATGGATTGATGTAATAGATATATCTCTAAAGGCTAGATAAAGATTTTTGCACACAATAAGGGGAGATGAAAATTTTTTCCAAAATAAAATTATAAATAGTGATTTCCATTTGGGGAATGAGTCCACCAAGTGTCATTCGTTATACCAAGTGTTTTCTTTCTTCATCATTTTATTTAATTACCAGTATACCTCCATGAGCTATATATTATTCCCATTTTACAGATGAAGAAAATAAATTTTAGAAAGTAATAAAGTCAGATATAGAACTCAAATCTTAATTTAAACTCTGCTTTCTTTCCTTTACACTAGACTGTTTCTACGTATGAAAATGAAGGTGTTCATAGGTGGGAATTGAACAATGAGAACACATGGACACAGGAAGGGGAACATCACACACCAGGGCCTGTTGTGGGGTGGGGGGAGGGGTAGGGATAGCATTAGGAGATACACCTAATGTTAAATGACGAGTTAATGGGTGCAGCACACCAACATGGCACATGTATACATATGTAACTAACCTGCACGTTGTGCACATGTACCCTAAAACTTAAAGTATAATTAAAAAAAAAAAAGAAAATGAAGGTGTTCTGTTTAACAAGGCAATGAGTCAACTCCATCATGTTGATCACCGAGGTATTTACCATATAGTAAGACTGGCAATGTCTTCCAAAGGATGGCACACTATGTAATGATTCAAATAAGCTCTCCACTTTTTTAGTTGCCTCAAAATCATGTATTTTATAGATACTGATGAGGATATTGGCCATTTCAAGAGCTGGAGGGAGCATCCAACTCTGGATAATCCAAAGATGCTGCTCTTGACTTGGGAGAGAATGACCCAGAGAGGCTGAGACATTCCAGAAACACACCAACTCTGAAATAAATGTGAAAATGTGTGGGTACTGGAGACATGAGGAAGTGAAAAGCAAGGACACCTTCTTTGGTTAGGCTGTGTCCCCACCCAAACCTCGTCTTGAATTGTAGCTCCCATAATTCCCTTCTGTTGTGGGAAGGACCCAGATGGAGATAATTGAATCATGGGTGCAGTTTCTTTCATACTGTTCTCATGATAGTGAATAAGTCTCACAAGATCTGATGGTTTATAAGGGGAAACTCCTTTCGCTTGGCTCTCACTCTCTTTTTGCCCGCTGCCATCCATGTAAGATGTGACTTGCTCCTCCTTGCCTTTTGCCATGATTGTGAGGCCTCCCCAGCTATGTGGAACTGTGAGTCTATTAAACCTCTTTTTCTTTCCAGTCTTGGATATGTCTTTATCAGCAGCATGAAAACAGACCAATACACCAAATTGGTACCAGGAGTAGGATGCCCCTAAAAAGATACCTGAAAATGTGGAAGCAACTTTGGAACTGGGTAACAGGCAGAGGTTGGAACAATTTGGAGGGCTCAGAAGAAGACAGGAAAATGTGGGAAAGTTTGGAACTTCCTAGAGACTTGTTGAATGGCTATGCCCAAAATACTGATAGGGATATGGACACTAAAGTCCAGGCTGAGGTGGTCTCAGATGAAAATGAGGAACTTGTTGGGAACTGGAGCCAAGGTGACTCTTGTTATGTTTCAACAAAGAGGCTGGTGGCATTTTGCCCCTGCCATAGAGATTTGTGGAACTTCGAACTTGAGAGATGATTTAGGTTATCTGGCAGAAGAAATTTCTAAGCAGCAAAGCATTCAAGATGTGACTCGGATGCTGTTAAAGGATTCAGTTTTAAAAGGGAAATAGCATAAAAGTTTGGAAAATTTGCAGCCTGACAATGTGATAGAAAAGAAATTCCATTTTTGGAGGAGAGATTCAAGCTGGCTGCAGAAATTTGCATAAGTAACCTGGAGCCAAATGTTAATCTCCAAGACAATGGGAAAAATGTCTCCAGGGAATGTCAGAGGTCTTCATGGCAGCCCCTCCCTTTACAGGCCAGAAGCCTGGGAGGAAAAAATGGTTTCATGGGCTGGACCAGGAGACCCCATGCTGTGTACAGCCTAGGGACTTGGTGCCCTGCATTCTAACTGCTGCAGCTGTGGCTGACAGGGTCAAATGTAGAGCGTGGACCATGGCTTCAGAGGTTGCAAGCCCCAAGACTGAGCAGCTTCCACATAGTGTTGAACCTACAAGTGCCCAGAAGTCAAGAATTGAGGTTTGGAAACCTCTGCCTATATTTCAGAGGATGTATGGAAATGCTTGGATGCCCAGGCAGAAGTTTGCTGCAAGGGTGGGGCCCTCATGGAGAACCTCTGCTGGGGAAGTGCAGAAGGGAAGTGTGAGATAGGAGCCCCCACACAGAGTCCCAACTGGGATACCACCTAGTGTAGCTGTGAGAAGAGGGCCACTCTCCACCAGACCCCAGAATGATAGATCCACTGGCAGCTTGCACTGTGCACCTGGAAAAGCCACAGACACTCAATGCCAGACCGTGAAAGCAGCTGGGAGGGAGGCTGTACCCTGCAGAGCCACAGTGGCAGAACTGCCCAAGACAATGGGAACCCACCTCTTGCATGTGTGATCTGGAGGTGAGACATGGATTCAAAGGAGATCATTTTGGAGCTTTAAGATTTGACTGCCTTGCTGGATTTTGGACTTGCATGGGGCTGGTAGCCCCTTCGTTTTGGTCAATTTCTCCCATTTGGAATGGCTGTATCTACCCAATGCCTGTACCCCCCATTGTATCTAGGAAGTAACTAAGTTGCTTTTGATTTTACAGGTTCATAGGCAGAAAGGACTTGCTTTGTCTTGGATGAGACTTTAGACTGTGGACTTTTGAGTTAATGCTGAAATGAGTTAAGACTTTGGGGGACTTTTGGGAAGACATGATTGGTTTTGAAATGTGAGGACATGAGATTTGGAGGGGCCAGGTGAAAAATGATATGGTTTGGCTGTGTCCCTTCCCAAATCTTACCTTGAATTGTATCTCCCATAATTCCCTTGTGTTGTGGGAGAGACCCAATGGGAGATAATTGAATCATGGGGGCAGTTTCTTCCATACTGTTCTTGTGATAGTGAATAAGTCTCATGAGTTCTGATGGTTTTATGAGGGAAAACCTCTTTTGCTTGGCTCTCACTGTCTTTTTGCCTGCTGCCATCCATGTAAGATATGACTTGCTCCTCCTTGCCTTCCACCATGACTGTGAGGCCTCCCCAAACCATGTGAAACTGTGAGTCCATTAAACCTCTTTTTCTTCCCAGTCTTAGGTATGTCTTTATCAGCATCATGAAAACAGATTAATACAACACCATCATAGAATACCAACTATAAAACTCCTACAAGAATCAGTCTCATAGTTCAGCTGTTTCATATTCATGGAATTATAGGAGGCTGATTACCTCATAACTCATAAAAACCAACATCCCCAAGTTCAGGGGCATCCATTGTCATGGACTTGCCAGAACAGCGCCATTTCTATCTATGCTTATTACCCAATATAACTGCCTTTCTGCCTAATCTCAACTACTGACTTCACCTTCTTCCTGTTTGGTCACACCCCAGATTAACATTTTAATTACTACTTATAGACTGATGGCCCCTAAATCTACATCCCTGGCCCTTGACCAGTTTTCTGATTTGTATCTCCTCATTCTACATCTTTATCAAGATGTTTCTGAGCCACGTGAGCTCAGTTTACCCTACACTGAATTCTCTCTCCTCTCCTCTTATCCATGCTCACCATATTGCATCTCTTTGCAAATGGTTCTATCAGCCATCTGAGCACAAAAGCACAAATCTTGGGAATCATTCTGGTTTCATACTTTCTTCACCCCATTTTCCATACCCCATCAGCCACCAAGTCTTGTTTGTTCTGCCTCTTCAAAATCTCTCATCACTACTGTGGTCTCCCTCTGGCTTATTGCTGTCACCTTTATAGCTGGCATTCCCATCTTCAGGATCACCCTCTCTATTTCACATTCCATCCTTCTACAAGGAGGTATTCCTTTTTTAAAATTCAGCTCAAGTACTCCCTTCTCCTTAAAGCTTTCCCTGGCTTGACCATTTCTTCCTTTCTACCACCTGTCACATTGAATAGTTACTGTGTTTACCTCATTGCCTTTCTCTCTAAATTATGCATGAGACAACAGAAATTCAGCTTTATTTATCTTTGTATCCCCAATGTTCAGAATATGACAGATAGTCAGACTCATTGAATTGAATATCTCCAATGTAAATCCTGCTTCTCAGTGACTTCTGTGAATTCTAGACCTGCCCTTTACAGCCACCTCGAATATCTCATTCTTCTTTTTTGTGACAGAGTCTTCTTCTATCACCCAGGCTGGAATGCAGTGGTGGGATCTTGACTCACTGCAACCTCCTCCTACCAGGTTCAAACAATTCTCCTGCCTCAACCTCCTGAGTAGCTGTGATTACAGGCACCCAACATGATGCCTGGCTAATTTTTGCATTTTTAGTAGAGATGGGCTTTCACCATATTGGCCAGACAGGTCTTGAACTACTGACATCAGGTGATCCACCTGCCTTGGCCTCCCAAAGTGCTGGGATTACAGGTGTGAGCCACCATGCTCACCCTCATTCTTCTTTTGCTTGACGTTTCTTCAAGTATTTACAATGAACATTCACATTTTCCCCTACGTCTTTTCTTTTCCTGATGTAGTTGCAAATCTTTCCACTATCCCTGACTTTGTTTTCAGGACACTTGCAGATGCTGGTCAGCGTCTTCAGGAAATAATTGTATTACTCAATGTCATTTTTAGAATCAAGTCTGAATATCAGGATGGAGTCTGAGCCCCATGGGTACAGTAGCCTCCTTTGATAGTCACCTATAGTCTGTACTTATAATGCAGCCGAACATTGTGAGAGCTTTCTTAGATGTCATATCCCTTGTTATTAATAATGGTAGCTAGAGGGCAATTCAACATACAGATATATTTTCACGTAAAATGACAATTTCTGAAGAATTTTTCTCTAAGTTTAAGTGCAAGACTTCACATGTCTCTCCATTCATTTAAACTCTTTTCTTCTTGCCTTTCAAGATCCTTTTGGCTCTTTGTTATGTTACCTGAAATATTAACTATCTTTCCCAGTTTTGAGTCACTTGAAGACTTGGTTAATGGCTTTCCTCTAGGTTTACACAGAAATAAAATATCCAGATCTTCATTCAGCCCCTGTTTAAATTCAGATGTTTTTCTCAATATGTGTAACTTCGCATCCGTTCTTTCTGAGTTACTCTCAGTTAACAAAGTGGCCTTTTGTTTATCTTGATTTCTTTAAATACACTTATCACTAAACCATTCATACTAAGGGATCTCAGAAACTTTTTATTCAATAGAAAGAACAGCTTCAAGGGAATTTCTCCTTCAGGTCATTTCATTATAGACTGTGTAGATATGGGATGGATGTACAAGAAAAACCATACAACACAAATTGCTTCAGTAAGTTCACTTTTCTCAAGTGTTCAGAAACAAAGAGCTATATAAGGCATTTGAAGGATTTGTGCATGTCAAACAGAACAAGAGATCATTTAAGAGGAAGAAGTCACAGCAGCTACATGAAAATGAGGGAAATATATTCAATTGCTTAGAAGTTTATTTTATGGAATACCAAATATTTGTGATTTGCCTCTGAATTTTTTCTTTTAATCTAGAAGTTTTGGCTTTAAGTCAAATGTGCCATAATGTGCTTAATCAGCACTGGTGAGCAGACCTCTAAAAGTGGAATAGGAAGAATAAGGAATGGAACCAGGAAGAGGTACAGTGTTAAGAATTACCGAGAGCCAGTTATTAGGACTTCAGAATCACAGGTCAAAGCCACAGAATAGAATCAGAATATTGGCAGGAGGAACATTTAAAAGACCCTAGACAAAGAAGGAGAAGAAGAAAAAAAACCTTAGCGTGTCTTGTAAAGCCAAGGTGACAAGTCAGGAGAAGAGCAGGTCCAGCACAGCAGAGCTTTTAGGCACAGGAATGAAGCCTCAGCCAACATGCCTGAGAGAGCCTGAAATCTCACCTTACTTGGAAGGAAGTGCACAGCCCAAGGCTGACATTGACAGATTTCAGAGGAGATCATCTCCTGAAAAGAATCCCCTCCTTCGCAATCTCACACATCAGTGTTTCTACTTGTCCTCCTTACCTAACCATGCTGGTGCCTTTTAAAAGACCCAGATGCATCTCCTACTCTTCCAGTGCTGGATGTGTGACCAGTTACCAGGAGAGCTTCTCGACTTTCTCCTCTTCTCTATGACTTTCCATAGGCCAGTTTTCTCTACTGGATTCAAAAAACATCTTTGATTGCCCAAGATGATTACATCCTTAATCACAGAGCCCTCCTTTTGACACATTGTGTATGAGATCACCAAACTTGCAAAGCAATGTTGTCCATAGTTTCCCATTTTCAACTTGACATACTGTGGATTTAAATCAAGGTATCTTGGAGCAGTAAGCCAGTTCCTTAACCTGCGTTGCCATGTTTGCCACTGTTTGGTTATTTCTGTTTCCTCTTAATCCACTTATCCATACACACCTGCCCACCCATAGAAGCCTATGCAGAGATAATTTACAGATTTTGGCAGAAGTGCATGCATATGGATCAAAGGTTCAGGCAATGTATATCTTGTGAATGATGACAGAATCTGCTAGAAACCACTAAAAAACTGTTGGGGCCCAAAACGTATTATTTCAAAAGAAGGTGACTCTCAGGGATTGTGAAGAAGCTGGACTTGATTAGGGCCGTTCTACTGTCTCCTGCTTGTGCTGGTCCAATGGCCCTACTTGCTATATAAATGAATGCTGATCTTGGGTCCTTGGTCTCCAGTCCTGTCTTTGGACCCTCCAGTCCTGTCTGCAGGTTGACCTCCCCAGTCTTTAGAAGATCTATCCCAGTTTGTTAAAATTGATCATCTTGAGTGTTCACAGATTAAAGCTCAGCATGGTATTTCCTGGTGAACTTGGAAACTCTGCCCTACCTACCAAGGGATTAGCATTTTTAGCCCAATCATTATATTAATCATGACTCTTACCTTAAATTGTCAAAGCCCAGAGAGATGATGACAAACAGAGGATTATCTGTGAGTTGCCACTATGTTCTTCTCTAGAGGATCTATTTATACATTTGGGTTTCCTGGGTCATCACTGCATTGTCAGCTACTAGATTAGAGCTGGCAAGAGCAGGTACACAATAAAAGCGTATTGCTTAAATTTGACCGAGCTTTTCCTAAATCCTATCAGTTTGCTTTCAGTGATTTTTTTCTAACAAGAACACAGCAATACTGAACTCATAGTCATTTATTTATTCAACAGATATTCCACAGCCTCTTATTATGAGCACATAGAGCACATCCTATGCAGGGTGAACAAAAGAAAAGTGGTTCCTGCTCTAAAAAAGCAAGCAGCACAATGGAGGCAGCAGAAACTGAATAAATAAAAAGAAGTAAATAATGATAAATATTTAGGGAAGCTCTGAAGGAGAGGAACAGGGACCTGTAAGACAATGAAAGGGGAAACTTTACATTGGCAGTCAGAGGAGGCCTATCTAAGGAGGTGATGTTTAAGGCAAAATGTGAAGAATGACAACAAAGGGCATGGGAAGAGGATACTAGGGAGAGCAAAGAGCCTCTGTGAAGACCCGAGATGGTGTTATAGTTAGCTATTGCTGCATTACAAACCACTCCAGACCCAGTGGCGTAAAACAGCAACCAATTTGTTATGCTCATGGGTTTTGTGGTCAGGAATTGGGACAGAATGCAAGAGAAATGGCTTTTCTCTGTTTCACATTTTACAGAGCACCCGCTGAGAAGACAGACTTTTAACATCTGCATAACTTGGAAGACAAGGGACTGAAATCATCTAGAGTTATTAGAACTTTGATCATGTCTGACTCTTGTGCTAGCATGACTTAAAGGCTAGGCTCAACTGGGGCCATCATCCTGAGCATCTATACAAATGGTCTCTGCCCTGGGCTGCCTCATAGCATGGTGCCTCAGTGTAGTTATATTTCTTATCAAGCAGCTCAGGGCCTCAAGAGTAAACAAGATATGATGCCTGGCTATTTATAACCACACCTCAGAAGTGCTATGGGCTGAATCGTGCCCCCAAAATTCATATGTTGAAGTCCTAACCTCCAGGACCTCAAAATGTGACTATATTTGGAGATAGAGCCTTTAAAAAGGTAATTTAGGGTCAGGTGCAAAGGCTTACACCTGTAATCCCAATTACTGGGGAGGCTGTGACTGGAGGATCACTTGAGGCCAGGAGTTGAAGGCTGCAGTGAGCTATGATTGCACCACTGCATTCCAGCCTAGGTGACAGAGGAAAACTTTGTCTCTTTTTAAAGAAAAAAAAAAGGGTGGGGTGGGGGAACTTTAGGTTAAAAAGTCATATGTCATATGGGCAGGCCCTAGTCCAATATGACTAGTGTTCTTGTAAGAGGAAGCAATTATGACACAGACAATACAGACCAAGGGATGACCATAATGAGGACACGGCAAAAAGATGGCCATCTGCAAGCCAAGGAGAGAGGCCTCAGAAGAAACCAAACTTACTGACACGTTGATCTTGGACTTTTAACCTCCAGGACTGTGAGACAATAAATGTCTGTTGTTTAAGCCTCCCAGTCTGTGGTATTTGTTACAGCAGCCCGAGCAGACAAAAACATCACTTCAGAAGCACCCTATTGACCAAAGAAGACATAAACCCACACAGTTTGAAACGGGAGTCATAAGCCCTTAAAGAGAGGAGTGTCAAAAGATACAGGGTCATGTTTGAAAGCTGCAGCATGTTGGAAGGAGCTTGGCAGCTTGAGAAACTAAAAGGCCAATGTAGCTCAGAAATGGTGTGCTTCCATGGAAAGTGTGCTGCTGTGGAAAGAAGTAATGTTAAGAGGGTAGGCAGAGATTCGTGATTTGAGAACATTTTGGCCATAGCAAAAAATTCAGATTGTGTTCTAAATGCAGCAGGAAGATTTTAGAAGGCTAAATAGGAAAGCAACATTTTGATTTCTATTTTTTAAAGGCACTGTATTAGTCCACTCTTACACTGCTATAAGGACATACCCAAGACTGGGTAATTTATAAAGGAAAGAGGTTTAATTGCCTCACAGTTTCATAAGGCTGGAGAGGCCTCAGGAAACTTACAGTCAAGGCCAAAGGGGAAGCAAACACATCCTTCTTCACAAGGTGGCAGGAGAGAGAAGAATGAGAGCCCAGTAAAGGGGAAAGCCCCTTATAAAACCATCAGATCTCATGAGAATTTTCTCACTATTATGAGAATAGCATGAGGGAAACCACCCCCATGATTCAATTACCTCCTACTGGGTCCCTCCTATGACATGTGGGGATTATGGGAACTACAATTCAAGATGAGATTTGGGTGGGGACACAGCCAAACCGTATCAGGCACTAAAGCTGTTGAGGAGAAGGAGACAGTGGGAAGCTGGATAGCTTGGGAGAATGGAACCATACATTGTAATCTATGACTTTCCAAGAAAATCTTGTGTAATAATTGGACTAATATGTATGAAAAGAAATAGAAGCAAAATCCTAATCTATTTGACCCTAGAAAATTGATTAGATTCCTAAGAGACCTTATTAAGGTTTAAGGCCATAGTGTACCAGGAGGTAGTGTAAGCCCTTAGCAAAACTTTGACTGTGTTTGCATGATTCCCGACATTTAGACTAGACGATGAAAACAGAAGTCATGAAAATACTTTGTAAGGGCACATCTGGATGTTTTACTGATGTGTGCCATTTTACTCTATAATTTTTGCTTTATTTATTATGCATAGCTTGCTGTCTACATAATGTCAAACTTTTTATCAGAGAATAAATGCATCTACATTGATGTTCTGGCAGGATTTTCATGTAGGAATTTAAAAAACTACAGGACACATTTATAAGCATTATTTATGCCTTAAGGAAGAATGTGTTTCAGGTAAAAAGCCTTCTTTTTGAATGCCACTACAGTAAGCACCCTTTTATTAAGAAAATAATAGCTAACATTTATCGAGATCTTTCTATATGACAAGTCCTATGCCAAATCATTTAAATGTCATTCTTCTTAATCCAAATAGTCCTTATCAGATACATGTTATTGTTATACATGGAAGATGGAAAACTCAGTTTTAGAAATTATATTAGTCTTCTAGGGCTGCCATAAGAAAAGCCACATATTAAGTGGCTTAAACAAACAAAAATGTATTTTCTCACAGTTCTGGATGCTGAAAGTCCAGAATCAGAGTCCTAGTAGGATTGATTTCTAGTGAAGCCTCTTTCTTTGGCTCACAAGTGGCCATCTTCTCCCTGTGTCTTCATATGATCCTCTGCATGCTCAAAGAGAGAGACAGAGGGAAGAGAGACAGACAGAGAGAGAGAGAGAGAGAGAGAGCGCACTCTGGTGTCTTCTTCTCTTAAGACCTCATTTAACCTCTTAATTATTTCCTTAAGGGCTCTGTCTTCAAACACAGTCACATTGAAGGCAAGGGCTTCAATATATGAATTTGGAGGGAACACAGTGTAGTCCATAGCAGAGACATTATGAAACTTACCCAAGGTCACATACCTAGGAAATACTGGAGCCAGGATTGGTACCCTGGCAGCCTGACACTAGAACCTCAAGCCTCCAACTACTTTATATTTTCATTCATGGAGTAATGTCTGCCTTTGTCTTCTGAAAGATTGGCAAGGTACACACACTCAGGAAAATAAGAGTTAATAAAGTGGGCTCATATTTATTTTGGTCAAATAATATGAAAACATGTCTCATTAAGCTGGATTTTATTAAAATTAAAAATGCTTGTAAAACACAGTGTCAAGAAAAGGAGAAGACAAGCTACAGACTGGGAGAAAATGTTTGCAAAAGAACCCCCCCCGCCTCACCGCCCCCCGCACCGATAAAGGACTATTATCCAGAATATACAAAGAATTTATAAAATCCAACAATAGGAAAACAACCAGATTTTAATGTGAGTCAAAGACCTTAACAGACACCTCACCAAAGAAGATATGCAGATGGTAAATAAGTATATGAAAAGATGCTTCATACCATATGTCATTAGGAAATTGCAAAAAACAAACAAACAAACAAACAAAAAACAGTGAGATACCACTACACACCTATTAGAATGGCCATAATCCAAAATGCTGACACTATATCCTGGCAAGGATGTTGAACAATAGGAATTTTCATTCGTTGCTGGGGGAATGCAAAACGGTTTAGCCACTTTGAAGGCAGTCTGGCAACCATGCTCCGTGATATTTATCCAGATAAGTTGAAAACTTATGTGCACACAAAAGCCTGAGCATGGATTCAGCTTTATCTATAATTGCCCAAACTCAGAAGCAATCAAGATGTCCTTTGATGGGTGAGTGGATAAATAAACTGTGGTACATCCAGACAATGGAATATTATTCAGTACTTTAAAAAAATGAACCATCAAGTTATGAAAAGACTTGGAAGAACCTTAAATGCATATTACTAAGTGAAAGAGCCAATCTGAAAATGCTACATTCTACTATATGATTCCAACTATATGGCATCTAGAAAATGCATGTGAAAAGATCAGTGGCTGCCTGGGGTGAGCAGGGAGGGAGGGATGAATAGAGAGAGGACAGAGGATTTTTAAGGCAGTCAAACTATTCTGTATGATACTATAATGGTGGATACATGTTACTACATGTTTGTCCAAACCCATAGAATGTACAATACCAGAAGTAAACCCTAATGTTCACTCTAATAAGTGCTGTGAGCTTCAGGTGATAATGATGTGTCAATGTAGGGTCAACTCCTGTAACAAATGTACCACTGAGGTGCAGGATGCTGACAATGGGGGAGGATGTGCATGTGTGGGAGAAACCTCTGTGCTTGCTGCTCAATTTTGCTGTAAACTCAAAACTGCTCTATAAAATAAAGCCTATTTAAAAAAAACACACACATCTCATTGACTCAACTGATAAAATTTGGCCTTTGGTGCTATGTTGGAGGGTGTGTGTGTGTGTGTGTGTGTGTGTGTGTGTGTGTGTGTTTCTTTTTTTACTTTTTTCCAAAAAGATGCAAATTAAGCAATTTAGTTCACTATAGACTGAATATTTTTAATTTCTAGAAATCCTAAGGAAAGTATAGTAACACAATTTCTGCATCTTGGTTAACAACCTAAGAGGAAATAAATCAACATTATATTAATTAAACTCTAAGTTGGCAGGCCGACCTGGTGGCTCACGCCTGTAATCCCAGCACTTTGGGAGGCTGAGGCGGGCAGATCACTTCAGGTCAGGAGTTCAAGACCAGCCTGGCCAACGTGGTGAAATCCCATCTCTACTAAAAATATGAAAAAATTAGTTGGGCACGGTGGCAGGCGCATGTAATCCCAGCTACTCAGGAGGCCGAGGCAGGCGAATTGCTTGAACCTAGGAGGTGGAGGTTGCAGTGAGCTAAGACTATGCCACTGCACTCCAGCCTGGGCAACAAAGCAGGACTCCATCTCAAAACAAAAACAAAATGAAACAAAAAGCTTCTAAGTTGGCCACGCTTTGGGAGGTGTTATGAATGCTGAAGAGAAAAAGTCAGTATGCAAAAACCTAGAATATCCAGATATAGTCAAGGAATTGCAGCACAGAGACAAATTCTTACATCCTGAAACAAGAATATAAATGGAGATAATGTGAATGACATTACTGGAACAATGATAATACTTCTTACCTATGCATTTGAAAATTCTTTACATACAGTAAATGGATTTTTTATGCAGGGGAAAATAAGCACAGGGAGACTGTCAGAGAAAGCCACTGATCACTGAAGCTGGAAAACATAATTCACCGTCAGAAGATGATTTTTAAATACAAAGAACAATTATATAAATAGTTTGGTGGGATGAATATGGGATAAACTTAAGAATAAAAATCAGTGCATCTACAATGCCAAATATTATGTAACATAAGTCTACAACATCTTTCTGTCCCAACCTTGAATTAAAACTCTGAAGAAAATGGTTTCATTCATGAAACCATGATTTTAGCTTCTGTTAATGAATGACTTGCCTTTAAGCCAAAAATTATTTATCGAATCCGACACTCATGTGAGAAATCCTAACTTTATGGATTCACCTCCTTTCTCAATCCTTCCCCAAGAAGCTCACATCTATTACAGATTGGTATAGATCTGAGTAAAATGCAATGTAAGGGAAGATCTGGGTTCAGAGGGTAGATAAATGTATGAGTTTGTCTTATCTATTTTGGAATGCAAGCTCAGTGTCCATTTAACATAAAGCATCAGCTGAAAAAGTTAAACATCAACCACTTTGTAAATATTTGTAATGAATTACTTCAATAACTGCACATTTTAAAACTCACAGAGGATTAAAGTAGTAGGATAAAGTATTCCAATAACTAACTGTCCTCCTAACTCTTCTATGAAGTAAACAATCTTTGTTTATATTTGAGACTACATTTAAAAGCAAATATAGATTTGTTTTAATCGTGCTATGTATTGGTTTATCTTTCTCACTGTTCCCATTTGTTAATGCAGAAAATACTGAGTTGTCCATAATTGTGGAGCACCAGAATAAGGGAGAGCTCAGTAGCAATCAGAGCACACAGCAAATGTCACCATTGGCATAGCCTCTTCCACTCACAGACTGATTTTCAACTGTGCGTAATGGTATTTATTGTGTATGAGTGCCTAGTTTCAAAGAGAGCATGGAGCATAAAGCATGTTGCAGAATAAGCACTCTGTTGCTGTTTGTTTAATTAACTAATTGATTAATAACATTTATCTTCTTGAGCTACTAACAGACACACATTTGGACAAAAAAACACACACATATATGCACAATTATGAGGAGTAGAGTTTCACTGTTTCGCCACATCTCCTTTGCACTGAAGCAGTCATATGTTATGAGCTACTCAGTGTCGTCAACACCCTGTGAGGCTATTCTTTTGTTAAAGGAAGAAATAATAAATAGTTCCAGGGGAAAAATGGTTAGGATGAAAAGAACAGGCATCCAGCAGTGAACAATGACCTGTTGAGCTCTGCCCCACAAAGGGATTAGGCTATTTGCATTGTTTGTAAGCACACAAGCATGCACACACACACATACAATCACCCCATTTGACAGCAGTGGTTTGGTGATCAGACCTGAGTTCATTACTTCCCATAGCCTCATCACATCCTGCAGTCTCTGAAGACATGATACTGATTGGCAGAAAACAGAGTCATGCTAAATGGATGCAACATTCCCTAAAGTTGATAGAATGTTCTGCCTACAACTGTTCCTGATAAAAGTATTGAGAAACCATGACATGCCTTTGCATGGACATGGATGGAGCTGGAACTAACACAGGAACAGAAAACCAAATACCACATGCTTTCACTTATAAGTGGGAACTAAATGATGAGAACACATGGACACATAGAGGGGAACAACACACACTGAGGCCTTTCAGAAAGTGGAGGGTAGGAGGAGGAAGAGGATCAGGAAAAATAACTAATGGATGCTAGGCTTAATACCTGGGTGATGAAATAATCTGTACAATAAATCCCCATGACACAAATGTATCTATGTAACAAACCTGCACATGTACCTCTGAACTTAAAAGTTAAAAAAAAAAAAAAGAAATTATGACCCGAATGGTTTAGGAGCAATGGTGAAATAATCCGGGGGAAGTCAGTGTCAAATACCAGTCAGCAATGGAAAATGTGCTGGGAGGAAGGCTAGGGGAGGCCAAAAAGCCTGGAATCCGTGGCAGCTCAGCTGCACCCTGCTGTCATGAAGTAACAGCTGTGAGGTGTGGGCGAGTGGGTGAGCTTCTCTCCAGCACCACCTCTGAGAAGCGGAAATAATGATACTCCACCTGCAATGGTACTGTGACAATTCCATTGAGTACCAGGGTCCTGGCAGGAGGCGAGGCCCAATAAATGTCAGTTTCCTTTTATGAAGTAAAGCCAGGGGGCCTGTGAGATGCCCACCCTAGAAAAGACTAGGGCCAGGGTTCCACATGGAGATAGAACTTGGGAAAGCAGGGCTTTAGGAAGAACCAAGACTGCTCCCCTCACAGTTGGCTTAACATAAAAACTTCACTCAGAGAAGAGTGTCCTCATGGCGTAATCATTGAGAACTAGATTTCAGGGATAGGTTTGAGCCAAATGGGCTGATTTTTTCCCCTCAAATGCCAAGTATTCTGCTAAATACACTCAACCATGATTTTTCATTCATATTCCAGTATGTATAATCTTCAATGAATTTTTTTAAAATTTCCCCCTCCTGGAACTAAATCCTCTGCCACTGCTGTTTGCTTTTCAAGGCTTCATTAAAGTTCCTTGGATGAGGGCTTTGAGCTTTGAGAAATGGACCCAGTTTGTTTGTCTGCTTGCTTGCTTGCTTGCTTGTCTGTTTGTGTTGCTTAGCTTTGCTTTAATGTGAAACCCTACAGTAAATCTCCTCAGTCTTGTTGTGGGAAAGAAAATATCTTGTCTCAAGCACTTTTTGCCTTTGCTTGCCCTGGCAATAGATATAAAATAATGTGGTACTTAACCTTTTTGTTTTTGTTCACCCAGAAAACAAGTAGACAAGGACACAGCAGGCAATAAGCAATGGCTGAAAAATCACCCAGTGCCACTCTTGACCAGATTTTGCATATGTTGAGCACTTGCAGAGGCCTGAGCTACAGAGGCCAAAGAACCTCAAAGGAAGGTGGAAAGAACTGATGTTTTTGAGTAATTGTAGGCACTTTATTTACTTTGTTTTATTCTTACAAGACCAGCCAAAATCTCTTGAGCAAAGATCACACCTTGGCAATCCATCGGCACATGCTATCAGCACCACCTTCTAAACGTTATCTAGAATATAACCACTGAACACCTCTTCCACCTACTAGCCTGGACTGGGCCTTCTTCGTTGTTCAACTGGAATCATTGCAGGAATTCCTTAACTATTGGAAGATCTCTCCTCCCACTGTCCCCTACAGTCTGCACTCAACACTGCAGTCTTAGGGATCTTCAAGCCAGTTAGATGGTGCCTCTCTTCTGCCCAGGACAGCTTCCTGTTGCTCTGGTCAGTTAGAGAAGATCCTGGCCTGGACGCTTGCCCATGCTTACTGGGTGAGTCTTCACGCTGCCCTGCCCAGGCTCCGCTCCAACCACACATACTTCCTTGATTTTCCTTCCCCCAAGCCCAGCTTTCTTCTGCTGTAGGGCATTTGCATTTGCTGTTTTCTAGGCATGGAATTCTCTTTTTCCAAAATGTGTTCAAAGCTTATTTTCTCACTTTCTGCAAGTGTGTGTTTAAATATGACCTTCTCACGGATTCCTTTCTTGACCACCTTAAATAAAAAGCAGTTCTCAGTTAGTTTCTATCCTCTTGCTCACTTTGCTCTTTACCATCAGTAGCATTCTTTAATATGTATTTGTTTATTGTTGTTCTGTCTACTTCTACTAGTGAATTTCATGAGAGAGACACTAACAGATGAGACTGACTTTCTGAGAGAAATTAATTTACCTACTTATAGCATAAGTGGAGCAGCTAGCATTCAACTCCCAGTCTGACTGTCTGTAGCCTGTGCTCTTTCTACTGAATCAAGCAACTGACTTTGAAGCAAAAATAGCCATGCTCCCGCCATTGCTATTGTAGGTCTGCAAATTCAATAAAGACAGAATACTCAAAGCACACTACACTTTCATATCTACCTGCTGCATCTAAATCCTGCAAACTTACAGGCATTATCCCACTTGCTAACAAGGTTACTCAGCCTGGGGAAGTTTAAAGCTTTATCAGTTTTAGGTTTGCCGAGAGAGAAGAAAGGTAAGAAAGCGAGGCTGAGCCTAGCAAGGGCGATTCTTTAACTCCCATAGTTTGTGTCTCTTCTGTAGCTATTAAACATAGTCTTTTTCTAAATTAGTTTTTTTCCCTACATACATCATATCTCTTCCATTGTGACTTAAAAAATAAAATAAAATGATCCTCCTGCCTACAGTTTTACCACACAGCCCTACCTCCAAATTCCTCCAGTACATCCTCCATATTGTTGTCAGGAGGGTCTTTATAAAACATGAATCTTATTATTTTGCTCCATTAAAAAAAAACAAACTTCTATAATATAAAATCATGATTTCATGACCTAGCATATAGACTCTTTCCAATTGAATTCCTGTGTTCCTCTCAGTCTTCTGGCTGGCTCAGCTTTCCCCACCTCTGGCAATTTTTTTTTTTTTCAGACGGAGTCTTGCTCTATCTCCAGCTTGGAGTGCAGTGGTGCAATCTCGGCTCACTGCAACCTCCACTTCCCGGGTTCAAGCGATTCTCCTGCCTCAGCTTCCTAAGTAGCTAGGATTACAGGTGCAGACCACCACGTCTGGCTAATTTTTGCATTTTTAGTAGAGATGGGGGTTTCACCATTTTGGTCAGGATGGTCTCGAACTCCTGACCTTGTGATCCACCCACCTCGGCCTCCCAAAGTGCTGGGATTACAGGCCTGAGCCACCACACTCAGCCCCTCTGGCAACTTTTAATTTCACAATACAAAAGTATTTAATAATGCCCTGCATGCGTCCTTCAGTTTCACATTTACACACTTTCTTCTACTGCAGGCACTCTTAAATACTACCTTCTCTGCCCTATTTCCATCTGTTTTGCATTTTGGATTATCATTAATATCTAGCATCTCTTGAGAGACTCCAATGTGTCAGGCTTTGTCCAAGGGGCTTTGTATCTGGTTTAATGTTCACAACAGCTCTACTCAGAAGCATTTATCTATGTTTTACAGATAAAGGAACTGAAGCTCAGAGACCCCAAGATCCTATAACTAGAAAATGGGAGAACAGGGATCTGAACCGTATTTTCTTGCCACAGCGCCAGTGCGTGTGGAGCCAGCCCCCTGTGCTGCCGTGGCTCCTCTGCACCCAGGATTACAGTTCCTTCAAAGAGCTGCACACTCCTCACTGTCAGAGCCTTTTCTCTCTCTTTGTAGCTGCAGTGCCTCAGTGACCTGGTCATCCATTTTGCAGTGACATAAATAGATTTAATTTATGACTGTCAATTACGTCTTCACACCAACAGTCCTGGGGCAGTCAGCCCTCACTCTTGACTACGTGGCCTTGCCTCTCACCACCCCTTCAGAGCAGCCGAAGAAATGCCTGCTCTTCACCGAAGTTTGTTTGTTCAGTTTATAATGACCCTGGTCAGTGAACACTGCTGTCTGTAAATACTCATGTTTCGTCATGGCCTGTGAGAAAGTTTACAAGCATACTTGTTTTCTGTTACTGAGGATTGTATGTAAGAAGACAAGACTCTCCCAGTCATTGCTTTTGTTCTTCATACCATCAGTACGAGACCTACTTTGCATTGTCCTTCCAGTGGTGGCGATTGACCTCTGCTGATCTAACCATATAGCCTCTGTTTTTTTTTCAAGTTTTTTTTTTTTTAACCTTAAAACTGCATGTTTCATCTAATCCCAGAACATTTCAATAGATTTGTTTTTTATACTGGATTGAATGATTTGAAAGTTCATATGGAAAAATAAATGCAAGAATTCCCAAGAATGTATGAGGGAAAAAGAATAATGAGGTGGTACATGTAGTACCATATATTGAAATTTGCTTTAAAGTTAATGTAATAATTTTTTTATAAAAAGCTATTTGCACAAGAAAAAGTAAATAGAGCAGTGGGATAGAATCAAACCAAGAAACGTATATAAGTACATGTGGGATGTTACAATATGAAAATGAGAGTGTTTCCATTCCATGGGAAATAGTTTAATAAATAATACTGGCATTATTTGGCTATGAAAAAATAAAGACTAATTTTAATAATATATTTAAACATTCAAAGTTTTGTGGTTTTTGAGGGGATGAGGTCTTGCCATGTTACCCAGTCTCCAGACTAGTCTCGAACTCCTGGGCTCAAGCGATCTTCCCACCTCAGCCTCCCAAAGTTCTGGGATTACAGGCATGAGCCATAGCTCCCTGCCCATTTAAAGTTTTAAATGAAGAAAGTAACACTATACATTCATATACTTGCTTTTCTTACTTTTTAAGAAAATTACCTTTGTAATTAAAAAGTATGAAAGTTATTTAAAAGTAATATTTACATATTATGTATTATATTTACTTATTACAAACAGTAAAACAATTCAGAAGCTTGAAAAGTAAATTCCGAAAGACTCCTTTCTTCGCCTGTACCCTCAACCTGTAGCTTCTCCTTTCGGATATTTTTAAGTGCATTTACTTATATACATGCACACAGACATATAAAGAATTTTCTTACCTTTATAGGGATGATACTCTATTTTGCAAATTCTTTTTTTTACCTTAAGTATATATAATTGTGGATAATCTTCCACAAAAATATATATAGACATATCTCATTCTTTCCAAAGACCACTCAGTATTCCATTATATAGCTCTACTTTGAGTTATTTAAGTAATCTTTTATTAATAAAGGAGCTTGTTAATCAAAAATGAAAAGCTGTCTTTCTTACTGTATCTCTAATTCTCTCCCCAGGAATAAACATAAACAAGTGTTTTTGTGTTGTAATTTTTCTAGGGTTATCATTACAATTTACATTACATTTTCCTCTTCCTCCCCCACCCCCCAACTTTAGCAAGTAGCTATTGACTTCCAGATTTAGAAATTCTACACTCTAGTGAGACTGTGTCTCCCGTCTCCTGTACTTCCCTTTATCTGCTGTTCTGGGGCTATGATTATGTATTCCATGTGTAGTCTATAGGTTAATTCAAAGCTTTTGAACCAACTTTAAAAAGGCATTAATGGGATTATGCTTTTATAAATATTTACTACAGAACCAAGTTATGCTATTGGATTTATAGAGAATTAAATATATCATTAAGACACTTACCTTTAGCCACTCATAGGATAATGCCCCAGGCATCAAGGTCCAGTGGCTTCTCTTTTCATTTCCTTTTAGTTTTCTCCCTTTTCAAGTCATATTCAGCTGCTACCTTTCTGACTCATAATATATTTCTTTCTCAGTTGTTCTGCTGGACAGCCTTTTTGAGTAATGTTTTTGGAGAGCTTGTGAGGGCAACAAGCTTTCTGAAACTTGTATGATTGAAAATATTACATAAAAATTGTAGTTTCAACATGGAATTCTAAATTCATAGTCATTATCCCAGAGAGGGTTTTGTTTGTTTGTTTGTTTGTTTGACAATCTTTGCTTCTTTGAGTTTTAGTGTCCACTGTTGCTGAAGGGAAATCTGTTGTTAATTCTCCTTCCTTTATAAGTGGCCCCATTTTTTTCTCTCTCTTAGAAATTTTTTAAATTGTCTTTTCACTAATTTCAACAGTATGTAAAATTTAAGTATGTGTCTTTTCCCCATCAAACTCACTTAGCCTTGGTGAGGACTTCAATATGAGTGATCTAATTTTTCTTAAACCTAGGATATTTTCATTTCATTATTTATTATTATTATTCTCTCCTCCATCCTCTTTCCTATCTGTTCTCATCTCTTAGAACTTTTTTTAGTCAGCTACTTAACTTCCTGAACCCATTTTTTATGGTTTTACTTTCTCTTTTATTTCTTATGGCATTTTTGGTTTTGGTTGTTGGAAATTTCTTTGCTTGAGCTTCTAGATCAATAACTTGATTTTCAACTCTATTATAATGTTTGAGAGGTCTAATGACTTTGATTTCAGCAATCTTATTTTAATTTCCAAAAATTTCTTTCTTGACTTGTTTTGCAGTACAATTGCCTTCCTAATCTTTCTAAGGATAATATTTAGAATTTTTAGAGTTGTTTTTGATCCATTTGATTCCTCACATTTCTATTGATAACATTTAGAATTTTTAGGGTGATTTGGGATCCATTTGATTCCTCAAATTTCTTTTGATCTTTTGTTCATATTTCTGAAGCATACAGGTTGCTGCTCTGGTCTGGATGTTTCTGTCTCCCCAAAATTCATACATTGAAATTCTAACTCCCAAGGTGATGGCATTAAGAGGAAGAGGCTTTGGGAGTTGATTAGATCCATCACAAAAGGGTTTAGTGACCTTTTTCCAAGAGAGGTGCTTTTCCCTTTCCACCATGTGAGGATAGAGCAAGAAGGCACCATTTGTGAACCAGAAAACAGGCACTTACTAGATACCAAATCGGCTGGCACTTTGATCATGGATTTTCCAGCTTCCAGAACTGTGAGATGTTTCTGTTGCTTATAAGTTACCTGGTTTATGGTATTTTGTTATAGCCAAAACGGACTAAGACAGTTGCCTTGAGATGCCATATCATCAATACTGTTAAACGTTCTCCAGGTGATTCTCATGTGGGATAAAGCCATAGGAATGTTGCTACAGGGTCATAGGGTAGGTGTATGATTATGTACATTCTTCTTCACCTTGTCTTTGGTCGTTTAATAACATATCCTGCATATTTTTCCTTATCAGTATATAAAAAGCTCCTTCCTTCTTTTTTACAGCTTCATAGCACTCCATTGTGTGATGGATCATTGTTATTTCACTATTTCTCTGTTGATTTGAAAACTGTGAGTTCCAAATATCACACCAAAGAATTCTTTCTTTTAATTCTGTAGTGAATAATCTTATCCATCTGTCATTTCAAACATGTGCAGTTATACCTGCAAGATAAATTCTTGAGAGAGGAATTGCAGGCTCAAAAGTTAAGTGTGTTATTAATTTTGGTAAATACCAACCAATTGCCCTTCAATTTTAAACATGAGGAAGCAGCCCCAGAAAGATGAGGTGATTTGATCATACTTTCTTAACAAGTTTATTCCAGGGTGGGAACTAGAACCATCACCTCAAAACCTTAAACCCAGTATTTTTTCCACTGTGTCATGCCGCTTTTCACTGTGCTTTATGAGCAGAAACAATAGCTACATCAGTCAATTGGGTGGAACCGATCATAAGGGGCTACTCAGGATAACAGGGATAGGTATCTAGAAAAGGACCGAATACCTGTTGTCTTAGTCGTCTCAGGCTGCTGTAACAACAATACCACAAACTGACGGGCTTAAACAACAGATGTTTATTGCTCACAGTTCTGGAAACAACAGATGTTTATTGCTCACAGTTCTGGAGATTGGAAAGTTCGAGATCAAGGTGCCAGCAGATTCAATGTATGGTGAGAGTATTCTTCCTGCTTTGCAGATGGCCGTGTTCTCAATGAGGCCTCACATTGCAGAGAGAGGGAGCTCTAGTCTTTCTCTTTTTATAAGAGCACTAGTTTCACCCTTGGGACTCCACCTTCATGCTCCCATCTAAACCTAGTTTCCTCCCCGAGGCCCGGTCTCCTACTACCATCCATTTTATGGGGATATAAACATGCAGACCATAACATCATGGTTTCAAGAAATAATAAAAAGATATATCCATATGAAGATAATGCAACATAATGTTGCTATTTAAAAAAATGGAGTTCGGTATGCTATGAAGTGTAAGGAAATTTTGGAGAGAGAAATCAGAGTAAGAAAAACTAAAACCAGAAACACCAGAGATAATAGCAGTTTTTCTCAACTCCCAAAGAAGCTTCCAAAGAAACTCCAAGTACAAAGTCAACAAGGACAAAGAAAAAAGTAGATCATCAGGCAATTGCCAATATATGTAAGAATTAACTTTAGAATAGTTGGTCCAGCTATTTCCCTAGCCCTCACCCCACCCCAGGACAGAGAGGCTACTATATAGCTGGCATGGAGAGTTCCTGCCCTTGGTATAAAATTCAAGACCTGTTCTCTGTTGAAGAGGTGGCTGATGAGACTGGGAAGGGATTCTAGTAAACATCCTGGACCTGGGAAGGAAAAGAAATGGAGATTTAGGTGACTCTAGACCTCTAGAGGGAAAATATAAAGGAAACAGCTTTGTCCAGAAGTAGAAACAGGAAAGCCCTCTACCGCCAGAATAAGGATCTCCTTCTTCGGCTATTGTAAGGATTCCCAGCCTCCTGTCTGCTTCTAGTCAGTGTGCCCTCCTGGGAAACCCACCTGTCCACATGCCCCACCAGTGACACAGAGGTGTTCTCCCCTCCAATTCAGAGGAGAAAGCACTTGGTAAACAAACCCTGGTTTATTTACCCTGATAAGCAGGGTTATGTTCACTTTGTTATAATTCACCCTGCTATTGTGATGTTTGTTATATTCAATACATTTATTTAAAAATCTGATGTATGGACACACATTATGACAAATTAAATCTAGAGGAAGGGCTCAAAAAATTCCCTGCAAATAATTATAAGTCGCAGCCAAGGTTGAGAAACTCTACTCTAAATAACTGGACTAAATAGTTGTATGTATCCAGTATAAAATAATCTCTGCTTTTTAAATATTGAGTTGATAGTGAAAAATCAAACTCTAAACTCACTTAATAGATAATAAATATTGTGCCAAGAGAGCTATTAGCTTATAGTCAATTATAGTAAATATCCAGGGATTCAAGTAAAAAAACAAAGTGACTGTAGTGAATCTACAATGAAATAGAATTCTTTTTAGCATGCTCGGATGAGAGTACCTAGAGTTGATAGAACACCAATGCATCCATCACTCATGATTAACCCATATTTTGCTTCAAATTTCACTTCTAAGTTTTACTTTTCCACTTTCCCATTGATGTTCAGGAAATTTACGGTAATGTGTCTACTCATGAAATTCTTTTAGTCATTCTTGCTGAATTATCATCTGTACATTAATGTCATTCATCAGTTCTGGAAAATACATATACACATATTATGCCATTATATGTTATATTATTTGACATGAATTCAAGTTGTTTAGGTACATAGTCTAATTTCTTTCAGGCACTGGACTTTTTGCTCTTGTGTTCTTTTGCATGAATCCGTTGAAACAAATTAGATAATTTGGTATAAGGATATAGTGGAGCAAAGTAATTCAATGAAATTAACACCATTATCCCAGAAGGTGGACTTGGATCTTCAGTACCTTTTTTCTTGGATTTTTTTTTATCAGACCAGTAATAGAAGTGTGTGTTATTTCCAATTTGTAGGGAAGCGAACACAGTCTGCCTGCTTCCTGTCTCTGTGTTAGATAGAGGAGTCCAGCAGTCACTCATTGAATATAACCTTCAAAAAGACTTTAAGGTTCTTCCTAAGGTGTGGAAATTGGAAGTCTTCTAATTAATGAGAAAAGTTACCCCATTTCTAGTAATTCAGAGATATTCAGGATATGAAATTTAGCTTAAAAAGATATATCCATTATTAAGTGGGATATAGGACAGGAGCTTAATAAATATTTGTGGAATTAATGAAAATACAAATAACTATTTTTTAAATAGGGAGCCAAAAATACAAAAATATAACTACTTGTAGGGATCTTATGCTGAGATTTTATTTGCTCTTTTGCTTAGCATGCCCTCTGCCCCTATGTACGCACATACCTACAGCAAGAGAGAAGCAGAGTTAGAAAATAAATTTAATTTATTCTAGTATGAATTTTGAGAACTGAAATAACCAATAATAACCATACAAATGGGCTATTTATTGTATTAGGACATATATTTAAGCTGCTACACTTTTATGACAATAAGAAAAAAGAAAGAAGCTCTTCTTGCTGATTTTTTCTGTTTTGTTTTATTAGTTGTAGTGAAATTTTTTTTTTTTTGCTTTTTTGTTTGTTTCTTTGTTTACATAACTTGTGAGTGGTGCACTGAATAGGAATGTGCCAATAGGAACTAATATTTATCTAGCAAGCAGATAAAAATCAGTATCTGGAGGATTGTTCAGTAATTTACGCTGAAAATAGAAAGGTTTGATAAGGAACACATTGGATTCCCCTGATGAGTACGTTGTGATTTGGTGCGAAACAAAAGGCTGGAGAAGCTCCCCTCTGTCCCTGCTGTCCTGTCGCAGTTCTACTGCCTGGTCCCATGGCCTCATCACAGAACACACATCATGAGGCAGTCTCTGGAGATCCTGAGCAAACAGAGATTTTGCACACCAATTTGCAATTAAAACACACACACACACACACACACACAGAACGTTTTCTACAGTTGACTTTAAGTGCTGTTAAAGCCAGCTTTAGAAAGGGTTTTACATATATCATGTTTTCCTTTCCTATATTCATTTTATTTCTCTCACTGAAATCAGGAGATGAATCCTGAGCACACTGGATAACCTAACACCACGCAGCAAAGCTCTGAGTGAAGTACACTGGGCTTTTATCTTGTCTCCCTTCCTTTGGAAGCTTCTAAAGATGGCTGGGGGACAAATAATCTGTCACTCCCAACGTACAAAGGTCCCTCTTCAGACCGTTTGGGTCAACAACAAATCCTCCTAGAAAATTCAGCATGCTGTCCTGTGACTGCTGAGGTTCAGTGCTTGAATCAAGGGAGGTCAGACCCAAATCCAAAGGGCAGCTGGCAGGAGCCCAGTCGCAGATCCATCTCAGAAGAACCATCGGCAGTGGGGAAGTAGATCCTGAATGGCCTTTCAATTCAGGCTTCTCCCAGAAGGAGGCCCCTTGGGACTTAGCAAGGACTGTTTCTCTATAGTCAATTACTGAAGACCTGGAAGCTTTGGATAATTAATTTAGTTTATTTCTTCATTCAGAAGATTTTCTTGAATAACCAACACTTAAAAATCATGTGAAGACCATCACCAGTGTTAGATATAGCTGAGAGAAGAAAGAATTGGAAGGAATTTATCACAAGTATTTACTAATACAGCCCCTGTTTGCTCCTTTTCTCAATAATATTGGCTGAACACCTGCTGTGTGCTAGGCCGTGTGTGACATAGACCATCGTATAAGGCCTTGGTCTAGTCTTCATGGAGTTTTCCATTCACACATGAAGATAAGAGCTGAACCCAAGTGTTTATAGTGCAGTGGACTTTGTGGTCAGAGGCACAATAGCCAATGCTTTGTGGAACAGTAAAGTAACTCTCAAGAACATAGGAAGGGGGTGAGGGGAAGGAAGCATTGCCTTCTGGGAGTTAAATCAAGCAGGTATACTTAGACATATTTAGTGGTTGAATTTGGTCAGGGGATAAACCAAAGATACTGTGCTGCCACCGAATTTGGGGGAAGCAGAACTGCACTTGAAGGCTCCTTAGTATCCCAGGGTGGGGGGCAATGTTGTGATGATTGTATTGTTGGCCATTCTGAGTAAAACTGAGTCAACATGTGGTCAACCCAGAGAGGACAGAACTCCGAAGTCCAGAAACAGGAAATGATCTTTGGCCTAAGGTTATGAGCAGTTCAGCCTCTGTGACAGAGAAATTCCTGTTTTGACTCATCAAGCCAGCAGTTTGGTTTGATTCCACACTCACTAAAAATTCTGATTCTAAATTGGCTTCTGGTTCAGGCCTATCCACTGGGGAGAGACTGTTTTACTCATGTAATGCACAGACTTCCATCCATGAAGGTTCTAGCTGTTGCTGTAAATTAATTAATTTAGTGGCATTCTGCGATGCACGTGCACACACACACATCAGTTCCATGAGCTGATGTGATGTGTATTTATTCCTGAGAGGCAGTTCTGCCCAGGATGTGCTGCTCAAAGTTAAGTGCCTCAGCCTACTAAACTGAAGATCAGATACTGGCCTTGGTGAATGTCCCAAGGTGCTATGAAACCACTTGGCAGCCAGCCATCTGCCCTCTTCTAGTGACACCCCAAGCTAACTGGTTGCTCTTTAGATGAAACTAAACATAAGCCAAATGGTACAAACTGTGCCAGACCAGCAGAGGATGTTCATTTTACTTCTAGCTAGAGTGATCATGGAAACACTATCCTTAAACAAAACGTAGAAGTTCATTAAGCAAAGAACGGTGTAAATGAGAACCACAAAGGCCATGTCATGAGGCAGACACAAAGGGATGTGCCCAACATGGGCAGTCAGGAGCTGGAGGGGACATGTCTGTTAGGAGATATCATGGAAAAGGTGGACTGGGCTTTTGTGGGAGGCCTGAACTGCTAGAATCATCCTTTTGAATCACTGAGTAGGAACTAAAGAACAATTGATAGGTTTGAGTAAAAGAATCTGCACTGTATATGATACTGCAACCAAAGACGGATTCAATTCAAGTACAATTTAGAGGCAGACACAGGTTTGCAAGCTGTTGTCATGAGATAGCCAAGGCATCAAGTAGGATGGAGGCAAATGGATGAATGAAAGGAAGGTATAAGAGTGACAGGGGCCGGGCGCGGTGGCTCACGCCTGTAATCCCAGCACTTTGGGAGGCTGAGGTGGGTGGATTGCTTGAGGTCAGGAGATCAAGACCAGCCTGACTAACATGGTGAAACCCTGTCTCTACTAAAAATACAAAAATTAGCCGGGCGTGGTGGTGGGTGCCTGTAATCCCAGCTACTCCGGAGGCTGAGGCAGGAGAATCGCTTGAACCTGGGAGATGGAGGTTGCAGTGAGCCAAGATGGCGCCATTGCACTCCAGCCCAGGTGACAGAGCGAGACTCAATCTCAAAAAAAAAAAAAGTGATAGAAATGGGAAGGAAATTCCATTAAAGTGTCCATTAATTAGTGAGCTTTCCTCCTCTGGGTGAGATTTTTAAATAGAATGGTGCAGCGATAACATTTTGCAATATGAGAGTCAAAAGGAGCATCTCCCCTCATTTTAAGTGGGATCCGGCTCCAGGAAGATGGCAGCAAGATGACTGTGAACCAAGGAGCAGGGAGGACATTAGCACAGATGCTGAGTGGCCCAAGGAAGGTCGGGGAGAGACTGAGGAAGTCGGGGAAGCCAGCTTGGGTAAAGTGTTTGGCATGGGTGGTTTAGATGAGTTATGGAGTCAGAGGTGTGTTGGGCTGCTTCAGCAGGGTGGAAAACAGACGGCGAGTGAATCAAGGTTATGTTAGGAGAGTAATGAGGTCCAGAGCATAGAAACAGAAGTCTTAGTGAGGGAAACTAATGGAGAACTGTAGGCCTGAGAGTGGTAAATTATAATAGCTTATAGTAAAATTTATCTCATAGAGTCTAGGGTGGAGGAAGGATGCCAGCTAATCAATAGGCCAGGTAACTTCAAGATAACCTTCATTTGAACTAACTACTCTGCTTGGGTTTAAGAGAAGCTGCAAACTGGAACCCTTGTGTGTTGTTGGTGGGAATGTAAAATAGTGGAGTTGCTGAAAAAAAGTTTGGCGGTTTCTCTAAGAGCTAAACATAGAATTACCATATAACTCAGCAATTCCTCTCCTGGATATATACCCAAAATAATTGAAAACAGGGACTCAAGCAAATACTTTTATACCAATCTTCATTACAGCATTATTCACAATTGCCAAAGGTGGGAACAACCCAAGTATTCATCAAGAGGTGATGAATAAACAAAACGTGGTACATACATACAATTAAATGTTATTTAGCCGTAAAAAGGAATGGAGTTCTGATATATTTACGGCATGGACAAACCTGAAAACATTATGCTAAGTGATACAAGTGAGACACAAAAGGACAAATATTGTATGACTCCACTAACATGAAATATTAAATAATAAGTAAATTCATAGAGACAGGAAGTAAGTCACCAGGGGCTGGGAGGAATGGGAGTTATTGCTTGATGTTTAACAGAGTTCCTTTTTGAAGTGATGGAATAGTTTGAGAAATAGACAGTTGTGATGGTTGCACAATATTGTGAATACAAGTAATGCCACTGAATTGTACACATAAAAGAGGTTAAAATTAGGAAGCAACCAAAATATCCTTCAGTAGGTGAATGGATAAATAAATTGTGGTAAATCCAGGCAATGGAATGTTATTCCACAGGTGAAAGAAATGATTAAACCATGAAAAGACATGGAGAAACTTTAAATGTACAATACTAAGTGAAATACTAAGACACTGATCTGAAAATAGTACTTACTGATTCCAATTAGATGATATTCTGGGCAAGGTAAAACTAGGGAGACAGTAAAAGAATTAGGGGTTGGGGAGAGGACGGGATGAATAGGCAAAGCACAGAGGATTTTTAGGGCAGTGAAACTATTTAGTATGCTCCTATAATGGTGGGTACATGTCATTATACATTTGTCAAAACCCATAGGATTCAGCAAGAGTGAACCCTAACATAAACATGGACTTGAGGTGGTAGTTATGTGTCAATGTAGGATTGATTGTAACAAATGCACCACACTGGTGGGGGGAAAGGTGGTAATGGGGCAGCTGTGGGTAGGGAGGGGGGCAGGGGTATATGGGAAATCTCTGTACTTGGCTGCTAATTTTGCTGTGAACTCAAAACTGCTCTAAAAAATAAAGTCTGTTAATAATGGTTAAGATGACAAATTTTGTTATCTCTATTTCACCAAAATAAAATAAAATTATAAAAAGAGAAACTGTGAAGGCTGCTGTAGGATTTAGGATGGGAGAGAAAGTGCAGTGTGAGCCTCCCCTGGGCAGCTGCCCCTGTTTCCCTGAGAGGATAGAAGGGGCTGTTGTACCGTCTCGAGTGGAGCCAGCACCCCAGCATCCCCCAGCGACTCTCAGAGTCAGCCTTGTGGGACCTAAATAGCTTCCTCGTTGATTGGAATTAGCTCCATTGCCAGTCCCTGCTGCTAGAATACATGTGTGGACCAGGGGAGTATTTGAAGTGCTGGTTTCTGAAGCTTTTTGTTTGGTAGAATGCCAAAGAACACAGCTTTTGCTGTCATAATTGGTCTAAATTTAAATGCTCACTTGTTTTTGTTTCAGACTGGTTTGTGTGTGCATGGACACAGCTTAAGTTTGTGGGTATAGAGTATATTTTGTCAACATGGAGAGAGTGAATCAGAGCTTTTGTTGTCTAAATCAGCCCTTGTTTTCAGTCCCGATGTCCCTATGCTTTGATAAATGTCCTCCAGCCTGTGAGTCAAGGAGAGGTTGGAATCCAACTACTTAATTGGAGGTTTTCCAGTTCACAGTAGTTAACTTTTCTGCAACTTGTCTCCTTAATTTAGAACAACATTCAAAGAATAATAAGCACTATACCTCACATTAGCTTGGCCTATTTCTAGACTGCTATATAGAGTATTCAGAACTAAAAGACATTTGTTGTCTTTCAGGAGTTTTCAGTATGATTGTAGAGGAAAAAGAAAACTCTGGAAATGTATTAGCAATGTTCACTCAAATTGCTAAATGAGCTGGTTTAATAGTTTTCAGTGAATGCAGCATTAATTTGCATATTAAATCACATTACATCTTCTTCCATTAATGAAATTATTTTTAGATTTAGGCAATCAATACAGTCCTTTGCAATATTAAAATCCTGATGTACAAAATAGTGCCAGCTCAATTGTATGTTCAGATACTTTCTAAAACATCTTAATTCATTGATACTCATTCTTCTCTCAAGTTCAAGTTCATGGCCGGGGAGATAGTTGTGAAGTGGGCAGCGTGTGTGACGGCTGAGGAAAGTAGCAGCTGTCTTGTTGTTATTGTTGTTTTTCCAGATCGGCTTTCCTGTTGTCCCATGCCAGAAAAACAATGAAATTCTGTGATTTAAACACATTTATTAAATGCCCTGTGTAGTAGGGTAAGTGCAGTTATGGACAAGACAAGCACAGTGCCACACATGAGGCTCTATAAGAGGAGACAGCCCTGGCATCTTGGGACAGTCAGATTTGTGACTGCCATCACAAATTATTTCAGTAAGAGAGAAATGGAGGGAGTATCTGTAGTAATCAGCTTGACTGTCCAGGGAGTCTTCTGACAAGGTCAGATTTTAAAAGGGCAGACACAAGTCTTACTTATTAAATTAGCTAATGACATGAGGCTTAGAGAGAGAGGGACCTATTGGCTGACAGGATTCAAAAGGATCTCAGGCTAGAATGATGGGCCAAATCCACAGAGAAGAAAGTTACAAGGGATAATTTTAAGACCTGGCACTTGGATACAAAAAGAACACCACCACCAGAGGATAAAGGATATATGGTTAGCAAGTATGGAAAAGTTTTAGTTGAAAATAAACTAAAGTTGTGAGTCATCAATATGGCAAAAGCTTTCCAAATGTGCATAAGCTTCCCAGAATGCTTATGCAACCCTAGACTGTATTAATAGACTGTGGTATTTAGTGAGAGGAAAGTGATAGCATAAAGCATTTGGAGGCAGTACACACAGATGTCAAGCAAATGCTCTTTGGGGTCAGACAACCCAGTTTTAGATCCCAGCTCCAACTCACAGTGTAGTAGAAGCTTTTCTCCCCCCCAGATCAGGCCACAAGTGATTCATAAAAATATCCAACATACATGAAACTTTTAAACTTAAATGCTGAAGGTTCATTCTTTCACAAATTATTTGATGTAGGATCAAACCTTTTCCTTTGAGGGCATATCAAGTACACATTGGTATGGCCATATCTGGATTTTGTGGCTGGCCTTTGTTCTCATTTGTTTGATATGTGTTCTGATTGGTTATAACAATATGTGAATATCATCCTTCAGAATATGAATCCCCTGACTGAAGTTTGTCATTTAAATAAAACTCACCCATATTGAATCATCTAAGAAGATTCCTAGCTGTTGCTTCTTCTTCTTGCTCTTTTTTTTTTTTTTTTTTGTCATGGGGCAAGTACTTAAAGTCATCTTCCAATCAATCTAAATCTTTCTAGAATTTTTACATTTTTCCTTTTATCTCTTAATAGTTTTCTTGCTCTCATTTATTGAACAGCAATTTTTTAAGAGACCCATCTGCAACAAGTTTCTCTAAGCATTCACCTTAACTTTTTTTTCTTTATTTTAGTTTATTTTAAAGACAGGGTCTCACGGTGTTACCCAGGCTGGAATGCAATGGTGCAATCATAGCTCACTATAGCCTCATCCACCTGGGCTCAAGTCATCTTCCAGCCTCAGCCTCCTGAGTAGGTGGGACTTCAGGTACACACTACCACACCTGCCTACTTAAAAAAAAAATGAAGTCTTTCTATGTTGCCCAGGCTGTTCTCAAACTCCTGACTTCAAGCAATCTTCCCGCTTTGGCCTCCAAAAGTGCTGGGATTACAGGCGTGAACCACGACACCTGGCCTTAATTTTCATATAAAGAACAACTTTTTTCTCATTCATATTCATCAGCCTATCTAATAAATACTTTATTAAGTTACGTAATTAAAATGACAACTATAACTGGCATAAACAGGATGGGGACAAACAGCTGTCTCACATAAAATTCAAAATAATTGGATAGATCCTAGAGAACAGCCCACCAGCTGTGTGCATTCGGGATACTTGGGCATCAGCAAGATCCAATGGAGAACATTGGTTAATCTGGCCAATTGGTTAACATCCTTAAACAACTTCTTAACTTTTCTAGAGCATGTCATTTAATATAGACTACAGCAGCTCTGCTACTTTCTTGCTTACACTGCCAACTTAATTCCTTAAGCATCAGTTCCCTCAGCTGTAAAATAAGGATAGTAGAATAATACCTGCCTCTCAGGGTTGTTGTGAGGTCTAAATGAGATAACAGGCACAGAGAAAATTCTTAGTAAATATTTGTTATCTTTTTATTAATAGACATAGTATGTTCTGTAATGGTCAGACCACAGGCATAGATTGTTTTCCCTTAAAACACTCTGATACATAAAACTGTAAACACATACAGAGCAGAAATCCTGGTTTTCAACTTTGCATCCTTCTCACATTGTAAGGATTTAATAAATGTTTCTGGAATTCATTGATCATATTACATTTTTATGGGGAATATGAAGGAACAGGATCACAATCAGAGTGAAGTCACCAGGATGGTTATGAGAATTGAAGAATGGTTTTTGATTAAAAAGTGGAGGCATTTGGTCCGAAGAGGGGCTTACTCAGTAATACAAACATCCTCAGCTATATGAATGTTTATTTTATGAAGAATCACTGAGCTTGTTCTGTAAGACTCTAGAAAGAGAGAGAGAACAAGGACCACTGAATAAAGTTCTAGGCAGACAGATTTCAGCTTAGTAGAAACAAGAATTTTAACAGAGAATTTAAAGATGAAATAGGTTCCCTTGGGAGATAGTTAGCTCCCTGTCACACCACGTTCAAAGACAGGCAGGATGACCAACTTGGCAGTGATAGTGTAGAATAAATTCAGGGAATTCATTTAGATAATGGGAACTTCCCTCAAATTGTAATGGCAGCACCAAAATCAGTTACTGAGTAAAATCTACTAAGAGGGATTAGACAGAAGACACTCTGGGTCTTTAGACTGCCAAAATAAGCATAGTACTACATGTTATTGTTTCATCTTTACTATAAAAAGCTTTCTTTTTTAAAAGAATGATTATTTATTGTCTCAAAATGCCTCAGACATGACTTAAAATATACGTATATTTAATATGAGAATTCCATATATCAAATCAAGAAGGAAAAAAAGGATCTTAATGTTTATTTTTAATAATATTATTGGCCAGGCATGGTGGCTGATGCCTGTAATCTCAACACTTTGAGAGGCCATGATGGGAAGATTGCTTGAGGCCAGGAGTTGGAGACCAGCCTGAGCAACGTATCGAGACTCCATCTCTACAAAAAAATTTTTTTAAAAGACCAAGTGTGGTGGCTCACGCCTGTTATCCCAACACTTTGGGAGGCCGAGGCAGGCAGATCACCTGAGGTCAGGAGTTTGAGACCAGCCTGGCCAACATGGTGAAACCCTGTCTCTACTAAAAACATTCAAAAATTAGCCAGGCATAGTGGCGGACACCTGTAATCTCAGCCACTTGGGAAGTTGAGGCAGGAGAATCGCTTGAACCCAGGAGGCAGAGGTTGCAGTGAGCCAAGATTGTGCCATTGCACTCCAGCCTGAGTGACAAGAATGAAACTCCATCTCAAAAAAAAAAAAAAAAAATTAGCTGGGCGTGGTGGTGCACACATGTAGTCCCAGCTACCTAAGAGGCTAAGGTGAGAGGATCACTTGAGCCGAGGAGTTCAGGCTGCACAATTAAGACATGATTGTGCCACTGCACTGCAGACTTGCTGAGAGAGCAAGACCCTGTCTCTAAAAGCAACAAAAAATAAACCCTTAAAATATCACTACAGTAGAATCTTCTAAAGGAGCTAAATACCTTGAAGATGTGCAGGCTCCCAGTTCCCCTCCTTCTGATTTAATTGGTCTGAGATGGCATAAGCTTTCTAGGACTGTGTTTCTCAAACTATCTGTATAAATAACCAGCTGTTGTTTAGGTGCCAATCTGATGCTTTTATAACATGCACAATCAAATGATTAAATAATGTTCTAATATCAACTTGCCATAAAAGTTTCCAAACACAGAAGTATCTATCTTAGACTGCTGATAGTTTGTAGACTGTACTTCTTTAAGGGGCAGTGATTCTAACATAAAGCTGGAGTGACCAGCCCCTGGCTTACAGAGCCTGGGTTATATCTGTCAGTCATTACCTTCCATAGAACTTGTTTCAAGATGGTATATCTACTAGTATTTTATACTTTAATAGCCTGAGGACACATTTTAGTCAGGAACATTGACATATAGTTCGGGTGCTCCCAAAGCACATAGGAAAAGGCTAGACCTTTATCAAATATCCTGTATCCCAGGCATTGTCAAGGGTCTGTGAGACAAAAGCTGACTCTGATCTAGGTTTTGCCCTAAATAGGTTCACATTCGGGTATGGGCAAGGGAATGCAATTCACATACGTTCAAATCATTACAATGTAATTTAGCAAGTGGTGTAATAAAGTCATGTCCAGGCTGGTGGCGCAGGAAAAGCCTGTGAATGTCAGAGGTTGCCTAAGTTTGGAAAGAGGACTAACCTCTTATGTTTTAAATAAGATCCCGCCTAACCTGCCTTGCTAAAGGATAAACAGGAGTAGACACATGATGGGTTCTCAGTAAGTGCATGTTTCTCAGTTAGGAGGTTATTTATCATACATTTTAGTAATAACTGTATTACATGCTAAGCATAGGTTAACATGTACATGCATAATCACTGTTGTTATGTTTCATTTTATTGGCCAAGTTCACATTTAGTCACATTATGTCCCAAACATTGTAACTGAATTAGAATCCTTGAGACTCCCTTAAAACAAAGAAGTAACAGTAAAAGCTGTCCTTACTTAAAGCTCAGTGTGGTTAGAACCTGTGCTAGGTTTTAGTAATATGCGAACCTCTCCAATGCCTACTGGGTTGCTGGATAATGACCCCCAGGATGCATATTTCACTTGTACTCAAGTGGCTGGAAATAGTTTACTGTGGCACCTCTGCCTTTAGAAGGCCCTGGGGACTTATTATTTTAATCCTTGTACAGCCTGATTTATCCCTTCAAACATCTGTCAGCTGTGCTTTGTCTTGAAATTGGTACTGATGCTGCTGCTGATTTTTCAACAACAGCTGGGAGACGTTCATTAGTTAGACTCTCAGAGGGTATGTATGGCTTTAATATTTTATTTTACTGATGATCTCTGAAGCATTAAATATTATGCATTCCATATCTACAGGAAATCTTGAATTTTTATTTCCCTGCATCAACACTCGAAGCATTAGGTTTTACTCAATTAGCTAAATTATTAACAGTTCAGTCACTGGGTCCTGACGATATAAAAGAAAAATGGACTTTAAGTTCCTGGGTTAAATACTTGCTATTTAATACAGGCGAGAGAACATGGCCCATTCACTCCAGCAGACATAAATAAAAGCCAAAGCACAATTTTTCTTAAATGATTTCCAAATTAATTTGTCAATAGAACATCCTTTGATTTAGTTCTCATTAAGTTTGATTTAGCATTCATTTGCTTTACCTCCTTCTACACTCAGAATAGAGAAGTTCTTTTTCCCTTCCTTCTTCCTAAACTTCCCTATCTTCTCTTTGCTTTGGCCATTGTTAAAGCTTATTTGTCTGCTCAAAGATTTAAAAATCTTTCACTTTTTGTTGTTGTTGTTGTTGTTCTTAGCACCTGGCAATTTAGTTCTCACATCCAATGTAGACGGAGGCAGCAACATTTTGTACTGTATTTGAAGCATTGAACACTCTCTGTCAAAGAAATAGTCATCCCTCTGGCTTCATTTGTCACTCTATTTCTATCATTTTTTCTCTTCAAGTTAATTTATGCAGCTTATTGTGTGGGGGTTGGGAGGGTGGGAAGGTAACTCAAGAAAAATTTTGAATCTTTTGTAGTTTCTTCTGATAGTGGTTGGGTAGGGGTGGAAGCCATGAGGTGAGAAGAGGCTATTGGACGATTTTATAGTTTTATTCAAGTCAGGACCTAAGTATGGAATACACTAACAGAAAAAGAAACAGGCCAGATGCTTTTGCTCATGCCTGAAATCCCAGCACTTTGGGAAGCCAAGGTGAGAGGATCACTTGGGCCAAGAGTTCAAGACTAGCCTGGGCAAAATAGCAAGACTTCCTGTCTCTACAAAAAATCTTAAATATTTAGCTAGGGATGGTGCTGTGTGCCTGTAGATCCAGCTCCTCAGAAGGCTGAGGCAGGAGGAACATTTGCACCCAGGAGTTTGAGATTACAGTGAGCTATCATTGTGCCACTGTACTCCAGCCTGGGAGACAGAGAGAGACCCTGTAAGAAAGAAAGAAGGAAAGAGAAAGGAAGAAGAAAATGAGGAAAAAATGAAATAAAGGAAGGGGAAGGAAATAAAAAGAAACAGTCTCTGGAAAATGATAAAGTGGCCTCTGTGTTGCAGAGAATTCTCCTGATATTCCTCCACACTAGCTTTGCCTTAAACCGGAGTAACCGACCTCTCCTATGATAGACAGTGGCAGGGCCTGATCCATGTCAAAGCCAACTGCCTGTGTGGGTGGTGTTCACCTGGAAATAAAATGTTATCTAGAGTCTTCCCACCTACCAAAGCGGAGATTCGTATGCAAGCCAGAGCCCCAGATGAATGAGGCAAGTTTCTGTAACATATGGATGACACTGCTTTATGATTTGTACTAAGACCTTGAGCTCTTTAAAGGAAAGATATGTGTCTTATTCATTTCTGCATCTCCCTGAAATATTAAAAAGCAACATCATATAATGAAAAAGACACAGAGTAAGTAATTAGACAACCAGGGTCTCAAAGTCAGAATCTGATCCCTCCAAGCCGCAATCTCCTCATCTGCATGCTGCAGATGATACCCACCTGACCCAAAGAAGCAAATCACCAAGCATACAATAAACCTTCAGTGAACAGCCCTTCTTTTTATCCTTCCTTCTACAGTACCTTGTGTGTAGTTGGTGCTCAAAAAATATGGCTGCTCTTCCCCAGGGTGTGTGTGTTCTCCCCCTTGCTTTCTTCTTCCTTCCTATCCATCTTTGTATTCCTATTTCTTTTCTAAAACCCGCTCTGTTTTTCTGTTTGCTTTTTGATTTTCTTCTCACTTATTTATGGCTTACATCAGATAATTGCATTCAGTTCTGCCAACCAATGGGCATTCCCTAGGCTGGCTGATACCACACCAGGCTAAAGATATTCTTGACCTTTATCGTAAAACAAGGTATAACCCACCCCACCCCACTTCTCACCCACTTGGGCCAGCAGATTGCAAACGCTCCTAGAATTACACGAGCTACTGCACAGTTAAGATCCTCCCAACCTGACAACAGCACTGTTACCTGGCATGCTTCCTATTTGATTGCTTTCGCTTTTTCCCCAGAAGGTATTATCATGAATAGTTTTACAATTGAGTCTATTTACCAGATTTATAATTCTTCCTGCCTGCCTTTGTCGCTTTTCTTAAAACGCCGTTCTCTACATCTCTTTCAAACTGCCTCCTTTCCAGCACCACGTCTTGCTCAAGACTCCAGGGGATGAGAACAGATGTGAAATTCTCCTGCAGTTAGAAGATATCAGCGCCACTGTGGTTCAACCACCGATATGAACCAACACATAATTACAGTTTAAGATTAGTATTTTAATGAACCAGTCTTAGCAAATGTAAAGCGAAATCTCTCAGGCATCCAAGAAACAAGCAGGAGGGAGGACATTAAGAAGTCCAACAGACGGATGGTCAGCAGGTGCTGGTCTGATAGAGTTGGACATTCCCATTTTTATGTCTTGCACGAGGGGGAAGGAAGCCCATATTTAAAGGTGAACAGAGAGGCCTAAAGAGCCATAACAAATTCTCATCAATCACAGACAGGAGGCCTTAATTCAAGAACTTCAAATTAAATGTCAGTGCAAAATATGGGGAAATAAATTCCATATTCATTTAAACCTAATGTGAAAATTCTCTTTTTTCCTTTCAGAAATTAATGGTATCATTAAATATTTATGTGGCTTGATACCCAGCAGTAATTGTTAGTAATATCATAAACTGTTTCAGCACAGTAGAAATTTTCAGCACCAGATGTCGATAGGTGAAAAGATTGTTGAATAGTTAAGGTTTATTTTTTAAATGTTTATAGTGCTAAATATGTATTTTCCTAAAGGCTTGGTTATTATACAGCCTACTCAAAGGAAAAGCTGTACATAATGTTAAAAATGGTTTGAATGCTGGATTAAAATGGGCTATTAGATGCATCGCTGTAGGGATAATAAAGGGATTTGGGGACTTGGGTTCTGCTTATTTTCCAGGGTGCACTTGCTCAGGGAACTTGGATTCGTTGCTTAAACTCTCTGTGCCCTGATCTCTCATCTGCAACATGAGGATATTATCACTTGCCTTACATGGCTTACTGGGAAATAGGAAAACAGAATTTGGTGACGCCCTCAAACAGCACAGCCCAGCACAAGGATGTATTCAGCACCTGAACGGAACAATGTTATCTTATTACATTGAACGTGCATTGAGGAAGGCATATTAACACACAAGCCTCGACTTATATCCTAATCTATGTTGGCGTCCTGCAGCCAAAATAGATTTACTTTCGACCTTTTGAATTAAAGATTGCTATTAACAAGAAAATACGCATGAACGTGTTTTCGCAGCTGATACTTTGCACCCCAGCAGGAAGCTGGCTGGGATCAAATAGGAAAGTTCTCACCCAAAGCTCTGACTCAGCCTAATCCTTGCAGAAAATGTGTCCCTTGTGCTAGCATTCATCCTTCTCAGAAGCCTGGCCCAGCAAGGCCTGCCCTCACTCCCATGTCCGCCTTAGGCTACCTGCATTAACCTACTTGCTTCTTTAACCCTACTCATCGAGTCTCACCGCTGCCCCTAGGCCATCTCTACCATCCCGTGTGCCGGATGCTGCTTTCACAGAGAGTAGCACAGGAAGCCAGAGGGAAATGTCTTGCCTTCTCCCCCTACTCTGTTAAGGATGATTCTTAATGAATTATTCACAAGGCATAGACTGGTAATCTAGATTGCCTTGTTTCTTTACTTTCTCTCTTTTCACAGCTCTACCCTGGGGTCAGCCGTGATTGGATAAGGGAGGAAAAAAGCCTTCCTCTTTGCTCTTTTCTCCCTGGGCTATAGGGCAGCACTTTCATTTCCATAGACACTTTTATTTGTTCTGCTCCCCAAAGATTAAGATTTGTACTTTATTGACAACTGCAAAATGGGTTTGTACTCATTCCAATTTTCTCTGCATATGTAGTTGAAGCTTTGTTACATATTATATTATTGTCCAAGTGGGGAGATTGCTTTATGTTGTGTATGTGTATATATATGTTTATGTACATACATACATTCACATACATTTTCAATAATTTTTTCATTTCTATTTAGTGTAATGAGCATTTATTAACCATCATGTCCCTGGTATGCTAAGAATCCAATATACAAAACTAAATTTGTTAAATGCCTAATTATTTACTCTCCGGGCATCAAAGTACTTTGAGTCCCAAAATTCATTACCCTTTTCAATTTCACCAGAAACTAGAAGACTAAATAATTCTACTTTCTTTCTTTATTTACTTTAGAGATGCAATCTCTCTTTGTCTCCCAGGCTGGAGTACAGTGGTGTGATCATAGCTTACTGCCCCCTCTAATTCCTGGGCTCAGGCAATCCTCCTGCCTCCATCTCCCAAGTAGCTGGAACCACAGGCACGCACCACCACACCCGGCTAATTTGTAAATTTTTTGTAAAGACGAGTTTTGCCATCTTGCCCAGGTTGACCTTGAACTCCTGGGCTCAAAGGATCCTCCCGCCTTGGCCTCCCACAGTGCTGAGATTACAGGCCTGAGTCACCACGCCTGGCCCTGATGCCACATTAAATAGCAAGTTACCTGAATCTGTTCACCTTCATCTGGGAATATTTTAGTTCCTGAGTCTTACTGGAAGACGTTATTAAATTTCTACCTGTTTATTATTGACTTCTTTCAAAATAGGGAAGTGCATTAAAAATAAAGGGAAAATTATGAGAAACCTTTCTGCCCAGTCATAACCTATATGTACTTTAGGATATTCATTCTAACTTTTTTCCATTGATTTTGATATACAGTATACTTGAAATAGTACTTTATATACAATTTCGTAACTATTTTAACCTAACATTATAGAAATGAGTATCCCCCATATTATTAAAACCCATATCATTTAAAAATACTGGATAATAAGTTCTTAAGTAAATGTATTAAAATCACTTAAAATTTTTCTTCAAATTTGAGAGATTTTGGTTGTTTGCAGTTTATCAAAGTATAAATAACATTGTAGTGAACATCATTGTGCATTCGTCACCATTGATATTGAGGAAAAATTTCCTAAGGACGCTTCAGAAGTACAATTATTACATCAAAAGAGTGAAGAACTTTAAGGTTTTTTGGTGCATATTATAAATTGCTTTCCAGAAATGCTTTACTAATTTATATTGTCATAACAAAGTGAAATAGGCTTTCAAGCAGTAGGTATTTCATTCTGAAGAAATATTTGTTGTTTTCATATATTTCATATTTGCTAATTTGTTAATCACAAAAGTATCTGTTGTTTATGTACTTAATTAGTAGTAATGTTGAAATTTTTATTAAATGTTAATATTATTCATTTATATTTTCTCTGGTGATTATTTATCTATTAGTTTATTATTTTTATTTTGTTTTTCTCAAACATATTGCATTATTTTTCCAAATTAAAAAAAGTGTGTTTAATCTGAAAATGAAACAGAGATAAGTACAAAGAAGAAAATAAGAAATACCAAGAATGTATTATCCTGAGACAACCAGTTAATGAATTGTATATTTCCTGCCAATAATTTTAAATCTGTATATAAACTATTTTTTACAAACGTATATCACTTTTCCCCACTTATAGTATTTTATTTTTCACATTATTAAGTAGTCTTTACTTACATAATTTTAATGGGTACCCATATAAATTATCTTTTAATACTTCCATTAAATGTATATTCTTACCATTGTGAATAATGCTATAATTAACAGACTAGTACATAAATTCTGGGCATCATTTATTTCAAATTTTTAATAAGCTTCTAAAAGGTATAATTTACATACAGTATAATAAACAGTCTTGGTTTATTATTTAAATCATTTTCAAAAGTTTTGACAAAGGTATACACATGTATAACCACCACCAGAATCAAAGTTTAGAACTTTTTTCATGTCCTCAAGAAGTTCTCTTAAGTCCCTTTGCAGTCAACACCACCAACCCCTTGATCAAAGGCAACCACTGATCTGCCTATAGATGAGTTTTGCCTATTCTAGAGTTTCATATAAATGGAATTATACCACATATACTCTTATTTTCTGAGATCTTTTTGAGATTCATTCATGTTGTTGCATGTTACCAGTTTTTATCTTTATTCTGAGTACTATTTAATTATATGAAATTACCTACTTATGTTTTCTCTACAATTACTTTTTTATCTGATAGGTTTACTATTTTTATTTTCAATTTAATTATCCATTAGTTTCTATTTGATTATCCATTATTTAATTATCTATATTTGATGGTTCATTAATTGGACATTTGGGTGTTTCAGTTTAGAACTATTACAAATAAAGCTGCTATAAATTTTTGTGTAAAAGTCTTTGCTTAGACATATGTACTCATTTCTCTTGGATAAATACCTAGAAGTAAAATTGCTGGATCTTAGTAAAGGTGTATCTTTAATGTTATACAAAACTGCCAGATTGCCTTCCAAAGTTGCTTTTTACATTTTATTTTCCCACCAACAATGTACAGGAATTTTAGTTAATCTATGTCTTCACCACCATTTGATACTGCCAGTCTTTTTAATTTTAGCCCTTCTAGTGGGTATGGAGTGCTAGCTCATGTGGTTTTAAGTCTCATTTCCCTGATGACTAATGAGATGGAGCACTTTATAATGAGCATATGGGCCATGTGTATATTTTTAGTGAAATGTATTTTCTTTGGCTCAATTATTTTTCCCATTTTTTGACATGGAGTGGTATGTCTTCAATTATTATTAAGTTGGATGAGTTCTTTATTATATTTTAGATATAAGACCTTTGTCAGATAACAAGCTGTTGAAATATGTGGGTTTATTTCTGGATTCTCTATTCTATTCCATTGAGTTATATCTATTTCTGTATACCAGAACATCATTTTTCACTTAAGGTAAATTCCTAGACATGGTACACTGGGTTCAAGGGTATCATACTTTTTAAGGATACTGGTTCATGTGCCTACATTTTTGTCTGGGAAGATTGTACTTGTTTATTCTTCCAGACACTTTCCCAACCTTCAACACTGACTGTTTTATTAAAAAATATATACATATCTATGCCAACTTAATTGTCAGAAAATATGTTTCAGTTTATTTATTTATTTATTTATTTTTAGAGACAGGGTCTTCCTCTGTTGCTCAAGCTGGAGTGCAATGGTGCAATCATAGCTCACTGAAGCCTTGAACTCCAGTCCTCAAGGGATCCTCCCACCTCACCTTCTCACAATGGAGGATTATAAGTGTGAGCCACTATGCCTGTCCTTGTCATTATTTTTAAATGGATACTTATCTGCTTACCACAGTATTCATTGGCTATTTGTATATCTTGTCTATGAATTGTGTGGGTTTTTTTCCTTGCCTATGTTCCCATTTTGATTTTTACATCTTTTCTTGATAATATGTAAAATCTCTTTATCTGACAAGGGAATGAAGCTTTTTTCTACCATGTTTATATCAAATAGTTTATCAGTTTATTTTTGCATTTTAACCTCACTAGTCAGGTTTCTGATTTCAAGAAATATTTAATATTATTCTTTTATTTCTGAATAAAAATCATTTTTACCTCAAAAAAATTTGTGGAGTTTTTGAATCAAAATACATGAATATATAGATTTATTTGGGCAGAAGTAATATCTTCACATTATTGGGCAGAAGTAATATCTTCACATTATTCATTCTTCCCAAGCAAGCACCTGGTGTCTTCGTTTAGTGTAGACCTTTGTTCCTCTCGGCAGAGTTTTATAAATTTACTCATAGAAATGCTAAACTTTCTTGCTAAGGCTATTCCTACATATGTTAAAATTTATGTTGCTACCATGAACAGTATCTTTTTCAAACTACATTTTAACACTTAATATTAAAATTTAGAAAACCATTTTTGTTTATCAGTCTTTCATCTAGCCACTAATATCGATTTGGAATTCTTTTCCCTTGGTATTCTTGGATTTCCTATTTATGCAACTTATTTTTCTCACCAGGCAATGATATAGTCATGCACCACATAATACCATTTTAGTCAACAGCGAACTGCATATATGATGGTTGTCCTATAGGATTATAATGCCGTATTTTTACTGTCCCTTTTCTATGCTTAGACATGTTTAGATATATGAATCCTTACCATTGTGTTACAATTGCCTACCGTATTCAGTACAGCAACAGTTACTACATACCATATAGCCTAGGTGTGTAGTAGGCTATACATCTAGGTGTATGTAGTACACTCTATGATTTTCACACCTGCTCCAAACACTTGCAATAGCCTGCAAAATAATCTGGGAGCAATACGTTCTAGAATATCTGTTGCTTACCTTTGTGATTGTGTGGTTGACTAGTTGAATAGCTTGTGTAACTTATTGATATTCTGTTGAATGTGTGTCACTTTCACACCATCATAAAGTCAGAAAATCATAAAATTGTAAGTTGAACCATCATAAGTCAGAGACCATCTATACTACAAACCACATTCCAGGTGGCTTAAAACAACAGAAATTCCCTCATAGGCTGCAAGCTATAAGTTTGAAATCCAGGTGTTGGCAGGGCCATGACGTCTCTGAAGCCTCTAGTCCAGGGTCCTTCCTCACCTCTTCCAGCTTCTGGTAGCCCCAAATGTTCCTTGGTTTGTGGCAGCGTAACTCCAATCTCTGACTCCATCTTCAGAGATTGTCTCTGTCTTCACAGAGTCAGTGGTGTCTACCTTTGTGCTTCTCTCCTCTTATAAAGACACCTGTCAAATTGGATTAGGATCTACCATAATAACTATCTTGATTACATCTGCAAAGACCCTGTTTCCAAATAAGGTCACGATCACAGGTACCCGGGGTTAGGATTTGTTGAAAGAAAAATCCGAGGCAAAATAAAAATTTAGAGTTAATTTGTGTAAACAACAGTTCCTCAGTTGGGAGGCATCAAACCAAAAGCGGTGTAGTGCTCCACTGAGGAAGCATTAGAGGAAAATATTTACCAGGTGAATATGGAAATAAGACAAAGCAATTATTTGGCTGGTTACAGTTTTTTAAAATCGTCTTTTTTGTTTTACCTTGATGGAAAGTCTTCGATCATATAATTATATATTTTAGTTGGCTGCTCTTGATTGGCTGAGGTTAAGTTTCATTTTTCTTTAACACGAGCATCTACCAGAAATGACCCAAGTTTTACTCATGTTTGCAGCTTAAGCAAGATGAAGGCTATTTTTAAAGCCTACCAGGTTTTGATTGCCCAGGAATTTTTCAGGCCCCGTTTTCATTTTCATTTTGCTTTAACAGACTTCAACATATCTTTTTGAGAACATAATTCAACCCATAACACTGTCATAGGTGGAGCAGGCTGGAGCAGGCTGTTCTGTTGATGGGCAGTCCTCATGGTTAGAACTCTCATCCTTTTCCCAAGCCACGGTTTGCCTACCTACTGTCTCTATACTCAGACCTACAGTGAACCACTGTGAATCTCACCTGGCTAATGCTGGACATCCCTGCTGGTACACCAATACAGCTCTCTTATAGTTTATTGCTTCTAGAGAGTCACATCTTTGATGAAAAAAAAAAATCAAGACATGGTCACCATCAAGAATCTATAATTTATATGGCAACCTTATACCAGTAATTCATGGAGGATACTGCAGAAATTCACACAATAAAGCTAGGCAATCAGACTTGTGGGTTCTGAATATACTGTTCTTCATTCTCATCATCTGTCTCAGAAGTTAATCGCTAATTCTGATGGCTCACATGGCAGAACATGTGGGTTGATCTTTTCCATACCCAAACCAGCCTACTCCTAAACATAAGTCTTAGCTTATGTTTTCAATCTGACCAAAGGCAGGTGATGGAGGGACTCTCATGCTTTCGTAACAGCAAGTTCTCTCTTGTAAGTGTGTAGTCGGTAAGGAAATGGGGGATCAGCAGTTACATTCTTTAGCTTTCTTGTAACTGACAATGATGACCAGAACAGATGGCCACTCCTAAGTGTTTCAGTTATGTTGAGAGGTAAAGCATGAGGAGCACAACACATTCATGGAACAAACCATGAAAAAAGTCAAGCAAAGGCATTAAGAAAGAAATAATATGGAAAAGAGGAAAGCAGAGTGTTTTTAAAGGTTAGAAATCCATTAATAGCTTGTTTGAATCTTCTTTTAAAAAATATGCATGAAATGGAACTATAACTTACATGCATTGTAAAATGAAATGGAAAAAGTTTAATTTATATGAACAAAAGGCTTTCTTGAGATTCTGACAACTGACTGAGCTTAGATTTCGAGACAGAGTATAAGAATTAGTGATGAATTGAGGAGTGAGAACAGCCAGGCCTCTTCTAACTGCTTTCTCCTCTGCTATCCTCTGCTATTTATGTAATATCTTTATAAATATTAGAAATCTCCAGGTATTTTGAGGCACACACATTTTAAAATTAGGCCATAGTCAGATGAGAAGTGAGAGAGATATCTAAAGACCAAATATGCTATGCATAAGAATGAGGCCTGTTGTGAACTTATTAAATAAATTAAAACTAACAATTATTAATTTCATCTGCTTTCTCTTGGCCCACATTAACAATACTTGCTCCATCATTTTCATCTTCAGCGGACATTTAGGATTAATCTTCAAGAATTCTCTTTATGGCAAAAAGGTACCTGGTGAATACCCAAGACAGATAAGAATTTTTAGGCAAAACAAAACAGAGAGAGGGTTGCTTATCATTTGAGGCTTGTTTTAAAGCTTCCGTTACACATATATTGAATATTGTTGAAATATAAAAATTGACCAGAACTGCAGTGGCTGATGATAAACAAGCATTGATGTTTCGCTGGTATAAACATGACCTTCATATCTTGTGGAATTCATACCAGCAGTGACAATGTGACAGTGTTCAGGAAAAATCAGGGATTGGGTCTGGATTTTTCAAGAACCTGCTTCAACAGGAACCATGAAATCGTGGAGGCAGAATTTAGGCAGATCCCAGGCTTTGTGTGAGCTCCTTAAATCAGAATGACTCAGAGCTGAACTCTGCAGGCTAATTCTGCAGGTCATTCCACATTCAGACAACCTCATCTATAGGGCAAAGCTCTGATTACCTCTTTAGCACCTGTACATTGTAGCTACTACGCTATCACCTCACTTCATAGAGTTACACACACCCTCTATATTTTGGTTATGTTATTAACCATAAAATTTGATGTCTTAAAGCCACAACCATTTTATTACATCTTATGATGTTATGGGTCTGAACTTTGGATAGGGCTTAGTTGGCTGGTTCTTCCACTTCTGCTTTTGGAAAGGGCATTGACTGGGATTGCTCAGTGGTACTCACCTGACAGCTGAACTGATCTGGAAGGCTCAAGATGGTTTTGCTCACATACTTGGGTCCTTGGAAGGGATGGCTGGCAGTTTGCACTCATCTGGGCCCCTTTCCATCTCCATGTATTTCAGGGCCTCCATGTGTGGTCTTTCCAGCAAAGTGATTACACTTCTTACCTTGTCGCTCAGGTTCCAAGAGTGCATGTACCAGAAAAGTATAACTTTCTCCCAATAGTGAGGAATAAATTCCCTGATGCAGAAAACATAAGGGGCTAATTAGGCAAAGGGAGATTAGGAAAGAGGCAGCATTCAGGCACAGAGAAATATTTGCTTTTAGAATGAAGACAGACTCAGGAAAACTATCAGAATCATTCACACATGCTGATAAAAGACTGTCAATTAATATATGTCTCTCACATTCAATCTGTGCATGATAGAAGATGTAGTGGTCATCAGTCATTTTCAGATGCTATGGAATCATTGGTACTTAACTCCCTATAGTGATACTAGAAAGAACACTCAACTGGGTATGTGGAGACTTCAATTCTAGACTTTCTCTTAATTTTAAGGGCCTCAATTTTGTAAGTTGAAGAATTTTGCAGTTGGAATAGAATCATCACCTGGAAACCCAACAAGTACTTATTAATTTTTTCCTTCAAGTGAGACATTCACCTTGATAATCCAAATGTTCTTACCCCTGCCCACTTTTCCAAAATCACCTTGTGCCCTTTCTCCACACTAGCCTCATGCAATTCTCAGAATTCACCACACTTTCCCTGACTAGAAGTCTCCTCACATACTGCCTCTCTGCCCACAACACTCTTCCCTTGTTGTGATGGCGAGCTCTGGCTAACTATCCCTGTGTGAGTTTAAATGTCACCTTCTCAAGATGGTCTTCTTTGGCCACCCAATCTAAAGGGTCCCACCTATTCTCTGGTGCATCTCGTGTTGGGTTTCTTCTCTGCACTTTCCATGGTTTCTACTTATTTTCTGAATGCATTTGTTTACAAGGTTTCTGTTGGTCTCCTCTAGACACTACCCTCCATAGAGTAAGAACCATTCTTACCATTGTATCCTAGTGCCCAACGTAGTGCCTGAAATATGGGGGTGTCCCCCAAGTATGTGTGAAATGGATGTTACAGGACACTGTAAGTAACTTGCAGCCTAGTGAGAGATGGTGAAACAAGGCCAAACATTAATGTGTCTTAAGAGAGCCATGAGCAAAGTTTTCTGAGTTTTGTTTTTTTTTTTTTCAATTTCTGAGTTTTTTGAGAGAAAGTCAAAGACAGTGAGTATATAGCAGTGAGTGGATTGTGCATTGGAAAGCCAGAAGGACCCATCTCTAGAAGCACCTTCTTAACCATTTAATGAGTCTGAATTCTATTATCCGTGCAATGGAATGCACTGAGGAGGGTGAACAGTGGAGGGACATGGCCTGGATGTATAAAGGTCACTCTGGATGCTGCGTGTGAAGCAGGTTGAAAGGGTGAGATGGGACACGAGCATTTCTGAAGGTACCCAGGAGAGAGGTCATGTTGACAATGGAGGAACAGAGGTACACAAATATAAAATGGATTTGGAGATAAAATATACAAATTAGTGATGAATTCAAGAGTGAAAATGAGGGAGGTATCAAGAAGAACTTGAGGCTCTGGGTTGAGCCAGTGGGGGAAGGCGGACAGAGACGCATAGGTGGGAAGGATGAGGCATGTGCCAAGGGAGTAGAAAACGTTTGCAGGAGGAAAATCAGAAAGGAAATCAGCACAAATGACCTTATTATCGCGTAAGGGACAGACATTGTTAAGGGGAAGTTTACATTTCAAGATTGTCTCTGAGTTTCTGGATAACTTTACTTTCTGACCACTTCCTCCCTCTGCCACCCCCTCAAGCTACTTCCTGCATGTACAGGCCCATTTGTTCCACCACAAGTTCTTCCTTTTAAGAGATGTTGCCAGTGTGATCTGTACATCATCATTGTTCAGGGAGCATCAAAGTGAACTGTTTAATCAGCAAGTCGATGAGTTCATGTCTTGATATTTCTCTGTACATAAAGACCTAATGAATCACTTGTTGCTCCTCCCTCCCCAATAACACACTGGGGCTATTCCGCTAGATATTAAGTATTCCAGCTTATTTAATAGACGGCTAAATTTGCCTATAAAAGCCAAATACAGTACAGTGAGAAATGAAGCATTTTCCTATGCGATTTAGGTCCAGAACACTCATAGTCTGAAATAATCAGATTTCCCTATAAAACTGGGACTGATCTGAATAATTTCTTCCTTGGTACTTTACCTCAACATGGGCACTCCTGGAAAAGCTTGCTCCCTCCTTGGCAATTTAGTGGATGCTTTGCTAATTGTCCCGTGTACGCTGGAGGACACTCCTCCCAGTAGTCTTTCTCTCCCCTACTCTGTTAATGAGGGTAAGTCACAGTCTTTATTTTCCAGAACCATTCTTGCATCTGACCAAGCCCCTCCACCAAACCCAACCACTCTCCTCCTCTGGGGCCAGGAGTCTGAGATTATATTTGAGTCTCCAAGGGCTAAAACTAGTAGGACCCCATCAGGAATGGTTTGCAGCTTCTCACTTTGTTCCTTGTTCAAGCATGGCTCTTCTCTTCAGGTTTCCTAAAAAATCACAGTCAATTAAACTTCATGGCTTGATCCCCAATAATTTAGAAACATGATATGGTCGTTTGGGTACATTCCAATTCATAAAACCTCCAGGAAATTTCAGGGAGAAATGGCAATACGAAAAATTCCAGGGAAAATTTAACCAAGTCATAAAATTAGTATTGAAATGGCATTGGAGCTTAGTGGGGAGGCTTACACATTTTCAGAAACATATTTATTAAACATGTGTGCTTTATTGCCCAAGGCATTGGAAACACAACAGAGAATAAGAAAATGTCCCTATGTTTAAGGAGTTCAGCCTAGTGAAAGGACACAAACCAGTTCAGGTGCTACTATAGGAGTATAAAGGCAGTTTCGGCCGGGGGTTGGGGGGGCGGTGGTGACCAAGTCTATCAGGATGTCAAGAGACACTTTATGTATGAAATGCTGCCATGAACTGTTTTGAAGCTGATATGACTGCAATGATCATCTGTAACTTCTGATTTCAAGTTTCATTTTTGTCATAAGATCCTTATTGCTGTCATTCATGAAGCTTTCAATAATAGTTGTTACACATCTGAACTCATATATAATGCATTAATAAATGGTACTGGTATCTTTTGTATATAATGGAATTCTACAAAAGTGTACTTTAGTGGAGAAAGGGTCCCACTGCTGAGTTTGTAACCACTGCTCTAGGTAACAGGGAGCTAGGTAAAGACTTTAAAAAAAGATGCCTCATCCGAGCATGGTGGCTCACACCTGTAATCCTAGCACATTCGGAGGTTGAGGCAGGTGGATTGCTTGAGCTCAGGAGTTCAAGACCAGCCTGGGCAACACAGTGAAACCCCATATCTACTAAAAAATACAAAAAGTTAGGCGTGGTGGCACGTGCCTGTAATCCCAGCTATTCAGGAGGCTGAGGCAGGAGAATGGCTTGAACCCGGAAGGCGGAGGTTGCAGTGACCTGAGATTGTGCCGTTGCACTCCAGGCTGGGCAACAGAGCAAGACTCCATCTCCAACACAAACAAATGGAATAACATTCCATGCTCATGGATAGGAAGAATCAATATCGTGAAAATGGCCATACTGCCCAAGGTAACTTATAGATTCAATGCCATCCCCATCAAGCTACCAACGACTTTCTTCACAGAATTGGAAAAAACTACTTTAAAGTTCACATGGAACCAAAAAAGGGCCCGCATTGCCAAGTCAATCCTAAGCCAAAAGAACAAAGCTGGAGGCATCACACTACCTGACTTCAAACTATACTACAAGGCTACAGTAACCAGAACAGCATGGTACTAGTACCAAAACAGAGATATAGACCAATGGAACAGAACAGAGCCCTCAGAAATAATACCACACATCTACAACCATCTGATCTTTGACAAACCTGACAAAAACAAGAAATAAGGAAAGGATTCCCTATTTAATAAATGGTGCTGGGAAAACTGGCTAGCCATATGTAGAAAGCTGAAACTTGATCCCTTCCTTACACCTTATACAAAAATTAATTCAAAATGGATTAAAGACTTAAATGTTAGACCTAAAGCCATAAAACCCTATAAGAAAACCTAGAGTTTTCTAGGCATGGGCAAGGACTTCATGTCTAAAACACCAAAAGCAATAGAAACAAAAGCCAAAATTGACAAATGGGATCTAATTACACTAAACAGCTTCTGCACAGCAAAAGAAACTACCATCAGAGTGAACAGGCAACCTACAGAATGGGAGAAAATTTTTGCAATCTACTCATCTGACAAAGGGCTAATATCCAGAATCTACAAAGAACTCAAACAAATTTACAAGAAAAAAAACAACCCCATCAAAAAGACGGTGAAGTATATGAACAGACACTTCTCAAAAGAAGACATTTATGCAGCCAAAAGACACATGAAAAAATGCTCATCATCACTGGCCATCAGAGAAATGCAAATCAAAACCACAATGAGATACCATCTCACACCAGTTAGAATGGCAAACATTAAAAAGTCAGGAAACAACAGGTGCTGGAGAGGATGTGGAGAAATAGGAACATTTTTACACTGTTGGTGGGACTGTAAACTAGTTCAACCATTGTGGAAGACAGTGTGGCGATTCCTCAAGGATCTAGAACTAGAAATACCATTTGACCCAGCCATCCCATTACTGGGTATATACCCAAAAAATTATAAATCATGCTGCTATAAAGACACATGCACACATATGTTTATTGCGGCACTATTCACAATAGCAAAGACTTGGAACCAACCCAAATGTCCATCAATGATAGACTGGATTAAGAAAATGTGGCACATATACACCATGGAATACTATGCAGCCATAAAAAAGGATGAGTTCATGTCCTTTGTAGGGACATGGATGAAGCTGGAAACCATCATTCTCAGCACACTATTGCAAGGACAAAAAAAACAAACACCGCATATTCTCACTCATAGGTGGGAATTGAACAATGAGAACACACGGACACAGGAAGGGGAACATCACACACTGGGGCCTGTTGTGGGGTGGGAGGAGTGGGGAGGGATAGCATTAGGAGATATACCTAATGTAAATGACGAGTTAATGGGTGCAGCACACCAACATGGCACATGTATACATATGTAACAAACTTGCACGTTGTGCACATGTACCCTAGAACTTAAAGTATAATAAAAAAATAAAATAAAATAAATAAATAACAATTTCTACAACTTTTTGTGCATCAATCATACCTCAATAAAGTAGCTTTTTTTGAAAGACAAAAAAAAAGACATCTCACAGCTAAATTTGCATTTTAGAAAATTTACTGGGCCTAATTCCTAATGGGTGGAGCTTAACATGAAATGATGGCAAGAGAGAGACAGTGCCTCTTCCTGTGGTCTGAATCATCTCTTAATTCCAGGACAGTCCTGTTGAACCTTTTCCAGGACTTCTGAGACAGATACGGGAAGAGGTTGCTGGTGGGAGAGAAGAGAAAGAAGACCCCACTAGGAGATCACCAGAGAAGTAGAAAAGGCTTTGATTTTTATCTCCTTAACAAATAATTCCAGATGCCAGGAAAGACGCCCCTCATTTCCATTATATTTCCTGGTTGACTGCTTTATTGATTAAGTTTTAATTAGGATTTAAAACATTTCCCAAAGTGGTCTAAGGAAATAAAAAGTTGTGAGAGGTCCAGGCAGTTACACACTTCCAGTCAGATTTATTTTTTCAATTTTTGTTAGGTACTTATTGTAAATCAGACATCATAAGAGGGGCTAGAGACATACGATGAATAAGATCAAGTAGCAGCCATCAAGGAATATACAAGAGGAAGAACCAAGTCAAAAAACAAAAATGATAATAATAAACAGTGTGACAAGCATGGTGACCTATACTTTGATGGTTTACTCTGGGAGCAGCATGGAGAGACACTTGGCCCTAAGTCCAAACCTGTGATTAAGTCACCATCAAGTAACCTTATATAGATTGTCCCCAGCTTACTTTGGTTCAACTTAAGATTTTTCAACTTTGTAGTGTTATGAAAGCAATAAGCATTTAGTAGAACATCAATAAATTACATAAGATATTCAACACTTTATTATAAAATGAGCTTTGTGTGAGAGGATTTTGCCCAACTATAGTTGCCCAACTAAAGTAAGAGTTCTGAGCACATTTAAGGTAGATTAGGCTAAGCTATGACGATCAGTAGGTTAAGCGTATTAAATGCATTTTCAATTTATGATATCTTCAACTTAAATTGAGTTTATTGGGACATAACCCCATGGTAAGTCAAGGTGAATCTATAACTAGGTTCTGTGGAGGATACAAGAAAGCAACAGGCATAACTGAGTTAATGAAAGTAAGATATTTACACATGAGCATATCTATTAAAATCAAACAGGCTCTCCAGAGATACAGAAACAGTAAGATAGAGAGGTAGATATCTCAAGAGCTGTATTTCAAGGAATTGGCTCACATGATTATAGGGATTGACAAGTTCAAAATCCATAGGCAGATCAGCAAGCTGGGAATTCTTGGGCAGGAGTTGATGCTGCCATCTTGAGGCACAATTTCATCTTTTTCAAGGAAACCTCAGTTTTGCTTTTAAGGCATTCTAGCTGATTGAATAAGGCCAACCCCAATAATCAAGAATAACCTTTTTAACTTAAAATCAACTGATTGGTCTGGAGAAAACACCAAAGATGTGGCTGGGCAACTTTTGCCAAAGACACATGGATGCAATCTGTCATCTCAGCAGAGACCAGGAATAGAGATGCAGATATCCAGTGAAGATGTGTGGAAAGCCCTCTTGTTGATGGGTTAAACTCCCATGAATTTCACAGGAGACTGAAAAAGTTTTGAAAATTTTATACTGCCAGTAATATTGCCAGCCTGGACTGATAGGGACAGAGAAGGGAAGAAATGAAGGGAGCATGACTCTGAGGGCAGATCCATGGATGTAAAGGGGACTCTTGGGCTAAGAGGGCAGGGCAGCCACCCCAGCAAGTCCAGAGGACAATGAGCTTGCTCCTGCCCGGAACAGTCCCAGTTCCTTCTGGTCTGGACTTGGATGGCAAATGCTGAAACAGGAAAGTGTCATCCAGGATTTAGGGAGGTCTAGATAAAATTGACCCTGATTTGGATTTAGATTTTACTTGTAGTGATTGCAAGATCTTTTTTCCAGAGCATTTGACCTATTATGCAACTAAATACTGTATATTGTTCTTAAAAATAAAGATTATATATAAAATATGGATCATTTATATTACAGATAGAAAATATGAATTAAATATTAAAATGTTAACAGTTATCAGACTTTAATTTTTCTGTTTTCTTAGTTTCATTTTCTAGAATAAACTTTTTACTTTATAATGAGAAAAATTGTTTTTTATTTATAAGGCAAATATATTAATCAGGTTTTTTTGTTATTTGACTTTTTGTTTTGTTTTGTTTGTTTTTGGTGTTGAGTCTCATTAGAGTATTACTATAGAAAGTACAATGGCCTTATACAAAGACCAGATTCCTAGGTTTATTGCTGCCTCTCAATACTTGGACCTTGGACAAGCCACTTAACCTCTCTAAGGCTATTTCCTGCCCTACATACCTCATAAAGTAGATGTAAGAATCAAATGAGGTTATTTGTGAAGGCTCTGTAATTCTCATTAGAAATGTCAGGAATGATTATTGCAAAAATACTTTTAACACAATTATCAGTTTCAAATGCACAAGTAATAGGCATTTATATTTTCAGTTGATAGATATTTTATAGTTTGTAAACTGTCACTGAACTTAAAAACATATTTATATTGGATCATAATGAAGTAGCATATTTATGTAGGATCTTGTAAAAATCCCCAATACACTGTGAATATTTACATTTAAGTGAAATACTGTACTATGTATCTAAGAAAGTTGGAAAATTTATTTTAAATTAACAAATGTCATGTTTGGTGAAAGAATGTAACCAATAAATTAATGCTAACATCATGAACAAACACAACAACAGCAAAAAGTGGACTGATTGTAGATACAAATCATATCTACAAAATCCCTTCATGGTAACACCTAAATTAGTGTTTGGTTAACTGGATACTGTAGCCTAGCCAAATGGACACATAAAACTCACCATCACAGTGAGTATGTGCTAATTGCCAAATTAATGGTACCTGAAGACCGAAATATTAAATGGATTTGATAGTAAAATACAAAGCATACACAAAGTCACTTTTCCAAACCCACACCGCGTGTGTCTTCTTCCTCCCCTGTATACGTCTCCTCATCCCTCACTGAAACTCTGCCGAAAATGGCATGGAAATAGAATAATCTGGCATTACTATTCCTCACTTGACTGTTCTTCCCTCCATTGCAACTTTCCTTTTTAAATGCCAACTTTTAGCGGTCAAGACATAGATTCATGTTGTCTCTCCCAGGCCATTATATTTCAGAAGTATATATGTGTTCCCATCATGTGAAGCTCATGTCTCTCATTGAAAACTTGAATGATGAAAGTAGACAGTGCCACTTGCCATGCTGAGTCACTTACTCCTTAGCAACAAAAGCAGTATTTCAGTCTACTAGATTATCAAAAGAATACCTTGTTTGACTTCGCAAAACTTGTATTGAGACTGTGATCTGACCATTTTTAACTCAGGACACACAGCCATATCATATTTAGCAGCCCCTTCCAACAAAGCATCTTTAACATTTGTTTCCAGCCCGTTCATAATTTGTTAAAGAGCTCTGTTAATTCAGCTTTCTAATACAAAATAAAATCTAAGTTTTCTTTGACACTATCCTCCTAAATATTTACAGAGAACTATGGTATGTGCATGCATACATGATATTTCTGTGTGTCTAGAGTGTGTAGGCATGCGTGCATGCATGTGTGTGTGTACTGAATTTTTTGCAGAGGTTGGTGTCACTGATTTTTCAGATTACTGTCATCAAGATAAAATAAGAATTGCCATATTTAACCTTAGCAATAAAACTACTGCCAAGCATTGCAATCTAGGTTTTTTGGCTCTTACTGCTAAGATTTCTGTCTTCACATTTATGTTTCCTGTTAGTTCCTGTATCAATTTAGAATAACGTAAAGGGTAGCTATTAAAAGATATCTGGAAGGTAAAATGAATTTGCCACTCTCAGCAGAAAGGATGTCCACTGTTTAGCTTTCTTCTCCTAAGCAATCATTTGTTTTTCAACTTACAAAATGAATTTTGGAACAATGCCACATTATGCCACAAAATATTAATAGGTACAATTAGTACATTGATATATGTTTGATTCTATCATTTTTCATTCTTTTTTTGTCATTCTTCTTTTAATCTACTGTGACAGTTCTGTAATGGAGCACCAGAAATATGACTCTAGGGCAAGCCATACTACTAATCATCAATACAGCATTGTATGCTGTCCGGCAGATGCATGTTCCTGTTTTGTCAGCAGGGATGACATTCTGCAAAATTTCTACCCAGAGAAATGCTTTCCAAGATTTGTTTACAAGCAATAAATTTAATGGTATGCTGAATTTGATCATTAATTATATATTTTGTTTGTTATATTCAAATGGGATGCCGATAAAATTGATCATGACAGGGTTTTGGGTTTTTTTCTGTTGTTCTTTCTGCTGAGCAACTTGTCATTTTAGTTTTAGCTGCAGGATATAGGACAGTACTGTCAAAGCAATCTAACTATGTAAGCTATATGTAAGCAACTCAAATGAGGCTTTGAACCACCTTTTATTATTGGTTCTATAATTCTTCAACTGTAAAGGGATCTGTAAGCCACCTCTAGATTGTATAATAGCGGTCACTTTGGGGTTCTTGGCTTAAATTAATAACCCCAGTGAAATCATTAATGACCACCAATATAGATCCCATCGTTAACAACACCATGAACAAGTCCATTCAGAAAACCACTTATTCTTCCAAACTTGCACTTAGCAATGGTCATCATTCTGAAACAACAATAATAAATACTTATAGGGTATCCAAGACCGAAAAGCCAGCTGCCTTTAAAAAAATATTTGTACTGATCTGTATGAAATTTTCTCTAGTAGAATATGCCAGTCCTGTTATCAAGGAAAAGCCAACTTTCTCTCCCGGCTTGCTGCAAATCCACACATTTGGAGTATTCAGCTCATTCAGCTTAGTCCTGGAAAGTCAAAATTTTCTTCTTTGATAAGTAGAGGACTACATATTTTTGGTGTACTATAAAATAGTTACAACATTCCTTCTTAGTGGTAGGTGATCTATGCAATCTATGCATTGTGTATTATATATGTTATAGCAAGTGCTTCATATTAAACCAGTAAAGACATAACACTTTATATTGAGTATAAACACAGAAATCTGAAAACATTCTCTTAAAGTATAGATGCCTCTTCAATTTTATGATTATGGGGGGAAATTAGGTTGTTTTGCTTTGCCTTCCATTTAGAACAATCAGTAATCCCTGTGAAAACTATGGGTGTTACCTACATTTATTTTCTGTTAGCATATTTTTAACACACCTATAAACATAAAGACAACTCTATATTGTTTCAGAGTATTCTTTTTAATCCATAGTTACCTAATTATCAAGTAGCACTAATACATATTATATTGATTATATAGAAGAGGGCTATAGCATAATCATGACAAAGGGTTAACTGTCTCAGAACCCAAGACTGCATCTTATGCACCTTCAAAAGCTCTTTGGAGGTAGAAAGGTGAAAGGCCAGGCCTGCTGAGGTCATCACTTCCAAGCTCTGTAGCTGGTAGCTGCAAGTCAGGAATTCAGCAAAGACTGAACATCGGAGCCTGTTTATGGTCATGAAAATAGTCACCAAGTTAGCCTTTCACTGGGAAAAAAATATAACTGTTGTCTTAACAATGTTATCACACTCTCATTAGTAATTATAAACAAATCAATATACAATTTGGAACCAGATACAAAGGAGTATAAATTCCAAGATCAATTGGTTTTCTTGTCACAAATTCATTGTTTATCAACTATCAGCCAGTAAGTCCTGGATTTCATTTCACTCATCCAAATAAAGATATTAATTGTTTAGTTCTGTTCACTCCCTGCCCTGTTGCTTACCCTGTTCCCTTAATTAGGATTAGCATTTCCACCTTCTGATATACCGAGATGTATATATATATAGAGAGAGAGAGAACAAGAGATGGGACCTTATGAGAACTATGACTAGGTGAATTGCTTCACCCCCTTGCTGTCTGCAAATTGTCTGAAGACAGGACCTGTGTCTGTCCTGCTCAGCAGTGTACTCTCAGTGCCTACAGCACAAATGTGGGCTCCTGAAATGTGTTTGAAAAGTGTGTGTCAAATAAGTGTTTAAAAAAATGAACTCATACATTTGTGAACCTGGTTGAGGGTCTCCTCACTTCTCTGGGGTGCAGTATTCACCTCCTTACAAGTATTCCTACCTGTAGACAAGCCTCACTCTAATTCACTTTCCACTTTGCAGCCTCCTTCATCTCTTTGAAGTGCAACCATATCTTGTGCTTTTCACCATTTTACTATTAAGAAAACCAAGCTCAGAGAGGGAATGTGGCTTGCACAGTGTGCTGGGATGGTTAAGTTACAGCACCCATTAACCATTTTTATGCTCCTGATGCCAAATCCTTCTAATAAATCAAAGCACTTCTGTTCCTGTCTCTTGCTCTTCCCTGCTTGTCCTGATTGACTTCATTGCCCCTCCTTTTCTTATTCATTTCTTTGCTCTTGGGACAATTTTTCTGATTGGGTAAATTCAGCCACTGGAGGACGCAGTGACAGATCTTTTTCTGCAATGCACTGATTTGATTGGGACACTCCACTTTTTCTTCTCAGTCCAATGATTAGCCAGTACAATGTTAGAATACAATAATATTCCTGTGATTGCAGGTATAGGCAAAATCAGTGAAGCAATAAACTTAATCCTGCAAAAATAAAATAGTATTTTTGTGGAAATATTTCTAAACTGATTTACGCTTTCCATTTTCTTAAATAGGGTGTGTTAATGTCACCTAGTCTCTTCTTGCTGAGTCAGAAAGGGCATATATTCAGGCCTCGGCCCGGCGCAGTGGCTCACGCCTGTAATCCCAACACTTTGGGAGGCAGAGGCGGGTGGATCACCTGAGGTCTGGAGTTTGAGACCAGCATGAACAACATGGAGAAACCTCGTCTCTAGTAAAAATACAAAATTAGCCGGGCGTGGTGGCGAATGCCTGTAAACCCAGCTACTCGGGAGTCTGAGGCAGGAGAATGGCGTGAACCCGGGAGGTGGAGCTTGCAGTGAGCCGAGATCGCGCCACTGCACTCCAGCCTGAGCAACCGAGCGAGACTCCGTCTCAAAAAAAAAAAAAAAAAATTCAGGCCTCTCCTACTCCCCCGCTGCCACGTAGGTGAAGAGTCAATATGTGCTAATAAACTTGTCATTTAGACTTGCTAAACACTGGCCTAGGACAGCAAGGGTGGTGGCAATATCTCTTCTCTTAGTGTATCTGTAAGTAACAAAAGTACCACCTATTAGGACTGTTCTGATAAAGGCATGATTTACATTAAATGGAAGTTGAACCCCAGAAGCTCAAAGTTTTAAATGCTTTTTGTTTAGTTTTCGTTATTCAGTGAGTGTGGAGAAATCTCTTCCCTTTGCGGTTCAGGATTCAACCCAACATGTAGCTCCGGAGAAGAAGCGGAGCTATCACAATGATGAACCTGTAGGAAAGCGTTATCCTATAAACGTGGAAAATATCTGACTGTCATAGAACCCAGAGGAAACCAAGTAGCGTTTGTGTCCCTGCACCACCCAGAGCACTACATATAGAATCATCCTTAGTGATGTTTTCTTTCATTAGCTCCCTTCCCTTTGATAAACAAGTTGACCTACAAAGAAAGCCGCACCTAAAGACTGATCCTTTCTCACTGGATGTGTAGAATAAAGTAAAATGGGCAGGCTCCTAAACTGAGAAGGGATATTTGATTCTAATGTAGTCAGCAAGTAATTCTAATTCTGTATAAGATATTCATAGAATAAGCTCTTTTTTATAGAGCTATCAACTATCAAAGTGGGTACAATTTTTAGGGAATTAATATTAAATAAAAATAAAATAGCAATATGAATAATGGTGATGACAGACACATTAACAACATGTAAAATTGCCAGGATAATTTAGAAATAGTCTGTAAATTCCTAAACAACTCTGAGGTTATTTTAGATAATTCAGTGATACTGTAAAGAGTTATAAATTGAAATTTTGGAGTTCCTGACTTAAAAAAAAAAAATCCTAAACCAAGTGCCACGGAATTAAAGGTAATTTCAACTAAGGTTATAATAACAACAGTCTGCAACCCTTATGAGAATTCTGAAAGCAAAACCTTAAAAAGATACATTTGCTCTACCTCAGCCAGATCCAGATTAACATTACAGTGGCACGTCACAGTGACAAGTTGCTTAACATTTACCCTTGAGAGGGAGTGATGAAAGCCGCACTTTACCTCTGTGTATTTCCTCCTCAAAACCCCTAACCCTAGCGTAATCATGAGAAAAATATAGAATAAAGCAAAATTGAAGGGTATTCTACAAAATATCTGCCAGGTACTTCAGAAAACATTTAAGTTCATCCAAAACAAGGAAAGTCAGAGAAACTTGTAACCAAGACAAGTTGAGAATCTTTGTAACCTAAGGATTGGTGATGACCAAATTTAATGTGGGATCCTGCACAGGATGCTGGAGCAAATAAAAGACATTAAAGAAAAACTAAGAAGATCCAATTAAAGTATGGACTTTAGTTAGTAATAATGTATCAATATTGGTTTAATAGTTGTGGCAAATATACTATAGTGTTAGATGTTAACGGTAGGGGATACCGAGTGCAGTGTCTGGGTGCAGGGTCTATGGGAACTCTGTATTATGCAGCTTTTCTGTAAACTAAAATTATTCCAAAATAAAAATGTTTATTAAAAAATATATAGCGAATACAGTTTAAAAAGTCTCTTCTGATATAATGTTTGCAGAGGAAGATGCTTTTTAGTTTATAAATTATTTCCATAATTTGTGACAGGTCTCACATCTGCTACTATAAAATTCATTGCAGCTTCTCTGCCTCTTGGGAAAAAATGCATTTAATTATCAGTAAAATTCAACTTTAGCTTGTTATGATGAATGATTTGAACCTGTCAGCTTTTCCCCCCTAAAAACAAAAGAACCAAAATGAAATACAGTCTTATTCTTCTACTCCCTTCCTTCCACCTGCTTCATTTAATTGATGAAGGCTTCTGCATTTATTAATCTTTTTGAGCTCTTCTGTAAGACGCAGAAAAAGCTAATATGATATCATTGTATCTAGCTAATGTGTGTGCTTTGTGAAATTGATACACCCTGCCAAGACATAAATTACTTAAGCTTTGATAAATGTGTTGAAATCAAGGAATGTTCAAACAGATAAAGCACAGCAATTTTTCTTTCTTCCCCTTTGTAAAACTCCATTTTATGCTTGAGGTTAAATGTTTTTGCATTATTATTATAATATGATGGGGGAAAAGACAGCAGGGATACTGAAATTAGCCCGAAGAGCCCCAGCAAATACAAAAGTAACCAGGAATATACAGCTACGTGTTTTGTAAATAACATTTAACAATCTTGCCTTGGACAGAGTGGATTACCAACAGATTCAGAGCCACCTACATTCTTCTCACAGCATGTTGTATCACAGAAATTGTCTGTTCAGGAATGAGGGCACCTGCCAGACACTTTATATTCTCAGCTCCCTTTGCTGATTCATGTAGTAGATTGGAATCAAAGATCTACAAACACATTTTGTTGGCAAAGAGAGCTCACCTGGGATTTGGATGTGACTCAGATGCCAGTAAGACTAGAAACATAGGGAAACATTTGATTGATGTTCTGGGGTTGAGTGGGTTGATTTCTACTTGGTCATTAATTTATCACATGGCACTGAACAAGTTGCTCAATTAACCATTAATCAGTTTCCTGGAGGCTTGAGAATTCATAGAAACCTTTGGAGACACTTCTTGAGTAGGAGGCATGAGATTATCCATTGGACCATGGAAGAGCCATCAGTCATCGAATGCCTTAATAGGCCCAGTAATTTCCGTCCATTCTTTTAGTCCTTACAGCCAAACAGCAAAGGAGATGTAGGTGAGAAAACTGAGGTTCATGTCACACACTTGAGCAAGGGGTGACAATGGCATTAGGCAATAAATCCTGTGCTCTGATATGATGGAAACATCATATCAGGCTGCTTCCCTATTGGGAATACATGGGTAAGCAGTGGGGAGGTGGGAAGGGTTGTGGCTCATCAGCCTCCAGTCTTCTGATTAGGTCTTCATGTTGAGCATGTGGACTGGGGACTTAGGTCATATAACCATCTAGGTAGACCTGGTGTAGAAAAGGGTGCCTGAGCTCTCAACAGTGATGTTATAAAGTGATGATTAATAACAAGAGGAAGGCTGAACAAGTTACACCAAGGCTGAAAGTTGGGAGGGGAGATAAAATTGTCATCTGTTTAAAGACATAGAGAAATATATTTGCCCTTTACATTATATTCTTCTACCAGTAAACCACTGTCAGATAGCTTTTTGAGATTTGGGTTTAGATTTGGAAGTCAGCACTTGTGAGAACTGTACGTGTATTTTAAAGTAATAAACGGATGAGGTTGTACACAGTTTTACCAACTTGGCTAATGTTGTTGTCAAAACAAGCTAGAAATATGATGTGCTAAGGAAAGCCAAATTTTAAAAAAAAGTGCTTTTATATAGATTTATACACACACACACACACACACACACACACATATGTATATATATGTACTTTTTACCTAAGGTACTGCCAGTGAATGCTGTCACTGGAAGAGAGAAACATTATATATCTTTGCTATTAGCTAAATTTTATTACTTTTTATTACATTGACTAATCTTAAAATCAAGGGCTCTTTGAACAGGTTTGGACCTCAACAGTAGTGTGTTAGAATGATTTTTTTTTAGAAATCTAATTTCATTTCAAATTCTCATATAGGGAACCTTTTCCAAAGAATAAAACAACTTTTGTAAAAGCAAATAATGACACTCAATTTATCTGTTTGAAAGCTTAGAATGTTTTCTGCTTTCATTTTTTTAAAGAGAGTCACATATATTTGGTTCATGTTCTCTTACAACATAAACTGCTATCAGGAAAGTTTTCAGATCTTTGAAAATATCTCAGTAATGTCCTATTGCTATTATTATTACTATTATTATTATTATTGAGTAATCTCAGAACCATCACAATGGAAGTACTAGTGATAAGAGAAGGATCTCTTAAGGTATCAGTGTCTATCATGTATTTGAAAGTGCACCAAGATCAGCTAAGACTACATGATTGCAAAACTTACTGATTGTTGAATGATGGGCTCAATTTTTATGAGTTTATCAGTAATGTGAAAGTGAGGAGAAAATTGGGCAAAGCACTAAAACAAGAAAAATGAACCAGGCAGAAAAAAATTTAGGGAAACATATAACATTAAACAAGCACTTTAAAGAAAAAGAGGGCATATTGCTGCTGATAAAAGAATATTTTTATACTTGTGGTTGAAAAAATACTTTTGAATGAAAAATGTATTTTAGTTCTGCTGATAAAGTGTCATGGTATTTGTAATAAAGCAATTGATATTATGATATATAAAGGTAAGAATCAAGACATATTTTTAAAAGCAAGCTTAAAAGGGAAAATGTCAGAAGGGCTCTATCCCATGAAACAGGAGAAGGAAGGTGGGAGTGAGGGAAGAAGTTCAGAAGCTGTACCAAATCAGGGAATAGAGATTGGGAAGTAAGGGAGCACTTCTTGTAAACCAGATGTTCCGCAAATGGTAGGTGTGTCTGCAAGCATTTACCAAGCAGGGTGAATCTCATTAAATACTGGAAACAGGTGAAAAATAGGTAGTAGACTATGGGCAGCAAGAATCATGATCACAGAAGAGAAATTGGACCTTGATTAGCAAGAGCTTCTTATCTGCCCATGCATCCTTGGCCCTCTTTCTGGAGAGATGCTGGGACAGGTCACTTGGACCAGGCTGTCTCCATTCTCAGGAAACTCAAGTCAGAAGCAGAGTCTGGGTGTTGAGCTCCATGGGCTATTACCAAATGATTGGAATGAAGTTTGCACACATCATGAGTAAGAGTATTCAAGGGACTGGACATGATGGTTCGCTCCTGTAATCCCAACACTTTGAGAGGCCAAGGTAGGAGGATCACTTGAGGCTGGAGTTCAAGACCAGCCTGGGCAACATAACAAGACCTCATCTGTATAAAAATAAAAAATTAAGCCGAGCAGTGGCTCACACCTGTAATCCTGACATTTTGGGAGGCCAAGGCAGGCAGATCACTTGAGGCCAGGAGTTTGAGACCAGCCTGGCCAACATGGTGAGACCCTGTCTCCACTAAAAACACAAAAACTAGTCAGGCATGGTGGCGCATGCCTGTAATCACAGCTACTCGGGAGGCTGATGTGCAAGAATTTCTTAAACCCTGGAGGTGGAGATTGTAGTAAGCTGAGATTGCACCACTCCACTCCAGCCTGGGTGATAGAACAAGACTGTATTAAAAAAAAAGAAAAAGAAAAAAAAGAAAATTAGCCAGGCATGGTAGTGTGCACCTGTATTCCTAGCTATTCTGGAGGCTGAGGAGGGAGAATCACTTGAGCCCAGGAGTTTGAGGTTGCAGTGAGCTATGATTATGCCTCCAGCCTGGGTGACAGAGTGATATCCTGTCTCTAAAAATAAATAAATAGTATTCAAGGAACTGGAAGTCATTATGTTAAGTGAAATAAGACAGACACATATTCTCACCCATATGTAAGAGCTAAAAAACTTGATCTCATAGAAATAGAGAATTTTGATAGTACCAAAGGTTGGGAAGCATTTGAGGGTGGGGTGGGGGAAATGAAGAGAGATTGATGGATGAGTACAAACACAGTTAGATGGAAGAAATAAGTTCTAGTCCAGGCATGGTGACTCATACCTGTAATCCCAACACTTAGGGAGGATGAGGCAGGAGGATCACTTGAGGCCAGCAGCTTGAGACCACCTGGGCATCAAACTGAGACCCCATCTCTACCAAAAAAAAAAAAAAATTAATCCCATTTTTTTAAATAAAATAAAACAAGTTCTGATGTTCAAAAGCATTGTAGGGTGACTATACTATAGTTAGCAACAACGTGTTGTATATTTTAAAGTAGTTTGAAGGGAGGACTTGAAATGTTCCCAATACATAGTAGTGATAAATATTCGAGATGATGTATACCCTAAATACTCTGACTTAATCATTACACATTTTATGCATGTATCAAATACTCACGTGTACCCCCATAAATATGTAAAATATTATATACCAATAAGAGAGAAAAAAGTGTGCAAAATCAGAAAGCTGTAGTTACAGTATCAGAAATACTTTGAGCCAGAAATCCAGAGTAATGATCCCTCTTTCCCTGGGGAATCTGCCAGCCTTTCAACACCAGGAGAGAGAAAGGAGTATCAATTCAGGGTGTATAAGCCCCTAAGAAGAGGCCATATGGATTTAGGTTCTCAAAATGTAAGAATATGCATCATACCAATTTGTTCTGAATTTTTTAAAACTCCAGGAATGCGGAAGAAAATCTTCCAAGAAATTAACCAAAGAGAGAAGTATATGTTGTAGCACCTTCCCATCCTTACCAAAGCAAAAAATAATTTTAAAGAAACCTATCTATACATTTTGAGTCCTTGAATTCTTAAAGTGATTTGGGGACTAGACATAGGTGGAAACACTTTTCACAAAGCCCTGTTAGGATTTAAGCTTCTAAACTTTTATGAACATACAATAGATAACCTCGTGTTATCAAACTATACCGTCTAGTCAAATGCAGTATTTATAATCCAGGCTACGTCTCTCATTTATTTTCAAAATTGGATTGAAAGCAATAATTTTGGGAATAATCTGAAACCATTTTTACCAAGTGTTTTGCCAAGTTTGAAAGGGCTAGAGAAAGTACATAAACACAGCCTCACTTCTTTCCTCATCCATTTCATCGTGCTGACAGTTTTCTGTAGAATCATTACAAGAGTGGTTTGTGCCATTAGAGATAAGAGGCTGTGTTTCCACTAGAAACCTCTATTTTCCAGACTTTTTATAAATCATCCATAAATATTCACTCCATGCAACAGCATCATATACAGTGATCCTGTCCCTCAAAATCCATATCTACTTAACTAAATTATTTTTAGTAAACATGGGGACTCTTACACTATACAAAGAATAAAAAGAAAAATCAAATGCAAATAAAGTCTTACGTTTCGGTGGCTATGATTTGAACCAAAATACTGAGGAACCCATAAAACAATGCACATGACAGTTTCTTAGCAATTATTTTAGGATATAATTCAGTTGTAATAAAATTTATTAACTCATATATAACCTATTAATTCAAAATATACCTCTCTACATTACTTTCTGTTTTTATAAAGGCAACTAAATTTTTACTTCTATTTTTTCAACTAAAACTTTTTGTAGAACTTTCTAATCCTCATCACATGCTTTTTTGTTACAGAGTTTGAGATGGAATTATATAAAGAGCTATGAAATTACATGTTATAAGCCTTTGAATGTAATAATCCCCTTAATATTTCCAAATATACTTAAGACTTATCAATATCATTGACAGTTTTTAGCTCCTTTGTAGATACTTCAGCACTCTATTTTTGTCTTCCACCTGAAAGAAAAGAGTTGACAATTTAATGATTATATCAAATGAGAAGTCAAAATATACTACTTCCCCCAATCTGGAAAAATAGAATTGTGAAGATCAGGAAACAGAGACTAAAATCACATCAACCCATTAAAATGAAATACTTTGTTCTTAACCTCACCATTTTTAATTTTCATACTCGCAGTTTTCCATTGCTTGAATTAAATGCTTATCTTGTTACACTGTTGAGCCCGGCTGTGTGTGTGAAATGCTGTCGAACAAGAATCTAAACAATGTTGAAATAATTTCCCTTGCGCTTTGACTTCAGTTTGAGTGCGCAGTCACGGCACTAACCTAAAGTTTATTTCTCTTTCTTCTTTTCAAACAGCTATTTTGTGACAGTAAGGAAGTGGTGCATGCCACGGAGGGGCTGGATTGGGAAGACAAAGATGCTCCAGGGACGTTGGTCGGCAACGTGGTGCACTCAAGGATCATCAGTCCCCTGCGCCTGTTTGTTAAACAGTCTCCGGTGCCCAAGCCCGGCCCCATGGCGTACGCAGACAGCATGGAAAACTTTTGGGATTGGCTGGCCAACATCACGGAGATTCAGGAGCCATTGGCAAGAACTAAACGGAGGCCAATAGTAAAAACAGGAAAATTTAAGAAAATGTTTGGATGGGGTGACTTTCATTCCAACATTAAAACTGTCAAACTCAATCTCCTCATCACAGGGAAAATTGTTGACCATGGAAATGGAACCTTCAGTGTGTATTTCCGACATAATTCAACAGGCCTGGGCAATGTTTCAGTGAGCTTGGTACCACCCTCCAAGGTGGTGGAATTTGAAGTTTCCCCCCAGTCTACCTTGGAGACCAAGGAATCCAAATCTTTCAATTGTCGCATTGAGTATGAAAAAACAGATCGGGCGAAAAAGACCGCCCTGTGCAACTTTGACCCATCCAAGATCTGCTACCAGGAGCAGACTCAGAGCCATGTGTCTTGGTTGTGCTCCAAGCCCTTCAAGGTCATTTGCATTTACATTGCCTTTTACAGTGTTGATTATAAACTCGTGCAAAAGGTGTGCCCTGACTACAATTACCATAGTGAGACCCCATACTTATCTTCTGGCTGATCTTCCTGCTGTGGTGGAAATGAGGGATACATATGTATTTGATTAGAATGACAAAGAAACAAGCCCAGCTCTTTATGATAAAGGATCCCTTTTGTTTCTGGCAGTGAACAATAGTTCCCTATCAGGTTTTCAAATTTAAAAAAAGAAAAAGAGACATCTTTAAGTGTGAAATTTGTTTCTTTCTATCGTAGGTACCTTTATCTAAAAAGTTAAACTGTTTATGAAACCATCACTTTCATGCAAGATGACTAAGTTCTAGAAATCTTATTGTTTCTCTGAAAGAAACATCAATGATAGCAATATGTGACAAGAAGGAACAAAATTATGCATGTGACAAACATTGCTCTTGAAATGAGCCTGCCTTTGAAATATGTTTTGGAAGGTTACCGCAGAAACAGCAGATGCGGTAAAGGAAAAGATTGTATTTGATAGATGAATTGTGTTTTTGACATTGGACCCTTTTTTTTATATTTCTATCTTTTCCCCCATCCATCTGTGCTGTTATTGATATGAGAGAAAAAAAGGTAAAATTTGTTTCAAAATTCATGTGTGAAGTTACAGTGCCACAGTGGAACCAAGTTCCTTATCATCTGAGCTACAGTTGCGTGGAATGTGATTTGAGCACTTAGCCCTGTGTTGGTCACCATTCTTATGATTCCCCCTGAGTTTGAATACTGATGTAATGGGAAAGCAAATCTGAGAATAAGTTTGTTGAACGATAACAAAAATCATGATGTTTTTAGACTCTTCTGATAAATTCAAATGCTGTGGAATTAATCAAAAAATGACAAAATTTGTATGCATCCTATAGCTTAGAGCTTTATTCAATTCATTCGATAGTGTGATTCTTTACACATGTGTAGAACAGCTCTGAAGTTGAGTGAAAGTGCTTGTTTCCTAGACTAGAATAGAAAACAAAAGTGGGAAGTAGAGGGAGGAAATTTCAGGATTATGGATTCATTATTTCTAGCCTCCCAGATTAAGTTCCCCTTGCATTTAGTTAATATTTGAATAAGAGATCAAACTCTATGTGGAAATAGAGAGTTATATTTAAACATTTCTAATTATTAAGTGCTGACAACCAAGATACCTGGCTTACCAGACTTTTGAAATGACTTTCAAATTAATGTCACTTCACAGTCAGTGCCCTTCTCATCTTCCCTGTGGGGGTGAATAGCAGTCCTATATGGTAGAACTGAATGATCATTAAATTAGAACAGAAACAGGGGTCTGGTTGGCCAAGAAAAAGGCTTCTAGAACTCAGGACGCTCATGGAATGGTCACTCCTTTTACAATAGATGTTAACTTCTTTCTCCCTTCTTATCTGTAAAATATTAATTAAAGTAAAACATTAAATTGAGGACTAAAGGAAGAGAAGTCCTAAACAACAAGAAATACTCTTACCACACTGTTCAAAAAACCAAGAGCTCTGTTCTCTATCTTCATTTCTTTCCTTTTACCGGTAATATCTGCAGTGTTCAATTTTTGTCTTTTGTAAAAATTGTACTAAGCTTAGTGTGTGGTAGTACAGGCTTGAAGTTCTTGCTCTGAGTTCACCACATGTTTTTGTAATTTTGTGGTTGGTGATTAATATTTTGAAACATCTTTTTATTTTCACCTAGAAACAAGAGTAAAATATTATTTATTGTAAAATATGTGGGAATCATATATCTATATATATATACTTAGAATTTTCTGTGTACAGAGAAAGTATGTGTACACATTTTATGTAAATAAAAAGAATTTGCTAGATCTGTCACATTAATCCTGGGTGGTTATTTTTTAAAGACTCTGTTCTCCTTGTTTCTTTTCCTCACAAGGGCTTATTCTGTGCATGTGTGTGTGTGTGATACCAATTGAACAAGAAGGTTTCCCTTAGATACATGTTAAATAGGCATCTTGGCTGTGGAGATTTTAAAGTAGGGCAAAAGAATAACTCACATAAAACATTTTGTACATAGCATGGCATCTAGTAAGAAAGAACTCTACTTGTGAGCTGCCATTATGATTATTATTGTTTTGACGTGAAGTAATGAGGTTTAAAACTATCTGATGTTCCAAAGTTGAGAGATGTGAACATTATTTCTATGCAAAAAAAAAAAACAAAAAAAAAACTGTAAATTGATTTATACAGTTCTTAGATGTTAGCAGCGTTTGTGGAATTTTTTAAAAGTTTCCCATAAGCTCGTTTGTAAGTTGGAGTAGAATATATGCCACATATATTTCTAAGTCATAATTTCATTTCAAAGCATACCTAATTGTCAGTAATGGTACTTGGCACAATATAAATCAGAGCCCACTTAAGCATGCAAATACACACATTTCTACAAAACTATTTTTTGCCCTTTAGTACTGCTATTGAGGAAAAGGATATTCATGGAAGCTAATTTTGCACTCAGTCACAAACTGTTTAAAAACTAAAGCAACAGAACTTTTAAACGTATAGACATATTAACATATAGAAGAGTAATATTTCAAAGAGAGTGCAGCCTACACTACCTTCTTAATCCTCTTTTTTGACAGACAGGAAAACCCAAGTCCCCATGAGGGTAATGATGTGCCCACTAGTAAATGGCAAACCCAACTGAAATGCATTTCTCCTGACTCCTAGTCCCAGCTCTTGCGTTACATAAGAAAGGTAAATTGAAGCAGGTATTCAAGACAACAAAAATAATTGCAATGAGTTTATAACAAGACAGGACCCAGTAGCCAAAACTGAACCTGAAAACGGTGAAAATAACCTCCCCCTAAAATATTTAGGATAATAATTTATCTATGATCACAAATTTTTTAAAAACTGCAACTACAGAAAAGTAAGTCAGGATAAATCCTTATATCCAAAGATAGGAGTCCTGGAATACATTAGCAATATGACTGGCTAAGAATTAACAGCAGTAGAACACTACATTGGGCAGTTTTCAGGTGATTATGGCACCTGAGAATATATTTTCATAGGAATTGGTATGTTTTGGGGAATATCTTGATTGCCTAAAGGTTTGATTTCACCTCATAAAGAATTTTAAATTAATTAACTGGCCTGTAAAATGTAGAGGATGGAGTCATGCATTCTTACTTGCGGGGAAACTAAAGTTAACTCAATGTTGATTAATCAGAACTCTTAATGAATGACAATTTAATATTGCCAATTGCAAGAGACAAATCAGGATAACAAGTTCATATTAGAGATTATTTTTCCTTCAGGAAAGTCTTGTAGATGATACTCAAAGATCATTTCATCTTCACCCCAATCTCCTACCCCATATTCTGAGGTCTGGAATCCTGGGAACACAACCCATTCTGCTTCATTTTAAAACTTCCCTTCTCTACATTCAACTCAGCTGTCCCATAAATACAGACAGTCCCTGATATACAATGGTTCAACTTACAATTTTTCGACTTTACGATGTTGCAACAGCCATACGCATTCAGTAGAAACAGCATTTTGAGTACTCGTACAACCATTCTGTTTTTCACTTTCAGTGAAGTATTCAATAAATGACATGAAATATTCACCACATTATTATAAAATAGGCTTTGAGTTAGATTATTTTACCCAGTTATAGGCTGATGTGTCTGAGCACATTAAAGGTAGGCTAGGCTGACCTATGATGATCGGTAGATTAGGTGTATTAAATGCATTTTTAATTTAGGATTTTCAACGTACAATGGGTTTATCAGGATGTAACCCCGTGTATTGAGGTGCATCTGTAGTACTTAATCTATTATCTAAAATAATGAGTTAACTCTTTTGTGTCCTCCACAGCACCTGGTAAAGTGTATAGTATATTAGCATTCTCCAGAGAAATGGAACCAATATGACATGTAGAAAATTGTATGAGAAGATGTATTATCCTCATACATGGAGAGAATTGGCCCACACAATTATGGAGGCTAAGAAGTTCAATCATATACCCTCTGCAAGCCGGAGAATCATGGTTCAAGGTCAAAGGCCCAAGACTAGGAGTACCAATGTCCAAGGGCAGGAGAATATGGACGTCCCAGCTCAGCAAGAGAATGAGAGCAAACTCGCTGTTCCTTCACCTTTGTGTTCTATCCAGGCCCTCACTAGATAGGATGGTGCCTACCCATACTGCTGAGGGTGGGTCTCCTTCACTCAGTCCACTGATTTAAATGCTCATCTCTTCCAGAAACACCCTCACACCCTTAGAAGTAATGTTTTTCCAGCTATATGGGTATCCTTTCACCCAGTTAAGTTGACACTTAAAATTAACCATCGCAAGTAGGTACTTGATCAATATCTGTTGCTTGATTTTTAAAAAAATCTCCAGTGCAATACACTGATTATTCAAGACCCACTCTACCCACATCATAAGAGTTATCTTGCACCATTTCAAACATGAGCACCTTGCTTCAGCTGAACACAATACCCACAGAATGTTAGCTCTCAGAAGCACAGAAATTTAAAAGCCAGAAACAATTTTAGAAAACATCTAGAATAAGTTTTCTTTATCAGCTAAAGAAATGGAGTCCTGGCTAGGTTTAACAGTCTTGTTATACTTACTGTTTTTCCTGCCTGAGCAAAGCCATTCGTCATCTTCTTTATTCCTCCAAATCACTGATGTTCCGTATCTGGGATAGAAACTCCCAGCTGTCCACCAAAATTCATTCTACTTCTCTATTGCAATGGAAAGGTCAACTGTGTGGCTAGCCCTGCATCTCATGTAGTATGGTGTGGCCTTGTTGCTGAGCCACAGCTAGTGGAGTGTGAGAGGAAAGGGTGTGTGCATTTTTAGGAGTAGACTCACCCAAGAGTATTCCCATACTTCTCTGTGTTCTTTTCCCTTCGGCTGACTGGGATAGATGCCCTGAGGACACATTGGTAGAGACAAAGAAATCCCCAGTTTGAATACTTTTCTGATAATGGAAAAGGGTCACTCAACTAACCCCAAACCTACCCTGGACTGCTATATGAGAGATAAGCAAATACATGGTTCTTTAATCATTAAAATATTAGGATGAATGTGTTACTGCAGCTTGGCATGACCTAACAACAACATTGCACAAAATCTTCTCTATCTATATACTCTAGCACACTCTGATCTTTGTCTAGTTGAATTGCGTGTTTGAGTCTATGCTGGGCATTGCAGTAATAATTTAATGTGCACAACTTTGAGTTTGCCCTATTACTTATACTTCTTTATGTGTTCCATCACCTAAAAAATAGGTTCTCCATATTTTATACTTTTTGAATGTTTCACAATGCCCAGATTAAGCTGTTATCTTAAAAAGTGTCATATATATGGTATTAAGCTTCATTGAATGATATGTAGGGAAGTTGTTTACTTAAATACGTGTGTTTTCCGAAAGATCCATATAAAATAGAGGTGGAGAATTCTTAAGATAAGGAAACAAAAATTCAAGAATCATGTTAATTCCACTTCCCATACTAAGGCAAGGCAGATGAGTATACATTTTTTTCTATCTTTCTTTTTGTTGGTAATGCACTACTTTAATTTCTAATTCAAAAGGTACCAAAATGGTATACAGAGGAAGGCCTCCTTCCTACTTCTTTTCCATAGCTACCTTGTGCCCTTCTCCAGAGACAAGCCAGAGTATACATTTCTTGTCTATCCTGGCAGAGATAAATTAGTATGCTTTTTGTTCTCACTCATATGTGGGAGTTAAAAAAAAAAAAGTCAATCTCATGAAGGTGGAGATGTAGTTTGATAGTTATCTGAGGCTGGAAAGGGTATTGGAGGTGGTGAGAGGGGTTGGTTAATGGACACATACAGTTACAGAGAAGGAATAAGTTCTAATGTTCTATAGCAGGATAGGGTGACTATACTTAACAACAGTGTATTATATATTTCAGAATAGCTAGAAGAGAGGACTTGAAATGTTCCCAACACAAAGGAATGGTAAATACTTGAGGTGATACCATAAATATTCTGACCTGATCGTTATGTATTCTATCCATGTAACAAAATATCACACGTACCCCATAAATATGTACAAAGATCAGGTATCAATAAAAATATATTTTTTTAAATTATAGGTTTTTTAAGTATTTTATTTTTATTTATTTATTTTGAGATGAAGTTTCACTCTATCACTCAGACTCGAGTACAGTGGTGCCATCTCGGCTCACTGTAACCCCTGTCTCCCAGGTTCAAGCAATTCTCCTACCTCAGCCTCCTGAGTAGCTGGGATTACAGGCGTGAGTTTTTGAGGTATTTTAAATTATTACAAATGTTTCCTTCCATTGCCTGGGATGCTCCATTTTGTGTGTTGTGTGTATTCTGGCTAGTTGAAGCGTTGTGATGCACTAATTCGTTATTGTTTCCTTTAAATAAATCACTTTTAAATGTTAAAAAAAGAAAATTTTGATTTAAAATACTACCTATAATCCCATTACTAATAAATTAAATATATTTGTTCTATGTTTTTCTTCTCAGTTTTATTTATATATGGATGTGTTTGTGTGTGTATCTGTGTGTATATATGTAGTTTTGTGTATGTGTGTGTGTGTGTGTCTGTGTGTCTGTGTGTATGGAGTTTTTATGGAGTTGCAATCATGTACTATGTGGTAGTGTAATAAATACAACATTATATCTGATATTTAAAACTTTTGACCAGAATAAAAGGACACTAAGAGCACTTCCTGAGAAAACTATGTGGAAAATAGTGCATGGCTGGATATGAAGTCACAAATGGAGTACCCCCAGGATTGTGTGAATAATGGGATGCCCTCTCCCTTCTTTCTTGTTATCCACCCTAGGATAAAGAGAAGTCCAATATAATTATTCTAGTCCCTGAAACATAATTTTGCAAAACTTGGTGGGTCAAAACAGAAAGTACAAGCTGGGGGTGGTTGTTTATGCCTGTAATCCCAGCACTTTGGGAGACCAAGGGAAAAGTATTGTTTGAAGCTAGGAGTTCCAGACCAGCCTGAGCAACATAGTGAGACCTCTACCAAAAAAAAAAAAAAATAACAAATTAGCTGGATGTGGTGGTGCACACCTGTAGTCCTAGCTACTTAGGAGGCTGAGGCAGGAGGACCACTTGAACCCAGGAGTTCAAGATTGCTGTGAGCTCTGATTGCACCACTGCACCCCAGCCTGAGTGACAGGGCAAGACCCTTTCTCTAAGAAAATTTAAAAAAAAAATGTTTTTCAATTACAAATCTGTTTTAGGAAGATTAAGCTCAGATCCCACTCCCAATAGAATCTTGGAAGCCAACTCATTCTCAGAGTCCCTGTGACATCCATTTTGGCAAATAGAACCTATCATTATCATAATCCCACTCCACTCACTTTATGAAAGAACCATGCAAATCATAGCATTATAGAAGTGAAAGGAACTTTACAGAGAAAAGAAGCTAATATTTATTGATGCCTACTCTGGTCGGCCACCATCCTAGATAATTTACAAATAAGCACAGTGTTTGGAGTTAATCCAACCTGGATTTATGTCTTGAATCTGCCATTTAATAGCGCTATGAATTTAAGCCAGTTATTCAACCTCTTTGAGTTTCAGTTTACTTACCTGCAAAATGGAGTTATAATAACTGTCTCACAGTGTTGTTTATATCACACAGATTATGAGCAGTAAAGGAAGATAAGAACTTTAAACTACAATACACTTAGTATTTTTTTTTTTTTGCTACCAATTACTTTTATATTGTATAGACATATCAAGGTCAATGTAAATAATTAGATGTCATTATTTTTATTCAAAATCTCTCCCTCCAAAATTACTTCATATATCATTACAAATATCTTCATTACTAGGCTGAAATCCATATTTGCAGGTACACTTCTCACTTATCTTCAGAGAGATGTCTACTTTCCATCCATATTTAAAAGAAATTGAAAATTTAGACCTAGCGTATTGCATAGAGAAAATCAAAGATTTTTCTTTAAAAAAGGGCCTTCAGATCACAAAGTCCGGATTTCTTTTAGGTAGAAAATAAATATTGCACTTAACAAAAAAGCAAAGCAAAAAACTCCAATTTTACTTAGTAGATGCCGCTTAACAAAACAGCGATTACCAAAGGAAAACGTAAGGCAAAAAAGAGGTCTGGACATGGTGGGCACCTGGTCGATAATCTTGCTCTTTACTTTTAATTTTACGTCAGCATAATCCATGTTACATTGCAGGGTCCCAGCAGCTACTTTGTACAGTGTGGCCTTGCCCATTGTGCCCTGTCTGTAGCACTGGGAACGAGCATCTCACCCATACTGGGCCAGTCAGAAGCCTTCTCTGTGAATTTAGAATGAAGACCAACAGACAGTTCATCTTGGAACATTACACTTACGAGATGTTGGACATAATGTTTTCCAAAATCTAAGTAAGAGAAGCAAGTGAAACTGTCCTGCAAAAAGAGAAAAATGGAAGCAAACAGTCAGAAAGGAGCAGAGAGGAGAAAAGGCAAGACCGGAAAGTACTCCAGTCTCACATTCCGGTTCATTCCTGAAGGCTGGCTGCAATTTCTGCCTTTGGGTGCAGCAAGGGAGCTGTATGTATCATTGTAATAAGCTTTCCTTAAAAATATTTTTTCTATAGATAACTGTATTAGTCAGAGACCTAACAGAAAACAAAGGTCACTCAAATCGTCTAATACTCCTGTGGGAGAAGTATACATCCCCACTTGTTTGACTTTGGGTTTGACCGTGTTACATGCTTTGGCCACTTGAATGTGAGTAAACTTGACATTGTCCCTATCCAGGTAGAAGCTTTACGTGCAATTGTAGGGTTTGAGTTGAGCTCTGTCTTGTGTTTTTGCCTATACCAAGAGAACATCATATTCTTTCAACCTGGGATCCAGAATGAGAAGATACTTGAACCTGGGCCATAGCCAAATCCATAGCTCTGATGTTTCATGAGAAAAATACTAATGTCTATTGTTTTAAACTACCAAAACGTTGGAGTTGTTTGTTGTCACAATAATAGCTGACAAATACAGTGATGGGCCCATAGATTAGCAACAGCTGAAGGCCCTTGCCATTGTTAGGCCAAAGATAAGAGAAGAAAATGTATTCTGAGAGCCAGCAAGAACAAGAGTGTGAAGAAAAGGCTGTCTACCTGGTGGGAGCTATGATCAAGGAGCGTAGTTACTGCTCAAATGAGAGCAAAGAAGGAAGCATCCAGATCTCTCTTTCTTCTTACTCTCAAATTTGACAAGGCTTCCCACTGCCAAGCCCAACCAGAAGTCAACCAACATGATGACCCAAGAGACTGAGTCCAAGGGCTCAGCATCCCAGAGCATAGAGCAAGAGAGTGGCCAGACACAAACCACTTGCCAATAGCAGAGAATGGATGGAAACTAGGAGAAGAAGGGAAAATGCAGAATAACCCAAAAAAGCAGTTCAAATTGGCTTATGTTATATGCAGCCAATCAAGAGTCCTAATGCCAAACATAAATTTGATTTACATGAAGAATTACAGAAACATAACAATTTCAGAAAAATTTCTCAAAATGAGCATAGAGATCATATGTTACCAGTAAGCTAAAAGTTTCTTTACTTAAATGAATCCTTTCCAATAAAACAGGAATCACATTTTACTAAAGAGATTCCATGTTACCTAGCATCATTTCATGAATGTTGTGTGTTACAGTAAGTACTTCATCTGGATAATGACACTGATAGTAGATTTGCATCTCTTTTAGCATCAATTTGGATTGTTGTACTTCTACTTTCCCAGCCATATAATGTAGAAAAATACTTTGCACTATAGTTCTCAAAAATTTTAGGTAACGTAAAACAGAGAGTGTTATTTTGCAAAAGACAATCCTGAGTTGTTGGATTCTACAAGTGATTTATTCTTCTACGTCACGGGAAAACAAATGCCCTTTCTAACTGACTGAGACTCTTTTCATTTGTCAACTATTGATCCCCTCCCACAACCTCTCTTCTTAGCTCCGTGATTCTTCTGGAGGTTAAACCAGTAAAGCCCAGTCCCATTTATTCCTTCCTACTTCATGCTGTAGTATCACCATCGATAATATCAGAGCAGCCAGCCACTCATCTTCAGTTAGTAGCAAAGTGGCAGACTAGAAGGAAGGTTTTAGAGGTTGCCTAAGCATTTCCTTTCAGGACCCAATAATATAAATTAAGCCTTGAGAGCAACTATGAAATACCTATTTTTAAAAAATATTTCCTTTAAATTGTATGTGCAGCTATACCTGCAGTGCCCCTCTGATAGCCATTTTAAGCAAAAAGCGAGAGGAAAAGTCATAATAGGCATCAGCATATGGTGTGTTAAATAGGAGGCTGGCAGGTTACAAGAGGGAGAATGAAGGGAATGGGCCAAACTGAAAGTCAAGGAAAAAATCTGCATCACTCCCAAATACCATGCTCTTCATAATTTATTTCCTGGGTCTACTCTTGATATTCCCTTTACTTTTAGCTCCTCACATCCTTCTGAAAAACATTTTGTTACCTGAAGACTTGTATTGCTTTTAACTCATGAATAACTACTTCATACTTCTGAGCTGTTTTGCAAAGAAAAAGTCATCTCTTCCTTAAGCCTTTGCAATTAAATTGACACTATTATGAACACTGCAAGTGCCAATCCTCCATAAACATTTAGAGTACCCAACACCACCCTATACTGTAAAACTAAGAAGTCAAAAAAAAAAAAAAAGCATATGTGTCTGTCTAAATAATTGTTGCTGATTCCTTAGGTGGATCAGTAATTTTGTCATTTGAAGGATATCGTCATTTAAATTGTACTGACTTCTCTTTAGACTGGAAGCTACACAATTAAAAAAAAAATAAAAGGTTTCCTCTCAACTTCTTTTCCAGCCTGTGAAATATTAGTAGGTGGTTTGCCCTCAGTGGTGCTTTACTAATATTATTAAAGATAACAGTAGATCGGTCTACAACTGCTTATTTACTTACACTCCATCTGTCCAAGAAAGCATTTAAAGTGGTTTGTAAAAATAGATTTGCAGCCTACATGGACGCTCACTAAGAATGAGTGGCATAATCGATTAGCAGAGTCTGCATGGGTATGGGAAGGGGAGTCAGTGCATATGCCATTCCAGTTTAGTATATATAAAAAATAAAACCAGGCCAGGCGCGGTGGCTTACGCTTGTAATCCTAGCACTTTGGGAGGCCGAGGCGGGCGGATCATGAGGTCAGGAGATCGAGACCATCCTGGCCAATGCAGTGAAACCCCGTCTCTACTAAAAAAAATACAAAAAGGTAGCTACTCGGGAGGCTGAGGCAGGAGAATGGTGTGAACCCGGGAGGCGGAGCTTGTAGTGAGCCCAGATCGCGCCACTGCACTCCAGCCTGGGCGACAGAGCGAGACTGTCTCAGAATAAATAAATAAATAAATAAATAAATAAATAAATAAATAAAACCAAATTTTTAAGGAAAATGTAAGTGAATAATCACATAAATGACTAAGTATAAATGACTAATCATGTAAATTTATTAAAGATCTTTCCAAATTCAACATTAAAGTGGGAACCATAAAACAAAAGACTGACACATTTGATAAATAAATTTTTTAAAATAATCATGTAAAAGTAAAAATGAATAATCATATAAATTTATAAAAGGGCTTTCTGGCCTGGCCTGGTAGTTCATGCCTGTAATCCCGGCACTTTGAGAGGCCGAGGCAGGCAGATCATGAGGTCAGGAGTTCGAGACCAGCCTCGCCAATATGGTGAAACCCCGTCTCTACTAAAAATACAAAATTAGCCCGGCGCGTTGGTGCGCACCTGTAGTCCCAGCTACTCGCGAAGCTAAGGCAGGAGAATCGCTTGAGCCCGGAGGCGGAGGTTGCAGTGAGTTGAGATAATGCCACTGCACTCCAGACTGGGTGACAGAGCAAGACTCCGTCTCAAAAAAAAAAAAAAAAAAAAAAAAGGGTCTTTCCAAATACATCACTAAAGCAGGAGCCATTAAACAAAAGCCCAATAAATTTGACAACTAAATTTTGAAAATGTCAGAACAGGCCACAAAAAAGGGTAAAAAGAAAAGAAAAACTGGAAAGTGGCAACACTCATTAAATAAAGTGTTAATATCCTTTAAGTCTATAATACCCCTTCTAGTCAATAATCAAATATATTCTCCACAATAATATAGACAGAGAACATTGTATTAGCTGCACCCAATAGAAAACCCAACTTAGGATGATTTAACCTAAAGAAGTATTTATTTTTTGCAGGTAATATAAGTCTGGGGGTAAGCTGTCTGGAGTTGTTACGGAAGCATCATGACGTAGCCTTGCCGACAGGGGCCAGGCTTTTCCTGCTGTACCAGCCTTAGCAGGTGGCTTTTATCCCCTTCTCACTTGATGGTGACAACCTGCAGCAAAAATGCAGTCTTATATCAGGCAGAAGGAAGAGACACAGGGCAAAAGCAAAATGAAACAAGCTGGCATATCCACCCTCATTTTAAAGGGCTTTCCCCAAAGTTCCTCTTGGCAACTTCCAGTTCTCATTAGCTAGAACTGTGCCATATGGCCAACCCTAGCTGCAAGGTAGGCTGAGAAATTCAGTTGTTGTCATTTAATTTAACAGATGACAGCCCTGAATAAAATTGAAGTATTTTCACTAAAAAAGAAGGGTGGGATGGATATTGGGGAAGCAAGTTACAGTTGAACCACAAGCATGAGCCTGTCATTCAAAGGAAGAAGAAAGGAAAGAAGGAATGGATGGGGGGGGAGGAAGGGGAGGAGGGAGAAATTATAGGATGGAGGGAGTAAGAAGGGAGAGAGCTCAAGAGGGAGGGTGGAAGGAAGGGTGAGGAAGATAAATGGTTAGTAAATATGTGAAAAGCTTTTGCCCTCACTATTGTCAAATTAATGCAAATGAAGGTTTGTTTTTCACCTAACAAACTGAAAATTTTAAAAATATTGACCAAATTGAAAGGTATGGAAGAAAGCAAACTTTCTCATAGTCCGCTTTCTCAAAGAGAATTTGGCAATATTTTCAAAAGTCATACAGGCTTTGCTTATTCTTTGACCCAGCTGCTGTACTGCTAAGAAGCCAGTCATAGATAAGCGTAAAGATTAAATGATGAGGATATTCTCTGGAGCATCAGTATTAACACAAATATATTAGAAACAACCGAAGTTTTCAGATAGAATTGTTAAAAATATTGAGGCACTTCTATGCAACAGAATTTTGCACAGTCATATAAATTGATGATGTGAAAGAAAATTCTGTTGAGACAAGTCTATCAAAGGCAGGTGAGTAACATTTAACAGAGGTTATTTTTAATTCACACCAACACATAGAATAGTGTGCACTGGGGTCCTCAACATTTCATTGCACAAAGCATAGTTGGAATAGTTTGGACTTGAAAATCATTCTAAGGCAGAAGAAACTAGATAGCCACCCTTCCCCAAACAAACTCTTTACAAAGCACCCATCAATTGCCCAGCTTTCAGCAAGGCTATTTTCTGATGTATTCTACAAAACAAACTATTTCCAAAATGTATGCCAAAGGAAGTAAATAAAGTTATTTGGCAATAAAGCATGATTATTTATTGAGGACATTTACCAAAAATAACAACTGTAGTTAAGAAATAAACGGCAGCCTTTCTTTTTGGCAAAAATCAGGGAGGCGTTTTTTGTTCAGGTCTTTTCTAACTCAATATAATGAAACCCTATCAACCGCATATAAAAAATGATTATCTTTCTGTTCACAGTAGTGAGGGATGGAGGGAGATCAGGCAATTAACTCACTCACAAATAATATAATTATGTAAGAAACAGTCAAGGGGAACGTTTCAAAACACGTCTTGGTATTACCCAGTTGGAAATTCTTAACTGTTTTATCCCCAAATCTTCTCAAACTGACTCTCATACCGATTCTGTTTGAGTATCAGCATAGGGGGTTCCATGCTGAGTGTTAGCACCTTAGTTCAAGGACATGTCAATGAAACCAAAAATAATTATAACTGAATATTATTTTTACTTGACTTTCTTATAAGATGGTAATGAATATAACATGGCAGAATAGCTGTGTCTGAAGACCACGTGCTACATACAAGATGTTGACTTGAGATACAACTTTAGTTAACAGATATCTGGCCAGGGTAAGGGTCCAGTGTTGATGCAATGATAAATAATGGGTACATAAGTTGTACAAACAAGGGACTGGGCTTCCAGCTTCCTCAGATTGTGGATTTCTTCTTCATTGTTTTTGTTTGTATTTATTTATTTAGAGACAGAGTCTTACTCTGTTGCCCAGGCTGGAATGCAGTGGTGAGATCTCAGCTCACTGCAACCTCTGCCTCCCAGGTTCGAATTATTCTCCTGCCTCAACCTCTCGAGTAGCTAGGATTACAAGCATGTGCCAACACACCTGGCTAATTTTTTATTTTTAGTTGAGACAGGATTTCACCATGTTGGCCAGGCTGGTCTCAAACTCCTGACCTCAAGTGATCCACCCACGTCAACCTCCCAAAATGTTGGGATTACAGGCATGAGCCATCGCTGCCAGGCCCTTCACTGTTTTTGTTCATTGTTTCTGCCTAATACTAGCTAAAGTGACCCCTGGTGTACTCAATAACTTATGTTTACTTTAGTTCAGTAAAGACACAATGTTCTGGATGCATCCATTAAGGACCATAATTGTAGAATTAATAAGAGTTCACCTGTCAAATGGTTCTTTAAAAGCATAGCTGATGTATTGGTCAGTATTCCAGCAGGAACAGATGATACCCTGAAGAGGTATTTTGAAAGAAATTTAATAAAGGGACTATTTACAGAGGAATTGCAAGAGTAGGGTAACTACAAAGAGTTGTTGAGACATCCAGGGAAGTCATCCATAGGAAGTCCCCACTACCCCAGGCTTGAAGGAGAAAGGAAGGAAACAGTGTTACAAAAGCTCAGTGAGATGGAACTATGGGAAAGGGGATGACAGACAAGAGCTGCAGCCATCAAGGATTTCAAAACACATCCTGCACTACCAGAACCTTAGCTAGGAGCAAGGAGAAAAGACAGGAAGAAATACCTCCACTTTTCTCTCCTCCTGCCTTCTAATCTGCTGGTGTCTTCTACTAATCAATCCAACCATGAGCCAATAAGCAAAGGAGACCATAAGGTGTAATATGTAGAGGTCAGAATCTCATGGGACAAGGCTGGGCATGGTGGCTTACACCTGTAATCCCAGCATTTTGGGAGGCTGAGGTGGGTGGATCACATAAGCTCAGGAGTTCGAGACCAGCCTGGCCAACATGGCAAAACCCCATCTCTACTAAAAATAAAAAATTAGCTGGGTGTGTTGGCATATACCTGTAAACCCAGCTACTCGGGAGGCTGAGACAGGAGAATTGCTTGAAGCCGGGAGGTGGAGGTTACAGTGAGCCAAGATCATGCCACTGTACTCCAGCCTGGGTGACAAAGCAAGACTCAATCTCAAAATATAAATAAATAAATAGAATCTCATGGGACAAAACAAGGCAAAGAAGGCAGAGCTTGGATGGGTTTGAGGGAGGTAGCAGCAAATGGAGAAAACCAGAGAGGAAGAAAATAGTGTCCCTTAAGGCGTGTTATTCAGAGTGTGAGGCGCCATTATTGGGATTCAATTTAAAAAAAAAATGAACAGAAAATCCAGATTTGTAGGTATGAGAGAAATGTGCCTCTCCGATGTCAACTGGGAAATGGTTTTCTAAACATTACTCACCAGAACGGTGTCTTTGCTAACCATCTCACTCTTCCCCCATTTCAATAAAAACTGCCACACTCAGGTTCTCCACAAGGTATTATTCTAATTTTTTGTAGAAAAGTTTATAATATGCTTTACATTTTATAAGACCCTCTATACTTTTATATGCTATAATTTGTTTTTGTTTTGGTTTGTTTTTGTTTTTGCATTAAATTGTCAGCTAGAAGGTCTTCCCCAGAAAATCAGGCAATAGACTATTGGTGTCATATTTGTTGAGTCATTTTTATTAATTTGGTAAAACTAGTTTTAAGCTATTTTTGAAATTCAGTTTCATTAAAAGAAAGAAAGCTTGTGCCTCTAGGTGCTTAAAGAAGTTTTAAATAGTCCTTAAGTCTGTAGGCCTTTGAGTGCATTATGTTCAACAGTATCTTAACCTTCTAAGGCTTCTAGTTTCCCCAAATTTCTTGAACAGCTATGTCCAGGGCTAAAACAAAGAGGATCTCTCACCTGAACTCCAGACCCATACATCCCACTGTCTATTCATCATCTCCGTGTAGATTCACAGTAAGCATTTCAACCTGAACAGGTCCAAGTTCAAACTCTAATCCTCCACCCAAAGTCTGCTCATATACTGGCCTCTGTTATCTTTCCATTTGCTCAGCCCCCAAAACTTTGAGTCATACTTTACTGCTCTTTTTCTCACACCTCATATCCAATCCAAATATGAGCCCTATTTGGACCTGCCATTTGCACTGTATGCCTGTATTCCAAACCACATCCCCTCTGGCCTGGATGATTGCCTCCTAACCAGCTCTCATTCTCTATCCAGGCCTCTTACAGTCCATTCTCAAGCAGCACGCAGTGATCCTTCAGAATGTAAGGCAGATCATGCTCCTCCACTGTCCACAATGTCACAAGACTACTTTCTCATTCAGAGGAAAAGCCGAAGTGCCTACAGTCACCCTCACCATCTGACCCTTCTACTTCGCTAATCTCATTTCCTTCAGCTCTACCACAGCTCCACTCACCTCCTCCTCTTCTGCAAACCCAGCAGGCATGTCCCTGCCTTGGGACACTTGCCCTCCCGTCCTCTCTGTGGAAGGCTTCTACCCCCAGAGTCACATGGTTCTCTCCTTCACCTCCTTGAATCTCTGCTCTAATGCTCTCTCATCAAGTGAGGCTGCCCCTAGCCATCTGATATAGTTTGGATATTTGTCCTTGCCCAGATCTCATGTTGAATTGTAATCCCCAGTGCCGGAGGTGGGGCCTGGTGGGAGGTGTTTGGGTCAAGGGGGCGGATTCCTCATGGCTTGGTGCTGTCTTTGCAATAGTGGGTTCTTGTGAGATCTGGCTATTTAAAAGAGTGTGGCACATTCCCTCACCCCCACTCCATGACTCTCTTGCTCTTGCTTTTACCGTGTAACAGGCAAGCTCCTGCTTCACCCTCCACCATGAGTAAAAGCTTCAAGAGGCCACCTCAGAAGCCATGCTTCCTATACAACCTGTAGAACCATGAGCCAATTCAATCTCTTCTTTGTAAATTACCCAGTCTCAGGTATTTCTTTATAGCAATGCAAGAATGGCCTAATATACCATCCTCATCCCCATTATCTATCCTCCTTTCCTGACCTATTTTTCCCCACAGTTTGTAGCACCATCTACATTCTGCATATTTTTACTTTCATTTTTCTTGTTTCTCTTCCCCTCTGAAGAATAAAGCCCCAAGGGGAAAGGAGCCTTGTTTTGTGTTCCTAGCTAATCACCTACATATAGCCGCGTGCCTGGCACATGGTATGCACTCAGTAAATAATTATTGGGTGAATGAGAGATTGAATGAATAGTAGCTAACTGCCATAGGAGAAATATGGGTAAAATATTCATTAGTTTTTTTTTTCCTTTCTACCTATACCTGTTATTTGACTCCTCAAATACTGTTCGATAAAAATTTTTTGAGTTTTTTTTAATTTAAATTAGTATATCTCTCTCTAAAATTGTGTTGCACTAGGAGGCAAACTTCTAGTACCTCAGTATCTCTAGGTCAAGGATCAGCAAATTTCCCTCTCAAAGGACAAGACAGTAAATATTTTTTGCTTTGTGAGCCAAAGAGTCTCTGTCACAACTCAAGCCTACCACTGTAGCTAAAGCAGCTCTAGGTGATTCTCAAGAATGGACGGAGCTCTGGTCCAGTAAAACTCATTCACAAAAGTGGGCTTTGGGCCAGATTTGGCCCTTGGGCCTTCGTTTGCCAACCCTTGCTCTAGATGAAATTCCAACAGACTTGCTGCTAATCCTAGGGTACAGATTCCCAGAAATAACTAGCTCTGCCAAAAGATGGGCATACAATCCATTTTTTGCGGGGGGAGAGGGGCAGGTATAGGGTCTTACTCTGTTGCTCAGGCTGGAGTACAGTAGCACAATCTTGGCTCACTGCAGCCTTAAACTCCCAGGCTCAGGTGATCCTCCCCACTCAGCCTCCCAAGTCGCTGGGACTACAAGCACACATCACCATGCCCAGCTAATATTTAATTTTTGTATTTTTTGTAGAGGTGGGGTTTTGCCATGCTGCCCAGGCTGGTCTCAAACTCCTGGGCTCAAGTGATCCACGTGCCTCAGCCTCCCAACGTGTTGATATTACAGGTGTGAGCCACCGTGCCTGGCTGCAATCCATTTTTCAATGAACTGGACTCAATAGGATGCAAGCAGAAACCAACTTGATTCTTGCTATCACTGCCCTCCTGCCTGATCTATGAATCATGTTTTCTTTTCTCTCGCCTGGAGGAAATCTTGGGTTTTTCCAGTCACTCTCAGATAACAGATAGTTTCTGCTTACTTTAAGATAGCAAAAAATCCACTTCAATATTTTAATCACGTAATTTCATCACCTGTCCAAATTCCACCACTCCTTCAAGGCCCTGCTCCTCCCTGAATCTCCTCTGGTCATTGTGGCCTATACCACGTCCCACACCCCCTGCCCACTGCAGTGTCACTGTGGTCTATGATCTCCATGTGAATTTTGTCAAAGTATCTTACCATATGAAACTTCATATCTTTTCTATTTGTTGATAATAAGTTCTAAATCTTATAGACCCCAGACAGAGGAGTCTCCCTCACCTCCTATATCCATCAGGCAGTCTCATTGATTTTTGCTTTCCAATCACCCACACCTCTCCCTCTCCACTAAACATGTGTGCTCCGGCCATTACCCACCCTGTGTGCAGGGATGTAAGCCTACATATCTTTCTCATTCCGCCTTGGCCCTCCCCTTGAATTCATTCTCCACTCTGCAGCTGTAATGATCTTTCTCTTTCAAAATGTAAATCTGATCCTCTCTTCATACTGTCCCAGCTTTGGGTTCCCCAACCCCTTATTTAAAACCTTTATTTACTTGCCATTGTTCTTTGAATGAAGACATCTCTCTTTAATTAACTTAAAAATGTGTGCCTGGTCTGATCCCCAACTTTCCCAGTCTCACTTGGCCCCACCTCTCCACCTTCAGTCCCTTCGGCCACCTTGGTTGTCTTTGAGTCCCTGGTAATCATCAAATTCCTTCCTGCCTCTGTCCTCACACTGTCCTCTGCATGTCCCTTCATCAACTTACAGTAAACCTTCCCACTTCGGCCCAATTGTCACCTCCTCTATTATTTGACTTCTAAAAACATTTGGAGGAATAAATTGTGTACAAAAGTAGGAAATTATCTATGTGTACTTGCAGTTTCATTTACTGCAATTTACTTCTATTTTCACTTAACTGTATCAGCTAAGATGTTCTCATATGTAAGTAACCCAAATTCCAAATCAGACTGGCTTAAACCATCAAATAAATCTCTTAATTCATGTAATACAAAATCCCTGAAATAGGGCTGTTTTAAGAATCCAGCTAAATTTTTCTGCAATTCTGTCACCTTTGCCCTTCCCATCAGTTGGCTTCATTCTCAGGCTCACTTCATTATTTGTAGAAGCAAAAAATAGTCTCATCAGTGTTAAAAGAAAAGCCTTAGACAAATTAAATTTAACAGAGTTTAATTGAGCAAAGAATGATTCAAGAATCAGGTTGCCCCAGATCAGAATAGATTCAGAGAGGCTCCAGCGCAACCTCATGGTCAAAGAAGAGTTATGGACAGAAAAAGGAAAGTGACGTACAGAAAATGGAAGTGAGGTATAGAATCAGCCGGACTGGGTTATAGTTGGTGTTTGCCTAATTAGAACACAGTTTGAATAGTTGGCCTCCTTTGATTGGCCAAAACTTGGAGACTGACACAAGAGTAGGTTGCAGTTGGTTTAAGCATCCATTTAGGTCACAATTCACTATGCACAGAGAAACCTTTAAGCCAACCTTAAAAGCTTTAGGAGCCAGCTTTAGGCTAAACTTAATTTAACATCAGTTTTAAACTTAATATCTATATGCCACTTCATCCAGAAGGGAATCAAGAGAAGACCTCCCTAAATCATGAAACAGAAGCCCTTAGTTTCATTCTCATGGCCCCACTTAGGAGAGGTGCTTCTTCCCAGTGAGGAAGTGGGTGAGCTAGTGGGCTTAAACCCATCAGAGCTCACCCTCGGGTTGGCAGCTGAGGGATGGGAGAAGCGGGGTCTGTTATTCCCAGATTCCATGACTGCTTCACCATGAGAAGGATTGAATTTCTGAAATGGAAGATGATGCCACTTTGGCAGAAGGAGCAGAGACTTGAATGCTGGGAAAACGACCAACTGTGTACTACAATAACAAAATATGAACACTTCCCATCAAATGTAATCATGAGCTAAAACACTACATTTAAAGTCTTCACAGCCACTGTGGAGTAGTGTTCCACTCCATGATTATGCCACCCTAATTTTCTTAGGCAAAGAAGTTATTTCTAATGTGTTGCTATTATAAATAATATTGAGATAAACAGTTTTTGTGCATAAGTTTTTTTCTACCACTCTGACTATTGCCTCAGCATAAATTTATAAAGGTGGAATTAAAGGGTCAAAGACCAAGACTATTGACACAAAAATTGTCCTCGAGAAAGACTGTACCAATTTGTACTGTACAGGCCGACCCTCAGTGCACGATTCTGCTGGTTTCTTGACATTTTGCTAGTTGACACAAGCCTCCCCTCCAAGTGTTGAGTTTTTGTCCCCTGAATGCCTTTGTTTCTGTTATATACTCAGCCTGGCTAACTTCTACTCCCCCTTCCAATGCCCATGACCTTCTCTTGAAAGCATTTCCTCACCATCTTTGCCAGGTTCCCTTTGTTGTGTGTTTCCATCATAACTCTGGCATCCCCCAAAATACAATACATTGCAATCATTTGTTCATTTGTCTGTCTCTTAAACTAGTTAGTAAATGTAGTAAATTGAGGAAATAGACTATTATTATTGCTAATATTAAGATCATTGCTATTCAATCCTACAATTTTGCTATTTGGCACTGTGTCTGAAACACAGGAATTACTCAGAACTGTGCTATAAATTAAAGAGATATGGAAGCTGAACACCTCATGGTATGATCCAAGGGGTCCCCTCAGTCCACAGCTTTGTTGTTCCTTTCAGCCTGGCTCTGCATGAATCACTTGGTATCTGGCCCAGCCCTGGAGTAGAGTGCTTTTCTCCAGAGTACCACGGGGCATTGCAGGCTATGGAATATTACCCAGCCTATTCTTCAGGTGTTGCTAAAAGCAGCAAAAGAACATCAGATCAGGGAGATAGGGACTTGGGGTTGGCTGAGTTCAAGATAAGACTTCACTCCACCTTCTTTCCTCCAGGATCTGTTTACATTCATTAGTTTGCTTGTCATGAGCTTTGTTATTGAGAGGAGAGGGAATGGGGGGGGGGGATGCTATTCAGAGAGGAGTGGGAGAGGATGAGGAAGCCCTGAGTGGGGAGCTAAGAGACTAAGAGCAGAAAGGCATTGCTCCCCACTCAGTCAACAGACTAAGTTTGAGTCTCTATGACTAGAATTGTGAAACTGTCCCCACAGGGTTAACGAGAATTGCATGCCAGGCTCTGGACAGAAATATAGCTATAATGAGGCACTAATCAGGCTGCACTCTGGCCCACCTCCTTGTTGCTAAAAGTCAGGTAGTGACTGGGCACAGCAGCCCACACCTGTAATCCTAGTACTTTGAGAGGCCGAGGTGGGCAGATCTCTTAAGCTCAGGAGTTCGAGACCAACCTGAGCAACGTGGTGAAACCCTGTCTCTATCAAAAATACAAAAAATTAGCCAGGTGTAGTGGCGTGCGGGGGGCGGGGGGTGGGAGTAGTTAAAAAAAAAAAAGACCATTTGCATCCCCAGTGTTCCTATAGGTAGGATTTCTGACACTAGGGTCATAAGACTGTTTAGGAATTGATTTGCATCCTCACTGTTCCTTTAGACAGGATCTCTGACGTTAGAACCAGAAGACTTTTTTTTTAAGGATGGTTTAAGATGTTTTTTCAGGCCCTGAGTTCCAGCAACCAGTTTGAAGACGCCCACAGAGGAACAGATCAGCATGAGAATGCAGCTGCTTCATCTCCCTACCCCGTGACTTCACCTTGCACTCTTGACTAATAAAGGACCTGCACACTGGGCCCTCTCCAAAGCCCTTAAATCCCTAACCCAAAATTCCTCAGAGAGATGGACTTGAGGTTTCCTCCCCTCTCCTCATGCAGTGGCCCTATGATTAAATCTCTTTACTGCAACTCGGTGTCTCCACATATTGACTTGCTGTGTGCATCAAACAATGAACCTATTACAGTTACAATTATAAGACAAGACCCAGAAACAAATAAAACTGGTTTTGTTGGTGTGTTTCCTTGTTGTTTAAGGAAAGTAAGGGAGAGACATCAGGGCAAGGTGAGAGCCAGAAGCTGATGGATCCCTGTCCTTCTGAGCTTAGGCTGAGTGGCCTTGGGGTGAGAGGTGGAAAGAGGGCAGAGCAGAGAGCATGGGGCACTGTGTCCTGGGGCTGCAGGTTTGCTGAGCAACACTGGCTCTGAGAGCAAAACTGTGCTCACCCTGTGGCAATTGTAACAGTAAAGTCTCAACAAACGGCCTTGCAAGCCACAGAAGTGGACAATAGAGGAGAAAACAGAAAAAAACAAGCAGGGAGGATATAGCTGGAAGCACATGAGAGAAACCCCTTCAATGACAGTTTCTCAAATAATAGGCGGCTTCCTCCTTCCCCTTGCCCTTCATCAGGTTCAACGTATACTCAGCATACCTATACTCGGTGAGGCTGGAATTGTGATGGGAGGCACCAGCATATCCAGGACCTTATTTTCAGCTGGTGCAGCCAGCAGATTCAGCAAATGAATAAATATTTTGAGAATAAAGAGACTCTGGTTTTTCATTGTCAGATAAGGGAATTACAATTAAGAAAAATAGAATGCTAATAAGTCTTATAGTGCTGGACCAAATTGGCTTATAATAGATAAACTGACTTCAGATAGATAGATAGATAGATAGATAGATAGATAGATAGATAGATAGATAGATAGATGATAGATGATAGATAGATGGATAGATAGATGATAGATAGATAGATGATAGATAGATAGATAGATAGATAGATAGATAGATAGATGATAGATAGATAGATAGATAGATAGATAGATAGATAGATAGATAGATAGATGATAGATAGATAGATACAGATACAGGTGTATATATGTGCATACCTACATAGATTTCCTAGCACTGCCCTATGAGAGACTCTGGAAGCAACAACACTGGAGATCACATCTTGTTTCTTAATATCTTTCTCCATTAAAAGAAACCAAGTCTTCTTGGAGAAATGGGTCTCTCCAGGGCTAGGGCCTGGAATGAAAAATTCATAATGAAATGAAAACATTTTGTGCCAGAGAGTAATGATGGGGATATCAAAGGGGCACAGGAACCAGCTTAAAGAGGCTCCCCTTGGCAAAGTCCAGGCCAATTGGAGTGTTAAATAATGACTGTAACATATTGTAACCCCTGGAGTAAACTAAGAACCCGTGAGTACACGCTGATGTAAATGAATAAAAAAATGAAGGCGAAGAGCAAACTCCTCCCTGCAGTAGATTTCCAATTCACAAATCCAGAAGGAATGATGGAGTTAAATTATTTGCAATTGCCTGGTTCACCCACGACGATAATCAGAGGCAGCAGATAGGAATATTCTCCCTCTCCTCCCTGGTGAGGTTCATTTTTCTCTCCACTACATGCACTTTATTTCTCATCCTGAGTATTTTCTTGGTATACTGTTAATCTTATCACTATTTGTAGCTATTTATTTATTTATTTAGAAGGAGTCTCACTCTATCACCAGGCTGGAGTGCAGTGGTGCGACCTCAGCTCACCATAACCTCTGCCACCCAGGTTCAAGTGACTCTCCTGCCTCAGCCTCCCAAGTAGCTGGGACTACAGGCACCCACCACCACGCCCAACTAATTTTTGTATTTTTAGTAGAGACGAGGTTTCACCATGTTGGCCAGAATGGTCTCAATCTCTTGACCTCATGATCTGCCCACCTCGGCCTCCCAAAGTGCTGGGATTACAGGCATGAGCCACCGTGCCGGCATCTGTAGTTATTTTTTAGTCTCCAAATTTACCCTCCTCCCAATTTGATTAGGTGGGAACTGCCCTTAATGCCATATTCCCTGTTTTCACCTCCCTCATGGCTTCCTTTACGTTCTTGCCATGCCCTCACCTCCCCTCATCGCCAACCATACCCTAAATATGGAGCCCTCAGACAAGGGAAGACACAGAGTAATTTCTGCTTTATAATATGAAGACAATGGAGAGAGTTTTCTTTGTCTTTTAGGAACTCATCACGTTCTCCCTCAGTTGAATCTGAAATGTGTTTCCTGCAATGTTCCTGCAGTATTGGCTGATGTTTAGTTCTCTCCCTTCCCCCTTATAGTTGAAATAATACAAAAGTCACCTAAAACTGTGTGCTTCACATAGTATGTGTTCTGCACCTATTGCAAGGATGAAGGCAAACAGATGGTCCAGCAGTTTGTTTTCCTCTCTTTTCCTCTTATCCCATTGATCCCCTCACTCTCTTATCCTTCATCCCAGGAATTACTATTTTGATTATAAGATAGATTAAGAAGAAACAGGCATGTAACCCAAGGGTCTGGATTATTGCCTGATTCTGCAGCACAAATTGACCTTGTATGAGCAGTTTAACCATTTGGGCTTTCATTTCTTTGCTGAAAAAACAAGGGGTTGGACCTCATAACCTCTTAGAGCCTTTTTATTTCTGAGTCCATGAGCCTATGATTTGAGCTTTAAATGTTGGAATACTCCTGGGCTTGGCCCTCAAAATTCTTCTCTTCTCTACTGACAGTGGTCTGTTTTTATTGGTTTCATATACCAACACACTGATAACTACACACTGTATTGCTCCAGCCCCAGTCTCCCTTTTCTCCCACTATGAGCTCCCCATCTCCAATTGCCCACTTGATATCGTCAGCTGGCTACTTCGTAGGCTTTATAAACTAAACGTCTAGAAAAGACTCCTTCATGTCTGTCTCCATACCCTCTCTATTCTTCCCCATCTCAGTAAATGACACAACCATTTACCTAGGGCCTACAACAAACAGCACACTTCATTGATTCCTCTCCCTCTCTTTCTTTCATTCTCCACATCCAATTTGACAGAACTTATGTTGGTTTTTCCCTCAAAAATATTTTCCAAATCAAACTTCTCAGCACTTCACCACAGCCATGATCTGCTCGATGGTATCATTTCTCCCATGAAAGATTGCCATAGCCTTTCTTACCCCCTCTAGATAGTCTCCAAAGAGATTTTAAGGTGTTTTTAAAATATTTAAATCTAAGCCTATCACTTTATTTAAAATCCTCCAGTAGCATCCCAATTTACTTAGGAAAACAATACAAAGTCCCTAGCATGACCTCAAGACCTTACCTGCCCTAGCACTTGCCCACCTCTTGAATTCATCTTTTATTCACTCAGCAACACTCATTCTGGCCTTTTGCATATTTTTCATATCTCCTGAGGAGATTGAGTAGCTGTTTACCAAGCCTCGATCCTCTTTCTACTGGACACACAGCCAAGTTGCATATTCCAGTCTTCCTTGCCATTAGGGGTAGCATGTGATTAAGTTCTGGCCAGTGGAATAAGAACATAAGTGACACATAACATTTGCAGACCTAACTGGTAGAAACTGCCACATGATCCATTTCCCTTGTTAGATAGGAGTTTTAAATTTCTCTTCAAAGAATCAGTATGTCAGTATGTCGGTATGTTCAATTCTTTGCCTGCCTTCTACTTTTAAACTTAACTTCCTTGTAAAGCAACATTTTTCCATTACCTGCTTCACCCTGACTCATTCCGATTACCTACTCCACCCTGACTCATTACAATCATCTGCTCCACCCTGACTCATTCCGATTACCTGCTCATTCTCCACCCTGACTCATTCCGATTTCCTGCTCTGCCATAACCACTTTTCCGGCCAAACCACTCACGCCGTCACTCTCTTTAAATTAGCCAATCGGAATTAGTTTAGCCTGCGCAGTCTAACCCTAGCCAACAGGGGAACGACACAGCAACAGGGGCCACATGCATCAGGGATAAGATCCCCTTCCTCTCCCTTGTCCAAGTGTGTGCTCACCATTGTTGCATCTGTAAGGGTGCACCCTTCTATACAAGTACATTGCGTTGCTGAGAATTACAAAGAAAATTTTATATTCGAGTGCTATTTGTTTTGCGGCACTGAAACTTTATTTATAACACCCTCATCAGCCAATGAGATGCAGAAGATCTGGCAGAGGACTCAAGATCCTAAACGGCTGTAGAGACACCTAGATGTTTGGAGGAATACATGGCCCCACGCCCACTAAGCCACATTAGTCCCTGCCACACTAAGCCACACTAGTCCCTGCTGTGAGCAAGGGACAAACTTCTTTTGTGTCAAGCTGCTGAGTTTTGGTGGTGGGGTGGGTGGTATTTATTAAAGCATTTAGCCTCCTCTAACTAAAGCATGAACCAAACTCCTTTCTATGCCACTTATTTCTTCTGCTTGAAGTCTTTCTGTATTCATATGGCCTGCTTCATTAAATCTTTACTTAAATGTCACCTCCTCAAGAGGCCTTCTCTGATGACTCATCTAAAAAAATCCAGCTCCACTTCAATCCCTCTCATCTATTTTTCTTCGAAGTGTTTACCATCACCTAATGTTGCTATGTATTTAATTATTATTTGTTTATTGTCTCTCTCACACTAACACATAAGATCCATGAAGATAGTGACATGTTTCTTTTTTTTCCTTGTACACTTCATGTTATATCAGTGTCTAGTGACACAGTATGAATGAATGAATGTATGAATGAATGAACTAATTAATTAATTAATTCTAGCTGTCCTTGAACAGCCTAGCCCTGTTTCAGCTGTCACCATCGCCACAAATTGAATTTCCTCTCACACACCTCATTTTCAGGTGTACCTATCTCGTCACTCTCCATCAATTAAGCTTTCACATCCCTTATCTTAACAGCTCAAAATGAGGCAGTGCACCTCCTAAAAGGTGATATTCTGTCAAGGCTGCAAAAGTAGACAGAAGGAAAAAAACAAAAGTGAACTCCAGTAATGAAAATCTAAACCAGCCAAGGAGCCAGGTGATGGGGGGAGAACACAGCACTTGTGTTCACCTGGTCTGGGACTGGACCCACACGTAGGTGCATCCTGGGTCCTGCTTTCAGGCAGGACTTTGCAGACTGCTGGGAATTCCCTCCTCCACTGCGCTATAGTCCCTTGGCAGCCCTTTCACCTCGGTACCTTTGCAAAGAACCCTGGTGTAGTTAGGAGTCATGCAGCCTTAGGTTCAAAGCCAGGGTCTAGGCTTATTGGGTTCATCATTCAAAATGGGGCTACATTCATTAACTCAACACTACTTACCAAGGGCTTTCTTTGTGCAATACTACACTAAGTGCTGGAAAAACAGCCTTAAGATAGATGTAGAGGACACCATTTCAAGGAGCTTATAGTGTAGAAGGAAAGACAGGCATAATTTTACAATTCCTTGGTTACAATTGTGAAAAACTTCCTGAAGGAGAAGCCAGTTGTTCCATGATGGTTCATATCAGTCTAGGCTGTGGGATCAGGAAACACTTTCAAAATATGATTGATCTGAAACCTAAAGGATGAGGAATTAACTCACCAAAGCTGGACAAGGAATGAGGGTGATGAGAATGTGCTGGGTGAACTGAGGAGGTACCTGGAATATTTAAAAACATGGCACAAGGGCCAGGCGAGATGGCTCACAGTGGTAATCCCAGCTCTTTGGGAGGCTGAGATGGGAGGATCGCTTGAGGCCAGGAGTTCGATACCAGCCTAGGCAACATAGTAAGACCTTGTCTCTACTAAAAATAAAAATTAAAAAACAAAATTAAATTAAATTAAAACATGTCACAGGATCAGCATGGCCAGTACCTAGTGAGCAGAGTGGAAATTGGTAGAAAGGAGGCAAAGGAAGATGGCTCCCAGCCTGATGGACCAAATCTAGGACATTGGTGTTATGGTAAGAACATGGGAAATCATTGAAATATCTAAGCAAGAGAGGAGGGCAGGGCATAATCAGTTCTACATTTTGTAATGATTGCTCAGGTTTCTTTGAAAAGAATGAATTATTAGAGGGGCAATCATGGCAAAAGGGAGTCAATTAAAAGGCTGTTGCAAGATCTAAGTGAAAAATAATGATTCCTTGACTTAGAGTGTTAACTGTAAACATGAAGAGAAGCAGATGGACTTGAGAGGTATTTAGGAGGCAAAATCAATAAGACTTCGTGATGGATTAGATATAGGCAATGAGGGAGGGGAGTGCACAGGGGAAGATGCCTAGGTTTCTGGTCTGAGCAACTGGTAAGAGGACACTGCCATTCACTGAGTTAGGCTGCACTGGAAGCAAGACAGGTTGAAGGGAAGATCATGACTGTAATTTTGGACATTTTGACTTTGCACTTGCAGCTACTTATTTTCTGAGTCTTGAGCCCACGTGTGTAGTGGTGAGAACATGACTATCCTACAGAGTGGTGAGGAAGCCTGGCACATCACCCAGCAAAGGGCAAGAGCTCAACAATGTCAGTTCCCTTTCCCTTCTCACCCCTTGTCCTTATTCATTAATTCGTTTGACACATATTAAGGGATCATTTCCTAAGTGTTGGTACTCTTCTAAATATGCGACCGAACTCGTAAAGTCCGTGTTTTCATGGAGTTTACTTTTTTTTTTTTTTTTTTGGAGACAGAGTTTCACTTTTGTTGCCCAGGCTGGAGTGCAGTGGCGCGATCTTGGCTCACGGCAACCTCTGCCTCCTGGATTTAAGTGATTCTCCTGCCTCAGCCTCATGAGTAGCTGGGATTACAGGCATTCGCCAACACACCCAGCTGATTTTCTATTTTTAGTACAAATGGGGTTTCACCATGTTGACCAGGCTGGTCTTGAACTCCTGACCTCAGGTGATCTGCCTGCCTTGCCTCCCAAAGTGCTGCGATTACAGGCGTGAGCCACCATGCCCAGCCATGGAGATTACTTTCTAATAAGGGTAGGCAGATAATAAAATAAGCAGACATATGCTGTAGCTAAAGCCTAGGAGGATACATTGAGCAGGGAGAGGAGGTGGGAGAGTGCTGCAAAGAGAGTGCTGTTTTACATATAGTGGGCAAGGAAGGCCTCTCTGTGGAGGTGATGTTTTAGTACAGACCCGCGTGAAGTGAGGAATCTAGCCATAAAGATGGGGATGAAGAAGAGTAGTCCAGACAGACGGAACTGAAAATTGTAAAGAGCCTGAGGTGCAATTCCTTGTTCTGTTCTAGGAATAGCACAAAGGCCGGCATAGATGGAATGCACTGAGCAAGGGGAATGTGACAAGAGTTGATGCTAAGGAAGCGGCCTGGGCTAAATCATGCGTGGACTTGCAGACCAAGGTGAGGACTTTGGTTTATCTCTGAGTAAGACAGAAACCACTCGAGGTTTGAGTCCAGGAGTAACAAGAGCCATAACCAAAATACAGAATGTTTTTGTCTATGTCTGAAGCCAGAAGTCTTAATCGACAGAACCAACTCTCTCTAATGCTCTCTTTTTCTCCTATTTCTGTCTCAACTCAATGAATAAACATAAAACAGCTATAGAATCAAATTAATTTTTAATGAGATTTACGGAATATTTACTATGAGTCTCTGCCAGACCCTTTCACATGTTGCAAGTGATTCTAATAGCAGCCCCCTCACATGAGCCTTTCCTGGAGACCAGCCAGTATTAGTGTGTTTGTATGTTATTTCATTTAGTGCTCATGACAACCTAGGAAGGGGATTTCATTACCTCAGTTTTACAGATGAGGAAACTGAGGCTCAGAGAAGTTAAGTAACTTGTGTAAAGTCACACAGCCAATAACTGATAGTCAGGGTTCATCATATGTGCCCAGGGCTTCCAGACTCCAAGTTCATAATGTTCCATGACTCTATGCTGGGTTGTCCCAACAGCATCTGATTCTCCCCCTGAGCTTGTTTTATGTTGGAAGGGATGCATCTGAAAACAAGCAGGCAAATGCCCAGCACATAAGTGTATTCACATTTTTAACAGGATGCATATTAACTGGCACTCAGAAAAAAAATTCATCACTAACAACGAATAGAGGAGTGCGGTTTGAGGGCAGAGAACTCTTCTGGCAGGAATTTTTCACATAGCATAGGTCATCACCTGTTTGCCAGGCCAGGTAAGGGTTGCTTTTTAGAATTGCATGACACACCTCCAACTGGGCTAATTTTCCAGGCAGCAATCATTTACCAGAATATATCACTTCAGTGGAGAAAAATTCCATGAGTCTCAATTCCCCTGAATGACACTTAGTCCTTGATTTTTATCCTTCAAACTCCAAATACCCTGGCATCTCTTGGTGTAACAATGACAGAAGCAGCTACTGCCAAATGTGCATCAATCACTTGTCTGGTGTGCCAGTCACTTTTTATACATCGCCCCTAGCCTATACCATTCCAATGTTTTTACAAATAAATAAACTGAAGCACAACAAAACCCCTAAATACCTTTTTAAAGGTCACTCAGCTATTCTTGCTCTGGTCTGACACCCTTTTCATCATCCCATGGTGCTCGTGTCATCCCACGGGCTAATAGTTTAAAAGTGGAGACTTTGAGAGTGACACTTAACCTAGAAGAGCAAACACCCAGAGTGGAGTTTCTGACCTTGCAATGCTGGAGGGTAGGAAAAATTTGGACAGTTGAATTGCAAAGACCCCTTGCCCCCTGGTCTGATTCCCCAAACTTGTGAATTGACTCACAACTCGTCCTTCTGCAGCATAATTGCTGATCACATTCCTCTCTAGGTGGCTTATTTGGAGAATTCTTCTTAATGAAACAGTTTTTCACACCCAGATCCATTTGTTTTTCCATACTGACACAATTTCCCAACATCTGGGGGAAACTTGGACCCTGTCAAGCAAGCACCTTCCTTCAACGTGTGTTGGAAATCAACTCACAGCCAAAGGTGCAACCATCTCAAATTTTCATAGCAACGGATACATGGCAGGAATGGGACTAGGTTCTGGCTCCTCGGAGGAATCAAGAACACTTCCTTCAGAAATTTTCTAGTCCATTCCCTCTTTTCAACCATAACTCAATCTAGATGAACAACCCTCAGAAGAGATGACATAACCTAGCTCCTCAGTAAACAATTCTCACTGATAACAAATCCTACCTCATTTCTTATCTCTATATACCAAATTCTGCAAATCCAGTTCGTTTCTGTAGACTTGCTCTTATATAAGAAGATACCTGTGCCTATTTGAAGTGAAAAGTGTTTGAACATTGAAGGCATTCAGGTGAAGGATTTGGTGGTGGTCATATTTACCTTTGGGGATCCCTCAAACTTCCCCACATGGTTGGTCAGCTAACCCTCCTTCTTTGGGGATCTGAGTGTCAGCCAAAGGAAGATGCAATTAGAAGACCAAAGAAGGAGCATCATGAGTGAAGAAAGCATAGATTTGGAGCCAGAGACACACTTGAGTTGAAGTCCACACTCCACAACATGATTGCAGTTAAATGTTTTGAGATTATTTTTATAATAATGATAATAATACATACCTTGCAAAATTATTGTGAAATGAAATGATTTATTTATTCATTTAAGAAATAGTTATTTTGTTCTTGTTATGTAATGGGGTCTATTTTAGGCACAGTTGGGATGGTCATAAGGGCTAAGAAGAAATCTATAACATGGTAGAGGCATAGGGAGTCCCAGAATCAGGTGGAGGGTGCTGCCATTTTCTATAGGGAGGTCAGGGAAGGCCTCTCGGAGATGGCCTCGTTCGAGCTGAGATCTGAAGGAGCTGAAGGGATGTGCCACGTGGCTCTCTCGAGGAAGAACCTCCTTCCAAGCAGACAGCATAGCAGAGTGCACATACTGTTTTCATTTTTCCCAGTTATTTTTTATTTTTGCATAATACACAAAGTGTAAAATGTATCATCTTAATCATTTTTAAATGTACAGTTCAGTGGTGTTAAATACATTCACAATATTGCACAACCATCACCTCCCATCGATATTCACAACTCTTTTCACCTTGTAAAACTGAAGCTCTGTACCCATTAAACAAAAAATCCCCCATTTCCCTCTGCCCCCAACCCCTGGCAACCACCATTCTGCTCTCTGTCTCTTTGACTTTGATGACTCTGGGTCCCTCATGTAAGTGGAACTGTACAGTGTTTGTCTTTTGTAACTGGCTTATTTCACCTAGCATAACGTTCTCAAGTTTCACCTATGTTTTAGTATGCGTCAGCATGTCCTTCCTTTTTAAGGTTGAATAATATTCCTGCACTTATTGCTAAAGAACCTATCATAGTGATTCCCCACCCAAGCCAAAAGAATCACCAAAAAGAGACAGTGTGCATGCATGCGTGTGTGTGAGTTTGTGTGTGCACGTGTTCCACACATACACATATATACTCTGGCATCACTTAAGACCTATTAAATCAGAATGTCTTCAAAGACCCCAGGTCGATTCCAATATTCAGGCAGGATTAAAGACACTGAGTTGGCTGGGTGCGGTGGCTCACGCCTGTAATCCCAGTACTTTGGGAGGCCGAGGCGGGCAGATCACGAGGTCGGGAGATCAAGACCATCCTGGCTAACACAATGAAACCCTGTCTGTACTAAAAATACAAAAAAAAAAAAAAAAAAAAAAATTAGCCAGGCATGGTGGTGGGTGCCTGTAGTCCCAGCTACTCGGGAGGCTGAGGCAGGAGAATGGCGTGAACCCAGGAGGCGGAGCTTGCAGTGAGCCGAGGTGGTGCCACTGCACTCCAGCCTAGGCGACAGAGTGAGGCTCCCTCTCAAAAAAAAAAAAAAAAAAAAAAGCACTGAGTTATATATTGCTAGACAAACTTTAATGTCCACATCCCTGGATTTCTCCTTTGTTGGTTCACCCGTGGGGCCCCAGGAATCTGCATATTAATTATTAACCCTGATGATTCTAATGCTGGTAGTGCCGAGATTGTGCTGTGAGAAGCTTCATAGTCACAATTCACTAGATGATAATAATGATCATATTTGCCAGAGGCAGCCATTTGGTCTACAGGCAGGAGAAAAGTAAAAGGCAGTAGAAGTGTTTAAGAAGATGTCAAAAGTTAACCTGAGTAGCAAAAAACATGAATCAGCAGAGTTCATCCAGAACCTCAGTGGCCCTCCGACTTCTAATGCACCCAGTTTAAAAAATAAATAAACAAATCAAGAACTATTTAGTACTTTAGGAAATTTGTACCCAGTACAAATAGGAAATACTGAATTCATAGAATTTCAAACAATTTCAGAAAAAAAGTGCTGCCTCTTTTCAGAGTTTCCATTTTCCAAGTGGTTTCTAAGTGCTTTTAATATGGAGGGTGATAACTTGGGGTTTTTTTTTTATAGTGCACAGCTAATTACCAGACATACCCATACTGCAAGCACTTAATGCCAACATAAACCATGGGGCCATAATGAAGATAATTGAAAGGATGACTTTCATCAATATTTAATTAGCATTTGGTGCTAACTCATTATTTCGGTACAATTAATTTGACATCTTGCTATATGTCCTGAACAGATTTCAATCCAGAGGGCTGTTTTATTGGCTAGACATGTGTAACATCACACATTCCCCTGCCCAGAGGAAACAATATGAAATATGGGGGAGATGATTGACAATTTAATCTAGTTCGATGGGGGAGATGATTGACAACTTAATCTAGTTCGGAATAGCAAAGCCTAATATATTAAAACGAAATAAGCATGTTTATTCAGCAAGGCAAATCCAGTACTAATGAAAATCCTGGCCTGGTTCAAGAGAGTCAGCAATGGAACCCCCGACTGTTTCAGCGCAACTTTGGGGTTGTCACCTGTTGCACTAGTATCAGGAAATGTTCAGAATAGGGGAGCATTGCTGGTCACCTGCAATAAAAAACGTTAATAACTCACATATCTATACAGCCTGAGAGGCTCAATGTATTATCCTGCTAAAGGCAAGGGATTTAGCAGCAGGAGGAGAGCACAGAACAGGAGCCCAGGAGTGCATGGCCCTGGATTTTTTTCAGGTTTTATGCTGTCAACCCTTATCAGCCTTTGGGTATGTTTCTGAACGTCCCTGCAGCTCAGTTTATATATGTGTGGAAATAGTGAATAAGCCCATTAAACCAGCATCTCTCAAACTATCCGTGGTGAAGGACCACACTTGTGTTTTACTGTTTTTAAATTTTCAATTTTAAACTGTGAATTGAGACTTTCTTAAAATACAATAAAAAAATAAACAGAAACTACAGAACTATGGTCCTGACACTATATTGGGCCCCGAGGTGATGATCCGACAAATAAATATACAAGCAGGTTTCCTGAGTCTATGACCCTTATATTCTAGCAAGAAGGAAAAAAAATAGTACATAAGTAAACAAATAATGGAAAAGATCATTTGAGGAGACGATGAGAGATGTGAGGAAAATAAATCAGGTAATGGGCCAGACAGTGACGGAGAATGATGAGCTGCTTTTTAACTGGATGGTGCCTGAATGAGTCTCTGAGGCCAGGACTTTGAAAGTTAATACTGGATGGCTGGGCGCTGAGAAGAGCCGGGCATGCCAGCTCTTGGGGAGGGGTGTTCCAGTCATATTTATCAGGTGCTGACAACATGCCAGGTACTAGCATAGATTCAAGGGTTGCAAAGAGTGATAGAGCACAGTCCCACCGTTGAGATACGGTACAGCCCTGCTGTTAAGAAGATCATTTTCAAATTAATAATCATAAATAATTGGAACATTTTAACGTAAGAAAATCTGGGTTGTTTTATTGTACTCCTGATTTGGCTAATTGTTTTTTAAAATTATTAATTAATGTTGAGTGCCTACTATGTGAAAGGTCCTCTTGTAGACAATTTTTATATACTCACAGAAACCCTATAAGAGAGGTTTGATGAAGATTATATTATTATTATTTAACAGTTAATAAAAAAGCCACAGAGTAGATAGTTTCCCAAAATCACAGTTAGCAAGTAGGAGAGGCAGAAATTAAAGCACAATAGTTTGATGTCAGAGGCAGCACTGTTGACCTTTTGTATTAAATGGCAACTATTCCTTTCTGGGTTAGTAAACATCTTTTCCATATGGAGTTCAGAAGGTTTATATGTTAAGGAGAGAGAGGAGAGAGAGACAGAGAATCTTTTCATTTTGGAGCAATACATGTTTTTCTATGTCAATATTCAATTCAGTTACTCTGCAAAATACAAGGTAATATAGTTCTCATTAAAATAATTTATAACTTGAGAAAATAATAGAAAAAATAAAATTAAAATAACATACAACATAAAACCCCCAATTGTCATTATCAAATTTAATAGATGCAAAATGGCTCTTTCAGATTGCTCTAACAGTTTCTGTACCTTCATTCTCTGTTTTCATACCTACCTTGCTGTGGATTGGTAAACGTCTGCAGACCACACTTGAGGGGTACTGCTTTAGACTTCCTCAGAGTTGCGAGAACCGGTGAATTTAATATGTTTTAACGAATTTGAAAAAGTGAAAAGCGCTCTATGAATATAAGATACTTTTTTTTTTTTTTTTAGACAGAGTTTCGCTCTTTCACCCAGGCTGGAGTGCAGTGGCGTGATCTCAACTCACTGCAACATCTGCCTTTCAGTTTCAAGTGATTTTCCTACCTAAGCCTCCCGAGTAGCTGGGATTACAGGCGCATGCCACCATACCCGGCTAACTTTTGTATTTTTGGTAGAGACGGGGGTTTCACCACGTTGGCCAGGCTGGTCTCGAACTTCTGACCTTGTGATCCGCCCTCCTCGGCCTCCCAAAGTGCTGGGATTACAGGCGTGAGCCACAGTGCCTGGCTAATACTACTTCTTAGAGAAGGAGGCAGCAGTGGCACTTGGCTTTTCTTATGATTCAAGGAAGAATGACAGTGATCCCCAATTTTGAGAGTTTCCTCTCTCAGATCTCCTGAGACACATATTCAGGAATAACATAGTTTGTGTTGAGCCCTGCTATAAATGGAAGGGGAATGAACTGAGTGAATTAGTTAGTATGCCAATAGTATATATGAAATATCAAAACCTTTAAAAAGCAGAGAGAAGTCTGGTTTAAAATACCCCGAGATAGATGCTGTCTGTCTTTTTGTTTGTTCGTTTAAAAAGTCTTGTTGACGTTAACTTGGCATAAAATAAACTGCGTATGTTTAAAGCGCACAATATGACTTTTAACATATGTATACAATGGCGAAACCATCTCCACAATCAAGATAATGACCATACCAAAAGCACAGACTGTAGGCTCCAGGACATATAGGTCCATATTCCTGCCTTACCACTTTTGAGAGTGTAAATTTAGAGGCAAAATACTTAATTTCTCCTATCCTCACTTTTTACATCTGTAAGATGGGTAGAATAATTGTACTTCCCTCATAAGGTTATTGTGAGAATTATATGGCATAAGGCATATAAAGTGCCAATAACAATGCTTGACATAAGGGAAATTCTAAATCATTAAGTTCATTTTAATGATATTGTGTACACTTAATATTGTATTTCTTGTGCCTAATACAGTTTATGCCACATTGTACGTATATGCACGCAGCAAATGTTGCTAAATGAATGGGGGTGGGGGTAGGGAGGGGAAATGAACACACTCATCATCCCCCAAATTTTCCTTATTCCTCCTTTAATCTTTCTTCCCTCTATTTCCTATCTTCCATCCCCATCCCCCAACCCATAAACATGGTTTCTGTTTTCAATACTATAGATTGATATGCATTTTCTAGAAACTTATGTAATTAGAATAAAAAATATGTTCTCTTTTATCTAGCTTCTTTCATTCAGCATAATTATTTTGAGATTTATCCATGTTATTGCATATTTTGACAGTTTATTCCTTTTGAATACTAAGTAATATTCCATTGTATGGATATAAGACAATTTGTTTATCCATTCACTTGATGAATATTTAGATTGCTTCCAGCTTGGGGCTATTTCAAGTAAACCCATCATGAACATTTAGGTATAAGCCTTTGTATGGACTTAAATTTTCTCTTTAGTAAATTTTATTTTCTCTTGAATAAAAATCTGGGAGTGAAACCAGTGGATCATATAGTAGATGAATATCTAACTTTTTCAGAAAGTGCCAAATTTTCCAAAGTGGTTGAACCATTTTACATTTCTACTAACTTTGTAGAGTTCCACTTTTTCCACGTTCTTGCCAACACTTGGTGTGGTCAATCTCTTCTTTTCTACTTTAAATTAAATTGCCATAAAATAACATAACTATTTTGAAGTGTACAGCTCAGTACCATTCAGTACATTCACAATGTTGAATCAGTACATTCACAACTACCAACTCTATTAGGTTCCAAAGTATTTTTATCACCTTCAAAGGAAACACAGTGCCCATGGGGAAGTCACTCTAGGGATTTACCTGTTTTAATTGTTTGATAGAAATATAATCATATAATATGTGACTTTTTGTGTCTGGTTTCTATCACTTAGCATAATGTTTTTAAGTTGTAGCATGGATTAGTCCTTCTTTCCTTTTTACAGCTTAGTAATATTCCGTTATATGGATATACCACATTTTGTTTATCCATTCATCCATTAGTGGATATTTGGCTATTGTGAATAGTGCTACTATAAATCATTCATGTATAAGTATTTGTTTAAATGGTTGTTTTCAATCTTTTCTGGTATATTTTTTGGTGAGTAGAATTACTGGATCATGTGGTAATTCTGTTTGACTTTTTCAGGAGCTGTCAAATTGTTTTCCACAGTGGTTGAACCATTTTCCATTCCCACCAGCATTGCACAAGGATTCCAACTTCTCATCATTCTTGCCAACACTTATTTTTCATTAAAAACTATAGCCATTCCATGGATGTGAAGTCATATCTCATTGTGATTTTGATTTGTATTTCTCTAATGGATAATGATGTTGAACATCTTCTCATGTGCTTGTTAACCATTTGTGTATCTTCTCTGAAGAAATGTCTATTCAAGTCATTGACCCATTTTTAGTTTGGTTTTTAAAATCTTTCTGTGGTTTAGCTGTAATCATTTTTATATATTCTAGGTGCTGGACTCTCTCAGACATATGATTTGTGAATTTTTCTCCTATTCTGTAGGTTGTCTTTTCACTTTCTTGATGAGTTCATTAGTCCTTTTAATTTTAACTCTTCTAATACACATGTAATGGTATAAATTTTTGGCTTCAATTTACATTTTTCTAATGACTAATGTTAAATAACCATGTGCTTATTTGCCATCCATATGTCTTCTTTAATGAAGTGTCTGTTCAAACATTTTGCCAACTTTCTTTAAACTTGGTTGTTTTCTTATTATTAAATGTAAATACATGTTTCTCATTATGTGTGGATTCTGTATTTGCAAATGTTCCTACTTGCTTAAATGTATTTGTAAATTCAAAATCAGTACTTACAGCACATTCATAGTCATTCATGGACATGCATAGGCTGGTAAAAAATTTGTGTGGCTTGGGTACATATTCTCTCCCAGCCGAGGTTGAACAAAGCAGTGCTCTGCCTTCTAGTTTAAGCTCGTGTACTCTCTAAGCAAGTGTCCTTTTCACAGACTATCTTGCATCATGTCTTTTGCATTTTTGTGGTTTCTGTTAGTGTTGTCACTGTTTTAAATGGACTCTAACTCTAGTGTTGAAGTCCTCTCTAGTGTTCCTAAGCACAAGAAGCCTATCATGTGCCTTATGGATAAAATACATATTTTCCATAAGCTTCATTCAGGCATGAGTTACAGTGATGTTAGCAGTGAGTTCAGTGTTAATGAATCAGCAGTATGTATTAAATAGAAAATTTGTTTAAACAAAATCACATATAAAACAAAGTTATGTTTTGATTCAGTGATGAAAATTGTGACCAGAGGCTCACAGGAACCTAATCATGTATTTCCCCTAGCAGAAATTATTCAATAATTCATTGTTTGGGGTGACTTTATAGAACATAACTACCTTGAATAATGAGAATCAGCTGTATAGAGAATATCTGAACTCAAGTTCTTTATTAGTTCTTTTTTTCTTTTTTTTCTTTTTGAGACAGAGTTTCACTCTGTCACCCAGGCTGGAGTGCAGTGGCACCATCTCAGCTCACTGCAACTTGGGCCTCCTGGACTCAAGCGATCCTCCCACCTCAGCCTCCTGAGTAGCTGGGACTACAGGCATGCACTACCACACCTGGCTATTTTTTGTATTTTTTGTATGGATGATGTTTCACCATGTCACCCAGGCTGGTCTTAAACTCCTAGGCTCAAGGGATTCACCCACCTTGGTCTCCCAAAGTGCTAGGATTACAGGTGTGAATCATCGCACCCAGCCAGATATGTTTTTCAGATACAAGTATTTTCTTTCAGTCTGTGATTTAGCTTTTTGTTCTCTTAATGGTGTCTTCCAAAGATTAAAATTTTTTATTTTGATGAAGTTCAACTTATTATTTTCTCTTTATGGATCATTCTTTTATTGGTATATCTAAAAATCTTTTCCAATTCAAGTTCACAAAGATTATCACCTGCATCTTCTTCTGGATATATTATAGTTGTAGGTTCTGTATTTTGGTCTTTAATCCATTGTAAGTTAATTTTTATATATAGTATGAGATATGCATGGGTTTTTCTTTTTGCATATGATATCTTATTATTTCAACACCCTTTGTTGAATAGAGTATCTTTTCTCACTTAATTGTCTTTGACATTTATTGAAGTTCAGTCGACCATATGTGTGTAGATCTATTCTTTTACCCTCTATTTTCTTCCATTGATTAATTTGTCTATCATAGTGCCAATACTACACACTGTCTCAACTACTATAGCTTTATAATAACTTTTGTAGTTGCAGGGTTTGAGAACTCAAAATTCTTTCAGCCATTCTAGATCTGTTGCCTTTCAATGTGAACTTTAGAATCAGCTTTTAAAGGTCTACACACAAGCTTGCTGGAATTTTGAAAGATATTGTGTTGAATTTATAAATCAATTTGGTGAGAACTGACTTCTCAACAATAATGACTCTTCTGTACCATAAATACAGCACACATCTCCATGTATTTAGGTCTTCTTCATGTTTCCTTAGCAATGTTTAATTTTCAATATATTGTTATCATCCACCTTTGATCTGAGTAATCTCTAAGGATTTTGTATTTTCCCATTTTTATTATACGTTAAGTGGTATTATATTTTAAATTCAAGTTTTAATTGTTCGCTTTTAGCATGTGGAAGTAGAATTGATTTTTAAAATATCCTCACTTATCATACATCTAAGAAAACTAAAGGAAGTTCCCCAGAGATGGCAAATTCTAGAAAGTACAGCTGCCTTTGAGAGGGAAGATGGTTAGGAGGACTTGTCACGGCATGCAGCCTGCCTTTCTCAAAGGCAAACTCAGACTGTCTTCATCTCACTTAGGCCCCAGGAGAGTAGCCTCAGGCACTGGATTGCCTGGTGGTCCTGGATGTGTAGGGAGTAATCCCATGAATAAAGCATGCCTAATTCCACTGGGAAAATTGGCTTAGTGCCATGTGCTAGTCATTACCTCTGTTAATGGATCCACTGCTGAGTATTCTGAGGACTGTTGGGCTAAATACAGAGTTCAAAAGGAAGGGAATAAATGGACACTTAGGTCATGAGCGGACATGACCATTTAAATAATTCTGGTCCCCATGTAGAAAAGTCTGCACCTCAAAAGGAGTGAGTCCAGCCAGGGGCAGTGGCTCACATCTGTAATCCTAGCACTTTGGTTGGCCGAGGTGGGTGGATGACTTGAGTCCAGGAGTTTGAGACCAGCCTGGGCAACATACCAAAACCCTATCTCTATTAAAAAAAATACAAAAATTAGCCAGCCATGGTGGCACATACCTGTAGTCCCAGCTACTTGGGAGGCTGAGGCAGCAGCATCATTTGAACTTGGGAGGCAGAGTTTGCATGTGAGCAGAGATTGCACCATTGCACTCCAGCCTGGGTGACAGAATAAGACCCTACCAAAAAAAAAAAAAAAAAGAGGAGTGAGTCCTGGGATAAAATATTTGTATTGGAATAACCAGCTCTATGCAAAAGGATTCAAACATCATTTTATAGGGAGAGATCTCAGCTCCTTGGTTACCTAATGCCAATTAAGTTGTGAGTGTCCAGATATCATGAAGGAGAATTTGAGAGCAACAGTCTTACGGGGAGGTTACAATAGCCTCATCAGCAGAGGACTAAGCTGCTAACTAATGATAGACAGACAGTGGCCAAGCTAGCAGTAGAACCCAACCACTGGAGAGTGATATGGTTTGGCTCTATGTCTCCACCCAAATCTCATCTCAAATTGCAATCCCCATAATCCCCACTTGTAGAGGGAGGGATCTAGTGGGAGGTGATTATATCATGGGGGCAGTTTCTCCCATGCTGTTCTTGTGATAGTGAGTTTTCACAAGATCTGATGGTTTTATAAGTGTTTGACAGTTTCTCCTTCAAACACAATCTCGCCTGCTGCCATGTAAGACGCGCCTGCTTCCCCTTCCGCCGTGATAGTAAATTTTGTGAGGCCTCTCCAGCTATGCAAAACTGTGAGTCAATTAAACCTTTTTTCTTTATGAATTACCAAGTCTCAGGCAGTTCTCTATAGCAGTGTGAGAATGGGCTAATTAGGAGAGATTTTGCCATTAGAGGGATGTGGGTGGTTCTGTTGATCCAGTAATGAGCAAAGAGTACTTACTTATTTTTTAAAAATGTACCTCCAGGCCTGGGACTTGTAGCTTGCACAGACAAAAACATATTGTATGAAAACAATTTGTTTATTCAACAAATAATGCCAAAGGGCCAAAAATTAAAGAAGAAAAGAGTAATAACAATGCTCATATTTATCAAGCATACATTCTACGTCAGGTACTCTGCTAAGCACTCTACCCACCTTATCCCATTTAGTCCTCTGAACACATCCCCTCACATCTTACCCTTGAGGAGTTCACAGCCTATCAATGCAGCGAGATAAATAAACAACTAAATATAATACAACGTGATGTTAATAGTAATTAAGAATGTATAAAATTTTTTGGGAAGACAAATGAGAAGGGTCATTTGGAAAGGTTTCATGTGGTGAACATATGATTTTTCCAGTTCTTTACAAAACTGCTACAACCTTATTCCCTGTGGTGCCAGAGGGATTGTCAATCATGGCATCTTCTCTACATCAGGTACCAGCAAATCATGGGGTTTTTCTGCTCGACAACAGTTATTAGGTGAAGGGCAAGAAATGGAACCCAATCAGAGCCAGAGTCCCTCCATGATATTTAACAACAGCAATAGTAAAAGAGTGCTGGAGAAGGGCCCACCCTCAGTTCAAAGCTGACACAGAGCTTAGGAACAAGGTGAGGCAAGCGAGGTCTTGGCCTTGGGCACAAAACTTAAGAGTCTGCCAATTGAAAAATAAAAACCCTCAAATAAAGATAGACAATAGCTTAAATTGACATTAAAAAATAAAAAGTGATGAAAATAATCTATAAAGAACAAAATATTGAAATTTTAAATAACAACAATGTCATGCTAATCTACACTGGAGCTTGAGGCTAAAGGAAAAATTAACCTTCTATACACATGTTTTTCCATATTTCTCAGTGATTAATTTTTCCAGAATATTAAAGTAGTTGTAAAAATATTTAAAAAACTAAAAAGTGGGTGTAGTAAAACTTGTAGTACCATTTTAAGTATAAATATTTTATTTATACTGAAAACAAAATTTATTATCCTTTGATGTTAATTAAAGTAAGTTCATCAATAATATTTTTAAAATCTAGTCCTGGAAAAAATTTAACCGTTAAAAATGTATAAAAAGAGGTATATGGGGAATCATTTTTGTTTTTGCTTCAGGCTCCAGCATGGCTTAGCACAATATCGATTACTGAGCATAAATCTGTACAAAGAAAAACAAAAGAGAGAGAGGGAAGGGGCAGGGAAACAGAGCCAGAGCCTCTCAGTGGAAGTGTGTGGGGGGAGAGAGAGACAGAGACTGATATTCTTCCCATCCACTCAGCTGGCCCTACCAGAAACCAAGCTTATACCTGGGCTTCTCACCTCTGGGAGCACTAATATTTGTTGTTGTTATTGTGATTGTGATTTGTGTTTCTGTCTTTTGAAATTCAAAATCCTTGTTTAAGCTGGGTCTTGGTCTTAAACTGAGCTCCCTGAGCCTGACCTTGAGTCTAGGATAAGTTCAAGTGGTTTCCTCGGAAGGTGATCCCAGGAAGTTTGGGAGGAAAGTGGGAATATGAGACAGGGAGGAAGGAAGAAGATAAATGGAAGTTTTACCAAGCAATACATCACGGTGAACTCTTCTGGGAACTTAGGGAGACAATGTAACACAAATCTCAGAGCCCTCTCGCTCCATTCCAGGCAAGGAAGCTGGAGTATTTATCCCCCAGCTCCCATCTGTCATTGGCTCCAGTCACCAACTCCTTGGCACTTCTAGTCTACCCTTGCTCAGGCCAAGAGAAAGATGTTAGGCAGAGAATCTTAGGTTAAGTATCTAAGGTTAAACTCACCAACCACATGCATTGGAAAGGTATGTAGAGGGAAATATGTATGGTAAGAGCACCTGTGATGTCCCCCTTTAAGAATGATCGAATGTCTCCAGAGAGCACATAGCACCCTCTTTACAGAGCAAAGTGGGAAGCTGGTTACTGTAGAAGTGAAAGCTCATGGAATCTGGATTTGAAAAGAGCAGACTTGAATCTTATCTCCAGACCTTACTGGTTATGTGGATGGGACAAATCTCTTACTGTCTTTTGATCATCTGCATGTTTTCTCATCTGTTTAATGAGTAGAATAATGATATAACCAAAATCAGAGCAATGCAGGGAGGATCAAATGAAGTATATAATTGATGGGAAATGCCTTTAAACAGTCAATGTTAGTGTTTTCTTTTAGGTGGCCTTAGAAAAGAAGTTTCCATGCTTTAGGATCTTCAAAAAGTGCTTGGAGAGCTTATTAAAAATAGAGTCAGCAGGGCGCGGTGGCTCACGCCTGTAATCCCAGCTCTTTGGGAGGCTGAGGCAGGCGGATCACTTGAGTTCAGGAGCTCTAGACCAGCCTAGCCAACATGGTGAAACCCCATTTCTACTAAAATACAAAAATTAGCCGGACATGCTAGTGCACACCTGTGGTCCCAGCTAATCGGGAGGCTGAGGCAGGAGAATCGCTTGAACCCAGGAGGCAGAGGTTGCTGTGAGCCAAGATGGAGCCACTGCATGCCAGCCTGGGTGATAGAGCGAGGATCTGTCTCAAAAGAAAAAAAAAATACAGAGTCCGGGGACCATGCCTAGAGTTTTTGATTCAGGGTGCCTGGTGTGTGACCTAAGACTGCATTATTCAAAGTCCTCCTGTGGTTCTGAAGCAGGTGTGAGCCACACTTTGAGAAATGCTGCAATAGCATAAAATATATGGAGGGAGAGCACAATTGGATGTGACTGACAGGCCTGAGTAAGCAGGGGAAGGTCATGAGGAAACAAAGGGGAACTTGAATTTACTTTGTGGGGAGAGGCAACATGTCAAAGGCTTTTAAAATAGGAGAATGATGTGATCAGTGCCATGTTGTAGAATCATGCTTCTGACTGTAGCCATTGAGGATGGATTTCTCAGTGAGGACTGAGAAAACTACCAGTAGGGAGGCTGCTGTAATAAGCCAGAACAGAGGAAATGAGATCTGAAATTGGGGCAGTGAATGTAAGAATGGAGAAGGGGGCATGTAGAATGGGGAAACAAATGCTGATAATAGATTTTAAGAGAAAAAAGCACAATACAAAAACGTGTATGTATACAGTATATTCCTATTTTGTTTATAAATTCATGTATATATTTGTGTAAACACACACATACTTTACATAGAGAAAAAGGGAAAAGGAAATTCAACCAAATGTTGAATGGTTTTCTCTGAATTGTATAGGTGATTTTAAGGTATTTTTAATATATATTTTTCTTCCCAAATGCTCTATAATAACCATATATTACTTTTGTGATCATGTTTAAAAAAGAATATAAAAATAAAGCAGAGAAAACTTTATTAAATAGACACAGAATTTCACAAGGATGGCTAAGGAAAAACCAAAGAAGAAACTCTATGGAAGAACAAGCCATCTTTCTTGTGGACTTGGAAGCAAATTCTGGTGAATCTTTTGGCATTATTTGTTAGCTATGATGTGGCTATTTAGGTGAGACCAACTTTTTTTCTGCTACTACTCTCACCTTATATGCCTTTGAAATACAGTTAAGTAAAAGTTACTACAGGTTGATTGATGGCTGGAATCTTACTTGCTTATAAAATGGGTAGAACTTGAACCCTATATTTTATTACATATTCAAAGAGTGAAGTGCTTTTCTGTTTCTTTAGTTGTTTTTCACTTTAAGGTAGAGTCAGGTATTCACAAGGGAGGACAAAAATCCATAGTATTCAGAACTGACAGAAAAATGTGTATAGCTTAGTAAAAACCATGCCAACCGTGCAAAACATGCCAGCTTAGTAAAAACCATACTATGGCATGGTGATGTATCTAAGCCAAATACAGTATACTTAATAGTTCTCTTTAGACTTTGGTTGAGTGGAACTTGATCATTGGTTGGAGGTTAAAAAGAAAAGAAAAAGAGTAAATGTAATTCATGACTACAAAAAATTGGGGATGGCAAAGCTCGGAGCATTCAAGATTGGCAATTTTCCTGTCTTTAATGAGCTTTGATAAGAGTCTGATATTCATACTGCTATTTTACAAAAAGAAGTTCAGAAGCTCCCCATAGTGCCTCTCCACTAAGTCCTTCCCCACTGACCTCTAACACCAGGGAACAAAGAGATTTCCTAATATTTACCTTCAAAGAGAAAAGTCAGGCTGGCTTCTAATATTTAAGGGGCTAGTTACCTCTCTATGTGAACAAAGGATGCAGAGATGATTTCCACTAAAGCTAGGTTGAGCAGGGTGTCGTCATGATGTGGGAGGCTTAGGTCAGAAAGAAGCAGGGTTTATTCTCTGCTATCATTCTAAACAAAGCCAATAGCCCCAGCAAAGTCACCAAGAGAGAAAAGCCTGCTGCATATTTAAACATGTCTTATAATAAGATTGGGAAGAGGTAGGGTTTATGTTCTGGGGAATATTGGTACATGAGTAGAAATTGAAATAAAACAATAACAAAGAAACAAGCAGAATTTAGGTCAACACTAGGAAAATGCTTACTGTTTGCTGTCTACTGCCCAGGAGGTCAAAATGTCTCTCTACAGTCTTGTCCAGGAAAAGCAATTCCTAAATTCAGTGGTTTCTACCTTGTGGGCTGTGAACTTCTAGGAAACCAAGGATTTTACAAGAAACCCTTGTACAAATCTTATATAAGAAGTATAAGAATTACCTGTAGAGAGCATTGGTATTGATTCCCACCTATATGCATATACATACTGTGATTTTCCAAATGCACATCAATTTTGTTGAGATTAATTCATAGTAACTTTCTGACATTTGATATTTTCTCAATCAACACACACTAAATATGTGTCAGCTTTGGTGTAAGGTACTGTGAATGTTTTTGACATTCAAGAGGCCCTTCTCAAAAAAGCTAGGAATGCCTGCCATACACAATTTACAATTATCAATATATAATAGTGGAAAAGTTCTGATAATAACTTGGAGCAATGATTCTTAGTCTTGGCTGCACATTCTAATTTCCTCAGGGCCTCGCCTTGTTGCCCAGGCTGGAGTGCAATGGCATGATCTCAGCTCATTGCAACCTCCTCCTCTAGGGCTCAAGCAATTCTCCTATTTCAACCCCAAAGTAGCTGAGACTACAGGCACACACCACCATACTTGGCTAATTTTTGTGTTTTTTGTAGAGATGGGTATTTTTTGCCCAGACTGGTCTTGAACTCCTGAGCTCAAGTGATCTGTCTGCCTCAGCCTCCCAAAGTGCTGGGATTGCAAGTGTGAGCCACTGCACCCAGCCAGTAAAGAGTTTTTTAAAACCCCAATGCCTAGGTCACAGCCCAGACCAATTAAATCAGAATCTGTGGAGTGATATACCAGCACCGAGATATTTAAAGCACATGTATTTCAATTTTAATTTCTTTGAAAACTGAAGAGATTCACATGATAAAAATGTCAACACATAAACAGATATACAATAAAAAGTCAGTTTCTCTCCCACCTCTTACTCCAAGACATTTTATCTTTCCCAGACACTACCGCTATTATAAGCTTCTTAGCAATAATGCAGAGATATTCTAAGTATATATAAGCATAAAGATTGCTATTCTTTTTATTATTATGTGAATTATGACAGCCTGCACTGTAAGGATACAGCATAAACCTGTGAATCCAAGGGTCCACAAAAAAACAAGCTGCAAACCTGAGCAGGATCAGTTGCTTCTAAGTTTTGCATAAATATTCCTTTGCTATATATTCATTAGGTTTGACATCTGTTAGCTCTCAGTGACAGGCAAGCAATGGTAGACATCAAAGTTTAAAAAGCACTTTGGGAGGTAAACTTTAGTTTCTGAAAATTCTATAAATTAACTTAATTTTTATGTAAATGCATGCCACTGTTAGAATTTAACCTTGGAACTAGTTTGAGAGCCACTGTCTTAAGAGATTCAGAGCTGTTGTTGATGAAAACAGAGAGAGGCAGAATAGAAAAAGGATAGCTTGCCCTGGCTCTGTCCCTCTAAATATCCAGGCCCTGGAAGTAAGGCACAAAAGTCATGACCCAGGCAGTGCACCAGATAAATAAGAATTTTCTGTAAAATCCATGTCTTTATTTTTTCATTTCCCTGGCTATCTGTGGCCTTCCCCTGTTAAAAGAAAAACTTTTGCTGAATTAAGTATAACAGAGTTCAATTGAGCAAAGAATAATTTCCAAATCCGGCAGCCTCCTGAGCCAGAGTAGGCTCAGAGACTCCAGTGCAGTCGTGGTGGAAGATTTATGGACAGAAAAAGGAAAGTAGCATACAGAAAAGGGAAGTGAGGTACAGAAACAGCCAGACTGGTTGCAGCTTGGCATTTGCCTTTTTTTGAACACGGTTTGAACAGTTGGCCACCTTTGATTGGCCAAAACTCAGTGATTGGCACAAGAGTAGGCTATAGTCTGTATACAATTTCATTTAGGTTATAGTTCACTATGTACAGAGAAATTTTCAGGCCAAACTTAAAACATGTAAGGAGGCAGCTTTAGGCTAAACTTGATTTAACACCCATTTAACAACTCACCTACACTGTTTCCCCTTAAGATCAAAGATAATGTAGTGTCTTCAGTTCATCCCTAGTGCCTATCAAGCCTGGAGGCAAGACCCACATGAATAGAATCATCCCAGCTGACCCTTAAGTTGCTGTGAGAAGCAAGTGTGAGTCCTTGGGATGAGGCAAAGAGAGAGCTGCAGAAGTCACCAACAAGAACTTTGTCCAAGGAATTTTTCAAGGGAAAACAATGGAAATAAGAAGACCTGAGTTCAAATCCTAAGGCTGGTAATGAGACTGAGTAGAGGTAGGGCTTGACTTCAGCTCACCCACATTTGAGCATTCTTTCATGCTTTCCCACTGATCACAAACCCACACCACTACCTCACTGATGCCACACCCATTGATATGGTTTGGCTGTGTGTCCCCAGCCACATCTCGTGTTGAGTTATAATTCCTAATGTTGGGGGAGGGACGTGGTGGAAGGTGATTGAATCATGGGGGCAGATTTTCCCCTTCATATTCTCACAATAGTGACTTCTTACAAGATCTGATTGGTTTAAATTGTGACACCAGCCAGGCGTGGTGGCTCACACTTGTAATCCCAGCATTTAGGGAGGCCAAGGTAGGTGGATCACCTGAGGTCAGGAGTTTGAGACCAGCCTGGCAAACATGGCGAAACTCCATGTCTACTAAAAACAAAAATTAGCCAGACATGTTGGCACTCATCTGTAGTCCCAGCTACTCGGGAAGCCGAGGCAGGAGAATCACTTGAACCCGGGAGGTGAAGGTTGCAATGAGCCAAGATCGCACCACTGCACTCCAGACTGGGCAACAGAGTGAGACTCTATCTCAAAAAAAAAAAAAAGCGTGCGATGCTTACCTCTTCATTCTCCTGCTCCACCGTGGTGAGACATGCTTGTTTCCCCTTCACCTTTCTGCCATGACTATAACTTTCCCGTGGCCTCTCAACTATACTTCCTGTACAGCTTGTGGAACTGTGAGTCAATTACACCTCTTTTCTTCATAAATCACCCAGTGTCAGGTAGTTCTTTATAGCAGTGTGAGAACAGACTAGCACACAAATCAATAGTCATGAAAAGAAAATAGCCAGTCTATGTTGTTCTTCTGTGCTCTCATAATGTTTGACCATACTTGTTACTTAAAGAATTTCAGAAACTGGCCTTAGGAGATCCAAGATGTAACCGTAGTTGTGAACCAAGTTTGTAGAGTGTCCCACCTTGGGCAGGAATGCTGCACAATTGATTTACAGTCTTACTGCCGGCCGTACCACCAGAGGGCCCATTATTCAAGATATCCATGGCAACCAGATATGCTGACCTTCATACCTTACCACTCAGGTGCTTTGCCCACCCCACCCTGCATACCCTAGCCCTGATATTGTTGACAAAAAGAGTCAAACTCTGTAAAATATTGGAAGAGATTTATTCTGAGCCAAATATGACTGACCAATGGCTCATGACATAGCTTTTAGGAGATCCTGAGAACATGTGTCTAAGGTGGTTGGAGTATAGCTTGGTTTTATACATTTTGGGGAGACATGAGACATTCATTGATACATGTAAGATGTACATTGGTTTGGTCCTGAAAGACAAGACAACTGGAAGAGAGGACTTTAAAGTCATAGGCAGATTCAAAGATTCTCTGATTGGCAATTGGTTGAAAAATTATTATCAATGGAAAGGAATATCTGAGTCACAATAAGAGGTTGGGGAGACCAAGATTTTATTATGCAGAATGAGCCTCCAGATAGCAGGCTTCAGAGAGAATAGATTGTAAATGCTTCTTATCATATTGAAAGAGTCTGTTCTATTAGTAATTCCAAAAGGGAGGAGAGCATAATGAGGCATGCCTGGCTCCCCCTTCCCATCACAGCCTGCAACTAATTTTTCAGATTAACTTTGGAATGCCCTTGGCAAGTGGAGGGACCCATTCAGATGGTTTGGGGACCTTAGAGTTTCATTTTCGGTTTACAATATCAATTCCCACACTTTGCCTAATTAAAAAAAAATCCCTACTGGCTCTTTTTGGGGAGTCAGCCAGAGAATTCTCCTCTTGTGCTGCCTTCGTTATGCCAGGGCATAAGCTCCAATAAAGCCTTGTCTGGGAAAACTCTTTTTGCCTCATAGCAATTTCTATTGCATTCAGTTGGCCTTTAGCTTGACAATTTTTGTGCCTTTTGAACTGTTGTTTTTGAAGCCTTGGTTCCTTGGAGATCCGGTGGGTGGGAAAATTGTGAGAAAGTGACTTATATCCGGCTTGGCCCTCTTGCCTCTTTTCATTCAGAACAGTTTTATTTTTCTGGTTGAGGTTTCTCCATAACATCTTATTTGAAATAAGGGTGTGTGATTTTTTTCTCTAAATTTGGTTGAAATACACTAGACAGATAACTTCAGAGATTTCCTCTAGCTGAAACACTCTAGGATTCAACAATTTCTAGATTTGAAGCTATAAAACTAATATTCCAGATCCTTGAATTTTAAAATTTATTTCTTCTTTGACCTGGAACGGAATAATTTTCTACAAGTGCCCATCTAAAATATTAGAGTAATATTCTCACACAAGAATTCTTAATGCATATAGACATGCATACATTAATGGCTTTTCATTATTTCTCAGGGAAATCAATAATTCTCTTTTCTAGTCAGATTTTTTATAACAGCAAAACAGGATTTACTAGGAGTATGATCAGCCCACAAAGCTTTATCTCTGCCAGTGAAAATTTCCAGTGAAAATAAAAATGTGGAAATATTTTTGCTCCCCCTGCCCATCAACATCACGGTAAGTCGAGGAGGAGGCACCACTTTTCTGATAGCACCCACTTCACTTCATTTAAAGATAACAAATGAGAGAGACGCTATCCTAATAGGAATCAGAAGACTGAAGGATTAATTATTTTCCCTGGAGCTGAGTCTCCCCACCCCGTCAGAGGCAGATTTTCCTCCGGGAGCAGTCCTGCATTGCTGATGATGCCACCTTGTACAGCGAAACAGCAGCGGTCGTCAGTCTAAAGGTTCAAATGCTCAGAGCCTAGGGTTCTAGTGAAACTTAGATTCCTGAGTGTCATGGGAGAGGAACTGGACTAGGATTTAGGAACACTAAATCTAGTCTTGGCTTCACCATGTGACTTTGCTGAGTCTGAGATTCCTTATTTTAGAGATGGGAATGAGGATCTTTGTTCTACAAATCTCAAGGGGTCTTCATAAGACAAGGTTCATGAAAGTTCTTTGAGGGTGAAGCACTATAAAAATTAATAAACTGTGTGTTAGAGAGTATGGAACAATCTGCTCAGCATTTATTACAACTTCTTTCTAGGATGACTTTCTGTATTACAGAGCCTAGAAAGTTAAAAACATTTCTCAACCTTGCAACTTGGCAGTCTGGGTGTGACTTGGATTTTGCCAATTATACACATTTATGAGAGACTTGAGTATGAAATTGGATTAATTGACTAGTTTTACTGGTGCCAGTCATAACAGAAGTAGCACAGTTCAGCAGCTGGCAGCAATAGAGGCAGCCTCTAGGCTCGGAAGGCAGTTTTCTGACTATGGTCGAAGCAGCAGCTCCCTTGTCAGCCTGGCTCTTGGTGCAGCGTTGGGAATCATTACTGGAAGTTGAGTCTATAGTTAGTTCCCTTAGTCTTTCAAATGATTCTGTCAATTGTTTAATATTCTTCTACATAGCCTGCCTTAAGCTAACTAGAGGCAAAGGTAGTTCTGTTTTTCTTAAGTGCAAGCATCAAGGACAGAGATGATTTCAGACAGAGGTGGAAACAGGTCTTCAGATCAATGTTTAGGAGATGTTAAAATATCTGTGTGAGGCCAGGCACGGTGGCTTATGCCTATAATCCCAGCACTTTGGGAAGCAGAGGCGGGAGTCCAGAAGTTCAAAACTAGCCTGTGCAACACAAGGAGAGCCCATCTCTACCAAAAATTAAAAAATTAGCCAGGTGTGGTGGCTTGTTCGTGTAGTCCCAGCTACTTGGGAAGCTGAGGTGAGAGGGATGGCTTGAGCCTAGGAGGTCAAGGCTGTAGTGAGCTGTGATCATGCCACTGCACTCCAGCCTTGGCAACAGAGCAAGACCTTGTCTTAAAAAAAATTGGGGCTGGGTGTGGTGGCTCACATCTGTAATCCCAGCACTTTGGGAGGCCAAGGTGGGTGTATCACGAGGTCATGAGTTCAAGACCAGCCTGGCCAACATGCAACATGGTGAAACCGCCCTCTCTACCAAAAATACAAAAATTAGCTGGGCATGGTGGCAGGTGCCTGTAGTCCCAGCTACTTGGGAGGCTGAGGCAGGAGACTTGCTCAAACCTAGGGGGGCAGAGGTTGCAGTGAGTCGAGATCTTGCCATTGCACTCTAACCTGGGCAACAGAGTGAGACTCTGTCTCAAAAAAAAAAAAATTGTTTGGTTGGAACACAATGTCTCAGAACAGACAGGCAGGAGTAAATTGAGGAGATGATTTGTGGACAAATGGTGAAGGATCGTGTATGTCAAACTGAACATATTATACTCTTACTTTCTAGCTAGTGGAGAGAAACACAGTCTTAAATGTGTTTCTGAATGACCAGCCAGGATAAGCTAGGAAGAGGGAACAAGCCCAGAATTGTAGTGGCTTAAAACGGTGATGGGTTATTTCTTGCTTATTCTGCATGTCTGATACTATTAGACCTCAGCTCAGTTTCACTTGACTTTACTCCAGGACCCACTGATAGAGCAACTTCTACTTGAAATATTGCTGGTCTTGTGGGAGAAGGAAAAGAAAACCTAGAAGACTACATGCAGGTGCTTATAGCTTTTGTTCAGATATGTCCCAGGATACAAAATTCCCATTGCATTGACCAAAGCAACTCACACAGCTAAGCCTGACACTGGAGCAGAGTAGAATATCCTCCCAGAAGGATGAGCAGAAACGGTTTTGAACAATAATACAGTTTACCATACTCTGGAAAGGCTGTGGAGAATAAATTGGAGGGGTATCATGAAGCCTTATTCATCCATCCCGCAATACTGAACACTTGTTATATACTGTACATTCTGTTGTGCTCGGCAGCAGGGATGGAGTGGTGAATAAAACAAGCAAGCCCTTTGACTTTATGGAGTTTTAGGATAATACTTTTTATGTAGCACACACTATTATAAATACATTTACATGCATCATCTTATTTAATCATCATATTAATATGATCTCTTGTTTATAGCTCCATAAACTGAGGCTTAGAGACATAAATAGTTTGACCAAGACCAGACAGAATGTGGCAGGTCAGATCTGAACCCAGGCAGTGTGACTCCTAAGCTTCATGTACTAAACCTTCATGATAAATCATCACTCAGCTGAATAGTCCTTGGGAGGCATGGCGAAGACCTGTGGCATGGAGGTGAGGAGGAAAGAGCATCAAGAGATATTAATAGTCAGCAAGGAGAAATGCCTGGGCTTGATTACAGAATAGATGAGAGTAGTGAGAGACAGATGTCTAAGCTGAATTAGGAAACTTGGCAAATGAGTGACCAGTTTAACTAAACTTTACCTAATATAAGTTATTCAGAAGAAGCCTATTTACAATGGAAGATAGTGAACATGGTTTTGAAACACTTTTGAGGCACCCAGATAAATTTTTGAAAAACCAGTTTGAAGCCCAGGAAAGAAAAATGAGAAATAGAAATCCAGAGAACCATGGCTTTGTAGATTTTTTATGGATATGAAGTAGGAGAGACTGTATCCCATGTGTAGATTTGCTTAAAATAGTCAGATTGCCAATTCTGAAGTTCTGCAGCCACAGGAAAATGTCCAATTGTACAAATCAGGGAGTAGCTTGGTGGATCGTCTCTTTACGAGATTGGGGGGCATTTTTCAGGTGATGTGCAATTTGGAAGTTACTCTCTTTTCAAAACTCATCCACTAATAGGCAGCTGGATCAGATCCTTTGCTGAGTATGGATTAAGAGAGAGTAAACCTTTTTATGTTTTGTAATTGCATGGATCTTACTTTAACTAAGAGGAGCAGAAATAAGTAGGAAGGCATAAAGAATTGACACATACTCTGTACTTAGTGTCAGAGCTAGACAGATATTCTCTACATCTGGAAGACTAGTCCTGTTAAAAGGAAGTAAATACTTGAGTGCATAAAAATATGAAATATAAACCTGTTTGGTACCAAATGTAATCATCAAATGCAGAGCCAGAACTGGGGTCTGACAGATTGGAAAGCGAACAATCCCATCGAGCCACCTTTGATGACGGCTTTCCCCACTGTCCTCATTAGCATGAATCTGGGTTACTCCTAGAAGGGACTGAGGGTTCAGTTTTTCTAAAGCTGGGCATCAGATGTTATGGCTCTATGCAGTTTCTGGTGTTCTGGTTCAGAAACCCTAATTTTTCTTTGTGCCCTAACTTCTCCATGTTCTGGAAAGAGTCCTTTTCAGTCATGCACATGTAAGGTAAGGACCAAATACTGCCCTTAGGGAAGGTTTGCATGCAGCAAATATAACCACCTAAGACTAAAATATTAAGGAAACTGCGTAGCAAAGTAAGTTGAATATTTTAGACAAGTGTGTCCCTGAAGTATTAAATAAATTCTTCATCCTAAAACAGGACTAGCTTGCCCTGTGCTTGCAAATTGTGAGTTGTGGCTGGGCGCAGTGGCTCACGCCTATAATCCCAGCACTTTGGGAGGCCGAGGTGGGCGGATCGAAATGTCAGGAGTTCGAGACCAGCCTGACCAATATGGTGAAACCCTCTCTCCACTAAAAATACTAAAATTAGCCAGGCGTGGTGGTGGGCACCGATAGTCCCAGCTACTTGGGAGGCTGAGGCAGGATAATCGCTTGAACCCTGGAGGCAGAATTGCAGTGAGCCAAGATCACACCACTGCACTCCAGCCTGGGTGACAGAGCGAGACTCAGTCTAAAAAATAAATAAATAAATAAATAAATAAATAAATAAAATTATGAGTTGTGATTGAGAGATGCAAATAAATTCTCTCCACCTGTTCTCTGCTCTGGAGGACGTCTGTGCTGGAGGACCAAAGACAATGGGAAGGGCGAGACTGCTCTTTGGCACCTTGCTCTGGGAATGAGATTTGTGGTTTCCATGTGAGCTGCTGCACAGCTGAATGAACAAGCCCGGGAAATTCCAAAAGTGAGTTTCTTGGTGCATTCCTGAAAGGCAGGCATTTTGAGTCATCCCTATCATATAGCTGCAGGTCAGGACCTAGATGACAAGGGCCGTCTCAAAAGACATTGCAGTTAGACTGAGTGAGATTGGTCCTCCTGGTAGCAGTTGTAAGTTTCAGTTTGTGTTGTACTTCTACTCTCCTCAAGTTTATAGTCAGGTCTATTTAAAAGTCACATCATGGTGCATCTCAGTTGTGCTGGGAGGGTTACCAAGAGCGCTGCTTTTCTCCCTAAAACTAGCGGGGTTTTAGCAGCCGTCCCCATCAGAGAACAGATGCGACCGGCAGAGTAACCATCGCCTGAGGGAAGCAGCAGCACAGGTCCATGGGAGGTGTTGGGCCGTTTTTTAATTTGTGCAAAGGCTCACTCTACTTGGGCTAGTGGCAGCCTGGCTTTTTTTGGTGGGAGGAACCCTTATCCCCGATCTTGTCCAGTGATGGCCCCTGATGCCCTTTTATTTCACATCAAGAAAGCAGTCAATAAACTTCGTCTGTGTCTCCATCTTGTCCTCTCTAAGGACACGAAAAGTTCTCTGAGTTCAGATGTTCAGTTCAGTTCCCCAAGAGGTATCCTTTAGCTCAATTCATCCACTCCAACTCCAACAATCCCTAATCCACCCCTTCTCTTTCACAGTGAATGTCAACCAAACACCCCCATAAAGGAATGTACTTGAAAATGTGATCTTTTGAACAACTTTATTTATTTATTTACAGACAGGGTCTCACTCTGTCACCTAAGCTGGAGTTCAGTGGCATGATCATGGCTCAATTCAACCTCTGCTTCCCAGGCTTAAGTGATTCTCCTGCCTCAGCCTCCCAAGTAGCTGGGACCACAGGTGTGTGCTACTATCCCTGGCTAATTTTCTTCTTCGTTGTCTTTTTCTTTTGTTGTTGTTGTTGAAATGAGGTCTCACTATGTCACCTAGGCTGGTCTCAAACTCCCAGGCTCAAGCGATCCACCTGCCTCGGACTTCCAAAGTGCAGGGATTACACACACACATGAGCCGCTGCATCTGGCCCTGGACAACATTTTAAATGACAAAATAAAGTTGTAGAGTCCTGACTCTTTATCCTGAAAGAACTCGAGATTTCTTTACTAGTTCTTCCTTCTCTTATTATTCTCAGTTAGTGTTCTTCTTCTTGGTTCTCAAAGTATGAGAATACTTTGCATTCAATACTTTGTCACAAAGTACCTGGACTGCTGTGTGATACCTCCAGGTTTCAAGCCAAACTATTAACATTGTGTCATGAGACACAGCATCGAGAACAAAAACAGCTCAAATGGAACATTGAAGTTATCTTCCAGGCAGCAGCTTTCCATCATATCTGAAATTTGGGGTTTATTCAAACTAAAATTATTAAGTTAAAAATTATTTGAGCTTTTCTACCCATTTCAGCCAATATGCTTGCTTTTTCCTCCAAGTACTCATGTGCCCCTCCCTATGTGCTTTTCAACAGGGTGAGGTTTGGAGAATCAAGCAGGGAAGTATAATGTAAGACATTTTGGTTGAGGATCAGAAAGCCTGGACTTTAGACCCCATGCTGGTGCCTTTTTAATGTTTGACTTTGAACACATCAGTTAAACCTCCTATTTTTAATTTCCCTTTATGTAAAAGTAGTATTATTACAATCGCATAAGAAAAAAGATATAAGGCTAAAGAGCATCAAAATTGTTAAGGGCTTGCTGATGAAAGATGCTGACTCTCTTCCTATGGTTTTTTACTGCTTGCTACAATCCATGGGAACACTTCTTTTCTTTCTCTCTTTCTCTTTTTTTTTTTTGAGATGGGCTCTCACTCTGTCACCCAGGCTGCAGTGCAGTGGTGCAATCTGTACTCACTGTGACCTCCATCTCCCGGACTGAAGCGATCCTCCCACCTCAGCCTCCTGAGTAGCTGGGATTACAGGAGCCCGCCACCATGCCTGGCTAATTTTTTTTGTATTTTTAGTAGAGATGGGGTTTCCCCATGTTGCCCAGGCTGGTTTTGAACTCCTGGGCTCAAGCAATCCACCTGTCTCGACCTCCCAGAATGCTGAGATTAAAGATGTGAACCAGTGTGCCCAGCCATGGGAACACTTCTGATGGCAGAAATTTGGACTGTATTTCAATGGAAACTTCACAGAGTCCTGAAAGTAGTTGACCTTTATATGATTTGGTGTAAACATGAAGAAAAGAAGTGCACACAATAAATATTTAACTTTCAAGTTGTATTTTTCTTTTGAAGTTTATTACAATTCCAAGACAAAATGTTTAGATAGTGCTTTATCCTGGGTTCCCAGGAGGTACAGTCTGGGGCAATATGTATGTGCTAATATTGATTAGAGAATACAGTTCCACGGAGGCAGAAATAAGAAGGAGCCAGTAGGCAGGAAGGAATCGTCAGCACGCTGGCTGCCATGTGCTGGATCTCAAGGGACGCTCGTCTGAGGGGATTCCAGGTGACTGGGACTCAGGTTGGTCCTCACTCTAGGGGAGAAAGAAGAATGTATTTCTTCTCCCTTTCCATGTCTCACTGGCCAAAAGTTTGCCTCTCTGGTTTGTGTTGACTGCCCTGTACTTCCAGCTGGCTTCTATCTGAATAGTCCAAGCATCTCCCAACTCTTCAGCAAGACACTTCGGCGAGGGCTGAGCACCATCATGTTGCTCCTGTGTGAATTCAGACAGAGCTGCAGCAGCCGCTGGGGCCAAACAAGAGCCAAAAAGCCCCAGTGGGAGGCAAAGCCACCAGGACATTCGGTTGTGCTTAAGAGGTGTCAATTCAGAACATCCTTAGAATTTACTTCAGGATTACTTTATTTTGCCAAGATGTAGCCCATATGTATTTATATGTCTCTATTATTCTTCATCAGATAGTCCTTGGGTAATCCATCAAAATGTACGTAGGACATTCAAGAAACCACATAGTGTCTGAAATATCCAGAAATATCACAGAGCGTCATGGAATACTTTTCCTGTCACCCCTAAAAAAATAAATTTTCCCTGCTTGATACTCTACAGCCAGAGGTTTTCTGTGCCCTCAGTCAGAAGATGTGAACTTTCAGATAGTGCTAAGGAGGTGGTTCTAGATAATTCTTTAGGGTTAACCATGTAACCAGGCCAAACTTCTAGCACTGGCTATAAGGCAAAACTGTGACGGTGGCTTTTCCTTTTCCACTCTCAAATTTTTTTTTAGAACAATTCTCTCACCTTCCCCATCAGTTAGGCCCCTGGACTCCCAAAATTCTCACCCTGCTCTGTGAGCAAACTTGATCTCCATCCAGCCTTGACTTCCCCAGAGAGTGAGTCCATATGTGCAGACAGTAGCACTTTTCCACCCTGTCATTCATTTATTTCATTTATTCACTTATTCATTCATTTATCAAATAGATTATCAAGCATTTACTTTGTACCAGGCACCCTCTTATGCTTTGGAGATACAGTGATGAACGGGCAACTCCTAGCTCTTGCAGTGCCACACTCTAATGGCGGGAGCAGATAATAGGAAGTTTGGCTAATTTTGTAAAAGTTCAGATTGTGATAAGGGATACAAGAGAAATAAAACAGTGTAATGAAATAGATTCAGTCTTGTACAGCCTAGAAATCTAACCCTGACCTATTTATTCATGACTGACACTGGTTTTAATGTCTTGCTGTGATTATAAGCATTACCAGATGGGCATGGCAGCTCATGCCTGTAATCTTGGCCCTTTGGGAGGCTGAGGAGGGCCAATCATGAGCCCAAGAGTTCGAAACCAATCCAGGCAACATGGCAAAATCTCACTTCTACTAAAAATAATAAATAAAAAAAATTCAGCAGGCGTGGTGTCATGCTCCTATAGTCCCAGCTATTTTGGAGGCTGATGTGGGAGGATCACCTGAGCTTGGGAAGTTTAGGCTGCAGTGAGCCAAGATCACGCCATTGCACTCCAGCCTGGGTGATAGAAGTGAGACAAAAAATAAAATAATTTTAAAAATAAAAAAATAAAAAAGCATTACCCTGTGAACTCCTTTAGGGCCTCAAGAGGGTATTTCATTTTTTCATCTTCAATATGTTCCTAAGTACTCATTTAAGTGTTGAATGTTAACAGAGACAAAATATTATTAGTCCAACAAATATGTCTTCTTGAGCAATGGTGGGATGTAATTTGAAGCGTAAGAAGCCTTCTTCCAACACCACCTCCCACCTCACATGATGCCTGGAGATTCTGCCCAGGAATGTTCTATAGGCGGTATCCTATAGTAGAAGTTCAATGGCTTTGAAAGAATTTGGCCTGTCCACTTTTAGCGAGAGTTCTTCCTCTTATTATTAGACCTAGATTCAATATATCAGAAATAAAGACTGTCACAACCAAACTCCAAATTAACTAAATTTTTAGGCTTATTTTTCACCCTTTGAGTGGAAAAACTAAAATTGTTTTTCTTCTGCTCTCAACCACAGTAACAATCAATCATCACAGAAGACTTCTGCTACCAAATATGTGGGGGTTTTTCCCCACCAAAAAGCAAGCAATCAATTCTGCAGCAGACACCACTGCGTGCCATCTAATTCAACTCAATTCTGACACTACCTACCTGGAAATAGTGTTAGATCCCACAGAGTGAGGGCTCAGTCCCTAAGATTACCCCACCCCAGCCCAGCTTCTGAGACCAGTTGCTAACCCCAGGTTGTTATTCTTGTGCTTCTGATCGACTGGCTATGAATCAGAGGTCTCATGACATCCAGCCCCTTAGATTTGAATAATTTGTGAGAACAGCTCACAGAACACAAGGAAACACATTTACTGGTTTATCAGAAAGGATATTAGAAAGGATACAGATGAAGAGTTACACAGGGCAAGGTATGGGGAGAGCTGTGGAGCTTCCAAGGCTCACCACCCTCCGGGGCTCACCATCCTCCAGGAACCTCCATGTGTTCAGCTATCTGAAAGCTCCCTGTCTTCTTGGGCCTTTTATGGAGACTTCATTGGGTAGGCATGATTGACAACAGTGTAGACATGAGATCTGATAAAAAGGGTATGACTTAATACTAATAGGCTGAGTGAGGAACCCAGCAAGGCCTGTCTGTTCAGATTTTTCTTGGCCTCTCTGTGCAGTATTCTTTCCTCCCAGGTATGGGGCAGGGCTCCTTCTGAGATGGGGGTCTTATGATCTACAATCAGACAAGCTAAGTCATAAAATTTCTTTTTGGATAGGTTGGGGAAGATTAGAGTCCTGCTTTGGAGGAAAACAAAGGAGCAGGTGAAACGAAGGCAGGAGAAGATCAGAGAGCAAACTTCTATTTTCTGAGGCCTGTTTCTGAGGCTCAATTCACCCCAACATTATAAGAAAAGCCTATAACAAGGGCTATGGGAGTTATGAGTCAGGAAGGATGAAAACATATATATATGATATATATATATATATATAACATATATATATGATATATATATATATAACATATATATATGATATATATATATATATAAATCATATATATATAATAACATCACACACCCCAATGTACTCCTTACACTCTCAAAGGAAAGAGAATCAACAGAAGAAAAGGCAGAACAATACAACCAGACAAAAGCTTTAGAAGTCTTCCTTCTTTTACTGTATCCACACATCATTGGTCAGAATAGGTCAGAATAGGCCAGCTTATGCTATAGTAATAAGCTCGGTAGCCTAACATAACAGAGGTCTCCTGCTCATACAAATTCTGCTGTGGGTCCAAATAAGTCTCTAGAACACTTTCCCTCCAGTGTTACTCAGCCATGCAAGCTGTGCATTTCAACACAAGTCCAGTTCAGGTGCCACGGTGGCTTGTCTATGCGTTGGCCTGGAAATGACACACATCTTCTTCAGTCACAGTCCCTGAGCCAGAACCAGTCTTGTAACCCTGCCTACCTGTGCAGGTGCTGAAAAACGTGAGGAAGCAACTGGGATGTTTGAGGAACACCACTGCCTTTCCCACATTAGTCACTAAGGGTATCAAGGAAAGAACACTAAAAGCAAGGAAGTGTTCATGGGCCCCTGACCCTGGTCTATGTCTGCCTTACTCTCCTACCAACACCAAGATGGGAATCCTGGGAGGTTCTTACACAGTTTTACATAGCAGGTAGAATCAGTTGGCAATAAAGCCTGGAGACTTGTCTCACTATTTCTGAGATTCTGGCCACCATCGCCGCCCCATCCATGGCTATGGTTATAAAAATCTCTCCTTAAAGTTGTAATTTCCAAATGATAGCTTGCCCCAAATATCAATGCTTCCCCAAAACAGTCTAAAAGACTTTCATGACAGATTCTGAAAATAGGGTCGAAAACACATTAAGGCCGGTCACGGTGGCTCATGCCTATAATCCCAGCACTTTGGGAGGCCGAGGTGAGCGGATCACTTGAGGTCAGGAGTTCGAGACCAGCCTGGCCAACATGGTGAAACTCCATCTCTACTAAAAAGCATAAAAATCAGCTAGACGTCGTGGCATGTGCCTGTAGCCCCAGCTACCCAAGAGGCTGATACAGAAGAATTGCTTGAACCTGGGAAGCAGAGGTTGCAGTGAGCATAGATCGCACCACTGCACTCCGGCCTGGGCAACAGAGCTAGACTCCATCTCAAAAATGAATAAATAAATAAACACACACATTTGCAAATAACCTGGTTTGATCATTTGGTGACATGGTTATGGACATAAACACTTTGATTTTTAAACAATTTTGTTCAAAGTCAGAGGAGTGACTGATAGCCGCTATTTAATATTCCCCTTGGAAAACAAGAGGCTGGCATCTGGTTTCCCACAGATTCTTCGGTGTCACAAACAGGTTCTGCAAACTACAAAAGACCTTCCGCAGGGCCCTGCCCTTGTGACTAAGGGAAGAGAAAGAAACTCTGTGTGTGTGTGTGTGTGTGTGTGTGTGTGTGTGTGTGTGAATATGGACAACTAGCATCACAATTTCATACTTTTGTCATTTCGCCAACAACAAAACTGTGGATGGGAAGTTCTAACTAGAAACCTCTGGAAAAGAAAGGGGATAGGGAGAGGTAGAGGGAGAAAATATGTTCCTTCTCAAGATAGTGCCCACTAGACCTTTAATACATACCTATTTTTCCATTCTTAGAGATCTCTCATTGACTCATCAATTCAACAAATATTAAGGATCAATATTAATCCCTGTAAAAAGCACTGAGGAATCAGTGGCCAGTAACATTAACACAGCCCTGGTGCAGTCTGGTATGGGAGACAGATGGTGTACAAATAACCACATAAACAAATACGTAAACTGCAGTCATGAGCCTATGCTTGTTTGTTCTCAGAGCTGTTTTCTGCTCCTCCCCTGCTCTGCTATATTTCCTTTTCCTTCTGTCTTTCTGGTAGGTTCAGTCAGCAGAAGACTCTGGCAGGAGATTGGAGGGGAGGAGGAAGGGAAAAGCCAAGGGATGTTTTTCCCCATCACTACTTCTCCTCCCATCACCCATGAGGCTTTCTCCAGCTCTCGGTTTCTGATGACGCCACCTCTCCCCTTCATCCCTTCCAGTGCCAGGGATGGCAGTGGCTTCCACCAATTGTTTCCCACATGCCCAGCACCCCTATAGCCAATTCCTTCATGGATTTCCTTCCTGGGCAATCACATAACAATAAAACCTGTGTTGAGGGCCAAAAAGGAAAAGTATGTTGTGAAGAGAGGACAATCAAAGATCTGTTATAGTCTTTATGAGTGAAAAAAGCTTCTCCAAGAAAGAGACACTTGAGCTTAGATAGGAGGAACGAATCAAACTCAAATAGGCAAAGAATGTGGTTAAGAGCTACCTAGAACAGAGGGCAGCACAGGCAAAGGCCCTGCATCAGAGGAGCTTAGAGCTGAGAAGGAACTGAAGTAAGCGGGTGTTACCAGGGTGCAGGGGGCAAGGACAGAATGGGTTATAGAATGGGATGGCAGTTAGGAAGAGGCTGGATCATGCAGGTCCTATAGGCCACGTTTAAGACTTTGATAGCTATCATGAGGATAACGGGTAGCAACTGGACAGCTTTAAACAAGATAATGATAAGATATATATGCATTGTTAAAATGATCACTGTCTATAGTGCAAAGGCTGTGATAGAAGTGGGTGAGAATGGATGTAAAGAAACCAGACAGGATGTACTGCAGGAACACAGGCAAAAATAGCAGCCTGAGCAAAGGATAGTGGTATTAGAAATGGAGAAAGATGGACTCTAGGGATATTTAGAAAACAAATCAGTAAGCCTTGGCAATTGATTAGTTTAGAAAGGGTGATGGAGAGAGGGATGTCAAGGGTGACTCTAGGGTTTGGCTTATCCATGTAGGTGCATGGATGGTGGTGCCATCCACCAAGACAGAAGAAGCTGAAGGAGGGATGGGCTGTGTGTGCATGTATGGAGTGAGGAGGAGATGGATCATAAGTGTAGTTTTGCTCATGTTGAATTTAAAGTGACTTAGAGATATCAAAATGCATTTATCTCTCCTAGGCACCTAGATAAATGGGGTTAGAGCTCTGTGGCATGTTGGATTTTTGTTTCCAATTCTTCACTCACTTGCAATAGAATTTTACACTCACAGTCTTTGCCATGTAACTTTCCTAGTGGGAGGGGTATGTTTCCCCACCTATTGATTTGAAATTTGGCCCTGAAACTTACTTTGGTCAGTAGAAGGTTAGTGGCCAAGATGCAAACAGAGACTTTTAACATGCTTTCATGTTTGGCTTGTCCTCTTGTGATCTTTCATGAGAAGAGCATGCTTTAGCAAGCCACTGCCCCTCTAGCCCAAGCCTTAGAATTAAGATGCACTGTTGACCCAAACACAACCAGGTGCTTGGGTCTGGCCTAATCCAGCTGAGCAGTGCCTTGCCTAGCTGATCTGCAGACCTGTGAGCATTGTCATAAACCACTAAGCTTCTGAAGTTATTCATTCTGCAGCAGAAACCAAGGAATATAGCTCAAAGGAAAGGATCAGACAAGAGATATACTTTTGTGAGTCACTGATATGAAAATGGTAACTACAACTTGTGTTGTAGATAAGATCTTTCAGGGATCAGAGTCATTACACGATTTTAAAACAAATCCACTTTGGATAGGGCTGGACAAACTTTTCTTTGATCATCCCTCTGTCCTCTGAGCCAGGTAGTGCATCTCATCTGAATACCTTTAACCCTCTCTTCCATGGCACTGCAGCCAGGCCTGCTAATCAGAGCCTCATGCTCCAAACTTGTGTCACTGCCTTCACACCCAAACTCTTTGTCCTCTACCCATCTTTTGGCTTAGACATCTATGGAACGTTCTGATTTGGTATGTCTTTGAGTGGCAATGGCTTATGCCTCTCAAACATTTGCTTTTTAAATGTACATTTCAATGCCCTTGGGCCAAAGCTAGCTAGATATCAGGCTATGTGGAGTTAACATCTTTGCCAAAGAGAGCCTCTGTCTACATCACAAAGTTGACTGCCTGCAGCCATCAACGTAGAACATCATTCAACTTTCTCCAAATGCCAGTGAAAGGACTTTAAACACAATCTTTTATTAAATTATTTTTATTTTTATAAGTTCTGGGGTTCATGTGCAGGATATGCAGGCTTCTTACATAGGTAAACGTGTGCCATGGTGGTTTGCTGCACCTATCAACCCATCAAGTAGGTATTAAGACCAGCATGCATTAGCTAATTTTCCTAATGCTCTCTTTTCCCCAGCACCACCCCGACAGGCCCCAGTGTGTGTTGTTCCCCTCCCAAAACAGGAACCTTTTAAAGACTCCATTTAGATTTCTTGATAGGAAGAAGAAAAGGTGGAAATCTATATTATGTATGTTGATTCCTGGTTCCTCCAGTTAAGGAATCCACATGGTTGCTCCAGTTTAGAGTTATCTCAAGTTCTCATCCTCTTTCTTCCTCTCTCCTCATTATTTTTTCTTTCTCTCTTTTTCATTTCTCTCTCTCCACTCAGGCTGCATTCATTAAGCTCTCTTTGCTTACGTTTGAATAAAATGAGCACACTGAAATATTTAGGTGATTTCCTTTTCCCTTTGCCTGTGCTAATTCCTTAGCCAATTCACTACCATAATAGAAGTTTATTTTCATCTTTCTCCATTTCTCTGTTCTGTGTGCTTGAAGAATTCTCTTGCATATTCATTACATCTGGTAATCTAACTCTCTCTATTCCATAAATGATTCCCTTCATCTTTCAGGGGATATCGAATGTATTTTTTTCCTTCCCTGTTTGAAATCAATCTGCAGTGATATTTGAGTTCTATGTGGATCTAATGGAAAAGATGAGGAAAAAACCCACAACATCCACATCCCTGATGGTTACCGCTCAGGCCTCTTCACTAAGTGTTTTAAAGCGCACCCAGGCAGGAGCTGGAAGGCTTGAATACCAGCTCCAGCTCTTACACTGGTAGCTATGTCACCCTAGATTGTATTCTCCTTATCTTTTTTGTTTGGAGATGGGGATGTCACCCTGTAACTCAGCTGGAGGGCAGTGTTGTGATCATAGCTCACTGCAGCCTCCAACTCCCGGGCTCAAGTGATCCTCCCGCCTCAGTCTCCCCAGTAGCTAGGACTACAGGCACACTTTTTAAATTTTTTGTAAAGATGGGGGTCTTTCTATGTTGCCTAGGCTGGTCTTGAACTCCTGGCCTCTAACAATCCTCTCACCTCAGGCTCTGGAGTTGCTGGAATTTACAGATGTAAGCCACCATGCCTGCCTCCTCCTCCTTGCCTTTAAAATGGTGATAATATTATGCTAATTACCTTATCTGTTGACCTATTTAATCTGCATAAGAAAAATTTTAAATATGATTAAATATTGAAAGCTGTAGCAGTTAGGAATATATTTGGTAGTAGAAACAAACTAATCAACTCACAGTAACTTTAATAGTTGGGGTCATTTTTCTCTTAGAACAAGAACAAAATAAGTGATTACCTGGGTGGGTTCAGTGGATCAACAGCCTTTGTCTTCATCAGGAGAGCAAAAATTGCCCCAGAACATACTCCTAACAGATTTGCACTTGTTTTCATGGCTGGAAGTGAGTCATAGGGCCACACTTAGCTCAAGGGAGACTGGAAAATTGAGGATTTGGGGGCCAGTGGGTGGTAAAAAGAAGGGTGTTGGAAATATTTTTGGGATAATCATTTAGAATTATCTGCCTCAGGAAGTTTTGAATTAAAATCATATTAATTAATGTATCTACAACCTCCCTTTGGAGGGAATGCAGTGCTTCTAGAGGCCTCAAACTTCTGTTTTCTCAGAGAAAGCAGAAACCCAAGAGGAGAGCCAAGTGTCTGCTGTGCCTCTTCCTTGGGGCAACATCTTCCCTAGCTCTAGATTGCTGGTCCAAGGGAATCAGGCCACTCAGTTGGCTTCGTCAATGGAAATTCTCAACACAGAATGCTCCTCTTCCACTGTGAGATGTTTCACCCTGCAAATAAAAGTGCAGAATCTCAAGTCATGGGGCACACGTGGAATTCTGACTCTTCTCTTTTCTAACTCTTGATCTCGGACAAGTTTATGGTTAAAACACTCACATTGCTAATTTGAAAATGGGAATAACAATGTTACTTATCTCTTTTCTATGGCAGTGAGGATTAAATGGAAAGCACTAAATAGAGTGGCTACCATATGTAACTACTCAGTAAATGGTAACTGCTATTATTAACATTAGTAGTTGCTATGGACTGAATCTCTATGGCTCCCCCAAAATTGATGTGTTGAAACCTAATCCCCAATGTGATGGTATTTAGAGGTAGGGCTTTTGGAAGTGATTAGGTCATGAAGGTGAGGCCCTCATAAATGGGATAAGCACAGTTTGTAAAAAGAGACTCTCGAGAGGCCCCTTGCCCTTCAACCCTGTGAGAACACAGTGAGAATATGGCTGTCTGTGAACTGGAAAGCAGGCCCTCACCATACACAGAATCTGCAGGCACCTCAATCTTGGACCTCCCAGCCTCCAGAACCGTGGAAAATAAATGTTTGTTGTTAAAGCAACCCCATCCAGGATATTTTTGTTATAACAGTCCAAACAGACTAACGCAGTAATCATAAACAGTAACACTTTTTAAATGTACAGATTTTCCAACTCTGTCAACTTTACTCCAAAAGGTTAACAACAAAAATTATGTGAATAATGATTTCTTTCTGTTTGCATCTAAAATTAAACCACATGAGCTTATTGGAATTCATCCTAGAATCTCTGTAATTGTTAGTATTTGAATGACAAGCTCTCCCATACATTTACTAAAGTTTGTAAAGAAAGCTATGCCATTCTGGAGTATGATGATCTGTCCCTGTGACGTATCTAGAAAGTTCATTACTTGTCTGTAGTCGTCTCTTGCCAAATTCAATTTGCAAAGACAATAGCTTCATAGCCATTTCTTTTAATCTTGTTTGTAATATTGCTCATTAAATAGAAGATATATTATGCCAGATCTTGTTCATTTCAAAGCAAATTATAGAAGGTGACTAAATTGTGCACCAAGAGAAAGAGTCCAATGTTTTACCAGCAAGGCCACAAAATCGACATCTGCTTTTTGACAAGCTGAGAGATCCAAAAGAATCTTGACGTATCTTAATGCTGTCTGTCATATACCACAATGTTCATCAATTATTTCTTTGTGAAAGAATGACTAATTATTATGCCTACATGGGGTTCATTTGCATATGCAAGCTCAAGTGTTTTATAGAGAAAAGAATGTTGATTTGTGGTGAGGGCAAACTCCTTCCCTCCAAATTAAAATACTTCTTTTTACACACAGTTACATTAGGCTTGCTATTGAAACCCAGGGAGAGAGAAAATATAATTCAGGAACTGAGTCCAAATCTATTTTCCCATTTCCAAGAAAAAGGAAAACAGTATATTTTTCATGTATTTTAGACTAAATTTTTGAAAAATGTGCCATGCAGCTGCCATTGTTCATAAGGGAAAATGATCTGGATACAATTGGCCTAATCAACTCTTAACCTGAGAACATAAGTGGATGATTTCACCTAGTGTTACCCACACAAGCAGCTGCTGACATCAGGGTCCTTATGAAAATGCTGCACCTGAGACTGATGCCAGGTAGATGGCACTGGGGATTTCAGACTCCAGAACTGAAAACAAGCTGAGCATCTGGTGGAGCCATCCGCTGATCCAAAAGGCTGCTCTCTACAGATGAATGGGTGTTAAGACAGCTGTCCTTCCTAGACCATGAGCAGCTGCTGGCCAGGGTTGCTGCCTGCCAAAAGGGTGGAGTTGGGAGAAACCAGGAGTCAACCACAGCTACCACAGTCTAATGAGTTAGTTTGATACCAGGGACATATTAGGAGGACTTGCTGCTGCCACGAGCTTGCACATGACTCTTCTCAACTGCAGAGGAAAACCAGTATGATGCCAGGCTAGAAGCAGCAGCATCACCATCAGCCTGGTCACATTCTACTTATAGCCCACTCCATCTGACAGCATAAAGCTAGACCTGCCCTGGGCTGCTGGTAGCATAAAGCCAGACCTGCCCTGGGCTGCCAAAAAAGTCTTCCTGAAAGCCATGAATGACATGCAAAGGAGAAATATGAAACATCTAAGTGAATATAGAGGAGAGGGCATTTCTGATAGACACTCATGAGTCAGGCCCACAGGCTTAAAACACAGTGATACTTGTACTGGTTTCTTACAGCTGCTGTGACTTAAAACAACAGACATTTTTTCTCTCATGATTCTGGAGGCTGAAAGTCTGAAATCAATGTGTTTTCAGGGCCATGCTCTCTCTGAAGTCTGTAAGGAAGAATCCTCCTTTTCCTCTTCCAGCTTTTGGTGGTTTCTGGCATTCCTTGGTTTGTGGGAACCTAAATTCAGTCTCTGCCTCCATCTTCATTCACATGGCCTCTTCCCTGGGTCTCTGTGTGTTTCTCACAGTCTTCTTATGATGTCACCAATTATTGGATTTTGGACCCACCCCACTCTAGTATGACCTCATCTTAACTTGATTAGATCTGCAAAGTCCGTATCTCCAAATAAGATCACATTTACTGGCACAGGGAGTTAGAATTTTAACATATCTTTTTAGGGAACACAATTCACACCACAACACTGGCACATGAAGAGGGAATAGGAAGTGTCTGGATGAATGTGGGGGAGAGGGTATTTTCCTCCTCTATAGTCACTTAGACAGAAAGAATGTCATGAATCAAGCCCAAGGGCTTGAAATGCTCCAGTGCTTCTGTAGAAAACCAGCAATGCCTCACTCCTCACTCCAGCAGGATGCTTTACTTTCCCTGTGGTAAGACCAGCAACACTTATGATTATTTGCTCCTTGTATGGGTAGAAGGGTCACCTGTGTAAGTATAACACATCAGCCCACCCCTAAAATTTTCAGGGCTCCGGATAAGAACATAAATGGAGACCCAAGAAGCATATGTCCAATTATTTCAAAGTTATATTTCATGCTACAAATTGTTAAGCCAAATATGTTCTGTTCTCCTATTTTGACAAATACACCTTCATTACTACAAAATTTTTATAGGTATTAGAAAGCTGTGGTTTTTATTTAACTGAAAGTTGGCAAAATATCAGATGGTCTGTCTGGGTATTCTGTTGAAAGGCTGATGATGTTAGGATGAGTAATAAAGACATACAAAATTCATAAATTATTATATATTTATTTCACAGAATTTACTGTCTTTCCTTTATTTCAGAAAATGTACTAATTATGTTGTTGTTGCTGGGGGCGATGGCTCACGCCTGTAATCCCAGGACTTTGGGAGGCTGAGGTGGGTGGATCACCTGAGGTCGGGAGTTCGAGACCAGCCTGGCCAACATGGTGAAACCCCATCTCTACTAAAAATACAAAAAATTAGTTTCAGGATTATTTGCACATATTATTTGTTTCTCCTTAGAGTCATTTTTGTTTCCAACTTCAAATTTTCTTATATTTTATTGATATGTCATTTTTATTGGGTAACTCACATGTAGTTTCTATTACTTATAAAAATACATTTCATAATTAAAATACTATGATATGTTATATACATATAATATGTGTGTGTGTTAAATCTTTTAAAAGTAAAAGAAGACTAGATTTGTTTAGGGTTTTGTAAACTTTTTCTAGCATTATTAATAGCACCCATCCATTTATACCAAATAACTGTGCACAAATTATACTAATTATAAAATTTATTCTAATTATAAATTACTTTGATTTTCTGTGATGACTACAATTTTCTTTTTGAGCATCTTTTGCTTAACTCTCTTGGTGCAACTTGTATTTCTTTATGTGTCCAAGAGATGCTGTAAGGTTTAATCAAAACATTTCATATTTTAAAAGAACCAGAAAATATTACATATAATCTATGTACTATTCCCAATAATGTCATGGATAAGGGCACAGTAAAGGCCATGCCTCCTAGTAATAAGCACAAAGGAATTACACAAAAGAGTGCCAAGTACAAAGATAGATTTGGAGCAAACTCTTGGCTTGTGCACCTTTTCCTTTATCAGCCATGTTAGCACCATTTTCGGAGGCTTGTCATTGATTAACTTTTATTTTGAAAGAGAGATCTGTTAAAGAATACAAAATTATAGCCAGATAGGAAAAATAAGTTCTAGTGTTCTATAGTACTGTAGGATGATTATAGCTAAAAATTTATAGTTTCAAATAGCTAGAAGGAAAACATCGAACATTCCCAACATAAAGAAATGATAAATGATTGAGATGATGAATATGCTAATTAATTACCCTGTTCTGATCACTCTGCATTACATGTATTGAAACATCACTACATACCCCAGGAATATGTACAATTATTATTTGTCCATTAAAAACATAAAACATTTAAAAAGCAAAGAAAAGCTGTTTTTAATATTTGTGTTTTATTGATTTTTATTACTTTTCGTATAAAATTAAAACTTGAGAATTCTAGCTTTCAATGTCCTTTTGGTTGCTAATGTAAAGAGGTGATATCAAATTTCTGGCATTATATAGATATATAATATATATTGTGCATATTATTATATATAATGTATATATGTATTATATATTATATATTTATATATGTGTGTATTTATACACTTATTGGATTATTATATATTACAAAATGTTCCTCAGTTACCATGTGTGCTGTAGCACAGTGTTAATTCATGGGTCCTTCCTGAATCACAAATTAGAACACAAAGAGAAATAAGAAAATGGATGCTGAACACTACTATGAAAAGATACTTTGTTAGACAAAAATCTAGAGCACTCATGATATCAGAGAGGGAAGACTGGATAAATTAATTAAGTTGCCTTTTCTCTTATCAAGTGCTCCTGCCACCCAAATCCTCCTCAAACTCCAAATTAGTGTCTGTTTCCAAAGTTGGCAGTGACTAAGCCCGCAAATCTCCACAAATAACTATTCTTTCAAGGATATAGGGTATATAATTTGGCGTCTCAGGGACTTGATGATGTGGGTCCTCTAACATACAGAGCCCAAGGCAGAAGCCTGTCCTACCCAGGGCTTAGGGTAATGCTGCAAAAAGTCAATTCCCTGGGACTTTATTCAGTATAGCTCATGGCTCGCTGGCTCAGTACCATAGGAACTTAATGGAAAAAAGTGGCCATTCTAAACATATGCATGAAATAGGACCTCCCCACAGCATATGAGTATGCATATACATATCTATACTGGTAAAGTGAGTTTTAAAAGTCCATGTGTATACTTAATTGAAATCATTTTGTGATGATGAGGGTGATATAAATAATAATTTTTAAAAAGACAAGGGGAAGAAAGGCAGCTACTGCTTTTCAAATAATTCCTACATACCAAATACTGTGCTATATACTTTATGCAAATTATCTCATTTACATTTATTATTCTTATTGTACAGATGAAGAAATGGAGAACCAGAGAAGTTGCATGACTTACACAAAGTCACATAGTTGATAAGTATTAGGAGCAGATTTGGATCACAGGTTAGTCTGACTATATAAAGTTCATGTTCTTAACCACTGTATTCTTGCACAGCATTTAATTTGACAGAACAAGGCAACATGAATCATTACTCTATTTTTCTCTATATTTTAATTATTAAAATGAAAATCATTCACAAGTAATAAAAGACAACATTCTCATTAAAAGAGTCAAGAAACACAAAACTATAGAAGTCAAAAAAAACCCCAAAAAACTAAGTTCTTCTTTTATAGTTCACTAGAATTTTTTTTTTTTTCAGGTAACTACTGGATATAGCTTAGTGTATACAGACATGTGTATAGCTTCCTTTACATAAATTAAGTAAAAAATAATGTATTATTCTGTGACTTGCTTTTTTTAAATGTAGTAATGTGCCATGAGATATTTTTACGTTTGTATCTCTAGATGTATTTCATTGGATTCAGTGGCCCAGCATTTTAACTATTCCTGTAGTTCTGGAATTTAGGCCATTTCTACTTTTTGCTTTTAAAAGTGCTGCACCAAAGAGCCTTATATATATGCCTTGGCAGGTACATTACCTTTGAATAGGATTTGAATTGCTAGGTTACAAATTATACTCTTTTTCAACATTTTGGTAGAAATTTTGGTTGCATCTGCCAAACTGCCTTCTAATACTACTTATTTATATTCACACCAAGAGCAGACATAACTTTTTCTGCCATGGGAGATAATTTTATTTAAGGGGGTATATTTGGAACGCCATAGCTAAACCACCACTAACTATATCCAAATGGTGCCCAAAGTTTATACAAATCTGCTTAAAACATCCAGCAATGAGTGGATAAATGAATAATAAACTATTTTTCCATAAACAGAGGTACACCTTTCTCTGCATAAATCTTTGCTACAACATACTGTCTGCAACTTTTTCTTCCTCGTGAAGAACAAAACCATGAATCAATTGCAAATTCAATGTAAATTGGTTTTTTTCAGGTTTTGGGGTGATGATGATAAAACCTGCATTAGTACTGTGCTTTTAATTTTCAAGCTACTTTTATTAATCTCATTTCCTCCATGAAGCCATAGGATTTTTAAATGAAAAGAATTTGATAAAGTTTTATTGGATTTGGCTGTGTATAAAGATAGATACTGAACTTTCTCCTGGTTGGAATGTGACCTCAAGAGCAGGGACTCTCTCATCATAGTCTGCTCATGTCTTTGCACTGTGTTTGACTTTTAGGAGACAAATAAATGGACTAAAAGAGCCTGGTTCAAGCTTTCCCTTAGTAGAACAGGAAACAGAGTGCTAGAGAGTTTGAGATACTTAAGCAAGGAATGAAGTTTATTAATGGTGTAATCGGAAGTCTTGGCAGCCACAGTTTGCTGTGCTTTGCTGTTGCACACAGCTTTGGTCATATGTGGCTCTTTACTCATAGCCAAAACGTGCCGTGATCAATTGGTTCTTAAAATCGAGGGCTCCTCTGAGTATATTTTTTTACTGTGTGCTGAATGCAAAGTAGCTATTTGGTTCAATTTTTCCCCCTAATTTACAATCATCTCCCCCCACCCCCACTAACAACCACCGCCACTGTTTCATCCAGTAAGTTAAGTAGAGAAAACACACACTCTGTCTAGGCATCCAGCTGGATTTCCCTATAGTCTCATTTGGCACATTTCATTGTTTTACAGCTTCTCTTCTCTCCTTTACCACAGTGCTTTCAATTTTCTTTCTGGCATTTCATGCAGATTAGAGATTGGTGGGAAAATACTACATACATAGACCTGAAATTCCTAATTTATTCAGCCAAGGAGCCTGACATTAAGGGAAGCCAGGCAGCAGTATGGAGCAGAATCAGATACAGCCTGTCTAGGAGAGCTTCTCCCTGAAGCTTTGACTCACAGATGGTGCACAGCTGCTGGTGACACTCTCTGACCTGGTTAGGAATCCTGAGCAGAAAACACCTTGAATACTTGCCTTCCCACTGCCTTTTAAACTTGGGACTTCCATTGTCCAGTCCACAATAACTCTGACAATCCTGGCATTCTTGTTTAAAAGGTTCAGACTGAGCTGGTTCTGGAGCCAAATACATTATCATATAGGCCACACCCTTCTCCGAGGAAGGAAAGCAGCATCCGTGCTTGACAGCCCTAGCACTGTGTCTCCGACCCTGTTTTCTGGTGATCTAGAGGGCTTACTTTTTTTTTTTGTTTCAGAGAAGGAGTCTCTCTCTGTCGCCAGGCTGGAGTGCAGTGGCGTGATCTCGGCTCACTGCACCCTCTGCCTCCCAGGTTCAAGTGATTCTCCTGCCTCAGCTTCCCAAGTAGCTGGGACTACAAGCACGTGCCACCATACCCAGCTAATTTTTGTATTTTTAGTAGAGACAGGGTTTCACCGTGTTGGCCAGGATGGTCTTGATCTCCTGACCTCGTGATCTGTCCACCTCAGCCTCTCAAAGTACTGGGATTACAGGTGTGAGTCAGTGTGCCCGCAGAGGGCTTAATCTTTACACTTCCCAACTGCTAAAGCAGAGGGCCAGGTTCAGTGACACCTACAATTATGATAAAGACATGGCCTCTGGCCTCTAAAGGAACATTTTGGTAGGTAGAGTAGTTCATGTCTTCAAATAATAGGACAAACCAGTATGTGATCAACATCCTAAGAGAGTTCTAAGCCTCTAAGAGAAAATAATTAATTCTATCCAAGGTGGCTGAGGAAAAGATAAAAAGCCCAGAGGCCAGAGAAAGCATTTGTTAGTCAATTACCACATGCCCACACCCAAACAGCCAACATGGTCTACTCACACCATCTCTTTCATGGGAATAGTGCTTTCTACTCCTGCTAGCTAAGCTCAGAGGGATGCACCAAGCTAAAAAGAACAAGTTCTTCCAAGGGAACATGTTATGAACTCATTCACAGTTCAATCAGAGGAAGACCCCAGCACTCTGACAAGTATTATCTCCAGGAGTTAAGAAAAGATGTCAGCAATTCAAGCCAATTCAAATTACTTATTATAGGTTGAGCATTTATTTAGCAAAATCATGGTTTCTATAAAAGTGCGCTGTCCTTGTCATTGATTTCATAGTGATTTGTTATATAGTTGGGTTGCTGTGGCTTTTAGCATGGCCCTAAACATATCTAGTAATTTTGTAGTTAAAATATATATAAGGTAGAATATATAAAATATGTAAATATTTAAACATATATGTTCACATTGTATATTATATATATACACACATATATATATAATAGGTTAGAATACCATGGAGAAGCAAAGAGGAACTAATGGTGTTGATGAATTATGTCTGTTTATAAAATACCCTAAGGGCCGGGTGCGGTGGCTCACGCCTGTAATCCCAGCACTTTGGAAGGCCTAGGCGGGCGGGTCACGAGGTCAGGAGTTTGAGACCAGCCTGGCCAGCATGGTGAAACCCCATCTCTACTAAAAATACAAAAATTAACCAGGCAAGGTGGCGCATACCTGAATTACTGGTTACTCGGGAGACTGAGGTAGGAGAATCGCTTGACTCCGGGCAGCAGAGGTTGCAGTGAGCTGAGATCACGCCACTGCACTCCAGCCTGGGCGACAGAGCTGTCTCAATAAATAAATAAATAAATAAATAAATAAATAAATAAATAAATAAATAAATAAATAAAATACACTTCTAGTAAATTATTGGTAAGACTGGTTCTTTATGGCAGTTCTTATATTAGGTAATTGTGTATGTGACTCCCAAGAAGTAATATAGAAGTCGAGGATAGTAATGATATGAAAAAGGTGTCATTTCAAATCAACTGTGACAGATATTAAAACAAGGGGTATATATTTGAAAAAAATTAGATACCCACCTCTTACCAGGTATTGAAATAAATTATATATGTATTAAGTATCTAAGGAATAGACCAACTTGACATGTAGGTTTGTTTCTATATTGAACATAGAAATCTATACCCAACAACTGCAGAATGTACATTAAACATTCACCAGGATGAAACATTTTATGCAAGGCTATAAAATAAAGCTCAATTGATTTCACCTTAAGAAGCTACAAAAAGAAGAGAAAATCAAACCTAAAGTAAGTAAAAGAAAGGAGATAATAAAGATAAATGAAAGGTAAGGAAATAGAAAACAATATGAAAAGCTAAAACAAGAAGTTCACTTTTAGAAAATATTAATAAAATTGATAAACCTTTAGCAAAACTGGATCAAGACAAAAAGAGATAAAACACAAATTACCAATTTTAGGAATAAAGAGGGAATGTTATGACACAGCTTGCCAATACTGAAGAGATAAAAAGAGGATGTTAAGAACAACATAATGCCAACTATTGAATAACATATGAACTGGAGAAATACGTTTAAAAAACACAACTTACCAAAATATACTGAAGAAATAGAGAATAACATTAGATTTATTTTTAAAATCATGTGTAATTAGAACATTCTCACAAAGAAAACTCTAGGATTAAATGGCTTCATTCACTGAAAACTAAAAACTCCCTGAGAAAAGTTAAAGAAGCCTTAAACAAGTGTGTAAATATAACATATTCATAGATTCAGAGGCTCGATATCGTTAAGATGTCAATACTTCTCAAAGTTTGAATTTATTTATAAATTCAATACCTTCTGAACCAAAATATTACCAGGCTTTATTTTAATAGAAAATGACAAGCTAATTTTAAGATTTATAGAGAAATACAAAGGACTTTGAGTAGTCAAGATAATATTGAAAAATAATAAAGTTGGAAAACTTACAACATGATTTTAAGACTTGCTATAAAGCTACAGTGACCAAAGACTTGCTTTGCTGGCATATGACTAGATATATAGGTTAGTAGAACAAAATTGAGACCGGAACATATTGGTCAGCTCATTGATTTTCAAAAAAAAGTATCAGGGAAGGCAGAATGGGGGAGTGACTGCTTAATGGACATGGGGTCTCCTTTGGGAGCAATGGAAAATTTATGGACTAGATATAGGCAATGGTTGCACAACCTCAGGAAGGCACTGACTGCCACTGGACTGTACACTTTTAAATGGTTAATTTTATGTTATATGAATTTTACCCTAACAAAGACAGCAGAAGGGTATCAAGCAATTCATGGGGGTAAAGAAGAGTATTGTCAACAAAATGGCACTAGGATCAACAGAACAGGATATCCATTCTAAATTTAAAAAGAATAAAAGAACCTTGAAACTTTACCCAATGGCATTCACAAAAATCAATTCGAAATGAGTCATAAAGCCGTATGTATAATCTAGAATTTGGATGTGTTAAAGGAAAACAGAAAAAAATGTCAACATGAATGTAGGGTAGACAAAAATTGTTTTAGACAGGACACAAAAATTACTAACCATAGAAAATAGAAAAATTATATTTTATCAAAATGTAAAACTTCTTGTTCCTCAAAAGTTACCATTAAGAAAATGAAGAGACAAATCACAGACTAAGATTTTCTTAAATGGTATATTTGGCCAAGGATTTATATCTGGAATATAAAAATTACTATAAATTAATAAAAACAATTAATAATCATAAATACAATAAAATAAAAACATTTAAAGTAGATAAAACTCTTGAACAAGCACTTTACAAAAGAAGATATATAGATAACCAACAGCACTTAAAAATGTTCAATGTCCCTGTTTTCCTGTGTGTAATCTGAACTTAATCATGAGGGAAAAAAAATCAGACCTACCTAAGGGACATTCTACAAAATAATTGAGAGTAATCTTCAAAAATGTCAAGGTCATGAAAGTCAAGGAAAGACTGAAGGAAGGTAAACAGACATCACAACTAATTGCAACATGTGACACTGAACTGGCTCCTTTTGCCACAAAGAATATTGAGATAATCGTTGAAATGTGAATGGGGTCTCAGATTAGATGGTGTGATGGTCAATTTTACGTGTCAACTAGACCGGGCCACAGGATGCCCAGATATCCTGTAAAATGTTATTTAAGGGTGTTTCTGGAAGAGATTAGCAATTGAATTGGTGGACTGACTAAAGCACATGGCCCTCCCCAATATGGGTGGGTACCATCTAGTTTGCTGAGGGCCTGAATGAAACAAAACGTGCAGGAAGATCGAATTCTTTCTCTACTTGACTGCTTGAGCTGGGATGTTGATCTTCTCCTACCCCTGATGCTCCTGGTTCTCAGGCCTTCAGACTCAGACTAGAATCCACATCATCAACTCTCTGGTTCTCAGGTCTTCAAACTATACGAGCTTGCAGACAGAAGACTGTGGGACTTAGCCTTCAAAGTCATGGGAGTGCATACTTTATAATAAATCCCTTTATATACATGCACTTATCCTTTTGGTTCTTTTTCCCTGACCTAACTAATATATACAGTCTTGATGCATTGATGTTGATTACCTGATTTTGATTTTATTGCATAACATCCTTGTATGTTGGAAATTCACACTAAAGTATTCAGAGTTATTGGGTCAGCAGCTTACTTTCAAGTGGTTAGTAAAATAAGTTCTTTCTTTTGTGCTTGCAGCTTCTCTGTAGGTTTGTGGTTGTTTCAAAAAATATTTTAAAAGACAACTATGTAAAAGTATAGGATATAAAGTATATTCCAAATATGAAAATATAAAACAAACATGTATTGTTTTATGTAGATAAAGGAAATGGAAATAGGTCTGTAGAGCTTTAGATGAAGAGTGGTTACATTTGGGAAAGATAGTTGATTGGGGAAATTAGGAAAGATTCTAGTTTGTGATTCAAAATCTTTCTAGGTTGTTTGACATTTTTATACAATGATAATATAGTCATATATTGCTTATATGAAATGAAAAAGGAGATAAAACCACCACTGCTTTCTGATTATGTGATTTTAATATTTGGGGAGTTTAAAAATCAACTAGAAAACTACTACAAGCAGTAAGAGAACTCAATAAGGTAGCAGAGTATAAAATTAATATACAGAAATCAATAGATTTCATGTATACCATGAAATCAGAAAATGTACAAGTCAGGAAATGTCATAGAAGACAAAAATCTCATTTCTAATTCCAATAAAAAAGATATAACGCTTAGGGGTAAAAATAACAAGAACTGTATAAGTCCTATGTGAGGCAAGCATTTCAGAAGGTCAGGAGACTTAAGCAAATAAAAAGGTATTCTTGAGTGAAAGACTCATCACAAAAATGTTACTTCTCCCTAAATTAATTTAGAAATGTAATCTCAAAAGAACCAAGAGGATACTTTTCAAATAACTTAAAAAAGGTGATTCTAAAACTCTAAAAAAGAAGAGCATTGGAAAGAGCCTAGGACTACCAGACGTTAAAACCGATGATAAATTCTCCATAATGAAAACAGTGTGTTATAGGCGAAAGATTAAGCAGAGTAAGCAATGCACAAAATAAATACTCAGAGACAGACATAAATTAAGGTGGCATCTGAAATGCCACCTGACAAGGCTGACAAGCTGGGCTTTTCAATAAGTGATGATGGAAAAACTAGCCACATTAAGAAAGAAATAATGTTGATCCAAATCTTACATTCTATAAAATGAAAAATTTTATATGAGTCAAATAATTGAATGTCTTTTTTGAAAAATAAAGATACTAGAAGAAAACATAGCAAAATCTTTTATAACCTTGGAGTAAGGTCTATGACTCAAAATCTAAACTCTATTAAAGAAAAAACAGATAAATATATATGCTCACACCCATAAAAATAAAATCTTGCACTCGGTAAAACAAAAACATAAGCAGAGTCAGAATATAGGTGAATAACTGGGGAAAATAATTACAATTTATATTAGAAACATAGTGCTAATTTCCCTAATATACAGAAAGCTCCCAGAAAATGATAAGACTAAGATCCATAATTTAAAAGTAAAGGGAGAAAAAAGATGAATAAACTTTTTAGGGGAAAAATATACAAATGATATTTAAATGAAAAAATACTAAGCTTTATTCATAATAATAAAAATACGAACTAAAACCATACTAAAACAGTACTTTCCCCTTATCATATTGGCAAAAAGCTCAATCATTTTACAGCACATTTTGTTGATGATGCTGTGGAGAAATGGCATTTTCATTCAATACTCAGTAGGAGCAGAAACTGGCTGTGTGGAGGCAATGTGGCAGTAACTATCAAAATTGCAAATATATTTACCATTTGATTCAGCAACTCTGCTTCTGAGAATTTATCTTAATCATACAATCTGCATACATAGACATAATGTCAATGTTATTCACTACAACATTATTTATAATAGCAAAACATTTGTCTTATGTTATCAGTAGTCATCTTACAAAAAATATCATAAACCTGAAAAGTCATCAGTCAGGGTTGGTAAAGTATCTCATGTTACATTCTTAAAATGGAATACTTACACTATTAAAAAAAAAAAAAAGGAGGGAGGGTGACAGAAAGCTACTGATATATAAGATACATTTTTTTTTAGAGCAAGACCTATAACGGTGAATATGGTGTACTCTTTCCAAGAAAAGGAGAAAAATAAAGAATAGATATTTTTATTTGCTTACATTGATATACAGATATTCTGGAAGAAGATACAATAAACCATTGAAAGGATCATTAGGTTTAGATGGAGATGGCGTGGGAGAAACTTTTCTCTATATAACTGATCTTTTTAACTCCATGAGATATGGGGTTAACCTATGAGAAATTGGCAATATTTAACTATTTCTGACCTACAAAAATGTTGATTTTTAATAGTTACTATTACAGTAGTCCCCCACCTCCAGCTCACTTATCTGTGGTTTTGCTTTCTGTGATTTCAGTTACCTGTGGTCAACCTCAGTCCAAAAATATTAAATGGAAAATTCCAGAAATAAATAATTCATAAGTTTTAAATTGCACCCCATTCTGAGTAGTTTGATGAAATCTCACACCATCCCACTCCAGCCCAGCTGGGATGTGACTCTTCTCTTTGTCCAGTTTATCTGTGCTGTAGATGTTCCCACCCATTAATCACATAAAAGCCATTTCAGTTATCAGATATGTTGTCCCAGTACTGCAGCTCTTATGTTCAAATAAACCTATTTTACTTAATAATGGCAACAGTAATGGTGCTGACACATTGTTATAACTGTCCTATTTTTATCGTTAGTTATTATTGTTAATCTCTTACTGTGCCTAATTTTTAAAAATTTTATTTAAGTTCTGGGATACATGGATGTGCCAGTTTGTGACATAGGTAAATGTGTGCCATGGTGGTTTGCTGCACCTATCAACCCATCACCTAGGTATTAAGCCCCACATGCATTAGCTATTTATCCTGATGCTCTCGCTCCCTGCCACTCCCACCCCCTGACAGGGCCCAAGTGTGTGTTGTTCCCCTCCCTGTGTCCATGTGTTTTCATTGTTCAGCTGCCCTTTATAAGTGAGAACATGCAGTGTTTGGCTTTCTGTTTCTGTGTTAGTTATCCTCAGCAAACTTACTGTGCCTAATTTATAAATTAAACTTTATCATGGGTATGTATGTATAGGAAAAGAATAGAATATGTAGAGTCCAATACTATCTATGGTTTCAAGCATCTACTGGGTGTCCTGGAACATATGCCCCTTGGATAAAATGAGACTACTACATTATTACCATTTTATAGATTCTGAAGATATATGAGAGTATCGGAGAACATGGGAGATACTAGGTTTATTGAAATGTTGTAATCTATCAATTACATTAAGAAATCAAAATTTAGAAAAATGCTATTTGAGGAACTGATGCCTTCCTTTGGTAATGGATACGATCCATTAACATTGGATAATGTTAATTCATTAGCTTTCTCTTTTTGCCTTGGCTAACTGGAATCTCAAAAACTTATTTAATGATTGACACATTTTGTCTTGGTTTTTCTTTAATTTTTAAAGTTCCTATAGTATTTTAAAGTTTACTTGTAAAAGGTGTGGTATAAAAATAATTATAGTTGGTATAACTGGTGATCTTCCCTATCTAAGAAAATGGAGGACCTAAATAGTAGTCAGATGTAATTTGATAAATTAAGCCTTGAGTTCAGACAGTAACATAAGAGAGAGAGAAGGACACTGAGTGTGTTATCAAAGAGTCAAGATATACACAAAATTTTGTTGTCATTTGGACCTTTGAAGATATATCCCTGGTTAGAGTAAGTGGAGGAAGACTCAGGAAATAAACTATTAAGGAGAACCCTGGGGACGAAGTGAGGAATGTGCATTAAACACAGATAAAAATACAGATTAAACCTCAATTTCAGGTGGCTGGAAAAATATACGATCTCATCCAAGGGTTTTCAAACTTCTCTGTGCCATGAATAAATATTTTCCCAAAATGACATTTCAAGCAGGATTACATTGGTACCTCTCCCAGAAGCAGAGAGATAAACTCCAGTTCACTACAAGAGAAACTTAAGAAATACTTCCCTCTTACTCTAAGTTCACGATAATTCACTTCTACTGGTCTGAAATAACTGGCTCACAAAGTCTCTCCTAGTAAGTGTGATGTTCTGATTTCACCATTGGTTGCAACCCAGCGTCGGATCCCAATGGTCTCTAGGCAGAATCTGTCCTCTTGTTTGATGTCATCAGTAGTCATCTTGTCAAGGTGGAATGAGTCCCACCTTATCCTCCCAGTAGAGAGGATAAGAATTACCAGGTAATTTTTCTCTCTCCAGCTTTTTTTGAATGACAACAAAATGCAGAAGTGTGGCCAGGGAGAATAATAAAGAACAGGGAAATCGAGGGGAAAAAAGTAAGGATCAGCCAAAAAAAAAAAAAAAAAAAAAAAAAAAGGTTTGAACATTGTAAGCAGAAGGTCACTTAAACCAAGGCAATTTTGGGAGAGGTTCTGAGCAACTTTTTCATAGAACAGACTCAGAACCCTAAGAGGTACAAGCATTGACCAAGAAGATAGGAAATCACTAAACTTAAATGTAGATCAAATACAGAGGTAAATGTTTTATTATACCATGAGCTCCAAAAGGAATAAAGATAGCCATTACTTAAAGGCCTTTCTACAAAAAATAAAATGAAGGAAAATTTTGGAGAGAAAGGGAAGAAATGAGATGCTGCCCAATTGGAACACACAAACGAGCAGATACCTGATCCAGGCAGAAGGCATAGAGTTGCTGTGAGGAACACTGAATTTACAGATCAGCAAGATGCTGCAGCTTCATCTATTTGTTCTTCTGGCATTTCATTCCCCAGCTCAGGAAGTCAACTTCCTGAGAGTTGAGAAACAGAACATAGGTGGTCTTATTAAAGGACAGCTTGTTTCAACCACAACAAAAATAAATAAATAAATAAATAAATAAATAAATAAATAAATAAATAAATGGATGCAAGTCAAATTTGAAATAATTAGCTCTTCTTTAAATTGATTTGAAGTTGTCCACCTTTTTCTTTACTGTCTATGTATTGAAAGCCATTTTTCTCCTAGGGAAACATCAAGGGACTTGGCCTTAGAAAGTACGAGATTGATAAGTGCAAAACTGAAAAAAGATCAGAGGAAACTACCCAATGCAGTATGACAACTGTCCCTTAAATGAGAATTAATACTATGGTAAATCAATCTATTGGGCTGGCTTGCTCTTTAGAATTCCATGAGAAAAAAAAAAATCACAGTGGAAACCTAGTTTACTCCTTACTATTTTCAATGTATAATTAATGACAAGATCTATGGAAGTTTACAGAGATTCTTGATGGCTAGTAACAGAATAAATTGAACACATTCTTAATAGGAGTTTGCATTTGAAATATTACCTTGTGAATATCTGCAATATTAATATTGCATTTGTAATCACTGAAACACAGTGCACCTGGTTCTGTTTCAGAAAAAATGTAAGCCCAACTTCTAATTAGTAAAACGTAAGTGGGATTTCCTTGGTTTACCCTAATTTTTTTTTTTTTTTAAAGAGAGAGAGAATTAAGGTAAAGTGTTTCCTTGGAGCAATAACAGAGAGAACATCACAAACTTTTATCTTGGTGTCTCAAGGTCCTATGTCCTGATTGCCCCATATTGCTAGAAGGAAACAGGAAGGCTTGAGAAGTCTCATGCTCATTTGAAAGAGAAAGTCATTAAGCACAAAGATACCCAAAGGCTTTGGACAACATCTGCTCTAGAATGCAGCTGATCCATTACGCAGAATTAGAGAGTCCATAGCTAGGCACTAAAAGCAAAGAAGTCAATTTCTGAGAGTAGTCCCATCTGTGGAATGATTCATTCCAGTTTAGTAATAAACTAGATGCTCTCAGCAGTGTTAGGAGTGAACTAATGTCCCTTTCCAGAACACCTGTCCTATCTTGCATTTTCTCACTGTCAGGGGCCATTACAGGTATTGTGAGGCTTGAAGTTTATACATTTTTAGGGGGCCTCTATAAAAAAACTAAATTATTATAAAAAAATTAGTTAGAAAAGTGAAGATTTCAAATGAGATAAGGAATTATAATAAATTACAAACCTTGAAAAGCTGACATAGACATCACAAAATCAATGTAAACAACACAATGTTTTATTAATTGTCTGATATACACTATACTTCTTCTTTTCCCACAATTTGTTTGGCGTAAAACCTTTGAAGGGCACTTGTTCATACTGACAATTTTCTAATATCTCTAAAAAGGTAATGGAAACAAAATTTAGTCTGAAACATGGCTGATGAAATTTGTGTTACAGGACTGATAGTTTTTTTAAAAAACTTCTGCCTTCACAACTTATTACTGGTAATGAGATGCAGTATGTTAAGATGCATAAAACATGACTTCACATGTCATGAAGCTGTATAGCTGTTAGGAGTACTTGTACAGGCTTTGCGCCCTACATACATAGAAAATGTGATAAATTTCACACAAATTCCATCAAAAAAGAAAAATATGATTATGCATTGATAATTATATATGTGCATTTCTGAAAATATACTTACAGAACACAACTTCCATTTTGTCTAGGTATTAATGAGAATTGAATTTACCTCTTGAAATGTTACATATCTGAGAGTTGGAAGGCTTTCCCACAGGCCATTTGGCTCCATATATTTCAAACATTGTTTCTCTATTTAATTACCCATTTACTTCAATGCCAGCTGCAAGACGACATGTTTATATCATGTACAACATCTAGCTTTTCACCTTTTTTACAGTTTCAGAGAGTTAGCCTGGTGGGCAAGATTATTTCTAAAACCTGTTGTGTGTCCCACATGCACAGATCCCACAAAACACAGCAGAAATAGATTTCCAACTCAAGTTTCCTTAGTTGGAACCTCTTAACGCCTGTAGCCACTCCATTACCTCCCCAACACTAGGGGAAGAGTGACAGAAAGTTGGGGAGTGAATAGAGGCCAACGTCTTAATCAATGGCAGTCAAATATTTTATTTTGTAAATCTTATGAAAATATACGAATATGCAATTGCATTACTAGAACCCCTCCCAGAGCCTTTAAAGGAGCTCATGTGTGCAGTGATGAGCCTTGAAGCTGAAGTTTCATTAGTTTCACTCTAAACCTACATTTTCGTGCTAGCACATCAGCACAGTTGGGCAATATTGGGTCTGCTCCTACCCTCTGTGCTCATGGCCATGAACTTGAGATGGGACCTCAGCACCTATTGTCCTGGAATTGCTTTGTCCTCTTCCTATTCCCAATCTCAGCCTCTTTCCCTTTTCCTATGCTAGTGTCATCTTTGTCTTCACACTTCCCACATCAGAACCTCAAAAGGATTGCCAGTGGCCTCAATGAAAGGTGAAAACTCTTGACTCCCCTAAGAACAATTTCTTGCCTGACTTCCTTTCCCTTCTTTCTCCCCTCCTCCCTCCCTCCCTCCCTTCTTTCCTTCCTTCCTTCCCTTCTCTTTCTTCTTTTTCTTTTCTATCTTTCTCTCTCTTTCCTTTTCCTTCTTTTGAGACAGAGTCTCGCTCTGTCACCCAGGCTGGAGTGCAGTGATGTGATCTCAGCTCACCACAACCCCTGCCTCCTGGGTTCAAGTGATTCTCATGTCTCAGCCTCCTGAGTAGCTGGGAGTACAGGCGAGTGCCACGATGCCCGGCTAATTTGTGTTTTTAGTAGAGATGGATGGGTTTTCACCATGTTGACCAGGCTGTTATTTATGTTAACTACCAAGTGTCAGTTGGTGGTGGAGGGCAACTGAGAGCTGTTTTCTCCAGTAGTCAGAATGTACCTGCATGTTTGCCAGTTGTGATAGCTGCATTCACAGGCTGGGCGCGGTAGCTCACGGCTGTAATCCTAGCATTTTGGGAGGATGAGGTGGGTGGATCACTTGAGGTCAGGAGTTCGAGACAAGCCTGGCCAACAAGGTGAAACCCCGTCTGTACTAAAAAAACAAAAATTGGCTGGGTGTGGGTGGCGCATGCCTGTAATCCCAGCTACTCAGGAGGATGAGGCAGGAGAATCTCCTGAATCCGGGAGGTGGAGGTTGCAGTGAGCTGAGATGGCGCCACTGTACTCCAGCCTGGAGGACAAGAGAGAAACTCTAGTCTCAAAACAAACAAAAAAAAAGATAGCTGCATTCACATCTACTCTATCATTCAATCCTCACAAAATTCTTATGAGATAGTAAAGTTATCAACATTTTTAAAGATGAGGCAATAAACTCAGGGGATAAGTAATTTGACCAAGATTACACAGTAAGCAGTGAAAGATTCAATTGCAGACATTGATTCCCAATAGCTCCGATTAAATCAGTATGTGCTGAGAGCAGGGAAATACAACTGATTGGCTGACCCAAGTCCTAATCATCCGACTTAGATTGAGTGTCCCTTCAATATCTATGCAGATCTCTCTAGTCACTACTATCAGATTTACCAAATCCTTCCTCCAGGCACAAAACACATCTATCTGGCTCATTAAGACAGAAAGTTATGCACAGGAGGAGACTTTTGCTCTATACCCACTACTGGATTTTAAGCTTGTTTGAAATCTTGACTATATACCATCCAAAGCTCAGAAGGGGTTCAGAAATTACAGAGATGACATGGACAATTATGATTTTTTCCTCAGATGCTAACAGCTCTCGGACAGTCATAAAGCTGATTTGGGTTATTCAGAGAGCAGAAAAAGAACATACCTTTGAAAGCCTACAAATGTCTTTTCAGAAAATAAACCTGAGACTAAGTGGAAGGAAAGGAGAAACCCTAAAAGGAAATACAGATAAAATAAACTAAGAAGTAACATATCAGGCTATAAGGATGAACATGACAACAAAAATAACTAAAAAAAAGTTAATCAAAAGTTTGAAAATGAAAAAGAAATCTTATCTTTATCACTGTTAGTTTTCAGGTAAAAAGCATTTTGATTCTGCGTTTTCATTTCACTCTCATGCTGATTTCTTCATAGAGAAAACAGAACCAGAACACCTGTTTCCTACTACCATATATACAAAACTGTTACAGTAGGTAGCTAGTCAGGCAGGAGTGGGGCAGGAGAGGGTTCCCCACCAACTGCCCTACCCCCCATCCCACCACCAGAAATGTCAGAGGTGACCATTAGATGATGGTCCGGCAGTTATCACACTTTCTAAAATAACAATTGGTTGTAGCCAGTGCCAGAGGAGGCAGTTTCCTGATGGGCCGGCAGTTGTCATACTAAAATGATAACTGGTCCAGCCAGTGCCAAGGAGAGGCAATTTCCCAATAGATAAATACACTTGAGATTGGTAATCAGCAGCTGCCAATAAAATATTCAGGAATTGGGTGAGTGGGCACAAGCATGCACATTAAGAAGCAAAATGGCAGAGTATAACCTTCCAGGGGCATTCCACTGGAAATGGGAAGAATGCTTTAGGCAAGCATGCGTACAACTCCAGTAAACACATTGCACATGCTTACCTCCAAAGTGTTAGCAGGTCACTGTGTGGGTGACCCACCCTGAGGGAAGAAACATGGGAAAAGGGATTCAAGACCCTGGAAATATGCCAACATATAAACCCCAAGTCAAAAGGTCAAATGGCATAGTTGACCCTCACAGTTCCCGCTTGGGTCTCTTCCAAGTGTACTTTTCTTTTTTTTCCTGCTCTAAAGCTTTTTAATAAACTTGTACTCCTGCTCTGAAACTTGCCTCGGTCGCTTTTTCTACCTTCTGACCCTAAGTAGAATTCTTTCTTCTGAGGAGGCAAGAATTGAGGTTGCTGTAGATCGGTCGGATTCACCGATTGTAACCTGGACATTTGCCACCATTAACAAAACCTACCATAACCTAGTTTGATCCTACTCTCTCCTTCCCTCTTGTTAAAATGGACAAGAGTAACTATCCTTTCTCCTATTTAAGGTCTCTTACTTTATTGAATACCATCACAATGTGCATGAAATTATACACAACCCATTAGCCTGTTTCCTGTATATTCATGCCCTCCCTCTCACTTGGATATTCCCATTAGCTTAACAATTTTTGTTTGTTATCAGAGTAGTACATGTACATAATATAAAGAGTCAAACAGTAAAACAAAACTTATTTTGAGAAAGCAGCTCCATGCTTTGTCAATTCCTGCTTCCTGGAGACAAACCCTGCCAACTCTGAACTCTTCACTCTGGAATTTACCTTCCTCTTTCCAAATTCCAAACTTGTTGATATGGCTATTTCTTGATTGTATATTTTTGTTTGTATATTTGCTTTAGTTTTCTATTTATCAAACATTAACTTATTCACAAACTCCCTGCCAGCGCTCTATAAATACATGCAAAAATACTACATGGAAACTCAGATGTGCAGGAATAAGTACAGAGCATTGAAATAGTAAATATGTGGATAAATAGAAATTTTTTTTTTCATTTTTCTTCTCTTATTTTTTAAAAAAATATATTAACTATTTAAAATAACTACAACAGGATATTGTAGGGCTTATAATGTATTTAAAAATAAAGTGTATGACAACAGTGGTGCAAAGGGTGGGGAAGCAATAAATGAAATTAAACAGTTGTGTATTTTTTATAGTTTACATGAAATGATGCAACATTAAGTAAACTAATCTTTTTCATTAAGGATACACATTGTAATGTCTAGAATAACCACTAAAAACGAAAAAAGGTATAGCTAAAAAGGAAACAGAAGAAATAAATTAGGATATTGAAAACTTTTTAAAAAAACACATAAGAGAGGAGACGAACAAAAGAATGAAAAACAGACGGGACATATAAAAAAGAATACTAAGATAGTAGATGCAAATTCATACTTATCAGTAATTACACAATAACATTTACATAACATATTTATAGTTTACACACACCAATCAAAAGGCAAGCTTCTTAGACTGGATAAAAAGCTAAGACCAACATATGTGTTTTCCACAAAAGACTCACTGTAAATATAAAAACATCAAGTTGATAGTGAAAGGTGAAAGTGTGGAAAAATGTGTACCATCAGAATGTAAGCCTAAAAAAGGTAGTGTATATTAATATTGCTAAAGTAGACTTCAAGACAAAGAGTGTCATCAGGGATACAGAAGAGTATTATTTAATGATAACAGATCAATTCATTAGGAAAACATAAAAATCCTAAATGCATGTGTATCTAATAAAAAGAGCTTGAAATATAAGAAATAAAATGGGCAGGACTGAAAGGAGAAATAAACAATTCAACAACTATAGTTGGTGAGATCAACATCCCTCTCTCAGTAACTGATAGAGAACAGCACACAAAAATTAGTAAAGTATAGATTTGAATAGCATTACCAATCAATTGGACCTAATAGATATTTGTGGATTGCTACAGAAAACAACTGACAGTTATATTCTTTTCAATGCATTTGAAACATTTACCAAGAGAAACTACATGCTGAGTACTAAAACAAGCATCAGTAAATATCAATGGCTAGAGTATATCCTCGGGCCACCAGAGAATTGAGATAAAAATTAAAAATGAGCTATATAGAAAAATTCCAGCTATTTGGAAATCAAGCTAAAACACTTCCAAATAACTCCATGATAACAGAAAAATATCACGAGGAAGTTAGAAAATGGTTGAAATGGAACAATAATGAAAACACAATAAAAATAATTTGTAAGATGCTATTATAAGATTTTCTTAGAGGAAAGTTATGGCTTTAAATGCTATGTCAGGAAGGAATAAAAGTGTAAAATCCATGATCTAAGCTTCTAACTTAAAAAGCTAGGAAAAAAATGAAAAAATTAAACAGCATAATGAAAAAGGGAAATAATTAGACAAGTTGGAAATCAATAAAATAGGTAATAAACAACAGGAAAAAAATCAAGAGATAACAAAATTGACCTGTGAAAAGATTAAAGCTGATAAACGTTTACCAAGAGCAATCAAGAAAGGGGAAAAAAGTACCAAAATTAGAAACGAAGAAGCACTATTACTTCATGTCCTACAAACATTAAAAGTTAACAAAAAGGGAATATAATGAACAAACAACTTTATGCCAATAAGTCTGACAACATACATAAAATGGTTATGATAGGAAATAGTAGAAGACCCAGCTATGGCCTAGAAATTGAAATTATCAAAGATTTGAAACTATAATAAAAATGTTGAGGATACAGGAAAGATGAACAATATGCATGAAGAGAATAAGAAATTTTAGTAGAGGCATTGGAACACTGAAAGAATCAAATGGAAATTCTGGAAGTAAACTCATTAGGTGAGCTTAACAGCAAACTGGACTCGATTTAGGAAATAATGTGTGAACTTGAAAATAGGTCAATAGATAATACCCAAATTGAAAAACAAACCAGTTAAAGAATAAAAAAAAGAAAACCAAAACAAAACAGAGCATCTGAGATATGTGAGGCAATATCAAATGATTTAATATATGCATAATTGGAGTCACAGATGGAGAGGAAAGAGAGCATGAGGAAGAAAAAATATTTAAAAATTTTTTTTGAAAACTGATGAAAGACACCAAACTATATATCCAAAAAGCTCAAGAAATCCTAAGGAGGATCAATCCAGAGAAAATCGTACCTGCAGTAAAACTGCTGAAAACCAAAGATAAAGAACAAATTTTAAAAGCATACGAAGCAGGGGAAAAAACCACATATTACACACAGTGGAACAATACAAACCACCACAAAACAAAACAAAACAAAACAAAACACGAAAAAAAAACCAGAGACCAGGACCCAATGAAATAACATCTTTAAAGTCTTGTAGGGGGCAGGGTGGGAAACACTTATCAACTTAGCATTCAATATCCAGTGAAATGGTCATTTAAAAATGGATTCTTTCTGATCACTTTAGAAAGAAAAAATAAATTTTAAAAGTTGAAGGAGAAATAAAAAGAAATTTGAGACACACAAAAGCTTCAGTAGAAGAAATGCTAATAGAAATTCTTCAGGCTAAATGGAAATTATGCTAGAAGGAAATAAAGATCTGAAAGAAGGAACAAAGAGCCCTGAAAGGGTAAATATTTGGGTAAATGTAACTGACATTTTTTGTGAGAAAAAAAAAAAAAAGGGCCAGGTGCGGTGGCTCATGCCTGTAATCCCAGCACTTTGGGAGGCCGAGGTGGGTAGATCACGAGGTCAGGAGATTGAGACCATCCTGGCTAATATGGTGAAACCCCATCTCTACTGAAAATACAAAAAATTGGCCGGGCGTGGTGGCGGGCACCTGTATGTAGTCCCAGCTACTCGGGAGGCCGAGGCAGGAGAATGGCGTGAACCCGGGAGGTGGAGCTTGCAGTGAGCAAGATGGTGCCACTGCACTCCAGCCTGGGCAACAGAGCGAGACTCCGTCTCAAAAACAACAACAACAAAACTCCGTATGTATAAATATATGTTTTAAATGTACTTTAAAAACTCTTGCCTATTTTAAATTTAAAAAATGTATCTTGTGTTTTATATCATGTGTAGAAGTAAAATATAAGCAGATAAAAGCACAAAAGGTTGAACAGAATTAGACTGCTGTATGTGAAGTGTCGTATTAGTTGAAACAGACTGTGCTAAAGGTACTTATTGTAATCTTTAGGGTAACTTGAAAACAGATAAAAGGAATTGTAGCAAAAGTTTGAACATGCAAGATAAAACAGAACATTAAAGTGCAATTCATTCAGTATAAAGCAGGAGAGGAGAAAGAGGGGAATAAAAAATGGATGGAATAAATACTAGATATCAAGATGGAAGAGTTAAACCCAAACTTAAAACTAATCACATTAACTGAAATGGAGTAAACACTCCAAGTGCAGAGATTTTCACAATGGATAAAAAGCAAGATCCAACTATATGCTATTTACATGAAACACACTTTTTTAAAGAGAGAAGTAAACTGAAGGTAAAAGAATGGGGAAAGATAACTTTTAAAACAATATAAAAAGCTGATGTGACAACAGTAATCATTAAAGTAACTCTAAAATGAAGAGGGTCTCACTATTGATAAAGATCTTTTGTGAAAATTAAAAAAAATCAACGAATCAAGAAGACATAACAACCTTAAATATGTGTGCCCTTAATAACAGAATTTCAAAATACACAAATAAAAAATTAACAGAACTAAAGGGAGAAGCAAACCAATCCATGGATAAAGTTAGAGATTTTAACACCATTGTTCGGTAATTGCTGGAAAAAAGGAAACAAAAATGAGTAAACATATAAATAGTACTATCAATCAGCTCTACCTAATCGTCATTTATAACACACAACACTTAACTGCAGAAAACACATTCTTTTCAGATGCATATAAAACCTTCACAGAGCATATTGTGCCATAAAACAAGTATCAACAAATGTCAACTGATTGAAATTATACAGAGCATATTATTTGACCACCAGAGATTTAAGTAAGAGATCAATAAAACTATGATACCTAGGAAAATTCTCCCAAATATAGAAGGCAAATCCATGAGCCACAGAATAAATCCCAAGGCATATTAGAAAATATTTTGAACTTGTGATAATGAACATACATCCAACAAAATATTATATAATGTAATTAAGGTAGCAGATAGAGAAAAATTAAAAACTTTACATGCTCATAAGAAAAGAACTATATAAAAATCAATGATTTAAGCCTTCACCTTAAGAAGCTAGGAAACAAAGGGTAAGTAATAAAGCTAAATGAGGACACACTGATGAAACAGAAAATGGACACCAACAGAGAAAATGAACAAAGTCTGTTTTTTATAAATATCTAGCAAGATTGATCATTATTAATTAATAACTGTTTCTCTAATTGTCAGCAAGGTGAATTAAAGTAAAGGACATGTCTTTTTTTGTATTTTTCTTTTGGCATCACTGTATCTTATACCAAATAAGGGCTCAATTGTATAATTATTACTAAAAGGAAACACTTGTCCATTCAGCCTAAAACCTTAAATCCCAAGAGGAATAGATTTGATCAAGACTTTGATGTGCTAAGTTCTTTTATGCTTGAATGTTAACAGTTCTCCCTCCTCCTCCTCCTCCTCCTGCTCCTCCTCCTCCTCCTCCCTTTCTCTCTCTCTCTCTCTCTCACACACACACACACAAACACATGGAAAGTGTCTTTTTTCTTTTTAATTTTTTTAGACAGGGTCTCAATCTGTCACCCAGGCTGGAGTGCAGTAGTGTGATCTTGGCTCACTGCAGCCTTAACCTCCTGGGCTCAATCGATCCTCCCACTCAGCTTCCCGAGTAGCTGGGACTACAGGCCCGTACCATCATGACCCCAAATACAAAATTTTTGCAGTGTTTGTAGAGATGGGGTTTTTGAACTCCCAGGGTCAAGCGATCTGCCTGTCTCAGCCTCCCAAAGTGCTGGATTGTAGGCATGAGCCACCACACCCGGCCGGAAACTACCATCAGAGAATACTATAAACACCTCTATGCAAATAAACTAGAAAATCTAAAAGAAATGGATAAATTCCTCAACACAAACACCCTCCCAAGACTAAACCAGGAAGAAGTTGAATCCCTGAATAGGCCAATAACAGGCTCTGAAATTGAGGCATTAATTAATAGCCTACCAACCAAAAAAAGTTCAGGACCAGACAGATTCACAGCTGAATTCTACCAGAGGTACAAGGAGGAGCTGGTACCATTCTTTCTGAAACTACTCCAATCAATAGAAAAAGAGGGAATCCTCCCTAACTCATTTTATGAGGCCAGCATCATCCTGATACCAAAGCCTGGCAGAGACACAACAAAAAAAGAGAATTTTAGACCGATATCCCTGATGAACATCGATGCAAAAATCCTCAATAAAATACTGGCAAACCGAATCCAGCAGCACATCAAAAAGCTTATCCACCATGATCAAGTGGGCTTCATCCCTGGGATGAAAGGCTGGTTCAACATATGCAAATCAATAAACATAATCCAGCATATAAACAGAACCAAAGACAAAAACCACGATTATCTCAATAGACGCAGAAAAGGCCTCTGACAAAATTCAACAGTGCTTCATGCTAAAAATTCTCAATAAATTAGGTATCGATGGGACATATCTCAAAATAATAAGAGCTATCTATGACAAACCCACAGCCAATATCATAATGAATGGGCAAAAACTGGAAGCATTCCCTTTGAAAACTGGCACAAGACAGGGATGCCCTCTCTCACCACTCCTATTCAACATAGTGTTGGAAGTTCTGGCCAGGGCAATCAGGCAGGAGAAGGAAATAAAGGGCATTCAATTAGGAAAAGAAGTCAAATTGTCCATTTGCATATGACATGACTGTATATTTAGAAAACCCCATCATCTCAGCCCCAAATCTCCTTAAGCTGATAAGCAAGTTCAGCAAAGTCTCAGGATACATAATCAATGTGCAGAAATCACAAGCATTCTTATACACCAATAACAGACAAATAGAGAGCCAAATCATGAGTGAACTCCCATTCACAATTGCTTCAAAGAGAATAAAATACCCAGGAATCCAACTTACAAGGGATGTGAAGGACCTTTTCAAGGAGAACTACAAACCACTGCTCAACGAAATAAAAGAGGACACAAACAAATGGAAGAACATTCCATGCTCATGGATAGGAAGAATCAATATCGTGAAAATGGCCATACTGCCCAAGGTAATTTATAGATTCAATGCCATCCCCATCAAGCCACCAATGACTTTCTTCACAGAATTGGAAAAAACTACTTTCAAATTCATATGGAACCAAAAAAGAGCCTGCATTGCCAAGACAATCCTAAGCCAAAAGAACAAAGCTGGAGGCATCATGCTACCTGACTTCAAACTATACTACAAGGCTACAGTAACCAAAACAGCATGGTACTGGTACCAAAACAGAGATATAGATCAATGGAACAGAACAGAGCCCTCAGAAATAATACCACACATCTACAACCATCTGATCTTTGAATCACCATAGGAACAGAATGCACCATAGGAACAGTAAGTTCAACAGCCTCCAAATGAAATTTTTTTTTCCAAAAATATTCCCATTCTTGTGATTACTGTATCAGGGAACAATACTACCCTCCACCCAGTTAGCCAAACACAAAACCTGGAACCTGGAAGCCACTCTTAACTCCTCTTTCTCCCTTCTACCTACACAATTTATTTTCAAGTTGTTTCAGTGTTTCCTCTTAAATCTCCCCTTAATGGAAAAAGCCCCCTCCAAACTATGTGAAGATTGATAGATTGTTGATCAGCATGACATACCCCCATTTGAAACACTTCAGTCCTCCCAGGTTAAGTCAGGTTCCTTTAATAAGGCCTATAATAAACTGTAACCCTGTCTTACTGGTTTATGTTAGTCCTTTCTTCCCTTTACACAGTAGGATATAGCCATCTTCATTTTCATTTCTATAAATGTTCTATATGAACCTTGGTCAGCCTCTAAGACTTCAAATAATGGGCTGGATGACACCCTCACTAAGCTGCTTAATTTCCACTGAATCTCAATTTAGACATCGCTTACTCAGAAAAGCCATCTGGGACTTCCACCCTCACCCCTAGGCTAGGGGCTCCTCTTGTATTCCTATCACAATTATCACATGCTATTATATGACTGCATTTTCTTCAAGAAAATAAACTTCATGAACACACAGACTATTTCATCACTGCAAACAGCTCCACACAGTGCCAGGTACTCCATTTAATTAACTGCTAATATAAATTAAACTGAATTGTCTTTTTCTTCATCTCTCTATTCTTGTCCTCATAATCTGGAAACATTTCTCAACCTTGTCTTCTACTGATTCAAATGTCTGCTTTATCATTTCTGGTGTTGATCAAATTTAATGCATCTAACTTTAGTACCTTTTTTCAACTCATGCCATTCTCATTTTTCATCTTTGCCTATTATAATGACCATCACAATTTTTTTAGGACTTTATAAAACACACATTCTAAAAACCTCTCCTTATGGCAATATATCTATTTTAAGCAGAATAGCAGAGTTCTCAGTGTTTTTTTTTTTTTTTTTTTTTTTTGCTGTAATTGTTATTTACAAATCCCACCTTTTTTTCTCTTTGCTTGTTATCGATTAAGGCCTGGTTTGAATCTGAGCAAATGGGTAGGATACCATAGAAATTGTTCAGGTGTTATGTCACAGACTGGCACAAGACTACACCTGCATCCTTTACAAAAGGAACAAGGGGGTGGGGGAACAGCCAGGGAGAGGTGGAAAGGAAGCACAACAGGACAACGGGAATGACAAACCTTTTGTTTGCCAGTGTACACTGCAGATGCATGCAGACCTCTCTGGTACTCCCCAACACCCCCCCAAAAGCAGCAACATATTATATGAAAGATTTCTACCAATGTGTCTTCTATTTAAAAACAGTGATCAAAGCAAGTACCACTCTTGGCCTTCTCGTAGGAACAAATGATTCTGAGGTGGCAGACGGAGACATCACATCCCAGTGTTCTCAAAGTATTAAGGGGACTGGCTGCAGCAGAGGAGGAAGCAAAAGGTTACACAGAGTTCATTAGTAACATTTACAATATTATTAACCACTTATCTTACTTTACTATACTTGCATAGATGATGTGCTAAATTTTTCAACCCTCTTTCATTCTATTAGGGAAAATTCAGTGCATGTATGTGTGTCTGAGGTACATGGAAGGTTTTTCACTGTGCCTTTCTACTACTATATTGGCCATAATTTTAAAGCACTAATTGCGTTACTGTTACTAAACTGATTCAGGAATATCCTGCCCCAATTTGCTTTCTGATAGCATCAAATGATTAAATTGTCTGGGATAACTGAAATTAAGACAGGATAGGAATGACAGGGAAAAGGTGATCTCTGTTACATTAATGGTACGTAGCATTAGAATAAGTCATCCAGTATTGATGGTTCATACATATTAAAATAAATGCATATTAATATTTTACAGTTAAGAATGTCTTCAATTGGTTCCAAAAAACAAGAGCTCCCCTATGTAGAAAAGACAATTACTATGCATGATTTACCGTATCAAATACATGGCTCTTTTGCAAAGCATCATACCAACCTGAAAAAGAAGAGTATGTATTCTTCAAATAAACACAAGATAAGCCAATTAATCTTGAATAAGTAGTAACAACTTTATTTTAACTCAATGTGTTGAAATGCAAAAAATATTTTCAGCAACAAGATACATGTATTATGTATCTTATCATTAACATCAGCTAATTAAAAACGAGGCTGAAAAGTTCAATATAAGTTTTTATACACTTGAATCTTGAAAATCAATTTCCCCAAGAACTAATTTTTAAATAATTTTTGCAGAATTTCATTTTCAAAAATGAGACTCAGGTAAGTTACATCTTCATTTTTTAAAACTGAATGCAAAATTTACTGGGTTACAGTATACAATGATAAACTCTGACAACAAAAAAATTTAAATATAATAATTTCTTTTCAAACATAAAGTTCACATACTGCAAACAGAAGACACTGTGTGATTTCATTCCTAGTAAGGAGTTAGTCTTGCATATGATAGGCACTCAATATTTGTTCAACTGGACCTAAAATTTACATCATTCCATGAACACTTAAATAAAGTAGAGCTCATTAATTTGTATAAAAAAGGTTTGTAAAATACACTTTGTGTGCGGAAAGTGCTGTCTTTATAGCTGTCTTTATAATCTGAGAACACTAAAACGAACCCACTCACCCACCCACCTTCTTTTGTAAGAATAAATTGAATATTTTTATTTTATCCATCAAAGAGCATGCATGTCCAAGTCAGAATAATTCACCTCTTCAAGTATACTTGGCTCTAAGCCAAGTATACTTAAGTATGTTGAGCTGGATTTTCACAATCCCTGTTCTATTTTAGTAACACTGGGTCATATCTATGACCCACATTTTATAAAGAATTCTGATTAAGATTTTAAATTTATGAACAAAATTTAAATGGGTATATTATTAATTCTAATTTTGGCCATCTAAGCTCTTATTTAGATCCAGTTTAAAAATAAATGAATAATGTTCATGACAACTTTTTGAGATCTTTGTTAATATTTTAAAACAATTTTATTATAATTGATGTCCTAAAAAGGCACTGTTTTCACATTTCATCATGCAGTAAATTGATCACATTTTTGAAAATTATCATTTCCTCTGTTAATCAATTGTCCTCCAAAGTAAAGCATATTTAAATGAAATATTTCTGCTAACCTGAACTTTCAACATTTAACTGATTTCTATTTCCAGAAATTCACTCTTTGTAACATACCACACACAAGCCCCAAGCAAATACAGGTATGTACACAAACACACAGACACACACGCGCATACACACACACACACACGATCACATATTTCATGCAAGGTTCTCCAATTACCAATTCAAGACAATGACACATGACTATTCAAGGAGGTAACATTGGCAAGCCATATTATGGCACCTTCATTATTTGTGCTCCAAATATCAACACACATTAAAATTAAAAATGAAAAGGCACAAATATAGTATTTCTAAGTGTTGGTCTAAACAACAGTTACCCAATGATTATTCTTATAGTATGCAACATTTGAAACCATTCACTACCTTCTCAGAAAAAGCCTTGCTTAGGTGACAAAGGGAAACAGGAACAGGCTAATAGCTCAAAAGGCGGGACAGAGTATCTATACCTATTTTGAAAGTAATGTATGCAGTTTAAAAATGAGGAGAAGGAGGCTATTAGAGCACTCATGTCAGAATACATTAAGTGTTTTTATCATTGCCTCAAGAACCCACAATACCAAAAATATACATAATAAATAAAAAAATAAATCAACTACCATATGATTCTGTTAGTATAATGGTAGGCATTATATTATCTGAAAAGTGGACATTTCTACAAACATGGATATTCTTACAGCACAGTGTTTGACATTTTTGGTACAAAATGTGCTACCAAACTAAAAAAAAAATCTTTATAATAAAATCCTTAAGATTTGCAATAAACTCTCGAGTAAGTAAGAAGAAGCTGAAATGTTCATTATACGGTATTTTTACTGAAGTCACTGTGGTTAGAAATATAGATTCAAGCGGTGAATTAAATCACAATGTGCCGGTGTGGTGCGCATTGGATATAAATGGATACATCAGTACTTTTCTGATATATGACAACATAATTCTATAGCCTGAGGGAATTTTTGTTTTCTTATAAGACCCTCGCAAAATCTTAAAACTGGAAATGTATACATATGTATGTATGTATGTGTATTTTTAAAATTGTATATTGCAAACTTGAGGCTCAATCTTACGATGGATTTAAGGAAGTGAATTTCTACTTCCCATAATACTCTTACACAGGATGAAGTATGAAGTTCCATCACCAGGTAAGAATCTTTCTTCTATCCCAAGAGATTCTTCCAATTTCAAATTTAAGTTACCACGACAAAGAATGAAACTACATAGAAAGTAATGAAGACAGGTGAAAATACGATCTTTTTAAACTCTAGGTTGTTGTGGATAACAAATGCTTAGTTGAGTTTTTTCAATGTAAATATGAATCCAAATGAATCTGGACATATTCGAATTGCTTCAGTTAACACCTAACAAAGAGATAGCAAAAATAAGGTCTATTTGAAAACACCTCAAGCTTCATTTTTTCTTTTGTCCTGAATTCAAACATTAAATAAACAAATTATACAAATTTTAATCTGAAGAATAGTTATGTTTGCAAACATAGGTATATGCGTTTTTTTCCAGTGACACACTTTTTCCCTTGTGGTCAAATATAAATCTTGCCCTTAAGAAGCACACTGGTCACCACCACAGTAAGTCAGATGTGGTACCCCAACACTGACTGCTTCTGCTTCTCCAGGACAATGCACCAGAACAAACCTCCCTTAAGAACACAACTATCAAACACTGAACGTGTATATGCATTTAAAGCTAAAATTCATTTATAATAAAGAACTGGCCCATGAAAAGCAGTTTATAAATAGTTTATCCTGTTCACATTATGCAGAATTTCAGTATCATCCACAATGTTAGTACAGTAACTGAAACACAATGAAGAAAAACGGGGAGTGAGGGGAGGTTCCTAGTGTGACCTGACATAGTCTAAGGGTTCTCTCCTTTTGTATGCATCTCCCAAAGGCAAGTATCAGTTAATTGTTTGAAGGAGAGTAGACTATCCAGGATTCATTTATTGTTCAGGTGTCTTTTCCAAAGTGTGAGAAAATAGGAGTCAATTCAATAATGAATATCTGTAATCCAAACCAATTTAACTACAATCAAGGATGTCTTTCTCATCTATTATCACAAACATCCCAGTTGCCTCCATCTAAAAATTTCTTTGAAAAGTTAAGACACAATTAATTATACCTTATTAATTCCCTCAAAAGCAAAAAAATATATGTACCATTCAGCATACAAAAGTTACACAGTAAAAGTGCATATGTATCTTTCTTAATTGGCCCACTCATTAAATTTGCATTTGGTCATCCTTACTTTTAACATGTACAGAATTCTTCGTATAAATGTAGGTCAGTATAAATTAAAAAAAAATTACTTCCACACAATACATGCTTTCTTCATGAAATCTTAACCTCAATCAGTTCTCAATAATTGTAAACTTAGAATAAACCCACAGTTTGTTGGACAGTTAACATACAAGACAAACATCATAAATGTCACTAAAAATCTAGGCCAACTCATTGCATATTTGCCCCCTGAAATGAAAAATAAATTAGAATTGAAGCAGTGTATTGCCATAACTTACCTTGAAGGTAAGAGGGTTCTCCCATATTTATAGAACTTAGATTGGAGATATTACTGGTAATCTCCAATACAAGTGCTTTTAAAGAGAACTTAAACTTTGAGATAGCATAGGACAAACCCTATAAAATTCATTTTTCTTTTTGCAAAATAATGGAAGATCCTTTTGAAACTTAGTATCTTCAGTTATCAATATTACTGCATTATGGAGCTAGTGCAATCCTGCATAGCCTTGGTCAAAATGACAAGGCACAATAAAAAAAAATTAAAGTATTATATGAACAAGACAAGTCATTGAAGATAATTTAAGGCCTTGAAGTGAATTAATCAGTCTAATTTAAAGCTGAAGAATAAACCATAAATTATCCACCTGAAATGCAAGCAATATGCTTTTTCAGCTTCTGTTCTGTGGACAAAATAACAGAAACAACTCTTGCTTATGGTTTGTGTATTAGAATCCTTCTGGACCTGGAGGAGTGAAAGTCAATTCCATTTTTCAACTGTTCATGGAAGATTTCAGGACTGTTTTAGCCGTTTGCGTGGAATGCCAAACTGTGGACACTGTGCAGATGCTAGTGCTCGAAAGGCTTCTGCTACTAAATGAGGGTGAGACTGAATCATGGACTTCCACCCTGATGTTTCCATTATGTCGGTTGCTTGGCTGAAAAATAGAATTAAAAGATATTTACTAAAGAATACTTTTCAAAATGCACTATTGCACTGTTAATTTCTTAAAAACTTGCAAATTTCAAAATATTTGAACACTTTTTACCTATGTATTCAAATCATTTGCTTTTATTAAAATACCATCTTTATCTTACTGGTATCTTCTGTGGCAACTGAAACTATTAAATTTTTCTGGAAGTTCGGCTCCCTTAAAGTATGTGACATGGGTCTTCATAGTTCAACTCTCATTGTTACAATTTCTGTACCAGCTCTTTCAAGAGTCCCTTTCTCTTCTTTTACATGCCTCTTATAAGGCAGATTTTCTCTTGAGTTACAAATATTGGACTCTACTCTCCCCCCTTAACATGCATTACTAATTCTATCTCATCCACTCTTCACAATTTTAACTATGAAATTCAATGATGTTAACTACCGATTTGCTAAATTCTAGGGTTCCACACAAGGTTCATTCGCAGCCACTTGTTTTTTTCACTTGGATGTGCCTCAAGACCCATAAATTCAGGATTGTCAGATGAGAGCTCATCATCCCTCTCCCCAACCCCAAATTCTTCCTCCTACCTTTCCAGTCACCTAAAGCTTCCACCATCATCCAGTGATGCAAGCTGGAAATCTGGCAGTCACCCTAGACTCTCCTCTCCAATCATCAAAACCTTATTTTAAGGTTTGAAAGGCTTCAAAGATGTCCTGAATCCCAGTTTAAGGCCCACATCATCTCACGTTTGGATTATGACAACAGACTCCTAAGTGGTCTTCTAGTTTCCTGCTCCTCTTAAACCAAGCTTCCATAATGTTCCCTTGGTAACACAAATATGACTATATGAGGCCCTCTTCATTGTTCCCCACTGCCCATATCCAAGTTTTTTAGAAAGAGAAATACAGCATCATATTATGTTTGGTTTCTTACTCTACCCCCCACTTCCTACCTCCCACTTCCATGATCTGGCATTTTATACTCTGATATTGAACTGCTTATTGTACCCTATGTACACTATGCTCTCACCAAACAATAACCGTAAATAAATGCTTAAGCAACAAATCTAGTTACCCTTCCTTGCCTCAATTCTCTACTTTATGCCATCTACCATCCAAATAATATCCAAATATTAGATTCTCCCTTCAAAATATTTCTTACTTTCTTTTCTCTCTAGCCCCACTGTCACCAATCAAGTCTAATTTCCACCGTTCATCTCTTGCCTGAACTACTCTAGTAACTTTCCAACTGGTCTACCTGTATTCAACCTTGTTTCTCAACTACTATTGCCACCGCAACCTCCCCACAATTCGTTCTCCACCCTGCATGCAGAGATTGTTAAAAATGCAAAACTAATCATGTCCCACTCTGGGTGAAAACCCTTTACTGGACACCTACTACTCTGAATATCTAAAAATTCTAATGTTATTTTACATGGCCTTTCAGGGTCTGATCTCTGCCTACTTTCTCCAGCTTCTTCTCATTAACTACCTCCCCGCCCGCAACACACACACACACACACACACACACACACACACACACACACACACACACACACACACACACTATACTGCTCTTTCTCATTGTTAAAACTTTGCGCATCTCATTTCCTTTTTCTGGGGTGTACTTTTCTTCCTCTCTTCCCTCTTCTTCACCAAGGTAACCTCTACAATATTTCCGGCATTTAGTTTTGTGCTCTGATTCCTAGATTAGGTTAAGTCTCTGCTATATGCTCCTATGGGTATGCTACATATTCCCTATCATCACGCTTTACTGCAATTAGCTGTTTAATCTGCTGCTAGACCATAAACTCCGTGAAGGCAGGGAAAATATATGTCATGCTCACCACTGTATTCTCTATACTGTGCACTGTGACTTGGGAATTTACTGGATAATAAAGGATAAGTATCTGTCAAATGAATGATCAACTACTACTTTACGCTTCTATACTTTGGTTCATGCTGTCCCTTCTGTCTGCAATGCTTGCTACTTCCTTCTTACTTCTGCTAACTCCTATTTGTGTTTTAAGACTCAGCTATATCCAGGAAGCCATTTCTAAATTTCCAGGGTTAGTCAAGTGCTTGTACATATTCTCTTCTATTGTATTACTTACCATATTATAATGAAATGATATATTTATATATCTATCTCTATTAGATAACTTTCCCAAGACCAAGAATTTTCCCTTGAAATTTTTTTTATATGCAGCACCCTAGCATTGTACTTGAAACACAGAAGATGCTAGAGTAATGTCTGCTGAACTAAATAGTAGCTGATACCAACAAAACAATTTTTTAAGTTGGCAAACATCAAATTATTAGATTGGTGCAAAAGTAATTGTGGTTTTTGCCATTAAAAGTAATGCCAAAATCTGCAATTACTTTTGCATCAGCCTAATACCAGTGTGTCATTGTGTTCAAAATTTCAATTAGTTGTTTAGAATCACATAGATACCAATTACACCTTTTTCATTTATTAATAAATATCTATTGATGAATATGAATACAGCTTCTCCAAGGGGGTACAAAACAAGCTATTTTTTTTGACACTGAAAAAGTTATAAAATGTGAAGTATTTCCTTAGAGTAAAACTAGAGCTTGAAAATGGCTAAGTACAAAGGATCATAAATTGCCATTTGATGCTAATATAGTATACTTTAAACTCAAAACAATTTTTCTCTAGGATCAAATGCCATAATGATATCATATTAGCATACACTGACCAACGTATTATACAAGACAACCAATAATTTTAAAGTAGTCACTACTTTTTACTTTCAGAAAACAGAATCTACAAACTAATAAGATGAACTCAGTTAAACAACTTAACATATATCAAAACAGATTAAAGCAATGGGAAATAATTAAGTCAACAAACTAATTCATTTCCTTCTTTAAAAATTTTTGGCCGGGCACGGTGGCTCACTTCTGTAATCCCAGCACTTTGGGAGGCCAAGACAGGCGGATCATGAGGTCAGGAGATCGAGACCATCCTGGCTACCACGGTGAAAACCCGTCTCTGCTAAAAATACAAAAAAATGAGCCAGGTGTGGTGGCGGGCGCCTGTAGTTCCAGCTACTTGGGAGGCTGAGGCAGGAGAATGGCGTGAACCCAGGAGGTGGAGCTCGCAGTGAGCCGAGATCACACCACTGCACTCCAGCCAGGGCAACAGTGTGAGACTCTGTCTCAAAAAAAAAAAAAAAATTCCCACTTTCTTTTATCAACTTTTGATAATTTGAGGAAAGGAAATTTAAGGGTTTATAGGCAAAACTAATCAAAAGCAGATGCAAACACTTCAACCTATTGACTTCTTTCCCCATTGTGATTTCAAATAATAACAAAGAATATAAAAGTCATGAAAAGTAAGAGAAGGGAAAAAAGTAGAATAGTATGTTCATATTCACAAGATCCAGTCTTAGAAAGATATAGCAACTATCCAACCCCTTACAGGTTCACTAGGGAAAAGGGAATATCAAATTGCTACCATTTTTGGACTATTAGGAAGCTAGCCTAATATAGCATATTACTCAAGGTACCTGGCTAACCTAAGAAGCAGTGAGTCAGCCTTCAAATGTAAAGGCTTTCTCAGCAAATCTGGAGGGTAACATTCCTCATAGGAGTAAATGAATTATTTCCCACACTTTTTGGAATGCTTTCTGAAGGGGCATGGACTAGATCTCTAGCAATACCTGGACTCTGCTATATACTACATGGCATTATGCGCTTAAGATATTACAGCATCCATCCGAGGTTGCATTAGAAGCTGACCTACAAGGGAGCATAGCCTCAGGAATCCACTAAGTAGTCTTTGTTTGTTTTTAATAACTGGCAGTTTGCTTCATGTAACATTTGGATTCATACTTATTGTAGATGAACAAAAGGCTATGCAAACACTTAATCTCACTTATGTAGAGCAACTTTGAGTCAGAAACTGATGTCATCTTACTTGCTGTTCCAGTTTTTCCCATCTTTACACCCAAGTTGTCGAAGTACACTGCACCTGCATTGAAGATTTAAACATACTTAAAAAAAAGTCCAGAGAAAAAATATTGAAGTTGTCATGCCCACTGAAATACAAGCATAGCTTACCTATTAATAAAGTCTATGGCTTGTGCTTTCAACTGTTCTGCACTGTGCAAATCTGCAAGGACAAGGGTATCTGCAACATTCTCTACTGAGAGGTTACTACACAAAGCTTCTTCGCACATGACCTTCAGCCGTTCCAGTGCATACTATCCAAAATGAAAACATAACCATTAAACATTTACTCCAACTAAGTTCCTGAATACATGATACATTTGCAACTTGGAAAATAAGGGTAAAATAGATTATTATTTAAGATTATTTTAAAATTCTTTAAGTTACTGTTTTAACCTAATACGAAGTAAATATAAACAAATGCACTTAGAAGAAAGACTAATTTTCTTTAGGAAACTGCAATTTGCATAAGCGTATTTTTGAAGTAGGATTTATTCTAAAAAGCTACCTTATTACTCAATATTCTTAATAAATATACTTCTCTTGTCTACTACTTCAAACACTAATGTGTACCACCAAGTATACTGCATGTTGCCACCACTCAGTATTGAAGGATGAATTCATTGTAACGTTAAATAAATCGTATTTATAACCACTAAACATTCTTGCAGGTATTAGTGTATGTTATATAACATGTTGAGCAGCTTTACTAAGGTATAACTGACACACAATAAAGTACACATAAGGTTCACCTTCTGCTAAGTTTATACAGCCATAAAACCATCATTAACTCTACAATAAATATACCAATTGTCCCTCAAAGTTTCCCTCTACATCTTTGTAATCTTTCCCTCTTGCCCCACCCTAGGTGATACCTCTGATATGCTTTCTATCACTATAGATTAGTCTGCATTTTCTGGAGTTTTCTATAAATGAAATAACATATTACATGTTTGTTTTTGTCTGACTCCTTCATTCAGTATAATTATTTTGAGAATCATGAATGTTATTGCCTATCAATAGTTCAATCCTTTTTATTCCATCATACATAGATATACAACAATATGTTTTACACATTCAACTGCTGATGAATATTTGGGTTGTTACCAGTTCTTGGCTGTTACAAATGAAGCTGTTAGTCATATACAAGTGTCTGTATGGGCATATGCTTTCTTTCCACTTAGGTAAAAACCTAAAATTGGACTCACTGGATCACAGTGTAAGTTTATGTTTAACTTTCTGAGAAACTGTCAAACACTTTTCCAAAGTGGTTGTACCATTTTACATTTCCATCAACAGCACACGAGAGCCCTAATTTTTCCGTGTCTTTAACATGAGAATTCTATTCTTCCACATCCTTGATAACACTTAGTATGGTCTTTGTACTTTTAGCCATTATAATGATGTGCAGGAATATCTAATGATGGCTTGAATTTACATTTCCCTAACGACCTAATGATGTTGAGTATCTTTCATTTTTGAGACAGGGTCTTGCTCTGTTGCCCAGGCTGGAGTGCAGTGGCACAATTAGGGCTCATTATAGTCTTGACCTCCTGGGCTAAAGGAATCCTCCCATCTCAGCCTCCTGAGTAGCTGGGATTAAAGGCACATGGCACCACACCAGGCTAATTAAAAAAATTTTTTTTTGTAGAGATGGGGACTTACTATGTTGCATAGGCTGGTTTCAAACCCCTGGGCTCAAGTGATATTCCAGCCCAGGCCTCCTAACGTGTTGGGATTACAGGTGTGAGCCACCATGCTTGACTAGAATATCTTTTTATGTATTTCAGACATTATTTCAGAAAATGTTTGCTCAAACGTTTTGTCTTTTAGAAATAACATTGTTTTCTTATAACTGAGTTTTGAGAATTCTTTATATAGTCTGAATACAAAAGTCAGATATATTCTGAATAAAAGTTGTTCATTAGATATCTGCTGTGCAAATATTTTCTCCCAGTTTGTGGCTAATCTTTTTATTCTGTCTTTCGAAGAAAAGAAGTTGAAATTTTATTGAAGTCTATTTTATCATTTTTTTTCTTTTACAGAATTTTTGGTGTCACAGCTAAGAAATCTCTGCCTAACCTAACATCACAAACACTTTCTTTTATGTTTTCTTTTAGAGGTTTAGATTTTAGGTTTATGATCCATTTTGCATTACTTTTTTTTTTTTTTTTTTTTGAGATGGAATCTTGCTCTTTTGCCCAGGATGGAGTGCAGTGGCATGATCTTGGCTCACTGCAACCTCTGCCTCCTGGGTTCAAGCAATTCTCCTGCCTCAGCCTCCCAAGAAACTGGGATTACAGGCACACACCACCATACCCAGCTCATTTTTGTATTTTTAGTAGAGACAGGGTTCACCATGTTGGCCAGGCTGGTCTTGAACTCCTGACCTCAAGTGATCTGTTCACTTTGGCCTCCCAAAGTGTTCGGATTACAGGCGTGAGCCACCATGCGAGGCCTGCCTTACTTTGTATACATGGTTTGAGGTGCACATGTAGGTATTCAACTGCTCCTGCACCACTTGTTTAAAGATTATCCTTTTTCTACTGAACTGTCTTTGCACTTTTGTCAAAAATTAAATATTCATAATGTGATGGTCTATTTTCATATTCATATTCTTTATTCTGTTCCATTATTTGCCCATCTTAACACCAATACAACACTGTCTTAATTTCTAAAGCTTTATAGTAAGTCATGATATCAAGTAGTGTTAGTCCTCTACTTTATTCTTTTTTTCCCCAAAGTTATTATAATAAAATTTTAAATCAGCTTGTCAACTTCTGAAAAAAAAAAAAGAAAAAAGACTGCTAGGATCTTGAGAGGAACATGCTGCGTCTACTATCAATTTTAAAGACAACTGACATTTTAACAATATTGAGACTTTCAGTCCATGGACAAGATTTATGTACTTATTTAAGTCTTCCTGAGTTTCTTTTGGCATATTTTGTAATTTTCTTTTTTTCTTTTCAACTTTTATTGTAGAAACAGGGAGATACATGTGCAGGTTTGTTACAAAGGTATCCTGTGTAATGCCACGGACATAAAGATGGGAACAACAGACACTGAGGACTCCTTGAGGGGGTAGAGAGGGAGGGGGGCAAGGGCTGAAAACTTACCTATTATTGGGTACTATCATCATTACCTGGGTGATGGGGTCAATCATACCCCAAACCTCAGCATCACATAATACCTTTGTAATTTTCAATGTGTAGGTTTTAACCCTCTTTTTTCAAATGTATATCTATGTATTTAATACTGATGATGCTGCTATTGTAAATGGTGTTTTTAATTTAAGTTTTTATTGAGACAGTCATAGATTCATGTGCAGTTGTCAGAAAAAATAGATTCCATATACACACTTGGTCCAATTTCCCCAATGGTAACATTTTTCAAATGATGTGTATATATACACACATACCATCCATCGACACATACACATGCATACGTACATATATACATACATACATGCATATGTGAACTTGTATACTGAATGTGCTTTTAGGATTGAAAACCATTGGCTTAGAGATTTTTCTGATGTTTTTTGCAGTTTCTCTACCTTCAAAAAAATCATCATTACAAAAAAGTATTATAAAATTATTAATATTGTTTTTGCTCTATGCTGTCATAATAAAAAAACAATCTCTATGTGGAGAGAATTAAGTTACATAATATCCAATATTTTTTCCTTTTTTTAAAAAAGGTCATGCACTATATCTCAAGACTAAAAATATCTGAAAATTATATATGTCACTGTGTGTGTTCTTTTAAATGGAAGTCCATATACACTCAAAACGACTGAGTTTACAGGTTACTCTCCCAAGAAAAAAGCCACTTCCTTCTGGCTCAAGATACTTTCACATCATGACTTTTAAAAAAAAATTTCATTTCCAGATTACCCCACTGTATGCTATTTCATAAAGCTCTCAAGAGCCATCTACAAAATACGAGTTATTTGGAGTTTTCATTTGATGACAGCTTTCTATATAAATCAAGCTTGAGGGTATATTTTGGTTCCTTAAGACCTAATTACTTACTTTGTCTGCAGCTGCCAACAAGTTGTCAGCCATTTTGTCAAGGTTTGGTGCTCTCCCTGTGTAAATGAATCTCATCATTTCTTTAAAAACTTCAGGGTCTAAATCATTTATTTCCACTCGATTCTGATATCGAAAAACAACACAAAAATGTTAAAAAAAAAAAAAGTACACACAAATGAACCAAAGTGAATCTTTGACAGTAATTTAAAAGCCCTAAATCTACACTAAAATAGTGTATAACTCAAATATACATACACAGATATTTCTAAATTCTACTTTAAAATTGAGGTAGGTAAACTTCATTAAGTACTTCGGCAAAGTGAAGTGGACAAGTCCAAGAGGAAAAGCATACACTATCGGAGAGGTGGGAACCATGACCAGCTGGAGAGCCCATATCCTGATATTCAGACCAAGCCAAGCACCACCATGTGGAAAAAGGAGCCCCAATTTTTCAATTAAAAAGTTAAAAAAAAAAAACAAGTAAACAAACAGAAAACTATAAGCCAAATAAAATACATCTGTGTTAAGTTTCTGACCAGTATTCTAAAGGACACTGGCTATTAACCCTTTCTTTGTTGAATCCCTAGGTCCTAATACAACACCTAAGATCCTGTAACAAACAGTTCTTAATTCCCAGAATTAAGCAAAAGTAGGGCAAGGTACTAGAGGTAACAATAAAGCCCACTACCTCAGAATTCTCCCATTTGCAAAAATGGCATGTATTATCATATACTGGCACTTCCTTGCTTACCTGAAAAATAGTCAAGTCCAAAGAGTGCTTTTTTACTGCGTGTTTTTGTATTTAGTTTCTTTGCTGAGATCAATAAAGCTAAATATCTAACTAAATGACAGCAAATTTTTCTGACCCCTTGATGTCAATAGTATATGACATCATTGATGTCTCCCAACTTGGAAGTGATCAGAAGGCTGATCATAGCATCTCCCCAAACCAAAACTTGGAGAAAGAAAGCAGTTATTTTATTGCAGCATCTAGTTCTGCAGAAAGAATAAAATTGAGCCACATGAAAAAACTCTGGAGTTGTCCAGCTGGAGCCCTACGGTTCACAAGTTATGCAAACAGCAAAGAATCAACCTCTGATCTCTAACATAATTACATTTCATGATGACAAGTAAAAGAGAAACATCTGGGGAAGTCAAGTAGGTAACATCCTGATTACAGTTGGTATACAATAATACTGATGTCATCTATGTTATTTTTGTTGCTAGAAAACAGATTCCAAAAATCAATCCATAAAGTCTTACAAAGGGAGAATATATACCTTGAACAGAGACTTCTCAAATAGCTATGGACCAGAATAGTCCTTTGGATAACTATCCTTTTGGATAACAACTATCCAATTTACCTACCAGAAGGGCATAAAAAATAGCTGTTCTCTGGAATATTGACTGCACATCCACACTGAGCTACATCTATTGTTCTATTATAGAACACATTTTTTTCCTGTTTGTAAAAATTTTCCCTGCTTATCACAGTATGACAATGAGAACATTGTACTATTACTTTTAAAACATACACCCAACTACTTTACGTTTATATAAATTCAATATTAGCCTTTAAGCCATGTTTACCTTTTTGCTTTCTTCCATTTCATGTTCAAACATGGCGTTAAAAACTGGAGATCGAGCTGTAACAAGATTATGTATCATTATTTTATGCATAAATGCATTTTTTTAAATGTACTATATTACCCCATAACTAGAAAGTACCTGCAAGCACAGATTTATGAGCTTTAAATTCTTGTCCTCTCACGAAAAAACTGCAGTCTGTAAATCTTGTGTTTTCCCAGAGATTACCTAAATCTTCTGCTAGACGACACTCAGGCACCTTCAAAGTATTTGTATTAGTATGTCCTGATATGTTTACTGAATCTTGGACCACACTCACCTAATAAAAAAGGGACAGCAAGAAAAACACTTTCACAAAGTAATATCAGTAATTAGTTTAAGTCCATACTTCAATTTTTTATGTTTAAGCTTATTTGGATAATTCAATGTACTCCTAATCAAAATTTCTAATATCCAGAAACTGAAATTAAAAACACAATTTAAAGGAGAGAAATGAAAAAATTAGAAATATAGATCTTTTTCAATTTATTCTATGTAAATAAATGGCTTATCAATTGGTTAGAATGCTTGATTATTAAAGTAATTACAAAAATATTTCTCAATAGAAAAGCCACAATATGATATAAACTCAAACAAAAGTACATCTTTGTGAGGTGGAGAAAAAAATTTTTTTTATTTTCTTACACTTCAAACCTACCTACATTTAAATTTTACTATATGTACATAAACATAGTATTTTGTTTAAAAGTCAAAATGACTTTTTACCGTATAAAAAGTGATAAAATTACAGCCTATGATATGCAAATTGAGAAGTTTTTAAAGTGTTATTCCTAATGTTTCACTTCTAGTAAAACTAATTTAAATACATATTAAACTGATTTAAATTTTAAGGTACAAAAACTTCCACAAAAGCAACTGTAATTATTAAAGTTCATGAAAATCTTTTATGGAAGATCAACAGCAAGAGCAACATAATTTAGTTCGATTTGCAGACTTTTATTTACTTAAGAAATAATCAATAAAAGGTATGATTACAGTATTATTTTTATGGAGATTCCAATATAATATGGATCAAGTTATTTCCCATAAAAGATGACCACATACTGAATAATATCCTAAAACACTATTAAGTCTTGCACACCACTTTTTAAAAAAATTTATTTATTTATTTTTTATTTTTGAGACAAAGTCTGGCTCTGTTGCCTAGGCTAGAGTGCAGTGGAGTGATCTCGGCTCACTGCAACCGCTGCCTCCTGGGTTCAAGTAATTCTCCTGTCTCAGACCTCCTGAGTAGCTGGGATTACAGGTGTGCACCACCACACCCAGCTAATTTTTGTAGTTTTTAGCAGAGAAGGCATTTCACCATGTTGGCCAGGCTGGTCTTGAACTCCTGACCTCAAGTGATCCACCTGCCTTGACCTCCCAAAGTGTTGGGATTACAGGAGTGAGCCATACCACCTGGCTGCAGACCACTTTTTTAAAAAATGGATTCTACTATGCTATTAAAAATTTCACATTACATTTAATACATGTAAAAAAATACACTTAAAGAAAATACTACTTTAACTAGTAAATGTTTCAAAGTAAATGACTTTTTTAAAAAACAAAACAAAACAAAAAGTGCTACATTACTTATCTACTGCTGTTTTCAACTTCTAAGTTTTGGGATCATTTGTTACACAGCAATAGATAGCTGCATTAATTTAACAATATTTCATTAGGCTTTTATTAAATAAAAGTATAAATAAGGACACACATATATACAGTAAACTATGCAGAAAACAGAATCATAAATAAATAAATTTGCTAAACTACCAATATGCTAACAAAGTCTAATAATGGTCCAATGTAAAATGTTTGGAGAAGATTAAGTCTTAGAAGTCCCAATACATCCAGACATACAAACATATATCTCATGTGAATGAATACACACTTCTAAAGAAAAACTAGAAAATCTTTATTTTTCTGAGGATATTTTTATTAACCGCTTTTGCCCTCAATTTACGTATTAACCTTTTGAAATCATATGTGTCACAGAAATCATCTAATCTATTCACCTTATTTTACAAAGAGATTTCAAACTGTGATAAAGACAAGGTAAACAAAGTGTTCCAAATCACACTGTGCTGGCTTGTACCAAAGGAAGACTAGACCTAAATCTCCAGATTCTTTTTTTTTTTCTTTTGAGACGGAGTCTTGCTCTGTCGCCCAGGCTGGAGTGCAGTGGCGCGATCTCTGCTCACTGCAAGCTCCGCCTCCTGCATTCATGCCATTCTCCTGCCTCAGCCTCCCGAGTAGCTGGGACTACAGGTGCCTGCCACCACTCCTAGCTAATCTTTTGTATTTTTAGTAGAGATGGGTTTTCACCGTGTTAGCCAGGATGGTCTCGATCTCTTGACCTCGTGATCTACCCGCCTCAGCCTCCCAAAGTGCTGGGATTACAGGCGTGAGCCACCGTGCCTGGCCCAGATTCCTTTCTTTACGGCTCTTCGTACAATATTTTTCTGATATTTTTAAAAATTAGTAAAATTAACACAATTATGACCAATAAGCATTTATTACAACAATCTTAGGAGATGTTTCTCTAAGTATGGGAGCCACAAGATATTGTATAAATAAATAAATCTGCCAATAAAGGTGCTCCTATCTTATCAAGTTTTTAATCAAGTTATGTCTAAAATTTTAATAACTATAAAAAAGTTTCACTAATCCTTACCCAACTGCCCTGTTCTACTACACATTATAACCTAATGATATAGACACAAAAAATGTTGGTGTTAATATTCAAGGTTTCGTAAGGGATCAGGTCTTTAGACCCTAACAGCATTTATTTGTTCATATCAAGCACTGCTCTTGAAATTTCTAGACAGAAAAAACTGGATCTGTTCAATGGCTTGCATGATACATACAGCAGAGTTACAAAATGTGATGATGTATTTAATTTCAGAAATGATTTCTTGAATTCTACTCACTGTCTCTTAAATTCAAAATAACGTATTTAATGTAGAAATTTGGCAAAAAATCAGGTAATAAAAGGATTAAAAAATAAAGACAATATTATCAGACACAGATATTGATGTTATATTTGTATTTTGTATAAGCAAGAACAATTCAGAAGATCTGTATTACTGACATACCTATCTACACAGTATTATCACAGCAACCACAAATTTTAACTAAGACACATAATTAATACTTCATACTCCAAAGAGTATTCAAGAGACTTCTTATAGAACATAAATTAATGATCTAATTAAAAATTGACATATGCAATGGATTCTGATTATTTTCTTGACACCTATATTTAAGAAAATGTTAAAAATTTGGTTTTATCTATTACATACTCAAATGCAGGTAATGAATGCTCTTACTGAATGGAACCTAGAATAAAAAATTCAGGAAAAAGGCTGAGATTCTTTCCTGAGGTCAAAGTTATGCTTCTTTCAAAAAAAAAAAGAGGCAAATGTGCAATCTTCAAAATTGTTAAATGTTGCAAAGCAAAACCTCAAAGTCATTTGACAGCCCTTTTTCAAATTTGCTTTTGGCTCAACTCAGAGAACATAGTTTAGACAGACAAGGAACATTTGAGGGATCTAATCTGTGACTATCCTGAAAAATTTGGGTCTCTTCTAATGTAGAGCTAAGGTAACTATTGGTTCCAGTTTTCGAAATCTGAATTTTCCAACTAATTCTAAAAGCCAGGAATTTCCAATGCTAAATAGTACTACAATTTTGCCATTTTAATCAACTAGCCAAACACCCACCACACCGGCTCCAAAGTGAGAAACTTTTAACAGTCGAATTTCACATGAATATCTTCCAGAATAGCGAGTTTTAGACTTTTTGATTTTCATAGATTGGTGTCATTTAAAAAAAAAATCTGGTGACAGAAATAGGGTAGTCAACTTTTCATTTTGCCAAGAAAGGGCTTTTTAGAAAATAAATCCCAACTTCCTCCCACTATCATATATAATTATTTTAAAACAGAAAGGCTCTCTGCTATGATTTGAATGTATTTCACAAAGATCATATGTTGGAAATTTAATACCCAATGCAACAATGTTGACAGGTGAGACCTTTCAGAGGTAATTAGGTTATGAGGACTCTAACCTCATGAATGGATTAATGTGTTTACTGAGACAATGAGTTTATTAAAGCGAGTCTGGCTCGCACACACACACACACACACACACACACACACACACACACCCTCCTACCCTCCAACAACCCCCACTCTTCCCCTCACCTCTTCTGTCTCTTTCTCACCATGTGATGATGTCCACCATGTTATGATGTGAGAAAAAGGACCTCACCAGATGTAGCCTCAATCTTGGACTTCTCAGCCTCCAGAACCATGAGCCAATAAAAATTCTGTTCTTTTAAAATTACCTAGTCTCAGGTATTCTGTTAATGGCAACACGAAATGGACTAAGACACTATCTTAGCAAAAGATAAACAGGATGGGAAAAAAGATGTGTCCTTAAAAAGGAGCTAGTTAAACCTCATGAAATACTTGTTTATATATATTTTATCTGTACATACATTTTTCCTGTATATCATGAAATGGTATGGGTCTGTAGACTGAGTATTTAAAATCTGTTGAATTTCAAAAGATAAATTAAACTAACCAGTTTTCTAGTTTTCCTACTTATTTCTCAATTCCTATTTTCTGCATCACTTTGGGAAAGAGGGCAGAGCTGCTTACACTGCTACCAATCTCTATCTCTGGCTACTTTAACCACTGTAGGGAACTTGCAAGATTAAGTTACGCTTTGTGCAAAAAGGGTAGCACCCAACTGCCTTACCTGTCTACAGCACCACTTGCAGGGGAGGGGGAGGAGGCAGTTCTTTAGGAAGGGTAGTGCAATGCTTCCTCCTCTTCTGCAAGCAGTGCTGGAGATTCTGTAGAAGGAAGGGCATCCGTGAGCGGGGTGGAACAAACAGTGGAGGGCATGAAGAATGTTAGTTAAAAGTACCTTTTGCCCACCTATGCTAAATACGGTGCCCAGGGTATAAATACCTATATCAGCAAAAAGATGTATATTTCAGGATCCAAAAATGAATCTGATTGATGCCAACTTTAAAATATATGTCATGTTGGGTTTTGTTTTTGGGGGTCACTAGCATGTAGCATATGGATACCAAGCATACAAAAAAAAAATCTTAATTTCAGCCTTATTTCTGAATTTCTTGGTTGTCTAGGTTCCAGCACAGTGTACTTAGGAAAATATCTGCAAACACTATTTCAATTCTAAAAAAAAAAAAAAAAAAAAAGGTATTTTCTAAAAAGGTTCATTTCTAAAACTATTTTAGCTGGTCATTTTTTGTTTTTGTTAAAAATTGGATTAAATAGCCTTTAAGATCCTTTCTGTTCTAAATTAACATTTAAACAATTTACATGTGGAAATTTAGGATAACTGCTAAAATTCTGGAAGACTCTACAGTAAGGATGCTAAAAATTTTATATAGCATAACCTATATTTATTTAGACTACTACTTAGAATATCTGCTGATCAGCAACAAATACTGTTTTCTTCCCAGTTATTTAATGATAAGACTTGTGCTATGTGTTTGTCAACCAAATAATTGTATTCATAATAAATTCATCATACAGTTCATTTAACTTGTCTAAGTAAAAAATAAGATGCAATTATATAGTCTCTGGAGGCATATTTCAATTATTCTTCTGACATAATGTCATACAATTAGTTTGTAATCTTGCCAAGAAATCTTATACACTTACTATAAAAAGATTACAGCTTATAGTTAAGAAGTTATTATATTCCTAAGACACTCATCTGTCCATGATAATCTGTTGAAATATATCTAATGTTGAGTACATGATAAAAATCTTTTCAACTATCTTTCTTATGAAAATTATCAACTGCCTTAAACATTTTGATAAAATTGTTACTGATGTATATTCTCTATAAACTGTACAGGTTAAAAATATAATCCTTGAATTCAGTCCAAAGGTGAATCTCAAAAATTCATATAGATAAAACTACCTAATGATAACATGACAAAAGCAAATCCAAACATCAAATTAGGACAAATCATAAGTGTACATTATTGGCAGAGGCAATGCTAGTAACTTTCAAAATATCCCATTCTATGCACATAATTACACCTTATAAGTTTGTCAATAGACACGGGCATATCTTAAAAATCTGAGAACTATTTCTTAGAATGCTATTTAATTAGATTAATCCAACCGCCTGAACAATCAGAAAGCTTCTCAATGTTTTCCAGGTACTTCGGGTTCAAACTGATAAATTCTCAGTAATAATGTTTAATACAATCAATCTGAAAATTTTTTAAAAATTGACAATCTATGTCAGTTACTCAGAATGAAGAAAATATTTAGGAATGTTCACATATTCACATTCACAATCTTTTCAAGAGGAAGAAGGATGTAGTATGTTGTAGTATAAGTGTACACACAAATTATAGCTAGAAATATGACAGAGTGTTTCCAGACTGGGTCATTACACTGATTTGTGTCAAGAATTTTCTAAGCTTTTTCTAGTCAAGAATTTACAAATGAAACTCAATCAACTATACCAATTACTTAATTTTAAAGTGTTATTAATCCAGTTTATACTTTTGCCATATCACTAAATAAACCATGGGGTTCTTAGAATAAAAGATGTACCCACCTCACAAAATAATGTAAGCTTGTCATCTGGTAAAAGACCATTAGCTTCATCAAGCAAAAAGTCCCTTCTAATGAATTTTTTAAAACCCCAGTCCTTCCCTTGCACAAATCGATATGCTCTTTGGCTTTCTGGTGGAAAACAGAATAGAGTTTAAATAAAATAAATATCCAAGAGACTTTTTAAACATGGTAACACAGTTAAATAAAATGTGTGAAAACAGGACTTGTCAATACATCCATCATAAAAGTTACCGATATTTGTGTTTATAAATCAAATGTCATAAGAGTTTTAAGTCAGGTAGAAACAGTAACTCCATATGCCTACTCAATTTTGGCCATTGTCAATGAGCTCAATTTCAGACTTCTGGATCTCAAATAGAAAAGTCAGATCAAATCACATGGAGAAGGAAGAGATCTTTTTAACAATCTAAGATTGGCCCTAAAAGACAATGAAATAGGATCAAAATATGTTGGTATAGGCACACTAATCATCTAATATCAGAATCTGGTAAGAAACATACATCTTATTTCCTGCTTCTCCCTTCAAAAATGGATGTTCTAAATATCAAGGCATGTTTAAGCTTTCCTGACATACCCATCCCACCGATTTTTTATTCAACTATAGAAAAATCCATGAACCTGTGAAAAAGATAAAGAAAGTCCTTTATCATTCCTAAGTCTCTAGACATAACCTCCTCTCCCCTAAAAAGAATTTTTCATAAAAGTCCAAAAGATGCTTTTTGTGTAATTTGTAATAGATTTAATAAACATCTGAAGCAAATATTTCAAATGCCTAAGGTAGTCTATAACAACTATATACTAGGCAGTAAACAAGATCCTCTACAGAAAGTATTCATTATCTATTATACAAAGAATAAAATGGAAGTGGAAAATTAGTAATCAATCTACCTGAAATACTCCACTATCTTAAGGTGAGACAATGTGAAAATATATATTATTTTAGCAATACATTATTTAAAAATGTATGTGAATGTGAATTTTCTGTAATCAAGTTACTTGATTCTGCGATTCATTTCTAGAAAATATTATTCTCCTGCCACACACAACGTACATTTCCTACATCACTCTTCTATTATGAAGCTCAGGCTACTGCATTTCAGCTGGCTATATATGTGAATTTTGGACTGAAATTAATAGGCCCTGAAACTAAGAAAAATGGCTCCTTTCAGTCAGTGTTCAATCTACTGCTCAAAAAACTCTAGTGACAAAGTATCAGGGCACTCTATCTCTTTCTCATTGTTCTTCAGATTTTATTACCTGGCAAAAAAAGGCAAGAGAGAAATGCTTCCTGAGCACGTATTATATATGCCAAGCACTGAACCAGGCACCTTGCCCTAACAGCAACTATTTTTCTAAGTGACAACTGGATGTCATTTTAGGACATGAAGAAGTAATATTATTAATCATTTTTACATGTTTTACGAAGTCTAAGACTCAGTAAAATAATTATAGCTCTATGCTGGATTTAAATAATGGTCAAATTAAAAGTTTCAGGTTAAGCAGATTTTAGCAGAAAAAAGTCCCAGACTTTTCTAGGTAAAGGTGCAGAAGAAGTCATAATATGTAGTTATACAGAAATGTCTTCACTTAGTTTGCAAATCACTTACCCATTGCTTTTGTTTCTTCCCTTTTAGCATTCAGAAGGGAAAATTTGAATTTTGCTCGAACTTCACTTTTGGGGCAGCTGACTAAAAGCAAATATAAGGACAAGTAGTCTTTACTTTCATCATCTAATCCCTTTGGGTTTACCCTCAGGCACCTAAAATAAAACAATAAGCTCACATGGAGGAATATAATACTTGAAAAGCATTCGAGAGAGAGAGAGAGAGAGAGAAAGAGAGAGAGAGAACACTGAAATCATGTGTTAATGTCACAAACAGCACTCCTGTCAACATCCTCACAGTTCTTTATAATTCCCCACACTATTAGGAACATACTACCAATCTAATATGAAATTACATTAATACTCATTCAGGAAAAATGATAACAAAATCATGAGCAGCTGATGATCACATCAAAAACAAAAAACAAAAATTCAAAGCAAACAAAAATCTTACCATTTCATTTTGTCACTTGGGCCAGATGAAAATGTTGAACTTTTTAACACTTCACCCATTTCCTCTCGACAAAAACTGAAGTTATTAATGGTCCACATATAGGAAAATTTTACTACTTTAACCTAAGAGATTCAGAAAACCACTTTTATAATGATGACGGTAATACTTTTAACTTGTTACATGTTCAACATCCTACGATCCAGTCTTCTAACACTTCTAATAACTATGGCAAAGTGTTTCACAATACTATTCTCAACATACTGTAAAATTTATAAGTGACATAAAGTGAGGGATTTTTAAGAGCATGTACCTGTGTGTAACACCAGCTTTCTGCTATGGGACCAGTAGACATATCTCCAGGTAGAGGTGGGGTGGGTTCCCGAGACATCACCACTTTATTGTAGTCTTTCAGGATTTATGTAGTACCCCACACAGTTGAGTACCTTACCTACAAAGGAAAGAAGTTTGATGTACTGATTAAAAAGTTTAAACGACAGAATCAAGAGGGAAGACATATTTAAACAGACATGAAACAATTACTATCCCAAACTAGATTATGAAGGAACATGTGAGAATTTTAGATAAATTTAATGATTTTAAGAAGTAAGTTTTTGTAACATGTGACACTTGAAATCTAAACAAACTTAGTATTTATAGATAAGATTATTTTGTAAAGGCATGTTCTCCAAAAAATCACAAATTTTAAAATAACATATAGTTTTAAGAGCATATACATAAAATCACAAAATATCATGGAAACATAATGACATCAGTTAATATCTGGTTCATCCTCCTTCACCTTTTTATTGACATAGTCATGAAAACCAAAAGGTTTGCAAAGTTAGAACTATAAATACTAGTTACCCATCTGTCAGACTCCAGAAGTTTTCGTCAAGTAAAACATAGAATGGAATGTAACAGGCAATGAATACTCTGTAAGAAGAAATACAGACTTTCTACAAAACTCCACGTCTATCTCAGACAACAGGTTCTCTGATAAGACTTCATCCCTAACAGAGTGCTTCTTGCCGAGACGTACTATGTCATAAAATTTCCTCCCAGGTAGCTGTTCTTGTACTGTATCCAATGGTATGCATAATTACCTCTTCATAACCTAACCAGGATATTAGTGACCAGATGCTGCTGCTTTGTAACTTACTAAAAGAGGCACAATCAGAATAAGCTACATAAGTAGTGCACTCTGGAGGTGTAAGAGGGTTTCAAGATTACATGACAATATATATACTGAAGTCTGCAGAACCCTATGCTACCACAGACAAAACAAGACTTTAAGACAAAAATTGTTATGAGAGATAAAGGATATTATATATTGATAAAAGGGTCAATTCATCAAGAAGGTATGACAAGTATAAACATATATACACCACATAATAGAGCCCCAAACTATATCTAGCAAAAACTAACAGAATTGAAGGCAGAATAGACAATTCTACAATAATAGTTGGAGACAGCAATACCCAACATTCAATAATGCACAGAACCAGGAAAATAAAAAAAGAAATAGGAGACTTGAACAGCAGTGTAAAACAACTAGCTAGACCTAACAGCCATTTCACCCATCAACAGTAGAACACACATTATTTTCAAGTGCATGTGGAACATTCTCCAAGACAGACCACTATTGTTTTCTACAGACTTGGGAGTAGAAACAGGAGCAGAAACAAAAGTTGAATATTTATTTTAGGCAAATTCATAGTTAATTAAATAAATGTACTGAAAGAGTAATGATTATTAGACTTATCTGTTAGAAAAATCTCTAGTAATATATGAGAGGGATGTGTCCTGGTCAATACTTTTGCCAGTGACTGTAAAAAAACCTGACAAAATAAACCATTATGACCAATTTCAAAAACAGTAAACAAAGAAAACTATCTGAAATGTATATAGCACATATAACTAATTTTCTTAATATATGAAGAATTTTTACAAATAAGAAAATAAGCAAATAACTCACAGGAAAGAAACTTATAATTAGAAAAATAAAAATTAAAACTAAATTAAAAAGCCACTTTTTACCTATCAAACTAGGAAAAATCCAAAAGATGAGTGAGAGTGTAAGAGGAGAGGCACTCTCATACTTTTCTTGTGGGAATATAAATAGTATAATAATCTCCCTTATTATTTCATAGTGAGATTTCTGGCAAGAAGGGAATGACGCTAAAATACAAGCTACCAATTTCTAAAAGTATAAAAATGCAGATGGTGTTATTTGATGTCCATGAAAGCATTTATATGTTTTCTGGCAACTTGCATTGATTTCAAAAACATTCACACACACACAAAAATGATGAGATGAGCAAGCATTTCACAGAAGAATGATTACCAAAAAAAAAAAAAAAAAAAAGTTTACCTTCACTTGTAATCAATGAAATAGAAAAAGAACCCATAACGTTTTCTACCTATTGCACTGTCCAAGATTATTTTAAACCGTCAAACCCTACAGCCAGCAAAATTGCAGAGAAGCAGACATCACTATACTGGGGATAAGGCTTTGCTATAGATCAATTTTATAATTAGTATCAAAAGAAATTTTGTCAGATTCATCCTGTAAATACATCCTAGGAAAATGATTATAACTGTGAAAAAGATAATTCTGAGCACAGTATATTTCTGCACTATTAATACATGGAAAATGTGCAACCATTAAGAGTGTATTAAATTTTCTTAATGACAGGGAAAAGTGTTCAGGATATGTTATATATCTAAAAAAAATCAAACAGTATGCCTAACAAGACATTGCTTTTATAAATATAAATAGTATATAGAGGTACTGGTGCATAAAGAAAAACAGACTGGCAGGTGGAGGCACTGAGTTGCACTTTGGCATTTCAGTGATAACGTCAAATACATCTAAATATTAAAAGGTTATCTCTGGCTGATGAGATTTTTTTCTTATTTTTATTTATTCATATTTCATAAATGTGTTATGTTTTAATTAATACAGAAATATAAGTAATTATTTTTAAAAGTGGAAAACATGGTTATTTTCAAACTCATATGGACTACAGAAAATACGTAAGATCTTGTGTCTATGTTACTGTTTAAGTAATAGATCCTGGGGTAGAAGGTAAATTGAAAGAAATCAAAGAAAACATTAACCTGAATCTTTAAGCTTTTATAAAAAGATACTATTATAATTTAATACTAACAAAAAACATAAATAAAAAACTTTTAGAAACCCTGGAGGGTAAAGAGAAAGTTCTTCAATATCTCTAGAAGAGTTATTATCTTCCTGAAGTATAACTCACAACAGACCTCATATATAAAAATATACTTCATATACACTTCAAATGTAATTCATATATAAAAGCAAACTACAGTCAGGCACGGTGGCTCACGCCTGTAATCCCAGCACTTTGGGAGGCTGAGGCAAGCGGATCACTTGAGCCCAGGAGTTCAAGACCAGTCTGGCAAACATGGTGAAACCCTGTCTCTACTAAAAATACAAAAATAAGCCAGGCATGGGGGCGGGCGCCTATAATGCCAGCTACTCCGGAGGCTGAGGCAGGAGAATTGTTTCAATCTGGGAGGTGGAGGCTGCAGTGAGGCAAGATCGCACCACTGCACTCCAGCCTGGGCAACAGAGTGAGACTCCATCTCAAAAATAAAATAAAATAAAAAAAATAAAAGCAAGCTACATAAAAGATTACAAGGATTTCTTTGTTTTTCTCTCCAGCTTTACTTCAAAGGATGTAGTTACAAGATAAAGGTATGGAGAATCTGAGTGAACAGACTGTATGTGTGAGCACTTTACAAGATATTATATATGTTGTTCATTCTTCAGTAGCTCTGTGAGATGGGTGTTAATACACCATCTTAATGATGAGAAAAGCGTTTAGAAAGCTTACTTTAAAGTAATTAGAAAATAGATGAACACAAATTTGCCTGGCTCCAAAGTCAATGCTCTTTCCATAGAATCATGCTGCCCTTCCATATTTTACAAAACTTAAACAGGCCTTACCTATTGTTCCAATTCTTATTTTACAAATGAGGACTGGCACAGAAAATAATAACTGTCCAAATTTACACTGTTGAATGAATATTAGAACAAAGAACAAAGACAAAGATCTCCCAAAGTCCACTTCAGTGCTATTTCCAGGATTCTATTTTTTTCTTCCTCTTCATAAGAAGAAAAATGAAAATAAAAACAGCAGACTATCAACTACCTACTAACATTCAGGCCTTCCTATTCTCATTCTTACAGAAAAAGGTTGCAGAGAGGGTACAATGAAACTAAGATCTAGAGAAAAACACAAGACAATCAATCTATATACATCAACAAATAAGTAAAAGATTCTCCCCTATTCCATCATATAAACTAGTCTTAAGCATTTCAAGTGTGATATTTCCTACTTTTACTTATTAAAGGGAAAGCAAGATTTGTTATTCAAATAAACATACACAAGACTTTCTACTTCAACAAAATGCTTCAATGTCACAATGTTTTATATATGTCATATAGACACACACAACTATCTAATTTTATATAAAAATCTCAAATATTCAGAAAACAAAAAAAGAATCACATGTCAAACAATCATGTACCCACCATCCTGGTGTGTCCCTACCACCATCATGTTTCCTCTCTTTACCAGAAGTAACCTGTATCCTGAATTGTTGATTATCATACCAATAAATTTCTTGACATTCTTTAAAAATATCTATGAATCACTAAACTATATAGGTAGAAATTCGTAGATATGTAAAAATGTATATACACATAGATGTCACAAAATAGTAGAGAGCTCCAAAACTCCATCCGTCCACAAAAGAAATGAATAGCTGGTGAAATGGTCAGAATCAGCTTGTTTGAAACTCTGGAACTGAATCAAAAACTTAACAGCTGGCCGGGCGCGGTGGCTCACGCCTGTAATCCCAGCACTTTGGGAGGCCGAGGTGGGCGGATCATGAGGTCAGAAGATCGAGACCATCCTGGCTAACACGGTGAAACCCTGTCTGTGCTAAAAAATACAAAAAAAAAAATTAGCCGGGTGTGATGGCAGGCGCCTATAGTCCCAGCTACTCGGGAGGCTGAGGCAGGAGAATGGCGTGAACCCGGGAGGCAGAGTTTGCAGTGAGCTGAGATCACGCCACTGCACTCCAGCCTGGGCGACAGAGCAAGACTCTGTCTCAAAAAAAAAAACAAAAACAAAACTTAACAGCTAAGGGAATGCTTAATGAAGAAACAAGCTACTGAATTTCAGTGAGAAAGGGCTGTGGCATTTTAACAAACCTGCTTACTACGGCTCCCTCCCCTAGTTTGGTGGTCCGCCCAAGTCATCAGCCCTCATTCCTGATACAGGATGCTGATATAAAGTCACTTGCCTTCATTCCTGGTATACGGTGCTGGTACCAAAGAGAGCAAGATGGACCTTATTCTAAAACATATTGTAATGTACTTTGACCAGTCTGGCAATTCCCTGAAGGACTGACTGAAGGGCCAGTTTCACCTGCCTTGGAGCTTCCCTGAGGTAGGGGACAGCATTCTGGGATATGGCATTTATCAAAAGCATTAAGAGGCAAATGTATTAGTTATAGCCACCTAGAGAAGGAATCAGAGCTGGCACAAGCAATGACCAGGCAAAAAACCGTGGGAAGGAAGAAGCTGGGGAATAAAAGCTTTGAAAAGCTCCCACATATTCCAGGAAATCTAGAAAGCTATGGGTATGCCCAGGGGCAAACACATGCTTGAAAACAGGTGGGGGGTGGAGCCAAGATGGCTGAATAGGAACAGCTCCAGTCTACAGCTCCCAGTGTGAGCGACGCAGAAGATGGGTGATTTTTCCATTTCCAACTGAGGTACTGGGTTTATCTCACTGGGGAGTGTCGGAAAGTGGGTGCAGGACAGTGGGTGCAGCGCACCGAGCATGAGCCGAAGCAGAGCGAGGCATCACCTCACCCGGGAAGCACAAGGGGTCAGGGAATTCCCTTTCCTAGTCAAAGAAAGGGGTGACAGAGGGCACCTGGAAAATCGGGTCACTCCCACCCTAATACTGTGCTTTTCCAATGGTCTTAGCAAACGGCACACCAGGAAATTATGTGCCGCACCTGGCTCGGAGGGTCTTAACGCCCAGGGAGCCTCGCTCATTGCTAACACAGCAGTCTGAGATCAAACTGCAAGGCGGCAGCGAGGCTGGGGGAGGAGCGCCCACTGCTACCCAGGCTTGAGTAGCTAAACAAAGCGGCCTGGAAGCTCGAACTGGGTGGAGCCCACCGCAGCTCAAGGAGGCCTGTTTGCCTCTGTAGACTCCACCTGTGGGGGCAGGGCTAAGACAAACAAAAGGCAGCAGAATCCTCTGCAGACTTAAATGTCCCTGTCTGACAGCCTTGAAGAGAGCAGTGGTTCTCCCAGCACGCAGCTGGACATCTGAGAACAGACAGACTGCCACCTCAAGTGGGTCCCTGACCCCCGAGTAGCCTAACTGGGAGACACCCCCCAGTAGGGGCAGACTGACACCTCACAAGGCCGGGTACTCCTCTGAGACAAAACTTCCAGAGGAACGATTAGGCAGCAACATCTGCTGTTCACCAATATCCGCTGTTCTGCAGCCTCCACTGCTGATACCCAGGCAAACAGGGTCTGGAGTGGACCTCCAGCAAACTCCAACAGACCTGCAGCTGAGGGTCCTGACTGTTAGAAGGAAAACTAACACAGGAAGGACATCCACGCCAAAAACCCATCTGTAAGTCACCATCATCAAAGACCAAAGGTAGATAAAACCACAAAGATGGGGAAAAAACAGAGCAGAAAAACTGGAAACTCTAAAAATCAGAGCGCCTCTCCTCCTCCAAAGGAACGCAGCTCCTCACTAGCAACAGAACAAAGCTGGATGGAGAATGACTTTGACGAGTTGAGAGAAGAAGGCTTCAGACGATCAAACTACTCCAAGCTAAAGGAGGAAGTTCAAACCCATGGCAAAGAAGTTAAAAACCTTGAAAAAAAATTAGACGAATGGCTAACTAGAATAACCAATGCAGAGAAGTCCTTAAAGGACCTGATGGAGCTGAAAACCAAGACACGAGAACTCCGTGATGAATGCACAAGCCTCAGTAGCCAATGCGACCAACTGAAAGAAAGGGTATCAGTGATGGAAGATGAAATGAATGAAGTGAAGTGAGAAGAGAAGCTTAGAGAAAAAAGAATAAAAAGAAATGAACAAAGCCTCCAAGAAATATGGGACTATGTGAAAAGACCAAATCTATGTCTGATTGGTGTACCTGAAAGTGATGGGGAGAATGGAACCAAGTGGGAAAACACTCTGCAGGATATTATCCAGGAGAACTTCCCCAATCTAGCAAGGCAGGCCAACATTCAAATTCAGGAAATACAGAGAATGCCACAAAGATACTCCTCGAGAAGAGCAACTCCAAGACACATAACTGTCAGATTCACCAAAGTTGAAATGAAGGAAAAAATGTTAAGGCAGCCAGAGAGAAAGGTCAGGTTACCCACAAAGGGAAGCCCGTCAGACTAACAGCTGATCTCTCGGCAGAAACTCTACAAGCCAGAAGAAAGTGGGGGCCAATATTCAACATTATTAAAGAAAAGAATTTTCAACCCAGAATTTCACATCCAGCCAAGCTAAGCTTCGTAAGTGAAGGATAAATAACATCCTTTACAGACAAGCAAATGCTGAGAGATTCTGTCACCACCAGGCTTGCCCTAAAAGAGCTCCTGAAGGAAGCGCTAAACATGGAAAGGAACAACCGGTACCAGCCACTGCACAAACATGCCAAACTGTAAAGACCATCGAGGCTAGGAAGAAACTGCATCAACTAAAGAGCAAAATAACCAGCTAACATCATAATGACAGGATTAAATTCACACATAACAACATTAACCTTAAATGTAAATGGGCTAAATGCTCCAATTAAAAGACACAGACTGGCAAACTGGATAAAGAGTCAAGACCCATCAGTGTGCTGTATTCAGGAAACCCATCTCACAGGCAGAGACACACATAGGCTCAAAATAAAGGGATGGAGGAAGATCTATTAAGCAAATGGAAAACAAAAAAAGGCAGGGATTGCAATCCTAGTCTCTGATAAAACAGACTTTAAACCAACAAAGATCAAAAGAGACAAAAAAGGCCATTACATAATGGTAAAGGGACCAATTCAACAAGAACAGCTAACTATCCTAAATATATATGCACCCAATACAGGAGCACCCAGATTCATAAAGCAAGTCCTTACAGACCTACAAAGAGACTTAGACTCCCACACAATAATAATGGGAGACTTTAACACCCCACTGTCAACATTAGACAGATCAACGAGACACAAAGTTAACAAGGATATCCTGGAATTGAACTCAGCTCTGCACCAAGCAGACCTAATAGACATCTACAGAACTCTCCACCCCAAATCAACAGAACATACATTTTTTTCAGCAGCACACCACATTTATTCCAAAATTGACCACTTAGTTGGAAGTAAAGCACTCTTCAGCATATGTAAAAGAACAGAAATTATAACAAACTCTCTCAGACCACAGTGCAATCAAAGTAGAACTCAGGATTAAGAAACTCACTCAAAACCACTCAATTACATGGAAACTGAACAACCTGCTCCTTAATGACTACTGGGTACATAACGAAATGAAGGCAGAAATAAGGATGTTCTTTGAAACCAACGAGAACAAAGACACAACATACCAGAATCTCTGGGATGCATTCAAAGCAGTGTGTAGAGGGAAACTTATAGCACTAAATGCCCACAAGAGAAAGCAGGAAAGATCTAAAATTGACACACTAATATCACAATTAAAAGAACTAGAAAAGCAAGAGCAAACACATTCAAAAGCTAGCAGAAGGCAAGAAATATCTAAGATCAGAGCAGAACTGAAGGAAATAGAGACACAAAAATCCCTTCAAAAAAATCAATGAATCCAGGAGCTGGTTTTTTGAAAAGATCAACAAAATTGATAGACCGCTAGCAAGACTAATAAAGAAGAGAGAAGAATCAAATAGACACAATAAAAAATGATAAAGGGGATATCACCACCGATCCCACAGAAATACAAACTACCATCAGAGACTATAAACACCTCTATGCAAATAAACTAGAAAATCTAGAAGAAATGGATGAATTCCTCAACACATACACCCTCCCAAGACTAAACCAGGAAGAAGTTGAATCTCTGAATAGACCAATAACAGGCTCTGAAATTGAGGCATTAATTAATAGCTTACCAACCAAAAAAAGTGCAGGACCAGATGGATTCACAGCTGAATTCTACCAGAGGTACAAGGAGGAGCTGGTACCATTCCTTCTGAAACTACTCCAATCAATAGAAAAAGAGGGAATCCTCCCTAACTCATTTTATGAGGCCAGCATCATCCTGATACCAAAGCCTGGCAGAGACACAACAAAAAAAGAGAATTTTAGACCACTATCCCTGATGAACATTGATGCAAAAATCCTCAATAAAATACTGGCAAACTGAATCCAGCAGCACATCAAGAAGCGTATCCATGATGAACAAGTGGGCTTCATCCCTGGGTTGCAAAGCTGCTTCAACATATGCAAATCAATAAACGTAATCCAGCATATAAACAGAAACAATGAAAAAAACCATATGATTATCTCAATAGATGCAGAAAAGGCCTTTGACAAAATTCAACAACCCTTCATGCTAAAAATTCTCAATAAATTAGGTATTGATGGGAAGTATCTCAAAATAATAAGAGCTATCTATGACAAACCCACAGCCAATATCATACTGAATGGCCAAAAACTGGAAGCATTCCCTTTGAAAACTGGCACAAGACAGGGATGGCCTCCCTCACCACTCCTATTCAACATAGTGTTGGAAGTTCTGGCCAGGGCAATCAGGCAGGAGAAGGAAATAAAGGGTATCCAATTAGGAAAAGAGGAAGTCAAATTGTCCCTGTTTGCAGATGACATGATTGTATATCTAGAAAACCCCATTGTCTCAGCCCCAAATCTCCTTAAGCTGATAAGCAACTTCAGCAAAGTCTCAGGATACAAAATCAATGTGCAAAAATCACAAGCATTCTTATACACCAATAACAGACAGAGAACCAAATCATGAGTGAACTCCCATTTATAATTGCTTCAAAGAGAATAAAATACCTAGGAATCCAACTTACAAGAGATGTGAAGGACCTCTTCAAGGAGAACTACAAACCACTGCTCAATGAAATAAAAGAGGATACAAACAAATGGAAGAACATTCCATGCTCATGGGTAGGAAGAATCAGTATCGTGAAAATGGCCATACTGCCAAAGGTAATTTATAGATTCAATGCCATCCCCATCAAGCTACCAATGACTTTCTTCACAGAATTGGAAAAAACTACTTTCAAGTTCATATGGAACCAAAAAAGAGCCTGCATTGCCAAGTCAATCCTAAGCCAAAAGAACAAACCTGGAGGCATCACTCTACCTGACTTCAAACTATATTACAAGGCTACAGTAACCAAAACAGCATGGTACTGGTAACAAAACAGAGATATAGACCAACGGAACAGAACAGAGCCCTCAGAAAGAATGCCGCGTATCTACAACCATCTGATCTTTGACAAATCTGACAAAAACAAGAAATGGGGACAGGATTCCCTATTTAATAAATGGTGCTGGGAAAACTGGCTAGCCATATGTAGAAAGCTGAAACTAGATCCTTTCCTTACACCTTATACAAAAATTAATTCAAGATGGATTAAAGACTTATTAGACCTAAAACCATAAAAACCCTAGAAGAAAACCTAGGCAATACCGTTCAGGACATACGCATGGGCAAGGACTTTATGTCTAAAACACCAAAAGCAATGGCAACAAAGACAAAATTGACAAATGGGATCTAATTAAACTAAAGAGCTTCTGGACAGCAAAAGAAACTACCATCAGAGTGAACAGGCAACCTACAGAATGGGAGAAAATGTTTGCAATCTACTCATCTGACAAAGGGCTAATATTCAGAATCTACAAAGAACTCAAACAAATTTACAAGAAAAAAACAAACAACCCCATCAAAAAGTGGCTGAAGGATATGAACCAACAGTTCTCAAAAGAAGACATTTATGCAGCCAACAGACACATGAAAAAATGCTCATCATCACTGGCCATCAGAGAAATGCAAATCAAAACCACAATGAGATACCATCTCACACCAGTTAGAATGGCGATCATTAAAAAGTCAGGAAACAACAGGTGCTGGAGAGGATGTGGAGAAATAGGAACACTTTTACACTGTTGGTGGGACTGTAAACTAGTTCAACCATTGTGGAAGTCAGTGTGGCGATTCCTTAGGGATCTTGAACTAGAAATACCATTTGACCCAGCCATCCCATTACTGGGTATATACCCAAAGGATTATAAATCATGCTGCTATAAAGACACATGCACACATATGTTTATTGCAGCACTATTCACAATAGCAAAGACTTGGAACCAACCCAAATGTCCAACAATGATAGACTGGATTAAGAGAATGTGGCACATATACAACATGGAATACTATGCAGCCATAAGAAATGATGAGTTCATGTCCTTTGTAGGGACATGGATGAAGCTGGAAACCGTCATTCTCAGCAAACTATCGCAAGGACAAAAAACCAAACACCGCATGTTCTCACTCATAGGTGGAAAATTGAACAATGAGAACACACGAACACAGGAAGGGGAACATCACACACCGGGGTCTGTTGTGGGGTGGGGAGAGTGGGGAGGGATAGTATTAGGAGATATTCCTAATGTTAAATGATGAGTTAATGGGTGCAGCACACCAACATGGCACATATATACATATGTAACTAACCTGCACGTTGTGCACATGAACCCTAAAACTTAAAGTATAATAAAAAGAAAAAAAAAAAAGAAAACAGCTAAGAAGGTCCTAAGCTGGCTGACATTGCTGAGCCAACAGGAAGTGAAGACTAAGGCAGAGTTGCAAATGGCCTGGCTAAGCACTGAAGAAGTGATCCAACAGATAGGCAATGTGAAAAGACTGGAAGAATATTTTTAAGGGTTCTTGTGTATGGAAATCAAAAATAGGTTGAAAGTGAAAGGATGAAAAAAGGTATTTCATGCAGAAGAGAGCTGGGTGGCTATGCTACCATAAGACAAAACAGACTTTAAGTCAAAAATTGTTATGAGAGACAAAGGATATTATCTATTGATAAAAGGGTCAATTCATCAAGAAGGTATGACAAGTACAAACATATATACACCAAATAATAGAGCCCCAAACGATATCAAGCAAAAACTAACAGAATTAAAGAGAGAATAGACAATTCTACAATAATAGCTGGAGACAGAAATACCCAACATTCAATGATGCAGAGAACGAGGAAGATCAATAAAGAGATAGAAGACTTGAACAGCAGTATAAAATAACTAGACCTAACAGCCATTTCACTCATCAACAGTGGAACACACATTCTTCTCAAGTGCATATGGAATGTTCTCAAGGACAGACCATATGCTACCGAGGCCACAAAACAAGTCTCGACGAATTTAAAAAAATTTAAATTATACAAAGTATCCTCTCTGATTGCAGTTGAATGAAACTATAAATCAGTAACAGAAGAAAAAATTTTAAAATTCACAAATGTGGAACTACCAAAACTGACTCAAGAGGAAACCGAAAATGTGAACAGACCCCCATAACCAGCAGAGACTGAACCACTAATGAAAAAAACTTTCAGCGTGACAACTTGAGGAGTTCCATGGACATACTCCCCAGAAAATTTGGTGAAAAATATAAAAACACTGCTGGAAGCACAGAACAAATGAAGAAACATTTATTCAAGAAAATTTAGTAGAGACTATGAGAAAAGTGAGAGTCTGTGGTCTTTGAACCAGGAGCTGCTCTGTCCTAACTCAAGGAGTCAGAAACTCCACTCTAGACTGGTGTAGCCATAAGCACTGTGTTCCCTCTTCCAACAGGTCCAGTCAATGTCCTCCTGTGACAGGAAGGATGTCAACATTTCTCATCCTGCCTCTAAGGGAGAAGACCACCCTTCATATTGTCTTGTGCCCAATTTCTGCCTCCAAAGAAAAAAGAAGTAAAAACTAAAAGGCAGAAATGAAATCCACAGGCAGACAGCCCGATGCCACGCCCTGGGCCTGGTAGTTAAAAATCAACCCATGACTGAACTGCTTGTGTTATCTATAGATTCCAGACACTGTATGGAAAAGCATTGTGAAAATCCCCGTACTGTTCTGTTCCGTTCTGATTACCGGTGCATGCAGCCCCCAATCATGTATCCCCTGCTTGCTCAATCGATCATGACCCTCTCACGTGGACACCCTTAAGAGTCATAAGCCCTTAAAAGGGACAGAAATTGCTCACTCAGGGAGCTCGGTTGTTTGAGATGTAAGTCTGCCGATGCTCCCAGCCGAATAAAGTCCTTTCCTTCCTCAACTCGGTGTCTGAGGGGTTTTGTTTGTTTGTTTGGCTCATGCTGCTACACCTCTAGCTACTTAATGCTGATGTTACAGGTGAATGAAACCAAGAGGTAAGGGGCTGGCTCCCTTCTTCAAATCTGTCACTGCCGGAAAGGTGGAGGCTCTACTTTGGGCATGGTGCTGTCAGGGTACCAATCACTGCTGTCTTGGCTTGTAAACTGTGGGTTCCATACAAAGAGCGTGAAGATAAGAAGAACTGAGGCTACTGCCTCCCTCCAGCACAGCTCCTACAGTAGAGATACACTGGGAAAGAAATACCATTGTTCCTTCCTCCTTACTCCAGAGCCTGGGCTTGGAGATGTTTGCCTGTGGAAAGAAGTGGACCATAAAGCAGACTGCTTTTAATCTCTTCCCAGAGAAAAGAAGTTCATTTGCAAGGAAACAGGCAAGCATGATCTGAAAAACAGTAGAGGCTGTGAGAGGCAAATGAGAAGAGACTGGAGGAATCAATGGATACAAAGGCTAAACTACAGGACAGCTGATTTGCCCAAAAAAAAACAGGAAAAGACACAGCTGAGAGGAGCCCACCTGGATTCGGAAGAAATTTCAGGCACTGACTTAGGGAACTATTTCTTCAAAGGAAACCAAAGTTGATGAGTCTGCAGAACAACATAATGCCCCAGGGCATTGTTGAAAACAGTGCAATTAGCACTAGATTAATGGACCTTAACAGATGTGAGTAGTCAGGCAAAAAGAAAGCCCTGCCAAACCACCATCACCCAGGGTAACTGGGAATACCCAAGGCTGCTTCCCCAGAGGTGCAACATCAGAGGCTTAACACTGTGTGCGTGTGTGTGTGTGTGGGGGGGGGGCACTAAATAGACTCCACTAAAACAGTCCATAAACAAAATAAGCAAGAAGCAACAGCATGCACTGGAAGGAAGAAACCAGTTCCAAGAATTTCTCAATTTACTACATAAAATATCCAGCTTTGAATAGAAAATTACGAGGCATGAAAAAACAGAAAGTATGACCCATATGCTGGGGAAAAAAACAGATAACAGAAACTGTGATTAAACTTACATGTTGGATTTAACAGACAAAGCATTCCAAATAGCCATTAATAAGTATGTGTAAAGAACTAAAGGAAATCATAATTAGAGGAAGGTATGATGACAATGTCACACAAAAAAAATAAAGAATGTCAACAAAAAGGTAAAGGTTATTTTTTTTAAAAGAACCAAATAAAAATTCTGGAGCTGAACCATATAACTGAAATGAAAATTCACTAGAGGAGGTCAACAGTAGATATGAACAAATAGAAGAATTAGTGAACTTACAGACAAATCAGTAGAGATTATACAATCCAGACAGAAAAATATGAAGAAAAATGAACATCTTCAGAGAACTGTAGGACATTATTTTAAGCACACTGACATGTATATAATGGGAGTATCAGAAGGAGAAGAAAGACAGAAGCAGCAGAAAAAGATAACTAAAAAAAATGGCTGAAAACTTCTCAAATTTATTGAAAAGCAATAATATACACATTTAAGGAGCTCAATCAACTCCAAGTAGGTTAAATGCAAAGAAACCCACAAACACATGGATCACAGTAAAAATGCTGAAAAAGACCAAAAAAAAAAAAAAAAAAGCTACTAGAATGGCTATTAAAAAAAAAAAAAGGAGTGGGGAATCACCTGCATTGACGAGGATGTAGAGAAACTGGAATCCTTGGACATTGCTTGTGGAGATGTATAATGGTTTAACCGCTGTGGAAAACAGTTTAAGGATTCCTCAAAAAATTAAACATAGAATTACCACATGATCCAGCTATTCTACTCCTAGGTATATATCCAAAAGAACTGGAAACAGGTGTTCAAATGACTGAAACATAAATGTTCTTTGCTGCAGTATTCACAATAGCCAAAAGGTTACTAGCTAATAATCCATTCATTGATGGACAATCCAAATGTTCATCAAGCAATAAATGAATTTTTAAAATGTGGTACATGTACACAATGAATTTTCCTTTTTTTAAACAGTGTCTTGCTCTGCCACTCAGGCTGAAATACAGTGATGCAATCACAGCTCACTGCCCACACCTGGGTAATTTTATTTCTTATAGACACAAGATCTCACTGTTGCTCAGTTTGGTCCTGAACTCCTGGGCTCAAGAGATCCTTCCAGCTCAGCCTCCCAAAGTGCTGAGATTACAGGTGTGAGCCATTAAGCCTGGTCACACAATGAAATAATATGTAGTCATAAAAATAAATAAAGTATTGATGCATGTTACAACATGAATGAATCTTGAAAACATTATGCTAAGTGAAAGAAGATAGGCACAAAAGGCCACATTGTATCATTTCACTTGTTTTAAATATTGGGCAGATCCATACATACAAAAAGCAGATTAGTAGTTGCCAGACCTGTGGGGAGGGGGAAATGGTAAGTAATTGGTTATGGAGTTTCCTCTGGGACTGATAAAAGTGTTCTGGAACTAGACAGAGGTGCTAGTTGCACAACACTGTCAATGTACTAAGCCATTACGGAACTGTACTTTTTAAAAAAGTAAAAATGATAGATTTTATGTTATATGAATTTTGCCTCATTTAAAAAAAATACCTGCACATAGAAGTCCATATGCACATATATACACATTTCTTTTGTGATTAAAAAGTAATCAAAGTTGTCCCTTTGTTTCCATGGGAGACTGATTCCAGGACTCCCATGGATACCAAAATTCACAGATGTTCCAGTCCCTTATACAAAATGGTATAATATCTGCATTTGATATACACATATCCTCTGGTATCTTTAGATCATCTCTAGATTACTTAACACCTAATACAATGTAAATGCTATGTAAATAGTTGTTATACTGTGCTGTTTTATTAGATTTTTTAAATTGTTGTATTGTTAATTTTTTTTCCCATATATTTTTGATCCACAGTTGGTTGAATCCTCAGATGCAGAATCGGTGGATACAGAGGGTCAACTCTATAAAACACCTTCTATAACTATTGAGTCTATATTAGCCACTATTAGAGAATAAAGTACTAATCGTTATTTTTAATCACCCAAAGGAAAAACTATTGTTTCTTTAAAAAATGTCTTCAATTTTGCAGTATATCAAGTGTGTTAGCTATCAAGCTTCTAGACCAATAAAATATATAAATTATCCAGCAAAGTAGGGTTAAAAAAAATCATGCTGTCTAAAGAGCATTATCAAAATTTTATCCAGTTATAAAATGAGACTGATGTTTATGAGCTACGTCTTTCATTGTCATCTGCAATCAGCTCATTCATCTTCTAGGAGGTAGCTTAATCAATTGTGGTTTAATTATACATACAGTATTTTTGTTTATTAATTCTACAATTAACAAATGGTAAATTACAATTTTGAAATACTACCATATTTATGCTAAAAGTCCTCTGAACTGCTTCAGGATGTTATAACAAAATACTGCCTGAGGTCAAAACAACTTTATATATATGATGAAAAAGAGTTAATATAATATATAACATATAATGTTCAACAGTTTTGCTAAGACTGTACCAGGGAGAATAATTAAGATTCTAATAAGTGTTTATAAAGGTGATAAAATAGTAATACACATATAAATTTCTTAAATCTATTCAAATTAAGTATACGATGACTTTAGGGAAATACAATGAACATTTATTATATGCTTAGATATATCATGCACTCTAACGAAACCTGGGGTATGAAGATAAATAAAACACATTCCCTACTCTTGGCAAAAACTATAACATAGTAGAGGATACAGACACGGAGATATTTTGAATATGATAATATGAGAGAGTACTGTAACAGTGATAATGAAGCACTTCAGGACACAGAAAATGTCCTGAAGATATTCCCTGAGCTGTATTCTATAGGAAGCAAACAAGATTATAGAAAGACCACAAACAATAGCATAGACTTTAATAACAAGAGCTATATACTGAGACCAATGTGAATCAGTGCTTTGCCATGAATTCTGTGATCTTATAGATACTGGGCCTCTCCTTTGTTTATTAAATTATTATAGCACCTCATTGCCCTATGGTTGCTGAGTGGATAATAGGAAATTTTATACATATACACACCCTTAGCACAAAGTGAGTACTGGAGTAGAAACAGTAAGTAAAACTTTACTGGTGACAGTTGATGGTACAGATGGGCAGGGGAGATAAGCCTGGTAATGATCAAAACAATTAATGTATATAAAAAGTACTTAGAGGCTACCATGGGATGTTCTGCTTCTGGGGATAATGGAGTAACTAGCAGGTAAACTAAATTCTGCTGAGAAATAGAAAAACTTGAATAAAAATAAGTATGTTTAAAGGTATCTAGAGCTGCTCAAGCAATCAGGACAAAAGGTCACAAGATTCTAGAGAAGGGAGAACAACCTAAAGGTGGGCTGACATTTCAAGTCATTACAGAAGTAAAAAACGAAAACAAGGCCCAGAGCTGTGGCTCATGCCTGTAATCCCAGCACTTTGGGAGGCCGAGGCGGGCAGATCACGAGGTCAGGAGATCGAGACCATCCTGGCTAACACGGTGAAACCCCGTCTCTACTAAAAATACAAAAAAAAAAAAAAAAAAAAAATTAGCCGGGCGTGGTGGTAGGCGCCTGTAGTCCCAGCTACTCGGGAGGCTGATGCAGGAGAATGGTGTGAACCCGGGAGGCAGAGCTTGCAGTGAGCCAAGATCGTGCCACTGCACTCTAGCCTGAGCGACAGAGCGAGATTCTATCTCAAAAAAAAAAAAAAAAAAAAAAAAGCGAACAAAAATAAATAAATAAATTGGGCTGACAGACTACAGCCACTTTTCTCCCCAAGAATATTTGCAGATTCTAAGCATAATGCAAGAGCGAGAATCCACACTTTACCCAGACAGAGCCACTGCCATGGGGTGAAACTATCAGCAAAGATTCTGTTGGCCTTACGGCGCTGGAGATAAAACAGGATATCCAAGGGGCTAAGATCCTGGTGAGGTGCTCTTTAAGACTTCTGCCAAATGCTGACTTTGCATGCAGCAGGAAGCCAAGAGGCAAAGTTTTCAGACGTCTTATACTGCAAACAAGACAAGGATTAGAGTTGAGATTTGCCAGAGACAGTGTCCCAAGAATTTAAGACTCTAAATTGAAATGCCTGTAAAGTAAAACTAGACTGTATGAAGACAAATCAAATGTACAAATAGCCTTAAAACAGTCTTGATTCACTTTAGTCCCTGATTGGATAAAAGTTATCAGCTCCCACACTAACATGTCTAAGAAAAGAAAAAATAAATCCTGTCTAAAAGATTATCATCTGGAGCCTTTACAATTTTTACAATGACAGTTATTCAATAAAAAATTATCAGGCTGCCAAAAAACAGACGCTTATGAATAAAAGCTAGGAGGAAAAAAAAACCCAACAGGCAACAGAGTTTTACCAATAATTTAATTTTAAAAGAATCAAATGGAAATTCTAGAACTGGAAAACAACTGAAATTACTACTTAATATAAGTTGAATAGACTAAACAGCAAAAGGTAAGACTAGAAAACTTTTTAAAAGATCAATGAAGGTATTTTCACTAAACCAGAGAAAAAAATATAGGTATTACAAAGAGCCTAAGGCAAACGTGAGACACAGTGCAAGAGTCTAACACCTACTTAGTGGAGTCACAGAAGAAAAAGAGAGAAGCAATATTTGAAGAGGTAAGTAAGAATTTTCCAAAACTGGCCAACGAAAAATTGTAATATCTTGGGGCTTAAATATAAGTAGAATTAAAATGCATGCCAACAGTAATGTAAAAACCATGAGGGATAAATGGAGTAAAAAGTGTTCTTCATGGGGAAAAAGGTATTCTAAGGTTTTAGCATTCTTGGGGAAGTGGGGTAAAAATAATGATTGGCAGTAGCTCAAGTAACTCCATGAAGTATACTGTAATCTCTACAGTAACCACTACAAGAAAAGACAGCATAACTAAAAATAAAATAGATTTTTAAAAGGAGAGAAAAAGGGAAAGATTGTAAATAAGTATATAATTATATTATTTATAATTACATTTATACATAAGCCCAAATACTCCGTTAGACTAGATCAAAATCAGAATTTATTAATGTAATTTAGCCCATTAACAGAAAAAGGAGGGAAAAGATCACTTTGATAGTTGCAGAAAAAGCATTTGATAAAATTCAGTACCCATTCAAGATGAAAACGCTACAAACCAGGAATAAATCCTTAATTTTAAAAGTGTCTTAAAACACACACACACACACACACACACACACACTCACTCTACAGTAAGGTTTCCCTGAGAAACGGGAATGAGGCAAGAAGACCACTACTACCACTTCCATTCAACATGTACTAGAGGTCCTATCCAGTACCTTAAGGCAAAAATAAATAAATGAAAAGCATAAGAATTGGAAAGGCATAAAGAAAACGGTCACTATTCACAGTTAACATGCTTAAGTCAGACACACTAACAGGAATAACAAGGAAGTTTGTCAAGGATGCTGTATACTAAGTCAGCATATAAAAATCCATTATATTTTTATGTTAGCAACAATTGGAAAGCAAAAATTTTAAAAGATACCAAAGTATAATTTAAAAGTCTACTTCCTAGAAATAAATCTAATGAAGGATGCCATCTTTACACTGAAAACTACACAATGATATTAAGAGAAAGTACAGGTAAGCTAAATTAATGAAGGGATATACAGTATTCATAAATTAGAAAATTCATTATTCTAAAGACATCAATTTCAATATATGCAGACTGACTTCAACCATTGTGGAAAACAGTGTGGCGATTCCTCAAAGACCTAAAAACATAACTACCATTCGACCCAGCAATCCCATTACTGGGTATAGCCAAAAGAATATAAATTATTCTATCATAAAGACACATGCACACATGTGTCCACACACAGTGAACATATGTTCACTGCAGCACTATTCACAATAAAGACATAGAATCAACCTAAATGCCATCAATGGTAGACTGGATTAAAAAAATGTCATACACCACAGAATACTACACAGCCACATAAAAGAACAAGATCATATCCTTTGCAGGAACATGGATAGAGCTGGAGGCCATTATCTTTAGCAAACTAACACAGGAACAGAAAACCAAATACCACAGGTTCTCACTTGTAAGTGGCAGCTAAAAGATGGAAACACATGGACACATAGCAGGAAACAACATACACAGGGGCCTATTAGAGGGTAAAGCGTGGGAGGAGGGAGAGGATTAGGAAAAAGAACTAATGGGTACTAGGCTAACTAATACCTGGGTAACGAAATAATCTGTACAACAAACCCTCATGACAGGAGTTTACCTATATAACAAACCTGCACAGGTACCCCTGAACTTAAAATAAAAGTTTAAAAAAATTATGTATTTTCAGACTAACATATAAACTCAATGTAATAACAATAAAAATCCCAATGCTGCTTTTTGTGGAAACTGACAAGTTGATTCTAAAACTTACATGGAAATGCAAATGGGTCAAGAATACCAAAGCAATCATGAACAACAAAGTTGAAAGACTTAGAAGTAGAAAACATAAACCTAAAATATAGCAACTGTAATTATGACAGAGTGGTACTAGTGGAAAAACAGAGAAGTTGACTAATGAAAAAGGAGAATGCAGAAGCGCGCGCGCACGCAAACACACACACACACACACACACACACACACACACACAGGCACATGCATACACACACACACATACCTACACAAACAGTTCATTTATGACCAAGGTAACAATGAAGTACAATATGGAAACGGGGTGGTCAAAAACATATTCAAAAGGGCCATAAAGAATACATCATATTCATTATGGCTTTATAGAAGTACACAGAGAAAAATGATACGAGATGGGTATTACTTATTGGCTTCCTATGAGCCCAATTATGCAAAGAGCTCTACTATTCCAGCAGGTGCTTCCTAAGAGGGACAACCATTTCTAGTAGCTAACTTCTCTCTGCAAGTATACTTTCTACTCATTCCAGCAAGCCACTAACAAACTTCTTCACCAAGAGCTTTCAACTCATAATTTTTCTCCCCAAATATTACAAAGAGAACTATTTTGAAATTTGTTTTATAATAATCTGCTTCACAGCCAACTTTGCAGAAACTTATCTGTACTATAAGGAAGGGGCTATCTAAAATGTATAAATAACATTTTCCTGAAGAGAGGCAATTTAAAAACGATGAGAACAGATTTTTTCTAAAGGTTTTCAATATGCCAGGCTTAAGTATTTATCTAATTGATTCTCAAATTAACTCTAAGAAGAAGATAATAACTGCCTCTATCAATATTATAGATAAGTAAACTAGGTCGCAAAAATGCAAAGTAACCTACCCAAAGTCTTAGCACTAAAATTTGGCAGTGCTTGACTGGATTTGAGTCCAAGCTTACACTAAATTCTTTAAGACATGTCCTTTCCAGCATGTAAGTAACAGATAATGCTTAGTTTTAATAACCCAGAACAAAAGGGAGTCATACTGTCTTATCAATTCATATGTGACAAAGTATACAGTTTTTCTAGTAATTTTCTGATTTCTAGATACCTGAGTCACATACTGCACCCAAGACGGAACTTTGAGAAAAATGCATATGGTTCAAGGCAGTGAAATGAACACATTTATCAATCTCTTTTATTTCCCAACACGATACTCAATGAGATGACAACAAATTTTTACAAAAAAATAAACCAATAACAACGTTAGAAAATAAGAAAGGGTGTGACACTGGTACATCAGACATTTTTAAAAATTCAAGTCAGAGGAACGGCAATAAATTAGCAGAGATATAAAGGTAGATAAATCACAATCCAGGGTACTGTAAGTATCCATGTTTCTTTCAAGGAGGCCCAAAGAAAAACTAACCTTTCATCACATACACAAAGAGCAGGAAAAGGCCAAGTGGCAAGCCTCAGAGTAATTATTTTAGAAACAGTATTTAGGCTAGATGAGACAGCTGGGGCTCTACCCTTCCCCAAGGGTGGCAGTTGTAGCTTTTACCATCACGCCAAAGCCCAACAATTGCCCTCTAAAGGAAGAGGGACACCTGTCTGGGTATGTCTCTTGTGAGAGCGCCAATTCCTGAGAGACAAACAGGATACAGGTTGGACTAACTCTCAATATCATAGCAGACATTAGGAATGAGATGCGAAGAAAAATAAGGAGAAAAGATAACTTCTAACAGAAATCAAATAGAGCACTCTCCCACACAAAATAAAGCCCTCCTTACTTTGACATGTGTAACAGTTCCCAGCTTACGCATGCAACTTCAGGGAAGTCATCACGTTGAGACACCTTGCCCACTTGTACCGAAAGTGTCCATAACCTTCCCATTCAAGGAAGAGGATGCTGGGGAAACAGATCTACACAACTGCCCTGAAAACCATGACAGCCAGATACCATCTTTTAGCAACACAGTCCCTCATCCTAATATATGAACGGAAAGCCAAGGATAACAGACATTTGGGGAAAACTAATAGATAAAAGAGAAGGTCCAAAATGGGAAGAAAAAAATTAACAAAGAACTCTCATAGAAATGGAGACAATTCAGGGGACTGAATGGTATACTTTTAAAAAATTTCTCTTAAAGTACAATTGAATAAGACAAGAACAAGCTGCTTTGAAAAAGTGGTCAGAAACTAAGACTTCTTGATTAAAAATAAATGACAAAATAAGTTTAATGTGCAAGATAAATAATAATATAGTCATAACTGATGCATTAATAGAAAATAAAAGATAAAGACAACTTCTGAGGAGACAGATTAAAAACACAAATATAGGAAATATGAGAAATGAGGGAACTGTGGGTCAGATTGACGAGGTCCAGTATTGATCTGACAGGTGATCTTAAAGAAGGTAAGACTAGGAACAACGGAGATATATAAAGAGAAAAACACAAGATTATTTCCATAATCTGAAGGGAGACACAAGTTCATAGACAGGCCTCATCAACTGCCAAGAATGATTACTGAAAAAAGATCTATACCTAGACACATCTGGATAAAACTACAAAATTCCATTAAAAAAAGAAAATCCTAAAACTTCTATGTTATCTACAAAGGAACAAGTCAGACTAAAATCTGAATACTGTATTAAGGCAAGGGGTAAATGCTGTTAAGAAAAAAAAAGCTGAACTTAGAATTCCATACTCAGGTTGGGTGCCATGGCTGCTGCCTGTAATCCCTGCACTTTGGGAAGTCGAGGCAGGTGGATCACTTGAGGTCAGGTGTTTGAGATCAGCCTGGCCAACATGGCAAAACCCTGTCTCTACTAAAAACACAAAAATTAGCCGGGTGTGGTGGCAGGTGCTGTAGTCCCAGCTACTTGGGAGGCTGAGATAGAAGAATTGTTTGAACCCAGGAGGTGGAGGTTGCAGTGAGCCAAGATTGTGCCACTGCACTCCAGCCTGGGTGACAGAGTGAGACGCTGTCTCAAAAAAAAAAAAAAAAATTCCATACTCTATTTAAGAATGAGGACCAAATAAAGGACATTTTCAGACAACACATACTTGAAAAGTTTGACATCCTATATTTAAAATGTATTCTGAACCCAATTAAACTCTAAATTTTTTTGTATGGCACACCCTTACGAGTAAAAAAAATCAGAATATACTCTCAGTATAGTTTTATAAAATATATACATCACTATATTAATATATGTATTGTAAAACATACTAAAAAATTAAAAATTACAGATAAAAATTAACACACAATTTAATTTCTAATAAATCCTGATACTCCCCTAAATTATTTTGTGTGCCTTTTACACGAATGTCTCATTTTAAAGACCACAGCTCTAACCAAATGAAGAAAACATGGAAGTGAAGACAACAGAGCTGAATAACCTTAGAGGAAAAGTAGGAAACAACAACAATCAGATGAGAATCCACTAGAATTTTCCACTTGGAAAATTTTCAATTGATGAAATTTTCATGTACACAGGATTACATTTCATACTCTGTGGGTCCATTCCACTTTGTTCTAAAGTAAATATTCATATAATCATCTATTTCTAGATTTAAAAAATCATTAGAATTGATTTAAAAAGTAAAAAAAGTTATAGTCAGAACAAAATGCAAATACCTTGATGATGCAAAATTAACAACTAATTAAAACTGGGAGATTGAAGGAGTAAGGAAAGGAACAAGACTATGATTCAGAAACATGGGTAATACTATCTAGAGCTAATAAAGGACATATAGAACATTATAGAAATCACTAACACAAGTAAAAGCAAGCACAATAAAACTGGGAGTGAAGGTGAGAATGGATGATACCCTATTGTCTCTACTCTCTCATGTAATGCAAAAATTGATACAATTACAACTTTTTTTTTTTTTTTTGAGACAGGTTCTCATTCTAACTCAGACTGGAGTGCAGTGGCACAGTCAAGGCTCACTGCAGCCTCAACCTCCCAGGCTCAAGAGATCCTCCTGCCTCAGCCTCCTGAGTAGCCGGGAATACAGCCATGTGCCACCATACTTTGCTAATTGTTTTTTGTGTATTTTTTTTTTTTTTTTTTCTACTTTTTATACTGATGCAGGTCTTGCTGTTACCCAGGCTGGTTTCAAAGTCCTGGCCCTGAGCAATCATCCTGGCTCACAAAGTGCTGGGATTACAGGTGTGAACCACTATGCCCAGCCACAACTTCTATTTTTAAAAAAGCACTATTAAGTAGGAAAAAAAAGCAGTATATAACACAGTATGTCAATTATCTGGAAAACTGAAATCAGTTACTGACTGCCAGTCAGCTCATGTGAAACACTTGTACCACCCTGATACAGTTTGGCTCTGTGTTCCCACCCAAATCTCATCTTGTAGCTCCCATAGTTCCCATGTGTTGTGGGAGGAACCCGATGGGAGACGAGTCATGGGGGCGGGTCTTTCCCATGCTGTTCTCATGATAGTGAATGAGTCTCATGAGATCTGATGGTTTTAAAAACGGGACTTTCCCTGCACAAGCTCTCTTCTCTTGTCTGCCACCATGTGAGACATGCCTTTTGCCTTCTGCCATGATTGTGAGGCTTCCCCAGCCACGTGGAACTGTAAGTCCAATTAAACCTTTCTTTTGCAAATTGCCTGGTCTCAGGTATGTCTTTATCAGCAGCATGAAAACGGATTAATATAGTAAACTGGTACCAGTAGAGTGGGGCACTGCTGAAAAGATACCCAAAAATGTGGAAGTGGCTTTGGAACTGGGTAACAGGCAGAGACTGGAACGGTCTGGAGGGCTCAGAAGGAGGCAGGAAAATGTGGGAATTTGGAACTGGGTAACAGGCAGAGACTGGAACAGTCTGGAGGGCTCAGAAGGAGACAGGAAGATAGGGAGTTTGGAATTCCCTAGAGACATGTTGAATGGCTTTGACCAAAATGCTAATAATGATATGGACAATGAAATCCAGGCTGAGGTGGTCTCAGATGGAGATGAGGAATGTGTTAGGAACTACAGCAAAGGTGGGTCTTGTTACGTTTTAGCAAAGATACTGGTGGCATTCTGCCCCTCCCTAGAGATTTGTGGAACTTGGAAGTTGAGAGAGATGACTTAGGGTATCTGGTGGAAAAAATTTCTAAGCAGCAAACCATTGAAGAGGTGACCTGGGTGCTGTTAAAGGCATTCAGTTTTATAAGGGAAAGAGTATAAATGTTTGGAAAATTTGCAGCCTGACAATGTGATAGGAAAGAAAATCCCATTTTCTGAGGAGAAGTTCAAGTCAGCTGCAGAAATTTGCATAAGTAATGAGGAGTCAAATGTTAATTCCAAGACAATGTGGAAAATGTCTCCAGGGCATGTCAGAGACCTTTGCAGCAGCCCCTCCCATCTCAGGCCTGGAGGTTCAGAAGGAAAAAATGGTTTCATGGGCTGGGCCCAGGGTCCCTCTGCCCTATGCAGTCTAGGGACTTGGTGCTCTGGGTCCCAGCCGCTCCAGCTGTGACTAAACGGGGTCAAGGTACAGCTCAGGCTGTGGCCTCAGAGGGTGGAAGCCTCAAGTCTTGGCAGCTTCCATGTGGTGTTGAGCCTGCAGGTGCACAGAAGTCAAGAATTGAAGTTTGGGAACCTCTGCTTAGATTTCAGAAGATGTATAGAAACACCTGAATGCCCAGGCAAAAGTTTGCTGCAGGGGTGGGGCTCTCATGGAGAACCTCTGCTAGGGCAGTGAGGAAGGAAAATGTGGGGTCAGAGCCCTCCCCCAACAGAATCCTACTGGGTCACCTCTCAGTGGAGCTGTGAGAAGAGGGCCACCATCCTCCAGACCCCAGAATGGTAGATCCACTGACAGTTTGTACCGTGCGCCTGGAAAACCCGCAGACACTCAACAACAGCCTGTGAAAGCAGTCAGGAGGGAGGCTGTACCCTGCAAAACCACAGGGGCAGAACTGCTTGAGACCAAAGGATGTTGCATCAGCATGGCCTGGATTCAAGACATGGAGTCAAAGGAGATCATTTTGAAGCTTTAAGATTTGACTGCCCTGCTGGATTTTGAATTTGCATGGGGGCCTGGAGCCCCTTTGTTTTGGCCAATTTCTCCCATTTGGAACAGCTATATTTACCCAATGCCTGTACCCCCACTGTATCTAGGAGGTAACTAACTTGCTTTTGATTTTACAGGCTCACAGGTGGAAGGGACTTGTCTCAGATAAGACTTTGGACTGTGGACTTTTGAGTTGAGACTTTGGGGGTTAACTACTCAAAACCAGTTGGAAAGGCATGATTGGTTTTGAAATGTGAAGATACGAGATTTGAGAGGGGCCAGGGGCAGAATGATATGGTTTGGCTCTGTGTCCTCACACAAATCTCATCTTATAGCTCCCATAATTCCCATGTGTTGTGGCAGGGACCTGGTGGGAGATGACTAAATCATGGGGGTGGGTGTTTTTCGTGATGTTCTTGTGACAGTAAGTCTCATGAGATCTCATGGTTTTAAAAACGGGAATTTCCCTGCACAAGCTCTCTTCTCTTGTCTGCTGTCATGTGAGATGTGCCTTCTGCCACGATTGTGAGGCTTCCCCAGCCACGTGGAACTGTAAGTCCAACTAAACCTTTCTTTTGTAAACTGCCCGGTCTCAGGTATGTCTTTATAGGCAGTGTGAAAACGGACTAATATACACCCTCATTAGTCTACTTCATTTATTGTCTTTTACTATAGAGTTTATGTGCATGGCTGTGGTATTACCTAAGTATAATATCATCTCTAGTTTATTAATTTCTGTAAGGCAAAGCCTAGCACAACACTCAGTGTTGGTTTAAAAATAAAATGAAAAAGGAAGGGGGCTAGTTACGTGTTTTGAGAGAATTAATGGAATAGCTAATTTTGACCTACACGTGAAAACAGAAAGTCCATCTTGTAGTTTTAATTACTCAAAACCAGTTTACTTAAAGTTGACTAAAATGTGTACTAAATGGATAGGCTCGTCTCTGAAATAGAAACAGCTGTGTCTTTCAGAAGACTGATTAGACTAAGTGGCAGAGCTGGACACCACTGCTATAGAAAAGAATGTGCAGGGGCAAGAAGAGGGGGTGGTTAAAGATGCAGTAATGGCAACAGCTGAACCTTCAAGAAAAAAAAATTGGCTAAGGACAGGAAAAAATATTCCTTCTTCTTAGTTATATATATTTCTATTTAAAGGGGAAGCCAACAGAGCTGGGGGAAAGGAAGGGAGGGATGTGTACACTGAAGTAACTGGCGTTGGTAATATATTTACACAGGACCCCAGTTTTAAAAAAAAGGGTGGGGGTGAACAAATACCTTCATTTACCTTATAGTTTACTTACCTGGGTCCTTGAGGCATAAGTGAAATAGCTATTCTGTAGTGTGAGCTCTCTGCCCCAAGCAAAAGGCAACCTCCCTTCAAAGTCTGACAGGTTTTTTCAGTCAATTGTATCAGGTTGAATTACATGACACTGACATTTTTGTATGTCAAAGGCAGAATATTGGCAATTTCATGTGGTCCTAAAGCAACAATCCCCCCTCAAGTGATTACAATGGTAGACCTTAAGGCTTTCTGTTTTTCTAGGGCAGTAAGTCTCAAAGTTAAGTGTGCAGTAGAATTACCTTGGAGGGCCTGTTAAAACAAAATGCTGGGCTTCAATCCGGGTGTTAAGGGTTCAGCGGGTCCGGGTCAGCTTCCCAAATTTGCATTTCTAACAAAGTCTCAGGTCGTCCTGGGATCTCACACTAAGAACCTCTGTTCTAGTCTGAAGGCTGAACTAGGAAGCTGTCAATACCGCTAACACACACAAAAAACTCATCATCATTCCCCCAGGTGTTCATTTGTCCTCCATCTCTGAATAAGTCTTCCATTTTACTTGGGTACTATGCTAAGGAACTGGCTTACTTTCAACTTCTTTTTTGGGGGGTCTTATTCCAATGTTAGGGAATCTCTTTTGAAATCCACAACATTCTCCAACACTGAAAGCAAGGAGGTAGTTTTAATTACATTTTATAGATACATGAAAAGTTTACAAGGGTAAAGACTTCCAGATATTTTTGGAACAACTCTTTTTCTACTTGATAATTCCTAAAAGCTATTAACACATGCTGTTATAAAAGAGAAGATTTAGAGCCTCTGTTTACTGCTGCCTTGTCACTTACTGCCAGGGTTCTCCCACACACACAAAAAAAACAACTAAAAATTAAACTAAGAGTGAACCCCTGTGTACACAATATAACGCCACAAAATCATTTCATTTCTGTTGCTTTAATGTATTTTCAAAGAAAAGATTAAAAGCAAGAAATCATCTAACAACATTTCTAGATATAGGCATAATGTCATTTTCCATGGCAACAGTAAAAATGGAAAAAAAAAAAAAAAAAGCTCTGGGGTCCACGTGCTGAGATACTTGGATTCTACTTCTACCCATTTCACATTTCAGGCTATGTATTCTTTGGCACATCACTGAGCTTCTGGCTATAGACAGAACTGGAGGCAAGAATTGCTAAACTCTGTCCAGTTCCACCATAAGTTAATACAGATTCATAAACTAGTTTAAGATTTACTCAACATCACCAAATAATTTCCTCACACTGCAATTACCTTCTTTTAAAATACCAACTACAGGTCACTGCAGAACCTGATTACTTTTCCTATAGCATAACATATTAAAGATATTCTGGATCTCTGGAAACCATTTTTTACAATCATCATTTGCAAACAACTACATTTATATGGCATGCTAGTTGTGACAAGTCCAATTTTTTCTATTATGTATTAATAATATTGTATAAACAAGGCATATAAGAAAAGACGAAGCCCAGTGTACCTATGTTAATAGTCTTATACAGTATTAGGATTTTTAAAAATCAACTTTATTCAGTTAGCATCACAGTTTATAACTACAGTTATAAGAGGTAAGATTTCAAATTATAGTAATATATAAACAGGGTAGTAAACTACAATGGGCCAGACTAGCAGTTAGGTGACTACTCACAACGGAAAGTTGCACAGCCTCTTCTTTTTTTAAAAAATCATTCATTCATTTGTTCACTCTCTTTCTCTCTTATTCATTGACCCATTTGAGTATTTTGGGGGAACCTACACTAATGTAGGCCATGTAGAAACAAGGAAGAACAACACAAAGACAGCCTCTAACCTCATAATTTGAACTAGCTCTCAGAGGTCCTCCAGATAAAATCTTCTACAACTTCCAATGTGCTTAAGTGAATAAACAAAATAGCAAAACCTGACCATGCCTTTTTTGGTAAAAATTACAAATAGCTGAAACCAAATGTTGTGACCCAAATGTATGTCTGTGTACATGTATGTACGCAGGTATGTATATATTTTTAAGCAACACAAACACGATAAAAGGAACAGGATCATCCAGATACTCTTAATGCCAAAGCAGTACCTTCAAGTTCACTACAGTCTCTAAAAACAAATTTACTTGAGCACTGGCCTACAAAGTTTTGCAAATTTCAGCAATGGCTTAAAGCTCTTAAAAGACAGAAGGAATCAGAAATTACCTATGCATAATTAGTCTTTTATAAAACATTATGGAATAGAAAAGTATACATTTTTGATATAACAAAATTTTTAGTCAATTTAATTCAAGCTCTAGTTTATAAACTATAGTAACATTCTTTTACTCAGCTCATAGAGGAGGTTATTTCAACTAGTGACAGATAATTTAACCTTATCTCTTTAAGCACCAACACTGCATTTTAATCTTAAATGTCACCTCTTCCGTAAAACTTTCACTAACCACCCTTTGTCCCTATACCATTTTCCTGGGTAAAAATTACTCCCTAGCTACCTGGAACTTTCACAAAAAATGCCACCCATACAGAATTAATCAAATGTATTGTAGTTAATAGTATAATAATCTGTAAGAGTTTGCTTTACACATTAAAACTTTACTTTTTTAAAAATTTATTTTTATTTTATTTTTCTGATAGAGTCTCACTCCGTCACTCAGGCTGGAGTGCAGTGGCATGATCATGGCTCACTTCAGCCTTGACCTCCCAGACAAGCAATCTTCTTGCCTCAGCCTCCCATGTAGCTGGCACTACAGGTGCATGCCATACCTGCATAATTTTATGTCTGTTTTGGGACGGGGTCACACTATGTTGCCCAGGCCAGTCCTGAACTCCTGGGCTCAAGTGATCCTCCCACCTAAACTTTATTCTTCACATACAATATTTCATTTGATCCTCTAGACAAACCTGTTAAGTATTTACTTCTATTCTACATATAGGGAAACTGAAACACAGAAAAGCAATGCTACTTAAGGTCACAGAGTTGTTTTTTTTTTTTTAAAGCCCAACAAATCAGAAATTGAATCCAGAATTTTTAAGTGAAAACACTATGATTTTTTCCAATTCATCAAATATGCTAAGCTCCTTGAGATTACTATATTTCCATCTTTATGCAACCACTGCCTAGTATAGAATGTGACAGAAAGTAAGCAAAGATATGCTGACTGGATAAGAAGTCAACCACTAGTAAAGAATTAATGTTTACAAAACAGTACATAATTTAATGCCTTCTAAAATAAAGCACCAAAAATAATTTAGTATTACAGAATGATCCAGAGAACACCATCACAGTTAAAAGTTTAGTTTCTGATATCAGACTTGGGTTCAATCCCAAAGCAGTGTAAGGTCTCTGGGTCTCAGTTTTCTTGTCTATAATATGGGAATAATAAATGGTAATTATCTCAAATGACTGGTATATTGAATGGGAATGTACAGAAGACACCTAGTACAGTGTCCGGTAAATAGAAAGCACTCAATAAATTATTCATATGAGTATCAATATAAAACTCAAAGATAGAGCTTGTTTACAAAATAGAAATAATCTTGGGAACTATGAAAGACAGCAGAGTTAAATTTGTCCAAATATAGTTTTAAAGGTTTTATTCTTGCTGTTTAAACTTTAATTGCTTGGCTCTCCATCAGGTATACACCAGCTATTAACTCTGCTCTTCTCACACTGCTTATCTCTAGTAGCTCCAATCTGCCTTTTAATACAAGCAATGTGGATGTGCAGTTGGAAAAAGACAGATTGATGTCTAACATGTCCGTTAGGAATTGTATAACCTTTGAGGGAACTTTCTGGAGTAATGGAAATGATCTATATCTTGATTTGGCTGTTGTTTCAATGGTGAATACCTCCTTCGAAACTCACTGAAATGTATCTGTAAAGTCTGTGTATAAAACTTTGTAAATTAAAGAAACTTAGGTTTTATACTCTTGAACAAGTTACTTTCCTTTTCTGGCCCTTAATTTTCTCATTTTCAGAAAGAGAATAATTCTTCACTCATAAAAGTCATATTACAGGAGTATTACAGGAGATAAGGTCTATACTTAGGGTAGTTCCTGCACAGTTATTGCAAATTCTGGATCTACTAATATTAACCCTAAGCATTTTTCAAATTTACCTTAGTTTTAAAACAAATTCATCTATAATAAAAACTATGTTCTCTCCTTCTCCCTTCTCTCATTCTTCCCCAACCTTTTCTGTTTCAGAACAATTTGGCTAAACATTTTATTAAAGCTTCCGCCACTTCCAAAGTTTTCTTTCTTTTTTTTTTAACAAAATCATAATAGAGTCATTTGCCTTCATTATTTCTCTTCCTTCTTCATTTACCAAGTCAGAATTTCTTTTTCCTTTTCTTTTTTTTTTTTTTTTTTTGAGACAGTTTCGCTCTTGTTGCCCAGGCTGGAGTGCAATGGCACAATCTTGGCTCACTGCCACCTCCGCCTCCTAGGTTCAAGTGATTGTCCTGCCTCAGCCCTGCAAGTTGCTGGGATTACAGGTGTGCGCCACCACACCCAGCTAATTTTTGTATTTTTAGTATTTTGTATTTTTGCACCATGTTGGCCAGGCTGGTCTCAAATTCCTGACCTCAGGTGATCCGCCCGCCTCGGCCTCCCAAACTGCTGGGATTACAGGCATGAGCCACCGTGCCCTGGCCTAGGTCAGATTTTTTTTTTTTTTTTGAGACGGAGTCTCGCTCTGTCACCCAGGCTGGAGTGCAGTGGCGCGATCTTGGCTCACTGCAAGCTCACCTCCTGGGTTCACGCCATTCTCCTGCCTCAGCCTCTCAGGTACCTGGGACTACAGGCACCCGCCACCACGCCTGGCTAATCTTTTGTATTTGTAGTACAGACGGGGTTTCACCATGTTAGCCAGGATGGTCTCGATCTCCTGACCTTGCGATCCTCCTGCCTCAGTCTCCCAAACTGCTGGGATTACAGGCGTGAGTCACCGCACCCGGCAAGAAATATTTTACTTAAAATTACTGAAGATTTCTTTACCCATCTTGCCCCAAAATTAATCTGCTACGATTCAATCCTCAAAAGCCTAATGCTCCAATGAAAGGAAACAACAAAGTAAGCAGCAGTCAGAGATCAGAGGTGTAATAATTGTCGGAAGTTCTAAAAGATATGCATCGATTCCACAATACTCCTGCCAACCTCTAAAAATCAAGAATATTCTCTCTAACATCCCAACCACCCTCTATAATCCATCAAGAACCTGTCATCCACCTATTTATGTAAAAAATTATGTAATTTATTTCCCGTATTATGCCTGTAAACACAAACATGTCTCATAGTTATGGTACTTAATTCCATACTTTGAAAATATAATTGTGTTAAAGTAACAGTTCTTTTACTAGTTTTCAAATCAGTTTTTTAAATGTCTAAGCAATGCTCTTTGTTCTAGAATTCCAGGACACTGGCACAACTTCACATTTGTCTAGCATTTACGGAACAAACATTTATAAAGTACCTAAATAGGTCAGGCACTGGTGAAACAAAGATTATGAAGATAAGGTCAAGGAGGTAAATACTCAATTAAAGCAGATAAACCAGAACTGCTCAAATAATATTCTTTTCTTACACCTGTGAAGGATCTAGAAAAAAGGAATATGGAGCAATTAAGAGTTCTTTCAACTCCCTGATGTTGTTTCCAGACCACTTTTCCAGCCTTCTTCCAAAACTGTTTGGCAACTGTGTGAGTCAAATGCTATACCCTCTTCCCCTCTTTTCCCTGGCTATCATGGGCTCACCTCTTCTACTGGTAGTTAGGTTCCCTTATTAAGGACTTCATCAGTACTTGTCTCCCTCCACAGTTTTCTTCACTATTTCTATCATCACCTTGGATGAGTGCACCCTGTGGACTTTCAACCTACCAGCATCAAATTCCTTGACATTCCTGAATGATCTCACCCACATAACATTATAGCAATCTTTTCCAAACAAACTTATTAGCTAGAATAGCTTGACCAACTCTGAAAATAAACCTCAGTGTATCTTTTACAACAGACCTTATTCCTGTTCTGTCATCAATTTAATCCCTCAATATCTCTTATTACCAATACTTCCTTAGCCTCTTCCCATTTTTTAAGTCATTATTCCCATTATGCCTTCACTTCCTTCCTCGTCAAACCTCAAACCCACAATACATCACAACTTCAAAGACGCTCTAGCAAGCATGGTTAACATTTCACTCCTTTGTTCTTTTACCGCAACCATCCTGTAAACCCTCCACTCCATATCAATCTAACCACCCACTATCTGCTTCTTTGAGCTGATGAACAATGCTGTAAAAAAATCTTAAAAAGCAGAATAGCAGCTTCATAAGTTATGCTTTCACTAAACATGTACTTCTGTTTTTTTTGTTTTTTAGCTAATTGCCATCAAACAGGTTTATTCCAAAATAAAAATCTTACAAATAATGAATGACATCTTAGCTCTTCTGATGATGAGCTAATAATTCCAATAGTCCTGTGACTAGCAATAATCAGTAAATACTTTTGAATATGTAGAGCACAAGTATTTACCAAATGGCTGCTCTACCTTAAAACAGTACTTTGCAGCAGTAAGAAATGAAGCCAGTTATAAAAATAATAGCTGTAAAAAGTTAGGCATATAAAATGTAGAAAGGGAAAACTATGAGCTTATCTGGAGTTAAGAGTCGATGTGCATATCTTAAAAGAAGAAATCAACAAATATTATCCCCAAAAGGTACAGGAATGACACTTCTCTACATATGATTCTAACATAATCTACAATGATTAAGGAATGAGAAAAGAATTACAATCTTAACACTGAAAAGGATTCAAGGGAAAAATATTTTTTGCACTCTTGGATTTTCACTACAAAATGACAAAAAATACAGCTTAGCAACACTTCTGTGAAATTTAAAAGAAAAACTCCACAAATAACAAGAAATTAGACATAAAAACACACAGCATGCTGTGAGGAAATGGTAAAATTTATTCTGCCAACTTTTTTCAAGTTCTGAAAATTGAGAAAGATCTGCTCATATAGTGTTCCCCTTCTTTCAACTGTAGCAAAACCCCACAGAATAATGAATGAACACAACCTGCAATCTGGGTAGATGGTCAAGTAAGAACAAGCGCATTCCAGCATTGTGTAATTAGAGCTTTGGGCCAATGTTGCAAACTCACTCAGTCAAATAAAAAAGCCTACAAAACTTTTCACCAGCTTGCAAAATCTTAAAACTCATCCATGTTTATCAAGTTAGAAGTGCACTATTTGTCAGAAAGTCAATAAACTACACTGCGGAGCTATAATTTTCATGACCGTCTCATTTTCCTTAAATTATACTTAAATTTGTTGTATATTCTGCATCTTACCAACTGGCAAGGTGACCAGAATCATCTGATAGGTTTTATGAAAATATACAGGTGTCTGTTCCACGTTCCCCTGGTGTTCACAAAGGAGGGGACCAAGGGTAGGAGTAGGGAAAGGAATCATGTTTATTTTGAGAAAATAGCCTACCCACAACTTAATACCATGTTACACCCACCAGAATGGCTAAATATATGAGACAGAATATCAAGCCAATGTTCCAGAGTATGTGGGACAACTAGAAATTCTCATCTACTACTGATGAGGTTATACATTGGTACAACAACTTTGGAAATCACTGGGTTATACTAAAACTGAACAAGGCACACATATGACCCAGTGATTATATTACAAGGTACATTACCCAGGGAAATGCACACATGGGACCAAAAGACATGCACAGACAGGAATACAAGGATATTTTACAGGGACTCTATTCATGACGGCCCCAAACTGGAAACAACCTAGATGTCCATTAACAGTAAAACAGATAAATCATGATATACAGAGTCATACAGTGGAATATTATGAAGCAGTGAGAATAAACTATTGCTACAGGCAACATGCTTGAATCTGTGAAAGGAAAAAACCCTTGGGACCCCAGAATCACTAAGCTAAAGGGAAAAGTCAAGCTGGAAACTGCTCAGGGCAAACCTGCTTCCCATTGTATTCAAAGTCACCCCTCTGCTCACTGAGCTAAATGCATTATCTGATTGCCTCCTTCTGAGAGGCAAATCAGAAACTCAAACGGAAGCCCTCTCTCCCAGCTTCGAGTTGTCCTGCCTTTCTGGGCCAAACCAATATTAATTTTACATATGTTGATTGATGTCTCATGTCTCCCTAAAATGTATAAAACCAAACCATGCTCTGACCGCCTTGGGTACATGTTTTTAGGACCTCCTGAGGCTGTTACCCCAGCGCAGGTCCTCAACCTTGGCAAAATAAACTTCCTAAATTAACTGAGACCTGTTTCAGATATTCGGGGTTTATGGATCACATAACCATATATGTATGTTTAAGGTAAGAAGCCAGGATAAAACACCATACATGCTGTATGATGATATGTGCATGTCTTTGCATGTTACACTTCAAAAGTTTACTTAAAATAAAAAAGCAAAAAAAGTTTAACAAATAAATGAGCCCCCTTGATGCCCTGAAGTGTATAATAAAATCCTGCTCCCAGTACCATATTCCCTCTACCCTAAAATTGGGACAGGATACTTTTTTGAATCTTCCCTCATGCTAATTAATTTTTTTACATTAAAAATTTGTTTATATCAAAACAAAGAAAGGTATGTTAACAGAATGCAAAAGCCAATTTTTTTTTTTTTTTTTTTTGAGGTAAGGTCTAGCTCTATTTCCTAGGCTGGAGCGCAGTGACAAGACCATAGCTCACTGCCTCCTCAAACTCCTGAGCTCAAGTGATCTTCCTGCCTCAGCTTCCTGAGTAGCTGGGACTACAGGCGTGCACCACAACACCAACATGTGGCTAATTTTTTAATTTTATTTTTATTTTTATCATTTTTTTAAGATGGAATCTCACTCTGTCGCCTACACTGGAGTGCAGTGGTGCAATCTTGGCTCACTGCAACCTCCGCCTCCCAGGTTCAAGCGCTCCTGCCTCAGCCTCCCGAGTAGCTGGGATTACAGGTGTGTGCCACCACACCCGGCTGACTTTTGTATTTTTAGTAGAGACGGGGTTTCACCATGTTGCCAGGCTAGTCTCAAATTCCTTACGTCAGGTGATCCACCGGCCTCGGCCTCCCAAAGTGCTGGGATTACCGGCGTGGGCCACTATGCCCGGCCTAATTTTTAAATTTTTTATAGAGACAATGTCTTGCTATGTTGTCCAGGCTAGTCTAGAACTCCTGGCCTCAGGCAATCCTCCTGCCTTGGCCTCCCAAAGAGTTGGGATTACAGGCGTGAGCCATCATGGCCTCAAAACATTTGTAAGAGAAAACACTAAATTGAAAAGAATTTTAACATCAAAGCTCTCCCCCTTCACCACCATCATTACCACACTCAGACTGTCACCTCCCTTTGATTCCCCAAGAATTTCCTCTTCTCTGCCATCTATTTAATAGAAACATTCAAGAAGCACTGACCTACCTTAGCAGTGTAGTTACGAGGATTAAAACAAAAGATGTATATATAAAGTCCTTGGCACCATGCCTAAGTACTCAATGACTAGACACTTAATAAATCCCAAATAGTGAGTTCTTCCAGGTCAAGGGCTATTTCCAATTCATCACTGTAAATACAGGACCTGGTATTTAACAGTCAGTCAATAACTACTTGTGAAGTAAATGAATAATGTGAGTCCAAAATAAACAAACAAACAAACAAAAAACAATGAAAACAAAGCAAAAGTGGGAATGAAGGAAAAAGCAAGAAGTTCAAAGGAAGGTCTTAACCCATTTTTGTTATCAGGGTATACGAAAATATTATATTTTATTTTTATAGAACTGTGGTTCAGCAAGATGACAAGATTTTAAATCTCAAGGTGAACCAACAAAATCATGTGCATATAAAACTATTACAAAAACTGTCTCGGTATTATCTTTCCTCTATACACTGTGCAATGAAAAAGCAGTATATTTTAACTGAAATTAAAACACGCGTCAATAATACTGAAACCCTTTAAAAAAATTTCTGAATCAGTTTCTTATGAGGTTGACAGGAATCCCAACTACATCACAGGTTATTTTCAAGATATCCATCATAGCACATCAATATTCTGACTAAATATGTCATAACAGAGATGAAAGGAAAGCAGATTTCAGCTAAAACTTTATACAGTATTATTTTTATGAAAATAAAAATGTAATTTAGATGTCAAAATTGTCAAGACTGCAATCTTACATTAATTTTAAAAGACAAATCAATATTTTAATGATTTAATAATTTTAATATTCATTATGTGCACAAAATATCAATGAACCATTTGATAAGGCTCTTTTCCTCTCCCTTTTAAGCAAGCATCTACTTAGATCAGAAACAATACTGTTTTAATTAACCAATTTAATTAACCAATATATATGCAAAGCATTTAACCTCATGGAAAGCACATTATAAATGTATATACAACTCATTCAGTTCTCATAACAACTATATGGTTTTACCATTATCATTTCCATTTCCATTTTACAGAAGAGAAAACTAAGACTTTAAGTAACTTCCCTAAAGTCATACAGCTATTAAATGGCAGGGTGGCTGTATGCTCCTAGTCTCTATGCTCTGATGCCTGGAGAGCTCTGGAGTAAAGCAGACCTACGTTTGTCCAGACTTGACTTCATTTTGGGAGGTGAGTTGTCTTGAGAATCCTGAGTGACAACCACAAAACAAGGTAGCACTAATTCCACCTTTCACTAATTCTAAGACAGCTATTTTTGTCACATTTTAACATTTCTGAAATTGATAGCATCTTACAATTATAATCCGCAGTTCTCTCTCTCTGCGGTACATAAAATAATAATCCATCTGGTAATTGACAGCAACTGTGATTCAAAAAATTATGGTATTATCTATACCTCATGGGTTAGTGATTAGAAGTAAATGAGATAAAATGTCTTAAGTACTCAACACAGTGTCTGTCTGACACAAGTGCTTTACAAAGGGTACTTCTTCTCTTTTAATAAAATAATCTATAAGGAAATTTGATGTAAAGGTTATCTTTACACTGTAGAAAGCTGTCAGTTTCTCAGGCCCATGTGCGAATACACCTGGTATACCCTCTTAAGAAAAAATACTGGTTTCATTACACAACTTAAAGATGCAATTTTTGTTGATAAAACACTTGGGGGTAGGGAGAGGCAGAGAGACAACAGTAAAAATAAATCAGACACTTGAGAAAATAAAATCATCAACAATATTAATGCATAAACCAAGATACTCCACAATTCAAGCCAGTTCTCAAACGCCATTGATAAAATGCTTACAGGAAAAAGTATTTTCATGTTTTAAAAGATGTACTTCATTTATTATTTTTATTTTTAAATTCTACATGCAGGATAAAGGTTGCACTTTAAATGCAATGAGAAATGATCAAATCTGCTTAGTGTGTGCCCATGCCCCACTTGAGCTTTTCTACCAAAACTTAATTCCTAAACAGTTAGTAAAGGTTTAAACTGATCCTAAGTGTTGTCACCAAAAAAATTTAATTAAATGAAATTAAATTCACTTAGACATTTGGTAGCTTCCTGTATTTGTACTTGCTTTAGCAATCTCAGAACAAATTTATACTCACTGTTAATTTTATTTCATTTTTTTGTCTTATAAAAAACTACAGAGGAATTTCCTAAAACATTAAAAAATATATCCAAATGACAGCTGAAAAAACACCTTGAGACTATTGCAATCTTTACCTTAAAGATCACTTAATTATACTTTAATGTGAAGGAAGTTATCAGGAATAAAGAGGGGTATTATAAAGTGATACAGAGGTAAATTCTCCATAATTCTTAATTTATATGTACTTAACAACAGAGCATCAAAATATGTAAGGCAAAATCTGATTTGCAAAGAGAAATAGATGAATCCACTATTGTAGTTGGACACTTCAACACCCCTCTAACAGAAATGGGCCGATCCAGCAGGTAGAAAATCAGTAAGGACAAGTTTGAACTCAACAACACTATCAATCAACTAGACATAATGGACATCTATAGACTACTTCAACCAACAGCAGCATAATACCAAATACTGACAAGGATATGGAACAACAAAAACTCTCACTCATCGCTGATGCGAATGTAAAATGGTATGGCCACTTTGAAAGACAGTTGGGTGGTTTCCTACAAAACTAAACGTACTCTTACCATGCTACCCATCAATCATGGTCCTTGGTATTTACCAAGAGCTGAAAACTTATGTCTACACAAAAACCTGCATAAGGTTGTTCATAGCAGCTTTACTCATAATCTGCAAAACTTGTAAATAACAAAGATGTCCTTTAGTAGGTCAATGGATAAACTGTGGTACATCCAGATAACAAAATATTATTCAGCATTAAAAAGAAATGAGCTATTGAGCCATGAAAAGACATAGAGGAAACTTAAAATGCATAATACTAAGTGAAAGAAACTAATCTGAAAAGGCTACACACTTTGGAAATGGCAAAACAGTAAAAAGATCAATGGTTGTCAGGGGTTGCAGGAAGGAAGAATGAATAGACCTAGGTCAGAGGATTTTTAGGGCTGTGAAAGACATCATAATGGTAGATAGATGTCATAAAAATTGTCCAAACCCATAGAATATACTATACAATACCAACCATGAATCTAAGGTAAACCATGCACTCTGGATGATAATGATGGGTCAATGCAGATTCATCAGTTTAAAAAATGGGTCACTCTGGTGGGGAATGGTGATAATGGAGGAGGCTATGTCTGTATGGGTGCGAGGGATGTATGGAAAATCTTTGTAGATTCTGCTCAACTTCTTCAGTGAACCTAAAACAGCTTCAAAAACATAAAATCTATTTTTTTAAAAAATCACCTAACTGGGGGGTTCGAGGAGGGGAGATACAAATCTATTTTACACAAGAAAAAAATTGTTAAATTTGCTTCAGAAAACATACCCAAACAGGAAACAATGGTATTTTCTTTGTCAATAAATATAACATTATATTTTGTTATTTTTGTTTTTTGAATTTAATCTCAGCTCATACCTATAAAATAATATTTCAAAAGCATACTACTTTTTAGATATACTATCAATCTTCAGTTCTGCAGAAAATAAAAACACCTCTTTGTTTTTAATTGTTAACCCTAAATATTTTTACTTATTTATCTACTATAGGATGAAAGCAAATACACCAACTCCAAAGAAGTGTGTGTGTTGGGGGAAGGGGAGTATTTTCTAAATATATTCGTATTGCAGAGATGAGTATCTTCATCATACCTTCACTTTAGGTATATATACATATACGTATCTCCTATCTAACCTGTCCCAACCATGGTTTGAGGTGCAAAAATTTCATACTTGAGAATAAAAAAATCATTTTAATCTGCTAGCTTTTACCTATGTAAAGTTTAGTCTCATGTATTACACAATTCAGAATATAATGCTAATAATTATCCTGACCTCTTTTAGAACATATAAGCAGGTATAAAGAATACCAAACAGGAGCTATAGTTATGTTCAACATAAAGATAAAACGCCTCTAAAAGGGTACCTGTAAGAGCCATAATAAATACATGAAAAGCACACAGTTGTTATATAAGACATAACAAAACTTAAAACCAAGGAGAAGGCAAGAGCAAAAGATTTTAAAGCCAGTATGAACTAGTAAAAATAAATTTTTAAAGTTATAATTTTCTTAATTCCCTTGAGGCCAGGAGTTTGAGACAAGCCTGGGAAAGACAGTGAGACCCGTCTCTGCCAAAAAATAAAATAAACTGGATGTCTTCTAGAACTTTTCATTTACTGTGTTTTTAAAATTCACTTTGGCCAGACCCAGTGGCTCAGCCTATAATCCCAGCACTTTGGGAGGCTGAGGTGGGAGGATTACTTGAGGTCAGGAGTTCAAGACCAGCCTGGCCAACATGGTGAAACCCCATCTCTACTAAAAATACAAAAGTTAGCTGGGCATGGTGGCTGTGCCTGTAGTCCCAGCTACTCAGGAGGCTGAGGCAGGAGAATTGTTTGAACCAGGAGACAGAGGTTGCAATGAGCTGAGATCACGTCACTGCACTCCAGCCTGGGCAAAAGGGCAAGACTCTGTCTCAAAAAAATAGAAAATAAATAAAGAAAGAATAAAATTAATTTTAACATAATTTTCCTTTCTATCCCATTATTTTCTATGAGACCCTGCCCTTGCCAATTAAGGTTTTGCCAACTACAGTATTCTTCAAAAAGTTTATCCATGTCTATAGATAAATTGTATTCTACCCATGGTCCAAGAGAAAAGTCCAGGGATTTGTAGACTTTTTGATGTAATACAACCACCTAAAATAACATTTAAGCTATCAGGGGATGGCTGTCATTCTACTGAGCCCAGAAACACCATCATTGACCATATACCCAAGGTTTAGTACTACATCTTCACCAATCCTTAGCAAGGCTTTCCTTTTAAACTCCCTAAAATTGAGAGAAAAAGTTACATGTATAAAATTTCTTCCATAATAAGTCACTGGAATATAACTAAAATATTTATGCTATCAGTTATTGAATGAACCTGTAAGTATAGATTTAATACATATAATGTAAAGCTAACTAGCAAAAATAAAACACTACCTTGGGCAATAAATACTAAAACAAAGAAATATTTAATTCTTAAAGATATTAAAAAGATACCTCCACATTTAGTGACTATATGGGTGGTAAGGATATTAATAAAAAAAATCCAAAAAAGATACAAGTTCAAGTGAGAAACCTTTAAATGGCATGGCCAACCTCTCCAACCTACTACCCGTGTACTCTAGCCCCAATTTCTGCCTTTGCAGGCTTTCAAATTACTTGGAGTATCATTTCTTTAAACTCCTCTGCCACCTATGTTTAACTCGTCTTCTCCACCTGTGTAACTTGACTTTCAGAAACACTCTGCTCAAGGGTCATTTTCCTTGAAAGCCTCCCCTGATGCCCCTGCTCTGTGCTTCCAAGGCAACCTGAATAAACTGCCACGACAGCACTAATCACACAAGAAAAACAAATATTTGTTTAATCGTTCATGGTCCCTAGTCTCTGAATTCTAATCCCATACCTAGAAGTCTAGCATTCAGTGTCTGATAAATAGTGAGTATTTAAAAAATACATACTATGAATGAATAAGCTGTGAAAAGTTTTAGATACTTATAGAACAGCCAGATGATACTAAAAACACGTCTGAACTCAGGAAGACAGATATGGTTCATATTATAGATTTAATATTTTATTTTAATTTAGGATTGTAACTTCGGCAGATTAATACAAAATTCATCATCAAACAGTTTATGGGTGTATTGACAACCAGAAATATAAAATTTTCTTCATGTTGCTAAATTCAGCGTATGCTCTTTAGTTTGCCACTTAATTTCCCAGTTGCATTCAAAATATTCAACTGGCCACTCCCTTCTTTTTCAGTCTATTGCCTTGGCTTCAGTGATACCAACAAAATTTTCTTCCAACCTCTAGCTTCTTCCTTCTCAGCCTCTTTTGTTCCATTTCTTTCTACCAAAGTTCAAATGTGAAAGATTCATAGGGCTTACTCATAAGACCCCTTATCTTCTCCATACTATCTCCTTAAGCAATCTCATCCCTCACTCCCAGACATCAATTATAAACTGTACACTATTCCCAAATTTATTTCCAGTCCAAACCTCTTTGCTGAGCTCCAGACCTATACATCCAATTGCTACTAGGCATCTCTACTTATATGTCTCAGTCTCAAGTTTAGTAAGTCTCCAATTGAAAAATGACCAATACCTCCCCCTTCCCTGAAACTACAAAATAAAAAACTGCTCCTCCCCCAGTACTCTCACCTTAGGCACAAGAACTACTGGCCCTGGAAGTCAGCCTTTTCCTCTCCCCAGGACCCCCAAATCTCATCCATCTCTAAATCCTATCAATTTTTCCTCCCAAAATTTATTTGTCAAATCAGGCTAGTTTATCTCTATCACTGCCATCCTGAACCAAGGTTCCACCAACTCTTGACTACATTATTGTAACAGCTAATCTCAACGCTATTCAAATTGTGACCTGTGCACTGACACTGGTCCAAAAACTTTTGCTACTGGTCTGAAATGAAATAAATATAGAAACCTAGAGAAAGCATTTAGGAACGTTTACAGCAATTTGACACTGCCAAAACAAACATCTTATTGTGTGTTACTAAATACCAGAATGAATAGAAAATTAAAACAAAATTGGTCCTTCAACACAGACAAGTTTGAGAAGCAATGACTTAATTAGTCTCCCTGTATTTACACTTGCCTCTTTCCAACCTGTTCTCTGCAGAGCAGCCAACTGATTTTTTTAAAGCAAAAATTTGGGTAACTTATTCAGCTGTTTAACATTCTCTGGTGGCTTCCTATTGCTCTTAGGATTAAGTACAAAATGCTTAGCGTGGATTTTGGCCATGGTGATCTGCTCCAGTCTATTCCCCATCAACCAACCTCACGTGCTGAAGTTCAGTTCTTACTGGACCTTCCAGGTCCAGAAAGTTGAAATTGCCAACATCACTTGGGTCACTACAGTTCATCCTTTAGGTTTCTGTCTAAAAGTCATTTCTTCAGAGAAGCATTCCCTAATGGATTGGTGTGCCTTTGTTCTTCACAATGATCTTCCTTTGTAGCAGTAATGGTAACTAATTATTTTTATAATTATTATTATTTTATTTTGAGACAGAGTCTCACTCTGTTGCTCAGGTTGGAGTGCAGCTCACTGCAAGCTCTGTCTCTGGGGTTCAAGAGATTCTCCTGCCTCACCCTCCCAAGTAGCCGGGACTACAGGTGTGTGCCACCACACCCAACTAACTATTTTTTTTTTTTTTTTTTTTTTTTTTTTAGAAGAGACACAGTTTCACCATGTTGGCCGGGCTGGTCTTGAACTCCTGACCTTAAGTGATAAGCCCACCTCGACCTCCCAAAGTGCTGGGATTATAGGTATGAGCCAAGGCACCTGGCCTATAATTTTTTTTCTTTATTTTATTCCCCAAACAGACTTCTGCCTCCATGAATACAAGTAATCTCTTTCCATTACATGTCACCAGAGACTGGCACAGATGGGTTGTTAATAAACTTTTGTTAAGTTAACAAATCCAAGTAAGGAAACAAAACAGTGAGCATGACCACTAAATGTAAATGCCTTCAATATTTAATCATATATAAGGCTTGACATAAGACTTTTGATGAAGTACTTTAAAAGAGTTACATCTCCTTTACTTTCTTCACTAAACAACATGAAAAGAGAAGGAAACTCTGCTGTGAAGCTTAAATTTATAAAAAATAAATAAATAAGATATTCAGAAAGGTGAAGAATTTTCTCTAATCAACAAGGAAGTGAGTCTTCTCTAAAGTAAATCAACAAGGAAGTGAAAGGTGTGAGAGGCAAAAGAGTAATAGATGAGAACTATGTTGCCTGGCTGCAAAACTTTCTCAACTGTCTGATTTTGCAGAAGTTAAGTAATCTGTTTCTCAAGTTCCTCATTTGTAAAATAGGAATAAAAAAGTCTTATTAAAGAATTATTATGGGTTTAAATAAGTTAATATATATAAACTGCCTGTCAGTGCCACATCAGAATAAAATTACAAAAAAGCAGAGACTGCATATTACTCTTCTCTGTACAGGAGCTTTTCTCAACTAGGGCTCTGCAGAAATTAAGCCCTACAAAAACTGGAGTAACTACTGCTTTAGTTCTCTCAAGAACGGTACGTAGCTAGTACTATTCTAGGTGCACAGGAGATGAGATAATTCATTACATAGCTTAGATGCCTCAGAGCATTAGGGTTTGATTTTCACCCAGAAACATGGTTGAGAAGGGCCACTCTCATGTATCCCCAATGCCTGGCACATGGTAGATGCTCATTAAATATTTTTGGAAAGAATATTTACAAAACTAAGAAACAGTGCCAGGCATAGAGTAGATGTTAAATGTCAATTTTATCCCACCCTTTCAAAGTTCTATAAGCTTTAAAAGTCTGATTCTAGGGGAGTTATTTTTCTTCAACCTGCCCTGTTTATATAAATTCATGGCCAAAAATGCAGATATAGACATTAGGAAAGCCAAGAAACTAAATGTTGGAAGGAACTATGTGGAAGCAGTGAGAGATGAAAATCAGGTAGAACCTGGATATACAGGAGAAAGAGCAAAGGTTATTCTAGGTCAGGGAACAGCATTACCAAAAACAGTGTCACCCCCAAGTATGGAACATGTTCCATGGTGGCACAAGAATGATTTTAAACTATAAATGGAAAAACATTTTTATTTTGATAGTTACATATGTACATATTTTTACATGTAATTAGGACAGCAAATAGTGATTTCAAACTTTTACTATTTAAAACAACACAAAAGTAATATCTATTCAGATCTTTTAATGTGAGTCCTTTAAAAATGTAATAAGTAAGCAACAGTGCACAAGAGGTAAGCAAATACGGCAAAAACTGTCAGCATTTTTTAAAGTGAGTAAAATTCTGTAAACACCAAGCCAAGAAGACATGTGAATATGAATGAACATAACACATTAAGAGAAAACGGCCACCAGTCTTCTGAAGGAAGACAAGCCAAAGCTCTATCTCGAGTAGTGATTGAAGATAAAGGTCAGATGAGTATGAAGAATACCACCAGTTTTGAGTATTTAACTTACAGTACTAAAACTTTTATCTGTAAAATCTCATTTTCCAGTATGATGAATCTGTTATACACAGTACTTTCACTTTGTTTATTCTCAAAACAAAGGTAAAATTGTAGAAGTTCCAAATAGACATCTGAAATAAGGACTGACCTATCTGTAGCTTGGTAGTTAGCTGCCTTGAAAATGGTGGGCTAAAACCCTGTAGTTTTCAAATCAGAAGGAATTAATTTATACAATAACAAATTATACATGCTATCTATATCAAAAAAGGTTGTTAAATGTCAAAGAATAAGAAAGTAGCTTTCCATTCCCACCTTCCTGTCTTAGAATTAATCTACCCACAAGCCAGATCAAGTCAAACCAAGAAGTGATGATAGCATTTATCAGATATTTGCCCTGTGCCAGGTACTGTTTTAAGTACTTTACTTGTATTTACTTGTGCAATTACTAGCACCATCCTGTGATGTCATATCATAACCCCATTTTACAGCTGTAAGTATACTGAGGCGAAGAAATATTAAGTAACTTCCCCAAAGCCAAAGCTGGTAGATGGCAGAGCAAGGGTTTACACCCTGGCAACTATATACTAGTCTGAGCTCTAGAGAAGAGTTCTTAACCACTAGGCAACATTTCTCACAAGAATGATGAAATGGTAATTTGAAATATTCCACCAATCTCATCGTGGCAGGAGAGATGTAATTTTTCAAGGTATGAACCTTTTACCTCTGTCAGTTTCTAGTCCAAGAAACAGTGGATTCAATTGCAAGTGGGAAAGTGAGTACCACAATGGGTCAAACTAGGCCCAAGATTATTCAAAAATAGACAAAGCATCAGAAGCCTGGAAAGAATCACTGAATGACAGAGTTCAGTCAGGAAAGAGACAAGCGAAAGTTAGGATAAGCAGATGGTGAATCTTATTTCTACTGGGTTGTGTGACTGCTTTGAGAGAGAAAATGCTACCTTCCCTTTTCTTTTATGTTGAATCAATATACAAATACATTGACTCAAAAAGAATTAGGAAAAAGGAGAGCAGCAGGAATACAAGTGGGCTCTTTGAAGACTTGGACCCCGAACCGCGCGGTTAGCTTGATGTACTCTGGTATAAGTGAGCAAAAATGTATTAGAAAGCAGGTTAAAGAGAGGTTAAAGGCATGACCACCGGACTGGAGGTAGTGAGCGGTCTGCGAAGCTGAGAACTCTGCCTAAAATGGGCTAACAGGGACGAGAGTTTCAAGTGTCTGTATTTGGGATGAGGAGGTATGAAAGTGGACGCTGCGCGGTGGCAGAGCATGCAGTTTCTGCCTTTGGGCAGCACTCAGGTAAAAAGGGGCAGGTGTGGAGGTATACAGGTATAGAGGAGGAGAGAAGCCAGAGGAAAAGAAGGGGCGAGGCCCGGGGGTAAAACTAAAGGGGATCCTGGAAGGTGGAGGCTGGGAAATCAAGGAGGGATTGGGGGCAACCCCGGGGAAAGTGGTGCCGCCGCGCGAGGGAAGGGCGGTCCGGGGGCGTGGGAGGTAGTCCCCAGAGCAGGCCGGAGCTCGCCGCCCGAGCAGGGGTCCGGGACCCAGAGAGCAGAGGGCGCAGTGAGGCGCGAGCAGGAGGCCGCCGGTCTACGGAGAGCCGGGGGAGGGGAGCAAGCGCCTGGGGCTGCCGCGGGGACTGGGGGGAGGGGAAGGGGCGCCTACCTGGACGTGCTGGGCGGCAGCGGTCAGTCCTGGTGGAGACTCCTCTCCCGCTGAGGCGGTGGCCGTGTCCGCCCTGGGAGCCCGAGGCTGCGGTGGTGGCAGCAGGGGTGATGGCGGCAAGTCCCTGTGGCGGCCGCCTCCGCCGAACCGCATCCCTCCTCCCCGACCCGCCCTCCTTCCCTATCTCCCGCTCCTAAACTTCTTCCCCGGGATAAACAAACCCGCCGCCAGGGGCGGCCACCTCCGCCACTCCCGCCCCCGCGCAGCCCCCACCCCCCCGCCGCGGGCCCGTCTGGGCTCCGGCTTCCGAGTTACGACTCCAGCCCCGGCTCCAGCCCGCGAGGGCGCGTGCGCGCGGCGGCGGCGGCGGCGGCTCCTGGGCCCTTGCTCCCTCCTACAGCGCCGGGCACTTCCGGGCGGGCCCGGATTTGCCGCCGCGCTTGGGAAGCCGCCACCGCCGCCGCTGCTGCATGGCACTAGGCTCCCGGCGGGGCAGGTTCCGCAGCCGGCACCGCTCTGGCTAGGCGCACGGAGGCGCCTTGCTTAGTCTGACCCTTATTTGGCCAGGCGTAAAACTTGTCCTGCCTAAAAGCCTACTGAGACCTCCTAACTGGTCTAATCCGCGGGAGACGCCAAAGGCGGCGGCCGTTTGTGCGCACAGGATTTTTCTTGGAGCTGTAGCAGTCTAGGAAGCCAGGGTGGAACTTTTGCTAAGCTCCCGTTGTAAGCCCAGAGCTGTAATAACTGCTGAGACACAACCAGCAGTATACAGGCTCCAGTTGGAAATCGAGAACTTTCCAGGTAGATGAAGTGCCCCATGGAGCAGTTTTCAGGTGGAGGGGATGAGGCTCAGCTGGAAGTCTCAGGCCAGAAGGAGAGGCTGCCGAGGGGCGGCCAGGGATGCCTAGGAAGTGAGCGCAGAAGACCAGGCGGCCTCCTGGGACCGCACGGTGGGAAATAAAGCTGCACCTGCACAAATGTGTGAAGAGAGGATGGGATTGCCTTGTCTCTTCGGACATTTAGTTTAAAAAGGGGGTGACAACTGAACTTTTTATTCCCCACGGCCATGGGACAAAGATACTTAATCGAGCTACCAGGAGTAAACTTCTTTAAAGAAGTTTGGGGGACCAACAATCCCGGCTTTGCCAGAACAGACATGAACGTCATTCAAGGATCCCAACTCTTTTTGCTTTAACTGTGCATACGTCAGCAATTTTTGTTTTGTTTTGTTTTTGACAGGGCTGTCACCCAGGCTGGAGTGCAGTGGTGCCATCACAGCTCACTGCAGCCTCGACCTCCTAGGCTAAAGTGATCCTCCCAACTCAGCCTCCCGTAGCTGGGACTACAGGAATGTGCCACGCCCAGGTAATCTTAATTTTTTGTGGAGACGAGGTCTTGCTATGTGGCCCAAGCAGATCTCGAACTCCTGAGCTCAAGGGATCCTCCCACCTTGGTCTCCCAAAGTGCTGGGATTTGCAGGCGTGAACCACCACACCTGGCCATAAACCAACTTCTCATTGCTTACCTGGCTTTCCAAGAAAAGAGAGAGGGCAGAGGGAAAATATTTATTATTTTGCTATGTACTGAGTATTCTAAGCATGGACTTGTATCGTCTCTGTTCTCTCAACAACCTCTCTAAAACTTCAACGTAGAAATTTCCATCTTAAAATTAAGCGACAAGAACTAGAAATGGCAAGTAATTCATCCAGAGGTTACTGGGATTTGAATACTGGACAGGCAGATCCCCCTCATTTCAAATTAATACTACATTAGCTGTCTTTTTTATTTCTTTTTTCTTTTTGTTTGTTTGAGACAGGATCTCGCTTTGTACGCCAGGCTGGAGTGCAGTGGCGCGATCCTGGGTCACCTCCCAGATTCAAGCAATTCTGTGCCTCAGCCACCAAGTATCTGGGACTACAGGCGTGAGCCCGGCTAATTTTTGTATTTTTAGTAGAAACAGAGTCTCACCATATTGCCCAGGCTGGGCTCAAACTCCTGGCCTCAAGTGATCCTCCCACTTCTGCCTCCCAAAATGCTGGGATTAGCACCTGACCTTACGTTAGCAATCCTGTTGACTTATTTAAGACAAAACGTGCTTTAAGACAAAATCTGTGCCAAAGGTTTTCAGATAAAGATAAAATTAGCAATGTAACCATAAAATTCAAAGTTGCCTTGGGCTGAGTTGGTAGAATGTTTATGCAGATCAAGGAACTCCAAAAGTTAAAAAACAGAAGTGGAAGTGAGCATTAGGGAATGGGGAAAGAGTTGGTGGAGAGAGGAAATATTTGTGTAAACATTTAACCATCTCCAAACACCAGCAAAGAACAGTTGAAACGATTTGCTATACTCACTGTCCACCCGTGTTAACTTTATGGTATGTGACATACAGCAAAAATTACATGTAATTTTTGACTAAGCCTTTTAGCTCTTTCAATCCCTTCGTAGTATGTCACCCCCTCTCTTCCCATAATTAAAAATTATAAGACACCTAGTAAATATAATACACTCATAGAATTAAGTTATAAGTCCATCAAGTACATTTCCAATTGGAAGTTAAGAGTGATGCTGACCCTTCACAGTTGACTGGGCTGAAGTTGGGAACTGATTCAATAAACTTCCACCACAAGGATGTCAAATTGCTCCTCAGGGTATTCTCAGAGAGTCTTTTCCCTAGGCTTGATCTCCTTACCCTAAGTGTTAGGACACACCATTCCTCTCTTGCTTGCAGTATTCAATGACTTTACCCACTAATAAAATGATAGTAAATAGTAAGAGTGAATATGGCTTGTAAGTAATGCTAACAAAACTGTGATGGCTTAGCAAAGTAAAAGATGGTTTTATGGTCAGTAAGTTTGGATTAAAGCTTACTAAAGCTTGATGCTTTGTTACCAGTCTGCTAAAGAACTACCTTCTTAATTTGATTTCCTACTTACTGGATACCTATTGGAAAACTAGAGAGATATGATAGGCTTTCATTTATTGCTGCCGTAAATAAATTTTTAAAATAGAGAAATAACAGCTTTGTCATTAGTGTAGAGCACAGTTTGCCTCTGCTAGGTCAGTATTGGGCTTGCTTCGTTTAAGTCATTAACCATTAGGATCACCCAACTTGTCCTGCCTAAAAGCCTACTGAAAAAACATGCATATAACTTTTGCATATTTATTTTGCTACTTATTGTTGATTTTCTATAGGAAACTATTTATACTCCTCAGTGTATATGGCCAACTTGGAAGTTCTACTTCCTATAATTATGTCAGCAGTTAGTGAAGATGATCAAAACAGCCATTCTGAATTTAATAAACAGATGAGCCTCAGACTCTGGATCTCCATGACCCAACCCTATGAGGCTCTGCCTGAAGAACCAATCAAGCTTCCCACTTTGATATTTTAGTGACTGTAGCATCTTGTTCCTCTTCTAAATTAAACACCACAGATGCTCCCATTTCATGGCTGTGTAGGCACGATGGACTCACCACTGCCTTCCATACCACCACCTGGTTTATACAATAATTTTCCAATTCTAGTTGTCCAAAACGAAGCTATACAAAACTCACAAATCCATTATTGTCTTCCATGTAGAGATAAAAAAGCAAGGAATATGCTTGTTAAAAAGCATGCAATACTTTATGAATCCTCGGTGATGTACTTTTTGGGCTCGCTGCTGCTGGAGATTTTGCTAATGCCCCTACACGTTTTAATGCAGTCCACCAAGCTCTTTGCTAGTAAGCTGGTTTCCACTTTTTTTTTTTCCTTTTTCTTTTTCTTTTCTTTTCTTTTTTTTTTTTAAACAGACAGGATCTCCCTTTGTTGCCCAGGCTGGAGTGCAGTGGTTATTCATAGGCATGATGATGGCTCACTACAGTTTCAAACTCCTGGACTTAAACAATCCTGTCTCAGCCTCCTGAGTAGCTGGGACTTACAGATGCGCACCACCATACCTGGCATCCCACATATTTTTCTAATCATTATCCCCTTCTTTCCTAAATTTTCTTCAAGGAAACCAAACTCAGTCCCAACTTCCATAAGCTAACACTTATACAATTAAAATGACATTTAGCTTCTGGAATCAATGTGGAAAGAAATGACAACTTATTTGCTGATTATTTTTCACTGTAATAAATATTAGGCCTTTTATCTGGAAGGAAATACCAAACCCTTGTTTAATATTAATAACTTGTAAATTATTGTACACGTAATTTCATTCTCTCTTCCCATGTCTTCATTTTTCTGCCTCTGGCTTTTCACCTTGTTGTGAATTCCTAGTTTTATAGTACTTTTATACTGTATGATACTGACTTCTTAAGCATACAAAAAACTTCAGAACTCAAGCAATTCCACCTGTAAGCCTTGTCTAGTGATGCCTATGGCAAAAAAGGACCCATACATTTGATGTACTTATCACTCAAAAATCATTCCCAGAGAATTCTCAGGAAACTCAGAACAGGGCCTACCCTGAATTCTGAGAACAGGACCATTTTTAAGTCCTTTAAGTCCTTCATTGACACCCTTCCTTTCTCTTACTTTCTTTTCTTTCTTATTTTTCTCTTTCTTTCTTTTCTTTTCTTTTTTTCTTTTTCTTTTCTTTCCTTTCTTCCTTCTTTCCTTTCCTTTCCTTTTTTCCTTTCTTTTACTTTTCTCTTTCTTTCTTTCTCTCCCTTTCCTTTCCTTTTCCTTTTCCTTCCCCGTCCCTTCCCCGTCCCGTTCCATTCCGTTCCATTCTGTCTTGCTCTGTTACCCAGGCTGGAGGGCAGTGGTGCAATCATAACTCAGTGCAGTCTTGACCTCTTGGGCCCAAGGGATCCTCCCATCTCAGCCTCCTGCAGGCATGCACTATCAAGTCCAGCTGATTTTTTTTTTTTTTTCATTTTATTTTTTCTAAACACCGGGTTTCACCATGTTGCCCAGGCTGGTCTGGAACTCCTGGCTTCAAGTGATCTTCCTGCCTTGGCCTCCCAAAGTGCTGAGATTACAGGCATGAGCCACAGTGCCCGGCCAACACCCTTACCTTTATGTTCCCAGTCACATTATGTCAAATATTTCAGAATGCTTCTTTGTTTCAAATTAAATACACATTCATAAATTTACTGCTTTGGTTCTTTGGATAATCAATCAGTCAGGTCTATAGGAGAGATGATTTTTGTTGTTTTTCTTGTGAAAAATGTGAAGAATAAGTTGAATGGTTGGCATACTGCCACATCTTATAGCCATTGAGTTAAATATTCATTTGAATTAGGTTTAAAACGTGGTTGAGGCTCTTGAAATGCTAGTAATCCATAGATTCTTTATCATTAGTGCCTCACGCATTAGAAATAGCAGTACTTCTGCTGGGGAATGTATCATCTGGGAAAAGTCTTGGCTACCCTACCTGCAGGTCCTCTATTCATAGTGTAATAAAAGAAAAACAATAAAAATGATCTTTTCTACAAGATTATCCAAAACTCCTACAGCATCCCTCCAGGCATCAGCTGAGGGCTCTTATTCCAAAGTCACTTACTGTTGCTGGAATTCTTTTATTCTGCCAGGATCCAGGCAGTCGCTGCTGCCATGATCTAGTCCCTAATGACCTCTCTCTTCAGCTTGGCCAGCTAAGCTCTCTCCTGCTGGCGCCCTGGCCCTGCCCCTTCTCTGCTCTCAGGTAACAGAGAAAGAGGAGTTGTGGTTGGCCCTGGAACCTGGATACAGACCCAGGGGAAGTCTAAAGCTCTCCACTCTGTTCAGCCAGAGGCCACCAGCCTCTGCACCAGCCCTAATTGGCTCTAGAGGTGCAACTGATCGGTCTCCTCCTCTTTTATCTCTGCTCAGTCATCACCATGTCTCCAGGTCAGGGTCTGTGGTCTTCTCAGAGAGACACACCCTCCTCCCTATCAGGGCTGTACCTGGCTAGAAGAGTTTGTTTAAACATCTGCCCCTGCAGTGCGCACTGGGTGGTTTCCTGTCTTTGTGTCCTTCTCCTAAATTGGAGCCACTTCATCCCAGTCACCTTGGAACCTGACTCAAGAAATGGCAGTTCCATGCCTATTTCTCTGGACACACAAAGGGGTCCTGTCTCCAGGGTAATCTCAGATTGGATCACCCCTTGTTTCACTTAGACTCAGGTGCCCCTTCTCCCAACGAGGATGCATATAGAATAGAATTAGGCCCTGCTCCCAGACAAGCAATCTAGAAGTCCATTCTCATTGGTTGACCTTCTGTGGTGTTCCTGAAATTGCCTTGTAGCCAATCAGACACTAAGTAAACCCAGGAGCCTTGGAACCTCTGGACCTCAGTTTTCCTTGACTCACTGATTTTCCACTGGTCTGGTGCCTCAGAAGAACCAGATTCTCCTGTTCAGTCGTCACTTCCCTTCTGCTGCTTCCCTGCTTTAGAAACTAAGCCCTGTCTTGCTTTTGTCAATTCTGTATTTATACCCCTACACAAAACTGAATGGCCACTGGCCTCCAGATGGTTCTCCTACACTTCAGTCTTTCACTGCTAGCCTGCCTGCCGAATTGGAAACCCTGGTATGACCATTTCCAAAATTAGAAACCAGACTGCACCATCTCCCAGGGGCACTATGCCTGCATCTCTCAGCACTCAGTCGAGCCAACCTCTGCAAGTGTCCCAGACACCCTTCCTTCCAGTCTCTTCTACTCCCCTCCCCCATATTTCTGGCTATGGTGATTTGGGCTTTTGCCTTCCACTCTTTGCCCAACCTTGCTGAAGTCTTAACACATTGGACCTCCCCTGCCTGAACTATGCCAAGCAGAAGAAAGGCGAATTCAAGGGTTACCTAAACCCTGGATATTCTTTCAGAGGCCTCATCACACATCCTATCAAACACTGGAAAATGTCCTATCCCACATGAAAAGCACGACGTTTTGTTATGAAAATTAAAGGAAATCATATAATTTTCCTCTTGAAACATTTATTAATTGCATTTTATAATTTGCTTTGTGTTTTAGAGCCAGGCCATTTTCTTGTCCAGCTCTCAAACAATTTGATAAGACTGGGAAATGCTTATGAGCTCTGGGCACTGCACCTATAGTGAGAACTTGAGCCTTAAAGGATTAGAAAAATGCCTCTGGGAGGAAAGCAAACACACACGTCTCTATGATGCAGTTCAAGCCCCTCACCCCCATCATCACTTAAATCTCTCTCTTGCCCAGTTTCTATATCCTAATGGGCTTCTTTGCCTGATCCCCTGTCTTGGCTACTCACCTTCTGCCAGCAGCTCTCAGACAAACACTCCCCTTATTCCCAAAGCAAGCTGGCCTGCCTGGATTTCAAGAGTTTCACCAGCCCCTAGATTCCCTTTCAAGCCCTTGTTCCACCTCTGAGGACCCTGCCCCCAGGCGACTGCCACTTTGGACTATGGCATTTGTTTGCTTGACCCTGTAGAAATGATAACTGAACTCTCTTAAGGCTGCAGCTTCATCTGGCTCTCTGGAGCCCCAGCCCCCTTCAAAGCCCTGATCTGGGATTGCATATTGGGTGCTTCAGTCTTTCCCTGCCTGCTGGGACTGACCAGCAAAGGCCATTTGTGTCCCAAGTAGGACAGCTACCAGAAATCACACTTCACATTTTCCTACTTAAGGTGCCTGCTTACATTTCCCTGTGCTTTGAGTGTCTCCTTCTCTAAAGGAGCCTTTTATGAGTCAGTTACATGTGGCATCCCTGCTACACTTCTCTGTGGCTTTTCTGATCAGTTATACAGATTAAGAACATGTACAAGAAAGCCAAAATATCCCCAGCAATTACCCCAGGTTACGTCTCTTGTAAATGTTAACCATTACTCAGTTGAAATAGCCATTAATAGTTGGCTTTTGTGTTCCAGGATTTCTGAGGTCACTGAATTACTAGTGATTCTGCAATTTCAATATATTTCTTAAAATTAAATTACACATATTTTGGGTACACAGTGATCCAGTTAAGAGGGAGAGTCTGCAATTATATATTTTTGTCTCTTTAGTTTCCTTTCTCATTTTTTTCCCCCAGAAAGGAAATTAGACTAGCCTTTTAAAAATGGTGTTCTGCTACAGTCTGCAATTTTGAGAGGAAAGGTGATGAATGCCTTTATTTTCATGTCGTCAAAAGCTCAGCAAGAATTTGCGTCTATTTTGACTGTGGAGCCTACTGTGTGCAAAACAGGTGTGACAAAATCCCCCCTATTAGAGCTGTTTTCTTTCCATTTTCTATTTTAAAAAAACTTTTCTCTCTGTGGTAATCACTTAACCCTAAAAGGCCTGGATATTTATACAAAAAGGTACCATGCTTCATTTGTTAAATACTCTTTCTCTTCTGAGTTTGATTTTAATTTTAGTTATTTAATTGTTTGGTCCAAGATAGACTTAAAACATCTTATTTTGAAAGAAAACATGATTAAGTTCCTGGAATATTTACTTGATCACTTGAACCAATCCATGGTGTTCCTCCATTGGCATTCCTCCGCGGGACGTGTGATGACTAGCCTGCTAGTCTTGGAAAATACTCCTCCCCTGCCCTTCTCTGTCCTTATCTAAGCTGGCTTCTACAGGCTGTTTTCCAGACCCATGTGTCAGCTGGCTTCCTACTGGGCTAGGCTAACAGGGAGCACTGTCAGGTGATTGGAGGGTAGGAGAAACCAATATATCTCCCCATCTCTTTCTGCCTTAGGCACCATCCCCTGCAGCTGTCTCCCCAGCGGCTCCCTCTCTTGCTGGACAGGCCTACCATGAAATCAGCCCTGGGATCTGACAATACTACCTCCTCCTGCCACCTACTTAAAAGTGTAATAGTTTCCTGTGGTTGCTTCTCTGGGGAAGAATTTCCCCTGGATTCTTCTCAGTTTTTCCATCACCTGTGCAACAGATTCCTTGTATCACATTCTTTGTTTGAAGAAATAAGTGTGGTTTCTGTTTTTCTAGTTGAATTCAGCAGATTTATCCATTTTGTGTTTTCGTAAGGGTCTTACCCTGCTTAGGGGAGAAGGAATGATTTTCACAGGAAAGCAGTCACATTCAGTTTAGGAATCTGCCTGTGCTTCCCCCGATGGCTTTAGTAATGTCATTATTTTTTCCACCTCTTACTCCCCATGCTTGCTCCTCACCTCCCATACCCAACCTGTGTCTCTCCTGCTTCCTCCATTCTTAGAGCATATGACACCTATCTTCTGGGGTCACATCCCCAGAGGTACACAATGATTTGTTTTTGTTTATTTTTAAATTTCTTTTCATATAGTGTCCTTAACAAGAATGTCACTGCTGTAGGATAGGATAGCAAAAGAGCACTGGGTTTTTCATTCAGAATGTGAATCAGTGTGGCTTGTTTGAATCCTATAGCCTTGTCCTGCACAACAGTGCCCTTGATAGCAGAACAGGAAAAAAGATAATTTCACCACAAATCTATGAGGAGAAAATGAGATGAAACATATGAAAGGATTGTGCAAAAGATAAAAGGCTAAAAGAAAATAAAAAGAAAAGGCCAGGTATGGTGTTTCATGCCTATAATCCCAGCATTGTGGGAGCCCAAGGCAGGAGGATCACTTGAGCCCAGGAGTTCAATATCAGCCTGGGCAGCATAGAGAGGTCCTGTCTGTATTTAAAAAAAATTTTTTTTAACGATAAAATGCTAAGCAAATAAGAAGTTATTATTTTGAAATAGTAAATAAGCCTAAATTAGTTGTTTTCCTTGAAACAATTGTAATTTTAAAAGTTACCACAAAGGTATTTCTCAACTAGAATTTATACAGAAGCTTAACAACATCACAGTCTTGATTTAACACATGATTTCTCAATCTCAGTTCTATTGACCTTTGAGGTTGGATAATTCTTTGTTGTAGGGAGCTGTCTTGTGCATTGTAAGATTTTTGGTGGCATCTCTACCAGTAGCACCCACCTGTCTAGTTATAACAAAACATTTCTCAACATTGCCAAATGTCCCCTAGGAAAAAAAAAAAAAGAGACAAAACCGCCCCAAATTGAAAACCACTGATTTAACAAAACCTACTTGGAAAGATGTGCCTTCTTTTTGATATAAGTTGTTAAAACAAACAATAATTAAAAGAAGTCTGGCTTTTCATAGATTATTTGGGAAAAATCTTTTAAAAATGCAGTTCAGTCATAAAATATAACCTTAAAGATCCAAAAACCCTACAGTGAAAGTCAGTGGTGATTGTCACAGCAGTAGTGTGTGTTACTAAGTATTTACGTTGGAGAAGCTAATCTTCCTGTTAAGTATTGTGGTCGGACTACCTAACCAAGATGTCCTTTCTTCTTCATACAATTAATAACATTGTTATTTTTACTAGGTGTTAAAAAAAAACACACTAACACTTTATATCTGACTACTGTATGTTGAAATCCTTTGATGTCCTTTAAAAGGCAAGGTAACTCAGATTGAATATTAGTAGGAACATATATTTCACTCTTGACTCATATATTCTGGGTTTGTACTTGTATGGACTACCTTGAGTAGCTGCAGGACTTAGAATTTTATGAGCATCACAGCTAAGTCATGGTCTGTAGAATCATTCATATTTCAATTCCTAATATGGTAGTCTTAGCTACCATTTAATTTCTAGAGAACTGGAAACCAAAGTATAACTATGTAAAGTCTAGAAATTATTGTATTTAAAATATTGATTCCAGGTCTCCAAATATGTCTCTTCTAGCTTATATCAATAGGTTTCTAAAACCAGTTTTTCATCTCCACTGTGTCAGTTAGCTTTCTTCCCAGCTAAAGAAAATATTGACCAAAGCAAGTTGCAAAACAGGTGAAACTGGTTGTAGTAAAAGAGTTACTTTTTGCTGGGAAGATAAAAGAGATGTAACTACTGTCCTTGACATGAGTATATTGCTAAGCTTTGTGGACAAACATTCTGAGATTGGTAAAATACTTACTGCTTCAGGAAAATTACACTTATTTCCTCATCTATGATTTTGCATTCTCCTAGTTAATCTTCTTTTGGGGGACAGTGAGCCTCCTTTGAAGGACTTACGGGCATTAATAATAATATCACTGTACAAAAATTAATAATATGTATTGCTCTTTTAAAGATACTTTTGTACAAGATATTTTAATAAAACAATCTTATTCAGTGCTGCTTATTGTGGTTGGTGAAAAATAAATAAATAAAAACTATCTTATAACTGAGGCGGGTGGTCAGAGTTTTGGATGCAGACAGTGGGATTAAGTTCAGTCAGAAAGTTAGGGCACTTTTATTTGCCGTCATGCTTTTGAATTTGAAGGACTTTGGACCAAGCCTGCCTCTCCAGTTCACTGTCATGTTCTCAGTTCATCACATATTACATCTGGCCTACGCTTCACATCTGTCAAGCCTCTGTGCAGACATTTGGATCTGTAAACTCTGCCAGGACAAAGCTTGGGCTAGCATCCCATACTATAAATGACTATTCCTCAGTGGAATATTTTGTTTCCAAAAAAGAAATCTATTTGAGGTATCAGTGCTTGCCCCATCTGTTTTTTAAGATCTGAGAAACAACTATGTAAATATACATAGAAATGATTTGAGTCAAAGCTCTCATTCTCATCATAAATAAGGAAGGAAAGGCACTGACGATGGGCCATTTCAGAGTCCTCCCTGCTATCTCTGATTTAGAAAAAATATATGATCAAGGTGGAGTAATAGAACTAGATTTACCCTCCTACCTGTAACAACTAAACAACAACAAAAACAGACAAAAGACATGAAACAATGGTTTTTATGACACTAGATATCAAGCAATGGACATGGTGATTCTTGAAATATAGGAAATAAAATGGATGAGACCTACTATTGCCCCAGTTTACTAATTTGAGAGAGTTTTCAGGTCATGACATGTGGTAGGAGAACAGAGGTGAAGCCCAGTTATGATTCTGAATTGAGGCAACATTGCTGAGAGTCCAGGAAGATCAACGCAGTGAGATTTCTTAGGAAAGAGTGATAGAGGAGAGAGAGAGCTACACAGAGTAAAGCCTGGGGGTCTGCAGAGGGATCTCTGTTAAGTATTCAGAAGAGTTTTGATCATGACTATGAAGAAACTACATGAGGCCTAGAAAAGGACCATCTGGAGGAGGTAGAGAGAACATGTGGCCATAACATACATAGGACCAGAAGTAGTGTCTGTTCCCACTACCGGCCAGATTGGAAAAACTCATAATTCATAGACACTGGATAAAGTACTCAAGAAGGTCTTGCCTCAGTGGTGGGAAATAATTAGCCCTAGCCTGAGAACTGCTCTCAACCTGCCAAACAAATCATAAAAGCAACATCTGAAAAGATCAAACTGTTTCCAAGTAACTTAACATCATACCTGAACAAAACTCAAGAAGATTTATGAGAGTTCAAAAGTATCCAGCACCCAACAAATTCACAAAGTATGCATGCAATCAAAGATTACCGGGCATGCAAAGAAAAAGAAAAACATATCTCATAATGGGGAGAGCAACCAGTCAATCAAAACAGACCCAAAATTGGCACAGATGATATAATTAGCAGAGAGAGACACTAAAACAATTATTGTGACTATGTTCCAAATGTTCAGAAAGCTAAGTAGAGATGGAATATATTTTTAAAAGACCCAAATCTGGTTGGAATTTCTGGTGGGAATATAAAATGGTGCAGCCACTTTAGAAAAGTCTGGCAGTTCCTCAAATTGCTAAACATATAGTTACTACATGACATAGCAATTCTACTCCTAGGACGTACCCAAGAGAAATGAAAATATTTTCGCACAAAAACTCATACATGAATGCTTATAGCAGCCTTATCTTTAACAGCCGAAAGGTAGAAACAACCCAAATGTCTATCATCTGATAAACAGATAAAATATGGTATATCCATAAAATAATTGAATATATTTAGTCATAGAAAGGAATAAAGCATGGACAGACACTGCAACCTTGCAAACTGCTAAGCGAAAGAACCAGACACAAAGGCCCATGTATTGTATGACTTCACTTGCATGAAATGTCCAGAGTAGGCAAATTCATAGAGACAGAAAGAAGATAGTGATTGGCAGGGATTGGGAGATTGGAAAGTGACTGCTAATAAAGGTGAGGTTTCTTTGGGAAGTATTGAAAATGTTCTGGAATTAGATGGTAGTGATGGTTGTACAATCTTTTGAATACACTGAATACCACTGAATTGTATACTTTACATGGGTAAATTTATGGTATGTTAATTATATCACAACAATGATGGTTAAAAATAGATGCAATCAGAATCAATTTATCTTTCTACTACCATGTTAGTTGTATAAACTATCTTCCATTTCACTCCTTCTATTCTGTCCCTAACCCATCCCATCTTTCCACTAATAAGGTTACACAAGGTTACCAATGACCTGAATGTATCTAATTCATTGTCAGCCTCTGTTCAGTTTTTCCTAAATCTCTCAGCAGCATCAAAATCTCTCAACATTGCATCCTTTTAGTAACAGCAGCATCTTCTATAGATTTCATGAAATACACTCACCTAGTTTTCTCTTACCAGACTTTATAGCTGCATACTCATAATCTTCACTTAAATGTCCAGTAGGTACCTAAAGCCTAACATGTATATGACAGAATTCGGATCTACTTGCTGTAACCACATCCTACAAATACGCATTAGGTAGGCCCATACCTACTCCTGCCCTAGTCTTTCCCATGAGAGTTAACACACAATCATATATCCAGGTGCTCAGGCCAAAAACTAGGGAGTTGTTTACCATGTTTTATTGCTCTCTTTCCCTAATCCTACCACATCAAATCCACTGGCAGGTCTTAATAGTTCTGCCTCCAAAAATCTATGTGGAACCTATCTCCATTCTCCAGTTATTTATTCAGAGGTTAAAGAGGAGACTGGAATGGTGCCTGAGGGATTAGATTCTATCTGGTCTTGTGAACTGTTACATGAACATTCACCTTTATTCCGAATAAGATACAGAGTTTTGACCAAAGTAATAACATGATCTGATTTAAGTCTTAAAAGGATCACTCTGACTTCTGTAGTGAAATTAGACTGTGGGGGAAAATGAAAATAGGGAACCCAATCAGGAGGCTATTGAAATTTTAAAGAAGGATTATGGTTCGGACTAGAAAGTTGGGGGCAATGGAGGTGCAAGTGGTGACTGAGTTCTATTTATACTTTTAATATAAATAGAGCCAAAAAGATTTGCTGATAAAGTAAGGATGTAGAGTGTGAAAGAGAAATTAAATGATGCCAGGACTTTGGTCTGAGCAAATGGAATGATGAGTATGCCATTTCCTAAGTAGAAGATTATTGAGTGAGCATGTTTGGATAGGAGGATATAAATTTGGTTTTTAAAATTTCCAGTTGGAACTATTTATCAGGTACCAGATAGAGCTATCAAAAAGGATAGTGGATATATAAGTCTGGAATTTAGAGGTGAGATCAAACTGGATAAATAAATTCTGGAATTTTCATTTTATATGTGATATTGAAAGCCACAGAAATTAACAAAATCATAATGTAAGCAGCATAGATAGAGAAAAGTTCATGGGCTTAGCCCTGGGGGCCCTCCAATAGTTAGAATCAAAGAGACAAGGCAAAACTAGCAAAGTAGGTTGTGGTAAAGTAGCCAGTGAAGTAGAATAAAAACCAGTTGAGCATATTATCATTTTCAGATAGGCAGAATTGCAGCATATTTGACTGCTATGAAGAGGGAAAAATTTGGGACGCAGGTAGAGCAAGATGAATTGCTAGAATTATATCCTTCAGTGGGGAGGAAAGTATAGGATTAGAACTAGAAGACATGTTGGTCTGGATAGGCACAGGGTGTTCATTTATAGTAACAGAAAAGAAGGCAGTAGGTGGGCACAGATGCAGAGATACAGGTAGGTATTTGGTAGGAGATTCTGGAGGTTCTCTTATGAAGGACAGATAAGATCATTGAAGAAGAGAAGAGAGAAAGTCAAGGAACTGAGAGGCCATGGAGTTGAAAGGATCATCCACGTGAATATTACAATCACCAAGAACTATTATAGGAATAGTGTTTGATAAAATGTCAATCAGCTAAAGGCTAAATCTTTAAGGAATAAGGAGGAGTGGTCAAGGGAAATACAGTGAATCATAGCAATATGGTGGGAAAATATGATATTAAAAGCTGGGGTTTTAGGGGAAGAAGAGAAAATGATCTGGAAGCAGTAAGGAGCCCCCCACTGGCCTAGTGGTATGTGGCATCTGAGAGAAGATATTGGCTCTACTTGAGAGGGCTACAGGAAAAGCTGTGTTTCCAGGGGAGAGAGAAAGACACGTGGAAATATGGAAATGCATGTATTAAGTTTTTGGCTGTCACAGTAACTAGTGGAATTCTGTGTCCAAAGAAGAGACATGCTAAACATCCTGAAAGGTAATGGCAAGATTATATGACATGGACATATGCTACCCAAATGCCAGTAGCACCCCTGTTAGGAATCTAAAAGTAGAAAGAACATTCAGAGAAAAGGCTTGGATTGATTGTCTTAGTTGAATTTCTCCAGAAACAAATCTTGATTGTAAGTAATTTATTCAGAAGTACTGGGAAAACCAGTAAAGGAAGAGGGAAGTGATCCAGGGAAAAGAAGGCAGTCATCCAATGCAGTATCGAGCCAAGGTACTGCCATGGGCAACTGGAGTTTAACCTTATGGGAAGCTCAAATGAGGAAATCTGAGAAAGGAGAAAAACACACTCCTCACAGTTATTTAACCTCAAGAGTGAGGTAGCTGAAGTGAATACACACCAGCTTCTGAGAGTCATTGGTAGAAGGCTGCAGATCTGATGAACATGAGCAGAGCACTGACAGCCTCTGTTATAGGATGTAGAATAAAGGTTTATCTCTAGGATAAATTACAATGAGGAGAATCTTCTGGGTCTAAGAATAAGTGCTTGTGTGATTTTGATAGATACCTGCAAATTGTCCATCACAGACAGTATACTAATTTACATTCACCCCAGAAATGTATGAGAATATTTCTTTCTACCCTCCCCAAGTTTATATTCTATTAAGCTCTCTTCTTTTTGCTAATCTTTAGTAAATATACATTTCAGTGTAATTTTCATTTTCATTTATCTTATTAAGAGTGAAATCGAACAGCTTAACATATATTTAGCATTTTTTATTTCCTTTTCTGCAAACTGCCTGTTAACATTCCTTGTTCATTTTACTTTCAGTTACCAGTCTTTTTCTTACTGATCTGTAGAAAAGCAATATGAGGTTCAAATATTTTCCCAGTCCGTTATGTCTTTGGAATTTCTTTTTCTTTTTTCTTTCTTTCTTTCTTTCTTTTTTTTTTTTTTTTTTGAGATAGAGTCTTGCTCTGTCGCCCAGGCTGGAGTGCAGTGGCATGTTCTTGGCTCACCACAACCTCTGCCTCCTGGGTTCAAGCGATTTTCCTGCCTCAGCCTCCTGAGTAGCTGGGAGTACAGGTGTGCACCACCATGCTCAGCTAATTTTTGTATTTTAGTAGAGATGGGGTTTCACCATGTTAGCCAGGCTGGTCTCCAACTCTTGACCTCAGGTGATCTGCCCGCCTCAGCCTCCCAAAGTGCTGGGATTACAGGTGTGAGCCACTGCGCCCAGCCTGTCTTTAGAATTTCTTTATGGAATTCTGTCCATTTCTCTTCATCTCCTCTACTGATCCAAGCCTCCTTCTCTCAGCTCCCACTTACACTAAACCCTCGCCTCCTATTAAATCTCTCCTTCCACTCTGCCACCAAGACACTATTATTTTCTATGTACAAGATAGGGAGCAATGTGAAAAATATGAATCAGTTCATACTACATCCCTACAAAAAATACCCCAAGGACTGCTTCCTAGTACACATAAATCTAGACCCCATGTTATGGCCATTTTGGCCTGGTATGATTCACACCTTGCCTCCTCATGTCCTACCCCTAAAATTTCACATTGTTTACTTTCTTCTTCATTTAGCAATCAGCATGATATCACCCTCTGAGAAAAGCCAACCACTGCCTTCTGAGTCAAAATGGCATGCACACCACAGTGTGTGAGATACCAGTGAGGTACCCACATCTCCAGCTTTCTGATCTCTTTCTGCCTCTTTGTATTATATTTCTCTTATTATTTAGTATGATGCCAAGCACATAATAGACTCTTAATACTTTGTCCAAAAGTATTCCTCAAAATTAAAGGATATTGTCTTACATTCACATTCTTGTAAGTCTTTCACATTTTAGAGCATTTTCTAAATTACTTTATTTTGAACAAATATTATTTGGAGAACACAAACTGAAATAACCCAAATCAATACTAGATTTATTTATTTATTTATTTTTCCTTCAACTTTTAAGTTCCACGGTACTTGTGCAGGATGTGCAGGTTTGTTACACAGGTAAACATGTGCCATGATGGTTTGCTGCACACATCAACCCATCACCTAGGTAGTTTTTATATATATATATTTTTATTACACTTTAAGTTCTAGGGTACATGTGCACAACCTGCAGTTTTGTTAACGTATGTATACATGTGCCATGTTGGTGTGCTGCACCCATTAACTCATCATTTACATTAGGTATATCTCCTAATGCTATCCCTCCCCACTCCCCCCATGCCATGACAGGCCCTGGTGTGTGATGTTCCCCTTTCTGTGTCCAAGTGTTCTCATTGTTCAATTCCCACCTATGAGTGAGAACATGCGGTGTTTTTTTGTCCTTGCGATAGTTTGCTGAGAATGATGGTTTCCAGCTTCATCCATGTCCCTACAAAGGACATGAACTCATCCTTTTTTATCACTGCATAGTATTCCATGGTGTATATGTGCCACATTTTCTTAATCCAGTCTATCATTGTTAGACATTTGGGTTGGTTCCAAGTTTTTGCTATTGTGAATAGTGCCATAATAAACATACGTGTGCATGTGTCTTTATAGCAGCATGATTTATAATCCTTTGGGTATATACCCAGTAATGGGATGGCTGGGTCAAATGGTATTTCTAGTTCTAGATCCCTGAGGAATCGCCACACTGTCTTGCACAATGGTTGAACTAGTTTACAGTCCCACCAACAGTGTAAAAGTGTTCCTATTTCTCCACGTCCTCTCCAGCACCTGTTGTTTCCTGACTTTTTAATGATCGCCATTCTAACTGGTGTGAGATGGTATCTCATTGTGGTTTTGATTTGCATTTCTCTGATGGCCAGTGATGATGAGCATTTTTTCATGTGTCTGTTGGCTGCATAAATGTCTTCTTTTGAGAAGTGTTGGTTCATATCCTTCAGCCACTTTTTGATGGGGTTGTTTGTTTTTTTCTTGTAAATTTGTTTTAGTTCATTGTAGATTCTGGATATTAGCCCTTTGTCAGATGAGTAGATTGCAAACATTTTCTCCCATTCTGTAGGTTGCCTGTTCACTCTGATGGTAGTTTCTTTTGCTGTGCAGAAGCTCTTTAGTTTAATTAGATCCCATTTGTCAATTTTGGCTTTTGTTGCCATTGCTTTTGGTGTTTTAGACATAAAGTCCTTGCCCATGCCTATGTCCTGAATGGTATTGCCTAGGTTTTCTTATGGGGTTTTTATGGTTTTAGGTTTAACATTTAAGTCTTTAATCCATCTTGAATTAATTTTTGTATAAGGTGTAAGGAAGGGATCTAGTTTCAGCTTTCTACATATGGCTAGCCAGTTTTCCCAGCACCATTTGTTGAATAGGGAATCCTTTCCCCATTTCTTGTTTTTGTCAGGTTTGTCAAAGATCAGATAGTTGTAGATGTGTGGTATTATTTCTGAGGGCTCTGTTCTGTTCCATTGGTCTATATCTGTGTTTTGTTACCAGTACCATGCTGTTTTGGTTACTGTAGCCTTGTAATATAGTTTGAAGTCAGGTAGCGTGATGCCTCCAGCTTTGTTCTTTTGGCTTAGGATTGACTTGGCAATGCAGGCTCTTTTTTGGTTCCAAATGAACTTTAAAGTAGTTTTTTCCAATTCTGCATCACCTAGGTATTAAGCTCAGTGTTCATTAGCTGGTCTTCCTGATGGCCTCACTCCCCCTACCTCCCCACATGAAAGGCCCCAGTTTTTGTTGTTCCCCTCCCTGTGTCCATGTGTTCTCATTGTTTAGCTCCCACTTATAAGTGAGAGCATCTAGTGTTTGGTTTTCTGTTTCTGTGTTAGTTTGCTGAAGATAATGGATTCCAGCTCCCTCCATATCCTTGCAAAGGAAATGATCTCATTCCTTTGTATGGCTGCATACTATTCCATGGTATATATTTTCTTTATCCAGTCTATCACTGATGGGCATTTGGGTTGATTCCATGTCTTTGCTATTGTGAATAGTGCTGCAATGAACATGCAGGTGCATATATCTTTATAATAGAGTGGTTTATTTATTTATTTATTTTTTGAGACTGAGCCTTGCTCTGTCACCCCAGGCTGGAGTGCAGTGGTGCGATCTCGACTCACTGCAGCCCCTGCCATCCAGGTTCAAGTGATTCTTATGCCTAAGCCTCCTGAGTAGCTGGGACTAAAGGCACATGACATCACACCTGTCTAATTTTTGTATTTTTAGTAGAGATAGGGTTTCACTCGTTGGTCAGGCTGGTCTCAAACTCCTGACCTCTAGTGATCCGCCCACCTCAGCCTCCCAAAGTGCTGGGATTACAGGCATGAGTCGCTGCACCCGGACTGTAATAGAATGATTTATATTCCTTTGGGTATATACCCAGTAATGAGATTGTTGGATTAAATGGTATTTCTGCCTCTAGATCTTTGAGAAATCACAACACTATCTTCCACAATTGAACTAATTTCAATTGAACTAATTTACTAATTTGTTGAACTAATTTACACTCCCACTAACAGTGTAAAAGTGTTCCTTTTTCTCTGCATCCTCACCAGCATCTGTTGTTTCTGGACTTTTTAATAATCGCCATTCTGACTAGTGTGAGATGGTATCACTTTAAATCCCTATCAAGGTCACTGGTTTTAAATGCTTATAGAACTGGTTTAAAGGGAGGGAAAATAAGGCATGATAATGTAAAAGATTCAGTTTTTCTGGGAGGATTTTACAATTGCAAGAATACCATGTAAACACGCTTTTCAAATATCACTTAGAAAGCAATGTGACAAGTATAAATATTGTGAAGATACAATGAATGAAAACAAATGAAGTGAGAGACAAACCTACCCTGCAAAATACAAAATAGGAGAAAATATTTGCAAACCATATGTCTGTATAAAGAATTAGTATCCAAAATATATAAAGAACCCTTACAGCTCCATACCAAAAAATCCTCCAAAAGCCCGACAACAAATAATCTGGTTAAAAATTGGCAAAGGATCACAATAGATATTTCTCCGAAGAAGACATGCAAATGCCCAACACTTATATCAAAAGTGCTCAACATCACTAATCATCAGGGAAAAACAAATCAAAACCACAGTGAGATATTTCCTCATACATATTAGGAGGAGTATTAATAATAAAAAAAGTTAAGAAGTATTGGCCAGGATGTGGAAAAAAAAGGAGCACTTGTATACTGTTGGTGAGAATGTAAACTGGTGCAGCTGCTATGGAAAACAATAAGAAGATTCCTCAAAAAATTATAAATAACCCCACCATATGATCCAATAAACCTACTTCTTGGTATTTATACAAAGGAATTAATGTTAGGATCTTGAAGAGATATCTGTATTACTAGGTTCACGACAATAGCCAAGAAATGGAAACAACCTAAATGTCTGTTGATGGATGTATAGATAAAGAAAATGTGGTATATACATACAATGAAATATTATTCAGCCTTAAAAATGTAAGAAATCCTGCCATTTGCAACACCATGGATGAACCCAGAAGATATTATTCTAAGTGAAATAAACCAGACACAGAAAGACAAATACTGCATTATCTCGATTATATGATGAATCTAAAATAGTCAAATTCATAGAAGCAGAGAGTGGAATGATGGTTGGCAGGGGCTGGGGGGAGGTATTAATGGGGAAGTATTAGTCAGAGTGTACAAAGTATCAATTATACAAGATGAATAAATTCTAGAGATCTACTGTACAGTATAATGCGTATAGTTAACAATACTGTAATGTATAAGGTAGACTTTTTGTTACATATTCTTATCATACACACATACAATAATAATAAGGGCAGGAGAAAACTTTGGAGGTGATGTGTAGATTTATGGCATAGATTATGGTGATGGTTTCATGGGTGTATGCCTACTTCCAAACCCATCATGTTGTGTACATTTAATATTTATGACCTTTAATATATCAATCATACTTCAATAAAGTGGTTTAACAAAAAAATTACACACAAAAAAAATTTAGTAAGCATTGACATGAACTTATTTGTTATTCTAGAAACAATTTCAATGTGCAAATATATATAGGCATCATCCTCCCTAAAACACAAAAACAGAAAACAAAAAAATATATATCCTAACATTATATCAATAGATGCTTGTGGCTTAGAACAAAATTTAGAATTGATAGCATCATATACCATTTAAATGATTCTTTAAAAAAAATTTTGACAAAACTAAAAATGATATGCTCTGAAACCCACTGGAAGATGATAAATGCAGCATCAATTTTTTGAGTCTTTGGATGAAGGACTTTAGCCTGAAGAGTCACCTTGTCCTACAACAGACTTATAGTAAACAAGTTACAAAATTTTGTTTTATTAATCTACTAATATATGTTTTTCAACCAAAGTATAACCTACCCTATACTGACAAATACAACTGTCTACAGTATTTCCTTGAATTAACCTAGCCATCTGAACATAAATTCATACGGTTTTTACCTTTGTAATGTCCCTTACTTTCTTTTAGGAACAAACCAGTATATAAAATAACACTTATATGAATAAATCAGTCTAGACATGCTCTCCAGAAATATTCTTACCTACAAGTGTAAAATTTAAAAGACTACCACTTTTGAAAAATAAAAATATTTCTAAGTATCATCAATCATATCATGTTTATATTAATTTGCCTTTAAATATTGTTACCACAGTGTTTGAAAAATCAATTTGTAGATCTTGTTATAAAATATCTGCATTTTTACAAGCAATATAAAAACCAAAAAAATTTTATTCTAAAATAAGATAGGAATATGTATGGTCACATGCACTTGGAATTAGAAATGATAATTTACCAGATAGAGGTCTTTGTCTACACTGTTAATGTAAAAAATCAAACCTCTAGTTTCATAAAATGTATGTTAAAAATATTTCACAGAAATATATGCTTCAATAACTTTAATAACATTTTATAACAAGATGTATTTTGTTTGTTTGTTTGAAATGGAGTCTCGCTGCGATGCCCAGACTAGGGTGCGGTGATGTGATCTTGGCTCACTGCAACCTCCGCTTCCCAGGTTCAAGCAATTCTTGTGCCTCAGCCTCCCGAGTAGCTGGGACTACAGGTCCCCGCCACCATGCCCAGCTACTTTTTGTATTTTTAGTAGAGACGGAGTTTCACCATATTGGCCGGGCTGGTCTTGAACTCCTGACCTCAAGTGATCCACCTGCCTTGGCTTCCCAAAGTATTGGGATTACAGGCGTGAGCCACTGGGCCCAGCCTATAACAAGATGTATTTTTGATAGTAAACTGTATTTTCTATATCCCCACTTTTTCCATTGGAAATAAGGATTTCTCAAAGGCTGGCTTGAGTCACCACCCAACCATCTTCAGACTATCTGCAGAAACACCACTTCTCACTTCTTAGTGCATACCATGTGGTAATCTGCTACCTCGGAAAACCAGGGTTTTGGCTTAGCTATGTTTGGTGGAGAATGATGGCTTTCTCTGGAATAAGGGTAGCATAGTGTAAAGCCCATTATTCCAATTTGGAAATATCCCATTTTAGGTTTCCTATATCCTTCTTTATCAGGTCTTCTAGTCTTATCCACCAAGGGGCACAGGGAACACATGCAAATTTTTTTACCACACTTCACCAGCATGTGCTACCATATCTTTCTGTATAGTGATTTCATTTTTTTTTTGTTTCTTTGATTACAGTCTTGACTTGAATTTTATCCCCAACCAGAATATATTCACTGTGATATGAAGGAATTGTATAATTATAAGCATTGGTATGAGAATATTACAAATTATAAACAATGACTCTCCTATTATTTACTGCTTTACTAAGAGGAAAAATGTGCATTATTACCCACACTTACTCTACAAGACCTATTTAAATTTTAATATTAAAGTTGTTTTTGAGAAGACACTCTTTAATCACCTTCATCTAGCTTGGAAATTTCACAAAACTCAATTACTGAGTTAATGTCTATGGCCTGGTTTATAATAACACAGCTTAAATCAGCCACAGATCTAGAAGAGAAGCAGCATGGTGTGGTAGATCAAGGCTCTCCCCATGAGGTAAACATGTCCTGGATTCTCTACCCTCTTATTTGCTGTGAGACCTGAGCGTAGCATTGAACTCCATAAAATGAAGGCATGTGTCTACTTATCTTTTATTGGTTAGAATATAGGGGATAGGGCAAGATAATCTTTTCAGACCTCTTATAGCACTAAAACCATTGGCTGTTATATTAGGGTTAAATTAAAAGTTAAAAGTTACAGAAATTACTTGACTCTTTGTAGGAGATCTATTTATCTAGAAATGATGTGCCTGTCTATCCCCAAACCATTAACTAGATAGAAAAAGTTACCTATCCTCTTAAAAAAAAAGTATCCCAACTACTAAAGGATATTTTAATTTTAATTTTTGTTGTTAAATAGTAGAACTCTGAGAAATGAAATAAAGAAAAGCCACTGAATGAATATTCTGTGAATCAGGACAGCCTTTATAAGGGGTGACTTCATAATTTTTCCCTTGAAAGTATATCAGAGGGACAGATGAAGATGTATTCCAAGTTTTCCAGGTCCAGGTTTGCTGTATCTGTGGACTGAGGGGAAAGTAATTGGATTGGGTTGCTGAATAAAGCTCTTTTGGTAGGCCAAGGCATTTTTCCATCCACTTTAAGTCTTCTCTTACCAAAGAAAGTAGAATGACAGCCCATTCAGACTTGGAAAAGTGCTGATTGATACCCTGCCATTCAACATCCTACCACCAACACTCTGTGGGATCAGTTGGGATGAAGCAGGAAAAAACAAAACAACAAAAACACCTTCAGCCACTTCATTAAAGATGTATCTGTTTAAAATCTCTTTTTGACTGGTTGCTTTTCTTGATGACTTCTTCAGACATCTGTTTTTGTTTGTTTGTTTTTTTGAGACAGAGTCTCGCTCTGTCACCCAGGCTGGAGTGCAGTGGTGCGATCTCGGTTCACTGCAACCCCAGCCTCTTGGGTTCAAGTGATTCTCCTGCATCAGCCTCCACAGTAGCTGGGATTACAGGCTTGCGCCACCATGCCCGGCTAAATTCTGTATTTTTAATAGAGACGGGGTTTCGCCATGTTGGCCCGGCTGGTCTTGAACTCTTGATCTCAGGTGATCCACCTGCCTTGGCCTCCCAAAGTGCTGGGATTACAGGCGTGAGCCACCGCACCCGGCCTAAGACATCTGCTTTTATTTCTCAAGTTTTTTCAAAGGCTAATGAGATTTTTTTTTCACACTCTACTGGAGAAATAAAGTATAGATGTATAGATTATTTATATCCTTGCTTTGATCATCATTTCCATGATTGTCCAGTAGGCTTCATGAACTATTACTGAGATCAAAACATAACACTTCCTGTTACCACACTGAACAAATATCTGTCTGAGTAAATGTGCAGGAGTTTATTTTCATTCACCTGCTTAGAAATGTATAGCATAGGACTCCCATAACCCTATTCATTAAAAACTCTGATTCCTTACTGACAAGGGTTCCTTGGACACAGCATATATAATAGCTTTGAAATAGGACTCGCATCGCTTCTTTTTATGTAGTTAGAGATATGTGCCTGTTGTCCTTAATGAACTTATTTTCTTTACTTTTGTATTCTCCAGGTCTATCCAGCTGAAGTCAAAAATGCCCCTCTCAGGCTGCCCCCAGTGACTCCAGTTTCCTAGCAGAGCCTAACCAGGTCAGGTAGTAAAAGCAGTTTTCTTAGCACCACCTATAGACAGTCTAGAAGTATTATTCCTGATTTGTAATTGGTATGGTCCTGCCAAGCTCCTGGAGCATGTAAACCTTCTGTTGCAGGGTTTTTGTTTCTCCCCTGTTACCCACCATATTAATTCAGATCATGAATCTGCTACGCTTTCCTTGCTGGGCTTGAGATACTCCTCAAGCTGCAATTCGCTTGGCTGTGACTCCAACTCCCTATGTGGCTTGTATCAAGCCTCTCTCCTGTGGATCCTGGCTCCTGGCAAGAAGCTTGCTGTGACAAGAGTTATAATCAACATCAGATGGATTTCTGATGCTTTCCCTACCTGACTGATGGGGACCCTTAGTTACTCAGCATTGGGCTTCCATATCTTTTGATTTTTGGGCATTGGAATTCCTGGCTAGTCCCCCAGAAGCTAGCTGTTCAAGATTGGCAGGTCTTATGTTCTTCAAAGTCTCAGCTTCTGCTCCTTTCTTATTGATACAAATTGCGAAGGTACCAGGATGCCTCATGTCTCAGTCTGCCTAATTTGTAATACTATAGTGCTTATCCATATATACACATATAAATGCATTTGTTTTTATTACTGTAAGACAAAATACACTAAAGAATAAGGCATTGTATCTCCAATTCTTTCATTAGAATCCTCAGATCATGATGTACAAGAAATATCTTTAAAGCCCTGAAGCCACTGCTTGTTTGATCCTTGAGAGCCATAACTACTATCTATAACTTGTTCATGCACTTCTGCATCTATGACTCACCTAAATGAAATTTCATAAACCTACCTGAGGTCTAATAGAATGCACTGCTCTTAATTCCTTGCTTAATTTCATTACTTGATGGTTTCTGGACTACCCAGAACTTCAGAAGGCATTCCTTTCCCTAACAATCTAATTTACATCTAAAGTTGCATTAAATTTAGTCTTTGACTAAGTTGAGCCAAAAACATGATGCTGATATCTAAATAACATGATTTTACTTTATAGACTCTGATAGTTGAGAGATATCAAAGTTGTCACTCTGGTACGAAAGTTTTATTCTCCACAGCACAACCTGAATAGTTCTGAATTTCTTTCTATCAACTAAACACATTTTTCTATCAACACATGTTTTAATTCCCCTTTGCCTCCTGGAAACCTTTTCCTTCCTGGCATATTTCCATGATCATTTTTTAAATGCTATTCAGAAACCTTCATTTTCTCTAATACAAGAAACCATGGTGAAGCGTTCATTGCTCAGACTTTCTTTACCTTGGGCTTTTGTAATGGAGAGTAGATTCTTCTTTGGAATGTGAAGTTTATATTAATAGTAATCTCAGGCAAAAGCATAATTATGGCACATGCAAGGCTCCAGAACAGTCTCATTGATGTCCCTGCTTCCTGGGCTTACAGTGAACTCCAGACAGACTTCTGTGGTTCCACCAATGAACTGCTGGGCAACTTTTGTCTTAGTCACTAAGAATTACTGTCAATAATGTTTTAAATTCTTTCTGACTTTTGTCTTCCTCTCAAGCTACTAACTTCCACTAATCTGACACGTGTGAGTAAACTTCACTTTGCAAGTATCTGTTCCTGTTTACCTTGTGGACGTTAGACAGCCTATTGAATACGGTTCACAAGTGTTGTCCCAGGGATTTTTAGTCAGTTACCATCATCGGGGGATTCCCTTTATCACTCCTTTAAATTTAATCCTCTGTTTGCTTGACACTAGTCTTCCTCTTTCTTTATTTACTTCTTTTTGATGAAGACTTTGCCTTTGTCAGGCAACTAATGGAGAAGTTCAGTCAGAGTTCAACCAGAGAAACAGAACTAATAGGCAATATACACTAAGGATTTTTTTTTTTTTTTTTGAGTCAGGGTCTCACTCTGTCACCCAGGCTGCAGTTGTGGGAGCTGGTTAGACAAGTCCAAAATGTATCAAGCTGAAGCTGATAGGTAGAATTTCTTCTTCCAGGAAACCATTCTGCTGTAAAGCTTTTCAACTGATTGAATTAGGGCCACTCAGATGATATAGGATTATCTCTTTTACTTAAAGTCAACTGACTGTAGATGTCTATTTTATCTATTCTTTCTTTCTTGAAATCTGAAAGATTGTCTCCTGTCTGTAAGAAAGCTTGAGATCTGGAATATTGTCTTAGCAGGCTGTAAGCTTGGTGAACCACCCTTATTTATTGATAGAATTTACCTCAGGTGACCTAGATATAGTCTCTCTTCTTCTTGGATAGTACAAATTTTTATAAATCTTTAGTTTTGATACCACCTTTTCTAGCTTCGGTTTGAATTACTGGGCTTCTATAAACACATCCCATCCTTTCTACAGATGGATTTGATTGATTGTTATATTTTTTATTTACATTTGATTATTTGACTGGATTTTGATCTCCTCAGGAAAAAGAAAATGTCTCCTCAGGAAAAAGAAAATATCTCTTGAATATGAAACTTCTACAGTTGGTGACTTTCAACTTCTGTATTTTAATTCTCAGTGGTTTCATTCTCATATTTTGGCCTTTTTATGATCTGGCCTAAGCTTCTGAGAGTTTATAATTGTAGCCATCCAGATAACATAAGCTACATGTAAATTTGAACTTCTAGTATGGAGATTCTAAGAATCTGGACATTCTGTTCTTTAATCACTGGAAAGCAACTTAAAAGTTTAGCATCCAATTTCCTGCTACTATGACAAATTCCACACTAAACATCATGGGAAAAATACATTCCAGCTTCATCCACATTAGCAATGAATTTCAATTCATAACCTTACACAGTTGTCTTTAGAAGTACTAGCATTCCCTTCCCACGTTCTTATCTATAGCTACAGCCTCCAACCCATTTCCTGAGACATATGGTTCTGTATTTCTTGGAAGGTTCGCAGCAATTCATTACTACATTCAAAATCCCCTGAGTCCAGCTACAATGCAGGGTAATTACTCCAACGTGGAGAAGAGTCAAACTGCATGTGAACGTGCTTCTCCAATAATTATAACCCATATCTTCAAAAGAGTGACAAGCATTTTTGCTTAGCTTTTAGAATCATAAGGTGGAAGCTCAGTTAAGTACTTTGCATAATGCTATTTTGGACAGTAATCATTGGGAGTACATAGGCTTTATTCAGTATTGAACCATTGGTAAGCATTTAAAAATATTTGTACACACACACACACACACACACACACACACACACACACAAACAGGACTTGACAATATCACTGCCCCTGCTCAGTAGTAGCTTTGTCAACAAACAAGTAGAGTCACTGAAGTGAAATATTCACTGTCAATTAGCAGCTGGGTCAATGTTACTAATTGTCAAACTATTTTTTTTGCTATAAAACACATTTACACACAATCTTGTGTAGAAACCCACTATATAAAACAGACAAGGGCCAGGTGCAGTGTCTCTTGCCCATAATCCCAGCACTTTGGGAGGCTGAGGCAGGAGGATTGCTTGAAACTAGATGTTTGAGACTAGCCTGGGCAACATAGGGAGACCCCACGTCTAAAATCATACAAAAATTAGCTGAGTGTGGTGGCACATGCCTGTAGTCCCAGCTACTCAGGAGGCTGAGGCAGGACGATTACTTGATCCCAGGAGGTCGAGGCTGCAGTGAGCTGTGATGGAGCCACTGCACTCCAGTCTAGATGACAGAGTGAGACCCTGTCTCAATAAATAAATAAAAAGAAAAAGGATTAGGACAGAGTTGCTCAGCTTGAAGGATATGGGATGCGCAGACTGACATGAGTTTAGCTGCCTCCTCATATCACAGTGGTCAGTGAAGTACATCTAGAGAATCCCAGAGCTCTGCAGAGTATACTAGGAAACCACAAATTTATGTTATTTACAAGAACATTTTGGTTATTCACTTAGCACAATGGCTATTTTCGCCATATAAAATTGTCAAAAGACAAAATTACAACAAATTTAGTTATAGATAGAATTGGTTTTTATCTGTGGCTCATGAATTGGGGCAGCTTCTATTCTTCAAGATAGAGTAAAGCTCCCACTGGGCAATGGCAGAACAGTGGGTTTTGTAAAGGGGGGACAAGGAAAAGAGCAATGTAAAAATAACTGAGGCTGGGCACGGTGGTTCACACCTGTAATCCTAACACTTTGGGAGGCTGAGGTGGGCGGATCAGGAGGCCAGGAGTTCGAGAGCAGCCTGGCCAACATGGTGAAATCCCATCTCTACTAATAATACAAAAATTAGCCAGGTGTGGTGGTGTGCGCGTATAGTCCCAGCTACTCAGGAGGCTGAGGCAAGAGAATCGCTTGAACCTGGGAGGCGGAGGTTGCAGTGAGCCAAGATCACACCACTGCACTCCAGCCTGGGTGACAGTGCAAGACTCCATCTGAAAAATAAAAAAAAATTAGAATAAAATAAAATAAAATAAAATAAATAAAATAAAAATCTGAGTGGGGCTGGGCCCAGTGGCTCATGCCTATAATTTCAGCACTTTGGGAGGATGAGGCAAGAGAATTGCTTGATGTCCAGAGTTTGAGAGCAGCCTGGGTAACAAAGTGAGACCTCATCTCTACAAAAAACAAAATAAAAAATTGGCTGGGCGTGGTAGTGTGTGCCTGTAGTTAGTCCCAGCTACTCAGGAGGGTGAGGGGAGAGGATCTCTTGAACCTAGTATTTCTATGCTGCAATGACCCATTATTGCACCTCTGCACCCCAGCTTGGGTGACAGAGTGAGACCCCACATAAAAAAAAGAATAAAAATAACTGATTATTTAATATCAGGTTACTTTTTTGTGCAGGTTCAAAGAGAGAGGACTTCCTTATTACTCTGACTCAGGTAGACTGGAGTCTCCTATTTTCAGGAAAAGTTGGTCCATTTGGGATCTATTTGATTTCTTAAAGCTTTAGTTTGATTATGTGCCATTTAGCATGAGTGACCCTGTTTTGGTTTGGTCCAATTTGTTAGGGACTAGTGCAGGAATTCCATCCTAAAACAATGGCCTCCTGTAATTTTTGTTTCACAAAACATAGCCAGTAAGTACCAGTTAGTGGCTAGTTTTTGAGGAATTTATTGTGCATAGCATTAAAATAAGCATCGAGGGGAAGAAATTGCTATGAAAAAATAAAATCTTGGAGCCTGGAGACAATCTGAAATGAAAACAAAAGAAGGAGTCTATTGTGAAAAAAAACCTAAAACATAAATGAATGTAATCACAGGAAGACGTTAAACTGCACTAAATAGAGCACAACTGATCTTGTTTGATCTGGGAAACTAAGTAGAGCTGATCTTGTTATGTTGACAGCAAATGCCTAGGGTTACCATGAGCTATCTAGATACCAGATAGTTTCAGGGCAAAGATGTTCTCGGGTTTAGCAGGAATCTATTCAATATAATGCTTCACTCACCAGCACTTTGGCATAGTTGTTTTGCTTTTGTGAGCATCAATAAAACAGACAAACCATGATCCTAAAATACTTGATGAGTCACCAGGAGAAGATTATACTACATTCAGCACAAGTACCCATATATTATTATAATATGATTTAATATAATATGATGTAATAGAATATCATGTATTATTATTGTTCGAAACCTGTTGAAAATGTTATATGGTATGTCAAAAGCATATCTTTCCAGAAGCCAGAATATTGTAGAGCTGGGATATTGCATTCCCTGACTGTATCATATAAGAGAAGTTTCTCTGTATAAGTACTAAAGAGTAGCTAAAGTCATTGAAGAGACCAGAATCAAGGACATGAAACAAAAAGGTTTTGAGAACTTTAAATGTAGTAAGAAGATTTGGCAGAGAAACTTAGAAGAGGGCATTTCTGTTAAAGAATCTCCTCATACTTACGTAGCTTAAATTCACTTTGCTTGTTTTTCAATTGGTGTATTTATAAGGCACTTGTCTTCCAAAAGTAGATTTGTATTTCGATGATAATGGCAATAGTGCTTTCTTTGTAGAACCTATCTGTGTGATCTTGGCCAAATCAGACTGGGTGAAACATAGAGCACACATTTGCTTCTTCTGAATGGTGCTTCATCTCAGTGGCTGAGCCACGTGGATGGCATTCAGAAATAACAGTTGTGCTTCCACACAGCGGTGAGCCAATCCCCAGTGATTCTAAAGGCTGAATGTTCTGGTTCTGCAACCAAATGAATACAATTATAGATACTTAGCCGACCCTGACTAGGTTTCATTCTTTCATTAATTAACACATGTATTATAGGCACTTATTTGGGCACTGCAGAGCTGCTGTAGATTATCTAAAGTTTAATTCAATATGGCTTTCCCCCTTAGAATCTTGTTATGATTATTCTTATATCTTCCCTTCTGCCCATCTCTGAAAATTTCTCACTTCCCCTCTTGGAACACCATACTATGATTAAATTCACTTCCAGGGACTGGCCATGGCTTAGAAAAATGATTCTCTTACTTGCCAGGATCCCTGTACAGACGCTGCCGAGTCAAATTTAGTGCCAAAGGGAATGTGTGCTTTATTTGATCAGCGCTGATTTCTGAGCTGGGCCCTGGAAAAAGAAAACATGGATTTTGTCAGTATCTGTGGACCCAGAAAAAGGTATCCTTATTGCAATCTGTCCTGATTACAGCTGTGCTGGTACCAAGTGTGGCACTCAGAATATCCAGTATGCTCTCATGTCAACCAAACTTAATTTCTGTATGCAGCAAATGCTAGGGCCTGTTAAATGGATGAAATGTACAGCTTGTAAAATATCTGCTTCTTAAGTTGGAAGTGACTTTGTCTTTGATAACTTTACCTCTCCAAAGAAAATCTTCTACCACCCACTCAAAATGTCAGGTTCCTCCTGGTCTCCATAATGATCCATAAATATCTACCCTGAACTCATGATGATGATTGGATTCAACATTATAATTGCATATGCCTGACTTTTCCACTCTGTCAACAGCCTCTTTTCTGGAGTATCTCCCAGTGATCATGTCATATCCTGTTAGGTAAATTGTGAACCTGTAGGATTGTATCTCCTAGTTTTATGAGTGAAGATCACATTTAATTCTCTGTCATTTTCAGAACATAACACATCGTTAGTGCTTTAAAAGGATGAAACATGCAGGGCATTTGTAAACTTTAAAAGTACTTTTTTATCTGTTATTTTATGCAATCCCTACAATTATCCTTTGAGGGCTGGCAAATCCCGGTTTGACAAATGAGAAAACTGAGGCATAAAGGCTAAGTGACTTCTCTGAAGTCACACAGTGACAGAACCAGATTTAGGATCCAGTTCCCTTGACTCCTAGACTCAGACTTTTTTTTTTGTTAAATATTGTCTAGTCATATTACTACTCTCTGAAAGCTATTCCCACCAGAAGTCTCATTTTAATTAGATATTTCATACCTTTAAACTCTGTAGTGTGGCTAGCATTTACAAAATCATGCTGAGTAGAGGCAGTGAACAAGGCTTGGGTTGCCCAAAGCAGAAAAAAGATATAAAGATGAAACCACCAGACAGATTTTATTTATGACTATTTTAGAGAGGGTAGTGCAACCTCTGATTCTCCTTAACACCAAGTTCTGTTGAAACTCAGTCTTTATCACAGGAACCACTGGGTGCCTTTCTCATGGCCACAGCAGCTTGGCTTACAACCGTCTTCAAACAGCCAGGCTGTGCCCCAGAACTTCACTGGGCTTCCTTCCATAACTATGGATCTGTGAGCATCACTTTAATTTCAGAGTGTGGAAGACACCTTAATAAGAATCATGAATCACATTTTACAAATCAGGATACACAGGATGTAAGGTTAAGTGACCTGTCCTATCAGGGCCACAAAGCCAGTTAAACTTCTTTATTAACTGAGTCACTTAAAAATCATTTATTTAAAAACCTATTTTGTTCCAGGAACTATTCTGGGTACTGGAAATAAAACAGTGGAGACAGAGAGAGGGGAAATAAAAAACAAGACAAAAATGATTGCTTTGGTGGAGTTTATATATTCCACTGGAAGAAGGTAGATAATAAATAAAAGTGAAAAAGTACATTATAAGGTGGGAGGAAGGCTTGAGCCTAGGAGGTTGAGGTTGCAGTGGGCCGAGATTGTGCCACTGCACTCTAGACTGGGCAACAGGGCAAGACGTTGTCTCAAAAAAAAAAAAAAAAAAAGAAAAGTAAATTATAGAGTATCTTAAAAGGTGACATTACATGAAAGAAAAACAAAGCAGAAAAAAGGGTAAGTAGTTCTGGGCACTAAGTACATTTTAAACAGGGTAGTCGGGGTTATTGACTGAGAAAGTGATATTTTTTGGCAATAACTTAAAATGGCAAAGAAGTAAGCAATGAGAATATCTGAGGAAAGCCTGTGCAAAGCCCCTAAGGCAGGAACATGATGACATCATTGGGAGACCAGAGCTAGGAGTACTGGGGCAGCATGAGCCAGATGCATAATAGTTTGATATGAAATCTTAGAGGTCATGAAGAGCCAGATTTATGTAGGGTCTTGTAGGCCATAGTAAAGATTTTGGTTTTTAACCTGAGTGAGTGAGATGAGGAAACACTGAAGAATTTTGAGTAATGGAATGATATCTTTGAGCTTAGTTTTAAATGGATTATTCTGGGTTTTGTGGTAAAGAATGGATTAGAGCGAGGACAGCATAGAACTAGGGAAACCAGTTAGAGATCTATCACAATAGATTTAGTCAAGAGAAGATGGTGGCTCAGATCAAGTGGTAGAGGTTGAAATGGTGAGAAGAAGTCAGATTCTAGATGTATTTTGAAGAAGGAGCCAAGAAGATGTGTTGAAAAATCAAATTTGGGGTGAAAAAAGAAAAGGAGAAATTAAAGATGACTTGAAGTTTATAGCCTGAGCAATTGAAAAGATATATTTGCAGTTAACTAAGATGGCATAGCCTTCAAAAGGACCAGGTTTGGAAAGTGATGAACCATTCAGTTTTAGAAATATTTAGTTTGAGATGTGTATTGGATATCCAAGCAGTAATGTCAAATAAGCAATTGGGTATGAATTTAGAGTTCAGGTAAGAGAATTGAACTAGAGAATTTAGCTGTTAGCAGAGTATAGATGATATTGAAAGCCATGAGAATACCAGAGGATTGAATGTAGATAGAGAAAAGAAGAGCCATCTAAGGATTAAACCCTGAGATACATTTGGTATGTTAGTCTAGAACTCAATCATAGGTTCTTAACAAACTGCGCTCTGGAGTATTGGTTTAAGGCTTATAGAATTGGATTAACCCTACTTTGTGCTACTAAAGACAAAATTTCATAAAAGCCTCTCAAGAATCCAAAGTTTATTATAAACCAAGCTTTCCTTAAATGTCAAGTATGTTGAAGTATTGTTCATATTCATGGAGTAAAATGACAGCAACATTTCATAGGGTTGCCCCCACCCCCAACCTTTTGGATCTGGTGCTAGTTTATTCTTCATTGTTTCTGTGTACTTTCTCCATGAAGACTGCAACCCCTTGAACAATTAGCCCCCAACAGACTGAGTAAGTACTAGCCAAACACTGGATTCCTATAGCTATGTTAATGTATTGCTTTGGGGACTATGGAGCTTTCAGATAACGATGCTCTTTTTTTCTTGTAGAGTGAGAGCATTTTTCTAGGAGTTAGTTTTAAGATGGTCGAATCCATATTAGCTTTGTATCCCTATCCTCTAGGCACTAGTTCAAGGATTTAAGTGTATGCAAGAATCAGAATATGCTTATTTAAAATGCAGATTCTCTGGTCTTTTTAAAGTATAATTTTTAAAAATTTCTTTATTATTATTATTATTAAACTTTAAGTTTTAGGGTACATGTGCACACTGTGCAGGTTAGTTACATATGTATACATGTGCCATGCTGGTGTGCTGCACCCATTAACTCGTCTTTTAGCATTAGGTATATCTCCTAATGCTATCCCTCCCCCCTCCCCCCACCCCACAACAGTCCCCAGAGTGTGATGTTCCCCTTCCTGTGTTCATGTGTTCTCATTGTTCAATTCCCACCTATGAGTGAGAACATGCGGTGTTTGGTTTTTTGTTCTTGCGATAGTTTACTGAGAATGATGATTTCCAGTTTCATCCATGTCCCTACAAAGGACATGAACTCACCATTTTTTATGGCTGCATAGTATTCCATGGTGTATATGTGCCACATTTTCTTAATCCAGTCTATCATTGTTGGACATTTGGATTGATTCCCAGTCTTTGCTATTGTGAATAGTGCCGCAATAAACATACGTGTGCATGTGTCTTTATAGCAGCATGATTTATAGTCCTTTGGGTATATACCCAGTAATGGGATGGCTGGGTCAAATGGTATTTCTAGTTCAAGATCCCTGAGGAATCGCCGCACTGACTTCCACAAGGGTTGAACTAGTTTACAGTCCCACTAACAGTGTAAAAGTGTTCCTATTTCTCCACATCCTCTCCAGCACCTGTTGTTTCCTGACTTAATGATTGCCATTCTAACTGGTGTGAGGTGGTATCTCATTGTGGTTTTGATTTGCATTTCTCTGATGGCCAGTGATGATGAGCATTTTTTCATGTGTTTTTTGGCTGCATAGATGTCTTCTTTTGAGAAGTATCTGTTCATGTCCTTTGCCCACTTTTTGATGGTGTTGTTTGTTTTTTTCTTGTAAATTTGTTTGAGTTCATTGTAGATTCTGGATATTAGCCCTTTGTCAGATGAGTAGGTTGCTAAAATTTTCTCCCATTTTGTAGGTTGCCTGTTCACTCTGATAGTAGTTTCTTTTGCTGTGCAGAAGCTCTTTAGTTTAATTAGATCCCATTTGTCAATTTTGTCTTTTGTTGCCATTGCTTTTGGTGTTTTAGACATGAAGTCCTTCCTAAGCCAAGAGAACAAAGCTGGCGGCATCACGCTACCTGACTTCAAACTATACTACAAGGCTACAGTAACCAAAACAGCATGGTACTGGTACCAAAACAGAGATATAGATCAATGGAACAGAACAGAGCCCTCAGAAATAACGCCACGTATCTACAACTATCTGATCTTTGACAAACCTGAGAAAAACAAGCAACGGGGAAAGGGTTCCCTATTTAATAAATAGTGGTGGGAAAACTGGCTAGCCATATGTAGAAAGCTGAAACTGGATCCCTTCCTTACACCTTATACAAAAATTAATTCAACATGGATTAAAGACTTAAACGTTAGACCTAAAACCATAAAAACCCTAGAAGAAAACCTAGGCATTACCATTCAGGACATAGGCATGGGCAAGGACTTCATGTCTAAAAATTTCTGTTTCTATTTTTTTTATTGATATGTAGTAGTTGTAGATTCTCTGGTCTTATCTTTAGAGATTCCGATACTTTAGGTCTGTAGTGGAGCCTATGAATTGGTACAACAAGTGATTCTGATGCTGATTCAGAATCAGAAGAGGCAACTTACTGTTGACAGTGGACAAGTGATTCTGTTAGGCCATTTCTTTGATATAGGAAGATAAATTTCTAGGGTTGCTGGGAAGATTATGGACAGATTATGATCTTGAAAGAAGTCCTAAAGGTGGACTGTATTAAATAAAGTGTATATTCTAGGAAAGAGGATGTAAATCCATATAGGGGAGATTTCTTTTTCTAATAATCAGCTTTATCAATGGAAAGATACTTGTGAATGTGTTTCATCTTTGAAGAATAAAAGAAAATATCAATTTGAGATGTCATAGAGAAGGTTCCTCTGTGGGAAATAAGGTTTTACTAGTTGACTTCTAAAGCTGCCGTAAATTATTTTTCAGAACAAGACAAAGAATGTATAAAGAAGTAGCCTCTTGGGTTTCTACCAGCTCACAGATTCTTTGGGTGTTTTTAAGGCATTCAAAAGAGAAAGGACTAGCTCATATTTTTATCACAGTTTTTGCCTACTTCCTTCAACATGGGGGCATCCTGGTAGAGAAAAACAATTTAAAACTGTTTCCAGATATTTTGGTAAAAGTTTCCACTCTACTATGGGTAAGTAGTGAATTAGAATTAGCATGACTAGGATTGCTACTATCTTTGGATAAGACTTATAAACCACATGAATGATAAGAAAGAAACTGTTATATGAAGAGTTTGCCCTGGATGATTTCTAAGAACTCTTTACTTCTAGGTTCTCTAAGTTCTAAAACCCTATAGGTTCACCTGAGTTCTTATCCACCCTTATGAAAAACTGCTAGAGAACTCACAGAATTTCATCTCTCTACCTCATTCCCTGAACAAAGTCAGGGAATGAGGTAGAGAGATGACTCCAATAACCCCAGCTCCTTATTCCATCTTTTAAATGATTTTTTATAAATTTCAGTAGGTTTTTGGGGAACAGGTGGTGTTTGGTTACATGGATAAGTTCTTTAGTGGTGATTTCTGAGATTTTGGTGCACCCATCACCCAAGCAGTATACACCGTATCCAATGTATAGTCTTTTATCCCTCACTCCCCTCCCACCCTTCCCCCTGAATCTGCAAAGTCCATTGCATCATTTTTATGTCTTTGCATCCTTAGAGCTTAGCTCCGTCTCATGAGTGAGAACATACAATGCATCGTTTTCCATTCCTGGGTTACTTCACTTAGAATAATGGTCTCCAAATCCATCCAGGTTCCTTCGAATTACATTATTTCATTCTTTTTTATGACTGAGTAGTATTTCATAGTATATGTATATATATATATTGCATTTTCTTTATCCACTCGTTGATCGATGAGCATTTGGGCTGGTTCCATATTTTTGCAATTGCGAATTATGTTGCTATAAACATGCATGTGCAAGTGTCTTTTTTATATTATGACTTTTCCTCTGGGTAGATATCCAGTAGCAGGATTCCTGGAGCAAATGGCAAATCTACTTTTAGTTCTTTAAGGAATCTCCATATTTTTTTCCATACCAGCAGGGTAAAAGTGTTCCCTTTTCACCACAGCCATGCCAACATCTATTATTTTTGGATTTTTTAATTATGACCATTCTTGCAGAAGTAAGGTGGTATTGCACTGTGGTTTTGATTTGCATTTCCCTGATAATTAGTGATACTGAGCATTTTAAAAATATGTTTGTTGGCCATGTGTATATCTTCTTTTGATAATTGTCTATTTATGTCCTTAGCCAACTTTTTGATGTGATTATTTGTATTTGGTTGGATTTTTTTTTTTTTGTCTTGTGATTTGTTTGATTGCCTTGTAGATTCTGGATATTATTCCTTTGTTGAATGCTTCGTTTGTGAAGATTTTCTCCCACTCTGAGGGTTCTGTTTACTCTGCTGATTATTTCTTTTGCGGTATAGAAGCTTTTTAGTTTAATTAAGTTCCACCTTTTTATTTTTGTTTTTGTTGCATTTGCTTTAGGGTTCTTGGTCATGAAGTCTTTGCCTAAGCCAATGTTTAGAAGGGTTTTTCTGATGTTACCTTCTAGAATGTTTACAGTTTCAGGTCTCAGATTTAAATCTTTGATCCATATTGAATTGATGTTTGTATAAGGTGAGAGATTAGGATCTAGTTTCATTCTCCTACATGTGTCTTGCCAATTATCCCAGCACCAATTGTTAAATAGGGTGTACTTTCTCCACTTTATGTTTTTGTTTGCTTTGTTGAAGATCAGCTGGCTGTAAGTATTTGGCTTTATTTCTGGGTTCTCTATTCTGTTCCATTAGTCTACATGCTTATTTTTATACCAGAACCATGCAGTTTTGGTGATTATAGCCTTGTAGTATAGTTTGAAGCCAGGTAATGTGATGCCTCCAGATTTGTTTTTTTGCTGCTTAGTCTGGCTTTGGCTATGCAGGCTTTTTTTTTGTTTTAGTTCCATATGAATTTTAGGGTTGTTTTTTCTAGTTGTGTGAAGAATTATAATGATATTTTGATGGGAATTGCATTAAATTTTTAGATTGCTTTTGGCAGCATGGTCATTTTGACATTATTGGTTCTGCCCATCCATGAGTATGGGATGTGTTTTTATTTGTTTGTGTCATCTATGATTTCTTTCAGCAGTGTTTTGTAGTTTTTGTTGTAGAGGTCTTTCAACTCCTTGGTTAGGTATTGTGTAAGGCCATGGGAGCCCACCTCTTCCATCAGCATGACCTAGATGTGAGACATAGAGGCAAAGGAGAACATTTCAGAGCTTTAAGATTTGATTGCCCTGCTGGATTTCAGACTCGCATGGGGCCTGGAGCCCCTTCATTTTGGCCAATTTCGCTCATTTGGAACAGCTATATTTACCCAATGCCTTTACCCCCATTGTATCTAGGAAGTAACTAACTTGCTTTTGATATTATAGGCTCATAGGTGGAAGAGACTTGCCTTGTCTCAGATGAGACTTTGGACTTGGACTTTTGGGTTAGTGCTGGAATGAAGCTTCTGAACAGCAAAAGAAACCGTCATCAGAGTGAATAGGCAAACTACAGAATGGGGGGAAAATTTTGCAATCTATCCATCTGACAAAGGGCTAATATCCAGAATCTACAAGAAACTTAAACAAATATACAAGAAAAAAACAAACAACCCCATGAAAAAGTGGGCAAAGGATATAAACAGACACTTCTCAAAAGAAGACATTTTTGGGAGGACAAGGTGGGTGGATCACCGGAGGTGAGGAGTTTGAGACAAGCCTGGCCAATATGGAGAAACCCCGTCTTTACTAAAAATACAAAAATTTGCTGGGCGTGCTGGTGGGCACTTGTAATCCCAGCTACTTGGAAGGCTGAGGCAGGAGAATTGCTTGAACCCCAGAGGCGGAGGTTGCAGTGGGCCAAGATTGTGCCACTGCACTCCAGCTTGGGTGACAAGAGCAAAACTCTGTCTCAAAAAAAAAAAAAAAAAAACCATAATCCCAGGACTTTGGGAGGCCGAGGCGGGCAGATCATGAGGTCAGGAGATTGAGAACATCCTGGCTAACACGGTGAAACCCTGTCTCTACTAAAAATACAAAAAATTAGCCAGGTGTGGTGGCAGGTGCCTGTGGTCCCAGCTACTTGCGAGGCTGAGGCAGGAGAATGGCGTGAACCCGGGAGGCAGAGCTTGCAGTGAGCTGAGATCGTGCCACTGCACCCCAGCCTGGGCGACAGAGTGAGAATCCATCTCAAAAAAAAAAAAAAAAGAAACAGAAGACATTTATGTGACCAACAAACATATGAAAAAAAGCTCATCATCACTGGTCATTAGATCAATGCAAATCAAAACCACAATGAGATACCATCTCACGCCAGTTAGAATGGCGAACATTAAAAAGTCGGGAAATAACAGATGCTGGAGAGGATGTGGAGAAACAGGAACGCTTTTACACTGTTGCTGGGACGGTAAACTAGTTCAACCATTGTGGAAGACAGTGTGGCACTTCCTCAAGGATCTAGAACCAGTAATACCGTTTGACCCAGCAATGCCATTACTGGGTATATACTCAAAGGATTATAAATCATTCTGCTATAAAGACGCATGCATACATATGTTTACTGCAGCACTGTTCACAAAAGCAAAGACATGGAACCAACCCAAATGCCCATCAATGATAGACTGGATTAAGAAAATGTGGCACATATACACCATAGAGTAGTATGCAGCCATAGAAAGGATGAGTTAATGTCCTTTGCAGGGATATGGATGAAGCTGAAAACCATCATTCTCAGCAAGCTTACACAGGAACAGAAAACCAAACACCGCATGTTCTCACTCGTAAGTGGGAGTTGAACAATGAGAACACATGGACACAGGGAGGGGAACATCACACACCGGGGCCTGATGAGGAATGGGAGTTAGGGGAGGGATAGCATCAGAAGAAATACCTAATGTAGATGACGGGTTGATGGGTGCAGCAAACCACCATGGCATGTGTAGACCTATGTAACAAACGTGCACGTTCTGCACAGGTATCCCAGAACTTAAAGTATTAAAAAAAAAAAAAGACTTTGGGGGACTATTGGGAAGGCATGATTTGTTTTGAAATGTAAAAGAGACATGAGGTTTGGGAGGGGCCCGGGGCAGAATGATATGGTTAGGTTTTGTGCCCCCACCCAAATCTCATCTTGAATTGTAATCCCCATAATCCCCACGTGTCAAGGGAGAGACCAGGTGGAGATAATTTAATCATGGGGTCAGTTCCCCAATGCTGACCTCATGATAGTGAGTTCTTATGAGATGTGATGGTTTTATATAGGCCTCTTCCCTCTTCACTGGGCACTTCTCCTTCCTGCCACCTTGTGATGAAGGTGCTTTGCTTCCCCATCACCTTCTGCCATGATTGTAAGTTTCCTGAGGTCTCCCCAGTCATGCCGAACTGTGAGTCAATTAAATCTTTTTCCTGTATAAATTACCCAGTCTTGGGCAGTTCTTTACAACAGTATGAAAATGGACCAATAGAGGTATATTCCTAAGTGGTTTTTTTTTTTTTTTTTTTTTTTTTGCAGCTATCATAAAAGAGATTGAGTTCTTGACTTGGTTCTCAGTTTGGCCTCTGTTGGTGTATAGCGGTGCTACTGATTTGTGTATATTGATTTTGTATCCTGAAATTTTCCTGAATTCATTTATCAGATGTGGAAGCTTTTTGGACATGTCTTTATGGTTTTCCAAGTATACAATTATATCATCAGTGAACAGCGATGATTTGACTTCCTCTTTACCAATTTGAATGCCGTTTCTTTCTCTTGTCTGACTTCTCTGGCTAGGACTTCCAGTACTATGTTGAATAGAAATGGTGAGAGTGGACATCTTTGTCTTGTTCTAGTTCTCAGGGGGAATGCTTTCAACTTCTCCTCATTCAGTATAATGTTGGCTGTGGGTTTGTTATAGATGGCATTGATTGCCTTAAGAAATGTCTCTTCTACGCCAATTTTGCTGAGAGTTTTAATATAAAAGGATGCTGGATTTTGTCAAATGATTTTTCTGCGTCTGTTGAGGTTATCATGTGATTTTTGTTTTTAATCCTTTGTGGTGTATCACATTTATTGACTAGTGTATGTTAAATCATCCCTGCATGCCTGGTATAAAACCCGCTTGATCATGATGGATTATCTTTTCGATATGCTGTTGTATTTGGTTAGCTAGTATTTTGTTGAGGATTTTTGCATCTATAGTCATCAGGGATATTGGTATGTAGTTTTCTTTTCTTGTTATGTCGTTTCCTGGTTTTGGTATTAGGGTGATACTGGCTTCATAGAATGAAATTAGGGAGGATTCCCTCTTTATCTTTTGGGATAGTGTCAATAAGATTGGTACCAATTCTTCTTTGAATGTCTGATAGAATTTAGCTCTGAATCTATTTGGTCCTGGTCTTTTTTTGGTGGTGATTTTAAAAATTACCATTTCTATTTTGCTGCTTGTTATTGGTTTGTTCACAGTTTATATTTCTTCCTGGTTTAAACTAGAAGAATTATATCTTTCCAGGAATGTATCCATCTCCTCTAGGTTTTCTCGTTTGTGCGTATACAGGTGTCCATGGTAGACTTGAATAATCTTTTGTATTTCTGTGGTATCAGTTGTAATATCTCCCATTTCATTTCTAATTTAGCTTATTTGGATCTTCTCTCTTCTTTTCTTGGTTAATCACACTAATGGTCTATCAATTTTCTTTATCTTTTCAGAAAACCAGTTTTGTTGGTCAGGCACAGTAGCTCACGCCTGTAATCCCAGCACACTGGGAGGCTGCGGAGGGCAGATCACCTGAGGTCGGGAGTTCAGTACCAGCCTGGGCAACATAGCAAATCCCTGTCTCTACTAAAAAAAAAAAAGAAAAAAAAAAAAAAAAAAAAAAAAAAAAAAAAAAAAATTAGCCGGACATGGTCCAGGTGCCTGTAATCCCAGCTACTTGGGAGACTGAGGCAGGGAGAATTGCTTGAACCCAGGAGGCAGAGATTGTAGTGAGCCGAGATCATGCCACCTCACTGCAGCCTGGGCGACAGAGAGACTCCATCTGAAAAAGAAAATAAAAAAAAAACCAGTTTTTTGTTTCATTTGTCTTACAGATTTTTTTGATTCAGTTTCATTTAGTTTTGCTCTGATCCTTTTTATTTTTTTCTTCTGCTGGGTTTGAGTTTGTTTTTTTCTTGTTTCCCTAGTTCCTTGAAATATAACCTTAGATTGTCTATTTATGCTCCTTCAGACTTTTTGATGTAGACATTTAATGCTATGAGCTTTCTTCTTAGCACTGCTTTTGATGTATCCCAGAGGTTTTGATAGGTTATGTCACTATTATTGTTCAGCTCAAATAATTTTTAATTTCCATCTTCATTTCATTGACCCAACAATCATTCAGGAGCAGATTATTTAATTTCCATTTATTTGCATGATTTTGAGGGTTCCTTTGGAGTTGATGTCCGATTTTATTCCACTGTGGTCTGAGAGAGTACTTGATATAATTTTGATTTTCTTAAATCTATTGAGTCTTGTTTTGTGACCTATATGGTATTAGCCACAAAACAAGGTCTATCCAGCCAGGAGGTGGAGCTTTCAAGAGAGCTTCAGCTGATACAAGATACACCTTGGTCTATCTTAGAAAATGTTCCATGTGCTGATGAATAGAATGTATATTCTGCAGTTGTTGGGTAGAAAGTTCTGTAAATACTTGTTAAGTCAATTTGTTTTAGGGTATAGTTTAAGTCCATTGTTTCTTTCTTGACTTTCTGTCTTGATGACCTGTCTAGTGCAGTCAATGGAGTATTGAAGTCCCCTACTATTATTGTGTTGCGATCTACCTCATTTCTTAGGTCTAGTAGTAATTGTTTTATAAATTTGGGAGCTCCAGTGTTAGGTGCTTATATATTTAGGATTGTGATATTTTCTTGTTGGACTAGTTCTTCTATCATTATGTCCCTCTTTGTCTTTTTTAACTGTTGTTCCTTTAAAGTCTGTTTTGTCTGATATGAGAATAGCTACTCCTGCTCACTTTTGGTGTCCATTTGCATGGAATATCTTTTCCCACCACTTTACTTTAAGTTTATCTGAGTCCTTATGTGTCAGGTGAGTCTGTTGAAGACAACAAGATACTTTGTTGATGAATTCTTATCCATTCTGCCATTCTGTATGTTTTAAGTGGAACATTTAGGCCATGTACATTCAATGTTAGTATTGAGATGTGAGATACTATTCTACTCATCATGCTAGTTGTTGCCTAAATACCTTTTTGTTTCATTGTGTATTGTATTATAGGCCCTGTGAGATTTATGTTTTAAGGAGGTTCTGTTTTTTCTGTTTTGAGGTTTTGTTTCAAGATGTCGATCTCCTTTTAGCAGCTCTTGTAGTGTATGTAGTCTACCAGTTGGCACTGGTAGTGGTGAATTCTCTCAGCATTTGTTTGTCTGAAAAAGACTTTATCTTTCCTTCCTTTATGAACCTCAGTTTCACTGGATATAAACTTCTTGGCTGAAAATTGTTTTGTTCAAGGAGGCTAAAGATAAGACCCCAATCCCTTCTAGCTTGTAGGGTTTCTGCTGAGAAATCTGCTGTTAATCTGATAGGTTTTCCTTTATAGGTTACCTGTTGCTTTTGCCTCACAGCTCTTAAGATTCTTGCCTTCATCTTGAATTTAGATAATCTGATGACTATGTGCCTAGGTGATGATCTTTTTGTGATGAATTTACCTGGTGTTCTTTGAGCCTCTTGAATTTGGATGTCTAGTTCTCTAGCAAGGCCAGGGAAATTTTCTTTGACTGATTCCCTCAAATATGTTTTCCAAACTTTTAGATTTCTCATCTTCCTCAGAAACACCAATTATTTTTAGGTTTGGTCATTTAGCATAATCCCAGACTTCTTAGAGGCTTCGTTCTTTCTTTTTTTTTTTTTTATTCTTTTTTCTTTGTCTTTGTTAGATTGGGTTAATTCAAATGCCTTGTCTTCAAACTTGGAAGTTTTTTTTCTTCTACTTGTTTGATTCTGTTTTTGAGATTTTCCAGTGTATTTTGCATTTCTCTAAGTATGTCTTTCATTTCCAGAAGTTTTAATTGTTTTTTATTTATGCTATTTCTCTGGCGATTTTTTCATCCATATCCTGTATTTTTTTTTTAATTTCTTTAAGTTGGTTTTCACCATTCTCTAGTGCCTCCTTGAGTAGCTTAATAATCAACAGTCTCAATTCTTTTACTGGCAATTCAAAAATTTCTTCTTGGTTTGGATCCATTGCTCGTGAGCTAAAGTCATCTTTTGAGGGTGTTAAAGAACCTTGCTTTGTCATATTACCAGAATTGTTTTTCTGGTTCCTTCTCATTTGGGTAGACTATGTCAGAGGAAAGATCTGGGACTCAAGGGCTGCTGTTCAGATTCTTTTGTCCCATTGTTCTCCCCCTTCCCTAGAGATGGGGATTCCTGAGAGCTGCACTGCAGTGATTGTTATTGCTCTTCTGAGACTAGCCACCCAGTGGGGCTGCCAGACTCTGGGCTGGTACTGGGGAGTATCTGCAAAGAGTCCTGTGATGTGATTGGTTTTCAGGTCTTTCAGCCATGGCCATCAGCACCTGCTCCAGTGGAGGTAGTAAGGGAGTGTCGTGGACTCTGTGAAGGTCCTTGGTTGTAGTTGTGTTTAGTGCACTGGTTTTCTTGAGTGCTAGTTTTGCTAGCCATTGGTTGGTCTCCAGCCAGGAGATGGTGCTTTCAAGAGAACATCAGCTGGGCCAGGCACAGTGGCTCACTCCTGTAATCCCAGCACTTTAGGAGGCCAAGGTGGGTGGATCACCTGAGGTCAGGAGTTCGAGACCAGCCTGACCAACATGGAGAAACCCCGTCTCTACTAAAAATACAAAATTAGCTGGGCATGGTGGCGCATGCCTATAATTCCAGCTACTCGGGAAGGCTGAGGCAGGAGAATCTCTTGAACCCGGGAGGCAGAGGTTGCGGTAAGCCAAGATCGTGCCATTGCACTCCAGCCTGAGGAATAAGAGCGAAACTCTATCTCAGAAAAAAAAAAAAAAAAAAAAAAAAGAGCATCAGCTGATACAAGCTTGCCCTAAGGTTGCCTGAATAAGTATTCCGGTTTCTCAGGTGTTGGGTGGGGCCATAGAGGTCCCAAGAGATTATATCTTTTGTCTTTGGATACCAGGGCTGGTAGAGAAAGACCATCATGTAGGGGCAGGTTTAGGTGGTGTGAGCTCAGACTCTCCTTGGGCAGGGCTTGCTGCAGCTGCCCTGGGGTATGGGGGCTGTGGTTCTCAGGCCAATGGAGTTATATTCTCAGGGAGATTATGGCTGCCTCTTCTGTTTCATACAGATCACCAGGGAAGTAGGGGAAAGCTAGCAGTGACAGGCATCACCCAACTCCCATGCAGCCAGCAAGGCCAATCTCACTCCCATCATGCCCCATCAACAGCATATCCAGGCAGCCTGTGAGCAGGGCTGAGATCTTGCCCCAGGCTACAAGCTTTCCTGCTAAGAAAGTAAGCAGGGCTTTCAGGCCCCACCCCTACCTACTGGCCATGGCTTCTGTGCTCCTATTTGCATTTCCCTTTTGCCCCCACCCACCCAATTGTGTCCAGGAAAATTCGTGTTCGGTCATAATTATTACAGAGATCTGCTAGAAGTTTCCTTCTCCCTGGGATCCTTCCCCCATTTCCACTGGCAGCCCTCCCCAGGGATCCCTGTGAGATAAAATCAGAAATGGCTTCCCTGAGGACTGGCAGTGCCTAAAGGGCTCTTCCCACTGCTTCTTCTACTTTTGTATTTCTCTTGGCTCTCTACATTTGTTTCAGATCTAGGTAAGGTTAGATCTTTCTCCTGTGATCTGGATTGACAGGTTCCCCAGTGAGAGTGTGTGTTAGAAGGTGGACTTTCCCCTCTCACACTTTGGGCACTCAGTTTTTTGGCTGTCTCACGGAGTTTGTAGCAGCAACCTGCTTCTTTCAAAGGGTCTCTTGTATTCTTTTGGTTTTTCTGATATGTTCCTGTGGTAGTTTTTAGAGCAAAAGTTCACAATATGAGTCTCCACGTGCTGTTCTATCCATCTCAGGTGGAGCTGCAAGTTAGTCCTGTCTCCTATCTGCCATTTTTTTCATCTTTTAAATGATTATAGATATCAAATACTTAGTTCTGCCAATGTCTCATTATAATCAAGGAAAACAGTTATGGCAGTTTGCAGAAAAGGTTTTAATTTCCATGTATGTTTTTCAAAATTCATTTCAAAATATACTCACTATCTTGTTTTGAATTCTTACTATCATTTTTCTCTAGGTATTTGGTATGTAATGATTTGCCAATCACTGACATTCTTATAGTACATCTCTTTCAGAATTCTAAAAGCACGTTAGCAGTGGTAAAACCCTCAGAGGTAGGCATATTTAACTGTAAGATAACATTGCCTTTTAGGCGTTGTTTGCCATGTGTCTTTGAACATCTAGGAATTGTATTATCTCATTGTAGCAGAAGGCTTAGTGTTTTCTAATGTAATTATGAGATGAAAGAAAGTGTAGTTTGGAATGAACTATATTGTGCTGCTTATGTTTTTAAGTGACAGGTTTAATAACAATAAAACAGATAACTGTAAGTAGCATACTAAGAGAATAATATAAAATTATTCTAACCTGATGTACTGAGAACTTTCTAATGTAAGTCTCTGTAATGATTAAATGGGATAATCTTAAATCAGCTTAGCTACTGGGTTTATCTGGGGCAAATATCTCCTTCTATAAAATGTTTTAAATCTAAACAAGACATTTTGGTCTGTAATTTAATTTTTAGTGGTCCAGCATTCTTTTCTTCTTGTTATAATACGATGATTTCCTTTCTTGAGTTACCTTTTGCCCAATGTTTGTAGTCTTATTAACTGTCAAAGTCCCCTGTCCTCACCTGGCCAAGGGGTGAGTATAAGGACCAACCAAACATTCTTGCTCAAGATTTAACTTTTAAAAAGAGTGATATAAAGATGGGAAAAACAGAGCTAATTCATCCCCACAGAGGTGACCTAATAAAACCACAGAGTAGTTCCTGCTACTTGGCTCTTGCTACCTGCATCCCTGGGTTCTTTGCTGAGCACACTTCGGCAGTTATTACTTTGCTTCTGTGAGCCACCCATATCCTTCCTGTAAGTCCTTTTTTATTTTTCAAGTTTGCCAGTATTAGCCTTTTTCATTGCAACTGAAGATCTCTAATTGGTACACAAAATCTTGTACTCCTCCTCAATCTTTGTGTTACTTTTGTAAAAGATTATACAGAATTTAACATTTGATATCAGTATACAGATATCAGACATTTACCCGTTTCCGCTGATGTGTACGTGTGTGTGCATGCTTGTATGAATGAATGTGTGTTGGTATGTGAGACTCATCTGCAAATATCAAGCTTCCACTTGCCTCTTTTTTTTTTTTTTTTGAGACGGACTTTCTCGTCAGCCAGGCTGGAGTGCAATGGTGCGATTGTGGCTCACTGCAACCTCTGCTTCCGGGGTTCAAGCTATTCTCCTGTCTCAGACTCCCAAGTAGCTGAGATTACAGGTGCGCACTACCACGCCCAGCTAATTTTCATATTTTTAGTAGAGACGGGATTTCACCATGTTGGCCAGGCTGGTCTCGAACTCCGGACTTCAGGTGATCCGCCTGCCTTGGCCTCCCAAAGTGCTGGGATTACAGGAGTGAGCCACGGCACCCAGCCTCCACTGGCATCTTTATGAGACCTTGATCTTTCTTAATTAAAGGAAACAAAGCAGAAACAGGTATATTCTAAGGAGTCTCCCTTCAACACTCTCCAGTTAATCGGTGAGCTTCTAAGTCCTTTTTTATTTGAATACAAAGAAAAGAGCCCTTTTACAGCCAGAAGTTTCCTGCATATTCTTACAATGTTAAATACATACTAATATTATAACAGGTTTGCATCTGATATCTGGAGAAAGTAAGTTAGGTTCTCTTAACTATGGTGGATTCTGTTTCTATTATTAGACAGTAAATCAACATATGAAAAGATTGTAGAAACATTGCAATGATAACATTTCTGGAATGTTCACAAAGATTTCTTAAGAGGCTCATGAGAATTTAGAAAGATATATTATGGTCTACAGCTCTGAAGACTGGGAAGACTGAGACTTTGGACATAGTCTTGCCTATGCTAATGGATGATCTTAGATATTAATTTAACCCTTCTCAGCCATAATTTCCCCAACTGTGAAGTGAAGATAGTACTTTCTTTATCTATATCATAAGGTTGCATGAAGATCAAATAAGATGTCCTCCAAGTAGTTTAATGGAAAATGTACTTTTGATTAGAAGCCTATAAAAATAAAAGTTAAGATGAGAAACAAAGGAAATAGAAAATAAGGTAACCATTGCATAGAAGGACTTACAGAATTTGTGTGGGGGACCCAAAGTAAATAAAAACACTGAAAAACAGATTTAAAATGGTGCTAATCAAAACTGTATAAAACTTATTCAAAAGGTAAGTTTATAAGCTGTGCAACCATTTTTAAACAAAAGTACCCTTTATGTTTTTATAATAAGTATTATGAAAATTAATATCTATTAAACATGTACTATTTCTTAGGTTCTCTGTTAGCTATACTTTTGTCTCATTTAATCCCTTAAACCAAGTGAATTGGGTATTGTTATCATCATTTTACAGAAAAGAAAACTCTTTTGAGACTCAGGGAAATAAAATTACTTGTCAAGGTCAAAAATGATAGAGCCAAGATCCAAATTTCTTGTGTATGCCCTTCCCACATTGAGTCTAGGTTTGACGTTGGGACTTGCTTTTGCCAATGGGACATTAGCAAGCATGATATTAATAGAGGCTTACTAAGCACTTGGACTTAGGGAGTTTGTCTTCTTTGTAATGCTTCCTCTTGGAACCTTGAGACTACCATAATATGAGGAGCCCAAGCTAAGAGTCAGAACCAAGACTCCAGACATATGGCCTCCATTGAGCCATTCCAGCCAGCTCTTGGATATTTAAGTAACCTCAGGTGAGGTCCCAGATATCAAAGAACAGAAACAAGTTATTATCATTGTACATTGCCTAACTACTTGACCCACAAAGTCATAAGTATATAAAATAGTAGTCATTTTATGCTACCTAAGTTTGGAGTGATTTACTACATAACAATAGATAATTGATATTTAACTTAGGTTCAATCTAAAGCTTGAGTACTCTTTACCCTGCAATATGCTGTCACAAATTATTGAACTTCCCTGCATATTCTCAAATGAAGTCTGGAACCTTGTTTTGCAAAGACATGAAACAAACTTTTATTAAAAAGTAAAAGAAGCTTAATAGAGAGAAGAGACAATCCACAGATTGGGAGAAAATATTTGCAAATCACATATGGGATAAGGAGCCAATATCCAAAATGTATAAATAACCCAAACTACTCAATAACAAGAAAACAACTCTATTTAAAAATGGGCAAAGGACTTGAATAGACACTTCTTAAAGTGGCCAACAGATACATGAAAAAAATGCTCAACATCTTTAATCATCAGAGAAATGCGAATTAAAACCACAATGAGATATCACCTCACAATTGTAGATTGACTATTATCAGAAACATAAAAGATAATAAGTGTTGGTGAGGATGTGGAGAAAAGGGAACCCTTATACACTCTTGGTGGTATTGTAAATTAGTAGACATTTTGAAAATAATATAAAGATTTCTTTAAAAACTAAAAATAGAATTACCATATGATCCAGCAATCTCACTACTGGGTATATACTCACAGGATTTAAAATCAGTATGCCAAAGAGACATCTGCACTTCATGTTCATTGCAGCATTATTCACAATAGCCGAGATATGGAAACAACCTAACTTTCCATCAAGGGATGAATAGATTTTTAAAATGTGGTATATGTACATAATGGAATACTATTCGTCCTTAAAAAATAAACTGAAATTCTGTCATTTTCAACAACATGGATGAACCTAGGGGATATTGTGTTAAGTGAAATGAGTCAGGCACAGAGAGACAAATACCATGTGATCTTATGTATACGTAAAATCTAAAAAAGGCAAGCTCATAGAAGGAGAGAGCAGATTTGCAAGTAATTCTGATGCTAAAATTAAAAAAAAAAAAGAAAAAAATAGAAGTAGGGAGCAGAATGATGGTTACCAGGGGCTTGGGTTGGGGGAGGTAGATGGACAAAAGGAGAGGCATTTGTCAACAGGTACAAAGTTACAGCTGGGAGGAATAAGTTCTAGCTGCTCTGTTGCACAGCAAGGTAACGATAGTTAATGTATTAAATATTTCAAAATAACTAAAAGAGAAGTTTTTAAATGTTCTCACCACAAAGAAATGATAAGCATTTGGGGTAACGGGTATGCTAATTACCCTGATTTGATCATCTCCCAATGTATACATGTATTGAAACATCACATTCTACCCCATAAATATATAGAATTATTATTTGTCAATCAGAAAAAAGTAAAAGAAGGACACTAAGATGATTCATATCCCTCCATAAAGAGATTTATAGTTGTTGGTTAATATTTTGTCTTGTTTACAGTCTTATTTTTAATAAAATAAATTATTCTATCTTTTCTTGTAAATACTAAGTGTATTTTTAGAAGGAATTCAAACACTGCAAAAAGTACAAACATAGAGATTTAAAAATCAGTTAAATCTCACCACATAAGAAGAAACTTGGTTAATATTAGATGAACTTTATCCAGGCATGTTTCTTTAAAAAATAGACAGCTAGACAGGAAGGAAATGCTTTAAAATATGATTATATTATAGACGACTTTTTTTTTTTTTTTTTTTTTAAAGAGTCAGGGTCTAACTTTGTAGCCCAGACTGAGGTGCAGTGGCACTATCATAGATTACTACCACCTTGAACTCCTGGGCTCAAGGAACCCTCTGGGGTAGCTGGGACTGCAGGTGCATGTTATTATGCCGAGACAATTTTTTAATATTTTGTAGAGATGGGGTTTAGCTATGTTGCCCAGGTTGGTCTTGAACTCCTGAAATCAAACAATCCAGCTGCCTTGGCCTCCCAAAGTGCTAGGATTACAGGCGTGAGCTACCATGCCTGGCCTATTGTAGTTTTTTTGTTTTGTTTTGTTTTGTTTTGTTTTGTTTTGTTTTGTTTTGTTTTTGAGACGGAGTCTTGCTCAGTCATCTGGACTGGAGTGCAGTGGCACGATCTCAGCTTACTGCAGTCTCTGCCTCCTAGGTTCAAGCCATTCTCCTGCCTCAGCCTCCTGAGTACCTGGGGCTATAGACATGTGCCACCCTGCCTGGCTAATTTTTGTATTTTTAGTAGAGACGGAGTTTCGCTCTGTCAGCCAGGCTGGTGTCAAACTCCTGACTTAGGTGATCTGCCTGCCTCAGCCTCCCAAAGTGCTGGGATTACAGATGTGAGCCACTGCACCTGGCCTACAGATGTTTTTTTAAAGTGAAAAAGAAACAAGCAAATTTCTTTATGACCCAAACACACATGTGCATACGTACACACCAAACAAAAATTCCCAAACACCCTGATGAAAGTGTAAGCTTCAAATAAATATTTTTTTTTTCTTTCAACGTAAAATATTCCTCTAAGACTGTGGAAGAAATTTTGGAAAAACACAAATGTTAAGAGATTGGAGGAGCCAGACGCGGTGGCTCACGCCTGTTATCCCAGCACTTTGGGAGGCCAAGGCGAGTGGATCACCTGAGGTCAGGAGTTCGGGACCAGCCTAACCAAAATGGAGAAACCCTGTCGCTACTAAAAATACAAAATTAGCTAGGCATGGTGGCGCATGCCTGTAATCCCAGGTACTTGGGAGGCTGAGGCAGGAGAATCACATGAATCCAGGAGGCAGAGGTTGTGGTGAGCCGAGATCGCACCATTGCACTCCAGCCTGGGCAACAAGAGCAAAACTCCATCTCAAAAAAAAAAAAAGGTTGGAATTGGAGTCTTTTTTTTAAGTTCTCAGTTTTAATAGTGATTCCCTGCTATAAATGATGAGGACATTAACAGTCACATATGTTCTGTCATCTCATTCTATCTACCTTCCTAGTTTTATTAAAAATTATTTTTAACATAATAGGACTATTACAATGTACTATTAACTATGATTTCCTCCCAGAACCATGAAGATCGGTACAACCAATCTCCAATTGTCAAGGAATCTGAGGCCAGTGTGATTACTTCCCCGGTGATAGTGATTGGCGTTTTTGGTCTTTTTTGTTTGAATTCTTTTCCTTAATGCTTGATAGTAGCACAACTAGCATAAGGAGAATAACCTAACTAGAATATAAATTGGCGTTGACTGCTCTGCGTCAAATTTCTTTCAAATTCAGTGTGTTCTTTCAGTCTGCAGCATTTGCCTTCAATTCAGGGAAATTATTCTTGTTTCATATTTTCAAATAACTTTTTGTATTTGTTTGGTGCTTTACAACCCAGTATCTATGTTAGATCCTTTTTATCTAACTCTCTTATATATTAGTTTCCCCCTAATCTCTTAGATCGGTCCTCCTTCTCTTCCTTCTTTTCTTTTTTACATTCACTATTATTATCTTTAGCCATTTCCCTATGAGAACAATTCTATATTTATCAGAACCTTTTTTATTTTCTTTGCTCCTTTGAAATTATTCATTTTTCTCAATTTGGCCAGTCAGTATCTGTATTTGCAACTCAGTTTGGATCCTGTGAGGAAACAGAATTTGCCCTATTTGCTTAAAATTTAGACAAATTAAGAAGTACTGTTGAGGTGAGAATGAGATTAAGAGAAAAAAATAAGCAATAGTGAGATTCCAGAGACTAACCACTGCTTGAAGCTGCTGCAGGCACAAGGGGAGGAGGTAGAGTTCCTGGAGTCAACTGACAATGAACACAGAAAGGAGGGTCCCCTCTCACACCAGCAGAGTGTGGAGTGTTATATCTACTGCCAGAGACCTACAAAGCAGCAGGGAAAAACTGGAGAAAAAACATCTTGGCCTCTCCCTCCTCCTACCTTCTGATCTCCTGCCCAACTGGAAGCCCAAGGACAAAGGAACAAGGGTGATAAGTCCTCAGGGGTCAGCTTTCCCAGACCACAGCATATTAGAGAAGGTCAGAGAATGGTAGTGGTGGCAATGGTATTGAGGGGTTGGCCAGTGAGAATGATCAGCGCATACTTGTCATTTTATGTGATGTTGCTGAAGGAACACAAAGACTTTAACTCTTCAATAGGTCTCAAATATTTACTCCTTTCCACTGGTGAGTGTGTGTGCAGGCACACATGTGCATTTGCCAAGTTTCCACCAAAGTCTTCGTGAAGCCTTGATCTTTTCCTAATTTGAAGAGAAGGTGTATTATCTTTAAAGCAGGAAACAGGTGGTATCTTAGGGAAGCTCTTCAAACAATGAGTCTGCTTTATTTCCTGAGTTCCTAAGCCCTATTTTATTTGAAAGAAGAGAGAAGAGCCAATGAATTTTATGGCCTGAGAACAATGTTATCCATCCTTAATTGTTTTTTGCTCAGACTGACAATCTTCTTTTTGATCTCAAACTGTTGTTTGATCAACTCATTTTTCAGTTCATTTTTAAAATCCCTTGAATTTGTATTCTTATTAAATTCATCTATAGCTTAAAGCAACTGTGAGGTATTTCCATCTCATTTTTAAGCTATAATTTCTTCCAAGCTGGATCCTTTTACTTTGCATTAAATATTTGTTTGTTTCTGCCATGAGATTTATTTTAATCTTGATCATGCCCAGGTAATTCTCCATTGATACAGTACAGGTGCATTCTTCCTACCATATGAGAAGAATTTGTTTTCCTCTTAGCCACAGGTAGTGGGCTGACTACTTTTCATTGTCTCCACTTTTCTACAGCCTGAGAGAATGGCAGGGGCAAGAGGCCCACCCAGATTGAGAGAATGTGTATAATCTTCATCTTCCTTAGAGTGCCTGGTCTCTGTCCTCTTTTGTGAGGGTTTCTCAAAGCCCAGCACCAGCTTTCTATGTTCCAGTCCCATAGAGACAAATTTCCAGCTCTGTGCTTGACAACCATTTTTAAAAAAATATTGGAGTAAAGCATAGGTCAAGCATCAAGGAATTAAGTAAATTGACTTTTCTAGGTGAAGCCAGAAGACCTTAGATCTAGAAAGCCTGTAGTTTTCTGAGAAGATACAAGTCTTACTTGGCTCTCTTTGGATCTGTTACCTATAACTAGTGGCTACATAATTTCATTGTTGGCTATATCACTAGAAAGAGAGGATGGCAACCAAGAAGTTGGGAAAACCTATGAGCATTATCCTGGAAACAAAAACCTAAACAACAAAGTTAGGCAGAGATCGTTCTAAACAGTACAACAAGAAGTGAGTCAGTGAAAGGAGCTAAGAAATAACTGGCTTAATTCCACTGACATTTCCATAAACTCCAGAGGGAGATCTATAAAAAAATTATATAGTTTTTTGTCATTGTAATTTGATTTTTTTTTGTTATTTTCTTCTCTTTATTTAAAAGTCTTTAAAAATATTACAGGGCTTTTGTGTAAAGTGGATATACTTTTTTTTAAAGTGGATATACATATTTTTTCTTTCTAGCATTTCTCTTGAGGACAATCCCTGGAATTTTGCTGAAACTATGAGGAAAGAGACAGTTTGCTGGTGTGGGGAGGGCAAGGGATAGGCATTTTTTCTGTAAAGATGATGGAAGCCTAGAGCTGCTGGTGGTCATCTTTGCCACTATGTGGGAAGAATCTGCCCAGAGAAAAACAGAGATAGAATGGGAAAGTCAAATCTTTAAGACGTAATTTGAGCATTATGATCTAGCCATGCCTGAAGTTCATTGGTGGAACTTCCCAGCTAGAAAGCCAGATGAGTCTGTTTCTTCCAAGTAGTTTGGGTAGGCTTTTTCTTACTAAAAGAGTTTTCGTATTAATATATTTTGTTTCCTAGGGAACTAATGGCTGGACTTTAGAAATAGCTAGGCCTGCACTTTTTTCCCTGCTAAGAAAGGGAGTACTTAGCAGCTGTGTTGAAGAAAACACAATAAAACAAAGAATAACAACGAAACAGCTGAATGATTTAAGTCACCAAATGGCTCCTCCTGGAAGCAGGGCAATCTATGATTATGATGTTTGTCATCTCAGGTGATTTGGCTGATTTGCCTAGGCAGGTGAGTATCCTTTCCCTCCCTTTCTTGTGTTTCCTCAACAAAGTTCCTCATCAGGTAGTGTACACATCAGGGGATTTCCTGATAGGACGTCGGGATGGGGGAACCCTTAGGAATTGAGGATGGGGTGTTACTACTACTGCTTTCGCTTGTGTGTGACTTTGATCTTCCCGAACCATGGACTGTGTCCTCTCTTGCTTATTCATTACAGTATTCCCAGTGCCCAGGACAGTGTTAGCTGACTATGGAACTTAATAAATGTTTGTAGCAGAAACTATTAACTTTACTTCTATGTCAAAATCAGTTCTGCTGGAAGCATTCTTCTCAGAGGAATTGCACAAAAAGAGAGGACTCAGAAAGGCAAGGAACCAAGTATGAGCTTAAGGCCTAGCTTATGGCTAAGAGGTACTATTAGGTACTTGACATATTCTCACAATTACTAAAAAGAACAAATTGTATGCAGGGAGAAAACAAATGCTGCAATGTAGTATACATCTGTTTTGCATCAACATTTTAAAATTGTGCTAATTTTGTGATAAATGACCTATTTTATAGCCACAAATTTTAGTTCTTAAGCTATCACTCTGTGATTATCAGTATTTTGCCTTTTTAAATTACACAATAAAATTCTAAATAATAATGTATCATGTATATGCCATGAAAATATAAACTTTGGAAATCAGAAGAGAAACAACATTACTTCATTCTTTTTTTTTTTAAATGGAAAGTTGTAAAGCATCTTTGAAACAGCATGATAAAGATCCCAATGCAGTTCAAGATTTGCTTATCCGATTGCTTGACTTAATGAAATCTATGGAACAGGCTGACCATCTGTTTAAAATTAGATAGTAGGTTGGGAAAACATGACATCATCATTTGAGACAGCCTTAGACAAAGTTATAAAGCAGGTGAATTTGGCCTTCAGAAAATGCTGCCTTTTCTTTTTAACCTGATGCTAGCCAGTTTTCAGTACTGTCTTCTCTCTATGTTGACCCTGTCTGAGAAAATAATCAAACATACCAATCTGGCCATTTACTTTTTCTTTAAAGTGTTCTAATGACCTTTGACTCCTTACAGGATAAAATCCAACCTCTTTAGCATGATAACTTTTGTTTTTGTGATCTGGAACCTTCTTATCTCAGGAATTTGCCAGCATATTTGATGTATTTTTGAGTTCACTGTTTTTTTGTTTTTGTTTTTGCCCCACACTATTGGAGGTCAAGGGGGTCTTCTAAATAGCACACATCTTGTCATCCAAGTTCTGAGTACATTAAAAATAAGACAAAAACAAAAGTGTAAGGCATATGGGAACCCAAATGTGATATTTGTTACCGACAGAGCTGATACTTGAAAAATTGCCTACTGGTGGACAAGTGGGCTTTCTAATACCAGTCCCCAGAATTAGATAACTATACAAACCACATCACAGGCAGTTCTGGATGATAGCAAAAGCCCCCTGACAGTGGGTGGCAATGTGCCCGGATAGTACCATATGGAAGCAGCACAGCATAAGGTTCTTCCTATAGACAACTGGCTCCCAAGCAGAAGGAGAGAGGAAGTGGCTGCACTGCTTACACCCCGTCTCTCCTTTCAAATTTTCCCATCATATTAAGATACTTTTCTCAGAGGAGGACTAGTGAGCTGGGGGTGGGGTGGGGAGAGGAAGCCCCGGGCTGTGATGCAAGTGGAAGACCCACCATATGGAAGGGAATATAGGAGTAGAGAAGAAGCATCCCTCCAGTAAGACGGACTGAACCTCCAGCTTCACTACTGTTATTGCCAAAGCACTGAGTTCTTTTAGTGAGGATCTATTTTTAGACTCTTTATTGCTTCTATGTCTGAAAACATCTTTATTTCTCTCTCACTTTGGAAAGATTATCTAGTCTGATGGTTTTCAGAAAAGAGAATCAGAAGTTTTCTAGATCTTCCACTGAGGCTATTGACAGGGAAAAGGGAGGGGAAACTGTTAAGCTGGTAGGATATGGGTTCTACATTCCAGCCGTAGCGATTCCCTCTTTATTACTTATATATATATTTACATATTGAGTTTCTACATAATATTGTTTAGAAGAAAGGATCTTATTAATAGATAAAATCTAAAAGATGTTATTATAATCTAATCCATCTTATAATAATAACAAACACTTAATTAGCACTTATTATGTTTCAGAAACAACCTTAAGTTATGCTTGTGTGTGTATGTGTGCATAAACACACATGGTAATTTAATGCTCGAGACAATCTTATGAAATAGTTATAATGATATCCCCCTTTTATTGATGAGGAAACTGAGGGACAAATATTTTATCTTTTCTGAAGTTACGCAGCTGGTAAGAGGCACAACTAGAACTTGGCCCCAGTTTTCTGAATTGGGAGTGTATATTATAAACAATTGCACCATTGTGAGTTCTAGAAAGTTAGAATGAATCCCACAGCTAGATAGTGGAATGAGGAGAAAAACAAGAATCTAGATTTCCTCACTTTCCTACTAGACTTTTGCTACTACGTCATAGCATTTTCAAGGTGACCACCTACTCTGTGCTTATATAATGTTGAATCTGACCAACTTTGTGTTCACTGTTGCTGATGTCCTTAGTTTAGTGGAGATAATGACTCCAGACTTGGATATTTAGCATCCTAATTGATTTCACCTGTTGGATGACTCACAAGCATCACAAACTTTAGAAGTCCCAAACAGAACTTGTGATTCCACACCCCATGAACTTATTTGCTCTACTCATCTTCTTTCAGCAAATGACATCATCATTTTGTTAGTTGCTCAAGCCAGGAACTTGTTCATCTTTTTTTTTTTTTTTTTTTTTTTTAAGGTGGAGTTTCACTCTTGTCACCCAGGCTGGAATGCAATGGTGCAATCTCAGCTGACTGCAAACTCCGCCTCTCGAGTTTAAGCGACTCTCCTGCCTCAGCCTACTGAGTAGCTGGGACTAGAGGTGTGCAGCACCATGCCCGGCTTATTTTGTATTTTTAGTAGAGACGGGGTTTCACCATGTTGGCCAGGCTTGTCTTGAACTACTGACCTCAGGTGATCTGCCTGCCTTGGCCTCCCAAAGTGCTGGGAATTACAATGCCCGGCATTGTTCATCATTTTTAACTTCTTCCTCTCTTCACCTCCCACATCCAACCCACCAGCGAGTCTTTTTGGTATACACATGGTAATACAAAATACAGCTGGAATCTATGTAATTCTTTCCAACATGGTACCATCCTAAGAAAAACAACACAGTAGCCATTACCACCATATCTTTTTCTTTGTTCTCCCCAAACAGAATGAAATCCCTCTATACACCACCTGTCCTTTCCAAGGTTTACACTCAATATACTCAACAACAATACTCCATCCAATCCTTTTTACTGTTTTGCAACCCCATATTGTGAGAAATAAATTAAAAGTCACAAACACCTCAAAATTTACCCTCAAGAATCACATTTCACAGAATTTTCTTTTGAAAAGGATAAGAAATTATAAATACACACAAAACTGTCTTATCCCAATTTATTTTATGCTTGATCTAATTTCTAATTCATACGGTTGCAAAGTTGTTAGAGTAAGCTATTCAGGAATATTATGGAAATTTGCCACAAAAACCTTTTGCTGTTTCAGTATTTAACTTTTCAAGATTTGATATCAAAATATATACTTGGGAAAGTTTAATTTCAAACAAAGTCCTTAAGCTGTATTGAACTTGTTTAGTTTAGTCATATTTTAATCTTCCTGTTATTATATTGGCATGTTACAATTAATGGCCTATTTGAAATTCCATTAAATCTTCTATTATCAGCAGTTCATAACTACAGCATAAAAATTTTTCTCTAGGCTGAAACTTGTTATACAAAGGTCTCAGCCTAGAACCAATTAAAAAAATTAGTCATTAAGTAGTTTGTCTTTGAATGCAGACTTGTCATTTTCATTATTTTTGGACTAAGCTGTTTAGCCAGGTCTATACTACTCCATGCTAATGTTCTAAAAATTGTTTTTGAAATGTTCATGGAAAAAGTTATGGGAAATACAAGGAAAAATACGATCTCGTTTTAGACTGGGGAATGATTTGGCTCTTTATGTCCAGTATTCCCCAGTTCTGTATCTCTCTGGCCCTCCCTTACCATCATATAAGTCTCAGTTCCTCTTCCAAGGTTGGAGAGGATCTGTCTATGCAAAGTGAAGACTAAAATTTTAATCAGATTTTCAGTGACTCTACCTGTTTTTAGTCCTACATCCACCTCTCATTTTTAGAGGTACCAGGTACCATCTGTTTCTTTGCCTCCTTGGGGTTTTGCAATGAACGTCTGTTCTTCTTGGTTCAGTGAATGGAATGATAAAGAGTACCGCTACTTAAGTTCACATCTTGGCTATATCATTCACTAGTCTTTTAATCTTAGATCAAATACTTAACTTCTGGCTGGCCCAGTGGCTCATGCCTTTAATCCCAGCATGTTGGGAGGCTGAGGTGGGTGAATCTTGAGGCTAGGAGTTTGAGACCAGCCTGGTCAACATGTTGAAACCCCATCTCTACTAAAAATACAAAAACTAGCCTGGCATGGTGGCATGTCCCTGTAATCCCAGCTACTTGGGAGTCTGAGGCTGGAGAATCACTTGAACCCAGGAGGCGGAGGTTGCAGAGATTTGAGCAACTCCTGGTGGCCACGATCACACCACTGGACTCCAGCCTGGGCAGCAGAGTGAGACTCTGTCTCAAACAAACAAACAAACAAACAAAAAACAAAAAAAACACTTTTTTTGAGCCTCAGTCTCCTTATCTACAATGTAGGGATAACAAACTGTCATAGGGTTTTTGCAAGGATTAAGTGAGCTAATGAGGGTGATGTTTAATGTAACAGAGGAATGGATCAGGCAGAACATGAAAGGCCAGTTAAGGACTTGGCTTTTACTCTAAGTGAAGTGGAGAGCCATTGCAAGGTTTTGAGTGGAAGGGTGACATGATCAGATTTTTAAAAAAGAAAACAATCAAGGTTTAGGATTTTTCTGACAGATTATATGTTAAAGAAAGAGAAGTGTCAATGTTGATTCCAAGAGTGTTGACCTTCAGCAAGGATAGAGTTTCCATCAACTGAGACAGGCAAGGCTGTGGGTAGAGTGGGTTTGGAATGGTTGGGAGCAGGAATTTTGTTTTGGTTCTCTGTTGGACATTAAAATGAGGCAGTGGAGAGAAAGTTATGGGCAGGAATGTGACAGTTGAGAGTCTTTGCACTGAAATTGTGTTTAAAGCCCTGAGAAAGAATGAGATCACAAGGGAGTGAGTATAGATAAAGAGGACTGTGCCCTGGGGCACACTAATACCAAGAGCTCTGGATTAAAGAGGATTGAGACTGAGAAGGAGTGCTCAGTGAGGTGCGAGGACACCAAGAAAGTTGTCCTGGATGGCAAGGGAATGAAGTGTATTGGAGAGAAGTGAGGGATGAATTGTGTTTCATGTGGCTGATAAGTCAAGTATAACTAGGACTGCTGGATTTAGTACAGTGAAAGTCATTGAAGATCTTAATGAACAATTTTCATGGAGGATTTGGGGAGAAAGTAAATGAAGTGGTTTTACAAGGTAACTGAAGAGGAGGAATTGGAAACAGCAAGGCAGATAACTCTAAAGGATTTTTCTGAAAAGGGAATAAAAGAAATAGAGTAGTAGCTTGCAGGGGTCAGGAATCAAGAAATAACAGCTTATTTGTATATTATAGGAATCAACTCCCATGAACAGCATTCTGGAATACTATACAGTCCACTTCTAGATGCAGAACTTTTACTTATACAGCATATCCTCAAATAACATCGTTTTGTGCAAAGTCATTTTATTATGCCATCAATGAAAAAAATTAATTCTGGGACAGGGTCACTGTCTGTGTGGAGTTTGCATATTCTTCTTATGTCTGCATGGATTTTTTTCTCAAGTACTTATGTTTCCTCCCATATACCAAGACTGTGCATGTTAGGTTAACATGTATGTCTAAATGATGCCAGTCTGAGAGAGTGTATGTATATGTGTGTGTCTGTGTGTGTGTGCATGTGTGTGCCCCACAGTGGAATGGTGTCCTGTCCAAAGCTGGTTCCCTCCTGGTGCCCTGAGCTACCAGGAAAGGCACCAGCTACCTGAGACCCTGAACTGGAATAATCAGGTTGGAAAATGAAGAATGAATAGAAATGATGGTAAAATAAAAATTAGTAAAGTATACAATAATCATACAAATCCAGGACAATAAACAATTTGGCATAAAAGCACTCAGTGAGCATAACATATTTATGGTTTTTTGGACTGTGTGGTGGTTGGAGGTGCTCATTACAACTTTCACTTTGCAAACATTTATTTCTCGATTGAAACCACCACGACTACTACTGCTGTGACTCACTGATTCACTAAAAATTAGATTTAAGTAATTATCTTACTTGTTTTTATTAATCTTTCTGAAATGTACATGTAGGCCACATTTATTTCAATGTTTACTATTAGAAGTGGGTCTTTATTAAGAAGTTTGGTGATGTTTTTGTGACCAGAAATATGCCACAGGATCTTAACTCTTATTTATATCAATTAGCCTATCGTAAAATCAGTTTTGTTGAATATCTCTTTGTTTAAACCTACAGTTTCCAAGAATCCATTGACGATGTTAAGTGAGGACTTACTGTAATAGTTAATAAATGGAATCAATTTGAGAGAAGAACATTTGTAAGCCTAAAGCACAATGGTTAATTGCATGTATCAAGTTATGTAGTCAAAATGACTTATCTTCAAATTCCAACTGTGATATATATTGGCTCTTTGATAGGAATAATTATGCCTACTTTGAAGGGTTTGTTGAAGGTGGCTTCAGTCAACCAACATTCATCATATGCCTAATGTATGTCAGGCACTGTCTTGGGTGCTGTGGATAGAGCACTGGACAAAACAGATAGTAAATGCTAATTATTTGTTACAATGCCGTATCATAGAAAACGCTCAATAAATATAGGTTGTTCTGATAATTATTTTTTTCTCTATTGTTATCTTCATCAATATTAATTACAGAATATCTGGAGGGGACCAAGGTCATGAAATATTTAAAAATTTATAGTAAAATCACTGATCATTAGAGAAATGCAAATCAAAACCGCAATGAGATACTATCTCACACCAGTCAGAATGGGTATTACTAAAAAATCAAAAAATAACAGCTGGCGAGGTTGTGGAGAAAAAGGAATGCTTATACACTACTGATGGGAGTGTAAATTAGTTCAACCATTGTGGAAGACAGTGTGGCAATTCCTCAAAGACCTAAAGACAGAAATACCATTCAACCCAGCAATCCCATTACTGTGTATATACCCAAAGGAATATAAATCATTCTGTTATAAAGACACATGCACACATATTTTCATTGCAACACTATTCACAATAGCAAAGATATGAAACAAACCAAATGCCCATCAGTGACAGACTGGATAAGGAAAATGTGGCACACACTTACCATGGAATACTCTGTAGCCATAAAAAAGAACAAGATCATGTCCTTTTCAGGGACATGGATGGAGCTGGAGGCTATTATCCTTAGCAAACTAATACAGAAATGGAAAACCAAATATTGCATGTTCTCAATTATAAGTGGGAGCTAAAAGATGAGAGCGTATGGACACATGGTGGGGAACAACACACACTGGGGCCTATTGGAGGGTGGAGGGTGGGAGGAGGTAGAGGATTAGGGAAAATAACCAATTAGTATTAGGCTTAACACCTGGATGATGAAATAATCTGTACAACAAATCCCCATGACTCAAGTTTACCTATGTAACAAACCTGCACATGTACCCCTGAACTTAAAATAAATTAAAAAATAATAAAATACAATTATTTGACTATTAAAAAATCTGGAGTATAATGCCTAAAAGAAATGTGAAAATATTAAAGAGAAAAGGAAGCAGCATTAACCAGTTTCTCAAATATCAGAACCAGGAACAAAGAGTAGAAGGAAAGATATTATGGCTAGATATGAAAACAAAATATCTCACAAATTGAATGAGCTGTCTAATTGTGACAAGTGATTAACTCTCAGAGGTAATATTCAGGCAGCACCATCAGGAATGTTGTATTGCGTATTTCTATTTGAGAGTGATATTTTAGACCTGGGTGTTTCTAAGACCATTTGTGGGTCTAAAATGTAATGATTTTATAAATTTCTTTAGATATAAATTATTCATCCTGGTTGGAATTTTGATTGATTTGTTCTTAGGTGGTTCATTTACCTTCTTTAGGTCTCAGTTTGGAACTCATCTGTAAAAAGACTTCTGGTGGGTTTTTAGCTCTAAATTACTTTAGTTAATTAATGAAAGCAACCTGAAAAACTATTTTTTCCATTGCCAGGCATGTTGGTGCTTGCCTATGGTCCCAGTTACTCAGGAGGCTGAGGCAGGATCACTTGAGCCCAGGAAGTTGAGTCTACAGTGAGCCATAATGGCACTACTACACTCCATCCTGGGTGACAGAATGAGACCCTGTCTCAAAAAATAAAAAATATTTAAAAAAATTTAACAAAAACATGTCTTCCCATTTGTTTTTAGTTTTTATTTGGAGCTAGGAATGTGGAGAATTCTGGGCTACAGGCAGTATATAGTATTACTTTTCCTCTCCATTTGACTTTAAAGATTAAAAATTACATGAATTATATTTGAAAGAAACTTTGAACTTTGCAGATAAGCAGAAAAGCCTCAGCAAATAAAAACGATATTGCAGAGAGAATACTGTGCAGTGTAGGTAAAAATCAAACATTTACTCTTTGTTCTGAAATCTAAGTTACTGGAAGTGAACAAAACTGCAAACAATTACTGCTGTGAGAAACAACTCCTGCTGGGCCGTCTTAGGATGTCAACTCTAATTCTGCACTGAGGGCTAGTTCCATGGTGCGTGGGATAATTATTGAGAAGACAACTCTTTCCAGCATTTAATTTTTTTTTTTTTTTTTGAGATGGAGCCTCACTCTGTTGCCTGGGCTGGAGTGCAGTGGCGCAATCTCGGCTCACTGCAAGCTCCGCCTCCCGCGTTCACGCCATTCTCCTGCCTCAGCCTCCTGAGTAGCTGGGACTACAGGCTCCCGCCACCACGCCCGGCTAATTTTTTTTTGTATTTTTAGTAGAGACGGGGTTTCACCATGTTAGCCAGGATGGTCTCGATCTCCTGACCTCGTGATCCACCCGCCTCGGCCTCCCAAAGTGCTGGGATTACAGGCGTGAGCTACCGCGCCTGGCCTCCAGCATTTAATTTTTTTAAGTATTTTTTTCTTTCAGTGCTCTCTCTTTATTTCTGTACTGTTATTTTCCTGTGCCATTTCATTTTGATCTTTCTAAATTCGCAATTATTTGAACATATATGCTCAGAATAACTGACAAAGGATAGAGGCAAAGGAATATAAAGAAGTGTAAGACTTGGTCCCTGATCTTGCAGGATTTGTAGATTATTCAATGAAGGAAGAATGGAAGGAAAATAGAATAAACCAAGCTCTTGCAGTGACCTTGGCATTGTATTAAGTATAAGAAGACTTAGGTAGTTTTAAAGAGGTTATACATAATACTTGGTGGGCATTACTCATTGAATCCCCTCACGAACCCTGTAAAATACTTATCATATCCACATGTTGATTCTAGGTTAAGAAATTTGTCCATGGGTGCCTGAACCGAAAGTCATATTTCTTTTTACCACAATGTGCTGCCTTAGAGGAACAATTGCATACAATGGGATCAAGTGCATTGTAGGCTCTATTTATAACATGCATATGAGAAAGAGAGGTAAGATATCACAGGTGGTTGGAAAGATGGGTGTGAACTTCTTGAAGAAGTGGGGACTTGAGTCATTTTTTCATTCATTCTTTAATGAAATATTTTTAAGCATTCTATACCAAGCACAGTGTGTAGACCTGGCTTAGCTGCTGGTGATACAAATTTTAGAAAGAATTGATGCCTACAGAAAGATTATAACAAAAACTTCTTGAAATATGTGTATAGTAGGCGATGACCATGTTTGATAATGTCTTTATTTTCCCAAGTTTTCTTGACAAACATTAATTTGAATTTCTTGATTTAAGAGGAGCTTCTAAGATCTTTTAAAAAGTCAATAAAAATCCCTGCTTTATTTTTGGTTTCCACTTAAAATGAACATTTAGCACAATGTTTCCCAAATGTAGCTGAGAGAAGTAGTCACCTGGGGCACATCTTAAAACTGTAGATTCCAGAAAAGTCTGGGAATCTATGTTTTTAACAATAGCTCCAGGTTATTTTTATTTTAGCAAGTTTGGGAATCACTCAGTTAGCCCAAAGCTATTTGAAATTTAGCCTTAGATTTCTTGATAATCAACTCAGGCCTGTACAATCCAAACTGGTTTGACATACAGCTGAAATGTCAGTCAGATCACTGGGCCAGATAAACTTGAAATTGCCCTTAAGTTTTGACGGGAAAACAGCATTCCAAACCAGATTTATAAACAAAGTTTAACATAATTAATATTTAATCCTATTAATAAAAAAATAATAATCAACCAAACTCAAATTTGTTCCATTTCTACATTCCTAAGACTAAGCTTTTGGGGCAAGAGAATCAGATGGGGGTAAGTAAAAAGACAGTGGCTGTATCATTCATTTTAATTTTATGCTTGGATACTTGAAGCAAATCAAATATGGAGGAGAGACAGAATCTGGTTTCTAGGAGAAGATCATTGTCTTGTTTTCAGTTTTAATAGAGTTTAAGAGCTGAATAACAAAGGGGTGAACAATAATTTTAGTGAAAAAGATTTTAGGTGCTTGAGGAGGGTAGTAAAAAAAACTGTGTTATGTATAATACAATTGATAAATACTTCTCAGTGGAGATTATGATAAACTTTTCTCAAAACCAGAGCTTTTCTTTTCTTTTTTTTTTGATGAAGCAACTGACGGCTGGTTTGTGGTATAGAGAAGAAAAGATACTTTAGTTTTCTATTCCTTAGTGGTGAAAACTAATGTAATCTATTCCAGATATTAATTAATAGGCTTGGGTTTGTGTTGGTCCTGCAATTAACGTGCTGTGTGATTCTGGGCAATTTACCTAGCTTCTCTGCTTTTTATCTTCAATCTCTGTCAATGGGACATAACAACACATATTCCATGCATCATACAGATTATTGTGAGGCTTGAATGCCATAATGGGCATAAATACAAAGAGTTATTAAACTCATTGGATAATCACAAATTCTGTATATTTCATTTCAAAGTCGTCTGAAAATCATTATTCTAAACTGTTTAAAAGGAGTATTTGGTTAGGGAATCTAATACAGGCAAGGGAAAGGCCCAGTAAATTATTGAGATCCTACCAGTGCCCAGCTTCTCTCAGTGACACAGTAATAGTCCACCCTATCCCCAGAAATTGTTTCAACATCACAGTACAAAAGAACAGTGGTGTGGGAGCCACTCTCGTAAACTTTCCCAATCCCTGCTTGGCTTGTTTAGCAGCTCAATAGATACTGTCCTATCGCTGCTGTCCATTTTCACCCCTTTCACGGGTCTGCAACTCAGGCAGTGGCTTGTGTTTCTTCTTAGTTTAAATGCTATTACTCACTTGGAATTCCAAATGGGAAAATGCTGGCAATGCAAAGGTTAATAGAAGCGCTGACACAACTCTAATTGCAGCAGCACAGACATATCTCTGTAATTGTAGCCTGCACTTATCTCAGTTTCTCATACTCTTTCAGCCCATTGAGATCTGCCTCAAGCTGAAGATGAAAAGGGGGCCTCTGGAGTCGCTTGATCGAGCAGAGTCTGATAGAGTTATCAGGCTTTTGCAGATAGAATGCCTACCACCGTAGGATACATTGTCATAATCAGTGTTTAGGCAAAACACCTGGACTTCTGCAAGGACCACCAGCCCCCTCCCCACCACAGCACTACTGGTGCCTAGTCATTTGACTGACTGGGAGAGACAGATGAAACTGAAAGGGATAAAGGTGCCAGTCTGAACTGGCTGTCAGATGCTTCACTGAATGTTTCCCATATATGTTTATTTTCATACTTAGGAAGGCATTGGAAACACGCCCAACTCATCTACAGCAACTGACTGCAGCTTTTAAAGCCCAAACATGCTGATGCTTGTTGAGTGTAATTGGCCATGCTACATGGTGATGGCTTTGGGAGGGTGGAGATGCTAATTTTGCAACTTTGGGAATCTAAAGTCAGCTAATTTAATGAGGACCCAGACTCCTTACTCTCAAAAGAGACTCTCATGAAATTAACCATCATGATTGTTTGTCTCCTTAATGTTAGCATTGAACTTGCCTAGGTTGGGTACTTCTATGGTATGAATTAGACCAGTGTTGGTGGGTTAATATGTGTAGGTGGAAAGATTGGTACTGACTATCTTTATTTAAATTTTTGGAGTCTTTGTGTATTTGGTTCTATTTAAAGGTTTCATGGAGGTACATGTATGTGAAATTATATATTCTCTCTTTTATTATCATTCTATTTATCTGGTTTGCTTAGGCTAGTTAGAGGTTACCCATATGACACTGCTGTGTATATGACTGTAGATATTTGCGCTCAGTATTTTTACCCTGATCCTGGGTAAATCATGGAGCTAACATTTTTCAGGTGAAAATGTGTGCATAGAAAGACACTTCTGCAACTTTGTATTGATTTCAAAGGCAAAGGCCTTTGTCAGCTTTTACAGACTAATGTCTAATGCACAGGTTTGCTCTTGACACCTCCAGTCACCCACTGGAGAACTTTTACTTCCTCTCCCTGAAGAATCCAACATACTCAAGATCTACATTTTTCTTTCATTCAATTCGATAATTTATTTACACTGATGATTTAGTAAGTTACCCATTTTCAGTGGCATTTTTGTTTAAAAAGGGGTATGTGGTGAGGAAATAGTTCATCTTAACACCAAAGAATCACTAAAAATGACAGGTGGCGATGATTGGTGGCAAGGACACTTTCAGGGAAAAGATCTTCTGCAGTTATCTTCACTCTTATAATCAGCTTTGGTAAAAAGGCCCAGACTCTGGGATGTGAGTGTGACAACCTGAGTCATGAGAATGAGTGGGTGTGTGAATGTGTGGGTTTGTGTCCTCGGGGAGATGAAACACAGGCAGAAGAAATACCTACTGAAAATTAAAGGGGCCCTACAAAACATCTTGAGGAATGACATAAAGGGGAGGAATGTGTTGAATGAATAACTATATGCACAAATAGCAAACCTGGAGCTTAGCTGTAGTATTTTCACATGGCTAATGATAGTAGTAACACTAATAACAATAAGCCAGCATTTATTAAGCATCTACTCTGTGCTGAAACTGTGCTAAGTGCTTCATTGTATTAGTTCATAAATTTTTTGCAACTACTTTATGAAGTAGGTATAGTTTTTATCTTCATTTTAGATGGTAAACCTGAGGCACGAGAAATCTAAATAAACCATTGGACATAGTAAGTTGTCAGAATTGGATCAAATACAGGTGATTCCAATTCCAGAACCTAGTTTTTTTTTTTTAAGTTCATAAAATTCTTGCAACTACTCTGTGAAGTAGGTGTAGTTTTTATCTTCATTTTAGATGGTAAAACTGAGGCACAAGAAATCTAAATAAATTATTGGACATAGTAAGTTGTCAGAATTGGATCAAATCCAGGTGATTCTAATTCCAAAACCTAGTTTTTGTTTTTTTTTTTGTTTTTTTTTTTGAGACGGAGTCTTTCTCTGTCACCCAGGCTGGAGTGGAGTGCAGTGGTGCAATCTCCACTCACTGCAACCTCTGCCTCCCAGGTTCAAGCAGTTCTCCTGCCTCAGCCTCCTGAGTAGCTGGGATTACAGGCATTCACCATAACGCCCGGCTAATTTTTGTATTTTAGTAGAGACAAGTTTCACCATGTTGGCTAGGCTGGTCTCGAACTCCTGACCTCAGGTCATCTGCCCGCCTCGGCCTCCCAAAGTGCTGGAATTACAAGCATGAGCCACTGCCTGGCCCAAAACCTAGATTCTTAACCAATGTACTGTGCTACTTCCAACAAAGTCATTTCAGAGTATTTTTTTTTTTTTTTTTTACTTTTTGTTCTCTTCTTAGAGAATTTTGTAGGTCAGCTCAGGTCAAGAAAGGGAAAATTGCTATTAAGACACGAAATACATGTATCCTACTATGAATTACTTTACCTCTTTTAAACATCTACTCATTGTCAGGATCAGATTAGATAAAGAGAAGAAAGTCATTTTTAAGATCTATAAACAACAATTTTAGAGAAATCTCTGAATGAAATGAGTGAAAAGTCCTTCCTGATCTCTGTATTTTCATAGCAAAAACCATTATATGTGTTCCATTTTAATCAGGAAGATTATATACTTATTTGGACTTTATATGTAAACTGATTTTTAAGAGTCTTTAACATTCTGAAGTTGTGAGGCTCTCCTAGGAAGTGGCTTCATCTTTTTCCTTGTTGAATTTCAGCTCTAGCACAGGATTGGCCTTTTGAGAGAGTGGAGGGTGACTGACTCTCCAACATGAGGAAATGGGGTGAAATAAAGTGAGATATTGGCATTCGATGCCTGGATTCAGTTACCAGCTCTGCCTTTCCCATCTGTGTGGGACCCTGGGCAAATCAAATCATTTAAGCTCTCTAATGCAGTGATTCTGACACTTTAGTATGCACCAGAATCACCCAGGCTTCTTGCTGAAACACGATGTGTGGGGCTCTATCCCAGAGTCTCTGAATCGATAGGTCCGAAATGGGCTCAAGCATCTTCCTGACAAGTTTCCAGGTGATGCTAATGCTATCAGTCCAGGGCCACACTTTGAGAAACACCATTCAGAGTCTCAGTGTTTGCATCTTTAAAAGGGGATAATAGTATCTACCTCATTAGGCTGTTATAAGGTTTGGAGACAGAACTTCAAGCTGACTTTCTCACCTGTGCGTGTACACCCCACACTAGAACCCTACGTTCCTTTCGTGCTTAAAGTCCACTATTCAGACCCTCCATTTGGATTGTTAAAGGGACACTGGTGTTTCAAACGTTTCTGGAAAATGTCAGTTAGAACTTATCAGCTACCAGATGTGTGGAGTTAACTTGCAAAAGTTACAGGTATCTGAGAAAGAGGGAAAACAGGAGCAGAGATCTGTGCTTATGCAGCATAGAAGAAAATGTCTGAAGACCTTCTTCCCTTTCTGCATAACATTCATGAAGGTCTCTACTGATTTTCAGTATTTTCTAAACACAAGTTTGAGAACAAAATTAACTCATTAATTAATTAATTTAGCACATATTTACTGTGCCTTTAAAAAAAATCCTTGCGCTATGAACTCCTGCAATACCAGGCAAGGATAAGAAAAATATAATTCCTAGCCTCATGAAAGTCTATTAAAAATCCTTTGAATCTCTGTTTCTAGATTAAATTCTGGGTCCTCATCTATAATTTGAATATATTTGTTATTTCACAAGACTTAATGGTCTAAATCAATCTTCTACATATATTGAACATCACATTGTTCTCTCTGACTTTTATTAAGTTTAGTAGATAGCACAAGAAAAATACAACAGACTCTGAATTCTAAGAACTAAGAGTTTATTAACCAACACATATTTAAATATTATATACTATCAGCACTAATACCACATATATTTGCTAAATATTAAGGAGTGTTCAGAGAAGGAAACCTAAAGGAAGATTTCCTTGTGATTGAAAGTGCTTTCATCATTTGGTGGGCCTGTCACTATATTTCAGAGGCAATTTGAGATTCAGTCACTGATACTATGACTTTTAACTTTAATCCAAAGTCAGACCCTGATTGAAATCTAAAACTTGCTGAAATACGTGGCAAAGAGAAATCTGTTTGATGTTTTCCCTTATGAGTACTATTTTACACTTCCATTTTCATTTCTTGGGTTCTGGAAATTCCAACTCATCAAAACCTTTACTGACGATATACGAGACTCTCTAAGTTTATTTATTGACTCAGAATTTTTCTTTTCTTTTTTTTTTTTTTTTTGAGATGGAGTTTCACTCTTGTTGCCCAGGCTGGAGTGCAATGGTGCTATCTCAGCTCACTGTAACCTCTGCCTCCCAGGTTCAAGTGAAGTGATTCTCCTGCCTCAGCCTCCCGAGTAGCTGGGATTACAGCCCCTGCCACTACGCCTGGCTGATTTCGTATGTTTAGTAGAGACGAGGTTTCTCCATGTTGGTCAGGCTGGTCTCGAATTCCCAACCTCAGGTGATCCGCCTACCTCGGCCTCCCAAAGTGCTACAATTACAAGCGTGAGCCACCATACCTGGCCAACTCTGAATTTTTAAAGTGATTCTACCCAAAGTTGGAGAAAACCTTTACTTATAACTATGTCTGCATACCAGAGAAAATGAATGTACAAAGCTTACTGTAGAGTTTGACATTGATCATAAAGTCCCCTTGGTAATCTCTGGATATTTAATAAAATGTAGTATCCTTCATAGTCAAATATAATATTGTTGACATAAACATATCAACACGTTCATGCAATAGATAGCACGTAGTATCTACTATGTTTTAGAAGTCACAAGAATGGATTTGTACTGATTTTTGCACATGTTCTAGCTTGGTCCCACTTGAACTGAAAGGTTCTCATTTTCAAATTTTCAATTGGAACTAAGGAGATAGGAAGAAGTCACAGAACAGATTTTCTGTCCTAAGTCCAGCCAGTCATTTTTGTTGTCAGTTATTGGGCTGTTGGTTGGAGAATTTAAGCCTGTAAAGGGAAAGGGGTGGAGGTGAGTCAAATGAGGCTACGATATTTTTCATACCTGAAACTCTGTGGCCCTCCTTATGGCTGGTTAAAAGAGTGCTAGCTAAAGAAAAAGAAATACCATTTTTGTTGAAAGTCTGAAAAGTCATTCTGAGTTTACTTAGTCATCAGTGCTTCATTCACATTAGCTTTTGTTTGTTTGCTGTATTTGTTTTCACACTGGTGTAAAGATAGGGTAAATTATAAAGCAAAGAGGTTTAATTGACTCAGAGTTCTGCATGGCTGGGGAGGCCTCAGGAAACATGATCATAGTGGAAGGGAAAGCAGGCACGTCTTACATGGTGGCAGGTGAGAGAGAGCCAGCAAGAATAGGGAAATCTGCCTAATAAAACCATCAGATCTTGTAAGAACTCATTCACTATCACAAGAACAGCAGGGGGGAAATCATCCCCATGATCCAGTTACCTCCCGCCCTCTACATGTGAAGATTACAATTCGAGATGGGGTTTGAGTAGGGACACAAGAGACAAACCATATCATTTGCTTTGGTTTGTTTGTTTTTTGGTTCCTTTTGGGAATCATATTTACATGCCAGATTAAACAGAGTCAGGTTATGCTTGTAGTGCTTAGGTAAAGTTCTTACTTTGACAGCAGCTCAGCCTCTGCTACGTTAGATGGGAGCCAGGAAGGACAGGAATAAAAAGGATATCCAAGGTTGGGTGGCTTTCTTTATAAGTGTTCTTAGAGTATAAGGGGTGAATATGATAACCAAACATCCTTGGGGGAAATAGAGGTTTAAGAAAGGGTCACAGATTGTGAGAGAAAACTTTAAACTTTAACCGTTTGATAGTTATGCCTAGAGCTGATCCTTTTTTCTATTTGTAACTTTTCCAATTAAGTAATAGATAAAACCTGCAAACTTGAGGTTACACATTTTTTTAAACTTGAGAGCTTTTAACATATTTTAAAGATTTCACTGTAAAATTGTTTTATAAATTGCCACTCAATTAGCATTTGACTTATTTAATTAATACAACAAAGGAAGAAAAGAAAGCCAATGTATCATCTCAGATTCTTGTGTAGTTTTTTGAAAGGTAAAAACAGACCTCTTCATTTCTGGATAATCTAATTTAAAAATCAATAATTAAGAGTTGATATTTTAAAGAATAAAGCATTAAGTTAAATTATCTCCATTTTCAGATGGTATGATTATGTGACAAAAAATCAATAATCTATGTAAAAATTACTATAGTCAATAGTGTAATAAAATTGCAGAGTTAAAACTGACATACAAAATTGAATAAACATATATATATATAGAGAGAGAGATTATTTAAAGTAATAATAAAATTGAAGACCCAATTTATGCTTAAAAACAGAAATACAGGCACACCTATACATAAGCTCAACATGAAATGTCTCCAACCTTTGTAAAGAAAACTATAACTCACTATTGGAAGATTCAAAGGTACAGTTGAACAACCAGAAGAGATATGTTTTGGTTAGTAAAATTTGACATAATACAGATATCAGTTATTTCTAAGTTAATTAATACATTTAATACACTCCTAATAAAAATGCCATCTTTTTTTTTTTTCTGGAACTAGAAAACTTGTCTATAAAGTTTATTTGGAAAAAAAAAAAAGAAGCAAGAGTAGACATAAGAACCTTAAAAAAAACCAAAAAAGGTAGACTAATCCTGAAATATATTAAAACATACTACAAAATCTCTAAATTAAAAGAGTATAACATTATAGCAAAGGTTGAAAGAAAAAAATAGACCCAAATACATACGCAAATGTAGTGTAAAATAATCTTAGTGGGGTAAATAACTTATTTAAATAAATTAGTGTTGGCATAAGTAGATGGCAATAGAGAGAAATTTGGTCTCATTCTCCTTACTGCATACTAGGACAAATTCCAAATGTGCCAGAGAGTTAAATTAAATCAAAGAAGTACTGAAACAAATCATAGGTGCAAACCTATATCCTAGGCATAAGACAAACTCTTGGAAATGTAACTCAAAATACAAGAGCAGTAAAGAAAAATATTAATAATTTGACAGCATAAAAATTCAAAATAATAACATCCAAAAACTTTTCATGGCAAAAACAAGGAAACACTAGGAAAGTGAAAATGAGGAAAGTGTTTGCAATGTATATCAAAGACAAAGTTTAATACTATGAGTATACAAAGAGTTTATAACAATAGAGAAGAAAAACATCCTATAAATCCTATAGAAAAATGGCAAGAGATTTAAGTAAGATAGAAAAAAATAAAAATGGCCCTTAACTATTTGCAAAGGTATTCAGCATCATTGGTAAAGGGTTCAACAATTTAAAGCTATACTTAGATCCCTTTTCCCATTTAGGAGATTGGCCAAAATTCAAAAGTTTGACAGTATCCCTGCTAGCTGGATGAGGCATGCTTATACATTGTTGGTTGGAATAAAGAAATGTACAATTTCAAGCAGAGGGCAAGTGGGCAATATTTATTAGTTGGCACAGAAATCTTACTTTTAGGAACCTATTTTGAATAAAATGGAGGGAAAAAACAAGATGACATTTGCACAGGCTACTCATTGCAGCAAAAGGCTTAGAAAACCCCAAGAGCCCATCATAAAAGGACTGGTTGAAGGCTGTGTTACATACACATGATGGAGTAATATGTAGTGGTAAAAAGAAGTTAGAAAGATTATTAACATACTACAATGAAGCCATCTCTGGAACTAATAGATTAAAGGAGAGACTTGAGAGACACAGCCACCTATCGAGGGAACTAGCCCCCAATATTTCAATGTAGGTTCTTTTCTATTTTCTCTAAGTGTAGGCTGGTCTGAGAAATAAAGAGAAAGAGTACAAAAGAAAGAAATTTTACAGCTGGGTCTCTGGGGGTGACATCACATGTCGGCAGGTTCCGTGATGCCCCCGAGCTGCAAACCAGCAAGTTTTTATTAGCGATTTTCAAAGGGGAGGGAGTGTATGAATAGGGTGTGGGTCACAGAGATCACATGCTTCAAAGGCAATAAAATATCTCAAGACAATTGGGGGCAGAGCGAGCAAGATCACAAGGCCAGGGCAAAATTAGAATTACTAACTAGAGTTTCCATGTCCTGCTGGGCACATATTGTCATTGATAAACATCTTAACAGGAAGCAGGGTTCAAGAGCAGAGAACCGGTCTGACTAGAATTTCGCCAGGCTGGAATTTCCCAATCCTAACAAGCCTGGGGGCGCTGCAGGAGACCAGGGCATATTTCATTCCTTATCTACAACTGCATAAGACCGACACTCCCAGAGTGGCCATTTTAGAGGCCTGCCCCTGGGAGGGCATTCTTTTCCCAGGGCTGTTCCTTGCTGAGAAAAAGAATTCAGTGATATTTCTCTTATTTGCTTTTGTAAGAAGAGAAAAATGACTCTGTTCCACCCGGCCCTGCAGGCAGTCAGACTTTATGGTTATCTCCCTTGTTCCCTGAAAATCGCTATTATCCTGTTCCTTTTCTAGGTGCCCAGATTTCATATTGTTCAAACACACATGCTCTACAAACGATTTGTGCAGATAACACAATCATCACAGGATCCTGAGGCGACATACATCCTCAGTTTACGAAGATGATGGGATTAAGAGATTAAAGTAAGGACAGGTATAGGAAATTATAAGAGTATTGATTGGGGAAGTGATAAATGTCCATGAAATCTTCACAATTTATGTTCAGAGATTGCAGTAAAGACAGGTGTAAGAAATTATAAAAGTATTAATTTGGGGAACTAATAAATGTCCATGAAATCTTCACAATTTATCTTCTTCTGCTGTGGCTTCAGCCCGTCCCTCCGTTCGGGGTCCCTGACTTCCTGCAACAGCCACCAATTGCATTGTGTAGATCTTATTTATGAGTTGACAGACTTTTTCTGCAAAGAGCCAGATTGGTCAATATTTTAGGCTTTGTGGGTTGGTCCTACATTTTCTGTCAGAACTACTCATCTCTGCCCTTATAATGCAAAAACAGCCATAGAAATCCTAATGAACTGCATTCCAAGACATCTGTACTTAACAAGAATGGGAGACAGCCAGATTTGGCCTGAAGGCTACAGTTTGCAGGTACCTGTCAAACTGTATTTAAAAAGTATATAAAATGACTTGAACACTGATTGGATGGAAGAACAGGGACAGGATAATGACAGTTAACTCTTCTATTTGGAAAGGAGAACAATGAGATGCACAGAGCAGTTACTGGTCCATAGATATTCTGAAATCCTATTAAGCAAGATTCTTCTACTGAGCCGGGGGTGCAGTGGCAGGGCAAGGGGGGTGGTTGGGGGGCAGTGCAGAATTGTTCCAAGTTCATAGCCTAGTCACCTAGTCTCTGTTCATGTAAGTAGATTTTCAGTCCATTGTATTCTATGACTTTTAGCCTCATCTTCTGGGAGTTCCTATGTTTTTCATGATCATCTTTGGCCACATTAGAAAATGCTCTCCTTGCCCTCCCCTCACCCCCAGCTGCTTCTGAGCCTGCTTCCTTTCTGTGTTGAATTGTCTACTGTTGACTTAGCACCTGGGCTCCTGTCTAAGATTAGGAACTACATTTCTCAGAATCTTCTCTGTATGGTTGTCAGATGGATTGGTCCATTAAAAGAAATTTTGTGAGATTGGAAGGCAGATAAGAGTAGAGGACATCATTCTTGGGAGGTTATTCGCATCAGGCATCATCTGCAGAGGTGCCTGGTGAGTCTCTGGTTGTAACTCTGCTGCTCCAACTCATCTTGATGGCTGGCCATGCTGACCAACAGCTGCCTCAAGCCCACCTGATCTTGGCTTGTGGATCCACAGAGGCTTACACAAGACTCTCCCTGTGTTCCTTCTTTGCCAGGTTCTCCAGTTCCTCTTTGGCAGTGACACACACAGGTTACTTATATTTTCCTGCAAGCTCCAACTTGTGTTCCCATGCCAGCACATCAGGATAAAATCGTTAGTGACAATTTCTCAAGTTCTACGTCCAACCCCTTTACTTTCCCAGCTCCACTCATGTTTGTATAAACTCTAATTCCCATATTAAATCCCTTATTCCTTTTTCTTTTCTTTTTTTTGTTGTTTCTCTGTACTTCGATGGATGCTCTCCTTGTGATACATATAGTGGTTCTGGTTTCCTGACTTAACCTCAAATGATATACTACTCACAGAAAGTTCAGGACCAAGAGTTACTTTATGTCTCAGTCATTCTTATTTAGTCCAGACTGGATGATCTTTTGAGTACAACTCTCTCAAAAATTTACATGGCCTTTTGTCTATTTTATTTTATTTAGTTCCTGTACCAATACCTACATCAACAATTCTTGATATGTGCTCCTTTTCCTAATATTAATTCTGGGCATTGTAAGCTGATGAGATTTTCACAGAAGGCACATCCTTAGTATGTTCTCCTTCTGCCATTTGTCTAACTGAAAGGATTTTTGTTTGATTTCTTAATTGATTCAGAAGTTTCACAATGGGTTTTATGGTCACATGCTTGATTTTGTCTTTCCCATGAAACTTCTTTTCAAATTGGCCTTTGTCACCCAAAGCTTTCTCTTTTGGTTTAATGTTTTACCAGTTGGAGATGAAAAACAGTTGCATCCTTCAAAACTGAAAGGCCCACAAATTTCTGTGCTCTCTTTATTTCCTTTGACTCTTATTTACAAGCCGTCAGTCCTTTTCTGAGTTCATTTCTTTGCAGTACCTTACCAAATGCATCCAATAGCAACCAAAGAATGGTCCTAACATTATGTCTCCCAACCTCTCCACTTAAAGCCATGAGCTCATTTCGTACATTATCTTTCTTCCTAGTTATTCCAATTTGCCACTACATGGTAAGGGTCACATCTTTCCACTGTACATAAGTTTCCTGGTTATCCACTGTCCAGCAGTGAAGCTGATGCCACGTATTTCAGGTTTTGTGTTATGATAACACTCACTTTGGGGATCAATTTCTATACCAGTAAGTTTAGGCTGTAGAGTATAAGTTTAGTCTGTAGAATGTTAAGCCAAATCTTAGTTGCTTACAAAGACAAGGATTCATTTCTCATTCACATTACGGCTGGCTTATCAAAGGTCAGCTGAAACTTTGTTCGACATCTCTGCTTGTGATCAAGGCAGAGGAAGCAGTATCAATGGGAAATGTGTACAGCCTCATCATAGAGAGGGAACAGAGCATGGCATAACCATACAGTGGTACCCAAATCTTCTTCTTCCAGTGGCCCAGGTCATTTCCAGGTATATTTCATTGGTTAAAAAAGTCCTGGGTTCACCATCACAGGGACACACAATCCTCCTGCAGGGAGGGATACCTCAAGGTATATATGCCTGAAGTCAGCAGGGCAGGATTGTATAATGCATTCACAGGGAGGTCACTGCTGGGCAAATAACTACGCCTGATACTTCATAAGGTGAAAGTGTAACCTCCCAAATGTATGGGCAGATAATATTTTGACTAATAATACAATCACTTTTATTTCAACATGTTTCACAAGCAACTTGATAACAGAGTCAGTTTTATGCCTGTGCTCTAACTATATTTGAACTGACCTACTAGAACCCAAATTTCATGATGCCAGAGTCTACCTTTTGTCCAATTAAAAACTTGCTTCCTATGATTAAGTATTAATTAAATTAAAAAATGTATATATGTGTCTTTTGAAAACAATAGTTCATTCAAGGAATTCCATTATTAATAACTCCTGCTTAGTGATTAAAGTGTTAATATTAAATTTTTTTCTGAAAAATATTTGTCTACAGAATATAACAGGAAACTGACTTTTTAAAACAAATTTCCTAGTCATTATTTGAAAAAGAAAATTTCAAAATTCAAGATATGCAATTGCCTGAAGGTATAGACTTAGAAATTTAACATTTAAAAACATTTTCTTCATTTTCTAAGCTTATATTTCATAACTGTACAAATTCTTAGCTATTCTACTATTACTTGTGGATTTGCTTAAAAGAAAGCTCTTTAGTGTTTAGTCAAACAATAGACAAAACTTTTAGCATGAAACATTATTTTATGGTAGACTCAGCAAGCTGAACTAGTAATATATTCTCTTATTTACTGAAACATTTGTTTTATATTTATTATTTTTGTATAAGGTAATACACTAATTTGTGATGAACTTTTAATTATACATTATTTGTAAAATTACTTTTTTCCTATGTAGCAAATTTTAAAATAGCCAGAGTAAGCCATGGAAATAAGCCAATGTCAAAGTTTGAAGGTCAAAGTAGTATGATCTAGTAGAAAGAACTGTGCCTTTGAGTGAAGTAGATTGAATAACTGATGCAAAGTTTTCCTTGGCTCTGGTAAAATAATTGATTCATTCCTTTGCTATGGCTTCATTTTAGCATTTTAGAGTGTGCTTCCTGCCTCCTTGACTTGGGTGTGCTTTAGCCAAAGGGAAATTAGCAAGTATGATGTAATCAGAGGCTTGAAATTTTTTATGAGTGGTTAGGCTTGTTTCCCTCTGCACTGTGCTTCTGCAGTGCCAGGAGAAGATTATGCCCCAGGTGCCTCTAGCATGAGTTCCAGTATGAGATGCACAAGAGGAGCTGCCCCAGCCCAGTCTCAGGCACTTGAACCCAAACTATATGCTCTTTGCTGAATACCACTGAGTTTTTGTGGTTGTATATCATACTGTAAGAGCTAACTGACACTAGAACTGGAGACCTAGTTTAGTCTCATCTGTGCCTAGATACATGATGATGTCAACAGGATCCTCAGCCCTTCTATGTCCAGTCTCTCAATCTACTACTTGAGGATAATAACACCTCTATCATAGCCTGGTTTTGAGAATAAATTAAGACAATACTATAGATGTGAAAGTGCTTTGAATAACTGTAAGATGTTACTAAAAGACATTTGGTTTTGAGGAGGGTGAGAGAGAGAAAGAGAGTAAAAGAGACAGAGAGAGAGATGTTATATGACCCAACTCTAGGTCATAAAAGAGATGACCTATGTTTGTTCTTTGACCTAACAAGCTGGGAGAAGTTGAATAATAATCTGTGATTCGTCACTGAAAAATGCTTCCTTACAAAACAGTGTTACTCAGACTTCTTTGATGAGAATCCTTTCAGGTGTTCGTTAAAAAGGGGAGGAGAGAAGAGGGAAAAAAGGAAAAAAAAAGATACACAAGCTTCTCTTTCCTAGATATTTCGATACAGGAAATATGGATATAGGTTGGGATGTAGAAATTTGTGTGTTGGAAGTGGTCCATGTGACTTTTTAGGATTAGGCAGATTTGGGAAATATTATGCATATAAAGTATCCTGTAAATAAAAAATAAAAATGCAGATGATTATGAATAAACTAATGTTTGATTAAAAGATAATCAGATTCTAACATTTGAAAACAGGAAAAACCACCTCTGATTATTAAAAGACTTAGGAAGATAAAAAAGTTACTAGTATAATATTACATTAGGTTTTGGTGCTAAAACTCCTAATAATTCTTTTGTTTTTACTTTTTAAAAAATAACCTTCACATCAGAGAATAAATATGAAGACTAAAAACTACAAATGGTATTAATGAGGTGATAGAGTTTTATCTGACTTATTGCAGACCTTCATTTTACATTTGTGAAGTCTGCAGCAAGATAAAGAAATGGAGGCCTACATGCCATATGCTAATATTTAAATGTGATAAATCATCCTAAAAGCTGTTACATAACATATATTTTATCTTCCAATTGTTTCTAATATAACTTTTATAGCACATATAAAACCAAATTAAAAGATATGTGAATTACATCCATGGTTTTTACATAACTAAAAATTGGTAAAATACCAAAGACATCTGAATATAATTATTAAGAACAGAAATTTATATTCTCATAGTTCTGGACGCTGGGAAGTCTAAGATCAAGGTGCTAGCATCTGGTTAGGGCTTTCTTGCTGTGTCCCCACATGGCAGATGAGCAGAAGAAAGTGAACCCACTCCTTCAAGCCCTTTTTATGGTGGCACTAATCAATTCACGTTCCAAAGGGCCCCATTTCCCAACACTTTTGCTTTGGGGATTGTTTCCAATACATGAACTTTGGAGGAACACATTCAATCCACAGCAACTGGGAGGCAGCTTCTGACTCTGATACTGGAATTAGCACAGTCCTCATACATTCACCACATAAGGGCACAGTTGAGTTTGTAGGGCAAGAGGTGTGGAATAGCAATTACCTGGGAACTGAGCAGTACAGGGTTCTAGTGACATGATGCCAGTGTCAAGGACAGGGTCTTGAGTGGCAGAGGCACATATGTGCTTTTTAATAGGTATACTTGTGTGTGTGTGTGTGTGTGTGTGTGTGTATGTGTATGTATGTGTGTGTGTATGTGTGTGTGAGAGAGAGAGAGGAATTTGTGAAGACCCCTAAAGTATGAAACCCAGGAAGAAGCCTGAACTCTTTGAGGGTGTGTGTGAAATGGCAAGGTTGTGGATAACATTAGTGCCCATTTTGAAGGAACAAGATGGTGAGTTGTGACTAGCAAATATTTAGCATGCCAGGGTTAACTGGCCTGAACCATCACTTACATCTTTGAGTCTCAAAAAATGTATACAATATAAAGGGCTCCCTTTTCCTTTCCTTAACTAGCAACCCCTCCTACTCTGAGGTGCACAGTTCCTTGTTGCTTTATGCCCTGTAGTGCCTTCTGTGATTCTTCCAGGCGTACCAATGTCTATTTGAACTTAAATCTAATTACTGAGAAAAATCGCTGAAACCCAGAAAACCTAACAAAATGTTTTTGTACTAGGCCTTGAAGTCCTAGGGATTGTTTTAAGTTCACTATGGATTGGAGGTGGGAAGGAAGCACCTTTTTTCTGGAGATTTCTATAGCATACAGCAGATTTTGTTTCTTGGCCTAGATAGATTCTTATTACTTCTTTCTACTGATCTTTCTGATAGTTTTAATGGAGCCATAACCCACTTGGCTAGATTTTAAGCATTATCTGCCTTTCCAAATGAGCTTATAATGTTAAGGACAGTCCCAGAACGCCCCAGATCAAAATACACCAAAGGAAAAGAAAAGAGACTTGGGGGGATACTTTCACACTGCAAGATGATGACATATACCCCCGATTAATCAAATTCTAGCTAATCATAAATGCCAAGGTGATTTGAACAAATGAATTGCTTCAGCATACTGAAACTCTGATTTAAATTCTCAGGCCTCCATAATTTCAGAATCAATAAACACTTATTATTGTTTCCATTTGTACTGCTGAATAAATCACTGTGTAATTTTACCTCTTAATTCTTAAAGGTGTAATATAAAAATATTGATTTTAATAGTTTTTGTGCTATTAAAAGGGTATGTAATTCATACATACACAACTCTTTGGCATGGTGCCTAAGGCAGTGAAATTGTTGCTGCAAATAATATGTAAAAACCTTTTATTAAAAATATTTTATTAAGGCATAACCATCATAAAGAAATGTGTACAAATTATAAGTTTACAACTTGCTGGGTTTTTGCAAAGTGAATACACCTGTATAGTCAGTCTCTGGACTAAGAAATAGAATATACCAGCACCCTAGGCACTAGCACCTGAAAAAAGATAACCACAATCTGACTTCTAACATCACTAATTAGTTTTGCATAGTATTGAACTTTACGTAAGCTGAACCCCACAGTAGAAAAATCTTTGTTCCTGCTTTAAAAAACAAACACTCAATATTATGTTTATACAATCATCCATATATTTTGAGTTTAGCGATAATTTGTTCATTCTCATTGCTATTTAATGGGCCTCTGTGTGAATGTTGTATAATGTGCTTCTGTATGAACATAGCCAGGTTCTGGCTATGATGAATAATGGTGCTATCAACATTCTTATACATGTCTATTGATGTACACACGTATACATGCATTGGTGTGAACTACTGGGTCATAAATTATGCCTGTGTTCAGCTTTAGTTCATCATACTGAGCTAGTTTCTAAAATAATTGCATCAGCTTACACTCATAGTAGCAATGCCTCCTGGTTTACTTCCTCACCCACTTTGTCAACACTTGTTTTTTTCCATCTTTTTCATTTCAGCTCTTCTGGCAGGTGTGAAGTGGTATCTCACTATGGCTAATAGGCATTATTTCTCTGGTGACTATGGATGTCATGCACATTTTCATAAGTTTAATGGCCATCTAGATATCCCTTTCTGTGAAGGACCTGCTCAAGTCTTTGTGCATTTTTCTATTAGAATGTGTCCTTTTTTAAATAAAAAATTGATTTGTACATTTTTAAATATCTGGGTTTTAGTCTTTTATGTATATTACAAACATTTTCTCCCATCTTAATGGCATTTTTAAATTATACTTTTTTGATCAACTGAAATTTTTAATTTTAATATAGTGTAATGTATTCACTTTTATTTTATTAGTACTTTTGTGTGTCCTGTTTAAGAAATCTGGCCAAGCGCGGTGGCTCACGCCTGTAATCCCAGTATTTTGGGAGGCCCAGGTGGGTGGATCACAAGGTGAAGAGATCAAGACCATCCTGTCCAACATGGTGAAACCCCGTCTCTACTAAAAATACAAAAATTAGCTGGGTGTGGTGGCACGCTCCTGTAGTCCCAACTACTCGGGAGGCTGAGGCAGGAGAGTCGCTTGAACCTGGGATGCAGAGGTTGCAGTGAGCTGAGATCGCACCACTGCACTCCAGCCTGGTGACAGAGCAAGATTCCGTCTCAAAAAAAAAAAAAAAAAAAAAAGACATCTTTGCCAAACCCAGGGTGATGAAGCTATTTTCCAATATATTTTTAGAAGTATGTGTGAGATAACTTTACTTAAAATTTTTTTTCTTATTAAGTACGGGAAAAAGATGCTGTTGAATATTATTAATATCTTGCATTTCTGTCTTATTTAAAGCAGTTGAAATTAATGTATGTGTTAACATTATTATATAAATATTTCTTGAAATGGTGCCTGAATAAGAACAGGGATAGTGAACTCAAGTAGCTTCATATCTAAGAGGAAAGAAAATAAATATATGTAAATAATTATGCAAATAAAAAGAAATAATTGCCACAAAAGGTGCAGATAAGGGGACATGGGATTTTTTTTCTTTCTCTTTTTGGGTGGGTGACAGGGAAGTCTGCATGAAAGAGATGACATTTTAATCAAGCCCTGAAGTATAGATAGAATTGGGGCGTGAGATAAAATGAAGGCATTTTGGAGAGTGAACACAGAATAAACAAATGATCAGAATAGAAAAGGTGTGGTATACATGTAAACATAGAGGTAATTTAACCAAATAGCTTATATAAAATATGACTAAAAAATTACTGACCTGAATTATTGGAAAGCAAACACAACAGGAAATAGAGTCTAGATGCATTGCAAGTCATTTGCTACAAAGTGGTTATATTAACACTTTTTAATTGTATTAACAGAAACCAAATCTAGCCAGTTTATACCTAAAGAGCAACAGGGAAAGTGGTTATTTTGTGGAATCTAAGGGCAGGGAAGCAGGTAGAATTCAGAACTAAAGGCTGGAGTTCCACAGTGACCCAGGTAGTCTTCTCTCTACCGATTTATCTCCCTCTCAGGGCATGTCTGTTTTATTCTGCTCCTTTGCTATAGAATTGCTTCTTCGCTTCTCAGGCAAGATATTAGAAAATAGCTTCTAAAAGCTCTTAAATAGATCTCCCTAGTCAAGATGTCAGACAGATGTATCTGGAATCTGAAATTCCCTGGGAAAGGGGCTCATTGGCTCAGTTTCAGTCAAGGGCCCCATTCCTGGTCCAATCAACTATGACAGGGCAGGGCATAAGGAGGTATGTAGTAGGAGGCACCATATTCACTAATGTGATTTATGGGAAACTCACCATTATAACCAAAGGGATCTGGAGGCCAAGGAGGAAGTTTTTTCTCAGAAAAGGGGAAAGTGGATTGTATAATCAATAGAAGAGGAGTCATCTTAGAAAGCTATGATAATAGCTATTATTTATTAAGGATATACAGCAGTTTTTTAAAAAACCTTTTTATTTTAAAGTGATTATATATTTACAGAAGAATTGTGCAGATGAGAGAATGCCTGAATAGCTTTCATCCAGCTTCCCCTAACATTAGTCTTTTATGTAACCATGGTATATTTACTAAAACCAAGACTTAACATTGGCATACTATTATATTATCTAAACTGCAGACTTTATTCAGGTTTCACAAGTTTTCCTACTGATGTCTTTTTTCTGCTCCAGAATTAAATCCAGGATATCAGATATTGCATTAGTCATCATGACATCATCATAGTCTCCTCTAATCAGTCTCTGTTTGTTCTTTGTTTACTTCGACAGTTTTGAAGAATATTGGTCAGGTATTTGTAGAGGGTCCCTCAGCTTGGGGTTTTCTAATGTTTTCTCATGATTTGACTGAGGTTCGGGGCAAGAAGAATATCACGGAGGTGATACATTCTCTGATAGCGTCATATCATGTTATCAGAGGTATGTGAAATCAACATGACTACTACTAGTGATATAAGCTTTCTTCACTGAATACTTACGAGGAATTTGTGAACAAATGTTAAAACCACCACAGTAATTGATAAATATTTTGAGCATGATACTTTAAGTCTAAGCAAATATACTCTTTCCTTATAAAGATCCACCCACAAATTTTAGCATTCATCTATGGATCCTGCCTACAGCCATCACAGGTTGAGTATCCCAAATATAAAATTCCAAAATCCAAAACTTTTTGAGCACTGACAATGCTAAAACAAAATGCTCATTGCAGCATGTTGAATTTCGACTTTTCAGATTTGGGGTGCTCAACCAGTAAATATAATAAAAATATTCCAAAATCAAAAAACATTCTAAAATACTTCTGGCTCCTAGCATTTCAGATAAGGGATTCCCAGCCTGTATCATAGTATGTAATGGTGATATTATTTTTCCTTAATTTCCTTTCTGTTTCTTCTTTAAAATTCTTTTCTAAAGAATATTCGTTTATTTTCCCCAGTTTATTTATGTATTTAATCATTTGTTTAGATTAGTATGAACTGGATATTTATTTAATTTTGGGTGGTCATAATCCAGTATTATCTCTATTTATTTTGTTAAAATTATTCCATCTTTGCCCATTTAAAAATGTTTCAGGTGGCTCTTATGTCCTATTGTTATGTACCCATCCTTTGTTTTGTTATTGTTAAAGCGCTTTCTTTTTTCTGGCACTACAAGATGGTCCAGATTTATTTGTATTTTTGCTGCCCTGGTCCTAGAATCAGCCATTTCTCCAGGGAGTTCTTATTCTCTTTATTGGAGAATAGTATTTAGTAATTAAGATATGGATATTAGATGTGCTGATTGATATTGGAATATCTGCTTCTAAGTCCTCTCTGCTCACAAAGCTAGGAAATATGTATATGTATGTTAAGTCATGCATACATACATATCAATAATTATTCCTGTATCTATTTGCAAATATTTTAAAATAAACATGGGTTTATGCTGATATCTCTGACTGTAATTCAGTATCATGGGATTTATTTTAGCCTTTCCTCATCATTCCTTGGTAATTTTATTCTACAACAGTGACAAAAACTCATGCCAGGTACTTTATCTATGATATAATATTAAATTGTCACAACTGTACTTTAAGTATGATCTCCATAACTGATGGAAAATTACAAACTTAATAAGCTTTCATAATTTGTGTAAGGCACAAAGAAAGTAAATGGAGCTTCGTGGCAGTAGACTCAGCAGCAGGCCCACCTGTGAACATGATGGTGACCCCACCTTCCTATAGACCCTGAAGGTAGCCACACCCATTTGTGGACTCCAGTGGCAGCCCAGGCCAGCCACAGACCCCAACAGTAGGACTGCCCCCTGCAAATACCTGCAACAGGCCCACCAAAGACACACATGCCTGTGAACACTGTCCCCCAGCTGACCTGTGAACTGTGCCAGTTTATATACCTGGAATATCTGATTGAGTTGACTGGCAAAGATCTTTCCCTGCTAACACCAGTTAGTAACAACTAGAAGAGGTGACTGCTTCCTCAAGTGCACAGACATTAACAAAAGGTTACAGAAATCCTGAAAAATCAGGCAACCATGATACCATCAAAGAAACTCAATAGAACACTAGTAAATGACAATAAACAAATAGAGATCTAAAAAAAATTAACAAATAATTAAAAATAGTAGACTTAAGGAAACTTAAGGAGCTACAAGACAACATAGACAATGAAACTAAATCAGGAAAACAATACATGAACAAAAGGAGAAGTTCAACAGAGAAATAGAAACCATAAGAAAGAATCAAACTGAAATCCTGGAACTAAAGAATACAATGTCTGGTCTGAAAAATTTACTAGCAATCTTCATTTCACAGCAGGCTAAATCAAACAGAAGGAGTCGGTGAATTCAATGGCAGTTAATTTGAAATTATACAGTCAGAAGAACAAAAAGAAAAAAGAACAAAAAAGAGTGAAAAATCTTATGGGAGTTATGGGACACCATCAAATGAAACAATATACCCATTATGGAAGTCCAAGAAGGAAAATAAAAAGAGAAATGGGAAGAAATCTTATTTTTAAAAATAATGGGCCAGGCGCAGTGGCTCACACCTGTAATCTCAGCACTTTAGGAGTCCGAGGTGGGTGAATCATGTGAGGTCGGGAGTTCGAGACCAGCCTGACTAACATGGTGAAACCCCGCCTCTACTAAAAATATAAAACTAACCAGGCATGGTGGCTGGGACCTGTAATCCCAGCTACTTGGGAGTCTGAGATGTGAGAATTGCTTGAACCTGGGAGGTGGAGGTTGCAGTGAGCTGAGATTGTGGCATTGCACCTTACCCTGGGAGACAGAGCGAGACTCTGTCTCAAAAAGAAAAAAAAAGAAAAAAAATGACTAAAAATATTCCAAATCTAGGTAAGAAAATAGACATTCTGATTCATGAAACCCAAAGATTCCTAAATAGGCTGAACCCGAAGAGGTATACTGGAAAAACATTATAATTACGTTATAAAAGTCAGAGAGAATTTTAAAAACAGCAAGAGAAAGAAACTTTTCACACAAAAGGGAACTTCCATCAGCAGACTTCACAGCAGAAATGTTACAGGCCAGCATATCCAGCTTCAGCAGTCTCAGCTCCACCAGCTGGAGAATAAATGGGATTTGCATGAACTCCACTCTGAACTGAAACAGAGATTGCAGTGTTAATATCTCTTTCTTCTGATTGTTATTAACAGTTCCTCAGAAAATTAAATGTTGTCAGAAGACAGAGAAGCTCAGGAGGGTGAATTGTTGGCCCTGGAGAGTATTTATGATGGGGATGAATTTAGAAAAGCAGAGTCTGTTCAAAGTGGAGAAACCAGGTTCCATTTGGATTTGCCACAGAATTTCAAGATATTTGTGAGTGCTATCTGCTCTATGCAAGCATGTAGACATCCTATGGGAAGAACACCATGGCAGCATGGTCCTTTTTGCCTGGATGCAGTTTGTTAAGGAAGAGACGCTAGTGTACTTGAATATTGTCTCTCCTTTTGAGCTCAAGATGGGTTCTCAGAAATAAGTGTAGAGAATGACAGCCCAAGCCTCTCCCAGCACAAAGCTAGATACTGGAGGAGCTGCTGGATCTAATGTAGGCCAAGAGGAAATTGTGGATGAGAGAGCTGTGCGGATGTGGAATCACTGTCAAGTCTAATCCAGAAAATCTTGGACTTTGATCAAGCTCAGCACATAAAATGCTTTAATAGTAAATTTTTCCTGTGCAATATGTTTCTGTGAGAAGCTGGGCAGTGAATGCATGTACTTCTTGGAGGGCAGGTATGTATACTGCAAAGCTTGTCTGAAGGACGACTTTGAACTCCAGATCAGAGATGGTCAGGTCCAATGCCTCAACTGCCCAAAACCAAAGTGTCCTTTGATGGCCACTCCTGGTCAGGTCAAAGAGCTAGTGCCTGTTATCACTGCCTTCTCCTCCAGTCCACTTTGAACTTGATGGCACATGTGGTGTACTGCCCCTGCTCATGCTGCCCAGCTGCCCGTGATGCAGAATCCTGGCTGCAGCATGGGCATCTGCTCTAGCTGCAATTTTGCCTTCTGTACCTTGGGCAAATTGACCTACCATGGGGTCTCTCTATGTAAGGTGACTGCAGATAAATTAATAGACTTATGAAATAAATCCCTGAATGCAGATGAGGCCAATAAAAGATTTTTGTAACAAAGGTATCGTAAGAGGGTGATTCAGAAGGCACTGGAAGAGATGGAAAGTAAGGAGGGGCTAGAAAAGAACTCAAAGGGCTGCCATGTTGTGGAACTCCCATAGAGAAATTGATGAATGTAATAAGATGACATGTACTGGCTGTATGCAATATTTCTGTTGGATTTGCATGGGTTCTTTCTCTAGAGCAGACTCTTACAAACATTTCACTGATCCTACCTCATCATGTTTTAATGGGCTGTTTCATGCTGTGGATGTTAATGGAGATATTTGGGAAGATGGGATTGAAGACTAGTTAATGACTGCTCAAGATATGGAAGTGGATTGGTTTTCCCTAATCTTTTGTCAAGTACACAAAGTAGCCTTGCAGGATATTTATGGCACTATTTATTCACTCTTCCTGTATAGAATATATGGAAGAACAAGTTTTATATTTTCATGTGGTACTACTGATGAAGGTGCATTCATACATTTTTTAATGTAATGTAAGTTGAGCAAAATTATAAGCCAAAGCTTCAGAAAATGAAAGAACAGAATATTAAATATAATGTGTGCAAAGCACTGAATAGTTAAATATTTATTTTCTCCTCAAAGCTTTAGGTAGGAAAAGAGGGGTCAAGAGTTAAACTTAGAGACCCTTTTTGTCTCTGAGAAGCATCCCTCTAAGGCATTCTGTTGGAGCTCCCTCAGTACTACTCCTTACAACAGGGGTGGGTAGAAGGCTTATGAAAATTATACTGCGAGTCTGATCTAATTTACTCCATGTTACTCACATTCTTTCCAACCTAAATTTTGGCCAAGTCAGTTCTCTTTGGAGGGAGCCCTGTATTCTGTAACTGACTGGGTGGTCCAGTGTTATTTTGATATACTGCTTTTCAGAATGGAAATTTATAATACTTTAAAAATATTTTGTAATACCACAAATACTGTTGGGCACTTGATATTTATTAGTGGTGTATATGGTCCACTGGTTTCAGGCCAAATCTAGAATTTAGTGATACTGGCTCAGAAGAATTTAAGTTCTATTCAACCTTCCTGGGCATCAGAGCCTAGATTCAAAATGACTTGTCTTTACTACTTTTGTTCCACATTCCCCCTCTTTACCTTTGCCCTACCTTCTGTTTGTAAGGACACTTTTAATATTAATTCCAGCAATGTCTGTTTTTATTTCCTCTGCTGGAATAGGAGAAAGCCTAATATATTCCCAAGTTGAAAGTTCTTGAATTATCCACATTTAGCACCGTATATGCCTGTAGTGACAGTATAATCTGTCTATACCACTGTAGTTCCAGTCCTGACTTTCTGAATTCTTTTTAAATATCTTCTCTAACAAGCTATGGGAATTTGGCTTCCACTTTTTTTTTTTTTTTTTTTGCAATGGCAGTATTTTGGGTGATAATTTTGGATTGATACCTATTCCTTTTTCTGGGTTTTCTTGGCTTTTTGAAAAATTGTCTTTTCTTATAGTTTGATGAGTGGCTTGGTAGCAAAGTAAGATTTATTTGGAAAAGAGGACAGAAAAATTGAACTGCTGCTTGAGAACATATTCTTTTTTCCTACTGTGTCATTGAAAATTGAGGAATCACTTTTAACTGTTTTAGGTGTGTGTATCCAAAGAGTGAGCAAGGACTATGTTTCTGGATTGTCAAAGGGGATGCTTAATCTTAAAAATAAAAATAAATTTTAAAATCATCTTATTAAAAAGAAAGAAATGTTACAGGCCAGGAAAGAATGGGATGATACATTCAGCATACTGAAAGGAAAAAAAAAAATCTGTATTATATTGCTGATGCTGGGTATCTGTATTATACCCAACTAAACTGTCCTTTAAAAATGATGGAGAGATGGCCAGGCACGGTGGCTTATGCCTGTAATCCCAGCACTTTGGGAGGCCGAGGTGGGCGGATCATGAGGTCAGGAGATCGAGACCATCCTGGCTAACATGGTGAAACCCCGTCTCTACTAAAAAAATATTTTGCCGGGCATGGTGGTGGGTGCCTGTAGTCCCAGCTACTCAGGAGGCTGAGGCAGGAGAATGGCGTGAACCCTGGAGGCGGAGCTTGCAGTGAGCCGAGATCACGCCACTGCACTCCAGCCTGGGCCAAAGAGTGAAACTCCGTCTCAAAAAAAATAAAAAAAATAAATAAATAAAAGATGGGGAAATAAAGACTTTCCCAAACTAACAAAAGCTAAAGGAGTTTGTCACCACTAGATCTACCTTATAAGAGGTATTAACAGTGAAATGAAAAAAAAAAAAGTTAAACAGCAACACCAAGACATATGAAATTATAAATCTCACTATAAAGGTCGATATAAAGATAAACAAAGAATATTGTAATGTTGTAATGGTGACACATAAATTACTTTTAACACTATAATGAGTTAAAAGACAACATTATTAAGAATTCCTGTAACAACAGAAATTTGTTAATGGAAACATAATATAAAAAAGAAGTAATATCTGACATCAATAACATAAAGTTGTGGAGGAGTAAAGTGTAAATTTCTGTATGCAATTGTAGTTAAGATGTTGTCAGCTTCAAATAGACTGTCACAATTATAAAATGTTCAATTCAAGCCTTATTGTAACCATAAGAAAAAACCTCCAGTAGATACACCAAAGATAAAGAGAAAAGAATCAAAGTATATAACTACAAAAGCCATCAAAACACAATAAAGATAACAAGAGAGGAAGAAAGGAAGAGAAAAACTATAAAAGAGACAGAAAACAATTAACAAAATGTCAAGTTAATTGTAGTGTACTTACCTATCACTAATTACTTTAAATTTAAAGGGCTAAACTCCCCAATCAAAAGACATAAATGGCTGAGTGGATTTAAAAGAACAGGTAATAGCCAACTGTATGCTGTGTACAAGAGACCCAATTTAAGTGACACACTTAGGCTAAAAGTGAAGGGGGTGGCAAAAGATAGTCCATGTAAAAAGTAGCCAAAAGAAAGCAGGAGTGGCTACATTTATATCAGACAAAATACACTTTAAATCAAAGAATTACATAAGAGACAAATAAGGTCATTAAATGATGATAAAGGGCCAACTTTATAAAAAGATTAACAATTATAAATATATATTCGCCCAACATCAAAGACCCTAAGTATATAAAGCAAACATTTTGGAATTGAAAGAAGAAATAGAAACATAATACTAGTATGTAATTTTTTTTTTTTAGATGGAGTCTCACTCTGTCGCTGGAGTGCAGTGGCATGATCTTGGCCCATTGCAACCTTCGACTCCCTGGTTCAAGCAATTCTCCTGCTTCAGCCTCCCAAGTAGCTAGGATTACAGGCACGTGCCACCATGTCCAGCTAATTTTGTTTTTTGTATTTTCAGTAGAGACGGGGTATTACCATGTTGGCCAGGATGGTCTCGAACTCCTGACCTTGTGATCCGCCCGCCTCAGCCTCCCAAAGTGCTGGGATTACAGGCGTGAGCCACTGCTCCTGGCCATAAGTAACTTTAATACCCCACTCTCAATAAAGGATAGATCATCTAGATAGAAAATCAATAAAACAGCAGAACTGAAGAATACTATAGGCTAAATGGACCTAACAGACATATATAGAGCATTCTACTCAATATCAGCAGAATACTCATTCTTCCCAAATACACGTAAACATTCTCCAGCATAGAGTCCATGCTAGATCACAAAACAATTCTCAACAAATTCAATAAAATTAAAATCATTTAAAGTATTTTACCTGATCATAATGGAATGAAACTAGAAATCAATAATAGAAAGAAGCTGGAAAAATTCACAAAAATGTGGAAATTAAACAACACATTCTTAAATAACTATTGGGTCAAATAAAAATAAAAAAGGAAATTAAAAAATATCTTGAAACAAACAAAAACAAAACATACCCAAACTTTTGGGATATAGGCAAAGCAGTACTAAAAGGGAAGTTTATAGAAATAAACATCTGCATTGAAAAAGAAGAAAGATCTCAAATTAACAAGGTAACTTTGTACCTCAAGAAACTAGAAAAAGAAAAAATGAAGTCCCAACTTAGCAGAAGAAAAACAAATAGAGTAGAAATAAATGAAATACAGAATAGGAAAACAATAGAAAAAGAATCAATGAAATTCTTTGTTCTTTGAAAAGATAAAGAAGATTAACAAACCTAGGCTAACTAAGGAAAAAAGAGAAGATTCAAATAAAATCAGAAATGAAAGTAGAGATACTGCAGTTGATGTCACCAAAATCAAAAGGATTGTAGGGACTCTGACAAACAATTATACATCAACAGTTTGAACAAACTAGAAGAAATGGATAATTCCTAGAAACATGCAACCTACTAACACAGAATAAAGAAGAAATAGCACTTCTGAACAGACCAATAACAAGTAAGGACATTGAAGCAGTAATAATAATAATAATAAAACCTTTCAATAAATAAAAGCCCAGAACCAGATGGCTTCAGGGATAATTTTATCAAACATTTAAAGAAGAAGACATACCAATTTGTCATAAACTTAAAAAAAAGAAAAGAACAAGAAACATTTCCAAATTCAGTTTTTGAGGCATCATTCAGTTACCAAAGGCACCACAAGAAAAGGAACTATAGGCTAATATCTTTTATAAAAATAGATGCAAAAATCTTCACAAAATACTAGCCAACCAAATTCAACAGCATGTTTAAAAGGATCATACACTATGACAAAGTAGGATTTATTCCTGGGATGCAAGGATGGTTTACATTAACAGAATGAAGAGTAAAAATCACATTATAATCTCAATAGATTTAAGAAAAGCATTTGATAGAATTCAACACTCTTCCATAATAAAAACTCAACATATTATATATAGAAGGAAATGACTTCATACAATAAAGGCCATTTATGATTAGCCCACAGCTCACATCATACCAATGGTGAAAAGCTGAAAGCTTTCCCTCTAGCATCCAGAACATGGTAAGGATGCCACTCTTGCCTCTCCTATTTACCATAATACTGGAAGTCCTAGCCATAGCAAATAGGCAAGACAAAGAAGTAAAAGACACCCAAGTGACAAAGGAAGAAGTAAAAATCGTCCTGATTGCAAATGATGTCATCTTATTTGTAGAAAGCCTATAGATACCACAAAAATAATATAAAAATTAATACATAGATTCAGTAAAGTTTCAGACACAAAATCAACATGTAAAAATCAATTGCACTTTGATACACCAACAAGGAATTTCCTGAGAAGGAAATTAAGAAAAAATTTTACTTACAATAGCATCAAAACAGGTAAAATACTTAGGAATAAACTTAACCCAGGAGGCAAAAGACTTCTACACTGAAAATTATAAAATATTGTTGAAAAAATTAAAAACATGAATTAATGGAAGGATGTTTTGTGTTCATAGATTGGAAGAGTTAATATTGTTAAAATCTTTATACTATTGAAAATAATCTACACATTCAATGAAATATTTATGAAAATCCTGATGGCAATTTTTGCAGGCATAGAAAAAAACCAATTCTAAAGTTTATTTGGAACCACAAAAGACCCTGAATAGCCAATGTAATTTTGAGAATAAAGAACAAAGCTGTTCATGCTCTCTGATTTCATAATATATAACAAGCTACAGAAATAAATACACTATGGTACTTACTTAAATGCAGCCATATAGATAAATGAAACAGAATAGAGAGCCCAGAAACAAAACTATACACATAAAGTCAACTAATCTTGATGATGGTATCAAGAATACATAATGGGGAAAAGATAGTCTCTTCAATAAATGGTATTGGGAAAACTGGATACCCACAGGCAAAGAATGACTTTGGATTCTTATCTCATACCATATACAAAAATCAACTCAAAATGATTTAAGGGCTTCAGTGCAAAACCTGAAGCAAAACTCTTAGAAGAAAACAGAGTAAAAGCTTCCAGACATTGGATTTGACAATGATTTCTTGGATATGACACCAAAAGCGTAGGTAACAAAAGCAAGCATAGACAAGTGGGATTATATCAAACCAAGAAGCTTCTTCACAACGAAGAGAACACTCAACAAAAAGTAAAGACAACCTACTGAATGGGTGAAAGTATTTGCAAACCATCCATTTGATAAGGGGTTAATATCAAAAACATATAAGATTTAGTAGACATTTCACCAGAGAAGACATATAAATAGCCAACAAGTATATGCAAAGGTACTCAACATCACTAATTGTCAGGGAAATGCAAATCAAAACAATGGTATATCACCTCACACCAGTTTAAAAGGCTATTATTTAAAAAACCCAAAAGGTAGCAAGTTTTGTCAAGGATGTAGGGAAAAGGGAACCCTGTACACTGTTGGTGGGAATGTATTAATGTATTATTAATGTAATAACTTGGTGCAGCTGCTATTGAAAACAGTATGGAGTTTCCTAAAAAAGTAAAAATATAATTACCATATGATTCAGCAATCCCGTTTCTGAGTGTTTATTCAAAGAAATTGAAATCTGGATCTCAAAAATATATCTGCACTGTCATGTTCATTGCAGCATTACTCACAATAGCCAAGATATAGAAATATCCTAAATGTCCATAGACAAATGGATGGATAAAGAAAACGTGGTATATTCATATAATGGAATATGATTAACCTTACACAAGAAGGAAATCTTGCCATTGCGATAATACGAATGGAACTAAGACATTATGCTAAGTGAAATAAGCAGGCACAGGAGGGCAAGTACTGCATAAAACCACCTTTATGAGGAATCTGAAATAGTAAAACTCGTAGAACCAGAGAGTAGAATAGTGGTCATCTGAGGCTGGGGGGAGGGGAAAGGAAGAGGTGTCATTCAAAGAGTACAAAATTTTAGTTATGCAAGATGAGTAAGTTCTGGAGGTCTACTGTACAACGAAGGGCCCATAGTTAACAATAATGTATAGTATACTTAAACATTTGCTGAGAGGGTAGATTGTTTATTAAGACCTCTTACCACAAAAGAAAATGCTTATAAATGAATAAAAATAAAAATAATAAAGATGGCAGGAAGAAATGTTGGCAAGTGATGAGTTCAAGTTTATAACCTTTGTTGTGATGATGGTTTCAAGATTATACACTTATCTCTGAACTCATCAAGTTGTGCACATTAATTATGTGCAGTTTTTTGTATGCTAATCATCCCCAATAAAGTGTTTAAAAAAAGAAATGGGTGGAGCCCATGGATTGAAAAAAGTTACCTTAATGTCATGCTTAAGTGACTACACACTTAATAGTGACTACACACTTATCGTTGACTACACACTTAATAGAACTTTCCTGGTGAAGAAATTTTTAGAGGCTGATCTTTTTAAAAAACAGATTGAGATACAACTTACATCTTATAAAATCTATCCTTTTAGACTGTATAATTAAGTGCTTTTTAGTATATTCACAGTGCCTTGCAACCATCAACACTAATTTTTGGACATTTTAATCTTCCCTCCTCGCCAAAACCCCATAGCCATTAGCTTTCTCTTTTCCTTACTCATTAACCCCAGTCTATAGAAACCACTAATCTAGATATGTCTCTATAGATGTGCCATTTCAGGACATTTTGAATAAATGAAATAACATAATATGTGGTTATTTGTGTTTGGCTTTTTACTTAGCATAATATTTCAAGATTCATATACATTATAGCACTAGTACTTATTTTCTTTTTAAGAAATTGACTATTTTTTAGAGCAGTTTTAGATTCACAGCAAAACTGAGCAGAAGGTACAGAGATATATGTCCCTCTACCCCTGTACTTGTGTGGCCTCCTCCATTACCAACATCCTCCATTGAGTGGTACATTTGCTGCAGTTGATGAGGTTACACTGACACATCACCATCACCCGAAGTCCGTAGTTTAAATTAGGGTTTACTCTTGATGCTGCACATCCTATGAGCTTGGACAAATTTTTAATTACACATACTCACCATGCAGATTATGATACTATAGTATGACACTATACTAATCCCCTAACTCCTGGAGACCACTGATCTTTTTACTATCTTCATAGTTTTGCCTTTTCCAGAATGTCATATCATTGGGAACATACAGTATGTAGCCTTTTCAGATTGGCTTCTTTCATTTAGTAATATGCATTTGTATTTCCTCCCTGTCTTTTTATGGCCTGATAACTTATTTCTTTTTGACATTAAATAACAATTCATTGTGCCTGGACATACCATCATTTATCCATTCACCTACTGAAGGACGTCTTAGTTGCTTCCAAGTTTTGGCAATTATGAATAAAGCTGCAATAAACATCCATGTACAGGTTTTTGTGTGGAAGTAAGTTTTCAGCTCCTTTGAATAGATACCAAGGAGTGCAATTGTGTGGCTGACTGCCACAGTTACTACTTGAGACTGTCACTACTGGTACTACTTGAGACCATTATTATGAGACTGAATGAAGGGACGAACATAGAAATGAAAACTTAAGACAAAAGAAACTGTTTTAAAAGAAGGGGTCAGGAGAAGAAGAAGAGAGCTACCTGCTTCTGGTGAGCAAAGGCAGCCCCTGAGCTTCGACAGCCTTTCGTATTTACTGGGGACAAAGAGCAGGGAGGAGGTGATGATTGGTCAGCTGCTTAATTGATCACAGGTTCATTTATTGCTAACAGGCTTCAGATGTGCCTAATCACAAGCAACACTTGTGCCTGGGTCGTGACTGCCTTCCACATTCCTTCTGGGCAGCAGACGCAGTTTGTCAGTTTGCCAACATTCTGCATTTATAAGGACTGTTTGCTGTTTACTCATATAGCCTCCAGTGGTATACTGAGTTGATCATGACCCTCAATCTTTTGGCCTCCAACACAATTGCTGGATTATATGGTAAGAGTTTATATAGCTTTGTACGAAACTGCCAAACTGTCTTCCAAAGTGGCTGTATTATTTTGCATTGCCACCAACAGTGAATGAGAGTTCCCATGGCTCTACATCCTCTCCAGCATCTGGTGGTGTTCAGTGTTCTGGATTTTGGCCATTCTAATAACTGTGTAGTGGTATCTTATTTATGTTTTAATTTACATTGCCCTGATTATGACATTGCTTATTTGCTCCTTGTATATCTTCATTTATGATGTGTCTTTTAGGGTCTATGGCTCATTTTTAAATCAGGTTTTTTATTATTGTTGAGTTTTATGTGTTCTTTGCATGTTTTGGATAAGAGTCTTTCATCAGATATGTTATTTACAAATACTTCCTTTTGGTTTTAGGCTTCTCTTTTTATTCTATTGACAATGTTTATCACAGAGAAGTTTTTTAAGTTTTTATTTTTTGTGAGTGCACAGTAGGTATATATATTGATGGGGTACATGAGATATTTTGATACAGGCATGCAATGTGTAATAATCACATCAGGGTAAATGAGGTATCCATCATATCGAGCATTTATCCTTTGTATTACAAACAAACCAATTATACTCTTAGTTATTTTAAAATGTACAATTAAATTATTATTGACTATAGTCACCTTTGTGCTATATTTGACTATTTGACTATATTTGACTATTATTGACTGTAGTCACCCTTGTGCTATATTCTTGTATTTGTGCTACCAAATACTAGATCTTATTCATTCTCTCTATTTATTATACCCATTAACCATTTATGCTAGCCCCCACCCCCACTACCCTTCCCAGCCCCTGATAACCATTATTCTACTCTCTATCTCCACTAGTCCAGTTGTTTTAAATTTAGCTTCCAAAATGAGTGGAACATGTGAAGTTTGTCTTTCTGTGTCTGGCTTATTTCACTTGACATAATGACCTTCAGTTCCATCCATGTTGTTGCAAATGACAGGATCTCATTTTTTTAATGGCTGAAATGTGTATATAATCATCCACTGTGTATATGTACCACATTTTCTTTATCCATTCACTGGTTGATGGACAGTTAGGTTGCTTCCAAATCTTGGTGGTTGTGAAGTGCTGCAATAAACATGGAAATGCAGATATCACTTTTATATACTCATTTCCTTTATTTTGAGTACCTAGCAATAGGATTGATGGATCATATGGTCGCTCTGTTTTTCCTTTTTTTTTTTTTGAGTAACCTCCAACTGTTCTCTATAGTGGCTTTACTAGTTTACATTCCCACCAACAGAGTAGGAGGTTTCCCTTTTCTCTACATCTTTGCCAGCATTTGTTATTGCCTGACTTTTGGATAAACATCACTGGGGAAATACAGTCTCTTTCTGTACTTTCCCCAATGTACAGAAAGTGTACAGTAAGTAAGATAATGTCTCTGTTTTGATTTGAATTTCTCTGATGACCAATGATGTTGAGCATGTTTTTATATCTGCCATTTGTATATCTTCTTTTGAGAAATGTCTATTCAGATATTCTGCCTATTTTTAAAATCAGATTACAAGATTTTTTTTTCTATAGAGTTGTTTCAACTCCTTATATCACCTGGTTATTAATCTCTTATCAGATGGGTAGTTTGAAAATATTTTCTCACATTCTGTGGGTTGCCCCTTCACCTTGTTGATTGTTTCCTTTGCTATGTAGAAGCCTTTTGGCTTGCTGTGATCCCATTTGTCCTTTTTGCTTTGGTTGCCTGTGCTTGTGGGGTATTACTCAAGAAATCTTTGCCCAGTCCAATGTCCTGGAGAGTTTCCTCAATGTTTTCTTGTAGTAGTTTTATAGTTTGAGGTTTTAGATTTAAGTCTTTAATCTATTTTGGCTTGATTTTTGTACATAGTGAGAGATAGGGGTCTGGTTTTCTTCTTCTGCCTATAGATATCCATTTTTTTCAGGACCGTTTATGGAAAAGACTGTACTTTTCCAATGTATGTCCTCATTTGCTGAAAATGAGTTCCTGTAAATGTATGGACTTTTTTCTGGGTTCCCTATTCTGTTCCATTGGTCTGTAAGTCTGTTTTTATGCCAGTGCCATACTATTTTGTTTACTATAGCTCTGTAGTATAATTTGAAGTCAGGTAATATAATTTCTCCAGTTTTGTTCTTTTTGTTCAGGATAGCTTTGGCGATTCTGGATCTTTTGTGGTTCCATATAAGTTTTGGGGTTTTTTTTTTCTATTTCTGTGAAGACTGTCATGAGTATTTTGATAGGGGATTGCATTTAATCTATAGATTGCTTTGGGTAGTATGGACATTTTAACAATACTGATTCTTATAATCCATGAATATGTAATGTCTTTCCATTTTTTGTGTCCTCTTAAATTTCTTGCATCAGTGATTTATAGTTGTAATTGTAGAGGCTTTTCACTTATTTGTTTAAGTTAATTCCTAGGTACTTAATTTTATTTGTGACTTTTGTGAATGGGATTGCTTTTTAATTTCTTTTTCAGATTGTTTGCAGTTGGCATATAGAAATGATACTGATTTTTTATCCTGCAACTTGACTGATCTTGTTTATCATTTCTAATAGTTTTTTGGTGGAGTCTTTAGGTTTTTTCAAATATAAGATCATATTATTTGCAAACAAGGATAATTTGACTTCTTTCTTTCCAATTTGGAGGCCCTTTATTTCTTTCTTTTGTCTGATTACTCACTTCTAGTACTATGTTGAAAAACAGTTGTGAAAGTGACCGTCCATGTCATGTTTCAGATCTTAGGGGAAAGACTTTCAGTCTTTTCCTATTCAGTACAATACTAGCTATGGGTCTGTTGTATATGGCTTTTATTATGTTGAGGTATGTTTCTTCTATATTCAGTTTTTTGAGGTTTTTAAAATTAAGGATGTTGAATTTTATCAAGTACTTTTTTAGCATCAGTTGGAATGATCATATGGTTTTCATCCTTCATTTTGTTGTTATGATGTATCACATTGATTGATTTGCGTATGCTGAACTATCTTTGCATCCCAGGTATAAACCCCACTTGTTCATGATGAATAATCTTTTTAATATATTGTTAAATTCAGTTTGCTAGAATTTCACTCAGGATTTTTACATCAATATTCATCAGATATATTGGCCTGTAGTTTTCTTTTTTTGATGCATCTTTAGCTAATTTTGGTATCAGGGTAATACTGGCCTTGTAGAATGAGTTGGAAGTATTCCCTCCTCGATGCTTTGGAATAGTTTGAGTAGGATTGGAATTAGTTCTTTAAATGTTTGGTAGAATTCAGCAATAAAGCGATCAGTTCCCAGGCTTTTCTTTACTGGGAGACTTTTTATTATGGCTTCTATCTCATTACTTGTTATTGGTCTTTTGATGTTTTGGACTTCTTCCTGGTTCAATCTTGGTGTCTAGGAATTTGTCCATTTCTTCTAGATTTGCTGATTTATTGGCATATAGTTGCTCATAGTAGACACTGATGATCCTTTTAATTTCTGCTGTATCAGTTGTAATGTTTTTCTTTTCATTTCTGATTTTATTTATGTGGATCTTCTCTGTTTTTTCTTAGTCTGGCTAAAGGGTTGTCAATTTGTTTCTCTTTTCAAAAAACAAACTTTTTGTTTAATTGGTCTTTTGCATTTTTATTTCAATTTCATTTATTTCTTCTCTATTATTATTTTTTTCTACTAATTTTGGGTTTGGTTTGCTCTTGCTTTTCTAGCTCTTTAAAATGCATTGTTAGATTGTTTATTTGAAGTTTTTCTTCTTTTTTGAGGTAGGAACTTATAGCTATAAATTTCCCTCTTAGTACTTGCTTTTGCTGTATCTCATAAGTTTTGGAATGTTATATTTCCAGTATCACTTATTTCAAGACATTTTTCAATTTTCTTCTTAATTTCTTCATTGACCCACTGATCATTGAGGAGCATATTGTTTAATTTCCACGTGTTTGTAGAGTTTCCAAAATTCCTCTTGTTATTGATTTTTAGTTTTCTTTCATTGGGGTCAGAGAAGAAGCTTGATATTATTTCAATTTGTTTGAATTTTCTAAGACTCATTTTGTGACCTAACGTATGGTCTATCCTTGAGAGTGATTTATGTGCTGATGAGAAGAATGTGTATTCTGCAGCTGTTGAATGAAATGTTCTGTAAAAGGCTATTGGATCTATTTGGTCAGTAATGCAGGTTAAGTCTCATGAAATTTTCTGTCTGTAATATCTGTCCAATGCTGAATGGGGGTGTTGAAGTCTCCAGCTGTAGTTGTGTTGGCGTCTATCTCTCTCTTTAGCTCTGATAATGTTTGCTTTATATATTTGGGTGCTCCAATGTTGGATGCATTTATATTTACAATTGTTATGTCCTCTTGCTAAATTGACCCCTTTGTTATTATATAAAGACCTTCATCGTCTTTTCTTACAGTTTTTGTGCTGAACTCTACTTTGTCTGATGTAAATATAGCTACTGCAGCTCCTTTTTGTTTTCCATTGGCATGGAACATCTTTTTCCATCCTTTTGTTTTCAGTCTGTCTGTGTCTTTATAGGTGAAATGTGTTTCTTGTAGCAATAGATTATTGAGTCTTTTTAAAAAAATTCATTCAGGCACTCTATGTATTTTGGTTGAAGAGTTTAGTCCATTTGCATTCAATGTTATTTTTGATAAGGATTTACTTCTGCTATTTTGTTATTTGTTTTTTGGTTGTTTTGTGGACTTCTCTTCCTTCTTTCTTTCATTCCTGTCTTTCTTTTAGTGAAGGTGATTTTCTCTGGTGGTATGTTTTTATTCCTTTATTCCTTGCTTTTTATTTTTTACATAATCTGTTGTATGCTTTTTGGTTTAAGATTACTATGAGGTTTGCAAATACTATCTTATAACCCATTATTTAAATCTGATAACTACTTAGCACTGATTTTATAAACAAATAAACAAATAAGCAAAAAGAAAAATAAAAACTCTTAACTTTAACTTAATCCCCCTGGTTTTAAATTTTGTTGTTTCTATTTATATCTCGTTTTGCTATGTCATGAAAAGTTGTTGTAGTTATTATTTTTGATTGCTTCATCTTATAGTCTTTCTACTTGAGATAAGAGTAGTTCTATATACAACAATTACACATTATAATATCCTGTGTTTTCTCTATACTTATTACTATCAGTGAGTTTGGACCTTCAGGTGATTTCATTAACATCCTTTCCTTTCTGACTAAAGAACTTCCTTTAGCATTTCTTGTAGAATAGGTCTGGTGTTAATTAAATCCCTTACCTTTTGCTTGTCTGGAAGTCTTTATCTCTCTTTCAGATTTGAAGGATATTTTTTCCAGATATACTATTCTAGGTTAAAAGTTTTTTTTTTTTTTCCTTGCAACACTTTAAATATGTCATGTCACTCTCCCCTGGCCTATAAGATTTTTACTGAAAAGTCTGCTGCCAGACATCTTAAAGTTGCATTGTACGTCATTTGTTTCTTTTCTCTTGCTACTTTTAAGATTCTTTCTTTATCCTTGACCTTTGGGAGTTTCATTATTAAATGCCTTGAGGTAGTCTTCTTTGAGTTAAGTCTGCTTAGTTTTCCATACACTTCTTGTTCTTGAATATTGATATCTTTCTCTATATTTGAGAAGTTCTCTGTTATTATCCCTTGAATAAACTTTGTACTCCTCCTGCTCTATCTCCTCTTTAGGCCAATAACTCAGATTTGCTTTTTGGAGGCTATTTTCCAGATTCTGTAGGCATACTTCATTGTTTTTGTTTTCTTTTTTCTTTTGTCTCCTCTGACGGTGTATTTTCAAATAGCCTGTTTTCAGACTTACTAATTCTACCTTCTGCTTGATCAATTATGCTATTAAAAGACTCTGATGCATTCTTCAGTATTCCACTGGCATTTTTCAGCTCCAGAATTTCTGTCTGATCTTTTAAATTATTTCAATAGTTTTGTTAAATTTATCTGATAGAATTCTGAATTCCTCTCTGTGTTATCTCGAATTCTTTCAGTTTCCTTAAAACAGCTGTTTTGAATTCTCTGTCTGAAAGATCATATATCTTTTGTTTTCCAGGACTGGTCCCTGGTGCCTTATTTAGTTTGTTTGGTGAGGTAATGTTTTCCTGAATGCTCTTGATGCTTATAGATGTTTATTGGTGTCTGGCATTAAAGACTTAGGTATAATATTTATTGTAGTCTTTGTGGTCTAGCCTTGTTTGTACTCATTCTTCTTGGGAAGGCTTTCCAAGTATTTGAAGGGGTTTGGGTGTTGTGATCTAAACTTTATCTGCATTAGGAGGCATCCCAAGCCCAGTAATGCTGTGGTTCTTTCTGACACATAGAGGTACCACCTTGGTGGTGTTGGATAAGATCTGGAAGAATTCTCTGGATTACCAGAAACTTTTGCTCTCTCCGTTTACTTTCTCCAAACAAATGCAGTGTCTCTCTGTGCTTGGAGTTGTGGGTGGAGTGACACAAGCAACCCTGTGGCCACCACCAGTGGGACTGTGCTGGGTTAGACTTTAAGCCAACACAGCACCGGGTCTCGCTCAAGGTCTGCTGTAACCCTTACCTGGCTACTGCTTATGTTTGCCCAAGGTCCTAGGGCTCTATAATCAGCAAGTGGTGAAGCCAGCCATGCCTGTGTTTCTCCCTTCAGGGAGATGAGCTCCTCCAGGCCCCAGGTACATTCACAGGTGCCATCCAGAAACCAGAGACTGGAGTCAAAAATCTTAGAAGCCTACCTGGTGTTCTATTGTACTGCAGTTGAGCTGGCACTGAAACCGTAAGACTCAATTCTTCCCACTCTTTCCTCCCCTTTCCACAGGTAGAGAAACCTCACCCTGTGGCCACCACAACCTCAGGTTCATGGGGAGTACTGCCAGGCTACCATTTATGTTTCCTTAAGGCCCAAGGGCTCTTCAGTCAGCTTATGGTGAATGCTGCGAAGCCTAGGACTCACCCTTCAGGGCAGTGAGCTTTCCCTCTGGCCTAGAGCAGATCTATAAATGCCATCTAAGAGCCTAGGCCTGGGATCAGAGACTCTAAGAGCCTACCCTATGTTCTCTCCCACTGTGGCTGACCTGGTACCTAAGGTTCAAGGCAAAGTTCCCTTTACTCTTTCTTCTACTTTTTTCAAGCAGAAAGAGTCTATCACCACAGCCACCACGGCTTGAAATGTGCTGTTTCACACTTGAAGTCAGCATGTCTCAAAATCTCGCTCAAGGACCATGACTTACTACCTGGGTATCACTGCTGATTATTCAGGGGCCAAGTGCTCCTTAGTCAGCAGGGAATAAATCCTGCTATGACTGGATGCTTCCCTTCAAGGCAGCAGGTTCCCTTCTGGCTCAGGGTGTATACAGAAACATTTTCCAGGAGGTAGGGTGTATTGTAATGGCCTCATGACTCTCCCTGCTGCCCTATCCTACTGTGACTGAGCTGGCATCCAAGTTGCAAGACAAAATCCTCTTTACTCTTTCCTCTCCTTTCATCAAATAGAAGAAATGAGTCACTTTTCTGGCTGCAAACTGCACTGCCTGGGGTTTGGGGAGGTGTAGCAAGAGCACTCCCTTGTCTGCCATGGCTGGTGTCTCACTAGGTCACATGCCCAACAAGTACACTGGCTCTGAGCCCAGCACAGTGTTAGGATTTGCCTAGGAGTTACGGTCCTTGTGGCCTAGACTGCCTTTCAAGTTTATTTAGGACCCCAGAGCACTTTAGCCTGTGGTGGCTAAGCTTGATGAAACTCAAGTTCCATGGGTGATTCCTCTCTGGCTAGCACTTGACTAAACCCTTCCTCCATAGATATCATCTGAGTTCAGCCCAGTTTTGCTTTCTGTTGTGACGGGGCAGCACTAAGGTCCAAGGAAAAGTCCCACAGTCACTGCAGTCTCTCTCCCCACAACACACATATTCTCTCTATGCCAGGGCATGGGAGAGGAGTTGCATTGGTGATCCAAGGCTGTCTTTCCTACCCTCTTCAGTGCCTCTTTCAGTGATAGAAAGTTAAAGCCAGGTACTGTGATTACTCACCTAATTTTTGGTTCTTATGAAGGTGATTTTTTGTGTAGATAGTTGTTAAATTTGGTGTTCCTGTCAGGGGTGATGATCAGTAGAAGTTTATATTTGGTCAGGCCATATTACTCCACCTCCTTTCTCCAGAGCATAAATTTTTAGTTTTAATAAAATCCAGTTATTTCTTTCCTAGATTGTGCCTTTGTTGTTATATATAAAAAGTTATTGCCAAATTCTAGGTTATCTATTTTTTCTCCTTTGTTATCTTGTAAGGGTTTTATAGTTTTGCATTTTACATTTAAGTCTATGATCCATTTTGAGTTAATTTTTGTATAGGATGTAAGATTTGTGTCTAAATTTATTTTTTTTCTTGCATGTGGAAGTCCAGCTGCCCCAGTACCATTTATTGAAAAAGACTATCTTTTCTTTTTAAATGTCTTCGTTCCTTTGTCAAATTTCCATTGACTATATTCACATGGATCTATTTCTGGGCTTTCTACCCTGTTTTGTCTATTCTCTTGCCAATACCATGCTGTCTTGTTTACTGTAACTTTACAGTAATTCTTGAAATTGGTTAATATCAGGCCTCCAACATTGTTCTTTACCATTAACATTGTGTTGGCTATTCTGGGTCTTTTGCCTCTCCATATAAACTTCAGAATTAGTTTGTGTTTATCCACAAAATAACTTGCTAGAATTTTGATTAGGATTACATTGATTCTATAGATCAAGTCAGGAAAAACTGACATATTAACAATATTGAGTCTTTCCATCCGTAGACATAGAATATCTCTTTATTTACTTAGTTTCTTAATTTCATTTGTAGAGTTTTCTAATCCTAATATATGGGTAGAGTTGAGAATTAATATTTAAAGGATTCCATTGTATTTATTCTATGAATTTCAGGAGCAACCATTTTTACATATATATTTAAAGCTCCTTTTTAAAATTAAGAAAATTGGTATCCTCTTGTTTTTAATAACAGCAGTTAATAGTACTACTAGTCATCCCTGTGAATTTTGCTCCCTGAACAGTGCAGACTGGTGGCCCAAAGCCCTTTTGCCAAGAGGCCTCTGAACATGTGCATTATTGGATTGCAATTCTCCCTGCCTAAGCCAGTTAGAACTCATTCTCCATAATGCAGAGAAACATGATTGTGTTTTGAAGGGGTCTTCAGGAAGATTATTATTGATGGTCTTCAATGAACTTTCTGAAATTTAATGCAACATTTTGTAACCTGGGTGTTTTGGGAAAGGAAGGGAGCCCATGTGCAGTCATGGACCTCAGGCTACCAATGCACCTAAAGGCTTCAGGATCCCCTACAGGTATGGAAAATGCCCTAGCCATGTGTCACCAGGATCAAATGGTTAAAGAAGAGGCCCCTACACTTCACATATAACCCACAAAACAGGTAGACTGTTTTCTTCTGTTTTCTGTTCCTGAAGAAACTGCAGTACAGGTATTGCAAAGCAGAACCATTGCCCAAATAATATAAAAACACAAGATCTCCCTTGTATTTAGAGGAGAAAGTGATGAGGCTTGATATCTCTCAAAACCAAACTGATAAGAAATAGGAGGGTGGTTCTTGACACTCCAGAAGAAATTTGAGAGTGCCTCCTATCTCTTCCCACTATGTTTCTAAGAATGACTTTGTGACAGAGGAAGGTGAATGCGGAAGGCTTCAATGTATTCAAGTGTCTTTTCTGGAAGTAAGAGTCAATACAGTTTCCTCTTATTGCACTTTTTGTTCCTTTAGAATTTAAAGAACATTCTTCGCTTTCTGTATTTTGAATCTTTGTCATATGGTTGTTACTGTTCGACTTCATCATAATGTGCATTTCATTGCTTATGCTTTATCTCACTCGGTAGATAAGCACCATGTAGCCCAGGACACTGCCTTATTACAGTTGCTCCATTTTTTCACTTCTTAGAACAGTGCCTGGCACATATTAGGTGCTCGTTAAATGTTTGCCAAATGATCAGGGAATCTGAGTTCAGTGTCATCTGCCACTTCACTTTTTTAGTCAGCTCTGATGAAATTTTTGCAATATTCATTCACTGTCTGCATTTATAAGTCTTTCCAGCTAAGACTGTTTTAAATAAAAAAAATTCAAAATATTGAACATATAAATACAGCCACGTAATGATGGAGATACAGTCTGAGATGTCCATCATTAGGTGATCTTATCATTGTGCAAACATAAGAGTGAACTTATACAAACCTAGATGGTATAGCCTACTACACACCCAGGCTATATGGTATAGCCTATTTCTTTTAGGCTATAAACCTGTACAGCATGTGACTATACTGAGTACTGTAGACAACTGTAACACAATGGTAAGTATTTGTGTATCTAACATCGCTAAACACAGAAAAAGCACAGTAAAAATATAGTATAAAATACAATATAAAAAATACAGTATAAACATGATACGCCTGTACAGGGCACTTACCGTGAATGGAACTTGCAGGACTAGAAGTTGCTCTGGGTGTCGGTGAGTTAATGTGAAGTCTGAAGACATTACTGTACACTGCTGTAGACTTTATAAACATTGCACACTTAGGCTACACTAAATTTATAAAAACAATTTTCTTTCTTCAATAATAAATTAACTTTAGCTTAATGTAACTTTTCTACTTTGCAAAGTTTTAATTTTTTTAACCTTTTAACTCTTTTGTAATAACACTTAGCTTAAAATATGAGCCTATTATTACAGTTGTACAAAATATTATCTTTCTTTATATCCTTATTCTATAAGTTTTTTCTATTTTTAAAATTTTTATTTTTTTGACTTTTAAAACTCTTTTGTTAAAAACTAAGTCACAAACACACACATTAGCCTAGGCCTACATAGGGTCAGGAACATCAGTATCAATGTTTTTTTACCTCCACAACTTGTCTCACTGGAAGGTCTTCAGGGGCAGAAACGTGTGGAGCAGTCATCTCCTATGATAACAATGACTTCTTCTAGAATATCACCTGAGGGACCTACCTGAGACTATTTTACAGTTAACATTTTTTATAAGAAGAATGAGAAGTATACTCTAAAATAATGATTAAAAAGCTAGCATGGTAAATATATAAGCCAGTGACATAGACATTTATTATGAAGTATTATGTACTATATGTTATTGTATGTGCTGTACTTTTACACGACTTGCAACACAGTGTGATTGTTTACACCAGCATCACCACAAACACATGAGCAATGCATTGTGCTATGATGTCACTGGGCAACGGGATTTTTTCAGCTCCGTTGTTATCCTATGGGATCACCATTGCACATGCTGTCCATCATTGACCAAAATATCAATTATATGGCACACAATTCTGTGTATGGTAGCACAACTGAAATATAGCCATGATCGATTCTGTGGTCTGACATACTTCCTAAATGATTGGTAGCTGATTCACAGAATGACAGAGAATATTTGACTTCCTTCCCTGGAATTTCTACATAAAGGCTGGCAGGAAGTGCAGGGAGGTTCAGTAGAAAAAATACAAAATCATTGAAATAGGTGCCCAGATATTCGGTAACTAGATTTGGCCCTGCTGCTGTGAAGTCTAGTAGCAATTTGTTTATCTCTCTGAGTGAATGGGTTGGAATAGTTGATTTATTAGGTCCTTTTCGTATCTGATTTTCTGTGACTTTAGACATGTTTGCTTCTAAGAACAAGTCAGGATGTAACAAATACTAGGCACTGCCATAAGATTCACATCATTTGGAAACCTCACAAGGGTAACAAATAGCAAAGGAATTGTATAAGGTCAATTACAGGCAGTGTATGAGAGACTTTCATGATTTAGTCATCAAAATATCCAGCCCTTTTGATAGACTGTTCCTACTTCCCTATGATTCCTTGACTATATCCAGTCCTTGCTGGGACACAGTACATATTACTCCATTTGTCTCGATGGGCTCCTATTCATTCTTCATGGGAAAGTCAGGCTCGTTGCCCTTTTTGCTCTTTTATACCTGCCATGCCATCCTGGGTTTACCTATATTCTAAAATGACCCACAGCCTTATCCACTCTGTATTGTTTCTGTCCCCCAACTAAAAAGACTCAGATTGCCTAAGGATAAGTACAGTAAGGACTCGGCCCACAGTAAGTGTTCCTTCAATGTTGGCTAAATGAATAAGGAAATGAGTGAAATATTTGCTGTGATTACAATGAAATAAGTCAAGTCATATTTTTCCTCTTATATTGAAATTGGAGTAAGATTAACTTCAAAATAATACTTTTACAGCTAAAATTCTTACTATTTTTTAAAAACCTGCTCCCCAAGAGCATCAAAACTTGACATTGAAGTTCAAATGGCAGCTGAACCATATGATGCAATTTTATGCTTCAATGAAAAACACAAAATTACAGTGTCAGGTAGACATCTTACCACATATTAGAGTTAGAAGAAACTGCAAATATAACCTAGTCATTCAGTGGTAAGAAAACCTAGGCCCAGTAATTAATTTCCCCAAGGTTCCTTATAAGCAAGCCATAGATCTGAGCCCATAACCCAGGGTTTCTTATTTCCACCTAGCCCACCCACCCTACTGCAGTCCACAGGCTCAAGTTTCTGTGCTTAGACTCAGAATTAAATTGAAATTCCTTTTGTTTTTGCTGTCTCTTCATTTTCTTCAGCCTGGCTCCATTGTGGGAATTCAGTGCCCCCAGTAGCGTCCTCTCCTTTATGTACCTCATAGTATTTCGGTGCGGTTCACTTGCTGCTCCAGGGTCCCTCCCTCACCTCTTTCCTTCTTTGTACAGTCTTCTGAATGGACCTGTGATTCAGGAAATTGACAGGGAGTGTGAAAGGGGTGGAAAAGCAGCAGATGGCGTGGAGGGAGGGCGGGAAGTGGGGAGTCTGGAAACAGCCTGGAGGCAGCCACAACCTGGTGGCCTAAGCCCACAGATGCATTGCTTGACTTTGAAGAAGTTTATACACATATTCTCATGAATATTCTCATATGACAATAATATCGTGCAGCTACAGAGCACTTGCAGTCATCTCATGAGAGCCGTAATTTAGGGTGGGAGGCAGTCTGACTTCAAGTATTAGGATTACAGTTGTAATAACTCACAGTAAATAATTTACTGGAAAGCTGCCTGTGAGTGTTTGGCAGACCATTTAACCTCTCTAAACTTCAGTTTCTGAGCTATAGAATGAAGTACACTTTATAGCCCTCTTTGGGTTGTCTGATGATCCAGTAAGTTTTTATATGCAATGTGCTTTTCAAAGTATAATTTGCTATATGAATGAAAAGCCTGGCATTTGGCAAAAGAACTGTTTAAGTTCTTATTCTCAGAACCCACAAGCTGGATGGTTCTAGTGGCTATGTAAATGTTGGGTTTCATGGATTTGTTAGAAGGTGGTAATGTTTAAATACCTAAATTAACAACTTCTATATGTTAGGGCATATATATTTCCTCTCCCAGTATTTTATGCACCTCCTTCCTCTCCCCATCTCCCACCAGTCAAACATGTCCCCTAGTATGGGTTGCATAAAGTAGACAGGGCAGGGGTGGGAAGTGTGCAGAATGGATCTTCCCTAGAGACAGGGAGCTCACTGTATTTTACAACCTTGGATTCAGAGAGGGAGAGAGTAACACAGGTCCAGGCAGATAGAGCCTTGACAACCCAACAGATATTTCTGAGCCAAAGTTGGCATGGACAAAGCAGCAGGGGAGTGACAAGGCCTGCAGTGGGAGGTAGACAAACACAAGGGATGTTGTAAATCTTGAGGTCTGACAACCAGGTACCAGACAGAATAAAAGATATCTGGGAATCTATGTGGACAATGAACATCTAGAATTGAATCAGTCAAGGTCACAGCAGGAAAGCTGGTGCCCTCATAGTTGGATAATTTGAGGAGAAATTATTTACAAAGGGGACTGATTATAAGGTGTAGGCAAGAGTGTAGAGTTGAGGAACCTGGGGCTTGTAGCAGCAGAGCTGTTGCCACTGCTAGGCCTGAAATGAGGAGAGGAGGGTGTGATTCTGGAAATTAGAAAGAAAAGAATCAGGTAGAGAAGGCTGAATCTATCTGGGAGCCACAGGGAAGGGAACCTCATGGATGTGATCTATTTAGTTCACGCCCCAGGGCAGGGACTGGTGTGGAGGGATCTAGTATGGACCTGGAGTAGAAAAATGGAAGATTTTGAAGAGCCTCACTCAAACTTTTTGGCACTGTACAAGCCTCTACAACTTTGGCATAATCCTGGAGAAAGAGAGGGGTGTGGGAACAAACTGGTTAACATTGAGTTTCTACCACTACAGCAGCATGGGAACTCGAAATAGAAATTAAGCTGAGTCGTAGAAAAAGACATATGTTACGGTTCTTGCAAAACATAAGTTTTGGGCTGAGAATTGCACCCACCTCATATAATAAGATGGATCCATTATATTATGTGGATTACAACAAGAGTCCATATGTCCAGTCTTATATATAACATTTACATGTGTGCACACACACCCCATTCTGACAACGAATTCATGAGTTTCATCTCCACCAAATACAATATAAATGACATTTCCATCAGCATACAAAATAGAGGGAAAAGTGCTGGCAGAGAGGAAGAATGAGATGAGTAAGAAATCAGTAGGAGTGCGTAAGTCAGAAATGCCAAGCAGGGAATGAGGAAATGGGATTTGAAGTGGCAGGGGCCACTGGTATTATGAGCTGGAGACTTCTGAATGACATTGTAACTTTGCAGTCAGCAGCAGAGCAGCTCTTCATCCTTTTCTAGGATGAGGCCAGGAGAGACAGCAGCAGGCAGCTACCTAAGGAGAAGCCAAGAGAAAGGATCTGAAGTCCCTGTGAGATACAGAGAGAAGACTGATTTTCTGATTTCCTGTTCTTACTTCTAGTACACCTGTAGCCAGGCTATGCCTTCCTTACAGTCATCTCTTTTCATCTAGTTTTCATGGTGCTCAGTTCTGTGTGTGTCTATTATAATTTTTGACATGATTTTCTATAGCTTATTTAAATTTCTGAACCTCTATCCCTATTCTTCATGACTCAGAAAATAAAATTTAAAGATTCAGTCTAATTTAGTCAGTCATTTCATGTTGGAAACTGTCATAATCAGGATTGTTGGACTCCTTCGTCTTGGGTTGTGTTGCTGAAGGCCTTAAGCAACGATCACTGGTAGCATTAGTAAAGAGGGAATATTCCTCATTAGTACACTGTTTCACACTATTCTTGCATCCTTTAAGTTATAACTCATACTATCTGGTCTTAACATAGTCCTCATTGACACTGGTCATCTGTTGAGATTTAACCAACAGATTAACCTTCCATGTAACCTTCCATGGGACATTCCACACTCTCTGTTGCAGATTCCCTCATCCCAACCATGAGCTTTTTCCCTCTTTATCCTTCCAGCTTCAAATATATACTTACTCTTGAAAAGTATAAAGACTCTAAATTGCAGTATATGCTACTGGATAAATATTTAATAGCCCCTTGGAGTGATTTCTGAAGATTAATATTATACACCATGGGAAAAAAGAGTATCTGTCTGAGTGTGTGTTTGTGTGTGTATTTTTCTTTCCAACTAAAGGCCATTTTCAACCAACATAATTTTTTAGTCAATGTGATCCAGGTTTAAATCCCATTTTTAGCTACTTGTTGACTGTGTGGTATTGGGCAGTTTAGTTAAGATTACTAAATGGGTTTCTATAATTGCAAAATTAGGAGAAGAATGTTTACATCATGAAGTTTGAGGGGCTAAAGGGACTTGGAACACTATAGATGCTAGGCAACTGTTACCTATTTCTGTCTCATTCCATTTCATTAATGATGCAAGTTTGATGTGGGCAAAGTAAAAGAAAAAAATCAGACCGTAAATTAAAATGTAGAATTCTTTTAAAGTTATTCTGTGTTCTTTGTACATCTTCCTTTATTGTCTTGAAAACCACTTGAACCCAATAGGTATGTGAGATAATTTGGGTGAGGGTCGCAGCAAGGATCTTTAATCAGAGATCTGCTTCCAAAAGCTGATCAGGTATAATGGATCATATCTTTGATAAATTTTGATGCCTTATAAAATTAAGCTTTATTATGTGCTAAAGCTTTATGCATCATAAAGGAGATGTGGAACAATGAGAAAGAGAAAGATTATTCAGTAAATCTTATTTGGGCAATTGTTTAGCTACTTGGGGAAAAATTCAATTTGTATTTTTATTTAACAGCATAAGCCAAAAAATATTATATTAGGATTAAAAAGGTAAATGTAGAATATCAAACCTAATTAGACCCGGTGGAAATAAGAAGTGATTATTTTCTAATTCCTGGATCAGGGTGGAAGAATTCATAAAAGAAAATAATAATAGATTCAACTATAGAAAAATATGAAAATTCTCAATATCTTGGGTATTATGAACAGAACTTAAAGGTAGAAAAACTAAAAGTTAATTAACTACATATATGCCAAATTATTATCTTAACATTTAAAGCAGTTACATATATTGATATGACTCCATAATGTTAATGGGCAAAAGACATGAACAGATAATTTATTATAAAAGCATACAATGTTATTTAGAGCTTGAAAAGATAAAAGGCGAAGTGACATAAGATATTCACCTATTGAATTAGAAAATATGAAAATAGCCCAATGTTGCTAAGGCTCAGGCTTCACGCACAGCTCATGTAATATTGGTGAGAGTTTAAAGTAGATGGCATTTTGAAAGGCAATTTTGCAATACGTAGGAAAACTCTTAAAAATGCTTATATTGATAAACTTAGAAATCCAATCTCAGGTCATCTATGATAGCAAAATATTATAAAATTTATAAAAGCTTCATTATAACAATAGCCTTAATTCATTGTTTGTCTAGCACATGGCACATTTTACTTACCTTACTTTCACTTCTCAACAAAACTTCTAAATGGCTGAGTGAGGATTTGAATCTGTCTGTTTCAGATTCTGCGTGGGCTCTTTATTACAATTTTATTTTACCCAAGATATCTTTCATAATGTAATAGTGAAAATTGGCCAGGTGCGGTGGTTCACGCCTGTAATCCCAGCACATTGGGAGGTCGAGGCAGGTGAATCACCCGAGATCAGGAGTTCAAGACCAGCCTGGCCAACATGATGAAACCCCATCTGTACTAAAATACAAAAATTAGCTGGGTGTGGTCGTGCATGCCTGTAATCTCAGCTACTCAGGAGGCTGAGGCAGGAGAATCGCTTAAACCCAGAAGGTGGAAGTTGCAGTTCACCGAGATGGCGCCATTGCACTCCAACCTGGGTGACAAGAGCGAAACCCTGTCTCAAAAAAAAGAAAAAAAAAAAGTGAAAATTTAGAAATACTTTTAAAGTCTGTTAATAATGTAATAGTGAAATAAACTATAGTTGATGCTTTTCATATAATACCATGCAGCCAGAGATGGTATGGAAAATGCTTACTCTTAAATCATTTTAAATAAAAATAGTGAAAACAAATTAGAATATTTCTATAATTTTAACCATTTAAAGGAAGTGAATACAAAGAATGAGAAGAAATATAGATTAATAGTAGCTGCCTCTGATTTGTGGGACTATGATAATCATCCTTTTTGGTCTCTATACTTTTTGGGGCTTTTTACATTTTTCTAACAAGAATGAATTGACTTACGTTCAGATAAAAGTAAATTTGAACTTAAAAATTTGTGGAGCTTTTTATCTTCTCAGAGCATAGTGGAAATATATTATCTTTATTTAGTTAAGTCTTAGTAACATAGTCTGCTCACCAAAAGAAAAATGCTCTGAAGATTGACAGATGAGGCAATTGTTCTGAGATTAGTTTATTATTAAAATGTGTAATTAGACAAATCCATAGGGGCCATATGAACAAACAAGAGTATTTCTATCAACATTATAGAACGAAAACATTTCATTTATCTCTTGAAAATATAAGTCAGAGAATAAGAACCAACTTACAAATCCAATAAAGAAAATTAAATTTCCAACACGATTGGAGGATAATTTGTGTTACTAATGACTTGCCCTGTGAATATATATGATGTCTAGGAAACAAAATATCTCAAAAATTGTTCAAAAACGTATTTCTTAGGTGGGAAAATAAGGAAATATTTTAGGTGCTATCAATAAACTCACTCAACCTGATTTTTTTTTTAAATACAACTCTGCAGAAGAAAGTGTCATCTTTTTGAGCCCCATCTAGCCTTAGAAAAATATGCTTTATTATAACACATATAGGACAAAAGCAGTGATTTTTATATTTATTCTTATTTTCATGGTACAATCCTCTTACTTCCATAATTAACATTGTAATGATTTGATTATGATCAGTTTGTGGGATTATTAACCACTCTTGGTTTCTTCTCACCTCATTAACTAGCAAACTAGGCACTGACTGCTTAATAACCAGTTTCTCATGGACTGTTGCTCAGTATTACCAAATCTTTTTAGTTTTATGAAGCCATTTTCATTAGAGAGTGAATAGTTTCTCTATTTTTTCTTTTTTTAGCACATGTCAAAGTCACATTAAATATGCTTTTATTACCTAACTATGAATTATTTTTTTCTTAGAGGCAGCAGCATCTATTAAATGTTTCAATTAGTGTTGGGTTAAAAATTGATTTTTAGGTTAATTTCCTAAATATGTGGAACTAGTTTAGTTAAAATGACACTGCTCAATTCACCTGGTATCTTACTGACAACAGTATGAGAAAAAATGAGTTTAAAATAATAAACAATTATGGTAGCTTGACTCTTATTGTTGAGGGACTGTAACAATGAACTTGATTCACAAGTTGGTAAAGTTGTGATTAGGGAAACAGACCAAATTTAGCCCATTTGACATATACTTGTTCTTAGGTGCTTGATAAATATTTCTGATTTGAGTGAACTGGAGTCTACCAGCATTGCCTTTTTCTCCTTTAAAAAAATATGAATGTAATTGATGCTTATTTCCTGTGAATCCCCAAATTATTTCCTTTTTCTCACTTTTCTAGTGGATCAGTTTTTCCTTTTCATTTGTGGAATGTTTCCATATAATGCAGCTATTATTTTTTAAAATTTTTATTTAAGATGATTTATCTGTTGCTTTATGTAATTTTTAATTGACAAATATTGTATATATTTAATATGTACAACATATTGTTTTGAAATATATACATACACACATTGTAGAATGGTTAAATTAAGCTAATTAATGCATGCATTACTTCACATATTTTGTGGTGAGAACACTTAAAAATCTACTCTTTGCCATAAAATACATTCTTATTAACTGTAGAGGCCAGTTTGTATAATATATCTCCTGAACTAATTCCTCCTATCTAATAAAATTTTGATCCTCTGGCTAACATCTCCCCATCTCCCTACCTCCCCACCTTCACCCCCTGGTAACCACTATTTTACTCTTTATTCTATGAGCTTGACTTTCTAAGATGCCACATATAAGTGAGATCACGCAGTATTTGTCTTTCTTTTCCTGGGTTATTTCACTTAGCATAATTTCCTCCAGGTTTATCCACCTGGCTGCAAATGACATGATCTCATTCCTTCTTATGGCTGAATGGTATTCCATTGTGTGTGTGTGTGTGTGTGTGTGTGTGTGTGTGTGTGTGTGTGTGTGTATATAGTATATATATAGTGTATATACATATAGTATATATAGTGTATATATAGTATATACAGTGTATATGTAGTATATAGTATATATAGTATATATAGTGTATATATAGTATATAGTATATATAGTATATAGTATATATAGTGTATATATAGTATATAGTATATATAGTGTATATATAGTATATAGTACATATAGTGTATATATAGTATATGTAGTGTATATATAGTATATAGTATATATAGTGTATAGTATATATAGCATATATAATATAGTATATATATATTTACTATATATATACTATATATACACTATTGTAGCATTAGTCACAATAGCCAAGAAATGGAACCAAGCTCTGCACTAGGAAAAAAAAAAATCTACCTAAGTGTCCATCAGTGGATAAATGGGTAAAGGAAAAGGAAATGTGTGTGTGTGTATATATATATATACACACACATATATGTATATATATATATAAAAGAGAAAAAATATGCATATATACATATATGTACATATACACATTATATACATATATACACATATATACACACACATTTACTATATATAATGTACTATATATACACTTATTATATATATAATTTATGTATAATTATATATTATGCTATATATTTATACTATACTATATAGTATAGTATAGTATACTATGTATACTAGTATACACAGTATAGTATAGTATAGTATATTTATACTATATATTTATAATTATATATTATACTATATATAATATATAATATATATTATATATAATAATAGTATATATATAGTAAATGTATATACATATATATAATATACACACACATTTCCTTTGCCTTTACTCATTTATCCACTGATGGACACTTAGGTTGATTTTTTTATTTCCTAGTGCAGAGCTTGGTTCCATTTCTTGGCTATTGTGACTAATGCTACAATGAACATGGGAAGACAGATATCTCTTCAACATACTGATTTCAATTCCTTTGTGTATATGCCTGGAAATGAGATTGCTAGATCATATGGTAGTTCTCTCTTTAGTCTTTTGAAAAGCTTCCATACTGTTTTCCATAATGGCTGTTCTAATTTACATTCCTACCCACAGTGTATAAGTGTTCCCTTTTATTCACATCCTCACCAACACTTGTTATTTTTCACCTTTTGGTAGTAGCCATTCTAACAGGTATGAGGTCATATTTCATTGTGACTTTAATTTGCATTTCTCTGATGACTAGTGATATTGAGCATTATTTCATATAGCTGTTGGCCGTTTGTACATTTTCTTTCTGTGAATAGAAATGTCTATTCATAGCCTTTGCCCATTTTTAAATCAGGTTATTTTCTTACTACTAAGTTGTGTGAGTTCCTTATGTATTTTGGATATTAACCCTTCATCAGATGTATGGTTTGCAAATGTTTTCTCCCACTCCACAGATTGACTCTTCACTCTACTGACTGTCTCCTTGGCTGTGCAGAAGCTTTTTAGTTTGATGTAATCTCATGTGTCTATTTTTGCTTTTGTGGCATGTGCTTTCAGGTTCATACCAAAAAGTAATTGCCCAGACTGATGTTATGGAACTTGCCCCTATGTTTTCTTTGAATACTTTTACAGTTTCAGGTATTACATTTAAGTCTTCAATTCATTTTAAGTTCATTTTTGTATATGTTCCAAGATAAGGGTCTAATTTTATTCTTCTGCATGAAAATATCCAGTTTTTCTAACACTATTAAGAGACTGTCCTCTCCCTATGTGTGTTATTGGCACCTTTGTCAAATATAATTAACTTTAAGTGTGTGGATTTATTTTTGGGATCTCTATTCTGTTAGTATTTGTATGATACTATTTTGATTACTAAAACTTGACAGTATATTTTGAAGTCAGGTAGTGTGAGGCTTTCAGCCTTTTTCTCTTTGCTTAAGGTTGCTTTGGCTCTTTAGGGTCGTTGGTTTCCATGTGAATTTTAGGATTTGTTTTATTTCTGTGGAAAATATCATTGGAATTTTGATAGGGATTGCAATGAATTTGTAAATTACTATGGATAGTTTTGGAGCACATTTATAGATTTGCATATATAGAACTATGCTTGCAACCTGGGACAAATACCACTTAATCATGTGAATTATTCTTTTAATGTGTGGTTAAATTTTATTTTCTAGTATTTTGTTGAGAATTTTTGCATCTACGTTCGTTAGTGATATTGGCCTGTAAGTTTCTTTTCTTGTAGTGTCTGTGTCTGGCTTTGACATCAGGGTAATGCTGGCCTTGTAAAATTAGTTTGGAAGTTCTCCCTCTTCAATTTTTTTGGAAGCATTTGAGAAAGATTGGTATTTACTCTGAATATTTGGTAGAATTTGACAGTGAAGTCATTAGGTCCTGAGATTTTCTTTGATAGGAGACTTTTTATTACTGAGTCAATCTTCTTACTCATATTGTCTGTTCATATTTTCCATTCTTCATAATTCAGTCTTGGCATGCTGTATAGGTTAAGGAATTTTTGCATTTCTTCTAGGTTATCCAATTTATTGGTACATAATTGTACATATTAATCTTTTATAATCCTTTAAATTTCTTTGACATTAGTTGTTCATGTACTCTTTCATTTCTATTTTTTTATTTGAGCCTTCCCTCTTTTTTCGTAATCTATCTTACAACTTATTGATTTTATCTTTTCAAAAAACCAACTTGTAAGAGTTGCTCTTTTCTATTTTTTTTTTCTTTTTAGTTTCTATTAAACTTATTTGTGTTTTGACTTTTCTTGTTCTCTTTCTTCTACTAACTTTGGGCTTTGTTCTTCCTTTTCTATTTCCTTGAGGTGTAACACTAGGTTGTTTATTTGGAAGTCTTTCTTATTTTTAGATGTAGTCATTTGTTGCTATAATCTTTCCTCTTAGAACTGCTTTTGCTACATTCAATAAATTTTGATATTGTTCATTTTTATTTATTTCAAGATATTATTTAAATTTCTTTGTTGATCCATTGGTTGTTCAGGGGCATGTTTTCTAAGTTTCAAATGTTTATGAATTTTCTGAAATTTCTCTTGTTATTTATTTCTAGATTTAGAAAATTGTGATCAGATAAGACACTCAATATAATTTCAATCTGCTTATATTTTCTAAGACTTATTATGTGGCCTAATATATCGCCCTTCCTGGAGAATGTTCTCTGTGTGCTTGAGAAGAATGTGTATTCTGCTGCTTTTGGATGAAATATTCTGTATACATCTGTTTTGTCCATTTCATCCAATGTGTAGTTTATGTCTAATGTTTTCCTATTGATTTTCTGTCTAGATGGTATGTTCACTGCTGAAAGTGAGGTATTAAAGTCCTCTAATATTATTGTGTGACAATCTATCTCTCCTTCTGTATCTATTAATATTTGCTTTATATAGTTAAGTGCTCTGATGTTGGGTGCATATATATTTATAATTGTTTTATCTTCTTGATAAACAAACCCCTTTATCATTATATAATAACTACCTTTGTCCCATTTTATGGTTTTTTTAAAGTCTATTTTATCTAAGTATAGCTATTCCTGCTTTCTTTCATTTTTATTTGCATGGAATATAGGAATATATTTTTCCATCTTATCACTTTCAGTTTATGTGCTTTCTTACAGGCAAAGTAAGTCTCTTGTAGGCAGCATGTAACTGAGTCTTTTTTGGTAATCTATTCAACTCCTGTATGTCTTTTGATTAGAGGACTTAATCTATTTACTTTTGAGGTAATTATTGTTAAGTCAGAAATTAACTACTCCCATTTTGTTAACTGTTTTCTCATTGTTTTGTAGATAATTTGTTCCTTTCTCTTTTACTGTCTTCCTTTGTGATTAAGTAATTTTCTCTAGTGTTGTCCTTTGGTTTCTTACTTTTTATCTTTTGTATATCACTTTTGTGACCTGCATATCTACTTTGCATAGCTTTTGTGATCTGGAGCTGGAGCAGGTCTGAAACCTGGGAATACAGGGGCTAGTTTGGTACTTGGTGGGCTTGAATTCTGTATTTACAGGGTCTACCCTGGAAGCTGAGTCCGTGTGTACCAGCTTGATTACCAGGGATGTGGGGGCCAGCCTGGTGCTTGAATAAGCCTGAAATCTAGGGTTGCTATAGGGGCCAGCTCAGTGCCAGAGGAAATCCAGAGCCTGGGCCACCTGGGGTTGGCCTGGTCTTGGGGTGCTCCTGGAACCTGATTCTGTGGGATTGTCCTGGCATTGGGATGGGTTTGAAGCCTGGGTGTGCCCGCCTATCTGGGGCTGTTTGGTGCTAGGGTCAGCCTAGAGCCTGGGGCTGCTGGGGTTAACCTGCTGTTAGGGAAGGCCTAGAAACTAAGTCTGCTGAGCAGGCCTGACACTTCGAGCTATAGGTTTCTGCCTGATGCTTGGGTGGGTTTGGAGGCTCAGTCTGCCAGTACCAGCCTGAATCTTGGGGCTGTAAGGAATGGCCTGGAGGCTTCATCCTTGGGTCCTGGCCTGATTATTAGGAATGTAGGGGGCAACCTCATGTCAGGGCAGGTGCCTGAACCCTGTGCCCATGGGGGCAAGCTCAGTGCTGGGGGTGGTCTGGGACCTAGGGTCACCTAGATTGGCCTGGTGCTGAGGGCAGTCTGGAGCCTGGGACTACTGAGCTTGGGCTGGTAGTGGGGCAGCCCAGAGACTGAATCTACCTGGCGTGCTTGGGCCTTGGGGCTGGTGCCAGGGTGCCAGGGTGGGCCTAGAACCTCCATCTTCAGCTACTACCCTGGGGTCTGGGGCCATGGAGGCCTACCTGGTGCTGGATTTTACTGGGGCAGTCCTGGTTTTGGGTCTGAAGCAAAATATGGAGTCAATTCTCTCTCCTTTCCCCACTTGGAGAATAGCTCTCCATGCTTTGCTGCCCAGGACTGGGAAAGGGATGACATAGGAATGTAAAACTGTCCTTTCTACCCTCTTCAATATGTCTATTCTTGTTTCTGTGCTACACCCAGGCGTTGTAATCTTTTACCTGGTTTTCTTATCTCTTGTGAAAGTATCTTTGTGCATGCATAGCTGAATGAGTTGATGTTTCTGCAGGGAGATGAGCACTGGAGAGTCCTAGCCCACTATCCTGCTGATGTCCTTGCCACTTTATGTAACTTTATCTGTGGATCTCTTATATCGGTTTTACTGTCTTCTCTCCTCTGTACAACCAATTAGATTTTGAGAAATAGAAATGAGAGACTTTTACATTTCAGTTTTTTTCTAGAGTGGTAAATTTGAGCTCAGACAAGTTACATGATTTAATTAAGCCATTAGACCAATGTTTTCTGAATTTTTGTCTATGAATCAGTTAGATATAAGGCAGGCGTTTTACTCTCACACACACACACACACATGGTTTAGTGGTCAAATTAGTTTAGGAAAAGATGAATACTATAAGTTGTTGGTGATTAACAGTATATATTATGTACTGAAGACTGAGATATTTGTGCATAAAGGAATCTATAAACAATTCATTAAGTTTAATTTAATGCATAGTTTCTTTTGTTTTGCTCATATCTTTCCTTTTATTAATTTGAGGGTTTTTTGTTTGTTTGTTTGTTTTCATTTTGCTTCTTAAGCATTTCCTACATATATTTTCAATCTTTATTGTTTTTCAATAAATGCCTTTTAGGTTATAAATTTTCCTCTGAAATCCTTTTGAGTTACAGCGCACAGGTTCTCGAATGATGTAATTCATTACCATATAGTGCTAAATATTTTTATTTTGCATAGGATTTCATGTTTAATCTGTAAATTGCTGACAATATTTTAAGAAGTATTTTGTTACTCTGTGTTCCTAGAGAGACACAGCTAGCTTATCTCTTTGACATAACCTGGCATGGCACATAGTAGGTACTTCATGAAATCATCATTCTCAGCAAACTAACACAGGAACAGAAAACCAAACACCACATGTTCTCACTCATAAGTGGGAGTTGAACAATGCGAACACATGGACACAGTTAGGGGAAAATCACACATCAGGGCCTGTTGAGGGGTGGGGGTTAAGGGGAGGGAGAGCATTAGGACAAATACCTAATGCATGCGGGGCTTAAAACCTAGACGACAGGTTGCTAGGTACAGCAAACCACCATGGCACATACATACCTACATAACAAACCTGCACATTCTGTACATGTATCCCATAACGTAAAGTAAAACAATAATTAAAAAAAATCTTGTTGAAGTGAACTAAGGTTTTTTTAAGATCACTCAGACTATGACAGAAATGAGGCTAGTTCTATATCTCTTGATAATTTTAGTCAGGTTTATTGAGAGAAAGTTTAAATATAATAAAATCAGGCCAGGCATGGTGGCTCATGCCTGATTCCAGCACTTTGGGAGGCCAAAGCAGGAGGAGTGCTGGGGCCTAGGAATTTGAGACCAGCCTGGGCAACATAGTGAGAACTCATCTCTACAAAAAAAAAACAACAAAAAAAAATTTAAAAACTTAGCCAGGCATGGTGATGTGTGCCTGTAGTCCTAGATACTTAGGTGGCTGAGGTGGGAAGATAGCTTAAGCCCAGGAGGTCAAGCTGCAGTGAACCATGATCATGGCACTGAACTCCAGCCTGGACAACAGAGTGAAACCTTGTCTCAGAATAAATAAATAAAATAAAATTCACCTTGTTTATGGACTTGAAAAGTGTATATAGGCATGTAACCACTGCTAGAATTAAAATATAAAACATTCACATCCCCTCCAAAAGTTATTTTGTGCCTCTTTGTAGTCAATTTCCTTCTCTTCCACCTCCAGGCAACCATTGAAGTCTTTGTCATTATAGTTTTGCCTTTCTAGAATATTTTAAGAAGAGAAGCATATATCATATCATCTTTAGTATCTGCCTTCTTTCGCTTAACATAAAGCACTTGAGATTCCTCCACGTTAATGCGTGAAACAATAGTTCATTTCTTTTTACTGGTGAATAGTATTCCACCAAATGGCCAAAACACAGTTTGTCATCCATTCACCAGTTTATGGAAGTTTAGGTTGTTGCCATTTAGGTTCTTTTTAGCAATTATAAATAATGCTGCTATAAACATTTGTGTACATGTTTTGTGGGCACTTAGCCCTTTAACTTGGGTAAATACATAGGAATGAAATTGCTGTATTGTATGATAATAGTATGTTGGTGGTATGGTTGTGGGGTGGTAGCAGAAGGGGAAGGAGGGCATTCTCTGATGTCCTGGTATAGGAGAGAGTTTCTTGGCCTTCCCCAGTGGTGACAGCTCACTTCTAATGGCATGAATATAAGATCCTGAGGCTGGGCCCAAGACTGTTTCCTGGCCCTCCTCCAGGGATAGATAATTTTTCTTTTTTATTCCGTCATCAACAATAGGTTTTTAACCTGTGCCTGGGAGTGACAAGGTTTTCTGCCTCTGTTACAGAGGCTCAAGGCTTTTGTTCTTTCTGAGAGGATGATCTGGGCAGGGTGGCTGGGGTTCATGCTTTCCCCATAGTGGCTGCTCTTCCCCTTCTCCTGGCCTGTATCATCTAAGAGGGACTCTCCCCAGTTACCCACTGTGCCCCCATCTTTTTTATGAGTACCTCATGGAGGTGCCTGGAGATGAGCCTGGGGGTAAGCAGCAGCTCCTCCCATGTCTGGGGCTGCCAGGGATTCTACACTGTCACAGCAGGCCACACTCAACCTCCACCAATCCTTTAAGGTTCAGCTGGTTCCTTCTCAGCCAACTGTATGGCAACCAGTGCCTTTTTCTCCCATGCTTTGCCCTCTCTGAGCCAATCCACTGGTGCTTGATTTAATTCAATTTCCTTCAAATATAAAATAAAATTAAAAGCAATTCAACATGGCATTTTTTTTTTTTTGTGATGACAATTCCTGTGGATTCTATTTTGGGGAAACAATGGAAGGAAACATGATGGTGGAGGATCAAAGACTGAATCCCATAAGACGTGGTTCTCAAATGAGCCTCCCCTAGAATACTGGGGTATTGCTAAAAAATTTAACCACGTTGGTATCTTCTCAAAAGCTCAGAAAATATTAAGTTTATGAGTGGAATTTTCTGAATGTGAAGTTTTTGCCTCATAATTTGCTATTATTTTAATAGTTTGGTAACTGCTGCTGATTGTTTACTCGGTGTATGCAGCTAGATAAGCAGTGAGCACAAAAATGGCAATCTGGACAGCTAATGAAGCCCTTTCACCACCTCATAAGGTAATTGGGTTCATTGTAGATAGTTTTAACTTTGTAAAATATCCTTTTCTGAAAATTTCTGTGTATTCTGAGAATGTGGAGATCTGTATCATTTTAGAGATGTTAAAGAAATTTAGCATTTCCTACAGAAACTCAGGAGTTTGTGGATAAATCCTACAAAGCAAAGTGGATGATGTGGCCCAAAATTAAGATCAGTAAGAGGTCTTTGATTTCAGTCTCATGTTGTTTCTGTTACCAAGTAAATTTTTACTGTCATGGCTCATGATATTTCAAGTCATTTGAAAAGCCAAGATTTCAGCAAAGTCTGTTTGAAGACCTAAAGAGAAAACATGTTGAGCCTAAATACAAAGCTTGTACCCAATGGTTAGGGGAGGGTTCAAAAGATTTTAATTCATGCCAATTTTTATCGTGTAAAAGGAGATGGGGAGACTTCCAGGACTGATTTGAAAAGAGTTGAAACATAATCTGAAGAATTTTTAGCTTTTGTTAAATTTAATAAGTGAATAATAATTTTGCAAGGCATAAGGTGTCCATGTTTATTAGAGCTGAAGACATTCTGGGACCTAAGATCCTCCTTCAAATCTAGAGTCTATGTATATATTACTTTTATATTTAAACATATGCAATACAAATATACCTTGGTTGGTACTCATATATATATATATATATATTTTTTGTAATATTCACCACTAAAAATTTTGTTTCTAGTCGATAAAATAGACTTCGGTATGTCAATATTTCATGGTACTCCACATTGTGTGCGATTTCCATGCAACTTATCACCTGTGTTTGAGTTGGCTTCTGTGAGTTTTCACATGATTTACCTTGGATATTGGGGTGTCATCCTGAATTTTGGGCTGGAAAGTGACTGTGGCTTAATTTCCTTATCTATAAAATGGGAATGATAATCATGCCTCCTTTATAGGGCTGTTACGAGAATTAAAGAAGGCATTGCTTATAAACTCCTTGTTACAGTGTCTAGCCATAGTAAGCATTCATTAGAGTTTAGCTATCATTAATATCTGAAGTGGTCATGGGATTATTTTGCTGGTCCTGTAGAAGAGCTATACATCCTTGGTGACATTCCTCTCTTTCAAATGGAGGGAACAACGGTGAAATATTATTGGCCTATTAACTGTAAGCATTTATTTTTGTGGATCAATTGGCATAATACTCATTAATCTATGTCACAACTGTAAAATACTCTACACACATAATATGTTGGAGTTGCAAAGTTAACAACTACTCACACCTAGAAAAAATTATCATTGTTATTTTATACACCTATTATTTTAATACCAGCTGTCAAGTTTTATTTTATGCTTTTTACTGTTTTATTCTTCTTGGTTTATTTATTTTTTATTTATTGAAATGTTTAGGGTACAAGTACAATTTTGTTACATACATAAATTGTATAATAATCAAATCAGGGCTTTTAGAATATAGATTTATTTTCAATAAAAAGCTTTTCTAACCTTGAATTTAAGATACCACTTTCTATAATTTCTTTCATGTCTGACAAGCATAGGTGTTAGTGTGGTATTTTAGTGTAGTTCAGGTTATATAGTCAATTCAGTAAAGCATCTCAGAGTTCTAAAATCATCCTTTGGGTGGCAAGCCTTGGCCAGAATGTCAGTCTAATTCTGCAATGGTTTTCCAGTTATCTTTTTTCTCTTCAGAGCCAGCAGAGGGAGCACCAGTCTCTCCCTATCTAAACAATCATAATGGCTTTTAAACATATGGTGGGCCTTTCATAATTAAATTTTTAAAAAGAGATGGAGTTTAAATGAAGATATAAAACTCAAAGTATGAATGCGCATTAATTACCTTAATAATGCTGCCAAGTTTAAACTGATTCAAAATGAAAATGCTCAAGACTACAGGTCATATGGAATGAAACTGGGAGTTATCAGGTAACTTTAACACAACCTAATTTAGAAAATACTGTCAGAAGTAGAAGAGAGTAGAAGGCTAAGAATGCCTGAAATTATTTAATAAATTTTTTTTGAGTTCTTGCTATGTTTCAGATCATGAGCTAAATTATGGCATTATAAAGATGAACCAGAGTTAGTCTGGGGAGGTAGGCAGGAAAAGGTTAGGAAAAGCCACTTGAAGAAAATAATGCCTAGTTTCTAAATAAGAGTTCTAAATAAAATGTTTGTTGAATGAATGAATGCTAATAATATGTGTATTAATAATACAAAATTATCATTTTATATGACGCTTGAAAGTTATGGTGCTTCTACATACATTACTCATTTAATTACACCTAGGACAGGTTTAAGGTCTCAGAGATGGTAAATTGCATATGTAGGTCACTAATTACAAATCAGTGAGCTTTATAGTCACTGTATCTGGTGTGTACAATTTGTCTTTTTAAAATAAAAAATATCTGCTTGCAAATAGATTCTTAGAAAATGAACATATTTCTTTAGTAATACACAATAATCTCTTTTAAACGTTATTTTTTTTCAGTTAGTGGAAAATAATTTAAAACTATTAAGTACCCATGTTTGAAAAATCAAGAAGGTTTGCCAGTGGAAATAGATCTAAATATAAAGCAAGAGTCTAGGCAAGAGTTTCCTTGATGAGATCATTAGACAAGTCTTAGTTGAAGGAAGTACAGGGTTATACTATTCAGAAGATTTCATATATTAAGGAGAAATGATCCAAGAAATTTTACTAGTGGGTCTGATAGAATGTCTAGGATAATATGTCATGTATATCTGTGCTCAAAATTTCTTTGAATTTGTCAGATTAGGCAACTCACCTAATATTCAGAACTAAATTTTGGATCAGAAAAAAAGTTATCCAAATTAACTTTGAATTCATTCAACTTTGTAGATAAACTTTAGGATATTAAAAAAGTAAAGTAAATGGATATTATGATGCCTTTTAGAGCCATAAATAGGTGCCTAGATCTTTCAACAACCATATTACTCTTACCAGGGATGGACAAGAACTCAAAATGTATCAAACACAAATGAAGCATCTGAGGTTATTAAAATTTGATTTGGGAATAGAACAAAATACATCTGTTCTGGTTTTAGGTTAGATATGGTGATTTCAGTTTTACTCAAGATAAGACATAGCCTTTGACCCTATCACTTCTGCATTCTACTTCCAACAATTAAATATTTTAAAAATTGGCATGGATTGTACAATCACATAAGATAATTTACAATAATCCTTTTAATGGGCCATTATAGAAGACAGGTAGATCAGTAAATTATCTGGATTCTGAACTATATCTTTGAACTTCACTGGACTAACAGCTTCAGGGATGGTCAAGATAATCACATTTGTATCTCCTGATCTGTCATACAACAAGTTCTCGAAGAATGTTGAATGAACAATTAAATGAATAATAAATGAACATTGAGTGGGAACACTGGATTTAAAAAGTTACTTTTTTTTGGTGAAGTCAATCCTCCATGCTCTCTTGAGAATTTACATCCAAAAGTAGATCCTTAGTTTTCCAGGAATACATGTTCAAGATATAAAACTTTCATTATTTGAAAAAAAATCTCACCAGAGAGATTTTTGTCTCCTACCTAAAAAGAAATGGCATTGCCACATATATGTACATTATCAGAAATAATATCATAGCCAATGACCTTCAGAGTTATCACAGTAAGTCTGTTGTCAAAATTTCATCTTCGTAATGTAAAGTGGTCTGAGAAGTCAGTGATGCAGATATGTACATTCTTTTGAGGTTTACCTCTTCCCAGAAATCTTTAGTGATTTTTTAACCTGGTGGCATAAACTCAGTACAAGGAAGACAGAATTCTCTGATCTGCAACATAACTGGGAAGGAGACTGAAGAAAGCAAGAAGGAGGACAGAACAGATGGGAGAGAAAAGAGATGTGTTTGTCAGTAGAATGAAAATGCTGAAGAAATGCTCTTTCTGCACTCCCATCTCCAAAACCTTGACCATCTCAGATATTACCATCTCCCAGGAAATTCCTCAAGTAAAGTCTTCTGCCAGAACATCTCATGTTTTCCTTATGGCACATACTTAACCCTATGTTGAGATTTTTTAACTTTTAATTTTGAAATAATTTTAAGTTTACAAAAGAGTTGCAAAGATTGTATGAAGATTTCCCATATATATTTCATCTTGCTTCCCCTAAAGTTAACATATTACATACACATAGTAACATGGACATTAAGAAATTAACATTTGTCAATAATATTATCTAAATTATTGTTTACTTCAAATTTCCTGTTTTTCTACTAATGTAATTTTTGTTGTTGTTCAAGGATTCAATCCAATATACTACATTGTAATTAGTCATTGTGTCTCCATTGTCTTCTTAATCTGTGGTAGTTCCTCAGTCTTTTCTTGTTTTTCAAGACCTTGATATTTTTGCAGAATACTGGTCAGGTGTTTGTAGAATGGTCCTCAGTTTGGATCTGTCTGGAGCTTTCTCATATTTAGACTAAGGGTGTAGATTTTGGGAGGAAAATGCCACATGGGTAATATGTCCTTTATTGCATCCTCTGAGGGGATACATGATATCAGTATTTTTAATTACTGGTGATATTAACGTTGGTCACGTGGGTGAGATGGTAACTTCCAGGTTTCTTCATGTAAGTTTACTATTTTTTCTTTTCCATAGAGTCTGTTTCTTAGAAGTGTGTTAATAAGTGAGTCACTAGGTTTATTTAAGTGATGGAAAATTAAACTCTTGGAGGAAGGAGTATTTAAGAATTTATAGTTTAATTAGATCCCATTTGTCAATTTTGGCTTTTGTTGCCATTGCTTTTGGTGTTTTAGACATGAAGTCCTTGCCCATGCCTATGTCCTGAATGGTATTGCCTAGGTTTTCTTCTAGGGTTTTTATGGTTTTAGGTCTAACACTTATACACTGTTGGTGGGACTGTAAACTAGTTCAACCATTGTGGAAGTCAGTGTGGCAATTCCTCAGGGATCTAGAACTAGAAATACCATTTGACCCAGCCATCCCATTACTGGGTATATACCCAAAGGATTATAAATCATGCTGCTATAAAGACACATGCACACGTATGTTTATTGCGGCACTATTCACAATAGCAAAGACTTAGAACCAACCCAAATGTCCAACAATGATAGACTGGATTAAGAAAATGTGGCACATATATACCATGGAATACTATGCAGCCATAAAAAAGGATGAGTTCATGTCCTTTGTAGGGACATGGATGAAGCTGGAAACCATCTTTCTCAGCAAACTATCACAAGGACAAAAAACTAAACACTGCATGTTCTCACTCATAGGTGGGAATTGAACAATGAGAACATATGGACACAGGAAGGGGAACATCACACACTGGGGACTGTTGTGGGGTGGGGGGAGGGGAGAGGGATAGCATTTGGAGATATACCTAATGCTAAATGACGAGTTAATGGGTGCAGCACACCAACATGGCACATGTATACATATGTAACAAACCTGCACGTTGTGCACATGTACCCTAAAACTTATAATAATAATAAAAAAATTTATTTTTGATATTTGAACTATTTTCATATATAGTGCAACTTACCCAATACAGTGAGCAAAAGCAGATAACTGGCCTCACAATTTTCAGAAAGAGAATAGTTTATCTTGGGTGGTACTTCATATTATAGAAGGCCAACAGGAAGAAAGGAGAAGTAAATATTAAAAATAGTTTTGTTACTTGTGGGTGCCCTGGGTAGTCTCTGTTAGGCAATGTTAGTTCAGTACATAGTCAGCTCAGATTTGGCCCACTCTTCTCCTATTGTCAGCTTGTGGAACCAAGTGCTGCAAATATCTGGGCATATGCAATGAGCATTAGTTTACTTTTAGTCATATAAAGAAGAAGACTGAGCCAAGGAAGAAAAAAAAGGAGGAGCAATCAGCTCCTGTATGCACTCAGGCTACAAAAATGATATGATAGGAAATACCCAAAATATAAGAATGGGAATTAAAAAGGGTACCCAGGTATGCAGGTGATATAAAATACATTCAAGAGTCTAAGGCAGACCATCTGAACAAACTGTGATGACCATATGGACAAAGGCACAGACTCTGAAGTGTGATTTCCTCCATTCCAATCCACATTCCACTTATCTAGCATTGTGACCTAGGCAAGTTACAAAATCCTCTGTGCCTCTTTTTCCTGATGCATTAAGTAGAAATAATTGTCATGCCTATCTTACAAATACTTATTGAGGATTAAATGAGTTAATACAGATTCAGTGCTTAGAGCAGTGCCTGGGAAATAGTAAGTGTTTAATAAATATTAACTATTAAAAAGCATTGGTAAATACAATTGCAGTTCAATAGTAAGCTTCTCTCCAGGCTAGAGCGTAGGCAGGAGGAATGAAGAGCACTTAGCTGGAATCAGCAGTGAGTTAGTGAGGATCAAGGAATGTTCTCCTAAATCCGACCTGAATTTGGAGACAAAAAGATGTGGCATAGTATATACCCTGGAGGAAAACTCACTGAACCTAACATGGAAAAAAATCCCAGATATAATTCTCACCTTTTTCCTGCTTTTTCTTTCTATTTAAAAAATTTCTATTAAAAAATTCTGCTCCACTATAGTGACAGACAAATTCTTAACCTCTTTGTTTTCTCATCCATAAAACAGACACCATAACTCTGTGTGTGTATGAGAGCACTTTGTAAAGTTATAGAAAGTTTGCACTATTCAGTGCCCTTTCAGCTGCAAGTGAAGGAAGTTCAACTCAAATATCTAAAAAGGCAAGTGGAATTAATTGGCTGATAAAACTGGACAGGATACTGGGTATTTTATAGGATTGAAGGACAAGCTGTAGAAACGTGCTTATAAAAGGCTGGAACTAGGTATTCAAAATGACCTGGATGCTTTTTTCCTCTTTTCTAAGACTACTCCAGGGAGTATTGTTCATATGGTATTCAAGGGGAAAAAGCATGCCAAGGGTGCAAGGTAGAGAAGGTTAATGGTGTCTTTGGAAATGTCACATGTTCTGAGGCTTGCTTGACTTTGCTTCTCTTTGTACCTTAGTCTCTTCTACACCAGATAGCTTTCCTCTCAAAACCTTAATATGGCCACAAAGAGCTTCAGCTTGTATCCTTCTAACACCATAACATAAAGAAAATAGAATCTTTCTTTTAGCTCGAGTCGAAATTTCCCAAGGACTCCGATTGGCCTGACCTGGGTCCTGTGCCTATTCCTGAACCACTGCAGACTGCAGGAAGGGGCCCTCTGATCTTGGGTCATGTTCTTGCTGCTCCTGTGATTGTGTATATGGTGGCTGGTGGGAGGGGATACTTGACTGAAAGCCCCTTGAATCATGGGGAGTAGAAAAGAGGTTCTATTATTCAAAGAAAGGAAATATGAACGACAAGCTAGCGCTATCATGGTCCGCCACAAATGAAAGCATTATTATTTCCTAATGCTTGAGATTATTCACTACCCTTCCACCTTGCATTACTGTGAAGAGTGTATTGTGCAGTAGCTGTACTTATATGACATTGTGATATGTAATAAGCCTAGATTTTCCTATTGGAAAAACAAACTTCTTGCTGAATTAGCATACTTCACCTCGGCTGTGCAATTATTCTTCACCATTACCCTTTTGGAGCACTCTAACACCATCACAAATGAGATATTACTTTTCCATAAGCTACTTTCATGTGGGCATGCTTTTTAAAAGTCCTGAAAAGGGGTGGTAACTATCTCCATTACTAAAAGACTAGAAATTCAAAGGGCATTCATTTGCTCAGTATGTCTCTCGAGTGTTTTCACAAATACCAAGAAGTCAGCCGGGTTCAGGAAAGAAAACGTGCATTTATCAGATGTACTTGCTGAGGCACATAAACAAATAGTACTGGGACTATGGAAATGATATGTGAATATGTTTCTGGAAATTTAAACAGAAGAATTACTCAGAGAGCAAAAGAAGGTGTCTGGGAAGTGATAACCCTTTGAGGGCCCACTAGAAAGATTAGAGATATATTTAAGTGAATAATAACTTATATAAAAAGTGAAGGTGAACTGGTAGTCAATTCAAGTTTAAAATCACAATAAAGAGCACCTTCTCTTTTCCTCAAAATTTCTTTACTCATCATTTCTAAGTTTCTATTTTGTATTTTCCTCTTTTTTCTTAATAACATATTTCTCAGAATTTGTCTATTTTAAAGACCGTTCTTTCAACTCTATACACAATCTTATTGATATAATTTTAGCCTTTTATTTTCTCTTATGTGTTGCTATTATTATCTCCAGTTTATAGATAATAAAACAGAGGTGTAGAGATGTTAAATAACTTGACCAAACTTGTGAAGCTGGTTAGTGGCAGAGCCAGCATATGGACCAAGACAGGCTGACTCCAGAGCACATGCTCCAAACCATCCCATCTTGCTGTATTTTCACTAAATTCAAGGTAAATGTTTGGGATCTGGTGTGTGGTCAAATTCTTATCTCGCAGGAGACTTTTTGTGTGATCAGATACATTGTATTCATCCATTTATTAAATATAACAAGATTATAATTTTCTTGAACATGGTCCTGAATACATGGATAATCTGAGGGCTAGAACTATATATCTCTTCCTCTTACTAGCTGTGTGAATATGGGTAGACTTCTCAGATTTCTTCACTTGTAACAAAGGGAACATACTAACTTCTTGACGCATCTCAGAAATTATTGGGAGAAAAAGAGATGGGAAGTGTGAATTGAGGAAGCATTAAGAAAATTGACACTGTGAAAATGAAACAAATTGAAACCAATACCAGCTCCTCACAATCTCTTGTCATCTCTTTTCCTGGTTTTATCCTGTCTAATTTAGATCATAAACTCTCCAGCCTGAAACCATTACCCCTTTATGCAGAGTACCAAGACTGGTGTCATTATTTAATAAAAGCACAAGAAGCAGCAGCAGCAGCAAAGGTTTGAAGTTAAATCCACAGACCTGAAGTGGAAGTTATATTGAGTTCCAACTTTATAGCAAAGTTATAGATAAGGGACTGTTAAAGGTAAGGGAATGGATCTATTTTCTTTATTTTCCTAAAACTAGTGTAAATGTAGCAATTTAGAGAGTGCAATCGAGTGTCAGATTTCTTGTACAACATTTCTGACTCAGCTTCTTAACAATTGTATAATGTTTTGAATACACCGGATTGCACAGATTCCAAGGAACACAATATTTTACATTTTCATATCTCATACAGTCAGTGGTGATTTATGGTCACTGTTGCACATGTGATAGTGGAAATGTAGTTGGCTTTGCCTGATCACACACATGCACTTGGTCATCACTGGTCAGGGTTATCTCACCTGAGTTATGAGCATTTGCATTACTGCACATGCTGAATTAGTTTGCCATTTAAATTGGCTTCAGATAAATTCAACAATATACTTGGGTTTAAGACAAAAAGTTAATGTATATGCAAAAACAGAGGAGTGGTGTTTAGATTTGATATTCGCGAAGCAAATATTCATCATTAGAAAAATGATCATTATGCCAGATTGTCTTGCAAAGAAAAAAACAAGTGTTTTATGACATCCAAGAAAGAAACATACCCACAAGTAGCTGAAATTGGGTTACATGTTTTTTACTGAGGCGCAGCAGAAGGATTGCTTATCACAACAAGCCATAGAACCAAAGGCAGGAGAAATTGCAACTCCCTTGAGATAGATGAGAAAAATTGCAAAGCAAGGAGAGACTGCTTTGATACAAGAACTCTTTCAACACGTGTAGAAGAAAACTTTGAAGTGACAAGAAAAGATTACATAATAGTTTATGGCATTTTCCCCCTTTTTTCATTTGTGTATTTAAAAAAATTATAATGCACTGATGACCTCCTAGAGATGATGAAATATGGAATCAACTTCTTACATTGTGTGAGGATTAAATGAAATAATATAGGCAAAGAGCTACTGCTGTGCTTGACATATAGTAAGCGTGTAATGCATGCTAGTCATTATTATGATCATCATTAAATAACAAAGGTCTTTCACTTTCATATCTGCTCTCTAAGGGATTAATGGGGGTTGGAAACAGCTCAAGTGGGATATACTTTATTTGAAAATAATATGTAGTTTGTGTTCTCGGGGAGAGCAGGGGAAAGTCTAATAGGCAATATTAGGAAACATGCCAAGTGTTTCTTAAGTCAAAGGGAAGAATGAAGTTGAAGACTTTTCCCAGCATGCTCAACATAGAATGACTTTTTCTGTCTTTGACTGGAAGTTACTCTTTTGCTACCTTAAGAAATTGCTACCCAACAACACGATAGACAAAGCTTCAGCTGCATTTCCTTAGCCAAAAATTGGAGACATCTCTACCTTGGCCTTTTATTCAAAAAGTGTAGTGTTAATTTCAGTGTACCACTTCACAAAAAGATGTTCATAGTTTTAGAATTTGTGATTTTCACAGCTTATTTGGAGCCATAAGCATATTGTAAGGACTTTATTGAAAAGTTCTCAAGTAAACAAGTGTGTGCCTGAGCTCACTGAATTTACACAGTGTTCAAATACACTGAATTTAACCTCAGAATTTTAATTTTCATCTAACTCAAGCTGTTGCATTCCTGAAAACATAGAAGATTTTATAAAGTCACGAGTGATGCTGATTGGGCTGTGAATTTTTTTCAGGATTAGTTCCCTGGTTAGAAAAACAGACTTTTGAGATAGTTTTCCAAAGTGTCTCTTAGATTGTGTTCAAGCAGCTCTATTAAAAAGTTAATTATTATTTTTTAAAACAAATTAATATTGAAGTATGAAAGACTTATTTGAATATATTTGACTTTTATTAATCAAGGTAACTACAGAAAATAAATTAAGCACATAACACCACTCCCCTTCACACACATACATTTTAAAATAACTGTTTGTGAAAGGCAAGCAAAGACTATGTGTACCTGACCTTTACCACTTTTATTATTTCAAAAGCACAAAGATAACAACACATGTTATTTGAGGTTTTGTGAGTGAAAAACCTCTCTTAAGAGAAAGGAATTATAAACATTTTAGTGCCAAAATAATTCTGGGTTTATTCTTCAGCCAAATTATTTTATTTTGCTTTTGTAATATAATTTTTATTGCTACACTCAAATTTTTTTGGCCTTGAAAACTATTAAACTATGTAGAAATACCTTGGCTAGTAGATATCATAATAACTGACTCATGAGACAATTGCTCTAGTAATCAAGCTAACAGTCATGATACAGCAATGAAGTATAATGTGTGTGTGTCACAGAATGTTAATGTGGTATGTTCACTTATTAATTTTTTTTTTTTTTTTAGAGACAGGGTCTCACTCTGTCTCCTAGGCTGTAGTGCGGTGGTACAGTCATGGCTCACTGCAACGCGGTCCTCTTGCCTCAGACTCCAAAGTAGCTGGGACCACAAGCACTTGCTACTGCAGGCAGCTAATTTTTGTATTTTTTGTGGAGAGGGGGTCTTTCTATGTTGCCCAGGCTGGTCTCAAACTCTTGGGCTAAAGCAATCCTCTGGCCTCAGACTCCCAAACTGCTGGGATTATAGGTGTAAGCCACCACGTCCAGCCTCACTTATTGATATTCTTAACAAGGTTATTCTTAGCAAAAAGGGGAGGGGAGCAAAATGCTGCTCAGGGACTTACTTGTTGGCTTAAATTTGTCCTCCAGTGTCCAAGTTAAGGAATGCCCTTTTTTGTATAAGCCACTCAAAAAAATCATCACTACTTGCCTTCAGCTTGTTTTTCCTGTAGGGGAGAGGCAATTTTTTTCTTTACCCATCACAGGTTCATGACTGAGGCCCCTATAATAAAGACAAATTAATAAAAGAAAAGCATATAAATTTATTTAATAGAAGTTTTACATGACACAGGAGCCTTCAGAAATGAAGACACAAAGAAAGAGAAAAAACTGTATATTTTATGGTAAGTTTGATGAAGGAGGATAGTCATGCAGAAGTATGAACAGCAGAAGGGGGCATGATCCAATGGTAACACACTGGAGGGGACTTGGCAAGGCTCATGTGTTCAGATTCTTCTTTGTTTTTCTGTGTCTTCAGTGATGGTATTTTTTTTCTCCAGGTATATGGTGGGTACCTCTGGAATAAAGGTTTTATGACCTACACAAGGGGAAGAGCAGCTAAGTTTCATAGCCTGCTTCAGGGGAGAAGGGATGAGGGGAAGATGAGAGTGACCTTCCTGCTTTTACTGTTTTCTCAAATGTCAAGGGGTCATATTTTGGGGTAGCATGTCCTGAACCCAAAGGATCTGACAGACTATAGAAGAATGGGCATTACTGCTGAATCTGGTTCAGATCTTTAAATTTATAACTAGGGTTTTCCAAAATAGAAAAGAAATTTTTTTCTATTTTTTCTAAATGTTGTTGACTCAAGAAAATTGTTGCTACGAAAGTCTAATCAATGATGATAAAATTTTATCCAAAATATTACCTTTCATTATTGTTTATTTGGCAAAAAGTACTTTGACCAGTGCTAGATAAATCACGGAATAGAAAGGAATGTTAAGATAACAACAATTCAAATGTTTTATTGTCTCTTTGTGTTTGATAGCCTACTCTATTTTTGGAAGTCCCTTTTAAGCTCTGGGAATGTAAAACAATTACCTTTCAAACCACTGAAGTGCAACCTGAATATAGTTAACACCTCATCTGGCTTCCAGGGTGTAAATTAACCTTGTGTACAGGCCATCAGGAATATTTAATGTTTTTTATTTGTGAATCATTAACATTACAGAATTTGACTAAATGTAATAAAGATAAGCAACTGCATAAAAATTTTTGAAAGCAATTAGGAAGCAGGGCATTATTTTTTATAATTTACCACAATGCGTGATGTACTTTTCACTGATCCTCAAGTCAATCAATTTACACATTAATTCCTCTTCAGAACAACACTGTAATAATGTTAGGAATTAGTACTCAACGACCTGCTGTTATTTCAAATGCATACACATTGATGGAAAATACAGGGGCCCAAAACGTACTCTACCATTAGCCCACGGCTCTTCTGCTGGGTAGGAGCTGGCAGTTAGGCACAGAACAGCACTGCATGAGGTAGGCAGAGTTTCAGAGGTTCTGCCACAAGAATGTCCCACTAAAATAATTTTCTAGTGGAATACTTGAATCAGTACATGGATTTGGTGTTGGAATAAAGACATGGCTAGCCCCTTATCTAGTAACTCAAATTTAAATATTTTTTCTTTCTCTTCCTCTCTCCTTGCTCTGTCCCTTCTTCTTTCCCTCCTTCTTCTGTCTACCGTTTATCTTTCTACTTTGGGTCTCTTTTTCAATCTCTGTCTTCTACTATCCCTTCTTCCCCTATCCTCTCTCCACATATCCTCCCTTTGAGTTTACATTTAATTTACAACATATCAATATTCACATAAACCCAATTCTCTGTGTGTAGCCCTGATCTCTCAACCATGAATTCACCATTCCAGTTGCCTGCTGGACACTTGCAGCTATGGTTCCTTAAATCCTTTAGACTCCACTTGTCTGTTAAATGTGTCTTTTCCCCCATTCCTGAAACCAACTCTTGGTCTTCTCTTTCCTATTTCAATGAACATTTTCACCAATCCTTCAGCTATCTGGGCCTCAGCTCTTGCAGTTATCCTACTTCTCCCTTTCCCTCTCCTCCTACATTCAATCAGGCATCTGTCCTCTTGATTATATTTTGTCACATCCTTTAATTTTCACTTCTAATATCAAGATCCTAGTAAACTTTTATCATCACTCTTCTTAGTGTTCTGGTCATTACCAATTCTTCCTTCAGACCATTTCCAAGATATTTATGATACTAAAAGATGGGTAAGATCCCACAATAGTCATTTCTTCTGCTTATCAAAAACCTTTGATGAGGGGCAGAGATAGGCAAGACAATCAGAGAAGAAAAATAAAGTTGAGTCTGTACTAGATATCAATGTATTTTATAAATAATACATGTTGACTTATATAATAAATCATGTATCATAATAGATCATATATACCATATATCATATATCATACTAGATATCAATATGTTTTATACATGATAGATTAAAAATATATTTATAAAACATCAAAATGTTTTATAAATGATGTTTTATAAATAATATACACTTCAAGATGTCAAATATAATCCAGACAATATGTTACTTGCAAAGGATAGATAAATAGACATGGAATCGTTGACAAAATTGCAAACACAATGAGAAGTTGGCATGATAAAAATAACTCTTTCAACAGGTATACATATAAAGAGATTCCAGATATTTAGCCCCTTGATTTAGGAGAAAGATAGTGCTGCTGTGCAGTGGGGAAGAATGGTTTTTTCAACAAATGGTGCTAGGCCAATTGGATATCCATGTGGAACAAAATGAAATGGTGCTCCCTCTATCATGACATATGTGAAGAATCAATTCTATGTAGGGCATGAAGATAAATGTGAAAGAACAACCAAAGGGACATTCAGAAAAATTTTTAATCAAAAAGTTTGAATACATCAAGCTGCATTAAAATTAAGACACTTAAGTGAAAATTCAAGGTACAGTGAGGAAGACGTCTGCAATACATTTTTATGACAAAAGAAGAGTAGTATAGAATATATAAAGAACTCCTACAAAACAGTTAGAAAAAGCAAGTAATTGGTCTGGCATGGTGTCTCACACCTGTAATCCCAGCACTCTGGGAGGCCGAGGCGGGCGGATCACCTGAGGTCAGGAGTTCAAGACCAGCCTGGCCAACATGGTGAAACCCTGTCTCTACTAAAAATACAAAAAATTAGCCGGGTGTGGTGGTGGGTGCCTGTAATCCCAGCTACTTGGGAGGCTGAGGCAGGAGGATTGCTTGAACCTGGGAGGCAGAGGTTCCAGTGAGCCGAGATCGTGCGCCTGCACTCTAGCCTGGGCGACAAGAGTGAAACTGGCAAAAAAAAAGAAAAGGAAAGTGTGTAATAAAATTGGATATCCATGTGGAAAAACATGGATAACAGACACTTTATAAAAGAGGATCTATATGTGGCCAATAAATATCTGAAAAGGTGCTAAATTTTTTTAGAGACTAGCAAGGTACACACTAAAACCTCAATGAAATACCACTACACACCCACCAGGATGGCTAACATTTTAAATCTGAATAATATTGCTGCTGGCAGGAACAAGGAACAGGTAGAATGTTTATAATCCCTGGCAGAAATGCAGAATTTATATAATTCACAGAACAACTATTTGGCTGTTATCAACTAAAACTGACTATATGACCTGGCAACTTCATTTGTAAATAAATACCCCACAGAAATGGTTAAATGTGTGCATTAAACAATATGTACCAGAATATTCATAGTGGCACTATTCATAATAGTCCCAAACTGGAAGCTACCTCAATGTTCATCAATAGTAACATAATAAGTACATTTTATTTCATGTTTTGAAATGCACACATTCTACCAACAGTCTTTGGAATCTTGGTTTCTACACACACTCACCTAGTACTCACCTTGCAACACCCTGAATTCCTATGCATCCTGGGTCTACTGAAATTCCAAGCTCATGGGGTGTCATGAATGCTATATGCAAGTGAATGGCAAGAAACATGGACACGCACATTTTGTGAGTTTCCTCTGCTCTTACATGTACTTCATTGTTCCATTGGACTTCACTTACAAAACACAACGTCAATGATAAAATTATGAAGAATTTCAAGATGACAACAGCAAAACAATAAAGTAAACACATGCCCTTCTGGGTGGGAGCATTCCCTAAAACCAGCCTTTCCTGTTAATCCTACTTCAGAAAAAGTTTATTAAAAACTACGAGAACAAATAAACATTGCTTGATAGCTCCTTCACTGCCTAGCAAATAAAGTTCAAATTCTGTAGCGAAAATAGAGTTTTTAAAACTCTGGTCTCAACTCCCCTCCCTCACTCTTCGCTTTACCTACCAACTAATCCTCCCCCGGTATTGATCCACCTCAAAACCTGAGAGTCATCCTTCACCCCTGTCCTAGCCCCTCACAGCAGATTTGGTTGCCTTCCTTTGAGCATATATTACAAATACATCCACTTTTACAAAGAAATAGATCACTCTAATCTAAGCCCTGTGGCACTTGAGCAAAATGAAAGCAAATGCCAAACAGGCTGAGTGTGAAGGTGTGGGAGCACCCATTCCCCCTTCCCCACAGCCCTTCACAGTCATTCCACAACCAGTGGTCAGAGTAGCCTTTAGAAAATGCTATTCAGTCTCTTGAAATGATGTCTGTATTCAAATAAAAAAAATTAAAAATTAAAAGAAAAAAGAAAAAAATGCTACACAGCCATGCTCAAATTCTATAGAGGCCTCCGAGTCTCTTGAGAATGAAATTCAGACTTCTTCTGGACCATGAGGTCCTGCCTGCACACTTTTGATTCTCTTTTCTTCACCCCAACTTCCCTTTCCTTCTTAGGACAGACCCTTGGCTTTTGTGTTTGCTAATTTCTCTATTTTGAATGCCCATCTTTGCATGGTTGTGCCCCCCCTGTTTGGACTCAGATAAAAATTCCTCTGCTCAAAGAAGCCTTTGCTGGCCATGAAATATAAACTAGCTCTCCCCCACCAATTCTAGTCCTTGTGATCATACCATTATACTGTTGTCCCTCTTGCCACTTACCAACACTTGCAATGATGGGATTGATGAATTGGCTTTCTTATTCGGTGGCTGGGTCCTCCCCACTAGACTATCAGCTCCAGGCTGTCTTGTTCATGGTTGTATCCTGAAGGCCAAGAACAATGTCCAGCACACACTACATGCTTACAAATATCACATTTCATTACTGCTCTCTGAAAGGATGATTGAAGGCTCTCCTCATTCCCCTGGTTGTTTTGGCGGTTTTTTTGTTTGTTTGTTTTGATTTGTTTTTAGTTTTGTAGGTTTTGTTTGTTTGTTTTTTGGTTTTTTTTTCCCCCCCATTGAGTCTCCTCTGCTTAGCCAGCGAGCAGGGTTTTGTTTAGGGTAAGGGAATATTAAGAGGCATGTGGAACAGGAAACTAGGGCTCAGGGCTGGGCTGGGAGGTGGAAGATAGAGAGTGGAGACTTGCACATTCTGGAAAGACATTTTTTTTTTTCTGGGAAAGAGAAATGCTCAAATTGGATTTTAGAGACTTCTGATATGTGATGAGACCCTTTCTTTTCCCCCAAAAAACCATCCATAAAGTCTAGAAAACTCATGAAGCATTTGTGAGTTTGGTGGGGAGGGGAGGCTTGTTCCCCCTTTTGATGACATGGGGTTCATGTACAAGGTAAGCATGGGAGCCTCAACAGCCTGCTCACCTTTGGTCACACCTATCCTTCAAACAATAGGGACTGCTAAGTTTGGTAAAATTAGGTTATGCTTTCTTTAGATATTCCGTTAGTTTGTAATATTATCGTCAAACATCCCTTCCTAGGCAGCCTAGCATGGAAAATAATTAATGTATAAAAGTAAGGATTATTTTAAAGCCCAGTTCTGCTCTGTTCTGAGCTGTGTGAACTTTAGCAAGTTGCCTAGCTTCTCTCTAAAACAGGTCTCATACTACAGTCTTTCTTGTCTTTTGTCATGGTCAAATAAGATAATGCATTACACAGTGACTGGCAACATATAGGACCCCTTAAGTGTTAGTTTTTATTTTCTCTTCTTTGGGGGTCAAATACCTGGAGGACGGGGTCTGTGAGAGGAGATTTCATCTTCCATAATTTCAGATCCCATGGAGGAGCCCTGCAAGATGTCTTATGAGGCAATTTCAATGAATATTTGTGGCAAATCTAGGTTTTCAGACATTCAAACTTGAAATAAATTTGTTCTCTTTTATAGCAACCCCTTCAAAAGGACCAGGTCCTATTGTGATTTGTTTGAACTTATACCTTCCTATTCTCCTTCTCAAAAGGAGTGTCGTGGAACACCTAACAAACCAAACAACGAACAGACACAATCTCAACTGGATTATTTTTTCTTGAGAATATTAGTGACACAAAAATAGTTTTGGGAAATAAATCTCTGGGGTTATTCATTCACTTCTTTCTTCTTTTCTACCAAGGAAACCTGCAACTCATTACTATCTTTTACTGCCCAATATGTGAGATCTTTCCCACATCTTATCTCCTTAAGGCTCCATGGCACCAAGGCAAAGATACTTTCTGCTCAGTAGTTCTTCACTTCCAAAGTCTGTAGTTTGCATGTGGTATGTGCTGTAGAAGGGCAGGGTTGAATTGCATGGTGGTTTAGAGCTGGGTGATCCCAATGCCTCACTGTATTGTCATATAGCACTTTGCACAAACCTCAAAAAGACTCTGGATTTGTTTCTGGTTCTATGTGTGGAAGAAGCCTATTAATGAAGACCTCTTACCTATTCAGTGAATGTATACTTGAGGCTGCCTAGTGGCTGGAGAAAACCCTGCTCACTGTCTTCCCACTCAATAGGACAGAGGGGTTGCCTCTGTGAGTCCTGGAGTGGCTATGTCTGCACAGAGCCCCAGTGGGCTTTCTCGTACCTGGCCAGCTTCGGAGCTGGTGTGTCTTCATGGAGCACCTCTGAGGAGACAGCTCTGGGGTCTTGGACCCTGGCACTGCCTGACTCACCCATTCATCCATCTACTTACCCTTTCACCACTTCTTACTGAGGTGCCGGAGACAGAGCACATCAGATTTCTGCTCCCATAAAGTTGATATTCCAGTGCAGTACCATAGATAAATGATAACCAGAGACTCTCCTAATGGATTTTACAACCCTTTCTGTCTTCACTTGTTTGTAGGGCTTGATGCTTTAGATTTAAATGTAGCTATGAATTATATACTATCTTATTTTATGAGTATAGTGTTTCTGCCTATCACTTCCCAATTAGTTTATCAAATTTTCAGGAATAAAAAAGTAATAACTATGATTTATTCATTTATTATTTATTTAATAAAACTACATGAGAAGTAGTATGTGCAAACTGGAACCAAAATGTTTGGTTTAAGTGCCAGGTTAAACCTGTGCCAGGTTAAACTTAACAGCTGTGTGACCATAGGCAAGCTACTTAATCTTTTCTACGCCTCAGCCTTTTTCTCTGTAAAATGGGGATAATCATAATATTTAGCTCATGTCAGAGACAAAACTTTTTCAGTGACATGCTGTAACCCCTCAGTATGCACTAGCTATCATTAAGGCAGCACTTACCATGTGACGGGCTGTGCTATATTTACATCAAGATTATTCCTCACAATAGCTCATGACATTGTTATCACTAGCCCCATTTTACAGACAGCAAATTTGAGAGGCAAAGCTCTTTGCCCAAGAATACAATAGAGACAAGGTTAAACCCCTTGTTTGTCTGGCTTCAGAGCTCATGTTTTCAGCAATGTCTTATTATTGCCTCTCACCTGTGGAGTTCCTGACTTCAGTGCAGGGGATCCAGATGCTCTTTTATAAAACCGTGTGTGTGGAGCAGATTGATTCACATGGAGTTTCCAGGTTTTATTGAGGTTTCACCACGAGCCTGACATTTTTCCTGGAGCTAATCCACATCATGATTTCACAATACAGGACTGAATGCAGAGGCTGTGTTGGACTATTTTTTTCCTCCTTGTCATTTAAGGTCAGGATCGGGCACAGCATGTTGAAATATATATTGTTCACAGCCTTTTTCTGTTCACTGAACTTTCCAATTAGTGTTCACTTAAATGGATGCCGGGGAGAATTTCTTACAAGTTATGGTGTCATGTTGAATTGTGGTGATTATGAAAGCTACAGTGACAGGAAAGACCTAAGATATTTTTTTTTCTGTTCTCTCATTGCTTGGCAAAAACTGGCTGTGAAAAATAATCCTTAAGTTAAGAATTCCCTGATATAAAAGAACATTAAACCATTGTTTTGGTCATTTTGTTGTTAAAAGTTCTTCTGATTTAAATGTTCCATTTCCTTGAGTTTTGTTTTTAAAATTATAGTTGTATATGGTGCCCTTGGGGTAATGTTATATTGATTATCAAATGTCTCTGGTACATTTCTGCTCTTGGTCTATTTAAGCATAGAACAAAATAGTGTGGGTTTTCTATCTTTCATTCTAAATGTCACTTGCTGTGAGCTATTTTCTTGCACTCAGTTGCCTTCCTTTCCTTTTGTTTATCTTATTTTGCATATACTTTCAATTTTTACAAAATTGTTTATAACATGGGATTATACTGTGTTCTGCGGGTGAATTTGAACATTAGGGCTGATATTTTATTTTGTGACAGAAAGACTAGGGTAGGTATTTTTTTTCCCTTTTATTCTCCTTCAAAAAAAAATGCCCCAGTCAATGAATAATTTAAGTCCTTGAATTCTGAAGAACATATTTGAGTATTTCATGGTACAGGCATCTTTATTTTATGTTTCTTTCCCAGAGGCAGGAGAAGTACCAGGTATTATAATATGAACTCAATCAATCATGTCCTTTCCTGGGGCTGTGTGGTGATGAGAGTCTCACCTCTATGAGGATTTAATTCATGGACAGGGAGAGAATTCAAGGAAGGCCGCTATCATCCTTATTCAATCTCTATTGCTTTTTACTGGTGAGTCTAGCAGCACAGGCTTGTAGTTTCCTTATGCTGAAACTGAAAGCGTAGGTTTTCCTATGAAAATACAGTTGTCTCTGGACACTGGACCAAGGATCACTAATTCATGGTCAGGGGGTTGCAAGGGGTTGTCTGTCTAGTTCCTGCCCAGCACTATTACAGCTTTGTGATAGGGGTGAGAGTAAGGGAGTGTTTCTAATTGTATTTTGGTTCTTGTCTCCAGATCAGTTTTATCAAGATTGATTGTGGCATTTCTGGCTATCTCAATGAAAAAGAGCATGTGAAAATTAAAGAAAAGTGATGAATTTGCTCATCAGCAATTCAGAATGCAAAGGTAGCAGAGGATAATTTATACTGAATTGCAACCCCTCTCTAGGTTCAAGGCCATTTCAGGATGTGGCAGGTAGTTAGTATAGCTAGCTCGCCTTTTAGAAATAGATTGGGCTTCTTTGTAAGTTGGTTGTTTGGATTGCAGGAGGATAATAATCTATAGAAACATTAAAAATATATGGTATGTGTATTATAATTCCTAGGCTAGCCCAAAAACACCCATTTAACTCACAATGCAACTGGAGGGTGGTACAATAGTACTAATAAAACAATAACCATTTAGATTTGGAAATGTGTTTGGAATTTCAGTTACCTCCATTGTGGCCCTGGTTTTAGGATTCAGTATTTTTTTTTTCTTCGTCTCTACCAACTCCACCACTTCCCCAGCTGGCCACATAGACCATTTACTTCTTCATCACATAGTTTGAAACTCCTACACTTTGGTCTGTGCTCTGGTTTTTCTCAATTCTTTTCAGAAGTCCAATGTGCCATCTTTCTTCCAAGTTTAGGCCCTCACTTTTATCAGCTCCTCCACCTGAAATGCTTCTCCAGCTATTCATCTCTTGGCTAACTCCTATTTGTTCTTCAGTGTGGGTGTCATCTCTCTGTAAAACCTTCTGTGGTTCCTCCTTTTCATACTTCAAGACTGTCTTGGAGACTAGAACTAAAGTACAATTAGAAACCATCTTCAAACTGCCCAGAACCTCCAAGAGTATAGTTAGCCCAAGGAAGGGAGAGTGGTTAGTCAAGCTTCATACTCATGTAGGGAGACACCTGCCGTTCCCACAGGTCCTTGCTGGCACTTGTTTCTGATGAGCAACAGGCCCTGTAGAGCTATCAGAAGATGCTCTTCCACGCTCTTGATGTTGATGACAAGATTCCACCAAGGACTTCATGCATCTTTGGACTGAACTTAGCCAGATCAGTGCTAAGTTCAGTCACAGCTCTCTCACTCTTGGCTCCCAGGGGTTCAGATCCTAGTGCTCAGTCTTTCCATTTGCATGTATAGCTTCCTCCCAGGGAAATAGGAGGCCCCACAACACTAAGTCATGATTGTTTCTGTCCTACACTTCACAGATCCAGACCACTCTCTTCCTTCTCTCACTGGGGATTCACATCTAGTGGTTAAAGAGTATGTATGTTAGCTTCCCAGGGCTACCATAATAAAACAGAAAAAAATTGGTGTCTTAGAACAATAGAAATTCATTGTTTCACAGTTTTGGAGGTTAGACATCACATCTGAAATTAAAGTGTCAGCAGAGCCATGTTCCCTTCACAGGCTCTAGGAAAGAATTCTTTCTTGCCTCTTCTAGGCTTTGGTGGTTGTTAGCTATTTTCGGTGTTCCTTGGCTTGCAGATGCATTATTCCAATCTCTACCCTGTCTTCACATGGCCTTTTCCCTGTGTGTCTGTCTCTGTGTCTAAATTTTCTCTCTAATCATATTAGATTTAGGACTCACCCTAATCCATGTTGACTTCATCTTAATTTAATTACATCTGCAAAGACCTTATTTCCAAATAAAGCCACATTTACAAATTTCAGGTGACACAAATATTGAGGGGCCACTCTTTAACCCATTATAAGCAGTTTTCTCTTAAATGCTCAAAATCCAAATGGTCGTATTACACTTCTTTCACACACTGGGGATAGCTTCCCACACTCCGAAAGAAGTGTACTCTCAGTAGTTCTAAGGTGACTCATCTATATAAGGGAGATTCTCCAATAGGGTTGGAAGTCAAGGAGGCAGCTAGAGTACAAAATTTAAGGAGGTGCTCCTTCTCCATATCCTAGAGGTGCAGAGTTACACTTATACAGCCTTGACAGTGGGTTCTTCCTTACTTTTGGGGTCCTAGTTCTCTTCTTGCATTCTCCTAGTCCCAGCTCTACTCCCCAAGATAATCCAAGAGATACACCTAGAAAAATGGCAGATGAAGTAGGCAACATTTCTCACATCTCTGTTGTCAAAAAGAGAAAAATATCTATAATTTTCATCTGTGATGCAACAGCCTGAGACATCATGATAACTAAAATTTTAGAGTGGTTCCTATGTGTAGGCACTACACTAAGGTATCTTTATCTCATGTATTCCTTATAGCCCTAAGAAGGTATTCAAGGTGTTCCCATGTTTTAGTTGCAGAAATAGATAACTGCAGCTGCCTTTCATTTTATAACACTTTAACTTTCAGAGTATCTAACACTCAGTGGGCACTCAAAAATTGTTTTAATAAGTGAGAAAGCCCAGCCAGGTGTGGTGGCTCACACCTGTAATCCCAGCACTTTGGGAGGCCGAGGCAGGCAGATCACTTGAGGTCAGGAGTTCGAAACCAGCCTGGCCAACATGGTGAAACCCCATCTCTACTAAAAATACAGAACAGTTAGCCAGGCATGGTGGTGCATGCTTGTAATCCCAGCTACTTGGGAGGCTGAGGCAGGAGAACTGCTTGAACCCAGGAGGTGGAGGTTGCAGTGAGCCGAGATCACACCACTGCACTCCAGCCTGTCCAACACAGCAAGACTCTGTCTCTAAATAAATAAATAAATAAATAAATAAGAGAAAGCCTAAGATTTTTTAAAGAAATTATTTGTCTATCTGACAGTTAATCTTCTTGTCAGATATAGTTATGGCCACCAGCATGCAGAGATGAATGAGACACCATTCCTGTCCTCAAGGAGTTTAGAGTTTAGTGCAGCAGTTTTTAACTCTTGGGTACAGAGAAAGGAAGGAACATTAGAGTTGCCTGTGAGGGCTTCTCCTGAACTAACAGCCACTCAAGTAACCCTTTGATTTCTCATCTTACCACATGATTGCCCTGAAAGCACTTTGGTTCCTGAGCCCCAACAATCCTTGTGCCCAAACAGTGAAAATGCTTTTATGTTAAACTCCCTCTCTGCCCAATAATTGAGCTGTGCTTAAGGGCAGTGTAACAACCTGGACTCATGCTGTTTCCTTAATTTAAAAAAAAGAGAGGATTTTAGAACATCCTCCCTCTGAAATTTCTCTGCATTAATTAGACTTAATTGTGTAAAGTGATTTGATGATTAATTTAAACACTAATAAATTATTAACTTTCTAATAAATAATATTTAATATATGCTAATGAGGGTTCACATTAATAAACTGTTCAATTTTTTAACACCACCTCTATAATTTATTACAAAACCTAATAAAAAATACTACCTACAAGAAATGCTTCACTTTGACCATGGTTTCAATGTAATCTACATCCACAATTCACTTTTTTTGTTGGAAAAGAACAGATAAATATATAATAAAAAAATAGGTTGCAGATAGAGAGGAAATGGGACTCATTTCATGTGTCTGAGAATATTTCTCTTCAGACCTTAGAGGAGATGTGGGGAATGGCCTTCTTAAGTTACTATTTAGCTTCATGGAATCACAAATTATTCCTTAGACTCAAAGTTTTAGACACCACAATGCGTCAGCATCCAGCATACTTCCTGGCACAGAGAAGATGCTTAATGACTATTTGTTGATTGAATAAATAAACTAATAGCAAATCTTCTATTTATCCCTCTTCTTTCTCTTTCTTGGTATTTCTCCAGTGATGTTGACTGTAAACTTGGCTGTTCTCACATTAGAAGAAATGAAAAAAAAATTGTTTACTGGCTTGAGAAAAGTACTTAAAATATGATTCCATTCATTCCTTTCAAATATGTATTAACAACACATGTATACATATTATAATATGGATTAAAAATTAAGTTCATTCATATAGAGCTCAGCTTTTATTATACTGAAGATTGGTATCTGCTTACAATAAAGTTGTAGAATACTGTCTCAGCAATGTTTCACCACAAAAATAACTTTCTACCTAACTGCCAGACAGAAATAAACACTTTGGCAAAAAGTAGTATTACAGAAGATTTTCCTCTTTTGGGGATTCAGGGATAACTGGTTTGGATGTTAATATAGTGCCAAATTGCAAGGAATAAACAACTGTATTCCTTTCAACATGTCCTTTTATTACTTAGCAGATTCAATTTATATTTAATAAAATCACTAAATAGTTCTTGTGAAACTGATAGAAAGATCATAATGACCTTAAGGAGTTTTCCTCAGGCAATACTTGCAGGAAAACATTTACAGTTATCCTTTATTTTTTTAAGACAGGGTCTCACTCTGTCATACAGGCTGGAGCACAGTGGTGCAATCACGGCTCCCTGCAGCCTCCACCTCCTGGGCTAAATGATCCTCCTGCCTCAGCCTCCTAAGTAGGTAGGTCTACAGGTGTGTGCCACCATGCCCAGCTAATTTTTGTTGCTTTTTTAGAGACAGAGTTTTACCATGTCGTACACACTGGTCTCAAACTCCTGGGCTCAAGTGATCCACCTGTCTTGGCCTCCCAAAGTGCTAGGAAATCAGGCATGAGTCACTGTGCCCAGCCACAGTTGTAGTTTTTAATAAGTGTACAGGATTTTTCCATCACCCACCTCCTAGGCCCTAGAAATATTTTAAATAGGGCCAAAGATTGACTTTACTTTAGACTTAACACCTATTGATGAGAAGACATGCCAGAAACTAACAAGGCAAAAATTGTTTTGTCACCAATCAGTGATGTTTCAATTTCAGCTTAAGTTGTTTGGTATATGAAGTGCCTCAGTTACCGCTAGTGATTGATGGGAGTTGTTTTTCAAGTGCTAAGCTATAAAACTATTTTATATTGCTGAAAGATATGGTAATTTTGTCCCACTGATTTGCAAAAAAAAAGTGGTTTAAAAAATAAACTGAACTTGCAGAGTTATTTCAGTGGAAATGAAGAAAACAACTTAAGATATTAAGTATTAAAAATGCACGCTCTGAATCTCAATGCAATTGTAAAAATGTATTCATATTCCTAGATGGTATGTTTTTCTTTTTTTCTCTTTTTTTTAAATATAATGAGATACAAAATTCCAAGTTTATTTGGGTTACATAAAATTCCCCGCTTTCAAATGTATGCTGGAAGGAAACTCATCTTCTATGTTAATGTTAAAAAGGCTAGCATGGGTACAGATTGTGAAGACAGAAAAAAAAAAGGTCTAGCAAAAGTAATTTTGTGTTTGAGACACCTCTGAGCACCACTGTGACCATTTTAAAGAATAAAAGAAAGATGAAGGTGATGATTTGACTGAGTTTCCATTGCTTACTGGGCATGTAGTAGCGATTGTTATTCCTTCTACAAAACTGGACAGAATCAAATCCTGCTCCCTGTCCTCCCACATTCTGTTCTGGTATTTCAAGGTGCAATGAAGAACTCAGGGAAGCACTGGAACTATTTCAGTACAGGTTGAGCATACCTAATTTGTTTGTGCATACCTAATATGAAAATCTGAAATCTGAAATGCTCCCAAATTCAAAACTTTTTGAGTGCAGATATGATGCCACAAGTGAAAGAGAAGTTAATGAAAAGTAGAAATACGCTGCACCATGTTAAAAGTAAAGATCCCAAATGTGTAGAGATACATCTACATAGCAGTGAACACATGCCACTTAATGGTATGCTTATCATGAAATAAGTGAAGATCTATCATGATGAACTGAAAATTGAAGGGAACTGTGAATATTCAACAGGCTGGTTGCAGAAACTTAACTAAAGATACGCCATTACCTTTTTAAAGATTTGTGGTAATAAAGCATCTGCTGATCAGAAAGCAGCAGAGAAATTCCTTGGTGAGTTTGCCAAGGTCATTGCTGATGAAAATCTGACATTGGAACAAGTCTTAATACTGACTCGTTCCCTTTACATTCTATAATACATAGTTCCCTTCAATTTTCAGTTCATCACAGTTTTGGCATGATTGTCCCAGAAAGACATGGTCTACAGCAGGTGAGACAGCCCCTAAAGGAATTAAGGATGCCAAAGACAGAATAATTGTGCTGGGATGTGCTAATACAGCAGACATGCATAAGTGTAAACTTGCTGTGATAGGCAAAAGTTTGTCCTCACTGTTTTCAGAAAAGGAATTTCTTACCAGTCCATTGTTATGCTAACAAAAAGGCAGGTCTCAGGGGATATATTTTCTGATTGGTTTCACAAATATTTTATACCAGTAGCTTGTGCTCACTGCAAGGAAGCTGGACTAGATGATGGCTGCAAGATTTTGTTATTCTTTGAGAACTGTGTGTCATGACCCAGCTGAAATTCTCATCAAAAATAGTATTCATATCATATATTTTCACCCAAATGTGACTTTGTTGATTTAGCCCTGTTGCCAGGGAATCCTTAGATCAATGAAGAGTAAATATGAAAATTCTTTTTTTGTTTTATTTTGTTTTGGAGACAGAGTTCTGCTCTTGTCACCCAGGCTGGCTATCTTCGGAATCTATCAGTAAGCTGGAAGAGGTGGATATCAAAAATGTTTTTGACATGGATAAGGAGGCTCTAGTTTTTTTATTGACCGATGGTGAAATAGCTGAAATGGTTCTGAATCAAGGTAATCATGATACTGTAATAGTGATGATAAGATATTAACACTGCAGAAAAATTGCCTATAGATGACATGGTGAAAATGTATGATGGTCTTATTGAAGGACTAGAACAACACGCATTTATAACAGAACAAGAAATCATGTCAGTTTATAAAATCAAAGAGAGACTTCTAAGACAAAAATTATTGTAAATTATTGTAAATGAAGCAGATGACTGTGGAGAAAACATTTTAAAAAGCCATCCAGCAGAACACCTTCTCATCCCTAGAAGACTCACTTCCTGGCCCTTCAACTGCCTCTGATGTTTCTTCTCACCTAAGAAAAATAAATAAAAATAAATACAGTTTACAATAACCTACAATAACCTTTTTAATTGAAATACAGCATCATAAGTGGAAACTGAAAGCCTGCCGTTGTTTGTTGTTGCTGTTATCTAATAGCTGATGCACGTATTGTGGTGATGCTATGGCGCTGCTTAGTTACCCTGAACACATTATCTTTCTACTGTATTAATGGTGTGTCATATTTTTTACTGTTAAATACTTATGTGTGAATAAGTATAAGAAAATGATTGCTTATCGGTAGCATATAAATTTAAAGTTAGGAAAGATGATGATGCCAAACAACCACAGATGGTCCACGTGGGTGGGAGATAGTGACACCTTTAGCTTTCTGATGGTTCACTGTACACAAACATTGTTTCATGCACACAATTATTAAAAATGTATAAAATTACCTGCAAGCCCTGTGTGTAAGGTGTATATAAAATATATATACATTTTGTGTTTAGATTTGGGTCCTATTCCCAAGATATCTCATTATGTATATGCTAATATTCCAAAATCTGAAAAAAATCCAAAATCCAAAACACTTCTGGTCCCTAGCATTTCAGATGGGGGATACTCAACCTGTATCTAGTTGTGGTGTACCTTAAAAGAGCGCTATTCTTAAATACTTATGTTGAGGAAGTGTTGAAGGTTTTGCAGTGTTGAAATCTGTTAAAATGCAAACACTCCAGGGATACACTATAACTTTCTTTTTTTCTTTTCTTCCTTTTTTCTTCCTTTCTTTCTCTTTATTTCTTTCTTTCTTTAATTTTTTTTTTAGCTTAGGCCCTATGTAGGGTAGACACATCAAAGAAGATTTTATCTCATTTCCCCTTGGCACTTACTGAGTGCCCATTTACAGGGACTGTGATTACTAAGGACTGGTCTTTGTTCTCTAAGGGTCTGGAAAGTAGAAGTTGGGGCAGGAACTTATTTGTGAATATATGAAAAGCAAGAATAAGATAATAGGGAGGGCTGGGTCTTGAGAAATTGGATACTGGCTGCCAGATCCTTCCAATTTAATTGTTTAGTAATATTGTGATGACCAAACCAGTCAGCAGCATGATTTGACCCCTGGGATGCTCATTTTTGTAGTCTTTGCTCAAAGGACAAGGGAAAAGGGACAGACAGGCAACCCAGTCTAATACAATATCATATGTGTTATAGTAAATACAAGTACAAGGTTAACTACTAGGAAGGCAGGAAGCAGTGCTGCTTAGTTCTTTCAGGGCATACTGGATACTTTCACAAAGACAAAAAGACAAGAATTTTGTTTCTGTCTTGAAACTAATATTCATTGAGGACTGACTGTGTTGAACACTGGGCACACATGGTCACATGTGACTGAAAGGAGGAGCAGGTTATTTCAGAGAGGGGAGCCTAAATAAAAGCTGGACAATTTCAGTGTATATTTTTACTCCAAAGTGCTGTTGGATTTCTGGGGAGAGAGGAGGAAGAAAAGCTTGGAATTATGTTGCAAAAGTGTTTAATGTCATTCTAGGTAGAGCTTGGTCACTTAGCAGCCTTCGGAAGTAATTTACCTGGGGAGAGAGTGTAGAGGGAGAAGTCAAAGGCATAGGATCAAAAGGGCAGATCCTTGGGGAATGGCTAGAAAGCTGAGGAAAGTGGTCCATTTAAGATGATGAAGAAGGACTAATTAGCGGCATAGAAGAAAAGCCAGAAGATAGTTTGGCTAAGCCACCTTCCATGAAAAGGTCACAAAGCGATGCCCATTTACCCCCAAGTTTTCTACCCATCCCAGTCCAGGTGCCAGACATGTGAAAATGTCTGGAAATACCATCTCCTGTTTTCCCGGGCTGATATGATGGCTCTCTGCCCCATGAACACAACCTCCTTGCCTCAGTGCTCTACTATCTCCAGGTATGGTCATCATCCTCATTGTCCGAGATAGTGGCATGATGTCTCTGGCAGGAGGATGGAGGAAGGCATAGAGAAGAAGAAACAAGGGCATATGTCAGCTGTCTCAGGGTAGGTTCCTGAAAACTTTTGGTAGTTTCCTACCTAAAAACTCTGGTTATATCTCATTGGTCAGAACTTAATTACATGGCCATACATACTTGCAAGGAAGACTGAAAAATGTAATATCTATTCAGGGAAACCATATACTCAATAAAAATTCAATTATTGTTAAACATAATCAGCAACTAATGGTTTCTCCCATACCAAGGCAATAGTATCATTGGGGAAAATTATGTTTTTTTTTTTAGGGTCAAGTGTTCTTAGAAAAGATTAAGGGTCGGCCAGGTGTGATGGCTCACACCTGTAATCCCAGCACTTTGGGAGGCCGAGGTAGGTGGATCACCTGAGGTCAGGAGTTCAAGTTCGAGAAAAGAGTATGGGTATAAGGAAATTTCACTAGCTCTTAGATAAAACACACACATACACACACACACAAGTTTACATTATTATAAATTATAAGGATTTTGGTCTTCTATCTACTTTACTAGAAAAAGCTCTTAATATTTCCAGGAGTTTCTCTCCCCAAATATCTCTGACATGCCCCAGGAGAGTGTATACATGTTGATGAACCATGTCTCACCATTGCTTTCATGCTGCTTCCCCCTGGGGGAGCAGAAATTGATGTCCCTCTTGAAGGTGAACACATTCATGACCACTCTCTCTCATTCCCCATTTGCCATCATCAATGGATCAAGACGTCTACCATTGATGGCTCCATATTCCTTCTAGTCATGGATCTTGGTTGAATTGTCCTAGCAACAGTAGTTTCATGAGTGGTAGAAGCTCTTTCAATTCAGAGCCCCCACCCTGCTGTGGTCTATAAAGTACACTCACATTACCAAAATTAATTATGCTAGTAATAATATAATTTTTAACAGTGTGTGTGGGTGAGACCAGTACTCTCAGATCACCCATTGCTTTGATAAAAATACATACTCATGCTTCCAGATTCCTTCCACCCTTATAATTAAGTGACCTGTCAGGGGACCTATTGTTCTCAGTTATACTCTTGCTTTAACTGTACCCTTGCCAGTTCATTGACTTGTTTTAATATCTTTGAACATTAAGGGAGAGGGATCATGGACTCACAAGTTCATTCCCCCTTTCTCCATAAGTCTTACTTGTCACTTATTCATATGTTTTCACAGATAGTTACACAGAAGAAGGCAAGTTGCTAACCTGGCAGCATCCACCTATGAAATGAATGCACATGGGTATGTTGGGAAAGGCGTGGTGGAAGTTCATGAGTGAGGACTGTCTAACTCCTCATTCTGTGCCCTGTGACACTAGACATAGAAAGAGGACTTTAAAGGAATTAGTACAAAGGAGTAGGCAAGAGTGGTTAGCAAAAGGTGGTCTGACCAGGGGAGGATAGATCTGTGACAGGGGTGATAAGGCATGATGGATACAGACAACAGGCTGGAGAAGTATCCCTGATGGGTGGTGATTATGCATCACAAAGGAAAGGGATGGCATTTGGAAATGAGACCAGGGTCACCAGAAATGAGAGAATACCAATTGCAGAGAAATTGGGAGGGCATCAGAGTCTGATTCCCTTTCTTGGATTTCCCCCACAGCCAGTAACACAAATGAGCATTTAAAAATTATTTCCCAAAGTATTTTTAGTGATTTGAATTCCTAATTAGTTAATCTTAACATCAGTTCTAAAGAAATGACAGTTTCCCTGTGGTTTTTTTAAAAAAACCCTCTGGCATTAATTAACTACTTTTGAATATGTTAGCTATATTCTGGAGGGATATTAGAAGTTCTCCATACCCGCAAGCCTTTTCTTCTGTAAGTGTCCATTGTGTATGTCTTGGGTCTTCAGAATTTTAATCCTTTAATAAGGGTTAATTAGCAAAGAAGTTAATGACATTACATTATGGAATAAAGGAATTGAACAGGATCTCATTACAACATGCATATATGGTACACAGGTGGACATCAGGACCTACCTCCTGTTTTATGGTTACAGAAGGAGGAAGTGGTGTGGAGTATAAGCAGCAAAGCAAGGTTTCCAAAAACATGATTTCTGACAACTGGTGATTGCTAACATGATCACTACACTGGAGGAGTGTTTCTCAGCAGGACCATAGAGTAGAGCAACAGGGAACCCAGAACCGTATTCCCTTAGATAATATGTCTCGGTCCAAGCAGGCAGCCCTGGAGAACAGCCTCCACAAAACAGGATAAAAGACCTAGGTATCAGAACAACAGTCCCTGAGGAGGGCTGGAAAAAGCAAGGTACAAACCAGTCCTTGAAAGACACTGAAGGAGAGAATCAAGCATATCGAATAAAATAGAAAGGATCTCTCTAATTACAACTGTGATAAGGTCAGGGCTTGAAAAAACTATGAACTAAACTCATCTGTAAAGTTCCCCACAGATTATGGAGGGAATTCTCAAGTACAGGGAATTGGAGGGTCATCCCGGATCCCTTGGGAGATTTCATCTTGCATAACTGCAGTTATTCCATGTTCACTGCTACTGGACTATGAGCACCCTCTGACTTAAAACAGAGAACACATTATCTTGTGCCACTTCTCCTATAGATGATTGTTTAGTGTGCTGAAAAAATGACTAATTAATACAACAATGTTATATTTTAGTGTAAGACTATGCTAAATGCTTCATACATATTATCTAATTTAATCCTTAAATCCTAAAGCCATTTACATATTAGAAAACTGAAATGGAGGAACTGGGATTTGGGTTCGTCTTTCTTGAAAGCTCTTAGCACTTAAATTTTCTATATATGAAAATATATTCCCTAAAAATATGGAGTAACCAGTTTCTTATCTTACCTCCCTCATAATCATACAATTAAAAATTTGTTTGACGTTTGACATTTTTAAGACTTTCCTTCATGTTGATTTTATCTTGTTAATAATTTTCAAGAAGGAGTTCCCTAGTATAACTGGGATTTTGAACATTTCCAATGAGGAGTGGGTTGTAAGGGATGATGATACAACATCACAAATAACCATATAAATCTTAGCTTCCAAAAGATCTTTTTAAATCTGGTTTTTCATTATATTAGATGTGTGTCCTCGGGAAAGTCACTCATCTTCCCCGAGTCATACTTTTCTTCTCTGTAAAACTTGGATAATACATAAAATAGAGTTTGTATTAGTCCATTCTTACATTGCTATAAAGAAATACTTGAGACTGGGTGATTTATAAAGAAAAGAGGTTTAATTGGTTCATGGTTCTGTAGGCTGTACAGGAAGCATGATGCTGCCTCTGCGCGACTTCTGTGGAGGCCTCAGGAAACGTATAATCATGGTTGAAAGCAAAGTGGGAGCCAGCACTTCACACATCTGGAGTAGAAAGGGAGGAGATGAAAGGGAGGAAGATGCCACATACTTTTAAACAACCAGATCTCATGAGAAATCTTTCACAAGAACAGCACCAAAGGGATGATGCTAAACCATTCATGAAGGATCTCCCCAACCATGATCCAATCACCTCCCACCAGGCCCCACCTCCAATATTGGGAATTACAACTGAAGATGAGATTCGGGTGGGGATACAGATCCAAACCACATCAGGGTTATCTTGAGTATTAAATGAGATTATGTATATAAAGAACCATGGTCTTTTATACATGGAACTTAATGTCTACTAGGGGATGATTAAACAAACAGAAAAGTATAAAATTAAACCAAAAATAGAGACCACTCATATAAAATGCATTAACAAATTATAATCAATTTCATGAAAAATAATGATTTTGAAACGTAAAGATCACAAGGAATATGAATCAAATGTTATTCATATTTTATCTTAACTATAATGAGATACTTTTGAAGGCTTTTAAGAGAAAGAGTCACCTCAGAGATTTTTACTTTAAATCAGTCATTTCAGCTGCTGTATGGAAAATGGAATGGAGTAGAAAGGAGGGTCAAAAAAAAAAAAGGAAATGTTAGGAACTTAGGTAAGCAACAAAAGTGCAAAGAGAGAAGTGGATGGAGTCAGGTCATACTTTGGAAGGTGATAGGCCTTTATGATGAATGAGATATAGGTGCTAAGGAGAAATGTCAGCTTGTGAAGGATGATTGTCAGATTTCTGGCTTTAGTAGCTGAGGCTAGAAAGTATGCAGGTAAAGCAGTTAGCTGTGGAAAAGAGATGATCAAGAGTTAAATTTTTGTGGTGTTTAAATCTTAGAAACATTGAAGATATCCAAGAAGATTTGCCAAATAACAGCAGGGCTATCCTGTCTGAGGACGTATTAAAACTATACGTTTGGGAAGTACCAGAAGTGGTACTGTTTCATAGCTATGGGAAAGGATGAGATCACTGATGGAGGATGTAGAGAAGAACCTGAAAAAATGGGCCCCAAAGAAATCCAACATTAGAAAGTAGAGGAACTGATTTTTAAAAATCTTAAGAATGACAAAAAGAAAGAAAGAAAGAAAGTGATGATTTATTATCTGTATGGCACAATTTTATACTTTAGTAGAAAGCTAAACTTTTTATTTTTTATTTGTATCTTTTTTTTTTAATGAGATGAACATTTTTGGGTAGAGATCATGATTCTTCTTCCTGGTGTCTTATATTCCAAAAGTTCAAGGAATCTTTTTGATTGATTTGAGAAGAGGGGGATAAAATAAAAATTCTAACGTATATCAGATTACTGAAAGTCATCTTACCTTCCATATCAAATCTTAGTAGTTTTAATAGACCATTAGGAAGATTCTAGCCCATCTCTTTGCATAAGAGAAAAGGAAAGTTTTCCTGGAAAAAAAAATCATTTTTTCCTTGTCTACTTAAATCAAATATTTTATTTGTTAGTAGAATCAGGCCATTCAATTGTAATAAAGACTCTAAATCAGAGGTTGACAAAATGGACAAGTATCTGATTATGTTTCTGGACTTATTCAATGGCTAATCAAAACTATAATTTTTACTTGATTACATTTAAGAAGGGTAACACTTCAGTTTTGTATCAGATAATCATGATACTAAAAAATCTATTAATATACTTCATAGCCTTTATACCACCTGCCCACAGGTACAATAATTACTGAAAGACAAAAAGAAAACTAGGAAGTAAGATTACTTCTAATAAGATTTCAGTTTTAATATTTAAATTATGGCTATATGGCTGGCAGGACAGATCTACAGAATAAATGAAAGCAGTTTAATGGAATATAACACAGGATTAAAAGTGAGAGATATAGGTCCTTGCATTTATCGTCTAACTGTAGTGGTGGTCTCACCTCTGCTTTTACATTCATTTATTTTAAATTTGGAGAATTGGAAATTCATGAGATGAGACTTTTGACCAAAAAGAAAACAACCCCATTATTTTGAGTAACCTATTTATTGTACTGCTCTGAATCAATTCAGGTAAATTTCAAGGCATGGTGTGTTTTCCCTTAGATTCCTATCATTATTTTAAAAGTAGTCAATAAATATTGTGTTTCTTTATATTTATTTATATTTTAATAAGTATAGAGCAAAAAAGCCCCACAATCCTGTTTTCTGGATAATTACAATTGACATGAAAAAGTAAGGAGCAATATGTAAATACTGGTAGAAAATGCAAACAATACCACAAGGTATGAAGTGAAAAGTAAAAGCCCTCATCCTCCTAACCCTGCTCGCCTTATTGAAGATAACCATTTTGAATAGTGCATGTGTAGCTTCCAAAAAGTATATATGTATATATGCATTCATTTGTTTGTTCAACAAATATTTATTGAGCATTTATTACACGAGTGTGGATATATGCATAAATAATATGAATATACACATATAATTACATGTATCACATATGATATACACATATGTGTGTATAATGTATTATATATAGAATATATATAAATGCTTATGTAATATATTACATCTACAAGATATATTCTTGCCTATCTGTAGGCACACATACATATGCACCCTGGTATAATTAGACACTTTAAAATGATTGTCAGTTACTGAGGTTACCTGCACACCAAATGTTTTCCTAAGTAGACAAGCATATAATTTTTCCTCTATTTCAAATATTTTTCTTACCTTCCTTCCTTTTTTCTCTTGATCCTTCCTTCCTTCCTTTTCTCATTTGCAAATGATAAATGATATAATAGATATTATTGTCTCTTAACTAATTTACTTAATGTATCTGTAGTTTTTCATTTCATTTTATTTTATTTTTTAAGGGGTGGGGGGCAGGGTCTCACTCTGTTGCCCAGCCTGGAGTGCAGTGGTGCAACCAGAACTCACTGCAGCCTCGACCTCCCAGGCTCAATCAATCCTTCTGCCTCAGCGTCCCGAACAGCTGGGACTACAGGCACGCACCACCACGCTCAGCTTTTTTTTTTTTTTTTTTTTTTTTGTAAAGACGGGGTTTGGCCATGTTCCACAGGCTGGTCTCTAACTTCTGACCAAGCGATCCACCTGCCTTGGCCTTCCAGAGTGCTGGGATTACAGGTGTAAGCCATCATGCCCGGTCCCACAGTTTTTCATTTTAAATATTATTTTTATGCTTGTTATAATATTAGGGATATCATAGGGGTTCTGAAGCCAGAATACCTGAGTTAAAGCCCCAGTTTCACAACTTACTAGTTGAGTGACCTTGAGCAAGTTTTTCTGAGTTTTTGTGACTCGGTTTACTTGCCTGCAAAATGGGGATAGAAAAGTACTGACCCAGAAGGGTTGTTAGGAAGAGTAAATGATTACATATAAAATGACTAGAGCAGAGACCAGGAGTTCAGTACATTGGTACATATTAGCTATTGATATTTTTCTTCTAATTTCACTTGCTAAAGAACTTCTTGTTTTAAAATGTATAACATGTGTTCAATTTATTAATTGCTGTATTGAATCATTCTTCCTTTTTGTCTGTTCTGTATTTTTTGCTTTTGGAAAAATTCTGCCTTAGAACAGGGCCAGTTCTCTTACTTCTTACTTATAAATTCACCTAATTACCATTGTGCCTAAAATAAACCCCCCTTGAGCATTTTAAAATCCATTCAATATCTCCTAAATTTTACCTTATTTTAAACTATTTACATGTTTAGAAATAAACATATCTAAAAATTTACTATTGCAAATAATTATAGGAAATAAAAAATAATCAAATTTACAGAATTTTGTGGATTGGGGGATTGTTTTGCATCCCGTGAGTATGTCTTTCTATTTTTATTCACATTCATGACTAAAAAAAACCCTCTTTTTCTTAAAGAACATTTCATTAAAATAATGTATTTCGAATCATGACTACTTATATGAAATATTTCATTAAAAATATATAATTTCCCACATGTTTGAGTCACATAATTGATTATGACATAGTCCTGACCCAAATAGTAGGCAAACTGGAATATTTATAACTCTCTATGAAGGAATAGTGTGATTTAACTCATAAATCTGGACTGTCCCTATATTATTGCATTGTATAACACAATATAATTCTTTAAATTAGAAATATTTCGAAAAATCTGAGTGTAATAAAATTGTGATCTACTTTTTCACATTTTTGACATATTAGTGTCAATTCCTCACTAAACAGAAACTAGTATTTGATTAATAAGCACTTAATATACACCAGAAATACAGAACATAGAAATTAACGTTAATTTACAAAGACTAAACACGGAGAATAGAATATAAAATATCCTTTTCCAGATTATCAGATTTGATAACTACCTTTTACTAGACTGAGAATGGGTTGTGAAAAACTAACAAGAATTCCTTAAAATTTTCAATAGTCAAGAAAATAGTGAAATATTCCCCCCTCAGGAATATATATAATGTCATCATTTATGTAATGTTACAAAATCATTTTCTATATTTGTAATAAGTATTTATGTTGGAAGTGTCTATAAAATTGATGATAAAAGCTGTGAGATAACATAAAGATGATTTTTAAAATGGCCTACAAAGTGATTGCAAAAAAAGACATTGAATTTAAGAAGAGGTATACATTGAGAAATGAGATATATTAATAGTTTTAGGTTTTCAAACATCATTTTTGGGAAAGTACACTTAGAAATGGGCTTTCTCAAATCCAGGTATTGAAAAAATGTTTTATTGAATTTTTTAATAACCAACTCAGATATCCACTGGAAGGTAAGATCATGGAGGATTGAATTTTTGTCTGTTTACTGCTAGCTTACTGCTCTTTCTCTAACATCTAGGAGAGGGCCTGAAACGTAGCAGGAGCTCAACAGACATTGAATGAATACATGAATCTACTTATAACCTTGTTGACATTTTTCTAGGCCAAACTTATTGGAGCAAAATTACAGACAGTAGAACCCTGGGATTTTGCCAATCATTTCATCTGAATCTTGAAGTTGATCCAAATAAGTGTGTAAGGAAAACTTTCATCCTATTCTTGGTTCATCTCTGAGCTGAGGCAGAATACATATTTGTGTAAGGTGAAAATTTTATGATAGAGTGCTGTCTTATAAAACCCTAGCTTTAATATCAAGGCATGAAGGCTGGTTTTTAACTAAAAACACAAGAGTAGTAGTTGAGAGACCGTATAGTAAACCATTTACTCCTTACAGCTGTCAAAGCTTAGCTGAGAGAAGCACTCTGTAATAAAGATTTGTTATTTGCTTAACTATACTTAAGCAGTACATTTTTACCTCCACGTGCTCTGAAATCTGTTACTTTAATAATTTATTCCAGCACAGAGCTAATTCCTGTAACTGTGAACCTGCTGTATCTCTCTGGTGGAATTGGACTTCGTCACGATGACATTGGTTTATATCTAGGAATATTATAGAAAATGTCCCTAAAATATTGCAATTGTGTTTTCTGTAAGCTAGTTATTGATAAATTTTTAATTACATTACATGAGGGGATTTTATTTCAGGTTTTATGTCAGGATGGGTTGCATTTGTCTAATGGACCATATACATTTTTTAATGGTTCAACTGACCATGTTTGCAATTTTATGTTTTCTAAAGCTTACATATAAACTTCTAAGCTACCTACTGGAATGTGATTATTTTGATCTCAATGTTTATTTATGTGTGTGTGTGTGTGTATTCACTTCAATTCTTGCTCAATTTTATATCTTATTCTTGTTTTGCTTTCTTTTTTCTTACATATATTTAATTTATATCTTAAAATATACATGTCCTTATAAAGCACATTAAATCAATTGTAGAACAAGGTGGAAATTATTAATCAGTCAATTATTGGCTAATAAACAACTTTAAAAATTAAAAAATTAAAAATTAAAAATTTAAGGTAATTGGCTGGGTTATCAAATGACTTTGCAGTTGGAAAGATGACTTCATCATTATGGAAAACACTAAACATCAGACAGAGGGCAGCACATCAAAGTATAAAATTCTACGGGGAGAGAACTTTGTTAACCTGGAAAATACTTTTCAATTTTGTTCATTTGTGGTTCAAATCTATTTGTATAGAAAGAGAAGGATGGAGAGAAAAGGAAGACAGTGCCAAGAGAATAAATGAATAAATAGATTGATAACACCAATATAAGAAAGAAATAAGGATCTTCAGGGGTGTTTTAGCTGCTCACTATGCATCCTCATTGCATCTTGAGAGCATTCCGATGTCCCCAGGGAATAGCTGACATCAGATTTGGGCATCCCAATGAATTCTTTCTGGGTGATAGGGAAGGGGTTGTTGGAAAAGCTTTGTCAGAGCCCCTTAATGTCTGAAACTCTCTCCTGTCCCTGATTGCGTCTCATCACACTGGACTTTAGGTTTCTAAATTCTCAGAGGTGACTCTCATGGTCATATGAGGAAGCCTATTATTCAGTCCTTAATTACCTTCCCAAATATCACCTCCCAGAACAGGGGTTAAATCTGACTGCTGCAGCCTGGGCACATTCTCTGATAATATTTTAGCCTCATATTCCATGCAGGACAGGTGAGATCGTATATCAAGGATTTAGAAAAGGCCTCAGGATAGTCTGGCTGCCTGAGTTGGCAGATGGGGCAATCCTTCAGGCCCTGAGGGAAAGCTGAGCCAGGCAGGTTGTAAATGGCCAGGGAGGTTTCTGCAGGGTTGTATTTCTTGGGGACTGAAAGGCAGATGACCTTTAGATTCCTGAGAAGGTTCCGGATATGTAGTATATTATGACTTCACTACATCAAATTCCCCCTTTCCTCCTAAGTACTCAACCAGACACTCCTCATTTACTGAACTCATAAAATCTCCACTCATGGATAGAACTAATTATTCCCTAGTTTCAGACCTAGGTTCTGCTGCCTCCACTTTATAGTATTATAGGTAGAGTTGGGACAAAATCATTATAGATGGTGCCAAGGAATGCTATTATGGACTGAGAGGTCAGGCAGAGTGTCATTTTTACTTTCTAAAACAGAAATCCATTTAACTCATACTAAAAGTCATACTTAAAAAGGTTTTGATGTATCACATAAAGCCACTGTGTTTTCTTTAAATTTTGTCTCCTTTTAGTTTTATAAATTCTCATATTTGAACCTATAATTAAGAATTAATGTTGGTTTAGTGGTCTTGGAATTCCTAGAATAGAAAACATTTTTTTGTGGTTTGTTCATTTGTTAGAGTGTTTTGTTCCTCCCAATTTTAAAGTAGGAAAGAAGGGAAAATCATTAAGAATATTACCATTTAAGCATACCATTTTGAATTTTGACTTGAGGTAGAGCCTTGTTTCCAGGTAAGAAAGATGAAGGAATGAGGAACAATAAAAGTGTAATCTGAATTATTTGGAGATCTTTAAAAAAAAAAAACACCCATTTTCTTTATTCCTTATGGTTTGGGAGGAAGAAATGAGGAACAGAATGGACATGGTGAGCAAATACTTCTTGTATCCTCCATTCTTCTGGTTAGAAAGCACTGGAATAAACATTTAACACTTTCAAGATGGGATATTTGCTAATTTACAAACACTGCTTGTGCAGAGTTTTAGCTTGTTTGCTTTCAGATCCCTTCTTGCTTTACTTAGTATCACTAGATGAGGGCTTGCAGGGAGAGCAATCCTTGCAGGCTGTGTTTTTGGGCCCTCCCTGTATCAGCTGATTACATGGGTTTAGCCAAAGGGAGTCACAGACAGAAGGTCAGAGGGAGAGTGAAGGGGAAGAGCCAGGGTCTTTCCCCCATCTGTGTGACTCAGGCAGCATCCCTCTCAGTGTCTGAGTCTCTCCATGGCTCTGGATTTCATTGATGGATCTGCTGTATTTCAAATTCTGTCAGACAACCCTGGCCTTTGGGCTCTAGTGAACAGCCTCCTCCAGGCTGCCTGCTGCTGCTCATTTGTAGGTTGCCTCACCATCCCCTGGTCATCTTTTAGCTCTTTCATCACGTGGGGGATTGATTCCCTGTATTGTTTCCTCTGGTTTAAACACTTAGTATAATTTTTATTTTTCTGTTTCAAACTGAATGATATACCATTACAGCATTTACCTTATGCCTAAAGTAAAGAAAATTGAAAAGCATAAGTAGATTTTCTCGATCAGCTAATATTTATTCAAGCACAAATTGGAGAAAGCCTACCATGACTTCCTTAAGATAGTGTATTTAATGGCTCTCCTAACAAAAACACCAAGGATCACAGCTTGATTTAGAAGTCTAATGGTATGACCAGAATTCAGTTCACTGGATTGACTTCTTGTTTATTTGTTTTGTTCCCTTTAGATTGGCAACATTCTCAGACTTTATCTCTCTTTATCATAATACAAATTTCAAAAGAATAAAGAAGGAACTCTCCTAATAGCCACTAGCCTCCTGGAGGGAGACAGTTTTGGTTGCTGGGTCAGCTCCTCTGGCTCTGCTGCCTGCAGTGATTGAGTCTCTTCCAGACCCAGGCTGCTCCACTTTGCATCTGACCTTCCAAGCCGGGCTAGGTCCTGTCCCAGTCCAGTTTCTCTATTTATTGACTTCATCAGAAAGTTGAAGGTGTTGACAGAGTTTGTAATGTGATTTGTGAAGTTCAAACGAAGCCTTCTGAAATGAAAGGACTGCATTTCCTAATGGCCACTAATGCCCGGTAATAAACACATACTCATCAGATAATGAATACTTAGTTTGTTTTGGAATAAAAGTAGAAGTTTTATTAATTACCAATTCCTAGTAGAAATCTAAGTTGCCTTTAAACCTCAGTCAGTGCAGTGTGAATTCACAAAAAGAAAGACCACAAATATGAAAGTAGAAAAACTAAGCTATAAGAATGTTGTTATTTTAAGGGGCCAGTAAATAGCACTCTTCCTCTTTGGAGTTCTGAACAAATTTATGTAAATTATAAAAGAATCAGAAAGATAGTTAATGGACTATTGTTTTTATTATTGGAAAGGCTATAGTGGTCTTTCCAGAGCAGATATAATCACTGAGGACTGTTGCTTTATATCTCTGAGTCTTCAAACAGAGAATGAGATGGACCTTCAGAACTGCCTCTAGCAAGTGAGTCTAACTCCGGACCTATGGGTGGTTGCTCCCTGAAATAGGAACAGAGAAGAATGCACTCACCCTAGTTAATCTGAATAGAGAAAGGAGAAAGGCCCCAAGTTGAACAGGCTCAACTGTTTTTCAGCTCCACCAATGAGATGTCAACCATCCTTTCAAGAGTGGGTAGAAATTATGAAGTGATAGAGGTTTTTATTTTCCAGACTCAGGCTGGAATACTGGAGTGAAAATGAAAGGGTCTTTCTGCAAGCACCTATAGGATATGTGTAATATTTTTATCTGTGAATTTCTTACCATTGGATAAAGTCTCAATAAATGTGTTACATTAAAATGTGAAACACAAAGCAAATGATTCAAAAAAATCAGCATCGTGATTTTCACTTAAGTAGGAATCCAATACCAAATCCCTACTGGACTTAGCACAAAAAATGACTGTGGCTAATACACCAGACTATAAGTATTATTGTCTGCTGAGAATCACAAACAAAATTTTTGAGCCTTTTTCTAGAAACATGATATATCAGTCAAAAGAAATTATTTTGACATTAAATGTTACTGTTCTCCCAGAGGGAGTTTAATGTGATTTTATACAACTAATGAAAGCAAAATCTACATTCATGAAAAGAGGGACAAGGCTTTTGGTTGGGTTAGTCTCAAAAAAGCCAGAGAGAAAAAAATTCCTTAGAGTCATGCTTTCTTTCACTTAGACAATGAGAAGAGATTAAGGCAGTACCCTTCCAAATAAGACATGTTTACCTTTTCACAGAGATTTCTGAAAAAAATTTAACCTCTAGAAATGATAGCCATAAAATTAAGGATGCTGGGTGGGAGGTAGAGTGTATTTTGCAGTGAGCATGCCACATTTTCAACATCACTTGGGTCCTAAAGCTTAAGAAGCCTCCATTCTACAAATAAGAATAGCTCTATTTATATCTTTTTTGTTGTTGACAAAGACTTTTTATAATAACTTTATGTTTTGAAATTACCTCAAACTTAGAGTAGTTGCAAGAAACACGGAACTTCTGCATAACCTTTACCTAGGTGCCTTGACTGTTAATATTTTGCCACATTTGTTTCATCATTCTCCTTTTCCTTGTCTCTCCCACCTCATATATTTTTAATAAACATTTAAAAGTTGCAAATATGGTACCTCTTTATCCCTAAATACTTTGGTGCATATCGCTTAAGACAAAGATTTTCTCTTATAAAACCACAGTGCAATTATTAAAGTTGGAAAATTAACTTTGATACAGTATTATTATCTAATCTATAGACCTTATTCAAGTCTTGCTAATTGTCAAAATATTGTTCTTTATATAGTTAGCCTTTTAATTAATTCTGACTCTTCCTGGGTTCAGACTTTAGATAAAGCAGAGATACAGAAGGCAAGAGGTGTTGTACCTGTTGGTGAGGTGGCCTTTCTTATACTTAGATTCTTATACTTGGATGTTGAGTATTAGGTCAACATCACTAATGATTAGGGAAATGCAAATCAAAATCACAATGCAATACCACCTTACACTCCTGCAAGCATGGCCATAATCAAAAAATAAATTAAAAAATCAAAAAACAATAGATGTTGGTGTGGATGCGGTGAACAGGGAACACTTCTATACTGCTGATGGGAATATAAACTAGTACAATCACTATGGAAAACAGTAGATATTCCTTAAAGAACTAAAAGTAGAACTACCATTTAATCTAGCAATTTCACGACTGGGTTTCTACCCAGAAGAAAAGAAGTCATTATACAAAACATATACTTGAACATGCATGTTTATAGCAGCACAATTCGCAACTGCAAAAATGTGGAATCAACCCAAATGCCCATCAACCAACGAGTGGATAAAGAAACTGTGATAAATATGAATGATGGAATACTACTCGGCCATAAAAATGAATGAATTAATTGCATTCACAGTGACCTGGATGAAATTGGAGAGTGTTATTCTAAGTGAAGTAACTCAGGAATGGAAAACCAAACATCATATGTTCTCACTCATAAGTGGGAGCTAAGCTATGAGAATGCAAAGGCCTAAGAATGACACAATGGACTTTGGGAACTTAGGGGTAAAGGGTGGGAAGGGGGCCAGGGATAAAAGACTACAAATTGTGTGCAGTGTATACTGCTCAGGTGGTGGGTACACCAAAATCTCATGAATCTCATGAATACTAAATAACTTATGTAACCAAACACCACCTGTTTCCCAATAAACTATGAAAATAAAAAAAATTAATTGAAAAATAAAAAATAAAACAAGTTCTAAGAGGCTTTAAAAAAGAAAGAAAAGAAACAGGTTTCCACCCCCTACATGAGTTTCTATCTCTTACAGGTGGATATTACTATAATTAGAGGAATCCCAATGCAACTGGCCAATAAGCACATGGAAAGGTGCTCAACATCATTAGTCATTAGAGAAATCCAAATTAAAACCATGATGAGATGCCTCTTCACACCACTAAAATGGCTAAAATTGGAAAGACTGGCAATGGCAGGTGTTGGTGAGGAAATGGAGCCACTGGAACCCTTGTGCTCTTTTAATAATAGTGAAAAGTGATGCTGCTCCTGAAGCCGATGGCTTGGCATTGTTGCAAAATTAAATAAGCACTTACAATGCAATCCATTATTTCCACTCCTAGCTATTTATGCAAAAGAAATAAAAATATATTTCTACAGAAAGACATGTAAAAAAAAAAGAGCATTCATTATTGCCTTGTGTAAACATGAGCTTTGACCTGAAAAGGCTGTCCTAAGGTTTGCTTTCAGAGAAGCTTCCCTGGCACCTCTTCTAAGTCATATTTAATGTTACCTAGCAGACCAAGACCTCCAGTTTCCTTAAAGACTCTGCACCACCCTCTTAATGCTCCTATGGATGGTCCCACAAATACTTCCCTGCAAGCCCTCCACCCTGACTTGGGGCATCTGCCAGTATTCCTTTCTAATCGGCTTGGATTCCTACATGGTCTTCCTCTCGGCATGTAACATCTTACTGCCAGTGTTGTCCTGATATTGTGTTACTTCCTCCTGATGACTCTGAGAGATTTTACAAGTTCTGTGATCGCACAGAGATTTTGGATGAAACTGGACACTGTATTGTCCCCTAATTCTCTTTTCTATATGCACTAAATTTTCACACTCCCTGCTTTCCTCCCTCTCTTGCTAGCCATTCCCATTCACATTATAGCTCTTAGCCAGACCTTTGGGACCAAGGTTCCTGATTCACTCTGAAGCTTTCATCACCCAAACTTACCCTATCAGAATGAGGCTGGTCTCATACCTTCCCAGGCCTGTGATAAAGATCAGTAGGGATTGATCTATTTGTGTGCCCATTGTAGAATATACATGAAAGCTCATGCACATACACACACGACCATACACACGTGTGCTCACACACACAATGTGAATAGGTTTAACTGAAAGCTTTATACTGCCGGCATCAGAATCTATTATGTTATTCTTTAAGCAAGTCAGGAGATGGATTCAATGTCAGATTTGCTTATTACTATTCAGATAAACAGATAAATCTTCTTGCAACTAGCCATCTTCAATCTCAGGGTTTTCTTAAATGTAATGAAGTTACTATTAGACGGCAAGCTGGAGGGTTTAGCTACAGGCAGAACAGGCAGAGGAATAACTGGTGAAGCTCAGAGCTTAGAAAACTGGATGCACAATGTTTCTCTGTTGGATAAAAGACAAAATAAAGAAATCTAAATTAAAATATGCTAGGGCTAGTTGCAAGAAACTAGTTCGGGCACCTCAAACAAAATGCTTTCCTGCAATTTTGGTAACATTCTCCCAAATGGCCCTTGTAAGGTTAGCGTAAGTCCAAGAGATAAACAGAGGGTTAAGATATCCAATGCTTATGAGAAAGAAAATTATAGTATCTTTAATAAAATCACTTAATCACAACTATTAAAAAACTAGATACATGTTAACCACTAATTACCTACATTTACATATTACAAAGGAATTTTTAAGTGAATACTACAAATTGGCTTAGATAAATACCTTCTTATTTATATAAGCTTGTCTTCAATTGCTACTTAAATGCTCCTCACTCTGGTTTTCTTCCCAGAGGTCAGAGGTCTTCTCTGTCATTCTTGAAGTGGGCAGCAATGCCACAGAGGTTTCTGCAAGAATGACCTGTGCTAACTGCTTGACCTTATTTGAAATCGCTGACTCTTTAGTCTCTTTTGTGCTTCTCATGCTCCTGACTGCTGGATTTCTTCCCAGTTTTTCTTCTTTGACCCTCCATTTGATTTTACAGACAGAACCATAAATCTCCTGTCTACTCTCATTCTTTTTTCTCTTTGCTTTATTTATGTATTTAAAAATGAATAGTCTTTATTTTTTTACATGACTCTTAGGCTTACAGAAAAACTGAGGAGAAAGTAGAGAGTTTCTACATTTCATCCCCCACCCCAATCTTCCCCACTAACAACTCGGGGCACCAGAGCGGTACATTTGTTACAATCAATGAACCAATATTGACGCATCATTATCAACCAGAGTACATAGTTTACATTAGGATTCACTCTTGGTGTTGTACATTATACCAGTCTGACAGCTATACAATGACATGAATCTGTCATTATAGTATCATACAGAGTAGTTTCACTGCTCTAAAACCCCTCTGTGCTACAGCTATTCATGTCTCCCCCTACCCAACCTCTGGAAACATTGATCTTTTTGCTGTCTCCATAGTTTTGCCTATACCAGAATGTCATATAGTTAGAATCATACAGTATGTACCTTTTGAGATTGGCTTCTTTCACTCAGCAATATGAATTTAAGGTTCTGCCACACTTTTAAAGGCTTGATACCTCATTTTGTTTTTTTTAGTTCTGAATTATATTCTATTGTGTGACTGTACCCATAATTCATTTATCCATTCACCTACTGAATGATATGTTGGTTTCTTCCAAGTTTTGCCAATTATGAATAAATCTACTATAATCATTCACATGCAACTTTTTATGTGGATATAAGTTTTCAACTCATTTAGGTAAATATTAAGGAATGCTATTGCTGGATTTTGTGTAAGAGTATGTTTAATTTTGTAAGAAATTGTCAAACTGTCTTTCAGAGTGGCTGTACTGTTTTGCAGTCACGCCAACAAACAATGAGAGTTCCTGTTGCTCCTGGTTAACATTTGGTGTCATGTGTGTTTTGAAGTTTAGCCATTGTCATTTTGATTAGCATTTTCCTAATAACGTATGATGTGGAACATCTTTTCCTCTTTTTTGGTGGGGATTCTATTCAGATATTTTGGCTATTTTTATTTTATTTTATTTTTATTTATTTATTATTATTATTTTTTGAGACGGAGTCTCTCTCTGTTGCCCAGGCTGGAGTGCAGTGGTTTGATCTCAGCTCACTGCAACCTCTGCCTCCTGGGTTCAAGCGATTATTCTGCCTCAGCCTCCCGTGTAGCTGGGACTACAGCTGTGCACCACCACACCTGGCCAATTTTTGTATTTTTGGTAGAGACGGGATTTCACCATATTGGCCAGACTGGTCTCGAACTCCTGACCTCTTGAACCTCCCGCCTTGGCCTCCCATAGTACTGGGATTACAGGCATGAGCCATCGCACCCAGCCTTGGCCATTTTTTAAACTGGTTGGTTTGTTTATTTGTTTTACTGTTGAGTTTTAATAGTTCTTTGTATGTTTTTGGGTTAAAGCCCTTCATTAAATATGGCTTTTGGAAATATTTTCTCCTAGTCTGTGGTTTGTCTTTCCATTGTCTTGACAGTATCTATTGCAGAGCAGAAGTTTTGAATTTCACTGAAGTCTGATTTCTTAATGTTTTCTTTTATGAATCATGTTTTGGATTTTTATCTAAAAAGTCTTTGCCAAACCTAAGGTCATCTGGATTTTCTTTTATCATCCTGGAGTTTTATAGTTTTGCATTTTACACCTAGGGATGTGATACATTTTGAGTTAATTTTTGTGAAAAGTGTAAGGTCTACGTCTACAATTAGTATTTTTTTTGCATGTTGATTTTCAGTTGTTCCAGCACTCTTTGTTAAAAAGACTATTCTTTTTCCATTGAATTGCCTTTGTACATTTATCAAACATGAGCATTTCTTGCTTATCTATTCAATTCCATTGATCTGTTTGTCTGTCCTTTCACTATTACCTCACTGTCTTGATTACTGTAGCTTTATAATAAGCTTAATAAGCTTTGAAATTGAGTAGCTATCAGTCCTCCAACTTTATTCTTCTTCAATATTGTGCTGGCTATTTGGGGTCTTTTGTCTCTCAATGTAAACTTTGAAATCAATTGTTGATATCTGCAAAATAACTTGGTAAGGTTTTGATTGGAATTTCATTGAATTTGTACATGAAATTGGGAAGCATTGACCACTTAACAATGTTGAGCTTTCTCGATTCATAAACAGAATATCTCTTCATTTATTCAGTTCTCCTTTGATTTATTTTATCAGTTTTGTAGTTTCCTCATATAGATATTATACATATTTTGTTATATTTATACTTAAGGATTTCTTTTATTTTGGTGCTAATATAAATAGTATTGTGTTTTTAATTTTAAATTCCAGGTGTTCATTTGCTGGTACATAGGAAAACAATTGACCTAACCTTGTATCCTGTAAGCTTGCTATAATTGCTTGTTAGTTTCCAGAGTCTTTTTACAAAATATATTTTTTACTCTTTGAGATTTTCTACATAGAAAATCATGTTATCTGAAAACAATGATTTTTTTTCCTTCTTTCTTAGTCTGTATATCTTTTATGTTTGTTGTTGTTGTCTTATTGCATTAGCTAGGGCTTCCAGTATAATGTTGAATAGGAGTACTAAGGAAACATCCTCATCTTGTCCCTTAACATAGTGGGAAAGCATATGGTTTCTTACCATTAAGTATGATGTTAGCTGCTAGGTGTTCTTTTTTTCCCCAGATATTCTTTATCAAGTTGAGGAATTTCTCCTCTATTCCATGTTTGCTGAAAATTTTTATCATGAATGTGTGTTGGACTTTGTCAAATGCTTTCTCTGCATCTATTTATATGATCATATGATTTTTCTCCTTTATCCTATTGATGTGATTAATTGTATTAACTGATTTTTTAAAGTTGAACCAGCCTTGTATACCTAGAATAAGTGTCACTTGGTTGTGGTATAAAGTGTTTTTATACATGTTAGACTTAAGTTGTTAGTATTTTGTTGGGGATTTTTCTATTTTGTTCATGAGAAATATTGTTGTATAGTTTTTCTTTCTTGTAATGTCTTTGCTTTGGGTATTAGGGTAATACTGGCTTAATAGAGTGAATTAGAAAGTATTTCCTTGGCTTCTATCTTCTGGAAAAGATTGTAGAGAATTAGTATAATTTCTTTCTCAAATGTACGATAGAATTAACAAGTGAACCCATTTGGACGGCCTTTTTTCTTTTCTTTTCTTTTCTTTTCTTTTTTCTTTTCTTTTCCTTTCCTTTCCTTTCTTTTCTCCTTCCTTCCTTCCTTCCTTCCTTCTTTCCCTCCCTCCCTCCCTCTCTCTCTCTTTCTTTCTCTTTCATCTGTCTTTCTTTCTTCCTTTCTCCTTTCTTCTTTGTCTTTCTTTCCCTCCTTCCCTCCCTCCCTCCCTCCCTGCCTTCCTCCCTTCCTTCCTTCCTGCCTTCCTTCTTTTCTTCCTTCCTTCCATTATTTATTTATTCCTCATAATTTAGAGTATTCTTCAAGAGAAAGATGAAGGCCATCAACTTAGGGTTAGCGCCGTTTCCAGTGAACCTCAGTGTTGACTTCTGTTAGACCTAGTGGCAATGTTACTGGTATGTTGCATGCTGCTCTCTAAAGACTATCTTTAAAAGGAAAAAAAAAAAAGAACTTACATATTTTGCAATTAAATATTCCCTTTCCACTATCTAAAGAGACAGGATTTCTGCTGCAGGCTTCTGATCAAGTTGCTTACTTTCGGTTCCCTCTGAACCAGAATTTTTGAAGAAATGTGCACTTTATTTAAATATTTTAAACTAGTGTTGTAGTGGCGTTTTTCACTTAGGCAGATAGGTTGAGATTCTTGTGTTTCACCACGCTGCTGATGGTATTTCTACTTGTGTTATGATTGTGACTGCAAAGCCAGGCAAAGGGTCAGCAATACTTTCTGCACTAACTACTAATGAAGCCTTCATGGTTTTAAGTTCCTGTAGGTGAGCTTTAAGACCCTCTGTACCTGGGTAAAATCAGCCTGTGGCTGCATATGGGTGCTTTGCTGCACCCAGAATTTAGGGCTGATATACTCTGTCTCCTCTTTACTGTACCTTACTACCTGTCAGGCACTTTATATACAAATCTCATTTATCCTGACAACAACCTTGTATTCATCATTGTTCAAATGAGGAAAATAAAACTGTGGTTAAAAAGCCTCCCTCAAATGACAAATAAGTCTGAAATTGAACACAGGTTTGTCTGACCCCAGGTGATGTTTCTAATGACTATGACATATAACATCATTTACAAGTATGAATTGAGTACCTAAAGGGTCAGAAACTAATATGGTAGAACATGAAGTTTTGCTAAAATTTGGTCCATTTATTCATGGGACTTATAATTTAATTAGGGATAGAAGAAAGATACAAATGAAGTACCTTAGAACACAAGGAAGGGAAATAAGAATGAGACTGAAATAGTTAAAGAAGACATTATGAGATCATGATGCTTGGACTAAGGTTTGCATGAAGAACCAGTTACAGAACGGAGGATATGGTATGGCAGGCCTATTGCTCAATGGCACAGAATGAGCTAAGGTAAAAGTAGAAATGAGCAAAATGTGCATTAAGCTGTAGCTTCATGGGAGGAAGGTCTGTATTTGATTCATTTCTGAATCCAGTGTACCTAATGTGATACATAATAATCAAGTGTCCAATGGATGTTTGTGGGTTGAGACACTAAGAGACTGTGTCTAAAAGAGGAAGGGTTTGAACTGAAGGTAAAAAGAGAGAAGATTAGAAAGGTAGTTGGTCTGTAAACGACTCTTAAGGGCCTTCCAAGCACTAAAAAGTATGATCTTCTGAATGTCAGCTTATAACATTGGAATTAATCTGCTAGGAAATAAAGAATTTGTGTTAGAGGAAAACATAATGAAACAAGTGTTGGAAAGCATAATCTGAGATGGGAGAGAGAAAGATGACAGGGAAGCTAAAAGTAAGACTATTGCAAAAATCTAGTTTTGGGGGAGGCTACTTTGGCCTAGGATGTAGGAAGCTAGAAAGAGTAGCTCCCAGCCCAACAATAAAAAAAGACAGATAGACCACTAGACCTAAACTTTTGTCAGCCCCATCTGGTGAATTCACAGGGCAGCCAACAGTCTGAAATTTAAGATAAGACAGGTGCCTCCAAGGACCTGAAAGGCAAACACTGGCTCACCTATGGGCAGAGTGTGGGCAGAATGAGGGCTGCCATACATATGCCCTTGGGGCATAGACAGCAGTGTTTGCACCCACTTATAGGCTCTTCTCCGTGGGACATCCCACAAAAAGATTAGAAGAATAGAAGGCAGATGAAAGGACTGGAAAATTCCGCTGGACAGAATCTTTCTCTCCTATAGAACAAAAGCCTGTCTGAGGTCACTGAGGGAAAGGCAGCAAATCCTGTTGTCCCAGGTACAGGTGAAGACCACTGCTGCTGCCAGAGAGAGGGCGAAAGAAATGCCCTCTGACTTTGGGGGAGGAATAGGAAAGTATCCTGGGTCAAGCCTATTTAAGGGCTCCTACTGCTGGACAGGGCAGGAAATACTGTCTTGCAGAAGACTCACCTAAGACACAGAGCAGAGTTTGGCTGTCATAGGTAAGAAGACAGCATCACTAAACACCACCTCTAGAATCCAGCAACACAGGATTCACCTAAGACTAAAGTTGGGCAATGACAACAGAGAAATTCCCAACCCCTTTCCCAGGTAATAAGCAACAATGGTCCACCTTGGGGAGAGGGGCAGGAGTGTGGAGAGATGCTCTCTGAGGCATAGGCACAGGGATGGCTGAAAGCTGAGGGTGGAGCTGGGGAGAAAACCCCTCCAGCAGCTTGCCATTTTGTATGCTGTGCAGAGGATGAACTGCAGGGAGGCAAGGATCCTAGCAGAGAGACCAGGTAAGCAGTAGCTGCAATAATCCATGTGAGATTATCCAAACCACCACCATAGGCTTGGACAGCGTGGCAGCAGTAGTAGAATGTGAAGTGGTGTGATTCTGATTATGTTTTGAATCTAGAACCCTCAGATTTGATTTGCTGATGAAACCCTCAGATATGCTGATCCATTAGATATAGGATGTGAGAAAAATATAGGAGTCAAAGACAGTCTCTTATATTCAGACTGAAACTGAAAGGTGGTGTCATTTACCAAGTTGGGGAAGACTAAGGTAGGGAGAAGGTGTGGGTGGTAAAACAAGAGTTCTGGACATATCCTGTAGAAATCTATTCGTAACCATTTAGGGGCTTCATAATTATCTCTGCATTAGCCTTTATATCTTTGTGTGTATTGGAGACCAGCCCTGCATATGAGCTGCTAAAGGAAAGGCTTGTAGAACTATAGGCAGCTTCGTTTTTATCAAGATGCTTCTGCCATGAGGAACTGAACTTTTCCCTGGTTCACTTATATTAGGTGGCCTTACTTTCTTGATTTGCAAGATGGGGATCTTTTCATCCATAGTCATAGTTGTGTTTTGTGTTGGGTAGGAAATGTGACTTAAAATTTTAGAGGTGATGCTTACCACCTTATTACAAGTCATTTAACGACCTTTACAGATTCCATGACTGCTTAATTTTCTGACACCATCCTTCCTTTTCTGAGTCTCACTTAGAGTCAGTGGTGCATGATTGAAGTTTATGTCTTCTTAGGTAGGGATTACAAACTTTATTGGAAGAATGGGGAAACTGAGGCTCCTATGAAGTATTAATACCTTCATTATTTGGCCGTCAGAATTGGTTAAGATGTGCAAGAGGGAAATTATATTTCAAAATAAAGGCAGGGCACGGTGGCTCACGCCTATAATCCCAGCACTTTGGGAGGCCGAGATGGGCAGATCACCTGAGGTTGGGAGTTCGAGACCAGCCTGACCAACAAGGAGAAACCCCATCTCTACTAAAAATACTAAATTAGCCGAGTGTGGTGACTTATGCCTGTAATCCCAGCTACTCGGGAGGCTGTGGCAGAAGAATCACTTGAACCCGGGAGGTGGAGGTTGCGGTGAGCCAATATCGCGATATTGCGCTCCAGCCTGGGCAACAAAAGTGGAACTCTGTCTCAAAAATAAATACATAAATAAATAAATAAAATAAAACGAAATAAAATAAAATGGGTCTGCTGATACTATTTCTCATTGGCTTAAAGTGGGAGGAACAAACTGCCCTTCTTCTGAGCTAACTTCCAACGGTATTCTGATTAAGCACAGGAAATGGAGTGGTGTTTAACTCCTGGGAAGTAGGGAAGACTTTCTTCACAAAAGGGAATGTTTAGGTGAAGGATAAGGGAAACTGATAAAGCAGCCCTCAAGTTCAGGCTGAAAGTCCTCAAGTGCTGAGAATTTCAGTGATGTTTGCTGACAACGTCCATCAAAAACACCTGAACTTTTTAGGCCACATTCAAGATCTCCTTCAGAGTTGTCGTGCTGTGGCCAAGACTTGGTATTAAAAAGCCCAGTGATAACCTCAATTTTAGGTCTCTAAGGTGTACCTTGAAGCTTCTGATTTTCTCATTTCTGTCCCCCACAAATAGTAATATTTATCATGTATTAAATGTTGACTTTGTATCAGGCACTCTGCAAACATTATCTCATTGAATTTGCTGGCCAACCCTGAGAGAAAGGTGTATTTATGTTTTGCAGACAGGAGTCAGACTGAAGAAAGAGGCTAGCTTGTTTTCACATGGCTAATGAGTTGGTGAATACAAATTTGCACCCATGTCTGCTGAGTTCAAAGCCCATACCCTTTCCTATTGTGCTTTGTGGTCTTTCGAATTTTTGTAGAGCTCAACATTTTTAGGCCATGTATCAATTGCTTTGCATTAGCCTAACCAGCACACTTGCCTTTATTCAGCATGATTGGGTGCTGAGTTATTTATGTTATTATTCTGATAAATGAAGTCACCGCAGTACATATAAAATGCCAACTTCCAAAGAACTAGAATACATAAAAGGTCTACATAAAATGTTACTGAATTAAAAATTACTAGTATCAGTCTGTGGCCTATTAGAAACCAGGCCACACAACAGGAGGTGAGCGGCAGGTGAGCAAGCAAAGCTTCATCTGTATTTACAGCTGCTCCCCATGGCTCACATTACTGCCTAAGCTCCACCTCCTGTCAGATAAGTGGCAGCATTAGATTCTCATAGGAGCACAAATGCTACTGTGAACTGCACATGTGAAAAAGGTAGGTTGGATGTTCCTTATGAGAATCTAATGCCTGATGATTTGTCACTGTCTCCCATCACCCCCAGATGGGACAGTCCAGTTGCAGAAAAACAAGCTCAGGGCTCCCACTGATTCTACATTCTGATGAGTTGTATAATTATTTCATTATATATTACAATGTAATAATAATAGAAATAAAGTGCACAATAAAGGTAATGCGCTTGAATCATCTTCAAACTATCCCCCCACAGCTAGTTTGTGGTAAAGTTGTCTTCCATAAAACTGGACACTGGTGTCAAGAAGATTGAGGACTGCTCTCTTATGGTACCTTAAGATTATTATTATGAACCTTGATCATTATTAGACAGTATTGAACAAAGGAATTCTATTCATTTTGTGTTCTTGTTCTTTGGATAATTAATAATAGGCAACTTAACACATAGAGTTTCATATGAAAAAATTCAGTACCATGTTCTTTGTAGATTCAAAGAACATCCAAATCTTCTGTCAACTCTATTCATTTTATAAGGAAGGGCAGCCTTATCTTTCATGGGATATGTGCTAGATTGTCAGTGGTTTCAAATCTGGCTGTGTAGCCAGGTGATTCTCATGGAAGCCAAGTATGGGAGCACTTAGCTCACGAAGAAATTGAAGATGACACCAGGAGTGCATAGTCACTCAGAATTCCCTCTATTTGTAAGTACTAGAATTCCCAAACTCCTGGCCTCAAGTGATCCTCCCGCCTTGGCCTCCCAAAGTGCTGGGATTACAGGCATGAGCCACCATGCCTGGCCTTTGTAAGTGCTAGAACTCTAAAAGTTTCCATTGGAACAGGCATTCTTTGGATTCTTCTTTTTGAAAACTACTTTCCTAAGAGTCTTGCTTTAGTAAAAACACAAAACTAAACACTCCTTTTAACAGGAGTGTGGATACGTAAGACAGCTTGTGAGAGAATATGAAGGCAGAGGACAGCAGAAAATGGAAGGGTTCAGAAATCAGAGAAGGGTACCAGAAAATAAATTGTGCATTTCATATATGCCCTAAAGTTACTATTGTCTCCAGGTCAGCATCTGGTGTTTACAAACTAATCTACATATTCCCTACCTCCTTTGAGGATAACACCTTTTTTTAATATTCTTGGACGGAAGAGGGAACAGTGCTTCCTGCTATTAATTTAAACTATTTCCAGCAACATGGAATTATGGGACTTTGGTATTCTATTTTATGGTATCAACAACTCCTACTCATCACCTTTCAACTTCTAAAAGAATGTAATTAGAGACTTCAGAAAAGAGAAAAAATAAGTCTCCTGTACAAAGAACAGTCATTAACTAATGAGCAAACTACAAGTTGTGAACAAGAGAGCAGCACCTATTACAAGAACTTTTCCTTGATTGTTCCGCAGTGTATGAAACAGGAATTATATTGACTAGTGGGTATCACCCTGGTGTGACTGATGAAAAGGCACTCCAGAACACTGAAAAGAATACATTTTTGAAGGAGGAAGGACCGTAAATCTTCATAACATTCCAAACCAACAGCATTTCCTTTATGCATTGATACAGTGTCATGGGTATTTTTTAACATGCCTCTGATAAATACCCCGTCTTGTATATTCTTTCTGAATTCTTTTTTTTTTTTTTTTCAGACAGAGTCTCACTCTGTTGCCCAAGCTGGATTGCAGTGATGCAATCATGGCTCACTGCAGCCTGGACCTCCTGGGCTTGAGCAATCCTCTCACCTCAGCCTCCCTAGTAGCAGGAACTACAGGTGCACACCACCATGCCTGGATAATTTTTAAATTTTTTTGTAGATACAGGATCTCACTACATTTCCCAGGCTGGTCTCAAACTCCTGGGCTTAAGGTATCCTCCTGCCTTGGCCTCCCAAAGTGCTGGGATGACAGAAGTGAGTCATTGTGCCTTGTCTTTCTGCATTCTTAAGCAATAACGTTTTTTCTTGTTTTGACTTTTGCAAATGTCCTAGAATTAACATGTATACAAATATAATAATTGTAACAATACAAACTCTTTTTCCTGATCTGATAAATAGAGATACTTTATTATAATGAAAACTCACTCAATCAGTTTTTTACCAAAAGGATAGAGGGAACTAGTGGTGATCTGTGGTATGAGGAGTGTAACTGTTTTCCGGTTTGCTAACATGTCTTAGACACAGGTGCTGTCTTCTTATCAGTGATCACATGAGGAAAAGCCGACAGAATCACAGTCTACCAATGACCCCAAAGGCATCTAGATTCAAACAGAACATGATGTAGAATGAAAAATATACTAGGGGCAATAATAGAAATATTCTGAAAACAGCAGTTGTTTTAGGGCTGTTTTTTCAATATTTTGACGGAGAATGCCGCTCTTCCCTTTTTCGTCAGTATCAGCTTATCAAATAACAACTGGGTGTGGATCACTTAGAACAAAGACTATACATCTTGGACTCCCTTACAATCATATGACTAAATTTTGATCAATGAGATGCACAAGCTTAATTTGCTTGTGAAGGAAGCCTCTGGGAAGAATCCTTAAAAGAAAATAGTTCTTCCTGCTTGCTGGAATAAAGATAATGGTTGGTGCTAGCATAGCCATTTTGGAACAGGATGTAGAAATTTGCATTTTAGAAACTGGCAGATATAGAAATAGCATAACAGCAAGATAATGGAAACTTTGGCTTTGGTGGCTGTGTTTTCACAATATCAACTTGGCCTACCCTGCTTACCTGGAATTATACATGGGCAGAATATGTACTATGGTTAAGAATGAACTCTGAAACCAGATTGGTTTGATTGAGTCTTTGCTCTATTTCTTACTAGCTGTGTGACCTTGAGCAAATTAACAAGTCGTGCCTTTATATGCTCAGTTACAAAATGGGCTAATAAAAATGCCTAACTCATGAAGTTGCTGCGAGGGTTAAATGAGATAATGTATGTAAAATGCTTAGGATAGTATCTGGCATGTCATAAGCCCTATGTAAATAGTATCTGTTATTATTTGAGCTATAATTATTTTCATATTTTTGAGATCACAGAGGAAACTAATTCTAATTAATATAAAAGCTTCAGCATACATATTAGTGACCAGTATAAAGTGGATACCTAATATTGTGAATGAAAGAGTGAATTATTCCTGTTTACCCTTAAGTTTGTGTGCTGTAATAACCTGAACAGTAACATTAAAGAACATGGTAGCATATGTTAATCACTTGAATCATGAACAATTAATTAGAGACCAGAGAGTATTGTTAGCCTTGTATTCTGGCAATTATTTGGATACAATGGTGTCTTTCTGGCACAGAGCTGCAAGAATCAATGGTCATTCACTACTCACTAGTTTAGCAACTTCTCACCTGATTGTTGGTTCCAGTTCTCAACCCTGTACAGCTCTCGTGGCATCCAGCTATTAACCCATTGCAGGCTCCTCTGCTAGTGGCAAGTAATGCAGACTACCTCTATGCTACCAGCCATTGGTATACCCTTAGAAAAGGCCAACCCACTTATTATTACCCAAAGCCAAAGCTATAATTAAGAATACCCACTGCCACAAAAATGCCATAGCATATTGGCTCAATTTAAACAAGTACTTAGATCATTTGATCATTAAAGGGGAGGGCTACCTAGCCATTCTATTTCTTTCTTAGCCTGGTCAACCAAACTTAAGAATAAGTTATATTTTGTATGATATACCTATATCCAGTTTCCATATATATACTATGGTTTTTCAAGTAGCATTAGCTGGAACATAGCATTTCCATTCTATTATTTCCCTAAATGAAGAACATTCCAAGCCAAGAAAGCATATCACATCAGCAAGATTTATAGATCTCTATTAGCAGCTTTGCTACTATATATAACATGTAGTTAGTTTCAAGTTGCTCTTTAATAATCATTCCATATATTTTCTTTAAAATTAATATAAATGTATCCATCATACTATCTAGAATTTGACTGCCTTACAAAAAAGCTGGAAGATATTATAGCAAAGCTATAAAATCGACAGACTGTATGTGACACAACCATTGTATACTTGGTATTCTTTTCCTTGTACACACAGTTTGAAAAATTTCATTACTCATTGGCCCAATTTTACATTTAAATATGAATTCTTTTAATTTTACTTTGCAATCAGGTAAATTAGTGAGAAGGAGTCTAAACAATATGCTTTAATTGCATTTATAAATTATTCTCTCTGTCCTTCATAAGCATTCTTTCTTTTTTAGATATTGAAATGTGGTATCTAAATATAAAGTGCAGTAACATCTGGATCTAATTGCTGGTTTGAATAATATAGACAGACCTTCAACATTCCGTGCTTTTGAAAGGATGTGTTTAGTAGGAGGTACTGAGTCAAAGGTTGTAAAAATTTTGTACCACTAAAAATAGTTGAAATCTCAGATTCATTTAAAATGGAAATTACCACTTTCTGAGCAAATAGTTCTTCTTGATGTAAGGTGTATGTATGCTAGAAAGGGTTCATCGAAATAATGTTTTTGCTTTTTTTATATCCCATATAGCATAATTCTTAAAATCACAGTAGTTTTATTTTTTAAAGATTCCAAGTCTTATTCAAATTCAAAGCAAATATTTAAATCAGTAATCATTGAACCCATATGTTATGTAAGGTTTTGTATTGGGGGATATATTTTAGATCTATGTTATCACAATAAACTAGAGTGGAAGCATTAAATTTCCATTAAGGAGATGGGCAAATAGGTTGTCATCTGATATGGTTTGGTTGTATCCCCACCCAAATCTCAAGTTGGATTGTACCTCCCAGAATTCCCATATGTTGTGGAAGGAGTAATTGAATTATGGAGGCTGGTCTTTCCCGTGCTATTCTCATGACAGTGAATAAGTCTCATGAGATCTGATGGATTTATCAGGGATTTCCACTTTTGCTTCTTTCTCATTTTCTCTTGCTGCTGCCATGTAAGACATGGCTTTTCCCTCTTGCCATGATTCTGAGGCCTCCCCAGCCACGTAGAACTGTAAGTCCAATCAAACCTCTTTTTCTTCCCAGTCTCGGGTATGTCTTTATCAGCAGCATGAAAATGGATGAATACAGTAAATTGGTACAGTAGAGTGGGATGTTGCTGAAAAGATACTCAAAAATTTGGAAGCTACTTTGGAACTGGGTCACAGGCAGAGGTTGGAACAATTTGGAGTGCTCAGAAGAAGACAGGAAAATGTCGGAAAGTTTGGAACCTCCTAGAGACTTGATGAATGGCTTTGACAAAAATGCTGATAGTGATATGAACAATAATGTCCAGGCTGAGGTGGTCTCAGATGGAGATGAGGAACTTGTTGGGAACTGGTGCACAGGTGACTCTTGCTATGTTTTAGCAAAGAGACTGGTGGTATTTTGCCCCTGCCCTAGAGATTTATGGAACTTTGAACTTGAGGGAGATAATTTAGGGTATCTGGCAGAAGAAATTTCTAAGCAGCAAAGCATTCAAAAGGTGACTTGGCTGCTGTTAAAAGTATTCAGTTTTAAAAGAGAAACAGAGCATAAAAGTTCAGAAAATTCATAGCCTGATAATGCAGTAGAAAAGAAAAACCCATTTTCTGAGGAAAAATTCAAGCTGGCTGCAGAAATTTGCATAAGTAGCAAGGAGCCTAATGTTAATCCCCAAGACCATGGGGAAAATGTCTCCAAACCATGTCAGAGACCTTCATGGGAGCCCCTCCCATCACAGGCCTGGAGGCCCAGGAGGATAAAGTGGTTTTGTGGGCTGGGCCCCAGGTCCCAATGCTGTGTGCCTAGGGACTTGGTGCCCTGTGTCCCAGCCACTCCAGCTGTGGCTGAAAGGGGCAACATAGAGCTCAGGCTGTGGCTTCAGAGGGTGGAAACCCCAAGACTTGGCAGCTTCCACATGGTGTTGAGCCTGTGGCTACACAGAAATCAACAACTGAGTTTTGGGAATCTCTGCCTAGATTTCAGAAGATGTATGGAAACGCCTGGATACCCAGGCAAAAATTTGCTGCAGGGGCAGGGGCCCTCATGGAGAACTCTGCTAGGGCAGTGCAGAAGGGAAATGTGGGGTCAGAGCCCCCACACAGAGTCCCTCCTGGGGCACTGTTTAGTGGAGTTGTGAGAAGAGGGCCACAGTCCTCCAGACCCCAGAATGGTAGATCTACTGACAGCTTGCACCATGTGCCTGGAAAAGCCACAGACAGTCAATGCCAGCCGTGAAAGCAGCCAGCAGGGAGGCTGTACCCTGCAAAGCCATGGGGGCAGAGCTGCCCAAGACCATGGGAACCCACCTCTTGCATCAGCATGACCTGGATGTGAGACCTGGAGTCAAAGGAGATCATTTTGGAGCTTTAAAATTTGACTGCCCTGCTGGATTTTGGACTTTCATGGGGCCTGTAACCCCTTTGTTTTGGCCAATTTCTCCCAGTTGAACAGCTGTATTTACCCAATACCTGTACCCCCATTGTATTTAGAAAGTAACTAGCTTGCTTTTGATTTTACAGGCTCATAGGCAGAAGGGACGTGCCTTGTCTCAGATGAGACTTTAAACTGTGGAGTTTTGGGTTAATGTTAAAATGAGTTAAGACTTTGGGGGACTGCTTTGAAGGCATGATTGGTTTTGAAATGTGAGGACATGAGATGTGGAGGGGCCAGGGGCAGAATGACATGGTTTGCCTGTGTTCCCACCTAATTCTTAACCTGAATTTTATCTCCCAGAATTCCCACATGTTGTGGGAGGGACCCAAGGGGAGGTAATTGAATCATGGCAGCGGGTCTTTCCCATGCCATTGTCGTGATAGTGAATTAAGTTTCACAAGATCTGATGGGTTTATCAGGGGTTTCCACTTTTGCTTCTTCCTCATTCTCTCTTGCTGCTGCCAAATAAGAAGTGCCTTTAGCCCTCTGCCATGATTGTGAGAACTTCCCCAGCCACTTGGAACTGTAAGTCCAATTAAACCTCTTTTTCTTCCCAGTCTCAGGTTTGTCTTTATCAGCAGCATGAAAAACAGACTAATCCATCATCCTAGTAGTAACGTGTATGTGCACGTATATGTATGTATGTATATCTTAGCTGTTGTGTGTGATAGATCACTATGTTTCACCAAAAAGTCCTTAGGAGCACATGTGTATGTATTTAAGCTTTCCTTCCTCCAATTATAAAGATCCTTTATCCAAATATGTGTCCCATCCACAACTCTTTTGTGAGTTCTCATTTTGTGGCTCTACTGCATTAGTATTTAGAAAGAAATGTCAATAGCAACTGACTTTCATCTGAAAAGCGCTCAATAAATAACTGTCACCTAAATACTTAATTCCTGCTTAAATCAATAAAATAAACTGATCTCTTAGGACATTATACAATTATTCTATTCAGAATGAAATCTCATGTATATCTGAATTTAAAGATCTCCTTAAAAAGATAAGTGTTGCTCCCTTTCTTGAAAGCCAGTGACCCTGAATTCTGTTTGTCTCAGAAAAGGTCTCTATAATATGTTGGGCACCCGAGGCCACCTGGACCATGAGGATTCTGAGATGTTGAAAATGACCACTTCTAAAATAGGATTACAATTCATCTTGGCAAATTCCTTCTTTTAAATTATCAGTTCAACTCTAGGTATGGTGACCATTTGAAAAAGAACAACATCTCTGTTCCACAGTGTGGAAGTATCACCAAGGCCCTGGAGCCCAACCTGGGTAAATCTCCTAGGTATTACTCTTTACTAGACGTGATACCTTGGCCAATCTCACTAGCTTCTTTGGACCTCAGTTTCTCATCTGTAAAATCAGGATAATATTTGGACCTTCTTCACAGGTAGTAGTGGTACCTAAATGAATTCAATCACATAAACAGCTTATTCTTACTGAGATTGTTTGGGACTTTTTGCTTTAATGACTTGATTAAGAAGCTAGGATCAAAGTAATGTCTCTGTAGGCATATTCTAAGCAGAAATTTTGGTCAGGAGTGTAGGTGTGAAGTGGAGAATTGAGGGAAGAAGATTTGAGCCAGTTCTAAACCAGCACCAGGAATGATTCTCAGTAGGTCTTTTTTTTGGAAATAGGCCAGAAACAACTAGTCATAGCACAGTTGACCCTCTAACCCAAAGATGTGAATTTGCCTAGTATCTGTGGAGGGAGACCCACCAGGCCCTCTAGGAAACCATATCTGTTAGCAGGAGGTGGGCCAAGAATTTGGTTCTCTTAAGATTTCAGTGGATTTGGATCCTGGGCTAAAGGAATGCTCAGATCCTTCCTGTCATAGTCATCTCCCCCAACTACTCAGTTCTTTCCTGAAGCAGAGGCAGTGATCTTGGCTAGAAGAACTTCACAGTAATCAGTGGTTTTATAGCACTCATGTTAGCACTTTATGCACTGTGAAAATGCCCCCCGCATATGGCTGTTAAAAATACCTACTGATAATCTCAGCTATGGTTAGCTTAAAGAAAATTGGTTGAGCATATAACTAATATGAAATGAGAGGGCACACTTTGTCAATTTTGATCAATGGCAATGTTAAGGAGTTAATATCGCTATTAAAATTTTGCCCTATTCTTTTTCCCCTATTATTCTTATTAGCATTATCTTTCTAGAAAATCTTATTCGCTTTAGGGGAAGTTTCAGTCTTTAGTATCATTTGCAGTTTGTGCCACTGCCTTAGTTCAGACCCACGTTATTTCTCTACTGACTTTGCAATAGACAGCCTCTGACTTGGGAGCCCTTCCTCCAGGCTTCTAATCAGATCTCGTATCACTGCCAAAGTTTGTTTTGTTTGGTTTGGTTTTAGATAGTTAAAAAATAATTCCTTAAATCTCTTTTTATGACTCGCTCACTTAAAACTCTTCAGTAATTCCTTTCTTAACTACAGAATGAAGTCTAAAGCCATATCATCCTATCTTCCTTCCGTGGTCCTTCATCATCAGGTGCTGCCTTTCTCCATAGTCTCATCTCCTGCTCCTCTCAGCTCACACCCAACTCTTTGCTGTGTCCCACGCTCTTCCACATTTCTACGTGATGGCACACTGCATTTCTATCTGGAATGCCTCTCTCTATGTTATCTGTGTTTCTCCGACTCTGATGCTTCATCCCTTTTTTTTTCTGTTCTCTTCGGTAACCTCTTCTGTATGTGGCTCCCTAGAATTTTAGAGGGAAAAGCAGCATCTTGTCTACCTCTGTGTTAGAAATGAGAGAATGGAGTTCCAGAGACCTTCATTGGCCACCTCTGCTAAGAAGCCTGGAACAGAGGGGAGCTGCGTTGCTGGACAACCAGTCCCAGCCAGCATGTTCCCCTGTATCAGGCGGCCCAGCCCCTTCTTTTTGCAAACTTGGGAAGCCACGCCCCATGGATTATCTCAGCCTTCTATGCACTTCAGTTTGGCATTGACTTATTGTTGTCCTGGACATTTTACGATATGAACTTGGGTATGAAGATTCTGTACTTTGTCAGCTTATTTCTTAAACTCTTCAGTAGTTTTATTCTCCAATCTGAAGTATTAATTTCTTAAAGGAAATAAGCATAAATTATTTATCCCAAACACCCCAAGACTGCTAACAACTTATATTAGAAAATTTTAAAAAATCAGTAGAAAACAGAAAAGTAATAAATACAAATAGGCAATATGCTTATGAAAAACTGTTCAATTAGTAATCAAAAACAGGGAAAATACAACTAAATAAGATACTCTCTTTTCATAAAATCTAGTTTTTTATTACATTATTAAGATTGTCAAGGTTGTGAGGAAATAGGCACTTGCATGTCCTTTTAGGAATTACACAACTTGGATAAATATTTTTGGAGGACATTTGGAACCTGTTTGAAACCTTAAAAACATGACTGCCATGTTTTTGACCCATTCTCTTGATCCATAAAACCCACATTTAATTATTTATCCAATACAATGTGGACAGTTTTTACAAACATCTTGATCAGGATATTTTTAATAGGGGAAAATTAGAAACTAGTTCCAATGCAAAAAAAAGAAATATTGGTTAAATAAGCTACTGCATGGCCATTCAATGTAATCATAGCCACTGAAATTACATTTTTAAGTTTATGTCTTTACGTGAATTTACATGACATTGTTGACTGACAAAAGGTAAGGTTAAATGTATGTACTCTGTATGAGTGCAATTTTTGTTAAAAATATGTATACATATCACCTATGGATAAAAATATTATCTTCCCTGCATTTCTAGTACTTAGAGATATGCCTGGCTTATAGGTAATATTTAAATAAATTGAATGAATAAATACAAAAAATCTGGATATGCATATGTAAAAATGATCATACTGATTAGTGGCTTTAGTTTAGTTTTCATCTTTTTTGTTTATATTTCTTTGTATACAATAAACCCATATAACCTTTGTCATAAAAAATTTTTAAATAAAAATAGAGCTGCTCAGTTCATATTTCCAAGCAAAGCAATAATCACCATTTAACTCACTTAGTCTGAGGTGCTTCAAAAATGCCCAAATGAACATGCTCAGATTTCCTTAGTGCTGCTGCTTAATTCTATCATACCAGGCCTCCACTGACAGCCACACGTGCATTATTGGTCTACAGTTTTTAAGTGGCTCAGGCTCTACGTTCAGAATTTCCCAAATGCCTGAAGAATAGCTGCCCACCCACACACCCATCTTGCTCAGCTTAGCAAGGCTCTCTCATCACGTTCTGTATTTTCCAGGAACACGTTCTATGTAGAAAAATGGCCCCCAAGGAGCAACTGAAGCATGTGTGTAGGCACTTGGAATTGACATATTGTGGAATAATCAGAAATTTATTTGGATAAATAGTCTGTAATATAGTCAGGGACTTCTCATAATTCTGAAGTCAATGAGGCCCTTGGTGGTTTTATTTCCCTCACTTTCAAGACAATGGGATTCACATAGACTGTGGATTTACTCATTAAATGCTGAATGTAAGAACTTGTCAATGTCATCTCATTTTGGGACAACTGAGCATGGTTTCTCTTGGTAAATAATATGAACATAAAATAAACATTGCAGGCTATGTTTGTTCCAGTCTTCTTTGTGAACTGCAAATTCAGCTGCTGCTGTATTGAAGCAGATTCTGCTCATAAAGTAGTAAAATGCCTGGTCTGCAATATATGACTGTGGGATGCTGTAATGTCAGAGGCCCTTGTCAACACATTGGCAAAACTCCTATCCTGTGGCTCCAGGAAAAGATGCACAACATTGCATCCAGTGTATGGACCTTGGACTTTGAGAATTCTGGCTTTGATAATTAATAACTTAAAAAAAATCTTAGGCAAGTAATGATACATACCTCTTCACCTGTGCAAGATAACTTTTAATCTTTAAGTAGCCACTATTCTAAATAGCTTCACTTTAGTCTCTTTCATCTTTTTCATTGGTGGTGGTAATGATAATGGTGATAGTAGTAGTAGCTACAGCTACTGAGCTTCTATGATGAACCAGACACCACAATTTACAGGTGAAGACATTAAGTCCCAGAAGTAGAACCAGAATTTAGATAGTCTCTGGAGATACCTACTACACAATGGGTGCACACTATATGTTTTCAATCCTGGAATCTTTCTATTGTACAACTCTGTCTCCCTTTATCCCCCTCAGGATTAAAAAAGAAAAAAATTGTCTTCGGAGTTTTCATGATTCAGCAGATTGTCCTGCTCTTAGAAAGTACACAGGTACTTCTTTTACCAGGCACTGCTCACCTGGGCAGGACACAAATACCAGATTTTTCTGCCACCTCAGTTTTCCAAATACCTGAAGTTCATTGAGGTCCTTACAATAAAGAAGCTTCCTACTACCTTTCCTGGTCCAATCCACCGGAGATTCATTTAACCAAAACTAATTTGTCTAAGACAAATACAATTAAATCTGTTTCCCTGATAGCATCTTGAATTATAATCATTTTTAGTGAACAATATTTATCATTTTCAGCACATTTCTTACATGATATGAGATATGGAAACCTTTTTACATATTCTTGCCCCTTTAAGTGACTTTTTCTGTTTTTCATATTTATCAAGAATCCCAAGCTTCATTTCAAGCTATCTAATTTCTGGGATTCAGATGTCTGGACATGTCTTGTTGAGAACTTATCAATGAAGTTGCTTAAATCTTGAAGATATCTCTTGGGAGAGAAATTATTCTGAAAGAAAAAAAAGTAGCTTAATCCAGAGACTAAAGTACTAGACATTGGAGGAAAAACTAATTGTCTTTTTCACACTGAAATCCAAATAATAAATTACTGCTTATTTAGTTATCGCTATATGCGATTGTCTGTTCAGGTCAATCAAACAAGTAAGTATTGAGTAATAATGTGCTCAGTATGTGATTCGTGCTATAATTGGATATGTATAAAACTTGATACCTGCTTTATTTGTTTTTCATTCTCGTATATTCATTCAGAATAATGCCTGGTTTATGTTCATGATCAATAACTAATTGATAGATAAAATAATGAATGAATGAATGAATATCCTGATGAATTGTTTTAACTTTGTAAGAAGTAAATTTTTATTTTTTTCATTATCATACAGCATTTAAGAATAATAAAGCCATTATGAGATTTCAAATTTGAGATATCTATGGCAAGTTTATAAAAGTACATTGATCAAGATATAATTTTTAACATTAATATACACATTCCATAATCTCAATCCATTTAACATGAACACTGGCCTTTGTCATTGTTATTTTTTTCTCCCTGCAATATTGCCTGCTCTGTAGGACAGTGGTTCTCAGTTGGGGGTTGACTCTGCCCCCCAGGGGCATCTGGCAACAGTTGGTATAATTGTGGGTGTCATGGGAGAGGGGTGCTAACAGCATCCAGTGCGCAGTCCAGGGATGCTGTTCACCATCCTATAATGCACAGGACGGACCCCCACCACAAAGATTTTATGCAGCCCAAAGGTTAAGCAACTCTTGTCGAGTGAGACTCAATTCCCATTTTATGAACACCTCTGTGCCCACTTTAATTCTGAAAACAGACTGTGCTAATTGGCAAATACTACTTAAAAGAAGGTTTAACCTAATCAATATCTCTTATCAAAAGCAATGGCTGACTTGAAGTATCAACATATTTCCAGAATGGATAAACCACACCATCAACTCAGAATGATACAAATTAGGGTCCATATCATTTAATTTCCCTTGAACCTGCTATGCTAGTTTAATCTGTTAATATGAAGTTAATTAGGACTGTTTTGAAGGAGCTAAGCAATAGTTTCCTTTGCACATTTTTCTGAACTATGATAAAAATTTAACGATACATAAAGCACCTGGAAAATAACAGTGCTCTGCGAGTGCTCCGGAAATGTTTATCACAGCTTACTAAAAACACGGGGCTTCACTCATTTGTTCAAATTTGCCATAAGCATGTGTGTCTGCACAGGTTAAATTTTTATTTGCTCTCACTCATTTCACAATAATCTCTCATAAATGTCGTTTAGAAGCAGAACACATATACAAGGTGTGTGATACAAAATTATAAGTTATTTTTTTCCACACAAGTTGTAAAGTATCAGTGTATATAATACATTGATGATAGTAAACTAAATTTAAATGAAAAAAGTCATTCTAAATTTGTTAAGTAGAGAAATTTTTCAGTAATCATTCACCTACATATTCACATTCTGTATATTTTCTCATGGTCAACAAACTGATTCAAATGATTTAAGTTATCCCACCATTTAAAGAGAAAAGCCTCTGCAATAATTTGAAACCATGACGTTATCTTAATTTCACAATTGGCTGCTTTTTTCCCCAAGTTCTTTTAGTTCTTCTTTTGACACATAACAATAGCTTTTAATCTCACTGGGATCTGGATTCAAAGTTACATTCTTCCTCACAAACAAAATGTAATCAATTTCATGTTCACCTCAGATACCATCCGACTGAGCTTTGTAGTGAATTAGTGTTAAATAATTAATTTCTTCTGGAGGAACCTCTTCCAAGGGAATTCCTAGCTCAGCTTTCAGCTGCCTCTGTGCTGCTCTCCTCACTCCAAGGCCATCATTTTCCTCAAGTTCACCTGGTTTACTTAATAGATAACTACAACAAGTATTAGTAAAACAACTTGGAAAGGTAATCTTAGCATCTGATCTTTGCTGTAGCAGAAGCTTATTTTCAGTGTTGAATAAGAAGACACTAAAAGCTCAATGCAATAACCCTTTCTCAATGTTCTCAGCCCCAATTTTATTGTCATTTTCATCAATAAGTGTACACATCTCTGCCAGGAGTTGAACCTGTTGCTCGTTGAGGTGGTCAGTGTTTATTTCAGGCATCATTACACAATGTCTGATCTGTCCTGAGTGGCCTTTGGCCATGGACACCCTATCCTGATGAATTTATAGCTTGGTTGTGGAGGCAACACAAGTGACATTAAGCAGCAGTCTTTTGAAAAGAAAGAATGCAATTTATTATTGAATTATGCATAGTGCAGTGGACTGAGTTAATACTTGGGTTCTATTTCTACTCTGCTTTTGACCTAGTCATTGATCATGCATGTTACTAAAATAAGTGAAGCCTACCAGATTTCTAAGATCATTTAAAGTTGTAACACATTTTTATTTGATAAAAATGAGTTCTGAAATATCTAAGATTTCCTAATCAGAAGAAGAGAGTAAAGATTCCAATGATAGAAAACGGCTTCAGTGAAGAAATAATATTTGATGGGGCAGGATTTTGATTGAATGGAAGAAAGGGAAACTAGTATCGATTTCCTTCTATGTAGCAGATGCTTATGCACATACTATCTTTCAGTTTCACAATATCAAAAAAGAGGTAGCGTACTGACATTTGTATAGATAAAGGAACTAGGGTAAGAAAAGAGACCAACATCACCAGTTGAGAGTAGAGAAATCAGGATTAGAGGCAGTACAGTCACATTTGCTAATTAAAAAATGGGCAAAAGACCTTAACAGATACCTCACCAAAGAAGATATACAGATGCCAATAAGCATATGGAACAGGTAAAACTTCTGAAAAGGGTAGAACTATGGAAACAGTAAAAAGATCAGTGGTGGCCAGGGCCTGGAGGGAGGGTTGAATAGGTAACACACAGAAGAATTTTAGGGCAGTGAAATTGCTGTGTATTATATACTACATTGATGAACACACGTCAGTATATATTTGTCCAGACCCATAGAATCTACAACATCAAGAGTGGACTGTCATGTAAACTCTGAACCCTGGTTGATAATAATTTATCAATGTAAGTCATCAATTTTAACACATATACCACTCTGGTGAGGAATGGTGTGTGTGTCGGGGGAAGGAGCCCACGGGAAATCTCTGAACCTTCCTCTTAATTTCTTAGGAACCTAAAACTGCTTTAAAGAGATAAAGTAACAACAACAACAAAAACAAGAAAACCCAAGATATTCTCAGAGAAATAACTGAGGCTAATGGTAAAAAGAAACAGTAACAAGAATTCATGAAGAAGAACCCTTAGAAAATAATGGATGTAAAACCTGTAATTATCACCGTAAGTCAGTGGATGAATTGAATCACAGAATTAATACAGCTGAAATGTGCCACAGCAAGTGGGAATATCTTGTTAGGGGACTCTTCTGGAAGACAAGGGTAAAAAATAAGGATTTGGAAAAATGAGAAAAGTTAAAAGATACAGAGAGTGAAATTAATGTGTCAGTATCTGACTTAAAAAGCCTCAGATATACCTAATGTTAAATGACGAGTTAATGGGTGCAGTACACCAACATGGCACATGTATACATATGTAACAAACCTGCATGTTGTGCACATGTACCCTAAGACTTAAGGTATAATAAAAAAAAAGCCACAGATGAAGAAAAAGCAGATGAAAGGAGAGAAATAATGCCTTAATACTTCTGTAAATCACAGAAAGGTTTAAGAGCTTATTGAAAGGGCTCATTAAGAGCCACCAAGCAAACCCAAATGTAGGCACATGGTAGTGAGACACTGGAGGAAGTACCTGTGGAAGACATTTTTGTTGGCTAAACATATCTCTTTCCTCCTTCTTGTTAAAGTAAATTATATACATTATAGAATTTGGCAAAGCAAATACTCATTTTATGAACTTCTCTTGCAACTAGAGGAGGACATACAAAGGAGTCCTGGCTAATGAGAGATAAGCATGTGCCTGCTGTGGAGCTTCTTGGAAAGTTTCAACTGGTAAAAGGGGAAGAATTGAACACAGAAGTGATGGCAAGAGGTATGGGAGCCACTTTGCAACAAAGAGGAAGCGAAAAAAGAATAGCAGAAATGTTGACCCTGATATTGTTAAACTGATGAGCTATTGCCAGCAGCCTCTTAAACTCAAAACATCTTTTTAGATGAGAAAAAAAAATGTAAGTCATTATTAATTGGTTTTATGATATCTCCACCCAGACCATTTCAAACTAATCATCCAGTAAGAAAAAAGATGAACACAGAAGGTGGGAACATATAATTTGGTAAGGTTTATTTTCTAAATAAAAAATGACTACAACACAAATAAATAAAGAACAATCCACAAATAAAATTACAGAATGGTACTAACCTGACAGAGATGAATGGTAGGAGGGAGAAGGAAAAGATCAGAGGCAAGTTGAAATGAGAAAAAAATAAAAGAGAATAAGTAGTAAATACAAAATAAAATGCAGAAATATGTATTTAGCGATTAGTGTTATAATAAATGTTTATTAACTCAAGATTATCTCAAAGATTAAGAGATATTTCTGAGTATGATTTAAAAAGCAATATTTACCTAAAAGTGATATTTAAAACAAAGAAATATAATTAGAGTAATAATGAAAAAAACAGCTTAAGATATAGTAGGTGAATGCAACCTTCCCCCCCAAACAGTCAGATTAATGGTTTTAATATCGAATTTAAGGCAAAAAAAAATCATAAAGGACAATGAGGGCACTTGTAATAGGAATAATAGGAATAATAATCATGAACATTTACATACCTAATACTATGTATTCAGAACAATAACCAGTAGCTCTATGGAGAAAAATAGATAAATCAACAATTCTAATTGGGGAATTTAACACATAAACCTCAGAAACTGTTAAATCAAGCAGATCAAAAATATACGTAATTATTGAGCTTAAATGAATAGATACATAGAAGTTTGTAGACTCAAACAGAAGATAGACATTCTTTTTACGGACAAAGAACAGTTACACAAATGGACCAGATACTGGCCACAGAGGAAGGCCTCAGTATAATCTAATTCTTTAATACCATGTAGACTCATATTAAAATGCAATACAGTTAGAAATAAGTCCAAGAAAAAGCTCAAACCATCTCATATGGCTGAATACTAAGTAACATTTTGCTAAATGGCTTTTATTTAAAAATCATAAGAGAAATTATGGAATTCTTAGAGCTAATGTACATACTATTTGACTATAGGCCAATATTTGCAGGATGAATATCCGGTTTTACTTAAAGAGACATGTATAGATTTAAATACATCACAAAACAAGCAGAACAAAAAATAAATGGGATTAATATTCAAATCACAAAGCTACAAAAAGGTTCATCAGAGTAAAGCCAAACGTATAAGGACAGAAATAATAATTACATAGGTACAAAATTTAAAAACAGAGAATAACAAAAATCCAGTAGAGAGGTTTAATAAAACAAAAACTCAGTTCTTTGAGTATAATAAGACGTACAACGTCTAGTAAACCTGATCAAGAGAAAAGACAGAAGATGTAAATACTACAAAATGCATATAGAAAGAGGATTTCGCACAGGTATAACAAAGAATAAGAATCATGAGGCTATAATCACTAACTTTCTCTCAACTTGAAAATCTTGAAGGATTTATTTATGAAAGCACAAATTTTGCATGAGAATAATGACAATACTTGAATATTCTAATAACTACTAGAGAAAATTGAAATGTTAGCTAAAAACCTGCTTCCTCATTTCTCTTTTTTGCCCACAAAAAGGCAATGGATCAGCAGTTGAAAAGGGAGTACTGTGAAATGTTCAAGGTACAGAAACTTCCTATCATAAATAAGTTAATCCAAAACACGAAGTAGAAAAGGAAAACTGGACCGCTCTCAGTGAAACTGGTATAAGTTTTGACTTCTTTTCCTGCTGCCTCCCGGTAGGGCCAATCTTCCTGGGTTTTAAAAAAAGCAGAAAGAACATTCTGAGCTTCAGGCTGTCTGGATTTCTTCCATCACAACTCACTTCACAGACTCTTTTTTCTTTTCCAAGCAAGGAGGCCAATTAGTTGGTGGAACAGCTAAGGCAACACTATACAATTACCTGGTTTATATCCTTCACTGACTCTGACTAGAGTCAGTGGAGGGATTGACTATCATATAGTATAATACTTAAGGTGTTTTAAAATATGCAGGTTAATATTTAAATTTTTATATAAAATTTAAAAGAAACATGTTTACATTATTCTCTCTTTTTATTCTATGAAGTTTTTCTCTAAGAACCTACTTCGGCATGCTCCAACGACCTTCAGAACATATTAGGCCAATACTTCCAAGTTTTTCTGTTATCAGGTCACTATAATATGGGAATAAGTTAGGGAACTTAGGCTCTCTTTATGCCTGTGCAGTCCTTTCTTTGAGGTATGTTTTATAACAGTTGGTTTTCTTCCAAGAGTGTAGAAGCATTGTATTATTACTGTAATTATTGTTATTTAAGTTGAGCTTATATAAAAGCTAGATTTTTCTCTCCTTTTTTTCTTGTAATGAGAGTTGACATGTTAAGCTAACCTGTTCTTCGCTGTCTTCTAATTTGGTTCTGTTTATCAGAAAAGCCTTTTTAGGTAGATTACTTTTTGTATCTGTCTACTTGTTTTAAAACAGCAGTGAAACAATAGTTATATTTTACTTAATCCTTCACTAACCCTGGTCTTTAAACCAGAAAATGGTAATTCAAGTATACAAAAATATAGGCTGACTTCACATGTAAACAAAAATGTGAGACTCCTTTTAAAGTGTTGAGCTTAACAAATCTGAGACTTTATTTTTCTTTATTTACTTCTTTTTTATATATTTAATTGCTTATTTAAAGTATATCATGATCAAGTAGGGTTTGTACCAGGAACCAAAGAATATTTTGACACATGTACAAGATAGTTCATGGCTCTTTGGAAAAAGAATCTCATAACTATTTCAGTAAATATACCAGAAGGCATTCTTAGTAAGGTAGGGTTGGTAGGAAACTTTCTTAGCCTGACATCAAAAAATATTACTAAAAAAGGTAGAATAAATATATAATGTGGTATATTTATATGAATTTTTCTTAAGTTTAGAAATAATATTGTATATATATGATAGCACTGCTATGTTCCATATACTTTTGGAACTGGCAAACATAAAACAAGAAAAACAAGTCACAGGTATGAAAGAACAGAGAGAAAGAATTAAAATTACTGTTATTTCCAGGTTAGCTTCATAGCAAACTGGGGAGTACACATCTGGGTGTCTCTGGATATGTATTTTCTTTTCTCTGTGGAGGCAGTTTGCATAGCTGACCTTTTGAGAGCTGACTGAGCAGGTCTGAGCCAGCTCAATGCAGGAACAGACTGATCCAGTTGCTGATTTTCAGAGGCCCCCTTTCTAAAAACATGACTGCCTCTATCAGAGCTTCCTTTTAAATATAGTGATAGAATGGTTCGTTGCCCTTTGTCTCTATCAACGTGTAGAGTATTGCAGGGAGCAAGGTCTTTTTCTGTTGGAACACTGGTCATGGCCCATGCAATCCAAATTTGCAGTGCCTAAACTAGGGAATAACGGGAGTTCTCAAGATTGTGAATGTCCTACTACTTTTCTACAAATAAGATTTTCCCCCAATTATATCTGCATCACGTGGTACTAATAGTCTATGTCTGTAACTCCTAGGCATAACACAAAATCAAACTTGCAGACAAATTACTATAACTATGAAATAGTCCGTCCATTTGCTGGTACAAAATCCACTTAAAAAATCCAAATCACTAATTAACAATGAAAAATAATGGTTAACAAAATATTTCTCCAAATAACAAGAACTGTAAATATTTAGGGTCACTCAACAAAGAAGGCACAAGAAAAGGTAAAACATACCCTTATGATATAACCCAGAAAGTCAACTTCTGTTTACCCAAGAGAAATGAAAACCTAAGTCTATACAAAGACTTGTACAAACTGCTCACAGTAGCTTTGTTTATAATGGCCCTAAAAGTGGAAGCAGCCTAAATGTTCATCAACAGGTGAATGGATAAATTCTGTGTGGTATATTCATTCAGTGGTATACTACTCAGCAATAAAAACAGTAAATTACCAATACACTAAAAACATAGATGACGCTCAAAAATATTCTGTGCAGAAAAGCCCAGACACCACAGAGTAAATAGACTGTGATTCCATGTATATATAACCCAAGAAGAGACAGATCTAATTTGTAGTGTCAGAAAACACATCAGTGGCTACCTGGAGTTTACTTTGAGCCAATCCCTGGCAGAGTACCAGAGATCCACTTGATCAAAGTTGTTTGGCTTCCATTCATTCTTAGGCAGGGTCCCTTGACCCACATCTCTGCTCTAAGGTGGAGAATGTCTTAATTCAGTGGGTCCCAATTGTTGGTTCATAAACTAGTGTGCTATGAACTGAGAAGAAAAAAATCAGATATGGAAAGTTTTTCAAAGTATAAAATTTATTCACCTGTAAGTGACTATCATTATTGTGAAATTTTCTCCTTGTAATTTGGTGTTAAAATATTCATTTATTTTATACAATGATGAAAGTCAGTGATGAAGTTGAATTTTTAATTGCCTTTCTTGGCAAAACAGACATTTGACAAATCTGGGTATTAAAAAAAGAAGAAGAGGAAGAGGAGGAAAGGAATGTAGGAGAATGGCATGTTCAATCTTGAGCTAGAAAAGGTTATTTTTTAAAAAAAAAATCCATAAAAGCACAGGCATAAAAATAACAGTAAAGAAACAAAATAACAAAAATAAACAGGAACTTGATTAGGGAATTTGACTGCAATCAAAAGAAGAGTTTTATATCCAATAAAACACATTATAGGAAGCTTTAGCATGGAATTTACAAGATTGAGAACTGTTTAATATTTAAAATACATTAAAAAACACATGCAATTCAGGAATAAAAGGACTGAAAGTTTATAAAAATAAGTACAGTAGTTGAATGGAAATTCATGTGAATGGTAATACGTGTGTAAACTGATTCTCAAACTCACTGCTAAGTACATAAATAAAAATTAAAACAATAAAATATTACTTTATAATCACCAAATTAGCAGAAATTAGAAAGCAGGTAAACATGTCGAGAGGAAGGGGGATCCACACGCACAGCTAGTAAGAATCTAAAATGCTACAGTGATGCTGGAGAAAAGCCAAAATTACCTAGTAAAATAAGCATGTCTTGATGCTACAATTCAGCTCATGAAAAATCGTAGGACTTTGTGCAGGATTTTCACAGCGTTGCTTGTGGTAGCAGGAAAACTGATGGAATGGCCAAGTAAAAGGAGGTGTATGTATATGTCAGAATGTTGGACTACTATGAACCATTAGCAACAATGAGCCAGATTTACATTTGACAGCATGGAATAATCTAATCTCAAAAACACTAGCAAGAATGAAAATAGCAAGAAACAAGATACTAACACTATCATTTATGCAAATTAAAAGCACATATAAAATACACTCTAATTTTCAAGGAACCAATGCATTTAAATAACCACTTAGATGGAAGGTTGGAAGGGTGAAAAGGAGGGAGAACTATAAAAGGGGCAATATACTAAAATAAAGATAAAATGAGATAAAAGAGTTGTTAGCATATTGATGATGAAAGTATGATGAATGGAAAAGCATGAGTAGTCTTACATACTGTACATTTTAAAAATTAATTAAGTAAACCACAATGAATCAGTATCCAAGGGTTCATGTGGGAAGAGGAGAGAGTGAGCTAATGACCAAGAATCACTTCAATCAATCCTTCATTCAATCAAATGCTTTCGTATGTCACTACACAGTGCTGTGTGTTAGTATATTGCTTACCATTAAGTGTGCTCTTATATTTTTTAAACATTCTGACTTTTCTAATTTTTTCTTCAGATGGTAAACTCCTGCAAAGCAGATTGTTTGGTTCTTCTTCCTTCACGGTGCCTGACCCATCGTTCTGCAGATATTAGGTAGGCACTCGAGAATATTTTGCTCCTTTGATTACTATAACTGAAAAGCTGGGATTCTATAGGATGTGGCTCCTTAAAATATCTGTAAGTGATTGAAAAAATGTATTCAAATTGCTGTAGCTTCTATGATCCTTATGAAATATATATTCTTACCAGCTTACTTGTTGCTGTCAGCTTATTTTGCATTTTGCTTGTGAGAGGATATTTCCTGTGCTATGTGTTACTGCTGCTTTGTTGCATAGTGACACATTTTCGGTCTTAATAGATTTTCTCGCAAGAGTTTCAGGTGTCATTTGGAACATGAGAAATAATTGCTTGTGGGCTATTTCTCTCATAGAACCTCTTTCCGTCTCCTTGTCACATGCTGACTCCTGTTTTTCCAACATGTTCTGGATGTTTTATTTCTATTCTTCCACATAGAATGTGTTCTAGAAGCACTCATTCTAGTAGTAGGGGGCAATATAATGAAAGGAAAACTGTTTCTCTATTCACAAAACCTCTCACACCCAATGTATAGGGATTTTCCCCCCTGCAGTCACCATTTCCCAACTCTCTGGATGTCAGTTTGATGTTCTATAATTTAATTCAATTCTGACATTAACTACCGGTTTAAGGGCTCAGTCCTACAAGGCCCTTCAGACCCGAGTAGCAAATAATGAACTCGTAGGGTATCCACACTTCTGTCCAACTTGGCTACAAAGCCAAAAATTCTCACAACCTTTCCCCCATCAAAGTTTAATAATTTATTGAAAGGACTCACAAAACTCAACATTTGCTGATGTTTACTAGTTTTATAAAGGAAATGAGAAAGGATACAGATGAGCAGTCAGGTGAAGAGACACATGGTGTGAGGTCTAGAAGAGTCTCATGTTCAGGAGCTTCTGTCGCTGTGGAGTTGCAGTGTCCCCTGGGATGTGTGCATCCCAGCACAGGGATGTGTTCACCAACCTGGAAGCTCTTCAAATTTGGTAGTTTAGGAATTTTTAATGGAGGCTTCATCACGTAATGTACATTCACATAATTTGATTATAAATATTCATATTTTTGAGGGTGCCTTTTTAAGCCTATTTACTAGTCACTGCAGTCAAGAAACTTCTCTGCGTCTGGCGCGGTGGCTTACGCCTGTAATCCCAGCACTTCGGAAGGCCAGGGCAGGTGGGTCACCTGAGAACAGGAGTTCGAGACCAGCCTGGTCAATATAGTGAAACCTCACCTCTACTAACAATACAAAAATCAGCCAGGCATGGTGGCGCACACCTCTAATCCCAGCTACTCGTGAGGCTGAGACAGAAAAATCTCTTGAAACCCAGGAGGTGGAAGTTGCAGGGAGCCAAGATTGTGCCACTGCACTCTGGACTGGGCAACAGAGCGAGACGCCATCTCAAAAAAAAAAAAAAAAAAAAAGAAGTTTCTCAGGATGTCCTCTGCAGACTACCTGCTGCAGCTGGAGAATCCTGGGCATGCCCCATCAAAGTCTGTGGAGATGTGTCTTGGGAATGGGTCTTTATAACAAGCATCCCAGGTTCTTGTGCATGCTAGCATTGCAAAATCATCATGCCTAAAGAAGCTTAAGGAAAATTCTTCTGCTATGCTATGGAGAATTTGTTAATTCACACCTGAGGTGGTACAAGCCAGCTCTCAGGAGATTAGCAACAGGAACAGGGAAAAACAGATAGATACAAATAACATTTTGAAGGTAAACTATATTGACTTATTGCCTATATATGGAACATTTAGGAAGAGAATAAATCTTATAGTCAATGAATATTTTTGAATATTTCAATGAATTAATTCTCTTAATGAACTATTTAGTTGCTTGACTGCCTCCATTCTCCTATGCCCCAAATTTTCAGCTCTATTGAGGGTAAGCAGTTTGCCTGAAGTCAAGCATTTATATAATGTTAGACTCTAAAATAGAAACCAGGCCTTTTGATGGTAGGGTCACTAGTCTTGCTATCTAACCTTGACTGCTATGTTGATAAGGTTTTAAGTCTCAGTGACTAAGAAAATTGGTCTGCCATTCAATACTTTGTTGAGGATCATCTGTGTGTAAGGCAACAGTGTTCTGTGCTGACTGCTGGGATTCCAGTGGTGAACACAGTAAACATGCTACCTCCTCCCTGTGGTGCTCACTCTCTGGTTGATAAGATGGTAACACTAATAACAGTAAAAGGTTTTTGGAAAGGGAAGTTGGTGCAATGATGAGAATATGACGTTATTGGAATGAATATTGGACATGCTGAATTGGTCTGTATTTCAGGTGCATCCAAATTGCCTAGTTCTCCCTGCAAACCATATGGACATGTTCATTTATGTGTATGTATAGGTTAAGGAAGCCTCTCTGTGCATTATCAGATAAGGGAGAGAGAGAAGAGTCAATAGTGAAGAGAAAGTTTATCACATTCGTAAGAAATATCCTTCCCGAGCTTGCAGCAAAGTGATCACTGGCCTGTGGAGAAGAACGTAAGGTTGTTTCACCAGATGGAACAAAGTTACAGGTTTTAGACATGATTTTTAATACCAGTGAGGTATACCTTTCTGCTATAAAATGTACTTGTCTCTACGATGGGTTATTTTTTTAGATTCTTCCATCCTTTGGAAAGAGGCAAAATATAAAGGCAGTATGGGCTGTTACAGCATAAACTCTGTAAATTGGTCATTAGTCAAGTTTCCTCATAGAGATGGGCACCTTGTGTCAAAAACAGGAAAATAAATTAACTTGGACATGCTTTGGATGATTTTTCAGCATGAAAAGTGATATCCATGGGCTTGAAATGAATTTACTCTCTAAATATTTGCAGTCATGAAATAGTTCAGATGAAAAGGCTCTCTGATGATTCAAAGATAGAACATTGAGAAATAATAACATTAGAATCATTTTAAGAAAATTCAAAAAGACATATTGTATAAAGTACCAGTGGGAAGAAGTGGACACAACTCTGACTGTGACTGCTTGAATATACTTCTAAGGGAGTTTTCTATCTTTTGAAGAAAACTTTCATGTTTAGGGAGAGGTTTAGGGTTTTTTTTTCTTTCTTTCTTTCTCACATGATATGATCTATTTTTCTCCTTTTTCCTTAAATAAGGAAGAATAAACATAAAGAAAAAGTTTGAAATCTACAATATTTACTAATTTATTAACAGCAAAAAGTCTTAATACCTTTTTACCATTCTGAGTTTTGAATAATTAAAATGTAAAAAAGCTATGAAATTAAGTTCTATATAATTGTAGAGGGAAAAAAGGTTTATATTTTGATATGTTTTGGCTATGTCCCCACCCAAATCTCATCTTAAATTCCCACGTGTTGTGGCAGGGACCTGGTGGGAGGTAATTGAATCATGCAGGCAGGTCTTTCCCATGCTATTTTCATGATAGTGAGTAAGTATCACAAGATCTGATGGTTATTATAAGCGGGAGTTTTCCTACACAAGCTCTCTCTTTGCCTGCTGCCATCCACAAAGATATGACTTGCTCCTCCTTGCTTTCCACCATGATTGTGAGGCCTCGGCCATGTGGAACTGTAAGTCCAAATCTTACGTCTTTCTTGTGTAAATTGCCCACTCTAAGGTATGTCTTTATCAGCAGCATGAAAATGGACAGCAAGAAATACATATTTCTTCTTGGATTATAACTTGAATTTAAAACTAAAATGAAAGAAGAAAAAGGAAGAGGAGGAGGGGGATTGGAATACCTTGATAGGTTTTTCTAAATTTTTAAAATTTTCATTTTATTAATTTAGAGAACACAGAGAGCCATAATTTATTTAGAATTGTTCTACTGTGATTCTTATTTTGTCTATACAGCAATAGACTATATCTGCTATTGTTAATTTGATCTAGAAGGTTTTCTTATATTTGGTCATGATACTGATACAGCTTATAATTCTCGTAAGAGAAATAAAACACTCAAAGGAGATGAAAGTAACTCAAATGCTTGTGCAGTCACTAGATATTTTGAAAACCACTTTTTATATTTCTTAATTATTAATATTTATTTATGAGAATAATTTTCTGTTTACTGATTGCTATGAATCCTGACAGCTTCATGAATTACAAGCTCCCTTAGGCATGACATAATAACTTTGATTAGCAAATTGCCGTATTCCTACAGAATTTTCTAGATTTGCCTCATAAACTTGATATTCAACAAATTCTTGAACTAAAGGATTTTTCCTAAGAAAAGAACTTTTAACATTTTAAGAGAGCTATGACCAAATTGTTCATGGTCATAAGTCCCTGAAGAGTCCTCATTAATAACTAGGTAAATGGTACCTCAATGCTACAGCTTAAAGATCAGAAGTTTTGAGGAGACACTTAGAAAGAACTTCATTGTGAGTTCACAGGGGGAAATTATATACCTCTTCATTTTACTCTGTACCCTAGAGCCCTAATCACTAGTGAGAATAGTATACTCCATGGATTTACAATATTTAACAATATTTCTCAGAATGAGTTTGCAAGTTTAGTGAGAAATGCCCATGAGTGCTGCTTAAACATACTTACAGTTCTCTTATGAAATCACTTAGCAAAGGCTTGTTATGCTCTGATTAGCTTATTAGTTTATTCTGGATCCAATAGAGAGTTTTGGGGCATTGTCTGTCAACTTGCTAGGAATTAGGACAGCAAATGCTTTCAAATTGTCTTTGCTCATTTAACCATGTCTCTGCAGATGTTCACTATTTTAATACGTCTTTTCTTTGGAAAGCATACTCTATGTACGGTATAATCATTTAGAGATGTACAATTTTGAATTAAGGTAGAAGTTTATAAGTAGATTAAGATGCTTGGGAGGCATACTTCCTGCTCAAATGAGTGCCAGCCTGCGTATCAATACATGACTCATTCTGAGTGTCAAAAGATCATTTCAGGCTAGTTTGTTCATGCCGTCATAATAAAAACTTTCACAGTACATAGTATATGAAGGCAGTCCATAATGATAGTTTAGCTTGTACTTAGGTTATTTACACATGATCATAAATTACTTTTTTGTATAAGAATGGAAATATGAGAGAGTTGTTGCTTTAAGGATTGAATAATGTAAAATAATTATGGAGAAACATTTGTGGTGTTTTCAAGAAGTGCAATGTGAAACTTGACTCTTCTTATTTTTTTTACCCAACTATATTCTACTCCTGCTACTTTAATATGAATGAGTTAGTGAGGTGGTAAAATAGTGCAGTAAAAAATATATTAGATTTTCAAGACAGATTTAGGGTTGTAGCACTGGAAAGCTCCAAGGGGTGCCATATATATAATAGGCTCTGTGAGTGGCATTCCTGGAGTTGTGCGATACACAACATGGGCGACTAGATGCAGTGGCCCTGAGGTAGACCAATGTTAGAGACCTGATTAAATAGCACTGGGCAAAGTTAGTAGCTTTCTCTGAGACTTCTCCTTGTCTATAAAATGAAGTTAATTTTACCTATCACATATGGGTCTTTTTTAAGTTAAATGAGGTTTTACAAGAGTTTATTTCCATAGTAATACTAGAATAGTACCAAGTGCACAGTAGATGCTTAATAACTGTTAACCTTGAAAGTAAGCAGATGAGATGAACTCTAATAAGTGGTTAAAAAGAGAGAAAAAGATCATGTTAACTTAGAGGTCTAAAACTTAAAAGAAAGGCATTGTTTTTAATTATCTAGAAAAGGCTTTTTCATAATTAGCAATGCTACACACATGCACTCATGCACACACATGTTCAAATCTGGGCACACATATACTAGCACATGTGCACATACACACATACACACACACACACATACACACACCCTCCAAATTTGGGATACCTTAATTGGAAGATGCTAATTTCACATCATATAAATTTTACACATTTACAAGAAAATACAAAGCAGACATCATGAATTGTTCTCTAGAAAAATATCACAAAAAGGTAGAAGTTTATGTAATTCGATATAATAAAATATAAGTGTAATGACAATTACTGCAGCTATCAATCTTCAATAATTTGTGAAGAATCCAACCTCAAATGCAATGAAGCCTTATAAAATTTGTGATTACAGAGTGTAAAATATAACAGATGCTACAATATTTAGATGCCTGCTGGCATTTACCTTTTCCTCTGCACAGTTCATTTCAACTATATGAAAATTTTATGTGTTACGTAAAAGTAGAGAAAAAGAAACTGAATTGCAAAATAACCACATGAGAATTGATGGTGTGTTTTCAGCAATGTGGTATTTGATTCTTTGGATCACATGAACTATGCAAGAAAGTAGAGAATTTGATAATACATATTATTTTCAGTTTCATATGGTGACAGTTGCATAGGTCAAAAAATAACACTGATGTTGAATTTAGTTACTTTCTCTACGCATTCAGAGCTGATTTTTTACGCTGGGAGGCCTACTATTCACTGAAGAAATGGTCTTGCTATGAGGGTTGTAGTGGAAGGATAATGGCATTGGTGCCATTTGAGATATAGCCAATGTTATCTTGCTTTTGATTTTTATATTTTAAATTTTAAATTTTTTGAGATGGAGTCTCACTCTGTCACCCAGGCTGGAGTTCAGTGCTGCAATCTCAGCTCACTGCAACCTCTGCCTCCCAGGTTCAAGCGATTCTCCTGCCTCAGCCTCCCGAGTAGCTGTTATTACAGGCACGTGCCACCAAGTCAAGCTAATTTTTGTATTTTAGTAGAGACAGGATTTCACCATGTTGGCCAGGCTGGTCTCGAACTCCTGACCTCAAGTGATCCACCCCCCTCAGCCTCCCAAAGTGCTGGGATTACAGGCGTGAGCCACCACAACTAGTCGCCAATGTTATATTTCAAAAGCAAGATACTTAGAGTGTAACACCTGGTTTTTTAAAAATACATTTTGCAGGTTATCAAATATCAGTCTTCTCATTTAAAAATTATTATCTTATCTATGATCACATTGTAAACATGATATTAAATATAGATACTATTTTTGAAGATTTTTGTTTATTCTTTTTAAAAATTTATTTTTTATTTCCCATTATATCAATTATAGGTTTTTCAGAAAAAAAAATAATAATAATGAAAAATTCTCGAGACCTGCAAACTAGAAACCCAGAAATCGTTTTTGGACACCTTCGTCTTCATCTTTCCAATATCCAATAATTCATCCATTTCTATCAATTATATTCTCTAAATATCTGTTAAGCCTGTCTGATTCTCTCCATTACCACTTCCACTATTCTTCCCTGGACTGACTCCCATAATTAAAAGCCTCTTAATTATTCCCTTCTGCCTGTACTTCCTAATGAAGTCCATATTTTATTCTGTTTTAAGATGTCAATCTGATCTTGTTCTACCTTTATTTACTTCAAGGGATTCCCACTGATTTAGGGTAAAGACCAACATTCTTAGTATGGCCTAAGAGAACTGAGAGGGTTTTGCAACTGTCTACTCCCAGCTTCCTCTCCTTCTACTCTTTCCCGGCTCCCTGTAGTCTAGATTCCACTTCCAGGTCTTGAAACCTCCCCGCTTCCTAACCTTTGTTGAACCAGGAACTTTCTCCAAACCACCAAGCTTCCAACTGAGGTACATGGGTCCTTGGATGTGCAAGAAGGTGTACCATGCACATTGAGAGTTTAAACAAGTCCATTTCCGGATCCACAACACCCATATGAATTTTTCCTCCAGATGACCTCCCTCAGGAACATGTCTGCAGGTGAGTCATCCCTCTGTTTCTCCTCTCCATTTCCATTTTCACAATCACTCTTCTTTTTCTTTACAAGCAAAAGAAAACAAATAAAAGAAGGTGTTCCTCTCATTCATTCTGATTCTTAATGTGGAACGCTGCATATTGAAATCTCTGGGGCACCAAAAGAGAGGCAATACAAACTCTCAGTGTCAGTGAAGGCAGCTTTAGTCAAAAGGCTAGATTCATTTTCTTTTGATACATATTTCTCTTAAGGGAAAGTGAAATATTAGAAATGAGCTATCGTGGCCTGGATTGAATGCACTTTCTGAATTTAGGGATTTTGCGGAGTGGGTCAGCAGGAGTAGCGGCAGTTTTGCTTTAACCGTTTCACATCTTTCAACCCCCACCATTGTCAAAAAAGCATTGCTCCTTAACGGAGAGTCTTGAAAGAGGATAGCAAGGCAAGGGGCAGTAAGAAATATTGAAGACATCAATTGTGAATGGGAGTTCACTCATGATTTGGCTCTCTGTTTGTCTGTTATTGGTGTATAAGAATGCTTGTGATTTTTGCACATTGATTTTGTATCCTGAGACTTTGCTGAAGTGGCTTATCATCTTAGGGAGATTTTGGGCTGAGACAATGGGGTTTTCTAGACATACAATCATGTCATCTGCAAACAGGGACAATTTGACTTCCTCTTTTCCTAATTGTATACCCTTTATTTCTTTCTCCTGCCTGATTGCCCTGGCCAGAACTTCCAACACTGTGTTGAATAAGAGTGGTGAGAGAGAGCATCCCTGTCTTGTGCCAGTTTTCAAAGGGAATGCTTCCAGTTTTTGCCCTTTCAGTATGATATTGGCTGTGGGTTTGTCATAAATAGCTCTTATTATTTTGAGATACGTCCCATCAATACCTAATTTATTGAGAGTTTTTAGCATGAAGGGCTGTTGAATTTTGTCGAAGGCCTTTTCTGCATCTATTGAGATAATCATGTGGTTTTTGTCTTTGGTTCTGTTTATATGCTGGATTACGTTTATTGATTTGCATATGTTGAACCAGCCTTGCATCCCAGGAATGAAGCCCACTTGATCATGGTGGATAAGTTTTTTGATGTGCTGCTGGATTCGGTTTGCCAGTATTTTATTGAGGATTTTTACATCGATGTTCATCAGGGATATTGGTTTAAAATTCTCTTTTTTTGTTGTGTCTCTGCCAGGCTTTGGTATCACGATGATGCTGGCCTCATAAAATGAGTTAGGGAGGATTCCCTCTTTTTCTATTGATTGGAATAGTTTCAGAAGGAATGGTACCAGCTCCTCCTTGTACCTCTGGTAGAATTCAACTGTGAATCTGTCTGGTCCTGGACTTTTTTTGCTTGGTAAGCTATTAATTATTGCCTCAATTTCAGAAACTGTTATTGGTCTATTCAGAGATTCAACTTCTTCCTGGTTTAGTCTTGGGAGGGTGTATGTGTCAAGGAATTTATCCATTTCTTCTAGATTTTCTAGTTTATTTGGTAGAGGTGTTTATAGTATTCTCTGATGGTAGTTTTGCTTCAAAGAGAATAAAATACCTAGGAATCCAACTTACAAGGGATGTGAAGGACCTCTTCAAGGAGAACTACAAACCACTGCTCAAAGAAATAAAAGAGGACACAAACAAATGAAAGAACATTCCATGCTCATGGATAGGAAGAATCAGTATCGTGAAAATGGCCATACTGCCCAAGGTAATTTATAGATTCAATGCCATCCGCATCAAGCTACCAATGACTTTCTTCACAGAATTGGAAAAAACTACTTTAAAGTTCGTATGGAAAGAAAAAAGAGCCTGCATTGCCAAGTCAATCCTAAGCCAAAAGAACAAAGCTGGAGGCATCACGCTACCTGACTTCAAACTATACTATAAGGCTACAGTAACCAAAGCAGCATGGTACTGCTTCCAAAACAGAGATATAGACCAATGGAACAGAACAGAGCCCTCAGAAATAATACCACACATCTACAACCATCTGATCTTTGACAAACCTGACAAAAAGAAGAAATGGGGAAAGGATTCCCTATTCAACAAATGGTGCTGGGAAAACTGGCTAGCCATATGTAGAAAGGTGAAACTGGATCCCTTCCTTACACCTTATACAAAAATTAATTCAAGATGGATTAAAGACTTAAATGTTATACCTAAAACAATAAAAACCCTAGATGAAAACCTAGGCAATACCATTCAGGGCATAGGCATGGGCAAGGACTTCATGTCTAAAACACCAAAAGCAATGGCAACAAAAGCCAAAATTGACAAATGGGATCTAATTAAACTGAAGAGCTTCTGCACAGCAAAAGAAACTACCATCAGAGTGAACAGGCAACCTACAGAATGGGAGAAAATGTTTGCAATCTACTCATCTGACAAAGGGCTAATATCCAGAATCTACAAAGAACTCAAACAAATTTACAAGAAAAAAACAAACAACCCCATCAACAAGTGGCGGAAGGATATGAACAGACCCTTCTCAAAAGAAGACATTTATGCAACCAACAGACACATGAAAAAATGCTCATCAACACTGGCCATCAGAGAAATGCAAATCAAAACCGCAATGAGATATCATCTCATACCAGTTAGAATGGCGATCATTAAAAAGTCAGGAAACAACAGGTGCTGGAGAGGATGGGGAGAAATAGGAACACTTTTAAACTGTTGTTGGGACTGTAAACTAGTTCAACCATTGTGGAAGTCAGTGTGGCGATTCCTCAGGGATCTAGAACTAGAAATACCATTTGACCCAGATATCCCATTACTGGGTATATACCCAAAGGAATATAAATCATGCTGCTATAAAGACACACGCACACGTGTGTTTATTGCGGCACTACTCACAATAGCAAAGACTTGGAACCAACCCAAATGTCCAACAATGATAGACTGGATTAAGAAAATGTGGCATATAGGCCTGGACGCGGAGCGAGAGGCTGAGAGAGTTAGAGACACTATCCACTTCCATCAGTCACGCAGACCCTGCTGGAGCCACTGCTGCTGTGGATGATCGAGAGGATCTGGTGTACCAGGCGAAGCTGGCCGAGCAGGCTGAGTGATACGATGAAATGGTGGAGTCAATGAAGAAAGTAGCAGGGATGGATGTGGAGCTGACAGATGAAGAAAGAAACCTCCTATCTGTTGCATATGAGAATGTGATTGGAGCTAGAAGAACCTCCTGGAGAATAATCAGCAGCATTGAACAGAAAGAAGAAAACAAGGGAGGAGAAAACAAGCTAGAAATGATTCGGGAATATCAGCAAATGGTTGAGACTGAGCTAAAGTTAATCTGTTGTGACATTCTGGATGTACTGGACAAACATCTGATTGCAGCAGCTAACACTGGCGAGTCCAAGGTTTTCTATTATAAAACGAAATGGTACTACCACAGGTATCTGGCAGAATTTGCCACAGGAAATGACAGGAAGGAGGCTGCGAAGAACAGCATAGTGGCTTATAAAGCTGCTAGTGATATTGCAATGACAGAACTTCCACCAGCGCATCCTATTCGCTTAGGTCTTGCTCTCAATTTTTCCATATTCTACTACGAAATTCTTAATTCCCCTGACCGTGCTTGCAGGTTGGCAAAAGCAGCTTTCAATGATGCAGTTGTAGAACTGGATACGCTGAGTGAAGAAAGCTATAAGGACTGTAAACTTATCATGCAGTTGTTACGTGATAATCTGACACTATGGACTTCAGATATGCAGGGTGATGGTGAAGAGCAGAATAAAGAAGTGCTGCAGGACGTGGAAGACAAAAATCAGGGAGACATAAGCCAACAAGAGAAACCATCTCTGACCACCCCCTCCTCCCCATCCCACCCCTTGGAAACTCCCCATTGTCACTGAGAACCACCAAATCTGACTTTTACATTTGGTCTCAGAATTTAGGTTCCTTCCCTGTTTTTTTTTTTTTTTAAAAAAACAGTTTTCAAAAGTTCTTAAAGGCAAGAGTGAATTTCTGTGGATTTTACTGGTCCCAGCTTTTAGGTTCTTTAAGACACTAACAGGACTGCATGGAGGCTTTTTCAGCATTACTGTGTTGTCTCTGTGCCAGATGTGGCAAGATCACCATTAGAAATGGAAATTACATTTGAAAGCCATTAGACTTCTAGGTAATGCAAGCATCTAAGAGAGGTTAATCACACTATAGAGGCATAAGTGGTATCAGTTTTCATTTTTCTAATTGTTTAAACTGTATTTTATACCAATGTTTGAAAGTAATTGGGTGTTAGCCTGAGATGGTTACAGGTCGTTTGGGGAGGGAGTTGTAATGGTTTTGCTGTAAAAAATGTTTCAAACTGTGCTGAAATGTTGCTGAAAAGCATGGTGCCGATAACAGTTCAACCATCCATGGCTGCTCATTCTTGCCTACTTTACTCTCCCACTGAAGCAGGTTAGCGTTGAAGGTGGTATGGAAAAGCCTGCATGCCTGTTCAATTCTTTGTTTCTTCTCCTTCCCCCTCCCACTACCTCCTTCCCCTCATTCCTCCCCTCCTTCGCTCGCTCAATCTCTTTTATTCAGTATGTGTAACTTGAAGCTAATTTGTACTCCTGGATATCTGACTGGAACCACAGATACAGAATCTTTATTGTTCTTACTGAAACACAGCATGGAATTAGCATTAAACTTAAATAAAACAAACCTAAATTAAAAATGCCAAAAAAAAAAAAACAAAGAAAATGTGGCACATATACACCATGGAATACTATGCAGCCATAAAAAAGGATGAGTTCATGTCCTTTCTGGGACATGGATGAAGCTGGAAACCATCATTCTCAGCAAACTATCGCAAGGACAAAAAACCAAACACTGCATGTTCTCACTCATAGGTGGGGATTGAACAATGAGAACACTTGGACACAGGAAGGGGAACATCACACACCAGGGCCTGTTGTGGGGTGGGAAGAGGGGAGAGGGACAGCATTAGGAGATATACGTAATGTAAATGACGAGTTAATGGGTGCAGCACACCAACATGGTGCATGTGTACATATGTAACAAACCTGCACGTTGTGCACATGTACCCTAGAACTTCAAGTATAATAAATATATATATATAAAAGAAATATTGAAGACATCAGTATTTATTTCCTACATGTGGCAAACTAGGAGAGACTTCTCTCCTTTATCTGTGTGTTCATCTAAATTTCTCTTTGTCTCCTTTGTCTACTTTCTTATCTTAGAATATTCAAACTTTGTAAAAAGCAGTCAGAAATATCAATCTACTCTATATTTTTACTGGTTTCATTAATGAAAAAAACCCTGGGTACTATGATTATTCACTTTTTACATAGTCTTTGTCTCAGTTACGCATTTTGTATTATTTCTAGGAGAAGAAGCTAATAATTGCAGTGTTTACTTCTTATATACCAATGCTATCTATTTGATTAAAAAGAACATACAATATGCTGGGGTGAGTTAGACTTTATTTTGAACATCTACTTAGGATTGTGGTAGGAAAATTTTCCTTCATTTTTGCCAATGCTTATGGATAATACCAATTTTGTATTAGTTATTTTACTTGAAGTTATGTATGTATTATACCCCAAACTCTCTGCTAGTCATCAATCTCCTGTTTTCTATTAGCTCCAACTTGTTCAGATGCCTTCTCCAGAGCACGCATCTGTACTGGTTGTCCTGGCTGGTACACAAAACTTATTCTGGCCCTTGCTCTTACTGTATACCGGAAATCCTGTCACCTCCCTTTGTGTTGGATTTGCTGTTTCTGTATCCCTGGTGTTTCTCTTTCTTGCTAAATGGAACCCATCCTTGTGAAGTTTCCTGAGAAGAGTGATTAGGAAGCAAATGTCTTTGAGACTGGCAGATTAGAAATACTCCTATCTTTACCATTGAGAGCTTAGCTGATGTTGTAGACTGACTAGTGACCACCCAAATATATCAGATCCTAATCCCTAGAACCTGAAGATAGTGCCTTATAAGGAAAAGGTCTTTGTATATGTGATTAAGTGAAGGCTCTTGAGATGGGGAGATTACCCTGGATTATAATGGTGGTCCCTAAATGCAATCACGTAATCCCTGTAAGAGAGAGGCAGAGGGACATTTGATGCAGACAGAAGAGGAGAAAACAATGTGACCACAGAGGCAGAGATTGGATGGATGTAGCCACAAGCCAAGGAATATGGGCAGCCACCAGAAGCTGAAAGTAGCAAGAAACAGATTTTCCCTGGGGTGGAGCATAGCCCTGCAATTTATTTCAGACCTCTGGGCTCCAGAACTTTTAAAGAATAAATTTCTGGTGTTTTAAGCCGCCCAGTTTGTGCTATAGGTTGAGTATCCCTTATTTGAAATCCCTGGGATTAGGAGTGTTTTGGATGTGGGATTTTTTCAAATTTTGGAATATTTGAATATACATACTGGTTGAATATTCCTAATCTGAAAATAAAAAAATATGAGATACTTCAGTGAGAATTCCCTTTAAGCATGACCTTTGAGCATCACATCAGTGCTCAAAAAGTTTCAAAGTTTGGAGCATGTTGGATTTTGGATTTTTGGATTGGGGATACTCAACTTGTTGAGCATACTTCTGTTGCAACAGCCACAGAAAGCTAATGCAACTGGAAAACATTTTTCTTTGTAATTTTTGTAGCATTTTTCTATCATTATCCTGCTTCTAATGAAACTGTTTAGAAGTCCAAAGTCATTTGATATAAAGGTTGTGTTTTTGTTAGCAAGGGAAAGGAATATGGCTACTTTCTTGATTCAAGTTGAAAATTCATTTTATTTTATTTTTTCTGAGATGGAGTCTTGTTCTGTTGCCCAAGCTGGAGTGCAGTGGCATGTTCTTGGCTCACTTCAACCCCCGCCTTCTGGGTTCAAGTGATTCTGTTGCCTCAGCCTCCTGAGTAGCTGGGACCACAGGCACGTACCACCACGCCCAGCTAATTTTTGTATTTTTAGTAGAGGCAGAGTTTCACCATGTTGCCCAGGTTGGTCTAGAACTTCTGACCTCAGGTGATCTCCTGCCTCAGCCTCCCACAGTGCTGGGATTACAGATGTGAGTCACTGTGCCCAACCCTGAATATTTATATATCATTTCCCCCCTCTGCACCATCCCCTGCAAGCTTGGAGTCTCCTCTTTGCCCAGTGTTCTGAAATTTCATGATGGTTCTCTTGGCATGAGCCTATTTTCATTCATAATACAAGGGGTGGGGCACTTGGAGTATATTTTCAATTTGGAAACATAAGTCAGTTAGTTCTGGAAAATTTTCTATTTTTTAGATAATATCATCATTTCTATCATTGTTTTCTCTTCTGGAATGCCAGTTAGTAAGATATTAGACTTACCTAACTGATCCTCTAATTTTTTTATCCTTTCTCTTTTGTCTCCTTCATATTTTGCTCTATTTCCTGAGAAATGTCCTTGGTTTTATTTTCTAACCTCTGTATTTCTTTAAAAAATAAAACCAACCATTCATATTTCATGATTACTACATCTTTTTGTATCTTTCTGAGATTTTTTTTCTTATGGAAAAATCGCATAACATGGAATTTACCCTCTTAACAAACTTTTCAGTATACAGTAGTGTTAACTGTCTGCACATTCTAGATATCCAGAAGGTTTTCATCTTGCATGACTGAAACTCTGTACACATTAAATTGCATATTAGTTGATATTCTCCAGAGAAACAGCACCAAATGACAGATATACATAAAGAGATCTATGAAAAGAAGTTGGTTCACATGATTATGAAGGCTGACAAGTCCCAAGATCTGCATCCTACAAGCTTGAGAGCCAGGAGAACTGAGGATATAAGTTCCAGTCTGACAGTGGCCAGGCTTGGGCACTCTGTGGCCCACTCAAGCTGACACATAAAATTATCCATTACAAATAGCAACTCCTCATTTCTCCCTCTTCCCAGCCTCTGGCAACCACCATTTTACTTTTTTTCTATGAGTTTGAATACTTTAGACTTCATATAAATGGAATCAGCTGTATTTGTCCTTCTGCTACTGGCTCATTTCACTTAGCATTATGTCTTCAAGGATCATCTGTGTTGTAGCCTATAACAGGACTTCCTTCACTGTTAAGGCTGAATAATAATTTGTTGTATTATTTTCTTAATCCATTCATCCGTCAATGGACATTTAAGTTGTTTCTACCTATTGGCTATTGTGAATAATGCTACAAAAAACATGGGAATGCTAATATCTCTTTGAGATCCTATTTTCAATTGATTTGGATATATACCACAAGTGGGATTGCTAGATCATAGGACTACTCTATTTTTAAATTTTTGAGGAAATTATTTATTGTTTTTCACAGTGGCTGTAGCATTTGACACTGATGCCAGCAGTTCACAAGGATTCTAATTACACCACATTCCTGCCAATATTTGCTAGTTTGTTTTTCTGATAATAGCTGCCCTAGTAGGTATGAGGTGATATCTCCCTGTGTTTTTGATTTATATTTCTCTGATGATTAGTGATGTTGAGCATCTTTTCATATACCTGTTGGCCATTTGTATGTCTTCTTTGGAGAAATGACTCTGCAAGTCTGTGAGTCTATTGCCCATTTTAAAACTTGTGTCATTTGTTCTTCATGCTATTTGTTTGTAGGAGTTCTTTATATATTTTACATATTAACCCCTTATCAGATACAGTTTGCAAATATTTTTCCCCTTTCTCTAGGTTGCCTTTTCACTTTGATTGTTTCTTTTGCTACACAACATTTTTTGTTTTGGTTTAGTCCCACTTGTCCATTTTTGCTCTTGTTTCCTGTTATTTTGGTGTCATATCCATCTCTGGGAATATTGATAATATTTTAATTTTGTTTAAATTTTTTTTCCTCTTTGTATGGTCTATTGCTTCCAAATTTTTTTTTATTTTTGTTCTTGTTTTTAAAATTAAAATTTTTATCTTTCTTATGAGAAGACTCCCTCCATCCTTTTGTAACCTGTGATTTAAGAGTAGTGGGAAAGGCTGTAGGAAGCTATAAACAGGTAGGTGGGACTGGGTGATTGTAGATTCACTGCAGGAAAATCTGGGTTAGTTGCTTTTTGGAGCAGCCCCTTATATTCATCTCTTTAGGTCTTTTCTCTTGTGCTGCCTCCCAGAGAAGATGCATCCAGCATCCTGCCTACAGGGTAAAGACTTGGCTGCCAGTACTAGAGTAGCTGATGAAGGAAGAGGAATGCTGGGAGAATATCAGCCTTCAGTACAAGGGCATCATTTAATCTTCATTTTCAGTACTCTACTTTAGTGTGCATGGTAACCCAAGCCCAGAGGCCTTCTGTTTAAAGAAAAAACAAAAAACTTCCAGCTCTTTTCTGCGGTAGGGAGGAGGTAATGTGAATGAGGGCCAGTGCTTCTGGCAGCCTAAGCAACCACTGACTTAGAGGAAATAGAGAAACCATGTGGGTGAAGGGTGCATACTCTTGGGATGAAAGACAAGGGAGCCAAAGGAAAGGAGGCAGTCATCAGGCCTGTCAGAGTAGCCTGCAAACAGGTATGGCATGGCCTGGTAGTAGCAGGAGCACCTACGGCAAAATCAGAATGACACAGACAACCAAAGTTCAAGTTAACCAAAGTTAGAGTTGTGGACACACAGCTCTAACCCTGAGCCTACTGAATAAAAATCCAAAAGTAAACAAGACATTGCAGGTGACGTGTATGCAGCTTCAAGTTTGAGACACATTGCCCTATACAATACCATGCAATCAATAAATGTGTCCCCCAAACTCGCCTGCACATTCAACTCAACTTGGGAGTTAAAAAAATACTGCTCGGCCTTAGACTAGACTAATTGAATGAATAGCTACAGGAGATCGGGCTCAGGCATAGCTAAGTTTTAAAAGTTCTTCCAGTGACTCTGATGTGCAGCCAAATTATAACCATTTACCTGTATATGAAGGCCACTACATTTATTTCTCATTTAATAAAAATAACACATATGTGACATCTCTGAGCAATCAGTCATTTATAAAGATGTTGTTGTGTTCTTAATGTGATTTGAAAATATTTTTTAGCAATATCTTAAAAATAAAAAAGGACAGCATACATGTCAAAAGCAAACTTCTTTCTATGAAACAGGCAAATTGAAGTTATTGAAATTACGTGGAATTCACATAAAAGTAATTGATGAAATAGCATTGGAAGCTCAAGTAATGAATGCTGAGATGATTTGCATTTTGGAGAAATGTGCTGGCCACCCTGTGAACCCTCATGGCCTCCAAGAGATTTAACTTTCAGGATCCCTGTGCTAGATTACAGATGCCGCACAAGCAGGGACACTTATTTGATTGCTGTATTTTAATTCATACAAAGGCATTGTTGATTGAGTACCCTAAGCCAAATAAATATATGAGCCACCTAACATAATGAGCCACTTATGTTAGGCACTTGTTCACATTCATAAAAACAACAAATGATATAATCTTGATCAAACCCTTCCTAATAAATGGTGACTAAAAGATATCTGGTGTTTTCTTTGTGTGCAATTTCTTTCCAAGATATGTAGGAAACTGATTTGCTTTTGATGAACTTGTGCTGCCTACAAATTAATGTCCACAGATTTCCTACTTTATTAATTGTCTCAGCAATTTAGCCAGCAATGATTTATATGAAATATTCCCTCTTGTTGCAGGCTCTACAGTCAGCTAATTGATTGCTGTATGAATTATGCATCCTAAGCCAAATGCAAGGATGCATGAAAGAGGCAGCCAAGGTCATTTTCCACCAAAGAGAACTACAGTAACTAAATGCCTTTTAAAGACAGGCTTTATTACTTTAATTTTGCTGCTTTCTTCATATATACATCAAGTACAGAATAATGTGCAAACTCTAAAGTCATACTTTTAATTTATAAACAGACACAGACAACCAAAGTTCAATATTCTGTAGCCAGACAAGGCTTATAATGGAATTAATTTGGTAGAGATAAGGAAAGAACCAGAAATGGCATATAAATGTTCTTTATCTGATTCCAAAATATGCCATATCTCATCAAATTTGCCTATAGTTTATTAACACTCAAAATTGACTATTCCAAAAATAAGCATTTTAATTAGATGAATGACACCTTGGGACCAAGTGCAGGGTATCTGGCATGACAGCAGATGACAAGAGATAGTTTGGAAAAGTTACGATCAATTATCATTTATTCATAGGAAGACGAGGAACGTTTTATACATTTTAGAGGATGTATAAAGGAGGGGATATATGTGATGCTTCACTAAAACTTACAGAATTAAAGCAATCTAGTTGGAGTAGTGAAAAGATTTTGATCTTTGGGGTCTCAGTGGCTTAGTTTGAATTAATTATTGCTTAGCCATCTATTAGTTGAATGACTTTAGGCAATGTAATCCTCTGGACCTCCGTTTTCTTATGAAAAAATGGGCATAATAATATTTTGCTTGCACGGTTACTATAAAAATAAGCATGACTAAAAGAGCTAGTGAAATCAACAACTTAGCCTTAGTTAGTACCTTGATCCTTGGGTAGTACACAATAGAGTGCACTACCAGATAGAGATAAATACCAGACACATTCCTTGACTTACAAGTTGCATGTAAGGCTTGTAAAGAAACCCTCTAATTTTCTATTTAAAATCACCCCCAAATGGCTATGGGACCATATTACTATATGCCTCTTTGGTTTAGAAACCAAAGAAACATCTTTAATAGGAATATTTTTATATGCCCAGAGAACTCTTCTCAGGCATTGAACAAACCACAAAAAATGTTTCATGACAAACCAAAGATGCCCTAGGCACATCACACCACACTCAGGCTGTGATAGATAATGTGTGTGCTATTACTTCATATTAGGGGCACAGATGCCTCAGAAGAGAGGAATTAATCACAAACTCTTTAAACCAGTGTTTCATGCCTTAATGCATATAGCAATCACCTGGGGGTCTTGTTAAAAATGCTGGTTCTGGTTCAGTGGGTCTGGGATGGAGCCTGAGATTCTGCCGTTCTAACAAGCTTCCTGGTGATATGATGCATCTGGACCATGGACCACAGTTTGAGTTGCAAAGCTGAATGCTTTTCAAACTTTGATACACATGAGATTCACCTGGAGATCTTCTTAAGAATAATGATGCTTGAGTTCTTAGTCCAGGCAAAACCCTGGGGTTGAATTCTCAGCTTAGATATTCTTTTAAAGCTTCCTGAGTGATCTTTCTATGTAGAGCTGTGGTTGAAAACCAGTGTTTTAGATGTAAGGGTTTCCTCTTCTTGCTAATTACATTGACAACATTGTAATGTTTTGTTCAATATCTAGTTTCATTGTTTCAGTGGCACCTGTCTCAGATCACCTGGAAGCTTTTTTTTTTTGACTCCTCTTTTAAAGAATTTATTTTGAACCTATCATAACACCACTGACATATAACTCCCTAATAAGATAAAGCAAAAACAAAAAGTTTATCATATTAGAAATAAGATACACCATCACTTACAGTCTTCAAACATTATTGCACTTTAACTTTCATAATTTGACAAAGCATTCATGAAACAATCTGCAGACTAGTTTTAACAAACAAATAACACCTGTAAGCAGACATGACTGCCCTAAATTGTTTATTAGGTATGAATTTTACAAACTTTACTTATATTAGTGGTAACGGTGGAGCTGGAGAGTATTGCACCTTCTCCAAGCTGCGCAGCAAGAACTACCAATAGTGTGGTGGAACTTATGGCCCTTTCCAAGGCGGCGGCTCTTTCAGCCTGCAGATGTCAGCCCACGCATTTCCCTGTGCTTGTGGACTGGTTTGGTGATCCACTGGGTGTCAGGATTTCTTCTGATAGCTTTATGGAATGGATCAATGAGGATAACCTCAAAAAATTTGTATGTGGAATCTTCACCAACCCAGTACGAATTCAGGACTCTTAGAGCCCCACAGTGGTGTCCAGCTTGCTCCTCTGCAACGGACTGAAGACTTTGGGCAAACTTTAACTAGTTAACTCCATGATGGACAGGCTTGCCGTTAAGTTACAGCCTTAGGAACTGGGCATTTCCAGCCACCACGGCGAACACAAATCCTATATATAATGTAACCTTGCTTGGCTTTGTAGCCCAGTCGGCATGCTTTATCGGGCTGGGTGGAGCGGGGAGCCCTGTGGAGAGCAGAGAGCTGCCACTCTGTGCCAGCCCTGTGGAGAGCAGGGTACTGCCAGCAGCGGACCCTCAGAAGAAAGTGCATGACATCAGACTGCTTCTTTCTCCACAGCTCCTGGATGTACTTGTAAGCACCTATCTTGGCCTACCTGATGGCTGCCACCAGACAGAAAGGAAAGAGTCTTACTCCCCACCTGGAAGCTCTTAAAAAAAGACTGCTGAGGCCTAGGCGGGTGGATCACGAGGTCAAGAGATCAAGACCATCCTGGCTAACATGGTGAAACCTCGTCTCTACTAAAAATACAAAAATTAACTGGTCGTGGTGGTGCACACCTACAGTCCCAGCTACTCGGGAGGCTGAGGCAGGAGAATCTCTTGAACCTGGAGATGGAGGTTGCAGTGAGCCGAGATCGCACCACTGCACTCCAGCATGGCAACAGAGTGAGACTCTGTTTCAAAAAAAAAAAAAAAAAAAGAAAGAAAGAAAAAAGAAAGACTGCTGGGCACCATCCTCAGAGTTACTGATTCAGGAAGTCTGGCTGGAGTGGGGCCTGAGAAATTTCTTTTCTAACAACTTAGTTATTGATCCAGAACCCAGCTTTGGGAACTGCCACTTTATTATTTCATAAACTTCACTGGAAGAGAGATTGTGCCTATGTATCCACCATTCTATCACCTGTGCCTAGTATGTTTATGGCATGAATGAATCTCTTTTGGATGAAAAAGTGATGGTGAAACCCTGTCTCATTCATAGTGAAAACACATACAGAACATTGGAAACCTTCACCCAGCTCATTAAAGATAATGCTTGCCAATGAACCACAACAAATAACATTGGTTTAGGGATCTCTGCTACTATAGACCCTAGAGTATCTGGGGCATTTCTCATGAAAGTTCTGATTAGTTTTTCCTGAGGCACTACTTTATGGTAATAAAATTGGCATTCCATCAACAGGTTGATCGACTGTTCAGGCTTCCCTTCAAGGTGGCTTGAAATAGCAGAAGCAATAGTCTCTTTTAAATAAATAAAATTTTTTTAATACATAAAGTCTCTCTTAAAGGGCCATCTGCTTTCAATTTTTCATTTAAACCTTCTGAAGGCTCACCAAGTGCCATAAGATAAAGAGAGCAAAAGTAAGGTGTAGCATCACAGGCAATAATATTCCTATCATTGCCAAAGTACTATAGGGATTACTGCATAGTGGCAATTCTCTTATATCCTAAAAATATTAATGTGTTTTGATTCTGAAGGAAACCAAAATACACCACTTTCAAATATATGTCTTTAATATATTTTGATGTGGCTATTCAGAGAGGCTGCAGACCATAGGAATACCTTTTACAAGCTGTCCTTTTGTGAGGAAGATTTGCAACTGTAGAGGAAATCTACATAAGTGAAGTTGACAGTGAATACAAACAGGCTTTCTCTGAGCCCCATCCCTTATCTGCCTTTATCCACATCTAGAAAAGATTAACTCACAAACAAAGGAGACTAAAACTTTTTCCTCAGGCTCCTATCTATACCAAGAGCTGCTACCAATGAGCTTTCATCTGCATAATAAGAAAAACTTTGCTTGCCATTGTCAACCTGAAATAATTGACAGGATCAGAACCCAATTTTAAAAAGTTTATTTAAGTGAAAAGCTGAGAATAACTATCCAAGAAACATGGACTCCTGAGAAATGGGGTCAGTGCTCTGAAGTTAAAAGTTAAGTTCTTCCTTATATTAGCAGAAAACAAGGACAGTTAGTAGGATTATAACATTTTCTATATAAGCCTCGTTTATGAGTTACAACTAACTTTTTTTTAACAGCTTGTTTTCATATCCTTTCCAATTTAAAAGCATATTTAATGTTCCATCTTAGACAATGTGACAGTAATGAAGTCTTTGTGTAAGAGAGGAAAGAGGAAAGTTAATCTACAATGAAGATCAACAGTGAACAGGGAAGGGGTCTTCTCTGGCAACCTTCTGTCATTTACCACATTTTATAAAACACTGTAGGTAAAGAAAAGGCTAATTGATAACCAAAACAACAAAGATTACAGCTGCCTGCGTTACAACTGCCTGTCACATGACTCAGGTCCCATAATCACATTCCCTTAAGGCTCAAAATATCTGAAAGTTCCAACAGCTTAGATTCTGAATTACTTGTTTTCACACCATGCTTTCCTCCCATCATTCTCTTGGAATGCCACCTCCTCCCTCCTCTAGAAGCCTCAAGCCCCTAATCTTTCTGTCCCCTCAGGATGGTGTAAAAACTTCAGCCATCTGTTCTGTCCTTTGAATTTCATGTTTGCAAGGCTCCTATGTTCATGTATGTATAAATATATTTGTGTGCCCTTCTCCTGTTAATCTGTCTATTTTAAGTTTGGTTTATAGAATAAAGTTATCAAACCTTCAGAAAAGGGAGGGAAGGAAATTCCTTTTGCTCCTACAGTTTAATATTAGTCTTTTTGTAATAAAAAAAATCCTAATTTTTTTTTATTGTAAGCAGACCTTCCCTGTCTGCTTACAATTTTAATATTTCAAGGTGGATTTTCTCAGACTAGAGGTAGAAGCAGCACAGAGCTATTATGCTGATGATTCACGTTTTTGACTCTTGGGTTACACATTTATTTAATTATCATGATCAAATATTTACTTTTGTGGAAGTTCCCTGACGAGAAGGCTTAGTTCTTGCCCTCTGAGAGCTAGAGAAAAATCTAACAAATCTGATACAGGTTACTTTCCCAGATCCTGTGTTTGAATGCTGTGGAAAGAAACTACTAGGTATACCCAAATATTCTAGATGATTAAAAAAAAAGTTCAAAAACCCCTGAATCTCGCGAATCTTCTCAGAACTGTTAACAGCTATTGTCTTGATAATTTTTTATTTTATTTTTTACTTTATGGTTTTAGAGTAATTTTGTTTTTCCCCAAAAAACAGGGTTTATTTGCCTGATAACAAATAACTCTCCACAAGAATGAAGGTTTTGATCAATAGGAGTTTTATTACCTGGCCCAAGTAAGGAGAACACTGAGAGTATTCTCCAAAGCACTGTCTCCTCGAGGGAAAGTGACAAGAGGATTATATGGGGCAATATATAGGGAGAGGGTGCGTCACCACATGTAGAGGAGGGGTTCCAGTTGTGCAGAAGCAGCCAGTGATTATGCCAGTTCACAGGTTGCATGTTAAGGTAATGAAGCTACTGCTTCTCCCAGGTGGAGACTTCAGCATGGTAACAAGGGAAGTTCACTCAGACTCATCTATAAGTTGCTGGGGTCTGTCAGGAGCTGGTTCCAATCAACAAGGTAACTGCATTCCACATAGGGTTTGGAAAAAAACAGACTTCAGGGCAGAAGGCAGTAAAACAGGCTGATTGCTAAAGTTGATTAAATTCCTATAATCCCTGGAGACCTTCCCTGTCTGCTTACAATTTCAAAATTTCAAAGTTTCTTTTGCTTATGATAACCCAAGTTCTATGAGGTAAGAAGGCTTGTTTCTAAACATAATTTGTCAGAAGTGGCAGCAAGAAATTAAATAACTTGTATATGTAATCACCTGATGTGTTCATCTTGCCTGCTTCCCAGAAAACCTGATGCACTGAGAACAGCCTTTTGCAATAGAGAAGGAGTTTAGTAAACTCAGAACTGCCTAAGTTGAAGGACAGGCATTTTATTATTGCTTAAATCAGTCTCCCTAAAAATTTGGAGGCTAGGGATTTTTAAGTATAGTTTGGTGTGCAGAGGGCAACGGAATGGGGAATACTGATTAGTTGGGTTGGGGATGAAATCACAGGGAGTTGGAGCTGAAACTACATTTGCAAAATTATGGCTGAGTCAGTGAAATAGATCTAACTTAATCAACTCTATCCTGTTTCTAACCTCCAAGCTGTCCGTGTTCTTTCCTGGGCGTATGCTGAACTTACTTTGGGAGAAACTTGGTTTATAGCTTATAGTTTAGGACAAAGACAGTAACAGCCCTTTCCCAGGGCAGACTTCCTTCTTGCCTGGGGACTAGATTGCCTTTGTAGAGCTAACATTAGCCACAAGATTAGAAATTATGGTTTATGACTCATGAAGCTGGAGGCTACATGATTCTGGCCCTCCCTAAAGTGCTCCTAAGATCAGTGCTTGAGCTATTTTGCAGACCCTGCACTTGATGGATCACCTGGCACCACCCAGATTGATCAAGTGGCTCATCTGATTTTGTGGCCCCCACCCAGGAACTGACTCAGTGCAAGAAGACAGCTTTGTCTCCCTATGATTTCATCCCTGACCAATCAGCAGTCCTGGCTCACTGTGTTTCCCCCACCCACTAAGTTGTCCTTAAAAACTCTGCTCCCTGAATGCTCAGGGAGACTGATTTGAGTAATAATAAAATTCTGGTCTCCTGCACAGCGGGCTCTGCATGAATTACTCTTTTTCTATTGCAATTCCCCTATCTTGATAAATTGGCTCCGTCTAGGCAACAGGCAAGGTGAACCCCTTGGGCAGTTATAGAGGAGCTTGACTTCTTGTACTGAGTCAGTTCCTGGGTTGGAGCTTTAGCTTTTGAGACCAGATAAACCAGGTTACCAGCCTGGGTGGTGCCAGCTGGTCCATCACAATGCAGGCTCTGAAAAAATGTCTCAAACACCAATCTTAGGTTTTATAATAGCAATGTTACCTATGGGAGCAACTGGGGAGGTGAAGAATCTTGTGGCCTCTGGCTGCATGACTCCTGAGCCATAATTTCTAATCTTGTGGCCAATTTGTTAGTTTCAAAGGAAGTCTGATCCCCAAGGAAGGAAGGGGTTTATTTTAGGAAGGGACTGTTATTGAAAGACAGGACTAGCTGGATTTCCTAGGCTAAGAATCCCTAAGCCTAGCTGGGAAGGTGACTACATCCACCTTTAAACACGGGACTTGCAACTTAGCTCACACCCCACCAATCAGGTGGTAAAGAGAGCTCACTAAAAAGCTAATTAGGCAAAAACAGGAGGTAAAGAAATAGCCAATCATCTATTGCCTGAGAGCAAGCTGGAGGGATAATGATCAGGATATAAACCCAGGCATTCGAGCCGGCAACAGCTACCCTCTTTGGGTCCCCTCCCTTTGTATGGGAGCTCTGTTTTCACTCTATTAAATCTTGCAGCTGCACTCTCTTCTGGTCCGTGTTTGTTACGGCTGGAGCTGAGCTTTTGCTTGCCGTCCACCACTGCTGTTTGCCGATGTCGCAGACCCACCGCTGATTTCCATCCCTCTGGATCCAGCAGGGTGTCTGCTGTGCTCCTGATCCAGGAGGCGCCCATTGCTGCTCCTGACTGGGCTAAAGGCTTGCCATTGTTCCTGCACAGCTGAGTGCCCGGGTTCATCCTAATTGAACTGAACACTAGTCTCTGGGTTCAATGGTTCTCTTCTGTGACCCACGGCTTCTAATAGAGCTATAACACTCACCGCATGGCCCAAGATTCCATTCCTTGGAATCCGTGAGGCCAAGAACCCCAGGTCAGAAAAAACAAGGCTTGCCACCGTCTTGGAAGCAGCCCACCACCATCTTGGGAGCTCTGGGAGCAAGGACCCCTCTCCTTCCCCCCACCGCCCCACCCCACCCCACCCGGCCCCACCGTAACATTATCATCTTTGTTTTGAGGTTAAGCTATAAACTAAATTCCTCCCATAGTTAGCTTGGCCTACACTCAGGAATGAGCAAGGGCAGCTTAAAGGTCACAAGCAAGATGAAATTAGGTCACATTACTTTCACTGTCACAATTTTTGCCGAGGTGGTTAGATACAGAGTCTTACAGCTAATAGGAGAGTAGTAACAAAGTCTCTATGCAAATTTGAGGCACACAGATTATATGAATCAACTTGTATAAACAAATGGAAAAAGGGCATATTACAGCAAGTTGTATCCATAAACTAAAGAACCTGTAGATACAGAGTGTAGGTTTCATCCTTCATATTGAATGCTTTACAGTCTACATTTTTAGGACTCATGTATGTTATTTTCCCTCTGTGTAATTTCCTGCCTGATCAGTATCTCTGGCCTCTTGAAGTCTTGGTAGAAGTACTGAAGAAATGCAAACAACCCTGCTTTCTGAAAGTGAAGTGATAAGTTACTTACTATTTATTTTGATGAAGCTGGTCTAGGGAAAAAGTGCTTCAGAAATGTGTACTCTATGGGATACACAGGCAACAATGTGTATGTGATGTGTGTGTGTTTGTGTGTGCATATGTATTGCATATATGGCATACTTTTCTTACCCTAAAACTCGTGGTTAAACTTTTGTTAAAATAAAGACATCAAGTTTGTGAAGAAATATGATATATGCTGAAGATCTGTAAAACTGAAAAGAAAAAAATAAAAAGAGTGCTGCAGCGAATCAGCCAAAAAGCGAAGAAACATGTGAATCTTAGTCTAGGACTCCACTGACTTGAAGACAGTATTCATGTATGTTAGGCCTTTAGTAACACTCTGCCTAAAGAAAAGAAGGCCCAGAAGACTGAGTCTGGAAATACAGAAGAGGGATACGTTTTGCATAGCATGGTTTTAGAGTCAGAGCCAGAAGGAATGAGTGGAAGGTACTGAGAGACAGATTTAGGTTTACATATAAAATAATTTTCTAACAAATATTATTGCATTCATGAGAGTATTCTGTGTGTTTATATAATATTAACTGTGTCTTTACTCATATTTACTAATGATACGGCTCCAGTGAGTGGAGGAACACCAGGGTTTTTCGTCTGGAGTCGAATTAGATAAAATGACATGGATACATGTGGAGTGGTTTTAAGGAGCAGAGAGTTTAATAGGCAAGAAGGAAGGGAGAAGAAAGAAGAAAGAAACTCCCCTGTACAGAGACAGAGTGAGGGGCTCCAAAGCCGAGAAAGGAGAGCCCATGTGCCGAGGATACCAGCCAGTTTTATGAGGAGGCTGGAGGAGGCAGTGTCTGATTTGCATAGGACTCAGGGGATTGGTTTGACCAGCCATGTTATTCATGTAGCCTGGGAAAAAATTGGCCTTTCCACCCTAGCCTTTTAATATGCAAATGCAGGGCTCCATACTTAGGGATATGTGGGGGCAGCCATGTTGCCAGGGACACGTGGGGGCAAGGGCAAGAGGACAACGGTGAGAATCACCGTGTTGGGTGGACCCAGTTTCTAATGGCCTGCATTTGCATATCAAAGGTTGCCGCCCCTAAGAGCCAGGGCTTCTCTGCTAGATAAGAAACGTTTCTTGAGCTGCTTTAAAAAGAAACAAAAACATTCCAAGGACCCCTTTTCCTCTCTGCCTAAAATAATTTCTTCATAACTCCTACCACACGAATTTAATGTTTATAGAAATCCGCTTTACACATCACAAAATCGAAGTACCAGGATGTTATGAAATGTGCCCATCTTTCCAGTCAGGAAACAGTAGAAATGGAATTTGAACATATACTGTCGGGCTCTGAAGGCTACAGTTCACCTGTGTGGATGTGATACCTCTCTGATGCTTCAAGATATGAGATGTCCTATAAGCAAGTGATTTTTTACACCATCGAGTTTGTTTAAATGAAAAATGGGGCCAGATGTGATGGCTCACGCCTGTAATCCCAGCATTTTGGGAAGTCAAGGTGGAAGAATTGCTTGAGGCCACGGGCTTGAGACCAGCCCAGGCAACATAGTGCGACCCTGTCTCTACAAAAAATAGGAAAACTAGCCAGCTGTAGTCCCAGCTACTCCAGAAGCTGAAGTGGGAGGATTGCTTGAGCCCAGGATGTCAAGGCTGCAGTGAGCCATGATCATGTCACTACACTCTAGCCTGTGTGACAGAGGAAGAGCCTGTCTCAATAAATAAATAAAAAATGAAAAATAATGAGCCCCTGTCAAGTACATGCCAGAAGATATTTCTGCTTTAGTTAGAAGCTGTACTAGATAATCACTGATGTGATTATATAATTTCATTCTAACGTAAGTCATCTCATTTAATTCTAAGATTCTATTATTAAATAATCTGGATTTTCTAGGTTTTCATTATCTATTGAACTCTCAATATTATTGTTTTGCTATTCACTTGAGTTTACCTACAATGTAAACCATGCTGTAGCAAAACAAGTCTTAACTGGTTGCTATGATCCATATTTATAAAGAATAGAGACTGATTCCATAATATAGAAAATGATTATGGCAGCTTCAGTCTGTACGATGACTGTAGTCTATCAAAGTTGTCATATATAATCAGAGAAACAGCTTTAAGGAAACTACTTAGAAATAAAATTATTTTGTATAATGGAGTCTGGTGCTGGTAAACACGATTTGACCAACAATGGGGCAATTTAAAAAGTGTAAGTGAAATAGATTGCCAATTAGATATAGCACTTTATAAATGTGGATAATTGATCCGGAGAAACCAATAAATATCTGAAGAGCTCAATAATCACTTTAAAAAGTAATCAAGCCGTGTAATTCCTTCTGTAATTCCATCTGTAATTCAGATCATGAAGAAAATTATCTGAATCAAGAGAAAGAACACAGATATTTCAATACATCTTTTATATTACTTAATTAAGTTGGTTACCATATTGCTATAAATATACCACTTTCTACAGCTTGCTGATTATCATCATTTTGAAATGTAATCCAAGGTTAAGTAAGAGAAGGATGAGTAACATAGTTTTTTTTTTTCTTTTTGACAAAACACAATTTAAGAAAATAATTGCAAATAAGATGGAAAAGTTAAACTTATTTGATGTTCTGAATTAGAAGTATGGAAAGAGATGATGTAAGCCTGGATGGTCTTTTGTTAGTAACCTTCATTACTTGATAAATCAATCCATAATCCAAACCACAATGACATTCCTTCTGGAAAGAATGCTACACCAGTGGAAACTAATTAAAATGAAAACCCTGTCTATGAAAGTAGGAATTTATACGGAATATTTAACAAAGTGTCAAGTAGTGCTAATGAGCTGTTTTAGGGCTAATTCTGGTAACTACAGAGTGAAGTAAGGCCACATTTTCAATCCAAATGATTCACAAAGTTTACTTAGAATTCAACTTGCAAAAACTCTCATTGAATTTTTGTCTCCTCTCGTTTACCTTATCTAAACTAACTTACCTCATTCTTTTCCCACCTTGAGTTCATATCTGTATGTTACTACTACCTTGGAGAGAACAGAATATCAAAATAGGAGTCCTGCTAGAATCCATAGGGACTTCTTAGAAGACCATTAAGAGATGTTGTATGCAACATTTACCTTAAAATCCGATCTAATCAAGACTTCTTAGGGTCTTTAAAGTTCAATCTGAAAAGAGAAAAAAATCAGTTTAGAGTCAATAATACATGAATAGTGTTATTATCAGCCTTTTAATCTTTTAACAAATAGTATTTTGTAATTTATAGAAAGATAACAATCAATGATCATATAAAAAGAGCAGATGGCATTTAACAGCTAAAAGGTGACAAAATTAGATGCGCATAAAATTAGGAAAATAAATTATCATAAACATTTACAGCCATGTCCTCCAAAATTTGTACTAATTAATTTTTTAAAACTTGTGAATTTGACTAAGTATTTAATGAAGAATTAATACCAGTCCTTCACTAACAATTCAATCCTTCATTATCAAGAGAGAATACTTCCCAGTTTATTCCATGAGGCCAGTATTAGCATGATACAAAATCCAGACAAAAGTATCTTAAGAAATTAAGACGACAGACCAGTTATCTCCTGATGAGTGCAGACACAGACATTCTCTAAAAACACTAGAAAACTGAATAAAGTAATATATAAAATGAATCACATACCTCAACCTTGTGAAATTATTTTGCAAATGCAGTGATGGTTTAACATCTAAGAATAAATCATTGTAAAATATCATATTAATAGAAAAAGACAAAAATAATGCTCATCTTGATAAACACAGAAAAGCATTTGACATAATCCAACATTTAATCATGATTTAAAAAATAAACCAGCAAAATACAAATAGAAAAACACTTTCTTGCACTAAGACAACGTATCCATTACATACTGAAAGCTTATACTCAATGAAGAAATACCCCTGGGAAGTAGGACCTATCATTTCTAAATTCTACAAATTTTAATTTAGGAACTAAGTGGGTCTTAAAATGCTACTTGGTTCTGTTGATCAGGTCTCCTAAAGAAGGAGCGTAAAACCGGGCTGGTTTTCTTGGCCATGACTAGAGTGTGGTATTTTCAAAAAATATAAAGATTTAATATTTACAATGTCAGAGGAGGAAAAATACATGCTCATCTGAAAAGATGCAAAAAAAAGGTATTTTCTAAAATTCAGTATTTTATGTTGATTCAAGACTCACAAAAACTGGTAGCATTTGCATAATTCTGTAACATTATTTATCAGATAGATCTCAAAGAGAGAAGAACCTCAGCCTGTGCTGGCATACTCCTGTCTCAGTGCCATTAGGAAAAAGACAAAGAAGCCACCGTCCCCACTAATATTTATGACTGATCAGAAAAAATAAGCAAAACCTTTAGACAAAATTGGGAAATACAGAAACAAAGGCCAAGTAGCATTTTCAGATGATCTGATTGCCTGACTGAGAAACCATGGGAACAGAAAGCAGAAATAATATTGGCAACTAAATATAACATCACTCCAAGAAGTTCAAAAGACTGCACCAATTAAGCCATGTGTGGGAGAGGCATGGAATCACTAAACTGTGAAAAGGGGAATTAGAGACTTGAGCAGAGGGACCTGCTCATCCCTAGAGAAAATCTCAATATTGCAATGAAGTTATATTTTCACCCAACTTATTTTACACATTCACTTTAGTTAATTTAACATTTTCCAAGTCATATTAATGATTACAAGGTATATAGACACACACACATACATACACATTTATTTTTCTGAGAAGAAAAGCAAGAGTAAAGAAAATGCCTAATACATGGAGAGGAAATGCATTAATCAATTAGAACCAGGTTAAGTGAGTTTCAGAAATTGATTAACATGGCCTTTAGAATTACAATGAGTAAAAAGAAGACCAGAAAACACAAAATGATGCTCAGTCCTACTAATAATGAAAGCTCTTTGGTTTATGTTTTGGAAATGGTCCCAGTGATAAAACTTATGTATAATGAAATCATGGGGCAGGCAGGAAACAGACTATGACTTATTCATATGCAATTTGTGATTCAACAGTGAAATATGTTCTCTATCAAATGAAATTTAGGGACTGAATTACTTATAATTAAGCAGTTTCCAAAACAGCAATGTAGAGAATCTCAGAAGAAACTCACATAACTACCCAACAGTGAAAAGTTTGGTGCTGTGAAAGTGGGCTCTCTAGGTGGGCTCACTGGGAGCGGGGCTCCTAGACAGTGTCTTTACTTGACCCTGAGTGTAGGTGTGAGACCGCGGGCCCTCACAGAGGACAGTGTGCAGGGCCTGTGTGAGGTGAGCAAAATCTCACAGATTTTGACAAGACTCACAAGGTCCCAGAAGCCTGGGAGTACAGAGAAGCACAAGGACCTGGGAAAGTTCTTCACCTGGGTGTGAACCTGCGCCTGTACCTCCTATGCACATGCAGAACAGCCCTCCTGCTAGCTTTTCTGTGCTTCTCACCCTCTTGTTGAATATGGCACTCTAGCCACCATTCTGGATAGAGCAGAACCCAGCAGGGAAGAGCAGGCACCTCCAGCTTAGGACAAGAGAAAAATACAGCTATTAATTTCAAGCGACTTTAAGTATATGCTGTGGAACACATGTCCTTGGAGATGCTCCATGTAAAGAAGAAATTTCATGGTAAAATAAGTTCAAAAAGCACAGCAAAATATGCCCTTCTCCTTTACACAGGCAAAAATATTATATCAAGTTCAGAGAAATCTGAAAAAAAAGTTTATTGCAACATTTGCCAAATTTACTTGACCACAAACCACTCTTTTCTTTTTTTTCTTTCACTATGAAGATACTGTCATTCTGTAGAAACAAAATTTAAGGAGAATCTTGCTTTAAAATTTTTATTTTTCCATCAGATTTTTATATTTTAATTATATTTTGATAAGGAGGAAGTTTTGTTTGAACTTTCATGTTGCACTGGAAAAGTGGAAAATTTTAGGTTTAGCTTCTGGAAGCAATGTTTGGCTAGATTATTTTAATAATTTCTCCCTCAAAAACTTTACCAAAAAAACCTGAATAATATATTATTTTAAAACATTGAAGAGAATTTAAGAAACACCAAAGCTACTTTTGACCTGCATTTGTGTCTCCTGTAAATTGGGTTTGATCATTTTGGAAGGCAAGTGGGAAAAAATTCAAAGCCCAGGACTGGCAGAAGTAAGAGGTTTAAGAGACAACTTTATGCAAAATGAGCTGGGATTTTAAAGAACTACATACTCTGAGTGAGGGTCAACCAGAAGTATACCAGGCTTCTCATGGAATTGCAACCTGAAGTTTAATATCTTGCATAGTCCATACCATCTTAAGAATTGAGTTGGTTTTAAGTAGGTCTCTGATTAGTGTAATGTCCCCAAGAGACTGTCAGAAGCAAATGTAATCTCTCTAGAGCAAAATGTCTTAATCCAAATCTGCAGATTAATTATGTGCCAACTTGGCTAGGCTATGGTACCTAGCTGTTTGGTCAAGTACCAGGTTATTTTATTTTTTAAAAAAATTTTTTTGGATACATAGTGGGTGTATATATTTGTGGAATGTATGAGGTATTTTCATAAAGGCATGCAATGTGTAATAATCACATCAGAGTAAATAGGGTATCCATCACCTCAAACATTTATCCTTTCTTTATGTTACAAACAATCCAATTACACTCTTTTAGTTATTTTAAAATATGCAGTAAATTACTGTTGACCGTAGTCTCCCTGTTGTGCTATCAAATACTAGTTCTTAATCATTCTAACTATATTTTTGTATTCATTAACCATCCCCACTTCCCCCTATCCCTACCCTGCTCAGCCTCTGGTAACTGTTATTCTACTCTCTATCAACAAGAGTTCAATTGTTTTAATTTTTAGCTCCCAGAAAAAAGTGAGAACATGCAAAGTTTGTCTTTCTGTGCCTGGCTTATTTTACTTAACATGATGGCCTTCAATTCCAGCCCTGTTGCTGCAAATGACAGGATCTCATTCTTTTTTTATGGCTGAATAGTAATCCATTGTGTGTATGTACCTAAGTGATGGACATTTAGGTTACTTCCCAATCTTGGCTGTTGTTTACAGTGCTGCAACAAACATGAGAGTGCATTATATCTCCTTGATATAATGATTTCCCTTTATTTGGGTACATACCTAGCAGTGGGATTGCAGAACATATGGCAGCTCTATTTTTAGTTTTTTGAGGAACCTCCAAACCGTGCTCTATAGTGGTTGTACTATATTTACATTCTCACTAACAGTGGATGAGTTCCCTTTTCTCCATATCCTTGCTGGCATTTGTTATTGCCTGTCTTTTTGATAAAAGCCATTTTAACTGAGGTATGATGAGGCCACATTGTAGTTTTGATTTGCATTTCTCTGATGATCAATGATGTTGAGCACCTTTTCATAAACCTGTTTGCCATTCGTATGTCTTCTTTTAAGAAATGTCTATTCAGATATTTTGCCCATTTTTAAATCAGATTTTTAGATTTTTTCCAACTGAGTTGTTTGAGCTCCTTATATATTCTGGTTATTAGTCCCTCATCAGATAGATAGCTTGCAAATATTTTCTCCCGTCCTGTGAGTTATCACTTCATTGTGCTGGTTGTTTTCTTTGCTATGCAGAAGCTTTCTGACTTGATTTTATCCTGTTTGTCCATTTTTGCTTTGGTTGTCTGTGTTTTGGGGGTGTTACTCGAGCAATCTTTGCCCAGAACAATGTCCTAGAGATTTTCCCCAATGTCTTCTTGTAGTAGTTTCATAGTTTGAGGTCTTAGATTTAAATATTTGTTCTATTTTAATTTGATTTTTGTATATGGTGAGAGATAGGGATCTAGTGTCATTATTCTGCATGTGAATATTCAATTTCCCAGCACGATTTATTGAAGACACTGTCCTTTCTCCAATGTATGGTCTTAGCACCTTTGTCAAAAATAAGTTCAGTGTAGATGCATGGATTTATTTCTGGGGTCTCCATTCTGTTCCTTTGGTCTGCATATCTGTTTATATGCCAGTATGTGCTGCTTTGGTTACTATATCTCTGTAGCATAATTTGAAGTCAGGTGATGTAATTCCTCCAGTTTTGTTCTTTTTGCTCAGGATAGCCTTTGATACTATGTATTTTGTGGTTCCATATAAATTTTAGAATTATTTTTTTCTATTTCTGTGAAGAATGTTATTGATATTTTGATAGGGAGTACACTGAATATGCAGATTGCTAAAATTTAATCTTTATTCTTGCATCTTCCTATTATCTCTCTGAAATCTGTTCTGCCAAACTTCTACACACATACAAATATATTTATATTCATGTTCATTGATTTCTTCAAAGGTCATCTGACAATGGATTCTTTAGAGTAGTCTGGCCCTCAAGTTATGTTGTTCCATTAAACATAATCTCTCAGTTGTTTATTATTTAGAATCTTGGTATTAGTTCACTGGTGTGTGTGTGTGTTTCTGTGTATGTGTATGCACATGTGTGTGTTTTCAGATAAAGTTTAAATTTTACCTGCCTTCCAGGGGTGATATGAAGCATAACTAACTTTGGTGAAATACAAATTCCAACAGTAATCATTCTGTAGGCTTACACGCTTAAACTTTTTTTACACAGCCTACTTACCAAATGAATAATTTAGCATGCAAATCTCAGATACATTCAAAGACAAGTGCATATGAAACTAAGTTAGGTGTTTTGTGATTTGAGGTTATGATAGCCAAATGTCTTTGCTCTCCATGATTTCAAGAAATAGAAAGAAGATAGAGTAATTTTGCAAATAGTTAAGCTTCTGCCTCTTGTGCCATTGGCAATAGAACATTATTACAGATCATTTTGTTTTCCATTTCTGACTGTTTGTCTCTTGGAGGAAACTCTTTACTCACAGTGCCTAGTGCAGTGCCAGGTTCAAGTTAAGGTAAATAACAGCTTTCTGAATGGATGTCCGTTGTCATGATGGCTCTTATCAGAAGGGAAAAATCATACATTCCTAAAACCAAAAAAATCTTTAAGAGACTGTAGAGATGAGTCTCTGACTTTCAAATTATGAGGCTCTCCAGATGGCAGCTATTAACTTTATAAAAAATCTGCAAAAGTGAAGGGTTACTACTATTCCTTGGTAAACTATTCCAGTGTCTCATTCTCTTCTTATTAAATAGACAATGCAATGACTGCTTATAGTTCTTGGCACTGTGAAATAAAATGGCAAAGAGAATAGAATCTTGATCTTGTGAAGTTATAGATTAGTGAACCACTAATAATTAGAACAAGAAGGAGCCTTTAGAATGATTCCACCCTACTCTGATTCCTTCATTTTATAGGTCAGTGTTGTGAACTGAATGTTTTTGTCCCTCCCTTCCCCCAAAATGTTATATGTTAAAATTCTAATCCCTAATATAATAGTATTCAAAGATAGGGCCTTTGAGAGGTGGTTAGATCATGAGGGTGGAGCCCTCATGAATGAGATGAGTGCCCTTATAAAAAGAAACACTCACCACTCCTATTCAACATAGTATTGGAAGTCCTGACCAGAGCAATCAGGTAAGGGAAAGAAATAAAGAGCATCCAAATAAGAAGAGAGGAAGTCAAACTATCCCTGTTTACAGTTGACATGATTCTTTATCTGGAGAACCCCATTGTCTCTGCTCAAAAGCTCCTTAAGCTGATAAATAACTTCGGCAAAGTTGTGGGATACAAAATCAATATACAAAAACCACTAGCAGTCCCATACACCAACAACAGCCAAGCTCAGGGCCAAATCAGGAATGCAGTCCTATTCACAATTGCCACAAAAAGAATGAAAATACCTAGGAATACAGCTAACTAGGAAGGTGAATGATCTCTATTGGGGGAACCTGCCCCCAATATTTCAACATAGGTTCTTTCTATTTTCCATAAATGTCGGCTAGCTGAGAAATAAAGACAGACAGTATAAAGAGAGGAATTTTACAGCTGGGCTGCCAGGGGTGACATTAGATATCAGTAGGACCATGATGCCTGCCTCAAAACCAACAAGTTTTTATTAAGGGTTTCAAAAGGGGAGGGGGTGTAAGAACAGGGAGTAGTTACAAAGATCACATGCTTCAAAAGGCAAAAAGCAGAACTGCTAATAAGGGTCTAACAAAGATCACATGCTTCTGAGGGAACAGGACAAAGGGCAAAAGCAGAACTACTGAAAAGGGTCCAATAAAGATCACAAGGCAAAGGGCAAAAGCAGAACTACTGATAAGGGTCTATGATCAGTGGTGCACGTATTGTCTTGATAAACATCTTAAACAACAGAAAACAGGGTTCGAGAGCAGAGAACCGGTCTGATGACAAATTTACCAGGGCAGAGTTTTTCCCCACCCTAGTAAGCCTGAGGGTACTGCAGGAGACCAGGGCATATCTCAGTCCTTATCTCAACAGCATAAGACAGACCTTCCCAGAGCGGCCGTTTATAGACCTCCCCCCAGGAATGCATTCCTTTCCCAGAGTATTAATATTAATATTCCTTGCTAGGAAAAGAATTTAGCGATATCTCTCCTACTTGCACGTCCATGTATAGGCTCTCTGCAAGAAGAAAAATATGGCTCTTTTTGCCCGACCCCACAGGCAGTAAGACCTTGTGGTTGTCTTCCCTTGTTCCCTAAAAATTGCTGTTATTCTGTTCTTTTTCAAGGTGCACTGATTTCATATTGTTCAAACACACATGTTTTACAATCAATTTCTACAGTTAACACAATTATCACAGTGGTCCTGAAGTGATGTACATCCTCAGCTTATGAAGATAACAGGATCAAGAGAATAAAGTAAAGACAGGCATAAAAAATTATAAAAGTATTATTTGGGAACTGATAAATGTCCATGAAATCTTCACAATTTATGTTCCTCTGACGCTGCTCCAGCCGGTCCCTCTGTTTGGGGTCCCTGACTTCCCACAACAGATCTCTACAATGAGAATTACAAAACACTGTTCAAAGGAATCAAAGATAACAAAAACAAAAGGAAAAACATCCCATGCTCATGGATAGGAAGAATCAATATCATTAAAGTGGCCATACTGCCCAAAGCAATTTACAGATTCGATGTTATTCCTATCCAAAAACCAATGACATTCCTCACAGAACTAGAAAAAACTATTTTGAAATTCATATGAAACCAAAAAAAGAGCCTGAATAGCCAAGGCAATCCTAAGCAAAAAGAACAAAGCTGGAGGCATCATGTTCTCTGACTTAAAACTATACTACAGGGCTACAGTAGCCAAAACAGCATGGTACTGGTACAAGAACAGACACATAGAACAATGTAACAGAATAGAGAACCCACAAATAAGGCCACACACCTACAACCATCTGATCTTCAACAAAGCCGACAAAAACAAGCAATGGGGAAAGGACTCCCTATTCAAAAAATGGTACTGGAATAACTGGCTAGCCATATGCAGAAAACTGAAACTGGACCCCTTCCTTACACTATATACAAAAATCAACTCATGATGGATTAAAGACTTAAATAAAATGTAAAACTCAAAGCTATAAAAACCCTGGAAGATAACCTGGACAATATCATCTGGTAAAGATGTTGTGATTAAGATGCCAAAAGCAATTGTAACAAAAACAGAAATTGACAAATGGAATGCAATTAAACTTAAGAGTTTCTGCACAGCAAAAGAAACTATCAACAGAGTAAACAGACAACCTGCAGAATGGGAGAAAATATTTGCAAACTATGCATCTGACAAAGGTCTAATATTTAACATCTATAAGGAACTTAAACAAATTTACAAGAAAAAAATAACCCCTTTAGAAAGTGGACAAAAGACATGAACACACACTTTTCAAAAACAGACATAGATGTGGCCAACAAAGATATGAAAAAAAGCTCAATATCACTGATCATTAGATAAATGAAAATCAAAACCACAATAAAATACCGTCTCATACTAGTCAGGATGGCTATTATTAAAAAGTCAAAAAATAACAATGCTGGTGAGATTGTTAATACACTGTTGATGGAAGTGTAAATTAGTTCAAACATTGTGGAAGGCAGTGTGACAATTTCTCAGAGACCTACAAACAGAACTACCATTCAACCCAGAAGTATATAATACATATTTCTATATAATATATATAGAAATGTATTTAATTTTTCTGTATACACCTTGTGTCCTTAAATTCCCTTACTATTTCTAGTATTTTTGAAGATTCATTATAATTTACATAATAATGTCTTGTGCAAATGAAGGTCATTTTATCTCTTTTTCTAATGATCTAGATATCTTTTATTTTTTTCTCTTGTCATATTGCCCCCTAGCTAGAACCTCCAGTACAATGTTGAATGGAAGTGATGAAGGCAGATATCTTGCTTTATTCTTATCTGAGGAGAAAAGTCTTTGGTCTTTTATCAGTGTTTGGTGTTAGCTGTAGGTATTTTTGCATATCTCCTTTATAAGACTGAGGAAGTTCTTGTATATTTCAAGTTTTCTGAGAGCTTTGATGTCTGAGTATTAAATTTTTTTGAAGTCATTGCCTGCGCCTAACTGGTTTTTTCTTTTTCTTTTGATTAATGTGTCAAATTACATATATATGTTAAGCTAACCTTGAAATCCTCAGATAAACAAACTTGGTCCTGATGTGTTATTTTTACACACTAGATCTGATTGAGGGTTTAATTTCTGCTATCCCCTGAGGTATAATTGATTGACCCAGTCCCATCTCAGCATATTCCGATGACATTCTCTGCGAATGTTCTCAGTTCTTTTGATGTCCTTAGTTCTTCTGATGACTAGGCATTCTTGCTGACCACAAGCCCTTCTGAGTCCCTGCCATGTTGATCATATTTCCCATGGTCCTAGGAAATCTCTTTTTTGATTTTAAAAAATGTGTAATATGAATATCAGCCCTATTGCCAGTTGGCCAGACTCTCAGCTGAGACTTCATACTAAATAAAAGCAAGTATCTAACATGCTTCTTGCTCTGCATGCTGATGCCCAGAAATACGTAAGAAAGAAGTGATTGTAGATAACTAAATTAGTTTATTATCTGCCTTCACTATACACTTTCAATTTTTTTCCCACAATATTTCAGAGCTAGAACTTCTTTTTTTTTTAGTTATACTTTAAGTTTTAGTGTACATGTGCACAATGTGCAGGTTTGTTACACATGGATACCTGTGCCATGTTGGTGTGCTGCACCCATTAACTCATCATTTAGCATTAGGTATATCTCCTAATGCTATCCCTCCCCTCTTCCCCCACCCCACAACAGGCCCCGTTGTGTGATGTTCCCCTTCCTGTGTCCATGTGTTCTCATTGTTCAATTCCCACCTATGAGTGAGAATGTGCGGTGTTTGGTTTTTTTGTCCTTGCGATAGTTTGCTGAGAATGATGGTTTCCAGCTTCATCCATGTCCCTACAAAGGACATGAACTCATCATTTTTTACAGCTGCATAGTATTCCATGGTGTATATGTGCCACATTTTCTTAATCCAGTCTATCATTGTTGGACATTTGGGTTGGTTCCAAGTCTTTGCTATTGTGAATAGTGCTGCAATAAATAGATGTGTGCATGTGTCTTTATAGCAGCATGATTTATAATCCTTTGGGTATATACCCAGTAATGGGATGGCTGGGTCAAATGGTATTTCTAGTTCTAGATCCCTGAGGAATCGCCACACTGACTTCCACAATGGTTGAACTAGTTTACAGTCCCACCAACAGTGTAAAAGTGTTCCTATTTCTTCACATCCTCTCCAGCACCTGTTGTTTCCTGACTTTTTAATGATCATGATTCTAACTGGTGAGAGATGGTATCTCATTGTGGTTTTGATTTGTATTTCTCTGATGGCCAGTGATTATAAGCATTTTTTCATGTGTCATTTGGCTGCATAAATGTCTTCTTTTGAGAAGTGTCTGTTCATATGCTTCACCCATTTTCTGATGGGGTTGTTTTTTTCTTGTAAATTTGTTTGAGTTCATTGTAGATTTTGGATATTAGCCCTCTGTCAGATGAGTAGATTGCAAAAATTTTCTCCCATTCTGTAGGTTGCCTGTTCACTCTCATGGTGGTTTCTTTTGCTGTGCAGAAGCTCTTTAGTTTAATTAGATCCCATTTGTCAATTTTGGCTTTTGTTGCCATTGCTTTTGGTGTTTTAGACATGAAGTCCTTGCCCATGCCTATGTCCTGAATGGTATTGGCTAGGTTTTCTTCTAGGGTTTTTATGGTTTAGGTCTAACATTTAAGTCTTTAATCCATCTTGAATTAATTTTTGTATAAGGTGTAAGGAAGGGATCCAGTTTCAGCTTTCTACATATAGCTAGCCAGTTTTCCCAGTACCATTTATTAAATAGGGAATCCTTTCCCCATTTCTTCTTTTTGTGAGGTTCGTCAAAGATCAGATAGTTGTAGATATGTAGCATTCTTTCTGAGGGCTCTATTCTGTTCCATTGGTCTATATCTCTGTTTTGGTGCCAGTACCATGGTGTTTTGGTTACTGTAGCCTTGTAGTATAGTTTGAAGTCAGGTAGTGTGATGCCTCCAGCTTCGTTCTTTTGGCTTAGGATTGACTTGGCAATGTGGGCTCTTTTTTGGTTCCATATGAACTTTAAAGTAGTTTTTTCCAATTCTGTGAAGAAAGTCATTAGTAGCTTGATGGGGATGGCATTGAATCTATAAATTACCTTGGGCAGTATGGCCATTTTTATGATATTGATTCTTCCTACCCCTGAGCATGGAATGTTCTTCCATTTGTTTGTATCCTCTTTTATTTCATTGAGCAGTGGTTTGTAGTTCTCCTTGAAGAGGTCCTTCACATCCCTTGTAAGTTGGATTCCTAGGTATTTTATTCTCTTTGAAGCAATCGTGAATGGGAGTTCACTCATGATTTGGCTTTCTGTCTGTTATTGGTGTATAAGAATGCTTGTGAGTTTTGCATATTGATTTTGTATCCTGAGATTTTGCTGAAGTTGCCTATCAGCTTAAGGAGATTTTGGGCTGAGACGATGGGGTATTCTAGATATACAATTATGTCATCTGCAAACAGGGACAATTTGACTTCCTCTTTTCTGTCTGATTTCCCTGGCCAGAACTTCCAACGCTGTGTTGAATAGGAGTGGTGAGAGAGGGCATCCCTGTCTTCTGCCAGTTTTCAAAGGGAATACTTCCAGTTTTTGGCTATTCAGTATGATATTGGCTGTGGGTTTGTCATAGATAGCTCTTATTATTTTGAGATACGTCCCGTCAATACCTAATTTATTGAGAGTTTTTAGCATGAAGACTGTTGAATTTTGTCAAAGGCCTTTTCTGCATCTATTGAGATAATCATGTGGTTTTTGTCATTGATTGTTTATATGCTGGATTACGTTTATTGATTTGCGTATGTTGAAGCAGCCTTGCATCCCAGGGATGAAGCCCACTTGATCATGGTGGATAAGCTTTTTGATGTGCTGCTGGATTCAGTTTGCCAGTATTTTATTCAGGATTTTTGCATTGATATTCATCAGGGATATTGGTCTAAAATTCTCTTTTTTTGTTGTGTCTCTGCCAGGCTTTTGTATCAGGACGATGCTGGCCTCATAAAATGAGTTAGGGAGGATTCCCTCTTTTTCTATTGATTGGAATAGTTTCAGAAGGAATGGTACCAGTTCCTCCTTGTACCTCTGGTAGAATTCGGCTGTGAATCCATCTGGTCCTGGACTTTTTTTGCTTGGTAAGCTATTAATTATTGCCTCAATTTCAGAAACTGTTATTGGTCTATTCAGAGATTCAACTTCTTCCTGGTTTAGTCTTGGGAGAGTGTATGTGTTGAGGAATTTATCCATTTCTTCCAGATTTTCTGGTTTATTTGCATAGAGGTGTTTATAATATTCTCTAATGGTAGTTTGTATTTCTGTGGGATTGGTGGTGATATCCCCTTCATCATTTTTTATTGCATCTATTTGATTCTTCTCTCTTTTCTTCTTTGTTAGTCTTGCTAGCAGTCTATCAATTTTTTTGATCTTTTCAAAACACCAGCTCCTGGATTCATTGATTTTTTGAAGGGTTTGTTGTGTCTGTATTTCCTTCAGTGAGCTAGAACTTCTTATAAATTAAACAGTGAAAGTTTTCTCCTCACATCATCCTCCATTGTTCCTCCACAACTCCATAGCCATTGTAGGCACTCGCTGTGAAGAATTCAGTACTTATCTTTCCAGATTTTTATCTCTTCTTAAACAAATATATCCATTCATTTATCCATCCATCCATTCATCTATCCATCATCCACCCATCCATCCATTTATTCATCTTTCTATTTATATTTGCAACATATTTGCAATTGTTCTTTGAAACCAAGTACATTGAGAAATATCTTATTTGTATTTTTTGATTTAAATATATCTTTCTTAGTGAATGCGTAACTTGCTGCTGTATTTTTGCTTCTCCAGTATATCTACAGCCTAGCAACAAATTACCCTATGTTTATTTAGCTCCATGTTTTGCTTTTATCTGTAGTTTTTTCTTTTTATTGTTGAGTGATATTCCATTGTATAGTGTATAGCAATTTGTTTATCCATTAACCAGTTGACAGATATTTGAGTTCTCTGCCAATTTTGGCTAATATGAGTATACTGTCTATGAAGATTCATGTGCGTGTCCATTTTTGGGGGAGAGATATATATTTATGTTTCTTTTAGGTAGTTACATTGGAGCATAATTGCTCAGCAATATGGTAAGTGTATGTTAACTTTAAAATAAATTAGTCAGCATTTTTTCAAAGTAGTTATACTATTTTACACTAACAATGGATGAGAGTTTCAGTTCCTCCACATTTTCAGCAGTACTTGATATTGTCAATCTCTTTTAAATTTTAGCCATTTTAGTTGGGTTACAGAATTATGTTGTTGTGATTTTAATTTGCATTTCCCTGATGACTTGTTGTTTTATAACCATAGATTATGAGTGTTTGTTGTTTGGGACTTTATCTGAGAAAATCATTGTCAGCCTTTCTTTTTCTTTTTCAGGAGAGATTTTTTATTTGCTTTTGCTAATTAGCTTGGGTCCCTACTGACTTCAACCACTTTAATTTTCTACTTGGTGCCTCTCAGATGAAGCAAGTAGTGTGAATTCTAGACATAAAATAATTTGAGCAAATAAAACTTCTGAAGGAAGATGTTTTCCCCCTTTCATTAGCACTGATGTCAAATCAGGCAGGTTTTCTTGCCTTCTCTTCCTGTAATTCATTGTTCCCATGTGATACACTTAGTTTCGCAGCTTTAAACAGAAGTCTATTACATTTCCTAGCTCTCATATGTCCTAGGAATCAATTGCCTTCTCCAGTAACTTGTTTGACAATCAAAGCAGAATCTCGGGGTCACTAGCATTTAGTAGTTAGTAGTGATTTTGAGCAAAGCTGTCTCTAATGCTTGTGTACTTCCATAGTTCTATCTTCAGTCTCTTTTGAAGTCTTTCTTCTGATTCTTGTTTTATACCAGGTTAACTATTCATTTAAAAGAAAATCCTAAGATATTTTTTAAACAAGATAATAATTCAGGCTATCTGATCTAACATTTTGCCGTAAATGGAAATATTTTTCCTTTTATTAAAACACTGATATTTCTCATAATTTTAAAGTTTTTAAAAATACATGATTTCTGAATTTTAAATGCCAATCTTTTATCAATGCATTTCAAATATTTTATTGTGATTAATGGCAAACTCTTTTCTTATTATGTATACTTTGTATATTAAAAAGCATTGGCATTTTTGTAAATTAGCGATTATACTGATGCTCAATTTAATGAACTGAATAATCTTAGAATATTTTTTATTGTTCACTCTTTTTTTCTACATATTTACACTTCCCATTTCTTTGTGTCATCTAGTCACATTGCACAGACCTTTCAGAATATTATGAAATGGTGGCTTTAGTTGGAATTCCTATAATAGTGTATCATAAAATATGATGTTGCTATTACAATCTATTTCTCTTTTAAATGTTTAAAAATTATGATAAGATGTTGAAATTTTATAAATACTGTTTTGGCTTCGTGTCTGGAATTGGTTCCTTCTGGTGGGTTCTTGGTCTCGCTGACTTCTGGAATGAAGTTGCGGTCCCTCACGGTGAGTGTTCTTAAAGATGGTGTGTCTGGAGTTTGTTGCTTCAGATGTGTCCGGAGTTTCTTCCTTCTGGTGGGTTCTTGGTCTTGCTGACTGCAGGAGTGAAGCCGCAGACCTTCGTAGTGAGTGTTACAGCTCTTAAAGGTGGTGCATCTGGAGTTGTTTGTTCCTCCTGGTGGGTTTGTGGTCTCTCTGACTTCAGGAGTGAAGCTGCAGACATTCGCGTTGAGTGTTACAGCTCATAAAGGTAGTGTGACCCAAAGAGTGAACAGCACCAAGATTTATTGCAAAGTGCAAAAGAACTAAGGTTCCACAGCATGGAAGAGGACCTGAGCAGGTTGCCCCCACTGGCTCAGGTGGCCGGCTTTTATTCCCTTATTTGGCCCTGCCCGCGTCCTGCTGATTGGTCCATTTTACAGAGTGCTGATTGGTCCATTTTACAGAGTGCTGATTGATGGGTTTTTAGAGAGTACTGATTGGTGCATTTACAAACTGCTAGACACAGCACTGATTGGTGCATTTTTACAGAGTGCTGATTGATGCGATTATAAACCTTTAGCTAGACACAGAGTGCTGATTGGTGCGTTTTTACAGAGTGCTGATTGGTGCATTTACAAACCTTTAGCTAGACACAGAGTGCTGATTGGTTTGTTTACAATCCTTTATCTAGACAGAAAAGTTCTCCAAGTCCCCACCCAACCCAGAAGCCCAGCGGCTTCACCTCTCAGCTTTAATTAAGGTACTCTCTATTTTTATTCACCCTTTGACCTAGTAGTGGTGATTTCCTAAATTTATTTTACTGAAACATCCTATTTATTGAAAGATAATTTAGGCAAGGCCTAGTCTATTAATGCCCTAATTTAATATTCTCTAAAACTTTTTATTAGCACTTATAAAAGTATGATGGCCGGGTGCGGTGGCTCATGCCTGTAATCCCAGCACTTCGGGAGGCTGAAGTGGGTGGATCACCTGAGGTCAGGGGTTTGAGACCAGCCTGACCAAAATGGAGAAACTCTGTCTCTACTAAAAATACAAAATTAGCCGGCCATGGTGGCGCATGCCTGTAATCCTAGCTACTCAGGAGGCTGAGGCAGGAGAATCGCTTGAACCTGGGAGGTGGAGGTTGCGGTGAGCTGAGATTGCCCCATTGCACTCCAGCCTGAGCAACAAGAGTGAGACTGTCTCAAAAAAAAAAAGTATGAATTGGTATATACTTTCATATATAGTATATCATTATCCTTTCTGCTTATTACTTTATTGTTAGACTATTTTTATTATAATAATTTTTAAATGTTTCTTTTATCGCTACCAAATTGTACTATGACTTAATTCAATTGTAGAATTAGCCATTAATCAAAGGTCTAAAAGTTTTAAATGTGAAATTTTTTGAACTTGACACTATGACAAGGAGCAGAGGCGTGAGCTAATAAGAAAACTTTTTGTTAGCATTCGCAGTTTCTTCCTTGGTTGCTGCTCTGTTTGTTGTTTTATTCATTTTACTTGTCAAAGATACAAACTTTGCATTTAGGTGTAAAATGAATCTTCTATAATGACCAACTTATTTTTCTCAAATAGAGCCCCCCTAAGAAATTTAAGAGAATATATTTCAATGGTTTCTCTCTGAAAGCAAATTTATACCACACCTATAATAGAGGATTACAAAACAAAGTGAGTTTATAGATAATGAGGTTATCATCACAGTGAACATTACAACAGAGTTTGTGTTAGTTTTCTAGGGCGGCCATAACAAAGTATCATATACTTTGTGGCTTAAAACAACAGCAATTCATTCTTTCATAATTCTGGAGTCCAGCAATTTAAAATCAAGGTGTTGGCAGGGCTGTACTCTCTTTGACACCTCTAGGGGATAATCCTGCCTTGCCTCTTACAAATCTTGTAAGGATACTTGTCATTGAACTGGATGCTAATCTGAGATGATCTCACTTCATCTAACTTACATCTGCAAAGACCCTTTTACCAACTAAAGTCATATTCACAGGTTCTAGGTATTAGAATGTGAACAAATCTTTTTGGGGGTCACCATTTAACACACGGCAGAGGACTGAATTAAATTTCCTACAGCCATCGTATTCAAACTAATACAATTAATTATAATAAGAAGGAAAATCAAGCTTTACAGTAATTATAGTCACTAAGCTGAAGATCACAAACAAAAGTCATGGCAATAAATTATTTATAGTTAAAAAGCAGAATATCAAGAACTTGCTCTCACAGTAAAATAATCTAAACATGTACACAATCTAATGATGCCAAGAAACTGAATATATAGAAACAGAACTCACATAGAATGTTCTCTCTTTTTATACACACACTCGCATTTTCTCTGTGATAGCTTTTAATTTTACGTCTGTATCATAACTGGTTTATTATATTTATAATGAAATATAAAGAATTTGAGACTTTATATTCTAAAAAGCAACTAACTTAACAATTTTCTTTCCTTCCCAAGGTTTTTAACTGAGTAAAGTGACTTCTGTCCTGTGGCTTCAATTAATATTTTAACCAAGCTTAAGCAACATTTTCAAGACCTTTTAAAATTTTCATAGATCATTTTTGGTAACTTAAATTCTACCAGAGAACTCCTGTAGTTTCTTCTCATATTCAAGTTTATTTACAAAAAAAAACCACAATGTAGTTATGTATGATTTTTATGATTCTTTATTTTCCTTTATACTTGTAGTTATTTTTCCATTATGATTTCTGTTGTAAGGTATTTGTGTTGTTTCTCCCTTGCTCTCTTTTGTTTTAATTTGGTTAGCTAATGACATTGAATTTGTTATTTTTCACAACCAGTTATTTAATTGATAGTGCTATTATTGGGGTTTTTTGTTTACTCTTTATTTCTACCTTTTCTTTAATTATTTCATTCTTCTGAGTTTATTTGGTTTTTAATTTAAATTTAAATAGCTACATGTGGCTAGTGGCTGCTGTTTTTGATAGTGCAGCTTAGATTACAGCAACATTGTCATAATATTGATGAGTTAAGTCGTTCACTAGAGAGAGTGAGGGCATAATAGGCTATGGTGTTAGAAGGCAGGAATGTGGTTATTTTTGTTGAGGATGGGTAGTGACCAGAAGGTGGCATGAGGGGGTTTCTGGGGCTTTGTGATGTTTTGTTTCTTGATCTGTCACTGTTCCATAAATATATTCATTCTGTAAAAATTCATAGAGCTGTGCCTTATAGTTTGCACACTTTTCAATATAAATTAAAAGAAAGAATATACTAAGTGGAATTTATTTTAGTCATGCGAAGGTGTTTCAATAATAGTAATATACCATATGATTTTTATAGTTGACGTTTGATAAAATGTAGCACTGATTCCTGACAAAAACATACAATAAAATAGTAACTGATACATTCTTTCTCAATATAAGCATACCTCAGAGGTATTGCATATTTGGTTCCAGATCACGTCAATAAAGGAACTATCACAATAAAGTGAGTCACACAATTCTTTTGGTTTTCCAGTGCATAATAAAAGTTATGTTTACACTATATTTTATTCCATTAAGTGTGCCAGTAAATTCAATATACTGATTTAAGATATCTTCTTGATCATACATCAATTTTCATATATACCTGGGTCTCTTTCTGGATTTTTCTATTTGGTTCTGATAAGTATTAGTCTGATAAGTCACATTCACACCCCAATACCACAGCGTTTTAATTATAATGATATTAAAAAATGTTATAACATATCATAGGGTGAGTACTTCCTCCCCAGAAATACCCCGCAACACTTCTGCCACATTGATTTTGTCATTCCCAGAACTCTATAGCTATTCATTTATGTTTATTTTTTCTTTTAAACTTTATAATCAACCATTCCAGTTACAGAAAAAAAAAATTTTAAATGTGATTGCAATAACACCATGAAATAAATTAGGAAAAATGGAATCTCTTTAAAATGATTTTTTGTACTAAAATATATGGCATGCCTTTTTCTTTGTTCAAGTCTACTTTTGTTACCTGAAAAAAATCCAGGGTTTGTTTACCTAGTAAATAACAAACAACTCTCCATGACAACAGGTTTTGACCAGTAAGAGTTTTATTACTTGGCCCAAGTAAGGAGGACATGGGAGTATTCCCCAAAACAATCTGCCTGAGGGAAAGTGACAATAGGGTTTCATGGGGTAATGGATGGGGAGAGGGTCTCATCACATATAGAGAAGGGGTCCCAGTTGTGCAGATGCAGTGAGTCATCATGCCAGCACATAGGTTGCATGTTATGCTAATGAAGCTATAGCTCCTCCCACTTGGAAACTTTAGCATGGTAATGAGGGAAGTTCACTCAGGCTCATCTATAAGTTGCTAGGTCTGTCAGGAGCTGGTTCCAGACAACAAAGTGACCACATTTCCTACCAGGTTTGGGGAAAAACAGGCTGCAGAGTAGGAGGCTGTAAAATAGGCTGATGGCTCAAATTGATTAAATTCCGATAATCCCTGGAGACCCCCCCAACCGCTGCATCTGCTTGAGCTTTTGTACATTTATGCTGAAACTCTTATGTTATCTTTTCCTATTTTAAATAGAATCTTCTCTGCTCTTATACTCACTTTTACATACATGAAATTTTCAGTTTTCTAATATGAGTGTTATATATGGCCATTTTACTAAATTTGCTGATTATTTGCAGTGGTTTTCCTTTGATTCTCTTGACCTTTCCAAATATGCAATTATAATAGAGATTTTTGCCACTTCCATTACAGTTCTAATTACTAAGTATGTTATATTGTCTAATTACATTAATATTGCAGATGATAGGTAAATTTGCCTTATTTAGTAGAAATGGGTTTCATATTTCTTAATAAGAAGTTGGCTTTTAAAGTGAGGGACATACAGGCATACCTTGTTTTAGTATTTTTTGCTTTATTGCATTCCACAGATGTTGTGTTTTTTACAAATTGAAGCATTTTGGCAACATTACATAAAGCAAGTCTGTTAGCACCATTTTTCCAGTAGCAAATGCTTACTTTGTGTCTCTGAATCACATTTTGGTAATTCTCAAAGCATGTCTAGTTGTGTTATTTTCATTATATTTGTTATGGTGATCTGTGATCTGTGATCTTTGGTGTTACTGTTCTAATTGTTTTTGGGTGAGACAAACCACACCCATATAGGACCTTGAACTTAATCAACAAATGCTGTATGTGTTATGACTGCTCCACAGGCCAGCTATTCTCCACCTCTTTTTCTCTTCAGGCCTCCCTATTCCATAAAACACAATATATTAAAATTAGGCCAATGAATAACCTTACAATGACCTCTATGTGTTCAAATGAAACACACATCTCTCACTTTAAATCAAAAGTTAGAAATGGTTAAGCTTAGAAAGGAAACCATGCTGAAAGCTAAGCCTCTTGTGTCAAATAGCCAAGTTGTGAATGCAAACGAAAAGTTCTAGAAGCAAACTAAACTTTCTGCATATCAACCATATGTGTTTTCTTTCACTTTCTTATTATTTATGTGTTATTCCATTAAGCATATGAATAATAAGAAAGTGAAAGAAAACACATATGGCCTATATGGAGAAGGTTTGAGTGGTCTGGTTAGAAGACCAAACCAGTGACAACATTCTCTTAAGCAAAAGCATAATTCAGAGCAAGGCCTTAACTCTCTTTCATTCTATGGAGGCTAAGAGAAGTGATGAAGCTGCAGAAGAAAAGTTTGAAGATGGCAAAGGTTAGTTCATGAGGTTTAAGGAGAAAAGCCATCACCATAAGATAAAAATGCAAGATGAGGCAGTTAGTGCTAATCTAGAAGCTGGAGCACATTATCCAAAAGATCTAGCTAAGATAAATGGTGAAGGTGGTGGCACTAAATAACAGATTTTCAAGGTTGGTAAAACAACCTTCTATTGGAAGAAGATGCCATTTAGGACTTTCATAGCTTGAAAGCAGAAGTCAATGCCTGCCTTCAAAGCTTCAGAGGACAAATTGACTCTCTTGTCAATGGAAAATGCAGCTGGTGATTTTAAGTTAAAGCCAATGCTCATTTACCATGCCAAAAATCCTAGGGTCCATAAGAATTATGCTAAATCTACTCTGCCTGTGCTCTATAAATGGAACAAAGCCTGGATGACTGTGCATCTCTTATAACCATGCTACTGGAAAAATAGCATGGTTTACAGACTATTGTAAGCCCACTGTTAAGACCTACTGCTCAGAAAAAAAGAGATTTCTTTCAAAATATTACTGCTTATTGACAATGCACCTGGTCACCTATGAGCTCTAATGGAGATGTACAAAGAGATTGAGGTTGTTTTCATTCCTGCTAACACAACATCCATTCTGCAGCTCATGGATCAAGAAACAGTTTTCAGTTTCATCTTATTATTTAAAAATATATTTGAAAGGCCATAGCTGCCATAGTGATTCCATTGATGGATCTGGGAAGAGTAAACTGAAAATCTTCTGGGAAGGATTCATTATTGTAGAAGCCATTAAGAACATTCCTGATTTGTGGGAGGAGATAAAAATATCTTGAAAGAAGTTGGTTCCAGTCTTCATGAATAACTTTGAGTGGTTCAAGACTTCATGTAGAAAGTAACTGCAGATGTGGTGGAAATAACAAGACAACTAGAATTAGAAGTGGAGCCTGGCGGTGTCACTGAATTGCTGCAATTTCATGATCAAACTTGAAAGAATGAGAAATTGCTTTTTTGAATTTGCAAAAAAGTGGTTTCCTGACATGGAATCTACTCTTGGTGAAGATGCTATGAACACTATTGAAATGACAACAAAGGACTTAGAATATTACACACATTTAGTTGATAAGCAGTGGCAGAGTTTGATAGTATTGACTCCAATTTTGAAAGAACATCTACTGTGGGTAAAATGCTATCAAACTACGTCACATACTACAGAGAAATCTTTCATGACAGGGAGAGTCAATGAATGTAGCAAACTTTATTGTTGTCTTATTTTAAGAAGTTGCCACAACTGTATCAGTCACCACCCTGATCAGTCAACAGCCATCAACATTGAGGCAAGACCCTCCACCAGAAAAAAGATTATGACTCACTGAAGGCTCAGATGTTTGTTGGCTTTTTTAAGCAATAAAATATTTTTAAATTAAGGCATATACATTGACTTTTCAGACACAATGCTATGGCACACTTAATGGAATAAAATATAGTGTAAACATAACTTTTATTATGCCTGGAAAACCAAAAGAATTGTGTGACTCACTTTATTGTGATAGTTCCTTTATTGACGTGATCTGGAACCAAATATGCAATACCTCTGAGGTATGCTTATATTGAGAAAGAATGTATCAGTTACTATTTTATTGTATGTTTTTGTCAGGAATCAGTGCTACATTTTATCAAACGTCAACTATAAAAATCATATGGTATATTACTATTATTGAAACACCTTCGCATGACTAAAATAAATTCCACTTAGTATATTCTTTCTTTTAATTTATATTGAAAAGTGTGCAAACTATAAGGCACAGCTCTATGAATTTTTACAGAATGAATATATTTATGGAACAGTGACAGATCAAGAAACAAAACATCACAAAGCCCCAGAAACCCCCTCATGCCACCTTCTGGTCACTACCCATCCTCAACAAAAATAACCACATTCCTGCCTTCTAACACCATAGCCTATTATGCCCTCACTCTCTCTAGTGAACGACTTAACTCATCAATATTATGACAATGTTGCTGTAATCTAAGCTGCACTATCAAAAACAGCAGCCACTAGCCACATGTAGCTATTTAAATTTAAATTAAAAACCAAATAAACTCAGAAGAATGAAATAATTAAAGAAAAGGTAGAAATAAAGAGTAAACAAAAAACCCCAATAATAGCACTATCAATTAAATAACTGGTTGTGAAAAATAACAAATTCAATGTATATTTTGGGATAAGATTAGGAAAGATTCAATCAATTCTTCACATCAGAAACCAGGATAATTTCTATAGGATTAGAGCCCTTGGTATAAACAAGAAAACTATGTACATATATGGATAATTTTCTTTAAAATCAGAAGTGGCAAAAACTTCTACATGTAATTCAAAATATCCAATATCATTGACAAATCACGAACTAGCAAATATTTCTACTTAAAAACAAAGGATTAATATGTAAGAAATATATTAAGGATATAATATATAATCCTTATAATATATAAGGATTTAGAAGGATAAGAAATCCTTCTAAAAATTGAGAAAAGCCTATGCCTAATTGAAAGCTAGACTAAAGGAAAAAATAATGTAAATTGCTCTTAAATACCTATAAAGATGCTTAACTTCACGTGTAATGAGAGAAACACAAATCGAAACTCTCCTGTGGTACCGTTTCTCACCTATCAGATTAACAAAAATCTAAGTTTTATCATATGCTCTAAGACTGGGAAAACAGACACTCATACATTTCTACAGTTATGGAGTAGAATTTGACAACAGTAAAAATTCACATGCACTTACTTTTTGACCCAGCAATTACACATCTAGGAAACCATCCCCAAAGAACATTGGCAAAGATATGAAGTGACCTGTGCATAGGTCATCATCTTTTCATAATCCCCGAATCCTGTTTTCTAACACAGGTAGAATTCTTAGATCTTTTCTGAGAGTTTATCTTAACTGTATTACCTCAATTTGGTACCTGAGGTCCTTAAACATTTTCCAAAACTCACCAACAGAAATTAGCCCAGAAAATAATATGGGGTGCAAGGTGTAGACTGCTATGTATGGGTTCAGATATACACCTGTAATAATACTTGCAGGAGTTTAAAAACTTGGTTCTTTATGAAAACAACAACAACAAAAAAGATTCATTAGAAATGGCAGACAATTCACAATGAAAATAAAATAAACTTAATATAACATGCAAAACTTGTAAATGTTGAATGTTTGTTCTTATACTAATTTTAATGTTCTTTAAGAAAGTGATAGGAAACTATAGCTATAGCTAACAGAGCTAGCTAGCTGCTCCTGTGTGCTCTGTAATCTCCATCTTTTGTTTTCATTTTAGTATCTGCTGATTCACTTCTTTGTGTACTATGCTGTCCTCATACTAGGCTGTTTGTTACTTGGATACTAATTCTTTGTGTCAGAGCCCTTATGGTTATTTCAAACAGTCTCTAATGTGAATGTTCAAAGTCCACTTAAAAATAGAGTATTCTTATAAGGATTTGCCATCTCCAATGTTCTGCAAAGTGCCTACTGCTAATAGTTAGCATGACAGGTTGCTAAATTATGTTTCCACTAATGTGCCAGGGCACAGTAGATAAGAAATTCTAAAGTAAGGTGCTCAAGCAGAGTGAGCTAAAAAATCCAGAGAAACGGTTTCACATCTCTTGTAACCATCAGCCAATTTCAGAGGATAAAATATTTGGAGAGTGGCTATGGAAGGAAAATATTTAAGAGATTTATCTGGTGTAGAGCTGTTGGACTTAGCAAATAAAAATACAGGATGTCCAGTTGAAACCTCCTTTGCAAAAAATATGAGAGCAAGAGAAGTCTAGCATGTCTGACTCAATTTTGCTTCTAGCCTCATAGTCTGGCTGTCCTCGCTCATTCCTGGTTGTAGGCTAAGCTAAGTACAGGAGAAATTTAGTTTATAGTTTAACTTTGAAGCAAGGATGATAATATCCCGCCCTAAAACTGACCCCTTCCTTGTTCTAAGAATGAAACTGCCTTTGTAAAACCACAAGATTAGGATTATGGGAGAGGCCTGAATTGTGCTAAGATATAGGCAAGGTTAAATGATTACCAGCCACTGTTTCCTAGCTTGCTTTTCTATAACCCCCACTTCTCAGGAGTTATGTGGCCTGAGGTCACAAGATTTGTGTCTTTGCCAATTGCTCCTACAGATAACACCACTTATCTATATGAGGTTCTACCATCTTAGGTAGAACTTAAGATTAGTCTTTTGAGATGTTTTTCAGACTTCTGCATTCAGGCAACTGACTGACTCCACTTGGGCCTGTGACTCATGAGTCAACTGGTCCTGTGGGCCCCACCCAGAGGCTGACTTGGGACATGAGGACTATTTTTCACATTCCTATGATTTCATCCCCAAATGATCAGCAGCACCCATTCCCCAGCCCCCTGCCTACCACATTATCCATAAAAACCCTAGCCTCTGAGTTCTAAGGGAGGCTAATTTGAGTAATAAATAAATCCACTTTCCTAACCCTGTGTTAATTAAACACTTTCTCTACTGCAATACTGCCATGTTTCAGTATATTGATTTTATCCATGCATCAGGCAAGAAGAACCTGTTGGGTGATTACACAGTTACATTGAATTTCAGATTATGGTACAGAAAGAAGTATATTTAGTGTTTGTCTCTGGTTCCTACCACAGAGTTCCTAAAATTCTTGGATTTTCTTGAGTGATTGGAATGTTTTTTGTTATTCTAAAAAAGTCTCTTTTGATCACATTTTAGTTTGTCTAAAAATGTAATGGAGGTAGAGTCTCTAGCCTCAAGACGGGGCTGGTCACCAGGAAGATAAAGTGATTAGAAGGCTGAAACTTTGAATCCCACCCCTGGACCTCCTGGAAGTTGGGGGGAGAAGGATGATTAAATGCTATAAAAACTTTTGAGTTGCTGAGTTTTGGGGTTGGTGAACACATCCAGATGCTCTGAGGATTGCAAACCCGGAAAGTATGGAAGCTCTGTGCACCTCCCAGCTCGCCCAGTACCTTGCCCCATGCCTCTCTTTCATTTCGCTGTTCCTGAGATGTATCCTTTATAATAAGCTAGTAAAAGTAAGTATTAAATTAAGCTTAGCCTAAAGCTGCCTCCTTGCAAATTTTAAGTTTGGCCCAAAGGTTTCTCCATATGTCATGAACTGTAACCTAACTGATATGTAAACATTCTGTAACCTACTCCTGTGACAATCACTGAGCTTCAGCTAATCAAGAGTGGGTGACTGTTCAAACTAGGCTCAAATAAAGCATATACCAAGCTGTAACCAATCTAGCTGTTTCTGTAACTCACTTTTGTTTTCTGTATGTCACTTTCTTTTTTCTGTCCATAAATCCTCTCCTATCATGCAACAGCAGCAGAGTCTCTCTGAACCTATTCTTGGTCAAAGGCTGCTTGATTTGCAGATTTTTCTTTTCTCAGTTAAACATTGTGAAATTTAATTTGTCTAAGGTTTCTCTTTTAACATAAGTCAACTGTTTTCCTGAGTTCTTTCTTGCAAATTATTGAACCTGAGGAGGTGGCAATAGGAACCTCTAATTTATAGTCATTCAGTCAGAAGTACAGAAAACCTGGGACTTGCGGCTGGTTTCTGAAGTGGGGGCAGCCTTGTGGTCCTGAGACCTTATGCTGTCGTTATAGGAGTTAAAAAGAAATTATTTAGGCAGCTAGTGAGGGTAAGGAAAGTCCTTGGTAAGGTTTTCCTTTTAATGAAAAGCAGCCCCCAAATTATTTCCTTTTCTAATAAAGGGCAGCCTGTAAAATTGAGCTGCAGACCGATAAGCAAGCTGGGAGCTTGCACTGGTGAATGCGGCCGTTGTGCCAATGGGAAAAGGCTACCTGGGAGTAGGCATGTTCAAAATGGTGGCTCCATCTTCCCTTCTCTTTGCCAAGCCACGTGTACAGTAAGGCGCAGACGAGATGGCACCGGCCAAGTGGAAAGCCCATTTGGATAATAAGATCAGGATGGGTTGGTCACCCTTCTCCCAGTGCTATTTAAATGTCACACCTGATCCAACCAATCTGTGGGCCCTATGTAAATCAGACACCACCTCTTCAGGCCTGCCAATAAAATCTAGTGCAGTCCACTGCTGGATGGATTTTCTTTTGGGAAGCCCCTGTCTTGCAAGGGAGAGAGCTGTTCTCCTTTCTCTCTCTCTTTTTTTTTTTTTTTTTTGCCTATTAAACCTCCACTCCTAAACCCACTCCTCGTGTGCGTCTATGTCCTTAATCTTCTTGGTGTGAGATGACAAACCCCAGGTATCTACCTTAGACAATGATGCTGCCTCATTGTGGGGTCTGCACTAACTTTAGAGTCAGAATTTGTGCAACACTTTGTTGGTATCTGGAGGGCTGGAGAATTGGTTGATGTCAGATAAAATACCCCACAGATAAACAATAAATAATTTTTTGGTATAATTGTGTTCCAAATACTGCACGGGGCATACTTATATTTAAGAAAAATCATTTGTTGTTTACCTGAAATTCAAATGTAACTGGATATCCTACAGTTAATTTGGAAATCTTCCTTGGGCTAGAGCATGCTCTGTGCTTTAAGTTCTTCCACCTACCCACCCAAGGAAGTGGGATGCTGCCTACTTGATTTCAAATTTAAAAGAGGTGCTTCCATAGGCTAATGGAGAACTTGTTAGGTGAATGGCAGACACAATGGACTGTTCTGATATCTGCTCATGAAATCTAGAGGGCAAGGAAGGCTAGCAAGCTGCTTTGGAAGCAAAGATGTTATCGTTTTAAAATCTGTCTCCACTCTCAGGACTTACCAAGGTAGAGGATGCGTCAATCTATAAACCTGACTGGGGGCAAACAGGAGAAACAAACAAGACGAGAGCCATTTTGATTTTTATCCAAGAGGGTCACATGGGGGGCCAATGGGACTCCAATTAGTGAGTCGTAGGGGAGCAGATCACCTGAAAATCTGCACTAAAGAGGAGCAAAACCAGGGTGAGAGAATGTACTGCCCAGTGCCTGAAAGTCTCAGTCAGAGGAGATAGCACAGGTCCCTCCAAGAAATGGGAATGCCCATAAAACAAGGAAGCATTTTCAAGCATCCACCTGGCTCAGAGTGTGAAGGTAAGATACAGTATATTACTCAAATAAGAAAGTATGTTTCTTTTTCTCTTCTTCCCTCTCTCCTTCTTGGTGCTTCAACCTCTGAAGGCTCCACAAGAGCAGCTGAAGAATAAGATAAGTGAGAAAGAAGGAAGCGTCCACACAGTTTTTCCCATTGACAGAGTCATAGATGAGGAGGTTGGGCAGGTTTATGGTGAAGTCTTACTTTTGAATGAAGATCAAGCTGTTATTACAATGATAATTTTATAGTGTATATGCTATTATATAGTATATAATAATATACTATATAATATACAGTAACATAAATGTATATTGTATGATAAAAATTGTTAATGTACTGGACTGGACATTTTAAATTCCTGAATTAAGACCAAGTCCAAAATACTTCTATCATGAAAGAGTGATCAGAAAAGGCACAAGGCTTTCAGAGTTTTCTAGTTGGAGGGGATAAATCTTATGCAACTGCATAAATTCTGTGGAAGTCAACATAAAGTGTTTTGATAACACACTGAGTTGTGTTTGTCCAAAGTACTACTTATTAGTGTTAACTGCCCTTAATCTGCAAATTTCTTGACTCTGCAGCTCTTCTCTCTCACCAGAGTGCTGTTTTGCATTCTCTGGTGTGCAAAGATGGAGTGAAGAGAATATAAATTCTGCTCCTTTTTTTTTTTTTATTTTGAGATGGAGTTTTGCTCTTGTTGCCCAGGCTGGAGTGCAGTGGCGCAATCTCAGCTCACCACAACCTCTGCCTCCTGGGTTCAAGCGATTCTCCTGTCTCAGCCTCCCAAGTAGCTGGGATTACAGGTGCCAAAGCGCCCGGCTAATTTTGTATTTTCAGTAGAGACAGGGTTTCTCCATGTTGGTCAGGCTGGTCTCAAACTCCCAACCTCAGGTGATCCGCCAGCCTCGGCCTCCCAAAGTGCTGGGATTACAGGCTCGAGCCACTGTGCCACGCCAATTCTGCTCTTTTTTATGATGGAGAGATTATAGAAGCTTCCTGATTTAGGTCCACGCCCAAAACCATTTTTTTTCCCACTCATCTACTTAATACATGTTTTCTTTCTATTGGCAACAGGATTGAATTTTACAGATTAGCCTAACCTGTTCCAAATAAGTATTATTAAAAAAAAGTAATAATAATAACACAAAACTCTTCTGGGGAAATGTCACTAAATTTATAAAGATAAAAAAAAAACCTTTTCTTGCAAAGAAGTTTAATTATTAAGCAAAATATAAAACTTTTAAAAAATCGAGGTACTTTTCAAGGGCCTTCCATATGTTAGTGGACTTTGTGAATCAAATTCCCAAAGGGAATATTTGGAATGCAGCATTTTCTTAACATTTTGACCCAGAACTCTTTGGTTTTGGCACATGAATCCTGGAACATTCCAGAACTAATGTTCCAAAAACAATTTTTTGAAAATCCTAGCTTAGCATTTCAAATCTACCAACTACTACTTACACTTACAGCTTCTTATTCTTGTGAGCTAAGGAGACATCAAATAATGGCCAGTTTTCTCAAAGTTTGGACTCTTTACCATCTTATCAGAATCATCTCAGTATATTTGTTAAAAATGCAAATTACTGGGCTCTGACTCAGGTCTGTTAAATTGGAATAACTGACAACTCAATTGGGAGGTAGGACTTGGAATCAGAATTTTAGTATCGTCCAATGTTGAAGTCTTATTTACATGAAACCCCAAGAACTCAAGAGAGGAATTTTATGTCTTGCCCTTTCAGAGTCTGCTGCTGAAATCATTCTCAAAAGTTTGCGGTTTTCTTGTGGTCTCTATTTTCTTTCCAAGTAGTATACTAAAGAAGTAGAAAGTTACTCAGACTCTTACTACTTGGAGAGGAGAACAACACAAAACTCAGTGATTAATATTTCCCACTCAGTAGGTGCTAACTTTCCACTGTGCTCTTAAAGAAAAAAACATTTCTTCCTCCCAAGTGATGTTTTCAGGGGCATTTGCTGGTTATGTGTTACTTGAAAATTAAATATAGTGATTCCTTCCAGCCACTCATTAAATTTGAAACAATTACACACTGACTCTGTGAGCAGGTAGTAGAAAAAACTTATTTCTAAAATAATATTTATAAAAATCTTGTTTGATCATGCTTTTTGAAATTTAGATTTAACTTGGTTTTATTTGACATCTCTGGATTTAGAGAGAATAATGGAATAATTTTAACTTTTTAAATCTAGACTAAATATTTTGGTTCCAAAAGCCTTTCCAAGTAACATAAGTAAGATGGAGTGTTTTCCCTCTTAGTATTTTTGTGTCTGTGTGTGAAGCCTCACAAATTTAATTTCTACTCAGTATAGAAAATGAGATATTATTGTTAGCCATGCAATTATAATAAAACCTGCTTAAATGTTTTTTTAAACAAATCTTTTGTTTTCATACTTTGCAAAAGGTTCTGATTCTCATTAGGGAATATAAGGTATTCAAGAAAACAACTCTGAAGGTTCGAAAACAGAGGTACTTAGGGGCTGAAGATGACAGAAGAGTCAATTTAAGATGTATAGTTTTACATGTAGCTCTAGGTTTTGAAATAATTAAGTGATGAAAGAGGAAGCTAAATAGGAAAGCACCATCTCCTTTACAAAAAAAAAATCTCATTGTGGTCTATATCTCAGTGGTTCACAAACTTGAGTGTGTCTCAGAATCACCTAAAAAGCCTGTTATCATAGAGTCCTGAGTCCTGCCCCCTCAGACCCTGCCACCCCAGGTTTCAGATCCAGCAGGTCTGGGCAGGGCCTGAGGACTAATGTTTCTGACATGTTCCCAAGTGATGCTGATGCAGGAACCACACTGTATACTTCCCAAAATACAGACCTTTCTACCTCTTCTAATTTACCTCAAGGAAGGAAAGAACATCTCTATGTGAAAGAAGAGAAAATCTCTGGGGAAGAGTATAAGTAGCATCTTGAAAAACTTGACAGTCACAGACACAATTTTTTTTTAGAAATATTGCCTATTGTAGCTCATTAAAAGCTGAGTAGCTTGTAACAATGTAACACACAAACTACCGGATGAGATATTTTATTATAAATAGGACACTATTAACACAGAAATAGGGATTAATGAGAAAAGTAGCAGAGGTCATATAAAAGTTGCTCTAGAACATGATTTTAAATAAATTGGTAACTTATGTTCTTGACTCTTAAAAAACTGATTATATTAATAAAGAATGGGAAGTATACATTTGAAGATCTGTGGAATGTTGAACAAAAATACTTATCTGAATTTTACTCCATATTTTGTAGGGTAATCACAGGGTTAAATTTTTGGAGGATGTACCCATAAATTTTATGGGTTACAACTCTTAACCCAAAATTACTAAGTAACAACAAACATCAACAAACTATTTTTGAAGCTTTCGTTACAAGATAATGCATATTTCTTTTAAAGTATGAAGCCATAAAAAGAACGAGATTATGTCCTTTGCAGGAACATGGATGGAGCTGGAGGCCATTATCCTTAGCAAACTAAAGCAGGAACAGAAAACCAAATATCACATGTTCACACTTATAAGTGGGAGCTAAGTGATGAGAACACATGGACACATGGATAGCATCACACACTGGGGCCTATTGGAGTGGAGGGTGGGAGTGTTAGCAGCAGCAAATATGTATGGGTCTGCAGCAACCACAATCCTTGCCTTCTCAGAAGAAAAAATTCAACTGAGGGGCATAAAGCAGAAGGAGACACCAAGGCAAGGTTTATAGCAAGAGCAAAAGTTTATTAAAAAGCTCTAAAGCAGAAACAAAAGGAAGGAAATACAGTTGGAAGAAGGCCAAGCAAGCAACTTGAAAGACAAGTGTGCAGTCTGATCTTTGACTTACGGTTTTATATGTTGGCATGCTTCCAGGGGGTCGTGTCCCTTCTCCCCTGATTCTTCCCTTGGGGTGTGCTGTTTGCATGCACAGTAGCCTGCCAGCACCCGTGAGGAGCTGCAAGTGCAGTGTGTTTACTGAAGTTGTGCAGATGCTCACTTGAGGCATTCTTCTCTTACCAGTCCAGTGTTCCTAGAGGAAGGTCATATACCAGTTAAATTCTACCTTTTTGCCTCTTAGTGTGCATAGTTGAGCCCACTCGCCCAAGTCCTGAGATCTTAGGAAGCTACTAATCACCAGTTTCAGGTTTTTGCTTTCTTTTGTTTTTTTTTTTTTTTTTTTGGACGGAGTCTTGTCCTGTCACTCAGGGTGGAGTGCAATGGCACAGTCTCAGCTCACTGCAACCTCCGCCTCCCGGGTTCAAGTGATTCTCCTGCCTCAGCCTCCTGAGTAGCTGGGATTACAGGCACGTGCCACCATGCCTGGCTAAGTTTTTGTGTCTTTAGTAGACACAGGGTTTCACCACGTTGGCCAGGCTAGTCTTGAACTCCTGACCTCATGATCCACCCACCTCAGCCTTCCAAAGTGCTGGGATTATAGGCGTGAGCCACCGTGCCCGGCCCAGTTTCAGGTTTTTTCTACTGCCTTTCCCTGGTACCGGCTGCAACCAATTATTATTTCCGAGAGACAGTTAACCCCCTGACCATCACCTGATGGTTGCCTGATATTCCTGGTGGTGTGCGGGGCTCTCCTGCCCTGCCCTGCCCTGCCCTGCCCATGTCTGTTTAGTTACTTACTCTAACAGGAGGAGGGAGAGAATCAGGAAAAATAACTAATGGGTACTAGGCTTAATACTTGGGTGATGAAATAATCTGTACAAAAAACCCCTGTGACACAAGTTTATGTATGTAACAAACCTCCATGTGTACCCCTGAATTTAAAATAAAAGTTAAAAGAAAAAAAATATGCTTCTACACCTTGTCTGAGACTGGGTCTTACTCTGTCGCCAGGCTGGAGTGCAGTGGTATGATCTCAGCTCAATGTAGCCTAGACCTTCTGGGCTCAAGTGATCCTCCCACTTCAGCCTCTGGATTAGTCCGTTTTCACGCTCCTAATAAAGACATACCTGAGACTGGGTAATTTATAAAGAAAAAGAGGTGGGTTTTTTTTGTTTTTTTTTTTTGAGATGGAGTCTAGCTTTGTCACCAGGCTGGAGTCCAGTGGCGCTATCTCAGCTTACTGCAACCTCCGCTTCCTGGGTTCAAGCTATTCTCCTGCCTCAGCCTCTGAGTAGATGGGATTACAGGCACGCGCTGCCACGTCCAGCTAATTTTTGCATTTTTAGTAGAGACAGGGTTTCACCATATTGGCCAGGATGGTCTCGATCTCCTGACCTCGTGATCCGCCCACCTCGGCCTCCCAAAATGCTGGGATTACAGGAATGAGCCACCGGGCCCGGCCAAGAAAAAGAGTTTTAATGGACTCACAGTTCCACAGGGCTGGGAGGCCTCACAATCATGGCAGAGGGTGAAAAGCACATCTTACAAAGCAGCAGGCAAGAGAGAAAATGAGAACCAAGTAAAAGGGGTTTCCCCTTATAAAAACTGTCAGATCTCCTGAGACTTATTCACTATCACAAGAACAGTATGGGGAAAACCGCCCCCAGGATTCAATTATCTCCGACCAGGTCCCTCCCACAACAGTGGGAATCATGGAAACTATAACTCAAGATGAGATATGGGTGGGGACACAGCCAAATCATATCAGCCTTCCAAGTAGCTGGGACCACTGGCAAGTGCCACCATGCCTGGCTAATTTTTTTTTTTTTTTTGTATTTTGTAGAGACAGGGTCTTACCATGTTGCCCAGGCTGGTCTTGAACTCCTGGGCTCAAGTGATTCACACACCTTGACTTCCCAAAGTGCTGGGACCACAGGCATGAGCCACCATGCCTGCCACTTTTGTACCTTTTTAATGGGCATATAAAGGATTTTTAAAACATATGTACTATAGATTACTCTGTGACTTATTTTATTCACTTAATATTTTATGCATAGATTTTCACGTAATTTTTTTCTATCTGTTGTATGCTATTAGTTGCTTGGATTATACCATAATTAATTTAACTTTGCCCCATATTGCCAGGAATTTATTTTGTTGCCAGTATTTTGCTATTATAGACAATACTGTAATAAAAAATACCTGTACTTTTATCTTGGAGCATGTTAAGCATTTTTAATAATAGATTTCTAGGTGGAAGTGCTGTGTCAAAGGGTATACAGGTACTTGTTTTCCCAAAACAGTGCCAAAAGTGATCATAAAAACTGTACCAATGCAGAACTCAAATGCCGCTGTGAGAAAGGGCCTACCTTTGCCGACTTCCTCAGCTTGTCAACAGATCACCCTTTGCTCTTCATCTTGTATGTAGCTCTAAGCAGTACTCTCTGTCCTGTATCTGAATTATTCATCTTTAAATGTGAAAAATTTATCTAGGACTTTCAAACTAAAAGAGTTAAATTCTGAACATTAAGGTATAATGAAAGCGCCTACAGGATAATTTAAATACATCATTAACTGGCTAATATGACAAGAAATTCCAATCAACCTTTATCAGTTGTATCTCTTTTCAATGACCCTTCAACCCACTTTCCTTTAAACTACTTTGAGTTGTAGAACTAGTTTGCAAATTCTGCTGAGGAATGTAAATGACTTGCATTTTCCCTCATCCCCCTGACAATTTTCATTCACTATTTAACAGGCAATTATCTGGCCATCCATAGTTACAAATAACTCTCCAGGAGAATGGAGTGTCCTTTGAGTTCAGTGAAGAGGGGCAAATCCATATGCCAGTGATATCCACAATTTTAGTTCTGTACTCTTTTCTCCTTGAAGTCTCTTCGCCAACTTTTTCTCCTGATCCTCTGTGTGACAAATCTATTAATAATAGAACATTTCCCAAGAATTGGCAAATCATAAATACATTGAGAAATGTTTCATTATCTCTGAGTCGCCACTTAATAAAGTTATGTATGCTACACCTTTTAACCATGAAATAAATTTCCTAGGCTCTGAAGTATAACATATGAAAGGAATAAATTAATTTCTTCAAATTTAATTCAATTAACCAAATACTTACTATGCACCTTTACTTTTCTAGGCACTGTTTTAGAAGCAAGCAGTCCACAAAAGTAAATAAGATGGGGACTTTAAACAGATACAATTAAGAGGGAAGATTAAAATACTCATAGTCATGATGGAGACAATATTGTAATTGTTATGATAAAAGTCTAAGAGAGGTTTAGCAATGTACATGGGAGAATAGACGAGGGGAGACTGGAAAGAAAGGGTTTCTGAATAGCTTCTTCATGTTCCATTTAGCTATGGGTAGCCACCACTAACCTGGCACATTTGGCTTATTCTTTTAATTGAAAGTTTTTCTGATATTGAAATAAGGATGAAAGAAGAAAAACATGTCAAGTAAGCACTAATTTATTTCAACATTTGCTATACATAATTATGTAGATGTAGATATATACTCTCTTGAGTCCTCAAGACAGTTCTGTATAATACGTATTATTTTTCTTGACTCCTCCATTTTCTCTTAGGCACCACTTGTCCCATTGCTACTCTTTGATTTATTTAACAAGTGTTAAAGATGATAAACTTGCTGTTATATATCTATGATACTGTTCCGTATCTGTAAACCTATGGTAGAATAGAGGCTGGAACCTAGGGAGAGATTATTGAAGGATACGGTAATAAAGGAGATTGAAGAGCAGTTAAAAAAAAAAATCCATGTCAGAAATTGTATGAAAGGAAGCCCACCTGTTTCTGCTGTCTGTAGTTTTGCTTCAGGACTTACCCATGGTCCTCTTCTTTGCTATGTCCTGAATTAGTCAATCAATCAGCCAGCAAGTCAATCTCAATCCCCAGCCCCCACCTCACATTCACCACCAGCACCACCCAGAGATTAACTCAGTACATTTATTAAAAACTGATGAGAAAAGTTTTCTTATAAGTTAATTATAGAATTTGAATTTAATTACTAGGTGATAGGGAACTCATATTTTAAAGCACAAGGAATATAGGGACTGAAAATAAAATGAGAAAGAAAAAAAAAAGTTTGAACCTGAATGGAATTTTAAATTTCCCCAAAACCTCCACAAAAATAACAGACCTCTCACTTTATTTTTTATTTTTATGTATGTATGTATGTGTGTATGTATGTATTTATTTATTTATTTTGAGAAGGAGTCCCACTCTGTCACCCAAGCTGGAGTGCTGTGGCATGATCTCAGCTCACTGCAACCTCCGCCTCTGGGGTTCAAGTGATTCTCCTGCCTCAGCCTCCCAAGTAGCTGGGATTACAGGTGTGCACCATCACGCCCGGCTAATCTTTTTGTATTTTTAGTAGAGACGGAGTTGCATCATGTTGGCCAGGCTGGTCTTGAACTCCTGATCTCAGGTGATGTGCCTGCCTCAGCCTCCCAAAGTGTTGGGATTACAGGCGTGAACCACCACGCCCGGCTGACCAGACCTCTACTTTAAAATGCCCATTAATTATTGAATTCAGTTGGTGATACTTTGTGTGTTTTCCTGGCTCCTTATCTTTCATCACTTGTTTTTGCCATCCAAACATTTTAATTTCTCATCTTTCTTTTTGCCTTCCTTTCTTTTCTCTGTGGAGACTGAAGTACACTTTTTTCTTGGCCTTTGGGATATTCTGAATCCGGTAAATTTAACTCCTCATCACCATTTTATGATTTGCTCATTGAAATAAATTACCACCAATTCTCTTCTACTTTTATCATTAGGGTGAGTTTTTTATTTTTTAAAGGCTGTCTGTACTAACTGTATAAAGTACATGGAGGGCTTTCCATGCAAGTGACTGTCATCAGAGATACTGGGAAAACTGACAAGAAATAATATTAAATATGTGGACTATCAACTGAAAAAAATGCTGTTTAACCATTGTAACTCACCTATTCAGGTCTAATTAGATAACTGAGGAATTAAGGTACAATATTAGGATTTAAATGATAAAGATTTTTGGTTCTATAAGTCTCTAAAAGCCCTACAAATTCTTCCCCAAACTATTTCTAGTTGATATACCAATTACATCTCATTAATGTATTCCATTCTGATGATAATGGCAACTGTTGACTAGAAACTGTTTTCAAATAGGGCTGCTTTATGACATTCCTGGGCCTTAGGTCCTTGCCCTATTAGCCCTGTGTTTCATCAAAAAACAAATATATGTTTTATGCACACACACACACACACACACACACACACACACACACACGTATACGTATGTGTGTATACAATATATAATCAATATAACGTATATAAAATGTATATTTAGGAATTGTTTTGGTAGAAAAAAACTATCATCTATCCAGGGTAAACACTTAAACATTATCTCCAACCCCAAGAGTTCATTTTTTCCCTTCTGACTCATAAAGAAGGTAAAATATCTTTATACGCTCCTAAAAGTATCTTGGGCCCTAAGCTCTGTGCCTGCTGTGCCTAATGGGTAAGTTGGCCTTGCTCTCAAAAATCTCCATGGCTATCTCCCAGTCTCCTTCAAGTCTTTGCTCAAAATATCATCTCAGAAGCACCTACCCTGGCCACTCTATTTAAAATTACACCTTCCCTTACCCCCATACTTCTGATCTTTCTTATTTTGCTTTGTTTTCTTTTCTTGTCACAGGTCAGCCTTTAATGTATTATATATCAATATTTACTTGTTACTGAAGTTTTTCTCTTCCATCTAGAGTATAAGCTCCATGAGGTTACCAATGTATTATCTCCACATTCCTGAGTATTGCCTGGTGTAGAGTAGTGATTTCATAATTTTCTCTTGAATAAAGTAGAAAGGAAATGGCCTTTATTTTTTTCTTTATGTTTTTAAAAATTTCACTTTATTTTTTTGATGGTCTAGAAACTAAGAGGTAAGATGGAGGAAGATTTATTAGGAGGAATTAGGCTCATGTACTTACAGATGCTGAAAAGTCCAATGATCAGCTGTCTGCAAGCTGGAGACCCAGGAGAGTCAATGGCATGGGTCTCAGTCTGACAGCAGGAGAAGACTGCACAAGCAGTCGGGCAGAAGAGGTGAATTCTCCCTTCCTCTGCATTTTGTTTGATTGAAGCCTTCAAAGGATTGGATGATTCCAGCCTACACTGAGGAGAGGAAACTGCTTTACTCAGTCCTCCAATTCAAATGTTAATCTCATCCAAAAACACCCTCGCAGACCCACCCAGAGATAATGTTTAGCCAAATATCTGGGCACCCTGTCATCCAGTCAGGTTGACACATTACATCTTATCAAAAAGGGCATTATAAATCCTATTTAAAAGATTAAAAAGGATCCTTGGGACAATGAGAAGCTAGGAAAGTGTTAAGTCTGGAACATCTTTGTGTGTGAGAGAGACTTTTTATTACTCATTTCTATAATAAAGAATAACGTCAATGGTCATAGGCTAGTGTGACAACTTGATTGGGTATTGTTAGTGACTTTTTATTTTGTAAAATAAAAGTTCATATTCACTGATTTTATTATAAATGCTTCATTCCTATTAATGAGATGCCATCACATCAGATATGACTGATATTCAATTCAACTTAGTGAGACAAATCTGCTGTTATTCTCTTAAACATATTTTTATCACCAATCTGTGTTCATATAACTAGTCATCATATTAAAAAAAGATACTGGGTTACCAAATCTTAATTGGTTACCAGTATTTCCATTGGAACAGTTCCAAAGCTAAAAGCCAAAAACTGTTCAGGGAAAACATCAAGAAATAAAAACTTTCCATACCTTCAAAATGTAACTGTTTCTGTAGAAACTAGTGTAAAAACAAAATAGATAATACAGATCAGTCATTTCAACCCACATAGACAATATGAGGAAATTCCATTTTTCTCAAACATAAGGGTAATGCATATGTGAAATAAATACTGTGGGGGTAAATATTTCTTGTCTCTAACAATCAGTTGGCAAATATTTATTGGTTCTCTATTATGGATAAGAATCTGTATTTTACAGCAGTGTTATACAAAATATCATGATACAAAATGTTGTCAGATCCTAGTCTTGACCTAGAGAAATTTTTGCACTTGTACTCGAGGTGTAATACCAAGACAAAAATGTATGACTTGCAGAGATTAATTAACAAGTAAATATGTGTTGCCAGAAGCCCAAGACCACTTTGGGTTTCATGGTACCAGCTCTTAGGCATTCTCACAGCTCAGCAACCGAAAGTTTATGCCTGCTTCAATAGAGACCATCCTTTGTGATAGTTGACCTTGTTCTTCATATATAGCCTCAGTTTACTGGTTAAGTGATATTGTGGCAGCTAAATGAAAGCCAGTTATTTAACTCCCTGAGCTTCAGTATACTCATAAAATAGAGATAACAATTCCTATTAGATATAGTTGCTGTTAGGATCACAGGCGAAGATTTAAAATGCCTGTCATACCTACCACCTAAAGAGTTGTAATAGCTCTTTGATTTATTTATTTAAATTGATAAATAAAATTATATATGTGCTTATTGTATACCTGACATTTTGACATATGTATAAATTGTGGAAAGGCTAAATCAAGCTAAGTAACATAGGCATTATCTCATATACTAATTGTTTTTTTCTTGAGGTGACAACACTTAAAATTTACTCCCTTAGCTATTTTCAAAAATACAATGAATTGTTATCAACTATTATTGCCATGTTGTACAATAGACCTTTTAAATTTATTTTCCCTACCTGAATGATTTGTATCCTTTGGCTAACTTCTCTCCATGTCCTATTCTCCACCCCTAGTAGCCACCATTCTACTTTACTTTTATGAGTTCCACTGTTTTGGATTTCACATATAAGTGAGGGTATATGTCTAGGAAAAGACGAATGTTCCAAGGTGAATAGGCAAATGCAGATCTACCCCCAAAGGCCAAGGGAGCTGAGAGGCTGAAGAGAGAGGCTGACAAATCCAGTTTCTCAGAAAGAAGCATTTACTATGGACTTAGGAACTGAAGTATGTCTCTGGTGGCTGAGATACAGTGGATCTCTCCCTATCCACCCTCCACAAAGTATTTTTTTATATGGTAACTTTAGGAAAAAGATGTGTGCAACTGGTCATATCTCAGACTTTCTTGCCAAGACTCATGACCGCTACAGGCATTGTTTAAAGACCTTGCAGTGGAACACCTTGGAATGTGGGGGTCAAACACTGATCATCATGATGGTTTTGCTTCAAAATGGCATCACTCTTGCCATGCAACAGGCTATTTTCCTACAAGAAACATAAGTAAAGAAAAATGAGAGAACTCTTTGCCTGTATTTTGGTAGTGCTCAGATAGCTTTGAATGTGCCATGTGGAAAAACCAAAGGTAAATGTTTTCATAGAGTTTTGGAAGTTGGAAAAGAAGATGTTCAAATCTAATTTGATAAACAGTATGGAACTTATTAATAGGTGGATCATCATTTTTGGTTATACCCTGATTCCTCTGCAACTAAGATATTTCTTAAAAAAAAAACCTCTTTACTTTCTGGTTAAAAAGTTTTTAAAAATGTTTGTTTCTTATGTCATCATGCCACCAATTTATGTTTCTTTGTAACAATCTTCTTATTGCTTGTTAACTGTCTCTCCTCTACTACAAGCTCCTTGAGGGCAGGGCTGAGCCTCTGTTGTCTATCACTACATCCTCAATGTCTAGCAGAAATCCTGGTATGGATTACTAGGCTTGCCCCTTCCTCTACTAACAGACGTGTCTTTTCATTGTTGTCAAGCTTGGTGTTTTAGAAGGGTTGCAGGTGGTGGAATAAGGGAGCCCTGAATTTAACCACCTTTCCAGAACTTATGAGCTGTGCAGTCTCATATTTGGTAAGCCTGGTTTTCTTAGTTGTCAAATTAGGATAAGAAATTATCTATGGAATTGTTAATAAGAAATTAAAATGAATGCTTATAAAGAACCAATACAGAGTATGAATCATAGGAGGTGTTCAAAAAATGAAACTGTTACTTTTACTAAACATTCGATGCATTTCCAGAGTTAGTTTCTGAGTTTCGCACCAGATTATTCATTATTCCATTCAATTCTTTATGGAAAAACTTAGGAAAAGAAAATAAGACAAAGTAAAACTAATAAAACAGCAATCTGTTTAATGGCATATATAAAAAGAAAAAGGAACAGTTTCTGTTGATGACAATTTGTAAATATTGTCCATTCTCATTTATTCTCAATATCAACAGAAAGTGTATCATTCATTTATCAGTTTATCAGATATATATTGAGAACCTATAAGCCATATTTAGAATTCTGAAGACAAGAAAATGTGATGGGAAATATTGTCGTACTTTAATGGGGGCATTCTACTGTCAGAAAAACAAAAACAATAACAGATTTAAAAATATATCGCATGATGTCAGTGTTGGTCATAAAATATGTGGTATTAAGAAGAAAATAAAAGAGGGTAATGGTATAGGAAGTTATGGTTGCATGGGGAGAGGAAGTACATTGGGAGCCTTCTCACAGGAAGTTACATTTAAGCAGTCACAAATAAAGAGGTATCCAAGAGATACAATATGTGGGTAACAAAGAGTGTTCCTGGAAGAGGAAATATCAAACGCAAAGGTCCAAAGGTGGAAACACGCCTGTTGTGCTTGAAGGACAGTGTGAGCCAGAGAGAATGGAAATGCAGAAGGGTGGGGGTGGGGGAATCAAGTACCAGATCTCATTCCAGGGCTTCTCATGCATGTGCTGGTGCTGGATGTTCACAGTCATCAGAGTCCATGTCATTACCATGGAGCTCCACACTCATACCAATCCTACAAAACAGTGAGCTCTCGAAGTTAACTATTCTGGAAAAGGAATCTGGTTTCAAAGATCTATGGTGAGAAGGCATATCAAATTCGCAAAATAGTTCAGGGAAACTAACAGAAACAAAAGCACACAGAATGAAAAGAACAAAAACCTAGCCTAGAAGAAAGTAGTCAAAGATATAGAAGAAATTCCTCACATGAATTTTAATCTACAGATCATCTCAATATGAATATTTATACATTTAAACAGCATGAGATTACTAAGGGGGATTACAGTTGGAAAGAACAAACACTGATATTGAAAATAATACATGAAAGAGAAATAGCAGGAACAAAATTGATGGAGATAAAACCCAAACAATGAAGAAAGAAGATGAGCAGTAATCAGAGTGAATGCAGAGAGAAGAAAAAGTAGAGGAGAGGGGGGAAAAGGAAAAGGAGAAGCTATTTTAAAGCTAATAGAGAAAAGGCAATGGACAGAGAAAGATGAGCCAACAAGTGTCCTTGAAGAAGACAATCTTACAAATGGAACAGGAAAACAAAAACAATTTCCAAAACTTTAAACAGAAAATTTTCATTAAATGAAGAAAGAACAGATTTAGCAAATTGAGAAACCATATTAAGTTACAGGAAAATGTGAAAAGTTACTCAATGTTGAGTTATGCTCTGATAAAGTTATTTAGTGTCAACAATGAAGAAAAAACATTCACTTATCATAGTACAAAAGACCTTGATGCACTGTAAAAAGTTCAGGCTAACATGGAGCCTTGTGCTCAGAAACATTTAAGGCAGAAAATAATAGAATTATACCTCACCAGTTGTGAAGCCATGTCTCAATGTTCTGAGAACAATGATATACCCATATGCACTCAAAGAACAGGCAGACATATTAATATGTGGAGGCACACAGGAATGTAGCACCCTTGTAGTCTTGTGGAAAATCACCTGAAATCTGGTAAAGATTGAAACAAAGAGCTCAGAAATAAAAAGCCATGATTAAAAAAGTGGTGGTGAGCACTGAATTAAAAATAGGACAAGTCCAGATAATTATGGGTTATAGAATAGAATTTACATAGTTTGAATTTTGGTAATGTAAATAAAAATTAAATAATTACATTTGGGAGGGGGAGAAGATTTGAAAATATGAGAGTGCTCTTCATGTTTTATGTTTTATGGTGATGAGTAACAATAATCTTAATGGAAGCAAATAGGTTTTTTTAAAAATGATACCAGTCTTTTATAATTTTTCAATAAAATTTTCCTGCCTTATAATGACATTGAAGAAAATATTTTCTTTGATGAAGAAATGGTATCTGAAGTCCAGCAACAGTCTTAATTTTATTTCAGTGTATTCGTATTCAATACATTTAAGCAAAAATGAATTCAATAGTTTGACTAAAAGCAGCATATATATCGTGAATCATTTTATATAAAAGTATTAAATCAATCAAGCCATTCTGTCCATGAAGATGCAAAAGAATAATATCTGAAATTTTAGAAACAGACATTATTGTATACCACTGGTAGCATTATGAATTTCTCAAGAAGTTTGAGCTTTAGTAGTCACATTTGTTCTGGCTTTAGTTATAAAAATTAAAATTCTATTTATGAGATGCTACTCTTAATATTGTGCTGAAAGTCAAAGCCAGTTCAATAAAGCAAGAAAGAAAATAAATGGCATAAAAATTGGAGAAAAAAAGAATTAAAGTTGATTTCATTTGTAGATGGTATGGTCATTTACGTAGAAAATCCTGATAGATTTTCAAAAATATACTAAAACTAGCAAGTGTGTTTAGCAAGATCATGTGATATACATAGACTATAAACAAACAATTGAGAATTGAAAGTGAAATTAAAAAGATTTTTTATTAGGACCAAAATACATAAACGTCAAAGAAATAAATCTAATGAGTGATGTGTAAGACCTCGTCACAGAAATTCCACGTAAATCTGATCGAAACCCACCATTATTTGTAGAAATGTACAAACAGATTCTAAAATTTATCTAGAAATATAAAGAATCTAAAAAAGCCACAACAAACTTGAAAAAGAACAACAATGTTGGAGGTCTTATACTGGCTAATTTCAAGATATATTTTAAGCCAAAGATAATCAAGAATGTGTGGTATTGTGGTAAGGATCAACAAATAAAATGGAAGTAAATAGGGTCCAAAGATATACCTGCACATTTGTTATCAATTGGGTTTTGACAAAGACACCCAGATAATTCAATGGGCAAAGGAGAATCCTTTCAATAAATGATTCTTGAACAACTTGGTTTTACGTAAAAAAAAGACCCTCGATCACGAGGTCAGGAGATCGAGACCATCCCGGCTAAAACGGTGAAACCCCGTCTCTACTAAAAATACAAAAAATTAGCCGGGCGTAGTGGCGGGCGCCTGTAGTCCCAGCTACTTGGGAGGCTGAGGCAGGAGAATGGCGTGAACCCGGGAGGCGGAGCTTGCAGTGAGCCGAGATCCCGCCACTGCACTCCAGCCTGGGCGACAGAGCGAGACTCCGTCTCAAAAAAAAAAAAAAAGAACCTCAACCCTTACCTTACACAAAATTAACTTGGAGTGGACCATAGTGGTAAATACAAAGATAAAACTCTAGGCCGAGTGCAGGGGCTCATGACTGTAATCCCAGCACTTTGGGAGGCCGAGACAGGTGGATCACCTGAGGTCAGGCCTTTGAGACCAGACTGGCCAACGTGGTGAAACCCTGTCTTTATTAAAAATAAAAAAAAATTAGTTGGGCGTGGTGGTGGGCACCTGTAATCCCAGCTACTCCGGAGGCTGAGGCAGGAGAATCGCTTGAACCCGGTAGGAGGAGGTTGCAGTGAGCTGAGATCATGCCACTGCACTCCAGCCTGGGTGACAAAGTGAGACTCCATCTTAAAATAAATAAATAAGTAAATAAAACTATAAGACATCTTAGAAGAAAACACAAGAAGCCATCTTCATGACCTTGTGGTAGGTAAAGATTTCCTAAATAGTACCTAAGAAGCATGAAACAGAAAAGGAAAGCTGAAGCCCCCAAAATGCAGACATTAAAATTACCAAAATTAATCATTTTTATTAAAGTCACCTTTAAAAAAAAATAAAAAGGTAAGCCAGAAACTGGGAGAAAATAATTGCAGTGCCTATATCTGATATTCTTATATCCACATATGTGCGTATATATATCCATAGGTATATGTTTGTGTATATATATCCATATGCATATAAACACACACACACACACACACACACACACACACACACACTTGTGATTGCCTGGGGGTAAGATTACATAAAAAGAGGCATGATGGATTTCTCTAGACTAATATAAATGTTGTATATTTTGATTTGGGTGGTAATTATATGAGTGTAAAATTGTCAAAATGTAAAAACTGAAACTTATGGTCTATACACATTAAATCTGCATTTATTGTATGCAAATTATACCTTAATTAAAAAACAAAAAAAATTTAAAAAGGACATTTGTGCTCTGTCAGTATGTAAATTTGGAATGTACTTTTTTTTTTTCTGCCATTCTTCTGACTGATAGGGAGCTCAGACCTGTGCAACAGAGAAATCAGCTTTGAGTGCCATCTTAAAGCTGAGTATAAGGCTCAAATGTTTTTGGTGAATAATTTTATTTTATTTACCTGACAGTACTTTGCTCTTTGTTTCACATTCTATTAGCTGGCATTGGATTGTAGTGAAGTTCTTAGGTTGAATCATTGAGACATTTTAAAAAAGCTGTTATGGCAGGAATTATGAGGTCTTTGTAACTACATTTTTATAATTCTTTTGTTGAACAAATTTTAATGAATAGTTGAGCTTAATCTGGAAATACTGTTGGCTTTACAAATGCTCTGCACACAGAACTCAAGAAAGTGCTTTTGGCTGGGTGTGGTACCTCATGCCTGTAATCCCAGTGCTTTGGGAGGCTGAGACAGGAGGTTTGCTTGAGGACAGGAGTATGAGACCAGCCTGGGCAACATAGTGAGACCCTGTCTTAAAAAAAAGAAAGAAAGAGAGAGAGAGAGAGAAAGAAGGAAGGAAGGAAGGAAGGAAGGAAGGAAGGAAGGAAGGAAGAAAATTCTAAATTCTTTTATCTGACATCTTTGACAATGGGTTAGAGAGGAGAATTAGGAAGATTCAAAGCAAATGTATTCCTGGACATGGGTGGGCTGAGTTGGGGTAATGGGGATAGACTTCAAAACAATCTTACTTACTTTTGGTGATAAAGCCAGTGGGAAAATAAATGGCTAGACCCTGTTTAATTTATTCCTTTGCTCCTTGATTTCCACCAAACAACAATTACATTACTGTGGGAGAAAAAGTTTGTGGCAATAAAATACAAAACTAAATTTACTTTCTTCTCTTAAAAGAGATGGACCATTCTGTAAATCATAATTCAATATATAGAATTCCAAAGTGGAGTTGTTCGTCATTTCACTTCTAGAATCCCATAGATTGTGATCTGGAAGAACATTCAGGGCAGTAAAAGTGGCTCCTCCTGATTTAGAAATGTAGAGCCTTTAAAATTTATTTCGTATAACCAGTGTTTCATCATATTGGCATTCCACGCAGGTGCAGTGTCCTGCTGAGCAGTGACTTAACACAGCCCTGGAGCTGGATTAGATCATACATTTAGATTCATCACAGCACAACAATTTATACGTAGTTTTCCCGAATGAAACATCAGGGAAAATAAGTTCAGAAATGAACTGAGTAAATCTCTTGAATTGAGATTGATGCCCAGATCTCAAATTATCCTTATAGAAAACATCCTGTATGCCGCAGTTTGGTTTCAGGGTTTCCAAGACAATTGACTGATTTATGATATTGCTTTAAGGCTGAGTTATCAGTTTGCGAGCTATTATGAATGCACAGAATCAATAAAATTGTTTAGGAACACCTTGATGCAAAGAAAAAAAAACTCAATATTTTACAATTTCTCAACTCTTCAGATGCTAGCACGTACCCAACGAAATGCATCTGAACCTAATATCTGACTTTTTCTTGGCAGTCATGTTATGGTTCCCCTTTAATAAGCTTACAGCAATTAACACTATCAAAATGAGAATGCTTTATACCCTCATCCTGAATTTCCCAAATCTTTTTTTTTTTTTTGTATATGAGTACCTGATTCAGGAAAATACACATAGCATTCGCTTGATATTTTTGAGTGGATAAATAAATTAAACAGTTAATTCATATTACATAATTTAATAGTGAATTGAATACTGTTTTTCATGCCTTTCTAATGGTTTCTCATGCATTGATTTCATCTTCCCAAGGAGGGTTTTAATCTTCTATGGGGTACTTTTTTAAAGCATATATGCAATATTTTCTGTGAATAGCATACTGCTATGACCATACTAGGTGCTTAGGGAATGATGGATAATTAATTACACATTGTCATCAGCATCAAAACATCTTTGATCATGGTTTTATGGCTTTTAATTCCCCTTAGTTTAAGTGGTACTACTAAACATTAGTTTATCCTCTACTTATGCTGTGTCATTACAGTTTTTAAATATTCCTTTATCTCTGGTAATGAACTTCCTCCATCTGTATTTTTCCTGAATTTCCAGTCTTGTGTTTTAATGTGTTGTTTGGTTTATTCCTGAGTCTCATTCTTGGGTCTTCCTCTCCGCTAAACTATCTTCTCCCTCGCTCACCTTGCAGAAAAACAGATTTCAGTTCAGAGAGCATTTCACCATACACCAAAAACATGCCAGGTACTGTACTAAGCACAGGTGACCCAAATGAGAGATGGCTCCTCTACTCAAAGATTTTGCAGCCTGGTGGAAGACAAACATTATTTCCATGGAGAAATTACAGAAACACTTGCAAGTTACCATCAGAGCATAGGCTACCTACTTCAGCCTAGTGCGAGGACACCCTCTGTGGCAGGAAAGCTGGCACAGGATGTGAGTTCAGCAGTTCTAAAAGAGTAAGTCTAATGAAGTCTCTTCCTCAAAGCTACAAGGACTTCTCTGATTTATAGAATAGGCACAGTTGTGAGGTGATGATGGATGACAAGGTTCATAGGCCAGAGGAAGAGACTGAAAGGCTGGCAACGTGAGAGGGAGAATCATAAGCAGATATACAATGTGCAGATATAAAGATGGAATGAGAAAAGCCGCCAGAGAAGATCATGAAGCAATAGATAGAATGGCTACATGTTAGGGTAGTTACAGGGCAGGTTCTAGGTACAGAGACTATTACCATTGTGGGCTTCCCGTGATGGGATGGAAGGGCCAGGTGAGCAGGGAAGGCCATGGATAGAGTAAACATGGACTGCACCTAGGGTTGGGAATTATGTTTAGGAAGAGGAATTGGTAACTCTAAAGACAAGGTCCTTCCGACTATGTAATATTTGCATTTCATGTATACGTTAACGCTTAGAATACCTGTGGAATGAATTGATACACTTTTATTTTGGGGTGGGTTTATATACACATTCTCAATAAATCCTTTTGCGCTACTTCTAAAGAACTAAATTCCTTGCCACCAAAGCCTGATGTTGTAACAGAGAAACAACAGATAAAGACATAGAGCTCAAAGGCCAAGGACAAGGGCCTGGATGTGCCTGCCTCAGGGCCAGTTACCTTGTTTTTGCCATGGTTTCTTTAAACATAAAATGGGGCTAATAATAGCCTCTCATAGATTTGTCATCAAAATTAAATGGGCTTACATGAAAGCCCTAAGAACAGTGGTAACTTGGAAGTGGTCAGGGAATGCTCACCATTGTTCTGATAATTATTTTCTGGAAAGGATGGACATAGCCAATGAGTGTGACCAGATTTTGGTGCTCAGAGAAACAGACAAAATAGACCATCTTCAAGAAAGTGATGTTAACAACCTTATTTCTTATAGGTGTGTTACCTATAAGTAAGGGAATGAGACCTAACCCACAGCTGGTTAGATGAAGCTCTACCTGAAATATATTAGAAACGAAATCCCAGTACAGTAGATATATTTAGAAGATAAACTGAGGACATTAATTTTATTGACTGCTACATTAAAATTTGTGAGCAATCATATCCAAATAGATATATATATGTGTGTGTGTTTGTGTGTGTATATGTCTATATATATGTAAATCTATGTAATGAATATGTACATATTCTCAGCAATGATATTTTGTCCCACAGAGAATTAGAGTTCCATAACTCTTCTTTTGCTTGATTTTAAGCTTCTTTGAGCTTAAATCTAAAAGAATACCAACAAGAAGATGCCTAGACAAATTTCTTAGATTCTGTGATGAAAGCAATCTGAAACCTTACTTACAGAAAGTGTCATAGTAAACAACTTGTTTTCTTGAGTTGAATTCAAAAGAGGAGTATCTTGAGTGAAATGAATGTTAACAAAAAGCACAAGAAACATCTTAGCTCGAAAAGTTAAAGTGGTCCTTTTAACCTGTGTGAATAAAGCATAATTTACACAACTCTGAGCACTGGGTTAAAGGGGAAGAAGTGAGGTAGATTTGGCACAAAATTACTTTTGACACATGCCATGTATTATTTACCAGAAAATTCTACCACGTGCATTAATATGACAGGCATAGTCCCTTGATTAGCTGAAGCCAATTGGTCAGTACATATAGTGAAATTTGGTTCAGATGTTTCTGGGTGGATGTGGAGAGAGGATGATAATCAGAAACTCAAATAGCTGCCTCATAAAGAAATGTCTGTTTTTACCTCAGAAAAATTCAGTGACGATTAAATGAGTGGAAAGATAGAGAATGTTTTGAGGCTTTGGGAAGAAAGAATTGTGTTAAATAGAACCTAATGTGTAATCATTGTTTACTCTCTAAGAAAGACTTATTCTCCTTACACTTCCTGCTCTGTATGTACAAGCTCCTTTGGATCCATCAACCTCATGGTTCTTCATGAGGACAAGTCAGTGCTTTGTTCTCACCTTGTGATGCCTCTGAAAGTGGCCTCCCTGTTCCTAGTCTAAGAAATCGATTTGATTCTTTGTCTTTTCCCACAGCCTCATGTCTCCCCTGGGACAGCTTACTATACGAACAAAATATGAAACACGCCTACAGTTTTACAGTGACAGAGCCAAAGCTTTTTCTGTTATCGTTTGCGTAGCCCTTGGGGAAATATCAGAATGGGGATTGATCTTGGCAAAGAGATAGTCCACAGAGATGGTTGAGTTTAATAAACCCTTGCTATAAAAGAATCATATTTAAGTTCCAGCAAGTCTCAAAGCTCATTCTGCCAAGGCTATCTAATATCTTGCCTCCTCAGTTACAAATTAAATTTCTCTTTGTCACTGTTTCTTTGGAGTCTGTTTTGAATGAGATAAAAGATGAAGGCCCTCCATCAGCCCATTCTCTGCATTACAGAAAGCTCAGTCCCGTAGGCTAATTACTTTGATAGGTGTTCCAAAGGAAGCAATGGTTCCATAATAAATATTACTTAGTCTAGGTGATGCTACCTTTTGAGGACTATGGAAGTGCTATTATTCATCGCTATTCTTACCCAGCCTTCTTAAGAGAACTCGTTTTACTCATGGCGTTCAAGGAAGAACAGATATGAAAATTAATTAAGTAGCTCTTTTGACAAGTGATTGCCTTAAATCCAAAAGTAGTTGGTTGTAATATTATAGTATTGATTGATGGTTCTGAAATAATTTGCTATCATTTACATATATAATGCATATATGCATATATATACACATATATGTAAAATGATATATAAATCTGCACTATATATTATATATGATTCTAATATGTATGATATATAGTATTTGTATATATTACATATCCTACATTGTATATAAATATGCATGAATATATATGTGTACATACATATTTAGGATTAATAACATGAAAAATTATCCTACGACAAACTCCTTCAGCCTTGGTTTTCACAACTTTGAAAAGACTGGTTTGGACTAGATGAACTTTTAGTCCTTAAGTTCAATTATAAATAAGTTTCGGTCAATTGATTGTTGTACAATGGTTATTTAAGTTCTCAAACAAATAAATTTAGAAGACACCATACATCATAGCAACCCCATCACAAACATTTTCTCTGGGACTTTGAAAGAAAATAAAACAGACCTATTTGAATAGAGCTTATGACCTCTCCCACTGCTCCCTGTTTGATTTGCATCGTGGTAATTAGGCATGTAAATTACCAGGTGGATTGTGATTTATTAGAGGGAAAGAATCCAGTCTTCTCCATTTGTGAGGCCTAAAGTAGAACTTACATATTGTTGCCATAAAAGCATGTGGCTAAATTATTAAACAACTTAGAAGAGCTCTCAATCATCATTACTTTAGCTTTTATTAATAGCAGTATCACTGGACCACCTTCAACCCCTACACATACCAACATCTCTCAGTGTGAACAGTGGTTTTTCTAGCCACTGTGTTAATATTGTGTTGCATGGGGCAGCAGCCCAGTCACCTCAAATAAGCTATTGGAATGGATTTATATTTATGGCATTGGATTTACTAACAATACACCTGAGGCTGTGGGCCTCATGCATGTGGGACACATGCATAATTCATGCACATTCAGCATTTTAAACTCTACTCAGGGTTTACTTTTAAAAGCCACATTGATTTTGATTTAAAACCCTAAAGAATAAGCAGAACCAAGCTGCTAGGCTGTTTTTATTAATAATATTTTATTCTTTACCATTGGATAAGATGATAACGATGACAAAGCCCTTGCTAAACCTGGGTTCACAGTGAGAATAAAGACCTTCCTGAGAGTTATGTTCTAAGAATAATACATTGAGTTTGAGGTTTAACCAAGACACTATTTAAGTTTATTTACAATTTGGAAATAAATAGATGTTCTTTAAAAGGATGAGCAGCTTACCTCACTCCCTAATCTAGGAAACCACTCTGAAGAGCCTGACACTTTCAGTGAGTACTTAACACACTATCTTGAGTAGAATTTTATTACTAACTGCCAGGCAGCACTGTCAGAAGGCAGAGAGACCAAGAACACAATGTCTTCTACTTCAGTACACTAGAGTATTCTTTTGGAATCTGGAATGTGGATAACATGCTACCAATGCTATCCTTGCATTCTATTCTTACTTTAGAAATGTTAAAAAAAAAAAAAAAAGCACAAAAAACAACAACTAAAACAGTTGGAGGAAATTGCTTCTAGCATTGTGTAAACATGTCTTTTTCTGAGCCTCAGTTTCTTCATTTGTGAAATACACACAACCTAAAAGACCCATTTCAGTTCAATTGTCCTTTTGCCTCTTAGTTCCCAATCTGAGAGAGCAAATTAAATAGCTAGAGCCATTTCTTAGAAGGGACGTCCTGGGAAGTGCTTTTTCAAAAGAAGGGGGAAAGGCAAGTAGTGAATTCACATTCCAGTCTGCAAGGAATAACTTGCCAAGAATCATTTCCCTTAAGCTAACTGCATAGGTTAATGTCCTTAAGCGCTTTCTGGTCAGCTGAAGAAACCTCCACATTCAGTAACGTCTACTATGGGGAGTAGGTCTGCTTGAAATGAAGAGATGCATAAATATTCCAAATGTCCTCAGAGTTTAACTATTCTTTAGCCTCACTGGTAATGATATATGTGTGTGGAGGGCAGTGGGTGTTTGTATACCACAAATTTACACATTTTACCAAACTTAGTAGTGCCCTCTACAAGGGATAGTAAAGGGGGAGTTTTAATTTTGATTATTATCTACATGCCCAACACTCTTAAACCCAGGCCTGTCTACTAGGATGTTTTGATGACATTTAAACTCAGCATGTTCTGAATCAAACTCCTTCGCTTTCTTCCTACAGTCACTCCTTGCTCTGTGTTCAAGTCACAATCAAGGGCATTACTGTCCAATCAACTGCACAAGGTAGAACTCAAGTGATCACCCTTGACAAGTTGCTCTCCTTCAGCCCCTGCATCCCATCCATCAAGTTCCTTCCATTTAACCCCCTAAATGTCTCTCAAATCTGTCCACCCCTCTTCATCTCTGCAGACCCCACTGTTGCACCCTCATTCTCACATCTCACTTGGATTATTCAGATATCCTCCTGGAACACTGCTCTGATTCATTCTCCATAGTACTTCCAGAGTGACGTTTTCAATACCAAGACTTCTCTGATTAATAATAAAAAATTCATAGTGATCTTTCAATACCAAGACTTCTCTGATTAAAAAAAAAATTCATTGGAAACTCCTTATTATTCTTAGAATAAGGAAGACAAGGCCCTGCATGGCTTGGTTTCCTCCAAACTTTTCTGATTCATCTTGTACAATTACTCCCCTCTCCCCTGCCACAACTCCAAGACAAAATGGGCTCAAATTAACTCAAGTCACACCTTGCTTCCTTTTGCTTTAGATCCTCAACCCATGGTTGCTTCCCTGTCACAATGTTCTCTTCCACGCTTTTGCTTGGTTAATTTCCACTATGCTGCAGCTCCAATGCCACTTCCTTGGAGAAGCCTTTCTTGAGCCCCCAGATTGGACTAAATATGCCTCTCGTAGCTTCTTAAGAATTTTCTTCTTAACACCTATTACAGTTAATACTGTGCATCGCTACTCAATGGATCCTTCAGTCAAGTCTAAGGTCAAGGTCTGAGGCTGTTCTTGCTCATTGTCACATCATCTAACATAATGCCTGGTTTACAGTCAATACCTGTGGAATGAATTTAAAGTTGTTCTAGGTAAATCAGTTAATTCATTAGATATTTAGAGTGAAGGTATTTGTTCACATAGATAATTGTGAATTACAAGAAACCAGTTTGCTAATTACTTTCAGCATGTATAAAAGTTTGTCCCTAATAGTACATTTTTAATCTTTCCAGTAAATGGACATACCTTCCACTTCAAAAAAGGAGACTTTTCCCAAAATAGTCAACTCAGCAGCAACATTTGGACATAGCCAAAAGGATTCCATAAGCTTGATTTTTCCTTTAATGATATACAAAATATAAAATTCTTTTACCCATAATCATACCTCTGCCATTGTTCACTGTCAGTGAAGGGTGAAGGTATCTACAAACCATGTCACGCTGGAAAGTGGCTAAAGGAAATGGAGGCAAGAGGATTAATAAAAGGTACAGGGCAGTCTTCACAAGTTTATAATGCTTTGGGATACAGGAGGCAGAGTTTTGTTTGGCTGAAAGGCAAAACTAGGACACAGGTGTGGAAATTATACAAATTACAAATCTAGGTTTTAAATTAATTAACAAAGAGCTTGTTAACATCATGCAATGTGTGCTTAGCAATGAAATGGGCCATTTCCTGAGTTAAGGAACTCTTTGCCAAATCAGAGATGCTGTGAAAGAGATTCCTACATTGGTCTCTGGGCTGCCTGCATAAAGGTCTCTCCCTGGCTTGGGTTTACAGAAGGAAATAACCATCTAGGGCTCTGTTTGATACCTAAAAGGTTGTCCAGCTACATATCCAAATTGGTTTGAAGGACTCTGCTTAACTGATAAATTCAGTTTTGATATGGATTGAATCCACATGTGTAGAGGTAGCTAACTCTTTAATGTATTTTTTTTTAAAAAACTGATTGAAGAGTTTACACGTTAAAAAAAAATAAAAAAATAAACTTTTCCCAGTTCAATTTAAGGAATATTATTATATAGTAATATGCATGACATTTTCAAACAACTGGCTATTTTATGATTAATTGCTAATATTTCAGACAGGCACTGTATTTCCTATCTACTTATTTTGCCAACATTTGATTATAGTAAGGCAATTTATAGACAGGTTAGCTTGCTATTTTCAATGAACTGGATGTGCTCTCTAATGGAATTGGTAAATTGGTGTTAAATTGTAGCTTAGAGTCTTATTATTGTGAGATTCTATCTTCTTTTCATTGGTTTTCTTCATCACTGAGAAGAGACTTGAATTGGCTTCAGTTAGAATAGTGAAGAATAATTGTTAGTTTTTATAGGAATAACCCTATATCATTGACATAGTTTAATTTTTATCAGATATTTAGTCTATGGAGAATATAAAGAATCCTTTACTCTTTATTTTTATTATCAAATCTAAATTATTCTTATATTTTGAATTATAGTTATAGCCCTTATCACAAACACCTTATCTTTTAGTTGCAGAATTTAGTTTCAAACTCAACATGAATATCTATCACATTTTAAAATTTCATTACATCATGTAAGTCTCCTCTGGGCCCTCAATTTCTTGGTGAGAAATTCAACCTCAGTTCAGTTTGGCATATTCTACCTCACTTCAGTGGGATAGAAGCGATCTTCATGCAGTCTACCCAGAGATAAAAGGAGGAATCTCTTCTACAGTGTACTTGTGTGGGAAAGGTATTCCTTAACTCAGAAAACTTACCTTATCATTGGCATAATTAAAAATTAGGTTGTTTTACACTACAGAAAATCAGGAAGTAGCCAGGTTTTTAGATCATGGTGGAGGCATTCGCACCACCAGTTCTCTTTATTACCTGTGGATCCACTGCTATTAACATGGATCCTTCATCATCCATTGCTTGTGCTATTTGGAGCAGACCTAGGGAAACTCCTGAGTAGTTCCAGTCTCTAACCACATACTCATTCCAGGAGCCTTCAGTCGCTAATCTTAAGGCCTTTGTGCTCACTGACAGTCTCTACAGGCATGTTGAAGAAATCACCCACCTAGGGGATCCTCCAGTTATAGAAACTATTCAAATATGGTTCTGTATTTTTTGTTTTTGTTTTTTTGTTTTTCACGCTTAGGGACCTTTAATGCATATAGCCCCCACCCCCCAACACCTTCTGACTCCTTTTACTCAAAGCTTTTGGTTCCACCCCATCCACCTTTGAGATAACTCAGACCAATTCTTCTCTGAACAGACATGAACTTTAGAAAGCTGTTTATTTCTCCCACGATCATGAGGATTAAGGATAGCATAAATAGTGCCCTCTTTTTCCCCCTGTATGGCTAGGGAAAGCTATTTTTAAAACAACTTTCCTTTTCACAGGTTTTATGTGTGTTTCAATAATTCATCCTGTTACATTTTTGTGTATGTTTCCATGCCTCATTTGCTCATTCATGCATGCAAATCAGCCATTATGTCAGGTCCAGTGCTGTGCTTACTTCACGCTTTTACTAGATTTTAAATTTCTAAAAAACAAAGGTCACATCTGATACATCAGTGTGTCTGTCCCCAAAGCCAGGACAGGGCCTCATACTTTCCATACTCATGAAACACTAATTGAATTAATTAATCAATTGTGTGCAAAAACCACATCTTCTTTCTTCTAGCCATTAGTTTGACCCTACAGTCTTGAATGGGGGCCTAGACTCAATGTAACCAGGACCTGCATGGAATGCAAAGAATGCCTGCAGGGAATGGCTATGTAGGCCAGTGTGGTGTGAGTGTGAGTGTGTGAATATATGTGTGTCCCAAGTGTGTAAGCATATAAATGAAAATGCAAAAATCATCACACATATTTAAAGAATATTACATGAACTTCTAGGGTCTCCATGTCCCTTCTATCTTCCATTCACCTGAATTTAATTGAGTTACTCAAGTGTTAAATACATGAGTTAGATGAGAAAAACTTAGTCCAAAAGTCGTAGTATCCTAGGCAAGTGTGTAGTCACTGTTCCAGATTGGAAATGGGGAGCTGGGAACTGGTTTGAGTCACTGTGTTAAATTTAGCCTAAAGCTACCTCCTTACATATTGTAAGTTTAGCATAAACGTTTCTCCATGCATCATGAAATGTAATCTAAGTGGATGTGTAGATAGACCTTAACCAACTTTTGTGCCAGTCATCAAGTTTTGATCAATCAACAGCAGTCAACTGTTCAAATCCTGTTCAAATAAGGCAAACACCAAACTGTCACCAATCCAGTCATTTCTGTACCTCACTTCTGTTTCCTGTATGTCACTTTCTTTTTACCATCCATAAATCTTCCACCATGCAGTAGCACTGGAGTCTCTGAACCTATTCAGGTTCGGGATCTGACTGATTTGCAAATTGTTCTTTGCTCAATTAAACTCTGTTCAGTTTAATTTGTCTAAGGTTTTTCATTTAACAACTGCCTATTCCCAATTTCAGGTGTAAGGACTCTCCTCCCCAACAACCAATTAAAGGCCCTTGGCCATACATTTGCTTTCTTGTGCTCATTGCTCGAATGGAATATTGTGTTTGTGTAGATGTGTATATGAGTGTTGGAGGGAGTCAGTCTACAAGAAGTCAGATGGAACTCTTAGAGCCTTGGGTACTAATTGCCACAAATTTTGGTCATTACAGTCACCACTTGTCTTGAGTGGCTACCTGGGGTTAAGAAAAAAGCTCTGCCCTGAATGCCAATGGGAAGGACAGCTGTTGCAGCTCCTGAGTGCAGGCCAAGGAAGGCATTCACCTTCATGAAAACCAGGACTACTGTGCATGGTAAGTCAGCTTCCATTGGCTGAAAGAATACCTCCTGCATTGCACTTTAATTGAGTTGTTTCTCATTCTTGTCCTCATGGCCCTCATGCACAGACCCTCTTTCAAGGAGCTAGCCAAACCACCCATTTATCTTTCCTTTTCTTTCACATTCCTACTGACATTTCCTATTCATCACACGAAATGCATTCATCTCTCCCTCTTCGTGTTACTCACCCACCAAGCTCTACCTCAACTTTAAATCTCAGATCTGAGAATCATACTCCTTTTAACTAGCATATTCTTTTGAAAGCAAAAACAGGGAAGACTAAGCTGTATTCTTCTTTTTCTTTCTCCTTTTAGCCACCTGCAGGAAAGGAGAAAAACTAACTTGAGTCAACTTCTTAAAAATATAGCCTTGTCGGCTGGGCGTGGTGGCTCATACCTGTAATCCCAGCGCTTTGGGAGGCCGAGGCGGGCAGATCATGAGGTCAGGAGATCGAGACCATCCTGCCCAACATGGTGAAACCCTGTGTCTATTAAAAATACAAAAATTAGCCAGGCGTGGTGGTGGACACCTGTAGTCCCAGCTACTTGGGAGGCTGAGGCAGGAGAATCACTTGAACCCAGGAGGTGGAGGTTGCAGTGAGCTGAGATTGCACCACTGCACTCCAGCCTGAGCAACAAGAGCAAAATCTCTGTCTAATATATATATATATATATATATATATATATACACACACACACAATCTTGTCAAAGAACATTAAGTATAATTTTTGCCGTGGTTCACATTTCTCTTTAGTAATTACACACTTCTCATTGGACAAATTACATGACATGTGGAAGTACACAGTGATTTCCAGGAAGCCCAAAGTCCCCACTCCCCTCACTCTCCTCCAGATATTTATGTGATCAGAAAGAAGTATTCACAGTCCCGTTGGAAGTCATCAAAGGCTGGCAGGGCAGAAATAAATTGAAGATCATTACAGGTGTCCACACTATAATTCCACTGCAATCCAACTATATTCCTCTTCTTATGCCCTCATCCAGTGGAATAAAGGGGGTCTGTCACCTGAGCCAGCAGCATTCCAAAGCCATGGAGATGGCCCCCCAGAGAAGCACAGTCAAGTCCATGCATGTGCTTGTGGTGCTAGAAACTGCTTTTTGATGTAGAGAGAAGTGATTAATTGCACTGTAACTACTAAAGCGCAAGGAACATAAGTTAAGTCTGATAAAAGAAAGCAACTTTGGAACGTACCTTTATAGACAGAGAGTTTTTTATTTTGAGGAAAAGATAGATGACCCTTTGTGAGAAGGTAGATTCAGGCAGAAACCAATCAGAATCATGGACAATTATTTTTCTGAATAATGCCAAGGAAAAGCAGGTACTCATTGGTAGCTCCTTTTACTATTTTTCTTCATGTTTTTTCTCTTCTAGCTACCTCTCCTTCCTTCTTTTTTTTCTGTTTGCACTTCTTTCTTTTGTTCTATTATATCCAAATCTTGTCCCCCTTCAGCTTTTATGTTTTCCTCCTCTCCCTATTGTGCCTCTGCCTCTCCTTCTGCTGCCAACACTTAGCCTAATCACATGTCACTGGGATTCAATTTCAGTGGCTACTTGTCAGAGTATACCTCTAATGTACCCATACCCTTGATAACTTACTTCTGCCCATATATACCTCTAACCTTTTAAATCACAGTCCTGGAATCAATGATTTGTTCTATGAAATGATTGGAAACCTTTTAGATGCCAAAGAGTGTATCTATTTCTAGAATGTCAAGATGTGTTTTCCAGCGAATGTGACTCATTTTCATCTGTTGTGTCACTACATTACGGAATTTTAAAATACATTTTAGCACTCATTTTTATGAGAACAGCAGGGGATCCTCAGGACATGTTCAATGCAGTCACCTGGAAACACCACATTTTATTAATAGCAGGACTTTGTGATTCTCTATGGATGTTAAATCAGATTCATTTGTCTGTCCCACAGCCAATCAGGTGGCCAATGGCCGAGGCAACACTCATTATTTGATTTGCATATCAAATATGCATGAGGACAGGCTGAGAACAGAGTACACTTCCACCCATCTGGACACATTTCACAAGTGTCTCTCAGCCACTCGCAGTCACCAGGCAAACAAGAATGTGCTCCTAGTTTGTGTCCCATGGCTATTGTGGGGCAGACAGGTTATTGTCATCACCTTCAGAATCTTATAAACTGTAAAGACTGAAAAGATCCCTAGAAAAGAGAGAAACACACAGAAATGTTACAGTAAGCATAGCTCAAGGGTGTGATAGGAGATGGATGCTGATAGCCTAGTCTGTGTCCAGTTATGGAGAGATTTCTCCAGACCCTGCCATTTATCTTTTTTGTAGACAGGGGCTATGTTGGTTAGTCTGTTCATTGTAAATTATTAATAAGTGCATTTTGAAATAATAAATGGATTTTACATTTTGTAAAAGATAATCTCTTACACTTATATCATTTGTTATACAATTTATTTGACTCTCACAATTTCTGAGTTAAGTAGGGAAGCTATTATTGTTCTCATTCCATAAATGAGAAACTATAATTGATTGATTTTTCCCAGTACAAAGTTTTATATGTTAGAAAACCAAATCAAAATCTAGACTTTTGGATGGAAAAATTGAGTGTTTCTCCATGATGAACATCTTCTTTAGGAAACTGAGGCTACATGCACACATATAACATGAGCATAAGAGTTTGCACAATGAGATTTAGTTACATTTAAATTCTTTAAAATGTTAGTATTTAATAACAGAAAGCAAGATAATATACAGGAGTTACTGTAAAACGTTTGAGGTACTTCATTCACTAAATATAAAGGCACAAAAAATATATAAGCTTAATCTTCCCAAGCTCAACTTTGGCCCATTCACTTGCCAGGAAATGAAAAAGTCTATATATAAATATGTATAAATATGAATTATAGATCTTAATAATCAATGTAAACAAAAACTTTACCTAAATACTTCTGAAAGCAGAGATTGCTGACTCTGTTAATTTAACATCAACTTTACATAAGCTCTTTGGCTAAATTTCAAATTTTAAACTCCCTACATTTAAAAAATGCCTTGTTGTGATCAATGACATCCAACTATCATGAATATGATGAAGATTCTTTGTTTCATTTTTCCTTCTAAGAATCAGGTTTTAAAAAATTTTGTGACCTTTCTATACTTTAATTTATACATATTAACAGCTTTTAAAGTCAGATTTTGTTTGTTTTATAGCCCGTAAATGGAAACACGCTTTTATTTATGCAATTTACTGTTCTTCACTTTTATTGTTGTTGCATATGTTAATATTTTGGCTTCAGAAATGAAATATCATGTAGGTAAGCAATTAACTTTCTTCTGTAATTTACCTTCAATACAGAGAATAATTGAGCAGTTTTCATTGAGTAAGGATTATAGATAAAGAGAAATGATTTTTCTTTTGGATGTGCAGAAGTTATGATGTGATTAATTGCATCATAAGCATAATGTAATTTATTCTGAAGTATTGGACAGGATATGAGCTCTTAAACGATGACCTCAGTGAACTGTATTTTAGAGGTTTATGTTGTTGTTTCTGCCTGTGGTAAAGATTCAATTGTAAGGCTCACATAGCTTACTTTATAGTCACTGCCGGTAGACAATTAAAGTAGAATCCATTTATTTTGCATGAATAATGATTTCTATCTGAGTAAATGAATGACTACATTTCTGATAGATGAATTCATGTGTTCGCTAAATAAATTCAATCTATGTGGATCAGGCAGTTAAGAAGTCTCTGTTGCATTAAAAAAATCTTTTGAGTTTGGATTTGTTTTCTGTTTTAATCTTTCAGAGGTAGAGATGAAATTGAATTTGTATTTTCTAATCTGGTCTTTATATTCCAGAGCCAAATATGAGACTATGTACTCTGGAGCTTATATGATTTTTTTTTCCTGTGCTTCTGAGCAAATAGCAAAGTACATTAAGCAATGTCATAGTCTTCTTATAACCCAACTAACAATCTAAGAGAAGGGTTGCAGATTTAGCATTCACTTTTTTTCTTTGGAGGGTAATTTCTGAATTTTAGTAATCTGGCACAGAAAAGGTTATGAAGTTATAGAATTATTTTACATTCCAGGTTAACAGTCCATTTTTATGTGGTAGAAGTATGTGCAAGGAACTATATATTGAGAACCTAAATTTGATGTATTGTTCTGGAAAGAGCAATGGAATACTAGTAGTCTGGAGACCTGAATCTAGCCTGGGCCTTCTTACGAGGGCTAGAATCTTAATTTTTAGGGTGCAAGTTCTTCATTTTAAAAGTGATAATTTTCTCTATACTGTGCAACTCAGAGAAAGGCTATGTGAATAAGATTAGCTTATAAATGTGAGTTTTCAAAAGATTTTAACATATGCTATTGATACAGGATATATGACTTTATAAATTTGGATCATTGTGAAAATAAGATGGTTTTTCTTATGCTAGTGGCTGAAATAATGATCTACCATCAACTGTTTAATAGTTATTAAGTGTCTTGTTAGGGTGATTCAAATAGCTACAAGATACAGTGGCTTCTCTCTAAAAAGTACAGTATTTTGAAGAGATTAGGCTTAAATACTTGCAAAGTTATGTAACAATACAAGACAAGATTAAGTACCAAATGAAAGAGTAAATATATTGAGTTCAGAATAGAGAGGCATCATGGGTGCTAGAGTGATCTACAGTAGATTGGGGAGAAAACTAGATTCCTGCTATGAAGAAAAGTGAAGCTAAAATGAATAAATAGATAGAGAAATGAGCATGAGAGATAAGAAAATGAAGTATAGGCAATGAAAGATCAACAAGTTTGCCTAGGTAAAACATTTTATGGATAGAAGATGAATTCATTCTTGATGGCGGGGCGGTCACTATGCACCTCCCACACTCCTTTCTGTCATACCTATCTGAGATAGCAACAATAAAACATTTGGAGTCCTAATGGAATTCCCCCATGACCACTAGACCCACCCTCCTCATCAGTCTACCTCTCAGCCTTTGTCTGAGAGTCCTGTGGTCTGCCTGCTTGACTGATGAGCAGAAATGTCCTCTGATTGAGGAAGGTGAGCAGAGTTTTTGCTCAAATGCTGCAGAGAGTGGATGAGAAAGAGAGGAGCCATATGTTTCAACAAAACTCCAGTTGATTTTATAGCAATTTGGAGCAAGAAAAGAACAGGCATGGTGAGAACTCAGGAATTAGAGCCTGAAGGGGTGGGCGTAGCTTCCTAGTTATAGTGATTTACAATGCAGCAAATTCTTCCAGTATCTATGTCCCCCATTTACATTATTTTGAATAATAAAATATGAATTTTGAGTTAGAAGGAATTTTGGCAAAAACATCTACTTCACTCATTCTCCCATTTATTTGTATATTCTACATTTATTTATTTAGTGCCTAATTGTTTTTAAGCATCTCAAAGATGAATTAGATATGGACTTGTGTCTCCTGGAGTTTACACTGTAGTGGGGTGGTGGAAATTCCATTACATTTATATACATAAACATGCAAATATAAAACAAGGAAGAACAATGTTTTAAGTACAATGGTGAAGCCATATAGTCATTATGTGAGGCCTAGAAAGTGGCATATAATATTTTCTGGGTTGAAAGTAAGGAGGCTTTTTGTAGGAAGTACTACCTGAGGTGAGGCTTTGAAAAATAGAAGTTGGACTGGACATGGTGGTGCATGCCTGTAATCCCAGCACTTTAGGAGGCTGAGGCAGGCAAGTCACAAGGTCAGGAGATCGAGACCATCCTGGCCAACATGGTGAAACTCTGTCTCTACTAAAATATAAAATATTAACCGGGCATAGTGGCATGCACCTGTATTCCCAGCTACTGGGGAGGCTGAGGTAGGGGAATCGCTTGAACCTGGGAGGTGGAGGTTGCAGTGAGCCAAGATCGTACCACTGCACTCTAGCCTGGTGATAGACCGAGACTCCATCTCAAAAAAAAAAAGAAGTCAACAGTAAATATGTGAAAATGGGGAGAGGCTAAGGGTTATCTCACAAAGAGAACACATGTATGAAGTTATGATGATACCATGAAGCCTGCTCATTTATTTTTCAGAATATAAAACTTAAGCCCAGAAGTTATAACTTGTCAAGGCTATAGCCATATTGGTGACACAATCTAGTTCAGAAACTTGTACAGGTTGAGCATCTCTAATCTGAAAATATGAAATCTGAAATGCTTCAAAATCCAAAATGTTTTGAGCACTGACGTGATGCCCCAAGTGGGAAATTCCACACCTGGCCTCATGTGATGGGTTGCAGTTAAAACACCTCACAACTTTGTTTCAAGCACAAAATTATTTAAAATATCCTATAAATTGCCTTCAGGCTATGTGTATGAGATGCATATAAAACATAAATGAACTTCATGTTTAGACTTGGGTCCCATTCTTAAGATAGCTTATTATGTACAGGTGATATGAGTTGGCTGTGTCCCCACCCAAATCTCATCTTGAATAGTAACTCCCACCATTCCCACATGTTGTGGGAGGAACTTGGTGGAAGGTGATTGAATTATGGGGGCGAGTCTTTCTAGTGCTGTTCTTGTGATAGTAAATGACTCTCACGAGATCTGATGGTTTTAACACGGGGAGTTTTCCTGCACTAGCTCTCTTCTCTTGTCTGCCGCCATGTGAAATATGCCTTTCATCTTCTGTCATGATTGTGAGGCCTCCCCAGCCATGTGGAACTGTAAGTCCAATAAGCCTCTTTCTTGTGTAAATTGCCCAGTGTCGGGTATGTCTTTATCAGCAGTGTGAAAATGAACTAATACAGTAAATTGGTACTGAGACGGGGGTGCTGCTGAAAGGATGCTAAAAAATTTGGAAGCAGCTTTGGAACTGGGTAACGGGCAGAGGTTGGAACAGTTTGGAGGGCTCAGAAGAAGATAGGAAAATGTGGGAAAGTTTGGAACTTCCTAGAGACTTGTTGAATGGCTTTGTTCAAAAGGCTGACAGTGATATGGACAATAAAGTTCAGGCTGAGGTGGTCTCAGATGGAGAAGAAGAGCTTGTTGGGAACTGGAACAAAGGTAACTCTTGTTACATTTTAGCAAAGAGACTGGTGGCATTTTGCCCCTTCCCTAGAGATTTGTGGAACTATGAACTTGAGAGAAATGGTGTAGGGTATCTGGCAGAAGGAATTTCTAAGGACAAAGCATTCAAGAGGTGAATTGGGTGCTGTTTAAAGGCATTCAGTATTAAAAGAGAAACAGAACATAACAGGTTGGAAAATTTGCAGCCCGACAGTGTAATAGAAAAGAAAATCCCATTTTCTGAGAAGAAATTCAAGCTGAATGCAGAAATTTGCATAAGTAACAAGAAGCTGAATGTTAATCCCCAAGTCAATGGGGAAAATGTCTCCAGGGCATGTCAGAGACCTTTGTGGCCTTCCCATCACAGGCCCAGAGCCCTCAGAGGAAAAAATAGTTTCTGGGCCCAGGGTCCCTCTGCTGTGTGCAGTCTAGAGTCTTTGTGCCCTGCATCCCAGCCACTCCAGCCATGACTATAAGGGGCAAGTTAAGTGTAGGCTGTTGCTTCACAGGGTGGAAGCCCCAAGCCTTGGCAGCTTCCACATGGTATTGAGCCTGTGGGAGCACAGAAGTCAAGAATTGAGATTTGGGAACCTCTGCCTAGATTTCAGAGGATATATGGAAATGCCTGGATGCCTAGGCAGAAGTTTGCTGCAGGGGTGAGGCCCTCATGGAGAACCTCTGCTAGGGCAGTGTGGAAGGGAAAAGTGGGGTTGAAGCTCCCACACAGAGTCCCTACCGGGGCACCACCTAGTGGACCTGTAAGAAGAGGGCCACCATCCTCTAGACCCCCAAATGGTAGATCCACCGACAGCTTGCACTGTGTGCCTGGAAAAGCTGCAGACACTCAATGCCAGCCCATGAAAGCAGCAAGGAGGGGGACTATACCCTGCAGAGCCACAGGGGCGGAGCTGCCCAAGGCCATGGGAACCCACCTCTTGCATGAGGGGAACCTAGATATAAGACATGGAGTCAAAGGAGATCATTTTGGAGCTTTAAGATTTGACTGCTGTGCTGGATTTCAGACTTTCCTGGGGCCTGTAGCCCCTTTGTTTTGGCCAATTTCTACAATTTGGAATGGATGTATTTACCCAACGCCCTTTCCTCTGTTGTATCTAGGAAGTAACTAACTTGCTTTTGATTTTACAGACTTGTAGGTGGAGGGGACTTGCCTTGTCTCAGATGAGACACTGCGGGGACTGTGGACTTTTGAGTTAATGCTGAAGTGAATTAAGACTTTGAGAGACTGTTGGGAGGCATGACTGGTTTTGAAATGTAAGGACGTAAGATTTGGGAGGGGCCAGGGGCAGAATGATATGGTTTGGCTCTGTCCCCACCCAAATCTCATCTTGAATTATAACTCCCACAATTCCCATGTATTGTGGGAGGTACCCGGTGGGAGATGATTGAATTATGGTGGTGGGTCTTTCCTGCACTGTTCTCACAATAGTGAATGAGTCTCTAGATCTGATGGTTTTAAAAAGAGGAGTTTTTGTGCACAAGTTCTCTTCCCTTGTCAGCCACCATGTGAGACGTGCCTTTTACCTTCTTCCATGATTATGAGACCTCTCCAGCCATGCGGAACTTTTAAGTCCAGTAAAGCTCTTTCTTTTGTAAATTGCTCAGTGTTGGGTATGTCTTTATCAGTAGCATGAAAACAGACTAATACAATAGGCAAATGGTCTAAATTTTTTTTTTTTTTTTTTTTGAGACAGAGTCTTGCTCTGTCACCCAGGCTGAAGTGCAGTGGCATGATCTCGGCTCACTGCAAGCTCCGCCTCCCAGGTTCACACCATTCTCCAGCCTCAGCCTCCCGAGTAGCTGGGACTACAGGCGCCCACCACCACGCCCGGCTAATTTTTTGTGTTTTTAGTAGAAATGAGGTTTCACCATGTTAGCCAGGAGGGTCTTGATCTCCTGACCTCGTGATCCACCTGCCTCGGCCTCCCAAAGTGCTGGGATTACAAAAATGGAAATCTGATTTCTGGTCTCAAGCATTATGAATAAGGGAAGTATTCCTAATTCTGGTTAAGCATACATTCCACACATGCATGTCTCAGGATTAAGGGGCTCTTTTCCACCATACCCCTGGCAAAGACAAATATATGATAACAAAGGAGAGTCATAATATTGATATGGATTGAGTACTTAGTTTTCAGGCAGAGGAAAAAGTCCTAGACGAAGTCCTAAATGAATGGAATCTAGGACAGGTGAGTAGGAAAGAAGAAAATACTATAAAGAGTGTTAGCTATTATTTTATTTGAAAGAAAGAGTATGTAATAAGGAAGAGTTGAGACTAACCCCTGGTATTAAACAAAAATGTGGCCACTTGGGTGATTTTCAAGGTGCTAGAGGTTTTAGGCCATTATTATATGTGTGTGTATGGGGTATAGTTTACAAAAAAAGGATATGTATAATTGAACTATACCCCATTACACAAATATTAGTCATTGGGGTAAATGCAAGAATAATTCCTGTTAGCATGAATCTGTTTATGCTATGCCTCTTCAGATTTACCTTCTACCATAAAATGCAAAAGGCTAGACATTTTTAGGTAGAATATGGTGAAGATTTTATGTATGTGCATCTGATAATGATATGAGTTGTAATTAAATACCTTAAACAATCGGCCCAGTAATATAGGAGTCTGATGCTTCTCAGATTGTTAAAAAAATACTCAGTCCTGACATGGAAGGAATACAAGTCCTGACATGGAAGGAATACAAGTTTGATAACCATTACACTGGGGAACAGAGCAGTTTTTAAGTTATCAGGAATAGTTATTTCCTTTTAGTTCACTAGTCAGAGATTCCTTCTACCTGTCTCATACTAGATGCTAACTATTATGGGATATAATTTTTCAATGTCTGGCAATTGTGTTGATTTCAAATACTGAAGCCTTTTGGTTGAAAACTCCTTACATTAATAAGAAAGCTACTATTTATTAACATTTTTTTTTCCTGTAGAGATGGGGTCTTGCTCTGCAGCTCAGGCTGGAATGCAGTGGCATGATCACGTTTCACTGCAGCCTCTACCTCCCAGGCTCAAGCGATCCTCCCTCCTCAGCCTCCTGAGTAGCTGGGACTATAAGGATGAGCCACTGTGCCCAGTTAATTTTTAATTTTTTTTTTTTTTTTAGAGACAGGGTGTCCAATTCTTTTTTTTTTTTTTTTTTTTTTTTTTTGAGATGGAGTCTCGCTCTGTCGCCCAGGCTGGAGTGCAGTGGCGGGATCTCGGCTCACTGCAAGCTCCGCCTCCCGGGTTCACGCCATTCTCCTGCCTCAGCCTCCCAAGTAGCTGGGACTACAGGCGCCCGCCACTACGCCCGGCTAATTTTTTGTATTTTTAGTAGAGACGGGGTTTCACTGTTTTAGCCGGGATGGTCTCGATCTCCTGACCTTGTGATCCGCCCGCCTCGGCCTCCCAAAGTGCTGGGATTACAGGCGTGAGCCACCGCGCCCGGCCCTGACCAATTCTTATATAATGTAAGTAGTACTAGTTGCTTTACATTTATCAAGAACATTTTCAAAATAACCTATGTGAATAATTTTTGGGTTCCAGTTCCCTTCACCTTTCACGTACATAAATGGATTGCAGTTTGAAACAAGGCATGACAACATGACTTGCTTTGTCCAACAAAACATGAGAAGAAATGACTCTCAAGTGAACCGAGGCAAAATTGATTTGTGAAGATAGAAAAAAAATGGGATTAAACATGCTTCAGCCATTACAGCCAGATCTTGCCTTACTGTTTTAGCCACTCTGTCTCTGATGTTGTCTCACCTAAAGCTGACCCTTAGTGGGAATGCATTGGCTTTCTACTATAAAGAGAATGACGAAATTAGACTTAGAAGTTTCATTCAAAAGAACACTTAGCAGTTATAGAGTGAAATACTACTACTTCTAATAGAGAACAAAGTACATATTTACTGATGAATCTTTTTTAACTTTACTTTTTGAGATAGACTTGCTTCATTGTTGGGCTACCTGTTATGTTCAAGAGTCTCATTACCAAAATAAATAATAAAATAATAATCCTATTAAATTTCCCATTATTCAAAATCCAGGAGACAAAATGGGTTCTTTCTTCTGGTAGAGAGATTCATAAGTGATGTAATGTAGCAGGAATTTCACACTTGGCCTTAGGATGAGGAAAGTGGTTCAGTGTTTGTAGCAAGTGCAGTTAACAGTGCTAGTGAGTGATGGCTGTGCTTAGGCAGACTGCTGATGCAGGAGTACAAAACTGCAGAGATATCAAGCAGTCTGATTTAGGGCTTAGAGACAGTGGGAAGTGGTGAGATTGATAGCGCAGAAAGGAATCTTTTGGTAGAGGTCCACAGCCCGCATCAGAGCTTTTGGGATTGATAGCATACCATGCTATCAATCTCAGCAGTGTAAATGGGACTACTATTCTCTATGAAAAATGGGTCATATTAAATACTCTGACATTGACTAGATTGAGAACTGCAGAATGACTAAGGAAGAATACATGTTTGCAGGGATAATGCTGTACTATTTTGTTTTATATTTTGTTGAAGAAGGGGATTGAAACCCAATGCTACTCCACACATATCCTAAAGATGCAGTCACATTGTTTGTATTGTATTTTAGAATTGAAATTGAAATAGAGGAGAGCATAACATAGCAGTGATTGAGAACTTGTGGCCTTGAAAAGACGGTAATGGTGGAATTATAATCATTCAGTAATAATTTAATACAGTTGAAGCAAATGAACATATGGTTGTCTGTATTGTTAAAGAATAAAAATTAAGACCCAATTTGTGACATGAAAGATTTAAAAGAATGAGTGTAAATAAAAATCAAATGGTGTTTAAAAATTTGATGATATTTCACTCATATATCCAAGGTCTAATTCTCCTGCCTAATATGCTACCTGCTGTCATGTGGCATACTTTTTGGTGCACAAAAAATAAATATTCCTGTAAAGGAATCTGTTGAAGTAAATAACTAAGCTAGGACTTGGAAAAATTGCATTTTCATTCAAAATGAGGTTTTCTCTGTCTCCTATTTTTCCTCATTTTATTTAAAATTACTTTAAAGTTTACATTTCTTGATTCAGAAGACGTTAAATCTGAAAAGGACTTTAAATTTCATGTAGTCCAATACCTCAATTTTTAATAAATAAAACCAATTCTAGATACATCAACTTGGTGTATAGTAAGTGAGAAAGAACGTAGGGTAATTTAAACCCTAGCTTTCCTGAGAAAAATGATATAAATAAAGCATTTCTTGAAATGAAGGCAATTTGGCTCCAGTAAGATCTGGTATAGAACCAGCTCAAATACAGAAGTTATTTGAGTCAAGTTTTAGTCATTGCCACCCACAATAAATTAATTACTTCCCTGTAGGTAGTATTGCACTATATCATATAAGGTATAACACAAATTAAAACAAAAACCCCATATGGCATATTGTGGTCATCATGATATCTTACGTAGTATCTTTCATTTCACATATTGTGCCACTGGTGAAGTCATTTGAAGAAGATAGGTCTCATGTTATTATCCCCATCTTCTATGTTAGTATGGTGCAAATTTCTCCTCATTTCTTTCTGAAAAGAATTAGAAAAAACACATGCTACCATTGCATATTTTAAAGATAATATTTAAAATTTTCATTTCTGAATTTAAATAATATATTTTGGGGGACTATTATGTATAATAAAATAACATTTAAAAACAAAAATTTTACTTTAAGACTCTTATTTTTATTTTTACTTTATTTGCTTATGTATTTAATGAAGCCCCAGTTTAAATTTTTCTTTTTCAGCTTATATTTTAGGGTCAGAGGGTGTGCAGGTTTGTTACAAAGGTAGATTGCATGATTCTGAGGTTTGGAATAGGATTGCACTAGTCATCCAGGTAGTGAGTATAGTACCTACTGGGTAGTTTTTCAACCTTTGCCTCCTCCCCTCACGCCCCCATCTTGTGTTGTTTAGTGTGTATTGTTCCCATCTTTGTGTCCATGTATACCCAGTGTTTAGCTTCCACTTATAACTGAGAACATGCAATGCTTGGCTTTCTGTTTCTTCATTAGTTTGCTTAAGATATTGGCCTTCGGGTGCATCTATGTTGCTGTAATGGACATGATTACATTCTTTCCTGTGGCTGTGTAGTATTCCATGGTACATATGTATCACATTTTCTTTATCTAATCCACCATTTATGGGCACCTGGTTTGATTCCATGTCTTTGCTATTGTGAATACTACTGCAATGAACCTAAACATGCAAGTAAGACTCTTATTTTAAAAGTGTGTAAATACAATAGTGATTTGATATCCAAATCGTCTGTTGAAACAGAGAAACTCTCTTATAACAGAAGAAATACATATAAATATATGTGTATACATATAAATATATATGTATATATATGTGTGTATACATATAAATATATATGTATATATATGTATGTATATATATTTATTATACTTTAAGTTCTGGGATACATGTGCAGAAAGTGCAGAATGTGCAGGTTTGTTACATAGGTATACATGTGCCATGGTGGTTTGCTGCACCCAACAACCCGTCATCTACATTAGGTATTTCTCCTAATGCTATCCCTCCCCTAACTCCCACCCCCTGACAGGCCCCTGTGTGTGATGTTCCCCTCCCTGTGCCCATATATTCTAATTGTTCAACTCCCACTTATGAGTGAGAACATGCGGTGTTTGGTTTTCTGTTCCTGTGTTAGTTAGTCTGCTGAGAATGATGGTTTCCAGCTTTATCCATGTCCCTGCAAAGGACATGAAGTCATTCTTTTTAATGGCTGCATAGTATTCCATGGTGTGTATGTGCCACATTTTCTTTATCCAGTATATCATTGATGGGCATTTGGGTTGGTTCGAAGCCTTTGCTATTGTGTCAATTTATATTTTTAATCAACTTTCCTTACATAATTTTATATGAATGCACTATATTTTATACTTGAAAGTTGTTTATTGATTATTATAATTCTCTGAGATTAAGAAAATTTAGAGTTATTACAATTTAAGACAATTTCCTGGGTGTTTTGGATTAAGTGTCTAAAATTTGGATTGAATTACCATAACAATTGTAACAGATACATACTTGATCAAAATAACAAGTATATTTATGATTTTATAAATAATTATTTAGCAAGGCCAGGTGCAGTGGCTTATGACTGTAATCTCAGCACTTTGGGAGGCTGAGGTGGGTGGATCACCTGAGGTCAGGAGTTCGAGACCAGCATGGTCAAAATGGTGAAACCCCATCTCTACTAAAAATAAATTATCCGGGAGTGGTGGCACACACCTATAATCCCAGCTATTTGGGAGGCTAAGGGAGGAGAATCGCTTGAACCTGGAAGGCAGAGGTTGCAGTGACTGAGATCGCCATTGCACTCTAGCCTGGGTGACAGAGCGAGACTCCATCTCAAAAAAAAAGAAAAAGATTTATTTAGCATAACAAGTAAACTTTTATTAGAAGTGCATCTCAATGTAAATGTGTGGTATTATTTTTAATTAATCTATTCATCAATAAATATTACTTATTGCCAGAGTTGAACGGAATTCAATATTGGTGTTATTCCTATTTTTCGTTTTAATGGATGTAGGTGAGCTTCTATACAAATAAATAAATAAAAATTTTATACAAATAAATATAGAATTGAAGTTTTATTATATCAATATATTTAAATTATTTAAAGTCATCTTGAGTTACATACCCAAAATGATACTTATAATCAATAATTTTTAATGATATATTAGGTCTTACGTTCTTTAATTTTGTTAAATGTAAATAACCAGAAGCTAATTACCAACAGTTTTCAAAAGGTTTTGTTACCCATTCATTAAATTTATCAAATTCTTTAAATTCTGGGCATTGTAACAAAGAAAAAAGCTTTACAGGACACGCAAGTGACAATTAATTAAACTTGCTTTTTTTATGGAAAGACATTTTATTTGTGTGGCTAAAATTCAGTGAAATTGATATAAATCCACCTCATAGATTGAATGTTGTTAATTTTGAGATTTTTTGCATTCGCTGTGAAGATGTATGTCTTGTGATGAATTTTGGTTCTCACAGTTTTTTTTTTAGTACCTTAAAAAAAGTCAAAGAACAATATTGGAGAACGTTTGTTCTTAACCTATACAGAGGAAGACATTCTGCTTTAAAGAGTACAGGTTATTTATTTTGTGGAAATTACAAGCCAAAAGAAAAGGATAGTATTTGGCCACTAGTGAGTGCAAGCTTGTAAATGAAGCAAGAATGGTGTTGGTTGAGTGCATTTTTTAGCGTGGAATTCACAATGTGACTCCGTTAATTTAATCTAAACCAAATAAGTACATGGTGGAGATGAATGCATGAACAGAAAAGTGGGTGGTGCAGGAGAGAAAACAGAAGTCCCTAAGTTCAAACAAAACATGGATATGTAATATTCAATTATTTTGCGGGAGGTGGCGGGGGGGAACTGTAAAAAATTCTTCTCCAAGTCTGAGTATTTATTCAGGAAAATACAAATCATTTACTTTGATATAGGTTCCTTTTATTCAAAGATATAACGTTCATCTAGTATAGTTAAACAAACTTTTAACCTCTTCCCTGAAATAATGCCAAATTAAGTCATAGATAAATTATATGGGCAGAAATGTTCACTAAACTGATTTGTATTGTTAAGAATGAGAAAAATGAAGAGAGTACTCATTTCTCATTTTGTAGCAGATTGGTAATTTTTAACTATGCTACTTACAAATCTGAATATTCCAATTCTAAATATGGATGGATAGATCAATAGATCAATAGCTAGATGGCTAGCTAGATTGATAGATGGATAAATGAATTGTGGACTCTTCTTGGATAAAGCACAGTGCTGCTCCCTTTAGTGCTGCTTACCTGAGCATCCTGTGCTTTGTTCGCCTGAGATCCTCCTTCAGGTGTGATGCATTATTTGACAATAGATAAGGGAGGAGGTGAGGTAGTTAAAAGAAGAGCATCATCATTCCCAACATCTACGCACCCTACCCCAAGCCCTACTCTAATTATACCTGAATTCAAAATATGCCAACATAGGCTAATGTTTCTAATGCCATGTTTGCCTCTGAATGAAATATTTAAAATGAGAAAGGATGGAAGATAGGAAGTCTGTTTTTGGTTGGTGGTACTGTAGAGAAGTATTTCATGTTGAAACTTTGGTGAGTTCAGATATATTTTTAATCCTTAGGGCAATGAAGCAGACCAAGATTGGGGATTGGTGAGATCTCTACTTTTTCTTTCAAAATGGGAAAAGAGTAATTGTAGAAGTGGAAATGGAAAGAAAATTCGCATAATGACTTGACAGCAGATCCCTTCCCAGGCAGATCAACCTCAGAAACCAACATATATGGAAGCTAAGAATCAGACATTGGTTTGCTTAAAACTATCCACACTCAAGTGGCTCCTGGAATGTTTTCATGTATCAAAACAGACAAAGACTACTGTTTTAGATAAAGAGATTAAGGGCAAAAAAGTTAAAAGGACTTATCCAAATTTCTATAGTTACTTATAGAGTAAGGACTACAATCAAGGCTAAAACATCTTAATTAAGGGACCTTGGAATTTATAAATTACACATCCCCCTATGCAATCTCTTTTTACATATGAGAGAATCAACGGGTTGACAGTGAAAAGAGAATTTGAATTGATACTCCTGAAAATTATTTGAAATGTTTCCTCTTGAAGTTAGCAAGCTGTGTCCATGAAAAGCACATTAAAAATTTAGCTGTAACTTGTCTTAATGGCAGTTTTGAAAACATTAGAAAAGAAACAGATGTGCATATAGTATTATATGCTTCCCCAAATAAACAATGAAGTTGCTATTGAGGGGATTTAAATTGAGGTCATCAAAAGTAAATTCAATTTCACCCAGGTAAATCAACAATAATGAGCACTAGGATAAATACCTAAAATAAAAGCTAAATGAATAAAGAAAGTATTCCAGAGACAATCAATACAATTTGAAAATTATTATGTTTTGGAAAGTCCGAGGTCTTTATTCAAATTGCAATGGCAATTTAAAAAAATAAAAAATCTTAAGCAAGAAACTATATTCTATGGTTCCAGATGAGGGGCATTTTTGCTTCTCATTTCGTATTTTGACATTTGACAATCTATACTGGCTATAGGTTAAATAATAAAATTGCTTTGAAGATATGTCAATTATCAAATACAGGTATAAATTTCAAGGAGAGGAATATGAAATAAGGATTAATTTTTTTTTTTTTAAGAAGGAGTTTTGCTCTTATGCCCAGGCTGGAGTGCAGTGGCAGGATCTTGGCTCACTGCAACCTCCGCCTCCAGGGTTTAAGCCATTCTCCTGCCTCAGCCTCCCGAGTAGCTGGGATTACAGGTGCCTGCCACCACGCCCGGCTAATTTCTTTGTAATTTTAGTAGAGACAGGTTTCGCCATGTTGGCCAGGCTAGTCTTGAACTCCTGACCTCAGGTGATCTGCCCATCTTGGCCCCCCAAAGTGCTGGGATTATAGGCGTGAGCTACCATGCCCGGGTTAATTTTTCTTAATAGAAAACAGGTGTGGTGACTGAAGCCCAAATTATCATCATTATGTGCTGTGTATGTGTGTGCATGTGTGTGTGTGTTGGGGTTAGATGAAAAATGTGATGAATTCTAATTCAAGCTGATATCTTAGGTCGCACAATAAGATTATAATGTAAAAATTATCAGTAAATTGAGAGATAAAAATAGCTATTAAAGATATACACAGAGCTATATACAATTTTACATTTTGTTTTGAATACACATCTAAGTGGGGGAATGGGTAGTTTGGTATGTGATCATACAGCCAGATAACACCTCCAGGAAGATCATATCCATAACCACCTAAGATTATTCATCACTTCATTACCTCTCAAAATAACCTGGTGTTTTTGACTCCATTCAGAAACATCTAGGTAGATACCTAATAGTAAAGCTTTAAATGTATCCACTACTCTTCATGTTTTGGAGCAGAGAGAACGCAAATTATTTGACCTTCAAAAACTTTTAATCAAGTCCAAACAGCTGTTTTTAAAATTAATTGATCGTCAGACTTGGAAAAAAAATATTGTCATACATCCCTATGGACTGAATTTCTATCCATGAAGCCATGAGTAAGAATAAACAGGTCTAGATACAGGAAGCGTAAACTGAGAAGTCCTTTGAGGATTATTTTCAGGGAACATTTTTAGATGTGATCTAGAAGATGGAGTGCACAGTGACATCTTCAAATTTGCTGATGACACTGGTTTTTCCTGATAGTGAAATGCCAGGGTGACATGAATAAATTGCAGGAACATCTTGAGAGACTGTGGGAGTAAGCTGAAAAATAGTAACTGAGCTTCAGTTTCAGAAAGTATAAGGCAGTGTGTTAGATTTGGGGTAAATAATGGAAACTTTATGTATTGGGTGAGTCATTCATTCTTTATGTAAAAATTTATTGAGCACCTACTATGCCCACAGCACTGTGTTGGGCACTGGGTACGGTAAGACACATAGCACATGGTTGTGATAGAGGCAGGAGACACCAAAATGCCTAGGCAGATAAGGAAGGGTCCCTGGAGAACCTCTGACCCATCCAGGTCATTGTGCACGGGAGGCTTGTTTAAACATGGCCACAGTGAAAAATTCCATTCCTTAACACGTGTACAGTAAGGAAAATAAATCAATGTGGAATGGTTTAGACTAAGGGCCCACATGGCGCACTGGAAGGATGGGATGGAGCCACCAGGAATTCACACCTTATGCTGAGGAGGAGCCTCGCCTCTGTGTGGTGGTCTGGTATTCAGTTTGTGAGGTGGAAACCTGCGTGCAAGACCCTTGATTTTGTGGAGAGCTTTCCTTTCGCTTAATAAATTCTGCCTTCCTTACCTTTCAATGTGTCCATGTGCCTAATATTTTCTGGTCATGAGACAAGAACCCAGATTTAGCTGAACTAAGGAGCAAAAAACCTGCATAAGTTGCTGCCCTACTAGGGGGAGACAGAGCCATTTACCTTGCAATATCACCTGACAAGTGTTTTCAGGAACAATTATCAAGAGCTCTGGGAACACAGAAAACGGAGCCTGAGGGAACAAAGTTCAGCTTCTCCAAGTAGGTGACATTTGAGCTACAACTTAAAGGCCAGGAGAGGAAGAGGCAGTTTCCCATGAAGGGGGAAAGCCAGGAAATGCAATGCTAGGTTTAGTCTGTTCAGGCTTATTTTTTAATCTTTATTCTTTTTCCTAAGTAAAATGCTGTCCAGAAACCTAACTTGTAAGACAGATTAAAGCAGACCTTTTTTGCCTGTGTTTGCTCCATAATACCTTTTCCCCTGCTTAATATCTCCCATAGGCACTGCTGCAGAACATGAGGACTTTTGGAACCCCCTTGAAGACAACTAATGTGGCCTTCCTCTAATTTCATAGATGAGGAAAAATGGGGCCCATATATTTTCATTACTAGTTCAAGGTCTCAAAGGAAGCCAGAAAGATAATTGTATTTTGATTTATAACCTGATAGGTAAATATTTAGAGAACTTATTGGAGAATAATTTTCTTGATAAAAATTAGCTGAATTTGTTACAATAACTCAAGTGGTAAACAAAGCAGTGGAATATTGTTAGAAAAAAGAGAAAACCTCCCCACCTTACCTGCCTTTTAACCATGGTGTTCCTGCAGTGGGACTGTACATGTGGTTTCCACAACTCAATAAAAGCATAATGCAGCTGGAGACTATGGAAAGAAGAGCCTGAAAAATGGGCAAGGGGGTTTGGAGGTTCTTCTCAGTACCAAGATTAGTCCAGTTCGGATGCACAGAGTTAAGCCCATCCAGCACTGGAGATCAGGTATTGGCAGGATCAGCCCACGCTGGATAATCCCCCTAAGGCAAGGAGGGGAAGGGAATAGTTTAGGTGGCAAAGCTGGATCTGGGTTCAAAAGGAAAACCACGGAGACCGTCCAATAAAATCAAAGATGAAACTGAAGGATCTATTTGTGGAGAATGGAAAGCTGATGCCAGAAGACAGGCCAAATATAAGAACCACCAAATCAGAGCTGAGCATGGAAATAAAGATGCCAGAACACAAAAGTAAATTTCAGAGCCAAAACTTGGTGTAATAAACAAGTTTATTAGGAATGGACTGAATGTTAGACCAGGTCTCTGGAATAAAATCAAAAGACACACAAAAACGCACAAGTCCTTGTGTCTCAGTGTGTTGGGCTGAAGAGGAACCTCTTGAGATGCTGATATGAAGCTTTTCTGCTTTGTTTGTTTTAAAGATATCTTACCTCCTTTGTTGTGTGAACTATAGGCTTTCTTGCTTCCATATGGAAACACCCTAAAATCTTTAAGTCACATGCATGAACAACAGTGTAGTTAAAAGAACATTTTAGGCTTTGAAGCCAGAGGGAGACATAAGTACATTCTCAGCTCTGCCACTTACCACCTACTTAAGCAAGCTATATAAGGTTTTTCACATTAAATGGGAATTATAATGCATACCTGCCATAGTGGTTGTGAGTATTTGATGGGAAATGCACAAAATACACTTAGCATGCTCCCTGACACATAGTGGGTGGTTAATAAGTGGTAGCTGTGAGAACATCAATGGTAATGATGAACATGAAATTGGCAAAGGCTTTTTTATCTAAGCATCATCATAATAATAAATGTCATGAATGAAGTAAGCAAGTTTATGTTTATGAAATCCTGGAATAGTTGACGCATGGATTACCTTGTAAATGGGTACATTTAGGTAAAGCAAAAATAAGAATACTGAATACAATGAGTAATAAACAAAATTCAGCTAAATTTACAGTGATTTTGCTTTTAAAAAATGATAAGTATATTTATGTTATTGGACTATAATTAAATAAGATGAAATGGCTGGGAAATAAACCTTAGAAATAATAGATGTCTGGTAATAAATCAAACACAACTAAATAAAAATATCACATTGTCGAAAATATTTTGCAAACAACACTGAGTTAAACAAATCAGGTCTCTTTCAAGTATGTTTTTAGGAATCATGTCTCTCTAAGCTAAGAGTTATAGTATATATTATTTCTCAAATAACAATGTCTTCAGGACTCCTTTTTTTAAAAAAGGAAATATCAAAAAGGATAGTTCTTCATGGCATACACTTTGGAAAACATAATAATGGCCAAATGAAGCTCATCTTGGAAATAAATAGATTACACCTAAACTCTAGGTTTACCTACACTCAGTTCAGTTAATCTTTCTACCCAAATATTACTATTTCCTCTGACTTTATGGATGTAATACCATAGAGAGCAACCATTTAACCCGCAAAACACTGTCTGCTACTTTTCTCAGACAGGTCTGGCTGGGGGTGGTAATTGTTTTTGTTTTTACAGCACCAGATGAATTTGTTGTGTTTTTTTTTAACTTTTCATCTAATTTTATTATTTTCATGGGTATTAAGCTCATGTTTCTTTCCCAAAGCCCTCAGAGGCTATGACTCAAGTGCTATGTTAATTTTAAAATGTAAAGGAATGAAACATCTGTTATCATGACAGGCCCTCAGGACTTTCATTTTTGAATGAGAAGGGTGAGAAATAGATTTAGAAGTGAGGGAAGATAAAAAGACCCAGGTGACATTCATTTAACACCATCCCCAAATACTGGGAAAAACATCTCGGATGTGAGTCAAGCTCACAGAAATATCTTGCCCCTTTTTGTGTGTTATAAAGCCACCCATGGCTCATCTGTGGTTCACCTTAATTCTTCAAGGCTACATAATCTGAACCAAGTGCAATCTTAACTTCTGGGGCTATATATTGGCGCCAAGTGGAAGATGATCATGATACTTTGTACTGGGAAGTTAATTTTTTTAAATAAGTTTAAGATCTAGGTCATCATTATTGGATTCCCTCCCAAAACTTAGGCTGGAGAACAATGAAACAGAAGTTTAGAGCCAGCAGGAGGTAGAGAGAGAAGCCAGGGCTCTAGTGTGGATGTGGAGTCAGTTTTCTGAATAGAAGTCTACAATAGGGCAAGTCAGAATGCCCAAAGGAGAAATCTTCTTAAGACCGCACTCGGAATGGAACAGAAGTCCACATGAAATATCACTGGAGGGAAAACAGGGGTTAATGAGAGGTTTCAAAATGGAACTGGTGCTTACCATCAGGGAAATGTTCAAGAGACCCAAATATAACCAAGGAATACTTTTCAGAAGATGAGGTAGCCTTAGACAGCCATCAAGAAGTATCCAGTGAAAGAAAAATAAATAAAAAATAAAATAAAATAAAATAAAATAAAAACAATGAAAAAGAGGCATCCAGTGAAGGCGATTGCCTCACTGAGAAAATGATCACCTTTTATGTTGTCAACACTTTAAAACTTAACGGAAATGTTCATTTGACCTGAGTAGATAATCCTGGAAAGAGAGTAAAAGATGCAGACTAGTTTTGAAAGGAGTCTGCCATCATGATTGTCAGCATCTTCCCTTCATTTATTGAACACCTATTATGTGTTCTCTGAAAAACACTTTCCATACTGTACATTTAATCTAAATAACAAGACTTTAATTAAAAGTTCCATGAAGAAACAATGTCTTACAGAGGAGAAAGAACTTGTTTAGGTCATACAACAAGATTTTATAAATGCAGGCTAATACCTGTCTGTCTCTTTATGGTGCCCTGAATTCTTTCCATTATATTAAAAATAACTTCTCCCCATCTTCCTCTCCCTGCACCCATTTTGAACATTACTAATCAATAATTTCCACTGAGCATAGTTTCAGAATCCTTTTCAGCATATTATAGAACACCACTACCAACTGATCAATGAATATTTCTGGAGAAAACAATTTCCCCAACAATCCTCCCCTTGCTCTACACTATTTTTATTTTATTTATTTATTTATTTTTGAGACAGAGTCTCGCTGTCGCCAGGCTGGAGTGCAGTGGCACCCAATCTGGGCTCACTACAAGCTCCGCCTCCTGGGTTCAAGTGATTCTTCTGCCTCAGACTCCCAAGTAGCTGGGACTACAGGAGCCCGCCACCACACCCAGCTAATTTTTTGCATTTTTAGTACAGATGAGGTTTCACCATGTTGGCCAGGATGGTCTAGATCTCTTGACCTCATGATCTGCCCACTTCAGCCTCCCAAAGTGCTGAATTAAAGGTGTGAGCCACCGCACCCAGCCTGCTCTACACTATTCTTGTTTCCTCTGTTATGTGGCAACTGGGTGTAGCCAGAGTAGGCTAGCAAAATAAGACTAGAACCAGAGTCCAGATAAAGACATCTTACTAAAACAAACAAACAAACCAAAAGACAAAATATTAAGTACAAAGAAGTTGAATAAAGCAGGAAGGGACTAGAAAAGGCAGAGATTAAGTCAAAGAGTTGTCTACATAGGCATTATTGATTAAATAATTGCTCATTGGTGATTAGTAGAAAAAGTAAGCTGAGATTTCAAGCATGAGGCTGTTTAATCTTGGACTTGGTTTATGTTACTTTTTGAGTGTGGGCAAATTAAAACTCAAAGTTTTTTTATTGTAGTCACAGGACAGTAGTAAAAGAACTGAGATTTCCAAGATTGGGTTGGTAAGGTAGATTTAGTTGGCCTGTGGACATCTATATGTAAAACTATTTGGAATAGACTGACAAGTCATTCACTGGAAACCACAAGTTCACTGGATTTTTTTTTTCTTCATTGAATTAACTAAATCAGCTAGCTGAAATTAGCATCTCTAGTCAAATAAATAATTTACTCAGTGGGAACTGTTATGATCCGTGCTTTCTCACAAAATATGTGGGATTTCTCCTCATACCAACCAATTCTCCAACTCTCTGGGAACTAACTGGTTATGCAATGATTCAATTCAATTCAGACACTACCTAGAGTTAGCACAGGACCCCCACAGGTTAAGGGCTCAGTCCCACAAGACTTCCCCCAGTTGAGATGCCAATCACAAGTTTGGACCAACTGTACTTCTGACTGACCAGCTATAAATTGGAATTTCTATGACTGTCTCCTCAGATTCAATAATTTGCTAGAATGGCTCACAGAACTCAGGAAAACAGTGTGTGTGTGTGTGTGTGTGTGTGTGTGTGTGTGTGTGTGTGTGTGTGGTTGTTTTTGTTTTTGTTTTTTTAACTACTACTGGTTTTTTAATAAAAGATACAATGCAAAACAGCCAGGCAGAAGACATGCATATGGCAAGGCAGTGAGTTGTGAGGTGCAGAGCTTTCATGACCTCCCTGGGTGCACCACCCTCTGGGTACTTTGATATGTTCACTAATCCTGAAGCTCCCCAAACCTGGTTGCTCAGGGGTTTTATGGAGGTTCTATTACATAGGCATTACTGATTAAATAATTGCCCATCAGTGATTAACTCAACCTCCAGTTCTTCTCCCCTTACTCCTCTCTGGAGGTTCCAGGTAAGTGGGACTGAAAGGACCAATTGTCTAATCATGTGGTTGGTTTCTCTGGCAAGCAGCTCCCATCCTGAAGCTATCTTGGGGCCCACCAAGAGTCACCTCATTAGCATAAACTCAGATCTGTTTAAAGGGTCTTATTGTGAATAACAAAAGATGCTCTTTTCACCCCCATCACAGGAAATTACAAGAAACCAGGGACAAAGACCAACTATATATTTCTCATATCACAATATTATAATGAGGAAAAAATCTGTAAAAGATAACTATTTGGAAGTAGAAAACAAGAAAAAGTTGTTATATTTAAATATTCACTTTTTAACCAAATGTCACAGAATATGTTCATGTCGAATTTGCTAGAATTATTTTGAAGATCTACAGAAGATCATATCTATTGCTATGTGTAATATAATAGCTGTATGCTGCATGTCAGCATACAATGAATTCTGTTGGATAGGTATAGTCACTGTTCTCTGAGAGTTTATATCTTGTTGGAGACAAAGACATGTAAACAAATGGATGCAATATATTTTGTCCTCTGCAGTGATAAAATTATGCATAGATTGGGAGGTATTACTGGGAAAAACATACCTAATTCTCTCTTTGGGGTAGCTGAGATAGACTCACAAGGAGGTTGATGATAAGCATAGAATTTAGTGAGGCAGACAAGATAGAGGTGTGGGAAATGAGGATGACAAGAGCATTCCAGGCAGAAGGAACAGAACTTGCAAAAGTGCCAAGGAGAAAAAAGCCACCATGAGAGGAAAATTACAGAGTTCAGAATGGTTCTAGATGAAGTGCAAGGCTGTAGGAATACGTGGCAGGAGCTGAGGCCAGCAGAAGCATGGTTACAAAGGGCTTTCTGTCTTATGAAGCAGTCCCACTTGGTGATGAGAACATGTTGGAGCTTTCGGGCGATAGTGCCTTAGGCTGATCACTGTGGACGCTGAATGAAGGAAGCATTTGAGCATTGCACGGATAGAATCCAGCAAAAGCAGAGAAAAAGAATTAGGGCATGAACTAAGGTGGTGGCAGAGGTGGTGGAGGAGAAGGTTCCTGAGACACTGAATGTCAATAGAACTTAGCTGTCTGGAAATGGAGAGCAGAGAGGAGGTATGCATTCAGAGATGCTCTGGGAGCAAGTGCATCCAGGAATGGAGTGGTGCACGTGGCTGGGCTGAAAGTTACCAACGGAAACATGGCCATTAAGATATATGTAATTGAAAATATTTAAATCATGGTTTTTTTTTCTGTTAGAAAAAGGAAAAATATTCATAGAGAAATTGAAATATATGAAGAAGTACAAAGATAAATAGAAAAGCCACTCATGGGGCTGGGTGTAGTGTCTCATGCCTACAATCTCAGCATTTTGGGAGGATGAGGGGGGAGGATCGCTTGAGTCCAGGAGTTTATGACCAGCCTGGGCAACACAGTGAGACCCTGTCTCTACAAATAAAAAATTATCTGGGTGTGGTGGTACGTGGAATAGTCCCAGCCACTTGGGAGGCTGAGGCAGGAGAATTGCTTGAGCCCAGGAAGTCGCGACTGTAGTGAGCTGTGATTGTGCCACAGCACTCAGCTTGAGCAACAGTTAGACCCTGTCTCAACAGAAAGAAAAGCCACTCATAATCCCACTACTGGGAGAGAAACTGTTGGTAACATTTTAATTTACAGGTGGATAATTTTTAACTTTTGAAATCATTTAAAAATTTAGTGTCCCACTTTTTTCACTTAATATTATATTAAGAAAGTGTTTATGACATTTAAAACGATCTTGAAAAAACATGATTTCTAATGAATACATCACACTCTATCTCATATTTAACTGTTGGATATTTTACCATTCCTATATTCTGTGGCAAGTAGTTCAGCATAATTGAATTGTACAAGAATGTGTTCCAAATATGTGTACATATAGCTCTTTTTAAAAAATGTCTGATTATTTTCTTAGAGTAGTGAAATTATTAATTTTATCTGTCAACTTCACTGGGCCATGGGTGCTCAGATATTTGGTCAAACTATTCTGGGTGTGTCTGTGAGGGCATTTTGGATGAGATTAACATTTGAATTGGTAGACTGAATGAAGCAGATGGCCCTCCTTCATGTGGGTTAGCCTCATCCAATCAGATGAAGACCTAAATAGAACAAAAAAGCCATCCCTATCCCTCACTCATAAGGGGGAAGTTCTCTTGCCTGAATGCCTTGAACTGGGACACTGATTTTCTTCTGCCTTTAAACTCAAACTGAAACATTAGTTCTTTCTTGGTCCTGAGCCTAATGGCATTCGGACTGAAACTGCGTCATCGGGGCTATCTTTGGTCTCCAGCTTGCTGACTGCAGATCTTGCAACTTGTCAGCCTTCATCATCACATAAACCAATTCCTTATAATAAATTCCTTTATTAAACACACACACACATACACACACCCAATTGGTTCTGTTCTCTGGAGAACCGCGACTACTATAGATACATTTATTTATTTGCAAATTTTGAATTCACTTCAGAAATACAGATGGTTGGGTGCAAAAAGGACAGGCCTTCTCAGTGTGGCTGAATTCTATCCATCCCTATTTGTAGCACATATTACATTTTATGCATGTATTACTTACCCATTGTTAAAAGTTATTAGCAATTGTTTTAAAAATGACTTTTTGGGGAACTGAATTTCTTATTGCCTTGTAGGCTTGCATGTATAGGTAATTTACATACCTGAAATTAAATACCTGGAAATGTAATATTGGACATTGTTATCATAATGGATTTAAAGGGATCAACCACATTTTTACCATCCCCATATACATAACGCAAATCAAATCTTTTAGAAATTTTGACGTAAATTATCATTTGTGAAGTTTACTTTTTCATGTAAAACATGTTCTACATGAGACTGTTTTCACACCCGACAAAAAGGATTTAATGAACTAGTTTAAATTTAAGATGACATGATGAAAGTACCATCAGTTTCTCTTATTGACCTGCATAATAAAGTAAGCTCAATTAACGTTTTTTGAGATGTTATGTCACTGTTGGGCCATTCAGTATGTTGAGAAATCAGTTTGTTCTTCTTGCATTATGCTCAGATGACTTTCATATTTTTACAACACTAAAGTAAGCAAATAAAAAATAAAATTTCACTTAAATCAACTTTTAAAAAGTAATAACATAATGGCCTAATGGTTCTCCTAAAGAATATTTCACTGAATTAAACTCATTTCTATTCTTTTTTCCACTTTATTTAGCGAAAGAAGATCTCACATCTCTCTCTCTCGGGTCCATTGGAATTCATCCTCTTTTGAAAATTTTCTAGAGGAGTAGATTTTATGACCTTTCCTTGTTACTGACTTCTGCATGAAGAACTCATACTCTCAATGCTCTTTCAAAATTTCTGTGGGAGTAGACTAGTGCTTGGGGCTGCAGATACATGGAGCACCTGGGAAGTGAGTTGTGGGGAAGTGACCTTTGTTTCACTAGAGCCTTAAGAAGGTCTTTAGGTGTTACTAGTGATATACATTGGGTGGGCAAGCAGGTAAGTGGCCAGAGTCTCCAGGACTGTTGTGAGAATATGTTAAAAATATACAAATAAAAACTCAAGTATGTGGCACAAAAGTTGCCCAATAGATCCATGGGCCCCTCACTTTGATCACTGTTGGCATTGTGGGTTCAAAGGCCAGAGTTGCTGTCCCCCTAGTGCTAGGGAATCGATTGCTCTGTGCAGTAACTCTTAATGGCATAAAGTAATTTGTACCTGTTGCCTATTGCATCTTTTTCTCCATTGTGACATCCTCACATTGTGTCCTCTACATCCCTGTTTGATAGGTTGGAACATCTTCTACTTTGTCCTTCTTGATGCCTTCTTTGTATGAAGTTTTCTGTTAGGTTCATCAAATCTGATCATCTTATTTTAACCTTAAAAAAAACCTGGCTGGGTGCGGTGGCTCATGCCTGTAATCCCAGTACTTTAGGAGGCCGAGGTGGGAGGATCACTTGAGGTCAGGAGTTCGAGACCAGCCTGGCCAACATGGTGAAATCCCGTCTCTACTAAAAATAAAAAAAAATTAGCTGGGCATGGTGGCGTGCGGCTCTAATCCCAGCTACTTGGGAGGCTGAGACACCAGAATTCCTTGAACCCAGGAGAAGGTTGCAGTGAGCTGAAATCGCACCATTGCACTCCAGCCTGGGAAACAGAGCGAGACTCTGTCTCAAAAAAAAAAAAAAAAAAAAAACAAAACTGAAGCTATTTAATCTGTTTAACTCTGTTAAGAAATTTATTTCATCCTTATACAAAGTCTTATTTGAAGTTCAACAATCTTCAGTCTTGCTGCCTCGTGGTCTGTGAGCCCTAAGGATTGAAGATGTGACAGGCCATGCCTGTCATTCACACACAGTGGGAGCCAGGGCTCTGGAAAGAACTGAGAATAGCTGGATCACATGACTAGATACCAGTATAAAAGGCTGCTTAAATGGTTCTCAGGAGAACTGAGAACCATTTATAGTGGTTATAGATTACTCGACATCCTAGAAAAAATAAATCACACAGGGAGAAATTAAGAGAGCAAATTAAAATGTTTTTCCTAGAAAGTTAGAAGAGAATTGCTTACAAATTACTTCACCTGTAGTCTTCAGTATTTCCCTGAGAAACTGAACTCTGAATTCAGTTTCTCAGTATTTCCCAAAAACTGGAGCAGCTTTTTTTTTTACCTGGGTTTGAAGTTTTGAGGGTGACTTTAATTCTTATTTTCTCATAATATTTTGTTATGAAGAAAACATCTAGCTATCTTCAATTCCATCTATCTCCTTTTCTGTTTTTATTTGTTTGTCTGTCTTTTGGTTTTACATCCCTGAGGAAAGATCTCTCTCTGTGTTTGTCCTGATGCGGTAGACCCAACAACTCTACTGGGAATTCTTCCATAAAAGAAAGAACAGAAAGTTGAGAGTAATTAAGCTTCCTAAGCTTCCTATTAGGATGTGTTTTCAAGTTCCTAGCCTCTGAGCCAGGGTAGCTTTTTAAATTCAATCATATGGCAAAATTTTCCTTAGGTTATTGTAAAAATAACAAACTCATGTTCTAATCCTGAATTGAGGACTGAGACTGGAGGAAGGCAGAATTTCTTTGGCAGGAGTAGCCTATTAAAGGATTCACATTCTGCAATAATCATCACCAGTCAAGAATGATGACAGAATGAGGCCCTGTCCTCCCAAGCAAGGGCCTTTTTCTTGCATAACCATGTGGAAATTGGAAAAGATTGCCCTGCCCATAGTTCTAGTATATTCCAGCTAGGAACCATCTTTAGGCTGTTTCTCAGAGCCAAGCAAAGAGGACAGTGAACACCAAAAAACACAAACATTTAGAAGGAATTTGCAAATAGCAGCTTTCCTGTTAAGATGTATCAGGCAGAATGCACAGAGGAGAGTTCTGGCCCTAATTTAGTGCAGGTTTGTATTTGGCACACGTTACCTGTAGAGTATTTGGGTAAATTACTGATGTCAGTTGTATTTCTCTTGGAGACGAGGGAAATAGGTTATTGGCACAATAAAACATCCAGACGCATTTAAAATGTCAGTCTAATCGCAAGAACCAGTAAGGCTTTTAATTACCTTCTGTGCAATTTTTTTTAATTGCTCCGATGGCTGTAGCGCTTGGTAAGTTCCTGACAGAGCAGCTGCAACAAACTTAATTTAAACATTTTTTTTTTCCTGGAGCTCTCTGAAAAAAGAAATCTGAGATGCAAGGTAAATGTTGGAAGTCTCTTTTGTTCCAGGATCTCTGTAGGAATTCTCATTGTTTGGTCACTAATAGAATCCCACCTTCATGTTAAACCAACCTGCAGGTTTTTTCTTTGCTGATGACATTCTTTGTAACAGGTGTGTGTTTGTCATCAGGCTGTCTCTTAGAATACTCTGAATCAGCCAGTCTCTGGCTGATATATACTGAGTATATGCTGATATATACTCTGGTGCTTGCTTAATTCTGAACTTGAAAATAGAAGGATGCACAGTTCCTTTCTTGAGATGTGTTGGACCTTGACATGAGGGGGACTATTTTCTACTTGTTAGCTCTTCTTTCCACTTTATACAGCTATGCTTTATTTATCTGCAAACTGTCTTTATTCTTTAGGGCCTTGATTCTCTCCTTTAAGAACTGTTCTCTTAGGAAGGGAACATGTAGTATGACCTGATTAAAATTACAAAGGCTTTACAATCTAAGATATCTGGGATTGAATTCCGGTTTGTTATATGCTACCTCTATTTAACCTCGGTTTACTTCTGTAAAGCAGAGATGATAATGTCTGCCCCACAAAATTGTTATGAGGGTTTAACAAAGTAATATGTCAAAAGTGACTGTCAAGAGTAGGTTTTTCCTTTGAGTTAGTATCTGGACAGTACCTGCCTCCACTTTTCCCTCTGCTACTTCCCTCATCTGGATGTGTGTAACCACATGTGCATTGCTAACTGTGTCTTGACACATGGCAGGTCATGCCTCAATTAGATATGAGTAGCAAAGGCTAGGCCTGAGGTTTATTTGCTACATTAAAGGTATCTAGTGAAGTGCCCTTAGCAATTAATTTTTTTCATTGATGTGCTAACAGATTGAAAATATTCAGGTACTTTAAGCCTGTTAGGAGATGGGCTGCAAGTTAGGGTCGGTTTGATGCTAGATATTTCTAAACGTTTTGTGCCCTATGAAGGGTAAGAACTAGTTAAACAGAGTTGTAGAATACTGAAGCTGGAAGGCTTTATTTCTAAACGTTTTGTGCCCTATGAAGGGTAAGAACTAGTTAAACAGAGTTGTAGAATACTGAAGCTGGAAGGCTTTATTTCTAAACGTTTTGTGCCCCATGAAGGGTAAGAACTAGTTAAACAGAGTTGTAGAATACTGAAGCTGGAAGGCTTTTCTGTTTTTATGTAATTATATATTTGTCAATTCCACAAAGTCAATTTTTTTGAGCAATAGAGCTATAGATTGCATTTGATACAGGAATGTGGGAAGTGTTTGAGTTCAGTTTCTCAGCAGAAATCATCTGAGCATCTCATTTCCTCTTCTGAGATTTAGCTCTGGGTTACAGGACTGCTCAATCTATTGACACTGTTAGCAGCAAGGTCTTTCCTTGCTTTTTCTGTGTGGCACTCAATAACAGGCCACAAAGGTTACACAGGATAAGGGGCATCACCATGAGCTGTTGAGTAATAGTGGGGACTGAAAAGAACTGTCTAAAGGGAATACTGATCTAAGGAAGGCAGAAAATGATAATGGATCAGAAGTCCCTCATAACAGATTTTCAAAGTCTGGAAGGATCACTTCTGTTGCTGCATGTCAGACCTTCTCCTTTGTGTTTTCATTTTCATACTCTCACTCCAAATTTCCCCATAGTCCAGGCTTCTTGGAATGGAATGAAAGGGAGCCCCCTACCCTCCACTTCTGCATATACACTGCTTCTACATCCTGGTAATGTTGATAGCTGCCTTCCAGTGATACAGCAAGCATTTAGGAAATGCCATTTTAAATGCATTATGTTAATACATATGTGTAAAATAAATAATGCCCATAAATCTCTTTATTCTTATAACAATGCTTCAATATTCTAACTTTACAGATGAAAAACACTCTGAACAGTGCTAAAAAGGGTGGCTAATTTAGGATTTATGTTCAGTTATGTAAGACCCCAAAGCCCTAAATATTTGTACTGTTATTCATTTTCTTTTATTCTGTTCCTGCAATAAGAGCCATGTGAGAATCTCCTGGAAAATTCTGAAAATCGCTCTTTAAGATCCATTAATTCTAAAACACTACTAATCCACTTTTGGAAATCATGGACATAGTGAAAGCCAGTTACTCATGGGAGACTCGACTATCTCTTAGCAGCAAAAAGTTGAGAGCTGCTGATCTTGACATCTTCTTATACAACACTTTTTCCATTCCCAGCATGATTCTGAGTGTGCATGTATGTGTGAGTGTGTGTGCATGTGCGTACCTGATGCATTACATGTGGTGTCTTGAAATACACTGGAATTAATGATAGCTGTCTTGGTCTACATTTTCTGTACATTTACATGTACAGAAGCATGCACTTCTGTCCCTTTCCCTGCTGGCAAACCTATTATCATACCTATGAGGCTGGTATGAGGAAATCTGCCCGTTTGTGAATATCTTAGTGAAGATCCTGGTGGGAAAAAGGTGACACATTCAAACTGGGAATAATTAGGGAGAGATTATTTACGAAGATGTGGTTAGGAAACCAAGAGAGTATAGTGGAGTTCCATAGGGCACAGAAACACTGGGAAGCCATTATCACACCCAGGTTTGAAAAACAATGGGACTGAGAAGTTATTGGAATCCAGATAGAGGCTATATGAAGAGAGTCACCTGTCAACAGCTTTGACCTTTAATGGAGGCACGCAGCCAACATATGATGACCCAAAAGGAAGGTTATGGGGTGAATAGATGTCTTGACCTCATTTCCTCCTGTTCTCTGATTTCTTCCCCTTGCATCCTGTTGGCCAGCCCAATAGGAAACTGGGGGGCTTGAGAACCCACAGAAGTAGGAGACACAGGTCAGCTTCCAGGAGTGCAGAGAAGGGGGAAGAAAGGCAAAGAGTGAATCTAGAGTGGCAAGCAGAAGACAGCTAGTTAGGCAAATAGATTGGCATATCTGTGAATTGTCAGCAGGGCCAATCAAAGTTATGGAAAGCAGTAAGGATTACACTAATGCAAATTCTAAATTACCTCTGAATCCCTTTGGATTGCTATTTAGTGAAGGCTTGCTGTTTCAAACTCTAAATATACCATGTCTTCATCACAATAATTGCTATGAGGAAGGTAGTATTATTCGTATTTTACAGGCAAAAACAAAACAAAACAAACAAACAAAAAACAAAACACAAAAACTGAGATGTCTAGCTCTCAAAACCTTGTCCAAGACCACAGGTAAGAGGCAGGAGAGCTTATATTCAAAGTTCAGCCTGAGTGACTCCAAACCTAGACTCTTTCTCATCATTACAATTTAGTACAGATTCAATGAAACAGCAATCTAAGAAATCACTTACAGAAAATCCTGGCTGTGTATAATGTTACTACTCAGAGAAGACAACAGAATTTGAGTCAGAACTGAGTTATAATATTTAGTTGAAATCAAAGATGTTCAACATGTTTATCCTTCAAAGTGTAAACACAGTGGATATTGTCAGTGCCCCATCCATATCCCTTAAACTCTACCATTTCAAGATGCTCTGGGTGATTTGCAATTGCTGGTACCCACATCTGGAAGTGCACAAGGCCACGCTGCTCTGGTGTTTGGCAAGCCGTAAGCACCAGAAATTAACACCCCTGAGAAGAGCCCTCAATCAGTGATTCTTGGAAGTTGATGTAAAATGTCCCAGGTCCCTAGCCACTCATGCAGAATCCTGAGGTGTGTTTTGTACTTTCCCCCAGTTTTCCTATAGGCTAAAGTTCTGTTTCCCATGTGTGATAGCAAGCTTGATAACACACCACTTTTTGGCTGCCTTTCCTTTCCTGTGTCATTTTTCACTTCACTAGTGGTGGTCTCTGCACTTCTATTGGCGCGCAAATTTTTCTGGAACCATCCAAAGTAGAAGAATTTATGCAGAAGTTTTCAGACCAGGTTTTCTATTAGCAACAAGAAGCTTTTCAAGAAAGGATTCTAAAATGGGATCATTTGCTGGCCATATGGCCTAAAGGAGACTATTGTTGGTGGGAAGCACAGTGTTGATAACCCTCGACATACTGTAGCATCAGTTTCTGTAAGACCCTTGGCTACGGTGAATTAGAAAGGCATAGACTTAGAAGGGGTGGCACTGACTTATGTGTTATCTCAACTTTTGGAGGAATAAGCCTGCAATTATAATTAAAAAGACAATAGCTTTGGTTGGTGCCATCAACGCGGTGAATACTTAAAATTACTGGCTCAGGTCAGCCAATTGCCAATTCAGAAGCATACTATGGAAGCCAGAATGCATCTATGGTTGCATTTAAAGGAACCCTTATTTCCTGCAGCCATACAGCAGAAACTTTTAGGCTTTGTGAAATCATTAACAGCAAGAGATAAAAATCATAATGTATGAGAAAAAGGAAAGATGCTAAGCAGATTGGGAGACAGAATTGTGAAGTCCATGTTTTCTCTGAATATTTGATTGACTTAGGCTTGAGCAAGCATTCTTCCTGTGTGCAAGTTCATCCGGAAAAGTGAAATCTGCAAAGCTGTCAAGAACATGTACCTTGGCTGAGAGTTTTTGGAGCTAAGTTTCAGTCTCTTTACTTTAATGAGACATTAAATTATTCCAGGCAGCCAGCACCGTCTTCCAGAGTAGAGCATAGGAACAGAGCATGCTGTTATGCCACTTGAGATAAACAATTACTCTGAAAACTGAGACAGGCAATCAATTAAATAAATAAGATACTGTAGGCAAATATCTATTTGCAAATGAAATGTAGGGTTAGTGGCAAAGATGCTAAATAAATGTGAAATTTAATCTGTAATTATGATCTAAAACAAATCTTCTAAGTACAGAGTCGGAGATTCCAGTTGCTTTGATGGGCCTGGAGGATTGGCCCAGAGCCTCTGAATTGTTTCCTGGGAAAAGAAGCAAGAGTGAGAAGGGAAATGTAGATAATTCTTCCCTGAGCCTCAAGACGGTTCTCCTGGTAGGGATGACCTAAGCCTGTGTGCAATTTGGATAGGATTGATATTAAATACCTGTCCACAAAGGAAGTTGTGGGGTTATAGACTGAAGTGAGAAAAATGTCAGTGAAGAAAGAATTATTGCCTCGATGGGATTATTAATAGTGTTCCTTTCTCTTTCATAAGCATCCTAATTTTGTTGATAATTTGTTTCTTTAATCATGCACTATTCACAGTACTCCTCATTATCCCAGAAAATGTGTAGTATACTGCTCACCTTAATGTGCCATGAAAAGCAGGTGGGGTGTGGAGTTAAAAGACCTGGGTTGGCGTTCTCTGTTCTTATCCTACTAGGCACGTCAACAAGGTTTGCTCATCTATAAAATAAACACGGCAATATTTTCTTTGTGGTGATGTTATGAGTATACAAATCACCTTACCAGTGTTATGTGCCCTTTGGGTCAAAATTATTAGAATTCAGGGTAAGTCACATGTGACCCAATGTTTGTGGTATGGTCCGAAGTCTAATTTCAAGATTTGGTGAGCATAAGAATGTGCCTCTTAGGTTTTTAAGTGCAGGGAGTGTGATTGAACAACGGCCTCAGCTGCTGTTCCCCAAAGCCTGATACTGTGTTTGCACAGAGGCCATGCTTTCTGTGTGCTGCCCCCAGACAATGATTGGGCAGAGGGGTTACTAAATCAGGCCCATGCCAGGGAGATATGGGACTTTGCTGAAGGCTGACCTTACCTAGAGGAATCTCTGATGGCCTTGCCAACCTTTCCTTAGAATTTCAGGCAGCCTGTGAAACTTCCACCCAACCTTCTTTCCCTTCTCTCTCCCCTTCACTCAGAGTCAGGTTTGTATCACAGCCTGACAGCTCTCCCTCCCTCTCTTAGCTCCTTTTCTCTTCTCTCTCAGGCGAATTTCTTGCATGTCTTATCCCACTTTAGCATCTGCTTCTTGATAGACCCAAGATAACATAAAGATAAAATATAAGAAAGTCGCGAGTATGCGAAATGTGCATATTGGGATGCTGATAGTATTGTGGCTAAAAACAATGCCACTTGTTTTTATTTATTTAGATTTTTCTGTTGAATATTGTGTAAGAATAGACATTTTACAACCCTGGTACTCAATGCAGTTATTTTCATTTTAACTAGGGAAAACTGTTGTCCCAGAGACCTTTTATTGTCTCTGCATTGGACTTTGTGAAAAACAGGCAGAACAGCACTCTTCTGGCCAACGTTATCAACATGGGTCCTGCCTCCTGGTAATAATTTTTCTCTTTTTCTAATTTAATTTGACTCTTCTCTACCCTTTAACATCCAACTTAGGTGTCCTCTAGGAAACCTTCTCTGACAATTCCAAAAACACTAGTTTTTCACCTCTTCCATCTGCCTTAGTACATTAAAGTCATCACAACTGATTTATGTTGGCTGCATGAAAAAAATTAAGTTGATGGAAAGATCATAGGACAGAGCAATTTTCAGAAATTGTGCTAAAAAATGTTTAAGAAAATAGTTTTCAAGCCCTTTAGCAAACATTGACTACTAGGCTAATTATAAATTATCCTAAGCCCCTTATTAAAATAGTTCTAGCAAGACCTCTCCTGGGGACCATTTTTATGGTCTTTACTGAGTTGCTGGTATGCTAAACCCAAACCACTCCATTTCTTTAGAAATATTCAGCAGCATTTCAAATCTCTCTGTCTACCAACAAGTCTCATTTGTTGTTTAATTCTAGAAGTTTATGTCTGCAAAACTTCTTTGGGGCAGCTTAGAAGGAAATTGATAGAGCTTTGTAAGAGGGAAGCTGGGGTAATCCACTCTAGAATGGGTCCATGTTTAGTCAAGAAATTTGGTCTAAAAAGAAAGTTAATAATGTGAGTTTTATCATTTTCTCTGGGATCATCTGTTCAAAGTCAGCCTTTTTTTTTCTAAAGAGTAAGCCTTAAAGGTCAGAGATATTATTTAATAAGTGCTTAAGAAACTTATTGAATAGGCCTTAACAGTGGATGAAGAAAGGAGAAAGCAGTCCATGAGATAGCTTCTACTGCTATGTCTGTTTGAAGATTTCTACCCCCTAGGACGGGTTGCCAACAAAAACTTGTAGACATAGATGTCTTTCAGTGCTGCCTTCCCTGCCTCTCTTTTCCTAGGACTTGGTAAGACCTGTTTGCCCTCAGCCACTCCACATCGAGCACCTGTCCAGCTGCAGAGTGCTGGACCATTCGTGCTGGTCTCCTCTGTCTTCTATTCTGTTTCATTTTCCTGGTCTCCATTCTGCTAATGAGAGATGTGCTAATCAGCTACAGTCACTTCTCAGTACCCTGTTTATGTTGAGCCAGAGACTTGCAGAGCAAGAGGCCTGGTGGAATCAGGTGATTTTCTCAAGGTCACACCAGCAGTTAGCACTGGGTATTTGGAAGCCATGTGTCTGACACCTGGCATGTTGTTTTCTCTGTTAGAGGATTCTTTTTCATCTCTGCCATATGTTTTGAGTTACTCTGAATTGACCATGTATTTATTTCCACTTAGAAAATGTAAATCTTCTATATGTTTTTTCTGTCCTTTAGTTTTCCACAGTCTCATTGTTATTACATTTATTTGCAAGGCTCAACTAAGCCACAGTAGAATAGGGCTCTTTCCTGAGGACACTGTTCCTGCTCTCCTTTTTAGTTAGAGCATACCTGGCATTGCAGCTAGATACAGGCTCTTCTGCCTCTGACAACTCCATGATCTTTGGATCTTGACTCAAAGGCCATGGAGTTTAAAATGGTTTGAGTTCAGATGCATAATTCAAGGTGCCTTTCCATCCAGGCATAGCCTGAGTATACCGGGAGCATTTGAGTTTGGTGTCAAGGAAATCCAGGAGTGAATTTTCAGTCAAAGTAGCATAATTCCTGATTAAGGTTCTCAGTAATATCTAACCTTTAGTAAATGCCAGCTGCATAATGATGGCTGGCGTGCTTTCTTCAGATACTGCACTGCAGTCAGTTCAGCCAGGCCATAAGAATCTATTTAATAGAACTCTAATGGGAAATGACCAGGATCTGACTACAGAAGATTAAAAGTGACAATGCTAATTGACTGCGGAGGTGTCTACATGAAGAGGGGCCAGAAAAATCATTTAAGTCTAAATGAAATTGGACTGATTTGATATTTGAAAAAAGTATTACCTTCCTGCTGTTTAGCAGGGGTAATTAACTGCTTCATGTTTCCTAAGGAAGAGTCTTTGTGGAACAAGGAGCTACAGTTGTTGGGAAAAGAACTTTCCTCAACTGGGTTAGAAAAAAGAATTGGGCTAAAGATTTCATTCATACTGCAATCACAGTGCTTAGCAATCAGTGAAAAGTGCTGGCATCTAAGTTTGAAAGGGTCCTTGTACAGCGAAAGATGGCCCATTCCTCATCCTCACTGAGGATGGAACACCAACGGGATTCAGCTACTCGTGGAAAATATGGGTTTAACTCTTAATGTAGAAGCAGTTCTTTTAAAAATATTTAGAACAATACAAATTAATGAAACTTTATTTTATTTTTCTTTTTTGAGATGGAGTCTCACTCTATCACCCAGGCTGGAGTGCAATGGCACGATCTCGGCACATTGCGACCTCAGCCTTCCAGATTCAAGAAATTCTCCTGCCTCAGCCTCCTGAGTAGCTGGGATTATAGGTGCATGCCATCATGCCCGGCTAATTTTTTTTTTTTTTTTTTTTGTATTTTTAGGAGAGAGGGGGTTGCACATATTGATCAGGCTCCTGACCTTGTGATCTGCCTGCCTCGGCCTCCCAAAGTGCTGGGATTACAGTCATGAGCCACCGCTCCCGGCCTTGAAATTTTAAAGTCTATTTTTTTTCTAACTGGTCAAGTCATCTTTAGAATCTTCTCTAAATCTCATCAAATTAACAGATATACACAGCTTTCTCATCCATCAACTACATCAGGCTCAAGCCATGCCAGGGGGATTTGCACACATACTCCCTTCTCTTCCTTCTACATAATTCTTACTCATCCTTCAAATCTCAGCTTAGATAGATTTATTTTTCAGAAACATCTTCCTGAATCTCCAGACCAGGTAGATATGCACTGGTGTCATTGTGGTTAAGGCAATAGAATCTAGAGATAAAAGGCCAAAATGAAAACACTGGCACAGCCATTCCCTAGCTCTGTAACCTTCAGCAAATTGCTAATGCTCTCACAGCCTTAAGTTCTTCAGCTATTATGTGGAAAGAAGAATGATCGCACTTATTTTGTAGTGTTGTTGTAAGAAATAAATATAAGGAATTCCTATCATTGTGATAAGCTCCTATGGCCCCGTGTACCTTTCCTTCATTGCTCTTTTCATATTAATATTTTTAGTACTAATTAGTACATACTAGTATGCATACATACTAGCACATGTATTTTTGTGACTATTTGATAGATATATGTCTCTCTCACAATACTGTAAGTGTCATAATGTTAGGGGAATTACCATTGGATCTCCAGAGCCTAGAACAGTGATAGTTCATTCTCACTTCTATAAATACCTGAGACTGGGTAATTTATAAAGAAAAGAGATTTAATTGGCTCACAGTTCCACAGGCTGTACAGGAAGCATTCTGCTGCCATCTGCTCAGCTTCTGGGGAGGCCTCAGGAAACTTACAATCATGGTGGAAGTTAAAGGGGAAATCAGCACTTCACATGGCTAGAGCAGGAGGAAAGGGGGCAGGGAGGTGCCACATACTTTTAAACAACATGATCTCATGAGAACTCACTCACTATCATTAGAACAGCACCATGTGGGGAAATCTGCCCCCACAATGATCCAATCACCACCCAGCAGGCCCCACCTCCAACACTGATGCTTATAATTTGACATAAGATTTGGTTGGGGACACAGATCCAAACTGTATAAATCTGCTCTCAGCCCCTACAAAATCTCATGTTCTTCTCACATTGCAAAATACAATCATGCTTTCCTAGCAGTCCCCCAAGTCTTAACTCATTTTCAGCATTTATTCAAAAGTCCAGAGTCTCATCTGAGACAAGGCTAGTCCCTATAAGCCTGTAAAATCAAAAACAAGTTAGTTACTTCCAAGATGCAATTGGGGTATAGACATTGGGCAAATACTCTCATTCCAAAAGGGAGAAATCAGCCAGGAAAAAAGGGCTACAGGCCTGATACAAGTCCAAAACCCAGAAGGGCAGTCATTAAATCTTAAAGCTCCAAAATAATCTCTTTTAACTCAGTGTCTCACATCCAGGGAATACTGGTGCAAGGGGTGGCTCCCAAGGCCTTGGGCATCTCCTCACCTGTGGCTTTGCAGGGATCAGCCCCCATGGCTTCTCTCATGGGCTGGTGTTGGGTGCTTGTGGCTTCTCCTGGTGCATGGTGCAAGCTGATGATGATTCTGCCATTCCACAGCCTGGAGAACAGTGACCCTCTTTTCACAGCTCCACTAGGCAGTGCCCCAGTCAGGACTCTGTGTGAGGGCTTCAACTCCACATTTTCCATCTGCACTGCCCTAGCAAAGTTTCTCTGTGAGGGCTCTGCTTTTGCAGCAGGCTTCTCTGCCTGGACATCCAGGCTTTTCCATACATCCTCTGAAATCTAGGTGGAGGCTCCCAAGCCTCAACTCTTGCGCTCTGTGCATCCACAGGCTTATCACCACATGGAAGCCACCAAAACTTATGGCTTAAACTCACTGAAGCAGCAGCCCAAGCTGTACCTGGGCCGCTTTTAGCCACAGCTGGATTTGGAGCAGGCGGGATTCAGGGACAAAACCGTATCATTCATAGCCGCCACTAGTTAAATATTTGATTGAATAAATGAATAAATAGTGGCTTCTAGTAGCAGCTTACAACTTCTTATACTGTAAGCGATGGTAGAAATGGGCCACTTCTATCCGTAACTTTACACATTTGTTGACTCAGTGCTTCTCACTCCTGCAACTATGCTAAGGTAATATAGCTATTGGATTCTTTAGACCACTTCCTATGAGTGACTTCCAGCATGGATTTTTTTTGTTGTATGCCTGAGAGGAGTAATTCTCAACCCTGGTAACTCATGGGGTAAAAAGTGTTCTAAATAATTTGTTACTGATAATAGTAGAAAGGCCACAAATTTGCAAGAGACACGCTATTCGTATTTGTTAAGTTTATAGGCAGTGAAATGCACTCTCAAGAACATAATTTAATGGAGACTTGACGAATGTACAACCATCTGACAGCTATGCCCATTAATAGAATACTTCCATCATCCCAGGAAGTCATCTCTTACCTCCATTTAATCTACAACTCCCACAGGCATTCCCTGTTCTGATTTGTGTCACCATAGATTAGTTTGCCTATTCTTGAATCCTTTTTAAAAAATATTTTCAACTTTTAGTTTACATTCAGGGTGTACATGTACAGGTTTTGTTCCCTGGATATTTTGCATGATGCTGAGGTTTGGAGTACAACTGATCCTGTCACCCAGACAGTGAGCATGGTACTGAATGCTAGTTTTTCAACCCTTCCTCCTTCTTGTAGTCCCCAGTGTCTATAGTTGCCATCTCTATGCCTAATTGTACCCAATTTTTAGCTCCCATTTTAAAGTGAAAACATGAGGTGTTCGGTTTTCTGTTCCTGCTTTAATTTACTTAGAATAATGGCCTCCAGTTCCATCCATGTTGCTGCAAATGACATTATTTTGTTCTTTTTTATGGCTGCATAGGATTTCATGACATATACATACCACATTTTTTAAATTGAGTCCACCATTGATTGGCACCTGGGTTGACTCCATGTCTTTGCTGTTGTGAATAGTGCTGTGATTAACATGTGAGTGCATGTGTCCTTTTGGTAGGTTGTTTTATTTACTTTTGGATATATACCCAGTAATGTGATTGCTGGATCAAATGGTAGCTTCGTTTTAAGTTCTTTGAGAAATCTCCAAACGGCTTCCCACAGTGGCTGAACTGATTTATATGCCCATCAACAGTGTATACGCATCCCTTTTTCTCCACGCTTCACCAGCATCTGTTTTTATTTATTTTGTTTTATTTTTCTAAAAATAGCCAATTCTGACTGGTATGAGATTATATTTCATTGTGGTTTTGATTTGCATTTCTCTGATGATTTGTGATATTGAGCAGTTTTTATATTTGTTGGTTGCTTGTATGTCTTCTTTAGAGAAGTGTCTGTTTGCGTCTTTTGCCTATTTTTAATGGTTTTATTTTGGCTTGCTAATTTAAGTTCCTTATACATTCTGGATATTAAATCCTAGTGAGAGGCATAGTTTGCAAATATTTTCTCTCATTTATTTATTCTATTGATTGTTTCTTTTTCTGTGCAGAAGGTCTTTAATTAGGTCCCACTTGTCATTTTTTTTTTTTTTTTTTTTTTTTTGCAATTGCTTTTGAGGACTTGGTCATAAATTATTTTCCAAGGCTGATATCCAGAATGGTATATCCTAGGTTCTCTTGTAGGATTCTTATAGTTTGAGGTCTTATATTTAAATCTTTAATCCATCTTGAGTTAATTTGTATATACGTTGAAAGGCAATGTCCAGTTTCATTCTTCTGCATATTGCTAGCCAGGTGTCTTAGCACCAATTATTGAATAGGGAGTCTTTTCCTCACCACTTATTTTTGTTGACTTTTTCAAAGATCAGATGGCTGGAGGTATATAGCTTTATTTCTGGTTTCTCTATTCTGTTTCACTGATTTATGTGCCAGTTTTTGTACCAGAACTGTGCTGTTTTGGCTACTGTAGCCTTATATTATATAGTTTGACTTTGGATACGTGATGCCTCCAGCATTGGCCTTTTTGCTTAGAATTACTTTGACTATTTGGGCTCTTTTTGGTTCCATATGAATTTTAAAATAGTTTTTTTTCTAGTTCTGTGAAAAATGATGTTGGTAGTTTGATAGGAATAGCATTAAATCTGTAAATTACTTTTGACAGTATGATCATTTAAATGAGATTGATTCTTTCAGTTCATGAGCATGGAATGTTTTTCCATTTGTTTATGTCATCTATGATTTATTTCAGCAGTATTTTGTAGTACTTCTTGTAGAGATCTTTCACCTTCTTGGTTAGACGTATTCCTAGGTGGTGGTGGTTGTTGTTGTATGTGTGTGTTTTTGTAGCTATTGTAAATTGTACTGTGTTCTCGATCTGGCTCTCAACTTGAACACTACTAGTGTGGTAGAAATATTACTGATTTTTATACATTAATTTTTGTATCCTGAGACTTTACTGAGGTCACTTATCAGTTCCAGGAGCCTTTTTGGTGGAGTCTTTAGGGTTTTCTAGGTGTACAATCACATTGTCTACAAAGAGGGATAGTCTGACTTTTTCTTTTCCTACTTGGTTGCCTTTTATTTCTGTATCTTGCCTGATTGCTTTGGCTAGGATTTTTAGTACTATGTTGAATAGGAGTCATGAGAGAGGACATGCTTATCTTATTCCAGATCTCAAGGGGAATACTTCCAGTTTTTAATCATTCAGTATGGTGTTGGCTGTGGGTTTTTCATAAATGGCTTTTATTATTTTAGGGTGTGTTCCTTCAATGTCTACATTCTTCAGGGTTTTTATCATGAAGGGATATTTGATTTTATCAAAAGTTTTTTCCACATCTATTGAGATAATCATGTGTTTTTGTTTTTAATTGTATGTGGTGAATTACATTTATTGATTTTTGTATGTTTAATCAAACTCACATCCTGGGAAGAAATCCTAATTAATCATGGTGAATTAACTTTTTGATGTGCTACTTGATTCTGTTTACTAATATTTTGTTGAGAATTTTTGTATCTGTTCATCAGGGATATTGGCTTGGCTTATAGTTTTCTTTTTGTTGTTTTTGTGTCTTTGTCAGGTTTTGGTATCAGGGTAATGCTGGCTTTGTAGAATGAGTTAGGGAGGAGTCCCCATCTTTAATTTCTTAGACTAGTTTCAGTAGAACTGGGATGAGATCTTTTTATATCTGGTAGAACTTGACTGTGAATCCATCTGGCCTGTGGCTTTGTTTGATTGGTAGGTTTTTGAATTATTGATTCAATTTTGGAACTTGATATTCATCTGTCTAGAATTTTGATTTCTTCCCAATTCAATTTTGGGAGGCTGTATGTTTCCTGGAATTTGTCAATTTCATCTAGATTTTCTAGTTTGTGTCCATAGAAGTGTTCACAATAGTTCTTGAGAATCTTTTTAGTTCTGAGGGATTAGTTGTAATGTCACCTTTGTTATTTCTGATTGTGCTTATTTGGACCTTCTTTTATTCTTTGCTAACCTAGCTAGCAGTCCCTCAACTTTGTTTATTTTTTTCAACCTTTGGTTTCATTAATTCTTTGTATAGATTTTGGGGTCTCACTTTCATTTGGTGCTGCTCTGGTTTTAGTTATTTCTTTTCTTCTGCTAGCTTTGGGGTCAGTTTGTTCTTGATTTTCTAGTTCCTCTAGTAGTGATGTTAGATCATTAATTTGGGATCTTTCCAACTTTTTGAGGTAGGTACAGTTTTGCTGTATCTTAGAAATTTTGGTATATTGCGTTTCTGTTTTCACTTATTTAAAATAATTTATTGATTTATGCCTTAATTTCACTGTTTACCCAAAAGTCATTCAGGAGCAAGTTGATTAATTTCAATGTAATTGTGTGATTTTGAGTGATCATCTTGGTATTGATTTCTATTGTTATTCTACTGTGGTCCAAGAGTATGGTTGGTATCATTTAGATTTTTTTGAATTTATTGAGACTTGCTTTATGGTTGAGCATGTAGTCGATTTTGAAGTATGTTACAAGAGATGAGAAAAATGCATATTCTGTGCTTAATGGGTGGAGTATTCTGTAGATGTCTGTTAATTCCAATGGGTCAAATATGTAATTTAAGTCCATAATTTCTTTGTCAGTTTTCTGCCTCAATTATCTGTTTAATGCAATCAGTGGGGTCATGTAGTTCCCCACTATTATTGTGTGTGTGGCCATCTAAGTCTTTTTGTAGATGTAGAAGTACTTGTTTTATGAATTTGGGAGCTCCCATGGTAGGTGTGCATATATTTAGGATAGCTAGGTCTTCTTGTTAAATTGAACCCTTTATCATTATGTGATACCCTTCCTTGTCCTTTTTTACTGTGGTTGGTTTAAAATCTGTTTTTATCTGATATAAGAATAGCGACCCTTGCTTTTTTTGCTTTTCATATGTGTGGTAGATCTTTCTCCAATTCTTACATAGAGCTCATGGGTGTCATTACATGTGAGGTGAGTCTCTTGAAGAAAGCAGATGGATGGGTCTTCTTAAAAATTCAACTCATCACTCTATGCCTCTTAAGTATGGTATTTAGATCATTTGAGGGAATAATTTAGAGATTATATTGATATGTGAGGTTTTATCCTATTGTGAAGTTGTCAGCTTGTTGTTTTCTAGTCCCTACTATGTGGTTGCTTTATGGGGTCTGTGGGCTATGTAATTAAGTGTGTTTTTGTGGAAGTAGGTATTGTTCTTTCATTTTCATGTTCAAAACTCCCTGAAGGATCACTTGTAATTCTGGTGTAGTTGTAACAAATTACCTTAGCACTTGCTTGTCTGAAAAAGACTTTTTCTTCTTCACTTACGAAGCTTAGTTTGGCAGGATATAAGAGATAAAATTCTTGGTTGGAATTTCTTTTCTTTAAGAATGCTTAAAATAGGTCCTCAATCTCTTCTGGCTTTTGAGGTTTCTGCTGAGAAGTCAGCTGTTAGCCTGAAAGGATTCCCTTTGTATGTAATTTGACTTTTTTCTTCAGCTGCCTTTAAGATTATTTTCTCTAGTGTTCGCCTTGGACAGTATGATGACTATATACCTTGGTTATGCTCATTTTGTAGGGTATCTCACAGGTGTTCTCTGGATTTCTTATATCTAGATGTCTATCCATCTAGCAAGATTGAGGAAATGTTCTTGAATTTCCCTCAAATATATTTTTTAGGTTGTTTACTTTTTCCTCTTTCTCTCTCAGGAATACTAATAATTTGTAGATTTGGTTGCTTCACAAAATCTCATATTTCTTGAAGATTTTATTTACTTTTTAAATTTATTTTTCTTTATTTTTGTTTGACTGGGTTAGTTTGAGAGATCAGTCTTCAAGGTCTGAGATTCTCTTTTTTGGTTGATCCGTTCTGTTGATAAAGCTTTCAACTGTATTTTGAAAAAATTTAAGTGTGTTTTTCAATCCCAGAAGCTCTGACTGATTTCTTTTTAAGATGTTTATTTCTTCTTTCATTTTCTGGATTGTTTTAGAAGTTTGTGTGTGTTGATTTTCAACTGTTTCTTGGATTTCATTGAATTTCCTTGCAATCCTTGCTTTGAATTCTTTATCTGTCATTTCTGGTTATCTGTCATTTTGGTTAGGTACCATTGCTGAAGAGCTAGTGTACTCCTTTGGTGGTGTCACTACATTTAGATTTTTCATGGTACCAGAAGTCCTTTGCTGGTTCCCTCTCATCTGGAGATGGAGGCACTTCTAATATTTGTAATTATTTTCATGCAAGTAGGATTTTTTTCCCCTTGTCTTTCTTTTCCTAAAATATCATTATGATTTTTTTTCTTTCCCTTTCCTTTTCCACCCCTTCCCAAGGGGTGTGACTGTAGAAAATGCTGGATGGCATCTTTTGGGTTTGCTTCTAAAGCTGTATGCAGTTCTGTCAGCATGTTTTTTCACTGGGCTGTACAGTCTGACCTACAAGCCAGTCCATGGGACTTATGGGTAAGAATGGGCTGTGGCCAATGTGGCTGGGTATCTACTGGCCTTGTTTACTGGAAGAAGCTCTCTGCTGCTCAGGCAATAGGTCAACTCATGGAGTACACAGTGGGCTGAGCACCCTGTTCAGCCCTTGGGGGCTGTGGAGAAAGATAGGCTGGGCTTGATCAGACAGGTTGGCCTATAGGTCCCCTGATGGCAGGCACAAGTGACAGTCCCAGTGGAGAATACAGTGAGTGGCCACCAAGCACACAGACATGTACCTAGGTGTGGAACTGCAAAACCTTCTCAGCCTCAAGTTCTCTTCATGGGCAGGGGGTACAGCCTGAACTCCTAATCCAGGGGACTGAGTGCTGCAGTACCTGAAGAGCTGCATGAGCATGAAATGTAGAGGGCACCCCCTGCACCAGGATCTCTGTACAGGATGGTTGGAGCAGCTCAGGCTTCTAATCTAAGTAAGGGGTGCTCTGAATGCCTAGAGATTTGCCTGTCTCTCCATAGATTGGAGACGGCCTCCCTACACGAGGATCTCTGTACAGGAAGGATGTGGTGACTCAGATTACTAGTCCACATGAATCGGTGCTCCAAATGCCTGCCGATTTGCCTGTGTGTAGAGTGGAGATGGCTCCACTGCACCACGATTTATATCCAGGAAGGGTGGGGTGGCTCAGGCGGCTGTTCCAGGCAAGCGTATGCTCCAAATGCCTAGATTTCTGACAGAGAGTGGAGTGGAGAGGGCTCTGGTGCACTATGACCTCAGGGAAGTCAGCTTCAGCACCCAGCAATGACACGGACAGGCAGGTTTCAGGTCACCAAGCTGGCCCTGGTTGCAAGTCTCACTGCCCAGAAGAAACTGCAGCCATAGCAGCTCTCCTCCCACTCTGGGCTAATGACTGGGGACAGCACAGTTCCAATTCCTACTGCTGAGGTGCTTCCCACAGTTCTGGTTGCAGCAGCCCCTACCCAAATCCAGAGCAGGAGCTCTAATCTTTGGCCCAAGACTAAAATGCCAGCATGACCACAATGCTGGGTTACCAAAAAATGGTTGATTTTTTATGAGCTCAAATTAAAAAGCCTGTAGCTTTTCCCAGTGTCTCTCCTCTAAGCCTCTTCTCTCCCAAAGTTAGCTCCAGGGCTTAGGGGAAACAAAGCGCTCTCCCTCAGCCTGGGTTGTTCAGATCCCCAGTGGAAAGGTAAGTCACAGAGGAAGGCTCTCTGCTTTTCTCAGTACTGAGGCTTTACTCACCTTTAGCAGCTAGATGTCATCACGGAAGCTGTTTGCCCATATCCTGCTCCCCAGGGTCTCCTTCACAATTCTGGTGGATTCCCATTTTCCATCTTGAATTAAAGCTCACAGAGTTGATCTTTATTTTATTTATTATCTTTCTATTTCCAAGTGCCTGAGACATGCTAAAAGCCAGGTGGAAAAAAGGTGTTTTTGAGGTTTATAAAAGTTCAGTGATATTTTGTATACGACTTCTATTCTTTAATGCAACAATTTTGAGATTCATGCATGTTGTGTATTTCGGTATTTATTTTATTTATTCATTGCTGAATAGTATTTCATTACATGAATATAGCATGCTTTGTTTACTAATTCTCCCACAGATGAACATTTGGGTTGTTTTTAATTTGCAGCTACTATGAATTAACCTTCAATGAACATTTTTACACAAGTCTTTTTGTGGACATGTTTAATTTCTCTTGGGCAAATACCCAGGAGGGGGATTGCTGGGTGATAGGGTAAATGCAGGTTTAACTTTATTAACAAAACTTCCAAACATTTTCCCAAAGTAGTTGTACCATTTTAAACCTCATCAATAATGTGCAAAACTTAGTGGCTTTCCATTCTTGCCAGTAAGTGGTGTTATCAATCATTAACAGTAGCCATTGAGGTGGATATGAAGTGGTATCTCATTATGTATATTTTTATTTAAATTTATGTTCTCTAGATGATTAATAATAAAAACCATTTTATGTCCTTCTTGACCATGCATGTATCTTCTTCTGTGAGGTATCTCAATATTTTGCCTATTTTTAAATTGAGGATTTAACTTTTAATAATTGATTTATATCTAGATACAATATTGTTGTCACATGTATGTAAAATACATATTTTTTATCGATTTATGTCTTGCACTTTCATTTTCTTAGTGATGTCTTTTGGTGACATAAGTTTTCATTCTGATGAAGTCTAATTATTCTTTATTGTTGTTTTTGCATCCTAAGTAATCTTTTTCTCTCCTATTATGCTTTAAGATATTCTTCCATGGATCCTAGATTCCTGAAAGTTTGTTTTAATACTCTAACTTTGTTCTTTTTTAAGGACTGTTTTGTTTGTCCTTTACAAAGATTGGTAGATCATTTGCTTTTTAATGTAAATTTTAGAATCATATAGTCAATTTATTAAAAAAATACTTTTGGGGCTTTTAATTAGAATTGCATTAAATTCATAGATTGATTTGAAAAAAATAAGACATTTTAACAATATTGAATTTTCTAGTGCATAAACATGGTGTATCTCTCCATTTCATTAGAATTAAAATGAAATTAAAATTTCATTTTAATTTCTGTCAACAATGAATTGAAATACTTAGTTTAGAAATCTTACACATCTTTTATTAAAATGATTTCAAGTTTTTTTGTTTTTTAAGCAACTAGTTTTTATTTTTTTCCAATTGCTCGCTAATATTAGAAATACAATTATTTTATAAATAAATATACAAAACATAAAAAATACAATGACTTTTGTATATTAACCCTCATACACTACTATAATGCTAAATTCATTTATTGGTTCTAGCAATTTTTTCTGTAGATGCAAAAAGGTATCTATGTATACAATGCTGTTGTCCATAAATTAAGCTTGCCTCCCATCTTCCACTTAATTATTATACCATTTACTTCTTTTTCTTGCCTTATGGCACTAGCTAGAACTTCTAATGGAATGTTGTATACAAGTGCAGAGAGTGTAGATCCTTGCATTGTTCACAGTCTTGGCAGGTAAGTATTCAGTTTCACAAATGAGTATTATGTTAGTTGTAGGTTTTTCATAATTGCATTTTATCAGATGGAGAAAGTTAAATTATGTTCGTATTTGGCTAAGAGCTTTATAATAATTGGGTATTGGATTTTGTCAAATGCTTTTGACTGTATCTATTGACATAAAAATGTGTCTTTTGTTAATACTGTAAATCACATTGAGTCATTTTTGAAAGTTTAACCAAACTAAGATTTCTGAAAAACATTTTACTTGTCTCTAATATACTATATATTGCTATATTTAATTTGTTAATTAATTGTTTTATTAAGAATTTTGAATTGCTGTTTGTGTATTTTAATGTTAATATTGGACTTTAGCATAAGCGTTGGGCTGGCTTCACAAAATCTGTTGGGAAGTATTCTTCTCTATTTTCTGATATATTTTGTGCAAAATTGGTTTTATTTATTTTATTTTTTATTTTTTTTGAGACAGAATCTCACTCTGTCTCCCAGGCTGGTCGGCAGTGGCACGATGTTGGCTCACTGCAACCTCCGCTTCCTAGGCTCAAGCAATCCTCCAGCCTCAGCCTCCTGAGTAGCTGGGACCACAGGCATGAGCCACCATGCCCAGCTAACTTTTTTATTTTTTGTGGACTCAGGGTTTTGCCATTTTGGTAAGGCTGTTTTCAAACTCCTGAGCTCAAAGTGATCCACATGCGTCAACCTCCCTAAGTGCTGGGATTACAGTCATGAGCCATGGCACCCAGCCTAAGACTGGTTTTATATGTTCTTTAAATAGGATAGAATTCACCAATAAAACTATCTGTGCTTGCTTTTCTTTGTGGAAAATTTCTATTTTAAAACTGAATTATTTTTAATGATTTATATTTTACTAAACTTTAAAAAAGACACTTTTGCTTTGTTATTTGTATTTATTATTTTCTTGTTTTTAATTTTATTGTTTTCTGCTTTTATCTTTATTTTTTCTTTTTACAATTTACTTTAGTTTTTAATTTATTTTTTATAGGCTTATAAGGTTGAAAATTAAATCATTGATTTCAAATCATTTTTTTCTTTTAACATAATCATATAAAGCTACACATTTTCCTTTAAGTACTATTTTAACTAGATGTAATATCTACATCTAGTAGATATTGACATATTTTATTTTTCTTAACATTTGGTTTAAAATTCTTATTTTTCTGTGATTCTTCTTTGACCCATGAATTAATTAAGAGTGTTGTTTAATCTCCAAATATTTGAGGATTTTTTATTTCTATTTTTTATAATTGACTTCTACTTTAATTCAGCTGTAGTCAGAGCTCTATATAATTTCAGTCCTTTAAAAGGCATTGAGACTTGGTTTATGACCCAGTATATTGTCTTTCTTAATGACTGTTCCATGCGTACATGAAAAGAAGGTCTATTCTGTAGTTGTTAGATGCATTATTCTATAAATGTCAATTAGGTCAAGTTGGTTGATCAAGTTGTTCAAATATTCTGTATTCCTATTTCAATTAATACTGAAAGAAAGGTACTGACATCTCCAACTACAATGATAAATTTGTCTATTTTTATCATTAGTTTTGTCAGTTTTTGTTTAATGCGTTTTGGAACTCTATTGTTATGTATCTACATATCTATAATTGTTATACATTCTTGATTACTTATTCCTTCTCACATTATGAAATATTTCCTTATTTCTGCTTATATTTCTAGTTTTTCCACATTTCATTTCAGTAGTAAGGTATTTCTAGTCTTAATGTCTACTTTGTCTTATATCAATGCATTCCTACTAGCTTTATTACATTTACTTGCTATTTGCATGGTGTGTCTTTTTTCCCCATCCTTTTACTTTCCTCTTATCTGTATCTTTATATTTAAAATGATATCCTGTAGATAGAAAATATTTACATTTTGTTTTTTTTTACCCAGTCTGAGAATATCTGCTCTATAATTGGAGTACTCAGTCCATATACATTCAAAACAATTTTTGTATAGCTGTGTTTATGTCTGTCGTTTTGGTATTTGTATTCTCTTTCTCGTATCTGGTTTTGTTTCTCTATTCTTCCGTTTCTGACTTATATTGTGCTTAATGAATATTTTGGTATTCTATTTTCATTTCTTTATTGTTTTTTAAGCTTTTGTTCATTACGTATCATAATATAGTCTGCTTACAGTTAGTACTTTACATAAAATGAAATTAATAGAAGAAATAAAAATGTAGTCTTTTATATTATGGATGTTTTACCTTTTCCTGTGCTTTTTTTTTTTTTTCTGTAGAACTGTATTTCTATCTGTTGTTAGGCTGGGCTGTTTCAATTTTGCCCTTAGTGCTACAGTGGTTAGGTTTGTAGAGTCTTGCTTTGTGCATGCACGTGTCAGCCCTTCATTGAGAACGGCACTGAATGTCCGCACGACTTTTACACTCCTCTCCCCTCACCTCCCCAAGCTTCCTTTCTCTGGTGAAATGCCCTACAAATTCCAGATTCCTTAGTACTGATCTCCTATCTCTGAATAGGAGATTGAGAGGTAGGAGGATAGACTTGGCTTCTGTCTTCTTGATTGTGGCAGAAAGCGTGAATGAATGTGGGACAAACCTCATATGTTTGCTTTCTCTCAAGAATAACAGTCCTGCTCTGCTTGCTACTTAATAGATACCTAAAAATAAATACCTAAAAAATATAAAAGACTACATTTTATTTTATTTATTTATTGCCTTATGTATTTTGTTTAATTGTATGGTAACTCACAGTAAGAGAGTGAGTCTAGTACCATATATTTATTCCATCATGGTGGAAAACTGAATTCCTTGTACTTTACTATTTTAAGATAAACAAGGTAGATTAAAACTTATCCATAAAATAAGATCACATTTATATTTCTAAAATTTCAGTGTGGATTTTGAGTGTCAGAGAATTAGATACAGTTATAAACAGCATTATGCTTTGAATAAGCACAGACACACCTTTGACAATGTGCCCTAGAAATGAGTGCTATCTGTCCTGGTTATGAAGAGGAGATTGAAAGCTGTTTCTAAAAAGGAGTCGGGGTATTGCTATGATGTTGTTCTTTCCAACACATTAGAACTTTTCATGAAAGTTCAAATCCTAAGTTGCTATAGGAATGTTAGAGATGAGCTGATCTGTCTTCTAATTTTGTTGCCCACTTATCACAGTTCTAATATTTTCTTTGCAGTTGCTTATTTGAGTTCTATGGATCTTTTCAGGGATTAAGTATGCTACCACAATAAATGCAAATTGAATGACAAATTTGCATTTTCAGTTTCTAATTTATTGCATATCAGAAAGACTAGCCTCTGTGGGAACAATAAAGTAGGTACCTCAAAGTCTGAGTATCAAGATTGTTTTGTATGTAGTTGGTCTTTGCAGTCCTCATACTGCAGCATAAACCTCCTCTGCTCCCAGCTTTCCTGTATTTTTCAGCTTCATGGAACATCATTCCTGTTTATTCTTGGATCCATTTTCTAAGAGTTGATTTCAGTGCCATTTCCTTATTTCATGGAAAGGGATGTGTTCAGGGTGACACTGGATAGTTTGTTCTTTCATCTAATGTTATCATAAGACGAGTATCTCCCAGTGTTTTATTTAAATGTTAGATAAATGCAGTGAACACAAAGTCAAGGTCTTGTTCTTTTGGAACTCATAGTCTAGCAGAATCACACTAACCCAGAAACCATACCACCATGAATTTGCATCAAGGTAAAAGTCTAACTAGGAGTACTTAGTAGAGAAATGTCTTCAGTGGGGAATCTGCATCAGGTTTATAACTTACTTTCCTCTCTCCCTAAGGTGTGTGTTTCGTCAGTGAACCAATATTGGAGGTAAATACCTCACAGTATGTGGGCAGGGTGAAGGTCCTCCTCAGGTGTTTTTATTCGAATTAACCACTTTAATAAACACATTCAGGAGAGCATCTGGCCTGACATAAGCCTAAGTTACTCTCTGATCACACAGCTCATGTTTTGAAATACTCTGAAGCATGTTATATACATGTCCACTTTGGTGACATGTCCACTTTGATATATACAAAGTGAATACTTTTACCTAAGGGGTTCACTCCCTTCACTTTCTGTTTGAATTCAGTAATTTGGAATGTAGCAAAACTGAAAACCTTTTCATGCATGTTGTATCTTTACCCTGTTGATTAGAAATTCATCTATGCATAAAAATCCTAGTTATTTGAGGTATGTGTGAATATTAATGCAAATATAACCTCATACTACTTCAAGACAGGCAGATGACAGTATTTAATTTTTCCTCTATTTTCAGGAATGAAATACTTTACATGAGCGAAATTTGCAAAATAACATATTTATCAAAGACTCAAAATATGTAACTATTTTGATGGAAATCTATTAAAGTTACACTTTTAATAAACAGTACCATGAATCTAATGTCATAGTTCATTATGAGAATTAAAAAAAATATTTGCATATACAAGACCACATGTCTGTCAGACTATTCAGTTAGTGTTTCTGTTGCCTTCCTATCATCTGTAACTATGTCAGGGTCCAGAAACTCCTTCTCATACCATACTTGTTAATAATCTCTCTGGATTAGTTTGGCAAATAATATTAGTTTTCTAATGAAAAAGGTAACTAAGATTATTAAATAAGTAATTTTGATTTTATATTCAAAGAATAGGATAATAAGGACATAAGGGCTTTGTGGCCTTTTTTCATTGTAGAGCATGACATTTAAAACAATTTTTCTTAGTAAAGCGTGTTTGTGTTTTGATTATTTGCTACAATACTGACCTCTAGACATATATATTTATGTGTATGTATTATGTATAATATATGCATATTATGATATATAAAGAGGTTATAATTATATGACCATTGTTGCTTCTAAGTGAAAGATAAAACTAAACAAAGTTTCATTTCTGAAGAAAAACATTACTTTTTTATAAATAGTAATAAGAATGTCAAAAGAATTAAAGAAATGTAGAACAGATGTTAGTATACTTATGCTAAGATTGGCATCCTTACTCTGTCATTTTTAGAAATCCATCTCAGACTGCATATTAGATGTTAGAGAATAGTCGCAGTTTCAGTAAAGAAGCTGTGTAATAATTTTTCTCATTTACATACTCAGTGAAGCTGGGAGATAGATTACAGTAATTAGTAGGAATCCAAATCTTATAGCACATTACAGTTGTTAATGGGTCATTTTAATTTTCACACCTAACCACATGGGACTTATTTTAGAAACATTAAAAATGTCCCTAGCCCAAGCTAAGAAAAGCATAGAGTAATCAATGGACTATTCTCTCCTATAATGGTAGTGATCTAACAATAAAATAGATTGTAGAGGCAGAGCTCATAGTGAAAGCATTTGGTCAGTGTGAGTAACCGGGAGAACTCTACACAGGAACGAAAGTATCAGGTGGAACCCTGAAGAATGCTGTATAGCCATGTATGTGCCTTCACCAACCAGACGAGAAGGTGACAAGTGAGTCTTTTGTTCAGTATAGCTTTTGGCATTAAGAGATATTCATGTTTTTGTCAGCTCCTCTGGATCCCTCTTGCTGGTTTTGTGTGTCCATACAGCAGCCTCTACGTGTTAGCTGTTACAGCTTACTCCAGCAACACTTACTCCAGCAACATTCCTCAGAGGACTTGGACTTGGACTCTTAGTGCCACTTTCCTGGAAGCATCTTAGAATTTACGTAGCATCTGGGGAGGTCTGTAGCTATTGACTGACAGAAGACAGGGTACAAATATCTGATTCCTTGCCCTGGCAGGAAGGAGGAGGGGGAAGCCCTCTGTAGTCTTTAATCTCTAGAGCTCCCCATGAGATCAGGCTGAGGTTAGGGTAGCACTTCTCCTGATCCAACATCTCCCACTGCCTTACCTGTTTCTACTGGCACCATTCTTCTAATAAATCATTTGTGTACAAATCCTTGTCTAAGCATCCGCTTCTGGGAAACTTGGCCTAACATAGAGGTGGTATATTCATATCTACCCTCTCATTGCCTTCCATTCAAGGATCCTCAAAATAATTTTTAACACCGTGCAGAGTGTGGTTAAAGCAAACTAAATATGGCCTGAGAAAGACTCCGTACTTCTATATTTGAGTCCTTGTGGATCAATGGTAACGTAATTTAGGAATATGCATCTGTAACAATCGCTGAGTCTTGGCCAATCCCAGAAGTCATACTTCAATCACTCATACACTGCTGAATGCTCAAACTGTGTTCAAATAAGGCAAATACCAACCTGTAACCAATCCTGCTGTTTCTGTACCTCACTTCCGATTTCTGTACATCATTTTCCTTTTTTTGTCTATAAATTTGTTTTGACGAGGAGGCATGCCTGGAGTCTGTCTGATTCTACTCTAATTCTGATTCATGAATCATTTTTTTGTTATTGTTTGTTTTTTCTTGCTCAATTAAACTCGGCTAAATTTAATTTGTCTGAAGTTTTAACAGTGCTATTTGTGAAATAATAACAAAAATCATAATCTTGGGGAGTGATAAAAGCCTTTAATTCTGACTGTCTTTATTGACCATAGAGAGATCTGAGGATTGTTGTCAGAACTAAAAGACAGGTGGAAGAGAAAACAAGGGCAGGGTAGGTTAATAAGGTGGAAAAAAAATCAAAATCATGATTCAGTAAACATTTATTGAATATTATCAATATTTTAGGCTTTTTTCTAGGCATAAGAAATATGTTTATTGCCCATGGAGGTTAGATTTTAGTTGGAAGAGAAATGAGAAAACAATCAAACAAAAGAAGTTATGTTTTTGAAGTAGTAGATGGCTGTCTTACTCTGAGCTGTTATAACAAAATAGCATAGACTTGGTATTACAAACAACAGAAATTTATTATTTCGGTTCTGGAGCTGGGAAGTCTAAGATTTGGTGTCTGGAGAGGGCCCGATTTCTGGTTCATAGACGGTGCCTTCTTGCTGTGTCCTCACATGGTAGAAAAGGGTACTAGCTCTATGTGGTCTCTTTCACAGGGTCACTAATCCCATTCCTGAGGGCTCCACACTCATGGCCTCATCACTTCCCAAAAGTTCATGCCTCCAAATACTATCACCTTGGAGGTTAGGATTTCAACATATAAATTTTGGGGGGATACAAACATTCAGACTATAGCAATGGCTTTAGTGATGGTCTCAGGTTCAATGAAGTCCTTCTTGAATAAAATGTTAATTCTCCCCTTTGCATTCATGACAGCTATTGAGGGAAGGAGAAACCTGACCATGGTGGGAGCCTGTTTCCTCCAGTGCTGCCTGTTGCTGTGTCTCCCAGGCACATATTACATGACCTGACCCTCAGTGAGTGCAACATAAATCCTGCCTATCCTTGACTTCATTGATTAGGTATTGGAGATTCAACTCAATCACAATATAGATAAACCAACCCTCATTCTGAATTCTTACTTGTTACACACCCATTGAGACACCACTTCTACAGAAACCACAGACAGCTGTCTGCTTTTTCTCCTCTCCCCACTTATGAAACTTGATCTCGATCACCCATCACTTTGTATATTCTCTTTCATAGAGGTATTTATGTATTGTGTTGTCTCTAAAAATATTAGTACTGTATATAAGAAATAGCCAGAAAGGGTGGATTTTTTTCTTAGATCAGCAGCTTTTTTTTCCACTCCCAGCTTCATAGCATATGCTCTGACTTCCCATGATGTTAGTTTGCCAGCCAAAGGAGCTCCTCCACTGACATTCTGTAGAAGCCTGCTTCTCAGGGTGATTGCATCAGTAGCTGATCATTTAATAATAATAACAGTAATAATAGAATATTAAATTGGGCTCATAAGAAGTCGCAAACATACTTTAAGCAATTCTAAATATTAGGCATATAAATGCACATTCATATGGCAATTATTTGACAAAGGACTTGTCTTTGACTCTGGGTCCATGATTATAATTCTGTTTCTCATATAAACCACATCCATAATGAGTTGTCCAAATTTTCTGTTTTACTTCTTTACAATGAAACAAACAAACAAAATCTTAAAAATTTTGCAAAGCAATCCAGGTCGAGAATTCTTTTACTTTTTGTGAATTATTTTTACCCTTCTTTATTCCAATGCAATTTTTTTTCTGACTAATAGTTACTGAGTCTTTGCAAAACATTTGATTTATTTTTATAGGCACAATGAACTCCCTTTTTTAAACTTTCATATTTGCATACTATTTTATTTTATTCTTTTAAAATAATGTATTACCTAATTAAATTACTTAATTACAATAACAATTTCAAATAGAACAAAAGGTTTTGGAACAAATAACTAAATAAATGGGAAAATAATTTTGTGATCATTCTAGGGATTAACTAAGGAGTTAAGTGTTCCATGGGAATCATTTTGTTTTACAGAGGAACTTGAATGGGTTAGTTATTTTGGAAAACTGCTTATATAGAGATAAGAAAAATTCCACAAGATATGCTCCTGTCCTTTGAAGATAACGAAGTAGATTGCACTAGAAATGGGTTTGTAGAAAGAGGTGGGGCAGAACTAGTAGGTGAAATACTCTTTTGGAAAAAGGGAATAAATACTGCGAGTACTCTGACGAAAAGACTCAGAACACCAAAGCTGGGCCACATTTTCTGATCTCAAGCTCCAGATCACACATAAAATACTAACCGAATTCTATCGTTCCCCGATAAAGTTCACGAACATACTGCCTCCATGAAAGACCTGTCATTTATATTTTGAGATTAAAGTGCTGGAAGGTTCACCCCAAATTATATCTCGGAATTCTACAATTACTGAGTTGTGCATTGTCTTCATTGTCTTTCTTCTTAGGCTTTTTTATTAAGTTTGAATCTCCTGATCATTGCAGCACATAAAATTTCTAAGTACCTGTCCTGAAAGAATATATCAGATTTCCTCTGTGAAAGGACTAAAACAGTGTAAGAATACTGAGTGACTCTGTGTGAGTGATGGGGGTGGATAATAGGAAAGGAGTTATAGAAAAGAGCTTAGAAAAGAAAAGGTAGACAGCCTGAAGCATAGTCTTATCTCTTTCACAATTTTTCTAGGTGCTAATTCCCCCACTGTTTATTTTATATTACAGACAATGAACTACTGGATAGAGACTGATGCCTTTAAGATAGTCCTACTTTCAATCTTCTATCATGGAGAATATCCAATCAAATGAGAAGTGGAACAAGTCAAAGTAAGCTTTTCTAAAAACAATGTAATCTGTGATTTTGGTGAAAAGACACATTTCTCCATTAAAATTGTATTTACTTTTAAAAAATGTCAATATGGTTTGTGCCCCATTTATAACCCAACATACCTGGATGATTCATCATTGCCACCAGACATAAAAATTGCAACTTTTCTTATTTTCATCAAATTACTATTTTGCCATGTAAAGAAGAGTCATTTTGTAAAATTCTAAACTTTTACAAAGGTAAGAAATGGTGAAATAATAACAACATTTGTCTTCTGTCAAAAAATATTGACATGATATTACCATACCAAAATTGGTTTGTGTTCTGAAGTATGTCTCAAAGATAAATCAGACTTTAGATTTTTTTAAACAATCTAAATTGTTCTTTTGATATTAATGTCTATAAAAACATCAGGACATATAAGTGCAGAAAAGAGATTCTATAAAGTAGACATAAAATTTGGGTAAGATCCTTGAAATTCCCTGAACACTCATTTGACATATTTGACATTGACTCAAGTCATTTTCAAAGTATAATGTGACATATTTCATATTTCATTAGTGTCTAAATTGTGGACTTCTTAGACCAGAAAAAGCCCTTTGTAAATGGCTAAGAAATGTCTGTTTACTATCTTTGCAAGATTCTATTCAGAGAACTGGGCAAAGAAAGGGTGTACTATGTGAATGAAAAAATAAAAATTTATATAGCAAATTCATGTAGTGGAGAAGAGCCCAGAATGATTAAAACATTGGCAGCAAATGCTCTTAGCAGTGAAAGTGAACTACGGTCTACTAGTCAACAATTTCTGAAGTTGGAGGTCTATTTCACCTCTTGTTTCTTATCCATGCCCATTAACCTCATGCCAGAATCAAACACCTAGTGCCATCTGTCTAATCAGACTGATAAAGCCACAGGACATGGAAATGCAGAAAAGGATGCCTTTCATACTTTTTAAAAAGTCTTTATTTTGATGTTGTTAAGGAGGAAAAAAAATGAACCATAAACAAAATGTGATTTAATTTAATTGGCTTTAAAATAGTAAATTGAGAAATAATAACAATTCAACTCATTTGCTTTCAAACTGATAACAAAATTAAAATTCACCTCATGCTTATTAAGCACCTTCAATATTCAAGACATGTTCCAGGCAAAATGAAGGAACAAGGATGACTGGTGGAGAGTAAGCAGTCTGCATGGTGTGATGGCTGGCTGAGGTGGTCTTGTGGATCTGCGACACTGGAGGAAGTGCTGTCCTGGGAGGAAAGTCTGGCAAAGCAAGCCTGGATCAGTGGAAGGGCTTGAGCAGCAGGCTGAGCAGTATGGGCTTTGGACTACAGGTAAGGAAAACCCTTCACAGGTTTCTAACAAGGGAGATGAGCCCATTGGGGTATTCAACTTGATGCAACACTTATAGGAATAAGTAAGCACAAAACTCTTCATTCCATTCCACTTTGGTGAGTTGAGGAGGGGCAAGGTAAGGGGGAAGAAGAAAGAAGAAGGAGATACAGGCGTAAGAGTGAACACTAGAGAAGCAGGAAAGGGGAGAAACATATTCTGAGCAAGGAATCAAAGCCGGACTAGGATTGAATAGGAGGGTTTTGTTTTGTTTTCAAGAGATAGAGTCTTGATCTGTCACCTTGGCTGGAGTACAGTGCTACAATCCTAGCTCACTGCAGCCTTGAACTCCTGGGAGCAAGTGACACTCCTGCCACAGCCTCCTGAGCAGTTGTGATTACAGACATGTGCCACCATGCTTGGATACTTTTTAATAAATTTTTTTTGGAGAGATGGGGGTCTCACTATGTTGCCCAGGCTAGTCTCAAATTCCTGGCCTCAAGCAATCCTCCCACCTCAGCCTCCCAAAGTGCTGGAATTACAGGCATAAGCCACGCACCCAGCCTACATGAGAAAGTTAAGTGAATGTTTAGTTGAGAATTAGATGGCGAACATAATCTGCTGCTCCTTTGAGCTGGGAGCAACTCACCCACCATTTCCTAAACTAGAAGTTAAACTGGTGACCTGCAGTCAACAAGGTCCTAAAAGTTGGATTTACTTTATTTATTTAATTTTCTGTTTTTAAACTTAATTGTTTTTAATTTTTTGTTTCTTTTTATTTATACATCTTTAACATATTTTAAATTTGAGTGCCTTTAGGAGGCTATGCCATTCTGCAATTCAACACTCCCTATTTACTTACATCCATGTTTATATGCCAGCCTGGCTTCTGTAGGCATTTGAGTTTGTAGTTCCAACTAGCAGATAAAGACTTGTTTGCTGAAGATAAATACAAGATATTTGTATCTCTGTACACTTTAAAATTAAGAATATTAAAACACATATGTTTAGAAATTTGGAAAGATATATTGTATACTTCTCTCCCCCAATATTTACAAAGAGAGCAGTGGGTATTTGTAAGAAATGTATCAGATGCTCTCAAAGTGATTTTCATGCTTTATCAGCAGCCATTAAAAGAGCGTCTGCCACAAATATTTAGCCTCTCTGATGTTTTTACACAGTCATTTGTACCACTTTGGGCAGAAATCAGTTGGTCAAATCTCAATTTTCTCATTTTCCTCTTCTCTTGCTTCAGGAAAACTAGTAGATTTACTTTCCCCTTGTTTCTTACTTTTTGAAAAATGATAGTAGCCAATTAAAAATTATTGACTAGTATGTTATAGTATATTCTGGTTTTTGGCATGGTTGCTTATCCACAAAAAATAGCTCTGATATTGGCCAACATAGTTAACTATATTGTCAAGCACACTGGTCTCCCCCACTTATTTTCATTCAGATCTGTGCCCAAAAAATATCTACAATTGTTTTCTTTTGAGTGGTAAGGGCATATAACTCCTCTGCCACTCTCACCAGGAAGAATGCATATATTTATCTGTGTGAGATTAAGGTAGAAAAAGACATATGTAATTATGATGGGTCTGCATTTGACTAATGAGTAGGATATTTGAAACATCGAAGGTCTTAAGATGTTATTAAATTGTGCACTTAGGATGGGTAAATTTTATTGTATGTATATAACACTTTAATTAAAAACATTTTTAAAGTGTAAGATCTAAGACCACTAGATAAACGTGGCAGAGGATACATGCATTTATATTTGCCTCCACTTCAAATCCTACCACAATAAGTGTAAAGAAAAGAAAAAGTTATAAATCTGTAGCAGTCAAGTAACCAGAAGTGGAGAAAACAATTAATTAAGAAGAAATGCTAATAAAATTTATAATGACTGAAAGTGAAGAGAAGAACCTAAATCTTACATGCCTGCAGAGATAGATACCAATATGTAGTCAACCACAGGGCCTCAGAAAATGGCAATGACAGATGGTCTCAGAAATTGTTTCGAGTACTCCAAAATGAGCGACTGAAGTATGGAGCTGAAAATGGAGTGATCAAGAGTCAGACCAAAGAAGGGTCAGCCTGTCTTTGAAGATTTGTGAGAATGACAACTCAGACTTGGTTCAAGATTCTTTTTTTTCCATTGGTACTAGCAAATCATTCCAAAGCTAATTCCAAAACAGAGATACAAGGGAGTATCCAGCTGTCAGGGTCTCTGCATTTCTCCCACACAAGTACATTGGAATTGTCGGAAAACAGCTTCATGTGCAAGAAATTCACAAAGCAGAAGATCCCTATTATCCTATTATCATGCAGAGATCTGTCCTAGGGTCCTAGGAAGAAACTCTTGCCAAGATACTCTTTTGAGTTCAGTAAACACCTACAACAGACCTAGAGATGGCTCACCTCAGGGTGAAAGGCCACACAGGGGACATTTGGGCCTTCAGGAACTTAGTTCTACTCCCAGATAGCCCAGTGACCACCTCTTCCAAGAGACTAGGGATTGACTCTTTGCATACATCGAATAAATCAGCCTTTGGATTTGGGAACACCGGACACAATGGAAAACAGAGAATAGAGCTAGATTTAAAACAGGGGACCTAAGCAAAAATATGCATGCAAAATGTCAAGATCTCATCCTCTTTTTCAGAGGACCAGCAGCCAGGCCTATAAACTGAGGGCAGAGACTAAAAGATCCTTCTTTGTACAGTGTCAGAGAAAATGTTAACTGACACTAAAATTTAGAATTTTACCAATGAAATAGTTGCGTTCATATATCGACTCCCTACGTGGAAGCTCACCCATCCACAAGTCGCTGCTAAGCACACACAGTGTACACTTGGCTTGTAGGTGCTTCATTACTTAATGTAGACATTTAGTCTAGGATCAGCAGACATTTAGGAGAGACTCTAGGATCAAAGGTAGAGGTGAAAGTCAATAAATGCTAAGAGAAAACTTAGAGAAAACAAAGACAATGCAGAGAAGAAAAAAATATATATGGCTACATTTATGGATAAATATGTTAAGTTGAATCATATGAAACTACCATTTTTGTAGATCAAATGATGAAATAGCAGCAATTTCACAAGGTCATTAATGACCTAATATACTGCCAATAGAAGTTCCAAAAGAGAGGAAAAAGAAAAAGGGCAGAGTTTTTTTGTTTTGTTTTGTTTTCAGGGGAGTTTGAGTGTGGGGAGTGGGCAGAGCAATTATCAAAGAAATAATATCAGACAATTTTATAGACAGAAAGAATATAATTCTGTTGATTAAAGGGATTCTCAAAAAGATGAGTCTAGCAATGTAAATCACTTCAAAATTTTGGAACATGAAGGATAAGGAATAGATGCTAAAAATATTCTAGATGGAAAAAAATTGGTCACACACAAAATAAAGAATATGAAGTGGTGTTGATCATCTCACTAACATTGGAAATTAGGAAACAATAAACAATATTCTTACAATGTTGAGCAAAAATAATTTTCAACCACCAATTTCTCCCCCAGCCAAACTGGATGAAAGAATTTTCAGATGTGTACTATATACATATGTGTGTATATATGCATACACGCATACACACACACACACATATATGTATGTATGTATTTCTTTTTACCCTCTTCTTCATGCACTAGGTCAAGAATATACTGGGGTTGTGTCTCACCAAAATAAAACCAAAGAGAAAGACATGAGATATTGGATCCTGACACAGGAGGGCAATGAAGGAAATTCTCAGAACAAGAGCAATGGGAATGCAACTATGCAGTTGCCCAGGAGAGCAAGCATTCAGTGTGGACAGGGGAGTCAAAGCTCCAAGAAGGGTGCACTCATTAATGAAATCGAAATAACTGATTACCCTGTACATTCTACAATTTGCAAAATGGTATTGAGGGGCTGACGGATGGTCAAAAGTAATTATAGGTCAATATAAGAAAAACAATATGGAGAAAAGTAAGGCAACTTATTAAGAAAAGTTTTATCAGAAAGTAAAATTAGTATTTCCCACTATTTGGCTCAGCAATAAACAATACTGCTTTGTAAAAATAATATAAATACTGAATATTGATATAAGTCCAAAATGTGAAATATAATTGAACTTTGTTGGGGAGAGAAAACAATGAACAAGGATAATTGTGCAAGAGAGTTAAAGCCTTAGCTACCAAGTAAGAAGCCAAAATATAATATCAAACAACTGCTCATAGCAGCTTACTTTTTTTTTTTTGATATGGAGTCTTGCTCTGTTACCCAGGCTGGAGTGCAGTGGCCCGACGATAGCTCACTACAGCCTCAAAATCCCAGGCTCAAGTGATCCTCCCACTTCAGCCTCTTGAGTAGCTACCATAGGTGCATGCCACCATGCCCAGCTATTTTTCCTTTTTAAATTTTTTGTAGAGACAGGCTCTTGCTTTCTTGCCCAGGCTGTTCTCAAATTCCTGGCCTCAAGCCATCTTCCTGTCTTGGCTTCCCAGTGTGTCAGGATTAGAGGTGTGAGCCACTGCACCTGGCCCTAGCTTACTTTTTAATAGCTAAATGCCCATCAACAAATAGTTGAATGGATAAATTAAATAGTGATATATCCTTATAATGGAATAATAGTCAAAAATCAATAAACTTGATTTATGCTCAACCTGAATGGATATCAAAATATTATACTGAATGAAAAAATATTGAACAAACTTACATAAAATATGATTCAATTTATAGAAATCTCTAGGAAGAATAAACTAACGTTTAGTGATAGAAAGTAGACCAATGGTTACATGGGTCTGGGAATAAGGGAGGTATGGAGGAAAGACTGGGTTTCAAAGAGGCATGAAAAAGCCTTTGGGGATGATGGGAATGTTCATTATCTTCACTGAGGTGATTATTTTATGGGTATATGTATGTGTATATATATATGTCAAAATGTATTAAATTGTAAACTTTAAATATGTGTGGCTTATCATATATTAATTATACCTTAATAAAGCTGCAAAAATAGGCCAGGTGTGGTGGCTCACGCCTGGAATCCCAGCATTGTGGGAGGCCAAGGCAGGTGGATCACTTGAGGCCAGGAGTTGGACTAGCCTGGCAAACATGGCAAAACCCCATTTCTACTAAAAATACAAAAAAATTAGCCATACATGGTAACTCATGGCTGTAATCCTAGATACTCTGGAGGCTGAGACATGAGAATCACTTGAATCCAGGAGGCGGAAGTTGCAGTGAGCCGAGGTCGTGCTTCTGCACTCCAGCCTGGGCAACAGAGAGAGATTCTGTCTCAAATAAATAAATAAATAAAGCTGTAAAAATAGATTCTAAAATTAACAAAATAAAGAATTGCAATTTAATGATTATATTTTAGCAGAAACATATAAATAGCAGAAAACACATCTAGGGTGAAAAATAGCAGTCTTTGGGGAGCAGGATTGGGGAAAAAGAAGATACTGCTCACTCTTAATGAAAACCTAAGAGTACAATTTCCTTTCTAAAATTATGTACGTGCATTCCTTTTGTAAAATTTAATACATTTTTTGGTCATTTTAATAAACACATGTACACAGATACTATATACAGTGATATGTACTCACATTTTCCCCAAAGTAGACAAGAATGTGTATTTCAGAGGTTGACTTTTATGTCTGGCCCTTATGGCTCAATAAGTAACTAGTAATTAAAAGTAATGGCAAAAACCGCATATACTTTTGCACCAACCTAATTGAAAATGGATGAGAAGGGCTCACTTTAAGTCGACTGAAAGTAGAGTTTCATGAGGAAATAATCTTTACTTGCCTTTTAAGATAATATTTTTTTTGCCACTCAACTGCAAATTCAAGAATGCTGTAACTGGTAGGTTCTAAGGGAGAGTAGTTTGGTAGAATTGGGCAAATACAACTTATACAACTTTAAAGGTATATTTTTCCAATCTGGACCAGCTTTTCAAAATTTGGAAGATTTGTGTTTGATTTTTGCAACGGCCAGTCACAGTAGGTTAGGGTCTTCCTACAGTGAAAGAGGGTCCTCTTCAATACACCTGATGATTTGGCTCCTTATATTTCACTGGTTTTGAATGATACTATGTCCTGAGTATATCCACATAATCACATTGCATGTGTTGGATCAAACTAGAGATTTCAGAGGGGAAAATCTTGTTTTCATAATGGACATTCACTCAAATGAATAAATATATGAATAAACCTACTACAATCAATATCTGATCTATAATAACACAGTAGCTAGACAAAGGCATGTAAATAAGTACAGCTAAGCACAGCTAACGTGGGTTCTGGTGATATTCCCATCACACTGTTCATTCAACTTTGTGCCACAAGTTTTCTTGGCTTGTTATGACTATTAACTGAAACACATATAAGGAAGTTCTTTGTAAACAATACATGTAGCAATTAATTAATTATACTATGTGCCATGGAATGTAGTAGTTAATGTTCAGAATAATACACTTTATAGTAACTTTAAATAAAAATTGGTCATAATCTTGATCATTGTAGCATTGCTTCTGAGTCTGATTTTGATAATAAAATTTATCAGCAACCCATTAACAATGTAAATAACTTGTTAAGTATTTCCATCAAATGAGCTTTCTTCATGTGGAAAGACCTAGAAGGAGTATTTAAAATAAAACAGAAAATCAACCACTTGGACATGATGACTTTATTGCCATATAGAAGCAGACTCTGCTCCTTTCAAAGTCCTTGGAACATGAGTAGGAAACCGTACCCATCACCCCAAATAGTAAAAACCTATTAGTAACTCCATATTTCATTATCCATAACATTTTTTTCAGAATACATTGGTCCTTTCCTTAAGATTAAATGGTTAAAAAAAAAACTAGGACAAAAAATGAGACCTATGCACATGGAGATGTCTACCAGAAAGTTGATGAAAGCTATGAGTGGACCCTAATCTGGCTAAATGAATCAACTTCACATTCTCTATCAGACCCCTTTAAAAACCCTTCACTTTCACCTGCCTCCCCAAGAAAGAGCCACAGCTATGCCCAGATAAATGGAAATAAAGCACTTTATAAGATTCTTTATTATTAAACTTAATTCTTGTTCATTCTCAACAGAATTTGTTGCATACACACAGAGAGAAATAGTTTCCAGAATACAAATATATTTGATTATTACTGATATAGAAGTTAATGACAAGAGATAGGAAGAAAAAACACAAAACTTTATTTACCAGAATATACCAGAACATTCACTGGCTAGTTTTGTGGTTTTTTTGTTTTGTTTTGTTTTGTTTTTTTGGTTTGAGGAGGTGGGAAGGCATGCAGGTTCTAGCAAAGGAAGTCAAAGACTTAGAGATGAATTCATGAAAATATCATGACCTTTTCAGATGACTGGCTAAGGACATCAATTATAATATCTTGGTCTGTATTAGCACAGAAGAAAGCAGAAGTTCCAAGTCCTTAATAGCTTAGCAGAAAATAGTCATGTGGTACGTTTTAACATTTATAAACAAAAACCAGAAGAATTAAAAAATTGTTCCTCATTAAATTTAAGGTATAGTTATTTTCTGATTAGATTACACGTAGCAAACAATTCTTCAGCAAGAAGACTATGTTTTGCGTTTTATGTGTTTGAAACAGAAAAATCCTTTTATTTCACTGGTTTTGAATGATACAGCTACTGATATTTCTAGAGCCAGTGTGGCACCAGACATATTACAATTTGAGTCAGTGAAGTTACAGAGAGAACAAGTGACCTACAGTATAATCAAAACAGTGTAATAAAAACCTAATTCCCAGACAAAGTCTTCCAAACAAGGAAAATCACAGGTACCATGGCAGGAACATGATGTGTGAGAGACACTGATCATGCTGTGAGATGAAGAACATAGACTTTGAGGTCAGAAGTGCTTGGCTTAAGAAGAAGCCCTGATACTTGCTTGAAAAGAGTGCAGCCCGGGGCAAACCTCTTGAACTTTCTTAGCTGAAACATCCACCTCTATGCCTGTTCTTCACCTTCCCAGAGTTATTATGCAGAGATCAAATAACACATAAAACTGCATCATACTTTATAAGGTGTTATGCAAACATAATGCATTATTTTTCTTTCTTGGGTAAAACTGAAAAAAAGCTCAATTATAGAATCAACCTGCAAACTTTTTAATCTAAAGTATAATAAGATCCTGTAATTAGATCCTGTATTAGTTACGATAGAAAAGCAAATTTTCTTTACTGCCATTTAATCTTTTATAACAATATTCTGAATAAAACCCAATTTGATTAGTTTCTTTGAATGATTGTGAAGAAATTCAGTGTTATAGGTAAAATAATTTTAAAATTTAATTTTCATACTTTTGGTTTGGGGGGTGGCAGGCTTTAATGGCAGTAAGATAAACTTTTAATGAACAGAGAAAAACTGAGGTCATATGGGAAATATTATGTCACATAAAAATAATAGGTATTTCTTCTTATTTAAGACACAATTGGTATTTCCACATGGATTTTAAGAATTTCATCATAAATACTGATGAAGAGACCAGTCTCACTCGCTTTATTGATTATAGGGAATTACAAGACTGCAAAATGTTAAAATATCCAAAAATTCTAGTTTGGAATTTCATTATCATCTTTTTTCTTGATGATTTCAGCTTTAAAATAATTACAATAATTACAAGTATCCATCTAGAATGCTAGAACTAATAAATCAATTTCAGTTTCATGACCTCATTCAATACTGTCTTATAACAGTCATTTTGTGTTGCTTATAACAGAATACCTGAAACAGGGTAATTAATAAAGAAAAGAGTTGTATTTCTTGCAATTCTGGAGGCTGGGAAATCCAAGGGCATGGATTGGCTCCTGGTGAGGGCCTTCTTTCTGGTGGGGTCTCTCTACAGAGTCCCAGGGTAGCAAGAGCATCACATAGTGAGAAGGCTGAGAGTGAGGGCATACTTGCTCAGGTCTTCCATTTCTTATAAATGCATCAGTTCCATTTCCAGGATAAGCTATTAATTCATTAACCCACTAATCCATTCATGAGACAGAGCCCTCATTATCCAATAAACTCTTAGCGGCCCCATCTTTCCATAATGTCACATTGGAGATCAGTTTTCAACACTTATAATTTAGGGGACACATTCAAACCATAGCAAATACTTGTACAATCAAGTATGGCAAGTTTTATCACAGTGATGACTGTAGCTGCCTATAGCACAGATTTTAAGGAAGAACCAGTAATGATGTCCAAATCTTTTGGCAGAAAAGCCTTGGTCCCTGGTCATTGCATAAGGTCACTGCATTGAGTGTATAATAATACTCAAACTGCATGTTCATGTCAAACCCAATTGTGGCTCAATGTAAAGAAAAACATTGCAACAACCCAAAATCCCATGTCTGTGTGTAGATTAATAAATCACTTGGAGACATTGGCCCAGATCATTTTACAGTCCCTTACAAACAGATAGTGTTGTGCCCTGCCTTACATCACAAGTGCCTCCAGTTTAGGAAGTATGTATTTTCTACAGAACATGTGAGGCTATGCACATAGTAGGAAAGTTAGTTTTCTTTTTTTTTACATTAAAATTATGTTATATTTGCTTAAATGAATGTTCTGAAAATATATTCCATTTACAATAGAATTGTTACAAGCAGACACTTTTATCTAGTTTTATATCTTTTTTTTCAATTTTACCATTTCATTTATTATTTTTTTTTATTATACTTTAAGTTCTAGGGTACATGTGCACAACGTGCAGGTTTGTTACATTTGTATACATGTGCCATGGTGGTGTGCTGCACCCATTAACTCTTCATTTACATTAGGTATATCTCCTAATGCTATCCCTCCCCGTTCCCCCCACCCCATGACAGGCCCTGGTGTGTGATGTTCCCCACCCGGTGTCCAAGTGTTCTCATTGTTCGATTCCCACCTATGAGTGAGAATGTGCGGTGTTTGGTTTTTTGTCCCTGTGATAATTTGCTGAGAATGGTGGTTTCCAGCTTCATCCATGTCCCTACAAAGGACATGAACTCATCCTTTTTTATGGCTGCATAGTATTCCATGGTGTATATGTGCCACTACCAATGACTTTCTTCACAGAATTGGAAAAAACTACTTTAAAGTTCATATAGAACCAAAAAAGAGCCTGCATTGCCAAGACAATCCTAAGCCAAAAGAACAACGCTGGAGGCATCACGCTACCTGACTTCAAACTATACTACAAGGCTACAGTAACCAAAACAGCATGGTACTGGTACCAAAACAGATATAGATCAATGGAACAGAACAGAGCCCTCAGAAATAATACCACACATCTGCAACCATCTGATCTTTGACAAACCTGACAAAAACAAGAAATGGGTAAAGGATTCTCTATTTAATAAATGGTGCTGGGAAAACTGGCTAGCCATATGTAGAAAGCTGAAACTAGATCCCTTCCTTACACCTTATACAAAAATTAATTCAAGATGGATTAAAGACTTAAATGTTAGACCTAAAACCATAAAAACCCTAGAGGAAAACCTAGGCAATACCATTCAGGACATAGGCATGGACAAGGACTTCATGTCTAAAACACCAAAAGCAATGGCAACAAAAGCCAAAGTTGACAAATGGGATCTAATTAAACTAAAGAGCTTCTGCACAGCAAAAGAAACTACCATCAGAGTGAACAGGCAACCTACAGAATGGGAGAAAATTTTTGCAATCTACTCATCTGACAAAGGGCTAATATCCAGAATCTACAATGAACTAAAACAAATTTACAAGAAAAAAACAAACAACCCCATCAAAAACTGGGCAAAGGATATGAACCAACACTTCTCAAAAGAAGACATTTATGCAGCCAAATGACACATGAAAAAATGCTCATCATCACTGGCCATCAGAGAAGTGCAAATCAAAACCACAATGAGCTACCATCTCACACCAGTTAGAATGGCGATCATTAAAAAGTCAGGAAACAACAGGTGCTGGAGAGGATGTGGAGAAATAGGAACACTTTTACACTGTTGTTGGGACTGTAAACTGGTTCAACCATTGTGGAAGACAGTGTGGCGATTCCTCAGGGATCTAGAACTAGAAATACCATTTGACCCAGCCATCCCATTGCTGGGTATACACCCAAACGATTATAAATCATGCTGCTATTAAGACACATGCACATGTATGTTTATTGTGGCACTATTCACAATAGCAAAGACTTGGAACCAACCCAAATGTCCATCAATGATAGACTGGATTAAGGAAAGTTAGTTTTCATTGACTATGTTATCATAAGTCAGTAAGCATGGGCTTCAGGTTCCTCATTAGAAAGGTAGCTTAATAATACCTGCCCTTTCTATCTTTAAAGTACATATGTGAAGGTAATGATGTTCCACAAATATTGGGTGGTCTTAATACATTTTCTGCTAGACCCATCCTCCTGACTCTAATCTGGCCTTTTCATTTAGATAATGCTGCCTTACCTAATATCATTTCAAAGCACTCAGAGGCTGCTTCATCCTGATATTTCATGAGATGGGCTACAAGCCCCAACCAACACATTTTCTTTTCAACAGTCATGTAATTGCTACTTCATTCCTGTGCATGGATCTGAGTCTGTTTAATGTCAAAGGCACATCATCACAGACATAAACAAACTTCATCTCTCCTATCCTCTTGTAACTAAAGATGTCCTTAGATCAGTGAAAAAAACAAATAAAAGAGTACATTCTCTTTTCTGAGTTTTCCAGAAAACCAATGATACCAGCATACCTACAGGCATAATCCAGTCATTATTACATGAATTCATAATATTTGAGTAGATGGTTATTATTGGTTGGTTCACTCCTGAAGATGCACCACCATAGGTGCCACCAGTGTTCTAGATGATTTCCAAATTTCTTTCTGGTCTGAAATCCAGGATTCTTTGTTGGGTCCTGGGAATACCAGCAGGAGTTGGCAAAGTGATGGGACAGTTGGGCTAGTACAATCAAATTAAAAAAAAAGTGATGGATTTTCCTTAAGCTTTCAAGCCATAGTGTTCAGTTGAAGCCAAGGCTGCATGAGGACGGTTGAGTCTGTCCTGGCTAAAATGCTTCACTGAACCCTCAGCACTTTAGGTGTGCCTGATACCCTGGTGTCACTCAGCTGCATCATGAACATGCATGCACATATACACATGCACTCATAGAAGAAAAATAAGTGGCCTCAGTAACAGAGATTTGGCAATTACCAAATATATTTAATTGATGTCGAATATCTCATTGGGTTCTTACACCTATCAAAGCTATGATTGTTAGACTCGGCATACTCTATAACTAAAAATGCATGGTTTACTGTTTTCATCGAACAATAATTCTGTAATGTCTCCAGGGTTTTTGTCTGAACATGTGGCCTCATAACATTTTAATATGTTTATAGTAATAATAAAGTTTTATAAATTAACTACTTTGCTAATACTTTGAAAGCTAACTCAGGCTCTGAATTAGATATTTAAAAATTTGAATGTCAATACAAACATGACCAGGAAGACTATGCAAAAAATTTTTTTCATTTAAGGGGCTAAAGACTATGTAAACACATATATCTAAATAACATAGTCTTCTAACAGTTGTAATAGTCACAAGCATTATTCTTTAACTGTCATCACTGCTTGTGCTATTATCAATGGAATACATCAGAAATGGATCAAGTCAAACTCTAGATATACTTCCTCTTGATATCTTGGGAGGAACATATATAACATTGGAAGAAACCCATTCCACATTGTCTACGAAATAAAAAACATTTTTCAGTGAAATTGATGCAAAATCATTGGGAAACTTCAGAAAAAACTGTTTCATGCCTTACAGAAGATACGTATTTTCTTCTATTACCTTTTGCTAATACCATTTTCATCAATAAAGGTCTTTGTCTGGCTGCAAAAGATACAAAGAAAACCTTTTTATATCATAGTGAGAACAACCTTGATGTAGTTCCTCTGGCTTTGAATTATAATGTATGTCATCAGTAATGTAAGTTGTTATAATTTACTTCTGACATTAAGATGTTGCTTTAGGGCATATTGTTGCAAATGTATCCTATTCACTTTCTTGCCTTCTAAATGCCCTTCATGTTTCAGTAAAACAATCCAATCAAAACTAAAGACCAAAAACACTGTAAAACACATCAAGCATACAGTTTCTAAGCATTCCTGTTACATTTTAGCCCTTTAGCCAGTGGCTCTAAAATTTCTTAAACTGTATATAGTAGTTTAAGTTTGCAAACGGGGCACAGAAAATGTCATCATGAATATTGTTTTCAGTCAGGTTCTGAAGGACTGCAAGGAAATACCTGGGGAATACTAGAATGATTTGGATCGCGGGAAGCCACCCCAGGTAAAGCTCTCAAAGATCATATTCAAGGCGAATTAACCACATTCCTTCCTCTTGGTGCAGGACCCTTGCGACTGTAACCTCACACAGGAGCTAGCAACCAAGCCCACTGTATCCCCTCTACTGAGATGTCACAATAAGATAGAGAGGGATCCCTTCTGAGAGGTTTGATTTATTTGTTGCTGGTGGCAAAAGAATTCAAAGCTATTAAGAGATTTCCACCTATTGAGTCTCTGGAATATAGATTTTTAAAAATTATTATTATTTTTTTGAGATGGGGTCTCACTGTGTCAGCCAGGCTGGATGGAGTACAGTGATGCAATTATGGTTCACTATAGCCTTGAACTCCTGGACTTAAGTGATCCTTCCACCTCAGCTTCCTGAGTAGCTGGGATTACAGGCATGTGACGATCACCTGGCTAGGATTTTTATTATTGTTGCTAACGATGATAAGCTAAATTTCTGAAGCAGAACATTAATTCACTGTAGGAAATGATTGCCAGATATTCATTGCAAAAATGTCAGGCCACCAATGAGAAAAGGGGTGACAAAATTTCTTTCTGTATTGATGCCTTCCTTCCAGAGTCCAAGAGGGATTTTAATATTATCAAGTGGAATAATTTAATATTATTCTTAAATATTTAAATATTTTACTTTTAGACAAATAATTTAAAGTATGTGTGTATACATATATATGCATGTATAATTTTCCACTTACAAAAATGACCTCAGAGTTTTAGTCCTTATAAGTAACATCTTCCCTAATTTTAATTTTTCTATGTAGTACGTAAGTCTCATGAGACCCATTCACTACCATTATCTATTAAGCATCTGCTTAGCATGAAACAATACTGTACTAGGTAGTGGCAATACACCAGTGAATAAAATAAACATGGTCTCTGGCCTCATGGAGCAAACATTCTACTTGGGACAGGCAAATGATATAGAAGTAAACAGATAAAGAATATACTTTCTGATAAGCACTATGAAGAAAACAAATAGGCTGATGTAATTCAGAGTGACTAAGTGAATGATGTCACTTTACACTGTCAGAAAGACTTTTCTAGAGAAGTGACATGTGAACTGAGATGCAAATAACCAACTAAATTTGTTCAGTGCAAGGACCAAGTACTTCAGAGGATGTGCAAAGGTATAGGGAAGAAACAACTTTGGCTCATTTGAGACATAGGAAAATACATGGGCTATGGTGGCTGTTGCACAGGGAGCAAAAGGAAGTTATTATAAGAGGCCAGTAGGGACTGAAAATGTGGAAGCTGTGGGAAGAATTGTGGATTTGGTTTTGAATGCAGTAGGACATTGTTGAAGATTTTAAGAAGGTTAAAGGCATCATCTTAGGTAGTTTTTAATGATCACTCTGGTTAGTTTTAGGTGACGGCACAGGGAAGCAAAAGTGGAGGGATGGAGATAGGGAAACTATCAGAATAAAGAAGAGAGATGGAAGTAGTGTGGGCTGGAAAGCTAGCCGTAGAAATGCAGAGAAGAGTCTGGATTTGAGCATGTATCAGATGTAAGACCCCACAGATTGCTGATGGTTTGTGCTAGACACAATTCTACAGTGGCCTCTAAGATTCCTGCCCCTGACATTATGCATGCCTTGTATAATCTCCTGCCCTTGAGTGTGAACAGGACCTGTGACTATGATGGGATACTTATTCTCATGACTACAGTATATTTATTGTGTAAGATTTCCTCATAGCACACTGAAGGGAAATTTTTCTGCTGGCCATGTTGTAGGAGGGCCACATGGCCAGGACCTGAGGGTGGATGGCCACTAGATACTGAGCATAACCCCAGTTAATAGGGACCTCAGCCCTACAATCACAAAGATCCAAATTTTACCAAAAATCTAAAGGAGCTTGGAGGGGGGCCCCAAGCCTCACTTGAGATTGCAGCCCAGTGGGAATTTTGATGACAGCCTGTGACACCCTGAGTGCCAACCAGTGCCCTGACTCCTGATCTGTGGAAACTGAGAGATAATAAATTTGCATTGTTTTAAGATGCTAAGTTTATAGTGATTTGTAGTGTGGTAATTGAAAACGAATACGTAGTTTGTAACAGAGAAGATCAAAGATAGGGATAAAACAGGAAGTTCAAGATTTTTGGCTTGGTTTCTGAATACCATCCTCCACTAAAAGAAAGAGTGTCCCTTGGAAAAATAGCTGATTCTGGGGCTAAATCAGAGAATTAACAAAAAGATCCATAAACATATATTTGTGTTACAAAGGAAGGAAATATTCAAAAAATGAGGGGATATATCCAAAGAGACATTGGACTAGATTGGAGGGGACTTCTGCTGGCCAACTCAAAGACCACCTGAGCAGCAAAATCAATAATGAATAATGGTTTGTGACCCATTAAAATATCAATTCATAAGTCTATTTTATATAAATGAATGAAGAGACAAATAGATTAGGGAGAAATGATAGTTCTTCCTTCCAAAAGAATACCAATACATTTTGAAGGAGTTATGAATATAGAAAACTCACCATTTGATAACCATCATAGTCATAATTGATTCGATGGGAGGTATAAATGGATGCTAAGACTTTGGCATGGAGACTTGACAGAAAGCAGTACATCAGTCATGGTCCAAGCAGGAAAACAGAGTCATAAAAAGATTACATATAGCAAATATTTATATATAAAAACATAGACATATATATGATTTTTGACAGGCACTTAGCCTTCTGCAATTATGAAAGTCAGTCAAGCGATTTAAGCAAGCTGTTGTCTCTGTGATGTTGGAGCTTTGAAGTCCAAAGTGTAGGCAGTAGGCAAAGGGAAATAGATGTAAACTGAGTGGCAAGCAGAGCAAGCTGAAATTCACAAGCATAAGCTGCAGATCAGAAGATGAACTGAAACCTGTGTCAGTTCTTGTTGCTTCTGCCTTTGATGGTATGGATGTCCTGCAGAAGTCAGGGCCCTCCTACCTGGCTCGCAGGTCAGAGAAGCCGAAAAGGAAATCAGGAAGAGGTGAGCAGTTGCAGTCCTGGCTCCTGCGCACCAATGAGCTAGGCCAGTGGGTGAGTGACCAACGTGAGAGATAACAGAATGGGTGCAGCTTTACTTCCACCCTCTTAATTGCCCACAAGAAGGTCGTTGTGGCCCAGACTAACTTGAAACATTCTTGAAACATTCAGTCTAGCCAAGTTAACACATGACTAAGCCACCATTGGTTTAGATGTGGTGTATCTTCCCACAAAATACTTATCATTTACAAAGGAGAAAACCGTGACTTTAGGGTGAAAAACCTGGCAGACACCAACCTGATGTTTACATCACCTCTTGTGGGAAGGATCATTGTGCCACCTGAGAGACATCCTCCAGAACAAAAGATCTCTACTCTTTAAAACCATCAAGGACATAAAAGGCAGGAAAACAGCTGCAGAACTTTTCCAGATTGAAGGAGACTAAAGCGACATCAGATCCAAATGCAAAGCTTGATTTTGACTGGCATTCTTGACCAGAAAGGGAGAAGAGCTCTAATCAGGGTCACTGGAAAAAATGTGACTGGATTTCAGGTTTGGATTATAGTGATGCATCAGTGTAGATTTCCTGTTTGGGATGATTGCATGGCAGTCATGTTGGAAACTGTCCTTGTTTTTGGAAAATACACACTGTAGTATTTAAGGAGGCAGGGATAACGTTGACCATATTATTCAGAAAAATAAGAATGATAATCATGTGTTGTATATATTTACAAGGAATGAGACATGGGGCAAATGTGGTAAAGTATAAACAATTGCGGAAGCTGGGTAAAGGAGATCCGGGAGTTCTTTGTATTCTTCTTGCAAATGTTCTCTTAGTTTAAATTTGCTTCAAAATAAATTATAAAGAGAATAGTAGATAGTAAATGAATAAGAATAGGAAAAGAAGAAGACAACATTGACAACAATTTTTCCAACTCTTCTGTGAATTGGAGGCTGAGAAGTGGTGCAAGACTAGTAGAGAAATGTGGTGTCAAGAAAGGATTTTTCAAAGATAGTTGATAAGAACTTGTTTGTAAGTTGATGAGAATGATACAAGTGGTTGAGAGGGACACATAGTGCCTAATTTCAGGAGCAAAGTCCTGGCAAATCACCATAATGTCTATATGACAAGTAGATAGATGGTCTTTGAGAGAAGCCAGAACATTTGCTCTTTAAAACAGAAAGGAAGCATTTTATTGCTTTTATGGATTCAGATTTTACTATTTTTTAAAACTAAATATGAAATACTTAAAAGCAGAAATGATGACAGCCATGATAATTAGGAATTAATTTTTAAGAAGGCTAAAGCAAAAATGAATTATAATTAACTTTTAAAATTAAACATATATGCATCCATGTTTAAGACTTTTATTTTATTACAGAGAAAGCTAAAACGAAGATTTACAGATCACTTCCGGCCACCTGGTACACCAACTTCTGGAGAATTTCTTGCAGAGCTTAGGTAGAAATCAAGGCAAAGACTACAAATGGGATCCTAAAATTCACCCTATGTACTCTCTGGAAATGCAATAGTTATGGGCTGTATCAATAAACCTGAGTTGCATATGAAGTTCACATGCAAAAAAGGCCTAGCAGGGAGGTGAGCCTGTCCCAGTTCTGGGGAAATTTGCAATTCAACTTGGTCAGGTTACCCAAAGACTTGCTGACTTATGCTGTTGACTCCACTCTAAATTTTTCAGAAAGTTGAAAACAAATTTTCATTTAGAGCAGAAAAATGCTTTGGTTTGACTGGGAATGTGTGTGACTAGTAGAAAAGATCAATTGGGAAATTACACTTCAGTGTCTCACATACCAAATTCTTGAGGCTTTATTGAAATTTGTCATTGAATCATCTTTTTCACAAATATCTTACAATTTTAGCATTTTAAAAACTTGGCACATAAGAAGTAGTTACTACTTTTACTTATTCATCAAAGCATGGGCTTTTATTTCAGTTCACAAAATGATCCTTCCAAAGAATTAATACATTTTCCAACATTCCTTCCTTACTTTTACTCATAATCTTTTCTGTATTTCTGTTTTTGCTTAAATATATTAAATTATTATCTGCTTTACAAACATTCTGTTTCCAGACTCTTTGCTAACAAAAGAAATTGCTTCTATCTATTTGAAGTGTATATACAATGCTATGTCCACTAGTATTGTGAATTATACAGTGGTGATACAGATGGGCCCTGGCTTAAATCCCAATTCTACCACTTGCTCCATTCTTGACCTTGGAGAATGTACTTATCTTCTCTAGCTTGAATTTTCTCTAATGTAAAATACAGGGGAGGCTGCATCTTGTGATGTATTTAATGGGTGTGCTCCTTCTATAATACAACTTTCCCCAGGGTTCCACTAAGTATTTTAATTCTTCCTCTGGGATTTTACTAGGTAATTAGTTTAAATTACATTATTAAGGTTATTGAGGCTAAATACTAAGATAGAAAGAAGTAAACTCTTTAGAAATGCAGGGACTCTGGAATTATTCAGCCATCTCACATTTATCTCTAGGGTTTTTTCTAGTTATCATAATAATATTTAGCAAATAGTTAAGGGGTGATCTTAGGACCTAATTCTGAAGAAGGTTGTCTTGCCCTGTGGTGTGTTCAACAATGAGATGTTTTGCGAATTAATGAGAGCATAAACCTGTAGTACCTAGAGGTTTCTGACGCAAGAGTGTTCTCAGTCAGTGCTGAGTTATTATTACTGTTGTTGATTACTTTCAATTATTCCTTTTACCAAAAAGCATGCTATTTTCCAGAACCCAGCCAAATAATATACTTCATTTGGACAACACAGTTTGAAAACTGGAAAAAGTATAAAATTATTTGAATAACTTTTGCAAACATATAAGGACTCCAAGTTAGGAAATGTCACTGGGGCAACACCCAAACTGACTACCTTTCTAGCCTTCTCTAGCACTCCGTTTAGTAGAGTTGCTCTGCTGTGTTCATACACCGCTTGCAACCAGTCTTTCAGATGGCCCCTCATTACCTTGGCTCAATTGTTGATAAGTGCATCACATTGCTTACATCAGAGCACAAAATGTCACTCAGTTGGTAATTCATTTGTTTCCTATTTTCCACCCAAGTTTACCCTGTCACTAACAGAGAGGCATGTGTGTTTTGTGTTCTTATCATTTTCTTTCTCCAAAGAGGTTTGAAATGTCTATTTTTATTTCCCATCTAATGTTAGAGTTCCACTTTTGCTTTGCTAAGGCTTTTGAATTTAAGTAGTTTAACTTTCAGCTTATTAATTTTACTACTGCTTCTGTACATTTCTAGAGAGGTCCCAGAAAAAAGTTTGTATTTCGTGAAAGCCTGTGTTTGCACCCAGAGTTAAAGAAATCCCATCACTGTATCTAACATGGACAGAGGCATTTTTCAGTAGTAGAAACCACTATGTGAGTTTACATTATTATGACTTCTCTATTAAGTCTCCGGAGCTTTCCACCACACAGAAATCATTGCATTTTTAGAAAAGCGGTCTAAATGCAAACGACTGTCAATGGCTAGCAGCGAAAACCCTATTAAGAGCCATGCTAATCATGGCCAATTAGAGCACACTGAGACTTGACACTTTTCCTTATTTAAAACAATTTTTGTCCAGCTTCTTAAAAACAATTGTTAAAATGACCTAGGAGGGTATAGGATTCTAACACAAACAAATGGAAAGCAGATTTGTAGAATTATTGTTGCTATGATAGTATGATAGTTGTGCTCAATTATTAGATGAATAGAATGAGAGGGTTTCAAAAATATTTCATTGTTTACTCACTACTTGTCTTCATCAACTCCTGCCAGGTGAGGCTAAATAGCAATTTAGGACATGACCTCTTCAGCTTTCCCTCAAGTGCTTGAGCTATACTTAGTCATTCTGAAGTTGGAAGAGATTTGAAAAGTTCTAGTAAAAACTTTCAGATTGGGAGCGATGCCTTTAACCTTTGGGGGAATGGAGAGAAGGAAGGACAAGGTATAACTGTGGCTGGAGTATCCATTGAACCATGGATGATTTATAATTTCAAGAAGAAGGGTGTCAAAAACTGTTTGTTTTCCCCCAACCTGTCTTTGGATCTTCACGTTTGGATCCAACACGAGGATGGAATATTGCATGAACCAAAATGACAGTACGGTTTATGTGAAATTGGAAGAGCCCAGTTCTTCACGCAGCTGTCTTTTCAGGCCACTAACAAGCTTTTTTTGTGTGCGCAATCTTTCCATAAATGAGCAGCAATCATCAATGCCAGATTATTCCACAACTCACTTACGTGTATGCTAAAACTGAATAGTTTCTTTCTACATTTTTCTGGGTGTAAAAGTCTGGAGGAGGTCATTGCAGCAAAGGTTTTCTCATTTATCTGATGGCCCTAATTTTCTGATTTCCTGTACCATGTTTAATTTGCCTGCTTTTAACCTGTTCATTCGTCAGTTTAACAAGTTGCTATTTTTTTGTTCATCCATATGTGTTTTTTAAAATCATATTTTGTGGTTTTTTATGTTGCTACTATCTGCACCCTTCTAGTACAAAAACTTCGAGGATATAGCCAGAAGCCTGTCCCTGCATTCAACAATAGTTTACTAATGATGACAGACAAGAAAACTAGCAATTATAACAGTGTTGTATGGTCTATAGTGAACAGAGTGTTGGGAGGAATGGGAGCACAAAAGAGGACAAACTGATTCAATCTTATCTTGGGAGGGCAGGAAGGCTTCTTCGAGGAGGTACTATGTAAACCAAGTTCTAAATGCTTAATACGTAGATGTTTTACAGAGAATTGAAGCAAGAGCACAGGTGTGTCTACAAAATCTACAAGATTGTTATTTCACGTTCATTTTCTCTCCTATTCATATTTGTGGGTTAAACTGAATTACTGTATTCATTCATTTATACTGGGAGGTGGGTAAGCAGGGCAGATCTCCTTACTACTTTTAAGAGTTCCTCACACTGAAATGGAGCCAAGAGAGGAAAAATAAATGTCAACATAGCTGCCAGAAATTGAGAGTCATTAGCCTCAGGTCTGTGATTTTTAAGTTCCATTTCTTAGCGCAATCATGGTTCGAGGGTGGCTTGAAATAAACAAACTGGTTTAAATGAGACACTCAGGGGGTTCAGCAGCATGAAGCATCAATCCACGGTTAGCTAAACCTATTTCTCCCATTCTGCTTCCCAATGAGCGGCTGGAAAGAGCCTTGACTCCACTGAAAGAGCAATTTATTTAAGACAATCTTGGTCAAATTAATTAAATTCTATGGGCATTGTTTTCTTCATTCATAATAATAATATAAATCTACTCACAGGAATGTTGTAAAGAACATTTATAATTATGTTAATTCTCCAGAACAGTGATGCACATAGTGTTCAATAAATTATAATTATTATTATCATTATTAGTATTATTATATAGAAAGTGATCTCAGCTCATGCTTCAGAATTTTATAAACAAATTCTCTCCAGACATTTTTTATTATGCACTGTAGGAGTTGTAAAACAGAAAGTAAAAGTTAACATATATATTAAACTTACATACACATTACACACATTTTATACTAATATATTTTTACATTTAAAAACATACACTAAAATTGTATTGAGATTTAAATGAAAATGTATTCAATTAAGAAATAGATGCATGCCTATACTCCCAGCTACTTGGTAGGCTAAGGCAGGAGAATGAGTTGAGCCCAAGAATTTGAGGCTACAGAGAGCTATGATTGCACCACTGCACTCCAGTTTGGGCAACAGAGTGAGGCCCTATCTCTAAAAATAATAATAATAATAATAACAATAATAATAACAACAACAATAATAATAATGGCTTCTAATGGGAATATTGGTGTCCTGTAATAAGGTCCCCATATTCTAGCCTCTTTTGGAAGACTTAGGCAGAATTCTAAGACTGTCCCCATGACTTCTTCCCCCAGTGTTGTGCCATAATTAGGTTATATTATATGGCAGAAGATTTTGCACATGTAACTAAGATCACTAATCAGTTGATTTTGAGTCAATAAAAAGAGATTATTCAGGCGGGCTTGAACTAATTGCTTGAGCCATTTAATTGTGGATCTGAAAGTCAGAGCCAAGAGTCAGATTCAAAGTATGAAAGGTATTTGACATAAGGAAGATTTTCTCTCTGGACCACACATAACATGCAACATTCCTTTTTTAAATAAAACCCCCAATCTTCTCTTTGTTCTTTGGACATTCCAAAGACCACCAGGTCTCTGTGGATGCCCTGAATTGCAATTCTTTCTTCTCAAATAAAACATTAACTTTAGAAGTTTGTCTCTACTTTTTTATTTTGACTTTGACACTTCTCTGAGAACCCACTTCTGAGTGTCATCAGTGACTTGCCAGTGGCCAGGCCAATAGTTCCTTCTGCTCACTTGACTTCCCAGGAGCACTGGATACTGTTCACCATATTTTCTTTCTTGAAACACTATTTTTGGGGGAGGGTTTCCTTGCACTCTCCTGCTTTCCTTCCTTCTTATTGGCCACTTCTCAGAATCTGTTGCTGGCTTCTCTTCTGCTTGACATCTAAACGTAAGAATGCTTCAGGGCTCCTTCTTAGCTATTTTTCTTCTCTGTCTACCCACCTCCTCCCTAGATAACCTCATCCAGTCTCATTGCTTTAAATGTAAACTATTAGAAATAACTTTAAATATGTATCTCCAGTCTGACCCCTGCTGAAATCCCTAATGAGAATAACCTACTGTGTGCTTAACATCTCCACTTAGATATCTTTTGGGCATCTCAAATTTAATGTGGACACCACAGAACCATTGATTACCTCAACACTTTGACCTAAACTGGCTTCTCTTAGGCTTCCCCATCTCAGTAAACAGTATCATCCACTGTACAGCTTCTAGTACTATCTTTATTCATTTGCTCACATCCAGCATCCAATTCATCTGTAAGTTTTGCGAGGTCTACCATTAAAAGCATATCCCAAATCAGTCCAATAATCCCCATATTTCACTTGAACTATGGTAGTAACTTCCCAAGTGGCTTCTCTGTGGCAAACCTGTCGCCACATCCATTCTCCACAAATCAGCTGAAGTAAACTTGAAGAAGGTGAATCAGACCGTGTCCCTACACATGCACGTCATGTTTAACCCCCTGCAAAGACTTCCCATTACCCATAGGACAAAACTCAAACTCCTTGCCCTGCATAGAAATCATTGTTTGACTCCTGGCACTAAACTGCCTTCATGTCTTGCCACTCTCTCTTCTCTGCTTGCCTGTCCCTTTGTTTCTCACTCCCACCTCAGGGCCATTGCATTAACCATTCCCTCTGAAGTGAAAAGTCATCTCCTGAGAAGTCTTTTCTGACCATTTGGTGTAAGGAAAACTACTCCATCACTTGAGTTCTGTTTATCTGCATCACCCTTATCTTTACATGTTTTTGTTGTCTTTTATTGGTCTTATTCCAATTCTAGAATTCAAGCCTTGTGAGAGCAGGGAAATCATTTGCTCATGCCTTTATGAGTGTATCCTCAGAGCCTAAAAAAATCCTGCAGTATAGCACATACTCAATAGGTATCAATTTAATAAATGAATGAAAGTTGAGTTGTTCAAACAGAAAGTAGAAAAGAGGGAAATGGAGGGATGCCAATTTCTTAAACACGCAAGTAGAATTTTAAGAGACAGGGTATAATAATGACTGAAAATAAAACTTTTTCTTAAATGCATTATTTAAAGTAAAAGTTAACCAATCAAATACTAAAAATATAGTAAAACTATGTTCTAAAAATATAGTAAAACTATGTTTCACTATAAGCATTAAGATGAGGGAAGGTTACCTTCTCCAGTGGAGTATGTGAGCTGCTTTCTTACCTTCAAAGTGACAGAGACAATGGTTTTGGTTTATGTTTGATAAATTGGTTAATAGATATATAAGCATTTTTAGAAATATGGAATAAATAACCGGAATGATTAAGAGCAGTTTTTTTTAATAAGTGTGAGATGATTGTGTAAGATCTTAACATTAGGAGAAATTCAGTGAAGGATATACAAGAACTCTTGGTACTATCTGCAACTTTCCTGTAAATTTATTCCAAAGTTTAAAACTTATATAAATAAAAAAAGCAAGAGTTTGATAAAAGCATTAGTATATTGGGCATAAGACTGATGATAAGGCAGCTAAATATAGTTTTCATTTTATGCTTTGCTTACTATTTGCCTTTTTTCTCTTGTGTACATGTATGTAATTGATAGTGATGATGATGATAAATAAAAGCTTTAGAACAAAACTTTCTTTTTGTAAAAAACAGCTTCATTGAAGTGTAATTTGCATATATTAAAATTCACTCATTGTTAGTCTACAATTTAATAATTTAATGAAATGTAATGGAAATTAAAACCACCCTTTTTGGGTGGTTTTAATGTCTCACGTTACACTTCCACTAATATATATGTGTGTGTGTGTGTAGTACTTGTTAAGATGTTTGTGTAAAGAGCATCATCACTGGGATGAAAGAAAACAAGGAAGAAGGGAAGGAGGGAGAAAGGGAGGGAAAGAAGGAGAAGAGGAAGGAAGGGAGGGAGGGAGGAAGAAGGAAGGAAGAAGAGTTTTATGGGTAAGCGCAGGTCCTGGACACGCTTGATGTTCAAATGGGTCTTACATGGTGAAAACAAAGAGGAGCTGTGGGAATCTTCAGGACTGGAGGCAGCGTGATTCATTTCAGCTGGAGCAGTATACCAGCCGGCTACTGCTTTCACTGAGAGAATCTAGTTCCCAAATAAAAGGTAGTAAGAGGCAGGTATATTGCCAGGACCTGGTCTAAAGAGCTGGGACAGGAGTAGAGCTCCAAGCCCAGTGTGCATACTGGTAAGCGGAGCAGATAGACAGGAAAAGCAGAGTGTAATAAGATTAGACAAATGAAGGAAGAATTAGGGAAAAAACATCAAGTTATTTAATGGATTCTCACAAGCATTGGTTGTGAGAATCACTATACTGGTTTTCTATGTTGCTGTAACAAGTTACCACAACCTTAGTGACAGAAACAACATAAATTTATTATCTTACAGTTCTTTAGGTCAGAAGTCTTACACAGGTCCCACTCGGTTAAAATCAAAGTGTAGGCAAGGCCACATTAATTTCGCAGTCTCTAGGAAAGAATATCTTCATTTTTTCTAGAGGCTGCCTGCATTCCTATGCTCATGTCCCTTCTGCCTTCAACACCAACTTCGGGTTGAATCCTTCTCATATTGCCATCTCTTTGGTTCTCTTCCATCATCATTATCACCTTTCTCTGAGTAACTAGAGGCAGGAAAGGGCCTTTGCTTTTAAGCACGCATGTGATTAGATTGGACCTACCTGGCTAACCCAGGACAATTTCCCATCTCAAAGTCCATAAGCTTCCTCACATCTGCCAAATCCCTTTTGCCACGTAAGGCAACATACTCATGGGTTCCAGGTGATTAGGGTATGGACATCTTTGGGCAATTATTCAGCGTACTACACCTCTCAAGACCTGTCTACAGGTTTCCAGGCTCCCAGCCTCTGGACTTCTAAAAGTCAAGTACGTATTCATGTGGATCTTATTCCTGTATGGATCCAGATGGTTTTAAGGTTGGGGGCGGGGATGCTTGTAGGTGTCCTGCCTCAATGCCTGTAAATGAATGCATTGAGTCAGGTGGGTGGGCTGACACAGAACAAGCATGGTGATTATAATGATCATTTGAAATGTTATTCCTTCCTCTTTTATCATTTTTAAAATGTAATATTTAGAAAAATCAGCTGCTACCTGTATATGAGGTGGCTTTTTATATCTAATTCTCAAAGCAACCTAGTAATTATGAAGATGAGAACTGCACAATGAAATTTAATTTCATGAGGATAATAACAAGGGGAAAAAATTCTTTTTTTTATTTTCAAGAAGGATTGGAAATTAGTCCTTCCCTTCCTCCTCTGCGGTTTCTAGGCTATGCTCTCTTAATGGATTTTTATCTGTTTTATAAGTAATTTCCTTAATATTTCAATGGTCACAGATAGTCGAGATCGTACGTCTTCTCAGCAAACATATATTTCATCAGCACTGTCACAGTCTAGAGTCCCAGAGCTTGTAGACTGATGTTTCTGGCCCTTCCTGCTATCAGACACATAGCACAGAAATAAATGTGTTTGTCTATTGGAGGCTTTAATGAAATTGAAAATGTAGCAACATTTTTCAATGTCAATAAGCTAATTTTCTTGTTTAGATGCTAATGTTGGTTTTTCCTGAGGATTCCATCCTCTAATTGTGAGTCATGACTTTTCTTCCCTTTGTCCAAATGCTATTTCTGAGAATGGCTTGAATTATGCAGGGTGGTTTCCGATTCCAGGTAGGACGAGATATTTTTGTTTGCCTAAACCTATGGCATGAGATGAGAGTCGAAGAGTAAGAGAAGCACTTGAGCTTTATTAAAAAGTGTTTACTAAGAATTTGAGGGTTTACACAATGCAGTAAGCACTGAGCTGAGAGCTGAGCAAATTCTGTCCCTGGTACTATACTTTTATTGGCTTGTACTGCAATTATTTCCATCTTACTAATGAAGAAATGAGCTCAAAGGAGCAATTAACTTGCGTAACTTTTTAGAGTTAGTATGTTGGGCGGAGTTAGGGTCATATCCACATCTGACTTCAAACCCCTGCCTGCTTCTCACATCACTCAGTCCTCAATACTCCTTCTCGTACCTACCCTCCTACTGGGGCTGAAGAAGCACAAGGGAAGGAATGTTGTCCTGCCTTTCATTTCTCTCCACCTCGGTTTCTATATCAAATCTGAATTTTACAGTTTGGTGATTCAATAACATTTTTACTAGGTAAAGACTAGTTTCTGTTCCCAATTCCAGAGTATTAAGATTAAAAAAAAATACCATAAAATCAGACCTGGATTAATTCATGCTCTTTTGTGCCCTTTTACTGCTCATTATTATTTTCTTCTTCCTCTCTCCCTCCCTTCTCCTTTCCTCCCCCCGTCCCCCCGACCACCACCCCTGTTATAAACAAACAACTGTTTTGTTAGTCGTTACCTAACATCTTTTGAATAGCTCTTCTATCTGGGAGACATTCTCAACATTATAAACCCGGCTGCCAGGGTGGGAAGTGAATTCATTCCCTCACTCTCCCTGGCTGTCTGGGTGCAGGAAGGGGATCTGGGCCACCCATCAGACACACCCATGAAAAGATTTTTTTGAGTTAGGAAAATAAGATAGAAGTTTACTTGCTCTTATAGAAGAGTAAAGATCTATCATCCTAGACTGATATCATGCTTTGGTCTCAGAAATCCATAGGGACAAGACTCCTTTCAAGTGATTAGTTCACAACCCCAGGGAGTGTGACTCATCTTCGCTATACTAAAAGCTAACATAAAATAACTTCTATTTTCCACTGGCCTAAACTGGCCACAATTTGATTAAGTGGGGGCTAGGAAATGTAGTTTTTACTCTGAGCGGCTGGCCATGTGACCAACATGACAGATGGAGAGAATATATTACAATGAGAGATGGAGGGAATATATGTTGGGGTACAAACAGCAGTCTTTCCTACAGAAGGGAGCAATATGATGTCATAGACACTCATTGAGTCTATCTTTCAGCAATTAGTGGTTCCAAGTGCTTCCAAGCATTTGGCTCCTCAGAGGCATTTAATGTCCGATCTTAAGCTTTGATATTTCAATGAACTGAGATATAGGTGACACACATTAACAGCAGTGGTATTTTCGTGGGTCATTTTCATGCATTGAGTATCGTCCCATGACTCTCTGTGGCTCTTTGGACCTCCTGATAATACTGTCAGCTACTCAGTATCCGTAATAAATTTTATTTACCTCTACCAAAATTAACTAGATACAGTCTATAGTTTGCAGCTAAGAAACATCTCCTTACCAGTTCCCTTAAAAAATGACTATAAATATTTCTGTGTTTTTCAAACTCAGATATCCAAACTCTGCTTCCTTTAAGAGTAAAAGTTAATGAACAACAACTCCTTAGTCTTCCTTTCCATCATTCAGAATTTCTTATCTAGTTATCACTAGCCTGCCCCTCTGTTCTCTGTCCCTGACAATGAAGTGTCTCTGCTCCTTATCTGAGATGAGTTTTCCAGCCTTAAGATTGAGCTCAAGCCTTCTGCTTTCTCTGGAATATTGCTCTAGAATTCCCACCCTCAACCCCCCACACACATGCACTTATATCTTAAATCTTTTTCTCTCCCTTGTCTCTCAGCACACAACCTGTCATGTCTTCTTCTCCTGATACTCCCTTCTCCCCACACAGCTACATTTTTAGGATGCCATTCCATTATTTTGTCTACTTTCTCTCCCAGTTCTTCACCACTCACTCATCCCTAAGGCTTTTATAATCTGGTCTCCACACCAGTTTGCTGAAGCTACTTTATCAAGTCATTCCCAAACTCCTAATATCCAAATTGGAATCGTTTTCTTATTGGTATCCTCAAATTTGCCACTTTGGCACTGATGAAAATCTCCTCTTTCTTAGTAGTAAGTCTTCTCCTGGATTAGTGACTTAGCATTACACCGATTCTCTTACTTTGCCCTAATAGCTGTTTGTCCACCTCTTTTAATTTTTTTTTATGTCACCACTAAATCCTCCTCACCACCCTGTGCCACATCTGTGCTCCCAGTGACATCTCTCTTCACCAATTTGCCCAAGTCAGTTTGCTGAGTGTCCTCCTTGTCTTCCCTTTCCTTTAACACAGGCATGTAGTCAGTTGTCAAGTCCTGCCAGTTCTCTCTGCTATGCATTTCTCAATTATCCTTGAAATCCCTTAATTGGTTTTCCTTGTTCTCAAATTCATGTCCAAACTTCATAACATGACTTATGATCTGGTCCCATTTACCTCTCCCATTTTGTCTCTTGAAGGAAATCACCCCCTATATGGACTATCTTTCTTTTCATCCTGGAAAATCTTAAACATCCCATTTACTCTATGTGGAATAACATTTTCTTATTCTTGACTTGAGTAAATCTTCTTTTTTGAGAAAAGTTCTCACTCTGTTGCCCAGGCTGGAGTGCAGTGACATAAACATGACTCACTGTAGCCTCATCATCCTAGGTTCAAGCAATCGTTCTGCCTCAGCCTCCCAAGTATCTGGGACCATAGGTGCATACCATCATGCCTGGCTAGTTTTTAAAAGTGTTTATAGAGACTGAGTCCCATCATGTTACCTAGACAGGTCTAGAATTTCTAGGCTGAAGTAATCCTCCTGCTTCAGCCTCCCAAATTGCTGGGATTACAGGTGTAAGCCACTGTGCCATTGAGTAAATACCTTTTCTCCTTTAGGTTCTCAGTTTACTTGTTACTTTCTCTTTGGAATTTCCCTGGCTCTCTTCCCATATTGTCCTGTTTTCTGTATTATATCACAACACTATGTATTAAAATTGCCTCTTTACCTCTCTGTATTTACAACCAGATAGTAATCTTTCTGAGGAAAGTGTATTATTTTCACTTAGCATCACATTCACAATGCTCAACAAATATCTGCTAATGAATACACTGCCTCTTTGTGAATGTAGTAAATGTAGGTGTTACCCAGAGTCTTATCTTTGGTTTCATGCATAGCTGAATCCTAGCAACCAATGACATCATCTGAGCTTTATGTTTCTTTACATTTAGGGTGTGGGATGGCTGCCAGAAGCCCCAGACACACTTCCTACCTGCTCTGCCCCCTCAAACTATTTTCTACTATACACATCCTTGCTTTTATGTACTCGACTCACTCCCTGTCATGCATTATTTCTTGTAGTTCACTGAATTACTGTATCTTTTTATTTCTGAGTTTTTGAGGATGTTATTGATTCTTCCTACAGTAATGTAAATAATCCCTACTCATGCTTCATCTCTGACAAAACTTCCTTGACTTGTCAAGACTAGTTCTAGTCTCCCTTCTAAATCATCCCGTAATTGGTGCTTGCTTGTCCTTATCAGAACAGGTCAGATTGTATTTCAATTACCTTTTCAAGTTTCCCCATGTCTATTTTGTTTACCATCCATCTCCACTATGTAGCACTGTGATTGGCACATTCTAAGTGTTCAATAACTATCTTTTGACTGAGTGGTACTGTTGACTAATTTACTAAATAGATTTTGTATTTCAGAACTTTAATGTAAATATTTTTAACCAACAGATTCAGAAGCTGTCTCAGTTAGCTTTTGTCACAATAATGCTGCATAACAAACCACACCAAGATGTAGTGGCTTAAAACATCAAGATCTTATTTATCATTCATGGGTTTGTAGGTTGACTGCAGCTCAGCTTGGCCCAGCTCCAGGCTCTGGGCTCCAGGATTTGATGTGTTACACGTAATTTTCACACTGTTTAAATCAGTGGCCATCTGATCATTTTATTCTCAATATGAATACCAGGAGTCCCAAAGCCAAGCCAAACCATATAGACATATTTAAGGCCTCTGCCTGTGTTACATTTGCTAACTTTCCAAGCCCAATATCAACAAGGCAAGGAAGTTTTCTCTGCCTACAGTTGGAGTTGTAGGGGAATTAATATTTACTGAACAATAATCCAAACCATCACAAATATTCTGCTAAAGGAGACTGATGAGAATAGATACAGAGCTTTCTTTACTGTAAAGAACAGTAACTAGACAAGAGTAAATGCTCCAGGTGTAGTAATAATGTTGGCATTGTTTCTGGTTTTCAATTTACAATCCTCACCAGGGATTTTTTGACATGCTAGTAAAGTGATATAAACAAACATTCTCTCAGAAACACACAGAACCTTAAAAAAAATCAAACATGTTGCCGGTGTCTTCAAATAATTTTATTATGATCTTATGTAATATCATGTATCTGGAAAATTCTTTATAGACATATTTAATCTGCCTAATCAGAACATAAAAAGGATATCAAAATCAGTAGAAATTCAAATTGGAAAATATGAAACCTGAGCATGAAGCCAAAAATCTAAACCTGTCCCTTCTCACAGGCTGTCCTTTGTATATTTGTCATCTTTATGTAGCCGAATTTGTTGCTGCCCTTCTTCATTGATGATGTGGGTGGAAGTGGCAATTATTTTTTCTTTTTTTTTTTTGAGACAGAGTTTCGCTCTGTCACCCAGGCTGGAGTGTAATGGCTCCATCTCAGCTCACTGCAACCTCTGCCTCCTGGGTTCAAGTGATTCTCCTGCCTCAGCCTCCCGAGTACCTGGGACTACAGGCATGCACCACCAAGCCTGGCTAATTTTTGTATTTTTAGTAGAGACGGGGTTTCACCATGTTGGCCAGGCTGGTCTTGAACTCCCGACCTCAGGTGATCCACCTGCCTCGGCCTCCCAAAGTGCTGGATTACAGGCATGAGCCACTGCGCCCAGCCAGCAATGATTTTTAATGGCCTAAAAAATAAGGAGATACTATTGCATTTGCCATTCCAGGTTACTTTTCATGCAAAACGTGTCTGAGTATTACAGTTGGAATTCATTTTGTTTGTTGATAATTATGAGATATACATTTATGCCAATAAAATTACCTCACCTTTTCACCAAATACTTGTAAGGATAAAGAATTTCAGAATAGCTTTTAAAAGTGGTATTAATATTTAGAAAGTTGTTTATTTTTACCTGTGTTGTTGTTACACAAAGAAAATGTCCATATAACACACTTGCTAATTTTTAGATTAAAAATCTGTACTCTCTAAGGAAAAGTTTTAAGGGCATCAACTAGTGAGTTGCCTACCATGAAGAGCAGTTCTAGATAAAGATAAATCAATGATATCAGAAAGTCAATTCTGTTAAAGTAGTGTTGGTACTTAAAAAAAAAAAACTTAATTTCATTAGTGATTAGGAACAGGAAAATTAAAACCATAATGAGATACCAAGTGTTGGCAAAGATATGGAGTCACTGGATTCTGCATAAATGGCTGGTGTGAGAACAAATTTGGTACCTGTACAACCACTTTTGAAAAGGAATTGACAGTAGTAACTAAAGTTAAACATACACACACCCTGTGGCCCAGCAATGAATACTCCATGTTATAGAGTCAACAATGAATAGTACTTAGTAGTGCCAGAAGCCATGTAAAAATGTTTTATAGCAACATAACTTTATACTGTTCCCAAACTGAAAACAAGTTACATGTTAATCAAGAGAAGAATAGATAAATCATGGTATAGGCATAAGATGAAATACTATATAACAATGAAATAGGTCAAACTACTACCACCTACGGTCACATTGATATATCTCACAAACATAATGTGGAATGGAAAAGCAAAACGAAGTAATGCATACTATATGATTTTATAGATACAATGTTTGAAAATAGGCCAAACAAATCCAGTGAGTAGTGGTTGAGGGGTGTATGAAGAGAGCTTCTGAGGTGCTGGTTATCTTCTTCTTGACCTGGGGAGTGAAAAGGCAGGTGCATCACTTTGTACTGGCTCATAAACTGTGGCTTTATGATTTATGCATCTTTCTGAATATTTTACTTGAAAAATATACTAATTTTTTTTAAAAGCAAATAAACCAAAACACTCTGACCACATACACTATGCCAGGCACTTTCTTAGTTTATATGTTTATTCATTTCCACATCTAATCTGTGAGGCAGGTATTATTATTTTCACAGTGTAGAAGATAAACCGGAGGATCAGAGGTATTCTGACAATCCCAAGGTTAGACAATATCTTGTCATTCTCATAAACTCCCTGCAATACAGGTGCCTGGATCCTCTCACTCAATTTTCCATTCACAGCCTGCTTTCAGAAAAAGGTCTGATAAACCTGTAACACAGCACTAAATTGCAAATAGAAAGCTTATCATTGAAGAAGATGTAATTTTAAATAGAAAGCTTATGGTTAGCATTTCATTAAAAGTGTATAGAAATTTGTTTGATGAAGAAAGTTTTAAAATAAGAAATATCTGATAAGGAAAAAAGGGAAATCTTGGAGACTTCAGTGAAAGAAAATAGTTCCATCTCCCTTTTGTAGGGCAGTAAGTATTCAGAAAAGTTAAGGAGGCTGGGTGGCTCTAGGTATGCTGAATGGAAGCAGGTACACCTGGGGCATTCACAGTCTCACAGTAAAATGCAAGCTACACACGCAATTTGAAACTTTCTAGTAGCCACTAAAAAATATAAAAAAGAGGTGAACTTGATTTCAATACTATATTTCATGTAACCCCATAAATCCAAAATATTATCATTTTGACATGCAATCAACAAATTATTATTAAAAGTTTATATTCTTTTTCATAGCAAGTGTTAGAAATCCAGTGTGTATTTTACATTTATTGCACATGTCAATTCAGGTGGTAAATTTTTATTCTTTGGATCTAAATTTGAACCTTTATTGATATTTCATAAAATTTACAGTTCTAAAAGAAGATATACATACTTAACTTGCTCCAAATATTCTTACAATTTTTACAATAATCAATTATCAGTTTTTAAAGGTAAATTTCAATTAACTAAGATTAAATATAATTAAAAATTTACTTTCTCAATAATACTAGCCACATCTCAAGAGTTGAGTAGCTATATGTGGCTAGTGGTCCCACATTGGACAGTGCAGGTCTGGAAGAATTGGGAGGAGGATGGCCATGAGAAATTACAGTGAAATTAGGAGGTGGCCACTGCATTAAAGAAGCATGAATGGAAAACCTCCTTTTCCTCAGTCATGCTCAAGCAGATAAGAAAGAGACTAACAAAATCAAACATTTGGTAACATAATGGAATACGGATTATTTATTTACCTGTCACTGAATTATTATTATTTTTAACTCTTCTCACATCTTCAAATCTTGGTTAGGATAATAGAGGGGGATAGGCACTATTTTTAAATCATAATAACATACAAAATGTAGCTACATAGATGTTAAGCCAGAGAGAGATAAAGGCTTGATTTTTTTGGAACATGAATCAGGTATTAAGACCAGTGTGGCAGCCTCTCTTCCTTTTCTCTTTCCTCCACCTCTCAGAATCTATCGGTCTAGGGCCATCCAGCATGGAACCAGAAACTAGAGGTTTACCTAATAGTCATACAAAGCCATCAGAGAGAACTAGAAATCTATCTCCATTTTAATGTCCACAAGAATTATATGATACTAAGAAATAGACTCTATGAAAAAAAGACATCAAATTAATTTATTCAAAAGGCTTTAGCATTAAATTCAAAGCATTTCAGGACCAAAGGATGCAAAGAAATGCAAAAATCCACTCAAGTGAACTTACTAGGCAGAGTTGCAGACAATAAGTAGACAGGTAGACATACTAAAAGCCTAACTTGCTTTAAGTGCTAAATTTGCCATTATAGACTATAAATAATGCTTAGGGCTAGGCACGGTGGCTCACACCTGTAATCCCAGCACTTTGGGATGCTGAGACGGGTGGATCACTTGAGGTCAGGAGTTCAAGACCAGCCTGGCAAACATGGTGAAACCCCGTCTCTACTAAAAATTACAAAAATTAGCTGGGTGTGGTGACAGATGCCTGTAATCCCAGCAACTTGGGAGACTGAGACAGGAGAATTGTTTGAATCCACGAGGCAGAGGTTGCAGTGAGCCAAGGTCGTGCCACTGCACTCCAGCCTGGGTGACAGAGCAAAACTCTGTCTCAAACAACAACAATAATAATAATGCTTAGAATGTCTCTACAAAGTCTATAATAGGATTATCTTAATTACATGTTCTGATTATATATTATTTGCAATTAACATATGCTAATATGTTAATTTTGTGAGCCAAACACCTTATCATTTTGCAATCTCAATTAGTTGAGAAGTTTTTTCCAAAACTGATTGGCATGATACAACTGTTTTCTTACTGAACTCAAAAACATTTAGATTTAAGTAAGACATATTCAAAGAATCAAACCTATTGTATTTCTTTTAGCTAAATAATAAGAGTACATTTGGAATTCTATATGCTTATGTTTAAGAGAATTTGTTCTCCCCAATAACAAGTGAAACTTACAAATTTAATATAAAATACATATTTGAATAACAGATTTAGACTTAGAATTTTAGATTAAAGTATTCCTCAATATGTAAACAATATTGGGACATTTTAGAGATCTAAGTGTTACTATTTCTTTCATTTATTTGCTATATAAAACTTACATGAGTATATCTCAGTCAGAGAGATAAAGTAAGTAAAAGGGAAACTGAAAATATTAAACTCATAAATGTGGATTAAAAATGTTTTCATTGAGTCCAACTATATCTCTACCAAAAATAATCAAAGGCATCCTCAACAGTGATTATTAATAGTTGTTGTATCTACAGAAAGATATTAAGTATAGTAAACTGAACTAAAAAAAGCTAGATTTGGAGATCTACAACTTTAAAATTTTGAATATTATTGTTAAAACAAGTTTTTTTCTTAATAGACATTCCTGTGTATGAAACATTCCTTGTATCTTTATGTATCGGGAAATTTCTAGATCAAATAACCTCTGCTTTATATGAAAGGCAGCATGGTAGAGATCAGGAGTTTGCCACATCATAAGTATTTCAGGCTTTGCAGGTCATATAGTCTCTGTTGGCAACTACTCAACTCTGTGGTTATAGCGTAAAAACAGCCATAATAATACACAAACAAATGGGCGTAACTGTGTTACAACAAAACTCTACGTACAAAAACAAAACAGATGGTGAGCTGTATTTGGCTTATGATCCATATTTGCTGACCCCAGGTATAGTTGGAAGTCATTAGTGTGTCCTATCACTGTGACCTGGCTACTAGCTCTACCATTCACTATATACTCTTCATGGTCTTGCTTTAAATTGGAATAAGTACATTGTATTTACAGGACTGGATAAATGATTGAGTGACTTAATGCATAAAGCTTCTGACATGGAGCATGCCTAATAAATTTTAGTTTCAGGATTTCATTATAGAAGGGATGCTGTTAAATAAAGTGGTAAGTTTGGGGAATGATAAAGAATTCCACTTGTGATGATAAGTGTGAGATGACAGAGAGCCAACCAATGGAAACCTTCAACAAGCAATAGGAAAATGGATAAGGAGCTCCAGAATAGAGTGCAGAGAGGGAGTTGAGTTGGAATTTTAACTTGGGTAATCAGGGTAGGCCTCACTAGGAAAGTATCCTCTGAGCAAAGACTTAAAGGAGTTGAAGAAACTGGCCATGGAGAACTGTTCCAAGCAGGAGAAACACCAGGACCTTGGACTTGAGGTGGAAGAATAGTTGAGATGCTCAGCAAACAGCTGGGAGGCCAGTATGCCTTCAGTGGAGTGAAAAGTTAGGAGATGAGATTGGAGAAGTAACTAGAAACCAATCATGTAGAATCCTGTAAGTCATTGTAAGGACTGGCTTTTTGCCCAGAAGAATGACATGATGTAGTTTCTATTTTGAAAATATCTTTCTGCTATGATATGATATGGCAAGTCTTTAGTGGGCAAAGATAGAAGTAGGAACACCAGTTAGGAATTGCTGTAATGCAAGTGAAACTTGATGGTTTCTCTGGCCAAGGTCACTGCAGTGGAGGTTATGAGAAATGGTCTTATTGTGGAGAGATATATATATATATATATATATATATATATATATAAAATTATATATAACATATATAATATAATATATTTATATATTATATAACATACAATATAATATATTTATATATTATATAACATACAATATAATATATTTATATATTATATAACATACAATATAATATATTTATATATTATATAACATATAATATAATATATTTATATATTATATAACATATAATATAATATATTTATATATTATATAACATATAATATAATATATTTATATATTATATAACATATTATATAACATGTTATATATTATATAACATGTTATATAATATATTATATATTATATAACATATTACATAATATATTATATAACATGTTATATATTATATAACATGTTATATATTATATAACATGTTATATATTATATAACATGTTATATATTATATAACATGTTATATAATATATTTATATATTATATAACATATTATATAATTTATATATTATATAACATATTATATATTAATATATTAATGTATAATATTATATATATATATTTGAGATGGAGTTTCGCTTTTGTTGCTCAGGCTGGAGTGCAATGGCATGATCTTAGCTCACCACAACCTCCACTTCCCGGGTTCAAGCAATTCTCCTGCCTCAGCCTCCTGAGCAGCTGGGATTACAGGCATGCACCACCATGTGTGACTAATTTTGTATTTTTAGTAGAGACAAGGTTTCTCCATTTGGTCAGGCTGGTCTCAAACTCCCAACCTCAGGTGGTCCACCTGCCTCGGCCTCCCAAAGTGCTGGGATTACAGGCATGAGCCACTGCACCCGGCCTATTCTGAATATATTTTTAAGGCAGAGGCAAGAGAGTTGCTGATTAACTCTTTGTTTGATGAATCTGGAATGTGTAATAGAAAGAGAGGGGTCAGAGATGACTCCCAGTTGGAGGTGGACCAGATCATATATAAGATCTCTTCTCAATATTTTATGATTCTATAATTATAAATGATATGTCCTAATTGTGATCTTCAAACCTTGGGTGCTGGAATAAAATGGGTTAAAGCAGGTTTCACCTAGGTTTTAGAATTTACTGCTGCACAGTTTTTCCCCCTTTGGAAAAGCAGAAACTGAAGCCAGAGCTGTGAGAATATGCACTGCCTCAATGGGTATAATCGACAAATAATTTTGTGTGAGGGTGCTAAAGTATTAACCTTGCCTCTCTCGGGTGAATAATATAGTATTTTAACCCAAACTCACCAAATTATAAGCCTCAGCTTTTTAAGAAGGGAGAAGGAACTGTAAGGGTTAAAGAAAGAAGAAAAACATGAAAAGTGGCGCAACAGTCAAAGACCAGTTTATTTGGGAGAATAAACCTGAGAGGGGCTTCTGGCTGATTTTTGGTTAGGAGCCTTCTCTCTTACAGAATAAGGGTATTTAAGGGTATAGGAAGGGAGAGCTTATTACAGGCTCAGAATGTTTCTGTGTGGAGGAGAGTTTTATTACACAGTTGGAATGTCTCTGGTCGGAGGGGAGGTTATCTTGGGGTTAGCATGTTTCTGGTTGGAGGGGAAGTTATCTCAGGGTTGGCATGATTCTGGTCAGAATGGGTTTATCTCAGGCTTGGAATGTTTCTGGTCAGAAGTGTCACTTGTGGTTTATGGTCATGCTGACAATAGCCATTAGGCTGATGTTTTCTGGGCTGGATTTAGGTGGTTTTTAATCAAGGGGAACTTAAAATGGCAGTGTTTGTCTAAGATGGGGATGCTTCTGCTCTGTCAGGAACTACTGAAAAAATGGTTCTTCCTGGTCTGGTAGGCTGAAGGATTGGTGGCTCCATGTTCCATCTGAGTCTGAAACTATCTAGGCAGTGGTGTTGCATCCATCTCCTTTGATGCTCTGAAACCAAGTCTTCCTTCATTAACTTTCCCTATGACTGAAATATTGTGCCCAATAAGAGCTAAGCCACAGTCCAGGAGTAGCTATTAACATTGTGCCACTGTTAAGGTACACCTAGGCCTTGAGGAAGTGTTCCCAGCAGTTCATACATTATCCCACCCTGGGCCAGAAAGTGTGTGCTATAAGCACTCTTTCTATCTCTTTCTTTATGTCCTTCTCCACAGTAAGTAAACTACTTTTAACATCCTCAATATTAAATGTTTTATATTCTTATAAATTATGTAAAATTATTGAGATAATCAGAATTTACTACAAATTACTGAAATGAACCCAGAGAAATTCTACATTGTTCTTTTTATTCTGTCATCTAATAGACAAGGGATCAAACCAGCACATGCCACATCTGTTGGCTCCTTAGACATTACCAGGGAATATTTTTAATATAAATATTCTCAAGCCTTGCATCAGAGCTACTAAATCCTGCGTGCTGGGACTTAGGCCTTGGAATCGCCTTTTTTTGTTTTGTTTTGTTTTATTCTTTAAATCTTCCCAGAAGATTTTAATGCAATTGACATGGATAAGATTTTCCAGAACAGTGCTTTGGGTCTTCCCACAATTATTGTGAACATAATGCTTAGAAAATATTCCAAAGCAGTTGTCACTAAAGAACTGAAGATTCTAAGAAAATTGTAGCCCAGATGTCATATTTGGCAGACTTGTCATTCACTGCAAAGATGATATCTGCCCATTTGAGATAAAGAGCTGACTTCAGGGGCCTCTTTATGGGTCACTCTGAAATGATCACCTATAGCTCTATCTCCTTTACTTTTGATTATCAAATGATCAGTTTTGCTGCCTGGTTAGAGAATGTAGTGTTGTTTGTTAGTTTATTTTCATCATCAGTAAATTTCTGATCCCTGCCAAAGTTTACTGAAACTGCCAACCATACATTCTTCAAAATAATTCACATCAATAACATGAATTTGAAAGCCCTCTCATTCCTTTCTTGGCAGCTACAAACTGCTGACTCACAGACCTTTCCCTGTTGAGTGTGTTTAACTTCATATCGCAGTTTAATAGTTTCATTCCAAAACAAAGACTGGAATTGGAAAGTTCAGGGAGAGAGTGCAGTAGGTGAAATGAAAGTTTCAATATATGTTACCATATATAGGAATATTAAATTACCTCTAAATAATACACAAGCTGTGACATGAAGCTGAAATGAATCTGTGACAGAATGTTTCATCCAGACGCAACTTCTCATCTTCTCTTGGAGAAAGGATAGAAAAACAAGCTGACTTTGTGAAATGTTTTCCAATTAAGGCATTTCCATTTCAAATTCAAACTTGTCACCTGAGTTTCTGGATAATCCAGTGAAAAGCGAGTTCATCCTCCAATCATTTCAGACAAAATCAAGACTTTTTATTAATGAAGCACAATGTCATTAAACTAGTTGCCTTTCCAGAATGAAGTTCAATATCTTATAATTATGCCCTTGGTTTCTCAGGCATCCAAATTATCATGTTAAAGAAGAGGGAGAGTTGATTTCTGGTGGCTATACAGTAAACTTCCTTCAATCCACACTCTTGGGCAAGATTATAAACTAAGCCAGCAAAGTAAGGTAAAGTCACATGCATTGTGATTTTGTAAGGTGGTGAACAACTCTTCCTAATTTTTTGACAAAAATATAAAATTTTCCTGGATCTATTTGGGAGTCACATTGCTGAAAACTCAGTAACTATTAAAGCCATGCAAAAATACTGTGTGCTTCTATGTAAAATGGAGTAGATTATTGAGTCAGATAATTGTAAACAGATTTTTTTACCTACATGATGTACACTGAGCACTCAACATCATGAATGAAGTTAGAATGTTTTACTATGTGAAAATGTAATATGCACTGTGACTTTACCACTCTCCTTGGTCCCCATCACTAAATGCCAATAGTGACTCCTCATCATTGTGACAATAAAAAACCCTCTCCCTGTAAATTTCCAAAGGCATCCAAAAGGATAGTACCATATCCCTTAATCAGTTGATCACTGATGAAACTGTTGAGGAAACAGACACAGTGGTCTTGATATCCTTCCCCACCTACTTAAGGACAGCAACCCATGAAAAGCCTACAAAATACAGATGTCATCATGTAAACTGATGTCTGTATTTTGAGATAATTCTCAATCTTTTCAGGCAGAGTGGTGAAATAAAGGAGCTGTGGATTTAGAATGAGAAGATTTAAGCTCCAATCCGAGTCCTGCCTGGAATCTGGCTGCTATGTGACCTTGGCCAAGTCACTTTCCCACTCTGGGTCTCATTATCCTTATCAGTAAAATGGAGATAAAAGTAATAATAACTGTCCTGTCTGCTTCACAGAATTGCTAAGAAAATGATAATCAGTATGAGATTGGATTTTGTCAACTAGTGGGTTGTTATAACTAAGTGGTAGTTCTTGTTGCTCAGAGATGCCATGAGGAGATAGGAAGGTAGATTGTATGGCCTCTAGGGTTGCATATAAGCCTAGGACTCACTGGTGTTTTAATCAGATAGATAGTGTGACTAAGTGTGAGTTCACTATGTCCATTATGGGCTCACACTGTGTCCAGTACCAGTTAATCTAGGTTGGATTCACTCCTACGTGCTGAGCACATTTTTTTCTGTTGTCCCTGGACACAGCTTCCAGGACATGCTCTTCTCTCTTTTATTCTATCTCCTCCTTACCACACTGGCACCATCCCTTTGTAAAAATCATTTTCCCACTTGCTTATTCCCTCTGCTTCATGAACCCACTCTTCCCTCACAATGGCCATTCTCTCTGAAATTCAGTTTCGGCTGAATACTAAGAACATAAAACAGTAGCTCCTAACCTTTACCACATACTGGAATCACCTGTGTAATTACTCAGACCATACCAGTTTATATGGCAATAATGTCCTCACGAGTTCTACCAATTTTTTGACTCTCTAGCAACATTTAGAAAGGCCAGGGTAGACACTAGAGTTAAGAAATTAGCTCAAACAGGCAAAAAACAATCAGTAACAAAGTAGCCAGGAACCTGACATTTCATGTAAGATCTGGATGTCCAAACAAGAGCAGGAAAACCACAATGAGGTCAATACAGTTTGGAGATAAAAGCTGGAATTTGGTACAGAAGTTCAGGGTCCATAGGTGAGTACAGATTAAACAGAATGACCAGTCTGGGTGCATATGCAATTAGTATACTAGACACTTCTCCTTGGTTGATGCTTTTCTTATACTCTTAGACTTGCCCAAGAACTTTCCTCTTTGCTGGGTAAGGGCAGAGCTCTGGTGCTTGCTTGAACAATCACAATACGCAATCCATATATTCCCTAGGCAAAATCTGCCGTGTAGAAATCTAAGGTGGAATTCATCAGAATTCACAAATGCTCCCCTGAAAGATGATCTGAGTTTTCTCAAGTGGGCCTTTGTGAAAGACAAGGCTGGAGCTAGGGGTTAGCCCCAGACCCTGAGATTAGGACCACAGGACAACCAGACATTATTGAGAAGAGCTCAGGAGGCAGAACAAACCCAGGCCTCCTCACGGGTCATGGTAATTGAGAGAATCAAAGTAATGGTGATTCTCAAACTCAGATAGGTAATTGGTTCATGGTTCTGTGTGATGGAGGGGTTGATTCAATTTAAGTAGATCATAACCAGTATCTGGGAGAACTGAAAAAGGGTCCAACTCCTGGGAAAAAGGACAGAGGAAACCAACCAAGTGCATTACAGTTATTAGCAACATTCTCTTTTTAAGAGAAGTCAACAGGGAAACTAAGCTCAAGTGCAATCATTCAGGCTGAGCATTGGCAGCTGCGGTTAGAGAAACCCTGGGCTCTGCGACTTGCTTCCTCTTGGACCACTCGTTCCAGACTTGTTGTATCTGGAGCTACCAATATACTCTCCACATTGGTCCAAACTGGATCAAAAATTGGGTCGGCTGAGCCCACAAGTTAATGGCATGAGTTATTATTGGGCCTGAACTGTGTGTTTTCAGGAAATGATAAACTCTCAATGGGCCTTTGGTATATTTGGGCTCAAAGGCACCTGTCACAGCTACCCCACATGGAAGGCTGCTGTGCTCCAAAGCCAGAGGCCATTTTTATAATATTTTGTGGAATATGTTACCTCCCTGTCCACAAAGCCTTGGCCAGAAGTGTGTTCCATGTTTTTGAACCTTGGCCACTTTACCACTACTCACCTGGAGTTTACAATCAGCTCCTTGACGTGAGAGAAATCACTCCTGACTCAAGGCTTTGATTCTTCCTCCAGGACCTTAATGAGAGTCTGAGCTTACAGGTGGCCCTGAGCTGGCCCAGGCAGACCACAGGGGAAAGCAATGCTGCGATCTTCAAGATGCATTCCCTAATTCATGCATGCTTTCTCCATGGTCAATGAGGTGCTCATTTGTCTTTCTGACATTTTCCGTGTTTTGTTATGAGTAGATAGCAGAAATTTGAATTTCCACTGATGACACAGTAAGGCTTTGGTATAATCCTCATTGACCTGAGATTCAGAAGGCCCAGATTTTAGCAGGCTCTGCCACCATGTAAATTTAGGTATGTATTAAACATCTCTGAGCATTAATTTCTTCTTCAGTAAAATGAGAAAGTGATACCTAATTTTTTTGTCCTTGAGTTGCAATAAAAATCAAATAAAACTCTAAATACAAGCTATAAGAAGGAATATAGATAAAAACTATTTATCCATTTACTCATTCATTCTCTCAGAGTTAATGAGCCTCTATTTATGTAGCAGGGAGAGCTAGTCACTGGAGATATTAGGCAAGTGTATTATGCAGGTATAAATGAAATAATCATTCTAACAAATGTAAGTTACAATTCTGACAAAGGCAATAAAAGAAAGGTATGTGGTTCATATGATAAGGGGAATCCAACCTCCTGATGGTGTTCTTTAACTGAGCTGTGGAGGATGGAAAGAATTTAACCAGGTAAGAGGATAGAGAAGAGAATTTTAGTAACTAGAAACAGCAAAAGTCAGGAGAGGGCATGACAGATAAAAAGCACCACCAGTAAGCCAGTGAGGGTGCAATAGAGAGAAGGACAAGGTGCTGGAAAATGAGGTTTGGGAGGCAGGTCAGACCTGGATCACACATCGCTACTTTGGTCATGGTGAGGACATTCTGCTTTAACGTAAAGCAATGAGATTTTGAGGGAGATGGGAGAGTGATGAAGGGAAGTGATGTGCATCTTGAGACCATCACTTTGATAGATATTTGACTGCATATCTTTTTATATTCCTTAACTTTATCCTTCATGTATCTCACTTTAAATTTTCTGTTTACTCTGATGGTTATTGTCTTTGGAAGCAGGCATATTTGGACATAAATTCGAGTTCTACCATTCACCAATTGTATACTTATTCTTCTCTGATTCTCCATTTTCTAAACTATACAATGGTGATGGTAATTCTTATCTCAAATTTTCTTAGGAATATATGCGATGGTATCTATGTAATTTCTGGCACACAATGTCAACAAATGCTAGTTTTTATTATTATCCCCTCTAATAATTTACTCCTCTTGTAATCACATTTTTCTGGATAGGATCCATTTTAGCTTTTTAAATTTTTTAATAAGAAGGTGGAATCATTGATCTACTATCCATAAAAGATGTTATTTCATTTATTTCCCATAGAGGGGATGGGAAATAAATGAAAGCCATTACCTTTGCTCCCCAGCACCTCTAAATGTAATGCCCATGCATTACATTACTTTGTCTAGCAATAGTTTACCTGAAGTAAGGAATTAATATCATTACCCTTTTAGAATTTTGCTATATTGAATAGTATAAAATGATTCCAGATTCCAAGAAAAGGGTAAGGCATGAGTTAATTTAGGTTGTATTGACACCACTATCAACCATTAACTGGAGGGCGTTTACCTTTCTCAACTGGATAGAGTAGCCCAGTATAAAGCCAGTGTAGCTGGTCTTACACTATTGAAAAATTGTTCACCCCACCTACTAAGCTGTTGAATGTGCAGTGAAGTTCAATAAGCAAGCTCCAGACACTATTTAAAATGAAAGTGGCCAGTTTTGAGTAAGACAATGAAAAAGTTAGGTGGAATTTTTCCAACGAAGGGTAAAATATCAAAATTAATTTTGGGGGAAAATTAAGATTCTCCTCACAGTCTCAAAGCTTTCTTCTCTAATCACACTTCAGACACTATCAGTGAACAGAGAATCTTTGTATTATTTCCAAGTTTCTCCCATTGTCAGTCACTGTGACAAAGTGCTGGCCAGTCTGACATAATGATGAATCACTCCAGACATTGAGTTTTCACATAGCTGTCGAGGGTTCTCGGTAGACTTTGTTGTCTGAAAATGCTACGGACCAATACTAGGTGCTCTGCTCATGAACAAAGCCAGGATTTGGCAAAATTAAACATATGTATTTTAGAAAAAAAAAGAGAGGTGTAATAAACATTTACTATTTCTGTTCCTACCATGTCTTCATGCTGCAATTGATTTAAATGCCTATTAAACAAATCCTCACTTCCCAAACCTCATCTCTATATTCTGCTGGAATGAGTTAGATTTCAGAGTACATTGAGAAGTTGAAATATCAAACAAACATTTTTATTTATTGTTTTCAGCTACAAAATAGCATGTGGGCTCTCCTTACCCTTTATCCTGGAAATTTTAACATACCACATAATTCTTTGCTAATAATATTTTTAACTGATTAGAACTTACAAATCGAATGCTGAATGATGGATTGATGCATAGCTCAATGTAAATGTACTTGTAATGTCTACCTTAGTTTCCTGTTAGAAAGCTTGTCAATACACCAGTGCCTCAAATCCATTTTCTCAGTAAAAATGTTGCAGTTTTCTGATTATTATTCACAAAGGCAGCTTCCTGAGTTATTTCTTCTCCTGCACAATATTCATGATAGCAATTTGATACCTTAGCAGTTTCAAGGTTATCAAGTGATGGAAAATCCTACTGCTTACTTCAAGGTGTAACATATACAACTGTGCTGTCATCCATTATAGCATTATAGCAGTATAATAGTTTTTCGTAATGCCTTTCATGAACTGCTGATTTAGAAGTGTAAGCCTAACTTCTGAAGGCACTTATCAGTCTCAGGCTAGGGGAGTATTGCTTCACTGGAAAACATCAGCAGGGACCCTTTGTGCTACTGGAAAAGAAAAAAAAGGAACTAACTTTCATTTCTCTCCTAGATAGTGTTAGAGCCTTGTCCTGTGAAGTCATTAAAGTGCATCTGCAAAAAGAAAGAAACAAACAAAAGCCATGGTTTAGCCTTTGAAGGGCTAGTGCTAATCAGCAATGAATCTTAGAAGGAACCATTTGATTTTGCAGATTGTGGAGGTTAAGTTAGAAAAAAGACATTACTGAGAGAAATGATGGAGGAGATTTTGCTAAAGTAACAACACAAAAAAGTCAAGCAAATTCATAATGATGCTGGGAGGTAAAACCCATCATTACTGAAAGCACCCTTTGCACATATTGTTCTATCCACGCATTGAATTTTGGTTTAGGGGTCTCTGGTTGAGCAGAGGGTTGCTTGAGTGAGTTTAGAAGGTGGCATCTGTTTAAGTAACAGATGTCTGTGTCACCAAGGTGCTGTGTTCTCACTTTTTATATAGGGGAAATTGCTGCTGAAAGAGTTTTATTGTTTTTATGCAAATGAAAATATCATATTCTTCTCCTTAAAGGGTTTCTCTTCCTGATGTGGATCCACAACAATCACAAAGGACCCCAGCCTCTTGGACTTTTTAAAAATATATTTTGGAATCTGATAAAGTTTCTTATGCACTGCCAACTATGCATGAAATGAGATCTGGAATTGTAGACATACTTGCTCTTTTTTAACAAGGCCCCACTGGGTTGAAGCAAATTGAGCAGGGTAAGAGTCAATGCTGACCCTTCTGTGGCACCAAGAAACTGGATCTGTAGAGGCATTCACACCCCTTGAGCTAGCTCTAAGCATGGAGGGGAAGGCTTGCCTTAGGGCATAATTTTGACTTCGTTCATTTGGTTCTTGGCTTCTAGAAATTTCTGATTCCTTTTATTTTCCAGAAGAGATGAGGGAGAGTGGAGTCATCCAAAAACACCCTTCAAGTAGACACATATAATTAACTATGACAAATATTCTGGGTGATAAGATGAGAAGGAAGCAGGAAGAGCTGTATTTCTGCTCTGTAACAAAGTATGATGATTATCTTGAAGAAAAATACTTGTGCAATTATTTGAGTTTCAGGCTGAACTACTCATTTCTTTTATGGAATGTCAGTTTTATCTGAAAGTACAAAAGAGAGACAAACTATAGGAATTCAGAGTTAAGCATTTAGGATTTGCCATGAAAATGAACAACATGAGTCTTTCATTTCTAGGAAAATGACTGATGGTGTTTATTGCCAGCAGTAAAATCCAAACTTTCAAGGGAAAATTTGAATTTTGGAAAACTTGTTTCCATCACCATGAGCTTACTAGCTTCATAATATTTAGAGTGTCCTCTAATGAAATTGGTGGTTTTGATAATAAATTTGATTTTTTTGATACTGTAAAATGAAATGTGTCAGTATTCAAAAAACCTGCATAATTCAGTGAACCAATATTTTCCAAGACACCATGATGTTGCAGAATCATGCTTAGTTAAAAGATACATTCAAAGTACAAAATGGGCTAATGGATTGTAATATAACAGAGTAAGAAAAGCTTATTGATATGGTTTCAGATTCCACCCACAACTAACTTTTAAGGCACTACTACTTGTTGAGTTTTGGTGTACTATCAAAAAAGAATATCTACATTCATCTGAAAAGTCTATTAAAGTTCTTCTTACTTTTCCATCTACATATTGTTCTGAGGCCACATTTCCTTCACATATTTTTGTAAAACAACATACAGCAGATTGAGCCCAGAAGCAGATATAGAAATCTACGTATCTTTTTTTCTGTTCTTTTTTTTTTTTTGAGATGAAGTCTTGCTCTGTCACCCAAGCTGGAGTGCAGTGGCATGCAATCTTGACTCACTGCAACCTCCGCCTCCCAGGTTCCAGTGATTCTCCTGCCTCAGCCTCCCAAGTAGCTGGGACTATAGGCACGCGCCACCACACCAGGCTAATTTTTGTATTTTTAGTAGAGATGGGGTTTCACTATGTTGGCAAGGATGGTCTTGAACTCCTGACCTCGTGATCTGCCTGCCTAGGCCTCCCAAAGTGCTGGGATTACAGGCGTGAGCCACCACACCCGGCCATCTACCTATCTTTTTTGAAGCCAAACAAAAGCAGGATTCAGGCTCACAGAGGTTCTCAGAGACTAATTATTGAATTGGTTCACTTATTAAAATAAACCTAGAAGACCTTTGTCAATATTCTTTTCTTGTGGACACTGTAGAAATTAAAGTGGTTTCAGGAGCTCATGAGTAGTCTCATATTTTTCAAGAAGAAAACTAGATTCTATACCCAGGGAAGCCACGTAGTTGTGGTAAACCCAAGATTCCTAGGCATGAGTAGCCCAGTGCCAGTGAGGTCAAGTGAACATTAAGCCTTACCTAGCTCATTAAGCCCCAGCTGCACACTTCAGGACCTCAGCATATTCTCTTCAGGGTCTTGCACTCCCTCCATGCCACCAGTGTTTCTGAAATTTTTGAAATGTTTTTCATTTGTGTTTGTAGGTCAGTTAAGTCTGCTAGGAGTCTCTGTCCTGCTGCATGTAGCTCAAGGCACAGCTATATTGTCAATGCTTTCCCTCTGACTAACTAAAAACCAGATTTTTCTTTTTTAAAAATTTTGGAATCTGATGGGCTTCATGTCATTGCCTTCAAGTGGCATCATCACCGTTGCTTGAAGAATGCTGAGAGGATGTTCTTTTACTAGGAGATGGCAGTGTAGTGAGCATCGCAATAAGGATTATGAGCTATGAAATAGGAAAAGACCAGCTGCCTGTTCAAGACCTTGAGGAAAAAGGAGATGGGTGAAGGTAGCTTCAAAGTAAAACTAGGCACTGGTGGAGGCTGTGTGTAGGATCTAGCTTGGCACTTAGTGACTGGGGGAGGATGTTAGTGGGGAAGTGATGAGGTGAGGAGCTGAACTTCCACAGAGGATATGGCTAAGCTAGAAATCTGGCTTGTGAAAATGTTCTGGTAACATAAAATTTTTCAAGGAAAAATGGGTTCACATGACTTCAAGATGTCCCTAAAGTATCTACAAAGCTGGTTAAAGAGGCCACAGCCCAAGGGTCTGATGATTCCCCCTTATCAAGGTTTACCTGACAGAAGTCCCATTCCCTCCAACCTTGCCATTGATCAAGAGATAATAAAACAATGACTGTTTAATGAGTGCCTCCTCCTGGAAAAGAGAGTTGTCTTGAATGAGTGGGAAATTTGAGAGGCAGGTTTGAAATAGGCAAGAATTTCAGAACTCCTAACAGCTGAAAATAGTTGCCAACCCCACTTACCCTGAGTCATATGCCTGATCTGGAGATTGAACCACTTTCTTCTATTTATCCTATTCTCAATTATCTTTATTTCAAAAATCACATTTGAAGGAAAGAATCTTCTGAAAATCAGAAATCTTAGAAAACATCTCTCAACACTTGTAAGCTGCTAGCGCTTTTTGTCCCCCAGTGTCTGGATGGGTTTTGGGGTAATAAGCTTATTTTAGTAGTTCAATAAATACAATATCTTCTATGAAAATAAGTATGATTCAGAGAGTTTTTTTATCATAATTCAACATTATTTTAAATGATCAATGCTAAAATTTCTTTGCATTAGTGTAGACAAATATAATTTGATTAGACCTAGCCTTCAGAGATCAGTTTTCAGACACTGTGATCAAACTTTTGTGATGTTCTTTGAGTTAGAGGAGGTAGAATACACCATAAAGCATATCTAAAAAATATGTATGAGTCAGCATTATGGATATAATGGATATCAAGGCAGGTTTGCAGGCTTTGTCTAAAAATGGTGAAGCTCAATTGTTATCTTTGTAGTGCCTAGCAGTTTATTATTTGTGGGCAAAGTATTTGTAGATGTCATTAGAATGGCTATTATTAGTTTTTTTATTTCCACAGATAACCTAAAAATGAGAAATGGATATCATAGCAGCTGAGCAGAATGGTAATTGGGGTATCTGGGGACTTTTCTTGCATATCTCCATTAGCATGGAACATTTAAAGGCACACTGCACACTTGGGTGTAGCTAGAGATAGCTGAGTCTCAAAGATGACCCCGAGCTTCTTATGTGGGATGAGAGTGAACATGTGCAATTTGAGTACAATAAAGAACATATGCAACTGTGTTAGAAGCATAGAACATGAAACCTTTCTCTGTTCCTCCCTTATTCCACCTAAGAGAAAACCTGTACCTCTCCCTCAACATCATCTTCAAATCCATTCCATTCCCCTTCTCAACAAAGCAGCCCCCCTGAATCTTGTCTGGATACTGTGGAGGCAGAAGGTAACAGGGAAGAGTAGAAAGCAAGTTAAAAGGATGCGATGGTGAGAGAAAGAAAAGAGCCATGATGGGCCATCATGGTAAGGAGTGTGACTACTTAGAGCAGAAGCAGAAGGCTCAGATTCAGACGGCAGGTAGCTTGCTGGCTTGAATCAAGCCGAGATTACCATTCCTCTGACCTGAATTAATACAAGTTTTGCAATAGCCTTGATCATGGATAGCAGATAGATTTCTTCTGGAATGCTGGTGGCATTTGATGGGCAATGTATCTGGCATATTGTGTTAAAATAGATTTTAAAGCTAAATTTGGACTGAGGGGGAGAGAAAGTTGTGATTCATTAACAATATCTACCACAGACATGACAAGGGAGATTGCAACATGTGAGATATTTACCACCTCTGCTCCACATGGGTCTGGGGTAGCCTGCCAAATGTGTGTCTTCTTCTTTCCACATTCTTAGGTTCTAAGGTCACCTTGACGCTTGGTGGCATTGTCTGTTTTAAGAGGTTGGCATGTGTATGACAATTTTTGCATTAGACTATTGCTATATTTTTCTGTCCTTCCGTTTCTAGAAGGCACAGGGGATTCAAGTCTCCATGTTCATTTTCACAATCCTCTTCATTGATCCTGTTCCCAGAATAATTTTCCTAAGACTATTCCAGAGATGCCTACATCAGTCTCTGTATTCTTGAAAATGTATGACAAGGACAAAAATGAAACTATTATGAAAGAGAGAAGACTCAGGAGGATTCTTTCCCTAGGCCCTGAGATCCTCACAATAGTTCAAGGGAAATGACAGCCAAGGGCTTCCTTATCTGTTCCCTTTGCTTGACCAGCCCCTAGAATGTGAACAGTTGTTCAGGAAATCCACATTATACATTGCCTGTTCCCTCTATTTATATTGCATTTTAATGTAATTGGTTGCTTTCCCTCATTTGTTTCAGGGTGGTGACACAGCTCTGGGGGCCTAAGGATGATGAAGTGAATGAGGACGGAGAGAGAAAGAGAGTACACACATGAAAAGCCCTATCAGCAATACTTCTTCTTATTTATAGTGACAACCCCAAGCAAAATATAAAAATATATTTAGAGAGATGACAGCTTTGCTGCTTCTTGATCACAAACCAACACTTAGGAGTTCCCTTTTGTGACCAGATAAAAAGGGCTGCACCTCGATAAAACAGGGTGAGAAAAAAGGAAAGAGAGAAACTGGATGAAGGGCACTGTGTCCTGGATAAAACCAGTACAAGAACCAATACATTAAATAGAAGGAGCCTCAGAATATTGCCTGTGGGTGCCTTGGAATGAAGATGGATGGAAACCTCCTCCCATCCAGAAATCATAATGCCAAGAAAGCAAGAGGTCTTTAGACTTGCCTTCCAGTCCTAGAACTTATATTTAATAAATAAAACAATTAGTCTTCAATTTATTTCAAAATAAGAGAGGGGAAAAAGGTGCATGAAAATATTTGAGAGGGGCATTAGTTATTCCTGTGTTAAGAAGAGGCAGTCACAACTTATAAAAAAGTCCACCTTCAAACAATTCAACTTAAGTGTGCTCTCTGCAAAACCCAAGTGGTACAATGATGAGTAAGACACAGACCCTGTTCTTAACAAAGTCGTGGCAATGGAACCAAAAGTTTATTTGAACGTTGGTTTGAAACTTGTAATGCCATCTCCATAGAGTTAGTGTTAAATATGGCAGTTGGTTTTCAGTTCACGATTCCTTTGTTCCTAAAACATAATTCTGTTATAGTCTGAATGTTTGTGTACCCCCAAATTCATGTTAAAATTCTAACCCCCAGGGAGATGGTGTTAGGAGGTGGGGCCTTTGGGAGGTGATTAGATCATGAGGGTAAAGCCCTCATGAATAGGATTATTGCCCTTATAAAGGGATCCACAGAGCTACCAGGCTCCTTCTACCATGTGAGGAAGGACATAGCTAGAAAGTGCAGTTTTTATAAATCAGGAAGTGGGTCCTCACCAGACACCAAATCTGCTGGTGCCTTGATCTTGGACTTTCCAGCCTCCAGAATTGTCAGAAATACATTTCTGTTGTTTACAGGCCACCTATTCAGCTTATATGTTGATATACCAGCTCTAACAAACTAAGATATATTTCTTTTATTTTCTTCCTTTATCTTCAATTTTCATTTTAAGCTCAGAGGTACATGTGCAGGATGTGCAGGTTTGTTACATAGGTAAACATTTGCCATTTTGCTGTGGGGGTTTGCTGCACAGATCATCCCATCACCTAGGTTTTTGTTTTTTTTTCTATTCTTTTCTTTCTTCTTCTTCTTTTTTTTTTTTTTCTTTTTGAGACAGCTTCTCACTCTGTCACCCAGGCTGGAGTTCAGTGGCACAATCTTGGCTCACTGCAACCTCCGCCGCCCAGGTTCAAGCAATTCTACCTCAGCCTACTAAGTAGCTGGGATTATAGGTGCACACAACCACACCCAGCTAATTTTTTTCTCATGGAGACAAGGTTTCAACATGTTGGCCAGGCTGGTCTCGAACTCTTGACCCCAGGTGATCCACTCGCCTTGGCCTCCCAAAGTGCTGGGATTACAGGCATGAGCCACCATGCCCAGCCTCATCACCTAGGTATTAAGCCCAGCATCCATTAACTATTCTTCCTGTTGCTCTTCCTCCCCACACTGGCAGGCCCCAGTGTGTGTTGCTCCCCGCCATGTGTCCATGTGTTTTTATCATTTGGCTCCCACTTATAAGTGAGAACATGCAGTGTTTGATTTTCTGTTTCTGCATTAGTTTGCTGAGGATAATGGCTTTCAGCTCCATCGGTGTCCCTGGAAAGGACATGATCTTGTTCCTTTTTTATGGCTGCATAGTATTCCATGGTGTATATGTACCACATTTCCTTTATCCATCAAACTAAGACATACTTCTATAAGGCTATTTCAACATTTATTTCTCTAGCACTGTGTTTATATTATTCTTTTTTAAATGTGGGCAAAAGAGTATTTCGAGCTCCAATCTAGTACTAAAAAGTGCCTTTCTGAATGCATTCATTCAAATATCTGACTTCTCTGATATTGATTCACTTTAAAAGTGAGAAGAGCTGGGGGTGGGGAGAAGGGCAGAAGGCTCCCTGTTGCAGAGAGTTCAATGTTCACTCTGTATGTGAGGACCTGAAAATGCCAGTTCTGCCTTTGGCTGAAGACCTCTCACCAATGCTTTGGACATTTTTCTCTGGTTCTGTCCTTGCTATCCATGCACAGTTGGTTCACTTAACCTGACTGGCTTTGAGGGCACATGCAAGTTTACATAAATGCCCTTCTGCAGGTAGTACCATGCCCTATCTGCTCACCATGCATCCACATGCCAACCTTTATTTCCACTCCCGGTTTACCTCTTCATTTTTTTTAGCTCTTTTACCCTGACTCTTACTCTGAATACTCAATCTCCATAAATCTGCTTTTACCTACCAGTTAACTCTTATTAATCCTATACTTGCTTAACAGAGTTATCTCTCTAAGTCAGATCACCCACCCCTGCCAACCCCACCAGTTGATTTGGAATGGCATATGTTGGTTGATATGGGAATTACTAAATCCTCAGTTACCTTTGTGAAGGAAGCATTTGTTTGGTGACTGTGGTTGTCAAACTTTGCTCCATTAGAATCATCTTGCAGCTTTCAGAAAATCCAATCTAGGTTGCATGTCATGCCAATTAAATCTGAGTCTCTAGGAGTAGAACCGGGGCATCAGCATTAAAACTCTCTAGGTGATTTCAAGGTGTAGACAAGTTTGAGAAACATGGTTTTGGCTGAAAAAAGCAACAGAAATGGAAACACTGTGGAGATGGAATTAGATGTACTGTGCAGAAAACTGGATTCAGGATCTCTTCACCTCACTAGCTTTGCTCCTTTGGATAAGTCATTAAACCTCTTACTGCCTTGTTTTTGTTAATGAGAAAGTGGAATTAATTATTACTTCCTAGGCTAACCCTCAGAATTCTGCAGGGGATTTAGGATATCATGGTTTTGTGGTTTTGGAAACACTCTGTGATTATAACACACAATTTAAATGTGAAGTGTTTTAATAGAATGTTATACGGTACAAAGGCCAATTTTTCAAATTGTCCTATCTCTCATTTCACTCAAACACCATTCACAAATTTGTAAGCTGCATGAAATCTGTGATAGGCAGACTCTCTCAAACTTGTTTTTTGGCCACTCCCTTCTCTCTCTTGGTGCTTAGGACAAGATTCACAGTATCTTCACAGTATTCACTGACTATCCAGGACCATAGCCCTAATCACCATCCTGCTCTGCTTTCACTGTATTCAGAATGATGAGAGGAAGAGGGTGACTTAGGCAGCCAAAGGCTAATCTTTGAGCCTGGAATTAGTGAATAGAATAGTTCATGATGTTTGGCTAGGATTCCAAGGACTGCAAGTAGTGTCCTCCTTTCTGGGACTATTTTGTTATTTCCATTATGGTACTTCCTTTTTAAAAAACTTTTTGACTGGTAGCTTAACTTCTATGCCACCTTATTACCTTCTTTCTCTGTCTTGAATTCTTTTGAAATTGCCATAATATCTTGTATTGAGTCTTTCATTTTTTATCAGCTAATGCTTCTGCTCAACACTTCTGTTCAGTGACTAACGACTATATTTCTGGTTTTGACTGGGGCCCGAGCCTCTATTTCTCACAACTATTTGCTTAATGCATTGGTTTTAGATCCACATCACCTCAGAACCATGGTTAGCACAGGGATATTAGGACTGGCCTTGTCCTCTAACACACCTGCATTATTATTGGTCTGATCTTGCTCACTCATTATCAATTCTTTGATCCTTTACCTACTAAAATACTTAATGATACAATATTAGATAATAATTGTGTGCATTTTTACAATGGATTTTTCAATATACCATACCTTAAATCAACAGAATGACTGCTGCTTGATACTTTACATATTAAAATATTTAATGATCTGATTCTAGATGATAATAATAGTGTGCATTTTTCTCTATTTATTTTTTGAAATAAATAGAGAAACATAGGTTCTTGACTTGTAACCGAAGACTGAAATTATAAAAGTATAAAATTCTACCAAATAAACTTGTAGGTTTCATATAATTTCAATAAAAAATTGTTAACCTGTTATAACTTAAATAGTCTAAATTTCCTCTGAACGAGTAAACATATAGAGATAGCCAATACAGTTTTTAAAAAGAAAAAGAGCTCACTTAAAAATGGAGATCTCACTTTGATGACAAACCATGTAGTAATTTATCTAATAATCTTAAACAGAATGGTGTTGGTGCTAGATTCAACCAGTAAATCAGAATAGAACAAGCAGCACTGCCTATGGAATATTTAGTACATGGAGGATGAAAGCAAACATGAGCATACAATGTTTTAGTTAGATATAGGAGTGGGGAACAAGTAAAATTTCCCCTTTACCTACTGAAAAACATTCAGGCAAATTAGAAGTTAATGAAATCCTATCAGAACTGGGGGGAAAAAAGAATATCAATAATTATTTGATCTAAAAATTAGGAAGGACTGTCTAAGCATAACAGCAACAAAGAGAATCACAGCCAGAAAAGTCATCAATAAATAAGCTTAAAAATGGAAAATTCTGTGTCATATATAACATTTAAAGATAAATGTGCATTAGGAAAGTATTTGAAACATTCATGACAAATAATAGAAGCTATCAATCTATAATATGCTCACGCAAATTGATTAAATGAAAAAAGTCCTTAAACCCAAGAGAAAAATGGTTAAAATGTCACAGCAAGCAATTCTTTGAAAAAGAAATACAAATATTCAATAAATACATAAAAATGCTCAGTTTCATTTATAATCCAAGAAATGCACATTAAACAACTATAGAAAATTATTTCCCACCCTTAAGAGTGCTAAGGGAAAAAAATTTCTCATGCAATAATGGGAAGATGTTACCAGTCTGTCATTTTATTCAGAGTAGCATAGAATTTATCTTTTTATGTATTAATTTTTGGAGACCCATCCTGAAACAATAATCAGATAAATGATCAATTTATTATATTATGGAAGATTTAAAATTATGCATCCATACATTTAAAAGGATTTTATGTAGTCACTAAATTATGTTTGCAAAGAATATTTGATAATATGCAAAAGTTCTCATAAAGTCTCATATAGAAATAAAACATGATACAACATGAGATAGCAAGGCATAATAAGAGTTTACCCACCAAATGATCATATTAAATCACAGTTTGTATATTCAGGGCACTTCCTCGTTCATCACTCATTTAATCCTTATTTGGTAGGAAATGGAAGCATTACCTACTTGTCTTCTTGAGTTGATAAAGAAATAGATTCAAAGCTGATGTTTTCTCATCCTGGCCCCCAACTTTTTCCTTAAGTTTAGTGCCATGGACAAAGAGCTACATAAAATAATTACAGGGTATGTCAATTTTCTGGAACTGTTCCTGAGTTCCTTGTACCATTAAATATAAGGTAATGTATTTTTGGAGTAGCTAATATGTGGTAGGGTCTTGTCTGGGCACACGAATACTCTGGTGAAGAAGAATGAGATGTTTTACTTCTTTTGGAATATAACACTAAGGATGAAAGAAGATAGACCAAAAGCAAATACAAAAATAAACAATATAATTTCCAGACTTGATAAGTGCCAAGAAGAAAACAGAGTGGCTTGTTAGAGAATCAGCATTTGTGGAGTGACAGGAACAGGAGCTTTATTAGAGTAGTCAGGGAAGACTTCCAGGAGGAGGTGACACTTGAGCAGAGTTTTAAATGATGAGAAGGCAGCCATGGGAAGATCTGAGAAGGAGGGTTTCTATCAAAGGAGAGAGCATGTAAGAAAGGCCCTGAGGCAGAAAAGAGCTAATAAGAAAGCCAGTGAGACTGGATCATGGTGTCTAAGGGAGAGAATAGTGTGAGAAGAAATTGAAGAATGCTGAGTTCAGATCATTCTGAGCTGTGGGGTCTAGAATAGCTCATAATATGTGATTGGTGTATATTCTACTGGAAGGCAATCAGAGGAAGTGGAACTTAAACTGACCAGTTGCTCAAATAAGTAGTATTTATGTGGACAGAATGGTGAGGAATACCATAGCATCAACTAGAGCAAGATCATGATATAAAGCAGATTTATATGATAACTATGTGATACAAAAATACATCTGTTCCTTGAGTTATTCCATTCATTAGATAGGGAGGGAGGCTGACTAGCTTTTGCCAATAGCACTTTTGTTTTAACTAACATTTTAAGAAAGTTCAGGTATAGTTGCTGTGAAGCTCTTTTAGAATCCTAGTTTTTCCTTTATCATACTACCTTATATTTAATGGAATGAGAAACTCAGAAACAGTTCCAGAAGATTGACACCCCATATAAATCAAAAATATCAAAAATTGTTCCACACTTTGTACAAGTTATAAAAATTAACAATAGAAAGTTTAACAATAAAAGGCAAATAAACAATACTGTCCAGAGTCTTATCAGTCATGTGAGGCTAATAATAAATGCAACTCAACTGATCATAAATTTAAGAAAAAGTGAAATATTTATTGTTAAAGAATAAATATGAGCCTGAATCCTTAGCAATGCAACATAAATGAACAAAAGATTCCCATTAGATTTCAATGCTTGGTCGATTTAATTTTATTGCAACTAAATTCATCTCTTTTCTGTGAGCAGATTGCAATGTAAACGAATATTTATGATGTTTTATAACTATTCACAGTTCAGTGTTAAGAAAACATCTAAAGTGCTTTTTAGTTATGTATTTTGAGATAGGTAAATTTGAATACCTACAGAAAAAATAAGCCAGGCTCCCTGTTGTGCCTTTGTTGTATTTTGCTAACTGCTTTTTGTATGCTAAAGTTTAACTGACTACAAGAAGAAGAGGAAAAATAAATTTAGAAAGTTTAGGATCAGTTCTTTCCTATTCAACCAATATATCATGACCCACATTCAAACATCCCACTCCTTTTCACCTCTTTTGCCCCTTAGCCTTCTGAAGTCCTCTCCTTACAGAAATCTGATGCTGGAAGAGCTCAGCTATTTGCTTTCTCTGCTTCTCTCCCAGCCTGCCATTGAAAGGCGCCCCAGGAATTATCACTAATACAGGACCTTCATCCTCTGCTGAGCGCCTGACGCTGTACATAAGCCTGAACTTTCCCATCAGCATCTTATCTTTCCCCATGCCTACATTAATTTCCTCAAGACCTCTCTCTGCTCAGCATTCTGCTTCACACCCAATGATTGCCTTTCAATGCATTTCTTCCTTTGTCACAGAAAACAGATGCCTTCCTAAGGGTCTCCTTAAAGTTTTTTTTTTTTTTCCTAGCCACTCTGGTCTTAACACTTACCAAATTATCTTTGCAGCCTCCCATCCTTGCTGCACCCCAAACACTGATGTAGAAGAAGTTCTTGATCTCATCTAAGCTGTTTTCCCCACATCTTCCTTAAACTGTGTTACCTGCCTGCTTATCTAGGCTTAAGCAGACACACTTCCCAGGAATGACCCTTTACTCCTGTCTTCTGTCACTGAATCCACTCAAAGAGGTATTTTAATTTTACCTTTTTTACCTTTTTAAATTTCTTATATCTTGTCCCTTTTCTGCATTGACACTGTCCTGTATTTGGCCCACGTTCTTCAGTTTCTTCTTAAGACTTGTTACCTGAAATTCGTTCAGTCAGCAAATATTCATTAAATGCTGTTGTAGGCAGACTCTGTTTTAGGTAGATGAGACACACAGGGGAACCAAATGTGTTCTTGAGGATCTCTACTCTCTCCTCTTGAGGAGCCTATATACTCGTTGGCAGAGAGCAATAACAAACATAAAATATAATAAGCGAATACCTTATTATATTGTAAATTAAAATGTGGCAAGTGCTATGGAATAGAACAGGGTAAGGAGCACCACGACAGTTGGTGGGGTCAGGGGTTACCATTTAAGATAGGATGCTCAAACTAGGCCTTTCCAAAAAAAGGTGACATTTGGGCAAAGACTTATATGAGGTGGGGGAATATAGAGAGGAGAAATTTGGAAGAAAAACAGAAATGCTCAATAGAAAGAACCTAAGGAGAAAGTATACCTGAAGAGTTTGAAGACCCACCAACCAGTAAGAAGGCCAGAATGGCAGAAGCAGAGTGAGCAAAGGAGAGAAAGTAGATTGAGGTTTAAAAGGTGAAGGGAAAGGCAAGGTAGGTATTTCAGGTACCTTTGCTGTTACTGAGGATTTTTTTTTTAAGCAAAGAGTGATATTCATGTTTCAAGAGGATTGTTCTATTACTGAGTACAGATTTTTAGGGAGTAAGAATGAAAGCAGAGAGACCTGTCAGGAGGTTTTTGAAATAGGTGATGATGGCTCTCTGGTCAAGTAGCAGCAGTGAAGGCGGCCAGAAGTAGAAGAAGTTTAGCTACCTCATGACAGTAGAATAAGATTTGCTTAAGGATTGAATGTGGGACATATAAGACAGAGGTAAGCTAAGGTAGTCCCCAAGAGTTTTGGTCTGAACAACTAGAAGCAGTGAAGTTGCTATCCCTGGAGATGGACAAGGCTGCCAATAGAGCAGGTTTTGTAAGGTAAGACCAGGAGTTCAGTTTTGGACATGTGAAGTTTGAGGTTTCTATTAGATGTTCTAGCGGAGGCGGCATTAAGGAAGCAGTTGCATATGTGAGGCTGGAATTTGAAGGAATGGGTGAGATTTTTATTCATATATATATGTGTGTGTGTATATATATATATACACATACATATTTGAGGTGTTGACATATAGATGTTACAACTGTAGAGAGAGAAGAGAATCAAGAGTGGTACCCTAAGGCTTTCTAACATAGAGAGTCGTGGAAAAAATCTGAAATTCTCTCAAAAACAGAAAAAGAAATGACCAGTGAGATAGAGAAAAGCATAGATAGATAAAGCAAACATAGCTAAAGAAAATATGTGCCTTGGAACCAAGATCAAGCAAAGATATTTAAGAAGAGGATTTATGCAACTGTATTATGTTGATAATAAATAGGTCACTTAACATGAGGACTAAGAATTGTCCGTTGGATTTAGATGAATAACTTCTGTGGAACAGAGGGGCCTAAAGCATGATGAAAGTAGGTTTACAAAAATAAATGGGAGAAGAAAAATTGGGGCAGTGAGTATGGACAACTCTTGTGAGATGTCCAACAAAGAGAACAGAAAAACATGACAGTAGCTGGTGGGAAAAACGAGTCAAGAGAAAGATTTTTAGGATGGGAAGAATGAGAGCATATGTGTATGCTGATGGGAATAATCCATGGGAAAAGAAAAATGTCTTGCAAGAGGCAGGGAGAATTGCTTGGAGCAGGCGAGAGGGAATGGCATCTAGTGCCCACGTGGAGAGATGCTTTTAGCAGGTGCACAGGAAGCTCACTGCTGATGTCTGGTAGGGGGTCCAGGACATGCAGGCTCTGAAAGTGGTAGATGTGGTGTTGAGGGTCTGTGGAGGTTCCCTCTGGTTGCTTCCATTTCCTCAGTAAAGTAGGAAGCAAGGTCAACCACTAAGTATGAGGTTGGGGAGGAAGAGGCAGTTTGAGGGAAGAAGAGGGGTGATAAATATCTGGAAGGTGGAGGAGTGAATGGCCATGCAGCCTGATTGCTGGGCAGCACAGAGAGCCCATTCCTGGTCATGCAGATCAAAGGCGATCTGTCAGGGAAACTTTATCTCTCCAAGTACCTGGTTCACTCCATCTTGGTCTTGTTCATAGTGAGAGTTCTGTAGCTAGGACAGTGCCTGGCACACAGCAGGCACCTCATCCCCATCCTGCCTCTAACCTGGCCTCCCTCGAATTCATTCTTCACACAGTTGTCAGAGGGAGTACTGTAAAAACAATGCTTATCTAGTTGCAGTGATTTTCCTTAGTCCTCAGTACAGCTCAAACTTGTTACGGCAGGACAGAAAGCTTTTCATGGCCTGGTCTTTGGTTAGGTTTGAAACTGCAGCTGTTGTGTTTATCCTCATGCCCCACACTGTAGGGGCAGTCGTATTGGCCACCTAGCAATTGCCATGATGTTCAGTGCTATTTCTTTCTGGACTATCCTCATCACCTCTAGCTTTCACCTAACTAATTCGTACTGATGCTTCAGAGATTCAGCTCAGACATCACCTGCTCCAAGGAGCCTTCACTGACACTCTCTCTAACACTTCCTCCTCCCAGGCTGCACTGGATGCCCTACAGAATCCTTCGGTGACTTCTATCTCACCCTTTCTTATGTGTCTCCTCTGTTCAACAAAATAATATTGGTAAATTCTAGGATGTCAACATGGTATTTATCTGTATCCTGAGCTCCTACCATGGTGTCTGGCATATAACATGTTCTCAAAAAATGTCTGTGGAATGAAGGAAGAAAAGACAAGAACCAGTAATGACTGTCTATTGTCTATCAAGACAGGTTCCAGTAAACATTAATACATGATACATAGCAGTAAGCTCCAAGGCAGCCATTCTGGACTTCTTGGATTATTTGCTTAATTCTTTGACCCTTTCCTACTCCTAAAGTTACTTTATGTATATCTCTGATTTTTACAAGTAGAATAGTTGTGATGTGTTTAAGATCTGATTTGCAGACATGGCATCAGTAAGACATACCCATTGAACAGTTTTTCAGAGTCTGGAGTTAGGTGGCCCTGAGCCATGCTCACTTACCTATGTATGATTAGCAAGGAGCAAGAAACACACATCTAGAGGCCTTTAGGCTCAGGCTGAATCTACACTCCCTCCCTTTACCTCTAGGAGTCTCCATTTCCTCATTTGTGATAAGCTTGCCTGGAGTGATATTCTAAGGATGGCATTTTGTAGATGAACAAAAAATGCTAGTTCGCTGTTATAATCATGACCCAGGATTCTCATTGTTTGGGCAGCTGCCCTAAATAACAAGTGGCTACAGATCTGAATAAAACAACTCTTCCACTTGACAAACTGCCTTTCTCTACTCTCTGAGGTCAGCCTGCTTCTTGTTCTTTAGGTCTTAATTTGAATGTCCTCACCTTCTTCAGTCACTCTGTCTAAATCAATTCTCACCACACCTTCCCCATTCCCCACTTACCTCCCCCTTGTCATCTCAATGCTGCAGTCCCTTCATAGTGTTGATCAGCATTTGCAATTCTAGAGTTCAAGTCCCATAATTATCTTGTTCAGCGTTATATGTCCAGTGCCTAGAGTCCAAAACATAGATAACAAGCAATCCATAAATACCTGAAGAATGGATGAATTGCACTATGCTTTGATCATACTGGACAGCTAATTTGCCTAGGAATTCTAGGAGTTGTTTAATTTTACCAAGTCACCTAGAAACTTTGAAGAGAATGTTTATCTCTCAGCTTCAGGTATAAGGATCATCCCTTCTAGACTTTTCTTCTGTCTCCCATTCCTAATGGCTTCACCACTGAAGATTACGACAACTATATTCTGTGCTTGCAGAACAATTTGTAAGTCTAAACCATCTTCAAAAGTTCTTAGCAAATGCTTGGAAACAGAATATTTAGAAAAACAGGTAGCTTCTTAAATGAAGCCGCTGTATGTATGTATGTATGTATATATATACATATGTATGTATGTATAATAAAATCTATTGGCCGTGCTTTAGGATTAGAATCCCAACCTGCCTCCCCATTCCACCAGGAATTGAAGGAGCATGCCAGAATGCGTTGGAAAGCTGATTACGCCCTGCAGTCGCTTACAAACTGGCTCAACACGTCAAGACTGACGTGCTTGAAATCTAGTGAGAATCTAAGTCAATATAAATCACTGGCTAAACTGTGTTTTACTGGAGAGTCGTGAAGTTACTCTAACTTAAATACAGGACGCCCCAGTGGGGGAAGATCATTGAAGGCTAAAAGCTTCCTCCAGGAGGTGGGGCTTGAGAATGAGTGGAAGAGGCTTGGAATCTGGGAGGCATGGCTAGAAGGGGTCGGGGTCGGGGTCGGGGGCATGGCCCCTGCCGGTGATAGGCTTGCAGTTCCCAGAAGGAGGTAATGCAAGGACGCGAACCTAGGTGGGCGATGAGGGAGGTGGGAACCTTGAACAGCCCCGGGTCTGGCACACTGTGCCGCATGTTGGATGGTTCTGCAAAAGCTGTGACTTCCCCTCTACTTGTTTATTGCCTCCTGCCTTCCCCAGAACAAAGCAAAACTAAACCAACACCACCAAACAAAAAAAATCTCTTCCCGCAGGATGGGCAGCAGGTGGAGATTCCATGCTCTTGCTAAAGGAACCATAAGGACAAGTGTTTATGAAAATGTGTCTGGCTAAAGAGTTACTTTCCGTAAAGGACGAGAGATTAAAAACAAATGACAGCAGGACGCAGAGCATGACTGTGTGTGCATATGTGTGTACTGTGTGCACCTTTGTGTGGGTGTACAGTATATACCCATGTTGTGTATATGGGTGGTGTGCTATAGAGTGTGTGTGTGTGCGCGCAGGTAGGTGGGTGAGTGTACAGTATATACCCATGTTGTGTGTATGTGTGGTGTGCTATAGAGTGTGTGTGTGTGTGTGTGCACAGGTGGGTGGGTGAGTGTACAGTATATGCCCATGTTGTGTGTATGTGTGGTGTGCTGTAGAGTGCGGGTGTGTGTGTGTGCGCACAGGTGGGTGGGTGAGTGTACAGTATATGCCCATGTTGTGTGTATGTGTGGTGTGCTGTAGAGTGCGGGTGTGTGTGTGTAAGGCACACATTTTTCTCCTTCCTCTGGCACCTGCTTGGGCATCCTCAGTTCTTGGCTTCTTCACAGCCAGGAGGTTTGGGGCACGGCCCCTGTTTCCTTTTCTGCTTCTCTGTGTACCTGGTGTCCCCTTGTGCTCTGCTGCCCACTGCAGGGACCCTTCCCCTCACTGCTGCCTGCTTTCCTTCCCAGCCAGAGGAAGGGGGCCATGTTCCTGGGGAAGGCGGGAAGGCCAGCAAGTGACTTTGATGGATCGCTTTGCACGGGAGACCCAGCTCTCCCAGATTAGAGAGGCTGCAGCTCGGCGCCGGTGCCTCCAACTGGGGGTTGTTCCGATGAGATAATTTTTCTCATTAACCTTGATAACTCTCTGCTGATATACGGATCTGTTTGCACTAACGCAGAACTTTTTTTTTTTTTTTTTTTTTAATATTTTTCGGTCTTCTACACCTTCCAGGCAGGAGAACTCGGAGCTTGGTGTCAGCCTCCAGGCTGTTGAGTAGCCTGGGTGCCAGCTTCTGGGTGCCCCGGCAGACCTGCAGGGTGGAGCTTAACAAGTCCCTGTGTTCAGTATCCTGGATTTTCTTGGCCATAAAGCTGTCAACAAATGTGGAATAGGTGTTGGAGTGAATGAGCAGTTTAGAGATTTAAGAAACCCATGAGGCAGAGGTGGGCTCATCTGCTCCCACTCCCCCTTCACTCCCTTTAGCCTGCAGCAAAACCCAGCTACTTGTTGTGGCTCCTTGCAATAGCTCTGATTTCAGACACCTTGGCTTCTGCCAGAACTGTCCCTGTGCTGCAAAGTGTAATGGCAATGTGCCAGAACCATTACTTGGGGCATGTCTTTTTCAGCAAGCTTTCTCTTCCCTAATTAAAGTGAATTTCTGTATTGTGTACATACTACCCTTACGGTATTTATTATAATAAATTGTGCCTATTGGTCAAGTCTTTTTCCCTGGCAGTCTGTGAGCATTTTGAGAATACAGTCTGTCATTTTCATTTTTGTTTCCTCAGCATTAATACACGGTCTGGCAACAGTGAGAATTTGGGGAATGTTTGTTGACTTTTGAAGAGAATTAAACAAGACACAAAATTAGGAAGTGCCTTGAATGCTTCATGGAGTTTAGTTTTATGGGGGAAGTTATTAGCATAGGTTGAATTGTATCCATCTGGGGCCTAATGTTGGGCCCTTACACATAGAGCATCCTAAGTATCTCCCCAGAGCCCCTCAGAGTGGACAGGGCAAGTCAATATATTGAGGATCCTGGTCAATTACAGTGAATAATTGCAAAAATGGGCCCCAAGAATTTAATAGACTAACAGATTAAACACCTTTATGAAAACCCACTGCAATACAATTATGTTGTCTATGAGGTAAATTTTAATTTTTTAAATAATTCACAATACACTACAGGCAGTGTGATCCAGTATGAGACACAAGAGAAATGATGGCCATCTTTCAATTTTGACAGTGTACTTCTGTGAGTTTATACAAAGTGATTTAAAAATTATGTCAAAGTTCTAAGTTTAAGCTTCTTCATGAATGTGATGCCTGCACAGTAGCTTTGCTTGACTTTTAGTCTCTGATTTGATCCTTCACTACACACGCATACAACAAACACCCTCTCTCCATTTTTTCCTTAGCCAGGCAGCCTTTGCTTATCAACTGACACTCCATTTTGGAAAGAGGTTATGTATTTGGGGGGAAGTAAAATTAACCTTATAATTCTTTAATGAGGCTGACAAAGACATTGTGTTGGGTCATAAAGGCAGGACAAGTAGAATGTAAAGAACTCTCCAGATGCTCTCCTCTCTGAAGAACACAGGGAGGTGTTTGCTGGCAGCTGCTGCAGTGTTGGAGCCAGTGTTGATGTTTGAAAAAAGGACTCAGACTGAAGGGAGAGGAATGATGTCATCTCTTGAAGCAGGGGCCAGTTCTTAAACTTAACACTCCTTAGAATAGACTGTGGAGATGGAGTGAATTCTAAGAATTTGTGCTTCTTACAAGTTTCTGGTTGTTGTTGATGTTGCTAGTCCATTGCTCTAAGGGAAACTGCATAAGAAAAGTGTGCCAGGTTACCCCAGAATTATTAGAGATAAGAGGAACCAGTGGGTGCTATTTGAATTATAGAGAATTTAAGATGCAAAGGATCTGATAAATCATTTGATCCACACCCTCATTTTATAAACAAAGAAATAACAGAGATCTAATGAGGGGTAGTAATATCATTTTAAAAATAAGTGAGTTGATGTTACAAATATTTGGTCACAAAGTCATCTAAAACCACCCGAGTGGTTGTTTCAGCTACTAAAGATACTAAAAAGATTATAGTGATATACAAAATAAAATTAAGAAGTGAACACTTTTCTTTATCTAAAGATTCTGGTTGCTAAATTCAATGTGAGGAGAACTATGTTCAAATTGTGCTTCATCTAAATGATTTCTTCCTACTATGTGCCAGGCACTGTACAAGGTCCTGGGGAAATAGCTTACAGTCCAGTGAAGGAGATTCACTTTTGACAGTATAGAGTTTGCCGAAGAGAAGTTTTCAGAAAAGCTCTGCCTGCAGGAACTTTTACGGAGTATCAGCCAAGTGACAGAAACTGAAATGGTTGCGAAGAAGTGGGCTTACCAGCAAATGTACCCAGTCCTTGGCAAATGTAGAGATATGTCTAAGGTCTAAGGTCAATAAAAATTATTATGCTTAAAATTGAGAAATGGGGTCTAATTAAACTAAAAAGCTTCTGCACGGCAAAAGAAACTATGATCAGAGTGAACAGACAGCCTACAAAATGGGAGAAAATTTTTGCAATCTATACATCTGACAAAGATCTAATATCCAGAGTCTACAAGGAACTTAAACAAATTTACAAGAAAAAAACACACTGCCCCATTAAAAAGTAGGCCAAAGACATGAACAGACACTCTCAGAGAAGACATTTATGTGGCCAATAAACATATGAAAAAAAGCTCAACATTACTCATTATTAGAAAAATGCAACTCAAAACCACAACGAGATACCATCTCATGCCAGTCAGAATGGCTATTATTAAAAAGTCAAAAAACAACATATGCTGGTGAAGTTGCAGAGAAAAAGGAATGCTTTTACACTGTTGGTGGGAGTGTAAATTAGTTCAACCACTGTGGAAGACAGTGTGGCAATTCCTCAAAGACCTAGAGGTAGAAATACCATTTGACCCACCAATCCTATTACTGAGTATATACCCAAAGGAGTATAAATCATTCTATTATAAGGATACATGCACACATATGTTCATTGCAGCACTATTCACAATAGCAAAGATACAGAATCAACCTAAATGGCCATCAATGATAGACTAGATAAAGAAAATGTGGTACATATACACCATGGAATACTATGCAGCCATAAAAGGAACATGTTTATATCCTTTGCAGGGAAATGGATGAAGCTGGAAGCCATTATCCTTAGCAAACTAACTCAGGGACAGAAAACCAAACACCACATGAACTTCTCACTTGTAAGTGGTGGCTGAATGGTGGGAACACATGGACACATGGCGGGAAACAATACACACTGGGACCTGTCAGTGGGGTTGCAGGAAGGGAGAGCATCAGGAAAATTAGCCAATGCATGCTGGGCTTAATACATAGATGGTGGGATGATCTGCGCAGCAAACCACCATGGCACACGTTTACCTATGTAATAAACCTGCACAGCCTGCACATGTACCCATAAACTTAAAATAAAAGTTGAAGAAAAAAAATGTTATGCTGTTATCTCATATATTTTGAGGAAGCCTGGAAAAATCCAGCCAGAGCAAGTGCTTCTTGATTTCCACTCTCATTACAGGGCTTTCACTCTCTCTTGGCCTCAGTTTCTTGTGTAGCAAATGGTGTGAGGATTTAATAGAATGAGATGAGGAGAGTAAAGAGGCCTCACTCAAGGCCTGGCATGTGGAAGACGAGCAATAAAATTGTAGTTTATGCTATAACTTTAGAATGTTTAGAATTCCAGATATGCTGCTTTGCCTGTGTGCTATGAAGTGAATAATATTATTATTCTTCCTTTGTTAAGAAAAAAAGGTTCAAAAAGGTGAAGAAACATGCTTACACAGTTAGTAGCTGTAGATCATGAATTCAAAGCTGAAGCTCCCTAAAACCAAGTTTCTTTCTCTCTCTCTCTTTTTTTTTTTTTTTTTGAGGCAGGGCTCATAGTCACTCAAGCCAGACTGCAGTCATGTGATTGTGGCTCACTGCAACCTCTAATTCCTGGGCTCAAGTGATCCTCTCATCTTAGACTGCAGAGTAGTTGGAGTAGTGGTACTATAGGCATGCATCAACACTCTTGGTTATTTTATTTTTTGTAGAGGTGGGTCTCTCTATGTTGCTTAGGCTGGTCTCAAACTCCTGTTTCGAGTGATCCTCTTGCCTCAGCCTCCTCAAGTGATCTTCCTGCCTCAGCCTCCCACATTGTTGAGATTACAGGTGTGAGCCATCTTGCCTGTCCTATTTTCTTAATTATTCTTTCTTAATGATACTGTAGCCTATGGGATGTAAAAGTTCTGGAAAGAGTTGCTTGTTATCTGATCCAAAGAATTAGTTGATCTATAGTACTTTTTGTTTTGAGGGGGTTGTGTGTAATCACTTCAGCTTTCTTCACATTATTTCCATAAGTTAAGAGTTAAAAACTGGATTTGCGGCAAGTTGCTATAGTCCTCATCATACCTTTTATCTTATACCTAATCTGCTTCACTTATTTGTGTTACCTGCCACTTCCCTATGGCATCTGAACTTATGGTCCTGGAATATTCCTTTTCTATTTCTTCTTGCCAAAGAATCCTGATGTATCCACATAAAGATTTATACATATAAGCTCATAACAGATTTACTTAAGTAATAAAACAAAACAAAAAAATAGAAACAAGTCATACATCTATCAATGAGTGAATGCATAAAAAATTGTGGTAAGAAAAGAAAGGCAAGAACATGGATGGATATTAAAAACATAGATAATGACTGAAAGAAGCCAGAAATAAAAGGACACAGTGCATGATTTAATTTGTATGATATTCTAGACCTATAGTTCTGCATTGAAACTAATCCATAGCAACAGAAAGCATATCAATGGTTGCCTTAGGTCAGGAGGGGAAGTGGATGGGGGATTGACTTCAAGAGACACAAGGAGCTTCTGAAGAGTAATGAAAATTTTCTGTATCTTGATTGTGGTGGTGATGATTACACAATTGTATACATTTGTCAAAATCCATTGAACCATATACTTAAAATGGATGGGTGCATTTAATTACACGTAAATTATACATCAATAAAATTGATTATTTAAATTAGCTCTTGAAGGGCCAAAGAGCTTTGCAAAAGAAACAATGCATGTGTCTGCAGAGTATTGGACTTCCAGCTAGGCGACCTTAAGGTTTCTCTTAATCTCATCACAAATTAGAGCTAAAACTGCATAACCCAAATAAAACCAACTGCCTTGTGGACAGTTCAACAATATTTAGGTAGAATCATTTTATATTTGCTAGAGATGCTCCTGCAACAAATAGTGATGGAGGCAAAATTTCAGAAGGTTTGTCATGTGTGGGATATCACTCTTCTTTAATTGTGGGGGATGGCACTGCCCTTACTTATAAAAGATACTTTCTGTGTGGTTTTATTTTTTTAAACTGAAATACAACCTGTATACAGTATACATATCATTAGTGTATAGCTTGATGCATTTTCATAAACTGATTACACTCATGTAATTTTCACCCAGATTGAAAATAGAGCAACCTCAGCATTCCAGACACCCTCTCCTGCTACTTGGCACCCCATTATTCACCTCAGAAGGGTAATCTCTCTTCTAAAAGTTGGCACCATAATTTGATACTTTTAAGACATTATGTAAATGGAATTGTATAGTATGTACTCTTTTGTGTCTGGTTTCTTTGATCAACATTCTATTTATGAGACTCATTCATACTTTTGCCTGTTGTGAAATTAATTGTTCTCATTACTGTGTAATATTCCATTGTGTGAATATACTATAATTTATCAATTCCTAAAGTTGCTTTTTGACTAATGAAACCTTCTTTAAAATATTTGTAGCTTGACATAAAAAGCACAATTCATGAAAGGAAAAATTGATAATTATTTTTTATAAATTATAAATTATAATTGATAAATTATTGAACATCTCCAAAATTAACTTTTGCTCTGTGAAAACTCATATGAAGAGACAAAAAAGACAAGCTACAGACTAAGGAAAACCATTGCAAAATCCATTATGACAAAGGACTAGTTTTTAGGCTATATAAAAAACCATGAAAACTCAACAGTAAAAAACAAATAATTCAATTAAAAAATGAGTAAGAAACATGAAGAGATTTCACTGAAGAAGCTATACAAATGGCAAATAACTACACAAAAAAGGTTCAACATTATTAGTCATTAGGGAAATGCAAATTAAAACCACAATGAAATATTATTATCCACTTACCAGAATGGCTAAAATAATAAATAGTGATGATACCACATGCTGACAAGGATGCAGAGAAACTAGATTGTTCATATATTGCTGGTATAGATGTGAAATGGCACAGCCATTCTGGAAAAGAGGCAGTTTCTTATAAAACTAAGTATGCAATTACTGTATGTACCATCGTTTGCATTCCTGGGTATTTATTCCAGACAAATGAGAACATTTGTTCACACAAAAACCTGTACACGAATGTTCACAGGAATTTTATTTGTATTAGCCAAAATCTGGAGTCTGCCCAGATGTTTTTCAATGGGTTAATGGTTAAACAAACTGTGGCATAACCATACTGTGGAACACTAGTCAGGAAAAAAAAAAAAAAAAAAGGAAAAAAACCCACTGAACCACGGATATAAACAACTTGGATGAATCTCACAAAAATTATATGGAGTGGAAAAAGGGTACTCAAGGAAAGCCACACCTTCTTATTTCCCTTTCCCCATCTGTAAACCCCAGCAACCACTGTCTGTTCTCCATTTCTGTAACTTTGCCATTTCAAAAATGTTATATGAATAGAATATGAATGGAATTGTACAGTGTGTAACCTTTTGGGATTGTCTTTTTCCAATCTGTATACACATACTGCATATGTGATAAAACCGTATAGAAGTAAATACGCACGCACAAAAGTGTGTACATGTAAAACTAGAGAACTCTGAGACTGGTGAGTTATATCAGTGTCAATATTCTGATTGTGGATTTTGCTATTACAAAATGTAAGGGTAAGACTGGGTAAATGGTACATGAGCTCTCTCTGTATTATTCCTTATGACTTCATGGAAAGCTACAATTATCCCAATATAACTCAATAAGAACTTGTATTTATTAGGTTTAGCGATCATTTCTAACTTAGAAATAAATTACTATAATGCGATTGTATTATTCCTAAAAAGCTGAGATCAGCTTCTTTCATGATTGTTTTTGATCAATAGTAATTATTATTGATAAGAAATAATAATAATGGTTACTAAAGACTTGGAGTGGGATCATTTTGAAGCGTGAAATTCTTGAAATAATCTAGGATTTATCAAAGTGGCGAGCTTTGGCCAGCAAACGGCACTTGGGAAAGAAAGGTACCAGGTAATGGAATATGGTAAAACTATGTTCACTTTGCAAACATGCTGAGGGCCTGATGACAGCAGGCTTTCTCATCCGCCAAGGGATAAGTGTGTCAAGGGCTGAGCCTGAAGAATTCTAGTCTCATACTCCAGATTTGTTTCACAGAGGCTTTACGAGAGAGCAAGATGAGAAACATATAGAGCTCATATTATGGTGGAAAACATAATTAAAGAAATAACCCCTCAAAGAGACTTTAACATTCCCTTGGATTCTGAGAATTTTATCAGGAACTTGAGCCCATGGTGGCAAAGGACTGGTTGCAGAAGTGACAGAAAAATGTGAACGAATGGATTGCTTCTGAAAAGGCAGTTCGTACAAAAGGACAGTCATGGGGGAAAAAACTCAAACTGTTTTTCCTCTGTTCTCATATCACAACAATAATCAACACAGAAGACTTCTGTGACCAAATGTGTGGGGGGGTTCTCCCCACCAACAAGCAAGCAATCAACCTGCAGCAGACGCCAGCTGGGTTTTCTTAATTAATTTCCAGCACTATCTACCTGGGGCTAGCATCAGATCCCACAAGGTGGGTGCTCAGTCCACAAGACTACTTCTCACTTCCAATGACAATCCCAAGCCCCACGTTATTTTTCCTGTGCTTCTGACTGACCAGCTATAAATTCACAACTGTCTCCTTGGTTATGATTACATTTGCTGGAGTAGCTCACAAACCTCAGGGAAACACTTACTCTCATTTATTAGTTTATTACAAAGGATATTTTAAAGGATATAAATAAGTAGCCAGATGAGGAGATACATATGGCAAAGTCTGGAAGTGTCCCAAGCACAGGAGCTTCTGTCCCTGTGTAGTTGGGGTGTGCCATCCTCCCAGCACATGTTTGAGTTCTTGCTCACCTTCCTGTAAGCCTCCATATGTTCAGCTATTCAGGAGCTCTCTGAAACTAGTCCTTTTGAGTATTTATGGAAGCTTTATTACATAGGGATAATTGATTCAACTATTGGCCACTGGCGATCAACTTAACCTTCAACCCCGCTTTCCTCCCCAGTTGTTGGTAGTGGGGATTAAAGTTCCAATCCTTTAATTCTGCTTTGGTCTTTCCTGGGATCAGCCCCATCCTGAAGCAGCTAGGGGCTGTCAATTATCAGTCAACTCATTAGCATACCAGAAGACATCACTTTGGAGTTTCTAAGGATTTCAGAAGTTGTATGCCAGGAAAGAGGATTGAACACCAAATATATGTTTTACAATATTACAAAAAGAAAATTATATTATCCTTCATCTGAAATTAAAAAATAATTCCAATATTTCTGAATGAATTGTTGAGATTGGGTTAAGGAATCTAGTTCTCCAAACAAGCCAGACTAAGTATGGTCCAACCATAACTAAAAACAAAACAAAATCTAAAATTGGAGATTATTCCACCTGTGAGCTTTTATTTGTGATATTTGATCTGAAACTTGATATCCCATCAATACGCAAATAATGGAGGAACTTGAAGATTGGCGAATGGCAATGTAGACAGTTTGTGTATAATACCTGGAATTCACCAAAAATGCTTTATTTTATTGGTAAGTCACAGAGATTCCCCAGCATGTACCTGGCATAAAGTAGGAACTAAATAAATCTTTGCAAGAAGAAAGGGCACACAAAAAGAAGAAAGGAAGGAAGGAAAAGGAGGAAGGAGGGGAGAAAAGACCATATTTTAAGCTTTGGCTGAATTTATACACCTAAAGACAAAAAATAAAATGTGTTTGATTAAACTATTCAGTAAGTAAAAGACATCGACATTTCCTCACTTACTTCATACCTTCTAACCCTCTCCCCAGTAAACCATTGATTAGTGAGTTAAAATATACATTTAGAATAAATTCAAAAGTTCATAATTATGAAAAGTATAAATTGAGATGACTGTTTAAAATGGATTTCTTTCTCTCTCTCCCTCCCTCAGAGAACTCCAGGTGAGGAAGGAAGAAACATGGTTAGACTACAGTGATGCCATTTCCTTATGTAAGCATTTGACTTCAGAAATTGAAACTGGCCATGATTATTGAGTAGGCACGGCAGTTCAGCTGAAGGATGATCAATGGACTTCAACTCAGATGCAGATCTTGACTGACAGAAGATAATTATCATTCAAGCTAATGGGGAACTTGAATTGGACTCAATGGTGTTAGAAAGTGAAGAAAGGCTAAGTCTTCCTAAATAAGAAAAAAATAATAATATCTTTGGTGAGTTCATCCTTTTAGCCTGAGTCTCTTTGATAGTTGACAGTAAAAAAGTTTGCATCTTCAAATAATTGTTTTCAGTTTAGATTATTATCAATGTTCTTTGTTGCTGTTATTTAGTATATTTCCACAGAAAGAGGCTAGAAATTGCCTTCTTCCCTCTAGGTGAGAGTAACTGAGCATTATAAAGGTTTTCTGCCAAAAGCATGGAGCCTCAGATAAGTAATCTCATCCTTCACCTATGATAAATAAGCTATTAAAAATCAAGAAAAAAAGAAACAGAATGTGTGAAATGCACAGACAATGTTGTAGAAACCTCATTTGTGAGACCATGAGTCTTCCCCATTGTTTCGCCACAATGCTGAATCTTCTCTATTTATATTTTTGTTTGGGGATTTTTTTCTTTCCCAGGCTGAAATGTTTTGTGCATGAGACTGAAAAGCTGCCAGGACTGGTCCATCTGGCTGGCCAAATGGATTGTGCTCACTGGAGCAATGCCACACGTATACCAGCAGAAAGTTTAATTTCTGGGCAGTCTAACACCCTGCCTCTTTTTCAGTGTAATAGAGACCACATTTCTGTTTTCCAGAAACTTCTCCAATTGACCTGAATGTTGTCACCTCGTCTTGCCTCCCATAATCTTAATCCCAGTCTCTGGAGAGTTCAAGAGTGCAAATTCTTCTTTCTATCAAGTCCAAAGCAGTGAAATGAGTTTGATGAAAAGGGTTATGGCAAATGAAAAATAACTAAATTATATTTGATTACATTTGTCTGACCTTGAACAATCTTAGGAGCCAGAGTAGTCATTTCAGTTAAGTAATTTAGTTTAAATTACTTAATTAAGAAATAAAATTTCGTGGAATTCCCTAGATTAATTTGCACTTATACTTACAAGCATCAACATTTATAATCAATTTAAAGAGGAAATAGGCCTAGAGTATTTTATAGTTTGCAGTGAAATCTAATTGGATTCATTTGGGCTGAAATAGGAAATACAGAGAGATCTGATATATTTTTAATTTCCCAAATCTTAAGAACAATAATGGCCATTTAATCTTAGTGAGACACTGAGTTTTGGACCTGGAACTGCGGAAATTGTGGATTTTGGAGATAAGTGGCTGATTCCCCCCATGTTCTTACCTTTCAGGGAAGGTATTCACCAGTCTAGATTGCAGCAGGAACCCACAGGCTGTGTTGGCTTCTGCATCAGCAGAGCAGGGAGGGTGCCTGAATCTGCCAGGGCCTGCTCTTCTCAGCCTCTGCAAATGTTCTCTATCCAAACCTTTCCTTCCCCTCTTTCTCCAGAAAATTTAAATGAGAATGTCAAGATTAGATATGAGTGTTTAAGAAGATTCTGTCTGATGTTCAGGACAGTGATTTGAGAGGGAACAGACTGAGACACAGTGGGGCATTTTTGAGGCCACGTGTCTGTCCTAGTCAGAGATCCTAAGATCCTGAAGTAAGACAGCAGTAGTAAAAATGGAGAAGAGATATTCTAGAGGTCATATCAAAAAGCTTGGTGATCTATTGGGACAAGTTGGGAAAAAAAAGGATGAGGGAGAAAGAAAAAGCAAGGATGGCTCGCAAGTTTCTGTCTTGGGTGACAGCTAGTCCCCCATGCATCTGTATATTCAAGCTTGTCTGGAGCTGGGCAGGATTATGCCTGTAGTACCATCCTTTTATTTTCCAGTGTGTTTCAGTTTGGCGGTCAAATTTATGTGGTCACTCTAGTAAAAGAATGAATGGCAATCACATTGGGAACTTCAGGGAAGAGACGAGCTGAAAGGAGGTTTTAGACCTATTATATCTGAAATGCCTATGTTACAATTGGATTTATTTTCTCACTTCCTTTAAACCGTTGTTCAAACATTCCGTTTTCATTGAGCTTCCCCTGACTATCTAATCCTTCAACTTCCCCCTTGACCCATCTTTAATCCTCCTTTTTTTGCTCTACTTTTTCTTTACTCATAGCACTTTACACCTTCTGACATGCTGTATACTTCACTTATTCAGGATGTTCATTGACCACTGCTTGACCTCTGCCAGGATGGAAGCTCCCTATGGACAAGGATCTTGGTCTCTTCTGTTTAATGATGTATCCCAAGCACTTAAAACAGTGCCTTCTATTTAGCAAGTGATCAGTGAATAATTTTGGAAAGAATGGATGAGTGAATGAATTTACAAGTATAGATTGCATGCCTACTGTGTCCCAGGATGTTCAGCACAAAGTGAATCATATAATTTCAGGAACAAGAGAAGGTCTACACTAGAGTTATGAGTGTGTGTCTGTAGCAAGTAGATCATGTTTGAAGTTGTGGCGTGATTTCCATAGGGAAATCATTTTAAGTGAGGTAAGAACAGGGCTCGGGACTGAGCATAGAAATTAACAACAATTAGGGAAGGTGTGAGAAGAGAAATTTGGATGGAAAATGAGTAGGAGTGGCCAAGAAAATAAGCAGAACCAGGAAAGGATACTGTTGTAGAAACTGAGGGGGATTAGAAGTTTTTTTTAAGAAGGGAGTTGTCAAGAGTATGAAATAAAATGCATTATTCAAGTAAAGCCTGAATAATTGTTACCAAATTTGTTAGCAAGATGGTTGTTATGGGCTGAACTGTGCCCCTTCCACCAAATTCATATGTTGAAGGCTTAATTCCCAATATGACTGTATTTGAAGACCTTTAAAGAGGTGATGAAAGTTAAATGAGATTATAAGGATGGGCCCCTGATCCAGTGGGATTGGTGTTCTCATAAGAAGAGAGAAAGACATTAGTGGTGCACTCATACAAGTGAAAGACCATGTGAGGACGCAGCAAGATAGTGGCCATCTGCTCGCCAACGAGAGCGGTCTCAAGAGAAACCAAACTTGTTATTACCTTGACCCTGGACTTCCAGCCTCAAGAACTGTGAGAAATATATTTCTATTGTTTGAGCTACCCAGTCTGCGGTATATTGTTCTGGAAGTCTTAGCATACTAATAAAATTGTCATTATCAGAACGTTGTGATTGAAATCACAACATTTTTCAACAATATCTAAAGCTGATACCACATAGCAGTAGGGTAAGGAGTCAAAGGAGGGGTGAGTATAATCCCCTCTTATGGAATGGTAATTATATGGGAGGAGAGAAATGACCCAGGAACCAGAGCCTGTGTGGGAACCCCAGGAAAGAGCCATAAAAAGTTGTTGCCATGAAGTAAGACAAGTTGATAATTTTCACACTATAATTTTACAATATTATGCATATCGATGAGGGGATATTTATTTGTTTTGTAACCAAAGGAAATTCTTGGTAGTTTTAAATTTGAGACAAGTAGGAAACTATTATGACTATATTAACAATGAAGCTAATACTCTTTTGGCATGATTTCTGGGTCACTGAAACAGCCTAGACCTATGGAGCTAAAAGTTGTCTTAGGTGGTGTTTAAAAAAAAAAAAACCAAAAAACTAATAGTATTTAAGGCTACTACCCACCTTAATTCTTTCACACTGCTGAGTTTAAAGACTGCCATATGAATATAAAAGCATAGCCCAATTAAGGATATAGTCTCTTACTTAGAAATTGATAGGTTAGACAATGCTGTAGTATCACTGGAAATGGAAAGAGAGAAAATTAAATTTACCAAAATTTCTCTTAGAATGAGTATTATTTGTAGTTAAAAGGAATAATGTTATAGTCTGCTTCTGGGTTAGGATGGGGAGGCCATGGAGAATATAGCTGAGTAACAGCAGATGATCACTAGACCTACTTCTTTAGAAGGTGGAAGTTAAATGCAAGGATTTATTTAAATTAGTAAATATCCAAACTAGACTACTGTTTTCAGCATTCTTTTTTTCTTCTTTTCTTCCCTCAAATGTCTTCATTTCTTCTCTAGATAAACAAGGAGCAAATACTTTTAAAATATGGGTTTAATGATGTTCCAGGTATGAGCATCCCTGGACTGGCCACATTATTATCTCTATCACCACCTCAAATCTTACCTTCCTGAAGGGTATTGATTGCTCCTGAAGGGTCCTTTAACCCCATCCAAGATTTTGCCTTCTATACTAATTGTGATGGACAGATTCTAAGGTGGACTCCACCCTCATACCCCCTGCCTCCTGTCATGAGTGGGACCTGGGACTTGCTTCTAACCAATAGAATATGGAATATTAGTGGATATTACTCCATGATTAGTTACTATCAGAGTTGCTCTAGAGATGCACCTTGCTAACTCAAAGTTAGCACCTTTTTTGGAAATATCCATAAGGTGAGGAACTGAAGGCAGCCAAAGACATCAGTTTGTTACCGTAGTTACTAAAATCAGTAGGAGAAAGAATGAAAATTCCAATGTTTGAGCCAGACAAATTCATGTCTTTTGAAGGCAATTTTAGGACAGATTGATAACCTTAAAAAAAGAAAGTGAAAAATACCAGTGGATAAACTCAAAACAGAATACACATATACACACTGATTAATCCCATTTCAATTCTATTATCCTTTACCTATTATAAGGGATCAAGAGAGTCCCTGTACATGCACAGTTTTTAAAATGATGCCATTTTGGGTACAGCTGCATTTGTTTCCTTTGTAGGAAGTTAATTTTTCTAACAGCAGTCAAGAAAATCTTCACAAAATTACTCTCATTTTTTAAAGCTTTTTTGAAACTTTTACAACATTAGGCAGAGTGTGAAACCCTGCCTTTTTTCTGAGTAAGAGATGAAATTGTCTAATACAAATCAAGTATGGGTGTGGAAAAGAGAACTTTCAGAAAACTCCCCAAATGCAAAAAATACATGATTCCTTTACCCTGTATTTGCTAAATAACGCCCTCTAAGAGCATTATCTTTTCTTCAAGTACCTCTTTCTAGGAAAATACAGAGTTGAATGTAGTTTACAGCCAAGGAAGATTGGAGACACTGACTTAAAAGTATGTCTGCAACAATGATTACATAGTTAATAATAATAACTTATGTTTGTATGTTGTTTTACAAGGGTGTTGATGATTTTACAAAATTTAAGGCAGAGATTACATTTGACATTTGGAGAAAGGGAGAGAGAGAAGGAGATAGAGTGAGTAAGCAAGGGAAAGAGAGAAAGCCAAGACAAGAGTGGAGGTTTCATACTTTCTACTTTAAGGCCTTACCATCATTCCACCTCATTTTATTAGCATCTGTGCATATGTGGACACTGGACTTTTATCCATCTATCACTCATTCAGGGACACCAAAGAGAGGGAGGAGATTCATCAACTTGTCCAGAAAATCCTGATTCTTTACATCAGTCCTCCTTCCCAAAGTGTAAGCACTAAGTTCTGAATCTTTGAGCACTAGAATTGATTCTTTCAGAAAGAAATTGGGGCCCAAAGAGGTTGCATACCTTGTCCAATAAGAATACAAGCTGGCATATAAAAGAAGGTGCCCACCATTTATTGAGGTCTTACTTTGTATTGGCCAGTTCATATACATCACTGTTAATGCTTTCAGGAAGCCTTATATATAAGAGGAAAGTGAGACTCACACTTTAAGGTACTTGCTTATTAACACAATTAATAAATAACATATGGGGGATTTAAATCAAGGTCTGTTTAATTCAATAGCCCATGCCCCTTTCATTAACTAGGCACTACTTAAGAATCCAGATCTCTTTATTCCCAGCTATGGCTTCTACTTTGGCAATGAGTCTGACCCAAGTTCTAAGTCCAAGTCAGTCTTATGAGGATTTACCCAGAGATTGTTTTTCTCATACAAATAGCTAGAAGTTGAGCTTGTGAGAAGGTAGAAGGGTAGCTATTGGGAAAGGGTCCTTATGTGTATGGTGTATGTGTGTTGCACTCAGGCAGGAGCACACATGGCTCTGCTATAAGAGGTGCAGCAAATGGTGCATGTTCTCTCTAATATTTATGCACAGAGCTATGTTTTTATTTTTATTTTTTGCCATTTATTTGAAGTATAGCTTTTCATTGCCTCCACATGAAGGTTTTTATCAACATGTATCTTCAGATACCTGTTTGAAAGTCCATGGTGACTCAGCCAGTGTAAGCCATTTCAATTCTGGTTAGATCATCATTCCTAAGACCATCAGTTTGATGTCATGGACCCTAAGCCTCCTTGCTGTTTCCTTTAGGAAAGGCAGTGGAAATTTACAGGCACTGAAGGACCCTGTCAAAGGCACCAGGCTTTGGATGGAGCCCTGAATGCAATGTGTCACAGTGAGTATTTACACACCAAATGGAAGGCTTTTCAAGAACAGAAGGTGCAGACAGACACAATAGTCTCTTAGTCATGCTTTAATGAGCTAGGGCTCTTGGCTGAATGGATGCTCAGTAACAGGACGTCTGTGCAATGAGAAAACAAGCAGAGGATGCTTGGGATTTGCTTGGGCAGGTGTCTCCAAAGGGAGGGAAACATGACTCATGACACTTGCGCCTTGAGCTAAGTTGACACCACTGCCATCACCCTTGGAATGCAATTTGTGGGCAGAGATCTAGGCTGTTTATAAAAATGACGTGAACAGCAGTTTCAGCCTCAGGAGGCTCCATAGGAATGATAAAGAAGAGGATTACAGAAGCTAAAGCTTTTGTTTAAAGAGAGATTACAAAGCATTTATTTCGGATCAAGTCAGCCTGAAGCTTAACAGCTAAAACTTGCCCTTTTTTCTGCTCCGTGATGAGTTTTGCTCTTAAACTGAGTGCTCAAATGGGAAGATGAAGATGAGGCTTTATTTGGAATGACCTCAAATGAGGCCGTTGGTTTTTCACTCTTTTGTTAATATGAATTCAGGAAACACGAAGATTAGTAAAGATTCTAATCAATTGCCCAACATTAGTTTTTCTAGTAACAAGGGCAAATGTGCTTTTTAAGTACTTGAAGGTGAAAAGAAAATCAGACAGCAAGAAAGGGGATGCAACAAGGTTAATGCCTCAGAGCTTTTCATAAATTGTGGTTTCTGTGTTGGAAATTGTTCAAAGTAAACACTGCCCATGTTGGGAAGGTAAAAAAAAAAAAAGTTTAAAAACACTCAATCTCTACCCCTTCTGAGGCTGAATTGCATTGACTGCATGGCTGATCCAGTGACTGCAAAAACCTACACATTCAGGAGGTGACTTTTACAAAATGAATTGACAGTGTGGCTGGCAAGATGGCAGAATAGGAACAGCTCCAGTCTGCAGCTCCTGGAGAGATCAATGCAGAAGGCAGGTGACTTCTGCATTTCCAACTGAAGTACCTGGCTCATCTCACTGGGACTGGTTAGACAGTGGGTGCAGCCCATGGAGGGGAAACCAAAGCACGGTTGGGCGTTGCTTCACCCGGGAAGTGCAAGGGGTTGGGAACTCCCTCCCCTAGCCAAGGGAAGCCCTGAGGGACTGTGCCGTGAGGTACAGCACACTCCGGCCCAGATACTACACTTTTCCCATGGTCTTCACAACCCACAGACCAGGAGATTCCCTTGGGTGCCTACACCACCAGGGCCCTGGGTTTCAAGCACAAAACTGGGTGGCCATTTGGGCAGACACCCAGCTAGCTGCAGGACTTTTTTCTCATACCCTAGTGGTACCTGGAATGCTAAAATCCACTGGTTGGAATTCTCACTGCCAGCACACAGTCTGAAGTCTATCTGGGACAGTCGAGCTTGGTGTGGGGAGGGGCATCCACCATTACTGAGGCTTGAGTAGGCAGCTTTCCCCTCACAGCGTAAACAAAGCCACCAGGAAGTTTGGACTGGGTGGAGCCCACCTCAGCACCACAAAGTTGCTGTAGCCAGACTGCCTCTCTAGATTCCTCCTCTCTGGGCAGGGCATCTCTGAAAGAAAGGCAGCAGCCCCAGTCAGGAGCTTACAGATAAAACTCCCATCTCCCTGGGATAGAGCAACAGGGGGAAGAGGTGGCTGTGGGAGCAGCTTCAGCAGACTTAAACATTCCTGCCTACCAGTTCTGAAGAGAGCAGCGGATCTCCCAGCACAGCACTCAAGCTCTGCTAAGGGACAGACTGCCTCCTCAAGTGGGTCCCTGACCCCTATGCCTCCTGACTGGGAGACACCTCCCAGCAGAGGTCAAAAGATACCTCATACAGGAGAGGTCTGGCTGGCATCTGGCAGCTTCCCCTCTGTGACGAAGCTTCCAGAGGAAGGAACAGGCAGCAATCTTTGCTGTTCTGCAGCCTCTGCTGGTAACATGCAGACAAACAGGGTCTGGAATTGACCTCCAGAAAACTTCAGCAGACCTGCAGCAGAGGGGCCTGTTAGTAGGGAAACTAACAAACAGAAAGGAATAGCGTCAACATCAACAAAAACGATGTCCACACCAAAACCCCATTTGAAGGTCACCAACATCAAAGACCAAAGGTAGATAAATCCACGAAGGTGAGGAAAAAAAATCAGCATCAAAAGGCTGAAAATTCCAAAAACCAGAACACCTGTTCTCCTCCAAAGGATCACAACTCCTCGCCAGCAAGGGAACACAACTGGACGGCAAATGAGTTTGATGAATTGACAGAAGTAGGCTTCAGAAGGTGGATAATAACAAACTACTCCCAGCTAAAGGAGCATGTTCTATCTAACCCAATGAAGGGAAGCTAAGAACCTTGAAAAAAGGTTAGAGGAATTGCTAACTAGAATAACCAGTTTAGAGAAGAACATAGATGACCTGATGGAGCTAAAAAACACAGCACGAAAACTTCGTGAAGCATACACAAGTGTCAATAGTCGAATCAATCAAGTCGAAGAAAGGATATCAAAGATTGAAGATCAACTTAATGAAATAAAGCATGAAGACAAGAGAAAAAAGAACAAAAAGGAATGAACAAAGCCTCCAAGAAACATGGGACTATGTGAAAAGACCAAACCTACGTTTGATTGGTGTATCTAAAAGTGACAGGGAGAATGGAACCAAGTTGGAAAACATTCTCCAGGATATTATCCAGGAGAACTTCCCCAACCTAGCAAGACAGGTCAACATTCAAATTCTGGAAATACAGAGAACACCACAAAGATACTCCTTGAGAAGAGCAACCCCAAGACACATAATCATCAGATTCACCAAGGTTGAAATGAAGGAAAAAATGTTAAGAGCAGCCAGAAAGAAAGGTCGGGTTACCTACAAAGGGAAGCCCATCAGACTAACAGAGGATCTCTCAGCAGAAACCCTACAAGCCAGAAAATAGTGGGGGCCAATATTCAACATTCTTAAAGAAAAGAATTTTCAACCCAGAATTCCATATCCAGCCAAACTAAGCTTCATAAGCTAAGGAGAAATAAAATCCTTTACAGACAAGCAAATGCTGAGGGATTTTGTCACCACCAGGCCTGCCTTACAAGAGCTCCTGAAGGAAGCACTAAATATAGAAAGGAAAAACTGGTACCAGCCATAACAAAAACATACCAAATTATAAAGACCATCGACACTATGAAGAAACTGCATCAACTAACAGGCAAAATAACCAGCTAGCATCACAATGACAGGACCAAATTCACACGTAACAATATTAAACTTAAATGTAAACAGGCTAAATGTTCCAATTAAAAGACACAGACTGGCAAATTGGATAAAGAGTCAAGACCCATCTGTGTCCTGTATTCAGGAGACCCATCTCATGTGGAAAGACACACATGGGCTCAAAATAAAGGGATGAAGGACTATTTATCAAGCAAATGGAAAGCAAAAAAAAAAAAAAAAAAAAAAAAAAAAAAAAAAAAGAACAGGGGTTGCAATCCTTGTCTCTGATAAAACAGACTTTAAACCAACAAAGATCAAAAAAGACAAAGAAGGGCATTACATAATGGTAAAGGGATTAACACAACAGGAAGAGCTAACTATCCTAAATATATATGCACCCAATACAGGAGCACCCAGATTCATAAAGCAAGTTCTTAGAGACCTATAAAGAGAGACTTAGACTCCCACACAATAATAGTGGGAGACTTTAACACCCCACTGGTCATAGGGAGGGCAACATCACACACCGGGGCCTGTAGGGGGCAGGAGAATAGGGAAGGGATAGCATTACGAGAAATACCTAATGTAGATGATGGGTTGATAGGTGCAGCAAACCACCATAGCACATGTATACCTATGTAACAAACCTGCACATTCTGCACATGTATCCCAGAACTTAAAGTATAATTAAAAAAAAATAAATTGACCAAAACCCAGACAATTTGTGAACTACTTGTAGACTTGGTCTCTGCTCAGATAGGGATGATTTGTGATCTTTTCTATATCAGGGAGATTTTTTGCTTGACTCTTTCCCTTTCTTTGGGAATTAAAATCTGAAGAAAAATGATACCATTTCAAAGGTACTATATACAAAGTTGGATGTATGGTTGATCATTCATTTATTCAACAGAGAGACATGGAACATGTACTAGATGCTAGGTTCTATTCAGAGCACTAGAAATCCAGGGACAAACAAGACAACTCCTTATATTTAAGTTATTGTAGGGAAGACAAAAACCGAATAGTTAGGCAAAGAAGGATATGCAAAAATATACTTTCAGGCTGGGTATGGTGGCTTACACCTATAATCCCAGGACTTCGTGAGGCCAAGGCGGGCAGATCACTTGAGGTCAGAGGTTCAAGGCCAGCCTGGCCAACATGGCAAAACTCCATCTCTAATAAAAATACAAAAATTAGCTGGGTGTGATGGCACACACCTGTAATCCTAGCTACTTAGGAGGCTGAGGGGTGAGAATGGCTTGAACACAGGAGGTGGAGTTTGCAGTGAGCCGAGACTGCACCACTGCACCCAAGCTTGGGCAACAGAGTGAAACTCTGTCTCAAAAAACCCCCCAAAATATACTTGCATATCATGATGTTACCAAGAAATTAAAGGAGGTGCAATGTAGGAAGTGGTAAGACTGCTTTAGATGTCAGGAGAGGCTTTCCTGAGGTGATATTTGAGAAGAGACCTGAAGATATGAAAGAGCAAGCTGTATAAAGTTCTGACAAAGAAGTGTTCAAAAGGAAGGGGATGGCAGGTGTAAGGGCCTGGGAGCAGAAAATGAGCTCATGGTATTGTAAAAACTTTAAGGAACTAGTGTGGTTGAAGTGGAAGGAGTGAGGAGGAGCAAAGCAGGAGTTAGGTTGGAGAGCCACAGAGAACAAGGGAGCCCACAGCAAAGAGCTGGGCTGTCCTCCCCCATGCAATGGGAAACTGTGGTAGAGTGTTGCAGGGGAAGGGACAGAATCTGAGGTGTAGTTTGAAGGAGCTCTCTGGTGACTGTGTGGAGAATAAACTATTGAGTGGCAAGAGTAGAAGCAACACAGACAGTTTTGAGATAATATCTAAAGTCTGTGAAGGAGATGGTTATCTCAGAGAAGTGTGATATTTGAAAAAGTGAACAAAAGTAACGGGACTTGGATATATTTTGAGAGTAAACCCAGTAGGGCTTTCTAGTGACCTGGATGTGGGGCTGTTGAGGTGAGAGAAAGATTTGAGATTATGGAATGAATCATTTCAATATCTAGGCATCTAGAAGAGCAGTGTACTACCTTCCTTTAAGCACAGGCCCTGATTGAGCTTCAGCAAGTAGAATGTTGGTGGCTGAGATGAAGAAGATAGTGAGAGAGACCTTTTAGGGATTTGAGGTGGAAAAAAATGTGGATATGAACAAGTTATGTTTTAAGCACCTGTGAACTACTGCTAGTACTACTAACAGTAAGTTAGAGATGAGTCTGGAGTCTGGAAGAGGTCTGGATGGGGAATACAAATTGGGACATTATCAACATGTAGATTCTATATGAGATCACGGAAATGGCAGATTGCTGAGGGAGGCAGAGAGAGAACAGGGCAAAGGACCAAGAATGGGGGCAGGACAATATTCAAAGAAGGATATAGAAAAAGAAACCAGCAAACAGAACTGAAGAGGAGCCATCTGTGCAAAAAATAAACTTCACAGAGAATAAAGTAAAGAGAGTATTCTGAGCTTTCTGAATGTTTGAGTAATACAAGGACATAGAACTGACTGATGAATTTACTGCAATAAAAGCACTGGTGACACTGATAAGAGTGATGAGTGAGGATAAAAGCCTGATTATAGAGTTAAAAGAAAATGGAAGGTGAGAAAGTGAAGAGTGAATATAGAAAATGCACTCATTTCTTTTTTTTTCTAAACATAGAAGAAAAAATTGAAGATAGCTGGAGGAGATATAGGATCAAGATTTTTTTTTCACAATGTGTTTACATGCTTTAGTGGTCAGGATAGGCTAAATTATGCTGCAGTAACAAATTGGACCATAAATCTCAGTGGTCTACAACAAAGGTTTATTTTTCACTTATGCTATATATTCAAGGAGGGTTGGCTGAAGGCTATGCTCCCTAGTTTCTCGAGTTCACAGTCTGATTGAGGCTCTGTTGTTTTGTATCTGTCATATATCTGCTCCGTATCTCAAATATGGAGACACCTCATTGCTGCAGCAGAAGAGAAACACTAGAAAAGAATGAATGGGATTTTCACTCTTAGCCTGCAAGTGATGCACATCTAATTGGTCAAAACTAGTCACATGACCTGCGTAACTGCAAAGGCCATGGGAAATGTAGGATAGCAAAGAAAATCTTTTGTAGCATCACTGCCTCTACTACATAAGCTGATAGGAATTATCCAATAGAAAGAATAAATTTGATGTAAGAGCCAAATTCCAGAGCAGACAAGAGGGAATGGAAATCAGTACACTTTGGAGGAACAGTTTCCAGCAGCCTTATCTGAATAAGGATGTTTTACCCTACCCACTGTGTCAGGAAAGAGAGTAGGGTGTATGGATAGAAATTCGTGGAGCTTGGTAGATGGAAAGATGAATGTGTCCTTTTCTGAATAATTTATTTTTTCAGGGAAATAAAACCAAGGTCATCAATTAAGAATGAAGAAAAGGGAATGATTCTTGTAGGTTTTAAGAGAAAGTATGTGTGTAAATATTGGTCTCTAACAGTGGAGAACCAAGTTTACTAGAAACATGAGAGATGACAACAGAGGCAGTATAATGTGCTACTTACTAGTCACAGACTGTTGGGCCAGAGTGTCTGCGATCCAGTCTTGGCTGGGTCACTTATGATCATGGCCTCAAGTAACATCCAGCTAAGTGCCTTAGTTTTGTGATCTGTAAAACTGAGATAATAATGGTACTTACACCATAGAGTTGCTTGGGAGTTCAAAACAGAGCCTGGCACTTTGAAGTGTCAGCTGGTATCATGAGGATAGCCTAACAATGGGACAACTTCAAGTTTACAGTCTTAAAAATGAAGTGATGCCAGTTAATAAGGCTGTGTGGTTTTCCTCTAGCCATGTCCAACTGCTTAGGAAGTTCCACTGCTCATCTTGCTAGGAAGCAGGTGTAGAGTAGGTAGAGAATTCGATGTAACCAGGGTTAGACAAGATGTGCATGAGATAGGGCATTTTGTCCAATGCTCTACTGCTAGGTTTCTCCCTCTCCCAAGTATAAAGATGTTGCATTTCTTATCTGAAATCCTAAGTATTTTTTTTTTATTTTCTGTGAGCTATTTCAGATTTTACAATGTCAAACTTTATAAGAGCCCTATAGAATATTAAGAGGTTTAGAATTCTATTTCTGATTAAATTAGTCCTTCTTCAAGAAAAGCACCATTTATGATTCCATAAAAGTGGCACATTTAGCAGAGACCAACCTACAAGCCTCTCCATGAGAAACTATCACCAAGAGCCACAGAAGTCAGGTAAATTATATTCAAAGCTTTCCTCTTGAAGGTGAAGGAGATGATTTCTATACCAAATAATATTACATTATTGGGATAAAGTTCACATCATATTTTCCATAGGTGACTGCTTTTTTGTCTATTTTACATCCCTGAGTATCTGAACCTTGATCTTTAGGGGGAAAAATACACCACAGTGTCCATTTCAATTTTTCTGCCAGCTTACATACTGCTTTCTTGGTTGCTAATGATCTGAAGCAAATGTCACCAAGTAGAAAAGAGGAATGATTCCAATGAGACTAAATGGGCAGGCCAACTCTACCTCCTCTTTTCACACAGGAATCTGCGAGGTGGCCAACAGAGGAATCTGTTATTGTATAATGATTATAGGACAATTTTCTCCATGTTTTTCTTTGCCTTTAGAAATTTTTTACTTTGGCCTTTTCTGCCAAAAATTGCATCTAGCGTCCTTAACAACCCACACTTTATGGAAACCCTTACACTCTTTGGCAGTAGATCTTACTCACTATCAATTCATTGGCATTCCCCATCCTAAAAATAATAGATTTCTGATTTAAAGGGGTGAGTAGCCTCTTCCAACTATCATTAAAATACAATTGTAAGTATATGCAAATGAAAATATAGAACTAGCAAAATATGTAAATTTAGGATAAACAAAAATTGGAAAATAATGTAATCAAAGAAAAATTATAATATTTATATTGCAAATGGAGCCAGATGGGAAGACACTCCCCATTCCATTCTTCTATTCACAGATGCAGAGACCTAACACCTGGAAAACCAAAGCAATAAGCAATTCTCCTATGGCATTATATTTATAATGCTTACTTTATTTGCTTGGGGAAATTGTGAGTGATTTTGAAATTTTTTCTAATTTTTATTCTTTACTTTGTAATTTTTTAGTCTAAATAGCTTTTAAAAGAGAACATATATTTCATATATGTTATATATAGTCTTTCTGTTTTATATTTCCAAATATTTTTACTATATTCGTGAATTACCTTATAATTAGGGAACAAGATATAGTCTTTAAAAGACAGTGCTTTGGAAGACTTAGAAGAAATTGGTTTTATTACCTCTTATTTTAAGTCAGATTTGCAATAAAATATTTTCTTCCCTACTTGGTATGTTTTATCACCGAGGTGAAGATTATCCTTTTTTTAATGAAGAAGGTTAATTTATATAGTGAATTTTGTTTGGCAAGCAGAGAAACAAAATAGCTGTCTGGGTTCTTGTCCAAAATGGAGGGTATGTTTGTGTCTGTTTCGAACTGTAACCTGATTAGTATGCAGAACAGCCATGAAATAGCTGGATCACCTTAATGCCAAAACTGAGGATGAGTTTTTAATACAAATAACGTTAATAATGTGGAGAGAATTATTGAGATGGTGTGTGTCATTGGTAAACTTTCTTTGGGTGCAGGGGGAGCTGTGGCATATCCTAGGATATAGGAGTCATCATCAAAAACTACAACTGAAATATGATAAGAGACCCTTGTAACTGCCAATTTGGAAGCACCTGTTTTAAAATGTATTTTTTAATATTGTTGACATTATTGTTATTACTGTTATTATTAAACCATCATTTATATACATTGAAACATACAGCTCTTAACTGTTTAGGTGTAACTGGCATCCATATGAAGATAAGGAACACTTTCATCACCCCAGAAAATTCATTCAGGCTTCTTCCCAGCTAATTTGGTTTCTTTCCAGTTTAGCACTTCTATGCATAAAGAGGCTGTTCTTGTATATTATGGTGAACATAAGCACTCATTTCTGTTGGGCATATGTCTAGGAATGCGATTGCTAGGTTGCAGGATATGTGTATGTTAAGATTTAGTAAGTACTTTAAAATATTTTTTCAATGTGATTGGACCAATTTCCACTCCTCCAGCTAGGCAAGAGAGTCACAGTTGCTTCATAAACTTGCCAACACTTTGTATTGTTCGTATCTTTAATTTTACCCAACTTACAACCATGATGGGTTCCTATACATACGTAAAAGTGATTCATGATTTGAGTCATTTTTCATGTTTATTGGGTATTTTGCTACCCTGTATAATAAAAAGCCTGTTTATCACAGTGTGTTTTAAATGTTCATTTTCTTATCTACAATTGTGACCTAACAATTGGTCTCTGATTTCCTAAAGGTGAGGGATGCCTTTAATAGGTCTTTCTATTCCGAATGCTTAGCACACTGCTCTAGCACATTGCAGATTCTTAAAAATATTGATTTGAATGAAATGAGGATGATTATTAAATAGCTCCTCCTATGCTCCAGATGCTTTTCATGTATTTCTCAGTTAATCCCCATACCAACTTCATTTACAGATGAAGAACTTGAGGTTTAGAGAGTTTTAGGTACCTGCCATGGTCACAGAGCTACTAATTGGCTTTCATTGCTATAGTCTGAAACCAAGATTTTTGGATTCAAAAACTATTTTCTTTGTTCCTCCATTCACCACAATGGCTTCAGATTAAAAAGAGCCTTCCATTGTATTCATTCTGCACCCATTTACTGAGCAGAATGGCAGAGGATGCTGTCCCTTCCAATATCCATGTCTCTCTTCTGTTCTCTGGGCACACAGCTAAACTACATTTCCCAGAATGCTTTAAGTTAGATTGCATCTGTTATGACACTGGAATGTGATATAAAATTGTATACCATTTCCAGGTCTCACCTATAAAAATCTCCCACATGCAACCTTCCACTTACTGCTCCTGTGGAACATTTGGAGTCTACATACTGAACATAGAGTTGCCATAATATATAAGAAGCCTGGGTCCCTGAGTGACTGTGTGGAACAGAAAATGTCACCCCACCCCCACATCCACACCCCTGCTATCACAGTGGTCTTTCACGAGTGAACATTGAGTTCTCATTGTGATAGACAACAGAGGTTTCGGGGTTTGTTAGAACACCTCAGCCTACTACAATTTTTCTCTAGGTGTTGGTGCAGAGATGAACAGCTGTTAGCCTTAGGGAACTTCAGTTTGATAAACAAATGCAGTTGATCCTTGAACAATGAGAGGCTTTGTGGTGCTGACTCCCTGCACAGTCAAAAATCTGAGTATAACTCTGGACTCCCCAAAAACTTAACTAGCAATATAGCCTAATGTTGATCATTAGGCTTTACCAATAACATAAACAGTCAGTTAATACATAATTTGTATACTATCTGTAATATATACTGTATTCTTACAATAACGTATGCTAGAAAAAAAGATAATTTCATTAAGAAAATTGCAAGGAAGAGAAAATATTTTTACTATTTATTAAGTGGAAGTAGATCTTCATAAAGATCTTCATCCTCATCATCTTCATGTTGAATGGGCTGAGGAGGGGAAGAGGAGGGACTGGTCTTGCTGATTCAGGGGTAGCAGAGGCAGAAGTGATCAAGGAGGTAGAAGATGAGACAGAAAAGGAAGGAACACTGAGTGTAAATTCTATTGAAAAAAATCCACATGTAAGTGACCTTTGCTGTCCAAATCTGTGCTATTCAAGGATAAACTGTAATTCTAACACAATATGACAAATGTTATAAAGCTACAAATGGAGTTCTATGGCAAATGATGGAGACGGAACAATTCTGTCTTATAAACTTATAGAATATCTCATTGAGAGGATAATATTTTTATGTGGATCCTGAAAGATCAAATCAAAGCGATGGGCCTTTCAGGTTATAGAAACACTATGAAGAAATGCATGGAATAATAAAGAGCATGGTGTACTTTCTCCTGGAGATTTGTGAAGTTCTAGGTAGCTGGAGTGCAGCTCTCAGAAGGAGCATGGTAACAGAGAAGTCCAATAAAATAGACTGGTGGTTGAAATTGAATATGCTATAAAAAGGAATTAGAACTTGGTCTTATGATTAATGGGGAGCTATCTCTTATGAACTGTAGGGAGAAGAAATTAGAAAATGGAAAATCATTTGAAGATATTGCAATTATCCAGGTGAAAAATAATGAAGATCAGAACTAAGACACTGTAAATAGGAATTAAGAGGTGGTAGAGTCTTAATAGTGTTATGGATGCAAAAATAATAACATTTAGACTATTCCTTTTGTTGAACGTCTCCCACTATTAAAAAAGTATTACATAAATCAAGTCTGAATGAATCTTTGGTATTTGCAGGTCTCATTTTAGAATCCATGTTTCCAACTTCTCAGAACGTCTAGAAGCCTTGTCTATACACAAAATGTGCTTATCGATAACATTTTATCAATGAAAAAGCTGAGCTTTGATTCTGGAATTATTAATTTTTTACATGCCTTTCCCCAATTTATCATTTCTTTTTCTGCTTTACATGGAAGACAAACAGTTTAATTCCACAAACAGTTATTGAGCCCCTATTATGTTCTCATATAGCAATAAATACTAATGATAAAGAGGAGTATAATCTTTTATCTCAGTCTTTATGAAATTCCTGGCCTAGTAAAGGTAGAGAGAAAGTAGGCCAAGAAGGACAAGATCACAGCACCAAATGGCTACAATGCAGTCTAAAGGAACTGTTAAAATCAGGTGGTATGAGGGTTCAAGTGCTAAGAGGGTTCAAAGGAGTGATGTTAAAGGATTAGGTGTGGTTGGTATTAGTCATGGTTCTGTGCAAACCACAAACAATGTGGTACAGGTTTTCATGATGAAGACAAGGGTGATGAGATGATTGTGATGATGACGATGATGATGGAGAAGGAGGACAAGTTCCTTTTAGCATTTACAGTTTTATCAGCTACTGCTGACATTGTCTGTGGGCACATGGCCAGGCAGGCCATTCATCCACATTGACATCTGGTTTCCTGCATTATGACTCAAACCACTGATTATGTAATAATAATGATAATAACTGTTAGGCAAAGAGTCAATTTCCACTGTTTGTTTTGTATCTTCAGGGGATTAAAGGCAGTTTTATAAAACCTCCCTTAAATTTACAGAATAAAGCAAATACACAGGAGGAAATATACCACCAAGGATTAAAGAAGCTCATGTCAGGACCAGGGTAAGAGACACCCAGAAGCTTAGCAAAATGAATGAATGAGTAGTTTATTTACTTTTGCTCCTGAAAATATATGTACAAACAGAATCACAAGTGGAGGGGAGAAGAGTAGACCATTGTATAATGAGGGAAGGTAGGGGAAAAAAGTAGAAAACACGATTTTAACTTGTTTTTAGATTAAATAGGGCTGATTCCAGAAACATCATAAATTTCCCAAAGGGGAAAATTTTGGCAGAAAATCAGAATCACGATTTTAGAACTGAACGTTATTTTTCTAACTGTAACAAAAAAACTCTAAATTTTTCAGCCTGAAAATGAATTTTGGAAATAATATAATAGATGCATTCATTTATTCTCTAAGCACATAATGATAGTCTCTTATAGACCAGATCCCATATTAGGTATTGTTAGAAAAAATGCTGAGACAGTGTTATCTCCCTCTAGGAGTTTGCAGTCACATAGAGTGACTCCCAGGGAAATCAAAACAACCAGTAACCATGGTGGTGAGTATTGTGGAGCTATGTGCAAGGGTGCTAAGAAAATATGGAGAGATGAAGTCTTGGTCTGCCTGGGACAATGTGAAAAGGTTTCCCAGAGAAGAAACAATCTTCAGCTGGGATAAGCCATATAAGCAGGAAATAGATAGGAGAAAAAAATGGAGATAGGCATTTAAGGCAAAGAGGAAAAAATGAGAAACTGATCATGCATCAGTAATAGTTATTGCAGGTAAAATTCACTGATGAGTCTTAAATTTATTGGGTAAATCTTAAGAAAAAACAAAATTTACATACCCTCAAAGCATCTCCTCCAGGGTATGATTGTCTACAAAGGCAAAGATAATTTTACAGAGGTAAAATCTGGCAGAAACAACCTTCTAATGAATGGAAAACAGCATTACCAGTAATAAGACCTATCAACATTATGAGCTCTGTGATATGATGCACTGAGAAAAACACAACATCATTTTGTGGTGTTCTTGCCAAAAAAGAAAAAAGCATAACTTTACTTTGATCCTAAGAAAACATGAGACACACCACAACTGAAGAACATTTAGCAAAACAACTGATCATTGCTCTTCAAGAGTGTCAATGTCAGGGAAGAGAAGGAAAGACTAAGGAACTATTACAGACTGTGGCAGACTAGGAGGAAATAACAACTAAAATACAAGGTGGGATTCTGAATATGATATGGAACCAGAAAAAAGTTAGTGGAAAAAAGGGTGGAATTTGAATAAGGTCTTTAGTTAATAGTATTTCCTCATGTCAATTCATTTTACTTGATAAATAAACTATTGTTACACAAGATGGGAGGGGAAGAGTGAGGAATATACAAAAAGTCACTGTAATATTTTTTCAACTTTTCTGTAAGCCTAAAATTGGTTCAAAATTTAAAAGTTGAAAAAGAGGAAATGCAAGTTTAAGATAATGAAGCGTACATATGGCAGATAAGTACACTGATAGAGTCTAAGTGTTGGGTATTCTGGGAAATGAGGTAAGCCAAGCCCTTCCTAAGGACTTTGGGCTTAATCCTATAGATAATAACAGACTATTGAGGCAGTTCAGCAGCAGAGCACCATAATGACATTTGTGGTTTATGAACAACCTTTGTTGACAGTGTGGACAAGAAGATAGAAACAGTGGAGTTGTGCACACTTCTAAGTAGCTGTAGGCTCAGGGAGAGATGTTAAAGGTTTGTACCAGGATAGTTACAAAGGGAGTGAAATAGAATGACAGAGTTCCACAACAGTCTTTTGAAAGATTAATCATCATTCCCATGCAATATAATTAAACTGAAATATGAGTGCTCCTAGGCCTATATTATATATGAATGTTTCCAAGGCTATTTTTCATACTCACCACCCATATACCCATGTGTGTAGTCTACATTGTTGTCCATTTTATCCTGATTATGAATTTACTGATTCTCTGTCTTCTATGCACTCCGTCCTCAATTTTAGCTTGAAATTTGGTGTTATTACCTGGAGAGCACCTATGCCTCACAAGAACAAGTAAAATTTCTTTCAGTGGATCATACGAGTAGACAATGCATTTTTTTCCTTCCCCAAAACATGCTCCATGTAGGCATCAAGAAACAGAGACAAAGAATTTTCACTCTTTTTCTGTGCTAAAGTTGCCAATCCGTCTAGCTGATCAAGACAGCTAGGGCTAAGAATCAAGTAAGTTTTTAGCCAAGAGTAGCATTGAAAGAAATAAAGAAAGAGAGAGAGAGAGAAAGAGAAGGAGAGCAAGAGAAAGAAAGAGAGAGAAGAGGCCGGGCACAGTGCCTCATGCCTGTAATCCTAGAACTTTGGGAGGCCAAGGGGGGTGCGGATCACCTGAGGTCAAGAGTTCGAGACCAGCCTGGCCAACGTGGTGAAACCCTGTCTCTATTAAAAATACAAAAAAAAAAAAAAATTAGCCAGGCATGGTGGCGCGTGCCTATAATCCCAGCTACCTGGGAGGCTGAGGAAGGAGAATCACTGAAACCTGGGAGGCAGAGGCTGCAGCAAGCTGAGAACACACCACTGCACTCCAGCATGGGCCACAGAGGGTGACTCTGTCTCAAAATAAAGAGAGAAAGAAAAGAAAGGAAGGAAAGAAGAGAAGAAGGAGAGAGAAGGAAGGAAAGAAAGGAAAAAAGGAAGAAATAAAAAGAGAAAGAAAAGAGAGGTAGAGAAGATAGGAAGAAAGGAAAGGAAGAGAAGGAAGGAAGGAAAGAAATAGAGAAATGAAGGAGAAAGAAAGAGAGAGGGGAAGGAAGGAAGGAAAAAGAAAGAGAAGGAAGGAAGAAAAGATAGAGAAAGAAAGGGAAGAAAAGGATTGTCAAAAAAATTTTCTTGAACCTAAAAAAACAAAAAACAAAACAAACAAAAAACCTCACATCCCCAATCAGTTCACTTATTTGGATTTGCCACTACTTTGATGTTTTATTACTCACTGCAAAATTCAACAACTTGTGCTTCCATTTGAGGCTGTTAAGTTTTCCTGTGTTGTGATTTACTCTGGAGCTTCTATTTTAAAAGACACAGAAGTGGGAAGGGCTTCAGTTACAATAAGAAGGCTGGCAAATGTATCTTTCTCCATCCTGCATTCTCTACTACTTTCTCAAATGCCTCCCTGAAAATGGAGCCCAGGTGACCATCAGGTGGCTTCACAGTAAAGAGTTTTGATTTGATAAGTAGAGGAAATAAGTTGCCTTCCTGGGTGATTTTCCATCTGGGATTTATGCCATGCCTTTTAATTAAGCATATTTCCCTGTTCTCCCTAAATATTTTTCTTTTCTTTTTTCTTTTTTTTTTTTCTTTTTTTTTTTTTGAGACAGGGTCTCCCTCTGTTGCCCAGGCTGGAGTGCAGTGGTGCGATCTTGGCTCACTGAAACTTCCACCTCCTGGATTCAATTAATTGCCCTGCCTCAGCCTCCCGAGTAGCTAAGATTAGGTGTGCACCACCATGCCCGGCTAATTTTTTTATTTTTAATAGAGACAGGGTTTTATCATGTTGGCCAGGCTGGTCTCAAACTCCTGACCTCAAGTGATCTGCCTGCCTCGGCCTCTCAAAGTGCTGGAATTACAGGCATGAGCCACCGCTCCTGGCCCCTAAATATTTTTCTAACAAAGAAAAGACTCCTGATAGGAAGGCTACATTAGGCCACCACCATGTCTGTGTGTTCAATGTTATTAAATCCACTTACCTTGAGTTAAAGCAGGTGGAAAGCCTGAATATGCTGGACACCTTCAGTGGAATTGTGGCATAGGATCCAGTGCAAAAAATATACATAGTGGAGATCCTTGCCTTCCAAGATTCCAGGCCTCCAGGTATTAGCAGAGTACTTGATTTATTCCCATGTCTCCTGCCCTACTTCATCATATCATGCATAAGATTGCCAGACCCATCAGGTACAGAGCTATCCATTGCCTTAAACATAGGAGTAGGTAAGGAGTAATCTTGGACTTGGGTGACAAAGGGTAGAAAAGGATCCCTGAAAAAGATCTTGAAGGGAGTAAAAAAGAGACTTTTCAACCAAAAAAAAAAAGGAATTTATTTTTTTTAAGTGAAGATACTCCAAAGATAAATAAATAAATAAATAAGTCTAATGCCTAAGTTGAGATGGGGAACAGAAAAAGTGAGGGAGTGGAATTTGTAACCAGAGGGCAGGGCATAGCCTGGTGACAGGGAAAGATGCATTGAAGAGAGGAGCATATAGTGCTTGAATCTAGCTACCTGGAACGTAGCTTTGCTCCCATCAACTGGTGTAAAAAAATATGATCAATGTAGTAAACTCTAGCAAGTTTGGTGTTCAGGATGCTGAAACTCTTGGCCTATTGTGTGGCCCTGATATGGGAGTGGTGGGATGGTGGGAGATAAGTCCAATAACAACACCAACCCTAAGAGAACTAGGGGGTATGTATTTGTTTTAGGGGAGTTATCAAAATATTATGGAAGAGTCACACTCTTTCTCAGAGTTTAAATTTATTCATTCATTTATAAAACAATGGGGGTGATTAAGAAAATTTAAGAAAAATTTTAGACAGGTTTTCCTCAAAGTCCTTTTATTTTCTACTCAAAATGACATTAATAATCAGACATTACCCACATTGATTTCTCAGCTTGCTCTGAGTGAGTTTTTTAGGCCTTATTTTTTTTTTTTTTTTTTTTGATATTGGAGTATAGATTCAAGATCTGTTCTTTTTTAGAAGGAGGAAACAAAAATATTTTTTCTGTTGTTAAGCTGTTGCTTATGCTTCTTCCTTCTTAAGGGGACTCATTCTCTGTTATACTCAAGACTATTAGCAGAAATAACAACTATACGTCATTCCATTTCTTATTTGAGAGTAAGAGGTAGGTTCTCTCCTTTCTGTTACCCAGGTTTTACAAAGTAAAAAGCAGGCAAAGTTCACAGGACATACTATAAGATATAAAACCCAAAGAACATGCTACATTTGCCTTCCTGTTCCTTGCTATAAATCGTACACTGGCGTGTGCCACGCTGTTGTAGGGACAGTACTCTCAGTCCCTTATACTGACACAGAGGCAATGGTCAAGTAGAATTGTTCATGCGACATGTAACATGGTTCCAAAGATAAAACCTCATCTATTTCACAATTTTGCCCTGAACCAGCCCTGAGTCTAAGGAAAAGTCCTAACAACAGTGTGGTGGTGGCTCTGTTGCCATCACAACTCCACTAGTCAGGACTATGGAACCATAGCCCCATCATCACCCGATTCACAGACTCCCCACCAGTGGAGTGAATGGCTGCTGGCAGGATGCAGAGGTTCTTTATGGGCATGGGCAGGATTTCATAACAATTACAAAAAAAGCTAGTTTTCAGTCAACCTCCATGAAGTATGATGTGCTATATATTAAAAATATTACTTACCACTGAATAATTTATCCATGACCTTTTGAAATATGAAGAATTATCTTGTCATATATTATCATACTAAATCATCTCTCTCTTTTGTTTAATGGCAGACATTTTTAATATGCCTATGAGGATCTACTTTAAATATTCAGCCTAATATAGAATGTCTGCATACACATATCTTTTGCAGATGAAGTGGGTTGCCTTTCTTTTGCCTTGGAGGTTCTGGGCTTTAGATTGAGAGATGGCTGGGCAATGTGAAATGTTGAAAGATTTGTTTATAATTCGACTGCTTCATGTTGAAGTACAAAGCTAAGGCTAAGATGTGAGTTGATTGTCTTAAATTCTTGGGCAAATCAGAAGCAAAACCTAGACTCAAACTGAATTTTCTTGATTCTCTGTCCAGTACTCTATCCTGCACATTGACTAAGAGTGGGGTTTAGAAGCAGCTGTTGTCCAGCAAACCAAGACAGGAAAAGGATGAGAGGAAGAAATTCATGACATATATAGTGAATGATGTTGTCTAATACTGTGCTGCCAGGAAATTAATTATTTGATTCTGTGGAGAATAAAGAGTTCTACCTGAAATCCTAACATGGACCAAGTTACATGTGTACTAGCTTTGGGACATTTATTCTTTAAGAAAATATTTATTAAACACCTATAGCATGCTAGACATTATCATCAATGTTGTCTAGGGATATGGGACACTGGGGTGGGGACCTCCATTCCCTGGCTCACTGTTTCTACAAGAAGAAGAACATCAGTAAATATATCACACTTGGCATCTCTAAACCTCCACACTCACATTTTCCCAGCCTGGGAGTGGAGGTGGCAGTGACTTACCACGAGGAAGTTCCAAGTAGAAATTTGGCATAGCTCTTCCCCTTGTTCTTTTCCTTCTTTTTGAAACCTGCCTGCTCAGCTCTTGGACATGTGTTAAGCTGAGCAGTAAAATTTCTGTTCTAATGGGGGTCAATGTGTGGTTTCCCTCACTGTTTGTGACCAGAACTGTCAATCTGTCTAATACAAAGGCTCCACATCATGAAATCAAATTTGTCTCACATCTATGTGAAGTTTCCTATCAGTTATATTGGTAATGAGGTGGGTTGAAATCAGGCAAAGGGGTGCCAGGTCTACAAACAGCCTATGGGCCATCACAGCGCAGGCCTTCATTATGCGTGTAGGAGCAGTGCAGTCACACAGGGCCTCTGACTTGAAGCAGCCCACGTTTCCATTTTGCACTAAGCCCCACAAATTATGTCGTGGATCTCTCCAAAGTTTTTAGCCCAATGGAAGGTACTTACTTATGGTACCAGCTGCGTGGCTAAATCTTAAACTACTCAAGTTCAGCTTGAACAGGTATTGGAAGATCATTTTAGATACAATAGGTAGAATATTTGTCACTTTTAAGCCTTAAGGTGGCTGAGACCTATACACAGAGCTCTGGTAAGGTTCTAGTATTAAAATGTATTGGATTGTATTAGATCTGTTATTCCAAATTCAATTCAATATTGGGAATGTGGAGAAAACTCTAAGTCCTGGGGCTTATTAGATGCCTCAAGAATCACCCTTCTCCTACACACACACACACACACACACACACACACACACACACACAAATTGACCTCACATTTGTCCTGGATTAATTACTAAACTTTTTCTGTATTTTATTGTATTTGAAGAGCACATGTTAGAGATTTTGGTCCTCAGCGCCCCCCATTACAAATTTCAGAAACAGCAAAAACTATTTCAGTTCCCAGATATTGGTTCAACTGAAAGTCAGATACGACAAGGGAGAAACTTCTTCTAGGAGGCAGGTGTTTTAGGCCTAATCAATTCCATGGCAAGTAGTTTTGTTAATAGACATTGAGGAGTAAGAATGCCTGCTGGCATGGGAGTGAGCAAATATGCTTCCAGAAAGACCCATGCTCCGTGGGTGCCAAGGACACAGGGATCAAAGGAAACATGGAAATTAGGGAGGTTTAAATGCACTTAGTGGGAAATAATGTTACTTCAAGAAAGACTTGATGATTGGACTGCCGCCACTGCATATTTGTAAACTCTAGAAGACACAATGCAGTGTCAAATGGCCCTTTCTGGAATGGGAGACAGAATCCCTAAGTGAAATTCCATCTCAGATAAGATAAATGTACAGTGCCCAAGTTAACTTTTGTTCAAAAAGATCTCCTAATTGAGTTTAAATTTACAGTTGATCGTCTTCTTAAACAGGGATGGCCTGATTGGTACATTTGGAGCTGAAATCAGAATTTTTTTCACCTACTCACTTTTTTTCAGATACCATCAAATCTTTGCTATGGTCTTTGGAAGCCTTAAGCTCTGGGTTTCTTTATCTGAAATGAGGTCTTGAGGAGTAGGAATTCCCTTTGTTTCTGTATGTTTAAGGTTTGCAGCAGTACTGGAATAAACTCTTGTGTTTTAAAAAATCTTTGGACTCATTAAAAAGTGAGGTACATGACAGACTTGACGTTGAACTAATTCAGTTCCTGAGGTTCAGAGAAATGGCCTGTATTCTAGTGATGGATAACACTGGCTGTGGCTTCTAAAGGAAGCCAGGCATTGAAAATATCTTAAGCTAAGACCGAGTAGAACACAAAAAGGACTTCCCTTTCTTTGGCTTTACATAGCCAAGGACAATAATATTTGATTTTGGACTTAAATTACTTTGAATTTTGTTTTATCTAAATTTGAATTTTCAAGGGGATCTAATCTATAGACTTAATTTTCTCCCAAGGAATTTGATCCTGGAAAGAAGTTTATATTCAGCTATTTGGAATTTTATTATTGTGTTAATTTTAAGTTTCCTGTTGATTTATATTTGGCAATGTGCTGAGAAAATAGGCAGGTAATATAGGTACCTACTTTTACAAGATTGTTATAGATTAAATGAGTTAATGGAAAACGCTTAGAAAAATACTATATCAGTGTTTTCTGTTAACCTTTTATCTTATCTATCAATTTGTTCAAAATTTGGGGGGTGGTGAAGAGAGAAGCTGTTGGGTCTTCCATAAAGTCCAACAATCAGTACTAGTTACGGACACACAACAGTATTATTGTTCTGGCTTCAGTCTAATGATAGAGGCAGATGAATAAACTGATAATTGTAGTACATTATGTGTTATATTATAACAAAGATGTGATATACTGTGGAAACTTGGAGATGGGAGCAACTTACAATTCAAATGTTACTACAGCTGTACACAAGACTAGTCCAAGATAAACTGTGAGTCTGAGCCTAATATTTTTCAGCCCTACAGCTAAGCCTTCCTATTACTGCTCCCCACCATTTATCTGCCAGATAGGGACCCATGTCCTTTCACTGGCTGCTCTCCTAGAGTTGCTCCTTCCAATATTTAGTTCCAGATTCAATAGCAGGTTGGCACAACAGCTGCCTGAAGCACCCATCCATATGAGCTGCCAAACCATCAGCTGAGGATTTAAAACATCACTGGATACGGAATAAGGTAGAGAAAATTAAGTTTCTCAGAAAGGAAAGGACATTGTGTACTAGATGAGATTTGCAGATCTAGGCAACAGAAGCTAGCTTAGGACAATTAAACAGAAAAGGAATTTATTACATATATTTAGCAAATCACAGAATTATTAAAAGAAAGTTGGAGGCTAAGTGTTCAGGGTAATGCCTTTAAAGCACACTGTGAAACTGATCTGGTAAGAAAACTGCACACTGACTAGAAAATACAATTTGTACCAGCACTACTTGTGCATCAAGAACTCACTGCTTCTGAAAGCACTATTGTTCCTTCATAATGCCCCTTTGACATAAGAAAAGCACCTTTGCAACTTCTGCAGCCACTGCAGACTTCACATGCTGGATACTTCACTAATCTTGGGAACAAAAACAAAATGGATTATGTGTAATTCTTTCTTCCTCACACTGCTTGCTTTCTATCATATTTTGCAAAGTGTATTCACTTGGTGGAGTCTAGGTAACATGCCTGAATTCAAGCTGCAAGGAAGCTGGCAAAGCCATTTCTATGGCTTCTTTGTTGGAGTGGTGTTGGGAAAGTCTTAGTCAATCAGAAAACATGACAAATGTCTGTATACTAATGATAACTTTGGAGGAGGAGTGAAACTCTTTAAAAACTTGACTAAATAATGATTGATATCACAAAATATCTTATAACGTGCTTCTGTTTCAAATTAATGGAGAGGTTTTGCTGTGGTCTGAATGTTAGTGTTCCCCCCAAATTCATGTACTGAAACCTAATCACCAATATGATATATTAGGAGGCAAAGCCCTTGGGGGTGATTAGATTAGGTGATGGGCTTAATGCTCTTACACAAGAGGCTCCAGAGAGCATCCTTGCCCCTTTCATCATGTGAGAACACCACAAGAAGGTGCCATCTATGAACCAGAAAGCAAACCCTCACCAGACACTGCATCTTCTGGCTCCTTGATCTTGGACTTCCCAGTCTCCAGAACTGTGAGAAATATATTTTTGTTTTTCATAAGACACCCAGTTTGTGGCCTTTTTTTTATAGCAGTTCAAATGAACTAAGACATAAAACAGTTTTTCTTTTTTATTTTACATGAAAGTTTGGAGCCAGAACTCAGAAAAAACATATGCAAGTCCAAGTATTTCCACTATGAGCTTCTGTTATTCAACATTCCCCAAACAGTGCTCTGCTTCTCTTTTCAGTGCTGAGTATATATGAAAAGCAATTTGTTTTTTGTTTGTTTGTTTGTTTTCTTGAGACAGAGTCTCGCTTTGTCACCCAGGCTGGAGTGCGGTGGCACCATCTCGGCTCAGCACAACCTCTGCCTCCTGGGTTCAAGCAATTCAGCTTCCTCAGCCTCCCTAGTAGCTGGGACTGTAGGCTCATGCCAACATGCTTGGCTAATTTTTGTATTTTAGTAGAGGTGGAGTTTCACCATGTTGGCGGAGCTGGTCTCCAACTCCTGACCTCAAGTGGTCTGCCTGCCTCGGCCTCCCAAAGTGCTGGGATTACAGGTGTGAGCCACCATGCCCAGCCCAAAATGTAAATTATTTTGAAGATGCATCTAGTTATTAGCCTACCTGGGGGCACCCTTGGTATTAACATTTAACCATGTGTCATAGTAAAGGTTCCCTCCTTTCCTGGAATGGACAGTATCAAGGACTCTTGTTCAATAAATGGTGTCAGATATTGTCTGATAGTCAAAGCCTTCTAAAATCTGGACTAAATTACCACTTCATCTTCTGCTACATTTTCTCCTTCACCAGATGCCACAATGACACTGGACACTGCAGGCTTTGCCCAAATATATTATTCTATTTGTCCCTCTCAGTTTTATAAATTCAGGCCTTGATGCCAAATATGCTTTCAAGTTCTGGCTGTGCAATGTCATAGATAAGATATATTGGTCAAGATTTCCTCCCTAAAGTAAAAAAATGGTAATATTATCAAGTAATTACATAGAAAATATTCGCCATTGTTATTGTCTTTGTTTTTTCCTTTACTTCTCTCACTGTTGAAGTTCTACTTAACCTCCAAGTCAAAATAAAATACAAATGCTCCCAACAAATGAACTCCCCACTACCACCTTCCACCCTCAACACCATGATGCTTGGTTTTCCACTTATTGCACCAATAACAGTTTCACACTGTCATCATCTCCATTGCAGCCTTCCTTCTCTGTAGAAGTCAGAGTTGGTTTCATCTTTGTATTCCCCAAACAAAAATAAGTTGCTTATATGGAGCAGAATTTCAGCAAATATGTGTTGGCTTGAGCTAAATAGTGATTATTATTTTGTCTCATACTCCTGCCCTTTGTTAATTAAGCATAGAGAGGTTAAAGGATTTTAATGGAATACAGAGTTATTGCACCATCTAACTTATTTATTTTTATAAAGGGTTTCTGGAACCACATTGCAAACTTCTTAGGTGTAGGCTACACTTGAGTTGAATGCAGCACCAAAAAGCACTTCCAATCTGTTCTTCCCTTGAAAGATCACTGATGGATGCTGGTGGTATTAGTCTGTTCTCATGCTGCTGATAAAGACATACCTGAGACTGGGTAATTTATAAAGGAAAGAGGTTTAATTGACTCACAGTTCCACATGGCTGGGGAGGCCTCACAATCATAGCTGAAGACAAATGAGGAGCAAAGTCACTTCCTATGTGGTGGCAGGCAAGAGAGCTTGTGTAGGGGAACTCCCCTTTATAAAACCATCAGATCTCATGAGACTTATTCACTATCATGACAATAGCATGAGAAAAACCTGCCCCCATGATTCAATGACCTCCCACCAGGTCCCTCCCAGGACATGTAGGGATTATGGGAGTTACAGTTCAAGATGAGATTTGGGTGAGGACACAGCCAAACTATATTATTGGTCTAGTGAAAAACTGCAGTGCTGGACATTATCAGCCAGATTCTTCAGTGACATTTTTTGGTAATAAAATCCCATTGGCTAAAGAAACTGAAACAGAAGGATTAGAAAGGCAGCTTCTCCATCTTTGGACATGGAAATCAAAGGGGAAGAGGATGGCTAACACTTTTCTAAACTTCTTCCAGGGGATTGATCTAGTTTTATTTCAATTTGGAGAAATAAAGTGTGTCATCAAACTTGCATCCTGAACTTTTACATTTTTGACCATGTTTTTACTGTTAAGGCAGTTATGCATGTGTGCCTATATACACAGATAAGGTCTGGGGAAGACTGTGAAGCTGCAATGGGAAAATACATAACAGTATAAAATATAAGCATAGTGATTTAATCTGTTTGCAGATAATGTCAGCCTTACTTCAAAGCAAGTTCTAGTTGCTATTTAGTCTTCCATTGTCTTGAAGGATCTTTTGGAGGGAAGAATAACAGAATGTTTGACTTAGAAGGAACTTGGAAATTGTACAGCACTTTCATATGATGTAGAAGTATCCTAAAGCCAGTGCAGAAGTGAGACCTGATAATGGTCACATGGAGTAAACAGCACCAGTGAGACTGGAATCGGATGTTTCTGTGCCACTTCGTTCTGATCAAAAGCTACCTATAGTAACTACTCAAAGATAGCATTCTTTGCTTTCTTCCTAAGCATCAGGCATGCTTTATTTCAAGCTGTTTCCTTTGCAAAATTATTACTTTGCAAATATTAGCAGCTATGTTGGAAAACAACACAATTTCAGTGTTCGCTATGATATGAAAGGAGAAGGAAAGCTTTGCAAATATTTTTCTAAATATAAGTAATCCTAACTATGGGGCTAATCATTTTCCTGTCACCTTCATCCTCAATCTTAGTCTAAAAGTATATGCTGTTGAAAAACTTGTTCTGACAAGTACTTTTTTTTTTTTTTTTTTTTTTTGGATAGCAACACTTTTCTTTGCATCTCTTCAACTTTGGGCATCTGCAGGTCCTGCTTTGGCTTTGTTCCTAATTACTATATTATTAGCTGATTTTCATCTATTCTTGGCCATTTAGCCTACGTGGACTTGTTTTTTCTGCCCTACTAATTAGGAGTTGAGCAGTGGGGTAGCCAAAACAAGACTGCCCAGATTCAAGAGATAACCTCATTCAGTATCAATTTTCTCATTTCAACAAACTAGGGCTTCTTACATTTTGATGCATTCGCTTTCAATCCTAATCCGCTATTTAATAAACCTCCCAAATTAACAACCCTGGGTCCATGTGGCTTATCCAAGAGAGCCCTGTGAGCTCCTGTTAATTCAATCTCAGTGGCAGAGTCTGGGCTTGATCTGCTTCCTGAGAAGCTGTATCTAGTTTTAAGCTTCTGTGTTTGGCAGCTTCACTTGGAGAGAATTTACTAATAACTCAGAGTGTAGTTTCCTCTGGGTGCCTCTGAGTGTGTGTAGGTTTTACATACCACAAGAGAATGAAACTATTGATAAAAGTTGAGCTTTACTTCACTAAATAGGAAACTCACGCTGGATGGAAAAGAAACTTAGACTCTTTGAATTGTTCCCATTAAATCTGAAAAGTCCTAATTAATTCTCTTCAGTGGTCTGCATTTCCAACCATTTATGGATTACAGTAGAACAAGGAAAACAGGGCCTATGAAGAACCCCCACATGGTTGAATGCTCATCTGTTGCTGTCTTGAAACTCTAAAAGCTGTAATCTTTGAAGGTATGTTTTGAATGTGCAACCTTGAAGCATGTGGTTGAACAAAGGATGTACATGGAAAAAAGGTAAATGCTTTCCCCTGTAATGACACTGTTGTCCAGCTTTTTGAACAAGGCTCTCCCTTTTTCATCACTGCCCCGAGTAAGAATGAGGAATATATCAGAGTCCCTACTTCAGCATGGCCATTTGTACCCACATATGGCCCTGTAACCTTCTGTCCTGGCTTGCATCCTACTCACACATCACCTTAATGACTCAGGTTCTCTTTTTCTCTCCTTCACTAGCAGTTGTTTAAAACTATTTATTTAGCACTCGCTCTATGCCAAACACCATACCCAGCACTTCACCCACATCGCTCATGGAATCACCATAGTGGCTCTCTGGGATCAGTGTTCTCATTATTCCCATTTTATAGGTGAGGAAATTGGAATTTAGGTTAATAACTTGTCCTGAGTCACATGGTAAATGTTCGAATGAGGATCTGTTAGGGTTTGAATCCTGACAGATTAAAGTCAGAGCCAACGCCCTAGAAACATGAATACAGGAAAAACAACATTTTAAAAAATGCCCAACTCAAGAATATGATCTGAATATTACACCCTAATTAATCCACTCCATGATTTCATCAGTGGTCTTTTAACATTTTATTGATTTATTTTTGCTTTTTTAAAAAAGTGTCTTCAATATAGTAGTATATTAGATTGTGATCTACTAAAATCCATCTTAACGAGGCATCAATGAGGGAATGACAGCTGTGATAATAGTAATAATAATGACCATCTACTTTCTCTCATTTCATTTTCGTTATTTAAAAAAGGAGTAGCTGAGTAACCTGTTTTTCTGCTTAAGGTCCTTAGGTCAAAATTGCACTTTCATTCACTTTTTATTATATTTATTTCCTGATCTCTCTTTCTGTCTCTCTTTCTCAATCTGAGACTAGGTTTAGAAAAATGTGTGTGGTACAAGTGGCAAGTTCAAAATCTGTAGGTTTCAATTTCTAGAACCTGATTCCTTAAAAGGACATGTGGCCTCCATACCAAACCTGCAAATATTTCCAAAAACTCCTCTTTGTATAATTCACCATTTATGTCCAAGAACAATCCAAAAGCCTTGCTGCAAGACACTCTCTCCCTTGACTGCCACGTGGGTCACTGCAAATCCTGATCTTAGATGATATTTCAGTCTGAAAAGAGGGAGAGTGGTTCACTTTCATGTCATTCCTCATCTTCTTCTATGGCTACTAAGTCAAAATCACATTGATACACATTTTATAATGTTTTCCCCAAAATCCATGTGTTAAAGCTCTAACTCACAGTGTCTTACTGTTAGAATGTGACTGCATTTGGATATAGGGCCTTTAAAGAGGTTATTAAGTTAAAATGACAGCATTAGGATGTGCCTTATTCCAATAAGACTGGTGTTTTTAGAAGAAGAGGAGATTCAGCACACAGACACACCAGGGATGTGCGTGCACAGAGGGACGACCATGTGAAAAGACAGCAAGAGGACAGCCACCTGGATGCCAAGGAGAGAGGCCTCAGAGGAAACCTACCCTGCTGCCATCTTGGTCTTGAACTTGCAGGCTCCAGAACTGTTAGAAAACAAATTTCTTGTTTTTTTGTTTGTTTGTTTGTTTGTTTTGAGATGGAGTCTCACTCTGTCACCCAGGCTGGAGTGCAGTGATGCGATCTCAGCTCACTGCAACCTCTGCCCCCTGTGTTCAAGTGATTCTCCTGCCTCAGCCTCTCAAATAGCTGGGATTACAGGCGCCTGCCACCATGCCTGGCTAATTTTTGTATTTTTAGTAGAGATGCGGTTTCATCATCTTGGCCAGACTGGTCTTGAACTCCTAACCTTGTGATCCACTCACCTTGGCCTCCCAAACTGCTGGGATTACAGGCATGAGCCACCACACCCGGCCACATTTCTGTTCTTAAACCACCCTGCCTGTGGTATTATGTTACAGCAGGCTTAGCTGACTAATACAGGATTCTTCTCATTTGCAGGCAAACACATTCTTAAACTGCTCACCTTGTTCCCTGTCCCTTCCAGCCATTGTCTACTATTTTGAACCCTTCTTCACGGTCAACTTCCTAAATCATTTATGTAGTCATCCTTGACTTTTTCCATCACTCATACTTAACATCCAGTTTATTAGTAAATTACACTACCTTTAGCTTTAAAATATTTTCAGATTTTGATTTTTTCTCACCATTTGACTACTACCATCTGGTGCAAGCTGCTATTATCTCTTACCTGGATGACAACGATAGTCCCCAATGGCTCTCTCTGCTTCTACCTGGTCCACCTTGCAGCAGCTTCTGATGAAAACCTACTAATTACCTTGCAACTTAGAGGGAAAGACTGTCTTTGAAAAAAGATTTCTAAAGCCAGACATGGTCTACTCTACCACCCCCTTTCACCACGCTGACCTCACCTACTACCCCTTTTTACTTCATGCATTCTACTCAAGCCACACTGGGTGTTCATTGTTGTTTCTTATCAATGCTATTCATGAAGCCACTTCAGGTCTCTTGTATGTACTGCCTCTTCTGCCTGGAATGTACTCTTCCCAGATTTTTATATATATATATACTTTAAGTTCTAGGGTAAACATGCACAACGTGCAGGTTTGTTACATATGTATACATGTGCCATGTTGGTTTGCTGCACCCATCAACTCGTCATTTACATTAGGTATTTCTCCCAATGCTATCCCTCTCCCATCCCCCACCCGCCGACAGGCCCCAGTGTGTGATGTTCCCCGCCTTGTGTCCAAGTGTTCTCATTGTTCAGTTTCCACCTAGGAGTGAGAAAATGTGGTGTTTGGTTTTCTGTCCTTGCGATAGTTTGCTCAGAATGATAGTTTCCAGCTTCATCCATGTCTCTGCAAAGGACATGAGCGCATCCTTTTTTATGGCTGCATAGTATTCCATGGTGTACATGTGCCACATTTTCTTAATCCAGTCTATCATTGATGAACATTTGAGTTGGTTCCAAGTCTTTGCTATTGTCTTCACAGATACTTTCATGGGGCATGCTCTCTCTCATTTTCTATAGGTCTGTGCTCCGACACCTCATCATGAGAGAGGACTTCCCTAGCCAACTTCTCTGACCTCCCTAGGTAAGACAACAACCATATCCACTCAGCACTCCTTTAAGTCCCTTTAAGTCTGGCTTAATGCTGCATTATTCTTTCCAGCTGACATATCACATATTTATTTGTATGTCTATTGTCTTTCTTCCCTCTACAACAGAAGTAACTTGAGACACTGTCAATTGACTGCTCAGTCCCAGCATCTGTAGCAGTGCCTGGAATGTAGTAGGTCTCAATAATTCTTTCCTGAAAAATAGCTCCACTTTATTATTTCCCCTTTATTCTCAAATTTATTCCAAACTGGTTTTTCCTCTTGTCTTCTGAATTTTCTCTTATCAGGGTCTTCAATGACCTCTGTTCTGCTAAACCCTCAACTAACTTTACCTCTCAGATGGTTTTGACAGAATAAAAAATGACCCTCCTTTTGAATCACTCTCTCTTCCTAACATCTGTGATTTTTCTTCTGTGCCGCTGGCCAATCCTCACTTTCTCCTCCTTTATGCAAACCTGAAGCTGTGCAGTTCTTCAGAGATCTCACCAGAGTCCTCCTCTCTTCTCACACTTCAGTTTCTCTCCAGGTGATCTCATCGCCTCCCATGGCTTTAAATACCATGGGATATTAAAGTCAGGAAATCTATTTTCTCACTCAGCATTATCTTCTGAGCTTTAGGCGGATGCTGTCATTAGGAATCTAGGTGTGATGTGTGGAAACTAAGTGGCAAACCTATTTGTCCTTGAGTGTTACTTCCCTCAGAAAACATTTGATTGCTTAACTTGGAAAGCTGGGAGTCTCTTCCCTTTCCCTTACTTCTCAGATTCAATTCACTAGCAAGTCCTGTCCATTCCACTGTTGAACCATACCTTCTGTGTCCGCTGACTTCTCTTCATCTCCTTTATCACAGCCAAACCACCATCATTCCCTACCTGAACCACTGCAACACCCATCTAAATGGTGTTTCTGCTTCTGCTTTTGTCTTCTTTTAATCTGTTCTCTATGCAGTCACCAGTATAATCATATGATCATGCCACTTCCTTGCTTAAAATACTTCAAGTGACCCGCATTGCAATTAGGTTTTTAAGTCCATCACGATCTGGCCTCTAGCTATTTCTTTTGCATGACGTCTCATATCTCCTGCTCCCACTCATCATCCTACACATGCTTGAACTCATAAATAGCTCTTATTTATTGAGCACCTATTATGTACATTGTGGTAGTTATTTAACCTATTTACTGTATCATTTTCACATTATGCAAAACAAGCATTAATGTCCCTAAATTTTAAATGAGAAAGTTGAATTCCAAGGAAATTAATCATGCAACTGAAATCATATTTGTTAAATGGATGAATAAATGAATGAATGAATTTGACCAATACCACACAGTTGGATGTTATAGATATTATTCACCACACAGGTTTATTGGGATGATACACAGGCCAATTTTTCAAAGCATAAAGTACCAAAATATAAATTTTTAAATCATATTACAGTTTGAAGTTTGTGTTAACCTGTATTAAAAAGGCACTCCTGCTGGGTGGGAAATAGACAACTAAAAGGCTGAGTTCTCAACATTAAAGAGCTTATTTTCTCACTAGGCGGGCAGGGCTTACATACATTGAACTCATAAGGAACAATAAAACATGGCATTTAAAAATCCCTGGGCGAACAACTGGAAAAAATCCTGTTTTGCATGCTGTTGCAGAAGGACACAAATAAAGAAAGGGGGCCCCAACCGATCAACACAGTCAACTAAGTTAGCCAATGGAGTGATGCATTGTAGACAGTCTCTGACATACAGTGTAAAAGCCCCTAGAACTTAGCCCTGAGCACATAACCAACAAGAGTGTGTCAAATCTGAGCTTACCAAATAGTACCTAACAAATGAGGTCTCCGCTGACAATATGTGCACCCCACTCCTACAACTGCCCACTCCATTAACCTCCATACCCTTTAACCTGATGTATTCTCTTCCTTCTCACCACCTGACACCATCTAATTATCTGCTTGTCATCTGCTTGTTGTGTCTCTGGTCTGTAACAGGGGCTAGCACTTGGCAGTTGCTGGAGAAATAATGTGTTACCTGCATGAATCATGAAGCACTAGATTGAACTGAATCCAGTCCTTAACTGAGGGACTCAGAGATTAGGATGGTCACTGTAAAAATTATGGATTCTACTGTTACCCCTTCTTGACTGCAAAATACTGCCTAATTTTCTGCTGTCAGTGTTCAGGATAGGTTTCCCTTCCTTCTTAGCACATCTTGTAATAGGGAAAGCTGCAGCCCCATCCACCCATTGTCCCCAGAGAGTATGACCAGAGGCACAGGCCAGGCCCTCTTTAAAGACCCTCTGAGAGCTTCCCTGGGTAACTGTTTGGTGTCTCAGTGGCCTCACTTCCTTTGCTGCTGGCTCCAACCCAGAAGATCACCAGCTCATCTCCAAATGTGCTATTTATGACGATTCATCCAGATACAGCCTTCCAGAACCCAAGGCCCCACACCGGCTCCATTCAGCTGAGACAATGTGCCCAAAAGCTACTGCAGGTTTCACTAAATTATGGAGCAAATGTCAGACTTCCCTCGCATTATCAGACACACATTTTACATGGCCTCTTTATTGGGTTTTTATATCTTGAGGGGGTCTTAATAGGATGAAAGGGAGGCTTGCTAGGTGCAAATGAGTGCCGTTCGACTATTTAAAGGCACATTTAATTAAACTGGATTCATTGCCTGCATGGGGCAAGTTAAATGAAAACTAAATAGATGGAGTATGATTACATATTATTAAGAAGAGAGACAGCTCTGGAGACCAAATTCTTTTAACACAACATTAAGCTGAGCTCATTTCATATGCACAGTTTAGCACCGGCCTGTAAGGAGAACGTGTTTTGAGAAAATCAGCAGAATGGTTATGAGCTCTAAACAGCTTTTAATAAAATGCAATGTTTCAGGGAAGGAGCAGCTTCTAAGCTTCACTTAAATATGCTAATTAAAGAAAATGAAGTTTCCCACTGATTCCAGGTTCCCTTTGTGTTCCCTCTATTTTTTATGTTCATCGCACCCAGGCTACTTTCTACCTTATTTTGTAAACTCCCAGAAATGCTCCAGATTCCTTATTAAAAAGATATCTGTGCTCACTGTGAGTTGGGAAGAGAAGAAAATAAACCCAAGTCTGCCAAATTGGTGACTTTATTCAAATTGGCTCTCTGGGTCTGGGTGTCCATAGACTGAAATAATCCTCAGCTTCTAGCTAGAATCAAGACTATTTTGACAAATGGACCTCACTGAGTTTAGCAATAATAATAAAAGTAGTTTCCATCTGTTGAGTCTTTGTACTGGGACAGGTGCTTTATAGACATCACCTAATTTGATTCCCACCATCACCCGGGAAGATAGGTATTGATATCTCATTCCACAGAAACAGAAAGGACAAGGCTATTTGCTCAGGGTTACACAGTCAATGGTGTTGCTTGGATTTAAACTCAGGTCTGACAGGCTCCAAAATCCCTGCTCCCTCACTGGCAACGACATCTGCCCTGATCCCATCCAGGGAGTCATATCCCCAGGGAGGGGGTGGTATTTTAAAAGCATGTAAAAATAGTCAACATAATTTTGTATCACAAAAGAGGAGAAAAAAGAAAAACTTACGCTGACTTTCAAAGCATGAACCCTTTTAAAGTAATCTTCTTGGCTGCTGGTCCACAGGTTAAAAAAAAAACAAGTTGAAACATAATTGATCTGATTTACCCATCCCCAAGTTACAATGTTCTGCCGTGGCCCCTCCATTCCTCTTTCTTCTGATAGCAACATCTTGGTGTTACTGTGGAGTCAGCTCTCCCCTACTTTTGGTCCATGTGGCCTAAGCTGTATTTACCCTACCCTTTAGTTTCATGAGTTGGCACATGCCCCTGGACTGGGCAACACGTCCCAAATTGGTTCACAAGTCCCACTCCAAGAAATGATCTCCAGCCCCAGTACTTTTGTCTCGAGCTACTGAGAGAGAGATCCTCCCTGTAGCTGCTAAGCGGATAGGATACATTCTCTTAGTGGTCCTCTTGGCACCACTGTCAGGCAAGGTGAGAACTTTCCTGAGAATGAAGCCCAGCTGAGAGACGGAAAGGTACAGAAGCCCAGTGACATTGTTTGAGAGCTGAACCCAGGCACACATGAAGTCAAATATCTGCACATGGACTTTCTAGTTCATTACCCAATCAGCTCCATTTTGTTTTTAAGCTAATAGGAATCAGTTTTCTGTCACAGGCGTCTGGAAAAGTATGGCTCCCAACCTCACCAATATTACAGTTGTAGAGTCTGAAGCCCAGAGAGGGAGAGTAGAATTTCTTAAAATGTTTACCACTAATTAGTGACATCTTTAAGCTAAGAATCTAGAACCCCCTCCTCTCCAGCCAGATTTGTTTCCTTTACCATAACCTGCTGGGCCATTGCTTCTCAAAGTCCGATCACCAGACCAGCAGCATCAGCATAATTTGCAACTTGCTAGAAATGCAAACTCTAAAACCCCCATCCAAGACCTACTGAATCAGAATCTCTGGGAGTAGGACTAGCAATCTGTATTCTAAAAAGTTCTTCAGTTGACTCTAATGCCTGCTGAAGTTTGAGAACCCCTGCTCTAGATCAATGTTTTTCCAAGTTTTGAATCCTCATCACAAGAAGACATTTTCCCTCCACCATTTCTGCTCAAATTTTCTGTAATTCCTGAAGCTCGATTTTAGGGTGAGATGTTCACTAATCTCTACATAAAAAGGGGCCTTTTGAATATTTGCAGAATTAGAAGGGGGAAGTGGGGTTGGGGAATGCACACCAATGGAGATCTGCCTTGGGAAATCTCAGGGCCTGTCCCAGCCCTCCTCCAAATCCAAATGTGGATGTACACACGGAAGAGGCAGCAACTCTTTAAGGGAGCTCAAGATCTGAAGCTTTGATGTCTAGAAATGGTGTAGGAAGCTAGTTGTTAATATATTCCCCTCAAACATGGGGAATTCAGTAGGGCTACTTCATGGCAAATGTATGAAAAACTGCACGTGTTATGGAACCTGGAACTCTCCTTGCTGCATGCTCAGCTATCCTTCCCTGGGGAAATTCGGTCTTTTCCAAAGAGAATTGTATCTATTATACCTGTGTACTCTGAGGCCTCAGCGCTTTGGCGTTCTAACTTCCTAGGATGGATTTCAGGAGACAAAACTGTGTTCAACAAGAAAAGGGATCATCTGCAGGGGAAAGATTTGGGGGCAAGCTGGTTTTATAGCCATCCTAGGAACACTAGGAATGCTTCTGCATCTTTACAATGGTTAGTCATAGTTATAATTCCCGAATGCCCCACAACCTTAACTCAGGCTATTTCCAACAATTTCTACTTATTATTTTATAAGGTCAACTATCCCTTTCCTTGTAAAACTATTCCTGTCTTCCTTGACATTCTTTATTTTGTGTGTGTTACCATTGATTCTTATGCATGATTTTGTTACATTTATCACGTTAATATTAGGAATAATTCAACACTAAGAATAATTTGTATAATAATAGATAATACATTTTATACTTATTATTATCTATTTTGGGGCAGCCAGGGAGCTCACCATCTTGAGAAGTTAATAACAGCTGCCATAAATCCAATACCTGACATAAACCAGGTACAGTGCCTAGTGAGTTACAGACATTATCATAGGTGAGGAAATTGAGGCACAGAGTTTGTTGCTTGTCCAAGGTTGCATAGCTGATGAGTGGTGGAGCCAGGACTGAACCCCAGTCTTAACCCCAGTAATTTGTCATATAATGACAAAATTATTCTTGCCATTATATCTATCTCCCTCTCTCATTCATTCATTCATTTAACCTACACTTAAGTCACTTCAGGAGAACCTTCTCCTTACTGCTTCCACAGTGTGGCTAGGCATGTGGACATCCTGAGGGAATACCCTTCAGGGATTTCTGACTTCCACAAGCTCACAGAATGGTAAAGAGAAAGGCCCCAATACTGCAAAAAAATAAATAGGCAAATACAATCCGGTAATGATAAGGGGCTCTTGTCTTGGATCTTCATAGTACTGCTCTTTTACAGACTGCAAACCTCTCAGTACATCAGCAGTGAAATCATAAAAAGATTGTTATTGTTTCGCTGTTTTTTGTTTGTTTGTTTTTTTCATACAGAAACAAAGTTCATTACTTTGCAACATCTTCAGGCTCCAAGGAAGATCAAATTAAGCAGGTTATCTTGGTACTGTCCATTATCCCAGGCCTGCTTGCCTATCCCAGCTCTAATTGCCAGCTTTCCTGGGCAGAAATAATTCCAAGCTGCATGCTCTGCATTTTCTCCTCCTTTTTAATATCATCAGATTTGAAATAGACATACACGGCAGCAGAGTTGCTGGAAGTATTATAGAAGCCCAGTAGGAGATATTTGCATATTTATGAAAATAGTTTACCTTCTGCTATGACAATAACAAATGTTCACAGTCTCAGCAATTTGCCCACTTTATTTGAGGAAAACCAGGAGTGCATTAACAATTTAGGAAGGGCTTTTGAGGGGTAGTTACACCACTATCTTATTTTCCTTGAAGTTATCATTTCGAGGGTATTTTTTGGTGCAATTTCTAATGCAAGGAATGACCATCTTCTGACAATGATAAACAGGGAAACTTTTTCAATCATCCCCAAAATGTGCTGAGAGTTTAGGTCAGACTTTGACAAACTTAGTGTTACAGTTTATACTAGGAATTCATACCCAACAAATTTAACTTTTGCCTATTTTTCTGATAACTACTTACGATTGACTCGTCGGTCTCTTGAATTGTTTTCAGTTTTCTAAAAATATTTCTGATGATGTTAAGCAAAGAAGGATGCGAGTCTGACTCAGCAATAGTTAACTTGCAACCTTTCTCTAGAAAGAGAATAAGGATGTCAGAAAAAAAATGTTTTCAAGAAGAAAGATGAGTACGGTGCCTTTAATGACACTAAGTCTCTGTCTAGCAGCCAATATTTGTATAAGACTATTCTATCTACAAGAACAGTTTACTGTAATTTTAAAATGGCCTAAAATAAATGAGACCCAGGTGGAAGAAGCTGAATGGTATACTAGAAAGAGCAGAAGTTTTGAGGTTAGACAGACTTGGACACAAATCCCCACTGACTCACTTACTTGTAGTGGCCTTCTGGAAAACATTTTAACCTTTTTGAGCCCCCATTTTGTGAGCTGTAAAATGGGGATAATCTTGCCTAGGGTTTCATAAGTTTGAGCTGACAAAAAGAGCCTCTAGTTCTGAGCACATAGTGCTGGTAGAATGTGAGTAGGTGCTCAGTAACCTCTCTCACAGAGTATGTGTTCCATGTTTTACTATTATTTGTGTTATAGTTATCGTACAGTTTAAATGCTGTTACTTGTATTAGTTTTCTGTAGCTGCTGTGACAAATCACCACACACTTGGTGGCTTACAGTAACAAAAGTTTTTTTTCTCTTAGAGCTCTAGAGGCCAGATGTCTGAGATTAAGACATTGGCAAGCCTGTGCTCCCTCCGAAGGCTCTAGTGGAGAGCCTCTTCTTGCTCTTCAAGCTTCTGGTCACTCCATATATTCCTCAGCTTGTGGCTGCAGAGCTCTAATCTCTGTCTTTGTCTTCCTGTGCCTTTCTTCTGTTTGTCTTCTCTTGTTTTGCCTGTTTTAGAGACACTGGTCGTTGGATTTAAGGCACACCCAGATAACCCAGGCTGATATCATCTTGAAATTCTTTACTTAATGACATCCTCAAAGATTCTTTTTCCAAATAAGGGCACATTCACAAGTTCTGGAGATTGAGACATGGACATATTTTTTTGAGAAGCACCATTTAGTCCACCACACCAGTATATTGTGAAACTACCATGAGCCAACTTTCACAAGATGATTTATTTCAGTTGCTTAGCTTTAAAAAAAAAAAATTTGCGCCGTTATTAAGCTGAAGAATAACTAACTCAAAATATTGCAGAGATTAAACAAGAATTGAGAGCTTTGGGTTTTGTTGTAATAAGAACCTTATATCTTGGTATAAACTTTGATAATTTATAGCCCCACTGTCCATAGTATCTTTAACTCAGGGGATCTTTGATACTCGCCTCACACCTTTGGTTTGTTGCCTCTTGATCTTGGGATTCTCAGGCCTGTCATGAACTTTGCTCCCTGATAAGTAGCTGGATGGGTGCTGGGATTTAGACAAAAGTACAGTCATTTTCAAATCTCACTTTAAATAAATACATCAAATCCATATTTTAATCTTTCCTTTGCCTTTAAAAATAAACCAATATAGATAGAACTTTCTGACACCCTTATAAGCTAGTTTGAGATCACTCAACTCATTTGCATGGATGACCTCTACTTGAACTCATTTCTCTGGAAATAAAAGTTTAGTGCACTACTAATTCAACTTAGAAAGTAATTGGAAGACTTCAGCAAATGAGGAAAATTCTCATTTTATAGGGACTGGGGACTTAATTCAAATGAAAAAACCTTCATTGATGACATGAGTTAATTGTGCAGTTAACATAAAATAACCCTACCTAGAATTATAAAGACTCTGAAAGTATCAATTTGCAGGTATCAATGATTAAAAGATTCTTTAACAGAATATCACATTTGTTGAATTTTCTGCGTATTGTATATTAAAGAAGACAGTCAGTGACCACTAGTAAGTCTAATACTTTATATAATTTCATTTGATGGAACCCTATTACAACCTCAAAATCTAGATATAGTGTTTCTTCAGTTTCCAAGACATCATACTCTCTCTTTTGCTGAATCCTTAACTTCTACCTCTAAACGTCAGAGATCTCACAGCTCAGCCGTAAACCGTCCTATCTAGTTACATACCTCCTTGGAAATTCCATCCATTCCTCTGGCTGTTAATACTATTCACATGCTACTAATGCCCAAATACTCTATCTCTCTAAGGTTGAGTCCTATATCAATCTACCTATTTGATGTTATTACTTGGATACCTCATAGTCATGTCAAAAGTAACCTGCTGAAAATTAATTCTTTTAGGTTGGGTTCCCTAAAAGCAGAGGCTCAGACAAGAATTCTCAAGTAACTTATGATATTGAAATTGATTTAGTGATAGTCAAGTGATTTATTTAATTAGTGCTCTCAGAAGGGGAGTGAGAAAAACAGGAGAGGGCTGGGCAAAAAATGTAAGTGAGTCTAGCTTCAACATGATCCCATACAGAAGCTCTGGAATGCAAATTGTGCACTCAGCTCGTCCCACCTTGAGGCAAGGAAGGAGACTGGCCTTTTGTTGCCACATGTCAGTTCCAGCTTCCTCAGGAGTGACAGATTGTAGGACCTAACTTCCCCAACACTGCAACTACTATCTTGCTGGGGAAAAGCTCCAGAGAAGGTAGCAGCTGTGAGCAACTAGCATCCAACACTCATAGCAGATGGGAAATGGGCAAATCTGCCAAGAGAGAAGGCAAGAACAGGGCACCAATAACATCCACTATAGCTTCTTAATTAATCCTACACTACGTGGTCAAAGTTCTACCTACCAATTCTCCCTGATATCCACCATCTTTCTGTTTCTTCTCCCAATAACCTAGTGATGCAGGATTTTTCTCAGTCACTTTGCCAGCCAGGGACCTCCACAGCCAGTGACATCCCCACCTGGGCCTTGCTCAGTCCTGGGCCTGCTACAGGAGGTGCCCCATTCACTTGGCCTGCTGGGTCACACCTGGCTTGCACACCAGCCTGGATCCTGCACTCGCCGCAGGTTCTGTGCTTAGCCTGTGGCTAGGCTGGGCCTGCCCCAGCCGACTTGTGTTACAGCTCATACCCATGTTTGGTGGTTCCCAAGTTCTTGTCCTGCATCTAAGAAGAATAAGGTTATGTGGACAATCAAAGTGTGAGGAGGGCAGAGAAGAATTCTATTGAGTGACAGAACAGCATTCAGTTCCTCACAAGCTGAGGAATGTATGGAGTGACTAGAAGCTGGAAGAGCAAGAAAAGGCTCTCCATTAGAGCCTTCAGAGGGAGCACTGACCTGCCAGCATCTGCAAGGGTGGTCTCCCTCCCAGTGTAGCTGGATCCAGAGCTTTTATGAGCTCAGAATGGGGAGTATGTGCTGATTGGTTTGTGAGTATGCAAAAAAAGCTTAAAACAAAGGCACCACTGAAAGGTGGGCACAACAGTATAGAAAACCAATTAGGGAAGGGTAGGTATATGTAAAATAGGTGAAGGGTGAGGATCAATCAGAAGAAAGCCACCAAATGGGAAAAGAGACTCTCAATCCAGAACGTGGATTTGACTCATAGCTTGGCTTCCAGGCTTTAAACTGTCTCGGCTTGAAGGTAGGGTTTCATGGGGGACCCGCCCCTGTCTGTCTTCTGGCACTATCTCTAGGCCAAGCTACTACCACGTCTTATTTCAACAAGTAAAATGCTTCCAACACATGCCTCTATGTCCACCTTACTCATCAGCAATACATTGACCTCAGAAAAGCCAGGATTATTATTTTTTAAACACAAATCTGGTGGCTCCAAATACTTTAATGTCTTCTTATTGCCTTTATAACTAATTTCAAAACCAAGGCCAAGATCTCAGAGCCACTGTGGCATTAGGCCCCTGACTCCAATGCACTCTCCAATGATCTCTCCCTCTGATATACTATGCATCTGATGCTTCTGGTACTTTGGTCCATTCCTATATCACTAGAAGCTTCTGCCTTGTGACCTTCACTCATGTTATTTCCACTAATGAGATGAGAATACTATTTCTTTTTTTGAGATAGAGTCTCACTCTGTCACCCAGACCGGAGTGCAGTGGTGCGATCTCAGCTCATTGCAACTCCTGCCTCCCAGGTTTAAGTGATTCTCCTGCCTCAGCCTCTCAAGTAGCTGGAATTACAAGTGCATGCCACCACGCCCAGCTGATTTTGGTGTTTTTAGTAGAGATAAGGTTTCACTATGTTGGCCAGGCTGGTCTCAAACTGCTGACCTCAGGTGATCCACCCACCTTGGCCTCCCAAAGCACTGAGATTGCAGGCATGAGCCACTGTGTTCAGCTGAGAATGTTTTTTCTAAGTCTCTGTTTAATTTTGTTTGTTTTCATCACTCAGGGCTCAGGTTCAAGGACAATTGCCTGAAAGAGACCTCTTCTGATCTCACCTTGTTCACAACGGTAATCACAATCCACAAGGTTATTTGTTCTCTGAAAAACCTAACTATTGAATGAGCTGGATTTGGTGTATGAAAGCAGAAAACAATTTTCTATTAACCTTGATCTCTTAACTCATTATCCTCCACACTGGGTAATCCTATTGCTTCTTCAGCTTCTCTCAGATATTAAAATTCCAATCCAGTGAAACATCCACACTTTTAATATCTTTGACTTATACTATTTAAAGCTTTTTATCTCCCCCAACTTGGATCTGCCTTGGGCTGGTAAAACGGCATTGAACAAGTAGGGCATGATCAACTTCTTTAGGATTCCCCTAAGCTTGTGTTCATCTCCTGGCTGCACCCAGCTGTCAATGCTGAGATTTAACTAAATAAAAAGTAGCTGTAAAATAATCTGTTATTAGGTGGGAGATGTAATAGGTATACCTGCTATTTTTGCAGGTAGATGACAATATATGAACAGTTCCATCCAGAAAGTCATGTGATTCTACTCAGTTTGCGATTCAGTTTGTGATTCTACTCAGATAATGAGTCAAGAGATAAAGGTTAATCAAAGAACTAATCAAAAGTAGTTCTTTCCCATCATTTAACTTTTTGTAAAAGAAGGTTTCATATTTACTTTTCTATTTGGGACCTACTGTAGGCAATTATAGCTTTCACAATATGATCCTTTAGAACTATGGTTAATAGCTTAATAGCCCTTTTGAGAATTTCTGGATTCTTGAAAATCGGAGCCCCACTAATGCGAAGGAAGTTTGCCAACAACTGTGAACACTGGAAGTGAGTGGGAAACTGAGTGTTGGTGCCCAAGTCCCAGACACAACCTCCCACTGAATGGGTCTGTTAGTGAGAGAGGGATGACCCTAGTGGGAACTGAAACAGCCTCAAAGCTGGAGGCCCTCCTCTCCCTCCCCTTCTGCACTATCCTAAGTTTCTGTCAGCACTCCACAACAAAACCTCACCACCTTACCCCAAGCTGTTAAGTGTAAGCTTGGTTGTACTTCATATCTTGAAGATTCTTATAGGCATCTTCAGATCTTCTGGGGTAATTAACTTCTGACTGCTAGAAATGACCAAAATCCCAACTTGTATGCCTGTTCATGGAGCTGTTTACCTTCAGATCTGTTTCTCAAATTTCCCCCTGCTCTGCTATGTATCACAAAGGGTGGGGAAGCAGTGGAGGGAGAAGGCTAGCTGACCCCTGCAGACTGTGTTTTCCAGGATCCTATGCCAAGAAAGGTACTAATGGAAGATTGGATGTGGGTGGGAAGGAGGGAGAAATTCCCTCTTCTGCATTTAGGGTGTGATTCCCAGGAGCCACTGTTTCTCCTCTGGGTCTCCAGAAAACCCTGTGATGAACTGCCCTGATTCCATTTTTCACCAGGTGACTGTCACCCCAGTGCTCCAGTAACAACACTCCCTTCTGGTCCCTTCAGACTTAGGGTAGGAGCTTCCTACCATCACTCATTTCTGGTTTGCCTCCCTCTGTACTGGATGCTTTCTCAGCATCCTCCCTGCATTCTATATAGCTGTGGAAACAATTCTCTGTGTTTGTTTTAACTCCTCAGAGTGGGTTCTGTACTTCTAGTGGGACCCTGGCTGATCGAGGCTGACTTTAGAAAAGGTGGGTGGGGTGGGGCAGGGCAGTGCAGAGATGAACAAAAACCTATGACTATGGTATACAGAAGAATGAGCATGCGGCTAAAAATGAACAGGTCATGAGAAATGATTCAGACTGAAAATAAGATGTTGTTATCTCCCAAAATGCTGCATTGCAGGAAGGAAGGGAATTATTCACCACCACCTTAATGCTAGCAAACCATCATACCCAAGGCCTTAACACATCAAAACCACAGGCTTTCTTTCATGCAAGAGTACATTACTGGGCTTCCCCTCTGAGAACTGCTTCACTCTCAGCAGGAAAGCAAAGGGGTCCTATCGCTCATGGAGTAGACAAGAAACCTTGTGATATTCAGGATGGGTGATGGGGATGCAAGCCTCAAAATGGTTACTTGAAAGAGGTATTCCTAACACATTCTATAACTATTAGTGAGTTCCTACCATGTGTTGTGTTGTTTTAGGTACTGGGGATAGAGCAGTAAGCAAATAAAAAAAATGTCCTGTCTTCAAAGAATGTATAATATTGCAGTGGAAGGATGGGAGAGACAAACAGACAATAAACAAAATAAATAAATAACATTTTTTTTAGTGGGGATATATGCAACAGAGAAAAATAATGCAGGGAAGTGGATAGTACGTGTTGAGAATAGGGGGTTGAAATTTTAAATACAAGGTCAGGGAAGGCCTCAGAGTGGCATTTAAGTAAAAATCCAATGGAGGTGAAGAAGAGAGTCATGGGTTTTCTGGGTAAAGGACATTCAGGAAAAGAGGTGGAAAAGATTTAGCATCATTTTGGGATAGGATGTGAGAAATAGAAAGGACTCCAGGAAGAATTCAAGGTTTCTGGCCAGAGTTTCTGGAAGAATGGCATTATTTGAAATGGGGCAAAGATGAGATAGAAGATATTTGCTTGGGGTTGGGGTCAGGAAGATCAGAAGCTTAATATTTAGACACATTAAACTTGGTAAGCCTATTAGACATTTAACAGGGGATGTGACATAGGTAGTTGCTTCTATGAATCTAGAATTCATAGACAGAGAGAGAGAGAGAGAGAGATTCTAGAGTTGTCAGCATATCAACAGTACTTAAGCAGTATGTAAAGCCCCAAGAGAATGAAAGTGAGCATAAACAGGAAAATAAAAATTCCAAAATGAAGTCCTTGGTACTCCACCATTAAGAGGTCAGGGAGATGAGGAAAAACTCAAAAAGAAGTTTAAAAAGTAGTGGCAAATGAGGTGTGAGGCAAAACATCAGGGGTGGGGGTGTCCTGAAAGTCAATTGAAGAATGTGTTTCAAGATAGAACATGTAAAATACTGCTAGTAGATGGAATAAGTTGAGCACCAAGGACTTACCACTGGATCTGAGGTCTGCCAAGAGCAGACTGATGGGGCTGCCAAGAGCAACATTAATGGAGTGGTGTGGAGAAAACATGGGGTGGAATCAAGGAAGAATTATGAAAGAAAATGAATCCCAGCAAATATAGAAAACACTTTCCAGGAAATTTTCTGTAAAGGGAAAGGCAGAAATAAATAGTGGCTCGAGAATGAAGTAGAGGTAAAAAGAAGGTAGAAGAATAAAAAGCAAGTTATTATGTTGGTGAAAAAGACTTAATAGAGAAGAGAAAATCATGGTTTGGGAAAAAGAGGGGATAATTGCTGCCGTGATGTCTTCAGACAGCACAGAGGAGTTGGGACTTGGTGCACAAGTAGAGACACTCACATCAGCTAGAAGCATGGACATTGCATCTATGGTACTGTTATAGGAGTTATTAAGAAGTTACTTTTGGCAGATAGAGAGGAAAAGGGTTCCTTGGGAAGTTTTTGTTTCTTTTAAAGCAGCTCCAGAAATGTTTGTTGTCTAGCAGGAAAGCCCCAGCTCTTAGATGGGCCATGCTGGCCATTAGAAACTGGGTCCACCCAAACATGGTGATTCCTGCATTCTTCTTGCCCTTGGCCCAACATGTGCCTGGCAACATGGCTGCCCCCATATATCCCCACGTGGGTAGAACATCATGGTGGCCTGCATTTACATATTAAAAAGCTAGAGTGGGAGGGCCAGATTTTTTTGCCGGCTACCATGCCTAGTCAAACCAATATCCTGAGCCCTATACAAATCAGTCACTTCCTCCTCCAGCCTCCTTAGATAAGCAGCCACTTTTCCACAGCACACAGAGTTTCCTCTTTCAGCTTTGGAGTTCCCCTCCCTCTGTCTCTGTATGGGGGAGCTTCCTCCTTCTTTCTTATTAAACTCTCTGCTCCTTAAAACCACTCCATGTGTGTCTGTGTCATTTTATCAAAATCGGTATGAGACTAAGAACACTGGTGTTCCTCCAGTCATCGGAACCATATCAGTACCAGAAGGAAAAGTAGAGTATAATAGGTACAGGTGCAGGCAAGCGAGTAGATGTGGCTGGAGTTTGCAGAAGTTCTTTTCTGGTTGCTTTTATTTTATCAGTAAAGTATGTTGCTGAGAAGAAGGAACCAAGTCATCAACTAATAAGGATAGGGGAAGAGGTATTAAAGATTTAAGGAAAGAACTAAAAATATGACATACTCCACTGGTAGAGTGGGAGAGAAATGGATATGGAAATATATTTTCCAGTTAACATTAAGAGCCCACTTGAGATTAGTGGTCATGAATTTAAAGTGAGGCCATTCATCACGGTTTTACGCTTTTCTTCAGTCGTATTCAGTTGCACAGTTGCAGGCATGGAGTAGACAAAGAGTTAGATTTAAGTAGGGCTGTGTTTTTGCCTATGATGAAGTGAGAGAGTGACAAAAAATTCATGCAAGGGAGGGATTATAATTATTGGTCACCAGAATTTAAGCTGGATTAAAAGAGGATTGAATTGAAGGCAAGCCAGGAAAAGTGTAACATTGATATCATGGAGAAATTGTAGATTCTGATGAGGTCAAAGGGAGGTTGGAGAGGAGTTCCTGGAGGGAGTGGGCTGGAAACATAGCAGAATGTGATACTGGGAATGGAAAATATGGAGGGCACATGGTTAGGGTAAGACAAGAGAGCAAATGTGAGCGAATGGCTGGAAAACATAGATGAGAGGAACATAGGAAGAAAGGAGGTCAGTGACTTAGAAGCCAGGATATTAGCAGGGTAACATTAGGTTGGAGGGAAATTGAAATTACCAAAAAGCAGGAGTGGTATAAAAAGAGTGACAATGAGCCAGGATCAAAAATCCTCAAAAATCAAGAGAAAATGGTCTCCAAGTATGAGTTAATAACAGAAACAAGGAGGACTGGTATTTGGGATAGCCTGATGGCCTGAGATTCAAAGTCGATTTTTTCATGGAGAAAGAAGAGAAGATAGGAAGGAAATGACAATGAAGAGATAAGAGGACACCATCCTTCCTTCAAGCACAGCACATGACAATGCAATGGGCTAAGAGCTATCATTTGAAAGGGCTATGGGGAAAATGGTATCCTCAAAACAGGGCCAGGTTCTGGAACATAGGGGATTGAGAATACCGATGTTTTTAATGATAATAGACAAGAACTTTTAAAATTCACAATGGAAGAATTTTACAAAGTGAGGATAGTTAGAAGATGTGATCAGAAAAGGACTTTAGAGAGTTTAGGGTACCCCAGCAGTCCTGCCCTCTAGGGCTGCATTTCCTCATCATAAATACGAGATCCATTGAGGACCAGTGTCCTCTCAGACCTTTCACAGCACCCATTTGGGTGGCAGTAGGTACAGTGGGAGGAATCTTTGGAATGCTGTCTCAGACACACTTGAGCCTGTAGAAATACACAGCTTGGGGTGTAGTGTCCTCTGTGGCCCCTTCCTTCTCCTTCAGGCTTGGCTACGCAATATTAGAAGTGACAGTTTTACTCTACAGTAGCTGCCCGTGATGACAGAAAGATTTCTCCGTGAAGTTTGCTATCTTCCTGGGCTTCACCCAGCATGGAACCCAGATATGCTGTACTATCAGATCTCTAAATTTAAAATGGACTTTTGTGTTACTGCACATATTTGGCATAAAGTTGAGCATATGTTCTCTCCCCAACCCTCAACGGCAAGCAATAGTTCTCTCTTATATCTAACATTCTTGTTTTTCCAATTACTCTCCTCCCTATTCTGAGTTTGAACCATCTTTAGCTCATGAGGGCATAGGAACTCGGCCAGGGCAGGGAAAGCAAAACATTACTTACTGAAGTCATGTGCTTTATCACTGAGGGGCATTTGATGTCCCTGTTCTTTGGTTCTCCATGAAAGAAAAAAAAAAATGGTGATATCACTGGATAAGACACATGGTAGATTTTCACTTTCTCCTGAATTATCTATTTTTATTTTAGTGGAAAGCTTAAGTTGATAAATGAAATTATATGCACAGCAATTGGTAAATGCTTTGAAAGTAAAAAGCTATATGAATGGAAATAATTGTTTTAAATTCTTGAGAATGAGAAAGGAAGAATGAGCAGATGGCCCATCATGCTTTTGCTGGCTTTCGGGTTGGTTCCAAATGGCAAACTGTTGCCTGGGCAAACATTTGGAATCAAAATGACCATACTTTGTTTGCTGAGAATCTTTCAGTGCATTGTGTACTCTGCAAGTCATGTTCACCACTATGAAAGGACATTAAACTTGATAGAAAAAAAATGTGATTTATTAGAGCACTAGGAAGGAGTTTGAAAAGAAAGCAAGTGAATTAACAGATAGCCATATCCAAATGGCAAAGATGCTAACATGGGAAGAAAAGAGTCCAAGAACATTGTGGAATTTGAAATTAAAGTGGCGGAACTTTTATCTAAATGTGAGCAAATTTTATATGCATGATTGTCCCAAATACCAGAGCTATTTTCAAATGAGAATTGGATCCTGAATTACAAATTTTGTTCTAAATAAGTCAGAGAATATTATATAATTTTGACAGAATCAATAAACTTTATGAGAAAATAACATTTTACTCATTTTACCTTTTTTTTTTTTTTTTTTTGAGATGAAGTCTTGCTGTGTCGCCCAGTCTGGAGTGCGGTGACGTGATCTCAGCTCACTGCAACGTCCACCTCCTGAGTTCAAGCAATTCTCCTGCCTCAGCCTCCTGAGTGGCTGGGATTATAGGCATGCACCATCATGCTTCACTGATTTTTGTATTTTTAGTAGAAATGAGGTTTTACCACGTTGGTCAGGCTGGTCTCGAACTCCTGACCTTGTGATCTGGCCGCCTCGGCATCCCAAAGTGCTTGGATTACAGGCATAAGCCACCGCGCCTGGCCTATTTTGCTTTTAGTTAGACATGAAATCACTGTTTTTGAAATAGCTCTTGAGGATAAAATTGAAGCAGGGTGGTACATATCTGAAGAGCACCAATGAAATTATTTCAGAAAGAGAAGAAAAAAATTGAAATATAGTTAATTGGTAATAGGAACTAAGTTTTAGAGGGCGAGAACTAACATTCTTAATGCTCTCTCTAATTTATTATTTGAGACTAAAAGACAACAATGGAAGTAAATGGCAGCTAGAGATCATGGTATTGCCCAAGCAGTAAGTAAGCCAAAGTTTGAATTTCTGTGGTACCTCCGAATAGCTGTTTAATATTAGGCAAATCATAACCTGTCTCAGAACTTGCAATTTGCCTAAGTATCACTTTCCTATTCTATAAAATGGAAATATTAAAACCTACTTCATGATTTGCAATCATTTAGCATAGTGTCTGGGACACAGATTTGGGATTTTGTATGTAGTCTCAGTAAATTATCTACCCAAAGCATTGATTTAGTATTGTCTGAACTATTTGATTTTTTTTTAACACATTTGAGAATAAATTCAGTATAATGAATATTTGCTGTGTTTTCCCTCACTTAATGACTGAGTAAAACTGAAGTCCTATTGTCTCATTAAAAGGGGGCTAGAAGGACCCAGACATTAGGATTTCCCTAAAATAAAAGAAGGTTTATTCTAGCTGGCTACACTTTGGTTGTTCCCAATCACTCTAAGCAATTGGTATACTCTGACAATGAATTTGTATTTGTAATTGTTAGAAGTTGGGCAAGTATCTGCTAGTCCACCCTATCCAAGCTAGTGGTCATTCCTATAGTACGAATTTGTTATTCTCCTCACATTGTAATGCATCCCAGGAAAGGGCATTGTGTTACATGATGGGGTGAGGGGTGGAAGCGGGGAGTATGGTGGTCTCTAAAAAGATGAAATTCTTGAAGATCCTGCTTAAATGTGTCCTGTCCATGATGTCTGTTTATTTAGGCCTCCAGTAAAAATTAATCGCTTTACCTTTCCTCAAGTACTTTTTATAGCTCAATTTTGCATTTACATCTCACTCTGTCTTGTATAATATTTGTATTCTTACTTGTCAGTCTTCCTTAGGAATTAGCAACCTCTCTGAGAGCTGAAACCAGTCTCTTTCTTCACTTTTACCTTTCATGTGGTACCTGGCATCCAGGCTTGTATGCAACTGGTGTCCAAGCGCTCAGATCAATTCATCACCCTCTATAGAAACTTGAGACTCGAGAGTTTTAGTTGCTGTCAGTGTATCCATAGAAGTGAATGCCCTTAATTTGGGAATTGGGGAAATTTTTCAAGTAATTGTAATTGTCTGCAACCCCAATTTGAGGTAAGAACGATTGCAGATTGTGGAACCAGTCCATTATGTAATGCAGAAAGCATTTTCTGGTTCTGCTGGCTTCCAGCTCCTTGGCTGAGAAATGTCACAGACTGGTAAAGCTCACCTCCAAGCCAAAGGCACATCTATTTACATGGTCATTACTATTTCTGTTTCAAATATACATCTGCTTCTCAAATGTTCCTTTCCCTTGACAGCAATGTGTCTCACTGCTCCATGTAAATTCTTCTATTTTTCAAATTATTAATCTGAAAGGGATGGAAATGGAGGCTCTTGCATGAAAGGAAAAATCCCCTGACATATGTAGTTACCTTGAAGGCCTGACATTTGCTTTTAGTTGTTACCCTTCAAAAAGATAAATAATGTCCTTTTAAGGCATAAAAAAGGAACTATTAGAAACTCTGATTTTAAATATCCATAGGTATTCTGGACCAGATATAAACATATTTTTCTTGGCCGAAAGTGTTATGTTTTACAGATCTCTTTGATACTATTGTGCTCAAGCCAGCAGACCTCTATTCTTCCTGATTGGAAAATGTAAGTCATATTTAAGAATTGTTTTGGATGTAAAGTTGCAGCTCACTGCAGATTACGATAGTTGAGTTACAACTCACTGAAAATCAAGGGTTTAAAATGGAAACACTGACAAACCTTCAAGCCAGGGCAGCACAAATGGCGCCTTGATAATTTATAGTCTACAGACAGCTCTCGGGTTTATTATCACAATGACAAATGCACTGTCATTGTTAATAGGATATTTCCCAGCAAGGACTTCTTGTTATGCAAGCCAGGTCCAGTATGTCATGCTGCATGATAGCAATAAAGTCTACAAGAATTTGTAATGAACTTCAATTACTAATAGATTATGGTTAATGGGAAATATGTGCAGTAAAGATATGGGTTTTTATATGCGCCTTCTGGTATTCTATGAGGCAATGATTTATGCTACAATTTATGTTAACATTTTCTACTATGAAAAGGCTCAATTTGGTAGAAAGCCACTTCATCCATAACAAATATTTAAGATAATTTTGCACATAATATAAATGAAGGTATAAAATTAGATATTAATCTATTTAATTCTAGCATTTTTATTTTTATTGAAAGTGAAGACTTTTTTTCCCTCTACCTAGTAGTACCATTGGTTCAGAACTCTTGCTATAAAACAAAAGCATAAAATACATTGATGTCTTTGAGTTTAATGTGACATCTTGTATGTTAATTTCTTTGTTTAACTTCCTTTTGTAATTAAGGACCCCATTAAAATTTGATGTATACTGGTGTCTTGCTTATGCAAGTATTATTTTAAATTAAGAAAATGCACAAGTATTCATCTTAAAATGAATTTGTAATCCACATCATGCTTTCTGTCACTGTAGAGATCGACAGCTGGGATACAAATGTGGAAGTACATATATAAATGATTTGTGTGCGTCTTTATGTCTGGGTGTGTATGACACACACACACAGATATTATATGTAGGCCAGGTGTGGTGGCTCATGTCTGTAATCCCAGTCCTTTGGGAGGCTGAGGTCGGCTGATCACTTGAGGTCAAGATTTTGAGACCGGCCTGGCCAACATGGTAAAACCCCATCTTTACAAAAAATACAAAATATCTACTGGGGGTGGTGGTGTGTACCTGTAGTCCCAGGTACTAGGGAGGCTGAAGCATGAGAATCCCTTGAACCCAGGAGGCAAAAGTTTCAATGAGCCGAGATCGCACCACTGCACTCCAGCCTGGGAGACAGAGCAAGACTCCAGCTTAAAAAAAAAAAAAAAAAAAAAAAAATTGAAAAACGCTAACCATAACTTAGCCAAACATAGACAAAAAAAAATCGGTAAAATTAAACTATAAAATTGAAACAATTCACAATATTTTATTAAATCATGGTGAATTTAAAATTCTGAAACTAGAGTCATCACAATCTTGGGAACCCGCTGAAAGCATTTTTACATCTCTAAAGTGTGTGTGTGTGTGTGTGTGTGTGTTTGTTTAAAATTGCTAAAATGATTTATACGAAGCTTGGCCTTTTAGCTCAGAAAATGTGTTTTTATGTTCTCTCTTTTCTTCTAATCCCTGAACTCATGTCTTTTCACAGATCCTATATGACATCTTGCAAATGGCAGGTACAGACATTCTGAACACCTGTGTGCTCACTATTGCTTACTTGAATAACCTTTGAGCCATGATTTTTCTCTCTGAATGATGACAGCTCCAAGATTCCATGAAAGACCTTCCTGTCTAAGAGTTAAACACCTGGACTGTGGGGGAGAAAAATCCAGAAAAGGCCCCACGCTATCACGTTTTAGCTTAGACTGTGGGCAAGTCTATCTAAACCTATCAAACCTCAGACTCTTCCTCTGAAAAATAATAATAATTTTAAAGACTGACTTTTTATTGTGAAAACAAAATGAAATAATACGTTAAGAATTTTATATAGTCCTTGGCAAATATAAGTACTCAATTCACTGTGGATAATATTATTATTAATTGCAGCAATTTGATAAATACTGGTCGAGATAGGTAAGAGTATGATTTTAATGTTTCTATAATTATTACTATTTTTTATTGTTATAACATTCTTTCCAAACCTCAATATATTGCAGGTTTAGGTGTTTTGGTGAGCCAGAAAATCACCTGGTCAGTTCACAAAGACAGATTCCTGAACTGCACACATGGTTCAGATTTGGGACGGAACCAAGAAATTTACATATCTAAAAAGCCACCCAGGTCATTCTTCAGTCCACAGAAATTTTAAAAGCAGTGCATGGGCACCATTCATAGAATCTGTTAATGTTCATATTTTTATGTTTTATTGAAATCTAACTAAATACCATGATGAATGACTAAGTCATCTGCTCATCTTTTGGGTATTTGACATAATGCAGATTAAATATCTAGGACTCAGGTGACTGATAAGATGAGTGCACTTCTCATCTTGGTATTTTGGCCCCATTTGAAAGAATGTTTTTCTTCCAATGCAGTCATCCACTTTCCTACCCTCAATATAACTTATGTTATATTTTCCAAGGTTTTTTTTTTTTTTTACCATTTTCATAATATTTCTTGTGGCTTCCTTTGCAGATTAAAAAAAAAGATTCTGAAACAGATGGGAAATATGTGGGTCAAATTAAGCTACCTATGGTAGTTTGGGCATGGTTTCAGTTGCTATTACTCTAAAAAAGTTAACATTGTATGTACAAGGTAGAATGCCCTTTCTCTCTCAGGTGACACTCAGAGGGTAGGTAGTCCACCCCAAAATGGCAACTCTGCTCCATCAGGTCCAGGGATGTGGCTCCTTTTACCTTGTTTCTCCACATTTCCTAGGGTGTTGCTGTCCTTGTCTGCATGGTCTGGCATAGCTGACTACCACATTCCAGCCATCCAGAAGGAAAAAAAGTAGAAGAGGAGAATATATCTCTTTCTTTGTCATCATGTTCCACAAATTGTGTTATTTCTTCTCACATTCTATTGCCTAGAACTTAGTCATGTGGCTATATCAAACTCCAAGGGCGTATAAGAAATGTAGTCTTATCTGGGCAGGCTTGTACCTAGTTAAAAATTTGACACTCTATTACCATAGAAGGAAGGCAGAGGGGGCTAGTCTCTGCCACCTCACCTAATGACTCTGTCCAGCTGGAGCCACACTGGGCTCAATATTGCTGTTAAAAAGGCTTTTGTTATCAGATGCTCAGTAACTGAGGATATGTTTATACAAGGTCAAAATAATGGATCAGTTTACTGGGATTGTTCTCTCTTGCCCAAGAGACCAAGCCACAATCATACAGGAGTAGCCTCTTGAAGATAATGTATTTTGCCTCTTGAAGATAATATATTTTGCCTCTTGAAGATAATATATTTTGGGCCAAAGTTGATCAAGTCAAACAGGTACTATCTTTATGCTAGAGTCACCAGGTGAGATCCGTCCCTGGGAAATAGGATAAAAATTAAGAAGCTAGGAGATAATTCCTATATGAAACTTAAAGAGGAAGAAAAGGGACAGAGAGGCAATGAAGGTCAACATTATTAAAGACAGCAAGATGTAGTGGTTATGAACATGGTCCCTGGGGTTAATTCGTGTGTATTAGAATTCTGGCTCCACCAGATGTAAGAATGAGGTACACATTATATAATTTAATATATAATTTAAACCTCAGTTTCCTTCTTTGTGAAATTGGAATAGAAATTGTAACTAACTCACTCATAAGCTTGTTATGAGGATTAGGTTGTATAATGCCTATAAACACTTAACATGAGCACAACACGTAATAAGCCCTCAAGAAATGTTAACTATTATTAAAATGGGGTCTTTTAAATCCCTTATGGTCTGTTTTATTTAGCAAAGAATCTTCCTCCATGATTAACTCTTTTTCAAGCTGGAAACTATGAATTAGAATGGCCAAAGAAAACAGAGGGAAGCAGCCAAGCTGAAGAGCCAGTTTTTGCTCCACCATTCCTAGGACACACAGATGGGAAACTCATAAGTTGCCAACCTTGCCCAAACATATCCATCCCATGAGGCTTCTACTGGAGCAGTAAGCCCTGGCTAATTTCCTTGCCTGGGTAACTTATACAATGAAGAATAAGTCCAAACTCCTCTCCCAATCAGTCCTGGAGAAATAAAAGTAATTATAAACAAACCACAAGGAGGGTAATGCACCTTCCATTAAAGGCTATTGTGGGGTAGATGAAGTCTGTTGGGAAATGTGTGGCATGAGGCAGCAATATCTTGATAAATAAGCTAAGGCTGCAATGTGCTCCTGCTGATAATAAGCAGCATGGAGCAACTGCCTCTTCTACAAAACCCTGGGATTTATGTCCAGTCTGCCTGCATTGAAAACCAGAGAATTAACTCATGAAACCCATATATCAACACATGCAGAAAAAGGAATCACAGTATAGAAATGAAATTAGCATGAAATTAGTTAGCTGTAGAACATAAATAAAGGTACTGACACTTTTCTGCATCTTCTATAGCAAATGTCTTTGGAGAACTCACCAAGGTTGGACTATACCTCATGGCCCCTGTGATTTATTTCAACATTTTCTATCCTAAGCAGGTTGTTTGCAAAGTCCTTCAAGTATCATTAAGACAAGCCAGGAAACACAGATAATTCTTCAAGAGAAGAATATGATCATGGAAAGGCACTGCTTATACAGAGTATCCCCATGTGTCAGTGCAGCCTCCAGAACGGCGTCTTGCTGTATTTATTAATCCATTGCCACAGAGATTACTACAATCTGACTCAGAGCCCTAATTAATTTTTGGCACATTTAGAAATTGTGACTGTCGTTACCCAGGGAGCCCTTAAATCAACCCCCCTTTTACTGCAGTTGCCTTTTTATGGTGTATATCACACTGAGAAATGGATTACATGATCCTTAGCTTTAACTATCCTGCATTAGTTGATCATGTACTATGGATGTGTATTGCACAGTTTATGAATCATAGGGGAGCTAGGGTATGAATGACAGATAATTTAAACATGAAATTGGTGATGTCTGGGACCTGGTAGGAGGTGAGGCAGAGAAATACAGGCAAAAGTTAAGGCAATGGGATGGAAAAATCAGATATTTATGACAAGCTTAAAATGAACTTGTTACTGAAGTGTAGTATTTAGAAAGAGTACTATCTCATTATTCAAGGAGGTGATTTTTTCATAGTACTCTGATCCTCTGATTGCTTCTTCTTCCCTTTTATAATCAGGTCCCCTTCAATGTACAAGTGGATATTTGGGGGCAAAGGTGATTTAGTTCTATGAAGTCATACTCCGCATCTAAGATGAATGAAGATCACATATTTAACTTGCCCAATATGCAGACATACAGTGTGAGTCGGCCGGGCAGGTATAGGGTTTGGCTAACTTCCTGTTATCAACTTGCTTTGGGAGCTGGGTTAAATTATTCAGTGTATTAGTATCTCAGTTTCCTCACCTATGAAATAGGATAATAATAAATAATCTTTCTAATTCATGAGGTAACAACCAAATAAGATCTTCTATTTTGCTCTACCTAAGACATTTGGGAGGCAAGAAGCAGACACCCACAAGGATACCTGGAGTAAAATGGTATTTGTTCAGGTTAGACACAGATGGGAATAGAAACTGCAAGAACCCTTCCTTGAGACAGCCAAAGCTCATCTCCCATTCAAAGGCCATGTGGTCTTAGACTCCTGGCATCTCTCATTCTCTCTGCAAGTTGGTTCCATGCCTCACCTTCAAACCATGGCATCCCAGTGAGGTCCTCCCACATGTGGCCCACAGTGGCAACTCTAGACTTGAATCTATCTTAGGACCTTTCAGCTCAGCTACTATAGAAAGCCACCTCGCCTTCTTATTGTCCTTTAGATATGTAAAGCTTATTTCCACATCAGGGCCTTTGTATTTGTACTTCTTCAAATGCTTTTCTCCCAACTCTATGCATGGTTTGCTCCTTCACTGCATTTCAATCTCTGTTCAAATCTTGTTCTTTCAAAGAGAGCTTCCCTGATCACTCCACTTAATATTTCCCCATCTGGTACTCTTTTCCCCTTATTTACTTTTATTTTCTTAATACCACCTATCATTCTCTGGCATATATTTATTTTTTGCCTATTTCACCCACTAGAAATCAGGTCACTGAGGTCTGGAACTTCGTTGTTGTTGTTGTTGTTATTGTTTTGCTGTGATATGTCCTTTGCTTAGAAAACTCCCTCACACCAAAGAGGTACTCAATAAATATTGATTAATTGTACATATCACGAATAAGTGAATGAATGTCTCATTGCCCCAGATTTGTAATTTCACATTTTTAAGAGAATTTTTGATGGATGCATTTCATAATTTTCAGAAAGACTGTTTCATCAATTTCTGCCTATAGGTTTCTATCCATGTGCCAGCTGGATAGTCTCATCAGGCAGGATTGAGATGGGGCCATTTCACATAGTACTGAGCACAGGCACTTAGAGCATGGATAGCTCAGGGAGGCAGATCCCTTAAGGTGGGGCTTGGATGGTGGAATCCTGATGGCACCTTGAGTCTCTTGGAGGACCAGCTTAGCTCTGAAAGACACAGAGGCCATCTTCCTGTGGCTAAGAATCACAAGGTCAGAAACTAGGTCGGCTCCTACAAGTACTAGCTCTCTGGCCTTAGTTGTAATTTTCCTTAAACTTTTTATTTACTCTGCATTTTGTATTGAGTTTCCATGAGTAACTAATAACAATGGTGGTTAATATTTTTGAGTATTCCTGATGAGTCTAATGCTTTATGTGCATATTTATGAAGCTTAACTCCTGGGCTTCTCGTAACCATCTTCTGAGGTAGATACTATGATTCACTTCATTGTGTAGATGAAGAAATATGAGAATAGAGAGAAAATAAGTTACCTAATGTCACTTGGTGAGTAATTAATACAACCGGAATTTGTACCCAGTAAGTCTGGCTCTACAGCTTTATTTAACAAGGTTATTTTAATCCACTCACTCCACTGTGGGACTTCGCAAGAAGCCCACATTTTTTTAGAAGTAACATTCTGATGAGGTGACATATAAATATGATTTCAATAATAAAGTATTATGTGCCAGCTATTCTCATTAAACAAACATTTAAAATACATTAAATATACATTTGGGTCTGTGCAGTTCCACAGACTTAAGATCTAGTATTCTCCTATGGCCCTTGCATCTCTTTTTATGGTTGTGCATTAGAAATTACTTAACTTTTATGGCCCAGAATGGCAGGGCCATAAAAAAGTCACCAATTTTTATAATAAGCAAATATCAAGCCCTAAAATGCTGTGCTCCACATCATGCTTTCTCTTTGGGTTTTGGCAATATGCCCCAACAATACATGCAAAAAAGTGTCTGAAAGAGTCCTAAATAAGTTAAGGTTTACACTGGCAACACATAACTTTATTGGGTTTCTTGAGCTCTGTTTATAATAATAATATGAACACACAAGGTATAAGATAAATGTTTGAGAAGGAAATAATTCATTGATCCCGCTTTACTTAGCATTTACCATATGCAAGGCACCATGTTAAACACTGAGAGATCCACAACAATACATAAAACAACATTCCAAATTCATGCTGAGCACTTTTTTCTGAAACACAAGAACAAATCTGAAAAGTTAGTATGTGACTGTCCCAAATTTTGGTATTATCATACAGTGCAGGAAGAAAACAGGGATAGGTTTATCCCTTGAATTTATACAACTTCCCATTGCTGACTAGTAGGTTTTCATGGGAATTTCTCTCTTTAAAAAGGCTTATGTGTTTCAATTGCACTAAAATTAAGCAGGTGAGAATTTATTTATCCTTGTATACTAAGGGTTTAATAAGGACGAGAAAAAGGCCATATTTACAAACACCAATCTATGGACTGCAATTCTTTTGTATCTTTCAATAGCATTGTTAGTTCTAATTTTGTTTGTTTTTGCACGTGTGCTTTATACAAAAGACTCTGTAAAGTCTTGATTTCCATACTTCTGGTGAAGCTCTTCAAGGTCTTCATGGCCCCATACCCATCAATCATGTGTGCCTCACAGATTTCCTTTGTCAGTAGTACATATCAGTATGATTAACGGTTCAGTGTTCATTTTCAGGAATCTGATTGGATAACTGTCGTTTCATTTGTTGAAACATATAATTCAAAAAGCATTGATGAAGTTGTCCAAAAAAGAGAGCAATGCAAGTCCATTTTACTTATTATGAACAACAAAGCTTGGTAGTTTATTAGTGTAAATAGGCTCTCTATGCCAGTGTATTCCCTGGGGATAAACTAGGTGATTGAGATGGGTCGTTTAACTTTTTAAAGTGATTATACGGCAACATTACATGGAAGCCCTATTGCATGAAAGAGTGAGTATCACACGGGGTTGAAGGCTTCCTCACTGGCAGAATGAGGGCTCATGAGCTGTTTAGTAAAACCTTACTTTTGTTTTGTTTGTGACAGGGAGTACTAATTATTTACATACTTAAAATATTTATTTATTAATTATTAAATGTACTGTTTATGTCAAAAATAACAGAGCGTTATTATTAAAAATAAGAAACATCAAATTTGTTTTCAAAACCCCCCTGAAATCCTACAGTCCAAAGATGACTCTTGGTCTTATAGGAGTTCTTGAGAGTGACATAAGAAACTATAAAGTATCAAAATGCATTGAAGGTTTTCTAGAACCTTGCATTTACCCAATTCCTAGAAATCTGGTAAAAGCTGCATTTTAAGCTAGAACAGGTTTAGTTTTGTGTTTCTTTGTTCTTCAATAAATTTTGTTTATACATCTGGCTATTATTTTGAGGGGAAACAGTTTGTTCTCACTGTTTATACTTATCTAAATTTCAAACATAGTAAAGATTTCATTTTTTAAAAAAAGCAAAACTATAATATTATTTTGATAAAATGTTAGTATTCTAAAACCTTGGTTTTAGAAGGTCTTTTAAAATGTATCAGAAGCCGAGACTTAAAAAAAAATCTGGCTGAATATAATAGAAAACTTCAGTATATCAAAAAGACAAACAAAAAGCTATTAATTCACAGATAAAATTACAAGAGAAAACACAATGGGAAGAAATGACAACATGTGATAAAGAATTAATTTTTAATATTCTAAAGGTGCTTACTCTTACAAATTAATAAAAATTAGATAGAAAGCACAATAGAAGAACGTACAAAGATAAATGTTTCTTCACAAAACGGCCAAATCAGTAACACAGGCTTTGTGTTCAAAGTATTGATTAGTGCATACTTCACTAATAAAGAATCTATAGTATGTATTTTATTAGTATTCTAGAAAATTTCAGACAATCAGCAAATGGAATGAATTTTATTATCAATATGCCATAGAAATTCAGTCATCTAATTTTTCTAGCTTATGTTATGTTGAGCCTGCTTGTGGTCTCTCTACCTGGAGGAGGGACAGGATAAGACCAGCAGTATCCCATATGATTCCAAATGGAAGTCCAATAATGTATTGGAATTTGCTACATCTCATATCCAAACAGTGCTTTATCTACATTAATGGATGAGTTTGTGATTTTAATATGGAAATAAATGAGTGATTCGAGTTGTTCAAAATATAATTTTTGAATATACTTTTGTGATTGATAGTTATGCCTCAATCACTATGAAACTCAGAGTATTATTAAAAAGAACCTTCCCCTCTTTCTTAGCACTAAATTCAGGCTCTTGTAGATCTTTCCCAAGCTCTGCTCTGAGATCAGGTGGTGCTGTGGCATTAAAGTTGCAGGTTTCAGTCAAAAAATCCCAAAGCAGGTCTCCATTTTCATTACCATCAATAAAGCAGTCAGATATATCCATGGTGGACAAAAGGTCATAGCACTCATACTTAAGCCCTAGGTTGTCCAGCATCTGAGTGAGGTCATCTGATGTGATATACTGGCAGAGGTCATCCTGGGGAAAGCGTGATCCGTACTTTTTCCACAGCTTGTCCCAGCCACTGCTTCCTGTGCAATAAAACACAAGTCATGCTTTCATTTATTCTTTCTTTCATTTGCAGTCTGCCAGAAAGTACACTAGATGCTTAGAATAGAACAAAATAATAATCTTGTCCTTTGTGCAGCTCATATTTCAAGGAGTACAGGAGGAGAGAGAAAAATAAGTAAATATATGGTGATAAATGCTAAATGAAAAAGTAATCTGAGTAAATGCTAAGAGGGTTAAAGACTTTGATGGGCTGCTGTTTTAACTAGGGTGGTCGCAGAGTCTGTCTAATAACCTGACATTTGAGCAGAGACCTGACAGCAAGACATGGAGATATCAGGGGGAAGATGACTCCAGGAGAGAGATGAGCAGCTGCAAAGGACCTGAATACAGGATGATACTTGGCCCATTAAAGAACTAGCCAGGAAGCCAGTGAAATTGGAGCTGAATGAGTGAGGGCAGAGGGAAAAGAGATGAGGTTGGAGAGATTAGGGGTGGGGAGTGGATGAAGGGCCCAGATCACTTGGGGCCCAATGGGAAACCACTGTAATGCTGTCTGATAGAATTTTCTGAACCAATGGACACGTTCGATATCTGCATTGTCCAGCAGGATTGTCACTCACCACTTGTTGCTATGGAGCACTTGAAAGGTGGCTTAGGACTTGAGTTTCAAGTGTTACTGAAGACCTGAATTTTAAGTTTCATTCATTTAAATTAATTTCAGTTTCAACTTCACTACTAAAACATGGTTTCTGTATGGAACAGCACATTAGAATGACTCAATATACATTTAATAAGGTCACCCTGGCCTCACCGATGGGAAGAGAGTACTGGCGCATAAGGGCAGAGGTGGGGAGAACAGCGAGAAGGCTACTGTAATCACCTGGGGGATAGGTGGGGGTGGGTCCCACAGACCAGTGAGCTGGGAGGTGAAGAGAAGTGGTGGGAGTTTTTATGTGTTATACTCCGAGATCCAACAGGGCTCGCCAACAATTTGGATGTAGGATATGGGTAAAAAGAAAGAATCAGTGATGACCCCAGTAATTTCTGTGAGGGCGCCTGAGAAGACAGAATTGCCATTGTTGGAGAGAAGAATGAAGACGAGCAGTTTTGTATCATCAGGCCTCTGGTTTCAGGAATATAAATTTGAGATACCTACTGGACATTCAGGTGGTGATATGAGGAAGGTAGTTGTTAGTCTGGAATTCAGACAAGAATCTTTAACAGTGAAAATTAAAATGGAAAGAAAGAGCACAGTAAATGGTGATTTACTCAAATCAATGATTTTTTACTCTCATCTCTATATAAAAAAAGATGCTGCCTTGGACTGACAATAACTAGGTGGATTTCTATAAATCTTGTCCCCAAGTTTAGAAGACCTTTTAGCAATGTTTGTAGTACTAAACTGAAATTCTAACCCTGCAGAGAAGCTACGGAATACCTTATCTGAGGGAGACAGACATGAGCTGAACTCTTCTTCTGATGCTTTATGAATGAGATGAGGCTTGTTATCTAGCCTCTCAGAACTTAAATTTCCTCATCTGTAAAATGGGGATTATCAAACTTACCTTGAATGCAACTACAAGCATTACATGAGATAATTTAAGTGAATTATTGCGTAATGGTACGCACATGAAAGATGTGTAATAAGTGCTTATAAAATACATGAATTAGTTTGCTAGTGTATTTCCACTGATTGCATTCTTGAGACTAAAAAAGCAAGCCTGCTATTCAGAAATCTATAATAATAATAATGAGTTTCTATTTATGGGCCTTCTAATACATGCATATTACATACACAGTCAGTACAGGGCAGTAATAAAGAGCATGGTCTCTAAAACCCAACTGCCTGAGTATGAAGCCTGGCTTTCCTTCTTACCAACTTTATGAACCTGTGTCTCAGTTTTATCATCTGTAAAACAGGGGTGATAATATAATCCATTTATAGACTGCTACAAGGATTCACTGAGTTAATAAAGTAAAGACCCTTAGAACCATGACACAATAGTTAACGTTACTGAAGTGTTAAACTGGATTTGGCAAAAGCAATATAAGAGACAACTTATACTTTCTTTGTGCTTCTAGGATTAAATGTCTTGAGATACTTTTGGTTCCCAAGTCCCCTTTATGATCTAGTGAGAGTAACTGACTCTCCAGAAAAATACACAAACAATACATACCCACACAGTTCTGCATAAGATTATAGAATGCTCAAAGACCCTTGGCGCTCATGCATGGATTAAGCTAAAGTTCCCAGATCTAATTTAACTCAAGAGATGAACCAAGACAAATAATAGGCTAAATAATAAATAGCCTAGGATAATTGATGTTCTACTTATATTTCAGAAGAGGGAGAGGTAACTGCAGGATATGCTCTAGGAGAAGGTGGAATTGGAATGAAGCAGAAAGAATAAAACCTCTGTTCAATGAAAATAAATGAGGGTTGTGAGTATTTATTTAAAAATCTTTTATTCCAAAGACAGTGGATTGTCTTCCTAAATAAGAGTTTGCCGGCAAACAAGACATTACAAGAAAATCAGCATTTCAGTGGTTGAAGAGAGGCTCTGTTATCATCATTATTATTATTTTTAACCTGGCAGAGAAAAAAGAACCAAACACTAATTGCAAAAAATTTGCTGGTGTCAGTGCTGTGACTCGGTGCCATTTCTGAGCTGAGCAATTATGCACTTCCCGACTAATGCATTATCATAATGGCTCTCGGTGGGCACAACATATGGTGTTACTTTTGTTTTCAACATGATGTAAGCCAGATTTTCTTTTTCTCACTGCACTAAAAATAACACACAATGATTTTCCTCCTTCCTTACTCAGGTAAGGAGAGGACAGACAGAAAGCTTCAGTGATCTCCTTCTGGCTCATCTCCCTTAACCAGACAGGCTGCCTTTTAAACAGCAACCCTCCCAATTGATGCTTGGCTATCACATTTGCAGAAAAAAACTTTTCTTTGATACCATTTTAGTGTGGGATACTCCACATTTTTTAAAGAAATCCAACTCTCTTGTTCTTATATCTCTTCTTTTTTATCCCCAAATCAAATTTCTTTCATCTCCATTATCAGGAACTTCTACTAGTTATCACTAAATGACAGTCTCTTGAGTTAGGGTAATTCTGTAATGGATATTTAGAAACACAGAGGAAAGGTTGATTTCCATCAAGCAACATATATTTCCATAAGCTGACCAGTAAATGTTGTCATTTAATTCTGATTTCAATTTCTTTTTCTTTCCCTAAAAATACACAAATAGTTTTAGTTGTTTGTTCTTTATTGCTTTTGTCTGGCTGCTTCCATTTGCTGTGTGTGTGTGTGTGTGTGTGTGTGTGTGTGTGTGTGTGTGCGTGTGTCTTTTTTATTGAGCCTTTTATTCCTATTTATTAAACTTCATCTGCAAATATCCAGAACTTCCTGTGTTCTCTGATTTCGTCAAGTCAGTTTTAGCTGAAATATATTCTCTTTTTTTGGATGTATATTCAGAGCTTATTGTAGTTCTGATATCATAAGGCAGAAATAATAAACAATTATTCAGTTCAATTAAAACATATTTACTAAGTATTGTCTCTGTGCCAAAGTCTTTACAAAGATGTAGGAACAGAGATGAATGTCCCTATATGCCTCCCTATATACCATGAGTACTCAGTTTTGTGCATTGGAGAGCAGCTATGGATGACAATATTACCCTGAAACAAATGAACATACACAGAAGCATCTTCCCTTTTAGGTAATTATGAAGCAAATTCCATTAAGAAAGTGACCCAAAGAATCTTAATAAAAACAGAACTTAGTGTAAACCAATGTGGTATAGACATTCCAAGTTCTGGGTCAATATTCAACTTTAGGAAATGTTTCAATCTGTTGAGTAAATGAAAAATGGGGTTTAAAGAATTATAGCTCTGGTGGAGAAGGCAAGCTAGGCAATGGTTCCTAAACAGGGGTAAGGAGGGATGTAGATGGAACACCTCGGCTGATGAGGTTTCTCAAACTTGTTTTCTTTCCACTGACTAGTCTAGCAGATAGGGATTTGAAGCTACATCATTGAAAGAAAACAATGAGTAGTAATTTTGTGGATCATTCCTATGTGTGTTCACTGACATCAATATGAAAATGTCTGATTGGAAATTTCTTGTGATCAAATTTGTTTCCAATGTTGGAAACTAGACTTGATCTATTTTTCCAAAAGCTGACCAATATATTTCTATTGGGTATGTTAATACAACAAAGCAACTATTGCTATTTTTTTAAAATAGGAAACTACCATCACCCTCATCATACACTGAGGGGGGCAAAACAATTTATCTCAGGGAAATGTGTTGTTGTTAAGACAAGTTCATGTGTGCACAGGTTTATCTAGGTGATAGAAATAGAACAAAAGGGATTTAAACTACTCTATAAGAGGGTTGCTGGGTCAACTGGTAGTTCTGCTTTTAGCTCTCTAAGAAATTGCCATACTGCTTTCCACAGTGGTTGAACTACTTTACATTCTCACCAACAATGTATGTGTTCCTTTTACTCCACAACCTCATCAGCATCTGTTATTTTTTGTCTTTTTAATAAATAGTCATTCTGACTGGTATGAGATGGTATCTCATTGTGGTTTTGATTTTCATTTCACTAATGATCAGTGATGTTGAGCTTTTTTTCAAATGCTTCTTGGCCACATCTCTGTCTTCTTTTGAGAATTGTTTATTCATGTCCTTTGCCCACGTTTTAATGGGGTTGTTTCTCTCTTGTAAATTTAAGTTCCTTATAGATGATGGATATTAGACCTTTGTCAAATGCATACTATGCAAATATTTTCTACCATTCCGTAGGTTGTCTGTTTATTCTATTGATAGTTTCTTTTGCTGTACAGAAGCTCTTAAGTTTAATGAGATGCCATTTGCCAATGTTTTTATTGATTTTAGTGTCTTTGTCACAGAATCTTTGCCTGTTCCTATGTGCAGGATGGTATTGCCTAGGTTGTCTTCCAGGTTTTTATAGTTTTAGGTAGTCTTTAAGCCACATTGAGTTGATTTTTGTATATAGTATAAGGAAGGAGACTGGCTTCAGTCTTCTGCATATGGCTAGCCAGTTATCCCACCACCATTTATTGAATAGGAAGTCTTTTCCCCATTGCTTGTTTTTGTCAGCTTTGTCAAAGATCAGATGGTCGTAGGTGTGCGGCCTTATTTCTGGTCTCTCTATTCTGTTTCATTGGTCTATGTGCTTGTTTTTGTACCAGTACCATGCTGTTTGGTTATTGTACCCCCCTATAGTATGGTTTGGAAACCTATTACTGGGTATATACCCAGAGGAATATTAATCATTCTGTCATAAAGACACATGCACATAAATGTTCATTGCAGGATTATTCACAATAGCAAAGACATGGAATCAACCTAAAAACCCTTCAGTGACAGAGTGGTTAAAGAAAATGTGATACATATACACTATGGAATACTATGCAGCCATAAAAAATAAAGAGATCATGTCTTTTCTGGGGACATGGATGGAGCCAGAAGCTATTGGCCTAAAAAACTAATGCAGAAACAGAAAACCAAATACCGCATGTTCTCAATTATAAGTGGGAGCTAAATGATGAGAACTGATGAACACAAAGAAGGAAACAGCAGACATTGAGGTCTACTTGAGGATGGAGGGTGGGGGGAGAAAGAGGAGCAGAAAAGATTATTATTGGGTAGTGGGTTTAATACCTGGGTGATGAAATAATCTGTTTAACAACCCCCCGGACACGTTTACCTATGTGACAAACCTTCAGATGTACCCCTGAACTTAAAATAAAAGTTAAAAAAGAGGGTTGCAATAGAAAATGAGGAGGTGGCATCTTAGCACTGAACTAAGAGGATATGAGGGAAGACTGAGAGAAGTTATGAGAGCAGGTTCAACGGAAGTGTGTCCAGATTGAGCAAGAGAAAGGTGAGAAAAAGAGTCACGGTGGGACCTTAATGCTAAATTCTGTTCTTTGTTCCTCTTTCTCCCCCACAGGTCCCAAAATCTGTCAAAAGCAAGAATGGTGTTTTGGAGAAGGAAGGAGGTAGGACTATGTCCATGTTTAAGGCAATGTGAAACAAGATGAGAAAGGGCGGCTGCAGCACATGCAAGATTTGGGGAGAAGAAATCAAAAGTTGAACTTGGAGCACACAGTGGATGGCAATCACCAGGAACATTTAAGTCTGACCCCCAGGAACCCTCAGGAGTAAAGGAGTGATGATGAGGGGATGGATTACCCAAGTTACTTGAAATGAGAACTCCATCATTTACTCTGGATCTTTAAGAGTTAAGTATGACATGCCGATAGGATTGGAGAATCTGGGGACATTCCAGTTCTACTAAATTGATGACAATGATCAACATATTTCACAATTCTATTTCTCTTTTCAGGTAGAATTATTTTTCACTGCAAAGTATTCATTATTGGGAAAAGTAGGTTTTAAAAAAAATTAACTTATATTTAATTTATTTATTTTCTTAGCATTCTGACAAATAGAGGCAAAAAAAGCCAAGACATTCTTAGGCTTAGGAGAGAGAGACGTAGAAAGCCCCAAATAAAATATCGAAATCTTTCTTCTACTTTTGCGAAGTGGTTTTTCTTTTAGGAAGAAATAGATGGCTATAGCTGTGTAAATCTCTTCTCAGAAGAAGTGATATGGTAAAGGAAGGAGATCATCAGAATCTCTTTAATCATCTGTCAAATGTTATTCGTTGCATTCTATTAACAATGTTTTCCTCTTTGGAACAGCTGTCTCCTGTGCTATAAGCAGTAATGAAGAATTGTTAACTGCATATTGAGAAAGTGAGTAAAACATTTCCATCATCAAATACTTTGGTTAAATAATTTTTGACTAAAAATACTTTTCAAAAAAAGCTAACTGATTGTTGAGTCTTTACTCCCTTTCTTTTGATTTTTTTTATGATGAATGCTTATTTACAGATGGTACTTATGAGCCACATATATGAAAAGATGTAATATAATGCAGATAAGGTTGTCCAGAAATAGCCCTTGAATAAACTGAGATGCAGAGACCAAATTCACATAGTTAAAAGTGCCTCAGTATTCTTGCACCATGTATTAACATACAACACATTTCATTGGGTTTATTTTGGTCTTCAAATTTCTTGATGCCAATAATCATCAATTAATTCATTCATGATACAGCCAGCAGAATACTGTAGCCATAAGGGCACTTAATCAGTTCTCAGTTACTTGTGGACTATTCATGCTCCCTTCTAAACTTCAGGCTGGCTTTGTCTTATTGGTAATATATACTTATAGAAAGCTAACTTCTGGGTGCTCAGATACTTAATTTCTGAAAATATGTTAGAATAAGCCAAATATAAATAAGAGATTAGACCTACTATTGAGATGAAATATATTCTAAGATAAAAAATACATGACTTCTCAATGAATTGTTATTTCCGTCTACAATACTTTTTCTGTATGATTGATGAATATAATCAAGAATAGGCTGCCTACAATGTTGATAACTAAGTTTACTTTGCAATTCTAAATGCAGTTTATAGTGCTTTACTAGCTCAGAGAGAGGTTAGTAGGATGAGTCCAGTTTCCATAAGCCCTTCTAAATGGGAAATGAGACCTCTCCCACATAAATGAGTATTTTTAACTAAATAGAGATAAAAATAGTATATCTAAATGTTCCCTTGCAGGAGAGGTTGTGTACAGGAGCTCTCTATTGCCAAACTTTCACATAAGGTCAAACCCAGGATTACAAGCTATAACCATGCTTGCCATCTTTAAAGCAATTCTTCATATTTAAGAACAAGTCAATTTTGTGACATACGGTGTTAAAGTATGGGGTCTGGTGTAACCTTAGGAAGACAGAGTCTGCTGTGTATCTAAAATCAACCTGTAAGTACTGGTAGAAAATCCATAAAGATTGCTGAATGAAAGAAGTAATAAATACTGTCCTCAACAATGTCAATGTTTCATTATCTAAAAATGTTTACTTGGGTTCTCTGTGTGATACTTACTAAATCCCTGGCAGCAACTGGACATGCTCACATGCCTCCTTGGAAAATAAAACACCAACACAAAACAAAACAAATGAACTGTTTTTGATAGGCATTTGAAAAAACCTATAGCAAGCAGTGTTGATCATGGCTCTAAGAATGCAAGTCAATTAAAAATGATGACATCTGAAATAGTTTAACCTTTATTTATTAATAAACATCATAGAGGGAAAAGAAACACTCAAATGACACGAAGTAGGTAAAATAAATGTTTACTATTTTTAGTCTCATTTAAAATCTTTTGTCAGTTGAATTTAAGCTATATAAAAAGGATTCATATATAGAAGACAAAGACATATTTTCCCAAAAGAAAGAAGTAGACAGATGTTTAATTCCACTATACCTTCTAAATTGAGAACTGTTGTGAATGACTTCCCTAATACTGTGAAAATTAATTGGCTATGATTAGAGGCCAAGGCAAGAATTTCATAATGAAGACAAAATATATAAGCTTCTTTCAAACACAGGAATCCATGCATACGTGTATTATTGCTGTTTTAAAATTCAGGCTGAATGAAAATAACTTACCTGACACAACAATAATGAGCATCTTAGCATTGGTACCTAAGAGACTATGGAAGAATTTCAGGGTAGCTGGGATGTCTTTTACATAATACAGCATCTAGAAAGGAGGAAAAAGAGAAATGAGCTGCTTCTGTATGTTGAAGTCTTTATTGCTTGGGCTAGATACTCCTAGAAAGTTTGATTTTCTAGTTGAGTGAATTTTTACCCAAGAAAACACTTAAGAAATTTAAAGATTAAAGACGTTGCATGAAGACATAGAACAATAATGTGAGAAAATATTTGGGGAAATGGAAAAGTATGGTATTTGTTCGACTAGAGTCAAATGGTTTTAAATTTACTCTTTCTGGCTTCCATAGCACAGACATTTATAGCTGGAGACACTTAGTCACCATTCCACATGGGGACATGAATCCTATGCCTATTCTATAATTCGTGAATTGCAGTTCTTCTGGGAGAAAATGGTTCTGGCACCATAAAAACAGACCCCATTTCATGGAACGTTACTTTACAATTAAGCCCTTTGCACTAGCTTCTCCATATGCTCACAGATGCTTTTTTAAAATCACAGAAAATGTGACAGCCTCTGATGATGACAGATTCTGTAGGAAGTTGGACTAAATAAAGCATGAGGTTATCTGCTTGGTCACAGGGTGTTTAGGGGTCAGGACACCCATTTTTAATAATTCTGGATCAATCTCTAGTGAAGTACAGGCCTTTCCACCCAACACAGAACTTGGACTTAGGCATTGACGTGGGAAATTTTTCCCCATGGCTTGCATCTTTGGACCCCACCCCCATAGACACTTCTTATATCTCATCTTCATCTTTGTTGGACAAGAATTCAATATTCCATATAGCCTGTCCTTAGAGAATTCATTGCACAAAGGAAAAGTACTTTAGCTGTGCCTCTTTCATATGAATGAATGAAATAAAATGGACCTGACCTGTGCATGGCTCATGGTGCCTTAGGGGCCACACTCCACATTTTCCACCACAGGGACCATAGGCAGGTACCCAAATATAGTGAATCAATATGATGGCTAACAATCTACGATATGACCTGGCTAGAAATGTGGAAGTGGGCCATAGAAGATACCTTAAATTTTTCTCAAAGACAGTGAAATTTTCTGAATTGACAGTGAGGTTGTAAAAGTATCATAAGAGTGTGAGGACTATAATGAGTAATAGAGAGGCAGAGACGCTGCACAGAAAAATGGGGCATAGACAGAGATGGAGAGAGAGGAACAGGATAGAGATTCAGAGGGAAACAGAGTTGTTATAAGAAAGAAGGAACAAACATGGAAGTTTTAAGAGAAATAGGAAAGAGAAGCTGATTCCTGAAATCACAATATTTATAACAGAGAAAAGAATGGGATCCAGGGTTAAGCAGAGGGAGTGGTTTTTGATAAGAGGAGGTTTTTGCAATAAGATGGAAGAAGGAGATGATGCACAAATGCAGTTATGTTTGCAAAGTTAGAGGGTAAAAAATGAGTATCTGGCAGTTTCTATTTTCTCTATACATTATGAAGTGAGGTCATTGGCTCAGAACGAATGGTCTGGGAGAGATTGCAGGAGTGGTAAGGAGACAGGGGAGTTATGAAATAGTTATGTGAGGAAGTGGGAACAAAAGCAAGTCTGGTAGAGAAATATCTTGGCATCCTGGACAGTGATAAGTACTACCTGACAGGCAAAAGATTTCATCAGCTAAAGAAGCAGAGACATAGAATTGCCTGTATATGACACAATTGGAGTATTTCTTCCTTTGACTTCTTGTAAGTTTATTCTTTTGGGGTGATTATCATTGTAGACCAGGAAGAAAAATAGTGTTTTGTCGTTAATCAAGTGGTATTGCCAAAATACGTACATTTCCCGTTGGTAACCAACTTCCAAAACCCATACATCCCTTATGCTATTCAGAAATGTTAGTTATCTCTGGAAATCCAGCCCCATGCTATCTACTCAATAGTCACTCCCTTTCTTTTATTATTATTATTATTATACTTTAAGTTTTAGGGTACATGTGCACAATGTGCAGGTTAGTTACATATGTATACATGTGCCATGCTGGTGCGCTGCACCCACTAACTCGTCATCTAGCATTAGGTATATCTCCCGATGCTATCCCTCCCCCCTCCCCCCACCCCACAACAGACCCCAGAGTGTGATGTTCCCTTTCCTGTGTCCATGTGTTCTCATTGTTCAATTCCCACCTATGAGTGAGAATATGCGGTGTTTGGTTTTTTGTTCTTGCGTCACTCCCTTTCTATAACATGTATGAGTCAGTTTGTCGGATCTGGATAATGGAAGTAAAAATTTATTGAACTGAGGCATCATTTAACCTGCCCCTTCGACCATATGTCCACTACAGAAACACTCTGGGACATTGGTCCACCCAAACCATTAGAGCCACTAGAGAATATGTTATGATGCTATCATTCTCAAATCTCTATATAAACATCCAATGATATAAAAATAAATTAAAGACTGGGTGCAGTGGCTCACACCTGTAATTCCAACACTTTTGGAGGTTGAAGAGGGAAGATCACTTGAGCCCAGGATTTCAAGACCAGCCTGGGCAACATAGTATGACCCCATCTCTACAAAAAATAAAAAATTAGTTGGGTGTGGTGGTGCACACCTGTGGTCTCAACTAACCAGGAAGCTGCAGTGGGAGAATTGCTTAAGCTCAGGATTTTGAGGCTAGAGTGAGCTAAGATCATGCCACCGCACTCCAGCCTGGATGACACAGCGAGACTCCCATCTCAAAAAAGAAATAAGAATTAAGCCAACATTTTTAAAAATGGATAACTTGTAGAGGTATTTTGATTAGAGAAAACTGGTTTTTGGAATGTTAAAGAGAATCTTAGTATAATAAACATCTTTACCTTTTATTTGGGCAGATCATGGTCACTTGTAAAATTAGAAATCAGAAGATTTTCATTTACCTTTTAAAAATTAGAATAGTAGATATTCATTATATATATATTCTGAAAAGTCTTCTTTCTGAGTATATATTATAATACATATTTCTTACTTGAATCATATGAATAAAGTCCCACTTTTGAAGCTCCTTTTTCTCCAACATTCTACTTTGGTATTCAGATGATGTCTCCTTATGCCAAGCAAACTTTACGTTCTCGAGGTTCGATGTCTTGGCTACAAGCTCTAAAATACAGAGAAGAGGTGACACACCATCAATTTTAATTGCAAATGTGGAAACCATTTCCATTTAGAATTTTAATGCAATCAATGTTATATACAAACAGATAGAAAGAACGTTTTTCTTTCTTATGTCTGGGAGACCAGAGAGTTCATACTGCTTTTTTTGGTTTCTAGTATTTAATGAAATTAGAGGTGAAAGAAAGAGTCAGGAAGAAATAATTACAAGAACCCTGGGCAGAATAGGTTATATTGTCTTAGTATTAATGAAGAATCAACTGGTGAATTTTATCAATGGAAAGTGAATTGGAAACAGATATGTTTGTATAATTCAGGAGAAGACAAACTACAGTCCAGGGACTATATCTAGCCTGCTACTTATTTTTGTATGAACCGCAAGCTAAAAACATATATCGTTCTACTTCCTGACTTTGTGTCACTGCCATTCATGTTTCACGTCATTATATTTTTGAATGATTTAAAAAAACAAAAGAAGGATGCTAATTCATATGTGAAAATGATATGAAATTCAAATTTTAGTGTTTACAAATAAAGTTTTATTCAAACACACCCATGCTTGTTAGTTTACCTATTTTTCTTTTTGGCTGCCTTTGTGGCACATGGCAGGTTGATTAGTTATGGCAGAGACTGAATTGACCTTCTGAATCTAAAATATTTACTATTTGGCCTTTGCCAGGAAAAGTTTGTGAACTTTTACTGTAACCCACTAAACATAAGCTCTTTAAGGTTGGTTTAAATAATTCTGGATCAATGAATGAATCTGTACTTAAGCATAAACATCAAAAGGTAATCATTGATGACAACTGGGGAATGGATGAAGTGTTAATAGAAAAGGGAGTTTATTATTCACTGTTCACATTTTGAGATGTTTAGTCATGCCTGCCAAGAACTAATTCAGTTCTTCTCCCAATAAGCTTGTGAAAAGCATACCACAGTAACTATATTTTTAATCATTCAAGGGAACAATTTGAGTTAAGTCTTTTGGGATAGGATCTGGTGTAGAGGACCAGGAGTTACAGGTACCTTTGTATTTGGCAATTTGTTCAGCACTTGGCTCAACAACTTCATTGTTGATACAAACTCCTGGGTATTGAGCCTGAACTTTGGAGAGAATTTGAAGATCAATTTCACCTAGAAGATAAACATATGGGACAGGTCACATCATTCCAGCAAGAAATGATTAAAAACAATTTTAGCTGATTTATTATCTGCCCTACCTTTACTAGGAAAGCCTAACATAAATAAAGAATAATGTTCAACTGCTGCCCTGCCATGATGCAGGGCAGCTAGGTTCTAAGTAGGCATAGTAATGTGACTCAAGGAGGGCTGTGAGTGCCATCCATTCGTTTACATGATCTTTAACATCTATCACTATATTTCATCAAATCAAAGATGCTGTTGATTGTAGAAGGAAATTAACCCTTATTTTTGTTTCACCAAGTTAGAAAAAAGCCACTGTCAATTAAAATTTTAAGATTTTTATCAACTGGAGAGCATAACAATATCAGAGGTATTAAAATACGAAAAAAAAATGCACCTCAGAACTGGCAGAGTAGGCTAGGCCAGAAGAGTACAAAAAAATGTCAGATTAAATAAAGGGTACAAGCATATGTCAGGTAAAATAAAGAAGAAAAACATGTCAGATATCTGCCCTCATAAACACTATTACCTGTTCACAGACACAGAAATAGCCCTGGCTCAGTTGAATCAAGGTAGGAAGAGGGAAGAGAACATATGGGGAGAGGACGAGAGATGATGCCAGAGTGATGATGCTTCATGGGGGAAGATCACTCATGAACTCTGTCACTCCCAGGGTAAGTGGGAGTTAGCCCAGAAACTGTGGGGAAGTGAGGGATTGCAGGTACAGGGGACAAGATGACAGATGCACACACAGAAAATAAAAGAGTATATTTGGAACTACTAGCAGTCTAGATTTCTTAGAATATTGAGCAAGGCAGGACTTCCAAGCAAGAATCCCTGCCCTGGTGAAAATTCAGCCTGTAAGGGTTAGTGTAAGAGAGATGACAATAAGTCAGATGGACTTGAGTTTTAAACCTGTCTTCTTCACTTACTCGGTGTATACGACTTTGGGCAATTTGCTTTACCTCTCCAAGCTTCTTTTTTTTTTTTATTAGAAAAATAAAAATAATAATAGTACTTAATTTATTAGTTGTGAGGGTTAAATGAAGTAATGCATATAATGCACAGTGCAAAATAAAGTTGGCAGTGAATAAATGTTAGCTGTTCATTATTTTTATTGTTATCTTGAGTACATCTATTTGAAAATATCTCTTCTCTCCCTCTTGCTGATGCCTCCAACTTATGTTTTGCACTTTTATTCAGTTAGGTTATGATGTTGACCTTCACTAAAATGGAAATACCTCCTGGCAAGATTAGCATAGGAAAATGATGTTAGTCTTTAACATTTGGCATAAATGACATTAGCAGAAACTTTCCAAGGCTGCACATAGCAGGAAGCAAAAGCAGAGGTCATAAGACTGGGAGGTCTGGAAGGAAAGAGATGAGGAAGATAAACCAGGAACAGAAGATGCTAGACTGGGAAAAGACAGTGGTCCAGGTGCATATGAGAGTCCCAAGTACTGACAATAGGAGATGGCGTACATGGTGTGTGTGGAGGGAAGGAGGGAGAGTGGGAAGGAAGCTGAAATAGAGTATGAAGTCACTTATGTGACAATTTTCTTCACAGCCAGCCCTACCTACTTGAAATCATGTATTTCTTCACTGATGACTATAGCTGCCATTTATTATTGGCCACCTACTATTTGCCAAACACTGTGCTAGGCTTTTTACCTGGAACATCTCATTAATCCTGACAGCAAGTTCCATGATATTATTAATATTCCCAACTGGATTAGGTGATTTGAGTATGTTGACATTCAAGGGATATTGATATACCTGAAGTTTAAGTCACATTTGTCTAAATCTACAATGTTTATTCTTCTAACTCATTCAACTAAGAAGTAGAAAGATCACAAATGCTAAAAAGACATGAAAAGCCTTTTATTCTTCTGTTCAGCAACTATTCTGAAGGGAAAAAAAGACAACTAAGACAAAAGGCTGGTAAGAATAGCTGTGGGCTAATGGGAAATAGATTCCAGCTTGCCCCCAAAAGACTAGAGACCAAAATTTTCTGTTCTTGCCTCATATTAACCTAGCCATACATTTTAAATGAAAAATTATCAATTATGAGGATCTCAAATTCGACATTTTGAAAAAGATAACTGAAATGCAATTATATCCCCTCAGGGCTTGATGAGCTCTCCTCCAAAGATGGACCTTGACATTTCAGGTTGGCCTGGTTGGCAAAATATATCTAGCACAGTCTGGGACATGTTCAGAGCCAGGCAGTCCCTCTCCCTGGGGCACTGATAGAGGACACAATGCTAGAATCACAATTGACATATGGAAACCATTGGTTTGCATAACAGCCTCTAGAGTATAAGCTCATGTGTGCTGGATTCCTGACAAAAATAAATTAAGTTTAAGAAGAGGTGATAATGCAACTATTTCCTTAAGAGTCAATTAGAACGTAAAATCTATTTCTGACCTCATAAGTAGGGTGACCATACTTGTTTGTCAGGGACATTTCCATTTTATACCTGTTGACTTAGTGTCCATCTGCTTTCGTTTTTTGGTCCTAACTTGTTCATTTTTAATAAAATATCATTAGCAGAATTTTAGTTTTGGAAGTAGTTTTTAAAAAAGAACATTTCATAAATTTACTAATATGAGAAATTTGTTCAATGCATACAAATTTCAAAAATTATAATAATTTTAATTATTTTACCTACTCTTTCCAACTAATTCTCTAAAGTACCCTACATTGGACAATAAATAATACCACTGTGCTCATAGGCGATTACATTCTGTGCTTTTTTTTATTTCTTCTGAGAAAGAATGGAATATATATGCAGAATGTACAGGTTTGTTACATAGGTATACATGCACCATGGTGGTTTGCTGCACCTATTGACCTGTCTTCTGTGTTCCCTCCCCTCAACCCCAACCCCCAACAGGCCCTGGTGTCTGTTGCTCCCCGCTCTGTGTCCATGTGCTCTCATCGTTCAACTGCCACTTATGAATGAGAACATGCGGTATTTGGTTCTCTGTTCCTGTTAGTTTGCTGAGGATGATGGCTCCCAGCATCATCCATGTCCCTGTGAAGGACATGAACTCATTCTTTTTTATGGCTTTACAGTATAACATGGTGTATATGCACATTTTCTTTATCCAGTCTATCACCGATGGGCATTTGGGTTGGTTCCATGACTTTGCTATTGTAAATAGTGCTGCAGTGAGCATACATATGCATGTGTCTTTATAGTAGAATGATTTATATTCCTTTGGGTATATACCCAGCAATCCCATTGCTGGGTCAAATGGTATTTCTGGTTCTAAATTCTTGAGGAATCTCCATACTGTCTTCCACAATGGTTGAACTAATTGACATTCCCACCAACAATGTAAAAGTGCTCCTATCTCTCCACGGCTTTGCCAGCATCTATTGTTTCCTGATGTTTTAATAATTGCCATTCTGACTGGCATGAGATGGTATCTCATGGTGGTTTTGATTTGCATTTCTCTGATGATCAGCGATATTGAGCTTTTTTTCATATGTTTGTTGGCCACATAAATGTCTTCTTTTGAGAAGTGTCTGTTCATATCTTTTGTCCAGTTTTTGATGGGGTGGCTTTTTTTTTCTTATAAATTCATTTAAGTTCCTTGTAAATTCTGGATATTAGATCTTTGTCAGATGGGTAGAGCACAGAAATTTTATCCCATTCTGTAGGTTGCCTGTTCACTCTGATGATAGTTTCTTTTGCTGTGCAGAAGTTCTTTAGTTTAATTAGATCCCATTTGTAAATGTTGGCTTTTGTTGCAATTGCTTTTGGCATTTTTGTCATGAAGTCTTTGCCCATGCCTATGTCCTGAATGGTATTGCCTAGGTTGTCTTCTAGGGTTTTTATGGTTTTGGGTTTTACATTTAAGTCTTTAATCCATCTTGGGTTAATTTTTGTTATAAGGTGTAAGGAAGGGGTCGAGTTTCAGTTTTCTGCATATGGCTAGCCAGTTTTCCCAGCACCATTTACTGAATAGGAGATCCTTTCCCCGTTGCTTGTTTTTGTCAGGTTTGTTGAAGATCAGATGGTTGTAGGTGTGTGGTGTTATTTCTGAGGTCTCTGTTCTGTTCCATTGGTCTATATATCTGTTTTGGTACCAGTACCATGCTGTTTTGGTTACTGTAGACTTTTAGTATAGTTTGAAGTCAGGTGGCATGATGCCTCCAGCTTTGCTCCTTTTGCTTAGGATTGTCTTGGCTATATGTGGTCTTCTTTGATTACATATGAAATTTAAAATAACTTTTTCTAATTCTGTGAAGAATGTCGATGGTAGTTTGATGGGAATAGCATTGAATCTATAAATCAATTTGGGCAGTATGGTCATTTTCATAATATTGATTCTTCTTATCCATGAGGATGGAATGTTTTTCCATTTGATTGCATCCTCTCTTATATCCTTGAAAAATGCTTTGTAGATCTCCTTGAAGAGGTCCTTTGCATCCCTTGTTAGCTGTATTCCTAGGTATTTTATTCTCTTTGTAGCAACTGTGATTTGGAGTTTATTCATGATTTGGCTCTGTTTTTGTCTATTGTTGGTGTAAAGGAATGCTTGTGATTTTTGCACATTGATTTTGTATCCTAAGACTTTGCTGAAGTTGCTTATCAGTTTAAGAAGTTTTTAGGCTGAGATGATGGGGTTTTCTAAATATACAATCATGTTGTCTACAAACAGAGACAATTTGACTTCCTCTCTTCCTATTTGAATACCTTTTATTTGTTTCTATTGCTTGATTGCCCTGGCAAGAACTTCCAATACTATGTTGAATAGGAGTGGTGAGAGAGGACATCCTTGTCTTGTACTGGTTTTCAACAGGAATGCTTCCAGCTTTTGCCTATTCAATATGATATTGGTTGGGTAAGTTTGTCATACATAGCTTTCATTATTTTGAGATATGTTCCATTAATATCTAGTTTATTGAGAGTTTTTAACAAGAAGAGTAGTTTAATTTTATCAAAGGCCTTTTCTGCATCTATTGAGATAATAATGTGGTTTTTGTCTTTCGGTCTGTTTATGTGATAGATTATGTTTTTTGATTTGTGTATGTTGAACCAGCCTTGCATCCCAGGGATGAAGCTGACTTGATTGTGGTGGATAATTTTTTTTAATGTGCTGCTGAATTTGGTTTGCCAGTATTTTATTGAGGATTTTCCCATCGATATTCATCAGAGATACTGGCCTGAAGTTTCCTTTTTTTTGTTGTGTCTCTTCTTGATTTCGTTATCAGGAAGATGCTGGCTTCATAAAATGAGTTAGGGAAGAGTCCCACCTTTTCAATCATTTGTAATAGTATCTGAAGGAATGGTACCAGCTCCTCTTTGTATTTCTGGTAGGACTCAGCTGTGAATCCATCTGGTCCTGGGCTTTCTTTGGTTGGTAGGCTATTAATTACTGCCTTAATTTCAGAACTTGTTATTGGTCTATTCAGGGATTCAACTTCTTCTTGGTCTAGTCTTAGTAGGGTGTATGTGCCCAGGAATTTAACCATTTCTTCTAGAGTTTCTAGTTTATTTGTGTAGAGGTGTTTATAGTATTCTCTGATGGTAGTTTGTATTTCTGTGGGGTCAGTGGTGATATCCCCTTTATCATTTTTTATTGTGTCTATTTGATCCTTCTCTCTTTTCTCCTTTATTAGTCTAGCTAGCAATCTATTTTGTTAATTTTTTCAAAAAACCAGCTCCTGGACTCATTGATTTTTTTTTTGGAGGGTTTTTGGGTCTCTATCTCCTTTAATTCTTCTCTGATCATAGTTATTTCTAGTCTTCTGCCAGCTTTTGGATTCATTTGTTCTTGCCTCTATAACTCTTTTAATTGTGATGTTAGGGTGTCAACTTGAGATCTTCAGGCTTTCTGATGGGGGCATTTAAGTGCTATAAATTTCCCTCTTAACACTGCTTTAGTTGTGTCCCAGAGATTCTGGTATGTTGTCTCTTTGTTCTTGTTGGTTTCAAAGAACTTCTTGATCTCTGCTTTAATTTCATTATTTACCCAGGAGTCATTCAGGAGCAGGTTGTTCAATTTCCATGTAATTATGTGGTTTTGAGTGAGTTTCTTAATCCTGAGTTCTAATTTGATTGCACTGTGGTCTGAGAGACTGTTATGATTTCAGTTCTTTTGCATTTGCTAAGGAGTGTTTTATTTCCAATTATGTCGTAGATTTTAGAATAAGTGCCAAGTGGCATTGCGAAGAATGTATATTCTGTTGATTTGGGGTACAGAGGTTTGTAGATGTCTACTAGGTCCACTTGATCCAGATCTGAGTTCAAGTCTTGAATATCCTTATTAATTTTCTGTCTCATTGATCTAATACTGACAGTGGGGTGTTAAAATCTCCCACTATTATTGTCTGGGAGTATACCTCTCTTTGTAGGTCTCTAAAAACTTGTTTTATGAATCTGGGTGCTCTTGTATAGGGTGCATATATATTTAGAATAGTTAGCTCTTCTTGTTGAATTGTTCCCTTTACCTTATGTAATGCCCTTGTCTTTTTTGATCTTTGTTGGTTTAAAGTCTGTTTTGTCAGAGACTAGGATTTCAACCCCTGCTTATTTTTTGCTTTCCATTTGCTTGGTAAATTTTCCTCCATCCCCTTATTTTGAGCCTATGCATGTCTTTGCACATGAGATGGGTCTCCTGAATACAGCACACTGATGGGTGATGGGTCTTGACTCTTTATCCGATTTGTCAGACTGTGTCTTTTAATTGGGACATTTAGCTCATTTACATTTAAGGTTAGTATCATTATGTGTGAATTTGACCCTACCATCATGCTGCTATTTGTTTATTTTGTACACTAGTTGTTGCAGTTTCTTCATAGTGTCATTGGTCTTTATATTTTGATGTGTTTTTGCAGTGGCTGCTCCTGGCTTTTCCTTTCCATCTTTAGTGCTTCCTTCAGGAGCTCTTGCAGGGCAGGCCTGGTAACAACAAAATTCCTCAGCATTTGCTTGTCTGGAAAGGATTTTATTTCTCCTTTGCTTATGAAGCTAGTTTGGCTGGATATGAAATTCTAGGTTGAATTTTTTTTTTCTTTAAGAATGTTGAATATTGGCCCCCAATCTTTTCTGGCTTGTAGAGTTTCTGCTGAGAGGTCTGTCAGTCTGATGGGTTTCCCTTTGTAGGTGACCTGGCTTTTCTCTTTGGCTGCCCTTAACAATTTTCTTTCATTTCAATCTTCAATCTGATGATTATGTGTCTTGGGGTTGAATTTCTTGTGGAGTATCTTAATGATGTTCTCTGTTTTTCCTCAGTTTGCATGTTGGCAGTCTTGCTAGATTGAGGAAGTTCTCCTGGATAATATCCTGAAGTGTGTTTTCCAGCTTGTTTCCATTCTCTCCATCTCCTTCTTGGACTCCAATCAATTGTAGGTTTGGTCTTCTTATGAAGTCTCATATTTCTTGGAAGCTTTGTTCATTCCTTTTCATTCTTTTTTCTCTAGTCTTGTCTTCAGACTCTGATATTCTTTCTTCCACTTGGTTGATTCATCAGTTGATACTTGTGTATGCTTCAGGAAGTTCTCGTGCTGTGTTTTTCAGCTCCAACATGTTGTTTATGCTCCTCTCTAAACTGGTTATTCTAGTTAGCAATTCCTCTAACCTTTTATCAAGGTTCTTAGCTTCTTTGCATTGGGTTAGAACATGCTCCTTTAGATCAGTGTAGGTTTTTATTACCCATATTTTGAAGCCTACTTCTGTCAATTTGTCCATCTGATCCTCCCTCCAGTTCTGTTACCCCGACGGAGAAAGGTTGAAATCATTTGGAGGACAAAAGGCACTCTGACCTTTTGGGTTTTCAGCATTGTTTCATTGATTCTTTCTTGACTTCGTGAGTTTGTCTAGTTTTGGTCTTTGAGGCTGCTGACCCTTGGATGGAGTTTTTGTGGAGACTTTTTGTTGTTCTTGTTGTTGATGCTGTTGTTGTTGCTTTCTGCTTGTTTTTTTTCTTTCAATGGTTAGGTCCCTCTTCTGTAGGGCTGCTGCAGTTTGCTGGGGGTTCACTTCAGGACCTATTTATCTGATTCGCTGCTGTGCCTGGAGATGTCACTCAAAGAGGCTGGAGAACAGCAAAGATGAGTGCCTGCTTCTTCTTCTGGGACTTCTGACCTTGAGGGGCACCAGCCTGATGCCAGTAGGAGCACTCCTGTATAGGGTGTCTGACAACCTCTATTGGAGGGTCTCACCCAGTTGGGTGGCATGGGGAACAGAACCTGTTTAACACAGTGCCTCACTTGCGGGGAACCCACTTGTCTGGGCTGCCTGGATTCCTCAGAACTACCAGGAGGAAAGGCTAAGTCTGCTGGTCCACAGAGACTGCAGCCATCCCTCCCCCTAGGGACACAGGACCAGGGAGATGCAGGTTCTGTCCCTGAGCCTCTGGCTGGTGTTACTGGAGTTGGTGGGGGAAGCCTCACCCAATGAGGAAGGATGGGTCAGGGTCAGGCCTGAAGAGGCACTCTGGCCACAGACTGCAAGCAGATGTGTTGGACTGTGAGGGACAAGTCTTGGGACCAAGCCGTCCAGCCTCCCTGTCTCCAACAGAGGAAAAGCACAGCCTGGGGCTATAGAGATGGATGCCTCCCTTCCCCTGCCCAGGGAGCTTTGTGTTAGGCAGATGCAAATCCCAGTACTGGCTGCTGCTCCTCCCACAAGGAGCTCAAATAGCTTTGACAGCAGGCAGCCACACCCAGTTCTGGTCACCCCTCCCTCCAGGAGTTCCGTAGGCTTAAGCAGATTCCTTCCAACCGAGAAGCTAAGAGTCTGTGCATTCCTGGGTTGGGACGCTAGTCCCTGGTGGTGTGGGTTCACGAGTGGGATCTTCCAATCTGTGGGTTGCACAATTCTGTGGAAAAAGCACGCTCACCCATTGCCTCCCTTGGCTGGGGGGGAGGGGGCTCCCCCACTCCATGTGGCTCTCATGTGGGCTGCCACACCACACTGTTCTTCTTTCTCTCCGTGGGTCACACCAACCTCCTAGTCAGTTCTGATGAGAGAACCTGGATGCCTTGGTTGCTGGTGAAGTATTCACAAGCTTATGTTTTTTTTCAATGGGGGCCTCCAAACGCTGCTGTTTCTAGTCGGCCATCTTGGCCCCGCCCTGTGTTATTTTTATAATAAGTATAGTATTTCTTATTGTGATATATATGTAATAAATAATACAATTATCTACTTCTATATCTAGCTATATAAATATCTACTTCTATCTATTTACATACATATATGTATCTTTATAGAAATGTGTGTATATGCATAGATCGATATATGTGTGTGATATTATTTTATATATCTATATGTTTTTATCTATGGCTCCTGGCTTATGATTCCCATAGCCCTTGTTAATAGTCTTTTATTATAATTTTATGGTGCTTTTGGCCTCAGGAGCAGACCTCAGAAAACCTTTCACCTATACAAGGCAGGACTATAACGTGTTTCCACCTTTGTGATTGAGGGTCATAAGACCTCATTTCAGAGGAGGTCCTGTCCCATATCCTAGAGGAATTAATGCTGCACAGAGAGATCAAGAAGAATCTGAACAGATAGGCCTCACTGGGTTTTCCCACTCAGCCTATCAGCATTAGATTATAACCTTTTCATCCAATCACATTACTACATGGTTGTCCATGCTTCAGTCATGCCTATCCAATGAAGTTTTCATAAAAGGCCCAAGAGAACAGGATTTGAAGAGCTTCCAGATAGTGAACATGTGTAGGATCCTGGCAGGTGGCATATCCAGGCAGAGCATGAAAGCTCTGTGTACCTTCTCTCATACCTTACCCTATGCATCTCTTCATCTGTAGCCTTTGTAACATCCTTTATCATAAACCAGCAAATTAAGCCAGTTTCCCTGAGTTCTGTGAACCACTTTAGTAAATTAATCAAACCCAAAGAGGGGTTGTGGAAACCTCAACTTGAAGCTGGCTACTGAGAAATTCTGGAGGCCCAAACTTGCAACTGGTGTCTGAAAGGGGACAGTTTTGTGGGACTGAGCCCTCAACCTGTGGGATCTGACATTATTTTCAGGGAGACAGCATCAGAATTGAATTGAATTGGAAGATACCTGGAAGTATCTGCTGCTTGGTGTTGGGAGAAAAAAAAAACTCATGCATTTGGTCACAGAAGTCTTCTGTGTTGATTGTTGTGGTGTGAGAGCAGAGGAAAAAGTTTGAGTTTTTCCCTCAGAACATATACATATGTATGTACATATAAATATGTGTGGGTATATATACATATCCATAAGATATAAAATCATAAAATAAAATATTCCTTGACATTGTATTCTACATGATTTGCTTTTCAGTATCCCTCAGAAATAGCAGACATGTATTTTTAAAAAATAATTTATACCCATAATCTGCAATATAATATGGAAAGAGAAGAATAAAGTTGGAGAACCGACACTATCTGACTTCAAGACTTACTATAAAGCTATATGAATCAAAACAGCCTGGTAATGGCAAAAGAATAGACAGATAGATCAGTGGAACAGAATAGAGAGACCAGAAATAGACCCACATAAATATAGTGAATTGATCTTTGACAAGGGAGCAAAGGCAATACAATGGAGCAAAGATAGTCTTTTCAACAAATGGTGCTGCAACAACTGGATACCCACCTGCAAAAAAATGAATCTAGACAAGGACCTTACATCCTTCACAAAAATTAACTCAAAATGAATCATAGAACTATGTGTAAAACATAAAACTGTAAAATTCCTAAAATATAACACAGAGGAAAACCTAGATGACCTTGGGTACGGCGATGACTTTTTAAATAGAAACCAAAGGCATAATCTATGAAATAAGTAATTAATAAGCTGAACTTTATTAAAATTAAAAACTTCTGCTCTACAAAAGAAAATGTCAAGAGAATGAGATGACAAGCATGAAAGAAAATAATTGAAAAGAGCATATCTGATAAAGGATTACTATCCAAAATATACAAAGAACTCTTAAAGCTCAACGATAAGAAAACAACCAGCCCAATTAACAATTGGGCCAAAGACCTAAACACCTCACCAAAGAAGATATACAGATGACAGATAAATATATAAAGAGATATTTCATATCATATGCCATCAATGAAATGCAAATTAAAACATTAACAAAATACCATTACACACCTGGAAGGGCCAAAATCCAGAGCACTAATGACAACAAATGCTGGGAAAGATATGGAGCAACAGGAACTCTCATTCGCTGCTGGTGGGAAAGGTAACTTTGGGTCCACTTTGGAATACAGTTTGGCAGTTTCTTAAAAGACGAAGCATAACCTTACCATATGATTCAGTAATCAAGCTCCTTGGTTTCTACCCAAAGGAGTTGAAAACTTACAGTCACACAAAAATCTGCACATAGATGTTTATTAGCTTTATTCATAATTGCCAAAGCTTGGAAGTAACCAAGATGTGTCCTTCAGCATATAAACTGATAAGTAAAAGAACAAACAAACAAAGAATCTGTGGTACATGCAGACAATAGAATATCATTCAGTACAAGAAAGAAATGAGTTACTAAGCCATGAAAAGACATGGAAGAAACTTAAATGCATATTACTATCTGAACGGAGCCAATATGAAAAGGTTACATGCTGTGTGATTTCAACTAGATGACATTCTGGAAAAGACAAAATTATGGAAACAGTGAAAAGATCAGTGGTTGCCAGGGGCTGAGGGGTGGATGTGAAGGGGTGGAGCATAGATGATTTCGGGGACAGTAAAACTACTCTGTATAATACTGTAATGGTGGATACATGTCTTTATACATTTGTTTAAACCCGTGGAATACAACACCAAAAGGAAACCCTAAAGTAAACTATGAGCTTCTAGTAATTATATGTCAATGGATGTTTATAAATTGTAGCAGATTGTAATTCTGGGAGGGAATATATATATAATGGGGAGACAATGCATGCTTGAGAGCAGGGGTTGTATGGAAAATCTCTGTACCTTGCTGTCAATTTATCTGCAAACCCTAAACTTCCTTTAAAAAACCTTTCTTTAAAATAAAACAACAATGACAAAAATATTTATTTTTATTTTTTTGAAACAGTCTTGCTCTGTTGCCCAGGCTGGAGTGCAGTGGTGCAATCTCGGCTCACTACAACCTCTGCCTCCCAGGTTCAAGCGATTCTCCTGCCTCACCCTCCCAAGTAGCTGGGATTACAGACACGTACCACCATGCCAGGCTAATTTTCATATTTTTAGTAGAGACGGGGTTTCACCATATTGGCCAGGCTGGTCTCGAACTCTTGACCTCAAGTGATCTGCCTACCTTGGCCTCCCAAAGTGCTGGGATTACAGGCGTGAGTAACCACGTCCGGCCAACAAAAAGATGTATATAATCCTCTTGCCTGTTTAAAAAAAAGGGGGGTCAATAGTTCAGATCTGTCATATTATAGTCTTGTTTAACCATTTAACATTTAGTTTTAAAGTATTATCTTTTCTTGAAACATTCACCCATGCTGTTTGCTATCCATCATCACTCAAAGTTTCTTCTTCCTTTATCTTCCTTTCCTGGCCATCAAGAAGTTTACTTTCTCAATTCTGTCCCTACTAGCTGTGCTCTTATTCAGGTCAAGATTATTCACATTTGGAATACTGCAATAATATCCTAAAAGGTCAGCCTACCTCTGGTCTTGTATTCCTCAAAGCACTTACCATGATAACCATTTTAAACCCTGCTAAGCAAACCTATCACTTCCCTGCTTAAAATCTTCTAGTGACTATAAAATGGATGAAGGTCAAGCTTCTCCACTAAACATAGACTATCTGGCCTGGTCCTTATTCTCATCACTCACAGTTTTATATTCTGAATTTTGCGGCTCCAGGAGCCCTGAATTGCTTGCATTCTACCCTCTTTCCTTTACGTACCATCCTCTCCCATGCTTTCTCCTCTGCCTAAAAAGGTCTCCCTCACTTCTTCACTTCAGCTGGCTAACTCCTACACATCTAAAACTCTACCACTCATAGCTGGTAATCTTAGTGGTCTTTCCCACAGAGCCCAGAAGCAGCATGAGAATCTTCCAGACACTAACTACCCATCAATTGACTGGAGTTGGCAACACAGATAAAACACACTTGTCTTTCCTGATCTAAATTATTGCTCTTCTTCATTTATATGATGTACTAGCAAAGGCTTGCTTCCAACAAGTTTGTTAAAAAGAACTAAGGATACTTAAATGCTGGATTGAATAACTGAGCTGATTTGATCATTAATCTTTGCAGGCATATGAGGGGTTACTATACCCTATAGAACCATAAGCCATCAGTATAAGAGATTCAAAGTAAAAAAAAAAAAAAAAAAAAAAAAAAAAGTGGCCATTGTCCTTTCTAACTGAATCCTTCAGAGCAGGACCCACAATGTTATGACTATGTTCCAGAATCAGGTATGGAATGCCTTACAAATGCTTTCAGAGAGAACACAAGCCAAACTAATGTGTCAAAATAATGGCAGAAAGTAAACTAGACTTGAGTCAAATAATTCAGAAATTCTCAACAAATTCAGGGGTAAGTGAAAAAAATGTGGAAGCAGCAATCTACTTTTATTGTACATTGCAAAACTTTCTAGGAATCTTAAACTTGAGATCCAGAAAATGGCATTTAAGGGGAGTAGGGCAATACATGCTCAGTTTATAGTCAGTCTCTTCCCACATGTGACCTCTCATGACCATTGCTTGGTCATAACTCTGATGATTGAAGGCTACTTATTTTTGACCCCCTAAGGCCTTTAGATACATACACACCAACAGCTGTTTGGGTTAACAAAAGCCCTATTAAGAAATGACATTAAATGTTTCTCCCTAAAGAAACAAAGGCTACAGCATTTTCTGTGACAAATAGAGAAATAATTTTGATGATTAAACAAACTCTATTCAAACATATCATAGTATTTTCTTTCTTTTTTTCTTTTCTCCCCTTCTGTGAATAGCAAGGCAAATTAATGATTTTTCATTCTGTGCTTGTGATGATGATGTAACTGATTTTCTCAATTGATCCCTTGTGTGTAATTTTAGCAAAGCTGGGCAAATCCAAGTATGTATCAGCATAAATCAATGGGATACACAGCACTTCATTTCAATATACAATGTTTAGAAAGATATGCACCAAATTCAAATCAAGAGTTATCTAATGGCGATAGAATTATAGCTTATTTTTAATTCTCTTTTTTTATCTATAATTTGAAATGTTTCTATAAAAATTTATTCAAATTAATTATTTTCGAAGTGTTTATCTTCCAATTAGAAAACCTTTCTGTGATGGTTACTTTTATGTGTCATCTCTACTGGGCCATGGAGTGCTCAGACATTTGGATAAACATGATTCTGGGTGTGTCTGTCAGGGCATTTTTGGATGAGATTAATGTTTGAATTGGTAGACTGAGTAAAGCAGACTGCCCTCCCTCATCCAATCAATCCAAGACCAGAAGAGAACAGCTTGAGCTGGAACTGGTCATTTCTGGCCTTCAGACTCAGACTGAAATATCAGCCTTTGTTGAGTCTCAAGCCTTCAGGCCTGCTGGCTTTGAGACTAGAACTTACACCATGGGCTCTCCTGGGTCTCCAGCCTACCGACTGCAGATCTTGGGACTTGTCAGCCTTCATAATCATATAAGCTAATTCCTTATTTTACATATTAAGGTATATATATATAAATTGTATTTATATTATATATATATAATCTCGTTGGTTCTGTTTCTCTAGAGAACCCTGACTAATTACTACAGGTCTAAATTTTTTCTTTTATTATTTTGTATGCAAGTGACTATTCCAAGGCATTTATCAACATATATAAAACAACTCAAATTAACAACAATTTGGCCTTTAGCTTACTGTAATCATTTAACCTCTCTACGCTAATTACCATATTTACCACTAACACTAGTACCACATTTACCATTATGTATCTAATTAAACATTTTTATTTAATTTTAATTTTATTTTATTTTTTGAGATGGAGTCTCGCTCTGTCGCCCAGGCTGGAGTGCAGTGGTGTGATTTTGGCTCACTGCAAGCTCTGCCTCCTGGGTTCAAGGATACTTTATAATGCAAGTTGTTCTCTTACATCCTGGAGGCTTACATTTGGTTTTGTAAAATCACGTGTATTTGATTTTAAAAGGCATTGCTGTATTATAGTAAATGTTAGTATACTGAAGATGTGACTATACCTTATATCATATATGAACTTTATCTGGTGACTCAAAGAACTGGTCTTCTGAGTGGGAGACTGTCTGTTCTGGGCAAGTGCACTAGTAAAAGAGGCTACAAAATGAAATTTTTATTGCTTAAAAAATATGGATAAGTAGGTAGACAGCTGGTTAGACGGATGCATGAATGCATAGACAGACTCACAGACTGCTACTAGTAAGATAGTTACTTGGATGACTAGAAGAATAAAAGTATGTAGGAAAGAGAGAAGTCACAACTTGGAAAAATAGGTTTTCTAGGTGCTCTGCTGTTACATTTAAAAAAGCATGTTTAAAGGGTAGGATGTGAAGATAGGCTGCAAGGAAATCCCTAACAAAAGCTCTACCAACCCTCTACGCTTTAGCTAGCACATTATGTGAAATCCTATTCTTAGGACACGGCTTTAAATTAGACATACACTTCCACTTGCATTGTTGATGGACATACATTTCTGCTATTTGAGATCCCAAGGCAGTCAAGGGATGGAGTTAGAGCAGTTTTATACATTCTTAATCTTTTTTTTTTTTTTTAGTTTCGGTTCCTGTGGCACTGCCTTTAGCACACACCAATTTTGTCCATGCACGTTTTAGGCAGATAGTGAGAAGCTGAGAGTCTTACGTGTCATGTCTCTTCTATCTTAAACTGGTCTGTCATTATAAAATTATAATCCTAGTTTGCTACTATTCAAAGGCAGAGAATAGAACTTCATGACATGATTGCTGGTATGTCAAATGTTTTATTAATCACATAATGATTATAATTAACTCATGCCAGCCCTAGCCAAATGGCCCAATCTTTTTATTTATCCTTATAGTGCTACCAGAATTCTGCATGCTTTTCATAGGGTATTTAAATCTCTCCTGAACTCATTTGCTCATCTACAAAATGGGAAAATATAACTCACAGTCACTCCTTACATCATATGGTAACTTTTAAAAAATGTTATTTTTATGATTTTTTTAAGTTTAATTTCCCTATGTCAAACTTACCAACAATCTTCGACTGTAAAATCAGGACAACTGATTAATATAGTTAATTACCTCAAAAACTTAATTCCAATATTTACTTAGTGTTCAGATTTCGAGATAACCAACAAGTATCAAAAATCAAAGCCTGAGACTAATTTGGGAATTTTGCATGCTATAATGTCTTTCTTTCAATCATACATCCACTAAGGATCCATTATATGCCAGGAAATGCCCACTGTTGGGCTTATAGAGATAATTTCTTAAAAAGTTAATAGGCACATTGACATTGCTCAAACTCATTAATAATCAAAGAGATGAAAATTAAAATGGCAATACAATATCACCTGATGCTTGTTGGACTTGCAAAACATCAGAAAGCTAAAGAATGCTAAGTGATGTCAGGGATATTCAGATAGAGAAACTTCATCCAGGCCACTGAGAATATAGACTGGAGCAGCCACTATGGGGACTAATTTGGTAATACTTATTCGTATTAAATATATGCATAACCTACGACCCAGGAGTTCTGAATTGAGAATGTAATAAAAATGCATAATCCAAAGAAATTCTCACATGGGTGGATAAGGAGATACTGAACCACGTTCACTACAGCATTGCTTGGGATAGAAGGGAGTTAGATGGAAAGTTATAAGGCAGAAAAATTGTGGTGGATGCACAACACTCAGTATTCTGTAACAGTCAGAATCCATAGATCAGATCAATACTTAGCAATACGGTAATCTTCAGGGTATAGTACTCCATGACAATGCAAGAAAGAGTAATATATTGAGGGAAACCAGAATAGGTCACCTCGACATCTGCCTCTTTGACAAGAAAATTGTTTTTGAGCTAAAGGCAATTAAGAAGCAGCAAATGGAAGGAAAATTTTCCCTATCCTCCTACTCTTCTGCCTAAGGGCAGGTTATAAATTCTCCTTTACTGGAGACAACTCTAAACTCTTACCGTCCCAGAGACAGCACCAGAGGAATCTGCAAACAAACTTACTCATATTTTCCACCCATATATTTACCTTCCCACAGTTTCCCTCCCTTGGAAGCCTAAAATAATTTTCCTTTGTCCTGTCATTTCCCCACAAATTTATTGTTTTTTGTTGAAGATGCTCTATGAGCCAGAGTTCCAAACCACTACTTCGAGTTACTTTTCCTTGGAGTGTATCCTGTATGATGAGCACTGCACGTTAATAAACGTGTTTGTTTCCCTCTTATTAATCTATCTTTTGTTATAGGGACCCATCCCAGCTAAGAATTCATGAGGGTTGAGGGGGAATTTTTTTTTGTTCCCTACAATATATATTGTATACACTATATGTATATTGTATAAAAATATACAATAGGAGAATAAAAATGTACAGATTGGTAATCGGAAACATAAAACACATTAAGTGCAATAAATTACAACAATGGTATAATGGAATTCTTCAGGGCAAACAGTGAAAATACAAAAGCAGAGTTAGTGACTGTAGTGAGGACAGGGGAGGCTGAGTCCAAGAAGAAGAGCAGGAAATACTTTGTGGAGGATGTGGAGGATATACCCCTTGGGCAAGTCTGTGTATTCTACTGTTAACTGTCTTCCTGGTTTTGGGTCACTTACTTTGGACTACTTTAGGCTCTAGAACTTTCTCTATAATGAGCAACTACATAGGTTCTGCATGATATTTATGGATGAGGCTTTGGGATAATAGGAAAAAATCATGCGCTTCAGGAAAAATCCAACCTGGGCTTGGAGATCGGCTCCACCGTCTATTACTTGATGAAATGCATCTTAAACCATCTGAGCCTCAAAATATCTGAACCTCAGCTCTTTCATTTTTAAAGGAAGTCCCCACAGAGTTTCCATTAGAATAAAATGTGATTACATATGTCAAGTGGCTAGCAAAGTGTCTGGAAAATAATAAGCCTTCATAACACTTAGCCCCTCTATGATTCAGCTTCCAAAATAGCACTTAGGCAGTTTATGTTATTACAGCATATAAAGGGAAAGAAAACACTTTTTATTAAGCAATATCGATGAGCAAATTTTTGGAAGCTAGCTGGCTATACATTGCTTAAAAATTCAATAAATTTTAGTTTAATGAAAACTTGTTTTCTAATCAGCTGAATTGTGGATTTTTTTCTTCACTCCTGTGTAATTTCCTACCAAACAGAATATGCTGGCTTTCTGATTTGGGAAGTTAATGAAAACTGAATTATTAAAAATCTCCTTCTCTGTAAATCTCAATTTTTGGTACCACCGTGTCCCTCAGATCTGCCACAGATATAGAATTAATTCCCATGTTTCCATTCTGGGCTATGTTGAGTATTTTACTTAATTTTAAAGTCAGATATGTTTGTGGTTATAATATCCTGCTTTCACACAAGCTGTATGTTAAATGCATCACACTTACATTCAATGAAGGGCATGTAATTGAGATCTCTGAATGTGGAACTTGTTAAGTTCAAAAACAAAGAAAAGCAGTGTCTCATTTTCCAGACACCTATTCTCCACTCCCTGAAGTTCAAGGATACGTTTAATAAGATAGCAGAGGAATGTTGCATTTTTTAAAATCCAAAGGCATTTAATTTAAAATGGAAAAAAATCGTGAAAAGAAAAAATTAAGGCTGGGCGCAGTGGCTCCTGCCTGTAATCCCAGCACTTCGGGAGGCCTAGGCTGGTGGATCACTTGAGGCCAGGAGTTCGTGACCAGCCTGGCCAACATGGTGAAATCTCTACTAAAAATACAAAAATTATCTGGGCGTGGTGGCGTGAGCCTGTAATCTCAGCTACTCGGGTGGCTGAGGCACAAGAATCACATGAGCCTGAGAGACGGAGGTTGCAGTGAGCCTAGATCGCGGCACTGCACTCCAACCTGGGTGACAGAGAAAGACTCTGTTTCAAAATAGTGATAATAATAATAAGAAGAAGCCTGTAGAGAGACAAAAGAACGCAAATTTCTTATTCACTAGAATTATCCTATGCAAATGTGTGGGTCTCTCTGTCCTTTAAATTGCATATGTGTAAAATGGGTATAACATGGTTTATGTTATAGGGTTAGAGGTGTTGTAAAGATTACAGGCATTATATGGAGATAATTTACCACAGTTCATGATATATAGTAATTACTCAAGAAAGTGAAGTTATTATACATTACTTCAACAAATATTATTGAGCACCCACTAAATGTCAGGTTCTAACCATTGGAGACGTAGCAGTGAATAAAACAGGCAAAAACACCTAATTTTACGGATGGTGGGAAGTCCCACGGAGAAAACCAAAGCAACAAAGAAAGGGGAAGCTGCGGTGTGAAGACTTTGCAATTTTCAACTGTGTGATCTAGTAGGCTTCATGGAAAAGATGACACTTAAAAGAGGATGAAGGAAACTAGGAATGAGGGAAATGCAGATTTGCTTTCTAAACGGGCAGCTCCAAATGGCAACTCAGAAGAGCGCTCATCATGGATCCTCATGCCTGGCTTGTCTTTCTGACGGGTGCTACACAAAATGAAACACGAATTCCGCTTGAGAACCCTGGAGCTTCCCCGAATGAGACAATCTGCAGGTCAAGAAAATAGGGGATTAAAGACTGTGGCCATATCTCCTGCCATTCGATTTCAGCCTATCCCTGCTTCTTTTCTCATATCAAAATATATATTATCAGCAGGAAAAATTTAATTCTATTACATGTTGCATTAAGATTATTATCATTTTTGTTCCCTCTACTAGAATATCAGGCAGAAAAAAAATGGTTTCTAGGAAGAGCGATTGCTCATATAACTCCGTGCTTGGAGATGAAAAATAATTTCAGGTGTGGGTTTGCAGCCAGAGAAAGAACAATCTGATTGTGAACTGCAATATGAAAGACAGAAGATTCCTGACAAGATCCTTTCTTTTCTTTACTTCTCTTTTTCTCTCTCTATCTCCCTCCAACACCCTGGGTACCTCAGTATTAAAGCAGTTCTGTCTATATGAAAATATGAGTATAAAATATTAAAATAGCTGTAGAGTTTCAAGAAGGGGGTTATAAATATAAATTCTTAGTCAAAAGGGTGTTGCCATTTGTTTTCATGTGTCTTCTGGTTCTTGGCCCAGGAAATCTACTGCCTGAGGGTTTTGCAACATCAGGAAGTCTAAGAAAAGTCATGCAACCAAAATGTTCTACAAAACACAAACTTAGAGAAAATGCTTCAAAGGGTGCTGAAGACTGAAATGTACAGATATTTGATGGAAAACTCAGAAAAGATACAACAAATACCTCAAGAAACAGAGGATAGCCACCATTCTCTTGATCAGCATCATCCTCACTGTCCTCAGAGCTGAAGTATACTCGGTGCTAGGCACTGAGAATCTATAGGCTCTGAAGAAAAGCTCTGCTAATCTACAACATAGCTGGGATTGCTCTTTAAATATTTGCACAGGTATAAAACTGTTACAGGACCGGGCATGGTGGCTCACGCCTGTAATCCCAGCACTTTGGGAGGCCGAGATGGGAGGATCATGAGGTCAGGAGATCGAGACCATCCTGGCTAACACAGTGAAACCCCGTCTCTACTAAAAAATATTTAAAAATTAGCTGGGTGTGGTGGCTGACGCCTGTAGTCCCAGCTACTGGGGAGGGCGAGGCAGGAGAATGGCATGAACCTGGGTGGTGGAGCTTGCAGTGAGCTGAGATCGTGCCACTGCACTCCAGCCTGGGTGACAGAGGGAGACTCTGTCTCAAAAAAAAAAAAAAAACCTGTTACAGGTGAATCAAAATCTTCTGAAGAAAAACTGTCAGGAAAACACACTTGTGGGAGCAGTGCTTTGGGCTTCAGCTGTTTAGCTGAAGGAGATGAAGGAGAGGCCGGAGGTCTAGTCCTTACCATCATCTCTCGTATATAAAATTATAGTTTTGTTTTTTTCTCTCTCTGGCTAAAAATTAATAATGCAGAAAACTCAGGACATAGAGAAAGGTAAAAAGTAGAAAAGAAACATCTCACTGCTTCCTAAACTTTTATTTTTCTCCATTGATCAAATCAATTTTTTTCTTAGTCTATCTAGGTGAGATTATTATGTATATAAATTATTTTGCCTTTCTCTTGAGTGTTAAACTATGAATATATCAAAATTTATTTTAATGTGTTATTTGTAGTGGCTATACTATATTCTCTTAAATGGACATGTGAAATAATTCATTTAATTATTAATCTTTCATATATAATATAAATAAAATAAAAGTATGGCCGGGCGTGGTGGCTCACGCCTATAATCCCAGCACTTTGGGAGGCCAAGGTGGGTGGATCACGAGGTCAGGAGATCGAGACCATCTTGGCTAACAGGGTGAAACCCCGTCTCTACTAAAAACGTGGTGATGGGCGCCTGTAGTCCCAGCTACGCGGGAGGCTGAGGCAGGAGAATGGCGTGAACCCGGGAGGCGGAGCTTGCAGTGAGCCGAGATCACACCACTGCACTCCAGCCTGGGCGACAGAGCAAGACTCCGTCTCAAAATAAATAAATAAATAAATAAAAGTATACATTTATGTAAAATTCATTTATATTTGTATTTATATATACTTTATATATGGAAATATATATGGATATATTTTATATGTGAATATATAATTTTACATATAGTTTGTCTTATATAACATAAATTATACTTTATATATTATGTACTATATATAACACATAATATATATAACTATACTATAAACATATATGAACTATGCTATATATTATACAATTTACTATTATAGTATGCCTATATAGTATATTATATAAGAATATTATATAATGTATTACCAATTATATATATTATATATTACTTATTATATGTAATATAATAGATTACCTATTTTATGTATACTACCTATTATAATTATGTAATATGGAGTATACTTTATACTATTTATTATATAAGACTATTATATAATACTAAATTATATAATTATACTATATTACATAATTATAAAGTATTATATAATACTATATTACATAATTATAAAGTATTATATAATACTATATTATATAATCATATGTATTGTATAATACTATATTATATAATCATATGTATTGTATAATACTATATTATCTAATCATATGTATTGTATAATACTATATTATCTAATCATATGTATTGTATAATACTATATTATCTAATCATATGTATTGTATAATACTATATTATATCATATGTATTGTATAATACTATATTATCTAGTCATATGTATTGTATAATACTATATTATCTAATCATATGTATTGTATAATACTATATTATATAATCATATGTATTGTATAATACTATATTATCTAATCATATGTATTGTATAATACTATATTATCTAATCATATGTATTGTATATAATACTATATTATATAATCATATGTATTGTATAATACTATATTATATAATCATATGTATTGTATAATACTATATTATATAATCATATATTATATAATTATGTAATATTATATTACAGTTAATATATACATACATAACTGTAGTATAGTTAATATATACGTATATAAATATACTTAAAATTCACTATCGTTGGTCTCATATATAGTTTTAGATATTTTGGTATTGTGAGGAGACTGAAAATGAGCCATAAATTTTTGTGCAAAAATCTTACTTTTTTAAGTTAATTTCCATAATGGGAATTAATGATTGGAATAAGACTCTTGATCTCTGATGATATTTTTAAAAACAGTGATAAACAACAATAACAACCACCACAAAAAGCTCAAGTCCAAGGGTGGCAGGTGCTCAGAAAGGATGCAGGCTGAGGAACTGTAGCACAGTCCTAGCAGCCCTCCTGGACTGGCAAGGCCAGGCCAATTGCTGGAGCCCTGGAGATGGGGGGTGGGGAGGCAAGGTGGGATATCCAGGAGAAAGCACTGAAGCAGTATCTGGGGCTGTGATAATATGGAAGAAGAGTAGCTGTTTATCAAGAATTTCAATATTTTTAACAACCAGCAGGGCCAGGCCAGGGCATATTAGATGAAAATCAGAACTGTTCTTGCTATATAATGCCAAATTACTTTCAGGGAAATTTTAATTTCATACCTTTACCTTTTGCACATGAAAACTTCCATATCACTGTAACCTCATCAGTATTATATGTTATTAGCTTTTTAAGTCTTTTTGAATTATTCTTAGCAAACATTTGAACTTTTCTTTAAATTTTTTATATTTTGAATAAAATATATTATTAGCTAATTAACCAAATATTTTTTCGTCGTTTCTCTCAGATTGTTATTGTTAATAGAGATCAAGCTGAAGGAGACCCAAGGAATTGATCTCAATCCCTGCAACCCCCCCAATCCCCTTCAGGCATATATTATTAGGTTCACTATCTATAAAATGAAGATAACAACAAGTCACCTACACCAGAGTTGCATGACTGTGTATATTAAATTGCAAAGTTTTATACAGCATGACTGTCAGGAGGAAACTTATTCACTGATTAAGAGATTGCAGACCAAAATGGCACAAAAACTGGCAAGATACAAATTTGCCCTTCAGCAAAATTACAGATAAACACATGCCATGGACTTTTATGTAGATTGTAAATAATCAAAATTGGGAATGGAAAACACTCAAACGTTAACAACAACAAAACAAAATAAGAACCTAACATACTGCTTTTTTTCTATTTTACCTGTTTAAGCCCATTGCTGCATTCTTATTAATTATAAGGCTTTAGAACTAAGTTTATTTGCTTTTGTAAGTATACAGTCATTTAATCTGCAATGATAGTTTTGTCCTCACTTGGTTCATTATCCCTTGTTTTGCTGTTTCTAACCTTATTGAATTAGCCAAAACAATCTTGTTTACTCTGCTTTTAATGACAATCACTCCAGTGTTCTAACACTATGCTCCCTTCTCTTGAATCTGTAACTTATCTGTCTTTAACAATAGCTCAATGCTCACTGAAAGTTTTAAATACAATACAATGGGGTAAGCTATTTTGGTAAAATTATTTATGAAGAATACTTTATTTTTTAATCATATATTTAACAAATGCCTTTAATAAAATGATGCCCCAAACTATAACTGTGTTTATGTAAAGTAGTTCTAAATCTTGTAGATTAGTTTATGATTATAATCTATATCCTTCTGGTAAAGGAGTTAACTGCTATGATGCTGCATATAAGTACTAGTTTTTACTCATTTTTAGTTATAAGCAATTAAAATCCATTCCCAAAGTTGTCTGCAGGTCTAGAAACCCCATTAGAATACCGCTTCCTCAATACAGCAAACATGGTAATAGCCACACTACTCCGAAAAATATTCCTACCTCTTTTCTAGAAGGTGACTCATAAAACAAGATTTCAAGACTGAAAGCACGTTTGATGGCCCAAACACACAAGAAAATCAGTGCCTAAGTCCCTTCCATAACATATCTGTAAAGTATTTCTCCAACCTGTGCTGACACCACTAGAATGACTTTTTATCTCCCAAGGAGTGGAAGTTATTTTCTATTTATAGACAGGTTTTTTTTTTTTTGTTTTTTGTTTTTTTGAGATGGAGTCTTGCTCTGTCCCCCAGGCTGGAGTGCAATGGCCCGATCTCGGCTCACTGCAACCTCCTCCTCCCAGGTTCAAGAGATTCTCCTGCATCAGCCTCCCGAGTAGCTGGGATTGCAGGTGTGTGCCACCATGCCCAGCTAATTTTTGTGTTTTTAGAAAAGCCGGGTTTCACTATGTTGGCCAGGCTGGTCTCAAACTCCTGACCTCAGGTGATCGGCCCCAGTTGGCCTCCCAAAGTACTGGGATTACAGGCGTGAGCCACCAGGCCCAGCCAACAGGCTCTTACACTGAGCCAAGAAATCACTCTCTGAAGCTTTCAACCATTGGCGCTTTGAGGGCAAATATTCTATTGTTTGCCCATCAGAAAATATACGAAAATGGCAATAAGCACAATCAAATTCTTTTTTCCAAGCAAAAAATACCTCAATTCCCTGTATTTTCTCACACATTTTAAGTTTGTTGATCTGTACTGTTGGCTTACTATGGATCATTGGTAAACATTAACCTTTGCTTCCTGCCACCTCCTAGTTTCTAAACCTGACACACTGGATCTTCCAGTTCCTACTTGAATTACATTCATTCTACTGCCATCCAATCAGCTTAAAGTATTAAGCTTCTGTGTTACCTTAACATGTTATTTATGAAAGGAGACAAGGTTAATAATCTGATAAGGTTAGATTTTCAAATAGCTAGTCATTGCTAAGTACCTAATCTCTCCTGTGAAAGGAAAATAAAATCCTGGGACTCCAAACTCACTATGTTAAAAGGAAGAGTTACACTTGAGAACTGGGTCACACAAAAACTGCCTTCCCTTTTGTACCTAAACAGATAGGTGCAATGACAGAAGGCCACTATTTCTCCATGTGGCCCCCCTCCTTTTACATATAACATGTGGATTCAGTGAGTACTGATCAAACCCTCACAAGAAAGTGACCACTTACCTTACTCCCTACCCTCCCTATTTTTTTCTTTCCTCCTTCTCTCCTGCTGCTCTTCCCCCTTTAAATATTGAAGCCTTCAAACACCTCTTTGGAAAAAGCACAGATCACAGATGCTACTGCAACCTAGGTCTCTTTTTCTCAGTTGCATCCTCAACCTTGGTAAAATAAACCTCTAAATTGATTGAGAGCTGTCTCAGACACTTTCTCCCTTACCAGGTTAAGAATTAACTATTAAATCTGTTTAGTACAATTTGTTGGACTGGACTAAAGTCAAGAGATCTGGGTTTTCTTCTGCCTTGATGGTCCCCAGGTTTCTTATTTGTGAAGTGAGAGTGTTGATGGTCTGTAAATTTTCTTCTAGGTTTTAACCTCTGTAGAAATGCTGGTGTCTATATGCTGCAGAACAGGAGACCCATCAAACTGGTCTCAACATATGTCAGAAAAATTATTACAAAAAATATTATGAGGGTTGATAACACCTGTATTTCATATATGAGTTGCTTGAGTGGGTTAAAAAATTTATCTATAAATGTATATACAATTATTGGTATAGCAATGGTATAGTGGTTGAGTTAATATACAATAGGTTAATGAAAATAGAAGTAGGAAGCTGGATTAAATGTGATTATTTGAGTTACAGCTCTGTCTAACTCTTAAAAAACTTTCTGGCATTTGAACATAAGAACCAAACACTGGGACAGATAAAATGATTATCCTTTAAGCAGAGCCCAGAGCAAGGAGAACACATTGGCCGTGACTGCTTTCTGGAACATGTTTTCAGGTATAAATATATGCACTGTAAATTAATAGCATTCTCTCTTACCAAAAAGAATATGGGTTTCTTTTTTCCCACGTACCATCTAGCATGAAGACAACACTCATTAGAGGTTGAATAATAATGAAAACCCCCATCAAGAGGTTTAATTTAAGGAAGCACCAATGTTGATGGACCCAGAAGCATGTTCTATGAGATTTAGAATATATGCATTACTCTCAAAACCTAAAAACAATTGCAGAAATTAACAACATGAATACTTCAAGACCCTGAATAAAGCAATTCTGGCCACTCATTTTGTCTCATTAAAGCACACAAACTCATATACATGAACATACATGCATAACTTTACACTTCCAAGTTTGGTCTCTGTAAAAGCTACATGGTCTGTTTTTCTGTTCATGGTTTGTTTTCCTCTCTTTCTTCCTATTGGGTTCATATAATATTTATTTCATACATTTTCCTAACATTAGAATGTGTAATCTATGGATAACAGTGTTATTTACCAGTTATAATTTATTGATATGGTAGATGACTCAGAGTCATCTACCTTTCTTTTGAACTTCTCAGAGCCCTAATAATTGCTTCGCATCTAAACTGAAGTGCCAAGCACCTTTGCAAAAACCTCACAATCTCTCTTAAACTATGAAAACTCTTTCCACACAAACACCAGACTCAAGAGGAGAGGCTAATCGATAGGGCATATGTGCATCCCCTCCCTGCTCATGTTTCTGAAAAAAATCAAATAGACCACCCCCCCCCAAAAAAAACCATGAGAATTAAGTGGTATAAAAGTAGCAGTTTCATCTAGGAAGGCTTTTAGCTGGTTTTCTTTTGTGTGTTTTTGAAGCACGGTGGGAGAAGTGGTAGCACCATTATGAATGCTTAGAGAATATTTGCACCAAAGCCATGTGCCTATCTATCTGTGCAAACAAGGAAAGAAACTTGAGGTAATAAAACCTGTAAACTAAGACAGAAATGGGACCCTATGAGATACATTACAGGAGCTGAGCACAAAGGAGTGAACAGGATCAATGACCTCATTTGCTAGGGACTGGAGTTTAATGAATGATTTGGAAGGATACTCAAGCCATGGGACAATACAAAACTCTCAGGCACCCTGTAGATCTTAGAATATGTGGGGAGACCATTTCTCTAAGGCAAGGATAGAAAGTTCCTTGCTGTATAGTAATGCATTGTTCTGCCTGATGCTTGTAGTCAGGCCATAATAGGTGATTAGATAACCATCTCCCAGTTGCTACATGAGCACTCAAACTAACTGAAGTAGAGTGTCCTTTCCCCTCAAAACACTGTTCTTTCAAGCAACAGACACCTAGACCTAGGGATTTTAAATGCATTGCTTTTGATTTCATATAACTTAGTTGGGTAGTGAAAGCTAAGTATATATAACTTAAATTTTTCTTGGAGTTTTTCTTACATTTCTGATTGATTTCTTATGAAAAGTGACCTTAAAGGGCACCCACATTCTCCCCAAGGTGGAGTTTGTTATTAATACATTATTAGGGCTCAGTCAGAAGAACTCCAAGAGTTGTTCCCTTTATTTTGTTAAGTTCTCTGTATTAGCTTCCATGTGCACCTTTATGTAAGGACTCACTGTGCAGGCCAAACGTTCCTTTCTCTAGATAGCTTATAAGCATCTGGATAAATTTGCATTAGAAATTCAATTAACTTTATATTAAAAGGTCAATTAACTTGGCCATGATAGAGATTGTTTTTAATTACTTTTTCTTGTAGGCCTTCTCTTCTTGTCCAAGCACAAGTGACACTATCAAATGATAGTCTCATTGCCTGTTGGTTGCCTGAAACTCATATCCAAAACACACAGGAAATAACTGTCTTGGTTAAATGAATTAATAAGACATTCTTTAGACAATTCATAACTATTATAATTTTGGGGACTTAAAGTATAACCAATAATAAAGTATTTTAGCTTAAATACCCTCTATGGTATTGTTCATGACAATTCCCTTCATTGTCTGTCTTTGTTGGTTTCTATTTTCTTGGTGAAAGATGATAATAAAGTAAAATGATTTTAATGATTAGTTCTTATTACACTATATCACAGTGTATTTCATGAAAAATTAACAAATAATGACATTAACAATTAGTGATCTCTGTCGGGCATGGTGGCTCATGCCTGTAATCTCAGCACTTTGGGAGGCCGAGGCAGACAAATCACCTGAGGTAAGGAGTTCGAGACTAGCCTGGCCAACATGGTGAAACCCTTCTCTACTAAAAAATACAAAAATTAGACGGGTGTGGTGGCAGTTTCCTGTAATCCCAGCTACTCGGGAGACTGAGGCAGGGAGAATTGCTTGAACCCAGGAGGCAGAGGTTGCAGTGAGCCAAGATCATGCCACTGTACTCTAGCCTGGGCAACAGAGCGAGACTCCATCTCAAAAAACAAACAAAAAACAAAAACAAAAAATCAGTGATCTCATTTCATTAGAGAGCTCTTAGTTATCTTTGTGTTAATATGAGCCACAGTTCAACTCATTCATGGGGCACTAGAACACTTATACTTAAGAGGTTCAAGGGATTACCACTTGGCATTAAGTTACAAGTGACAATAGTGTCCACTTGATATCGAGTTGTAACCATTACTGAACTATCACTCAGACAAAAGAAAATAACTAAAGATAAATATATAAATAATATATCTACATATTTTATATATTAATGCATTAACCCAAACTTCCAGATGACTTAAAAATAAGGCAAACACTGTTCAGGAGTTGATATTAGGAAAAGTCTTGAGATGAAACTTATTTTACTTTTGCAGAAGGGAATAGCCTTCACTCTCCAGGAGCAATAAGAATGTCCTAAGCACTTTGTAAATGTTACCTATATCACTCTCACTACAACCTTATGAGATAAAATTCATTGTTCCCATTTTACTGATGTTTTAGCCAAGATCATAAATTTCACTGGAGGCTGAGTTACCTGTGTCCATCTACCTTTCCAGACTTTAAATTTTCCCCTAGAATGAAAGCACTGGATCTAAAAGTAATGACACTATAAAATGCCTATAAAAGTATGCTTAGGGCTGGGCATGTGACTCATGCCTGTAATCCCAGCACTTTGGGAGGCCAAGGTGAGTGGATCACAAGGTCAGGAGTTTGAGACCAGCCTGGACAAGATGGTGAAACCCCGTCTCTATTAAAAATACAAAAATTAGCCAGGTGCGGTGGTTGGTGCCTGTAATCCCAGCTACTCAGGATGCTGAGGGAGGAGAATTGCTTGAACCCGGGAGGTGGAGGTTGCAGTGAGCCAAGATTGCACCACTGCACATTTCAGCCTGGGCGACAGAGTGAGAATCCGTCAAAAAAAAAAAGGTGCTTAGGAGTTATCTGAATGCTAGAGGTAATTCTAAGCATTCAGTTTTGGAACTGAGTAAGAGGAAGGGAACAGATTAGGCCCATGCCACTCAAAGAATGAGTTCACAAGAATGTAAATTAACTCTGTCACTGAGCACATTTTTCCCCATGGTGAGACTTTCTCAATGAAAAAAGCTGTGCATCAGTTTATATTCCAGTGCACATTTCTTTTTTCTTTCTTTCTTTCTTTCTTTCTTTCTTTCTTTCTTTTTTTTTTTTTTTTTGAGACGTAGTCTCGCTCTGTCACCCAGGCTGGAGTGCAGTGGCGCGATCTCGGCTCACTGCAAGCTCCGCCTCCAGGATTCACGCCATTCTCCTGCCTCAGCCTCCCGAGTAGCTGGGACTACAGGCGTCTGCCACCACGCTTGGCTAATTTTTTGTATTTTTAATAGAGACAGGGTTTCACCGCGTTAGCCAGGATGGTCTCGATCTCCTGACCTCGTGATCCGCCCCCCTCAGCCTCCCAAAGTGCTGGGATTACAGGCGTGAGCCACCGCGCCCAGCCTCCTGTGCACATTTCAGATCTTCACATGGACCAATAACAGTTTGAAAACAGTAACCAGTCCATGAACAAGGTTTTAAATGGCACAAACTTAAGAAGCTTATTATGAGATTTTCCTTTTCTGTGAGTATTTTAATCATTTTGGATAAGAGTTATCCTTAAAGTTATCCTATTTGATTTTTCATCTATCAAAAGAACAAGTCACATCACTTATTCACAATAGAGATAGTAATGAAGGCTAATGTCCTAAACCCTGTAAATCTATGGGGGCATTAATGTTAGTTGAAGTAATATTGCTAGTTTTAATAAGCCGATCTCTTCCAAAAGCAAAAAAAAAAAGTCTTCCTAAAAAATGAACAATATTGTCATCACACAGCATAATGGTTAAAGTGAAATATGAACTTTAAAAATATATTACTCATACCTGCACCTCCGCCTATGCTTAGAATCTTAATTTCTGATTTTGTGTCTCCAATCCTGAAAGAAAAAAATTATGTAGTTTTAGAAAAATGTGTTAGGTGCTTTGTGAAATCTGATTATCTAGTCTAGTTGAAGAGAACAGACTAAAAATACAATGAATGAAAACTAGGCCAACATGAAATGTCCCAATTATATCAGTTATATTGCCATCTTTAGAGTATATTTCAAAATATAGGTTTTATTCATTAACAATCTTTAACTGGGAGACTTGGAAATGGCAGTATGTACATATCAGAGGTACAAAATGCCATTTGTTTGGTTATGGCTTGGAGAACAAGAACAGAAAAAGTGGAGTTTTGAGTCTAGTCATATAATAAGCCACTCATCGTAGATAAAGGAAAGGCTCAGCTGGTTCCCACTATCTATAATGTTTGCCTTCTTTCCTCCCCCTTTTTTTAACCTTCCTTTTAATGAACAAGTGTTTATTAAACATGCATTATGTGTATTCTATCCTAGGCATTAAAAAAACAGATATCACTTTGCTCTCAAAATGAAATGTGAGATAATAAAGCCCGAATTATGACTCAGGTACTAGAAATAGAGTGGAGTGGACAGATTGGGAAATAAGCCAGTAGGACTTGCTGTTAGATTGATGTGAAGAGGTCAGAAAAAAATATGAATGCACAGTGACTTCCCTGTTTCAGGCTTGGATGACTGGGCAAAGGGTGATGCCAAAAAGGAAGCTGAGAAATACAGTTTGGCAGCAAGCTTATGTTTTGTCAGGGCTTTTAAAAAAAATAAATACGAATTCAGCAGACATTTGGATTTGCAAGATTTAAGCTGGGAGGAGAGAAATCAGGGTCAATGATGTATTCTGGAGAATCATCATCATAAAGTAATGGTCAGTGCTAGAAAAGTAGATTCCATCACCCAAAGATATTGCAGAGTTATAGTAGTAGTGGATGGTGATGCAATACCAACTTCTAAAGATCACTGGATTGTGAAGAATATACAAAGAAGACAGAGAAGAAAAGAAATAAAGCACAGAGAGGTACCAGAGTAATTGGAGGCAGAGAAAGCCCGTCGTCATGGCAAAAGCAGCAGAGTGTACTACTTAAAAAAGGAAAAATCTCCATCGAATTTGGCAATACGAGTGTCTTTAGTAATGGCAGTTGTAAAAGAAGATTGAAGACTGAAGTCAGATGGCAATGGGATTAAAACTGAGCTCAAAAATGAGGAAGCAGATCTAGAGTCTGTTGAAACAGGGTGAAAGAGAGAAGGAAAAGAGATGACTGCTGTAGGAGAACCATGAAGGGAAAAGGATGGTGTTTGTTTCTTTGGACTTTGGGATGGCAAACAAAACTGTGTTTTGTCTACAGTGCAAAAAGCCTGCTCAGTCACAGGATGGGAACAAAAATTGAAGTAAGGTTCTAAAGGAATCTTGCAAAGTCTAGGGTCGAGAACACCTATAAATGATTTGCCTTCTTCAATTCTAATTATCCTCCAACTCATAATCCTGAGTCCTAACACATCCATTTCTATCTACACCTTTTGTTCATTCTTTAAAATGCTTACATCTATGACAGCATAGGGAGGCTATGAAGCAGAGCACCCAAGTTGAAATCCCAGGTTACTGTTATGTTACCTTGAGCAAGTTATTTGACATCTCTGTGAAATAAGATAATAATATCATCTCTCTTGTAGGATTATTAATAACTGTTTCTAATTCATGGAGAAGTTGTGAGGATTCAATGATTTAATTCATGCAAATCTCTTAGAAATGTATCTGCACATGACAAGCACTCCACATATATTAGCAATTATTATGATTCTAGGTACATGTAAGTGATTTATGTGAATTAACTCTTTGAATCCTTGAAATTCCTCTATGAGTTAGATACTATTATTCATCCCATTTCACATATTATAATGACATCAAATAATTATTGAAAACTTACTATTTTCTAGCCAAGGATTTAAATGTTTTATATGCAACAACAATAACCAACTTTACTATTTATAGTTATTTACTATAATTTTTCCTGCCCCCAAGCCCTGCCCCACCATCTACCCTCAAATAGGGGATTGAAGAATTCCTCTATAGGGAAACAAATCATCTCAGTGATAAAGTTAACATGATTTTATATCTGAGGATCTCCCAGGAAAGAGCTGAGTCCACACTCAATTATTCAGTGAGCTACTCACTCAACAAACCCTGCCCTGACTTACACAAAGAGAATCTGACTACCTTTTAGTGCCTCATTATTTGATTGAATAGAAAACCAAGGCTCTTTAGGTGGTTGGGGAGCTGTCTAACATAAGAAACAGAGATGGAAAGAGGCAGAGAGAGCAGAGGAACATTTTGTAATGAATAAGAAGGTATTACATCTGGGAATGATGAAAAGAATGCTATAGAAAACATTCTTGGAAATTAAAAATATAATAGTAAAAAGTTAATACATGGGCTGAAAGAGGAAAGTTGTAGCAAACTGGAAATATAAGAAAATTAGGTAATCAATCCAGGAAGTATTTGATGAATAAAAGTTCCAGAAAAAGAAAACAGTGGTGAAGAATGATTACCAAAGTTCCGCATAACTGAAGGATCTGAATCTCAATTGAAATAGCCCAGGGAGTACCCATAAAATGGGTAAAAAGGAACCATTTCACAGCTCAGTATTTTAAAATTTCAGAATACTAGACGTAAGAAGATTCTAAAAAGTTCAAAATAGGGAAAACAAAACACATAGCAATGTAAAAGTTATTCCACATGCCAAGGATGAGAATTTTGAGTAGCATTTGATTTATTTTTTTCTCTTGTTTGAGACAGGTTCTCACTCTGTCATCCAGGCTGAGAGCAGTGTCTCAGCCATATCTCACTGAAGCCTCGATCTCTCGGACTTAAGTGATCTTCCCACTTCAGCGTCTGGAGTAGCATGTGCATGCCGCCTTGTTCAGCTAACTTTTTCACTTTTTTGTAGAGATGGGATCTTGCTATGTTGCCCAGGCTGGTCTCAAACTCCTAGGCTCAAGTAATCCTCCCGCCTCAGCCTCCCGAAGTGCTAGGATTACAGGCGTGAACCAACACATCTGGCCAGTATTTTATTTGTTAACAGCAATTCTGGTATCTAAAAGACAGTGGAAAAGTACCTTTAGATCTATTATACAAAACCATTTTCAGTATAGAGTTCTATATCCAGTCAAACGATTAACATAGAACCAAGGGATTTTTAAACATACAAAGTCTCAAAAAGTTTACCTCTCGTTCACTCTTAAAGTTCTTAAAGAATTGTTCAGGAAACAAAGGACCGAGGAAACAAAGAAAAGAAAGGCATGAGATATAGAATCAGGGAATCAAATAATGGAGAAAGAAAATGATTCTCAGAAAGTGAAATAAATTCCCTCCTTAATAGTTGTATAGCAGGCCAAAGCAGATCTTCCTAAACTGAAAAAAAGAACAGAGGGCTTCAGAAAAGTTGTTCCCTTGGGGTAAAATAAACAGATTCCTTGATATGTTTGCATATATTGAGAGGAGATTAATATATCTGCTTGGGGATCAAAATAGTAATAGGTACATGGAGAACTAAGAAAAGAAACCAAAATCAAGGCAATAGTCAACTCTAGGGAGAACAAAAAGTTGTACGTAAAAGGAAATATAAGCATAGTCGAATATATTGCTCAATTATTAAGAATATGTACATAGGCAAAATAACATAAACACTCAAATTATTTAACCAAAATTTTGACTACATATAGTGACATGATAGGGTGGGAAATATGCATGCTTACTTAGCTATTTTAATACAGCGAAATGAAGAAATAGAACAATAACATGTTATTTTGAATTATGAAAGAAAATTCCATAAATAACTAAAAGATTTCAAAGTGCTGAAAGTGGTTGCTTCCGGAGAGTGGGAATCAAGAATGGAGTGGGTGGGGTTTGTTATAGTCCCCACACACTTTAGAACCATTTGATGTTTTAAAATATGGCATGTCTTGCTTTAATAAAAATTTAATAGGCTCGCTCCACACTCAATTAGCACAGTGAGCCACAAACTCAACAAACCCTGCCCTAACATACACAAAGAGTATCCTAATCACATTTTGGTACTTCATAACTTATAGACAACTCTAAGTAACAATTTTAAAAGTCCTTCAGCTAAATCTTATTTCAAACATTACCTTCAGGAAAAAAATAAATGACACTGAATCTGATCATTCCTAACTATATACTACTGTTATAAGACAAACAGTGTGCCCTTAAAAATTCTTCAGTCTTTCACAGATTTTATAATATTTCCAGTTAGATTTAAACTTTGAAGATAAGGAAGGGGTCATTCATCATCGATTATGTTATCTCCATCCACGGTACCTCTTCAAACCAAACTGTGTATGGCTGAAGAAAACCAAGGATCTGGTAAGCTACAGACATGAGCAAATACTTTTAGTACTGAAAAAGAATTGAGAAATTAACTCATTACCTTTAACTTTAGAAATGAGCAAAGAAACCCAAAGAGGTTAACTATAATTAGTTCCTAGGTAAGAAGTTCTCTATATTTGCTATTTGCTTTGATGTTTGCATCCTTATCCTATTACATATTAATTTTTAATATATAATATCCTATTTTTTGAAAGCTAACATTTAAAATCTGAATCATGTTAAATAGAAAAGGAAATAAAATTTTATGTACATCTAATAATGCCTGCTCTGGTCAGACATAGGTACTGCCCTGGTGAAAGAATTTCAGGCCTGCAATAGAGAAATTCAGCAAAAGATAAAATACCACTTTCCTTTGCTGTTTGCAAATTGGATCCATAGTCATTTCTTCCCAGTTTTCCATTATTATTTCCTGAAGTAGAATGAGTTACAGCAAATCACCCCCAGATAGGTGATTTGATTATCTTTAGCATGTGGAATCTGTTACTCTCATAATGCTTATCAGCTCTGGCACAAATTGAACACATTAATCACCCAAAAAAAAGAACTCTGCAAGAAGGATAGGAACCAGTGAGTTTCACTGATAATGGGAAAATGGTTCTTTTTTTAAGGAACACATTGCTAATATTAAGCTGAAAGAAAAAGACAATTTTGAGGAAGAGAGTGATAACTATAACAATGGATAAGGAAAATTAATTTAAATGGATATTATGAGAACTGAGGCACTCAATCCTCAGGGCAAATCGTACTTTGGCAATTATTTATATTTGATTCTAATGAAAAGCATACCAGACTCCCTTTGGGACTTTTTTGGGATGTAAAATTTGGAGGAGGGCTGAAAAATCTGAGTTCGAAGATTAGCATCTTATCTTTTCCCAAATGAACATGGATTTGTGCCTTCAAATGGTTAACGCTTATCTCTATGCAGCTGGAAATACAACACAAATGGGAGCCTTTGAGTGTTCAAAGCAAACGTGGAACCAAAGCACTGCAGGAGAAAGGCAGGGCAGGGCAGCGAGGAGGGGACGACGGGGAGCTGCTATCAGTAATTCGCCCTTATCCCTGTGCCCAGCCTGCGAGGCTGAGCGAGACCCATCTATCACTGACGCACAGCCAGTCTGAGGCTTGTCCCTTTGACAACAACGTCCCTTTTGTTACCTTCCTATTATGCCTGGCAGCTTCTTGTCCATGAATTCCTGCATGCACTGGTGTTCCGTGGAATGGTTGAGAAACCTCCGGAAAGATTCAACATATTTCCCGTGGTCAGAAAACAAGCTCCTCATGGAAGATGCCATATTTGGTTTTCTGAGAAAGACAGAGCAGGAAGCAAGGTTTAAGTTCCCCTCCTTCTCTTCCCAGTTCCCTCTTTCTTTCCCCACCCCCACCAGTTTCTATCCAAAAAAAAAAAAAAAAATGCTAAGCTTGTTTTGAATTTAACATGCCACAAAGGCTGGCTTGTAGAGCTCATTACTGAGTCAATATTTGAACGGGACTTTGCACTGATACTTTAACCCCTATACGGTTGTTTTGTAAGAAATAGAAGTATTAAGCAAGGCTGTAAATCCACTGCTAAAACTTTTCAAATTCCTGAGGTTGAAAGGTCATAAAAACAAACTGTATTCAAATCACTTCCTGTTTTGTCAGCAAAGCCACAAGTAAGTTCCAAGTGGGAAAGTGACTGTTCGAAGTGGCAAACACCAGGATAAAGAGGACAGCTACACAGCACTCTCAGAAATCTACAGCAGTGAAATCTTTAACGGAAGACTGTCATCTGCCTCTGTGCTTTCTACGGGATTGTTTTGGGCCTTTACATTCCTCAGCACTTGAATTTTCAACTTATCTGCTGCATTTCTTCAAATGCTGATTTGTTGTAACTCAGAAATTATCTTAAAAGGAAGTCACGAAGGAGGAGCCCAAGAACTCGTAGCTAGAAGGTGTCAGAAGCTGCATTTAGGGGAATGAGAGTGGTAAGAGAAGTCTTGGAGCAAGAATGCAGGACACCAGGGTAAAAGTGCAGTCCATAGAATCCTTCCCTAAGCGCGCTGAACACGACGAGGTCATAGATACTTCGCTTGGCTGGATGAGCCTTTGGAAACCCAGTGGTGTCCCCACCAGAAGAGCCAAAGCTTCAGAGTACCCACACACAGTCTTTTTCCTGGGAAGAGGTCTTTAAGAAGGTCATCCTTTATCTAATATTGGGTTGTTAATAATAGCATCCAACTCATGGAGGAGTGCTGAGGATCAAATGAGTTAACTCATATAAGTCTCTTAGAAATATGTCTGCTTAAACCGTCCCTTCTTCTAATTGAGTTCCCAAGCTGCCCTCTAAGCATTCAAAACACTTCCCAACTCTCTTTTTTTTTTTGAGACAGAGTATCGCTCTGTCGCCCAGCCTGGAGTGCAATGGTGCGATCTCCACTCACTGCAACCTCCGCTTCCTGGACTCAAGTGATTCTCCTGTCTTAGCCTCCCGAATAACTGGGATTACAGGCACCCGCCACCACGCCTGGCTAATTTTTGTACTTTTAGTAGAGACAGGGTTTCACCATGTTGGCCAGGCTGATCTCGAACTCCTGATCTCAAGTGATCCACCCGCCTCGGCCTCCCAAAGTGCTGGGATTACAGGCGTGAGCCACCATTCCCAGCCCCCAACTCCCTTTTATAAGTATGTTTTGTTCTCACTATTCTTAGAGCCAGTGCTTTTACCCCGGGGGAAAGTGTAATATCTGGACAGGCAGATTGCCATGGATGACTCTGCCCTTAATGAACTGTCTGACTTTGGCTGAAACATAAGCTGCAGTTTGCTCATCAGTAAAATGGGAATGAATTTTATCTTATAGGGTTGTACTGAGAATAATATAACTAATGTTTAAAAAGTGCAAGCCAGTCCCTCTGCAAAAAAAATATATATATATAAAATGACAAAAACAGTCGTCACTTTATTCACGGACATTGAAATTTGAGTTTCATATCATTTTCACATGTCATGAAATATTATCCTTCTTTGAATTTACTTTAACCATATAAAAACATAAAAGTTATTGGTAGCTCATGGGCTGCACAAATCAGGTTGGTAGGGTTGGGTTTGGCCACAGGCCTTATTTGGCCAAGCCCTGATTTAGCTCCTGTGCCCTTCACTCATCCTTAGATAAGGTCTTTGCTGGTTCTTTACTCACATCTCTATCCAACCAGCCTTCCCTTTCCTCAGATGGGCTCTGACAAACTTTTGCTTCTATTACCATCTTCCATTTTTCTCTTTAGAGCTCAACCCAAATCATTCATTCATTCATGTGTAACATCTATCTGTTTTTGTTTCACTTTAACCAAAACCAAAAATGGCCAATAATGTATTCATCTATTGAATAAAAGTTTAGTAAGAGTCTCTGTTTGCTATTCTGCTGAGGAATACTCCTGACATGACTTTCTCTTGGAAAGCTGCTGTTAAGGCCTCCCTTAACTGAAACTTGGTCTTCTGAGACCATCACCTCCCTTGCCTGCTGTCAAATATTCTCCAACAGAGCCAGTTCTTCATGTGGATCCCAGTGAGGACTTCCTTTCCGTCTCCACTGTTTCCACCTTACTTGAGATTCTCTTTATTTTTCACTTATTGTGCTTTTTTTTAAAAAAAAATTAAGTTCAAGAGTACATGCACAGATTTGTTACATAGGTAAACATGTTTTATTGGGGCTTGTTTTACAGATTATGTCACCACCCAGGTATTAAGCCTAGTACCCATTAGTTATTTTTCCTGATTCTCTCCCTCTTCCCACACTCCACCTTCAATAGGCCCCAGTGTGTGTTGTTCCCATCTAATGTTTCCATATTTTCTCATTATTTAGCTCCCACTTATAAGTGATAATATGCAGTATTTGGTTTTCTGTTCCTGCATTAGTTTGCTAAGGATAATGGCCTCCAGTTCCATCCTTGTCCCCACAAAAGACATGATCCCATATTTTTTATGGCTGCATAGTATTCCATGATATACATATGTCACATTTTCTTTGTCCAGACTATCACTGATGAGCATTTAGGTTGATTACATGTCTTTGTTATTGCATATAGTGCTGCAATAAACATTTACATGCATGTGTCTTTATAACAGAACAATTTATATTCCTTTGGGTATGTACCCAGTAATGGGATTGCTGGGTTGAATGGGATTTCTGTCTTTTGGTCTTTGAGGAATCGCCACACTGTCTTCCACAATGGTTGAACTAATTTACACTCTGACCAACAGGGTATAAGTGTTTCCTTTTCTCCACAACCTTGCCAGCACCTGTTATTTTTTTACTTTTTCATAATAGCCACTGTGACTGGTGTGAGATGGTATCTCATTGTAGTTTTTATTTGCATTTCTCTAATGATCAGTGATGTTGAGCTTTTTTTTATATGATTGTTGGCTGCATGTATGTCTTCTTTTGAAAAGTGTCTATTCATGTCCTCTGTCCACTTTTTCATGTCTTTTTTTTATTCTTGTAAATTTGTTTAAGTTCCTTATAGATAATGGATACTAGATCTTTGTCAGGTGCATAGTTTGCAAAAATTTTCTCCCATTCTGTAGGTTATTTATTCTGTTCATAGTTTCTTTTGCTGTGGAGAAGATCCTTAGTGTAATTAGATCTCATTTGTCAACTTTTGCTTTTGTTGCAATTACTTTTGGTGTCTTCGTCATGAAATCTTTGTCCATGTGTATGTCCTGCATGGTATTGCCTAGGTTGTCTTCCAGAGTTTCTATAGTTTTGGGTTTTATATTTAAGTCTTTAATCCATCTTGAGTTAATTTTTATATATGGTGTAAAGAAGGGATGCGGTTTCAACCTTCTGCATTTGGCTGGCCAGTTATACTATAGTGTGTGTGGTTTTTTTTTTTATTGGCTTTCCTGCTTTAGGAATCACACAGATCCTAACCAATTTTATTGCCACTGTCAACTTCATGTTTTTTTTTAAGTAAGTTTGGATAAAGACACTCTTTTCTTTCTCTCATAATATTTAGTCTCCCCACTGACCCCCACGTCAAGTACAAGATCCATTCTGTAGCCCCCCCAATAATTATCCAGAATTGTGTCTCATTTACCTCTAGTTTGCATTTATATCCCCTTCAAACTGTGCTGCTTCTCTGGATACATTCCTGTGCTTTTTTGCCTACAGCATCTCCTCATAATAGTCCCTTCTGTAACATGCTGCTTCCTTTCTTACCGCATCCATTGAAAAATTTTCTATTCTTCATATGCTACCACTTTCATATAGCCTTCCATATTTCCCTCAAAATAATCAGCACTCACGCTCGTAATTTCTGAGATTCTTGCAAGCATTCATCCTTGTGTTATTGTTGTTTAATATATTTGCCTTAACTCCCCTGCTTGTCCCCATGTGACTTAGCTCATAAAGACAGGAACTGAGTCACAGCTACTTCCCGTGATGTGTTGCCTGAAGTAGACTTTCAGTTCTTTTTTAAATAATTAAGAATATGCTTGAACATTTACACTATTGAGTTGTTCTCTGCTATCAGATGTCCTCCATCCTTTTCATTATTGAGTAGCTCTATATGTTACCAATAACACCAGAATTCCATTTATTGAGCACTTACTATGTGCCAGGAATTGTACAGATCTTTTCAAATTTAATGTAGGATTTACTCTTTGTGGTACCTCCATCAGCTTCCCCCTATTACAAATGAGAAAACCAAGTTTCTGAGAGATTAAGCTGCCTAGCCAAAAACTGCAGGACTGCTGTTGAATTATAGTCTGTCAAACCCCAGGACTAGCACTCTCACAACAATTTTTTATTCAGCCAAAACCTGCTGCCCTATAATTCTTAGATACTACTCCTATTTCTGGTTGCTTAAACTAAACAGAAGTAATCCAGTTCTTTCTCCATATAACAACCATTAAGAAACTTGAAATCAACTGTCAGGACAACCTTACTCCCCAGGTGTCTCTTTTATAGTTCCTAACTATTTATTCTACAATATAGCATTATATAATTCATTACTCTGGCCCCTCCTTTGGAAAGATTCTAGTTTGTCTGGGTTCCTTTAAAAGATGATGTTTGAAAATAAACACAATATCCCCAAAGCTACATAAAAAGTGGAGATTTATTTTCCAGGCATATACTAGTGTTTCCCAAAGTTATGCCCAACCCAACTTCTTTCAGATTTTACTCTGCAAAAAATGGGTTCCATGGTCAAATAATTTAAAAAGTGCTGAATTCAGTAGCTTCCTCTGGATATTCATAATGCACATTAGTATATTAAAGATTCATAAAACCTTTGTCACATGTCCTCTTCAGATGCAAATATATCATGGCGATGACATTTCTCTGATTAGTCTTGCAGCCCCTCAAAAGAAAAAAAAAAGAGGAAATCTTGTTGCTTTCAGCATGTTTTGTGTTTGATTAAGTGCTGGTTTCAGCAATCACAACTTCCTTTTAAAATTGCATATAGAATATCTGTTTCATAATCCATACTGCATCTGGAATTTCCTTCTAGCTGGCTGGTTGGAATTACTGAATCTTGAAAATCTTTTTTTCCCTTTTTTTTGGAAAATTGAAGCAACAATCTACCACATCTATCATTTGCCATGACTTTTCAAAAGTTACCAGCAGTGACATCAGTATTACTTTTATAAGTTCTTTCAGCACATTGAAATGTAATTTTTTTAGACCTTAAATTATTGCCTAATTTAAAATTCTTATTTATTTTCTTACCTATTTTGGGCATCCATCCCCTATTATATATCAATTATTAAGCTGTTACTGTGTCAAAGCACCTTATATACTTCTAACACTCTGGGGGATGGAACTATTGACACCATCAAGTGAGACTCAGAGCAGATAAATAGTTTAAGACCACATAACTCCTAAGAGAAGAGCCTCGGTCCAAATTAATGTTTGATTCCAAGGCTCATTTAAAAAATTATGCCATATTACCTCTCACCACTCTGTGTCTTTCCAATATGAAGATTGTTTTGGAGCAAAATATAGGAGCAAAGAGAAAGATAGAAGCAAAGAGAAAGTGGAATAATTCTGTGTTCTTTCTATCACCTTTTAATAGAACACCATCTGTGCTAGGTCAAAAAACAAAGGCTTTCCCTTTTTCATTTTTCTTCTTCTGTATGTGGTATACCAAAAAATAAACAAATGAACAAAAGAGAAGAAAAAACAGTAGCAAAGTCTTCAGGACCCATTTTCTTCTACACAGCATTGTTCAGATATTTCTATTCATCCTGGTCTTTAGTCTTCTGAACACCATGCTCATTGGTCTAGCTTCTTATTCTTATGTCCCATCATCTAAGTAGCATACTACATAGGTATATGTTAACAGCAATATTGTTAAAATATCTTAGTCAAATAGGTCAAAGAATCACATTTTCTTTTCACTTGACAAGAATGGAGGAAGACGTATTTTATACAAATTGGTTGATTTACTTGATCTGCTAGCTTATTTGAAAGTTATCAGGAAGATTGACCCAAGTGTGGTCTCAAAGGAAGGATTGGAATTATAGCACATAAAATTTTAGAGCTTGATTAGACTGGTAATTTCAGCCAAATATAATAGGCATCAGGAATCTTACATTCTACAGGAGACTTAGATAAGTTTCTCATAAATATGGAAATAAGAAGCAAGAAAATGGAATGCTATACAAGCCTAGCCTCTTACTAGGTAAATCTGCTCTAAACTTTTTTTTCCATATATAAAAAAATGTGGAAAGATGAGAGGTGAGATGATCTTTAAGTTTTCTTGAAGTTCTAGTTAAATGCCTTCCATCTTTTAAAAAGATAAATTTTTGTGGGCTTGTGAAACTAAAAGTAGTTGTATATATATTCATAGCTAGTAGAGCCACTGTATCTAAAGATTGTCAATAAATCATAAATGATAACCTAAAGATAGTCTCTGGGTAAGCAGCCCCTTGACATCGTGTTATTAGGCAAATTTACCAATGTGAGTTGCTTAAGGTCACACAGCTGGTAATAATGCCATGTATCTTGTTACTATTAATGACTTAGTTGTTTCAATTATGCTTTATTAATGTGGAGTTTATAATAGTTTTGTTTTAATTAACTTAAGAAAGGAAAGGCCCAAAATACCCAATCAGGGACAAACCAAACCATCTTGTGATAGAGACAAAATACTTGGAGGATAATTAATTGAGAAGGAAGAGAGCAGATGGACAGACAAATCCTGTTAAAAGACATAAAGAGTAATCAGTGAAATTCTAGCGATATAAAGCTATTTTGAAATATTTAAGGATGTGAACAAAGAATAAGGCACAACAAAAAAGAAAGAGTCTGTGAACTAACTTTCCTTTTAATAATCAAAAAAAATTTTGTCACCTTGAAAGTACTAGATCTCCTCTCAAAGGTAAAGGTCAGTAAGTATTTAGAACCTGGAAAATTAGCAAGAACTGGACAGCTATCAAAACAAAAAATCAAACCAAAATCCAATAATACAATTCATGAAATGAGCTTTTGTCTTACTGTCCATGTTACAGATGATGCAATCTTCAGTGACTACCGTAAGGGGTAGCACCAGTGTGGAGGTGGGGATCTGGTGAAGGGAAAAGCTTCATGTAAAAGGAATTTTATAAACAGAGGGGTTGTGGTAAGCAAACTTCTCTGGCATCTGGTGAAGAAGTATGTGCTCAATATACCAAAAAATTGCTCAATATACCAAAAAATATAGTCTATCAAATCCCAGGACTAGAACATTCTCCTGGGCTAGAACATTCTCCTGTCTGAGATGCCTTGTAATATGATTTGGCTGAGCCTTATTTTCTCACCTGTGAAATAGAGATAATAATTCCTACCTCATAAAAATTTGTGAGGATTAAAAGAAATAATGTGTATCAGGTTTTCAGCCTAGTGCCTGGCATATAATAAACTCTCTGGTGTGAGGTTGACATCTTTAACTTTCAGTTCCTTCATTTATGGGATGAACACAATAATGCTGTATTAGTCAGGTTTCAATACAAGTGGCAAAATCTCTGTCCAGGATTCCAGAGATAATTTTTAATATGGGTAGCTCATGATAAAGGTGTTGGAAGAACTGAAAAGCAAACAAGGAAGGTGAGCAAGTCCTCAAGGCAGGATGCCCTTGCCACCTGTACCACCTGTAGGAGCAGGTGTTACCAAAGTTCTGGAGCTCAAGCTGCATAGTGGGAGGTAGAACAAGCGCTCTTGAGGATGCTGCCTGAAACATCAGGACATGGGCAAAAGTACCCAGTGTCTCCTCTTCCTGACCCCTCATCTCTACCAATTTTCCCACTTTACTAAAACTAGCTGAAAACCAGTTGGCAAGGAAGTATGGGTGATATAACTTGTAGGATTCAACTTTTTGAAGTACCTAGTAGAGGATGGGAAGGACCAGAAATGTATCTAGCATCAAACAGTCAATAACCAGAACAAGTGCCTACTATAGTAAATTAATTTGTTGTGAGTGGAAAAAGAAAAAGAAAAAAAAGCATAAAGCAAAATACCTAGAATGTATTAAGTACTCACTGAATGCCAGATAAAATAGTGAAAACAAAAGGTGTCTATTGTGATAGCTACAGGTCAATGAGAGCTAGTACTCATGAACTCTTAAAGAAGACTGACTTTGTTTGATGAGGGTATTTGGCTGAAAACTATTTCTTGGGAATGTATCAGGGTTTTGGGAAACTCATCAGCGGGCACCTGATAATGGGAGGTCATTAGGAGTCCCATGATGATGGGATTCCTTTTCAGATCTGAGAATTTCAGAGCTGTCTGTCCCTTTCTCCTCCTGTGCTCGCTGGGGGTCAGAAGATGGACTAATGGGCGACTCCCGCTCCTGCTTCTCTCCATGTTACACTGCTTACTAACTCCCTGTGTGACTTTGAGCAAGCACTTAATTCAGTTGCCTTGAATTTCTTCAGATGTAGAGAACTAGATGCCATCATTCATTTCCAGTTCTAAAATTCTAAGACTACTTGAGTTTACACCTGTTAATCAGAGACACGGCTCATATTTCAGGCTTGAATTAGGATGCCATTTGTAAGACATTTGGCACTCGATGTGTCTCATTCTCTGACTCTTTGGTGCTCCTCCTTCCCTAATACAAATTCAAAGCTACTTTGCATTTCTAAGCATAGATTATACCATTGTGATGCACTAACAATTTGGAAAACATAAGGGGATCAAAGTAATTACCCATATGTTCTCAGGCAGTAGAAAATAATTAAAGTCTGTTTATAAATATGGCTAATTAAAAACAAAATGCATATGAATTCAATGTTTATTTTATTATTTCCTACATAGGACTCTAAGAGTTGTTGTTGTTGTTGTTGTTGTCTTTAAAGACAGGGTCTCACTCAGTCACCCAGGCTGGAGTACAGTGGCACAATCACCACACACTGCAGCCTTGAACTCCTGGGCTCAAGCAATCCCCTTGCCTAAGCCTCCCAAGTATCTAGGACTACAGGCATAAGACACCATGCCTGGCTACTTTAAGTTTTTTTTTTTTTTTTTTTTGTAGCATTGGGAAGTCTCACTCTGTTGCCCAGTCTGGTCTTGAACTCCTGGCCTCAAGCAATCCTCCTGCGTCGGCCTCCCAAAGCAGTTGTTTTTAAATATAGTCAATGCCTATAGAAGAAGTAGCTCCCAGGATGTTGTATAATCAGACATTATACATGGGGTGTCAGTCAGCTCAAGTAGCTCAGAGATGATCTCTGGTAAAATACATTCCAGAGTTATCAATTTGGCACACATTTTGTGCCATCAACTGAAATTTGTAGTTAATAAACACATGGTTAAAAACAGAGGCATAATGTTCCCAAAAGTGTATTTAAAGACTCTCTGCTCTACTACTCCAAATTAATACTTCCACTGGTCCAGTTCTAGCAGCAGTGAAATGCAGATTGGGTCAAAGATGGTGAAGGTTTATGGAGATTAACTCAATAATTTTTGAAAATTTGCTATTTGATAATTCTGAATTGATCTGTAGATGATCTTGTCTCCAAAACTCCATACTACTAAAACAAACAAAAAAGGAAGTAAAGACAATTTTTAAAAGTACAGTGATTTTTGCCTCTCACAAGTGTATGTTCTGTTTTATACTGTGTTTCTAGTTATGGTGCCTAATGAAATGCTGGTTGAAATTGTGACAGGCCAGGTCTCACTAATGCAGGCCTCCATAACAACTGTTTCAGTACTGACTGAGTGGTTAAGTTAAATATTAAAAGTCAGTACCCTTATATAAAGGCTGGAATGTAACAAATGCCCACCAAGAGTTTTGCTTAGGCCTTTCCTGGGCCTTAAAACATGACAAAATAACAAAGGAACTCTTAACAGAACCTATTCAGGATTAAACAAGTTTTACTGTGGGTCTGAAGCAACTCCCCAGGCCTCCACAAACAAGTTTATTGGAGGTCTGTGGGAACTCCCCAAACCTCCATGATTTAGCAGGAGACAAGATAAGGGTAATCACCCCAGCACCTGGACCCATTTACATGAAGTAAATTTACTGAGGCTCCAGAGGAAGGTCTTCAGGACTTAGGCCTTAGTTACGGATTAAAAGAAGTTATTCACTTACAACATTAGATGAATGCACACTTACATGTAGACATATAGCTTAGAAGGTATATAAGCTCTGAAAAACTTTGTAATTTTGAGTTGGTCTGGTGATCCAGGCCTTCTCCCTGTGACTGGTTACAGAAATAAAAACTCTGTTTCTCCCCAATTCATCTGCATCTTGTTATTGGCGCGCAAGGGATAGCTGCCCGACCCTCAGTTTGGACCAGGAACAAAATGTCAAAGTTGATTAAAACTTTTCACAGTACATATTTGGTCTTTTACTAGTCAGATAAACAGTGAAAAGCTCATGTTTTTCATAATATTGCTGCTAGAATCATTTTTCTAAGTTTCATTTTTATCACCTTTTTATCTCTAGTCAGGATAGGAAATTAATGCATATTGGAATTGAATTTGTTTGGGGAATTCGTTTTGTTTAATTTGTTTTAAAATACTAACTGCAATCCAGTATTGAAAGGAGATATAGCTCAAACTTCTTAATAGCCATATCCAGGGAGACTTCCATAGTGAAAATGTGAGCCGAAAGTAGATATTGATGATATTCAAGAAAATAATTTCAGTAAATTTGGAATGAGCCAAAATTATGTATGAAAACTCAACTTGAAATTAGAATTCAAAGCAAGATCCCCATGAATAGAGGATGTTGCAGCTTGCTGCTAGGTGGCAGACAGAGGGAAGAATAAATGAGCTCCAGCTTTTGAGAAATTTAATTAAAAATTATATCAAATCTGGGATTCTCCTGAAAGAATTTGTACTTACTTTAATAAAGGTTGTTTCTCATGGAGAAGCAATTTTAATTTTAGACCAGTGTTGCAATTCTGTGCTAAAAATGGCCTTTCTATGAGATCTTGTTCATTTTTGCAAACACAATATATCCTCCCTACCCTCAGGACCTTCCTTTAGCACCCAGACGGAAGAGCATTTGCCAAAATAATGATAGGAATGCTCTGAAGACAACAGCTCTTCTCTAAACTTTATTACTATAAGTACATACGACAAAAATCCAGACCACAGGCAATACTGAGGTAAGAGGTAAATCACATCTGCTGCTCAGGTAAAAAATTTTCATTTCAAATTTTTAAATTCCAAGAGAGAACCAGAGAAGATCAGTGACTTTCAGGGGTTAAGGGCTGTGGGAGGGTGAGCTACAAAGGAACAGCAAGAGGGAGTTTGTATGGAGAGACAGCACCATTCTGCATTCTGAAAATAATGGTGGTGAGGGACTAATTGGCTAAGTTGGCTGGACTTCCTGGGTCAATAGGGACTTCCCTAAGGGGACTTGCCCCTAAGCCAAAATGAGTCATAGCTGCAAGCTAAGGTATTGAAACTTCAACCAATCATATAGGGAGTTTAAGCTCTAGCTGCAGCCTGATGTTTTTAACTAATCAGGCCCGCCAATCCACAAGTGGATAAAAAATAAGCTAATTCTACAGGACTAAAAAAGGAAAAAAGGAGGGATCATAAGGAGATATAAGCATAAGACACCCAAGCCAGAAACGGCAAGCCTTCCAGGTCCGCTTCCACCACGTGGAAGCTTTACTTTCCCTTTCACTTTAATAAATCTTGCCGCCGCACACTCTTTGGATCCACGTGTTTCTCTCATTGAGCTGTAACACTCGCCGCTGCAGTCCATGGCTTCATTTCTTGAAGCCCCTGAGACCACGAAACATTGGATCAAGAAAAGACTTTCGATTGGGAGAAGACTTCTCATCTCAGTGGCATTTGTCAAAACTCCTAGAACTGTACACTAAAAAGAATGGATTTTACTGTATGTAAATTTTTAAAAATAAAAAAATGAACATTGTCAACTTGGAAACTTTGAACAAGTGTGTCAGTTTCGCTTTAGATTAGACATGCTTATCAGTAGACTTGACGTTTAACCTGTCCCCTCCACCTCCCTAATTCCTTCTTCCCACCTCTCCTCAGTTTCCCACTTCCTTAAATTTTGCTGGGATTTCCTGACTTCTCTTCCTTTGCACACACACCAAACAAACAAACAAAACAAACAGAAAAACACCAACTTTGAGAACCAAGGCCTCAGATTAATTATGGTGATTAAAGAATTCAGACCTGAGAAGGAATGTTCCAAAAGTCAGGAGAATGTGCTGATAGAAAAGGATCATAGGGAAAGTGTGTGTGGGTGGGAGAGGGGCATGCTTTCACTCTTTTATTTTTATTTTTTGCAAGAACCCTGTGGGTCTAAAGAGAGAGAAGAAGAGAAGGATATTATAATAATCATACCTTATATTTGTAAACTGTGTTATAGTTTATAGTCATCTTCAATTAACTTCTTTAATACTCCATCAACCTGCATTGCCCGCATTTTCCAGATGAAGAGACCATGGCCCAGAACAGTGAATTGCCACTGGTCGCAGGACTAGGATGTGGAAGTTTGACTTGAGGTATGAATCATGCTTTTCACCATGGGTAACCTCTGAGCTAAGAGTTTCTGAAAGAAATGTGTAGGTGGCAGGGTCGAATTTCCAAGCAGCAGAAGGCATTAAGAAAGGCATCAAGAGATAACATCTCACTCCTGCAAGAATGTTTTTTAACTTAAAAAGTTAAAAAACAACAGACATTGGTGTGGATGTGGTGGAAAAGGAATGCTAACACACTGCTGGTGGGAATGTAATTTAGTACAACCTCTATGGAAAAAAGTATGGAGATTTCTTAAAGAACTAAAAGTAGGCCTACCATTTGATCCAGCAATCCCACTACTGGGTATCTGCTTAAAGGAAAAGAAATCATTATAGCAAAAACACACCTGCACACATATGTTTATTAAGCACAATTCACAATTGCAAAGATATGGAACCAACCTAAGTGCCTATCTCCCAATGATTGGATAAAGAAAATATGGTATATATACACCATGGAATACTACTCAGCCATAAAAAAGAACAAAGTAATGTCTTTTGCAGCAACTTGAATGGAGCTGGAGGTCATTATCCTAAGTGAAGTAACTCAGGAATGGAAAACCAAATACTACATGTTCTCACTTATAAGTGGGAGCTAAGCTATAGGTACACAAAGGCATGCAGTAGGATAATGGACATTGGAGACTCAGAAGTGGAAGGGTGGGAGGAGGGCGAGAAATTGAAAAACTACATATTGGGTACAGTGTACACTACTCGGGTGACAGATGCACTGCAATTTCAGACTTCACCACTATACAATCATCCATGTAACCAAAACCCACTTGTATCCCAAAAGCTATTGAAATTTTAAAAACATTTAAAAAATAAACACATCAAGAAATTTTAGGCCAGGTGCAGTGGCTCATGCCTGTAATCCCAGCACTTTGGGAGGCTGAGGCGGGTGGATCACTTGTGGTCAGGAGTTGAAGACCAGCCTGGCCAATATGGTGAAACCGCATCTCTACTGAAAATAAAAAAATTAGCCAGGTGTGATGGCACACACCTGTAATCCCAGCTACTCGTGAGGCTGAGGCAGGAGAATTGCTTGAACCCAGGAGGTGGGGGTTGCAGTGAGCCGAGATCGCTCGACTGCACTCCAGACTGGGCAACAGAGCAAGGCTCTGTCTCAAAAAAAAAAAAAAAAAAAAAAAAAAAGCCTGTTGCTCTTGGGGAATGATAAGAAGTTATAGATGATGGAATGTTGGCTGTGAGAGGAAACATTTATTCTCAGAATCAAAGTCAATAGCCACTATGTATCTATGTCACCATATTGCTTCAGAAAAATACAATTCTTTAAGTTATTCCTTGAAATATTTCAGGCTGCTCATTTTTCCTGTCTTTCTCCCGGTGACTCTGTCCACCTATTACTTCCTCTTTTCTTAGCTACTGTGCTTGCCATGTCCTCTATTACTCAGTAACGCGGGGGAGAGATATGGATGGGCTCAAAGCACCAAGGCCCAGTAGAGCACAAGACATGAAGCAGAGTTTTCCTCACCACACCTATTCCAGGTGCTGTTTCAGGCTTCTGTTCGGCAAGCAGCTACCAGGTCCACTTCTCCAGGCCTCCCCATGATGCTGTGAGTGAAGCAAAACCACTCAGAGGATTCAAATAAATACCTTCTCTGCCTAGGTGGGCTAGCATCTGTTTCTATTGCTTATAAAGAGGGATCCTGAATACTGCAAGTGTTTTTAAACAATTTTTTTCTGACCGTATTTCTTGGAACCTTTCCATTCTGCGGTCTCTCAGGAGCCATGTGGAGAGGGTAGAGTCAACCCAAGCCAGCAGCTCCCTGGGTTCTCCTGCAACCAGAGCAGATCAACTTAGTTTTCTTATGAAAAAGGATTTCTGCTGCACCAAAAAAAAAAAAAAAAGTTTGGAAACTACATGTGGGTGGCAGGAAAGAAGTTATTTTATCTTTACTAAGTTTCTTGAATTTTTCTAGACTTCCTCTGGATACCAAGACAGAACCTGCCAGCCCCAAGTCCTCCAGGTTCCCATGGAATATCTAGTAGTAAAGAGTCCTAGCAGTTGCCTGCTATCTCCTCAGCAGCCAAAGCTGGTCCTGCTTCCATTTGTTACCTGGATCCTGGAGACCCAGTGAAGATCTGATTTATGCCACTTCTTAGTCATCTCATCTTGGACAAATACCTTACTTCTGCTGAACTTAAATCCTTCTCTCTGTAAAATAGAACATGAGTAACACTCTTCTGTCAACCTCATATGACACCTGTGAGGCTCAAATGATCTAATAAGTATCACCTTGTGCCTTTATAAATTATTCTGTACATACAAGATGAAACTATTATAGCTATTACAGTCAGCATAAAATCTTAAATCAGTTGGTGAGCTTGTTTCCTGGATGTGAATGAATTAAGCTAGTCTATTCTATGTAAAAACAGCTAGCTCTTGTCACAGGAGGATGCATTGTTTTATACCACAGCTCTGTGGTTAAATTCTGATATGACACTGACATTTTATTTTATTTTATTTTATTTTCTTAGACATGGGGTCTCTCAATGTTGCCCAGGCTAGTCTTGAACTCGTCGCCTCCCACCATACTTCCACCTCAGCCTCCCACAGCTCTGGGATTACAGGCATGAGCTACTGTACCTGGCTGAAATTTTATAATGTGTAATCTTTAAACCTCAAGGGCCTATAGGCTTTGTCATAAAAAAAAAAATCAAAAGAAAATTTTAACAGTGGCCACGATGGTTGCAGTCAGGCACATGGGTAATAAAACCTAGGCCTATAAACTAAATTTGACCTCTTACCTGCGTAACTGCAGTTTGTTAAGTATTTCACCGACAGGTACAGGTTATAAACGTGTATCAGAGGTAGAACAAAGACAAGATGGAATCACTCACCCTGTACCAGATCCTCAGATGCCTAACCTTAGTCCCTACCCGCTCAACTGCATGTACACTTTATGCATATATATCACCTATGGATAGTGTCACTGAGCACCAGTCAGAATCATAGGAATGTAACTGCTGCTTCATGGCCCTGCTTCTCCCACCTTCTGTACCACATGCATCCTTCTATTAGGAAATTATATACTGTGCCTCATGGAACCTACTTTGGAGACTCATTCTCAGTCTGCACTGAGTCTGTGTTTCCAGGCTTAAGACCCCAAACTTGGCTCAAAATAAACCTAACCATAATTTCTCTAAGTTTTAGTGCCTGTTATTTCACTTTTCAGTTGATAGCTTTAAATGACTTATTGGTGTTAAAAAATATAAGGGCTAAAACCCTTATATTTTCATTTCTATAAATTTGTATATTTATAATTATATACAAATATCAATTATATGCCATTTCAATGATTGGTATTTTAAATACATATTTTGATAGATTTGAATAATATTTACATATTTTATTATTTTTTGTGTAGTGATTATTTTACTACAAATTTGTAAATTTATAATTTCTACAAATTTTACTAGTTACTTTCAATGTACAACACTATGTGATTCTATGTTTATGTAAAGGTGGATTGGTCTAGGCAGTATGAGTTTTGGTTATGAGCCTGAAGAGCTTGAAAACTACTTGACTACAAAGCAATTGTTAACAACTTCACAGCAACTTTACAAGAACAAAGTAGTTGCTAAGAAGCCATTGCAAGTATTTGAGAAAATTCATGTGATAAAAACAATGTGTTAGTAAGAAGCAGATTAATTGGATTAAAAAATAAGTGATTAGAAAGGTAAATAATACATGAACTTGAGAAACTGAAAGAATGGCATTGCCCATAGAAAAGTAGGATCCAGCTGGAGATGTTCATGAAATTTTAGAACATGAAAAACTTTTCCAATATGGCCAGGATGAAAAGAGGAAGGAGTACAGAATATTCTTGTCCTGTAACTTGTATCCACTTTTAACGACCACTGCCACCTGGTGGCTTGTGACCCTGTTTCCACTGAAGGAAGAAACCCTGTTTATTCTTGATTTTGCATACCTAAGCAGGGATAAAACAGGATAAAAAGAACACTGGCCTGGAACACCAGGGATCTAAGTTCCTGGAGCACAGGGGTTAAAGACCATAGTATGTCTTGTTCGTTGAGATCGTTTAACTACAAATACCTATACTTCAACGATTTCTTATGAAATTTGCAGCCAAATCTGGAATCCAGAAAGAATTCTGACATGAATTAAAATCTTCAAATCCCATCATGTATGTTGAATTACTCCTTTTTTTTTTTTTTCAACAAGCCTCATGTCTCCCATCCTGTTAGACCTTGGTAATGTAAGCCCATATCTCTCTCCTGAGTTACTGAGTAATAGAAGACATGGCAAGCACAATAGCTAAGGAAAGAGGAAGTGATAGGTGGACAGTCACAGTGAGAAACCCAGGAAAAATGAGCAGCCTGCAATATTTCAAGGAATAAGTTTACAGTTGTATTTTTCTGAAGCAACATTGTGAGATGAGTACCTAGCTGCTACTGATTTTGATTCTGAGAACGAAACTTCCTCTCACGACCAACATTCCCACACCTATAACTTTGTATCATTTGCCAAGAACAACCTATTTTATGACTTCTTGATGCTTTTCTGCATGCGTTCTGCTGCTTGGAAATTCTACCCTGTACACATTTATTTCAGAAACCCCTAGTTCAAAGGTTACCCCTGCTATAAAGCCTTCCAACACTCTCTCCAAGCAGAGGCAACATTTCTTCCCTCTGTTCCACAATTGATTGCATTTTGTTTTCACCTTACTGTATTCTTACTAAATCCTCATTATACTCCTGTCTAAACAACATGTACTCTCTTAGTCTGTTTGGGCCCCTGTAATAAAATACTATAAACTAGGTATCTTATAAACAATAGAAATTTATTTCTTATAGTTCTAAAGGCTGGGGAGTCCAAGATCCAGATATTGGCAGGTTCCGTGTCTGGTGATGGTTTGCTTTTTCATAGACGGAGGCTTTTAAATATGTCTTTGCATGGTGGAAGGGGCAAGGAAGGTCTCTTTTACAAGAACAGTAATCTCATTCATGAGGTTCCTCCCATGTGATCTAATCATCTCCTAAGGGCCACCACCTCCTAATATTATCACCTTGGGGCTAAGGTTTCAACATGTGAATTTTGGAGTGACACAAACATTTGAATCATAGCATGTACAACATCTGCTTAAATGTGTATCAGTATTACTGCACTTAAGCCTTTTTGGCATCAAACACTGTGTCTTTTAAATCTGTATTCCAGATATTATTTTGGTTGATGGCTACTAGAACAAACAGTGCCTCTGTCTCACCCTCCAGGATGACAATTCTGGGGAGAAATTGAATAACCCTGTGACAGACATTGAGAACATATGATTTTATGAGGGGTAGGAGATAAATGCAGAGTTTCTGTTAGAGTTTGCATACTTGTAACATTTATGAACCCTGAGCTTTTAATCAGTTTCTTAGGGCTCAGAAAACATAGGTGGTATTAGAGCTCAGAAACCTAACAAGTGAGTTTCATCATGAAGGATAACAAAGGGCTTGGCTCTTTTATTGAGGATCCATTCATTTACAACATGTAGACATAGTTTCTGGGGCTCTTCCATTTCTCTAGAGAGAATGCCTCCATCTTTACCAGGGATCTAGCTCCCAACCACCTGTCCATGTTCTGGATACAAGGTAAAAGAGGATGTCCAAGAAGACTGAAGTTAAGTATTCAGAACATGGAGGAAACAGAGGCAGTCCACGAAATAAAGATCAAAAAGCAAAATAATACTACCAAGAGCAATCTCAAATTGATAAGCAAAGGTTTATATCCAGAGGCCAAGAGTGCTATGAAAAAGAAAATTTAAAATACAATAGCCAAGATAGATTCAGTAAAAGGGTTAGGAGATAAAATTAAGGATATCTCTTAAAAATATAGCAAAAAAAAAAAAAGCCAAAGTAAGAAAAAAAAAAGTAGAAGAGGGATTTGGAAGGGGTAGAACCAGAAAGATGGCATCATGAAAAAAACTTAATGAAAGAGCCATGCTGAAAGATGTGGGCAGCCTCTAGAAGATAGAAAAAGCAGAAAATTAATTCTCTTCTAGAGCCTCCAGAAAGATATGCAGCCCTGCCAACAGCTTGATGTGAGCTTAGTGAGATGCATTTTAGACTTCTGATCCTAGAACTATAAGATTATAAAGTTAGGTTGTTTTAAGCTTCTAAGTTTGTAGTAATTTATTACAGCAGCCATAGAAAACTAAAAAGGACCATATTGCACTTGTCACTTACTACCTTCAGTGGTGGTTTCAGGACATTTACTCTAGTCCTGTGTCCTTCATCCTTAATCCCTGATCCCCAGGAGTCTTTCCTTCCCATAGTCTCTGTTCTGCACCCAGCCACCTCTGCTCACTGCAGTCAAGCCAGTCTTACCTCCTTGCTGGCTCCTGATTCTCTGGATGCCAGAGTGTCATAGAGTTATCCCAGACTCTGGCTGTCCTAAGGGTGGGAGTTGTCCTGCCCTTAGCTCCTAATAAAGACAGCATTGACAAGAACACTAACACTCCGCTGACCCCCAAGAGCTTCTTTGGCATTATTATATGGACAAAGAGGGCCTGTACTATGTCTCCCTCCCACCCTGCCCCCTTGGGGCTCATGCGCTTCTGTGACTTTTTAACACGTGAATCCTAACTATCTTGATTCAACTCTTTATGCACAGTTTTTAAACAATAACAACAAAAATGCTGTCAATTAGCCAGCTCATCTCTGGCTAAATCCTTGATGTCAGTCCTAAAGACTATGCTACTGGAGTTCAGTTCCCGCCAATCCACAAATAATTATCGAGTAAGGATCCTTTCTTTCAGAGTTGTGAAGGATTGCAAAGACTGCTGAAAACTGTGATCTTCAGCGAGATGTTTAAGGGGAAAAGGGTAAGTAGATTTATCAAGAAGTAAATAATGACTAAGGCATCCCAGACTGGGCTCCTGAGTGCCCAGAGCTGTTGGTAATGGGGGAGACAACATGAGTGATAGGAGAGATCTGGAAGAGATGGGGAATCTGCGGGCGAGGTCAAGTTCACCTGAGTTCAGAATCTAAGTCATATAACAAAGTCCCTGGATCAATACCAATTTGCCCCAATTACCCATTTTCCTCTGACCTAAGACTAAAATCAAATTATACTCAGATCAGCATGAAAGGAGGCTTGGTGGGAGTTAATATCCACAACGTCTGTCTGATCTCTTTTACTGAGGTGGCCTGTAAATGTAAACAAAACTTGCAACAAGGATTTTGCATCAGGCTGGCAAAACCTGATTTTAGGAGACAACCACACTGTTGGGGATAAAGAACAGATTCTCCTGTCTCCAATGATCCTCCAAGGTTGTTTTTATTATAATGGAAATTTCCAAGGCTTTATGCAGGGCTCACATGTTGGTGAAAGAGCTGCTGCACCAGCAGCAGAGATATAATTGTCTTCTGCTGTTCCTGAACTCAGCACATGGCTGTTCATTAATTAACGTTGCACCCCATGAGCATAACATTTCCAAACTGTGGGTTACTAAATAAGACCTTAGTGAACACAGTACTGCTGCTCCTTTCTGGTATGTACTTCCAATTATAATTTTATTCATTTTTCATTTGTCATAACCATAGTGAGCTTCTAGCGCAATAAGCCGCATTATTAGATGCTGTGGCATACATATAGATAGATAAATAGAATGGAGTCTATGCCTCAAGGTACTGGAAGCTGGCAGCTAGGGTGACCTCTAGAGGAGGGTAGTATATGCAGCCACCATCATGGATTGAAGAATACAAACTCCAAATTACTTCACTTCACTCTAAGCCTTGTATTTTTACTATCAACATAAGTTTTTCCTTAATAATTTTATTTGCAAAATAAAGACTCAAAATAAAGATTGCAAAATAAGATTCAAATAATGTACAGGCAAAATCATTAGCCTCTGTTGGATACTGTGGTTGCTGGTTAATCCTCATAATAACCTTATGAGGAAAATTACATTACCTTCCAGTTGTATGTAACCTGTATTTCCCAAATGACCATCACCAATGAGTTGAAATAATTGATTGACTATCACCTACATTCTCCTTGTTATTGCCCTCTCTCACCACCTGTAAAGGACCTACCAGCATTTCTATTCAAACAAGCCATTGTTCATGCAAAATGGACTTAAGTCTGTCCACTCCAGCTGGGCTCACCCCACTGGCCCAACAAAGCCTGTGCTACAGTTGGGATCCCTTCTCTGCAAACATGAGGAAACGGGTTTTGCGAATTGGTGAGTTGCTCAAGGGTGCACACTTAGAAGAGACAGACCTGGATCATCAATTTATACTTCTGACTCCAAGGGCACTACCTTCCCTCTGTAGTTCGAGCTGATCAACTTCTCATCTAAATACAAAATCATCACACTTTATCCCACTTGTTTATAATACTTCATATTACTTCTTACTTTCATAATCACACAGATTAGTTTCCTTTGGCAAATAAACTAGAATTGTGACAATTAAGTGAGAAGGTTAGGGCAGAAGGGATGTGGTCTGAAAGGTTTCATGAGACCAAAGGGCAGTGGCTCCTGAGGACAGGGAGCACAGGGACTCATTGTAAAGGACCGAGTCAGGGGCAGCACAAAGAGCAGGCCTCATTGTCTGTCTGAGCAGAGCATAGTTTAGTCAACATTATGTACTTAAGGCTAGTAAATACACCACAGACTTCATTAGCTAAACAGCAATCCATATAGATATTAACCAATTGCTCACTCTATGCCAAGCACATATGCCATTGTTTGGTGACTTTCACCTATTCATACAATCTTCTCAACAAGTCTATAAGGTCCTTTGGGACAGAGAAAGTCTCCTGCATCTTGTGCTCCCTTACCACTTTTTGCTTAATAGATTTTGTTGTTTCAAATTCTAAAAGGAAGGAAATTAATTCTTAACCAAATGATATTTCTCAAACAGGGTCAGTGCCCTCTCTTGGGGTGCAAATCCTATGTATCTTATTCCAACGAGTAACTCTGTAGTTAATCATTGATACGGCAAGTTCAGGCTTTTGCTCTTCCTCTTTGAACATCAGTGGGTGCATTTTATTTCTCTCTCTTGCTCTCTCTCTCTTTTTTTTTGTTTTTTTTAAAGCAGGATTAAGGAAGCCAAACTCTCAGCCTCATGAAGAAAGAGCTCATTTATTGCAACTAAAATATCTTTTCTTGGAAGGCCATGACCTCAGAAAAGTAAGCACTTTACTTTTTCTAAGGTAGCGAATATTTCTTCTCTCTTACTTCACACAAGTATTGAACCATATATTATTCCTGCTTGATCCCCTGATCTGTTCACTCCTGGCTCCTTGTTCCTCTCTCATTTTCAAGTGAGAGCTTCAAATTGCACAGGAATTCCAACTGCCCCATTCCTTTTACTGTTGACATTTCTATGAGCTTCAAGTACTCAACGAGAATTCTGTTTCTGTGTGTTTACCAACTGAATTGGCATGGACAGAAGGGCACATACCCCACACCATTTGCAGGAACTATTTCTTATGATCAGTAATTTTAAAGCAATGCACCTCCTCGGGCTCTTAAATATGTCATCCCAGGAGCTGCTGCTCCTTTTTTCCCATCTCCTTCATCATCCATGTGTCAGACATGCCTCAGGCCTGCTGGGCATCTGCTGTTTATCAGTGGGCCCCTCTCCACCCCCAGCCTCCTGGGAAAGCCCTCTGAGGAGTGAATTATTGGAAACACAAGCATTCACAGAGAATACAATGCAAATATTTTAGTTCCCAGTTTGGCAGAAACAGGTAGTGAACTAACTGAAGGTTTACTCACTGAAGGCTTGTTCATAGCCAAAAATAAAAACAAAAAATAAGTAACTTCTCTGCATCTGTGGTTACTAAAGTCCTCTGGGAGCTTAAAAAGGTAATTTTTGTATGTTTTATTTGATCTTTGTTTTGAGAAATAACTAAGGACCACACATTTTCTATAATTCTAGTGATATTTTGATGAATAAAACATCTGCAAGGCAATGCCACAGACTTACTGAGGGAGACAAATATATATAACAAGACAATTATAGCAGGTGCGAATAATGCAATAATAATGTTGTTTACCAATAGGAGTGCAAAGGAGAGTCCCTTAGCACAGCCTATAATGGAGTGTGGAAAGGAGAAACCAAGAAATTCTCTGGAAAGAAATGGCATCAAAATTGAGGCTTAAAGATCTAATAGTTGCTATCTTTTTAAAAAGGAAGAGATTGGTAGAAAAGAGAAAAAACTTTTTTATTTCTGTTGTCCTTTAACTAGTATTTATTATTAGCATGCCCTGGGAAATCTGTAACTACTGCTTCTTCAGAATTCATTACACCTGGTGAGTCCCATGGGCCGAGGCCCCCATATAATTTCTATGCCTTTGCTTAATTAAGACACTGTGATAGACTGGGCAGACATTTCCTGGCAATTTACGATCAGCTGGAGGAGCTTAAGTCTTAAAGCAATGCTGTGAAAATATGCAGTTATGTTTATATAAAAAGTAGTGAAATTATAACCTTTTCATGTCTTGATCAGCCAAAAGTTGAAAAAGTACATTGTTGTGGTTGACAAGCTGCATTTATAGTTTTTGTTCTTTTCCTAATCACTGAAAGGCATTCACAAATAAACAGGAAGAGAGAGACACACACTCTGAGTTTGACACTTGCTCTTTTTCATTAGGTATTTGGATTCCAGGTCAATGTGAAGAACTTCCCTAAGACACATTGCTGGCTAACACTGGGATTAGTTACTCAAAGAGCTTTGTAGTGTGACCGTCATTAAGACTTTTATGGATGTCTTTATTTAATCAGATAGGTTTAGCAGAGTTCAGCCTATAGACTGTGGAATAGACAGAATGAGCCCAATGCTTGTCTTATAAAATGTTTTGAATTTGTAAGTTCTAAGTGTAACACTTAGATCTTTCACAGATATCACCATGTAGTACAGTGTTATTCACCTATCCAAGTTCATAGAAGATTCCAGTCTCTGCACCAAGTGTTTTCCATCTATAACAGGGATAAAGTTTTAGAGGTATTTTCTCACTAAGTTTTCTTATGGTTGGACTGATTTCTTTCCTTGCACCCTGCTCGGGTCTGACTGTTTCTGCCTTCTAAGAATTTTTTATGTTGAAATTTTAACCCCTAAGGTGATGGTATCAGAAGGTGAAGACTTAGGGAGGTGATTAGGTCATGGGCGCAGATCCACATGAATGGGATTAGTGCCTTTATAAGTCACTCAAGAGAAAGCCCTCGCCTCTTCTGCCATGTGAGGACACAGTGAGAACGTACCAATTATGAACCAGAAAACAGACCCTCAGCAGACATGGAATTTGCTGGTGCCTTCATCTTGGACTTCCCAGATTTCAGAATGGTGAGAAATAAATTTTTGTTTTTTATAAGCTACCCAGTCTATGGTATTTTGTTGTAGTATTCGGAATAAACTAAGATACAGTCAATTGCATCATTTCAGCTGAACTTTGAGACTGAAATCTTAAATAAACGAGGAGGAAATGATATAGGACAGTTGCATTCAGACAGGAAGGGAAAGCAACAGAAAAGCTTACCCCTTCCCATCCTGTCAGATAATGGAGGCAGAAAAAAAAAAGTAGAATAAAAAGGTTCTTATTCCCACTGCCCCACATAAGAATCATACGTCAAATGCAAAAGTCTTTTAGGAACATAGAAGTAAGCGTGGGGCAATACACAAATATCAGAGGAGTAGATTATTTTCCAAGGCAGAGCCTGCAGGCACCTAGAACAACTTGTGCCTTCAGCTGGACGCCAGATCCATGGTGGTTCCAGAGCAATTCTGTGGGAAGACTGGAGAATGGGTTCAGGTGATGAGTCCACAATGAAGCCCTGACTCTCCATTGTCTGAACTTGTTATGACAGGGATTTAAGATTTCCCAAATGCTCCAGAAGGGATGTGGAAGTGTTGAGAAAGGAGTGGGCAACTTGTCAGAGGCTTGGGGTCAGAGTGGATAGGATAAAGTGAGGGTGGACTTGAATACACACAGATACCTGAAACCTTGGACTCCAGGGAGCCAAAGCTTCACTCCAAAAGGATAGGCAGAGCTAGGCATAGCTCAGCAATCCTCAGACAAGGAGAGGAGTTCCACCAGCCTGTCCACAGCTGGGCATAGAGGGTATCTGAGGACTTCGCATGATCTGAATTTTTTTCTCTCCACTGTCACAAGGACAGAGTAAACCCCTCATACATCTTGGTGTCATTCCAGGGAAGTTCAGGAGTAGGAGAGAGAATCTGAAAGTCTGAAAAGCATCTAAAACAGATTGTGTTAACTAAATGACATGTCAATTACTAGATCAAACCAAGATCACAGGACTGCCTCCACTATCAGTGGGGGTGCAAGTTTACAAAGACTAGTCTACATATAGAACACTAAAAGGCCCCTGTTTTTCCCACATTTGACTCTAACATGGGTACATTTGCAACCCCACTGCACGTGTGTCATCTCATTGAGTTCCCAGAACAAACCTGCAAGGTAAATATTACTATTATTCTGATGAAAAAAACAGATCCAAAGAGGTCATATACTTTACTCCCAGTTTTACAGCTGGACATGTAATGTAGAATCAGTTCCACATTTGCATATAGATCAGTCTGAATCTAAAAGTCATGGTCTTCCCATGATGACTCATGAGTTTCTTTGTTTCTTGAATGTGGAAACATACAATGCTTTGTGTATGAAGGAAGATAAATGTAATTGATGTTGGGTATGCAATTTGCCTTTTGTCTTCAGGGACTCTTATTGGGACCTGTAAGGAGACATAAAGGACAAAGTGTTGTAGTCTAGTAGGTCTAAAGGCAGTGTGGCATAACAGAGAGATGGGTACAGAGCCTCTAGAAGCAACAGCGTTAATGTTAGAGCTGAATGTTACACCTTTGGAGCTGTTGGAGAAATGAAGAAACACAAAAATAATTATTGTTCAGGAGGTAGCAAGTGGCATGTGGTGTTGGTTTAATTAGGAGAGGTGAGAGCAGAGCTGAACTATTCAATGAAACAGACATTTATTTAGCTCTTAATATATATATGACACAATGAGAGAATACAGTGATACCTAAACCATGACAGGGTACAATAGGATAAAATATTATACAAGATGGTGCACTGAAACTGATTTTTTTTTCTTGTTTTAAAAGCAGCTTCTTTCTTGCTCTAATCTTTATAAAACTAAAAGAAAATCTGCACCTGTTTGGAGGAGATATGGTGCAGAGCTCTCAGGAAGGACTGAGCCAGTTAATAAATTTGCAGCCCCTTTTCACCTTGTCACCATCTCGCTCTCTACAGCAGTATCTGTGGCCTCTATCACACATTTTGCTTCTCTTATTTTCTTTATACTCTTATCCAGTTCAGCTTTGTTTGTCGGCTCTTATGCAACCTACACAAGTGGAATTCTCCTTGGACTCTTTTGTCTCCAACATAAATTGAAAAACCACAACTTTGGCAATGGCTGTGGGACACATTTCAGTGCACTCATATCTCAACCAACGGAGTCAAAGGGATCAACTTGTTTTTACTGACAACCTAAAGACAAAGGCTCTTCAGGGCTATGAGAAAAGCTTACTTTGAAAGTGCGGTAAAGGGGATTTTAAAGAAGAAAACAAATGGCAATTGAATTTTACTGTTTCCAGGAAACAAAAAATTAGAATTTTAGACTCTTAAACTCAGATTGCTGGAAAAATAATTGGACCTTTATTTGTTTGCTTTAGAGAAGAGAGAGAGAAAAAAAATCCCTTAATTGTCCTGCGAGAATTAACTGCAGATGGAGAGTAGGTTCTTAGGAATTTCTCACAAGGGAATCAATGGCACATCCTGCCCACCCTGTCCCCAAGCTAGATCAGCAGATTCCTGGCCAGGAGCCCACAATTATCACGTGACTTCAGTGGCACCAGCAGCTCCCCTACATACCTGACCCAACCAATAGCTCATGCTGAGAATGGTGCCTGAGAGGCCCCAGTGAACTGGCAGGGTGGCATGGGGCTTTCTTGCTAGAGAAAGAAACCTGCCCAAACCATGACTTTGCAGTGTGCTCAAGGTTTACATGGGGTTTTCTGGAAAGATAGTGGCGGGGGTGAAAGCCACGTATCTGTTCTTTGCCATTGCCTTTTCCTAGGGCCTTAGTTCTCTTGCTCTTCATTCTTACCAAGACAGAAAATATTGAGCAGTCACAGGAACTCTTTTCTTGTATGTGCAGAGATATCATGCACAAATCTGGTGACTCTGAATGTACAGTGGGAGGGCCTCAAGAGCGCTCATGCGTTCAAGGTGGAAAAAGCCCCTCACTACTCACTGTACATCCATCCTCAAACTGGCACACGTTGGCTCTTCCCTCATCCTCTAGAGCTAAAACATAAGCCGAAGGTGGCCCTACACTCCTTCTTCTTTATAGGAACACATTGCTCATGAACTTCTGAGTCACAGCCCCATAGGCAAACATAGGTGAGAAAAGTTTGGGGAAAGAACTTGAAAGTAGCATGCACTAGAGAACACTCTGGAAGAGCTAAGAAAAGGTGCACTTTTTTTCCCTCTTATGTCTAGGAGGTCCAACAACTGTGAGGAAGATTCAATAGGACTATTCAATAGCTAGTTATTCACAAAATTTATTTCCTTCCACACTGTAGACAGCTTTTCCCAATCTCCCTTGCAGTTAGGAAGAATGCAACTGCATTCAGCCAGTGGGAAGTGGGCAGAAGTGATTACTGACCTTGGCCACTTACCCTCATGTCTACAATTCTTTCTCTTCACTTGCTGCTGAATATTGACACTCAGGGAGATCCTAGAAGCTCCGTGCTGAAAATGGTGGATCCTCTTTCAGCCTGGATCTCTGAAAGACTACGTACCCTTCTCTCCTCCTTATAAGTAGAAGAAAGACCAGAGCATGCTCTCTCTCCCCCAGCCTAGCAGTGAGAGCACAGAGGAAAGAAGATGTGAGGGCACAGTGAGAAGGAGGCCATCTGTGAGCAAGGAAAAGAGCCCTCACTAGACAACAACCCTGACAACATCTTAGTCTTGAATTTCTAGCCTCCAGAACTGTGATTTTAAAATGTTTTGTTGTTTAAGCCAAACAGTCTGTGGTATTTTGTTATGGCAGCCTGAGCAGACTAAAACAACCATAGATGCCACTCTCGCCCCAATCCTTGTTGCAGATTGAATTTTACATGATGAAAAATAAATGCCTTTTTTTTATTAAGCCACCGAGATGTCAGGCTTTATGTCTTACAACAGCTAGTGTTTACATTTCTGATACAAAGACTGCGCAGAGCTAATCAAGTGTGTGATATCCCTTTTCTCAAAATGTACAGGCTGGATTTTTTTTTTTTTTTTTTTTTTTTGAGACGGAGTCTTGCTCTGTCTTCCAGGCTGGAGTGCAGTGGCGCAATCTCAGCTCACTGCAAGCTTTACCTCCCGGGTTTGCGCCATTCTCCTGCCTCAGTCTCCCGAGTAGCTGGGACTACAGGCGCCTGCCACCATGCCCGGCTAATTTTTTGTATTTTTAGTAGAGATGGGGTTTCACCTTGTTAGCCAGGATGGTCTCCATCTCCTGAACTCGTGATGTGACCCCCTTGGCCTCCCGAAGTGCTGGGATTACAGGCGTGAGCCACCGTGCCCGGCCCAGGCTGGATTTTTACATGAAAACTCTGCCTTAGTGCAAAAGATTCCTTGGGTCAACACTCAAGATTATTACAAAAAAAAAAAAAAAAGCTGACTAATACTTCATTAACAGATATTTAAAAAATAAGAGTACTTATTTAAGCCAGCTAATTTTTCAAACATTTTATGACTCTCAGCTTATTTCATTCTCATAGAAATCTATGAGGTATAATTCTTATTATCCCTGTTTTATAGATGAAGACACTGAAATAGCTATTGCAAAATTATAACTGAGAAAGAGATCTGACCTAACCAGCTCCATCTTGCTTCTAACCTCTAAGCTGTCCTTGTTCATTCCTGGGTGTAGAGTGTAGAACTAACTTTGGGAGGATCTTACTTTATAGTGTAAAACAAAGATGTTAACAGCCCTTTCTCTAAACAAACGTCCATCTTGCCTGGGGATTAGACTGCCTTTGTAAGACTAACAAATTAGCCACAAGATTAGAAGTTATGGTTTAGGGAGTCATGCAGCTGGAAGCTACAAGATCTGATCCTCCCTAAACTGCTCCTAAGATCAGTGCTTGAGATATTTTGCAGACCCTGCACTTGATGGATCAGCTGGCACCCAGTTTATTGAAACACTCAGATAGATAAACTGGCTCATCTGATCCTGTGGTCCCCATCCAGGAACGGACTCAGTGAAAGAGGACAGCTTTAATTCCCTATGATTTTATCTCTGACCTAACCAATCAACACTCTGGACTCACTGGCCTTCCTCCACTCACCAAATTATCCTTAAAAACTCTGAATGCCCTGGGAGATGGATTTGAGAAATAATAAAACTCCAGTCTTCTGCACAGTTGGCTCTGTGTGAATTTACTCTTTCTCTATTGCAATTCCCCTGTCTTGATTAATTGGCTCTGTCTAGGCAGTGGGCAAGGTAAACCCACTGGACGTTTACAACACGGAGGCACAGAGAGGTTGAGTGACCAACCCAAAGTTTCACAGGACACAGTAGAGTCAGGATTTGAACACAGACATTCTGACTCCAGACTCTATGCCCTTAACCACTACTCATTAGTGGTTAATGAATTAGAATTCATTTATCTTTTTTTGTCCATATTTTCATTTATTTTCTTTAACTTACAATAAAACTTTGATTTTTACACTGGCTGAGGATGAGGTAAGAATACTGCAAATAGAAAAATCTTAATTGAAAGACATAATTTATCTTATTCTAGCACCAGAAATGATCAGGCCTGTTTTGACCATGAATCACAAACTGTGCTCTCTAGACTTTGGGATGAGATGGCGTGGGCTCAGAGTCTGAGAAATCTCTCTCCCTCACTCCCTCTGCTAAGTAGGTTCCATGCTCTATTCAAGTTTCAGAGATTCTGCTTGGTTGGGGCCTGCTCAAGGGCATGAGCCTGCCTTTATGTTACTCCTATGCTTTACACTTGGCACATCACAGACCATGAAAAAATAATCTGGTGGAAATGGCAACTTTGGATTTTTAATACCAGTTGCTAACATTTTTCCAAATATATTTATCTTTTGAATAATCTAAGGCCCTTATCCCCTTAAGGTTTACATGACTTACTTTATACTGCTTTTACTTTTCAAGGCAGTTAATCTTTTGTAATAACACTTTGTATTCAGTTATGTTCCTTTGCTTAGTTTTCAACTTTGTTATTCTCCAAGCTGATTTTATTAATTGATGCAGTCAGGAGCATATGAATTAATTAGGTGATAGTGAACCAGGAGGAAATCACAGGCCTCAGTGTGAGACAAATCTGGATTTAAATCCTAGCTCTAACTCAGTCCGTGACCTTGAGGAGGTCAGGTAGGTTCACTGGGCTCAGTTTCCAAATCTCTAAAATGTAGGTGACAAAATCTACCTCACAAAATTGTTGAAAGGACAATTACATGTTTGAGAACATGTTACTGTAGTGTCTATAACCTATCAAGTGTATAGCAAATGATGATGATGATGATGCTAATTAAAAAAATATCTAATGAAAGTCCCAGAAGTTTTACTTTAACATGTTGATTTTTGTCCCATGGAAAGGCATAGGATTTGGTGGAAATATAACCCCAAAGTTATTATGTATTGCTCTGTAAGATATTAAAAAGTTTTATATATAACCCAAATATCTTATCTTAACATTTTAAAATTAAGTGTTCTATAAATATCTACCTCCTCAAATATTGTTTGAACTAATCTTAATATCTAATTGTTTCCCCACCTAATTAATGAGTTGAACAAAATCCTTACCATATATTCATATTATATTTATATCAGTGTCCTAATTATATCTTTTGAAATTATGCTTTTTAGCAATAAGAATAAAAGTCATAATCAAAATGTTAGCACTTAGCATGGGAATGATTCTATCAGTCAGGGTTTAGTCAAGAAAAACTGGTTGCTCTAGATAATCCAAATTAAAAAGGTTTAATGCAGATGTCAAGAAGCCTACACAACCATTGGACAACTGGAGGAAGCTGAGGTCAATGAAGCCATGGTGGACAGCCTCAGCCTCAGCTCCCAGCTGAACAGTTCTCTGTTCATTGTCCATTGTTCTTGAACTTCTAGACATTTCTCTTCAACCATCACAGTCTGCAATGATGAAGGACATGGCTTTCTGGTGGAGCCTCTTAGAATCTCACAGCTGTCCACATTTCTGCCTATAACCACCTCTAGCCTGTTGTTCGTTTCAGCCTTCCAAATCTTCAGCAAGAAGGGACTTCTTGGTCAACCAATCTGTAAACATATGGGGAAAGGCATTCTGCAAATATAGCTCCCAGCTTCTCAAAAGACAGAGGAACCCTTAGAAGGGAGTGTTGGTGATGCCAAATTGGCAGTAAATAACCCATGACTGCAGCTCAGCTTGGCACCTAACTCTGTAGGGCACTCACTTACTTCAGGAAGGGTGCATTTACTCAATAAGGCAGATTAAAGGATCACTTGGTTCATATGGACTCAGAAAAAAGTGGGCTAAGTGATCTTTAAACAGATTTGACCAAGCTGGGGAATACCAAAGACTTACTATTTTTCAATCAGAGAACACAGCATGGAATAGCAGGAAGAGTGCCAGACTGGAAGCCAGGGAACCTCAAATTTTCTCTTCTATGAAACAAGGAAAATAGTATCTGTCATGCCTCAGAGGATCACCACAAGCTTAACATATGTGGAAATATTTTAAAGTGTACAAGCCCCGTATCAATATTAAGGTCCCCATATGAACATGAAGACCTAAGGTTTACTTGGCTTAGTCCGAAGAAGCTTCCAGTATAAGGCTGGATTAGGAAAGATGAAAATGGAGACATAAAAGTTGGACTGGGGCCAGGTGCAGTGGCTCATGCCAGTAATCCCAGCACTTTGGGAGGCCAAGGTGGGTGGATCATGAGGTCAAGAGATTGAGACCATCCTGGCCAACATGGTGAAACCCCCCTGTACTAAAAATACAAAAATTAGCTGGGCGTGGTGGTGCATGCCTGTAATCCCAGCTACTCGGGAGTCTGAGGTAGGAGAATCACTTGAACCCAGGAGGCGGAGGTTGCAGTTAGCCGAGATCACACCACTGCACTCCAGCCTGGGCCACAGGAGCGAAACTCCGACTCAAAAAAAAAAAAAGTTGGACTGGGAGCCTTACAGAGTTCACACACGTTTGTAACATTCTTCAGATGTGGTCTGCACAAATTGGAGTTATTAGTCCAATTTTATAAAGAAAAATCATATTTTGAATGTAGCCGAAGAACTTCCTAATTAAAATGATATGATCCTTAAAAGGTTTTTTGGGGGTAATGGAGGGAGGATCAGGAGGATCAAAGTAGAATGCATATATTTGATAATAAATATAATATTTGGTCAAAGAAAAATAAAAGTTCGACCTAATCAGTTTGCAGAAATGCCTAGAAAATAAACCATCTTCTAAATATATAGTGATTTTAAAGAGGATAAAGTATGAGGAAAGGGTGGAGTTATCTGTCAGAAAAAATTATATAATTTTACAACATTTTATTTTTATTAAAACAGAGCATGGGTTAAAACCACCATGAGAATTAGGTCATCAAACCATCAACAATAGACTAATATTCCCCCCAAATTCCTATGTTGAAATTCCAATTCCCAATATGATGGTATTAGGAGACGGGATCTTTCAAAAGTGATTCGTGATTCATGAATCGGTGAATCAGATTAGTGCTTTTATTAAAGAGATGCAAGAGAGATCCACTGCAAGGGAAAGCCATTGTAAGAGAAGACACAGCGAGAAGACAGTCACTGTCTGTGAACCAGAAAACTGAGCCTCACCAGATACCGATTCTGACAGTGACTTAATCTCAACTTTCCGAGCCTCTAGTACTGTAAGAAATAAATTTATGTTGTTTATAAGCTATCCTGCTTATGGTATTTTTGTAACAAAAATGTTTGTAACAGCCCAAATGGCCTAAGATACCATCCCTAAGTAGGGCAGTCATCGTAAAGTAGTTACAACACAACAAAAACAAGGGGAAGACTTAATTGAAAAAATTCATTCCTGAGACGTAATAAAGCAGGTGAATTTAGTAATGGGAAATGATTCTGCAAGGGACTTTTAGCATTATCACCCTCCAGAAACATGTCAGAAAAATCTAGAGCATTATTCTCTGGGTGGGACAGATTTGGGAGAATGCATGCTACCTTATCAGCTCTCTGTTCCTCCCTGGGAGACTGATGCTTCCTAATGCACAACTCAATTCAAAGCAGCAATGTACTCTGAAGTTTCTTCTCTTTCTTTCTTTCTTTCTTCCTTTCTTTCTTTCTTTCTTTCTTTCTTTCTTTCTTTCTTTCTTTCTTCTTTCTTTCTTTGTTTGTTTCTTTCTTCTTTCTTTCTCTGTTTCTTTGCTTTTTCTTTCTTCCTTCCTTCCTCTTTCTTTCTTCTTTTCTATTTCTTTTTTCTTTTCTTTCTTCTTTTCTTTCTATTTCTTTTTTCTTTTCTTTCTTTCTTTCCTTCTTTCTTTCGTTTCTTTCTTTCTTTCTTTCTTTTTCCTTCCTTCTTTCCTTCCTTCCTTCCTTCTCTTTTTCTTCTTCTTGAGACAAGGTCTTACTCTGTTGCCCAGGCTGGAGTGCACTGGCGTGATTACAGCTCACTGCAGCCTTGAACTCCTGGCCTCAAACCTCTGCCTCCTGAGTAGCTAGGTCTACAGGCATCCACCACCATGCCTGGTTAATTTTTTAAAGTTTTTGTAGAGACAGGGTCTCACTCTCTCGCCCAGGTTGGTCTTGAACTCTTGGCCTCAACTGATCTTCCCACCTCAGTCTCCCAAAGTGTTGGGATTATAGGTATGAGCCACTGTGCTCAACCCAGAAAGTATTTTTATGTAAAAATAAATTATGCAATGGCACTTTATGAACTTCAAAGAAAAAATACTTTCTTTGTGTTGTTCTTGTTATATCTGAGAAGAAAAATGATGATTAAATTTCTAAATAAAACATATTCTGTTAATTTACAACTTTTCTCAAAATGGAAGAGTTTAAATTGTGATAAAAAGTAGTAGGTAGAGTGTACACCTATGTTCATAACAGCATTATTTACGATAGCCAAGATTAGAAACTACCCAAGTGTTCATCTACACATGAATGGAAAAATAATTTGTATATATATATATACATATATATATATGAATATTATTCAGCCTTAAATGGGAATGAGACTCTGACACAATACTACAACGTGGATACATCTTGCAGGCCTGATAAATGAAATAAGCCACAAAAAGACAAATACTATAAGCCCACTTATATGAAGTGTCTAAAGTAATAAAATTCATAGAAATGGAAAGTAGAATTATGTTTGCCAGGAGCTGAGGAAAGGGGAAAATGAGGAGTTAATGGGGATAGAGTTTCAGTTGTGACAGATGGGAAAGTTCTGGACATTGATTACACAACAATGGAAATTCACTTAACACTATTGAACTGCACACTCAAAAATGGTTAAGATAGTAAGTTTTATGTGTATGTTACCACTATTTAAAAAATTAGTTAAAAAATAGTAGACCGAAATTTATTTCTAACGGTGGCTTCCCACCACCATTTGGGGGGAGTTCTGTTGTGAAATTTTAGGTGATTTACTTTCTCAAATTGTACTGAGTCATGGGTTTGTTTTCCCATGGAAAAATTACTAAAAGAAGAGTGCGTGGAAACACATAACACTTAAGTCACTTCCATATTGCAAAGGTATGTCCATAAGACCTTTGACTTTGATAAGATTTGTAAAAGCTATGCGGCCTTTTCTTCCTCCTCACTCCATCCCGTCTCCCAGGGCCAGCCTGTTCCTCAAAAGAGTGAAAAACATAGGAAAATTACTGCCAATCATCCAACCAGACTATCTAAATGATGTAAAGTAATTATTAAATTTTACTCAGCCAATACACTGTTTGAGCTTGGATTATAAACCACTGTTTACTCTCACAGTGTCTGGCAAAAAATAGGCACTCTCATTTTGTTTTCAACAGACAGATGGTGTTTGCCCTTCTAGAGCTCAAGAAGGAGGGTGATCAAGCAAATAGGCTTAAGCACATTTTGAGAAAAGCAACATGGCGCACAGCCCTGGGGCAAGACTATGTCGGGCTCAGGACTTGAGTCTGTCATTTACTAGCTGTGTAATCTTGAGCAATTCACTTAAATATCCTGATCTTCATTTTTTTCCTGTGTGAAATGACATTAATAAACAATGTCTGTAACAAGAAATGTAAAGGCCAAATGTAAAGAAATGTAAAATCCTAAGTCCTGCATGCCTTCTACCACTGGTCTAGTCACATGTGCCAGCTGAACATTCCCTGGGCCGCAATTAATGTGACTGATGGTTTTATCCCTGGTTTTCCCAGGGTGAAATCTAGACACAGGAATCCTGAAAAATGCCTCTGTGGAAAGATAGATTGAAAGCAGGTCTTCTAAGGGAAGCTGCAGAATGTTTCTCCCTCAGCCTATAGTTTGACAGAATGATAAGATATCAAGATGAAACCCTGAAGACCTGAGGATTTTTCACGGATTTCATTATTCTATTGAAGACCTAAAAAAAAGTGGCTAAAAAAGATATTTTTAGAAATTGCTTTAATATGGTTTTTATTAACATTTATTTAATTAACTACATAAAATCTGTATATAAAAGAGGCAAAAGTTTATTCTTACTCTCAGCCAGACAGTTGCTGATAAGGTAGTGTTGACAGGAATCTCCCTGACTCAACAACCATAAATATGGTTGGAATGTGGTATTTGCTCTTCCTGGAAACAATGCTTCCCACTTACAGAGTTTGTATTCAATATGGTGTTAATACATAGACCTCATCCAACTATCTCTCTGTGGAATCTGAGCTCCTACTCAAGTCAATATCCTATAATATGCTAAACAGAAAACCTCCTGTATTAGTTTCCTGAGGCCACCATAACAAAGTACCACAAACTGGGTGGCTTAAACAACAAGAATGTATTCTCTCACTGTTGTGAAGGTCAGAAGTCCAAAATCAAGGTGTGTTAGTAGGGACACCCTTCCTTGGAAAGCTGCAATCCTTCCTTGCCTCTTTCAGCTTCTGATGGGTCTTGGCATTTCTTGGTCTGTGGCAGCATAACTCCAGTCTCTGCTAGAGTTTACAAATGGCCTTATCCCCTGTGTCTTTGTATTTTTCCATCTTCTCATACGGACACCTGGCATTAGATTTTTGTGTGCACCGTAAATCCAGGGTGGTTTTATTCCAGAATCCTTTTTATATCCCAAATATATCTACAAAGATTCTGTTTTCAAGTAAGGTCACATTCTGATGTTCCAGGTTGGAATGGTCTGAATGTTTGTATACCCCCAAAATTCATATGCTCAAACTGTTTTTTTTTTTTTTTTGACACAGTCTTGCTCTGTTACCCAGGCTGGAGTGCAGTGGCACCATCACGGCTCTCTGCAACCTCCACCTCCAGGGTTCAAGTGGTTCTCCTGCCTCAGCCTCTTTGGTAGCTGGGATTACAGGCGTGTGCCACCACGCCCAGCTATTTTTTGTATTTTTAGTAGAGATGGGGTTTCACCATGTTGGCCAGGCTGGTCTCAAACTCCTGACCTCAGGTGATCCTCCCACCTCAGCACACCCAAAGTGCTGGGATTACAGGCATGAGCCACCACGCCCAGCCCATATGTTCAAACTTGATCCCCAATGTGAGAGTATTAAGAGATGCAGCTTTTCTTTTGGGTCGGGGTGGAGGTGGGGGTGATTAAGCCATGAGGACAGATTCCCCATGAATTGGATTACTGCCCTATAAAGAGGCTTCAGAGACCTTGGTCAACCTTTCTTCCGTGTGAGGACACAGCAAGAAGGCACCATCAATGAAGCAGTGAGTAGACCCCTGCCAAACGCTGAATAGGAAGTCATCTTGAACTTGCAGCCTCCAGAAACTATTAGCAATAAATTTTCTCTTGTTTATAAATTACCTAGTCTATGGTATTTTTGTTATAGCAGCTCAAATGAACCAAGACACAGATGTACATAAATTTAGGGAAAAATTATTCAACCCACTATACCTCTTTCCTTTTTTACTAATTCGTATTTAATTAATGATGCATGTGGTTTATTTAGTGACAACAACATCTATGGTCAATATGTGAGACTCTCAGAAGAGGAAATGTAACCATCAGCAGCCAACAGAAAGTGGGGGGCAATAGAAATTCTACCTCATTCCCCAAGTTAGAGAAAAAAAAAATCACTGCATGGAGATATGAAATAATGCTTTGTGGGTCTGTTTTCCTATAGCTTCTGTATATGTCAATCTTCTATGCTCAGCTTTCTTTGTATCTTATTTTTTAATTTTAGTATAAAAATGAATGTTTTATTGCCTTCAATTTACCATTATTATTTTTTACATCAGTTGTTCTTTGTGTGTGTGTATGTGTCAGATTTAGTTTTCTGGAGTGTGAATGCATGTGGTGTGTGTGTATGTGTGTGACCTAAATAAGTTTATCTCCTGAAAAGAAAGCAATATCAACATTTAAAGATTAGGTTAACAGAACTCACTTTATTAAATGCCTGGTATGTGTCCAGGCCTTGAGCTGAGGAATAAGAACAATGATGAGTAAAGACCATCCCTGTTCTCAAGGTGTTTGTAGACTACAAAGGAGCCTGCAACCTTACAGCAAAAATAAAGTAAATAAACACAAACCATGGAGCATGTTGCACTCACAGAGGTTCATTCTCACCCATTTTGAAGATACTGGGAGTAATTGGAACTTTGTTGAAGAAAACAAGGAGATCATTTCTGTTTTGTCTGTGCATCACCATGACTACCTAGCACCATGGAGAAAGGGACCCCCTTTCAGAGCACAAACTCTGACCACAGAGGGCCTTTGTCTATCCTTCATTTTACTCTAAACTTTTCTCAAAATAACCATGGATGAAGCTGGAAAACATCATTCTCAGCAAGCTAACATAGGAACAGAAAACCAAACACTGCATGTTCTCACTCATAAGTGGGAATTGAACAATGAGAACACACGGACACAGGGAGAGAAACATCACACACCAGGGCCTGTCAGGGGTTGGGGGCAAGGGGAGGGATAGCATTAGGAGAAATACCCAATGTAGATGACGGGTTGATGGGTACAGCAAACCACCATGGCACATGTATACCTATGTAACAAACTTGCACATTCTGCACATGTATCCCAGAATTCAAAGTATAATAAAGTAAATAAATAAATAACCCTTTGTGAAGCTGTACTTCTGGAGAAAAGCCCACACAACTATGGGACATTAAGTATGCATCACAAGTAAGATTTTAAAAATAATTTAAAAAGTATTATTTCTGCTTTTGTTTCCTTGTCATTAAAAAAGGTTTCTGTCTTCCTCAACCCCTCAAGATCAGCGCTTTAGCTGCAAGTAAATGCCTTCTTGCATTGGATTCTTCCCATAAACTTCCCTGCTCATTTCTCCCGTGGATTGGGCCTTCTATGACTGCACATATATAGTCGCTTCAGAATAGAAAGCCGCTTTCTCCCTTAGCAAGGTATGGCTTTTCCGATGTCCCCTCTTGCTTTGCCAAGTTGAATTCCAAAGTTGTGTCAAATCTCAGCTAAATCAGTGTATTTGCCTTTCCTGCCTATGGCATTAATTGCACTTTACCGCTGCTATTATTTTCCATGCAACTTCTTAGTTAATTCCTTAATGTATTTTGGGATACCATTTGGGTATGGAGATATTATGGAAATGATGTAGAAAGGGAATTAACTTCAGCGCTACAGGTCAGAGTTACTTAGTTACTTTTAAGCATTTGTTTTTGCACCTTCTTTTTTGGTCCCTGGGAGCCTTGGACAATAAGCTGTTATCCACTTTACATTTCTGAATTATACTTACATGAATCTGGTGCCAGAGAAAGTTCAGTGGTAAAGAATTAAAACTGATTATTCCACTGTTTACAGTCAGAGCTGGTGACTAATGCGGGTGCCTCTACTGACTCCTATAACCGTTGCTAACCTTCCTCAGAGGAGTAAAGTCCATTGAGACCCACTATCCTCTAGACTCCTATTTTCCTCCACATAAAACTATACATTTTGTTAAAAAATTGGATCTGGAGTTTTACTCTCTCAGGCATTAACTAGCAATTCACTTTAAGAAAAGTACAAGGAGAGGGGACAGAATGAAAATTATAAGTTACCCTTTGGATGGGCTTATGAAGGGCCCATTTACTCACAGAGTATAAGAAATGGAATGTGTATATTATCGAAAAGCAAACTGGAGTCAGCCATGAAGATGTGAGTGTTAAGAGAGGGGATTCTCCATTTTATTTTTATTTTCTTTTTTAACTTAAGAGCTAATTTTACTAATAAAGCAAAAATCCCTGTCTGCCTGGCCCATCATACTCAGTAGAATATAGACAGACTAGGCACATGACAATGGCATAGATCTTCTTGGGTTTGTGCCTGTCGAAAGGGGAGAAATTGTTCTTTTAGGATCCAGACTTTGAAGGCAAATAAACGAAAATTTCAGTCCCAACCCCACATACTCCTCATTGTGTGGTCTTTAGTAAGTTTCTGAAAATGTTTAAGTTTTGACTTTGTCAGCTAGGAAGTGGAAATATTCATTTAAGCCATAAGTACCAGGTCCTGGCTGGGTCAGTTGGCATGCTTTAAAAAGGATAACTGAAGGGGGTTTTATCAAGAGTTCATTCAGGGTATGGACAAAGCTAAGGAACCCACTAGGAGTAGGGAGGCACCCAGGGACTAGTGGTGGTGAAGGCCATTCCCACCATCAGGCCTGTAGGGATGGGGGAGGTAAGAGCTCTTATCAGAGCATTGGGGAACTTGCACATGGGAGAGACTATCCAGCAAGAGCTGCTTCAGTGAGGGATGCTGCCACCGCCACTGCCACATCACTGTCTGGTTGGCGGGGGTGGGTGGGGGTGGCCTCACTCCATAAAACTTGAATGAGGCTGAAATAACATGTTACCCTCCTCCAATGACCAAGACCAGAAAACTTCATCGCCCTACCCTCTAGCCAATCAATCAAATTCAACTTTGAGATTTAATACAGGGTCTCTGGAAAATAGATAATCTCTTTTTCATTTGGATTATGAGCCATAAGGATGTTGACTTGGGCCAAACAACAGTCACCTTTCCAACTATATAGAAAGAACTTGCCCTTCAGCAAAGACAATGCAAAAAGAGCACAGAAGAGTCCAGGAATAGGGAGAAAGAGGCAGGCCCATGGTGACTTTGTTTGAGGCCCTTTGTTTAATTATATCTAAAGGCAGTTATGCTTTTTAACATTTCAGTAATATGATTCTTTAATATCCTATATTGGAAGAGTCAAAAAGGTTAATAAGGAAATATGAAGCACCCAGAGGTTAGCAAGAGCAGAAAGTCTCTATGATACCAGAAATGGACAACAAAGGGAGGCTGTGGCACTATGGGATTCTCTGAGTTGGGGCCTCAGTAGGACCTGGAATCATGGAGAAGGAACTGCTTAGGAAATGCTGAAGCTGCCAGGCTGGAACCATGGCAAAGAATGCACAACAGAAACCGAAACCAGAGAAGAGATATGACCTCAAGTACAGAGAGTGAGAAGAAATAGTCTGGTTTCTCCTTCCCTTCCACCCTTTGGATGCCCTCTCCCCTGCCTTCACTTAGCTAAACCTAATTGTGAGACTAACATTCAGAACTGAGCAGGAAACAGGGCAGGATATGGCTTTCAGAACAAACAAGTAATACACATGGTCAGGACACATTCATTCTTTTTGACTCTTTCCTTCCAAAATGCATTACAAACTTTAGTGAAGGATACACAATTTTTTTGTTGTTGTTGTTAAATCTCAGAGAACGGGGGTCAGGTTATTTCCTGCTTAGAGACTTGAGTGGGTTACAACATAAGACAAGGCAATTTGGTCTGATATTCAAGTTCGTTGAGACTATTGCCATAATTTATGGCATGGAATAACATGATAGAAAAATGTAAAGGTAAATTGAAATCCAGTCAAATTAGGCTACTTGCTCTTTTTTGTTAGAGCATATTGTCCTGCACTTGCTAATAATATTCCTTCTGCCAGGCTTAACATCTTCTTCCCCATTTTTCTTTACTGAGATTTTACCTTCACATCACAAATTGTTATTCCTTCAAGAAACATACTGGCTTGCCCAAACTTTGTTGTATCTCTCCCTTCTTAAATTCTTATATCATTCCCATGGCACTTAACAAATTAGATCTTGTGTTTTAGATATTGAAATTTCTATCATGTGTTTGATAATAGATTGTGATTTCTGCAAAGGCAAAGAGTGCTTTCCTCAACTTTGTATCCTTTAGGGTGGGTTTAAATGATCTCTTATACCTACTAGCTGTTTGATAAATGTTTGTTGTAGCAACAAACATGAACCTGAAACAGTAATGCAGAACCTTATGTTCTAGTATTTTCTACGTCACATTAGTGTGACTTGCAGAGTCGCTCAGCTTAGCTTTCCCTATGCACAATAAGTTCAGACTAGATGAATTCCAGGGTCCCTCCTGGCCCTTTCAGTTTCCTAATTTCAAGTAGAAGTTGGAAGATAAAATTTGTAAGCAGAAATTTTATAGTTCTATTATGGAATTTCTACTTGGGGAAAGCTAACATTTCATGATCTCATTCTTGCTGGATTCTTTCTCAAGATTTTCCATGGAGCTGAAATTTATCCATGACCTTGAGAAAGACATGCAAATGCTTCATGATCCTCACTCCACTTTCTTGTCCCTAATGCTTTTCTCCTCTGATGATTACTCATTTCACACCCCAAAAGCAACTCATTTTATAACCGTTTGTACAGCACAGCAAGCAGTAAAGAATAAGAAATTATAAAATATTATATCCTATGAAGAAACACTGCTCCTAATGCATCCACAAAGAACAAAGTTCATAAATGCTGGTTTGTCAATTATAATGGTAAAATATGTATTTATATAATACATATGATAGATGGATGCTATTAGAGTGGGTTCGGCATATTTATTAAAATGTATTTTTATGAAAAAAGATTAAAAAAAGAAATGTCTGCTGTAAGCAGTTACATGAAAATGGATAAATACAAAAGCAAGCACAAGGGTATTCAGTAGAGAATTTTGAGCCTGAACAATCAAGTTTCAGGCAAATCTTGCGTGGTTCATAATTTTAGCCCTTTATTATGCAAAGCTGCCAATTCAATTTTACAATGCAAAGAAATGTTTGGCATGATTATCAAGTTATATTTACTGTTCTGTGGATCTACTAAAAGATGCACTATCTTGAAAGAGTCTGTTCAAATTACCTTTGAACACACTTTTAGATCCTCATTGGTAAGCAAAAGTTGACAGATTAAAATGTATTCTTTCTTAACTAGCATCAGCATGTGAAACTTTAGAAAAACTGGTAGAGCAAATGATGATTCAGTTGCAGAGCCAGACAAATAATTTCCAAATCAACAAATTCAAACAGAGAAAAAAAGTTGCTGATCTTAGATGAATTGCCACATGTTGCCACTTCCTTTCACATGTGTCTTGGTAGAAAAACTCTCATATAGAATTTTTCCCACCCATCAGAATAAAGTAGTTGTTATCTCAATTTCCTATCTCCTCTTCTGCATCTCACCTTCTGAGGAGAGAAATATTATAATCTCAAAGTGTTCATTGCTAAACCCAGAGATAAGGGATTGGGATGCAAGTTGGAAAAACCAGGAAAGTACTAAATTCTGGACCTCTCTTCCTCCTCTGGCTTCTCTCTCATCTCTCTCTCTCTCTCTCTCTCCCTTCCTCTTTCTAAAAGAAGGCTTTGAAAGAGTTTTATGTATTTGCAGAATCAAATTTCTCTCCTCTCTTCTCTCTTCAGGGCACGCTGTTCAGGCTTTTGTTGTCATCTCTCCTCTAAAACTGTTTCAGTCAACATTGTCAATTATCTCAATGCTACTGACACCAAAGTTCTAGTTTCAAACTTTGTCTAACTCAACTGTAGCAGCATGAAACACAATTTATTACTCTCTGCTCCTTGAAGCATTGTCTTGTCTCCCAGGAATATACACTGCCAGTGTTCCTTCTCTTATTGCCTGCTTTTTTTTTCAAGGTTCCTTGCTGGTTCCTCTTTTTCTTTCTGACAAATAGAAGTGTTTCATGGCTCAGGCCTTGAAACTCTTCCCTTATCTATCTATCTATCTATCTATCCATTCGCACTCACTTTCCTCATGAGTTCCTCTAGTCTTGTGATAATTTCTAAATACATAACTTTAGTTTCAGCCTCTTTCCCAAAGTATTGACTCAGAGATCCAGCTGACCACCTGATGTCTCCACTTGAATGTTCAACGGCCATCTCAGAGTCAACATGTCCAGAACCAGGCTTCTATATTCAATCCAACCTCCCCAAACATGCTTCTGCTCAGCCTGCCCCAACTCAGTGGGTGGTGACACCATTGTTCCAGTCAAGACTGGGACAAGGGTGAAGCAAGCCAGCCACTTGGGCACAATATTTAAGGCATTGAGAGCATCAAGGAAGTGCTGACCTTGCTTTTGTATGGCTATGCAAGGGCTTCCTTAAATTTTATGCCCTCAACATCTCACTTGGCTCACCCTAGTACCATCCCTGCTTCTTGCTCAAGCCAAAAACTTCAGCATCATCCTGTATGCCTCTGTTTCTCCCATTTCCAATCTACCAGGATATCTTATTGGCTCTACATTCATTAATATTAAAGTGTTTGATCCAGTAATTAAAACAAATTAGATATATCAAAAGTAATGGAGGAGTTTTTTTTAAAAAAATATAATTCTTGTCCTAAAGAAGGAAAACCAAAATTCTGCTCTTATTTTCACAAAGGCAGGGAGCTAAGAGAGGTAGACATACTGTTTCAGAGTGTTTAAAAATGTAATAGACTTTGATTTTTAGACCAGTTTTAGGTTTACAGAAAATGTGAGCAAAATATACGGGGTTCCTGTATACTCTGTCCCCCAACCAACCTCCGGTTTTTCCTATTATTAACATTTTGTGTTGGTGTGGCACATTTGTTACAATTGATGAACCAATATTCATGCATTATGATTAACTAACATCCATAGTTTATATTAGGGTTTAGTCCCTGTGTTGTACGGTTCTATGGGCTTTGCTAAATGTATTATGTCATATTTCCCGTTACAGTATCTTAAAGAATATTTTCACTGCCCTAACAATCTTCAGGGGCTTATTTCCCCTCAGCTAGCAGTGACATCTTTAGGTACAAGTACACACCACCTATAACAACTTAATTTCTTGCCTTCTGGGCAAGCCAGGGCAGTGACTGAGGGCAGCGACAATGTCACCTATCTTCCATTCAGAAGCCTGTGTTTGTTGCAGGGTCCAGGGTTCCTGGGTCCAGCCTATGTGCCCCAACGATGTTCTCCTACACTTGAAGACAATGAACTTCCAGGCACATCACAAATGCCAGGTGCTCTGCAAAGCTGTCCTGATTCCTCTTAGCCACATGCATTGCCACATTTTCTTTATTCTAAGGTGTCAGGCACATGATCATGGTGTTCATCAGGCTGTCTGATCGTCCGATTATATGTCAGTCTCCCAGACTAGATCATGGGCTTTTTAAGGGCAGAATCTCTGTCTTAGTCATCTGTGTCTTCCTCAGGGCCTGTACTTGCCATTTGTTGATGATATGAAAAGAGTTGGCGTTGTGAGGGGGAGGAAGAAGGATAGAGGAATGAATAAAGGGAAATGAGGGAAAGAAAAAAGACAGGAAGAAAGGGAAGGTGTTTGTACCCATGCACTTGGTCACAGGTTGCTATGGGTGGGCACAGGTGTTCAGCGCCACAACGACGGGAAGATGAGCAAGAGAGGGCATCTCTGAGTCAGGGTTGGTGCATTTCTCACACCCAACGATCCAGCCACATCGTTGAAAAATCTGGGATATTGTACTTTTTCCCATCAGCAGCTCTAGTTGCACATGAGAGACTACTGCCTGCTATTTCACTGACTTCATAAAGTCCTAGAACCTCAGGGTTAATGAGTTCTTAGTTACGTGGAACAGCTTTGTTTGATAGGTTATTCTAGTTTTATATGTAAGAAAACTTGGTGTTCTTATATTATTTAATATATTGATTTGCTACATTGTATAAAAAAATAAATGAGACTTCTTTAAACTGTCTTAGAAGATGTCTCAAGTCTCCTGTGGCTCTCAAACCTCAGTGTGGACAGGCAGTTCATGACATTTGTTGTCCATAGTGTACTTGTTTGGACAATTTCTCAATTGCCAAACAGCAGTGATGTTTTCTGCGACAGATGAATTACAAAACAAAACATTTCACATTTTGTCCTCCCTCTGATAGAAATCTTTGTGATCCTAAACAATCAAAACTCTTTAGTTTAAATTGGAAGTATTATTAAGGAAAGTTGAAATTTTATGATGAAATTGAAGATTCAAAAATGTATCTATATTTGGGAATATTGATTATGATTTTAATGTTAATTTTTTTGAGCCGATACCATTTCCAAAAACGTAACCTACAGAAATACTAAAACATGCACAGTTATAGCTTAAAAGAATGTGGTGAAATTATTTGCAGTAGGGCAAAATTTAAAACAATGCAAATGGTTTTCAAAGAGGATTAAGTAACTATTTAATGATGAGTAAGTAGTAGGTTAAAAAAGGAATTATTTTGAATAATAAGAAAAATAAAGATTCTAAGATACATATTTAGTGAAGAAAGTCTCAGGATCACATGTTTGCTCTCATTTCATTTTTGCAAAACAAACAAGAATAAAAACAAAAGCTACACACGTGCGTGCACACACACCACAAGACACTTGTGAATTGAAGGGGGTAATGTTAATATTCACACAGGAACCATCAGTGTGATATAGGAGTGTCAAGAAAACCAGGATCTATAACCACCTTAATTTAAGGGACTTTATGTTCTGTATTATACCTTACTGTCTATAATAATAAAATTAAATTTTCCATACTTAAAGTATCTATAAAAAATAAATTGAGTAAATTGTATACTTGGATCTCAAGTCCAGTTCCTCTAGTTCTCTCAGAACTATCTCCCTTCATTTCAAAGTTCATGGATTGATTTTTGTTTTTCATAACATGTACCACTGTATTTTAAATTTACACATCACCACGGCATTCTTTTTTCTTGTTCTTTTATTATTAGAACATACATTTAATCCCTTCTGACAATCTAGCCATTGTAAACCTCCCAGGTTTATCAACTGTCATCATCCAAGTACCCACAGCACAAATTTCTGGTATTACAATGGTCTTAAATTTTGTCCTTTGGATTTTTTGAAAATAAATTATAGTGTCTATTTACATGGATAAAGAGTGACCACTGTCTTCAGCTGGTTCCTGTTGATAATGAGGCCAAGACCGGGGCCTTCACTGAATTCCCACATGTGCTTGGTTGCAAGCCACACTCAGGTGACAGTCTTGCAGTTGCTGCTATTGGTCACATGAAGACTGGGAAAGAGAGTGCATCAGATCAATATAAACTTATTTCTCTTGCAAAACATAACAACTCAAGGCACATGCATTGTGAATATTGGGTCAGAAGCATTATCTTCATATTCAAAGACTAGCATGTAATTATCAAGAACAGAAATATAAAGAACATAAATAGCCTGATGATAGAATTGGTGCACATTTATTATTAGAAATTCTATTTGAAATCCAGAGAAGAGTAACTGAATGGATAAAAACATACCGGATATTAGATGACAGAGAATATGAGAAAATTTCAACTTTTTTTTCCGGTTGAATTTAGCAATGTTTTGCTCCTTAGTTGACTGATTGAATAATTTGCCTCTCCCAGGATGTAAATTCTCAGAGATATTCCTTCTGCCATTGTGCCAATCTAGGTCACAGCTAGGATAGGATTTATATGCTGTCCTGGTCAATATCCTTCAGAAATGCCCAGCAGAACACAGGCACAAATATTCTCCTTCAACAAATACTCATTGAATATGAAATCAGACTTCTGCTGGTACTGAGGTACCAGTACTTCTACTGGTACAGAGTCATCTGGAGGGCTTGTTATGAGGCCTCATTCAGTATGAGGCAAAGGTTGTGAAGTTTGCATTTAAGTTTTTAAAAAGTCATGTATAAAGAGTGGCCACCATGATGATTAAACACATCATATTGTGCTCTTATAAAATTTGATCAAAAACCACAAACTTCAATGACAATAAGTAATTGGTCTTACTTGGTCTGTTCATTCTGAAAAAACTGAGTCTTGTCCTATACAACAGGGCTGGAGCAGTTGCAACATGCACCAGGTGGAACATGTTTAAGAGCTAATGGATAGCATTGGTTTACATTTCATGTAAGACAAACAGAGTAAATTAAGGACACATTTCTAGTATCTTCAGATATTCAAACAAGTAAATATTTCATATATCTCAGTTTGCTCCTTTATTTGTGAAACACATTTATTTTCATTTTGATAAAAATGTCTCAAAAATGCCTTAATAATTTGTGCTTTGGTGAGGGAAATTTGGAAATAATGAATGTGAGCTAATCCTCTCTTTGTGACTTAAGGGTCCTCATTTGAAATTATCATCTTTGGAGCTATGCTTTTATAACGTGATGCTCATTGGGTATTTGAGGTATAATGCCTGTCTCTAAACTGAATTGCCCCAAACTGCTTTATAGTAGTTGATTTCACTACCAATGTTTTCTCCTTCACTCTTATTTTGTATTTCAGTATACCAAATTTACATTGTTTTTGTTGGTTTTGTTAGCAACAGAAACATCAGGTGAATTAAAAGACACCAAGATAAGTACTCATCAAACTAAAAAGTTAAATGCAATTAGACGTTATTTTTGCCAGAGGGTGGGTGGGTAAATTTAGCATAATGCAGTAGTTCTCAGTCTTGAGCATGCTTCAGAGTCATCTGGAGGGTTTGTTAAAATGCAGGTTGTTGGGTCCCACCCCAGAGCCTCTGTTTCAGCAGATCTCGGGTGAGGCCTGAGAATGTGCATTTCTAGCACTTTTCCAGTGGATGCTGCCCATCTGAGGACCACACATTGAGAGCTACTTGCTGCAGAGAAAAGTGGAATGGGGATAGTTTAAAGAATCAGTAAGTGTTTAAGTTTCAGGAAATGTTTGGAAGTCTTCAAGTAGAAAAAGGGGAATGTTAATTTTCTCTTCACATATTGGGCATTACCTTTATGGAACTCTAACACAAAGAGGGTGAGCTGTGGGAAAAAATCAAGGGATTTGTATAAAATGATAGATTACAGTTACATGTTAGTTCACAAAATGATTTCGGGAAGGTATGTTAAATAATCCCAACATTATAAACTGATACCGCACCGAGCAACCTCACTCTCCAAAATCCTCTCATGTTGCCTTTGTGCTGGCCTGGATGGACCATTGGTTGGACCCCATGTGGCATTCCTAATGTCTCTATATTCTGATCCATTGATTGCCACTAAAGTGCTTTGCCGACAGATTTTGTTCTCAGATGGTGCACGGTGCTGAAGAGAAAATCACTTTGCAAATCCAGTGATTTCATGGGCCACTAGGCTCTCTGGATTCTCTATTACCCAGTTTATCTTCTGTTCATTTAATGTATTGCAAACAACATTGAATTAGTTTGTTGGACAATTAGGTAAGATATTAAGCTAAAGATGTACATATAAATATGTCAAGTCATTATTTTAAGAATACGTCTGTAAGGCATAGTTGGAGAAGGCTTTTTCTTGTGAACCCTGTGAAGGCTTTTCCCCGCAACTCTGTAATAGTTCAACAGGTACCAACTTTTATAAATAATACTTCTTTCTCAGAGGTGTTCACAAGTGAGAAAAAGAATTTTCTACAATGGATGTTTTAAAAAATCACTTCCAAGGAAATTAGTTCTTGTAAACCTCCTGAAATAAACATCAGGAAATTAAATTGGCGTTTGTTTGTTAGTAGAATGAACATCCTCAAGCAAATCCAAGATTGCAAATATTTTAGCTCAGGCCTAGTTTCTAGTCTCTGAAAGACCCTTCCTTCCTGAGCTATGACCACCTAAAGCCCTCCTGCAGCTTCACCATTGCCTTAACTTTCAGCATGAATCCTGAAATGATGCTAAGGAGATTTACATGACTACATGTCTATAAGCTATGGTTTCATCATTTTTTTCTTTGTCTCTGAGCTAATGCTGAGAAAATACCCTGGTTCTGCTAAGTGGATCTCAGTGTTACTTAGTCTCCTGCTCTCCGGGCACCCAAGTCTGATTCCTCAGCACCCAAGTCTGATTCCTCAACTTGATCCTCTTTTGTTACCTGTGATCGTCCTCAGGAAGGGGTATCCCAGTCCTGGATCCTGGACCACTGTCTTGGACCCTCCTCTGAAATGCCAAATATTCCTAATTTCAATTTGCTATCCTTCTTGTAAGGATGAATTGTCTCATACTGCATCCAACTGTTTGGACAGGCCAACACTTCATTTGCAACCCTCCGTGGGTATCTACTTATCTGAACTACAACCTGCTATCCCTTGATCCTGTTGGACAGGCTACTGTAGCCTCGCTTTACATCTGTGATGGAATCCATCCACCCAGATCCTATTCAGTAACAGAGCCTTTTCTCAAATCCCAGCCCGTTCTCATCTGAGCTACATGACAATAAGTAATTAATTGGTCTTACTTGGTCTGTTCATTCTGAAAAAACTGAGTCCTTACTGAATGGAGTTTCATAAGGACTGAGTTGTTATGGAACGATATTATACATGGGAGTGATGGACATGAAAAAGCTACAATATCTCTCTTGAAGAAACTCATTCATTCATTCTTTCTTTTTTTTCTTTTTTGTTTTTTTTTTTGAGACAGAGTCTCACTGTCTCACCCAGGCTGGAGTGCAGTGGCATAATCTTGGCTCACTGCAACCTCCGCCTCCTGGGCTCAAGCAATTCTCCTGCCTCAGCCCCCTGAGTAGCTGAGATTACAAAATTAGCCTGCCACCATGCCAGACTAATTTTTTTAAAATTATTTTTAGTAGAGACAGAGTTTTGCCATGTTGGCCGGCCGGGTCTCCAACTCCTGACCTGAAGTGATCTGCCCGCCTCAGCCTCCCAAAGTGCTGGGATTACAGGCATGAGCCACCGCACCTGGGTCATTTTTGATGACAGGGCAAACAAGCAAACAATTGAAATACAGGTTGAGTATTCCTTATCCAAAATTCTCGGGACAAGATGTGTTTTGGATTTTTAAAAAATTTTTCAATATTTGCATTAAACTTACTGGTTGACATCCCAAATTCAAAAATCTGAAATCTGAAAATCTTTAATGAGCATTTCCTTTTGAGCAGGACCTTTGAGCATCGTGTCAGTATTCAAAAAATGTGAATTTCAGATTTTTGGATTAGGAATGCTCAACCTATACAATACTTTAACCATAAATTCTGAGAACCTTTCTTTAAAGGATGTAGTAGACGAGGTCAGACAATTGTCCTTCCATAAACATTCATTCTATCATTTGTTCAAACCCCACTGTGTTTCAGGCATTTTGTTAACACATCGGGAATGGACCCAGAGGGCCTTTCTGAGAATTGTGTTAGACCCAGATATTCACCCAGGCCCAGAGCATCCAAGACCTTTTGCCTCCAAATACCAATGATAATTTGTCTTGTGGTCCTAAGATGTTAATCAGAGCTGCTTATAATAGCCTCTGAAACTGGCTTCTCTCCCCTGTAGCCCCAGATGGTCTACTCTGGACCCTGAATACATTAGGTTGGGGGATTCTAAGTGCAGTCACTTTGTTGCCAGGTCCACTTTCTTTCCAGAACCTCTGAATCAAATGTCAGCCTGTTTTCATTGTTCCCTTTCTGATTAGCTGTAGCTGGATATACTGAAGGAATGAAAGTTTTCTGAGCTGACTGCACTGATAAACCTAGAAGGAGACCATGGTGATAATTGCTTTATAATTTTCAAAAGTCAGCATTAACTGCTGAGTAGCAGAGTGGATTACATTTGCGTTTTCAGTGGAAATGATCACTGTGATGTCCTTACTGCCTCCTAACTCATGAAAGGAACAACTGGCTGGTCCCTGGAACTCCCTGTGTGACTGGTGATTGCCCACGGACTTCTAAAACAGTCTTTACTCTGAAGATGTGAATGTTGCCCATGGCCTTCAGCTGATGGATGATATCTGGGCCTGAGATGGCAATATCAGGTATTTCTGAAGATATCCTAGGGAAATGTGGGGATTGCCATGGTGCCTCTGAGCTTACCTCTAGAACAGATACTTTGATAAGCGCTTTTGTTTCTTTCTCTGAATTCTAAATCAGCCCTAGAATTCTGGAGGATAATTCTGAAACAAGCCCTACCCAGTCAATTTTCCTGAAGTTTCATGAGGATTCTGAAGAGCGGTGACAGGTGTTGGACTAAAACCAGGGAGGAAGGCCAAGGTGAGGAGAGCACTCAAAGGCAGTGGGTGGACAGAGGTCATCCAGAGGCTTGCAGAAAATAGGACCAAAGCCATGGCCCCAGACAGGAGTGGCAATCCTAAGTGCAGTTTTAGTTGCGCTTTCGAGATAATGGAAGTACAAAATCAGTCACTTAACCTCTTTTAACATCAGTTTATTCATCTGCAAAACATTGACATGCTACCTCACAGCATTCTTCACATGTAATAAGAAACGGCATGTTAAAATACTAAACAAAGCTTAAGAAGTGATGCAAAGATACTATTAGGGTAGAATGCAGATTATAATTCTATCACTTATCTCTTTCTTATTTTCTTATTTTCTGAGAAGCTCTTATGAACATTGAGTTAATTATTTCTTTTCCCTCCTTATTTATGAGCATACATGTCTTATTCAAGGTTTAAAATATCACTTGGAAATTAACAAGGGGTTTCACAAATATAGTCATATTCCTTATTTGTTCACAATATTTTGTCCCAAAATGTTGCTTTTTAAAAAATAAAAGAACTACTTATAAAATTGTGATACAGTCAAGGCAGACTATAAACAAATGCTCACCAGCCAACAGAAGAAATCTATCCTGCAATATGGAACACTTTCCCAGTGTACCATGATAGTTCCTTAAAGCTGTTATGAATTATTCCATAAACTTGTATTTAAAGACTTTTAAACATGCAGATTATTGGCCTGAGAAACCATTTCGTCTCAAAAGGAGCATTTGCAGGCTGTCGTGCAAATCTGCATTTGAGCAACTTTCATATTATGATCTTAGTGAATTCTTGACCAGATGGACTTGAACAGCTGCTACCCATGCTTGGGAAGTCCCTTTGCTTGAGAAGACAAAATAGCTCATTTGTTTGCAATTCTTTCCTGAAAGTACACAAGGGCAATTTTCTACATTGTGAATTACTTCTATCAGAACAACATTTTCCCTGAAAGACCACAGCTCATTATACTATTTAGAAACAAACAAAAATACATACAAACATTTTTTGGGGAGTTTTATAATTTGTGCCCAGAAGGGACAAGTTTCTTTTCAGATTAAGTTTTAAAAAATGTTCCTTTATTGCTGTTATGTTCAAGCTGACATGGAGGTTATAACTGAGAGAACCCCCCTCTGAAATAATAATGCCTTACATTTGTATAATACTTTATACTTTTCAAAGTGCTTTCAGGCACATTATTTCATTTGATCTTCAAAACAGCTCAGTGAGGCAGGTAAAGTGGGTGTTTTTATTCATTACATTATAGATAAGGAAATAGGTTCAGACTGCAAATATTATCTGAGTATCTACTAATTCCATCGTATTGTTCTAGGTGTCATAGAGGATAAAATAACATGTATTCCTAAAAGAAGAATCTTGGTTTTAGATAAGACATAACAACACAAAGCTAAATAATACATAAATGTACAATATGGTTCAAAAGATGACAAAAGACAATATATGGTCATAGTATTAGAAGCACGAGCAAACTGTATTCTGGCAGATTAAGGGAGACTTCTTAAAGCAGGTGCCACCCGAATATATATGCCTGGAAGGAGGTTTGGAATTTGTGGAATATTTACTCTTTGGCATCATAATCACCTTCTCATATAACCTTAGAATAGAAGAGCTTTTGGCATTCATCTAGTTTGTTCTGATACTAGATGTTGGCACTCCCTATAGCACCCTAGGCAAAAATGTTGGAATAGCTATGAGTCTTAAAAATTCTATCTTATGAAACCCCGTCTCTACTAAAAATACAAAAAAAAAAAAAACACAAAAATTAGCCAGGAGTGGTGGCGGGCACCTGTAGTCCCAGCTACTTGTGAGGCTGAGACAGGAGAATGGTGTGAACCTGGGAGGCGGAGGTTTCAGTGGGCCGAGATCGCACCACTGCACTCCAGCCTGGGTGACAGAGCGAGACTCCGTCTCAAAAAAAAAAAAAAAAAAAAAAAAAAAAAAATTCTATCTTATATGCAGCTGCAATCTCCAGTTCTATAATTCTACCCTCTTGACTAGAGTAAAACAAGACTAATTTATTTTCTCTTTCTGTGGAAAGCCTTTAATATGTCTGTAGTCAGCATGATAGCTTGATCTGCCTTTAGTCTTTTCTTCTTTCCATTTAATCTTAAAGCTTCTGGAGATACAGTCATTATTTTACTGCTGGGCCCGTATTTTATTTGTCCAAATTATCTGTAACTTTGGCCATCCCAAACTGTTACACTATTGTAGATATGCAGATTTGAATAAGACTCTAAAAACTATCATTATCTTTCCAATTCACTGCCAGCATGTCCACTAATACTGCTAGTTGTGAACAATTCTCACATATAAGAGTAACTAACTTTTGTGTAAAAGCGGCATAATTAATGTGCCTGGAATGAGTCATGGATGTCTTCCTAAAGAACAAAGGCCACCTTCCTGAAGAACAAAGACCACCTTCATTGTGATGGCTTTTTTCTTTTTCTTTTGTATTTTTCTTAAGCCATTAATGATCTATGCATGTCTGCACAGATGATACTTGCTTAAGGAACTAACACCAAATCTCTAATACAATAACAATTTTTGGTATTTTGTTTCTCATTTTTATTACTGGGAAAGTAAAAATTAACAGCTCGTGTAAATTAATAATCCAATACTGACCTCTGGTGTGTAATGAAGAAATTGCTTTCTGGATGAACTTAGCGGATGCTTGCGAAAAGTTTTATGTTTTAATATAAGAATGTCTTTCTCCAAGCAAAGAAGTTTCCTAGGCTATAATTAAAAATGTGGAAAGTGGGAAAAGTAAATCTAAGTAACTGAATGTAGAGAATGTCTCTGTGGTAGTTTTTAGTAGTGGGTAAGTAAAAAGGAAAAGTGAGAACAACTGACACTAGAACTGCCCCATTCAAAAATGTTTTTTTTTTTTTAATTCGGCCAGCTTTTAAGAAACTAAACACAGTGAGTTGCGAATGAATGATCTACCCTCCCTCACTTGACTATATTTGAATTGGACTTAAAAAAAATGCTGTTTTGAATTTCTCTAAGTCACCTCCTCAGATGGTAGATGTGTTTTCATTGCCTGCCACTCCCCAAAGTGTCTCTCCATTTATTTCAGACACAAGGTCCCAAAGTCACAATTTTCTAGTCTTATTTGCTCTTCTTTGCTGTCCTGTAATTTTCTAAAGCCAGACCATATGCCTGCTTTATAATTCAAAGGCATAATATTTGTTAGGCTGGTTCTTGATTCAGGTTTCTCATTCTCCTCCCTATTTTCAGTATGTGCCCTTCCCTCCCACTCTATGCTCAAGTCAAATTATCTATCTAGCATTTCCCCCAGTGGTACCTTCTGAGCAGAGGTACTGCAGAGTGCACAGATATGGCTGAAATGAGTCAGTCACTTTGCAGACAGAGGTGTAAGCCATGTAGGTTTAGGCCTCTACTGCCACCAGAGACCCTATTGCTGGGCTACTCCCTCCTGTAGTAGTGCTCATAGAACCTTAGAAATTCACCTGTTGAGGGAGTATCACTGGGCCAGTCGTCAATGAACCCAGATGCCAATTTAATCCTGGCACTGCCCCTGACTTGTTATGGGACTTTCTGCAATTCAGTTCAACTCCTAGGCTATGAGACTTCTATTTTATAATCTGTAACAAAGGGTGATTAGATTAGATGATTTCTAACATCCTTTGTAGTATTCCAATTCTACAGCTCTATACATGTGGATTCAGGAGGCTAGCTCAAACCCTGGGTTCTTCACTTCTTGCAATGCTCTCTCAATTCCCTTCTTCTCCCAACCTCTAGCTTGTCCAGATGTTACTGTACTTGTATACTTCCTGTGTATACTAAACCATTATATGGACTACACTCTACTGTATCTATTTGTCTATCTTTTTTCCTTCATTGAACTAAGATATGGTAGGCTGTTACTAGCTATCTATGGAGTGAATGAGAAAAGAATGCATATCTTGTCTTTATCCTGCAGGTCTGTCTCTGCCACATATTTCTGAGGAGCTCCTGGGACTGCAAAACTCTGGAGTCAGCATTGACCTTTTATCCTGGTTCTATAAACCAGATCACATGCAAGAATATTGCCTCTTAAAAATTCTCAAAAGTGATGAATAGCTATAGTCCATGCTAAAGGAAAATGGAGCACACCAGGTTGTCAGTGAGAGCTGAACCACTCTGAGTAATGGAGTGAGAAGTTTTATTAGGTTGGTGCAAAAGTAATTTGTGGCTTTTGACATCAATTTTAATGGCAAAAACTGCAGTTACTTTTGCACCAACCTATAGTTCCCAGAGTCAGGTAGACTAGGAAGAGGCAGGCAGAAAACAGAGACTGGGAGGTGGAGAAGAGTTAGTGAAATGATTTGAGTTTGGAGACAATGGGGTGAAGGCCCAGAGAAAGTTCCACACTCTTGGGGTGGCCACAGGAAAATTTTAAAACTCAGAATTTAATTTGACTAAATTTGTTTGCCATTTCAACTCTCAATTTCTAATTTTCAATAAACTTTTCTATCCTCACAAGTGCTTTACATGGGTAGGTTTTTGTGGAAAACAGTAAAAGTGATGAACATTCTATCTGAGTCAATGGTTCTTGGTGTTCAGGACACTTTAGAATCACTTGGGGAACTTTTGAAATCTGGATGCTGATGTCAGATTCCTGAGTGATTACAACAGAATCTCTGCAGGTGGGACCTAGGAATCAGTATATCTTAAAAGATCCCAGGTGAATCCAATATGCAGCTTGCTTTGGAATGAGTTATTGTGAAACAATAGACTACAGTGATCAACGTGAACTCATCTGAGAGACTCCTCGGCAATCATGTCTGCTTTGTTCTTTAATCAGTTCTATTTCACATTATTGGAAACAACTATTTTAATTTTATAAGCCTCCACTTTTCTCAAAACTTCCTCCTCCAATTCCATGTATACTCTCAATTAATGACTTCCCTTCTACCTTTCAGATATAATTGGAGCTCAACATGAAAAAATTCTTTATTTCCTGTCACCAAATCTGTAAATGTGTTTTTTCTGAATTACTTTTCACTAGTGCCTTTCTATCAATATTTGACCATCCAAAGTCATCCATCTCTAGAAAGTAACAATACAGAAATATAGGGTGTATATTTGTTGGAAATAAAATAATACTAACAAAGACCTCTCTGAACCAACCTAGAAAAGAGAACACAGTTTATTACTACATGAACATAGTCAGATTTCTATGCACGTAGGTACTACAAAAGTGACTAAAAAGTCTAGACAGACTTTCACATAATTCATTTAGCAAAGCAGAAGAAAGAATAACTTCTCATCTCCTCAAGAGACAAAGGGCTACATCCTAAGATAGTCCTCTAGTGAAAACTCCCAAGTAAGTTTTGGAGGCATTTGCTTACAATTCCAAGTGTCAGAAAGTCCCCATTATTCCATTGCAAAATCAAAAAGGCAAACCTGTTATTTGGACCCATTAAGATTTCAAGGAAATACTCTAAGGAAGGGGGATGGAGAGATAGTGAGCTCCAACCTCAAACAAGTCACCATTTTACCCTTACGGTATGCTTTGGTTGGTATATGCATGTGTATTTCTTAGCTTTGTGAAGTCAGAGAACCTAGAACACCTGGCCTCTAGACCTTTGTATCCAAACACTATTTCTCCATGAAAGAAACCCATGCTCTTTGGGGAAATGGTAAATTTTTAGAATAGGGAAAAATGGTCAATTCTTCTGTCTACAGAAGAAGGCTGCCTCATGTGGATTGAAGCCACACTGAGTGAGGGCTTCAATGCAGGTAGGTGACCCATGTGGGGTGTCAGAATCAAAGCAATGTGAGGGAGCATCCAGATAGACATATTATCCATCACCTGGTGTCTAAACCCAACAGGCTAGTGGGAAGAGAACACCCATGTAAGGCAGTGGCACAGAATGGGATGAAAAGGATTTGCATGTAGAAAAGGCAGGTCATTGTGGGATTTTTCTGGTCTAAATAGAATGAAAGCGGTATCTGTTAAGAGGGCTCCAAGGTGCCAGGTATTGAAGCCAAAGAACAGGAGAAGGAGTCCACGTAGAAGTGGTGGCAAAACGCAAGCAAGATGAAAAGGGCATCATCACAGTGATGTAGCATGGTTGGATTGTCAGAGCCTGACTGAGCAGGGTGGGGTGAGCGCCCATGTGGGGTTAGCCCAGGAAGGATGAGAAGAGTATCTATGTGAAATGGATGATAATCTAGGGAGTAGGTCGGAGCCCAAGGATGGCATCCAAGAATGAGGGTGGCCAAGCAGGAGGTGTTGGAGCCAGAGTAGAGTGAAGAGGGTAACTACACACAGGGGTAACTTAATGTAGAGTGCCAGGGTCTTGAATAGGGTCTGAGGATTAGACAGTAACAGCGTATTAGTGGGAATACAACCAATGCTGACAGTTGTGTTGTGAACATGAAGGATAAATCCTGTTTGTAAAGAATAAACCCCAAAATATTTGGTGATAATTGGGAATCAGGTCAGTAACTTATTCTCTAATGGCTCAAGAATTTTTTTGTGTATTTTACTTGCAAATTTTGCCTAAAGATCAATATATAAATATATATATATACGAACCAGCAAATAGCAAGTTCATTCTTAGGTATATTCTCAATAGAAATGTATACATACCGAAAAGCTTCCTGTTTGGATATTTGAAAGGAACCACCACATTCCACAGAACATACTTACATGGGGCTTTTATTTAAAGGCAAAGGATATGGTGCAGCAAGTGAGAGTGCAGGCATGGACTGGGAGTCTGAAAGACGTCCAATGTTGAAAGCTACCCAGGGCTCCAAGTATTCACAGACACAGAGTGTGCATTCTGTCTCCAGTGTGAACCACCATGATTCTGTGCTAGGAATCTTGCTTTCAGGAGGGCTTGGAGGAGAAATTCTCAACAACCCTTTTGTGTCTCCTTGTCCATGTAATCAAGCTAGGTTTCTCAAACCAATTAGGCCAGCTGTAACCCATCAGTAAAAAACAGACCCTGCAGGTTACCAGGAATCATTTCTTGACTTTTAATCATACGTGATAAATCTCATTGCAGTTATCTTCACCAAGAGTAAAAAATCCAGATATCCAGGTTAAAAGACGGAGCTTTTTCTGTTCAGCTATAAATCTGCACATATTTTTACTTAAAAAAACAAGAATATTTAAAGCATCATATTCATAATAACAATAACTGAAACCAACCCTAATATATCCATTAGTAGAAGAAATAACAACTAAATTGTGATCTATTTCTACACGGAATACTATGGAACAATGAATAAATATGCATTATTGTTACATAAACAACATAGATCAATATGGCAAATAATGTACTGATATTCCCTTTATGTAAAGTTCAACACCCAGGCAAAACCAATCTCTTGTATGATAAATTAGGATATTAGTTGCCTGGGGTATTAAAAAAAGAGGAATGGGCCAGGCATGGTAACTCATGCCTGTAATCCCAGCACTTTAGGAGGCTGAGGTTGGCAAATTGCTTGAGGCCAGGAGTTCGAGACCAGCCTGGCCAATATGGCAAAACCCTGTCTCTACTGAAATTACAAAAATTAGCTGGGCATTGCAGTGGGTGCCTGTAATCCTAGCTACTTGGGAGGCTGAGGCATGAGAATTGCTTGAACCTGGGGGTGGAGGTTGCGGTGAGCCAAGGTGACACCACTGTACTCCAGCCTGAGCAACAGACTGAGACTCTGTCTCAAATTAAAAAAGAGTAATGATTGATAGTGAATCTAAAACAAGGTGACAGTGGCTGATTATGTTTTTTTCCTGTCTTAGCTGATAGTTAAATGGCTGTGTTAACAATGTAAAAATTCATCAGTCTTAAAATTTGTTCTTAGATGTGCTTATGCAATATTTCAATAAAAGTGATTTTTAAAACATTTTATATAGGGCTGCACACATACACACACATGTGCACACACATACTCAACATTTATACTTGCTTTGTAGTCTTCTCAACAAATCCATTTAACTTAGCATTGACTGGGTGGTGACATTATAGCATGTGTTTCGTTATTCTCTACCTTTTAAAGTTTTCTTCTATTATTTCTGTTTTTGTTTTCCATTTTTCATGTTTTATCTCTTGGTGACTCATTTAGGTGGATATCACAACTTATGAATTCAAATTCTATTTCACTTAATGTTTCCCTCATATTTTTCATCTTTTTATATGTTTTAAAATTTATTTTATGAAAATATCTAACTGAGGTTGATCCTCAATTCAATTTGAAGGCATGGGATGTTCATGCACAAAGTATTAGGCAGTTACTTTAAAAAATGAGACAGATTTCAGTCTTGTAATGTACAGGTGCTATAATATAAAAATCATATTATATTTATTTATTTATTTATTTTGAGACGGAGTCTCACTCTGTCACCAGGCTGTAGTGCAGTGTTGTGATCTCAGCTCACTGCAACTTCCACCTCCTGGGTTCAAGCGATTCCCCTGCCTCAGCTTCCTAAGTAGCTGGGACTACAGGCACACACCACCATGCCCAGCTAGTTTTTTGTATTTTAGTAGAGATGGGGTTTCACCATGTTGGCCAGGATGGTCTTGATCTCCTGATCTCATGATCCACCTGCCTTGGCCTTCAAAAATGCTGGGATTACAGATGTGAGCCGCTGCACCTGGCCCATATTATCTTTTTAAGTTAAAAAATAGTACAATATATGTAGTATGAGACCATTAACAATATCTGTGTGTATGTGGTCTGTGTGTCTTAAAAAGAGTGAAGGCAAGTGTATTTCTAGAAACATACTTTATTAGTTGGGTGCATTGGGTTGCAAGTAACAGAAGACATTCTTATAGTGACTTAAGCAATAAAGTTATTCAATTTTTCTACAATACAAGACCTCTGGAAATGGAGACTACCAGATTTCCTGCAGCAGCTCAACAATTTCAATCACCCAACTTCTTTCTGTTCCGCCATCACAGCACATTCCATTTTCATTCTATGTAATTCCTCACAGTTATAAGATCACACACAACTAACACAACTTAAATAATTATGTCTTTAAACAATAAAACCAAAGAAAGAAAAAATTTCATATATATGGCCATCATTTTCATTAGAGGTCAAAATCCTACTAATAAGCTCCCTGCTTTGGCATTCTTCCTAAATACATTCTATTAGCTGGAAACAGAACAAATGTTCATCTCTAAATCAATCACAAGCAAAGGGAATTACATTAACGTTTGTATTAGTTCGCTTTTGCTCCAGTAATGCTTAAGAAACATGACAAAAAGTTAATGACCTATAACAGCAAGTGTTTACTCCTTGCTCGTGAGTTTTGTGAATTGGTTGCAGCAGTTCTACCTTAGACTACAGATGAGATTCAGGTGTGCTCCAGGAATCTCTCCTTCCTGGACCCATGTTGAAGGACACAGACTACTTAGGGCATTTGATTTTTATAATGCTGAGGAAGATTGAAGAGGAGAAGCTTCTTTAAAGTTCTGCTTAGTTACTTCTATTACTATTAACCTACCAAATTCTATTGGGTAGAGCAATCACATAGCCAAGCCCAAAGTCAATGATACAGAGAAATATTCTCTTTCCTTATTAAAGTATGGTAAGGATGGGGAGGGAAAAAGAATCATCTTTTAATTTTTTTTTTTTCTGAGACAGAGTCTCACTCTGTCATCCAGGCTGGAGTGCAGTGGCACAATCTTGGCTCACTGCATCCTTCACCTCCCGGGTTCAAGCGATTCTCACGCCCTAGCCTCCCAAGTAGCTGGGATTACAGGTGTGCACCGGCATACCCAGCTAATTTTTTGTAATTTTAGTAGAGAGCTGTTTCATCATGTTGCCCAGGCCATTCTTGAACTCCTGAGCTCCAGCAATCTGCCCGCCTCAGTTTCCCAAAGTACTAGGATTACAGGCGTGAGACACTGAACCTGGCCAGGGAACAAAGAATTATGAACACACAATACAATCTACTACAATATTCATGGCCTAGAACAATTATGGCTCATCCTCTCAGATTGGGAGAGGAATCCATATTCTGTGAACTTGTTGCAACAATACAAACATAAAAAATCTATGATCATTGTAAACAAGAAATAAGGAATTGTGGCTACTGAGTAGACAACAGTTCAATGTTGACTTCTCACTATTTAAACAAATTAGACTTTTTTTCTAATTGAGAAAATTCACAAACTTGAAGAAACAACTCCAATATTGATGAAAATAGCAGTGATTTATTTATTGACTAAATATTTTAATTCAATGATTTGGAAAGAGAGTTTTTAATCTTTCAGAAACAATTCTACCTTATTTTAAAAAGGCTGAAATTTATATATATGGGACATTCATTTCACAGTATATAACTCTCTGACACCTTCGGTGCCCAGTTTTATTTCAGGCAGGACAGCAATATTTATCCTCTTTTAATTCTGGCCTATCCACTGGCACAGATTGGTCTCTTATGTTACTATCATGAGCTAGTGATATGGGAAGAGAAGCATTGCTGATCTGTGAAACTGGACAATACATTTAATCTGCCTTGGTATTTAAACCACAGTAAATACCATTTTTAATTGGGTTTATGAAATGACATCTTGTTCAGGGCAAGGATCAGTATTGAAGAGGAGCTATACTTAATGCTAAATTAAATGCCCAAGTTAAAGCTAAATTGTTACACACACAAGTCAGTAATTTCAGGTCTATAACTGGCAAATAAATCACAAATTGACCTCTTTGAGCACACTGCAGGAAATACTTTGTGTGACATTATATGGCATTAATTGTAAAAGCCAAATCTGACTTCTTTCCAATTATATGTCCAAAAATCATAACTGAGAATTCTCTCTCTTTGGATTTTCTGACATTCTTTCCTTAGTATTAAGGTAATGAATGGCTTCAAAGCTGAAGTTATGGGAAATTCAAGAGCTTATCCAATAGTTAATATCTGAATCTTAGGATTTATCAACTGTAGCATATCTAAAGACACAAAACCCACCTTCTCTGATTTCTTGCCCGCTCTAGATGTACAAATACGAAACTCATTGCAAATGGAAGTGCCCTATCAGGCACAATTTTCATAAAGGGAATTTAAATAGCTATTTTAATTTGTAGACCAGACTGTGTAGTCCAGAAATCTAAGACTAATGAGCCACTTTCTCAGAAAATCACTTCTTCTAAATAAACAAGGTCTTTTGCACTGACCCAGGAAATCTGAGTTGTAGCTGAAAAAGTAATTATACCAATATCATAATAGGCATATCTACAACAATACAAAAGAATGTTCTCTCCATCTCCAAATGGAGATTCATTCAGATGAAATGCAATTTATCTGAAATGTTTTAAATGTTTTCCTTTGCACCTCTAAATGGGCAGAAAGACATTTCCTTTTAAGAATAAAAGAGAAAATCCATTATTTTTATTTTTTCTTTAATATATAAAAATAAATAAATTCCCAGACTAAATTTCTCCCCTACTAATTTAATTTGGAATAAAATTAGAACCAATCATTATGAGCAAAATGTTTTCAATTAAGACATAATTAATTAAATGTGCAAATGCAGAATACATTTGGATGTGCTATCAGATGACTGATTATACTGGAAATCTAATTTTACACTTAAATTGCCAGCCACACACCTCGTCTTGAGCTGTTGACCTATAGCAAGTGATCATAAGTTGAACCTTACCTCTGGAGGAAGTGGCCTCAGTGGACAAATTTTTCCTGCAATAATTCTATCACCATGCCATAGTATCTGTCTGCAGAGAGTAGTCAGAGGTACCTTGCATGAAGGAACTTCACTTTTGCCATCCTTCTTGTTTTTCAGACAGCATTTTGTTTGATTTTAAATAAGTGATGCATGTCTTGGCAAATTGTGAAAGAAAGGCCTCTTTTACTCTTTTCTACTTACTAACCCTTTTCTACTCACTTTCTCTTTAAAGTTGATAATTAAAGTACTAATGTGTGAAAAGGTACTGAGCTTTGAAAAATTTTTGGATTATTTAATATTGCATTTTAAATTATCTAAGTTATAGATACAAATGTCTGAATCTATACTTGCTGTTGGTGTTTATGGGTTAAGTATATCCTCAAACTAACCAGGATAATGAATTTTATTGCCTCAGAGATAGAAAGGATGATTTAGCAAGGTGTATAATGGATATGCAACCATGTTGCTCTAAAACATGAAGAGATTCCCATCACATAATTTAAAAAATGTATAGGTCCAAAAATTGGCTACAGTCAATAATTCTTCTCTAAATCTGATGTTATTTTATGTTTCCTGAATATTTGAAAAATTTGTAAAATGTTTTCAAGGATTCTAAAAAGTGAGTGATTGAGGAGGAAAGCAAAAGTTGTCAGTGAAAGCATCTGTTGAATGTCTGCTATGTGCCAAGCAGTCCACTTGGTATTCTCATATGTCATGTCTTTGTGCATCAATTACTGATCCATAGGTTGGTGCAAAAGTCATTGCGGTTTTAACCATCACTTTCAAGGGCAAAAACCGCAATTACTTTTGCACAAAACTAATATCATTTCTCAGTCCCAAGCCAATGTTTCAATACCTTTTTTTTTTCGATGCTGACTCAGACATCTATGTCCTTCCATGAGGCAGCACACTGTCTCCCAGAGCATGATAAGGAAGTTCCTTGGGTTAGATACCTTTCTAGCCTGGAAATATAACAATTTGCATTTCAGCCCATTGAATTAGACATTTTTGTCTTCAGATAATTTCTTTGGAAATGCAAATGTTCATCAAAGTTTAGTTACCTTTTGGGTCACTGAAGCTTGAATATTAGCAGGTTTGCTGGTTAGCTTTCTTCAAGAATAGTGGATATCTTGCCACAAAGGGAGAATAGGAAGCCAGAGGGGAAAGACGGGAAAAAAACAGGGATAAATACAAGGGAAGGAGATAGATGGTATTAGCATTTACTACCCCATCATTGTATGGACCTTGATTTTTTCCTGGAGTTGCTGAAGGATGGCTTGTTTTCCCTTTTCTTGTGTAATTTTTTGATCCAGTTGTAGTCTCACTATTGAAAGCTGACTGTAGAAAGAGGAATATTCAGAAAAATAGGCAAAGTGATGTCACGGTTTGCAATCTTCAATTGGGAAATCCAAAACCATGGTTCTCAACCTTAGCTACTCATAGAAACCATCTGGGAAATTTTAAAAAATCCTGATGGCTGGGTTCCATGCCCATAGATTAAAAAAAAATTCTTCCAAAGGATTCTGACATCCTAATCAGGGTTGAGAGCCACTGCTCCAAAGAGCTCAACATAATCAAATGGACATTTATCAGGTGCTCACAAGATTTAGAAAGGCCCAGCAAAAAGCAAAACCATAGAGACGTTGAGTCCTCTTTTGCTTCAGCATTCATCATCCAATTCCAACTCCATGTTTTTCCTTACTTCCAACTTCCATCTTTGCCCCAAGCAACCTGGACATCTAAAGATTATGGTGGTAATAGAAAATGAGAGTCATCAAAAAGCTCCAAGTTTAGTGAAGATGTGCAAAGGGAACCAACCCTTGCTGAAGAGTTCAGTGAATGAGCCAAGTTTCTCCAGAAACTGCTCAGCTTTGCAGTGATAATTTTCTGTGAAGACATAGACTGAAATGGGAATAAGGGATAGAAAGTTGAAAAAGAATTTTCTCAGAATCCACGTGTAACCTTACAGAAGGCAACCAGGAGGGTTAGTGAGATACATGGAATCATGCAGCTGGGGTGAGACAATGTAGGAAAATCAAGCATGAGATAGGAAATCAGGATACTGTGTTTCTTTGTGAAGACTCAGTTCCCTCTAATTGCTCATAAACCTAAACTCCCTACTTCATTCTTTGTAACTTTTTTCCTCATTTCTTTCTGGAATTTTTGGATTCCCTTCTTTTTAAGATAGCTTGAGAGAAAGGATTATCAGAGTCAACCTAACAGGCATTTATTAAGACACTACCAGGGGCAATATCCTCAGTAAATGATTGTCAAATTTTAATATGTGGTTAGAAACACCTGAAGGACTGCTGGGCCCCACACTCCGAGTCTCTGATTCATTGAGTTTGAGCTGGGGCTTGAGAATCTACATTTCTAGCAAATTCCCAGATGATATTGATATTGCTGTCTGGAGGCCACACTTTGAAGACCACTGCTTCTAGGAATGGGAAAAGAAATTAGATATCAGTAATCTGCCCTTAATGAGATTGCTTAAGGCTTTGTATTAGGGATGTACTTTGTCATAGAAAATTCATGTAAATGACAAACTAAGAACACTGGCAACATATTTTAAAAGTAAAATATAGTACAATACATTCCAGAAGTTCTGAGAAGGATAAATAATTAAGTAGTGGTGAGGCAGAAGAGGCTAATTAGAGATGACAAACAATAATAGAAAAACCATGGGCCACAGAGCTGGGGGTGGCCTGGAGCTGAGCTGAGCTTATTAGGGAACAACTGCATATGTGGACCTAAGGACAAAACTCAAGGTTTTAAATGCTACGAAATGTAGGGCCACGCTGCTGGTGCTAATTAAGCACTGAGAACTAGCTTTCATACAAGGATGAGATCTGTACATGAGAGCTGAAACAGTCTCTTGCTTCTTGATCACGAATATCTTCAGTTAGATGCAGAAAGGGTCCAGTGAGGGTAAGTGGGTTACTCAAAATTCCTAGCGTTTAATTAGTTTTAGCTAGTTAAGACTGATTGTGATGACACACAACATTTAACTTTGCTGTCTCCTAGGCAAGTGCTGCCAGAAATGAAAAGCCTCCTTTTTACAGAAAAGAGAACATGGAAGGGCCGTCCAGAGTTCAATCTCAAAAGCAATGCTGGGCAGGGAGTGACAAACGGTTGAGGAGTGTGCATTAACCTGGGTATTGGTGATGAAAAACATATCCTGAAATTGGAGATAGCAAGATCCTTGGTGAACTGTTGAGCAGATTGGGTTGATTTCAGTGAAGGATGTAAAAGGAAAAATAAAAATATTAATGCTTCTATGTAGCATTTAAAAGTTGTGACCATAAGATAGCAAGTATAATCACACACCAAAAAATGACATCTGTGTCCCAAGTGAGTGGTAGGCTTCAGTGTAGTCACCCAGAAAACATTAACTATTTGTCATATGTTCAAGATACACTGAGACATCTAAGAAAATAGAACTTATTACCTTGTTACATGTGCATGTAGGTGCACACACAGAGTATTACTCAGCTAATTTTTTCAGCTTTATTCTATATAACTATGTATTTTTTTTCAACCTTATTCTGCCTGACTATCCAGATTTTACACTGTTTAGATTTGGCTGTTTCCAAATTGCACAAACTGTCTTGAACTGATATGGACAGAAGGCAGGCAACTACTGGTAGAAGACGGCAGGGTCTTTGGCAAGGGCTCCACCCCCAAGCATGGACCCACAGCCCAAAGTGAGAATGATCCCTGTTTTCCTGCCTGAATATTGCCTTTTGGCCCACCCCCACCCCACCTCACTCCCTATCCTGTGCCTATAAAAACCCCAAGACCCAGACTGAGTGGACAGACACACAGAAGAGAGAAGTGTCTGGATGTTGAAATGAGAAGCAGCAGCTGGAGGTTGGGGACTATGGTCACAGAAGAGTCCAGCCAGACACAGCGGGCTCCAGGGGAAGATTATCTTCCCGCTCCACCCCCATTCCAGCTCCCCTTCCCACTGAGGGCCACTTTTACCACTCAATAAAGTCCTCCACATTCGTCGCCTTCAATTTGTTCATGTGATCTGATTCTTCCTGGTACCTGGACTCAGGTACCAAGAGAGCAAAGTGTAAAGGGCTGTCACCCCGACCCTCCACTGAGCTGGTTAACACTTAGCCATCCACAGATAGCAAATGTTAAAGGAGCACTGGTTGTAACACATGCCCTCTGGGGCTCTGGGGGTCGCAGACAGCCCCTCCCAGACAGCAGAGGTAAAAGACCATTGTAACACACTTTGACACTGCTGCAGAACCCACACAAAGCTTGCTCCTGCTGGAGAGGAGCAACAGGCCAGTTCCAGCATTCATTTGCTCTGGTTCCCACACTCATCCATTCATGTGCTTCCTTCCATAAGGGATTCAGCATGGTAATCAAGTAAACAAGCCACCGATGTCACAAGTCCAGCAAAGGGGTCAAGGGAACTCTCCTGTTTCAGAACCATTGAAAAAATTCAAAGAATCTGTGATAAGCTTGTAACCAGTGCCCTGGGATCTTGTGATCTCCCAGGATAGAAATCAGGAGAGATCACCAGATGCAGTAATGAAGGAGAGTTTATTACCTCTCAGGGAGCCAGACATGAGAGAGGAAAAAGGAGTGGGCTGTTCCCTGAAGATACTGTGTGGTTCGGTTAGGTATAGGGTCTTTCAATAGGGAAGGGTTACATCAGGGAATGTATAGGGGGAGTTTTGCTAGCACCTGCATAATGGCTCAACATGTTTCTTCATACATTGCATGTAGCGTTACCATTTTAAATCTCCACCTCTGGGCATGAACTTTAGTGTTAAAATGAGGAAAATGTAACTTTAGGTTGGAGTTTAAGTCTGACTCTGCATGTGGGACTCTGGGAAAGTCTCTAGGCCCCTGAAATAGGAATTTGCAGTTAATAGCTTCCTGGGTCTTTTATTGCTGATTGGCTGAGAGTTAGATAAGCTAGAGCTTGAGTTGAGGGGCTTTTATCCTTTTCCTTCAATCTTAAGATAGGGAACCAACCAGTCGGCCTGTCTCAGGGTCTAAGGAAAATTCTGAAAGGTCAGCAAGAAACCTAGTATTATAAACGACAATGCTATCAGCACTTATTTAAATATGTAAATATAAATTTAAAAGGGCCTATTAAAGTCATTCTGAGCCTGTACATTTAACCCATTCTAAATGTTTACAGGTATTTAGATATGAGAAGAAATTAGACCCAAATTATGCATCAATATCCAATATGAGTACACTGTGTATTAAAGATCAGTATAATCTCCCACAGACTGTCCTGCTGAGTTAGCCAATATACAAAGACATAGTTTGCTTTATATATGTTATAACATGAAAGAAAAGATATGTAGCTCACTGCCATTCAAAAATCCCAACAAATTATAGAACTGCCTCTATTGTGAAGCTGGCTAGTTGGGTGTTTTTGTTTGTTTGTTTGTTTGACAGAGTTTCACTCTTGTCACCCAGGCTGGAGTGCAGTTGCGCGATCTCAGCTCACTGCAACCTCCGCCCCTCCCAGGTTCAAGCGATTTTCCTGCCTCAGCCTCTCAAGTAGCTGGGATTACAGGTGTCTGCCACCACACCCAGCTAACTTTTTGTATTTTTAGTAGAGACGGGGTTTCACCATGTTGGGCAGGTTGGTCTCGAAGTCCTGACCTCAGGTGATCCACCTGCCTAGGTGCTTGTTGTTTTTTAAAAGCCATCTTTCTAATGAAATGTAACACTGATGATTACCTTACACATAGATGACATTAGTCCTTACATACTAATCTCAGTGCTAACTACATGTCTTACACTTTCTAAAATTTTACATTTTCTCTGTAGTTAAAGTCATCTTACAAAAAGACCAAAATTTTACAAAGATTTAATTGTCTTGGATTTCAAATCACAACTAATTTGATAGTCAAATGGTTAAAAACAAATTGATTTTATGAAAAATTCTTATAGTATTAAATTCAACATGGATTACCATTAATAATAGAATCCTCTGCTGGCTGTGAGACATGCAAAGTCGCAAAGCCCAGATCCACAGATTAGAAAGGATTTTGACGTGTATGATTGTCTTAGTCAGTTTGGGCTGCTATAACAAGATACCATAGACTGAGTGATTTAAACAACAGAGATTGATTTCTGGAGTTCTGGAGACTAGGAAGTCCAGGGTCAGGTTGTCAGCAGACTCTGTGATTGGTGAAGACCCACCTCCTGGTTTGCAGACAGCTATCTTCTTATATCCTTAGATGGTGGAGAGAGAGATCATCTTTTCTTATAAGGGCAGGAATCACACCTATGAGGGCTCCACGCTCATGACCTAGTCACCTCCCCAAGGCCCCACCTCCAAATATCAACAACTTGGGGGTTAGGCATCAATATACGAATTTTGGAGGGACATAGATATTCATTCACAGTAATAGTGGGCACTGTTGACACCACACACAGACATCCTGCATTCCTCTGCATTCCTTTTGCTCTTTCTGTAAGCCTCTTCCAGCTGCTTTGTGCTTTGCTTCCAAAGGCTTCCGAAGGCCTGAAACTGAGACTGTCTTCTTTTTTTTTTTTTTTTTTGAGACTGAGTTTAGCTCTGTCACACAGGCTGGAGTGCAGTGGCGAGATCTCAGCTCACTGTAACCTCCACCTCCTGAGTTCAAACGATCCTCCTGTTTCAGCCTCCTGAGTAGCTGGGATTACAGGCACCTGCCACCAAACTCGGCTAATGTTTGTATTTTTAGAAGAGATGGGGTTTCCCTCTATTGGCCAGGTTGGTCTTGAACTCCTGACCTCTTGATCCACCTGCCTTGGCCTCCCGAATTGCTGGGATTACAGGAGTGAGCCACTGCACCCAGCCACAACTGGGACTGTCTTTAAGGATCTCTGCACGGAGCTGAGAGAATGGGGCGTTTTAACCCTCTGTACAGTTCTTAGGCAGTGACTGACTGGTCCAAGTGTCTGAAAGTCTGACTCCCTGGCCTCAAGTTGGATGAGGCTGCAGCTGGACTTTGAAAAAATCACTTTCTTGGCTTCTCTCTCTTCCATATCCTACTTTCCCTTCTCCTTCCCTATCTTCCTTTGAGATCGCCTTCTTAATAAATTACTCCCACATGACTCCTCATCTCAGGGGCTGCTTGAGGAGAACATGACACAAGACAAAATATGCACAAAGAGCTTTACAAGAAAATTTTTAAAATTAAAAAGTTTTTAGTAGAGATGGGATCTCGCTTTTTTACCCAAACTCTTGGGCTCAAGCAGTTCTCCCACCTCCGCCTCCCAGAGGGCTGGGATTACAAGCATGAGCCACCGCACCCTGCCAAAATAAGGTAACTTCAGTAACCAAAACATAGGCAGAGACCTTCGTAGCACAGACTCTGCACAGATTTCATCTCAAACCAACAGCAATCCAATATTCTTTAGTTACCCCTCAGAAATATTTAAGTAAGGTTGTGGGGAAATGGTTGTTATAAGACAAGGAACATAAATTGATGCAAGTAGATTTATTACAATGATCCCATTTCTACTCACAGGTTACTGAGGCCCAAAGAAGTAAGTACTGCACATTGAGTAAGTGGCATGGGACCAGCCCAACAGGTGAAAGAAGTTGGAAATCTGTTTTATGTCTGAATTTGGAATGCAATGGCAGAAATCTGTTTTATGTATAAATTTGGAACACAGTGCCATAAAGTATATCCTTTACAGGTTTTATGCAAAGCCTGAAATATAATTATAGAAATTTATTGAATTTCAGATGCAGTTTTGTCTAGGAGAACTGAAGCAATGAAGCATAGGAAAGACAGATCTGCAAAGAGCCAAAGATGGCAGAAAGACTTCTGGAACCTGGAAAAAATAAACTAAAGTGTTACAAGTGATTAACCTAGGAAGGAAAGAAATGGAGATAAACTTGTTTTTGATTTACTGTAATTTTCTTTATTCTCCATATTTTCCATAACATGTATTAGTTTTATAACCTAAAAAAGTAAATTAAATTTTGGTTACTGCATAACTTTATACTTATAATACTGTACACTTAAAACAAAATTTCCATTTTTAGGGAATATAGTGACTATGAACAATCATGCCAGGGAACATTGTGCAGTCATTAAAAATAATGTCTATGAAGTGTTTGGGTATGACACTGAAAAATGTCATAAGATAATATCAAATAACAAAGCCAGGGTTCAAAACTTTATCTACTATTTGATATCCACTGTATCAAAATGTATAGAAAATACAAAAAGGAATTATTACACTGTTATAACTGTCATTTAATTTTCACTAGATTGTGAGGTGATGAATTTTTCTTGTTATTTATATCTTATGTACATTCTGTACTGCATTTTTGCAATCAGGCAAAGGTAAACTTAATACAATTGGAAGGCAAACACTTAGGTACTCTTAGGTCTGAAATGCTAACATCCCGAGGTTGTACTTCTTAGCAGGCCTAGGAATAATTAGTTCTATCTAAAACATTAGAACTAATTTACGCTTTTAAATAGATCACATTTTTCTCTGCTTCACTTCTCCATTTTCCTTCAAGCATCTATCTTCCTTTGAATGCCTGCCACTTCTTTGTCTCAGGAAAGCTTAAATTTATTTCCAGCAGTTTTCTTCACATTCACATGAAAAATACACATCTGCTGCCACTGCTGCTACTGTGTGTGTGTGTTTCTTTTTTCATCTCTTATCTCACTGAGAGTATGCTAGCATTTTTCTGATGATTTATGAAAAAGTAAATATAGTTTTCCAAGGCTATTCACCCCATGTAAATTTCTAATGATCCCAAACGTGAGGGTGTGTTTGACAATGATGCCTTGGTAAAAAGCCAGCTGCTCTTTTCATTTGAGCAATAGTCTGATATTATTCAACTCACTAAGTGAGCTTGTTTGTTTCAACAGCTGTTGACTTCATCTCCCTCTCAATGGATAAAAAGAAAAAGATAAAAAGGAAAGCTTCCCTCCATATCCCCGGCCTGGCTACCTTTCAGCAGGGCTCTTTACTAGGTGGTAGACATCTTATCCATTATTAGAATCAGGGACTTTTGAAGTTAGGAAAAATTTAATAGATTATAATTGCCAAGCACCCTCTTGGAGAAGTCGTTTTACATTGCATACATTATGGTGTCATTAACCACTTTTTGTCAGATAAGAAAATTGAGACTCAAATCCATTAAGTAGCTTGCCTATGGTTACAAATCTCGTGAAGTGAGAACTTTAACATATCTCTCTTTTCTCTCAAAGACAGAACTGTAAGGTCGAATAAACATTTTGGACTTAAGGCCTAATAAAGGATATAAACCACAAAATTAATCTCTTGTTAGGCTTCTCTGCTTACATTTGTATACTTGCTTACAATCTTCAAGCAAGAGAACTCTGCCATCTAGAAAGAAGACGTGGGCCCATTCTGCAGGCCCAGAGGATGCAGGGACAGCTGCAGGTTCACATTTCTCAGTGGCATCTATTCACATTTTCTGATTCCAAGTCTCAAGATGCCATTTCTTCCTTACCAAGGTCCTGGTTGTTGCATGGGATTGCTGAGGACGTAAACTAGGTTTCCCTTAAGGTCCACTGTTTTGTTTTTGTTTTTGAGATGGAGTCTCGCTCTTGTTGCCCAGGCTGGAGTGCAATGGCACGATCTCAGCTCACTGCAACCTCTGCCTCCCGGGTTCAAGGGATTATCCTGCCTCAGCCTCTCGAGTAACTGGGATTACAGGCATGTGCCACCATGCCTGGCTAATTTTGTATTTTTAGTAGAGATGGGGTTTCTCCATGTTGGTCAGGCTGGTCTTGAACTCCCGACCTCAGGTGATCCATCTGCCTCGGCCTCCCAAAGTGCTGGGATTACAGGCATGAGCCACCAAAGTTCTACTGTTCTGATAGTTGGTCCTGGCCTGGTCTTCAGCATGGTCTCCCTTGGCTGTAGAAAAAGATGGTTTGTTTAAGAGCTGCCAAGGGATTTTCTGACTTTCTCACTTTGCCTTATGCTGACCAACTGAAGTCTGCCCTTTTCTCCTTTCCGTTTATCATGGGACCCATCCACAGCCTTTGTAATGACCATTTACCTTGTACCTTCAAAAGCCAAAGAAAATTGCACAATCTAGCACACCCCTTCTGTCAGAATCCCATCTGTATTAGTTTCCTAGAGCTTCTAAAACAAAATACAATAAATTGGGTGGCATAGAACATGAGGAATTTATTGCCTCACAGTTTTGGAGACTAGAAGTCCAAAATCAAGGTATCGGCAAGGTTGGTTCTGAGAACCATAGGGAAGAATCTGTTCCATGACCTCCCCGTTGGCCTCTAATTGTTCTTGTTGATGCCCTGTGTCTTCTCACCATCTTTCTTCTAAGCACGTATGTCTCCGTGTTCAAATTTCACTTTTGTGTGAGGGCAACAGTGATATTGAATTATGGCCCACCCTAATGATATCATTTTAACTTGATTATCTGCAAATGTATTATTTCCCAGTAATATCACATTCCCAAGTACTGGGGGTGAAATTCAACATCTTTTGAGGTTACATAATTCAACCCGTAACATTATCTTAATTTGCTCCAGGTGAAAGTTTTAGCAACTGCAATGCTCTAGTGTGTCAGGGCACCTCTGGGCTCCATATACCCACTGTGATGGGGTATTTATTGCCATTTAGCTGGTGACTTAATTCTAGAATCCCATCCTCAGAATCTGCCTCCAAAAATCATCTGTGCCCTCCTGACCAAATACCTTAGGCTGGACTTCCAGTAGCCGACTCTGAGACACAGATCATGAACAAGGTATTTATTAAGGGCCAGGAGAAGAATGCAAGAGAAAAGGAAATGAAGAACAGAGAAAGGCACAATTTTAGCCAACTCCCTGGCCTCAGCCAGACCTTTTGGGGAGCTCTAGACCATAAATTATGTCAGAATTTGCCCCATTTTGAGGAAAGGGAGTTAGGCTTTCAGAATCTTGCACAGTCATTGGCTATAGGCTTCCCTAGACAGATCTACACTACCAGGCATTCCAGGCTCTCTCTGGGAGGGTTGGACTGGCCCAAGGTCAGCCTCTGAAGAAGGTCACAGGGGCAGACCATTTGGAAGAAAGCACAGAGAAGCTACAGGATGCATGCACATGGCTGGTAAAGTTGATAAGAAGGGGTCTGGGGAGAGCACGGAGAGAGTTCACTACCCAAAGCAATACACTTCTGCCCACTTGTGCTGACATTTACTGAGCTTCAACACAGGAATGTTTTAGATAAAACATTACTCTGGAACATTAAGGGAAGACCAAGAATGCCTTGAGATAGGACTCAGCATGTCCTGGAAGCAGGGTGCCATTTTGTGGGAGGGAGGTGCCCAGCAGAGGTAATTCTTGGATCCGTGACACCTGCAGTGGACAACTGGCCAGGAGGAGCCACAGGAACCAGCCCCACTGGCTCAACAATGCCAATCATCAGCAGCAGGAGGCTCTGAGTAAGACCCTATTTGTGAGAGTCCCCTGAAACTTTAAAAGACAAACGCAGGAGAAGCGGCGGTGAAGATGGACTAAAGGCCTCATGGTAACAGGTCTGTAGGTAGAGCCAGAGAAATCAATGCTTACTGTTTTTAATGTGTCACGCTTTTTCTTCTTCCTTTTACTGCTAGATGGGGTTGGCAATCCTTTGTTGAGAACAAAAAGTATTTTACATTTTTCCACAGTGGTAAAGAAAAATTTACGGGGCTCATTAGAAATATTTAGTGGATGGAAAGTAGTTTGAAGGAATCAATGAAGTTGGAAATAATAATCAAAAGAAATCAGAAAGGGGTAGAGAAAGATAGAAATTTACAGATTTCAAAGCAGGGATACATGAGGAAAAAGGTTACATAAGTTCTCTCTTTGAAGCACAGCAGGTGTGCAGGAAGGGAATAACACCCATCCAAATGCTTGTGCTCAAGAGATTCAGGTTTCTCTTAAAGTGAGGTCCTGGGAGTGCAGACTGAATGTATTTGAGGAAACCTAGGTTCAGACAGGTTAATTGATTTTTCTCAGAGTTACACAGCTGTGGATTTCACAGCTTAAAAAAAAGTTACAAAAATCCTAATGAGAATTATAACTGAGAAGTAGGTGTCTTTTTTGCTTACAGAATATTCTATGGCAAATCCTAGACTCAGGTTCTTATAGCCATAGCCCCAAGCTGTGCCAAACATCCCCACACACCCACTTTCCCAATCTCTCCAACAGACCTCATAAGTTATCTAACTTATGTAGTTATGTAGTTATGTAGTCTACGGCTATTTAGCCAACACCTGCATACAATCATCATTTATTAAATTGCCTAGGCAAACCAACATCAGCTTTGCTATATCTGGGCAAATATCTCTCCTATATTTGGCCTTTTAGCCACAGTGTGATGATTGGAATGTCTTACAGAAAGGAAGCTTTCTCTGAGACCCAATGCAAGGGTGAGGCCGCAAGCCTCTGACGGAGGTAACTTCCTGACTTGTATTTGGGATTTCTCCAAGCTGCTGAAATAATACTTGTAGTGTTTCATGGACACATGGAAATTTAACACCTCCAAAGTTAAGCCTGACGCTCTAAGGTGGAATGCTGAAAACGCAGAAAGCAGAGCAAGTGTAGGTGATGATTGCGTTTCACCTTCCTAGTGCCTTCATAGGGAGCTTCTGGATTTATGTCTCACTGGGTGAGGCCGCCCTCTCCTGGCCGACGATCCCACTGGCTCAGTCACAGCAGGAAAGCGAGAGCTGCAGGTTGCAGAAAGACAGAACTCCACTCTCAGGGGAAACTGCTGACAATGCCAAAAGTCGGAATCTCTTCACTGTCTCTTCACATCCCAGCTGTCAGAGAAGCTAAATTTAAATTTTAACTTAAGCAAGATTGTGTTTTTTATAGAATATTTCAACTCAGAGGGCAAATTTCATTCTAATGTGACAAAAGCAGCATTAGGAAAAGACTTGAAAATGTGTGCTTTTGAATGTGACCTGAGATATGGCTTCCAAAGCTGGCCATTGCTCTCCTGGCCCAGAGCCTGACCCCGCGTCATGATAGGAGAAGCTGAATCTCATACTCTGTAAGAACCTGGCTTACTCCTTCATTAAATGTGAGCTCCTCATTCTCAGAAGTGGATCACTGTAGTTTGAAGGATCAACATTGATCAAACATACCCATTTCTGCCAGTTTTACTCCCCTCTCTCCCCTCTATGCTGTTACTAAACAAGAGAAGTTATTCTACAATTTGTGTAAGTTATAAAATAGTAATTAAAGATTTTGGAATATGTGAAAAATTAAACAATCCCCCTACCTACCTACAGTATTATTTTAATGTTTTTCCTTTTTCTCATTTTATATGCACATTTACACTAAATGTTTATGTGTACATATATATTTTAGCCTATATCTATTTTTATTTTATTATATTACTTTTGATTTAGTATGTGTTTTATTTACTATGTAATATATGACATAGAAATATATATTTTATATTATCACCTTACATTTATAGCTTTCTTCTGTAATGTTGATTAATTATCATCATGAGTAAATTATATTTAGAGAATATGCTGCAGCAATAAAAAGCTTAATAACAAGGAATCTGGACTAAAGTAGATCAGGGTAAGCTTACATCCAATTAAGAAAGCTCTTCGGACACATATATATTCCACCTTACTCCTGGAAGCAAATGGAGCTACTAAAATGTAACTTACATTCTTAAGTTTTCCATGATCTGTGTACCCCTGTTGCCAAAGATATACTACAGTAAGAAAAAAGAGAATTTTATACCTGAAAGATTTTGGTCTGTGCTGGCTTGTAGGGAATATTCTCAAAGACTAGCTTCAACTCTGTCTGCCGTTGTTCCTAATAAATTATCCAAGTATCCAAAAGTCTAGAGTTCATGCTGCCTCCAGCCATTGAGGCCATTCACCTGGTGAGATGTGTTTGCCCCAACGAAACACGGGCCCCCTGGAGAATATATACCTGTCTGCAGTCATGTTCCATTATGGTTTTGCTTTCAGTTAGCCAATCATATATATAATTCATAGTAAGGGTATCAAGGTCTGTTTTTTTCCACCAGCAAGCCCATGGCAGTTTGGGAACCAGAGGCATTCAGAGTATCTGAAATCACTCCAAGCCCCAGGGTGGGCTGGACCTACCTGAGAGCCCTGTTACAGGGCGAAGGCAGGCTGTTCTGTGTCTATTTTCTCCTTAAGCCATTTCATACACACATCTTTGATGAGAGCATCTAAGTGTCATAAAATGCTGACATTGGACCCAAAGATAAATTACCTTGAATGAAATGGGCTGGGACTTCCAATTAGCAGCAGAAATTCCAGGAATTTCCATATTACTTGGCACCCATATTATCAGCTAGATATAGGGAGTTTGGACTTAAAAATTCAGGAGCATGGGGATGCATGGTAGTGAATTCCTGTAATTTTATGTTGCCTTGGCATTCACTTTGAATATAAGTTGGACTTTCTCATACAAGAAACAGGGCTTAGTCACCCTTGGCACAATTTCCAGTTCTCTATTTCATCCCAGTTCCTTAATGTGGTAATCCAGATATGTGCCTTATACAATTGCCCCCTGTTGACCATCTTCCCTAAAAGATAGCTAGATATCACCTATTGGCTTACCCCACTGACTCCTCCATCCCCCATAGACTGCACAGATATGCTGCAGTGACAACGTCTCGGTTAACAGCATGGCCACATAGAACTTGCACCAGCTTGTTTTGCACCAGCTTGTCTAATTTAAACTTGCAAATTAGAACTCCCATGGAAACCCACCTGGATAATATCTTGGAGTCCAATAAAAGCTTTAGCACACAGGCCCCTCACTCTCTCTTTTGCTCTCCACTTTCTGGTTCTGGTTGAGCATGTATGTCTAGAATGGCTCCCCCTACCCATTGGCCCTACAAGGAGGGCTGCCCTTTTCTCTAATCTGTAAGTAATAAACTCCTTCTATTATTATATGGTTTTAGTTGCATTGCCTCCTCTGCATCTCATCTGACTGACACACCTGAATCTAACTTCTTTCCAAGGGAAAGCTCTCTTACACAATGGATATCTTGGTAGAAATAAACTGGGCATAGGTCAGACAAGAGCCACAAGGGGGCCTGCTGGTATAAGCATGTTTCCTGTGAGTGGGACACCTGGTCATGGGTTGAACGCTTAGGCATTAGGCAACACTTAGGCATTAGGCCATCCACTAGGATAAAGAAGTCACTGTAGACATCCATGACCAAATCACTGGAGCCCTGTCAATGCAGGGTTAGAATTCATACTCATTTTCCAGAGAGAAACCTCAAGAACAAATTAGAAAAACAAAATTGCAGTACTCACCCACAGCCTCCTGCTTTTAGAGAAGGGGGTGCCTGCAACTTTCCCACTAGCCTTTCACTCTCTGTCATTTCCCATCTCCATACGAGATAAAAACTTTAGCTCACCCCTGCTAGGGAAGGGCAGAAGTGAGGAGAAGCTAGGCAAATGGTTGGAACTGATTACTTCTCATATTTCATCCTAATTTGCATTAGTGCTCAACTTCGCATCACTGTCTCTGTGTATATAATTTTTTTAGTAAAAAAATTTCCTCTTCTTTTCAATTTTGAGCCTGAAATTGTGAACAATTTGATTGCTATTTTTTAGTCATATTAAGATTCTCTTAAAATATACTCACACATTGTTATGTATCTAGCAGGCATATACTAATGTATGTTCTTGTAAAAATATGCCTATGGGTATTTAATGCTGGAGACAATTACTGTGTTTCATTTCAACTTCAGTCCACAGCATGGGACCTCTTCTGAAAGTGCATGTACAAAAATGATTATGTCTAGTATAGCTCAAAGTATTATCTTCCCTTCTCATTCCTGGAGAATATTACATTTTTTTCCTCCCTCCAGAATTTTGTAATTACTGTAGGAAAAAGAAAAATTAAACGATGCTAAATTTACCAAGTGCAGATCTTTCAAAACTTCACAGGTAAAGGTGTCACAAAAACATTTTTTAAAAAAATGGTTTTGTCACAGCTTTAATTAAAGAATTAGCTAAAGACTTGCTGTCTGAACATGAAATTATGCTATCTCACAAAATCTTTCCCTCTGTGATTAAAATTTGTAATCCTCATGTTCTTTTTTGATTTCCTGCTATATAAAAATATATATTTAGGGCAGGGCACAGTGGATCATGCCTGTAATCCCAGCACTCTGGGAGACCTAGGCAGGAGGATTACTTGATCCCAGGAGTTTGAGACCAGCCTGGGCAGCACACACAGACCCCGTCTCTGTCTGTGTGCGTGTGTGTGTGTGCGTGTGTGTGTGTATATGTGTGTGGTGTATATACATGTGTGTCATATATATATATATCTCACATAAAAACTAATGTGAATTTCCTTTTCCTACCTGTACTGGATCAAGTTTAAAAGTCCAACACACATAGGGGAAACATTAAGAAATGTAAGTCATTGTCATCATCATGGTCATCGTCACCAAACCCTCATTTGGCTGGTGGGAAACAGATTCAAATTCAGTTCTGTTTGAAGTCTGAATTCAAGACATTCACATGTTGAGAGCTTAATCCTTATCCTTTACTGCCTCATGTACTCTGTGTAACCAAGAGAGATGATAGACTTGTATTTATTTGTGCCTTCACTTTGGTTCTACATGGACACCTATTCATCTTCTACATAAAACTGTATTTATCCTGAGCCAGTCTGGCTAGGCTTGTGTTCCTGAATATTGAGAGCTGTCTGAGTAAATGCTCTCTCTAGATAATTTTATCCTATGTCATAGGTTTAAATCTTACCCAAATGCTGGTTATTTCTAAACTAACACGTCCAGCTTTGACCTCCCCTCTGTGTGCAGATTCAGACACCTGACTGCCAAATTAACACCTCTCCTGGGACACCTGAGAAGCATTCTGAATTTAACCACTCCAAACAGAAACTTTGATTCCTCCCTGCCCCAAATATGGTGCTTCCCCTCACTTCCAGTCTTAGTGGAAATATCATCTCTAACTATCCAGTGGCTCAGGCCCTCAATTTAAAAATCAGCCTGGATTCCCTATTTCTTACACACTCCACGTCCATTCCATTGGCAAAGCCTGTCAACTTTATCTTCACAACACATCCTAAATCGAGTTCTCACCTTTTTTGTAGCTACTACCCCAGGCTATGCTTCCATTATCTCTCTTCTAAATTACTGCAGTCACTTCTGACTGTTCCCTTTACTTCCATTACTATTTTTTTTCACCACCTCAATCCCTGGCTATTTTCCAAACAAGAGCCAAAACGATTCTTTCAAAAACATAGATCAGATCACATCATTTCCTACTCAAATTCTATAACAGATTTTCATCACATGAAACAAATCCATAAGTCTTCATCATTATCTCCTAGGCCACAGGGAATCTAGGTCCTGCTCATCTTTTGTATCTGTTACTTACTACTTTTCCCTCTGCCACTCTATATCACTTTTGCACTATTTTTCTTGACGTTTATTAAACCTCCCAGCTCTTGCTACCTTAAGGCTTCTGATTGGCTATTCCCTCTTGCCCCAGATATTGGTGTGGTTCTTTCATCATTTCTTTCACGTCTGAGCCTTCTCTCCAACAATACTCTCTCTACACACACATTGTGTCATTCTATATTCAACCACACTTCATTTTTTCCTCATAGCCCTTATCACAACCTAACACTATACTATGCATTTGCTTCTTAACTTGCTTACTGTTTTCTTCATTAGAATGGTCACTCCACAGGGGCAGAGATTTCGCCAATTTTGCTCATCCTTGTATTAAAAGAATTTTTTAAAGTGCCTGGCACACAGTAGGTTCTAAAAATAAGTGTTGAATTTTAACATTATGCTTTTAATATTTTTTCTAAAATAGGCCTTTATGCTCTGTATTCTTAGATTATGCTGAACACAATTGTCTTTAAGATTTGCAGCATTTGTTAGAAATGCTAGTTGTGGTGCTCTGTTAGAAAGTACAGATCCAAGGCTGGGCGCGGTGGCCCATGCTTGCAATCCCAGAACTTTGGAAGACTGAGGTGGGTGGGATCACAAGGTCAGAAATTTGAGACCAGCCTGGCCAGCATGGTGAAACCCCATCTCTACTAAAAATACAAAAAATCAGCTGGGCACGGTGGCACGTGCCTGTAATCCCAGCTACTCAGGAGGCTGAGGCAGGAGAATCGCTTGACCCCGGGAGGTGCAGGTTGTAGTGAGCCGAGATCGTGCCACTGCACTCCAGCCTGGGTGACAGAGCGAGACTCCGAAAAAAAAGAAGAAAGAAAGAACGAACAGATATAAGAAAAGTATGATAAAAGTGTGGGAGGCTGCAGTTGAATATGGCTTTAGTTCTCATTTTGAACATCAATGTAACAGCCACGGTAGATTAACGGCTTCCCTACTTTCTTTTTTTTAAAGCATTACTGATTACATTTCTCATATTTTTCTTTCACATCTCTTACATCTTATTCCATGAAATAAGTACATTTCTTTTCCTGCCCTTTCTTCCTGTTTAATGTTTATTCACACTTCAAAATGCATGTAAAATGTTAGCTTCATCAGCACTCACAGTTATAACTTTTTCCTCCTCTTCCAATATATAGCTAATTATATACAATCTTACTATAGAATTTATTATGTTATTGCAATCTGATTGTTAAATAAACTAGATTTAGTGAGATGAAAGCAGAAAACATAGCTACTCTCTTTATCCACTAACTTTCAAATTCCCACACCCAGAGGTTAGTTTCAGATCATAGAATTTGTCATTGTGTTCAGGTACTGAGTATTTCACCTTTAAGTAATACAAAAGCAGCATTATCTGACACTGTTTTAAAACTATATTTGGAAATACCAAGAATTTAATAGCCAAGATAACTTTGAAAGAGAACAAAGTTTGAGGATTTACATGATTAAATATCAAAACTTACTATAAAGCTAAAGTACATCAAACAGTAAGGTGTTAGAACAAGCATGGACACACAGAATAATAAAACAGAAAACAGATCAGAAACAGACGTTTCTATATATAGTCACCTGATTTTTGACAAAAGAACTACTACAATTTAGTGTGTAGAATGGCCTTTTCAATAAAAGGTGCTGGATCAACTGGATATCTATGAGGAAAAATTTATTTTGACCCCTCCTCATACCCTATACAAAAGCGAGTCTGTGATTTGCAAAAATCACATCAACTAGATCTGAGACCTTGGTGAGAAATGTAAAATCATGTAGCCTCTTAAAAGAGAACATAGGACATTATTTTTATAACATTGGGATAGGCAACGATTTTCCAAACTGTACACAACTATAACTATAATTGATAAATTAAACTTTCCTAAAATTCACAATTTCTGCTCATCAAAAGACACCCATTTAGAGAGTGAAAATCTCAAGCACACACTGGGGAAAATTACTATATATATAACTAAGGATTTGTGTCCTGAATATATAAAAAGAAGCTCCTCAATAAAAATGGTCAAAGTGGTCAAAAGACTAGAAAAGGAACTTCACACACACACACTCACACACACACACACACGGTCAATACGACATCATTACTTATTGGGGAAATGCAATGAGACACCACTACACAATGACTCAAACTTAAAAGACTATTCAATGTAAAATTTAATATGTGAGGAAGTGGAGCACCTGGAACTCTCATACACTGCTGACTACAGTATAAAGTTTTACATGAACCTAGGAAAATTGTTTAGCAGGATCTACTTGTTTCAGTGTTCACTGGGTGGTCAGGTTGTGCTGCAGGATAGACTATCACAAGAATGTGGTCAAATGTGGTCAAGGTTAACAGGGGAAGAAGCGCCGCCCAGGGGAGAGACCAGTGCATGATTTGAGGTCACTGAGAGCAGACAAGACGCCTAGCAGGCTCAAGTGGTACAGTGTTTACTTACACCAAAATGAGAGAGAGAGTGTTTACAAGATCCAGTCCCTTGAAACGTGCCAGTCCCCCATAGGCAGCAGATCCACTCCAAAGCCAAGGTGGGCAGTATGGCTGCAGGCATCCCACTTTATGCTGCAGTAAAAGAATCCCCTCCCCAAAACCCACCTTTCCCATTCCCTCCCGCAGCTGTGGGATCTGAAATACGAAAAGCTGGGGAGAACCATTCATACATTCACTTAATCAGAACAAAGGAGTGCACACACTGACTCAGAAGCAGGGAAAGATAGTCCCACACAAGGTGACAAGCCCAGGTCAAGCTGCGAGGACTCTATCTCTTGATAAGGAAGTGTTCCAGGCCCAAGCCCATTCTTACGTAGCTGAGTGGGGGTGAGTATGAGACTGCCTTTCCCTACATTACGAATGTTCAATGTGGTCTTCTGTGACCCAGCAAGTCCACTCCTATGCACTTTACCCGTGAGAAGCACACATACAAATATGTTCATAGTAGTTTAATCCCTAATAGTCAAAGCCTAAAAACAATCCATCCATCACTAATGGAATGGATAAGCCAGTGGTGATACATTCCCACCACGGGGAGCTATACAGCAGTAAAAATACACTGCCGACCACACGACCCTCAGCATGACACCCACAGACATAATGTAGGGGGAAAGAAGCCAGCCACAAAAGATTTCATAATGCATAATTCCGTTTATGGAGAGCTCAAGAAGAGTTAGCCATCTAAAGTGATAGAAGTCAGGTTATTGTTTGTTTCCTGAGAAGTTCTGGCTAGGGTTTACATGGGTGGAGATAAGAAAAAAGTCATCCAGCTGTACATTTAGAATTCTTGACTTATGCATTGTATGTTTGCAAAAAAAAGGAAAAAAGTGCAACCTAGTCTAAAATAACTTCATTTCCAGCTCCCCGTCCCACTCCCAGGCTTGATTCGAGGCTCTCCAGGCTTGCAGAGGAGTAGGGAGTAGCACATCCACTTTTCTTCTTTCTTTATTCCAGTCTTACCTGCTTTCTAGCTGACCTTAAGGTCAGGCACAGGAGTGAGAGAGGATTTGAAGAAAAGGCCAGATCTTTCTGGACTGGGGCTTCTGTGAAAAATTCCCAAATTCTGCCCCTTTAATCACCCCTTGGATGGTGATTGTGTAAGGGACAGCCTCCCAGGGCACCGAGTCCCCCAGGGCGGACGCTTCCCGAAGTGCCCCTGGCACAGGCGGCTCTCAGTCACCTTACCCGGAGCCAGTTCTCTGGGGCTGAGTCTCTTAAGATGTCTACAGTACTGCTACCTCCCATGAGATAAACTCTTCCTACACGAAAATCCCACTACCTCTGCCTCTCTATAGAATTACGGACTCTTCTGATCATGTCGTTCTGCCTGCGCTCCATCACACAAAACACTCCAACTTCTTTCACAGAGAGGACTCCAGTCAACAAGAGTCACGCCCTGTTCCTGTCTCCTCAACTCCAGGGCTTCTGGTGTTTTTTGTTTGTTTGTTTTGTTTTTGTTGTTGTTGTTGGGTTTTTGTTTGTTTGTTTTTTCTTGAGGCGAAGTCTTGCTCCGTAGCCCAGGCTGGAGTGCGGTGGCGCTATCTCGTCTCACTGCAACCTCTGCCTCCCGGGTTCAAGCAATTCTCCTGCCTCAGCCTACCGAGTAGCTGGGATTACAGGCGCCCGCCACCACACCCAGCTTATTTTTTTGTATTTTTAGTAGAGCCGGGGTTTCACCTTGTTAGCCAGGATGGTCTCGATCTCCTGACCTTGTGATCCGCCCACCTCAGCCTCCCAAAGTGCTGGGACTACAGGCAAGAGCCACCGCGCCCGGCCCCGGCTTCTGCTCATTAAGCCATTCTTTGGATGCCGCTTTCACTCTTCTTGAGGTGGTGGGGGAGGAGGGGTCCAAGGAAGGGGGAGGAGCACAATTTGCCCACAATTCTCTTCAAGGAAAACCCCACCAATTTCATTTCTTCAATATCCTGGCCTCCTCTTTGCAGATGCTCTTGTTTGGAGGTGCCTATGGGCTAAGGTTTGCAGAATCAGCTCCGAGACCACCCCGACTGGGAAGTCAGATGAGATGGTCTGTCCTCTTCAGCTAATGCCCATTGTCCTTACTGTGGAGTATCAAAAGAATAACGGACATCACTGAAGAAAATGCACTTAACATCCTGTTATAAAACATATTTTTATTTATTTTTTTCACGTGACTACTTTTCTCTTCACCCCCTACTTTATTCACACTTTGAGAACAGACTGAAATGCATGTATTTGTATCCTAAGTGCTCAGATCTGATAAGGTCTGATTGCTGGAAAACAATGCATGAGAGTTTATATTCATTTAGCAACAACACACCAGTCTTCTAAACTTATTCTAATTTAGACATGTAAAAAGTACAATAGCAATGCATCTGTATCTGTCAGACTAAGCTAGCTTATGCTACAATTGTATATAAAACAATAGCCTCAGTGACTTAAAACACAAAAGCCTCATTTCTCACGCATGCTACATGTGCATTGCAGTGGAGTTTGTGCATCATAATGACTCAGGGATCCAAGCTGACTGAGGCTCTATCTCCACTTGTTTCCATGATCACAAACACAGGAGGAGAGGGAAATGTGAAGGACATGCTGGTTTCACAAGATTTTGCTCAGGAGACAGATGTCAATTTCCCTCACAGTTCATTGATCAAAGCAAGTTGAAAGGAGAAGATAGATATGAATGGGGTAGAGAATTCTAATCCTCTCCTAAAGAGATAATGAATATTGCTCCCAAATATTTTCCCCAAAGCTAGGAGAAGAGGCTTCAAATTCAACAAATCAGGCTGAAAAGCCTATACTCTTAATCCTATCAATCTATCTGTGTAATTACTATACATAACTATATGTGCTATCTCGGAACACATACAAACATACACATACTCACACAAATACATAAGTAGATGTATATTCCTTTTTAGCGTATTACAAAATGTAAAACCATTTCCAGATTTCTGTCCACATCTAGATCTCCCTTTGCCCCAATATTACAAACTTGGTGTTCATACTTTCAATGTGCATATTTTCATAATTTCATAATAAAGTTATCAATAAAAATATATTATATTGTGTTTCATATTTAAATAAAATGATATTTTTGTCACTTGCTTTTGTCACTTTTACTCCACATCACATTTGAATTAACTACAGATTTTGTTAATTCCTCTTAAGTTTAATTGACATTATAGTCACACTGTGAAGACACTGGATCATATACTGGATTTCTCAAGAGTCCATGAGTCAAATACTTTTTTATTCTGCTTTAAAATTTATTTTACTTAAAAAGTTAGGAAGTCTTGACAAATGCCAAAGCAAATGTGTTCTGTGGCTTCTTTCAGTTTTGTCTATGATGGAATCAGGAAGAGAGACTTTCAGTCAAAGCAGGAGGGCACCAAGTTAGATTACAAAGTTGATGCACAGTTACTTATTCTAAACCTGAAAAAATGTTCAAAAGCTCTGTATATCACAAAAACCCCAACAACTGGAAGGTACCACGTATTACAATGTGTCCCAATACATGGCTTCGAAGACTAGAAACCAGGGTACTTGTAAGTGATCAGATATCTTCTGGATGTTCTAGATGATATAACTAGCTGCTATGGTTTGGAAGTTTGTCCTTTGCCTCATGTTTCACTTGGATCCCCAATGTTGGAGGTGAGGCCTATTGAGAGTGTCTAGGTCATCGGAGCAGATCTCTCATGAATGGATTAATGCCCTCCCTCAGGGTGAATGAGTTCCCCCTCTTAATTTCTACAAGAGCTGATTGTTAAAAGAGCCAGGCACCTCCCCCTCTCTCTCTTGCCTCCTCTCTCTTCAGGTGATCTCTGTACTGGCTGATGCCTTTCACCATGAGTGGAAGCAGCCTAAGGCCCTCACCAGATGCAGATGCCCAATCTTGAACTTTCCCACTGTAAGAAGAGTGAACGAAATAAGTCTTTTTTCCTTAGAAATTACCCAGCTTCAGGTATTCCTTTATATCAATATTAAATGGACTAAGACAATAGCTGATGCCAATTCTGTAAACAAGAATGTCAAGGGTTCAAAATACAATATCTTTTTCATCACTTCAACATAACTTTGAGTCTGAAGTAGTCACTATACTCACACAAAGCACTAGCACAAAGCATTTCTGTTTAAAATATATTATCAAAATACACTTTCAAAGGTGCAAAAATAAACTCCTATAATCATACAATAACATTTTGGGAGCCTAGTGTAACTATTTTAAGATTCATGTTTTCTTTTTAAAATCAGAAGTAAAAGTTTTCTTCTTTAAGCAGAAACATTTGGTTTTTGGAAATATATTGAGATTTGACCCCTTTAAGGTTCCTATTTTTATAACCTGATTTTAATTTGTTGATGTCATACATGTTAAACAATATATTTTATGCTGAAGTCAAAATTCATCAGATTTCTCTGAATCCAAAGGTTTTAAGAGAATTTCCAAAGGTTTTAATTTCCAAAAGCTTCCAAAGCTTTTAAGAGAATTTGTAATTAGACAGGGGCTATAAAATGTTGTAATTTACTCTTATAGATAGATCAGTGATTATTACATTTCACAGTATGTATTAAGAAAACAATTAGCTTAATTAACACAAATATATACATTTCTTGGAAATACTGATTTTTTTCAGCTAACAATTTGGTAAGGGATCTTCTTTCTTGTTAAGAAGAAAATGTGTGGAGGGAAATTCTACTTTCAGTAATTTCTACCTCTTTCATCTAGTCTTGTATTTAAACACTGAAGAAAGTTCAGAAAGGATAGATGCATAGGCCCTGATTGCATGTACTCCTGCATGTAATCCTGCATGTGATTAGCTGAGAAAATATTCTATTTATGGACAAGATTTTAACAGCTATGAATAGTACTTCTTCGAATCTAAGACACTGTCAAATTACCACTCTTCCTTCTTTTATCCTCCTCCTTCCAATTTTTTTTCTTAGAGAAGTAACAGCACATTTATGAAAAGCTTTTGTTTTCTTCCAATATGCATAATATTGACTGGGTCAAGTTATATGTTCTTTGTTATTTTTACACTTATATTTTAAATGTTTATTTTTATACTATTTTACATCAAGAATGAATTCAATATTTAATCAAACACTATTTTGGCCTCTATTCATAAGGTCAACTTTTTTTTCATCTGATTTACTGATATGATGAAAAATGTGACTTAATATTGAATTATTCTTTAAGTTCTAGAGTAACCTCTTCCTGATCCTATTTTATACTCCTTTTTAAATTTACTAAATTGAATTTTTTAATAGTTGTAATTTTTGGTTTTGTTTTTGAATAATAATTTATTTTTAATTTTCTTTTTGTTAACATGAGCTTCTCAAAAGGAATTTTAAGCTGTTTTTAATATATTTATTTATTTACTTATTTTTATATCCTGGAAGAGTTTAAATAGCCTAGAATCTGTTGCTTCAGTATTTAAATATACTGTTGGTAGAGCATTCTGGGTCTTGTGCAGCTCAGAGAAATACATTTTTATGTCTTTCTTCAAATAATAGAGACATTTAAAGTTATATTGTTCTGAATAAAATTTGGCTATTTACAAGTTTTGGGAAAAATAATTCTGTGACTGTTTTCATTTTTAGAGTAATATGCCATTGCAGCTCTTATTTCTTACTCGATGTGTTGAAATTTTAAAAAATAGTTTAAAAAATATTTTGGAGCTAAAATATTTTTGAGTTTTTTTTCTATTTGTTGTTATCTCTCAATTTATTCCAATGTGGCCTGGGAACATTGGCACTAAAATTTCATGACAGATTTTTCTGTATGGTTTAGTATGTCAATTTGTACAAAAGCTCCATTAGAGAAGAATATTTGTACATCTTTTATAAGATTTCACATAAGATGTATGTTACTGATTACATTATTTAAATATGCTATATCCATGTTTTCCTTTGGTTTAAATTGTTTGCAAATGACTTAAAAATGTATCTTAAAATCATTTCCTAAAAATTTCATTTTGTTTTACATATTGCAATGCTATATTATTATATGGGTAAGTGTTTACAAACAATACAATTGTCCATGGAAAACTTCATATCAACTTAATTGTTTGGCCTTAAGTTCTCTTCATTATACATTAATATCATTGTTCCTTTGCTCTATTAATGCATGTAGGTGCCCATCCCTCCTCCTCCACACCAGCCCATAAAATCAGAGGATCAATTAATTGTTTTAAATAATACATAAAATGAAACACTTGCATGGATGTACATAATAAGCTATTTTTCTCACTACAGGCAGAGCTATACTATAATAATGAGAAGTTTGATTGTGAATAAAAATTCAAGTAAAAGGAGTTAATTGGATGAAAAGATACTTAACAGTATTCTGTTAAGAGAGGCAACATAACAAGTTTCATATCGAATGACTGAAAAAGAAAGAATATTTAATGTTCTAGGCTTTATAGGCTGAAGTTCTCTTTTTTTAATACTTTGTATTTAATTTTTTTCTTTTATCATGTTAACGGTTTGAGTCATGTCATTAACATGCTATAAGTTTCTGACCCCATACAAAATAGACACTTGAGATATGCTGCAAAGCCTTATTTTTTATCAGAACTGATGGCCTGAACTGCAAAATTTGGTTCCATTTCCATTAGCCATGGCTGCTTTAACGCTTGCTCCAACCTGTGTCATTTGTGTTCTTTTTCTTGGAATACAGACTTTTCTTTAGATTTATTAGGTTCATGCAAAAGTAATTGTGGTTTTGCCACTGAAAGTAATGGCAAAACCACAATTACTTTTGCACCAACTTAATAATAAATATTATTTTATAATTATTCTAAAACAGATTATAGCTACACATAATACAAGTTTCTTATTTTGAATGACACAAACTTCTCATGTTTATGGCTATAACATGGTTTCTATCAGATTGTTCTGAGTCTTTATTCAAACACTTGCATCCCAGAAAATAAAGATGGAAATCAATTAGATTTAGATTTAGATCAATTACATTGTTAAGATGCCAGATGACAAGTCCATTTTTTTGCGATCCGTAAAAGATAAGACTTGGTTAGGGGAAGTGTTGTTCACTGTGCTGAAGTTATATTATTCATGTTGGTTGTTACAAACCAGATTAGCTGGAGCCCTGCTTTATTTCTGTAAGACTTAGGATGGCAGTGGCTGACCCTCTGCCGCCCACCAAATATACACACACAGCATCCTTTACTTCACAGTAAGTGCAAGCTAAAAATGAGTACTCTGGATGGCATTGTGTGTACTAGCACATTAATACTACTCTAAGAAGAACTAGAAAGATTAATGTTTACTTCTCATCTACTGCCCTTGTGCCCAACACCTTCCTTCGGAACTTGACAATGGTGCTAGATTCTGCCAGATATTTATCAGACTTTGACTTTGTCCTTGATGTCTTAGCTGTTGGTCAGCCTACCTCTCATTCTGATCTCACTTATACTATATCTTGCAAAGATTCCATAAAATTTCTGGCATATAACCAGCACTCCTCCTCAATTTCCAATGTGGTATAAATATTTTGCTATGGATTTCAGGGAGTTGGAAAGGTGGTGAGGAAAGAGGTTAAATGTGCAAGTTCAGCTTGCCCTGTTATGTTGACATATGTCATTTAGTTAATTTAGACTGTTTAACAATATTAACCTTTCAGTGAATTGGCAATGTAATCATTGGAAGTGTATGGGCCTGAGACAAAGGCAAACAAACCTACTAATAACTTTCAACATGATCTTACACAAGACAATCAATCTGGGTTTCAGGTTTCTCACATGAAATATGAGATAAAAGGGTTGATTTCTAAAGTTCTTATCACTTCTCTAATTTCATGACTGTGGTTTTTAACAGTGCATTTAACTGAAGCAGTTCACTAAGAATACATTGCACCACTGTTTGAGGAGTTAACCCTCACATATAAAACCGTCCTAAGTAAAAAGGGGGTGTCATTCTCTCTGGATTCTGAGAGAACTGCAGTAATAACAAACAACCTATGTGTACCCAATTTACTTATCTATCACACGGTAATTGTCCATGTACAGTACTTGATGCTGTAGATATTTTAAGGACCATTTCTCTTTGATGTTCTTGATGAAAAATGTCATGCTGCATTACTCAGCATTTAGAACAAATGACGGTTACTCCGAGCTTGTTGCCAGGCAGCTCCCACTTTTACTTCCAGAACACACGATGGCAAGGGGCATCTTTTGAGAGCTTTTGAAAGATATTAAAGATCAAGATAGGTCACTTTCATAAAGTCCTTTGTCCCTGTTAATTCTTTAAAAAAAAATTAGTCAAATTCCATCTGATAAGAAGGCAAATGCTTTTTGGGAAGCTCTATTTGCACTAGGGAAATAGCAAAGAACACTACTGCCTATAAAAGGGAGGTAGTTATATTAGTCTGTTCTCACGCTGCTTATGACATACCTGAGACTGGGTAATTTATAAAGGAAAGAGGTTTAATTTACTCACAGTTCCACATGGTTAGGGAAGCTCACAATCATGGTGGAAGGTAAATGAGGAGCAAAGTCGCATCTTACATGGTGGCAGGCAAGAGAGCTTGCGTGGGGGAGCTGCCCCTTATAAAACTATCAGATCTTTTGAGACTTGTTCACTATCACAAGGACAGCATGAGAAAACGTGCCCCCATGATTCAATTACCTCCTACCAGGTCCCTCTCACGACACGTGAGGATTATTACAATTCAAGTTGAGATTCGGGTGGTGACAGAGTCAAACCATATTAGTAGTACTAACACTTTCCCAGCACTTACTAGTTCATTCATTGCTTCATGCCGTTATAAGTCATGCAAAATTGTCAGAGGCATAAAACATTTCCTGGATTTGTTTCCAAGATGATGGGATCAATTATATTAATTAAATTGACCAGCTAATTTATTCAAATGTCTTAGTAATCCGCTATCCAAGAAGTTTGTTGTTTTTATTGTGGTTTGAAATACATTTGACTACTAAATGAGATTATAGTTTTTACCTTGAACATCCACTCAGCCAGTGCAGTGAATTCTAGAATATCCAGTATAGGGGGTCATCTTGTGGCAGGCCAGGTTTCACTAATACAGGCTTCCGTAACAACTGTTTCAGCACTGACTGAGTGGTTAAGTTAAATATTAAAAGCTGATAGAGCCAACGCCCTTATACAAAGGCTAGAATATAAGAAAAGCCCACCAAGAGTTTTGCCTAGGCCTTTCCTGGGCCTCGAAGTATGACAAGATATTGAAGGAATTCTTAACAGGACCCGTTTAGGATTAAACAAGTTTTACTGTGGGTCTGAAGAAACTCCCCAGAACTCCAGAGAGAAGTTTATTGTGGGTCTGAAGGAATTCCCCAAACCTCCATGATTTAGCAGGAGGTAAGGGTAGTCACCCCAGCACCTGGACCCATTTAGATTAAGTAAATTGACTAAGGCTCCAGAGGAAGGTGTTCAAAACTCAGACTTTAGTTATAGATTAGAAGTTAATCACTTGTGTCTTTAGATGAATGCACACTTACACGTAGAAATATGGCTTAGAAGGTATATAAGCTCTGGAAAACTTTGTAATTTTCAGTTGGTCTGGTGATAATTTCCAGGCTTTATCCCTGTACCCGGTTACAGAAGTAAACTCCCTTCTCTCCCAGTTCATCTGCATCTTGTTATTGGGCCACGAGATTAAGCAGCCCAACCCTTGGTTTGGTCCAGGAATGATCTGGTCTCAGTTGAACATATCTTGCTACAAAGAAAGGCCTATTACCAACATAGGTGTTTCTCATTTTGAATAACTCTTTTAAAGGTTAGGTTTACTAATGTCCTCTTGTTTCTACCAATTTGTCCTAATTTTTCACCCATATCCTCATTCACAGCCTCATTGTTCACCCCATACCTGCAGAGAGAAACGAAATATTTTCTTTTTTTATGCATGTAGTCATCCAACAAGTTGATTATTGTATATATAAAGTATATGTGTGTATGTGTTTAATGCACACTACGTATTAGGCACCATGCTAGTCACTAGAACAAAATAGTGATTAGTATAAATATGGTGGCAGCCCTCAGAGAGTTTACTAGGCAAGAATACCATGGACAAATGAGCTGTCCCTTCCAATAGATAGTCAGTGTTTCCAATCTTTGAATTCAAGGTTTGGAGATTAACTTTGCATCTAATAACCTTATGTGTGTTCAACTTTCCCCATGCCTCAAATTAATCATTTAATTTTATATTTGTACAGTATTTAAAATATAATATTTCATTGCAACTATGCGGTGCTTAATAGAATAACAATTATAAGCCCTGTTTATAATAAGCATGCCATATTAATAGTACACCAATGTATGCTACTTCCTTGATCTCATTTTTAAGTATGAAGAGGCTGAGATTTATCCAAGTGACTTATTCAAAGTCATAGAATTAGTAAGTGGAAGAGTTAGAACTAAGACCCAGTTCTCCAATCCTTAGCCCTCTGCTGAGTATTAGCCATGGGAAAGGAACCTTTGGTTTGGCATGGAGAAAAGGTATTCTCTACTTTTCAATCAATCCTATAAAGTGATACCAAACAGCACAAATGGCAAGCAGCTCCAACAATGGAGTAGACATTTAGAAAGGACTTTCTCTATTTGCATATTTAAAATATGAATTATCATAGAAAACTAATTTTGGTTGATGCTCAAATAATAGTGATATAGTGATTAGAAACACGGCACTGCAAGTTTTGATCTGAATACTTTCAAATATGTTTGTAATAAACAAAAACACTTTTATAAGTAGCCCTGGGAGGAAGTATTGAGGATTTCTACCTTTACTATTCCAGAGGACTCCAGGCTTCACCCAGTCAGTTGAGCCTACTGTAAATAAACTACAAAGACAGCTGTAAAGTAAATACCAAGAAATATCAGAGCACGTTAAGCTTCATAAATCTCAGAATGTTATCTTGACTCATATTGAGAGAGAGTTATATCTAGTAAATATAAACCATCCTGAAACTTTGTTAATCAATGACAGAAGGGGCAGAAGTAAATCTCTGAGTCCTGGGGCATTCTTCTGTACAGAGCTGTACATCAAACTTTTGCTGCTAATGAATATAATTCATCAAGAAGATTTTTAAAAATTTTATATAGTTACATAGACTGCTCTCCTGTTGTGGAAACATCTGCTTAGAACCTCAGAAATTAAGGTATTTAAGCTTTTATTTCTTAAATAGGACTTAATAACAACAGGCAGAATTCATATTTAATTGTGAAGGCTTAATTGTTGTCATTTCTAGTTAACTTCAAATTAAACTTATAAAATACACACCCATGCATGTATGCACACACACACACACACACACAGACACACTTTTTAAAAAACTTGCCAATTCCAATAGTGAGAAACAAATCACAGAACTCTTTTAACATGTCCATGGCTATATTGATTCTTTAAACTTTATGTTTTCATGTACATTTCAATTTGCAGATGGCTATAAAATTGACATAAGTATGATAACATAAAGCAATTTTAGAAAACTTGAGAGCAGCAATTCATTCAGTGGATAAAACAAATATTAATAAAATTTATCTAATTACATTTACTTCTTCTGTATTTCTGACTATAAAACTAGGTAGAGGGGGAAGGTGGAACTTGTTATGGTGGGAGAGCAAAGGACTTTTGAGCCCTCATAAATAAATAATAATAAAATATGAGAATATGGGATATAATTTCGTATCATAGGATACATAATGCAAGTCACACTATCTCATACTATGCATGGTTTAATTTTACCAAAAGAATAAGCCTTATTATTTTTCCCAGTAAGAGTCAGCAAATAACCTGTGGTTATGATTTGTTTTCTTTAAGCATGAGCTACTAAATAACACTTTGCAGTTGAATGACAATTTACACTCCTGTTGTCAACAAAAGACCAAATCCGTATAGAAATGGCATTCTTATTCCATAATGATATATTTATTTGGTGTCATTGGACTTTGATCAATATCATTTTCTCAAAACATAGAACTCCTTTCTCGTGACTAAAAGAACAGCTTATATCAAGTCAAGTCTTCTAGTCCTAGTATCAGAATTTGATTATATGTTCCTGAATTTGTATCTAACTTTCTTCTTCCTTTGTGAAATCAAAATTATCTCTAGAGTGTTTTTAATCAAAAACAGTTACTAAATAAGAGATAATGAATGTGATGTGTTTATCACGCCAACAAGGTTTTATTACATCAAATGTTTGTAACATTTCAATGTGAAAATTTTTTTACACTTATTTGTTATTAAGGTCTCATTATCTGTGAGATAAGTCACAAAAAAACAAAGAGGTGAATGAGTTCAAGAACGCATGGAGGGTTTGTTAGTCTTAGGCACAGGAATGGGCTTTTGCTTAATCTCACAATTGCATGGGTTTAGCTCTTTCTGTCTGTAAACATTAGAAAAGATTTTAGCCACAAGTAAATGAAAACTTGAGTTACAGAAGTTCAAATGAATCAGGGTGTATTTTTCTCAAATTTTTTTTTAAGTCTTGAGTAAAGCAGCTTTAGTGTTGGTTTAACAGCTTGATTGTAGGGTTAATGTCTCTGAGATTCTTTGGGCCTTTCCTTCATCCTCGCTACCCTGTGGTCCAGGATATCTACCCATGTCCAGTTATGTTATTTGCATTCAAAGCCATAGCAAAAGGACAGGGGACCAAGACACTGAGCCTGTTGTCTTTCAAGAAATCAAACGTTTTTCTATTTTAACTTCCCACTGTCCTGTATGGCTACATAGCAGGCAGAAAGGTATTGAGATTTTTCTAGCATCTAAATGCAGAGGTGAGCAAAAGAGAGAAGAATTGAGAATAAATTTTGGATTTGCAAACCCACGGTGCCTACCATAACTGTTGATTCTCAATCTTTTTTGAACAAAAAGCCACACAGTAACTACCTGTTAAAAAGACTCTATAGACTGCCAATTCAGAGGAATGATAGTTTGAATTTGTAATCTCTCTTTACTGAACAGACAGGGTATTATAATTGGTTATATTTCTACCACATATACTGGTTGAATTTATGACATTATCTACATATTTACGTAATTTCTCCCCTCCAGGTCTTTAATCAAACATCACTTTCTCAGTGAGACTTTCTATGGCTATAGAAAACATACACTTATGTATACTTATATATCCACAAAGTGGCTGTTAATTGATTATTTATTGGACTTGGAATTGGTGGGTCAAATCCGTATAGTTTTAAAGATCAAAAGAGACCTGTTCCTCTTATCCCATTTTGTGACATGCAAACTTGACAGTAAGGAAGCCAAATAAACCTACCAAACTAAAAGCTCTTGATACGGAGGCTGTGAAAAGTATGATGTATTTTCTTTGTCAATCACTAGATTTTATTGAAGATCTAAAAGGTCTTAGCACAATATTAGGTACTTGGGATATAATTTAGACATTAGGTATTCTCTATGTCTTCAGGAGATGAACAGTTATTGACTACTTACAACTTGACAAATGGACCACCCCTCAAAAACGTCAGGGGCCTACTTTCTAATATAGAAATTTATACGCCTTGAGTAGGAATACTTTTACTTTCTGCTTGGCTGATATTGCTTTCATAACTCTGAAATTTGACTCATTTTGCTAACATACTTGATGTTAACATTTTAGCCTTATATATTTATAAAAATAATAGTTTGAATTACTGTCCCATAGAAAGAAATGCAAGCAATTTAAAATATGCTTCCCCTCAACTCAAATTTTGTCATTAAAATTCAATGAAGCTTCTTCATGATCCTATAAGTTATCTTAAATACTAACTGCTTACTGCTCTTAGCATCTTGGGAAGAAAACCAATGGGGTATTGCTGAATTTTTTGGAGGCATGCCATTGAAACAATTGTAAAGATATGTTCAAACAAGGGCCTCCAAGGTCAGGTCTATGCTTATTTTATAAATTTGTTTCAATGATCATAGTCTGCTCTCTGGGTCATATAATTGATTAAAAGATTGTCTCCCATCTGGCCTATGTACCTGGTAGGCTGCCACCAACTAAATTGATATCCCATAATGAAATCCATACCATTTTAGGATCACTATAGTTAACCATAATGTATGATATAGTTTCAAATAGCTAGGAGGAGGATATTGAACGTTCCCAACACAAATAAATGATAAAGCTTTGAGATAACAGATATGCTAATTACCCTCATCTAATCACTATATATTATAGGTATCCAAACATTACTATGTACCCCATGAATATGTATGAATATGGCAATTATTATTCGTCAATTAAAAAAATACAATTAGGCCAAAAAAATTTAAAAAAATTTTTTTTTAAAGAAATGGTAAGTTTTAATTGTGAGCCAGTCTATATTCTAATACATTAAGGGATCCTTTTAGAGAGTGTTGGGTGGTCAGATGAGCTAGTATTGTACAGGCTCACATAAATTGGCATGTATTTCATAGCTTCATGCTTGTGTTGGACCTATTTTCAGGGTGGTTTTTCACAGCGCTACTGTAATTAGCATGCAAAGAACATAAAATCTCTTTATAGTGAAGTTTTAGTTCAGTCAGTTAGATTAGTCTCAGCCCCAAGAGTAAGAGATTCTTTTGAAGACCAGTCATCTTTAAAAAGAGATAGAAAACAAACCCAGGGGAGAAACCCAAGTGTTCAGCCTAGGTGATAAACCTTTCTCATAGACAGATATAGCACACATACACACATTTGCAGGCATTTCATGGCATACAAGAAAGTGTCTCTGTAATTCATGGTAAACCTTTCTCATAGATAGATATAGCACAGATACACACATTTGTAGGAATTTCATGGCACATAAGAAAGTGTTTCTGTAATTCACGGATTAGCATGAAACAATTAGTAAAATAAAGATAATATCAAAACATAAAAATTAAGTTCATTATGTATATTTAGAGTACATAGACATACACAGATCTCAACATTGAATAACCACATGGAGATAAAAGAACTTTTTACAATTTGCGTATCACCTTTACTTCCAGGAGACAACTCATTTGCTCTTACGTTAACATATGACAAAGCCTGATGTCCAAGAGGAGGAAGGCTATAAAGACTTTTGCCTATTTACTCTCATCATCATTGTCACTACACTATAAATGGACTGACATTGAATATCAATTAGAGTTTCAATTTCATTAGTTACTTGTAAATATCATACATCATTTGTTAAACATATTTATCTTCATGTAAATATGTAACAAGTGATGTATAGTATATTTAATATTTGGGATAAAGTATTAACAAATTATTTTACTAACTTTATAAACAGATTACAGAATACTTTTGTGGAATATTCTCTAGGTGCCATTGATTATGCAGACCAAGTTAACATTATTAATAACACCAGATAAATTGTACTGAGTTCAGATAACTTCAGACACAGAAGAGCTGGGAGCATTGTACAATTTCCATCTTCTATAAGGCTGCTATGTCTATGAATGCAATTTTTTAAAATGTGTTAGGTGAAACCTTGAGAATCAAAAATAACTATAGTCACAGTAAAAATCCCAACATTACACTGTGATTGAAAGGCAGAAACTGAATTTTATGAAAACGTGCAATTCAATTAATGTAAGGTTAAGGAATTAATTGGTTCAACTCCATGTATTTAGTCAGAATGAGGCCCAGTGGTTTGTCTGTATGAGCTAAATCCATAACTGGTTTGGGCTGTAGTTTGGCACCACCTGGTGGCTGTTGCCCATTTTGAGTTAAATCCTAAGGGGGATGATTTGAGGTCTTGTGGATGGGTAGACCTTGACCCTCAATGTTTCCCTATCGGACCTCATTTCTTTGGACTCTCTGTCCACTCTTTCCCACCTCCATAAATACCTAGAACTATCAACTTCTCTGACACTTGATGAGGAATAGAATTCCATTATCAACTGTATTATATACAATTTATGTTATCAATTGTGGCATGCTGACATGAGTTTTAATATTTGAGAGTTTCAAATTAATAGTCAGTTTTACTAAAGGATTAATTTTCCTTAGACCTTTTAGTTCATCTATGTTTTATTAACTTATAAGTAATATTTAGATAAAAATGAGAGTAGTTTATTTCATCTTATTTAAAATTAATGGTTAACCCAAGTTAAGCAGTTAATGTTTCCTAACCAGTAGTTCCTGCTTACAAACTTAGTGAAGTACATTCTCTTAAACACACTAAACTAAATTTTATAAATTAAATATACATATATTTAAACATGATATGAAATGTTATTAATCTAATAAATAAATTGACATAAGCCAGGAACTGAGTTCCCATAAATATTACAGTTCAATTTACAAAAACATCCTATTTACTCACAGCTAAAAACAACAAAGCTAATATATCAAATTCTTTTTATTATTACCAGTATTTAAATAAAATACACAGATTGCAAATTTAACATAAAATATTAATACTTTAGGATTGATTAACTATTTTATTTACACATATTTCCTTGCCAGTCCACTGCTCCAGAGAGTTCTCCATGAAGTAATCATTTAAGTCTTCTCAACAATGGCTCAATTGACTGATGTGACTAGGTTAGAATATGGAGGTCAAGTATACTTATCAGTTTGAGCTTGAAATAGGGACACAAATTCTACCAGAATGATTTTCACAAAGTCTTTCTTATAATCCCTATGCCTCTATGCCTTTCACCGAGAATTTGGCTTTGCATTCTCTCTCCCCATCCAATGCTCTGTAACCTCTTTTAAGTTTTAAGCATGATTTTGGCTGATGCAATTTTGCCCTCAACCCTAGGTTATTGAATTTCCCCCAATATCTGTCTCGCTAGCAGCAGCTCTATTGTCATGCAAGTGATATGCTATGGACTCTGGCAGCCTTTTCATGCTTTTCTTGCTCTTCACTGGCCACAGATGTGTGGGACTGACAACCTCACTGAATACATATTTAAAGAATGACTTTTGAACGAATCTAAGGAGAACATATTATCTATTTGATAGATAGTTCAAAATACATTCATTTAGTATTTTGCTTCAACATGATTCACTTTGAGACTGAGACTGTTACTCCCATACACCCAAATTTATCTAACAATACATATGGACATCAATAAATTGTTGTAAGTTGAGAGCCCTGAATGCCAAATGTTATGAAGAAACTAGAAAAGACATCTCTCCTCACTCTCACACCCCACACAATCAGATGTCTCCAACTTGAGACTTAATTGCAATGTCACAAAGGCAGTTATATATTTCCTAGTGAGGAACGCATTACTTTCTTACACCCTATAGCCAAGCTATTGGTATAACCAGGTTATCGTTCCTCCAAAGAAGTGAGACTGATGTCCTAAGTCCTCTTATCTCCCCCAGAAGGAATTGCAGAATAATGGTGTCTATGACAATGTATTTTTAATTATTTGGGATATAAAGAAATATTTGTTAATTTACATTTTATAAATATATATGTATATATACCTACATCAAAAAAATCCATCAAACAAAATTTTTAGGCAAAGAGTAAGTCATATATTCTTGCTTAAGGCAGATTGTCAAGGAATACAGCAAAGTTGGAAATATTTGCCTTACAAACAATGAAGCCATAGTTTCTTAAACCATACTTATTCCATAAGAATAAAAAAGTCATGGCAGACATCAGATCCCATTTGAGTTTCTGCTGAGGGATTATAAAATCAATGCTGACATTAACAGATCTTCATTCATCTGTATGCTGCCATTTAAGGTACTATTGAGGAAAAAACCGAAAGCAGAAAATAAGAATATCCTGTGAAAGCTTATCTATGCTCTGATTATCTTTGTAAAAACTCCCTTTCATTGACTGCAGCTAAAGTAACATGAACAAAGAAAAATTACCCCAACTTTGAAAGACAAATTAATCTTCTGAGACAGTATTGGTTAATGTCATTGTTAAAAATAACCAATCAGCCAGTTCTAGACAACTGGTGAAGACAGCAGTAATGTTACCAGTTGCAAACTTAAAATCAGAAAGTAACATGTCCTTAAAAACAACTGTATTAAGCAAGTAAATATGTTTATTTGCAAAATCGGGAAATATAGAAAAGAAAAAAAAGTTAGGTTACTTAGTACTATTGCACAGAAAGAACTCCTATTAACCATTTGGTGTAGGCTTATATGGGCACCCTTTCTTACATAGAGAGGTTTAATTGACTCACAGTTCCACGTGGCTGGGGAGGCCTCAGGAAACTTACAATCATGGCAGAAGGCAAAGGGAAAGCAAAGACCCTCACATGGTAGCAGGAAAGAGGGAGCTAGCAAGAGCAGGGAAAACTGCCTTATAAAACCATTAGATCTCATGAGAACTCATTCACTATCATAAGAACAGCATGAGGGAAACCACCCCATGATCCAATCACTTCCCACCTGATCACTCCCTCAATGCATGGAGATTATAGAGATTACAATTGAGAAGAGATTTGGGTGGAGACACAGCTCAGCCGTATCAAAGGGAAATCAAAGCAGGGTAATTAATTAAAAGTCTACCTATAGGTCAAATATCCCAGTTTTCTCTCCACATCCCCTTTCCAAATGCTTGTAATGCAGCATTTATTCCCAGGAAAAATTAACAGGGCTCTTTTTGACAGAGATAAAATTACCTGTTTGGGAATTATGATTCCTAGGATAGATGTTGGCACTCTACTCTTTCTGGCATGTGCATTCCACTCAGCTTATAGTTTTGTCTCCATCCTCTCACCCTAAAGTTAAGCATTTTATATCTATTTAGCCTCTCTGATTTTCCTTCAGTGTATAGGTAAAACTCCTTAGTCAGGCGAGACTCACAACTACAGTTTGAACGTCTGTCCCTCACAAAGCTCATGTTGAAATTTTGTCCTGAATGTTGGATGTGGGGCCTAGTCATGAAAGGTTTGGTGCAACCCTTACAGGAATGAGTGAGTTCTCACTCTATTAGTTTCTGTGAGAGCTGGTTGTTAAAAAGAGTCTGGTACCTCCCTCCTCTTTCTTTTGCATCTTCTCTCAGCATGTGATCTCTGTTCACACTGGCTCCTTTTTGCCTTCCGTCATGATTGAAAGCAGTCTGAGGCTCTCACTAAAAGCAGATGCTGGTGTCATGCTTCTTTTCCAGCCTGCAGAAACAAGAGCTAAATAAAACTCTTTAATTAATAAGTTATTCAGTCTTGGGTATTCTTTTACAGCAATACAAAACAGACTAAGACACTCACATATTCAAAAGAAGAAGAAACCACAGCAATTTCCTAGAAAAGTTAACCCAGAAGCACGGCATGTTTTATATATGAAGTTGACTAAGATCTTGAAATAATAGGATACAGCACACTTTTAAGTTCAATATGCATTACTAACATTCTATCTCTTTCTTGTGTCTAGATAATCAATAAAACATGAAAGAAAGCCCTGATTTGTAGTGTTTGCCAACTTCTGTGATGTAAGTACTTCCACCCTTGGAGATTTCAAATGATCATTATGACATCTTTGAATACAGAATTGGGAAGAAATGCACAGAAGTACATCATTATATTGTATTCACAATATAGAAAGAATAGGAGTAAATAACTTCAAGATCATCAATAATAAAATGTAGTAAAATGATTAACAAGTAATGAATATCTTTTTTTCTAATGCATTTTATTTAATTTTAAGTGCATGTAATATGATGTTTAATAATGACCATATTTAGCAACTGGCTCAAACAATTTCTGATAATTTAACAATGAGCTTTTGGGAAATAAGCCAGTTTCCCCACACGACTGCACATTAGAGATTTCACTCTTGCTGGTAGCTCTTTCAGAAATATTCTCTTACCACCACTTTGAATACCTTGTTTAACTCTCATTTCCTCTTTATATATTCATTTTAACTGTTTATTAACCACCCCATTGATAGACGTTAGCTTTTTTAAAATTTATTTTTTAATTAACAAAAATTATATTAGCAAAAACCGTGATTACTTTTTCATCAACCTGATACATATTTATCATATTTTTATATATGTATACATTGTGGAATGGCTAACTAAAGCTAATTAACATATACATTACCTCACGAACTTATTTATTTGTGATGAAAACACTTAAAATCTACTTTCTTAGCCGTTTTCAATTGTACAATATATTGTTACTAACTCTAGTCACCATGTTGTACAACAGATCTCTTGAACTAATTTCTTCTATCTAATTGAAATACCGTATCTTTTGATCAACATCTTCCCAATCCCCCCAACCTTCACCTTTTTGCCAACCCCTGGTAACCACTATTCTGCCTTCTACTTCTATGAGTTGGTCATTTTTAGATTCCACGTCTGTGTAAGATAATGCAGTACTGACTTGTCTTTTTGTGCCCGGCTCATATCACTTAGCATAACATCCTCTAGGTTCATCCATGTTATCACAAATGACAGGATTTCCTTAAGAATGAATGATAATCTATTGAATATATAATATATACCACATTTTCTTTATTCATTTGTCCATTTATGGATGCTTAGGTAACTTTCATATCTTGGCTTTTGTGAATAATGTTGCAATGAACATAGGAACGCTGATTGTATTTCCTTTGGATATATATCCAGTGGTAGGATTGCTGCATCACACTGTAGTTCTATTTTTAACTTTTGGAGAAATCTCCATACAATTCCCATCTCATAATGAAGCCCTTTCTCATCACATTATTTAACACTGCAGCATATCCCCATCCCTTCCCTTGCACACTCCTTTCTACTTAATGTGCTCATTATCTCTATACAGTTTCTCACCTAAGATATACTATGCTATTTCAGTTATTTGTTCATTCATTCATTAGTTTAAGTTTATTTATATTTTAACTCCCCATTTAAAATATAAGCTCAATAGAAAAAGAAATCTTTGTCCTTTTCAGTATTGTGGCTAAAACAGAGATTCCGCAATTTCAACTCATGTTACTTCTTCAGTGAATTTTTTAAAACTTTCAAACATTCTTAAGTGCCACTTAAATCAATCTTCCTGTCTGTCCTTCATTCTGCTTATAAATGCCCATTGTCTACTACGTCAAAACAAATTGTTGAAAAGGTTAAAAATTCAAATCTTTTTCTATGAACTTAATTAAGAAAAAAATATAGATTATTTGATTAAATTCACCTAAATTGTTCTTTAGGAGATTTTATGTGAAACAAGTCTGAGTGTGTCAATATAATCTGCATTTTCAGATAGCAGTTAAAATTAATATAATCATAATCATGGCGGTTGAAATCTTGTCATCAGATTTATTATCTGAACACAAGTAAATTGGTTATTCTTTGTACAGAATTGCTCTTACCGAGCTCCTAATGGCTTGACTGGATGCAGTCAGAGCCCATAAATGTCCATTCATGACTCAACCAGGTTCTGCATTTGAATCTGGAGCTAATATACTTTTGGGCAAAAACATTAGTGTGAGTGAGTCGTAGTGTTACATTAATCCTATATTCTGTTCATTAAGAAAGTACTTTTTAAATCTATAAATGTTAATTATTAAACATTTACTTTAGACTTAATGCACTTTAGTTGGAAAGAAGCATCTAATTGGTTCAGAAACAACTTGAAATATCTTTAGGAGGCTAAAAGTAAATATAGTCAGATAATTACACTTACCATTAACTTCAGCAGTATACACTAAAAAGAGATTATTTATTTATTTTTTAACTGAAAGATTGCATTCATTTTCTTTTTAAAAATGTACAATTCAGTGGTTTTTAGTTCTGCTACAATCATAAGGTTCATAGGGTTCTGCAACAATCCTTACTATCTAATTTTGGAATATTTACATCTACCCTGAAACAAACTTCATGCCCATTAATAGTCACTTCTAGGTAGGCTTAATACCTGGGTAAATATATGTTTTACCATATATGCCATGCCAAACACTGTGGCACTGGTAGAAAAATAGACACATAGATCAATGGAACAGAATACAGAAGACAGAAATAAAGCCACATATTTACAGCAAGCTCATCTTTGACAAAGTTGACACGAACATACATCAGATAAAGGACACTTCAATAAATGGTGCTGGGAATACTGGAATGCCATATGCAGAAGAATGAAACTGAGCCCCTCTCTCTCACGATGTATAAAAAATTAACTCAAGATGGATTACAGACCTAAACATAAGACCCAAAAGTAAAAATACTCGAAGAAAACATTGCAAAAACTCTTCTGGAGATCCCTTCAGACAAAGAATTTATAACTAAGACCTTAACAGCACAGGCAACAAAAACAAAAATAAACAAATGGGACTTGATTAAATTAAAAAGCTTCTTGCACAGTAAAATAAATCAGTAGAGTGAACAAACAACCTGCAGGATGGGAAAAAAATATTTGCAAACTATGCTTCCAGCAGTGGACTGACATCCAGAATACACAAGGAACTCAAACAACACAGCAGCAGCAACAACGACAACAACAAATAATCCCATCAAAAAGTGGGCAAAAGACATAATAGGTATTTTTCAAAAGAAAACATTCAGATGACCAACAGGTATATGAAAACATGCTCAACATTATTAATCATTAAATAAATGCAGATTTAAATCACAATGAGATATCATCTTATACCAGTCAGAATGGCTACTATTAAAAAGTAAAAAAATAACAGATGTTGGCAAGGATACAGAGAAAAGGGAACTCATACATTTTTGGTGAGAATCTAAGTAAGTACAATCTCATACAGTATGGAGGTTTCTCAAAGAACAAAAAATAGAACTATCATGCGATTCAGCAATTCTACTACTGGGTATCTATCCAAAGGAAAACAAATCAATATATCAAAATGGTATTTGCATGCGTATGTTTATAACAGCACTGTTCACAACAGCAGATACCAAATCAACCTAAGTGTCCATTGGTGGATGATTAGATAAAGAAAATGGGGTATAAATACACAAGGAATATACTCAGCCATAAAAAGAATGGAATCATATCTTTTACAGAAATATGGATGAAACTGGAGGTCATTATCTTAAGTAAAACAAGTCAGACACAATAAAACAAATATTGCATTTCTCACTCATAAGTAGGAGCTAAAATATGTGTTTATATAGACATAGAGAGTGGAATGATAGACAAAGAAGACTCAGAAGATTGAGGGGGTGGCAGTGGGGGTAGATATGAGAAACCACTTAATGGGTACAATGTACATTATTAGAGTGATGGATACCCTTAAAGCTCTTACTTGGCTACTATGCAATCTATGCATGTAACAAAATTGAACTTGTACCCCATACACATATACAAATTAAAAAAACAGAAAAACAATAAATATAATAAAAATAATAAAATGTATTTTCTTAGTTCTGGCCTTGGAGATTAATTAACTTCTTAATTTCTAACCATATAGTTCGGATTAACAGCAACTTAATTTAAATACTATACAAAAATTGCTTCTATATAGCGCCCTTTCCTCTTCTTTTATCTTTGTGCTATTACTGTTGTATGATTTACATCCTTCCACATTGTACATCTATCCAATCACATTTATAATAAGCACTTTATGTGACTGTGTTTTATATAAGATAGGAGAAAAAAAGTGTTACAAATAAGAAATATACTTTTTTGTACTTTCCTATGATTCTTTATAACTTTTCTGTTTCAATGATTTTTTGCCTTGACAGTACTCATTTGTCCCTTTTCAAACTTTGCAAAACTTCATATTGAATAATAAGAGATTCATCGAAGGAAACTCGAGTTTCCTTTGCAAATAATGAATGAATGCCTCCAGGTAGAAGTAACAGCCACTTGAGAGTCATAGCAACATAGGTATGCTTGGTATGTTTGAAGAATAGCAAAAGGCCAGCATGGCTGCAGCCAAGGGTGAAAGAGGAGATACGCAGATGAAAATGCAGGAGGGTAGCTGAACAAATCATATAGGATCCTGGAGGCCAAAGGCAGAACTTTGGTTTTTATTCTAGGTGAAAAGTAGCAGAGGCTTCAGGAAGCCTTGCCTGTTTCTGCCTGTTTTTTCTTATCTGTCTAATGTCTGTGATGAGTAGAGAAGAACTCAGATAGCTGCTGCCCTTTCACCCTGGCTCCCAGCAGATTGTTGAAACTGCTTCTTGAGGTATGTCATCGATGCTTTGGAGTTGGTTTGTTGCTGCAGCATAAATTGAGTAATACTTTTTTGTGTGTCCATGTTTATGTCTGTTTTTGACCAACATGTAGATTCCCAGTGCTAGCATGGTTCCCATCAAATAGTAGGTGTTCGGAAAATGAATGAGGGTGGTGAAAAGCTCAGGCTGCTATAACAAAATGCCACAGACTGTGTGGCTTAAACAACAGGGCAGGATAGAGGAGATGTTACTCTTGATTGGTTACTTTACTTATCAAATACATGCTCCCTGCTGAGCCGTCTGTTATCTCTAAGAAATGGCTAGTCCAGGAGGGGCAGCCTGTCCCCAACCAGAAGGGCTTTTTAAGATGTCAAAATATCATAACATACTGATAACAAAAACTTAAACAATATATCCCCTATTCTCTAATAATTTTTGTGTACTCCATATACTTTATGCATATATGTATGTAGTCATACATATATGTGCATATATACTTACAAGTATGTCTGTATATTTACATATACATATATTTTGTAAGTGATATTACAGCATATATATTGATTTGCAACTTGTTTTATCACATAACAAATTGAAAACATTTTAATGCTGTTTTTCCTATTTCTTTTAAAAAGCTGCATGTTTTATTACATATCTATACCAATATGTGTTTAACCAACGTCCTATTGATATTTATGTTTTTTTCCTAGATATTTTTCTACAGGTATGCCTGTGCATTTCTACTTGGATATCTGTAGTGCAAGTTTGTAAAAGTAGAATTGCTGAACCCCAGGGTCCACGTGATTTTTATTTAGATAGTGACAGATTGTTCTCCAAAAGATTGTTCCAGTTTTCCATGTTTATTGTTGAAATCTTCATTGATGATAAGAATGAACCCTTGTGGTTATAAGCCATTGGGTGAGATAAAGGAATACAAAGAAATCTTGAAGTAGGAAGAATAACTTTTCCAGTCATTCCACATGCTTAGCCAGAAGTGAAGAAAAAGACACTTTGCCATCTTTCAGCTTTCTCAGGAACATATTTTAGTTTAGAAATTTACTAAACTTGCGCTATAATTTTCCATACAACCAGCAAAATTTTTACCTTTGATCATTAAGGGTATCAAATACAAACAATCTAACTGGATTTCTTCAATTCTTACCTTTTAAAAAATAGTCCAGATATAATGTCTTTTATAGCTAAGTGTCAATGTACTCAAACTACACTAAGCTTCGCTGAACTGAGATGTGGTTGACATCTAATATTTTTTAGGTTTAGAGAAAATCTGAATATAGATTTTAAATACCTTCCCTTTCAATAGGTGTTACATACTGCAAATTTTGGGTTACTACCTTCTTTCAGACAAAATATTTAAAATTAATAGTACATGTCCATGTAATGACAAAGGGAAATTACATGATCACTTTTATTGGAAACACCAATCTTCAAGGAAGATGGCGAGACATTATAATTGATGAATTCACTCTTTGGCTATATTTCTTCAATCTGGGGTGTTTAATTTTTGTTGAAAGTGTAATATATTGTATTAAATCTTAATTATCTAAATCCCATGATGACCTTGAGTAATAGCTAAAGATTCACTAGCCAATATTTCAAGATATGAGCAGCTTGTATAATGGTATTGAAGGGTAGACAAAGAAGGATAAAGTATATAATAAATTATTTATTCAACCAAATAGATTGAAGTTATAGAAAATGGCAATTCAACTACAATATCAAAAAATTATTGCAAAGTGAGAATGTTTCCCTGACTGGAATGGCTTACGTTTTCTTCTTTTTATTTTCTCTGACAAGCTGTAATGTGCTGTTTAACACAACCTAATGGACCATATATCAAGTCAGCTCAAAGAGTATATTATCAATTTTACTGGCTTTACCTGAAGTTTGGCCAAATCATAATAATAGTATCAGATTCCAGCCTGTGAATACCTTTCTAACAGGATTTTTGAAAAATCTTAAAGTACTATGGATAATTTAAATATAAAGCTCTGTATATTATCTTGTTATCATTATCATTATTACTATTAGACTAGCATTTATTTAATTCCTACCAATTCAGAAGTTATCCTAATTAATATAGAATAAACTGAAATAAGTCCCTTGTTAATTTGGAAAGTTCTCATGAAGAGAAATTGTACAAAGATGATGGCTTCCTAACTTTGAATCTTACCATGTCATCAAAAAATCATATCAATTAACAATGAAAATAAATAAAATCTCCCAGAATGCATACCCACAGATAACTAAAAGACAGATAATATTACAAACTTCAAGTTATATTTAAGTAAGCACATAAATAAGCCAGAACATTAGAGTTACGTATAGAGTTTATGCATTTGTTGCTGGTCAAGAGGAGATACATGAGAGTCCCATGGGAGAACACAGATCACGTCAACTAGGAGTGACCCTTATAAGAAAAGAGACCCACTGATTGGGCAAAGAATATGTTTGAAATATACAACAGTAGTCAGTCCTCTCATATGCCAGGTTTCAAACATATTCTCTACAACACAATATGGAGACTATGTTCAAAACCTGGTGTATCAGAGGACTCACTACTGGGAATTAAAAAAAAAAAACAGGTTGGAATATGTGAATTACCAGGGGAGGCAGCCCTGGGAAATAACTTTTTCTGAGTTTAAGTAAATGGGGTAGCCAGTGTCCAGATGGGTTTTCCTTAGAATCAAATAATTTTGAAATGGTAAAAAAGAGCTGGTAAATAAATAAATGAATAAATAAATAAATACAATCATCTGAGAAGAAAAGAAGTTACAAGGAGCTCAAGAGAAAATAGGTATTACTGAAAGTTCATTAAGAAAAAAGATGATAGGAATAAATAGAGCAAAAAAAAAGGGAGGTAACCAAAATAAATTAAAAAATGTAAAAAGAGTAAATTCAAAGGGGTAAATAGGCAAAGTGTCCTTTTACTCACTTCTGGCTAAACATGTGACATGATTGGAAAAGTTATTCTTCCTACGTCAAGGTTTCTCTATATTTCCTTATCTCACCCAGTGGTTTATAACCACAAGGGTTCATTCTTATCATCAATGAAGATTTTAACAATAAACATGAAAAACTGGAAAAATCTTTTGGAGAATAATCTGTCACTATCTAAATATAAAACATATACGTGGCATTCAGCAATTCCACTTTTACAAATTTGCACTACAGATATCCAAGTAGAAATGCACAGGCAAATCTTAGAAAAATATCCAGAAAAACATAAATAGGATGTTGCTTAAACACATATGGGTATATATGTGTGTGTATATATATATATAAAAAACATGAAGCTTTTTCAAATAAATTTAAAAAGCATAAAAATGTTTTCAATTTGTTATGTGATAAAACAAGTTGCAAATCAATATATATGCTATAACATCACTATGAAATATATGTATAGGTAAATATACACACATACTTACATATGCATATATCTGTATAAGTACATACATACATGCATAAAGTATATGGAGTATACAAAAATTATTAGTAAAAGAATAGGGGATGTATTGTTTTCATTTTTGTTATCAGTGTATTATATTTCGATGTCTTAAAAAACCCTTCCGGTTGGGGACAGGCTGCCTCTCCTGGTCTAGCCATTTCTTAGAGATAACAAATGGCTCAGGAGGGAGCATGTCTCTGATAATCAAAGTAACCAATCAAGAGTAACACCTCCTCTATCTTGTCCTGTTGTTTAAGCCACGCAGTCTGTGGCATTTTGTTGTAGTAGCCTGAGCTTTTCACCACCCTCATTCATTTTCTGAGCACCTACTATTTGATGGGAACCATGCTAGCACTAGGAATCCACATGTTGGTCAAAAACAGACATAAACATGCACACACAAAGTGTATTACTCAGTTTACACTCCAGCAACAAACCAACTTCAAAACGTCCATGACATACCACAAGAAGCAGTTTCAACAATCTGCTGGGAGCCAGGGTGAAAGGGCAGCAGCTATCTGAGTTCTTCTCTACTCATCACAGACATTAGACAGATAAGAAAAAACAGGCAGAAACAGGCAAGGCTTCCTGAAGCCTCTGCTACTTTTCACCTAGAATAAAAATCAAAGTTCTGCCTTTGGCCTCCAGGATCCTATATGATTTGTTCAGCTACCTTCCTGCACTTTCATCTGCATATCTCCCCTTGCTCCCTTGGCTGCAGCATGCTGGCCTTTTGCTATTCTTCAAACACACCAAGCATGCCCATGTTGCTATGACTCTCAAATGGTTGTTTCTTGTACTTGGAGGCATTCATTCATTATTTGCAAAGGAAACTCGAGTTGAGACATGTTTCAATGAATCTCATTATTCAATTTTAAGTTTTACATGCTTTTTAAAGTCATATAGGTTGATAACTGAATTTATAATAGAATGAGTTGGGTCTTTTTTTAGATTAGTCACTAAAATGAATTGTTTTTCAAAATTTTGTTTTTCTCATATCCAAAGGAAATTACATCCACATAGGATCATCCTGGCTGATAGTTAGGATTCCTGAAGAGTGCCAATTGGCTTATTCTGATCATTTGAATCATTTGAATTTCAAATCTGGGAATGTCTTGCTACAAAAATAAAAAAAAGACCCTTGCAAAATAACACTATGGCTTACATATTATCTTCTTTATCATAGGGAATAATGGGACAGCTGAAAATTCTTTCAGCCGTATGACAAAGATGGGAGAATCACTTTATGGTTTCTAATTATATGAGCTAGAGCAGACATGTGAATTCTCCCTGAAATATTTTCATTTTTGCAGAGACTCTGCCTGCATCTTTTAAACACATTTCCATTATGTTTGAGTAGTTAAGTGTACCTCATTTTGCATTTTATTTCCCATGATATTTATATGACAATGGCAAAGTAAGACACAACCAGAATAACATAGTGATGTCTCAAATATCAGTTCATTTTAAAGGCACAAGCTTCCTTATAATTAAAATAGGCAATAGCCTTGGTAATTAATTAGTCCCTCTCAGCCCTTCTTCATCCTGCTCTTGTATCATGTGACCTTTAGATTTGGCTAGAAGAGGGCATTGGCAGTAGAGTGCAGGGGGAGAGAAAGTTCTGTATTTCTCAGGTTGCTTCTCTGGCTGAATAGCAGTTTAAGAGCAGCAGTGATACTTCACCAACAGCCACAGCTCCTGTGGAGTGGACCCTCACTCATAGGGGCAGTTCTCACAGGTTCTAACAACCACTTACCCTGCTTCCCCTCAGGCCTTAAAATGGTCAGGCTTCATACCATCCTACTCCTCTGTGTTTCACCTTCTCTTGTTGGTTCCCTTAACCCTGCCTCCAGCTTTCTAACTAGTCCTTTCATTACTCATTCCATGACCCTGTGACAATGCCATTTCTTCGCTGTCCAGGACCATGGCTTATACCATGGCTTATAATATCATCTATCATGTGCTGTGTCCTACAAAAGTTTTAAAATAAAAATGGTCAAGATGACAGTTAATGATAGTTTTCCAACTGACCAGTCATTTCACATCATAAAGGTAAGATTCAGCTCATTCACCCTTTCTTTCTAGTTGACTTGTACCCCATGTTCTTCTGAGAGCTGGGAGGCTGACCATGGTCTGGCCAAGCCTCAGTCTATACCTCTCTCCCCTTTTTCTCCTCAACCTTGGTGGAACCTGATATCTGTTGAGAGAAACCAGGCAGCTTGTCTGCTTGCTTGGATTCTTGACCATATTGGGACCATCTATTTACTTTAAAAAAAAAAAAATCCTGGCCGGGCGCGGTGGCTCATGCCTGTAATACCGGCACTTTGGGAGGCTGAGGCAGGTGGGTCACGAGGTCAGGAGATCGAGACCATCCTAGCTAACACGGTGAAACCCTGTCTGTACTAAAAATACAGCAAAAATAGCCGGGCGTGGTGGCGGGCACCTGTAGTCCCAGCTACTTGGGAGTCTAAGGCAGGAGAATGGCATGAACCCAGGAGGCAGAGCTTGCAGTGAGCCAAGATTGAGCCACTGCACACCAGCCTGGGTGACAGGGCGAGACTCTGTCTCAAAAAAATAAAAATAAAATAAAATAAAATAAAATAAATCCTTCAGAATAGGCAAATTTATAGTTACTTAAAACATAAGTCTCCCTTTCCGATGACATGAGTACTATAGGAATATATTATTATTTCCTAAGATTCAAATGATATAAAGCATACAGAGTAGAATGCTCAAAGGTCCTCTTTCTTACCTCCCAATACCACTTCAGTCCCAGCAACAACTGCACTTTCACAATTGACTAGGCCTCTTTCAGTCTCTGCCTGTGCCCTGATGTGCATATCCAAGCACTTACATTCTATACATATCTTATTTTTGTTTTAACATTAATGAAATCATATTACATGTATAATTGTATGGCCTACATATGTTGCATATATATGTTATATATGTTAATATTAACATAAAGGCATGTCTTCATAGATTATATGTCATATACAGGTTATCATATAAAAGGCATAGTTATCTTTCTGTCTAGTCTATCTATAAATGTGTTAGCACTCTTTCAAACCCTGTACATATTCTTACAATTTGCAAATGCTGCATAATATTCCACAGAATTAATACATTTTCTCACTGTTACAAATAATATTGTAATAAACAAGTTTTTAATACAAGTTTAATTGTATTCTTTCTTTGGGATAGGACTCTGAGAGTGGATTGCTGAGTCAAAAAATTACGTTCTTTAAAAATTTAGGTAGTTACTGCCAAACTGCCATACCCATTAGCAGTCACTCCCCATCCGTCCTGCCTCCTCACACACACTTTCGCCCCCAGCCCTAGACAACTGCTAATCTGCTTTCTGTCTCTATAGATTTGTCTAGTTGGGACATTTCATATGAATGGAATCATACAATATGTGGGTTTTTGTGACCAGCTTCTTTCACTTAGCCTAATGTTTTCAAGGTTCATGATGTTGTAGCATGTGTCAGTACTTCATTCCTTTTTACTGCAAAGTGATATTCTATTGCATAGATATACCACATGTTGTTTAACTATTCATCAGTCCGTGCATATTTGTACAGTTTCTGCTTTTTGGCTATTATGAATAATGCTGCTATAACCTATGTACAAGTTTCTGCGTGAATATATATCTTCACTTCTTTAGGATATATAGGAGTGAAATTGTTGGGTCATGTACTAACTCTAATGTTTAACATTTTGAGGAACTTTGCCAAGAATATTCAACAAAAAAATTGGCTGTAATTGTGTTGGTGACATTTTCTGTAGTATCGTGGAGTTTATAAGGCAAGGAAAGTTTTATGAAGATCATAAATATTTTCTCTACATGATTAATTGAGAGATACCATAATTTTGCTCAAAAGGTAAATTTACTATTCTAAAAATATTTATAGATATAAAGAAAAATCTAGAAAAAAATAAAATCTATGTTTTGGACCAATTTTATTCACAGTTATGGCCAGGTTGGATGATTATTACAAATATTTAGAGCTTAAGCTCCAAAGTGGTGTAGATCTTATAAATCATCACTTCAAATGTCTATATCTTACATTTAAAGAGATAAAATCATTATCTTCCAAATATGACAGAATTAGAGATTAATCTTGGGTTTTTATATTGTTGAAACCTCATATTTTATCATTAAGATCATGTATTTCATGTTGTGTGTGTGTTTTTGTTTTAGTAGGGGTTATCTGCTCAAAATTAATGTCTATCTCTCTAATAGAACAGAGAGGGTTTGGGGTACACATAGATTTTTTAAAAATAAAGCTAGACCTGTTTGGGGTGGATAAAATAACAGATATATTCAGTTTTTATGATGATAATGTGTAATGATCTTGATTTTATATGGAAATTTTAATTAATGCCCATGCGACAAATTATCTTCAATATAATAGAGTTTCTATATGCTATTTATCATGATAGCGCTTTAAAATTTTTAAATTTATTTTTTTTTAGCAATTTATGCTATAAGGGTATTACTGTATTCATGGTTTACATAGAAACCACAACTCAGAATGGTAATTGACTTATTTAAAATCAAATGGTAAACGGCTGTAATTTTAATGCTGATTTCCTAATTCCATACCTAGATTTTTGTAGCACCGCTGCAAAGTTTGGAGGATATAAGAAAATGTGCTTTGCAGATTAGTTGCCCATAATAGTGACTTCCAGTAAACTATGATGTCTTCATGAGGCTATTATTTAAAGTTTATTATACTTCTGCAGATTACCTAGCAAGAGCTTTGGTGAGTCCTGTAAGAGGTGATGCCTCTAAGAGATACCTGCTGGAATCATGGAATCCAGTCCAGGGCTTCTCAAGGGGCTTGTAGAGATAAGTTTCCTGTAATTGCAAACCTTATTTGAAGGGCTGTGAATTCTGCTAGATATGTAATTTGTGATAAAGAAAATGCTTCAAATTAAAACTATCCCCTTCATTTTTGTGTCACAGATATAGTCATTCAATGATGTTTTCTATAAAAGTACTGACAATTAATATTGCAATTTTCAAGCAAAAGCCCTTAAGCAACAAGCATTCATCCAAATACTTTTCTTTTCAATAAACACTATCAACAAAAGACATTAGAAGTAATGATTTCTAAGGGCCACAACAGTGGTTTTATAAATTAAATATCTTCAGGACTCTCTCTGAGAACAGTAATCAATATTTTATTTTATTATTTTAAGCCATTTTCTATTCTTTTAAATCTCAACTTTCTCTGGTTTTTCTCCCTCCTTCCCCTCCTTCCTTCCTTCCTTCCTCTTTTCCTTTTTCCTACCTTCCTTTCTTTCTTCCTATTTTATACTTATTTTTTCTTTTGCATTTATATGTTAATTTTCTTGTGTGCTTGTAGCTTCTTGGGTTTTTTTTTTTTGGCTCATATTTAAAAACAAGGCATTTGAAACTTGATGGGGACTTTGGTTTACATGAAGGAGGATTGATAATCAATAGGAATAACTAAAGAGAAGTAATCTCATTAGTGTCAGGGAAATTCTATATGATTGAAACTGAATATCCTTGATCCAGGATACAAATGCCCACAGTAGTTGAGCTAGTTCACCAAATAGTGTGTAGACTTATTGCTGTGTATGCTGATCTTAGGAAGAAGAGAAGATAGGCACTGTGGTCAAGCCGCCCCCTGGAAACATCTCATCCTTAATAACATTATTTTGGTAATTGCTGGACTCAAGGGATACAATTATAAAACTTGGACTTTGGTCTAAAATAAGCCCATACTGTTTTACCATTGTCGAGCCAAAACTTTTTATTACTGGAGACAAGTTTATTCTCTAGTTTTTACTATTTCCACTAGTGGTGCTACTGTTCTCCTTTTATCTCATGTTTAAACACTTGAAGTTGTTCTCGAATCCTCATCTCTCCTCTTGTATTCAATTTAGTAATTTATCTTACATCTTTTCCTCTTTTCCATTTGCCCTGGAGCCACCTTTTTCCTGGACTTCTATAATGTTATTTTAATAAATGAATCATGTTTGTCATGAGTATAACCATGCCTGAAGAAAGATTGTCCAAACACGCTGGTGCCAGGCAGAATGAGGTTCAAATCCTGGCTTTGCCCGTAAGTATCTACATTAAATAAGGAAATTACTTATCCTCTTTAAGTTATTATTTCTTTCGTAAAGTTGAGATACTCATAGTTCCTACCACATGGGGTTTGGAGGAATTTTAAATAAGAAAAGGAATGTAAAATGCTTCACACAGTACCTGCCACATAGTAGGTCTTAAATAGTAAAAAATGTTAACTATTACTATTTTTAAATTGTATTACCTGTCAATTTTTACATTATTACATTCAACCCAACATTCTTAACACATAAAATAAAAGCTATAGTTGTTTATATCAAGTGTGTCTCTTTTGCATAGCAAGAAGCCGCTTGTAGATTCTTAATGACAAATCCATGGCTACTAGCATTTTACTGTCTCTATTTTTCAAAATTTTTAAAAGACAAATTATAATTGTATATAGTTATGGGGTACAATGTGATCTTTTGATATATGTATGCAATGTACAATGATTAATTCAAGCTAAATTAACATATCCATCACCTCACATACTTACCATTTTTCATGAGAACATTTGAAATTTACTTTCTTAGTCTTGAAATATGCAGTAGGTTGTTATTCACTATATAGCTAACATGTTGTGCAATCAGTCTCAAAAACTTGTAACTCCAGTCTAACTGGAACTTGGTATAACACCTTTCCATTCCTTTTTCCCCACACCCAGCCTCTGATAATGACTATTTTACTTTGAGTTTGACTTTTTAATTTCAACATGTAAGTGAAATCATGTGGTATTTGGCTTTTTGTGCCTGGTTATTTTACTTAGCACAATATCCTCCAGGTTCATCTATGTTGTTGCAAATGATACGATTTTGCCCATTTTTTAAAGGCTGGATAATATTCCTGTGTGTGCATGTGTGTGTGTGTGTGTGTGTGTGTGTGTGTGTGAATACACTACATTTTATTTATCCATTCATCTATTGATTCCATATCTTGATGATTGAGAATAATGCTGCAATGAACGTGGGAATGTAGTTACCTCTTTGACATGCTGATTTCAGTTCCTTTGCATATATACCTAGATATAAGATTGCTGAGTCATATGGTAGTTCTATTGTTTCTCAAGAACTCACCTTAGTTTTCCTTAATAACGTTACTAACTCACATTCCACCAACACTGTGCAAGAGTTTCCCTTTTCTGCACATCCTCACCAACACTCACCTTTCATCTTTTTAATAATAGCTATACTGAAAGGAGTAAAGTGATATCTCATTGTGGTTTTAATTTGTGTTTTCCTAGTGACTAGCGATATTCTATATAAAAAATCTCTAAAGATTCTACCAAAGACTGTTAGTATTGATACATAAATTCAGGAAAGTTGCAGGGTGCAAAAATTAATATTTGATAATTGGTAGTATTTCTATACATTAACAATAAACTATCCAAAAAAGAAATCAAGAAAAAAAATCCTGTTAACAATAGCTATGAAAAAAAAAAGTACTTATAACTAAAATTAGCCAAGGACATAAAAGGTCTATAAACCTTTGATAAAACAAACTGAAAATAAATGAAAGGAAATTCTGTGTTCCTAGCTGGGAGTAATTAATATTGTTAAAATCTCCATACCACCCCCATAAAATCTATAGATTCAATTCAATCCCTATCAAAATTCCAAATCCTTTTCACAGAAATAGAAAAAAAATTCTAAAATTCATATGGAACTGCAAATTATCCTGAATAGCCAAGGTAATTTTGAGAACAAAGTTGGAGGCATCAAACCACCTGATTTTAAAATATGTTACAAAGTTATAGTAATTAAAACAGTGTGGTATTGGCATAAAAACAGACACCACAATAAAACAGGATAGAAAAACCCGAAATAAACCTACAGATTTACAAGCAATTGATTTTTGTCAAAGATGGCGAGAACACTCAATGGAAAAGTTCTGTCTCTTCAATTCAATAAGTCATGCTGGGAAAACTGGATATCCTCATGCAGAAGAATAAATTTGGGACTTTATCTTACACCACATACAGAAATAAACTCAAAATAGATAAAAGACCTAGACATAATAATGGAAACTGTAATACCACTAGAATAAAACATAAGGGAAAATCTCTACATCATTTGTCTGGGCAATGATATTTTAGATTTGATCCCAAAAGCTTAGCCAATAAAAGAAAAAATAAACAAATGGGATTGCTTCACTCTAAAAAGCTTCTGTACAGCAAAGGAAACAGTGTTAATAGAGTGAAAAGACAACCTACAGATTGAGAGAAAAAAATTTGCAAACCATACATCATATAAGGGATTCATATCCAAAATATGTAAGGAATTCAACTCAATAGCAAGAAAACAAGTAATTCGATTTTAAAAATGGGCAAAGGACCTGAATAAACTTTTCTTGAAAGAAGACATACAAATAGCCAACAAGTATATGAAAAAAATATTTCTTTCTATTTTCAACCACTGGTAATTCACACCCCTAAAAAGTATAGATTCCTATAATGCCTTTTTGCATATCAACCTCATAATGAGAAATCACATTTCTTCCAATTGACTGAATAATAAAGTCCAAATTCCTTAAATTATGTTGAAAGTCCTTTCCTATCTGGCATCTACCTACTCTTGATTCTCCATTGATGCCCTATTATTTCTGTATATGAATAAACTGTGTCAGCAAAATTCATCTTCTTATTGTCTGCAAGTTCACTGTTATATGTCCTGTCCCTATTCTTTTTCTGATGAAATAATATAAATTTCTCCTTGAATTCTAAATTCCAGCTTCAATCTCTATTTAAAGTATAAAAATCAGTGGCCCTTAGTTTCTACTTCACTGTTTTCTCCCACATTTATGACATACTATTTTGTATTTTTATTAATCTTTATTACAACATGACAAATCTTTAAACTTAGTTAGGTACTATATGTAGTTCACCATTATCTGTAAGTAGACAATAAATAAGGAGGGTAGGACCAATTGCAATGGACTCTAAAACAAATTCATACACTAGACCCAGCCAACCACTTGGAATAGAATGAGAAATAATCCAAAATGCAAAAACAATGTTCATGATACATACAGATGTCCATGAGGAGATTGTCGTTGTTTTCAGGTGCAAAAATTTTGAAATAATCTAAATGTCCAACTATAATAAGGTGGTTAAAAACATCACAATGCATTCACTTGGTGAAGAAATATATGCTATTAAAAATTAGGTAGTAATCAGTCTGAAAAACATGGGGAAATGCTTCTTCTTATATTTCTTACTACTTACTGAGAATGTACTCTATTCCAGAGTTGGGCTAAGAGGCTACACATATCCATTAACTTCATTCTTTCTATATTACCTGATGACATTGGAATTTCTACTATTTTGCTATTCATCTATTTGCAAATGTAGCCACTACATTTGCAAGCTCTCTAAGAAGGATTATTGACAATGTTGATAATAATCACAGGATCTGTCTATTTAAAAAATACAGAAAAGTAGAGTCACCAATGATGCTACTACAATTTTGCTTTTTGACTTCTTTCCTGGAGACTTGTCTCCATGAGTTTTGGCTGTTATAGATGGAAGTAAGTTTGAGCTCTCTTACCATTGTCAAAGTAGGTAACCTGAAGTCAATATCTTGTGGGTTCCATTTTTCCATCCAGGTAGTCACCCATTTGTAGAATAGGTGAGCTTTGCAATGATCTTATACAGCCTGGGCAGTAAACGATAAGAATTGATGCCTACAGTCAATAAGAATCAATACCAACATAAGTAAGTAATAATGCCATAGCTGTGCATAGTGGGTTAATATCCACCTTAGTGATTGAGGATTAGAAAGTTATTTGTGCTATCCTATGCCCTTTCAGTCACACTTCACCAGCAAACCCTGAACTATTAGACTCTTAGGAATCAACTTGTGCTTCCCCAGATGGCTGAGCAAAGTTTTAATGAGACAATCTAATACACTGAAAGCAGTTTCCTCATGAAATCCCAATAACCAAGATAAGTAGAGTTTCCAACAAGTTATATTGAGAAATCTGTACAGAGTTCTTAATTAAGTGGCAAAGATAATTACAGACTTCTAATTAACTACTTAGTTACTATGAATTAGTGAATCTCATTGCTTGGATAGCTTTTACTCAATTTTGTTGTTGAAAAAATACATTCTCTGCAACTTCCTTCTTATTATTCTCTCACTCTAATTAACCATTTCTTTGTACCACTGACATTTTCTAAGAGACATTTAATTACTGTTAATCCTTAGCTCTTGTTTTTAATCATCCAAAAAATGTAATAGCTTTAGCAACAACAAGCACTTTAGCTTAGGTCTGGATCTATGAAAATGATAAAACTTTGAGTCACATGACCTAAAGACTAATGTAGCCCATTTCTTAAATAGATGAGAAACCCTCCCAAACTCTATTACCAGGAAAGGGAAAGCATTAGCTAATATTTTATGGTACATATTTGACCTCGTTATGTGCTAATGTATTTCTCCTAATCATCACCTCCTCATTATTGAAGAGAGAAGCTCATCCTAATGGACAATTGAGTTTCACCTCCAATCTAGGCCAATGAAGGAGAAAACATTATAAATCCATTTCAAAACAATCTTTTTCATTTACTGAACATATTCTCAGAGGCTTGACACAAAGACTCATTTATTCTTTTCTGTTGATTGTAGAAATAATCATAGAGTAGAAAGAATTTTAATTCAATGAGTTGATGGAGGAAACTAAGAAGTTTGGTCAGAATTGATATATAACATGTAATAGAAATGATCACACCATTGCCCTTCCATGATCTCATGGATGGGATAAAAGAGTCTATTGACCCCCAATCTCTTCCATTCATTCCTTTTAACAATTATGGCCCTCATTTGCTCATCTACCCATTTATTATTTTGTTTAATAAGCCTGTTATTTCCTGGATGATCTAATCCAGAACAAAGGACAAATGGTAGTTCCTGACCCATTATGAATACTCTTTTTTTTAAATGAATGCTCTTAATGAGGATCTATCCCACGAACAATTCAAATGTGACCCATCTCAGGGTCACAATATTACACATCCTAGCATGAAGGATATGGAGGTGCCAATGTCTTGAGAGGCGACAAAGATAGACTATGAGAATGATCCCTTGAATAAAAAATAGCAAGGCTAGCGAAATTTGATTAAGATTTATTTGTTTATTTATTTATATATATTTAACTTCTGTGTTCTTAAGTAACAGTGGAACTCAAAGGGGTTAGAGCTGTGAGGGAAACACCAATACAATTCTTTACTCCCTATGCAAACTTGGGGAAGTCATTTGGCTTCTTCAGGCCTCAGATTCATCCATCACTAATTCTACTCACTTAATAGTGTGGTTGGCTACTTTACATAAATAATGCACATATGTTTCTTAGTAGAGTGCTTGCCATATATTAGGTGCTAAATAAATGTTACCAACTAGTCTAATTTATCTATCAAATATTGGAAAGAACTAGCCATTACTTTGTAAAAACTAAATTCAGGACACCTGCAATTTAAAAAATATTTCAATGAGGTACAGAGGAACAAAATACAATGGGTTCTTGAGTGTGTCCTTTCCAGCCTTCCTCTGGCAGGGCTGACTCAAGTTATGCTGGAATGTGGCCTTAGCCACTGCTTAAGTGGACCAGGTTGACAGTCTTGTCACACTGAATCAGCATGCTGGACTTGGTATGCACATTGAGCTGAGGGTTGAACAATTCTCAAATATAAAACTCCATGGCTTTCTCTGAGGAGGTACTGGGTGTATTCACAACAGTGCCTCAAAGTACAGTTGCACATGCAGTCTGCAAAGGCCTCATTACCCAAGCTATGACCACCTCCCTACCAAATCAGTTTCAGCCTCAGCCATGTAAACTCAGGACAGAGGTTGGGTTTGTCGATCTGCTTTTAATATCCTCATGCCAAAGTCCCTGGTATGTAATGAACACTAAGCTCAAGCAAAACTGTGAGCTGTGATCTTGTTGCTGATACTAGGTTTTCCAGTCCTCATCTAGTCCTCCCAATCCTGAGGTTTGCAGCAATCAGGAGTAGAGCTGAGACCACAATAAAAACCTAGTGACCCTTCTCAATGCTGCCATCTAAGTGAGAGACCCAAGCAGAACTGGTCATGGCCAAATGTTTTCTGTTTGTTCCAGGAAGGTCTGGTAGACCTGGGAGACAGGGTTCTGTTTTCTGATTCTACTGAGGCAATTAAAAAGACCATCAGGGCCAAAGTAAAACTTTGCTTTTGGTGTCTTTTTAATATTTGTAATGTGCAAAATAGCATTTTACTGTTTAGTTTCTATATTCAAGGCATTAATGCATTATAACCATGAACATTACATAAAATCCTAAAATGAAATATTCATTCAAACATATTAGATGTATTAGTCCATTTTCACCCTGCTGATAAAGACATACCCAAGACTGAGCAATTTACAAAAGAAAGAGGTTTAATTGGACTTACAGGTCCACGTGGTTGGGAAAGCCTCACAACCATGGCAGAAGGCAAGGAGGAGCAAGTCACATCTTGTGTGGATGGTGGGACAGAAAATGAGAGAGCTTGTGCAGGGGAACACCTCTCTTAAAAACCATCACATCTCATCAGACTTATTCACTATCATGAGAACAGCATGGGAAAGACTTGCCCCCATGATTCAATTACCTCCCAGCAGGTCCCTCCCACAACACGTGGGAACTCAAGATGAGATTTGGGTGGGGACACAGCCAAACCATATCATTAGATGTCACAAATTCAAAAAATTTTACAATAGTTGTAAAAATTACCTTCTTTAATGAACATATTCATAAGTAAAGTTACTGAAAAAAGACTATAGGGAACACATAGATTTAGCCTACCTAAAAGCATAGATTAAAAAAATAATTTAAGTAAATTGTTTTGGGGTAGCTCATAAGCAATGAACTTTTAAACTCATTATTTCAGGACTTCCACCTGACAATAACCTTTAGTATAATAAGATTGTTTCAAAGACGTTTTTATTTTATTGCCAAATGTTTACTTATTTTTAGGGCAAAATAGGTCTTATGACTTGATGGCTTGTGTGTGTGTGTGTGTGTGTGTGTGTGTGTGTGGTAGCGGTACATATATATGTCTCCAACCACCATTAGGAAACAGGTCAAAATGACCATATTTCCACGTATATTCTTATACAGTATGGAAATACTCACCTAGGTAGGTACATGGGTATGCATGTTCAAGAAAATGAAGAATAGAAAGAATTAAGGAAAGATTATCTTCCTCCTTTTGTAATTTTTATTATTTTACTTTTTGTTTCAATCGCTTTTGGGGAACAGGTGGTTTTTGATTACATGGATAAATTCTTTAGTGGTGATTTAGTGGTGATCATGGGGTGCACCTGTCACCGAGCAGTGTACACCCCCTCCCACCCTCCCCCACAAGACCCCATAGTCCATTATATCATTCTTATGCCTTTGCATCCTCATAGCTTAGCTCCACTTATAAGTGAGAACATACAATTTCTATTCCTGAGGTACTTCACTTAGAATAACAGCCTCCAACCCCATCTAAGTTGCTGCAAATGTTGTTTCATTCCTTTTTATGGCTATGTCTTTCTCTTCAACATTCTCTACAAATGCACTTGCACCTAAAGGTATATGATTGGGCAAATTCTGTACCTATCATAGGCTGTAACTTGGTCTCTAATTTCACACATGAAATCTTTTTTCATTCACTTGGAGTTAATTCAGTGAGGATAGACACTGTCCTTCCCTTGTTCCCCAAGCATCAGCAAAGTGTTTAGTTAATCTCCCATTAAATATTGAATAGAAAAACCTTCATTTTCAGAAACTCTTCTTTATGAGGTCCTAATATATGCCATGTGCTCTGCTAAGTGCTCTTTGGAGACTCTTTTATTTAAGCCTTGCAACAATACTAGGAGGAAGGTATTTCACCCATTTTAATAATGAAGAAACTGAGCTTAGTAATATACTCAAGTTCTTAGATCTAGGAATAAATCTGGGATTTAAATTAAAATCTGTCTAAATCTATGTTCCTATCTACTGTTAAGTGTGGCTTCCAAAAAAGTGTGGGCAGAATCTAAGGGTGGGTGTGTCCTCATGCTTACAAGACTCTCTGCAGTCTGTGAAGATGGAGAGGCAGCGAGAAGGGAAAGAATGATCTCTGGGTGGAACTTGCCTCTCCCATCGCCACCATGGCCCAGCAAGAAACACTTCAGTCCAGATTTCCCTTCTCTTGAGTATTGAGTATGCAGAATAATGCCCCACCCACACCACGAAAGATGTCCAAGCCTCAATCCCTGGGACCTGTGAATATCTTATGTTCCATGGCAAAGGGGAATTAAGGTCACAGATGGAATTAGGGTTGTTAATCAGCTACCCTTAAAATAGGCAGATGGGACTTTATCCTGGATTACTGTAAGTGGTCTCAATATAACCAGCAAGGGTTTTTCAGTGGAGAAGAGAAAGACAAAAGAGAGCAAACCAGAAAGATAGCAATGTGAGTAGGACTGGAGCCATGTTGCTGGTTTTGAAGATAGAAGAAGGGGCCCTAAGCCAAAGAATGCAGACAACCTCCAGAGGCCGGAAGAGGTGAGGGAACAGACGCTCCCCTAGAGCCTCCAGAAGACACCAGCATGCCGACACCTTGGTTTTCGGCCCGTGAAACCTATTTTAAATTTCTGACCTCCAGAACAGTAAGATAATAAAAGTGCGTTGTTTTAAGCCACTAAATTTGTGGTAATTTGTTACAACAGCCACATTAGATGATTAATACTAGCACTGGTTGGTGTCTTGCAGCTTCAGAATGTATATTTTATAATGGGGCGGTGAGACCTCCTTCCGCTCAACTTGTACACAGAGGCACTCAGCACACATCCCTCAATGGGTGATCTCATTCCAGCACGTGCGCTGGGCAATCAGTACCAGAGGCAGTTCTGCCATGGCTTAGTGCATACGTCATCTTTGGTGGGACAAAAATTGTGTATGCAGATCTAAAAACATGATCAAAAGCAAGTCTATCCTAACATTTCTGTCAATTTACCAGGGGTATCCAATCTTTTGGCTTCCCTGGGTTACATTGGAAGAATTGTCTTGGGCCACACATAAAATATACTAACACTAACGATAGCTAATGAGCTTAAAAAATTGCAAAAATACTTACAATGTTTTAAGAAACTTTATGAATTTGGCCACATTGAGAGCTGTCCTAAGCCGCATATGGCCTGTGGGCCACAGGTTGGACAAGCTTTATTTAGATCATGCCGAAGGAGCACAGTTCCATGAGGAGGGAGGATGGGGAGCATGTGGTGTGTTTGCATACAATTTTAATTTCTGGATGTTTCAAGTCATATTCTGAGCACTGAAGGTAGGCCTAACTCACTTATCTGCTACACAAAATATGACCAAGTGGGGTACACATATGTAGGAGAGGTGTACAGGAGAAGCGGTGCGTGCATATATGGAAGCAAAGGAATGAAGTTGATGTAGATTTTTATAGAATCACAATGTTTAGAAGCAATATTTAAATATCAATTAATTACCAATACCCCCCCCAAAAAAAGAATGAAGACACCAGAAAAGGTATTATTTGTAATTAACTATGTAGCCACTAGATGGCAGTACAGTGTAAGCAAAAGGAAAATCTATTCCCTCAGCCCAAGCTTCTCTGGCTGCTGTTAAAGGATGTTTTACCGCTGTTTCAGGAGAAAAGGAGGAAATTCAGTCATGTTAAGGCAGTCAACTTAGAGGGCCAGGACTGTTCTAGATGGACTCCCGGGCTAGAAAGAGCATGGACTCTATGTGTCTCAGCTCCTCTAATTCCTATCTATGAGATCCTGGCAAGTTGCTTAACATCACAAGGCCTCAGTGTTCACATTTATATAATGGGTGTGAATGTTATTTTTCTTACAAGGGAAAGAAAAATGAAGTAAAACGGAGTAATATTATTAAAATACTTAAGATTTAATAAGCAGTCGATTATTAATAGCTCTGTGTCTCCTTTGGGTAGGGAAAAATAATACAATTTAGATTTTAGGTCCTAAACTAATCTCCAGGTATGGTTGTGAGGAAATTATGGGTCTTGAAAAGTAAAGAGAGAAGATTTATTCTTTACTCTGCTTCAATGTGGCTAAAGCTTCCCTGCAAAGTGTCACAATAACCTTCTCTTCATGTTCTCAAATGCAGTTGCTCCCCTCCCCATCTCTCCTTGACACGTGAAGTTCCTCTCCTATGAGGAGCATTGCCAAGTTTCGAGAGGTCTGCAATGTTGGACTAACAGTCATGGCCTTCGCACAGGCAGGAGGTCACAGCAGGGACTCCAGTGCTCACCACTTCCCTCTTCCTACATCTGCCTTTAGTTTATGAATGCATGAGAATTTCATAGTGAGTTAATGGAAGCCCTCCCAAAATATGTCCACATAGAACCCGTGAATGTGACCTAATTTAGAAAAGAAAACAAAAGGTATTTGAAGACGTAATGAAGTTAAGAATCCTGAGATGAGCTCATCCTGTATTATCCAGGTGAGTTCTAAATCCAATGGCCAGTGTCCTTAGAAAGGCACAGGGAGATGTGTGACAGAGAGGATTCGGCCATATGAAGACAGGGGCAGAGATTGCAGTGGCGTGATCACAAACCCAGGAACACCCGAGCCGCCAGAAGCCTGAAGAGGCAGGGAAGGATTCCCCTCTAGAGCTTCTGGGAGGTGCGTGGTTCTGCCAACACCCTAATTTCAGAATCCTGTATGCCACAACTCTAAGTAAATATTATAAATTCTTATCATGCTAAGCTACCAAATTTGTGGCCTTTTGAAATGGTAACTCTAGGAAACTAGTACAGGTTTATATCAAGAAAATTCCTGTCCCCATGTATTTTTCCAGTGTGCTAGAAATTCCATGATTAGCAAATTTATTCCTTTGGTTTAAATTGCAGATTCTTTTAAAATAAAATACATGAGATCCTGGGAAAGGTGTCCTATTTTAGAGAATGAATGTTCACACCACAGCCTCTGTGAATGGATGGCTCATATCTACAGAAAAGCACTGGATACTAGGAAGGAAACAATTCTAAAGGGTTGTAGGGTTGTAGGGCACTGGCTCTAGCAGACCAGCTTGCCTTGCTGCAAGACAACTTGTCTGGCGTTTGACCCAGAGGTTCCTCATTACTTCAATGGTCTTCAATGAAAGAAGCCAAAGTTTGGAGAAACCCCAAAGAGTATTGCCTTTAGACCCATCTAAGACCCCACACTGGACTAATTTCTGGAGGCCCCTTGCCATCGAGGATGTGCCCATGGGGCCAGTGGAACATGTCCCCAGAATTAGCATCTTCCCCTCCCAGCCAGTGATACAGGTGGTGCCCAGATCCCAGAATTATTCACCCACATGGCCTCCCAGCCCTTCCCCAAGTCCCCTACAGGCTTTTTCTCTAGACCTGCCCTCTCTGGGGTGGCTAGCATTATACTGTGCACACTCCTAGGCTGGGGGTGGTGAATGTGTGAGGCCCTTCGCAGGAGAGAATGGAGCCGACAGGTGGCTTGCTGGGCTCCAGGACCCTTCTCTTCTGGCACCTCCAGGTTCTGGCTGAGGAATTTGATCATTCTGAACTGAAATGTAGCCTCTCTGGTCTTTTTTGTATATTTGTCAAGGTAGGAGGATTAAACATATTTAATTAAATGATTAGTTAACTTGGCTTATAAATTAAAATATTTAGACAAGTGGAATGTGGGCCTTACATTTGCATCCTTTCCTTGGGACCAGCCAAACATGAGGTGGCCCTGCCTCTGAGATAGGCAACGCTGTAGGAGCACTCTGCAAGTTGGAGTAGTGTGTGAACGGCAGTCCATAAAAGGCAGGACATAAAAGCAGAATCTCAGTGCTGGAGGTGCCCACAAGGAAAAAAAAAAAAAAAACCCACAAAAGGAATTGGTAGTAAAACCCAAGCATCACACCAACACCAAGCACGGAAATGACTACATCACAGACAGCAGACACCAGGTCCCCCATCTCCTGGCTATTCGACTTTAGAAAAGAAGCTTAAAGTCTTGAACTGAAATTCTTAAAATATAAAATCAGGATGATTAAATATATGTCAAAGAGTTATTATGGGAATTCAGAAAGCAGTAAATCAAAGTCATTACTTTAAAACAAGGACACATACTTCAGATACTAAATGCAGCGTAAATTGTAACTATCCTTGTTACAGCTATTGACAATGTATCACATGGAATTGCTGGGACTGGGGAGAGTGAGTCTTGGGATGAGAAGCAACATTGAGATGGACACCTCCCTCAAAAGCATCAGATGTCTCAGTAAGAGAGGCAAGCTCTGATCTCCCAAATTGAGTTTTGTATGGACATATACCTACTTATGGGTGGAAATATAATAATGAAGCACAACTAGTTGGGAACAGCTGTTTTAAACATTCTAAGAAAAGATTGCTTGTCTGGTCTGCCCACTTAAGGGCTCCAGAGTTGTAAATGTGAGTCTTACATGTGATTTTTAGTTTGGGTTGGCTCAGACCAGACATCTCTCTAACATGGTACATGGAGAGTTATTATTATTAATTTTTCATAATAGAGTACTTCGAGAAAACAAATGAACCATTTCAAAATGAAAATTATATGCAGATTATTAAAACAGCAATGTGAGAATGACTGCATAATAAACTAAAAGGTCTAAATGGCACACTCTGTGTTAAATTTCGTTCTGTCTTTACTAATATCTTGGCTAATTGGGAATGGTCTTGTTTTGCTTTAACTCAGAATGTCTTATTTCTTCCTCTGAACAGAACTTGTTAGTTTCCTTATGAGACAGATAACTCTCTGGGCCCTTCCCAGGTGGCTGGGAAGATTGCTTCCTGGTATCACGATCTTCATTGTAATTACAGAGAATTTTCCCTCTCTATAGCTATAGCCCCTGAGAGTTTAGACGTTAATTAATAAAGTCCTTACCAGGTATTTCTAAGAAGGGGCTCTTTTTCGCCTGCAGCCTGCGAGCACCCAGCCTGCTGGTTATGAGTTACGAATGGACCCGGAAAGGCACGTGGCTCTGCTTTCCTGGGTCAGTCCCCTTGTCTTGCCTTGGCCTCATGTACTTGCTCTGTGTTCTGCCCAGTCAACTTTGTGTTCTTCTCAAAGCTGTGGCAGTGAGTAGATTTTTATGATCCATAGCTTTTTCCCCCTTGGTCATTCAAAGAACTTTCCAACTAGGTCATAGCTAAATATTGATTCTCCATTAAGCAGAAACATAAATACCATTTTATTTCCTGTGTAACACCATTAAACATCCTCCTTGGCTACAGAGGTCCAAGTTTTATGATTTTTACTATTTCTCACCCAGTGATCTCTTAGCTGGTGAAGCACCCAGGACACTGCCTGGTGAGAAAAAGAGGAGAGAATCTCTGGCAATATATTACAAGGCAAGAATACTATAACTTAATGGTGATTGAGAAATTCAAGTCTATTTTTTTCAGGCAACATCCAGTAACATCTTTCTTGGTATCAAGCTTGCTATCAAGCTTGCTATCAAGTTTATCAATAGCTTGAATAAAAATACTGATGAATGTAGAAAACTGAAAAAGGTAGGTAATATACTGAAAGTCAGAGTTGGGAGACAAAACATCTTTACATTGGAATGATGAGCAGAAGCCAACACTGTTAAATGTAGCATAGATGAAAGTAGATTCTGCTCCAAACGTGGAAACCTGCCGTCCAGGTGCAGCATGGGAAGATGTGTGCTAACACTGGACTTATTTCAGGGGTCACTCTCCACAGCAACTTCAGAGGCTGGCATGGCCTCAAGGCACTGCACACTCCAGCCTTTACCTTCCTGTCCAGCCTCACATCTAGTGACATTTTCTGCCAACCTGCTCCTTTCACACAGGTAATGGGGAGGAACATTTTAGCTCAGTATAAGGAAGAATTTTCTAATAGAGTTGCCCGAAAATAGAATGAACTTTCCTCAGAAACAGAAGCAGCCAATCCCCACCAGCAATTGAGGAGTTCTAGCCAAGGCTTAATAACCTTTTGTAAGGTAATTGGAAAGAAGATTGAAACAGTGTAACTAAGAAAATGGGCTTTGGGAAAAAAAGACTTAAGTTCAAAGACTTTCTCTAAATAGATACATTATTTTGAGCTGAGTGGTGGTTTCTGAAGCTGGATAGCCTGGTTTTCAATCTAGTCTGCACTTACTAGCTGTGTGACCTTGGCATGGCATTGAATGTCTCCTGGCCTCAATGATCTCATCTACAAAATGTGGACAAAAATACTGTCTGTCTTGTAAGTACTATTATCAGCATTGTGTGAGGATCAAACAAGTCAACAAACATAAAACTCAGAACATTACCTTACATATAGTAAGCACCTAATTAATGGTAACAATTTTGTTTATTTGTTTTTGAGATAAGAGTCTAGCTCTGTGACCCAGGCTGGAGTGGTGCAATCTCAGCTCACTGCAACCTCTGCCTCCTGGGTTGAAGTGATTCTCCTGCCTCAGCCTCCTGAGTAGCTGAAATTGCAGGCATATGCCACCATGCCCAGCTAATTTTTGTATTTTTAGTAGAGATGAAGCTTCACCATGTTGGCCAGGCTGGTCTCAAACTCCTGACCTGAGGTGATCCACCCACCTAAGCCTCCCAAAGTATCGGGATTACAGGCGTGAGCCACCATGCCCAGTCAAATGTTAACAATTATTATTAAACTATCTCAACATATGTTTCCTCTACAGTAAAGATAATATGTACCTTATGGATTTCCTTTAAAAAAATAAAATATGTATTGTATTTAATATGGCGCTTGACATACTAAACAAGTATGTTTATTAATTTGATGAAATGTTTTGAGCTACATAATATCTAAAATATTAGACACTATAAGAATAAACCTGAGATTCTGTGATCCAATGACTGAGCAACAGCAGGTTACCAAGAAATTTTCCCAGCATGCTCCTTTGAGGCAGATACCTATAGCTTGTGTATTGAAACAAAATGTTCCTTTTAATTTAACAAATTAATGATTTGAAAGAGAGAAGGATAGAGAGGAAGGAAGTGTAATAGAAGTAAGGGAGGAGGCAGGGAGGAATAGTGAGCGAGAGAGAGAGAGAGAGAGAGAGAGAGAGAAAATGAAAACTTGAAGCTTGTATATTTCTTTCCCACTATTCCATGAAACTACACATGGACAATTAGGTAAAAAAAGAGAGATAAAAAAGAAAACTGTAATGGCATCATCATCTTTCTGATATGCAACTTATTTGTTAATCTTCATTATCATTGTATTTGATTGGGTTTTGAAAATATGCATTTTTCAGGTTGAAGAACAGAAGTTGACTCAAAATTTCTATGTAATTTTTCAGCTATATTCTAAAAACTATGAATTCCTCTCAGCCTAATCACCTACACTGAAGTGTCAGTCTCCAGACACAAATGAATTACTTTTTGTGTGAAAAATATTTTTAGTTAATATTTCTTGACATTGTGGATTCAAATATATTTCTGCTGTTATGCATCATTTAACTTCTGTCTTCTATTTTGGGATTAAAATGTTGGAACAGAGACTCTTATTCTCAAGTTTCCTAACTCTTATGAATTAAAATTGAGCTCTTCCTCCAATTGCTTTTATTTTAGTTTCTAATAGAGTAATTCATTTGTACCTTGATTTAATAAACCCTAACCTGTCTGCATGCCATGGGCCCTACAGGAGATATAATGGAAGCATAAATTTTGTCCAAGTTTTCCAGGTTATTATGCTCTAGTTGGGGTGGAGGAAGAAGGAAGAATTAAGAAGGGTGTCTACAAAGTAGTTAAGATTCTTATTGGTTATTTACAAGATAGGCACCATCACACTTTATGGCTCAGAGATAACTCTGGACTGATGGTGGGAGGGGGGTTCTCATTCTAAAGAGATGCTGATTGAAGGCAATAGCAAATGCTGGCTCCTGGCCTTTGTGTGCCATGACAGTGGGGAAAATAACTGCAGATTATCTTTCTTCAACTACAGAATGATCATAATGATGCCTCCCTCTCCAGGTGGTTGTAGGAACTAAAGACAATGCATAAAGAACACCTGTCCTATTGAAAATAGTCAATAACTGTGACTTTGTCATGTTTATCCTTGATATGCAATGTGGTGAGGGCCTAAAGGGATGGGTGGAATTTAGAGACACACAGGACTTGAAATCCATGTATGACATGTTGAGGGGAAAAGGAGTAAATAACAGGAGTAGAAGCTCCACACTGACAGTGGTGATTGTTGGGAAAATTTGGAAAATATATGAGCAGCCCAGAAGGGAGGGATCAGAATCCCAAACTAGTGTACTCTTTAAAATTTATGAGCAAGGGTGGATCTTTCTTGTTGTTGTTGTTGTTCTTGGGAGCTTGCAGACTTACATAATTTGGGGCACCATCATAAAACTTTTGTTACAAAATTAGGTACAAAAATAAACATTATTGGCCAGGCACAGTGGCTCATGCCTGTAATCTTAGCATTTTGGGAGGCTGAGGCAGGTGGATCACTTGAGGTCAGAAGTTTGAGACCAGTCTGGCCAACATGGGGAAACCCCATCTCTAAATTAGCTGGGAGTGGTGGTAGGCACCTGTAATCCCAGCTACTCAGGAGGCTGAGGTGGGAGAATCGCTTGAACCCAGGAGGCAGAGGTTGCAGTGAGCCAAGATTGCACCATTGCACTCCAGCCTGGGTAACAGGAGCGAAACTCCATCTCAAAAAATAAAAATAAAAATAAAATAAAAATAAACACATTATTTTATGTAAGGAAATAAGCCATAACATGCTAAAATTTTTTTCAAAGCTGACAGGTTTCAAAAACATCACAAAATTCAGGAAAATAGCATAATGGCACAACGTGGCTGCAAGTCAAAAAAGGACATATGGCACCAAACTGGATTGTAATATGTGCTCAGCTAAAATTCCTGTTACATGAATCTAAAATATCCGCACTATGACATCACCTTCTGACATGAGGGGGTGTGTACGTAGGGCAAACCAAAGCAGAAAGGCATGGAGGTATGAATTTATTTAGGTTAAATGTCTTACTTTTATTTATTTTACAATAACATATGACCATGAAAACATAATGCCAGGGCCCTGCCAGTGGGTGCCCTCAACCTTATGCCGCGTTAGCTTCGTGGCAAATCCACTTCTGCACATGGACGATGGGAAAATCATTGCAGTGAGGCATCAGAACTGTTGCTTTAAGAAGATAGAATATAGTTTTGCAATGGCTAGAAACCCAATGAATGTGGAGAGACCACTATTTAGACACCACAAAAGTGAGAGGCATTGGAGGGAGTATCACCACTTATTAGATGACCAGCACAATATGGACAATGACAGAGAAGGAGAAGCCCAAATTCATGGGGATGTGGAGTTCATGTGACCAAGAGAATATACAGCAGAGGCTTTAGCAAGAAAACAGCTACTGTCTGGAAGAAAGTGTGTCCACATCATTTTGCCCATGGACGTCAGGAGGTAAGCACATTAAACAGGTAGGGAGGAGGAAAATGCCCCCTTTCCAGCCTGATTGACCACATCACACGTGGAAATAGAATGAATACCAATCCCAGTGTTTATGACAGAAAACACGAACAGATTGAGATCCTCCTATGGCAACAAGATAGCCAGAGTCTAGGGATACCCAAGTTAACCTAGACCAGTTTTTAGGTAAATACACTCATAGCAAATAGAAGGGAAATTATTATTCATTATTGTGGGGGTTCTCTGCAAGTCCTGCAGTAATCTGAGACCTAGCATGTACAGCACTCATTTTGCTCAAGTGAGAAGCCCTTTCCTTACATCTAATTCTGAATCCCCAAGATGGGGGAATGGAAGCAGCCAGACAGCAAGTGAGAAAGTGTTGTCCACAGTGTCTCTGCCAAACCAGCCTGCCCAGGAGCCTGGACACTAGACTCACCAGCTCCCACGTGAGATGCACAGTTTCAGGAGGAACTGGCCAAACCCAGGTAATAGAAGCCAGATCCAGGGTAATTGGCCAGTCCAAGGTAAGGGCTTCCAAATTCAATTTAACTGGCCAATCCCAGGTAAGATGACCAGTCTAGACGCAGAAAGGAGAAGCAGGAAGGAGGTGCACATCTGTATTTTCTGTCTTCAGTGGGCAAGAGGACACAACCCACTGTCTTCCTTGATGTCAACTAAACTAGAGAATGATCCCAACTCTTTGGCAGCAAATTTACTTTCTCACTTAATCATCACAGTCTCTAACAGGCAAGTATTTTTATTTCACTTCATGGACAAGCCAATAGGCTCCAAGTTGAGTTACTTTTGCAGAGACTATGTGACTATACAGGCAGCACCAAGCTAATAAATAATGAATGTATTGTAAATAGATTAACTATGTTAGGCCATTTAATTATCACTGCAGCCCTGTAAGGTAAGTGCTGTTATTACTATCCCCATTTCACAGCTGAGACAACTGAGGCACAGGTAAATTTGGAAGCTTGTCTGAGGTCACACAGCTTATAGGAGATGAGGCTGGGATTTGAACCAAGGCAGTTAGGTTCCAGAATATATTATTTCACCATATACTGTTCTGCCCCTCCAAGATGTCAAATTATGACTTTCTAATTCAGCCATCCTCCTCAGCTCATTCCACCACTCTGAGCTGAATTCACAGACAGATCCTTCTTCACACAAATACAGAGAGGATCACTTCATCCAAAGTGCCAATAGAAGTATTAGGTTGGTGGAAAAGTAATTGCACCATTTAATTGTCATTAAAAGCAATGGAGAAAACCACAATTACTTTTGCACCAACTAATAGAAGAAAACACAAAGGAGGGAAGGTAATGAGTCTGTTTATGGAAATGCGAAGTGGAGATTTGTGAGTGCCCCTGAGGAGAAGGAGCCTTCAGGGATTTCTCCTAGAAATGCAGATTTGAGAGTCAGCAGCAGGCAGTAATAGGCAGGACAATGAGATAGGAGCTGCTCGTGTGTAATTATGTAATTAAAATAATGATACCTTAGAGTTGCTTAGTACTTTATAATTTTCAAAACACTTATATATTATTATATTTAATCACCTATAATATTTTTAAATTTAAGTGATATTAAACCTGCTGCATATTATAAAAATGTTTTAATATGTTTCTATTCTAGAGATAAAAGAACAAGATGACAGAGAAAATTGTAAAGGAGAGAATATAATTTCTTATCTTGCCCTCATAGGCTCTTAGTTGAGACATTTTCCTGAAAACAAAAGTCAGATTAACAAGAGAAAAACTAGGAGAAGTTTATTAACGTGTACTGTACCCATCACGCAGAAGAGGCCTCAGTTCAAAATATTTCTCTCTCAAGGCAGTGGCTTAGGGGATTTAATTAAATAGCATTTTGTCAAAGAGCCATAAATCCTATATAGTAACAAGATAAAGAAGATAATATCTTCAGGCTTCCTAAAGGCGGGAAAACATGGGAATGTAAATTTATGGCAAGAGTAAAGTCTGCTCCTACATGCTCTGGTGCTACTGTCTCTGAGCTGATAAGCAAGCATTGGAAAGCAGCCTATCTTTAGGTGGGAAAGGCGGAGGAGGGAAGGTCAACTTTTGTCTTTGTAAATTGCTGTCCTGCCATCATGCAGGCAGAGGGAGGGGCAGGATGCCTCCTGTATTCTTCAGCTCAATAATCCTCAGTATTCTGGAGAGGAATATTTTGGCTTCCTTTGAAGGCCAGGCAACTTGCATTTGTTGAACTCATGTTATATGCCAAGAAATGTACAAGATGTTTATGCCATTATCTTACTTAATCCAGCAACAAATTTATGAGAGCGAACCATATTCTCACTTTACAGATAAGGAAACTAAGGCTCAGAAAGCTTATGTAACTTGGCCAACATCACACAACTAGCAAGTATTCAGGCCATGTTCTCCCAGATCTGTCTCACTGGGGAGCTCATTCCGTTACACAACACTATAACAAGCTTCTTTTGCAAAGTCTTCCCAGCTGTGCTAGGTCCTTATGTATCAACCAGTAGATGACACCACCCAAATACATATTTCCAGTGTTGTTGTATAATAATATTCATTAGAGTTTTGTTATCTCTGGACACAGATCACTCACATTCACACAAAATGAGTACAGTGAAGACCGGAAAATTGGTGTCAATGCATCTCCCATGGCTACCAGATTCCCTCCTCCTGCTTCCAGTCCAGTTCAAATGGTTGTGATTACCCTCCACCCAAACATCCTTTGTTCTAGAATCAAGCTATATCTCTATCAATGCTGCTATTTATCATTCACCAAAACTTGCTGGATTAACAGATACCATCTGCCTCCTCAATTCTTCTGGTATTCTTCACCACCTGCCTCCAGGGACTTCTGTTAGCCTTTAGAACTTACAGATTTGAACTCTGACACCTGCTGCATCTCCTTTAAGCGTCATTCCCAGCTGACTAAGCCTAACAGTTGATCACTTTTGCGAAGAGATTAAGGGGTCAGGAAGGCCATTCCAGCAAGTATGACACCATGCCACATCCAAACGGAAAAAGCCCACCAGGCCAACTTGAATAAATATGTTTGTTGGATCCAGACTTCCTTAAGCCAACTCAAGACCGCACATTCAAAGATAATCTTCAAGAATCTAGGACAGGGGAGGCAAGTGTAGTAGACCGGTGGTTCCCAAACTTTGCTGCATATTAGAATCACCTGGGCAGCTTTCCAAACTTCCCATGCCCATCTCATCCTAGTTTAATCAGAGTGTCTGGGAGTGGAAATGAGGCAGCCATATTTTTCAAAGGTCCCCAGTTGATCTCAATATGCAGCGAAGTTTGGGAACCACTGATATATACAGCATTGCTTTCAGTTCTTCCAACTCTTATTTGAAGGACCAGTGTCTCTCCACACACAACCCACTCCCCACAAGGGGAGGGCAGTAACTGAGGCTCCCCTGCCTGGTCTCCCATCCTCCTCTTGGTACCTGGACTCCATCATTGGGAATCTTGGCAAACAGCTCTTCAATAAAATGGTGAAGGCAGAAAAATGTGGGCTCTTAAGGAGAGAGCAAGTCGGGGAGGCTGTAGAAGCCATAAATTCAGCAACATAAGAGATGAGAAATTTGAGGCTTTGGGGCTGAGCTGGCAAAAGCAGTTATTCAAATCAAGCTCAGTTCCTCCCCAGAACCAGACCCCTTTTGGGGCCTCCAGGATGACCTCACTTCCACTTTGCTCCAGCTAATGGGGTAACGTAGAATTCCTCTCAGGAAAAATGCTGAGCTTTTCAACCAAAGCTCACAAGCAATGGCCCTTCTCAAAGGAATTAATGAATAGGAACAGTAAGGAATGACTAAGAGGGTCTTCTTGTGGAGACAAATGATTGGTGAGTGTTGTTTGCAATCATTCTTTTTCATTGGTTCCAGCAGCTGCCTCTCTGTGGTTAGGTAGGGTTAACCCTAAACCTCTATGTACTGTGCCTCAAATCAAGTAGCAAAGGCCTGACTCATAATGAAAAAGGCCCTTGTAATTGACACTGGGATCTCCTCTTGTTTAGCACCGACTCAGACTCCTGTTCTTCACCAGCATCCTCTCTTCTCCTTCTTACCAAATATGTGGGTCTACTTGGCTTCTCTGCTATTTTGAAGGAAAATACATCAGGAAAAAAGGGGAGAGGGAGTTAAGCAACTCCCAGAGAAACACTGGTCCTGACCTTTAAGGCTTTGGTTCACTTGTCAAAAGAGTCCAGCAGTCAGTCCCCAGAGCCACAGAAACTAAAGTGTGGTCATTGCAGCACAACTACGCTGACCCTTGCTGGACTCCAGCTCCTTGGCTTTTTAAAAAATGAGTCGGCAACAAAGGAAGATCCCTAAGCCAGGTTATCCCATTAACCACTGGATAGCAAGAGGGAAAATAATAACATTTAGTCATTTGTCAACATGCTATCATCTGGTCAGTGCAGGTGCCATTCTCCTGAAACTGTGGCACAATGAAGGATATATATACTTGGATTGGACTCACTGGGTTGTATCACAGCTCTGCTACTTACGATCTGAGTGACTTTTGGCTGTTAAAAGATAAAGAGTTTATTTGAGCAGATAGTAATTCATGAATCAGACAGCTTAAAACTAGAAATGGTTCATAGCACTAAAAAGGGACATGAGGGGAAGTTTTATAGGGTGAATGTAAGAGCAAATAAAATAAATTATCTGATTGGCTAAAGTGTGAGCAAATGCCTTATTTAGAATATCTTAACAGGAAGTTCAAGACAATATTACCTAATGCCCACTAGCCTGCCTGTGATTGGCTGAGATTAAGTTTTGTTTTCTTTTAAGTTCTGTACCAGGTTTTGGCTTGCTTACTCTAGAACCCAGGGTGTCAGAGCCATCTCAGGCAAATTTTCTGCCATTTAATTATTTTAGCTGGGCATTGCTTCTCTGTGCATCAGCTTCTCTCTGTGAAATGGGGTAATAAACTTGCTGTGATGATTATATGATTAATTCATGTAAAGTACTTAAAACAGTTCCTAACACATAATAAGCATGTTTTACTTGTTTGTCATTATTATCCCAAAGTTCCCCATAACCTTCTAGTTGTTATCCCCTTTGGCAACAATTTACATTGTGGATTATGCATTTTTCTCAGAACTTGTTTCTTGTTTTTCATAACACACATCCTGTCTTCCCTAATTTCTCCCATTCTCCATATTCTTACTCCTTCCCCTTTCCCACTACTCACTCAAATTGGTCTGTCTCAACATTTTCTTCAGGGCTGCCTTTTTTTTTTATATGTCTGTGTTCCCTTTGAACAATTTTGTTTTCTTCCTGTGGCTCCTTCTCCCATGACTAGGTGGATAAACCAAAGCCTCTGTGGCTGCTCTCAGAAAGACCTTTTGGTTGGAATTTGCTCACTGACTCAGTGGTTGATCAGCTTTGCATCAGAAGACTATCTTCATTTGGATTTTGCCACTTACTAGCGAATGGTATAATTAGCTATTTTTAATATCGCTAAGTCATAGTTGTTCTCCCAGTAAAACGGGGATAATAATAATAGTTTCCACTTCAAAGAGTAATTATAAGACTTAAATGGGCCGAGTGCGATGGCTCATACCTGTAATTCCAGCACTTTGGGAGGCCGAGGCAGAAGAATTGCTTGAGCCCAGGAGTTGGAGACCAGCCTGGGTGACATGGCGAGACCCCATCTCTAAAGAAAAATCGAAAGAAATTCGCTGAGTGTGGTGCATGCCTGTAGTCCCATCTACTTGGGAGGTTGCAGCAGGAAGATAGCTTAAGCCCAATAGTTGGAGGCTGCAGTGAGCTGGGATCGTGCCACTGTACTCCAGCCTGGGTGACAGAGTGAGACCCTGTCTCAAAAAAGAAAAAAAGAAAAGAGTAGGCCTGAGGCAAAAAACTACACAAAATATGTTTAGCTATTCTATTTGACCTCTCCAATCCAAAATGTCTAAAATCCAGACTTACTGCCTTCTTTCCACCCAGACTAGCTCTTCTAAATTTCTTAGCACTGCTAATGGTACTGGCACATTTTTTAGTTACCTGTTTTCGTGGTTGAGTCATCCTGACTCTATTATCCTTTTCACTCCTCATCTGAACATTGAATGGGTCAGGATAATCTTGACCTTTGTTATGCAGGTTCTTGCTAAATTGAACTTTGAATGTTGTTAATCTTTTCAGTATGCCTTAAGCCCTGCCCTCCTTTTTTCTTTAAAATTCTGTTTGGCTTTAGAAATTTTTTGGAATTTGCAACTTCCATTAACCTTGTTAATTCCAATCCTTTGATGGTATAATCAGCATAATTGTCCAAAAAGTGACCCTGAAAGTTAGCTAGAACTTACAACCACTATGTCCGAGTGAGAGTTGCTGGGTCCAAATTCAGCTACCCATGTGGCCTCCTAGGGGTCATACAGTAACATCCAGGGGACCCAAGTTCTTTAAGTTCCAGCTATCTGGCTTCTCCAGACACTTCCTATGAATTCAGACACCATGTGACTAAGTAATCTGTGAATTTGCCCACTGATAGGCTAATTTATCATAGTTTTTCTGGAAAAAGTGAGAGTAACAAGGTAAAGTGTTACCAGTTGGATATGCTGCAGGCTCAGCATTGCCTTGGCCCCCATACATCTCTCTGCGGGGTGAAAGGAGCATGAGGACTCACATGACGTCTTTTTCCTTGTATATCTTTGTATCTTTGGCCTATTTAAGTTTCTCCAAAGAGCCTGTTTTTTTTTTTAATCTGTACTATGTAAAGTTGTAAATTTAATATCAAATCCTAGTGCTGTAATGCACTGTAATGGGAACTCAGAAGGGACCTACCTATCTTGCACAACAACCTTTCAGCCTGCCACGTAAAGCTCTTTATAATCCTGTGCCCAAGTTTTCTCTCCAGTGTCTTCTTCCATTAGTCCCTCTCCCCTTAACTTTTATTCTTTTAAATCACTACCTCGTGATTTGTTGCCTCTGCTCTTAATAAGTTACCATCCACGCCTACCTCTTCCTGTGAAAATCCTGCCCACCTTCTGTCATCTACTCTAAAACTACCTCCTCCAAGAAAGCATCCATTAGAGACAATTCAGGTGAGATCTCTGCCCCTGGACACCCTTCTTCAGACTATCCTAATGGCACTTAGCATATCATGACTTGGATTGTGAATATTTGGACATAAATTCTTAACCCCTTTTTACTATAAAATTATTCAGGGATAAAACTGCTGTTACTCATCATTATACATCCAAATAGCACACACCACTAAGCTTGAAGTGGTCGATAAATGTGTAGTAACATAGAACTTATGTTTCATAGCATATATGAAGAAAAAGACGGTCCATTGAAATGCTTGGGGCTTTAAAAATGAACACAAAGCTTTTCTTAGATTTTAAAGGCTGCAAAAGCCAATGATTTGCTGAATGCCGGTGACAACTACAGCCTTTCTTTGCCATTCTGACTCACTGGAGATGTGTCTTCCAAGTCTGAATGGCTGGCAAGTACTCTGAAATGAGTTTTTATTTGTTGTCTTTCTTAGCGACACATTATAAATAGCCCTGATATTTTTATTGATTTTATTTGGTACTTAAATTACCCTGGAGCAATTTTTGCTGCACAGAGGGCCTCATTTTCTAGCCAGCCTGCTTATAAAAAACACCAGCTTAATCTTGTATGTGGACCACTGCCCTTCTTTCACTGCTTTACTGTCTTTTGTGTTCAAATACATCTCAAATGTGAGTGAATACTTTAGAAGAAATCTTCCTGATAAAATGTCTTTCATCTTATGTAAAATAAGCCTATGGCAATAAGGTGTAAAAGTTCTGGATGTAACATCAAAACAATGTAGATAATACACATAAGCCATATATCCTCCAATGTTTACCCTTTTTCTCCCCCAAGATGTATGGTAGCTTTAAAATAAATTTCATTTTTAAATTTATGATTATTGGAATCATTTATTGTGACCTAAACTAGAAATGAGTAAAAAGAAAAGCTGCCTATATCCATATTGTCTCACGCATCCGTGTGAAGAGACCACCAAATAGGCTTTTGCGTGAGCAACAAGGCTGTTTATTTCACCTGGGTGCAGATGGGCTGAGTCCGAAAAAGGAGTCAGTATGAATATTGACGTGTAGTCCTTTCGCAAGAGCGAGGGCTCGAGTTAAGGCAATGAGTTTGGCTTGTTGAGAGGTAGTGGAGGGGGACAGAGTGGTAGCCTCAATGATAGGTGTGGAAGATACTATAGCATAGCCTGCCTTTGCTGGTGAGGCCTAATCAGGCCTGGTAGAACTGCCATCAATAAACCAAGTGTGTTCAGGATGAGAAACAGGAAAGAAGGAAATATGGGGAAATGGAGTGAATGTCAGGTGGATCAGAGAGATACAGTCATGGGGTTCAGATGTGGGAGGCCAGATTGAAGTCCAGGCCAGGAACATGGTACTTGTGGGAAACTCAGAAAAGAGTGAGTACAGCTGAAGGAGCCAGGGGGCAGAAAGTATATGCGTCAGGTGGGAGGAAGAAAGTAGATTTTGGAAGTGATGAGAACTGTAGAGAGTGAGTTGAGCATAGTTTGTGATTTTTGAGGGCCTCTAAAAGTACTAAAGCAGCGGCAGCTGCTGCATGCAGACATGAGGGCTAGGCTAAAACAGTAAGGTCAAGTTGTTTGGACAGAAAGGCTACAGGGCGCGGTCCCGGCTCTTGTGTAAGAATTCCGACCACACACATATTCTAACAGCTAGGATTGTTTTTTATTTGTTTTTTACCAAATGCAAGCAGGCAGGAAGTAAGTAAAAATCACAGTCGTGAAAATAGTCATGAAAATGACTATTTTCATTCAGTCGTGGGGTAGGGGTCAGGGGGAGGGATAGCATTAGGAGAAATACCTAATGTAAATGACGAGTTAATGGGTGCAGCAAACCAACATGGCACATGTATACCTATGTAACAAACCTGCGCATTGTGCACATGTATCCTAGAACTTAAAGTATAATTAAAAAAAAAAAAAGAGTAACAGGAACTGAATTTATCCCCCTTCTTAAACTAAGAAACAAGACAAAATTTGTGAAGCAATGGTTTTCAGACATTGTGCAGCAGAGAGTAAGGAATAGTGACAACTGAGAGAAAGAAAACAAGCAAGATGAGACCAATGACAACCACAGCCCATTGACTGGAGAGGTATTGACTGGAGAGGTTTTTAGGCAAGATTGTAGTAAAGGTATATTAGCCAGGGTTCTCCAAAGGAACAGAACTGGTAAAAGATATTTACATCTGTATCTATCTATATATACGAGAGAAAAGGCTGAGAAGGGGAACAGGCAGATGGGGATGGGGAGAGAAGATGATTGGTTTAATTTATTATGGAAATTGGCTCATGTGATTATGAAGGCAGAGAAGTTCCATCATCTGCCATCAGCAAGCTGGGAAACAATCCAAATCTGGAGGCCTAGTAATCAGGGGGCTCTTGATGTCATAATCCAAAGAGTTGGTATAAAGTCTAAAGAGTTGGTATAGGAGGCTAAAGATCTAAGAACCAGGATCTCTGATATCTAAGGTCAGGAAAAGATTGATGTCCCAGCTCAAGAAGAGACAGTGAATATGCCCTCCTCCACCTTTTTGCTGTTTTGGACTCTCAATGGATTGAAAGATGTCGATCCATGTTAGTAAGAGTGATCTTTACTCAGTTGACCAATTCAAATGCTAATATCTTCTGGAAACAACTTCTCAGACACACCCTGAAATAATGTGATGGGTTTTTCTCTGTTCCCACATAAATCTCATCTTGAATTGCAGTTCCCATTATTTCCAAGTGAGGTAGGAGGGACGTGGTGGGAGGTAATTGTATCATGGGGTGGTTCCCCCATACTATTCTCGTGATAGTGAATAAGTTCTCACAAGATCTGATGGTCTTATGAGGGGCTTCCCTCTTCACTCGGCTCTCATTCTTTCCTTCCTATTGCCATGTGAATAAGGACATGTTTGCTTCCCTTTCTGCCTTGATTGTTAAGTTTCCTGAGGCCTCCCCAGCCATGCTGAACTGAGTCAATTAAATCTCTTTCCTGTATAAATTACCCAGCCTCAGGTGTATCTTTGTTAGCAGCATGAGCATGGACTAATACATAATGTTTAACAGCCATCTGGATATCCCTTTTCCCAGACAAGTTAACACAAAAAATTAACCATTGGATAGGAATAATCAAACTGGAGCTTGAAGTTTTCTTGAGTTGAGGAGACAAAGTTGGAGTTCAAGGAGGCCAAAGCAACTCAAATTTATGGAGCAGAATACCAGGGATAAAAGATCCTAAAGAGAAGGTGGATTCCAAAGGTCTTCAGAGGGTTTCCTCAAGCCTTTAGCTGTGTGCTGATCACTCCATGCATGTGAACAAACTACCAAGACTAAGCAAAGAACCATCAGAAGAAAAACAGTAAAAATAATATTCAGAGCTCACACAGGGCCAGGAATAATTACTGTTTTCACCAGCCAGAATGGAAATGTATCTTAACATATATGCACCAAGTGAAGTCTTTAAAATGGTCCTACCTTAGAAGTAGAATAAGTTAGCCCTAGAATAAAGGGTGTTCTATCCCAAACTAACACATTTTAAAAAACAAGCCTCAAAAGGATAAAACAAGAGACTTAACTGCATCCCAGAAAAAACAACAAAAACAAAGGAAAAAACCTCTCAAGTATTTAAAAAAGTTAAAAAATATTCAGCACCCAATACAAAATCCACAATGTCTGGTATCCAGTACAAAATTACTAGGCATAAAAGAAGCAGGAAAATATGACTCATAATGAGGAGAAAAATTATTCAATAGACACAGATGCAGAAAACAGCATGGATGACAGAATTCATTTAAAGAAACATTGAATCACCTATTTAAAATGTCTTCTGTATGCTCATTAACATGAAGGAAAGCATAAATATGTTGAAGAGAGAAATACAATTTATAAAAGAAAGACCAAAATGAAACTTCTAGGGATGAAAAATGTAACAGCTAAGACAAAACAAAAACAAAAACAAAAAACCCTAGATCATATTAGCAACATTTTAGACCCTGCCTAAAAAAAATTGATAAACTTATTAAACATGCAGGGAACAAAAGATTTTTTTTAAAGTAAACATGCTGTGGGACAATACAATATCAAGTAGCCTAACAGATCTATAATTAGAACCCCTGAAGGAGAGAAACAATAATAGGGTAGAGACAGAAAGATATTTGAAGAAAAACTATTCAATTTTTAAAAATTTAGTGAAAACTATAACCCCACAAATGTAAGAAGCTCAACCAATCTCAAACACAAGAAACTGAAGAAAGATACACCAAGGCACATCATAATCAAATTGCTGAAACACAGTGATAAAGAGAAAATCTTAAAAGCAGTCAGGAAAAAAAGACCATTCGTACAAATGAACAAAGGTAAGTGACAGCAGGCATTTTGTCAGAAATAATGCAAACCAGAAAAGAGTAGAGCAACATCTTTAAAATGTTGAATGAAAAGTGTCAAACTAGAATTCTATACACAGTAGAAACAACTTTTTATTTTATTTTATTTATTTATTTTTTTTTGAGATGGAGCCTCGCTCTGTCTTGCAGGCTCGAGTGCAGTGGCACAATCTCGGCTCACTGCAAGCTCTGCCTCCCGGGTTCACACCATTCTCCTGCCTCAGCCTCCTGAGTAGCTGGGACTACAGGCGCCCACCACCACGCCCAGCTAATTTTTTTGTATATTTAGTAGAGACTGGGTTTCACTGTGTTACCCAGGATGATCTCCATGTCCTGACCTCGTGATCCACCTGCCTTGGCCTTCCAAAGTGCTGGGATTACAGGCGTGAGCCACCGCACCCAGCCAGAAACAACTTTTAAAAGCGAAAGTGAAATAAACACTTTTTAAGACATACAAAGCAGAGGCAATTCATTATCTGCAGATCTTTACTAAAAAAAGAAAGAAAGAAGTCCTTTAGGTAGGTAGAAATTTATAAAAGAATAAAGAACACTTAAAAGGGTAAATATGAGGGAACATATCAGATAATTCTTTTTATTTAAAAGTATCTTTAAAATATGATTGCTTAAACCAAAAATGATAGCAATATATAACGGGGGCTTATGACATAGGTAGAAGTAAAATGTACAATGACAATTGAACTAGACTAGTCTAGTCTTAAACTTACAGCGTAGATATAAGATTCTTATACTCTAGGTAAAGTAATTTCTTTTCTTTCTTATTAGAGACAGGGTCTCACTCTGCCATCAAGACTGGAGTGCAGTGGTGTGATCATAGCTCACTGCAGCCTCAAATTCTTGGACTCAGGCAATCCTCCTGCCTCAGCTGAAATTAGAATCCCCCTAAGTAGCTGGAACTACAGGCACACATAACCACACCTGGCTAGGTAAAGTAATATTATTTGAAGGTAAACATGGATAAGTTAAGATTATACATAGTAATCCCTTAAGTTTCATGGTATAGCATTTGATAGCTGTATGTATCTATTTGATATTAAATTTAAATCTACTTTTCAAAGACACAATAGTCTTGTGTAACTAGAGAATAGTGTTGGGTGATGCAGATAACAGAACAGTTTCATAATCATATAAAGTTTTATTGGACAAAAAATAGAGCAACCACTAAAAACAAAACAGAGGTTCATAACTAATAAGTCAATAAAGGAGATAAACTAGAATAAACATGTATTCTTCAAACAGATGGGGGAAATTAAGCAAGAATGGATTGAATAAACAGAAAAAAACCCAGCAATATGGTAGATTTAAACTCAGCCATATCAAAATAGCAAAGGTTTGTTTTTTGTTCGTGAGAAGTCTTTAATAATAAGTTGACCAGTAATGTGGTCAGTAAATTTTTTTCTATGAAAAACCCAATGTGATTCTCCCTCATAAACCATCTAACAGAAAGGGTTTGTTTGCTTCTTTGTTTCTACTGCTGTTTGCTGTTTTTCAGCTCCCATTGCGTATGGGAGGAATCATATAGGATGAAGATAGACTGATAGATCCACATATGCACTGAGAGTGTCATATATACCTAATCCATTGGGGAAGAAAGAAACACACCATTTCTTGACTGAATGAAGACCACGACACTTGAGCTAGCCTTTGTCACCTTGTTTTGGCATGGAGACTATACTGGGGGAAGACTGAACTATGTTTACCCACTTTACTGTCTTGGTCTCATGGTCTGTGGGCACCAGATCACAGCATCTCTTGTTTTAGCCTTGATTTGTCATTAAAGAACACTAACACTTACATGTTTGTTACTATCTATGCATAATCCAATTATGGGGAGGAAAAACGTGTCACTGGTTGAATTTCAGTGAAAGGGATGCATGCAGTATGTTCTACTGCTTATGCTAGTCTGAAAATGTATTTTAAAATACATTTTCCCTTTATATAGAATTTCTCTGAGTTTAAAGATTGCAAATAAAATCTAGTATTTCACGTGTTATTTTCCTGTTTAAAAACAACAACAACAACAATAACTTAGAAACAACTAACAATGTTCCAGCATCGAGTCTAAACCACTCAAAGTCATTCAGCATGCTGTGAAGCAACTAGCAGATGATTTAGAGCTAGACATGCCCAGGATCAGTTCTACAATTTATTAGTCCTATGACTCAACTTGGACAATTTATTTAAACCTTTTGAGTTCCCTGGCTTTATTTGAATTCCCTGATATATTTAAAAACCGGATAATGACAGCACTTAGGGTTATTGTGTAGATTAAATTAGATCATGAAAGCAAAAAAAAAAAAGTATCTTATTCAGTTCTTGGCTCTCAGTATGTCATCAACAAATGTTAGTCTTCTTTCCTCCCTTTTCTATATCATTTTTGCCTAAATTTCTTAGTACAATTTAGTTTTTTATTCAGTAATGAATAGATGCATAGCTTTTCCTAATGTTCAGGAAAATAAATTTGGTAACTTCCTGTTCATGATGGGAGACTGAGACACATACATGCCAAAATATGTTTGAGATTCTAGTAAGAAGGCACAAAATGAAATACATCCTTAATAATACTAAGAATAGGCCAAGCATCTCAGAAAATAGGACATTTTGGAAAGTGAATGGGACCACATTAACATGCAAATCATAATAGAAAGAAAAAGCCTGAAGAAGGCTACATTAGAGCTACACTTTGGGAGGCTGAGGTGCGCAGATTGCTTGAGCCCTGGAACTGTAGACGAGCTTGGGCAACATGATGAAACCCTGTCTCTACAAAAAAATGCAAGAAATTACCTGGGCATAGTGGCATGTGTCTGTAGTCCCAGCTGCTTGGGAGGCTGAGGTGGGAGGATTGATTGAGCCTGGGAGGTTGAGGCTGCAGTGAGCCGAGATCACACCACTCGACTTTAGCCTGGATGACCTGTCTCAAAAAAAAAAAAAAAAAAAAAAAAGTAGAAGCTGAGCTTCGTGGCAAAACCCTGGAAAGACCAGGCTCAGGATCAACAGGCAGGAAAAGCACAAAGTGTTGTAGAGTAATAATCTGAATAAATAATTTTAAAACTGTCTATATGAAGACTAAGTTAATTGATCTTTTTAAATTTAAACAAACCTACATATACCAAAAATCAGAGAGCAGTAGAGTTGCCTCCGTAGCTAAAACTAGAAAAAGAGTTTTCCAATGAGTTTGAACAACTTATTTATGCAAGGTTAGGGTTCCTAAGGCAGGTATGTGTCTTAAGAGGAAAGCACTTTTCTTTCGGTGGAGGAGACGGACAGTTTGCTACCTACATCCCATCTGTGTACCCTAATAAGAAACCTGAAAGCCAGCTCACCTTGTCCCGACACCCAGGACTTGCAGTCATTGTTATCAGTCCTTCAATTACAAGAAGGATGTTTTGATTGTTTTAATAACAAAATAGGTACTAGACTTGTCAGAAGCTTAGAACAGGTCTCCAGTTATCTATGATCATCCACCTCAACATTTACTCATAAATATGATAGAAAATTAAAGACAACTAAGCACTTGAGGAAAACAAATGACTTGATACAGATGTACCAAAATGAACACACAAATCAACTGCTCAAGAGGAAAGCAAATATAATTCAGCAAAGTTAAAATAATATTTTTAATTTCAATTTTTATTTCCAAAGAGAATTGAAAAGACATTTATCTTCATTGCAAAAAGACTTCTAGGAAAAAAAGATCATAGTACTTACATTAGAAATGTCATTAATAAAAGAAAAAGAAAAAATGAGAAATGAGTTGAGGAAATCACATATAACCTAAAGCCAATAGGATGTTAACTTATGACTTGGACAATTTGTTTAAACTGCAATTAATTTAATTTCCAATTAAATTAACAGTTAAAACAGGACAGAAATTCAAAATATAAAATTAGGAAGATCTGTTTCTAATAAAAATGTCAATATTATGACTTAAAAGCTGGAAGACTTAAATTAAGACTAGGGAACACAGAAAAATTAAGGGAGGAAGAGGAGAAATTTATTAGAACTAGAGAGAGACAAGTCTTTAATCGAAGCATGAATGAAACAAAGTTGACACTTAGACAATGCTTAGAAGAGTTCAAGACACCAATGATTAAAGGGAAGATTCTAAAACTTCTGAAAGAATATGATAAAATATATCAATCATTTAGCAAAGAAATGATAGTTAAATTGGTATCAAATCTTTCAAGCCTGTATCAGAACAGAGTAAGAAATGCTAAGGTAGCAAATGGCCCCATATGTTTAAGTCACATGCCCACTGTGGACTGGCTGTAGCTCTCTTCTACGTTGTCTTCATCCTAGGATCCACGTCCTTTTCTGGGACATGGCTCTTCTGCTGGAAGAGGGAAAGAGCGCATAAAGAACTATGACTGAAAGATAAAAGTGACATTATTCATCAAATTTTATGACTTAAAAGCTGGAAGATATCAGTTGTATCATAAAAGAAGCATTGAGATATGAATAGAAATCCTCCGAAAAACAAAGAGCTATACATGAAGGTGATGCTCAAAAAAGCATAGCAAAATACATCATGTTTGAATTATAGAAAATTTAAAAAGAGAATTATTTTGATTGATGCTGGCTGATTCTCTTCTCATTAGCATATCTTACATGATGTTGAATTATATTTCTTTCTATGGGTTTCTTTTTATGGTTTTGATCATACTCCTTTGTTTTTTAAAAAGTAGTATTTGGATAATCCAAATATTATTAATACTATTTATTGGCATTTAGATTTGTAGAATCTCAAACTATTAACATACTTGAATTAATTACAGTTTTATCAGAAAGAAAATTGTACAAGTCTTGATACTCCAATAATAGTACAGTAGGTACGATAGTGGTAAATGGAGTAGGTTAGTGTAGGGAAGTACATTGCCTTGTCTTTTTTAGGTTTCAAGCTGATGGAACAAACATGTAGGCCCAGACACTTTATTTACATTATTTTTTAAAGCCTGCAGAATAACTAAAATGATAGTATAATTCTTGAAACTCAGAATGAAGGGAAATATTTGGCAGATGGCAGAATAAGTGAGCTGAATTTTTAGTCTCTAATAGCTTAAATAAAAGAAAACTATCCTAAGTTGGTAAGTCAAGCAATGAAGTCATATTGACATTACTAAGATATTGTTAATCACCAGAAACTGAAAAACACAAGTAGTTAAAAGAGGTTACCTGTGAGATAACTGGAAATGGCAATGGCATAATAGCTCATTATGTGCATATGTTGTTTTTATAATAAAAGATTGATCAAATTAGAGCAAGTAGATAATAGAATTTAGACAATTTTAAAGTGTCTATAAGTTATCATGACAAGATATTTGGCAAAGTTGTTTGCAGATTAAATGAGGTAACAGAAATGATAGGCACATGATAGATACACACCCACAAAATTCTGTGGTGTAGTTTTTTCACAATTTATGGGACTCGTTTTGTCCAGAGCCGAGTTTTATTCTTTCACTGCAATCAAATTTATCTCCTCACAGACCCTAGAGGAAGTCATAGTGCTGTTAACCGTTATGCCTTTGATGCATTTTTTCTGGAACAATTCAAAGTTGGTGTCCATTTAACTAGAGCATTCTCCATATCAAATGTTCTCTTTCATTCAACCGTGAGATAATTTTTAGAGGGACCATTATGTACCAGGCATTATTCTAGGGGCTGATGATGGCCCCCATTTGTACAGTATACTCATGGCTACCAGGGATATATCGCCTTCAAAGAGTTTGCAGCCTATCGGTGAGGAGGCTACCTGAAGGGCAGAAGTAAGTGAAGATATTTTAACAACACAGAGAAGGGGTTTCCTAACCCCGCCAAACCAGGTCTGAGAAGCACCCCTGAGTGAGTGATTTTTTAGTTGCTACTGAAAGGCTAGAAATTAGTCATAAAAGCAGGTTGATGAATTGGGTGTGGCTTTCCAGGCAGAGGAAGTTGAAGTACAAATCATGTAGGCATCAAACCCAGGTGAGGTTTTGGAGTAGCATTAAGAATCCTTAATGCGTTAAGTAGCATTAAGTCTAGCATTTTCATGTGAGAGAGTGAGAGAGGATTAAGCCAGAACTGGAAATAGCTCAATCATGGCAGAGTGTATCCCGGAACTTTATCCTGGAGCTGCTGCTTCTTGAAATAGTAACTGGATCCCACAGTTCAGAGTAATTGCACCCTACTCAAACTTTTCTTTGCCACATATTTAGGGTATTATTGTTGTTGTCTTAGACATCTCTCAAACTGTGTGATAGATTACTTTTTTCTACAGTAAGACTCTATAATCCAGGAGGCAGAGACTACAGTTCATTTGCATCTTTCATGGATGTTAGCATAGTTCTTAGTATACATGAGGTAATAAATATTTTATTGCAACAACTATATATTTAGGAACATATTTGTTAAATACAATGCGATAAATCTGTGATAGTATACTTCATATGATGTCAGCAAAATGGATAAACACAGTGTCATTGTTGATGTATTTATTTATTCCATATGAAGTTTTATACATCTGATTCTAGAATTTTTCCCCTTTTAGGATTGCTGAATTAAATAAGAAACAAAAATGAAATGCTACAGTACTTTCTCAATTTATTTTAACACTCAACACTTTCTCTAAGTTCAAAATGGAAATGCTTTCATCAGAATATGCCTACATATTCAAGAATAACATCACCATAAAATGAATGTTAAAAATAACTTTTTGCTCTCTTGTCAGTCCAGACTGCCAAAGTATTGTGGCATTTTTAGCAAAGTCTAGATCCTCATTTTCCAATGAAGGCTTGATTTCTCTTCTAAATTCTGGGCTATGGATCAGCCAGACACCTCATTAAAGCCTTGGTTTATTAAAACAGAGGAAATTGCAACTCCCAGCATTGCTTCTATAATGTGCACCATCTTTAACAACAAACCCAATAAATAAAACTTAAATGGTTGTAGAATAAGAAAATAACTAATTAGCAAAATGCATTATAATGAAGAAAGAGAAGTTCAAAATAAATCATGAGTAATAAATGTCATGATATTTTGTATATAGTCACAAGAAAAATATAGGAAAACTATCCTGCTAGCTCCAGATAATATAAAGCATTGATTTACCTGTGGGAGAGCAGATAAGAAATTATTTTATCACCTTTACTTTTGTTCTTTTAATTACCTCTTTTATACTGTGGTAAATGAGACTTTTGGTTATTTTGCTATGCAAAATAATCTTTCTCTATGTCCCTATCTCTATTATCTAGAACATGTGTATGGCACAATATAAAGTGTTCAATAAACACTGGTTGAACAGCATCAAATTTCTAGGTCTATCCTGAGACACAAGACAGGAAAGCCAAGTCAGAATAATTTTTTTAATGTATTCCCCACTGCCCACCTTTGCCCTCTTCAGGGCTTTCTCAAGGCCACACCATGTTCACATGGTTTCCTAAGCTGAACAATAGTGTGCCTCTGACTACGTCCAACATCAACCTTCTCCTACTGAACTGTCTGTGAAGAAAGCACCCAATTAGCCATTTACTGCAGTTATAAATTTGTGTTCACCAACATTAAGCAGACTGTCAGTCCTACTGTGTTTCTTTACTCCACTCTCTCTCATTTTAGTTAATCCTCCAACACCCACATCCGTAGATCTTCATAGATCTCACAGTAGAAATCTAACTTCCTATTTCTTTAAGGAAACAAATTCTACCAGAAAAAAATCATTTCAACTTCTTGCTGCGAAAACCTCAGATTTCTGTGCCCTTGAATGCATCCATTCTGCCTGGCATCCCACCAAAATGAAAGGAAAGTCCCTTCTTCAGTCTAAAGCCAACCTTCCCTCTGCCTCTTCAGAACTCTCATCCTTTTGATTGTCTTCTTTCTGTCTGGTGCCTTCAACCTCTCTTTTTCTACCAACTTGTGAATACCAGATTTTCAATATGTTCCAGACTTCCCCGTTAAAAAACAAAGACAAAAATTACACCGTTTACTCCACTTTTACTTCTAGCTACTACATTCCCTGTTCCTACCTTCATAACAAGTCTTCTTGAAAGAGTTGTCTACACTGACTCTCTTCTGTCTTTTATCCCTTCATTATGCCTCAACCCTTGAAAAATTGCCTTACTCTGCCCTGTATGAAAACTGCTTTTGTATTGTCATGAATAACTTCCTTATCACTTAATTCAGTGACAATCTTTGATTCTCTTTAGCTTTAATCCTCCGTAACAGCATCTGACACTTTGGTGCTGCACAGAAAATACATAAAGCAGACCTGACCGCTTATCCTTAGAAAGTCCTGCTTACAAGGTTGCCCTTGGCCGGCATCTGAGAATCTTGATTTGAGGAGAATTCCCACCACTCCCAGAAGTAATTATTGAAATAAGGATTGTGAAGAGATATCTGTACTCCCATATTTATTGCAGCATTATTCATAATAGCCAACATATGGAAGCAACCCAAAAATTTACAGACAGATGAGTGGGTAAAGAAATTGTGACAAATATGTACAATGGAATATTATTCAGCCTCAAAGAAGAGAGAAATCATGCCATTTCAAACAACATGGATGAACCTGGAGGACATTATGCTGAATGAAATAAGCCAGGCACGGCAGGACACTGCATTATTCCACTTACATGAGGTACCCGAAATAGTCAAACTCCTAGAAACAGTGAAAAGAACAGTGGTTACCAGGGAACAGGGGGAGGAGAAAATAGGGAGTTGCTTCTCAGCTGGTAGGAAATTACAATTATGCAGGAAGAATTAGCTCTAGAGACCTGTTGTGCAGCATAATGCTTATAGTCACCAATATTGTATTATGCGCTTAAATATTTGTTTAGAGGGCAGATTTCATATTAAGTATTCTTATCACAAAAACAAACAAATTCACAAGGGACACAAGAAAATTTTTGGAGGTGATAGATAAGTTTTTTACCTTGATTGTAGTGATGGTTTCACATGTATATGCATATGTCCAAACATATACAATCAATATGTGCAGATTTTTGTATGTCAATTATGCCTCAGTAAAGCTGTTATTTTTGTTTTGTTTTGTTTTGTTTTCTTTAAGAGTAGCTAACTGTACCTAAACTGCCTGTGCACACAATATGGTTTATATTGATCACCTGATTTCCTTCAAGGAGTCTGGAATTTTCATACATGCCAGGAATTGGTTGCCTATATGATAAGCCCCCAGTAAAAACTCTGAGCACTGAATGTTGTACGAGCTTTCTAGGTTGGCAACATTTCATATTTGTTGTCACAGCTTGATGCTGGGGGAAATTACCTGTGTTCTGTGCAACTCCCCTGGGAGAGGATCCTGGGAAGCTTGTACCTGCTTTCCCCTGGAATTTATCCATCTGCCTTTAATTTTGCTGACTTTGCTTTGTATTCTTTCATACCATGTAATTAATCATAGTTGTAAGCACAACTTGTGTTGAGTCCTGTGAGGCTTCCTAGAGAATCATTGAACCTTGGAATGGTCTTGGGGACCTCAACACAGATATTCATTTTTAGAAACTCTCTCCACTTCTGGCAACACATTTTCCTGGTTTTATTCCTGCCTTTCTGTCTTTCTTATTTTTTAAAAAAATTTTATTTATTCATAGTTTTGTTTTTAAATTTTTATTTTATTTTTTCGACTTTTAGTTTGGAACTAGGGGGCACATATGTGGGTTTGTTACATGGGCATATTGTATGATGCTGAGGTTTGAGACATGACTGAATCCATCGTCCAGTTAGTAATCATAGTATCCAATAGGCAGTTTTTCAGCCCTTGCCCCACTTCCTCTCTTCCTGCTCTAATAGTCGCCAGTGTCTATTCTTCATATTTTTGTGTCCATGTGTTACCAGTGTTTAGCTCCCACTTATACATGAGAATAAGCAGTATTTGGTTTTCTGTTTCTGCACTAGGTCACTTAAGAAAATAGCCTCTAACTGCATCCATAATGCTGCAGAGGACATGATTTCATTCTTTTTCATGGCTGCATAGTATTCCATCAGTCCTCAAAAGCAACTGCAACAAAAACAAAAAAATAAGTGGGACCTAATTAAGCTGAAGAGCTTCTGCACAGCAAGAGAAAACATCAAAGCAGTATACAGAAAACCTACACAACAGGAGAAAATATTCACAAACTATGCATCTGACAAAGGTCTAATATCTAGAATTTATAAGGAACTTAAATCAACAAGAAAAAAAGAAATAACTCCATTAAAAAATGGGCAAAGGACATGAACAAACACTTCTCAAAAGAAGACATAAAAGAGGCCAACAAATATATGAAAACTGCTAATCATCAGGAAATGCAAATCAAAACCACAATGAGATACCATCCCACACTAGTCAGAATAGCTTCTGTTAAAAGTAAAAATAATAATAATAATAATAATAATAATAATAATAATAATAATAACAGATGTTGGCTATGGAGAAAAGAAGAAATTTATACACGGTTGGTGGGAATATAAACTAGTCCAGCCACCCTGGAGAGCCATTTGAAGATTTCTCAAAGAACAAAGAGTTGAACTACCACTTGACCCAGCATCGTGTTACTGGGTATATACCCAAAGGAAAATAAACTGTTCTACCAAAAGGACATATGCACTTGTATGTTCATCACACTATTCACAGTGGCAAAGACATAAAATCAACCCAGGTGCCAATCAACAGTGGATTGGATAAAGAAAATATGATACATATACACCAGCTTAATTTATTTTTAGATTACTTTTTCTTTCCCCATCCTCTAAGTGTTAATTTACTGTGGTTGTTCAGCTCCACTCACTCTATGGTCTCTCTTGGTGATACTTCATTCTGCATTGATGCCAATGATTTCCAAAATTTTCACTGTTCTCTAGATCTATATTCTGAGTTCCAGATTATTACATTCAATTTTCAACACACATCTCCAGTTTGGTGAGTTATAGATTTCCCAAATATAGAAATTAAAATACTGTGCCCGTTTCCTTCTTACAAATCTTTCCTCCCAAGGCTTTTCCACTTTAGTAGTGGTACCACTTCCCACACCCAAACCATCTGCAAGTTCTACTGTTTCTACATCTAAACATATTTTGAGTTCACCTACTTCTCTTCAATGCATGAGCACTACTCATTTCAAGACACAATCAAGATCCTAGCATACTTGTGTTTTTCCATTTCTAGTCTTGATCCATAGTCTGGTTGTGTACTGAATTTTGTTTCCTTCAAATGTGTGTGTATGTTGAAGCCCTAATCCTCAGTATGATTGTATTTGGAGATAATGCCTTTAGGAGGTAGTTATGGTTAATAGGATCATAAGGATGAGCCTCACCTTGATAGGAATGCAATCTGATTTTTGCTGTCTTAGAGAACACCAATCAGGTACTTTTTGCTAGTCCCTGTGATAGCTCCTGAAGATACCATGGTATTGTCTTATAAGAAGAGAAAGAGACACTGGAGACATCTCTCTCTCTCTCTCTCTCTCTCTCTCTCTCTCTCTCTCTCTCATTGTGTGCACAAGGAAAGGCCATGTGAGAACACAGTGAGAAGGTATCCACCTGCAAGTCAGGAAGAGGGTCCTCACCAGAACCCAACCTTTATAGTACCATGGCCACTACTTTCTGTTTAAACTTTCAATGGTTTCTTCTTGCTGTTCAGATAAAATCCAAACTCACTGATATTGTCTACAAATTCCCTGTCTAACCTGGTAAACCTTTAAATTCACCTTGAACCACTCTCTGTTTCCCTCTCCATCTAAATCACAGTAGCTGTATTTATTTCCTTAAACATCTCAAGATATTTTTGCCTTTGGGTCTTCACAGAGGTGTCATTTTGCCTAGAATCTTCTTCACAAGGCTTCTGTCTTCTTACCCTTCATTTATCATCATAAATTATATTTCCCTAGAGAAACCATTCACACCACCTTATGTACATGAGTGAATTTCCATTATCTTCTATCATTATATGAAATTTGTTTCCTTTATTGTACCAATAAGTCATATCACATGTTTGTTTCTTTAGTTGTTTATTGTTCATTTCTCCATGTTCTCTATAAATTTCACAGTTAGGAAGTGTGTCTAGTTTATTCTCTAATTTAAAGCTAATTCCTGCCTCAATGCCTGCCATGTAATAGAAGCATAATAAGTACCTGTGAAATAAGCAAGTGGATGTGTGGGTGGTCGGATACATAGCTATCTCAAAGAAACTTCAAACACAAAATCCAAATTTCTTAAAACAGTTTACAAGGCCTTCCACAGTCTGGCTCCTGGTAACCAGATAATGAGTTGCTGAGTGAGAAAACCTTGAAGTTGGAATATGATTCTCCTAATAGAACACTGGTCTGATCCTAGACATCAACTGTTTCAATATTTTTTAGTACCTATTTATGATAGTTACTAGCTAGCTCCATCTCCCCCCAGTGTCCTCTTGCTGCACCATTACATGCAAACCATAATGGACAGATTGTGGTTCCGCCAGGCTCAGTGCTCCCCTTCTTTTCTTGTTCTTCACGCACACTTTTCTTGCTGCGTAAAACACTCTCTAGAGCCACTTGTACTTGGCTAATCTTACTTGTTCCTACAGTCTTGGCTTAAACATCAATTTTGAAAGGAAAGTCTCCTTTGCCCCTAGATTAGTTAGGCTTCCTGCTACAACTTAACCTGTTCCCTAAGCTTCCTCCTCATTAGTGTCTCCTCATATTGTCATTATTACTTGCCTGTCTTCCTTCCCATTAGACTTGCAGTTCTATGACATTGTGGACTATGATTTGTGTTCCATAGTATATTCAAAAGCTATCACAGTGACTAGCAAATAAATAAATAAATAAATAAATAAATAAATAAATAAATAATAAACCTGGTAGGATTAAATTGGTGTTCTCTAAGGTAGCAAAGATTAGATTACAACTCCAGGGCTTTCTGGCCCAAGGATCTCTGAACTGATGATTAATATGAAGACTACTTACCAAACCAGCTTCAGAACTGACATGTTTTCAAAACGGGCTTTTAAAAAAACATGTCACAATGTTTTGTGACAAAAGTAGGCTTTGTATCAAGGTATCTGACTTTCTATGCTTCACTCAACCCCTCCCTAAATCTATGAATGCTTAAATGAGTACAAAATATGATAATCCCTATTTTGCTGAGTCTTTAATTTCTTGGCTTCTTTAATAGGATTTACATAAGCCTTGTGCTTTCTTAAGAAATCAGGTTTATGCATGCTCTGGAGTTTTGCATAGGATTGTAATGTTAAATAAGACTGGTTGTTACCCCTGTCCAAGGAGAAGCATTTTAATAGTAAACCAAAGATAGCACTGAGGCTGGCTAACAGAGAGCAACAGTCAGAATTACAAGCAAAGAGGCAGAGACCTTGGTTACTGAGTATTTATGAACTAGCATAGCCATCAGATGATGAATTGGGTGAGCTGACCAAGTTGTGTGCATTAGACTATTTCCTGACCTGGGGTATATTCTAAAACCTTTGAAGCTAAAACATTCCTCAACCTCTACCCCAGCTCTATCTTCCCCAACTTCCTTTCTCTCTACCTCTCCTGCGTGTCCTTGGAACTCCCTTCCCTGGCATATATACACCTTTTATTTCCCTCTAGCAACTCTGACTTCTTCATTTTCTGGCTAAATTCACTCATCTAATCTCCGTTTTTAAGCCTCATAATCTTAGGGCTGGTTGAGCCATATTTGTATTCTAACTAGAAGAGTGTTCTAACTGGAAGCGTGTAAGTGTTCCCTTTTCTCCACCACCTTGCCAGCATCCGTTATTTATCTTCATAATAGGTCAAAGGTTGCAAGGGAGAACAACACCACTCAAAGCAACTTAAAGACACATGGGAGCATTTATTGGTTTAGGAAGTAAGAAACGATACCCGGGCTAAGATAGAGATGCAAGAATGAAGGCCTCACTTCACAGGCTAACATGGAAATTCAGATCCCATTTTTGTTCTTCTTTTTATTTTTCTTTTATGTTTCTTAAAATAGATTTTTTATTATTATTATACTTTAAGTTCTAGGGTACATGTGCACAACGTGCAGGTTTGTTACATATGTATACATGTGCCATGTTGGTGTGCTGCACCCATTAACTTGTCATTTACATGAGGTATATCTCCTAATGCTATCCCTCCTCCCTCCCACTACCCCACAACAGGCCCCGGTGTATGATGTTCCCCACCCTGTGTCCAAGTGTTCAATTCCCACCTATGAGTGAGAACATGTGGTGTTTGGTTTTCTGTCCTTGAGATAGTTTGCTCAGAATGATGGTTTCCAGCTTCATCCATGTCCCTACAAAGGACATGAACTCATCCTTTTTTATGGCTGCATAGTATTCCATGGTGTATATGTGCCACATTTTCTTAATCCAGTCTATCGTTGATGTACGTTTGGGTTGGTTCCAAGTCTTTGCTATTGTGAATAGTGCCGCAATAAGCATACGTGTGCATGTGTCTTTATAACAGCATGATTTATAATCCTTTGGGTATATACCCAGTAATGGGATGACTGGGTCAAATGATATTTCTAGTTCTAGGTCCTTGAGGAATCCCCACACTGTCTTCCACAATGGTTGAACTAGTTTACAGTCCCACCAACAGTGTAAAAGTGTTCCTATTTCTCCACATCCTCTCCAGAACCCGTTGTTTCTTGACTTTTTAATGATGGCCATTCTAACTGGTGTGAGATGGTATCTCATTGTGGTTTTGATTTGCATTTCTCTGATGGCCAGTGATGATGAGCATTTTTCATGTGTCTGTTGGCTGCATAAATGTCTTCTTTTGAGAAGTGTCTGTTCATATCCTTCACCCACTTTTTGATGGGGTTGTTTGATTTTTTCTTGTAAATTTGTTTAAGTTCTTTTGAACAATGAGAACACCTGGACACAGGGTGGCGAACATCACACACCAGGGCCTGTCATGGGGTGGGGTGGGGGGGACGGATAGCATTAGGAGATATACCTAATGTAAATGATGAGTTAACGGGTGCAGCACACCAACATGGCACATGTATACATATGTAACAAACCTGCACGTTGTGCACATCTACCCTAGAACTTATAGTAATAAAAAATAAAATGAAATAAAATAGATTTTAAAGATGTATTTCCTCCAACAGCTTGGCAGACACCCTTAACAGCTCAAGATTGATACCACCAGTTTAGCGATCCCAGTGAAATGGTGACTTCATTCTTTCCACATCTGCATAGCAAAACAAACAAACAAACAAACAACAAACAAACAAAAAAACTAGTTAAAAAATTATGAACTTGTAAACCAAAAAGTGTCTGAGACTGATCTCAATTAATTAAGAAATTTATTTTGCCAAGTTTGAGAACATGCCTGGGAAAAAGAAACACAAATTAAAGTAGGATCTGTGGCCTGTGCTTTTTTCAAAATAAGGTTTTGAGGACTTCAATATTTATTTATTTACTTATTCATTTCTTTCCTTTTAACTTTTATTTTAGGTTCAGGAGTAGATGTGCAGATTTGTTATATAGGTAACTTATGTTATGGAGGTTTGATGTACATACAGATGATTTCGTCACACAGGTACCAAGCATGGTACCCAATAGGTATTTTTTCTGATCCTCTCCCTCTTCCCACACTCCACCCTCAAGTAGGACCCAGTGTCTCTTGGTACCTTTTTTGTTTCCATGTATTCTCATTATTTAACTCCCACTTATAAGTGAGAACATGCACTATTTGGTTTTCTGTTCCTGAATTAGTTTGCTAAGGATAATGATCTCCAGCTCCATTCATGTTCCTGCAAAGGACATGATCTCATTGCTGTATAGTATTCCATGGTGCATATGTATCACATTTTCTTTATCCAGTTTACCATTGATGGGCATTTCAGTTGAATCCATATCTTTGCTATTGTGAATAATGCTACAGTGAACATATGCATATGTGTGTCTTTGTGGTAGAACAATTTGTATTCCTTTGGGTACATAACCAGTTATGGGATTGCTGGGTTGAATGGTAGTTCTGTTTAAAGTTCTTTCAAAAACAGTCCAGCTACTTTTCACATTGGCTTAACTGACTTCCATTGCCACCAGCCGTGTGTAAGTTTTCCTTTTTCTCCACAACCTTGCCAACATCTGTTATTCTTTGACTTTTTAATAATGGCCATTCTGATTGGTGTGAGATGGTATCTCATAATGATTTTGATTTGCACTTTCCTAATGATTAGCAATGTTGAGCATTTTTTCATATACTTTTGGCCACATGTATGTTTTCTTTTGAAAAGTGTCTGTTCATGATGGACTTCAGTATTTAAAGGGAAAGATTGGAAAGGAGGGGAAGAAGGAAAGAAAAAAAGGGAGATGTTAGGCAATGAGAAATCCACATTTTAGAGGTGAAAAGAGAGTAGTGGGGAACAAGTCAATTACGTACCTGTCTTATGCTTTGTAAATCTACATTTTACATAAGATAAAGTAAGCATACGAAATTATAGCTATCTATTTGGGAACAAAAGGAAGGCAGGTTTTTGTTTTGTTTTGTTTTGTTTCTGTTTTTGTTTTTTGCATGACTCAGTTCCAAAGCTTAACTTTTCCCTTTGGCATAGTGAATTTGGGGTCCCGAGATTTTATTTTCCTTTCAGAAGCTGAAAGACAACAAACAAAAAAGGTAACGTCTACCTCTTCGACCAATCACTTTTGTTCAGCAAGAGTGATATAATAATTACCCAGACTTAGAGTAGGTGTTCGTTCTTATAGCCTGAGGGAAGTAGATTAAGGAAGGAGTTGTCTCTGAAGGAGCCGGGGAGATCAACAATGGTTATACCTGCAGATGTGCTCTAAGTATAGTGAGATCATAAAGAACTTGTGTTCTGACTTAACCAATAACTAGCAGAATGGCTTACCTATCCTGTATCTCAGGATCTTCATTTTCTTTCCCACCTAATAGATGCATTGTGATAATCAAATATAATGTGATAACAGAGAAACGATTTGAAATTTTCTAGAATGCTGTACATAATTAGGGTGTTGATTTTTTCCAAGTTTTGTTCTTGACTTTTAGCTTTTGATTGTTGTAGTTGTTTCTTTGCCAAGATAAAGCCTGGCTGGGATGACTTCTGGGATCATTTTACATCTGAGAAAGTTGAGTTTCAAAATAGGAAAATTTCTGCTGTGCTTTAACGGAAAGTTGCATCATAGATGTCAGTAAGCCCCAGCAGTTCTGGAGAAGTATCACTCTCTGCATGTCCCAGGAGAGGGCTGCAGATCTTGCCACATGCCCCTGACTAGATAGTCTATTGCATGGTTCCTGCTTTCTTTGTTTAAGTCACCCTGTCTTGAGTTTAAAAGGTGCTCTGTATCCTGGGGTCCTTAGTATAATTGTAATAACCCAATGGGTTCATCTTGCCTGCTTCCCAGAAAAGTCAATGCACTGAGAACAGAAGGTTTTTGCATCAAGAAAAGAGGTTAATTAGCACAGGGCTAGCCAAGAAGAAGGCAGAGTTTATTACTCAAGTCAGCCTCTCTGAGAATTCAGAGACTAAGGATTTTAGGGATGATTTTGTGGGCATGGGATTAGGGAATGGGTGCTGCTGATTGGTTGTGGATGAAATCCTAGGGGTCTGGAAAATGTCCTTGTGCTCTTAGTCTGCCTCTGGGTGGGGTCACAGGACCTGTTGAGTCATGCATCATGGGTATAGGTGGAGTCAGGCTGTCCCCAGAATACAAAAGTCTGAAAAACATCTCAAAAGACAAATCTTAGGTTCTACAATAGTGATGTTACCTGTAGAAGCAATTTGGGAAGTCACAAATCTTGTAACCTCCAGCATAGTAAATGATTACAGAAGGGCAAGCTATGTTTACATTTCAGCAAAATTCAGGTTCTTCTCATAATCCTAATCTTGCAGTGGTTACAGTCCCTGAACAAGAAGGGTCAGTTTTAGATAGTGACTATTATCCTTTCTTCAAAGTTAAACTGTAAACTAAATTCCTTCCATGGTTATCTGGGCCTATGCCCAGGAATGAGCAAGGACAGTCAGACTATGAGGCTCAAAGCAAGATGGGGTCAGCTATGCTGGACTTCTCTCACTGCTTCTGCTAGGGTAGTTTTGTAATCCCAAAGCAGACTAGGAATAGACTCATTATTCCCCAGTTCCTTCTAAAGGAAGTGAGCCAAGACATCTACAGATACCAGGTAACAAAAGCTGAAATCTGAGGGTCACAGCAGCCAGATGTAAAGTCAGAAAACAAAAGAGGCTGAAAGAACTTATTCCAAAGGTTGATCTTCCTGCTCCTATGCACTGCTTATTTTTACACGATGATCTTTTGCTTTGGCCCCAACTTATTTATCCACTCATTTATGTGCATTTGTTTGGTTCTTTAAGATTTGCAAGCAAGAGGCATAAAATGTTGCGTTTGGTAAAATTGCTTTTTCAAAGATACTGAAAAATGTAGAGAGACAAAGCACTTCAATGTTTCATGTAGATAATGTTTTAGGCTTCCAGTACTTCCAAGATATATGGCAGATATACTGCAGGTCTCATGGGAAACTGGATAAATGCCTCAGGATTCTTCAAGGGTCACATTATATGTATACTTATTGCCTTCTTTTTTTTAGTTAGGAATTCATTTCCAGAAGAGTGGAACTGACAAAATGTTTAATCACCATGTAAATGCCAAGCAATCCTAATGGGTGGAATTTTACTGAAAGCTATTTTTGGGTCAATTGGACTCCTATGTGCTTTTAGAGAATCTTTTTTCTTCAAGTGCTAATCTCTGACCTAGTGAGTTAACAATGAGAAAAGTTTGATATTACTCAATATATGAACCACAGTTATTTCTGCAACTTCTTTCCTGCAACGGAAGATGCCTTTATGACAGGAACACATGGCTTTGTTACCCAGTGTATTACCCAGCATTTTCACTGCCGTAAAGAATTGCCTGAGACTGGATAATTTATGAAGAAAAGAGGTTTAATTGACTGACAGTTCCACAGCCTTAACAGGAAGCATGACTGAGAAGCCTCAGGAAACCTACCATCATGGTGGGAGGTGAAAGGGAAGCAAGCACCTTCTTCACAAGATGGCAGGAGGGGTAGGGGAAGAACCACACTTTTAAACCATCAGATCTCCTGAGAACTCACTCACTATCACAAAACTGCATGGGTGAAATCTGCTCCTATGATCCAATCACCTCCCACCATGTCTTGCCTCTGATACATGGGGATTACAATTTCATCTGAAATTTGGGTGGGGACAGAGAGCCAAATCATATCATTCCACCCCTGGTCCCTGGACCCTCCCAAATCTCATTTTCTTCTCACATTGCAAAATTCAAGTATCCCTTCTCAACTGTCCCCCAAAGTCTTAACACATTCCAGCATTAACTCAAAAGTTCAAGTCCAAAGTCTCATCTGAGTCAAGGCATATCCCTTTTGCCTATGATCCTGTAAAATCAAAAAGTTAATTACTTCCAAGATACGATGGGGGGTACAGGCATTGGGTAAGTTCTCCCCTTGCAAATGGGAGAAATTGGCCAAAACAAAGGGGCCACAGGTCCCACACAAGTCCAAAACCTAGCAGAGAAGTTATTAAATCTTAGAGCTCCAAAATAACTTCCTTTGGCTCCATATCTTACATCCAAGACATGCTGATGCAAGAGCATGCAAGAGCACTCTCCCAGGGCCTTGGACGGCAGCTCAACCCCTGTGGCTCTGCAGAATATAGCCCCATTGGCTATTTTCATGGGCTGTTGCTGAGTGCCTGAAGCTTTTCCAGATGAACAGCGCAAGCTGTCAGTGGATCGACCATTCTGGGATCTAGAGAACAGTGACCTTCTTCTCACAGCGCCACTAGGTAGTGCCCCAGTGGGGACTCTGTGTGGGGGCTCCAGCCCCAAATATCCCCCTGCATTGCCCTAGCAGAGGTTCTGCCCCTGCAGCAGATTTCTGCCTGGACATCCAGACATTTCCATACATCCTCTGAAATCTAGGTGGAGGTTTCCAAACTCTTGCCTTCTGCACACCCACAGGACCAACAAAACATGGAAGCTACCAAGGCTTGGGGATTGCACCCTCTGAAGCAATGGCCCAAGCTGTATCTTGTCTCCTTTTAGCCATGGTTGGTGCTTGAGTTGCTGAGATGCTGGGTGCCATGTCCTGAGGCTACACAGAGCAGCAGGGCCCTGGGCCTGGCCTATGAAACTGTTTTTCCCTCCTAGGACTCCAGGCCTGTGATGGAAGGGGCTGCAGTGAAGATCTCTGAAGTGCCCTGGAGACATTTTTTCCATTGCCTTGACTGTTAACATTTGGATCCTCATTACTTATACAAATTTCTGCAGCCAGTGGCTTGAATTTCTCCCCAGAAAATGGGTTTTTTCTTTTCTTATCAGGATGGAAATTTTCCAAAGTTTCATGCTCTGCTTCCATTTTTAATATAAATTCCAAATTCAGCCCATCTCTTTGTGAACACATATGACTGTATGTTGTTAGTAACAGCCAGGTCATATCTTGATTGCTTTGCTGCTTAGAAATTTCTTCTACCAGACAGCCTAAATCATCTCTCTCAAGTTCAAAGTCCCACAGATCTCTAGGGCAGGGGCAAAATGCTGCTAGTTTCTTTGCTAAAGCATAGCAAGAGTGACCTTTACTCCAGCTCCCAATAAGTTCCTCATCTCCATCGGAGACCACTTTAGCCTCAATTTTGTGGTCCATATTGCTATCAGCATTTTGGTAAAAACCATTCAACAAGTCTCTCGGAAGTTCCAAACTCTCCTGCATCTTCCTGTCTTCTTCTGAGCCCTCCAAACTGATTCAGCCTCTGCCTGTTAACCAGATCCAAAGTCATTTCCACATTTTCAGGTATCTTTATAGCACTGCCCACTCTCCCAGTACCAATTTTCTGTATTAGTCTGTTTTCACACTGTTGTAAAGAACTACCTGAGACTGGGTAATTTATGAAGAAAAGAGGTTTAATTGACCCAGTTCTGCATGCTTAACAAGAAGTATGACTGGGAGGCCTCAGGAAGCTTACAATCATGGTGGATGACAAACAGAAAGCAAACACCTTCTTCACAAAGTGTCAGGAGAGAGAAAGTGTAAGGGAGGAAAAGTGCCACACTTTTAAACCATCAGATTTTGTGAGAACTCACTCATTGTCATGAAAACAGCATGGGAGAAATCCACCCCCATGATCCAATCACCTCCCACCCAGAACCTCCCCTGACACGTGGGGATTACAATTCCACATGAGATTTGGGTGGGCTCACAGAGCCAAACCATATCACCCAGTAAACATCCTTTCCTGGATTCAGAAATCCAGACCTAATTTCCAAGGGAATAGACCCTAGAATTTATGCATGCAGTTCATTTATTCATTGATTTACTTATTCACTCATTGAGTAGATATCATTAGAGATGTCAGGTACTTATTTATACTGTGGAAAGTAAAAGATAAATAAACTAAGGTCCTCAGAACTAGAGAAACCTATAACCTCATGGAAAAGACAGTTATGCAAATTGTCATTGTAATTTTGCTAAGCATGCAATTCACAGATGTATGAATAAAATGTTATGGAAACACACAGAGAGAAATAAGTTGAACTCCCTGGAGGTGTCTGTGGGTGTTGGAATACTCTAGTTATCTGTCTCCTGGAAGACTGCAAAAAGAGGAAGTAGAGAACTCTTTGAAACTGTTGACTCAAAACTAAATCTTGAAATAATGAGGACAAAATTGTCTACAGTTTTAGATGAGTCTAACAAGAGTGTATCCTGATATGTAATGATTAGAATGCTATTTATTTTATATCTAAGCTGAGAAATTTTGAGAGACAAAGGAAACTTCAAAATTACCCAGCAATAGCAAGCATTGGGCTGTCTTCCCCTGGGTGCAGACTTGAGGGCAAGAATTTGAGTAGAAGCCATTTATCTGGGAGACTATCCCAGGAAGCACTAGCATGAGAGTGAGGAACTAAGGCAAGAAAAGGAGAGAACACAATAATAGCTATATATCAAGTCAGTTACCACGGTGGGTAACAGGGACTCAATCCTGCTGAAAAACTCTGAAAATTGATCTAGAACATAATCCAGATGTGTATCCCCAAAGAGAGAAGAAACTGGGTCATTTATCCCTCAACGTCCATCTTTTATCATCTAAGGGCCACTCTCAAGAGCATAAACGACTACACAATTCTGGCCTGCCATTCTTTTGAGCCTAGAGGAAGCCTTATAGAGAGAGTCACAAGTACTTGTCTTGGGATGTCTTAGACATAGACTTGAATGTGAACACCAATGCATTATAGGTGGAAACCAACAACATCTGCTATAAAGTTTTTACTAAGATGGTCCAAGGGAAACTAGGCCATATGCTCTTCCTACTAATTGCCCCATGTATTAGGGCATTTCCCCTTGAGTATAAATCTGAATGGTTCAAAACTGTTAAATTTTTAGGGAGGGACAAAAAAGCTTCTACTGTTAAACCTCTACAAAGATCTTCTCCTACTATCTTGCTCATACTATTCCACATCTATATAAAAGCTCACTGAATTGCTATGTTCCTCCATTCAATTACATTTGCTCCATCTGTACTTGCTTGTGAAAACTCTCTAATTACCAAGCACACATTTAATTAAGCACCTTTTTAGTCAGTTCGCATGAAGTTGTGGAAGTTGTAAGAGTGAGAGTCAGTCATATGAGACGAAGAGCCAAAAGCATAATAGATCCACCTGTTCAAAATTGGCAGAATAAAATAAATGTGTAGAACATTAAATATTCTGTGGACCATATTCTACTTTACTGTTTTGCAAAATGGCTGTCGAGTCATCATTAATGCTCTCAGTAATTAATGAACACCAGATGGAATATGAAACAAACACTGCCACATCAATCAGGAGGTGTTTCCTCAGAGTTAAATGAGGCAGAACATGAAAAGTTTTACCTCCCCTAGTCTTGGCTCAAAGAAGGAAAGAAGTTCCTTAGATACATTTTTACATATTTTGGAGGAAACCTGGATGCACACCTTGACTTCTATTATACCCAGATATGAAACATAACACTTTCCTTATACCATCTGTTTCTAATGAAAGATTCCATAACTTTATGTCAAATATCTTCAGGCAGTTTTTCTTCTCTCTCACTAGGTAGAAGGCATAATTTTGAGAATCTAAAAAATGGGTAAGAAAAGGAAGAATGCAACTCATATGATCCTATGTAGCTAAATTATGAAAATAAATGAATTGGTAGTTACTCCATTGCTCTCTGCTTGGTGGGCTAGGTATAAATCTGCAATTAAACAATATCGTCAATCTTAGAACTTCCAAATAGTAATAACAATGGATGTTCTGAGGTTCCTTATGCTCCTGAAAGACAAGGAACCAAACGCAAACACAAGGAACTTCAACAGAGGGCTTATGGAAGATGAGGTCATGTGGAATCAGGCAGTAAATTGAGATGCAATGGCTGTGTTCTGGGATGCAAAAGTGAAAAGAAGATCTGTTCTTTGGACTTTTCTAAAACTTTCCTTGTATCTAAAACGTTGGGAAGTCACAAAGAGAATGCAATAAACTCTTTAGTTCTAGCAATTGAAATTGTGGTGGTAGAATAGTTTCAAGAGAAATTTAGGTGGAAAAGACCCATTCAGAGAGGAAGCAAGGCCAGACTGGCTGTAATCTAGAGAAGTTCTTCTAAGAAGTGAGTAAGATACAATTGTGTAAGATAGCACAGTTGATCTGTCCATGCTCTAGGTCCTATGTCTGCTTATTATATAAACTGGGAAGAAAGTTGGAAATAGGGCTTCTACAATGTTCTGGATTGACTGTTTATGTGCCCTCCACCCGAAGTCATATTTTGAAATCCTAACCCACAATGTGATGATTGTAAAAGATGGTGTCTTTGGGAGCTAAGTCTTGAGGATGACCCTTCATGAGTAGGATTAATACCCTTATAAAAGAGACCCTAGAGAACTCCCTTGCCCCATTCAGTATGAGAGGATACAGCAAGAAGATGGTCATTTGAGTCAGGAAGTGGAACTCCATCAGACAGTGAATCTGCTGGCACTTTGATCTTGGACTTTCCAGCCTTCAGAACTGTGAGAAATAAGTGTTTGTTGCTTAACCCATCTAGTCTATGGTATTCTTTAAAGCAGTCCAAACTGACTAAAGCCTACAAGTGAAAAATAAACAACATTTTACCCTTTGAACCAAAAGACATATTGAGCTATCTCCTTACTTGGCTTTACCATGCTCCCTCTCATATCTGGGCCCTGTTGTGTGGTATCCATTAACTGAATTACTGTTACCTGTTACATTTGCTATTTTATCCATCTACACGATGCCTACCTCAAAGGCCCAACCCAAGTCTAACCCTTTCTAAGGAACTTTATCATTTGAGTCTGCCTTACTCTCTCTTGCTATTCTGAAATGTTTTGACACTTGTGATCTGTTCCACTCTATTCATTACTAAAATGTAGTCTGTTCTGTAGTGCATGCTGTTATTTCACAGGGACAGCTTTATCTCTGCAGTAGGATTGAAGGTTCCTCCAGTCATGACTGTGATGTACAGTTCTGTATTATACCTGTAATGTTAAACCTAGAATAACAAGAATTCACAGAATGTTTGAGCTGAAACAGAGATTTAATTTAAAGTTCAATATCTAGGGATGAGGCAACTGACACCCAGAAGACAAAACAAAACAAAACAAAAAAACAAACTTTTCTAGTGCCTTTCAAAGAGTTAATTACAGTGTTAAAACTGGGGTATAAAATTTCTGACCCTGCCGGGCACGGTGGCTCATGCCTGTAATCCCAGCACTTTGGGAGGCCAAGGTGGGTGGATCATGAGGTCAGGAGATCGAGACCATCCTGGCTAACACGATGAAACCCTGTCTCTACTAAAAATACAAAAAAATTAGCCAGGTGTGGTGGTGGGTGCCTACAGTTCCAGCTACTCGGGAGGCTGAGGCAGGAGAATGGCTTGAACCCGGGAGGCAGAGCTTGCAGTGAGCCAAGATTGTGCCACTGCACTCCAGCCTGGGTGACAGAGCGAGACTCTGTCTCAAAAAAAAAAAAATTATGACCCAAAACTAATTTTTTTTCTCTCATACCATATAGCCTCCAAGATCTGATAAGTAATGATACACGTTTAATCACTTTGAAGTTCTTGAATGTTTAGGGGCATTCCTCAAAAAGAAAGGATTGGAACCTACTACATTTTCTAGAAGGTAAGCCATCTTTAAAGAGCAAACTAAAAGGTTTCCCTCAAAAGAACATTTAACCTGTTTTAGTCTAAGCAGAGGGCTTTGGTTTTTCTAACGAATGTCTCTGCTTTTGGTTCTTTCTAATAATCAGCAAGAAGGAGGGCATTGATATTATTTAAAGTACATCACTCTACCTGACTGCAGGACCATCTTTCTGTCTTCTCTAGTAGTTAGGAAGTATATAAATTTGGTTCCAAGTGACAGGTGAAAAAGGTCTAACTACAACTGGAGACTTCATCAAAAACCTGCCTGTTCCTTCCAGCTATAGATCATTCAGCATTATCCCAGCAGCATATAAACTTTCTTCCAAAGAAAAGGGAACAAACACACAGTAAGAAAAGAAAGGGAAAGAGCAGAGAAAAAGCTCAAAGCAACTGAAAGCAATAGATAAGTCCTCCTTTTGCAAAGCCTATATTGCCTGACCTCCACCTCATACTCACCCACACATAAATGACAGCTGCCAGTATGCAGAATTAAGTGTGAGCTGCTGAAAATGCACAACCACTGGATTCCTTAAAACCTGACAACACAGATTAGCCTCAAGGAGTCTTATACAGAGAATGCAAATTGAGCATAGAGAAAGAAGCTTCTTGAATGTACCAAGGATGAGGACTTGGGCATACGTTCTCTAAAATTTAAATCAGTATAAATTTTTTTGACCCCTAAAAAAATAGCAGAGCTTTAATCTTAAGGGAAGAGAGTTGACCATCCAATTACCCCTAGGTTTACAAACTTAAAGGCTAGCTAATCAACTCCTTGATTTTTAAATTTGTTTCAGACCAGCGTTTTTATTCTTTCTGCTAGGCTAGAAAGCTATCTGAACTGCCTTAAAATACTGTCTTGTATTTCTTTCTTTTCAAATGCACTCACAAATTTGAATTTCTGAAATGTATCAATTTGTAAAAAATCAATTCATATTGGAGAGAAAATGCTAGGTTTTATGGTTTGAATATCTCAGGAAAAAATTAACACTTTACATGACAACTAAAAAAAGTTAGGAAACTATTTATGCTTTTGACTCTTTGAAGACCACTCCTCCAATACCCATGATTTTCTTAGTATACTGAACCAAAGTTATTTCTAGAACCAAAGCAAATACATATGTCTTTACATGGTGCTGATTAATTATATGACAATTTGCTACTAAAACATAAGCATCCATATATATTTAGAAATTGTTTTTTAGAAGTTCATAGACGTTGTGCTGGACCCCTATTGACTATTCAGTAGGAATGACACCATGTTCAAGAGGCAGGAGAAGAGACATAGAACCAGTAAGCAAGACATAGAGTTTGTTGAGGAGACTTACCATACAGTGTAGTCCAGTGGTAATGGGCTGGATAGCAGAACCACTACCATTTGTAAAAAACACACAGTTTATATAGCATTTTCTCTCAGCACCCTCCCCCTAGCACCCTCCACCTGGCAACCTTCACTTAATCCAAAACAAAAGGACTTGATCCACTGTAAGCCCTGAGTTCCACAGGATGGGACAGGGTTTCAGATGTTCCTCATCAATAAGGAATAAATCTCCAGGCTGACTGCTTCCAGGTTCCTTAGCTTGGATCTCTGAACACGCATTCTTCTTAGATGATGGGGTCTTTAAATTATTGCTGTCAGGTGAGTCTGCCATACAAAAAAATTTTAAGGGTGTCATAAATTAACACTTAAACTTAATACCTAGAGATGTATTTTAAATACTTATTAAGAAGAATAAAAACTCTGGTTACTTTATATATAAGCAAAATAAGTCACATGTAACAACACTGTAAAAGAAATGTTAATGTGTTTTTTGAGGGAGCAGGCTTCTGAAAATTAACACAATACAGGATTTTTTTTGTGCTTGTTTTCTTCATTTTAGCTATACTGATCAGAGATTGATATGGTTTTTTATGTCCCCACCCAAATCTCATCTTGAATTGCAGCTTCCATAATCCCCACATGCCACGGGAGGGGCCTTGTGGGAGGTAATTGAATTATGGGGGCGGGTTTTTCTTGTGCTATTCTCATGATAGTGAATAAGTTTCCCAAGATCTGATGCTTTTATAAAGGGCAGTTCCCCTGAACATGCTCTCTTGCCTGCTGTCAGGTAAGATGTGCCCTTGCCCCTCCTTTCCTTCTGCTATGATTGTGAGGCCTCCCCAGCAATGTGGAACTGAGTCCATTAAACCTCTTTTTTTAAATAAATTACCCCATCTCAGATATTTCTTCATAGTAGTATGAAAATAGACTAATACAGTAAATTTGTACCAGTACAGTAAGGTACTACTATTAAGATACCCGAAAATGTGGAAGAGACTTTGGAACTGGGTAACAGGAAGAGGTTGGAACAGTTTGGAGGGCTCAGAATAAGACAGAAAGATGTGGGAAAGTTTGGAGCTTCCTAAAGACTTGTTGAATGGTTTCGATAAAAAAGTCCAGGCTGAGGTAGTCTTAGATGAGATGAGGAACTTATTGGGAACTGGAGCAAAGATGATTCTTGCTATGCTTTAACAAAGAGACTGGTGGCATTTTGTCACTGCCCTAGAGATCTGTGGGACTTTGAACTTGAGAGAGATGACTTAGGGCATCTGATAGAGGAAATTTCTTAGCAGCAAAGCATTCAAGAGGTGACGTGGGAGTTCTTAAAAGCATTCAGTTTTTTTCATTCACAAAGATAAGACTTGGAATTGGAACTTATATTTAAAAGGGAAGCAGAGCATAAAAGTTTGGAAAATTTGCAGCCCGACTATGTGGTAGAAAAGAAAAACCCATTTCTGAGGAGAAGTTTAAGCTGGCTGCAGAAATTTGCGTAAGTAACAAGAAGCCAAGTGTTAATTGCCAAGACAATGGGGAAAATGTTTCCAGGGCATGTCAGAGACCTTCATGGCAGCCCCTCCCATGACAAGCTGGGAGGCCTAGGAGGAAAAAATGGTTTTGTGGGCCATGCCCAGGGCCTTGCTGCTGTGTGCTGTCTCAGGACTTGGTGCCCTGCATCCCAGCTGTGGCTAAAAGGAACCAAAGTAGGGCTCAGGCCATTGCTTCAGAGGGTGCAGACCCCAAGCCTTGGCAGCTTACATGTGGTGTTGGGCCTGTGGGTGCACAGAAGTCAAGAATTGTGGTTTGGGAACCTCTTCCTAGATTGCAGAGGATGTATAGAAACACCTGGATGTCCAGGCAGAAGTTTACTGCAGGGGCAGAGCCCTCATGGAGAACCTCTGCTAGGGCAGTCTAGAAGGGAAATGTGGAGTTGGAGTCTCCACACAGAGTCCCCACTGGGGCACTGCCCAGTGGAGCTGTGAGAAGAGAGTCACTGTCTTTCAGACCCCAGAATGATGGGTTCACAGACAGCTTGCACTGTGCACTTGGAAAAGCCACAGACACTCAATGCCAGCCCATGAAAGCAGCCAGAATGGGGGCTGTATCCTTCAAAGCCACAGTGGCAGAGCTGCCCAAGACCAAAGGAGCCCACCTCTTTTATCGGCATGACCTGGATGTGAGACATGTAGTCAAAGGAGATCATTTTGGAACTTTACCATTTTTACTGCTCTGCTGGATTTTGGACTTGCATGGGCCTTTAGCCCCTTTGTTTTGGCCAGTTTCTCTCATTTGGAATAGGTGTATTTACCAAATGCCTGTACCCCACTGTATCTAGGAAATAATTAACTCACTTTTGATTTTACAGGCTCATAGGCAGAAGGGACTTGCCTTGTTTCAGATGAGACTTTGGATTGTGGACTTTCAAGTTAATGCTGAAATGAGTTAAGACTTTGGGGGACTGTTGGAAAGGCATGATTGGTCTTGAAATGTGAGGATATGAGATTTGGGAGGGACCTGGAGCAGAATGATATGGTTTGGCTGTGTCCCCACCCAAACCTCATTTTGAATTGTAGCTCCTTAATACTCTTGTCATGGGTGGGACCTGGTGGGAGGTAATTGAATCATGGGGGCTGGTTTTTCCCATGCTGTTCTTGTGATAGTGAATAAGTCTCCTGAGATCTGATGGTTTTATAAAAGGCAGTTTCCCTGCACACACTCTCTGGCTTGCTGACATGTAAGATGTGCCTTTCCTCCTCTTTTGCCTTCTGCCATAATTCTGAGGCCTCCCCAGCCATGTGGAACTGTGAGTCCATTAAACCTCTTTTTCTTTATAAATTACCCAGTCTCAGGTATTTCTTCATAGCAGTATGAAAATGGACTAATACAGAAATATACATCCTATTAAAACTTTAAAAAAATACAAGTACTTAATTTTCCTGGATGAACCTTTCGATTTGCTCATAGTGTTTAACATAAAATTTATTTCAAGTCACCAAACTAATGATGAAATAAAGATGTGGATGCACTTAGTTTGCTCAATATTTGTTGAGGTATGCTAGTGGTTCTAACATTACTATTCATATATTTTTAAAACTGGGCATAAAAATTTTAAATTTTCCTAGTACCTTTTAATGTATAATCTAAAAAGAGAATGCTATATAAATATTCCTCATGTGTTTAAAATTTTTTGCTGACTTCTAATACAATCCACTGTAAGTTACTTAAAATGTTCATTTTTCCAAGCTTTGAATGCTATTCTGTATTTATAGCCAATGTGACTTAGTGTTGCAATTCAGAGCCAGGACTAGGGTAAAGGGAGTGAGGCCCTAGGGCTCAAAATTTAGGAGGCATTTGCTCCCAGGGCTGACATTGCACTTTTGGGACCCTCAGAGCAAATGTCTCCTTAAATTTCCCAGCCTAGCAATGTCACTAGCAGCTCCAGCCCCAAGTTACAAATTGTGCTCTATGCCCTTTACCAATAAATGGCCTGCTGCACTATCCTGAGTGTTACTGTGTCACTTACCCTGATATAGCCACTTTTCTTACCATTGATTTGTGTTCTAGTAGAGAGTCTAGACCTATATGCATCAGACTAAACGTGCATAAGGAATAGGAGTGGATCAAAGAAACAAAAGAGATGATTATACCAGAAGCTAAAATGTCAACTTCATAGCAATTGAAATAAATTAAAAAGACCATGTTAAAATACCAGAAAGCAATTGCAATTGGGAGAGGTGTTTTAAAATTAGCTAGGGTGTTATAAAATCTCTTGCCTCAGTTTATGGACCAACAATCATTTGAAGTGTAGCTGGAAGAAACTAGATTATAGCATGTTCTAACTTCAGGGGAATTGAAGAGAACTGAAGAAAAACTGCCAGTTTATGGATCTGGCAACCATCTCCTCAGAGATTATGCTGTAAAATCCCAACATAGCCATGATTCAACTATCTCTGTAGCTCACCATTTTGTGAGCACCTACTTTGTTCCAGGTACCCATCATACTTTAATTCTCACAGCAACTTGTTTTAAAGAAATTACAGAGTATCAGAGTAATTAAGGTAATTGCAAATACCCATGCTATTTACAATTTTCAGACCAGGATTTTATTCCTAGTTTATCTAACTCCAAAGCCTCCAATGTGAATCATTGCTTGTGTTTCATGATCGTGAAATGTAAAAACAAAGTAATTATTGTAATTTTAAAAGACAGGATGATTAGCCTTACAATTTGGGTAATATTTAAGCAGACCTGGATTTTATTCCTAGTTTATCTGACTCCAAAGCCTGGAGTTTATTCCTGGATTTTATTCCTAGTTTATCTAACTCCTGGATTTAGATTTTAGACCTGGATTTTATTCCTAGTTTATCTAACTCCAAAGCCTCCAATATGAATCATTGCTTGTGTTTCATGATCGTGAAATATAAAAACAAAGTAATTATTGTAATTTTAAAAGACAGGATGATTAGCCCTACAATTTGGGTAATATTTAAGCATCTTACCCTAAGACCAGATCACTGGGCTCTCTTTATTATATGTATTCTCATTCTATTTCCCAGTAGAAACACTAAACTACACTGTGTTCTACACACACACACACACACACACACACACCATGTTTTTATCTCAATATATAAAATTAAGGAAAACTCACCTTTCCCAATATTTACTAGTTAGCCTAAGCTTTCAAATAATTATTGTCCCTACAAACTTTTAGGAAAGTAAATATCACAGTCCAACTAGCAATTACGGTAACATTGCATGAGCTTAAGATTAAAGTTTCTCATATTTTAGCATTATGAGCCTTACTTATCAATAAATCAGCAATTGCTTTTTATATTTCTGGAGAAAAGCTGCTATATCTTGTGTCTAAAGTAAGTAAAAAAGTAGTGGTTTCCTTTATTAAGAAAACATGTGGCTGATCCTGTAGTTATTAAGAGGTTATTTTTCTCACTTGTTTCTTTCTCATATGGAGGATAAATGTAAATTTAAAACTCTGTATCTTCTCACTCATATATTATTGTTTGTGCTTGCACAGGGATTGTGTGTGGTGTTACAGAGATTGGGAGCAGGGGGACAGAGGGGAACTGATATTTAGTGAATATCTTTTATGTAACAGACAGTCCTTTTAGCTCTCTACATAGTTTTTCATTTAGTACTCACAAAATTTGATTATGCTCTGTATTTTTCAGAACTTTCCTGTTTCAAGTGACAGAAACCCAATTCAAAATGGCTAAAGAAGCAAGTGGTTTATAAAATAGGCTCATATTGCCAGAAATGCAGGGTAGGCTGGCTATAGTCACAGGCAGAGGTTCATATAATGTCATTAATCGCCTGATGGGTTCTTCCTGCCCTTTGCACAGACAAGACCAACTCACTGAGTTATTTTGCAGTAAAAAAAAGAGTTTAATTAATGCAAGACTGACCACATGGGATAACTGAAGTTATCACTCAAATCAGTCTCTCTGAAGCCTTGGAGGTTAGGTTTTTCAAGGATATTTGGTGGGCAGGGGACTAGGGAATGGGTGTTGCTGATTGGTTGGAGATGCAAGTATAAGGATGTGGAAAACAATCCTCTTGTGCTGACCCCACCTCTCTACTGGGGGCCATAGGACTGGTTGAATCATGAATTGTGAGTCCAGGTAGGGGCCAGTCAGTTGCCAGAATGCAAAAGTCTGGAAAACATCTCAAAAGACCAATCTCACTGATAGAGTTGGGATGTTTTTACCCTCCAGATCTCATGTTGAAATGTGGTCCCCAGTGTTGGAGGTGGGGCCTGGTGGGAGATGTTTTGGTCATGGGGACAGACTGCTCACGAATGGCTTGGGACCCTTTTCACAGTAATGAGTGAGTTCTCATTATATCATTTCCCATGAGAACTGGTTGCTTAAAGAGCCTGGGAGCTCTCTGGCTCCCGCTCTCACCATGTGACATGCTTGTTCCCCCTTCACCCTCTGCCATAAGTAAAATCTTCCTAAGACTGCACCAGAAGTCAAGCAGATGTTGGTGTCATGCCTATATGCTTATATGTCTGCACAACCATGAGCCAAACAAACCTCTATTCTTTATCAATTACCCAGCCTCAGGTATTTCTTTATAGCACAGCAAATGAACTAACACAAGTTCTACAATGGTGAGGCCATCTATAGGATCAATTAGGGAAGTTACACATCTTCTGACCTCTGCCCACATGACTCCTGAGCAGTATAGGATTATACAAGCTACACCTACATCTCAGCAGAGTTCAGGCCCCTCCCATAATTCTTATCTCATGGCCTTTCATTAGTTTTCAGTCCCTGAGCAAACAGAGGGTTAGTTTTAGGGAAGGACTATTATCGTGCTTGTTTCCAAGTTAAACTAACTAAATTCTTCCTGTGGTTAGTTTGGCCTATGCACAGAAATGAGTAAAGACAGCCAGTTTGTGAGGGTAGAAGAAAGATGCAGTCAGCCATGTTAGATTTCTCTCACCCTCATGATCTCTGCAAAGGTGGTTTCAATTCCTTCCCTGGGCTTCACCATACCTCAATCCTTAGGCGTGAGCTATGGAGATGGAAAAAGACTGAGGACTCCTCTAACTTCTTCCTGTTGACAGTGGGCATAGTTGGGATAGGGGTTTCCCCGAGGGCAAGCGGAGTGAAACCATTTTGCAGTTGTCTGTATGTATTCACAGGTGCCTAGTTGGGGGTCTCAAGTTCTGCATAACAAAAACACTAATATTCTTATCTACAGCTTTAGTACAGCACTTGAGAGAACAGTGGACTATAAGATAAATAATGAGCCCTAACATAAGGGGTAAAATTCTTAGCTTCAGGAGTCTCTGTAAAACTCCCCTGAGGCTTTGAGGGATCCAGGTGAATGACCGTGAAAACCAGTCAGATATTGGGTTGTTAGCGGAGACTCAAAAATAATGGACAAGAATGGAATCTAATAACAGGTATACTATAATTTTTCTGAAATAATGTTTATCTCTTCACTTTTTTATTTCTATCAAAGACACATCATAGTAAGACTAATTTATTTGCAAAATAAGTTTTAGTCTTATTATACTTGGCCTAATTACACACACAAAATGAGGTGAGAATAATTAATTACCATATATCCTTTTTTTTTAAATTGGCTTTTCTGGGACTTTTTAATAAGGAATCTCAGATTAGACCTTTTAAAAGCCTCTTGAGCCCAGCCCAGGATTTATTTGTGCCTGCAGATGCTTGTATGAATTGAGTGAATTCCTTCCAGCTCGATGTTTCCAAAATAACTTGGGGTTCCTGGGCCTGTCGGAAACTGACATTCTTTACTTACTACAGGTTAGGAAACTTGTAAAGGACAAGGTATGAGACCAATTTTCCCAAGGAACTTTTGTTGGCTCTGTCGTTCAACAATTCTTCAAAGCAGTCTGAAAACATGTCATACCCGTCAAAGCCTTGGTAAAATAATCAGCGTCTCCAATTGTTTCCTGTTAGAAAAGAAAACAGATTCTCATTGAATTATTGCAAATAAATATATTGTCATAAGTTAAAAATACTCATAAATAGTTTCCAAATTCTGGAGAAATCAGGTAGAGAGAAAGATATATACGCCAAATTTTGCTCAAGGGAGTATACTTTACTCAGTTGTTAAAAAGTTGTAAACAGCTCAAAAGAAAATAAGTTTTCTTGACTCTGGAAGACAAGCAATGTTTCAAGCAATAAGTCATAAAAAGATTATTTCACTCTTCTATTAGTTCAGTCCATGCCAATAACTCCTGTTTTGCTCAAATCTCATGAATACATCTGCTTTCCATGACAGTCTGGGAAGTTTTCCTATTTCAAAGACACAATTTCTAAAGTTATCAGAAACTTGCATTCAAGAGTGCCTGTCAGAGTCTTATAGCTGATTATAAAATCATCTTTTCAAAAGGATCAATCTAAAGAATTTATGGATGACAAAAGTTTTAGAACATTCAGGGTTAATGATACAATTGGTGAAAATGTGCTTATTTTGTGGCATAACAAATTTTAACATAATTATAATTATTACTGATAACGTATGCTGAGACATATCAGAATACAAGAATCTCATGCAATTCTGTTACACATACTAATTACACATTCATACGAATATGATCTAAAGAAAACCAAACACCATTTCATACTTGAAAATTCCTTCTGTATGATTTAACACAACAAATTAACCAAATGTCTCTTTTGGACTTCAGGGGACCTAATATCTTAAAAAGTTAATAAGGTAAAAAGGATTGAATTTAGAATTTGAAATTTTGATCTTGGAAGGTTTGTTAAATATCAAATGTTTAAAGCACTTGATACCACAAAGTTGGATCACCGGTCATTCATTTAGTCAAAGTGATAACTCAAAAAATTTCAAGAAGTCAAAAACCTTTACTCTGATATAGATGGGACTCAGCTTTTCAAACAAGATCCAACGCATGAGACCAACTGACTGTCCTTTTCCTCTCCATTCGTTTTTCCTTTTTACCTGCAGTTTACTCAAAAGGCAAAAAAAAAAAAAAAAAAAAAAAAAAAAAAAAAAATTATTTTTAAGTATCACATGGAAATTCTGTTCAAAAGAGAAAACCAAATTCCACCTTTACATTAGTGCATTATTAATGTTAAAGCTAATTTTTAATACAATTTTATAAATAAATTTATCTAATTTTAATTAGTTTAACTGTAAGGTAAGATTTCTACAAACCCTTTATTACCATTTACAATTTTTTATTAAAGGGAAGATTAATGCTCCACAAAACTCTATTTTTCAGACACAGCGGCCCAGATTCTGGGCCTGCATCAATGTGCTTTACATATTAATGTTCAGTTCAGAGAAAAACTAAATAATCTCCCTCAAATTTTGGACAGCTTGCTCACACACAGAAATTCCTCTACAAGATCAATCTTTTACGAATGTTTTACAACTTGCTTAAATCTTCAATTTTGTCTTCTCATTTTTTAAACTTAGGACAATCCTTAAAAACCTCTAAGCTAGACAAAATTACTTTCCCTTTAATAAAAACCATACTGCAATGCCTTCTTCTATAACCTTTTACCAAAACACACTCTACTTACTTTATACATCTTTTATATAAAACTGTTCCTCTTGTAGTCTCAATTTCATATTTGACAATGTTAACTCTTTGAAACTTTTACTTTTAGTGAAAACCCTGGTAAGTAAGAAATTTTAACCATGTATCAGGTTGCAGAGCCCAGGGAAAGGACAGACCACAGACAGCATCTGACTTTTCCCAGCATAGGCAGGGGACTTGGCTAACTCTACATGTCCCAGGCCTTACTAGAATTTAAACGGCTGTAAAACAGACAAGTCAAAAAATTATACAAAAATGTCATAGACCAAGTATCTAAATTCTAAAGATTTTTTTTATTTTACAAATAATCTTAAGAACTATCTTTGTTTATCAAAGATTACTAAAGTTATATGAATTAAAAGGAATTAAATAAAATATCTGGGGGCAGATTTCTCTTGAATGCTTTATCCCCATCCCCCTTGGTACTGTCCCCATGATAGTGAGTGAGTTCTCACGAGATCTGGCTGTTGAAGAGTGTGTGGCACCTCCCAGCTCTCCCGCTTGCACCTGCTTTCACATGTGATGTGCCTGCTCACTTTTCACATTCTGCCATGATTGTAAGTTTCCTGAGGCATCCCCAGAAGCCAAGCAGATGCCAGCATCATGCTTTCTATACAACCTACAGAACTGTGTGCCAATTAAACCTATTTTCTTTATAATTACCAAGTCTCAGGTACATCTTTATAGCAATATGGGAACATACTAATACACTGGCTCCCCCAAAAGAGAGAAATGCTGGGGGATGAGATAGTGCAATGTTTCCACAATGTATGTCATTGTACGAGCATTTTCCCATGGCTGCTGGGCATCCTATCACCCATCAGCCTATTCTACAATCAGCCCATCCCCCATTCTATGCCTTCTAGGTGCCCAAGAGCATGCTTTTATTATTGAAACATGCAAAGAAAGGAGTATCACCCTGTAGTAATAACCACTCACTGTAAGCAACAGCCATTAGCTATCCTTAAAAATATACCTCCTACCTAGCTATTACACACTGAGGCTAAATGTTCTGTCATAATGCAAAATAATTTGTGATGCCCTCAAAAGTCAAAAAGGTCAGTTAACACAATGCAAAACAGAGTAGAGCCTTAGAATTTGAGACGGATCTGTCTATTTACAATTCTTGGGGATCCAAGAGGAAAACAGGTTTCTCCCAAAACAAAGTCTGAGGTTCCTTCTCTGTTTTCCCCAAAGGATCCCAGCTGTTAGAAATTACTTTAGGTCCCCTCATATGGACATTGAGTTTGGCAAAAGGAAGTGACAGGCAGAAGTAAATAGAGAAACAGAATTCAGTTGACTGAGGAAAAAAAAACTTAAAAAAAGATACCAAGAGAGAAAAATCAGAGAAGCCTTAAAATATATATATATATATATATATATATATATATATATATATATATATATTTGAATATCCACTTTTAATTAAGCTGGCTTATAACTTTAAGACAATCCTTTCAAATCTCTTATTAACAGACTGTAGCCAGGACAAACCGCCAAAACCTCTGGCTTTTAAGCATTTTTTTTCCTATAGTTATTCTCCCAAGTGTAACCAACAAGCCCCAACTAAGGCCATGATTTATGACACACAAGGTGTCCCTAAAGAGGCAGCAAGCAGTTTTTACAAGATCGATCCTAAAGGCAGCTCAGAGAAAGGAAGGATTCACTGGCTGTAAATGGGGTACAACTTACATTTCTATCCAGTCATATTCTGCAGGGCCTCAGCTTCCCAGCTAACCATCTATACACAAAGGTCCCAAAACACTATATGCCCACACAGATGGAAGGCAGGAAAACAAAACTGTACATGGAGGGGAAAAGATCAATAAGTGGCAAAAGTGACACAGGTATCAAAACAAAGAGTATCTATTCCCTAAGCCAGAACTTGAACCCATGCCACCACCACAAAAGGGCAAAGCCTTACCTACTGAGCTATAGCATGGGTCAGTTTCCATTCTTCTTTCCAGGAGTCTGGAACAGTCATTTGTGAACTTGCAAAGGATTTTAAAACTACCCAGGAGAATTCTCAAGGTTAGCCATGACACTATTATTAACCTCTTTTCAATTGTTTAGAATAAGAGAACTCTAAAATCTTTTTTTCTTTCAATGGTGTGCTTAGTTCCAATAGTGACTCAACCTCAAAGCTTTTAAATGCCCGGATGATAATTTTCCAGGTTTTCATCATATGGTATGGTTTGGATCAGTGTCTCCACTCAAATCTCATGTTGAAATGTAATCCCCAATGCTGGAGGTGGGGCCTGATAGGAGGTGATTGGATAATGGGGGTAGTTACTTATGAATGGTTTAGCACCATCCCCCTAGTCTTGTTCTTGAGATAGAATTCTCAATGAGATCTGGTTGTTTAAAATTGTGTAGCCTCTCCCCAGTCTCTCTCTCAGCCCTGATCCTGCCATGTAAGATGCCTGCTTCTGCTTTGCCTTCTGCCATAAGTAAAAGCTCCCTGAGGCCTCCCCAGAAGCAGATGCTGCCACATTTCTTGTACAGCCTGTGGAACCATGAGCCAATGAAACCTCTTTGCTTTATAAATTATCCAGTCTTAAGTATTTCTTTATAGCAGTGCAAGAATGGACTAATACACCATACAAGCAAGAAGTATTTCTAGAGAGTGGGTAGAAAAGGCTTCCTTATGATCTCCAAGAATTCCCTCTCAGAAATGGGATTATGGTAGCAAAAGACAACAAAATCCCCATAGGAATGGGTCCCTTTAATAAAAAATTCACCTAAGTGCCTGATACATTCAGGATGGAGAATGTGCTGATGTTTCTTGGACTCCCAGTCTTTCAAACCAGCTGCCTGATATGAACCTGAAAATTTCTGCCTTCTGGATGGCAGAATATCCCCACATGGTTAAAAGTCAAGCTCCCAAGGACATGAAACAAGATAAGAAGGAAACCTCATCTAGTTTTTGCTTCAGGGACCTGCAGCAAAGATGTATCTGACCATTCTGCAGGGCCAGCTCAACTGGTGGGTATATAGGGGTCCTAGGCCACCTTCTATCCTATGGTATTCCTTTTTGTGACAGAATGACACAGAAAGATAAATGCATAGCAGAAAGTAGGCTGTATGCCAGATTCCCCACAACCTTAGATTAGTCTCATAAATCCTTTCCCTCATTAATGAAAACCTTTCAGAGGAGACAAACATTAATTTTTACCATTTACTCAACTGGTTTGCACACAAACACAGAGAAGCCAGAAGCTGGTCAGAAATTCTTACCCTTTTGCCAGATTGCCAAGTTTCTGGGCTTCCTTTTTCTGTAGCTTCCAGAAGAGTAGAGTAGAGTTTGATGAAACCACTCACTGCACCATATTTCTGGGGGCCAAGTTGCAACACAAAAGGAAATCATCCTTTTCTATTTCATGGAATCATAGGAAAAAGCCTCTCAATCTTGCAAGATGCAGCCCAACAGGCTGTATGGGGGAATTGAATTAACATTTCCCATTCTGGCCAGAGTGATACACATGTGACAAAACACTGACAGTAGTCATCCCACTCAGCACCCAAGTATCAACCTGGCAAGGCTCAAACATCACCCACTGGCCCCTGTTGTCTTTGATCTACTCAAGGTCAGAAGGGATGACCTCCAACCCAGAATTTCAACAGTCAGTATCTGGGTAAGATGGAAGGGCAAATGGTCACCCTGAGTTAGACCTGTTGACCTTCCTTCAGGGCTCACCAAATGTGACCAGACAAAAAAAGAGGGTTCTCCAAATTAAGGCCTGCTGGACTTCTATTAGCAATTCCCTCAGGGATCCCTCTACATATATAAACACACACACGGGGCCTGACAAACTGTGGATAGGCACCCAGGAGGGCAGATCCTGGATGAGCCCCCTGATTTGTAGCTACTTGATGGGTTCTTCCTGTCTGCTGCACAGACAAAACCAACTCACTGAGACTGTGGTATTGCAGCAAAAAAGAGCTTAATTAATGCAAGGCAAGCCACATGCACAGAACTTCCAGTTCCATGGAAGAACTGGAGTTATTACTCAACTCAGTCTCCTCCAAGGCTTAGAGGTTAGGGTTTTTAAAGGATACTTTGATGGACAGGGAACTAGGGAATGGAAGCTGCTAATTGGTTGTGGATGAAATCATAGGGGTGTGGAAAACAGTCCTTGTGCACTGAGTCCACCTCTTTGTCAGGGTGCACAGGACAGCTTGAATCATTAGTCACATGTTTGGGTGAGATCAGTTCATTGCCAGAGTGCAAGTCTGAAAAATATCTCAAGAGTCCAGTCTTAAGTTCTATAACAGTGATGTTATCTATAGGAGCAATTGGAAAAGTCAAAAATCTTGTGACCTCTGCCCACATGACTCCTAAGTAGTAAAGGATTATAGAAACTATGCCTCTATAATCCTAATCTCAGAGTTCAGACCCTTCTCATAATCCTAATCTCATGGCCTTCGTTAGTTTTCAGTCTCTGAGGAAGGAGGGGGTTAGTTTTAGGGAGGGACTATTATCATCTTTGCTTTCAAGTTAAATTATAATCTAAATTTCTTCCATGGTTAACTTGGCCTATGCCCAGGAATGAATGAAGATAGTTAGCCTGTGAGGCTAGAAGCAAGATGAAATCAGCCATGTTAGATTTATTTCACTGTCATAATCTTTGCAAAGGTGGTTTTTATCATCAATACACAATCTAACTCTCTTTAACTCTGAGGTCTACACTGTGCCATCCTGGCTGAATTCTCCAGCAGTCTCTCAAATCACGTTAGCAAAACAGATCCAGCAACTGCCGACTTACATCTGCAGCTCATCAGTCCCAGAGACAGTAAATTCATCTTTCAGAGTTGCTTCATTGAGTCCCAATATTGAGTTCAATTAGACCACCTTGGTCTCATAACCAACTTTGAACAAGAAACAGAAACAAAGAGAGTTTGGTGCCCAATGGGCCAAACCTTCATCCTATTACCCTGCTTAGTGCCATGCAGGAGAAACTCTACTTGAAGCACATGGGCTTACATTAGGAGAGGAGTGCTTTCCTAGGGAAAGATCAGAGATTATCAGAGAAAGGAGAGATGGGATAAGCATAGGGTTGTGAATAGAAGGTACCCACTTAAATTTTAATTTCAGATCAATAATTAATATTTTCATTATAATTATGTACCAAATGTCATATAATTTTTAGTATAAATATGTCCCATGCAATATTTGGAGCAATACTAAAAAAATTATTCCTTGTTGATCTAAATTCAAATTAAAGTGTGTTTCCTCTATTTTTCTTCGCCAAATTTGGCAACTCTAAATAAGCAAAAACAGCAGAAGTGTACTACAAAGACCCTATTAACATTTTTCACATGAGAATGTCATAGCTTGGAGACATTTTATAACAAGCCCTAAATCATACACATATTACATATCTTAACATAAATTCATGGCTTACGATAAAGTCCCCATTTAATCTACACCTATCTTTCTTGCCCTAGATCCCTTGAAGTAAAAGGTCCCATATGTACGCTTGAAACTAAGAAACTAATCTTTACTTTAAACACAGTAATGCTCAACTGCAACCATTGAAATGACTTCCTGACTCATCAACATAAACTTCAGTAGACTCAGCAAATATTTGTAGTTTCACATTATTCTAAGAATTCAAATTAGCCAATATTCTGTAACTCACACCTTTTTCATGGTCCCCGTGTGATGGCTAATCTGACTAATGGAGAGGAATATTCCAAGGTGGTGGAAAGAAGATCCAGGAAGTGACACAAGGAGGCTACACAGAAATTAACTTTCATCACACACAGCTTACCAATAAAGAAATACAAAAGAAGCTTGCGAGTGCCTGGAGCCAGACAGATCCTAGTGACAAGAAGAACTGAAAACATGGGCTCCATGGATGAGCAGGAAGTTAAAAAACCTAACAGAGAGGATCTAAAGAGAAGAGAAATCTTGTTTCATTTGTGTTAGGTACGTACAGCTAACGCCAATTTCAGACTTAGTGTTACTGCTCCAATGTTATCTTCTTTGTTATCATTTCAGGAAAAAAAAAATGCAGCTGGTTGTATTTTATGTCCTGATAGTGTATCCATAATGTTTTTTATCTCCTCACAGAGACAAATTAGCATATTAGGGTTAAATGAACCTTCTATTTTAATTACGAATCTTCTCACTGTGCTTACAAACTTCCCTCTGAAGACAAAGTACAAAGAATTGATAAAGTAGATGAGGGAAGCACCAGCAGAATGCCTGCTTAAACTGATTTATTAGCTCATTAGGATGGATTAGCCTGTATCACTTATGGACACTTGGTCTAGGTGAAACCAGCACAAGCAGTCTATCCATACAAAATAGTGAGACATAGTAATGAAATAAAGAATTGAATTTAGTTAATGGGTCATTCTGTTTAGTCTCTCCATGTTTCCAGAATGATCCAACATAAACAAATTGGCATGACCAGTAAGAAAATAATCCTAACCATAACAACAATACTTATTTATCACTTTTAATTATGTAGGCTTTATGCTAAATACTTATATAAGCTTATTTAAAATCTGCAATAATTATGTGAGGTAGGTCTTATCCCCACATTTTACAGATTAGGAGACTGTGGTTCCAATACTCATTATGGAACATACTCACTGGCAGAGCTGGGGTTTTTAACACAAATCTATTCAGTTTCAAAATCCATCCCATTACCCACTGCATCATATTGCCTCCCTGGGCTGCAAAATAAATATAAAAGTGGGGTCAGAAAATCTTTACTTTAAAAGTGTTTGAAACCTTATTCATTGACACATTCGCTACTCATCTAGACCTCTAAGCTTCCTTTCAGGAAAATAATCACTTCAAGCCTAAATATGCTCTCAGGTAATCTGGCAAAACTGTCGGAAACTGTGTTCTTATCTTCCCTCTGACCCCGCCAGGCACTCTGCTGAGGTGCCTGATGTAGGACTTCCTTTCCTGTTCAGCACCTAAAAAATCCCAGCAGAATTCCCCCAGTCTGAAATGGACACTGCAGCTCTCATTATGTGGTGAATCTTGGGTGACACTTTCTGGCTAACAGCTCAGGTGGAAGGAAGTGAGATGCCCTTATCAAACCCCATAGCTGTGTCCTGGATTTTCAGCCATACCTCTCCTCTCTGATGTGCCTTCTTTTATTTTCCATTCATTTTGATCCAAGGACAAGTCCATTTTAAAAAGCACTACTCTTCACCACAGGATTAAGAAAATGTCAGGACATATACTTTTTTTTTTTTCTTTGAGACAGAGTTTCACTCTTGTTGCCCAGGCTGGAGTGCAATGGGGCAATCTCTGCTTACTACAACCTCCGCCTCCCAGGTTTAAGCAATTCTCCTGCCTCAGCCTCCCAAGTAGCTGGGATTACAGGAATATGCCATCATGCCTGGTTAATTTTTTGTAATTAGTAGATATGGGGTTTCACCATGTAGGTCAGGCTGGTCTTGAACTCCTGACCTCAGGTGATCCACCTGTTTCAGCCTCCCAAAGTGCTGGGATTACAGGCGTGAGCCACTGCACTGGTCAGGACATATACTTTTGAAATAAAACCCATATGGTGTCTGGTATTCATCACTCCTGATGCCCCACAGTTCCCAACCTAACACGTCAGTCCTGTCGCCTTTTTGGTAAATGTAAATGCTATTGTGACTTCCTCAACTGTTCAGGCTACCTACCCAGATGAATTGGTTAGGCAACCAATTATCAATGGGAGGGCGAGGTTACAATGAAAAGAAAAGAATCCAACAAATCACAGTCCCCCGGTTGAGGACTCCACCTGCTGTGTTAACTTTGTGACTGATAGGTTTTATGCATGGTGCTAGCACTCAGATTATTTGTGAGCATTTTAGCAAGGACTGTGAGGAGGCACTCTTTCAACCCAGTGGAATGATTCTAATGTTTGGAATTCCCAGCCCCAACTGACAAGTAAGACTCAAAAACAATACCCCAAAATGAAGGCCTCAGAAACACCTTAGAAATAAAAATTTTCTCTAACTTTCTCTTGCTCTCCTGTCTCTGTCTCATTCTCCCCTAAGGCTAACCATAGAAACTATAATCCTTCTTCCCCGAGGCAGGTCACAGGAAGTAGAATGCTTTTGTTTGAAACGCAGCCATAAAACAGAAAAATATGCCATGTGAAAACTAGTCACAAGTTATCTGATCAACTTTGTTTGACTGTAAGTTATAAAACCCCACTTCCAGAGAGGGACCTGCCACAAACCCGGAAGGAAAGGATGCAGACACAATGAGGTCAAGAAGAGTCTAGACAGACTGGCCTTGCTGGGTTTCCCAATCAGTCTATTAGCATCAGCACATACCCCTTTTTTCCAATCACATTTTTACATCACTGTCTATACTTTGTTGAACATAAGCATAACAATGAACCATTTCCCCTGTATTTTGGGGTCTTCATTCTAAAGCCTCCCACGTATACATGTTAAATAAATGTATATGCCTTTTCTCTAATCAACCTGCCTTTTGCAATTTGATTTTTCAGTGAAACTTTAGAAGGAGAAGTTAATCCCTTGGGCCCTACACAGGGAATTATAGAGGAGAAATTATATATTTCATACTTCATATAATACTCTAATATTTTGATGCCATTTTATGTACATACAAAACCAACCCTGACAATGTGGACAAAGGAAAGGGCACTCTACTAGGAATTGAATACAAAGAATCTTATCATAACATAGTCAGTTATTGAAGTAGAATTTTTTAAAGGTATTTAATCCTTTTAGGATTGTTTACTAGATGGTAGATAATTTCTAGAACGCTGACTGATATGCTTCTATGATTTTGTGTAATTCAGAAAAAGATGCTCTTTACCCAGAAGCATTCAAGTACATTTTGTCTAACCATCACTACTATTATCCTCACTAAATAGTAGTTCGCAATTAAATGTATGACCTGAAACTATCAAAAGCCTAAAAGAAAACCTAGACAAAACTTCTGAACATTGGCTCAGGCATAGAATTTATGGCTAAGACCTCAAAAGCAAATGCAACAAAAAGAAAAATAGATAAATGGGACTCCAACTAGCTTCTGCATAGCAAAATAAATAATCAACAGAGTAAATAGACAGTGTAAAGAATGGGAGAAAATATTTGCAAGCTATGCATGTGACAAAAGACTAATGTCCAGAACCTACAAGGAACTCAAAAAACTCAACAAGAATAAAAAACAAACAAACCCATTAAAAACTGGGCAAAGGACAGAATCAGACATACCTCAAAAGAAGACATCCAAGCGGCCAACAAACATATGAAAAAATGCTCAAAATCACTAATCATAAAAGAAATGCAAATTAAAATTGCAATGAGATACCATCCCACACCAGTCAGAATGGCTATTATTAAAAGGTTTTAAAAAAACAGATGTTAGTGAGGATGCAGAGAAAAGAGAACACTTATACACTCTAGGTAGGGATGTAAATTAGTACAACTTCTATGAAAAATGGTATGGAGATTTCTCAAAGAACTAAAAATAGAACTACCGTTTGACCCAGTAATCCCACTACTGGGTATCTGCTCAAAGAAAAAGAAATTAATTTATCAAAAAGACACCTGTATTCATATGTTTATCATAGCACAGCACCACTCACAATAGCAAAGTCATGGAGCCAACCTAAGGATGGATCTGATGGATGTGAATGACTGGTATACATATATATATATATATATATATATATATATATATATATATATATATATACACACACACACACACACACACACACATATATGTACTGGAATATTACACAACCATAAAAAATAATGAAATAATTTTTTTAGCAGCAACATGGATGGGGCTTTGCCATTATCCTAAGTGAAATAACTCAGAAACAGAAAATCGAATACCGTATATTCTCACTTATAAGTGGAAGCTAAACAATGGGTACATGTGGACACACAGAGGGAAATACCAGACACTGGGGACTTCTAAAGAGGAGAGGGTGGGAAAGGGGTGAGGGTTGAAAAATTACCTACTGCATACAGCATTAGGTATTCAGGTGATGGGCACACACTAGAAGCCTAAACTTCATCATTATGCAATATGTCCACATAACAAAGCTGCACATGCATCTCCTGAATCTATAAAAACAAAATGTAAAAAAAAAGTAGTTAGTAACTATCTGCTAATGTTTGTCTTCTAGCAAGAATCTCACAGACAGGGAACTTTCCTGAATAATTTTAAAATATATAGTGCTTACTGAGCACTTACTATGCTCTCCAACCTATGCAAAAACCTGTTCTAATCTCTAAAAGAACTTTCAGAGTAAACATCTAGAAAGAAAAGGGCTCAGGGCAGTCTGAGGAATGTGAGATTTGTAAAATTTATCAGGCCCAGAGTGACACAAGCATGGGACTTCATTCATGGTTCCTGCACCCATGCTTGGGTGGGGGTGGAGAAGTAGTTGTTTAAAGGCATTTTGGTTTTCCTTTCCTTCTCGGAAGTTTCAGACTAGGTGATAAATTACCTAAGTGTTACCACAAGGTGCACAACATGACCCCTGCCCATTATCTTCATGTTTGTGGAATTTGTGACACAAAGATCAATGTATAGCCAGTAGATAGCTTATGTTATTTTAATGAACGAATATAAATTCTTGGGAAACAACTTAGGAACTGCCCCTAAACTTCTTATTTTTTCCTTTAAAAACCCACTCATAACTGCTGCTAATGGGAGCATATGTTCAGGGCAACTTGAATCTATGATTCTTGTGCTTTAGTCCTCAACCTTAGCCCAATAAACTCTTTACTCATATTAAGTTTGCTTCAGTTTCTTCCTTTAGGTCAACAGCATAATTACATACTTCCTCTTTGTAAGTAAGAAGACTAAAGCTCAGTGAGGTTTGTAATTTATGTAGGGCTAAAAAGTCTAGTCAGCAGAGGCAGCAAAATTTAAATCTGAAGAACCAGGTTCTGCCTTTGTTCATAGATATGAATGGAAAATAGCATCCTGTATTATGCTAATTGGAGGCCTCCACATGGAGCAAATTCAACAGAGAATGCACAGGATGAAGGAATACTAAAGCATTTCACTGTGAACCCTGAAAGAGCCAGTCTTGCTCTTTTTGTAACATTTCTTAATAGCTACAACAGTAGTAGGGTGATTGTTGGCGCTGAGTCTTTAACAAGTAAAATCCTCATGTTCAGCCTGTGGGTGCACTGCCCATTTCTTCCCATGAAAGCCAAAACAAAAGCTCTTACCCACATTTTCCTCCTGCTTCCTCTGCCTTCTCATTGGCCCTGGTGCTTCCTCATGTGGACCTCGGTGGTGGGTTGTTCTCCCTCCTCTTGGGAACTATGAGTAACAACTATCTTTTCTATGGCAGTCTTCTCCTGATCCACTGGCCTCACCATACCTGAATAATTAAAAAAACCTACATTTTAAAACATATTGGCAGATTTGTTTAACCCGTCTATGCCTGCATTTTTTTTTCTTCTGTAAAATTGACATACTAATAGTTATCTTTGTCATCTTGTTAATGAAAAGTTTCTATAAGTGAAGGTGAATGAAGGGCTCAGCACAGTGCCAGGCCTGGGGTAAGAATCAACAACTGGTAGCATCATCATAATTATTCTTTATGAAATTATTATTATCAATAAAGAGTATCCTTCTGGAAAGTATGGACCAATCTGATTTACCTCTGCATCTCCACTAGTTGGCAAAGAGTTGGCACTAAAAAATGGTCATTGAGTTTTAAATAAATTAAATCATTTATTCTTTTTAAAGACCTCTATGACTAATGTTGAGGACCTAACTAAGCCAGTCAGCCTTTATGATTAGAATGCTATAAATTATCAGCATCTCTGTAGAATGGCTGAGCAAAACTACGAGTTTTGGGGCATATGTGTTTTAACTTATTTTATTTCTAACTAAATAAATAAGTGAACATTAAAATTCACACCCATAAATGCAAGAAAGTGACAAGGAAAATTCTTCCATGTGTATTTTTCACCATCCTGCTGTATAAACTATTAGGAGTTTGGAGTTTGGGATATATCCTTTGAGAAAAAAAATCATAAATTTTTAAAAATGAAATAAATAATAAATGTTCTTCCCTTGGAATATGATGTCTGCAGGGGACAAACAAATGCCACATTAAGTGGAGACAGTAAACATTCTTCATGAGCAGTTATTCTAAAACTATTCCATCTTAAATTTTTTATTCTAATTGTTAATTCCAGAGGCATATCATAATACAGAGTTCTGGTGAGTGAAGCAGAGCCACTCTCAGGAAGACTTTGGACTCCAATGACAATTAGAGAGTAATGAGATATTTCGAGCTTTTGTCCCATATGTGCAATCTCTGATCCGGCTCCAACATGGATTTCTTTGCCTGTGTTGGGGAAATGTTACCCAGTGCACCAAGCAGAGAGCACTGGTGTTAAAGGCAGTTACCGTTGTGTCTGGGCAATGATTTCCTGGCACCTAAAACTCTCTATAATACTTCCAAAATTTGCCATAGCTATGGGAGAACGGGATATGAGAGAAGAACTGTGGTGCTATAGGAAATTTCTAAATACCATTAGCACTGCTTCAGAATGACAAAGTGATTATGAAGTAATGGCCACAAAATTGCTCCTCAGTCTTGTTCTTATGCCCTCTCTGTGGGCTGAAGTTGACTCATTTAAGGAGCAGTTTCAATTCTCCTCTTGCAGTCTCCCTTTTTTTGTGGTTGTTTGTTTGTCTTTTCATTTCTGTTACAATGCTTATCCTTTATTAAGATAATATTAAAATTTGGACCAATATCTGTAACACATATCTTCTTAATTACTTATGGTTTTTATATATTCCTAAACCCATTGATGTACATGGCTAAAATTGCATCTCTTTTTTCCAACAATGGCTAATCCTTAGTGTTGATCTGGGGGAAAAAAAAATCTATAAACAGCACTTAAATCATCATTATAATGTGCCTAAGGTGTGCTGCCCACTGTACCAAGTTTTTTACACTCACTCTCTCTAATTCTTACAAAAATCCTCCAGGCTAGATGTTCTCATTTTGCAAATGAGGAAAGTGAGACTCCAAGAGGTTAAACAAGGCAGTGAAAGCCACTCAGATGTAAGTTGCGGCTTATGAACTCTACGGTCTATACACTCTCCTATTATTGCATTTTGTGTTTCAAATTACCATCATTTTTGGTGAATCTCTAAAATTTAAAAATAGTACTTCTTTGGTTATTTAACACAGAAATTCACACTATTTCTGTCCTTGGGTATGTTAAAAAATAAGAAAAAAGAATTGCCTTTCTGGCAGATTCAAATCTGCCTGGTTCCTTAGCATTTCTGAGGAAATCTAATTTTTTAGGCCCCATGCAGCCTTCAAATTGAATATATAATTCCCAATGTTCTCCTTTCTTGGGAAAACATTTCTACTCCACTGTGAGGATCAAGCTCCCTCCTGTTGCCACCGCTCCCATAGCTGAGCTAAGAAGACAGATGCTATGTGATTCTGTGAAGATCTAGGATTAGGTAGGCCTTCTAATGAGGCATTTAATTGGGGGGTTTAGCACTCATTCATGCAACAAACACTGCAAGGCTGTTGATAGTGCTGGGGCCAGGGCCTTTTAATCCTGATGGTTGTTCTATCTTGCTGAGGTGATTTCTTCAGCTTAGCATATAAAACAGAATTATCAAACAGAAAGCTGCTTGAATGCCAGTGAACAAGCACTGGGCCACTAGCTATGTCATCTTAGGGTAAACTAGCAAAATAACAGGAAGGAGATGTCCCCTCACACCCCACCAAGACCCAGTGAATCAAAGGATAGCCACCTTCTTGGTAAGCTCCCTTTATCAGCAGCCAACATTAACCAACTGCCATTTTGGGTGCATGTTTCCCCTCTCTCTCTTCTCTTCTTTGCTTTTTGCCTCTCAAGTGTTTAAGACTTAAAGCAGAGTTTCTCTAACCCCTACCCCAGCCTTCTCATAAACTATTAATGCAGATAAATTGGAAATGTGTCAGAACTGACACCCCTCTGCAGCCTCAGCTGTTTAGGCAGGAAAACAGGCTCTTCTGCATTGCACTTAACAGACTTAACATGAGAAAGTTACTTGTTAAGGACTCAACTCCAAAAATTAGCATTTTTCATGCTATTGAGAAATGTTACAAAAAGAGCAAGATTGGTGATGGAAAGAGAAAAGGGAAGTATAGCAAGTTTCAAAATAAAAGAAGCAGTTTTTTCAATGCAGCTTTGCTAAGGTTTGAATAAAATGAAGAAGCCAAGTTCCTCCAGGCCCAGAGGGATACCAGTCTCACATCTCTTGCTGGGTATGAGTGGTGTCGAAATGCCATGTCAAAGGGTCTCCTTAGCCCTTGTAAGCTCTGACAAGATATGCTCCAGGGTGGAGACAAAGCTGAAAAATCCAGGGTAAAAATGGACAGGTAATCTCATGCCTAGATATCTTCTCATCTGTGCCTGGCTGAGTAGATTTAAATTATCTCACACATTTTTCTTACTTTGTTGAATTTTCAAAACATGAAAGAGAAAGTGGGATAATTTATAGTTCATATTTCATATTCTGAATTAACCACTGTTAAATCTTGGCATATTTGCTTCAAGGTTTTTTTTTTTTCCTTTAAAGTTAATGTTTCTCAATTGATTTCATAAAATTGAAAACTGCTTTAACAGAATTTTTAGGAATTGAAAAGCAAAAGGAGCATACAAAGAGATGCTCAAGATGATATTGTCATTAGAGAATTGTAAATTAAAACAACAAAGATACCACTACCTACCTATTCAAATGGCTAAAATCCAGAACACTGCCACCACCAAATGCTGACAGGAATATGGAGCAACAGGAACTCTCATTCATTGCCAGTGAGAATGCAAAATTGTACAACCACTTTGGAGGACAACTGAGCAATTTCTTATAAAATCCAGCATAGTCATACCATGTGATCCAGTAATCTTGCTCCTTGGTATTTATCTAAAGAAGCTGAAAACTTATGTTGACACAAAAATGTATATAGTTGTTTATAGCAGCTTTATTTATAATTGCTAAAACTTGGAAGCAGCCAAATGTCCTTTAGTAGATGAATACTTTTTTAAAAAAACCCAAAGCAAACAAACAAACAAAAACTGGTACATCCAGACAATGGAATATTATTCAGAGCCATGAAAAAGGCATGGAGGAAACTTAAGTGTATATTACTAAGTGAAAAAAGCCAATCTGAAAAGGCTAGATACTGTATATTTCCAATTATATGACATTCTGGAAAAGGCAATATTATCGAGACAGTAAAACGATTAGTGATTTTCAGTGGCCAGGGAGTAAGTAGAATAAATAGAATTTTTAGGACAGTAAAGCTGTCCTATGTATGAAACTATAATGATAGACACATGCTGCTGTAGTCTGAATGTTGTATCCACTCACCCACAAATTAACATATTGAAACCTATTCACCAATGTGATAATATTAGGAGACAAGGCTTTTACGAGACGATTAGATCATGAGCAGGGAACTCTCATGGATAGGATTAGTGCCTTTATAAAAGTGGCCTCAGACAGAAGAATCACTTGAACCCAGGTGGCAGAGGTTGCAGTGAGCCAAGACAGTGCCATTGCACTCCAGCCTGGGCAACAAGAATGAAACTCCATCTCAAAAAAAAAAAAAAAAAAAAAAAGGGGGGGGGGGCCTCAGGGAGCTGCCTTGCCCCTTTCACCAGGTGAGGACACAGTGAGAAGGCAACATTTATGAATCAAATGGGCCATCACCAGACACTAAATCTACTGGTGCCTTGATCTTGGACTTCCCAGCCTCTAGAACTGGGAAATTTCTATTGTTTATAAGCTATCCAGTGTTTGATGTTTTGTTATAGGATCCTGAATGAACTAAAACATGTCATTATACATTATGTCAAAACTCATAAGATGTACAACTCTAAGAGTGAGCCTTAATACAAACTATGGAGGCTGGGTGATGATGATGTTAATGTAAGTTTGTCAGTTTTAACAAAGGAATCACTCTGATGTGGGATATTGATATCTGTAGAGACTACCTGAGTATGAGGTCGGAGAGTATACATACAGGAATTCTCTGAATTGTCCTCTTAATTTTGCTGTGAACCTAAAACTGCTCTAAAAAATAGTCTATTTTGAAAAAAACCCCAAAGGGGAAGTATTTTTTTAAACTTAATTCTCACCATCCATACATTTTTATTATTGAAATAGTTGGGTGTTATTTTCTGAATATACAAATAGATTGATGGATTTATATGCAGATGGATGAGAATAAACAAACAAATATAAATATTTATATAAAGGAATTTATAAAGTACATGCTATTTTGATAATAAAGTTAATTTTACTTGCAGTTAAAATATAGAAGTAAAGTTGAAAAAAATTAAAATTAATATTCTCAACTATGGTTTCAAAAAGATGCTATGAAACTTTTGGTAAAAGTTGGAGTCATTATGTTTTTTTTAAACAATGTGCTTCAATTTTAAGCCATATCTATAATTTACTCTGCTTTAGAAGGATGCCACCAATCTCACCAATCTTATCAACTCTCCTCAACTTTTCCTCTGGATTTTTGGTTACTGGTATTCCTATGTCAAGGTCAACTTTTATAATATTAGTATTTAGTTGTTAACCACAATTCTAATAATTGGTTTTACTCCTACATTTAGTTGATATACTAGTGTTAAACAAAATTTATGAGGACCATTTTTTTGGACTAGCCTCCTGTACTAGATCCCAGCAGGCCAGACCAAACCAGAATGAAGCCACTCATACTAGGTGCCATGTAATCAAACTGAACGTTGAAGTGGGCCAGTTTTCCCAAATAATGCAAAACAAAATGCAGATCTCGGTCCACTTAAGTCAGCGTAATAAGGAAGGCCCTTGTATTTAACCCTATAAGGAAAGTAACTTTGAAATGATCAATCTGTTTCTTATTCCCTGTTTCTGCTTTTTTCAGCCCTTTTCTGTCTATAAAACCAAGCCTCTGCTCAGCGCATCAAATCACTAATTATATTTTATAGAATGTATTGCCCAAATCTAGAATTTCCAATAGAAGCCAATTAAATCTTTAAACTATGTAAATTGAAACTTTATGCCTGACAAAATTAAAAAATAAAAATAAAAACCCTAAACTTTATATTCAAATAAGCATAAAAAATAAATTTGTTGTAATTTTATCGTTTGACAGTATGAAGCAGTAATCCTTTAACACATTTCCCTGTTCCCCAAATTTTTATTTTATTATTTTTATTCATCTTTTAATAATTGGACCAATGTATTTTTTATTTATTTCTTACTTTAGATAATGTGTCTTTTCTCCTTCTTTCCTGCCTTCTTGATTTTAAAAATTTATTCTTCTTAAGTTTTCTTAGTTGCCAAGATTGCTTTAGTTTTCATTTTTCTCCTTTTTGAGAGTCTTTGTCTACACATTCTATTTGCTCTGATAGAATGTGGTTAACTTTAGACTCTCTCCCCACAAGTGCATTTTTAGTATAATTTTTCTTTCTTTTCCCTTTTTCTTTTTCACTATGAGATATAATGAGAGCTGGGTACTTTGTGTCACTTCCAATTTTCTACAGCCTGAGGAAATGGCAAAAGGATGGGTAAAACTAAGCTAAGGGGTGTGTATTTTTAGTTGGAATAGCTGGGATCTGTTCTCTGTCCTGAGGTTTTTGTAACAGGAAAAACAGTAATTACATTTATTCCTTCTTGTTGGGGCTAGATTGAGTTGGTTACACTATTCCAATGGGGGCAGACCAGAGAGATTGGTTTTCTAGGATTCATTGCATCTAGTCAAGGTGGGAGACACCATTCCTGGATAACACACCTTGAATTCTAGATCATTTGAAATCTTGGTTTATATATAGTCCTCAAACCCATACATCTCTCTAAGGTCAGTTAGCTACTTCATTTTTTTTTCTATTTTGTATCATACAGATTTCCAGTATTGTTCAATCATAATTCAGAATTTCTAAAACATTCTCAAGTATTCAAGTTGTTCAATTTCTCTGGAACCTCAGATGCTGGAAAAAGCATCCATCATCATACAGTCACATGAAACAAACCAAGACACCACACCATGCTCCCTGACTACAAACATGGTAGCAAATAGGAGGCTCCTGGTAGATAAGAAGAAGCCAACTTACTTCAAAGCCCTAATATAGGGAAAGTGATTCCTACATCACATACCCTCTAATTGGGCTTTTAAATTATTTCCTTTGACAAAGACACACAAAATTTAGGATTTCCCTAGTGAAAAAAAAATTTGCCTTGGTTAAATTGGATTGAGTCCTGTGGTAAGTGAAAAATTTTACTTCAAAACTCTTCTTTTGACAAGGTAAATAAATATTAAAATATAAAAATATTTGTATCCAAATTAGATATAATAATTTTAAAAATAGAAGCAATCTTAATCTTCTCAAATAAACAGGTAAATGATAGCTCTCAATCATAAGAGATCATAAAGCTTCAAAAATTGTGTTGAAATACAGTAGCTGTAAATGACACAGAGAAAATTGTGATAAAAGGTCCTAAACAAGCTATTAGGTTGACAAGGTCCAATACAGCACCTATGCTCTTTACCATTTTGTCCCCATACCTGCTACAGTGTCTGGCAGTATAAATGCAATGAAGGAGAAAATTAATGAAAGGGTAATCTGACTACTCTCCTAGGAGAAAGAAGGAAGATGGTAGCTGCTCAAATGCAATCAATTCCAAGACACCACTTCTAAATACTGGCCCCCATCTCAAGGATACCACTATCTAGGATACTACACAAATGTATTTATTTTTTCCTTTCAATGGAATGTGAAGTTTATGTGTCTTCTTAATGAATTCAGGTCATTTAAAAATTTCAAAAGGAATATTCATCACACTGAGATTCTACCAAGTTCTGAGCAGCCACATTCTTTTTTCTTTGCTTAGCTCCTAATTACTGTAAAATTTTGACAAGTGGTTACAATTCAAATATCTGTACTTGGTTCTTCACAGATTCTCGAAATCCTTTAATCATCTCAGCACTGTCAGCTGCGTCAGCACAGTACCAGAGAGTGGACTACAGCCAATCAGATGTGGAGCGGCCCCGTGCTTCCTCCTTTTAAACTCAGACTGGCAGACAGGACGCAAAGCAAAGCATAGCCCAGGAGCTAGAGTGTCTTTTCAAAGACCAAATGAAATTTAATGAAAGAGGAAAGTTTTTATTAAAATGCAGAATCAGAGAAACCAAAAAAAGTTTGAGACATTTTAGAGGAATCAGGAAGTAACGACTTTGAATTTAAAGAATGTTTAAGATTTTGAATACGTGGTCAGGAATCTTTAAAGTATCTACACAAAGATTTCACATCAAATCACAAAGAGGGAGAACACTATAAAACTTTTAATTTCTCAGCATGTTATAGTTTACTCATCTGATCTTCACAATTCTGTGACTCATTTGATTTATCCTCAATGAGCTAATAATTCATAAAAGGGATAGATTATTTATTCATTCATTCATTTAGTGAACAATTGTAGAGTCACTTAGCTAAGCATAAGATAAAAGTTCCTGACCATGTCATGGACAGGCAGACAAATAAAAATAAATATCATAAATAAAATTCTGGCTGGGAATCAAGAAAAGATAATTTGATCTTTACTTCATTCTATACAGTAAGATAAGTGTTGTCAAGATGTTCATGTGGCATTACCTGAAATAGCACGAAGAGACCCAGTTTAAATGATTATGTCTCCATTTCTTGAACAGATAAATATAGTTAAGTAGAAAACATGCCAATTGTTGCTGAAATGGGGCTGTTGTAAAAAATAAGAAGGGCAGGGCCTGTTGGCTCATACCTGTCATCCCACCACTTTGGGAAGCCAAGCTGGGTGGATCATCTGAGGTCAGGAGTTCAAGACCAGCCTGGTCAACATGGTGAAACCCCAGCTCTACTAAAAATACAAAACATAGCTGAGCGTGGTGATGCATACCTGTAATCTCAGCTACTCGGGAGGCTGAGGCAGGAGAATGGCTTGAACCCCCAAGACGGAGGTTGCAGTGAGCCAAGATCATGCTACTGCACTCCAGCCTGGGCAACAGAGCAAGACACTGTCAAAAAAAAAAAAAAAAAAAAAAAAAAAGAAGGAGGAGGAGGAGGAAAATATGCTCTTATATGGAGAGATTTCAAGTTCTTCCAGTTTTTCCAGAGTTAAATCAGCAGCTTCCAGTTGTGCAAACTTGGTCAAATTTATTAAACTCCACATACCTCAGTTTCATCATCCTGAAATGTGAATAGTAATACTACTTATCTCAGGGTTTTTTTCTGAGGATTACATTAAGTTAAGAGCCATAGAGGACTTAGAATATTGCCTCTCCCATAAAAAGTGGTGTATAAGTGGAAGCTATGATTATTATTCAAGATATACTATCTGTAAATGAAACAGATTGTGAAAAAATGCAGTATGAATTCAATAATATAAAATGATGTATATATTAATATGTTCACATATGTATGTAAAGGCAGATATAAAATTATTTCTGAAGTATGTACATTTTACTGCTAACAATATTTAACACTTGAGTGAAGACATAAATATGGAAGTTATTTTTAACTTTTATTTTAGGTTCAGGGGTACGTGTGCAGGTTTATCATATATGTAAATTGTGTGTCACGGGGATCTAGTGTACAGATTATTTCATCACTTAAGTAATAAGCATAGTACCCAAAAGGTAACTTTTTGATCATCACCATTCTCCCACCTTGCATCCTAAGTAGGACCTGATATGTTGTTCTCGTCTTTGTGTTCATACGTATGCAATGTTTAGCTTCCACTTATAAGTGAGAACATACAATATTTGGTTTTCTGTTCCTATGTTAGTTTGCTTAAGATAATGTCCTCCAGGTCCATCCATATTGCTGCAAAGAACATGATTTCATTCTTTTCTATGGCTTCATAGTATTCCATAGTATATATGTACTACATTTCTTTATCCAGTTTACCATTGATGGGCCTTTAGGTTGAATCCATGTCTTTGCTATTGCAAATACTGCTGCAATGAACGTACACATGCATGTGTCTTTATAGTAGGATGATATATATTCCTTTGGGTATATACCTAATAACAGGATTGCTAGGTTGAATGGTAATTCAGTTTTAAGATCTTTCAGAAAATGCCAAACTGCTTTTCACAATGGCTGAACTAATTTATATTTCCTCCAGAAGTGTGTAAGCATTCCCTTTTCTCCACAACTTTGCTAGCACCTGTTATTTTTAGACTTTTACATAATAACCATTCTGACTGGTGTGAGATGGTATCTCATTGTGGTTTTGATTGGCATTTCCCTAATAATCAGTGATGTTGAGCATTTTTTAATATGCTTGTTAAATGCATGTATATTTTCTTTGGAAAACTGTTTGATCATGTCCTTGGCCCACTTTTTAATGGGGTTGTTTGCTTGTAAATTTGTTTAAGTTTCTTATGTATTCTGGATATTAAACCTTTGTCATATGCATAATTTGCAAAAATTTTCTCCGATTCTGTAGGTTGTCTGTTTATTCTGTGTTGGTTTCCTTTGCTGGGCAGAAGCACTTTAGTTTAATTAGGCCTTATTTATTAATTTTTGTTTTTGTTGCAATTGCTTTGGCATCTTTGTCATGAAATCTTTGCCAGGCCCTATGTCCAGGATGGTATTTCTTAGGTTACCTTCCATGGTTTTTATAGTTTTAGGTTTTATATTTAAGTCTTTAATCCATCTTGAGATTTTTGTATATGTTATAAGAAGGAGTATAGTTTCAATCTTCTGCATATGGCTGGCCATTTATCTCAGCACCATTTATTGAATAGGGAGTCCTTTCCCCATTGCTTATTTTTGTCAACTTTGCCAAAGATCAGATGGTTGTAGGTGTGCAGCATTATTTCTGGGCTCTTAATTCAGTTCCACTGGTCTATGTGCCTGTTTATGTCCCAGTACCATACTGTTTTGGTTACTGTAGCCTTGTAGTATGGTTTGAAGTCAGGTAATATGATACCTCCAGCTTTGTTCTTTTAGCTTAGTATTGCCTATTTGGATAGCATTACTATTTGGGCACTTTTTTTTTTGGTTCCATATGAATTTTAAAATAGTTTCTTCTAATTCTGTGAGGAATGTCATTAGTAGTTTGATAAGAATAGCATTGAATCTGTAAACTACTTTGGGTAGTATTGCCATTTTGACAGTATTGATTCTTTCTATCCATGAGCATATAATATTTTTCTGTTTGTTTGCATCATCTCTCACTTCTTTGAGAAGTGTTTTGTAATTCTCATTGTAGAGGTCTTTCACCTTCATGGATAGCTGAATTCCTATGTATTTTATTTTGTTCTTTTGTGGCTATTGTGAATGGAATTTTCTTCCTAATTAGGCTCTCAGCTTCGATATTGTTGGTGTATAGAAATGCTACTGGCTTTTTATACATTGATTTTGCATCCTGAAACTTTGCTGAAGTTTTTTCTCAGCTCAAGGAATTTTGGGGAGAGGCTATGGGGTTTTCTAGCTATAGAATCACATCATCCACAAGCAGGGATAATGTGATTTTCTTTCTTCCTAATTTGATGCCTTTTATTTCTTTTCTTGCCTGATTTTTCAGACTGGGACATCCAGTATGCCAGAGCACTCAGTGGTGATTGAATAGGAGTGGTGAGAGAAGGCATCCTTGTCTTATGCTGGTTTTCAAGGAGAATACTTCCAGCTTTTGCCTATTCTGTAAGATGTTGTCTGTGGGTTTGTCATAGATGACTCTTATTACTTTAAGGTATGCTCCTTCAACGTCTAGTTTATTGACAGCTTTCAACATGAAGCAATGTTGAATTTTGTCAAAAGCCTTTCTGCATCTATTGAGATAATCATGTGGTTTTTGTCTTTAGTTCTGTTTATCTGATGAATCACATTTATTGATCTGCATATGTGGAACCAACCTTGCATTCCAAGGAAAAAGCCTACTCGATCTCAATGTAGTAGCTTTCTGATATGCTGCTGAATTCAGTTCGCTAGTATTTTGTTGAGATTTTTTGTATCAATACTCATAAATAATATTGTCCTGAAGCTTTCTTTTTTTGTTGTGTCTCTGCCAGATTTTGGTATCAGGATGATGCTGGCCTCATAGAGTTGGGGGTGAGTCCCTCCTCAATTGTTTGGAATAGTTTCGGTAGGAATGGTACCAGCTTTTCTTTGTACATCTGGTAGAATTCAGCAATGAATCCACCTGGTCCTGGGCTTTTCTTGGGTTGGCAGGATTTTTACTTATTGAGTCAATGTTGGAGCTCATTATTGGTCTGTTCAGATATTCAATTTATTCCTGATTCAGTCTTGGGAGGTTGTATGTGTCCAAAAATTTATCCATTTTTCCCCCTTGATTTTCTAGTTTGTGTACATAGAGGTGTTGATAGTAGTCTCTGATAGTTATTTGTATTTCTGTTGGGTCAGTGGTAATGTACGCTTTGTCATTTCTAATTGTGTTTATTTGGATCTTCTCTCTTTTTTTCTTCGTTAGTGTAACTAGCAGTCTATTTATCTTAGGAATTTTTTCAAGGGCCAACTCCTGAATTCCTTGATTTTTTTTTTTTGTATGGTTTTTCATGTCTCAGACCCCTTCAGTTCAGCTCTGATTTTGGTTATTTCTTGCCTTCTGTTAGCTTTGGGGTTGGTTTATGTGTGGTCAACTTTAGAGTATATGCCATGTACAGGTGAGAAGAATGTATATTCTGTTGCTTTGGGGTGGAATGTTCTGTGATGTCTACTAGGCCCATAGTTCAGGTCCTGAATATCTTTGTTAGTTTTCTGCCATGCTTTATGTCTAATACTGTCAGTGGGGTGTTGAAGTCTCCCACTATTATTTTGTTATTACCTAAGTCTCTTTGTAGGTCTCTAAGGAATTGCTTTATGAATCTGTGTGCTCCTCTGTTGGGTGCATATATAGTTAGAATATTTAATAGTTAAGCCTTCCTGTTGAATTGAGCCCTTTAACATTGTGTAATGCCTTTCTTTGTCTTTTTTTATCTTTGTTGGTTTAAAGTCTGTTTTGTCTGAAGCTATGATTGCAACTGATGCTTTTTTCTGTTTTCTGTTTGCTTGGTAGATTTTTCTTTATTCCTTTATCTTGAGCCTATGGGTGTCATTGCATGTGAGATGGGCCTCTTGAAGATAGCATACCATTGGGTCTTGCTTCTTTATTCAACTTAGCAGTCTGTGCCGTTCAACTGGGGCATGTAGCTTGTTTATTTTCAAGGTTAGTACTGGTATGTGTGAAGTTGCTCCTGTCATCATGTTGTTAGCAGGTTATTGTGTAGACTTGTTTTTGTGGCTGCTATAGTGTTAATGGTCTATGTAAGTAAGTGTGTTTTTGTAGTAGCTGGTAACAGTTTTTCTTTTCCTTGATTAGCACTAACTTCAGGACATCTTGTAAGGCAAGTCTGGTGGTAATACAATGTCTTAGTATTAGCACGTCTTGAAAGGATGTTTCTCCTTTGCTTACGAATCTTACTTTGGCGGGATATGAAATTCTTGTTTAAATTTTTTTCTTTAAGAATGCTGAAAATTGCCAGGTGAGGTGGCTGATGCCTCAGGTGGATCACCTGAGGTCAGGAGTTTGAGACCAGCCTGGCCAACATGGCAAAACCCCGTCTCTACTAAAAACACAAAAAATCGTCAGGCATGGTGGCGCATGCCTATAATGCCAGCTGCTCGGGAGGCTGAGGCAGAAGAATTGCTTGAACCTGGGAGGTGGAGGTTGCAGTGAGCTGAGATTGTGCCACGGCACTCCAGCCTGGGTGACAGAGCAAGACTCCATCTCAAAAAAAAAATGCTGAAAATTGACCCTCATTCTCTTCTGGCTTGTACGGTTTCTGCTGAAAGGTCTATTTTTAGCCTAATTGGGGTTCCTTTTGTATGTGACCTGTCCCTTCTCTCTAGCTATGATTAACTTTTTTTTTTTTTTAACCTTGGAGAATGTGATGACTATGTTTTGGGGATGATCTTCTTGAGTAGTGTTCCATAGGTGTTCTCTGCATTTCCTGAATTTGAATGTTGTCCTCTTGTAAGTTTGGAAAATTTTCATGGACTGTATTCTGAAATATGTTTTCCAAGTTGCTTGTTTCTCTCCCTCTCTTTCAGGGACACCAATGAGTGGGTGATTTTGTCTCTTTACATGATCCTATATTTCTTGAAGGTTTTGTTCATTTTTATTTATTGATTTTTTTTCATTTTTTCTGACTGAGTTATTTCAGAGAGCCAGTAATCAAGTTCTGAGATTCTTTCCTCAGCTTGGTCAATTCTGCTGTTAATGTTTGCAATTGTTTTTGAAATTCTTGAAACGAGTTTTTCAGCTCTATCACTTCTGTTTGGTTTCTTCTAAAAATTGCCATTACATCTTTCATCTCCTGTATTGTTTTGTTGTATTCCTTAGAATCCTTGGATTGGGTTTCAACTTTCTCCTGAATGTCTATGATCTTTGTTTCTATCCATATTCTGAATTCTATTTCTGTCATTTCAGCCATTTCAGCCTGCTTAAGAACCATTGCTGGGGAACTAGTATGTGGTTGTTTGGAAGTAAGAAGACACGCTGGCTTCTTGAGTTGCCAGAGTTTTTGTGCTGGTTCTTTCTCATCTTGTGTGGGCTGATGTTCCTTTCACCTTTGAAGCTGCTGTTCTTTGGATGGGTTTTTGTTTCTTTTATCTTCTTTGATGTCCTTGGTGTTTGATTGTGTTATAAGTTGGGTTCAGTCATCTGGCTTCATTTCTGGTAGACTTTTGGAGGGGCAAGGCTCAGCTGGGCATGCCTGGGCTACATGCTTTAACTCTAATGGTTGGTATCCGGCCCCTGGCTTTGTTCTCTGGCCTCTCGAGGTTGGGTATGTGCTGTGTTGGAGGGGCTGAGGTGTTCCTGGACTGTTGGTCACAGCACCTCAAAGGGTGGTGCCAGCCAAAGTGCTTCATCGGTTGGTAGCAGTGGGATCGATACTTGTTTGAATGTGCCAGCAGCAGTGGCAGCATGGTGGGCTGCACACTTGTCAGCTCGGGTGGAGTGCTGGCAGGCCCAAGCCTACTGGTTTGCATGTAGGTTTTAGTAATGACTGTAGTGGTTACATGGCAGGGGAGAAATGTTGGGGCTGCTGGGGTCCATTTGCGCATTTGCACCCATGGCAGTGCCCCTGCACATTTACACTAGTGGCAGTGGAAGCACAAGGCAGAGGCAAGGTTGCTGGTGTCCACACATGTATTCATGACAACAATGGTGATGTGGTGGGGCGGTGATGGGAGGAGGGGCATGGGTGCACTCATGCTGGCAGCAATGGCATGGTGGGAGGCATATGCACTCGTGGCATGTACTGGCAGGGAAGGGGAGGCAAGGTCCACCTGCACACATGCATGCTGGCAAAGCAATGAGGGAGTGGCCATGGGCAAGTGTATGCCAGCAAAGTGGCATGGGGGAGGCTGAGGTGGAAGGAAGGTGCAGACGGCTGGTATGTGTCAGTGGGGGACTGCTCTGCTGGGGCTCTCTGATGTTCAGGCATGGTCTGCCAGTGCAGAAGCTATGATGCAACTTCAGGACGGCACTCCAGTTGGGCATCCAAGGCTGAATTGCTAACAAGCATGACCAGGCTGGGGTGTGAGAGAAGGAGGCAGACAGAAAGACTGGCTCCATCTCATGGGCAAAATTGCCCTTCTCTCTTCAGGTCCAACACTTCTCCTAAGGCTAGAGTATCCTAGGGGAACATGGTGAGCCTTGGGGGATGGGTGTCCTTGGCTGTGCTCTGGAGGACTTTTTTAGTGAAATGTTTCAGCCAATGGGAAGAGAATGATGAGGAAAAAAAAGGAGAATGTGAAAGTTTATTTATTCAATTATATATGTCAATTTCTATTATGTTCCCATTCTGAAGTAGAGATCCTTGAAAAGATTCAAGGATAACCATGGTAAGTTAATAGCTAATCAGTGTGTATGGTGCTATCATAAAAGTTGACTAAAGAAATAATACAATATTATGTAAAACAACCTGGGCCAGATGGTAGCTGGTAGTGTGTCTTATCATCATGCTCATGAATTTTTATTTTATCAAACCATTTCAATGACAAGTGACTATTGCCTTTTTTTTCATATGGTTTGCCAGTTGTTCCTATACCATTTGTTTAAAAGACTATTCTTTGTCCCATTTAATGGTCTTGGCATTCTTGATGAGAATCATTTGACCATAGACACATGGACGTATTTTTGATCTCTCAATTCTATTTCATTGGTTTATGTCCTCATGCCATACCATAATGTCTTGATTACTCTAGTTTGTTGGTAAATTTTTAAATCAGAAAAATGAGTCCCAGTTTTTTGTTCTTCTTTTTCAAGATTGCTTTGGTTATCCTGGGTCTCTTGAAATTCCATCTGAATATTAGAAACAGCTGGACAATTTCTGCAAGAAGTCTTCTGGGATTCTAATCATAATTACCTTGAATTTTTAGATTACTTTTGGAAGTATTGCCATTTTAACAATACTAAGTCTTCCAATTCATGAACATCAGATTTTTTCTTTTATTTAGATCTTTAGTATCTTTCAATAATGTTTTGTAGTTTTCAGAGTATACATTTTACAGTTGTTTTGTTAAATTTTTTCCTAAATATGTTATTACTTTTGATGCTACTATAAATGGAATGGTTTTCTTAATTTTATTTTGAATTGTTTAGTGCAAGTGTACAGAAATCCAGTTGTGTTTTTTTAATATATTGATTTTGTGTCTTGCAATCTTACTGAGGTCATTTATTATCTGTAATAAATTGTTAGTAAATTTTAAAGATCTTCCATACTCACAATCATGTCATCTTCAAGTAAATATAGTTTTACTTTCTTATTTCCAACCAGATGTCATTAATTTATTTTTGTTGCATAATTTCCCTGGCTAGAATCTTCATGCAATTTTGAAGAGATGACATCTCTGTCTAGTCCCTGATCTTAGGAGGAAAAAAAGCCAGTCTTTCATTATTCATCTTGATGTTAGCTATAGGTTTTTTTCATAGATGCTCTTTATCAAGTTGAGGAAGTTTTCTTCTGTTCCTATTTTGCTGTGTGGTTTATCATGAAAGGAGATGGGATTTTGTCAAAGTCTATTTCTGCATCTGTTGAAATGATCATGTGGATTTTGTGCTTTTTCCTTTTCTGTTGACATGATATAACATATTAATTGATTTTATATGCAGAACCATCCTAGAACATCATACAAAGAATTCATATAGTATATAATCTTTTGTTTCTGGCTTCTTTTCTTCAACATAATGTTTTTGAAATCCATCTGTTTCTCTTATAATCTTATATTCTTAAACCAATAATCAGTTCTAGGCTTATCTTAAATAAACCAATTTCAGCCCCAAAAGAGTTAAGAAGATCATGTGAAATTAAGTTAAAAGAAAAGTTTTGATTAATATTTATCTCAAGTACCTGGATTTGTCCAAAAACTTCTTCCACCTTAATTATTGTCAAGTACTTTGAAACTGATACTTTGATTGCATTAAACTAAGAAAGAGCCAACATACAGTTTAGGAGTACAAATGTTAATTGAAATTCATCAATTTCTCATATGGTTAATTTCCATTACACATATTTTGGGTTTCATGGAGAAATTTGATTTGACAAACTATGTAGTTTTCTCATGCTGCCATCTAAGCAAATGATGTAGTGGAAGGATAGGGGAGTTTGAAACTAAGCAAACTAAATTCAAATCTTGGTTTTGTTCTTTTATCAGCTGTGTAATTGTCTTCAATTTTCTTAACCTCTGTCAATCTCATTTGAGTTATTTGTAAAAGAAAATTTATGCATAACATATGATTTATTATTAAATATGTTAATAACAATAACATTAAGGCAGAACCTGATATACAGAGGTTGCTTCATAAATGGTTACAAATCTTTAAGAAGTTTCCTCCATAAGGCATGAGGAAGGAATAAAGACAGAAATGTGGACACATGGCTGAACATAGTGGATGTTCATTGAATCTTTGCCTAAGGATAGTAAAAGAGAAAAATAGAATTTAATGGTCAACATTACGAGACACCAACAGAGGCCATGGAACAGGTGATCTTTAAAAAAGCAAAAAAAGAAGAGGAAAAGTTAATAGCTTTCTATGTTCAGAAGTCCTTTCTTTCTTTCTTTCTTTCTTTCTTTCTTTCTTTCTCTCTCACTTTCTTTTTTTTCTTTCTTTCTTTCTTTTTTTTTTTTTTAGTCTCACTCTGCCACCCAGGCTGGATTGCAGTGGTGCGATCTCAGCACACAGCAACCTCCACTTCCCAGGTTCAAGCAATTCTCCTGACTCAGCCTCCCAAGTAGCTGGAACTACAGGTACATGCCACCACACCCAGCTAATTTTTGTATTTTTAGTAGAGACGTGTTTCACCATGTTGGCCAGGCTGGTCTCGAACCCCTGATTTCAGGTGATCCACCTGCCTTGGCCTCCCAAAGTGCTGGGAATACAGGCATAAGCCACCACACCCTGCCATATTCTTCTTTAAATGTGCAGAATTGTGCTTTAGAATTAGCAAGGTGTTTATATATATTACCCATCTGTCAACTTTCTGGGGTAATAAATATCCTTTTCTATTGCCCCTTTATCAGATAGCTCAAGCTAAATCTGTTGCAGTATCTAACAAACCCCTAAATCTTAGTGTCCTCAACTTCAGTCAATTTTTTTCTCTTGTTACATAGCCATCATGGGTTAAATGCAACTCATTGTTCTCATTCTAGCAAACATGATGAACAACCCCTGTATGGGATATTTCCAGTCTCATGTCAGAGGAAAAAGAAAACAATGAATAAAGGACATGATGATTCTAAAACTTCTACTCATTAATGAGACACATTCCTGCTCACATTTTAAAATCTGGCATCAATAAATAGATTGAAGTGTATGAAGGATATTCAAAAAGTTCATGAAAACGCACATTATGAAATATCTATGCAGGGATTTCAAAGTTTTTACACCAAAATAACATCATACTAACTTGTTATAACATGTCTGAACAGGATCTAGTTTGAGGCACTAAGAAGGATAAAACATCAGTTTGAACAGAATCTTTATCAGAGCAACATGAATTCTACTAAAATTGATATAAAACAAACATCCAATTAATGGGAAGCTTGGATGAAAGAATGGTAAAATCACTGATGCTTTTCAAAAAGTTTATGGGGACAATGCCCTAAAGATATTAGCAATTTACAAATGAATGGCTCATTTTAAGAAGGAATCAATGTTGAAGATGAAGCCCACAGCAGCAGATTATTCACATCAATTTGTGAGGAAAAAATTAACTTGTTCATGCCTGTATTAACCAGGGTTCTCTACAGGGACCGAACTAATAAGATAGATGTAATTATGAAGGGGAGTTTATTAAGGAGTATTGACTCATATGATCACAAGGCGAAGTCCCACAATAGGCCCACTGCAAGCTGAGGAGCAAGGAAACCAGTTTGAGTCCCAACACCTCAAAATAAGGAGGACGATGGTGCAGGCTTCAGTCTGTGGCCAAAGACCTGAGAGCCTCTGGCAAACCACTGTTGTAAGTCCAAGAGTCCGCAAGCTGAATAACTGGGAATCTGATGTTTGAAGGCAGGAAGTATCATCATGGGAGAAAGATGAAACCTGGAAGACTCAGCAAGTCAAGTCCTTCTAACCTCTTCTGCCTGCTTTATTCTAGCTGCTGCGGTAGCTGATTAGATGGTGCCACCCAGATTGAGGGTGGGTTTGCCTCTCACAGTCCACTGACTCAAATGTGAATCTCATTTGGCAACACTTACAGACATGCCCAGGAACAATACTTTACATCCTTCAATCTGATCAAGTTGACACTCAATATTGACCATCAAAATGCCCTAATTGTAAAAGACCAATGATTAATAGCACCCACAACAGCCAATATCATAGACATCTTAATTGGTTCAGCTTACACAATTCCAACTGAAAAAGTTGAGCAAATATTCTACTCAATGTGTGCTAAAACCATTGCACCCAGATCAACTGCAGATATGAGCAGAACTTTCAATGGAGATTTTATACAAGAGGGGTCAAGATCCCAAAGGATTTCTTTGAAGAATTATAACAGGAGATTGAACATGCCTTTACCAGTACAATCCTGAAGACAAAACCAAACCAAAATAATGGCTACCAAGAGATGGAAGTGGTCCAATTGTGAAACAGTCAAGAGCAAAAGTAATGGCAACAATTTTAGGGGATTCTAAATGCATTTGGCTTGTTGCCCTTGTGGAGGGCCAAAAACTGATAATATCTGATTATTATGAGAGAGTTTTAAGAAAGTTAGCCAAAGTGTTAGCAGAAAAACACCCAGAAATTTTCATCAGAGTGTTCTTTACCACTATGACAATGTTCCTGCTCATTCTTCTCATTAAACAAAGGTCATTTTATTAGAGTGTAAATAGGAAATCAGTAGGCATCCACCTTACAGTCCTCATTTGGCTCCTTCTGACTTTTTATTGTTCCCTAATCTTAAACAACAAATCTTTAAAGGGCACACTTTTTTCAAAAGTTAGTAATGTAAAAAAGACTGCATTGACATGGTTAAATTCCCAGGCCCCTCAATTCTTTGGAGATGGACTGAATGGCTGGCACTATCACTTACAAAAGTGTCTTGAGCTCAGTGGAGGTTATGCTGAGAAATAAAGTTTGTATTTTTTATTTTTATCATTTAATTCCATTTTCTACAAACTTTTTGAAGTATGTCTATAACCCTTCCACAGGAAAGGGTATAGGATATTTTATGTAATAATATAATCTAATAGAAACTCCACCCTTCCCTCCTTTTCCATAAAAATAAGAGAACATTATGGGTTTAATAAGTACTGAAATATTACTCAGGGCAAAAATTTATGATATCTTTTCATTATATGACAGGTATATCCTTCATAAATGAGATGTTTTTCACATGTCTGGCTGATGCATTGAGATACATAAAGCTAAGCATTGGCCTTTTGTCACTGTATCAAAATATCATCTTTAGCCAACATTGATTATTATGTTACCAAAATTTTTAGATAATGATAAAAATCTAATTGTAATGAGAATCTCTGATGTTTGAAACATATGAGTTAGGCAAGAATTAATTTTATAAAGAAATAGAGAAAATTGCTGACATCTACTGGATAGAAAATTAAGAACAAAACCTATTCAACTTGTGAAAACTGACGGCTGATTGGTATGTATTGAACTAAAAAGATTCTAGAACTATCTATTAATTTTGTTTTGACCACCCAATTATATTTTGAAATCTTTATTTTGTGGCATTATGGCAAGCAAATTTTTTTTTAATATTTTATTGAAAATTTGACCAATCCCTCTTTTACTATATATTGCACTTTGACTTTGTACTGAGTGTTGTGATATGCAAGGGAAATGACACCAAATAACTTCCAATATTGAAGTTATTTATTGTATCAGAAACTGTGATCACTGTTTATGTGTGATGTTTCACCTTATTATATTGTCAGCAACTCTGAAGGCTCTGAGATTTTAGTCTATTGGGAAGCTAACAGGTTAGCCTGCCACAGTTTCATGGATTCTGGTAAATTATATGAGCTTTCTGGTTTGGAAACTATAGTTAATTACAAATAATATTGGCAATCACAAAGGTATTGGCATTTTTTTTTGCCCTGTGCCTCCAATTCCTGATTTCCAAAGGGCTATTCAGCCAGAAAGCATTAGCACATGCTGTGGTCTGTAATACAGGAAAGTGATTTTGCGCTTAGAACCTAATATTTCATGATAGGTAATAAGCATGCTAGCCCTTTGGTCTGGAAAGAGATATTATCATCACTGTATTTGACAGTAAGCGTGCTTGCTATTTGCTCTGGAGGAAAACTCTATCTCTGTCTTCCAAGGCTACTCTCTATACAAAAATCTTTTAAAAGATAGTTCAGAATAAAGTACAGTAACTGCCTTCCTTATAAGACATAAAATTATGAGATAGCCCTGGAGAATTATGTCACAACAGTATCTACTTCTTATTGCTACTACTTTGTCTTGACTGCTGGTGAATTTTCCCATGAGTACGCTACTCTGTTGGCTAGTCTCATTAATTTAAATAAGGTAGGCTAGGACTAAATCCATCACTTTGTTTCCCATATCATTTAATTAAGACTACTATCCCCAGAGCTACCAGTAGCAGGAGGAAGCCAATCTGCTGTATTGACCATTCTTCCCAGCTGGACCCAACCAGCTAAATAAATTCTTTTAAGCCATCAGGGTCTACCTTAGAAATTGAGGTAATTTTCTTCTTAAATTTCTGCATTAGCCTTTCCACTTTAGCTGAGGTACAGTAAGATGTATCAGTGAATACATAGATTCTGCTTAAACCCAAAAGGGGGAAGTCTAGGGCAATTGTGGCCTTTAAGTTATGGCTGACCTGAATGCATTCTAGAGCTGAAGTGGTATGTTTAGTCATTTCAACAAAGTTAAGGACAAATTTCTAACTGAATGCTTTCCATTGTAAAACTAACTTCTCACAGGGTGTGCTAAAATAATGAGCCATTTATCTCACTGATTTCTCCAGAAATCTTCCCTGAGTAACTAGGGGTGACCAAATTTTGAAGAGATTTCTATAGCCATATGAGAGCTACATGATCTACTTGTATTCTTAAATACTTGAAAGTCTTTTAAGGTAAAGACATTATGTTTTTAGGAGGAAGTCAGTTTATACCTGCCTTACAGTTAAGAAGCAAATATACATAGAACCCCAGGAAATAAAGTATTGGCTATAATTGTTGGTGTCCTCAAAGTAGTTCCTACATGGGTCAGGACCTACAGGTTGACAGGGGTCCTAACAGCCCCTCTGTCTGGCCATTAGACCTTTGAGTGCCCAGTTCAGTTAAAATGATTGAGTCAAATGATTGTTCTGGAAGACCTGCTTGAGGGCAGTCAATCTAACCTGTCCCATTTGTCTATCCCACTGGTTTGGTGGAATTAGTCTGCATCATGGGACTGAGAAAGGGCTACATGAATGAGGGTGGGGAAGACCTCCAGATGTGTTGACGGCTGTTTCACATGAAAGGTGCAGAAGATATGTTTCTACTTATCTTCTCAGTAAGGTGAAAGGAGATGTTGATCAAATTGTGTTCACAGATACCTGGTAGGGTTTGGTAGACTGAGCAGTCAGCTGAAGTAAATGTTCTTATAATATTTTGGGAGAGAAAATCAGGGCCTTCTTCTTTGTGAAGGAAATCTCCAGAGTTGATTCTGGAAGACAGAGATGACTAACGTACTCCTCTCTCCTTTCCCTCTCCATATCTGAAGTGTTCTTCTCCCAGGTGACAGGGTGTTGTTTTCTGCCACCACAAAATAGATGTGCCTCATTCCAATATAGTACAACACCTTTTTTTTTTATTATTATTATCTCCTGCTCACAACTAGATTTCTCATCTAGAAAGATCAGGTATGAGAGAAACAAGGTCATTTTTATAACATTTATAGCAATCTATTATGCTCAATTTTGTAGAAGTGGGCCACTGCAGGGGGACTCAATGAACAATGTGGTCAACCAAGAGATCTTTGTGTTATGATCCAGGACCAGATCCATCCAACAAAAGAACCCAAGATGCTAAACCAGAATTAAGTTTTTTGGGCCCCCTTTTGGACGTCCAAGGGGCATACCTACCAAGATCACCTGTGTTTATTATTAGGGGAAAGTAAGAAGCTTCAGGCCCAAGAATGATCAAGGATGAATCTTGAATTTTCAAAATAGGTTTAAATAACCTCTCACGTCTTTGGTCCTAATTATCACCCAAGAAGCAGTCACAGGTAGATGATCCCTTTCTGGGGGCAGCTGCACTCAGTGGTCAAATTTCCTTGCTATGGTGTGTGAGCCCAAAGAAAGTGAGAAACACAAAGTCAGAAATAGTTTGAATCAATTTTTGAGAAGGCAGATGCAATGCATGCACAATAATATCAGATACCTGTAGATAAAAGAGAGTGTGGAAATTCTATCAAATACCTTGATAATCAACTCATTACTAAGTAACATGTATGATAAAAAGTGCTTATCAGACTGAAAATGATCTGGAAGGCCAAATACACAGATCGTTTGAAGGGCCACAACTCTGGTCAAATACAGCTGATCTTTAAGGAACAGAAACACCCATAATGAGAGAAAGCGTAAACAGTGGTAAAACACTGCTGTCAGCCTGGAGAGGGGGTCAAAGGTGCAATCTAGTCAGTCTACAAGAGTGGTTGAGAGCTATACCCTGTACAAGGTGACCTCTCTTATCACAAGACAAATGGGTCAACTTTTGGCATGTATCACAAGTTACGCAAGTGGTGGTAATGGTAATCTCTGCATCAGAGACATAGAACACTTTATTTTGTGCCTTGTCTGTGATGGTAGATGCACTGATTTTTCTGGTATGATAATGAATCCAGACAGCAGTAATGGCAAGCTGAGCAATATAAGCTCAGGCAGTCAGTCTCATCAGAGAATGGACCCTTACCATAGACATCTACACAAGTAACCAAGATAGCTCCATTAGCATCCATGACTTATTTTCAGTTTGTGGCCCCAAAGAGAGTTTACTTTAATCTGCCATTCTGTAGTGTAGGAAAGGAGAAACAGGCTAATGAAAAAATAGAGGAGCCAAGTAGAAAACATATACCAAATCATAGATTTAATGCATCCATATTAATATAAAAATGAGCTATAGACTCCAATTAGAAGAAGTCATCAGGTTGGATAAAAAGCAAGACACAACTATTTACTTCTCACAAGAGATACATCTTAAATATAAAGTTAGTTTGTACTCGGTGTTCTCATAAACAACCGAAACACTATCTTAGGTAGCTGAACTTAAGCCTTAAATTAATCTGCAAATATGTACATGGAAATGTGTAGTGACTCAGCCAGGAAGTCACGCTAAAGTTTATTATTATTATTGTTTTTGTTGTTAACAAAAGAGTGTAGTCCTAAGGCCTAACAAGAAAAAAAAGCTGAAAGACATTTTAAAGAAAAAAAACTGTAATTAATGACAAATTGGATACAGGATAGGATATAAGGGTGAAAAATGACTTTGGACTTAACTACAGTGGCACTTTCAAATTAACATTTTATTGAGCAACATTTTTTTTTGTTTATTCAGTGGTTTTAGTGGTTGCCATAAAGGAAGTAAATAGTTATGTGTATTTGATTTCCTTCTTTTAATAGGCTCCCAGATGGGCAGAGAGCTCCCATCCAGAGCCTTCAATTGTCAGAAATGGCCAGAACCCAAGAAACTCAAGGGAGAAGTGAAATTGAGTTTCTACCAATCTTGTTCAGAAAGTTCTTTTAATATGTCAGCTAAATTCCCCAGACCAGTAATATCAACATGCTCAGATGCCTTTTTCTTTTTCCTAATCTTCCTAATTCTTGCATGTGGTCCTATATGTAATAGAAAAGCTTATCTTGCTGAGGAGGTAAAACTCCAGATACATAATTTAGTTATAATACAAAAAACCCACAGTGTTTGCCATCTCGACTCAATATGCAGAGATATGCACATTGTTTATCAGAATCTGGAGTAAATTCCACACATATAAACATATTTATCTTTAGTATCTCTAACTTATGGGAAAAAAAAGTGATACGTAAAAATCAAAGCTGTCTTGTTTTTTTTAATGAAATGAAAATGTTCATCCTAAAATCACTCTGTGAATCTGCCTGGAGGGTTGATTTTTTTTTTCTAAGTCTCATGGGGATGTTTTCTGAACAAATTTTTCCTTTAATGTCAGTGGTGCCCTATGTTTAGATTAGCTTTATGAGCTCATAGTGGAACACAAAATAGCCTCATGGGGAAAAATATCCCTGAAAAGGAGACATTAATAAGCCAAATAAATCCCCACTGTCCTGAGGAGATAAGATATGAAGAAATAGCAGAAGGCTGAATATAGATTATACAAGAGACATCAAGTACACAAAAGACTATTGTGGGAAGGAAGTTACCTACTATTCTTCATTTAAATGCAATTTTAGGCATTGATGTAGTAATTTCCTAGAGAAAATACTGCAAGGTTGATTAGAGTTACTGTATCTTCCAAAAGCACCTCCCTTAAGTCTCAAAACATAGATTGCATTACAAAGCCAGTTGAAAGGGTAACAGATAAAGTAATTCTATAATTTCCTTTGCTTTACAACCCTGTTGGGGAGTCCTCAGCCAAAGCAAAGGGACTTTACATTCAAAGCTAAATATAAAATATTTCAGAGAGCAAATTTGATTCCAGAAGGTTAAAAACTTCAGCCTCGAGTGAAATACACATTCATTGGGAATAGTCATTGAGTTTGTTTATTGGATTATTGTTTTTTACTTTGGTGGTATATACAAGAAGAGTATTAAATCTCATTAGGTCTGTATTCAATGACATATTCTACCACATATTCATCAGGGCATGCAGGTGCTTATCTGTCTAGTCCACTGTGGGCACCAGAATCTTGACTCTAATTTTATAAGATGGTTTTCATTCATCCCATCACAAAACATGTAGGGCATTTTATTTGGGGAATATATAGGAAGACAAAAGAAATGCAATAAAAATGATAAAACATTTAATTTACACATATATGACAAACTCTAAAGGAATTCAATAGCTTTTGATATTTATTTGGAGTTCTGATTACTGTTGAGCTGATGATAATCTTTGAGCAATGTGATAAGGGGCTAATGTTAATCTTCTCTGGGTTCTCTGTTTGGGTGTGCTCTGATGTCTGCTTCTTTCTTTTGGTTCCAAAGTCTTATTTTATTTCTTTCTTTGCTCCTGAGACAGCCTTTAGCAACTGATTTCCACAGAAGCTGTATTTAACTCCCCTTACCTCTGCTCAATGCTAGCTTTCTGTTTTGTATATTATCAAAAATAGTTGTGAGATCTTGCAAGCCTTTACTCTCTACCTGAGGCCTGGGGCTGTGATCTCTGTCACCTGCATTTGCTCTGTGAGATCTGTATTATCCTGGGTGCTGTTGAGCTAGGAAGGACATTTCAAAACCTCTTCTATGGAAAAAAACATTTTCCACCCAGAGGCTTTATAGAAAATGTGCTGCAGTCTGGCCTAAGCCAATGTAATGTGGCCATTCCCAAGTATGAGATTCTTCTTGGTTGACACTGGGCAGTCTCCAGTAGTTTAGAAATAGCTGAAAACAATAGGTATCCTCCCATATGCTCTCACTACAATGAGGTTACAATGAAAGCAATGAAAGCAAATTCTGTACATCAACATCTATTAACAAGCATGCACAAAAGTCATCATAAAACATTTTCAGTAATACTGATGAGATTCTAGGCCTCTGTCCATTTCTGTGTTCTGACACCACTTCACATCATTAGAGACAGATGTGACATCATTCTAGAGGCAGTTTTCACCTAATATTATAGTTGGAGCACATGTCAAGTGTCTTTGCCAGATGGTTGTGATAGTTAATTTAATAGGTCAACTTGACTGGGCAATGCAGTACAATGATACTTGGTCAAACATTATTCTGGATGTTTCTTTGATAGTGGTTTTGGATGTGTTTAACATTTACATCAATAGACTGAGTAAAGCAGATTGTACCCCTGAATGTAGGTGGGCATCATCCTTTCAGTTGAAGGGCTGAATACAACAAAAGCCTGACCTTCTCTTGAATAAGAGGTAATTCTTCCTACCTGACTGCTTTTGGACTGGAATATTGGTTGTCCTGCCTTTAGACTTGAACCGAAACATCAAAACATCAGCCCATCCTGGGTCTCAAGCCTGCTGACTGTAGATTTTGGGATTTGTCATCTCTGTAATCGTATGAGCCAATTCCTTATGGTATCTCTCTCTCTTCACCCCCCACTCCACTTTCTCCCTCTCAATACACACAAATTTACATATGCTATTGACTTGGAGGACCATGACTAATACAGTGGTAAAATAAATATAGGTTTAATTTCAGAAGTCTAAGCCTAAGACAGTGTTCTGTAAGATTGAGCCTATTGGGTTTGCTGATTCTGATTCTCATTCTCTATTCTTATGAAGGTGTTGGAGTAGGATATGTTGCCAGGAACAATAACTCTCCTCTGCACTCATCTGAAACAGCACTCAGTTCAATGATGAAAAGCTACTTTATCATCCAGTATGTTCATTTTAAGGGCTCTGATGTTGTTTGGAGATTAAGACAGCTAAAGCCTCTGACCTAGGTTGGTATATTCTCAGCCATGGAATTTGGAAAGTTCCTAAGTTATAGATTTAAAGTAACACACATATATTTTGGCCTGAGGTATTTTAAAATCAAGTGCAGAGAATACAACAAAATAGGCTCCTTGCCCCAAGTACATGGACAGCAAAACCCTTCCTGCATATGCCAGTGGCTTTTCCTCAGCAGCAGTTGCCTGAGGCCTTCCTCTTTTATTCCATGTCCTTTATTATGGGTTTAGCCAACAAATATGGCATTTGATACTTTATACAAGACCAAATCTGCAGATTCAGCCTATTATCAATACTTTTAGGAGCATTTAGCGACAGGTGTCTTACTGTGACACATTCTTACAGTCTTGTATTCAGAATCTGCAGCTCTCAAGCTTTCCTGAAGACATACCATTTCATTGCCCAAGAATAAATGCATCTTGCAACTTTTCATTGAAGCAAATTTCTTGGCTTCTGAGTTATTTTGAATATGTAAATTTACAGACACAAAACAGACATTCACTTTATATAACCCCAGCCTCTCAGCTGGATAGCTTTTTCCTTAAAATGTATGCATATCCTAAATAATCTCCTTCATATTCATGCCTATTCTTTTGAGGAAGAAAAAAATATACTTTTCAGTCTTTGCATCATTTAAAAAATATTACAGAGCTTGGGGCTTGTGCTCATTGCTCCTGTGAAGCCATGGCATATAGACGAGATCATCCAGGGGCCAAAGGCTCATCTCTTTCAGTAACAGGTTTTGTATTTGAAATAGCCAAGGCTGGTCACCTTCAATGAGAAGCTTGACCCCATCAAGGCCCTTAATTGGATTATCACTAACCGCTCACTAACTGTTCTGGTCTTCAGCTTGAAATGTAGCAACAAATTTAAATTCCAAATAGGTGAAAAATATGTTTTAAGCCAAAAACTGTATCCTAATAAGGTATCTCCTCTATCAATTTGGTACTCCACACAGGAGAGCAACAAATTAGGGGGATTTCCAAGTCTAATACAGGTGTGCTTCCAGGGAGACAATGAGTTTCCTCCTCCTGCCTCCTAAAGTCATGCCAGGCTTTCAAGAGCCCTGCAGCCCAATGTTGAGCTTTAAGAGTATAATAAAAATATACCTCTGAATTAATCTCATAGCTTATTATTTGGGGTAAAATTTGGGGTATTTCACCCAGAATCAATCTGCAGTGAAACCATTGGCAACCTGGTTCCCAGGTTCAGTCAACCAATATGCAAATAATAGATTTCATAACTCCATCATAATAGGCCAATTGGCTACAAGCAATAGGCAAGTCAGATGCTTTCCTGAATTACCCTACTATTTTTATATTTGATTGAACTTAGCAGCCTGCTTAGTTCAAAGAAGTAACCTGAAAATAATAAACTAAATGGGATCCCTTATAGTATGGTAGACTCCACTGCTAAGTCTCTATGGCCTAATTGGATAGATTGCTATAGCAATTTCTAAATTTGATGAGGCAACCAGTGGGAGAGGAAGCATAGTGATTTTATTATTAATTTTGTTCTTGCATCTCTTTCTCCTCTCAAGAGTGATTTTGGAAGCCCCTGACAAATCTAGAGACCACCAAGGGCTATGAAAACAAGAGAGTTTAGTTTCTGCAAGTTTTAACTTTGCTTAATGGGCTTGACCACCTGGAGGGAACAGGAAGGAAAGGTCTGCAGCTTCAGACTGCTTTCAGGGTCTCCAGCCAAAAAGCATCTTACTACATGATTTCTGGACAGGAAAGAAGAGAGCATAGCAGAAGCTCATGTGGGTAGCAGGGAAAAAGTCAGAGGCAGAAGACAGAACACAATGGCCCTGGGAAGCTTAGCATCACCCGAGTCACCCCAAAAGAGATGGGGCTGAACTAGTCCAAACAGATAGAGCTCCTGCTCTGGCAGGCAGGAGCAGCAGGGTGAATTATCTGTTTAATAATCAGATCAGTAGCTGCCTGTGAACTGTGATAAGGAAGCTCAAATAGGACAGGGTTAAAGGGGAGAATAATGCACCGTGTCTTCAACTGACAAGTTCTAATTGTCCTGTAGGACTGAGAAAGGATCAGCTTTATAAGGAATACACTTCTAAAAATGTCAAGCAGAAACCTCAGGCTGCTTAGAAATTGATGTGCCCTTTCATTTAAAGGAGCTCTCAGCCTTGCAGTGATAGGGCTGGAATTAAAGAGACTGAGGAGGAGGAGCTGAACAAATGGGCACGTGACAGACTAAATTTCCAGGTCAGCATTTAGCAAGGCATAGTTAATATATATATTATATATATATATATATATATATAAAATATATATATATAAAAAATATATATATATATATAAAATATATATATATATAAAATATATATATATATAAAATATATATATATATATATTTTAGCAGTATGGCCATTATTAAGAGAGAGTTCTGGAGTTATATAGCATAGGCTCCAATTCTGGCTCTGTCACCCGCTCTGTGACCCCGAGTAACTTACTTAACTTTTCTCTGCCTTTATTGACTCATCCCATTAAAGGAGGGTATTGGTGTTGTTGCACATCATAAAACAGACACTGGGTAGAAAAAGCTTACGCCTGTGCTTGACACAGAGTGAGTGATCCACCCATTTTCACTATGATTTTTCATGGCACCTACATCCTGATATGTGCTTGCACTGAATGAAAAGACTTTAGAATTCTGTGCTTCCTCTTGACAATGACAATTTGTGTGATGGTGTGGTCCCTTTATGTGCTCCTTTTTAAATAAGGGATTGAGTGGTGATGACAGGGAGGAAGATGACAAAGAGACCTCCGGGGAATGCAGAACATGCAGAAGTCGACTTGGAAGAGAGTGACAGGCTCCCACACAGACAGCACTAGGGAGTATTGCTGTTTTTGTCTTCTTTTCTTTCCAAATTTAACTGAAGCAATAAAATATTCTTAATGTCCACTCTTGGCATTTTCACAGCTTGCTTTTACCTACTTCCAGGTGTCACAACAGGATGACTTGGTAGTGCTAAACTACTTCCAGAAATATGTTGGGAAATAACTTTTGAGGCCAAGAGGCCAAGCAGCTCATGCTACTAAATTATTACAGGTATTGTGAGGAGTCAAAATCTTTTGCTAAGTTAATGAAGTAACAGACTTCCATCTACGGTTTACATCACCTTGTCAGTTCAATTTACTTTCTTGCCCATTTTCCCTTCAGAATGCAAGGCTGTCAGAACCAAGTTTCTTTTGGTTGAGGCACCTATTTTATATTCATTTAGTTACTGTGTGGCATTTTTATGTCAGGAAAACCACATTTGCTCTCATGAAATGACCCTAAGCTAATAAACCATAAATTATCTTTAAAACCTGATAGAGGATTTTGAAGTTACAAACAAGTAATAAAATAATTTGCAGGCAATGTTATTTCCCCACCAGATTTACCTAAAGAAACTACTCTATGGCAAGATCCATTTATTACACAAATCATTGTAAAGATGGTGAATGGCTATTCCAATTTTCATTTACTTTACTTTACTTTCAAATTGGGAGAGAACTAGAGGTGGACATTACAGCGGAAATCTCCAATATCAAGATCACTGAATAATTAGATAAATAATTTTAGTTAACAAGCACTGAAGAATTAGATAAATAATTTTAGTTAACAAGCACTTTCAAGGGCTTGCATCATGTCTAATAGAACTGTATAGAAGGGAAAATTTGCTTTAAAGTTGGTATGGATTAAATTTTTATTTTTTTTTTATTTTTGAGACAGAGTCTCACTCAGTCACCCAGGCGGGAGTGCAGTAGCCCAATTTTGGCTTACTGCTACCTCCACCTCTCAGCTTCAAGTGATTCTCCTGCCTCAGCCTCTCAAGTAGCTGGAACTACAGGCGCCCTCCACCATGCCCAGCTAATTTTCATATTTTTAGTAGAGACAGGGTTTCACTATGTTGGCCAGGATTGTCTCAAACTCCTGACTCAGGGGATCTGCCGGCCTCAGGCTCCCAAAGTGCTGGGATTACAGGCATGGGACCCCCTGCCCAGCCTGGAATAACACTTTTAAATTCATACATATGCACACACATTAGTATTTTATACCAGTAAGTAGCATATCATGCTATGAAAATCATTGGCATCAAATGTGTACCAAGAGGGCTTTTTCTTTTCTTTCCTTTTTCCTTTTTTGCCAATAATACATTTTCTTGCCATTTTGTAACAAAACTTCTCTTTAAAGAACACTGAGCAATATCACACACACACACACACACACACACACACACACATATGTGTGTGTATATATATATATATATATATATATCCCTTAGTCCTTAGTCATCGTGTTTACCTGTTAAACTGCTAAAATGCCTCTTTTTTGTATTTTCCAAAATTTCAGTAACTCAAGCATTTGGGGTGATGAAAAAAATAATAAATAATAACTATTTTTCTAGCAGTTGTAATATATATTTTAAAATGCATTGAATAAAAATACAGATTAAAGAAATGACAGATGGAGAAAAGATAAGAGAAGGGGGAAAAGCAAAGGGAAAAACTAGAAAAGAAGGAAAGTAATGGGATGTTGAAGAAAAAGTCAGATATTAGGGAAAGGAACAAAGAAAGAAGAACAAGGAGACATTATCTCTCAATTATCTATGAGTAAGAGGTGAAGAAATAGCTTTCCCAGGTGAGAATATCTTCGTTGGAGAACCAGAGAAAAAGAAGAGAATAAAATTATTACTACTTCTCTCATGATTGAGGGGATAATGAGAAAATGAAATCTTGCCAACCTCCAACTAAAAGTGCAGGAAGCAGTCATGAAAATAGTTTTGAAAAATCATCATCTCTTATAAACCACCTCCTAAAATATAGATACTTTACCTCCCTTTTATTTATGTATTTATTTTTCCCTGTAGCCATGTAATTCTTGGGAATTGAATTTGTCTGCTTGACTGCCTGTAAATGTAAACACATTGAGGGTTTAAAGCCCAATCACACAATAAGATATCCAAAGGCAGAAACTTGTAGGCACTGGTCCTGTGGCTGAAAAATATCTGAGTCCAGGATTCTGTGACTCTCTTGGCTTTCCATTAATGGTCCTAATGGCTGCTGCATTACCAGCTTTCATATTCACAACAGATACGAGTAAAGGAGATGGTGAAAAGTAAAAGGGTATGAACCTGCTGAGTCCACCTTCTTTAAAGGAGTTTTTCAGAACACTCTCTCAGCTACCCTATGCTTATATCTACTTGGCCAGAATTGCAAAATCTTGGTCATCACTGACGGATACAAGTGAATGTAGTTTTGTTTGCTTGTTTGTTTTTATCTGAACCCTTTGTTGCTGCCCACAAAATTAGGATGTCATTATAAAAGAGAATGAATACCAGGTTGGCAGCTTTTTTTGGATTGCATAAATTAAATTTAAAAGTTACAATAGTAGATGAAACTGGTCTTACTATTGCTTTGCTGGTGATATAAAAGTATTACATTTTTCAGAGAATATGCCTTACAAAGAAAAAGGCAGAAAGTCTGAAGATGGCAAGTCAGAAAGATGGCAAAAAAGAAAGTCTTGGACCATCCTTTCCCCTCCTCATTAAGAAACCAAATCAACAATAATTCATCTACAAATTTCTCCTCTGAGAATTTAGAAACTGGTTAAAAGTCTTCTGTACCTTGTGTGAATGCGAAATTAGATACATAGAAACTGTTAGGGAGATCAAGACACCCTCTTGCAAGAATTCCTATTCCTGCCCATGCCATATGATTGGAAGGAAACCCTCAGCTCCTAGCTTCTCCCTGTAGAGGGAAAGAGTTGGACCATGCATCCAATGCCACAGCTTTTCTGAGGGATACCCCAAAAAATGGCTTCTGTTTTGCCTGTTTCAGAGGGCTGATGAGAACCAGAATACTTTAGACATCAATGGGCCAGTGAGAACAAGACAGTGGTTTGATTGAGCATGCAACTAGTTGCCACAGCCCCATCCCCCAATTTAGCACAGAAGGAACAGGCAAAAAATCCAAGATCTCAGATTTTTCCTGGAGAGAAAAGGTTTGGACAGAGCATCCAGTTATTCAACTTTTATGTGGGCTACTCTGGTAACTGGATTCTGTCTCACTTGTCTCAAAGCTCTCGGTAGGACAAGCATAATCTGGACACTTAGGGGTTGCTAAGAACAAAGAAAGCAGATTCAACTAGCACAAAGATTTGAGAGATCCCAAGAATCAACCAGCCTGACTGGTGAGAGTCTTCTCCTGATGAGAACAGTCTTCATAGACTGGGAGAAATGGCTGTTTTTCTAATGTGCCAACACCAACACAGAGAGTGAAAGAAAACAAAGAAATGAATAAATATGTTCCAAAAACATCTACAAGATAATTATCTGGAAACCACCAACAATTAAGTAGAGATACGTGATTTATCTGACAGAGAATTCAAAATAGCAGTCATAAAGATGTTCACTGAGGTCAGAGAGAAATGCATGAACAAAATGATGATTTAAACAAAGATATAAAAATATAATAAAGTACTAAACAAAAACTGTAGGGCTGAAGATTATTGAACTGAAAAATTTAATAGAGGAGGTGTTTCTATTTTTTCTCACCATTCTGTCTCTTAGTGCACATGCCCAGGAAGTTTATTCTCCCCAGCATTGGTATCCAATTAACACTTTTTTTTTATTTTAAGTTATGGGGTATGTGTAGAGGAATGCAGGATTGTTACATAGGTAAATGTGTGCCATGGTGATTTGCTGCACCTATCAACCATCACCTAGGTATTAAGCCCAGCATGCATTAGCTATTTTTCCTGATGCTCTCCTTCCCCCCACTACCCTGTACTTGACAGGCCCCAGTGTGTGTTGTTCCCCTCCCTGTGTCTATGTGTTTTCACCATTCAGCTCATACTTATAAGTGAGAACACATGGAGTTTGGTTTTCTGTTCCTGCATTAGTTTGCTGAGGATAATGGCTTCCAGCTCTATCCTTGTCCCTGCAAAGAACATGATCTTCTTCCTTTTCATGGCTGCATAGTATTCCATAGTGTATATGTACCACATTTTCTTTATCCAGTCAATCATTGATGAGTATTTGGGTTGGCTCAATGTATTGGCTGTTGTGAATAGTGCTGCAATGAACATACATGTGCATGTAAGTTTATAGTAGAATGACTTATCTTCCTTTGGGTATACACCCAGTAATGGGATTGCTGGGTCAAATGGTATTTCTGGTTCTAGATATTTGAGGAATTGCCACACTGTCTTTCCCAATGGTTGAACTAATTTATGTTCCCACTAACAGTGTAAAACCATTTCTATTTCTCCACAACCTTGCCAGCATTTGTCATTTCTTGACTTTTTTAAAATGGCCATTCTGACTGGAGTGAGATGGTATCTCATTATGGTTTTGATTTCCATTTCTCTAATGATCAGTGATGCCAAGCTTTTTTTCATATGTTTGTTGGCCACATAAATATCTTCTTTTGAGAAGTGTCTGTTCATGTCCTTTGCCCACTTTTTATTGGGGTTGGTTGTTGTTTCTTTTTTTTTTTTTTTTGGTAAATTTGTTTAAGTTCCTCATAGACTCTGGATTTTTGACCTTTGTCAGAAAAATAGATTGCAAAAGTTTTTTCCCATTCTGTAGGTTGTCTTTTTGCTCTGATGGTAGTTTCTTTTGCCGTGCAGAAGCTCTTTAGTTTAATTAGATCCCATTGGTCAATTTTTGCTTTTGTTGCAATGCTTTTGGCATTTTTATCATGAAATCTTTGCCCGTGCCTATGCCTATGTCATGAATGGTATTGCCTAGATATTCTTCTAGGGTTATTTATTTATTTTTATTTCTTTATTTTTATTTTTTATTTTCATAGGTTATTGGGGAACAGATGGTGTTTGGTTATGTAAGTTCTTTAGTAGTGGTTTGTGAGATTTTGGTGCACTCATCACCTGAGAAGTATACACTGCACTCTATTTGTAGTCTTTCATCCCTCACCCCCTTCCTACCCTTTCCTCTGAGTCTCCAAAGTCCATTGTGTCATTCTTATGCCTTTGCATCCTCATAGCTTAGCTCTCACTTATGAGTGAGAACATACAATGTTTGGTTTCCTATTCCTGAGTTACTTTACTTAGAATAATAGTCTCCAATTACATCCAGCTTGCTGCAAATGCCATTAATTCACTCCTTTTTATGGCTGATTATTATTCCATCATTCATATATATATATATGAATTCATATATATATGAATATATATATGAATATATATGAATACATATATGTGTATATATATATATATATATGAATACCAGGTTGGCAGCTTTTTTTAGATTACATAAATTAAATTTAAAAGTTACAATAATAGATGAAACTGGTCTTACTATTGCTTTGCTGATGATATAAAAGTATTACATTTTTCAGAGAATACACCTTACAAAGAAAAAGGCAGAAAGTCTGAAGATGGCAAGTCAGAAAGATGGCAAAAAAGTCCTGGACCATCCTTTCCCCTCCTTATTAAGAAACCAAATCAACAATAATTCATCTACAAATGGTGTGTGTGTGTGTGTGTGTGTGTGTGTATATATATATATATATGATGTATATATATATGATATATATATACAACTGAGGTATATATATATATGATGTGTGTATATATATATATAACTGAGGTATATATATATATATATATATACACACACACATATATAAAATATAACTTAGTTTCATTATCCATTCATTGATTGATGGACATTTGGGTTGGTTCTATGTTTTTGCAGTTGTGAATTGTGCTGCTATACATATGCGTGTGCAAGTATCTTTTCCAGTTTCCTGGGCACTGGCAGGGGAAAACAGCCGACTGGAGCCACAGAGATGGCAGCCCTCCCTCCCACTAGGAGCTCATTCATCTTAGGCAGTTTCAAGTCTGCTGCCACTGGCTGGTGGGGATTCCAAGCCTGTGGGTCTTAGCTACTGAGTATCTGTGGAAGTGGGGCCCAGTGGAGAATGCTGCTTGGCTCCCTGTCTTTAGCCCCCTTCCTATGGGATTGGACAGATTTCCTGCCTCACCAGAATTCTCACTAGAGGAATTTAAGAGCAGGCTAGATCAAGCGGAAGAAATAATCAGTAAACTCAAAGGTAGGTCATTGGAAATTATTCAATCAGAGAAGCAAAAAGAAAAAGAAATAAAAAAGAGTGGAGAAAACTTAAGGTATGTCATCAATTGGACTGGTGTGTACACTATGGAAATCATAGAATGAGAAGAAAAAGAGAAAGGACCAGAAAGTTATTCAAAGAAATAATGGCTAAAAGTGTCCCAAATCTGGGAAAGGAACTGAATATCCAGAACCAGGAAGCCCAAAGATTCCTAATAAGTTAATAACCCAAAGAAATTTACACCTAGACACATTATAGTCAAATGGTAAAGAGCCAAAGACAAATAATTTTGAAAGCAGTAAAAGAAAAGCAACCTGTTGTGTACAAGGGAACTTTTATGAGACCATCAGTTGATTTTTCAGCAGAAACTTGCAGGCCAAAAGGTAGTGGGATCATATGTTCAAAGTGCTGAAGGGAAGAAAAATCTGCCAACAAAGAAAACAATTTCTGGCAAAACTTTCATTCAGAAATGAAAGACTTTCCCAGACAAACAAAAGCTGAGAGTGTTCATCACCACCAGATTTGCCTTATAAGAAATGCTAAAGAGAGCTCTTCCAGTTCAAACAAAAGGATGCTAAACAGCAGCACAATAAAATAAGAAAGTATAAAACTCATTGGTAAAGATTAATTTATAGACAAATATAGAATACTCCTTGATTGTAACTGTTGCATAAGTCACTTTTATGCTAGAAGAAAAGTTTTAAAAGTATTATAAATAAATGTAATTTTAAAATATGTTAATGGTACACAGTATGAATAGATGTAAATTGTGACATTGATAACATAAAGTGTGTGTGTCCGGGATAAAAGTATAACCTTTGTATGCAATTTAGCTTAAATTGTTATCAGCTTACAGTAAACATAACTATTGGTATTTAATGTAGGTCCCATGGTAACCACAAAAAATACTTGTAGAAATTACACAAAAGAAAAAAAGAAGAAAATGAAAGCACAGCAATACAAAAAAAATTAACGAAATTCAAAGGAAAACAGCAAGAGGGGAAAAGATGGGAAAAGAACTACAAGAGAAACAAAACAATTAACAAAATGGTAATAGTAAATCCATCCCTATTAATAATTACTTTAGATACGGATGGATTAAACGCCTCAATCAAAAGACATAGAGTAACTGGATGGATTCTTAAAATCCAACTGTATGATGTCTACAAGAAACTTGCTTTCGGTTGAAGGACACACATAAGCTGAATTAGAAGGGCTAGAAAAGGCTATTACATGGGAATAGTAACAAAAGGAATGCAGAGGTGGCTATACATATACCAGGAAAAATAGATTTAAGTAAAATATTTTGTCACAAGAGATAAAGAAAAACAATATATCTCTATCTATCTATAATAGAAGAGTTAATTCACCAAGAAGATATAACAATTCTAAATATATGCACCCAAGAGCAGAACACCTAAGTCTATAAAGCAAAAATTGATAGAACTGACAGAGAACTATAAAGCAATACAATAATGGTAGGAGATTTCACAGCCCCACTTTCAATAATGGATTAAACAACCAGACAGAAAATTGAAAAGAAGCAGTAGACTTAAACAATGTGAAGTACCAAATGGACCTAACAGACCTATACAGAAAGTTTCACTCAACAGTAGTAGAATATACATTCCTCGTAAGTGCACACAGAACACTCTTCAGTATGGATCACATGTTAGTTCATAAAACAACACTTTATAAATTTAAGAAGATTTAAATCATACCATGTATTTTTTTCTGACCACAATGGAATGAAATTAGAAATCAATAGTGGGGGAAAACTTAAACATTTCCAAATATGTGGAAAATAAACAATGCACTTTTGAACAACCAATAACTCAAAAACCAAATCAAAGGAAAATCAGAAAATATCTTGATACAAACAAAAATGGAAACACCAGACACCAAAACTTATGAGATGCAGGAAAATAAATAAGGACTGAGAAGGAAGTTTAATGTGAAAAATGTGTACATTAAAAAAAGAAAGCTCTCAAATAAATAACCTAACTTTACACTGCAAGGAACTAGAAAAAGAATAAACCAAAGATGAAATTAGCAGAAGGAAGGAAGTAATGAAATATACAGCAGAATTAAACAACATAGAGAATAGAAAAACAATAAAAAGTCAATAAAATTAAGGGTTGGTTTTTTGAAAAGACCAACAAAAATTATAAATCTTTAGTTAGACTAACCAAGGAAAAAAGAGAGAAAAACTCAAATAAATAAAACAAAAATGTAAACAAAGACATTAAAACTGATGCCATGGAAATGAAAAGGGTCACAAGAGATTACTGTAAGTAATTGTCCACTAACAAACTGGATAATCTAGAAAAAATGGATAAATTCCTAGAAACATACAACCACCAAGACTAAATCATAAATAAATAGAAAGTCTGAGCAGACCTATAACTGACATGGAGATTGATTCAGTAATCCAAAATCTCCACAAAAGCCTAGGACCAGATAGCTTTAAAGAATTAGTATTGATAATTCTCAAACACTTTCAAAAAACTGAAGAGGAGAAAGAAACTTCCAAACTCTTTTATGAGGCCAGCATTATCCTAATATCCAAGCCAGACCAAGATGTTACAAGAAAAAAATTAGAGACCAATATCCCTGATAAACAGATGCAAAAAAAAAAAAACTAAAAAAAAAATACTAGCAAGCTGAATCCAACAGTGCGTTAAAAGGACCATACACCATGAACAAGTTGGAGTATTCCTGGGTCACAACATCCAAACATCAATTAATGTGACATATCCCATTAACAGAATAAAGAATACAAATCACATGATTGTTGAATAGATGCCAAAAAAAAGTTTCACAAAGTTCAACACCCTTTCATGATAACTCTCAACAAACTAGGAAAGATGGAAATTACCTCAACATAATAAAGGCAGCCCTATATGACAAGCCCACAGCTAACATGATAATCAACTGTGAAGGACTGAAAGATTTTCCTCTAAGATCTGGAACAAGGCAAGATGCCCACTTTGCCCAGTTGTATTCAACTTAATACCAGAAGTCTTAGCCAGAGCAATTGGGCAAGATAAATAAATAGAAAGCATCCAAATTCAAGAGGATGAAGAGAAATTGTCTCTGCAGATGATGTGACTTTATACATAGGAAACCCTAAAGACTCCACAAAAATCTGTTAACAAATGAATTCAGTAAAGTGACAGGATACAAAATCAATAAAAAAAAAAAATCATTGGGATTTCTATACACTAAGAATGAAATACTGAAAAGAAATTTAGAAAAACAATCCAATTTACAATAGCACAAAAAAGAATAAAATACTTGGGATTAAACTTAACTAAGGAGATGAAAGACACATAGTAAAAACTACAAAACACTGAGGAAAAAATCAAATAAGTCACAAACATGTGGAAAGATATTCTGTGTTCATAGATTTAAAGACTTAATATTATTAAAATGTTCATGCAACACATAGTAATCTACAGATTCAAAATACTATCCCTATCAAAATCCCAATAGCATTTTTTATAGAAATAGAAAAACAATTCTAAAATTAATGTGAAACCACAAATGACCCCAAATAGTCAAATCAGTCTTGAGAAAGAAGAACAAAACTGGCAGTACCACACCTCCTGATATTAAAATATATCACAAAGCTACAATAATTAAAAATGTATGGTACTGGCATAAAGCTAGGCATATGGAACAATGGAACAGAAAAGAGCCCAGAAATAAATTCATGCACATATTGTGAACTGGTCAAGAGTGCCAAGTATACACAATGGGGAAAAGATAGTTTCTTCAACAAATGGTGCAGGGAAAACTGATCATCCACATGCAAAAGAACAAAATTAGAGCTTTGCCTTATACCATACACAAAAATCAATTTGAAATGGATTAAAGGCTCAGATAAACAAACTAAAACCTCAAAACTTCCAGAAGAAACGATGGGGCAAAGTTACACGACAGTAGTCTTGGCAATCATTTCATGGATATGACACCAAAAGCACAGGCAACAAAAGCAAAATCAGACAAGTGGAACTACATCACACTAAAAAGCTGTACAGAAAAAAGAAATTTGTAAAAAAAAAAAAACCTATGGAATTGGATAATTTGCAAAGCACATATCAATTAAGGGACTAATTTGTAAAATATATTTAAAAACTCCTAAAATTCATTAGCAAAAATACCCTTAAAATCCATTTTTAAAATGGCTAAAGACTTGAACAGATCTTTCCTCAAAGAAGACATACAAATGGCCAACAAGTATATAAATAGATGCTTAATGTCACTAATCATCAAAGAATGAGATTCAAAACCAAAATGTGACATCACCTAATACTGTTAGAACAGCTAATATCAAAAAACCAAAGAACAGTTGTTAGACAACACATGAAGAAATAGAAACTTGTGTACACTGTTAGAGGAAATGCATAATGATGCAGCTTCTGATGAAACAGTATAGAGGTTCCTCAAAAAAATTAAAAGTAAAAGCATTATAAGGGGCATTACTAATCAACTGGTGAAAGTCTCAGTTACTCAAGATTAATAGCTGCTGGATATCTACTATACAACAATGTACTTATAGTTAATATTTTATGGTACAGCTAAAATTTTGTTAAGAAGATAGATTTCATGTTGTGGTCTTACCACAATAAAATTAAATTTTAAAATTTCATCCCAAAATATAAGTAAATGTTTACTAATGGCTGCATTTTATTTTATTTTGATAAACTCAAAATGATCACTGGGGAAAGCTGTAAAGTTGACTTAAACACATATAAAAGAATGAACCATCTACATGAATAAAAACAACTTGAATAAAATTAAGAAAATTACTGTATTAAAGGCATGTATGTCCACAAATCTCTGGAAATACTTAGGAATCATTTGTAAGCAGAATTCCTTACTTTTAAATATAAAAGCGATAATGTTTGATTGTTTATAAAGGGCTACTATGATTATATAAATTAAGGTTAGTTTGGTTGCATAAAGGAGAAAACTCAAAATAACCATGAGACAAAGACATGTAAAAGGTAGGCTGTCAAGCCTCATGTGATGATTTGATGAATTACTCAGCCACCTAATTCCTAGTTTTCTCCTAAAATGTCTTTGCTACAAGGCTTCTATCTTCAAGGTTGATTCCTGTACAAACATGACATCTGGTGTTCACGCTATCTCTTCTTCAACACAGGCAGTAGGAAAGTGGAAGAACCAAAAACAGAGTCTGTGAAACGAGTCAACACCCCTTCAACCACTTTTCTGGAAACCCCATGCAATACTTCTGCATATGTCTTATTGACATTAAGTATTCACATGCCCATACCTTGCTGAAAAGAAGGCTTGAGAAAGTCGTGGAAGGCTAGTTACATCATCACTCTAAATTAAAACTCTGAGTTTTGTTTTTATGGAGGAAGTAGAAAATAGATATTGGATGGTAATTAGAAGTATATGTCAAAGCAAGTTAAAACTGCTTCTAGCACTTACCAGTGTGCTTCAATTAATAGAGAAGTGGTCACCCAGCCTAATTCATGATTAGAAAGAGCAATTTCATGGTGTTTATAACAAAACAATATCAACAAAGAAAATATGATTTAGTTACTTACTGTACCACGTGTCTGTTCTTGTGTTTTGCCCATCTTCAGGTTAAACCTAGCATGTGGTAACTTTACCCTATCATCCCAAATATCCAACCTTGAAAGGTTTGATGAGTAATAAAATGTCCATAAAGTTTTAGGCAGGGAAGAAGATGATGACCAATTTGCACATCATGAAGTCTTCCTGCATGGGTTTTCTCTCTCTGGTAGCCACATCTTTCCTCTCTCTTCCAACACCTTCTGGTCTTCTCCAGCCTTTTGGCCAGGCTGAACCCTCACTCAGACTCACAAGGCTTTCATATCTCATCAGCTGCAACACCAATAGCAAGCCCAGAGATCTGCCAAATGAACATCAGATGTGTCCCTTAATTAATCTCAAACATATTGACCAACTATTAAATACTTGCTATTAGACATAACAGGGTCTGGATTCTCAGCAGGGTGTAAATGCCTGTAAATGCCTCTAAAGCCTTTTTGGGCTCTAGGAGTTTGAACGTCAGTGTAACATAGCATGTGAATACCAAGAGGACAAAGACTTGTTCTGCTTGGTTAACAGTGCCTGCTGTGACCATCAGTGAGAAAAATCATGAGCAAGTCTCACCTTTATTTCTGATGGGGCCCAACATAACTTGTCGGCTGCTATGTGTTTGCTCTGTGGTAGCTTCTTTGAACAAATGCTATTCTGTAGTCTTTCGTGCTCATGTTTTCCCAGCTTTTTCTGTAATGAACATCAGAAACAGAAACTTGCAATAGCAGCATTGTGTGCTCCTGACAGAGCTAATGGAAAGAGTTACCATTACCAGACAAAGATTTGTCTGATCAACCACAATGATTTCTCCAAATCCTGATATTCAGTGTATTAGGTTGTTAGTATTAGGAGATGCTTTCCCAAGACATGAAAAATAAAACCCCTTTGGGTCAAACCTGCAATAACCAGATTTCTCATTAAGAACGTGCCAGTAAATGTTTAACAACAGGCTATTCACACACACACACACACACACACACACACACACACACACACAAAACCAAAACAAAACACCAGCCCTAATTTTAGGATTTTTGCCAGCTTCCATGGTGTAAATACTCCCTCCAAGGCTGATTTCAAGCTACCTGTGTGATGGCATTAAGGTGGAGATAGGAAGAGAAGTGCACAAAGGGCTGTTATCAGTCAGTGTGAGCCAGCTTATCACTGACTCTGAGAATTAGTAACAATGTCTGTGCTCTCTATTCACACTTAATGACATAATTAATCAATGTGTTACTTAAATATGGCAGTGTGGGAAGCACTTAGACTTTTCAGCCAGGTCAGAGGAAACCCTGGCCACACTACTAAATAGCTTCATATTCATGTGGTCGCAGGCAACTTCATCCTTTCTGAGCTTCAGTTGCCTTATCTTTTAAATGGAGAGAACATCATGAGATCTGGTAAGTATCTAATGTAATAACGTATGGAAATTGTCTTCCACGGAATGAATGTTAAGTATATTTAGTTCCCTACATACTAACACTCATTTATTCATTTTCATTCATTTGTTTTACCTGCATTTATAGCTTAATAAACGCAAAATAATATTTTTACTGGCTTTATGTAATATACCTTTTTTGGTTTTCTTAATCTTCAAAAGTAATTTTATTTTACTTTTTTTTTTGGCTTTTCATAGAGATATTAAGATAATAAGTATTTTACTTTCCTCTAACTCTAGTATTAAAGTCAATATACACACAAGAATTAACGCAAGCTAAATAGTGACTGTTCCCTTAGCATCGGTATGGCAGAGAGAGTAGTGGGTGGAGGGGTCCGTTCTGTTTAAATAAAACAGTAACTTCTCAGCTCCCATGAATTACTATGAGGCGATAAGCAGGCTCAACATTGCCAGATCTTTCCATTTTTCTGAAGAACCAGGAATCTGAATCTTTTGTGAAAACATCTAATTTTTACTATCTTACTTTAAAATACCATAAACCAGTGCTGTGTAGGTCATATATGACCTATAGTCTATTCATTTGCACGTCTGAATTACTGGATAAGGAGGGCATGGATAGCAGAAAAGGTGAAAGGAGAAGACTGAGCAAGTTGTAGAGGCAGAAATGACAAGGGGGGAAGCTTCAGCCAGTGTCTGCAACTGCTGGAGAGATAGGCTCTTGCAATAGACAAGTTTGGATCAGTATTGTTGGGAGAAATTGAACGTGGTCTAGAATTCAGAAAAATATGGTTTTTTCTTCTATTAACAATGGAAAAAATGTTTTATTATGGAAAGAGATTTAATTAAATTGCTTGTAGTTGAAGATGAATTCAAGGATGGGGAACAGTATGCCTAGTGTTTTAAGACTTGGTGTCGGGTTGCCTAAGTTTGCTTCTGGCTCACCACTTTATAATTTTGTTTCTGTGGCAAAGTCATTTTATCTCTCCAGGAATCATGATAATAAGATTGTTTTCAGCATTAAGAGAATTACTGATTAGGAAGTGCTTAAGTACTGCCTAGCACATAGGAAGAATTCAAAACAATGTGAGCAATTTTTATTAGTGTTCAAATAAAGTGAGTGGCAGAAACACTGGTTAAGAGGTCAACATAAAATGCAGGTGTAGATCGTTCAAGGAAAGATTCAAAAGACTTAAAAAGAAAAGAAGAAAAGGAAGTATAAAATTAAAGACTGAGGTTTTTGTTGTTGTTGTTGTTGTTTTGCTTGTTTGTTTTTCACTTGGCTAATGAGTTAAAAGACCTACCTTGACAAAAATAAGAAATTGTAAATGGAGAATCTTGTGATCAGGGGAAGATGAGCCCAGCTTTAGAAATAAGCAGAATTTTAGATAAAAATAAAATAAATATTCTGTCAGCAGTTGAAGATGGAGGGCAAAAGGTAGATTGCAATTTGAGTATGACATTTACTGACAATGAATAATGTGCAGCGTCTTATGTTTAGTGTTTTGAAGAAAAACAGATACGAAAAACTCAATCCATGCCCTTCAACAAACAATGTGCAGTTTATTTAACACAGAAAATTGGACAAGGACAAAAATGATCATTCCACTAGGTAAGCATTGATAAAATGGTGGCAACAAGTACTCTGGGTATTTATAAAAGAGAAAAATAATGTTGAAGGTGGAGGAGCATGGGAGGCTTTTAAAAAAAAGGCTTCTTACAGGATCTGTAATGATGTGGTGCAGAGTTTACAGGGGACAAAGCAAGCTTGAAACAGACACTCGGGAAAATACGGGCATATTCATGATCAAGGATCAGGGTATATTGGCTGGAATGTGAAAGTTCTTTTGGTATATACATTGTTGAAGCAGAAAGATTAGTTTGGGGAATGTTAGTGAGGATCTTGAATGTCAGGATGGGGACTTTTCATTTAACGCATATGGTGAAGAGTTTGCACTCAGGATTTTAGCAGTGTGCTAACACAAATAATCTCTGCTTTGAAGAAATTCCTATGACCATATCATATAGGACTGAGTGGATGGAGAAGGCAAATAATACTGGGAAATAAGTATGGATGGAAAGAAACTACATGAGGCACAATCTGCATGATTTAGCACCGATTATGTCAATGTGGTAAACGTAAAGGAGGAGGTTATGAAAGGTGCCTTTAAGCAAATCAGTAAAGTTGGGCAAAGCACCTGGTACCCAGAGAAAAAAATCTGTAATTCAGAAAAGACACTTAGGCTTATATTGCAAATTCAATAATCCTCTAGAAATCATTATTGAAACCAGAAAGTAAATGAAAATGTCAAAGGAGCACATTCAGAAGTAAAGAAAGAGATTATGTGTCAGAGCCCTGGGTGGTAGCTACATGAAAGGAATGGGAGGAAGAGGAAAAGTTAGTGAAGGGGACAGAGAAAAAGAGATCATTGCAGTAGAAGACATACTGAGAAAGACACAGGAGTGCTGAGCAGCAGAGAGCCAAAATTATGATTGAGGATGAATTTCTGGGCTCTTTTGCTCCTTTTCCTTCAAAGAAAAAGGAGTCTATGGAAAAAGCATAAGGCCACACTGGGCTCTCTGCAACTCTGGGGAAAGCCCGGGTCTATAGAGGGCAGAATAGAAGCAGCCAGAAAGAATTCAGGCATCTAAAATACTCCAAAACTACAACTGAAAATGCAATTGGATTTCCTGGAAATTCATCTATGCCTAGATCAATTGATCTTTGTATTTTTAGAAGTTGTTGACCTTTAATGGAAATATCGGGATTTATGTAGACATATCTTAATAATGCAGCTCCAGTGCACTACGAAAACCATTCTGTAGTTCAAGGTTTATCAACCTTAGCACTATTGACACTTTGGACTGAATATTTTGTTATCAGACTGTCTCATAAATTGTAGAATGTTTAGCAGCATCCCTGGCCTCTATTCACAGGTGCTAATAGTAACCCTTCCCACTTGTGACAGCCAAAAATGTTCACAGTCACAAGATACCCTCTTTCTCTATATTGGGAACCACTGCTGTAGTTTAAGTAGCCAGAATAAGCATTTTTTTTCCTTCCACAAGAGGAATAATGATATCTAGGCAATGAAGTTCCTAGAGAAATAAAAGTGTAGTTACCAGATTTGTGACATAAAGATGTTACATATACATATATTAAAACATATATATATATATATATATATTTGCAAAGAAAAGAGAGAGAGAAAGTTATGCTTTCAAGTATCTAACAAGTGGAAGAGGCTGAAGTTATAAAACCCAAAAATAAATTAACCATTATATCTAAGCAGATGTGCCAGAGGGTAGTATTTTCAGTTAGTGGCAAATACAATTAAATAGACAGTCAGTTTGAAGCAAATAAAATTCTCCATATATCTAGTGGCATCTTTACACTGATATAAATTGCAGTGAAAAGCAATTTGCATAAATCACTATTATTCCAGAGAGAGATATATAGACCAAGCAAATCTAAAGTGACAGATGTTATAAACGTCATCATTATGGTTTTTCATTTCAATTCAAACAGTTCATAGACTTCCTCCACTGATTGCATTAAACAGGGAATTGGAGCTTCTCCTGTCAGGAAAGACAACAGCTTTGTCATGCAGGAAATTTGTTCACTCAGGCTGAGCATTTTCACTTGCCTATGAATAAAACAGTTTTCACGATAAGGTATACAAAGCAAATACCTTGGATCAGAAACAGGCTGAAGAAATATCCCAAATCACAGATTAAGACAAAACAAGAAAAGAAAAAACATCTGGTCAGTATCTAAAACAATTTTAGATAAGTCTGTGCAAAATAATAATGAATTTTATATTTTTCCATCTCAGTAAACATTAAAATGCACAATAAAGAGCCATATTGATGGTTCAAAAGGGTCTAAATTCTCATGTGCAGAGATTGTAAGGGCTATCTGTGACCAAATATGACAAATTCTTTTTAATCCCTTAAATGCAATAGATTATGTAGAGCAGAATTTAACTGTCTGTATGTTTATGTCTCTAAGGCTCTTTCATGAGAAATATTATTTCCCCTTAAGACCATTCCTAAAATATATATACACTGCTATCTGTTAAAGAAGAGTTGGCTATGTAATTTTAAAAAATATTTTTGTAGTTTTTTAGATTTAATTTTTGTGGTGTACATATTTATGGGGTACATGAGATGTTCTAACAGAGACATGCAATGCATAATATCACATAATGGAAAATGGGGTATCCATGCCCTAAAGCATTTATCCTTTGTGTTACAAACAATCCAATTATACTCTTTTAGTTATTTTTGAATGTACAATTAAACTAATATTGACTACACTCATCATGTTGTGCTATGAAATAGTAGGCCATATTTATTCTAACTATTTTCATACCTGTTAACCATCCAGACATCCCCTCTAACCCTCTACTACCCCTCCCAGCTTCTGGTAACCTCCCTTCTACTCTCTATCTCCATGGGTTCAATTGTTTTGATTTTTAGATCCCACAAGTAAGTGAGAATATGTGATGATTGTCTTTCTGTGCCTGGCTTATGTCGCTTAAGATAATGACCTCCAGTTCCATCCATGTTGTTGCAAATACTGAATGTCATTCATTTTTATGGCTGAATAGTACTCCATTGTGTATATGTACCACATTTTCTTTATACATTCATCTGTTGATGGACACTTAGGTTGCTTCCAAATCTTGGCTGTTGTGAACAGTGCTGAAACAAACATGGAAGTTCAGATATCTCTTCAATATCCTATTTTTTTGGGGGGGTAGGGTTATATACTCAGCAGTGAGATTGCTGCATTGTATAGTACCTCTATTTTTAGTCGTTTGAGGAACCTCCATACTGGTCTTCATAGTGGTTGTACTAATTTACTTTTCCACCAACAGTGTATGAGGGTTTCCTTTTTTCCACATCCTCACCAGTATTTGTTATTGCCTGACTTTTGTATAAAAGCCATTTTAACTGGGGTGAGATGATATTTCACTGTAGTTCTGATTTGCATTTCTTTGATGATCAATGATGTTAAGCACTTTTTCATATTCCTGTTTGTCATTTGTAAGTCTTCTTTTGAGAAATGTCTACTCAAATATTCTGCCCAGTTTGAATTGGATTATTCAATTTTTTCTGATAGAGTTTGAGCTGTTTATGTATTCTGGTTTTTAATCCCTTGTCAGATGAGTTGCTTGCAAATATTTTCTCCCAATTTGTGGGTTGTCTCTTCACTTTGTTGATTGTTTCCTTTGCTGTGCAGACCTTTTTAACTTGATGTGATACCACTTGTCCATTTTTACTTTGGTTGCCTGTGCTTGTAAGGTACTACTTGATAAATTTTTGCCCAGTAACCTGGAGATTTTCCCCAGGTTTTCTTGTAGTAGTGTCATAGTTTGAGGTCTTACATTTAAGTCTTTAATTCATTTTGATTTGATTTTTGTATAAATTGAGAGACAGGATTCAAGTTTTATTCTTCTGCATATAGATATCTAGTTTTCCCAGCATGGTTTACTGAAGGCTGTATTTTCCCCCATGTATGTTCTTGGCAGCTTTGTTGAAATTGAGTTTACTCTAGGAGTGTGTATTTTTTTCCTGAGTTCTCTATTCTGTTCCGTTGGTCTATGTGTCTGTTTGTATGCCAGTACCATGCTGTTTTTGTAACTATAGCTCTGTGGTATAGTTTGAAGTCAGGTAATGTGATGCCTCCAGTTTTGTTCTTTTTGCTTAGGATATATTTGCTTATTTTGGGTCTTTTGTGGTCCCATATGAAATATAGGATAGTTTTTCTTCCATTTTCATGCAAAACGTCATTGGTATTTTAATGGGGATTGCATTAAATCTATAGATTGCTTTGAGTAGTATGGACATTTTAACAATACTCATTCTTCCAATCTAGGAACCTGCACTACACTATCTTTCTACTTTTTAGGTATCCTCTTCAATTTCTTTCATCAGTGTTTCATAGTTTTCATTATACAGATCTTTCACTTTTTTGGCTAATTCCTAAGTACTTAATTTTATTTTGGGTATTGTACATGGGATTACTTTTTAAATTTCTTTTTCAGATTGTTCATGGTTGGCATATAGAAATATGAGTGATTTTTGTATGTTGATTCCATATCCTTCAGCTTTACTGAATTTATTGACCAGTTCTAATAGTTTTTTTGTGGAGTCTTTAGGTTTTTTCAAATATAAGATCATATCATTTGCCAACAAGGACAATTTTACTTCTTTTATTTTCCAATTTGGATTACCTTTATAGCCTTCTCTTGTGTGACTGCTCTAGCTAGAACTTTCCGTACTATGTTGCATAACAGTGGTGAAAATGGGCATCTTTGTTGTGTTCCAGATCTTAGAGAAAAGGTTTTCAGCTTTTCCTCATTCAGTATAATACTAGCTGTGGGTCTGTCATCTCTAGCCTTTACTATGTTGAGGTATGTTCTTTCTATACCTAGGATTTCTAGAGTTTTTAGCATGAATGGATGTTGAATTTTATCAAATGCTTTTTCAGCATCAATTGAAATGACCATATGATTATTGTCCTTCCTTCTATTGATATGATGTATGACATTTTAAATTATGTAATCAATAAATAATCATAATCAATACAACATAAATTAAACAAACCAATAACAAATAAATTAAATAAATAAAACATAATTATAAGTAAATTAAATATATAAATAATAAATAAAACAACAAATAATTAATATTTATTTATATTAATATTTACTTATTTAGTATTTATTTATAATATTTGTATAAATAAACAATAAAAATAGAAATGTCATACATTTATTGATTATGTTGAAACTTTCTTGCAAACCAGGGAAAAATCCCACTTGGTCATGATGCGTGATCTTTTAAATGTATTATTTAATTTGGTTCCCTAATATTTTGTTGTCTTCTGGACCCTCCCAGCTGGAATAAGTAGGTTTAAAGTGACTAACCCACTTCAGCATTCCAATCTCCCTAAGCCTTTGGATCCCTTCCTTTACATTAAACCAAGAGAGATTAGGCATTTCCAGCTCACTCACATTGGGCCATCTATTAACCCATATTTCAGCTAACCAAGCAAATAAACTATTAGAACCTTTTTTAAACTCCCTGATCTACAATATTAAATGCAGAACCATTATTTAGTGGGCCCAAACCAATAAATTCAGCCCGATCCAAATTTGTGTTCCTTCTACCATCATCCCACTCCCTTAAATCCATTCCTATGCCTGTTTCCAGATTTCTGCTTATATAAATTAGAAAACTCAAGCAGTTCTTTTCAAATCTAGTGCATCTCCTTTTGTGTCACACTCTGAACCTCACCTTTAGAGGCCCATCAGGACTTTAGTCTAGTTATAGGTCTAGAAGAAAACAGGGGTGTTGGGGGAAGGTCCAGAGGAGAATCAACACTGTCTTGCCTGGCAACTGCCTCAGGGGAGGCCATCACTGTTGCCTCAGGCAGTGTAGGGTTTATCTTCCCAGAAAAAGGTGGAAGGGCTGATGGCAGCATTGATCGAGGAAGGGATGTTGCCCCTACTGGGAATGGGGAAGTTGTTTCTTCTGGCAAAAAAGGTTAATCAGAGTTTACAAGCTCAATGTCCCCAGCTTCATCAGAGTTCTCCCACACATCCCCATTCCAAGCTGTAGGGTTCCATTCTTTTTCAATCAATGCCCTCACTTTAACAGTAGACACCTGGCAAGGTTGCGCATGTACCTTTCATTGCAGGTCAGTTACTCACATGATAAGAGCTTGTGTCTGGTTTTCCACAATTTCAGCTCTTTCTCTACAGGAGACAAGACTGTCACTAAGGGCAATCTTAGCAGATGTAAAGTTCAGGATCTGCTTCTGAAGGCCGGGAGTTAGAATCCCCGAATTCTTCATTTTCTTTCATCACTTTGTCCAGTGAACTTAGGGGCAACCAACAAACTTCATTATGTTCTTTGGTTCTCCACATATTGTCAAAGGTATTATGTATAGAGTCACTAAACTCCTTGCCTCTCATGAGCAGTGAATCAGGAGTGTCAAATGCATTTATTTTTGCATAACTCTCTTAACAGTTCATGCCAAGGACTATTAGTGTTCTCCATACCATTAGAAGTAGAGTCCTTAGCATTTTAGGGTCTAATCATATTAAGCAGCCAACTCCAGAAACTACAAAACCAACAAAAGAACTTTATGCTTAATATTCTGTTTCTCTAGAACCCCTCTCCTGATACCAAAATCTGTATTAGTCAGGGTTTTCTAGAGAGACAGAACTAATAGGACACACACACACACACACACACACATGCACACATATATATATATGTGTGTGTGTATATACATATATATATATATGTATATGTATAAAGGGGAGTTTATTAGGGAATATTAACTCACAGTATCACAAGGTCCCACAATAGGCCATCTGCAAGCTGAAGAGCAAGGAAGCAAGTCCGAGTTCCAAAGCTGAAGAATTTGGAGTTTGATGTTTGAGGATGGGAAGCATCCAGCGTTAGAGAAAGATGTAGCCTGGGAATCTAAGCCAGTCTAATCTTCTCACATTTTTCTGTCTGCTTTATTTTCTGGCCACACTCACAGCTGATTAGATGGTGTTCACCCATATTAAGGGTGGGTCTGCCTTTCCTAGCCAACTGACTCAAATGTTTATCTCCTTTGGCTACACCGTCAGAGACACACCCAAGATCAATATTTTGCATCCTTCAATCCAATCAAGTTGACACTCAGTATTAACCATCACACCATTCCTTTATTTCAGTCTATACGTGTCTTAACAGTTGAAGTGTTTCTTTTAGGCAACAGATCAATGGGTCTTGTTTTGGCTAGGTATATTAACAGCAAAATATAGACATTATTTTGAGGTCCAGGTCAGAATCATTAATTTTATATATATAAATATATAAATATATATATACACACATAAATCTTTATGTATATTTGATATAAACATATATACTACATATGTATGAGTATATACCTATAAAAGAACAAAATGCAGCAACATTAAAGATCACTCTTTTGAAACAGTAGAAACCAATGTAACCAGATTATCCCAGGAATTACTAGATGTGAAGGAGTAAATTATGTTTTCTCCAAGTTTATAAGTTGAATCCCCATTGTTCACTGTGACTGTGTTTGGAGATAGGGCCTTTAGAAAGATAATTAAATTTAAATGATGTCTTAAGGGTGGGGCTCTGATTCAATATGACTGATTTTTTTTTTATAAGAAGCAGAGATGTACCAGTGCTATTTACTCAGAGAGAAAAGGCCATGTGAAGATACAGTGAGAAGGCGGCCATATGCAAGCCAAGGAGAGGAGCCCCAGAAGAAACCAAACCTGCTGACATCTTGATCTTGGACTTCCAGCCTCCAGAACTGTGAGAAACTACATTTCTATTGCTTTAGCTACCCAATCTGTGATTGTAATATTTTTTATGGCAGCTCTAGCAAAAAAATATACCAGAGAAAGTTACCTTTCCTGAATTTCCCAAAACTTCTCACTGCTACTACTTCTTAGACTTATAAGAATATATAGACTTTGAAAGATTCTGCTTCCACAAACATCTTCAAAATTCCCTAGGAATGCATATGTTTTTACCCACAAATTAGAATTTAGGAAGACTTGCTGTTCTTTGCCAGTATAATAGCAACACGTGTGGGTCTGTCAACACATGTGGAGCAACACAGGACTCTAAAAATCTTTGATATTAAAGTTACTTGCCAAAGACAGCTTGGGCTACTATCATGGTCAGTGCTCCATAGTGATAGTTGTATAAGATCTGACATAGCTGCTACTGTCTCAAAGGAGTAGGCAGGAAATTCAGTACTGTCATCATATGTTAGAGGTCGGTTCTACGGAAAAGAATGGTGTTGCCACAACCACCATTGTGGTAGTTGTTTTGGGGCATAGATCTCAGAGAAACTGGGCCTAAGTTCCTATTCACATAGACCTTATCTAGTGATAAGAGAAAAAATTAAGTAAATATACATCATTAACATGAGAGTATTTTCATGTAATTGAGTCACTTAACCTAGTTTTAGAAGTTGGGGAAGATTTTCTTGAAGAAACAATTTTAAGGCCAAGGACAGAATGATGAGTAGAAGTCAACTACTTGAGCAGTCAACCAGTGAAGAGCACTGATGAGCACAGATCTTAGGAAACCTGGGCAACAATGCCAATATGTTGAACCATAGTGAACACACACAATAGGGCTGGAGGAGCAGGTGGGAGAAAAGGATGAAAGGAGTATATGCTAGGAGAAGACACGAAGAGAGCACATGAAACATGATGCTTGCAAACCACTTTTCATGTCTGGCAAAAAGGAAAAAAAGAGAATTTACTTTGTAATGCTTCCAGGTAATTAATTTAATCACACCAAATAATTATAAAACAAATTACCTTGAAGCGATGGTTTAATGTGTGTATTTGCAGTAATTGAGTGGTCACCTGAGATGGATTCAATTGGTTATATGAGAATATTTCTTTAGAGCTGTTGCATTAACTGCCTGTATTAGATCTGTTGCTTGAAATGTATGCTGGTAGGAAAAAAGCACTTAAGGTATTTGAATGGGGCTAGACAATGTCTTCAAAATATGTAAAACTCTAATAGCCTTCTCCACTTGCCAGAAAAGAATGAGATCTCTTAATTTGTTCCAGCCCCAGTCATCAGCCCAAAGAATTACAGCTCCTGAGACTCATCATTTGCCAATCCTGAGAGATGTCCAGATTTGAGACTACTCATACCAGAACTCCATTATGCTGACATGTGCCTGGCCTTCAAAATGAAGGTGGAAGTGTGTAGTTTTCTCTGCTGTGTTAAATGCCCTAGTCAGGGCTTACATATAAGAACTATCTGAGAATGATAGTGCAACAAAACAAGAAAATATATCTTCAATTCATATTGTTATTAGATAAACATCCTTGCTTACTTTAAAAATCATTTCCAGGACAAAGTAGCCCTTGAGAGTCTTGACAGTCTGTGCCTCAACCACAATCTATTGTAACCCAGCCTGATAATTTCAGCAAATGAATCTTAGATGCAAATGTACCAGTAATGCTTTTAGTCTACAATTTATTTCTGACATTATTGTCTACCCTAGAGCTGTTTAAATTATTTAAACTAGAAAAATAGTGATGGGTTTGAAAATGAAAACTAAATAATCAAACATGGCCATCAAAATACTCCCAGGTAATCACTGGATTCCTAAAGCAAAGATAATTGGTAAAATCAGATTTTGTTTGAAGTCCATGTCATCGTGAGCTACTTGGTCATGCCTACAGTAAAGATTCAAACATTATTGGTAAGAGAAGTTTTGATGTGCCCAACTTTTACTCTCACCTTTTTCTCACCCAAACCTGAACTGAAATTTTAAAAATAAAAACAATAATAAATCAATTGCTTCTGGGCCACCAGCATTGCCCAACCTTCAGCAATGTATTACTGAAGCATTGACTATATAAAAGATGTATGTTAGGGGCAGCCTGGACATGATGGATAAGACAAAGATGAATAAGAAAAACACTTTTTTTCCTCCAAGAAAAATATCATTCAATGGAAGAGAAAGGCTCCATACATAATAAATGTAATACTGTGTCTGGAATTGGTGGGTTCTTGATCTCACTGACTTCAAGAATGAAGCTGCGGACCCTTGTGGTGAGTGTTACAGTTCTTAAAGATGGTGTGTCTGGAGTTTGTTCCTTCTGATATTCGGACGTGTTCGGAGTTTATTCCTTCTGGTGGGTTCATGGTCTCCCTGGCTTCAGGAGTGAAGCTGCAAACTTTCGCAGTGAGTGTTACGGCTCTTAAGGCAGCGTGTCTGGAGTTGTTCATTCCTCCCTGTTGGTTTGTGGTCTCACTGGCCTCAGGAGTGAAGCTACAGACCTTCATGGTGAGTGTTACAGCCAGTGCGGCCTCAAAGAGTGAGCAGCAGCAAGATTTATTGAAAAGAGCGAAAGAACAAAGCTTCCACAGCGTGGAAGGGGACCCGAGCGGGTTGTCGCTGCCAGCTGGGGCAGCCTGCTTTTATTCCCTTATCTGACCCCACCCACATCCTGCTGACTGGCCCATTTTACAGAGAGCTGATTGGTCCATTTTACAGAGAGCTTTTTGGTCCGTTTTGACAGGGTGCTGATTGGTGCGTTTACAATCCCTGAGCTAGACACAGAGTGCTGATTGGTGTATTTACAATCCTCTAGCTAGATGTAAAAGTTCTCCAAGTCCCCACTAGGTTAACTAGACACAGAGCACTGATTGGTGCATTTACAAACCTTGAGCTAGACACAGGGTGCTAATTGGTGTGTTTACAAATCTTGAGCTAGACACAGAGTGCTGATTGGTGTATTTACAATCCTTTAGCTAGACATAAAAGTTCTCCAAGTCTCCACCCAACTGAGGAGCCCAGCTGGCTTCACCTAGTGGATCCTGCACCAAGGCATCAGGTGGATCTGCCCGCCAGTCCCGTACTGTGCACCCGCACTCCTCAGCACTTGGGCAGACGATGGGACCGGGCACCATGGAGCAGGGGGCGGCGCCCGCTGGGGAGGCTTGGGCCACGCAGGAGCCCATGGAGGGGCAGGGCTCAGGCATGGAAGGCTGCAGGTCCTGAGCCCTGCCCCGTGGGTAGGTGGCTGAGGCCCGGTGAGAATTCAAGCATGGCATAGGTGGGCCAGCAGTGCTGGGGGACCCAGCACACCCTCTGCAGCTGCTGGCCCGGGTGCTAAGCCCCTCACTGCCTGGGGCTGGTGGTGCCAGCTGGCTGCTCTGAGTGTGGGGCCTGCTGAGCCCGCACCCACCCAGAAGTCACGCTGGCCCATGAGTGCCACGCGCAACCCCGGTTCCCACCCATGCCTCTCCTCCACACCTCCCTGTAGGCAGAGGGAACCGGCTCTGGCCTTGGCCAGCCCAGAGAGGGGCTCCCACAGTGCAGCAGCGGGCTGAAGGGCTCCTCAAGTGCGGCCAGAGTGGGCGCCAAGGCCGAGGAGGCACTGAGAGTGAGCGAGGGCTGCCAGCATGCTGTCACCTCTCAATACCAACAATGAATTAATAATAGTTGCTAAAAATGAAGAATTACAAGTGCTATAAGACCAGGGCTTTGGTTTCAGTTGATTATAAAAAAAGAAAAATGTAGAGATATTTTGCATAAAGTGAAATATGTTTAATTGAAGGAACTGAACTTAATTCTAAAATAAAGGTTTTTTCTGATTTTTTTTTTCCTAGCCAAGTGCAGTAGTGAGAAGAGAGGAAAGAATAGAGCAAGGAGTTGGATCTGTAACTGGCTGAACAATCAATTGAGATAACTCATCATCTTCAGATCAGCCTTTTCCTGATTTTTTTTAAGTGAAGATAATTCTTTACTTTATGGAAATATGGTGATATAGATGATAAGGTGGGAAATTCTGGGATATATTTAGATTCTCTGCTCTTAACTGGACAAGAACATCTAAATATCTGAGACCCAATGTTTTGAGAGCCAAAAAGGAGGACATTGAATAGCTGTGTATATTGAGCATTTAAGAAGTCTTTATAAAAGAGACAACTTTGAGGTAGGTCTGCTTTGCATGAACTACTCAGCCTTCTATCTGATTTTATTCTCTTCTGCTCATAATTAAGAACTAAAATATTATTGATAGAAATGTTGAACAGTTCACTGTAGTCACCTTTACATTCAAGTAATACTGAAACATTTGCTACAATCAAGAGATTTAACTCATATGTATTGTATAAATTGAGTTTTTTTGTTCAAAGAAACACAAACCAAGTCAAGGAAAAATGTAAACATTAAATATAAGAATTTATGAGTAAAAGGTAGAAATACAGCATAGCTGGGCCTTGACCAAAAGAAAGAAAGCTACAAGGCATGATCACATTATAACTCCCAAGGTTACATATTAAGTTCAAATTATCAATAGAGACTAATTTGTGGTTTCTCAACCAATTATATGTTTCCAGGAGATCATCTGCTTGACTTAACATAAAAAATATATCCACCCAAGGTCAAATGAATACTATCTTTGAGAAAGAGGGGGAAATGGGCTTACAGATTTATGTGAAATAATAAACACCTTATGTCAGATACTATTTTTTTTTCAACTTTTATTTTGGATTCAGAGGGTGCATGTGCAGGTTTGTTCCATGGGTATATTGTGTGATGCTGATGTATATGGTATGGATGACCCCATCACCCAGGTTGTAAGCATACTACCAATAGTTTTTCAACCCTTGCCCCATCCCTTCCTGTTGCAGGTCTAATGATCTTAGCCTGGTGATCCTACAGGTGCATCAGATTAATTGATTTGCTAACTCTTCTCATCATCTTTGTCCCCAAACCAGAGCCACATATATTTTCAGTTCACCTCCTTTTTGTGCCATAGCTATCTCTTCCTTGCCTTTATTACCCTACCTTCAATTCTATGTTATTAAAATACAAATCTGAGGTCTTTTCTGCTTAAGCCTGTTGAATGGGTCTCCATAGCCTTTGGTCAATGTCTATGTGGCTTATTATGCTACAAATAACTCTCTATAATCCAGCTCTTTTTTCTTTCTCTCATGAGGTACTTTCCACATTCCTCTTACACCCATGCTTCTTTGAAATATTTCAGTCACCTCATATTTCAATGATATGCCTCTATTTCTTCTGCCTGGAATGCCATTTCCCAATCTGTCTCCCAACTTAGCTCCAAATCCTTTGTAAAGACATCTCTTAATCAGCTCAGGCCAACTTATTAGCATCTTTATGCCTCCAATGTATTGTGAACATACATTTATAATATTGTCTAAACATTTTATTGTATTACACCACTTATGAATCTTCCCCATAATATATGGTAAATTCTTTGAGGGCAACACTTTGTGTCTCTAACTCCTAATACATAACTTATTGCTGAGAAGGTGTAGTTACATACTAGTACTTTAGCAATTGTAGATGTGCGACGTCCTGAATAAACTGGAAAAGACAAAGCTATGCCAGACTTCAATGACTTGTGAAATTTTATTATCCTCCTGAAGTCAAGGCTCCTTGAAAGATAAGAAATAGAACTTTTGTCTTTACCTTTAAGGCATAAGTTTGACATAAGTTTATCATGTTTATATTAAATAAACCTTTTTTAATTATAATTTTCTCTTAGATTTTGCCCTTTATATGTTACCAGTTTCATCATTTTGAAAGACGGCAATGTCCTTCTTCTCTCTTTTCTTAACTTGCTACACTGTTTAGAAACTTTAGTAGTCATCATACATTCAATAAGCATATTCTTGACTTATCCCTGATTTTACAGAGACTATTTCTAATATCTCCTTTACTTTTTTCATTCGCTCATTGATTATTCAATAGTATGTTGTTTAATTTTCATGTATTTGTAAAGTTTCTGAATGTCCTCCTGTTATCAATTTCTAGTTTTATACCATTGCGGTTAAAAATGATGCTGGTGATGTTTTCAGTCTTCTTAAATTTGTTAAGATATGTTTTGTGGCCTAACATATAATGTATCCTGGAAAATGTCCTGTGTGCACTTGAGAAGAATGTGTATTCAGTAGCTATTGGATGGAATGTTCTATAAATGTCTGTTACATCCATTTGGTCTAGAGTACAGTTTAAATCTAGTGTTTCTCTGTTGATTTTCTGCCTGGATGATCATCTGTCAATTGCTGAGAATGGAGTGTTGAAGTTTCCTACTATTATTGTATTGTAGTCTATCTCTCCCTTTAGGTCTATTAATATTTGTTCCATATATTTAGGTGCTCCTATGCTGGGTACATATATATTGAATAGATACCATTATCATTATATAAAGACTTTCTCTGCCTCTTTTTAAGAGGAAAAGAAAATTTCAAATTTTTAACCTGAAAAGTCTATTTTATCTGATATAAGTATAGCTGTCCCAGCTCTGTTCTGGTTTTCATTTGCATGGAATATTTTTTTCTATCCCTTCACTTTCAATCTGTGAGTATTCTTACAGGTAAAGTGAGTCTCCTGTATGCAACATATTGTTGGGTCTTTATTTTTTATCCATTCAGTCATTCTGTGTCTTAATTGGAGAATTTAATACATTTGTATTCAGTGTGATTATTGATTGGTAATAACCGACTACTGCCATTGTGTTAATTATTTTACTGTCATTTTGTAGATTCTTTATTACTTTCCTTCTTAGTGTCTTCCCTGATGGTTGTGATTTTCTCTAGTATTCTACTTTGATTCCTTGCCTTTTATTTTTACATTATCTACTAAACTAAAGGCAGGTTTTGTGCTTCCTGGTTACCATAAGGATTACAGACAGTGTCTTGTAGTTAGAATAGGTTATTTTGGGCTTCTATCAACTTAAACTTGATCTCTTAAAAAAAGTTATATTTTAAGTTTACTGTCACCCCATATTTAGAACTTTTCATGTCACAATTTACATTTTTATATGGCATATTCTTTAAAATAGAATCATACTTACTATTATTTTTCAGTGTTTTATCACTTAACCATTACACTAAGAATATTAAGTGATTTACCTACCATCATTACACTTTTAGAGTTTTCTGAATTTGGCTATTAGCATACTTTGACGAGTAAGTATTATATTTTTCAGATGTTTTTGTATTACTTATTAATGTTGTTTTTTTTTTTTTTCTCCAGCCTGGAGTGTTACCTGTAAGCCAGGTCTGGTAGTGATGAACTTCCTCAGCTTTTGTTTGTCTGGAAAAGTCTTTATCTCTCTTTTAATTTGAAGTATAGTTTTTGTGGGTAAAGTATCATTGGTTGGAAGGTTTTTTTTTTTTCTTCAGTGCTTTGAATGTATCATCCCACTCTCTCTTAGTTTGTAGGATTTCTGCCAGGAAATCCACTGAAAGTTGTACTGGTACTCCATTGAATGTGACATGTTTTTTCCTCTTGCTACATTCAGTATTCTTTCTTTGTCTCTGATTTTTAAGGATTTGTTGGGGAATTATTCTTTGTCTTACATTTGATTGGTGATCTCTGAGCTTCCTGTACCTGTATGTTGTTATTTTTCCCCAGATACAGAAAAGTTTTAGTCATTATTTTTAAAAATATTATTTCTAGGCTTTTTTCTCTCTTACCTCTTTCAAGAACTTTACATTATGTGAAGTTTAGATCACTTGATGGTGTCCCATGATTCCCGTGGTGTTTATTTTTATTTATTATTTTTACTTCCCTACTTGAACAATTTTATACGTCCTTTGAGCTTACTGATGCTTTCCTATGTTTAAGTCTGCTTTCAAGGCTTTCTATTGAGTTTTTCAATTCAGCTATTATATTTTTTAGTTTTAGGGTTTTAATTTGTTTCTTTATTTCTATTCCTCTGTCAAATGTTTTTGTGAACACCATAAATTGTTTTCTAAAATTTATTTAATTTTCTAAACATATTTTCTTGTGATGCCCTGAATTGTTTTAAGAGGATCTTTTGGAATTCTTTGTCAGTCAGTTCATAGATCTTCAATTCTTCTGAATCCATTATGGGAGCTTTATTTGTTTACCTTGGTGGTGAAAGGAGGGGCCAGCTGGGCTTCCTGGGTCAAGTAGGGGCTCAGAAAGCTGTGAAACTCACTCATTTCCTGCGTCAGGACTTACTTCGGTCCTGGATAATATTGAAGATATATGCTTAAAATATTCCTAACATGAGGATTTGTGCATGTGTTTTCTTCCCCAAAAAAGCTATAAACAGAGAAAATTTTGCTGTAAGCTTCCCTGTGCCCTCTCTCCCTTTCTCCCTTCCTCCTCCCCTAAAACTAAAAGGAATGTTAAATGCCCATTTTTCTAATGGGTAGATAAGGACCAGTGGACCTTACCTATGCTCCTAATTCCAATTCCTTGTAAACACACTTTGTAAAGTCATGTGAGATCCTGTCTCCTTTGCCATGTCACTGCAAGGTCATAAAGTAGATAAAACCTAAGTTGCAATTCCAGTTTTCCTCAAAATCTAAGACATGTCACAAAATAATTTACTGCCTTTGTTTCTCGCTCTGGTAACGTCTTCTCTCTGCACATATTTCCCACCTCAAAGAGTTTAAAAGGCAACTGCATAATCTAACTCTGTCTACCCGTTCGAGACCCCTTCCACGCTGTGGAAGCTTTATGCTTTCACTCTGCCGAATAAAGCCTACAGCTTTCTCTATCAGTCTGTGTCTCTGTCACTTCTCACGGGCAGCTGCCACACCAATTCTTTGGTGTGGCTAAGGCAAGGACCTTTGGCATTACAGTGGTATCATATTTTCCTGATTTTTCACAATCATTGTGTGTTTATGTTAATGCTTGTGGATTTAAGGAGACAGTCACCACTTTTATCTTGTGAAGATATTATTTTGTGGCATTAAACTTTTACTATTTAATGTCAGAATTTAACTGCTGGCCTGCAGTTAAGTTCTGTTCTGGGGAACACTTATAGTGAGCACCAGACCTCAAATGCTGCACCAGAGCTAAACCAATGACTTGAAGTTCTTTTCAACTCTGGAGAAGACTTAATCTGAACATTGAAAAATAATTACTGAAGTTTTAGTTGCTTCCTAGTCAGGGTAAGACTCAAGAAGAGCACCTGAACCATGTGTGAAAGCCAGCCAGAAACTTTGGCCTAGGAGACACATGAACCATGCCCCCTGCACTGTAATTGTGCTGGTTAGTCTCCTCAGCATGATGACCCCCCGATCAGTGGTAGAGTAGCCACTAAGATCTGCACACCAGTCACTGCAATCAGTGCTCCTGATCTTTGTCTCCAATTTACCCCAGGTGGTTTGGCCCTATGGGCACTCCCAGTGCTTCCATGAGATGGGACTGGAGCCCTACTGGCACTTCCAGTGCTTCCAGCAGATGAGACTAAAGCATTTCCCATCTTCCTGGGAAGATTGCTGGACCAGTGAGGAGATCAAATATCCACCTTCAATTCCCTCCTCCCACCTGAGAAACTATGGGTTGATAGGAATTCTCTGTAAGTGGCATTATGTTAGTTTAGGGGAGGGGTAGTGAAGTCTGAAATAGCCATCCCTCTTATTAGTTGCAGCTTTTGTCATTTTTCAAACCCACAGGGGTTTTCTGCTTCTCCTCAGAGTTCTGGCAAGTTCAGGGTGGTATTCTTGTCTACTGATAATTGCTAGTTGTACTTTAGTGGGGTGAGTTATACCAGGGAACTCCTCTTCTGCCATTTTGCTGATATCATATGTCTCCATTATCAATACTTCTCCTATGTTTCCATTATTAATAATAACTGATGTAAAATTTTGGTAGATGTCTTATACTAGGCTGAAAGAGTTGCCATCTATTATTAGTTTGCTATCAATTGTTACCATTAATGAATATTACAAATGCTTTTCATATATTTGACATAATGGTTTATTTCTTTTTCTTTAATTTCTAAATATAGCAAGTTACATGTTTATTTTAAAATATAAACTGTCTTTACATTATTGGGACAACTTGATATGGCCATGATATATTTTTTAAAACAAATATTTCAATTTGGTTTGCTAATATTTTAAAACATATTTTGCCTCTATGGTCAGAATAAGGTTGGCCTGTAATTTTTCTCTGTACTTACTTTTGGTCTTTCATACTTTCTTTAAAGTTCTTTATACTTTCATCTTTCTATTTTATCATTATATATACATATATGTTTATTCACTGTGACAGAAAATAAATTAATTTAGTCATATATATTGGTGTTGTATTTTTTATTTAGATTTTCTAATTCTTTTCCTTTATTCATCTTTCCACTCATATCAATCATCACCTTCTATCCAGGAATGTAGGCACTACTCAAAATTTCTCCACAATCTCACAATAATATATAAAATATATATTATATGAAATACATAGTCATATATATGCTTAAAGATGTAACTCTTTGATTATTTTTATTAAAAAATGAATGATATTCTATATGTATTTCCTCATTTTTCAGCATCTTGATCTATTTGATGGCAGTAGTGGCCCATCTGGAGTGGCAGCTGCAAGGACATCAGCTGCAGCAGGGGAGGCACAGCCAGGGCTGCGCGATCTGCAAAGATGACAGGCGCTGGGAACAGGTGATCCCAGTGGGAGCCCCACACCCTATTTAGTTGGCAGAGACTGTGCTCCTGGGTGCAGCTGCAGCCACCCAGTCACAGCTCTGGATCCAGTCATCCCTGTACTCTCGGGGGCCTAGGAAGACCCCTGCACCCACAGGCTTGGAAGTGCCTGCTCCCACTCCCTGGCCTCTCCCTGCTCCCAGTGCTACTCTGCAGCAGAACAAAGTTGTGGACATGTCCCGATAGCTGAGCCCAGGCACTCTTGCTACCCAGCTGGGCATGTGTGCACTTAGGGTGGTGCTGACATACCAGTCTCCTGCTGGCTTGGCCTCCTCTGGAAACTGCTTCTGAGGCTAAAACATTGGGTGCTGACGGTCATGGGAGGGAGCCCAGGGGGCTGAGGGTGGCTTAGTATGGGTTTGTGGGTGCCCCTCGGTGCAGACATCCTGGACTCTGTGGATGGCATGTTGATGGCAGTGGGAGGCAGACAGGTTCCTAGGCGGGAGGGGGCTGTTCCCCTGTGAAATCCCACCTTCAAGCCAGGGACAGCCTGAAGCCTGGGCACTGGGCTTCCAGTTCCCAGTGGAGTCCACAACCTGGAGTGAGAACTTCCTTGATGCCTTCTGTGACGAGATGGTGCTTTTTCCAGGCCTGCCCATGGCTGCCCATGGACCAATCAGCACATACTTCCTCCCATCCATGGATCAATAAGCATGACCTTCCTCTCTTTTGAGCCCATAAAAACCCCTGGACTTAGTCAGACTCAGATATTCATCAGCAAGACCTGCTTGCAGATAGGAGCCACCCACTTCAGGTCTCCTCTCTGCTGAGAGGTGTTCTATCAATAAAGCTTTCTCCCTTGCTCACCTTCCATTTGTCCACACAACCTCATTCTTCCTGGACATAGGACAAGAACTTGGGACCTGCTAAACACCAGGAATGAAAGGAACTGTAACACATTCCTGGCTGGCTCGCAGAGGTGCCAGTGGCAGCTAAAGGGGCTGTAATAGGTTCCTGGATGGCTTATTGAGCTGCAGGCAGTGACACACTCCCAGACTGTGGGAGTGAAGGGTGGTGACTCTGCTGGGGGCCCATACCTCAGGATTCCCCCAAGCCAGAGCTGCTGTAACACTATAGCTCTCTGGCCCTTTGCCAGCACTGGGCAGGCACCTCTTGCAACAAGAAGCAGTGGCAGGGCTTGGCCAGCCCAGGAGCTGCAGGCCTGGCTGAGGGCAGAAGGACTGAAAGAACTGTTACACAAACGGACTTAAATACTCCTCCTGAAACATGCCCTCCACCCTGCCTGCCACCCAGCTCGCTGCGCTGCAGGTGACAAGAAGGAAAGAAGAGCTGTAGCCCTTCTGAAACCCCAGACCTCAGGGCTCCCCAGGTCAGGGCTGTGACATGTTGTAACATCCTCTCTGGGGCTCTGTGGTTTGTGGCGTCTCCGAGCTTTCAAGTGCCATTGCATTCCTCTTGTCCAGATGCTGGTGCCCACAGCAGAGGGTGCTTGCTCTATGTCTGTTCCAGCTTCAGTCTTGCATGTAGCTGGCACATGTGCCAGTGCCTGGAGCTTCCCACCCCACCACAGCAGCCAGAATGCCTGGCTGTGCACAGTGGCCGGCTTCCGCACCCACTCGCTTACACACTTCTTGCCGCTCCATGCCTGACTCTCCCTTGGCAGGCGTGGGATACGAGCTGGTAGCGTAAGCTAAATGCAGCCTGTCGGGCCGAGTGTGCAGAATGAGCCCAGAGGGCACAAGAAAAACTCGAGCTGAGGTTCTGCTGGCCACAAAGGTTTCTGGCTGGTGAAGCAACACCTGAAGGATCCTGTGACATATTCACATGATGATATTTCATTAAATCCTTACAAGTAAAATTCTTTTTAGTGGCTGCATAGTAATCACTATGTGCACATATTATTATTTATTCAACAGTTCCGTATTGAAGGGCATTTACTTTTTAAAAAATTATATTGCAATTAACATCTTTATATATATGTTCTTAGGTGCTGGCTGATATTTAATTTTCATTATATGGATTCCTAGGAAATAGATATCTAGAAATGTGCAAATGTATGTGCAAATGTGCAAATGTATGTTTTTTCAGTAAAACTTTATATATTATACATATAGAAAATTACATGTCATAATTGTACATCAGATAGTTTAAGATACAGAAAAAGATTAGCAGTGCCCTATTGTTGAACTTTACATTGTCATAAAACACAGACAGTCCTCAATTTACAATCATTTGACTTATGAGTTTTTTACTTTAGATGTTGTGAAAGCAGTAAGTTTTCTATAGAAACCATACTCCGAGTACCCACACACCATCTGTTTTTTACTTTCAGTACAGTATTCAATAAATTACATAAAATATTCAGGATTTATTACAAAATAGGCCTTGTGTTAGGTGATTTTGCCCAATTGGAGGATAATGTAAGTGTTCTGAATACACTTAAGATAGGCTAGGCGATAATGTTTGCTAGGTTAGATGTATTAAATGTGTTTTCAACTTACAATATTTTCAGTTTAAAATGAGTTTATTGTGACACAACCTCACTGCAAGTTGAAGAACATCTGTATTAAGCAAAATAAGTCATAGGCAAGAAAGTAGTATACACAGATCCTTCTTAATTTATGATGAGGTTACATCCTGATAAATCTCTCATAAATTGAAAATTTTATAGGTGGAAATTGTGTTTCTTAAATTGTAACTTGAAAACAATGTCTTGGGAGTCTAAACTGGTACAGAAACTTTAGATAAATATGTCTGAGTAAACCCGTAGTAACTTGAAATGTTTTCAAGTTACAATGGCTTTATTCACACATATCATCATAAGTTGAGGAGAATCTTGATGTGTATCACTTTGCACCATTGTAAAATCAAAAACTCATAAATCACACCATCAACAGTCAGGGATCATCTGTATGTGCTTGCTACATTAATCCTTCTTGGATCTAAACATATTTGTATCATTTTCATTGTATGATATTCTGTCCCATGGCTACATAACACTTTATCAACCCACAATTAAACATTTGGATTGTTTCTAGTTTAGGGATATTGTTAGTAGTGCTCTTATGTATATTCTTGTACACATCTTTCTTTGCACGTAAGTCCGTATTGCATGGAAATGGAACCAATGAGTCATCACCTATGCTTTTATTCCACTTGAGTGGAAACTGCCACAAAATTTATCTAAAGTTTCTGCACAAATGTACACTGCCAGTAATAGTACTTGAGGGTTTCCATTGTGCCAAAGTATCGCCCACGTTTGACACTGTCTTTTATTGTTTTAATTTTATTTTTTATTTTAGCCATTTGGCAGATGAGTTGTGGTCTCATTGTGGTTTCAAGGACTAAAAAAATTAGCATTTTTTAAATGTATTGGCTATTTTGATATTCTCTTTTATAAATTGTCTATTCAATGTGTTCACTTTCTTACTTGGTTGTCTTCCTTTTATTGGTTCATAATAGTTATTCATATATTCTGGATGCATGTCATACATACATGTAGTTATACACACATACAGACACACACTTACATAGTTGACCCTTGAACAACGTGAAGGCTAAGGGACACCAATCACCCCTAAAGTGTAAAATCCATGTATAACTTCTGACTCCCCCAAAACTTAACTACTAATAGCCTACTGTAGACTGGAAGCCTTACTGATACCATAAACAGTCAATTAACGTGTATTTTTTATGTTGTATGTATTATATACCAAATTATTACAGTTAAGAAACTAAAGAAAAGGTTATGAAGGAAATTATAAGGAAGAGAAAATATATTTATACTACTGCATTGTATTAATACTCTGTCTGCTTACAAGGCAAATCATCTGTCTGCAGCTGCAGACAACTGCAGGAAACTGCAGCTGCAGACCTCAACCCGTAGTACATATCAAGCAATTCAACTTTTTCTTGTAATGTCATGTCTTTTCTCTGCTTAAGTCCTCCAGCATCAGTAGAGCCATTTCATAAGGGTCCTGTGGTGTTATTCAAGGTTTATAGTATTGAACTAAGTACAATGAAAAATACATGAGAACTATGAGAGATCACTTTTTGATGTGATATACAATTTACTAGAGAGAGAAACTGCTCATGCAGAAATGATTAACATCATGTAGTATTTTAAGTGGATACTCACAGCACTTGAGCTAACTGCATGCTAACCTATAGGAGATAGCTACAAAATTATTACAGTAGTAGGTCCTATAGTTCATTTTATGCAGTAGTAGGCCCTGTAGTTCTTTTTATACAGTAGTAGGTCCTATAGTTCATATTTACATTTGTTTACATTTCTCTTGACCACAAATGATTGTATGTACAGTCTATGTTTATATGCATAAAATTTGATACATTTTAACTGTTTATATCTGTGTATATTTTATGGTAGTAAATGATGAAATAGTATCTAAATAGATTTTTATACATTTTATGCAGTCATGACATACCTTTTCTTAATTTTTTAAAATAATTCTGTTCTTTTAAAAAATTCTAATTTTAAAATAAGGCTACGTGGTTCATCTGCACATTTTTTCAAATTGTCTCAAATCTCCAAAAAATTTTCCAATATATTTTAAAAATTTGCATATAAGTGGAATCGTGCAGTTCAAACATGTCAAAGATCAACTGTGTGTATGCATACAACTGTATTCTTTTCCCACTTCTTGTTTACCTTTTCACTCAGTAATGATGTCTTTTAATTAATAGATATTTAACATTTTAATGTAGTTTATCCATCGATTTTTTATTTCATGTTTTATATTTTTATGTTTATTATAAGAGATCATTGCCAACCCCAAGACTATAAAGATACTCTAATACATTTTCTTCCAGAAGTCTTATTGCTTATTTAAAATTTGCATTTATATTTACAGTACTTCTGAAATTCATTTTGCAAATAACATGAGGAATATGTCAAGATTCAATATTTTTCTATGCAGATATTCAATTGATTCAGCATTGGTTATTGAAAAAATAATTCTCTCCACACTATAACACAGACTCTCCTTTGATATAAATCAAGTGACCATATATGTGTACAGTCTTTTTTAGATTCTCTATTCCACTCTCTTGATGCATTAGTTTGTCTTACCCCAACACTACATGATCTTAATAGGTGTAGCTTACATAAAGTTTTCATATCTGGTAATAAAATTCTTCCAATTTTGTTTTGCTTCCACAAATTTGTCTTTTTTATTCTTGACCCATTACATTCTCTCATGTATGTAAGAAAGAGCTTATGATTTTATTTTATTTATAATTTCAACTTTTATTTTATTTTCTTTTGATTTGTGGGTATGTGTGCAGGTTTGTTACATGGGTGTATTGTGTGATGCTGATGGTTGGGGTATGATTGGTTCTGTCAACCAGGTAGTGAGCATAGTACCTATAGTTTTCAACATTTGCCCCTATTCCGTCCTTCTCCCTCTAGCAGTCCCCAATGTCTATTGTTGCCATCTTAATGTCCATGAACACTCAATGTTTAGCTCCCATTTTTGAGTGGGAACATGCGGTATTTGGCTTCTGTTTCTGTGTTAATTTGCTTAGGATGATGACATCTATTTGCATCTGTGTTTCTGCAAAGAACATGATTTTATTCTTCTTTATGGCTGCATAGCATTTCATGGTGTTTATGTGTCACATTATCTTTATACAAACCATCATTGGTGGGCACATAGGTTGATTCCATGCCTTTGCTATCACAATATATAGATTTAATATGTATTAAATATTAATTGTTATAATATATATTTAAAATTTAAAAATTTTAAATTTAGTAAGACACCATTACTGGGTGAAAAGGTAAGCAAGAAGTGGGAGAAGAATACAGTTGTATGCATACATACAGTTGATCTTTGAGCAACACTTGTGAATAGTCCAGGCTATGATTTTAGACATATACACATATTATGAGATTTTCTTTAATTTGTTGATTGATTTGGAGATAATTGGCATCTTTACAATTTTGAATATTGCAATTCATAAAGCTCCATTTACTTACAAAGACCATCTTTAATTTCCCTCAGTAATGTTTCATGGCTTTTCTGTGTCTATATCTTACACAACTTTTAGTTTTACTGTGTTTGACAGTTCTTGCTGCTAAAGTAAGAATAATCATTCTTTAAAAAATTAGTATGTAATTGTATCTGTTGTTGCATAAAAACATTTATTTATATATTGACTTTTTAATCTATTAATAAATTATCTTTTTAATTCTATTTTTCATAGTTTGTTATGAGTTTTATAGATACCTAATGACATTATGTGTGAATAATAAACTATTTCTTACAAACATTATGCATTTTCTTTTTCTTGTCATATTGCAATAGCAAGGACTTTTCACAGTGTTGTACAATGTTACATAGAGGTAGTGATAGTGCATATCTTTTGTTTTCTATTTCATAGTTTACTACTAAATAGAATGTTTGTTATAAATATATTTTAATACTATTTTAATTCAGTTAGAACTTACATACAGTGAAGTGTACACATATTAAGTGTTCAGTGTAGTTAATGTTTACATATGTATACACTTTTGTAACCACCATGGGATCAAAATATAGTACATTCCAGGCATTCTGGAAGGCTAAGATGTGCCCTCCTCCCATTACCATCATGGCCTCTTATAAGTGACTAAATACAGTTGGTATTAAGTGTGTGAGGGAGCTTATTGATGGAATCCATAAACAATTTTCTGGAGCATACAGCCTGGTAGAGAAATGTGAAAGTAATCTGCTAGGGCAAATGGTAGATATTCAGCTATTTTCCTCCTTAGAGTTAACTTTTGCCCTTTGTTCTGTTGAAAAATATATATTCCCATGTCAAGTTCCAACAGCTACTATATTATCCTGAGATCATTCCAGTCCAGTCATCTCTCTTCCTGAAATACTGCTTTTTGCTCTTCATTTAAGATATTAGTGAGAAATAGGTAAAGAGTGTGAGATAAATTGATTAATATAAAACATATCTCTTGGAGTTATGATCTCAGTTAAATTATAAATGGTCACAAAATACAATTGATCACTCCATAAGATTAAGAAAAAACATATAACATGATACACACACACACACACACACACACACACACACACACATATATATATACCCACACACACATATATTTAAAACCACCAAAAAGCTATGGGCACAAAGAAATTTAAGTAAATTTTTTTTTTTTTTGTATTTTTTGAGACAGCGTCTCACTCCTGTTGCTCAAGCTGGAGTGCAGGGGTGACATCATGACTCACTGCAGCCTCAACCTCCCAGATTCAAATGATTCTCCCACCACAGCCTCCTGAGAGGCTGGGACTATAGTTGCATGCCACCACACCTGGCTAATTTTTTGTATTTCTTGTAGAGATGGGGTTTTACCTTGTTGTCCAGATTGGTCTCTAACTCCTAGGCTCAAGCCATCCACCCACCTTGGCCTCCCCAAGTGCTGGGATTACAGGCCTGAGCTACCATGCCTGGCCTAAATAAAATAATTTTAGAAATATGTGAGACCTTTAGAGATGAGCAGAGACTGCAACATCCTTCATTTCTGAATGCAGTTGTTGAGTCTATAGGAATACTTGGGTGGAAAAGTTAGACCATTATAAGCAAAGCAGCATTAATGCCAAAGGGAGAGGCAAGCTGAGATTTTTACCAGTGCAAATTGGCTGACAGGGCTGCTAATGAATTTCTCCATATAAGGAATCTGGGTGACTAAGCAGTGGTTCTGAAAAACTGATGGCAGACAGGTTGGAAAATAGAAAGAATTTGCTTAAGACCTGCTGAAGGGTGGGGCCTGATCCCATTCTGGAAGCTTTTAAAGACAGAACTCAAGTCTTCTAAACTACTGATTAAATTGAGGATGTAAGCCTCTAGCTCAATGACAAAGGAACAAAGCAAGTCCTTTCTGGAAGAACTTACCAACTTGGGTGTTTGCTGCTATTTTGTATTTAAATTGTGGCATGCAATAGAAAACTAGAAGACATGAAAAGTGTTAAGACAATGTGATTCCTGATAAAAAGTTAAAAAGCCTAATTACATGAAGAAAGTCATTGGTAGCTTGATGGGGATAGCATTGAATCTATAAATTACTTTGGGCAGTATGGCCATTTTCATGATATTGATTCTTCCTATTCTTGAGCATGGAATGTTCTTCCATTTGTTTGTGTCCTCTCATTTCCTCAAGCAGTGGTTTGTAGTTCTCCTTGAAGAGGTCCTTCACATCCCTTGTAAGTCGGATTCCTAGGTATTTTATTATCTTTGTAGCAATTGTGAATGGGAGTTCATTCATGATTTGGCTCTCTGTTTGTCTATTATTGGTGTATAAGAATGCTTGTGACTTTTGCACATTGATTTTGTAACCTGAGACTTTGCTGAAGTTGCTTATCAGCTTAAGGAGATTTAGGGCTGAGACAATGGGGTTTTCTAGCTATACAATCATGTCAGCTGCAAACAGAGACAATTTGACTTCCTGTCTTCCTATTTCAATACACTTTATTTCTTTCTCTTGCCTGGCTGCCCTGACCAGAACTTCTAATACTATGTTAAATAGGAGTGGTGAGAGAGGGCTACTGCTGTCAAAACATGTTCAAGGCAATAAAATTAGATTAAATTATTTAAAAAAAAGTTAAAAAGCCAAAAGAAGCAGAACTATAGATGATACAATTATAGGAATTAGTAGATGAAAAAAATTAAAGTGCAGTAATTTAGAAGAAAAAATGGATGAATTGGTATATAGATGAAGAATTTCAGCAGAGAAAAGGAAAACTAAAATAGGAAATTCTAGAACTGAGAAATGTAATATTAGAAGTGAATAATCTGATTGTCTTAAAAGTAGACTGGACACAGAAACTAAAATTTATTGACTTCAAATAAGGTCATTTGAAATTCTCTAAACTGAAGCACAGAGAGGAAAAAGAAATAATGATTTTTAAATTGGTGATCAGAGCCCTGTAGGAGAATGTCAAATGGTCTCATATAGGTATAGTAACACAAAATCGGAAAATAAAATGGGGAAATAATACCATTTAAAATAGCAATTAAAAAACCACAAAACCATAAAATACTGACTAATAATTTTAAAGAACCATGTGTAAGACCTGTACATTGAAAATTATTGAAAGAAATTAAGAAACTAAATAAAATGAAAAATAATGTCATAAATTGGAAGTCAGAATGTTAAGATGCCATTTCTCCTGATATTAATATATGAATTCATAGCTGTATAACTCCAAATTCTAGCAGGTTTTTAAATTCTAGAACTGAAAAAGTTTATTCTGTATTTTATTCAAAAATGCAGAAGAGTCAAGGCAATTCTTAAAAAAAAAAAAAAGACCATATTTTCAGGCAGAATAAAACAACATTAATTAAGTCAATGAGTATTAGTACACAGACAGACAAATACATCAATAGAACTAAAGAGAGTGTACAATTACTTGATTTTGACAGATGCACCAATGCAGTTTAATGGGATAAGGGAGAGTTATTTCTTTCTATCTTTCTATCTATATCTATCTATCTCTCTATCATCTATCTATCTAATCTGTCTATCATCAGCTATGTATGTATGTATGTATGTATGTATGTATGTATGTATGTATCTATCTATCTATCTATCTATCTATCTATCTATCTATCATCATCTATCTATTTGTTAGAGACAGGGTCTCACCCTGTTGCCCAAGCTGGAGTATAAGGGCAGGATCATAGCTTACTATAACCTCAAACTCCTGGGCTCAAGTGATTCTACCACCTCAGGCTCATGATAGCTAGAACTAGTTTTTTTAGAGACAGGGTCTCACCATGTTGCCCATGCAGTGTTCTTCAATTTAAAATACAGATATTTCTGGAGAAAAAATATGTCAAAATGAAAAAAGAAAGGCTTAAAAAATCAGTTAACATTGACCATCTACATTATTCCTTACACTAAAATTAATTCGACATAAATCTAAATGTCAAAGCTAAAAACTTTCAAGCTTTTAGAAGAAAACATACCCAAATTTCCTGGTGTAGCAAGTGTTTCTTCAGGGCAAATAAGGCCTATCCATTAAAAAAAGTGGAAAAGTTAGGCTTAAAATTAAAATATTCTGCTCACAGAAAGATAAACTTAAGGAAATAAAAGGAAAATCCACAGATTCAGAAAACTATTCATAAAGCATATAGCTGACAAAGAATGTATATCCAGCATATATAAACCCTATAAATCAATAATAACAAAGCAACATACTTTTTAAAAATGACCAAAATATTTGGACAGACACTTAGAAAATGAAATATCCATATGGCAATAAGCATATGAAAAGCTTCTCAATTTTCATGGCTAATGCAAATTACATGCATAATAAGATTTTAAAATAATAATTTAAAAAACTACATATACCAAACAGGCTCATATATGAAAAGCCTGAAAAGCAAGGATTGGTGAGAATGTAGAGCAACTGGAACTCTCATGTTAAGAATCTAAAATTGTACTACCTCCTTGCAAAACTGCCAACTAATCTGTAATAAAGCTAAAATACTTTGACCATATGAACCAGCAATTTCACTCCATGTATGATTGTGTATGTCTGCAATCAGCCATCAGGTGGCTAGCAGGTTTCCTTAGGAAATGGTGCCATTTAAGGCTCCATTTGTGTGTCCGCTCTTAGCAGGTTTTGCACTTAACAATGGGGATCGTTTGTTCAGCTATGTATAACCACTACACATATCATTAGGGCCTTGTCATACATGACTCCATTGAGCAAAGAGAAGAGTGGCAAGGGAAAGAGACTGATTGACATCAGAGAAAGATCTTGTCTGTCTAATTCTTTTTTTTTTTTTTTTATTGTCTGTCTAATTCTTAAGAAGGTCCTAGGTTGTGGATACCCTCTGGTGGGCATTTATGTGGCACATGATCATCTTTATATGCTGCACCAAGGTATTCATCACCTTACTTCAGTCTCAGTCTTTGTTGTTACCAGTTTGTCAGTTTTGTTTTTTTTCTGTCCTTGACTAACCAGCCAGTATATAGCACTGGCTGTAAGTTGATGTCGGTCTTTACCATTGGCCATCTCTATTTCACGTGAGCAATGAACGCACTGGGAAGATAGCCCTTCACTACTGTCTTTATCTTTCCTTTATTTTAACTCATGGCAGAACATTGTACAGATTTATTTACCAGCCAGGTCAGTCCTGTTTTATTTTTCATTAATTGGTTTTGGAACACCTTCCATGAGGCTGTAAGTGGGGTAAGAGGCAGCAGTGGGAGTGGGCACTGAAATCCGAAGCACTTTGTGCAGTTTACCCACGCATTCGGAAACTGCCCGTGCTGGATTGCATGCTATTTCCATCTTACAATGCAACGGCTGCTGAAAATGTTCCAATTTTATGATTTGGTAAATTACATAATGCCAAGTACCTAACAGGTAGTTTCTATTGTGTAGATACTTGGTGTCACATGGTTATGTATTCATAGAGCCCAGTAGCAAACCAGGGACTGCTTTTCAGATGGCATATAGTTGTCAGGGAAAGAGGGCAAAGAGAACATGGCCTAACTCCAAACCTCTCAGGGCCTGCACTGCAGTTCTTATACTGGGGCTTGCTAAAAGCTTTATTTGGCATTTCTCCACTACAGATCTTTCCAAAACAGGTATGATTGTGGGTCATAAGTTTAAAGGGACAGGGCAGCTTGCATTCCAGCCTATACTTGCTGCAGAGACTTTTTTTGCTCCAAAGTACTACTCAAAACCACGAGCCTTTCAGTTAACTTAGTAAAGACCTTGAAACAGTAAGGCTGAATAAGTTATAATTACCCCCAAATCCAGAGTATCACCACCTTGGATTTCTTTTTTTTATTAATTGGTGGGAGTAAATATACTAGTTGACTTTTACTTTATAATAGAGATCCCAACATGCCGTAGATCAGAGGGTCCAGAAATTTCACCTATGTATCAGGCCTCTGAATTTCAGGGGTATTTATCACCCTCTCTCAGGTATACATGTATTTCTTCTTACCCATTAGGTACAATGAGGAAAATGTCATCAATAAAATGAACTAGCAAAATACTTTGTAGGCCATTTGAAAAATTAAGCTCCCTTTAGAATATATTATGGAGGGAGAATGGGAGAGCTGATGAGTGACAAGGGCATAATAGTATACTGTTTTTCCTAATATATAAAGACAAAGTGCTTTTAACTAACTTTGCTGGTAGCAATAAGGAAAAAAAATTGTCAAGTCACTGTCTGTATACTAGGTGCCAAGGGCTGTGTTGTTTTGCTCTCTAGAAAAGACCACATCTAAAAAGATAGCTGTAATTAACATCACTCTCTGATTGTTTGTGTTGATGTGTACCAGAAGACATCTAACTTTTGCACCAATCAGACAAAGTAGAAAGGAATGAATACTTCCCATGCCATGGGAAAGAGGCTAATATCTGGGAAGGACTTTATCTAGAAGAACACCAATTGGTGACCTGAACCATAAAGGGCTAAGAGTTCTCAAAGTAGTAAGTATCACTTGGAAATGCAGTCATGCAAATTTGTGGCCTCCATCGCAGAGCTACCAAGGCAGACACTTTGGGGGTGGTGCTTAGAAACCTGTGTTTTAAGTATATACCCAGTAATGGGATTGCTGGGTCAAATGGTATTTCTAGTTCAAGATCCCTGAGGAATTGCCACACTGACTTCCACAATGGTTGAACTAGTTTACAGTCCCACCAACAGTGTAAAAGTGTTCCTATTTCTCCACATCCTCTCCAGCACCTGTTGTTTCCTGACTTTTTAATGATTGCCATTCTAACTGGTGGGTTATAAATCATGCTGCTATAAAAACACATGCACATGTATGTTTATTGCGGCACTATTCACAATAGCAAAGACTTGGAACCAACCCAAATGTCCAACAATGATAGACTGGATTAAGAAAATGTGGCACATATACAACATGGAATACTATGCAGCCATAAAAAATGATGAGTTAATGTCCTTTGTAGGGACATGGATGAAGCTGGAAACCATCATTCTCAGCAAACTATGGCAAGGACAAAAAACCAAACACTGCATGTTCTCACTCATTGGTGGGAATTGAACAATGAGAACACATGGACACAGGAAGGGGAACATCACACACCAGGGACTGTTGTGGGGTGGGGGGAGGGGGAAGGGATAGCATTAGGAGATATACCTAATGTTAAATGACGAGTTAATGGGTGCAGCACACCAACATGGCACATGTATACATATGTAACTAACCTGCACGTTGTGCACATGTACCCTAAAACTTAAAGTAAAAAAAAAATAAATAAAGCACACATTTAATTCTAGTTCAAAAAAAAAAAAAAAAGAAACCTGTGTTTTAACTAGTCCTCCAGGTGATTCTGGTGTGAGCTAATTGGTTTTCATTCATTGGTTTTAGAATACTTTCCATAAGGCTATAAGTGGGGTAAGAGGCAGCAGTGGGAGTAGTCACTGTTCTATTTAATTATTATACCTGAACTGAGCCTTACTTCTTGAACCAGGTAAATCATTGTAACATAAGTTTGAGCTTTTGCTGGACTCATTGTGATACAGACTGGAGTCAGCAGTTCATCTATCACTGGACTGCCATATGTCCCCTCTTTGACTTGTACAACATGTTAAAGATTTCAGACCTAGGGATTAATATCAGTTATTCCACTACTTAATTATGTCCAGAAGATTCGTGTGTCTCCATTTATGTATTGAAAAAAACATCATGGGAAATGGCCACAAGCATCTTGGGGGAAGGCTTGAGCTATTACTTAAAGTATACTGCACTGGTCACATTGTAGGGTCTTTTTCTCTATCGAAGGACTCTAGATCTATAAAATAGCTTAGGTCTAGGCATCATGTAAGAGATCACAATTCTCTATGTTAATAAGCTACAACTGGTACCAGACCTAGAATTTTTTTTCTTGTATATGTAAATCAGTAAAAAATAAACTTTCCATCCTTAGGTGTGATTAATTAACAATCACCACACATCCCTACAGGTCAATATTCTAATTACTACTTTGTCCTTGTGAACTTTTATGGCAATTATGCCTAGTTTTAGCTGCTGATTTTTAAGTTCTACATCCTGGCCTTTCTCATGTAGGATCTTATTAATTATTCTCATTAAAAATAGGGAGCCCAATTCCAGTGAAGCCTCCTCTACCATCATCTCTGACCTACAGAGTCAGCTACCACAGAACTTATTAAAGCTGCTGCCTTGCCAATGCATTTCTTAATGATTTGGTGAAGACAGTATCCTCTGGGCCTTCCATGAGGGTAAGGTTCATGGGTGACTAAGCAGGTTCAAAGTAGATCCAGTCCAACATCTCCATCTCCTTGATATTTGATCTTCTTCTAATGCATGTCTAGCTCACCATTAAGTCCAGGCTTAAATTCACCATAGATTTAATGCAACTCTTAGAAGCTCAAGTTAAAACATTAAATCATGAATCCGAGGTGACTGTTTCCATGTAAACAAACTCATCTTAAGTCTGAGATATATATATATATAAGCCACATATATATATATATATATATATATATATATGTGGCTTATATCTCAGCCATAATTGTCCTGAGTCACCAGCTGTCATACAGTCATTCTAATTTTTCACTCACAATCTGAGTTAACAATAAAGGCCTTAATTTTTTTCTTTTCTTTGTTTGTTGTCTCCTGCATTATTATAATCACTTTTGTCATCAAAGAAATGAGGGGCCATAGATGATCTCCCAATTTCCTGCTCTCCATTTGCGTTCATAACACACCACCACCAGTGTTAATCTGGGTAATTGTGAATCCATTACATGACATTGGTTTCTAGGGCAAGAAAGTAATTTGTGCTCTCCTTAAATACATGAGCAATGCAATGCGAGAGTCCCATTTCCTGGGGTCACTTTGGTACAAATGACTTATTACTCAGAGTTTAAGCAGGAAGGAAGTGGCTTACTCAAACAAGATGATTGATTTGAGTTTAATAAAAGTGTTTTTAAATGAATGAGCAGGATTAATGGAAAACCAACAGTCATAAATGATTATCACTCTTGTGCCTGAAGTAGTAGCAAAGGAAAGTAGATTGAGAGAGTAGTTACTGGAACCCAGAAGCAAAATCTCTAGCTATAAAAGAGAGCCACTCACTTTACAGAAGCTGTGGCCTTCATTAGAGGAATATAATCATTCCTTGGCCATCCAGCAGGAAGACAGTTGGCTGAATATTCTCTTTTTGCTCTCTAATCTCATGCCAGTGCTTCTTGCCTGATGATGCCTACCAGAATCCAGGGTTCAAGGGAGCTCATTGATGTAATCCATAAATTTTGTCTTCAAGAGTTTGTGGAGAAAAGTTGAGAGTGGGTCTAGAGGGAAAAAGGAAGAAAGCATCCAGCACATATTCCCATTTATTTAAGTTTTATTTATAACCTCTAAATAAAGTGTTATCCTACAAAAAGTTCTTACATATGCTTTGTTGAATTTATTCCTAGTGCTTTTTTGGGGGTGTTGATATTTCAAATGGCATATTTTCATTACGTTTCTATTTGCTGTTGGTGTAAATAATTGCAACGAATATCAATATGTTGATTTTCTATCTGAAAAATTTACTAAACTGTCTTAATTTTAATAGTTTATTTTTTTCATTATCTATTGAGACAACTTTTCATTTGTAATAATAAGGTTTTTATTCTGATTTTACAGTCTTTGTAAGTTCCCCCTTCACCTTACTGGGCTGGCTAGGATTTCTTAATATATTATATTGAAAAAGAATGATGATATAAGAATTCCTTATTTTGTTCCTAATTTAAAGTGAATATTTTAATATTTTATTATTGCATATAAAGAATGCTGTTAAATTTTTTTATAAAACATTTTATCAAGTGTATTGTTAACTTTTGCTGCATAACAAGTTACTTTAAAAATTAGTGGCCTAAAATAACAATAAACATATGTCAGCTCATATTATCTGTGAGTAATGAACCTAGGAGCACCTTAGGTATATGATTCTGTCTTAGGGGGTCTCTCATGAAGCTGTAGTCAAAATGTCAGCCAGGGAGACAGTAAGTTATAGTCAAATTATCAGCCAAGGGTATAGTCATCTAAAGATTGACTGGAATTGGAGTATTGGTTTCCAAAATGGCCTGCTCATACAGGTGGCGAGTTGATGCTGGTTGCTGGATGGAGACTTTAGATAGGTTCCACATGGACCTGTCTATAAGATTGCTTACATGCCTTCAGAACATAGTAGCTGGCTTCCCTCAGAGTGAGCAATCTAAGAGACAGCAAGGCGGAAGCCAAAATGTTTTTATGACACCCTTGAAAGTAACAAATTGCTATTTCCACAGTATCTTATTGAGTACCCAAGATTTATTGAATGTCATGCAGAAGTGTTAGGTAAAAGTTATGGGAGGTCATTTCTTGGACTGAGCTCCTGCACTAGACACAATCAGGCCAGACTAATACAGAATAGAGTCACTCATGCCAGCTTCCACATAATGAAACTGAACTTAGAAAAAAAGTTTTCCAAAAAACAGGAGATTCACAGAAACCCATCCAAATGGGCCCCTTCAACATGAACCAGTGCAGTAAGAAAGTCCTCTCTACTTTAACTGTATAAGGAAAGTTACTTTAAAACGACCAGTCAACTTTTTGTTCCTTATTTCTGCTTTCTTCAGCCTTTTCCTGCCTATAAAGAGTTCTCTCTCTGCTCAGCTCTGGGAAGTGCCTTTCTGTTTCCCAGATGGGAGGCTGCTCAACTTATGAATCACTAATAAAATCATTAGATCTTGAATTTTTTTGAAATTTTGTTCTTTGATAGAGGAAATTACGTAAATACATGAAGGTAAGAATAATCGGGAGGTAAGAATTATTGTGGGATATTTCGGAGACCAACTACCATATCAGGTTAGTACTTTTCTTCTATTCTTTCTATTTTTTCTACTAAGAGCTTTGCCACAGATTGTTCCATTTTTTTCAAGTTCTTTTTGAGCATTTACTGAGAAGATTACAAGGTCTTCTTGCTTTAATATGTTAATTGACTAATTATATTAATTATCTAATAAGCCAACCTTGTATTCTTGGATGTATTCCAAAATTGTCATAGTGTATTTTGCTAGATTAATATTTTCTTTAGAATTGCATGAGTGAGATTGGCCAATAATTTTTATATTTTTATGAATTATACAGTCTTTTCTTATTGTGGCATCAAGGATATGCTAACCCAATTTAATGAGTTGGAAAGTGTTGGCTGTTTTACAAATTCTATGTAAAAGTTGGTGAATCCTTAGAATTACTTTTTGAGTGTTTGCTGGAATGTATAAGCAAAGCCATTTGGACCAATTATATCTTGTATATAATTATATTTAATTATCAATTGAATTTCTTTAATATTAAGAAGTCTGTTCAGTTCAATTTTTTTGAGTTTTTCTTTCAAGGAATTTTACGTAAGCTACTAATTTTATTCTCATAAAACTCATAATGTTATTCCCATTATATTTCATTCTCTATACCATGCAATGTATCCCTTTGTTTCATTCCAGATATTCTTTATTTGTAACTTTTATCTTGATCAACATTTCCAGAAGATTATCTGCTTTTCAGTATTTTCAAACAACCAATCTTAGACTTTGTTAAATTTTTTTTTTCTGAAAATTTCCAACTTTAGGTGACATTGTAGATATCTTTCTAATTTACTTATAATTGTTGCCAATTGTTTTATCTATGTATGAAATTGTGGTTTCATACAGTTAGTGGTTGCAATGCTGATTAAAAATTATACTTACAATTTTATCTTTTATCTAAATGACCATTTACTGAAGGAGATATGTTAAAAATCCAGTATGTCAGTGAATTCTCATGGTACTTCAGTCATTTTTTTATTTCATATTTGAGGCTCTATTAATATATTCTAGTTAATAATTTTTATAGTTTTTTATAACTTTTTATTATTATATAATCCCATCCCCCATTTTTTTAGCCTAGAATCAAACCATACAAAGATGGAATATGGTCTCTTCAGACATGGAAAGACTCAAACCATTAGGATGTTCTTCAGCAAAATAATGGAGTAATCCATGAAAAAGAAAGACATGGAATCTAAAAGACAATGGAACCAACCAATTAAATAACAAAGGCAAGTCCCAGAATGAGATTTCTATAATAAACCTAAACTACAACCAGCTTGGATTTGAGAAAGACAATGAAGGACTGGAAGTTTGGTAGCTGGAGAAAAAGAAAAAAGGCTTTATAGCATACAATCTATATTTATGAAGTTAAAAAATTAATATAATGAAAACAGGTAATAATTTATAGGGGAAAAATCAACTAGACACTCCAAAAGGGGGAAAATTGGATGAGAAAAATGCTTCCCAGATATGAAGTACAATGAAAAAGAGCACACTTTTAAGCACTTGATAAGAGACAGCATCTGTCGGACTGGATGCCTAGTGAATAAAATTTATATTCCAATATGCTACCTGGACTAGTAGAGTGCTATATTTATTTAGTCATTAAAAATATCTGTGGCATAAGGGTGAGGGAAAAGGAGACAAATGTTATTATTATTGTAAAAAAAAAAAGCGGTTCAAAAGATTATTGAATATATGGATGTTTGTATATATTTTGAACTTAAATTATGTGAGAATATTTAAAATAATGTAAATATGAAAAAGAAAAACTGTATTTGCAAGCTCAGTGCTCATCATTCATATTGAAATCAATTGCTATTTTCTAAAGTTAATAAATCAATAAATACAGGTAGAAATATATTTTCTGCAATTATGACAATACACATTTGCCTATGTAAAACTGATGAAGTTACTCAAGACATTCCATGTGTTTGTGGTCAGCCACTACATCTCACATTGAAGATAAGACTTGGACATTCGGTATTCTGTAAATAAAACTGTGAGTCACTTTGAAACTTCACTGCATCCCCTGTGTTTTCTTTCTAAGACACACACACTTGTTAGAAACCTCACTCTTCAAAGAAAGACTTGAGTGGGCTAACTGGCTAACTGAATGCTGGTTGTAAGGGAACCAGTGTGGTCATACCAGTGTGAAAAAGAGTGAGTTTGTTGTCAATTCCAACCTAGAATGTTTGATTGATATCTGGGTGACATATACAAACTCTTGGACCAAGATGAACAATAAATTAAAAATAAGACAAAACAAAACAAAAGAACCTCAAAATTTAGGAACTGAATCATTTACCAAACAAAAGATAAGTAGGAAGCTAGTGAATATGTTCTGGGATCATTGCCTGAGTCCAGAGGATTTTTGATGGATTGTTTATCGGACAGTCATTGCTTGCCTGTGCATTTGTCTGGCATGAAAGTATAGCACCAATTGGGACATGCTAGCTTTTTGCATCTTAATCTGTAAGCCCATGTTTTGCTAGTGAGTAGGATGGTAATAGACTCTGAAGACAGTTTTCAGCTTACCTGGAAAAGCTAATTATTTATGGTAATGTAAACCTATCAACCATTGACTGAGTAGAGCTGTGACGGCCTACAACCAGGTGAAGTAATTTTACTGTCTTGGTGACCATCAGCATGACACAACATTTGATGGAAACCATATCACTGTTACATTAAGGCATCCAAATGTATTTTTACAGCATGGTTTTCTCTTGTTTTAAGTATGTTATTATAAGTCATTTTACAGCATCTAGCAATCCACTATCCTGCCCTGTTGCTCCTGTATTTCACAAGTGAATGTCTTCCTTAAAATAGCCATAATATTTTCTTTGCTTCCAGCCCCCAGGGAACAGTATGTTTTAATTAACATATACATTACACAAATATCTGCTCATCTTAGTTTTCTGCACAAAAGGGATTGAAATTTGTTCCACCAAAGAAGTAAAGTCAACATGCTCAGAGGGCACATTGCAGGTATATTAGCATTTCAGAGGCACAAGTGTCATAACTGGTTTAACTAAACAAAGCTATAATGTACATTTCAGAAAACTGCCAGGGAGAAAAATCAATTCTGCATTTGAGTTGAACTCAAATTGTCAGGCCTCTGAGCCCAAGCTAAGCCATCATATCCCCTGTGACCTGCACGTACACATCCAGATGGCCGGTTCCTGCCTTAACTGATGACATTCCACCACAAAAGAAGTGAAAATGTCCTGTTCCTGCCTTAACTGATGACATTGTCCTGTGAAATTCCTTCTCCTGGCTCATCCTGGCTCAAAAACTCCCCTACTGAGCACCTTGTGACCCCCATTCTGCCCGCCAGAGAACAACCCCCCTTTGACTGTAATTTTCCTTTATCTACCCAAATCCTATAAAATGGCCCCACCCTTATTTCCCTTCGCTCTCTTTTCAGACTCAGCCCACCTGCACCCAGGTGAAATAAACAGCTTTATTGCTCACACAAAGCCTGTTTGGTGGTCTCTTCACACAGACGCGCATGAAATTTGGTGCCGTGACTCAGATCGGGGGACCTCCCTTTGGAGATCAATCCCCTGTCCTCCTGTTCTTTGCTCCGTGAGAAAGATCCACCTACGACCTCAGGTCCTCAGACCGACCAGCCCAAGAAACATCTCACCAATTTCAAATCCGGTAAGTGGCCTCTTTTTACTCTCTTCTCCAACTTCCTTCACTATCCCTCAACCTCTTTCTCCTTTCAGTCTTGGAGCCACACTTCAATCTCTCCCTTCTCTTAATTTCAATTCCTTTCATTTTCTAGTAGAGACAAAGGAGACACGTTTTATCTGTGGACCCAAAACTCCAGCACTGGTCACGGACTGGGAAGGCAGCCTTCCCTTGGTGTTTAATCATTTCAGGGATGCCTCTCTGAATATTCACCCACGTTTCAGAGGTGTCAGACCATGCATGGACACCTGCCTTAGTCCTTCACCCTTAGCAAGTCCCGCTTTTCTGGGGGAGGGGCAAGTACCCAACCCCTTCTCTCCATGTCTCTACCCCTTCTCCGCTTTTCTGGGAGACGGGCAAGAACCCCTCAACCCCTTCTCCTTCACCCTTAGTGGCAAGTTCCACTTTTCTAGGGGGCAAGAATCCCCAATCCCTTATTTCCGCACCCCAACCTCTTATCTCTGCACCCCAATCCCTTATTTCTGTGCCCCGACCTCTTATCTCTGTGCCCCGATCCCTTATTTCTGCACCCCGACCCCTTTCCCACTTTTCTGGAAGGTAAGAACCCCCGAACCCCTTCCCTCTGTGTCTCTACTCTCTCTTTTCTCTGGGCTTGCCTCCTTCACTATAGGCAACCTTCCACCCTCCATTCCTCCGTCTCCCTTAGCCTGTGCTCTCAAGAACTTAAAACCTCTTCAACTCACACCTGACCTAAAACCTAAATGCCTTATTTTCTTCTTCAATGCTGCTTGACCCCAATACAAACTCTCGACAGTGGTTCCAAATAGCCAGAAAATGGCACTTTCAATGTTTCCATCCTGCAAGATCTAAATAATTCTTGTTGTAAAATAGGCAAACGGTCTGAGGTGCCTGACATCCAGGCATTTTTACACATCTGTCCCTCCCTAGTCTCTGTGCCCAGTGCAACTCGTCCCAAATCTTCCTTCTTTCCCTCCCACCTGTTCCCTCAGTCCCAACCCCAAGCTTTGCTGAGTCTTTCTAATCTTCCTTTTCTACAGACCCATCTGACCTCTCCCCTCCTCCCCAGGCTGCTCCTCGCCAGGCCGAGCTAGTTCCCAATTCTTCCTCAGCCTCGGCTCCTCCACCCTATAATCTTTTTATTACCTCCCCTCCTCACACCTGGTCCGGTTTACAGTCTCATTCCATGAGTAGCCCTCCCCCACCTGCCCAGCAATTTCCTCTTAAAAAGGTGGCTGAAGCTAAAGGCATAGTTAAGGTTAATGCTCCTTTATCAGACCTCTCCCAAATCAGTGGCGTTTAGGGTGTTTCATCAAATATGAAAAACCCAGCCCAGTTCATGGCTCGTTTGGCAGCAACTCTGAGACGCTTTACAGCCCTAGACCCTAAAAAGTCAAAAGGCGGTCTTATTCTCAATATACATTTTATTACCCAATCCACTCCTGACATTAAATAAAACTCCAAAAATTAAATTCCAGCCCTCAAACCCCACAAAAGGACTTAATTAACCTCGCCTTCAAGGTGTACAATAATAGAGTAGAGGCAGCCAAGTAGCAATGTATTTCTGAGTTGCAATTACTTGTCTCCACTGTGAGACAAACCCCAGCCACATCTCCAGCACACAAGAACTCCAAATGCCCGAACCGCAGCTGCCAGGTGTTCCTCCGGAACCTCCTCCCCCAGGAGCTTGCTACAAGTGCCAGAAATCTGGCCACTGGGCCAAGGAATGCCCACAGCCCAGGATTCCTCCTAAGCCACATCCCATCTGTGTAGGACCCCACTGAAAATCAGACTGTTAAACTCACCTGGCAGCCACTCCCAGAGCCCCTGGAACTCCGGCCCAAGGCTCTCTGACTGACTCCTTCCCAGATCTTCTCGGCTTAGCGGCTGAAGACTGACACTGCCCGATCGCCTCAGAAGCCCCCTAGACCATCACGGACGCCGAGCTTTGAGTAACTCTCACAGTGGAAAGTAAGTCCGTCCCCTTCTTAATCAATACGGAGGCTACCCACTCCACATTACTTGCTTTTCAAAGGCCTGTTTCCCTTGCTTCCATAACTGTTGCGCATATTGACAGCCAGGCTTCTAAACCTCTTAAAACTCCCCAACTCTGGTGCCAACTTAGACAATACTATTTTAAGCACTCCTTTTTAGTTATCTCCACCTGCCCAGTTCCCTTATTAGGCTGAGACACTTTAACTGAATTATCTGCTTCCCTGACTATTCCTAGGCTACAGCCACACCTCATTGCTGCCTTTTCCCCCAGTTCAAATCCTCCTTCACATCCTCCCCTTGTATCTCCCCACCTTAACCCACAACTACGACACCTCTACTCCCTCCTTAGCGACCGATCATGCACCCCTTACCATCCCATTAAAACTTAATCACGCTTACCTCGCTCAATGCCAATATCCCATCCCACAGCATGCTTTAAAAAGATTAAAGCCTGTTATCACTCTCCTGTTACAGCATGGCCTTTTAAAGCCTATAAACTCTTCTTACAATTCCCCCATTTTACCTGTCCTAAAACCAGACAAGGCTTACAGGTTAGTTCAGAATCTGCGTCTTATCAACCAAATTGTTTTGCCTATCCACCCCATAGTGCCAAACCCATATACTCTCCTATCCTCAATACCTCCCTCTACAACCCATTATTCTGTTCTGGATCTCAAACATGCTTTCTTTACTATTCCTTTGCACCCTTCATCCCAGCCTCTCTTTGCTTTCACTTAGACTGACCCTGACACCCATTAGGCTCAGCAAATTACCTGGGCTGTACTGCGGCAGGGCTTCACAGACAGCCCCCATTACTTCAGTCAAGCCCAAATTTCATCCTCATCTGTTACCTATCTCAGCAAAATTCTCATAAAAACACACGTGCTCTCCCAGCTGATCGTGTCCGATTAATCTCCCAAACCTCAATCCCTTACAAAACAACAACTCCTTTCCTTCCTAGGCATGGTTAGTGCGGTCAGAATTCTTACACAAGAGCCAGGACCGCACCCTGTAGCCTTTCTGTCCAAACAAATTGACCTTACTGTTTTAGCCTAGCCCTCATGTCTGCGTGAAGCGGCTGCTGCTGCTTTAATACTTTTAGAGGCCCTAAAAATCACAAACTATGCTCAACTCACTCTCTACAGTTCTCATCACTTCCAAAATCTACTTTATTCTTCCCACCTGACGCATATACTTTCTGCCCCCGGGCTCCTTCAGCTATACTCACTCTTTGTTAAGTCCTACAATTACCATTATTCCAGGCCTGGACTTCAATCCGGCCTCCCACATTATTCCTGATACCACACCTGACCCCCATGACTGTATCTCTCTGATCCACCTGACATTCACCCCATTTCCCCATATTTCCTTCTTTCCTGTTCCTCACCTTGATCATGCTTGATTTATTGATGGCAGTTCCACCAGGCCTAATCGCCACACACCAGCAAAGGCAGGCTATGCTATAGTACAAGCTACTAGCCCGCCTCTTAGAACCTCTCATTTTCTTTCCATCATGGAAATCAATCCTCAAGGAAATAACTTCTCAGTGTTCCATCTGCTATTCTACTACTCCTCAGGGATTATTCAGGCCCCCTCCCTTCCCTACACATCAAGCTGAAGGATTTGCCCCCACCCAGGACTGGCAAATTAGCTTTACTCAACACTCCCCGAGTCAGATAACTAAAATACCTCTTAGTCTAGGTAGACACTTTCACTCTCTTCACACAGACGTGCATGAAACAAATAAATCCAGGACTATGCGTCTGCATTCTGCATATCCCTGCTGGGATTTCTACAAATTATTTGCAATAAAAATTTGTTTAGAGAGAGGCATATATTTGCCATTTTTCTTCAACAGAAAGGTCTGTTCTTAGAAATTTATGGAAATAACTTGTATCTTCAAAAGTGACTACTGTTGACCTTCTATTTTTCAATTTTTATTTAGGTACAATTATTAAAATTTTAAGCTTTGATTATAAATTTATTCATTGTAGGAGATGGACTAAGTAAATTGGTACTGGCATATATAGTCTAGTGTCAGATTCATCAATGGTAGTGAATATTAAGTCATGTATATATTTAGTGTTTCTATAATTGATAACAGATTGGTTTGTAAGGTAAATCTGATAAGTTAAGGAATTGGTATTACTATTTAGTATTTAAAAACGCATTTTTTTGTACTTTTCCAAATCTTAGGATGAGGCAAGATGATGGTGTGCTGTCACTGTATTCGAATTACACAATGCACATGAAAAGTCAATAAATTAAAATTTTATACTTAAAGTCATTCCCAGTTTAAAGAATAGAATCAACAAAATATAGTTTCTGAGTAAAAAATAAATTTATAGGACTTGAACTTTGTTTTCTTTAAGCTATTGTTTATTTGCTGCTCTAGCTTCAGGTAAAACATTCTTATTCATTATTTAAAATATAAAATATGATAAATTCAACTTATAAAATTAAAAAAAGTTCAAGCAGCTACCCCAAATTATCAAACTAACTATGAAGACCATCAGGACTGTAGCATCACACAGCTCCTGTTGGAATCATTCACACAGACCAAACTGAGAATGGAAACCCCTGTTGTGCAATAAGGGATGTAAGTGGTGGTCTGTGGTTCTGGGAAAAGCCCTGCAGCCTCTATGAGGGCTGTGAATGCTTTTCTTTTCCTTTGTGTCAAGTACACAAAAAGGAGGACTTGAAATTTCACCCACTTTCTAATGTGCTCAGAACTTTCCCCCTTCTCCCTCTCATTGACAGCACTTGGAGCAGCCTGAGTAAGTACTTCATACTCAGTATCTACCAAAGGTGATTCACCTTGCTGTCCAACCTGTCTAGTTATTTTGTCCAAAGGAAGATACAGTACAGAGCCATTAAAAGGAACTACCCTCTTATTCTGTTAAAATGAAAGATGGGAACAATAACTAAGAATTCTTCAGTGGCCCTGCATGGAGCATGACCATATGTCCACATTTGCCATTATGACCAAATCTACAAGATCTTAGTTTGCAATGTGACACACAGCCATTTTTCACCTTGATTAGGCTACAAGATGGGAGCCATATCCTGTCTGTTGGTTAGAAGATTAATCCCCCAAGTAGTTTCAGGCCTATTCTAGTTGATTTGTTACAATTTACTGATGAAATCATATTCCAAAGTAACTAACCACATCTGTAAAATAAGAATTATAAATTACTTTTTGCCTAATGTAGTGAGATGGAACTTATTAACTCAGAGTGGTCTTAGATCTTTTCTTGTTAATCTTGAATTTAGTTCCCCTGAAGAAATATACACACACACACACCTGTAACTATACATACACATATATGTAATCTCAGAAATATTAGTCATGAATAAACCTTTTATAAATTGCTTTTTGTGGCAATGGCCTTAGATTCTTTCAACTTTTGATAAAATAATCAGCAGCTGAAGGTGTCTCTACATCCTTTACTCCTATTTCTTCAATTTCTCTACAACTTCTTGCCATGTTCTATCTGTCGTTCCAACTGCATGTTTCCTTGTTACTTTTTGTTAAATATCAATATGCTTATGTTAAAAAGGTGTAAATGAACAGTGTTTAGGTAAAGGGTCTGATAATAGAAAACTTGGTGGGGAGAGGGCATAATATTCCATTTTAAGGAAATTTCCCATAAAAATTATATCTATACAGAATTTATTTATGAGGGGTGAGTAACCACACTCACAGAAAAGCCCTTTAACTGTGCCCTTTGTGCTTTTAAACATTCAGCAAATCAATAATGCTTGATAGAGAGATATTTAGAGATTTGAGTAATAAGTTGAAGCTGCAGTTTTAGGAAGCAAAATAACAACAAAATGAGACTCATGAAGTTTTTCAGCCCTGAAATGAAAAACAAGCTCATGGAAAAAATTGACATTGATATCTAAAATGTTGGCCATTTAGAGACACCACTCTTATTGGCTATGTATCAAAGCTCTCTTTGAGATTGCATCTACCATATTTTAAATTTATGAGAAAAACACAGCAAAACATAGCATCCATCAGACATGGTATGAACTACTAGCTTGAAGTAGTTCATATTTCATGACACTACATTTCTCTCAATGATGCCACATCTTTGTTAACTTAGATTTTCATTGATTGCTCTGATAAAAAGTGCACAGAAATCAATATGAAATTGGTAATGAAGGTGATAGTATCAAAATAGATTCCAAAATTTGAGAAGTTCCAGGAGCATAAATCGACTTTGGCTCCTAATGACTTGGTAATTGTAATTTAAAAATAAAATAAAAATATTACTTTTTATTTATGCCTGTATTTTTCCTAAAGGCTACTACATTCTTAAGACATAAATTAAGTTGTTTGGACCTAACTATTCATAAGCAGAATAGTTAAACGTTGCTTTCGGTCAATTACTGAGACACAAAGGATCTGTGGATCAAGAAAGTTTGGGGATCTCTGAATCACACAATTTTGTTGTTTGACATTGTTCAATCATTTGAATCTGTTGATTTTGCTTTAAGAATAATCATAAAAGGCCAAGTGACATTCTAGGAAGTTTTTTTTGGTGTGCGTGTGTGTGTGTGTAATTCCTATATTCTGTGACTAAATAGTCCCCAGTTCCCTAGTCTCTATCTATAAGTGAATTGAGGCAGAGTTTTCTTAATTAGGTAGTTGGGTAGCATATACTGCTTTTTACACCTCCTCCTTCTGGAGTGAGAGTGATGAGGCTGCTCCATGGTAGACATAGGATAAAAACTCTTTGGTAGGAAGACTGCCAATATAATGGATCATGAGGTGTTGATGAAAAGGCATTTGATGCTGTTTGATGAAAAAAATTGATACAACTGTTTGGTATCTCATTCCTAGATCAATCTAAGAATGTTAAAATGTTGTCACCCTGGTTCTTATCACAAAGAATGTGGACATTCAGTTGAATCTTTGGGGCAACATTGTCTAGCCAATTATCAGCTACTTAGCCCTCTATCCTTGTCAGAAAGTCTTTACTCTCCAATGTGCAACTCAAACTCCTATTATTCCTAAGCCCTACTTTAATCCCCTAGATGCAATTATCAAGCCTTCTTTTCTGCACCTATCCATATCATTGTTTCTTATTGTTTATATGTGCTTTCCCTAGTTTGTAAATTTATTAAAAATAGGAATATTCTCAGGAAACCATTGTCAAGTTGTTCCAATGAGCCTCCTACTTCTATAAATAATTACAAACTTAATGATTTTTCTTCTCTTTTGAAAAACAAGTTATCATTAATAAATTATGATCGTTGCCCATTGCAGGAGCTTAATCTTATGGAATGCATAGAAAATGATACTAATTCTATAAAATCTGAGGGTAAATGGGTGTGGCCATGACTGACTAAGATACTGACTGGCTTTGGTCACCCCCAAGGTGAAGAGGAATCAATATTCCAGCACATCTGAAACCCACTTCTGGCATACCTATGTACTCAGCATATTAGTTGATTAAGTGAGTTTTATCATGCTTTGGTTACACTAACAGCATTATATAAATTTCACAGAAGAAAACTCACAAGCATTATAACAAATGTAATACATAAGCTTGTAAAATTCCTGTAAGATCTCTCTGTCCCAAAATAATTGAGCTTGATGTTTAATGTTGTTATTAAAGAACTATGCAGAGCTTGGCATTAAAACCATTTCTCCCCGGGGCCTCTGCCCACAGGGGAATCTTCTGAGGTGAAGTGGTTGAATGCTAGTCTTTTGAGATTCCATTACTATGATCATTTCTCATTCATGCAGTATTTGCTGGACTAATACGTAGCACAGACCAAGCACACAGGTAAATCGACCTGTCTAATCCGGGGTAAGGAGTGTAGGAAGTCATGAGGCTGTGGTGCCACGGATCATATCATGTTTAAAACACCTTTGTGGCTGTTATTCAGAATAAAATACAAATTCTTCACCATGGCTTCCGTGGTTGCATGCTGTAATTCCTCTAGCCTCATTCAATCACTCTACAAATATTCATTGAGTATTCCAAACATTTGGGATACATATGTGAGCTAAATTAAGATCCTTGCCCTCATGGTGTTAACATCTAAATGCAAGGAAAAAATAGACAAACTATAAAATAAATATGTATAGTAAATAGAATGTTAGAAGTAATCAGGCTATGAAAAAAATAAGAAGAAACTGGGGAGAAGAAACTAGGTTGAGAGAACCAGTAGGAAAGGGGTCAGCAGTTCTTTTCTGTAGAGAGCCAGATAATACTTAGGCTTTGCAGGCCATACAATCTCTATCGCAACTACTCATTCATTAATGTATTGTCTACAGCTGCCTTCCCAGAGTTGAGTAGTTGCAATAGAGATTGTTTGGCCTGTAAGGCCTAAATATACGATGTATATTTGTTTAATCAATGAGAGTGAATGCCATTTCTAAAGACTGCAGTCAACATTCAGTTCCAGCAAATTACCATGAAGGATTGAGGTATTTGTTATCAGATTGTGTAAGTTTTCTTTTTTCTTTTTTTCTTTTTTTTTTTTTGAGACGGAGTCTTGCTCTGTCACCCAGGCTGGAGTGCAGTGGCGCGATCTCGGCTCACTGCAAGCTCCGCCTCCCGGGTTCACGCCATTCTCCTGCCTCAGCCTCCCGAGTAGCTGGGACTACAGGCGCCCGCCACCACGCCCAGCTGATTTTTTGTACTTTTGGTAGAGACGGGGTTTCACCGTGTTAGCCAGATGGTCTCGATCTCCTGACCTCGTGATCCGCCCGTCTCGGCCTCCCAAAGTGCTGGGATTACAGGAGTGAGCCACCGCGCCCGGACCAGATTGTGTAAGTTTTCAAGAGAACCTAGAACTCCAAATTTTTATGTAAAAGCTCTCAATTTTAAATGACTTTAATTCGAAAACAAAAACCCTTTGCATATGAAACTGAATCTTTCTGCAAGCTAGTTTTCTGGTATTTCTACTATATACATTCACAGGGTAAATCGGTTGGTGTCTGTGAGTCTGTTTTCTACACTGCGCAGTGTGGAAACTGACTTAGGTGGCTTGTTAAAGTCAATGGCTAGTTAGTTAGTAGCAGTACCAGGCACAAACTGACTTCTTCTGATCTCCTCCTTTTATCCTCTGCCTATAAGCACTACACATGTTAAAACCATTTGTCCTGTAGGAGCAATATGCTGTCCTAAGGAAGTGTTCATAGACTTCATGTATAAACTTTTGAAATCTATATCAGTTTATGGAATATACATAGTTTTTTACTCATATTTTTTTACTTGGCTTTCCTCCTGAGGAGTAATCGTCCCAAATCTTTGGGTCTGTCTGGCATAATTTTCAAGTAAAGTAAAAGTCAGAAGGGATCACATTTCATTCAACAGTGCACCTCTGAGCACTGTGCCTAACCAATGGTAGATGTTTAATATATATGATTTGCTTAAATGAATGAAAGACATATGTAGTGATATTGATATTTGGGAACTGGATGTAACTGAAATAATATTTTGGGCATGTATTATTGGAAAAGCAATTTTATTCAAGCCATGAGTACTAAAAGTCTAATATTATTGACACAAATTAAATATATGGATAATTGTTGAATCTGTAATGAATGAAAAACTTGAATGACCTAAGGGTCCTAACTCTGAATATACAATACTAATTAATTGTGGATAATATTTATTGCACTTTTGATATGTGGTGAATATTAAGGATTTTACATTTATTATTAGTGTCTAACTTTAGAGGAACATAATTTTATTATCTTCATTTTGTGGGTCAAACAACTGAGGCACAGAAAAGTTACATTCCTGGTCCGGGGTCACACAGGCAATAAAGGGCCTAGCCATGGTTTGATCTCCAAAGCAGCCTTTCTTAAACTACTAAGAAGGCTACTGATGCTTTAGCTAAAGTGAACTTTTGAAAGCACAATTCTGGGAATTGTTTTCTCAAGTATACTAGTAAAATAAAGTAAAGTATTCTCTTTTTGCTTTCTTATTTTAAAATTATGGTATATCATTGCACACAATCAGCTAGTTGGAGGGCTTACCTAGGTGTTAAATGGTTAATAGAGGTTACAGTGTAAATGAAAACATCCTTTAATCTGGTCGTTGTGTCACATTTCTAACATTTCCATTTTCTTCCTTCTCTCACATCATTTACATATCAGTGTTTGCATGATTACAGCGGTTTTTTCTAATATTATTTGAGCTCTAAATGTTCCCTAAAAGCTACTCTATGTCATTGTGACTGGCGCTGTTTCCTAGTATGCCTGATAGTGTGGAGGGGTAAGATTCCTTTTTTTGTTTTTGTCAGTGATAGCAGCTGTCAACCCCCAAAACACTGAAAAACTGATATTAATACTGTTTTTGTCAAAGCAAGGGCAAGGCACTTCAGAAGTGAATAAATCTAGAACAGCCAACACTGCAGTCTCTTGAGCAGTTTATTTGTTATAAATACAAGTCAATACCACAAGATGGCACCTTTTTACTTTCAACACCTATGATTACAAACAATTATCTTCATAAAATGGTCTCAGCTTTTTAATGTGTTGTTTTAGATATTATTGAAACCTTATAAAAGCAAGACTTTGTACAAACAGGATCGGTGTTTGATGTATATTAAATGAGGTCAGATAATTAAATTTGAAAGAAGAATTTATAAATATTCAGATAAGAAAATTGAAATTACAAAAGCAGAGTTTGTCATCATTAAACTGAATTACAACTGTGTGTGGTTAATGCTATATCTACATGGATAAGTTTTTGTTAAAATACAGTTTTAGTAATCAAATAATCTACCTCATTCTCCAATTTAACCACATATTTCATTTGTACACTCTAACATTCAGTACACATTCCCTTCAGAAATGACCTAGCTTTCATCTAGTCCAGCAATTACACACACGCTGCTATTTTCAGTAGCTGCAACCCATGAAGCGCCATCATCCCCTGGCTACAAAACAAAATACAATATTTAAAGGTTAAAAACTCAGAGAATTTCTGAAATGGTAATCCATTCTCTCTGTGTTCATGAAAAATAGGCAATCCAATTTGAAAGTCTTTAAACCAAAGTAAACTCTAGAAAACTCAGTGTTGAAGTATGGGAAGAATAAAGACTTTGCACTAATATAGTGCGTAACAATGCAGTGTCAGACTCGTCATTTAGAGTAAATGCCTTGACTGTATTTTCCTCTGGATTGTCATTATGCTGCTGAAGATCAAGTTTACTCAAGTCTGTGGGAATTCCATCATGTTTTCTTCCTCCCAGTTCCAAACAGGAAGAGAAGGGTTTTCAGGTCCCTTGGGAAAACCAAAAAAATAAAACACACCCACAAACAACTTGAAAACAAAATGGCAGACCTAATAATCCTTGACTCCATGTCCAAATGAAGTTGAGGCAATATTACTTTTGCAATATTTGTATTCTGCCCAATATATCACATCTTGAGATTCCTCAAAAAACTGAGAAGTCTGAGAGCTACAAAAGAGAAAGCGGTTAAGGCAGTTGATGTCTACATTTGGATTTCTTTTTCAGATTACATGTCTAAGTCTCCATCGTAGGCTAAGGTCAGAGGCTTCTGTTGGGGAGGTGTGCTTTGATGTGGTTTTGGCTTCTTGCTGCAAAGGGAAAAAAATTCCTCAGATCAAGTAAGTTCATAGAGCTCTGTTTCATCTGCCAAAGACAATTTTGAGATACAGAAATTTAAGCGGTAAAATGACAAAAAGATTCATTTCTCTAGATGTGTGGGTTCCCTTTTGTGAATATTGAATGCTTTCACCCTCTGTTTGTTAAGGAGAAGCCATCATTTTTCACAATCTTAAAATTGGTTTAGTGGAATGAAGGAACTTAGTAGAAGAGTTGTTTTCCTTTTATATTCTTGATGATACACAACAACAGGAACGTCTTTTCTCACTAATTTTTAAGCTATTGTGACCTTCACATCACAGATGCTCAACATCATAAGCAGCTGGAGCAGCCAGGCCTCACCCTGCTGGTCTTGTTTTTAAGTAAACACACTTCTGCTCTGACCTGGAACCTGACATTTAGCTGCCAAGATGCCAGAGTGTGTCAGGAAAATTTAACCAATTCTACTCCGTGCAAAGCCATTCTCACCTGGTCTCTGCTTTACCTGAAGTCCACAACTTTGCCAGGTCAGAGAAGGCTGCTTTTCCTTCTCATGGAGAGAAAAGCTTAAGTTAACAACATTCCCAAATCACACAGTGATGCCCAAGATATGGGGCAAAACACCCTGCAGTACACTTCTTGTTTCTTAGTATGGGGAAATCTTAACTTGTATTTATAAATGCTTGTAACCTTTAATTCTGCCACTTAACTTCTCTCACCACCACACTTATCCTCTCTCCTCAAGGTCTTTGCTTTGCCCTGCCCACACAGCCCGGCTTCATCTCTCTCCCTGTCTCCAACCTTCCATGCTTTTATATTATATTAGCATCTATTGCTTATTCGATGCATACTAAGTGCCAAGATCTGTGCTGAATGTTTTACACAAAATCTCTCAAAACATCCCAGAACAACCCTGCAAGGGAGGCATTAGAATTATTGCTACTTTACAGAGAAGGACTACCAAGGCTGTTTACCTTCCCTTAGGTCACTGAGTGAGTGGCAGAACCTGAATTCTAAGCAAATCTAACACACAGACCTGAGCTTTTAACCTTTTCACCACACTGTCCGCATATATATATATATATATATATATATATATATATATATATATATGGCATTCATTTAGCACTTGGTAGAAATGACATTTTTTGTCTGCACATATGAATTAATTTTTGTATTCTGAGTGAATCTAACGTAAAAAACAAAGATTTTAATCTATACAATTCAGTGGCATTTGGCAGTCACAGCATGTGTACCATCACCATTATCTAGCTCCAGAACATTTTCATCGTGCCAAAAGGCAACTCTGCACTCTTCCAAGCAGTCCCTCCCCCATTTCACCCTGCTCTCAGCCCCTGGTAGCCATTCATCAATTAACTTTCTGCCCAAATAGATTTTGATATCTTAAATGGAATCATGCTGTATCTGGTCTATTGTGTCTGGCTTCTTACACTTAATGGCTAAAATTGTGAATTTTATGTTATGTGAATTTTACTGCAATAAAAAGTTGATAAAATTAAAATGGTTGTAGGGAGAAACTCCTAGTTTAAAATGCTCAAGTTTTAATTTGAGGAGTAAAATTATTTTTTTGATTGATGTTTGAAGCAAATCATACAAGTTAAAGAAATAAATTAAAAATGGTTTTGGCAGAAACCCTAAAAGGAACTGCAGATTCTCTCAGTGCCCCCCACCCTAGCACCTGGCATGCAGCGGGTGCTCATTGAGAATATGCTGAGTGCTGGGCAGAGATGGCTGCAGGCAAACAACTTCCAACCAGAGAAGCTGCGGAGATGCAAAAACAAGATTCAGAATATTCTCCAGAGGGAGCTTCAGCCTTCAATTTCCTGCTTTCCAGGTCCTCTCCAATTTTCAAAAGGGTATTGCTTAATTATCTGAATAACATTCAATTTAACTTTATCTATACTAAGTATGTTCCAGTGACTCTAATTATACTGATGGGCTCAGGCTCTGGCATGAACCCCACTTGACATGGAGTCCTGGGTATACCATTCCACAGCATTTAAAGGTGCTAAGAAATCATGCACACACCAGAGGGTGAGGCAATCTGAAAGTGACAGCCTGTAAAACCTGATGGTGGTGGTGGTGATGGGGTGGGTTGTCTTAATGGCAAAAAAGAGTACAAGGAAGTTCATCTGAAATTACAGTAGGAGTCTTCTCCCTCCCACCTCTCTTGGTTTTCTTTTTTCTGCGGGAAGGGAGCAAAGAAGAAGAGAGGGGTAAGAAATGTAGTTGCTTCCAAAACAGAGATTTTGGCAGTCTACCTTTAATGGGCATTTGCTAAAGGCCACTGGGCAAGGAGAAATTAGACAATCCTAAGCATTGGGGAGTTGAGAATGCAAAGCCAGGAGAACGGCTAGAGGTGGTCATATCTCTATAAAGAGACAATACTATCACCTGGGAGACACGTCAACTTGGCCAGCCTCTATGATCTAGGCTTGGAATATTCTATTCAAAATTTACACAAATATGTTTATACCACTTACCATGTTTGGAATCACGGACACTGTGGCCAGCGGGGGCTACTAATAGGTAGGCCTTGGACCTTTGTGGGCCATGTGGTGTGCTGGGGATCATTGGGATTAGGACCTCATTTATCAAGCATCTTTTCATATTGTGCAACCTCCCAATTGCCAGACACCAAAATCACAGTTACGAATACATGAGATCTGAGAAGTTTTATGGCTTTGAATAGATCAGCCTCCTCTCAAATATTAATCTCTGGACCACTGAACATGGTAGTACTTTGCCGAATAGCAGCTTAGCAAGGCTTTCTGGCCAGTAAAAAAGAACCTCAGGAGGAGGAGCTGAGGGGCAAGACTGCACTCAGCAAGGCCAACACTGAGGAGGCCAGCAACTAGGAGGCTTGTCTTTAGAACCTCTGGCTTGCTTTCCTTTCTCCCTACAGTATCCACATTTTTCCTTTAGAAGTAAGTTTATTTCTTATTTTTTCCTCCTCCACTCTGGTTTCAGAAAAGGTATGTTCACCTCCCTCACTCACTAAATCAGGACCCATAAATGCCTGGCACATATGCCACCAACACCACCAGTCATCCTGTGCCCAGGTGGACATCTCTAATCCATCACTCTATTCTCTCCTGTTGAGCTGAGGTGTAGCCTCATCATTCTTCCTAACAGCACTCTTGACAGCCATAGCCACTTTTAGAGTTGGCACACAGCATAAAACCATTTTGCAATCCTAGCTGTGAAAGATCACTGGCAGACACATTTTAAAGTTACCTCTTTTAGGGTCATTTGCATTTTAGCAAAGGACAAAAATGAATTAAGCCAGAAAAGTGAGCTCATTGTGGACTGACAAGCAAGCCTCTGGCACTTCTCAGCAAGGACTCATTCTCAAGCCAGGAGAGATTAACTAGTTTGATGAAAGCAGCAAACCACATTTTGTTTTGGCAGCCATTTGTGAGAGACAAGCCTTTGGAGGTGCAAGTACCACTCTCAAACTTGGGAAGAATAAGAATGCATTACAGAACTGTGCTGGGCCAGGCAGAATGGACATTATTATCTGGTGTAACTTCCAGGTGCTACATCTAGGTTAACAGCAAGTTCATCCAGTGGTCATCCCCATTAAATTGCTTCATGGATATTTACTGCCAGAGGAGAAGGGGCATCAATAATATTTCTGAAACTCCAAACACTAATGGTAGATGTTCAAAGGCTAGTATTTGAAAGAAGTAGTCTTTAGAAGGCTATTTTTTTGACATTTTCTCAGAAGCATTTTCAAGTTTTACTATAAATTGCTTTCATCTGAAGTATACACCAAAGACCTGGCATATTATAGCAGTTCTCTTGTCCTAAGGCTTCTGTTTTTGGCAAAAATATAAAATCTCTAAAACTGTCATCCTGTAACTCTTCTGCAATCCATTTAATAGAATTAGATGCTGTGAAAATATCTATTTGGGTTTCTTTGGCGGCTCATATGTAACAGTAAAAGGTACGTGTTTTTATAACAATAGGTCTGTAATAGGTCAACAGCTTACTTTACCTGTGAAACAAAAATCCTCTAGGAAATGTGGAAGCTATAGACATTATGTTGAGTCTAAAGAGTTTTGGGCATCACTCAAGAGAAAGAAATCACAATGACTCAAAGACCAGTAGAAAGAGCATGAACTCTAGGGATAGGCAAACTCTAGGGAGAGGCAAACCTGGGGTTGATTCTACCATGCTGGTGACCTCAGAAAAGTTATATAATTTCACTACGGATCAATTACTCTTTAAAATAGGGATGGCAATAGCAACACCTCCTTGAATTATTATGATTGAATAAGGCAATGTATGTAATATTTGACATATAAATATTAGATTTTTTTTCCTATACTGTTTTTCTAAAAATCACGGGCAATAAATTAGTTTATACTAATACATTTTATATATTTGCTCAATAAATCTTTATCAAATTCATGCTTTAAAACAATCCATAAAGCATAGTCATTACCTCTCCCCACCCAAACTCCCTGGAGTTTGATAGAGGAGGAAGATGTTTATATAAATAACTACAATATTATCAATCATGGGGTAACTACCACGACAAAAGAGACATGAACAAGTTATTCCAGACTGTTTAAAAAGGAAAATGTTGGTATTTGAGTTTTACAGGGATTAATGAACAGGTAGAGTACCAATAGCTAGCAAGGGGAAACAAGGAGTAAGCCACAGAAGCAGAAACGTCCTTGGAAAATTAGAGGGGCAGTACCCTAAGTGCCTGATACGGTTAGGCTTTGTTTCTCCACCTAAATCTCATCTTGAGTTGTAATCCCTATAAACCCCATAATCCCCACATGTGAAGAGAGAAACTAGGTGGAGGTAACTGAATCATCGCTTCCCCCATGGTGTTCTCATGATAGCGAGTGAGTTGTCAAAAGATGTGATGGTTTTATAAGGGGCTTTTTCCCCTACTCTCAGCACTCAATCCATTCTGCTGCTCTGTGAAGAAGGTGCCTGTTTCTCCTTTGCCTTGGGCCATGATTGTAAGTAAGTAAGTTTCCTGAGGCCTCTCCAGCCCTATATAGAACTGTTGAGTCAATTAAATCTCTTTCCTTTATAAATTACCCAGTCTTGGCTATTTCTTCTTCATAGTAGTATGACAATGGATTAATATAGTGCCCTAATGTGAAATTATTCCTCCTAAAATTATCTTTCAGAAAGAGGCAATAGTCTTTTATTCAATGACTATAAAATCTTTTACATAATGAGGGGCTACATTTGTTATACCACAAGCTTTTTTTTTTTTTTTAAAAAAAAAAAAGCAAATCATAAATATACACACAACACAAATAAAATGGCCATCTCCCTAATATATGCAGATAGGTATTTGGATGTTAGGATAAAACTTCTGAAACAGCAGCACAAAGAGATCCAAAGAAGTGCTGTATCGCAAACAACTTGGGTGGAAATGAATATACTAAACCTGATACTGAAGTGAACTGTGGAAAGAAAGACTAAAGCAGTGATAAGAGTGACTTATCTGAAAGGTAGATGTAGACATTGAATAAAATTCTATTATGAATATGAAATTAGAGAAGACAAGCATTTTTTTTTTTTTTTTTTTTTTTTTTTTTTTGAGGCGGAGTCTCACTCTGTCGCCCACGCTGCAGTGCAGTGGCGCAATCTTGGCTCACTGCAAGCTCCGCCTCCCGGGTTCACACCATTCTCCTGCCTCAGCCTCCGGAGTAGCTGGGACTACAGGCGCCCGCCACCACACCTGGCTAATTTTTTGTATTTTTAGTAGAGACGGGGTTTCACTGTGTTAGATAGGATGGTCTCGATCTCCTGACCTCGTGATCCGCCCGCCTTGGCCTCCCAAAGTGCTGGGATTACAGGCATGAGCCACCGCACCTGGCCGAAGATGAGCATTTTATATAATGAAATACTGTATTTATATATGATGTAAGATAATAAATGGAACTATAATTTAGCACATTGATTAAATATTAGCATAGACAATTTACTCTCTTATCGAAATCAAAGTTTATTTAAAAAGTCAATTTTTTTTCTATTTTAAAAAATTTTCCTTGTTAGAAAATGAAGACTTAAATGTGTTTGGACCTATACAACACACCAGCCTGTACAGGGTATAGGGAATTAGTAGCAGATAAATTTGAAAGAGTTTTTTGGGCTCCAGTTGTGGAAGACTTTAGTCAACTGGTGAGGCAGCCAAAACATGACTTTAGTTTTGCTGTCAGTGGGAAGCCAGAGCTCATCTATGAGTAGGAAAGGGCTGATCCCTGGAGCTAAGCTTCAGAAAGACGAATCTGGCTGTAGACTGCAGATGGGAGCCGGTCCAAATATGAGCGCTACTTCCACAGGGACATTATTAAAGGCAGACATTGGGGATCAAAAAAATGGCTATGAGATACAATATGCATAAATATTTATGTAATTTGGCTACTGAAAAGTAAAGAGAAATTTCATTGGTATTTTATACTTAAAAATTCACCAAAAAGCAATATATCCATGTAGCAAAACTGCATTTGTATCCCATGAATATATATATATAAATGCTCTAGAAAGTGGTTTGTTAACAGAATTCAATGATGTACCTAATTAATTCCCAGAGCCTAGAGTCATGCAGAAAGGGGCCTTAATAAATATTTGTTGTCGAAGGAATAGATTATGGTTAACACATTTTTAGGTTGAAGGGAATGGAGGAAAACAAAAAGGAAAAATGTATGTGTTACTACACGTAAATTTTTAATCTTTTAAATACTTAGGGGAAATGGGAACCATAGAATCTAGATTTGGGGATATGGCTACTAACAGCTAGAATTCATCTAAGCTTTTATAGACCGATAGACTATCTAATTACCTTACACTGGGTTGGCCTACTGATTGCTTTGAAAGCAGTTTCCTATTGGCCAAACCTTCGTGTCCTTTGCTGCAATTTAAGAAATTTCCTCCTTGTTTTAATCTTTTCTGGTGGTGAATGCTTCCTATTCCTTTAAACCTCATACAAAGCTTTCAAATTCACATTTGTTCATTAAAAGTAGATCTAGGCAATACTAGCCAAACATCAATTTGAATAAAGAAAATCAGTAAAAAAAAAATTGATTCTAGGATGAATGACCAACTGAAGATGAACTTTTCACTACAACAACAGGGAAATGTTAGTTGGATAGAAATCTAATTTCTAGGGATTCAATTTCTATCACTGTAGGTGGCAGAAAGAATTAAAGTCACCTTATTTTCTTCATCAACTTTCACTGACCAAGAGCAAAAATTTAAAAACCTGTGTAGCCTTGGAAACAGAACTTGAGGTTAATAGACAATGGCTGAATTTGAATCAAGATTAAAACTTGGGTAAAAACTCTCCGGAAAATAGTCTCTGGGACAGATGATGAATATAAATATATTTATTAGGAGAAAAAATTGAAGTAACACTTTGATCTCATTAAAATTAAAAAAAATCCATTGAAACTTCTGCTCAGAAAGCTGATATAATATTCTTAGCACACTTGAAAACATTAAAATCTACAGTTGACCCTTGAACAACACAGGTTTGAACTGCATCAACTTATATGCAGAATTTCTTCCGCCTCTGCCACCCCTGAGACAATAAGGCAAACAGCCCTTTCTTCCTCCTCCTCCTCAGCCTAGTCAGTATGAAGATGGTGAGGATGAAGACCTTCATGATAATCCATAACTACTTAGTGAATAGTAAATATATTTTGTATTCCTTATGATTTTCTTAATTACATTTTCTTTTCTCTAGCTTACTTTATAGTAAGAATATACTATATAATTCATATACAAAATATGCGTTATTTGACTATGTTATTGGTAAGGCTTCTGATCAAAAGCGGGCCATTAGTAGTCAGGTTTTGGGGGAGTCATAAATTATACTTGAATTTTCGACTGTGTGGGGAGTAGGCACCCCAGTCCTCCTCACATTGTTCAAGAGTCAACTGCATTTACTTCTGTCTGGTTTCAAGAGCCGTTCATCAACTTAAATATATTCTGTATGATAAACTAGTTATTATTTTCTGAGATTAATAAATTCTCAGAACTAGTCACTTTACAAAATGGTTTTTTTTTTTTGCAAATGACCATCAGTTAAATTTTGTCTCATAGCTGGTCAATATAGCAAAACAACTTGCTCTACTATTTAAAATGTGCTTACAGGTTCTTTCAACCAACTGGTCATTTTAACCTAACCATTCAAAATTTAAGAACAAAATTTAAGAACTAAAATAATCTATGGTAATTTTCTTATCTGTGACCACAGATTAGAATTACCTGAGAAGCTTTACAACACCCAGATGACCTGGCCACACCTAAGACTAATTAAATCAGAACCTCTGGGGAGTGAGATCAAGCCTGATTCCCTAGGAGACATCAATGTATTGTCAAAGCTGAAAACTACTGATCGAAATCAAAACATGCAAATGGAAAAGTTCTGACCAGTGATTTTCATATTATTCAAATACCAAATTTAAAAAATGTTATCTCAAATAAGAACAAAAAAATAATGATTCCTCATTTCAACCATTCAGCCATTCTACTGTTAATTTTTGGACTCAAGAATCCTGTTATAATGGGCAATGATCCTGAGATACTTGTTTTAAGTATAACATGAAATCCATAAAAATACGGAACATAAACTTTTTACTAATTAGTACTTACCAAACAAGGTAGGAAGTAAATATTAGGAAAATCATGATGAGAAAAGCGCCACCTGAAACGCCATAAACCCAAATTTTTACTCGGCCATCTGTTTAAAATAGAGATAACATAAGAAGCTTAGCATACAGAAGTCTGCAGCATTTGAGAGATAGGGCAACATCAGATCTGACAACCCCAAGCTGACCATCAGTTCTGTACTTGAACAGCAGCACTTTAGCCAACTGTGCACTCAACTGCAGAAGTTAGCAATGCTCTAGCATACTCTGTAAATTGCCAGGTATAATCAGGAATTAAAAAGATTCTCTTAGAACATCATAGGAATACGGGTTTCCTACTAGAAATTATGTCTATGAAAAAAACCTTAAATGTTATTACATGGTACCATTTTTAATGAACTTTTACAGATAAACAGTTTGCATTGTTGTTTGATTTTTAGCAAATTAACTCTCAAAAACATTAGGTTGTAACTTCATGGCACCAAATGTTTATTTTACTGAATGTTTTACTTTTCTTCTGAATTCTGAGACACGCATAAGTCAGTCATAAGCATAGGTGGAAATACACATAGGTAACAGCTCTCAAATGAAGAAAAAAAGCGAAAATGTAAAATGTAAGATAGTCAATCAAATTTTTTCATAATACCAAACAAACACTGGTAATCATTAGTTCATAAAATCCAGCCAATTGTTGGGCTAATTTGAATTTATTTTAAGGTGTTTATAGTCATATGCATATACAAAAATATGGCAAAACATTTGACAAAAAGAACAAAGAAAATTATAATTAAGAGACAACCTTGCATGGAAAGAAAACTACTATGACCATTTTTAGTGGCTCTACTTCCAAAATGATGCTAGGCAAACAAAAACCACATGACCAAACAAGTTAATCAATTCACCAAATTACTGTAAAATTATGACCATGTGTCTGCAAGTACACATTATTCTGGATCTGATATCTACTACAGTTAACAAAATGAATCAACCATATATTTTAATCTATTATGTTACTTTTATTCTATATAAGATATAAGCTTGAGTATATATACATATATTCACAAATATATATATGCTTTTTCTACATGTGATAGAAACTTGAGTTGTTTCTGTCACTCTAATGTCTTTTTGCTCTATTTTATATGAGCATATAGCTAACTAAACTTAGAATTGGACTGACAAAGGCAATGTCTCAGCATCCCAAAGGAATTGCATTTATTTCTGGAAGAAACACACACAGAGATTCATTATACTACACGAATGTAATTAACTACAGGTCCAAAATACACATAACAGTATCTTATTTGAAAAGCTTCTATGGGGGGGGGAAATCAATCAAAATCTATTGTAAACAACACTTGTTTTGAATAAAATCACAATTACTTTCAATTACATTACAACTACCTATTATAGTTTTTGCTTATAGGACACTTTCAAGTCTCAATCAGATTTTAGAATGAGGTTCAATGTAGTAATTGTATTTTTCTATGGTCATAAAACTTTTACCAAAGCTTTGATTCTAATCTCTTTGAAACACTAATGATGAAATGGCCTAATCTGAGTTTTTACATTGATCAAAAAAAAAGTCTTTCCTGAGTGAGAATGCTCCTTATAGCTTATAATCCATAACAACTTATGGATTGGTGCATTGGGAGGATCCAGTGCTTTTAAATACTCAGTTTAGAGGTATGTGGTGGTACAAAACCTTTAAGCCATGTTACTTAATAAAAGCATTAATGTATTCTGTAAGAACATAAAAAAAGATAGGCTAAAACTTCTAACTATTAAAAAAGATAATAGTGAAAAATAAGTCTTCCCACCAACCTCTCAATTCCCTACCCAGTAGCTATTACTGTTACCAGTTTCCTCGTGAATCTTTCTAGTTTTTCTCTGTATATGCAAGCATCTGAGCACACACATACCAATTCATACACTTCTTAAAAAGACACAAATGGTGCATATCATTCACTTTGATTTGTACTTTTTCTTTCACTAAACAATATAGGTTGGAAATATTTTCATATTAGTTCATAAAAGAAGGTCTACCTCTTCTTAGTATCCCTGTGATAAACCATGACACAGTTATATCATATTTTGGTTTTCCCATTATTCTATTTGTGGGCATTTATATTGTTTTCATTCATTTGCTATAATAAGCAATCATGTAATTCATATAATTTACGGACTTCTTTTAGTATATGTGCATATAACTGCATGATGAGTTCCTTAGAGGAACATTTTAGGTCAAAATATATGACAGGTAAATAAGTATATTAGTATGGCCTAACTGTCCTCCTGACAGGGTGCTCTAATTTATACCCTCACCATGAGAACCTAATGAAAGTTGTAAACTCTCCCAAGACCAAATATATATTTTATATATACTTATCTATATATATAGATACAAATATAAACACACACACACATGCAATTTATATACCAATATACATATATGTGTGAATACATAAACTTTTGTGTATCTAGACACACATAGACACACACACATATACTCACACATATGATATTGCTGTGTTAGTTAGATCTCCAAATTCCATCCATGGATAAAAGGTTAAGGGCTTACTTGTGGATTTGAAGACTCATTTCCCTGGGACCTCAACTTAATTCTGTGTCAGAAATAGGATCCACAGGCAATGGGTGAACCTGGCTATATTTAATATCATGCTTCCTTCAAATTTAAATCTACTTCTAATTTAGCATTAAAGCTAATGAGATGTTTTTAAACACCTTTGGCATTCCCAGACACATAGGGGAAGCAAAAGTTGACTAAGATATGGTGGTAATTCTTAAAAGTTGATTGAGGGGTATAAATATTGCTTCTCCTGTTAGATCTGTGTTTCTTTGGGCCTGGGCTTTGGATTTTGCTTCATTTAAACAGGTCATCAAGACATTTCTGGTATGGCTAAGGCCTAGGGTTTGGAAGGAGAGTTCCTAGGGTATATTTGCCTGAGTTTTTCTGTGTTTTCCCTTCCCATGCCCTAGGAGTTAATGTTGCTTTGCTTGATCATTTGTAGCATTTTGTTTCCGAAAGAAGTATGTCTGATGGCCACAGAGACTGGCTTTCCCCTTCTATCCAATTCACAAAGTAGGAAGCAGGGACAGGGGTTTGTAAAAGCCTAAAAGATCTGCCTTTAAAACCTTCCTCTGTCACTTGCTGGTGGTGTGAAACTGATAAAATTAACCTGCACTGCCATTTTCAGTTTCCTCATCTCTCAAATGGGATGATAACATCTCATTAGGTTGCAAGAATGTAATGAGACATTTCATGCTGTACAACCAGCCAGCACAGAGCCACAGGACACACAGAAAGCATCTAATAAATGTCCATTCCTGCACTTAGTAAGAGTCGATTACTGAGCCCTACAGGCCTAATACTGCAATATCCATGACAATCCTGCAGGATAAATACCACTAGATTGGGTTTATAGATGAGAAAACTGAGGTCCAGAGAAGTTAAGAAACTATACATAATCACAAAACAGGTGTGTGTAAGCCATGGGTCCAGTAAGGTCTAACTTTGAAACTGATACTCTTTACCTTTTCACTAGTATTTCTTGAAGCAAATAGGATCTCTGGACATTTCTTATAAGTTCTTGAGGTTCTATTCCAATTTTGTCATTTTAGTTATATATACAAATTCAGTTATAAGAGTAGATCATTTTTCAGAGATAATTTAGGATTGAAAGATATTTTCAGGCCGGGTGCAGTGGCTCATGCCTGTAATCCCAGCACTTTGGGAGGCCAAGGCGGGAGGGTCATTTGAAGTCAGGAGTTCAAGACCAGCCTGGCCAACATGGCGAAACTCATCTCTACTAAAAATACAAAAAAATTAGTCAGGTGTGGTGGCAGGCACCTGTAATCCCAGCTACTCTGGAGGCTATGGCAGGAGAATCGCTTGAACCTGGGAGGTGGAGGTCGCAGTAAGCCGAGATCACACCACTGGACTGCAGCCTGGGCGACAGAGTGAAATTCTCTCCCCGACCCAAGAAAAAAGAAAGATTTTTCAAAGAATATTATTTTTGTTACTTAACCCACTGTTTCTTAGACTGAGGTTGAGAGACTTACGTTCAACCATTCATGAAAACACTGTACACTTAAAGGGACTCATATATCATGTAATATTCAAATCTGAGAAACCCTGAATTATGCCTTACTGCCTCTTTCTTCTCTCCTCTTTTCCTCCTTCCCTCCATTCTTTCCATCATGAGAAGTGGTCAAAATATAGACCTCCCATGAGAAAATTTTCATTTCTTACTCACAACTGAAACTCACCTGGATCAAGTGGTTGAAGAGACCATCCTTTAAAAATATCATGTATTTTTGAATTCACAGGTCTGTTTTTCCCAGAAAGGTTTTTCACATCAGCTTTTTTATCCTCTGAGCCTGGTACTTTCATGCAGTAATCCAGGAAACCATTTGATTTCATTATCTCTGTATAGCCCTTCTCACAACCACAGACTCCACCCTACAGCATAAAGAATATTTTTATGGTTACACAGTGAGTTGAACAGGTGAATGAATAAAAATATAATGTTAAAATCACTTAATATTTGCACTATACATCATGGCAATGTAGGGTTTGGGGCAACTGACTTACCAGTGACATGAAAATCAAATACATAGTTCATCTTTTTAAATTCCAAAGTCAGCTCTTAAATCAAATGTTAGGTTTTTCAAATGTGTTTACAATTCTGACACCTGCCAAATATTAAACCATAGTTCTTTGTGAATAAAGTTAATTAACTATGCTTTTCCTCTCTCTTTTTGTCTTTTTTTTTTTTTTTAGATGGAGTTTCACTCTGTTGCTGATGCTGGAGTACAATGGCACAATCTCAGCTCATTGTAATCTCCGCCTCCCAGGTTCAAGCACTTCTCCTGTCTCAGCCTTCCGAGTAGCTGGGATTATAGGCACCCGCCATCACACCTGGCTAATTTTGTCTTTTTTTTGTTCTTTTAATAGAAACAGGGTTTCACCATGTTGGCCAGGCTGGTCTTAAACTCCTGACCTCAGGTAATCTTCCCACCTCGGCTTCCCAAAGTGCTGGGATTACAGGTGTGAGCCACCATGTCTGGCCATCTTTTCCTCTCTTATGGAGATGTTTATGGCATTTAATCAAATTATCTTCAACTCTTATCTCCATTTGTTTCAGATCCTTGCCTAGTTGCTCCAACCCACCCTTCTTACTGAGAAGCAAAGCAACAGGGATTATGTACATATCTTCTTTGAATTAAGTGTTCTTGCTATCACAGCCGCGAAATCCCTCCATCACCTTTTACCATTGACCACTAAATGTTAGAGTAGGTAGCTAAGAAGACATAAGCAGGGCAGGAGAAGGGTCCCCCACCAGGAATGTCAGGCAACCATCAGGTGATGGTTAGGCAGCTGTTAAACTGTCTCTCTAAAATAATAATTGGTTGCAGCGAGCACGAGGGAAAGGCAGTCTCCCAAAAGATAGAAAACACCTGGCCGGGCGCTGTGGCTCACGCCTGTAATCCCAGCACTTTGGGAGGCCAAGGCGGGTGGATCACAAGGTCAGGAGATCGAGACCATCCTGGCTAACGTGGTGAAACCTGTCTCTACCAAAAATACAAAAAAAAAAAAAAAGAAAAAAAAAAAATTAGCCGGGCGTCGTGGCGGGCATCTGTAGTCCTAGCTACTTGGGAGGCTGAGGCAGGAGAATGGCGTGAACCCAGGAGGCGGTGGTTGCAGTGAGCCAAGATCATGCCACTGCACTCCAGCCTGGGTGGACTGAGCAAGACTCCATCTCAAAAAAAAAAAAAAAAAGAAAAAAGAAAACACCTGAAGCTGGTGATCAGTAGCTTCCTAATAAAATCTCAGGAGCTGGGCAAATGGGCTCAACCGTGCTCACTAAGAGGCAAAATGGAGGAGTTTAACTGGTATATGATCTTCCTCTAGGAACACACAACTTGTAAGGGAAAAATGCCTAAAGTGAGCATGTGTACAACTTCAGTAAACACGCTGTGCATGCGGCCCCTCCCAAGTCCTGGCAGGCCACTGTGGATGGCCACTATGCATGTGGATGGCGCACCCTAAGGGAAGAATCGGGGGAGAGGGAAAACGACCTCTACCCCTGAAGCATGCCAACATATAAAACCCAAGTCAAAGGTCAAAGAGGGCACTTGGCCTTCTTCCAAGTGTACTTTACTTCCTTTCTTTCCTGCTCTGAAACTTTTTAATAAACTTTCACTCTTGTTCAAATACTTGCCTCAGTACAAGCATAAGTACATTCTGCCTTATGCCCCTCAGATGAATTATTTCCTCGGAGGAGGCAAGAGTCAAATTGCCGCAGACCTGTATGGATTCGCTGCTGCTGACATAACCATGTCAAACTACGTCTCTGCTTGTAGGCTTACTTCTGCACTCAAGGAGGGCAGCCTTACATGGGAGATAAAAGACTTCACCAAAGACGCATGCTCAAGAGAAATATACCTATGCCTATCTGAGTTACTCCTTCCTTGTAATAACTCGAGTGTCACCCCACATCACATCTCTAGTTGGCATTGTGACAATGGGTCTTTTATATTAGTCTGTAAATTTCTGGTCATTTTTAAGTACAATGAATGTCACCAAGAAGCAGATTATTATGAGACATGATGGATGAAGATTCCTATCTGTCTCTGGAAGTGAACTTGAAAATAACTGCTCTTCCTCCAGCAAGTATACAGACAATAGAGAAGAGTGGAAGAGAATAAGCATAAGATTATGAATCTCTATGACTTCGCTCTTATGGCTCCTTACCTAAAGCTATTTATCTAGCATTTTCTGAACAGACCTTAGCTTCACATAGCTACTCATGCCAATCCTCATCAACCAGTTAACTTTATTTAGGTCATCAATTATTGACTGAACACATGATTTTGAGGAGAAACAGATACTAAAAGTAAACAAAGCACCTCAATCTTCTACAAAAGAAAAAAAGTAAGAGCACATGTTATAGTTAACAGCCTATAGTTTAGTTCAGGTTGCATTCATATAATAATAACATAAATATGATATTTTCAGTTGGTTTTAATTGAAAGTATCACAAAATGATATCTTCATATCACAGTGGAGATATCTAAGCAAATTTGTATGTGCTTAGCTATTGAAGCCATATTCTCAAGATGCATCTCTATTTTTAGCATGAGATAAAACTTGTAACCAGTCAGTCATATGTTCAAGAGTTCAAGGAAAAAAGTATTTTCTGTTTAATTAAAGAGGACATCCAGAGAGTTGGTGAAAAGCTACAATTTCTACTTTTTAAACATCATTAACCCAAATGGAGTTGTTCCTGAACTTCCCCTCTTTTCCTTCTATTCCCCTCTGCAAGCTGACCCACTGTCTTTTCTGTGGTAAAGAATTAACCCATCTTGATTTGTAAGGCCAATAATAGGACTGAGTACTTGAATTATTTTTAATCAAATCACTTTTAGAATAGGCATACTATAAGAAAAAGCTTGTTTCTTTAAAAAATGTAGTATAGTTTTTAAGAATTATAGTGCACTGCACACCATGAGTGCCATTGATTAGAATACATTACATGTTTTACATTAATTCCTGAGTTGTGGTAGATGGGAGTTATAGGAGAAAAAGCACAAATAAATTTCTGCTTTGAAAAAAAAATACATGCATAACCGCCACCCCATACACATATTTTTTTCAACCATAGTCACATATTCAGTTTATTTAAAATAAACTAAAAATGTACTCACTCAACAGTAATCATAGTGTAATACAATTTGCATAATAACTTTAGCAAATATGAACATTTATAGTATCTTTCAAAATAGTTGAGGCGTATAAAAGGTTAAGAAGAGAAGACATAAGTCAACTGAGAATACTTACTGGTAAATAGAGCTAACATAAATTAGGTATTTGAAAGATAGATTTGGCTAAAGACAGATTTATAGAAAAACACTGTTAATACATGGTCCTGACGAGAAATTCTTTATAACTGGGATTACTCCTGCAAATGCCTCTAGATGGTATCATGGGCACGTGGAACTGCTGCTTGGGCTGCAGCCGGCAGGAGAACATCTGATTGCATGTGTAAAACACAGCAATTAATGCACTTATAGAAGACTCCAGCACATGACTCACCTGTGTACAGTAGGAGAAAGGTTTTCTGCAGGCTGGAATGCACTGCCGAATGGCAGCAGGACGGGCCTGAGGGGAGCAGCCTCCTGCAAAGGAAATTCCACCATCATTTGCAGATTTCTCTATTAGATATTTCTAATTTTTTGGTATTTTTTTTTAACCTGTGCCACCGGCCTCTTTGCAACAGTATTATTATTTTTGAAAAATCTATTTGCCAACATTGTGGTCCAAGCCTATTTTATTGATTACTCTAAAATGAATTGAGATGGGAGGCTCTTCTAACAGAGGCTATTTGCAGTAGAGTTTTTATACTGTTTATTGGCGATGTGATTCTATCATACGGCTATGCTTGAGCACAAAGTCTATGTGAGCCAGAATCTGTAGAAGAATTGATAAAATCTAAATTTAAACTCAGGAGCAGAAAACATATCTGCTGGAATACTCCTTCTACATATATACTGCTTCAGCTCCTGAGCACCCAGGTAGGCACTAGGCCGATTTCAACAACCCAGGAAATGCTAAAAGAATGCCATGAATGAATTCATGGGACCATGGTATCAAATATGTTGGTAGTATTTTTAAATGTAAGTCAACTGGAATACATGCACACAGAGTCACGTATAAACACATTCTTAAGAGCAAGCACCGAAGCTCTAGGAGAGACAATCAAACATCTGACACAGTACTTGTTCCTGCTCCGTACATATTTTTGAATAAATGGATGAGACAATGTATGTCTCTGTAACTGGAAAATCATTTACATACTAGTCTTACTTTGCTAAATTCAAGATAGTAAAAGAGACATGAGACAAAGCCTAGAGAAAATTTGACAAAGCACCATTTATATAGTACTGGTTGCATTGAAAGGTTCTAGCGTTTGGATAAGTACAATTGTCAACCCATTATAGTTTATAGTTTTGTAGCTAGCAAAAAGCTCTGGGCCTAAGGCAGAGTAGCGAACAGTCAGACCTACATTGTCCCTGGGAATGAAGCAGCTAAATTCTCACTGTGACTTGAAAAATAACACAAAGAATCCACACAGAAATTTTTAAAAAGCAAAATTCACAGTCCAGAATTAGCATCTAGGTGTGAAATTGATAATTTCGGTGTTAGTGGCAATAACCACACAGTCCTATTTCTACCAACTGTGTTGGTGCTGGCAGGGGGAGGGTTTCCGTTCTTTCAACCAGGGATCTCCACAGCAGGCGTACTTCAGTGGGAGGAGGGCTCTTGGGAATAGGAAAGAAAATCTTGGAATTTACATAGGTTATAGAACATATTTTTTAATTCTAAGAATTAAATTAAGCTTTAATAATATTTGTCAGATGATACTGATGACCTGAGCTTCTTCATCAGATGATTACATGTTATACACTGTGCCTGAGGAATTCCGTGCAGAGAATTGATAGCAAAGCTCCTACCAGTACGTTAACTCTCAGTGTATTGCAGAGTATGATGCCTTCTGTGTTCCTGACTAGGGAGACTTAGAGTATATTTAGTTTTAACAACTTACAAAAAAGATAAGTAGCTTAAAGTAAATTATTTTGTGGATAAACTTTAAATTAAAAAGAATACCAATAGTGCAAGAGCAAGTAAACAAGAAAAAGGAGGAGCTGACAATACTTCTATTCCTATAGGCATTTCAGCTCTTGCACAAGCTCTCTGTAAACGATAGTACTAAGTAAAAATAATGACAATTTAATTTGCTGACAAGAAAGCATTTAAAAATCTCAAAAATTGGCCGGGCGTGGTGGCTCACGCCTGTAATCCCAGCACTTTGGGAGGCCGAGGCGGGCAGATTATGAGGTCAAGAGATCGAGACCATCCTGGCCAACATGGTGAAACCCTGTCTGTACTAAACACAAAAATTAGCTGGGCGTGGTGGCGTGTGCCTGCAGTCCCAACTACTCAGGAAGCTGAGACAAGAGAATCACTCAAACCAGGGAGGCAGAGGTTGCAGTGAGCCAAAATTGTGTCACTGCACTTCAGCCTGCTAAATGGTATCTGCCATCATGAATGAGGGACCTCTTGCTCAGTCTATATTTAGATATTAAGTAATAATCATGACTCACAAAATATTCAAAAACTAAGCTGCTAGTACATGAATACAAATACCTGTAATTTACATCATAAAAGCTTTCTGCATCATTAACATACAGAATATTTTAATTTTTAAATTTTGTCTTTATTAACCTCTTTAGTTTCAACTTCTGAGTATGTTTTATGTCAGGTGAGTACTGCACACACACATGCTAAGATATGTCCTTTGAAACGTTTTATTGAGAAGGGACATGATTTAAAATTTTACTAGCATCTGTCTTTTTCAGTCTTTATCTCAGATCATGATATTTAAGGACATTTTATTGCATTTCAGCTTATTTCTTTAAGTTGTTTGATATTTTTATAGGTCTTAAAATTGAATTGCTTTCTTTCTAAGATGCAAACGTCTAATGAAAATTTGTAATAAAATTCATCTAAGCTACCTGCCCAAGTCACCCCTTGTTTATAATTTGTAAGCTAATTCTTCTCACAAATAACAACACTCAGGGGTGTTTGTGAAGTGCCCACATGAGTCTTAGGCAGGAATACCTGTGACATTAACGCCATCTGAACGCTGGCACCATACAGTTCGTTCGTTATTGTTCCAAAGACTTGCTTTCCATGTGTAGTGATAACATTTGCCTCCTGTAAGTAAATATGATAATAGCAGTTCTATTACACCTCACTTAGAATAAGCATTGATCAATGAAGGCTAAAGAACTGAAAAGTGCTCTTGGTACCTGTACAAGGGCGTGTTTCTAGAACCTGTTGGGGGCAGCTGTCTTGGTTCTCAAAAGACTGAATTATAAAAGTCCTTGATCTAGACTGGCGGCCCACAGTCTCAAAGCTTCTTCCATCAATGCAGGTTAATTCACATGTGCTCCACTCTGACCATTCTGTTAAATGGCAGTCTCCTGGACAGTCATGCAGTACAGGGTGGAGAAAACAGCATGAAAAGTGGCACTGGACAACATTTGCATGGGCAGGGCTCACACAGAGATTTGCAGTGATACATGCAGTTCCTGATACTACACATTCTATATTGATCAATTTTCCAATCAGAATGTACTAAGAATGATGAAGTAATTTATAGTTTAATCTTGTTTAACAAGAAAGTGCCAAAAACTAGATTGTTATTACTTTGCTTCAAATTGTAGTAGTCACATCTAGAAAATATTATGTATCTGCTAGTGTTAATAAAACTTTTAAAAGAGAGATATAAAGATTATGGTAACTCAGTGTTCAAAGATCAGAATAACATCATAAAATGGATGTTCATAGAAACCATATAAAAGAGAATAAGTAGGTCACTGAAATGAACTATCTTTTGGACCAAAGAATGTTTAATTTAATACCCTAAACATCTTTCTCACTCAAGAAATATAATTTATAATTTGTATAAATGTATCTTTATATAAATTATAATTTTTTTTGTAATACATATGTGTGTATACATACATACACATATGTTATATACTGTATTATAAAAACATATTGTCACTTGAACTTATGCCATACAAACTATGTTGTGTTACTAGGATTAAGATAAACTGATACATTTTATGTAACTAATAAAATTTATATAGAACTTCACATTTATATGGAACTTCACATTTACAGAGTGCTTTCATGAACTCATAGCCTTACTGGTTCCAACCATGCCATCACCCAGAATTCAGCCAACATTTTTTGAACGCTGTCCAATGTGCTAGGTGCTGTTGGATACGGAATTAACATCACAGTTTCTAGATGAAGAAATCATTGCTCACAGGGGCTAGACTACATACCCCAAGTAAAACAATGAAGTGATAGAGACATGATTCTAACTTAGCTCTTAAGTTTCCAAATCCAGTGCCTTTTTTTTTCTTTTGCCTACTTTGGCTCCATCAAAGCCGTAGGTATATACCAAAGTGATAACCACAATTAAAAATGAATTAAAGTTATTTAAAAACTTTAATTTTGATGAGCTAGAGCATCTCTAGGAAAACAGTAGTAAAATAAACAAAAAGATCACCATGGGAGGCGCTCCCAATCACTAGCATTGCATACCTGGGCAAGGCACAGAACACAGCTGCTTCAGGATGCTGTCCTGAAAGGGCATTTCTCCACACAGTGCATCCTCGACACGTCCAGCTGCATGAGATATTGAACCACTGTGGACCATGCAGGAAAGGCTGCGGATCTGAACTCCTTCCCCACAGTCTCCACCCTATGAGAGGAAAGGATACTTTCACAATTACCCAAATAATTCACATCTCAAAGTTTTGGCTCTTGCCACCTCTTGCCTAAGAAGACCATAGTTGCATATTTTCGTAGCTTCCTCTTCTTGTGAGCTATCTCTCAATTGTTGACAATAAAGCATCCCTGAGCAACACTGCCAGAGCTGATAGAGAAGCTTCAGTGGGAATGCAAATCATGCCATGGAACCTATGTACTTAGAATATGACAATTCATTTTGGAACTCAGCCAAGATTGACTAAAAAAGAAAACAATACATAATTTGTCTAGTTGTATGTGATAAAATGACCTAATCTGTAATCACCAATGAGAACATATAAAGTTACAGGGCATAAATTTCTTTTATTTTACCTGTTTTTCTTTTTTATAGAATTCAGTACTTTTTTCTATGGATTAGGTTGAGGTTTCTAATAAAACACGGTTTTTCTCTGTTGCCACAAGAATTTGTTTTCACAGCATGCCTTCTATGCTGAATAATGTTCTTTGAAGACATGTCATACCCATCTCACTTAGATATTCTAGGCAATTAGAAAAAATTTGTACAGTGTCTCACAGAAACAGAAGCTTAGAATTGGATGGCTCCTAATGGTAAACTGGCCCAACGATCTGCCTGATAAAGGGTTTCCTACTATAAAATTTTTGGCAGAGAAGACTTCAGCTCCAAAATGTCAGCATAGAAGCAAGCTGGCTTCACCCTTCCTCCAGCCCCCCACAGAAAACCAAAAACAAATATTCAATGCTGAGACTATCATCAGCCATATCTCAGAGCTCAAATATGAGGATAAGACAGTTCCTGGTGCCACAGAGAAGTGAAAAAACTCAGTAAGTGGTAAGGGAATCAGACTTCCATATCTGCAATAGCCCTCCCCCGAATCTGCCCAGAACCAAGTGCACAGAAAATTTCCCCTTTACTCATGGTTTCTGTGCTGCAAAATGTGAGATTGAGGTAGATAACCAGCTTCCCCACCATCTTCAGTATCCTGGCAGGAGGCCTGTCCCTGCCTCAACCCACCGGAAGCATGGGAAGTGCCTGAAGAAAGAAACATCCCTAAGGACATCCAGAGACAAAGAGGGGAGGGATGACTACTATCCTCCAGCTCTGAAAACTCTGTTCTGTAATTCATCCAAAGGAGATACCAAGTCAAAGTGGCTGTTCAGCAGTACCACGCTGTAGGAGGTTGGTTTCACAGATCCCCTAGGCATGAACACCTACCTAGCCTTCTCACACTATTGGGATATCCCCTTGGGGACCTCCCCTATTCATGATAGGCAGCACACTAATTGTTTACTGAAGCAAAGCAAACCTAGGCTCAAGATGCTATATAGTGCTAAAAAGAAGGCCAGAACTTAGCAGTAGAAAAAAAGAAAGAAAACCAACAGTTAAATTACGAAGAATTACTAAAAAGTAATATCCAGTAAAAACCAAAACAAGCCACACTGACAAGCCTGGAATTAATAGCTAAGCCTTCCACATAAAGACAGAGAGGTACGTCCATTAAAAAAACAAGGGAAACAGGGAAGCAGGACCACCCCAGATGAATAAAGAAAGGAACCAGTGTGTGATCCTAACAACATGGATATGTGAGCTCTCTGAGCTAGAATTCAAAATAACAATTTCTAGAATACTCTATGATCTCCAAGATAACACAGAAAATCTATTCAGAAATTTATCAGAGAAATTAAACAGTTTGAAATAATAATTTTAAAAAATAGAAATATTGAAACAACTACATTTGCTGAACTGAAAAATTCATTAGAGGCTCTCAAAAGCGGAATGGATCAAGCAGAGAAAAGAATTAGGGAGATCAAAGACAGGTTATCTGAAAATACACAGTCAGAGGAGAAAAAGAATGAAAGGGAATGAAGACTGCCTACAAGATACAGAAAATTACCCCAAAAGACCAAATCTAGGATTTATTGGTGCTCAAAAGAGAGTTGAGCAAGAGCAAAGCGTCGAAAACATATTCAAATAAAAAACAACAGAAAACTTTCCAAAACTTGGGAATGATATAAATATCTAGGTACTGCAAGGTCAGAGAACACCAAACAGATATGACCCAAATAAGACTATCATAAGGCGCATAATAATCAAACTTTCCAAGGTGAAGGAGAAAAACAGGACCTTAAAAACCTTAAGATACAATAAGCAAACAACATATAAAGGAGCTCCCACTTATCTGGCAACAGATCTTTCAATGGAAATCATACAGGGTAGAAGGGAGTGGGACATTTTCAAAGTTCTGAAAGAAAAAAAATCCACTGCCCAAGCATACTGTATCCAGCAAAGTTATCCTCCAGATATAAAGGCAGGATAAAGTCCTTTACAGACAAACAAAAGCTGAGAGAATTCACCACCACCAGACTTATGAGAAATGCTAAAGGGGGTTCTTCAGTTTGAAAGAACAAAACACAAATGTGCAAAACGAAATCACAGGAAAAATTAAGCACATGGACAAACATGGAATATCCTAATACTGTAATTGTGGTGTGCAATTCACTCATAACTGAATTTGAAGCCCCAAATAAGCATCTATCAAAAATAATAACAGCTACAGCAACCTAAGAATGATAATATAAAAATATGTCAATTGAGAAAAATGAAAGTCAAAATGTCGGGGGCAAAGTGAAAGTGTAAATTTTTTTGTTTGTTTCTATTATTTTCTTTGCAATCTAAGTGAACTTGTCATCTCTTCAGAATAACTTGTCATACAGGATATTTTTGTAAGCTTCGTGGTAACCATAATGCAAAAACTTATGATAGGTTTACCAGAAGTAAAACGCAACAAATTAAAACATACTACCAGAGAAAATAACTTCACCACAAAGGAAGAGGGGAAAAAACTAAAAGAGGAGTTACAAAACAATTAGAAAACAAGCAACAAAATGGCAGTAGCAAGTTCCTATCAATAACACTGAGTGTAAATAGACTCAATTTTCCATTTAAAAGACATAGAGTGTCTGAATGGATAAAGGAACAAGTCCCAAGTATATACTGTCTACAAGAAACTCACCTTACCTATAAAGACACATATAGTGAAAGACATTGAAAGTGAAAGAATAAAAAAAGATATTCCATGCAACTGGAAACCAAAAAGAGAAGGAGCAGCTGTATTTGTATCAGCTAAAATAGTCTACAAATCAGAGACTGTAAAAATAGACAAAGAAGGTCACTATTAAAGGTGTCAATTCAGCAAGAGGATATAGCAACTGTAATTGTTGATAGACCCAACACTGGACTTCCCAAGTATATAAAGAAAACATTAATAGATTTAAAGGGAGAGAGAGAGAAAGAGAGATCTCAATACAATAATAGTAGAACATTTCAACACTCCACTCTCAGTAATTGACAGGACAGGCACATAATCAACAAAGAAACACTAGAGTTAAACTACATTATACCAAATAGGTCTAACAGATATTTATAGAATATTTCACCCAATTGTTGTAGAATATACATTCTTTTCATCAGCACATAGGACATTCTTCAGAATAAACCATATCTTCGGCGACAAAGCAAGTTTCAACAAATCCAAAAAAGTAGAAATCATATCAAGTATGTTTTCTGATCACAAGGGAATGCTGTTAGAAATAAATAACAAGAGGAACCTTAAAAACTACACAAATACATGGAAATTAAACAACATGCTCCTGAATAACCAACGAATAAATTAAAAAATTAAGAAAATGTAAAAATTTCTTAAAACAATGAAAATGGAGATATAACAAACCAAAATCTATGAGATACAGCAAAAGCAGTATTAAGAGGGAAGTTTACAGCAATAAATGTCTACATTGAAAAAGTAGAAAGAATTCAAATAATTTAATGATGTACTTCAAGGTACTAGAAATGCAAGAACAAACCAAACCTCAAATTAGTAGAAAGACAAAATCATATACATCAGAGTAGCCATAAGTCAAAGTGGTCTCACCATACAGAAGATCAAATGATCAAATCTTTGTTTTTTTTAAAAAAATAAACAAAACTGACAAACTTTTAGCTAGACTAAGAAAAAAGAAGACCCAAATAAATAATATCAGAACCCCAAAAGGAGACATAAACACTGAGATCACAGAAATACAAATAATAATTACAGTATATTATGAGCAACCAAATGCCAACAATTTGAAGAACTTAGACTAAATTGATAAATTCCTGGACATACACAACCTATCAAGATTGAACCATGAAGAAATAGAAAATGGCAACAAACGAGTAACAAGTAAGAAAACTGAAGCTGTACTTAAAAGTCTCCCATGAAAAAAAACCCAGACTCTGATGGCTTCATTAATGAATTCTACCAAACATTTAACATAGAACTAATACCAATTCTACTCAAATTATTTAAATAAAATTGAAGAGGAGGGAATACTTCATAATTTATTCCATGAAGCCAGCTTTCCCTGATCCAAGACCAGAAACGGGCATAGCAAAAGTAGAAAACTATAGGCCAGTATCACTGGTGAAAATAAATGTAAAAATCCTGATCAAAATATTAGCAAACCAAATTCAACAATGCATTAAAAAGATCATTCACCATGATCAGGTGGGATTCATTTCAGGAATGTAAGGATGGTACACCCTGTGCAGGAATAACATGCAACATTATCAGAAGCAAGAACAAAAACCATACGATCATTTCAATAGATGCTGAAGAGCATTTGATAAAATTCAATATCCCTTTATGATAGAAACTCTTGACAAATTAGATACAGAAGGAAAAAGAACTCAAAATAGTAAAGATTTCATATGACAGACTCACAGCTAACATTGTATTGAATGGAGAAAAATGGAAAGCGTTTGCTCTAAGATCTGGAACAAGACAAGGATGCCTACTTTTACCACTTTTGTTCAACATAATACTGGAAGTCTTAGCCATAGCAGTTAGTCAAGAGAAGGAAATAAAGGACATCTAAGTTGGAAAGGAAGACGTCAAATTAGCCTTGTTTGCAGATGATATGATCTTATACTTACAAAAACCTAAAGGCTCTACCAAAAAACTCTTGTAACTGATAAAAGAATTAAGTAAAGTTGCAAGACATAAAATCAACATACAGAAATCAGTAGCATTTATATACACCAACAGTGAACAATCTGAAAAATAAATCAAGAATGCAATCTCATTTGCAATAGCTATAAAGGATATAAAACACCTGCAAATCAATTTAACCAAAAAAAGTGAAAGAGCTATACAAGGAAAAGCATAAAACGCTAAAGAAAGTAATTGAAGATGATATATGAAAATGGAAAGATATTCTATGCACATGGATTGGAAGAACTAGTATTAAAATGATGATACTTCCAAAGCAATTTACAGATCTAGTGCAATCCCCATCAAAATACCAAAGACATTCTTCACATACATAGAAAAACATCGTAAAATGTATATGGAACTCAAAATATCAATGCAGTGGCATAATCGGGACTCATTACAGCCTCGACCTCTCCGACTCAAGCCATCTTCCCACCTTAGCCCCCCGAGTATCTGGGATGAGAGACATCCACCACCACACCTGCCTAACTTTTTTTTTTTTAATTTTAGTAGAGATTAGGTCTCACTATGTTACCCAAGCTGGTCTCAAACTCCTGAGGGCAAGGGATTCTCCCACCTCAGCCTCCCCAAGTGCTGGGGTTGCAGGCGTGAGCCACTGTGTCCAGCTGAAACTCAAAATATCTTGAATAGCCAAAGCAATCCTGAGCAAAAAGAACAATGCTGAAAGCATCACACTACTTGACTTCAAAATACACTACAAACCTGTAGTAGGCAAATCAGCATGGCACTGGCATAAAAACAGATACTTAGACAAATGAAACAAAATAAAAAACTCAGACTTATATGCATGATAAAAACCCCAGATTTATATCCAGATTTATATTCATGCATTTATAGACAACTCATTTTTGACAAAGGTGCCAAGAACATGCAGTGGGGAAAGGATAGTCTCTTCAATAAATATTACCGGGAAAACTGGATAAGCATATGCAGAAAAATAAAACTAGTCCTCTACCTTTCAACATACAAGAAAATCAAATCAAAATGTATTAAAGTCTTAAACCTAAGAACCGAAATTTTGAAACTACTAGAAGAAAAGAACTTTGGGAATATGCTCCAGGATATTGGTCTGGGAAAAGATTTTTTTTCTTTTGTGTCAGATATCAAAGCACAGGCAATCAAAGCAAAAATAGACAAATGGGAGTACAACAGGCTAAAAAGCTTCTGCATAGCAAACAATCAACAAAGTGAAGAGACAACCAACAGAATGGGAGAAAATGTTTGCAAACTACCCATGTGACAAGGACTTAATAACCAGAATAAATAAATAGTTCAAAGAACTCAACAGCAAAAAACCCCCAAATAATCCAATTTAAAAATGGGCAAAATACCTGAGTAGACATTTCTCAAAAGAAGACATGCAAATAGCCAACTGCCATATGAAAAAAAAGTTCAACATTAGTACTTATCAGAAAAATGTAAATCAAAAGCATAATGAGATATCATCTTACCCCAGCTAAAATGGCTATTATAAAAAAGACAGGTAATAATAGATGCTGGTGAGGATGTGGACAAAGGGGAACCCTTGAACACTGTTGGTGGGAATTTAAATAAGTACAGCCATTATGGAAAACTGTGTGGAGGTTCCTCAAAAAACTAAAAATGGAAGTACCATATACAGAAATTCTACTACTGAATACACACACACATAAACACACATACACACACACACACATTTATATACTCAAGAGAAGGGAAAGAGATCAATAAATTGAAGAGGCAACTGCACTGCCATGTTTATTGCAGCACAATTCACAATAGTCAAACTATGGAATCAACCTAAGTGCACATCAATGGATGAATGGATAAAGAACACGTGGTATAATGTATACAAATGGACTATTACTCAACCATAAGGAAGAATAAAATCCTGTCATTTGCAGAAACATAAATGGAACTGGAGCTCATTAAGTGAAATAAGCCAAACAGAAAGACAAATATCATATGTTCTCACTCATATGTGGAAGCTAAAAAGGTGGATCTCACAAAGATAGAGAGTTAAGATTGGTAGTTACCAGAGGCAAGGAACGTAGGGGTGAGGGGGGGAGATGAAGACAGGTTGATTAATGGGTACAAATATATAGTTTGATAAAAGAAATAAGACCCAGTATTTGATAGATCAGTAGGGTGACTATAGCTTACAATAATCTACTATATATTTCAAAATGGCCAGAAGAGAATAATTTGAGTTGTTCTAGCATAAAGGAAAATATATAAGGTAATGGATATCCCAATTACACTGACTTGATATTTACGAATTATATGAATATACTAAGTTATCACATATACCCAAAAAATATATACATCTATTATGTATCAAAAATATAGTTCTAAAATAAAAAATAAAATTTTGTCAGGCACTATGAGATGAGTATCTTCGATTTTAGTCAGGTGTTCACACTTCAAAGAAGTCTATTAGATATTTGGATAACTTCAGTTGATAGCTCTGTTTTCATGTAGATATTCTAGAAAACAGAGTCCAAGGCAAAACTTTCACACTAAGAAGCAATCCCAGTATGACTAGAGTAGAGGTAAAATATAACTGAAGCAGGAAAGGAGGGGACGCTAACATGAGGTAGTGTGTTACCAAGCTGGCCTCAGCTTCACAAACAAGCACAGCTGGTTTCTTGGCTACTCACATCATCTTCCAGACAGGTCATGGGGTGTCACCATGTCTCAGTACCATTCATGAAGAGCAGGGAGGAGAGGAAAGAAAGGAGAGGCACTTAAATGTCAACAACTCCTAGGATCCAGTTCTTATTGATCAATGGTCATTTTAGGAAGTCTTAACTCCTCTGTACTTCCAAGTTGTGTTACTCAGCTTTCACTAAGTCCAGAAGTTGGTGGAAGAGCTAGAGGCTTTGTGACTATTGCTGCTGCTATGGATGCTAAGACAAAGAAGAAAAGTGAAGGTGGGAGCAAGAGACAAAACAAGAGGGAGAATAAGAGAAGTGAGAGAGTGGGGGCGGGGGGGTTGGGGAGAGAGAGAGAGAGAGAGAAAGAGACAGAGAGAGATCGGAGTAGGGACTCAGGCCTTCAAACTTCCCAGTCTTTTTGCATCTCTGTTGCTGCAGTCAGGTATGCTACATGCTACAATCCATTATTAGATGACAGTCTGACAACTATGCACTTGAAAACTGAGTGTCTCCTCCTTCTTATCCCTCTTCCCCTGCAGGACTCCCAAACTGCATTGTCTAGATTTTAGAGCTTCTATAGCCCTTGCAGAGGCAGGAGTAAAGCAGGACAAGGTGGCCTGCTAAAGCAGTCATGACAGCATTCCAGGACATGGAGCAAGTGATCCCTGGGCTTATGGGTCAGCTGGGCATCAGACATGCCAGGGTACAGTGACAGCAGCTGTTGGGCATCAAGGGAAGGTCACGGATAAGCTGCTGGAGGGTGCAGGATGGTATAGAATGGCTGCTCATAAAGCTTCTTAACATAGAGAAGTTGTGACTCAAAGACATACCGGCACAAAAGAAAAAGGGCAACTTGGAGGACATGAAGTTGTAGCAACTTTAAATCTAAAGAATCTGAGCAGTCACAAACATTAGGGACACTGCACCCTCTTTTAAAGAAGTGTTCAGAGGAATTATGATTTATTTATCTAAGATAGTCTCTTAGTCTGTTCATGTTGCTATAATAAAATACCTTAGATTGGGTAATTTATAAACAATGGAAATTTATTGCTCATGGTTCTGGAAGCTGCAAAATCCTAGATCAAGGTGCCAGTGAAGTGTTTATTATTATTATTATTATTATTATTATTATTAAGATGGAGTGTCACTTTGTTACCTAAGCTGGAGTGCAGTGGGGTGATCTCAGCTCACTCCAACCTCCGCCTCCCAGGTTCAAGTGATTCTTCTGCCTCAGCCTCACGAGTAGCTGAGATTACAGGCACGTGCGACCACACTCAGCTTTTTTTTTTTTTTTTTTGTATTTGTAGTAGAGATGGGGTTTCATCATGTTGTTCAGGCTGGTCTCAAACTTCTGGCCTCAAGTGATTCACCCTCCTCGGCCTCCCAAAGTTCTGGGATAACAGGTGTGAGCCACCACGCCCCACCTGAAGTGTTTAAATGAGAGCCAGGTCCTCATAGATGGTGACTTCTGGGTGTCCTCAAATGGTACAAGGGAAGAAGAAGCTCCTTCAGGCCTCTTTTATAAGGACATTAATACCGTTCATGAGGGCGGAGCCCTCGTGCCCTTATCACCTTCCAATAACTCCACTTCTGAATTCCATCACATTGGGGGTTATGTTTCAACATGTGAGTTTGGAGGAGGAGGCACAAACATTCAGACCACAGCACACAGTCGTTCCCACATTTGTTTTATCAGTATTTCATAATTGCTCTAATAATTTCTATGCCTGTTATGAAACTGTCCCAAAAAAGCACCATAATTTTAAATCTAAATGCATTTTTTTTGGAGAAAAGTGGAAGTTCAAAATCAATTCATAGTAGATTTATTCAAAGCAAATATTCTAGTAAATGTTTATTTCCTAGAGTGAAAAACAATAGGTATAAATTACTCCAGGGAAGGGAGGGCTCACTTATAACTTATTATTCCATATGATAGATTCATTGCAGAATTGTCTAGGTGTATGTTTTACTGTGGAGTATTAGACTTTGTGTACCTGGAAAGAAGCGTTTAAAGATACTGTAACATACATGAAATTTGAAAGTTTTGAAAGTACTGATACATGGACCCTTAGGTAAAATATGCAGTTTATTAAAGTGGTTTTTTTTTTTTTTACACACCATGAGACAGAGTGTGAAGAAATAACAGGAAACAAACTTATGCTGCAGATCACTTTAAAAACTAAGACAAATAACAGTGTGCTCCTAGTATGTATCTTGGGATCAGTCCATATTCAACCTTAATCGCTTATACCTTCGACAACAACAGCCACAATGTAAAGAGAAATCAGCATCAGATTAATAATTTCTGTCATAAAGCAAACATTCACTCATCCACAGTCAAGAGATTTTACACACTAGGGCCTGAAAATAGACCCAGGTTTCTAAGAGAAAGACTGTAAATGGCACAGGTTTTCTCGTTAACTCTCCATTGCCTAGAGCATTAATAGAGGTTTTGTATACAATGAATTGGCATTACTGCCTAATGTGAATAGGCAGATGGTGCTTATAATCATAATCATAGTTTTAATAAAAATTATAATACTAACTATAACTATTGAGCTCTTAACTTATGTCTATTACTATGCAAAGTACTTTAACTTATCTACTTCCTGCCCACATAACCAGCGAAATAGGTACTACTGCTATCCCCACTATATAAAAAAGAAAACAGATGTTTGGAGAGTTTATAGACTTGGCCAGAAATGCAGAACTAAAAATTGGCAGAACCATGACCAAAATTAGGGCTGCTAGACTCCAGAATCTGAGCTCCTCAAGCAGATTTATGAGCATATGTGTGTATATGTGTTAGCAGCTGAGAAACTTGGGAAGAGTTAGGAAATGCTAAAAAAGAAAGTGATGCCTGAGGATAAATACTTCCTTTTTCACATAAGACACTGGCAGAATTGGCACACCCACTGTGCCCACGCGAGCTTTTATTATGGGTTGATACTTGTGAAGGCAAGCAGCCACCTAAATATCATCACCTCCCTCATTGAATGAGATCCCAACTTGTGTTTGGCAGGCAAGGACATGCTAGGACAAGAGGAAGCACAAATGCAGCGGCAGAAAGATGTTTTTCCTTTGTGCAAAAAGGCCCACGTGCATTTTGATCAGTAATTTAAAAAATCCAGCTTATATATAAATTTAAGTATAGTAAATTTTTAAAGAAGATATGGTGTTACCTATCTCACAAAGAGTTAACAATCAGGCTGCAGGAAAAGTAGGAATGTAGCTGGAAGTCAGGAAAAACTCAACTTAGATATTGTCATGATTCCCTTTCTCTTGCACCTCTGCTTTACTTTATGTCATTTTCGGTGGGCTTTTTGCTTCTGAGTGACTGACTTCATCTATAAGGTAGAAAAATGTGGCAATGAAGAGCTTCTGATTACAGTATCTTGGAATGAGATCAATTTCATTTTAAATTATTGGGGAAGAATGCTGATTGGCACTGTTTGGGTAAGGGCCCACCCTAGAATAATTAACTATAGACTTGTTTATTGAAGCTTTTGCATAGATTAAGTCTAGCTCCAGAGTTTCTTCCCAACTAGAAGTGTCAGCGAACGGGACTCACTCTATCTAGAAATCTGGGGCAACTCTGAAGTTTCTGGAAGCAAAAACCAATCACCTACTCTGGTGGATCTCCAGAAGCCTTGTCAGGGCTTTCAAGACTAGCTATTTCCAATAGATGCCATAACCCTCCACCCATCACCAGCACCACTACAGAGAATGAGCACCACCCATCACTCTTGCCCTTATTGTTTTTGTAAAAGCTCAACATTTGACAGCAAAACATAGCATTTGGCATTTTCCTATAATATTCCTATAGAACAAGTTGGTAGACTTGCCTATCAAAGATATAGATTCCTGATACCTGAGAAGATAAAAGAGAAAGTGCCAAAAACAGGTAAGGTACAGTAGTAGTTGTATTTTTGGTAAAACTTGGAGTGTGGACATTGTCAGTTCTCTGTCCCTCTGTCTCTCCCTCCCTCCCATCCTTTGTCCTCTCTCTTCTTCCTAATATTCAACTTTCCTCTCCCTTCCCCTGAAATGGCTTTCTAAATTCTTTGAGCTTATTTTCTCTATTCTGTCAAAGCAGTCCCAATGATAAGGAGCAATATTCCTTCAATTTTTGTAAGTGAGTCCAAACAACATTTAAATATTGCTGAATACTTAGGAAAGAATTTAGACTAGTAGACAAAGTATTAATATTTAAAGCTATTAAGTTACTTCTGAATTGGTTAATTAGCATGGTTATCTTATTTTCTCTAAAAATGAGACTGAACAAATGTACCACGCATTTTTATTCCTCTGGGACCTATTAAAATACATAGGCATTTAACTTTTGCAAGATAATAATGTTGCCTGACAATGTCATCCTGACAGGAACACTAAACATCTCTATGAGAATACTCTGCAGATTTCTTAATGCATAATCAAAATTATTGTTACCTAATTAAAGTATGCTTTGGAACATGAACTAAGGATAAACTACTAGGATAAGAAAATAGGGAAAAACAATGTGCTATTTCTTAAGCAAGAAGCCAGAGAGAAAATGCAGTAGAGGATCTTTGCTGATCTAGCAAAAGCTCTTGGTACGTGATATACTAGGATGTTGTTAGGCATTTATCTGTAAGGCCAATAAAAAAGTAATCATTGAGGAAAATGTAGTGACCATGGTTCATGTAATAATGTTAAAATATAACTTCATACACTTTTGGTTTTCTGCTCATATGCAAGATTTTGTCTAACCCTAAAAGTGTTTCTTTAAGAAATCTAAATTTCTTAAACAATCTAAAGCAAGCTATGCATTTTCACAGCATCAGGATTTTCGCCTAATTAAATAATCCTTTGATATTCCCAACAAGCCAATAAAATAACAGAATTCTTAAGGATGCCAAGGAGATTGAAGGATCTGTGACCTGACCTATTATAATCAGTGCTTAATGAATGGCTGTTTATTACCCTAGCAATATCACTCTGCATGAGGTTAAGCCATTTGGTTGTATTTTTCCATGTTCTGCATTGCATTAAAAATACATTGTGCCAGACCCCTGGTGCTGTGAAATTTATTCCATCAGCGCATAGGTTTGACCAGACAAGTGCTTCGAATATACTGATGAATATTTCTCTAACTGTCATTACATGACCTACCTCCAATTTACATGCAGACCAGTTGCCAAGGACCCAGCTGTAGCAGGGGGTCACTGGGCAGGTTTTCTCCTGGGTAAGCTCTGTGGGGCATGGCCGTCCTTCTCCTTGGGTTGGCATAATGATAAATCGAGTCCGGCTCATTCGACCTAAAATGATAAGGGAGGTGTCAGCTTTTCAGTTAGTTTGGCTTGGAAAGGGACCTGAAGAACAGAATGTTGCCTTATACATGTAAGTCTTCATTTTAATAGACTGAACTCTGTCCTATCTCACTTTTAGTTTTTCTGTCATTTTCATTTAGAGTTCCACAGAGACACAGGCTATCTAGGTTTTCACAATGCTTAAAGGATCTGAAATTCTGTCTTCTACTTCTTTTAGTCTTCAAAGTACAAACGTTCTATTGTTGCCAAGTAGACTGATCTTGTAAACATTGGTAGACTGTCAATTCATTTAATAAATATTTATTTATTAAGCTCTAGCATGATCAAGGCATCCTGTAGTGTGCTATGGACAGTAGTAAAATTGCCAGATATATCCTCTACCGTCAAATACCTCATATTTTAAGCCAGGATTACAAATATTAAACCAAAATAGTGAGCATTGCCTCTTCTGTGAGGCAATGAGCATGAGCATAATAAACATGAGCAAGTAAGGTAAAAATCACACATCATCCAAATTATCCTAAAAAATTCCCTAGGAAGGTGCTACCCCAAGGTCCCAATAGTGTCTTTTAATTAATTCAAAACAGACAATTTTTTTTCAGAGGTTTAGAACCAATTTCTTTCTTCACCGAGCACAAGATAAAGTTGTTGGCTTGTATGAAGCAACCAAGATGTTTAAAAAACATATGTTCAAATACTAGTCTCCTGTTCTGCAATGAAAGACAATTGATTAGTAAAAATCGCTCAGAAAAGAGCAGTGCTCCCATGTCATCTTCTGCCCCCTCCTAGGCATTAGGTCATCAGCTCATCAGGTGGAATAGTGATGGAATAACCTACATTATTTGTTTGTGCTTCTCTCTTTCTCTTGTACTCTTTCACTCTCACTCTCTCTTTCCTACTCTTGTTCTTTCTGATGAAGAACTCAGCACATATAATTTAATTACTATTAGTTATTTGTGAATATGGTGGACTTCCAGTGTTGTTATAAAGTTAATTATGTAATTGTATTTGTGATAAATGTTAAAAGAAAAACAGGGTTCTGTGGAAGCATGCATTAGAATGGCAGCCCATTCTGAGAAGGAATCAGAGATCACTGCCATGAGCAGTGGAACTTTAAGCAGAAATCTGAAAAGATGTAAATCAGACATGATGTGCAGAGAGAGTACGCCACACAGAGGAGGGAGCACGTGAAGAGATGGTGAGGTGCAAAGGATCATATATCTGAGGACCTGACAGAAGCCAGTGCAGCTGGAGCAGAGAGTATTAGTGAGAAGGGCTTGAGAAAATGTTGTTAAAGCTATTCAAAGCAGAGTCTTTTAGTTGATGTCAAAGATTCTACATTTATATCCTAAGAGAAATGGAAAGCTAGTGAGGACTTTGCTTCTAGATAGAATTTACTTGAAAACCCTGGATAGAAACAATTACAGATACCTTCAAGTTTAGTGATAAGTAAGGGTGACTCACTTTCAAAGAACTAGACCTCTTACTGTCCACCAGAATATTATCATAGATTTGGTGGTAAACTAACTCTCTGAGAGTATCCTTGAAGAAAACTAGGGTGTCCTAATCACTGGCTTCTAAATTTCTTAAGGTTTATACTTCTGTGCCTAACATGGTACTTCACAGACATTAAGTAAGTGGACTATATGTTTAATTTATATTTTCATAAATTATTGATGTGATATTATGTTATATGCAAATGTGTGATACAATAATATCAATACATTGATTGAGCTAGTACCATGTGTTGGGCAATATTTTCAACACTTCATATGCATGGATTCATTTAATAGTGATAACAACCCAAGAGGAAAATTCTACTGTTTTCTCATATTATAGATGACGAAACTAAGGCTCAGAGAATTTAAGTCCCTTGTTTGGGTTTAAAAAAACAAACAAACAAAGTAGGTTGCAGAACAGGATTCAAAGCAGTTTTACTCTAGTAGCTGCTTCATTAATTATGCTGCTGGGTAGACATGAGCAAGACAGCTAAGATAGCTACCTATTTAAGTCTTTTATAGGAGATATACAAGGAATTTTAGATGGTGGTTGTATTAATTCATTTTCATGCTGCTGATAAAGACACACCCAAGACTGAGAAGAAATAGAAGTTTAATTAGACTTACAGTTCCACATGGCTGGGGAGGCCTCAGAACCATGATGGGAGGTGAAAGGCACTTCTTACATGGTGGTGGTAAGAGAAAAATGAGGAAGAAGCAAAAGCGGAAACCCCTGATAAACCCATCAGATCTCATGAGACTTATTCACTATCACAAGAATAGCACGGGAAAGACTGGCCCCCATGATTCAGTTACCTCCCCCTGGGTCCCTCCCACAACAGGTGGGAATTCTGGAGATACAATTCAAGTTGAGATTTGGGTGGGGACACAGCCAAACCATATCATTCTGCCCCTGGCCCCTCCAAATCTCATGTCCTCACATTTCAAAACCAATAATGGCTCCCCAACAGTTCCCCAAAGTCTTAACTCATTTCAGCATTAACCCAAAAGTCCACAGTCCAAAGTCTCATCTGAGACAAGGCAAGTCCCTTCTACTTATGAGCCTGTAAAATCAAAAGCAAGCTAGTTACTTCCTAGATACAATACATACCGGCACAGGTATTGGAAAAATACAGCCATTCCAAATGGGAGAACTTGGCAAAAATAAAGGGGTTATGCGGCCCAGGCAAGTCCGAAATCCAGTGGGGCAGTCAAATTTTAAAGCTCCAAAATGATCTCCTATGACTCCAGGTCTCACTTTCAGGTCACACTGACGCAAAAGGTGGGTTGCCATGGTCTTGGGCAGCTCCATCCCTGTGGCTTTGCAGGGCACAGCCTCCCTCTTGCCTGCTTTCATGGGCTGGCGTTGAGTGTCTGCAGGTTTTCCAGGCACACGGTGCAAGCTGTCAGTGGGTCTACCATTCACGAGGATGTAGAACAATGGCCCTCTTCTCACAGCTCCACTAGGCAGCACCCCACTAGGGACTCTGTGTGGGGGCTCCGACCCCATATTTCCCTTCTGCACTGCCCTAGAGGGGGTTTTCCATGAGGGCCCTGCCCCTGCAGCAAACTTTTGCCTGGGCACGCAGGCGTTTCCATACATCTTCTGAAATACAGGCAGAGGTTCCCAAACCTCAATTCTTGACTTCTTTGCACCCTCAGGCTCAACACCACATGGAAGCTGCCAAGGCTTGGGGCTTCCACTCTCCGAAGCCACAGCCCGAGCTTCATGTTGGCCCCTTTCAGCCACAGCTGGAGCAGCTGGGACACAGGGCACCAAGTCCCGAGGCCCACAAAACCACTTTTCCTGCTGGGACTCCAGGCTGTGATGGGAGGGCCTGCTGTGAAGTTCTCTGACATGCCCTGGAGACATTTTCCCCTTGGTCTTGGGGATTAGCATTAGAGTCCTTGCTACTTATGCAAATTTCTGCAGCTGGCTTGAATTTCTCCTCAAAAAAAAAAAAATGGCTTTTTCTTTTATACTGCATCGTCAGGCTGCAAATTTTTCTGAACTTTTATGCTCTGTTTCTCTTCTAAAATGGAATGCTTTTAACAGCACCCAAGTCACATCTTGAATGCTTTGCTGCTTAGAAATTTCTTCCACCAGGTACCCTAAATTATCTCTCTCAAGTTCGAAGTTTCACAAATCTCTAGGGCAGGGGCAAAATGCCACCAGTCTCTTTGCTAAAACATAACAAGAGTCACCTTTCCTCCAGTTCCCAACAAGTTCCTCATCTCCATCTGAGACCACCTCAGCCCGAACTTTATTGTTCATATCACTATCAGCATTTTTGTTGAAGCCATTCAACGAATCTCTAGGAGGTTCAACACTTCCCCACATTTTCTTGTCTTCTTCTGAGCCCTCTGCCTGTTACCTAGTTCCAAAGTCGCTTCCACATTTTCAGGTATCTTTTCAGCAGTGCCCCAATGTACTGGTATCAATTTACTCTATTAATCTGTTTTCACACTGCTGATAAAGACATATCCAAGACTGGGAAGAAAACGAGGTTTAATTGGACTTACAGTTCCACGTGGCTGGGGAGGCCTCAGAATCATGGTGGGAGGTGAAAGGCACTTCTTACATGGAGGTAACAAGAGAAAAATGAGGAATAAGCAAAAGCGGAAACCCCTGATAAACCCATCATATCTCATGAGACTTATTCACTATCATAAGAATAGCACGGGAAAGACCGGCACCCATGATTCAGTTACCTCACCCTGGGTCCCTCCTACAACACGTGGGAATTCTGGGAGATACAATTCAAGTTTGAGATTTGGTTGGGGACACAGCCAAACCATATCAGCGGTAAAATTTCTTTCAGTGATGATACAGGCAAGGGCTTATTCTGCAACCCTGGGCACAGAGCTCTTGCATGGAGTGTATATGTTTAGACAGATGTTCTTCCCAGCATCACTCAAATCATACAGGTCAGATATCATTCACATCAAATGTTGTCCCTGCCAGATGAACACATTTGGCACAAGATTTCACATTAATTTTTGCTTAAATACTCTTCAAGTTTTATAATAACTTTAATGTTTATTCTCTTGACTGAAACACCTATTATCCTAATGTCATTATAATTGCAGGCTGTTCCATCCATATTTGTAAGGATAATGACAATGTGGTGTCACCTTTATCATGGCCAAAGAGACTCTATTTCATTATAACCAAATAACTTCAGGCTTGTTTTGAATTGATGGCATGCTGAGGGCCAATACTATAGAACCATTTTATTTATTTCCATTAAGGTGACAGATATGTTCTGCTGGACATAAAGGTAGAGAAAATCTAATAAATGCAAAAGAAAAAAATGATGCTATTACTTTTAAAATAATGAAGTCTCAAGACCATTCATTGGAAGCACAGCCATATGGTTTCTCTTGCTTTTGGTATCCAAACACAAAGAGAAGATTTCCAAACAATGCCTATGACTTCCAAGAATATTTTTTGAAACCAAGGAACATATAGTAAATCTGCATTTTGATGTATTTTGTGTTTAATTGGTTCGTGTTAAACTTCAACAAAAACTATTGCTAATAAGTACATGCAAGTGTAAGAGAAAATTACTGGACCTGATGCTTCTGTTGGGTAATTGTTATCTTTTACTATATTTCTTTTTCTATTTAAGTCAGGGATGTTTAGATTGTATAAGTTAAAGAACCAAAAATGTATCCCTCAAATAAAAAAAATCTAATAACATGGAATGTGGATGTTATCAATAAAGAGGTCTGCCACCTTCCAGGTTAGTGGTCAATATTACTTGGGATGCCAGATCTCAGAAAGGATGGAATATTCAACCAAGCAGCTATCTCCCAGCAATAATTATTCTATCAAGAAATCCTAACAGCAGGAGCCTGAAGGAATTGTTTTGGCAATGATGAGTTTTGATGGGAGAGAGAAAGCAGTGGAGGATGTGGCCATATTAAAGATAAAATTATGGTGTTGTATGGAACATGAGAGGAAGAGAATTTGAAACTAGCTGATGTGCCAGGCACAGTGGCTCACGCCTGTAATCCCAGCATTTTGGAAGGCTGAGGCAGGGGGATCACTTGAGTTCAAGAGTTTGAGACCAGCCTGGGCAGCATAGCAAGACCTCATATCTATAGAAAAAACACAGAAAGTTAAAAAATAAACCTGATATATGGTGGAGAGAGGCCTGGAATGGGCATTAAAAGTTTCTAGTTGGAAATAGTTCTCTCCAATTAACAACTAGTAAATGATATGACTACATACAAGTACTTTAACTCTTCTGAGCATAAATTTTCTGTAAAATAAAACTGAGAATACAAAAAGTCTTTATTACTTGAAGACAATTCATGTTAGAAAAAAAATGCCACTTAAAAGTGAAGCTATTTTAAATGGGAATTAAATTATTTTAAATAAATAGTAAAAAATATTTAAATGAGACTTTTTTCTGAAACTAAAAGAATGAAAGTGGGTTTATTTTATCTAATATCCACTAGCATATATATTATGATTACAATTATGCACTTGTTATTAGGACAAATAATAAATTGGTCATTGATATTTCTTACATAATTTTATGATAGCTGTAAGAGATCTTGATGTTTCATAGCTGACTTTCACAGCTTGAACATAAAGTTTTTGGCTGTTGAGTCAATTATCATCAGTTTTCCAAGGGCTCCCTTTAATCTTTGGTGTGAAGATCACTCCATATTGTATCCCCTTTGTAGTGGACACACGTTTAATTTACAGCTAAAGATAGACCAACAAATCCCCTGATTTGCAATGATAGAACATGTGTGTTAATGGAGAAAGTTTGTTGACTGGGCAAAGGTTCTGTAAATGATGTTTGTTCATGAATATTTTGATGTTATGAGGGGCTTGGCTGTCTATGGAATTCACAATAATGCAGATTCAGATGAAGAATATCAGATGATGAGGACTGCCTGGATATGTGTCACAAAGGTTATACAAATAAAAAATACTGTATAAAAGCAACTTGCAAGGGGCTGGGCACAGTAGCTCATGTCTGTAATCCCAGCAGTTTGGGATGCAAGACGGGCAGATCACTTGAGGTCAGGAGTTCGAGACCAGCCTGACCAACGTGGTAAAACCCCATTTCTACTAAAAATACAAAAATTAGCAGATATGGTAGTGTATACCTATAATCTCAGCTATTCGGAGGCTGAGACAGGAAGATCACTTGAACCTGGAAGGCAGAGGTTGCAGTGAGCCAAGATCGTGCCACTGCACTGTAGCCTGTGACTCCGTTTAAAAAAAAAAAAAAGAAACTTGCGGAATATTTTAAATATGGTAACTGCTTTTATTTTTCTCTTCTTAAACATTTATTTTTTAACAAATACTCTCATATCAATTCCTAGAACTGGCCCTGAAACATGCCTGTAATGAGTACATAAAACATGCTACCTGTGTCTGCTGTATTTTACTGGGCTTATTATATTAAATGAATGAAATTACAAAATACATAGTTACTCAGCCAGTTCCCAACCTATCAAATCCCTTAACACTGTATCCTGGACTCTTTCTGTTCTCAGAGTAATAGTGAAGCTTGCTGCCATACATATCCTCATGCTTTCAAAGTCAGAGGGGAAGAATTTCCTTGGAAACTCTCTAGACTTGTCTTGCTTGGGTTTATGTTTTTCAATAACTGCATGAGACATGACAATAGGTATCAATTGGGAACTAAATTCAATCATAAATATGGACAATATGCTGAATGAGCAATGCCCATTGAGATGAAGGAACAGAAGTTGACTCTCTATTCGTGCACTCATCAGCTTACAAAACAGAGAAAGACACTCCCTATAAAATATGTTTCCAATGGAAAAAAGACCGAAATCATAGTAGGGTAAATTTGCTATTTGCTAGTAATTCTCCTCTCTGAGCCTTTTCCTCTTTTTCCCTGGAGAATACTGGGACCTCATTATAAACAACATTGATATTGAGCTTATTATTATATGAGCAATAATCACTAGCAATGAAACAAAAAGGATTGAATGGCAAGATCTTTAGAAAAAATAATAGACAGTGAGGTGGTATACAGGTTGTAAAAACAAAAACAGAAGCAGAGAGGACAATCCTAGTGCCTGCATACAGGTTTAAAGCATATCAGACTAGATCATATTCCTACTGAACTAGGCAGTAGTCAAACTTCCCTCTTGAGGCTCCACTGACAAAGTAGATGTAGGAAATTTTAAGCAATTCAAACAAATCTCAAAACTGGTAAACATTTGTCAATGTATACACTTAGAAAAAGAAAGGAAGTCAAATGCAGTAATTCCCTATTCTGACTATACTTTCCAATCAAAGTAGCCAGCCACCATGCCCTTTAGAAAGCCATGCTGTAAACAACAATTCTTCTGTGGCCCTGACACATAGTCATTGAATTTACTGGAAATTATGTTTTTGGTAGCTCTGGCCAATTTGGATATGGCCCAGGCAAAGTATATATGTAAGAGATAATGGAAAAGGAAATATAAGAATAATAGAGAGATTGTCGAAGAAGGTTCCTATTGACTGGAAACAAATAGTTCATTGAATAAAATATCTGAGCAATTTACATAAATATACCTATAAACTCCAGTGCACTGTAGATATATAAAAGCAATAGTAGTAGTATATGAAGTAACTTTGAGCTTCCAGCATGTCTATGAATGACATTATTATTGGCTTGCTTTCCACCTGGACATCACTTCTTTTGAACATAAGTTAAATTTCCAAAGTTTATGCACAATCATTGGCAGAAAATGATCACCCAGAAACCAACATCTAGAAGGGGTTGGCCAACTAAAACACCATGCAGAATAGGGTACAATGTCACTTAACTGAAGTTAATGATGGTCTTTCCTGATAAGAACCCCAAAATCAGGTTAATGAATAAAAGAGTTCCACTTTCAAGGGTTTTCCCCCTATGGATTTATTCTTCAGCATTTGGTACCTGTGACCTAGTGTTAGACAATAGCAAATACTAGTGGATGACAACATAAGTGAAAAAGAAGCAAAGGAATACTAACAAAACCTCATTAGTAGATGGCCATGTTCAATCTAAGTTAATTTTAGTCATATATATTTCTGTGTTTAAGGCATTTTATTGTATGATACCTTTTGTCATTGTAAAAACAGTCCTCATTATGGAGGAAGGCACTAAATTAATTAAGGGAATACAATGTGCTTTGATATACAAATGATATCATATGTTCTTGCTTAGCTTTTTCTCTTCCTTATCCTGCTTTCTTCACTCTCCTGCCCCTGAGAATTCCTCCCCCTACTCTCTGAGTCACATAAAACACTTTATCAACCCTGGTTTCAGGCTGAGTTCAGGACATAGTTATTAATATTCCCCTTTAACATATGATAAACTGAGGCTCAGAGAATTTAAATATTTTTTGTGAAATGATACAGGTAGAAGGTTTGGAACAAAGATTTGTCTTGCTCCAAAAACATATGCTTTCCAATAGATCTCATCTAATCCATATCTTAGGTATCAGATACTACGCTCTAGTTATTAGGCCACTCAAACTAGTTTGAGAATTGCACTTAGATCTACCTTTTGCAATAAATTTGTTGTATGTATTTGTACACTCCATATTTTCTTTAGCAAAAAGGAATTAAGGTGACTGTGCTAACACCTTTCTCCTATGACAATTCTTTATTTGTTTTCAGGTACTCATCACAGTAAATTTCTGAAAGCAGTAGAAAATCAGGTTGTGTATAAAATGCTCAGTTAATTTCATGTGGCTTTTTAGGCTGGACATCTACTAAAAAGTGGTTAAAGCTGTACTTCTCACTTCTCTTAACAAATATCAGGAATTTTTATCCAAGTTTATTTTAAGTGCAAAATTTATTTTAAATATTACTGGTGGATATAGATTTGGGATCAAGGCTATTTTCCAGTATAGCAGAGTGGAGGAAAATTACAGTCCTGATCTGCAAACTAAAGACAGCTCTTTAGCACATGTGTGGTATTGATGCAGCAGTAATTCTACACCCAGAGATACAGTCCCTCAGCTTCCCCTATAGAGGGATTCCTTGGCTTATATGAAAGTTGCTTCAGGTCTCCGGATACCCTTTTATCCTAGAGAAGATCCAACTTAAGCAAGATAAACATTCTATAGGCTTTTCAGAGCAAAACAGACTCTAGTCCAAGCCAGGATCACATCTCTGCCAGGTACATGGGAAGTAACAAGACCACCACTTTAAAAGTCAAGGCCGTGATGTCAAGGGGCTTAGATAGGTATTTTATGGCAGAAGATTAAGCACTTTTGACATTGCTTTTATGGCATTTTATGGCAGAAGATTAAGCACTTTTGACATTGCTTGGATATAAATAACTCCAGATTTTTCAATGGTAGAGTATGTATATGCATTCTGACCGCTTACCTCCAGTTCTATTTTCAACAATCACATTTCAATTCCATTAAAAACTAACACAACTTGAGGGACCACTGTAATACCTATAAACAGCAGCAATACCCACAATGAGCAATTTCCATGGGATGCAAGAAGGTGAGAGAGAGTGAATTTGCAAATCTTGGAGCTAATCTTCACACCCTTTTTAGAGAAAACCATCAGAGTCACACATTACCTCTCTGTAAGATTGGCAGCTATATCCCTATTAGATAAACTACATAACATGCAACATTATTAGTTGCGAGGCAAGAACATATTTAGAAGGTTTAAAATTCAGAGGGGCTTCTTAAAGCATTAATATATTTCACTGCCTTTTGTGTTCCAACCTGTGACCCATTTTCTCTGCTTATTCTCAAATATATCTATAAATTATAATAATTTTTATAGTGATATAGCATGCAACCCAGGGCCATGTACACAATAGGTGATACAGAGTGTCAGATGTACACGATCATAGTGGAACAAATGGGGGCTTTGGAGATACCTGAACTTGGGTTCAAATCCATCCTCCACAACTGACAAACTATGTAACCTTGGGCAGATTACTTCAGTGCCTATCATTACATCGGTAAAATTAGGTCTATTCTTCATAGTACTGTTGAGAATAATTACTAACATACTCCTAGCATCAGTAATTATACCCTTGACCAACAGGTATTAAAAAGTAATCCCTCTAACATTTCATCATTTTATAGATAAAAACAGTGCAAGAGAGTTCTGCACAGGATGAGTGAGTGGTCCGACATCCTACAGCTTGCCATGGAAAAGCTGACTCTAAAACACAGATCGTCGAGTTTCTTGTCTATTCTTTTTCTTCCATTCCACTACCTAGCTTCTTGTTCTTTTGCCATAAGAACGAATTACTTGATACAGTAAATAAGTCTGAATTATTGTGACAGACTGTGCCCAATCAAGAATACCATGCATTGATCAAATTGGATGCAGATATCAAAAATTAAAGTTATTGGCTTGCCCTTGAAACCTAGAAAAAACAGCTGGAAGTCACAAAGTTGTTGTTGTGTTTTGGAGTTAATACAAAATTATTTTCTCATTATGGGCTAGAGTTGACAGAAAATTATATGCCATCTGGGAAACACAAGAAGTAGGCTGGGTCATATGATATAAAAATATTATAAACTCATATGCATTAAATTTAAAAATATAAAATACAAATAAATCATAGTCTGGATTTAATAACATTCTTAGAGTGTTATCAGTTAAATAATTATGAATAATTCATGATATGCTAAATTTAGGGAGTTCTACATCCCACTAAACTGATGAAAATTCAAGAGACAAAAAACATGACTAATCCAAATATTAAGCTCTTCTATTACAAGCTTTGATCTTTGAAATCTATCTAAAAAGATCCCTTAGTGGAAGCTTAGAATCGGTCTCTCTCTAAATTGAAATAAATTGGATTCAAACTGTTCTGACCTTGAAATCTTTAACACAATTAGAAAGTATATGCCAAGCATCAGGTATACATTAAAGAGGCAATCCAGACACTTGGAAGATAAAGTAAGAGCTCATTTCAAAACTTCCCCTCAGATCGTTGTAGTTCTGTGGGTTTGAAGACGAAGTGTGGCTCATGGGGAAGCATCAGGGACATCTAGCACACCAGGTTTTGCCCAATAACTCAGCGAATGCAGAAAAAAAGATAATTGTGCGAACTTTTGTTTTTGATAAAGACATCAGCTGAGAACTGCAGCTGCTGAAGTTTGACTCCCAGGTAACTCGCATGCCCACTTTAATGTGACTAAATAAACTCTACCTCTTCCTGTGGTCTCTGCCTATTGCTACAACCCGTTCGAAAAGAGAAAGCGGCTCCTACAAAAGACAGCTGCTGGCACTTTGTCTTAGAACAGGCGAGCTGCTGATGTTTCCTAATGATAGTCTCCAACCTTTGCAGCTCCACAATTTGGTCTCTTAAGAAACAAGTTCATCTATACCATACATTCCTGCTTCTGATTACTGCTATTCATTTACTGTTTGTTTTTCAGGTTGTGCTGTATGAGGATTCAAGCATGATTTAAATACAGAATTATCTTATTTTAATAATATTACTATCTACCACAGGTGTGATGGTTAGGGAAGTGTGGTGCCAACAGACTGGAGCAGGAAGGCTAGAATGGGGAAGAAGTTTGGGGATGGTGGGGAATAACATGATACACCCACAGAGGCTGCCTTGGCACAGTCTTGAGGGTAGGTGCTTAAAAATTCAAGGGCCATGTATCCTATTCCTCTTTGTACCACTCAATTCTGTTTTTAAAGTTTGAGATTGGGGCTGGGTGGGGTGGCTTATGCCTATAACCCCAGCACTTTGGGGGGCCGAGGCAGGCAGATTGCTTGAGCTCAGGAGTTCAAGACCAGCCTGGGTAACATGGCATAACCCAGTTTCTACAAAAAATAGAAAATTTAATCAGGTGTGGTGGCATGTGCCTGTAGTCCCAGCTACTTGGGAGGCTGAAGAGGGAGGACTGCTTGAGCCCAGGAGGCAGAGGGTGCAGTGAGCCAAGATTGTGCCATTACATTTCAGCCTGGGCAACAGAGCAAGATTCTGTATCGCGAAAAAAAAAAAATTGAAGTTGGGCGCAAATAAATGCAAGTAGAAAATACTCATCTTTATATTTTTGTCTGAAGGTCTTAACATGGGACCTTAAATAGAACAGTTAGTCAAAAAATGCTTGTGAGATTGAACACTGAGCAGCCTAGTAAAGAAAACATTAGTCACAAGAGCTATGGCACCATCCTGCCCCAAATATTATCCTACTAGACCCTTAGAAACTAGCCAGAAGTGATGTGTAACTGATGCCATACTTATATGCCAATAGACACTATCTAGATGATTTCCAAGTACTTTATGCAACTTCATTTCTCCAAGTAGTTAACATTCCTTCCCTAGTCCTTCTGTGCCTTGGTTCACACAAGGACTTTTCTTGTGAAATCTGTGTTTTGTTTTTGTCTTTGTTTATTATTCTAAGGATTGGAGAAAGGTGAATTTTAGCTCAGACTATAGTTGCCTAGAACTCCTGAATAGTAGGATTGAAATTTGCATGGGTTTTTGTTGTTTGTAGACAAACAGGGTCTAGTAGACAACAGGGTCTGATGAGTCCACAGCACTAACAGAACTGCTTACAATTTTTAAGTGATCTTTTAATACTAAACTTATGATTTGGGGTCTTATTCATAAAGGTGGTATGTTGGAATAACACGGAGATCTGTCATGTTTCAGTGACTTGGTACAGTGGCAGAATTAGGACTTTCAGACAAAAATAATAATAAACAGATTTCTTGTCTCCTTGCATTGAACACAATCTTGGATAATGAGACCTAAGAATGTAGGTATTCAGGCAAAGGAGAAGAAACAGCCACTGTTTCTTGGGATTGGCTGCCTTTGGGCTTGCAATCTAGCATGCAAGCTCTTCCCCTTTCAACTTTCTTTTTATGGTCCAGAACCATCTAGGCAATGACAATAATAAAATTCTTTCAGTGTGCCAATAACTGTGTTTCAACTGTGAAGATTCACCCACAAAGAATACAAACAGGGTCACTGGCCCCTTAGAAAGACAGACATGAAAATGGATTCAATTCATGCATGATAAAAATCGTAGGAGGCAGTCATGGGGATGATGGTGAGAGGTTCCATGTAAGGAAAAGTGCCAAGGTGAGAAGCAGCATAATTTGATCAAGGGTGTGATTGAAATGTAGTATGTTGGAACTGACAGAGCTGGCAGGGCAGTACAAGGTGATGGAGACAGTGGGGCAGTACAAGGTGATGGAGACAGTGGGGCAGCACAGGTGAGATCCTGAAGATTCCTGTGGGCCATGTTCACAATACAGGACTTTATTCTTTCTTGCCTTTTCCATGCTCTCCTTTATTACTGAGAGAAACAAACATCCCAGCAGTGGCCCTTGAGGACAACACTGTAGTGCTTATGGCAGTGGGATATCCAGAGTGGGTCTTTTCTGGACAGAGGCGCAACCAACTGTTTCAATGAAAGACATCACTGACGCAAATAACACCTCTCATTTGTATGTCTTTTGTGGATTCATCAATGGGCATTATTACTTGTTAGTTTACTCTCTGTTGTCCCTAAACTAGATTTTAAGCTCCATAAAAATAGGGAAATTGCCTTTTTTCCCCCAGTGCTGAATTCTAAGTACATAAGACTATAACTGACATGTATGTATTTGTTTATGGATTAAAAAATAGATGAATGACTTATATGTCAATATAAAAACACTTGATCAGATATTCATTTTTAGAACATCATATAGGCTATGAGTATAGTGTGTAGAATTTGGAGAGGAGTAAAAGGATGAGATATAAAATTGGGAGATTAGGGTGACTGCATCTATGGAATAATTTTTAAAAGATCCTACGGAGTCTCCAATAATCCTCTCTTCTACAGACAGGTAGAGGAACGTGGAGGAGAAAATTCACATATACTAAACACTCATGATGTGTCTGTTACTATGCCAGGTGTCTTCAAATACTTAATTTCATTTAATTCTCAAAACAAAAACTAAACCGCTAACATGTGCAAAATTCCAATTTATAGATAAAGAATTTGGACATTCAGAAAGATTCAGCTAATTGCTTAAACAGCTACATTTGAAGTTAGATTTACACAACTTTAAAGTGGATGCCCCAGTGGAAACCATGCCTGACTGCCTCTTAAAACAATTGACAAACTATTGGTTAATCACTGAAATCTTGGTCCTAAGACCTGCCATTTCATTTCTACAGGCTCTTTGCTCTCATTTGTGCAAGAAATTACATATTATTGTTGGACATTGCAATTCCCATGTTTTCATTATGAGTGACATTCTTTGTGGAAGTAGTTGTCAATTTTTCTTAGTCACATTTTCCTAATATGTACCCTGGCTACAGTTTTTGGCTCTGCCCTCTCTAGGACCTTACAGTTGAGTTCACAGATGAGCACCTTTTTAATTGTGAGTCATGCCTGGTTTCTCACACAATCCCAACTAAAGAAGATAATTATCAACAACATCAGCACATACATTTGTGAGTAGCTTATAGATGAGTCCATAACTTATTGCCAGTGGTCCAATATCAGGACTTCTAGAAAACTGCTTTCAAATCTCTTTGGTTGACAATCAGATCCAGGTCCTGGTATCCCATCCTCCCTTCCCAATGATGATTTCTCCAAACTGCAGTTCTTCCCATCTCCTCCCCTGTTTAATTTGCCTGCTATGGTTTGGATGTGGTTTGTGCCCACCAAAAGGCATGTCAACATTTGATCTCCTTTGCAGTGGGGTTGGGAGGTAAGGACTAGTGGGAGGTATTTGGGTCATAGGTGAGGATTCCTCGTTAATAAATTAATGCCCTCCCTTGGGGGAGAGTGAGTTCTCACTCTTGCAGGAATGGATTAGCTCTTGCAAGACAGGGTTGTTAAAAAGTGTGTGGCTTTCTTGGCTTCTTGCTCTTGTTCTCTTTCTCACCATGTGACTGTTTTGCACATGCCTGCTCCCCTTCCGCTTTCTGTCATGAGTTGAAGCAGCCTGAGACCCCCACCAGATGCAGCTGCCCAATCTTGAACTTTCCAGGCACCAGAATCATTAGTCAAATAAACCTCTTGTCTTTATAAATTACACAGTCTTAGGTATTCTGTTATAGCAATTCAAAATGGACTAACACAGAAAATTGGTACTCAGGAGTGAATTGTTGGAAATAAGAAACTTACTGGGAACTGGATAAAACACTATCCTTGTTACACCATAGCAAGCAACTTGGTTGCATTGTGGCCATGCCCCTACAGCTTTGTGGAATATAGAACTTAAAAGAATAGCATACCTGGTGGACAAAATTTCTAAGCAGCAAAGCTCAGGCTGCTGCTGCTTCTAACTGCTTATGGTAAACAGCTAGAGAAAAGGGAAGCTGAGTGGAAAGATTTGGAAAATTTTTAGCATGGCCATTTGGTAGAGAATGAAACAGTATCTTCAGGAAAGGAATATAAGAATACTGCCAAGAGACCCTTTGCTAAAAAGAGTAGCATGGCTAAAAGAGAGCCAGGTGGTAATGGTGAGAACAATGGAAAAAAAGCCCTGAAGGCATTTTCTTTTTCTTTTTCTTTTTTTTTTTTTTTTTGAGACAGAGTCTCGCTCTTTTGCCCAGGCGCTACTGCAGTGGCGCTATCTTGGCTCACTGCAAGCTCCGCCTCCGGGGTTCACGCCATTCTCCTGCCTCAGCCTCCTGAGTAGCTGGGACTACAGGCGCCCGCCACGGCACCTGGCTAAATTTTTTTGTATTTTTGGTAGAGACGGGGTTTCACCGTGTTAGCCATGATGGTCTCGATCTCCTGACCTCGTGATCCGCCCGCCTCGGCCTCCCAAAGTGCTGGGGTTACAGGCGTGAGCCACCGCGCCTGGCCCCCTAAAGGCATTTTAAAGATCTTCACAGCCAACACTTCCTATCAGAGGCCCAGAAGTCTAGAAGGAAAGAATGGTTTCAGGGGACATGACTGGAGCACCACTGCCCTGTGTTGCCTCAGAGATCTGCTACCCACATCCCAGTGATTCCTGCTGGAGCAGCCATGGCTCAATCTGCCCTAGATGTAACCATGCTGTCACTCTGGAGAGTCTAAGCTATAAGCTTTAGGGGCATCCACATCCATATTACTAATTTTGTAATGGGAGAACAATGAAGGTATGTTGGCTTTCACCTAGCTTTCAGAGGATGTGTCAGAAAGCTTGGGACTCAGACAGAAATATGCCACAGGAGTGGAGCTGCCACAGAGTTTCCACCGTGGCAAAGCCTAGTAGATCCCTGGAAGCAGGGCTGCCTTGGGAACCCCAGACTGTAGAGCCATTGGCAGTGTGCAATGCCCACCTGAAAAAGCCATAGGCATTCAACTCCCAACTGGTGAGAGCAGCCACATGAGCTGCACTCAGCAAAGCCATAGAGGTGGGGTTGCCCAAGGCCTTGGGAGCCCATCTCTTGCACCAGTATGCCCAGGACATGAAGTCAAATGAATATGTTCCAGAAATTTAACATTTCATGCCTGTCCTGCTATGTTTTGTACTTTCCTGGGCCCTGTCATTTATTTATTCAGGCCTATTTTTCTATTTTTTTTTTTAATTATACTTCAAGTTCTAGGGCACATGTGCACAACGTGCAGGTTTGTTACATAGGTATACATGTGTCATGTTGGTGTGCTGCACCCATTAACTCGTTGTTTACACTAGGTATTTCCCCTAATGTTATCCCTCCCCCCTCCCCCCACCCCATGACAGGTCCCAGTGTGTGATGTTCCCCACCCTGTGTCCAAGTGTTTTCATTGTTCAATTCCCACCTGTGAGTGAGAACATGCAGTCTTTGGTTTTCTGACCTTGTGATAGTTTGCTCAGCATGATGGTTTCCAGCTTCATCCATAATCCTAAAAAGGACATGAACTCATCATTTTTTATGGCTGCATAGTATTCCATGGTGTATATGTGCCACATTTTCTTAATCCAGTCTATCATTGATGGACATTTGGGTTGGTTCCAAGTCTTTGCTATTGTGAATAGTGCCACAATAAACATACATGTGCATGTGTCTTTATAGCAGCATGATTTATAATCCTTTGGGTATATACCCAGTAATGGGATCGCTGGGTCAAATGGTATTTCTAGTTCTAGATCCTTGAGGGATCACCACACTGTCTTCCACAATGGTTGAACTCGTTTACAGTCCCACCAACAGTGTAAAAGTGTTCCTATTTCTCCACATCCTCTCCAGCACCTGTTGTTTCCTGACTTTTTAATGATCACCATTCTAACTGGTGTGAGATGGTATCTCATTGTGGTTTTGATTTGCATTTCTCTGATGACCAGTGATGATGAGCATTTTTTCATGTGTCTGTTGGCTGCATAAATATCTTCTTTTGAGAAGTGTCTGTTCATATCCTTCACCCACTTGTTGATGAGGTTGTTTGATTTTTTTCTTGTAAATTTGTTTAAGTTCTTTGTAGATTCTGGATATTAGCCCTTTGTCGGATGGGTAGACTGTGAAAATTTTCTCCCATTCTGTAGGTTGCCTGTTCACTCTGATGGTAGTTTCTTTTGCTGTGCAGTAGCTCTTTAATTAGATCCCATTTGTCTATTTTGACTTTTGTTGCCATTGTTTTTGGTGATTTAGACATGAAGTCCTTCCCCATGCCTATGTCCTGAATGGTATTGCCTAGGTTTTCTTCTAGGGTTTTTATGGTTTTAGGTCTAACATTTAAGTCTTTAATCCATCTTGAATTGATTTTTGTATAAGGTGTAAGGAAGGGATCCAGTTTCAGCTTTCTACATCTGGCTGGCCAGTTTTCCCAGCAGCAGTTATTAAATAGGGAATCCTTTTCCCATTTCTTGTTTTTGTCAGGTTTGTCAAAGATCAGATGGTTGTAGATGTGTGGTATTATTTCTGAGGGCTCTGTTGTGTTCCATTGGTCTATATCTCTGTTTTGGTACCAGTACCATGCTGTTTTGGTTACTGTAGCCTTGTAGTATAGTTTGAAGTCAGGTAGCATGAAGCCTACAGCTTTGTTCTTTGGCTTAGGATTGTCTTGGCAATGTGGGCTCTTTTTTGGTTCCATACGAACTTTAAAGTAGTTTTTTCCAATTCTGTGAAGAAAGTCGTTGGTAGCTTGATAGGGATGGCATTGAATCTATAAATTACCTTGGGCAGTATGGCCATTTTCACGATATTGATTCTTCCTACACATTAGCATGGAATGTTCTTCCATTTGTTTGTATCTCTTTTATTTCACTGAGCAGTGGTTTGTAATTCTCCTTGAAGAGGTCCTTCACATCCCTTGTAAGTTGGATTCCTAGGTATTTTATTCTCTTTGAAGCAATTGTGAATGGGAGTTCACTCATGATTTGGCTCTCTGTTTGTCTGTTATTGCTGTATAGGAATGCTTGTGATTTTTGCACATTGATTTTGTATCCTGAGATTTTGCTGAAGTTGCTTATCAGCTTAAGGAGATTTTGGGCTGAGATGATGGGGTTTTCTCAATATACAATCATGTCATCTGCAAACAGGGACAATTTGACTTCCTCTTTTCCTAATTGAATACCCTTTATTTCTTTCTCCTGCCTAATTGCCCTGGCCAGAACTTCCAACACTATGTTGAATAGGAGTGGTGAGAGAGGGCATCTGTGTCTTGTGCCAGTTTTCAAAGGGAATGCTTCCAGTTTTTGCCCATTCAGTATGATATTGGCTGTGACTTTGTCATAAATAGCTCTTATTATTTTGAGATATGTCCCATCAATACCTAGTTTATTGAGAGTTTTTAGCATGAAGGACTGTTGAATTTTGTCAAAGGCCTTTTCTGCCTCTGTTGAGATAATCATGTGGTTTTTGTCTTTGGTTCTATTTATATGATGAATTATGTTTATTGATTCGCATATGTTGAACCGGCCTTGCATCCCAGGGATGAAGTCCACTTGATCGTGGTAGGTAAGCTTTTTGATGTGCTGCTGGATTCGGTTTGCCAGTATTTTATTGAGGATTTTTGCATCGATGTTCATCAAGGATATTGGTCTAAAATTCTCTTTTTTTGTTGTGTCTCTGCCAGGCTTTGGTATCAGGATGATGCTGGCCTCATAAAATGAGTTAGGGAGGATTTCCTCTTTTTCTATTGATTGGAATAGTTTCAGAAGGAATGGTACCAGCTCCTCTTTGTATCTCTGGTAGAATCGGCTGTGAATCCATCTGGTCCTGGACTTTTTTTGGTTGGTAGTCTATTAATTATTGCCTCAATTTCAGAGCCTGTTATTGGTCCATTCAGGGATTCAACTTCTTCCTGTTTTAGTTTTGGGAGGGTGTATGTATCCAGGAATTTATCCATTTCTTCTAGATTTTCTAGTTTATTTGCATAGAGGTGTTTATAGTATTCTCTGATGGTAGTTTGTATTTCTGTGGGATCGGTGGTGATATCCCTGTTATCATTTTTTATTGTGGCAATTTGATTCTTATCTCTTTTCTTCTTTATTAGTCTTGCCAGCTGTCTATCAATTTTGTTGATCTTTTCAAAAAACAAGCTCCTGGATTCATTGATTTTTTTGAAGGGTTTTCTTTGTGTCTCTATCTCCTTCACTTCTGCTCTGATCTTAGTTATTTTTTGCCTTCTGCTAGCTTTCCTATTTTGGAATAGGAATGTTTACAAATGTCTATACCACCACTGTATCTTGGAAGCAAATAACTTGTTTTTTGTTTTGTTTTGTTTTGTTTTTGCAGGCTCAAAGCTGGAAGAACTTACCTTGAGTCTCAGATGAGACTCTGGATTTTGGGCTTCTAAGTTGTTACTGAAACAAGTTAAGACTTAGGATTATTGGATGGAATGATTGTATTTTGCATGTGAGAGGAACATGAGTTTTTAGATTCACCTGTGGAATGCTATGGTTTGGATTTGGTTTGTTCCCAGCAAAACTGAGATTAAAATTTGATCCCCTTTGTGATGGTCTTGGACGATGAGGTCTATGGGGTGGTGTGTGGGTCATAAGTGCTGATCCCCCATGAATGGATTAATGCCCTCCCTGGGGGCGAGTGAGTTCTCACTCGTGCAGGGATAGATTCATTCCTGCAACACAGCATTATTTCTCTCTTGCTTCCTCAGTTTCTCTCTCTTGCTTCCTCTTTCACGATGTGATCTCTTTACGAACACCTTCTCTCCTCTGCTTTCTGCCATTAGTTGACACAGCCTGAGGCTTTCACCAGATGCAGCTGCCTAATCTTGAACCTTCTAGCCACAAGAATCATGAGCCAAATAAACCAATTTTCTTCATAAATTAACCAGCCTCAGGTGTTCTATTATAGCAGCACAAAATGCACTAAGATGTACTAACAGTGTACCAGGATTTCTCCCTAGGTCCTTACTCCAAATTTTTGACATCTACCTTATGATATATTGCAACTCTACTTTAGGACCAGAGTTCTGTTCTAAGCCAGCTCTGTTTTATGCTATGGTCTTGTTGCTTTCTCTCCCATGGGCCCATGTCTTGATCCCTACTTCAGCCTAATGACTGGAATGCCACCTCTGTTTTCATTTACCTGCCTCACTACTGAGTATCAATTGCCTTCTGCATTCCTTGCCATGGTGCATTACTTATCCACTGGGATTCTGGGATCGTGTAGTAATGATTTCCGTTTCTTCCCAAAGATTTATACTACCTTTCCTTTACAACATTATGTGATAATGTAACATTATTGCTGAGATGTGACTGACTACCCAGAAAGTACATTTCCTTCCCTGCCATCTTCCAATGAGTTGGAAACATAGAGCAATTTTGTCTAATATATATGTAAGAGATGTATGCTGCTTCCAACCCAGTTCATAAAACCTCCACAGAGCCAAGTGATATCACCATCCAGAGTAACTTGGTCCTGTTAAAGTGGCAGAACCTCTGTGAACTTGTGTCCTTGATTTACATTTTGAAGCATAAAGCCCTCTCTTTATGTGGGTGAAAAGCAAGCCTCTAATCTATTATGCTCAGCCTAGGGTGTGCTTTGGGGGTTTATGTGGTATAGTAGACAGCTTTACATACTACTTTTTCCAAAAACCACTGAGGCCAACATGTTTTTTCAATTTGTTGAGCTTATGATCTTCTGAATAAACATTGTCCCACAGTTTCATCAGCCTCTCTGGAGTCTGCCACTGTTATCTGGTCCATTCTGCAACCTCTGCCTCACTCTCCTGGACTGATATGAGGCCAGGCTCTGTTTTTCTTCCCCTGTGGGTCAGTTTCATATTGACTTCAGCTGGGTCCCATACCTTATGCCATTTATCAAGCTATGGCATACTGAATGATATTTAGAAACCTACACTAGTTAGTGGGAAATATGGGGAAACCAATACCTCCATGGCCACAGGTCTGTGAACACTCTGTCCAAGCCGTCCACCCTGAGAGCTGACAGTTGACCACGCATTCCACCAAGCAGGGAATGCTCATTCTCTGGGGCTTCTCCAAATTATGCTGCAAATGGAAATGAAACACAACTTTATTGGAGAAATCACTCTTTAGTCAAATCACTGTCCTTTCATGGGAAAGACTTTCCTTTACTCTGTGATAATAACCTTTCCATATTTCAGTGGGGAAGTATATCCTTTCTTATATAAATTGGTGACAATCATAGAAAATGATTGTCCTTTAATTACCAAATAAAAATTTGTCAGCCAAAATTTCTTTTTATAAAATCCTAAACTCTATTAGGCTGCCAGGAAAGCAGAGGCGTCTGATTACACAGAGATCTGTCCTGTTGCTCAATCAGCAAGGAACCAGAAAGACACTTCAACGCCAACTTCAGGCACTTTGTGCTTCTGAATAGGCCAAAAGTACATGGAGGGCCAACACAGAAAGCCAGCTAGGCTAGAAAATAAATAATGTGGAGATAAAAATACAATCAGCAACCCATCTAAAGTGTATAAAAAAGCCTGGGCTAAAAACAATCATGGTCGTAACGATGGGTCAAGTTGATGATACCGTTTATTTTTTTTCTTGTCCTCTCTGAAACCAGCATCTTGGCAAACCATACAAATTTTCTAATGGCCAAGGTAGCAGAGATCCTAGTGAAAGAATAAAGCACCTGAGAAACACAGAAGGAATAATAAAAAATTCTGCTCTAGGAATAACACACTATTTCTGTGCTTATTAGGAAAACTTTGACATTCAACATGTGTTATATGGTAGCAATATCCTTACCAAGCTAATATTAATGATTATAGTACAATGACTTGCCAAGTGGGTAAAATGGATACTATCATAATGAGACCTATAATCCATCTGAGATATATGGATATTCTAGTTTTGTTAATAATTTGAGATTGCTTTAAACTGGTATTTTTTACATATTTATTGGGCATATGGTATCTGGAAATCAGAGAAACTGACTTTCTATTAATGAATAGTTTATATCTTTTTGTATCAAAAGAAAATACTCATTACATACACTAAATAAACAATGCTCACCTATTGGGAGTTGTAGATTAATGATTTTTTTTCCCTGAAACAGACAACTTCTTTAGAGGCTGATTAAATAAAATAAATGTTAAAATAAATCATGGTATACAGCATTCTGCCCTGTATCAGTCAGTTTCAGAATTTGACCAAATGGAGATCCATTTCAGATGTTCTGTTCTTAGGACTGGTGACGTAGTCTGCAGCTACTCTGTTGGTTTAAAGAGCATGAGCGTGTTGTGACAAAACAGAGCAAAGTCAGGATAGGTGACAGAGGTTTGTTTTGTTTTAATTCCCACTGATGTATTCCACCTCTCTTAAGAGAAATGCCACCAATTTTCATTCTGCAAGTTCGTTAAAGAAGTTTCTGGGGAAATGTGAGTTAACTGGTCCCCTTTTTCCAATTTATCCAAAGACTGTTTCAGTGATTCTTGAAGTGTGATAGTATCTTTACTTCTACTAAACTGCCCCCATAGTGTTTTTCATTTATATGTTGGCAAGAAAATGCCAACTTCTTTGGAAAAGGTCTGACTATAGCTTTTGTCTGAACTCCATATAGTTTGGAACAGAGGGAAAAAAAGGAGGGCTATAAAATTACAAAGATTCAGAACCCATTAATTTGAAACTTGGTAGGGATGCATTTTAATGTAGGTTGAAAAGAAAAATCTCTGCTATTTATCCAAATATTATCTGCTTAAGCAAACTGACATGATTCTGTAATGGCAAGTGTCCATGTTCGTCTTCTATGCAAGGGACAGTATTATCACATATGCAAATGAATCACCTGTCCAATACAAAAGAATCACATTTAAATATTAAAGTCGCCCAAGGTCAACAGTTTGGCAAACAAGTACAGGTAAATAACTTTTTATAAGTAATAAAAACATATATTTTTTAATGAACCCATTTCTCCACTACAAAAATGACCTTTCCCAGTCATTTTGACTAAATTCAAACTAGTGAGCTATAACCATACTATACTGGCACCGCTTACTCTAACTGAACCTAAGCTGAGATGAGAAGAAATCAGTCTGTTATCTATATTGGACATCATGGAACTGCAGACCAATATTAAGAAAAACAAAGCCTTGGATGTGAGATATGAATATAAACACAGTACCTGCTCACATTGGTCCATGCTGACTGGCTTGCCATCACTGCACACACAGCTTAGCAGGCGGGTCCTGACGCCTTGACCACAGGGTGCGTTTTCACTCAGCTGGCATGTGCTCCACTCTACAGGCATAGGATCACCCACACTGAGTTTCAAAATTATGGCCATGTGAGCAAAATACAACAGACCTTTGATTATCTGCTTTGGTGGAGAATAATCCACACATAATCCTAAAATCATTTCCAGGTAGCTTTGGGAATCATCATGCAATGCCCTTATTGCAAAACGAACAAAAAACAAATACACAAAGAAAAGTGAGTTACCTACTTAAATTTGCTTTCCAGAGATAAAGAGCCAATGGTTTGTTAGAAACCATCTCATGGCTGGCTGGAGTAGAAGAGGAAAGATACTAACCAGGATGGTAAAGAAAAATCACTTTAGAATCAACTATTTGTTGAGGATAACTGGAGAAAAAACAACCCAGAAATGATGCCAGTTGCTATGCTCCAGATGTTTGTGTACCCCTGCAAAATTCATATATTTAAATCCTAACCCTCTAGGTGATGGTATTTTGAGGGAGAACATTTGGGGGTAATTAGAATATGGGAGCTGAGCTCTCATGAATGAAATTAGTACCTTTATAAAGGAGGCCTAAGGGAGCTTGTTTGCGCCTTCCATCCTCTGAGGATGTAGCTAGAAGGCACTGTCTAGAGATACAGGCCCTCCTCACCAGACACTGAATCTAGTAGCACCTTGATTTTGGACTTCCAGCCTCCAGAACTATAAGAAATACATTTATGTGTTTTATAAGCTACTTAGTCTATAGCAATTTGTTATAGCATCCAGGACAGACTAAGACACCAATCTTTTATGTAAACTTGAAAACATTTTCAATACTAAATCCAATCATTTAAACCATTTAGTGCATTTGATACAGAATAGTCAAAAGAGATGCTCCGGGAAAGAAAGAGGGAAGGGCACACAAAACTGTATGGACTGTTACAGAAACTATATTTTTTCAGATTATTCTATCATGAGAAAAAGTTTTACAGATTTGGCTAGTCATATTACAAACTAGATGGTGAAGAATTAGAATAAATTATCCCAAAGTTAATTTGATTTTTAAACAACTGTTATTTTTGGTGTCAGTAGAAAGGAAGACCCTTGGTCATATAAAAACTCTTTAAAGAAATTTTCCATATTGGTAGATGATCTAATAGTTTAATAGGAATAGAATAGCAAACCCATGTATAGTAAAATCAGTGTTTCAAAGATATGCTCTTCCAATAAAGCAAGTTTTATTGTATTTCTGAAACAGTACTATAAAAACCAGAGATCTCTTCTCTAAAGAAAAAGGACAAATACACCAGGTCATCTTTACCCACGAAGACAATCAGACAGCCCCACAGAAGTCACTATGAGGTTTTCCACAAGAGGAATCTCAGCAGAGCCAACATGGCTGTGGTGAGGATTTTTTTTTTTCTTTCAGAAAAGGCAATTGCTTTGCCTCTGCAGGCATGTGGTGGTTTGGTTGTCAGTATTGAATTCAATGCTGTGACTTAACATGGTTCCATATTTTGTAGCATTATGGAATGTCTGCTGCTGCAGGGAATGGCAAGTAGCGGATCAATGTAACTATACCAGTCCTCTGGTTTTAGACACTGAGCACTGTGGTGCCTGGAAAATTACTGAGCAGCGGCTGAACAGCTAGAGTGATTTAACTCCCAGTGTGCCTCGAAAACATCCCTGACCAGTCAGTAGTAGCATTCATTCTTATTCAGACCCATACAGAAAGTACCTCACAAGCTCAGATTTCTGAAATAATAAAAGGCATAAAAGAGCCAAATTCTATCACAGTATGATTACATTCTTCTCTCAATGGTAAATTATTCTCTGCTACTTATTTTTGTTGTTTCAGTTTATCATGGCTTAAATCAACATTTTGCTGAAATGTTGCCAAATCTTTCTAAGCTTCTCTTACTACAGAAATTTTATGTGGCCTTGCTGATTCTACATGCCAAGAGTGGGCATTTCTTTCTGTGAGGGGATACTAGAAACATGAAGTCCTCAGGCTTTTATGCAATACACTCACACATTCTACTCTCCATTCTTAATCTTGAGAATGAAAACCCACGCAAAAATTCTCTCATTAGTCAATGTTCAGGGAGAACGACAAGGTCATAGATTTTAACTGTACCTGTTAGATTGTACTGGAACTGGAAGCAATTTTCATTCAGGAGGCAAGGCTGCACCTGTGAGTCTTCAGCACAAGTCCTTGAGTTCAGTGATGGTCTTAGCAGGTGGCGAGTTCTTCTCTGCATTGTGTGGGGATCGCATGACTATTAAAATCAGAGTAGGAAAAGTTGACTGTGGGCAAGTTATTTGATAAATTATATAAGATATACAGGTATAAGTAGGCACATATGTAACAATATAGGGAATAGATTATCTAGAGGGTTAAACATATTACTTAGAAAATGAAACCATTCTGTGAATGATTATAAATTCTTTTTCTCCACCTGACAACTCTTTTGTTTTTCCTGTGTTACCTTGAAGGCTACATTTCTATCTCCCGTATATAATTAAGCACACGGAGACTATTTCTATCATTTAAACTCACACTGTACTCTCAAATAGTCTGCAACAATGTAAGAGATCCGTATATTTTGAATGTTTAAATGCTTTTTTTTTTAAAAAAAGGAAGAAACTGCCCTGTGACCTCAGATAGTCTAGACCAATAAAAATAATCACACAGAAAATTTTCATGAGAAAATCATTTTTTAAACACTAGAACACAGAGATATAGAAAAGGAATTATAAAATCAACATTGCCAATACACTAGAACCTTCTTCTTATTTGGGAATGCCTTTGGTCCACAGAGCATGGACAACTGCATGCTGTTGCCCTTCTGGCAAAATTAATGTGAAAATGTGAACTCCAAAGATATCCTGCAAATATCATGATACCTGTGGCTCCACATGTCCTCCTGTAGCCTCAGTTCCTATAATGTTCTTGACCCAGGTCAACCGGCCTGCCAGATTTCATCCAGCTGGTCTACCCACAGTGGGCCTTCAAGCTCCTCCTACTCGAACAATCTTCTTTCCACTGTCCTCCAAATCCTATTCACCGTTTTCAGAACACTAATCAAGCCTCACTCCTGTCAGTCTTTTTTCTAACAATACCATGTTCTTCTCTTCCTTTTTGAGCAAACTTCCACTCATGCTTAGGAAATTCTGTATAGAACTGCTTCTAAACACATATACATACATATATCCTCAGGTGCTAACCTTTCTTTGCATCGCCATTCTGTTTCTTCATCACCCTGCCTCTTACTTTCTTTACTAATTCCTTTAGGGCATGTTGGATCATGGCTTCTACTTCTCATGTCACTCTCTGAAAGTCTTAATATCAATTATATGTCACAGTTTTTCAACAAATACCATTAAACATGTTCACAACATGCAATCCCAGACCCTCAATCTAACGAGGCCCATAGATTCTTAAGTCATGGGAAAAATAAAAGTCTCTGGATGAAGATCATCAAATCACCATTTCTATAAGTGGGATATTTTATTTGCTTTTTATTCCTATTCCTCTTTCAGATATAGTAGTAAAGAACAAAACCTGTACACTGAGTCTTGACTATGAACCAAAATTATTATGTTGGATTGCACTAAAATATGCAAAAAGCATGCCACAAATTTTTCTTCTAATTGTAAAAGTTTGGACCATTGATACACATTCACTATCCATGTGATTTTGTACTTGGATCTGTCAGTACTTATAATTTTATACTTAATTGAATCAAATTGTCTCTGGATAATCAAGAAGGGCCCATGAAACCAAGCAATTATTCTTAATTATCTGCACATGAATTCCATGCTAAATGCTTACCAATAATTTATCACTATTTTACCAATTAATTTGAATGCTTCTTTTCATGTGGCAGAATAATAACAAATGATTTGTCAATAAAATAAAATGAAAGTATCTTGGTAGATACTCCTGATTAGTGCTTTCCTACATTTCTATCTTATAAAGTAATCAATTAATGTCTGAAACAAGTGAATACATGTAAAGGCTTAGGTACCTGCTTAGTGTAAGCTATCAAGTAAAAGAGAAAATAAAACATACACACATCAATCAAATTACTATGTAACCTTGAACAATTCACTTATATACTCTAAACCTTAGTTCCGCATCTAAACCTAGATGAGAAAGAAGAATGGGGATGGGATGAAATTTGATAAGATTTAAGAATTTTCTTCCTCAGATCTCACAGTCCATATGTGTATAAGTCTGATGGGTATAGTTCTAAAATATCTTCTTGAGGTAATCCACATTTCATACCATATAGTTTCGGATAATTAGATATTAATATAAAGAAAACCAACACTGCACCTTACTCCCCTACTAAATTTCTTCCCATAGAAACAGGCAAAGAGGATTGTGTAGGTGACTGAAATCCATGAACGTGATTCAGCCTCATCTCAGGCAGTATTTTCACACTTCATCTTATAAAAATTCTCCTGGTGCTGCTAACAAGTGATAGATTACTGTTTCTCCTTATTTCTTTCTAATAGCTATTTATAGAAAGTTTAATGTTAGTGTTTTTATCCTTATTTCTTTCTCTCTATTAGCTGTTTATACAAAGTCCATAAAATAATGAATTATCCACAAGAGAGATGGAGGAGTGTGAGGATAAGTGAAAAAAGAAGAGAAAGGATGTTTACATCTATCTGGATGATTTCTTTATTAGATCAAGACTCCTCAAATACAATTCTGGATCTTCTCTTCACTAGAGTAATTATATAAAGACATATTGTCAATTTCCTGCATATAGAAGTGGGAAAATGATGTGTGAATAACTAACCAAAAGTCAACTTTGGACCAGTTTTATTTTTAAAAAATCAAGGTTATATAGCTAATGTTTATTTGCTAGGGAAGAAGATGATCCAGTTAGAACCAGTTAGTGTCTAGTACAGAAACCCCTTCATGACTTACCACTTTTGTAAAGCAGCATTTACCTTAAAGTTCAATCTTCCCTTATGACATTATGCCTTCACGTATTTTGTTATCTCTAGAAGCAAAGCCTTTTGCCTGATTTAAATACTTGTATTCATATCGCTCAAGATGATGTGCTTTCTGGTAAACAGCACACTTTCTATGAAGGAGTCTTGTCAAAGAGTAATGAAGCCTTGATATCCAACTTCCAATTTACAGGAAATTCAAGGATAAAGGAATATGTTAAACCTCACCATGCAGATGCAATTCACGAAAGAGAGACTGAAAATGTTTATAGGACAGGTGGCCTGTTTCTTCACCAATAAATTACTATGAAGGTGGAAAACAAGCAAGGGGAGGAGAAGCTAGGTTAAAAGAGATTTAAAGACATATCTAAAGACAGAACTAAGTGATCATGTTTGAACCACTCTGGTTTTAGACCTGTAAGGAGAAGTAAGGAAAAGACTACCATAGACATCAGGGCAGAATTTACTTTTGAGGGAAGCAAGGAAGTTATAATCAGGAGGAAGTTGTGAAGCTCTTCCTTCCAAGTAGCTGGGAAGGTTCTGCCACCTGGGTGACTGTTACAAGGGTATTCGGCTAATAATGATTTAACTGTATATTTGTTAAATATATAGTTTATTTGTTCTGCATCTGTGTCCTAATCAATTTTGAAGAAGTTAAAACAATCTTTCTCTCATTGTTCTTGGAAAATGTAAGATTATTTTCATTATGAGATTTGATAGTTTCCTGACAACCATCTTTTCCAAAGTGTGTTGTTTTCTATAGTGTGTTAAGAGGTGCCAAGAGAGAAAACCAGGGTTCCTAGTCAAATATAATGAGAAAACATTGACCTAATAGTGCTAAACAAGGATTTTTTGCAATAGAACTTAATGATGTTTGGCAGTCTGCTATTTGTTATTAAAATTTATTTTCTTTTTTCATTGTTGGCACAAGACTGGATCATACATCCCAGCCTTCTTTGCAGTTAAGTGACCATGTTACTGAGTTCTGACAAATGACAAATAAATGGGAGGTCTTATGTGACACTTCCACTCCTGATGCTAAATCCCACTTGTCATCCTCCAACCTGCACTGGCTCCCTCCAGAGAGCTGGAATAGGGGTAACCAGAATTACATTGGAAGTCAAGCTTGAAGACAGCACACCCATTATGGGCTTGGGCCTCAGAGTGATGCATGTAACAGATTCAGATTACCCTTTCCACAGCTGGAAAACTCACTGTGGACTGTTTTCTGGGTGATCAGCAAAAATTACATTGCATTTGAACCATTATAATTTGGGACTATGTGTTTTGATAAATTATCTATAACTAGTACACTGTACATGGTGACTCTTGAAGAGTTTCAAATTTTTATGTTTCAATTTAGCATTTCATGTTATATAATTTGAATTGCAGATTTAAGACACATGAATGTGAAATCATTGTAAATTACAAAGTTATTAATTTATTATCTATATGCATCACTTGGTCTCCTTGAAAATTTTTCTATTAAGATTTACACTCATTTTAAACAAATAGTTTTTGAAAATACATTAAATGCAAGACACCACACCAATGAATAAAACATCATCTAAGGAAGAATTTTCTTTTTATAGTCTGGAGTTTCAAGAGATCATACCTTGTCTCCCCAAAAGACTTACAATTACGCTTTAAAAGAACATAATAGGGATTTAAAAGGAAATGGAGCTATTTCACCCTCCACACAAAACAGAAGAACTTACTAAGTTGCCTCTGAGAAAGTTAATTTACTAATTTTTTATATGTGTTGGAAGATAAGGTGGCAGGTGGGTGAGGTTAGTCTTAGTCATCCAAATAAGTGTTTTTTTGTTTGTTTGTTTTTTCAAACTTCAAGCCATTACATATTATTGGGTTGTGAAAACAATATTAGTAACTAATAATTCTGTAGTGTTTACTATATGTCAGTCACCATTCTAAGTTCTTTAACTCATTTCATCCTTATAACTGCCTTATAAGGTAGATATATTATTATTCCCATTTTACTGATGGCAAAGAGAGGTTAAGCAATTTCATCAAGATCACACAGTTACAGGCAGAGCCAAGATTCCAACCCTATCAGCCTTGTGAGTACATGTTTTTAATCATGCCATCTTGGTTCTCAATTTAGTGGGTAAAAGCCGGCAATATTAAAACTGATAGGGCATAGCATAGTAAACATCTGTCATATACTCAGGGTAAAAATTATTTCAAAAGATTATATATATATATTCATAACATCAATAGGTAAACAATGATTTGTGTGTTTTTTGTGATATAAAACACATTTTTATAGTAGACCATGGTCAAAAATGATTAAAGGCCACTAATGTAATGATAAATTCTTATCAAAAGAATTTTTCCATTACATAGACTGTCATGATCATTATTGCAAAACTGTTTTCATTATAAAGGTTTGCTTGTCTTTTTTTTGTGCGTTTTGCTATAAGCTATAACTTTTTTATTTTTTATTTTATTTTTTATTTATTATTATTATTATTATACTTTAAGTTTTAGGGTACATGTAGTGCACATGTACCCTAAAGCTATAACTTTTAAAAAGAAGTAGATGTTCACTCTATTTTTCTCTCTAGAATATTTCTCTATAAGATGAAACGGTTTTCTTCTTTAAATGCCAGAATTAATTTCAGAACAATACAATTATCAAATTAAGTTTGTACCTAGAAAATAATTTGCTTTCAATTATATGACATCTAAAGCAAAAAAAAATGTGATTCTTAAATGTAAACTTGTCAGACAAATTAATTTTTTAGGCATATCTCTTCCCATAGAAATGGGTATGGAGTTAGGTTGGTGTCTGCAGCCTATCTAGATAAATTAGGCTTAACTAGAGAAGAAGCAAAAGCTAGTGTCTGAGTCAACTCTTCATGTGTTTAGAATATTTCCTTTCACAGGGTTCTTTGTGACCGAATGTGAAGTAGGATCAAAACTCAAAAACTGTTGTTGACCATGGGCTCACACATATCAATATTGGCCATGAGGTAGAAGAAAGTAGAACCGAAGGGGGTACTCCAGCAGTCCAGGTGCAGAAAGCATTCCACTAACTATATTTCAACTCGCCCCTGCTAATGCCCTGGGGCTTTTTTTACCCTAGCCATGCCTTCCATGGATACTCTCAATACTAGAAAAGTCATTCTTCAAGTGTGGTCCCAGGACCAGCAGCATCAACATCACCTGGCAACTTGTTAGAAATACAAATTATTGGGTCCCATCCCATTCTAGATCCACTAAATCAAAAACCCTAGGGTAAAAAAAGACAAAAGAAAAATCTACTTCGGGGTTTGGATTCGGCAATCTTGTTTTAATGAGTCCTCTAGGTGGTTCTAATGCATGTTCCAGTTTTAAAACCAATGCCCTCAAACCATTGTCTCTGAACTTTATGTGCACAATAACAAACTGATATCCCCATCCCCAGCATCCTCTTCTAATCTTTCCCATCTCTGTTAATGGCAACTCCGACAATCTAGAGGCTCAGGTCAAAAAGTTTGAAGTCAATTTTGACTCCCTTATTTTTCTTACACCTTACAACCCAAACCTGAGCAAATCCTTTCAGCTCCATCTTCAAAGTAGAATGCACAACCCATCTACCTCTCACCATTTGTGCCACTCCTATCCTGGTAAAAGTCACTATCACTCTTCACTTAGATTATAACAATAACCTAATAAGTGACTCCAATCTTCCCATTCTACAGATTATGTTGACCTCTGGGGCCAGAACTATCTTCTTAAAATAGCTCAGTTCAGATTATTTAACTCCTCTCTTCCATACCCTTAAATGACTTCCCGACTTAGTGAAAACCAAGTCCATTTCTATGCCTACAAAGTTATACACAATCGGGTCCAGCATTATATCTGAATGCTCATAGCCTGCTTACACAATCTGCCCATTCACCTCCTTACACTATCTGCCTACACCTCATTCACCACTCTGGCCTCTGTGTTGTTCTTGGAGAGCTCCAAGCATTTCCTTGCCCCAGGGCCTTGATCTTGCTGTTCCCTCTGCCTGCAATGCTCTTCCTCCAGTACCTGCATGACTTGCTGCTTTATTTGCTTCTGGTCACCACTGCTCAAAGCCTTCTCTATTAGAAAGGCCTTCTCTGATCATGCTACGTAAAAATATCAGCAACTCTTCCATGTTACTCCTTGTCTTCCTACATATTTTTTCTTCTCCATATCATTTATCGCTACCTCATATTCTATATATTAATTTGGTGCTTCTGGTGTGTTTTTTTTTTTTAAATTTTATCTTTCCCCTAATAGGCTCATGGGCTTTAGAGATACTCGACAATAGATTTCAACAGACTGTGTGTGTTAGTGAGTAACAACGCAAGCTTTGCAAGGGCAGTCTGGCCTTTCAATTGTCTCAAGTAGAGAGAATATTTATCACTTAGCCTCCCCAGGGGGTTGAGATATCTAATGAGTTTAATGAGATTAATGAATGTGTATCCTGAATTCCTGGGAGTTTTGGATTCTTCAAGTGCAGTGCACTCTTATCATTAATGCATTTTACATAGGTAAAAAGATAGCATACAACACAAGAATGTTTACTATAACATCAATGCAAACCTGATTGAAACACTATAAACTAATCTGGTCAGTTAGAAGGGCCGGAGGTTCAGATTTCTGGGGTCCTTCAGTGAAGACTGTCTCTTCCTATACTTTACCTTAATTTTAAGGAATTTAACAAGGCATACATATCTGTGCATAGAGGAATAGCTCCTTACAGCTTCCACTGGTCTTTTAAGAAATAAATGGATAATAGTGAGGGAAACTAAAACTATATTCTGGGTGCTATGCTATTCCCAAAATAATAGCAACAGGAAACATTTAAAAATGTCAATACATACCTAGAACTGTGCTGAACATTCCATATTTATTATCTCACACATCTCTTCAACCTCCCAACGAGCTAGGTGTACTTTTAATATCCTTGTTTTTACAGATAATGAAATTAAAGATCAAACAACATAACAAGTTTATAGTAGATATCTAAGCTGGGATTTCAATCTGGGAGGTCTAATTTGCTCCTCAGTAACTGTTACACTTGTAAAGCACTGGTGCTTGTGGAGTATGTTGAGTTGAAGATAACTGGTTAAAAAAAAAAAAAGCACCACAGAGCTGTATTGTGATTGCAGTTATTGTAATCTGAAAAGCATTTAGTATGGACAATGGTAATTAGAGATTGGGAAAGAGAGGGAACAGACACAAGGAACTATAGCTTATAAGCTAATCAAAAAGCAAGATAAATCACAGGCTAAAGAATGAGAGAGCCAAGCTAGGAATAGAACAATAAATAAGGCTTGCTGCCTGCCTTTGAGGAGCCCACAGTGCACAAAAGATGCTCCCAGTCTAGGGGCCTGGCTTGTCAGATTTAGAGTTAATTGGAAGGAGAAGTGCCAGATATATGTGTTAGTATTAACGGGACTGACAAGACCAGGGGCAAAAGCTATGATATCATCAAGATGATAAAACATTCCTGGTAAGACTTTGCTGGCCTACTGCAAAGAGGAAGTTAGGATGATGCATAAATGTCAGTAGATTTTTTGCTTAGCTAAGTTATTTGGGTGAAGATTTTATAATAGGCAGGGACATCCTCACATAGTCTTTCTGTCTGATATTTTATGACACTAAGGAGTTGTGAAGTTGCATATTTACAATCCAGTCAAAGGTTTTGGAACAGATAAATGATGTATGGCATATCCAATCACAGAAATCGAGGCTGTCACCTGTTTATATTACAGTTGGAGCTTGGGAGTGAAGAAAAAATATGACCAAGTACAAGCCAAAATGCTGGGCTGAATTCTCCAAAAAAGTCAGTTATTTGGCATTGAGAGAGGAAGAAAGAGATGAAAGAGATATGATCCTCAAATGCAATACAGTCTGGATCCTGTAATCAAAAAAATATAAACACTATAAAGGACATTATTGCGACCCATGAGAACTACAAATATGGACTACAGACTAGTTATAAGTATTGCACTGAGGCTGAAGTTTTAAACCATGTTGTGATTATGCTAGAAAATATCCCTGTATTTAGGATTACATATTAAATTATCAATATTAAGGGATAAAATGGATGATGCCTACAACATATACTGAAATGGTTCAGAAAACAGAATAGTTGTGTGTGTATGTTTGTGTTTGGAAGGTCTGTGTAGAGACAGAAATAGAGATATACAGAAAAAGACCTAGACATAGAGGTAAGCATATGTGGTAAACTTAATAATTGGTGGTGCAAATTTCATGCAAATGAGTTTTGGAAATTTTTTCAATGAGAGAAATATAAATGGCACTGGAACACCAATATTAGAAGACACTAATGAATAACACGAGTGAAGTCTTACCAGGAATGTTATATCGTCTTAATGATATCATAGCTTTTGCCCCTGGTCTTGTCAGTCCCATTATATTAAAACATGTATCTAGCACTTCTCCTTCCAATTAACTCTAAATCTGACAAGCCAGGCCCCTAGACTGGGAGCATCTTTTGTGAACTGTGGTTTCCTCAAAGGCAGGCAGCAAGCCTTATTCATATTTATCTATATGCCACCCAAAGGGTCCTTAGGTGACAGTTGCCATTTGAAATGAGGGCACACGAAACTCTTAATCTCAATCTCAGTTTCCCTCTCTCCTTTCACTTTCTCTCTCTTTCCTTTCCTTCTCCTCCTCCTTCCTCTTTTCCTTCCCATGAAATGCTTACTTCTCTTTCTTTATCCTAAGCCCCAGCCATTCAAGAACCAAATTTAAAGTCGAGCCAAAGTAGCCGATAAATTGCTTGAGGCCTCCTGGTCTGTGAGGAGTCCCAGAATAATATCTGGAATGAGACTCCCAGGACAAAAATTCCAGTCTCTGCCAGCAGAGTAGGGGTACTGGGTCTTTCTCTAGACCCCAGAAAAGTAGAAGGGGCCACTTCTATGACATTTCTGTTTTAATATTTGTGCACCCTCCATTCCCACTCCCTACCAAACCAAAGAAAAGGGGCCAAACAATGGATCTAGAATGTGTTTGGGATTTCACGCTTCACCTTTTCCTTTCTTCTTCCACCAAAGAATGCAGGGCCCCTTTCCTCTCAGGTTAGCCAAAGTCACTTGATCTGCTCTTAGAAGAGGTGTTATCCAGTTGCATACTTGGGGCTAGCAACATAGAGGCCCCCACATGGGACTTCGATCTAGGTCCATTCTTTCTAGTCACATTGTTGTTCTGGGCTCTCCTCATACAGGATGTATTCTTTCATTTTTTTTCCTCTTTCCTCATCACTCTCCTACGCCACTTTGCCTAACTCGCCCTTACCCACCTCTCAGGTTTCCAGAAAAACATTCTCTTCCTGAAAGATGTCACTGATCTTTCCAGGGGTTAGAAAATGTGCCAATATCCGGGTGTCGTGGCTCACGCCTGTAATCCCAGCACTTTGGGAAGCCAAGGTGGGTGGATCATGAGGTAGGAGATTGAGACCATCCTGGCTAACATGATGAAACCCCGTCTCTACTAAAAATACAAAAAATTAGCTGGGCATGGTGGCACGTGCCTGTAATCCCAGCACTTTGGGAAGCCAAGGTGGGTGGATCACAAGGTAGGAGACTGAGACCATCCTGGCTAACACGGTGAAACCCCGTCTCTACTAAAAATACAAAAAAATTAGCTGGGCGTGGTGGCAAGCGCCTGTAACCCCAGCTACTCAGGAGGCTGAGGCAGGAGAAACGCTTGAACCAGGGATGCGGAAGTTGCAGTGAGCTGAGATCGCACCACTGCACTCCAGCCTGGCGACGGAGCAGGACTCCGTCTCAAAAAAAAAAAAAAAAAAAAAAAAAAAAAAAAAAAAAAAGTGCGAAGTGCCAATATATGCTTTTTTAATACCCTTGGCTTTTTTACTTTTAACACTATGGCTCTGCTGAGATTGATCTGGAATTTCCTGTATATCTCAGTAGACTGTATGTTCCTTGGGGCCAAGGTCTCTTCATCATACCACTGATGTCTACCATAATACCTGTTACATAGCAGGTAGTTAATATTAGTCAAACACACAATATTTAAACTGATTTTTGTACTTATGTGCCTGACACTGTTAAGTGATTTACATGTATTAATCCTCACACTGGCCTCTGAGTTGTGCACTATTACTCCAATTTTCCAGACATATTGAGGTTAAATTACTTGCCCAAAGTGCCAGTGTGAAGGAGTATACAGACATGAAAGGACATAGGGTAAAAAGGAGAATGTGATGAGTTTGGGCTGTTTCTAAATCTTAAACTTATTTTCCACAATTGTTTACTCAGCATCACTATGTACTTGCCTCTCAAAATAGAAATTAGCATCTGGAAAACAAGACATGCAGCCAAATTGAGAAGGTCCATTTTGTCCACAGGCCTTATTGAAATGTGAACAGAATCTGGGAGGTGAGAAGATGCTCTCTATAGAATTTATGCTTATTAGCTAATTTGAAGGTCAAAATACCCAAAGGACTTATATGTGCAATTTCAGAATTATTATTATTATATTCTATTATTTTTCTACTAGTACAACCATACCAAAAAAGTAATGATTTAGAAATCCTACAAATAAATATTAAGAACTAAGAAATACTACTGGGATATAATAAATCTAATATAGCCAAATATACCACATACTTCTTTAAGAAATCACAGTTTGCATAATATTATTCATAGATACTTTTTAAGGTAATAGTTATATTGTACCCAAAATGGAAAAGATATTAGAAAAGACTTGGAAAGAAACATCTAAATTTTTAAAAAGCTGAAGTGTGTGCAAAACTCAACAAGAGATCACTATGCCCAGTATGACTCATCAGTAGTGATATTTTATGGAGAGGGTCCCTGGCAACTGACACTGTGAGTTTCCATGGGAATAAGTGATTTTTTACATTCTTTTTCCAGATAAGCAATTTTTGGGATTAAAATGATGCAAAAGAGGACTTCTAGGATAACCTAGATGATAGATACATGTTAAAATTCAAAGCAAAAATCTGGCCTTTTCTTCTTAGACATGAAACACACATATTAGATGAAATAAAAATCACAGGTAAAGTGGAATATAGATCACACATCTGAGCTCAAAACTGCTGCTATAGAGTAGTTTAATACTAAAAGTTTTAATAATAGCCATCATAATAACGAAATATTATTGACAGTAAAGACATATATCACATAGCTCAAAGAGAGGAATTGAGTCATTTTAAAAAATTAAATGTTATATTTTCACTATTTAAAAAGTTGAAATAGTCACTTCTTTTTATACTTCTTGAAGAAAACTCTTTCCTTACTTTCAGGAAGCTATGAGCAATTAGAAATATTTATTATAAGTGAATTAGGAATCTGATTGAGTTGTTTTTTTATTTTATTATTATTATTTTTTTTCGAGATAGAGTCTCACTCTGTCACCCAGGCAGGCTGGAATACAGTGGCGCAATCTCCACCTCCCAGGTTCAAGCAATTCTCCTGCCCCAGCCTCCCAAGTAGCTGGGATTACAGGTGCACACCACCAAGCCGGGATAATTTTTGTATTTTTAGTAGAGACGGGGTTTCACCATGTTGGCCAGGCTACTCTTGAACTCCTGACCTCAGGTGATCCATCCACCTTGGCCTCCCAAAGTGTTGGGATTACAGGCATGAGCCACCGTGCCTGGCCATGTTTTAAAGTTTTTAATATTACTAATTTGTATGCATTTGTGATGCCAAGCCAAATTATATTTGATATTCTAAAAAGTAATTACACTAAGTTTTATAGATCAGTAAACTGAGCTTGAAAGAATATCAGCAACATGCCAAAGTCACATAGCGTAATAAGCAAAACAGAGATCAAAATCCAGATATCTCCTTCTTGCTGTCTTCTTGGATGTCAAGTACTTCAAGTGCTATCTTTTTATACTTGCTATATAAATATTAATTCAATAGCAAGAAGAACCATTTTATTATTACTCCAGTGGCTAATGAGTCTCAGCCTTCATTCTAAATTATATGGGTGACTAAGACCTTCCAAGTACACTGTTCAATGATCTGGGTGTTCCAATGTCAAAACCATCCTACAAAGAAAGTTAAAGATTTAGAGAACCCATTTTAGCACATTTTAATTACACAGGACTCATTGGAAGAAGTGTACTTAAAAGAAAAAAAGAAACTAAAGTCGCTGTCTGCAGAAATAAAATTCATTTCTCCATGTCTCAGTCTCTTCACTCAGATTTACCCCATGTAATTCACAATGATGTGAAGGCAATGAAGTGAGATAAGCTTGAAAGCACTCTGAAGAAACAAAAGGCATTCTACAAATACAAAGTGGTGGTGTCCATATTGCAATGGTGGGATACTCAGGCGAGGGGAGGCGTTCATGCTGGACTGTGCTATGAGACAGCAGTTCAGCAAAGCATCATCTAATGAAAACCAAAGACTATCAAGCTCCAACTCACCACCAATTACACTAAGCCTGGAGCAACTCAATCAAGCACCACCAAAAACAAAATAAAAATTGGTCAGGCACAGACAGTCAGACTCTGGGATGTGATGAGTGGGCATGGGAAGCATTGGTAACTCCTAAGGCAGGGTCATTGTGGATGGTAGATACAGACATGTGGCACAGAGAGAAACTCCCCACTGAAAGGTGCTATGGTTTTAATGTGTCCCCCAAAGTTCATGGGTTTGAAACAATCCCAAATGCAACTGTGTTGAGAGGTGGGACTTTTAAGAGGTAATTAGGCCATGGGGACTCCACTCTCATGAGTAGATTAATTCTGTTATCCCAAGAGTGGGTTCCTTAATAAAAAACAAAGAAACTTGTCCCCCACCACTGATGCTTTTTTTGCCCTTCCACCTTGGGATGATGCACGTAGAAGACCCTTGCCAGATGCTGGCATCTTGATATTGAAGTTCCCAGACTGTAAGAAATGTCTTTCTTTGGCAGGGCGCGGTGGCTCACGCCTGTAATCCCAGCACTTTGGGAGGCGAAGGTGGGTGGATCACGAGGTCAGGAGATTGAGACCATCCTGGCCAGCATGGTGAAACCCCGTCTCTACTAAAATACAAAAAATTAGCTGGGCGTGGTGATGCGTGCCTATAGTCCCACCTACTTAGGAGGCTGAGGCAGGGGAATCGCTTGAATCTGGGAGGCGGAGGTTTCAGTGAGCCAAGATTGCGCCACTGCACTCCAGCCTGGCGAAGGAGCAAGACTCCATCTTAAAAAATAATACAAAAACAAAAACAAAAACAAAAAAACGAGAAAGAAAATAAATGTCTTTCCTTTATAAATTATGCAGTCTGGGGTATTCTGCTATAACACCACAAAACAGAACAACACATAATGATTCTCCACTCTCAATTAATATAGCCTCAGAAATAAACAATACATTTGAAGGATAATTTGGATTGTATTCCCTCAAGAAGCCCAAGGGATGACCAGAAAGGGGTGAATGAAAGCAACACAGGTAAATGTGAGAGGGAGCAGGCCACTGCAGTTTTGGGAACTCAGACACAGTGAACAGAGATAAAATTTCAGAGCACTCTATTGAATAGGCATGACAGATTTTCATCAGATTGAAATAGTTTGCTACAGTTATGACCAATTAGGTGGAGCTGAAAGGATACAGATGTTGGCTCCTGAATGAGGCTCAGTTTCAAATTCTGATCCTGCAACCTCAAGTATTATGAGTTTGATTAGTTATTTCATTGCTGTATCTTTCACTTTCTTCACTAATAAAGAGGGACGAAGAATGCTACACTGTGAGTTAATACTCTTTTAATAATGAGATAATGTATGCAAAATGCCCAGAACAAAGAAACACCATTTTTAAAAATTCCTTTTACTTAGAAGAATGGTTTCAAAGACATACAGTCATATGTTACTTAATGACGGGGATATGTTCTGAGAAATCCATCATTAGGCAATTTCATCATTGTATGAATATCATAAAATGTACTTACACAAACCTGGATGGGATAGCCTGGTACACACCTAGGCTATATGGGATAGTGTATTACTCCTAGGCTACAAACCTGTACAGAATACTGTATACTAAATACTATAGATAATTACAACACAATGGTATTTCTGTATCTAAATACACCTAAAAATAAAAAAGGTAGAGTAACATATGGTATAAAAGATTTAAAAAATGGTACACCTCTATAGGTCACTTAGCACAGATGGAGCCTGCAGGACTGGAAGTTGTGCCAGGTGAGCCAGTGAGTGAGCAGTGAGTGAATATGGAGGCCTAAGGCACTACTGTACACTATGGTAGACTTTATAAACATTGTACACTTAGGTTACACTCCATTTATTTTAAAATGTTTTCCATTCTTCAATAATAAATTTACCTCAGCTTACTGTAACTTTTTTATTTTATAAACTTTTAATTTTTTTAACTTTTTGACTCTTTTACAATAACACTAAGCATAAAACACAAACACGTTGTATAGCCTAACAAAAATATTTTCTTTCTTTATATCCTTATCCTATATTTTCTATTTTTAATTTTTTTCCTATTTAAACTTTTTTTGTTGCTGAAAACTAAGATATAAATACACGTTTTAGCTTAGGCCACACAGGGTCCGGATCATCAATTTTGCTGTCTTCCACCTCCCTGTCTTGTCCTACTAGAAGGTCTTCAGGGGCAATAACATGCATAGAGCTATCATCTCATACAATAATAATGGCATCCATTGAAATACCTCCTGAAGGAGCTGCCTGATGCTGTCTTGTAGTTAAATTTTGTTTTTTTGTTTTGTTTTGTTTTTGAAATGGTCTCTCTGTTGCCCACACTGGAGTGCAGTGGCATGATCTCAGCTCACTGCAACCTCTTCCCCACGGGTTCAAGTGATTCTCATACCTTAGCCTCTCAAGTAGCTGGGACTACAGGCGTGTGCCACTACACCCAGCTAATTTTTGTATTTTTAGCAGAGATAGGGTTTCGCCATGTTGGCCAGGCTGGTCTTGAACTCCTGGCTTCAAGTGATCTGCCTGCCTTAGCCTCTCAAAGTGCTAGGACTACAGGCCTGAGCCATAACATCCAGTCTGTAGTTAACTTTTAAAAATATATATAAGTAGAAGGAGTACACTAAAATAATGATAAAAATTATAATACAGTAAATATTAGGCAATAAGAAATTTTCAGTTCCATTGTAATCATATGGCACCACCTTCATACATGTGGTTAGTCATTATTGAAATGTTATGTGGCGCATGACTGGATACTGAAACCAATAACCTTTAGTGTTTCCAAAGCTGAATGCTCATTTTGCTTCTGATATGCCATAAGTTTTAATGAAATTCATGGTGGTAGGAACAGACAAAATATGCCTGAACTGGTTTCTACAATAAATGTTTTTATCTCTCTCTCTCTCCCTCTCTGTGTGCGTGTGTGCATGCATGTGTGCAGGTGCCCCTGGGGAGGGGAAGCAGAAAAGGGAGAGATGATGAAGAAGAAGAGGAGGCAGAGAAGGAGGTGGAGGAAAGAAGAGGGAAGACAAAGGAAACTGGAAGCTGAGGGGCATTGGAAAATTGTCACGCCTTGCATGGCCATAGAGGATTTCTGAATCTTACAAGGAGGAGGCCTTGGTAGAGCAAAGGGGAAAGGATACATGAATGATGACCCAACCGTGTGCAGTGGAAAGTCACTCCATATGCTTTTTGTTGATTCCCTCTCGTTTAGTTATACACTAAATCCTCCAGCTTCTATTGAAAAGTAAAGCTTTATAAAGGCATTCAAAATGAATTTCTTCGAGCTAGATGTTTGTCGATATCATACAAGAAGGGAGGAAAGAATAATGCTGCAATAAACATACGTGTGCATGTGTCTTTATAGCAGCATGATTTATAGTCCTTTGGGTATATACCCAGTAATGGGATGGCTGGGTCAAATGGTATTTCTAGTTCTAGATCCCTGAGGAATCGCCACACTGACTTCCACAATGGTTGAACTAGTTTACAGTCCCACCAACAGTGTAAAAGTGTTCCTATTTCTCCACATCCTCTCCAGCACCTGTTGTTTCCTGACTTTTTAATGATTGCCATTCTAACTGGTGTGAGATGATATCTCATAGTGGTTTTGATTTGCATTTCTCTGATGGCCAGTGATGATGAGCATTTTTTCATGTGATTTTTGGCTGCATAAATGTCTTCTTTTGAGAAGTGTCTGTGGCATTATTCACAATAGCAAAGACTTGGAACCAACCCAAATGTCCAACAATGATAGACTGGATTAAGAAAATGTGGCACATATACACCATGGAATACTATGCAGCCATAAAAAATGATGAGTTCATATCCTTTGTAGGGACATGGATGAAATTGGAAATCATCATTCTCAGTAAACTATCGCAAGAAAAAAAAACCAAACACCGTATATTCTCACTCATAGGTGGGAATTGAACAATGAGATCACATGGACACATGAAGGGGAATACCACACTCTGGGGACTGTGGTGGGGTGGGGGGAGGGGGGAGGGATAGCATTGGGAGATATACCTAAGGCTAGATGACGAGTTAGTGGGTGCAGTGCACCAGCGTGGCACATGTATACATATGTAACTAACCTGCACAATGTGCACATGTACCCTAAAACTTAAAGTATAATAATAATAAAAAAAAAAAAGAACCAAAATGAAACATAAAAGAAAAAAAAGAAGGGAGGAAAGAAAACAAGAGAAAAATCTCTAAGGTTTTCTTTCAAGGGTTGCAAATCATTGAATTATGAGTTACACAGACATTTACAAGCTTGGCCTAGATAGAGTATAGTAATCTATAAATGCTATTCAAGTGATTTATGGTACAACTGTTCTAACACATTAACAATATCAGGAAATGTATTTAATTTATTCTCAGGGATGCACATTTACATTATTCACAACAAGCCATTTATAGGGAAACGTGTAACCCTTAAACTAAAGTGAATGCATCTCTAGTGAGTTTTGAGCAGTTATAACTGTCTAATAAATGCTTGTTTGCTAACTTACTGTACAAGCCAGTGTAAATGTTTTCCAGTTCTTCTGTAAGCACTTTATTCTATGAATTAGTGAACAGTTTGGAACACATGGCAGAATCTGTACACTGGGTCCTAAATGCTGAAGAATCTGAATGATAAAGAACCTACTTTCCTTGCTAAAATTTTGCTAGCTCATGAAAAAGAAAATCATCTTTTACTCCTGATTCTATATTCTAGATTTATCAGATGTAGCAGTGACATATATTTCAAGGATCTGAGGATTTCTTAGCATATTGGCAACTTCTGGAAAATGTACCATCTAGCAGACTGTTGTGTCACTGGTCTAGTTCCCCCTCTACCTTCATCAGGACAAAAATAATGTCTTGGAATTTGTTAGATCTTTATTAAAAATATGCATATGTGCATAGCATGGAGAGTGGGGTGAAGAGGAAAGACAGAAAAAAAGAAAGATGGGGAAATGGGGAGACAGGAACAGGAATGAGATAGAGTGAGGGAGCAAGAGAAGTAGGAGATAGGAAGAGAGACTCAAGCTCAATTGTTGGGGGCTTTTATGTCTTCTACCATTTATTTATCTTAGGAACTCTTTGAGAAATATTTACTAACTAACCATATTATAGATATGAAAACTGAGGGCTATATCTCTAGATATAGAGAATGTAATTACAATTTTAATAATCTTTTATCAATAAACAGTGACAACCCAATTCAAAGTAATTAAATGGTAACCACTAAAATTGTGTATCTTTTGCAAGTGTTCCCTCAGAAAACTACAGTGCACAGGGCATTGCCCTTTTACAGATTTGGACAGCTGAGTTTTACAAAATGGAATTATAATATGTGTCTGAAACATAATATACTTCATTGATTTTGTGTCTTTTGTTCTTGGAGATGCCTCCAGTTGTCCTGACTATATGTTCTCCGTAGTTTGACCATTGGCAAGGACACTTCTTGTCACCATGCAAGCACTTTGTTGCACTAGAGGACCATTCTTCCCACGATTCCAGGTAAATTTTATTGTAGTGATATTTGCAAACAAAAGCATCTTAAAAAAAAAAAAACAGGTTTTTTTTTGGTTTTGTTTTTCTTTTGCCCATTGGACCGTCTTGGATTAGGAAATGACCTTTACAGCTGGCTCATACAGCCAATGCATTTAAACACAAAGAATCCTATTTCCAAGCACTAGAAGATCAGGACATCTGGCCTGAGAGACAATGGAGAATTTCATGGTCTAATATTGTTTGAGAGTCAGAGAATCATAAGCTAACTATACAGGTGTTGATAACAAAGGCAGAATCCCATTATTCTAAATGTCATTACAACAAAGATTGTATCCAGCAAGGCACTTCCATGTCCCATTTGATCGTCCATGGCAACAGTAATTTTTATTAGTTAGTATACTCCAGTATACTAACCTCCATTCTGACAAAATTTCAAAATTTATCTCATATCCATGATTTTGGAGCCTAGGCTACTAATAATGCTAGTTTCAAAATGTTCTTTCTGGTGAAAAACCACACAATGGTTTCTTAAATATTTACGAAACTAATCACCACATGTGGTTGTATCCTTACATTCTATTGTTTTTATGGCAATACACATTCTCTAGCATCCCTTACAGTTATACATAATAATCTTGTCTCATTATGTCATTTCAAACTTCTAAAAATAATTTAGAATATATAGTAACAAAGGAGAAAATGTGCTGATCAAACTATATTCTGTTACTGGACCACAGAACATAGCCACATGGTATTAACAATCTTGAAGAAGAAAGGAGGAGGTGCAAGAGAAAGAAGAGGAAGAGGAGGGGGGAGGAGGAAGAGGAGAAAAAAAGAGGGTGAAAGAGAGGGAGAGAAGAAAGAAAACAAAAAAAGAATAAAAGAAGCCATTTATATTAGGCACTCACAGCACAACTCTCACATTAACTCAATTTGCATGTGCTTTGATTAATTTGATTGAAGTCAATTCATTTTATCTCAATGGAGATAAATATGGGTTGAGACACAGCTATAATTGTTTGATATTTGATCAGAGTATGCTTAACCATGATGATAAGATTTTGGTTTCAGGAGTTTTGGGCAATTAGAAGATGATGTTTGAACACAGCCAAATAAAGAATAATTAAACATTTTTAATGTTTCTAGAAAGTGTGCAGATTTCAAAACATATACTAATTCCATATACTGGCAACACAAAAATAATTCCTTAATCTGACATTCAAGTCCTGTGTTATCTGCCTCCATTTAACTGAATTCTTACAGTTAGTTAATAGCTACATTATCTTCCAGGTAAGGCAGTCTGGGCTCTGTCCCTGGAAGATGTTGTATTATCCAGCATGTGTTCATGCTTTTTACCTGTTTAGTGAGTTTCCATGTTGCCTTCTGTGCTTGCAAGATGTATGACTTTTACCAGCTGTCCTTCTTAACCTTTCTGGCTTACAATAATCTCATTTTTTTGACCCTACAATAAGATATAAAGGCTGAAATATATTTGACTATTTTGTATAGCTCTCTGTTTTTGCTACTTGTATTTTGGGGTTTTTTCTTCACTAAGATTCTGAGTCTTTTAAAGATTAGAACTATGTAATATATATCTTCAAAAGTATTGAGCAATTTATGAGCTCCCAAAAATATACTATTTAATGATTTGAATTACAATATTAAATAGGTATATAGTTATAACCTTCACTTGAAGTTTGTAATAATATTATTTTTTAAAGTTTTGTGTGATTAATAAATCATTCATGATTGATATAAACATATATGTGTATATACATTTATTGATTCATGTGGAATGTGTACATATATCTATACAAGTATATTTTTAAAATGAAATTTCTCCCAATGTACATCCAACAAAAAGGGATTAAGTCTATAAAAGATAGTCCATTTTCTGTTTAAAACTGAAATTTTAGTATTTCCAATACCAAGCCAACATAGTAAATCTCAAATTAAACTTTCTTGGATTCATATTTGAATTCAAGAATTGTGCACAAAAGACAAATAAAGTGTTAGAAACCAGAAAGCATTTTATGTGTTACCTCACCCCTTTGAAAGTATTTATCCCTGGGTTGTTTGAACATGTCTGGCTTTAGGGCTGCCTAATTAGCCACGTGCTATAAATATGATAGAAAGCATGTCAAGGCTTATGAAACCCACCACAACAAGTTACCCATATTACTGCCAATGAGAAGATGTGGTATATAAAGAAGAAACTTTGACAGACTGAAAAATAAAAGGAGCAGGTATAGCATTTTCATATCTTCTTGTAATTAAATACTGTCACTTTGGAATAGATAGAGGAATACAACAAATGCAACAAAGGGGAGAATTGGAAATTTTGAGGCCATAACATATGCTAGAGTGATAAAATATCATACGGAAAGGTGTCCATTGCATAAAAACTGGAAAGTTGTGTTTGCCACAGAAAAAGAGTACTTTTAGTAGCAGTGAATTTAGCATAGTAGTGCCATATAAGGTTAATATTTAATAATTAATTGCATATCTGTACAGTTGCAACCAAAAATGGGAAAGTAAAGATAGCAAAACAATTTCATTTATGGTAACATTAAAAACATAAAATTATAGTAATAAACTAAGATATGCAGAACATCTACACTGAACACTATCAAACATTGTTGAAATAAATTAAGAAAGATCTTAACAATGGAGAGATATGCCATATTCATGAATTGGGAGACTATTTTTATGATATCAGGCTTCTTTTCCAAACTGATCTATAAATTCCATTTATTATCAAGTAAAAACACAGCAGGATTATTGTAAGAAATCGACAATGCAATCCTAAAATTTACATGGAAATGCTAAGACATAGAATAGCTATGAAAATTTTGAAGAATTAAGAATAATGAAAAAATACATTATCAAATTTTTAGACTCAGTCTAAGTCAACACTAATTAAGACAATACAATACTGCTGCATGGATAGACAAACCAATCAATGGAATAAAACTGACAGTCTAGAAAGAGACAAACACATAGCTGTTTACTTGATGTTCTACAAAGGCAACAATGCAATTTGAAACTGTATAGAAGTGGGGGCCATTAATCTTATAGCAGATAACATTGGTGCCACATTCAGATTCCTTCAGATATTTTTACCAGTTCTGTGTACCAATTTCTCTGCTTTGCCATGACTTGCAGCTAATGACTTGCACCCGAGACTCTCAAATAATTGTCCATGGATTATCTTACCTTTCTAAAACTCTAAGGAGAATCAAAAGTGCCTGGAAGATTTAATCCCCAACCCCAAACAGACAGCCTGTAGCTGGTAAGTAACTAGTGGCAGGAGATATAAGCCTAGATCCTTTGCCTCAAAAATGGTCATCTCTGTAGTGCAATTCTACTCCAGAGAGTCTTTCAAAATCAGACTGAGTCTGGGACTTCATTTGAAATAGCACCCTTGCCTGGCTTCTTTCCCTTTTCAGTTCTGCTTCCCCTCTATACCTTATTGGTTTCTTTTTGGAACATTTAACACTTCCTTAATAAATCACTTGTACTGAAGCTCAGGATCCACCTTCGAAAGGACTCAACCTAAAATATTCCTAAACCATTCCACACATACATAATGTATTTGAGATGAACCATATATCTAAATGTGAACACTCAACTCATAGAACTTTTAGAAGAAAAGATGAAAAAAATGCTTCTGTGGCCTTGAGTAAGAAAAAGATTTCTTAGGACAAAATAGATATTAACCATAAAATAAAACGATAAATTTGGCATCAACAGAAGTAAAATCCACTTCTAAAACACAAAAAAACATTGTGATAAAAAGGTAAAACGCAATATAAAATTGTGGAAAATATTCACAATGCTTACATCTGACAGACGACTTACATCCAGAATATACAAATAACTTATTTAAATCAATAATAAAAATAGTTAAATTCATTAAAAAATAGGCATGTGACTTCAACAATCATTTTACAAATAAGATATCTAATGACCCATAAACTGATAAAAAGTTGCTCAACACTATTAGTTATTAGGGAAATACAAATTAAAATCACTAAAAGATATTACTGTATATCCAGCAGAATAGCTAAAATTAAACAAGAAAAAAACATGGAAAATATCAAATGTTGATGAGGTTGTATTAAAATTGAAAGTTTCCTACGTTGTTGTAAATAGTGTAAAATGGCACTATAACTTTGAAAACTGCTTGAAAATTTCTAATAATTAATATACACCTATTTTATAACTTAGCTATTCTACTCCTAAATATGTGCTTAAGAGAAATGGGTGCAGATATTCACAAAATACCTTTTACAGAACGGTTGCAGTAGCTTTATTCATAAAGGCTCTAAACTAGAAATGAACCAAATGTCTGCTAACAAGAGAGTACATAAATAAATGATGCTATAATCCTACAGTGAAATACTATTTAACAACAAAAAAGAACAAACTACTGATCTGCTCAACAACATGCAGACATCTCAAAGGCATTATGTTGAGCAAATGAAACTAGCTCACACAGCCCAAAAGAACTGTGTGGTTCCATTTATATGAAATTCAAGACATAATGTTGAGCTAATGAGATCATACACAAAAGTCTAGGGTATTATTTCACTACATGAAGCCCAAGGCAGGCAAAACTAATAGATGTAAAAGAAGTGCCTAAATTTGAGTAGAAAATTGTACATATACACTGAAAAGCAGCATCAAAGATCCTGTAGTGTACTAGATTTGGCTTATATTTTTGTGTTTAGTGGTTATTCAGAAATATAAGAAGTAAAAAAATTTATCAACCCATACCCTTGAGATCTATGCATTTTCACATATAAAGTATATACATCAAAAGACTATTAAAAATTTCCTAGAATTGAAACAGAAAATAAACATGTAAAACCCTAAACCATACAGAGGATAACAGAAAAATGCAGCTTGGGTGAAGATGCATCCCGTAATCACTGAAAATGAGAAGTGATTTAGGAATAAAAGTTATAGTCTCAGAATGCACTAAAGCACTTGAACTTGAAGTTTTGTCATAATGAAGTATACAGAAATTCAAGGTATCATTCCAACTTGCTTGGAGTAGTATTCCATAGCTAAAATACAGAAATTAAAGGGTACCACATTCATAAAAGCAAAAATGTTCTAATAGAAAAAGATTAGCTTTTCTATGTGGATATTTACAAATAATATATGATTATGTAAAATACAGAAACTGATGAAAATAATCATCTAGATCTATAATTTTAGGTTATATTGACAAAATACAAAAAATTTGAGGGAGAAATATAACAAGCTACATATTTTTTGATATGCAAGGTTTACTATTGAATTTTTTGTTTATACATTTGTAATGCAGAGAAATATGTATTTAAGTTTTTTAATAAAAATAAAACATAATCAGTAGTAATATTAAATTACTCAAGTGCACAGAAAAATACAAGGCATAGTCCATGAAACTACTGAAAATAAAAGAAATACCAAAGATCCTTTCTTTTTATAGCATAATACAACAGATGCCAATTATACAAAATAGATTTTAAATACTCCTATGAAAAGCCAAAAATATTAATCTATACTTCTAATGGAAGTCTTCTTTAAAAGAAAGAAGCATAGAAAAATAAAAAAAAGAGCTAATAAAGATATTTTAAAAACACAAAGAAAAAGAAAGAAAAACAGCATAACTGTTAGACAGAATAAAATCCCAGGCAAAATGTTCGTATGAAACAAAGATCAGCCGAACATTATATAAACAAACATTTGTGAACCTTATTAAGCTAAATAACGTGGCATCAAACTATAAGAATAAAACACTATAATAAAAGCAAAAAGAATTTGACAGAAATATAATTGTAATAGCATCCTCTAATAGACTGCTGTCGTTCTACAACTTTTCGATTGGTTTATGACAAATAGGACGCAAGAATATTGAAAAACATAATACATGGAACCAATTTTTTCAATATATATGTGTATTCTAAGAAAGGCAATCACTGATTTTGTTAAAATTTAAATACATTTTTGAAGCAAACAGAAATTAATAAGTAAAAAAGCTTAAATAATATGAAAAACTTTTGAAATTTAAAAACTGAAATATACTGAACTTTGTAAAATATTCAGGAAATAAGGACATTTATATCATTATGGGCTTTGTAGACATAATGAAAATGAGAATACTACATGTGAAATTTAAGGTCAGAGTCAAAACCTTACCATTCCACTCTGCCCAAATTCTACTAAAGAGAAAATAATATCTTTAAATGTTTCATTACTACAAAAGATAGTAAATATATTAATAAGCATTTTATTCTAGTTGGAAAAAATGTATACCTTAAATGCCTCCCCAAATAGATTAAATAAGTACAACAACTAAAAATGATAAATTAGAAAATAAAAAGATCAGATATGATCATCAAATAAAATTTTGAAAATAGATTACCAAAGGGGTAAACTTTTAACAAATCTAACCAAGAAAAATGAAGAGAAAAAGTAATAAACAGAGTGAAATAAAATTAGAAAGACTCTTCCACAAGGGAATTTTTAAAGTGTATCAGAAAAAATAAAAAATAAAATTTCTCACAATTAGCTCAAGAAATTACTGAAAATGTGAATAGACTAATCAGCCTGGAGGAAACTAAGGAATAGTTTGATCAAAGTTCACCAATCAAAATGTTCTGTATCCAGACAGTTCCACAGATAAACTACTTTATACCATCAGGTATTATGTACCTCCTTAGCTAAAAAAAAAAAAAAAAAAAAACTATTTCAAAGCAGAGGGAAAAATGCAAAATGTATTTTACAGCAATTAGATGCCCTAATTCCAAATTTACAAAATTAACGTATAAAAAGGAAATTATAAATCATTGTCAATTATAGAAATATGATGCAGAAGCACTAAAAAACCTGTGCTACTTTGAAAAATACTATACAGTAGGAGTGATTGAGTTGTTTTTCTTGGAAAAATAAAGATGTCTAATATAAAAGACTTTCAAAATACCATAATAATTCATCCACTTATACACAAACACACACATACACAAATACTCATTGCGACACATGCAGGGTATTCAATCAAGAAAGTCTAAAATCCAAGCCTGATACAATCTTGTACATGTTTAGAAATAAACATATTATTATTATAGTCAGCTATACTAGCCAAGTCAGCCATGATGCCTGTCCTGCACAAATTTCCATTCCAGATGATGTCACCCTGCCCATGGTTCTAGCTCATAAAATGACCATCAATCAGACCATCAGCCTTGTTCTTCATGAGGTGATCAGGCCTAAGTGTGTCCCACATTGCTGTGTCTTGTACTAAATGCTTGTATTAAAATGCTTGGACAAGTATTAGCCATGGTAAATAGTACAGCCAGTGATCTAGCTCTTCCCAGGACTTGCACAAAAGAATATTGTGAGTTCTGTTCTGGAGTAAAAGGAAGGGAGAAAGCATGGCTTACATATGAAAAGTGAAGCACAGGTACTGATAGCAAAAGAGAAAAATCAGGAGGGCCATGAAAGAAAAAAAAAATGAACTTAAAAGTCAATAATTTCACTCAAATTTTCTATGATTTTTAAACACAACTGGCAGCTTATGTGGTCTTCATCTTAGTTATGGTCTTAGTCTTAGTCTTTTGTTCCTTAAGACGAAAATCATAAATGATCTCAATCTAACAGTCATAATAATTGTGAAGCACTTGGCATTGCTGCGTGAATCAGGAATGCAAGGATGTCCAATAACCAGTATATAATTGCAATGGTGGTTGTTAGCTCTTCCCAACTAAATAAGTTCTGATAGGAAAAAGTATTCTACACGCTTGCATGTACACATTAGAAAAAAGGCTTATCTATTATTTGAGATAATACATTTATATGCCTTAAAATACTAAGAAACCAGACCCCAAATATGCAAGAGCAAATGTAAAAGTCTAGTGAAGTGAATAGAAACATGAAAAACAAAAACCAAAAAGAAAACCCAACACTATACCGCCTCTATGCTGGCAATAATATTTTAAACAGTGTAATTTAAAATAGCAATGCCTAAATATAAACAATGTAAAATATCTACTTGAAGAAAATCACAAAATTTCACAACTATATGTAAGGAAAGGGTTGAATTTTAAAAATGTAGATATAAATTGCTTAAGATTTTATAAAAATGGAGGTTGGACACTAAAGTTTTATTTATATGATTCTGGGTAGTTTCTGCATGCTTAAATGTTTCATGATTATAAAAGAGAAAATACATTACATTAATAGAATTAGGTAAAATTTTTTCTAAGTAGAATATGGATTAAATAAAAACTTAAATAAGTATTTTTTTATTTTACAAATGACAAAAATGTCAAAGTTCAATTAAGAATAATAAGAAATGTAAATAGCCAAAAAAGTGAAAAGAAAATCAAATGGCAGGAAAGTATCCGCCAAATATCAAAAGCATACACTTATGTTATTTGATTTTAAAAGGACAACATGTGGCCAGGTGCGGTGGCTCACACTTGTAATCCCAGCATTTGTGGAGGCCCAGACGGGCAGATCACCTGAGGTCAGAAGTTCAAGACCAGCCTGACCAACATGGCAAAACCCCATCTCTACTAAAAATACAAAAATTACCTGGGCATGGTGGCATGCACCTGTAATCCCACCTACTCAGGAGGCTGAGGCAGGAAAATCCACTGGGAGGTGGAGGTTGCAGTGAGCTTAGATCATGCCATTGCACTCCAGCCTGAGCAACAAGAGCAAAACTCCATCTCGAAAAATAAATAAATAAATAAATAAATAAATAAATAAATAAAGGACAACATGAGTCAACATACCAATATATGGATATTGTCAAAATGCCAGAGATACACATACACATTATTATGTGATAAAAAGTAATAAAAAGATGGTAATCACAGATACATGAGACTATATGAGCTAAAAAAATCTATGTGTGCTGGATTTCAATGGATCTTTTTAAATCTAATAAAAATATGCTATAGTTGTGTGAAATATAAATGCTAAAATGGAATCAGAAGCATTCAAAAGACTATAACCACAAGATAAAATGGAGAAATTGAAAAAAAAAAAAACACTGAAAAATATTCCAGCTCCAGAGGTATTTTAAAACATCAAATAGCCCAGCATGAGTGATGCAGAAGACAGGTGATTTCTGCATTTCCAACTGAGGTACCGGGTTCATCTCACTGGGGCTTGTTGGACAATGGGTGCAGGACGGTGGGTGCAGCCCACTGACCATGAGCCAAAGCAGGGTAAGGCATCACCTCACCTGGGAAGCATAAGGGGTCAGGGAATTCCCTTTCCTAGCCAAGGGAATCTGTGACAGACAGCACCTGGAAAATCGGGTCACTCTCACCCTAATATTGCACTTTTTCAATGGTCTTAGCAAACGGCAGACCAGGAGATTATATCCCGTGCCTGGCTCGGAGGGTCCCACGCCCTTGGAGCCTCACTCATTGCTAGCACAGCAGTCTGAGATCAAACTGCAAGGGGGCAGCCAGGCTGGGGGAGGGGCACCTGCCATTGCTGAGGCTTGAGTATGTAAACAAAGCACTGGGAAGCTCAAACTGGGTGGAGCCCACCACAGCTCAAAGAGGCCTGCTGCCTTTGTAGACTCCACCTCTGGGGGCAGGGCACAGCCCAACAAAAGGCAGCAGAAACCTCTGCAGACTTAAATGTCCCTGTCTGACAGCTCTGAAGAGAGTAGTGGTTCTCCCAGCATGGAGTTTGAGATCGGAGAATGGACAGACTGCCTCCTAAAGTGGGTCCATGATCCCTGAGTAGCCTAACTGGGAGGAACTGCCCAGTAGGGGCAGATTGACACCTCACACGGCCAGGTACCCCTCTGAGACAAAGGTTCCAGAAGAACAATCAGACAGCAACATTTGCTGTTCAGCAATATTCGCTGTTCTGCAGCCTCCGCTGCTGATACCCAGGCAAACAGGGTTTGGAGTGGACCTCCAGCAAACTCCAACAGACCTGCAGTTGAGGATCCTGAATGTTAGAAGGAAAACTAACAAACAGAAAGGACATCCACACCAAAACCCCATCTGTACGTCACTATCATCAAAGACCAAAGGTAGATAAAACCACAAAGATGGGGAAAAAACAGAGCAGAAAAGCTGAAAATTCTAAAAATCAGAGTGCCTCTCCCCCTCCAAAGGAACACAGGCCCTCGCCAGCAACGGAACAAAGCTAGATGGATAATAACTTTGACGAGTTGACAGAAGAAGGCTTCAGACAACGAAACTTCTCCGAGCTAAAGGAGGAAGTTTGAACCCATCACAAAGAAGCTAAAAACCTTGAAAAAAGATTAGACGAATGGCTAACTAGAATAACCAGTGTAGAGAAGTCCTTAAAGGACCTGATGGAGGTGAAAACCATGGCACGAGAACTACGTGACAAATGCACAAGCTTCAGTAGCCGATTCGATCAACTGGAAGAAAGGGTATCAGTGATTGAAGATCAAATGAATGAAATGAAGTGAGAAGAGAAGTTTAGAGAAAGAAGAGTAAAAAGAAATGAACAAAACCTCCAAGAAATATGGGACTATGTGAAAAGACCAAATCTATGTCTGATTGGTGTACCTGAAAGTGACAGGGAGAATGGAACCAAGTTGGAAAACACTCTGCAGGATATTTTCCAGGAGAACTTACCCAACCTAGCAAGGCAGGCCAACATTCAAATTCAGGAAATACAGAGAACGCCACAAAGATATTCCTCAAGGAGAGCAACTCCAAGACACACAATTGTCAGATTCACGAAAGTTGAAATGAAGGTAAAAATGCTAAGGGCAGCCAGAGAGAAAGGTTGGGTTACCCACAAAGGGAAGCCCATCAGACTAACAGCTGATCTCTCTGCAGAAACTCTACAAGCCAGAAGAGAGTGGGGGCCAATATTCAACATTCTTAAAGAAAAGAATTTTCAACCCAGAATTTCATATCCAGCCAAACTAAGCTTCAGAAGTGAAGGAAAAATAAAATCCTTTACAGACAAGCAAATGCTGAGAGATTATGTCACCACCAAGCCTGCCCTATAAGAGCTCCTGAAGGAAGCACTAAACATGGAAAGGAACAACCGGTACCACCCACTGCACAAACATGCCAAATTGTAAAGACCATCGATGCTAGGAAGAAATTGCATCAACTAATGGGCAAAATAACCAGCTAGCATCATAATGACAGGATCAAATTCACACATAACAATACTAACCTTAAATGTAAATGGGCTAAATACTCCAGTTAAAAGACACAGACTGGCAAATTGGATAAAGTGTCAAGACCCATCAGTGTGCTGTATTCAGGAGACCCATCTCATGTGCAGGGACACACATAGGCTCAAAAGAAAGGGATGGAGGAAGATCTACCAAGCAAATGGAAAACAAAAAAAGGCAGGGGTTGCAATCCTAGTCTCTGATAAAACAGACTTTAAACCAACAAAGATCAAAAGAGACAAAGAAGGCCATTACATAATGGTAAAGGGATCAATTCAACAAGGAGAGCTAACTATCCTAAATATAATGCACCCAATACAGGAGCACCCAGATTCATAAAGCAAGTCCTTAGAGACCTACAAAGAGACTTAGACTCCCACACAATAATAATGGGAGACTTTAACATCCCACTGTCAACATTAGACAGATCGAGAAAGAAAGTTAACAGGGATATCCAGGAATTGAACTCAGCTCTGCACCAAGCGGACCTAATAGACATCTACAGAACTCTCCACCTCAAATCAACAGAATATACATTCTTCTCAGAACCACACCGCACCTATTCCTAAATTGACCACATAGTTGAAAGTGAAGCACTCCTCAGCAAATGTAAAAGAACAGATATTATAACAAACTGTCTCTCAGACCACAGTGCAATCAAACTAGAACTCAGGATTAAGAAACTCACTCAAAACCACTCAACTACATGGATACTGAACAACCTGCTCCTGAAAGACTACTGGGTATATAACAAAATGAAGGCAGAAATAAAGATGTTCTTTGAAACCAACGAGAACAAAGACACAACATACCAGAATCTCTGGGACACATTTAAAGCAGTGTGTAGAGGGAAATATATAGCACTAAATGCCCACAAGAGAAAGCAGGAAAGATCTAAAATTGACACCCTAACATCACAATTTAAAGACTAGAGAAGCAACAGCAAACACATTCAAAAGCTAGCAGAAGGCAAGAAATAACTAAGATCAGAGCAGAACTGAAGGAGATAGAGACAAAAAAACCTTTCAAAAAATCAATAAATCCAGGAGCTGGTTTTTTTGAAAAGATCAAAAAAATTGATAGAGTGCTAGCAAGACTAATAAAGAAAAAAAGAGAGAAGAATCAAACAGATGCAATAAAAGAATGATAAAAAGGATATCACCACTGATCCCACAGAAATACAAACTACCATCAGAGAATACTATAAACACCTCTATGCAAATAAACTAGAAAATCTAGAAGAAATGGGTAAATTCCTGGACACATACAACTTCCCAAGACTAAACCAGGAAGAAGTTGAATCCCTCAATAGACCAATAACAGGCTCTGAAATTGAGGCAATAATTAATAGCCTACCAAATAAAAAAAAAGTCCAGGACCAGACGGATTCACAGCCGAATTCTACCAGAGGTACAAGGAGGAGCTGGTACCATTCCTTCTGAAACTATTCCAATCAATAGAAAAAGAGGGAATCCTCGCTAACTCATTTTATGAGGCCAGCATCATCCTGATACCAAAGCCTGACAGAGACACAACAAAAAAAGAGAATTTTAGACCAATATCCCTTATGAACATCGATGCAAAAATCCTCAATAAAATACTTGCAAACCGAATCCAGCAGCACATCAAAAACCTTATCCACCATGATCAACTGGGCTTCATCTCTAGGATGCAAGGCTGGTTCAACATACACAAATCAATAAACATAATCCAGCATATAAACAGAACCAAAAACATAAATGACATGATTATCTCAATAGATGCAGAAAAGGCCTTTGACAAAATTCAACAGCCCTTCATGCTAAAAACTCTCAATAAACTAGGTATTGATGGGACATATCTCAAAATAATAAGAACTATTTATGACAAAGCCACAGCCAATATCATACTGAATGGGCAAAACTTGGAAGCATTCCCTTTGAAAACTGGCACAAGACAGGAATGTCCTCTCACACCACTCGTATTCATAGTGTTGGAAGTTCTGGCCAAGGCAATCAGGCAGGAGAAAGAAATAACTGGTATTCAATTAGGAAAAGAGGAAGTCAAATTGTCCCTGTTTGCAGATGACATGATTGTATATTTAGAAAACCTAATCATCTCAACCCAAAATCTCCTTAAGCTGATAAGCAACTTCAGCAAAGTCTCAGGATACAAAATCAATGTGCAAAAATCACAAGCATTCCTATACAGCAATAACAGACGAACAGTGAGCCAAATCATGAGTGAATTCCCATTCCCAGTTGCTTCAAAGAGAATGAAATACCTAGGATTCCAATTTACAAGGGATGTGAAGGACCTCTTCAAGGAGAACTACAAACCACTGCTCAACAAAATAAACAAGGACACAAACAAATGGAAGAACATTCCATGCTCATGGATAGGAAGAATCAATATCATGAAAATGCCCATACTGCCAAAGGTAATTTATAGATTCAATGTCATCCCCATCAAGCTACCAATGACTTTCTTCACAGAATTGGAAAAAACTACTTTAAAGTTCATATGGAACCAAAAAAGAGCCCACATTGCCAAGAGAATCTAAGCCAAAAGAACAAAGCTGGAGGCATCACGTTACCTGACTTCAAACTATACTACAAGGCTACAGTAACCAAAACAGCATGGTACTGGTACCAAAACAGAGATATAGACCAATGGAACAGAACAGAGCCCTCAGAAATAATACCACACATCTACAACTATCTGATCTTTGACAAACCTGAGAAAAACAAATAATGGGGAAAGGATTCCCTATTTAATAAATGGTGCTGGGAAAACTGGCTAGCCATATGTAGAAAGCTGAAACTGGATCCCTTCCTCACACCTTATACAAAAATTAATTCAAGATGGATTTAAGACTTAAATGTTAGACCTAAAACCATAAAAACCCTAGAAGAAAACCTAGGCAATACCATTCAGGACATAGGCATGGGCAAGGACTTCGTGTCTAAAACACCAAAAACAACGGCAACAAAAGCCAAAATTGACAAATGGGATCTAATTACACTAAAGAGCTTATGCACAGCAAAAGAAACTACCATCAGAGTGAACAGGCAACCTACAGAATGGGAGAAAATTTTTGCAATCTACTCATCTCACAAAGGGCTAATATTCAAAATCTACAAAGAACTCAAACAAATTTACAAGAAAAAAAACAAGCCCATCAAAAAGTGGGCAAAGGATATGAACAGACACTTCTCAAATGAAGACATTTTATGCAGCCAACAGACACATGAAAAAATGCTCATCATCCCTGGCCATCAGAGAAATGCAAATCAAAACCACAATGAGATATCATCTCACACCAGTTAGAATGGTGATCATCAAAAAGTCAGGAAACAACAGGTGCTGGAGAGGATGTGGAGAAATAGGAACACTTTTACACTGTTGGTGGGAGTGTAAACTAATTTAACCATTATGGAAGAGAGTGTGGTGATTCCTCAGGGATCTAGAACTAGAAATACAGTTTGACCCAGCCATCCCATTACTGGGTATACACCCAAAGGATTATAAATCATGCTGCTATAAAGACACATGCACACGTATGTTTATTGCGGCAGTATTCACAAGAGCAAAGACTTGGAACCAACCCAAATGTCCAACAATGATAGACTGGATTAAGAAAATGTGGCACATATACACCATGGAATGCTATGCAGACATAAAAAAGGATGAGTTCATGTCCTTTGTAGGGATGTGGATGAAGCTGGAAACCATCATCCTCAGCAAACTATCACAAGGACAAAAAACCAAACACCACATGTTCTCACTCATAGGTGGGAATTGAACAATGAGAACACTCGGACACAGGAAGGAGAACATCACATACCAGGGCCTGTCTTGGGGTGGGGGGAGGGAGGAGAGATAGTATTAGGAGATATACCTAATGTAAATGAGGAGTTAATGGGTGCAGCACACCAACACGGCACATGGATACATATGTAACAAACCTCCACGTTGTGCACATGCACCCTAGAACTTAAAATATAATAATAAAAAAGTCAAATAACTATTTCCTACATTTAACAAAACTAGTTTAAAGAATATAAAATGTTGAAACTTAACAAATTATTTTAAAATTAGCATACCAGTAATGCCAAATATGTTGATGGGAAGAATAAGAGAGACAGAGATGAGAGAGAAACATCTTGAACCAGAACGTCCTGAACCAGTTAAGAAAATGATAAACTAAATAGAATTTAATTAATTTATTTTTATTTATCTATATTTTATTTTTTGAGAATGAGTCTCCCTCTGTCATCCAGGCTGCAGTGCAGTGGCGCCATCTTAGCTCACTGCAACCTCCTGCAACCTCTGCCTCCCAGGCTCAAGCAATCCTCATGCCTCAGCCTCCCGAGCAGCTGGGATTACAGGTGTCCACCAACACATCTGGCTAATTTTTGTATTTTAAAGAGAGGGAGTTTTTACTATGTTGGCCAGGCTGGTCTCAACTCCTGACCTCAAGTGATCCACCTGCCTCAGCCTCCCAAAATGCTGGGATTACAGGTATAAGCCACCATGCCCAGCAGATTTCATTTATTATTATTATTTATTATTATTTTTTTTTTTTTTATTTTTTTTTTTGAGACGGAGTCTCGCTCTGTCGCCCAGGCTGGAGTGCAGTGGCGGGATCTCGGCTCACTGCAAGCTCCGCCTCCCGGGTTCACGCCATTCTCCTGCCTCAGCCTCCCAAGTAGTATTTTTTATTTTTATAATTATTATTTTTGAAACGGAGTCTCTCTGTGTTGCCCAGGCTGGAGTGTGGAGTGCAGTGACGCTATCTCAGCTCACTGCAGCCTCCACGTCCTCCATTCAAGCAATTTCTCCTGCTTCAGCCTCCCGTGTGTCCTGCCTCAGCCTCTGGAGAACCTGGGATTACAGGCATGTGCCACCACGCTGGGCTAATTTTTGCATTTTTAGTAGAGATGGGGTTTTGCCATGTTGGGAAGGCTGGTCTCAAGCTCCCAACCTCAGGTGATCTGCCCGCCTTGGCCTCCCAAAGTGCTGGGATTACAGGCGTGAACCACTGCACCCGGCCTATAATTTAAATTAAAGTTTAATTTAAGAATTAATGTGTATTTCAAAACTAGAAGCTCTGCTTTATCATACTTATAAATGACAAATTCTAAAAATAATATCAGCAATAATAAAAAGCATTTAGTAGAACTGAGTAATCATTTTTGAACACATACATACTTTAATATATTGTATATATACATACATTTAAAAAGAAATTCACAGAAAATATTAAAGATAATACACAATGAGTATTTGTTTAACAAAAGCTCAGACATATTATATCACCTGATTAAAGCCAGTTGATAGAGTTTGGATATTTATCCCCACCCAAATCTCATGTTGAATTGTAATCCCCAATGTTGAAGGTGGGGCCTAGTGGGAGATATTTGGATCATGAGGGTGGATTCCTTATGAATATTTTGGGCCATCCCCTTGGTGATAAGGGACCTCTAGCTCTGAGTTCACATGAGATCTGGACATTTAAAAGTGTGTGGCACCTCCCCCAATATTCCCCTTCTCTCTTGCTCCTGTTCTAGCTATGTGACCTGCCTGCTCTCACTTCACCGAAGTAAAAGCTTCCTGAGGCCTTCCCAGAAACCATGCTTCCTGTACAGCTTGCAGGACTGTAAGCCAATTAAACCTCTTTCTTATAAATTACCCAATCTCAGGTATTTCTTTACAGCAACATGAGAACAATCTAATATACCAGGAAAAGATAAAAATGATTTTTGATTTTTAGCACTATTTAGAAAGTTCTTCCTAATAAAGTATGTATGTCTAGGAAAGATAATGTGAATATCAAGAAAGGATAGGTAAAAGTCATTATTGTATATTATATGGGTGTATGTCAGGAAATCCTAAGACTATGAACCAATTTTTTAAAAACTACTAGTAGAATTAATAATAAAATTAAGAAAACAGTTGGATGCAAGATATTCCTGTAATACCAATATAACACCCATTTGTTTCTTCAGACATTTGCACTAACCAATTAGATACACAGATGGAAGAAAACACCCCATTAATAATAGTGATGAAAAAAATCTCAATTCACATGATATTAAATGTAACTGGGTACAGCAAAAATAGAAATAAAACTCTTGCGAATATTTTTTTAACATATCTAGAAAATGGAATCCAGAAACTAGTTGGTATAGGAATATTCATTTGAAATTTAATAGAACTTGTGTCAACATATACAAAACTAAGTAAAACATGTTTATGTATTTTCAAACAATTAAAATATTAGAAACATATCTTTATACAGTAAACCCGGGATTTTTTTAAGCAAGAAAGAAACTTAGTATCATAAAAACTAAACACTTTTATATGACAGAAGATACCACAAATTGTGTTAAAATTTAATTGATAGGTAATTTTGGTTAAATATGGAAGAGTATATAAAACTCTTTCCAGGAATACCACTAAAATGATATTAAAAGGATTAAAATGAGAGTGAAGACATTTGTTTATAAAGGTGTACAAACAACAACAATAATAATATAAGGACCTAATAGTAATAACATTTAAGAAGCTAGAAAACTTATCTGATAACTGACAGCCGACTTGAAAGTACTGAATTCCAAATCAGCAATGGGTAAATTGGAACTTGATTTGGACTCTATAGCCTCAAAAGACTAGGAATTTGAGCATCAAGTAAAACTGAAAAAGGAATTAAAAGTAGTGTTCAAAACTAGAGAACTAATTGAAAGTGCATCTGTCAGTAATTAACCCGTCTATATTAGGGTTCTCCAGAGATACAGAATCAACAGTGTGTGTGTGTGTGCGCACGCGCGTGTGTGTGTGCATGTACTCACGTGCATATTAATTTATTTAGGAATTGGCTCACATGATTATGAAGCTTGACAAGTCCCAAGTTCTGCAGTCTGCAAGCTGGAGACCCAAGACAGTCAATGGTGTGGTTCCAGTCCAAAGGGCCTGCTGGCTTTATACCCAAGAAGGACCAATGTTTTGGTTTGAGTATAATGGCAGGAAAAAACCAATGTCTCAGTGTAAGGCAATCAGGCAGAAGGAGTTTCCTCTTGCTCATGGGAATGTCAGCCTTTTTGTTCTACTTGGGCCTTTAACTGTTTGGATGGAACTTCATTATTTGGGAAAAGTAAAGCAGAAAATCTCTACAATGGGCACAATTAAGCATGGTGCTACCATTTTGAAAATAAAATGATTAAGGGAAACACTGCTCATATACTGGTACTGAGACCCTCTAGAATATGTTTTCTATTTTGTCCTCCAAATATTGTCAGCCAGGATCATATAATCCAGATAATATTCTCTGAAAACTGCAATGATTCCAAGATTTGAAATAATTTGAGCTATTATTTCTTCAAATATTTTTCTGTCCACTTCCAGGGCTCTAATTATGCAAACGTTAAATGACTTGCTGTTGTTGTACAGATCACTTAGTCTCTATTCATTTCTTTTCCATTCTTTTTTTCTTTCTGTGCTTAGTAACTATGTTTTCAAGTGAAAACACCTATATAGCCAGAATAGAGCTCATGAAATAAAATGTTACCTTGTAAAAAAGAAACAAACAAACAAAATATTACCAAAACCACCTAGGTCCCTATCATTTCCCCTCTCTAGCCAATAACCAGTCCTAGACATTGTGATTGTAACACTGCTGAATGCTTGGGTGGGGTGGGGGCTGGTGTCTTCCATTCGAATGTGTTGAAGTATGTTTTAGCAGGCAGTAATGTTACCTGTGGATCAGCTTGGTCTTTCTGTGGTTTGTCTTTAAATTTCATTAGGGAAATTCTGGAGTAGACTTTAAGGTAAATTTAGCCCTCCTGCTAAGGCAAAACCCTTGTTAGGTCATTAACAAATGGTCTCAGAGCTTGAAGAGGTATCACTGTTCACACTACATGAAATTGAAATGTCTCCTAGACCTATGTGAGCTTTAGAATATGTACATCTTGCAGATTCTCAGAAGTCATTCTTTGTCTGAACTTGGGGAGTTTCACTCCATGAATGTCCAAATTAGTAGTTAGCTAAGAACTCCAGGAGGTCCCATATAGATATCTAGATCATTTTGTTTGCCTAGCTCTTTTCTTTTCAGTATTTTGTGTCTCAAATTTCAACTTCCTGTACCTCTCCAACTCTGGTTGCTGGATCCTCACCATGGTCTCCTTGGAATCTCGTTCCTTTCATCACCATTCAGAAAGTGCCTCTAGCTAGACAGCCATGGTGATTGTAAGGCTCACTTCATTTGGTTTTCTTCCTCAATCACCAGAGTCCCATGCTACTCATCCAAAGTATCAAAACTGTTGGTTTATATATTTTGCCCTTTATAACATTGTTTACTATGGAGCATAAATCCAGTCCAAAGAAATCCAATGATATTCCATCACTTTTAGATGTGAAAATTCTCTTCTCTCTCCAATTCTCTTGAATCGCGTTACAATCGTGCTAGTTTAATGAATAATCAGTTAATTAACTTTTGATACTTTGTATGAGTCACGTTTTTAATTTTTTGAAAATTATACTTTTACAAGGTATAGAATTATACTTTTACAAGGTGTAGAAAAGTGTTGTTAGGTGTAGTTGTTGTCATTAATCATTCTCTCTTAGGAAGATATATAGAAGTATTTATGGCTGAAATAATATAAAATGTGGGATATGCCTTAGTCTGCTAGTAAGAAAAGGAAAGAGAAGTGGGGGAAGAAGAGATAAATGAAATAAGGTTTGTCATATGTAGATAATTGTTGAAGCAGGATGATCAATGTATAGGGCCCATCATAATGTTTTTTATAACTGAGAATTTCATGAAATAGAGGTAGAGATAGAAATGGAGATAGAATGGAAGGTGTCGGGGCAAAGGGAGAGACAGATGGAAATTGAGGGCAATGGAAGCCTTACTTTGTACTCCAAATTGATGATATTGAGAATCAAAGAAATCAGACTGTGTAAGAAAGAATGATAACAAGCATATTAAATATCAAAAACTTGAGGAGCCTAAAGACTGCTTCTATTAGATTGTCATTCACTGCTCCAATGCACGAAATGAGGCACCCTTCTTGCAGTGCCTCATATGGTTCTGGAAGTAATAGTGGCTCTAAGTGATAATACATCTCACTGCACACAGGGGTAAAATACGCTGCAAGCCCCTGAGTAATGAATTACTGTCATCTGACAAGGGCCAATATCAATTTAGCACATGCAACCAGAATTTACACTCCAGATTATAGAAAGTTATCATCATTCTCATCCTCTGGCTTTCAGCTTGAATCAAAGAAAAGAACTAGGTAGTATGAGGGTTGTAATCATTAGGCACCTCCTCCAGAGACAAATACAGGTTGCCATCTGCGTGATAAAGACTGTTAGGTGAGGTTGAGGAAGTGCTTAGAGCTAAGCTCTAGTACTAAACATTGGGATAAATTGCTTCCCTGAAACATAATTTACACAGGTGATGCCAAGGTGCTGAAAATACTGAGTCATCAGGAATAAAATGTCATTGCTCACAGCCTTTCCCCAAAATAACACTGGAGCACCATTAAAAAAAGGGGGGGGGGTGTTTTTCTTAACCTCAAATGCTTAATTATAGACCACTTATCAGAAAACCGGCATGCATTTCTCTTTCTCTTCTAAAGCAGGGCATTTGCCTGAAGAAATAATGGCAGCTTCTGCATTGGCTTTCACTAGTATCTCCTGCACACATAAAGAGTTACAGAAAAGAATAAAGCACAGAAATAAGGTGAATTTTAAAAACACAATATTCAGACTGTGACAGAATCCAGATTCCATTGCACTTAAGCCCTATATAGTTTCTTTGCAAAGTCTTCCTTTGTGATCGTTTCTCACAGATTGTTCTGGTGATAATTCAAAGATTTTGGTCACTTTTTGATCATGAAGTTTCCTTGGGACCACTGTTTAATGAGCCTCTAATTCCCACTATGTGAAGGGATGCTTGGCTACAGTTCTGGCCAACCCCTGATACATTCAGCTAGAGGTGAATCAAAGTTCAAACAGGTTTGCTAAATCTAAGTCATCTTTCTGGAGTGGGTTTGCAAAGTCTTGCTTCTGCAAAATATACAACAGTTTGGAAATTCACTTCCAATACACTTGTCCTATCAATATCAATGTTTAGGAAATTCCTTTGCCAAGACTCCAAGGAGAGATATAAATAGAAAATCTGTGTTACTCAATGGAAAATTTCAGTAAGGATTGGTAGCATAAATGAAGGCAACCCAATATTGTTTCAGATACATAAGTGGCTAATCAACTTCAAATGTTCCAAGATATTTGCATCCAGAAATTTATAAACTTCTCTTGAAGAATAGATGATTCTATGAATAATCCTCAGCATAATTCTGAAGTATGTAGGATCAGGACAAAAACTGGAAAAAATTAGTTAGGTAAAAGAGAACATTGGGTGGTAAGTAATGAACTACGAAATGTCTGTATATTTGTATGTGTATGCATGTACTTACATACATGTATAAACATGTATACACACACATACTTTTAAAGAGTAAACACTATTAGGAAGGTTATTGTATGCACAATTACACAACTTTCCTTTCATAGTAAAGCATTCTAGAAAAGTAAGCATGTTAAAGTAAAAATATATATATATATATATGTGTGTTATGGGAATAAGAAAAAACATGAACATAAAACAAAGGAAACAAATAGTTTTTCATTTTCTTCAAATTCCTCCTTGAATTGTATTTGTTTTTGCTTGATCCATTTATGGTTTTCCCAATACAGTTTTAAAAAAATGGTCCCAGTACAATTTTTAATGCCTTTGTCTTATTTGTTCTTCTGTATGGTTTGCAATTGGTAGTTACTGTCAGGTCAGTAATCCATTCATTCAAAGTTATCTTTGTGATGCATTGTTTTTAAGGACTACTATTAAATTAGATATAAGTCATGTTTCAGTAATGGAGGTGACATTTTATTTCTAAAAGATCAAGTAATAACTTATTTTGTGCAGGGGAAGGGATCTTTCCTGTATAGCTTAAAAAATGTACTGCTCCCTGTCTGGGATTTCCCAACCATGTGGCAAACAAGGTAAGTGGGAGGGGGCTTTGTGGTGGTTCTTCTTCATCACAATTCTGTGTTAGGTAATAACTTATGAAATTTATTTTATACATATTATATCTAATTTTTTAAACAATCTGAAAAAAATAGCTATTATTGTCCTCACTTCCCAGTAAGAAACCTGTAACTCAGATGTTTAAATAACTTGCTGCAACCACACTTAAATACATGTTCAGCTTATTTATGTGTTTGTCTCTAAAGAAGTATCTTTGGAGGAGAAAATACCCAACAAATAGTGAATTTGTCCCAATATCATATGTCACACTGCAGACTATCAAAGGAGAATTTGGTAAAATAATGGCAAATATTAAAGATCCTTAAATCAGCTCATGTTCTACAGGACACTTATAAAATAATTGTTTCCTTTTTCTAATGAAATGCACATTGAAGTGCTAATTAAATTACAGGCACAATGATTTAGTTTGCTGCCTTTGCTATAATCATTCTCATTATCATTGTCCAATACTGACTGGGATTGTCCTATGATGACGGGACATTATGCTAAGATCTTGCAACTTAACTAAAGTTATGCAATATACCTAGATTTAGGGAAAATAATCAGGTATGAGCCCTAATTACCATTTTTTCACTTTGAAGTTTACATTTACATGGGAAAGTACAGCATAGCATCTGAAAAGGACAAGGCCATTGTGGTCAGACAGACCTGAGTGGCCATGGACAAGTGTTACATCATCATAGTGCAATGTTGTTATAAAACTTAAGAGTTACATGTAGCTTTCAGTATAATGTTGGTTATATAAGATATGCTCAATAAAAGTCTGTATTGTCATTGTCATAGCTTCTATCATTATGTAACTTGGAAGGTACATAAGCAGGTAAAGGAACAACCTTCCCATTTCATGCTGACAAGTGAGTAACTATGTTGTCTTTCTGACACATGAAAGGAGGTTAAAATATTTTCTCTACCTCCAATTTCTAAACACTCCAAAAATTAAATAATTATGTTTCGAAAAAGAAGCCTTGAAAAAACAAAAACCCAAAAGAAGCAAACACAGAATGCTAAACCTTCACAACTTTGTGTAAAACGTTCTTACAATAAAAATTTTAGCCCAGTGGCCAGATACCTTAAGACGGCAATGTTTTCATTGCGAAGTGATTAGAGCTTAATGGAGTCTTCTGTGAGTAAATTAGAAAAACAAAAGTGAGGAAGATCATGACCTTACATTTAATTAAACTTCTTCAGGCTGCTAATTCTTCTATAGGTTGATTAATAAAGAGTGGTACTAGCACACTTTCTAAAATATAAACATAATACTCACTCATGGAATAATCACACAGATAACTAAAACAGCTACCCTTCTTCTTCAAATAAATATTGCATTTTAAACAAAGAAAAGTATTGAGTCTAAATCCACCTTAATTTTTCCAAGATAACTGGGCCGAGAATATAAGAGCAAAATCTCTGGCTTCATCAATAGAATAATGTTCATTCTGAGCTCATCACTTATTAAGTACAAAACTTTGTGCAAACCACTTAACCTTTCTACACATCAGTTTCTAAGCTGAACAATGAACTAGTAATACTACCAACCTAATAGGATTAGTACGAGTACTAAAGGGAATAGTTCCTACATGTACCTTGCACAAAATAAGTGGTCAATAAATTTTAATTTTCATTATATTCAGGTTACACACAAAATAAATGACTTAGTAGTACAAATATCCCACTTCTACAAGTTATTCTTATCAGTTTCTCTTCATGTCAATATTATATTGCTCTAAAAACAACTCAACAAATAAAAATAACAATAGAGTGAAATCTCTTTCAGGAATAGAATTATACAAATATCAAAGATAAGGGCTCAATATTTAATAAGGAATCAATAATTTGAAGCTCTAAACATACGATATTAACTGATTTTAAAGATATTTTCCATTTCCATACAGAGATTTTCATAGTCTTTCCACAAATTATCACTATGACAATCAAGTTCAAAGTATCCTAATTTTCCTTTCTAATGTTTGAATTCATATAATTTGTTCCTAATCCCCACTTTCATTTTTTTCAGTGTTTACTTTGAAGTATGAGTATAAAACATCAGAATTTATCTTCTGGGAATAGTAAGTTGAAATATGCTCCTTGAATAATATTTATTTTGCCATACTCCTGTTGTGCTTCCAATTTTTTAAGACTTTAAAAGAAAAAAATAAAGGTATATCCTTTAGTTTTTTTTTTTTTTAAGGTATTTTTGTTAGCTTTGGAAGAAGTAGAAACATGGCAAAAGAATGCCTCATCTTCAGGAAAACAGTAAAAGGCAAAAACAGATCATCACTAACAGAAGCTAAATCACACAGTGGAGTTGAGCTCCTAAGATGTAATTGATTCTGCCAGGATAAAAATGGAACAGGACCAAGATATATTATAAGGAGAATCATTTTGTTACTAAAGAAGACTCCTTTCACAATGGGTGCACAGTTGAATCCTAGTGTGATCATTATAGGCTCATTTTCCTTGTTCATGTAACTGTGATAAAGGCCCTGGAAGAAGGACTGGCATTTTAAATTGCTCAGTCTTGCTTGCAGACTTTTTTTTTCTTTTTTTCTTTCTTTGGATTTCTCAAAAAGAAAAAAATTATTTTCCCATGTTACTAGAAGAATGCTTTGGAGACTAGCACTGTGAATGCACAACGAACAACAGTGAAGGCAACAATAGATTATCAGAGCATTGACAAAGAAAGAGAAATTACCTGTGGGCATTTGCTCCAAAGTCCCCACTCAGACATGACACACTCATTGGGACACATAAGAGAACAGGACTGGGTTTCTGGGGGAATTTCATCCTGGTTGCACAGGTTGCTATCCACTGCTCCACCTTCACCATCCGCAGTATTCACACATCTGTAAAGCAAGGTCACAAGATAGTTTGATTATTTAAAACAGTGGAGAGTATATTTAAAATAGTTATGATGTATCATAGTAACTGACGATAGTTAAATATAACATAAGACCAGCACAGAAACCAAGGGGAACAAAACTTTCCTCCTTTAGTCAGTCAGGCTTTGTGAGCATTAACTCAGTACAGAACCATTTATTCATCAGGGCAAGGGAGAACAATGGAAAGACTAGAGGCAATGGTTGACCTTGGACTAAAGGCAATGGTTGACCTTGAAGAACTTTATATTTCAAGAGACCTGCAATACATTTACTCAGGTCCAGCACTGAGTGCATATTCTTTTTATTGTAATGAATCTTGAAGGCTCTCCTTCTCTGAATAAATCCATCACTTTGTGATAGCTAGAACCTTCCTACTTCCTGTGGCTTTCTTAAACCTTTCCCAAACTTCTATCTGATACCATGTAAAATTTCCTAAACTTTATCCCACCCATTTTTAAAGTCATGGCAAAGTAATATGAAAAATATCTGAATAGGTATTCTTTCAGGTAACTTCTGCATTTCAGTAAAGAATTTTTCAAATCAAAAAAAAACAAAGGGCAATGAGCAAGTATTTTCATGCAGCAATTAATCACATAGCACAGATGTATGCATCATGGGTGCTTGGCCTACTCTGTGTCAGGTTTTGAGATAAGTACTGGCAATAATGAGATAATCACACTATTGTTAAAGATGAAGAAGATTCAATCAAATTAAAACCAAAGTGTTATACCACTATATGCTTGCCAAAATGGATTAAATTGTAAAAACATGGAAAATATCAAAAGCTGGCAAGAATGCAGAGCGATTATAATTAATTCTTCTCATGCTGCTGGTGGGAGCATAATCTGTTTTGAAAACTGGTTGGCAATGTCTACTAAAGCTAAACCTATACATACTATGTAACCCAACAATCCACTTATATTTCTATAGAAATGCATATAAATGTGTACCAAACCAAAAACCAAAGCTGACTGAAAATGTTCATAGCAGCACTATTCATAATGAACCAACCTAGAAACAGTCCAAATGTTCAGCAAGAGTATAACCTATAAATATATTATAGTAAATGCCATAAAGTGATGAGAATGAATGAAAGAATATGAGTGACAGTCAAAAATATAATGTTGAACCAAAGAAGCTAGACACAAAAGAGTACATATGATCCTGTTCCAATGAAGTTAATGAATAGGTAATACTAATCTAGGGTGTCAGAAGTCAGAAAAGTGGCTACCTTTGAGGAAATGGTTAGTGACTGATAGGGACTTAGGTAGTCTTGATAACATTTTGTTTCTTGACCTCTGGGCTGGTTACACAGTTGTGTTCACATTGTTAAAATTCATCCAGCTGTACCCCTATGATGGGGGCATTTCTCTCTATTTATATCACATCCCAAATAGAAATTAATTTTATAATTATTTTTCAAAATGGTTTAATAAAGACTTTCTATGTGAAAATATCTTTTGCTAGCTGTTGGGATACAAAGTTGTTATTTGTCAGTGATTCATTTAGTCAATATTTTTGATAGCTTGCTACATACTAAGTCCTCGCCTGGGTGTTGGGGTACAGAACTGAAATAGAGACAGACATGATCCCTAGCACTATAAGTATTTTGTTCTAGTGATAATGATAAAGATAAAGATGAAAATGGCAATGATGATGAAATAAATCATGCCATTTGCTGATCTAGCAATTCAGATACAATGTCAAGGTTAAGAAATAAGCACTTTAATAACAATACGCTAAAGAGCTTTTGGTGCTCCCTAGATCATGCTATGCTAATGAATTATCCTGCACTTTAAGAGTTTCTTTTATACACACATTAAAAACAGAAAAAGAGATTGAGACCATCCTCGCTAACATGGTGAAACCCTGTCTCTACTAAAAATACAAAAAATTAGCTGGGCGAGGTGGCAGGCGCCTGTAGTCCCAGCTACTCGGGAGGCTAAGGCAGGAGAATGGCGTGAACCCGGGAGGCTGAGTTTGCAGTGAGCCGAGATCACGCCACTGCACTCCAGCCTGGACGACAGGGCGAGACTCCGTCTCAAAATAATAATAATAATAATAATTAATAATAATAGTAATGATAAAAGAAAACTCCAGGAGCATTTCAAAGTAGCTAATCACATACTGAAAAATAAAACAAGCTTTATGAGTTGCTAACTCATGAAAAGTTAGATAGTATAAAAGAGGTTAGCAGAGAATGGTATACAAAAAAGTTGTAATAATGCCTTCTAATATAGGGACTTTAATTCTATGGACTTTAATAACTATGGACTTTAATTTCTTCTGTGGCAAAAGTCAATAGTAGAAGGAAAATCCATGGGATAGCTTAAATGTCCTTTCCTGGACAAACTTAAAAAAAAAATAAAAACTGGAAATTGCTTCCCTTCCTGCCTGCACACTATCTGCTGATGTTCATTTATTATTTCACTGAAAAAGAAGAGGGAAGACTTCTGGTTAATGAAATCCAGTGAATGTACATATTAGTCTCCATTCACTCCCAATATGCTACAAAAGCAATAGTAAAGGAATTTGTTACCAAAACAATAATAATAATTAATAATAATAATAATAATTGGGAGGGAAAGGCATTACTCCACAAGGACAGAGAACATGGGAGAGGACAAGTACAAGAAATGGAAAGTAGACGGGCTCCTGGTAACTCCTTAGCGCATCTGAAAAAACTGATACTAAACCTTCAAAGGGAAACACCAAAAATAACTCAATTTACAACACAGAACAAAGAAAAAATTCTGGAATTCATGGCACCAAGTACCTCTGGAAATGAGGATGAAAATGAGGCTTAAAAAAACTGAAGGATTTATTGAAAGTATAAGAAGTACCCAAACCTTTAGATCCTCTCCCCTGGTCCACACAGGTAAGTGATTGCCCATCCCCTCCCCCTGCCGGTGATTGCTGGTTTACTATCTGGAGAGGGTCACAAAAGGGTCTTTGGACTAGAGAACAGCTGGTGCACTTAATGGGGACACCATCCTGTAAACAGAGGTTTAAGTAAAAGTTTACATACTGCAAAAATTACCACAAAGTTAGTGGCTTAAACCATGGAACTGTATTATCTTATAGCTCTGTAGGATGGAAATACAACTTGGGCCTCATGGGCTAACATCAGAGAGTCAGGTATCAGCAGAGCTGCACTCCTAGAGAAGAATCTCTTTCCTTGCCTTTTCCAGGTTCAGGGGACACTTATATTCTTTGGGTGACCCCTTTCTCCATCTCCGGAGGCAGCAACACTGCATTTCTTGGTGCCTGGCTTCTGTAGTCACATCTTCCACCCTTTCTTACCTCCACTCTTAAAAATCCTGTGAATACATTTTTCCCACTGGACAATCTAAGAAAATCTTCCCATCACAAAGTCCTCACCTTAATAACATCTGCCAAGTCCCTTTTGCCAAAGGTAGCATATCCATAAAGTCCAGGAATTAGGATGTGGACATCTTTGGGGGCCACCATTCTCTCTATAACCCCAGCATTCCTGTTTCACTAGGTTTCCAGAATACCGGCTGATATGGTTAGGCTTGGTGTCCCCACCCAAATCTCATCTTGAATTGTAATCGCCAGGTGTTCAGGGAGATACCTCATGGGAAGTGATCGGATTATGGGGGCGATTTCCCCCATGCTGTTCTCGTGACAGTGAGTGAATTTTCACGAAGTCTGATGGTTTTATAAATGGCAGTTTTTCCTGTGCTGACACTCACTTTCTCCTACTGCCATGTGAGAAGGTCCAAGCTTGCTTCCCCTTTGCCTTCCACCATGATTGTAAGTTTCCTGAGGCCTCCCCAGCCATGTGGAACTGTGAGTCAACTAAATCTCTTTCTTTTATAAATTAACCAGTCTCGGGTATTTCTTTATAGCAGTGTGAAAATAGACTAATACACTGGCTGTTAGGATTATCTATTTCACATATGATTTAATAAGAGGCTTTACTAGGTGTTCTGACAAGCCCGAGAGTAAAGACTTCAAAATATTTAAATTGAGGGTGTTCCTGAATGGAAATGCAGTTATCCACTACATATCCTGCACCATCAATTTCCTTGCCCATCTCCCTTCAGTCATCACCTCACTTTTACTCAAATTCATTGCAAAACTGCTTTAAGGCATTGTCTATATTTGCTATCTCCACTTCCTCCCCTCCTCTCCTCCCGCCTCCCCAATTATTACCTCTTAAACTCACTTAAATCACACTTTTATTACCATTCCAGAGAAACCTCTTAGTGAGATCATCAACAAACTCCCCATTGCCAAACTCAATGGTGAATTCTTATCTCAGTAAACCAAAAAGCCTTTGAAACAATTGATTACTATGTCTTCTTGAGTAACTCACTTGTCCATCTTCTCATTTTCTTTGTTTTCCTTCTATTCCAGTTTTTTTCTTAGTCTCACTTCTAGAATCTTCCTATTTGCTCTAATCCATGAATGTTGGAGTTCCCCAGGACTCAATTTCTTCTCAATAAATACTAAATTTATAAGCTAATGGTGCCCAAATTTATATTCTAAATCTTTCCTCTGAACTGGACTGTAATAGTTCAGTTGGAAAGCTACTATCACCTCAAATTTAATGTGTTCAAAAGCTAATTTTGATTTTTATCTCAAACCTGCTTCTAATGTTCCTCAACTCAAAAAATTATGCCATTATTCCTAACGTTGCTCAGGCCACACCACCTAACAGACATTTTTGAGGCTTCCTTTTTTCCCCACTCTGCAATCATTTTATCACCAAACTCTGTGTTCTACACCTTCAGAATATATTCCAAATTTGACTTTTGCATCACCTTCACTTTTACTAAATCGATTCCAACCATTAACTTCTTTCACCTGGAATTCTGCAAGGGCCTCAAAACTGTATCCCTTGCTGTTCTACACTACACTCTGAAAATACCTTCCCTATACCACATCCAATAAGGCTCTTTTCAAATGTAAATAAGAGGCCAGGCAGGGTGGCAGATCACTTGAGGACAAGAGTTCAAAACCAGCCTGGCCAACGTGGTGAAACTCTCTTTACTAAAAATACAAAAATTAGCTGGGTGTGGTGGTGGGCACCTGTAATCTCAGCTATTTGGGAGGCTAAGGCATGAAAATTACTTCAACTTGGGAGGCAGAGGCTGCAGTGAGCTGGGATTGCGCCATTGCACTCCAACCTGGGTGATAGATCAAGACTCAGTCTCAAAAAATAAAATAAAATAAAATAAAATAAAATAAAATAAAATAAAATAAAATAGAGCATGTCACTCCCCCACATCAAACCTTCCATAGCTTCAGGTTGCAGTTAGAATAATATCCAGTCTTTATCTTGTTTGGGTACTGACACTAGTCATATGGGACAGCTTGTTACTCTGTTAATAAGCCAAGAAGGCTCCTGCTTTTTACTCTCCTTGTCCCTGGAATCCTCTTTCTACAGATCTTCATGCTTATTCAGGTCTCTCACTATATTTAGGTTTGTGCTCAAATATTTTGCTGACCATCTTGCCAAAATAATACTCCTGATAACTCCAACCCAGTTTCGTTTTTCTTTTTTGGCATTTCATAGCAAAGACATTTTATTGAATATAATTTATGTGTTCATTTTTTTCTCTACTGCTATTATAATCATCAGATTATCTCTACTGCTATTATATTACATCAGACCAATCAGACTGAATTTTTATGTAACAAAGTTGTGAGTTGTTTTTCAGTTGCCATGGGTCCCTTACACTAAAGGTTATGAAACCCGATGGGCATGCCCAGATGAACTAAGTACCAGTGGAATGTAAGTACTCAGAAGAGGGACTGAATTAAGAGGTGGATACTGCATGGCAGGATGTAGGGTTAATCAGGTCAAGTCCCTGGCATCACCCCATAGGAGGGTCCACTCAAATCATGTCTCTCAGCACCACCTTATTGCAAGATCCAATCAGATCATACCTTGTTATTTATGCTTATAAAACATGACCCAACCCCCAGCTCAGGGAGGCAGATTTGAGCATTTCCTCCTATCTCCTTGTCAACAGACTTACAATAAACTTTCCTTGCTGCAAAAACCTGGTGCTTCAGTGTTTGGCTTTCCACTGCATGTGAGCAAATGGACCAAATTCGACTCAATGACATTATATTGTCAATTCTTAGAGGACAAAAATGTTATTCACTATTTTATCTGATGTGCTTAGGACAATATCTGATACATAGAAGGCAAATATTCACAAGTATTTTTGATTTAATAATTGATTCTAGTCATGGATAAACCATGAAGATGCTCTACAGTTGGAAGGTTTTAAGAAAGAGAACAGATGAGCTATTCCATTCATTATAAGACTTTAAGGTCAATAATAGTTTAGAATGCAAGGTAACTGGAAGATCTGCTTCACATATTTAAAAGTAATTACGTACATACAGCATGGTGCATTGTGAGTATGTATGTTTTCTAGGGCTACCTCAGTGGGTTGAATGTGTTCCCCAGATTTCACATATTGAAAACTTAATCTCTCAAATGTGTATGTTGATTGGAGATGGAGCCATTGGGACATAATCAGGATTAGATTAAGTCATCAGAGTGGAGCCACCATGATGAGACTGGTGGCTTTATAAGAACAGAAAAAGAAAGACCTGAGCTAACATGCAAGATTTTGCCTTCTCTCCATGTGATGCCCTCCACTTCATTTTGATACAGTACAAAAAGCCCTCGCCAGAAGCTTCCACCAAGTGAGAAGGACATAAATTCTAGGGGACTGGGGCAGAATGATATGGTTTGAATATGTCACTCTAAAATTCATGTGTTGAAAATGTAATTGCCAATGTAATAGTACCAAGACGTGAGGCCTTTAAGATGCAATTGAGTCTTGAAGGTGGAACCCTTATGAATGTCATTATTCTAGTGTTGAGTTCTTATGCAAGTGAGTTTGTTGTCGTGGGAGTTGACTGTTGTAAAAGCAAGCTTGGCTCATTCTTGTGGTCTCATTCTCACATGCTTGCTTGTCCTTCTACTTTCCAACCATGTTATGAAAGAGTACTAAAACCCTTGCCAGAAGCTGCTGCCATGTCCTTGGAATTCCCAGCCTCCAGAGCCATGAGCCTAATAAATTTCTTTTCTTTATAAATTGCTAAGTCTTGGGTATTCTGTCATAGCAAAATAAAAAGAGCTGAAACATATACCATAATAAAATACCACAGACTGGGTCACTTAAATGACAGAACTTTATTTTCTCATAATTCTGGAGACTAGAAGTCTGAGATCAAGGTGTAATCTGGATTTCTTTTTTCTCCTGAGGCCTCTTTCCTTGGTTTATAGATGGGCATCTTCTCCCTGTCTTCACATGGTCTTTCCTTTATGTGTCTGTGTCCTAGTCTTCTCTTCTTATAAGGCCACCAGTTAGAATGGATTAGGGCCCACACCAATAACCTTATTTTACCTTAATTACTTCTTTAAAGATCCTATTTATTTCCAAATGGTCACCTTCTGAGCTACTGAGGGTTCTAACTTAGACATATGGATATTTTTTGTGGGGAAGGGGTTGGAAAATATACAATTCATCCTATTGTAGAATAATGCTTCATAGTTATTATACTGTTTGTATTATATCGGGCTCTGTAGGTTTAAGCTGAGGCATATGACTGAAAGGCCTTCTTGTTCAAGTGTGTTTTCCTCAATCAACCTTCCACAATTCTGTCCATTGCAATTTATTCTCCTAAAGCTTTTCTTTTTCTCCTGAGATTTTCCTTGAATATTTCTAAGAGGCCTGAATAGGATACAAGTAGGAGATGCCACAGCTCATTTACATACTACTTTACAAGCTAGGTTGGTCAATCGTTTTTCAAAACCATGAGAGAATAAGACACAGGAGACAGAAATTTTAAAAAGAAAAAGGTAAAAGCTCCAAATTTGCAACAGCCTGAGCATCTGAGTTCCCAGAAGAAAGGGCAATGTACAAAGGGAAGAAAGATAATTTGTCCATTAGCCATTTGCTTGAGCTGGTGAGGAGAAGCAACTTTCTAATTTTGCTAGCAGCTCTTCCTTTCAACATGACTACCAGTGATTTTGCAACATTGAGACTGTCATAAATAGTGAGTATGTACTGATTTTAATGAATAAAGTACGTTTCACAGATGTTGAATAACAATCAATGACATAACTAGGCTCTGCCTTGCAACTGACTTTCAACAGTTAACTCAATAGGCAGCTACCTGATTTAGACACTGACTGTCCATTTGAAACACAGCTTCCTAAATCTGACAAAATAATACACTATGCATGTGCAATAGTTAACTAAGTTATGCTTCTTATTTATTTTACATACTAATCATTATGTATAAATATTGTAACTTCTGCTGTTTTAATTGTCTAATGTTCATTGCCATTATCCTCAGTTGGTAAGGACATCGTTCTTCTTTCTTTCAAAATCATTTCAAAATAGACCATCTTGACAAACTCAGACCATGTATTTCCTTTGGTTAACACTGCTATATTTCTAAACCAAAAACTTTAAACCAGTTTCCTCAGTAAATAATCTAGCATTCACTAAATTCTCTCAGAGATGTGTTTCTCTTATATTAACATGTATTGCTACTGTTCATAGGTATTCTCAGACTTTAGTTTCCAAGGCTAATCATGGGGTTTAAATTAACCTTTTTAATTATCAACATCCAAAATTAAGAAAATGTTCATCAACTATACTAACCATAATGCAAAAAAGACCAATGGCAACACAGTCAGAATCTCCTAATTTGTTAAGAATAACGGCCATGAATCAGTGGAGTGACAGCAGCCTGCTCCATTGCAGGTGGTTCTCGCACCAATGTCATTTGCAGGATACGCTAAAGGATTGTGGCTGCACTGCAGAGGGAACCCCACTATACACATGGCAGGTAAGGATGCACTTATTTCAATGAATATTTCAAAGATGAGAAAAAACCAGAGTATATGTTATGAAAATCAGAGTGTACTTGGATAAACATCACTGTTGTTTTTATAAAAAATGTATAAGTTCCACTTCCCCCTATTTCCCAAATCTCTCCATTTTCACACACCTGATTTTCCTAGATTGTGTTCCTCCTCCACAGCGCAGGGACCTCAGCTCATTGTTGATTTTGCATGAAGACCAGTGTTCTACAACCCAGGAATACTGATTGCACTCACTGTAACATGGGACTGCCTCATGTACCTGTCAAGAACAGGAAAGAAACAAAATTATGTGGAACTATCCAACTTATAGAAAAATAGCCTATCTTTTAGTAATGCTTGCTGAACATAACCCAAGAAACTGCACTCTGGCCCAAACAGCCAAATTACTTTCCCAAAAAAGCAAGATAGATTTGGCTTCTCTGAATTTACTGACTTGCCTAAAGAAGCATACAGGGGAAATCAACTAAAATATGATGGCATGCTTTCACAGAAGAGAACAAAGGACGGTCATTTCCTAGTGCCAAGAATAGGAATTCCATTATCATTTCATTTCCTCTGAGAGCTCACACAGCATCTATTAGATGGTCCAGCTCTCAATTGTATGGTATATTGTATTCTCAGATGTACTTTAACATGTCAATTGAAACAAACATATATAAGGAAAATTATTCTTGAATATAAGGAGTTCTTACAATGCATAAGAAAAGTGATATGATTTGTACCGGAAATTTCTTTTTATGCCCCCAAATGATCAATGCTAACAGGCAATCATTTAGCCTCCTGGGTATTGTGGCTTCATATAAATTTAGCTATATGTAGGATGTTTTCAGAGTGTAGCTAAAACAGATACACACACACACACACACACACACACACACACACACAAAGAGAAATACTGCTAAACTGTTACTGGCTCTGCATGATTACTGACTATGAATATTTACAATTTTATGGTGAAAACAATGAGTACAGTAAATGAATTCTTAGGTTACTTCCTATGCATTTGTTTGTGGTGATTTTTTTTAACTGAAATTGTATCCCAGTGGGCAGCCAATTGAGTTTGTCTACCTCTTTGTGGCTGCATTTCAATTGCATTGCTCCTTTATATGAGGAACAGTGCTCTTTCTAGGTAAGAAAAAGAATGCTCTTCCATTGCATGATCACAAAGATGGCTCAATTATAGGCCTGCTTACAAAGAATGGTTCCACCTATCACCAATGTAGTTAATTCATGCTTTTCCTTTTAAATAATAATTTAAGTCTCAATCCTTTCCTCCTCTTGCCTTTCTAATTCCATAAAATTGTAAATGATAACTAGGTTGCACTATCCAAACAGAACCATTGCTTGTATGTTTTTACTAAATGCAAAGGAAGGCACTATGTAATAGGATAATCAAGAAACAAGATTGGAGCACTGTCAGCATGTTAGGTAAAAATCAAATGAGAAAAAGTGATTTGCAAGACTACCTCTGAAGAATCACAAATAATGTCAGAAACTATTTTTAACCATCTGGTTCTACTTGGCTGTCTCACTTAGAACTCACAAGAAGATAAAACACAAAGTAACAAATATGTGAGGACAAAATGAAAGATGGGAAAATAGAAGTGGAAATGGGTGTGTGGAAAGAAAGGAATTAAGTAATAAAATAATCACATTTCATGCTGTGAATGCTGGCAAGAATGGAATGAAAGGGTCAGAAGCAGTTCCTACATTAGAATAAGGGGGTGATATCTTATACCTAAGAAGTCTTTCCCATAACAGTCATAGGATAGTAGATGTAAGAAAATAATCTATAAAAATGAAGAGATAGGACCCCAACCAAACATACTAAGAAATTGAGCTGATGACAGCCGAGGGTTTAGCTGATCTGACTGCATCACGACAACGATGCTTTCACTGAATTTATGTTTTCATCATCTGAACCCTTTAATATCTGTTAATTAAACAAAGCTTTTTGGATTTTCCCTGAGATAGAAGAGAGCACCTCTGCCAAAGTGCTTTGTACAAACAGGGCTGGATGAAAAACTTAATTTGAAAAGTAATTTATCCTATATTTCATGCATGAATTTAAGAGCAAAGGGTTGAGATAAACTCTCTGAAATGAAAGTATTTTTTCTAAAGCTATCAATACTAAGTAGAACTTAGATTTTCACCTTCCCTCCCATATAAAGCCCCAAGGTCAAACTAAAAATGAAAAACTGTTTGTTTAGTTGCATGTACCTTTGGTATAAACATTTGACCACCTGATTGTATATTGGTTTCTTGCTTATATTCTTTATGCTCCAGTTGTCTGCACCTGCAGCAGGATAGCTATCTGCAATGTCAAGCTATTGGAAGACAGGGAGAATGTCTGTATAGGAAGATGTGGAGATACCTTCTTGAGTAATAGCATTTAAACAGCACCTCTTAAACAAGATTCTACATTCTCATGGAATTACTTGAAAATTTTCCCCATATGTGTCTATCATTTAAGAATTGTTCATGCTGTTCATTCTAGCTGACAAATCCTTACCCTCTTGCTTTAAAGCCCAAGTTAACCCCATCACAACACAAGGCTCTTCCTCTGACCCCAGTTAGTGTTTCTTTGGGATGCAGTCACAGTCCCAGCTTTAAGCCAGATAATAAAGCCAGAGTACACATGTTTGGGGCTGGGCAGTGGTGTTGTTAGGGACACATGGTGGGCTGCTAGGGGAGCAAACACTCAAAAAAGTCAGCACCTGGACTCCTTTGTGCATCTTTTAGCATTTCTTTATATATATATATATTTTATTATACCTTAAGTTCTAGGGTACATGTGCACAACGTGCAGGTTTGTTACATATGTATACATGTGCCATGTTGGTGTGCTGCACCCATTAGCTCGTCATTTACATTAGGTATATGTCCTAATGCTATCCCTCTCCCTTCCACCCACCCCACAACAGGCCCCGGTGTGTGATGTTCCCCCTCCTGTGTCCATGTGTTCTCATTGTTCAATTCCCACCTATGAGTGAGAACATGTGGTGTTTGGTTTTTTCTCCTTGAGATAGTTTGCTGAGAATGATGGTTTCCAGCTTCATCCATGTCCCTACAAAGGACATGAACTCATCATATTTTATGGCTGCATAGTATTCCATGGTGTATATGTGCCACATTTTTTTTAACCCAGTCTATCATTGTTGGACATTTGGGTTGGTTCCAAGTCTTTGCTATTGTGAGTAGTGCTGCAATAAACACACGTGTGCATGTGTCTTTATAGCAGCATGATTTATAATCCTTTGGGTATATACCCAGCAATGGGATGGCTGGGTCAAATGGTATTTCTAGTTCTAGATCCTTGAGGAATCGCCACACAGTCTTCCATAATGGTTGAACCAGTTTACAGTCCCACCAACAGTGTAAAAGTATTCCTATTTCTCCACATCCTCTCCAGCACCTGTTGTTTCCTGACTTTTTAATGATCGCCATTCTAAATGGTGTGAGATAATACCTCATTCTGGTTTTGATTTGCATTTCTCTGATGGCCAGTGATGATGAGCATTTTTTGATGTGTCTCTTGGCTGGATAAATGTCTTCTTTTAAGAGGTGTCTGTTCATATCCTTCACCCACTTGTTGATGGGGCTGTTTCTTTCCTGTAAATTTGTTTGAGTTCTTTGTAGATTCTGGATATTAGCCCTTTGTCAGATGAGTAGATTGCAAAAATTTTCTCCCATTCTGTAGGTTGCCTGTTCAATTGGATGGTAGTTTCTTTTGCTGTGCAGAAGCTCTTTAGTGTAATTAGATCCCATTTGTGAATTTTGGCTTTTGTTGCCATTGCTTTTGGTATTTTAGACATGAAGTCTTTGCCCATGCCTATGTCCTGAATGGTATTGCCTAGGTTTTCTTCTAGGGTTTTCATGGTTTTAGGTCTAACATTTAAGTCATTAGTCCATCCTGAATTAATTTTTGTATACTGTGTAAGGAAGGGATCCAGTTTCAGCTTTCTACATATGGCTAGCCAGTTTTCCCAGCACCGCTTGTTAAATAGGGAATCCTTTCCCCATTTCTTGTTTTTGTCAGGTTTGTCAAAAATCAGATAGTTGTAGATGTGTGGTATTATCTCTGAGGGCTCTGTTATGATCCATTTGTCTATATCTCTGTTTTGGTACCAGTACCATGCTGTTTTGGTTACTGTAGCCTTGCAGTATAGTTTGAAGTCAGGTAGCGTGATGCCTCCAGCTTTGTTTTTTGGCTTAGGATTGACTTGGCAATGCGGGCTCTTTTTTGGTTCCATATGAACTTTAAAGTAGTTTTTTCCAATTCTGTGAAGAAAGTCATTGGTAGCTTGATGGGGATGGCATTGAATCTATAAATTACCTTGGGCAGTATGGCCATTTTCACGATATTGATTCTTCCTATCCATGAGCTTGGAATGTTCTTCCATTTGTTTGTGTCCTCTTTCATTTCATTGAGCAGTGGTTTGTAGTTCTCCTTGAAGAGGTCCTTCACATCCCTTGTAAGTTGGATTCCTAGGTATTTTATTCTCTTTGAAGCAATTGTGAATGGGAGTTCACTCATGATTTGGCTCTCTGTTTGTCTGTTATTGGTGTATAAGAATGCTTGTGATTTTTGCACACTGATTTTGTATCCTGAGACTTTGCTGGAGTTGCTTATCAGCTTAAGGAGATTTGGGGCTGAGATGATGGGATTTTCTAAATATACAACCATGTCATCTGCAAACAGGGACAATTTGAATTCCTCTTTTCCTAATTGAATACCATTTATTTCTTTCTCCTGCCTGATTGCCCTGGCCAGAACTTCCAACACTATGTTGAATAGGAGTGGTGCAAGAGGACATCCCTGTCTTGTGCCAGTTTTCAAAGGGAATGCTTCCAGTTTTTGCCTATTCAGTATGATATTGGCTGTGACTTTGTCATAAACAGCTCTTAGTATTTTGAGATACTTTCCATCAATATCTAGTTTATTGAGAGTTTTTAGAATGAAGGGCTGTTGAATTATGTTGAAGGCCTTTTCTGCATCTATTGAGATAATCACGTGGTTTTTGCCTTTGGTTCTGTTTATATGCTGGATTATGTTTATTGATTTGCATATGTTGAACCAGCCTTGCATCCCAGGGATGAAGCCCAATTGATCATGGTGGATAAGCTTTTTGATGTGCTGCTGGATTCAGTTTGCCAGTATTTTATTAAGGATTTTTGCATCGATGTTCATCAGGGATATTGGTCTAAAATTTTCTTTTTTTGTTGTGTCTCTGCCAGGCTTTGGTATCAGGATGATGCTGGCCTCATAAAATGAGTTAGGGAGAATTCCCTCTTTTTCTATTGATTGGAATAGTTTCAGAAGGAATGGTACCAGCTCCTCCTTGTACCTCTGGTAGAATTCGGCTGTGAATCCATCTGGTCCTGGACTTTTTGTGGTTGGTAAGCTATTAATTATTGCCTCAATTTCAGAGCCTGTTATTGGTCTATTGAGGAATTCAACTTCTTCCTGGTTTAGTCTTGGGAGGGTATATGTGTCCAGGAATTTATCCATTTCTTCTAGATTTTCTAGTTTATTTGCATAGAGGTGTTTATAGTATTCTCTGTTGGTAGTTTGTATTTCTGTGGGATCAGTGGTGATATCCCTTATCATTTTTTATTGCGTCTATTTGATTCTTCTCTGTTTTCTTCTTTATTAGTCTTGCTAGTGGTCTATCAATTTTGTTGATCTTTTCAAAAAACCAGCTCCTGGATTCATTGTTTTTTTGAAGGGTTTTTTGTGTCTCTATGTCCTTCAGTTCTGCTCTGATCTTAGTTATTTCTTGCCTTCTGCTAGCTTTTGAATGTGTTTGCTCTTGCTTTTCTAGTTCTTTTAATTGTGATGTTAGGGTGTCAATTTTAGATCTTTCCTGCTTTCTCTTGTGGGCATTTAGTGCTATATATTTCCCTCTACACACTGCTTTAAATGTGTCCCAGAGATTCTGGTATGTTGTGTCTTTGTTCTCGTTGGTTTCAAAGAACATCTTTATTTCTGCCTTCATTTCATTATGTACCCAGTATTCATTCAGGAGCAGGTTGTTCAGTTTCCAGGAACAGGTTGTTCAGTATCCATGTAGTTGAGTGGTTTTAAGTGAGTTTCTTAATCCTGAGTTCTAGTTTGATTGCACTGTGGTCTGAGAGACAGTTTGTTATAATTTCTGTTCTTTTACATTTGCTGAGGAGTGCTTCACTTTCAACTATGTGCTCAATTTAGGAATAGGTGTGGTGTGGTTCTGAGAAGAATGTATATTCTGTTGATTTGGGGTGGAGAGTTCTGTAGATGTCTATTAGGTCTGCTTGGTGCAGAGCTGAGTTCAATTCCTGGATATCCCTCTTAACTTTCTGTCTTGTTGATCTGTCTACAGTTGACAGTGGGGTGTTAAAGTCTCCCATTATTATTGTGTGGGAGTCTAAGTCTCTTTGTAGGTCTCTAAGGACTTGCTTTGTGAATCTGGGTGCTCCTGTATTGGGTGCATATATATTTAGGATAGTTAGCTCTCCTTGTTGAATTGATCCCTTTACCATTATGTAATGGCCTTCTTTGTCTCTTTTGATCTTTGTTGGTTTAAAGTCTGTTTTATCAGAGACTAGGATTGCAACCCCTGCCTTTTTTTGTTTTCCATTTGCTTGGTAGATCTTCCTCCATCCCTTTCTTTTGAGCCTATGTGTGTCTCTGCAAGTGAGATGGATCTCCTGAATACAGCACACTGATGGGTCTTGACTCTATCTAATTTGCCAGTCTGTGTCTTTTAATTGGAGCATTTAGCCCATTTACATTTAAGGTTAATATTGTTATGTGTTGAATTTGATCCTGTCATTATGATGTTAGCTGGTTATTTTGCTCATTAGTTGATGCAGTTTCTTCCTAGCATCGATGGTCTTTACAATTTGGCATGTTTTTGCAGTGGCTGGTACCGCTGGTTCCTTTCCATGTTTAGTGCTTTCTTCAGGAGCTCTTTTAGGGCAGGCCTGGTGGTGACAAAATCTCTCAGCATTTGCTTGTCTGTAAAGGATTTTATTTCTCCTTCACTTAGGAAGCTTAGTTTGGCTGGATATGAAATTCTGGGTTGAAAATTCTTTTCTTTAAGAATGTTGAATATTGGCCCCCACTCTCTTTTGGCTTGTAGAGTTTCTGCTGAGAGATCAGCTGTTAGTCTGATGGGCTTCCCTTTGTGGGTAACCCGACCTTTCTCTCTGTCTGCCCTTAACATTTTTTGCTTCATTTCAACTTTGGTGAATCTGACAGTTATGTGTCTGGGAGTTGCTCTTCTCGAAGAGTATCTTTGTGGCATTCTCTGTATTTCCTGAATTTGAATGTTGGCCTGTCTTGCTAGGTTGGGGAAGTTCTCCTGGATAATATCCTGCAGGGTGTTTTCCAACTTGGTTCCTTTCTCTCCATCACTTTTACGTACACCAATTAGACGTAGATTTGGTCTTTTCACATATTCCCATATTTCTTGGAGGCTTTGTTCGTTTCTTTTTCTCTTCTTTCTCTAAACTTCTCTTCTCGCTACATTTCATTCATTTGATCTTCAATCACTGATACCCTTTCTTCCAGTTAATCAAAATGGCTACTGAAGCTTGTGCATTCGTCACGTAGTTCTCATGCCATGGTTTTCAGCTCCATGAGGTCCTTTAAGGACTTCTCTGCATTGGTTATTCTAGCTAGCCATTCGTCTAGTCTTTTTTCAAGGTTTTTAACTTCTTTGCGATGGGTTCAAATTTCTTCCTTTAGCTCCGAGAAGTTTAGTCATCTGAAGCCTTCTTCTCTCAACTCATTAAGGTCATTCTCTGTCCAGCTTTGTTCCGTTGCTGGTGAGGAGCTGTGTTCCTTTGGAGGAAGAGAGGCCCTCTGATTTTTAGAATTTTCAATTTTTCTGCTCTGTTTTTTCCCCATCTTGGTGGTTTTATCTACCTTTGGTCTTTGATGATAGTGACATACAGATGGGGTTTTGGTGTGGATGTCCTTTCTGTTTGTTAGTTTTCCTTTTAACAGTCAGGAGCCTCAGCTGCAGGTCTGTTGGAGTTTGCTGGAGGTCCACTCCAGGCCCTGTTTGCCTGGGTATCAGCAGCAGATGCTGCAGAACAGCGAATGTTGCTGAACAGCAAATGTTGCTGTCTAATCGTTCCCCTGGAGGTTTCATCTCAGAGGGGTACCTGGCCGTATGAGGTGTCAGTCTGCCCCTACTAGGGGGTGCCTCCCAGATAGGCTACTCGGGGGTCAGGGACCCACTTGCGGAGGCAGTCTGTCCATTCTCCAATCTCAAACTCCATGCTAGGAGAACCACTACTCTCTTCAAAGCTGTCAGACAGGGACATTTAAGTCTGCAGAGGTTTCTGTTGCCTTTTGTTGGGCTATGCCCTGCCCCTAGAGGTGGAGTCTACAGAGGCAGGCAGGCCTCCTTGAACTGCAGTGGGCTCCACCCAGTTTGAGCTTCCCAGTAGCTTTATTTACCTACTCAAGCCTCAACAATGGTGGGCGCCCCTCCCTCAGACTTGCTGTTGCCTCAGTTTGATCTCAGACTGCTGTGCTAGCAGTGAGCGGGGCTCCCTGAGCATGGGACCCTCCGAGCCTGGGTCGGGACATAATTTGGTGTGCTGTTTACTAAGACCATTGGAAAAGTGCAGTATTAAGGTGGGAGTGACCCGATTTTCCAAGTGCCTTCTGTCACAGATTTGTTTGGCTATGAAAGGGAATTCCCTGACCCCTTGTGCTTCCCGGGTGAGGTGATGCCTTGCCCTGCTTTGGCTCACGCTCGGTGCACTGCATCCACTGTACTGCACCCACTGTCTGACACGCCCCAGTGAGATGAACCTGGTACCTCAGTTGGAAATGCAGAAATCACCCAACCTCTGCATCACTCACATTGGGAGCTGTAGACTGGAGCTGATCCTATTCGGCCATCTTGGAACCGCCTCCCCTCTTTTAGCCTTTCATGACTTTAGCTCTTTATCTCACCTTAGTCCCAAAAACTATATGTCTATTTCATACCTGAAATAATACTGAGTCAATATGCTCAGAGAGACACAGTTTGACCTCTCCATGCATACATATGCTTCTGGTCATAACCAAAGTTACACTTGAACTGTCAGCATTTGTTTAAGTGTTTATTGGGGAAAAAATTTGTGTCTTCTGTAGGGAGAGGGTGTGTTTCCATGATGCATATTTTTCGCAAGACATAAGGTGAAGGGGAGGCTATTAATAAATATTGGTTGAATTGAAACAATTATTGAAGGGACACAGGTTGCTAAACGCTCCTCACTTAATTCTCTAGAGAAAACAGTCCCACTCCATGAAATGAGTAAGGGATATTTTAGAAAGCACAAAGGATGATTAGAAGGAACAAAAATAAAAATCTTTTCTTTCCATTATGGAACTTTGGTGAAGAACAGCAATCTCACTATGTCATTGAAAGGTATCAGTTGATGATTTTCTTGCTGAAAAAAAAAAAAAAAGTAGCTATCTTTTAAGAATCGTGAAAAATGTCTCCTTAAAGCTTTTGTCCAACAGGCAAGGAATCTTATCTAGAGGACCAAAAACACCCACAAAAGTCAAAAAAGCAGCAGGGCATTCAAGAATAAAAATTAACTACCCAGATGCCCAATTCCTTCTCATGTCAGTCTTTTATGCTCTGCCTATTTTACGTTGCTGTTTAGTTGGTGCTTATTATAGTTTTATAATGGAAATGTGTTGCTGCATGGACTTTATCAGGGAATCATATGAAAATGTTCTAAGGGAGAGAAATGAGCCATGGGAAAGTTAAATGAAATCTATTTCTGAATGGCACAAATTAGGGAAAAAATAACAAGGTTTAATAGGGCCATAGATGCTAAAAAAATGCCACTGAAAAGTCCAAATCCTCTGAGAGAGGCAACATTTCATTCTCCTAGTAATGAGTCCTATTTGTTATTTCTTCACATGGGAATTGTGTTTTTATAATTTTGCCAGTTCCGGAGTCATATCATAAACTCATTCATTGAGTCAGTCTTTTAATATTTACTAAATAAGCCTCCATTCATTGTAATTGATCAATTTAACTAAGTACTGCTTTCTGATACTGCTTCTCTAGCTACAGACTGACTTCCCTGCCATAAACTTGGAAGCGGGGTCTTACTGTGTGTGTCAGAGCCATAGGGTTCAAGGGCTCAAATAAAACAAATAATCCTTTAACAACAACCACATTAAAAAAATAGAAAATTTACAGCTTCTGCCTTTCTGTAGCAATAAACCTTGCTCTAGTGAAGCTGCAAGTCAAGACCCAGGTAGATGTCTTCAAGCTTGAGACCTCCATGCTGGGCATTGTGTCTACTCAATAGAACTTGGAAACAAGTTCAAAGGCCCATCTGGGACCAGAGATCCTGGCAAGTCATATTCAATGTCGATTTCATTGGAATGTTAGGGGAAATGGTCTCTAGGAACACTGAGATCAATAAAGCACTATGAGATTGCTTCTTCTCCAAATGTTGTGAGCTCTTTCCATAAGCTGTCCAATTTTGCCTCTCATCAGGCCTAGGATCCCCATCCCCTAATTCAATGAACTTACTCCTAGCCATTCTATAGGTGTCCAGGCTTTCTCTCTTTTCTCATTCATGGCTCACACTTTCCCCCCACATGGGTTCTCTGGGCTATACTCTCCTCCAATTTACCACATTCTGACCCTTTTCTTATTCAATCAGCAACTAAGTTATGCTTTCCTCCATTCTGATTGGTCTGACTGACTGGAAAGGATCACACTTACACAAAGAAGTTGTGCTTCCATTTTTATCAACCATGCATTCATATCTGTTTGTGTACAATGTAATGCATGCAATGCTAAGTTTTAGTCCTAACACAACCATACCCACAAGCTGTACAAATATGCCCATTAATAGTATCTGGCCAGCAGTGATACCACAATAATACAGTGTAGAACTTTATAGCTTATGTAAGGTATTCTGTGTCTTAAGTCTTGGTCATCACACTCATTGGAGTTAGACAAGGTTGGTATGATCCTTACTAACAGGAAAAAAAGGAAAAAAATAATAACTGAAATTTGAGGGAAGCTAATGCCCACACTCACACTGAGATGGTGAGATGCCAATTCTGGAGGGGCCAGTGGTGCACAGGCTCTGCCCATTTAGTTTGTTCAGGCACATCACTATCCTCCAAGAGATACTGAACACCTTTTCAATGAACATAATTCTAATAGTTCTAAATTCCTGCAAAAGGAAAGCCAGAAACAGAATTTTCAAAGTTGCCTATAAATTAGATGATGCCTGTTATTTTATATAGAAAAAAAAAGCCACAAAAGCAATTTATTCTTAGTCTTTGGGTAAGGAGATGCATTCGACAATTTCAAAAAGTCAAAAAGTCTTTCAGTAAACTACCTTTCATGTTTAAAGCAAGAGCAGGCCTATGTCTTTTGGAAGGTTGCAATTATTTGTGGGAAGATGGTGGGTTAGGAAATTTCCAGAGACATTTTTGAATTGGTATCTGTAGGAAAACTATTATGCCTGTCACGTGTACTATTGGTCTCTCAAGAGGGTAGCACTGGGAGTCAGGTATCTCTGGAGATCCTAGGTCCAGTGGTCCTGGGTCAGTTACCCCTCTTGATAACTGTCCATTTTAAGCCAGATGCTCAAGCCCCAGGCCCAGGCTATCCTCCGGTTTGCAGGCATTTTCACACACTAGATTTTTTACCTACACAGAAATTGAGCAGATGTCCTCAGAATACTCTGAGCTTCCCATCACGCCTGGTTTGTTAGGAATCATCTTAGTTTTAATATGCATTATGTGTTCTCAATTTTGATATTAAGAACCAAAAAATGAAACTAATAATACTAAATAAGCTTTATTTAACAAAATGTATTGATAAATAAATTTTTGAACTTTAAAGCCAATGGGAAGTTTATTAGAATAACTTTGGTAGCTGCATTCCCCTTCGCCTAAGAACAGTGGTTTGCAATCTGGATGTGTGGCTCTTAAGGACAGCAATATTATTGCAAGGGGCCCATGAACATTTCACATCCTAAACCTTGTCTGTAGTCTCAATGAATAACATAATCTGAGGCATGTTGGTGCCATCTCTTGTCAAATGAATGTAGGCACCATTGTGATTAATGAAATTTTAATTTCATTTGAAGGCACTGCTGAACTTGAATGAGCTTTTCTCCCCTTAGGCATTTTCCCAATTCAGGCTGACTAAGAAAGAGTATAAGGTCTTCATATCAAAAATGAAGGGAACTGCTGCCTTTACATATAAAGAAGAGAAGAAATTTACTAACAAAAAGGCTATGCCCTAAAAACACACTGCTGCTTATATATGCATATAACAGACCTTCAGAGATCACTTTCAGAAGGATAATTTTTTGAAGAATAATTTTTTCTGAGAAGTTCTGAACTCTGGATTTTTTTTCAGCTTGTATCTTTATATATTTTTATCTTTTGATTACTTCAATGATTCGGTTGCTTTTTTATTATTTATTTATTTATTTATTTTAATATTTTAACTTTCATTTTAGGTTCAGGGGTACATGTGAAGGTTTGTTATATAGGTAAACTCATAACTCAGGGGTTTGGTGTACAGACGAATTTGTTACCCAGGTACTAAGCATAGAACTGAGCTCTGGACTCTACCTTTCATTTTCTAATGATCTAAAGCACTTAACCCTTTCCCTCTGGCCTGAGTATCACTGATGATCTTATAAACATGAGGTCCTCAAAATCAAGCCAACCCCTACTCCAAGCTAAACCATCCATGTCATCCACATAGTCTTATTTTCCTTGCCATGGTGGAAGCACTGAGACTTAATAAATGCAGTCGTAAGCCATGCATGTACTTCATCCTCACTCCTGTGCTTCCTGACTCCCTTCAAGGATGTTGCACACAGTGCCCCTTCCCACTACACAACATATTTAACAGAGGGCAGCCACAAAGCCCTTGTCTCAAAGACCATAGTTAAAGCTAAGCTATCTGTGCTGTTGTAGTTTATATTATTTGTAATGGCAGAGAAGTAGAAATTCCTTAGTTTCTTAATGCAGAATATTATATTTCCCCCTATAGCAGATTTATATTTCTGATTGTGCGTGGTTTAAGTGACTATGAAAATAAATTATGACTTCAAATTGAATACACAGTAAGGGGCACTCAATCAGCAACATAAATTATTGTTGTGCAGATCCTATAAAGCGCATGATATTCTACCAGGCAAGTACTAACACACATGTACAGACAAATTTGAGTGCTGATCAGACTCCCACTGTATTTTTTTTTTTAACAGGACTGAGGGAGCATATTGACATAGGCACTTGGGGTAAGTTGAACTGTAAAGCCCACATTCTGTTCCACAGCACTATGCAAACAGTCACAGCAAGTAGAGTGAGAGAGGGAAGGTCACTCCAGAGTCTAAAATGCCTTCTCCAATACCCTGGGAGATGCTTCCCACTGCCATGCTGTATTATGGCAAGAAATCAGATGGGATTTTGGAGATTGTTCACGGCGTGCCAGGGACTCCAGCCATGGTGGTCCTTCCAATTTTCATAGAACAGATTGTAGTTATCAGTCAAGTTCAAGTGAAAAAAAGCAACACCATGCTAGCTATGATTGATACTCTCAGAAAAATATTGGAAGAGCTGAATTTACAGGTCTTCAGAAAAGAGGTTATGGATGAACCTTGAGGACACTATGCTAAGTGAAATATGCCAATCACAAAAGGACAAATACTGCGTGATAGACTTAGGTGAGGTATCTAAAATAGTCAAACTCATAGACACAAAGAATAGAATGGTGGTTGCCAGGGGCTGGCGGGTCAGGGAAATAAGGAGTTCCTAATCAATGGTTATAAAACTTCAGTTATGCAAGATTAGTAAGTTCTGGAGACCTACAGTATGATGCCGTGCCTGTAGATAACAACGCTGTATTGTACACTTGATAATCTGTTAAGAGGATTTCATGCTAAGTGTCCTTATCAGAATAATATTTTTTAAGTTATGTGTCTCAGAAAGGGTTGGATTGCACCATGGAAACCTATCACTGCTTTTACCATCTAGGAGATACTGTTTAGAGTCTAGTGCAAGGATAGGTAGATAGATTGAGTGAGTGAGTCTGCGCCACAGAATATGACCATCAGAAATCAGGTGAAAACGGAAAACTTTCTATCTCTGTTGCAAAAAAAAAAAAAAAAAAAAAAAAAGAGCATCTGAAAAAAAAGACATGTCTGCCTTCTGGCAGGCAGCAAAGGTTCTACAAGTTACAGGCATAAGGTGGGGTTAAAAGCAGAGATCAGTTAACGGATCTCAGTCCTTAGAAACATATGTACTAAGGTGAAGTGAATCAGAAAGGTATGCAGTGCTATTTAGGATTTACCAAGAAAAGGAGGAGAATGAGTTTAAGCCCCAGGCTTGCAACTTTTTGTGACCTAAGAAATAAAGGCTTGAGGAAAACCTTTACTTTCCTTATGGACTTTTGCTGGAAGAAGGCTTGATATAACTCCCTGTTATTCTCAGTGGTTAAGAACTTCATGCTATTCCTTTTCTCTAGGATGCATGCAACTGTTGCCTTGCTCAATATATTCAAGAAGGTGAGAAACTTATAGAGCATGCCCAGGAAATCAATATAATTTGGATTATAAAGATGTGTTTGTATAAAGAAGCAATATAATTTAAGACACACACTCCTTAGGCAGAGAAATCCTACATTTGTATGGCTGGACTATTAAGTACAAATGGACAAGGATGAGTAGCCCTAGTTAGGGTTAACTTAATATGAACTACTATACTTTGAAAGGGAGATTTGTTAATCAATCAAGCAAACTAACTGAAATGTAATTCTCATAAACTGTACACAGGGCCATGACGTGTACAGAATAAAGTCTGGAGACTGCAGCTAGCTGGGGTATGAAAATGGGAAAATGTAATGATGTAAAATTTTATTTGTGGACAATGAGAGTTACTAAGACTTCTGAGATTTATATTGTGAGATATTCCAAATAAAGTTTGGGAAAGAATAAGTCATCTGGAATGTGAGGGAGATGAGAGTGTGTGGAAGGGCTGAGAAAGGAGGACATTGCTATGGTCTCAGCATGAGGTGATAGCTATGGAATAATGATCATCACTATTACTATTTTTGCAAAGCTTCCAGTATATAACAAGGAAGAAGAAACACTAAGATTTAGGAGTGAAAATGAAAGAGACAGTTGAAACATCACTGCTACTTTTTGGGATCATTTAAAATTAGTATATTCTAATACTTAGGAACACATTCAAGTTTCCTGTTTTTCACCAACATCGTTGTGAGGAAAAAGACAAGGCAGCAGCCTCCCAAGTGCCCTCGATTCCAGGGAGTATTGCTAATGAGAAGAGCAGCAGAAACGCATGGGTATTTGCAAAGAAAATTTCTTCATAATATATTTGCCACCTTATTTCATCTTATGTCGGCTTCCTTGGGATAAATCTGACGTCATGTGTGACCTTAAAAGCAATCTGGTCTTTGGAAGTTTTGCTCAGAACTTACCAGTGTTCACAGTAGGCAAGCACAAAACTGGATCTGACCTGAATTCCAGGATCACATCCAAAAGGAAAGCCCATAACTGGTAAGAAATGCCTTTTTAAGACTTTCTTATCATGCAGTGAGAGCTACGGGCCCACCATGCTACCATCTCTTAATCAGCACTGCAAACAAACCTTCCCTACTCTGAAGCACATCAGAGTTCTTACGTATCACTTATTCCACAGTCTATCAGGAAGTGAAAGAGGACAGAACAAAAGGAGGACTATCAAAAACAGCCTTTATTCTATCTAGAAAGTCTGATTTTAAAAAAAGGAAAAACATACAACTTGCAGTCTGCAAACTCCGTTCCTGATGTGGCTAATTTCTAAATGAGTTTGCTGTAATAGGAGAAAGGAGGAAATTGCTGCATCTTTTTATCCAAGAGATAAAATAGATTATTACTTCATTGTAGTTTGGAGAAAAGACAAAAATGAAAATAATGATTATAATATAGCCTTAAAGAGACTTTTGAACAGAAGTGTTACAAACATACACACACATACACACACACAGTGAATTTTTCCTTCTACTGTAGAAAAGTATAAATGTATGAAGAAGCAGTTCTAAGGCAGCCTTGTGCTATATTACGAGTTAAAATATAAGGCTAGGCCCAGTACAAAATGGCTTTTGAAAGTATGAACACTTAATGGGAGTCCTTCCATAACAGACCTGACATGTCTGGGAGAAAGTTAAAGTGGAACATAGAGCCAGAAGTGGTGTTTTATAACCAAGGATGGCACAGCCTGACCTTTGCAAAAGTGAGAAGCAAAATTGATTGGATAATGGCATTCCTGCCATTCACTTACATGGTGATAAATTGAGATCTTGGCTCTGAGTTCCACACTAATTTCAACAGTTGGAGACTTTTATTATGGACTAATTGAAAGCTGTTGCTGTATGGAATAAAAGCTATTTTGTTGCAAACATTTTTCTTCTGAGGCAGACAGTGAGGAACAGACAAAGACTAATACAGACCTTTCCGGCTCTTCACAAAATAAAAACAGATGATTGCTGAAGAAAAGTGTTCATTTAAGGCTAACCTGTACCTGGTCTCCATTTGATTAAACTTCATTTGTTTGGCCAAAGGAAAGACTACTGTTGGTAAGGTAGAAGCCACTTGTAACAAGAGCAGCTATTCCTGCATGCAATAAACAATTAAGACCACAAAATGTGTTACTGAATGGTCAACTAACCCATTTATATAAAGTGGGCATATTTCCACAAACTTGGCCTTGATAATAGGTTAAAACATAAATACACGCGTATGTACAAACAACAGCCTTTCTCTGATATTTATTGAGAACTAAGAATTCCAGAAAACCATATTTTCTGTAAAAAACAAACAAAAAAAACCCCAGTATCCCCAAAAGAAAAAGGAAAAGAAAGAAAGAGAGAAAGAAAGAAAAACGTTTGTAAACCATTGTCCCTGGTTTATCCTCTGTGCTCAATAGGTATGTTAATATATATATATATATATTATATATATATATATTATATATAATATATATATAATATATATAATATATATATAATATATATAATATATATATAATATATATAATATATATAATATATATATTATATATATATATAATATATATATATGCTGACTTCAATACTGAATGCATGAACACAGAAATGAATATGAATATGCTTTCTGGAAAGCATGCCCATACCAAACCATGATGCTAATATCACCTGAAGCTAAAACTTTTGCCCACTGTTATTAATTTTATGAGATCAGCATTATGCATTAATATCAGTTCTAATTGCTTATAACTATAATGTATAGTGTCTAGATTTGAATCGTTCTGGAGAGTAAAAATCTCAATGAATTTAGAGTCTTTCTTATATTTCTCAGATAGATATGAATTAGAAATCCTCTCATTTCTGAATCCATTTATGTTTTTTTTCTCAGTACAGATGACAGTAATAAGACAATATTACCCCACTTTCCTATCCCAATAAAGGATGTCTTGAATTAATTTAAAAAATAAGCTTCTAAAAGGATTGACTTTTTTTCCCTTAAAGGCAGGTAATATTCAATGTGGTCAGCCCTCACCATGCATAACTACAGGCAGACCCTGATGGCATAAGGGAGCAAGGCTCACAGAGACAGCTTGATCTCCCAGAAGGTGGGGACCATGTCTTGCACACCTTTTATGTTCCACATAGCATCTCTTTTGTGCTGGACTCATGATGGGCTCATAATAAATGTATGTTGACTGAACTCTAGGAAGTATAGAGTTAGGGTTCTAGATCTGAGCTGGCTTCTCACTTATTGGAGGAGTCTGTTAAAATATGACTCCTTAGCAGGAAGCACACTGCTTTGATTTAATGAATGCCATCTGTAGAGCAATTTAGGAGATGGGCAGCATCAAGTACTTTACTTGTCTTGGATTCCTATCCTTCATTATTGGATTCCTTGGTTGGGTTCTATTAAATTGATAATGTGGTCCTCTTCGGGGGTGGCTTCATTTCAATGATGGGTGAAGTGATCCTTTATCCTGTGTGAAAGATTATCTGTGGTCTGGTGAGCAAGGCAGTATTAAGGAAGCTGTGAGAAAGAGGTTTTACTTCAGGTTCCGCCATTGATTTTCTGGCAGCTCACTTACGGGACTCTTGGGGTCTAGTTTTTCTCTTCATAACCTGATATTAATACTTACCATTTTCAAGAGATGTACAGCAATGGTATATGAACTTTAGAAACTTTAAGAGAATTCACTGTAATAAGTAACTTTTTATTTTAGTAAGATTAGGATTAAAATACGAAGTTGATGAAATTTTGGAGCTCAGAGTAAACTGATCATCAATTCCAACTGTCTCATTTTCTTCATCAAAAATACAGCTGCATTCCCACAAACATTAATCTTTGAATACTTACTAACATTGCACCCTCAAAAGAAGAGGTGACTGAGACAGACACATGCCTTGAAGTTGTATGCTTTCTCATCCTCCATAGCCCCTGATACATTATTGAGAACAAGAGATGCCCAATCACTAACAGCTAAGCCAGCAAAACAACCTGTCATTCCAAAAATACCACTGCTATTTCTCATAATAGTATGAGGAGGCATGTACAATTCTACAATAATGTCAGTTTTTGAAATTTCTCGAATATGAAATGATTCCTCCAAAAAAAGAAGTCTTTAATTTTATAACTGAGACATATAAAGTGCCCTACATTGAAAGAATTAAAATTAAGCCATTAACTATTTATAAATCACTATATAAAGGTAGACTACAAGGTATTGATGAAAAATAAAAATAAAAGAGAGTATGAATATTATAAAAATCACTCTTCATTAAAAATAAATGTCATCTGATTACAAAAGTCATGGATTATATACATCTTCAACAGTGGGAACTAAATCTCTTGTACTTACTCTTTAACTTACATAAATATTCATAAAGTTGTCCATCCATAACCACTATCTGTAATTCTAGAATATTTCCTCATCGCTAAAAGAAAAACCATACTCATTAGCAGTCACTGCCCATTATATTCTTCCCCCTTCTCAGTCAACCCAGCCACTAGTTTACTTTCTGCTTCTATGAATTTGCCTATTCTGGAAATTTCATATAAATAGAATGATATAATCTATGGCCTTTTGTTTTTGGCTACTTTCATTTAGCATAATATTTTCAAAGTTCATCCATGAACACATATTTCATTATTTTTTGTAGCTGAATAGTACTCATTTGTGTGAACGTACTACATTTTGTTTATGCATTCTTTATTTGATGGACATTTTGGCTATTCACCTATGACTAATGCTGCTATAAACATTTATATGCAAGTTTTTGCATGAACCTATGTTATCAATTTTCTTGGTTATATACCTAGAAGTAGAATTGCTGGGTCATGTGGAAATGCTATGTTTACCATTTTGAGAAACTGCCACACAGTGTTCCAAAGTGGCTGCAACATTTTAGGTTCTCACCAACAATACATGATGATTACAATTACTCAACATCTTCACCAACACTTACTGTGTTGTAGGCATCTTTGTGTGTGTGAAGTGACATATCATTTTTATTTTCATTTATATTTCCCTAATGACTAATCTTTAGCATCTGAGCATTTTTTCGGGTCCTTTTGACTGCTTGTTTATCTTCTCCAAGACATATTTTGGAGAAATGTCTAAGTCCTGAGCCCATTTATTAATCAGATTATTTGTGTTCCTGTTGTTCAGTTGTAAGAGTTCTTTATTTATCCTCAATACTACACCCTTATCAGATGTATGGTTTGCAAATATTTTATCCCATTCTGTGGATTGCCTTCACACTTTCTTGATGGTGTCTTTAAATTGAAAATGTTTTCATTTTGATAAGGTCCAATTTATCTCTTTTCTCTTTGGTTACATGAGCTTTCATTGTCAATTGCTTAATCCATGATCATAAAGATGTATATCAATGTTTTCTTCTAACAGCTTTACAGCTTTGGTGCTTATATTTTGGTCTTTAATCCAGCTAAATAACTGTCTTCATATGATATGAGGGAGTGGTCTAAATTCATTCTTTGCATGTGGATATCCAGTTGTCCAAGCACTATTTGTCAAAAAGACAGTTTTTCTTCATTGCATTGCCTTGGCACCTGTGTTAAGCTGAACAACAGTATTGCAGAGATACTCCCATCCTGTCCTTAGATTCTGAATGTTCTACATATTTTCTGTATAGCAAAAAAAAGACTTTGCGTATATGGTTAAGGATCTTGTGTTAGGGAGATTGTCCTATATTATTTTAGTCAGCCAGTAATAAGGAAAAGAGTCCTTATAAGAGGATCATAGAAAGGTCAGATACAGGAGAAGCGGGTGTGAAAATGATACAAAGATTAGAATAATCTGGCCACAGACACTGGCAGCTTCTAAAAGTGTGAAAAGGCAAGGAATAGCTTGTCCCCTGGAGCCTCTGAAAGGAAACAGTCCTACCAACACCTTGACTTTAGCTCTGTGAGATCCGTTTTGATCTTTTCACCTCTAGAACTATAAGATAATAAAGCTGTGTTGTTTTAAGCCACTAAGGTTGTGATAATTTGCTATAGCAGCAATGGAAAACTAATAACAGCACCATTGCCAAAACGATCATAAATGTTTTGGTGTATTTTCAGGCTCTCACTTCTATTGAGTTACAGGTTTATCCTTATGTTAGTACAACACGATTGTGATTATTGAGCTTTGTAGTAAGCTTTGAAATGAAAAAGTGTAAGTCAGTCCTCCAAATTTGTTTTTTTCCAAGACTGTTTTGGCTATTGTTTCCCTTGAATACTTTGTATGATATCAAGACTTCTAAGTTTACTAAGACTGTTATGAATCTGAACATATGGTATACCCTGGAGAATGCTCCATGTGCAGTGGAGAAGAATGTATATTGTGTTATTGCTAGGTAGAGTGTTCGATACTTAGGTAGTTATTACCTTTAGCTTTACCTTTACTGGTATTCTTTGTTTTCTCTGTGCAGATTTGAATTACTTTCCAGTGTCCTTTCATTTCAGCCTGAAAGACTTCCTTTAGTATCTAGTGTAGGTCTGATCAGCTAGCAATTAATATACTCAGTTTTAGTTTATTTGAGAGTTTCTTAATTTCTCCTTAATTTTCAAAGAATACTTTGCTGGATATGTAAGTATTGATTGACTGTTTCTCAGCATTTTAAATTTGCCTTCCTAATGCCTTCTTGCCTCCACGGTTTCTGATGAGAACTCAGATGTTAATCCTGATATTGATACTCATTTGTTTACAATAAGTCACTTCTGTTTTGCTGCTGTCAAGATTCTTTATGTTTGGCTTTGACGGTTTTTATTAAGATGCATCTAGGTGAAAATAGCTCTGAGTTTATGTTCCACAAAGTTTGTTGAGCTTCTGAATTTATATTTTTTCATCAAACTCAGGAAGATTTTAGGTTTTATTTCTTTAAATAATCTTTTTTGCCCCTTTCCATCTCTCCTCTTTTTTTCCGGGACTCCCGTGATGTGAATGTTTACAAACTTGATAATGTCCCATAGATTTCTGAGGCTCTCATTGTTCTTCACTTTTTAATCTTTCTTGTTCCTCAGACTAGATCATCTCAATTGGCATATATTTGAATTCACTGATTTTTTTTTGTCTGCCCAAAACTGTTGCTTAAGCCCTCTAGTAAATTTTTCATTTCAACTTTTTACCTCCAGAATATCTATGTAATTCTTATAATTTCTATCTGGCTAATTGATATTCTTTATTTTGTTTCACATTATTCTCATACTTTAGTTCTTTAGATATGGTTTTCTTTAGTGCTTTGAACATATTTAAAATAGGTTCAAAATCTTTGTCTAACATTACAGCTGGACATGCAGTGTTCTGTACTGTAGCATGACTATAGTTAACAATAATATATAGTTTCAAATAGCTAGAGGGAAGATATTGAGTGTTTCCAAAACAAAGAAATGATAAGTGTGTGAGATGATGGATATGTGAATTAACCTGATTTGATCACTATACATTACATGTATCAAAACATCACTATGTACCCCATGAATATTTACCATTATTTGTCAATTAAAAAATAAAATTAAATAAAATATTTGAAAAATAGTTGTCTCCTTAAGTCTAACATCCCAGCTTCCTCAGACAGTTTCTAGTGACTGCTTCTTGTTTTTGGACCATATTTTTTTTTTTCCATGTGTCATAATTTTTTGTTAAAGAGGAGACATTTAAAATAATATAATATGGCAGTCCTGGAAATCAGATTCTTCACTCTCCCAAAGTTTGTTGTTGTTGCTATTTGTTATTGTTATTTGTTTAGTTACTTTTCTGAAATAACTCTATGATATGTATGTTGTTTGTCATGTATAATGATGTCTCTGTGTTATGATCTGACAAAGATGCCTTTTGATATCTGGAATCAGTAAGTTTACCAGTCTTTGCTGAGTGGCTATACGTATGTGTTGGGGCACACGTTCAACATCTAGCCAGGCAATTTAAAACTGCCTTTGTTTTCAATTTTTTGCTTCCACCCAGTCTCATAGTTTGCCTGAGGTGAGATCTTAGGGTCTTGTCAGTGCTTTCCTAAGTGTGTGCACAGCCCTATATACTTGCATGCTCTTTTAATTCCCAGGAATATCTTACAGTTTGTCAGAACCCCTGTGAACATCTCATTCTCTAGCTTTTCCTTTTAAGCTTTTTGTTATCCTATTCTTTACCCTAACTGTTATATACCATCTCAGGTAGCTACAAGTTAAACAATTGCCTCTGAGTGTTTTAGACTAAACAGCTGTTTCTCTAGAGAAAAAGCATATCAGAGAAAAAGCTGTTTGTACCAGACCAGCTTGGAGTCAGGTCAAACAAAGATAGCTGTGTGAGTGGGGTGTTCCAGGGAAACACTGGACAGTTCAAACAATGACAATTCTTCAAAGATAGGGCTTTGAAGGAGTTCCAATCCTGTTCAGCCCTCTCCACTGGCTTCCAAAATGCTAGGTGTTGGGGTTGGTTGGTTGTTTTACCACAATTGTGGGCAGCTTCTTTCAAGGGTACCCTGCAGCTGGAGTTGGAAACAGGGCAAGTTAAAATGCGAGAAATCTCTCAATTCTTACCAAGACTCAGTCATTTTTGTGAGTAAGCGCTCTCCAGATTGTGGCAAACCCTTGATTTACTTCCAGAATTCTATGAAACTTGATTTTGACAAGTTTTGCCAAGTGGTTCTTGCTGCTTTTATGCAGGAAGAGATTTGGGGAGATCTTTTCTCCACTATTTTTGCTGACATTGCCTACTTCTCTAAATCAAGTTTTATTGAGTCACAGCCATGCTCATTCATGTATTTATTGTCTGTAGCTGCTTTTGTGCTACTCTAGCAGAGTTGAGTAGTGGCAACAAGAGCTCATTATCTGCAAAGTCATATTTGCTGACCCCTTTTCTATATCTCACACTTCATTTTTAGATAAGACATTATATGTATATCAAGATTTTAGTTTTTTAGTTTTTATATTGTGTGACCAAGTTTTGGAAGAAAAATTCAAATGTGATCCTTTTTAGGGTAAAGTTAAATTAAAATAATATATACTAATCAATAAGATGAAGTATTGATTATTCAGCAAGAAATACATCATGAATTGGGAAGACAGTGCTCACCATCTTCAACCGAAAAAAAGAAAATGACTTTAAGTCAACACAATGTAACATTTTGGGTGAGTAAGCTCAAACAATCCACGAAGTTGCATGTGTCATGCAGCATGGTATACAGCCTTATTAGCAATAAGTCATTATTTTTACTCAGAGAAAAAAAGTTTCTATAGGACTCTAAGTATTCATCTCGACAAATCATTATAACAATCTTGGAAGTTAAATATGAGATTATGATGTGAATATTTAATTTTAGTAAATTCATCCTCTATACAAGCTGTTTGCACATGACCAGAATGTGAAATGGGAGCCAACCCCAAGAATATTGTGCCATGACTTTACTTATACACCATATGACTAGAAAAAGCCAACTTGAACAATTTGATGAAGCTTAGACATAACAGAAGGTATGACATTATAACATTCTTGGATCTTAAAATCTGCCTCCTAACAACCAAACAGCATAAGGCAGAATAGGTCTGGAATTGTACATCTTACCCCCTTCCCAGTGTATGAGATCCAAACCACCTAGCCATTTGATTTTCCTTTCTTAGTCCTTGCAAAACCCTGCACGTGAAAAAAAAATTTGAATTATCCTGTGAGTGACAAACTCACTTTAGCTACACTTAGCACTTGGCCCCTAAGGCATTATAAATATCACTCCAGTCTACTACACAAGTAGTCTCTGAAAACATTACTGATGCTTTTATTTATTATATGACCAATAATATTTCAAGTAAGAATTGGGGTGTACAGAAATAGCATGTGGATTTATTAAAACTATAAAAGTAAAGAACTTGTGATTTATATGAGATATTGATATAATCTAGAAAGTAGACTAATGGCTTTAAGAAACAGAGAGAGAAAAAGAGAAACACCATTAATTTTCTGAAAGCTATTTACTAAGAATTTGGTGATCCTAGAATCAGCTCTGGCTAGGAAGCTATGTATAAAATTCTCGGCTGTTTGGAGCTATATTAACCATGGCAATGACATTTAAGACATTCTGAAAGTACAGGGCAGATTCCGTGTCAGAAATCTTTTCAGAGCCTATTATATTATGCTGATTCTGAAATCTCAGAGCATTGTTTTCTTCCTATCGTAAAATAAGCCAGGCATGGCCAATTTAAGCAGATATAAATCAATTTCCTAGGTGTCTGAAATAGTCCTTTTACTGAAATAAAGGAATTCATTCAACAGCAACGTTTGAGAAAGTGACTCTTCTATGGGAGGAATTTTTTTCTGTCATATGTGAACAATGTTTTGATCAGAATTTACAAAGAGAAAAAAAGCTGGTTTGTGAAGGAAAACATCAAAGCTTCTTTTCACTAAATAAAAACAATAAAGATCAAAACAGATTGCAACACCAACCTGAGCCTTTGTAGAAGTCCATGTTAGCAGTGCATGATAAGCAAAAGGGAAAGAAAATTATATATGCATTAGTGGAACTGCTATTATAATGCAAAATTGAAAAAAGTAGAAATCCTTTCCCCTGATCATTCAAAATTAATGGCTATTTTTCAGCTACAATTTGAATGTTACCCTCCCAGTCTCGAGCAAAATACTTCCCCCTAATTGATATTAAACATATGATTGTGTGGAAATAGAGAACACTTGGATCTGAGAAGGTTAAGCAGATGTTTTCCTAGTTGTCCTCTGGCTATGAGAGCTGATTCCTAAGATCAAGGGCTTAATGAAATGAAATAAATCTCTGAAGCTGAACTCAAATTCCCTAAGAAGTATCTTAATCACAGCTTATCACAGGAAAAGACATGAGAATTGCTATTTTTCAGGGATACAGGACATATAGACCAGACTAACTCTTGGAATGTGGATCCCATGACACTTGTCCCTACTGGTCCCCTCTTCTTCAACCATGTATCTTTCTTTCCTCCTTAACTGTACTACAACTTCGATTTTGAACTTATGTGAGTGATAGTTTAATTACTGCCATCTTTAAAACTAGACTGTGTGCTCCCTGAGGGCAGGGCTAGGATCATATTTTTTTAAATATTGTAGTCTCAATACTAAACCCAGTGCCTGGTATAAAATAGATATTTCCAAAATATTTTTAGAAAGATGAATAAATGAATGTAGTCTAAAAGCAATGTAAATTATAAACATGTAGATATATCTGAAAAATTATAACCCAAATCCAAAATCCATTTTCAATTTGAAATCAAGTTTTACTCTTTTATGTAATAGACCACAAATCTTAATGAACAGAATAATAGTTCCAAAGAAACTAAGTTGAGAAGGTAAATTAAATATCCATATACCTGGCATCTTATAAACTCTAAGCACATTAGAGTTATACAACCCATCATCATCACAATCTATAAATGATGGTTGTTTGCAACCAGAAGTCATTGAGCCTACAGGCATTCACAAACTCAGCAGAAAGCCAGATTAACTATCACTATTTCAAAAATATTATTAAAATGAGTAAGTTGCCATTTATATATTATTATATAGCCTAATTAAAAGAAGAATACGTTTGGCTTTAGATAGAAGTATAGAAACATTAAAAATCCTTAATCACAAGAAACTCAACAAAATTCCTGACATCAGGGAAAAGTCGGCTTCATATGTAGTAGACATAATTACATCAGAATTTAGTGATTAATGAACAATGTTCACATGATAATTTTATTGCACATTAGTATTATATCTATAGAATGATTTCTGTGCTATCTTAGTATTAATACCAAAGCTTGATGATGACTGCCCATGCATTGGAATTTAGATCAATGATCATCAAAACTTGGGTGTATCACTTGCTTCACTCTTTTTTTTGTATAGACAACCCACGCATTTTGGTTTGTCCAGAACAGAGAGTTAGTAGGGTTCTAGGAATGCAGCTCTATAGCTGAAGAGTTGCTAGAATTATTCCATTTTAATTTATTGCATTGCTACAGAAAATATGTGCTGGGTAAATAACAAATGCATTATTAATATTAAAGACCAAAATTCTCTCACTGAATTATAATGGGTAATTTCTTGGATATGGATGGTTAAATTTCTATGCGGCAATAAATAAAAGCAATCAAAAGCACCTCTTTGTCATTCCTCAGGGTACATACTGGAGAAGCATCAATCACATTAGATATGGAAATTTGAATGTATTATGATGTGCTAAGTTGTTTTCCTGTAATTACATGTATCATTTTTTCTTTGTCTTTTTTTTTTAAATCTTGTTATTATAATTACTTAGTCTCTTGTTAAATAAATATATAATTTCTGGGAAAGATTAGTCCTTTATTCTTCTTGCTTAAAATATTTTCAAATATTTCAACCACTTTTACTTCTACATGCAATCTTAATCTTTCTTCTTGGCTTTAGTAAAACTGCTTCTGGCTATTTCTACATTAAAATACTGCTATTATGTCAACTTTAATGGCCTAAACAGAAACTGCTTAATTTTCACCCTGGGCCAACACCATTTTCACATATCTAAGTACTATTCTTTCTTTAGAGTTGAGTTCAGTTCAGATCTCCCTCTCTTTAACCCTAAACTTCCCCAAATCTGTGTTTCCACAGTCCCATGAATTTTTGAGACTCAGCAGACAGTACCACAGATTTGGCTTTTTATATATGTGTCCTATTTTCCAAACGGGAAAGTCTGAGTCTGAGTCTGTTTTGAGACTGGGATCTGTAGCACACACTTCAGACAAGCTCAGACCAATTCAGTCTCCTACTCAAAACACGGCAGGGCCCCCTAACAGGCCATGAGTATGGAAACCACTGGTGTCATGAGTGATTTCTGTACTCATAGCCTGTTAGAGGGCCCTGCCGTGTTTTGAGTAGGAGAGTGACTCACATACCCGTGGTTTCCATACTCATGGCCGGTTAGGTCCCTAAATAACCCAAACCTTGCCTATTTATCTGAAATTATCTTCAACACTCTCCCTGTACCTTATCCACTCCAGCCACACCACCCTTCTTACTGTTCCTCCATGACAAGAGAACGTCTGTCTCCAAGTCTGTTCCCCCCACTGATAATATTCTTTCTTGAGGCCTCCGCAGCATCCCCCTCACATCATTCTTGAAGATGTCTGATGTCGTCATCTCAGAGAAGTCTTCTCTGATCATTCTGTCCTCCAAACCATCATAACCTATCATTATCTGCAACCATTTCTCTGTATTTTTACTTCTTTGCAGTCTACTTCCTTCACTTGAATATATACTTCATTAAAGCAGAGTTTTTGACTGTCATGTTCCTAGGTGTATCCTAGCAAGTAGCACACAGGATCTATTAAATAAATGTTTGTTCCATGAATAATTACCTCTTAGTAAGTTAGGCACCGGGTATAAAGTCTTAAGCACAGACTGTGAGGATTGATAACTACAGAATAAGAAAATGTGGTAAAAAGATACTCTGAAGCCATCTTATATTATATGGAGCCTACGTGGTCATTGCACTTAAATAAATAGGTATAGGTGTTCGAATTCCATTTCCGTGTAATCCAATTTATTCATTACCTGAAATTAAATATCACTGACCGTTAATATAAATGGTAATTAAGGCAGGTCACTAGGAGGTATGAATACCTTTGCTTTTTTTTTTCATATGTGTTCCAGCATATACCTCCTCTATACTTCCACAAATAATGAACTTTCAGCCAAGTGTGTCAATGTGAATGGATAGAAATGGTATAGACTTACACAAATAATGAATGCTCATCTAGGGAAATGTGAATCCAAAACATTAACCAGGAGTAAAAATGAACAGGTTATCAAGTTTTACATATTAAAACATTTCCACAGTATTATCTGTATTCACAACTTTTTGTAGTACCATAAGACCATCAAGTTAAATAAAATGTTAAAGAATACTTGAAATTTGCCTTAGAGAAAAATGGAGAAAAATAGGGATTTTTATGCATAATTAAGGCAGATGCCAACAGACAAAATCAAGTTTCAATTATAGGAGGATATATGAATTGAATATGTCTATATTTTTCTTGTGAAATTTTATAATTAAACAAGAGCATGATGTGAATAGTCATTCTAACTAGTTTAATATGGAATCACCTGAAAGAATATGTTATTATATAGCTTTTATATGAGAGATATCTAATGTGATTATAAGAAATATGCTTTTCAGCTTCTTTTTTGAGAAACTCAGAGATGTTAAGGATACATTTATTACTCATAGATTTATGTGTCTGTTTTGACATATCTTAGAATTTGGGGTAAAAAAGAAAACTTATATTGATAGTATATATTTTAGTATCAGGTACATAAAACTTTCCTGTAGGTTAAGCATTATTTTGTGTTTAGTTCATGGAAGTAAAAATGAATTGAGTATTATATACAATTTATAATTAAAAATATACAGAAAAGTTGAATGATACAAAGAAAAACTTAAGTGCACTTTCTCTTTCCTCAGAGAACCTGTATTTTGCTGTCTCCTCAGAGAAAAAATGGAAAAAAATATATATATTCACTGTCCTGGAACTTTATGAATGATACTTTTCTGAGTGCAACTTATGGTTGGTCATAAAATACTATCCTGTATTCACAATGACATAAAAGGGACTGCTATCCACTATTAAATAGCCAGCAACAACTTGAAAAATAGATGCACTACTGTTAGAACCCTTATTCTCATTAATCCTCTTTACCCCTTCATAAATAGGTAAGAAGGCAAAATAAAAGAGATAACTATTTCTATTTTATGGTACTAAAACTAAAAGAATAAACCTAGATCAAAGGCAAAAGGGGAAATGGAAAGATTAGGGAAAAAATAGTATTTCAAACACTACAGAAGATCAAAGTTGGAAGAAAACAAGCTCTTTCCCATCAGTTAAAGGAAGTCTGTGTGTGTGTGTGTGTGTGTGTGTGCGCGCACACACACACACATACATGTGCACGGGCAGTTATTTAATAAATACTTTTTTAAAGGATATTGGAATAAACAACCAATATTACAGAGAGAAAGCCCCTAAGATTGTAGTTGCCAAATTAATTGTTTAGTCAAAGTTTTTATTGTGCTTTTATGTAATAAGAGAGGGTATCAATCAAGCAGCCAAGCAAACAACATTTTCAGAGGCAAATTGCTGGTTCTGAGAGTCCTTTTAATCATATGCAACTTGCTGAAATCTCAATAACCCAGAAAGCCCTGTCAGTGGCAGCCCAGGCTAAGGGCTCACATGCTATGACTACATTAAAACAAATATAATAATCTATTTAGGGAATAATTGTTTTCTTCTTTTGAAGAGTTATTTATATAACATTTGCAATGCAATGTTTTGCATATCATTGGACTAGGTCACTAAACAAAGCCTATGTAAGAATGGAAGATCTAAAACAAACAAAGCAAAACAACAAAACAATAATAACAACAAATACTCCAACTATTTTGCTACCTTCTTGCTAAATGTCAGAATAGTTGAAGTTTTTTTAATAAGTAGAGTATTGAGTTGAAGGAGGAGTAATGCAGTTATTAATTTTAGGTGAGTCTGAAACCTAATAAAATAATATGATAAAGAAGTTGTCTCTCATGTAATTATAGAGAGGAGAGATTTAACCAGAGTAGAAATAACAGGATTTACTCTGTATTCGACTTATTTCCTATGGGAAACAATCCTGGAGAGGCACGTTATAGAGAACTGGAACATTTCTGATACGAGAGGAATGAGTCAGAAATGATTTAATCTGAAAAAATTAATTTAGCAATAGGGAATTATTTATACTCAAACGCAGTTTGGTGATTTAAATGAAAACAAATATATTTTGGCTTCTCTAATATTTCTAAGCTACATTGTTAAGAAAATATATTATTTCATTATGCATATGTATAACATTATTTATATATAAATAATATTACCTATTACATATCACATAAGGAATATTACATAGATACATAGATACAGACAGAATGTATATAGATATAGATACATAAATGTATGGTATATATATGTATGGTATGTGTATATATCTATGCATATATGTATACATATATATGCATATAGCCACACATTATTTGCTCATATAAAATATATATACTTATCCTAATAACTGTGACTTTTACCTATATGGTCACTCACTGGCTAGTTTACAGGTTTGTTTTATATTATTACAGAATTTCTAAATTATTCATTATTAAAAACTTAAAAGTGGGATCATAAAGCCCTGCAGATTACAACAGAGAAAGAATTAGAAAGAGAAACAAAGATGCAAAGAGACAGCCAACTATACTCTGAATCTTGAAACAAACTCCGAGGGACATGAATAACATGTTTTATCTCTATTCCATAACCAAGTAGTTTAATCATTTATAGCAAATCATTTAATTTTTTGCACTCTATAATACGGAAATCTTATCTCAAAGATGTTAATTTTTCCCTAAGGGCTATGATCCCATCAAATTAAATCTAAATTAAATTTGTTTTGTAGGAATTTAATGAGTTACAAAACACAGAGAAACAGAATAATCTAGAATAATTCTTTTTTTCTCAATCTAAAGTTTTGCCTTTTCTATAACTAGATTTTTTTCCAGTTTCTTCAATGATTAGTAGTACCAAAGATCAAAGAATTTCTGTTTTAGGAATCAAGTCAGTAATAGCTTTATGTATTTAGAAAAACATCCTTTATTGGCATTTGATATACAGAAGAACTACCATAATACATTTGATCAAGATGGCTCTACTGAATTCCCAAGATTCAGATTCAGAATTGTCCTAAAGTAATTGCAAGGCATGTTCTTTCATTCCCCAAACATTTATTGAACTCCTACTGTGTTCTCAATATTATCATGTTACGCAATTAACTTGGTAAGTTAGAATTCACTTCTTTAACATTCAACTCTAAAAACAGTTACAATGTGTAACTCTCCCTTTCAAATACACCTTACTTAGTCAAATACACTCTCTCTGTTTATATTGTAGAAGGCTAATTATCTCTATTTGGCTATGAGCCCCAGACTTGTGCTCATTCCTCCTGTGAGGAATACTACTTGATATTCTGTGAGCAAAATACCACAACTCACCCAAATTTTCCATGTCACTCCAGGAAGACACTTTACCTACTAAGACCTTAAAACACTGCTTAATTAAGCATTAGATACTAGGTAGTGGTATAAAGCACATGAGCATTAAGGGGAAAGGGTCACACAGATGCCTTTGTCTTAAGTTTACCTCTAGCCCTTGCAGTTAACTGCAGGTGTAAAAATTTGTATGCAGAAATCATAGCACCTGAAATTAGCTAACTGCAGGTGTAACTGGTCAGTTGCATCCTCCTAAGGGAGCCCTTGGTTAATTACCCCAATTATTAGGTAATTAAAGGTATAATTATATAAATTTCCATGCAATTTTACTGCTTAAAAAACTCTAGAGCAGAAGATAAGATATGAAAGTAAGCTTTCATAAAAATTTCATTAAATGAGAGTGCTGCTGGGTTTCAGGTGCTTGAGAACTGAATTTCAAACTAACAGTTCTCACCCTGAGTGCTACCTCTATGCTTAATCATTGTGGACTCGAATCATATCCTTACTTTGCTCAACAAAACGATGTGTCAAGGGCATCAGTGTCAGAATATTTTCTTGAATTCAGTATTAAGCCTAATTGCCATGATTAATTGTAGAAAACATCACACTCTGATAAGACTGCTTTACTGATCTTGAAGACCAAGCAATGCAACTATTATTAATTGAGTGCTATTCTTCACAGGAAGCAGCGTGTGTGCCTTACAAGGCCAACTTTTACTGCTTTAGAATACAATGCTTATATTATCCCTACTAGAGTGAGCCTGTTTACTATGATTTTATTTTATTTTCTGTCCGCATAGCAATGGGTTTGTAATTTTTAAACACACCATTTAACAACAGAAAGATGTAGGCTACGAAAATGCTTTGTAGTGACAGAAAATGCATCCCAAAGATTGTGTGTTTAGATATTCGAGAACTGATCAATGTTAAGTTCTCTTTAATCTAGATGATTATATATTGGAATTCAAGGACCAATGATGCCTGCACTCCTCTGTATCCTAATTCCAACAACTCAGCTCATGCTATAATCCTTGTGAAGTCAAGCCTTGTCACTTATCACAATTCTAGTAAGAGGTACTACACTTGTTTGCATATGCTTTAGTCCACTTTGTGTTTCACAGAACCCTGTTTTCTCTTTCTAGGTCTCCTAGAGTTCTGCTTCGGCATTCAAGCCCCTGAGATCAAGCCTATGACAGCTATCCCCAGAACACCCCATAACACTGCCCCTTTAGCACTTCCAATTTTGCCTGCAGTTGTGTGCCCTTCACAGTTCAACTTCCTGTCTCTCTAAACGAGACAGGCTGTGCTAAAACAGCATGATTACCCAAGTAAGGCTGATGACCAAGCTGACTTGAAGCTCTATTTTGTTGTCATTTCAAGGGTCATTTTACAAATCCAGGAAGTATCATTTATATTGTGGTTTAGTCCCATTTCAGTTGTTTTCCAGTGACACCATTTGCAGGGGCTACAGTATGGAGTATGTACCCTGTCATTGAGAAACATGGTGGGCCTGATAGGTCATTTAGCTATGTCATGCAAGACCCCATGAAAATCTCATAAATGATTTAATAGAGGTATGAGGCATCCTAATGGTAAAAGAAACATATGTTTCATATAAATCCATGAAACGTTCAATTTTCCAGTTATAAACATGATTTACTCATGTTGGATCCCTAGAGCTTCTCTACGTATTGCTTAGTCAACAATTAACTTTTGCAAAGCCTCAATGAGGCACGCACATCTCAATAGCTGATTGCTAGAGCAATAGTAGAATGCTGATTTTTTTCATTAGGCCTGCACAGCTTTCAAGTTCTAATTCGCCCAGATGTACTCAAGAACATGTTGTGGTATTAACAATAACTGTTTTTCAATTAACAGTCAATATGTGGAGGAACCAAAAAAAATTAAAAGGCTCCTTTGCACTTAATTTTTCCCACATGCTACTTAAAAGGCATTTTCTCTCCCTTTTAATGTTAATTGAATCATCATCCGCTTGTCACTTAAATTTCAAATACATGGGAGGACACTTCTCTAAGTGCTGACATGTAGTTAGAGGTCACACTACAAACCCAGATGTCCCTACTCTCATTACTCATCTCAATCTCAGCAGGGAAGACAGGTATAATATCTAAAGGGCAGTTTAATTCTTCTGATGATTTTTTTAACCATAATCTTATTAAAAAGCTTAAACTTTCCATTTGAATTTCCTTTTTCTGAAGTTTTCTATGGTCTCTCTGAACACAAGTACACTCTGGATGTCCTTTAAAAAAAAAAAAAAAGATTCTTAGAAGGATTCTAAATCCCTTAAACTATCCAGATTCCATGAACATTCTACACGATATTTGCCTAACTCTAATGTTTGCTTATTCTTCTCTTTCAAGGTTCAACTCCTCCCTTACCTTCTTTATGAGGCCTCCCTATGCACTAAAGCCTTTATCTTTGGGACAATCATTAGTCCCTTAGCACATAGAGCCCTTATATTTTAAAATAAATTTTAGGTGAAAGAGCTAGTTCCCTGACTGCCTTGAAAATCTCTACCTTGCCTTTGTATCATTGTATTCCCAATGCTTGTCACAATGAATCATTCATTCTTTCATTCATGTATTTATTCAACAAATATCCACAGAGTACCTCATTAAATAATAATGATCATATCTAGATTGCCCATAGTCCAGAGGAAAAAGTGGGAGAGGAGAGGCAGTTAACAGTCACGTAAAGCAAATAATTCATTAAATGAAATGTGCCTTAGAAAGGGAAAGTACTGTCTCCATGAAGTGGAAGATCCTGGAAGATTTAATATCTCCCTATCACTAGCCATAAGTAGTAGTTTGCCAAAAGGTAAAGAGAAAGATTTTTCAAGTGAAAATAATTACATGTATGAAAATTTAATGATTAAAGAGGATTGTATGCTCAAGGAATGCCAAGAACTTTTGGTGTGGCTAGAATGCAGTTGATAGAAAGATGAGTCTGCGAAGCACCAGACTGAGAAGAGCTTTGCATACCATGCCAATCAGTGTGTTCTCTATCCTACGTACAAGCAGGTCAAGGACTCTGGCAGGTCAGAAGCTCCTACTGAGGCTAACGCAGTAAATATACAATGGAGTCTTGGAATTTTTATTTTCAACATCTCTAGTGATTCTGATACAAGTTGTCCTCAGATGAAACTGTGAGAAATGCCTCTGTATGCAAACAGGAAATCTAAGGGAATTATTGAAAAGGCAGTGTGGGATGGCTAGCCCACTTCTAGGAGGTTTTGGCACTAGATCAGGCAAGGAATGTCAGTTTTAATGATAATGATTACAAACAGATTAATTTAGTTAGTTGCTACTAGGTTTGCATAAATCAAGATTGTACCTGAGTGATCTATAAGTAAAGGCACTGAAATATCATGTGTTTAATTTACAATATTCCAGCAGTTATTATTCTTCTATTGCTAAACATATTGTCCCACATGCGCCTCATAAAAAATCCAGTGAGGTAGTCATTACTATCTGTACTTAACAGATGAGGAAACAAATGTTCAGAGGGTTGAAATGACATGGCAGCAGTTATCCAATGCATGCATGATAGAAGTGGAAATTAAAGTCTAGGGCTGTCTGACTCCTCCTCCTTCATCATGCTTCCTTTCCAAATATCTGCAATGTAACTTCCAAACTATACAATGAAACACAACAAACCCCAATTTTGGGCACAACGAAATACAACAAACATCAATTTTGGGCCAACAAGATTGGGCACAATTTTAGGTTCAACAAAATTGAACATCAATTTGATGTAATTGAAGTTAAGAAATACAAGAATCCAATCAAGTGTGTATCAATGTTATTTCTATTGTAAGTGACAAAAACTCAAGCCCAGCTGATTGAAGCAAAGGGGGAATTTATTGATTCTTACGGCTGAAAAGTTCATGGTAGGCTCTAGGAATTAATTGATTCAGGAAACAAAAATAATGACTCTAGAATCCAGTTTTTCCTTTCTTATCTCTTGGTTGCTTTCTGTTTGTCATCTCCATGTTAACTTTCACTGGTCCTGGCAAAATGGCTTGCTCCAGAGTGCTGTCCTAATATCCTCCAAAATTCAAGTTCAATGGAAGACAGCACTTTTCTTTTTTCTAATCTCTTTCAATGACCCATTGCAGTCCTTCTTGGGTCACAGATCTATCCCTAAGTTCACTTTGCAGCCAGGGCAACTCATGCTGATTGTCTATGTGGGAGCCTAATGTTTACCTTTGGATCAAGCACAGAGTCAACACCACCCAAATGTCATAGACTTCAAATGAGGGACACATGATTCTTCAAAATAAAATTTAATTGATGGTACAAAAAAAGGAGTTTCAAAATGGAGGGAGCAATGCTAGCAAATAACCACAATGTTCAGCTAAAAAAATGGAGCAAGGTAACTGACCTTGGCTTTTTATTATTATGACAGAATCAATTATACTCATTGATGAATTAGGTGATACTTTTCCAGATTTCTGTATTTCCTTAGGACACACCTCTGGACAAATGAAAATTTATTCTAGCAGGAAATCTGTTTTTAGATGGTTTTTATACACATGCACACACACATATGTACATATACACACACGCACCCCAATTTCTACAAGGCAATTTTCTTGATATGGATTAAATCTATTCAAATAAGATTATTCTGTTTTGCAACTGACTGAATTCTTTTATTTTCTTTTCAAAATAATCCACTGTTCAATCAAATTAAAATGCTTGTTTTAAACTTTAATTTGTGTGCACATATAGCCACAGTCATTCTTCAGCTAAAGTACACTGGTTATTTTAATCCTTTAATCAATACTTCCTTCCAGCAATTCATATCTTTTCATTCCCTTTCCAAAATTATTCATTTCTCTAAGGAAGGTAGAAGGTTTTGCTGACTTATCTCCTCAGTGGTTTGTTACGGATTGGATAAGCGGTACAAAATTTCTGAGGATTTTCCTCTTTGGTGATATTTTATGTTCTCTTGAGTACATGTGTTAATTTTCAACCTGCTCATTCTTCAAGGCACAGTTCAAACCTCCAAGACACCTCCCCTCTATAGGCCAATACCCTCTTATTCAAAACATTTATCACTGTGCACCACATTTATTATTAATACCATAATAATAAAGTTAATTACATAAATAAAAACTAATTAAACTGGCTGGGTGTGGTGGCTCATGCCTGTAATCCCAGCACTTTGGGAGGCTAAGGTGGATGGATCACCTGAGGTCAGGATTTCGAGACCAGCCTGGCCAACATGGCAAAACCCTGTCTCTACTAAAAATACAAAAAAGTTAGTGGGATGTGGTGGTACGCACCTGTGGCCCCAGCTACTCAGGAGGCTGAGACAGGAGAATTGCTTGAACCTAGGAGGCAGAGGTTGCAGTGAGATGAGATTGCACCACTGCACTCCAGCCTAGGTGACAGAGCGAGATTCTCTCTCAAAAACAAACAAACAAACAACAACAACAACAACAACAACAAACCCTAAACTTAAAGAAAATTTAGTTTAATTCTCCATAAACTGAAAACTCATTGAGGGCACAGCTTTGCATTCTCAGCCCCTAGCACCATATCTTACAAATATTAATAAATGGACTTAATATAATAAGTCATGTTGTAGGTTAATATTTTACTTTTCAAAAAGTTGATTTTGCTCAATCCTTTTAGATGAAAAGGAAGGGAATGTACCCAGTAGCCCAGTATCCTATTGAAATCGGCCAGGTAGAAGTGGTACGGGACATGGCTCTCTCTCTGCCTCTCTCCAAGCAGTAAGAGTAGTAAAACCAGGGGAAGGAGGGAGAAGAGCAGCAGAGATAACAAACCAAGTGGCTGTCAGCCTGGGAGGGGCTGGCTAGGTGAGATATCTGCAGCTGAAGAGTCATGGCAAGGAAACAAAGACCCAGGGACAAGAGAAGAGACACTTCCAGGCTAAGGAGGAAAGGGGCTGGCTGGCATACCAACTGTGACAAGGGCTGGGTGAAGCTAGCTTTTATGTGGCTCCTAAATGGGGATGTATGACTACATTAAGAGATAGGAACAGAGGGAGTCATTTGGTTACATAGCCACTTACCTATTCAGCCCCCTCTGACTCATTAAACACTTATAAATGTGTGAACTCACCAGCAGCTCTTTGATCTCCAGCTTTCTTCTCATTCATTGCTACACTTTCTGACTATAATATTTCCATTTTTAAGCATAGTACATTATGAAATACTGTTATTAATGATATTTAAACAAATGAAATTGCATTATTATGTTCAAAATGTGGCTCACATCGATCAACATAACAAATTACAGATGCAAAACACTACTTAAGCTCCATAATGACAGCATATTTTAAAATGTATTCCTGAGTAGCAGTCAGGAATTTCAAGAGAAGAGAGAATTATAGTGGCTGGGAAATGGATAAATAAGTATAAGTAACTAGCTTTTGGAAAAGGGTTTGCCTCATCAAATGTACACTGAAGGGATGCTCATAAACTGCCTGTCAAAATAAAGAGAGGTTTGCAGCTACCTAGGAGCTAGCAGCTCCGACCTCAGTTATGATCTGGGGCAGTGATTCTCCCTTGGGATTCTAAGAGTTAGAATAAACTGTGATCTCTGGGGTCAGAAAGAGACAGCTAGAAATTGTGCATGGTGTTTGGTTTCTATTTTTTCTGCAGCAGTCCATGATCAGACACCATCTGTTTTGAGTATACTGTTTGTGTGAACACAATATTCATGTGTGGTTCCACTACCCTTGGTGCTTTGAACCTCTTAGCCAAACAGCAAATATTTATTTTGAACTAAATGTCAAAGATTGTGCCACCATTGTGAGAAAAGTAAATTAAACACCAACCAACCAACAAAAAAAGGCACACCAACAACGACCTCACAAAACATGAAGCACGGCCTCTCCTTATTGTCTCCCATCTAGCTGCCAACATACATGAAAAAGAGAGTGAATAGCAAAATGCCAAGCAATGCTAGCCACAATGCAAGTGGATACAAATTCTACAGCAGTGATGACATTCAAAATATTCAGCCACCTGAATGTCTGATATCCACCACTGAGAAAAGTCACTCACAATCACAGGGAGAACAGCTGGTGAGCTGGACAGGTACATATCCATGGAATATTCATCCTAAGAACAGTCTTAAGGTTGTCCCATGTAAGAATAACCTCAGTTTAGAAGACTCAGACCAGTGCACATCAATTTCCTGACCTTATGAACACACATCTTTTTTCTGCATAATTGATATTTACAAAACAAAGCAAAACCTAAGTTCCTTCAGAGTTGGGACTCTTTCTTTTCCAACATTTATTCACGGCAGTTGACTCTGTAACATTAGTTTGGCAAACATAAACAAGGATGCAGCCATCACCTATAAAAAAAATGCAGATATTTCTCTCCCAGACTATGTCGGGAGGGGAAGAAGCACTTTGTACTCCAAAATAGCTTAGACCCAAAAATATTGGTGAACAGGAAAGGAAGAAAAATGAACAGTAAGCTCTAACCTGCAGAGGGCCCTGTGCTCTGCCAGCCAAGCAGTGATTTCCAGTGGCCCATGGCAGAGACGGTGAGGAGGCAGTTCCACATGACGAATTTCTTCATGAGTTGGGAAATAGCTCTTTGCTTGGGGAGGCTAACGGCAAAGCCTCCCCAAGCAAACTTGAGATTTTCCAGTGGCTTACTGAATATCTTATTTATACCACAAGGCATTCATTTAAAATGAGGTCTTGATGCCAACCCTTTTGACATTTTGACAGGCTACAAAACTCAAAGCAGCAGGACTTTCTGTTGTTGTCATTGTTGGGGTTTCAATGCAGTAAACACATATGCAGTTTCACTTAGTAGACTATAAAAAGAGTTGGTAGAAATCCAGAAATTGATTTGTATTTTAATGGAAAAAAAATCCATTAAACTACTTTTATATAAAATTAAATCCCCTCACTGTATTTTTAACTAAAAGTCATGTGTTGAGGACCTATTTGTTCAGAATATGCTGCAGCAGTGGTTTTCAACCATGGCTTCACATTTAGAATCATATAATGATCTTAGGAAAAAAATAGATGGTGTCTGAGATCCATCCCAGAGCTTAAAAAAGAGTGTGCCCCAGAGATCTATAAGTGGGGATGGCAAGAACTAGGTCATGAAACAGCACAGTGGAGTAACCATGACCAGCTCAGACCCATCTTGACTAAATCAGTGGAAGTGGGCACATACCTGACTGAATACATTTTGGTTCTACGAGCATGAAAAAGGGAATGGAAAAAAGAATGGCTATTGGGCAGACAATTATTGAGTATGCAACCAATTGTGTCTGTCATATACTCCAAGTTTCTCAAATTGCTCTTGAAAATTTTCAGTGACATGGGAAACTTACCAAAGCATAGTTTGAAAATGACATTTCTCATATCAATTCTTCCAGTTCCCTTCCTTTTCTGTATGAATACACAAAGTAACAGAATGTCCCAAGAAAATGTGGGATTGGATTCAGTAATATATAAGTTTCTCCTAACCTCTAAAACAAATGCATGATTGCAGACTGTGGTAAACTCCAAATGTGAGAAGAAACAGAGGTTTCTGGGCTTGGAAATGTGAAAATTGCATGGAGAAATAGCATGAGCACAGGAAAAACATCTGAAGACTATATGAGCAAATAAAATTGATGTGGCAAAAATTGAATTTTGAATTAATGACAGAAGAAGCTATTAACAAAATAACTGCAACCTATAATCAGAACACTGATTATATGCCTAGTCCATTTCTACAACTGTGCATATGAAATAATATTTATACCATCACATTGGTCTAAGAAAAGTACATGACTCCTTGCAGCATTTTTACGTTGTGGCCTTTACAACGTCAATAACAATCTTCAAGTGTATTCATTCAAAACATACATGTCTGTTTAGTAACCACTATGTGGAAAGTCCTCCACCATCCATTAGAGATATTTAAAGATGAATGAGATGCAATCTTTGCCATCAGGCAGGTAAACAACTAGCTTGAATGCAATCACCCAGCACAAATGGTGGTAACTGGCAGAGTCTTCAATGCAGAAATGATTTATCTGGTATAAGTGTATACTGTGTCACAGCATATAATTCCTAAGTGCCCTGTTCTGCTCTGCTGAGAGATTTCTAATCAAAATCTGCTTTGTTCTCATTTAAGTAGAAGGTAGATTTGCTACAAAACTTTGCTCGAATGGAGCTGGATTTATGACAATGTCAATAAAATAATGCAAAGGAAAGTCCAGAGCAAGAGGAGCTGCAACTAAGGTTTCTAACTGAGAAGAAATTCCACAGTTCCCTCACATTTACTCTTCCCTCTCCATTCCAAGAAAAAGGAAAAGAAAAAAAAAAAAGTGACTCTGAATTGCTTTCTTTCCCTCACCAGCAATTCATTCAAGAAACATTCATCAAGCACCTCCTTTGTGTCAAGAAATGTGCTAAAAGGGAAGAAAGACATGCATGCAAGGCAGTCACAACTCTGTGGAATTTCTGGATTATCATTCTAATTTTAAGATAAATACATTGAGACATTAAGTGACTCACTCATGTTACAAAAGAAACAAGCGCAAAGCTGGGAATTAAACTTGTCTTTTACAGCTTGATGCCATTTCTACACTATCCCTCTGGAAAACACATGCAGTCTACAAGGGACTCTGGTAGGACTCTTAAGACTACACACAGAGAGAAGCATTTGAAGGGTTCACTATAGAGCACTCATGGGGAGTCCTGGCTAGTGCACCAAGAAGAGTTTATCTGAGCTGATTCAAACCTGAGAAAAAGACAGCCTAGCCCATGCAGTTCTCAGGCTGAGTTCAGAAGAAAGGGTAGTTTATCTCCATCTGGGAAGTTGTCCACATTTACAAAGCACAGAACCAAGGAGGTCTTGTGGGATTTTCCTTTGTGATACCCCTACAAGGAGGGATTCGAACACTGGGTATCTTGTGCTAAAAAATCATGCAGAACATGGAGTAAGGTTACTCAACAGCTGAGAGGTTACTCAACAGCTGAGGGATGCATGCCAGCACAGTCTGCCCTGTTATGTGGACATTCTCTGACTGACAGGCCCTCTGATGCTCTGCCATGTGACATGGTGACCATATGCTAAGAAGCACTCCTGCTCTACAGGGAGACAGATTGTCAGAGAAGTCTCAAAAGCCAGCCAGATGCCAGTGTCCCCTCTACTGTCCCTGATCTACCAGAAGTGGCTTTGCCAGCTGGCATCTCCACTTCTTCCAACCATGCTCTGATCATAGAAAACAAACAGGGTTGAGACACTAACAACTTTATTCCCCTGTACCAGTAAAGCCCACCAGTGAGAGATGAACTAATGGGCAAGAGAAAGAGTCCAACAAGAAGAGAAAGGGTCCAATGAGAAGAAAAAGAGGGATGGGGGAGATTTTTCCTTCCTATGGGCTTTTTTTCCTTAGATGAAGGTGTGCTGCACTCCACATGACTTATTACAATTTATTTACAGATCTCTCTACCCATGAGTGTACAAGCTTCATTTAATGACAGTGATGGTCTCACTGATGTCTGTAGTCACAGCCCCCCCTCCCCACTACAAAGGCTGACCCAGAAGGACAGCTCAACAAATATCTGTTTTGTTTTATTTTTAAGAAAAGTGCTGTGAAAACGAATTGAGATAACATACCTATTAAGTAAGGACTATAGAATCTCATAATCTGGGGTGGGGACAGAGTGCTCAAATCTCTGGATCAGCTCTTTCTCACCCAAAAATTGATACAAATAACATAATAATCTCCCTGGCAATGCCCAAATGACTCTGCCTCTATAGCAATTTTACACCTGCTCCGGTGATACTACCAAGCAGCAAAAACAGCTCTAACCCAATCCCCAACCCCACCTCAGGTCAGAGAAATTAGGAAGCCTTATATTTTCCTTTTGTCTGACCAAAGAGTTCACCCACAATGGTTCACTAAACACAACTTTCAAACAACTTGAAGAGTGTTAAAAATTCAACTGCTAATGATTTTTAAGCACGAATCATGATTCATCCAGCATATTAAATTATGAAATGTAATTTGTAGAAATTTCATCATGCTCTAGCATTATGAAAGAAGTAATATGTAATTGCAATTTAATGTTGAATGTTGCCATGTTTATTGGTTTCCTAGTGCATATACTGTGCTCCAGGGATGCTGAAGATAAAAGTACCTTATGCCAAAGGGCAGCAAGTGAATGGACTGATAAAAAGAAAGAAAGCAATTGAAGAGCTTGTCATTCTTACGAGCACTCCTACTGTAGCAGTGTCTACCCAAGAATCTTTGGACATAAAATATATCCAGCATTTATGGGCATCTTTCTCTTATAAATTTAGTGCTTTTAACGAAGCACTGAGAATTAGTTTTAGGTCTGCATTCAGCTATACACACATAAGGAGAGTAACTAGTTCACTTATGCCTAATTTTCTCTTCTGTTAAATGCAGGTGCTTTAAATACATTAACGATGGTTGTCATTATATATACAGAGTGCTTATCCTAGTTTCTGGCATATGGTTAGCATTCAATAAAAATTCAATTCTATTCGTTATACAAATTGTCATCATCATTATCATTATCATCATCATCCATTTTCATGAAACAGAACAATAAAGCTGGACAAAACCTAAAAAGAATTAATGAATCCAAGAGCTTTTTTTTCCTCTGTAGAAGGGAAGCCCACTCTCTGTAAACTAATTTATTCCTACTGCCACCCAACAAATGTGAAAAAAACAAAAACAGAAATGCATCCTAATTCCAAGTCCAGAGCTTTTTTACACAACTATTAAATTATTAAGGGCATTGGACAATAAAATGGGAAGTCTTTACCTTTTAGCATCTCTCTCACGATGTCCCTGTGACATTATTCTCCATGCCTCAGGGCTCTTCGTCTTCATGTGTTTAGCTTTCTTTCCACGTCAGAAAGGAAATAGTAACAGGTACTGAAAACTTTATATTCTCTTGCTGCGATTCACTCATTCTCTGAGATATGTTTCCTTTTAAAGCCCCAGTGATCAAATAAAGTTGTTTTTCTTATATTTTAAGTATTTATCAATGAATTCTAAGAAGAATGTGAAATTATAAGAAAGTTTACATGTATAAAAATAGGACCAGTAAGATCCCTACCTGATGACAGATGCTTTAGTTTTTGTTTCCTCTTAATATGTTAGACATTTCCTTATTAAGCCTCAGCCCCAGACTTGTCCTTCTATATTCACCTTCAAACTGTTAGGGCTAGAAACCTGCAAACTATTATTTGCAGCTTTTCTGGCTAGCAAGTTGCTGATCATATTCTGCCAGTCTGAAGTAGTTACGCCAAAATGAAAACCAGTAAGAAGTGAGACATTCTGTTTCTGATGAACCCTCCTATAGTGATAGCAGCAGTGGGAGCCCAAGTTCTGCTAATGAAGCATTTTAGAATCAGCAGTTAGCAGTTCTACCAGGTGAAGGAACAACAGCTCTTGCTCATACCACCTGCCATGGTTTCAGCAGTATTGAAAATAACTGTTCTAATAATATTAGTGGCAAGAAAACTCTTATGGACATCAGTCCAGAGATGGCAACATCTTGCTCATATCTGAATAATAATGGCCTTTTCCTTTTTCTATTTATTTATTTATTTATTTATTTTGAGATGGAGTCTCACTCTCTTGCCAGGCTAGAGTGCAGTGGCGCAATCTCAGCTCACTGCAACCTCCACCTCCTGGGTTCAAGTGATTCTCCTGCCTCACCCTCTTGACTAGCTGGGACTATAGGCGCACGCCACCACACCACTCCCGGCTAATTCTTGTATTTTTTAGTAGAGATGGGGTTTCACCATATTAGCCAGGCTGGTCTTGAACTCCTGACCTCGTGATCCACCTGCCTTGGCCTCCCAAAGTGCTGGGATTACAGGCGTGAGCCACCGTGCCCAGCCCCTTTCCCCTTTTCCAGTGAGGACAAACCTCTGCCCTTTCCATGATGGAAGAGGTCCAATATAATCAACCTGCCACCAAGTAGCTGGCCGATCACCCTGAGGAATGGTGCCATATCGAAGGCTCAGTGTTGGTTTATGCTGCTGGCAAATTGGGCACTCAGGAGTGGCCGTAGCCATGTCAGTTTTGGTGAGTGGAAGTCCACGTTGCTGAGCCCATGCGTAACCTCCATCCCTGCCACAATGGCCACTGTGGTCATGGGCCCATTGGGCAATGACAGGGGTGGCTGGGGAAAAAGGATGAGTGGTGTCCACAGAACAGGTCATCCTATCCACTTGATTATTTAAATCCTCCTTTGCTGAGGTCACCCGTTGGTGAGCACTCATATAGGATACAAATATCTTCACAGTTTTTGACTACTCAGAGAGTTCCATCCACATACCTCATCGCCAAATTTTTTGGTCACCAATTTTCCAATCGTGCTTCTTCCACATCCCTGACCAACCGGCCAAACCATTGGCTACAGCCCATGAATCAGTATGTAATCACACATCTGGCCATTTCTCCTTCCATGCAAAGTGCACAACCAGGCACAGTGCTTGAAATTCTGCCCACTGGGAAGACTTCCCTTCACCACTGTCCTTCAGGGATGTCCTGGAAAGGGGCTGTAGTGCTGCAGCTGTCCACTTTCGGGTGGTGCAGGATCATCTGTGAACCAGGCCCTGGTCTTCTCTTCCTCTGTCAACTGATCATAGGGAACTCCCCATGAGGCCATCAGTGCAGGCTGGGGAAGAGAAGGCAGGGTGGCAGGAGTGGAGACCATGGGCATTTCAGCCACTTCCTCATGTAACTTACTTGTGCCTTCGGGACTGCTTGAGCCCAATCACATATATATGTGATTGGGAGCCCAACCACTTCCATTTGATGGAAGCCCAACCACTTCCATTTGATGATTTAATGCTGCTGTGCATGACCCACTTTATGGCTAGATGGGTCAGAAAGCGCCCAGTTCATGATAGGCAGTTCAGGTTGCATGGTGACTTGATGACCCACAGTCAAACATTCAGTTTCCACCAAAGCCCAGTAACAGGCCAAGAGCTGCCTTTCAAAAGGAGAGCAGTTATCTGCAGAAGATGGCAGGGCCTTGCTCCAATATCCTAGAGGCCTCCACTGTGATTCACCAATGGGGGCCTGCCAGGGCTCCAAACAGCATCCCTATCTGCCACTGATACCTCCAGCACCATTGGATATGCTGAGTCATATGGCCCAAGTGGCAGAGAAGCTTGCACAGCAGGCTGGACCTGTTTCAGAGCCTTCTTCTCTTCTAGATCCCACTCAAAACTGGCAGTCTTTTGGATCACTCGACAAATGGACTGGAGTAACACATTCAAATGAGGAATGTGTTGCCTCCAAAATTCAAATAGGCCCACTAGACATTATGCCTCTTTCTTAGTTGTAGGAGGGACCAAATGCAGTAACTTATGCTTCACCTTAGAAGGAACATCTCAACAGGCCTCACACCACCAGACCCCTAGAAATTTTACTGAGGTAGAAGGCCCCTGAATTTTAGTCAGATTTATTTCCCATCCTCTGGCATGCAAATGATTTACCAGTAAGTCCAGTGTGTTTGTTACTTCTTGCTCACTGGATCCAATCAGCATAGTGTCATTAATGTAATGGACCAGTGTGATATCTTGTGGAAGCACAAAGTGATCAAGGTCTCTTCAAACAAGATCATGACACAAAGCTGGAGAGTTGATATACCCCTGAGCTAGGACAGTAAAGGTATATTGCTGGCCTTGCCAGCAGAATGCAAATTGCTTCTGGTTGGCCTTATGGACAGGAATAGAGAAAAACGTATTTGCCAAGTCAATGGCTGCATAACGGGTACCAGGAGATGTGTTAATTTGCTCAAGCAATTAAACCACAATTGGTACAGCAGCTGCAATTGGAGTCACCACTTGGTTAAGCTTACAATAATCCACTGTCATTCTCCAAGATCCATCTGTCTTCTGCACAGCTCAAATAGGAGAGTTGAACAGGGATGTGGTGGGAATCACCACCCCTGCATCTTTCAAGTCCTTGATGGTGGCACTAATCTCCGCAATCCCTTGGAGAAACAATATTGTTTTTATTTACTATTTTTCTAGGTAGAGGCAGCTCTAATGGCTTTTATTTGGCCTTTCCCATCATCATTGCCCTCACCCCACTAGTCAGGGAGCCAATGTGGGGGTTCTGTCAGCTGCTAAATGTCAATGGCAATTATGCATTCTGGCACTGGGAAAATGACCACAGAATGAGTCCGTGGACCCACTGGAGCCACTGTAAGTCAGACCTGAGCTAAAACTCCATAAATTACCTGACCTTCATAAGCCCCTACTTTAACTGGAGAACCACAACGACGTTTTGGGTCCCCTGAAATCAAGGTCAGCTCAGAGCCAATGTCCAGTAGTCCTCAACATGCTTGATCATTTTCCTTTCCCCAGTGCAGTTACCCTGGTAAAAGGCTGGAGGTCTCCTTGGGGAAGGATGAGAGAAAGACTAACAGTGTAAATTGTTGGTAATGTAGTGGGGTCCTTCGTCAAGGGGACCTGGTCTCTCCTTCATTCAAGTAGTTCTGGATATGTAAACTGGTTCAAGTCTGGAAATTGATTGAGGATCAGTGATTCTCTGTTTTTAGAATTCAAATTAGTCTTTTGACCTGCAAGTTTTCTGCTTATATAAATTAAGTAGGAATGCAGGAGACTTCCTACAAATTTCACTTTTAGGAACACCGTGATTAGTTAGCCCATGTCAGAGCTCTACACAAGTCAGACTATTCTAACTGCTGCTTTGCCTCTGCTGTCCATTATGGCAGCTACACCCACCTTACCTTTGTTGGTTGAGTGCTGCCACTTGGCCCTAGCCAACTTGAGATCCAATTATTCCCATTGCATTTAAATGTTGTAGTTGAGTGACTGCAGTTCCCATTGTTAGATCTGACATGCAGAGAAGAGCAATTACAGGCCTCCTCAAAGATGCAGGTGCTGCCATCACAAATCTATTTCATAAGTATTGGTCAAGGATATATCTTCTGGACTCTCCCAGCTGCGATTAGTAGGTCTGGAGTGAGTAATCCACTCTACCATCTCAATCTCCTTCAGCCTTTGGATCCCTTCCTCTACATTAAACCAAGGGAGATTAGGCATTTCCAGCTCACTCACAGTGAGTCATCTTTAATCTATATTTCAGCTAACCAAGGAAATAAATTATTAGAAACTTTTTTAACTCCCTGAGCTGCAACATAAAATGCAGAATCCCTACTTAGTGGGCCCAAATAAATAAATTCAGCCTGATTCAACTCTGTGTTCCTTCCACCATCATTCCACACCCTTAATATCCATTCCCATTCCTGTTCTCCAGATTTCTGCTTATATTAATTAGAAAACTCAAGTAGTTCTTTTCAAGTGGCATGTACCTCCTTGTGGGTCACACTCTGAACCTCACCTGTAGGAGCCTGGTGGGATTTTAGTTTAGTTATAGGTCTAGAAGCAAACAGGGGTGTTAGGGGAGGGTCCTGAGGAGAATCAATATTGTTTTGTCTGGCAACTGCCTCAGGGGAGGCCATCATTATTGCCTCAGGCAGTGCAAGGTTTATCACTTCAGACAAAGGTGGAAAGGCGATGGCAGCATGGGACCGGGAGGGGATGTTGCCACTAATGGGAATGGGGAAGCTGTTTCTTCTGGCAAAAAAAGTTAACCAGAGTTTACAAACTCAGAGTCTCCAGCTTCATCAGGGTCCTCCCACACATCCCCATTCCAAGTCGCAGGGTCCTATTCTTTTCCAGTCAATGTCCTCACTTTAACGGTAGACACCTGGTGAGGCTGTGCATGCACCTTTCATTGCAGGTCAGCCACTCGCATGATAAGAGGTTGTGTCTGGTGTTCCAAAATTTCAGCGCTTTCTCTACAGGAGATAAGACTCTCACTCAGGGCAATCTTAGCAGATTTGATGTTCAGTATTTGCTTCTGAAGCCGGGAGTTAGAATCCCTGTGTTCTTCATTTTCTTTCATCACTTTGTCCAGTGAACTTAGGAGCAACCAACCAACTTCATTATGTTCCTTGGTTCTCCACATATAGTCAAAGGTATTATGTTTAGAGTCACCAAACACCTTGACTCTCACGAGTGGTGAATCAGGAGTGTCAAATGCATTTATTTTGCATAAATCTCTACACAGTTCACACCAAGGACTATTAGTGTTCTCCATACTATTAGAAGTAGAGTCCTTAACATTTTTGGGTTCATCATATTAAGCAGCCAACTCCAGAAACTCCAAAATCAACAAAAGAACTTTGTCTTTAATATTCTGTTCCTCTGGAACCACTCTTGGTACCAAAATCTATATTAGTCAGAGTTCTCTAGAGGGACAGAAATAATAGGATAGATATATATAAAGGGGAGTTTATTAAGGAGTATTAACTCACAGTATCACAAGGTCCCGCAATAGGCCATCTGTAAGCTGAGGAGCAAGGAAGCCAGTCCGAGTCCCAAAGCTGAAGAACTTGGAGTCCAATGTTCAAGGACAGAAAGCATCCAGCACAGGAGAAAGATGAGGCTGGGAGGCTAAGCCAGTTTAATCTCTCCACATTCTTCTGCCTGCCTTTTATTCTGGCCACACTGGCTGCTTATTAGATGGTGCCCACCCGGATTGAGGGTGGGTCTGCTTCTCCCAGTCCACTGACTCAAATGTTAATCTCCTTTGGCAACAGCCTCACAGATACACCCAGGAACAGTAGTTTGCATCTTTCAATCCAATCAAGTTGACACTCAGTATTAACCATCACAACCATATCACATATACTGTCATATATATAGGCAGTAAGAGAGGATGCAAGGTCAATTTCAAGGAATTTATCAATTTTCAATTGATATCTAGTGGGAAAATACTGTTGATAATGAAATAGATCAATACAGACAGGGTCAAGAAAAGAGAAATGCAGTGAGGCATAGAGATAGAAAGCAACTGTGTTGCTACTTTGAGGCATATAAAATTATAACTTATAAAAATAAATGAAGTGACACAAAGTATGTGTGTCTGGCACAATTGACATTTCCTCTCAGACCCTCTGGATATCACTGTCTCCTCGTACTCAGGCTTTGTTCATAGAGATTCCCAGCTTCCACTGCTGCCTCATCCACAAACTCTCCTGGTTGTCTGGACAACTTCTGAATAAGAATCAGGTTCCAGAATAATCCTCACGGTGCTAGCTCTAGCTCTACCTCAGGATCTGTTTTCTAAGATACTCTAAATAAGACAGAAAGTAAAAAAATAATAATAACTTTTTTAATGAAATGGTTACATATTTTAGTTAAATTATTTTTGGTCAAATATATACTAGAAGATTTTTGTTATATTTATTATGTGTCTGTATATCATCAAAAACTTCAAATTATAAAATGCATATAATATATGTATGCCTACTTTGCAGTATTTGGAGAATAGTTTTCCTAGCATAAATTATTAGAAGATTTTATCTTTCCTTTTATGCCTCATTGATCAAGCCTAGATTTATTTGCATATGATACTGAATTCTACTCTCTCCAAATCCTCTACTTGCAATTAAAATATCAATCCTATAGCAATGTAATTAATTTTTTAACAACTCACTTTATTATGCCCTTTCAGATATGTGTCGCAGTAAAACTTCCTATTGTCCCCAAATTCTCAGTCTCAACAAATTAGTGCATAATCTCAATGTAACCTACTGCTTTTTATTCTTCACTGGTTCACTATGTTAAATATGGGGATTAATTAGAGAAATAAACAGTATTGTTTAAAAAAGTGACAAATACGCCCCAAAGGCTTAGAGAACCTGAGTTATTTAATGCGATAAAGTTTGAGGAAGACACTAGGAAATATCAGGGATCCTTATTGTACACCCTTTGGAGGTTTTCAGTAGTGTTGCTTTGAAGGTAAATGACAGTCCTTGATAACTTTTGATATTATCTTAGGTTTGCCTCTCTAATGATACAAAGTGATTATCCCACTCTGCTTGAACTTGAAATCCTGAGTAGATGACCTTGGGCAAGTCATTCATCTTGTTTCTGCTTAGTTTACTCTTCTGGAAAGTGAGAAAAATATTATTACTGCCTCATGGGGGTAAGTATTAGCTGTGAGGATAAAAAGAATTACTACATGTAAAGGATTTATAATTGTACCTACATAAGTTAATCTTTATATCCATGATATCTTTTTCATAGGCTTTTCAGGGTCCTTTAAAAGTAGTGAATAAGGCCAAGCGTGGTGGCTTACGCTTGTAATCCCAGCACTTCAGGAGGCTGAGGCAGACAGATCACTTGAGCTCAAGAGTTCAAGATATGTCCTGGGCAACATGACAAAACCCTGTCTCTACAAATAATACAAAAAATTAGCTGAGAGTGGTGGTGCGTGCCTGTGGTCACAGTTGCTCGGGAGGCTGAGGTGGGAGGATCCCTTGAGCCTGGGAGGTCAAGGCGGCAGTGAGCTGTGATTATGCCATTGCTCTCCAGGCTGGGCAAGAGAGTAAGACCTTGTCTCAAAAAAAAAAAAAAAAAAAAAAAAAAAGGAAATAAATGTAACTAATAATCATTCAAAAACAAACAAAACTTACATATATTCTGATACCATGAATGATTTAAATCCCTTAAAATAAAATGAAAAAAATTGTACTTTGAATAATGCCTTGATAGAAAATGTGGGTGATTACACTGTTTAGAAAGCAAGTTTAAAATTGCTCTATGGCCATATCACCCTGAATACACCCATCTCATCTAATCTTGGAAGCTAAGTAGGGTTGGGCCTAGTTAGTACTTGGATGGGAGAAAAGTTTAAAATTGGTCAAAATTATTCAAAATAATTATTTCCAGACATCAAAAGAAGATAAAAGGCAGGTAACAATTTGAACATTGTTTGTGCATGAAGCCTGCTAATTCATCAGGTAAGAATAGTGATTTTGTGGCCACTGGCTGGGACATTCCTACTGCTTCATATAGGGTGGCAAAATCCAATAGCTTTACATTTGGTGTTTGCAGACTCAGTTCAGGGCAGGTGGCAAAGGAATAAGAAATTTAAGTGTAAAATTTTGGAAGTTAGGGAAATGTAAAAAGGTTGAAATAATAAACTCTCCATACATCCTCAGTTTACTCCTAAACTCCCCTGCAGGTGAGGCACAGTAATGATCCAGGTAAAGACTGAAAGCCTAGGGGGAATTAAGGATTTGTTGTCTCTGAGTCTATTTACCAACCAACAAACAGCTCGGGTGGCAGAGGATGGAAGCCTTACTGCATGGGGCCAGTAAGCCTAACCCAGTAAGTAAGAGGTTAGCATAACCTCTGTGTATGTCATTGGCTGACCCTGAAACTCTACAAGGGAACCAGGCTATCAAACACTAAATGGACATATCAAGGACTGCCTCCTTCAGAGCAGCAGATTTTCCACTTACGTCCAGGGAACTTAACTGCCTATTAAAACAAAAACACAACAACCCTTTGGTTGCAGGGGGGACCTGAAACTGACATGAAAGTAACTGCAACATAACATCTGCATCATATCATCTCCATTGTCTAGTTTCTCACAAAATTACTAGTCATGCAGAGAAACAGAAAAGTTATCCATGCACAGAGGGGAATAAAACAGTCTGTAGAAATTGACTAGGAGTGTGTGGACTTAGCAGACAGAGACTTTCAAGTAGGTATTCCAAATATTCTCGAATTTAAGAAAAATACATTCAAGGAATTAAAGAAAATTAAATATGTTCAAATAATAAAAAATACAGATAAAGATCAAACAAATAAACTTCAGAACAGATCAATATCCAATCCAAAGAAGAGAGAGGAAAAAATGTTTAAGATAAATAAACAGAGATCTGTGACACACTATTAAGCATTCCAACTCTCATACAATTAGAGTCACAGAAGATAGAGAGAAAGGAGAAAAACCATATTTTAACTAAAATGGGCAACACCTTCCCAAATTGGTGACAAATACTGAGGTATAGGTATATGTGGCATAGTAGTTAGTATACCTCCCTTCCAAATCATGAAAAATATTAACTAATGCATCAAGAAGTTCAACAAACCCCGAATAGTATAAACACAAAGGAGACTGCACCTGGACACATGACGGTCTAATTTCTAATAGCCAAAAATAAAGAGAAAATCTTAAAAGCAACCAAAGAAAAATGACAAATCATATACAAAGGAAAACTATATGATTAGTGGCAGAATTCTCTTCAGAAACAATGGAAGCCAAAGGAGACACTGAAATTGCTAACAGTTAAAAAAAAATTGTTGCTAGGAGAATTGCACTATAAAGCATACTAAAAGAAGTCCTTTGGTGGAAGAAAAATAACACAAATGCTAACTTATCTACATTGGAAGACATGAAGAGCATCAGAAATGGTAAGTATGGTGTAAATATATAAAATACACACACATATGTATTTCCTTTCTTCTTTAAGATTTAGAATTGTGTGAAGCAAAGTTATACTATATTTGGGGGTTTATAATGCATATTATAATGCACAGATATAATATACATGACAATGCAAAAATAATGGGGGAAAATGGACCCGTACTTGTGCAAAATTCCCACATTTTATCAGAAGTCAGGGTAAATTACCATTAGATTATAATCAATTCAAGATGCATGTTATAATCGCTATAGCAATCACTTTTAAAAAATAAATATAGCTGAAACTTAACTAGGGGGGTAAAATGGCTATTAAAATTCATCGAAGATAGAAAGAATAGAGGAATAAAAAATAAATGACGGAAATAGAAAATAAGTAATCAAATTCCTTATCTAAATCCAATCATACCAATTACTATATTAAATGTGAATTCACTAAACACATCCAGCAGTAGAGATTTTTGGACTATGTAAAAAATAATCTCCAATTATTTAATATTAACAAGAGACATAATTCTAATGCAAAGACATAAATAGGTTGAAAATAAAGGGAGAAAAAAATGTTAAAACCAAACGAACAATAAATAAAAGAGAACTAGAATGACTACACCAATTCCAGATCAAATAGCCGTCAAGAAATGAAATGTATTAAAGAAAGAGATTTCATATTTAATGATAAAAGGGAATAACCAATCATAAACCTATAACAATTACAGACATCTAAGCCTCTAACCACAGTCTTTATTTCACCTTTATTTCACAGCAGTGATTGCAAAGAGGCACAGGGAAAATTTGGGGGATAATAGAAATGTTCTAAAACTTTTGGTAGTAGCCAAAACTCAGTTACCAATGCACAGATGGGAATAAAACAGCCTGTAGAAATTGACTAGGAGTGGACTTAGCAGACAAAGACTTTCAAGTAGCTAGTCTAAATATTCTCAAATTTAAGGAAAATATGTTCAAAGAATTAGAGGAAAATATGTTCAAATAATTAAAAATATACAGATAATGACCAAACAAATAAAATTCAATATAGATCAATACCCAATCCAAAGAAGAGAGAAAAAAATGTTTAAGATAAATAAACAGATATCTTGCTGTATACTTAAAATGGCCAAATTTTAATGTGAATAAATAAAGGTATACAAAATAAATAAAGGAAGAAAGGAAGGGAGGAAGGAAGGAGAAAGAAAGAGAAAAAGAAAGAAAGAAAGAGAAAAGAAAGAGAGAGGAAAGAAGGAAAGGAGGGAAGGAAGAAAGGAAGGAAGGAAAGAAGGAAGGAAGGAAGGAAAAAGAAAAGAAAAGAAAAAAAGACAGGAAGGTGACCTTAGGCTACACAGGGCTATCATTAAGTTGTGCAGGACAAATATATTTGGTGGACTCCTGTCTCTTTAAACAATTTGAGTCCTGCAATATTAGTGTATCAGCACCGTTCATATGATTCTGAAAAAGAAATACTGCTTTGGCCAGGGAGAATGATTCACTGGCCAGGTTGCCTTCAGGAATTAGTGTCAACCTGCCCATGGTGCCCCAGGACGACCTCATAGTGGTAAGCCTTGGAACTTCTTGGAGCGCTGCTTAACTCTGCACGGTAGAACAGCAGGTTGGAGAGTGCCCTGAGGCAGAAAACAGGTCAGGTTCCCATCTAGCTCCAGGTCCAAGTCCAGCTCAGGTCTCTCCTCTGACCACACTGCTGGCCCTGGACGATTCTAGGCACAGGGTATTTTCTATAAAGGAGGGTGCTCCAACCCATAAGTTTCCCTGAGAAGGGACAGGGCAGCACTTGCCCAGGCATAAATTGAGTACTGAGACTCAATTTATACACATGAGCTCCAGCTTAACTAATTTAGTTTAAAATTGTTTTATTTAGCCGGTAATCCCAGCACTTTGGAAGGCCGAGGCGGGCAGATCACGAGGTCAGGAGATTGAAACCATCCTGGCTAACATGGTGAAACCCCGTCTCCACTAAAAAAATACAAAAAAAAAAAAAAAAATTAGCCGGGCATGGTGGCAGGCGCCTGTAGTCCCAGCTACTCGGGAGGCAGAGGCAGGAGAATGGCGTGAACCCGGGAGGCGGAGCTTGCAGTGAGCAGAGATCCCGCCACTGCACTCCAGCCTGGGCGACACAGCGAGACTGTCTCAAAAAAAAAAAAAAAAAAAATTGTTTTATTTAGCAGAAGCCTGGCAGGAGAATCACTTGAGCCCAAGAGTTTGAGAATGCAGTGAGCCTGAGTGTGCCACTGCACTCCAGCCTGGGCAACAGAGCCCTGTTTATAAAACACAGCAACAAAAAGCAAAACCAGAAATTTAAAAAGAGAGAAAGAATTTAAAAAGTAAATACAAGTGGACAGGGATTTCCCTCAGAAAACTGAAATCTAAACTCAGTTTATCTTGTCATTTTTCAAGTAACACTTTAAGGTACTTTAACAAATACAGCACTTACTGTAAACCAGTCGCTATTTTAATTGTTTTGCAAATACTAACTTTTTATTACAAGAACCATGTGAAGTAGATACTATTATCTTTCTTACTTTTTAAGATGAGGAAACTATTATACAAATATGTTAAGTAACTTGCTCATGTTTACACAGCCACTTAGAGGAGACAGAATTTGATCCCAGAAAGCCTGGTTCTACAATGCTGGCTCAATTTGTTGACTGGGGTAATTATTTTAGCCCAAATCATCTTTCGAAAGTAATCAATTTCGCCACACATAAATCAAAACAGAAAAGGAAGAATGAAAGGAAGGAAGGACAAAAGCAAAGATTAATGAAAGGAAGGGAGGGAGAGGGAAAGAAGTAGAGAGAGAGGAAAGAAGACAGAAAAAAGGAGAAAGAAAAAGAGGAAGAAAAAGGAAACAGAAAAAAATGGATTTAAACATAGTAAGAAAAATTCAGGTTTGGAAATTAATCTCCTATTTGAAGGGTAATTATAACTTTACAGGAACTTTATTCCCATTTATTACCTAATTCAGGCCCTTATTACAATCACAAAGGAGGAAGCGGGGATTTATGACTTCATGCAGTTTAAACCACCTGCCTGCCTAAGTGGCAAAGCTAGCTGCTCACAGGACAGCTCTGAATCTGACTAAGCTTATTCCATCAAACTTCACTCCAGAATTTTCAAATCACCGAACCCCAAAGTTATGGGAATTTGTTGCCAAGGGAGAAAGACAGTGGAATTTCTGGTATGATTTATGTTCTAAAAATCCCTGAACTATAATACATGACTGGAGTTTGACCTCCCCAAGGCTGGCAATTCTTTGACTTTGTATTAAGGTGGCTCTATTTTCTGTGGTTTGAAGAGAAGCCGGAAGGTTACTTTCTGGCACTGGAGTGAGAGCCATTTGTAATTTCTCTCCCATTGCTAGCTGTCATTGTAAGACGAGGGTTGACAAACAGGCCAGATTTTGTATGAATGAGAATACTCAGTTCCTGGAGGGGTTATCTATTTTCCTTTCAAGGATACGATTATGTACTGTGCTGCCCTCTCAAATATCTTGAGGCACCTGGAGTCTGCCAGCTGAGCTTGTATTGTTAAACTGAAGTAAACAAAACTTTCTTCAGAAAACACCAATTATGTGATTGTTAGTTCTTTCAAACCTCTGGAGATGAGTGGGTCTGCAGAGTTTAAGGTTGCTAATTCACCTTTCTTGAAATTTACTGTGCAGGACTCCTTTCTGATTCAGATATTTTTACTATTAGCTGCCTACTGAGCCCGGAGGCTGGGTCATCTTGCAGTAGCTTCCACAACATTCCCAGGCTACGAGAGCTTACAGTCCATTAGCACTGAATCAGGTTTTCATCAGGAGGTCATCCTAAAACCTGAAAGAGCCCTGTAAAAGAGTGAGTGCTGAAGAGAAGAATGTCCACTCTCTGAAGCATTTTGTGTGGTAAATGCTAATGGAGAAGTCTGTCTGTGGGCTTTTTCAAACCTCCCTCCTGAGTAGTTATCTATGTGTCTCCACATCTCCCTGTGCTTTCCACAAAGCAGCGTTTGAGAGTCAGAATCACAGAGAATCACAGGCAGGTAGGTTCAGTCTACTTGGAGAAATACAGGACTTGTTTTAATTGGTTTCCATTAGCATAGAATCAAGAATTAGAATCAGTTTTTATTCAGGAACGTTAAAGAATCCAAAAGAAGGAAAGAAGATGCCTAATCTGACCAGAAAATGGTTTACCCAAGGACATATCCAACATCTAAAGAAAATCCCCCTTGTGTGTAAATGGTGAAGTTTTTGAAGAAGAGGCATCTGAGGGCTTTTTGTGGCCACGACTCAGTTCTGAAACAAAGCCAATGACTGTGTTAGCCTCATTCTAGCTTCTGTAATGTGAAGCTGTAACTTCTGCCTTGAGTGGTTATGAAGGGTATGCTTTGCTTTGAACAACCTAATGATAGGCCTGGGTCACCTTGCCTTGGCCTCCTGTCTCCCACTCAGCCGCCCTCCTCCTCAGGAGGAGTCCCCTTCCCCAGGGATGTGCTTTTCAAACACAAACAGACCAATCCAGAGTCCACACCTCAACTACCTCCTTTACAAGCTCCTACACACAGGATCACTATCCTTCTGTCCTAATCACCCCTAAGCCAGGTACCAGATAATTAAAGCTGGCCACTATGCCAGTTATTATAACTAGCCAATCTTAAGCCTGCTTACCCTGCCTTATCCATTTCTTCCCTGGAAAACCATGATAGAAGCTCTTATCACAGTCCCTGCACTCCCTCTGCTTCCTGACAGCCCTGGTGCTATCCAATGTGGGCCCCACTACATGGAGTGCCCCTCCTCTTGGGAACTGTGAGTATACCAACTGTCTTTTCAATGGCAGTCACCTTCTCATCTGTTGGCCTTGCTATATATACCTCTAGTTTTCCATTAATCTACTTTATTTTAAAACACTGACTATTATGCAAAGTTGCCACTCTGTACAACTTTATCCCAGGACTCCGTTCGCAGAATGTTGGTCCAGGCATGATCACGTGGCACAGAGCAGTCATCTATAGACTAGACAGTGGCCTATGAGTTGGGCTGGTACAAAAGCTCTGCGGAACTGGGCTTCCCAGGTTGCCAGTGAATGGAACAGCAATGAATCCACAAATGTGGATGGACTGACCAATAGCTAAGTGTTCCTACCATTGTGACCCAACCTGTGGTCCAGGGGCCAGTGCCATAAGCAGCTCCTGGAACTTGGAGCCACAGAAGCTCATGTCCCTCCCCAGAGCCACTGAATCAGAATGTGCATTTGAACAAAAACCCTGAGTGATTTCTATGCATATTAAAGCATATCATCTTCTCTTATTAAAGTCTGAAAATGACCACTTGGTCCATGCTTCTTGTGGGTTGCTCCCAGCCTGTGATGACTGCAGCAGAGATACAAAGCAGGCCCCTTCTTGGGAAATGTGGGACAGGCAAATTGGGACAGGCTCAACGATCCTCCAATGGCCTTCCTGAATTCCTCTTAGGACTGCATTCTAAAATATTTGCTCCTCCCTCCCTCCCTCCTTTTCTCCCTACCTCTCTCCCTCCCTTCCTCCCTTTCTCCCTTCCTGCTTTCCTCCATTCCTCCCTTCCTCCCTTCCTTGTCTCCTTCAGTCCAGGTCAGACCTGCATCATGGCAAACTGGCTCTCCCAGCACCACTGTATTTTCTCTCACAGTCGTTTTCTCTAATACATTGCCTTTAATCTTGTTTTGGAGTCTGCCTATTGGACAGCCTGGATTAACACACATCTCTATACTATTTTACTTGGCAGCTTTCCTGATCTGCAGAAACTATAAAACTGACCCAATAGATATGGATATCGCCTCATCAGCAAAGCAGCACTCTCGCATATTCTTTCCTGAAGGTATAATCCAACATTAAATTCAGGTAGATGTTGGACCCAAGATGACTCCACAGAAAAGACAAATAATGAACAGTCTACCAAATCTTCAGTGGGGATCTAATTTTTGTGTGGTTCAATCATATTTGTATTATGTCAATAATCATTTTAGGTAAAGATGATAATACCTTTCCTTGTTGAAAGCACATAGTTAGACTTGCTGCTATTTTGGACATCCTCATAAAGAAAAACAGTCAACTACATGGATTAGATGGGAGCAGAATAATCCAACACCAACATTTTCAGCAGCATGGCATGAGTTGAGGGAGAATGAGTAGGTCTTAGATTAGACAGATGCAATAATGACTATCATCTTCTCAAAAATACACAGAGGAAGGATTTCTTTTGCAATTACCTTTTATTCTATACATAAACTATATACATACTTTTCATTAATTTCTTCAATAACCTATAAATGTTATAAATTCAATTCCACATCCTAAAAATACATATTGTAAACCATCACCCATGGAGTCAGAGGTATTGTAAAGAACTGAGATGAACCAGAAGTGGCCTTTAAAGGGTAATTAGAGGGAAAGCTATGTTCAGGAACATAAAGATGACAATCACTGCACCGAAGCTCACTTTCTCTCTCTTTTCCTTTTTCTCTTTCTTTTTTTTTTTTCTTTTTTTTTTTGAGATGGAGTCTCACTCTGTCGCCAGGCTGGAGTGCACTGGCATGATCTTGGCTCACTGCAACCTCTGTCTCCCAGGTTCAAGCGATTCTCCTGCCTCAGCCTCCCCCAGGTAGCTGGGACTATAGGCGCATTCCACCACGCCCAGCTAATTTGTGTATTTTTAGTAGAGACGGGGTTTCACCATGTTGGCCAGGATAGTCTTGATCTCTTGACCTTGTGATTCACCTGCCTCAGCCTCCCAAAGTGGTGGGATTACAGGCGTGAGCTACCGCGCCCGGCTCACTTTCTCTTTTCTATACTCTATAAGTGGGTGTTGTTTCCGCTTAACAGAGGAGGGAACTAGGGTTCACAAATATTATGTACCTTGAACTGAACACTATGCATCAAGAAAGTAGGTAATCTGGAATGTAAAAGCAGATCTGTTTTGCACCAATGCCTGTGCTGTTTTTATGACTCTTCAGCTGCATCACTTGATATTCTTCTCATGAAAAAGGCAAAAATATAACATTACATAATAGCTACATGTACAGCCATGTAGAATTTTCAAAATTCTTTCTCATGTCTCTGTCCCTCAGTACGTAACATGTTTATTCATACAGGGTGTAGGACAAGCTTAAAATGGGGAATAGCTGTGATTTTGAACCAAGACCAGGGTCTAGGGCAACAGTGGCGGCAACTAGAAAAGGAGACTTTTTTGTGAGGAATGTTTTTTATACTGATTAGGGTAGGAGAAATATTCTGTGTTATGACTGGGCTGCTACTTACACAAGTGTATACAACTCACTGAACTCTATTGTATACTTAGGATTTTACTATATACAAAGTAAACTTCAACAAAGTTCATTTTAAGAAGAAAAAAAAATATGTCCCAGAGTTATAACAATGGTATGCTTGCTTACAGATTATAATATATAGTCCATTTGGATGCATGATACTCTGTACATAACAATGATAGAATGCATATTTTGTTTAAAAATATGTATCTTTCCCTGCTGTTTCTTTGGAAAGACTTATGACTGTTGACAGCCTGTTATTATGTAATATATGTAATATGCAGTAATGACTAGCATCTTCTAAAAATTACAGAGTGAATGGACTTTTTCCATTTATATTATATTCCATACATGGATATACACATTTTTCATGATTTTCTGTAGGCCTCTAAGAATATTATAAATTCATCAACCTGAAAATAAACATTATAAACTATAAACCATGGAATCAGAGATATTGTTGTGCGGGGCTGAGATTAAACAGAAGTAGTTTTCAAAGTAAGAGTAATTTGATGACAAAATATATTTAGCACTGGATTAATCAAAGTGGGGACTATCTCAAGGATTAAATATCCAAGTTTATTTATATTTGTCTAAGTTATTGATTGTAGTTATGATGAGAATTCCAGCTTCCCAAAGTTAGTTGATTTCAGTGCATTTTTGTCTTAATTCACAGTAAAGATAGCTTGATTCTGAAGCATTTACTTAGGACCAAGTCAAGGTTAGCAAGAAGCTAGGTTGTATTCATTTCACCCTTGAGATTTTATTAATGGAATCAATGTACTCCATTTCAAATGTAAGATTTGTCTCTGACCTTTCCCTCTCGTTGTTTTTCTCTCTTTTTCTATCCATCTGTTCCTATCTCTGTATCTGTCTCTCTCTCTTTCTCTTTATATGTGTACAAACATACATATATACACACATACATATATACGTGTGTGTTTATCTATCTATTTATCTATCTGTCAGTAAGGATTTATGTTGCATAGTTAACTACTAACCTGACTTAGTATCTAATTTACTAAGATAACCATTGAAGTTCAAAACTATTATAATGAAAGAATATTTATTGTGGGAGAATAATCAATCCAGGGATGTTATCCTCAATGCACAGAACCTGACTTCATCATCATTTATTATCTAATATATTTTCAGGTTATACTAAAACATTTCACTACACATCATTTATTGGCTTACGAGTTTCTTGTATTTAGGTTTAGGATAAACACTGAAAGCAGACAAATCAACACTTTAGCTTGCGCATTGATCATCAGTACCCATTTAATCCTTTCCTGTTTAAATTACTTAATTCATTAGCCAGATCACAGCGGATAAAGCACTTCCAGTTGCATTCAGGGGAAGCTCAACATCGTTCACTGGGGAAAGCCCTGCTTAGATTTCTGTTAACTACCCTCACAATTAACCACTAAATTTAACTTATCTCTGCTATTCTGTGGCTTCAGAGATGCTAATTTCCTTGCTAACCCAGAGTTAGATTAGTAAATCATAGGCAATTTTCTTGAGGAAATCTTGAATTAAATGCAAATTACTCAAGTGGTTTTTATAAGTACAATCATATTGGTAATGCATCACTGATTCTTTTCGGGGAGGGAGTTGTGATTCTAACTTTCATTCTACTTTAAGGTAAGGTTCCTATTGCTGAAGAAACCTATAGAGGTATCATCTAAGATGAATAATAGCAAAATAAATGGAAGAATGAATTCATTTTCATAATATGTCATAGTATAAAACCTAATCAAAAATTTTGAGATTATATATTTTGATCTCTTAATAAAATACCTTTACCAAATTTTTTTTTTCAAAAAGTGGATGCAGAACCCCTCAATGTAATATTGAAATGGCTCTAATATTACGGATTAATTCATTCAACATTCCATACTATTGGGCTTGTATTCAGATACTTCATAAAAAGAAATATACCATATTCTATTAAAAGAGGTAATTTTGCTAGATTGTGGAATCCTCTTCTTTTCACTATGTGAATAATCTTCAATGTTGATTAATAAAATACATTTGCATATGTCAATAGCATCTTATTCCAAAAGGGGCAGATGCAGTGAATGTTTAGTTTTATGATTTCATGAAAGGATGCTAGGTGAAGCAATATACCCCCTGACAGAATCACCCTGTTAAAGTAAAAGTCACAATTCAGGGTGATCCTAAATGTTAACTGCCCCTGCCATGCACTTGCTTTTACCCTTGTGTGAAGTACTGAGATGCTTAATCTTACAAATCTAACAAAACTATAAATCTTTGTTCCTGATTTAAACCTTTCTAATATAAAAAAAAACCATGAAACATAAAAGGTACTAAGTATAAAGTCACAATTCACATTTGCAACAATCCTTTCTGGTGCAATTACCAAGCTCTAAGCTCTGGGCAAGGCTGTAAGGAGGCATTGACTGACCTGAGTGGATACATAATATGTGCTCTTCATGTGCATAGAAATGCCCCCGACATGTTTTACTAACATGTGCATAAACAAAATGAAATATAGCAATGAGTGCTTACTGGATGTCAGATTCCATATTAGGAGCTACACACATATCATTTCATTTGATTCTCACAGAAACACTTGACATACATATTAGTATGTTCATTTTACGATTTAAAAGATAGCTTCACAGAGCGTTAAATGACTGTCAGGGTTGCACTGGTGGTAAGTGATACGGCTGGAAAGTAAACATAAGTGTGCCTGACTTATAATTTAGACCTTCCTAATTTGCCTCATTTTCTTTGTTGGTGTGTCAACCCTCTAGGCACTGGAAAGGCTAAATTTTAGAACAAACTGCAGCACATGTTAAACTGCAATGACAGCAGGGCCGTTAGCCTGACTACGCATGTCTAAAATGTCTAGATCTTTGCTACTGAGTCAAAAAAACATGTTTCTGAATTATTCAAATAATTGCTTTAATTTGTTTTTCCTGTGGTAGATTGAACCTTAGATTCAACTTCTATACTTAGCTTGAGTTGTTACAATATCATTTAATCTTATGCACTCAGATAGGTTTCATTACTCAATATTCAGTTCTTTATTCTGATATATCAAAGTGGGTATTTTAATTAGGTCAGGATTTAAATAGTGATGGTTTTTCAAGGAAAGAGGAGCCTTTGATTGGAATTGGGGGGTTGTTGTCTGAACTCCATGTATAAACAGTGGGGTGTCTTGAAACATATGGTTTTGTCATTTTTTCCTGTATTGTCAAGGATTACATACTGCTATAGTCCTTTATCATCGTATATTTCTTCTAATCTGCATTCCTTTTAATGTAGAATATTTTATCTTTATCTTTTCCTCCAGGATTTATATAGTTTCAATATGCTCCTCATTGATTCCAGATTAGACTGTATTGCCTGCCCTCATGAGATGTGTTTCTCCTCCAAGAATTCCTGATAGTCCTCTGGTGTGTATGTGTGTGCACTCATGCATTTGGCTTTCAGCTACAGCCACCATATGGTATGTCTCAGTCTGCCCTCTTCTGCTCCAGCTCATGTTCCCCATTGTTGATAGCTCTGTTCACGAAGCCAATTGAAGGAGCTTCAGTATTGTCATGTCTCATATCCATTGGTGAGAACTTAAGCAATTCGATGCTTTTTAGAGATAAAGATTCAGATGAATCTTATGAAAACCTTTCAGTGTTGAAAGGCTAGTACTCTTTGCCATAGATGTCAAGAGATCAAAAGTAGAAGATGAGATGGATCACCCAAAGCAAAACTGGGAGTAGGTGCAAAATTTGAGGAATGGGAACATAACGAAATGTTGCAATGGGAAAATTATTTTGTTACTTTGCTTATGCAAGCATTGATATGATGGTATTAGGGCTTCAGCCAGGCTGAAAATATCCATACACATTTTTTTTTCTGTAAGTACCAAGATATATTTAAAGTTTCACAAAATTCTGCAGGTTAGACAAGTCCCTGCAATCTGTATACTATTTTAGATTTACAATGAACCATTGAGACTAAAAGAGGAACTGTACACTGTAATAGAATAGATGGAAGAAGCAAATGTCCTCTGTACTTCACTAAATATAATTGGTCACATTTCACCAATAATTGAGATTTTTCTGATCTTGCCTCATCTACTTACAGGCGACTACCACACTTACCCTTCTCCTGCAAGAGGCACACAGCCTACCCTGAGTTTTCCGGTGGTTCTGAACAGGGGCCCAAAGATGCCTGTGACTCAGGCTCTCCATCACCATTACGTAAGGGAGATCCTGTACCTCCTTGCCCACTTCCTGAGGGAGACTCAGTATTGCCCCTGCTAGTAGTCCTGGTGACAATGCCCATATCCATGGCAAGGGAGCAACCTGCCTCTGATCTTCCAAAGGTCTCCATGAGATTCCTGAAAAAAGTGGGGAGGTATTCCCTTCTTCAGCATGAGGCAGCTCACTCTCACTTAGGCCTCTGCTCTCTCAGGGTTTTGGAAGGGCTACCATGAAGATAATGTTGTCACAATATAACACCTCTCTCCCCTCTTATAATTAGTCCAAAGGGCCAATTCCTACCCCTTCTCCCTTTCTCTTTTGTTTCTTACTGGATGAAGGATTGCCATGGGTGACTACAACACAACCAACCAACAATTAAGAGCTCCCCTACCCCCAGATTCCATTCTCTCTTCAACAATAAAAAAAAAATACCCCCATCCAATAGATCCAAAGATGGTTCCCTGGCCAGTAGACTCTGAAGCTTAGGTTAGGATTGGTGGATGAAGCTGTTCTAGATCATTTGATTTAAGAAGACATATAAAATCACTGGGTCAGATGCTTTCATTTAAGGATAGGGAATTACGAAGTAAGACGCACAGCCAAGTTTCAGAACTACTTGATTATGAAATCAATTCAATTGTCTAAATCATGATAATATACTTTCCACATGAAAAAAAAAAAAAAGACTTTACTGTCCCTCCTACAGAGATGTGATATACTGACCTAAACAGTCTTAATTCATCTTTTATTTCTTGTGCCTAACACGGTATCTTGGCACATGATGGGGAGCTCAATAAATACATCCTTAATGAAGAGAAATAGAAGATACAACAATCCATAGATTAATTTAATTTCACACTTATCTGAACATATTTAACAGATCACTAGAAATCACCAAATTTATTAGCTGTTGTAGTACCATTTTATATAAGGGAAAGTTCCATATGCCTTGGATTATTTAATATGCAATGGTGGTAGAGCCAGCGTGCTGAGGTGCCACAAGTCCTTGTATAGTGTTTAGTGTCCAGCATTGTGAGGAAAGTAAATGATCATCAAATATAAGTTCTCGGCAGGAAGGTTACACTTCGCTTCATTTTAATAGAAAAATATTTCCTTGGGGTTTTTGAGCCTTAAAAGAAACAAGCACTCCATGAAAACCAATATTAGTTTACCCTCTTAAAGTTACATATGTGGGACTTTAAAAATGTGAGCCAATGAAGGAGTTAAGAAACCTTTCTGTCATTTAATAATGCTTTTATTTCATGAGGGTAATTTTAGTCAACAGTCTGCCAGTTGAAATTAAGTTATACTGCTGTCAGAGATGTTTTCAAAGAAATGAAGTATTTTTATCCATATGCGAGAGGAAATTCTTCATTGGGGAAATACACACACACACACATAACACACACACACACATACATATATATATACAGATATGTATGTATAATTATATGTTTGATACATATATATTCTTAATTTGGCTATATTCTATCTTGGAAAGCTTGTATGCAATTGGTACATTTGGAAGTGGGTCTAGTCTCAAAACAAGGCAGGGAGGATTTTGGCTAAAATCATCATAGATAATATAGATTTCAGGGAAGACCTACATAGTTTACTAACAAGTTGAAAAAATTAGGGTCATGTGAAATGTTTTTAAGGTCTACGATTATTTTACCAGACTGTAGTTGAAAGAAAAGTTAATTATATTAAAAGTTATCTTACCATCAATGTTAATCAACAGAATGTTATTTTCTTTAACAAGAAAAAGAGGATTAAAGTGAGATCTAGTGTGTGTGTGTGTGTGTGTCTGTGTGTGTGTTGTGTATGTGTTGTATGTGTGTCTATGTAGAATTTCATTCATAAGAAGCCTAAAAAAGTAACTACCAATCTTTCTGGAAGTCTTTGCCTGCATATTACAATTTAGAAAAAGGTTAGGCTGAATTAGTAGTATTTATTAACCCTGTTTTGAATTACAATCCCTTAGAGGACCAAATAAAAATTATGACTATTCTCTGCAGAATAGAAAGAATGGACATACAAAGAATCACATTTGCCTTCCACTTCTGCAATTTGCTGACCCTAGCAGACTACACGAACTAGATGATTGGAACTCCTCAAGGGTAACCTCTGTGTATGTGAATTTCCGTATCTCTAAGACCGGGCACATGATAGGCACTCAAAAAATTATGCCTGAATTAAAAATTATCTTTATGAAAAAAGTTAATGAGAAGTCACAACTCTACAGAAAGAAATTAAATCCATTTTGTAAACTGCCTCTACTCATGAGGTATTTACAACATAATGATCACTTTAGAATCCTTCCAATTACAAGAGTTTATCTTATAAATAAATGGATCAGAGATTTATGCTGCCAAAAGAGAGCAAATATTGCCCGTGGTTTTTAAACGTGCAGTTGAAGGAGAGAAATTATTGATGCAATGGTAATTATACTGGTAATAACTTAAAAGAGCTTGCTGTATGAGAGAAATCTGCACATAATAAAAGCTGGCTATACATTTGAGAGTCTAAAAAAATGCACACAAAACAAAAAGGACTCAAAGAGGTAGAAAATAGGCCCATTATTGGGAGGGGACAAAATTTGGGGTAAGAGCGCATATTAACATGCCTAGATTTTAAGTTTATCTTTAAAATGTACAAAGTGCTGGATTGCCTGGAGGGAAAAGTACATTAATCTGGTCATCAGAAGGCCAGCTGTAGTCCAAGTCTATCAGTCTTTGGCCGTAGGAGACCTTAGGAAAGTCAGCTAAGAGCATTGGACCTGGAATCTACTCATCGCTTGCAAAATGAGAGGGCTCATTAACTGAGCTTGTAAGTCTTTGGTAGCTTTAAAAATGTAACTTTCTTTGATATATCTCTACTTGCAGAATTTCAAAGGATGGCTCAAACTACACTCACCAATTTCAAAATTTTCTCTCTTAAATTTTTGTGACTCTGATTTGGAGCCCATGCTATTTTAAAAACTCAGTAAAACAGATACCCCAATAATTGAGTCTAAATTGAGATGTGATTCACTAGAAATAAAATTTTTGACTTTTATTTTTTAATATGAAAAATAAAAATTCTGTATTATTTGTAGAAAATAAAATTGGCCAATAAATTTAGCGGGCTTGCCAGGGGGGTAGAACTGGAGTTTTGATTGCTAGTTTTGGCAGAATATGTCATTGAAAAGTTAAGAGGCATATATTTTGTCCCACTACAAATATCAAAGCTCTATTGGAGCAGAACTACCTTGTTTTGAAAATAATCATGGGAACAGTCCCTTTTTGTTGTGTAACCACTCACTGCTCAGAAATGTATGGGATAAGGGGGAATTTGGAGAGGCTGAGAGGCAGTTGGATACTTGGGACCTGTCAGCAGGCTCTTGCACCAATCATTTGGATGGTTAATGAGAGATGAGTGTTGGGTCTTTTAAATTACTAACTTACTCACTCTAGAGTCCCTCCCAAGATAATCCTTGGGGCGATGAAATTTTACCCTTGGAAGTGGCTATTTGCATTGAGAAGAACACTTCCGTAAGACTGAGGGTGTAAACCCCAGGGTAGACCTCCCTGGATTTTGGAATTACTATGGGTGATAGATTGAGGGAGTTAAGATCTAATTTTCTGCCAATACCAACAAGCGAAAAGGGTTCAGGTGGGTAAAGTGGCTATAACAGCTAGAGATCAGAAGATAGCTGCTTTTAAGGAACAGAAAGAAGAAAAGGCAAAGGGCCTATTGCCTTATTGTCAGGCTATAGGAAATATTAAACCTGCCAGTTTTTCCTGGGTATTATTTAATTTTAAATAGTATATTTATTAAAGTTATTATGCATTTTCATCAGGAACCACTAAATAGAAAAAAAATAATCCAAATTGGCTGAAATAACATTTTGAATACACAATACTTAGCACTGTGCAAAGGATTCTACCTACCATAGAGAGAAACAGACAAACAACAAACAATTAGACTGTGGTAAGTAATGAGTGAGAGAAGGAATCCCAGCATGCCAGGAAAATGGAAAGTAGCACTCTGTGTGGTGTGGGGTAGAGATGGTAATCAAGGCAGCATTCTTAGAGAAGGTGATACAAAATATGGGTATTAAAGCATGTGTAGGAGTTACAGAGGTAGAGAATGGATACATGGATTGAGTTGGCAGAATGAGAATGAAAGTATACTGTTTGTGGGAAAGAAAAGATGTTTGCATGTAATTCTAGATGACTGGGAGAGGGGTGTCCATAGAGGCATAGCACCAGATCACAAAGGGCCATGGTTACAAAGTCAGGGAAGTTAAACTTTCTCTTGATATAAAAAATGGTAGCAGGAAAATGAAGAAGTTAAAAGTAGATGTAAGGTAATAAAAACATTCAATAAGAGTAAGAGTGTGGTAGGCAGAGATGGTCTGGTGAGTTTAATAAATGCTTCCTAAGAAATATGAGATTGCCATGTTGGTTCTGCTTGCTGGAATAGATCCTTACAAAGCACAGGAAAATGGAACACAGAAATATCCATGTGTCACATGATCACAGGCTCATTTCTGACTAGGGTACAGGATCTCAGCTAACTATCATCTTTATTTCTTTTTTTCTGTCCTTGACTCTCAGAAAGAAATACATTAGAAAAAAATCTGGCAATAAATGCTAATTTATTTTTTAAAGGAGTAAATTCCAAGGAATTTTTTTTAGTTGATATAGTCTGCTCTCCTGAATCTTATGAATCTTGATCTACTGTACTCTCATTTATAAAAATGAAGATGTTAAGGAAATAGAGGGGGTCTGATCATCAGAGAAGAGTCCATTTATTTCATTCAGCATACTATGCTCTATTAATAAGGCTGTGAGGCAGACTAATAAATTGTAAGCTATTTTCCACAGGAAAGATTAAATTAGTAACTTTCTGTTAACCACAGCTTTAAAATTTAATAATGAATGCTCTCCTTTCATGCATTTTGGTTAATCAAGAGGCAGGAAGATTGATTTCCTGGGAAAATGATATGCTATTGTTCAATTTATTTACTAGTAAAATTTTACATTCAAAAATGTCATGCATCAAATTTAATTATGAAGCAGCTGATTTCATATAAAAATAGGTAATGTACTATGAGATGTGAAGATTTCAACTGAGGTATTAACAGCATCACTTTCCAAACGACACAAAGGGTATCATATCCAGGGCTAGGTACGTTTCCCCTTGGATTGGCATCACTCTTCTTAAAATACATCTGATGAAAATGAAAGAATAAAAAATTAAATAAAGAAAATAGGAGCAGGGGATAACACATTTACATTATGTTGCTTTTCTCTCATCTGCATTTTAGAAGACTGCAGACTTAAAGGTTGTCAGCAACTTGGCTTATATCTGCAGTGGCTTTGTTTCTCTCCAGTGCATAAACCAAAGGTAAAATTGGACTCACGAGCTAACCTTTACCACCAGGCATTCTTTTACTTGAAGATGATAATAGACTTTCCTTGTGGTGGAAGTTGTGCGCCATGAGTGCCCTCTCTTGTGTCACCGTACGAGTGTGTAAAGTAAGAAGTGCAGGCAGGGAGTAGCAGGACTTGGCTCTTAGGACAACAGAAGACAGCTGCATTGCAGGTCATTAGCCTCAGAATGTTCTTGGATTACATATAATAAAGTTAATCTCTTACTGACATTTAACCTGCCTCTTTGTGGCCAAAATAATAAAACCCACTCTACAAAGGGTTAGAGAAAGCAATTGTTAAAACTATAAAGAAACGTCTTCAGTAAATGCAGTATCTAACTTCCTGTAAATCTCTTTCTGGAAAAGATTCAAGGAATACTATGGAGAACATACTAAAACAACAACAAAGAACTGTTGTTCAAAAATACTTTTCTTTCCTTTTTCTTTTCCTGTTTTTTTTTTTTTTTTTTTTTTTTTTGAGAGAGAGAGTGTCACTCTGTTGCCCAGGCTGGAGTGCAATGGTGCAATTTCGGCTCATTGCAACCTCCTCCTCCCAGGTTCAAGCAATTCTCCCTCCTCAGCCTCCCAAGTAGCTGGGATTATAGGCACCCACCACCACGCCCGGCTAATTTTTTATATTTTTAGTAGAGACGGGGTTTCACCATGTTGGCCAGGCTGATCTTGAATCTCTGACCTCAGGTAATACCCATGTCGGCCTCCCAAAGTGCTGGGATTATAGTGTGAGCCACCACGCCCAGCCCAAAGATACTTTTCTTAGTTTATTGCTAATAATACTTGAAATTGTATCATGTTTTAAGTGCTAAGTTCTTGTGTTATTTATTAACGTGCTAATTTATGCCAAATACTATGTGTGGTGCTTTAGATAAATCATCTAATTCAATTGTGGCAGAATTCCTAAAAAGTAACCATTGTTTTATACCTTTTTATAGAGGAGGAATAAATGGGGCCCAGAATGTCTACACAAGTCTTCTTGATTCTAAAGCTCAAGCTCTTTTCATTAAACCTATCTACCTCCTCTTTACTAACCTTGAATTACAGATGTTTCTTTGGCAAGGAAAAGTATTGAGGGCAGATGAGAATACTACATCTACCAGTTATTACCTACTTATACCACAGTACAACTTGTTTCAATTGAGATGATTTCTTCTCTAGAGTTGGTATAGTTGACACAAAAGTAGAGGTGTGGAGATTAATAAGCCTAAATAGGAGAGGCATGGTAAGAGACTCCTAGCAGGCACATGTATATAATTGATAATGAGTGGGTAGGGATGTTGAATCTGGAAAATAGGTATAAGATGGAAAGAAAAAGGAGTCTCAAAACTTAAATTTGTCATTTTGTAGTTATAAAATGGTAGTAAGCAAGCTTTCCCTAAGTGGGTTTGGAACTTGTTCAGAAAGTAGGCAAATGGAGTTTCATTTCCCTTGCTTTGAAGTACTGTAACCTAAAGAAGCAGAAAAGGAGTTCAGGGTTAAATGTAAAACCGTAAAGAATGAATTTAGTTGAAAATAGAGCTAATCAAGAGATTGCTCTTGTATTCCTTATTGAGATGCAAAGATTAGCTCAAACCAAAACCAGATTAGTAGTAGTACTCTTCAAGAAAAAAAAAATAAGAAAAAGAATTGCTCTACATTTTTCAAAGACCAACACATCACTGATGGTTTAATAAAATCAGAAAATCATGACATATCGAATACTAGAAACAATCTAGAAACTGATGGAGCTATACACTAAACTAGGAACAATTTAATTCATCTCTTTCCAGAATTTTTTTTCCCAATTTGTCCTCTTAAATGGCTTAACTTTCTTTCAATTGACACTAATAGTGGGGAAGACATAAATCTTTTTAAAAGGAACTGGAATGATTTCAACATGTGTAGCATGAAACAGGTCTTGGCTCAGAGTTGTGGCCAACACAGTAAACTGGCTTCTAGCATCCTGGTATGAAGACATTTGTCAACAGCTCAGCCTTTGGGCCAACCCCAATCTAAACCTCTCTCCACATGATGACGGAATACTAGTCCATTTAGCTAAAAATATTGAGATGAAGGGAGTAAAAGTTAACTATGTGGCTTGGTATCATATAAATACAATTAAGCACATGACTTGATTTAATATATGTTTTCTAGTTTGTGTTATGTAAACCCAGATTAATGGGCAAATTCAGAAATAGTAATAGTTCTATCAAAAACATAGTAATAGTACCATCAAAAACGTTGGCCACACCTATAATTCCTGATAGTCTTTTCCATGATCAATTCACAAAGGTGAATGTATTTCCTTTTTATCCCTCTTCACATTTCCCTCATTTCAAATCTAGCTAAGGGGAAAAAAGGAACGATTTCTTTTGTATACACACAGCTGTGTGTATGTTAGGGAGACGTGTTTCCTTCAAGAGTTAACTGAAAAAGCCAATCTTTGTTTGGTTAAGAGGTTATAGTTTCATTGCACAGTGTCATTAGACACATGGAAATTACTCACCCTTGGGTCAATGTGTCTCTAATCTAAAAATACGGGGTCACATAAATAACTCTATAAACCTTCATTAGTCTATGGAACTCAGATTCAGATTTTAAAATAAACCTTTCAAGTGATTGTTACTAATGTGACCAAACACACAAATGTAAACGAAGGTTTCGAAAAACCATGTTTGGATAAAATCTGGTTATTTGGATAATCCACAACATGCTTGAATTTATTATTTTTCTAACAATTGTCTTCGTAATTAAAATATATTCATTAATGCATACATGCAAAGATTTTTTTGGACAACTTATGGACTTTCTAGACTATGTCCATTATCCCTGGGACCCTCAGACCCTAGTAGGATAAACTTTCATATACAGGATTAGCAAAGTTATCACTTTTCCTACAACAATGCTTCAGCTGGCATTTCTGAGTGACAAAAATAAATAACACCAAGAGTGAACCCTAATGTAAACTATAGATTTTGCCTGATAATTTGTGTCAATGTAGTTTCACCAGCTGTAAAAAATGTAGCACTCTGATGGGGGATGTTGACAGTTGGGTAGACCATGATGTATGTGCAGGGGCTGAGGCTATATGGGAAATCTCTGTACCTTCTGCTCAACTTTGCTGTGAACCTAAAACTGCCTTAAAAATAATGTCTAATTAAAAAAAGAAAAAAGTAACTTTTAAAGCTCCAGCTGCACCCTATGAAAATATTTAACTTATCTCACTTTCTAACATTATTAGGAATCGATTTTTTTAGATATGGTCTTTGTGTATTTAAACAGGGAAGTGTCATCAATGTAAAAACATAATTAATATTTTCACTTTGGATTCTACACCATCAAAAAGAAAGTTCTGAAGAGTCACTGTCTTATCAAGCATGACCAAAAGTCGCTTGCTCTTATTTGAGACTTAATGGGTATCCTTTGCATGCTGAATGAATTCTAGTGGCCAATTACTAATGGTTAGGAAATGCCCATGTCTTAGCTATACTCACTTTAATACAGTTTATATCATCATCCCTGCTAGCTTGGTGATTACTCTGATCATATGGTATGTTCAATGTATTTGCATTTGTCCTCAGTGAAACTCAAAATACCATTGATTTCTCTGATGGATTTTTCTAATGAATATCTATTGTTCTTGAGTTGCTCAAGTGTTTTCTCTACGTGACACCACACACACACAAAAAAAACAGAACATTGTTCCACAGATTTCACAATCAGTGATGTTCATGCAGAGATGTGGGAAAAAGACAGTAAAGGAGGGAGAGGTTTTTTTCTTTAAACTATCAGTGGTTTAAAATATGGTGATTTCAGGCTAACAAAATATAAAAACATTCCATATTGAGGATATATTTAGAATGTGTATTTGTGTGTGTGCACATTAGGAATGATGCTGGGTCCTGATCCAGGATTTTCTCTTTTTAATCATTCAAATTATAATTAATCTGGGTCACATCATCTACAGAGTGACTCAACAGTGATTTTA